>NC_000018.10:30911206-35911206 GCF_000001405.40 Homo sapiens
AAGTTCATATAGGAAAGCAAATAGCCTAGAATGACTAAACTTTGAAATAGAATGAAAAGTCGGAGGGCTAACACTACCTAACAGAAATGACTACATTATTTGCGGACCCTGTGCAAAATGAAAATGCAGAGCCCTTGTTCACCTTGTGGTTCTACCAGAATTCTAATGTTCACAGGCCATTGTGAATGCAATATGCAAATTGGGTAGCAAGGATCACCAGACACACGTATTGCATGTACCTCCTCTGCTTACATGCTTCCTCCATTGTCCCATCAGACTTCACCTACAATACACAAAGCTCAAAGATAATATTGTTAAGAATTTAAGATAGCAACAGGAGAGCATTAATCCAAGCATGGGACCCTGTGGGGCCCTGTGTGACTGCGCAGGGTGCATGTCCACAATTTTGTCCCTGTTACCTAATTTTGACATATTATAAACCTACCCTAATCAAGATGGATGTTAATGGCATAAATATAGAGAAACTCATCAATTGAACAGAATATAGAGACCAGAATTAGATCCATGCATCTATGGACAATTGATTTTTGACAAAGGTATAAAGTCAATAGAAAGGAAAAGCATATTCTTTTTAACAGTGTTACTGGAAAATTGGATCTCTTATGTAAAAATAAAAACAATTAACTTAATTTATAACACATCATATACACAAATGAAATAAAAATGGGTCATAGATCTAAATGCAAAACCTAACACTGTAAAATCTCTAGAAAAAAAAAAAGCACCAAAAGAAAGCTTTGTGATCTAGGGTAAGACTAAGATGTCTTAGATACAGCACCAAAAGTGTAGACCATAAAAGAAAAATAATAAATCAGATCGTAAAGTACTGTGAAGGGTCTGAATTTCTATCTCCCTTGAAAACTAGCAAATTAGCCTGCTACAGATTTGTAGCTGCTGACAGAAGACACAAGACTCAAATGACTCAAATGACTTACTGAAGACACAAATGACAACATGAGCTTTATGTTTGCATCAATTCTCTTTGCCACCCAAGTCCCATGGAAGTTACCCAGCATGGTCCAGGTAGCATATTCTGTGGGTTTGCAATACAACTGCAGAACAGTGCGCTTTGGAAACCCCAGCCTTTTAAAAGGGGCTGAAAGTAAACTTGCCCAACTTTTGGTCTGGAGGAAAACATTATCTCGGTGTTCTAAGGCTGTTTGTTTTGCAAACATCTTTGAAATTATAATCTAGACAAAAAGTCATCAGTGCATCTGCTGAGATGTGCGGAAATGCAAAAGAATAATGGAAAAATTTTTATCAACATAGATTTTATCAAAATTTTGAACATTTCTGCTCATTGGAGACACTGTTAGGAAAGTAAAATGACTAGCCACAGACTGGAGAAATATATTTACTATATATATATATATATATATATATATATATATAAAATAAAGTATTGTATTCAGAATATAAAAATCATTCAAAACTAAGTAATGAAATAACACAATTTTTTTTTTTTGTTTTTGAGATGGAGTCTCACTCTGTCACCCAGGCTGGAGTGCAGTGGCGCGATCTCGGCTCACTGCAAGCTCTGCCTCCCAGGTTCACGCCATTCTCCTGCCTTAGCCTCCTGAGTAGCTGGGACTACAGGTGCCTGCCACCACGCCTGGCTAATTTTTTGTATTTTTAGTAGAGACGGGGTTTCACCATGTTAGCCAGGATGGTCTTGATCTCCTGACCTCAAAATAACACAATTTTTAAATGAGCAAAAGATTTAAACAGACACTTCGCCAAATAAGTATATTAAAAGAACCCCCAAGTCATGTTATTAGAGAAACACACATTAAAACTACGGTAAGATACCACTACGTTATCTACTAAAATTGCTAAAATTAAAAAGATTGACCATAGTAAGTGTTGGTGAGAATGTGGAAGAACTAAAACCCTCATATACTGCTGGTAGCAACAAAAAATGCTAAAGACACTTGGGAAAACAGTTTGGTAGCCTGTTAAAAGAGTTAAACGTGTACCTACATATTATTCAGCCACTCCACTCCTGGGAATTTACCCAAGACATATTAAAGCATTTGTCTCATACAAAGACTTATACACAAATATTCATGGAAGCTTTATTTGTAAAGCCCAGAAATCAGAACAACTCAAATGTCAATTAACAAGTTAAATGAATAGACAAATTATAGGATATCCACACAATGAAATACTATTCAGCAGTAAAAAAAAAAAATAAACTATTGATACATATGGATGAATCTCAAAAATCAATGATGACTTGGTGAACTTCAAAAAGATGAGTTGAGGAAGACAAACCAAGTAGAAAGAGTGCAGAGTATATGATTCTTTTAATATATAATTCTAGAAAAAGCAAACAAATATGTAGTGAGAAAAAGACAGCCAGCAATTGTGTGGAGGCAGAAGAGGGTAGAAAGTGTGAAAGGGCAAAATAAAGGGATCAAAGAAGCAGACAGAAACCTAGAAGGTGATGGCTCTGTTTATTATCTTGAGTGTGATGAGGGTTTCTCACACAGACACATATTATATAAATGTATATATATAAAGTTAAGAAAGTATATGCTTTATACATATGCAGTTTATTGTATGTCAATTTACCTCAATTAAACTGTAAAAAATAAAGCAAAATAAAAGAACATCCATTAATGATAAAAGCTCCCAGTTAACCATGAATTGAAAAATGTCTCAACTTGTTAAAGATCATATACAAAAAAACCTGCAGCTAACAACATATTTAATAATATAAGACAGAATTCTTTCCCACTAAAATCTGAGAAAAGACAAGGATGTCCACTGTTAACACTTTTATCAATATAGGACTGAAATGTCTACCTACTGAATAGGCAAGAAAAAGAATAACAAGCATAAATAAGGGAAAAGAAAGAAAACTGTCTCTTTGCAGATCATGATTGCCTATGTTGAAAATTCCAAGGAGTGTGTAAAAAAGACTCCTAGATCTGATAGGTGAGTTAGCAAGATTGCAGAATACAAGAATCAACACACAAAAATCAATAACATTTCTACATACTAGAAATGAATATATAGAGACCAAAACTTAAAACATGATGCCATTTTGAGGGATGTCCCCAGTGACAGTGAAATACTTAGGAATAAACTTGATAAGACAGTTATGAATCTGTATGCTGATAATTTTAAAATACTGATGAAAAAAATCAAAGAAGACCTAAATAAGTGGAGGGACGTACATAAATTGGAAGACAACATAGTCAAGATGTCAATTTTCCCAAATCAATCTTCATTGTAATTCTTACTAAACTACGTGTAATTATTTTTGTCAACATTGACAAAATAAAGTGAGAGGAGTCACTGTACATGATACTAAGTCTTCCTATGTATCTACAGTAATCAAGGCATGTGGTATTGGTGGAGAAATAGATCAAAGGATCTGAAGAGAGTACCAAGAAATAGGCCCACACAAACATGCCTGATTATTGAAATGTGCAAAACCAACACAATAGAGTAAGGATAGCTTTTTCAATAAATGATGCTGGGTTAATCTATAGGCAGTTAATGAACCTTGACCTAAACTCAAAAGGAATGATGGGTGGGCGTCAGCGTGAATTTTAAAATTATAAAACTTTTTTCATATATAAGAAAAATCTTTAAAATCTAGGGCTAGACAAGGAAGTTTTATACTTGACAGCAAAAGCACAATAAAAGGAAAAATTAAGAAAAATGTTTATCATCAAAATGATAATTTTTTCTGTGAAAGTTCATGTGAATTGTATAAAAATACAAGTTATAGACTTGGAGAAAATATTTGCAGACCATATATCTGACAAATAGCTGATATCTAGAATACATAAAGAAATATCAAAACTCAATAGTAATAAGATACACAATCCAGTTTGAAAATGGGCAAAGACATGAACAGATAGTTCAACAAAGAAGTTATACTGACGGCAAATAAGCAGTGGGGGGCTGGGGGGAAAGGCTCGATGTCAGTCTTTAGGGAAATGCAGATTAAAACTGCAATGAGATATCAGTATTCACCTATCAGTATGGCTAAGAAGAAAAATAGTAACACCACCAAATGCTGGTGAGGATGCAGAGAAACTGGATCTCACATATATTGCTGATGGGAATGTAAAATGGTACAACCTCTCTGTAAAACAGTCTGGCGGTTTCTTATAAAACTAAATATGAAATTACCATATGACCCAGCGGTTGCACTTTTGAGCATTCATACCAGACATACAAACTTATGTTCAGACAAAAACCTATACAGGAATATTTAAAGAAGCTTTATTCATAACAGCCCCAAACTGAAAACAATCCAAATGTCCTTCAACAGGTTAATGATTAAACTGTGGTGTATTATACTATGAAAAATGACTCAGCAATAAAAAGAAAAATCCACTGATACACCCAATATTGCTGATGAATCTCCAGAGAATTATGCTATAATTATGTTTACATTATAACATAATAATTGCATCTATTAGAAGGATAAGTACTATATGATTCCGTTTCTATAACCTTCTTGAAATGACAAAATGATAGAAATGGAGAACATATTAGTGGTTGACAGAGTTAAGGAGAGTTGGTGTGGCTGTAAAAGGGCAGCATGAGGGATCCTTGTGGTGATGGAAATATTGTTTACCATGTCTCTATCAGTATCAGTATCAGTATCCTTGCTGTAATTACAGTCTATGGTTTTAGGAGATGTTACCATTGGAGGAAACAGGATAAATTGTACAGGGGATCATTCTGTAGCGTTTTTTACAAGTGTTGTGAATCTACAATAAACTCAAAACTTAAAGTTTAAAAATAAAGGAACAAAGTTTATGATCTGCATATTTCAGACTGTTTGAAGTTATATCAAGGGTAAAACAAGAACAAGAACAAAACTGTAAAAAATATTTTTAAAATACTTGAAGATATATTAACTTAAGGCAAAAAATATAAAGTAAAATTAAACTCTCAAGGATAGAAAATTCAGGATATTTTTAAAAAGTGATAAACTCTGAAATCAGTGAAACAAATACACCAGTCTAAATAAATGCTACACATCTGGTTACAAAATTGATATGTAAATATTATGTTACCTTTACAAAGAAGGAATATAAACAAAAATAATTTTAATAAAAGTAATTTTTATTTAAAAAAACAAATGTTCTTTTAAAAGTCAAAATACTAAAGAAGGGACACTTCAATAGCTCCTGCTCCACATTTAATTCTAAAAATAAGAGAAATATGTGTTTTACAAATTGTGATGTTATCATAACAACTTTTAAGCCTAGGTTATTTTTCTTTATTAGCCTTCTCACAATTTCTCAAATAAAAAGCAAGCTCAGATAAAAACCGGATTACTTATTAAACTGTATATAAAGTTACATGTATCTATGTTTATTTCATTAAGTATCTACTTAAAGTTAAAATGAATGTTTGCAACATTTAGTTTAACTTCTGCATCCAAATATTAATCGCAAGTTCATCTAGGTGACTAAGTTCAAGAAAGCATCACTTTCAATACACAACATTTATTTATGGTTCTGCACTGTGTGCTATTGTTTGGTTCTCTTACGTGTTTATGGTTTTGCATTAGGTGCTTTATAAAAAGTGATACATAGCCCAAGTGGCATGATGCCATGATGAACACATAAAAGCAGAGTAGTTAATTTCTCAGTTCTTCATTGTAATGCTTATTTAAATTAAACTGCCTATATGTTATATAATAATATATAAAAGTATTGTGACTTTGGCACTTGATGTATTACAAGCACATATTTAAAAAACTGTTTTTAAATCATTTGAAGATTTTTATCAAACAATTTTTTTAAATCCCACTATTGAAAAATAAATATCCACAATAAAAAAGTGCTTAGGTTTCAGGCCCTAGGTGTCTGCATACCACACCGAAGTCATAGCTATAAAAAATGTCTTTAATTTAAAGAGAAAGAGAAGGAGACAAAATGGAAAAATTCAATGCATATGTACTGTATTTGGATATTGAGGGAAACATTAAAATGAAACTCTGAGACAAAGCCTAAATCCCACAACGCCATTACTAGCATTAATGGTCTCTACTATTCATGCTTTGGTTGAGGTCTCTTAGTTTATACATAACCTTTCTTTGGATTCTTAACATTCACAGTCAGAATAATCTTTTTCTTACAGCAAAGTTTCCATAATTAATTTTCAGAGCTGAATATAAGCCTATGAATTGACCCAAAGAAAATCTTGATTTTGTCCATTTTCTACTATGCATTTTCTATGTTATCTTTATTTTAAAAGCTGCTCTTAGGAATGTTATACTATATCCCACAGTGTTTCCTTAGCAACTTCTATAGTGCCCTTGGGCTACAGATCTTAATTCCACCACATGCTCTAAGTACTTTTTAAAAATATAACATGTTTAAAGCTTAAGCTTTCATATATACAAAATTCAGCACATTTTCGGGTTTTCCTATGGGTACTTATAATAGCATCTGTTACTGGCTGTAGACAGAAGTAAGCCAAGCTCCAAAAAAGACAATGAATAGCATGATTTCGTAAGAATAACTGAATTATGGTTCTTCGGAATTTAACATCTGAAATCCTCTTAAAAAGATCCACTATGTTAGATCCACATATAAATCTTGTTTCTGTGCTTGGTCCAAATGAAGAATTACTGTTATCTGAATAGCTTTGAGTACACCACCCATAGATTACCCAAGGATATTGCTTTCTGAGCCCCTTAATCCCAAACCATATGAACGTTTTTGTATTTAAAGTGAGTCCAAATGTTCTCAAGTTTTAATGTGTACAGTTATGTAACAATGATTTTGCACCGTTTTTGTTTAATTCAATTTCTATTCATTGCATTTTAAAAAGAAAATGGAAAAATGCACAGAACTTTCCACTATATTATTAATATATCATTTTGTTTATATTAATGTTATCACTTATTTTCTCCATAAAAACAAAAGGTGTTTTATCATATTATGTACTCAGTAGGAGTAACTGTGATAACAATAATACATTTATGTTGGCCATCTAGTTCTTATATTAAATATTTTTATTCTGTATAAACAGAATCATTTTTAATTCTGTATAGGAGATGCTAGATGATGAAATAGAAAAATCATAGGCTGGACAGTCTAAAAAAAGTGAATTCAAATTCCAATGTCAGGCTTTACCAGCCTTCTTTTTTTTTGGTAAATTACTTAATCTCTCTTCATCTAATGCTTCAATAGTATAACTGAGTAGTGTAAATATGTAAATATTGAGTATGTAAAATATATCTACTTCAGAAGACTATGGAGGGTTTTTTTAAAGACTTTTTTTTACATGTTATCTACAAAGATCAAGCATTGTTATTATTGGAGTAGATGTCTTGGATAATCTATTCAAGGAATACCAATTAGTCCAAATTGATGAAGCCTGTATCTTCTGCAAAGGAAGCACTAATTCCACAACTATGCAATAAAATCGGCAGTAATTATTGAGGCTGTATTTCCAGATCAGAACATTCCATGTAAGCAGATGTAAAAAGAACATTTGCCACATTGTGGATGAACCTAGAGGACATTTATGCTAAGTCTGGCCAGGTACAGAAAAAAATAAACTATATGATTTCACTTATATGTAGAATCTGAAAACATTGACATAGAGGCAGACAGTAGAATGGTGTTTGCCAGGGGCTGTGGTAGCCAGAGAGATGGAGAATGGAGGGATATTGGACAAAGGGTACAAAATTTCAGTAGACAGTCTTGGAGATCTATTGTACAACATGATGACTATAGATAATAGTGATATCTTCTTGAAACAATCTCGGCATGGTATGGTGCCAATAAAAAAAAGAAAATATATATATTCTTGAAAATTTCTGAGAGTAGATTTTAAGTGTTTTCATCACACACACAAAAACATGTGGGGTGATGGACATGTTAATTTAATCATTCCACAATGTACACCTATATCAAAAAAAATCACATTGTGCACCATGTATATGTATATACATATACAATTTTTCAAAAAGTCACATTGTACACCATATATGTGTATATATACAATTATATATAAATTTTGTGCATATATATATATATATATATATATATATATATGAACCCAGGCTGAATTTTTATGGAGGTGATGGTGACCAGAGGAGCAAATTGTGACCCATCTTGATATCAGGGACATAAAAAGGGAAGGGATAAAGCACTGTTTTGAGAGTTAAATAAAAGAATATAATTTTTATAAGTAGAGCTATCTATAACATAGAATAGATACTTAGAATGTTATTTATCCTTTGCTTTGTCCCTTGAATTTTCAAATAACATCTTCTGAAAAAAATAATATTGCAAATGGAAATATTTTCTAAATTGTACCAAACATTATATACACATTTAAATAGATAGAAATAGAGATAATAAGTAGGTAATCAGAGAGCTAATAGTAGATGTTTATTCAGCACCCACCCCTGTGAAGAAATCTTTACTTTAATCCTCAAAATAACCTTATTAGTGGGTACTATTACCCTACTTTACAGATGGGTAAACTAATTTTTTTTTTTTTTGTATGTGGCTGCAAAAGGTGATATCAGGACTAGATACCAGCTGTCTTCAGATCCCATTGCCTAACAAATATCAGTAACAAACCACAGAACTATGACAACAAATTGTTTGTTTGTTTGTTTTTTGAGACAGAGTCTCAGTCTGTCGCCCAGGCTGTAGTACAGTGGTGCGATCTTGGCTCACTGCAACCTCCACCTCCCGGGTTCAAGCAATTCTCCTGCTTTAGCCTCTGGAGTAGCTGGGATTACAGGCACCCGCCACCACATCCAGCTAATTTTTGTATTTTTAGTAGAGACAGGGTTTCACCATGTTGGCCAGGCTGGTCTCGAACTCCTGACCTCAGGTGATCCACCCGCCTCCGCCTCCCAAAGTGCTGGGATTACAAAATAGTTGTTTTTAAATATATAAAGATTAAACACATGTGACTCTACAACATCTAATTTTAAATTTATTTCACAATCCTCATGCTGATTACATAGTGGTCATAAAATTCAGGTCATACTTTTAATGAAACAGAAAATATTCTGATTCAAATCCCATTTCTTTTCCTCACAGATTTTTAGTTGGAATTTACAGATTTTTGTCAGGCAATAAATTGATAGGATCATAGACTACAAATATGAAAAAATCTGCTTAAAAAACTTCCAGAATTATCAAATGCCTACTATTAATCCCACCCCCAGATATAAACACTGTCTTTTTAAAAAGCTGTACACTGGATTCTCAGAAAGATTAGGTCTCTATTGGGAAAGACAGCGTGTCTTAGAAGTCAATCCCAAACTATCTAACTCTACAGGAGATAAATGGAGATTTGCCTGGAGAGGGAAGCAAAATATTGCCATGAATCACCTTCCTCACAGCAGTTCTGAAGCTTTTAATTTTCAGCATTGCTGGTCTCCAGGTATGTGCAGTTGATTAACAGTCAACAGAAATTGAACCAACTCCATGCGGAGTCCTGGATATTAGTGCGTAGCACTCTTTTAAACTTCTTTCTTTCTCCTCTTGTCTCTTCTTAAATCCATGCTATTTTTCTGTTTTATTTTCTTTAAAAGAAAATACGTGCGCTATTTATCTGTCACATGGGCATCACAAATGTATTCCAGACAAATTAAGAAATTAATGTATGTCTGAGTTTTTATTTAATCCCTCTTTTTCTTCTCCTTCCACTGTCACGGTCCTCTTTCCTAGACCTTATAAGGAAACTGATCAGATCTCTGAGAAATGACTCACGATAACACAGGCATGCCACTGATGAGAATATTCTCCATTTTCCCTTCCTCTCCTATGTTTCTTTTTCAATTTTGACTCATCATTCTAGTTCCTCTTATATCAATTATCCTATCCTGTATCTGCTTCCGGTATTTGGCTTTGATAGCATTCAGCAAATACTGAATGCTCAGATTTTCCAGGATTTACACTTACAGGATTTCCCCCCAAAATTGTCTTGTTTGTGTTTGTAGACAGCATAATATGTATTAATTTTCTCTCTTTCTATTTTATTTTAATTCAACTATACAGATTTTGTGAAATGCTTCTCATATATGTGGAGATCATTGAGTAATTATGCTTAATTAATTCATCAGCAACTAAAAAATAGTAGTAACAAGGATTATCTCTTAGGGTGTCAGTCTCATCTCAATCCAGAAACTTCTTAGATAATAAGTCTTCTGGGCAGTCTAATACCTATTATGCTATTAACATTTATACAGTGAGAGAGAAAACTGTCATTCATAAGACAGCATCAGCATCAAATTAGGAAAATGGCTACTGGAAGTAAAAGTATTATATAATAATCATTTCTCAATTGGTCAGGTGCGGTGACTCATGCCTGTAATCTCAGCACTTTGGGAGGCCAAGGTGGGTGGATCACCTGAGGTCAGGAGTTTGAGACCAGCCTGGCCAACATGGCAAAACCCCATCTCTACTAAAAATACAAAAATTAGCTGGGCGTGTGGTGGGCATCTGTAATCCCAGCTACTCTGAAGGCTGAGGCATGATAATTGCTTGAACCCAGGAGGTGGATGTTGCAGTGAGCTGAGATCGTGCCACTGCACTCCATCCTGGGTGACAGAGTGAGACTCTATCTCAAATAATAATAATAATAATAATAATAATTTCTCAGTATCAATGATAAGCTATAGGGAGAATAAAACACCATGTATATAGAATGAGTACCTGTTCTTTGTCTTCTGAATGCCATACTAAACGCAGGCACCGAATCTCTATTCTCAGCCCAGAATTCCACTGTAAACCTGTTTCTGTGCCCTGCTGTCTCTGTAATTCAGCTTCCTCATTGGTGGCTGCATTGGTGATTTCTAAAGCACTATCACCTGCTCCCATGTCTCCTTTACAGGTTGTCAATTTTTGTGTCCTTTCCTCTTTTTCATCTCCAAGGGCTTGTCATGGCCATTCAACAGAAACCAATGCTGTCTCCATTTCTCCTTGGTGGAAAGTTAAAAACTGGTCCATCCACCTTCTGCGATAAGTTTAGCTCTTACACCAAATAGCCAAAACCTAGCAAGAAGATGGGAAAATATCCAGGAGCTATTCTGTTTCTATACATACCCTCTCTTTGCTACATACCCCATTGACCTAATCTTTCCCAAGCCACGATTACTCCTCTCACAGCATTTCCTTACTTACTCTTGAAGTGGGCAAAACTTGACCAGCATGATGAGTCCCTTTTAACTCCCTACAGCACAACTAGAGTTGACACTCAAATGTTTGGTACAACTAGAGTTGACGCTCAAATGTTTATATAGCTGGAAGATAAATTCCCTTCCTCCAATATCTCAAACTATTTTATTTTTGCAGCCCAATATACAAATTCTTAACTTAATGCATGTTAAAACCAGTGAGCAAAAGGCTAAATTGTATATACATTGGCAAAGTTTTAAAACCCATATTATTCATTACTAAGGCTTTTTTTTGTTAAATTTCAATTATGTGCTTTTATATGCCTAAACATTCTCTCTAATATTAATTTCTTAAGAAGGTGATTTGGAGTTAATTGCATGGCAAATGAATTTTGGTGTTGCATAATTGAGAAACCTCAAGCCATTTTCTTCCGGGGATCAATAGATATTTGACAATAATAGCAACATTTTGTAATCTAATTAAAGGATTATTTGACATACTATAGCTTTGGCACATGGAGTCAAGTCTTTCTGACAGAGAGCCCTGATGTTGATTGTTTATTTTGTCAGGAAATCTTTACTTATTACACTGAGGACTTGCTTCATAATAAAAGACCTCATGTAAAACATTAACAATAATTTGTATCATGAAGGGTATTAAATAATTTCTAGATTGCTCAATAATATGAATGTGGTAGAGATTGTATCATATGAAAAAGGAGAATCAATAATTCCACTTAAATCTGAAGATTTAAAAACCTCTTGAGGAAAAAAGGAAGTAATAGAAAAAGTTGCTTTAAGATTGCAATTTGGCCAGGCGTGGTGGCTCACGCCTGTAATCCCAGCACTTTGGGAGGCCGAGGTGGGCGGATCACGAGGTCAGGAGATCGAGACCATCCTGGCTAACACGGTGAAACCCCGTCTCTACTAAAAATACAAAAAATTAGCCGGGCGAGGTGGCGGGCGCCTGTAGTCCCAGCTACTCGGGAGGCTGAGGCAGGAGAATGGCGTGAACCCCAGGGGGCGGAGCCTGCAGTGAGCCGAGATTGCGCCACTGCACTCCAGCCTGGGCGACAGCGAGACTCTGTCTCAAAAAAAAAAAAAAAAGATTGCAATTTAAGTCACTTCCAGTTCTTCCAGTTGGTGTTTGATTTTGTATAACCAAACTTTATGTCCTATTTCTCATTAACCATAATCTTTTTGATACAATTGACTCAAGTTAGAATAATAGTTATGTTATTTTCAGGCTAGTTATTATGATAGTGTATTTTATTTGCATGTTGTTTTATAGAATACAAAGTTTAATAGTATATTTACTACTTATGATGTATATTGGATGAATCTACTTTTACAAATAGTGAAATCAAGGTTCAGATAGCTTCTCTTAGGTTATATAGCAAATAAGTGTTAGAGTTGGGAAAGGAATAAAATCTTCTATCTTCAATGCAAATATTCATGACATCTCATATCTTCCTATTGTACTCTCAAGAGAAGCTTAACAGCACTAAGAGGATGAAAGACCAGTTAGAAAATATCATGAAGAGTTATCAACTCTTCCAGTGCTCCATTTCTTGGACATCCTTTGCAAATTGTTTTGGAGCGTTCTGAACTAAATCCTTAGGGCACTCCTAGAGATCACAAATAGATGAACACAATTTTGAAAATACTACATCTTTTGACTTTGAGAATTTTTTACTTGCCAGTCATATAGCTCAATCTCCAAATTCCTTCATTTATAATTATTAATAAGCACAGTGAGAGTAGCTACCATTTACTGTCCATTCGTTCATTTATTCATTCAGCAAATATGATATTCAGAGGGAACCTACAATGTGCCAAATACTTCTCCAAGAAGGTAATGCACAGCAGTGATAAAAACAGGGCACTATTGTCATTCATGTTGAATTATCTCAGTCTATCAGAGATGAGATTGAGATAATTGAGAAAACCAAAGCTTAGAGTTGTTACTCACTGAAAGTCACATATGCTTCTGTAAGGAGAGAATGTAAATCCAAATAATACGCCTCACCTAAAACAAAACTCTCTCTTTTCCTTCATTAATGACTGTCACATCTTTGATCTCATCTTTTGTCCACTGATACCAGCCATATTTAGTTCTTGCTATGTCACAAATTGATTATGCATCAATTTTCTATCTGACTGGTTGGCTTCCATCTTCCTTCTATATGAACCTATTTTACCCACCATAGTCAGATCAATCTCCTTAGGACAGCAGTTTCAGCATTTTACTCATCCAGTCAATACCCAACATTCTCTTCCGCAAATCCAAATGGCTTATTCAAGTATTCCAGATCCTATGCATTCAGTTACAGCATACCTATCTAAACTATTTTCTTTTGCTACTTCTCATTACAAACCATAGCTTCTACCCTCTCTCTATACTACTCCTAACCTTCAACCACATGACACTCATTGTTGGCTTCTAGAATTTACCATGTTGTTTCTCCCACATAGTTTCCTTCCCCACACTTTTAGTTTTCCATAATTTACTTCAAAGGTCATCAGAAATCCCAGTTTATTTGCTTTGTTTTTTTCACCATTTTTAGTGCATAGTGGTGTCCGTCTTCTAAACTCTTAATGCACTTGTCTTTATCAATCTTTTTGATTGTATTCTGCCTACATATTTACTTACTTGCTTTATGTCTCTATTGACTATGTTAGTAACTAAATTGTAACTCCTGGAAATCAGAAACCCTGTCTTAACATTATATTTTAACTGCTCCTCAGTACTATATACTGAATATACATTATTAACTTAATCTATTAATACGTTAGCTATAGTTCATATGCTATTGACTAGTATATTTCTCATTAAACTAAGAATTAAAAACACACTCTATAATTTGGACAGGAGATTTTCTCTGTTATTATGCATGACATCATGCTAGTATTGAATTTGATTGAAAAGAAAATCATACCATCATTTTACCCATATCTTTGCTTTCTATTTCATTAGGTTACTGGATATTTCCTTTAAGTTACCACATTTTTAATATTTTCATTTGCAATATATTTTGTATTGATCTTTCCATTCACATAATTATCACTCTAGTCTGATCCCTCTTCATTTTATTTCTGAGCTATATTTACAAATATCTGTGAGATAATGGTCTACCTTACTAACAAAAGAAACAATTGATAAAAGCAATATAAAACTCCAAAATTCAAGCAATTAAGGGACGCGAAGTATTCCAAGAGCTTATTACAATTATTAAAAATACTCAAATAAAATAAGCATATAATTACAATACAGGTATAATAACATATCTATAGAAGAAACATCAAAGTCAAAGTGGGTAGTGGGTAAAGAGAGTTAGAAAATGAGATAGAAGGTTCAGAAAAGTGTAAGAGCAGAATTACTGGAGGAAGAGATGCTTAGGCTGAGTCTGGAAGGACTACTAGGCTAATACTGGGATTGTGAAAAGATGTAGGAGAAGCATTCTGGGAAGAAATAATAGTGCAAATATTCTTCCATTGTATTTATGTTGTTTTCAGAGACTATCTAAGGTTACACCAGGTCATTACTGAGCCATTCAGTGTCCTGGCAGAACACAGCATGCTCAAAGAGGATAACTGACTATTTACAAAGCCATGGTCAGGATTAAAAGAAACCACAAGGAATAGTGCATTCCAGGACCAACAACAGTGGAAGCTGTCACAATCCTAAGCCTGAAGGAACAAGAGAAGGGAACAGCTACAGAAATTTAGCTCTGCAGAGAGGGTCATCTGAAAGGAACTCTGGCCTTCTGCCGGGAGATGCAGACAGCCTATTGCACCCAAGCACAGAAGCAGCCAGAGTTATATAAATCTTGGTATTAATTTATTCTCAATTTTTTATATTCTCATGATGCCCACCATGGCTGTATCCAAATGGAAGTCAACAAGCAAGAATTGCTGCCGTTCACGGGTCTGCTTCCTGGAGCAGACAACAGAGAGGAATAACGGCAGAGTAGATCTGGAGGGGCAAAAAGGAAATACCCAATGCAGTTCTTTAACTTCTCACATCACAGAAAAAAACAAGCTATAACATTTTATATATTTTACAAAGCACTTGAGGATCTCAGCAACAACAATAAAAATCCTCGGAATTTTTTACAACTGTGTCATAGAAACATTGTACCTGGAGCTAAAAGATATTGATCATCTTCAAGGACTGCTTAGACAGCTGTCTTTCTAACTTAGAAAGTGTTCTTTCCCTACCTTGTTCCCAACTTGTTTTCCTGTAAGAGAGGAACGCTGTATTTCCCTAGCACCCAGGATGGCTCCAGCACATCCAGACTCTCCAGAGTCCAGCCCTAAAAGAAGAACTGTGTCCCTAAGGCTTATTTACTCTCATGGGACCTCTCTTTCCACCATGACTGAAGTTAAAAATATGCACTTACTTTAGCAGATGTTTCCCCTTCTGTCTGTGACTTTAGCCTACGGTCCTTGCAGAATAATAATATATCAATAAAATCGCCCAATTACAGTACAAAAGGTAAAGTAGCCAACGGGTAATTTTATCACAATTAACATTTTTGAATTATCAGAAGTGTAACTTTTTCTGCTTTTATATTCCTCAGTGTTTGAGTTATTCAACTTCAATTAACTTTGGATGTGGCCTCATTAATACCACTATCTTGAGTTTCACAAAGCAAAACAGTTGGTGGTTCCACCCTCAAAATAAGATAAATAACATAAAGAACATGACTAATTCCTTCCTCCAGTTAGTAGGTCTCACTGTCAGGCTCTTCCAAGCTGCCTCTTAACCAAAATTATGTATCTCCAAAAACAAGCAACAATTTGCAATCACACTCTAATTAAAATCTATTTTTAAGATAGTTTTCACAGAGGAAACATAATATAGAGATGCAATTCTGCTTACATCGCAAAAATGTTTTACATTGTTATTCAGGGTAATTTAACTTACAGATACAGCTTCCTACACATCTCCATTTCTGCTTGTGATGGGGGTCCCCAAGATCACCCTCAGATTTGTTGATACACTCAGATTCACAGAACTCAGAAAAGTTATTATGTTGAAGGTTACAGTTTATTACAAAGAGATAATACAATTTAAAATTAGCAAAGAAAAAAAGGTTTGCAGCATGAAGTAAAGGAGAAACCAGGCACAAATTTCCATTTGTCCTTTCTCAGTGGAACTGTACAGACAGAGCTTAATTCTCCCAGCATGACGTATGACACAACATTAAAAGTGTTGTCAACTAGAGAGGCTCACTAAGGCTTGGTGTCCAAGGTTTTTATTGAGGCTCAACCATCTCCGCATGGAGCACCCACATGACTGACCTTGCTACTCTCAGTTTCTAATGCCCCCAGAGGTCAAACTGTAACGGCACTCACCAGGGCCCTAAGCAAACAAAAACACACATTCGCCATATCACACTGTTAGCATAAACTGTGTGGTCCAAGGTGCCACACAGTTTGCAAAGACACTTTTATTAGGCTGACTATTCCAAGAGCTCTGAGGTTGTCTTTCAAGACCCAGCCAATGCCCAATCCTGCAGGCTTTTGGAATGTGTAGGGTTTGGCCAACTTAGGCCTGCTGAGTTCACTCTTTAATGCACGCTGCTGATAGATTTTTTAAAATAATATTTGCTTAAGGAAACAGCCCATTGCTTTGTTCTCTCCATTACAAAAACTGTCAGCATGAAAAGTGTCTTCAGAGCTCTTTTTCTAAGACAGAAGACTGCTGTAGCTTTAAAAAAAGACTTTTCAGGTATCTATCACCCCCACTCCACAGGATTTCAAAATTCTCAAGGCCATATTTTAGCCACTTTACACTTTCCTTTCCCCCAGTAGTTATTAAAAGAAGAAAACATCTACCAAATATATGCCTAGAAATATGGGTTCAGATCTGGGAAAATGGCAAAGAAAAGTTGAGCCCTCTTTTGCATGCTGTTTGCAGATCTCTGCCTTTTCAACTTTTAGAAGTTGAACTCTGTCTAGTCTCCGTTTAGATCCAGGAAGTCAAGTGCATTCTCTTATAGAAAGCAAACAACAATATCACACCAAAGTAATAGTAGGAAATCCATGTAAGCCAAAAGAGGGAGCAACTGGAAAAATAAAAATAAAATTCAACACTTTTAATATTAAAAATAAATTATCATATGTTAGTAGTAAACTATTCTTTATTATTCTGTGTTTTATAAGTATTCTTTTTGGTAAATGCTATTTTCTTTCCTACATTTATTACACTGAACACACATTGACTTTTATTGAAACTCATTTCTGAAATATTCAACTTGTAGACAAATTATTATTGAACTAAATGGCTATATAAAAAAGATGTAGCATATTAATAATTCAGCCTTTGAATTATGTTCCACTGACCCTAATAAGCCACCTGTTTTTATAAACAAAACAACAACAACAAAAAGTAATTCAATGATTTAATGGAACATCTCTAATAATTGAAAAAAATTTAAAGAAAAAAAGTAAAATAGAATATAATTAAAGGTAAGTGAAAGAGTCTTTAAAGAATGCCCATTCTTACATCTTTTATTTGGTGGCGCTATAACAAAACATAATAGCATCACATACTTTAAAAAACAAAACTTAAGGATCACATGTAAGCACTTGGACAAAAGTGACTTATGTATGAACCTCACAAGTGCTTCAACTATCAGGTTTAGACAGACACGGCTAGAACTGGAAATTGGCCAATAAAAGTATAAATTCAATTACATCACTTTGAAACAATTAAACTTGCCTGATCACTTTGACTGTGACAGAGAAAGCATTTGCTGTAGTAATATTAGATCAGTGAGAGGCAAGACAGTGCAGCATGAGGTAAAAGACCGATTTAAATTTTGCCTCAAGGTCTAGAGGGACTTGCTTTCATTTGCTAGAAATAAGCAAAACACAAGAAGGTTTAGTGTCACATATAAACAGCTATCAATCAAGATCTCTAGCTAATGCCAATAGACCTTAGGGGAAAGTTAAATGACTTGTACGCAACACAATGCTTACTGAAAGAAGAAAACCACAGCATGATAGAAAAAATAATATTTCATTTTTATTAAACCATTTATTGTAAATGATAAAATAATAGCAAAGATTTAATAGGAAAAAAGTCTGTTCTTTGAATTAAAGCATTTATCTTTCTTCTTTCAGGAAAACATAAGAAGTATACATTTATCCTGACATTTTGAGCTCCAAAAAAGCATTTGGTCAAGTGTTTTTGGTTGAATGTCTTGGCCTGAGCTATTAGGAAATTAATTTGATAATTTATTTTTAATGATGCATCACTAACCTGAATGCCTTTGTGCTTGGATGAACCAACACATTTCTACAAATTGAACACAGCACGATTTCCTTTTCAGATTTCCCTATATAATAACTATTTGAAAAAGGTTTTTAACTCTCAATGCTTTAGCCAATGTAATGTTTAATTAAATTATTTGACTAATTTTTCATTTTAGCATTATTATAGGTTCCTCCTCTTCGTGAAACAGTTTTATTCTCTCAGTTCACTAATATCTTCACAATTGCAGCACTGACACTAAGCAAAACTGATCCCCTTAAAACCACATCCTTCCTTGTCTGGGCTTTCACAGGAGTGTTTTTTTCAAGCATTCTCCTCTTACTTAACGTATCCCTTTTGACCTCTTATCCTACTTCTCTTTCTCTTGTCACCTTGTAAAACAGTATTCTCCACATTCTAAGACCATTCTTCTATTCTTTATTTCTCTTAGTGATGTCATACTTTTCATTTTGTGAGAATGAAAGTCAATGCCTCTATCCCACCTCCCTCCCTCATGCTTCCACGTTCCGTCTCCCAATGCCTGATAGACATTTGTCAGGAGATGGTCCTCTGGAACCTCAAACTAACTATATCATAAACAAATTCCATTTCTAGTCCATAGCTTTTCCCTTCATTACTTCATTCCACAAAACAATCTTTGAATACCTAACATGTACTGGCTTTCGTCAAGACCAGAGAACATCAAATATTTCTTATAAAATCCAGATAGCAAATGTTTTAGACATTGTAGGCCATATGTCTCTGTTGCAACTATTCAATTCTGCCATTTTAGTATAAAAACAACAATGTGGACATGGCCATGTTAAATAAACCCACCTATGAATGCAGAAATTTAAATTTCATATCATTTTCCTGTATCATGAATTCTTGATCATCTTTTGATTTTTGTCAACCATTGTTATCTCAGGATACTGAACCCTATTGCAGACTGGAATTGACACATGGACACAGTTTGCTGACTACTGTGGTAGATACTGGAGATTCAGCAATAAATAAGAAAGCTTATTTAGAAAGAAAGCTCAATAATCTTAATTTTGAAAAGAATCTCCCATTTGTATGCCAATATTGACTTCTGGTCACACAGCAACCTATGTCAGGTTTATTACTTATTACTTACTATAACCCACTCAATCATCAAGTAAGTAAAAAAAATCTTCTAAATATTAACCTCTGCTTTGTAACACTTTGCATACTCTCAATGTCCATATTCAAATGTTTTTATTTATAAATAGTTGAAAATATTTTGTATTTCAAGATTTCATTTTTATTTTTTCCACTTTGCAATTTTTATATTGGCATTATCTTCCTCAATATTTTTAAAGCAGCTTTATTTAAGTATAATGGACACACAATGAATTACACATGTTTAAAGTATACATATTGATCTTTTTAAATTCATGTATCAATTTAAACAACAATTTTGAGACATAGTTCACATATCATCCAAGTCACCCTTTTAAAACATACACCTCAGTTGTTTTTAGTACTATATTCTCAGAGTTGTACAACCAGTACTACCATCAAATTCACAATTAGATAACCCCCCAAACAAGCCCAAAACCTATTAGCTATTACTCTCTGTTCCCTGATGCCCTCATGCCTTGCAAATACTAATTTACTTTTTGTGTCTATAGATTTCCCTCTTCTGAATATGTCATATAAATCACACAATATGTTGCCTTGTTTTTTCTGGCTTCTGTTGCTTAGGACAATGTTTTCAAGGATCATCTACATCGCAGCTGGTATCTGTACTGGTTCAGTATTCCCTATTTGAAATGCTTGGGACTAGAAGTGTTTTAGATTTCAGATTTTTTTTCAGATTTGGGAATATTTGCATATACCTGGTGAGATATTTTGGGGATATGATCCAAGTCTAAATGCAAAATTTATTTATGTTTCATATACACCTCATATCATGGCCTAAAGGTAACTTTACATAATATTTTAAATAATTTTGTGCATGAAACAGTGTGTGTATGTTGATCCATCAGAAAGCAAAAGTATCACTATCTCAGCCACCCATGTGGACAATCGGTGTGGTATTTTTGGCATCACCATCATTCCTGACTCTGATTTTATATGGTACCTAGAAGCAAATTATTTTCTCACCCTTATCTAAACATAAGTACTTAACAATAAAAAATATGGGCCGGGCACTGTGGCTCATGCCTGTAATCCCAGCACTCTGGGAGGCCGACATGGGTGGATCTCCTGAGGTCAGCAGTTCGAGACCAGCCTGACCAACATGGAGAAAGCTCATCTCTTCTAAAAATACAAAATTAGCCAAGCGTGGTGGCGGGAGCCTGTAATCCCAGCTACTCGGGAGGCTGAGGCAGGAGAATCACTTGAACCTGGGAGGTGGAGGTTGCAGTGAGCCGAGATCATGCCATTGCACTCCAGCCTGGGCAACAAGAGAGAGATTCCTCAAAAAAAAAAAAAAAATGACATGTCATCTACACAGGAAAAAAAAAAACATGTTCAGGGTAAATAAGCAGCAGAGTAGCATCATCAGAATACCTGCATCAGCTGTTAAACAATAACAACAATAAACAATGGCGGACTTTCAGTCTCCACCTACAATGCCGTGTTTTCATTGCAAGGTTACCGTACACTACATTTTGTTTTTAGGTGAGAAGAAACGTCAGAAACAGTTGTGGGACCAGGAAGTGGACCCTCTAGGGATGAGGAGGCATTCTGATCAATGGCTTCTTAAAATGCTTCATCCAAAGTCGTTTGCCTCATTAACAATCGTTGTTGTCTTAGAAGTTTCTCTTTGATTGCATAAACTTACATGATTTCTGGTCCTGTTATGAATACACACTGCTCTAGTCTTTCCATAAGGCCATCACATATTTTCACCATGTCATCTATAGACCCTTTTTCTGCAATGTTAACAACATCATCTTCATTGTCACAATTATCACTATCACTGTAATCCAAAACCATTTTGGCTATTTCACCATCTATGAGTGACAACTAGAGCTTCATTAACAATGTTAAACGTTTTTCCTCCAGGTGCGGTGGCCCGTGACTGCAGCCCCAGTATTTAGGGAGGCCAAGGTGGACTTGAGCCCAGGTGTTTGAGACCAGGCTGAGTATCATGGAGAAACCTATCACTACAACAAATAGAAAAACTAGAAAAATTAGCTGGGTGTGGTGGTGCATGCCTGTAGTCCCAGCTACTTGAGAGGCTGAGGAGGGAAAATCACTTGAACTCAGGAGGTGGAGGTTGCCAGGAGCCAAGATCATGCCACTGCACTCCAGCCCCTGGGTGACAAAGCGAGAGCCTGTCTTAAAAAAAAAAAAAAAAAAGTTTTTCAATTATCCACTTCAGCTTACTGATGGACTCTGAAAGTATATATTTTTGCATATGTAAGGAAATCAGACATCATTTTTTTCCACTTGACCTCCAGAATTCTTAAAGTCACCACCTTATTTGTCATCACTGAACACACAGGCCAAAGGTTTTGCCAGGCATGCACAACTGTCTTTAGTCACTGCATTCTAAGCCCTGGCAACAGCTTATACAGCATTCTTTATGCCAAATTTATTTTGGAAACCTCCCACATCCACACCTCAGTTCAATGCTGCTGGAGTTCTTTTCAAGATAGTGTTCTCATATTTACTCTTCATTGATCTAAGAATACCCTGATCCACATGACTGAATTAGTAAAGCCACATTTGGGAGAAAGTACACAGCATAAACGTTCTTTTTGATGAGAATTTCAGCTGGAGGGTGAGCAGAGCAGTTATCAAGGAATAATAAAATCTAGCAGTCATCATCTAGTCCAGCTTCCCTGCAGTGACCACAAGCTGCTGACACAAAATGTTTGTAGAACCAATCAGAAAAGATGTTTCTGGTGATTTATGAGTTTTGTTAACATAATAATGAACGAATAAGAAAACAGAGGACCTAAGCTTTTGCCTATAACAGTAAATTTAAACTTATGTGTGTCTGCTGCATTAGCACATCCCAGCACAGTTATATTGTTCTTGGCATCCTTAATTCCTGTAGGAACTGTCTCATCAACTGTATTCAATGTCTTTCTGTGGCAATAATGCCAAAACAACAATGCTTCATCAGCATTACGGATTTATTTTGGCATCAGATTTTTATTAGCGATAACCTTGGCTAACTCATCAATAAATTTCTCCACTGCTCCATGATCAACAGATGTTTTATTACCACAAACCTTTAAAAATTGAATGCCATTTTTATAAGTTTCTATCACGAGTCTATTGAACATTCAGTTTCCAGTTTATTGTAATAGACCTTTGCTTGTTTCATTTATTGTAATAGACCTTTGCTTGTTTCATTTATTGTAATAGACCTTTGCTCGTATCATTAAGTGGAATGTGTTCACTGTGATACTGACAAATTCACTCTTGCAATACACAATTGAAATCTTCATTTTTAACTTTGTGCAGTCTTTTAAAGAATCAACTTTGATTAACTTTCAGCATAGAATTTCAACAATTTATCCTTCTGTTTCTTCAGGTTATATATGGTGGTCATTCCAACACTATACTCTTCTGTAAGATGTTTCATGCTTATACCACTGTCTAGCTTCTCCAACAACTGGACTTCCTGTGCTATCCATAAACAAAGGCATTCTCTTTTTCTTATTACTGTTACCCACAGAGGTATCTCCGGGCCTTGCTGGTATTTTCAACAATACCCTTATGCCACAGAACAAAGTATAAGCAAAACAAAACACTGTAAATAAGGCACATAGGTCTTGGCTCCACATGGGTCATTGTGAGAAATATGCTGTTGGCGTGTCCGAACTGCACACATGACATTTTCTTACATTTTATGAGTGTGCTTCTGTGGGACAATTTGGGCATGTGCAGAAAAGATACTCTCACAGCCAAAAGGGGCTGAAAGGATCTTTTTTCCACTGGGAACACTAAATAAACTGTGTGTTGTGCATCTGCATTTTGACGAAGACCCACCATGTTAGGTCAGGTGTGAAACTTTCCACTTGCGATGCCATGTCAGCTAGCAAAAGGTTTTGGATCTTGGAGCATTTTAGGTTTTGAATTTTTGGACTAGAGATGCTCACCTTGTACTTCATTCATTTTATGCTGAATAATATTCCATTCTATGGAGATACCACATTTTGTTGTCATTCAACAGTTGACAGACATTGGGACTGGGTCAACTTTCTGACTATTATAAATAGTGTGTTTATACACATTCATGTACAAGATTTTGTATGAATGTGTATTTTCATTTCTGTTGGACACATACCTTGGAGTGGAATTGTTTGGTCATGTGGTAACTCGGTGCTTAACATTTGTAGGTGTGCAGTTATGCCACTATGCATTCACCACAACAATATATGAGGGTCCCCATTTCACCACGTACTATAACTTTTGTGTTCACATATAGGACATTTGTTCAGATCTTTATTACCTTTTCCCTAGACAATTGCTATATCCTTCTGCTTTCATTATTTGCCTTCAGTCTTTCATTTATTGCAATTTATCCCATAATACCACTAATAACAGTTTCTCTTTTTCCTAAGCAATACTTTCTGTCACTACCCTATCTCACCAAACTCAAAAATTATCGACAACCCAAGAGGAAAACTGTAAATAGCTTATTCTAAAAAAAAGAAAAAAAAAGATTCAGAGGCCAGTAAAATTTGATACCTGTTTCCCAACAGCTTATATTATTTCACAACTAAAACTCTCCAGTTCAAACAAAACTACTTATGCATAGTCTTAGAGTTACATCTTGAGTGAGCAAGACTAGCTTTAACTGCCTGTGGCCCATGCCATCATGGAGGGCCCCATACTTAGATGAGCCTTGAACCCACTTAAATGCTCAGCTGTCATCTTAAAATTCTTTTTTTCAAGTGTACAAAATACTTATTTTTACTAAAGTGAACGTATTGTCTGTACCGGCAACTTTGGACTTCCTATGAAATAAACCAATGAGATGTATTACCACAACATAACTTATACCTATGGCTCAAGGAGGACTATGGCTCTTTTCTGTGGCACTGACCTAAAATTAGGGCACATTTCTGTCATTTCTTCACCCTCCACCCCTCATTCAGGATTGGCCTAGGGTAGCAAGGCATAGCCCCTGCTCTGTAACTGACTCTCATCTCCTCAGGACAGAAGGTTCTTACTGCTACCCAGACCTCTGATCCTGAGTTCCTTTTTTCCACTTTTTTTCTCAGATTTATTGAAGTGTAATTGACAATAAAATTTGATTGTATATATTTATGTGTACAATGTGATTATTTGATATATCTATATATTGTGAAATGATTACCATAATCAATCACCTCCCATAGCTACCATTTGTGTGTGTGTGTCTGTGTGTCTGTGTGTGTGGTGAGAACACTTAAGACTTACCCTTCTAGTAAATTTCAAGTGCATAATACAGTAATATTAATTATAGTCTCCATGATGTACATTAGATATATAGAAATTATTCCTCTTAAAAAAAACTTGGAAACTTTTGACTAATACATCTCTATTTCCCTACCCCCAGCCCTAAACACCATTGTACTCCCCACTTCTATGGGTTTGATTTTTCTAGATTCCATATGTAAGTGAGATCATGCATTATTTTTCTTTGTCTAACTTATTTTATTTATCATAAAGTCCTCCATGTTCATTCATATTATGGCAAATGACAGGATTTCCTTTTGTTTAGCACTGAATAATTGTCCATTGTGCGATATATGTCACATTTTCTTTGTCTGTTGATCTGGTGATAGACATGTTGGTTGATTCCGTATCTTGACTATTGTGAATAAAGTTGCAACAAATATGGGAGTGCAAATATCTCAGTGACATACTAATTTCATTTCCTTTAGATATATACCCAGAAGTAGAATTGCTGGATCATATGGTAGTTTTATTTTTAATTCTATGAGGAAACTCCATACTGTTTTTCATAAGCTGTACCAATTTATATCCCCATCAAAACTATACAGCAGTTCTTTTCTCTATATCCTCTCCAAAACTAATTATCTCCTATTGTTTTGATAATTGCCATTTTAACAGGTGCAAGGTGATATATTATTGTGATTTTGATTTGGAGTACCAAAATGATTAATGATGTTGAATTTTTTTCATATACCTGCTGGCCATTTGTATTTCTTCTTTTGAGAAATGACTTTTCTGATACTTAGACAATTTTTTAATAGAGTTTTTTTGTTTTCTTGTTTATGAGTTGTTTGAGTTCCTTATATATGTTGGATGTTACCGCTTATCTAATGTATGGTTTGCAAATATTTTTTCTCATTCCTTCAGTTATCTCTTCATCTGTTATTTCCTTTGCTATGCAGAAGTTTTTAGTTTGATGCAATTCTGTTTACCTGTTTTTGCTTTTGTTGCCTGTACTTTTGGGGTCATATCAAAGAAATCATTGCCCAGACCAATGTGTCAAAAAGCTTTTCCTCTACGTTTCCTTCTAGTAGTTTCATGGTTTCAGGTGTTACATTTAAGTATGTAACCCTTTTTGAGTTAATTTATGTATGTGGTGTGAGATAAGGGTCCAATTTCCCTCTTCTGCATACAGATATCCAGTTTTTCCAACATAGCTTATTAACGAGATTGTCTTTTGCCCATTGTGTGTTCTTTGTTAAAGACCAACTGACCATAAGTGTGTGGACTTATTTCTGGGCTCTCTATTCTGTTCCATTGGTGTATACATCTATTTTTATGCCAGTACCATGCTGTTTTGATTGCTGTAGGTTTGCATTATAATTTGAGGTCAGGTAGTATGATACCTCCAGCTTCATTCATTTTGCTCAAGATAGCTCTGGCCTTTCAAGGTCTTTTGTAGTTTCATATAAAATTTGAGATTGTTTTTCTATTTCTATAAAAATAAGTCTTTAGAATTTTGATAAGAATTATGCTGAACTTGTAGATTGCTTCAGATAATATATACATTTTAGCATTATTAATTCTTTCATTTATTTTGACTTTTTCAACTTCTTTTTTCAATGTTTTATAGTTTTGAGCATACATATCTTTTACCTTCTTGATTAAGTTTGTGTCTACATAGTTTATTCTTTTTGATGCTATTGTAAATGTAATTTTTTCTCACTTCTTTTTCTGATATTTAAAAAACTCAACTTGATTATTGTATGTTAATATTTTATCCTGCAACTTTCCCGAGTTTGTTTATTCGTTCTAGCAGTTGGTGTTGTGCTTGTTTTGTTGCTGTTGAGGCTTCAGGGTTTCCTATGTGTAATATTATATTGCCTGAGAACAGAAAATGTTACTTCTTTCTTTAACAAGTTAGATGGCTTTATTTCTTTTTCTTACTGAATTCTTCTGGCTAGAATTTCCAGTACTATCTTGAGTAGAAGTGGGTAAAGTGGTCATTTTGGTCTTGGTCCTGACATTAGAGAAAAAGTTTCAACATTTTACTGTTACGATGTTAGCTGTAGTCTTGTCATATATGGCCATTACTATGTTGAGGTATATTCTTTTTGCATTTAATTTGTTGAGAGTTTTCATCATGAAATGATATTAAATTTTATCACTTTTTTTGCATCTGTTAAGATGGTCATACAGTATCGATCCTTCGTTCTGGTATCATGGAGTCTTACATTTATTGATTTGTATATATCAAACCCACCTTACACCCCAGCAATATATCTCATTTGAAAATGGCATACGATACTTTTAATTTGCTGTCGAATTCAATTTGCTAGTATTTCATGGAGGATTTTTGTCTCTATGTTCATCAGAGATATTGACCTGTAATTTTCTTTTCTTTTTAGTGTCCCTGTCTAGCTTTGACGTCAAGATAATTCTGGTGTTGTAAAATGAGTTTAGAAGTGTTCTCCACTCTTCAATTTTTTATAAGAGTTTCAGAAAAAGACGGCATTAATTCTTTTTTAAATGTTTCATGAAATTAACCAGCAAAGCCATCTGGTCTTGAGCTTTTTTGTTGTTGTTGTTGGGTTTTTAATTACTGACTCAACCTTCTTACTTGTTATTGGCCTGTTCATATTTTCTATTTTTCATAATTCAATTTTGGCAGATAATATGTTTCTAGAAATTTATTTTTTTCTGGTTAAGCAATGTGTTGTTATATAATTGTTTCAGAAGTCTAAGATCCTTTGTATTTGGGGAGCATCAGTTGTAAAAATCTCCTTTTTTAATAATTTTATCTATTTGAATCTTTTCTGTTTTTCATAGTTAGACTTACTAATGATTTGTCAATTTGTTTGTCTTTTAAAAAAACAACTCTTGGCCGGGCGCGGTGGCTCACACCTGTAATCCCAGCAATTTGGGAGACCAAGGCAGGCGGATCACGAGGTCAAGAGATCAAGACCATCCAGACTAACACGGTGAAACCCCATCTCTGTTAAAAATACAAAACATTAGCAGGGCCCTGTGGCGGGCGCCTGTAGTCCCATCTACTCAGGAGGCTGAGGCAGGAGAATGGCATGAACCCGGGAGGCAGAACTTGAAATTGAGCCGAGATCACACCACTGCACTCCAGCCTGGGAGACAGAGCAAGACTCCATCTCAAAAAAAAAAAAAAAAAAAGAACAAGTCTTAGTTTTGTTACTCTTTTCTACTGTTTTTCTAGTCTCTTTCCTTTGGTTTTTCTCTGCTGTTTATTATTATTTTCCTTCTGTTAATATTGGAATTTGAATGTTCCTTTTCTAGTTCCTTGGGGTCAAATAATAGGTTATTTCAGTTCTTTCTTTTTTCTTAATGTAGTCATTTATTGCTACAAAATTCCTTCTTAGAACTGATTTTACTGCATTCCCTAAGTTTTGATATGTTGTGTTTTTGTTTCCATTTGTCTCCAGATTTTTTTAAAATTTCTTTTTTATTTCTACTTTGATTCATTTGTTCTTTAGGAGTGCATTCTTTAATTTTCACATATTTGTGAATTTTCTATTTTTCTCCTGTTATTTATTTCTAGTTTCATAGCATTGTAATTATAAGCGATACTTGATATGATTTCAATCTTCCTAAATTGTTAAAACTTGCTCTGTGGCCTAACAGGTGATATATCCTGGAGAACGTTCTCTGTACACTTAAAAAGAATGTATATTCTGCACTTGTTGGATAAAATGCTTTATCTATATCTACTGGGTCTATTTGGTCTATAGTGTTGTTCAAGTCTTCCATTTCCATACTTATTTTCCATCTAAATGATCTGTTAATTATTGAAAGTGGGGTATTAATGATCCCTACTATCATATTGCTGTCTGTTTCTCCTTTCAGTTGCATTAATATTTGTTTTATATATCTAGTGCTCCAATGTTGGGAGCATGTTTATGATTTTTATATCTTCTTGATAAATTGGCCCCTTTATCTTTATATAATGACTTAACTTGTTTCCTGTATCAGTTTTTGACTTAAAGTATATTTAGTCTGATGTAAATGAGGCTATCCCCACTTTCTTTTGGTTACCATTTGCAGGAAATATCTTTTTCCATTCCTTTACTTTCAGCCTATACATGTCCTTAAAACTAAAGTGAGTCTCTTCAGGCAACATATAGTTGTATCTTTTTTTAATCAATTCAGTCACTCTATATCTTTTCATTAGGTAATTTAATCCATTTACATTTATGTTTAAAGTAATTATTGATAGGTAAGAACTTTACTACTGCCATTGTGTTCATTATTTTCTGACTGTTTTGTAGTCCCTTTGTTTATTTCTTCTTCTCTTACTGTCTTCTTTTGTGATTTTATGGGGCTTTTTTTTGTATACTGGTATGTTTTGATTTCTGTATCTTTATATTTTGTGTATCTACTACAGGATTTTTTGTGTGTTTCCCATGAGGTCTCCATAAAACACTTTTTAGTTGTAACAGTCTATGTTAAGCTGATAACAACTTACCTTCAATTGCATACAAAAACTCTCTTCTTTAACTTCTCCTTCTCTGACAGTATATGTTATTTTATGTCACCATTTGCTATTAACATATATTATATATTTAGTATCCATTAATTTTGGTATAGTTTTTGTTGGTGTGTGTGTTTGTTTTTTACTTGTTTGTTTTTGGGGATGGGATCTCACTCTGTCACCCAGGATGAAGTCCAGTGGCACAACCATAGCTCACTGCAGCCTTGAACTCCTGGGGTCAAACAATCCTCCTGTCTCAGCCTCCCCAGTGGCTGGGACTACAGGTGCATGCCACCATGCCTGGCTATTTTAATACTTTTTGCTTTTTAACTTTTATACTAGAGTTAAAGGTGACTTACACGTGACTATTACAATATTAGAGTATTCTGAATTTATCTATATTCTTAGCTTTTCAGTGAGTTTGATACTTACACGTATTTCATGTTTTTAGTCTTTTCATTTCAACTTGAAGAACTACCTAGGATTTCTTGCAAGGCAGGTCTAGTGGAGATGAATTCCCATAGCTATTGTTTGTCTAGAAAAGTCTTTTTCTCTTCTTCATTTCTGAAGAATACCCCTGATGGGTATAGTATTCTTGGTTGGCAGTTTTGTTTTGTTTTGTTTTTTCATTCAGCACTCAAATATATCATCCCATGCTTTCTGGGCCTGCAAGATTTCTGCTGGGAAGTCCTTTGATAGTCTTATGAGTTCCCCTTGTATGTGACAAGTTGCTTTTCTCTTGCTGTTTTCAAAGTTTTCTCTTTGTCTTTGACTTTTGATAATTTCATTATAATATGTCTTGGTAAAGATCTCCTTATATTTAATCTATTTTGGATTATTTGTGCTTCATGAATCTGAGTACTCATTTTCCTCTCCAGATTTGGGAAGTTTTCTGTCATTATTTCTTTAAATTACTTTTCATCTTCTTTCTCTTTCTCTACTCCTTCTGGGAATTCCATAATGCACATATCATTTTATTTTGTCTAATAAGTCCCATAGACTTCTTCACTTCTTTAATTCTTTTTCTGATTCTTTGACTTGATAATTTCAAATGACCTGTCATCAAGCTTGCTGATTTTTCTCCTTGATCAAGTCTGCCATTTAAGCTCTCCATAGAATTTTTCAATTCAGTCATTGAGTTCTTCACCTCCCAAATGACTGTTTTTTATAGTTTCTATCTCTTTGTTTAACTTTTATTTTGTTTGTATGTTGTTTTTCAGACTTCCGTTATTTGCCTATCTATGTTTTTTGTAGCTCACTGAGATTTTTTATGTTTCTTTATTTTGAGATATTTGTCTGATAGTTCATAGATCTCCATTTCTTCAGAGTCAATTATTGATGGTATCATGTTTCCCTGGTTATTCATTATCTTAGTTGACTTTTACTGGTGTCTTCACATTTGAAAAAGTAGATATCTTTTCCAGTCTTTACAGACTGGCTTTGGCAGGGAAAGCCCTTTACCATTCAACCTGTTCACAGATTCTAGCAAGCCATTTGGTGGTGTCTACTGGTGGGCTTCCTACTACCATCCTTAGGTAGTCTGGTCTGGTATCTGGGTCCATATGCTGGCCTGGTGCCAGGTTCCACTTGGGTGGGCCTAGTGACTGGGTGCCCAGAGATAGGCATTGAATCTGGATCCACAAAGGGGGTTCTAGAGCCTGTATCTGCAGAAGCCAGCATGAAGCCTTGATTTACAGGAGCTGATATGGGACTAGAAAGAGCCTGGCCTCTGGGTCCATAGGAATAGGCCTGAAGCCTAGGTCTGCAAGGGCCAGCCAGATCCTGGAGTGATCCAGGAGCTTTACTCTACAGATGCAAGCCCTGCTTCTGGGTTTACAGTGGCTGGTCTGGAGCCTGGGTCCACAGTAGCCAGACAAGTACCAGAGTCTACTGGAACAGGCCTGGACCCTGGATTCACTAGAGTGGGCCTGGAGCTTGGGCCTTCTGGAGTGTAGGGCTGCAGGGGCTACCCTACTGTTGTGGTGGGCCTGGAGTCTGAGTCTGTGGTGGCTGGCCTGGACCGTGGGGCTATGGGAGCTGGCTTGACACCAAGGTTCATTTGGGGTGAGCCTGTTGCTGGAATACACAGTGAAGTCAAATGTTAACTTCACATGACTTTTCCCCTGCTTTGAGTATCTCTCTGTATGCTATTCTGCCCAGGCTTGGGGAAGCAGTGACATAGTTAATATGAAACTATCCTTCCTGCTCACTCAATGCATTTTGTCTTATTTTTATGCTCCACCTAAGTGCTATGATCTCTCACCTGGCTTCCTTAGCTTTTGTGAAAGTTTTTTCATGCGTAGATGGTTATTCAAATTGATGGTTCTGTTAGGGAATGAGCACTGGAGAGTTTTATTCTGCCATCTTGCTGTCACTCCAAAAGCTCCTCAATTTCTTAACAGTGTTTTAACAAAAGGCTCAATGTTTTTATTTTGTGATGAAACATGCAAATTATACAGCCAGTCCTGTCTGTGAAAGTCCTGGAGTTCTAGTATATAGCCCCACTATTCAGCATACACTATTTGCATCGCAATTTCTTTTATTAACATTGCAAAACACTTGCCTTCTATGTTTCATATTAGTCGATTCTTTATGTTCCTCCTATGACATTAATGTTCACCAAGTTTTCACTCTGCTGTCAGTTTTTATCTTTATTCTTTTGGAGAAGTCATGATACCTATCATTATTTTATTTTTAGTTCACAGACCAAGCTGATATATAACCTGAAATAGTTTGGCAACTTTATTTTTGACTTTGAGATCCAGACTCTTTGGACATTTTTTAAAAGTACTCTAGCTTAGAACAAAGGCTCTCATAGTAGAAGTTTTGATCAAATATACCTTGATATTGCAAAAGTCCCTCAGGCAAAAAAAAAAAAAGTATGTAATTTCCAAGTGGAAAAGATTTCTAGCTTATAAATTTCTTTTCTATCCTAAAAAGCACCTAGTACCTTTTAGCTTTAGCAAGCACACCATTTTGGCCACAGTGTATAGACATACCTCACTCTCAGAGAAGGTGCCTGCTTCAGAGTAAGTGTAGGATAATTGAAAGTTTACAAATTAGCACATTCCTTCATTGCTTTAAAGTGTCAACTCAGAGACAGGAGGTAGAATTCCACAAGAAATAATGTAAACTTAATTATTTAAAAGAAGGCATAATTCTACAAGTTTTTAAAAAGGTTTAGACCCATATTTCAAGGTTTCATCTTCTATTGATCTGCCACCAACAATGCCATAGTAGACAGTGAAATAAGCCAATTTTTAAAACTAGTGAAACTGTTCACATTAGGGGAGATTTTAGACACATTAAAATCAGATTCACCTTTTCTGGTCTAAAAACAAAATAAAATCCAACCGAATACTTGAAGAATTGTGAGGAAATAGTAGCCATATTGTCTATTTCATAATTAGATTAAAGTTTGCTTTAAAATTTTCTTTAAGGTGTGGTTTTTCTTTCTTCATAACATTCATTGACTGTATTTTACCAATGTTTAATTCAATTATTTCAAGTTTATCAGACAATAAACTTTGGTGAAGTTTCTTTGAATTTGAAATAAGCGAGTAAAAAATGGAGCACTGAGTATGTATTCTTTGTCATCAAGACTTAGAAAAACATGCAATTCTTTACTATTGGTTTTCAAATTAGACCTCTGCTAAGTAACTTCTATCTGCTTGTTTTAAAACAGTGTGTAGACCTGTAAAAATTCCAAATCAAACACTTCACTGAAAAAAAAATGAATGGAGTTACTGTTTGGGCAAACTGACCTCTTTGGTTAAACAATTAAATCCAACTTCTAGGAGTCTCTCGAGCCATTATAATTTTATTAAATATTAAGTCCATAAAATTTCACTTCAAAGTGCTTAAATTCTGCAGCCCTGAATTAGGATCTGAAGATTAATGAGATAGTTTATCATCACCAACTAGTCCACAAGAGAATGAATACTAATTAATTCATCATCAACAGAACTACCCCAAATGAGAACATCCATACAGAAAACACATAGCTGTACTATTACCTAAAATATTAAGACAGTATAATTGAGTGTTTTCAATATTGGCTGCACATCAGAGTAACCCACATATGTGTGCAGAGGTTGTGGGTGTGAAGATCAGGGGTGAAAAATTACCAGGGCATGAGGAGTCCTACCCTCAGAATTTCTGATTTATTCGGTTCTGGTGGAGCTGGGAACTGGATATATTGTAAAGCATCCCAAGTATTTTTAATGTGCACTTTGGTGGATACAATTTTTTTTTCAATTTATCACCAAGAATTTTAATACAGCCTCAGACAAATGAGTAATGGATTCATTGTAGCTGCACCTATAGATTTGCATGAAAAAGTCTCAATATCATTTTTCCACGTGAAAGAAGTTTTGTTTTATGCTAAAATAAATGCGGGGCACTTTCCTTAAAACAGAGCCCTGAATTGTGGTGGTGAAGGTTCTGTTTGCTTTGTTTCACTTTGTGTTTCATCTGTGGGCATGATAATTACAGCTGAGTCCCAGCAGCATATGGCAGTGGGCTGGGGAGAAGAAAACCAAATGAGGACAAAAGCACAAATACAAAAATAAACATAAGTCAAGTTTGTGCTACTGGGTAGTTTTCTTTCATCTTTCTGTGAGGTTAATTAACTGCACAATATGTCTTTGCCACTCTGATGCATCCAAAGCATCCCAGAAGGCTCCTCCTCCACAATCTAAATTATAATGATGCCTGACGGTTGCAGAATTTTTAGTTTAACTAGAGTGTACTGAATCATTCTGGACAATGCAAAAGTGAACCTTAACCATTGTCCATATTATAAACTGAACTTCCACTGCAGGATCTTACTGAGGCCAAGAGCTGGTGCTGACAGATTCCACAACACACATTCTGCACTCTGGCTGTGAGAGGTCCTACCCCACACTATATCAAACCTACCAAATGCCCCCATCAACCACATTAAAATTGCTTCAAAAGTTTTTACAAGGAGTATTATAAATTTGCTTTTAAAATTATCTGCCTATGAGCCCTTCATTTCATTATAATTGGCAATTATTTATCTGCAGTTTTGAAGAATTGAGAAAAAATTATCCCACAGATTGTTTTCAATATATGAAGATGACAAGTTACCTTTTGTGAACACTTAACTAAACGTTATTTGGTTCTTTAGAGTTTTGTCCTTAAGTTTTATATCAAACATTTCTTTTCTAGTCCAAGATGTTATGATAGTCCTCTAACATCTCTTAAGCCCTAGACCTGTGCCTAAGTATCTAATGAATAAACAAGACCTCGGTGCCCCGACTCTGAGATTCCGATGAGAGACTGAATCCACAAAGGGATAGTGGACAGAATATATGTGACAATAGAACTCTGAGCTACAATTCCTGCAACAGACAGCCCAGAGCAGACAGAACTAGTCATGGCCTGCCAGCTACTCTATTCCTCCTTTCTCTCCAATCAGAACTTGCCTCAAGCCTTCCCTTTTTCCACTATAAAGCTTATTTCCCTAATTGCCTTTGAGTCTCTGCCAACCGCCGGTGATTGCGGCTGATTCCCTTGCTATAGTAAGTACCAAGTGAATAGCTTCGCTTGTTTTCATTCAACTAGTCTTCCTTTATTTCCAAGCCAGCAAGGAAATATCGGACAGGAGCTGGTGACTGACTCCACATCTGACTTCTAATGATGTCTTTCATTCCAGCTTGCATTTAGAGGTCTACATGACATTATATGCCTAATGAAGAGAGAGGGAATCAGCAGTTTACATTGAAGAGACTAAAGAATTTGGTAATTCAATACCATAGCAGTATAGTCCATTCTGATTGATAAAATATTGGTGCATTTTAAAATAATAAAGTTTTTACTAATCACTTTTTGAAGCAGATTAATCTGCAAAATAGTGGCCTTTATGCAAAAGACCACATAATCCCTGGCCAAAGGTAAGAATCATTTAGGATCATTCAAATCCAACTAGGAGTAACAATACAAAGAGAAATGGCTATTAGTCACATGGGTGTCAAAATTATTTCTCTTTCTTGAGAATATAAAAAAAAACCTTAGAGCTACAATGTTATATTAGTGAACATAATGAAATAAAACTGTGCAATATTGACTCCCAATAGCCTTACCTTCATTCACTACCTTTAGCTGTAGAGGTTTTCTCATTCCTCCACAGACTTCAACAGCATAATGTAGGAAATCAGCAATTTAAACACAGTCCATTTTATTATTGATGCAAAGACAAACCAGTGAGGAGAGAAACATAGATCTGAATTTCAAGTATCCAAAGCTGTATAATTAAAATTCAAGATTATACTTAATCATCCAGATTTCCCAATTGTATAAGCAGTGCTCTAGAATTAGGGCAGTCTTGACTCACTATAGCATCTTTTACTGTTCTCATTTGCTGACTGAAATACTATGGCCAGAAACAAACAGAAGAAAATGAGTGTATGTGTATGTGTATGTGTATGGATGTATGTTTGTGTGTGTTCCAAAGAACCGTATTCCTATTGTTTCTACATGCCCTTGATCTTAAGTGTTCTCATCTCTCTCTCTCTCTCACATACACATGCACATACACACACATGCATGCGCACAAACACACAACTGTAGGAGGTGATGATTATGTGAATTAGCTTGATTGTGGTAATTATTTCACAATGTAGATATATATCAAAACATCATGTTGAATATCTTAAATTATTTACAATTTCAGTTTGTTGTACCTCAATAAAGCTCAGAAAAAATAAAATAAATTTATTAATAATATAAATATATGGCAGTAAAATATATAGACAATTTATTTTCATGTACGATGAATATATATTTTAACATTTAATCATTGATAAAACATTAATAATGAGTAAAGTTATGGATGAGACTGAAATAGCTACAGTCTATAAAATACAGTATTCAGTGTTACCTTGTAGCTTGTAGGCAAAGTTTCTATCAATTATGCTCAGGTGTGTTAGCCAACTGCCAAGATGGCCCTCCAAGAGTCACATATTCTGGAATTTACTTCCAGTTGTATGCTTTTACACATTTTACCAGGGTGGGCCTGTGTGACCAATAGAATAAGGCAGAAGTGATGAAGAAATAATGATGTGTCACACCCGAGATGAAGTATAAAAGTCACTGTGATTCTCTCTCATCACGGGATGTGGGGAAAGCTAGCTGCCATGTCCTGAGCACTACTATGGAGCGGTCCATTTAGCAAGAAACTGAGGCCATGATTGAGCAGTGTTGGAGGCAGACTGCCAGCCCCAGCCAACTGTAGTCCCAGATGACATTTGACTGCAACCTCATGAAAGACCCTGAGCTAAACCACAAGGTAACCCACTCACTCTCAGAATCTTAATGCTCAAAAATTGTATGAGATAACAATGTTTGTTGCCTTATGTTGTTTCTTTAGGGCTTCTTTAATTTTTAATTTAATTTTTTAAATTAATGTAAATGTTAGTTCAATTCTTTAATTACTATATAATCTATAATAATTTAATTTGATTAATTTAATTTAATTTTTCATTTTAATTATTATGGGTAAATAGTAGGTTTATATATTTATGGAGTACATGAAATGTTTTGTGACAGGCATGCAATGTGTAATAATCACATCGTGTAAAATGGAGTATCCAACCCCTCAAGCATTTATCCTTTGTGTTACAAACAATTCAATTATGCTCTTTTAGTCATTTTTAAATGCACAATTAAATTATTATTGACTACAGTCACCTGTTGTGCTATCAAATACTAATTTTGTAGTAATTTGTTATGCAGCAATAGATAACAAATGCAGGTGGAGATAAAAATATACAATAACTAAAAGGATAATAATTAAACTGTTGCAACTTAGCCTGTATGTGGAAATTTACTTATCTGCAAAAGAAAATATATTTTTATGTAAGTACAATATCATTTTAGATAACTACTAAATCAATGAATATATGCAAAGCATTTACAACAATGGCTGACACATAGCAAATTCCATATAAATAGCATATATGAAAATGATAACCAATTAAGGCAAAATAAAAAAAAAATAGGGCTGGGCACGGTGGCTCATGCCTGTAATCCCAGCACTTTGGGAGGCTGAGGTGAGTGGATCACCTGAGCTGAGGAGTTCGAGACTAGCCTGGCCAACATGGTGAAACCCCATCTCTCCAAAAAATACAAAAATTAGCTGGGCGCTTGCCTGTAATGCCAGCTACTTGGGAGGCTAAGGCAGGAGAATCGCTTGAACTCAGTAGGTGGAGGTTGCCGTGAGCCGAGATCGCACAACTGCACTCCAGCCTAAGTGACAGAGTGAGACTTTGTCTCAAAAAATAAAGAAAAAGAAAAAAAAACTAAATAAAAAACTTATCAGAGGCATGAAGTTAAAATTCTCACAACTTGAAAACAAGCACTTTTTAAATATTATTTTTGTAGCTGGATAAGTTAATTCCAGTCACTTCCTGTTAGATGAGAGATTTGGAATCAGAAAGATTGTAACTGGCTCCTGACGCCTCATTATTCACTGTTAATTGAATGAATTTTGTGACTTAACCCAGGGTTAGGAGGGAATCAAGAGCTCTTAACCTGACAGTAGTGGGGTTGATGCAGAAACTGCAGAGCTGACTTCATGTTAACAACCAAGATGTGCTTTTCTTATATGAGACTAGAATGTGTTATCAGATGTAACATCCTCTTTGGGGAGGTATTTGAACCTAAATTATCTTCTTCAGGCCAGAGGCTATGCTCCATTAGCATTTAGCAGGAGACCAAGTAATTTTTCTACCTTTAAAACTAATTTTTCTCCTTGTTGGTGGTGATAGTAGCTTTTCTTTAATTCTTAAGACAAAATTTCAGAAAAGCTAGAATTTTAAACATGACAGCTTCAAAAATGGTCATCTCAGAAAGAGCAGCTGCAGAAAGAAGCTGTTTCAAGCTACAGCCGCTTCAAAGTATTAGCCTTTGGAGATAGTAGGTGTTCGATTCGGCAGGGTTCTAATACCAGGACTATGTTTACATTCAAGTTAAACCAAATGTAATTAAAATGTATTTCTTCAAAGTAGGGACCGCTTTGTGTAAGAAAATAATTGAAATTTCTACTTATGCAAAATTTAAGTTTCTACACTTAAAACTCCCATCTTGACCATGCTAATAAGGATGCTGAATATTGGATCAACATTTTTCCCTTTTGAGTAGCACTATGTATTTATCCTTTGGTTAACTTTCCCGTCATTTATATTTAATTCTAATGTGAAAATTAAAAGTATATATCTGTATGCAAAACAAGGGCTATAAATCTAATTTTCATTATGATTACCAAAGTTATCTGAAACTTTTTAAAAGGAGACATAAATTTGTATAGGCAAAGAAAAACCCCTTCTCCGAATATACCTCTCTTGCAGCAGCCACTGTTGATACCTCCACTGAAACATGTAAATCTTCCTTAATGTCAAGTGTGATGGTGATTTGTCAGCTTTGATCTGACCTGATCCCTTACAACACTGACACCCTGACTACTCCTTAGAAAATGTTTGCTCTTTCAGCTACATTGCCTGTGCTTTCTGCAGTTTCTCCACTTATACTTTTATCTCTTATAGATCAGTCCTCTTAGCTGGTTTCTTTTTTCTTTATCAATCACGAATTGAGTTGCTCCCAGAGTTCTGTCCTCATCTGACATTTCTTTCCAACCTTTACTGTGTAACCTCATTCCATAATTTTGACTCATTTTTGCTGGTCACCTCCACGTTTCTATCTTCCAGGATACACTAATTATCTCCTGTGCCCCATCTTCCTCTTCTCATTTAGAAGATTTCTAGGGTTATTATCTTTAAAGGGATATCTGCTGCACATTTATAACTCCACAACCCACAAGAACTTAAATTCAGCATATCAAGCACGATCTCATTTTCATACCATACCTATAGCATCTCCTCATCAGGAGTGTCCTGTTTCAATAAATCATGATGCCTCTTACCTAGTTACTAAATATTGAGATTTTCTATGTTTCTCCTCTCCCTGCACTCTCCCAATAAGAGTCTATTCTAGCATTCTACTTGCTAGCATTTCTTCAAGTTATTCTCATTTTTTGCCGTTATACTTTCCTTAGTTTGGAATTTATTATTTCTTGCCAAGATTCCTATATTAACTTCCCAATTAGAGTCCCTACCTCCAACTGTGTGTCATGGTAGGCAGAATAATGGCCCTCCAAAGATGCCCATGACCTATTTCTTGAAACTTGTGGATATGTTACCTTACATGACAAAAAGACTTTGCCAGTGTGATTAAGGTTAAGGACTTTAGAATGAAGAGATTATCCTGGATTTTCTGGATAGGCTCAATCAAATCCCATTACCCCTGAGTTTAAGCAGGAACATTTCCTGAATGCAATCACGAAGAGGTGTGAGAACATAAGAAGGGTCAGGGAAATGAAATTTTGCTGTCATTGAAGATGGAGGAAGGGACCAGAAACCAAGGACTATAGCTGTATCTAGGAGCTGGAAAAGTCAAGGAAGCAGATTTTTCCATAGAGCTTCCAGAAAGAAACACAGTCTGTTGACACCTTGATTTTAGCCCAGTGAGTCCTGTGTCCATATTCTGACCTATAGAATTAAATAATAAACATAAATAGATAAAATATTTTCATATATAATGTATATGAAAATATATATACCATATTTTTAGTATAAAATAATAAATGTGTATATTTTTAAGCAAATGAGTTTGTGGTAATTTGTTAGGGAAACAGAGAAAACTAATATATCCCTATGAATAATTTTTAACTTCACTAACAGAGGATCTTTCTAAAATGCCAATATGTTCATGAAAATATGTTTATTAATTTTTATGCTGTATAACAAATTGCCACAAACTTAGCTGCTAAAAAAAAATACACACATTTATTATCTCACAGTTTCCATGGATCAGGCACACGTTAGCTAAGTTTTCTGCTCAAGATGTCAGCTGGAGTGGTGATCTCATTTAAAGCTCATGTTCCTCTCCCAAACTCACTGGTTGTTGACAGAAAATCTGTTCCTTTTTCCTGTGGGACAGAAGCCTTTAGTACCTAGAAGACACTGGCAGTTCTCTTCCAGGTTCCCTTTCCACACATGGCAGATCATTTCTTCAGGGCCAACAGGAAAGCAACTGCTATTGCTTCTCCTTTCTGTGATCTCAAGACCTTCTTGTGAAGGGCTCAACTGATTAGTTTGCATCGACCCAGGATAATCACTTTTGATAAACAAAGTCTATTTATAAAGGAGCTTAATTACATTTGTAATCCTTCATTTTGCCATATAACATAATTACAGGACTAACCTCCCATTGCATTTGTTATAAGCATGTTACAGGTTCTACCTACGCTCAACAGGAGGCTCTTACAAGTGTGTGGGTCCCTTGATCATCATAGAATTTGGCCTACTATATATGCTACTTAAAAATTCTGGCCTCTGTATTTCTTCTCTCACCTCCATGCTTTTTTACTTGTCCTTCTAGAATGTCCTCCTGGAATGTATTCAACAACCCCACCAACCTTGGAGATGCTACTTCCAATCCTGTGTTTACCTCTGGCACAGCATCATTCAAACTGAACCAACATAGTAAATTATCACACTCGGAAATCTTTTCTCTAAAAATAGATTTAACACATTATAATACCGTGTGTGTGTGTGTGTCTGTGTGTGTATAAATCCATTGGATTTCTTTGGCTAATATCTCAAGAAAGCTAAGTATAGCTAACTGTACCCTTCCATTCTGTCAATGTTACAAATGTTTTCAATCAACAAATCTTCTATGGTTCTGCCTGAGGTGACTGCGTTCTTCCCTGTGTGTTGTGGCCATTAATTTCATACTTTGGGAAATGGTTTTGATCCATAATTGCTGACAAAAGTTGTACAAATAATAGTGTTAGACCTGTCACAAAGTATCAGAGAAAGACAGTCATGATGAATATTAAAATGCAAATTTTCTGTAGGAAATTGTAGTGTAGGATAAAGAATAAAAATCATCAGGCAATTAGGTAGTGACAGAAGCCATTTGATATTGTGGCAGTCATTGCGCATATCATTGTGTGAATTGGATGGAACATATCTGGAGGACCTTGATCTTAGGAGCTGAAGCCTGTCTTAACTGCAGGGGTGATTTGGACACATTGAAGAAGCAGGATAAACCTGTACCCCAAATTTAGTTTGAATGTTAAGAATGATGTCACATACACCAAGAGGGTGCAAAAACATTTATTATTCGGCCGGGCGCGGTGGCTCACGTCTGTAATCCCACCACTTTGGGAGGCCGAGGCGGGCGATCACGAGGTCAGGAAATCGAGACCATCCTGGCTAACATAGTGAAACCCTGTCTCTACTAAAGATACAAAACATTAGCTGGGCGCGTGGCGGGCGCCTGTAGTCCCAGCTACTCGGGAGGCTGAGGCAGGAGAATGGCGTGAACCCGGGAGGCGGAGCTTGCAGTGAGCCGAGATCGCGCCTCTGCACTCCAGCCTGGGCGACAGAGCAAGACTCCGTCTCAAAACAAACAAACAAACAAACAAACAAACAAACAAACAAACAAAAAAACACACTTATTATTCGTATAATGAGGCTTTCAGGGAGAGAGCAGAGTAGGCCTCCCTCACTAGTCTGAAATGTCTTGAGAGAGTAAGGGAAGTAGACTGGCTTGGGTTTTTATTGTAGTTAGGAGGCAGGGCCAGGGTGCGGGGTCCCACATGAAGATAAGGACATGTGTGGTTTAGACTTCCTACTACTACCAAAAGAGGGAGAATCTGGGCTTTTCTTCCCCTGGTGTAGAAAGGACAATGGAGGCATAAAACCTTAAAAACTATTAGATCAAACCAAAAAAATAGATTATTTATTACAAAGAAATTTGGGAGATTTGAGAAAGATTGCCAATATATGATGTTGGAAATGCATTTGCATAGGAATATTATAATGAGTTCATAGCTGAATTATTTCATGCTCTATATCCAGGTCTGTTGTGCCCACCCAACTCCCAAAGGCACGCAGGAGCACAAGTAATTGACTGTTGAACATCCAGATATCTCAGCAATAGATTTTGAACAACCTGAGGACAGGAAGCATATTTTACATGTCTTCATATTCCCAGACTTGAACATGGTACTCTAACATGGAACTAGCATACAGTAAATGTTCAATAAATGTTTATTGAATAAATGAATCTATTCACTCTAATATACTTTTAAAACTTATTTTAAAATATTTGAGCGTACATAGTGTGGTAGCAGGTATGATAATTCACCCTTTGGGCAATTAAAGTGTGTACTACTTTAATCAGGATTACACACTCCAAGATGGTTGCTTATCATTTTAAATACTCTTACCAGGAATCCTCATTCCAGATGCAGCTTCCTCAAAAGCTTACATTATATGTATATATCATGAACATAATAGGGTATGAATTGACATAGGGACTCCATTGATAAAATAAGTAGTGTCCCAGTTATGTGGATTGACTAGAAATACTGTGTAGCCCCTTGGCCCTGGCATGAGCATGCTCTAAGAATCTAATAAGCCAAGTAGTCCATCTCCTTGGGAGTGATGCTTATAGCTTAGGGCTCCGTTCAGGCTTCCGCTCAGAAATATATAGAGGAGCCTGAATCGCAGGGCTCTTGACTACAACCCAAAATGGCCAAAGCACGTGAGCCAGGCCTCTCTGGTCTTGGGGTAACCTCATTCTTTCACCACAGTTGTATCAGTTGCCAAGGGTGTCACACGATTTTTTTAAAAGTTGGGAGATAGTACTCTAGAATTTGTTTGTAACAGCCTCTTATAAGAGTTGTTAAAAGTGGTGAGAGCTAAGACCTCAGAGAGCTTACAAGAACAACATACATGATTTTTTTTTTTTTGCCTGTTCTCTAATATATGTTTTTACATATTCAGAATTGTGTATGCAGAATTGGGTCTGTCTTTATCTGGCCATCTTCTTAGAAGGACATGAGTCACATTAGATTAGGGGCCATATTATTCTGGTATGACATCATCTTAATTATATCCACAGTGTAATTAAAAATAAAGTCACATTCTAAGGTACTGGGAGAGAGAACTTCAACATATGCGTTTGAATATACAGTCGGGCAGTGAGAGTGTGTAGGAAGTCTGCAGCCATCACTCGCCTCCATTCATCAAAGGCTACTGATATCTGCAGCAAGAAATATAAATAATGTAAACCACTAAGCTGGTTTAGATAGGTTCACAACAATCCCTAGTTTATCACAGTAAAAAGAAAGATTCTTTAAGACTTCTTCAGACTTATAATTAAGAAATATTTCCTGTAGAGGGTCTTACTGGTTTCCCAGGAATACCATAACAAAGTATCACAAACCACATGGCTTAAAACAACAGAAATGTATTGTTTTACAGTTTGGGCAGCTACAAGCTTGAAATCAAGGTATTGGCAGCACTGCACTCCCTCTGAAACTTGTAGAGAAAGAGTCCTTCTTGCCTCTTCCTAGACCCTGGTAGTTGCTGGCAGTCTTTGGCATTTCTTGTCTTGTAGATGCGGCACTTTAACATCGTCCTCAGAGACCGTCACATGGTATTTTCCCTGTGTTTCTCTGCCTTTATGCGGCCATCTTCTTAGAAGGACACCAGTCACAACGGATTAGGGGCCTCATCTTAACTAAATATACCCGCAGCGTAATTAAAAATAAAGTCACATTGTAAGATACTGAGGCACAGGACTTCAACATATTTTGGGGAGGGAGATACAATTCAACCCAGAATAGGGTCTATTTATTAACTTGAGCATCTGAGACCAAAAGATAGCTGTTGTTTAATTATTCATTCAAGAGATACTTGTTTAGTTTCTCTTGTGTATGAAATGCTAAAATTTCAGTCCTTGTTCTCAATCTAATGCTGGGGCAAAAGCTAGTAGATGCTGTGAAGCCACTGTTCCAGTGGCAGGTTAGGCTTCGTTATGGGGAAGCATAGAATTTGAGAGAGGAAAATAATTATAACAGATTAGGTTACCACTCTATTGAAAGTTTAAAAAAACAAACACACACATCTGTTCTAAGTTCTAAAATGTTCTAAGCTCCCATTAGGAACCTTCATTTCTTCTGAAAAAAAGTAAAATTTTTAAATATCTGATCTCATAGAAAATAAAGCTAATAGCATAACAAGATGATTCAGCAACTGAGAAAGCAGTTTAGGATGCAGAAAACCAGCGTCCATTTATCAGCTTCCACATTTCTTGTGTTATCGGAAGTAACCAGTGTTGTCAGCCTCAAAGAAGAAAATATGACAATAGTGTTTTTGTTTTCACCAACAGGTGAAATCATGTTTCAATCCCTTTACTGGCAAAGCATTTTTGCTTTGAAATATAATAAGTTTAATGCTTATGTAACTTCATTACACACTTCACATCGGAAAATCAGAACAGCATATCTATTTCCTATAAAGAAACAACAATAACAACAAACCTCAATTTTGCTTCTTAGTAGCACAGAAGTAGGTCCAGAAAAGGATTCAGAAAAGCTCTTAACCCCAGGCTCATGCCATGGGTTACACATGTACAACATCCTCCTTAGACACAGAAATTTTGCAGCTCACCCACCTGGCCTTCAACTGGTGAGCAGGCCTGGTTGTCATCCCTCAAGTGTCCTAGTTTCTCTGTAACACCCTCCCCACTGGTCTCTGAAGCTCACACTCTTTCTCTCTCTGCTTCCTGCCCACCCTCAAGGTTCCTCCTCTTCTCCCAGCCTCTTTTTACCTTCTCTGATGCTGAAGAGGGCTTTAGATGCTTGTACTGGAGGAATTTCTTCTGTGCATTGTGCTAAAATGTCTGTCTCTCTGTTCCGAATGACATTCAGGGGCAAAAAGCCTTCTCCTCCCTTAATGTTTCTAACCTGGAAAGTGCCTGGTGCCAGAATTAGAATTGGCACATACCATGCCCCAGCTACAGGACGGGGTGGGAGAAAAAAATATCCTTCCATATTTAAATTTGGGGAAAAATTTAATGTCGTTAATCTTAGGCAGGAGGACATAAAGAGATTCCGACCATATGCATTTACACTGTAACATACTCTTAAGCATGTCACAAGAAGAGGTAGTGTGAAAGAGAAAGAAAAAGAAGGAAGGAAGGAAGGAAGGAAAGAAAGGAGAAAGAGAGAAAGGGAGCAAGAAAGAGAGAGAAAGAGAGAAAAAGAGGAAGGGGCAAGGGAGGATGGGAGGAAGAGGAGAAAAGAAGGAAGAAAGGTACAGAAAATTAAAATTATCCCCTCCAAATGTAACAAAAAGGTTGTTACTTGTATTGATATTTTGAAGATGGGATGAAGGACAGAAATTTACTCTATGAAGTTAAGTCTTAACCTTGAAAGAATAATGATGATAGTGATAATCTTTTCCCTTTGAGCCACTCATGGAAAAATTAATATGTATTGTTTTTAAAAGATAATACTAGATTGGGTATGTTATATTTATTTTTAGGTAACATAAAAAAAATCCTTAAGTTAATATGTTTTCAATTCTGTATCTTCTAATATTCTAAATGTCTTCCCAACATACTAAATATCTTCTAATTCTAAGAGGCATAAAAATTAGATAAAAATCCAATTGTCTCTTGTCCTCTTACCTTAAATGACTTTTTTTTTCCAGAATGACTATAATTTCATAATGAAGTACATGGTCCTTACACTTGGGGTGTTTTGTACAGTGAATTTTAGATGTGTGATATAACTCTAACATATGATTATAAAACAAGTTCTCCCAGTCTGGTGAATGTAAGCTGATAGAAAGTTGCCCCACACAGATGGTGCTTGGATGAAGGCATTTGTCTCCTAGCAGGAGGCTTACGTGATAAAGCTCTAAATTCCTGCTGGACAAAATATGCAAACCACAGAACTACAGGGTGTAGTGATCATATTTGCTTAGGTTTTCATTCATTAAAAATGCCAGTTGAATTGTATCACTCCAAATAGTATACTGTACTGATACACATGGAGTTAGCAGCCATTCTTCGAAAACTAAAATGCATTTTTTTATTTCAATGTGAGTGTGGTAGGCAAAATAGTGGCCCCCCACAAATGCCAATCCACAGAACCTGTGGATGTGTTACTTTATATGGCAAAATGGACTTTGCAGGTGCGATTAAATTAAGGGTCTTGAGATAAGGAGATTTTACTGGATTATGTGGGTGGATATAATGTAATCTCAAGGGTCCTTCTAAGAAAGAGGCAAGAGGGTCAGATCAGAGAAGGAGAAGAACCCAGAAGCAGAGGAATTTGGCAGCCTCTAGAAGATAGAAAGAGCAAGGAATGGATGCTCGCCTGTATCCTCCAGAAGGAGCTCAGCCTCTGATTTCAACCTCATAGGACCTATTTTAGATTTCTGACCTGCAGATTCTAAGATAATAAATTTGTGTTGTTTTAATCCACTAAATCTGTGGGAATTTGTTATAGCAGCTATAAGAAACTAATGCAGTGGGTCATATTACTTGGTATAAGACAATCAATAAAGTGCAATACTGAAGAGCTTAGGCTCTGAGTGCAGACAGACCTGTTAGAATATGCTGCTCTGACTCTTGTGTAATACTAGGCTAGATAATTAACATCCTGAAGACTAAATGTTTCTTATTTGTAGAATGGATATGAAAAACAAAGTTTTTATAATGATCAAAGGTGACATCTGCAATGCACTTTAGAAGGTGTCTAATTCTTGTGACAAATATTAGCCACTGTTATCACATATGAGCACATATCTTTACCAAAATTCAAAAGTGTTTTTACTATAATATTAGCAAAGGAACATTGGAAAACCCTGTCTTAGGTAGATATTATCATCCCCTCATTGCTGCCAGGAAAATGAAACTTCGACAGTTGAATTGAACAAAGTTATCCGGAGCCACACTCAGAATTTTATGTTTGAATATGAAGCAGAATATAGAAGTGCTGAATCTGGGAAATATGATCCATCTATAACTTCGCAAAATGGAAGGAAGAACAGAAGATTAGATTGTAACTTGGACCACAATTTTTTAAAATATTCTCTTTTGGAAACAAAAGCATAATCAGGCAATTTGTAGTCAGCTTTCTATTATAGATACCAAATCATACTCTTGGAAAACTTGAAAGTAATTGAACTTTTATTTATTTTTAAATACCTGGAGCCATAACTTTAACCTACCTTAGAAAACAAATGTGGCTTTTTATTTTCACATCAGGATATTTTTAAAAGGTTAGTTTGAAGTGGCTATAAATATGTGAAGATTTCAACAGCTAAGACAAACATCTCAGTAAATAACTTAATTGAGCTGTGAATATTTAGTGATTGAAATCCGATTACTTTGTGGCTTAATTTGAGTACTGCTTGACTGCTCTGCAGTTTCAGGCAATTTAACAATGTAGACAGCATATGAAGATGGAATGTTAAATAGTGACTGAGGCTCTCAAAGTAAAAATGTCTGAGTTGTGTTCCTTTTTGTAAGCATGCCACTGGGTGAGATGCAGCCCGGATTCAAAGACTCCTAATGGGCAGAATATATAAAAGTCACTGAAAGCACAGATTCTTTCCCCCCACATATTTGGATAATTAGTTTTACTCTCTTGTTGAATTTTGATGCTCACTGGACTCATAAAGATTAATAGCATAACATGAAAAATCACCTTCACCTCCGTAAAATACAGTTCTCTCTATGACGGTAATTAAGTAGGGTCAGTGAGTTCTTGTGATGACCTTGTGCTTTTAGAAGATATTTAGGGTAGAGGCTCTTCTGATGGATGTTTTTGATATTCTAAAACCCAACTAATGAATTTCTGATATTTTGCAATGCTGTATATTTAGAGACACTGAGCTTTAAGAGATTCATAATAAGCTAGGTCAATAGAGAGAGCAAACTTGGACACTGCATGCTGAACAAACTGTTTTCCTTGGTCTATCTTTTTAAAAGTATATTTCAGATTAGTGTTTATATAAGGATTCTCCAGAGAAACAGAAGCAATCGGACGTTTATATGTGTTTGTGTGTGTAAAAAAGGTATTATATCTAAGGAATTGGCTCACGTGATTATGGGGGCCAGAAAGTCCCAAGTTCTGCAGGGTGAGTTGGCAAGCTGGAGATCCAGAAAGTCAATGGGTTAGTTTCAGTCCACAGGTTAGAAGGCCCAAGGCCCAAGAAGAATTGATGTTAAGTCTAAAGGCAGGAAAAAGCTGATATCCCAGTTTGAAGGCTGTCCAGCCGGAAGAATTCTCTCCTACCTGGGAAAGGTCAGCCTTTTGGTTCTAGTCAAGCCTTCAGCTGATTGGATGAAGACTACCCAACATTAAGGAGGCCAATCTGTGTTACTCAGTCTTCCAATTCAAATACAAATCTTATCCAAAAACACCCTCACAGACACACCCAGAATCATGTGTGACCAAATATCTGGGCACTCCATGGACCAGTCAAGTTGACACATAAAATTCACCGTCACATTGCTTCTGTCATTAGTTCCTTTTATTTCACCTTCAAGATAAAGCTGTAAGTTCTATTCATCTCCACCCCTGGCACTCAGCCCTGGACTAACACAACAGTCTCAGTTTTTCTACATTGATCTCACCCCTGTCCCTTTCTATTCTTCTCACAGAAATCAGATGCCTTCTTTAGAAACTGATCCTGTTACTATCTTCTCAAAACCTGTCAAGGTCTTCTTAGTTAAGAAAAAATTAACCTGCCATGGTGCCTCATGCCTATAATCCAGCATTTTGGGAGGCCAAGGTGGGAGAATCACTTTGGCTCAGGAGTTTGAGACCAGCCTGGGCAATATAGTGAGACCTCATCTCCACCAAAAATCAAAGAAAATAGCTGGGTGTGGTTGTGTGTACCTGTAGTCCCAGCTACTTGGAGGCTGAGGCAGGAGGATCACTTGAGTCTGTAAGTCTAGGCTGCAGTGAGCTGTGATCGTGCCACTGTACTCCAACCTGGACAAAAGAATAAGACCCTGTCTCAAAATAGAAAAAACTTGAAAATCCTCCCCTTGACTCTCAGGGTCCTATTCTGACTGCTGCCCACCTCTGCAGGCTTGTTCTCATCTTTACTTACATCAATATATCAACATATTATTATTTCAATATGAAATCAACATAACAATAGGAATAAGATATTTTACATCCCTTTTGCCATACTATCTTCAAAACAACCTGGACCAGCATTTCTTGATTTGGACTGGCCGGATGTTGAGTACTCAAAGCCACATGTGGCACTAGTGTTGGTCAGGGCAGTTCTAGAGGATCGATTAGTTACTGTCAATGGGAATATCATATCAGGAGAAATATAGGTCATTTAATACAGGGGTCCCCAAACCCCAGGCCACAGACATCAAGGGGTCCGTGGCCTGTTAGGAACCTGGTCGCACAGCAGGAGGTAAGCCGCAGGCGAGCAAGCAAAGCTTCATCTGTATTTGCAGCCACTCCTCATTGCTTGCATTACCACCTGAGCTCTGCCTCCTGTCAGATCAGTGGCAGCATTAGATTCTCATAGGAGTGCAAGCCCTATTGTGAACCACGTATGTGAGAGATTTTTCTCTCACATGTTTGCATGTTCCTTATAAGAACCTAATGCCTGATGATCTGTCACTGTCTCCCATCACTCATAGATGGGACTGTCTCGTTGCAGGAAACAAGTTCAGGGCTCCCACTAATTCTACACTATGATGAGTTGTATAATTATTTCATTATATGTTGCCATGTAATAATAATGGAAATAAAGTGCATAATAAATGCAATTTGCTTGAATCACCCTGAAACCATCCTCTTTCACTGGTCTGTGGAAAAATTGTCCTCCACAAATCTGGTCCCTGTTGCCAAAAATGTTGGGGACCACTGATATAATATATTATTTCCTTCACAAACAAAAAAGCATTTTTTTCTAGAGTAAAAAAAAAAAATACCTGAGAAGTAAAATCTTTTCTAGTAATTTCTAAGCTAAATTATTTTATGTCCATGTAAATTATAATTATCCATCTAATAAATTCTAATACCTTAGATTTAATTGTTGTTCATTTTCTTAGTATTAACATTTCATTTTTATAATGATTATATATTAATGTTGTGACAAATTATGATGTTTCAATATACTTATATGAAATGTTTCCTTACCAACAAAGAAGTATTTCATAAAACCATTTTTGGCATTTATAATCAAATTAATGCAACAGTAAACACAATAGCATGTTCATAATTACTGTGATAAATGTGGTGTAATTGTAAGAGCTACTAGCATCTATCCTTGATACATTGTAATATTGCTATTAAGGAAACAAAAGATATTTTAAACACTTTCTAATTTTTAATTTCAATAAAGACTGAAAACTACTAAAATTGATTGTAATGTGAGCAAAACTACACTCCATTAGTTCTGCCCTGAATTAACTGTTTTCCAGTTGATTATACTTTTTCAGCTTTTATATCACTGAGAACTAAGCAATTGTTCAGTCCTGAAAGACCGTTTAAATTTGGTGGTTTCAATTGGTCATTTGTACTTACTAAATACAATTCTGAGTGTCTGTGTATAAATTGCAGTGATCATTTAGCAGCTGACTGGTGGGTCATCTATGCCCATAGTAGAAACAAACTCTTCAAATTAATCAATGGTCACAAGCACAGCCAGAAATAGAAGTTTAAACATAATTGGCTTAAACCATCTATATCTCAATCATAAAATGAATATGAATCATTACACCTTGAAGTGAGAAGTTGTCATTCATATCCAAGTATCCTAAAAGGTTGTCTACAAAATAAAAAAATTGGGTATTCCAAATCTTCAAAACAATCATTCTTCCTAGTCTATAGATGCCATGGTTATCCAAAGAAATACAGGAAGTTCTATTTAGTTTCATGCTGGAATTAAGCTTAATATTTCAACATTTCCCGTTACTCTTTCATTAGGAGCAACTAACCATAAGGAGTGGAAGATGTATCTTTGTCAATGAAGTAGGCATTCAGGGTACAAATGAGATATATGTTGGCAAATTATTAGAAAAGAACCAGGTGATAAGGATTTGAAAAACCTTGCTTTCTCCTTCCTAACATGGTTTAGCTCCAGCCTGAATATTTCTTGAGTTCTTGATGAAAGCAAAATTATATCAGTCAGTGATTCAGATATAACTTCATGTTTGGAGGAGAGAGTTGTTTCCTAACAGCCACCTGAAACTCTAAGCTAACTTGCTTCTCCCTATTATAAATATGGAATTCTACAAAATCATCTGTCTCCCCTGGACCCCTATCCTAGCTACAGTTTCATTGTCACTCTTCCAGGTCCTTCTGGTTTGATACTAGTATCTTTCCAAGCTTCTGTTTAGTCTCTTCAATCTTGAGACATTGTTTCCAGACGTTTCCCTCATTTCCCCTTCCTGTCTTAATTCACACTTCCTTCCAGGAATTATCCTAGCCATACACTTTCTGCTTATAATAATTCTGTCTTCCTTCAATAAGTTTTTGTGATATTATAAAAATAACATTCCTAAGATCAATATGTTCATCTAGATATAGATGAAGAAATCTGTTAACTTGTTAAAATAGGTATTTTGGTTTTCTTTGAATTGTGCAGAAGAAACAACGTTCCACCGCCTATAAAGCAGTGCTTCTCAAACCTGATTGTGTAGAGGAGAACAGATTTTTTTCTCACCCATCATAAGGTGCATTGCTGACTCCTCATGACAAAAGGCAGTTGTTCATGTCATGGCAGCCTTCAAAAATGAAGACAGAAAGACCCAGGGAAAACCATGTATTGTTATGGACAGTCATGCAGAAGTTTGAATGGTAAGAAATTGAAGGGAAGTTGACAAGGTTTGTTTGTCCAGATCCTTCTTGGTGTTTCTGAGTGACATGCCTTTCCTCCGGTTTTAGGGCAGGACACCTTTCAAATGAGGGTGTTCAGAGGAGAAGCAGCGGAATAGATGGGAGAGGTTTCCTAGGTCTTATGACCTGCTTCAGGGGATAATGGAGGAGGAAGAGTGAGAGTGGCCTTCCTGCTTCTGCTGGTTCCTCAAATGCCAAAGAGCCCTATTTTGGGGTAGCACTTTCTGCACCACATCAACCACACACAAGAAATACATGCTGGGGCCCAAGGCCCACCTCAGGGGCTCTGATTTAAATGACTTTGGGTGAAGCCCAGTCATCTGTATTTTTAAAGTGATTCTGATATACAATCAAGGACAAAAATCTGTTGTAATGTGTTAGATTATAGAACTCTGGGTAAAAAGAGCAGCCCTGAGTAAGGAAATTACTACCAGCTCAGGTTCAGTAGAGACAAAGAAAGTACTGAGAACAGATGTTCTGAGGTAGACTTGCATGAGAAGAGGCAACAAAAATAGTCAGGGAAGCTGGGAACCAGGGAACAGGGTAGACTGTCAATGTTGAAAGAATTTAAAGGCCATTTGTGAACAATTTATACTCAAAACTAAGGACAGAATTAGTAACAGGAAGATGTTAAGGATGTATTTAATGACTTAAACTAGGAGCAGAGTGTAAACTAAGATAATGAGTCAGGCCGAAATCAAATAAAAGAGATAATAAACCTACTCTTAGAAAGAGAGATGATCAAAATTAATGCCAAATCTAGTTAGTAAAAGGAAAAAAAAAAAAAAAAAAACCAAGAAAACAAAAAGAAACCTTCCCTAGCCCCCTGAGACTACCTCTACCATCTATCTCTTCCTCTTCCCTCCACAGCCCAGGCAGCATGGCTAAGAAATACGGTCCTATTTTTAATACTTCTTTGCCTCCAGGTACTCATCCACTTGTCCACTCACAGTGGTCGGCTTTCCAGAACAAGGACTCCAGAGCCACTCTCACTAGGTTCATCTGTGACCTCTTTATTGCGATATTGCATGGGCCTCTTTCAGTAATCTTATGGGGACTCTCAAGCAGACTTTGTCAGAGTTGATTGCTCTCTTATTGAATTCCTCTCTCTTCCCTTGGCTTCTATGACATATCATCCTACTGGTTATCCTCCTATATCCTGGAAAAATCTTATTTTTTCACCTTAGTGTTCTCTTCTTACTTTTCTCAGGATCTGTCTTTAGCCCACCTCACACTCCACACTATACCCAGGCATTTTTATCAACTCCTGTGGTTCAACTGTTCTCAGAAGGCTGATGATGCACACATCTTTGTCTCCTGTACAGACACCTCCTCCAAGCTATAGAACTTGCATGTTCTCTCAGATTTTTCATGGGCACATTTACACTCAATATGTTCAAAACTGAGTTCATGATCTTTCTCTAAATTCTTATGATCAGATTCCCTTAGTCACCAATGTCAGAATTAATAAATCATTCTTGATGTTTTTTCTCCCTCTCTCCCCTATGCAAAATGCATAATCCTCCTCCACAAGGTATGGTCTAAGGACAAGAAGCTTTGACATCACCTGGGAGCTTGTTAGAAATGCAGAATCTCAGGCCTCACTTCAGACCTATTGACTCGGAATCTGTAGTTTTCAAGATCTTCTGGGTATTCTTACATACAGTAATGTATATACACTGCTCTGAAATTCACACCTTAAAAATGCCTCAAATTCAACTCCCACTCTTTATCTCTGATGTAACTATCATAAGCTGAGCTGTGGGTTCTCAAAACTTGCTGCATAGTACAATCCCTTGGGGTTTTTTTTTGTAAATACCAATGCCAGGTTCTAGACCTCCAGATTCTGATTTAATTCATCCAGAGTGGAGCCCAGGAATCTGTAAGTTTAAAAAGATCCCCAAGATGTTTCACTATGTAGCCAGAACGAAGAACCATTTATCTAAGCCAAAATCGCCCTTTAACTACATGATTATAATAGTCCTTAAACTAGTTCCTCTGTCTTCGGTCTTTCCAGCCCTCCTTATTTCCAATAGAGTGATCTTTCTTAAAATCTGTATGTAAGAACTTTCACTGGCTACTGTTGGCTCCAGCACTGAGTCTGCACAGTTCAACATCTGCCCCCTGCTTATTTATCCAAGGCCTTTTCTCGCCATAGCCTGTGCTCCCCTTGTACTCTTCTGTGTCGCAACCAACTGAGTTATTTGCAGTTCATCAAATGGACCATGGGGTTTTGTGCCATCGTCTTTGCTTTTAATGCTCCCTTTCTCTGCAGTGGCCTTCTTGGTCCTGATGCTGAAGATCTACTCTTTGCATACTCAATTTAAGCATCACCTTCTCTGTTATGCCTATCCAGACCTTACCCTTACCTCCCTGTGGTAGACCTCATCACTCCATCTCTTTGCCACTTTTACATTTAGTGCATATCTACAATACCACATTATAGTTATATTCTAATTATTTTTTGTTATTCCTAACTCTATCAGTCTACAAATTGGAAGCAAGAAGCATGTAATTCCCTTCTGCATCTCCAGAGCTTCAGAGACCGTAAGTATATATGGAATGCATATACGAAGGAATAAAGTAAAATTCATACATATTTCTCTTAAACTTGATTAAAATGACGTGTTCTATAATTTGAAGATGTGCCTTTCCCATATAATGTGATAATGTATAAATATCCAAATTTTCATCAAAAGACTGACTAAATTTTTATCTTAAGATAATTAGTTTCCTGCCTGACTGTAAGATTGAGGAATTATTATGCCATTAATCATGTGTCGCTCGGATGACATTTAGCCATCACTTCTTGATTGTGAGGTATTAATAGAGGCCAGGAGTTAAAGTGGAGCCTTCGGGAGTTAGACAACACCTAGTTCACATCCCACTTCTATTTGTCATCAGGGCAACTTTCAGCAAATTTCTAAACCCCACTGTTCTCATCGATAGTGGAAAGACTTTTATCCACAGTAATAGAAAGTAAAATGAACTATTTTGACATCGTTTTTAATTTTGAGAGTAAAAAATTTTGAGTTTTCTCAACTACTCTTCTAAGAGGTGTGTCTGCTGTGACTTTCTTATCTAAAGAAGGCACTACTAATCAGTTTATGGAAGCTCTCAGAGGTGGAACTTGGAGGACTTAAAAACCTAATCTATACTGAAAGGAGTAACTGATGTAACATAGCATTTTGTTACACTTATTTATCAAATATAACAAATATTTACTGAGTACTTTCTGCATATTAGGCACTGCGGAAGATATTAAATTAGTCCTTGCCGTTAAAACATTAATATAGGTGGATAAAAAGGCATGCATTCACTCTTGGGTGCAATGTACACTATTTGGGTGATGGATACACTAAAAACCCCATATCACCACTGTGAAATATATCCATGTAACACAGCTACCCTCATACCCCTAAATCTATACACTTAAAAAGCCAATGCATGTAATAATTATACCTCATATTTAATACTTTATGCCAGATGATGCCTATATTGCATTAACTCTCATATCCACTCTAGAAGGTATTCATGATTAAAATCTTTGTACTGTAGATTTTTCATAATTTGAAGAGTGAAGTTTCATAGTCCGCTCAAAGGTGCCCAGCTAACAGGTGAGAGAAGTAGGATTCAAGCCAGGTGTTGTCTAACTCCCAAGACCCCACTCTTAGTGGCTCTCTACCAACTCTTTACAATCAAGGGATGATAGCTAAATGTCACCTGAGAGATGCACACCATTGATGGTGTAATAATCCTCCAATCTGACAGTCAGGCAAGAGCTAATTAGCTTCAGATAAAAACTGTCAGTCTTTTGATGCTGCAAATTCAGATATTTGGACACATCTGGTTAATTCACAGAACTTCTACTTTTCATCCAGATGGCTTGTCATCATAAATGTCATAATATAAACACAACCAAACTTGAACTGCTCAAGCTTTCCTAAATGAACCTCAAAGCACTCATTGCTCTTTCAGAAGTAAAATGTTGATTTTGATATGCTATCATCATCTTTTGTGTGGTGCCCCATAATTAAAAACTTTTGATGCTTCATTTCAGGACTACCAAGCTGGAAAATAGAAAGCTGTATTGATGAGAAATGTGGAAGTTTCTTTCTAAAAAATGGAGACAAGTGAGAAATATCACTGGTGTTACAGTCACCTCTGTAGAGTGGAGCTTCTGTTGATTCAAAGAATGCTGGCCTGCTCTAAGGAGAGTAAGACGGAAAGAGACCCAGACCCCAGTGATGGCAAAACATAACCTTCATAGGAGTAGTAGCAATGAAGTCTGTCCACTAGGTAAATCACAAGACAGAAAAGCTGTAAGATATTTTTAGCTGTTTTAGTGCCTGTGCCTTTCCGTAAAAATCTTAGTATTAATATAAGTTTGTCTATGTCTACACACACACACACACACACACACACACACAAACACAGATGCATGCATATGTGAGAACTGGAATTTGGATAGGAATTGCATTAAATCTATTGATTTGCTTTGAAAACTACCAAGTAAAACAACTTCAGTTATCAGTAAATACCGGTACTTAAGCAACACATACCCACTAACAAATACAGGTATCTGGAGAATGTGTTCCTATTCAGATACTCCACAGATTATATAAGGGTGAGCTCAGGCTTTGTCTCAGGAGTAAGACTGTATCATGATGTCATGTGTAAAGTATTCAGTAACCAATACGTTTTGTTTCCAGGTAGACAGCAATGATATGTAAACAAAATGAGTTTTGTCACTCTTTTTCAGATACCCTTTTTTTTTTTTTTTTTTTTTTTTTTGATACAGAGTCTCAATCTGTCGCCCAGGCTGGAGTGCAGTGGCACGATCTCGGCTCACTGCAACCTCTGCCTCCCAGGTTCAAGCAATTCTCCTGCCTCAGCCTCCCAAGCAGAGTAGCTGGAACTACAAGTGCGCACCACCATGCCTGGCTATTTTTTTTATTTTTGGTAGAGACGGGGTTTCACCATGTTGGCCAGGCTAGTCTCAAACTCCTGACATCGGTGATCTGCCTGCCTTGGCCTCCCAAAATGCTGGAATTACAAGCATCAGCCACTGCACCCGGCCTCAGATACCCTTTTAAGAATTGTAGGCCATACATCTCATGGAAATTGAATGGTAATACCTGCCTGCATTCATACTCTTGTAGAGCTAAGACCAGCATGACTTTTTCTGTCCTCTTACTTCTTTGGAGAGGAAACCGACATCTCAGCTAATAGTCATTTATTTTACACTGATGAATTTTAAGCTTTTATCCAAATTCATCATAATTAGAATCAGATAATAGAGTTCTGTGTGAGGCACCAGTAGCGTCCTTTAGAAAATCAAGCGGATTGTAATTAAGAATTGATGTGATACTTGGCAGAACCACAGAGTCTTCTGGGTCACTTTCTGCATGTTCTCTGTGAAGAGCCTTCACAGGAAGCAGCTGGAGCTCCAAAAGGACATTTGACTGGTAAATTGACTTGATTGATTCAAATTTGATTACATACTGGAAACACATTTAGTTCAAGTTAAGCACATTAATATCTAGCAGTTAGAATAAAGACCCAATTCCTTCTTTGTTATTCATTAATAAAACTTAATTACTTCAACAAAACATTAATGAAGAAAAAATATTGGCTTGCATAATTCATTTGGAAAAATTAATTAATTATTTTATTAAGGGCAGCCTGTTCCACAAAGTAATTACTGAGGCTTTGATGGAGAATTGCTTTATGTTATTTACTTAGTAAGTGGTTGTTTACCTTTTTCATCTGTTATGTATATAACTTTTTCCTCCTAGAGGGAAATTAAATATAACCTGAAGTCATGATGGTAACTATGTACTTATAATTGATAAGATGACTGCATTTTAATATGATGTTTACTAAATTCAACCTGTATTCCAAAGATAGAAGGCTTATTTAGTGGCAATATTCTTCCCAGCTAGATTTTCAACACAGTAGTATTTAACAAATAATGTCCTCATTTAGTAGGTAACTAGAAGTTATAAATGAGGGAAAATAAACTTTAGCGGGTTTGTATCTCAGCTTTCCTTTCAATCAGACAAAGCCATGGTTTGTTAATACTTTAACATAAAAGTGCCAGGAATAAGTATTTCATATGAAAATTATAATAATTAACGTTTTCTGAAATGTAATATCCAGGGCTGTATGAATGAGTAATTAAACATAAAACTGAATCAATAGTTCAGAATCCTTTCTTTCAACTTATTTCCTTTATGAGTTTGAGCTACACGCTAAACCTCATCATAGCTATGTAAAATAGAACTATCAACAGAAAACTTCCTGGTATATACTAATGACTTTAATTGGTTTCACAATTAATACAATGACCAATATTAATATTATTTAAGTTAATTGTTAACATAGTGTTTTAAAATTACTTTTTCATTAAATGCAACTGTGAAAGAGCGAGTCATTTGTTTTAAATTATAAATAGGTGATGAGAAGCTATCCTTCTTTTAGAAGCTAATTCATTATCTGCTGTGAATAAGTGAAAGTATTTCTACATTGCATTGCCTAAAAGAGACTTTCATTCCATTACAGGGTAGATTATTCTGCAGGTAATAGCAAGAACACTTGCATAATAGCAGCATGTTTCATTAAGATAAAAAAAGATAAACCCTGCAGTAGTGGCATTCCAAAATAAATCAGCCCAGCCCTGCGCTGATCAGCATTCGCTTTTTCATTACTATGTGGATATGATGGATATTTTTCAAAGCTTAGTTTAGACAAACTGTTCAGAAAGGAATGAGTTCTCCTGATCAAATGAAAATTAAGGTGAAAATAAATGTCCTTCCTCCCTCCCGCCATGGAAATATGTAAGAATAAGAGACAATTATTTCTCAGAACTGTTAAGTCCTCTCAGGATTTTTCTCCTTCATACATTATGCAGCAACTATTTCAAACTCAGCCTATCTCTGAGGGGTGGAAGATAGAGAAAAATAAATGAAAGAATGCCCGTGAATGTCATTCTTTCTAGAGACAGAAGGCACATATCTGCTTGAGTCTCTTTTTTCTATTATGCCACAGAAGCAGATGGCTCAAACCATTTTTTTAAACATTGGATTTCTCCACTTTATTCATTTCTCAGGTAACCACAGGATGGCAGCATAGGACGATAAATCAAAATTGATTGCTTAATTCAAAAACATCCACCAGCGGTTATTAATCAGACTTCAATCCTTTCCTGCCTAACACATGGAAATGGTGGCAAATTCATTCATGGGGAAAGTGTGTGTGATATTTAGTTCTCCCCGTGTGTGTGGTTGCAATGACACCTCACCAAGAAATTTCTCAATTTTAATCCAGTAAGACGGGCATGACAGAATCTGTCTTTCATGCTGTAGTATCCTGTAGCCTCACAGTTTTATCAATCTGAACACGATTTGTAGTGAGAAATATTATAGCTTTAGAGAAGATGTAAAAGATCTATCCATGACAGCCTTACAGCTTCTTTTTTTAGGAATACCCAGTTTCTCGTCTCTGCTCCCATTTCCTTCATTTATAATGATAAAATTAAAATGTGCAAAAATCCATTCTGATTATATCAAGTTATTTCGGCTCATTAATATAGGATTTTTTATTTCCCCATTATTCACTGCAGAACAGGATATAATTTATTTCAAAGCTGGATGAACTATCCAATTAATTTTAGGTACTTTTCAAAGTTTAAAAATTACAATCTTCTCAAAAATTACTTTGGATTTGAAATATCCATATTCCATATACTTTTTTAACTTTATGCGTATTTCCTGTTTCTTCATGTGGCTACAAATACTTCAAATGTTATTATCTGTCATGCTTAAAAATCCTCACTTAGAACAGTACTTGACCTAAAAAATGTTCCGTATGGAAATGTTTTATAAAGAGTTCCATTTGGGACGTTCTACACATTCTTCCTTTTGAAGAGAAGGGATATAGACATTAGTATCAGCCTTTTAAACCCTGCTATTAATATATGCTAATTTAGAGGATATAAACCAAAATGTTACTATTATTTTTCAGGATCCATAATATCTCACAACAGACATGTTGACATCACAAATACTGAACTTTCAATCTACTTTGTTGTCCACTCAGAATATTTGTTAACCAAAAAACCCCCAAAAAATCCAAAATTCCTGAAAGAATTTTTAACTCTATTTTTAAAGTTTCTCATATATTTTAACTGATGTGAATCATTCCATTTATTTTTAAACAATTTTTGTGAAGATTGTACACCATATAACTTTGACCTAACCATGAAAATGATTGAATTTATCAATATATATTGCCATCTAGTGGCCATTTCTTAAATCACATTTTGGATCTGAAAACGGAGTGGACATTTGCCTCAAAAGTGCCACACTGCAGTGATTACATCCAGAAAGATAATTTTAGAGTAATCTCTGAACTCAAACTAACTTATTATAATTTCATTAAGATAACAGTTCAATTTGTTAGGACCACTTTCTTTAGGAAATCTATTTGATTTTCATTTCCTTTATCCATCTTTTCAAAATTTACTGCATACATCTTAAGGGTAAATAATAATTAACCACTGCTTCTAAGAGGTCTAATGTTAGACTGCCTTTGAACTGCCTACCCATATACATTCCCACTTGGCTGTTTACATGCAATTTAATTTATAAATGTTCTAATCATTTCAATTTGATGATAGTCATACTGCCTTTTACAAGAAATAATAGTTGTAATATCAGCTAATTGCGACTAACTAGAACTAAGCTGGTGGTCAGTTCCAAAAGTGATAAAATATTCCTACTTTAAGCCCTAAATATAGTTACTGTTTCATTAATTTAAAAAATACTTTTTTAAAAGCTATTTGGTGTCCTGTATGCTAGTAAGTAGAAATAAATGATAAACAAGTTTCATTTAACTTCTGCTTCATGGGGCATCTATGGGAAAAAATAAATGGTAAACACATAATTATATGCAGAAATACTTCATTGGAGTATGAGAATCATCTCTATTCATTCAGATACCACCCTCCTTTAACATACTAGGGAAGAGAAGCTTTCACATGTCTACCCACTTCTGCACCAGCAGCTGCTTCTCCAAGTCTATTCCCTGCTGGTCACTGCATAAATCACCCACCACCACCCAATACGGTGTTGCTGCCCCACGAAGAACTCAGTAAATGTGGGAGAATGCACTTTACTGCCTTCCTCCTTTGTGTCTCAAGATTCCAAACCAAAAGACCACAAGGGCACGTAAGATAGTACTAAGTGTTTGGGGGATAAAGAAAAAGGAGTTACAACCTAGAGGAGAAAACTGCATGTTAACCATGATCATTACCATAGTAATAAAAAAACGTTGCCAAGAGTTACATTCTTCAGAGCAGACACCTCTGGATGCACCTCAATTCCTAGCAGTTCCTCCCTGTCCTTGGATCCACGTTTCTCTAAGAAAACTCCTGACTTTTCAAATCTTCCCATAGCAGTCGAGACTGTCCCCCTGGGAGGTATTCAAAGATGCTTCCTTCTTCCTAGTTATTCATCCAGCTGGTAACTATTGAACCCAACAAGCAGATGCATCACACATACATAAACCACACACACACACACACACACACACACACACACACACACACATTATTTTCAAGGGCATAAAGCTTAAATTGACAATAAGAAAAAGACATATTTTCCTAAAACAACCCCTTCCATTGCTCATAGAGGCAGCATCCTTCGTCTCCCAAAGAATAGTGGTGGTTTCCGTTTGTTACTTTTCCTTTTTCTTTTTTTCTTTTTGAGACGAAGTCTTGCCCTGTCGCCCAGGCTGGAGTGCAATGGCGCGATCTCGGCTCACTGCAACCTCCGCCTCCCAGGTTCAAACGATCTCCTGCCTCAGCCTCCTGAGTAGCTGAGATTACAGGTGCCTACCACCACACCCAGCTAATGTTTTGTATTTTTAGTAGAGATGGGGTTTCACCATGTTGGCAAGGGTGGTCTCGAACTCCTGACCTCGTGATCTGCCCACCTCAGCCTCCCAAAGTGCTGGGATTACAGGCATGAGCCACCGAGCCTGGCCTCTTTTTCTTTATTTTTTTAGACAGGGTCTTGCTCTGTGCCCAGGCTGGAATGCAGTGGCACGATCGTAGCTCACTGCAGCTTCTACCTTCTGGGGTCAAACGATCCTCCCACCTCAGCCTCCTGAGTAGCTGAGGTGCTCACAACCACGCCCAACTGGTTTTTTATTTATTATTATTATTTTTTTTTTTTGTAGAAACAGGGACCTGCTATGTTGCCAGGCTAGTCTCAAACCCTTGGCCTCAAGGGATTCTCCTGCCTCAGCCTCCCAAAGTGTTGGGATTACAGGTGTGAGCCACCATGCCTGACCACCTTTTCTTTTTTATAAGCCTATGTTCCAAGGCTTCCTGATATATATAAAACAAATAATAAATTGGGTACATTACAGAGCCATACACCCTTTGACGACTCTCTTAGCTACATAAAGACACAGCAGACATTCTGAAATTAAAATTAATGGGAGGTCTTCCCTTTGCATATAAGGTTAGGTTTATGAACAAGGAATTTTTTATTTTTTTCTTACATAAAAGGGAGTCAGAGTAAGTCTTTTATTCTTCCACTTAGTCTTCTAACCAAGCAACACACCTGGAAGTGAGCGATGGGTAGTGATGGTGATGGTATTGAAGGAAACGGTGGTGAATTTTCTCCAGTTACACAGTTTGAGTAACTGCTCACAGGAAAATAAAACCCAGTATTAAAGGTTTGGAAGACAATAAAGTTAAGATGATTCTTCAACAATTAATACAAATTAGCTTGAATAAAAGACCGTTAAAGAGAATGGGAAGAATTCCAAGTAGAAGAAAAACCGTACACAAAGGCCTCAGTGCAGAAAGGAGCTTGACCTCATAAGGCTAGGTTAGTGAAACACTGATATCATCATTCCTTAGCAGGCCATTGGGACTATTTCAATGAGAACACTTTGGGATATGTATTTCTTTCCAGTGAATTGTGTTAACTATGTTATATTTCATCATGGAATTCAGGCTTGGTTGTCTTCCAGTGGTATCTACTTTCCCTTTCCCCTAGGCTAAGGATGTTAAACTACCCAGTTCAACCCCAAAAATACAGATGAGAGTCCATTTTCAATCCCATACCCACTTCACCAGGAGTCCAGGAATCTTCTAAGAGATTCAGATGTTGCGACCATTATGGAGCAGAAATCTTCATAAGATAACGAAAAACTGTCATGAAAACTTAAGACATTTGTACCTCCCACTCACATGTTGGAACTGGAGTGCAAGTACTTTTGGGGCAAGCAGTGTGACATTTCCTCTTAAATGGGAACTAGACAGCAGACAGTTGGGGACTCTGGATATAATTACATGACCTCCCTATGCTGACACTATGCACAGCTGGTACCTGGAAGTCTCTCCTCATAAACCCCAAACGCCTGAGGTCAGCTCTTGAGTCTGACAATGGTCCCGCTCAAAATGATGCTGGCCTACTACGGATGCTTTTATCCTGGCTTAGAGTGACTCTCCCTTCAAAGACTAAGATATCGTCTTTCCTTGCAGCCAGAAATGGGAGAAATGGGGACAGAGTGCAAGAGTCAGAGAGAGGGGGAGACAGAAAGTGGGGGGCGGGGTAGAAAAGTAGAGTTTTCATAGCTTGTTCACTTGGAAGGAAGTTCAAAAAGCAGCTGGGGAAATGTAAGCATAGCTATCATGTGAAAGCAGAAAAGATGTTTCAGAAAATAATGATAAAAATAATGCTAACATACCATTGACAATTTTGAGATAGTTGGCCTGAGAGACCAGTGGAAATGAGAGAGAAAGAGAACGGTCTTTTTCAAAGTGAATATTCTTAACCAATCCTTGACCAATAGAGCTTCCAATTTTCAAATGCTTCGCTAAAATGACAGAAGTCTCTCCATCTTGTTTCAAATATTTTTAATCTTTGCAGTTCTAAACTAAGAGAGTTGGAAGCTATTACACTCCCTGCTTGCCAGCAGAGACATCAGGTGCTTTTTCAATGAACAAACTACCAATTTAGTACAGCTAAATAAAACTAAGCAACAAGTATCTATTACTGAGCAACAAATTATGGCAAAACTTAGTGGCTTAAAAGAAGACATATTTATTATCTCTCAGTTCCTTTCAGTTAGAAATCTGTTCTATTTCAGGGTCTCTCACAGGCTATAATAATGGTGCCAGTGGCCCCTAATCATTGCAAGGCTCAACCAGGTAAGGACCTGCTCCCAAGCTTGCATGGTTGTGGGTAGGACTCAGTTATTCATGGGTTCTTGGGGTAGGGCCTCAGTTCCTCTCTAACTTGTTGGCTGGAGGAGGCCCTCAGATTTTTGCTGTATGGGCATCCTCAACATGAAAACTTGCTTCATCAAATAGTAGAAGCTGAAAAAGCAGTAGAGTCAACAAACAACATGGAAATTGCAATATTTTGTAACCAAATTACAGAAGTCACACCTCCTTAACTTTGTCATGCTCTGTTGGTTAGAACAGAGTCCCAATCTCCAGCCTGCGTTCAAAGAGAGATTATATAAGAGTATGAATACTAGGATATTGGGATCACTGAGGACCATCTTAGAGGTCTTCCTGTCGCAAAAGGAATAGGTTTCTTGATGAGACTTGTAATCATCCTAAATGCCTGTTTTAACTGCCTACTGCATACATTCATACACACAAGAGAGCTTGCAATGTAGCATTTGAACTGGAATGACAATTCAACCATGTCTTTGAAACCTGAGAAATTGTCCTGTGTCTCAATCCAAAGCAATAGCTGGGAAATGGTTTAGCAATGGACACTTATTATCTCGCTGCTAGCCATGCATACTAGTAATACCTGCTAATGCACACATTTCAGCAGCCAGCTTTTCAGTGCTATGAATATTTTAGCCAATATTTAATACCATCAATATTTAACTGCACTGTTTGGACCAGTATTAGATATTTGGACTCACCAATGAATAGGAGACAGTATGGGTCAGGGTTCAAGGAGAACAGACTATACCTCAAGTAGTTCTAGCAAAAATATTAATTAAGAGTATTAATTGTTTACAGACTTGTTGAGAAGCCTGAGAAAACACATTCCAAGTTGAATATGTAGGAAGTAACATTGAGCCACACTGCAGAACAATGTCACCATGGGAGCTAGTTCTACATCAACTGGCTCCAGGAGTAAACCACCACTACTACACTTACAAAACTACCCCCATCAGGACAAAGCCACAACCAAGAAACATCAATTAGCAGGAAGCAATTGCAGAAAAATAAGGCACCTCCAAAATAGTTCTTTCCAGAATCAAAGCATATGAGAAACACAAACCAGGCCTCTGCCTCACTTCTGCCTTCTAGGGTATGTACAAAAGCACCTGATGGATGGAATCAAAATTGTGGCCAAAATCCTAAATGCGAATGAGGCTGAGAAATTTAGCTATTACGTTTCTGGCTTATAAACTGCAGGAAGGTACATGAGAAGGAACAGGGAATTGATGTTTTCAGTGCTGGGTCAATTTGAGTAATAGTTTTTCAGGCCTTCGAATTTGACTCAAAGTAACTCTTGGCATGATCAGAAGAAGAACTGTGTGGGCACGTGTCCCTTCACTGCCACTGTACCAGTTCCTCACCTCCTTTTTCTAGTTGCATTCCTAGAGAAGATGCTGGATCATTAATTTCCATATAGCAAATAGCAAGACGGAGGAGTATAAAATGGGACTGTGATGACACACAGAGATCCATTCCTGCTAACTTTAGGTTGAGTTTTTTTAAATGTCACATTTTGTTTAAATTACAGGTGGTTGAAATTGTTACTTTTGCCTTCAGCAAACTTACAAGAAGAAGAGAAAATCAATATGACCTAGAGAAGAGGTAACTGGTCCAATATAGAAATACATATCTTGTCCTTCAGCAACTGAGACACAAATTGAAGAAGAATTTGCAATCAGTATCACAAATAGGATGCAGCATCCTCATCTGATTTGTCAACTAGATTAATTTGCTTCCTTTTCTTATTCACACTGAATAAGGTCTTGCCACTAGATTCCATACTTTTTCCATACTTTGATTTTATGATAGCTGCACCTGTTCCTCCTCACCTTGTTTGCTGGTTCAAGTAGACAACCACATCAACACATGAGCACAACAATTATTGTTTCAAGTTTCCAGATAATCACCCTATTTTAAATTATAGTTGGTATTTACCTTTCATTTTCTCATATTTTTGTCTTTTTGCCTGTCTTGATAAAAAATTTTTCTGTGGTGTCTCAGTAAAACCTTCCTTTTCTCCAGTAAATTCCACCATGTTCTAAAATAATCTAAATCCTTAGTTGAATGCTGTTCGCTTGAATGCTTTTGCTTCTAGAGCTCTGGTTTTTCTTTACTTTCTCCAAATTCTGACATAGACTTTTTTCTTTCTAGGTAGGAATTTTGCCTAGTTTATTTTGATTTCTATCTGTATTAGGTTATTTAATGAGCTTTTGACTACAGTTTTGGTTTACAGAGTCATTTTTTAGGATCTTTGTCTACCATTTCCCTTGCCTTCAGGTATGGTGCTTTTTTTTTTCTGAAGATCTTGGCCACATCCTTGCCATCAAAAAAAAAAAATCCAAATCATATTATGATTCACTACTCATTAATATGGAAAGAATGTCTAGACATCCTTTTCCTCTTCACTATTCTCACACAGAAATTAAAAATCCATACTTTCATAGAAAAGAAAACTCCTGCCTTACACAAAAAACTCTTAAGTACAGTTTTAAAATATTTACAATTATTTATATTAATGTTTTTAAAATATTTTCCTTGGTATTCTCTAATGGAAACAAATCCTGTCTAAATTTGCAATTAATTTTGGAAGAAAATATTTATTATATAGAAATGTTGTTGTAACATTAAGATTTTTGTCATTATTCTTGGAACCAACCCAAATGTCTATCAATGATAGACTGGATTAAGAAAATGTGGCACATATACACCATGGAATACTATGCAACCATAAAAAAGGATGAGTTCATGTCATTTGTAGGAACGTGGATGAAGCGGGAAACCATCATTCTCAGCAAACTATCACAAGGATAAAAAACCAAACACCACATGTTCTCACTCATAGGTGGGAATTGAACAATGAGAACACATGGACACAGGAAGGGGAACATCACACACTGGGGCCTGTCGTGGGGTTGGTGGGGGAGGGATAGCATTAGGAGATATACCTAATGTAAATGACGAGTTAATGGGTGCAGCACACCAACATGGCACATGTATACATATGTAACAAACCCGCATGTTGTGCACATGTACCCTAGAACTTAAAGTATAATAATTTAAAAAAAGACAATAAAAAAAGATTTTTGTCATTATTTTCTCCAGCTAGAACATCTGTATATAAATTAAGGAGATAGTAAGTAAGAAGAAAAAGAAATAAAAAGACTAAGTAGGTGCTAAATAAGTATATAACTCATCCTTGATATATTTTAAAAATTGACTGGGGTAATATTTTTTAACACTACCATTGTTTTCATGAAATGAAGACAGATAATTCTTAATGTCTAGTATTGAAAACATATGGATTCTTGACATGATATCAATAAAATGTATGTGGTTAAGGTAAGAGGTAAGAGATTAGCTTTTACTTTTACCACCCAGATTTTTGATGTTGATACACAAAGCTGGAGTATAACAGCCTAATACGTATGCATCTAGATAAATCTAAAATGGTTTTATCTCAAGCTGAATTCATCATAATGTAGAATAAAACCAGTTAAAATAAATTTACCAGTTGCAATCAAACAAGAAATGAAGCTTAGTCATATGCACCCCCCAAACTTCGAAAAGAAAAACAAACACCAAAATAAATAAACAAAAGTCTTGTGATTTTATATGTAGCACAGCTTCTGACCTCCATCCCACCTCGAAGAGAGAGTACTGAGAAAAGAATAGAAATTATTTTTTAAATCCTGAATATTCCTACCAACAGCCTTCAATTCTGAGATAAGCTGACAGCTGCTGTGAGGAAAATTACAAAGATAAAACCACCGAGACTAGGAAACTGCTGGGAGCAGAAGTTTTCAAGGTTCACCTTGAGACCTCAGCTTAGGTAGGAAGATCACACACAGCTTTTTGTCTTTCAGTGCACTAGGCTGAGTGGAGGATGAAACTTCGCTACCTTAAGAACGAAAGGATCCCCAGCTGGGATAGTTCAGATTGGTGGAAACTGGGGATGATATGTGTTTTGTTATTTATACTTGTTTTCAATGTTTATATTTTTAATAATAAGCATATATCATTTTTATTATAATAATATCTTTTTTATAAAACAGAAACATAATGATTATTTCATTATACCTTTTAAAAAACAGGAACATTATGATTATCTCGTTATACCTTTTTATGTTCCTGTTTTTTATAAAAGATACATGCAGAAAGATTTATCATGATATTAAGTGGTTATTGACTTGGTTGGGCATTGACATTCTAACACACTCCTACGGGCAGTCAACACCACAGAGCAGCTCACCTCTCTCTGTTTACCCTTGTGTCATTATTAAAATAATCCTTTGAAAGTGCTTGGTTGACATTCTCCAAAATCACCCCTTTATTCTCAAAGGTCTTATTTGGACAAATTTTTATCCATAAAGCACTTCTTAGTTAATTGAAAATGTAATTGGAAGCAAAACCAACCTTAAAGCCTACTTGTGAGGATATTTCATAATTACAACATTAATTGGGTTGATTAAGTCAACATGATTTTGAAAATTACCTTCACAAAGACAGTTCCTATGTCCACACATTATAGTTTCTCAGAAAAAGAGTGTCATTTCTTCTAAAAGAAAAAATACAAGAATTCGTTAAAAACATAAAAAAGGATTTAAAACATGAAGTCAACACTACTAGCTATTTTCAAATATATTTTTTAAAAAGTCAACAGATATATATATTTGTAAATGAAAGCAAATAATTTTATGACTTGAAATAAATATGTGATATTATATATAAAGTATCTGAAGTATATTTACCAACTCTACAGGGTAATCAAGCACAGCGATGTAAGCTGTTGTACATAAATATTACCAAAATCAGGAAGTATTTTATACATAATTTCTACAGACGAATGTTATCACTGAGCCTGAGTCATTATGATTTAACATTCTACTCATGGCTCATTGGGGAATAAAGCTAAACTTCTAGATAATAAACAATGCATTCTTTAATTATTTTATTCCCAGCACATCTTTTCACACATAAAATACCAGAAGATGCATACAAACATGAAAACAAATGGAATTATTTGGAAAGTTAAGAATTCTGTAGAATCCAACGTCAGCAGAATAGCAGACTAAAAAGCTCCAAATGCTTTTCCTCCAAAGAAACGTTAAAAAACAACAACAAAACACCCTGAAATGATCTAAACCAACTTTGAATGAACTCTGAAAACAAAGGTTTGTAGCAACCAAGCAAACACCCAATCAAGAAGAAGACATCTCCAAAACGGTAGGAGACATTTTGTGGTGTTTTTACTTTCTCCACTCCGTCCCTGGCCCAGTGGCAATCTTGGTATTGGAAAAAGCAACTCAGTTTCTAGTTCCCCTCATCCTCAAATTGAAGGGAGCAGAACATACCTTATTTGCAAATTACTGGGCATATCTGTTCTAACCTGGTTGGAGGTTATTTGAAGAACTGATGCGCTAGTCTCTGTCTGGCATAATTTGGAATACAGGCAAAGAAAGAGGTCCTCATAAAAGCTATAAGGAACTACAAACCCACACATGCTTGGGATAGGAGATCACACATAATAGACCATCTAAGGCCCAGAGAGGAAGCTGGGGTAAGACTCTGGGAAATTAGGACATTGAATAGTAACTGCTTACATACACACGGGACTTTAGAGAGTCACAAGTGCATGTCCAGCCAAGACTCATGCTCAGAAATGTCCTGAGAAGACCTTAAGCTTTCACCTCAAGGTGAGACCTAGGATCAAAGCAAGCCTAGCTAACCGGTGAATGGCTACCCCTGCATGAAGTACATTTGTGTAGACTGGGAGAGGTAGTTGTTCTTTCTTTTCAGTCTTTTGTGTGTGTGTGTGGTGGCGGGGTGGGCAAGGGGGTGTTTTTGTTTATTTGTCTGTTTCAGCTCCTGGCATTCAAGGAAATCTCTTTCAAAGCATTTGCCGAACATGAGCTGAAGGAACAGAGGCTTCAATGAGTACATATAACAAGAATAATTGCTGCATAGTTTAAAAATGTCTCAAAACAGATGGATTACTGAAGCTTTTAACAATTAAAAAAATAGAAAGTCTTGAAGAATGGGGAAAATCTGATTTTCAGAGTTACCGCATTATAATAATGAAATGGCCAATTTGCAACAACAACAAAATAATCACTAGGTATATAAGGAAGAGGAAAACATGGCTCATTCAAAGGAACAAAATAAATTGACATAAACTGGCTGGGAGGAAGCCTAGACATCACACTTACCAGACAAAAAAATTTAAAACAACTGTCTTAAATGTGCCCAAAGAGCTAAAGCAAAATTACAAATCTGTTTTAAAAAATTGAAGTGAAAAAGGGAAATAGGAGGAAAATAAAATACACATCCCAATTCCCTTATCTATAGTAGCTGAGACTCAAAATATTTAATATATCATATAAAGAGGGCAATTCAAGTAACAGAAGTCTCAGCATATTTAAAAGTACAGAGGTAAACACTATGAAAGACAATACTATTGACTAAAATTGTGTAGTGAGGAGATGTAAAAAAAAAAAAAAAGAGAGAGAAGAGGTAATAGGCTAATTTTACCACCACCTAACGTTACTTTAATATCCACAAGTGAAAAAAGCATTATAGTAAGTTTTGCGATCAGAAAGTGTGATCTTCCAACTTTGTTTTCTTTTTCGTTTGGTTTGGCTATTGGCCTTGAGTTTCCTTATCAGTTTTAGTATCAGTTTGTCAAATTCTGCAAAGACACCAGTTAGGATTCTGATAGGAATTGTGTTGAATCTGAAATCAATCTAGGGTTTATTGCCATCTTAACAATATTCTGTATTTTTCAAAAAGCCACTTAGATCAGTCTCTATCCTGAAATCTTAACCTAATCAATTTTCCAGAATTTTTAACAGAATTTAAAAAAAATAGGCCATAATTCACGTAATGTTGACAAGGTATGGAAAATAAATAAATTTTATCATAGAAATTATATCAAGTACATTTATTTATTTATTTACTTATTTATTTATTTATTTATTTAATATTTTTTTGAGACGGATTCTTGCTGTCGCCCAGGCTGGAGTGCAATGGCGCAATCTCGGCTCACTGCAACTTACACCTCCCAGGTTCAAGCCATTCTCCTGCCTCAGCCTCCCAGGTAGCTGGGACTACAGGCATGTGCCCCCAAGCCCAGCTAATTTTTTTGTATTTTTAGTAGAGATAGGGTTTCACCATGCTGTACAAGCTGGTCTCAAACTCCTGACCTCAAGTGATCCACCCACTTCTGCCTCCCAAAGTGCTGGGATAACAGACGTGAGCCACCACGCCCAGTCGAGTACGTTTATTTGATTCGTGTCAAAGCAGCAGGAAGAAACACTTATAAATATCTACCCACCACACCCGAATTGCACTGAGTTTTATGGTGTGTTAAAATAAAGCATCTGGTTTTAAATAAAGAAGGGAAAAGCAAAGAAAATAAAACAATGTATTAACTATGAATTAAGGTACAGCTGAAGTAATTAACAATAGATTAAATGGATCAATAATTACCATATCATACATTAGTCATGTTTGACACCTTCCAAAAAGTATCTAAAATATGTTACCTGGACACATACATAAACTCAGGGGTAGAATTAACTCCGTAGTAAAACAATTTGACAAGTGACCTTACCTCTATTTATAGAGAATGTCAGTAAACACAATTGATACGATTTTTATTATAAAAGTTACAGAAATTTCCAGATTTAATCACCTAGAAAACTTTGTTTTAATCTGCTTAATCATAAGGAAGATTGTTCCATGTATTTGTTTGACAGGCTCCTCGGAATCTAAATATTTATATATTTTGCCTTTCTTACCACCATGTAAATTGTAGAACCGTTGGTGCAAAGATCAAAAGAAAACCTAGACTGAGGGACCAAAAGATGGCATAAGGTTTGGAAGGATATGTGGGCTCTGTGTGAAGGGAATGTTTTCCAAGCATTGTAACAAGAGTGCATTGACTTGAGGTGGAGACAAAACATTAAAAGGTAACGTAAGCTGGCTGGAGGGAAAACATCAGATCTGAAATCAGATCAGGCTCGTTGCTGTGAAGATATGTTAGAAGGCAAGTTAGAGTCCCATTGTTAGAAGAAGAACAAGATGCCAAATGTTGATCCTGGCAGCTTAAGTTCTCAAAAACATTTGCTGGTTCATGTCTTTTTATATATTCCCTGGATATTCCAGAGTCACTCACATAGGGCCTCCACTATGACGTGCAAATAAGGCATCTGGCAAGTGGCAAAGCCAGGATGCAAACTCAGTTCTAACTGTGGGTTAGAACAAAGGAGCAGAAAAAAATAACATAACCATCCTGGCTAACACGGTGAAACCCCGTCTCTACTAAAAATACAAAAAATTAGCCGGGCGCGGTGGCGGGCGCCTGTAGTCCCAGCTACTCGGGAGGCTGAGGCAGGAGAATGGCGTGAACCCGGGAGGCGGAGCTTGCAGTGAGCCGAGATTGCGCCACTGCAGTCCGCAGTCCGGCCTGGGCGACAGAGCGAGACTCCGTCTCAAAAAAAAAAAAAAAGAAAAAATAACATAAAAGAAGGAGGAAGGAGGAGGTGGGGGAGGCAGATGACAGGGGGAAGAAAATAAAGAGTGTTGGCTTCTGCAACACATATACTAAAATTGTACATCAATGACACAGAGATTAGCGTGACCCCTGCACAGGGATAACACGCAAACTTTGTGAAACATTTCATATAAATTGAAGAATGGGATAGGCATGGTGGCTCACGTCTGTAATCTCAGCACTTTGGGAGGCTGAGGCGGGTGGATCACTTGAGGTTAGGAGTTTGAGACCAGCCTGGTCAACATGATGAAATCCCGTCTCTACTAAAAATACAAACACAAAAATTAGCCGGGTGTGGTGGTGTGAGCCTGTAATCCCACCTGCTTGGGATGCTGAGGCAGGAGAATTGTGTGAACCTGGGAGAGGGAGGTTGCAGTGAGCCGAGATCACACCGCTTCACTCCAGTTTGGGCGACAGAATGAGATTCCATCTCAAAAAAAAAAAAAAAAAAAAGAAGAATGTTTTAAAAAAGAGAAGAGAAGGCAAAGAAAGAAGATGAAAAGGAAGAGAAGGAAAAAAAGAAGAAAACATGTGCACAAACATTTAACCTATGGTGCAGACACTATTATAGCTCATGTCTCTGCTCTGCTCAAAACCATCCAATAGATCTTATTCAAAGTGAGATCCCATATCATTATTACTTTTTAAATTTTGCTTGTTTGTTTGTTTGCTTGTTTTGAGACAAGGTCTCACTCTGTCACCCCGGCTGGAGTGCAGTGACACAATCATAGCTCACTCAGCCTCCAACTGCTGGGCTCAAGTGATCCTCCTGCCTCAGCCTCCCAAGTAACTGGGCCTACAGGCATGTGCCACCACACTAGCTAATTTATTTAATTTTTTGTAGAAATGAGGTCTCACTATGTTGCCCAGACTGGTCTTGAGCTCCAGATCTCAAGCAATCCTCTTGTCTCAGCCTTCCAAAGCACTAGAATTATAGATGTGAGCCACCATGCCTGGCCTCCCATCTGCTATCACAGTCAATGACCCTACAGACTCTGGCTTCCCACTGTTGCCTTCTCTTCATTTCCTGTTACTCTTCCTTGCTCTCAGTCAAGTTCAGCTGCATCCACTTTATTGAACATATCAAGCAAAATAGCACCTGAGGGCCCTTGAGTTAGCTGTTTCCTTTCCCCAGAAGTTCTCTGCCCATTTTTGCTGCATGCCCACTGGCTTGCCACCTCACTTCCTTTCACTTTCTTCAGGTCTCTACTCAAATACTGCCTTTTCGTAAGGGCGTCCTTCGACCACTCTTAATAAAATAAAAACCTGCCATCGTTCTCTATGCCCCTCACTCTGCTTTATTTTTCTTCGTGTTATTTATTGCTGCATGATGTATTATACATGTATTTGTACATTTGTTTATTACCTGTCTCCCTTCTGTTTCTGGGATGCAATTGACAAGAGAACACAGATTTTGACTATTTTATTCACTGCTACATCTTTAGCCTCTAGAACTGTGTGCTTGGCATGTGGTAGTTCACCAAGAAATATTTGTGAAAGTTTGAATGACTGAATAACTGAACAATCAAATGAAGAGCCCTGTTTTAGAGAACAAACTGAAACACAGAGAAACTAAGTAGCTTGCCCAGGTCACTTGGAAAGTTAAACATTTTTCTCATGGTAAGCCAAACAATTATTATACCTGTTTAGAACATAACTTGCATTCAAACTTGAAGCTTATATTTTGTCTGTGTGTGTGCATGTGTCTGCATGTGTGCGTGTGCCTGCTTGCATATGTGCATGTGTGCATGTGTCTGCGTGTGTGTGTGCCTGTGTGTGTGCGCATGTGGGCCTGTGCATGTCTGTGTGTGTGTGCGTGTGTGTGTGCATGTGTGAGTCTGTGTGTGCAAGTGCATGTGTGTGGGTGTGTGCGTGTGTGTGCGCATCTGTGTGCTCATTTGTGTCTGTGTGTGTGTCTGTGTGTGTGTATGTCTGTGTGTGCGTGGGTGTGCATGTATGCATGTCTCTGTGTGTGTGCGTATGTGTGCGTGTGTGTGCGCGTGTGTGTGCATGTGTGTTTATGTGTTGTCCTTATCTTTGGATCATTGTTCTTTTGTTGCCTTGTCCTCGTCTATCAAGACAATAATCTGATTCTGTTGTTAGTTTGGTATGCATGTTGATGTATAGATTGGAGATAGGAAATTATGACAGATAGCTGACATAATTTGTTTAATTGGATTACCAAGAAAATCTGTTGAGAAAGATTGGTTAGATTCAAAAATTACAACTTTTTGAAGTACTAGTATAAAATAGTATTTTTAAAAATTTTTTGAGAAGTCCTCTTCTGAAGATCGTAAGAGCAGAAATCCTTCACTTTGATTTCCAATTAATTGAAGGGGCATATAATCCTTGAAATTCAGACACAATCTATGGATAGAAGAATGAGGAGAACCCTAATTTTAACCTAATTAAATTGTGTTTTTGTTTCACTCTTGCCACCTGCCTTAATGGGAAGGATGTCAAGATAAAGACAAAAGTTATGAAAAAATAAAGGCATATTTTCTACATCTGAATTTGTGATTGATTATATGATTTGTAGTCTAAGTTAATACATAAATAAAATTGAATTCCTTCTAAATGATATATGATCTTTCTGGATCAAGAGGCTGAGGTGAGTGGCTTTCTTTTGAAGAGTACATTTCAAGGTTTAGACTGAGAAAGGTATTCATGTTACACTACTCTGAGACATCGCTTTGTGGATCACAGATATCCCACTTCATTAAGGTAGAACAACAGAAAAAAATGTGACTAAACCAATATGATTCTGAGAAAACTCATGTCACTTCTTTCTTCTCTACTTTTGTTTTCTCTTTCTATGCCTTATATGCTTAAGACCTTTTTTTATATTTCCCCAAATAAACTTATATAATAATATATATCTGCTTTAACGTGTCTGGGATGATTCATATTAAGAAAAAAACAGAGATCTCAATGTATTAGAAATTTCTGTGAAATTCTTCTTTAGCTTGGACACATCACATTATGTCATAGAAACTTGAAAAGTCTATGAGCCATAATTTTAATGTCACAGCACAATTCTATAACTGGTAGTGCAATTTACGCAGAATCAGATTACATATGTACAGGGAGTTAATCTATTAAGGTTAAAACTAAAATCTATCTTTTAATAAAATAAATTACACATTTGTATTGCACAATGCACATTTACCTTAAGGTATTCGGAAAATAAAACAATAAAATCAATATAAATTATGTGAGAATTCAGTAGCAAAATACTCAGACCCCTTGTGGAATCATATTGCATCTATTAGTTTGAGCCAATAAAAAACACTGGTTTATAGTGTTCATAGTGCGTATATTCCTCCCACTATGGTTGCATTGTGCATGGGAGGCAGAGAAATATTCTTGAACGGCTAAGTAGCAGCTGTAGCTTTCTTCAAATTGGTTTCTGAAGATCCTTTTCTCTTTGAAGTTGTCTTTAGTAACAGTCCTGGCACTGTCAATGAGTCTGTCCAGCCCCAAGTGTCTATTCCTGTTTGTTCATGGGCGTGGGAGAGGTCTGAGTCACTGAAGGGTGTGTCCCCCACTTTCTTGTAGATACTTGAAAAGGAGCCATGCACACTGGTGCCCAGAGGCAAAGGCAGAACACCTGGAGGACTCACGTGGAACTTACGTAACCCACCCCCTCCAAAAAAAAAAAACGAAAAGTGCAAACCAGTTTATCTCAAAAGGAAATGTTTCTTGCCTCTCTTTCATTAATTTCCAGTTGTTTTTTTTGTTTGACTAGTGGCTAAGAATCTCAGTTCACTTCTCCTATGTTCCAGAAATTAACTTCTCTTATTTTTCTGTTGGTCAGTTTCTATTTAGAGTCCTAACTGAACCAAAGTAGTAGAGATAAATCTCAGTCTTTTGGGATTTTTTCACCCCAATGTTTCTGAGGCTGAGTGTAAATTTTGCCTACTCCTGTGGGGTAGTAAGAGTTCTGGGTATGACCATCTGGTGTTTGGTCATAAACTTGCACAGGTGGTCACTGAGGCAGCTCTTACTCCAGTCATGGTCACCTGGGAGTTTCAGACCAGGAGTTTCCATGTTAATTTTATGGTTTACTTACATAGTAGCTAAGAAGCACTGAGAGGCAAAGTTGCTTAAATGGGATGGGAGCTGGGCAATAAGAACAAATCAAACACCAGAAAAGAAAAAAAAGTGTTACAGAATGTTTGTGTGTATTACAATCTCATGCTTTTGGGGAGAAAAACTAATTTCTTCCCCATCTTCCCAGGTGCCCATACTAAATCCTGTGGTCTGTCTGTTCTCTGGAAGGTAAAATGTTGCGCAGCCAACAGACAGGGACAGAAGCTCCTGGGGAGGGTCTCTTGAAACTCAACAAAGCACAGTCTGGGAGAAAGAACATCTTATATAGAGGCAAATGTGATCATTTTTAAGTAGATTTGATGCTGCTACTTTTTTGGTGAATTTATTTTAGAGCAGAGGCTAGTATTTTAGTGCAAGCCACTCTCAATCATGAATATAAAAAGTCTAGGCAAGGACTCCCTAAAGATGTTCAGTGGTGTTACGCAGAACGTGTTCTGGCACAGGAATGTAGCATGTTATTTTCAGCAGACATTACCCTCCAGAATGGATTCTATTTTAGACAGCATGCTGACTAACGCATAGAGCAGTTTGACAGAAACATGGATCCATTTAGACAGTTCAGATCTGAACAACAACAGATTTTCAACTCGTTTCAAATTTTTAGAAGGTTTTACCCTTTTGAGTATAGTAGAATTATGCTTGGATTTATAAATTTTTATCCAGAAGGTATTTTCCAGCTTAAATAAAATTAAACAATTTTAATTTTTCCAAAGCAAAGTTAAACTAATTTTTAAAATTATTTCATTAAAATTATTTTAATAGGAATTACTTTCTGCTTATATTTTACAATAAAAATTGAATCATTTGATTAATTGGCCCCTTATATAAAATTAAACCATTTATAGTATTTGCATTGTCAGTTTTCTTTGTGACCATTTATGCTAGCCAATTTTTATAGCTGTAAATTTTTGCCAAGAAGATATGATGCTTCCACAGATAACAAGTATTTGTACATACTGTTATACTTATTATCAGATCTATTTTTGCTTTATCTCATTTGATGTTCCTTTTAAAAATACTCATTTTGAATTTGATAGAAGACTGATAATCATATTTGTTTCTGAGTAAAGCCTGAACAAGTCCTTTCAGATATTCTAGGATTTCATTCCCAAGTAAAGGGATGCATGAAAAGTCCTCATTTCAGTGAAAGAAGCCAGACACACAAGGCCACATATGTACGATTTCATTTATATGAATGTCCAGAGTAGGCAAATCCATAGAGACAGAAAAGATATCAGTGGTTGCCAGGGGATAATGCAGGGAGGGGAAGAGGAGAATGACTGCTTAAAAGGTTTCCTCTTGGGGTGATGAAAATGTTCCAGAACTAGATAGTGGTAACAGTTTCACAACATTTTAAATGTACTAAAGTCACTGAATTATACACTTTAAAATGGTGAAAATGATGAATTTTAACCATTCATAGCCATGTTTTATGAATTTTACCATTTTTTAAGTAAAGGGAAAAGAAGGTTCTGAGATTCAAACCTTTGCAATCAAAATAAACTGTCGAATACAGAAGCCCGTAAACATGTTCTGAATACTATTTAATTTTTCTGCCCATGAAACCAAGCCTAATTCTAAATAATATAAGAGCCAAAATAAACTGTCTAAGCTGGTATTAACCTTTTTCTTAAATTAAAAATGTTATCAGGTTGATAGGTGCAGCAAACCACCATGGGACACGTTTACCTATGTAACAAACCTGCACATCCTGCACGTGTATCCTGGAACTTAAAATAAAATAAGTGTTATCAATGTTCATTGTGAAAAAATCAACACAGAAAGAATAAATTATCAATTCCATTGTCTGGAAATCATGTTTCGGGATTATATATATGCACAAACTTTATTTCCCTAAAAAGAGATGAGATATTGTTCGGTAGTATATCCAACTACATAATTTTACCAACTACCTCACACTTATAATTCTTTTACTATGTGCAGGCAGTGTTCTATGTACTTTAGGTATAGTAACTCATTTAATCATTCAACAACCCCATGAGGCTGGCATTGTTCATTGATTTTAATGAGAAAGCTAAGAGAGGAAATAAGTAGCCTTTCAAAGGTCACACAGAAGTAAGTGACAGATCCAGGATTCATATCCAAGCATTCTGGCTCTAGTGTCCATGCTTCTCAACCATTATGACCCAATATTCAACCAAATCAATACTGAAGGACACGTGAAATGTATCCGGTATTTTACTATTACAAACAAAAATCCAATGAACATTCTTGAAGACATACACAAAAATAATGGTTACAATAGAAGTTACTGGAATTGAAATTTTGGTTCAACCTATATTAAAATGTAAGGCTTTTGATATAGCTAATAGATTTTTGAAATGATCAGTCTTAACGTTTGTAGGGGAGCACACTCCTGCATGGGGAAAAGATTCACTGTGAAGCACAGAGCACCTTTATGGTTGGATCATCTTGTCATTAAAGTTCAGGCGTTATCTATCCTGTAAGTGGCAGAATCAAGACTGCAATATCGCCTGCTTTTCTTTTTAACTCATGTTTTCCCTTGACTACACTGGTCCTCAAAGTAAAACCCCTGTGTCAGTGTACTATTCATGGAATACTCTGCAATTATAACCACCTTCTAATACTTTTAATACCCAATCAAAATTTATTATACATATGTATCATAGATACTCATCTGTAAAGCTGTGCTTCAAAATAGTGATCTCTTCCCAACATTACAATATATATTAATGATGTCGACAATTTGATAATGAAACATTGTCCAAAATATTCCCCATTAATACAACAAAGACATAATTATTTCTATTTCCATGCCAGCCATAAGCATAATTTTGCAAAGTGATCATCTTAGAATTATTTAATCTCTAAATACAGCAAAAACAAGAAACCAAGTTAATATTGTTTTATTACATCTCCCCACATCTGTAAATATTACTTTACGCATCCAATTTTTGCTTATTTTAAGCAGCCAAGTTTCTTTAAAAGCAAAGTAACTTCTTTTAATAGCAATACTAAAACTCTGTTTAAAACATTGCAAAACAAACCCCACTGCATTTTAGACAGCTGCTTCCTTATAAAAGTAAGAAAAAACATTCTGTATATTTACATAAAAAATTCTAAATCATTCACTGGGGGAAAAATGAAAGCTTTAAAAATATATTTTCTTGCACACTCAAATACCATAAATTTCACCTTACACATATAAGGAAATAATAATACTACATATGTGAAAATATAGAAATGAATCCCTAAAATTAAATTTTCATTTGAGAGAAAAGAATTACAAATTCGGGCATACATGCAGACCAGGTGGTTTTCAGCATGTTCAAAGAACAAAGAGATGGTTAGAGGTTTTATAAACAGGGAAGTGATACTGGTTGCTCTTTGAGAAAGTTTATCGGCACTAGTAAAGTCTTGGGGAGGTAGCAGGTTTTGATCGGTGAGTGAGGGAGTGAGCAAAACACAGTGGGTGTTTCAGTAGCCGTTAGATAAAACTGGCTTCTGGATACAGCAGGAAATTTCAGCAACTAGGCTTACAGAGAATTCCATTCTCAGACCAATATTTTGTGCCCTGAGTTCTTTCTCCCCCTGGCTTCTCGACTGTCTTTTGGTTGAGTATTTCAAGATTGATCCAATTCGTATGATCAACTTTCACACATGTTCAAAATGATTACATTAAAAGAAGACGACTTTAAACGGAAAACAAGGCCGGGAGCGGTGGGTCATGCCTGTAATCCCAGCACTTTGGGAGGCCGAGGCAGGCGGATCACGAGGTCAGGAGATCGAGACCATCCTGGCTAACACAGTGAAACCCCGTCTCTATTAAAAATACAAAAAATTAGCCGGGCGTGGTGGTGGGCGCCTGTAGTCCCAGCTACTCAGGAGGCTGAGGCAGGAGAATGGCGTGAACCCGGGAGGCGGAGCTTTCAGTGAGCAGAGATCGGAGCCACTGCACTCCAGCCTGTGCGTCAGAGCGAGACTCCGTCTCAAAAAAAAAAGGGGGGGGGGGGGGCAATAAAAAGTCTAAGTCTAAAACACATAGATTTTAGGGTCAAATTAGAAAACAGAAAATGTAGGAATAAATCAGAATTTTAGATAGGCATTTAATTCATAGACCTTCTTAGTGCCCAGAAGGAGGGCTGCAGAAGGAATACAACAATTCCCATGAATGCCTTGTTTGTTCTGCACAACCAGTTCAGGCTCATCCTGCAAATGCCTTCAGACTCATCATGCAGTCAGCTCTGTCTCCTTGATTTCTCACTCCAAATAAGGTGAGCCATAGAGAAGAGGTTGGCTGATCCCTCACCGGACTCAAATGGCAGTTGCCATTGGCCTGAGAAAGGAAAAGGCAGTGCCAAGCCTAGGAAAAAGTATGAAGCAGACGATGTTGCTTTTACTCCCACCCATATTCCTTGTGGCCTCTCCTTGCCCTTGAAGGCCTGCATCTTCCTGTTGCCCTCTGACTGTACAAATAACCTACTTGGGCTGCTTTCTCCCAAAGTTCCCTCTGTTCTAAAATGACAACTTGATCTTTTTCTTTTATACATTCAAAATTTCTATTTCTTCTATTATTTTAAAATTTCTCTGGAGAAAGCAAACTGATTAAAAATTAATTCACGCTGAAGGATGGTGGAAAACCTGGAGTCACTTAAGGGAATCTCTGCTGGAGGTGTTGCTTTAGCAGAAAGCCGAAAGAAGGGGGCCCACAAGGCCTGGCTTTCCTTGATTCAGGCCAATGCCACTCAGAAGAAGGGCAGTGAGGAGAAAAATGAAATTTTGTAGCTCCCAGACCTGATCAGGTGTCAAGTTTGTGGGGCTTAGGTTTAAGGACAATCAATCTCCCCAGGGTGCTTTCAGTAAGATCCTCCCCTCAGCTCCCTCTAGCCTCTAAACTCTAGGAGGACATGGTTATTTGGATCTAAATTAAAAAGATGTTGGTCACTATAAGAGAGAATAGAAACAGCAATAGAGGATTTAACTTCAGTAAAGGTAAGTTTTAAAATGTTTTTGTTATTAGCTCCCCGAAAAAAACACCTCATCTCTGGACCCTTGCTACCAAAAAGCAGGGAACCCCAGCTGCAGCGAGTATTCCCCAGTTTGCTACTAACTTGTGGATGCAGAAATCTTGAAACAGACTGCAAAGCAAAGCTACTGTTCCATTGGATTCCCTATTTCCTTCCCACAGAAACCAGAAAAGTTTAATTTATTTACAATTTTAAACAAATTACACAAATTGGACAGGAACTATTTCCTCATAGACTCAGTTATAATGCAGCATTTAAGAGCCCAGGCCTAGGAAGCTCTCTCTTTTTTCTATTGTAGGACAAACTATACCCCAGCCTCATTTCAAGTTTTTACCATTTTCCTCTTTGTTCTCATTTCATTTTAAATATTGCATTGATTAATAATAATATACACACACACATTTATTTCCAACTATATTCCTATAGAAAATTGCTACTTCATAGGGCACTTCAACACATTTTGCCTCCAAAGTCAAATGAATTTGGTAGTGCAGTAGGGGTGAGTCCCAATTCTTTATGAGCTGCAACATTTTTAATTTAATTCAGTCTTCATTGTTTCTTTTCCAAAACTTTCTTCACATAGTGATACTCAATATTTCTTGTTTATTTTTTAAACTATCACTTAAAGTGAATACATAATAATGTGATATTAGCATAACTTAGCTATTGTTGGACTAATATTTATCCAGCATATTTATTACTAAAATATCCGTAAAAAAAAAAAAGAGCAGATGCTTTAGAGACCTTAATTCCAGTGCTGGAGTTTGAGATTTACCAGTTGTCTGTTTTAACATTTTTCACTTTTTGGAAAAGATAAGCAACAACTTGCTTTAAAAATATAAATTGGTGAGTAGCATAATTCAAAATTGAGAAAAAAATCATCATATACATACATGTTGAAATTGAACTTTACAATATTATTTTTGGAAACCTCCAGAATGTCTGACAAAGACCTAATTGTAGCACTGTGACATTATCTCTTTGTGCATGCTTCTGCTAATGTAATAAATTTGGGTTCCAAATTATTTAAAAAGTCAAGGCCATCTTCTTCCTGCTTTTCACTGCAGCAGCCCACAGAACCAGCTGGAGATCCTCTTCCCTCATAGTTATAAGTGAGGACATAATCTTGGGATGGCATGCGGTCTTCATTCTGATTACATCGATGCAATTTCTGTAAAATTTTTTAAAAAATGAATTGCATTATAGTTTTAAACAACTTAAATATATGAACATAAAATTTATTTTTATTTACCTTTTATGTTTAATTTTTAACCAGTGTGTCCTCTAATGGATTCCTACACACAGAAAATGCAAATGATTGGTCTATATCACAACCATACCATAAAGTCAGTATAGTTTACATTTCTAGTGCTCCATATAAATAAAAAATTATGTATACAAGTTTTATATTTAAGTACATTCAAGTTGTCATTAAATGCTTATCCCTAAATTTTATACACAGAGGTCAGTCTAGTCTAAAAAATAGAGACAATAGTCATACTGGTTAGGAGTTTGAGATAGGATGTCAAACAGCCTTGGTTGTGAGTCAAAGCTCTGGCTTTACCAACTAGCTATATGACTTTGGGCAAGTGACCAAATATCCTTTAGTCTCAGTGACCACCTAACAAGATTATTTTAGAAATTAATGACAAAATAATGACGCATAATACACTTATTATGCCCAGCACATATTAAAGGTACAATACATGTTAACTTGAATCACTATTATATGCAGTTATAAACTAGGTAGGATTTACCACATTAACTTCAGAAGCAAGTTTCCAAGATACTCAAACATGGCAAAATATATACATGCATCGAAAAGTTCAATGAAATTAAAAAGAATGAACATGACCCATATTGCAAAAACTGGGCTTTTATAATGAAGACGCCATGCATTCAGCCACATCTACCCTCTCTGCCACTGGCCTGTCTGCCAACTCGTCAACTGCCATGTCTCCTCCCTTTCCTCACCTGTGTGCCCACTCCTTGCCTATGTGGAGTTCATTGGCATGGCTTACGTTCTTTCTTCATGACATTGTTAGCCTTACCTCCCATTACCTGGTGTGCAACTGAGGAACCCTCCTAAGACTATGTCTTAAGCTTCACTCCATCTCAACCTGATATTACATAAATACTGACTGTCTAGAAGTAGAAAAAGAATTAACACTTGAATTTGACCCTCCAAAATGCTATGGATACATAACCTACAGCCCTATACCAGAGTATCACCCATTTGCATTCCATTCAAGGATTAAAGGTCTACTGTTTGTCCTGCAATGGCACTGGTATCCTCTGATAAAAGAGGTAAAAATTTAGTCCAGAAGAGTGTCTAATCCAGTGGCTTTCTACCTAGCTGCACATTTGAATCATCTCGGAAATGTAAAACAAAAACAAAACAAACAAAAAACCCCAAATTCATTAAATTAGAATCTTTTAGAGTAGAACACAGCCATTAGTTATGTTTTAAAAGCTTCATAGAGGATTTTGCCAAGCCAAGTGGCTCATGCGTATAATCCCGGCACTTTGGGAGGCCAAGGTGGGTGGATCACTTGAGCCTGGGAATTGGAGACCAACCTGGGCAACATGGCAAAACACCTTCTCCACAAAAAATACAAAATTTATCCAGGTGTGGTGGTGTATACCTGTAGTCCAAGCTACTCAGGAGGCTGACATAGAAGGATCACCTGAGCCCAGGAGGTCAAGGCTGCAGTGAGTGGAGATTGCACCACTGAACTCCAGCCTCAGCGACAGAGCAAGACCCTGCCTTAAAAAAAAAAAAAAAAAAAAAAAAAAAAGAAAAGAAAGAAAAAAGCTTCTGCTTCATAGGTGATTTTGGTATGAACAGAGAATTCCTTATTTTAATTCCTTCTTTCTTTCATATTCTTGCTTTCCTTAAAATAAAAGCACTTTACATTCGCATGGTGCTTTGTATATTTAAAATATGTCCTGCAATGGTGACTATAGTTAATAATAGTATATGTTATATTTCAAAATTGCAAAGAAAGTACATTTCAAATGTTCTCACCACAAAAAATAAGTATTTGAGGTGATGCATATGTTAAGTGTGATTTAATCATTCTACATTGCAGACATAAATCATAATATCACTTTGTGCCCCATAAACATATACAATTAAATTTTGTCAATTTGCAATAAGATAAAAATATATATAAATCATGCTATTTAATCTTTATCCTAAAACTGCATACAAATGTTGGTGTTTTCACAGAGAAATACAGATTTCATTTGAAAAGTTTGTAATTGTGAGGAACTAGAATTACTTTCACGATCTTCTATATCAAAAGGGTTCATGAGGTAAATACACAACTAAAAATGAGACGTTAGTGAAGAATATTAAAAACATCCTATATTTATGGGATTTTATAAATTAAATGAAATATGAAAAATGAAATAAAATCTCTTTTAAATTAAATAATGTAACAAAATCAAAGAGCACGGGAAAATGAACAGAGCAAGCAAGAGAGAGCCCACAGAAAAATACAGAAAATATATGTTAATTTGAATTGTCTATTTTTCTCCATTCGGAGGTTTAAATTTTAGACTCAAAACACCTAAGGAAACTCACTTCACCGAGACGGGGTTGAGTAAAACTGTGCCACTCCGAGTAAGTGTATCTGCAGTTGTCCACCTCCGTGTGTCCTCCCCTGCAGGAGTCCAGGGTATGATGATGCCCAGCCCCCCGGCAGGATTCCAAGGTCTGGTTTCCTCCTTTCATCATTTCAATGGTTTCCTGCCCTCCATTTTTCATTCCTGATCCCATAGTACCACAAAAACCTTGGCTAGAGTTGTTGGTAGTTTGGGTCATAAATCCATTGGCAGAGCACTGAAATAATAAAATGAAATAATTCATGTTGAGAGGAAATGGATTCTAAGTTGTCATGAGAAGGCAAAGGAGAGAGAATATTTGTTCAACCTTTTATTCATTCATTCATTCATTCATTCAACAGACATTTATCAGTTTCTAATTATGTGCCCAGATACTGTCTTCATTCATTTTGTGCTGCTATAACAGAATACCTGAGACTGGTTAATTTTTAAAGAACAGAGATTTATTTCTTACAGTTATGAAGTCTGGGAAGTCCAAGATCAAGGAGTTCACATTTGGCGAGGGCCCATCCCATGGCAGAAGGTGGAAGGGCAAAAGAGCACGAGTGAGAGGGAGAGGGAGAGAGGGAGAGAGGAGCAACAGGGGGCTGAACTTGCTTTTACAATAAGCTTTCATGATAATAAACCCATTCTCATGATAAGGACAGTAATCCATTCATGAGAGCAGAGCCCTCATGACCTAATCACCTACTAAAGGTCTCACCTCTCAACACTGTTGCATTGGGGATTAAGTTTCCAACATATCAGCTTTTAGGGACAAATTTCACCATAGCAAATGCAAAAGCCTAGGGATATAAAGATAGACATAGTCTCTCGATGGCTCCAAGAAGATCTTATTCCAGGGAGAGAGAAAAACAAATACTTTGAGAATGTGATTACTCTACTATGTGGGTGAGCACAAAATGTTACAAGAGCACAGAAGTAGAGCATTAAAATTCAAATCCAAACAGGGTAGGTGGAATAGAACAGGTAACTGGAAAAACTCTGAGCTAAGAGACTAGGGACTAGTAGGAGTGGGACAAACAAGGCAACCACTGTAGAAGGGTCTGGAGGCAAAAGGCAAACAATGTCCTTCAGGGGTCCCCAACTTCAATCAGTTGAGAACAGCTACCACATAAGATTAGGGTTGGGGGGAGTTAGAAAGGTTATAAAAGGCCATAAGATATAAAGATCTATATGCTATGCTAAAAAAATAGACTTTATTATGAAGATCACAGGGACTGTGAAGAATTTTAACTCATTACAGAGAGAAACACATTTCAAAAATATCATTCTAGGCAATAATGTGGAAGACAAATAAGAAGACAAATTTAAGTTCATGGAGATCAGATGGGGGTCACTGCATCTGATCTGATCTGATATTCCAGGTAAAAATGATAAGGACCTAAGCCAAGGAGGAAGCAGTGATGACTGAAAGAAGTAGATGGACTCCACAGAGAGCCTACAAGTATCTAGATGGATGAGGCAATCAAGGACAGAGTTAGAAATTATTCTTTTGTGTTCCATGAAGGCAAACAGGTAGATGGTACAACTCACTGAAACAGGGAGGAAAGATGTGCTTATGGGCAAGAGGAGAGTGAGCAACTAAAGTTTGAACATGGTAAACATTAGAAACATGTGGGATGTCCAAGATGAATATATGAATATGCGGATTTGGAACTCAGATGAGAGATTTGAGCTGGAGATATAATTCTGGGAGACACTCCCAAATAGGTGATAGTTGAGGCCATGGGAATAGAGGACCTATCCAGAGAAAATTGTCAACCAAAATAAAAAAGGGCTAAGGATAGAACCACAAGAAAAATCACATTTTAAGGGGAGGGTAAGAGAAACACAGCTGTGACAGGCCAGATCTGAATAGCCACTGAGATAACAGAGAAAACCAAAGTGGCAGGACCCTGAAGCCATGAAGAGAGAATATGGTAAGGAGTGGGAGCAGCCAATGATGTTAACAACAACAACAGAAAAATCACAGCAAGGTAAGAATGGGTTCAATTAAAGTATAAGCGCCCATTGGATTTAAGTGAAAGAATAGCCATTGATGAGCTTTGCCAAAAGAATTTCCAGGGAGTGCTGGGTAAGCAGGAAGGAGTATTATAGAGAAATCAAATATAATTTTTTCTTTCCTAAAGTTCAGTTTGAAAGAAAAAGAGAGATGTGGAGGGAACTAGAGGATGACAAAGAGTCAAGGAAATGCTTTAAAATGAAAAAGTCTTCATTAAACATTAACTTAATACTGGAACTTCACTCCGACCCTCTGAGCCATAGGACAGAAGTTTAGTTACAGTGGTAACCTCGACATGTCAGTTTTCATTACAAACAGTTACATTACTTTCAGGACAAGAACCTCCATTACATTCAGGTTCCTTTGTGCCACCTTCCTATCAATTTAAATTTTTTTCTACTTAAAATGCAGTCTTTAACTAAATTGAAAGATTTTTCAAATACAGATGATTTATTGAACCTGAAATATATCTACAAAAGTCATACTTACTGTCGCATTGCCTTAGAAAAAAATACCAGAAAAAAAGAATTGAAAAGTAGCCATTTGGTGGCAGTGCTACCCTACATTTTTTTATTTAAGTTGCCATTACAATAAAATTCAATTACAAAAAAGGAAAAAAAAAAACCCTCCTAATTATTAAATCTTCTTGATGGTATAATTTCGTTGTAATAAACACAAGTTCAAAGATCATATTTCTAAGTGAATAAAAGAGGAATTTAAAATAAACTAAAAGCAATGCTGAGCCTACAGGGCTAGCTTTCATACTTTTATTCTCTGCTCCTTTCTGTCCTCCTCCATCCACATTTCCCAAAGTTCCTTCTCACAGGGTATCAACAACTCTTTATCCATGTCAATAATTTCTAGGTTTACTTTTCCAGTCCTGATTATTCACCCAACTCCTAATCCCATGTGCATGCCTTCAAGTGAAATTCAGATCCAAAGCTAAAATGATCACTTTTACTCATTGTATTAAAGCAAGTTTATAGATTCAAGATGAAATTTTATGTTTTTGTATAAATTAATAATTCCAAGCCCCTTTTAGAAGTGTTCCTAACACAGAACAGGTACATATTGTGAAATGGCCACTCAATATCATCAGCTCTAGCATTAAATGGCAAAGAACAGATATTAAGTAAAAGTCATCCATGCCGGTCTTAAAAATAAAATAAGAACTTACTATGAGTCAAGGACTGTCAAGGGATTAAACCTGCTTTCTCGCTGGAGAGATCATCACAGGTTTCTACATGTAGGCACGTCAAGCATAGATGGGCTATGATTTTGCATGGTGGTGTGGAGGAGTTGAAGAGAGAAATAGTGAATAAGAAAGGCATCTTCACCCCGAGACATAGAAAAGGCTGGATATGTAGTCGTTGTCCCTGGCTATAGCCTCTGCCACTTTGACTCTGCTTTTTACTTTGTTCCTTAAGTTCAGTCAGTCAACAAGCTTATCCTTTATACCTTTGAAATATTTCTTATTCATCCCTATCTTAATATAACAATTACCATCATCCTGGTAGAATTAACTCATGCTTAAACTAAGCTTTCATCTTCCCCAACCCTGATGTCTTCCTATTCTCACTGATCCCCCTACTGACTCAGCTTCACGCTGCTTGATTATACCTCTCTCCTGTAGAAAAGCCTTGGCTGGCTCTCCTTTACCATGAGAATAAATCCGAAATCCTTAGTGCAGCATTTAGAAGTCCTATCTCCCACTTGTTTCTTAATATTCTCTTCTCTAACACCGAACTTGTTTCAAGCCTCTTTTCCAACACATGATTTCTTCTATTCTAAATCAATTTATTTATTATTTGCTAAATAGCCCCTAAACTTTATCATCTCCTGTCTTGTAGGCTATGCTGTTTTCCTCTTCTTTAGCTATTCTCACCGTCTCTTCACTTTCAAACCCTTCTTATTCTTTAAGTTACCAAGTAAGCTGTACCTCTTGTCACCAGCCTTTCTGGTTGATCCAAACTACATGAGTACATTTAGGTATCATAGGTGTTTTTGAACTCTGACAGTGCTTTATCATATTGGTTTATTGTCATGTTCCTATTTTGCTTTTCCATAAAGTAGGATCTATTTCTCATAAATAAGTTGGCATCTTTTTGAGGTAAGAACATGCCTTGTAAGTACTTTTGTGTATATATATATATTTTGTGTACATATATATATACTTTGTGTGTATATATATATACTTTGTGTATATGTGTGTGTATATATATACTTTGTGTTTATATATACTTTGTGTGTGTGTATATATATATATATATATATATACTTTACACAAAACAAGAAGCATAAAAGCACCTCAGAAGTCCTAAGAAATATATAAGGAAAGAGAGTGGCAGTAATCTTCCAAACCCCTCTCCCTTTCTTTTAGATATATCTCATTGATATTTTCCTAGCTATCTTGAGAACTTTTAGCAAGCTTTTTTCCCCATTATAAATGGTCAACAAGTTACATAAACAAATTATATCTGGAAATATACATTGTAGAGTGCAGGCAAAAAAAACTATTGTTATAATAAATACTCAACATCAAAGAACAAGTTTAAACTATGACACTAGAGTGGAAAAAAGATAACTAAAATAATACATCTGGATTAAGAAGTTTAATAAATTACCACTATATAAACATATGAATATTGACAGACAATATCTATGCCTATGAAATCTGATTCAATTAAAAATATAAATTAACTCCTAAATTTTGAAATGAGTTTATGAGGATGAATTAAATTATCGGAGATACAAATACATATTTATTTAAAAATTACTTACCACTCTATCGTCTCCAGGTGCTTCTGTGTTTGATATAATTAAGTTTTGCTGTGCTAAATCTTCAGGAAAACGTTTCCCTTTAGTTGCACCAAAAACTCCACATACTAAAGTTAGCAATACAGCTGAATTTAAAAATAAAAATAAAATAACTTACTTTAGCATACATAGAATAAAATAATCATCATTTATTTCTTACGACCTAAGGATCAAAGTGGAAAATAAATCCACTAAGCATGGTTTCCCATGAATTATCTTGGCTGTTCTAAGTTAACATGTCACCAGATAGCTTAGGTTTTAGAATCAGAAGCAATCATCTGTATTTTTTCATTATATCTCACTAATTGAATTCTGCCCATCAAAATAAAGTACTTAGAATTATGAGTTAAGCAGTACATAAAGAAAAAAAATCACTGACATTTAAGACAAAGACTTTGAAAAAATTTACTGATTCCCCTAAAAATAATTTTCCTACATGAAATGTAAAAAAAGAATTGTGTACATAAAAACATGAGAAAAACAGACTGCTTTCCTAGAAAAGATTTATCTTTATTGAAACTACTTTGTATCTTGCCTATTAAGAATTCTTATTCTAAATCATAATTGTGGGAGATTGAAAATACATGATAATTAAACTAAGAAGAACAACAACAATTCTTCCAGTCTAAAAGACCCTATAGTGCATTGGCAAAATCCCCAAACCCAGAGCACTACATATTTTTGTATGGCCTATGAGCTAAGACTTTGTATTTTAAAATGGTTGAAAAAATTCAGAAGAATAAGAGTTTATAATGTGAAAATTACAGCCGGGTGCAGTGGCTCACGCCTGTAATCCCAGCACTTTGGGAGGCTGAGGCGGGTGGATCACCTGAGATCAGGAGTTCGAGACAAGACTGACCAACATGGAGAAACCCCGTCTCTACTAAAAATACAAAATTAGCCGGGCACAGTGGCACATGCCTGTAATCCCAGCTACTCAGGAGGCTGAGGCAGGAGAATCACTTGAATCTGGGAGGCAGAGGTTGCAGTGAGCCAAGATCTTGCCATTGCCCTCCAGCCTGGGCAACAAGAGCAAAACTCTGCCTCAAAAAAAAAAAAAAAGAAAGAAAGAAAAAAAAAAGAAAATTACATGAAATTCAAATTTTACAGTCCATATATAATGTTCTATTGGAACACAGTAAAGCCCATAATTCACATATTTTTATAGCAGTGTTACTGTTTGAAGGACAGATTTGATTGGATACAATGGAAAACACATGGCCTGCAAAGCTTGACATATATACTATCTAATCCTTTACAGAAAAAGTGTGCCAACTCTTGCCTACCCTACATGGCCCCACACTACCTTTCTGGCTCCATTTCCTAATCCTCTTCCCCTTGTCCACTCTCACCACACTGGTTTCCCTGCCACTCCTTGGTTTCTCCAGACATAATCACAAATTAGGGCCATTCCATTGACTTCCCTCTCTGACTGAAAGTTCTTCCCCCAGGCGTTCCGCCTGGCTCTTTCACCTCTTCCAAAAATCATTAAAAATAATCTTCTCAGACCTAACTCTCTATTGAAAATTGCAATCACTGGCACCAATACCCTCCTCACCAACACACTCCACAGCACTACAGATCCTAATTATTTGCCTCTCTTTTTTTTCCTCCATAGCATTTAATTTATTCATTAACTGTCACAAGGCAGAATGATTGTTTTTGCTTGTTTGTTTGTTTGTCTTTCCCTATTTTTCCTAAGCACCTAGAACAGTTTCCTGCCTACAGTAGGTGTTTGATATATGTTTATTTTTTGACTTGATGAAAAATAATGAACACATTAGAAATTTACTACGTACTGTTCTAAGCACTTCACATGCATTACCTCATTTAATCCTCAGTGCTACACCATATGGTAGGCTACTACAGTTATTCCTTTTACAGTGAGGAAATGAAGCACAGTTAAGTAATTTGCCCCAGGTCACATGGCTTACAAGCAATGAAGTTGGGGTACAAACCCAGGCAGTCTGATTCCTGAGTTCTTTGCTCTTAACTTCTACTCTTATCACAAAACAAAGCTAATCTAGGCTGGAGGAGGTTAACAGAATTTAAAATTGGCAAGATATACCCAAGAAGAGACATTGCTGAGAACAGAACATCTCCCGTAACTCTGTGGCTGGACGGTAAGAAGATATGGAATGAAAGTGGCTTTTGGTGGAGTTTCCTAAGGCAGAAATTTTAGATTGTTCTATTTAGCCCTAAAAGGAATAGCACTGGAACCAAGAAATAAAGACTATTTGTTTGTCAGATTCTGTGAAATCTAAGGAATTTTCAACAATTCTGTCTAAGCATAAAGTCTTTTATCTCAAGAAGGATCATGTTCCCGTCACAGAAAATATTCAAACACAACTCAGGTAATAATACAAAAGGAACTTGGAAAGAGACTCACATCTGATGGATGCTTGGACGAGATTATTTTTTAAACATCTTTTCCCACACCTAGATTTTTTATTATATATTTTAACTTCAAGAAAGTGAAAATACTTACAAAAGAGCAGTGCTATACCCAGTAATATTGCAAGGATTGCCCATTTTCCAAGTATTACTCCTGTACTCCTTGAAGTCGCACGACACTGAGTTGGATGAGTACATTCACACAGATTAACTCTCAATAATTTTGTTGCAGCTTGGCCGGCCCTGTCTTTTACAGTAATAGGAATGGTATATTCTTGAAATCCAGCATTTTTCTGATATGAAAGACGGGCAGCTGTATCTGAAAGAAAATAAAAGAAGTTTATTTTTTAATGATCATTTATTCTTCCCTTAGCATTTGTTTCATCACGCTTGTTTTTGAAGGCGTCATTCTCAAGGAACTGCCTGCCAGATGAAAATAAATAAAAATGGAGGACTGTCTTCAACCCTTTCAAACTCTACTGTTATCTTATATGTGTTGTCCCTTGTAATTCCTTAGAAGGGAGCCCTAAAGAAATAATTTGGCATTGGAGTAGCCCAGTAGTATTCCAGTAATGTTTATCTATACAAACTAATACTGTTAGGTTGGCTGTTAACATACACTTCAAGCATTTTTCTTTAGTACCAATGTATCTACAGGTACACACAAATAGTTTCTGAAGTTTACGTTTCTTATCCATTGACCTTCTAGTATTTGCGCACTATTCATATGGATAAGGTAATTTTTCAAAGCACAATAGATTGTTTACGATTAACACCTTTGCATCTGGAAGTAATCTTAGTACCAGAAGCTAATTAATGTCACTCAGGCTACTTATAAGGCTTACACAAAACAGAAATATCTATATAACAATTCACTTTTATCAACTCTGATAGTCAATTTTCCCCAATAGTCTTGATCTATTATTTTAATGACCATATTGTCAACTAACCAAAAGCTCCACAGAATTTCAATGGCAGTTACAGCCTCCCTGAGCTTTTATAATAGACTAAGTAAAATGAAAAAGTAGCATAATACACACCCTGGAAGTCATCTGGAATTCCTAAGCCTTGATTAAATGCTCTGCTGTAGCTGTAAGAATTTCAAAGATTTTGGCTGCACCTCATACCTGAAGGCTCCCTAGAGGAATATGAATTACCACTTGGGTTTACTTAGGACCCTTCAAGACCACACTGTGTCTAAGGTAAGATCCTTGAAATCTCTCCGCTCCCTCAAGACAACAAGTGGAGCCATTGTCATGTCTCAGTTATTCACAGTAGTGCATTGGCCTCTGATTTTTCTTCACTCAACTCTGCCCCCTTCATATTGTCCTCCTGTCAACAGTGTCACCTTTAAAAGATGTAAATCTGGGAATGGCATTGCCTTATTTGCACATTCCCAATGCATAATTGCTGTTGCCTACTGTACCAAGGTTAGTCCCCTCAGCCTGGCACACAAGGCCCTTCACCACCAGATGCTACCCTTCCTTCCACCCAACCTCTTGGCATTCTTACTAAAACCTTCTAAACTCTAATGACATGGATATACTTATTCTCCTGGTATGTTTCTTCTTTTATGCACATTATTAATCAATTATTGAACAAGCAAACATTTATGAAGCAGTTAGTATCTACTAAGCATTAGGCTAGGTGCTGGAAGTACAAAGATGAATTGCAAACATTCTAGGAAACTCATGTATTGGAAGGGAGAAGTAATCAGATGTTAATACAACAGGAAAGGCACTGCAATGCAGGTAGCGAAGGGTCATGGTGCCACTCCTTCCAATTCAAGACAAACTTCAGAGGTGGAGCATCTCAGCTGGGATTGTGTCTGTCTTGTTCATCTCTATATAAATCCTCAGGATCTGGACGAGTGCTTAATAGATAGTAGATGTTCATAAATATCATGAAAAAAATATCATGCTCATAAATATCAAGCTAAGAAATGGAAAAGGAGGTATTCTATGTAGATATGGCTATATACACAAAAGCCCAGTTGCATGAAAGAACATGGCAGTAACAACAGAATGAAGTATGGATGAAGTACAGAACATGACAGCCCCCAGAAACTGCTACAATAGGCAGCAGCCCCTCAATACTCCTTCCCATATCCCTTGCTATATCCCGCCAGGTTCACTTCCAGGATACCCTAGAGTGCTTGGTCTATACACCTGAGTTCCTCACTTCCAGAGTCAGCTTACAATACAATTTAAACTACACATCTTCTGCTCTCTCCTCACCTCGCTGGTATTATTATTATTATTATTATTTTGAGACGGAGTCTCCCTCTGTCCCCCAGGCTGGAGTGCAGTGGCACCATCTCTCAGCTCACTGCAACTTCCACCTACTGGTTTAAGTGATTCTGCTGCCTCAGCCTCCCCAGTAGCTTGGATTACAGGTGCCTGCCACCACGCCCAGCTAATTTATGTATTTTTAACAGAGATGGGGTTTCACCATGTTGGCCAGGCTGGTCTTGAACTCCTGACCTCAAGTGATCCACCCACCTAGGCCTCCCAAAGTGCTGGGATTACAGGCATGAGTCACCATGCCCAGCCATTGGCATTATTTTTAAAAACATGCACACACACACACAAAGTTTGTCTTAATGATAAGCTGCCCAACATTTTAACAAAGCTTTCCTTTGTTGTAAATGTAAATGTTGCCTTCATAAAAATTACATCTTCCTTCATTTTATATATAACAGAGCCCCCATATAATATTTGTAAAAGGTTAGTTTATCCTTCTAAAATATATTAATGAGACTCAGTTTTACTTCATGCTTTGTGTAAGTAAGCAAGTCAATCTATCCTCCAGTTATTCTGTTATTTCAGAGTTTATAAATCATTATTTTTTATTAAATACCATTAACTTTGGTGAGGCTCCACAGTCTACTGATTTCTGGAGAAGTATTGGGCAAACTGAAATAAAATGGAGCTCCATGGACAGGTTCATCAGGATCAACAGCTAAAATGTCGGTATACCCCATTTTTGGTTTGCAAATGACTACATATTCTTGAAGTATTTCTGGTGGATTATCATTTACATCTTCAATGTTCACAGCAAGTGTTCCAGTACATGATCTATCATCTAAGGAGACAGGAATAAGGTTTAGTGTTATTTTAAAATTCTTTCATAGTTTCTTAAAGAATAAAAAGTCAATTATATTCTATACATGATCTGTTTTTAAATAAACTGATTATTAAAGGAAATGATAAATAAATAAGAACATAGACAGATAAATAGAATCTGCAGCTAATTTGAAATGACTATTGCTACTGATAATATCAGATACAACTGTCAATAAATCTTTTACCAGAATTACTACCAAATAAAAATAAATGTCTGAATTTCAATCTCTATTTTTGGGGGTTCCAGGTGCCACATGTTAGTAAGCAGTAAAGTGGTTACAGATAAGATTTCTAATCCCAGTATATATTCAAACCACTAGGAAGATTTTTTTAAAATATAAGATTCCTAGGCTCCACAACCGGATATTCTGATTCAGTTAGTCTAACAAAGTATCTACAGATTAATATTTTTATTTTAATGTGAAGACAAGGTTGAAAAACTCTAGGTTACTTTAAGGAACAGAATTCAAGAAAAGGATCATTTTGACCTAATATGCAGCTGAACTATATAAAAGCTCAATTTAAAGTGACACAAACGGATGTGGAAGAGTCTGATGAGACCATTTTATCTAGTTTTAGATTTCAGTTTTATTTTTGTCCTCTAGCATAGAAATACATAAGAATTTAAGGTCCTGCCCTATTGGGGATATAAAGATAAATAAAACACGGCTTCTTGTCACCAAACAGTTTCACCTTGTTAGATAATTAAGAGAGACAGAAAGAGTCTTTAAAGTAATTTCAAAGAATTCCATACACTTACCACCAAAATAAATCTGCATAAGAATAATTACATTTTATTCTCTAATTCCTTTATAGAATACCAGATTAAAACTTTTTTTTTACCTTTGTCTATTGCCAGGACTGTAATATTATACAACTCATTTTTGGGAGTTTCAACCTCCCTATCCAGGATTTTGGAAGTTATGATTGACCCTGAAATTTCATCAATGGTGATCCAACCTTTAGGATCATGCAATTTTTTGTACCTGTTAATAAAAAAAAAATAGTCTTTAGCATCAGAAAATGTTTTCAAATAAGTTACTATCTCAATGATTACAAATACATTATTAGTATGTGGTTATAGATTTATTTTTACCTTAAACCATTGCCATTTCTATTTTCGGGGTCATATGCCTTATAGCCGTTGATCTTTGACCCCACTGCTAAGTTTTCTTTAATCCGCACATATTGGGCTGCAGGAGTGCATTCAGGCCCCTCATCCAGATCCCTCACATGAACTGTAACCAAGGCTCTGTTCAAGGCTGTCACTCTGGGAATATCTCTAGCAAATGGCGCTTCATTGTTTACTCCAATTTCCAGGTTCACTTGACGGTTTTCTTCATAATTCAGTGGCTTTAAAATAAAGTCCATGTATATCAGTGTCAGTGTAAAATACATCTGGCATTTCAAATGGCAAGTGAACATTTGTCATCCTGACCAGTGCTGCATAAATTCTATGTTCACATGTTGTTAATACTGACTTTTATCCCTTGCTAAACAGAGAGTGGATCCCGTGCTAAGCCTCTACCAAGAATGGTCCAACAACTTCTGCAGGTAGTTTCATAGAGTTGGACAAACGAAATTCCGGAAATATTTTCATATTTCACTCTTACTAAGGAAAATTACTCTGATTCAAAAAGTAATGCAAACAGATGACAGTATTCTTATGGTCCTGCTTGGAGCACTGTCTAACAGGCTGGGCTAACGGTCATCTGAGTATGGGAAGTTGCCTTTATTTGGCTTATCAGTTACTACTGACTATGGCCCAGGCATTTTATAACTCTTGTAAAGTTTGATGTTGACTTTCACAAAACCAAAAGGTGCAATGATTTCATTTTCTGTCTCATAGAAAAGATATCTCCAGTATTTTATTTTCTTTTATTTTATTTTTGAGACAGAGTCTTGCCTCATTCTGTCACCCAGGCTGGAGAGCAGTGGCGCAATCTTGGCTTACTGCAACCTCTGCCTCTTTGGTTCAAGCGATTCTCCTGCCTCAGCCTCCCATGTAGCTGGGACTACAGGCACGTGCCACCATAATCAGCTAATTTTTGTATTTTTTTCTTTAGTAAAGATGGGGTTCTGCCATCTTAGGCTGGTCTCGAACTCCTGAACTCAGGTGATCCACCTCCCTTGGCATCCCTAAATGCTGGGATTACAGGCGTGAACCACCATGCCCGGCCCCAAATGTGTGTTTTAATTGCCCTCTAAGGCATCTAACTGAGCCATCTAATTGCTGCTTTTCTTTTATCAAAATCCATCCAGAGTCTCATTTCTTCTTAGGAATCAACTTGTCTTTTTGCTGGTTCCTTCATGAATGAGTTAAAACCTTTATCCATCCATGCCCACTACCTGTTTTTATGAAAATTACATTTTTGAAAACTTGAGAATTATACTTTGGCATTGTCTATAATTTATCCAATGAAACATTCACAGTGGATACACAGAGGAGTAAGGGAAATACTATGTGATTGATTTTAATTATCATTGAATCTAAGGCACTACTCTAACAGTGAAAATAAACTCACTAAATCCTCATGACATTATGAAGTAAGTATTATTGACCTCATCCTCATTTTACAGAGCAGAAAACGGGAAAAGGAGATAAACTGATTTTTTTTTAAGACCAAAAGATAATCATTTGAGCTTGAATTTGAAGCCAGGTAGTCTGACCTGAGTCCATTTCCTTAGCCTACGCTATAATCCCTCTGCTATCGTGTGCTGCTTAATTGGCTCACTGATCTCTAAAAAATTTCCAAATCAATCTTTGACTAAAATTCAGTTTTAGATAACAAATCAAGTAAAACCCATAAAACATTATGTTACACTGTACTATAAAGTTGAAGCACTTTTTCTTCAATTTCTCTTTCTGCTTATCAAAACAATCACTGGCTAAACATTGAACAAAATCAAAACTGGTGAATAAAATTATTTTAAATCTTTCTCCACACCTAGGTATTAACAGAGTAAGACATTAGTATCACGAGTCCACTAAAAAGTCAAGAAAGTTTCTGAATCTTAGAATCTACAAAACATATGTAAAACCTTTTTTTATTTTGTATGTATATCCCACAAACTGGAGAGTCAAGGAAAAAAATATTAATATCTGTTCGTTTGATGCTGATGAATACTGTTTCACACATTTCATGTGCTGGTGTGATCACACAGAGAGTAAGAGCAACTGCTGGCAATGAGAAATGGATGGAAATTTAGAGAACAGCTGCTGCACTGGAGGAGGTGCAACTATTCAATCCAGAAACACTCGCTGAAGCCTTGGAGTTTCTTTGTCCCATTTTTCGAGGCTTAAGATGGATATTGTTTTAGTAGCTTAAAACTCTCCAAAATTAAAAATCTGGTGAGATGAAATCCTAAAGATTAATGGGATTAGTTAATCTCATTAATTAATAGGAAAGCCTGTAAATTCTCTTCCACCTCAGGGTACGTTTTTGTTTCGCCACTTAAAAAAAGTGCTTAAAAATATCCCACATCTGCACTGAGATGTTAACAACTCCCTAGAAAATGTATAGTTGTGGAAATGGAGCTGAGGACTCTCCATGTTGAGAAGGACCAAGAATAATACTATCCTCACTCAAGCCCATATGCGTCACTGCTGCTGCTCCAATGGACAGAAGCCACTGAGGTGGAATGAGTTTACCCAGAACACAGCAAAAGCCTGTATCACTCATGCTTTGTGGTTACAGAAAAGTTATCTATTTTGGAACATTATAACACTAGTCTCAAGGACATAGCATAACTTTTTAAAATAAAATAATAATATCCCACAGTTTACCAAGTGCTGTTACGTTCAATATTATATTTGAAGAGCTATTAGGGAGGCAGAAAGAAGTATTGTTCCCATTTTACAGATAACACAGAGGCCAACTTTCCAAGATCACACAGCTGTGGAAAACAATTTAACATAGTGCTTGACAGCGTATAGTTAGAGTCAAAGAGCTAGGTTCAAATTCTGTCTACACTACATCCTAGCTGTGTGGCATTGGGAAAGTTATTTAGTCTCTTTAACTCTTCTCTTCTGTGAAATTGTTGTAAGAATGACATTTAACACTACAGCATAAAATAAGGCTTTACACTAAATTCTGAGTAATCTCTCAAGCTGTCACAGAGGCGAATGAAGGGAATAAATGCTGTATGTTTTTGTTAACAGCCAATATATTGCAATAAAAGGAGACGCTAACTAGTAAGACAATGTTTGCAAGCTTTATTCAGCTAAAAGTATACCAGAGCAATTCTTGGTTTGGCCTACTGATTACTTAACTCTTTGAGGTATAAAGGAATGAATAACATGCACTCTTTCCCTGGATATAATTCTGACTAGCAAGGAAGAACCAGGGCATTGGAAGAGGAGGATTCCTTTAGAGTTAACAACATAGTGATGTCATTCTTTAATCAGTACTCAAAAGGTTAGTCATCATTAGGTACATAGCCTACATGACAGAAACATGGATTTTGAACACCATGATTATACAGTGTTTGATTTTCAAATAAAAGATGACTCACTGAGATTAAAAAGTACTTAAAGATGCCAGGCACGGTGGCTCACGTCTGTAATCCTAGCACTTTGGGAGGCCAAGGCGGGCGGATTGCCTGAGCTCAGGAGTTCGAGACCAGCCTGGGCAACACGGTGAAACCCCATCTCTACTAAAATACAAAAAATTAGCCGGGCATGGAGGCATGCGCCTGTAGTCCCAGCTGCTTGGGAGGCTGAGGCAGGAGAATTGCGACAGCAAATTCCAAAAAAAAGAAAAAAAAAAAAAAAGTACTTAAAAGTACTCCATCTCCAAAAAAAAAAAAAAAAAAAGTACTTAAAGACATGATTTAACCACACAATCACAACTCTTTCCCAAGGAAAAGAATAAGATACTTTCAAAGACTAGCATGGCTATCAAAGGAGCCCTGTGATAATAATTCAGCTTTTCTAAGGGTTTGGATAAAATATGAAAAGGATAACACAACATGGCAAAAGCAAATTTTATTAATCAAAATGTTAGCAGACTATGAATGACTCAAAGGAAAAGAGGAGGTACGATTAGCAAAGGAGCTAGTAATGTCAGAAGAAAAATATAATTTAAAAAGTAAACTCCCAAAAGTAGAAATGAATTAAGGTTGCAAGAAGAGAAGATCCTCTTGTGCAAATGAAGTAATGGCTTTATCAAGCTAAGTAACTCAAGTATGGAAAAGAGGCGACATAAGAGAAGCAAGGATACCAAGCCAGAAGGAGAACAGCTCAGGGATTATGAATAAGAGCTCCCCACCAGAGAGATCTGGGTTTGTATCTTGGCTGTATGAACAGAGTTATCTCTCCTAGATAGTCTGGACATTCAACACCTGACTGTGGGGTACAAATCACCTATCCTAGCTGTATGGACTGCAGCATGTTATTTCTCTTTGATTCAGTCTACTCATCTGGAAATGAGAAGAATTAGAATAACAACCACATGGGCTTGTTTTGGAAAGATAAATAAATCTTTTAATTCAATGTTTTTTGGGAAGTTTTGTGGGACACTGTTTCAGAGATGGAAAAAAAGAAGGAAATAAATTAGTTTTATGAAGCAAGCATAAAATTGATAGTAAAAACTTAATAGCAATTATAGAAAAGGAAAAACTATGGTAAATCCTTTTTGTGGATATGGATGTAAATCCTAGACAGAAATTAGACAAAACAGCTGAAAAAAATGAAATTACAATCTTGGCTATGACTTAGGAGAAAAATGCTAATTCTCTCCTACTCTTTCTATGAAATTAATATAATTGTAAAAACATCAAAAGAGATATTTTTAAACTTAGGAGCTGATTTGAAAGTTCACATGGAAGAACAAACAAGGAAGATATTCATAAGAAAAAAATCCACAAAGGAAGATCACTAGGTAAGAGTGGCATGGAACACTGCAAATACTAAAATGCATATTATACATTTGATATTCTTAAATAGCTAGCAATAATACAGCAGCATATAGATGCTAATTAATAAACAATAAATTAACGGTACAAAAGAGAATGTCAATAACAAACTCAAATATACATGTATCTTATTTTATGACAAAGAAAATATGTCAAAACATGAATTGGAACAGATACAAAAACTAAAATTTGATTCATATCACAATTGTTCTAGGATAAATTTCATACAGATCAAAAATTTAACTGGATAGATAATTAAACAATAATAATGTAGAAGAATTTCAGATAAAATGCTTTCATAATGTCAATACCATGATAATGACACAAATCTCACAACCACAGAAGCCTCTGATAAATTGTGACCAAGCAAGCCCTGCCAACAAAACAAATCCTGGAGGTCAAAAACCAACACAAGCAAACTTATAAAACAATAAAAATTGGTAAAAATATTTGCAAAAATATTTCCTTCCGTAAAACTCTTATAAATAAATAGTTAATAGATAAGAAGAGCAAAACATAGAAAGCTGGCTAAAAGACAGGACTAGTGAGCTTGAAGATATAAAATATATTCAATGGCGTCTTCATATAAAAGGAATGCTCAGCTACACTGAAACACCATTTTTTTGCTATTCAACCGATAAATATCAAAACTTGATAATATAGTTGGCAATTATTTTACAACAGGCATGTGTGTACATTTCTGATGAGCATGTCAACATGCACAACCTTTCTGGAGGACAATCAGGCAATAAAGCAACCACAGAAAAAAATAGCCATGTCCTTGACTAAGCAATTCCATTTCTAGAAATTTATCCTACATTTACATTGTAGTATATTCATTGTAGTATATTTTGAAATAATAAAAAAATTAGAATTTCCATTGATATGGCCTAAATTTCCATTTATAATGAACTAGTTAAATAATAATTTACATTCATATGATGGATATTTTACTGTAATGTCTAAAATAGATAGCTGTAAAAAATGGCAAAACTGTTTACATACTAATATGTAATGACTTCAGGGAAAAGTTGTTGAATGAAGAAAAGCACAGAATAAGGAATACAGAATATCCATAGGTGTGGTCTAAACTTCCATAGATATGGAACTGGTTAAAAAAATATGGTATGTCCATACCATACCATGAAATATTTCCAATGTATATATAATGAACTCAAGAGATATGTTAATTGAAGTAAAATGTATTTGTTTTTAAAAAAGAAACATGATAAGATTACTTAAACATGTTTGTGTATATATAAAATACCTTTTGAATAATACACAGGAAACAGGTGGCATGTATTAATTCTTCCAAGCAGAGCTGAGTGGCTGACAGACCAAGTAAAAGTGAGACGTTTTACACCATGTTTTTTGTTTCTTTTGAACTTTGAATTTTTGTTTCTTTTGAACTTTGAACTAATGGACTGCTTACTGAAAATTTGAAAATTACTGGCCTTATTAATAAATAAATGTAATAAAGAATCTATTGACATTTAAAACAATTAAATGAGATACTATAGGTTAAGCACTTGGCAAAGTGTCTGGCATTTAGTAAATAATAAATGTTAGCCATTATTGTTAATTTGTGTTTAACATGAAGTATGAATTTGAGAATATAATTAGATTTCATGACAAGGGGCTGCAGATGTAATATATTCTGTGACATATTGAATACAAACTGCCTTGTGGGCTTAATGAGGTATGGCATGCAGTAATGGAAAGATAATTAATTTGGGAACAAAATAGACCAGGTTTGTGTTCCGGGGTGGATCGCTAATATATGCTTGACTTTGAGGAAGTTATTTACCTTCATCAGCCTTAGGTGGTTGTTGTGTTTTTGGGGTTTGCCTTTTTAAAAAAATCAATGTAAAATAGGGATAATAACACCTTGTCATATAGGGGATATGAAAACTATGTACAACTTATGTAAAGTGCCTAGCATTTTCTGTGACATAAAAGGAACTTGATTCATGGTAGCTACTTTTAAAATTCTAAAAATATTAAAAGTATTTCCTTCATGTAGAAACTAGGATGTAATATCAAATATAAGGGTAACTATCTTATGTTTTAAAATAATGGAAATAAATGTATATAAATGTATTGGGGAAATTTTTGATACACTCCAGATGTGAAATTAAGTTAATCTGAACCAAAAACAAAGCAGTAAAGTATTATTATCTAACTGCTGCCCATTCTGGAGAATCCTGGAGTGCTACTCAGAAATGAAACAAATGCATGTCAGTCACATGGAATGAGAAATATTCTATGATATAGGTTATAACTTCCAATCACCTTTGGAAATGTTTTTCTTAATACCTCTATGGTCAGAACTCCTTGGACAAAAAAACATACAAAAGAACATTGAGTACATATACTCATTGATTAGGCCTTTTTAAAAATTAGAGTATATTCTTTAGAAAAAGTTTGCTAGAGATCATTTTGTATTGGTCAAAAAAACTTAGAAATGTAATTCCTAGTGGTATTTAAATTTTATATCCTCTAAGCAAGACAAAACCTCTGATATTAAATAATAACAATAATGATAGAGTTTCTCCACATGGATCTTGAATAACGGCCTTGAGAGAGACTGGAGAAGCTGCCTTCTGACCAAGGAGCAGATAGACAGCACACCAAAAGGTCTGAGCTTGGGTCTCTGACAGAAGCTACTGTAGTTATATTGTCTGCCCTTCCCAAATCTTAAACTATTCCTTTGACTCATTTGCAGGAGAAACCAAGGCTTGGTGGGGGTGAGGTAGGAGATCAGCAGGACTTGTTTTCTGAGCATCAGTCATGACCCTGCTGATTAAAACAGAATCTCATCGAAACAGTATGCAGTCAAGAAACCAGCCACAATCAGTTAAACCAAGAAGATGAGGACAGAGACCTCTAGTTGACCTCAATGCTCATTATATGCTAATTATAATGCATTAGCATGCTAAAAGACATTCCCACCAGCGCCATGATGGTTTACAAATGCCACGGTAATGCCCAGAAGTTACCTGATATGATCTAAAAGGGGAGAAACCCTCAGTTCCAGGAACTCCTGCCAGTTTTCCAGAAAATGCATGAATAACCCACCCCTTATTTAGCATATAATTAAGGAGTAGTTATAAATACAGCTAGCCAGCAATCCACAATTGCTACTCTGCCTAGTGAGCAGCCCTGCTCTGTCTGTGAAGCCACCATTTTCCTTTGTCTGTTGCTCTAATAAGCTTGCTTTGCTTTCACTTTACTCTACTGTCTTGCTCTTGAATTCTTTTCCAGGTGAAGCCAGGAACCCTCTGGGCTGAGCCCCAATTTTGGGATTTGCCTGCATCAGGAGGAAGAGGGGAGAAGGGTGTCCAGGAGAACATTTAACAGAACATCTGTTGCAATCACATCAATTCGAAACATATGCCTGTACTACCTAAGTGTTCAGCCTTGGAAACTGTATGAGATATACGGTAGCCCTTTTCAGAACAATTATACACCACAGCCCCTCAGCCAGTTCCCATGTGTGCTGTAGATTCACATCTCAAGACTCAAAGATTTGGCTCTTCAGATTCAGGGTTCCCTCTAAAACCAGAGGGCTCCCTCAGCAGACAGCAGGCACAGCCCAATCCAGAAGTGTGGTGAATTTAAGGATCCCTGGGTGAAACCTTCAACCAGTGGGGCCTGGGTACTGAGAAGGGATGTGAGGGGTAAATACCCCAAGTATCCATTTTTGAGGGGATAATTATGAGGCAAGTTCTACATGGTTTCTTGTATGGATGAACACCAAAGATGACTAGCTCAATAATGCAGACTAGATTGGCTTTTCCTCCTTCCCTATCTTATTTTCCCATTTTAACATTGGCTTCCTGGGACCCACTTCCTAAATACATTCCCATGTTCAGGTCTTTGTCTTGCATTCTACTTTCTGGAGAGTCCAAATAAAGACTAGATTGATTTGGACTAATAAAAAACAAAAGCAGTCAGTGGTATTTTCTTATTTCCTTTCCTATTACTCTCAACTATAAAGCATAATGGGTTTTTTTAAGTACTTGGTTTTAGTATTCAATTTGAGCAGATCATATTATAGAAAAATAAAATAGGGAGGCTTGATGTCAAGAGTCTATATTTGACTCTTCACATCTGGACAGAACTTGCCAAGTCTTAGTATAGGAGCCTTGGAAATTTTTACAGAGGAAATAATTGCAAATAGAGGTGTTTGTGTACCAAAGATGCCACTTTACTGTTTTTGGCAGATAAGCCTCTTTCAATCAATGAATGACCTCTATTCTTGTCCACAGGACAATATTAATTTTTGTTTTGTTCTGGGCTAGAAGTATAAAACCAATGATCCTTTTCAAACAGATCCCTTCCTACCCTCATAACCTGGATCCTAGAATGTACCAGCACCACCAAATATACAACATACTGAACAAAAAATAAGTTCATTCATTGCTGTTTGAGATAATACTAAATTTCATTGTGAATATCACCTTTAAAAGGATCAGATACAACCAGGCATATATTATAGAGAAAATGAGAAGAATATGGGTTTGTATGTCACATCATGTAAGAATTAAGAAATTGAGAATATTTATCTTACAGAAAGTAAGTCTCAAATGAACATAGCAGCCTTTTCAAAAGAATTATAGCTGTTCTGAATAGCATTAGAGGAAGAATCAGAACCAAACATATGAGTTATAGAAAAAATAACCTGGACACAGTAGAAGTAAGAACTTCTGAGAACCAAAGCATTTCAAATGTGGGATAAGTGGCCAATGGAGCTATGGAGATCCTTATAAATGAGAATGTTCAAGCAGAAGCTAGGTGACTAGCAATCAGCAATAAAATTACAGAAGACACACAGGCATGAGATTGGAATAGTGGTTTAAATAGATTTTAAATTTTCTTCCAACTTGTAGAGTCTATGGTCTGAAACTATTTAGTTGATTAAATTATTAGGTAACTAAAACCTGTTAATTTGCTAAGTTGTCAATTATACATTACTGTACCTTTACAACAGAAAGAACACCTTCATTAGTTTCTTTGTCTGTGCTGATTTTGAAATGTCCATTTTCATTTCCCTTTAAAATGGTAAAATTGACTCTCCAATTGGCAGTGTTAATTAAATCCTTATCTTCTATAGGTATTCGTAAGATTTCCACATTGAATGCATTTTCCTCTACAAATGCTTCATACTGAAACAGAAAGAAGTCATTGAAAATTGAAATTTTATTTTATAGACAACTTTAAAAAAAAGTTTCTTCCATTCCAAAAATACTTACCATTATAATTTTATATAGATTATTTTAAAACTATGAATCGTAAACACTATTGTTTCATTAAGGGTTATCTTTTAAATAAAAGAAAAGTTTCATTACAAATGAAGACTCATGGTACTGGCCTTTGACAGAAGGGAGATAATAGAAACACTAATATGAATAAATAAAATAAATTTACATATCACTTGTTTAAACTTTAATTTTATTCATAAAATACGTATACGTCAAAGTATGATACTTCATGAAGTATTAATTTTATTAATTCAGTTTAAATAAAAAATGATAGCAGATAAGACAGAGGCAGATTTTGATATTATATACTTACAGCATTTTGTCTGAAAGTGGGTGCATTATCATTTGAATCTGTTACTGTTATGATACAAGTTGATGTGCCTATCAATCCAAAAAACTGGCCATCCATGTCTTGTACTTTCATTATCAATGAGTACTTGTCTACAACCTGGAAACAAAGCAAATATTTAACTAGTCTTGAAAAATTTTTGGTAGATTTATAAATGAAACCTCAATTGCACACTCACTCACTCACATACACACACATCTGTGTGTTTCCGTGCTTTTACCTGATTTCCATATTTGCACAGACTCTAGGAATTTGGTAGACAAGGATAAAGCTGAAGAGGCAGGCAGAGATTAAATTACAAAGACCCGTACTCAGAAATTATGCTTTAAGTAACAGGTAATAGCGAAAAGGTTTTTGGAAGTCATAGGGGCAGCACAAAATAAGAATATTTGAGTTTTGTTTTGTTTTGTCTTGAGACGGAGTCTCATACCGTCACCCAGGCTGGTGTGCAGTGGCACGATCTTGGCTCACTGCAACCTCCGCCTCCTGAGTTCAAATGATTCTCTTGCCTCAGCCTCCCTAGTAGCTGGGATTACAGGTGCCCATGCCCAGCTAATTTTTTGTATTTTTGTAGAGACGGGGTTTCACCATGTTGGCCAGGCTGGTCTCAAACTCCCGATCTCGTGATTCACCCGCCTCGGGCTCCCAAAGTGCTAGGATTACAGGCATAAGGCAGCACACCCAGCCAGAACATTTGAGTTTTAAAAAAATATATCCTTAAGGAAGTTTTGGCATAATTTGGAGAAAGCCAAAAAATCAAAGCAGTTAGTTGAAACTCCCCTGCAGCAATCATCTAAAACAGGTGGCTTAGGCCAGCGCAGTGGCTCACGCCTGTAATCCCAGCACTTTGGGAGGCCAACATAGAAGGATCGCTCAAGGCCAGGAGTTTGAGACAGACATGGGCAATATAGCAAGACCTCATCTCTACAAAAAAATAAAAATTTAGCTGGGCATGGTGGTATGTGTCCGTACTCCCAAGCTACTTGAGGTGCTGAGGCGGATGGACCCTTGAGTGGGAGTTTGAGGTAACAGTGAGTTATGATCATGCCACAGCATGCAGCCTGAGCGACAGAGCTAGATCTCTTCTCTAAACAACAAACAAATAAATAAATAGGGCAAGTGTCCCAAATCTGAGGCAGTAGCAATGAGGACAAAGAGAAAGGATGGCAGGAAATTTACTTGGGAGTTAGAATGGAGTAGGACTTAACAGTAAATTCTATATACAAGTTAAGAGAGAATGATTTTCAGGTGTCCCACTTGGAGAGATAGGAAGACAGGTGCATCATCAAACAATACAAGAAATGCAGGAGAACGATTCTCGGAGGAAGTAAACACTATTGAGGTTGGCAAAGGGGTAGAAATACTGAGTTTTGCTTTGCATATGTTGAATCTTATGTGCCTGAAGGAAATCTAAGGAGTAAAGTCCAAAAGGCACCTGGATATATGGCCTCATATGTACAGAAGAGATCATGACTAGAAATGTCTACCCAGAAATCATCAGTATCTAGATGGTGGTTGAAATTATGGCAGGAATCAGATTATTCAATTCAGGAGAGGCTGCAGGATGAGAAGAGCCTCGGATGTAAGGACCTACAGTATTTGTAGCATGGAGGGAATAAGAAGACCATACAAAGGACACTAAAAAGGAAAGATCAGAGAAGCAGGAGGAAGACCAGAAGTCTAAGGGAAGAGAGAGTTTTAACAAGTGCCAGCAATAGACAAGGACTTAAGGTTGCTGTTAGATTTGCAAAAAATGAAATTTTGCAGATGGTGTGGTGATGGTGAATTGAAGTCATTAATTTGTGGTACAATCATCTTTGTGGCCTTCCTCTTTTATTTTACTGTTCGTTAGTCACGCTTTCATTCTTTTATTTTTCTTCATTTTTTTTGTTTCCCTCTATCTCTTCCCTCAGTCTTTATTTTACTTGATCTCCCTTCCATACTGAAAGTCAATATTCTAGTCAGGTGCCATGGCTCATGCCTGTAAATTCCAACACTTTGGGAGGCTGAGGCAGGCTTATTGCTTGAGTGCAGGAGTCGAGACCAGCCTAGGCAGCATGGCAAAATCCTGTCTCCACAAACAATAAAAAAATCAGCCAAGCATGGTGGTGTGTCCTGTAATCCCAGCTACACAGGAGGCGGAGGTGGGAGGATTGTTTGAGCCCAGGAGGTACAGGTTGCAGTGCACCATGTCTGTGCCATTGCACTTCAGCCTGGGCAAGAGAGCGAGACCCTCTCTCAAAAAAAGAAAAAAATACAAACAGAGAAAGTAAACCAATATTCCCACCTTAAAATGCTCTTCCCGTATGCTTTAAGAATCCCTGATATTCTTTTTATCTTCCTCTAAATTCACTGTTTTTTTTTTTTATCTCCCATCATTTTTACTTCTCATGTTGTTCCCCTCAACGCTCCATGGTTGTTGCCCACAAAATCTGGTAGATTTTTTTCTTCATCAGGAAAGTAGCAGACCTGGGTTTGATCCTAAAACTGTATCTTACAAGTTGTGGACCCCTAAATTTAATTTTTCTAAACCTCATTTTAAAAAATTTGATGACTAAAACCTGTTAACTTGCAAAGTTTCAATTACTCACTTGATTACTACATCATCCCTACAAACTCCACAGATACAAAAGCACATTCAGACTTTCCCCTTAAAACTTTCCCACTTACTATTATCCTTATGTATTTTATCTATAACATAAAATGCTCCGGCCCCATAAAAAATAAAAATAACGACAATTAAAACGTTTGTACTACTTCTCAGTACTTTTTATAGATTCCCACCATCTCTCCCTGTTTCTTTGGCATCAAATCCCATTGATTTCTTCCTTATAATATATTTTCTAGTCATATTGACTCTTCTATATAAGGTATTCTAGTTGTAGTGGGAAACATTGAACTATTCCAATAAAGCTATTTTGTCCATATAAAATTGATTCATCTGCCTTAGTCAATAATGCATGATTGCTGACAAAATAGAACAATAAAAACTAAAGATAAGATTCAGTGCAGTAATTTGACCTGAGCAAGTCAATCAATGTTTCTGTCACATTTCTCATTTATAGATAGGATATAACACGTGTCTAGTCAAACAAAAATATTCTAAAGGGCAAATAAAATTATGCATTAAGAAGTTCAATATAAAGCACTAGATACATGACAATATGCTATTACTATCATCCAAAAAAGTGTTTCATATTTTTAATAATCCATCAATTTTATTTCAACTAATCCTTTCCTCACTAAAAGTATATATATCTATAATAATTAAAGTAGAAATCAGGGCATGATCCACACTCATAGAACAAGCAAAATTAATTGTCCTACATGAAAATTGAAACCTTTGCTGAACTGGAACCAACTAGCCACACATAAGAAAAAAAAATTTATAATGAAATTTTTTCTTTTCTCATCCCTTCTAAATGCCAATTGATCTGCGTTTCTAGTCCTTATGGCTACTCTAACATAAGGAAATAGAAATAATATAAAAAACAGAAAAAATTGTTAGGAATTCTTATTGTCTTATGCCTAAAATAAAATTAAACTATTAATCCACAGGATAGCAAGTTATAATAAATGGGGGAGGGAAGCTTAATCCTCAGCGAAATGAAATTCTATGGAGTGTGTGAGCTACCTCTCTGTCCAAATAATGAGAGACTGTGGTGATTACGCCTGTGCTGGGATGCACAGAAAAGAGCCCAGGTGACCTTGGTGTCTGCTGCAAAATGCTGTATTTCAGGCGCGTATGCATTGTGTCCGGTTCATCTCTGTCTGTGGCACAAACCACCCCCACTGTAGTACCTACACATTAAAAAATAAAACAGCCTTTAATTTACAGAATTGTTAAATATACTTTCAAAAGTATCTACAATCTTAAAATGTTAACAGTGATGATAGAAACCTAATCTAAAATGTATTTATTACCAGAGTATTATTTCATCTTTAGATAGGACTGAAGAGGATAACTTCAAATTTATCACACATAACACTTTGATGCTGAAAATTAAGGTATACTTTTGCTCACAGTTTAACACATTTGATCATAAATCACTAAATAAATTAGTTAAATGGCAATCAAAATTAATTGGAATACATATGTGCACATATTTCAATAACAAACCTAGATGGAGGAATAAACCATGTCTCCTTAATAATCAGATTTTTTAAAAATTGGACTTTTGATTAATAGCTAAATCAAGACTGATTAGGGGTATGCAGTAATAATATAGATGATCAAGTTGACCTTTAGTAGTCCAGCCTCTCCTTTCTATAATCTTTTTGCTACTTCCTGATTTGATTTGTTTTAATAAACCGGTTTAGTATCACAGCCTTAACTGGTCTGAACCTACTGATAAAATGTGCTTAAAGTACCTTGGGTTAAGCTGGGCATCGAAGTGTTTGTCCTTTTTTTTTCTCTGTTACTGTAAAAGAGAACAGACTCCTCAAGAAAGCCTGAAACTAATTACCCCTTTTTGAAAAAGGGAAAGCATACCCCATTGCTAATTAATTAAAGGCAATATAATGTCAATGTAATGTCATAGAATTGTGAGGCTAAAAACATTGTAGGTCATGTAATGTAATGAACTCCTTTTACAAGTAAGAAAACTCAGAGGGACTTCCATGAGTTTCCACAGTGAGTTAGTAACACACCCTACATCAAAAACGATGTTTTCTATGCTTTAGTGGCCATTTTATTATCTGTGTGTATTCCATAACATCATGTTGTAAACCTTCACTACACACAATAAAATTTATTTAAAAAGAAACAAAACTAGGTTTCCTAAACTCCAAACCAATAATTTTTTTAAATTTTTAAAATTGTACCACGTGAGTAATAAAGAGGTTAACATCTATGACATCAGATTAACAAAGGAAAACATAAAGGGAAAAAGCAGATATAATATTGCAGTGAAGATCTAAGCAACTACTGGAAACTTTAAAAAGCAAATTAGGAAAGTCATCCTTTATGACTGAATCCTCCTTCTTTTAACTTTATTGTGAGGGGTTATTCTCCATATTACAAGTCTCAGAAGCCATCGTAAGTGCCACATTTTAAGGGCCAGGTAAACTAAAATACTTCAGTTTTCCACATGTAAGAGCAAGTGTTTAGAATAGAGAACATTTGATGTAAGTTTCTCTGAAGTTATTCCGGTATTCATTCTAAATTGGAAGTAGTGAGGTAGTAGTTTTAAAAGAAGATAATATAAATAGGAGCATAAAAAAAACTGTACCCTTAGTGGATGTCATTTAACACCTTCCTAAATAAAAGCTCAAAGAAAAAAACTATACCGATTTTAGTTTTATTGTTCATTCCACCCTGCATGTCCTCTCTTGGAGTTGAGAATAATGAAAAACCCACGAGGAAATGAAATAAAATATATAAACTGAATATTACACAAAGCTTGAATAACTGTTAGCTCCCTTTACAGTTAATTAGTATCATATTGACAATGACAGAAACTTCTGTACTATCTGGGCAAGGCACATGTTGATTGAAAGTGATGGGATTAAGTGTTTTCTGGTAAGTAGATTCTAGTTCAGCGTTATCTCAGGCTGATCTGGCCTTGAGTATAAAAAGCTCTATGTCTTTTAAAATGTACACAGACATATTTAAAATGATTCTTTTTATTCTTAAAAGCAGACTTACCAGGTCTACTACTTTCCAAAACTTCAAAATTATAAATTGCTTCTGTGAAAACAGGGTGGTTGTCATTTTCATCCTCTACCCTGATGGGTAGTGGGAGGGGCAGATCTGCTGAATATCCATCTGCAGTTGACGCATAAGCAATCAACTGCAAAATAGCAAAAAGAAAGTTCCATTAATATCAGATCCCGGCAAGACAGAATAAGATGCTTTATCTACTACCTGCCTTGCAAATCTTTTCAATAATAAACTACTTTGAAGTTTTTTTATCCACTGTGTTTTTAATTATCAAAGCACCAAATGGAGAAACACTTTACTGCAAAGAGCATCCAGTATGTGATGGAAATGGCTATCGCAAATAAAACCTAGGTCAGAGTACAGTGAAGTCGGGGCTGACTCTGTCCACTAGACTGAGGAATTAAATGTGAATATAAATTCTCTCTATAATCAGAAAATTATGCTGGAGAGAACAATTAAACTCACTGCAATAGGAAAAATTCCTACTACATTATCTAAATAAAGCAGCAATTCCCAATTTGTCACTATCAAACCCTGTTATTATTTTACCTAATAGACCACATATTTGTAAGAATTTTTCTGACAAAATACATGTACTAGTTTCCCCATTGCTGAGTAAAGGCAATGTAATGTCAAATAGAATATATTTTACTGAACATGTGATTACAACACTGAACTGAAAATTTTCTAAGCAAATGCAAAGCATGTCACATGGGGTACATCAGTTATGTTTGTTTACACAGCATCTCTTCCTTCTTTTTTGTAGGAACAGAATCTCTCTTTCCGAAAATCATTCCATCAGAATCATGGGAATGACACATGACCTCACAGCATTTACCATATTACACTGAAAATTATCTGAGTTATTTGCTATTGACTATAAGCTCATCTATATCAGAATACTGGCTTATTAGCCCTTATTTGAGTTTGGTCTCCCACTTTCACTTTCTTATGTAGTTCTCAGATGTGATCAAATAATCATCTGTGTGGAAGGAAGACAAAAATGGAAGTAAGAACAGTATAGATACAGGATTCTTCCAATCAACTGTAGACATGTCTTGAAATGAGGAAAAGGTGCCAGCAACCAGTAAGAAAGAGAGAGAGATTATCTCATAAGCAAAACCAACTTTTTGGAAATTTACTGACATTTACATCGAAATACTTTGAAATTTATGTTCAAATATTGAACCTCTTTGCTTCATTTCAGGCTTACCTAACAGCAGTTGAGACAAAGAGCTGACCAAGTATTCCAAAATGTTGCACATTCTATTTCCCATTGACTCTAAGATACCCTCTAAGAAGAGAATGCAAGGAGAGAGGAAAGAGTAGCTGGAGTAAGCATCAGAAGAAACATAGTTTAATAATTTAAAGTCAGGCATATCAATAAAAGTCCTACATCAAAAACATCATATTCTTCACGATCCACAGGCCGAGTGCAAAATAGATTTCCAGTGTCTCTTTCTATATAAAACAAATTTAAAGGTTCTTTATCAACTCCACGTCCACTTATTGAGTAGAAGACAGTATAGTTCTGTGCTGCATCAGATTCAACCTAAAAGTAGAAAAAAAATATGCAAAAAAATTAAAACTAAATTCAGTTACAATATTTTTTAAATGCAGCTGATGTATCTTTTTATTTTAAAGAGATAATTTCAAAAGAAAAGGTAGAAAAGAACAATAATAACCATTGTTGGCAAGAGTAAGGCAAACAGGGATTCTCACAGGAAGAAGGGAATCCCAATTGGAATGTACCCTAGGAAGAAAACTGACAAAAATTAAATGAATAAGCTATGAGGATAAACAGGGAAGGATCTTTCTGGCAGAGAAAATAGGAAGTGCAAGGGAACAGGCTGGTGTTTTACCTAGCATGTTCAAGGAGTAGCAAGAAAGCCACTGTGATTGGAGTAGAAAAAGCATGGAAAAAAGAAGTAGGAGATGAAGAGGTAATGAGGTAATAGGGGCCACATTGGAGAATTCGAGGATGCTGGCTTTTCCTTGGAGTCTAATGGAAAACCACTGGAGAATTTAGACAAGGGTAACATCATCTGATTTATATCCTTAAAGGTAATACTTGCTGTTTTGTCAAGCATGACTAGAGGTGGTTGGATGGGTAAGGAAAAAAGCAGGTAGACCACTGAGGAAGTCACTGCAAAAACCCAGAGAAGAGACTGTAGTTAGTTAGGCTAACATGATAGCCATAGGGGTGGTGAGAAGTGGTTAGATTCTGGATATAATTTAAAGGTACAGCCATCAGAATTTGCTGATGAGTTGGATGTGTGGTATAAAGATGGAAGTCAAGGACACTATGTCAGAGGGTGCTAGTATCTCTTAATATCTATTCTGCCCATCTTCCTTAGTATTAGAATTTGTAGTGATCACAAGGTTGTCCAGAAGAAAGGATTTCTCAGTCACCCTTGCAATTAGTTAGAGCCACATGCTAAGGTCAGGACAAGGGAATGTGAACAAAAATGATATGTGCAAAATCCAGTTGTGCTCTAGAAGGTGAGAGAGTGTCTTCTCCCTGTTGGACACAGAGGTGAGCCATCTGGAACCTGCAGAGACAGCCATGCTAAAAAATAAAGAAACCTGGGTCCTTGGTGTTTTTTCAGATTAGAACCTTTTTACCAGATCACACTTTTACAAGAAAGGAATAAACCTCTGTCTTGTTTAAGCCACTAGTAATTGGGATCTCAATAAAATGCACCTATTCCAATAATGTATAATAATACAGAAATCAAAAGTTTAACTATGAGAAGAATAGACATATAGGCTAAATTGAAGCTCAATATCTGTTTCATTTTCCTTCTACAGTGTCCTCTCATAATGTAGATGATAGAAATATTCAAACGAAAATAAACCAAAACCTCCAAATTTTGCAGAATCTCTTGAAACCAGAGTTCTGGATTTAAACATGGACGGTCAGACGTGCTTGAACAAGATTGGAATGCCAAAAGTGAGGTAGGCAGGTGTCTCATTTTTGCTGCTTCTGTTATTTTTGCTGGCATCACAGTTTATGTTTCTTTCTTTCTTTGAGGTAGGCAGGTGTCTCATTTTTGCTACTTCTGCTATTTTTTCTGACAGCTCAGTTCAGATGCATTGGTTTCCTTCCTTCCTTCCTTCCTTCCTTCCTTCCTTCTTTCCTTCCTTTTCTGCAATAGCATATGTACTACTAGATATTCGCCAACTTTGTGTTACAAAATAAGATACAGATCAATCTTTTCTCTGATGCTGGTTGGTGCAGTTCAGAGACTGTTCTGAAGTTTCATGAGGAGGAACATGGCTATGGTGTTTTCCTGACTGTGCCAGTGGCACTTTGGTTCTCAGAATAATGTCTTCTCTATTATGGAGAAAGCAATATGTCCCTTGGTTGTAGATACTGTGGTATAGCTAGCTTGAGGATTTGTTTCTGAAAGTTCAACCTAAAATTTGTTTCTTCAGCCCTACGGACAATTCTGAAAACTCTTTAATAAATGGTAATAAATCCTTATCTGTTAAGAACTTAGAGAGAACTATGTTTTCTGCAGCTTAAACCTTATGAAACACACTCCAATGCCCAGAGAGTCAGAATGATTGAACTCTAATCCCTGCTAATTGAGATGGGAGGCTGTTTTTAAGAGAAATAACAAGCATTTTATTTCCATAAGTTTAGTTTGAAACCCTATTAAACTTCCAAGTGTTAATATCAATTAGATAGTTTGGGCTGGAAATACAAAGTTTTAAGTATTCATGAAAAAAATAGTATTTAGAGTTATGAGATCTGATGAGATCACTGAGAGAGTAAATATCAAGAAACAAGAGGTAAGATTCATTGACTGAGCCCTGGAGCTCTCCGAAGTTTAGAGACTGGGACAGGAGGCTAGGGGGATGGATGAGGAAGATCCAGCCAAACATACGAAGGAGTGATCAATGAAGTAAGTGGAAAACTAGACGAATGGTGTCCTAGGAGCCAAATGAACAAATACTTCAAAAAGGAGGGAAAGGTGAGCTATGTCAAATGTAAATATGTCAAGGAAATGAGGACTAAGATGGTGACTGGTTTTGCAAAGCAAAGGCTAAAACTAGCTATGATTGGTACAGCTTTGGCAATTAGAAATCATTTCTTAATATGCTTCATCAGTGTTCAAGTTATAATATTCATGGAGAATAAACAAATAAAGTTATAATATTCATGGAGAATAAACAAATGTCTAGCACTAGGGTAGAATAAAAAATAAATGTGAATGACTGTGGAAGGATAGTTAAAAACTGAAACAATTAGTACACAGGTTACACCATTAGTATTAAATATCAAGCACACTATTAGAAATTTAAGGGGAAAAAGGCAAGCAAAAGGCCATAGCCCTACTTCAGTAATGGTTTCAATTGTGCATGTTCTATTACCTTAATGAGAAAACTAAACCTGATCATGTCAGTAATCTGCTTAAGAATTTCTCCTTATTATTAAGATAAAGTTAAACTTACTAGTAGAATGCACATAGTCCATAGTGGTTTGACCCCTACCTCCCTCTTCAGCCTCATCTCCCTGCTCCATTCCATCAAACCTTGGAAGACTAAGCCACCCAGAGCTCCTCTAAGGAGCTCTCACTTCTGTACTTTCCTCTTCTTCTGCAATTATTTACCTGCAGAAAAATTTTCCATTCTTCAGGACTCTACTCAGATGTCTCCTTCTCTAAGCCTTCTCTTGCTTTTTACCACCTTACCTCAGGGTTTAATGTTCATCTCATTTGTTACCAAATCACCCAACATCTCTATACTAGAATCATAGCACTCATCACTGAAAATTGTAATTATTATCCTACTTCTGTCTCCTTCACGAGGCCAATAACCCACATGAGAGCAAGGGCCATGACTAAATTTACTTATATCTTTAGTACTTAGAGCAGTACCTCCCGCAGGATATAGTTAAGTGCTCAGTAACTCCCTGCTAAATAAATGAATAAACAAATAAAGATCATTCAATGGCTTTAGGGCCTTTCTCATATTATTAGGTTTTTAGTAATTTTCTTTCTCATTTTACTTTTGTTACACCTCATGAACATCTTTAATCAGATCTGTTTATTTTTATATGTTTAAAGAGGTATTAAATCTCAATGAAACAGACTCTTAGAATTAAAGCAACCCTGACCAGAAAAGGTGTAAACCTACTTGTTGAAGAAACAATGGGAAAGGGCCCAAGGAATTCTCTTGCATAGAGCAAGGAATAGGTGCCCATCTCCTCTTGGCACGCCTGAGAACAGTTTCTCTAGTGTGTCTTGTCTTCGATACCTGAATTTAGAGAAAAACAAATACATGAATAAACAAAAGCATCACAGTCTACTTTGTGTAAAATAGTGGACAGCTCATAAACCTAATCCTTCTTTGGAGTTTCAGTGTCAGGCATTTCCATGCTGGAGCTAAACCAGTTAATAAAGTCTTTCTGCATTAGAAGGGTAAGAAAGAACATATCCAGATTTTAAAGGTTTCAAGAAACAGAGAATTTCTTTTTGTATACCATTCTAACACTGACTATACTTTCATGTTAGGAAAATCACCACTATATTCTTAGTTCTTCTTGCTTTGTCCCAAATGGAGACATAGAACATATTCTGTCTACAACAATCTCCAGATAGCACTTACTTGTTCTTTTAGTTAAAAGCTCATGCCCTTAGGTCAGAGAAAGAAAATGTATGTCCTTCACTGCCATAGTGCTCTATTTACACAGTCTGATATGGTAGCCCTTGGCCACCATAAGTCATGTGATTATTTAAATTTAAATTAACTGACACTAAATAACATAAGAAGCTCTATCCTTTGGTTGCACTAGCCACATGCCAAGTGCAGAGTAGCCATTAATATTGAGCTGTCATATCAAACAGTGCAGATAGTGCCATCTCTATCATGGGAAAAAGTTCTATTAGACTTTTTAGTGATGTCCATCTCATTTCATGATGCAGCAAGGGAGACATTTTATTTCATAAGAATTAATTAATAATTGCATTAAACATTTAGCAAAGTGCTAAGCTGTAACTTAAATTAGCTTTATTATTGATACAGTTAACACAGATTAGATGTAATCCAGTCTAAACCTTTCATCATTTTGTGACTACTTTCATAATGGCATTCCTCACTGTAAAGGTTTTGCAGTAAAAAAATTCTGAGTTCTATAATAGAGGGATAACCAAACTGACACCAGTGCACAAAAGACAATAGTTAGAATGTAGAGGTGGAAGAAGCCCTCACAGAGGAGAAATAATTCAGATTTAATAAAGTAAAACCAAAACCAGAGTTCAACAAGTGTTAAGAAAGAGAGAGAGGGAGAGACAAAAATAGAGTGAGAGGTAGAGAGAAGGATAGAAAAAGGGAGAGAGGGAAGGTGACAGGGAGGGAAGAAAAGGAAGGGGAAAAGGAAGGGGAAGGAAAGGAGAAGGAAAAGGGAAGGAATGAAAAGGACAGGGTAAGAAAATGGAGGGGAAGGAAAAGGGTAAGAAAATGGAAACGAAGTGAAAGGAAAGGAAACAAAATGAAAACAAAAGGGGAAAATACCCTATTTATCCTTGTTTCTCTTTGCAATTTTTAATAAGAGTATTTTAATGAAAAAATGACTGAAAATATTTAATGTACTTTAAATACCTTCTTCTGATGTTCTAGCAGCACAGTAACCTCTTTCTGTGTCTGTTTCCTTTTGTCAGAAAGCCATATGGTAAATGATCTTTTCTTATCAGACAGCGCAACAGCCCTGGCTGTGTACACTGACCCATCATTTAGAACTCTGAAATCAGGATCACTTGACCGGATGAGGTCTGCAGACCTGAAGCACTCTTCCAAATTAACTGCAAGTAAAAATTTCCAAGTTGTAAGGTAAAAACACATGAGAAAAAAAAACGTGTTAAAATAATTTATATAATATTCTTAAAAACCATGAAGTGGGATGAAATAAGCCAATCACTTTGCATTTACCAGATATCTTAACCTGTTTTTTACATTACTTAAAAAATGATCATTTTCTTTCAGTTAACAAATAATTATTGAGTGTATATTTCTATTAAATAAGGTGTTTTAAACCTTTATATGCTTCTAATAGACTTATGAAAATGACCTTCCAATTAAAGATGTGGGCATGTTATAATCATGACAAAACTGAGCAACATGCCCCCAACACACCTGAATAAACATATAGAAGAGTTTCCCTAACAATACAATCTGAGTGTTTAAGATACACCTATATTCAGTGAGAAGCCATGAGCCAAAGAGCAATGGAGTGTATGAGTTTGGTAAAGAGTCATGTTAGAAAAATCCAATCTCCGAAATTTTCTTCCCACTGGCACTTTTCTGTACACAATTTTCCCTGGAGGCCCAAAATACTCTGTGTGTTCCAAGCTTTCCAAGGCCGCACACTGAAACTCTACATGGAGTCTTTCTTCCCTGGGATTTCTGGCCTCTAGTAACAGGTAATAAAATGCATATAAATATCAAAATGTACCTGTCATCCATGCCATTCTTCAACTATTTGTCTTAACATAAGGCAAATGGATAAATTACTACTCAGTTAAGAAAAGACCTCTCAAAGGGTTCATTTGCTGTCCATGAGTCGTGTTTTCACTTTAATTCAAATCTGTCCCAGGTGGAAATATTTAGCAAAAATAAATAAATAAATAAACATCTTCAGGGCTGATGACATATTTCTCTCTTCACATTTTTAACAGAATGATAACTTCTGGTTTACTCCCTGGAGGAACATCCCTTTTTAGTAGATTCAGGCTAACTCCAAAAGGCAAAGGTATTATATCATGCTCTTTCCAGCCTATGTAAACTAAATTTCTGCTTTAAAAAGACTTTTAAAATTTCTCACCTCTGCCAATTATTTTGTCTGCCTCTAGTTTAGAAGGTACATTAAGTATCACCTTTTTGCAGGCTTCACCAGCACGACTGAAGATCTAGAATTTAAAAGGTCACATTAATACAGTAGAAAATAAAGATTAAAAAAAACATAATCATATCAATAGATGTAAAACAAGCAACTGACAAAGTCCAACACCCATTTACAATAAACCCCAGCAAACTAGGAATAGAAAGGAATTTGCTCAATATGGTAAAGTTCATTTATGAAAAACAACAACTAACTTCATATTTAAAGGAGAAAAACAGAATCATTTCTTCTAACATCAGGAACAAGACAATGATGTCTGCTCTGCTCTAACTGCTTCTGTGTGTATGTGTGTGTGTGTGTGTGTGTGTGTGTGTGTGTGTGCGTGTGCGTGTGCGTGTGCGTGTGTGACTGAGTCTCACTCTATGGCCCAGGCTGGAGTGCAATGGCGTGATCTTGGCTCACTGCACCCTCCACCTCCCAGCTTCAAGCAATTCTCCTGCCTCAGCCTCCCAAGTAGCTGGGATTACAGGCGCCCGCCACCATGATCAGCTAATTTTTATATTTTTAGTAGGGATGGGGTTTCACCATGCTTCTATTTAACATTATACTGGAGCTTCTAGCCAGGAAAATTACACAAGAAAATAAAATCAAAGGCATCCAAATTGGAAAGGAAAAGGTAAAATTGTTTCTATACACAGATGACATAAATTTGTAGACAGAAAATCCTAGGAATCCACTAAAAAACTGTCTAAATAAATGAGTTCAGTAAGGCTACAGGATACAAGATGAACATGTGACTGCATTTCTGTACACTAGCATTGAAAAATTTGAAAACTAAGCAAAAAAATTGATTTGTAGCATATAAAGAAGAATAAAATACTTAGGAATAAATGTAATCAAATAAGTATAATATTATACACTGAAAACCATAAAACATTGCTGAAGGAAATTTTTAAAGACCTAGATAAATAGAGAGATAGCCCATCTTCATGGCTATTCCCCAAATTAATTTACAGATTCAATACAATCTGTATAAAAATCCCAGATAACTTTTTTTGAAGAAATTGAAAATTAATCTTTCTAGAAATACAAGTTACCCAAATAAAATTGAAAATGAAAAAAAACTGAAAGACCTATTTACCAATTTCAAAACTTACTACAAAGCTACAATAATCAAAACAGAGTGGTGCTGGCAATAGAATAAATATATAGATGAATGGAGTAGAACTTAAATCCCAGAAATAAGGCCTTACATTTATGATTAGCTTCCAGACATTTCAAGAGAAATAAATAGTCTTTTCAACAAATGGTGTTGGGATAATTTGATATCTTCCTGAAAAAAAAGTGAATTTGAACGCCTACCTCAAACCATACACAAAAATTAACTCAAAATGAACCACAGACATAAATGTAAGAAATAAATTATTTAGAGGTAAACTTGAGAGCAAATCTTTATGATGTTGGGTTAGGAAATGATTTATTATGTACAACACCAAAAATACAGTGATAAAGAAAAGTTCTTAAATAATGCTTATTCAAAGTAAAAACTTCTGCTCTCCACAAAAATGCCACTTTCTTTACAAAAGTGAAAAATACAACAACTCATAGAATAGTTTTGTTTTGTTTTGTTTTGAGACAGAGTCTCGCTCTGTCGCCCAGTCTGGAGTGCAGTGGCACGATCTAGGCTCCCTGCAAGCTCCGCCTCCCAGGTTCACGCCATTCTCCTGCCTCAGCCTCCGGAGTAGCTGGGACTACAGGTGCCCGCTACCACGATCGGCTAATTTTTTTGTATTTTGTAGTGGAGACGAGGTTTCACCGTGTTCGCCAGGATTGTCTCGATCTCCTGACCTCGTGATCCGCCCGCCTCGGCCTCCCAAAGTGCTGGGATTACAGGCGTGAGCCACCGCGCCCGGCCTGAAGAAAATTCAAACGAATAAAGGACTTGTATCGAAAATATTTAAAGAATTCCTGCAACTCAATAATAAAAAGATAAATAACACAGAAAAACGGGCAGAGGATCAGAATAGGTATTATCCCAAAAAAAGATATTAAAATGGCCAAAAAGTAGATGAAAAGATGCCCAACATCATTAGGTTTTAGGGAAATGGTAATCTAAACCACAATGCAATACCTATTTGCTAGGATAACTAAAATAAATAAGACAGAAAATAACAAGTATTGGTGAGGATGTCGAGAAACTGAAACCCCTACACTTTGCTGGAGGAAATGTAAAGTGGTGCAGATACTTTGGAAAACAGTTTTGCAGTTTCTCAAAAAGTTAAACGTAAACCTATATGATCCAGCAAGTCCACTCTTCCTAAAAGACATAAAAACCTAAGTCCACACAAAAACTTGTCATGAATATTCACAGTACATACCATTATTCACAATAGGCAAAAAGTGAAAACAATCCATACAACGAAATGTTATTCAGCTCTAAAAAGTACTTTATTAAGTTCTATGCATGCTACAACAAGGATAAACCTATAAAACATACTCGGTGAAAGAAACTAGATACAAAACAACACATACTGTACGATTTCGTTTACATAAAATGTCCACAATAGGTAAATATACAGGAACAAAGTAAATTTCCATGGGAAGTGGTTGTAAATGGGTATGAGGCTTATTTTTAAGGTGATGAAAAACTTCTAAAATTAGATTATTGCACATTCTTCAAATTTACTACAATTCACTGAATTGTGCACTTAACAAAGGTGAATTTTATGGAATGTAAATTATATCTCAATAATGCAGTTTAAAACAAAAAAGGACACTGTCATTGATCAAAAAAATGACTTTCCACAATCACTTCTAGAAATTGGCAGTGAAAGGCCTTGTCAAATTTATAAATTCACAGAAGTAATTTCAGCACAATAAAGTGGCATAATAACCACAAAGAAGTATTTTATTTCTGATATAATCAAATATGAAACAGATTTCTGCACAAAATTAAAATACTTTAACTCACGGTAACATAACTGTAAATATATGTATATACAAATATATACATTATCACAATTATTCTAATATGTGATCTAAAATTATCGTACTTCTCAAAGATCCACCTTACCCTCACTTAAATTAGTCAGAATAAACAAAAATATCACAAAAATATGGACAAATAGGGCCAACATGTAACAATGCTGTTTAATTTAGATATAATAAGCCAAGAAATCATTTTCAGAAAATAATAACCAGATTGCAAACTGGGACAATGAAGTAATAAGTCATTTGCCCTTTAAAAAAAACATATCATACATATGCTTAATTTAATATTTTCCTTAAGTATATAGTTGTCACCTTGGGATGAAAAATGGTTTCCTTCAACAAACCACCCATTGGTTGAAATATATCATAACTCTGTAGTTGTTATTTTTGAATCCCCAAAAAAAAGCTATGCCCAATATATATTTACTCACATCTCTTTTCAAAATATCTCAGTTAACTGTGAAATATTTAAATCAATTAAATCATAAATGCTCAGTGCCCATCTAGATCTTTAAAAAAAATGAACATTTTGCAATTTTTGTTCTATTTTTTAATTAAAATTTACACACGTAGCTAAAGTCTTATGCTCTATTATATTTCCAACTCTTCTCCAGGGAATAGAGTTTTCAGAAGTTAGAATTTATACTTCCTCAGTAGGATTTTATACTTTCATTATATAGTATATGCTTGTGCCCATAAAATATAAGCTGGTTTTGGGTAGTATCTGTTTATATGCATCCTTTTGCAGTTTGCTTTTTTCATCCAACAGTATGTTTGAGATTTTTCCATAAATGTACCACAGTTTATTTTTAGTCATTCTCCTATTGATGGTTATTTAGATTGCTTTTCATTTCTTCTATTACAAATGACACTATATGAACAGCTGTGCCTAAAGCGGAAATTACTGTGCCATACATGAACAACTTCAATTTTATTAGCTATTGCCAAGTTGCTCTACAAAGTACTAATATCAATTTCTATTAATGCCCCTAGCATATTAAATCTCTCTATTTCCCATATCCTCCCTTACAAATAATTTTATGACTTTTTCCATGTTGCCAACCTAATGGCTGTTTTAATTTGCATTTTATTTATTTGTTGTGAGATTGACTGTATTTTCTTGTGTTTATTTGCCATTTATCTTCTGTAAATCATCTATTCTTCCTCCTTTAATCACTTATCTATTGTTTGTGCTTGTTAAATTTTTTTCTTGTAGGTTTACTTAGTTTGCTTTTTAACTTTTATTATGAAATCTTCTGATAAACAGAGTGCTTCAATTTTGTTTTTTTCATTTGACACATCTTTATTAAAATTTTCTGTATACCAGATACTCAAAAACCTCAAAGTTCCCCATTGCTCAATCTTTTTTTTTAAAGTAGTATTTTTGCTCTTTTTAGACTTTGACTCTCAAAACAATTTTATGATCAGTTCCCCAAGTTCTGTAAAAATTTATTTTAGGATGTTGATGAAATTCCATTTCCTTTAAATATTAATTTAAAGAGGATTTGACATTTAGGGCTCTTGAGACTTTCCATCCATGAACATGATTCATTCTCACTTACTTATGAATTATATTTCCTTTTTGCTTTCTTTCTTCCTTTTTTTTTTTTGAGATGGAATCTTGCTCTGTGGCCCAGGCTGGAGTGCAGTGGTGCGATCTCAGCTCACTGAAACATCTGCCTCCTAGGTTCAAGCAATTCTCCTGCCTCAGCCTCCTGAGTAGCTGGGATTACAGGCGCCTGCCACCACCCCCAGCTAATTTTTGTATTTTTAGTAGAGATGGGGTTTCACCATGTTGGACAGGCTGGTCTTGAACTCCTGACCTCGTGATCTGTCTGCCTCAGCCTCCCAAAGTGCTGGGATTACAGGCGTGAGCCACCGCACTCGGCCGAATTATGTTTGTTTTTCAATAAAGCTTTGCAATTTTTGCTAAAAAGGTCTTTCACATTTTTTGTTACATTTATCTTAGATACATTGATTTGTTGCTGTAATGAATGGGATTCTTCTTAACATATTTTTGAGTTGTCCCTTGATAATATATAGAAATCATTTAAAAATATTAAGCTTATATCCATGAAACTTGCTTACTTTTATTAGTTCTAGTATCTGTTAATAGATAGTGTTGGATTTTCTATGTAGTTAATCCTGTCGCTGGCAAAATGACAACTAGGTTTCTTTTCTTTTAATCCTACAAGTCTTTCATTATTGCTAATTTTTATCTGATATGCTTGTTAGGACCTCTTCTGGAATGCTGAACAGAAACACCTGTACTGACCATTATGGATTTGTTTCTAACTTAAAGAGAATATTTTTACAGTTTTGCCATTAATTATGAGTCTTTTTCTTTTTTCCTTGTAACATTCATTCATTCATTCATTTTTGTTAGATATGTTTCATTACATTAAGAAAGTTCATTCTTGGCCAGGCGCAGTGGCTCATGCCTGTAATCCCAGCACTCTGGGAGGCCGAGGCAGGCGGATCATGAGGTCAGGAGTTCGAGACATGCCGGACCAACATGGTGAAACCTCGTCTCTACTAAAAATACAAAAATTAGCCGGCTGTGGTGGCACAAGCCTGTAATCCCAGCTACTCAGGAAGCTGAGGCAGGAGAATCACTTGAATCTGGGAGGCGGAGGTTGCAGTGAGCCAACCTCCAGCCTGCACTCCAGCCTGGGGAACAGAGCAAAACTCCATCTCAAAAAAAAAAAAAGTTCATTCTCTACATTCTTAGTGTGCTATGAATTCTATGAATTCTTTTGAAATGAAATGTTTCCACTTTCTTGAAATAATCAGTTTTTCTCTGTTGATACATTTTCTCTGTTGATACTATGTTAAAATACAATAATAGATGTTCTTATGTGAACCCATGTTTCCTTTCCTGATAAGCCTTACAAGAACATAAAATATTTATATCTTACAAATATATTGGTTTGTTTTCAATTTATCTCATTTCACATATTTGTCTGTAAGTGAGATCAGGCTACTATTTTTCAACTTCATACGATCCTCATAAAATGAGTTAAGAAGAGTTCTGTATTTTTTTGTTCTTTGAAACAATTTACATAAAGTACATTGTTCCATATAATTCTGAAAGAAATAACTTATCACAAACCTGGGCCTGGTGGATCTAAAGAAGTGTGTGTGGAGCTCTCTAACTTCTAATTCAATTTATTTAATGGTTACAGGTCTATTTAGATTTTGTATACCTCCTCAAGTCAATGTTGGTTATGTGTATTTTGTAAGAAGTTGTCTGTTTTGTCTGTATTTTCAAGTTAATTGGAATTATCTATTCATGTTATTTTACTTTTTAACATCTGTTCTCTCCAAAACTATACTTCCTTTTCATTCCTAATATTGTTTTATGTATGCCTTTTCTATTTTTGACTTGCTCAGAGTAGGGTTTGTCTATACTCAAGAGGTTTAGTTTAGTTGATACCCTCTATTGCTCATTTCTTTCCTTTTTAAAAAATGTTCTTCATAAAATATATTATAAATACCAAAGATTACATATAGCATGTGTGTGTTTTAATAAATAATAAAATGAACATTAGGGTATTCACGTTCAAGGTTAAGAAATGGAACATTACTAATATTTTCAAAGTTCCTAACTATATAGCAGTAGCTCATTCATTTTCTTTGCTGCATAGGATATTATTAGAAAGAATGTACAGTTAATTCATTAATACAACTTTTGAAAGGGATAATATTCAATAGACTTCAGTTATAGTATGTTTCTTGAAACTATGAAGTCATTTGATATTATGTTTTTGTGAGGTTTGGATGCCTTATTGAAAACAAAATAAAGTAAAAAATGTAAAGACACTAGTATATTAATGATGAACTAATGACCTTTAAAGATATTTTATAATAAAAATAACTTCTGTATACAAGAATGCCCATATTTTAAATTAAAATATAACAAACTTTAAAGATGATAATATAAAGTATTACCTACTGCAGCCTAAGCAAAATAGTTTTGTTGCATTTTATAGTACTAAGCAAATTGTATTAATTGCATGATAGAAACCTTATCAGACGAATCATTAAATCCTGATGGAAAAATTTAATGCCAAAGAGAGAACGAAAATTAAAGGTGTTATCTGCAGTTGTTTCACTTTCATGCTGTTGTTTAATTTTATAGTAAATACACAAAGTAGGCTTTCTAAAATGACACCCTACTTCAGTAGAGAAGAAAAAGAATGGAAATTTATGGAATGTCTTAAATGTGAAGAGGATCTTCTGGATTAAACACAATAATTACAGAATTTTAAACTCTTCATTTCTCCTGTGGCCATAAGTCTTCTGCAGAATGGAAATATTACCTTTCAAATTCTTACCACTTCAAAGGTAAATTGCAAGATTTACTGCTCTACATTCTCAGTACTTAAATGAGTCTAATAAATTTGTTTCCACCCAAACTCATTGTAAGATGGGAATTCCAGCTATCATACTTTCAGCGGAAAGTATGATTAACTACAGGTCACCACAGATACCATATATGGTACAGGACTGCCATGGGAATTACAACAGGATCCAAAAATGTGCATGAGCTTACATTTATTTATTCAGAACGTGCTTCCGTATCTAGCTGTATCTCAACAGGAACATCAACAATCTCCTTTTAATAAGGTAGCTGATAATGCATCAATCTAAATATACGTATACTATAATTTTGACTTTTTTAAGCTTGCAGTTTTAAAACTAGTTTTCATCTACTTCCTTTATTTGCCTTAATCTTCTTGTCACAAATGTAAAAGCCTTTAGAAATTACTATACTCCCTTTTAATTTAAAATGATGAATATATCAAATATTACCAAGAGCAAAAACATCACAAGTTTTTCTGGTAAGGACTCACATTATTCACATTAACCCTAACAAATATAAAAATTTGGATGCCTATTTATCAACATAGGTTGCAGGCAGAGTTCATATACTCCAAAGAGGAAAAGTACAGATTTGAGGGGAGTTATTGCAAACGTTTCAACTATTTTAGTTCCTTTAGAAGAGGAGCCCTTTTAACAAAATGATGGATTAGCCGTGTCCAAGTATGTGCCATTTATAATGTATACTAGATAACATAATCTTAAAGTGGATTTGATAACAGTATTAACACATATTTTTAAAAGAATCTTATTATTTGTAACAGGCAGAAGACAACTGATCTCATGTAAATTAGTTTCCACCATCCCTAACAATTCTGGTTACATTAAGAGGAAAAAACACTTTCTGAGGCAATCAAAAACTTACAATAGTGAGTGAGATGCTCTGATATACTTCTTTTTTTAGTATCTCCCTGTCATTTTTTTCTTTGTGCGTGTGATTATTAGAAACTGTATTTACACTTCAGAGTGTGGTGGGGCACACGGTGGGAAGGAGATACAGGAAAAATGCAGAATGGGAAAATTCCCTCAACCTGTTGGGCTGCTTACTGGGAAGACTAAAATTTAACAAGTCTCAGATTCTTGTTAAAGACTTGCTTTGAAAAGCTGTCTCCTTAGAACAAACAATGTTTTAAAGATAAGTAATGGTTTAAAGATATCCATTAAAGTCTCTATAAAATGAAAAATGTTTCTAAAATGCCGTGTCATTAATATTATATTGAAAAGTTGAGAGTCGTATGAGTCAAAAGGAAGGAAATACATACATGAGATGGTCAAGAGAAGTGTTAATTTACCCATCCGGTCCGAAATTGCAAGTGTTTGTAAACTGACAATTGCAGATGAAATAGTCATTTTCTGTGCACTTTCCGGTATTTAAGTCTCCAGATACAGCATTTAACCTAAACTCAACGGAATTATTTTAAAAAAAAAAAATCTTAAACGAGTATGTGCTAGATCAAAGCTGAAGCTTCCTCCGTTTAGATTTACGCGCACCTTCTTCCTTGCCACAGCTCGACACCCCCACCCATGCCTTGCCGGGAAAGCTCCTGGTCTTCCATGGCCTCTGGGAGCCTCGAGCGAATGCGAGAAATTCTGAGAGCAGCACCCGTAGTTTCGTTCCCCATCCTCAATCCCTTCGCAAAGGAAACACAAAACCCCAAATGCATGCTTGTAAACTGAAAAGCTGAAAATGCTTTTAAATATATTACAAAAGAACACATTCTCTAAGCCGTTTCCATTTGTAGTCACTTCATAAGCTCAGATACTTTGTTGGAACAGTTCCCGGGCAAATGGATGCGCTTATTTGTCCAATTCCTTCTCCATAAACATATCGTAGATCATAACTACCAATCCCATATTCATACCTCGCTGACCTTAAGGGAGGACAACCCTTGGACCCACTCCCACTTGCCAGGGTGGAGGGCCAGGAAGCAGTAAGAATCCGCGAGACCAGACTCGGCTCACTGCCGACGCGGGTATAGACCTCGCTCCCATCGGACCCCATGCGCATCCATGGATGCGGGTAAGTCGCGGGTCCGCGGCTCCTTTCTGGGCGTGCGGAATGAAACTCTGTTGAAGCCTGAAGCTTCGCGTGTAACCGCGCCGCCAGAGTTCCGAACACTTCAAGTCTCCCGTGTTCTCAGAGCATCGTCTCTAACTTCCTCTCCTAGAGGATTTCGTCCTGGGCGGCAGGTTTCCGTAGACTCGAAACCCCAGGCTGTGCTCCGGCCGCGCAGTCCTCCCCGGAGCCGGAGTAAGTACGACGCAACCCCACCGCATCCATCATCCCCCACCACTGTCACCCTCTACCCGCCTCCACACCTCGGCAGCATCCCCAAAACACAACACGACCCCAACCCCCATTCTGGCCCGGTCTTCCCACACTTTCGCGCCCCCGGCACATCCCGCCCCCAGCTGGGTGGCTGGCGGGGGTGGACCGCTTGGGTGAGCTTCTGAATACCCTTTAGGGGAGATACCGAGAAACCCACTTCTCAGGGGCAGCCCCACCAAGGGACCCAGGGACACAGCCCCGGCTCCACTCACTAACGAACCAATCCGGGTCAACTGCGACCCAGAGCTGGGGAGGGGGCAGCCCCTAAATCCCTTTTCAAGTCTGTGCTTTGAGCTCTCAGGGATCCTCTCCACCCAAAGGCGCCCTCCAACCACCATCACCACCAGCTCCACCACCTGGGGAGAAGCGTGAATCCCAACCCCCTGCCCAACCCGCGACGGCGCCCGCCAGAGCGCAGCGAAGCCTGAGCGCGACTCAGAATTCCAACAATCGAACACCTTGTCTCAAAACAAAAAGCTCAGTCCAGAGTCGACCCGCAAACACACGTTTTCTCTCCTCACTCCTGCAGGCCCGAACTTGGGGCTGCTACCAGACCCGCAGCATTGATCTGAGCCGCGGTTGTCACGTTTCGGCCCGCTTTGTCCCCAGCTCCGTGCAGCGTCCAGGGCGGATCCACCCCCGTCCCCACCCCAGCCCTATCCGGCGAGATCTGGCTTACCACGAGGGTCAGCAGCAGATGCAGGCAGACGGCTCCGCGCACGGAGCGCCGGGGCCCAGCGGCGGCCATCGGGATGCCGGGCAGGGCCAGGAGAACGCGGGCGCCGGGAGGGTGCCGAGAGCGAGACCTGCCGAGGTGCAGGGCGCGGGAGGTGCTTTTCTCGCCGCTGCTTGTTTTTAAGTGTATTTGGCCTCTCTCAGGCTTGCCTGCCCGGGAGCAACTTCACTTCTGAAACCGGATTGGACCCAGAGGACGCGGAGAGGCCACTCCTTGTTATTTCTCAAGTTTTATCATCGCCGGCGCGGCTGAGGAGCTGCCCGAGCCTGCCCCTCTGCTCCCCAGCAGCCACCCGGGCGTTCGCGCTCGGGAAAGCGGTCTCTGGCGCACCCTCTGCCAGTTCTCCCACGCCCCTCGGCTGCCCCGCGGCGCTGCCGCCCCGCCCGGCCCGCAGAGAGGCCCTGGCAGCCCAGATCGTCCCAGGGCGGCCCCATCGCCGGCGCTGCGCGGTGCATCTCAATGCAGAACCCCAATCCGCCCGCAGGGATCCCTGCCTCGACACGGGCTCTGCTGGATGCCAGGAACACCCTTGTCATTGGATCAGCGGATCTCCCCTTCGACGTCTGAACAAATTCTGCCAATGTTTTCAGATTAAAGCAAAATACATGTACTGTATTCTCTCCGGATTTGACTAACATGACAAAATACACGACAGAAGGAATTTATCCCAGATGGCATGATAAACAGTTTTTGGCATGTCAGAAATTAAAACCAAATTTAAGAAATTCTAATCTAACCATTTTTACGCACCCAAAATATGAGTGATTACACTCAGCGCTCTATTAACTGTCAGTTTGGGGGACTCATATGAACCTTCTAAAAACGACTTTGTTCTTAGATGTGAATTATTGGTTTACTACTTACTGGTACCAAAATGAAATTTTTCAGGTGGTCAAAGGAATATCTACCACACAAAACCTTCTAAAACGAGGCTTACAGATTCTACATCATGCAACGACTATTTATCAGGGCCCGAAGTCGGCCAAGCTTTGTGTGAGGGCATGGAAGAAAGGAAATGCAGAAAATCTAGTTCCTGTCGGAAATAATTCAAAGTCAGAAAGGGACGAAAGACAATCATTCCTAGCCCAGTAGGCTACACTTTTTAATAGAGATGTCGTTTGTAACACCAGGGGGACATCCTCTTATTTCTCCCTAAACTGAATTTTAAGTTCCCCGAGTTCCCATCTACTGGATTCAGGAGGAAATCCCTCTCAGACATGAGATGCTACTCCTCGAAGTCCATTCAAAAGTTGCAAGGTCGGGAATTTCAGACAGCCAATTAATCATGAAAGGGTGTTATGACCTTCATTCATCTCACTCTGGCTCAAGTCTAATAGACTCCTCGTCGTCTAAGCCATGTATTCCCTGAAGTCTGGGGCTTCCCTGAAACTCATGAGGCTCAGCTTTAAGGGCTCAGACACTCTAAGTTGAGCTTCCCAGTGTGAATCTCCCAGGCACCCGTCAGTGGAGGTCTCTGTATGTAAGAGCTCTTCCAGTCTCAGAGAAAGTTCTCCAAACTTCTCTCCACTCCAGGGTTTTCACCTCCCATCCTCCACGTGCCTCCAGCATGACCTCAGAGAAAGCTTCTCAAAGTCACTTCCAGCCCCCCAGCCCTCAGAAACTCAAGTAGAATGGTTTTCTTGAACTTAGATGAGTAAAGGAGATGGCTAGCACCAATCTCCCTCCCTCACCACTTTGAATTCACTGTTAGAGTGAAGGGTTGAGGTGTTAAGGCATTTTAGAGGAGAGGATCTAACTTAGCTGAAGAAAGCTTTGAAGAAGCAAAATGTTGCGATAAGCCCAGCAAAGAAAAGGGAAAGGGTAGGAGAATGCTTCAAGATAACACAACATCAACAGGACATGAGAAGCTCTGGAGAGCCTTGTGAGAGTGCCCCAGGGTAAGAAAGCAGAAAGGGGTTGGTTCAGAATGGTTACATGCAATGGCTGGGAATTCGGTTAGAAAGATGGTTCATGACAAACCATGCTGAGGAATTTAATTTCATCCTGACAGAAATGGAGAACCATCCATTCAATGTGTGAAAAGGGTTAGTAACTACTGTTACAAAATTGTCACTTTTGGTGAGTTTGCACATATGAACCCATTTGTGCTGTAATATGGCTTTCTTTAATACCTAGGGAATGAAAGACTTTGAAGTGTTTGTCTTTATTCTAACTATTCTTAGTTTTTCTATGATTTCAACTCTATCTTCAGATTTATGAGAGTCTGGCCTGGTTAGGACTGTCCTTTGAAAGACTAAAACTCTAAAATTGCTATCCCCTGATTATTTTGACTGTGCTGTGTAATAGAGGATATTTATTGTTAAGCCTACTGACTAATATGACAATTGCTGTGAGCTTCCATTTTTAGCTTCCGCAAAATAAAAGTTGTAGGAATCTGCTTTAGAAAAACTCGAAGAAAACATATTATGGATATTTTTAACTTGTATTGCAAAATTCTAGGTGCAATACGAACATTAATAACTGAATGTAGTATTAGTAATGATTTTGGAATTTCCTGTTTGTCCACCATGAGTATATTAATCTAAGTCCTAATAAAAAGCAATGCATTTTTATCATATAAAGAAGAATCTTTACAACATAAATATGACTTGAGGATAAATTAAATTGCTTATATTTTTTGCTTATATTTTCCCATATAAATTATGATTTAAAATAGTTTGTTGATTTTTTTTCAAATATGAGCTTCAGTTTAGATATAGTTAGAACTGGATGCTTTCTATTATAAAATTAATTTTAAATCATCATGAGGTATCATAAAGCATAAAGAGTTTTCTGAACTGTCTTTATCTTAATACCCTATCCCTCAAACTGCAAAGTCAGTTGGAAGTCACTGCTAAAAGGATAATGAGCCAAAATGGGAAAATAATTTATTATTTTCCCTTGTTATGTTCTTAGTTTGAAGGGTAAGAGCAGCAATAACAAAGGATCAAAAATGGGAATTGACTTTAGACTAAAGAACAAAACTTCAGAAATTCAGGTGAATTGCAACATTTTCAGCAGAAAGCAAACAAGATAATGAAGAAGAGTACTCTTACTCTGGACCTATGAGAAATCTCTGACTACGGAAGAGCTAACTAGTCTTAGGAGGTGGGACCTGACCTCTGGCCCACGAGCCAGGCTGCCTTGCACAACTCAGCACCAACAGGTGCTAGTCTAACACACCTACTCATCTCAGTGGCTTACCTGGACGGTGACATGGCAACTGTAGGTTTCCTCAAACACTCCTACGAAATACCGCCAGGACAACTGTACAATGTTTGAGACAAACTTACGAGAAAGAGCAGAGGAATTTATGAAAAAAAAAGCTTGAATTAAAAACAAGTAAAAGATTTGTTTACACCTGTGGCACAAAAATGAGTTCCGCCATGGGACATGAACTCAGAAGCATGTTTGGAATATTATTTAGGATAAATAGCCGCAGTGTGACTAGAGGTTCTGCAGATTTCCCAGAGCACTATTGAGAACAGCCACCACATTTTGGTCATTTCAAAAGACTGCTGGGGCCTTGAGGATAACAGAAGGTTTAAGTCAAAAGTCAATTATAAATATCGCATTGCTGCCCACTACCAGAGCCGTCCCAGAATCCCTATGTGCCTCCTTCTCACCTATTTACCCATGGCAAGCACCTAATTAGCACTTGGTGCTAATTTCAATCCAATGAGAATGCTACTCCACACAGCAATGAGGACCTCAACTCTAGATCCAAATGACCCTTGGCCTCCAAGGACATTTCCCCTTCCCCCTGTTCTGCTGTGGGTCTCCTCACGTCCTCACTTCTCATCCTAGGATTCATATCTCCCCAGAATGACTGACAGTAGGACTATCCCTTCCTCTCAGGAGAAAGCTCACGCCCATCCACAGAAATGTGACCTTTCACTATAACCTTGGCAACAATCATTCAAAAGTCGGACATTTGTACATTTCTCAAATTCAGCATTATCCAGTCTAAGTAACACTATTACAATAGTTTAATCCAAATAGGGTGTGCCAAGCTCAGAAAAGTTCCCTTCCAGTATCTCCTTGTTAATTAATGAGTCAAGATCTCTTACAATGGGGTTACTCTTCCTCCACTAAAATCTTCAGACTCCTTTACAAATATCCTCTTCTTCAACCAGTCCTTTTAAGGAGGGAGGAGCAATCTTCCAGTAACTTCCCACTGGCTGGAAGGAATGGTAATTTCCACACAAAAGACAAAACCCTATTGTGTGAGTGATAACTTCTTATAGCAACTAAACTAAAGCCATGTAACAAAGCCCTGATACAGGGTGAACTTTTTGTCCACCTCATCTCAGAATCATCACATAATTCTTCACTTTGATTTCCTCTAGTGTGAAAAATCTCTTTCCACTGGATGAGACTACAGTTTCTCCTGTATGTTCACATGTCTCCAGGAACTCACTCTATGCATCTGTCTGTTCAAAAGGCATTGCTCAAGAGTGAAGGTTACAGGTGTGAATGGGCTGACTGCCAGACCTCATGTGTCATTGATCCCAGAGTCATTCCCTGATACATTGCCCCATCAGTCTTCTTTTTACTCAGAAGTTCAGGATGACCATTCCTTAACATCAGCCTGGAGAAGTGGTGTATCCCCCAGCTTAGATGCCTATTAACTAGCTCTGGAGCAGAGAGGCAGCTTTTGCCACCAGCTCCCCATAGGCTAGCAAATTGTTTAACTCAACAGTCATTTATTATTTTATTTGTTCATAATTACATATTAATTAATGCTATTTACCTCAAGATTTGTTCATCTTGATTTGTCTTTTCTTTTCAGCCTGCCCAGTTTCCCAAGCCTTTTGTCTCTAGATGAGGGGTAGCTTTCTACTAATTAGCTATTTAGTGTTCATTGAGTAGGCGCAATCCCACAACAATAACCAGTTCTTTTCTTGCATTGCTTTCAAGGCTCATATCTGCATCTGTCTTTCAAATGTTATAAGCTACACCCCTCCCTAACTGATAAGCACTAGTCTTGACTTACACACATCTATGACGGGTTATACCAGATCTCTGTTTCTCTAAACAACTCTAATACAGAGGTCTTGCCTGAACATTTAAAAACTGAGTAGCTAGTAATAATCCTAGCAGGTGTGTACGCATGTATCAAAAAGGTTGTTTTGTTCCCCCTCCTAGTAAGATTGCAGCGTTCTTGACAAGTTCAATAAAATTGGTTATTTCTCCCTGTTTCCAAGTTCTGTTTAGACAATGGCCAAGGAAAGCCACGAACTTACTATAATCCTTCACTTTTCAAATGAGACTCTCTGACAAAAATTGTCCTGCTGTGTCCCTGAAGTAATAATATTTTTTTAAGTTTCAGAATACATATATTGGAGAAAAGACATCTGCCAGAAGAACTGCTTTATTTCCTGCTCAAGACAATATTAAGTAGTGATCAGATTATTATCTGGGCCCTCTAATAATGAATTATGTGCTAAATTGCTGCACTGTCCCAAAGATCTAAGAAGAAATTAGAGACCTTGACCTGTCCCCCACTCCTCATATCCTAGGATGGGTGGAAAAAAAAGAAGTTGCAAACAGACAAGCACCATGAATATGATCATGACATCTTTTCCCTGTTATGATGAACTGCCTTTCTGTGATAGTCCCAAGATAATTGACATCAATTTTGGCCAGTCTTAACGTCTCCTTTCTCACTTGCTACACTGAGAGTTGGGCTTTTACTCTTCAGAGAGATTGGAAAGTGATTAGCACACACATGTTCTTAAGACATAAGATAAAGAATATCTTATTTTCTACCACATTCTTTATTACAACATATAAATTATTCTTACAATAAGGTGGTCTGAGCCTTGCTCTGCCAGGCTTTCCCAGTGGCAGTTTTCCAAACTCATCAATTCATAGAATTAAGTACTGTATTACGGCCATTGGCCAGAAGTAGGCCAGATGTTTTTTTTCTCCCAAGATTCTCTAAGGGCCTCTATCCTATTCCTCCCTTGGACTCTTTGTTTAAATTTTGAACAAATGAGGGAAATGATCTTTAATTCACAATAAATATTTGTATTGAGCTATTATCAAGGCAAAAAAAATGAAATTATTTCAGCAGCAACATAATACTATAAAAATGGCAAGATTTGTTCCAAGAATCACAAGGTTCCAAGGCGGCTCAACCTAGGGACTCTAACCCCTTCTGCTTAGAGACTAACTGAAGTTTTGAATTATTTGTCGACTTGTTTGATGTAGTTGCCTTGGGATAGGTCCATGTGTTTTTCAAATCTCTGGCCTCTTAATCTTGTAAAACTGGATAATTTTGAAAAGTATTTTTCCTTTTCCATTTGATCCAATTATTGTGATCCATACACCTATTCCCAGCCAGTTGGCCAAAGAATAATATTCCTGACCTTTCTTTCTTTAGTAATAATTTATATATAGTAAAATTCATAGGCCATAAATGTACAGTTCAATGAGTTTTGACAAACATATATGCCTATGTTACCATCATTCAGGTTAAAATATTTCCTTCACCCCAGTTCATACTCATCCCTACCCTGGGGCAACCAGTGTTCTGCTTTCCGTCACAAAAGAATAGTTTTGACTTCTCTAGAATTTCACATAAATGGAATCACACGTTGCATTAGTTATCTATTGCTGACTCAGTTTTTATCTACTAGACATCACTTGTGCATTACTCCAAAATTTAGTGGCTTAGAAGAGGGACTTATCTCACAGTTTCTGTGGAATCCAGGCATGGCTTAGCAAACCATATCTGGCTCAAAGGCTATCATACAGGCTGCAATCAAGATGGTTAGCTGGGGCTGCACTCATCTCAAGGCTGGATGAGGGAGGATCTGTTTCTAAGCTCACTCATGTAGCAGTTGGCAGACGTCCAGTTCTTGATGATTGTTGACCAGAGACATCAGTTGCTTGTCACAAGGGCCTCTCTAGGGGATCAAACAACACGGGTACCTGGCTTCCCTCAAAACATACGAGAAAAATAGAGTTCCAAAAATGGAAGTCACAGTCTTTTTTAACTCAGTATCAGAAGTGACACCCTTTCACCTCTGCTGAATTCTACTGGTAGAAGTAAATCACCAGGAACAGTCCACAGTTAAGGAAAGAGTATTACACAGGGAAGTGACATCCAGGAGGCAGAGATCATTGGACACCATCTTCAAGGCTGAATGCCACGTGGTATCAATGCTTTTGTGTCTGGTTTCTTTCATTCAACGTATTTTAAGTTAATACAATGTGTTTGAATATAGTAGCAAGATATCAGTTTTCATTTCTTTTGTATTTATATCTACTTGTAGAATTACCTGGTCATAGGATAGATGCTGTCCTCAACTTTATTAAAAACTACCAGACCAATTTCTTACTTCTTGCTTAGTAATATATGTGAATTTCAGTTGTTCTACAAACTTGCCAACACATTTTTGTCAGTCTTATAGTTTTAGCCATTGTGGGTATCTCATTGTGGTTTAAATTTGCATTTCCCTGGTGACATTATGTTTCATTGTGTTTGGAATTTTCTCTGATGGCTATTGATGTTGAGTAATTTTTCCTATGCTTATTTGCCATTTGTAAGTACAATTGGGTTGTTTGTTTGTTTTTTATTGTTTTGTAACAATAATATTTACTAAATGTTAATGAAAATTTATTTATTATGTATAATATATACATTATTTAAATGTTTATTAAAAGAAATTTCAGCCTGGCCAACATGGTGAAACCCCATCTCTACTAAAAGTACAAAAAATTAGCCGGGCATGGTGGCGGGCACCTGTAATCCCAGCTACTTGGGAGGCTGAGGCAGGAGAATCACTTGAACCTAGGGGGCAGAGGTTGCAGTGAGCTGAGAATGCGGCATTGCACTCCAGCCTGGGCAACAAGAGTGAAACTCCATCTCAAACAAACAAACAAAAAAAATTAAATTTTGTGCACTTTGAATGGAATTATGTTTTATTTGTTAAAAACACAACTTGAATTTTCCTTTCTATTCCTCCTTTTCATAAGAACTGTGAAAGTCCTTGTTTCACAGGCTGAATTTATAGGTAGAAAGAAGAAGGCAAAATTGTCTTCTCTAGAGCATTACTATCTAAACTTTTAAACCAAAGGACCCTTTAAAGTTTTGTTGTGGTTGCCAAGGTAAAATTTATTGTCATGAAAGACAAAGGCCCAGCTCTGCAAATGACTCAAAGGTGTGGGAAGTTTCAGCTGCACCTGGGCCAGAACTGACTAAGGCCTGTTACGTCCACAAGTGACGTTACACATTTAGGAGCATTGTCATCAAGAGGAATCGTTTTGAACTTTGGCTGCCTGTTGGTGTCTCTTGGGGAGCTTTTAACAAACACCAACCACCAGGCCCCACCTCAGAATCCACCTCAAACCAATTACATCAGAATCTTTGGGGATGGGAGCTCTATATTGTATGCTTTATGTTATTTAAAAGCTTCCCTGGATACTCTAATGTGCAGGTCAGGGAGGCAATTCTTGTTCTAGATAAATTATTCTCAAAATGTGTTTCCATAACCATTAGCATGTGCACCACTGGGAACCTGAATGTTCTTTACTGACTAAAATATGATGACAGAGATATAAGACCCACGAAATGATGAGACCAATTTTGGAAGAATTCTGGTCTCTGGGTTTTTGTAAGAAGATGTTTCTTAAATAACCCTTTTTAAAGAATTGTTTTATTTTGATTTAGAAGCAACGTCTCCATTCACCATTTCTTAGCCTTCTTTGCAGCACTTATATAATCCGTCTAATCTGTGTTTTAACAAGAAAGGCGTGGATCTACTTTTGCATACTTAATGAGGTCCTTTCATGGTAGGCATCACAAAATGTACTGTAGTTCTACCCCTTGTATTGCCTGGACTGTTGTTATCTGTACTCCATTATTCTCACTCGCAACATCTCTCCTTTGATTCAAACAAGTTTCAGTAGAAACCTACATCAAGAAAGTATTTATCCCACATACCCATTCATGTCCAGATCTTTCCTATCTTTAGTGAAAGATTTATGGCTGGAAAGCATCTAATGGTTCTTTTTCCCATGTGAAGGAAAAGAGTATTTATTCTAACCCCTGGATGTTGATGTTTTATCTGGCTTCCACATAGACTATACTTGCCATTAAGATTTTCCTCTGCTTGCAGTAGACAAAACTCTCACAATTTACTTTGATGTCCACAGTCATTAGCCGGAAAAAAAAGTCCCCACATTATTTTGGTATTCTTTTCGTACTTGGATAGCCAAAATAATTATCTAAGGCTTTAGTAAACGTGGAACAAAGAAGGTGTTTCGACTGTCTTCATACTAAATGGGGCGATACAATACCTTATTAGTCAAGGGTTTATGCCAGTCTTGAAATCAAACCCTACTTCTCTTTGAAATAGTTCTATTCATCTCTACTTAGAGGTTATGGATTTTGTTTTTGTTTTGATTTGCCCTAATTTCTTTCTTTAGCTCACACTTTGATTACTTTTTTGTCTTTCTAGCTCACACTCTCAACTGGAACATTAATAGTGTTATCGGGCCACATGTAATTAACAACGATGACTGCATAATGCCTGAAACAACAATTTTCTGACACACCTCTTTTAGGAAGACCAAACAGCCCTGACAACTGAGCTAGTTTAAATAGCCTGAGAAATGGGTATTTTAGAGAGGTTTCCTGGGAAAGATTTGCTGAGATACCAACTTTGGTTGGAGACTTGAATGATAGAAGAGATTGATGATCTGGAGTAAAAGCATTCTAGCCTGAAAGAACTGCAAGTGTAAAAGCCCTGTCCAAATAGCTGGGTATGTTCAGAGAACATAGAGAAGCCCACAAGTGCTGGAGCAGAATGAAGTAATGAGGGGTACTAGAACAAGAAGTAGAAAAAAAAAAAGATAAAAAACAACTCAATGGCCTAAAGAGGTTAGGTTTTGTTTTAATCTCATCTGTTCTTAAAAGCCACTGAGGATTTAGAGGGTGGCATGATCTAATTTATACATTTTTAAAATCACTTATGGTTGTTGCAAGAACACAGGTTGCAGAGGGCAACAAATGGCAGATGAAGTAAAACTTGGATTTGTAATATAACGTGAAGTTAGACCTCACAGGACGGACTGGGTTATAGATTGGAGATGGATTGTGAGAAAAAGAAAAGACTAAAACTAAAGGGTGCCTTTCAAGGGACTTGGACTAATTGTGTGAATAGAATGAATAAATGGGGAATATTGTGAGTGAAAATAATTTGGGCTAAGAATCAAGGGGTTTTATTTGAACACATGAAATTTGAGATGCCTATTATAGATCCCAGTTGGGATGTATTATTTAAAACTTTGGGAGTGGAAGAGAAAAGCTCGGGAGTGAATACAGACAGAGGTCTTTGGTACTCCAACTCCTAGAGTCGGGAGGGCAAGAGGAACCAGCTTCCCCAGACTAAGAAGAGCAGCCAGTGATTGAGGAGGAGCATCCTATGAACATGGTGTCCCATAAGCCAGAGGACAGTTGGTCAACAAGAGGAAGTAATTAACTCTGGCACAGTCTTTTGAGGAGTCAATCAATTTGACATGTATAAAGTCATTAGTGATAACAAGAAATTAAGTTTTACTGGAGTGGTGATGAGAAAAATATGACTGTGGAGAGCCAAAGATAGACTAGGTAAAAGAATGAAGAAAACAAGACAGAGGCAGATGTTTCTCAGATCTTTGTTCCCTCACGCCTGTCACATCTTGGTTCTCCTGAAAGCAGAACCTAAAACACAGATGTGAGTGATGCTACTCTATTGGGATGTAAACCCAGAGGCAGAGGCAGAGAATGGGAAAATATAAAAATCAATAAGAGGTGTGTTATTGAGCTGATTTATGCCATGGGTATAATCCTGTGGGTAATATCCTCTAAGATATGATGTAGAATGCATCTCAGAGCTGTATTCTGAAAAAAAAAATTTATTACTAAGTAACTCTGAGCTGCCCAAATCTTTCAAAACAGCACGTATTTATTGTCCACAGTTTTTGTATATCAGAAGTCTAGGCATGACGGAGCTGGGTCTTCTGCTTGAGAATCTCACCAGGCATTGGCTGGGCTGTGTTTTCATCAGGAGGCTCAACTGGGAAAGGACTCACTTTCAAGCCCAGTCATGTTCTTGGCAGATTTCCTCTTGCTGTATAACCAAAGGCCTGCTTTCTGCTGGCTATTGGCTGGAGGCCACTGTTTAGCCCTACAGGCCACCTGGAGTTTCTAGAGGATTTTACCAGGTGGACTTTCTTAACGTGGCTGTTACTTCCAAGCTAGCAAGGAAAACTTCTTCTCCAGTCTTCTAAAATAGAGTCTTATATAACGTAGTCACAGGAATGATATCCTCTTACTTTGCCATGTTCTATTGATGAAAAGCAACTCATAAGTCCTACCAATGTTTCAGAGAAAGAAAATTACACAAAAGCATGGATACTAGAAAGCAGGAAACCACTGGGGGGTCTGCTCAACAAACTGGAAACCAGGACACATATTCATTGACTCCTGTTCCCCCTTGTTTGAGAGTGGGCCCTGAGGAACAATAACTCTTCTGACCTCTGGAGCCGTACCCACACACAGACCAAAAGACACTTCACAGGTGCTGCGGGTGGGCACTGGCAGCATAAAAGGAGCCATCAGCCTCAGCTATGCCACAACCCGGTGAAGAGGGGTTGTGTTGTGCCACACAAAAGAGATTTGCTACAGTGTCATAAAGGGAACTGGAGAAAATAAAAAAATAGCTGAAGTGCAACTTAGTAAAGAAGTTTTATTCACATGAAAGAAGCAAATTGCATAGTGATTAAGAATTCAGACTCAGGAGCCAGACTGCCTAGTTCAAATATTGATTCTGTCGCATTGTATTGTCACTCTGAGCTAGTTATCTAACCCTCTGTGCCTCAGTCCATAAAATAATAAGAAAAAGAATTCCCGATTTGGGTAAGAATAAAAATAAGTAACAAATGTAAAATTTTACAACAGGATATGGCACATAATAACTACTAATGTACATGATACCTATTATTTTTATTAGACATTTCTGTTTATTAATAAGAATGAGCTAAGCAAAAGTGAATAATTAAAGATGTAGGAGACAGAGGAAGCAAAAGTTCATAGGAACCAATGTAGTAATAGAGTGGCTGCCTTAAATAGGAAGAAAGTTTATCCAATGAGGATATAAGTCAGTGTATATGGTACAGATGTTGATAGTCTAGTATTGTTGGTGGTGGAAAGTTAAGGGAGTTTTCTTCTCCTATTTTGTATGTGAAATCAGGAGTAAAGTGAGGAAGGCAGGTTAGAGATTTGAGAAAAGGGTAGGTGTAAAATAGAAAATTGACTAGGTCAGTGTTTTGAATTGTTGACTCTAATCCACTATAAGAAATATTTCTAATATTTCTAATATTGTGAACTCTTCTGCAATTCATATATACAATCTGGACCAAATGTTTTGTGAACAATACTTACTATTCCTATGTCTAATATACTCTGACAATTTCTATTCTCGTCTTCTAATTCATTGATAATGCATGTTGTCACCTCTGAAATTAATCTTATGTCCCTCCACTGGGTTGTGTCTCACTGTTTGCAAAATCCCTGAACTTGGGTAACAGGGTACAATTGTGGGTCAAGAATGAGAGTTCCAGGGCCCCATGTTCCAGGGCTCAAGTAAAAATCACAAAGTAGGTAGAAAATGGTGTTTATCAAGTAATGGGGTCTTGCCAAGTGATTACAAAGGAGGGGAGAAAGCGGAGGGAATTGAGAGTTATGGGACAATGGATGAAAACAATGAATAAGTAAATTTAAGCTGAGAAAGGAAGAAAATGAGATCAATGAGCCTATGAAGTGATAGAGCTTTCCAGTTTTGCTAAATATTTGGAATAGGAGTGCTAGAGTAAGAGAACTAGAAAGCTAACAGGAAGTTTTTAGAGATTATGATGCCTGAAATTTCAATTTTGGATGTGGTACAGTTAGAGGCTATTGGAAATTCAAAAATACAGGCATGAGAATAGATAAATGAAAGGAGATGGTGCAAAAAGGTCTTGGGGTTGAGCTATCAGAGGATTTGGATGGTTACATTTTGAAGAAAACAGAGCGGATTGGTGAATTACATAAAAAATAGTGCACTAGATGCTGAAATATTTAATGAATGAGGAGGAGTATCTAAATGTCTATTAATTTCTAGACACCAATAGGTGTCTGCAAGAAGGTATGATGGGTGTTGTGGTCAAGTGGCACTCACACCAAAGAATGTGAGACTTCTTTTTTGGAGAGGAGGGAGGAGGAATGGTCCTCATTGCCAGTGACAATGATGAGGGAGGAAGACATCTACCTGTCCCAGGAATGTGGGAAGGAAAAATTGGCCACCACTTGATAGGTCTCTGGGGAAAGTGGGTGGCCTGAGGGGTTTTTTTTCACTCAAGAATAAGAGTAACAAGGTGAAGAAAATGGTCAGAAAAGAGATTAAGGGTCTAGGGTGACTTTTTTGGATTCAGACTATGAATTTCAGAAGGCAGAAGGAAGCATATGAGGGCACAGAAATGGATGAAAGATTAGATCATAAATCTCAGTTTGTCCTGCACAGTCATGGCTTATTAATGTCATTCCAAGGTATCTGTTTCTTAATAGCACCTTGTTTCATTCTAAAAAGTGTTCTACCTTGGAAGTTAAATTATATAATCACCATACCCGAGAGAATAAGAATTTCAGAGACAATGGATAACCTGAGAAGTTTAGATTTTTGGTTGTACAAGTCATGACAGGAGTAATCCTGAAGAGCTCTTAGAAAGTTTGAGAGTAATGTGTTCTAATGCCAGCCCTTTTCCTGGGGTTGGTCCCTTAGGCAGCTGTGAAGTGGTGATGGGAGATATGTGCTCCCTGATCCTGGTCTTTGCTTGTTGACATTAACATAATAAAAGAGAGTAGACAAGCACTTTGTGTATTTAATCAATGTTTATCCGCTGCCTCCTTTCTTAAAAGAAGGTTTAGGAAATTTAAAAATGTAAAGTAGATAAAAATAATAAGGTATCAGTGAGGCAACTGAGATACATTAATTGCTATCATTGAGTCTTGAATTTTGCTTATTATTTCTTGGCTATTCAGCCAAAGTAACACAGTTTTAGAGCAACATCATTTTCATTGCTCAATAAAAGAAAATATGAAAGTCCATCTATAGTGTTAAGCTTTATCTTAGCATTGTATTAGAATGCTAAGAGGACAATTAGGTGCAACATAATGAATCTAGTTTTCCAGTCTGCTTTTTCAAAAGCTTTAGAACATTATTTAAATGTGCTGTTCCAAGATGAAACATATTTTAATGCAGAGGGCACAAATGCCTAATCCTCAATCCCTTTCTCTTAAAGAAAATGTTTAGAAATGTTAACGTTTTAATTAAAAAAATGATTAAAACTGAAAGTGTTGCCTTTTTTTTTCTTTTCTGCTTAAACCTAAAATGTATTGCAGGGTTAAAATTATTAACGTTATTCTTGGAAGAAATAGCATATCTAATTATAATTGTAGAAAATGAAGTTGTATCTGCGAGTTAAATCCTGCTCTGGTCTCCAGGAAAGCATCCAAATTATTTCATCATCCTAGACCTTATTGTTTACAGCCGTGTGAGACTATGAATCCATCAACCATACAGAGGGTTTCAGGATTATTTTTATTATGTAGAAGCGTTCTTATAATCGTATGTATCTTCATAAGATTTCTATGTGTTAGGCAACAAAGAGGAATTTAAATTAACTGATGATTGTATAAAAATTTTGTGTGAGTTGCATTAACATAACTGAAAATGACTGGTATTTGGGATTTTCTTTCTTTTATTTTTGCAAAGAAACTTCAACCACCATAATGAGGACAACTAAAACAGGAGATTGTCTGTATTGCCCTCATTATAAGACAGTATCTATTGTTTCTGCTTCCTATTTCACTGCATGCCTATCGAATCTGTAAACTTCTGATATCCTTCCAATACATTCTCTCACACTCCCGAGATAACCAAATTTGCCTTCTGTTGCCTTTGAGAAGCTTTGCTATGACATAAGTATGTTAACTTTGTGTTTGCTATGACATAAGTATGAAACACATTATTAACTCTGTGTTTTTCTGCTAGTTTTCTTACTAGAAGGCATGTAGTAACTGCATTATGTTTTTAAAACTTTTGGGTTTAGATTTGTATTTCTTTCAGATATCATACCGCACTGAGATTGACCTTTAAACTGGAATAAGTAGGACTTCGAACACCACTAAACCTGTATCAGCTCTTCTAATAGGAAATTTCTGCAGAAAGGGAGAGTTATTGTGAAAAAAAAACTTATTGTCTTTAAAATGTTAATTTCATCTGCTGCAGTATTACTAGTATGATAAAGATGGTTATTAATGACTAGAAGTATGGCCGGAGGTTCCTTTCCCAAGTGCTCACTTTTGTTAATCCTATAATTCAGATTCAAATGAAATAGGCTGTGTCCCATTCCCTGTGTGGAGGGATATTAGAGTGCTCCCGGACTGTCTAGGTATTCTAGACAGCCTGTTGTAGTTTTCTGCCTACACACCGCTCTGATCTCTTCCTTCCTCTTGATTAACTCAATTTTCTGTTACATATTCCTAGAGAGCTCCACCCGATTCCACACTGCAACACCCCAGGTGTGAAATACAGCCTCCATTTCTTGTTTTCCACAGAAAGCCCCATGCACATAAGGCATCTAAGTGAGTAGCAAACTTATTGAAGTTTGAGGCAGTGGAAAGAAAAGATCTTCCTCTGAAAACTCTGGACATTTGGTGGAGTCACACCTCAGCAAAGGACTTAAGTTAGCCCTAAAGTCTCCACCAAACCTGCCCTAAGAAAACTTAAGAAGAAACCTCAAAAGGACTCAATTTATTTGTTTAATAAATAACTTAAACTGCCGCCGGAACAAGGCTCAACAAGTAACAAAATTGATTTTGTTTATTATAATAAGGTAAAATTCCCAATGTCCAGCACTAACTTGTTTACAATTTTAAAACAAGCAAGCTTTTGACAGCTTTCTTCCCTGAATGATAACAGAAACTCACAGTACACCTGGCTCCCCACAGGAGGACATTTGCCATTGATTCCAAAGGAATTCTGTAATGATGTAAATGTGAAGGGATTGGGACATCTCTTGCTAAAAAAGGTCACACACACACACACACACACACACACACACGCACACGTAATATTTGTAAGAACATTCCATTACAGATTTTTTGTGGCACTTTTTAATAGTACGTCTCCGTGAACATATTATATCACTTCTGGGACTACATATTTTTGAGAGCAGAGGCCATATCTTACATACAGTAGATACCAAATAAATTTTAACACCGAACATTTACATAGAACTATGTTCTAGCAATTTTTTAAAGCAGATGAGGAAACTGAAGACTAGGGAGGTTCAGGTTACACAGATGGTTTGTGGTAGAGCCCAGATCTGAACCTTGCCTGTTGGGCCCCAAGGGACCCAAAGTTCAGGCTCTATCCCAGACCGCTCTGTTAGGTTGCATGGAGAATGCGATGCATTGTGCAAAGATTAACTGTGATTGTGTCTACTACAGGAGAAATAAGGAGCAGCTTAGCTTGCTAAAAAGTGAACACATTTAATTGGTTTAAACTTGCATTCATTATGCAAACTTTGCTTGAAATATTTCATTTGACAATTCTAGTAAATTAATACCTATTCTTAGTCTAGATAGTGCATAACAAATTACTGACGACAAATCCTAAGTGCGTTAAAGTAAAATTTTAAGACCAAAAGCACATGAATGCACTCAGTTATGATAATGTGAGATGATACAGTATTTTCTTTTTGCTTTCAATTTAATCATTTACTGTAAATATAATATGTTCAGTGAAAACTTTATTTATTAAAGCTAAGATGAAAAGGCTTTTCTTCACAGGCCTGTAAGCTCCCCAAATTCTAAAGCCTGTGAGTTTTTCTTGCTCTGTATTTCATTTACATGAACTTTTCCCTCAATGTTATAAATTATAAATGCTTGTGGTAAAATGAAAACATGGAAACACACAATGAATAAATATTTCATTTACCGAGGATTTATCACTCAATATCTTAGTGTATTACAGATAGTCTCATATTTATTTAAATGTGAGATTATAATAATTTGGAAACCTATCCTAGTTTTAAAATACTACTATAGTTTATGTCTTTTCCCATTTAATTAAAGTTTTCAAAATAAAATGATTGCATGATATTCCATCATCATATCACAATAGTGATAGCTGCTGGTTATTGATATACTGATGAGCCAAGCAGTAAGCTAGGATCTTTATGTGAATTATATAATTTATTCCTAATTTGTCCTTATTTGATATGCTAGAAATTTGAGGTTTCTGTGATTTCCCAAGGTAACACAGCAAGAACAAAGCTGAGATTTGGATCCACGTCTTTCTGACTGCGAAGTCTGTGTGTGATCATTGTTTCCATTGTCCTCAATTATGGTACATTGTATCACAGTAATGGATCATACATCATTTAATTACTTCCCTGTCATGGAACATTTAGTTTATTTTCAGTTATTCATATATTTAATGCCACTGAGACAAACATCCTTGCATGTGAGTAGAATCTTTACACTATTCTCTTACTTCTTTTGGATAAATCCCTTTTACTTGATTTCATTGGTAATTCTGCATCACATCTTGTGTATATTGACACCCTCTGCTCCTTTCACCTCTGGCTTTCTGAGCCTCTCATTCCCTATTGGTTAACTCATGTCCTTGGTGCCTGGGAGTTTTCCAATTGGCCCTGTTCCCAGGGGAACACTCCTTAAGCTGAAAAGTCTCGTCTCTACCCTCATCTCCCATCCCTGATTCACAGGCCCCTCTGAAGCTCCTGGCCGCCACAGTCAGTGAGCATTACCTGTTACCCCACCTGACACAGGTCCCCACACAACAGCACAGTGATGCCAAACAGTTGCTGCCTTCTGGACAGTCACTTGTTCCACCTGCTGTTGACCTTTCTAGTTCTATTTATCTCTGGAGATTTGGCAATTCTGATTTTTAAAAATATATGCAACTTACTTTGCATACATCTTCTTGACTAGCAGCATTTATGTGGCAAAACTTGTTAATTTTTATTAAATGTTTTCTGTGTGGCTTTGTTCTGCATTCCTACCTTAAGACTATTTCTCTCGTTCACATGCATGTAGAAAGTAGAAACCACAGGGAACAATGTACATTCTGAAATGCTTAATTTGCAGACATTGTGAAATTTTACTCATCAATGTGTTTCAACTCTTTGGTACATTTCTAGCATTTTGCTTAATATGTTTTATATGAAAAGGCAAATTTTAAATACTTAAGTTTCATAAACCACCAAATAATCAATAAACCCAGTTACTAAAACCCTAACGATTGTCAAACTTTAGAGTAAGAAAAAATGACCTAGAAAATGTATTGAAAAGTGAAGGCTTCTATACTTTTCCCCTACTAGCCTGTTACTCCTGTGACTGATTCATGAGGGATCTCTATTTTCAGCAACACCAGGGTGATTCTGATGCTGATGGTCAGTGAAACACACTCTAAAAATTATACAAGCGAATATATCAGCAAGTTTGCCTTCATATTTGTTAACTGAAAAGCAGTGAGTGTTCTGCTCTGTCCTCTCCCTTGAATCCTAACAAAATAAGTAAACAGAAAAGATGTGGCTAGCAGAAACTCCACAATTCTAACCTCTCAGCTATGCCCAGATTTTCTGTAGGGATACAAAGGTACAGTCACAAAGGGAAGAGAGAATGAAACAAAACAGCCCTTGCCATTTCCCATGCACCAACTATCACTCCATACGGAGGCACATCAGTGAGTATCTCTTCTTTAATCTCACGTATACCTAGAATTTAGGATATACCAAATGGCTTGAGAAGAATATGCTCCAAATCCATGACACAGTAAAATTCCTCTATAAAACAAGATTTAGGGTGTGTTCTTTTAAATTAAAGTGCTCTGTTTACCTGACTAGCTATTTCAAAGCTCTAGCTTCTTTTTGTTGCCTGTTTTTTAGCATTATGCTCTTTTGTTTTACCTTAAGACTCTATATTGCATGTCTTATTTGAAATATCTAAAGTTTAAAATGCAGCCTCATAATGTATCTATTTGCTTAATTTAAAACATTTAAGCAAAAGTAATAGGTTCTGCTTCTTAGCTATTGATGGGATAAAGAACACAAGGACAGGTGGGGAGAGAAGAGCTTCTTGGAAGAAAGATCAGATCCTACTTCTCAAGATTTCAGTCCTCAAACCTAGAAAACCAGAACTGGTGAAGAGGAAATAATAAAGGGGGTCATACAACTGATCCCCTCTCCCCAGAAAGCAAAACACATAGGTCTGTCCTACATGTCCTACGTGAGAAGAGCAGGGCTGGGAACTACCTCTTACGTGTTATCTTCCAAGTGACATTATCAGTTCACAGCACAATATAGGCATTGCCTCTGAGGCTCATTGCTATGCATTTCTTTCCCTATTCTCTACTTCTTGTGTGAAGATTTTCTTCTCTCAGGGCACACATGAGCACGGTGGTTTCCTGTTACAGAATGTTCTCCCAGCCTAACATGGAAAAAGCTCGTAGATGTATGCCACTTTCTTTGCTTTGTGGTTTCTCAAGATATTTTTTGAAGCAAGGCCTGACTTACAACATTTTATAAATAACTAATGGGAATTTTGGCAAACTCATAAGAATCATTTCTTGAATTTCTAAACATAAGTGGTTTTTAGTTGCTTTTCCTCAGGTGGTTAGAGAGTGGCCTTTTGGTTAAAAAAAAAAAATTCACTGCAGTGTTTGAACCTGGCAATGATGAAGTGACAGTCGCAAACATAATTTTCACATTGGCTAAAAATTTTCAAGTTGAGAAAAAGAATTCTTTAGGCAATATGCAGTCTGATCTTAGCCAGGTACCTAACACACATGTGCATTTATTCATTCATCCATTTATTCATCACACACCAAATATATTCAGTGTCTACTGCTCTACATGTTAGGCATACAGTGGTCAAGAAGACAGAGGAGAACCCTTGGGGGTTACATTTCAATATGGGGCAATTATTGGTGGCTACAAGTAGGTTCGTGCAATTATTGGTGGTAGGATTTGAGCTGGCCTGAACCACAATATTCAGACACTACCCCTTCTGTCTGCCCCTCTCACTATCCCAAGGGAGAAGGGATTCCAAAATCTCAACACTTCACTTTCCTGTATTAAGCTGTGAATGCAAACAATTGTTCTAGTCATTCAATGTCTTCTGAGGAAAAACAATTCAGTGCAGAATCTAACATACACCATGTCTATCATGTAAAATTTATGCCACAGAAAATTAGTATGTGCTGAGAATAAAAAACCTAACTTTTATTATTTCTCTTTTTTCCTTTATGACCTGGGCAATATAATTTGATGAATCAAAATTTGGCCAGGCACAGTGGCTTATGCCTGTAATCCCAGCACTTTGGGAGGCCAAGTGCTGACAGATCACTTGAGGTCAGGAGTTCAAGACCAGCCTGGCCAACATGGTGAAACCCTTTCTCTGCTAAAAATACAAAAATTAACCAGGCGTGGTGGTAGGTGCCTGTAATCCCAGCTACTCAGGAGGCTGAGGCAGAAGAATTGCTTGAACCTGGGAGGCAGAGGTTGCAGTGAGCCATGATCATGCCACTGCACTCCAGCCTAGGTGACAGAGTGAGATTCCGTCTCAAAAAAAAAAAAAAAAAAATTAATGGCCAGAGTTGTATAGGCATGCAATTGTGAACACCTTTCTTGGTCCTTAGTGTCCTACATGAAAGAAAAGAAACACACACACAAACCTGTAGATGAAAACTTTACAGCCATGTGCTCTAGACACACAAATGTCTAGGCGGTAGTATTTTTACTAGATCCTCAAAAAGTAATATTTTTACAAAGAAAGAGACAATGAGTAAAGACATTGTAAAAAGAGAACTAATCATGAGCAAGGCACAAATTGAAAAATGAAGGATACAAGGAGATTGGGGAAATTAGTACAGAAGGTCCTCAACTTAAGATGGCTCGATCTGATATTTCAACTTTATGATGGTGTCAAAGAAATATGCATTCAGCATTCTCCTACACTTATGAGACTACATCCCAATAAGCTTATTTTAAGTTGAACATATGGTAAATGGAAAATGCTGTTTTGATTTGTAATATTTTCAATTTACCATGGGTTTATCAGGATGTAACCCCATCATAAGTCAAGAAGCATCTGTATTTAAAAGTGATTTTGTGTTTAGAATTTATCCTCTAAAACCCTATAGAAAGCTCTTAGGCAGAATGGCATGATCATATCTGCTCTTTGATGGCCCTTGAAAAAAGAGAAGAGGGAAGAAATTGGAAGCATAAACACCATTGGAGCTGAGTGATGCTGAAGATTTAATCTGGGGTACTGGCGGGGGGGAATATTGATCAGGAATGAAGTGAAGAGTGGGAACAGCTGACATAGGGTACACCTCAACCTCATGAATGCTTGGATTGGGAGTAGCAGAAGCAGAAGTTCACTCACTAGTGTCCTGAAGTTCTTTCACATCATCTGAAGCTTTTTAAAAACATGCATTATGCACTTACTATGTGCCAGGCATTGTGTGATGTGTTTTACAGGCATTAGCCCACTCCTTACATCCACCGTGTCTTGACTTGCATTCAAGTGTGTGGGTGGGGAGAGTGGCTGATTCATCTTGCACTTTCTCATAGAAGCACAGTCCTTCTAGTCTCTGTTTTAAAAGGCTACATATGACTGCACTGGGAAGGCATCAAATGACTACAGTACAAACAAAGTATTTAATGAATGAAATTGTGTCTACAATTCTCAAAAGTTTGGCAGTTTTTGGCAAAAAATAGAGGATGCTATGGAAAGAAGAGAGAGGAATCAAGGATTCTCTGTTTCAAGCCTAAGTAAGTGGAAGAAGGGCACCATTGTGTAAATAACTCAGGAGAACCTGATTTGATGTGGTAGTATGTGTTTGTCTTTTTGCATGAGTTTGAAGTGCTAGGTTAACAGGGGGCTCGCAGGGGAGCTGATATAAGAGCTGTAGGTTTATACGGATATCAGGTAACTTCTTAGGGCTTTGAATATTTAAGGAGGTGAAAAACAAGATGATTCTAGGCACAAAGAAGGGAAAGCATTTTATTTTGGAGATGATACTAAAGGGGCTGATCAGAGCAAAGTCAGTTGTCAAGACTTCAATCTGGAGTCCAGGAATGGAGATGGAGACAAAAGGGAAGCCCGTAGTCAAAGTCAGATTTGGCAAAACAGAATTGGGATCCAAGATAAAAACAGTCTTAAGATGGGAATAAAGAAAAAGTAATGATTACCAGGAGCCCCCAGACACACACTGCATGGAACAGAAGATCTTGCTGCTTTTCATTTGCTGAAGAAGCACCAGCCATTTCTTCGGGAAACTCTTTATGATTTTGCCTCCTCGAGAATTTTACCTGCCTTTTCAGTTAAGCATCAAGATTTATCACACTGACTTCTGGCTAGGGATGAATAAGATGTAACTTGCTGAATACCACAAATGAGAGACCTGGAAGCTACTATGAGCCATGAAATTCCCAAAGGCCATCACTGGTGAAATACTGGTCGGGCTTCTGGGAAAGGTGAATAAGAGCATCATGGCAAGATGTCAGCAGTAAAGCAGAGTGGAGACTGAAGCTAAATTGTTCCCAACTCAGGCGTTCTCTGCTCATAGAACAATAGCAGTGGCTAAGGTACATGATTGAGTGCTAACTCTATGCCAACTCTTTTCATGAATTAACTCTGACAAAGCCCTGTCAAGTAGACTCCTCTACCCTCCTCAGTACAGGTCCTATAAGTAAGGAAACTAAGCACAGAAAGCTTAAGTGACTTCTCAAATCCCACAGCTAGTAAGGATAGAGCCGGAATTTGCATCAAGACACTCTTACTTGGAAGTCTTAGCACTTGGGGTTACTATGACGACTGCCAAACAGCCATGACCTCCCAGGCAAGTGACTGCTAATGTCTAGCTGGACAGCTAGGGAAGAAGCCAAGGAAGGGATTGACAGGGAGAATCTAAAATACACATAATTTTCATAGGGTGTTAGAATTAGTGCCCATTTTAAGAAGCAGATGTTCTGCTTTTCATCCAATTTGAACCTTACAGTTTCACAGTGTTTCAAACCAGGCAATCCCATACGAATGCCTCAGCAATCTTTGCACTACGTATTCTGAAAAACTGAACATACAAGACCCAGTCATCAGGTGATCATTATGAAGAGACATGTTCTACAGTGAAAAGAAAAATCTTTTCAGTATCTTATTGTCTTAATTGACCTTTTGTTAACATGAAATGAATTGTACATGTGACTTGTTTAAAATCATTTATTATTATCAGGAGTGCCTTTTAGGTGGACCGCTCTGTATGACTCTCATGCTTCAAAACTATTTTTTATTCAAGTGACTTACAATGGCCCTAGGAAACAAGTTCTGTTATTATCCCCCATTTTAAAATGATGAAAATGGACAAAGCAAAAGCAAGCAACTTAACCAATACCCCATGGCCTCACAGCCTTTAGAATAGTCATATTATATAAATATGGCAATAACAATGCACTGAAAATGTCTCCAAAACAAACTCTACATTTTAAAAAATGTATAACAGGAATCTAAGGAAGGGGTCTTACTTCTCTGATTCAGGGAGTGCGAAATCCCTTAAACTCATATCAGACCTGTGATGAACAAACTCACACTAAGTTTTAAAAACTGCTTAATTTACTTTATCATGACTAGTAATATATAAGAATTTTGTATATACTTTATTAAAAATAACTTTGGAAAACTATTTTTGCCTGATCAGCAATAAAACTACTGATAAGATAAGCTGGTTATCAAATAATTCCCTAGTGTTAATCTGGCAAATAATTGTTATAACCCAATCTTGTGAATTGAAGACAGGCACATTATAGATAATCAAAAATATTAGAAACACATTTAAAATGTCCATATGTTTAGTATAAATAGAAAATTCATTGACTAAAATAAGTCATGAAACATGGACTGGAATTTTGTGAGCTATTAAGTTTCATTTTGTTTTACTGTTTTAAAATTTAAATAGTTTGGCTCATTTCTACATTTGTTAAAATTGTAATCTTAAAATATTAAAAAAATAACTTTACAAACACACAGATATGACTAGCCATTTTATCTAAGTTATAAAATAGTTACCCCAGGGAGCCTTCAAGATCCCTATATTTTAAAGCTTATTTCAAAAACCATCACTACTTCACATTTTTAAACTGCATCCTTGCATTACAGAACTGTAAATGTGTTGTCATACAGTAAATATCCACATCCCAATTCTAATTACACCATTCTTGTTGTTAACACAGAGCACTGCTTCTAATAAAAGCATGGCATAGTTCTACAGTTTCAATGGCAAAATTAAAGGTTTTTTTTGTTGAAGAGATAATGAAGCAATCACCAAGATATTTGAAACAACAAAGTTAACATTACAATGATTTCAAGAAAAACTAAGAATATATACACTTACATAAAACAAAAAAAAGGAATAATTCACTTTATGAGAGAAGAAAAGAGAGACAGATTTTTAAAATATTTGGATTCTTTAGCCCATATGGAAATTAAAAAAAAAAAAAAAACTGGAGAGAGAAACAGAAAGAGACAGAGAGAAAGAGAGAGATGCTACTTGACATTTTAAAGACCAAAAACTTGCAGTAGTAAAAATACATTCTGAAAGTATTTTAAAACTTAAATTTCACTGGCAAAAGTAGGTAACAGAGGAGACACAGATTCAGTGCAGGATTTTATATACAATAAAACCTAAAACTAAACTCCACCAAAATGAAATTGTAATAGTCAATGCCTGGCTAGAAATCTCCCTTTGCACAGTGAAAAGGTCACATTACAAGAATAAAATAATAGCAAGAATGCAGTCTACACACTTTAGATGTTCAGGAAAACAACAGTTTCCAAGCACCACATGAACACTTAATTAACTGGAGATAATGTTAAAGCAAGGTCTCTACAATTTTCCATTAGGTTGTGCTTCAAATAGTCTATAATAAGGACTTGAATTAATTACATTTTATTGCACTATAAATTGGCTGTTGTCATTATACCCAAATGTAACAAATAAGGCAGACTTTAATTTCTCTGTAGACCTCCTTGGATAGAAGATAAGTAATTTAAAAATATGTAAAAATTGAAAAATTTGTGTACTTGTTTATAGTGTCTCTCTGTAAATGTGCATTTGACCAAAGAGATTCCATCCAAATAATGAGAGAAAAACCCCCACAAATAGCATCTTCTGCTTTAAAAAATTCTTGGTTTGTAATTTTTTTTAAAAGTCATAAAGCCACTGGCTTTCAGAGACTTATTAGAACACACTCATCTCTTCATGCATGCTTCTGCTAGTGTCCTAAATTTGGGCTCCAAATTATCCAAAAATTCAAGCCCATCTTCTTCTTGTCGTTCACTGCAACAACCTACAGACCCAGCCACCGATCCTCTTCCTTCATAGTTATATGTCAGGACATAGTCTTGGGCATGCTTGTGATTTTCATCTTGATTACACAGATACACTTTCTGCCAAGGGGAAAAACACAACGTTTTTATTATTATTATTTTAAACACCAAAATTTACTAACATAAAAGTAATTGCTTTGATTTACCTTTCATTGTTTAATTTTTAATCAGAGTGTGTCCTCTAATGGATTCCTATACATAAAAAATGCACATGATTGGTCTGTTTCATACATCACACTATAAATTCAGTATAGCATGTTTCTAAAAGTCACGCATGTGGCAGCAAGTATACAGGTGTTCATTTTACATAGTCACTACTTTCCCTTTCAAAATTTTAGCTGAAAGTGACATGCATCCATTAAACTGAAGACAAATTGATATGGGCTCAGTTCTTCCCAGATAGACATAGTGATAGTACATGCTGGTCTTGCTGGTACCACATTTTTGGTTTCTAAGGTACAAGTTGTCAGATGGGAAATATTAGCACAAAGCCATGAGACAGTAATTTAAATCTCATCACACATTATTTAGTAATTCTTTCAATTAAAAAAATAGGAGGGGAAGTAAATAACCACTTAAATCTGAACATAACTAAATTAAAATTGAGGAAAAATAATAGCTTTCAATTAGTAGAATTAGTAGATTCATAATTAATTGAAAATTATAGTCAGAATCCAGTTAGTTATTTATAAAGTTTAAAGAAAATTAAAATAGATTTGTAGGCCACTTAGGAAAACTCACTTCACCAAGACGGGGCTGAGTAAAACTGTGCCACTCCGAGTAAGTGTATCTGCAGTTGTCCACCTCCGTGTGTCCTCCCCTGCAGGAGTCCAGGGTGTGATGGTGGCCAGCCCCCCGGCAGGATTCCGAGGTCTGGTGTCCTCCTTTCACCATTTCGATGGTCTCCTGACCTCCGTTTTTGATTCCTGATCCCACGGTGCCACAAACTCCCTGAGCAGAAGCGCCCACAGTTTGGGTTGTGAAGCCATTCGCAGAATACTGAAATGAAAACAATTTGCATTAGGGATAATACAGAGAGGAACACAAAATTATGAAAAAGAACAACATCAAGCGGATAATGCCTTTTTTTGTGTGTATGCTAGAAGGTAAGCTCTCTGAGAGCAGGAACTAAATCTATTTTGTGAATCCTGCATACCCAACTATGGAAACCCCATAATTTAACGTAGTAGCCACACAAGCAAACTGTCAAGTGGTTGGTACCTGGAGATAAATTAGGAAGCTTGATGTATATTCCTTCTTTAAAAATCTCTTAGAATACCTGCCCATTGTGGTGGCTCATGTCTATAATCCCAGCACTTTGGGAGGCCGAGGCAAGCAGATCACTTGAAATGAGGAATTCAAGACCAGCCTCGCCAACATGGTGGAACTCCGTCTCTACTAAAAATACAAAAATCAGCTGGGCATGGTAGTAGGCACCTGTAATCCCAGCTACTCGGGAGGCTAAGGCACAGGAATCGCTTGAACCTGGAAGACGGAGCTTGCAGTGAGCTGTGATTGTGCCACTGCACTCCAGCTTTGGCAACAGAGCCAGATCTTGTCTCAAAAAAAAAAAAAAAAAGCCTCTTAGAATACTGTACAACTCTAATTCTTCAATCCTTCCTACATCTCACACCTCAAAATAAACACTGTTGTCTCACATATACTTACTCTGCTTAGTTTAAATTAATTCCCTTTTACCTGACTAAAGCAGAAACAGAAGTAATGATCAATATTTCCATTTAGTATCTAATTCAGTTATACTTCAACTAAATCAAAAAGAATAAAACTATAATTGCCATAAAAATCTTAACTGCAACATTAAACCCTTGCCATCTAAATATATATGAATAAACTAGGCAGGGAAAATAACAAGAACACCAAAGCTTTGGCCACTAGTTATTTATGTTGCATTTTTGGAAACTCTAATATTATTTAAATTTTATTTTTTCATTACCTTCCTGGATACTGTCATGCTTTTGTTTTCTAAATCTTTCTTGCCCTAGTCATCAATTACACTTCTTATAGGGTATTTACTTGTTCCTTTTCCACATATTGAGCTAGAAAGCAAAGTTGGAGAAATGACCACTTGCTAGCATTGCTATTTCATATATTTGGCCTCAGGCTGTTTCCTAACCCATATTAGAGCCAGAAAGAATCTATTAAAGTTCTTCCCACGATGATCAAGGCTTGTAGTGATTTTATTGTTGCCAGAAAATGTAAAACCATGTTGGTAAACCGTGAATAATTAAAAGCAGCATTTTTACAGCACAAACAGCAGTTGAAATATATACAAAAGACAAGGCTTAAAGTTGAAACCATGAATCATCTGAAGTAAAAATAACAATGACATACTCAAGCATTTTTACTATTAAGTAACACACTACGGCCAAATTTAAATACCATATATCATCATGTAAATCAAAGTCATTTTATCTGTTTCAGGGGACCCATGACATTCTATGGTAAATTGCCTGATACCAAAAGAACTTTTCTGAGAAAAGATCATTTTAGAAGGAATACGCATTATAAGCGAATTCATCCTTTGTATTTATTTAAAAAGCCAGACTACTTACCACTTTGTCATCTCCAGGAGCTTCTGTGTTTGATACAATTAGGTTCTGCTGGGCTAAATCATCAGGAATTACTTTTGGTTGTTTAGACGTCCCAGAAGCCCCACAGACCAGCGTAAACAGGATGCCTGGAGGAAGAAAGAAATATACTTGAGTTTATCATAAAATAATATGAAGTTATAAATGTACAATGGTTAATACACACATAAATCATAAACTTAAAAGTGTATATTAAAAGAAGACAGCTTTCCTGGATTGCTTGTGTCAAAGCAGTATACAATAGAAAAGTTTAAATAGATATGCTATTTAAAAGTTTAAATAGCATATCTACTTAAACTTTTAAACAGATATGCTATAATTATGTTACATGTTCTGTTTCTACATTGAATTTTATGTCTATAATAACTAAGACACTAGAACTATACATAAATGCACTTAAAATATGTAAATTAAATATATTTATATATTAAATAAAAATACAGCTACATGCAAATGATCAGCTATAGGAAATAGCACTGATTCTTAGAATGTGTCTTGAAAGTTGCCAGGTGTGTTGACTCACGCCTGTAATCCCAGCACTTTGAGAGGCCGAGGTGGGGGGATCACTTGAGGCCAGGAGATAGAGACTGGCCTGGCCAACACAGTGAAATCCATCTCTACTAAAAGTAGAAAAAATTAGCTGGGCATTGTGGCGCACACCTGTAATCCCAGCTACTCGGGAGGCTGAGGCATAAGAATCACTGGAATCCAGAGGCAGAGTCTGCAGTGAGCGGAGATCACACTACTGCACTCCAGCCTGGGCTCTGTCTCAAAAAACAAAAAGTGTCTTGAAAGTTACTTTAAAGGGTATTATTTGAATTCAAGAAAGGACTTAAGACTTACAAAAGAGCAATGCTATGCCCAACAATATTGCAAGGATGGCCCACTTTCCAAGTTGTACTCCTCCACCGCCAATCCTTGGATCTACACGATGTGTGCAGTCATTTTCGGTAATGCAGTCACACAGTGTAACATCCAATGAAGTGACACTAGACATGCCAAGTCTATCTCTCACTGTTATAGGTACTACATATGAGCCAAATGGAGGATCATTCTGATAGGAAAGACGTGCTGCTGTATCTGAAAATATAAATAAATAAAACCAAACATTATACAATGTCACTGATTTCTTCTGAACATAAATAACTCATTATCAGATAGTTATATTTTCCTAGAAACAGATATTCCTGATGGGATGGCATAGCTGCTAGAAGATTCTAAATGTGAATGGCTAGAGTAGTTCTAATCTATACCCATTGCAAACATATTACATATAAAAGTTTGTCTATGCTGCCTCTTAAACAAAGTCTTTTGGCTCTTGTAATAATATATTTTATTTGTGTGTAAACAAATCCTTCCTATCACAACTAATAGACTTGTTAATAGATTAGTTTTTACCATATCTTGAAAATATTTAATTAAACCAGTGAGTGTACATTTTCTTTTACACATGCTTCATCGAAGTAATAGTCTGAAATTCTGGATGTTTTCCTTTACTTCATTTTCAAAAATTGTGCCAAATAAACATAAATACTTGTGACTTACTGTCAGAGACTAATTCTGACAACTTAAAACACCCCTGACAGTGACTACATTAGCAGGTCATGAGTCACACAGCTGCAGCTGCATCTCCTGGTCCTAAAGGACAAAGGGACCAACTGCACGTGTCTTAGTTTTGATGTAGTTTTCTTAGATAAAGGCTAGAAAATATCTAGAACCGAAAGCCCATACAGATTCTTTTATGGCTTTTATGGTGCATAAGCATGATGATAGGGTTTTTATGCTCATGTGTGAGACACACGTCTCTCAAACCTTATTACGACAACAGTACATTACCTGTATGACTTGAATTTAGAAGAAGAAAAAAACAATAAAAAACTAAAAAAAATTTAGAAGCCAATACAATCTTGGTTTTGGAGACTAGATATACTACTACTCTAAATGCAGATACCAGGTCCCATAGAATAATCCCTCTCCCACATAGCTGCCCAGTATGACATTCTCATTTTCTGCATAGTATTTGAAGCTCTAAATACAAATTTGAATGCTTGGGTAAAAACACATTGAATTAAGTCCATCTTAAGAGAAGCCATGGTTAACCTGTTAAGTCTATTTTGTAAAAAATTATAATGAGACTAGCAAAACCAAAACTTATAATTCCTAATGTGTCATGGTGTATTACATGCATTATCTCATTTACTCCCCCAAAAATCCCATTTTAGTAAATTGATGCTCAAAGACAATAAATAGCACGGTCAGATTTACTTAACTAACAAACAGGGAAGAACCAGCGTTTTTGACACTAAGCTTAACTGACTTCAAAGCCTCTTTAGGGTATATTCTTCTTAAAACTTGGGTGTTTCCCAAGCTTATAAGTGATTACTCAGACAAGTACATCTTTAAAATAACAAAGATGTTGACAAACATACAGCTGCCAAAGTTTTATTTTGCTAAGTAAGACTATTGGGAAAAAAAAATGTCCACTTTCTATCAACACTATTTAAAAATTAATATCATGACACCAAATAAGTAGAAAAGAAAAAAATCTAAGAATAAAGTTAATTCTTCCTCCCCACCCCAAAATAAACTGATAACCCCGATACACACACACGCACACACACACACACACACACACACACACACGCACACACAACAGAATATTGTTTAGAAAGCTGAAAATCTTGTTAGTTCACAGAGCAGGATCCAAGACATAGTAGTTTAGCTTATTTCTATAAGTCTTCATCTTTCTTTTCCCCATCCTGTTCTCCCTTTACGTTCCCTCATAACCTTTCTTTTCTAATTTGTCATAACAGGAAATTGAGGGATATTCACTGAAAGCATGGGGCTGAAAAACATTCAAGGGCATTTAAAAAGCAAGCCTCATTCAGTGGTTCTAGAGTCACGAAAGCTGGTAGACCATGACATCATGGTCCATAGGCAGTGTGAGCAGGAGATGGGGAACATGCTGAAGAGTTACGCGCCAACTAGGGAATGAGGCAGTGGTGATAATGTAGACAGGTTGCCTTCATTTTTGCCATACTTATCACTGTAGATCCTTCTGGGCTAAAGACAAAAGTACACATGGGGAACCGAGTTAGGGGAGAATCCCAAGGAGAATACAATAGACATGAAATAGTCAGAAGTCAATACAGTGGCAGAGAGGAGAGATAACGTGGTGGACACTGTGGTGTATATCTGATCCCTTTTCAAAGAAGGACTTGCATCCCAGCTGCTTGGGAGGCCATCAGCACCTTCCGGGATTGTGCCTTTTTGCCATGGGCAGCCCACATACACTGATGGAACAATAAGAGAGAATAGGGGATCGATTCAGGACCACTCTGAAGGCCCATTTAGCTCAGACTCCCCCTGGGGTTCACTGAGGTTGTCATTTGGCTTGTGCTGCAGCTTGACTTCTCTTTTTGCCCAATCCTACTTCTCCTCCTTTCAAAGCTACTGATCCCAAGCAAATTCCTTAGTCATCATTCTGCTTGAGATGCCCTGCCTCAGGGTCTGCTTTCTGGAGAGCCAACCAGTAACAAATGAGGACTCCCTTATGACCCAGGAAACTATAAAGAAATCTATGCCAGTGAGAGGTACACAAGTTAGGAAATGACTGCATTAGACCAAGTCTAAGAGAGAGAAAGAGAGAAAGAGAAAAAATGTGTGTGTGTGTGTGTGTGTGTGTGTGTGTGTGTGTGTGTGTGTGTTTGGAGTAGGAGGGAGAATTCACAACACACCTAAGGGAATCTCGGCATAGGATTAGAGACACACTAGAGAGACCTACTCCCAACACACAAAAACTGAGAAACTTTCATTGGTGTTTCCCACATGGTGAATTTTCTCCTATTTCATACAAAAAAAAAAAAGTATCGCAGACATCCTGATGTTGAAAAGGACAAAGCAATTTTCAAAAATATATACCATTAATTGCTTTCAGTCTCCACATTCTCTGTACTTCTGAAGTAGAACTCTCCAGACTAAAGTCAAAGGGTGGGCCATGGATAGGCTCATCAGGATCAACCGCAACAATCTCCGCAGATGACATGGTGGGTTTGCAGATGATCACTGTCTTTTTAGGTATGAATGGGCTGTTATCATTCACGTCTTGAAGTATAATGCCCAGTGTCCCCGTACATGTTCTCCCTCCTAGAAAAATGAAAATAAAAATAGTTTTTCTATGTTTTGAGTTTTCACCACAAAAGTATGCACTGAACACATTGAAAAATATTTATTAAGCACCTATAATGTAGAAGTTACAATGACAAGCAGTCACAAGCTATGTCCTCAGGGAATGTTACAAGAAAAATAGTATTACTTTCATATGGGTTGTACAAACAATGACTGCTATTAAGATGTGTTTATTCATTCGCTAAATTATTATTAGAGGCAAGTTTTGGCTGATTTGTGAGAAGAGGAAGGAAGAGAGTATGAATGAGGACACTTCTGGTATATTTAAAAGCACAAGGAAATTCAAGGAGATGGAAACGCACGTTATACACACCCGTGATCTGGAGACAATGACAGGGAAGGTAGACAGGTAGAAACTGACATGGAAGCAGGAGCTAAGGGTCTTTGAAAGCCAGACTAGGGAGCTTAGAGTTTGTTGGATAAATAGGTAGCACTTAGGTTTTGGAGCAAAGAAACTGAAGTTACATATTTGAAAGATTGTAACAAAAATAGTACATGGGAATATTCAAAGGGCAGAAGACTCCAGGAGTAGAAAATTACTTGAAAACTGAAATAATCACTGTGGGTTGTAGCCTAAGTAATTCATCTATCTGTATATTCAATAGAAACTTACAGGATAGACGGGGCACAGTGGCTCACGCCTGTAATCCCAGCACTTTGGGAAGCCGAGGTGGGCAGATCACCTGAGGTCAGGAGTTCGAGACCAGCCTGACCAACATGGAGAAAGCCTATCTCTACTAAAAATACAAAATTAGCCAGGCATGGTGGCACATGCCTATAATATCAGCTACTCGGGAGGTTGAGGCAAGAGAATCGCTTGAACCCGGGAGGCGGAGGTTGCAGTGAGCGGAGATCACACCATTGCACTCCAGCCTGGACAACAAAAGTGAAACTCCATCTCAAAACGAAAAAAAGAAAGAAAAGAAAAGAAAAGAAAGAAAGAAACTTACAGGATGACGACTTTATATAAAGCACTGCACTGGAAAATCTGGGGGATTCAAAGATGAAACAGCCATGGACCCACGCCACAGATTAGTAATGCAGTTGTGAAGTCTGAAACTGAACACAAACCCAGGAGTTCTGTCTCTAAATCATTCATTCTTTCTGTTTAAAAAGAAGGCTTTTGACATTACAGGTGGAAAACAGAATTTAAAAACCCTGTGCCATCCACTGCCTGGGGCTGTGTCTTATATGAAGCTGCCAAGCTCGGGAAGATCTCCGAGCACATCCCTGAAGTCACAACCTCAGCCAGAGCACCTGCAGCACAGCAACTAGACTCGTGATAGAGCCAGCGTCATCATGGGTCAGGAGCACTAGGCCACCAAGTTAAGAACTGGTTCTAAACCGTGGGCCACAGAGAAAGAGCAGGTGAAGGCAACTACAAGACTAGTAGTTAATATGGGCAAAGTGGGAGAGAGGGAAAAAACAAAAACAGAAAGCAAAGCAAACACCTCTCATTTAATATAAGCCTGCAAACTAAAATTCCCAAATAATCAAGATTAACACTAAGAAGGAAAACCAACAAAAGCACCAGTCAAAAGATTAATTCATTCTATCCAAGACGTCTCTGAAACAGGTATGTTTAGAATCTTCAAAGACATAAAGAGGGGTAACCAATTAAACAAGAATGAAATTACAGCTCAAATTCCAGTAGAAAATAAACAGCAACATTTACCTACCAGGGATTCTAAAAAAGAGAATAGACAGAATGGCAGAGAAGCAATAGTTAAAGAGATTAATAGCTGAGAATACTCCAGAATTAAAGAAAAACATGGCTTTTCAGATTGAAAGTATTTTCTGACTGCAGAACTAGACAAATATAAAAAAATCCACGGCATACACATTGTACTAACACTGTAGAACTCAATTTAGGGTACTATAAAAGCTACCTAAATATATTAACTACAAAAGGACAATCGTTAATCGACAGAACAAGAAGCATCAGCAAGAAGAGATACCAGAAGATAATGGGTTAATAGCTGCACAGTGCCATGGGAAAGAAGCTGTTGACTCAGAATTTTAAACCAAGTCAAAGTGTCACTTAAGTATGAGGCCAATATTAAAATATTTTTCAGAACAACAAAACTGAGAGAGTTTAAAATTCACATTCCACAATTGAAAAAAATATAGTAAAGGATGTACTTCAGCAAGAAGAAAAAAGAGCTAGGAGAGAAAACAATGAGAAGCAGGAAACAACGCAACTACCTTCCATTTTTGGACAACTTTGAAAAAGAGTATTTACATTAGAAAAAGGAAGCAGGTGGATAATATATATTTCATGTATCTGGCATATGTTTCTATTCATTAGAGCAGAATAATTTCTGTCCCTCAACTTCTCCTGTTCTCATGCTATGTGGTGTTACCTTGCTCTCTCTGAAAATTGGGACTGCTGGTTGTCTTGAACATTTGTTTCCCTTTGAGTCCACACACACAATTGAGAGCACATGCCTTACCTATTGAATCTGGTTAATTGTGCTATCTTTAAAAACTGAACTCTATAGTGCTTGCTCTTCTACAACTGGGATAAATGCTTCAATTTCCTTCCAGTAGATGTTTACAGTTGCTCACTGATTAAACTCCAATCTTTTTTTGCACATTGTGATTAATACTGTCATAGAAGAACATTTAAGACCTCAGATATCTAATCCACTGTGTTTCATAGCTGTTTTTCATATGCTGATGAGTTATACATACTGTTTTATTCATTGGAATGTCAGCATAAAATGCTCATCTTCTAGTAATAATATAATTCTACATGGACAAAGGCTAATTCCAAATATGAAGTCACATGAGGTGCACTATCCATGGTTTCATGCTTTATGTGCATGATGCTCTTCAGTCAAATGTTTTAAAATAGTTGCAAGTAACCCCATTCTAACAGCTGGAATAATACAATAGAAACATTAATCTCAAGCTCAACTAGATAGAGGTGATTTCTGGGTAAAGCTGCCCACACAATTTAGATTAAGAAGTTAAGAAGAAAAGATAAATTGAATTTAAAGCTTAAGAAATATATATGTTTAGGAGAGGGGAAGGCAGTTAAGACCAGAAAGCATGCAGGAATGTGTGGGCAAGTTTAGACATAGAAGCCTTGAGAGAGAGTTTTAAAAAGAGGAAGCAATTGCTGCGGAGATGTAGGAAGGCAGGAAGTGAGCACCAGCCCAAGACAGCAGTATCCATGAGGGAGGAGAGGTTTCCATTAGGGAGTGGCAGGGAGAACCCAAATGAAATTAGCCAGTATAGATTTTAGAAAAAGGTTTTTCAAAAAATGACACACTTTTGTATAATCTCATTTCATTCAATTCACAAAGTAAACACATGTGGAATTACTGATTCACAGTTCTCTCACACAGAGTAACACAATGACTCCCACCCTCTTCAAAAGAAATGAATGCGAACAGCCTCATTACACATTTATTCTATATCACAATGATGATAAGCAGTGCCCCATCTCAATTCCATAACAAATATTTGATCTCTCAATCACTTAAACTCCTCTGCAACAGACGAGAATGTAGAATAAAATTATAGGCAAAATTTCTAATTTCAGACAGCAATTTTTATCTCAACTGTCAATAAACTATTTCCAAGTGCCGTTGAGTTTCATGTTTTTTTTTTCTTTTCATTTGCCTTTGACCAACAAGTATTTCTTGGCAAAAAGACATGAGAATCTGAGGCCTTAAAGGACAGTCTTTAATTAGTTAAAGACAAATCAATAATGATTACAACTTCAGCAATTTAACAAACTGAGTCATTTCTCATTAATTTACAGAGAACTGGAATACATAAATCATCTTCCAAAATCACTTCTAAATTCTAATTTTGCAAGTTATAGTATAATAATTTGTTTGTTATATTTAGCATATTTATTTTACAAAGACATAAAGTTCAAATTCATGTTATAGAAATTATATTTTATGCACCAAACGCGTCTCATAAATAATCATCATACTCATATTTCTCTCAATTTTATAGAATGCACAGAACATAATTTTACATTTTATATGATTATATGAATTCATAGTGTTTGTCTCTCTAATTTTATAATATACTATTTATTTACCATGATCATAAATATACCATGATTTATTTTTATATAATGTCTTTAATCAGAATTCTAACCCCCAAGTATATTGTTAGCTTCCTGTAAAAAGTTAGAGCTGTTTTCCAGGACTGCACTGTGTAAGTATGTTTTCCAGGACTGCACTATGTAAGTATGTTCTCACTTTCCTACAAAGTGAACACTTTAAGCGAAATAAGTAGATAAACTGAAACAAGTTTTGTTTTTGTTTTTGTTTTGTTTTTGTTTTTGTTTTTGTTTTGAGACAGAGTCTTACTCTGTCGCCCAGGCTAGAGTGCAGTGGCGCGATCTTGGCTAACTGCAACCTCCACCTCCTGGGTTCAAGCAATTCTCCTGCCTCAGCCTCCCGAGTAGCTCGGATTACAGGTGCATGCCACTACACCCAGCTAATTTTTAATATTTTTGGTAGAGACGGGATTTCACCATGTTGGCCAGGCTGGTCTCGAACTCATGACCTCAAGTGATCCTCCAGCCTTAGCCTCCCAAAGTGCTGGGATTACAGGCATGAGCCACCACACCCAGCTGAAACAAGTTTTACTAAAATAATTTTCTCAATTTTTAATAATTTTAACTTTAATAAATTATGGTCTCAAGTGTTTCTAAGAGTAAATTATTTTATAATTACATCTAAAACTGAGAAGGCTATTAGAAAGCAGACATGAGTTAATAAATTATAGTAAACCTCTTACTTTATATTATCAAGAGATATGAAAACAGAGTGCATGTATCCAGCTTTAAAATGTATACTGTTGGCTTAAACACTGAAGATGTATGTAGCCAAGGAAGTATGTAGCTGGCTTAAAGACAAATTCTTACCTTGGTCTGATGCAAGGACTGTAATATTATATATGCCATTTTTGATGGTCTCTGCCTCTCTATCCAGGCTTCTGAAAACTTTGATTGATCCTGTATTTTCATCAATGGTGACCCACCCTGTTGGATCAGTTAATTTCTTATACCTGTTGGTAATGATGAATTAAAATAATAAAATTTATCATATGCTAAATTATAATAACGTAACAAAATAAGCTATATATTTTAAAACTAAAATAGAATGGTAAGTACCTTATGCCACTGCTACTTCTTGTTTCTGGGTCATATGCTTTATATCCATTGCTTGTTGTTCCCACTTCTGCATTTTCTTTCATGCGAACAGTCTGTATTGGAGGGTTACACTCAGGGCCCTCATCCTGATCTTCTACATTAACAGTAACTGTTGCTGTGCTCATGGCTGATCTTGGACTAGCCTCTCTGGAAAATGGAGCTTCATTAACTACACCAATTTGCAAGATCATCTGTTGCTTTTCTTCATAATTCAAAGGCTACGAAAGCAAATGTATTGAAAAATCAGATGAACTCATTTAATATTTGGCAATGCTAACGAGTATATATAATGTTAAATTTGGAAATATGTTAAGTGTCATGTTGGGAATAACCACGAGAATATGAAACATATATCCAGTGATATGGTTTGGCTCTGTGTCGCCACCCACATCTCATGTCAAATTGTAATTCCCAATGTTGGGGGAGGGACCTGAGGGAAGGTGATTGGATCATGGGGGTGGATTTCCCCACTGCTCATGATAGTGAGTGAGTTCTCACAAGATCTGGTTGTTCAAAAGTGTGTAGCACATCCCCCTTTGCTCTGTCTCTCCTGTTGCCATGTGAAGATGGGCTTGCTTCCCCTTTGCCTTCCGCCATGATTATAAGTTTCCTGAGGCCTACCTAGTCATGCCTCCTACACAGCCTGTGGAACTGCGAGTCAGTTAAACCTCTTTTGTTTATAAACTATCCAGTCTCAGGTAGTTCTTTATAACAATGTGAGAACAGACTAATACACCCAGAAACCCAGTGGTGGTGGAGACAGAGGAGTTCTCCCACTGATTCAGTACTTGGGTAAAGCTGGAAAAAAAAAAGGACAGAAAATTGTTCTTCAACTGCAAATTTAAGATAAGTAGTATAACAGGTATTGATGAAGATTTCAGAGAGTATTTAATGAGGGTTCTTGGATATTAATACATGAGATACTCCTTTAGGGGATTCATACTATAAACAATAGTTATTTACTACAAAATAAATTTTAGGACAGCTTGTCTTACCCTCCTAAGATGAATAAAATTATTTGTACCTGGTATGAGGAAGAGAAAAAAATGGGTAAATTTTTTTAAAATGCTTTTAAGAGGAGCAAGACAAGAAAATACAAAGCTTATGGGCATCATATTTTCTTTTTTTATGTGTGTCTTCCATTCCAGTTCCTGTCTTAAAGACGGGAACATATTTAATAAAAGGTTTTATTTTATCTTGCCTGATATGTAGTTGTAATGAGAATTAGTGAAACCATGCCCTAGAAGACAGAAATTTTTTCAGGTCTTGGACTTCACACAAATTTCCTTCTGAGAATACCAAGGATTAGGGGAGGGGTTAGGTGAAGAAAGAGACAAGATTTAAAGGAAATTTCTCTGCTATTTTAAAATAGAGAAAATAATATAAAAACAGCAGCTGATTTTCATCATTGTAAGGAAAATGGATTCATCATTTTTTAATCCATGGTCCTTGTGAATATATACAAAAAGAAAACGGCATAGACCCACTGTAAAACCATGTTCTGGTTAAAGATGCAGCAGAAATAAGTCTATAAATTTGTCCAAGGCTAAAGGAGCTCAGATTGCTTTATGCACTAACTCTGGCTGCTGAAATAGTATTAGAAAGAAGTTTTAGAAGTGTTTGCATTGTTGAATCACTGAGGATTTTCATTCTGAACCTGGATGCTAAGGATGTAATATATACTGAATATGATGAACAAACCTATGAATAACCTCTCCATGGGGCTGACCAAGAGTAACTCTTGATTTGGGAAATTCAGTAAGTAAATAAAGGCTCCTTGACCCAAACACAGAAAAACTGGGCTAGGAAAAGTCTGGCACTGTCCCAGGGGCATCAAAGCTGTGCTAGTTTTTGAACCATTTAAAGATATTGGTTACAAAATAGATATTGTATTATATGGACTTTTTAAAAAAAAAAATACCTAAACAAAAGATTATCAAAAACTAATATATTCTTTCCATTGTATATGAAGAACAGAGCATTTGCATTTACTTATATACCTATTTTATTCTACATTTATCAGAATTCCTTTCTTTCCATTAAATTCTAGCATGCTATTCTATGATATTATAAACTACAAATAATGTTCTAATTTATTCTTACCTTAACTACACAAAGAACTCCTTCATTGGTTTTGGCATCTGTTACAATTTTAAAATTGCCATTTTCATTGCCCTTTAAAATGGTATAATTAGCTCTCCAGTTAGCAGTATTCACTAAGTCCTTATCCTCAACAGTAACTCGTAAGATTTCCACATCAACTGTATTTTCTTCCACTGATGTCACATACTAAAATAATAAAAGCAAACAAAAAATTTCGTTAGTAACTCTCACAAAAATTGAACACGATGTGAAGTAAATCCTACTCTTCTAATTTCCAAAGTACTATGTTTACATGATTTGAAACCCTAGCACTATACAACTTTTAATGTCACTGGGGCACTTCATTTGAAATCATGAGGGGTGGATGGGGATGTGCATTTTTTTCTTTTCCTTCACTGCAACCTCTGCCTTCCACGTTCAGGCGATTCTCCTGCCTCAGCTTCCCGAGTAGATGGGATTACAGGTGCCTGTCACCATGCCCGGCTAATTTTTGTATTTTCTGTAGAGACGGGATTTCACCATGTTGGCCAGGCTGTTCTCAAACTCCTGACCTCAGGTGATCCGCCCGCCTCGGCCTCCCAAAGTGCTGAGATTACAGGCGTGAGCCACTGCGCCAGGCCAGAGATGTGCATATTAAACAATTAAAACTGGTCTATACATTTTTCTTTAATTAATATCATACACTTACAGAAGTACGAGTAAATGTTGGCAAGTGGTCATTTACATCATCAATGTTAATGATACAAGTTGAAGTTGTCTGTAGACCAAAATACTGACCATCCATGTCTTGTACTTTTATTTTCAACTGGTACTTGTCAATTAACTGAAAACAAAAAAAGAATTTAATTATTGGGGGAAAGCACCAACATTATAATTGAAATCTTACTTTACACTCCATAATTTTTTTGCACTAAGAATTTAAGAAGTGCATTATTACATTTCACAGCATTCGTGTATTAGAAGAATTTTCTCTCACTAGTAATTTTTCTTTTCTTTTCTTTCTTTTTCTTTTCTGAGACGAAGTCTCGCTCTGTTGCCCAGGCTGGAGTGCAGTGGTGTGATCTTGGCTCACTGCAACCTCTGCCTCCCGGGTTCAAGCGAGGCAGGAGAATCACACTAGGAATTTTTAATCAATTTATGAAAATTGAATAGTTTCTCAAATTTATAGTGCTATTAACTTACAGAATATAGATTCAATTGGTTTTGTCTTTATTCAACAGAAAAAGAAGAGCTATTTGCCACAAGTGCATTTAAAATTGCCTGGTAATTAATCAAAACCTTTATCTCCTAGCCAAAGTACATTCTTATGTTCAAAAAAATAGACAGCAATGACTCTTAAAATAGTCTTTTAACAAAACAATAAAATGAAATTTCTTCCTGCAAAAAATATAGATTTTAAGGGTTTATGTTACATTTAAGAGATCATCTAAACTGACATGAAGATAAAGGTCTGGGGCTATGTAGGTTTTTTTCTTTCTGTGGAAAATAGAATCTGGCTCTTAAGGCTTTCAATTTATCAGATATTGTTGAAAACTCATCACTACCTTAAAAAATATTTTTAAACATCTGAAGCATTTAAATATTTTAAAGTGTTTCTCCTTATAACTTTCATTTATCATAAGTGATTGAGATATGGGAGAATTAAAAACAATACAGTAATAATGCTTTCCGGACTGAGCATTAGGAGACTTGGGTTCTATTTCCAACTCCAAAAATAAGAGACACAATCTTGGGCAATTGGAAAATTCACTTTGTCTAGGTTTCTTCTTCTATAAGATGGTGATGCTTACCTTTCCTACCTAATTTATCTCTTTTCATAAGACAAAATAGCATGTTAAAATCTATCCTCATCTTCTACCTAGAATGTTCACCCTTCTCTTACAAAGATTCTTCCCTTAATTCCATCATCTCTGAAACTTTCTTTTCCTTAGGCATTATCTAAAATAAAACTAAAGTTTCTCTTGATCTTCCTGCTTTTAACACACATAATTTTCCAGATTTACTCCTCCCTCATAACCAATCACATGTGTAGACTTGAAAAATAATGGCCTTATTTCAACTGAAAAATTTTAAAACATCATGCTACTGTACTTTCAAGAAGGAATACATATTTTGTTTGTAGTGAACTAAAATTTATTGGAAATAATTAACTGGCTAATGAAACAAGGAAATGAAGTTTGATACCCTAAGTATTAACTTATGCTATCTTCAGATGGAAGAGAAATTCTGATGTTTAAAGGGACTAAAAGGTTGTAGGCAACTGAAGAAAACCGGAATCCTGAGGTCAAAAAGTTACTAGAGAGCACCACTGGATAAACACCTTCACTGGACAAGTGTTTTCAACTGATTATTTCAGAAGAATCTATTCAAAGAAAAGCACTTCTGTGATTGTTTGATTTAGGAGCTGAACAAGCTGTTGAGTTTTTGCTTTTTTTTTTTTTCCATAGAATGCTATTTTCACATAGACATCTATGGCTATGCAGACTATAGTTTTATGAAAGTATTTTGTAAAACATAAAGTTAATCTGTCACTTCAGGGAAAACAACTATTTGTTGCCAATGATAAATTGGAGATTTCAAACAAAAATGAGAAGCTTGGAAAACCTTTATCAACCAATGTGATATCAATGGAAGTAAAGAGGTGATCTTTTTGATATTATTTAATGCAATGTGTCAATATTTGGAAGCTCTGCATTACTTGGTGAACCAATATTTTCCAAATGACCAATGCACAATATAGAATGATGTACTGGTAAAATGGTCACTCAAAGTGTAAGATAGAGCAATGGATTTTAACGTAATAAAGTACAAAAGGTCATTGTTGAGGATTCAGAGTCCACATTACCAAAAACATTTAGGAAACAAGCTACTCCTTATCAAGTATTCATGTAGTATCAAGGAATAATATCCACAGTGATCTGTAATTATCATCAAAATACTACTCTCTTTTCTAATTTTATATCATGTCAGATTGCCTTTATATATGCTTCAGCTAAAACTACATATTGTAACAGACTAAATGCAGAAGGAGATATGAGAATCCACCTGTCTTAAGCAAAATACTAAAAACATTTGGAAAAATGCATAACAATGTCATTCTTCCCACTAAATTGTACTGTTTTGGAAAATGTACTTATTTTGTAAGTACAAAAAGAAGAAAAAGTGTAACAATTTTTACTGTTATTTTATAAGAATTTTAACTGTTAACATGTAATTAATTTATTATTTTTAATATTTAAATTAATATATAATTTAAACTTTCCTTAGTTTTAAACATTAACAAGTAACATAGATAAATATAACCTAGATAAATAAAAGATCTTTGGGATTTTCAACAATATTTAACACTGTTAACAGTATTCAACAATATTTAACAATATGTAATAATGTCAAGCATTGGTCTTGAGACCAAAGCTTTTGAGAACCTCTACCCTAATCCATGAGGGATAGAGGAAGGAAGAGAAAATTAATCTGAAGATTTAAGACTTAAGAATCAAATAAAATACCTGATAAACATCTATTACTATATTTTAAGATTAAGGATTATAAATATAGTAAATAAGGACACAGAAACTGCTATAAGAATTTAGATGAATAATGCTTCAGGGAGGAGGTAATAGTTGAATAACTAAGTGAATGAATTACTAAGCTAGGGTATTGCAGTAGAAAGAGACAGAATATAGATTTAAAACAATCTTGGAGGTAAAAACATGCTTTAGGAAGTGATGTGATTCAGGGGGGCCAAGAGACATCAAATACAATTTGGAGACCATGACTCCAAGGTGACAATAGAAAATGATTAATAGAGAAAGAATATATAAATATCTTTTTAACTAGAAAACATAGAATGGAAAATATGTTTAGAAGAAAAGAAGACAAGTTAAATTTTAGATTTATTACATCATAAGTACCTGTCAGACATCCAAATCAAGATTTCTAGCAGTTGATTAAAAATGGGAAACCAGAGATTAGAGAGACATAAACTGTCTTTTCATCTATGTAAGAGGTAGAATGTAGATGAGATTGTTGAAAAGATAACAAATTTCTGCATATATTTAAAAGGTTCACTTTTCATATTTGACATTTTGTTTTAATACTGTAAATATGTTTATATCAGGAAATCTGATTGTATGAAACAAACAATTCAGAAAAGAATGAATTAGCAGTTCAAAACCAGCATACTCCAAGGTTATTTAGTGATCTCTATTAACATACATAAAATAATAATGTTTCTAAAATGAGATTCACAACATACTTTTCAAAAACACATCTACAGGAGTTATACAGGTACTATTGAATAGCCACGTTATAATCAGGTTTTATTAATGTTTATGTTACCTCTCTGTCTAGCTGAGATGATGTTGTGGTGATCACGCCTGTAGTTGGATGCATAGAAAATAGGGTGGGTGATGGTGGCACCTGCCCAATGATGGAGTACTTCAGGCGTGTGTGCATCGTGTCAGGCTCATCTTTGTCAGTAGCACACACTTGTCCCACAGTAGTGCCTAGAGAAGAAAAGTCCTTTTTAATCTCCAAAACATTCACATGTTCTATGTTCCCTTTATTTCATTCCTTTTCACCCACCTCAAAAAAGTTCTGGACCACATTATTACATGGCAAAGTCATGGCTTTTATAAATTTGCAGACCTCTCCATACAGTATCACTTCCTTTCAAATATTCTGGCATACTAGCATTTTCGAATTGGGTGATCATATTCATATTTATTGTATTTAATGTATGATTTTATAAATGTTGATACTATCCCTCCATGTATTTTCAGACTAAACAATTCTGATTATTCTATAACTTTTCTCTGTTTGTAAGCTTGTGCTTAGATTGATCATAGGAGTCAGTTTTCTCTAAAACTGCATGGTTCACTTAGACATTTCTAGACAAGGTCTCCAAAACTGCATTCTGACTTTTAGTTAAAACAGACCATTTTCACAGGGCTGAGAAAATGTTTGTATTATTCTCAGTGACTTTCATAATCGTGCCCAGAATACTGGCAATCACATTTAATCCTAGAGAACATCCGTACATATCTTTAAGACTACATCTCCAATTAGTGAAAGACTTATTCTTTTTGGGCTATGTTCTCTTACATCCATCCATCCATAGGATGACAGCATAACATTTATTAACTCCTATTTGTCAGGCACTGTGCTTGGCATTCGCTGTGTATTGAGCTTCACTTCATCTTCATAACAATCTGGCATACTGATAACCCATTTTACAGATGAAGAAATTAGGCTTGCCAAGATTAGGAAATTTGCCAAGCATCACACAGCTAGTGAAACACAGAGTAAAATTCCACCCAGAGTCCCTTATTCTTGCTGCTGGGATACGCTGCTTCTCAACGGACATAGTGAAACTAAATGTATGAATTGAAACACAGTTAATTTGCCATATATTGTTTAAGGAGGTACTCACCCACTCTGCAATTTTCAAAAATTGTAAAAGTATAAGTTTCTTCTGTAAAAATTGGGTAGTTATCATTTTCATCCTCTATTTTGATTATTAGGGGCAGTGGAAGTTCTGGAGTATACCCATCTGGAGTTGTTGCAAAGGCAATTATCTGTGAAGAGAGTAAAATAAGGAGAAAAGTGAAAATAATCTTTTAAAATGAGGTATGCTTCAAATTCATTTTGGCTTTAACTTGGAGACTGTTCAGAACTACAGTATGAGTCTCACCATTTGTTATTGTTCTGGGATATGGATATAATTTTAATGCCAAAGAGGTGCCTAATTTCATGATTCAATATGGCATTGTATGTTTAAATTTATCTCTTTAAATTTATGAAAGATAATTTTAGTTTCTTCATTATTGCTATACTGTTATTCATGAGTGTAACAATTTTTACTGTTATTTTCCCAAACAGCCTTGAAGACTTCTTTATTTTGCTTTGTTTGAAAGGTTCAGGTGCATGGATTTTAAATACAACTTTCTGGATCTTTCTGAACTTGGGATCCTGTAGGATTACCCAGGTACAGTTAACTGGGATATTATCCTATTTTCTACTAATGAGGACTTTAGGCATATCAATGGTTACATTTGGGTAAGTCTTTTCAAAGAATTTTTAATTTAAAAAGGGTGAATCAGAAATGAAACAAATGAATGGTGGTAAACTGTGGTGGAATACAGTTTAATTTTTTTGTTTTTATAATATGAATTTCAATACCAATTTTCTCATAACAGCTATCATAGAAAGGCCAGAACATCCTAGGTACTCAGAAGGCCAGGCCATGGCAATTCTAAACCTAAATACTTTATTCAAAGCTTGCCTGTCTTATTTGATTAATTTGGTCTTCTAATGAATAATTAATTCATCCAAAATAGACATAAAATAATTAAAACTGACTTAAGCAAAATGACCAAGTCCTGTTGGGAAATCAAACCAGCATTAGGTTAAATTCTTTCATATTAACTCACTTTCCAGCATAGGAAATTAACCAGATGATTAAAGGACTGAGTAAGCTTAGGTAAGCACTGTCACACCCCCTACCTGCTCCCCATAAACTAATGCTCTCCCATTGCCAGGGTACTGAGGTTTACTTAATGACTGAACTTCATTTACCTCCTATGATATCTCCATACTATAAAGAGGTTCACAGATCTTTTTGTGCCAACTAAGTAACTGTTCTTGGCCGGGCACGGTGGCTCAGTCCTGTAATCCCAGCACTTTGGGAGGCCGACATGGGCAGATCACCTGAGGTCAAGAGCTTGAGACCAGCCTGGCCAACATGGTGAAACCCCATCTCTACTAAAAATACAAAAAATTAGCTGGGTATCATGGTGCGTGCCTGTGATCCCAGCTACTCAGGAGGCTAAGGTGGGAGGATCACTTGAACCCCGGAGCCAGAGATTGCAGTGAGCCGAGATTACGCCACTGCACTTCAGCCTGGGTGGCAAAGTGAGATGCTGTCTCAAAAAAAAAAAAAAAAAAACTGTTCTTCAAAGTGGTACTGTTGTGGGGGAAAAAAAAATAGTAAAACCATAATACCAGGAACAATCTAATGGAATCCAATATTATTTATTCTATGAAAATATTTTTTGTTTCAAGTCAATTATGTGCTATTAGGGAGTAGCCAGAGCATTGGTGACAAACTCAGAAAGCAGAAAAGGTTACGTGAATTGCAAATGAGAGACAAAATGGCCAAGCATCATCATTGCTAATACAGTACACACATTTTAGACTTTACCTCAAAAGATTCATACTGCTCACGATCTACAGGACGAGTACAATACAAGTTTCCAGTGTCTCTCTCCACATAAAATAAATTCCGAGGTTCTTGGTCAACTCCAGGACCTCTTATGGAATAGTATATGGTATAGTTTTGGGCCGTGTCAGATTGAACCTAGAAAGTAGATATTATATACATGAGACAAATCTTTATTTCAGCAGAGCTTTCATCTATATATTTATGAAATCTCATTGCCATTTTATTAGTTTAAATAATTGCCCTTAATTTATTATTATATATAAATTAAAACAGCAATAGAATAAGAAAGTCCAATTGAGAAATTTCAAGAGCAAGGCATGAGTAAAATAATGTAGTGCATCTTAGTTCTCCAGAATAACTAAAGGAATATTTGACAGGCTAGATGGTGTCTATACATGGAAAAAACACTTAAGACTCTTCCTGTCTTAGAAAACAAAGTATTCTGAGCATGGAAAATTATTCTGTCGTCAATGTTTTAAAAAACTGAGTTTTTATTATATGTAACATAACATTTAAGAACCGAGTTTAAAGTGTACTGTCTGCAGGGCAAAAATGTGGACAATAATTTCCTTAATGAGTTTTTTGTTCTTTGCCAACATCTTCCTTATAGGAACTGAGTAAAAAAAAAAATATGAGTGAGAATAGAAATGGAATAATATTTTGGAATGTGTAATATTCTGATCCTTGATTCGAAAAGCAAATTTCCTCCAAGCTGTGTTCATCCTCTCAGTAACATCCTATCTTTATATCAGGATAACTGACACAACTGTTTTCTAACAATTTCTCAACTTTAATATGCTCTTCTCTCAGCTGTATTAAATTTGTTGGTGGGGTATAAAAAGGATTCTCCCTTGCTATGTCAAGAACTGAGGGAAAATAAACCAAAGTCATAGACTGAATGTAGTAGCCACCAGTAATGGAAGAAGGCAAGAAGGCTTGCTGGGGTTTCTACTGAAAGTTAAAACAAGACAGAGAAAAAGAGCCAGGTATGCTTGGCTCATGCCTGTAATCCCAGCATTTTGGGAGGTTGAGATGGGAGATCATTTCAGCCTAGGAGTTCAAAACCAGCCTAAGCAACATAGTGAGATCTCATCGCTACAAAAAAAAAGAAACAAAAAGAGACAGAGACAGAGAGAGAGAGAAAGAAATGTGGATCCAGTGTGATTTCAGATGTAGATTCAAGAACAAGAAATAGAAAGATAGAAGGGCCTATGTGTCTTCCTCCTTCGTGGCATTTGGTCTTTCATCCAATTTTCTCCTTTATTATGCAAGAGAGTTTTGGGTTTTCTAGCTATTCTTAGGCTTGGCGATACCCTTGCTGATGTGACAATTCATTAAGGAACCATGTGTCTGAGTGCCACAGTTTTATGCTTGGCCTTTGCAAGCTGAACAAAAGTGTATGCAAGTATAAAGAGATATATTTATACCCTTATATGGAAACATATTATACACATACTCATTCACTCACATATTTATACACAACTATTACAAATAACTTCATACTCAGTGTCATAATGGTAAGAGATGGAAACTATAGACTCCCACAGCAGAAAGAAAGAAAACGGTACCTGTTGAAGGAAAAGTGGAAAAGGACCCAAGGAGTTTTCTAGCATCGAACAAGGAATTGGAGCCCATCTTCTCTTGGCGCGCCTTAGAACTTTTTCTTTAGTATGTCTTTTCTTTAGGACCTCAATTCATAAGACAGGAAAAAATAATAAAGTCAATGACTACTTTATTCTCAAACATTAAACAATGACACATCTTTCTCCTCTCAGGAGGATTAGCTGGGTAGGGGTGAGACCATGGGAGTGCTTGAAAACCAAACTAATCATCAACACTGCAAAAAGATAATGAAGAAGTAACTGTCCTAACTGTTATCACAACAATCCTCTTGGGAAAATGATTTGGTGGAAATATGGAAGAAAGAGAGATGGAACTGGAAGCCTAGAAGCAAAACTGAAAAAAAAATTACTGTTGCCCCATTGCCATGCAAAAACATGGGAGAGAGATATGCAAAGAAAATAAGTGTGTATGTGCCCTTCTAAATTTAGCACAAGCAACTTCCACTCACCAGCAACTAGGCAGAGCCAGGGAACCAACAGAGAGATCTGTGTCAGAATGAGGAGAGAAACACGGTGACAACTCTCAAACTGCTGCAGTGAGGAATGGCTAATGGTTGAATACAAGTTATTTTGATCTTGGGTGTCACAACACAATAGCATGCATGTGGTCCAAACCTCCTCCTAAAATAGTTATCTATGTTTTAAGACCACAGATTATGCTAAAATGAATGCGAGAAAAAAGCTTTCCTTTCTTTATACAGAGTTTCAAAACTTGTTGTTAGAAATCCATTCTACGGTAAAGCTCAAAAAAAAAATGCTGCTTTGTGTCTAATCTCACTTTCCCATGCTGTACCTTATCCCAATTTCTCCTTTTACGTCCCAAATGAAAAGGAATGACAACCCGAATGAACCATGTGACACAGCCCTTTTCCTTCTAAACACTGTGAAGTTGCCTCATGGTTTTCATTCGTCTTTAAGCCAAACTATACCATATCCTTTCTGATTTCATATCTTCCCTGGTAATGTTGATTACGTCTGAAGAAAAGATATCATTTCTTCATTTATGTAGCCTTGTATACCTTTGTTTGATGCTCCAAAAAGACAAATATTTTCTTCTTTTCTTGGTTCTCAGTGTTGGAAAGTAATATGGTAAAACTTCTCTTCTCCGAGGACAATAGAATAGTATTTGTTGTATAGACTGAACCATCCTCCAAAATTTGGAAGTCAGGATCACTTGAATGAATTAGATTTGCAGCTGTAAAGCACTCTTTCAGGTTAACTGTAGAAAATATGCACAGCAATCATTTTTAAAGTAAAACATAGGATATAGTTTTAACAGTAATGTATGCACGTGGGGAGAGCCAAAAACTTAAAATTCATTATACTGACACTTGTAAATTTTTGAAAGGACACATAAAACTATATGGTGAATTAAGTTGTGCTTAAATACTTACATCACTTCTAATACCTACTTAACATTCTCTTAAAGAAGAGACATTTGCTCTGAAGTAAACATATGTGAGCTCCAGTGTTTGAATCTTTAAACCAAAACCAAAACAATTTTTTTCTTTATCAACAGAAATAAGCTATAGAGTAACACCTAAATACACCTGAAGTTATACAGAATCTAGCAGATGAAAATTGGCATTTGCTAAATGAAAATATTACTAAATTCTTTACATCTATTGCTAAACAGTGATCACATTTTATGCTATCATTGGATTGATCTTTTCTTACAGAATTATGTGAAATAATTTAATTGATAAAAAAATACAATACAGAGTGAAATATTTAAGAATAAAAATCCAAAAACAGTATCTTTAAACTAAAAAAAACAGTTTCAGTACTATTTCTCAATTTTTTAGAGGCATGTTAAATGTCTTTATCTTTTCTCTAAAGTAAATGTTAATAATTATTACTCAAGTGAAATATTTTTATCAACTTCATATAATCATGTTTTCCAAAAATAACAATATTCCTTTCATTAGAATGACACCACAAATATTACAAATGATAATATACTACATTAGTTTTATCTACTGGTCCCAACAGAGTTATCATTCTAAAAATTACACTAATTTTAAAATACCACAGCAAATCAGGATTTATTTTGTATGTGTGTTTTTATTTTAAGTTTCAGGGTACATGTGCAGGATGTGCAGGTTTGTTACATAGGTAAACACATGCCATGTTGGTTTGCTGCACCTATCAACCCATCACCTAGGTATTAAACTCAGCATGCATTAGCTATTTTTCCTGATGCTCTCGCCCTCCCAGAACCCCCAACAAGCCCCACTTGTGTTGTTCCCCACTCTGTGCCTACATGTTCACATTGCTCAGCTCCCACTTATAAGTGAGAACATGCAGTGTTTGATTTTCTATTCCTGTGTTAGTTTGCTGAGAATAATTGCTTCCAGCTCCATCCACATCCCTTCCAAGGGACAAGATCTCGTTCCTTTTTATGGCTGTGTAGTATTCCATGGCGTATATGTACCACAGCAAAACAGGATTTATTACAAATTTTAGGGCTTCCTTACCTCTACCAACAAGTTTCTCGGCATCTAGTTTGGAGGGAACATGTAATGTCACATTTTTGCAGGCATCACTGGCAAATATTAAGATCTAAAAAATGAAAAAAAATCAAATAAATATTATGCATAAAAAGAAAACTTTAATGTGTATATTATTTATATAAATTATAAATTTATAATGATATACACATAAAAAGGCATATAATACTTATATAAATGTTAATTATATTACATATTGACTACACTAAATATTAATTTTAAAATATTTAATTAAATATAAATACATGAATTTATATTTATAATTATATGTGATTTATGTTATTATAAATAAAACATAAATAAAATATTGGAGATAAAATAAAAACATATTGGAGAAAGAAATCAGGACAAAAATATATCAAGGAGAAGAATAAAACAATATACTGAGTTCTAGCTTCCTCCTGCAAAAAGCTTGTAAACTCAAAGAGTTATGTATGCTCTTCAGCTTTGTTTACTATATTGTAAAACGTATGTAATAACTTCACTGATTAACTCAGTGGGTACAGTGACGATCCAACAACAGCCTAGGTGGGAGAGTGCTGAAAACTATCAGGAAGGCAGCACAGGTATATACATAGGAAAGAGAAAACCAAATTTACTGAGGCAGCAAACTGTTTCAGTACATTTTTAATTGCTTATGAGATATGATATCAAATCAATAATATCCTAAACAAAAAGTAAATGCTTTTAAAGACAAACATTAACTTATTGCCATGAAGTGATTTGGAGAATATTTATGTGTTACTCCACACAATAGGCACATAACTTTGAAATATAAAATTATTTTGAAGGTGTATCTTCTCATAAATAAAAGTTAAGTTCATTTTAGAAAATAATTTACTTAAAAATTTTCAATGGTTTAGTGATTCATGGTGAACCAAGTCCAATGCAACATATACGTAAACACACTGAAATTTAATTTTGTTCTGTCTGAAACTTTACAATGGATGTTTCTCAAAGATTCACATTCTTTTTTTCTAGTTTTACAAACATCTTTGACCAAAAGCAAGACAGTTAACTAGCATTTACACTGTTACTTACAAAGTTTATAAATATAAACTAAAATCATCAAAATTTGGATGGAAATGTTTATTTTTAATATATATTAAAGACTTAAATTATCCAGTTTTAATTACATTTGAAGGATCAAATAAGGCAGAGGTTGTGTTTCATTTGGAATGTTGGGATAGACACAATGAAGACATTAGTTTTGAACTGGAAATTAAATGATATGAAGAATTTTCACTGGCTGCATAGCCAAGAGAGAATAGGAGTAGAATCAGATGATTCTGAAGATTCCAGCTCAAGGTGATTGGAAGAATACATTCACTTATTCATTCAACCAACATTTACTGGTTGCTTAGTAGGTGCTAAACGGATTCAATGGCTAGAGCAGTGAACAAAGCCAAGTCCTTGCCTCACGAAGATTACATGATAATAAGAAGCAAAAGAAATACACAAATGCACAAATGTCACATAATGCCAAGGCAGCGAGAGATAAATGTCACGACAAAAATAAAGCAGGGAGAGAGGGTGACAACGAGAATACCTGAGCGTAAATGAAGTGAGGAAGTAAACCAGTTTTCTAACCAGGGAAGAGTCTTCCAGGTAGGGCAAGAACCAGAGTAAAGACCCTGGAAGGAGACTTGTGTATTGCAGAAACAAGGTGGTCATAGCAGCAGAGCACAGCGAGGGAAGAGTGACAGGAGAAGAAAACAAAAGGACAGTCAATGGCAAATGATGTAGGGTCTAAAAGGTCATGGTAAGGAGTGCAGATTTTGTTCTGAGTGCAAAGAGAAGCAACAGCCTGATGAAGAAGCTGTGGAGTGGCGTAAACTGATATTTATACAGAATCACTCTACTAGTTATGTGGAAAATAGGTTATAGAAGAGCAAGAGTGGAAACCAAGAGACTGATTGGGAGACTACAGCAGGAATCTAAGAGTGGGGTAATGGTTACTTGGGCTAAGGTAATAATGTTGGAGAAGATGAAAAATGGTTGGATTAAGACAATTCTTTGAATAACAGTATCTTGGACATCCATCCATTCATGCATGAATTCAACAAATATTTACTGAATGTGTATCATGTACCACACACAGAGCAGTAAACATGATCCTCATGAAACATTCAATCTAAGGTAAGACATATTTGTAATTTCAACAAAGTAAGACAAATGTAATGATAGGGAAGTACAGGGAGCTATGGGAGAGCAGAGGTAATAGTGATATCTAAAAGCCAGGTGAGGTCACCTGAAGAGCGGCTACAAGTGAGACAGGCTAAGAGGAGGCAGAGCTTAAATGCTGCAAACAGAAGAATGGCATATGTGAAGGCCCAGAGATGGCACAGACCTGAAGAAGAAATCTGGAATGGTTGATGTGTGTACCAGAGCGGGGGCAGAGGTATAACATGGGCTCAAAGAAGTGGGTGTGGGCCAGATTTTGAACGGCATTAGCAAAGCACATGGATCTTTTTTCCTAACGAGAATGAGAAACCAAAGATTTACTTGGAGCAAATAAATTAAATAAGCAGCTTTATATTTGAATGTGATAGATCTGTCCAATGTGGAGAATGGAAAAAACTGTCATTTTCAATAATAACAAGCTAGGTAATTAAGAAAAACCTATGCCAAAACTAATTAAAAATCAGGGATAACATTTTTCAAACATCCTAAAGCATCAAAGAGCTAACAAAATAGCAAGCAATTGCTAGGCCAAAACTGAAGATAAAGCTGGAACACACAGTGATAAGAGGAACTCAGGAACAACTTCTGATCTGCAAAGATTTGACTCTGCTTTGCTGGCCTCTGGAGAGAAGGAGAATGAAATCAAAGCACAGGGCCCACCTAAGATCTAAGAGGATCCGCTCCACATTAATCTGGGACCCAAATGCTAAATCTTCATTACAAATTTGAGCCACAAGTAAACTGGCCCTGGCGTGGATCTGTGATCCACACTCACATCTTTTGCTTGGTCCAGAAACTTCAAGCCATGAATTTAACGAAGGCTTGACATGTGATCACCATCATAGATGCTGACAGGCACTTGACCAAATTCAATAACCATTCTTATTTTTTTTAGTCTCAAAAAATAAGAATTGATAAGTACTTTTGCAATGTGATCTTTATAAATTATAACACAACACAAATGGGAAAACACTAGAAGCAATCCAATTAAACTCAGAAACAAGACAGGCTCTCCAAGGTCACTATATGTAGTTTACATTATATTGAAGGTATATTTGCAAGAGAAGGATATTAGATAGGAAGATGTAAAAAAAATCTCTGCATTTGATATGACTGTTTACCTGGAAAACCCAAGCAAATCAACCATTACATTACTATAAAACAAGAAGAGACTTAAGTAAGGAAGCAGAAATAACCATGAAAATATGGTTAGTCTTCATACCCATAAACAAAACCAGTCAGATAATACAAGAAATTTCCACTTTGGGAGGCCGAGGTGGGCAGATCACGAGGTCAGGAGATAGAGACCATCCTGGCTAACACGGTGAAACCCTGTCTCTACTAAAAATACAAAAAAAAAAAATTAGCCAGGCGTGGTGGCGGGCACCGGTAGTCCCGGCTACTCGGGAGGCTGAGGGAGGAGAATGGTGTGAACCCGAGAGGCAGAGCTTGCAGTGAGCAGAGATCACGCCACTGCACTCCAGCCTGGGCGACAGAGCGAGACTCAGTCTCAAAAAAAAAAAAAAAGAAATCATTTTCAAAAGCAATTAAAAGTTGAAATGCCAAGGAGTAAATTTAACAAGAAACATGTAAAGCCTATTTGAAGGAAACCTGAAAACATTTCTGCAGGGCAGAAAAGTACACTTGCAAAAAAAGAAAGACAAAAATCAACAACGTATCTATATCGATTCTTACTAAGTTAAATTACAAATTTTTTGATACCAATAAAAACCTCCATAAAATTTTCTCTGGAACTAAACAAGCTGATTTAAAAGGCTATAAGGAAAAAATAAAAAATTAAGATAGGAAAATTATTTTTTAAAAAGCAATGAAAGGCTATCAACCCTAGCAGATATTACAAATCATATAAAATCTCAACAATTAAATCAATATGGTACTGGCATATGAATAGAATGATATTTGACCCACAGGAATTGGAAAAGAAGAGGCAAAACAATTTGTATTTGCATTAGATATGACTGCGTAAAGTCCCTAAAAGTTGTAACTTTTTATTATACCCACCAATAATTTATGAGTCAACCACATACTTGCCTACATCGCACGTTGTTGAACTTTTGGGTGTCTGCCAAGTGTGAAATGGCATTTTAATGTAATTTTTTATTCATATTTTATTATGAGTGAGGTTGACATATTTTTATAACTTAAGAGCCATTTTACTACTTTATGGATACTGTTACATCCATGTTGCACTTTTTCTTCTTGACTTACAAGAGCTCTTTATGTATTAGATTAGCCTTTTAAATATGACCTATGAATATTTTTTCCAGTTTATCAATCACCTTTTGACTTTGCTTGTTGTGTTTTTGGTTGGTTAGAGGTGTTTTTTCGCCATGAAGAAGTATGTATATATGTACTCTTATATAATTGTTTTTCTCAATTGTAATAAATTGGCTTTCGAAATCTAAGTCATAACTAGGCCTCGTGGGCTCCAAATTTATATAACAATTTATTACGTTTTCTTCTATTATCTGTAGGGAAACATATTTTACATTTAAATCTTTCATCTCTGGAATTTTCTGTGGTGTTCTGAATGAAGCATAGATTCAATTTATCTTTACACCAATATATATATCCTCGATCATGTGATATCTATCATAAAATAGCTTTCTGTCTAGCCATATACAATGTTTATGGAGGGAAGAACAAAATCTAACAAAATTAGACACTTTTTTTTTTCTAACAGAGTCTTGCTCTGTTGTCCAGGCCGGAGTGCAGTGGTGCGATCTCGGTTCACTGAAACCTCCACCTCCCGGGTTCAAGTGATCCTCCCACCTCAGCCTCCCAAGTAGATGGGATTATAGGTATGCACCACCATGCCTGGCTAATTTTTGTATTTTTTGTAGAGAAGGGGTTTTGCCATGTTCCCCAGTCTGGTCTTGAACTCCTGAGCTCAAGTGATCCTCCCACCTCAGGCTCCCAAAGTGCTGGGATTTACAGGCATGAGCCACTGCACCTGGCCTAATTTACACTTTTATTTGTCAATCCCATTATTGGTAATCTGTCCTACTGATACACCTGCCCACATATGAAATGACATACATTCAAATTTATTCATTGTGACATTATTTGTAATAGCAGAAGTGACAGGTACAAGTGAATAGACCCCTGAGCTGTCTTTGAATGTAGAGTTCATGGAACTTCATGGATTAAGGAAGGGGAGCAGTGAGAAAGAAAAAACAAACAGCTTTCAGACTTCCTACTTGAGGAACAGGCATATGGTACTGACATATATTGAAATACAGGACACTAAAAGAAAAACAACATTGTTTGGGAAGATAATAAATGCTGTGTCACACATCACAGTCAGTAGAGTGATACAAAGGACTATTGTTCAATGAAGACATCTGAACTAGTAATATTAATTTAGTATATGTTGGCAACTGTGTGATATTTTAAGCTATAAAAGTGGATAAAATGCCCTAGGGAAAGAGTGTAGATTCCAAAGGACAAGACCTAGAACAGAAAACCAAGAGACACCAGCATTTAAGAGTGCAGGAAAAAGTAGTCAAACTCATAGAAGCAGAAAATAGAATGGTGGTTGCCAGGTGACGGAGGTTAGGGGAAACAGGGATTTGCTGTTTAATGGATATAAAAGTTTGGTTATGGAAACTGAAAGTTCTAGAGATCTGCTATATGACATTGTGCTTATAATTAACAATACGATACACTTAGAAATGTGTTAGGAGGGTAGATCTCATGTTATGTCATTTTTACCAAACCAAAAAAAGACAACAGAAAAAGAAGAAAAAGACAAGACGCTAGGTAGGGAGTCAGACCCTGAGTGGTCAGAAAGATTAAAAAAAAAGGCGGGGGGGAGTGAATGTCAAGAATAAGGGCAAAAGCTACAAGGTGGAACCATATAAAGAATGAGTCATTTGGATTTAGCACAGGAGAGCCAGTGATCTTAGAAGGTTTATTAGTGGTTAGCAGAAGACAGAGTTCAAGTGGCTAAGCCAGGTGTGGTCTGAAGAAACATTAAGAAGTGAGGAAAAGCTGATTTGTGGAATGGTGAAGGATTACTTGGGTATATGGGAAGGAAGGAAGGTAAAGGATCCTACCCTCCTACCAAAGATATTTCTCCCCCCTTTTTGAGACAGGATTTCGCTCTGTCACCAAGGCTGGGATGCAGTGGCATGACCAGGGCTCACTGCAGCCTGGACCTCCCAAGCTCAAGCAATCCTCCCACCTTAGCCTCTCTCCAGTGACTTGGACCACAGGCGCGCACCCCATGCCCAGCTACAATCATTCTTACTTAATAATTTCTTACACTTAGTATTTACGCATTTCTCACACTTGAGACTCACAACCACAACAGCCACGTGAGGTTGGCAGGGCTTTGCACAGATGTGCACAGAGCAAAAACCAGCAGAATGAGAGTGTAGGCAGGGCCAGCATACTTCCTACCCCACTCCCCGCCTATCAAACTCCGAAGCTAAGGAAGAACAAGGAATGGAAATTCAATTTCAGTGTATTCAGTGATACCCCACCTCCTCCTAAACAGAATCTGAGATAACACACAGAAAGCTCTCTCTGCAGGTATATGCAGAGCAATGCCACGCATTGCCAGCGTCTGTGCATGCCTTTTCCTTTAAAGAATGGCCGGTGGTTTTAAAAGAAATTGCAATTTTATTAGGAGTCTAATGAAAATTTATTTCTTACTCATCAACATATGTTCTGACCGTTATTTATTCCATTCTTGGTTTCCTCATCTGTAAAATGTTAACTGCTGTGTACTTGGCCCTTTCTATGTTATTAATATGCCCTGAGAATTCAGTTAAGGGTTTGAAGTCCATTGAGCTCCTCGAGAAAGACATTCTAATAACAGTAACAATTACCAATTCATGATTGTAAAATGTGGAACTCTACTGCGAAGTGAGAGCGGAAGAGAAGGGGAAATTATACGAATATTTCAGCCCCCAGTTCACTTCTCCCAGAAGGAATTAGCCTTCCGGGTTCCTCCCTTTGTCCTTCAAGATTGATTGGCGCCCAACGCCTTCTGCTTAAGACAAGGAGCACTTTTCCACACCTGTCGATTTTTTTCCTCTTCCAGGGAGCCAGGAAAAGTCCAATCGGACTTTTTATATCCCCAATTCCCCAGACGCTGCTCCCGGCATTGGCTTTTTGCGTCTTCAGGCTCCCCAACGAGATCCCATCGGTCAAGCCTGGGAAAGGGGCTGTCCCGCCCCAAATAAGGCCAACCACTTAGGCTCCCAGCTCTGGGAAGGGGTAGGGTCATTGCTGTAGTGCTCTTTAAAGAAAGAAAGAACCTGGGGCAAGGGGCGGTGGCGCGGGGGGCGGGTGGTGAGCAGAAAAATCGAGTCGCCTCTGGGGACAAGAAATCAGAAAGACCCTTCCTTCCTCCGAAGATTTAGGGAACTGAAGCCTCGCACGTTAAGAAACCACTGAAACTGTACAAATGCTCACCTAGGGCTCGCCGGTCGACAGTCCTCAGGAGCAAAGGGTCAAGATCCCCTCCCCCACCCGCCACTTCCCCCCGCCCTTCTCTCAGAGTAAACAATTCCCAGAAAGGCGAGCAGTTCCCTTTTTCACCCAAGGACACTCGCTCTCCGTCCCGGCCGCCCAGCGGTTCCCCTTTCCGTGGCCTGGGCAGGCGCTGAGGCACAGGGAGCCGCACGTTCCCGAGGCACAGGGAGCCGCACGTTCCCGAGGCACAGGGAGCCGCACGTTCCCGGGGAAGGTGCCAGAGGCCAGCTGGACGGCCCCGGCGCACTCCCGCCCCGGCGCACTCCCGCCCCGGCGCACTCCGACCCCGGCGCACTCCCGCCCCGGCGCACCCTGCTCCCCGGCGCGTACCCAGGGGCCACGATTTTGGCTGGGCGAAAGCGGCCCGCTCCCGCCTCTCCTTGAGTGCGCTGATTACATCTACCGGAGACACCTTCCCTTCCCTTGGGGATCCCAACTCTCAGGTCGCGATCCTCTTCCTATCTGCCCTCCCCCACCCCCGCCAACTCCATTTTCTAGCCACCCAGAGGCCCCTTCACCCCAGCTTTTCCCGCCACCCCCACCTATCCCCGTTCCCCTAGTTTTCCTCTGCACCCTAGGCGATCGCCCCCTTCCCCGGAGCGGTGGCCGCGGCTACACTCACCGCGAGGGTCAGCAGGAGCAGCCGGCAGAGGGCTCCGTTCCAGGAGCCGGAGGGGCGGGCTGCCTCCATGGAGAGGGCTCGGGGCAGGTCGCGGGCCGAGCGTCGGGCCGGGGTAGGAGGGCTCCGCGGGGCGAGGGCCGCGGCCGGAGCGCAGTCTGGGCCCGCTGCTCAGGAGGAGCGCGAGGCGGAGGAGGTGGGGCGCGCGGAGAGGTGCTTTTCTTAGCTTCTCTGAAGCGCCTGCCTCTCATCCAAGGGGCTTTTCCTTTGGCGGAGGGAGGGGCTCCAGACGCGTCCAAAAGACACCGATCGGCCCCTCCTTGTTGTCTATTTAAGACTTAAGACTTCATTTCTCTAAGAAAGCCACGGGTGGGAACTCCCTCTCGCCGCCACCCTTTTACCTGCGCAAGGTGTTTCTCACCAGCGGACGCCACCTATAAGGCCCATCTCCCCCACCACGCCCCGGTGTCCGCTCCGCCAGGCGAGATTAACAGCCGGCCCTGCCCAGCAGAAGCCCTGACTGCACAAAGACTCACTCCTGAGTGCGCGGTCGGCCCCGGCTCCGCCCTGCCCGCTGCCCTCGGCGACGGCCGTGGTCCCTGCCCTGGGGTCAATTACAGAGCGAGGTCTGAGCCGCAGAGGCTGGGTTTTAGGTCACAGCTGCCTGAGGCCCACCTGACAGAAAGTTGACTCCAGGGAGACTGTTACACACTCTACTGGAGTGAATTTCCTACACACACCCACAAGCAGTTCAGACATCATAGTCATCTGAGGCACCATTCTTTGGGGTCTTGTGTTTTTAGGAATTTACTGGCATGACAATGATACAAGACAATCGCCATAATTTAGAGACAAAAATACATATATACATACATACGTACGTAAAGTTAGGGAATCAAGGCGACTGCAAAATAATAAAATCGAGGGTGAGTTACTATAAGAAATGCATCCATTGAGGTCCTAGTCGTGGGCTACATGTGGTTACTGATTTTCTCCAAGAACATCCCTGGTCACAAATAGAGTTATAACTTATTTCCTATACCGGACTCCTGAACATCCAGTGGAGAGTTCTCACCTTCTTTACTACCATCAAAACCAGAGTTCATGGTGAGAAATGAATAAGAATGGGATAATTTACATTTTTATTTGAAGTGCACTTAAACTAAATGAATTATTGCAGCACACAATCTGGAAGATTAAGATATAAATGCTGTTTCTTTTAGCTCTTCAGAAAGCAATGACAAGGCATCTGACTCATCCTCCTGCACCTCTTTTCAATTACTGACTTAAACCAGGTAAGCCTGACCACAAAAGAGAAACTTGTCTGCTCCCTTTTATTTGGTTTAAGTTTCCTCAGGGATGTCCTGAGAATCCTATGTGAAAAGCCAACCCTGACACTCACACCATTTCGATTCTTGAAAATGTTCACCATCTTAACACCATTGTATGCCGAGCCAGAATTACTGCAATACTGAGTGTATATTTAAATTAAAAATTAATGTCAAACAGCGCATGCCTTACATTCTCTGTGTCTGTGCTATGCTCATGCCCTATTTTATTAACGAATGCCACTAATGAGCTGTTCTGTCTCCATATCCATAAAATTATCATTGACCCTTTGCTAGTAAAATAAGCCTGAGTCATCAGCATGAGACTATAATTGACATCCTTCCGTTTCCATATTTTTTAACACTCATAGTTTTCCATCAATGATACCATAAGCACACCTCATCCTATTAAAGATGACATCATGGTCTCTAGCATGAAGCTTTTCAGAGGACAAAAAGAAAGCTATAAGCGTTTCAGGTTCTGGAGATCTACTCAGACTATCATCACAGGCTTTGACTATAGGACATTTCCAAACTCTTGCCTACTCTTTACCCTCTGATGCCTTAAGGGCAGCTCATGTTTTTCCTCATTCCAGGAAAGGGCGGAAGAGCAATTTGACTAGAATTCATCTTAGATATTTATTTTCCTCTTTCACATTAATTGATAGAGGCTATTAAAATGGTGATTTGTTTGTTTTATTCCAAAAAAAACTTTCAACAAAAGAATGGAATATAAAGTACTTTCTCTGAGCAAGTACCCAATTTATTTAATGTATTTAGGTTAGGCTATATGGTCACTGAAATAGATCCCTCTAAAACATAGGTTTGAAACAAAGGGCATATATTTAAAAAAAAAATGGAATGTGAGTAGATGTGATCTTTTTTTAAAAGAATGACTTTTGCTTATGAATATGATTCTGCTGCATGAACTAGTTTCCCAATAAAAATATACTTTTTATAGTAAAAAGTACACCAGACCGAAAGTAAGAAGCAACTTCTTTTGTGTTGCTTAAGTAATCTCTCAGGTCTCAACACTCCCATTTGTCCATCTGTTAAGTAAGATAATCAATAATAATAAGGTAATACTGGAGGCTATCTATGGTACTTTCTACATCTAAAATTAAACTATTTAGACTGCTTATGACAGATTTTTGAGAAGCTTGGCTGGAAATGGATGTTCATTTCAGAGATAACATAGAAAGTCAGGGCCAGAGCAATCCTTAAAGAAGTGAACAATTTGCAATCCAAAGCCCACAGGCCAAATCTATCCAGCCTAGCTTCACAATTTTCTAATATCAGAGGCCAGAAACTATTAAGGGCAGCAACAACCAAAAAAATCCCACTTACTCACTGATGAGCAAATAGAGACAGCTCTGCATGAGCTTTGTGAATCCTGCCAGTTCCTCCCCTGCCAGCACCAGAGGATGAGTGATCCACAGGGACAGATGTCATCTTCAGGACGAAACCATCTCGGCATGGCATATGACATAGAATGGAATTCAAAAGCAAGGGAAACACAAACCTAACAGGCAAAAAGCAAGATTAAAGGACATTGTCTAGTTGCTTCATAGGTTGGAGCAGAAAGGGAAACATCTGCTAATCACCGTAAAATAAGCACAATTTTTTAACCTCTCAGAGCTGTTGCAAGAATTAAATGATATCAAGGCACTCAGAAGAAAGCCTGGCACATTCTAAGTGCTCCCTCAGTGTCAGTTATTGTGGACATCCATCTTCCTCGCCATTGTACGACCACATCTCTCTGATCCATTCACTTCCTCCTCATGACAGCTCCCTATTTCCTGTCCTTCCAGTACCTCTCCTCAGAGAGTTCTCTGTCCTGGTCTAGGGCTGAACCCTAGTGCTAATTCATTCACCTTCAACCCCCTCTCTTCAACACTAACCCCAGATCTTGTCTGGCATAAATGAGTTAACAATGCAATACTAAAATGAGCTGTGCAGTTTGAGTCAGCTGTGTACTTTCTGAAAATTTGAAACAATTGTTTAAAAAGAATCCTTCTCAATTTAAGAAAAAGTTTTAAAATTCTGTGTTTTCCGACAAATGCTATCTTTACTTTTTAATTCTATGTATATTTCTTTGAATTTCACTTTTAAAAATTGATCTCAGTGAAACATAGTATGCTAATCAAGTTCAATTTCTATTACATTTCAAAGTTTGTTTTTTTTTTTTTTTTTTGAGACGGAGTCTCGCTCTGTCACCCAGGCTGGTGTGCAGTGGGCGATCTCCATCTCACTACAAGCTCCGCCTCCTGGGTTCACGCCATTCTCCTGCCTCAGCTTCCCGAGTAGCTGGGACTACAGGCACCCGCCACTATGCGCGGCTAATTTTTTGTATTTTTAGTAGAAACAGGGTTTCACCGTGTTAGCCAGGATGGTCTCGATCTCCTGACCTCGTGATCCGCCCGCCTCGGCCTCCCAGAGTGCTGGGATTACAGGCGTGAGCCACTGCGCCTGGCCTCAAAGTATTTTTTAAAAATTCAAGGTAGAGTATGAAATAAATTATAAATCAGTTCTTATGACAATAGTTTTCATTTAGCAGTCACTCAATTAAAACAAGCAAATGAATTAATTCTGAGGCAATTGTGTTGAACGTGACTGGAGACAGTTCACAATGTCTGGTCTGCCTTTAATAGACGCAGTTGACATGAGCTCCCCCTCCCGCCCAGTGGTGCAATGAAATAATGTATCCTTAAAACTACAAAACTTTCATTTGTATGCTTTACCAATTAACTAACTCAGCAAGTATTTACTGAGCATCTACTATGTCTAAGGCATTGTTCTGGGCATGGGAAATGCAGTGGTGAACAAGACAGAAAGGACACTTACTCAAGGGAAACACCTACAGAATTATAAGATAGCTAGGTTGGATAAGAAATACTCTCCACTTGAGATTTATATCATGTTGACTTCTTTGGGAAAAAAAAAGTGAAGATTAATCTCGAATTAATTGCAAAATAAAATATAGAGTGTTTTATAAGGATAAAAAAATTACCAAGATAAAACTTGTTAATATCTTTTCATGGATTATGAAATGTTTCTCTAGATAACCTAATCTAGAACATGTATCCTCTTGGCTTGCTGGATTGCAATAACTCTTGGTTTTTTTCTTCCCTTGCTGGCTGTATTTATGTATTCTCCTTGGCTGGTTCCTTCTTCTCTGACCTCTAAATATTATTGTGCCTGTAAATATTTTTTTCTTTTTTTTTTTTTGTGAGATGGAGTTTTGCTCTGTCGCCCAGGCTGGAGTGCAGTGGCATGATCTCGGCTCACTGCAACCTCTGCTTCCTGGGTTCAAGTAATCACTTTTCTGCCCCAACCTCCTGAGTAACTAGGACTACAGGTGCCCGCCACCATGCCCAGCTAATTTTTTTTTGTATTTCTAGTAGAGACGGGGTTTCACCATGTTGGCCAGGCTGATCTCAAACTTCTGACCTCAGGTGATCTGTCTCTCTCGGCTCCCAAACTGCTGGGATTGCAGGCGTGAGCCACCGCACCCAGCCTGCCTCTAAATATTGCTATATACAAATACATCTGCATTGTTTCAAACCCTTGCACTCGCAAGGCTCCTTCTGCTGTAAGTACTTTGTACATGCCCTTTCCTCTTTCCCAGAATCTTTTTCTATCTCTCTGGCCTGGTTAACTCCCATTCACCCTACAAATCTCAACTTTTATTTTCTTCCCCACCTGGTCAAATCTTCCACATTAAACTGCTGCCTCTCATTTAGAGCACTTGTCACAATTGCAATGTTAAATTTGTTCAAATAATTATTTGATTAATACTTGTTTCTCAACAAAGACTACATTTCCATGATTGTAGTAACCCTTTTTTTGTTCATGCTTGTATTCCCAGCATTACTATGACTCCTGATTCTTAGTAGACACTTAATAAACATTTGCTGAATGAGTGAGCAAATGAATAAATAAATGACTAATGAGCATTTCTGACAAGCAATTCTTTGTTTTCCTTTTTCTATTCTAGTGTTTATCAGCATATTAAAGTGATGTCTTGGGCCACATTTGATAGGGTGGGAGTTCCTAGTCTAATCTCAAATATGCTGGACGTGTATTACAGTAGCATATTAATAAAATATGAGATGGGCCTACCAAACATTTCTAGTATGGCTTTTGCACAAGAACAGACAAATATACTTATGAATTTTAACTTAGAACTCCAAAGAGACCAGTGTATAAATGGATACTTAATATCTGATAAAAGTGGCAGCAGACACAATGAAGAAAATAAGGAATTATTTAGTGGTGGCATTGGGAAAACAGACTCACTATTGGAGAAAAATAAAATTGGTCCCCTACACAACCAATTTTGTATTTATACGTATACTGTGGTGGAAGACACATAAAGTTAATGAAAAATAATACAGGAGAACATCAGTGTTATACAGAGGTAGGAAAAGATTTTTGAAATAAAACCTAAAAAGCATATACCATATAGGAATAAAAAAAAACAGATACACTTGATTACATTAAAATGCAGGCTTTCTATTTGACAGGTGACACCATAAATAAAGTTGATAAACAGAAAATAGCTTGGGAGAAGACATTTGTCATGACTAAAACAGATGAGAGAATAATATCTAGAAAATACAAGGAACTCCTACATGTCAACCAGAATGTGGCAGAACCACAACAGAAAAAGATGGACAAAGAGTATTACTAGGCATACTCTTACAACAGAGGAATCTGAAGCCTACCAAGTATATTTTAAGAAATCAGAGAAAGGCACATCAAAGTCATAAAATATCCTTCTATACCTATTTGGCAAAAATTAGGAAGCTAATAGCAAATGTTGATAGGCCTGTGGATGTTTGGGAACCCTGGTGCATTGTTGGTAGAATTATAAATTTGATCAAATATTCAGGACAGTAGCCTAACAATGATTGTTCAAGGTAATAAGTGAATACCCTAAAGCCCAGCAGTTTATCTCTTGGCTAATAACCCAGAGAAATTCTCACTGAAGTCTATGAAGGGATGGTTTGTTGTAGAGGGAGTTGGGAGCAATCTGGGTTACCATCCTTGGAGAGTAGATAAATTATGGTGACAGATCCACCCCATGGATCACTGTGCAAAGTTAGAACCAATAGGCTAATGGCAATATGAATGGATCTTAAAAACATAGAACCCAGTGAAATAACTAAAAATAGAATATTTCTACATCCAATATAAATTTAAAAAGACAAAAAATCATTACACTGAACAGCAGCATTTTAATAAAAATTATATAAACAAAAACACACATTCTAAACACATTCAACTAATTTTTGTGGAGGTAGAAAGGAATGAGTTTGAGAAGCAAAGCTTGTGAAGGGGTTAATAAGGAGAAAATAATTAATATATCACAATATGTTTAAATCTCATTTATTTTAGTAAGTGGAAGAGGAAAAAATTAAATAGTATATTATTTTTTCCTATTAGTTATATGTCTGTTTATATAGCATTGGTATATATAATACTTTTTTCTACCTTATAATCAGGAAGCAGTAATGCAAGGAATTATTATTAAACCAAACGGGTAGAGAAATTAACATTGTTCCAAAAACAGGAAGGACTGTAAAACCTGGTGATCACATATAACCAGATAATAACCAGTAGTAAACATGTATTGCTGTTATTCAGTTTGTCACACACAATCACCAAATAAAAGGAGGATTTGGAGTGTATTCCAAGATGATAAATGAACCAAATATTCTCTGGAGGAGTGTTAACTACACAGATTCAATCCCTCGTCATCTATTAACAGGAGATGAATATTTTAGGTAGCCTATAATTGTAATAGAAACTAGTGAGAAAGCAAGCTTTAAGTTATGTTACCAACCAAATCAATAGATTTATAATGATAAGTTAATGGGTTTTGTCACACATCTACGTAAGGTAGGCAAAGAACAATATTTTGGGGAAGACATCTGGTTGCAAATAATAAGTACTATGTAACAAGAGTGAACATAAAACATTTTATCTACTAAGCAAATGTATTTTAATTATAGAAGGAAACTAATTCTGCTGATCAGTGCCTGAAGTGTTTATCACCTTGAGGAAAGCAACTAAATCTTGTGCTCCAATCAAAAATCAATTGACCCACATTCTGTAACCTCTGAAAGTCAGAGATGCTGTTTCTCTTCTTTTGGACCTCCTAAGAGTATTGTCAGTCCCAAAGTATTCAAAATAATATGAAATTCTAAGAAGATTATAAAATAAATATATCTCTAATCCCAGAAAAGTTTAAAGAAATGCAGAACTGGTGAAGAAATAAATTAACCCCTGTTGATATTCTAGAAAAGCATGATAATGCGTTTTGAAATAATTTTATTTATGTCTCTCTCTCATGTTTAAGATATTGAAATACTCAAAATAACCAGCAGTCTTATTGCAGTGTATATTGTTTAAATTATCTTAATTAGTCAACTTTAGAAATAATTTTCAAATGCTGAAGGAAAATTTTTCTTTGAAATTTTGTGAATAAAATGTAGTATACATAGCTGTGACATTCGAAAGGAAAGTGTAACTGTCCACAGCAGTTGGGCTTTAGGACAGTTTGATGGGGCATATGAGAGACGGAAGAGAGAGAGTTTTGAGGAGCAGCTGCTTTTATGCCTAGAAGACATTTAGAATCAAAAATGGGGAGAAACGGGAGGTAAATTGTTAACTGTTTAACTGTACATTTAACATTTACTCTTCCTTTTGAAGTTTCTCAAGTTGTGAATAAAGATTTGAAATTATATCAAGTATATTTTTGTGTAGGACTTTTTTGGGAGAGCTTTGTATATGATTTTTTTAAAATATAGTTCTGTATTCAACATTGATCATATGACTGCTTGGTTTTATATAGTTTATATAAGCTATAGTTACTGCTTTTCTTAGTCATTTTCTTGGTCTTCCTCACTGTCATTTGAATACATAACGTCTGCCTCCAAGATTTAAACTGGAAAAAAAAAATTGATATGAGTAGCCCCTAGCCTTCTTTCTAGGAGCTTTCAGGCATTCATCTAACTACACTTTCCTAAAGGGAGTGGACAACATTTTCCTTCCCTTATTGCCTGATTGGCCTTTGCAAGTAAAGGCAATATCTAGAGCATGTGTGGCTCTAACACCCTTTTGGTCCCTTCTATAGTAATTTGTGTGGAGATCACACTTCCTAGATCACAATGTGCAATTGCTGAGTCTACTTCCTATTATGGAGTTAGCAGTCGTTAAAGACTTGTAGGGTGATAAAGGCTATTAAGATTGGGTCAGAGGAAATGAGACTTTTGCTGTCTCAAAAGAATATCTGATCAATATTGTCCTCAATGGTTTATATGAAGGAACTATTTCTTCTTCTCTAAAATTGAAATAACAATGAGATACTTCAAAAAATTTTAGTGAGATCAGATATATATATATTATGTAGCATTTATATTTACTTACATATATTTATGTATTTATGACAGTGCCTAGAACATAGTAAGCATTCAATAATAATTAGCTAATCTATATTAGTATGTACAGAACCTATAATTATTTCTAATGTGTATCAGGCAGTCATCTTACCAAGTTTAATGTATCTCTACTGTCCTTCATCATCAGGGTTCAGGTGGGAACCCCATAGATTGAGAAAAGCAGCCACTTGGCCTGTTCCATATCTCCAACAGGAGTCAAAAGAGAACCTCAGAAATTTCTGAACCCTTGACAAGACCTTTCTTCCCTCACCCAGCCCAGCCCTCATTGTGTCTCACTATTATACATTTAAAGGTTATAGGACTAATCTTCTAGGGTATTTATCCTATTTATCTCAGCCCCCAGAAGAAGTTCTGGTTCCCCAGGCATCCCTCTTCCCCTGGAATCTAATCCCCTTAAGGCTCCAGACATACCCTTTGCTGACCCCACCCCAAATCTCTAAACCCTATTGACTCTTGAAGTCAGCAGCATCTGTTATATCTTCAACCTCTTCTCACAGTTCTTTCTCTAATGGACATGAGCCCTTTCACTTGGAGGCCTTTTTCATACAATACCTCTAAGACTGCTGGGGCTGGAAGTTGAGTAGGTATTCTCTTTGCTTTTTCTCTCCATTTTCAACTAATTCTCCCTCTTGCAAACCTGAATAGCACCACTCCTAGCACTGAATCTCAAGACAGCAGGTTATTGCTCCCACTCTACCCCTCCTTCTTGTCATCTACAGATTTCTCCAGAGCACATTTTTTTTATTCTAGGGTAATGCCCCTGGCTCCCTGTCATACTGTTTAAAACTCCACTCCTCTCATAACTCCTGAGGATTTCAATATGTACACCGCAGTAGGCAGAATAATGGCCTCAAAAAATGCCCATTTCCTAATCCTCAGACTCTGTGAATATGTAGCATTATATGACAGAAGTAGCAGATGGAATTAAGGTTGCTTATCTGCTGACCTTAAAAAAGGGAGATTATTCTGTTTCATCTGGATGGCTCAATATAATCAAAATAGTCCTTCAATGTAGAGGAGGGAGGCAGACGGGTGACAGCCAGAGATGTGATGATGGAAGCAGTGTCTGTGATAGGACTTAAGAAAGATGTGGGCCGGGCGCGGTGGCTCACGCCTGTAATCCCAGCACTTTGGGAGGCTGAGGTGGGCGGATCACGAGGTCAGGAGATCGAGACCCTCCTGGCTAACACGGTGAAACCCCATCTCTACTAAAAATACAAAAAATTAGCCGGGCGTGGTGGCAGACGCCTGTAGTCCAGCTACTCAGGAGGCTGAGGCAGGAGAATGGCGTGAACCCGGGAGGCGGAGCTTGCAGTGAGCCGGGATCACGCCACTGCACTCCAGCCTGGGCGGCAGAGCGAGACTCCATCTCCAAAGAAAGAAAGAAAGAAAGAGACAGAGAGAGGAAGGAAGGAAGGAAGGAAGGGAGGAAGGGAGGAAGGGAGGAAGGGAGGGAGGGAGGGAGGGAGGGAGGGAGGGAGGGACCTGCTGTGCTGGCTTGAAGATGGAGAGAGGAGCCATGAGCCACAGAATATAAGCAGCATCTAGAAGCTGGTAAAGGAAAGAAAAAGAAGGTTCTCCCGTAGAGCCTTCAGAAAGGAACAGAGTCCTGCTAACACTTTGCTTTTAGCCCAGTGAGACCCTGGACAGACTTCTGACCAACAAAACTACATGATAGTACATTTGTGTTGTTTTAAGCCACTGAGTGTATCATAATTTGTTACGGTAACAATAGAAAGCTCACACACTCTAGTTCCTCAGTTCCTTAAGTTCCTCCCATTCAATGTCATCCTCCACCACTGCCTTCGCTATCCACTGGATGATCCTACTCTAGCTCTTACTATTGCTAAGCACCGTGACTACTCCGCAAATCTCAATTTCAAGCATTCCGCCCCATGACCACCATCTTTTACTTTCACAGCTCCCTCCCTCTATTCTCTCAGTTTCAACGAATCTTAGACTGCTCTAGTAACTAAATTCGTAGATTCTACCAGTTTTACTTTCTCTCACCCCCTTTACGGCCCCATTTTGCTCCTCATCCAGCTTAACTTTCCTGATAACCATTATAGTCTGTCTAGTAATCACTCTTTGCATATACCTCTTCTCTATTACTGTCCTTTATAGCTTCATTATTCTCCCTTTTCAGGGTCACTCCCTGATCAGTCTAACTCTCCACTTAGCTAGCTGCTACGCACAGTTGAATGTGGCTAGAGATAAACTCATATTCAGGCTGAGGAATTTCACCTTAAGCTCATCATTAGTACCTCACATAGGCCTTCATCCTGCCCTGGAATCTTACTCTATTTGTCTAGCCCATTCACTTCCCCTTTATCCTTGGCAGTATTTTCATACTACCTTCTCTCTACTCAAACTGCCTATTTATCCTCTTCTGTCCTCACTTTCCATTACTGACTTTGCTTCCTATTTCACAGAGAAAATGGAAATGATCAAGGATAACTTCTGTAAGCTTCTCCACATCTACCCACTTGCCTGCATCTGTGCTACGTGGCTTTTTCCTGTGTATTGTGGAAGAACTGACCCTGTTCATAGCTAAGGTCAACTGCTTCATTTGTGCATTAAGTCTCACCTGCTCCCACCTGCTTAAGAACATTGCTTGGCAATTCTGCTCCTGCTCTCCTAAATCATCAGTTGAATCCATCTCTATCTATCCAACAGCATGTGAACCAAGCCAACATAAATACCTGCCTCTCTATATCCCATTTCTTCCTCTAGTTAACACACCCCATTCCTCTACCCTCTTTTACAGAAAAAAAATTCTGGGGAAAGGTGTTTTATATGTACTGTCTTCAGTTTTTTTCCTCTCATTATCTTCTGAACCACTTCTAATCAGGTTTTCACCCCTACCTCTTTACCAAAAGTGTTCTTACAAAGGTGATAGACAGTTTCATATTGTTAAATCTAATGGTCATTTTTCAGCTTTATGTTAACTAACTGTGGAAAGTTGGTACACCTGTCATTAAAACTCACTCTTCACTTGGCTTCTGTTTTTCCTTCTCTACCTTATTTATTCTTTTTTCTCTCCATAATCTCTTAATATTGCAGTTCCCCAGGACTCCGTAGTTGGACATTTATTATGGTTTTATCTACATTCACTTTTTGTGGATCTCATTCAGTCTTCTGACTTTAAAAACTGTCTCTAAGCTGATGGTCAGAAATTCTAAAATGCTCTCTCAGATTTCTCCCTTGAAATTCCTACCCCCTATAAAAATTTTTAACTTACGTGCCTCATAGGAATTGCAAAATTATGTTTCCAATTCTGAGCTCCTGATCTTCTCCATCTCAGAATCTTTTCCCTTTCAATTAATGGCAACTCCATTCTTCATGTTGTTTAGGACAACATCTCTTCAGATTTCTTTGTCCCCTCATATTCTAAATCCAGTCTGTCTGTAACTCTTAGCAAATGTACCTTTAAGATATATCTGGAATCCACCCAATTCTCACCATTTCCATCAGTATTATCCTGGTCCAAACCACTGTTGTCTCTCACCTGGATTATTCCAAAAATCTCCTCATCGGTCTTTCTGCTGCCAATACTCTCCACTTGGGTCTATTTTCAAACTGGCAGCCAGATTGTCCCTGTTAATAAATAAATAAGTTGGATGGAGCCATCTCTCTACTCAAGCTCTTCGGGAATTCCTCCAAAATAAAAATATTTTTAAACATTCGCCTAGAGGCTTCTCATCTCTTTTAGATGAAATCCAGAGTATTTCCAGTGGTCTACAGGACCAGACAATCCATCATGGATCTCTCCTACTCTCCCATCATCCACCATGCTCCAGTCACCTTGAGCTCTTTGCTGGTTGGTGAAGACACTGTCACGCTCCTGCTTGGGCCTTCTATTTCCACGTGGGATGATCTTCAGATAGCCACACTGCTTGTTCCCTCACCTCCTTCAGGTTTTGACCCTTATGTCTCCTCAGTGAGATCTTCTCTGAACACTCTAATTGAAATTTCAAACCTCTGATTGCTTTCCAGAGCTTTTAACCAAGAGCCTGGTGACTTTACTGTGGCCCCTTCCCCTAGCAGGTCTTTATTTCCTTCACAGACTGGAAACTCCTTTCTGCTTATCACAGTGGTTTGGTTTAGTTTGTCAGCTTCCTACTTCATAAAACTTTAGAATACAGCACATGCTTTGAAGGCAAAACCAGAAGTTCATGAAATCCCTCCAGTCTCTGATTTTGTCACTCCAGCCCCACACAATTGCTAAAAACTCTGCTACTTTCTTTCTTCCCAAGCAGTGGCCTTCTGCTTTGGCTGAGCCTGGATTCTCAGCCTCCAGCCTGTGTCCAGTAGCTTCAAATGCTCCCTGAGAAAAATGCGGCTAGAGCTGGTGTTCTCCTCTTTAGATTTTAATCTATTTCTTCTTTATTCTGAAACTCTCTGCGAGCTCTAAACAGATAGATTTTGTATTTTATCCAGAGCTTCTTATTGGCCTTGGTGAGAATATTGGTCTAGCATAAACCACTCCCATCCTACCATCCTGCTCTCATATTTTATTACTTTTTTTCTTCCTTGGTCTCTGTGTTAGAATGTAATTTTCACAAGGTCTTATATTCATCTCCATTTTTAGTTTTTACAGCTGTCTGTTACAGTGTGGGCTTTTGGTAAATATTTGTTGAATAACTATATGTGTGCACGTATAGTTTATGCTGTCTAACTACTTGTAATCCACAGACTAATTATTAACAAATTATGATGTTGCTTTGAGATAATAATATGTAAAATACTGGCTATAAACCTGAAATTTACACTGGATCATCTGAGAAGGGATCCCATATAAAGGTTATTATCTTTCAGGATTACTGGGAAATTAAGCATGAGAATTCATATAATTTCCAGTTGCAGGAAGTATATGAAAAAAATTAATAAAATAGTGGTCATAAACATGAGACTCAAACTAAAAATAACAAATCCTGTTATTCTTAATTGCAAACATTGATATGTCAATTAATCTGTATTTTATGCAAAAGCTACAGTTCTATGTAGCTTGTTCCTGAGAAAGTAATAGTAGAAATTAATTTATTTAACTATGGTTAATATTTGACTAATCAGTTTTGGGAAAGCCAGCTAATAAATATGTGTAGCTATGGAGATGGATGGATAGATATGTAGATACATACATACACAAATAGATAGATAGATAGATAGATAGATAGATAGATAGATAGATAGATAGATAGATGTACAGATACAGATAGATATCCTGATGGTGATTAAAATATGATCTTTTATTTTATTTAACCAGAAAGATGATGGGAAGTCATTTTACAAAAGGCATGGATTTGCACAGACAGAAAGAGACAGATGTTCTAGATCAGCAAGGGATGATCTTTCATGGTATCGTTGGGAGTGGATTATTTTTTAGAATGGCTGCTAAGAAACTTGAGGAATTTTTAGAATGGCTGCTAAGAAACTTGAGGAACTTGAGCACTGCAAGTTGCCACCGTGGGGTCATGAGCTGAAGATACTTATCCTCAAATGGAGAAAGAGGAGATTTAGGTGGAAAGATCAAGAGCATCGTTTTGGACATGTTAAGTTTAAGGTGTCTAAAGACATGACGAGTAGGCAGTTGTGTAAGTGAATTGAAGGGAAATCTGAGCCTGAGACATAATTTTTTAGTTCACTCCAGATTTTGCCACCAATGAATTTCTGTGCAGGTCTACTTTTCTTGCCAAATAAGTTACAGAGTTGGGGAAAAAAACCCAGCTTTGGTTTCTAGAGTTCTATTGTTTTTATAAATTTGCACTCAGGGCCGGGCGCAGTGGCTCACGCCGGTAATCCCAGCAATTTGGGAGGCCGAGGTGGGCAGATCATCTGAGGTCAGGAGTTAGAGACCAGCCTAACCGACTTGGTGGAACCCCATCTCTACTAAAAATACAAAAAGTAGCCAGGCATCTTGGTGTACACCTGTAATCCCAGCTACTTAGGAGACAGAGACAGGAGAATCACCTGAACCCAGGAGGCAGAGGTTGCAGTGAGTCAAGATGGTGCCATTGCACTCCAGCCTGGGCAACAGAGCAAGACTCTATCTAAAAAAAAGGAAGGAAGGAAGAAAGAAAGAAAGAAAGGAAGAAAGAAAGGAAGGAAGAAAGGAAGGAAGAAAGAAAGGAAGAAAGAAAGGAAGAAAAGAAAGAAAGAAAGAAAGGAAGGAAGAAAGAAAAAGAAAGAAAGAAAGAAAAGAAAGAAAGAAAGAAAGAAAGAAAGAGAAAGAAAGAAAGAGAAGGAAGGAAAGGAATTTGCACTCAGAATGGTGAATTTATTACTCAATATAGGGGAGGAGATAGTCATACTTATAATGCATATCTTCCTTTCTAAAGTAAGAAATAACTTATCTGTTCAATGAGGAAGGCATGTGGGGTTGGGTGAGGCAGGCTTAAAATGGGTGACAAAAAATTAAAATAGCTTTGAATCAGTTACAGACCTAGCCAAAAGTCCTTGAACAGATTGCTAAGAAGTGTTGAGGGCACAGATGATGTTTTACATCATTTTTATTAATTTGTAGTGGCTTAAATATGAGTGATGTTACACAGATTCACTTTTGCCCACCTATAGGAAGTGTATCTCCTTTAATACCGAAACTTCTGAGATAAAGATTGGCTCTGTCCAAATTAAATAGACTTGAACTCTTACTTTTTCCCCTCCTTTCATTTTTTTCCTTTTCTTTACGTTTTCTCTTGCTTTCTTTCTCTTTATTTCTTTCCATTTTTGTTTCTTTTTCTTTTCTTCCTTTCCTATTTTCTTACCTTTTTCCTCCCTTCCTCTCTTTGTTCTCTTTTCCTTCCTTCCTTCCCTCCTTCTTCCCTCCCTCCCTCCTTTCCTTCCTTCCTTTCTTTCTTCCTTCCTATGTGCCAGAAAATCACAAGTTCATATGCCTTTAGGAGCCAGTCACCTCACTGTCCATGTGACTGAGCTGATTACATATAATAAAGTTTAGCAGGGACACATGCACCACCTAAGAGTAATCACATTAGAAAGAAAATTGTAAACACATAAAAACTGCCTGTAGGTTGGATTAACCAAAAGATTATCAGTTTTAACCACGGCCATATGTATACATGAAGAACCACTGAAAGATTTTAAACATTGGCATGATGGGGGTCAAACTTGGAACACTTCTTCCAACTGGAGAGGTGCTGGAGGACAGGACATCAGTTAGGAAACAACAGCAGATGTTTAGCCAAGAATCCTGGGGCCTAGAACAAGCCTGTGAGTAGGTTTAGGTGCAAGAAATGGAGTCAGTGGTATTTAATGAACAAAATCAATAGGGCCTGGAGATTCATCAGATCCAATCACTTCTGAAACATTTACTGAGCCACATACTTGTTTGTATTGCTAGCCTCCCCCTACCCCGAGCCCAGTATCAGCAGATGTGCTTTCTCCAAAACAAAGTCAGTTAAACAAAACCTGTTCAAGTACATCAAGTCTTTTGTAGCCCCTTCAGGGGCATTCTTAATACACAGCAACACAATAATCTTTTTTAAACAATTTTTATTATTTTATTTTATTTTTCCACAAGTTATTGGGGTACAGGTGGTATTTGGTTACATGAGTAAGTTCTTTAGTGGTGATTTGTGAGAGTTTGGTGCACCCATCACCCGAGCAGTATACATTGTACCATATTTGTAGTCTTTTATCCTTTTATTCCTTACCCTCCTCCCACTCTTCCCCCCAAGTCCCCAAAGTTCACTGAATCATTCTTTTTTTTTTTTTTTTTTTTTTTTGAGACGGAGTCTCACTCTGTCACTCAGGCTGGAGTGCCATGGCACGATCTTGGTTCAATGCAACCTCTGCCTCCCAGGTTCAAGCAATTCTTGTGCCTCAACCTCCCGAGTAGCTGGGATTACAGGCACCTGCCACCACGCCCAGCTAATTTTTGTATTTTTAGTAGAGACAGAGTTTCGCCATGTTGGCCAGGATGGTCTCCAAGTCCCGACCTCAGGTGATCCTCCCACCTCAGCCTCCCAAAGTGCTGGGGTTACGTGCGTTGAGCCACCACTCCTGGCCTATTGTGTCATCCTTATGCCTTAACGCAACCGTCTTTGAAAGCCTTTCTTCAGTGGCTAACCTCCTCAACATCCTTTACACAGTGTTTTGCTGCTTCCTGAAAATTTAAATGTACCTCTTTCTGACTTCTCACTCTCTACTCCTCAATGGCCACCACTACCACGACATTAAATAAAATAAACTACCCCTTCATTCTCAAGGCTCTTTGCTTTTTTTCCTCACTTCTTTTTTTTTTTTTTTTAAGACCAACTTTATGGAGATACAATTCATATGCCTTTTTCTTATATTCGTTTTATTTCACTCAAAGGTCATCCTCACTAGCATATTACTGGTTAGCTTGATTTTCATAACAAAACCCTAGAGCCGAAAGTCCTCATGAGGAGGGGGGCAGTGAGGTGGGCATGAGGGAAGGAAGGGGTAGGAGGGGGGATGCTTAGTACACCCTTATTGAGCAGAAGAAAGGAAGGATACTTGAAATATTTATAGAAAAGGAAGGATTCACAGCCCTGGTCACTTAGATAAAAAGGTAAATAAGAAGCAGTCCCTGCCCTAAAGGAGCTTTTAGCATTTGTGGATGGATTACATGGATGTTAGGTAATTACAAGGTGGGCTGCATTTGATATGTCCCTTATTTTCAACTTAGAGACAGGAAGTACCTGCCTGAAACTCTCACAAATACTTCAAGGTCAAAATATCCCAAACTGGAGCCATTCTTTTTCTGTAATAAAAACTGCCTTGTAGTTAATGGTTTCATGATTCTCCCATTTATTCAGGAAGGGAACTAGGGAGTCATCATAGACACTCTCTCTGCCTCCACCTCACAACCGTCAGTCTCCAGGTTACTGCTTTCTGCAATCCCTCATCTCTCATCTGGACCATCTTAATTGATCTCCCTGCTCTACAACTCCTCCAAGGCAACTTCCAAAATACTGATTTTCCACCTGTAGTTTTTGGACTCTCATGGTTCTTGTATGTTGGCTCGTTTGTTTTGCTTTTGGTTATTTTTTGTTTTTGTTTGGTTCGAGAGTCCTTTCCTCTACTTCAACTCAATGCCCCCTCCCACCTTGCTCAGGGAGCTGTCCCCGACTTTCCCATGTGGGAAAAAGCACTTGAATCTTCCATGTGCACACAGTCTTTGATATGTGCCTCTGTTATGGAAACTGACCAAAGTGTTGTCATTATTTAGTTGATAAAGCTGTCTCTTCTAGAGTGCATTAATTTCTTATTCTTCATATGTGCAGATAATTGCAGAATTCTGGAATGGATACATGGTTGGAGATTTCATGGATGATATTGTTAGTAGCAAAGATAGGGATAACAGGAAAGTGCCAGTTTGTGAGGGAGTTAAATAAATTGATTTTTAAAATACTGAGTTTGAGATTTCTGTGGGCAATCCAACTGGAAATAATTAGTAACATGGGCATGGAATTCGAAAGAGGCATTGGTCTGCACAAACAAACTCGGTTATAATTAGTATGTGGATAGTCAGAGCAACCCCAAATGAAAGCAATCCATCTGTTTAACCCATTGATACTTTTAAAAAACTTTTATTTTATTTTTAATTGACAATAATGACTGTATATATTTATGAGGTGCAATGTGATGCTATGATACATGTATGCATTGTGGAGTGATCAAACCAGACTAACACATCCATCATCTCAGATACTTATAATTTATTTGTTGTGTTAATCTATTAATTATTTTGATTCCTTTTTTGGTTTATTGTATGTAATTAAGGTATACAACATGATGCTTTGATATGCATAGAGAAATTATTACTACAGTCAAGTAAATTAACTTATTCATCACTTTCCATAGTTGCCGTGTGTGTGTGTGTGTGTGTGTGTGTGTATGAGTGTGTGTGTGGTAGGAGAACCTAAAACCTACTCTCTTTGCAAATTTTTAGTGTACAATACTATAGTATTAACTAAAATCCTTTTGCTGCACACCAGATCTCTAGACTTTTAAATCCCACCTAGCTGCAAATCTGTACCGTTTAGTCTACTTCTTCCCATTTCCTCCTCCTCCCCAACCCTGAAACCACTGTTCTACTCTCTGTTTCTATGTGTTTCACTTTTGTTTTAGATTCCATATGTAAGTGAGCTTATACACTATTTTGCTGTCTGTGTCTGGCTTATTTCACTTAGCATAATGTACTCCAGGTTCATTCATGTTGTGGCTAACGTCAGTATTTCCTTCTTTTTAAAGGCTGAGTGCTATTCCACTCTGAGTGTATATATACACAATGATTGGTTTATCCATTCATCCATCAATAGGCACTAAGTTTGTTTTCATATCTTGGCTATTGTGAATCATGCTTCAATGAACATGGGAGTGCAGATAGCTCTACAAGGTGCTGATTTAATTTCTTTTGTGTATATATCTAGCATAGGAATTGCTGAGTTGCATGGTAGTTCTATTTATAATTTTTGGAGAAACATCACACTGTATTCTACAATAGCTGTACCAATTTACATTCTTAGAGAGAGTTTTGAGATTGGGTGGAAGACTGCTGTGTTTTCCTTTCACAGAAATTTTAACAGCTGATGATCAAAATGCATATTTTAGAAGAATGTGAATATGTGAAATATTTAGCACAAATTTATAGGAAGCATTTTTTAATGATTAAGTAGCTATAAACATCTTCTTTTATTGTGTGTGGAAATGAGAAAGTCTGATCTTGTTTAAGTGTGTCTTGGCCTTAGTTTTCTTATTGTTAAATAGGAATAATAATAGCAAACCTTGGAAGTATGTTATTAAATTTTTTTTTTTTTTTTGAGACGGAGTCTCACTCTGTCACCCAGGCTGGAGTGCAATGGCGCGATCTCGGCTCACTGCAACTTCTACCTCCTGGGTTTAAGCGATTCTCCTGCCACAGCCTCCCAAGTAGCTGAGATTACAGGCAACTGCCACCAGGCTCTGCTAAATTTTTTTTTTTTTTTTTGTATTTTTGATAGAGACGAGGTTTCACAATGTTGGCCAAGCTGGTCTCAAACACTTTATCTCAAGTGATCCACCCGCTTCGGCCTCCCAAAGTGCTGGGATTACAGGTACGAGCCACTGCACCTGGCCTGTTATTAGTATTTTAAAAGGGATAACATTTGTGAAAGCATTCACACTTCTTGCACATAGTAGATGCTCAATAAATTTTATTAACAAGCATTTATTGAGTTCCCTCCATGTGGCAGGTACAGTTCTAGGCACAAAGATCCCTACTCATATGGAGCTAATACTCTGATGCAGGGAGGGGGGTGAAAGCCATAAAAAATTAACATGAAAGAAGCAAATTATATCCCAAATGATAGCATAATTCATTTTACATTGAAAATTCACATAGTTCAAGTAGCCACAAACTTCAATGACTTCAGGGGCCAGAAAAGTAATCCAAATATATGTCAGGTTGATCGAAAAGAGCACCCCTTTTTTATTATGCTACTTTTGAGAAAAGATAATAGTACTGAAAATATGTCTTTTTCCCTTCTTAAATCTACCTTCAGAAAACCAACCTACAATGTCATGATAAAATGACAATTGACAGCATTTCTGTCTGTGAATGAATGGCAAGCTGCAGAGGGCACTGTCTAAGGGAAAGCCTTGTGTTACCTCTAGCCAACTGGTGACCTTCAGGAATATGGATTCTGTGTCACCAGACTTTCCAATTTTTCAAGAGGAGTCACAAATTTGCATTTGGGATGAAATGTCCTGATTTTTAATGTAGCAATGTATTCATAAATTCTTTCAATTGTAAAAGCCGTCACCTTCCCCATATCATTCCTACTCCTCACCACCACAAATTTGGAATATATCTGGCCTGGTAATCAGGTTTTAATCTCTGAAAAAAACTGAGGTTTAATATATGTGACTTTCTTTTTCTTCTTCTTCTTTTTTTTTAGACAGAGGCTTGCTCTATAACCCAGGCTTGAGTGCAGTGGTGCAATCTTGGCTCACTGCAACCTCCGCCTCCTGGGTTCAAGTGATTCTCCTGCCTCAGCCTCCTAAGTAGCTGGGATTACAAGCACCTGCCACAACACCCAGCTAATTTTTATATTTTTAGTAGAGTTGGGATTTCAACTTATTGGTTAGGCTGGTCTCGAACTCCTGACCTCAAGTGATTCACCTGCCTCGGCCTCCCAGAGTGCTGGGATTACAGGCATGAGTCACCTCACTTGACCTATGTGACTTTTTAAATAAGATTTTGTTCTACTATATTTAATAAAATTTGACAGTTGAAAAATGTGTTTCTCCACTCTAAGCATACAGTCCTTAACTATTATATAAGGAATAAATATTTGGCTACAAATAACATTGACCTGGGGCAGGGTTACACTGGTTAAGAATATTTACAGAATTTCCCCTAGATTACCTGACATCATTATTACATATCTTCCATCATTACACCTTGATTTTGTTCAGCAGGTGTACTCAGCTGTAAAACTGCATTCCTCACTCTCCCTTGCAGATAGGGACAGACGTGTTACTCAGCTCTCCCAAAGGTATATAGTAGGCAGAAGTTGTTGCTGGGAGTTTCTGGAAGAGTGCTCTAAAAACAAGGGTTCCCCCTTTCTCTCTCTTTCTGATTATTTTTATTTATTTATTTATTTATTTATTTATTTATTTATTTATTTGAGATGGAGTTTCGCTCTTGTTGCCCTGACTGGAGTGCAATGGCAGGATCTTGGCTCACTGCAACCTCTGCCTCCTGGGTTCAAGCAATTCTCCTGCCTTAGCCTCCTGGGTAGCTGGGATTACAGGTGCCCACCACCATGCCCAGCTAATTTTTTGTATTTTTATTAGAGATGGGGTTTCACCATGTTGGCCATGCTGGTCTAGAACTCCTGACCTCAAGTGATCCACCCACCTCGGCCTCCCAAATTGCTGACATTACAGGTGTGAGCCACCACACCCAGCTTCTTTCTGTTTTAGATACAGATATGATGGCTGGAGTTGCATTAGCCATCTTGTGGCTATGAAACAATTTGTACAAAAGATAGTTGGGCAGAAAAAGAGAAGCCTCCTGAGACATTGTTGCCGTGAGTAATCCCTAATACAAATCGAAGACTCCGAACTTGTTTAACATTAAATAAAAATGAACTTTTGGCCGGGCATGGTGGCTCATGCCTGTAATCCCAGCACTTTGGGAGGCGGAGGCAGGCGGATCATGAGATCAAGAGATGGAGACCATCCTGGCCAACATGGTGAAACCCTACTCTACAAAAAAAAAAAAAACACAAAAATTAGCTGGGCATGGTGGCACGTGCTTGTAGTTCCAACTGCTCGGGAGACTGAGGCAGGAGAATCACTTGAACCCAGGAGACGGAGGTTGCAGTGAGCTGAGATCGCACCACTGTACTCCAGCCTGGGTGACAGAGCGAGACTGTGTCTCAAATAATAATAATAATAATAATAATAATAATAATAATAATAATAATAAAATTTAAAAATGAACTTTACCTTGTTTAAACCACTCTTATTTCTATTATCAGCAGACTAATGCAAGTCCTGGCTGATTCACTGAGATCATTAAGAAAAAATAAACAAAAAACCAACTTTTTATATAGCCTACAAGGTGGAACAGCAGAATTTCACCTCAGTCAATTCAAATATGGAATCACCATTTGTCATATACAGCAAAACCATAAAATTATCTTTGTTCATGCTGAACGCTCCATGATTTTCTGTTTAAACTCATCTTTACTCATTCTGAAGTCTATTCAAGCAGGCATTAAGACAGTTGTGAATTGTGATGAACATTCATTGAATTAATTCATGGGAAAAAAGTTTTATTTATTTTTATTTGCCTTTATTTTCATTAGCTGAAAAATGAGAACATACCTCAGGATACTAGAATGCAACAAAATATTAACTCTCTCAGACTTAAGGAATCACGTCTACTAGATCATTTTTGTGTAGGAATACAAAACAGAAGTGATAAAAATGGTGTGCTTAATTTAAAAATGTGCATATTTAGGGAAGGTATTTTTATTTAAAATTTTAATTAGTGCAGCAATTAAATATTAAATCCCATAACAAACAAAACACCTGTCAAGCACAGTTAGAAGGGAGAATACAATGATGAATACAATATCATCTCTACCTTAAAGAACATCATAGTTTGGTTTATAAAATCAATAAACAAAATTATTTTTAGAGTTGAAAAATTGAGGTAAATGAGGTTCAATGATTTAATACAGATTATACAGCAGGTTAATAGAAGAATCCCAGTCTCCTCACTCCTAAATCAATGGCTTTCTACAAAGTCAGACCTCTGACTTTAATTTTTTAAATTTTTAGTTGAGATAGGGTCTCACTCTGTCACCCAGGCTGGAGTGCAGTAGTACAATCATAGCTCACTGTAACCTTAAATTCCTCAAGGGATTGTCCCTGTTCAGTCCCCTGAATAGCAAAGACTACAGGCACGGTGCAGCTAACATTTTTAAAGATTTTTTGTAAAGATGGGGTTTCACTATATTGCCCAGGCTGGTCTCAAACTCCTGGCCACAAGCAATCTTCCCACTTTGGCCTCCCAAAGTGCTGGGACTACAAATGTGAGCCACTGAAGGCTTTTGACTTTAGAGAGGATGGAAGATAGTATCTTCAAATGACACATTATTGTACTTTTTTTTTGAGACGTATTGTACCTTTTTTTTATTTCCATGAAGTAATGCTCCCTTTTCTTCTGAGGCTTTTCAGAGAACACTGGAGTATCTTCAAGTCTCAACATATTTGAACTCTTTATTTATTTATTTATTTATTTATTTATTTATTTATTTATTTATTTTGAGACGGAGTCTCGCTCTGTTGCCAGGCTGCTAGAGTGCAGTGGTGCGATCTTGGCTCACTGCAACCTCCGCCTCCGGAGTTCAAACGATTCTCTTGCCTCAGCCTCCCAAGTAGCTGGGACTACAGGTGCACGTCACCATGCCCAGCTAATTTTTGTATTTTTAGTAGAGACAGGGTTTCACCATGTTGGCCAGGATGGTCTCGATCTCTTGACCTCATGGACTCCCTGCCTCAGCCTCCCAAAGTGCTGGGATTACAAGTGTGAACCCCTACTCCTGGCCCATATTTGAACTCTTAACCAAAAGAAAGTGAGTTTTCAAAGTACAGAAGTTAACCTGCTACCTTCACTGATTCATGACTTGGGTAAAACAATTATTTACATCCAATCTTTTTTCTTTCCCCATATCAGATTACATTCAGCTACATATAACAGAAAACCTAAAGTTGTATGGCTTAAACACAAAAAGGTTTATTCACACACATGACCAAGTTTAGAGGTAGGAAGTCTAAGGCAGATTGGAGGCTCTACAATTTGTCAGGGATTCAGCCTCTGTTAATCTTTTTGCTCCACTATTCTGAAGCTCACAAAATGGCTGCCTGAGCACCAGGCATCACATCCATGTTCTAGATGTTATCTAAATAATATCTAATTATCTAGACATTAACTAATATCATGGACCTGCTGCCTGAGGCTACCTGTATTGCTTACTCCATGAAACTAATCATGTTTTTCACCTATTCGTTTTTGCTGTCTTTCCCCTCACCTAATCACTTATGTAGTGCTTTTCCAAGTTTTATGTGCTTACAGATCTCCTAGAGAGCTCATCAAAATGCAGACTCTGATTCAATAGGTCTGAGGTGGGGGCTAAGTATCTATTTGTCTAAGAAGCTCTCAGGAGATGCCAATGCTGCTGGTCCACAGACCACGCTGAGTATCAGAGAGGTAGCGCTGAGGTGAGGAATAGAACGACAGACATTCTCAACCTTGACAGTACATCAGAAAGGCCTGGGGAGTCTGTTAACCTACTCTATAGCTGGGTCCCATTCTCAATGTCTCCTATTCAGTAGATCTGGGCTAAGGACCAAAGTATTTGCATTTCTAATAAGTTTCCAGATGATGCTGAGCCTGCTAATCCAGGAATTACACTTCAAGAACCAGTGACCTTGAATTTTAGTATGGATCTCAAAGAGGTGGGAAATACGGTGAGTGTAGGACAGTAGCACATCCCTCTTGCAGGATACCTACTATGGATGGAAGATCTTTAGAAACTTGGATTTTAAGAGAGATTTTGAACTATGTAAATGTCATCCACCACTCAGTACCAAATATTCTATATCTTTTAGGGGAGGCAAAGCCAAGTAAGGAAATCCTTTCATTTCCACTTTTGATTAGAGGGTTTCTTTTAGTTTTTCTTGAACTCTACCTGGTAGAAAATAACATTAATTTTAGGCAAATTAAAACTTCAGATATCTCAAATGAAGCCTTGAGTTTTTTTAGTGTTAATAATTCCACAGTATATCATTTAGAAGTCTCTAAACATAGACAAATAGAATTCCACAGTTACAGGTATCAAATTGTTGCACACTGACAACCAAATTTTTAAAATGTTGAAATCCTACATATTCTCAGGCAAATGCAGACCACAGGAAAACCACATTTGTCTTTCATTGTTTTTTTTTTCTCTAAAGTTAGGGAATAAACAACTGCTAACTCTGTAGATTGATTTATGAAAGGATATTTTATTTCGGTCAATCAAAAAACTTACTTTAAGAAGTGAATATCTTAAAATAATAAAAGACTTAACTTCATAAGATATATATTATAAATGCACTTCACACATTTGTTTTTATAATCCTTCTAATACACTTAAATTAGTCTATTTAAAATAACTATTTTTAAAAAGTTATTTTGGTTTTGGTAGTAAGGATTTGAGGTAATATAATGTGATTTTTATTTTTTATGTAAACATTTTTTTGAAGAGTTTTGAAAAATTACGCTAACTTAATTTTATTGGGCCCTATAAAATATGCAAGAATCTATCCATTCTTAGTAACGTTTTCTTCTGCTATACTTCTTTATTTTCTTCTTTTCTACAAAAGCAGAAAGACAAATGCAGTGTCTAGTCAAATGCAACACTCCTTCAGATTTATTAGAAAAGCAGATAAAAGAGAGTAGAAAAATGCAGCAATATACATTGTTTGTTTCATTACCCTAATTTCATTTAGGTTTTTCAACTAGTACAGAACTTTCATAACTACCATGCAATAAAAAGAGGGCTTTTCTGTGATAATAAAAATCTTTGACTCTAAAACATCTATTTTGAGCATTTTCTAAATAACACAGCATATGACTTTTCTGAAAGTAAATATATGCATAGATGTCAAGTTGTATGAAATACTTTTAATAAACACAGGAGTAAGCAGAAGTTCAGTAAAATTAGGACATGTCTAATGAAGCTCACTTATAAAATTACATTGATTTTCATCTACCCTGGTGTTCTCATGAAATTTTTTCACATGAAATATTTGAGATCTGAAATAAGATAAGAAAATTTAACTGTATATCTTCCTCAATACTGATTTAATTCTAGAAAAACCAGTCATAACTATTAACTTATTAACTGACAATTAAGTTTTATGAAATAAATCCATGAAATGCAATCTTTTATTAACAAATGAAATTTGTAAGCAATCTGATAGAGTGTCACATATTTTATCAAACATACAATTAACATTTAATTTTGGGAGTAAACAGAGAATGATTTTGAATTGCCTAAGTAAACCAAAAGACAGTCAAAGTTTCTCTGAGATAAACTCTAATGATATTTTGAAAATATTTTAAATGGCCAAAACTGTTTAATACAAATTTATTTCTCACACTTTCTAATAATTTTTCAAATGCTTTTGGAGTATCTTCTCTTGCTGACTGAGCTATCTACCTCTGGATATTAATTATTACATTTTGAATGTAGGTAGAAATTGTTCTTGGAGTAACTAAAAATCATTAGCTGAAATTTAACTTACATATGTTCGTTTGTCTTCATATTTCTTTTCACTTGCTTAATTATGGGAAAGAAAATGTATATCTGAACATAAAAGTACAATTAAAGTTAAGGTTCAGTTAATGATTTTTAATTACTCCAAGAACATTTTGTACCTACATTCAAGAATGTAACTTTTTATGATAAATGTCCAAATTTATATTATATTTTAAAATTTTAGAACTGATATTATCAGAGCAACCTGTACATCAGAGAACAAAAATTGCATGACCACAAAAATATTTTATAATGGTTATAAAAATTATATGTTATGGATACCTTATAAAATCTGATTTATTAAAATCACTTTTTTCTTCTGATCCAATATCCAATTTCATATCAAGAAGCGCCTTTAATTTGGAACTGAGAATTAGAAGACTAGTCACAAAATTTTTTTAAAAAGCCACTCATTTTTAAAAATAGTTAACTAGTTAGAAAATATCTAGTTAATAGATTTTTTTAAGTCTTTGTTTTTTCTGGATGAGAAATTTCCATACTGTTATTGTTTATAGACTTATAGAGTTTGCCACAAATGACTACGAAAATGCTATTTAAATATATAGTTTCTTTTTAGATTAATAAAATATACTATCCTATTAAAATGTTATACATTCAAAATTATTTCTGAATGTGTGCGTTCATTTATTCATCATTCTACAAATGTTTGGTAAGTGTTGCTGTAATTGATTTCAATTTTTTTTTTTTTTTTTGAGACGGAGTTTCGCTCTTGTTGCCCAGGCTGGAGTGCAGTGGCAATCTCGGCTCACTGCAACCTCCGCCTCCTGGATTCAAGCGATTCTCCTGCCTCAGCCTCCTGAGTAGCTGGGATTACAGTCATTCGCCACCATGTCCGGCTAATTTCTTATATTTTTAGTAGAGTGGGGGTTTCTCATATACATTCTAGTCCCTAATTCTGACTGCCCATTTTCTTAAAGTAACTGTAAATTTAGGCTGAGTCTTAAGTTCTAATACAGATGGTAATTCAATTTCTGGCATATTCAAGGTGCTAGTCTCTGTATATCAGAGTTGCAGCCTAATGCATCAGGGCTAGTTGTCCAAATGCTTGGAGATGGCAGGTGGCAACCACAGATAAGGCAGGCCTATGTCAAACTCAAGAGTGAATGTTTTTGCTAAAGTATTTATATTTTTAAAATGTTAGTAGTAAACCATGTTGAGCAAACGAAACATATTTGTGAGCATAAGTCAACCCATGGACCTCAGGGCTGCAATTCTTTCATGGAAATCTTCTCATGTAATCTTCATAAAATCTCTGCCCCTCAATTTGCTATGAGCTTGTTCTGGTCCTTATCTTTCCAAGAACCCTAGAAGTTGGAGTGACCTAACAACAAATCCACATGGGCAGAGGTCCAGGGACTGAGCTCTGAAGGATCCTGAAAGAAAACAATGCTGGGAGCACTGCTCTGAGGAGTACAAAAGTGTAAAAGAGAAATGAACTTAATCACAAAACTGAAGATTGCACTGAAGAATACTTAAAAGTCCTTTTTAAACCACTCAGGTGGAGAGAATGCAATTATCTGGCACCAACTATGTTCTAAGAACATAATTCTCCCCAAGATTTTGAAGAACATATTTAATTCGTACATCTACAATGCAAATTCATCTTTCATTGGCCTCTATAATACCCAGCTTTCCCAAATGCTCTTCCACAGCACAAAAAGTAACATCAGTTTGCAAATAAAAGGTGCAAGAAGGTGTACAGTACAGTCGTGAAAAGGGCAATATATACATGCATATAAAAGAGAATTAACAAACAAAACCTTGATTTCTAGAGAACATGGAAGTTATACCAGACAAGGAGAATGTAGGGGAATCTCATATTTATAGTACCCTTACCTATACATGACAAAGTTTACCTCCATAAACAAAAACATTAGCAGATGCTGCTAACATTCTGCAAGTAATAAATTCCTACTTATGCATCTGTGGATATTACACTATTAAAAGGCACATTTATTTCTTGATGCATGTCTTTGCTAATGTCCTAAATTTGGGTTCCAGGTGATCTAGAAACTCCAGTCCCTCTTCTTCCTGCCGATCGCTGCAGCAACCTACTGAGCCGGCCAGAGAACCTTTGCCTTCATAGTTATACGAACAAACGTAGTCTTCACAATGTTTATGCTCCTCATCTTGTCCACACAAATACACCTTCTGTATCAAAAAAGAGCACATTTTATTATTTTTTAAAAAACACCTAAACATATTAGCAGAAAAATGATGTCTTTGATTTACCTTTTACTGTTTAATTTTTAATCAGAGTGTGTCCTCTAATGGATTCCTATATATAAAAAATGCACAGGATTGGTCTGTATTATAGTCACTCTTAAAATATAGCAAATAAATAAATGCTTCTAGTGAGCACATTTAAAAAATTAAGACTACGCATATATCACGCAACACATTTATAATTTCCCATTTGAACACAAAACATGTATATTTGAAATTTACCTTTGTAGCTTCTTCACGTATTTGAGGAAAACCAATATAGGCTATGATTCCTATGTTTATACACTACTATATAACTGTGATAGTGTAATATATTAAACTGGCTAATATCAAACCTATACTGATTAATCTGAACATAAAACAAAACAAGGAACTAAAACTCAAAATAAAAGCTCAACAATTTATCTGGTTGATTTTGATAGCCAGGACTTCATAACCACACAAAGAACTCAAGCACACTGAGAAATGTTTATAATTTATGATCCATTCATTCCTGTATAATAAATATTTCACTCCAGCTGGTTTTCCTGTTAATTTCTAGGGAAGAGGCTATGAACCTTTTATCCTTTGTAAACACATCTACATATGGCACTCCTAGATAAAGTTTTGTAAACTGTATTTTCAAAGGTGAATTTTCAAAGATCATTTTTATCTTTGGGTTTAAACCAGACATCCACATCTATGATAATCCAACAGGTAAAAGATGTTGAATTCCAGGTATATGAGGAGTAAAACTTTTGGGAAATTCTGATTTATAACTAGCATTTAACTTCCATGTAATATGACCTCAAAGACAGTGGAACTTACTTCGCCAAGCCGAGGTTGGGTGAAACTCTGCCAGTCCGTGTACGCATATCTGCCAGTATCTCCCTGCCCCACTCCCTTGACGGACTCCAAGGTCTGATGTCCACCTCCTTTGTTGGAATCCAAAGTGTAGCCTCCTTTGACCATCTCAAAACTTTGCTGTGTTTTGATTCCCTGGCCACCAACAGTACCAACAGACATGCTTGTGTCACAAATGTTGGATGTCTGCATGGGGAGTCTAATATTTGCTTCCTAAAAGTAAAGTGAGAGTGATAAAGTGAATTTGAAAAATGGAAACTAACAATTCATTTTCATTTTTTTTCACCATAGGCAAATCACTTGCCTGCTGTGCCTCTCTGTTCCTCATACATAAAATCAGAATAATAGTATCATAGGTGTGATGGGTTGAATTGAGTCCCCTAAAAATTCATATGCCCTAACCCTCAGTAACTCAGAATGTGAACTTATTTGGAAATAGGGTCATTGTAGATGTAATTAGCTAAGATGAGGTTATATGGGATTAGAGTGGGTCCCTAAGCGAATATAATCAGTATCCTTATAAAAAGGGGAAATTTGGACACAGACATGCACACATGGAGAATCGCCATATGAAGATTTGATTTCCACTGCCATAAGCCAGGGAATTGGCAGAAGCTAGGAGAGAGTCCTGGAACAGATCCCTCCCCAGTTCCTTCAGAGGGAGCACGGACCTGCCAACACCTTGATCTCTGATTTCTAGTCTCCAGATCTGTGAAACAATACTTGTCTGTTGTTTAAGTCACTCAGTTTGTTGTGACAGCCCTAGCCCTGTAGAATTGGGAGGTTTAAATGATTTAAAACACTGAGGGCACTTGAAACTCTGCTTAGCATAGTAAGTGCTCAATAAACATTAGTGATATTATCATTGACATTGTTGAGTAATAATCTGTCATCATTTGTTCACCGTACAATTCAAAGGGATGTGAAATCTGATTTACCGTTACTTCTTCTCCAGGTCCTTCAGTATTTGATACAATTAAATTTTGCTGGGCTATGTCTTCTGGAAAACATTTCTTGACTGTTCTCTTAGCAGTGACACAGAAACATGTAAACAGAATACCTAAAAAGCAAAAAAGATCAAAGTAAAACACAGACATTAAATCATTTGATTACATGATTTTTTAAAGTCTTCTTGCATATGTCTCAAAAAATTCATTCCACAAATTGAGCTCTTCAGGTCACAAGATTTAAAAACAGAATATTTTAAAAATGTATTTATACTATTTGTAGCTTAGAGAGATTAATAATAGCTCTCTTCCCAGGTCCAGAATTAACTTATATGTGTCTTTTATTTCTTCTACATTGAAATGGTAACTTCATCTAACTGATATTTAAGATAGCATCATTAGTAGTTAAAATCATACAGAACACACTTAAAGGGCTTAAAATAACAAGACTAAGAACATTAGGCATAAATACAAACAAGAAAGGCAATTACATAAAATTGGTGTCTGGTTTCAAAAATGTACATCAACTAATAAAGTGCTAAGAGGAATATCCAATTTAATCTGAAACTCAAATCAATGAATTAGGATACAGTAAAGATTATAGGAAAAGTTTGTAAATGCAAATGGGTTCTTTGGGGTCAGAGGGAGAGAGAAAGAAAAAGAAAAGGAAAAGAAGAGAGAAACAGAAAGAAAGAAAGAGAAAAAGGCAGTCTTAATTAAGCGTGGGCAATATTTCTATTACTTTTGTACCTCCAAATAACAGTTTGCACAATGCAAAATCTTAGCATCCTTTGCCTGTATTGCTTTTCCTCAGTGGCTCATATGACCATTTTTCACTCACGGAAGTCTTACGATGATGCTAAATCACTTCATTAATAATATGGAACAGAAATATCTGAGTAAATTTTGGAATAGCTCTGTTTTCACAAATTCTTTTTGTATGTATGTATTCCCTACATAAACATGGCTGGTTGAAAGACTATATTATTTTACATGGAGGGAATCTTAATAGTTTTACCCAGCCTCTTCATTTTACACATGGAAAAATGAGTTCAAAAAGGAGGAAATAATTTACCCAATGTCTCACAGATAATTATTGAAGAACTAAGGCTACCACCTCTGAAACTGACTTTAAATTTAATCTGCTGTTACTGATACATTTATCACTCAGAGCCCCAAGACATAAAATAGATACAATATTTTTAAAAGAACACACTTCCCAAAGGCTATTAATATAAAAAACTTCCATGTTTTAAAAATACTAGATAAAATTTTAGCTAACACATTCTAGATAATGATACTTAATATACTTACATAATAACAATACAGAACCCAACACCATAGCAAGAATAGCCCATCTTCCAAGTATTACATTTGGTCTAACGTCTCTTGTACTTTTATCCTTCATTCTACACTCAGATGGAGTTGAACAGTCACATACTCTCACTGTTAACATATGTGTTGCAACTAAACCATGCCTGTCTTTTATTTGAATAGGCACAGAATAATAGTTATAATCAAGATTTTGCCGTTGACGAAGAATGGCAGTTTTACCTAGGGAAAAAAAAGACAGAATATATATGGATTGGCTGTTTAGATGGCAGTATTATTCCTACTCAATATTCTCAGTGGAAGGGAATCAATTTAGAATAAAAACTCGAATTTTTCTTTTTTTTTTTGAATTTGTGATTTCCCAGAAGAGCCAGAAAAGTAATTGATGTTGCTTTATGCTGATATTAAACTAATCTGTACTTAACATGTTGCTCAAATGTTAATTAAAAAGGGACTTATATGTTTTCTTAAAAGATATTCAGAACAAGAGTCTAAGCTCATCACAATGGCACTAATTTTTTTTAAAGATTAGGTATTGTTGTTTTTAGGGTTAATAAAATAATTTCCTAAAATAAATGTGTATTTATTATGATAAACTAAGGTGAAAGAACCATCACCAATCTGAAGTCCGTATTGACTATAAAATTTAGCATGATTACATACCATCCTTTTCTTCTATGTTCCAGTTTTTACTGGCAGAATTATCCAGAAAGAATTGAAAAGGTGGTCCATTTTCAGGTCCATCTGGATCTACAGGTTTCAGAACAGCAAAATCCTCATTATTCTGACAAATGGTCACTTCTTTGTCAATTTGAGGTGCGTGATCGTTGTAATCATCCAAATGAACTACTAATGTTCCAGTGCAAGATCGGCCAACTAAGATTAATTAAAAATAGGTTATTTCTTCACATGAAAATGCATTTATTTTCAACAATTTATAAAATACACAGTTGACATCTGCTTTCTACTAGCTGTCTGAGCTTGAGTTCGCATACATGCTTCCCAGATTTCAGACACCAAGACTACAAAATAGGGACATGTCACTTTTCTTTGAAGACTAGGGCTGGATCAGATAATTTCTTCAGATGCTTTTCAAAACTAAAAGGTATGAGATTATGAGGAAGGTCACTACAGAATGACCTGTTGAAAATAAAACAGATGTCTTACATCCTTCTTTATGAAGCGCATATATTCATCCTTAGAATACAAACACTTTACATTTGGTTGTCAGTCACTTTCTCAGCTTCTCCATTGCATCATATACTTTTTTCCCAAACCTTGAAAACTTCTCTAGAAATGCACTAAGTGTTCCCCTTCCTGTCTGCTTTGTAGCATTCGGTTGCCACTCCTAGGAATACTTTTCTCCTCTTCTTTGCCAGATAGCACACTATTATCTTCAAGAATCTACTTAAATGTCACGTCCTCATGAAACTCGTGACTTCCACAGACAATGGTAGCCATATTCCAGTGCTTTCTCAGAACTCTTTGCTAATACTTTGGCTCACACACTGAACTGCAAAAGTAGCATAGTAAGTTGTATTCACCTTGAGAGCCTAGTGATTTGCCCAGTATTTCCCAGCTAACTATAACTTAATACTGACACATTGAACATAATGCAGTTCCTATTTTTATACTTGAAAACATTTAATTGAATAAGCCAGAAAAATAAGTTTTCATCTCTACCCTAATGCAATTCATATGTTCTTGACAACAGGAACTGTCTCGTACTCATCTGTTGATTGCCACTATTATTGGCCTAAGACTTCACACATAGTATTTTTAGTTAAAATAGTGCCCATTATTTGTGTTTAAGAGATAATGAAGTTCAGAAACATGTCAAATCCCACCATTTGTAAAAGGATAATAAACTACAATAAATGATAAGATATCAAAATTGAAATAAACAGAAAGGTAATTGATGTAATTTTTCATGTTTTTGCTTTAAATACTGGTCCACATTTTGAAACATGTATGTTGAATTTATCATAAAGACTACTATAACTCCCATGCAAATATAATTTATTTTTCTTTTTAATTTGAAATAACCCTAAGTCATATCATGTAGTGTATTTCAAAAGAATTTTTTCTGTTGAATAACTACAAAATTAATTTATTCAGTGACTTTTAAACTAATTGTTTGTATAAAGTAACTACTATTTATGCCTATTTTAAAACTACCTGAACAAATTTAAAAATATCCAGAAATAAAAGAGAGATATAGCTATTTGTTGAAGAAATTTGCAATAGCATATAAATACTTTGAGACTGCCAGAAAATAGCAAATAAAGTTGAATATAAGTAATAACTTTAAAATCAGCAAACTAAGAAATGAATAATATGAAAAAGAGGCCTTATAAAGTAAAAAATTTAGTTGCATACACTACACATGAGTTGATATATATACTATAATTTCACCTTTTAAAATTTAAGCAGAAAGCCTTTCTCTTTATAGAAAAATCGTAAGAAAACACACTTTAAAAATCCAAAAAAAGTGGTAATTATAGTAACGCAAATCAAGATTTATTTAATCACATATTCAACCAACATTTATCCCATAACTTACTATTTTCTATTACAGTCTCTGCTTTAAGCATGTTGATAAAAACAGATGAAAGATGCTTGAAATGATTTAAATGGAAGGCAATCAAAGACAAAGCTGAGAAGGTCTTAGAACAGGGGTGTCCAATCTTTTGGCTTCCCTGGGCCACACTGAAAACAGAAGAATTGTCTTGGGCCACACATAAAATACACTAACACCAATGATAGCTGATGAGCTAAAAAATATATGTTGCAAACAAATCTTATAATGTTTCAAGAAAGTTTATGAATTTTTGTTGGGCCACATTCAAAGCCACGCTGGGCTGCATGCTGCCTGCAGGCCACAGGTTGGACAAGCTTGTCTTAGAAGATATCAAAAATTACAAGAGGTTGATGGTAAGTTTTTATTTTACCCCTGGGAAGAGGTAAACAGCCAAAAATAAGTAATTACTGATAATAGCTGAGCATGATGAAGTCATTGGTGTGTTTATTTACTTCTAAAATTTACTTTAAATTAAGCACATAAGCAAACATCAAGTATAAATGAGTAAGAAACACCAATCACAGAGCTAGAAAGTACATCTTGGGTTAACTAAAAATCTTCATAATACTTCAACAGCAATTCTGGAAAGCAGTCGTTTTTTATTGCTACTCAAATGTTTCAGTAACTAGAATCACTGTATTATAAATCAGCCTACTCTATAAATTTTAAAATTAATTGTTAAAAGATTTAAATTTTTAATTATTAAGCTACAATATGCCTCCTAATGATTTCCTGTAATTTGTTCATGTTCTTTTTGGACTATACATGCAAAATGTTTGCCACTTGTACATGACAACCCTTAAATATTTGTTCTCTTAAGAAAATCCTTCTTACAGAAGGGAAAAATAAAGAAGCACTTAATAAATGTTTAATCTCAATTTTCTACATTAAAATCAGTTTTCCCAAGTGCTAATTATGTCCCTAGAATTGTAAAGCTTTTTGCAGTGAAATGTATAACGTGGAGATTCATAGGACTCTCAAACAACAAAGGAATGACAAATATCAGCACCTGCACTGTGCATATGTATACCACATTTTCTGCCAGATACTTGGAAAGGGACGATTTACAAAGAAAAAGGGTCTTTATACAAAATTGAACTCATAATTAAGCTTGTTAGGAGAACAGAATATACATGAGAAACAATGAAAGCAGCCTTTTCTACAGAAGCCACACCATATATGATAATTGTTATCCCCAGTTCAAAAGGTATTTAGAGAAGAACTGAATCCAGACTAATGGAAACAATCACAAACCTTGTCATTGCCATTTATTTGAAGAAGTTAAGGGGCCTGAATTTCAGACAGGAGGAGCAATGCTACTCTAGGTGGAAGGTATGTAAAACAATGCTTTCTCGACTGACAGCAGGGACATCAGCCAGACTGACAGAGGATTGACACAAGAAAGAAAGTTGGATTCTAAGACAGGTAGAATACCTAGATCATCATCCAGGAATAATCATGAGCATCAGAGCAAAATGTGTGTGTGTGTGTGTGTGTGTGTGTGTGTGTGTGTGTGTGTGGATTAAAGTTCAAAGAAACAAAATCCATCATATCACTATATGGTTTTTCACTAAAATGTGTAACATCCTTATCTTTACTTTTTTATTAAACACACCCAGGTTATCTACGGCCCTGGAATGTAGATTTGTTAAAGTTTGCTTTTTATTTTCTACACTACATTCACTGTGCTTACAGACTTTGTCTTTTAGCACCAAAAAACAAAGTTACTTTTTAAATACTTTGTTCTCCATAATTTTCTCCTCTCCAGATAGCATTTTATTTTTAAAAAATTAGGCCTCTGCATTTCTGTAATCTCTTCTCTTTCATCCTTAATCTGAGCAGGTCTTAACTGATCGCCACTTCTGATAATATTCATACATTCTTTTTGAGGAAAGTTCTCACATCATAGAATCTCTTGTGAAACTATAATAATTCTATAGTTGATATCGTGTAAGAATTTGGCCTTATCTTAACATTCTTAATTTCCATGTCAGCTTGTCTAATACTTAGAACTTAATAGACAAACCACCAGTTGGGGAATAAATGAGTAAACATAAAGTCTTCTTTGCCAACATAGAAAAAAGTAGGGGTATAATATCTGAGAACACATTGTTTGCATTTTGTTATTAAAAAAAAAAACAAAGGGACAAATAAATAAGCATGAACATTTTCACTACTACCAACTTATATTAATTACCATGGAATTTCATATGTATTTATTAATACAGTCAACCATTCCTTCTAAAGAAATGCAATAGACACAGGAAAAAAAAACCCATAGCATTGTATCAGCTAGTTTGTTTTGAACATCCAGCATATGCATGTAAAAAGAGTGGAAACCTTCTTGGATTAGGCAGGTAGTCAAACGAATAGGCTATGTTATAAAAGCCCAAGTTCATTTATCTTTATTATTTATGGCAATTTGCCAAAATTTATGGTAAATTTGTCATCAATATGATAAAATGGAAGAGTGTAGCTTCTACTTATATTTTTATCATCCTCTTTTAATATGTTTTGTATATTTTTATGATGTATACATTAGTATAATAGTACATGTATATAAAAATACATATGATAGCAAATATTTAAAAACATATTTATAAATATATATTTAAACATACTAACAAGTGGTTTACTGATAGAAATTTGTATGTTCAAAAGAATTTCCAGATCACTACTTTACTATATTTGGAGGACATTCTTTACAGAATTGATTCTAAAATTGACCTTGGTAAAAGATTGCAAATCACCATAAAAGACTTAAGTCATTGTTTGACCATTGCTTTATAAAATAGGATAAATGATTTGTTCTCCATTAAGAGAAGCTCAGAACAAACTTACTTTGAACCCAACTGTTTTAGGTGTGTTGAACCCTTTCAGCAAGCTCAAATCATAATGTATCTAAACCTGTACTTCTGAAAAAAAACGGTGATCCTTGAGTATGCCACCATTTCCTCAGCAGAAATTAATAATATATAGATCATCTTTGAATCCTTAGACCTTAATTTTAATTGTGATGTAATTACATTTAAATTTATTGTGATATAATTAAGCCTTAAGCTTTGGCCATTCACTACCTCATAGCTTTGCATTATAGATGCACTGAAGCCTAAACTGGGTGATATCCAATAACATGAACAATAAAAATGCAAACATTGCTTGAATTATGTTTTGTCTAGAAATAAACAGATTTCACCACAAGGTTTCCTTAAAAACATGTCATATATTTATATTTTATCTGTAGAAAATGGCACTCACCTGCATCCACTGCAACAACTGAAATATTGTATTGGTTGTTTTTTACAAATTTGGATTCTCTATCTAGTACTTTTAGAGTTCTCAAGTCGCCAGTGTGTTGATTAATTTCAAACCAGTTATCTTCATCCCCTAACTTCTGATACCTAATTTTTAGAAATCAAATATGAACGGTCAAATCAAAGAAGGGACATGATCTTAAAATCTGTCATTTTGAAAAATACATAAAACATTCATAACTTTAAAAACAATTTACATCACAATTAAAATTAAGGAGCTTTTTGAAAAGTACATCACCTTAAGCCTTCACCACTGGATATTTCCGGGTCCAGTGCTTTGTATCCAAGGAGTTCTTGGCCAGCTGGGAAGCCATCTTGACTCTGAATAACTTTCACTGGAGGGTGGCATTCAGGGCCCTCATCACTGTCTATAATTTTAACGGTGACAGTTGTAGTGCACATTGTAGGAGTTTGTGAGCTCGCTGCTTTAGAGAATTGTGCCTCGTTAATGACACCAACTTGCAAAATAACTTGGCGATTGACTTCATAGTTCAATGGCTGTTAAATAAGCATACTTTAATAAGTCAATATATAACATTATATATAAGACTTCTAATTTCAAATTTTCCTACAAAGGAATATCATTTTTACATTTAAAATGTAACCTAAAGTTAGGTCTAATACAGTTAAAGACCAACAATTAGCTTCCTAAAGTGACAAACATTGCCAAATGCAAAATTGTTGATTCTCAGATTCAACCCATTTTTCTTCTCATTTTTCTTTTGGAAGATCTTGCCTTCGGCCTTTTTCATTATAAGTTTAAATATTAATAGAAATGCAAGATAAGTGTATGAAAAAATTCAAATTACTTTACTGCTTATTATATGGGATAACAGTGACAACTAAATTGCCTCCAAACTAAGTATATACAATAATTAGATAGAAATTTGGCTATAATACAGCAGTTACTCTATGCCTGACTCAAAAGATAGAATGATATTTAACAGCACCTTTTCAAAGCACATTATATTTCAGGCTGTTTAGTTCCTGATGAAAGCGCTTGGTCCTTGATATGGTTGGCTATGTCCCACCCACATCTCAACTTGATTTGTATCTCCCAGAATTCCCACCTGTTGTGGGAGGGACCCAGGGCAAGGTAATTGAATCTTGGGGGCCAGTCTTTCCTGTGCTATTCTCGTGATAGTGAATAAGTCTCGCAGGAGCTGATAGCTTTATCAGGGGTTTCTGCTTTTGCTTCTGCCTCATTCTTCTCTTGCTGCCACCATGTGAGAAGTGCCTTTTGCCTCCCTCCATGATTCTGAGGCCTCCCTAGCCATGTGAAACTGTAAGTCCAATTAAACCTCTTTTTGTTCCCAGTTTCGGATATGTCTTTATCAGCCATGTGAAAACAAACTAATACAGTCCTAAAATGAATAGTTAGAAAGAATCCTAAAACAACATTTAAATGGTGAAAAAAATATCAAGGGGGAAAAAACCTAAGAACAAGAAAAGAAAAAGAAATAAAGAAAGAAAAAGTAGACAGTACAATAATTAAAGAATATTTTCTAAAAATCTTATCAGGAGAACACAATGTCTGCCTGAACCTTCTGAGGACTTAAACTGTCTCTAAGAAATTAATGAATGAAGCTATGCAAGAAGTCAATGAGAGCTATGGATAGATGGACTAAAAAAGAATTAGGTCCAGTTAAAGTAATCATCCTAGAAACCAGTAATTGCAATTAAATTTAAAAAATCCAAAGCAATGGCTACCTGGAATATAGGGGGATTAATGGGAAAAGTTGCTGAATATTTAGTTCAATAGTCTCTTTTACAGAATACATCATAGAGAGGTAAAAATAAAATGTACTATGAACATGAAAGGAGTTGAAAAGTTGAGGCTTGATTTCAAATAGTGATTCTTCCATTTTCTTCTTTTGTGTTCTTATAAAAAAGAAATGTGGACAAGTAAGTGTCTAAGACCCCTTCTAAAGCAAATATCTGGTTCAGTATTCAATATTTCTCTGTCTTGGTTTTCTTCATATAGAGAACAATGAGTTTTGTACCTGACATGACTTTCTTCTAAGAGAGAAAATTAGGGTAAGAGAATAAGAAACAACAAAGTTTATATAAACCAATATAAATCATTTGGCCTTGCACTGCAGTAGTCTAGTCATATACATATAAGAATTATCTCTTAAAATCAGTGCGTGAGTTAGGATATTTTAAAGCATAGCCTGATTATTTTATTTGTTTACCTTGACAACACACAGCACTCCTTCATTTGTATTTGGATCTGTGCTAATTATGAAGTTTCCATTTTCATTTCCTTGTAGGATTTTGTATACAGCCTTTGAGTGAGGAGTGTTTGGCAAATCCTGATCCTGTACCTTCATTCGTAAAATCTCCACGTCAATTCTGTTTTCTTCTACTTCTGTAACATACTGAAAGAATTGCCCCTTATTATTATCAATTTACAACTTTGACAATGTAGCTTTATATTCTAAAACACGTATTTAAAGAAAAAAATAAATAAAGTGATGTGAAAAGCTGCCCTCACTATATGGGGAAACATTTTACAAATTTAATGCGTAGCTTAGTTCTTTCCTCCTGAATTGCCTTTTCATATCTTTTCCATTCTTCAAAGGCTACCCCAAGTCTTATCTTCTGAACTTCTCTGAGATAATTTTCCTAATCATTCTAGACCTCAGATTTATCTCTTCTCTGCACCTCTACAATATTTACAGTCTATCCTCTCCCATTTTTACACAGTAAACACTTAATAAATGTCTTATGTTAATATATTAAACACTCAGTACTTGTAGGTAATTATAAACGTATGTTGGCTTCTTATTTCTGGAGAATTGTTTTCACACCAGTGTTTCCAAATGTACTTTTGATTCACTTGCAAACCTTTAGCAGAAAAGTTTTCCTTTTTTTTTGAGACATTAAACAATAGCCCTCCACAAAAATATTATTACAAAAGCATAAGATATTAAAGACTAAAAGAAGTAGTAAATTGAATCTGTTAGAGATAGAAGGTGAATTCATATAGGAGGATGATAGACACTGGAGCGTAATAGACCTAGATTTGAATCCTGGTTATTCCTTGTATATGGTTTATTAGTATGAGATCTTGACTTAACAGACTTTCTATTTCCTCATATGAAATATGAGGTAAAATATATCCTCATATATTGTAGGGATTCATGTAAGAAATTACATGAACATGTCTATCACTGTACTTGCAGGTTTTTCCTTCTTTGACTTGTGCTCTGGAATAAGTTAATGAAAAAATGAAAGGTTATTTATCAAAAGTTCAGGAAAGGAGAACCATTTCCTGAAACTATTGTCATAAAAATATAAATATATATATGTGTACACAAACACACACATCACACATATATATATTTATATATATCTCTTATTGTTTACCGCCTAAGGAAAAGTTTACTCATGGTACAGGAAGAGCTTGTTTGGAGTTGTGAGCCAGCCTGTACTACTGTCTCCGTAGGCTAGTTCCTTACTTATCTTAAGAAGTTGAAATGTAAAGGACACCAGAGAGAGAGCCTCTCCTCCTTCACCCTACATAAAGATTTAATGCCAAGGAATCTGGTAGCAGAGCTTAACACCAAAAAAATAAAATAAAATAAAATAAAAGTTTAACACATGAGCTACGTCTAGGGCTAAGAAGCTCTTCGGTAGCCAAGAGCATGGTTATTTCCCTAGCATCCAGAAATAACTAGTACTTCAATTATTTGTACAGAAATCATATTTTTCTCCCTATGTTATTTGTAAGTAGTAGTTATTTAAATCAAACTGTCAAACTTTGTGATCTCACAGAGCTACCAAATTCTAGACATGTTTTTTGAAAAAGTAGATAAATCTAGATGAATGAATAGAGAGGTATACTCACAGAAGTTTCTGTGAAAGATGGTGGATTGTCATTTTCATCCTCAAGTGAAATAGTAATTGTTCCTGTATTAAATAAACCGAAAGGCTGACCACCCATGTCTCGCACTTCCATTATTAACTGGTAAGTATCACATTTCTGAAAAAAAGGAAAAAACTACATTAATGAACACTTTTATTTCCTATAACTTGCAATTCTCACAACCACTTGTTTAGGCACGATTATTGTACAAATATTCTTTTTTACTTTTTCTTTTATATATTTATTTATTTATTTGAGATGGGGTCTCACTGTCACCCAGGCTGGAGTGCAGTGGCATGATCTTGGCTCACAGCAACCTCTGCCTCCCAGGTTCAAGCAATTCTCCTACCTCAGCTTCCAGAGTAGCTGGGAGTGCAGGCGCCCACCACCACACCCAGCTAATCTTTGTATTTTTAGTAGAGACAGGGTTTTACTGTGTTGCCCAGGCTGGTCACGAACTCCTGAGCTTAGGCAATCTGCCTGCCTCGGCCTCCCAAAGTGCTGGGATTACAGGTGTGAGCCACTGTGCCTGGCCCAAATATTCCTTTTACGTATAATTTTGTTAAAAAAAAATAAAGTACAGAACAAGATATTGGCTGATTGGTACAATGGAAAGGTGATGTGTCTAATGTAACATTTTAAAATTTAAAGCTGCTTTATTTATAATTGCCAAAACTTGAAAACAACCAAGATGTCCTTCAGTAGGTAAATAAACTGGTACATCCAGACAATGAAATATTATTCAGTGCTAAAAAGAAAAGAGCTATCAAGACTTAAAAAGACATGAAAGAAATTTAAAAGCATATTACTAAATGAAAGAAGCCAATCTTAAAAGCCTACATACTATATGATTTCAACTATATGACATTCTAAAAAAGGGCAAAATATAGAGACAGTAAAAATATCAGTGGTTGCCAGGAATTAAGAGAGAAGAAGGCATCAATAGGAGAAGCACTACAGAAGCAAAATAATCCTCAATAGGAGGATTTTTAGGGCAGTGAAACCACTCTGGATGATACTATAATGATGAATGTGTGTCTTTACACATTCGTTCAAACTCATAGAATATATAGCACCAAGAGTGAACCACAATGTGAGAACTATGGACTTTAGGTAATAATGATGTGTAATAATGATGTGTCAACATAAATGTATCAGTTGTATCAAATATAACACCGTGGGGCAGGATGTTGATAGCAGGGAAGGCTATGTGTGTTGGGAGGGATAGGGAGTATATGGGAACCGTCTGTATTTTCTTTTTCTTTCTTTTTTTTTTTTTTTTTGAGACGGAGTCTCGCTCTGTCACCCAGGCTGGGGTGCAGTGGCGCGATCTCGGCTCACTGCAAGCTCCGCCTCCCGGGTTCACGCCATTCTCCTGCCTCAGCCTCCTGAGTAGCTGGGACTACAGGCGCCCGCCACCAAGCCCGGCTAATTTCTTTGGATTTTTTTGGTAGAGACGGCGTTTCATGGTGTTAGCCAGGATGGTCTCCATCTCCTAACCTCATGATCCGCCCGCCTCAGGCTCCCAAAGTGCTGGGATTACAGGCGTGAGCCACCGCGCCTGGCCCCCGTCTGTACTTTCTACTAAATTGTGCTGTGAACCCAAAGTTGCTACAACAAACTTTATGAATTTAAAAAGTTAAGCATATTGGAGCCAGATAAAAGTATTTTTTAAAACAAAAATAAAATAAATGTAAAGCAATTTTATCATCAACAAATCAAATCAGGTTAGTGATTTCAAGTGAGGCCCTGTCTAATATATGGTACTTTCCCAACATCTCTAAGGACCGAGGACATCTCCAGAGAAGCCCTAACCGCAGCCTACAGAAGCATGCTGAGAAAGGAGGCCAGACTGGCCATATTGCAACTTCTCTCGGGAGTTCATTCTCAGTTTAAATGTAGTTCAATGACTAGATAGTTAATTAATCATCATTACTTCTCTATCCAGAAAAGGTGTAGTTGTGGTGATGACACCGGTATCTGGGTGTATGGAGAAATGCTTTGGATGATCTGGGATTTGTTGTAAGATTTTATATTTCAGACGAGTATGGAGAGTGTCAGGTTCGTCAAGGTCTGTGGCGGTCACTTTTCCCACTGAAGTTCCTGTTTAGATAAATCCAAAAGTGTCAAAAATTTCTACTCATATAATTGAATTATAAACAAAATAAAATCAAGGCATTGCTGTAGCAAATTCTCCCCCAAACCACAAGTAGATTAGTTCTACTGTTAAGTTGACGAATGTGAAACTGTTCTAAATGTCTCCAAGCCTCCCTTACTCGGGAACTTCAGTTAGGTGGCCCCTGTGAATAACATGATTCATATTCTACATAGATGAGAACAGTTCCCACACTACCCTTAGAAACAGTAGTTCTGAAATTCTTTCTCTCTAAGTTCACGGGCTATTTTTAAATTTAACTTAATTTAATTTTAGATTTGGGGGTACACATGCGGGTTTGTTACAGGGGTATATTGTGCGATACCGAGGTTTGGGCTTCTAATGATCCCACCACCCCCGTAGTGAATGTGGTACCGAATACGTAGTTTTCAGCCCCTTCCCTCCTCCTTCCCTCCCACCTTTTGGAATCCCCATTGTTTGTTGTTCCCATTTTTGTGTCTATGTGTACCCAATGTTCAGCTCTCACTTATAAGTGATAACATGTGGTATTTAGCTTTCTGTTTGTGTGTTAATTTGCTTAGGATAATGACCTCCAGTTGCATCTATGTTGCTGCAAAAGACATGATTTTATTCTTTTTTATGGCTGCATAGTATTCTATGGCATTTGTGTACTACATTTTCTTTATCCAATCCACCATTGAAGGGCACGTGGATTCATTTCATGTCTTTGCTATTGTGAATGGTGTGGCAACAAACATACAAGTGCAAGTGTCTTTTGGTAGAATGATTTGTTTTCCCTTGGGTATATACCTAGTAATGGCATTGCTGGCTCAAATAGTAGCTCTGTTTTTAGTTCTTTGAGTAATCTCCAAACTGCTTTCCACAGGGGCTGAACTAATTTACATTCTCACCAATGGCATATAAGTGTTCATGGACCATTTTTGAATGGGACCTTCTCTGCATACCTTGCCTCTTTTATAACCCAACTTGATAAAGTTAATCAGAGGAATACCACATCTTTTCATGTAATAACAAATATTTTATGCTTTGTACTTTAATAAATGTGATAAATTATTAATGTATACAAATAACTATTAATATATGCAAGACAAAATCATAGGGAGTAGTCTATGTATCATTTAGACAAGCTTCATAGTCCAGACATGAGAGTATTAGACACATTGCATTAGTATTGTGAAACAGCAATATTATTCACACATATGTACATGGAAACAGAATGGAGGAGGCCACAGGAAATAACAACTGTTCTTGCAACATTTTAAAACAAAGTAGTCAGTCTTGTTATACCCCTTAGTAGTCTTGGGTCACAGACTTGGCTGCACATAGCATCAAATCAGTTTAATTTTTTTTTTCATTTTGTTTGGAAGATATGCCAAAAAAGGCAATGTATATGTTTTATTTATCAGATCGATATTTCCATGCCATGATATATTTCTGGTTCCTTGAAAATGTATTGAAACTTTATAAAGATTCAAATTACGTACTGTTTCATAAACGCACCTGTGACACATATGTACATGGTAAAAATATAAAATATCTTTATATTTAATATGAATGGCATTTGTCTGTTGCACATTCAGATCTGTTGTGTACTAATCTAACCAGTTAGTAACTTTATGTATCAATTAGCTGCCTTCTATATGTGGGTAGCAAGATGAGCACAGAAAGGTTTTCCTTTGAGAAGTATATAACCTCATAAAACTAGAACGTTTTATGTAGTATATCCTTGAAAGTCAAGCATTTAAAAATGTTCTACATAATTGTGTTTAAAATATTAATAAGGAATTCAATGGAAGCAAAAATCTAGTGTTTTCCTAAAATTGCCATCATCCTAAACGCTGGTTACAAAGCTAGGCTAAAATGAAAGCTAATACCCAACAGTCATTTAATAAAGAGAATTCAGGAAAACAACACTGATATTATAAGATTTTAATATAAACTGGTACTACACATACATAGCCTACAAAAGTCAAATCCTTTGAATTTCAAATGTCTGTTAAAAAAAAATTCCTTGGCACCATAAAATAGACATTCCTGTATGTTTGATTACATCACTTTTTTTGGAGTATTTTTCTTGCTTTGAAGGAAAAGTTGAATTTTTCCTACATTTAGGCTTCTATATATCCTTAAATGACACTTTTTAAAAAACCACTGAATGAATGAATGAATGAATGAAAAAATAACCTCTTACTTTGTTGGAAGAAAAAATGATCCCTGGCCCACGTGTAAATCCCCTGTAATATTCTCTATGGATTTCTGGGTATAGTCCCTTTTATACTGAACAACAACTTTTCCTAATGGCAAAATTGAGCAATATTTCCTTCACTCCAGACTTTCTAAGCATGCATTGGTAAACCAAACACCAACTTCAGCAACAACCCCACCCTGGAGAGAATTTAGTCAAATAAATGCTGCCAGAATTATAAAATCATGATATAAAAGGGAAAAATGTATAATATTTTATCATATGAATATGCTTAAATTTAAGAAAGTGTGCTCAGAGTCAATTACCACCCTTAATAGCAATGTCATATAACATCAATTCCTAATGGGAAAAAAAGTGTATGTAATCAGAAATACCAGAAAATGCATAAAATGCAATGATAAAACGTAAACATCTTTAATTATAATACTTACGAAATGTCAAATAGTCTTCTTGTCATGCTACAATAAAATGTGAACTTACCGGATCGGCAATTTTCAGGCACAGTAAAGATAGTCACTCTGTGTTCAAAATATGGGGCGTTATCATTATCATCTTCAATTTTGATGATCAAAGGGAGTGGATATTCTGGTGCATAGCCATCTGCAGTTGTTGCATAGCCATATAACTGAAAGAAGGGAAAATACCATCAATGTATTCTCAAACCACAAATTATGCACAAAAGTAAGCCTAGCAGTGGGGGAAAATGTAACATTAAAAAAAAAAATCATTCCCAAAGACCCGTAACTAAGAAATGATGCAATAGAGAGATAACCCACAGATGCAGTCTCTGCCTGCCATGTGATTTCAATCCCCTCTCAGCGTTATTGCTCATTATTCTCCCACTCTAAGCACCATGCACTCCAGTTGTTCTCTGAATTAACTGTATGCTGTTTTACTTGTTAGAATGCATGTAGATTTTCCCCAACTATGTCATTAACACGTGTTTTTAAAGTTTATAAAAATACAATTCTATTTATGTACAGATGTATATATACATACAAATAAATGGACATCACAACTATTTCAGGAACTCAATTATATGTTTTTTACCTATATTTTCTCATTTTTCTATGGTAAGCATGTATTTCTTTGCAATAAAAATGTTAATAAAAGCATATACATACCAGAAATTCCATTTCAAAATGAATGCCTTGTCCCCAACAGCCAGTATGTATTTAATGTCCTTTGCCTTTAAACTCCAAATTATTCCTACACCTTCCTTATGTGGTTTGTGCATAGTAAGTGTTCAGCAAATAGTTGTTGAATGGATTTTCATCCCTCATGGGAACAACTAAACCTACCCAAAGTGAATTCTGCATTAACTCAGCTTTTTACCACAACTAGCTCTTCTAATTTTCCCTACTGTAACCACTTCTAAGTGAACTAGGATTAAAATTCCAGGCATCAAACTCCTCCCTCTCTCTCATAAGCCTTAGTAGTCAGTTGCCAAGTTCTAGAGATTTTGGCATTTTTGTGTGTGTCATGCATGTTCTCTTTTCTATTCCCACTGCCATCATTTTCAGGTGACTCCAAATGCATTCTACATGTTGACTCACTAACTTTGCTGCAGTTGTTCTGACATTCCCTGTTCTAATCGATGTGGCCTCAGAAGTCAGATTTTATTGTGCTTTACAATTTTAACCACGATACTCACTAATCAGACTCGTCAGTGATTTACCCACTAACTGCTAAATTAACCACAAAATCCTCATTATTGTGTTAAAAGGCAACATTTCATGTTCACTGTTCGTGCTAACCTGGAAAGGAAAGAATGTACACTCCAAACTCTGGAATGGAATGTATTAAAATAACCATTCATGTTCTCTCTGCCTTCCTACTCATTTTTCTCCAAGTAACTTCCAGGTGGTATTTTTCAGTAACAAAACTTACATTATGGCTTCCATCAGTCTGATCTCTATATCTTATTTATCAATAAATTCTAAATTCAGGAGTGGAATACAGTAGTCTATCATTACCACTTCACCATACCACCACCACCATCATCATCACCACTTACCATCATCATCACCACCACCACCACCACCATCATCACCACCACCATCAGCAGCAGCTCCATCATCATCATGACACTGCCATCACCACCATCTCCACCATTATCACCATTATCATCGCAATCACCACCACCACCATCACCACCACTACCATCACCACCATCATCATCACCACCACCACCACCATCACCACCACTACCACCATCATCACCACCACTACCACCACCACCATCATCATCACCACTACCATCACCACCACCACCACTACCATCATCACCACCACTACTACCATCATCACCACCACCACTACCATCACCACCACCACCACCATCATCACCACCACCATCATCACCACCATCACCACCATTATCACCACCACCACATCATCACTGCTACCACTATTACCATCACCACCACTACCACCACCACCATCATCATCACCAGCATCATCATCAGCACCATCATCACCACACTACCATCATCACCATTATCATTATCATCACCGCTACCACTACCACCACCAACACCACCACCACCGTCATCATCATCGCCACCGTCACCACCACCACTATCATCAGCACCACTACCACTGTCACATCATCATTATCATCATCACTACCAGCACATCCAGGTATCAACATCAGTCACCCTTCCTAAAAATCCTTCCCTTTCTCTTCGTATAGATGATGTGGATTTTTATTCCTTAAAATGCTGTCATTTTGATATTTTAGCTGGATAAAACTATAAAATGGTTTTATATCTCTATTAGATTACAGTTGCTGTCAGGCTTGAAGACTGAGACTTACTGATACGTGTATCCTAGAAGTACCTGACACAGTAACACACTGCCTTACCTTGGGTAAGTCTTCAATAAATAGCTCTTTGCATTCAATTCTACTCATCTTTCCTTTTAGGAAGACAAACTACGCCTTCAGTTATCCTTCTGTAAAAATTGTCATAAAGATTCTATTGCATCTCTTGTAATGAATTTTTCTACCTCATTAAAATGGTATTAACAAGTCTCCTTATCCAACCTACTAAGTCCACACTGCTATAATTTAGACTAATTTGTCTTAGTTTTTCTCTTCAATGGAAATGAAGATCATCTGCTTCCCACCATATGCTCATTTGTAATTTGAAATAATATTTTTGTTATTTGACTACAAGTAAATATTATTTCACATTCCGCTGACTCAGAGTTGGTGATTTTACTTCAGGTAGTATCCTGGTTTTGTTTTATTGTGCTAATAATGAACCAAGTATCTCCAAAATAAATCAAAATTGGAATCATCATTAAAACAGAGCCTAACTCTCTAGGAGAATTGACTTATGTTCATATGATAGAGTAACTCATTATAAATATGTTATTTAGTCAACAAAGCAACAATTTCAAAAAACTCAATAGAGGTAATGGTTTTATTACTATATCCATCATTCTGTATTAAAAGCAATAATAATATACTTAAGTGTTGTTACAATAAAAAATAATTTAGAATATTATTAGTTGTATTTTTAGCTAGGTTATAAGTGGGTTATTTAGTGTCATGTGCGTGTTATTGTGATATAGTTTCCTCTGAATTATTCTATAGCTTAAAGAATCTCATCTCTTTTAGCCCTTTCACACTATATATTGCTGAAATTGCTGTCATCTTTGGAAAAATGCAAACAGCTACTGACAGAAATAGGGACTTGAGTTTGGCCTTACAGTGGCAGGCATTCAGTAGATGGGGCAGAGAAAGGAGAGAGCAGTAACACCAAAGCTGAGTGGGTACAGAATGTGAATTAACAGCACATATATGAAGAGAATTAATCGACTTGTGTGCCCAGAAGAGAAAATAAACATTACAAGAGGCCGGGCACAGTGGCTCACACCTGTAATCCCAGTACTTTGGGAGGCCGAGGTGGGTGAATCACCTGAGGCCAAGAGTTTGAGACCAGCCTGGCGAACATGGTGGAACCCTGTCTCTACGAAAAATACAAAGATTAGCTGGGCGTGGTGGTGGGCGCCTGTAATCCCAGCTACTCGGGAGGTTGAGGCAGGAGAATTGCTTGAACTCAGAAGGCAGAGGTTGCAGTGAGCCGAGATCGGATTACTGCACTCCAGCCTGGGAGACAGAGTGACACCCTATATCAAAAAAACAACAAAAAAAAACAAGATAATAAAAGATAGTAAGGTTCTGGTTGAATAGGAATAGGTAAGAAAGGAGCAGATTGAAGCTAACTTTTCCAAAGGTACAGATTATCCCCAACACTCAGAGAGAAAGGAAGTTTGCAGCTGCTTTCACAGCATCACTTGGAATTGTTGAAGAAAGTTCCCTTCTTATATAACTATTCTTTGAATATGTATTGAATTAGACCTATGGCTACTACTCCCAAAGCTACGAAATCAAATTATTTCAAATAAAAATAATCTATTATTAATACTTAACATGAATATGGCTTATATAAAATCAAAGAATTAGGAAATTCCATGAAAATTCCCAGGTTTAAGGACAAAATTCTAGAACACGTGTATTGTTAAATCTACCATTAGAATATCTTCAACAACTTTTACAGTTTACATAGTGGTATCACTGGTATTACGGCATTTAATGATCAGAACACTACTGAGGTTGGGAACACAGCTACTAGCAGCCCATAAACAAAGAAGAAAGCGAACTCTAGGAGGTTGTGATTTGTTTGAGGCTACAAGGAAAGGAACAGATACTTAGGATCTACCAATTCCCAGAAACATACATTATTCAATATTTTAAACTATTATTAAAGTATATTACGTTAAAAACATATTATCTTATTTTAACCTCTGCATTGACAGGGAAGTCTTCTATTCTATCCTGCTTCAAGTGATTTTATAATTGCATCAGGTTTACATCTTGTTGCTATACCTCACTTAATGAATTTTACTAATTTGCAAGTGGTGTTTCTTAATGCCAATTCAAACTTAACTGTGTTAATGGGACCTACAGAAACATGGGTAATTCTGAGGCGAAATTATTTAAAAGTTTAACTTTGAGGATAAATTTCAACCTATTTTATTCATTTACATTTTTTTAAATGTTAAAAATAGCAAAGTAACTTATTTTTAATTATAAACTGTTCTCTCCTTTTCCCTCTGGCAATGATCACAGTAAGAAGCAAAGATAGAAAGCAGGTTGGCAAACAGAACCCTATCAAACAATTCCTCAGCAAAATTGAAAATGAAGTGAATATTGCAACATACAGAGTATGAGCTTTTTATATCTCCTCAAGAGTGACTTCTAGTGTTAGATCTTTTCTCTAGTAAAGAAACTGTAAAAGCAGCAGAGAACTTACTATCAATTATTTATTTGTTTATGAGTAGAAAGATCAAAGTGATTGCAATGGTGCTTAGCTTACTTCTCCTGTAAGAACTTGGATACACTATTTTTTAAAGTAAAAGTGTGTTATATTACTAGAAGTAAAATATGTTTATTCTAGAGAATTTGGAAGGGAACATAAAATTATAAAGAAAATATGCCACTACAATCCCACCATGAATTTTGTATTTAATTATGAAACATCTAAAGTGGAAAATTTATACAGTTTCAAATTTTTCACTACCTTATAGACTGCTTTGGAGGATATCCTTACGATAGAATCTACTCCTTAGGATAAATTATAAGGTCTTTCCCTCTCTATTTTTTACTTACTAGCTTCATATTTCACACTCTTCCTTAGCTTCAAATTACACTTCAGCCAGGGTTTGTTGTTGTTGTTGATTTCTTTTTAACAAGTAAATATTTCCATTTCTGATGCATCTTCCTGGAATACTTGTCTACCACTTCCCATCCCCACAATTGTTAACTTCTTTCATAACTGCCTTGAGGTGGCCACTAACTACTACTCATTCTCCAGATGTCTGCTAAGATATTACTCTCTGAACTGCCCAAGTATGAGATAAGTTTCATTTTTATATTCTCCTTTAGCAAAGAACTTTATTATACTCTTATATCATTCAAGACAATAAATGCTTAATCAGTTTTATTCACCACCATTCCAAAAACCTACTATGAATATCTCATTTCATCAGATGAGACATCAGTCCACCAAAGAGTTATATAAAATTAACAGAAACAAAAGGATTTAATTATCAGAAGAGTTAGAATTGTCTTGTCTTTGGGTAGGATAAGATAGAATCAAATGAATTGATAAACTTGTTCTGGGTTACTAAGGAAGTAAAATGGTACTAAGGGATCTCATTGCTGAAGAATAGTGAGAGAAAGGGATGCAAAAAAAAAAAAGCTATGTAAGGGGCTAAGGCAGTGGATCCAACACTTACACATTTAGAATCACGTTGGATGACTGGATCTCATCCCAGAACAATTAAATCAGAATACTTGGGCATGGGTCCAAGCATCAGTATTTTTTTTCAAGTTCTCACATGACTTATAATGTACAGCCATGGTTGAGAATAACTGAGTCATTTTATTATGGATAACTTTAAATTCAGTAAAACTCTTTGTTATTTCTCCAGGATTACAGACCAAAATATATCCTTTAAAATTCCATCGTTATATTTTCTTTACCTCCCCCGCCACTTCCCTTATTATATCCACTGTTTTTCCCCATCAATGGTGAATAGAAATTTAAAGTTTATATTGCATATTAATATCTTGAATATTAAATCAAATAATTGATTCTTATAATATGTAAACAAGCATAGTTGAAAATATTAGTAAGCCAGTAATAAAGATATAATTATGAATAAATATTTCAATAATCCTACCGCAAACTGTTCATATTTCTCACGGTCAATGCTCCTTGTACAAAAGATATCCCCAGTGTCTTTCTCTATGTAAAACAAATTGAAGGGTTCTTTGTCCACGCCTGGCCCACTTATGGAATAAAAGATGGTGTAATTCTGTGCAGCATCAGATTGGATCTGCAGTAATAATTTAGGAATAGAACAAATACGTCATGATGAATATTTTCAACCTAACCTCTTGTGATGGTTTATTTTTTTACCACTACCCCTCTTTCCTACTCTCCTATTCTTTCTTTCTTCTGCTTAGGTGCCCATTATCTGCCATGTTTTCCGAATTTTTATTTGCATTTTGCATTGTGCAAAGCCACAAATTCTGTCACTTATTTGATCTCAACTTTTTTGTCATTTGTATATCTATAAAACATGTAGAGTAATACACTTTTCAAGTTTTATCTATTTATTCTTATCTTCATATAAATAATAGTAACAGTTTCCGTGATTTTGAATTCTTTGGAATTGAAAATTATGTGATAATAAAACTAGAAGTAAAGCAACTTTTCTTCCACAATTAATTCCTCAAGAATTAGAAAATTTTGGCCGGGCGCAGTGGCTCACACCTGTAATCCCAGCACTTTGGGAGGCCTAGGCAGGTGAATCACCTGAGATCAGGAGTTCAAGACCAAACTGGTCAACATGGCGAAACCTTGCCTCTACTAAAAATACAAAAATTAGCTGGGCTTCGTGGTGGGTGTCCGTAATCCCAGCAACTCGGGAGGTTGAGGCAGGAGAATCGCTTGAACCCAGGAGGCAGAGGTTGCGGTGAGCTGAGCTGATGCCACTATACTCCAAAATTTCAAAACTGTTCTATGTTTGCAATCCAGCTATGTGGCAGTGAGGCAATCTTACTTGGTAAGCAGAAATACAGGTCATTTTTATAAAAGATGAGTGTTAGTTTAAGCAAGAATTGAACTATGCAAAACATGTAGGTGTGCCTTCTGTACATTAGTGTTAACAAGTCTAGCATAGTATTTGGGTGAATTTAGACATAGACCTAAGAGCACCAGAAACTCCAAATATAAAACTTGTTTCTAAATTTCTAAATATGATATCTGTAAGAAAGTAATAAGATATACTGGGTCACTTCTATGGGACCCTAGTTCTGGTGAATAGATGATCATTATTTGTACCATTAGTTTAAACCTCTGATTCAATATGCTGTGCAATTCAAATGAAAAGTTTAAGAACAAAAAAAAATTTGGACACATATAAAATCAAATAAGTGAAATGCACCTGCTGAACGTGTTGTGGAAATGGACCCAACGAGTTCTCCATCAATGAAGCTGGAATAGGAGCCCATCGTCTCTTGCTGCGCTTGAGGGCTGTGTCTTTGGTATGTCTCTTCTTAGGAGACTACATTTGACAAGAAACAAAGAAATGTAGCATTGCTTATCATTTTTTGGAACTGTGATTATTTTACACATACATCAACAAGCAGATGTAAGGGTTACACATTACAATATCATGGCTAGTCAGCAAAGCATTTCTATTGATAAAACACACACACACACCTCAGACTACATTATGTTCCCCCGTTCTACCTATTTCTCTATTTACTCAGTTAACCACCAGGAAATGTATAGGGCATTTGGAAAGATGCCACTTTGAGAAAGTATAAACTCCCCCTAAAATAGATAATTCATTAATAAATATTTAAGGATCAACTTTATTCCACTAGGACTGGCACAACCAAAATCTGTTAAAACCCTCACTCCACAATACAATCATTTATACATCTATGTAGACACAGGTCAGCATTTGCTCAAGTATACTTGATTTTATATAATGTGGGGATTTTACAATGTGGATATAAAATAACATTTTTAAAGTCTTAAGCATATTAAGAGGAGTTCATACAATCAAAAAGAATTTAGTTGGGAAATCCTCTCCTAAATAGAATCATTTATTAAGAAATGGTTTTATAAGACGAAATTCATTGTGGTGAATTTGCTGAAAATGAGATGTGAATTCCAGCAACTTTTTCCTCCCTGCTTTCTGAACTGATCTCTACCGCTCAGTGCAAGAAAATGAGCCTAGAGTTAAACATTCAAATCAATTCTGTGGATTGGCCACACCTCCACTCTCTGAAGAGAGGGCCTGCCCTATAGAATATTCTAGTAAGATGGGAGTAAGCTTTAAACAGTCTCTTCTCCTCTTTAAAGAGAGACTCAAACCCGCAATCAGTGGGAAGAGAGCCGCACAGGGTGGAGCCCACATCTCCAGCCTGAATCACATTTCGCTGAGTTTTAGACCCGCCCCTGTCTTGTCCTTGCTCCTCAGGTTGGTTTGTTCTTATTCCCAAACTTGAAATCACTATTAGAAAACTCTGATATTCTTACTTTGCTCCTGGTCTACAGAGTCATTCATCTTTATAAAAGTTTGTAAATGGCTCTGCCACTCCTTAAAAGTCTAGTCTTTATTTACACTAATTGTAAGTGGAAAAGACAAATTTGTCATTCAATAGCATAGATTTTAACATGAAACACGTTAAAACACATGAAACACGAAGGACTCCCGTAAGCATATTACTGTGCTAGGCTGCTTAAGCCCTTGCCTTATACCTTGTTTTCTCTTGCTGACAGTACAACTTTTATCTCTTGTTGTTCCCGTCTCTGACCATCTGAAAGGAAAATGGAAAAACTTTTCCTTTCAGAAGACAAAATGAGGTCATGTGTTGTGTAAATTGAGCCATCTTCTAGAATTCTGAAGGCAGGGTCACTGGACCGGATTAGGCTGGCCGACTTGAGACACTCCTCCAGATTCACTGCAGGGAAGAAATATCACAGCAGTTTGTCAGATGAAACAGGAGTGGAACAAGTTTTACAGGAATGACAGCCGTGAGTTAATGCATGAGAAGCAGAAAAAGGGAGGTTACATTTGGAATGTGCTCAGCACCTGCTATTCTAAAACGTGGGGGCCATGAAAATTAAATAATTATATTAATGGAGTCACATTTTCCACTACCTTCGTCATACATTAATTTGAGAAATAAAATATTTTCCTAGTGTCACTGATTTTATTCTCTTTTCTTTGAACTCTTAATTATTGTGTGTGTATAAATTTATATATGTGTATACAAACTTGATTTTTTATGTCATAAGTGGTATAACCGTATGATGTCAGTAGGTTTTGAACTTTTTGCAGTAGTTTGATACTTAAAACTATCTTGCCAAAAATAAGAAAACTAAGTGGCTCACACCTGTAATCCCAGCAGTTTGGGAGGCCGAGGTGGGAGGATCACAAGGTCGGGAGTTCTAGATCAGCCTGGCCAATATGGTGAAACTCCATCTCTACTAAAAATACAAAAATTAGCCAAGCATGGTGGCGTGCACCTGTAATTCCAGCGACTCAGGAGGCTTAGTCAGGAGAATTGCTTGAACCTGGGAGGTGAAGGTTGCAGTGAGCAGAGATAGCACCACTGCACTTCAGCCTGGGCAACAGAGCAAGACTTTGTCTCTAAATAAATAAATAAGAAGAAAACCAGTCTATTCTTAAGTAATATTTCCCAGTAATATTGCAAATAATCTTTCTGTAATATCTTTCAAGGTTTAGTAAACCCGATGCGCTGTGGTTATTATCAAATTACCTCCTTTACAGATTCATATTTAACACATTTAGTGTATTTACTATGTGTCTTTAGAGTGTGGACTGTTTATTAATTTCAAACCTTAAAGCACTGGGCAAAACAACATCTGGCTTGGAAAGGATACCATTTCTGTATTGTTTGTAATTTTTTACATGTGAATGCAAAGCCAGTGAAAAACCTTGATGAAAAAAATTTTACGTTTGGGCTCAGAACAACCAACTTATACTTCAGAGATGGCTATGGTACTAAGACCCACCAAAACTGTATTTGATTTTCACAAGCTGTTCTGTGAAATATGTCACATTTATTCTTGGTGGATACTTGTTCATTGTAATCAACCTCAAGTACAAATTTTATTGGGGGCATTTAGATTTTGAGACATCCATTTCATGTCTAATCAATTGAAGAATCTTGGCTTTGAAATTTTGGCAGCAGATTAGTTTATACAAATTAGAATATGCTCCTGGTTTTGGTGCCTTGCTTTGTTTGACGTAATCCAAGATAATTGAGCCTTCTGATGTTTGCTAATTTTTTTGGCAAGAGAAGTATACAACTAACTTTGGTATTTTAATTATTTCTAACCACTACCAAAAAACAAGTAGCCTGTCTTTTATTGTACATCCGATTTTAACTTCAAGTAGCTACTATGTGGTTTTTTTTTTTTTTTTTGAGACAGAGTCTTGCTCTGTCGCCCAGGCCGGACTGCGGACTGCAGTGGCGCAATCTCGGCTCACTGCAAGCTCCGCCTCTTGGGTTCACGCCATTCTCCTGCCTCAGCCTCCCGAGTAGCTGGGACTACAGGCGCCCGCCACCGCGCCCGGCTAATTTTTTGTATTTTTAGTAGAGACGGGGTTTCACCTTGTTAGCCAGGATGGTCTCGATCTCCTGACCTCATGATCCACCCGCCTCGGCCTCCCAAAGTGCTGGGATTACAGGCGTGAGCCACCGCGCCCGGCCTACTATGTGGTTTTTATCCCAAACTTTACAAGAGCAGCCTGCAGCTAAATGTGACAAGTTACAGCTATGAAACTGTTAATAGTGTTTCTCACCTTTGCCTACAAGTGTTTCAGCCTGAAGATGAGAAGGAACTCGAAGATAAACTTTCTGACAAGCATCGCAAAGTAATGTTAAAACCTCAAAAAAAAAAAAAGAAAAAATATCAGGAATTAAATTTGATCACAAATTTTCACATTGTAGCTTTTTCTTATTGATAAAAATATTGTCAATTTTGGAAACAAATTAATCATTTAATTCTTTACATTTTTAATACTCACTTTAAAAGGAACCAGCAAAGAGAATAGCTTTAGGAATAGCACTGTCATTTATTTGTCAATGAAAAAAATTAAGTGAATAGTAGTTCTTAGAACCTAAATCATATTGTGTCAATGCAAGAAAATATTTCACAAACCATTGACTTTATATAGAAGTTATACGTCTCTAAGACCATTCATAAATGCCATTCTGATTTTTAGCATGAAGAAAATACTTACCTTTGAAATGCATAATTACATATATGCCCTAATTCTCTAATCATCATTTTACTATTTGAAGTTATAGTTGATGAAGTCTAGAAAATAGTTAAGGGCTTTTTTAACCTCACAGAAAAATAATGCCCCCAAAAAATCATTGTTCTCAAATCAATTTTGTGACTGACTTGGCCAAAACGCCAAAATCTAAATGATCTCAAATCACATGACTAATCTAAAAAGAAATATATGTCAAAATATGGAGAGTATCCTTCAGATGGGTGAAGATTTTTAATTAAATTCAAGGCCCAGCTATTGTTTTTAAAACCTAGGTAGTTCAAAGACATAGACACTATCTGAAAAAAACAAAAGAAAAGCTATCATTTCAAAAATGTCTATAGGTTCAAAATATATTTTACTTCTTTTTCTTGGCATTTTCTGTTTGTTCCTCTTTATCAAAATAACTGCTTTTTTATTATTTAAATATAAGATAGAGTAGAGCTAGGTTTTCCAGAAACATGTAGGTCAATTTTATGATCAGCTTTCAGCTTTTCTCTGAATTCTAGAGTTACGGGACCCATTACTTGCGAGGAGGAAAGAGAATGGATTAACATCCATATTAAGGATGTGCACTTCTTTTCCAGCTCATCTCAAGTCTACCAGATATACTGTAGCAGTCTAATTAAATAGTTTGTAATTTTACAAAAATCTATGTTAGGCAGAAATCTGGAATTAAAAGGCCACATTTTTATTTAGTCCTAATTTAAAAACCACTTTTTAAAACGTGAGACATTCGTATTTATTTAACTTTTTAAATATGTTCATCCCTAATGCCAAGGAACATAATAAATTATACTTAAAGAACTTTCTAAGCATAGACCATACTGTTAATAGTTGTCTAAGTATACAATGTGGAAACAGCATATTGTAATTAGGCTATGCATAAACACATACATATACATATGTACACATACATATGCATATACCTGTACATATACCTATACCTATATATGTATGTGTATGTGTGTATATATATACACACAGTCATATATTGCTTACATTCTAAGAAATGCAACGTTAGGTGATTTCATCCTTGTGCAGACATCATAGAGTATACTTACATACACTTAGAGGATATAGTCTACTACACACCTGGGTTATACCTACATGGTATACACCATGATTTATATATGTATGCCCCATGGTATGCACCATGGTACAGCCTAGGTGTATAGTATATAGTATAGCTTATTGTAAGCTACAAACCTGTACAGCATGTTCCTCTACTGAATACTGTAGGCAATTGTAAGTATTTGTGTAACTAAACATTTTTAGATATAGAAAAAGTACATTAAAATACAATATAAAAGATAAAAAATGGTTCACCTATACAGACGAGCTCCATTATAATCTATGGGACCACTCATATATGTAGTCCATCATTGACTGAGGCATTGTTTTGCAGAGCATGACTGTATATGTGCGTGTGTGTATATATATATAAATGTACATATATATATATAAATATATGAGACATTCTTATAGTTATATCCACACTTCCACTCCCACCCCCATCTTCTTTCCTTCTTGTCCTAGGATTCCATGTTGATGGTCCTCCCTCTGCAGGCAGAGCCACTGAAGGTTTCCATTCATTAAATACTATTCCCGTCTTCAGGTTAAATCACTGACTAAGTGGCTTAGTGACACCCTTTTAGTCAGTTTCAGAGTCAGAAATAAATAAACAGGAGATGAATTGTCCAAGAGATATTAGACAGTACAGGGATCAGAAGCAAAAGAAATGTGGGTAGAATCCTTTGAAACATTTTTACCACATTTTACCAAACTTGTACTAACTTAAGATGGTATCTGAGTTATCGTCTCCCTAAGCAGTTACAGGATGAGAAGGTGACCATCAACCCTGCATTGTATATTATTTACATGGAGAAAATGTTTGTCCTCATACCTGCCATTTCTAAAAATATATTTTGAAACTCAAGTATTTTGCTAAAATGAAAAAATAGGAAACTCACACCTCAGAAATGATGGACGGATGTGTGAAATAACCCCCCTCTCTTCCCTCACCTCCAAAGAAAAAATAGCACCTTACACAGTTACAAAGCTATTAAAAACCCAAGTGGAAGCCAAGTTGAGGATATTTTCAATGACAGTCACATTTTTGTTATTTTTCTTAAACTATTCTTTGCTTAAACTGCTTCGTGGGTAAAATTCAAAAAGTCCTGGATAATTTGCATGTTCACCCAGAATCCTTTCTCTTTTTTTGCAGCTTAGTAGAACTCAGCATGTTAAATAACATGAGTTTATGTAATCACTGGTAGCAGAAGTAAACCTCAGAAACTTCTGGGCCAAATGCCTAAAGAATGAATTCACTTCTCTACTCTTAGAAAATCACCACAGCAGGATGGAAGAGGGATTCCCTTGAAAACTTTTAACACTCTGGCAGTGGGTGCTTGAGAAGTAAGCTGAACACTTTCCATCCTGAATCCCAAGCCTCTCAACTCTTCCCTGAATCTTCCTCAGATCTGCTTTTGTTTTCCCCAATCTCTCTTCTCTGCCTCCCATCCTCACTCCTAGTCTCTTTCAAGCCCAAACTGCAGAGAGGAAGCAGGTAGTAACATGCTTGAATTCCCTAATCCTTTGGTTGTTACTCACCAGGAGAGAGAAAAGGAGCTGCTTACAGAAGATGCTCCCTGGGGCAGCAGAGGCCAGAGCCATCAGAAGCAGTCCCAATGGCCAGGGACGGTGGCCAGATAACAGGGCAGCCTGGGATGCACAGAGCGGCTAAGAAGACGCTGGCACTTGCACAGGGTATTCTGCTGCCACCTTGATGCAGCTGAGCTTGGTTTGGAAGACAGTCCGGAGGCAAGTGATAAACAGTAGGAGGAGCAACGGGAGAATTTCTTTCCCCCTATTCCCTGGCCAGTCTCCTTCCTTCCAGTTCAATTACGTCTAAATGCAAAGAGGCTTTCCTACAAGTGAGGAGGGTGGGGTACAAAACACCCCAAAACCCAGTCAGTAGCTCCTCCTCACAGCAGCTTTCAAAATTTCTCTTGCCACTTAACACATAGGCAGAAGGAGGAGGGAACACCCTTCATCCTCAGCCCTCCTCCCTTTCCCCCAGGTTGATGCTGTGAAGTCCTCCCCAGTTATTACCCACTCCCACAGCCTCCCCTCCTTCTTGGCCTTATTAACCTGTCTTGCCCTCGGGTACAAACATAAATTGTGCACAAACGCCATGCAAGGAAGTGATGCCTCCTCAACTGCCATTGGCAAATCAGAGGACCTAAGCGTGTGTAATCACACTCATCAGAAGTTATCTCCCATCTAAGCATTTAAGTGTCATCGGTCCTGTAGAACACTGTAGTTCTGCTAGAGAACTGGCATTCCAGTTTAAAGCAGCAACTTCATAAAGGCATGGTATCTACTTCCTGTTATTGACTATTCACTGTGGTTGGTTCTCTAGATGTCACAGGAAACTTATCAGAATGTAAAGACTTCATAAAAGAAAGAGAATAAAGAAATAGCTAGCATATAATCTTTCTTGTGGCTTTCCTTTTGTTGTACAAGATGCCACTGCTTTTTACCTTTATATTTTTTCAAGGACAACTACAATCTTTGAGAGCAAGTCTCTCTAAAATCACTCTATTCACCCTAATTACTTGTACATTACACATAGGATATCCTAGCTTAATAGTACAATCAGGCCATCAAGTGTAGATTTTTTTAAACCCTAATGATTCCTCTAACAAGAGCTTTAGCATCATTATTCCTGTCCCAAATTAGTGAGCTCAGTGATACCAATTGCACTCAATGGCAGTGATGGAAGTTAGGACAGAAGGATAAATATTTTCAAATGTTAAGGTAGAGCCCAACACCCATGCTGCTGAGAAGGGAGGAAAGAAAGGTTTTCTTCAGCTTATTTGACAATGGGAACAATTTCTCCTTGTATGTAGAGACAGAAATAAATGTAACTGCTTCATTAGAATTAGAAGCTAGGAAGATTTGGAAAATGAATGACCCAGGAGAAAAAAAACTAAAAGATATCTTGTAGTATTTTATTGCTAGTGGTATACCCACTAATAAACATATTTTGTGACTGCATTGGAATTTGATTTCTCAATCAGAAAATACAGTCATTTTAATGGAATATTTTTATATCTGGCGTTTTGGGAGAAAAGAATGGGAATATAGAAATAGAAAAATTACTTAGATGTATATGTGTACAGCCAAGTGTAATTCTGTGCATGTTTAAGCATCATCTAAGTATATATTTAGATAGATAGATAGACAGATAAATAGATAGTCATACAGCTTAAATAATTCAAAGACAAATTCTCCAACCCTAGAAAATAGAAACACATTTTTTTCAGCTAATGAAGTTATCATTACCTTTTTCTATAACATGATATTCTCCACTGAACTAGGAAGATATAGAAGAGCAAAATTAAATTGGTGTTACTGAAAAAATGGCATATATTGGTTGGATGAAGAGATTCCAGGCACTGCTCAATTCAAATGAATCCAGAATACTCTCCACAGTTCTGGGAAGTTGATGTTCTGATCCTACTTCTTTTGGCCTACTTTCTGCGTGCTCTCTTTTCCCATTATCTATCTTTCTCAAAGGTAATAGAAAAACTTGTGTAAAAGCTAACCCCAAATTATTGGTTTGCAAATCTGTTACATTACTATTTCTCCCATATTTTGTATTTGCACACAAAGGTTTCCTAAAAATAAAATATAGGCACTTTATAGGAAAAAATAATTTATTATTACAAATTATTGACTCTTCCTTAAACGTGAATCTACCTTAAAATTAAATGAAAACAAGACATATTTCTTCCAATTTTCTGGCATTAGATCATTCAGTAAGAGCTCTGTCTTAGTCTGTTTTCTGCTGCTGTAAAGAAATACCATAGCCTGGGTAATTTATTAAAAAACAAAACAAAACAAAAACAGAAATTTGTTTGGTTCATGGTTCAGGAGCCTGGAAAGTCCAAGAGCATGGCATGGGCATCTGATGAGGGTCATCCCATGATGGAAGGCAGAAGACAGAAGCCAGTGCACAAGACAGACAGGGAAGTGGCCTAACTTATCCAGTTATCAGAAGTCCACTCTGATGATAACTAACCCACTCCCGAGGGTGGGGACTTCATGGCATAATCAACTTTTAAAGGTCCCACCTCCTAACACCATTACAACGGCAACAAAATTTCAACATGACTTTTGGCAGGGACATTCAAACCACTGCAAGCTCTATTTTATTTTTATTTCTATCTGTATGTTTGTTTGTTTTAACCTATGTCTAAATTAATAAGCTTAAGCAAAAGATTGTTAGTGGTTAACAACTTGGACTTAGAAGCTAGACTGCCTGGGTGCAAATCCTCTCTTTACTACTTATTCGCAGTATAACCCCTAGGCAAGTTAGTTAACTCTTCTGTGCCTCGGTCTCTTTATAACATGGGGACAATAATAGTGGCTAATTCATAGGTTGTTATGAAGATTAAATGTGATATTATAAAGAAAATACTTCCAACAGTGTCTGGCTCAGAGCAAGCACTAATATTTTACACCATATAATTGCCTAGGCATGCAATAAAAAGTTGAAGAGACTGAACTTCAAATGAAACAAACACAAAGTTATTGCAAATCCAAGGTCTGTTATGTAGAGGCTACCTAAAGATACATGAATAGGTTTATTCATTGAACAAGTAGTTAAGGGGTTACATACTGGGCTCTGGCCTTTGCTAGGAGAAAAGCATCATATAGGGTGAAAAAAAGAAGACAGAAATCTTATGACGTTAAAATAAAGGCACACTTTATGGTGAAGAACATGCAGTTATCTTTCCAGTTCAAAAGATAAGATAAAAAGAGGCACTGCAGCAAATATTAAATATATTAGCCATTTAAAGAGAAATTAAGAACAATGATTAAATGTTGAGAAACCCCTATAGAAGAAAATATTTTATTTTAAATACATAAGTATTGCATAATCTGTTTTCTACCACACATTTATGGTCATACAGAGAAAGATTTAAATGTAAAGATCCACATGACTCTTGTATTTCTTTAGTTTTTTTTTTTTTAACCTTAAGGCACATCAAGGAAAAACACCTTTTTATAAATTTAAATAATATATTTTATGGAAATACAGTGACAAATTTCATTAGAGATTTTTTTTATGACCAACTTACAGAAAGGGCTCATTATGAATAAATTCAGGGCCTCAAAAAAGCCATTTACAGAGAGAACCATTATCTCTGTAAGATGACCTAATTTATTCTAAAAGACTCCTAGACTGGTAGGAATGCTGTACACATTGATGAAGCCATTACAAGGCACTTTGGGTTAAATATGAATGACTAAATATACCAAAAACTACAGGTGTAAAAAAAGGGTTTGTGAGTTTAGTATGGGTGAAGTGTATGAACAAAGAAAAAGAACTGTTAGCTATTAAAAAAAAAAAAAAAAAAAGCTTGGCTCCCATGAGTTCAGTGTACTGCAGTGGAAACTCCTTCAATCTCACTAGACTCACAGTCTTTTGCCTGGGTAAAGGGCTATTAAAACTTAGAAGTAACTCATGTGCACTAATAATTACTAACAATGATTTCCTAAGGCTGTTTGCGTAGAATAGTGATTAATTTTATATAAAATAATCACTCCCCATTATTATCAAAACTGTTGTCAAACCTATGAAAAGAAACATTAGCACACATCTCTGGGTAGTTCAGAACTCTTTCTATTCAGCCCACATACCTAACTCAAACTGGCTTAAGAGAAAACAAAACAAAATTATTGAGGACAAAAGGATTTGCTAGGTCATGTAACTGGAAGGCTGGGGGTAGCCTAACTCAGATTTAAGCATAAATTCTCTCCATCTCTTAGCTCCGCCTTTTTTTGTGTTGGTTTCATTATTTCAGTTTTGCCCAGTGTGGAGGCAAAGATCACCACCAGAACCTCCAGGATTTCAACAATGAATGGTTTAGCAAGTCATTGTTGAAAGAATATGTCTTGTTCCCAATAGTTTGAGCAAAACACAATCCTTCTGGCCTGAATCTTTTACATAAACCTAAAGTCAAGTGGTGGACCTGACCACATGGGCAAAAAGTGGTGAAGAAGTGACTGCCCAAAGATAACACTAGGCTAGACAGAAAAAAAGGATAAAAAGTAACTAGACAAGCAAATCAACAGATGTCCACTAAACTTACTGTTTCAAATTGTTATTTCAATAATACTAGTTAGTTATTCATCACTTATGTATTAGCACCTCCTGTATGCTGAGTATTACCAGTGGTGCTGATTATACAGAATTGAAGAAGACATGATATCTCCCTTCATGGAGCTTACACTTTACTGTACGGTTTGAAAATTAGTTAAAGTAGTTTCTATGATGTTCAGGATTAAAATCCTGGTGAAATGAATATAACAAATACTTTAGATTTTTTTTTATTTATTGCTATTTTCTCCAATTATTATTTCCTTTGGTGGTCTTCAAAGTTACACGTTTGAAAAGTATTTTTTAATGTGGATGGAATCTTACTATCAATTACTTATACATTAAGAATCACATTATTAAATGTTGATTTTAAGCATGGTAATATATACTCACTAAAGATAATCTTTTTAATATACATGTTTCCAGTCCGGTTTCTGTGTATAGAATTTTTAACATTATTATACTTGCACTATGAATGTAATTTTGTAGCATGCTTTCTCCTAGTTATAAAATCTGTCCTATGTCATGACAACTCTATATAGCTACCATGTTAATGACTGTAATCAGTTCCTTCAAATAACTATATCACAACTGATTTAACCAGTTCCTAACATTGAACATTTAAGTTGTTTTCAATTTTTCATTATTATAAAGACCACCCTAATACATAAATCTTTTTTCTGAACTCAGGATTATTTCTTGAGATGTAGACCCACAAACAGAAGTTCTAGGTCAAAATATAAGAAACATAATGGTTTTTGGTATATAAAGCTAACCTGCATCTCCAAAGCAGAATACCAATATACCTTCTTACTGTCAATATAACAGTAAATATCCTAGTAAGAATTGAATATAGTCATTTAATTTTTTAAAATCTTGCTGTGTTGATGAGAAAGAAATTATAGACATGATTTGAATTTGAATTATTTGCCTATTCATGATGTTGAGTACTTTTTCATGACTTCCAAGCAGTTGCATTTTCTCTTATGATGCATATGCACTTTTTTTTTTTTTGAGAGACAGAGTTTCACTCTTTGGCCCAGGCTGGAGCGAAGTGGCGGGATCTTGGCTCACTGTAACTTCCGACCCCATCCCCACCCGAGTTCAAGCGATTCTCCTGCCTCAGCCTCCCCAGTAGCTGGGATTACAGGCGTCCACCACCACGCCCAGCTAATTTTTGTATTTTTAGTAGAGATGGAGTTTCACCATGTTGGCCAGGCTGGTCTCAAGCTCCTGACCTCAGGTGTTCCAGGCTTCGGCCTACCAAAGTGCTGGGATTACAGGTGTGAGCCACAGCACCTGGCCTCTATGCACTTTTAATACCTCAGCAGGTATTTGGAACTATGAGAAAATTATAACATTTAAAATAAACCAAAGAAGTTAACAAGTAAATCTCTCTCTTAAATGGGGTTTCCTTTGAGATCAGAAAGTTGTTACTCCTTTTAATACCTAGCCTTTTATTATATGTTTGTGATTGAATCCGATGACAGTGAAATCGAATTTTTGTTTTATAAGTTGGTTGAAAACCTAATCTTTCCTGAGAAACTATTGGCATTTTTGGAACTAACAACCACAAAACTCACCCAGAGCATTATAAATTGATTTGTTGGCTAGATTGAAATGCAGGTGTTGTTACTTGTATAGCAAATGTGGTGCATACTCAAAGAAACCATTTCTATTTCTTTGCTATTGAACTAAATATAAAACCAAATCCTCAAGGTTTCTGCACCTTGTTTTGGACGTAACAAAAATGAATCTCTATTGATTGGTTTCTGAATAGTGTTTCATAAAATGCCCTTAAGAATTTATCTTACCTAAGGTTAATCGAACAAACAAACCATAAACTCAATGGCTCAGATGCTGCTTTGTGGGTCTAAGGGTGAAGATGAAGGATTAAATTGCTGATCTTTCCAATGATCACTATAAACTGCTGCTATTTCTATGTACTGAAAAATTAGAAAGATGAAAATGGAAGACTGAAACTATTTTACGTGATCAAATAAAACACTTTCTCCTGTAGGGATGTGGATAGAGAAGATGACAGATTGTGCTGTCTTTTGGTAAAAGTTTCCTTTTCCACAGAGAAATTTAAACTAGAATATTTCTGAGAATTATTTCCTGTACCTTGGAGATGTTTGTGAGTGCCTGCAAGCTTGTCTTTCACCTAAGACAAATCAAAGGTCTCAGGTACAATGAAAAACTGAGCTTTACCTCAGTTTAACGTAAGCTACTATGTTGAATCTCTTCCTATTTTGCTACTATTCTGAAAGGTACGTTATAGTACGTTTCATCAAAGCTCTGGTGGTGTTATCTTAGATGAAATAATTTAATTTTTAAGGAATGTATTTCTTTACCACTATATCCTATAGATTTTTCTAATGGAAGGGAAGGAGGGTGGAGATTAGGTTGTTGTCATTACTTGTAATTAGGATATAAAGTTTTCCTAGTGAGGGAGAAGCATGTACAGATTCACACCATGAACAACTTAAGACAGGATATTGGCCAAAGCTAGAAAGTAGGCTGGGCGTGGTAGCTCACACCTGTAATCCCAACACTTTGGGAGGCCAGGGTGGGCGGATCACTAGAGCTCAGGAGTTTGACACTAGTCTGGACAACATAGGGAAACCCTGTCTCACCAAAAAAATATAAATGTTAGCCGGTCATGGTGGTGCACGCCTGTAATCCCAGCTACCCAGGAGGCTGAGATAAGAGGATCGACTGGGAGCTGCGGTGGCTCTGGCCGGTTGCCCTGGCGTGCAAGGAGGAGAGGCTATGCGTTCGAGGCCAACCTGGGCAAAACTGAATAAATAAATAATTGCCAGGCTCAGTGGCTCACGCCTGTAATCCCAGCACTTTGGGAGGCAGAGGCGGGCAGATCACGAGGTCAGGAGATCGAGACCATCCTGGCTAATACTGTGAAACCCCATCTCTACTAAAAACAAAAAATTAGCCGGGCGTGGTGACGGGCGCCTGTAGTCCCAGCTACTCGGGAGGCTGAGGCAGGAGAATGGCGTGAACCGGGGAGGCAGAGGTTGCAGTGAGCGGAGATGGCACCACTGCACTCCAGCCTGGGCGACAGAGTGAGACTCCGTCTCAAAAAAAAAAGAAAAGAAAAGAAAAGAAAAGGATCAATTGAACCCAGGAGGTCAAGGCTGCAGTGAGCAGCGATTATGCCCTCCACTCCAGCCTGGGCAAAAGAACGAGACCCTGTGTTAAAAGAAAAAAGAAAGTAGAAAGGATCTATAAGGTGTTTCTTATGACGTTTTATTTTCTTTTATTTTATTGTGCTTGGACTTGAGAGTAATTTTCATGTAAATTTCAGTATTTGTTTTGTTTTTATTTTTCCCTATGTTGCAAAAAAACGTATTTGTATGTGTGTGTGTACACAGAGAGAAAGAGAGAGAGAGAGAGAGAGAGGAAGGAGACCACCAACCCAAGGCTAGTGAGAGAATTACAGGGGGAAGGAACCAAGTCACAGAAATGAGGCGTCTACAACTTACGTTGGTTCTTGAGTAGGCTAGAAAATACTCTGTTTACTAGGGTGTACTAGAAAATGGAGATATCTGATATAGTTTGAAGAATAGTTGGCTTGTACCACTAAAAACAAACAAAATGTAAAGCATTTTATAGTTCTATTTTTTAAGATAAATAGTTGTACACATGTCACTGAACAAATAGAACAGTTAAAATCACAACACTGAAGATTTTTTAATGTTGTGACACAAAATTAGAGAATGTAGTGATAATAAGCTAGTTAATGGAAAACACCCGAGGTTATACATTTTAAATAATATGCTTGATTAAAATATAACAAATGAATAAAAGAGAAGAAAAAGAGAGAGAAGGCATGAAAAAAATGGAGAAGATGAAGGAGGATGGAAGAATGAATTAATTCAACTGGTTTTATTGAGTGGCTATTATGTGTTATGCACTGCATCAGGATATGCTCAAATAAACGTGAAAAGTGACATTATCACAGTAAGTTCAGGGTATGAGGGCAGCAGATTGGAGTGACAATTAGACAACTCAGAGGAGACAGGGCAGGGAGATCTTTTCAGAAATTTGACATATGAAGTGATGTGCAGGAATTTGTCAAGCAAGAAGGAAGGAGAAAAAGGCATCCCATGTTGGTAGAGCAACAAACACTGCACAAAGAAGGCAGAGAGCAAGATTTACATGATTAAAGCAGCTCTGTGTGGCTAGAAAAAGGAAAACACAATGAAAATGATGTTAGTTTTAGAGCTGATTAAGAAAAACACCATAAATCAACTTCAAGTCATCTGTCTGAGCCATGAAACTTAACAGGTGTCTTGCCCTACATGAGAAAGCCTAAACAAACACAACATTTCCTTCAATTAGAAGTACCAGAAACTGTGTTAAATTGATTTTCTAGGTCCCTGAAGCAAAAGACCCTAAAGAGTGGTGTTTCTAAGGTTATTAGTTATTCCGGTTTTAACTCCTTTTTTTTCAAGTTTTAAAATTTGAAATAAATTTGATCTTAAAAATAATAAAATAATGTACTATAGTTTCATATATATATATCTCATTTAATCCTCCATTTTCCAAATGAGAAAACTCAGAAACAAAAAGGATTTGCCCCAGGTCACACCATTAATCTTGCATAGAGCCTGGATTTAGGTCTTTGATGGCAAGTCTGTGGATCTGGGTTACTGGTTTGAGTAGATAATTGGAGAAAAATAAAAAATCAAAGCTATAAGATAAGAGTTAGAATTGGATGCTGGGGCATCTGTGAATTTTAGTTAAAAGAAATAGCAAACACTGGGAAAATCTTTAATACTGTCAGTTATGCCATACAACAAATAGACAAAACACACATTAAAAAGAAATATTTTCTCAGGTATCTATATTTCTATTTCATTAATAAAGTATATAAGAACTTTTAATTTTCAGTTATAGTGTATAATGGACACAAAGGATACAGGATGGAAAAAGAAAGAGAAGATAGTAGCCCATGAATATTTTTAGATTAAACTACATTAAACTACTTATCCACTTTACATTTGTGTTAACTGTGGTTTTGTTTATGTAAATGGATTAGGAGCAATTAACATTAAACAAAAGAAACTACACCCTTTAAAGCCTACTCCCTTTATGAAATGGCCTCATTTAGCCACTGGGCTCAAATTATCATTGCGTTATAGTGCTTCTGCAATCAACTAGTAACAGACAATACCCCTACAGTGGGATAATTCAAAGAAAATGAGTCTAGAAAATGCTGAGTTTAGGAAATTCCTAATTTCACCCTTAGAGTCTGGATTCAGATTGAGATGGGCCCAATATTTTGCCAGACCTCCAGATAGTGCTAGTCCAGAAGAAGTTCACTATTTATTAATAAGTACCTTTTATGTGTCTAGTACACTGCTGGCAGTATGAGAAAAATAAAATGAATAGGGGAGAACAATTGTGCCCTAAAAATGCATCACATCAAATCAAGGGTACATGCTCTCAAGGGTACATTACACTTGTTTTGAAACATGTTAAGAAGAAGAAAACCATTCAAAGGAAGATAACTAGAGAGAAATATTTAAATGCATTATTAAGAAAGAGTCAGGATTAGAGGGATGAGATTACTTGGCTGAATTCACATGGCTTATAAGTAGACAGGCCAAGACTCAAACCCAATTGTTCTGAATTCAAATTTATTATTTCTTTTTCCACTTCATTGGGTTATAATGGATATTAAATGAGGTACTATCTTAATGGTCCCACCAGTGGAGTGCTGAAACTTCTTGTCCTCGTTCACTAGAGTTGACTGTGCATGTCTTTCAAAATCTGTAGCTTGAAATCAGCTATGGTGGGAGTATTTATATCACAAAAATCATCAAATGTCATAAGTTAGTGTTTTCTCTAATTTTTTTTTCTGGAAAAATGCTGGTTGTTAAACATTGACCAAAATAACATTGGTTGTCTGTGCTATTTGTTTTGTTTTGTTTTAGACCTGAATAATTTTATTCCATCTCCTATGTGAACTTAAATACACACACACACCCCCACACGTTGTGTGTGTGTGTGTGTGTGTATATATATATATATATATATACATATATAATATATAATGTTTCATGTTCTTGTAGAAGAATTAAAACGAAGTAAACTTGTTAAGCCTAAGAAGTAAAAACTATCTGAAGAAGGTTTGGCAATCTGAGTAAAAACTACCTACAGTAAAAATGGAAGAATATAGTGAAGAAGGAAAATATACCCCATGAGTTATTGTCACAAAATATGTTATTTTGTTGTTGTTATTGTTGTTGATGATGCTGATGATGTTTTATTCATTTTTGTTTGTTTTGTTTGCTTGTTAAATGTGAAAAGTCTACTATGTCTGGAGCAGCAACTAGATATTTACCTTCTTAATATAGGTTGCAAAAAGAAATGTGCATTTCTAGAACCTCATGCCAATTTGTGAAGTACAAATGTAACAGTTACTGTAAATTAGAATGCTACATGTAATCTTTATTGTGTTTTTTTTTTTCATTTTTTTTTTTTTAAACATGGAGTCTTGCTCTGCTGCCCAGGCTGGAGTACAGTGGTGCAATCTAGTTCACTGCAGCCTCAAACTCCCGGGATTAAGCAATCCTTCCACTTTAGCTTCCCAAGTAGCTAAAGTTCCAAGTAGGGACTACAGGCATGCACCACCAGTTCAGGTAGGTTTTTTAAAATTTATTTATTGTAGACATTGGGTTACATGTAATACTTAAACTATGAAAATATAGAAGGAGTTCCTTCCTCCCTATCCCAGCTATTAGTTAGAGTTAGGGTTGGGGTATGAAAGGGAGGAAGGAACTCTGTCTATATTTTGATCCCTGTTTGGACGATACCCGTGTCAAAAGAAGCAGTTTTGTGTGGAGTCTCATTGGGTGACCTCACTTGAAAAGCTCAAGCAAAATGGAACACTCTTTCCACCCTAATTAACTCCCACATGAGGATGAGGATGAGGTGTTCTAGCAGCAAAGACTTGAAGGAAACAAGAAAATGTGCTTGATTATCTGGCATTCTGTACCCAGTAGTGTCAGACTCTAAGAATGTCCATTATGAATCCCAAATTCATTTGAATAGAAGATGGTAATTTCAAATTTAGTGAGGAAAGAAGCATCTAATTATAAAGAAAGAGCTGCTTCCCTAAAGAAAAATATCATTTGAAAAGGACTTTTTAGTGTTTACAGTGATTAAATATACACAGGTATTTTACCACTATTTAGTTTATTGTTTTAATATTTTGTGTATGTATTTTACACACACATACACACGCACACATATACACTTGTATGTGTATATATAAAAGTATACATATAATCTCAAATTGGTTCCTAAATGCTGGGAAAGGGGTTAATGGAAAAACCAAATACATAAACAATATAAACAATCACAGACAGGAAAAGTAAATGTTACCTTTTTTACAGTAAAAGTAAATGTTAAAAGGAAACTTTTTTTTCAACAACAGGTAGCACTAAGGTGAGTTTGAGGAAATTTTGTCAAGAAGCACAAAACAGACTGGTCTAGCTTGTCTTGCATTTTTAGTAGATGTCCTGAACTAGTGTTTCCTAACCTTGGCTAATTATCAGAATGCTGCCTAGGTCAGGGGTTCTCAATCTTGGCTGCACATTTTAATTGGTTGTAGATTTTTTTTTTAAATATTCATGTCTGGGCCCCACCCTAGACCAATTAAGTCAGAAGCTTTGGGATTGGAGCTCAGGCACATGTGTTTAAAAAATGATTACAGGTGATTTTAATGTGCTACCAAGAATGAGATCTACCGGTTTAGATAAAAAATGTGCTAAAAGAATACCACTCCAAAACAAGAACCAATAAAATCATAATGAGTGCATCTTCAATTTGTTAATCACTATAGAAATTTAGAAGAAAAAGTAGAGAATTAGAGACATTTCTAGATGTTTTCGTGACTACAAATGGGTGTATCTATTCCTTCTGCTTGTCATTTCATGTATTTATTTTGGAATAGGTAGAGAAGTAAAACGAACGGAAGAAACAAAGTGGAAGAAGTCCCAAGCATATTCTGAGTATTTAAAATCTCCAAAGGCATTTCGCCCATTCCCCTAACAATTAAACTTGAGCTTATTCTATGTGTATAAATATATATTTGTTATTTAAGACTTTCCTTTAAAACTTTTTATTGATACATAATTGTATATGTTTATGAAGTATATGTGATATTTTGATACCTGCATACAAGGTTTAATGACCAAATCAGAGTATCCATTACCTCAAACATTTATTATTTCCTTGTGTTGAGAATATTCCAAATATTCTCTTTAACAACTTCCTTATTTTCATTATCCAGTCTTTGTAGAGAAAATGTATTTCTTACATTTGAATAAATTAAAAGTGATAGATAAATAAAAGATGACTAGGATTATGATTGTCTGAAAAATATTATGTTTTAAATGTTATATTTTGTTTTCAGTTTAGATTAAGTGTAAATACCATTATTATTTATTCAAAAAATATAGAATTAATGTAACTGTCAGGTACAATTTACAAAGTTAGCATATTTATCTGTATTTTTTTTTCTTTTTTTGAACAGACAGGTGAAATGCTTTACTTTGCACTCACTGAATTAGAAAGATTTATTTTGCTTTCACACACTCTGTGGTATATTCTAATTTACAGGCCCCAAGAAAGAAAGTGTATCCATTTTGTTTGAGTTTTTTTGTTTGTTTTTAGGATGCATTGCAAAGTTATAGGCAAATTGTGTATTTTCATTCATTTAATACATATTATAGGTATTTCCGAGTCTATGTTTGTATCCTTTTGCTAGGTCTCCCATATAAAATACCACAAACTGGGTCACTTAAACAACAAAAATTTATTGTCTCACAAATCTGGAGACCAGAAATCTAAAATCAGGGTGTTGATAGGCTTCATCTACAAGTCAAAGCCCTTCAAAGCCCTTCTAAGGGCTATGAGGGAATGATCTGTTCCAGACACCTCTCTTTGACTTGTAGATGGCCGTCTTCTCACTATGTCTCATCATATCTTCTTCACTCTGTGTGTCTCTATCTCTGTGTCCAAATTTCCCCTTTATATAAGGACATTAGTCCTGTGAGATTGGGGCTCACCCTTAAAGACTCCATCTTAACTAATTACTTCTACAATGACCTTGTTTCCAAAAGAGGTCATATTTTGAGATCTTAAGGGTTAGGGCTTCAACATACAAACTTGGCGGGGCATGCGATTCAACCCATATCACTGTTGAAGTCATCTACTCAACTCTTCCTATCCAACTCAAGAAGACAATAATAAGCCCCTGTATTTTCTTGCTGTGTGGGTTACATCTACTTAGGCACTGTCTGTTTAAGTAAACCTTTCCTGATTCTGTCACTCCCACCCAAATTGGGATTAGGTGCTCTTCTTACATAAAGTCTCTCTACTCTGATTGGTTATCTCCAGTTGACTTGCAAGTTTTCTTTCCTAGACCATAAGCTCTTTGTGTTCGAAGAGTGTATTTCCTAGTGACTGGAATTATGCCTCCCACACACAAGAAACCAAATAAATATTTAAAAATAAAAAATAATAGGATTAGTTATTGCGAGGTATTTGTCCAGACCAGACTAGACATTTTGATAGTCATTCTTGCCTACCAAAGAATGACTGGGCCACTTTGAGTCTCTCTGTCTGGAATGCTCTCCCCCAGCTAGCATGTGATGAGCTCATTCTCATCTACCATGAATCAGCCTCAACCTTGTCTCTTCAAAGAGGTTCTCCTGGCCACCCAATTTAAAGTAGTCCCCATGGTTCCCATCATTTTTTCTGCCAGTCCCTTTTTTTTCTTCTTAAAAGTTATTAGAAGCTAATACTTTATTTTTGGTTTTTGTCTCTTTGTCTGTCTTCCCCATTGGAATGGACCCTTCATTAGGGCAGTGCCATATCCATTTTAACACATTGTATCTCCATCCAGCAGCACTCAGCAGACAGATTTTGTTTCTTTTGTTGATGTTGTGGTTTCACTGCAAGATAATAATAATAATAATAATAATAACAGATTATTTCTCTTCTTTTCTTTTTAGGAAAGATTAATAAACTTTTGTATTCTGAGTTTGGAAATTCTTGCCCAAGAATAGTTACAGAATTTTTTTTCAGAACAAAGAGAAATAAACATCAAGAGAGGAAAAAGGAGGAAAAGGGGACATTGCCAAGCTCCTGGAATAATGCTCCCACCTGGCATAATGACTAAAGTCAAACACACCTGAGTTTAAATGCTGAGTCTGCCTGATATGGTTTGGCTGTGTCCCCACCCAAATCACATCTTGAATTGTAACTCCCACAATTCTCACATGTTGTGGAAGGAACCTGGTGGGAGACGATTGAATTATGGGGGCAGGTCTTTTCTGCACTCTTCTCGTGATAGTGAATGAATCTCACAAGATCTGATGGTTTTAAAAAAACGGGAGTTTCCCTGCACAAGCTCTCTCTTTGCCTTCCGCCATCCATGTAAGACTTGACTTGCTCCTCCTTGCCTCCACCATGATTGTGAGGCCTCCCCAGCCCTGTGGAACTGTAAGTCCATTAAACCTCTTTTTCTTCCCAGTCTCAGGTATGTCTTTATCAGCAACGTGAAAACGGGCTAATACACTTCCTCTTACCATTATGTACTTTGAGTATATTTTAAAAATTTCTCAGGCCCAGCAGAGTGGCTCAGCCCTACAATCCCAGTACTTTGGGAGGCTGAGGCATAGCTGAAGCCTGGGAATTTGAGACTAGCCTGGGCAACAAAGTGAGACCCTGGTGTGCACCTGTAGTCCCAACCACTTGGGAGGCAGAGGCAGGAGGATCGTTTGAACCCAGGAGTTGGAAGCTGCAGCGAGCTGGGAATACACCACTGCACTCCAGCCTGGGTGACAGGGCAAGACCCCACTTCTAAAAAAAAAACTTATCTGTCTTCTCTGCAAATCAGTTACGTAATCTGTGAAATTTGGCTGTCAATTCTGTTAAATACAAAAATACTTTTTTTGTTTCAAAGTAGGTACATGGATAATATTTTGTAAACTTGAAAATATTTGAAATTGAATTTCTATTGACTTCATACAAGGTAGACAATTTTTAGGGTATAATAGGCTTGGAACATAGCTCTTATTGATTTTTTTCCTCAAAATCATTTTGTTTTAGTTTGTTTTATTATTTATTTTTTTCCTGAACTCTTTTAAGATTTTTTTCATCCTGGAGTAGAAAAATTTTGCCAGTATATCTCTACATGTATTTATTTTGTATTTATTTTGCTTGGAAGAGAGGCAGCTTCATCGAACTTTATCTATTGTAACTTTTGCAGCTGTGTTCTTTATCCCTTTTTAAATTTACTTTTTACCTATGTAAAAGTAGTGTGTAAATATCAAATACACTGATTTACAAAAATATATCAGTGTATTGTCTCTGCTCCCAAATCCCAATTCTCTTTTACCTTAGAAACAACTACATTCAACTCCTTTAACTATTTCTTCTGCTATTTGCCACCATATTACTAAATAATGTGTTGTAAATAAGTTGTTATTTTCTAAATTTGAACAATTACTTATTGACTTTGGACTATAGAAAATATCTAGGTCTCTTACAACTCCTCCCCCACCCCAATCAATAGTTATCTCTCACCCAACTTTCTTCACAAATTTTTGATCAAATCAACATTTGCTTTCTCCATTATCATGGCTATCAGCGAGGTCAGATGTATCAAGTAATTGCTCAATTCCATTTATATATTGCAGACACTTATTTATTTATTTATTTATTTATTTACTGAGATGGAGTTTCACTCTTGTCACCCAGGCTGGAGTACAATGGTGCAATCTCGGCTCTCTGCAGCCTCTACCTCCCGAGTTAAAGCAATTCTCCTGCCGCAGCCTCTCGAGTAGCTAGGATTACAGGTGCCCGCCACCACACCCAGCTAATTTTTGTGTGTGTGTGTGTGTATGTTTTGTAGAGACAGGGTGTCACCATGTTGGCCAGGCTGGTCTCGAACTCCTGACCTCAAGTGATCCACCTGCCTCATCTTCCCACGGCAGGCATTCTTTCTGAGTATCTCCTTCCTCCTCACCAAGCTGGACTTGTGGAGCTCTAGACCTTCAGCACAGCTGATATCCTGAGACTTCTCTTTAACCTTATCTTGGGAATTTCCTTTGTCACTTTTGTTTGTCTCTCTTTTTGTTTTGTTTTATTCTTTCTGTAACCTCTGATGCCCCGGTAGTAATGACCATATCTAGAACCCAGGTCTTCTTTTCTAAATAAAATTCTTCATAAAAGATTCCAAAAATCCTTGGGAAATGATTTATTGTATGTCTGGTACAGGAAAAAATACATGATAAGCCTAAATCATGTCATCATATCAAAAATAAGGAAATGCTTATTTCCTTATTTCTTTTCCTTATCCTTATTCTGCTATTTATTTTCCTTATTCTTGTCCTGTCACTTGTCTCCTCCACACCATAGCAGTTTCTTAGTCTTTCTTTTTCATGGTTTTGACACTTTGAAAATGAAAGGAAAGGAAGAACAGGGAAAAAGAAAAGAAATAGCAGCATACCAAAGGTCACATGAATCAACTGGAAAGAGCTCCTAATGGCCACAGCTAGAATTTGAGCAGCAAAATAATTACATGTTCTTGGACTATAACATAAAGAACAAAATAAGCATTAAAGACCCATGCTTATATAAACAACCAGATAAATACATGAGAGTAAGTAGGAAATTCCTCTTTACAGGTGGACTTCAATTAAATAAATGTAAAAGGAATTAGGAAAATAGGCAATAACCTTTAGAATGCCAAAATAGTAATTGCCCCAGACAAGACCCACCGATGGATGATAAAATGTGTGAACAATAGCTTAAGCATAAATAATATATTTGAATTGCCTCAAAGCATCTCCTCCAAAATATTATTAATAATTATAAGAGGAAGAAACATGGCCTTATAGTGGAGAATTCTTTCAGAGACCACCTTAATCACATAATCAAGGTGACCAATAAGAATCACATGATCAATAATGCACACCAACATCTTGTACCCTTCGATGTGGTATACTGAGAAGGAAATATCACTGCTGTGATATCTTCCCCAAAGGCAGAAGCTAAATCTAATCATAAAAAACATCAGACAAACCCAAATTGAGAAGCATTCTACAAAATAATTGCGCAGCACTCTTTCTTTTTAAATTTTTAGTTAGAGGGATTACATGTGCAGGTTTTTTTACATAGATATATTGTGTAATGCTGGGATTTAGGCTTCTATTAAACCCATCACCCAAATAGTGAACCTAACAACCAGTAGTCTTCAAAATGTCAAATCCATGAAAAAGAAAGACTAAGAAACTGCTGTGGTGTGGAGGAGACAAGTAGACAGGAAAATTAAATGCAACAGAGTGTCTTGGATTGGAAACTGGAAGAAGAAAATTGGTGGAAAAATTGGTGAATACCCCCCCACCAATTCTATAGTTTAGTTAATATTATCATACCAAGATAAATTTCTTAAATATATTATAGGTCTATAGTTATACAGTTATTAATGTTAGGGGAAGTTGGATGCAAGGTGTATGGGAACTCTACTCTGCACAATTCTTCTGTAAGTCTAAATTTATCTCACAATAAAAAATTTCAAAAATCAAAGATAAAGCTTACAAATATAGATACTATTGTCTTGCAGTTTTTGAATTGTTAGTACACAAGCCAAATAGTCCAGAAATGTTGATGTCTTCAGCAAATATTCATAGATGATCCTTAAAAAGTAAGTACACTTCACAACAAATGCCTTCCTGATGTAAGTTTAGAAGGGTTTGTTTCATTTTTGCCTCTTCCTTTGTGGGAGAGAGAATATTTTATTAAAAATCATTTGCCTTCCTTTCATTTTATTGAGGCTATTAAATGTAAACTCTAGCTTTAACTTGATGAGCTAGTAAAATCATCAATAGAGTTAAACAATATTCTTGGGATGCTTATTTATGTTACATAATCAATTCAATAAAGTAGCCTCTGGGTTTGTTGGGAGAATTTTCTTTTAAAATATGCTTCTTACTCTTATAAGCTAGAAGTCTATTAAAGATGAAATAAATAGTATAAGCTATAAATCTCCAATTATTCTCCAATGCACAATATGATGTTCTTATTTAGGTTCTCTTTATAATTGATGCTGGAATATTTAAAATACTGTAATATCAAAATTGCATTTTATGAATAATCATTTAATGAGAACCTATTGTCACTTCAATCCTGTGTGGTTACTGGTGTATGAAAAGAAAATGGCAAAAGGCCCTCTGTGTGAGCAGGAGGCAAGATGCACTCTTGATACCTCTGTGAAGTCTGTCAGGAACCATGAAGATCTGGGAGAGAGGTGGGAGAAGGCAAGGTTGAGAGACCTGAAATCTCTTAAGAACATAAGCCATGTCTGATGCATTGTGATTTTCTTTCCCAGAAGACTTTGAGCTCTCTAAGAGTAAGAAATCATGTGTGTATATATATATATGTTCACAATTCTAGCACTTCATTATTCATAGTAAGACTTCAAAAAGATCCTTTGGTTAACTGGTTTTGAACTGAAATAATTTGACAAAAATTACTTTGTGTGATATGAAGGAAATATAGAACCATCCAAAACTGCTAAGCAAGGAATCAATATCAGATTTGCATGTTTAAAAGTTTAGAAGGCCTTGCAGTAGTTCAGTTTAGAAGTTTAGTAGGTCTTGCAGTTGTTCAGCCTAAAGAAGAGGCATCATAAATAAAGCAGTATCAACAGGAGAAGGGAACAGGAGGAAAGGAAGAGTCAAGGATGACTCTTGCATAATTTTGGCTTAACTATTACTTCCGGAGACAGTACAGTGACATGAGTGCGTTCAGTTATGGAAGATGACATGGTCAGTTCACCCAAGTCACATAATACATAAGAAGTCAAAACTGCATCTGGAATTTAGGACTGAAGGCTTACATAGAAATATAGATGTGGGAACCACTTACATTAAAGTTGAAGTGGTTGAAGACAGTTACACAGATGAACTCAATCACAGAGACTGTTTAGAATGAGAGAAAAGTACCACAAGGGAACAGAAAAAGAATATAGAGGTTAAAGAGTTTGACGGAGAGAGCAGAGACATATGAATCTGAGAAGCATTTGGGTAGGAGTAAAGGAATAATGTCTCCCAAAGGGAGAACGAGCTTCAAGAAGCAGTAGTGGCCACTATAGTCATTAGGATTCCTGGATCAGACAAGAGGAATGGACATCAGCTCATATGACAGAAAAGAAACTTACTGAAATAATCCTAGGTACATCACAGAATCAACAGAAAGCTGATGAACCAAGCACAGAACACTGAGAGGAGCCAGGGAGACATCGTAATAAGAAAGCACAGTGAAGAGTCTGTCACAGGGTCCCTCTATCTAGGATGCAACCATTGGCCACACCACTACAGATGCTCGGCATCACCTCTTGTAGGTCCTCGAAACCCAGGCCTGGTACAGCCTTGAATATCATCTCACCTGACCCTCAGCCTTTGTTTCCCCTGTTCAAGTGATATGGTTTGGATGTTTTGTCCCCTCTAAATCTCATGTTGAAATGTGATTTCCAATGTTGGAGGTGGACCTAGTGCAAGGTGTTTGGGTCATGGGAGTGTGGATTCCCCATGAATGCCTTGGTGTCCTCGTGGTAATAAGTGAGTTCTCATTCTATGAGTTCACGTGACATCTAGTTGTTTAAAAGAGTGTAACCCCCTCCCGCTATCTTCCCCTCTTGCTCCCTCTCTCTTAATTCCTCTTTCACTATGAGGTACACTAGCTCCCTGCTTTTGCCTTCTGCCTTGATTAGGAGCTTCCTGGTACCTGCGGATGTTGGTACCATGCTTTTCATACAGCCTGCAGAGCTGTGAGCCTAAATGAACCTCTTTCCTTTATAAATTACCCAGACTCAGGCATTCCTTTATAGCAATGCAAATGAACTAATACATCAAGTATCAAATCTAACAGAAATCAAACAGTTTAACACAGTGATGCAAATTAATGGTGACCATGTACAAAAAGAAAAGACTTTTTAAATTTTTCTAATGTTGGCTGTAGTTTTTAGTTTTATTTATTTATATATTTTAACTTTTCTTTTAGATTCAAGAGGTACATGTGCAGGTTTGTTACCTGGGTATATTGCATGATGCTGAGGTTTGAGGTACAAATATTCCCATCTCCCAGATACTGAGTATAGCACCCAATGGTTAGTTTTTCAACCCTTGCCCCTCTTCCTTCCTACCCCTCTACTAGTTCTCGGTTTCTGTTGTTGCCATCTTTATGTCCATGACTACCCAAAGTTTAGCTCCCACTTATATGTGGGAACATGTGGTATTTGGTGTATTTGGTTTTCTGTTCCTGCATTCATTCACTTAGGATAATGGCTTCCAGCTGCATCCTTGTTGCTCCAAAGAACACGATTCCACTCTTTTTTATGGCTGTATAGTATTCCATGGTGTATATGTACCATATTTGCTTTATCTAATCCACTTTTGATGGGCACCTAGGTTAATTCCATATATTTGCTATTATGAATAGTGCTGCAGTGAACATGTGAGTACATATGTCTTTTTGGTAGAATTTTTTTTTTCCTTTGGATATATACCCAGTAATGTGATTTTGGGGACAAATGGTAGTTGTGGAGCTCTCGCTTTTGCTCAGCTTCCCACTATGCAGCTTCATGGATATGTTTTCTACATTAAGAATAATAATAGCAGCAATTTCTTACAGAATCATGATTATATTCTAGGCCCTATTCTAAACACTTTAGAGATATTAATTTATTTAATTATCACATACACTCTATGTGATAAGAATATATGTGATACCACATATACTCTATGTGGGTAAGAATTATTATTTTCCATTTGAATAGAGGTTATGCTGAGAGAAGATATGTGATACCACATATACTCTATGTGGGTAAGAATTATTTTCCATTTGAATAGAGGTTATGCTGAGAGATGGAGGAGCTAATCTTGCCAAATTGTCACACTGCTAAAAAGTAGCAAAGCAAAGATTCACACCCTGGTGGCCAGGTTTCAGAGTTCTTCTAAATCAGGGTCATGTTGACTAGCTCATCTAGGTAACAATAGGTATGTTGATCTGATGAAGCAAGGTGAAGAGAGGCCGAGGGTGGGGGCAGATACTAAAGGGGCCTCCAGAACACATGCTAAATTCCTAGACTAGGAAAACAGTACAAAGTATGTTCTGAGATACAGGAAAGAAGCCGAGGATGAATGGAGATGCCAAAGTAGGTGTAGGTAAGCAATAAAAGGAGAGTGGCTTTGAGATAGTCCAGTTCTTGATTTCAATTTTTGCTCAGAATAAGCAAGAACAGCAAATCAAAGAAGGAAGATAAGACCAGAGGCCAGCAGCAAACGATGTCTTTGCAATAAACATAGTTTGGAAAACAGCAGAGTTACTTTAGCTAATCTTCTCTTTTAAGGTAATTATGTCCAATTTCAGTCCAACTGAAGGGAAGAGATAATAAATTCTGTTTTGAAGTTTACTAGTCAGGTTCAATACAAACCCAAGGGTCAAAAGGTAAGAGAGTAGATGATGTTACGGACTGTAGCACTAGATCTGACAAATACCATCATCATTATTATAATCACTATTGTAATTGTAATAGCAATCATTTATTGACTTGTTTCTATGCATCAGATCCACTGTTAAATGTTTTACATACATTATCTCAAATCATGCTCATAACAACCCCATAAAGTTGGTGCTGTTATTATCCCATTTTATAGACAAGAAAACAGACCTAGAGAGTTAAACTTCCCCAAGGTCAGAGAGTCAGGAAGGGGTAAGATAGGATTTGAACCTGCTTGATGCCAGCCAGGATAGGATAGGATAAACTGAATGGGATAAAACGTAGGAATAAAAGATTAAGAGTTAGAAAGCAATTAAAGTAAAAGAGCGAGATGACTGAATTACACAAGATTAGCCATGGTCAGAGAACAGAACATTTGAGTTTACTATATATTACGCTTCAAATAGTTTTCGGTAACAAGTGTCAAGGTTCATCATGTGAGCAGTAAGTCCATTTGGAGCCCATATACGTGCAACACAGAGCACAATTTTGAATATGGATATATGATTCTTCTTTTTATCTTCTGGCCAGAGAGATCTGGGAGACATTTCCCAAGACTCCTCAGAAGTTCACATGGAGTTAAGCATCAGTCACTGTAGTGGTGACCAACTCAGCAACACAGCTGTGTGTTGTCTTTTCCTTCTCACATGTTTCTCTCCTCTGCCCTTTCCTCCTGCTTTCTGGGACCGCTTCCCAAATAAACCTACATGCAAGGCTCTACCTTGTCTCAAGCTCTGCTTGCGGGAGAACCTAGACTAAGAAAATGGGAAATACCCTGGAAAACAGACTTTTATGATGAAATGCTTCTTTCTGGAAATAAGCAGCTGAAAGAGAGAGAGAGAGAGAGACCAAGGAATTGGCTCCTTCATTTGTGCGAACTGGTGAGGCTGAAAATTCAATAAGAGTTGATGTTATAGCCTTGTAGTTGTTGTTGTACTGTTGAATCTGAATTCCCCAGGGCAGCATGCCAGAAACTCAGGCAGAATTTATATGAGAATTCCTTCTATTTACTAAGGGAAGTGCAGTCTTTGTCCTTAAGGCCTTGAACTCATCGGATGAGGCCCACTCACATTATGGTGAGTAATTTCTTTACTCAAAGTTTACTGACTAATACCATCTAAAAAATACCTTTAGAGTAACATCTAGACTGGTGTTTGACCTGTCACCACAGCTGACACCATAGCCTAGCCAAGTTAACACATCAGATTAACCAACACAGGTCTCAAGCCAGACTTATGGAGAAATGCAATCCCTGTACTGGAAAGAACTAGCTTAAACACAAAGAGATTACAAGTGTTAGTCCATTTGTACTGGCAGGAATTATTGGATCACATGTGGGCATTGGCGTTGGACTAGCGAGCTTAGAATATAAAACTGGGTAAGGGAGAATTTCTTTTTATGAGCTCACTCTAGTGTAACTCAAAATTGAATGTCTCAGCAAGAACACTTGGAGCCAGTCCTAATACACTGATGAGAGTGTTTCTCAAAATTTAGACATGGAAATTGTCTACAGTAAGTGAATTGGAGATGTTGGGGGATCTGAGATGTTCCAAGAAGGTTTGGGAAGTGGGAATATTTAAATGATTTATTATGTGACATGGTAGAACCCATGATCTGATTATGTTCCTTGAGAGGGCCTAGAGAGCACTATTTAAACTAAGGAAATGAAGAGTGCCCTGGTGCAGGGACACTGCATCTTTGAGGAGACTGAGTGGTTGTCATCTATAGGCTGGAGTGGACAGTGCCACTCTCTCTACTGACAATGGGGATAATGAGATTCTAGAATGGCAAAGGCCATACATGTTTGGCATAGTCGTTATAATGAGTATCAAGGCTACAGTAGTCATTAAGGTGTCTGGACCTATCTGTATCTGTGGTGATGGTTAACAAATTATGGTGTTCTGAGGGTTGAGATGGATGATCACCCATCAGAGTATGACTTTATCAAGAAGTGGTGAGCAGAGGGCGTATAGTCACCACAGTTCTTCATCCAGTTCCCAGATGTCAGGGAGCTTACAGACCCAGAGGCCATCAATTGAAGGGTAAATTGGGTCTCCTTGAGGAAAGACCCTGTAATGTAACTCAGACCTTCCATCATGATTTGGCCTCATAAAATCCACCAGGACAAAGGGCCAAGTGGAATAAGAAAAATGTATTAGATGATAGAAACTATACATATGGGATTAAGCCCAAGAAGTTCCACAAGGTTATCTGGTCAGATAACCCAGACACCCATGACACTTATTTCTTCTGTATTCACGTCTCTTCTTTAACTAACATATATAACCTCATAGGGATTAATTCTGATCAACTGATCAACAAGTAGGGGGAAAAACACCTTCCCACGGCTCATTAATGAGTTGGTTCACCATGTTGAGGTAGCTGTAAGTGGACTGCTGCCATATTATTGCCCCACTTAAGGGCAGCCCTTGATATAGTGGAAAAGGGAAATTCTCCCAATGGGTAAAGCCAAGAGCAGTAAACTGGTTTGCCACTTTGTATGGTGAAAGAAGTGGGCCGAATCACAGATATTTATGAACTCCTGGATAGTGATGAATGGCTAGGCTGGTTGGTCAGGGTCCTGAAAGAAACGAGATTAGAAGATTTGGGAAATCAGAGATGAAGAGGGGTGGTGGTGGTAATAGCAGTGGTGAAAACAATGACATTTAAACCCATCTGCTAATACTAGTTCCATCACATCAGCTAAACAGTGATAAACAGTCAGCCTTTCACCTTTCTTCCCCCTTTCCCTATTGTCTATAAGCTTTCTCCATCTGGAAAGCAGTATTGCTTATACAACCTTAAAGAGTCAAAGAGGACATTTAATTCTGTAGGGTTGTGTTGTAGTCAGTAAAGGGCCAATAAATGAGTTTTCTGATCTAAGAAGCACACTTTGAATCCCTCCATCCTCTGCTGCAGAACACAGTAGTTTACTTGGTAGTTTCTAAGTCTGTTAATATTTGCATGAATAGTTGGTGGGCTTAAAATATTTAATTATCCAATTCAGGCACAAGCTGTGACATTCAATTTATTACTTTGTATTTATCAGAAAATGTTTGCAATTTTCTTCCTATAGATTCTGCAAGTATTTTATTTGGGTTATTCCTAATTTTATTGTATATTATTGTTGTTGTTGCCAATAAGATCTCTTTCAGCAAGTTTACTACATTTATTTATTTGGATTGTGCCCTGAATAAGGAAGGTACATGGGGAGTGGTGAGTAAGAGATGAAATCCGGCTATGGTCCTCTCACACCGAGCTGTGTGTCCTAACATGAAGCTGTGTCTACAGATGAAAGTGCTTCTCTTTCTATTTCCCACAGAGGCACTTCCTGGATACAGTGTTCTCTGTGTGTGTGTGGGCAGGGGTCTTGGTGGTGTTTTAATCTGGTAATGTTTGTATTTTAAAATATGTTGATTTATATGTATTTCTCTTCCTTTTCATCTATTTTAACAATATTTTAAATTATTCTTCCTCCACTAAAACCTAGCACACTTGCTTGGGGCAAAGGTCCACTTGGAGACCGAAATATTAGCTAGCGCTGCTTAGTTTCTAAGTATCAACATTTTGATCCATCCAGACCTTGTACTTATGCTTAACAATATCTTAAGGGTTATATGCAAAACCTTATAAAGAAGGCAAAATGATTTATTAGGAATGACTAAACTTGCATCCTGTAATTGGAACTGTAGTCATGAAGGGTGGTGGTGGTGGTAATAGCAGTGGTAAATACAAACAAAAATATTTTATATAAATATTTCTATGAAATAAATTATAAAGCTTTTTCACAAAGGTTTCTGGGAAACACTGATAAACAGCCCTCTAATTGTCTATTAATTGTCTAATTGTCTATGAATTTCATGCCCTGTAGTGTGTTGATTAAAAAGTTGTGTGCAGACAACAATTTTTCTCTACTCCTTTTCCAATCCTTTTATATTGTCTATCTCTTTTTCTGTCTTAGCTCTTACTTCACTTGTCAGAATAATGTTAAGTAACAGTGAGATTAAGCGTTTTTCTTTCCTTTCTGATTTTCCCCGGAACATTCATGTTTCACCTGTAAGTACTTTCTGCTCTACTCTGGCATGCTGTACCTGGAACTGGTCTTCACACACATCATTGCCCCAGTAAGCAGCAAAATCCCAGAAATGAGCAAAGGTTCTGTCTCTGGCATTGCCAGGGACTGATGTCTCTGCCATTTACCATCATCACTGGCTCTATGTGCCCAGCTCAGGACTCCTATTGTACCTCTATCATTTAGGTTACAACTCTCAAGCCATCCCCTGAACTCTTGACTTTACTGCTGTCATGCATCACACAAGCTGTCATCCTCCTCCCGTCTCTGAGGTCAACCAAGGCCTGAGAGTGGTTAAGAGTGCTACACTGTGCTCTAGATCTGGTGGTCTTTCTTCGCATCCTGGTTCTGCCATCATGGTTCTACTTAACTGTGTAAATTTAGGCAAGTAAATCAAGAAGACTGGGCCTCGGTTTTCTTGTCTATATAAGGACATAATAATAGTCCCTACCTAATAGATTCTTGTGAGGCTTAAATAATAATAGGTAAATAATTATGCAAAAGACCGTACACAGTTAGTGTGTGACATGTAGCATATTCCCAATATATATTATTTACCAAACTGGAATAAGAGAAAGTGGTCCCATCCATTCCAAAATTATTACAACCTGTAGCTGGCTTTCCATGAGGTTGATAGTTTTGCCAGAACCTGCCTGTCACAGGGTTTCCTGAAACTCACCACCTGGAATTCCTGGGCCTTTCTTTCCCTGTGTGTCGGTGTGCAGTCTTTTACAGTCCTAACAATTTACTGATCAAAATACCACCTTACAGAAATATATAGGCCTATCAGGCCTCACTGGACTTTTAAAGAGGTGAGAGTGGATGGTAGGAACTAGAAAGCAAAAACAGCAAAACAAAGCCTTATAATATTAAAAATACTTCTTAAAACCTCAGAATTTGCCCAACCACATGCCAGGGATTTCCTAGTGACTTTTGTTGTTCTCAGGCTCTGGCCCATGCACTAAATTTTGAATTTTTTTCTCTTTTTTTGTTCTTTTCTATTTAGGCTCTGCCCTTTTGTCTATTCTCCTCTAAATTCCGTGGGTATTTCTAATATAGAGTGGTTAGTGGTTTGCTTTCTTATCTCCCTACAGGCCTTGCTTCTTAAGTCTTTACCTGATGTCACAGGCTTAGCAAGGTATTTTCCTAGAAAATGGCATTTCCCTACTAATGCAAATCTCTGGTGCTGAATGCAAAGAAAACCTCACTACGGCTGTCAATCAACTGTAGGGTCCCTGATCAGAAAATCATACAAGGATGAGGTTGTCTGTCAGGCTGGGAAAACTTTGTCAGTGTTAAGATAATGTACTCTCTTCCTAGATGTAAAAAATAACAATAATTTTATTAGGAGTAGCTGCTAAATTGTGTTAAATGAATATCTTCTGAAATCATATTTTTATATGATTTTATAATATAAATCATAAATTTTATGTTTTAGACATTTTACACATGTCTAAAAGAGATTCAGCTTTTTTTTTTTTTTTTACAAAAATCCAACTTCTTCTTTTCACAGTTCTCTCATGCCTTCTTTCAGTTGATTACTATGCCTATGTGTCTTTTTATTTATGTTTGGGTAGAAAAGCCAATGGTTCCTGAAGCTTAGTGAAAATAATATTCTTTATTGCCCTAAATCCATGACAAAAAAACGTACTCAAGTGTCACACCAAGTTTTTAGGTAGGTACACATAACTGGTCCATTGGCTTAAACACAACAAATAATAAGTAACATTTATACAACTTTAACGTGTTCTTCGTACTGTTCTAAGTGTTTCACGTATGTTAATTATTTGCTTCTCACAACAATCCTATGACATAGATGCTATTATTATTCTTTTTTAAAGATAACAAACCTAAGGCATAAAGTGACTGTCTAAAGGTGTGTAGCTAATACGTGATAGAGGCAGAATTTGAATCCGGGTAGTCTGTCTTTAATCACTGAACTAAACTTCCTCTCTATCAAAAAGAGGAGCAGTTGATGGAGAACATATTTCTAGAGCACTCTTAAAGTTAAAATACCCCTGGCAGAGGGACTTACTGTAAAGTGATATAGTTATCCTCTAGAAGGATGAGAATAAATAGGGTCTAACCTGAAGGGCATATTGGGTGGAGAGTGAGTCCGGGGGAGGAGCTGATAAGAAAAGAAGTGAAATGGCAAGAAAATAAAGAGTTTAATGTTTTGGTTCTACCCATATATTTCTACCACCCTTGACAGGTTACAATAAACATTCTATTTCTGCCTTTACTACATTTGTCTTACATTTTCCTTTTTCTACTCCCTGATAATTTGGACAAGCGTTTCTCAGAACAGCAAGTGGTTACAAGCATTGGGAAACATGAGGTGCTTGATAAACCTGAAATTCCTGATCTCATTCCAGACCAGAAGAATCTGTCCTGGGATATGGGGGAAGGGGAGAGATGAAGGAAACTGCATGTTTAGCAAACACCACAGGTAACATTTATGCTCACTAAAGTTTGCAAACTTTTCTGCCAAGCGAATCTTTACAACTTTTCTGCAAGTGAATCTTCTGATAGTGGTTTATAGTCATGAAATAATTGCAAAGTGCTTCTCTTTACCTAGATTCTAAAGGCCTGGGTACCAAAACACAAACATAAATAATGAGCTTGTTTACCTTAGAGCTCCATTTTTCCTTTGATGTGACAAACAAGTAGGTTGGAAAACAAAAATCAGTCTCTTTTCCTGCTAAGGAAAACCAAAGTTATACCTCAAACAGATTGGTATAACGAACTCAACGCTAATAAATCTATATGCAGAGAACTTTACAAAATAAAAAATCCATTAAGCCACTCTCGTAATATATTTTGCTTGTATTTCTAGGTGCGCTAAAGTATCTTTCTTTATTTATATAAGAAATATTCTTGTAAGCATGTCACTATTCACCCTTATAATCAAGTATTTTGTTTTTGAAGTAGGCATTATGGGTTAAAATACATTTTAATGCCACATGATGAAAATGTTCATTGCATAATATCAGTTGTTAGGTTAAGTGATATGTTAGAACGTTACTGCTTATCACAGCAACAGGAACCTTCAGATCATTCAAAATATAATGGAGCCAGAAAAAATGATGCCCTAATTCTGTAAGTTGATGGGAATTAAGGAAGAGAGACAAATTGAATAGTAAAAGTATTTTTTCACAATGAATTTTATAATTTTATACCTTTTTATTGTATAAAATGTTATTTATTTTGTAAAGTAAATTTCAACTTCCCTGTTCTTTAGTTTAACATAAAAAGATAACTAGAATTCCTTTTAAGCTTTGCAAGTTTTAAGGTGATAAAGTAAAACTAGACAAGATTCTATTCATTTGGCATTATCAAATCTGGAATCATTTTGGATAAATTTGCTGACAAATTTAGAGTCTTCTTCTGTTTGGTAGTTGGCTCTCAGAAGGCATATAATTGAACAAGCTTCTACCTGTATTATTACTGCTTATCCCAATTCAGAATATGATTCAGTCTATCTGTGCATGTAGAACAAGTTTTAGTGCCTTGTTAAGTAATCATCACACAGAGTGGTTCTCACTATGGACTGACAAAACATTTGCTGATCCACAATAATGAAAGTCATTAGAAGATACCAGGAAGTGGATGTTTCAAGCCCATATCCTCCTATGGTGTTGAGAGCATTGTTTAGGACCCCAAGGACACAATCCCACAGTCTGTTCTGTACAATAATAATTTATGCCATCAAATCATCTTTCATCAGAGATCTCAAAGGGATTCTGCAAACACTAATTTCACCTTTTCCTGAGGTATGTAGAAATAGTAATTCCAGAGGACCAGGCAAAGAGCTAGAGAATAGTCTTGACTTGTTCAACTCCTGAGTGAATGGGAGGCTGAAAGTGAACCAGCCTTAGGAATGGCAGGCATGACACTGTCCAGGACTGAACTTCATCTCCACTATTGTCCTGAGAGAGTTACAGAAAGCCTCTTTTGTTTGGAATTTTCTCAGGAACCCAAGTGAATTTGGGTGGAAATGTGTCCCTTATGAAAAGGAGAACATTTCTTGAGTGGAAGTTGTTATAAGATGATACTTTCTCACACTATACATAGAGACAGGGGCCATGAGAGTTACAAACAAAAGATGAAGTGACTTGATCATGTCCTTAAGTTACGGTGCTCCTAGCTAGAACTACTCAGGGGCCTTTAGTTATGATGACAACAGGTCCAAGTATTCCCAGTCTCAGGTTACACCTTTTGTTGGAACAAAATTACATTGGTCTCTGTCACTCTCAAAAGTGTTCTGGACTGGGTGAGAATATATAAGATCACCTTAACTGAAGTGCATAGTTCTACACTTAGAGACTTCTTTAAAAGGAAGAAAATAACCACAGTGAGTGAAGAGGAAATGCTCCACTTATCCTCAGGTTTCTCATAACGAATACAGACAATGACATTCACCTCGCAGTGTTGTTATGAGGATTAGATGCAGTGATGCGTGGAGTGTCTCCAACTCCCACTCCTCAAAAAGTGCCTGGAATGTGGCAAACTCTCAAGAAGTTCAAATCTCCATTCATTTTCCCTCTCCCTTTATCACAGTGAAAGAAAATTCTAACATGAGTTGCACCAAAGAAATGTAAGAGAGTTAAAGATTCTTCTTAAACCTAGCATCATCAGTGACACAGCGATTTTCAAGAAATTCCAGGAAGCCTCAAGGACACTAGAATTCCTTTTTTGGAAGGATATAAGATCAGAAGATGGAAGCTTGGCTCCTCCTGACAAGATGTCAGGTTGCATGACCATCCTATGGTTTGCAGGTGGTGGAAGCTCAGCTACCAGATGGGGCTAAAACTTTTGGTTCAGATTAATCTCAATTAAACACAAAAAGAACCTTCTGATTAAACTACCTAAGAGAGCATGAGGGGCCTCACCAGGTACTAAGTTTCTTGCCATTGGTCAGGTCAAATATGAGTGAGTTAATCCCTGGTTATAGGAAGTTTCCATTTTGGATGGATGGTTAGTCTAGTACCAGGCCTTTTTTCTGCCTAGATATGTCCCTCATTCTGGTATTGTAGAGTTCTGGTATTTTTCAGGAAAACAGACCTAGCTTATTTTTTTCCTTTTCTGGACTTCTAATGAAAACAAATAAAAAGTATACTTTAGTTTTTGTGTTTTCTGATGGTGTTATGTATGTTTATTCAAAAGGACCATGCCCTATACTCATTTTGACTATTCCACAATTCTTATTCAAATGCTGAGCATACAGTGGGTGCCTAATAAGTACTTAGAAACTAGAAATGCAGACATGTTCCTATAGATTTTCCCATGCCTATCATTAATACAAACTTGGCACTATAGTCAGCATCACCTGTGGCCATACAATGTATATTATTCATGTCGTCACATGATGCCAAAAACATGACATTCAGCAAACACTAAAATACATAGGTTCTCAGATTGTGACTCAAACTTTTGACTACAGAGACTAAAATTACAAAAGTCTACGTCAACTTGACTGGTATTAATAAAAACATAATATACTTAAAAATTACAGTAAATAGTGCAAATGAAGCCTGATCAACCACTAAAACATACAGATACATTAAAAACAACCATAATTGTTGTTCAGAACATAAGACATCCTGCGGTATTCTTGGTGTCTGAATGTTTGAAAATGTTTAACATGGTTAGATCAAATATAAACCAAAATTAAGACTATAGATAACATGGAATGAAAGTGACAGAATCTGGCAAGAAGATTGTTCATTTTAAATCAGCTGGAAGTACTTGTTAAAATACTGTAATTAACCATTATGATAAAAATCTTTTTAACTTGAAGAAAAACTTATCTAACATACTATTAGAACTTAGAAATATATGAATAGATTATTTAGGAAGCTTTTTCCAGAATTATTGGTATTTTGAACTTAAAATACAGTATTTAGTCTATAAGAAATTGAAGTATGCAAGTATCTATATTTGTACAAAACCACAAATGCAAAATATAGTAATAACTATTGAGATTTACTCTCTTCCCTGTTGCCCTTCTCTTGGCTTAATCCTACATTTTCTAAAAGGTATTTGTTGTTGTTGTCTTCACTTCTTATTTATCCAGAGAACAGCCCGATAAAATTGCTTCTGCCACCCTCCTCTTCTAACAAGTCCACTATGTAAGAAAGGCAAATAATGTGGATTTTCCATAAACAGTATGTGAAACCACAGCATCTTGAATCTTTGTTGATTTAAAACTTTTGGTTCCAAGTTACAGAAACTCAGTCTAAACTAACTGCAACCAAAAAGAAAAACTTACTGATTTACAGAAACAAAGAATTGCAGAGAGGGGACAGGAGGCTCAATGGACGCTGTGGTAAGGGACACCAACACTGCCAGGGACTTATCTGGCCCTCTTTCTGCCCCTCTATTCACCTCCACTATCTTCTACAGCAGATTAAGTTGTGCCTTCATCAGCAGAGAAGTGAAGCTTTTTTCTTTTTAACGGCCATCTTAATTAATCTCAAGAAAACTTTGTGCAGCCATTCTTGAGTCATGTGTTTACCCCTGTGGCTCGATGAGATTATTATGATTAAGATCTCCCTCTAAAAATATGAGGTTAAAAGGAAAGGAGGATGGATTCTTAGAGGAAGGTCTGTGCTGCCTCCAGGAGAACAGAAGAGCATTAAGGAGAGAACACTCTAGTTGTCCACTATGACTAATAAATGTCCTTGGGGACCAAGCTTTTGGGCTCTGGCCTAATAGGGATATAAAAAAGTAACATGATCAGAAATATCTTTTCTTGGTCTTTTAATTATGTTGCACAATGAAGTGGTGAGCAGGGACACAACTAGGAGGAGAAAGGAAAGAGTCTTGGGATACTGGTGTTCATAAAATCCTACGTGAAATGTACCCCCTATACATCAAACTTAGCCTGTGATTTTGTGTTATACCCATGAGGCAACAGTTGCCATTTGATCAATAACATGGCCCAGGAAAAGACGCTGTGGTCTCTGTCTTATTATGTTATTCATGGACACCAAGCAACTACAGAGATCTTCATCCTATTACTTTTAAAAAATGTAGCTTCCATTAATTCTTATTGGGCATGTATTCAGGCTTTAATCAAAACACGAAGTTCTTATTTTCAAATATTTCAACAGTTATTTTGGTCAAAGAGTCAGCTGTAAATTCCTACATGAAAAGTAAATGAGTGGCTGGGCGTGGTGGCTCACACCTAAACTTTCAGCATTTGGGAGGCTAAAGTGGGTGGATTGCTTGAGCTCAGGAGTTCAGGACCGGCCTGAGCAACATGGCGAAACCTCATCTCTACAAAAAAATAACAAAAATTAGCCACGTATGGTGGCACACTCCTGTGGTCCCAGCTACTCGGGAGGCTGAGGTGGGAAGATCACTTGAGCTGGAGAGGTGGAGGTTGCAGTGAGCCAAGATAGCGCCACTGCACTCCAGTCTGGGTGACAGAGTGAAACCCTGTCTCAAAAAGGAAGAAAAGGCTGGGCGCGGTGGCTCACGCCTGTAATCCCAGCACTTTAGGAGGCCGAGGTGGGCGGATCACGAGGTCAGGAGATCGAGACCACGGTGAAACCCCGTCTCTACTAAAAATACAAAAAATTAGCCAGGCGGGGTGGCGGGCACCTGTAGTCCCAGCTACTCGGGAGGCTGAGGCAGGAGAATGGCGTGAACCCAGGAGGCGGAGCTTGCAGTGAGCTGAGATTGCGCCACTGCACTCCAGCCTGGGCGACAGAGCGAGACTCCGTCTCAAAAAAAAAAAAAAAAAAAAAAGCAAATGAGCAGGCCTTTTCATATCAGAAATTCAGAGGCTCTCTTATATATGCCATAAATAAAATAGTGACAACAGAGAGCCTGTAGAGACACAGCTTGAATGGAAAATTATTGAAGTTTCTCCAAGCTAAAATTTATATTTGCATGCTTTGTGTAGCTACATACTTTAGCTAGACACTTTAGCCTACTTTCTATCCAGCCATCGTGGAAAGTAAACATGTGCCTGTTTAACACCCAGTGTTTCTCAAACATTGATCCATACTTACTATGTCAGAAATACCTGAAGAGTTATTTTGTTTTGTTTTGTTTTGTTTTGTTTTTGTTTTTTTTTTTTGAGATGGAGTTTTGCTCTCGTTGCCCAGGCTGGAGTGCAATGGTGCAATCTCAGCTCACTGCAACCCCCGCCTCCCGGGTTCAAGCAATTCTCCTGCCTTAGCCTCCCGAGTAGCTGGGATTACAAACGCCCACCACCACACCCAGCTGATTTTTGTATTTTTAGTAGAGACGGTGTTTCACCATGTTGGCCAGGCTGCCCTCGAACTCCTGATCTGAGATGATCCACCCAACTCGGCCCTCAAAATGTTGGGATTAGAGGCGTAAGCCACAGCGCCCAGCTGAGTTTTTTAAGTATATTAATTATTGGGTCCAACCTTAACAGATTCTGAGTCAGGTAAGTCTGTGTTGGATCCTTTAACTGTTGTATTTTGTTAATTTTTTTTTTTAATTTCCTAGGTGATTGAGATACACAGCCATGTTAGGAAACCGTGACTTTAAACCCAAATGTTTAATCTTTTTTGCAGATTTCATTAGCAATAATTCACAAAGCATATTCATCTTCTACAGCTCATGAAATAACTCTGTTCTTGAAAATCAGAGTACATGTAGAGGAGAAGGGGTTTTTGTTCTGACAATATAATACTGTCCAATGCTACGTGATTGGTAGATAAGGCCTCCAAATCCCTCATAAATTGTGGGATTTAGATGAGATAATTTTAAAGTTCACTGAAGCCATAAAGTTATTTAACCTATGTAATCTACAGAATTAGATGTGAAATAGAAATGTTGATTATGATTTTCATCAAAAGCATATGGGCTATATAAATTGCTAGGAAAACGTGAAACAAATTAAAAAGCCATAAATAAAAGAGCTTAATCCTTGAATTAAAACAAACAAACAAAAAAGCAACCACATTCATAGCTGAATCTACCTGAAAGGCCAGGATTAGTCATATAATGATTTAACCCCTGCTTTGGTCAGCATTTTTCTATAATTTCCTTGCCAACCCAGAATGAGAATGGTGACAGGTCTGGAAAGTAGTTTTCAGTGTGCTGAGCTTGAACAAAGAACAGTTTCCAGGGTGGGTGGGGTGAACCTTATTTTTCAGTGAGATGTCACTCCTGTCTGATTAGGACGCTGTGAATCACTGTATATTTGGCACACTGCCAACTGAAACGTACCTTTGCTTTTCTCCCTTTGGTCTCTCCCTCACTTATTATCATGGGAAAAGATAAAATTCACAAGCTCTAGATCAAGAGTTTACTTCTCAAAAGAAATATCTCATTTTAGAAGCACATTCTAACATCCCAGAATCACACGTCGATTAGATTGTCTTCAATCTAAACTATTATTTGTGATAAAAGCTCTAAATTACTGTATTCCTTTCTAATTTTATTATCCTTAAACTGTACCTTAACTATGTTCACTTTTTGTACAATTGGAAAATGGTTGTATATTAAGTATTCATCAGTCATTACTGAATTTCAGGGGGCAAAATTACAAATCATTTGTTAAACTTTCAAAATTATCTTTGTCTATAATCTCTCTTGTACCCTGAAAGACCACAGTAATACCATACTTTCTTTCCTCTCCTACTTAATGTTATTATACAGCTATTGAAACCACAATGGAGAATAAAAGAAGAGAAATAGCCATGTGTTTCATTTAAGATGAATAATTTCATCTAAGTAATTTCTACAAGACATTGCTTTGTTGTCTTTAAATTTCATTTACTTGAATGGGAATCAAAGGCATCTCCTTGTGAGTTATTCAGCACAAATCAGATTCCTTATTGGAAATTAAGCTTTGGACCTTGGCAATAGAACTACCTTCAATAAGACAGTAACATTGAAAATGTTTTTTCCCACCCACTGATTCTGCTTTACAGATCTAACATTTCCTCTCCCGATGTCGGAATAGCTCTGATATCACCCCCTCCTCCTTTCCTGTCTTGAGTCTTTGTTCTTCAAGTCCAGTGTCAATGATCATTTTATCAATGATCAGCTTCATTTCAAAGCTTGCAATGAGGTGACAATGCCAGGGCTTCCACGTCAGAGAAATAGGCCACCTTTGTCACCTGGCAAAAAACATTCTATTGGCACCTTCAAACCCATCTTTAGATATCAAGCTAGTAGTTTGGTGAAAATAAAAGTGCACCTTTACTAAATGTACCTCGAATGGCAAGGCCCTTCCAAAACCAAAACATTTAGACCAGGGGAGAGCTAAAATGTCTGACAGTTGTGTAAAGTGCAAGATTTAGGTGTGTGATGAATAATGATGTGAAAGGATGCATGTTGCATTTCTAGCCTGCAAACAATGACCATTTTTTGAAGAGTCAAGCAGCAAGCAGGGTGTCACCACAGCCTCCAGGTCTCTCCCAAGTGTCCTGCTGGTGATGGTTTCTGTGCGCCTGTCTGTAAAATTCTCCACCCTCGTACCCAAGCCCATAGCTCCTCCTTGTTGAGACTTGTCCCATTAGTCTTCTGAGGCTAGAACAAACCCAGGCGAAAGTCTTGATTGCTGGCTGAGATAATCAGGAATAAGTTGATTCTATTTAGCAACTTCTCAGCTGTGCGGTGGAGGTGGTTTCAACATTATAATCGAGGAAGTCCATAATGCCTTCCTAGAGATTGGTATCCAAATCAAAAACCTTCATGTTTACCTTGGTGCTACTAGCTTTGTCTTGAAAGTTTAAACCCTGCCAACTTAAGGAAATCTCTTATCATGTAAGTTTGACAGCTCTGTTTACTTTAGCCCTGACCTATAGTTTAATAGTGAAAAGTTTGGAGGAAACAAACCTCATAGGAGAATGCTTGACATTATTAAAATGCAAAGTACACAAAAGAGAAGCTACTGTGAAAGCTGTCTCCATTTGTGACTCACTCCTTGAAGAAATTTCTGGCCTTTATGCCATGTGTGCTCTGTGTGTTAGAAGTAAGCATCCTGTTAAAGGAGTACACAATAGATCCCTTCTTTTTTTTTAAGCTGAAGATGAAAATTTAAAAGAAAATGAAGTCTTTGTATCACTTCAACTTCAGTGAGTTTTGTTGTTGTTTTTTATTTTAAATTTGCAGAGTCGCTCTAGCTTATAAATATCATGGTAATTAATTTTACTTTACCTGAGCTGTCTTCATTCAGGTAGTTACTATAACATATTTTGAAAACTTAAATGAAGAAAGATTTGCAGCCCTGGGACAGGGGAAACAGAAAGCAATGGCTCAGCTTCTCCCGGGTGGAAAGGCAAAGTCAATGGAACCGGGAGTCAATACACATTCTCTTGTTTTTTTTTTTTTTCTTTTTGAAGACAATTGAGGAAATTTACTTATTTATTTTTAATTGATGAATAAAAATCGTATAGTGTACAACATGAGGTTTTGATATAGAAATACATAGTGGAATGACTAAATCAAGCTATTTAACTTCACATACTTATTTTTGTGATGACAGCAATTAAAATCTATTCTCTTAGCAATTTTCTTTTCTTTTTTTCTTTTTCTTTTTTCTTTTTTTTTTTTTTTTTTTTTTTGAGATGAATTCTCATTCTGTCACCCAGGCTGGAGTGCAGTGGTGCAATCTCAGCTCACCACAACCCCCGCCTCCCAGGTTTAAGCGATTCTCCTGCCTCAGCCTCCCAAGTAACTGAAATTACAGGCATCCGCCACCATGCTGGGCTAATTTTTGTATTTTTAGTAGAGATGGGGTTTCACCATGTTAACCAGGCTGGCCTTGAACTCCTGACCTCAGGCAATCCGCCCGCCTCAGCCTCTCAAAGTGCTGGGATTACAGGTGTGAGCCACTGCACTCGGCCGCAATTTTCAAGTATATACAATATATTGTTATTAACTGTAATCGCCATGATGCATAACAGGTCTCTTGAACTTGTTCCTTCTAACTGAAATTTTGTATCCTTGACTAAAATCTGTCCAATCTCTGCAGCTCCTGTAACCACCATTCTATTCTCTACTTCAATGAGTTCAACTTTTTTACACTCCACATATTAGTGAGATCAGTATTTGTCTTTCTATGCATGGCTTATTTCACTTAACTTAATGCCTGCCAGGTTCATCCACATTGTCATAAAAAACAAGACTTTTTTCTTTTTTAAGGCTGAATAGTATTTCATTGTGTATATATAGCACATTTTCTTTATTCATCCATCCACTCATGGATATTAGGCTAATTCCATATCTCGGCTATTGAACATGGGAGTACAGATGCTCTTCAACATATGGATTTCATTTCCTTTGGATATATACCCAATAGTAAGATTGCTTGATCAAATGGTAGTTCTATTTTTAATGGTTTGAAGAAACTTCATACTGTTTTCCATAATGGCTGTACTAATTTATCATTCCATCAACAGTCTGCAAGGTTTTTCTTTTCTCTACATCTTCACCAACACTTACCTTTTGTCTTTTTTATAATATCTATTCTAACATGTATGAGGTGATATCTCATTGTAGTTTTAATTTGCATTTCCCTAATGATTGGTGATGTTGAACATTTTCTTCACATACCTGTTGGCCATTTGTACATCTTCTTTTGAGGAATGTCTATTTTGCTCACTTTTAATTGGATTATTTATTTTTTTAACATTGGATTTTTTGAGTTTGGCTATTAATCCCTTATCAGATGTGTAGTTTTCAAATACATTCTCCAATTCCCAGGCTTTCTCTTCATTTTGTTGATTGTTTCCCAGGCTGTGTAGAAGCTTTTTAGTTTGATGTAATCCTATTTGTTTATTTTTGCTTTTGTTGCCTATGCTTTTAGGGTCATATCCAATAAAATATTTTTCTAAATCAATGTCGTGGAGCTCTTCCCCTACATTTTTTCCTAGTAGTTCTGCAGTTTCTGGTTTTACATTTAAGTCTTTAATTCATTTTAAGTTGATATTTGTATATGGTGCGAGATGAGGGTCTAATTTCATTCTTCTGCATACGAATATTCAGTTTCCCCGGCACAGTTAACTGAAGAGGCTGTTCTTTCTCATTGTGTGTTCTTGGCATATTTGTTGGAAGTCAATTGAGAGTAAATGCATGGATTTCTTTCTGGTATTTCTGTCTTGTTCCATTGGTCTAAGTGTCACTCATTCTTTTACTAGCATAAGATGCAAACCATTTTGGAATCTGAAAATGTGGTTTAGAAAGGCGTGGCATAATTTAGTTTGAAAATGAATAGCAAACTTGCCCAGTCTTTTCACCTTATTCACGGCAACACTAAACATTGAACTACAAAATATTACCTTCCTTAAAAATGGAATTAGACTACACTTATTTATAATTTTCAACTTTGCACATTCCAGAATAAACTGAGTTTTGTTGATGCCACAGGACAGAGGGGAAGTGTCGTCTTTGTGCTTGTGTGCCTTAATTATGTGTTCAAACATAAAACAAAATTTCTTTCAATAGATCTAACTAAACTCAAATGAGATTATATATAAAGTTCAGTTGAGAGGGATGGAAAGATAGGCGTACTGTTACCTTTAAATTCCCTAAAGAGCATCAAAACATAGCAAAAGATTCTTGATAGCCATGTAATCTTGAATTAATAGCTATACATCTTAGTCATAGAATTAAGATTGTCAGAGCATGAACAATTAAAAGAAAGGCCAGATAGTTTAAGTAAGGTTAGATAAAATTTATTTTTGCTTGATTTTAGTTTTTCAAAAAGTAATCAAAAGTGAAAGAAAACAAAAAGATAATACAAAATACTACAGTTGTACACATTGTATTAACCTTTCTACTCCAAGTGAAAATGTGCATAGAAACTATAAAGATAGCAAACATATTTACATATATTTTACAGATTCTAAAGTGCTGATAACCAGCTAATGATTCTGAATCATGGGCTCAGATGTTTTAGAGTTACATGTTATATAGTTTAGTTTATTGCACATGTAAATGTACATTATTTCTTTATTTCTTCAATAAAATATTGTTTTAATGCAATTATATTAAATCATTAATAATGGATAGATAAAATATTGATCAAGCTTTATATTAAAAATGTCTGATTTGGGGGGTGCATTTACTATGTGCTCAATACTCAGTTAAGAAATTTACATACATTATGATATTTCATCCTCAGAAGAATCCAATGAGTTAGTTAATACCTATTTAATATAATGAGGAACATGAAATAAAAAGGTTGGTGAAGAAACTGGCTCATGAGATCACGCCATTGCACTCCAGCCTGGGCAACAAGAGCAAAACAACTCTATCTCAAAAAAAAAAAAAAAAAAAAAAAGCTGGCTCAATTTACACAGTTAGTAGAACATGGAGCTAGAATTCAAACTCATATATTTTGCTCCCAGAAATACTCTGTTCTGATTAATGTTGCTTATATTGCTAAAAGTTATTTGAATGGGGCAGACATAGTCTGTTGTGTGGAATCGTCAGCTGAGGCTCAAGAGCCTGGGCTCAGTTGATACGAAGGCAATTTCTGTACCATATCCTCAGTGTGTTACAAAGAGCATGAGTGCTTAGGCCATTGGTGAAACGGTCTAGGGTCAATGAAGCAGTCTTATTGTCTGAGGTGTTATCTGAGCTCTTGGTCTCACAACCAAGGAAATTAAAAAGCAAGGACACCAAGGATGAGGTTGGAGCAAAAGTTTAATAAGCAACAGAAGAAAGCTCTCCACAGCAGAGAGGGGTCCCAAGAGGGTTTCCATTTTTACAGTTGAATGCAAAAGTTTGTATAAGAAACTTTCTTTATCTGTATAGCTGTGTAACTTCCCCTGTCTATATAGCTGCTTGTGTAACTGCCCTTTTCTGTGCAGCTGCGGGCGTGTCTTACGCAAGCACAGGGAGTAACACTTCTGTTGTCTGAGCAACTGTAGGCATGTTTTAGGCAAGCCCCCCGCCCCATGTAAGTTCCCAGGGAGCCCACCATGTACAGGTCCATGAAAGGAAAAGAAACTTTTTCCTAGGCGCCCGCTGATTACACAAAGAATAAAGGTGTTTCTATGTTGAGCTTTGCTCCCTTATCTGTGCAGCTGCAGCTTGATTTTCCAGGCTGTTTCTCTGTTTAAATCCTCTGCTGAGGACTTGCCTTAACTGTTTTTTTTTTTTCTTCCTTTCTCTTCTTTCATAAGGATGGCCTCAAACTCACTCGGTGGTCTTGAGCAAGCTGCTTACCTGCTCTGCATTTTGATGTTTTTTTCTATAACGCGGAAAATAAGCAGAGCACCCTGTGCGGGGTTGCTGAAAGGATAAAATGAGTATGCAAACACCTTGGACAGAATCACTCTATCGAACATGCTTATATTCCTCCTTTCTGATGCACTGAACACCTCTGGTTGCTGAGTTGTAAGACAGAAATGAGACTAAATACCTGCTTAACTTAACTAAATACCTGCTTAACTTAACTAAATACCTGCTTAACTTAACTAAATACCTGCTTAACTAAATACCTGCTTAACAAACCTCAGATATTGCAAGAACTTAATATTTCAGAAACATTCACTTAGAAATATGCTTTTATGAAGTAAAATTATTTACAAATAACTAAAATTATGAGTACCTTGGGGAAAAGTGTATTTCATAACCAGAAAAATCACTTCCCCTAAGTTTATCTGCCTCATATTTTACCAGTTTCATGATGTCGTAAAAATTATTTCTACATGTAAGCATACATAGATTAAATATGATATTCTATTTATTATATTTAGAAAATGATCGTATTCTCTTTCTCTTTGTTAAAGGCCAACTCATTCCCTTCACTTCCCACATTTTTTTTAAACAGAAGTTTCCAATCAAGCCATTTATTTCTAGAATGTTACCGGCATCACCTATAAACAGGAGCCATCTACTGTCATGTTTAATATTGCTTGTGTTTCATAAATTGCTTGTATTTCATTACTGCTTGTATTTCATAAATTGGTGCAAATACTCAGAACTTGCAAAAATAATTACCATTCAAAACCAAGAAATAAAGAAATAATGATATGCTTGTTTGTAGTATTATGACTAAATACAAATTTACTGGAAAGCTCTGCTCATAAACTCCATTTTCTTTCTGAGAAGCTGGCTTCACAAATTGGAAAATAATACTTTTATGCATATATTTTCTCATTCAACAAATATTTGTAGAAAGCCTGCCCTGCTGTGTGCCAGGCACTGTGTTAGGCCTGATACAATGATAAACAGGAGAGGGGATACAATAACGAATAGGAGAGTTGTGACCTCTGCCCTCAGGAACAGGGCACTTGTGGTGCAGACAGATAAGTAAACACACTGCCATGTGTGAGGAGCGCCAGGGCAGGGAAAGGGGAATGTGCCCTGGGAGCACACACCAGGAACCCCAGACCCACACTTCATGGTTGCAGGTAGGGAAGGTTCGCTGGTGGGAATGACCTTTAAGCTATTCTCTGAAGGATAAGGATTACCAAGTAAAGGGGGAGATTGGAGTGGCGGAAAGGATAGAGAGTGTTTCCAAAAGAGGAAACAGCATCCATGAAGGTATACAGGAGAGAGACAATGGTATATTTAAGAAACTGAGAGAAGGTTCATTTGGCATGAAGCCAGCATGGAGTTCAAGGTGGAGAGTACCAGGAGATAAGAATAAAGAACTAAAGAAGATCCAGCTTGTACAGAGTTATGCTAGTAGTACTTAAAAATTGGGCTTTTATCTAAGGACAATGAGTTCCAACAAGAATAGTAACATAACAGGTTAGGGAGGTTCATTTAGAAACCACTGACATCCACTAGAATATGCAGAGGCTTCCTAACACTGTCTGGCATTCTTCTCTGCTGGAACTCTTTGTTAGAATACATGGACATGGTCACTGCAGCCATGTAACAGGTTAAAATGAAAAGCACCTTTGTCGACGTCTCTTTTTCCAAACAAATATTGACTTCAGCAAAAGAGGTTTCATCACCTTCTGCCCACCTGTGTCTTCTCCCACTATTGCACATCTTTGGCCACATCTATTATCTACCTGTCTCCGGAGACACTCTCCTCTCTGCAAGGGAAACAGGGGAATTGTCCTGGAAGGTCAGTGCTATAGGGTTAAGAGGAACTATAAAACATGTCTCACCAGGTACAATGGCACGTGCCTGTAATCACAGCTGCTCAGAAGTCTGAGGCTGGAGAATGGCTCGAGCCCAGGAGTTCAAGACCAGCCTAGACAACATAGTGACACCCTATCTAAAAACAAACAAATAAATAAATATTAAAATACATTTAAAAAAATTACTCTAATATTCAAAAAAAGTTTCTCAAGCCAAAAGGAAAGCCTTCAATCCAGCCTCCATCACACCATTTCATAAAGGTAGAATACGTGGTGCTTTTTACACATTGCTTTATAAAACAAAGCAGTAGACTGAAGAAATGCTGAATGGTGGCCTTGATTACTACCTCATTGTGCCTTTGCACAAGTGGAAAGGCTGGGCTTGGAAGTCAAAAGACTTTAATGTTAGTTCTGCTAGCTATAAACTGTATGATCCCAGCAAATAACATAACCACTGTTGCCTCATTTCCTCTGTCTGTGAAACTGGAATTATACTTCCGCCTCTATGACTTTGAAAAGATATGGGAGGTAACTGCACAAGAGAAAGCACCTCACGTAAAACCTAAAAAGCAATAACAGCTCTCCTGTAGGAAGTATCTACTGTGTGCTGGCTATGTTACGTATTTCGTTTAATCCTTATAACACCCCCTTTGATAGGTATTACTTTTCACTTCCTACAGGTGAGGAAAATAAGGCCTAAATAGGTTAAGTAACTTCCCTGAAGCCCCACAGCTTTGCCACTTAGCCAAGATTTGAACCCAGTTCTAGCTCAGACCAACGCCATGCAAGCTTTTTGCTCTAATGCCTTTTCCCCCTTCCTTTCTCTTTTTGGCACACCAACTACAGACTGCAATAGGTTTTAATTTAAAATGCCTAATAAAAACATACTTTTATCAGAAAAAGCTACATACTTATATATGTATCATGCACATGATTACATGAGCAACACATATTCGCAATATAATTAATTCAAGTAATAATTCTGTCCCACCCTGATATTATGTATGTCCCATTTCCGATACCATCTTCTGTGTTCCAGAGATGAGCAACCTTGCTTGTGCTTGCTCAAGCGAAACACAGTCAACTGCTCCGGTGTCACTCGCTCCTCAAGTGGCCTGAAGCCGTCCAGCGGTCTCGGTGAGTAATGCAGTGACTAAAGCCCACACAAAAAGGAAGCAGTGCCCTTTTAATAGAGCCACAATATAAAGAAAACACTCAAGCCAGTTCCAGCTACTGTGAATGATTTATTGGGTGAGCCCTGCCCGACTAGGCCCAGCAATTTCCCATTTGTTGCGTCCCAATCCTGCCCCTCCCACATCTCCACCCTCCTGCTGCGGGCCCTTCCCAGGCACCTCCCTCTTTTTATGGTGACTGCAACTCTGCAGCTAACAGCTCACACACCACACCCTGACTCCTGCACTGGCTCAGGCTCCCTGGGATCTCTCTGCCCAACCCTCAATCCCCTCCTTCTACCTGCATGAAGCCTCTCATTAACGTGCCTTCCTTGACTCCTCTACAGACACCTCCCACTTAGATTCCTCAGCCTGTCTTCTTTCATCTCCTTTTTCATTTTATAAATTCTTTCCTAATTACCTCAAATCACAAGCATGTCAGATTAATTGAGTAAACCTCTTGAAAGTCTGTCCTCATAGACAGAGCACTCTGATGACAATCTTCCTCGAAGGGACAGCTAGACACTCGGTTAGGTCAGCTCCTTAGGTCTTGCGGCAATGCCTCATGTAAATGCTGCACGATATCCATTCGAGTGCAGACAATTGCCAATTACTGGTTAATAATTAGCATGGCACTCATTTCTTTATGGTAGTCATAATAATCGCAATAATAATAATAACTTCCATTTATTGGTCTAGAAATCACTGTGTGGCAGGTGCTTTTCATGCAGTAGCTTACTCAATCCCATAAGAACCCTTTGAAGGTAGGCATTTTTAGAGTAAACAGATGTACAGATTAAGGCAAAAAGAAATTCAGACGCTTTTTTGTTACATGGAATTAAGTACCAGAGACAGATTTCAAACTCAGTCTCTCTAAACACAAAGCCTGTCCATGCTTCCTGACAGCTCCAACCACATCCACTCTTCCCTCCATTGTTACTGACACTTCCATTCATGGTTTCTCCTTATTCATCACTCTCCTTAAAGAATTCTTTGCTAGAATTCTATAGATTCTGTTTATATAACACTTTTTCTGTCTATTTTCTTCCCTTCCCACTGCAACCACCCTGGTTAAGGTCTTCATTACCTTCCTCCTAAACCATCCAGCAACCATCTGACCAGTCATACTGTCTTGTTTCTCCCTCTAAATCCAGTCTTCACAGGGCTTCATATTTTCTCCTACTTAAAAAAAAAAAAAGTAATACGTTTCCACTGCCAATTAACTCAGGGAAACTTCTCATTCTAGCATTAAAATTTTTTAAAAAATTCTTTGTAAAATGAGATCAGTTTTTCTGTTGCCATATTTACTTTACTTTTAATGGCCATAGAATATTGCAGGAGAGACTGGGAAACAGAGATCAGTCACAGAAACAGATTTAGGCTCAGGCCTAAAAGATTTAGAAGAACTCTGACATCAGAAGAGGAGACACTGGGCAGGAAACTAAGGTGGGGCTTCATACAAAGAGTGAGTCCTTAGTCTTGAGAATACAAGCTTTGGTGCTGAGATGACCTGATACACTATGAAGACGAATTTAGCAAATATAAATTTTACCTTAATCATCTAAAAATTGTCTCATTTTTTAAAAATGCATGTTGATTCTAAAGATTAAATCCCAGATTCTGTATTAAAAAGAAAACTGTATTATGCTTCAAACAGTAAGAAATTCATTGGTATATTTAGAATCCCTTTTTGTAGTTTACTTCTATGATTTCCTTTGACTTTAAATAGTAGCTAGAGAGACCCTCTCAAGTTTACTGTTAATATTAATATATTATACATTGGGGGAATAAAAGGGATGACCTCACCTCCAGTTCTTGCTGTTTACCTTCTACACACCTTAAATTGAAATTATACGTTAATATCTCTACATTGGTGAACTTAAGTTAGTGACTAAGAGTATTTTAAGGTTATTAATCAATGACAGCAGGGTAATTCTATTTATAAGTAATGAATCCTAAAATGAATACTTGTTAAAAAAAAAAAAGTAGCTTCAACAGTGCTTACAATTCCCATAGTTTATTCATTCTTTTTGTGTATGTACATTATTTAAATAATTGAGGAAGTATATCAAAGCTTTAGAAATGCAAATAAAGCTGATTGTAATTGTAAATTGCCATCATTATTCTTTTGGATACCACAGCAATGTAAATTGAATAGCTAAGGCATGTAATTATGAAATTATTTAGTGGAAGGGGGTAGTCACTTCGAATCTACTTAGGTAAGGACCGCATGCCTCCAGCACACCTCGCCGTTCTTTAGCACACTCACCAGCATTCTTTAGTGGATGAACAATCTGATGCCTGATAAGATCATGGGGAGAGAGTGACAAAGGGTATTTGGGAGGAAGAAGAAAAGGATTAAGTTAACCAAAATGTTAAGTAGTTAAGAAACAAACAATTAACTCTTCAATTAGTAAATATTATAGTGCATGTTATTTTGAATCAGGCTGGGACACAGAACAGCAGAGGAGCTCATTCAAGTTCTAATTTAGTGTTCTCTGTAAGAGAGGACCATCTGAGAAAGTACAGTGTGCGATTTCACCCTGGAATCATTCAGACATTTGAAGGAGTAAAAACAAATTTGAACTGAATTGAATTTAAAATAGGTTTGCTAAATGTGCCCAGCTCTAAAAACTCTCCATTTCCAAACTCTGTGTACAACAACACATCTTTACTTAAATGTATTTTTAAACATATGCACGGTAAAATTTACTTTTTGTGGTGTTGAGTTCTAAGCATTGTGACAAACACATCAAGTCATATATCCATCATCAAAATTGTCATTGAGAACAGTTCCATCATCCCTCAAAATTTGCTTATGCTCCTCCTTTCTAGTAATCTTCTCCTTCCATTCCTAACCCCTGTCACCCACCCATGAGTTCTACAGCTCTATAGTTTTGCTTTTTTAGAATGTCATATAAATGAAATTCTATAATATGTAATTTGGGGATTTAGCTTCTTTCACTTAGCAAATCCTTTTGAGATTTAACAATGTCGCTTATACATATCAAGTCTGTTCCTTTTTATGGCTGAATAGTATTTCATTGTCTAGATGTACCATAGTTTATTTATTTACTATTCAAGTTTTTTTTTCCAGTTTTTAACAATTATGCACAAAGCTGTTAGAGATATTTACCTACAGGTTTTTTTGTGAGCATACATTTTTATTTCTCTTGAGTAATTACTCAGAGTGGCATCTGGATCATATAGTAAGTATATACTTAATCCTATAAAAAAGAACCAAACTGTTTCCCAAAATGATTGTAGCATTTTGCCTTCTCATTAACAATAAATAAGACACATAGTTCGGATATCTTTGTGCTGCAGTTGGGGTAATGTCTATTGACCTATGTTCAAGTTGACTAACCCTTTCTTCAGTTTGTGAAGTCTTCTAATGAGCCTTTGAATGTTCTTCTTCATCTCTGTTACTGTGCTTTTTATTTCTAACATTTTCATGCTATTCCATGTTATAGCGTTCCTCTCTCTGCTGAAATTGCCTTAGCTGTCTGTTTTTTGTATGTTGTCAGTTTTTTCTTTAGAAACATCAACATATTAGTTATAGTTGTTTTAAATTATCTTTCTGATAGTTCTGTCTTCTCTGTCATATCTGAATTTGGCTCTATTGATTGCTTTTCTCTTGGTAGTTTGTTGCTTTTTCTTGCTTCTTTGTATGCCTTATAATTTTTTGTTGAAAGTTGTATACCTATGTAGGAATAGAAACTGAGGCAAACAGTTTCTGCATTTGCACATGGGCATACCTGTCCTTACATTAGATCTTTATTTTGGGGAGGTGAACCAATCTAGGAAAGTGTTGAGTTGGGTTCGGTTCTTGTTGCTGTGCTGGCAATCAGTGTATACCATAGCATTCAGATTCTTCCAGAGATAACTTGTGTTTAGGGTGGAGACAGATTTGCAGTTTCTCTCACTATGTGCTTAATCTTTAGCTTGAGGTCTTCCCTTCCTGTTGTGCCTCAGAGAGGGTCTCTCTTTCTTTGTCTCTGAACTCTTGCAACTCTCCCAACATTATTGCACTGTTAGAAGTTACTCAGTGCTTGTAAGCCTGGTGAGAGGGAGGCAGCCTCTGTTATTCTGGTGAAGCCTTGGTCTTGTGTAGGTTCTATATCCCTGGATCTTTAGGAGTGGCCTTCTTAGTGCTCCTGACCCACCCACCAGCTATGGTTATGAGCTCCACACATGTTCCTGCCCTTCCTCGAAGGCTAGAGACTTTTCTTCTGTTCCCCACAGACAGGTAGAATGGTTTTTCCCAGTGTGATAAGTGCAGCAGTGCTTGTTGTCCCTCTGCCTGCATTTAAGACTTTTGTTACACAGGGGAGATAAGCCCATGCAGGCCTTCATGCCTTGCCTGCAGGGCTTACTATTCCTTTCCCTTAGGCCTGCCCTATTAAGTATGCTTTCTTGGATTCTCACTAATCATGTTTGTGTGTGTGTGTGTGTGTGTGTGTGTGTGTGTGTGTGTGTGTCTGTAAGCCTGTAATGTCCCTGGAAAAGAACCTGAAAGAGAATGTTACTCCCTTTATATCTATGACCCTAGAGACTCCACACTCTCATCAGCTCACACTTGGCTTCTGCCAACTCCTTAACTGAATTCCTTATCTAAATTCTTATTGGTACTTGATTGCATTTCCCCCAGGTAAACAAATGCTCACATCCCTCTCTCTCTGCAGGTATTTTTTTCTTCTTACATTTCAGATTGGTTAGTTGCCATGTGACCTCACCTTTCTGATGGGTTCAAAAAGTCATTAATTTGTAGTTTGTCTGGCTCTGTGTCACTGCTGTAAGGGTGAGAGTGATGTTCTTTCTGGCTCTTAGCAACCCAAAAGAAAACTGAAAGGCTTCCTACCTTTTTGGAGCCAATACAGGCTTTGTTTTTCAATATATTAGCTTTAAACAACAGATCGGCCTTAAACACTTGTTGTCTTTATTAAAATGTAGATAAAACTTCACTTGTATGTCCAAAAATTCCTCCCTACTACATCCAGTTTATCCCCGTGGAATCTCAAATACCCTTGTACATATCTAGGTTTCCTGGTTAAAACAGCCATACACTAAATTGGAAATCAGGAGAGTTGGTTTATCTAATCTCTTACTAACAGTATGACTTTGCAATTTGTTATACTGTCTTTTGATTTCAGCTTTCTCATCTTTAAATTAAGAAGTCAGTGTAAATTGCCTATATAATTCTTTCTGGTGTAATAATTTTTAGATAGTCTTATTTTTACTTTTTTGTTGTTGTTAAGAATGCAATTGTGTCACATGATTTTTAGTTATTACTTTGGAGTTTCCCCAGAGTATTGAGTCTATAGTACAATGGTTGAGCCAGCAAGCTTAGGAGGGAAACTGCCTAAGTTCAAATTCTTAGTTCAGCACTTTGGCGCTCTGTGTATCTTGGGCAAATTACTTTTCTAGGTCTCAGCCCCTATATTTAAACTTCAAATGATAAAATAATATATAATAGTTTTTTAAATAAAAATGTAAATTATCTAGTATAGTCTATAAAAGCTCAATAGACATAAAATTGTTTGAAAACATTGGCTGATAATCAAACCAAGGACAAGCACACGACTGCTCTCTAATTGAAGATAGCAGTAGAAGGTTGACTGGCATTTGTACAATGCCCAGTTTAACATCTGGGAGCTTAATATCTGGGAAGTTTTAAGAATTCACCTAATGTTAAAAAAAAAAAACAAACAAAAAAAACAAGACAACACCATGATACTAGAGTTTTGGAAAGGGACTGTCCTTACCAAGAAAAAGTGTATTGAACCTGGTATTCTTGGATCAGTAATTTAAAGTTGCTGGCTAAAGAAAATGGCCACAAGTCCTAAAAGACAGTTCATATTTTCCTCCTTTTTATATCTCAGTTTTTGTAACCTTTTCTGAATAGAACATTTATTTCTGCTTGATGAAGTGTGCTTTAGTCTGATTGTAAAGAGAATAATAGAAAGAATTGAGAAAAGGAAAAAGGAGTGACATTGATAAATTTTAGCCAACTTAAAAACTAGAAAGTATATGGTCACAGAGCAAAATAATACTGATGAATTTATAACTTTTAATAACATTGGAATAGCTACTCTCATTTTTGTGATAGCATTGTCTCTTTAGAGGAATCCATTAAAAATATAGATTTCAGGTTCCTATCATACCAGACATTCTTATTTATTTGATCAGCTATGCCCCAAAATTATGAATTTAACATACTCCCTAGGTTACTCTCGTGTGTTTTCAGGTTTAAAAACTACTGCTAGATTATGCGTGCAGGTCATAACCATATTTTAACTAATTGAAATGTAGTTTTGAAAATGCCCATAGTTAACCATTACAAAGTTGAGCCTCATAGGAATACAAAGTTCACAGAAGCCAGCAAATGCCCTCCCAAAGATCAGGATGATGAAGTGTGGATAAAACTATAGAATGAATCTTAATGTAGTCGCAGATCCCCTGTGTTAGATGAGGAATTATTTCTAGGCTCTTTTATCCTCCCTCACAGTTAAGAACTCATAAGACTCCTAACTCCTAGGCTTCTTCCAGTTCCCCAGGCAACTTTTAACCTAACACTGCAGGATTAATAACACTTCCTTCAGTAGCAATTCTGATTTTGATCCTAAACTGAGGTTCCGATAATAGCTCTTGCCCAGCCTCTCTAGAATTGATGACATGGTTTCATTCATGCCAGTTTCTACCCTTGCCTACTAAAACCTCAAAAATTCATACTAAATCCAGCCCAGTGATGGGCTCTAGCTTCCTAGATGCAGATTGCATTGACATTGGCAGTCAATTTGCCTGTATGCTCTCCATATTATCAACTGCTCCTGGATCCCATGACTGAGCTTTCCAGTCCAACAACTTGATTCAATTCCCAGTCTCCACATTTGCAAACTCATGATTCTGGCCAAGTTGTTTTTAACTCTATGAGCTCCAGGTTCCTCAACTGAAAAATATTAATAGCAATAATTTTATCACAAGCAATAAAAATTAAATAATGATTATATATTAACTGAAATGATAAGTCTGGTAGCAGGTGCTTAATGGCTACTTATTCATTCTCTAATAGAAAACATATATGGAAACACTGTGCTTCCTTAATACACTCCTCTATCTTCCTTTGGCTCTATTCTTCTCTGCTCAAAATTACTTTATTAAAATATGATTATTATAATCTTTTGCATCTGTGTTTCCTACTCTTTTTCATATCATGGCATATATCTAAAGTGATTGTATTTCAACAGAAAAATAGGACAAGTGAATGAAATTAAAATTGCTGAGTAAAAGATATAATCATCGCAGAATCTCCAGCCTTCTCAAGCCTATCCTGGAGGCCCTGAGTGCTACATTAATCATTTATCAACCTATCTGTAATTTATCACTTATCCCAGTTAAGCAACTTTGCTTCGATTGGCATGTTCTGCCAATAGACAAATGTATTAATCCATTTTCACGCTGCTGATAAAGACATACCCAAGACCATGAAGAAAAAGAGGTTTAATTGGACTTACATTTCCAATGGCTGGGGGGGCCTCAGAATCATGGTGGGAGGCAAAAGGTACTTTTTACATGGTGGCAGCAAGAGAAAAATGAAGAAGATGCAAAAGGAGAAACTCCTGATAAAACCATCAGATCTCATGAGACTTACTCACTACCATGAGAACAGTATGGAGGAAACCACCCCCATGAATCAAATTATCTCCCACTGGATCCCTCCCACAACACATGGGAATTATGGGAGCACAATTCAAGATGAGATTTGGGTGAGGACACAACCAAACCATATCATTTCATCCCTGGCCCCTCCAAATCTCATGTCCCCACATTTCAAAGCCAACCATGCCTTCCCAACAGTCCCCCAAAGTCTTAACTCATTTCAGCATTAACCCAAAAGTCCACAATTCAAAGTCTCATCTGAGACAAGGCAAGTCCCTTCCACCTATGAGCCTGTAAAATCAAAAGCAAGCTAGTTACTTTCTAGACACAATGGGGATACACATTTGGGTAAATACAGCCATTCCACATAGCACTGGAAGTCCTAGCCAAAGGAATTAGGCAAGAAAAAGAAAAAGCATCTAAATTAGTAAAGAAGGAGTAAAATTATCTGTTTACAAATGTTATGATCTTATATATAAAAAAACTCTCAGGACTCAAGAAATAGCTGTTAAAACTATATTGGCATATAAAAATTAGTGGTATTTCTATATACTAACAATGAACCATCCAAAAAATTTAAGAACACAACTCCATTTATGATAGCATCAAAGAGAATAAAATGCTTAGGAATAAACGTAACCAACAAGGCAAAAATCTTGTACACTGAAAACTATAAAACATTGGTGACAAGAATTAAAGAAGACACAAATGGAAAGATATTACATGTCCCTTAGTTGGAAGACTTAATATGTTAAAAATGTTCATACTACTGAAAGTGATCTACAGAGTCAATGCAAACTCTATCGAAACTTCAGTGGCATTTGTTATATAAATATTAAGAAATCTAAAATTTATATAGAACCACAAAGGATTCAAATAGCAAAAACAAACTTTTTTTTTTTTTTTTTTTTTTTTTTTTGAGACGGAGTCTCACTCTGTCACCCAGGCTGGAGTGCAGTGGCATGATCTCTGCTCACTGCAACCTCCACCTCCCGGGTTCAAGCAAATCTTCTGCCTCAGCCTCCCAAGTAGCTGGGACTACAGGTGCGTGCCACCAAGCCTGGCTAATTTTTATATTTTTAGTAGAAACAGGGTTTCACCATGCTGGCCAGGATGGCCTCAATCTCCTGACCTTGTGATCTGCCCACCTCAGCCTCCCAAAGTGCTGGGATTACAGGTGTGAGCCACTGCACCTGGCCAGCAAAAAGAATCTTGAGAAAGAAGAGCAGAGCTGGAGGCACCACTCTTCCTGAGTTCAAAATATATTACAAACTTATATAAACGAAAAGAGTATTGTGCTGGCATAAATACACAGACAATATAGATCAATGGAACAAAATAGTGAGGCTAGCAATAAACCCACTCAAGTATGGTTAAATAATCTCTGACAAGAGTGCAAAGAGTCACAATGGGGAAAGGATAGTCACCTCAACAAATGGCATTGAGAAAACTGAGTCACCACATGCAAAAGAATAAAAATGGACATTCATACCATACACAAAAATCAACTCAAAGTGTATGAAAGACTTAAACATAAGACTGGAAACTCAAAAACTCCTACAAAAAAACAGAGGGACTCTTCATTACGTAGATATTGGCAATGATTTCTTATATATGACCCCAAAAGCACAGGCAACAAAAGTAAATATAGATGAATAGAATGACATCAAACTACAAATCTTCTTCACAGCAAAGGAAACAATCAACAAAATAAAAAGGCAACCTACAGACTGAAAGAAAATATTTGCAAACCATATATCTGATAAGTCGTCAATATCCAGAACATATAAGGAACTCCACAACTCAAAAGCAAAAAAAAAAATCTGATTTTAAAATGGGCAAAGGACTTGAAAAGACAAATAATACATGTAAGTAGCCAATATGTACATTAAAAAGTGATTAACGTCATTAATCATCAGGGAAATGCAAGTCAAAAGTACAATGACAGGATGAAGAGAGAAAATGGTGGATAGGAGACAGGACTAATGTGCAGCTTCCACTTGGACATGCAGAACAACGTGTGAAAACTCACACCATGAACTTCTCCAGGAACCACAGCACAAACGTGCCAGGAAGACTGAAAGGGTTCACTGATCCTTTGGAAAAAGCAGCTCACTATGCAAACTCTGTGAGACAGCAGAAAAACTCTGAGTTTTCAAAGTGTGAGAGGGGGAATCTTGCCTTTGAACACACATCCCCACTGGGGAACCTATAGAAGAAGCAGTGGGAAGAGTCCTGTAGGCACTCCCAGTCCCCAGTTTGAGCCCAGGGAGGCCATCCCTTACTTTATCTCACAGAGAGGGTCCTTGGGCAAAACAGCCAGCCAAACTAGGCAGGGGGTCGCAGGGTGAAAGAAGCTTCCAACTGAACTTTGTAATTTCAACCAAGCATGAATTTTTGTGAGCAGCATATACGGGTGAACAGGAATTGCTGCAGGTACCAGCACAGGAGACATGGCTGATAGTGTGGGCAGGTGGGAAGGGGCAAGGCCTGAAAGCCGTGCTTACTTTCTCAGTGGAGAGGCTTTTAGCCTGGGGCGAGGTCTGAGTCCTGCATGCAGGATGCTGGATATAAACACTGTTGGTGAGGCACAGCAGGAAGAAGACTAGCCTCACTGGCTGTGTGGAAGCTGGGTGAGGCCTGTCACTGCCAGCTTTCCGCCACTTCCCTGATGACCTATATGATGCAGCAGAGGCAGCCGTAATCCCCCTGGGAACATAACTCCATTGGCCTGAGAACCACCTCCCCATCCCCCATCGTGGCTGCAGCAAGCCCCATCCAAGGAGATTCTGAGCTCAGACCCACCTAACCCTGCCCTCACCTGATGGTTTTTCTCTACCCACCCTGGTAGCCAAACACAAAAGACATAAACTCTTGGGAGCTTTATGGCCCCTCCCACTGCCTGAGAAACCCAAATACTTATTCTGGCCAACTTAAAGCAAGCTTATATCCCCCCTCTAATAATGCAGCTGGTGCTCTCTTGAAAGAACCGCCTCCTGGCTGGAAGCCAAACAAATCAAGCCATTGCAGCAACTTGTGACAAAATAACCCTGATCAAGGAAGTAGAAAACAGCAGCGAATTCCTCCGCCTGCAACATTCTGGCTAAGCAGAGGTCCTGAGTCTGTCCACGCGACAACTTCACTTCTAGCATAATCAGCATTCAAGAAAACCAGCACACTAAACGAAACTACAGCCAAGGACTTTCACAGTCTACTTCACTCTCCTGCCACCTCCACCAGAGCAGATGCTGGTATCCATGGCTGGGAGACCTGAAGACAGACCACATCACAGGACTCTTTGCAGACATTCTGCAGTACCAGCCCAGAGCCTGGTACCCCACTGGGTGGCTAGACCCAGAAGAGCAATAGCAATCACAGCAGTCCAGCTCTCCAGAAGCCCCCATTCCTAGGGGAAGGAGGAGAGCACCACATCAAGGGATCACCCTGTGAGACAAAAGGATCTGAACAGAAGTCCTTGAATTCCAGATCTTTCTACTGAAATAGTCTACCCAAACAAGAAGAAACAAAAAAAAAGTAATTCTAGTAATATGACAAAACAAGGTCCTATAACACCCCGAAAAGATCTCACTAGCTGCTCCCTAGCAATGGATCCAAACCAAGGAGAAATCTCTGAATTGCCAAATAAATAATTCAAAAGGTTGATTATTAAGCTACTCCAGGAGGTACCAGAGAAAAGTTAAACCCAACTTGAAGAAATTTAAAAAAAAAATGCAGGGTATGGATGAAAAACTTTCCAGAGAAATTGATATCATAAAGAAAAAAACAATCACAACTTTTAGAAATGGAAGACACACTTAGAGAAATACAAAATAGACGGCAAAGTTTCAACAATAGAACAAGTGGAAGAAAAAACTTCAGAGCATGAAGACAGGGCTTTCAAATTAACCCAATCTGACAAAGACAAAGAAAAAAGAATAAAAAAATAAACAAAGCCTCCAAGAAATTTGGGATTATGTTAAATGACCAAACCTAGAATAATTGGTGTTCATGAGGAAGAAGATAAATCTAAAAGTTTGGAAAACGTATTTGAAGGAATAATTGAGGAAAATTTCTCCAGCCCTGCTAGAGTTCTAGCATCCAAACACAAGAAACTTAGGCTACTCTGCCTATGGAGTAGCCATTCTGTATTCTTTTACTCTCTTAATAAACTTGCTTTCACTTAAAAAAGAAATGAAGAAGAGGAGGAGGAGGAAGAGGAGGAAAGAGGAGGAGGAGGAGGAAGAGGAAGAGGAGGAGGAAGAAGAGGAGGAGGAGGAGGGGAGGAGGAAGAGGAAGCTCAAAGAACACCTGGAAAATTCATCGCAAAAAGATTATCAACTAGGCTCATAGTCATCAGGTTATCTAAATTCAAGATGAAGGAAACAATCTTAAGAGCTGTGAGGCAAATGTATCAGGTAACCTATAATGAAAAACCTATCAGATTAATGACAGATTTCTCAGCAGAAACCTTACAAGCCTGAAGGGATTGGAGTCCTGTTTTTAGCCTCCTCAAACAAAATAACTATCAGCCAAAAATTCTGTATTCAGCAAAACTAAGCTTCATAAAGGAAGGATAATACAGTCTTTTTTTCAGACAAACAGATGCTGAGAGAATTTGCCACTACTAAGCCAGCACTACGAGAATAGCTAAAAGGAGCTATTCTAAATCTTAAAACAAAAACTTGAAATACATCAAAATAGAACCTATTTAAAGTGTAAGTCTCACGGACCCTATTAAAAAATAACACAATGAAAAAAAATAAGATATTTAGGCAATAACTAGAGGGATGAATAGAATAGTACGTCACATCTCAATATTAATAGTGAATGTAAATGACCTAAATGCCCACTTAAAAGATACAGAATGGCAGAATGGATAAAAAATCCGCCAACCAAGTACCTTCTGTCTTCAAGAGACTCACTTAGCACATAAGGACTCACAAGAACTTAAAGTGAAGGGGTAAAAAAAGACATTCTGTGAAAATGGAAACCAAAAGTCAGCAGGAGTAGCTATTCTTATATCAGACAAAACAGACTTTAAAGCAACAACAGTTTAAAAAAGACAAAGAGGAACATTACATAATGATAAAAGGATTAGGCCAACAGGAAAACATTACAATCCTAAATATAGGTGCACCTAACACAGGAGCTCCCAAATTTATGAAACAATTACTACTAGGCCTGAAAAATGAGATAGATGTCAACATAGTAATAGTGAGGGACTTCAATACCCCACTGACAGCACTAAACAGGTCATCAAGACAGAAGGTCAACAAAGAAACAATGGACTGAAACTATATCCTACAACAAATGGACTTAACAGATATTTATAGAACATTCTACCCAACAACTGCAGAATATACATTCTTTTCATCAGCACATGGAACATTCTTCAAGACAGACCATGTGATAGACCACAAAACAAGTCTCAATAAATTTAAGAAAATTGAAATAATATCAAGTATCCTCTCAGACCACAGTGAAATAAAATCAGAAATTAACTCCAAAAGGAACCCTCAAAACTATATGAATACATGGAAATTAAATAATCTGCTCCTGAATTATCTTTGGGTCAACAATAAAATCAAGATGAAAATGTAAAAATTCTTTGAACTGAAAGATAATAGTGACACGACCTATCAAAACCTCTGGGATATGGCAAAAGTGGTGCTAAGAGGAAAGTACGTAGCATTAAATGCCTACATCAAAAAGTTTGAAAGAGGCTGGACTCAGTGGCTCATGCCTGTAAACGCAGCACATTAGAAGGCTGAGGTGGGTAGATCACTTGAGGCCAGGAGTTTGAGACTAGCCTGGCCAACATGGTGAAACCCCATCTCTACTAAAAATACAAAAATTATCCAGGCATGGTGGTGCATGCCTGAAATCCCAGCTACTTAAGAGGCTGAGGCATGAGAATTGCTCGAACCCGGGAGGCAAAGGTTGCAATGAACCAAGATCATGCCACTACACTCCAGCTTGGTGACAAAGTGAGACTCTGTATCAAAACAAACAAACAAAAATCTGCAAGAGCACAATTAGACTATCTATGTTCACAATTAGACCTCAAGGAACTAGAGAAACAAGAACAAACCAAACCCAACTCCAGAAGAAGAAAAATAATAATAATAACAAAGATCAGTGCAGAACTAAATGAAACTGAAGCAAAAAAAATACAAAAGATAAATGAAACAAAAACTGTTTGTTTGAAAAGATTTTAAAAAATTGATAGACCATTAGCAAGATTAACCAAAAAAAGAAGAGAAGATCCAAATAAACTCAATTAGAAACAAAATGGGAGATATTACAACTGATACAAAAGAAATACAAAAGATCATTCAAGGCTATTATAAACACCTTTATGCACACAAACTAGAAAACCTACAGGAGATGGATAAATTCCTGGAAATATACGACCCTCCTAGATTAAACCAGGAAGAAATAGAAACTCTGAACTGACCAATAACAAGTGACAAGATTGAAACAGTAATTAAAAAATTGCCAACATAAAAATGTCCAGAACCGGATAGATTCACAGCTGAATTCTATCAGACATTCAAAGAATTGGTACCAATCCTACAGAAACTATTCCAAAAGATAGAGAAAGAGGGAATCTTCCCTAAATAATTCTCTGAAGCCAGTATCTTCTTGTTACCAAAACCAGGAAAGGACATACCACCAACAAAAAAAACTACAGACCAATATCTCTGATGAACCAAGATGCAATAATCTTCAACAAAATACTAGCTAGCCAAATCCAACAGCATATCAAAAAGATAATACATCATGATCAAGTGGGTTTCATACCAGGGATGCAGGGATACTTTAACACACACGAAGTCAATAAATGTGAGACATCACATAAACTGAATTAAATACAAAATTCTTATGATTATCCCAAGAGACACAGTAAAAGCATTTGAGAAAATCCAGCATCCCTTTATGATTAAAACACTCAACAAAATCAGCATAGAAGGCACATACCTCAGGGTAATAAAAGCCATCTATGACAAACCTACAGCCAACATTAAACTGAATGGAGAAAAATTGAAAACATTCCCCCTGAGAAATGGAACAAGACAAGGATACCCAGTTTCACCACTTCTATTCAACACAGTACTGGAAGTCCTAGCCAGAGCAATCAGACAAGAGAAAGAAATAAAGTGCATCCAAATGAGTAAATATGACGTCAAACTGTCACTGTTCACCAACAATATGATGGTATACTTAGAAAGTCCCAAAGACGGCCAGGCATGGTGGCTCACACCTGTAATCCCAGCACTTTAGGAGGCCAAGGTGGGTGGATCACCTGAGGTCAGGAGCTTGAGACCAGTCTGGCTGACATGGTGAAACCTCGTTTCTACCAAAAATACAAAATTAACTAGGCATGGCGGCACATGCCTGTAATCCCAGCTGCTAGGGAGGCTGAGGCAGGAGAATCACTCGAACCCAGAAGACAGAGGTTGCAGTGAGCCAAAATAGTGCCATTGCACTCCAGCTTGGGCAATAAGAGAGAAACTCCATCTCCAAAAAAAAAAAAAAAAAAAAAAAAAAAAAAAACTAAAAAACAAAAAACAAACAAAAAAACCCCAAAGACTCATCCAAGAAGCTCCTAGATCTGATAAATATGCAGTAAAGTTTCAAGATACAAATCAATGTACACAAATCCGTAGCACTGCTATACACCAATATTGACCAAGCTGGGAGTCAAATCAAGAACTCAACCCCTTTTACAATAGCTGCGAAGAATAAAAAATACTTAGGAATATGCCTTACCAAGGAAGGGAAAGATCTCCACAAGGAAAACTAAAAAACACTGCTGAAAGAAATCAGATGACACAAACAAATGGAAACATATCCCATGCTCATGGATGGCTAGAATCAATATTGTGAAAATGACCATACTGCCAAATGCAATCTATAAATTCAATGCTATTTCCATCAAAATACTATCACCATTCTTCACAGGGATAGAAAAAACAATCCTACAATTCATATGGAGCCAAACAAGAACCCACATAGCCAAAGCAAGAACAAATCTGGAGGCATCACATTCCCCAAATTCAAATATAGTACAAGGCTATAGTTACCCAAACAGCATGGTACTGGTATAAAAATAGGCATGTAGACCAATGGAAGATAATAGAGAACCCAGAAATAAAGCCAAATACTTAAAGCCAACTGATCTTTGACAAAGCAAATGAAAACATAAAGTGGGAAAAGGACACCCTATTCAACAAATGGTGCGGGAATAACTAGCAAGCCACATGTAGAAGAATGAAACTGGATCCTCATCTCTCACCTTACACAAAAATCAACTCAAGATGGATTAAATACTTAAATCTAAGACCTGAAACCATAAAAATTCTAGAAGATAACATCAGAAAAACTCTTCTAGACATTGGCTTAGGCAAAGAGTTCATGGTCAAGAACCCAAAAGCAAATGCAAAAAAAGCAAAAATAAATAGATGAGACTTAATTAAACTAAAAATCTTCTACACAGCAAAAGAAATAATCAGCAGAGTAAACAGACAATCCATAGAGTGGGAGAAAATATTTGCAAACTATGCATCTAACAAAGGACTAATATCCAGAATCTACAAGGAACTCAAACAAATCAGCAAGAAAAAAAGGAACAATTCTATCAAAGAGTGGACTAAGGACATGAATAGAGGGTTCTCAAAAGAAGATATACAAATGGCCAACGAACATATGAAAAATGTTCAGCATCACTAATTACCAGAGAAATGCAAATTAAAACCACAATGCTATACCACCTTACTCCTGCAAGAATGGCCATCATTTAAAAATAAAAAAAAATAGATTTTAGCATGGATGTGGTGAAAAGGAAACACTTTTACACTGCTGGTAGAAGCAGCAGTGTACAATTGTATACAAGTCCCAGTGCCTAGGCCACAGACCGGTACTGGTCTGTGGCCTGTTAAGAACTCGACCACACAGCAGGAGATAAGCAGCGGGCAAACAAGTGAAGCTTCATTTGTATTTACAGCCTTTCCCGTCACTCACATTACCACCTGAACTTGGCCTCCTGTCAGATCAGCAGCAACACTGGATTCTCATAGCAGCTCGAACCCTACTGTGAACTGTACATGTGAGGAATCTAGGTTGTGCGCTCCTTATGAGACTCTACTGCCTGATGATCTTTCACTGTCTCCCATCACCCCCAGATGGGACCGTCTAGTTGCAGGAAAACAAGCTCGGGGCTCCTACTGATTCTACATTATGGTAAGTTGTATAATTCTTTCATTATATATTAATATTACAATGTAACAATTAAAGAAATAAAGTGCACAATAAATGTAATGCACTTGAACCATCGCCAAACCATCCCCACCACCCACCACCCCATCCATGGAAAAACCATCTTCCACAAAACTGCTCCCTGGTGCCAAAAAGTTTGCGGACCCCTGATTTAAATCATAAATCATCCAGGTTGTTTCTTACCACAGCATAATGTCACCCATTCTGATGTGTACACATTCTCTAAAAGATATTACAAACACATTATTTAAACCTGTTTGCCAGCCGGCCTGGTGGCTCACGCCTGTAATCTCAGCACTTTGGGCGGCCGAGGTAGGTGGATCACTTGAGATCAGGAGTTCGAGACCAGCCTGGCCAATATGGTGAAACCCTGTCTCTATCAAAATACAAAAGTTAGTTGGGCGTGGTGGTGGGTGCCTGTAATCGCAGCTACTTGGGAGGCTGAGGCATGAGAAGTGCTTGAACCTGGAAGGCAAAGGTTGCGGTGAGCCAAGACAGTGCCACTGCACTCCAGCCTGGGTGATAGAGAGAGACTCAGTCTCAAAAAACAAAAACAAAAACAAAAAGCTTCTTTGCCTGTATTTGCTTATTCCTATAGAGTATTTATGTATACAAGTTTATTCCTTTTTAATGCTCAGTAGTATTCACTTATATATGATTGAATACAATTGAATACTACTGAGCATCAAAAAGGAATAAACTTGTATATAATTGAATATGTGTGTATGTGTGTGTATACAGCATATTTTGCTTAGTCACTTACTAGTTGATGGATAATTAAATTGCTTCCAGTTTTTTGAATATTTCAAAAAATGCATTTAGAGACATTTTCATATTTTTCTTTTTTTTTTTTTTTTCTTTTTGAGACAAGGTATTGCTCTGTTGCTCAGGTTGGAGTGCAGTGGTTTGATCTCAGCTCAATGCAACCTCGGTCTCCAGGCTCAAGCAATTCCCCCATCTCAGCATCCCTAGTAGCTGAGTAGCTGGGACTACAGGTGCATGCCACCACACTGGGCCAATTTTAGTATGTTTTGTAGAGACAGAGTTTGTCATGTTGCCCAGGGCTGGTCTCGAACTCCTGGACCCAAGCAATCCGCCTGCCTTAGCCTCCCACAGTGCTGGGATAACAGGTGTGAGCCACCGCACCCAGCCAATATTTACATATTTTTCAACTCTAGAATTTCCACTTTGTTTTTTCTAGTAGATTCTTTTTCTTTATTAATAGTTCCCACTTTTTAGCAATTGCCACCACATTTCCTTTAGTTCTTTGAACATGTGTATACTGACCTCTTAAGTTCTTCAAAGATATTTATCATATCTAATTAGAAATTTTTGTCTGCTAAATGCAACATTTAGACCCACTCAGAGACAGTTTTCACTGGCTGTTTTTATGCTAAGTATAATTTACATTTTCCTATTTGTGTTCTTGCATGCTTTATAAACTTTTGTAGAAAACTAGACAATTCGGATAATATATTGTAGCAACTCTGGATTATCACTTTCTTTTTCTCTGAGGGTTTTTTGTTGGGCGTGTGTGTGTGTGGATTTTGTTGTTGTTTGCCTACCTGTTGTTTTTAAGTAACATATCTGAATTAAATCTGAGGAGTTTAGAAGCCCCATGATGTGCAGCTGTTGATGCCTCTGCTTAACTTTTTTATTGTTTTTATTTTTTAAGCTGGTGTCTTAGAAGTGACCCCTGGTTTTGCATAATTAAATGGTCCGTCAATGATTGAACAAAAGTTGTGTTCAAAAACGGTGGGCTATAAGGCTTTCACCCTCTGCTTGTGGATCTGTGTTTAGTTTGGGCAGTTTTCAAGTCTGCGTGGCCTTTTGTTGTTATTGTTGGCCCTCACGTCTCCACCATTCATGCACACAGGCTCCCAGGCAGCCAGGCATGTGTGGAATGTTTATCAAGTGCCTCAATTGCTATCTCCCTGCTAAATATCTTGCTGGTCTTACATTCTGTTACTTGCCCCAACCAGGACCATAACCTCATGCTGCAGGCTTTTCGTGTTCACTGCTGGGTGAGATTTTTCCATCCTCCACTCCAAACAAAATCAGCGGCCTCCAGCAGTGAAGGTGCTAGTTTTCATGGCCATTTGGCCCTGGTAGAACTACTGCATCATCTGAGCTGAGGCAGGGGCAGTGGACAACTTCAGGCAAGAATGCCACAGACTTCCACTGTTTTCCCTAAAATTCAGTAGATTTTTGTGAATATATGTCTCTTACGTTGTTGTTTGCCTTTTGTAGATTTCCAGAGCTTGCTTTTTTTTTTTTAACTATTTTTGTCAGTTTCATAGTTGTTTTTTGGAGAGATGGTTTGTGAATCTCTTCAGTCTTATATAGCTGGCAGTCCTGCCTATTTTCCCTTTTTTATATCAATGAATTCCACCTTTCACAACACTTAGATGCATATATATATTCAAACCCTTCAGGGTACTCAGCAGAGTAAAGGGTGAATAGAGGGCACTTTATTTAACAGGACCCAACTTTTATAAAAGGTAGTTGGGGACTGGGAACCATGGCTCACACCTGTAATCCCAGTACTTTGGGAGGCTAAGGCGGGTGAATCTCTTGAGCTCAGAAGTTTGAGACCAGCCTGGCAACATAGCAAAACCCTGTTTCTAATATGTGTGTGTGTGTGTGTGTGTGTGTGTGTGTGTGTGAGAGAGAGAGAGAGAGAGAGAGAGAGAGAGAGAGAGAGAGACAGAGAGACAGAGAGAGAGAGAGAGCCCGGAAGGTCGAGGCTACAGTGAAAGCTATGTTCACACCACTGCACTCCAGCCTGGGTGACAGAGCAAAATCCTGTCTCAAAAAAAAAAAAATGGCAATTAAAATTTAAAAATAGTATCATTTTTTTCTTTTCTAATAACAATTGCCCTATAAGCATTTCTGGTATAGAAAAGCCAAGTAGACTTGGCTATATGAGACATATTTTTTCCTTTTTATTTATAAATAATGAAAGAACCACAACACATACAACAGCTCAGATGCAGAGCAGCATTTCTTCAAGTCCTTCATTACCTCCGTCCAGAAACACTTTCTTTACTTAACTTCCTCTTCTGTGACTTCACTATTCTTTCTCTCCTCCTGGCCTCTGAATTTTGTGCACACTGCCAGTAAGTACTGGACTCTCTTCTATTTATTTTCTACACACGGACATATTTGGTGGTCACGCCTCATCTCTCAGGTTTAAACACCATCTTTAAACTGAGGCCCAGTTATGCAACCACTTCCTTGACACCTCTACTTGGATCTCCAATAGACAAAATTTAAAATATCTAAAACAAAACTCGTGGTTTAAGACCACACCACAGATTTGCTCCTCTCTCAATCTTCCCATTCATCCAATTTTTCTGGCCAAAAACCTAGAATTCACCTGAGTTGACTCTGCTCCCTTTCACTCTACAGTCAATTCATGAGCATGTCCTAAGGGGCTCATAATTCAAAATGTATCCAGAATGTGAGCTGATCATGTCCCTCACTGCCACCATTCTAGACTAAGCCACCTTCATCACTCACCTGGGCTCTTGCAATTGCCTCTGAAGTCTTCTTTCTGCTCCAACATAGTCAAGTCTCTTTTTGAAAATATAAATGAAATCTTATCGTTACTTGGCTCAATTGTTTCTTGCAGAGTAAGATTCAAGCTTTGCACTATGTACTGGTCTGGCCTGTGCTCTCTGGCTTATTTCACTCCAGTCATCCTGTTTCTTTTGCATCCCAACCTCAGGCCCTTTGGCTTTTACTTATCTTTAAAACAAGTGAGGCAGAAATGGTAACCAGCCATTTGACTCACATTGCATTGGCAAGAATGCCATCACATCACATTATCATCTGCAAAGGACTCAGAGAAATGTAATCTCTGCCAAGGAAGTCATATGATCAACTTAAATTCTATTACTACAACACAGGAGATAATGGAATTTGGTGGACAGTTAGCAGTTTCTGACACAATATTTGGCTCTAGCCACCCCACTGTTTAGATGTAAATTTCCTTCCACAAATGGAACATACTTGTTCCCTTTCCAAAGTAGGTAAGCTGAAGTCTAATTCAGTTATTTCATCCAGCTCAAAGTTCAGGATCACTAGTTGAAACACAGTCCTCTCCACCAGATCAATATGTTACCTCCCTCCAATTCCCACCCCACAAATAAACAGTAGCAGAGCAGGAATAGGATAAATGCAATATAAGCCACAATTTGGAAAAGGAAAGCATGAGAAGCACACTACAGAGACTGATCTAGAGAAGTTATCACTGTGCTGGGTGGGAGTCATTCATCTGTCTGCTCTGGGAGGTGAGTGGGTTCTTGGTTGACCCGTCTGGCTGTCCCTGGTTCTACTCTCTGAGAGGAACTCCTTTGCCTGTGGTCGTTGTGGCCTCTGACCTTGCCTTCTGGGCACTTATTTTGTGTCTTTTACATGAATATCAGAAGACTACTTCATGCCTCACAATTTTGCTTTTCCAAATTATGCTGATGGCTAATTTGGTAACGCAATCCATTGAAAACATAGTAACTGCAGGGTTTTTTTCCTTATAATTGATTGCATGTTTCAATAACCATACCTCATTTTTTTAAAATTTAGTTTTAAGTGTATCTGCTTTCTGACTTTTATACTGTAACTATCTGTGTTAGGCTGTTCTTGTGTTGCTATAAAGAAATGCCTGGCCAGGCGCAGTGGCTCACACCTGTAATCCCAACACTTTGGGAGGCCAAGGTGGGTGGATCACTTAGGTCAGAAATTCAAGACCAGCCTGGCCAACATTGTGAAACTCTGTCTCTACAAGAATACAATAATTAGCCAGGTGTGGTGGTGCATGTCTGCAGTGCCAGCTACTTGGAAGCTGAGGCAGGAGAATCACTTGAACCCGGGAGGTGGAGGTTGCGTGAGCCAAGATCATGCCACTGCACTCCAGCCTGGGTGACAGAATGAGACTCTGTCAAAAAAAAAAAAAAAAAAAAAAAAAGAAGGAGGAAGGAAGGAAGGAGAAAAAGAAATACCTGAAACTGAGTAATTTATAAAGAAAAGAGATTTAATTTGCTTATGGTTCTGCAGGCTATATAGGAAGTGTGGTGCTGGGCATCTGAGGCTTCAGGGATCTTTTACTCATGGTGAAAAGCAAATTGGAAGCAGCGGTGAGAGTTGGTGGGGGGGCAGTGCCACACAATTTTAAACAACTAGACCTCACGAGAACTCATTCACTATCATGAAGACAGTACCAAGCCATGGCCATGAGGGATCCACCTCCATAACCCAAACACCCCCTACCAGACCCCACCTTCAACATTGGGGATTACATTTCAACCTGAGACTTAGAGGGAACAACATCCAAACTGTATCGCCATCTTCTCACACTATCTTTCTGGAAATTTCTAACCACTTCACCTAGAGGAACAAGCTCAGTGGGAAATGTGCTTGTCTTGCAAATCATCACATGTCATATTCTTACCAAATGTTTTCAACACATGACTGAAGGTAACCGTAGTTCCCATCTACTATATTTTGTCCTTTCTGTGTGTTACTTGATTTTCAAGCCAAAATCACATCTTTTCTGTTTTTGTGATGTCTATCTGCATCCCACTTTCAATACCAGTCTCTTCAACATTATGTCAAAAAGCTAAGCTACAGTAATAAAGAGATCCCAAAATATAGTCACTTCTCAAAATAAACATTGATTTGTTTCATATATAACCTAATAGTCCCCAAATGAGCAGTTCAGGGTTCCAAGGTGACTCTGCTCTACATAGCCATCCAGGAATCCAGATCTCTTCCTTTTTTTTTTCTTTTCAGCATCTCAGACTTTCTTTTTAACTTTATGGTCAAAGTTGGCTAGTGAGCATATTTGTGTTCAGCTTGAAGAATAGGAAAATCAAGGCCAGCAATTTTCCTTTAAATTGTGGCAGAAATTTTACGTATCACTGCTGCTCATACTCTACTGGTGAGAACTTCATCACATGGCCATAACCAGGCAGTCTCTAACTTCGTGTGTGCAAAACATTATTCCTAGCATGTAAGTGGACTGGGATAACATTTTATTTGTGATAAGTGATTACAACAATACCACAAGGTAGATTATGTTGCATTTGAGGTATACTAATAAAGGTATCACGTGTCAATTATCTATTACAGGTCAAGAGTGAGTGGCTAGTTTCCTTTTGACTTAGTTGTGTCTTACAGGTTTTTTTGTTTTCTTTACAATAGAGTCTAACTATTTGCCTGTTTGGACAGTAACATATGAGAACTTTTATGCTCATAAAGAATCCTCCTTTTAAGAATTTCCTGGAATAAGATAAAAAATATTATGGTATCTCTATAGGCCAAAGAGAAAATGAAACTTGGAAATGTATAAAAAATGATAATAACAAAGAGGCGTGGAAAAGAATTCTAACTCAAGTTCCTTAACTGAAATCCACAGTTTGACTGTGAGATAAAGCTACCTCCAAGTGTGAATTCACTTCCCCAACATTACAAGACACCATACTGCTTTTAAGCTTGTGAGAATTAAGACACTCTTACAGTGGAGTCCACAATAAATAACAATTCATTGTATGAAATATGAAATATTATGTACCTTTTTGATCATTGTGAAGTTGTTATCAATTTTGCTTTATTTTTAATTTCTTTTAGATTTTTGGTTATACAATGACCCCATGCTGTAATTCTCAAGTATGACTCAGTCATGAGTCCGTAGTAAAAAAGAAAAAATAGCAGGATAATCATCCAGGTAGCCTCCTGTTTCAACCAAGTAGAATTAACAATGCTTTGTTTAAACAAGTCTCATTTTCAGTAGTGAAAGACGGTCTTTTCTGTTCAGTGAGTCATACCCAACCAAAGACATGCCAGAATGATGCAGTGACTACATAGAAATAATACAGGCTCTGTCTTACCTCTCTGAGAAGGAAAAACGCAACCTATGTTGGTTAAATAAGTTTTTGATTAAGTGAGACATTCAATTGCCAAATGAATATAAATTTCTTCAAAATATGTTTAATAGTTTATTTTCTGATTACATGTGTGGCCTTAATTCTGTTGAGTTCAACTTGATAGAATGTCAAATTCAGAGAGATTCATAAGTTTATAGTTCTTATGAAATGTCAGATTACGAGTAGGGTTGTTTTAAAACTCAAGGGAAGTAACACATTTTTAAAAAGAATTGAGCCTACTGATCTCTTAAGAGATTCGATTTTTTAGAACTTTCGTATATCAGAATCTCAGCCAGGCATGGTGGCTCATGCATATAATCCCAGCACTTGGGGAGGCAGAGGCGGGCGAATCACCTGAGGTCAGGAGTTCGAGACCAGCCTGGCCAACATGGCGAAACCCGATCTCTACTAAAAACACAAAAAAATTAACCGGACATGGTAGTATGTGCCTGTAGTCCCAGCTACTCGGGAGGCTGAGGCACCACTTGAACCTGGGAGGTGGAGGTTGCAGTGAACTGAAATCATGCCACTGCACTCCAGCCTGGGTGACAGAGCAAGACTCTGTCTCAAAACAAAACAAAACAAAGCAAACAAAAAAACTTCACTTAACAAGAGTTGGCAAAAAGATCAATAATGAAGTAAAAGGTATCTGACCTGTTAAGTCACTGTCATGAGATCAATGAAGTTAAAGCTCATGCAATTCATGCTTCGAATTTTATATCTTCCTTCAGAAACTGTTTACTTTCAGTTTTCACACTTTTAAGTGTTTTATTAAATCACTTTCAAATCCAGTGATGATTAGAAACAGCCAAATAGGAAAGAGAGTTAAGCACACTGCATATAAATAAAACAATGACTATTCATAATGTTGATCCTGAATTATTAACAAAAGGAGAAATTATATTAAGAGAATGCAATATACCTTTTCAAGATTTTCATCTAATATTTTTTATTTTAATTTTTGATTTCTATCTGAAAATTGAGCCTGACTGAAACCTGTTCTTTTCATATACCGTATCCCTGTATGTTAAAATTCTCTCTTGCAAATAATCAAATTGTCAAAAAATGTAACTAAAAAAAAATTCTTTTCCATTATATTCATGCAATAAATTTAAAAACTGCAACCTAGAATATTAGCCTGTGAACCTAAGCTTGTATATTAAACTATTACCATATGGAATAAAAACGTATAATTGGGTGTTTAACAATGGGTGTTAAGGCCGTATTATTAGCACCAATCATAGTCTTTCTATTTCACTGTTATTTCCACAATATTCTGTTAGCCAATTTAATCTTTATTCCTACTAGAACAAAAGAAAACACATTGGAGATTAAAAGAGAGAACAAAGGTCGTCTGCAAACTGCCTGCTCTCTAGCCCCTATCTTTTATGCCAGGTTATGAGGGCAAGGAAGCGGGTAGTGGGAACAATCCACATAGATTAGGTCTCTGTCTTTGGCTTGCATCAAAATCATCTGGAGAATTTATTAAAATACACCACTGAGCCACAACTCGAGAGTTTCTGGGTCCCAGACCTGAGAAATCTGTATCCTAAGCAGAGATGCTCCCCACACACCATGGCACTGGATGGTTGGGTAGCAGAGGTCTCCTGAGCCTGTGTACAGTGCACGAGGATCACATATGCCCCAGATGATGTGTAGCCAGGATGCACGAGCCAGCCAACCCAGTCTTCTCCAGCTGATGGCCATCTTATTGCTCAGTGCCTGTGTCAAATGGGTTGCTAAATATTTTTTATATCACCCCTGTGCTTACTCTGAATGCTTCAGTAAGAAAACTCTTAAAATTTGCAACATCCAGGGAAACAAATAAAAATTAGCTACTAGATGGAGGATAGCAGCCTTATAGGTTTTTTTTTTCATAGAGAGGGGTAGAATTTATAGCAGATAGGTTAATAAAAATTCAACATGAATAAAACATCTGCTTATCATGTAAAGTAGTTTCAAGCCACCTCAAAATATATATGCTTTTAAGTGGAAGTAATATCCTTGCTGTAATCCACATCCCCTAGGTCTGTTTCCCTATCAGATTGCTATTCTAGCCCTTCCTGTGTAGATGCTCTGTCACTGTCCTTGTAGAGAGCAGTCAGGCCTGGGTCTCTGACAGGAAGAGTTGTCTTAATGGAAGTCAGTGTGTACAGACCCTGCACCCAGTGGCTCACGCCTATAATCCCAGCACTTTGGGAAGCTGAGACAGGTGGATCATTTGAGCCCAGGAGTTCCAAACCAGCCTGGGCAACATGGCAAAACCTCATGTCTACAAAAAGTACCAAAAAAAAAAATTAGCCAGGTGTGGTGGTGCATGCCTGTAGTCCCCGCTGAATGCGAAGATCATCTGAGCCTGAGAGTTCAAGGTTGCAGTGAGCTGTGATTACGCCACTGCACTCCATCATGGGTAACATAGTAAGACTCTGTCACACACACACACACACACACACACGCACACACACACACACACCAAGTAAATGAATGAGTTATGGATTACACCAATAAAAGCAGTTTAATTTGTGGAAGCAACGAACAAGTAAACAGCAAACTAGAATTACAAATGCTGCATGTTTTATTTTCATTTTGTTATTGGCCATGATTTAGTTCATCTAGAAACAATTTTAAAATCAAGCAGAGATTTCAGCACTTATTCATATTCTTCATGTATTGCTATGAGAACATCTTTTTTCTCCTTAATAATCTTCCCCTTAATAATATTCTATCTACTTTCAGAGAGAATATAAACTTGAGACTGCAATTACCAGAAAACACTGCTATATTTTTCAGGGCTACTTTGTGCCCCATGTAGGTTATACTTACTGCTTATTCTGAATATGGCAAAAAAAATGACATAATGAGCAGATTTTTTTCAGGGCAAGTCCAACAACATTTTCCAGCATGGGCCAGATTGGACAAGGACTGTGGTAATAAGTAACCTGTGAAATAACAGAGGGAAGTCATGGAGATTGGAGGTTGGAATTTGGCATGGGAATAAAGAGGAAAAGCTTCACATAAGGGGAGCACTTGGCAAGGCTTGGAAACACAGCAGAGAAGAAAGAAGAGATCAAGATGATTTCAAGTTTCATGCATGCACAGCTGGAAGAGCTGTGAAGTCACTGAGATGGCTGTCTGCGGCCAGCCCACCTGAACGTGCTAGGTGCTGTCTGTGACCAGAGGAGTTAGGAGGTGCGAGTGCAGTTTTCTCTTCTGAGTGTGGTTGACCTTGTATTGGGACAGAGTGTGCTGGGGTGACAATATCACCACCAACAGAAAGGTGCAAACACAAGAATAGTAGCAAGATAAGAGGGCATGATAGAAAATGTTTTTGTGAATCTTTGGCACAGAAGTGAAAGTTGACACCACAAGCTTGAATGACAGTCCCAGAAGTGAAGGAAAAGGTGAACAAGAGAGCAGGGACTGAGCCAGTGGGACTGACTATCAACATGACAAATCTCATTTGGCTTTGTTTTAAATTGCTCTCCAGTTCCATATGGATTTTTTAAAGGAAGGATGAGTTGCTTTTGACCAAAGTCATACAGTACAATTTGTAAATATGGGCTTATTATAGATAGAAAGGTAAATTGGGTTAGAACTAACACTTTTTTGGTTTTCAGTATTTTCATCTTATTACCAAATATTCAACAGTCATTAAAACAATTTAAAAGAAAGCTTTGGACAAAAGTTTAGGCATTAAATTCCCTAAGTATGAGTATCTTCTAGTTCACATAAATATTTGCAAAAGAATTTTTGTCATTTTCTTGGTCCTTACTAAGCACCTCTTGTTTTAAAATATCCAGAATGAACACTTCTATCTCAATATACTTTAAAGAAGGTAATTTGTTAAAAAAAATTAGGAATGATTATTAGGGAGAAAATAAATATTCTCAATAGCAATACAAGAAGAATATGAATGAAAGCTAAAATCTCTGCTTGATTTTAAAATTGTTTCTAGATGAACTAAATTGTGGTCAATAACACAATGAAAATATAATATGCAGCATTCGTAATTCTAGTTTGCTCTTTATTTGTTCATTGCTTCCACAAGCATAACTGTTTTTACTTGTGCAATTGGTAACTCATCCATTTACTAGCACATTCAACATTATTAAGGGCCTAAAATGTGTACCAGACACTTTAATCCCTGCTTCAGGGAGCCTACATTGTTAGGAACATAAGTGTGAGCAAACTCATTAGGTAAATCCAGATGATTTAAGTAGATTGGTCAAACTATGAAAATATCTACATGACAGAACAAAGTACAAGTATCTGTTCCTTTTTAAAAATATTTTCTTATACTAATTAACATACCTTAGAATTTACATTGGGCACTTCTATCTGTCCTTTATTAATTTCAGCATCATGTGTTATTGATAGTGAATACATTTGAGAACTGCACTCAAACACTTGTGTCTATCAAACTTCTGAAACTACTGCAAAAATATGTGCTTCATCTCGCTGTCATCAAAATAAAAAAAGGAATAGCCCTTCTCTGAAAGAAGTTTAATGACCTAATAATTTGTTCCACCTCCAGTGTTTCCCACTGTGCTTACCTCAGAAAACCTCATTTTGATCACATCTTTTTCAGTGTCTATGAAGTTCATTATTTGTTGGTTTGTGTGTTCCTCAGGATTTTAAAAAATCATTTTGAATGATCAGTCTTTTTGTTCCTCCATATTATTCTATATCCTGAAGTCGTTTTGTAGTTATAGCACTTCAACCATCTTTAGCAAGAGAACTCTTGGGGAGGGAGTTAATGAATAGCTAAAATTATGTATGTTTTTTCCTGAAAAGAGTATTCAATAGTTGATGAATGATAAAAAACTACTTTGCCATCTAATATACCTTTGTTTGTAAGAAAAATAGAATGTGATAATATTTGATAATGATTTAACTCAGAATAGTCACATTATTTTTAAGGAGCATGAAATATCTATTCAGACACACATACATTACACATACACACTCTACCCTACTCCCTTGAAAATACCAGTCAACATTTTTTCATTTTTGTTTACCAATCTGTGGTGAGAGAACATAAACTAATATAGTGCTGGCGTAAATAAACTTGATTTAGGATGTAAAATCTGCCATAATGTTGTGCACCGATGTCATCTAGTAATGACTTTTGTGTTCACCACCTTCTTACTTCCAGTGGTGGAAATAGTGATGTGTTGGCGTACATGGCAGGAAAATCATCATTACTTGGGTGCCTAAGCAATGAAACAGCATGAATAGCATACTTGACAATTAGAGAGACAGCAAAAATAAATGAAGCATTAAATTAAACTAGCAGCGGCACTTGAAACAATATACCTGGCATGGTAAGACAAAATTATTCTACTGAAACATTTTAACTGTTGTTCAAGACCTATAAATATCACATTTAAATGGGATAGGTAGGTAGAGCATCCGGCCCATTTAGTGTTTCCAAGGATTGGGAAGCATGCCTAACAGATTTGAATGAAGATTACAAAATCTTCAGCTGAGCGCCAGGATGTTCCCATGGCTCCCTCTTCTTTTTGAGTCTTTTCACTCCAGGCCAGGGACCTGTCTGGCATACTTAGATGAAGAAATATGTGAGAGATATTTTTGTATTTTCCATGTGTTCAAAAATTCATATTTGTTTTACTATTGGGAGCCTATATTAAGGTCAACTGCAATTATCTCTGGGCACTAATTCCCTGGAGTGTAATTTACCTTTCATTAGAATTTCCCAATTAGACTGGGCGCAGTAGCTCACACCTGTAATCCCAGCTCTTTGAGAGGCCGAGGCAGCAGATCACCTGAAGTCAGGAGTTTGAGACCAGCCTGGCCAACATGGTGAAACCCTGGCTCTAATAAAAATACAAAAATTAGCCAGGCATGGTTGGTGGGCACCTGTAATCCCAGTTACTAGGGAGGCTGAAGTAAGAGAATCGCTTGAACTGGAAGGCAGAGGTTGCAGTGAGCCCAGATCATGCCACTGCACTCCAGCCTCAGTGGCTGGAGTGGAAAAAAAAAAAAAAAGAAAAAAGAAAAACAAGAACTTACCAATCAGCATCCACTTGGGATGGGTATATTTAAGCTTAACTGTTTAGACAAAGTTTGTTCTATTTTCTCTCTGTTTCTGAAGAACCGTAGAGCAACCAAGTAAACTACCAGTTACTATGTGTGGAAGAAGCCTTCCACAGAAGAAGGTTGAAAAGTGATTCCAATTTCATCAACTTCCTAATTACTTCCAAAATTAACTCTTCATGTTTGCCACCATATTTGTGTTAGGAGTTTGTATATGTTTCACGTCAAACTCTGGATTTTAGGAGAAGTAGGAATATAGAAAGACTAACCTAGAAGAATTAAACAGACTGTGAAATAAAGATTAGTTGGAACCTCAAAATTCATTTCTTGGGAAAAAAAATTTAACTGAGCACTTGCTACATGCTGGGCACTACACTAAGCATACTATATAGATCATCTTATTTTATTTTATTTTATTTTATTTTATTTTATATTTTATTTTATTTTATTTTATTTTATTTTATTTTATTTTATTTTATTTTATTTTATTTTATTTTGAGACAGGGGTCTCACTCTGTTGCTCAGACTGGAGTGCAGTAGCCCCATCACCAGTTGCTGCAGCCTCAACCTCTTGGGTTCAAGTGATCTTCCCGCTTCAGCCTCCCAAGAAGCTGGGACTATAGGTGCAAGCCATCACACTCGGCTCATTTTAAAAAAGAATTTTTGGGGGCTGGGTGCAGTGGCTTACGCCTGTAATTCCAGCACTTTGGGAGCCCGAGGCGGGTGGATCATGAGCTCAGGAGTTCGAGACCAGCGTAGCCAACATGGTGAAACCCCGTCCCTACTAAAAATACAAAAATTAGCTGGGTGTGGAGGTGCACACCTGTAATCCCAGCTACTCGGGAGGCTGAGACAGGAGAATAGCTTGAACCCGGGAGGTGGAAGTTGCAGTGAGCCAAGATCGTGCCACTGCACTCCAGCCTGGGCGACAGGGTGAGACTCCATCTCAAAAAAAAAAAAATTTTTTTAGAGATGAGGTCTCGCTATGTTGTCCAGGCTGGTCACAAACTCCTGGGCTCAAGTGATCCTCCTGCCTCAGCCTTACAAAGTGCTGGGATTATAGGTGTGAGCCATCGTGCCCAGCCAGGCTCAAGGAGGACCAAAGAGGACTTTGGTCTTCACAACAATCTTATGAGTTAGATAAAATTATTACTTCACATTTCAGATGAGGTACTTGAGACTTGGCTACACTGAGTAGCTTTCTTGAAGTCATACAACCAGTAAGTGGTAGAGGCTTATTTGAACCCAGGCAGGCTCTCTTTCCAGAGTTGGTGTTCTTAACCATTGATAGGCTGCCTTCAAGGACGTCCATTATTGAGACCTATGCAACACTTTGGAATCCTTAGCGAAAGACAGACTAATAGTCATAGGAAAGGAGTGGAATTTGTTAACATTAGGCATCTATATTTAGTTACTATATTATGAATTGTTCTTCAGAAGCAAAGCACTTACTGGGTAATGGTAGGCATTTACAACTGCTTTTTCATAAAGAGATGAGCATGAAAGGAACCAAAGCATTATGTTATACCCCATGAGCCTGCTGAAAGAGTAGGTGAGCCTGCCTTTCTCATTCCCAGAACCCAAGTTACTGGTGTTGAAGAAGTGGGGCTGTATTTGTCTTTGTAGAGAAAATTCTAGTCCTCTGTCCCAAGCTTGACATTTTTTCCATTCATACTCTTCTTAATCATCATTTATATTCTCATGGAAACATGAAAAATCAGATAAAATGAATTTTAAATAAGCAAAGATATAGTTGCTTAAGTTAACCAATATAAACTAGAAATAATTTCCCAAATAAGGATGCATTCAGTATCACTTCATAACTTAAAGGTGTACTGCTCCATTTTACATTATTTTTATTTTTATTTTACTTTAAGTTCTGGGATACATGTGCAGAACATGCAGGTTTGTTACATAGGTACACATGTGCCATGGTGGTTTGCTGCACCTATTAACCCGTCATCTAGGTTTTAAGTCCCGCATGCATTAAGTATTTGTCTTAATGCTCTCCCGCCCCTCAACCCCCAATCCAACAGGCCCCCCAGTAGGCCCCAGTGTGCGATGTTCCCCTCCCTATGTCCATGTGTTCTCATTGTTCAGCTCCCACTTACGAGTGACAACATGTGGTGTTTGGTTTTCTGTTCCTGTGTTAGTTTGCTGAGAATGATGGTTTCCAGCTTCATCCATGTCCCTGCAAAGGACATGAACTCATTCTTTTTTATGGCTACATAGCATTCCATGGTGTATATGTGCCACAGTTTCTTTATCCAGTCTGTCATTGATGGGCATTTGGGCTGGTTCCGAGTCTTTGCTATTGTAAATAGTGCCGCAGTAAACACACGTGTACATGTGTCTTTATAGTAGAATGATTCACAATCCTTTGGGTACATACCCAGTAATGGGATTGCTGGGTCAAATGGTATTTCTAGTTCTAGATGCTTGATGAATCGCCACACTGTCTTCCACAATGGTTAAACTAATTTACACTCCCACCAACAGTGTAGAAGCATTCCTATTTCTCCACAGCCTTGCCAGCATCTGTTTTTTTCCTGACTTTTTAATAATCGCCATTCTGACTGGCATGAGATGGTATCTCATCGTGGTTTTGATTTGCATTTCTCTAATGACCAGTGATTACTAAAACCAAATATATCCAAATTCTAAGAAAAAGCCTTTACCATCCTTTTTTCCCTCGTGTTTTCTTTCTTTCTCACAAGATGCCCCGCTTAACTTCAACATAACATAAATGCATTCAGCACCTTGAAACCTCATGCTGTGTTTGCAAAGCATCATTATGGTGGCCCAGATTTCTACTCTTACCTTCTTCTTTAAAATTGTCCACTCTTTTTTCTTTTCTTCAAAACTCCCTTTTCTCAGGGAGATTGATACATCATACAGTCTCTGACTTAGAATGTTTTGACTTAGGTTTTTTCAGTGTTAAGATGACAGAAAGCAATATGCATTCTGTAGAAACTGTACTTCAAGTATCCATACAAAAATTTTGTTTTTCACTTTCAGTACAATATTCATTAATCACATAAGATTTTCAACACTCTATTATAAAATAGGCTTTGTGTTAGGTGATTTTTGCCCAACTGTAGGCCAATTAAGTGTTCTGAGCATGTTTAAGGTAGATGAGGTTAAGATATGATGTTCAGCAGGCCAGTTATAGTCAATGCATTTTCAACTTAGGATGGGTTTATTGGAACATAACCCCACTGCAAACTGAGGAGCATCTGTATCCAGCAGAAAATAGGTCTCAATAAAATAATTCATACTAAGGTGTGAATGAAATAATTCACACTAAGATATGAATAACTAAAAATGCTACTAGCTATATGTAAAGTGCACTGCCTTTAAAGTCAGACAGACTCAAATTTGAATCCCGTCTTTTCTCCCATTTACTAACTAGGAGGTTTCTCTAAGTCTCAGTTTCTTCATCTCTGTAGAATGGTAGGAATGACACCTCGGAGGTTTGTTGCAACAATTAAATATGACCATATTTATGCAAAGTATAGTGCCTGGACACTCTGGATTACAAATACATGCCATTTATCTTTTAACTTGAGTCTACGACAATATTTAAACATACTAAAGAAGGAATTTGCTTGCACACCTCAATCTCAAATTGGTAGTGCTTAGGGGTTTTGTGTTTGTTTTTTTGGTTGTGGTTGTTGTTTTGAGACAGGATCTCACTCCATCGCCCCAGCTGTAATGCAGTGGTGCCATCATGGCTCACTGCAGCCTAGACCTCCTGGGCTCAAGTCATCCTCCTGCCTCAGCCTCCTGAGTAGCTAGGACAATAGGTGTGCCCCACCATGCTTGGCTAATTTTTTTATTTTTTGTAGGGACAGGGTCTCACCATTGCCCAGGCTGGTCTTAAACTGAACTCAAGCGATCCGCTCACCTCAGCCTCCCAAAGTGCTGGAATTACAGACAAGAGCCATGACACTTGGCTCAAATGGTAGTGTTTTAGTGTCAAGTGTTGACGTCATTATTAGATCACCCAGATTATTCTACTTCACTCTACCATAGGCTTTACAGCTATTATTTGGTAGTATGGATATTCATAAAACACATGCTATAAAGAAAATAGCTTTAGAGGTAGTTAGCAATCCATGCAACAAACCATTGGCTGGATCACTTCCTGCTTCAGGCACCATGCTGTGGCCCTTGTTACAGATAAAGGCACCACAAGCTGTGGAAACAAGTAAAGTAAGCATCCAATCCAATCCTGTTGGAGAGGGGCTAAGCCAAGAGCCTTTAAAAATCATGTCAAAATTTTAATTTACTTGTTTTCTGTTTTCTTTACTTATTTTTATTTGTAAAAGACATGGTCTTACTATGTTGCTCAGGCTGGAGTGCAGTGGCATGATCCTAGCTCACTGCAGCCTCAAATCCTCGAGCTCAAGTGATCTTCCCACCTCAGCCTCCCGAATAGCTGGGTGTATTTTTTCAATTACACCTCTCCTTTTAAGATTTAGGTAAAAGATACATGAAGGCACAGAATTCCTGCCAAATGAAAGTTCCCAGAAAACCATGTGAAATGATGGTTGTAAAAGGATTTACTTCTTAGCTCTTTTTTTGTCTAAGCAAATTATATTCAAGTAAGAATAATACTTAAGAAATCAAGCATGCATATGCTTTGGTTTTTACAGTATAAGGAAGGTTGTTGATGGTGTGCATGTGCCCACACCTGTGTGTACAGTCTCCAAACAGGGCTTTATTGAGTAATATTTTGTCATGATTTTCCCACAGTAACAAATGGCATATTTCCAACTTATCTGCATTTATTCAGAGTTTAATAGCACCACATACAGAGAAACTTTAAATCTACCTTTTGAATGGGATGTTTGAGGAAAAGTTATATCATGTTCTTCAGTTCATTTTTAAATATAGTTTTTAAGGATGAAAATTAAAAGAAATCCCATTTACTTTATCAGAATATAAATTGTCTTTTCGCCGTCCTCTGTATGTATAATTTTTATGTAAAGTAAAATTCTGTCTTCAAATGTGGCAATATCTCTTTAAAAGTCTTCACCAAACAGCCAGCAAACCAGCTTAGCAACTTTCCTGGGTGGATTCTTAGGTGAATCATTAGCCTTGAGCAATGAAACTGTCCAGCAACACCTCCTTTTGAAAGCTTTGATCTGTCTGAGACTGCAGGAGTCACAAAAGAGGTGTTTGTTTCATGCAGCTTCAGAATATTGACAGGGAAAAAGAATCTCCTTTGTTTCAATGCACCAGCCTTAGGCACCCTGGCGGTGGTCTCTGCAATTGCACTGGATGGAGGTGGAGATGCGGGATTCTCCATTCCCAGGGGGCTGTTGCTGTCTCACTATCTGCCAGTCAGGAAATCTTTTCTAGTTTCTCAGACCCCACCTTCAAAAGCTGAAATTACATGACTCATATTTATTTTGATACCATCAAAGTTTTGCTGACAACATGAAATTTTTGCCTGCCCTGTATTAACAAGTATATTCCTGAAGTCATTAGAAAGATTCAGGCCTTGGGTAAGCACTTAGAAATAAAAACTTAATTTATTGTTTGCACTAGTTCCCCTCTTTTCCCCTCCTCAAGGTGGCTATTTGGGGATTAGCAAATTCTGTGACAAAAGATGGTCAAGTGTAGATACCTAGAAGAAGTCACATCCAGCAATTCCATCAAAAGAGCTCTCTAACCATGTTCCCATAGTGACATGTACCAATATCTTGGGTAAAGGGCACACAGGTGAATTAATTTGGTAGTGGATTTTTATAGACTGTACAATACACTTGACTCTTTGCCAAAATATGAGTGCCTAATTGCTGTGTCTTTGGTGAACATGCCAAAGATTCAGTGATTTTATTCACGTAGGAGGAGGAATGATTTGGGGGAGTAGTTTCAGTGGACAGGTTTTATTGTACTTACTAGATAATAAATTCTTTGAGGCAAGAAGAGTGTTATTGTACTTTTTGTATTTATCACAACACCTAATGAGGTGCCTGACTTATTGGCAATCAATTAATACTATCTAGACAAATGGACTTGAGCAGGTGACCACCTGAAACTAACTAGCACACAATAACAAACACTTGAGCTGCACAGAGACCCAGGTTCTTATCCTGATTCATTCATTTATTGTGGTTTTGGAAAATTTGTAAATCACTTAAATGTACAGGGATTTATGTCTTTTAAGGTATGAAAGCTATGCTGGATAGAGGTGCTTTCTGAAGTCTTTTTTTTTTTTTCATTCAACAAACTTTAGCGCAAAGTAAAAGAGACAATGTTTCTGCTTTCATGGAGTGTATACAATGGGTGAGGGGGTGGGAAGGAACAAGTAAAAAGCAAGGTGATTTCAGAAAGTATTAACTGCTGTGCAGACCATACAACAGGGGAAAGAGATAAAGAGTTAAATCCCCTAAGACGGTCCTGGCTGTTTGTTGGCTTTATTTTTAATTTCTCCTTTTTCTCTAAATAGAAATCAACAGACTTTCTTGAAAAGAGGACTTGATTATCAGAATCAACTGTGGAGTGTTTTACAAATAACAGGTTTTCAATGCTCTACAGATTTTACAGGGATGTAAACCAGAACCCTGAAAGCTCTAGTGTCTTCACAACAGTTCCCTTGAAAACACTGGTACTGCTAGGGGAATGAACAATTTACATATAAATAATTTATATTTTAGTTGTCTCTAAGTGTGAGACTGTAAGAAATTCATTTTGAAAACCACTCAAAGGTTTCCTGATTTTCATACTGTCCTTAGCCGATAAGCTCTTAGACTGATTTGACTTCTAAAATACCTTCTAACTTGAATTCATTTGAAAAGCCCGAAGTGTTAAAACTCATGGATTGAGATAAATAACCTTCCAATGGAGTCTAGCAAATTGGAAACTGGACTTGGTCTTTGATCTCAGGGAGGTACGCGTACTACAGACGGGTCATTGTGCTTGCCCAGACAGGACACGAGGTAAGACTTCCTTACTTAAACTTGACACATACAGCATGGTCAGAAACAGCAGATGGGGTCATTTGTTATCTTTAACACTGTACGCCGGCCCAAGTAGGGCAGGACAGTGGGAATCCCATAAAACAGAGCCAGCTTTCATGCTAGGAGCAGTACTGTAGTCACCCAATCATACGGCAGAAATAGTAAAGGTCATGCTTCCTCCACAGTGGTGAGGTGCAGCAGCTTCCTTGGCAAATGACTTCTGCGTACTCTCCCCACATGGAGGAGATTGGTCATGCAAAGTAGGTGTTTTCAGGGTACAGGAAAGCTTTCCAAGATTGCTTCTAGAAGCTATGGCAAATGTATTTTCAATTTAAATGTATCTTCCTATTATCAGCACTTTAAATTTGCCATTTATCAGAAAGGGCCTTTTTCCTCTTTTCCTTCCTGCATTTGTTTTCTGTGTAGGTTTGCTTTTTGTCTGTTTGTTTTGGCCTTTGAGGAATGTGACTTCCTAAGGTCACCCTGGAAAACAAAGAAGCAAAACAAAACAAAAAAAGAACTCCGTTTTCACTAAAATGGAGTCCGAAGATGTGGGTTCAGTGCTTTATCTGGCTGTCTCTGTAACCTGGGGATCACATTCGTCTCACAGGGAAAGTTTTGTGAAGATCAAATAAGAAATAATTTGGATATTGAAATGCTCCCCAAGGTTCAAAGACCTGCACATTTAGAATGCTTGGCAGCCCCTGGTCTTTTTGTGTGTGCTGCACTTGGGACATTTATCAGAATCTGAACACATCAGAAACTGACCCAATGATAGAAAAGAACTGGAACTAGGGGTGATCAGAATAACCTCCTGAGAAGGCCGTCCCAATGGAGAAAGGAGTTAGTGTCCTGAGCTTTGTGGTCCTGCACCAGCTCTTGGCTAGTCTGCTGCTGAAGTATTCTGTCAGACCTGAAGAAAAATAGAGGGCAATAAGAATCGGTACTGACAAACAGGCCCAGGCACCACACTCCCGAAGACCAACACCATAAACAATCTGCCTGGCAGGGTTAGAGTCTGTAGAGGCTGGGGAGGCAGTAGTACCCAGAGAAAAACAACTCGAAAGTGGAACCTTTTGAATAACAGCCCATCTCACAGTAGAGTCCTTTACACCAACAAAAACGAGTCTTGGTCAGTGTCTCTAACATACGTTTAATTTCCTAGACAAATCTTGCATCTCTTCATGATTTAGCTTCTTGTTTACAATGCAGCTTTCTTAAATGGAAAGGAAACTGCTGAATCTCAAATTGCTGTGTAGTTTGTCAGACAATGACATCCTTCACTGCCAGCGTTGAGCACACTCCCTTTTTAATCCATTTTGCCTGATGAAGCATAGCATTTTCTGCAGCCTTCTGAGCTGTTAAGAGAATATTTCAACTGCAAACACAAAGAAGAAATGTTTGAAGTGAAATGAACTATGGGCTAATCGGGAAGGGCTTGAATGAATGTCAAAATAAGAGCTCACCTACTGCACATTTTTAAAAAGAAGTCTATGTTAATGGAGTCAAAACACTGGCTTCAGTGTTTTATCTTTATTGATGAAATTACCACATTTGAAAAGTAAACACTATTTTATTTTATGTCTGATAGAAAATATATATACGCTATGGAAGAAATTTTGAAAATACAGAAAAGCAAAAACAAAATGATGAAATAAAATAATCTTTAACTTCCCACATTCAGATGTGAAGCACTGCTTATATTTTGTTTTTATGATACAAAAAGAAGTCTGTAATGCAAGCTGTCCTTCCCTTAGCAGTCTGACAAATGTATTGCATTGGTGTAAAAGTAATTGCGGTCTTTGTCTTTACTTTTAATGGCAAAAAACACAATTACTTTTTCATCAACCTAATATATTTGGCTCGAGTTAAAAATATTTTTTAAATGATTAAAAGTAAACACTAATCTAGCATATAGGACTTACAGCTTAAAAATATTAAATACACAAATTTTCTGTCCTCAGTAAGCTAACATCTCAGGTTTTATATGACTTATATGAATGAAATGACAATGTGTTATTTTTGAAAGCTTATTCAAATAGTAGGAGAGGACATACGAAAACAAAATATGAGGTTTGGGGGCTTGACTCCTCCCTGAGAAAACGCAAGAAGCTCTTTCTCAGAGGAGTCATACCTAAATAGCCTGTGTGGGTGTGGTTAGTGTTTTTATTTAAGTGGGCGGGGAATGGAAGCTTCTTTTGGTCTTGCTGAACATTTAGCTTGGATTTGTTTTATTTATATGGCTACCTAGTTTTTGCTCTGATGGTATAAACCCTGGCTTTTATTTCAAAGTGTTTTTATTTCCATTTTTTAATTTAAAATAATCCCATAACTTCTTTAGTCTCAAGAGCCTATCCATGTCAACCTTATTAGTTCCTACTTGTTAATACTTTTAGAAGTTTGAATTTAGTTGGTACTTTGGATTAATGTCCTAACATAAAATATTCTATTTTATACCATGCTTGGAATCCGAAACTCTTATTCCAAAATGAAATCTGACATCTCACCAGCAAACCTTGTGCCTTGTATTTATATTGTAGAATATCTTAGAAACCAGTCCACTGGTACTGCTCAGTAATTATCTCAGGACAAGTAGGTGCTATTGATTTGTTAGCCACCGTTGTCTTAAATTAAACTTGGATAGTGATATATGGGTACCAGGTTAAATGTTCAGAGGAATGATGCTTAGAAGACAGAATGAACAGAATGGAAGTTGGAGGATCTATTAGAAATGGGTCTAGATAGGACACAGAAAACAGGAAGTGGAGACCAGATGCCCTCCCACCCTCCCCGACAACCCCAGAAAAAGATGGCTCAGATAGAGTGAGTCTGGCTGATAGCTTTGGTCATTCAGCTGCCACAGTTTGGTGTATGTTTCCAGAAAACAGGAAGTAAAGCAGTCCTGACAACAGCCATAGACAAAAGCTCTCAAGAATTAGAAGAAAAGAGGTGCTTATTAGCCTAGGAGCTTAGCTGAGCAGATTTTCCTCTAAGACTCACATATGCAGAAAAGCTGGAAGACTGCTTGCAGGAATGAGCCTTGCCTGAAAGCCCTGGAAAGAAAGAAGGAGCCAGAATTCTTGTGTGAAAGAAATAGGCTTTTTTGGCCAGGCGTGGTGGCTCACGCCTTAATCCCAGCACTTTGGGAGGCCGAGGTGGGAGGATCATTTGAGCTCAGGAGTTTGAGACCAGCCTGGACAACATGGTGAAACCTCAACTCTACAATAAATACAAAAATTAGCCGGGTATGGTGGCATGCACCTGTAGTCCCAGATACTCGGGAGGCTGAGGTGGGAGGATCACTTTAGCCCAGGAGGCAGAGGTTGCAGTGAGCTGTGGTCGTGCCACTGCACTCCAGCCTTGGCAACAGAGTGAGACCCTGTCTTAAAAAAGAAAAAAAGAAAGAAAAAAAGAAACAAGCTTTTTCAATTAAATTCCACAGAAATGATAAATCTTTGCAGTTGTAACAATATATAAAATGTGCAGTTCATTAAGATTTTAAATATTTGTATGCCTTAAGCAGTGGTGAAAAACGAGAATTAAGCCATTTAGAAATACTCCACAAGACTAATTCCATAAAAAAATTTATGGACTACAGAATAGAGAAAATGCTTTAATAATGGACAATATAGTTTATTGTCCCTCTCTTGGGAGAGAGGTAGCTTTATTCTCTAATAATTAATTTAGCTACCTTTAAGACAAGTCAACTGAAGAACACGTCTTAGTTTTTCTTTCTTGCTCATGATAGAAAAAGTTTCTAAGAAATAAGCCTCTGTACTAAATACTAGTCAAATTCTGAAAGGCCCAGTCACTGGTAAAACTAGCACCACAAGTCAGAGCTGCTAACTACCGCTTAGGTACTAGAACCACCTCCCTTGTGAAGTGTTAATGGCCTCAGCCCAGCTCCTAGCAGACATCTGTCTACATCACACACAAAATAAATTTAAATTGGCAGTGTCTGCAGAGAAAATGACATTTCATGGATGTGGAAATAAACCAACCCTTCAGATAAGAAATGACCTCACATTCTAGAGATAGTCTCTTCAGGGTGAGCTCTGAGAAGCCAAACTTTTTCAATTCCTTTCTCACTATTTCCTGACCCATAAAGAACAGACAAAACAAACGATGCCCTCAGACCTTTTGCAATAAGAAACACATCAAACTCTATGAGCAATTAGAGCTATTGTGTAATAGTGGTGATGCACGTTTCTAAACGTATTTCCACTTCTGTTTTACCTCAGTTAAACACTCATATATTCTCCTAATGGTATGGGATAAGGGGAACCGTGCAGGTGTCAACTATAATTATTGTTTTCCCTGTTTTTAGTCAGAGATATTTGTCCCTCACCTCTGTTGAAGAAAACATACATAACCAGAATGGCAAATAAACTGGTTAGCACTTTGACATACTCTAAATATTCTCTATCAACATGACCAATGCATTACAAATGAGCAGCTACATTTTAAAAATATTGATGGAAACCTCCAACAGTATCTTTGCTTCCATTTCGATTCATGCCACCTAAGATATAAGCACTATAGGTAATATTGATGAGAATAAACAATACCAAAGCATCTTTTGCACATTATCCCATTTCAGCTTTCTCTTGGATGTTATCGAGTAGTAGTGTAGATTATTCACATTACCAATATGGGTGATAACTCACCAAAGTTTTTTGTTTGTTTGTTTGTTTGTTTTTGTTTTTGTTTCTGTTTTTTGAGTCAGAGTCTTGCTGTGTTGCCCAGGGTGGAGTGCAGTGACACGATCTTGGCTCACTGGAACCTCTGTCTCCCAGGTTCAAGAGATTCTCCTGCCTCAGCCTCCTGAGTAGCTGGGATTACAGGCACCTGCCACCACGCCTGGTTAATTTTATTTATTTTTATTTTTTATTTTTTGTATTTTTAATAGAGACAGGGTTTCACCGTATTGGCTAGACTGGTCTTGAACTCCAGACCTCAGGTGATTCGTCTGCCTCGGCCTCCCAAAATGCTGGTATTACAGGCGTGAGCCACTGCACTTGGCCTCATAAAAGTTTTTTAAGCAAAACTAATGGACCACAGAGTTATTCATTCTTGACTCTAAGCATCAAACTTATACACATACTTGAGGTTTGTATATGAACATGCATGAGCCTGCAGGGGAAGGCTATGGTGTTAGAAATAAAAGTCATTCTTGTTTGCCAGAAATGTATATCTGAAACTAAGTCACTTAAATTAGTCAAGAAGTCTCCAGAGAAACAAAACCAAAAAGAGATTTAATATAAGGAATTAGCCCCCCTCCATAATTGTGGGCAAGTCCCAAGCTCTCTGCAGGGTGAGTTGATGAGCTGGAGACCCAAAGAGCAGATGATATAATTCCAGTCTCAGCGCCAGCAGACTTGAGACCAAGGAAGAGCCAATGTTTCTGTTTGAGTCCAAGGCAGAAAAAAACCTGATGACCAAATTCAAAGGCAGTCAGACAAAAGGAGTTCCCTCTTACTCATAGACAGTCTGCCTTTTTCAGGCCTTTGACTGCTTGAATAAGGCCCACTCACATTAGGGTGAGCAATCTGCTTTACTCAGTCAACCAATTCAAATGTCAATCCCATTTGAAAACACCCTCACAGAAACACCGAGAATGATGTTTCACCACATATCTGGGTGTTCCATAGCCCAGTGAGGTGGACACAAAATTAATCATTATACCAACACTAGTATCAATACTGTTAGGATGATTCCTTTTCATCAGTAATGAGCCCAGAAATATGTTAAGATACGGATCAAATAGAAGATCATCATTCATCATATTGAATAATCTATTGATGGAGTAAAAATTGTTTCCTCTTCCACTGATTGTATTATAGGTGGTGTTTGGTGAGCTATACCTGTCATTTAATGCAAAAAAGAATTCAGATGATGCTGGGAAATTTTAATCACGAGTGTTCTTTACATAATAGGTATCATGATGGCAGTGAGGTTTGGAGTGAAATGTGTGGAGTGGGACTGAGGGAATGGTTCCAGGAAGAAAGAAAGCAAAAATAATGATAATAATAAAATAATCAGGTTGTTTTCTCATGGGAGCAAAGCAGGCATCCGTTTTTTTCTGCCTGAGCACAAGACAAACACCAAATAAACAGCAAAAGTTACTTAAAAGCCATTTCTTCAATTTCTCCCAAATAAGGCCAGAATTAGTTATAATTGAAACAGAAAAAATGTACAGACAGAGTTCCAGATATAAGATCAGGATATTTAAAAACAATGGAATCCAGTCAATGTGTGAAAAATTTTTCAAAAGCTTAGGTGTCAACTGGTCAAAATTAGAATTCTGCATTGATAGGAAATTCTTCAGTTTATAAATCTTAACAAAAAATGGTTCCCTTGTTTTTACCAGCTAGAAGGAAATCTAAGAAGTTTGACTTTAATTCCTTCAAAAATACAGAAAAATCATAATCTTCTCTATTCCTGTTTGTTACATAAGTTACAGATTCACATGAAGTCCCAGGATAGCTTCTGTCGGCTTTGGTGGCCTGTTGCAGCAGCCAGCAGCAGGAAACTTGAGGAGCTATCATCTCAGGAATGAACGGGGCCACATCAATAAGGTAAAACTAAGGTCACTCAAGTCCTAGACCCTCATTTTGCCTTATTTTTCTCCCAAGGGATTTTTAAAATACCATAAAAATTGAACCATCAAAAAATCACGAAATAAACATGTTTGTAGTAATCATTAATACCATTCCCTAGACACTAAATAAAATCCCACATACATTAATCAAAGAAAATACTTTTTTCATTAGAATTCTAAGACGACACTTTCATCAACTTTCCTAAAATCTAAAATTTAATCATCCTTATTATTGACTTTTCACTAACTTGTTTCCTACACTGATTTATAATTATTTATTCCATATTCTATTATGCTCACTAGATGCAGACATTCACTGCATCCTATTAATTCCGACATTGAATCTATCTTTAAAGGTATTGTTACTCTTATTATTGGAATGGTCGAAAAAAAGCAAAAAAAAAAACAAGAAATATTTACAGTTACATTATTTTGGTTTTTCTTCCTGTTGCGATATATAGTATTTTACTGTTTATTTTAGAAAAAAACAGTTTCTAGAATATAAATCAAAGAAACTATACTACATTTCAGGAGACCTGTAATGATGTGGCTCTAAATGTCAGCTTTAAAAGCCTGGGAATTGATAGAGGAAGAGAGAAGAAAGGGTGTCCCAGTTTTCCACATGCCGAATGATTCAGCAAAATAATGTGAGCAAGTCAAGACTCTGGAAAATATTTTTAGATGCCAAACAAAAACCTGGAGGTAAATCTCTGCTACACTGTCAGTTAGGTTCTTAGCATCCAGTTTGATTTGTTGTACTTTAAAATGAATGGAAGAAATTATAAGGAGCACAGATAACTACAAATAATTCAAGGTTTGGGAAAATGAAATTGAATATAAAACTATGAAATGTTATAGTAGCTATAAAATCCTAGTTTTTCAGTGTAGAAGAGTAAAGGTTAAAGAATGACAGAAACTGTCTTGAAATAGACAAAAGGATATAAATATCACAATTATATCACTAGAGTAAACTTTAGATTTCTTTTCCCAACCCATATCCTGACTGTCTACCACCAACCACCATTTGACAGCAGAAGACACTGAGGCCAGGCAGGTGAAGCTGTTTGTTCAAGAACCAGAGTTGTTTCATGGGAGATCTAGAGATTAGAGCCCAAGCATCCTGACTTGTAGTTCTCTTTCCATTTCTTAAGATACAACCATTAGGTAATTTTATGGATTTTTTTCCCACAAATATACCAGGATCTACGATTGATATGAGCATTCGCATCATTGTAACTGCTTCAGAAAGCTGGAATAATAGAACATTTTAAAGTACTTCTTTTGGAACTATTTGTAGACCCAATTTAAAAGCCAGAAAAAGAACCTCACTGCTCTATAATTTTTATTCTGAAATATTTGCTTATGATCTATAATGCATTACCCAGCTTAAATAATAGATGAATCCAGCAACTTGTTTCTGAGTGACTTTTTGTCGTTGTTAAAAGTCAAATCCATCTTAGAGGACAGAGATTTTTCCCCAGAAACTCTGATGAAGGAAGGCTTTGAAAGTAATTCCAGGAAAGTCTTGAAATATTTTGAGATATGGCAACAATGTTGCCATAATGTGAATATTTTTCTTTTGAATATTTCTTTTAGTAATGCTATGGTATTAACAGTTTTTAAAATAAATCCTTTTCTTTTACAGCCCATTCCATTTGACTTGAGATATTAAAATCTTATGACAATCTATAAGCCAGACCAGTAGAAATGTGACAACCTCTTTATAGTCTTTAACTCTGCAACAGCTTTACAATTATAGAGATTAGAGAACCATTAGAATTGTGATACAAGTAATATAAGTATAGGTTTTAACACTGTCATCTGTCACTGCCATGTTCCTAACATATATAGATAAAGTATAGTTTTAAAAAAGGAATATAAAATACATTATTAATATGCTTTTTAAAGTAAATAAATACAGTTGTGGCCAGAAATGGGAACATTGTTTATGGATAGCTAAGGTATAGTAAAGTCATTGCTTTATTTTGGAGAAAGACAGAAAAATACAAGATAACTCTAGACTTCCTTACAAAAAAAGATATATATACACACACACATTAAAATTCAAAGATAAACACTAAAATAATAGATAAGTAACTCTTGCTTCTAGAAGTGTCCCCCATGTGGTAGAGTACTACAGCCTAGCTAATTGCTTAAAGCTGCAATTAGGGACGCTGAAGTGGAAACACCCACCACCTTTGAAATGAGGTTTAAAAAGCTTAAAATAATTCTTGCTTATGGTGAAGGCTTATGCAAAGTCACTAGGGAAGCTAGAGAGAGCAGACACACTTTGCAGTCAGGAACTGACTCTACACCTAGCTTAGTAACTGGGTCAGCATGTTGACCATAACAGCAGAGATGCTGTAAACCATGAATATAAGGCTTATAAATTAAAATTCCAAAAAGATGGCAGGAAGAAAGAAAACCAACAAAATCAACAATCAGAAAGTAAATTGTTCCAGATAAAATGAGCATGTAAGAGCAATCTGAAAATGATTTGAAAATAAACATGATTAGGATACTCAAAGAAATAAAGAAGGAAATTTCTGATAGAGAAAGAAATTATGAAACCAGACAAGACAGAAATGATACAAAAACAAAAGCATTTGAAAAAGAACACATTAGAAATCTTAAAAATCAAAATGTACTCATTGATGAAATTTTTAAAAAATCAACAGATGAGATATTCTCTAGACTGGACAGAAGGAGAGAGTTTAATAAATTGAAAGATAGTATTGTACACTTCCACCCAAATGCAACACAGAAAGATAAAAGGATTTTAAAGACACATGACGGAACAGTTAAGAATTAAGGAGGGGAGCCTGAGAGGAACCACCATTCAGTGGGGCTCCCAGTGAAGAAAGAGCTGAGAATCTTTCAGAACTGAAAAAAGATGTAAATCCTCAGATCACTGGTGCTGACGGAATAAATGAAAATAAATCCACGTATTTATTCTTGATTCCTAACTTGTTTTTAGGAAACGACTTTGAAGAAATAGATCATGGGGGTTAAATAGTAGAAGCAAGGAGATCAGTAGAACACAATTTTAATTTTTGGCTTCCCACCATCCTTTTAAAATGCATTCACTGGCTGTAATGTCACCCTGCCTCTAGATAAAATTGGGCTTTTGGCTTATTCTTAGATGAATAGAACTTTAAGGCATAAAATCAGAAAATGCAATTCAAATTTAGAAATCAAAATGTCCAGAAATAATATAATAAATGTGTAAATGTATTGAGAGAGAGAGAGAGGGTGCAAATAGGAGAATCAACTCTTCAATATTTATTCAATGCAAAGTTTTCTCCCCTTTTCCAATTAATGACTCTATAATTCCAGTTTTGCCTCTGAGAATAAGAGTGCTATTGGCTTCCTTTCTCTTTTTACTTTGTTTCGATATTTTACATTTTTTAAATACAAATTATATATATTTAAGGTGTACAATGTGATGTTTTGACATACATATACTACATAAACCTACTGAACTGATTACTACAGTCAAGGTAATTTACATATCCTTGTAAATCAAGGTAATTTACATTTTTTAACATAGTTACCTTTTTGTGGTGAAACTACTTAAGATATACTCTCAGTAAATTTCAAGTATACAACACAGTATTACTAACTATAGTCACTATGCTGTACATTAGATCTCTAGAATTTATTCATTTTATATAACTGAAACTTTGTAGCCTTTGACTGACATCTTCCCATTTTTCCCACCCACCCTTAACCCTGGCAACTACCGTTCTCACTCTGTGCTGCTATGACTATTTTAGATTCCACATATATGTGAGGTCAGACAGTATCTTTCTTTCTGTGCCAGGCTCATTTCGCTTAGCATAATGTATTTTAGTTTCACCCATGTTGTAAATGGCAGAATTTCCTTCTTTTTTAAGGTTGAATGATATCTTATTGTATGTAGTTGTGTATATACATTTCTTCAGCCATGCATCCGTTGACAGACATTTAGCTTATTTCTATAATTTTGCTATTGTGAATAATGCAGCAACGGGTATTAGGAGCACAGTGTCGTTGAGATATTGATTTTATTTCCTTCGGATATATATCCACTGTGGGACTTCTGAAATATATGGTAGTTCTAGGTTTAAGTTTTTGAGGAACCTCCATATTGTTTTTTAAAGCGGCTGTGCCAATTTATATTCTCACCAACAATGTATGAAAGCTCCCGCTTTTCCACATCCTCATCACTTTATCTTTTGTTTTTTAAATCATAACCATCCTAACAGACATGAAGTGATCTCTTATTATGGTTTTGATTTGCATTTTCCTGATGATTAACGATGTTGATCACCTTTTCATGCCCCTATTGGCCATCTGTATGTCTTCTTTGAAAAAAATGTCTTTTCAAATCCTTTGTACATTTTTTTTAAATCAGGCAACTTACCACTATTGAGTTGGAAAAATTCCTTATATATTTTTGATATTATCCTCTTATCAGATATATGGTTTGCAAATATTTTCTCCCAATCTTTAGGCTGCATTTTCATTTTCTTGATAGTTTATTTGGCATGAGGAGCTTTTTAGTTTGATGTAACTCCAGTTGTTTATTTTTGCTTTTATTGCCTGTACTTTTGGTGTCATATCCAAAAAATCATTGCCAAGATCAATGCCAAGGAGTTTTTCCCCTGTATTTCCTTCTAGTCTTACAGTTTCAAGTCATGTCTTATATTTGTCTTTAATCCATTTTTAGTTGCTTTTTGAATGTGTTGTAAGATAAGGGTCCAATTTCACTCTTTTGCATGCGGATATCCAGTTTTCCCAACACCATTTATTGAAGAGGATATCCTCTCTCCATTGTATGTTCTTAGTGACCTTGTCAAACATTAGCTGGGTGTGTATATGCATGGGTCTGGCTTTTGCTCTGAGGTTCCTCATTTCTAAGGGATGTTTGCACCCCTATCAGGGATAAAAGCAGAGGAAGGAAGGTGAGGTGAGAACTTGTACTTGATTGGGTGGCTTTACACATTCTTGTCCTGGCCATACTTCTCTAAGGGTTTTTGAGGGATGTACAGGAGCTCCCGCAGGCCCATTTCACAACAATGCTCAGGGTACGTGCAAAGGCCTAGCTTCACTGGTAGTTGTCTCTGCCCAGGAACACATGGTCAGAGTCCCTTCCCTCTTCCAGGACTCCATTCCAGCTCCCTGTCTGTATGGTCCACACATGTCCACAGGAAACACACATGTATCCTCCAGCTGAATACACTTGAGCTGCTCCAGCACAGCCACCCTTACTCTCCCACCAAGGAGTAAGTCATTAGCTTTCCCCCATGCTCCCCAGGAGCGGCATCAAAATAACAAAACAGAAACATCATTTAAGATGTATAAATCACCCTTATTAATCTGTCCAAAGGCTTTTCACTATTATTAGCAATCCAGAATAGTAAATATTTGTATGTAAATGAGGACATATGTGTGTAAAATAGTTTGGAATTTTTCAATAATCTTTGCTTCTTTCTGTCTCTCTCTTCTCTCTCTGTCTCTCTCTCTCTCTGTCTCTTTCAATTCTTGAGAATATATACATTCATCCAGACTGAGAATTTGTTGTATTTCAGAGCACAGCCTCACTCATCATAGTTTATTTGAATCAGAGAGTTGGACTATATAGTTAAGGCTCACAGAGACGGCAGGTTAGATCTTGCCTTCAGCCTAAGGGCAATGACATCCCTTGTTTTGCCAGTACTGCTGATTGAAAGTGGAACTTGCAGAACACACCCTTGGCTCTTAAAAACATTAGAATGAGCAATGGAGTATTATTTCATCAGTATCAGTCTGTGCTGTCTTAAATTTTGATTTTGGTTTCTTTTTTGCTCTTTATGATTGTTACTTAAATGTTTTTTAGCCAAAAGCCCAGTGGAAATGTTTACCCAATAGAAATATATAACTAACTTACTATGGAACAGTGATAGACAGAGGAGTGAGAATGGCAACACCAACACCGCCATGCCCACCTCCCCTTCATAGTCACTATTTCACAGATATCTTCTCCAGAGCTTGTCAACACTTGCTAATTACACTTTCAGGGGATGACCCATTTCTTTGAGCATTCACTTATTTTCATATTGTTTTAAGAAAAATCAGTCAAATCCTAGCGTTATTCATATTCATATTCAAAAATTATTTGCCTTTTTCCTCAAATTTTGTAAACAATGAATATCTCCAAATATAGAGAAGAAAGAGAAGAAGTAGGGTATGCATCATGAAAAGAACTCCATGAGGCTTATGAATTGGTATTGGCCCTGAGGTATACTCATCTCCTTTTAACCATATTAGTGATCATGTTTATTTGGATTTGCTCACTGAGGTGTGAGAGAACACACTACACACTACACACCTTCGGAGCTTGCAGCTCAGAATCTGAGGTCCACCATGGAGGAGAGAAGAATTTATCACTCACCCTGAACTCCATTGGAAAAAAAAAATGACTTTTCTTTAATTGTATGAAATCCCCAAGTGTCGCAAAACATTTTCATTAAAAATTTTAAGAGAAACCTCATCTTTGATTTCATTCATTTATTCATTCAACCAATGCGTGTTTTTGGAATACCTATACCTGCTACCTATAACTATAGACACTTGAAGAGAGGTTGAAGATACAATAGTGAACAAGACAGTCTCTGCTGTCATGAAGCTCACCGCCCATTGGGTTCATTTAATCCACAGTCTTTACTAAGCACTTACCATATGCCAGATGTTTCAAGGTCTGGGACACAGAAAAGAGACAGACAAGACATAAACAAGTTTTTTAAGTGTCATTTTAAAAACTAACATGTCCTATGAAGAAAATGAAACAGAGAAAAAATTTTAAAAGTGATAGCCGGTGCTATTTTTAATAAATTAAGCAAAGAAGTGATGCTTGAGCAAAGACCTGAATGATTAAGACAGTAAGTCAACCAAACATCTTGGGGAAGAGCATTTCAGGCAGAGAGAGCACAAAACAAGTCCTTGAATGAAGGAGGACAGTGGATTGCTTCCCTAAAATCTTGACAACACTTTTAAGCTCATATGAATAATTCCCAATTTTGCAATATTCAATTTTAAACCAATTTGCCATTAGATATATTATACACAACCAACTCTAACACATGCTTTTAACGTATGCTGAGTTTGAAGTTTGTGCAGCTTGACACTGCATGATTTTCTCTGCTCGCTTATTTATTTGTTTTCTTAGATTTGTATATACTATCACCCCTGAAATTTCCAGAAGAAATGTACATTATTCAAATATCTCAGTAGCCTATTATTTTTTCTTGGGGACAAATTTCCTATAGTCCTCTGTCCGCTGATCTGAATGGTTGTTCTCTAAGCTGGTTGTCATCCTTGATCTTCCTTTAAGCAGCATCTTGATTATTTTCTTCTCTTGTGTTGGAACTCCTGATTTTTGATCCCATGTCATCCTCTTTTTAAAGATTATTTCTCATTTTGATGCATGACATCTTCTGCTAGCTTCCTACAAAAGGACACATGAGAGAAAAAATTGAGGACACGGAATATCTGAAGATGTCTGTATTCTATCCTTTATCATCCATACTAAACTGACAGTTTGTCTAGGAATAGTATTTCGAGTTGGTAGTCATTTTCTCTAAGTATTTCAAAGACATTTATCTTTTGTTTCTATTGTTCAGAGTTGCTAAGAAGTTTGATGCCATTCATATTTAAGAATGAAGCAATGAAAAAGCTGAATAGAAGTGCACTGTGCATGAACAGGGAATGTCAATTTGTGGACTTTGTTACTGGGCAATCTAGCTAGGATATTACATTTGAGTACCCCAGATTCTTTTCTACAAAAGAATCTTTCATTTCTCTGCCTTGGAGAAATAATGCTGGCAGTCAACATCTTTGAGCTAATGAAGCAAAGTAGTCAGGATCTTAGCATTCAAAATACCTATATTTATTTAACCCATTTCACCATGGAGGTAATTGCAAGCTCAGAGTCTTTCTGAGATTTACTCAGTTACTCTCCAGAGAGTAACATTCTAATCTTCTTGGGTAAAGCAGGGACATCCATCAGCTGTGCAGAATTTGGAAGTTAGGGTACTAATTATTGCAATAATTAACTCTCAACCTTATTCTCGTCTCCCTCTGTATCTGTCTCCAATCCATGAGGCCTTTTAGGTTTTCAGATGTGAATGCATCTACTTTGGTTTCAACTCTCAGTCATCTACTGCTTCAACTTCCACTTGTCCATTTGATTTCTAACTTCCAAAACGTCATTACAATTGTCTGCTTTCTCTCTATCTTTACCCTTGTACACTAACAATTGTTTTAATCTCATTACCATCATTTAGGTTTGATTTCAGGTATATTCAACCTGTGGTATGTCTGTTGTTTTCCTCCCACAGTCAAATTCCTTTTCACAAAGAATTCCTATAAATGTAATTTTTTCTGTCTCATCTCAAGTAATTTCATCACTGTTTAAAGCTAACTGAAAGAAGCTTAGTTTCATATATGTACTATATTTGAGATACAGATAGAAATTACTAGGCTTGCCAAAAGCTGTGTATCTTTAGGTTCATTCTGATGCTTAGGGGATTTCAATCAGTTGCATATGTGAACAATTATAAGGTACACGAATGAGCTTAAAGGATGTGTTTTAAATGCTGAAAATGTATTATTGAAAGTTATGTTTCATACGTGGAGTATAATTAAGGATTTTACAATAGAACTTTTTCTACAACGAATAAGTTTATCACTAGTCTTTCAGAAATTTTAGTTTCAGAAAGTTTCAATAACGTATGTTCAGAACTAAAGAACTTCTCATATAATTTTAGGCCATCATCTTGAAATTAAGAAGTGTAAAAACTAAGTAACTGCTCAAATAGAACAGCATAAAGTATTTTGGTAATTCAGAGTTCTCTGTATATTTTCTGGAACTCTCTTGACTCATTAACTTTCTTTTTCAGTTGTGCAATAATGCTCCAATATCAAAATTTGTTTTTAGGCCAGACACGGTGGCCCACGCCTGTAATCCCAGCACTTTGGGAGGCCGAGGCAGGTGGATCACCTGAGGTCAGAAGTTCAAGACCAGCCTGGCAAGACAGCGAAACCCCATCTCTACTAAAAATTCAAAAATTAGTTCAGCATGGTGGCACACGCCTGTAATCCCAGCTATTTGGGAGGCTGAGGCAGGGGAATCGCTTGAACCCAAGAGACGGAAGTTGCAATGAGCTGATATTGCACCACTGTACTCCAACCTGGGCAACAAAGTGAGACTCCATCTCAAAAAAAAATTGTTTTTAAATAACAAAATTATTATTCATGTTAATAATAATGTGCTTCATGCCCACTGAAGCACAAATCAGTGTGTTACGTCTTGGCCTTAACAAGCAATCAAGCATACTTGAGCAGGTACAAAGCACTCGAGGGAACAAGAAATCAATGTAGTATAACTAAAAAGGTTAAATATTGGAGTTTGAACACAAGTATTTATTCTTCTTGACAAAATGCCACTAAATGACACAATTTTCTTTTTTAATATATTTATTTAATATTTTTAAGACTGAAGAAGGAAATCTTTTTTTTTTTAACTTTTATTTCAATAGTTTTGGTGGAACAGGTGGTGTTTGGTTGCGTGAATATGTTCTTTAGTGGTGAGTTCTGTGATTGCGATGCACCCACAATCACCTCAGCAGTGTACACTGTTCCCAATGTATGGTCTTTTATCCTTCACCCCCACCCGCCCTTTCCCCAGAAACCCCAAAGTCCATTATATCATTCCTGTGCCTTTGCATCCTCACAGCTTAGCTCCCACTGATAAGTGAGAACACACAATATTTGATTTTCCATTCCTGAGTTACTTCAGTTAGAATAATGGTAAATAACACAGTCTTAGAAGTTAAAAGATAATGGGGCCATATATTTAAAATTCTGAGGGGAATTCATTTCTAGCTTAGACTTTGATATCTATCATACAATCAACGAAGTGTGAGAGTAAATAAAATCATTATAATGTATGTCAAGTCTCAAAATGATTACTTGCAATGCACCTCTTCTTGGAAGCTGCTCTCTCACAAGGAAATAAGTCAAGAAAACAGAAATCATGGGACCTGAGAAGCAAGAGATCCAACAAAGGGGAGAGCAGCAGAAAAATCTACGTATGAAAGCTGGGGATGGTGGCTCAGGCTTGTAATCCCAGCACATTGGGAGGCTGAGGCAAGTGGATCATTTGAGGTTAGGAGTTCAAAACAGCCTAGCCATCATGGTGAAACCCCATCTCCATTAAAACACCAAAAAAAAAACAATTAGCAGAGTTGGTGGCGTGTAGTTGAGGCAGGAAAATCGCTTGAACCTGGGAGGCGGAGGCTGCAGTGAGCCGAGATCGCACCACTGCACTCCAGCCTGGATGACAGAGTGAGACTCTGTCTCAAAAAAAAAAAAAAAAAAAAAAAAAAGTCTAAGGATGAGAATGAAGGGAAGTCCTAAGATGAATCTGATAAGGAGAGCAAGCAGCCCAAACTGCAGCCCAGGTAGAATACTCCAGGAGGGAAACTTAAAAAACAAATCAAGCAAACTAACAATTAAACAAATTTTTAAAACTGAGTGAATGATTACCTAAGCTTTCAGAGTTCTGCAAATGTTGAGGATGACTTAATGAAAAATACATAGAAATGTAAGCATCAATTGTTAACGAATTCCAAGAGAAATGAAAAATTACACAAAAAGGATATTACCTGATTCAGCTGTAAATAATGCATATGAAGTCACAATAATATAAGCACTGAATTTTCATCTTAGTAAAAATTATGGAATAACCAAATTGGGAGGATGAGTTGAAAGATAAATATCTGCGTGAAACGAATTTTTCCACTTGTTGGTTTTAAAGAGAGCTAAATGATGGTCTCATTTTCTGTAGAAGGAATTTAATAGATTATATCTCAAATTTTGAACCGAAGAGAAGTCAACATAAGTACATTTAACAATGGGAAAGAAATCCCAGAAGATCAGAATTCAAAGAGGTTGCCTCTGGTGGGTAGGAATCAGGGATATGTAGGGATTGGACATTAAGACTGCTACTTTTTCTCATACTCTTGTCATTTCGACATTTTAAAACATATTTTTTATAATTGTGGACCAGCAGTTGGCAGATCCCGATTTAAGTCCAGTCTGGTTATTCAGGAGTCCAAGCAGGTTTACTGGGTCCCTTGAACTGTATTCCCCAAATTCCAGAGCAGTTTCTAGAACAAAATAAGGAATCTCCAAATATTTGCTCCAAAACACCTTCAGGCATGTTTTGAGCATATTTTCTGAACCCAGAAGCCCCAAATTCTTGACAAAGTGTAGCATAACCATATCCTGTTCCCAAACCACGGATTGTAAAGATTTGTGCTCAGCCAGACTCCTGCCCTCTGCAGCCCCCTGTTAAATGGATTCAGCAGACTGAGAAACAGTAAGGCTCAAAGTGGCCCATCACTTTTAAGAGATTTATCTGACAAGGTGGGGAATTTCCAAGGCATCTGAGGATTTCCTAAACTTTCAGAGACCCTGCAGGCTCAGGTTTCAACATGAGTCCTTGAGACAGTTCTGAATAACCAATAGAAGGGATGGTTCCACATGCCCAGAGCCAGGAGGGCAGGACGGGAGGGCACGCTCCCTTATGGCATGGAGTGTCTATTGGGGTAAAGAAAGAGCAAGGTCATTCGTTCTTAACTCAAATATATATCCATGTACCCAACAAATGTTTTCACAATAACTTTTAAAATCTTGTCTATCACACTTTAAAAGACTGAATATTCGTGTCCATTTAATTATTTTTAAAACTGGTGTTTTTGGAAATTTGAATATAAATAAAATAAAAAGGGAAGATGGAAGAAAATGGTGTCTGGCATTGTGTCTTATAGCACGCATCTCTGTTTTTCTGTGTCTCATGATGGTTGCTATTTACAAAGCAAACCACACCTCCTTAACATTTCTCCCTCAACTACAGATCCACATTCTTCCCTTATCAGGGTCTGGTTCCTCCTAATCAACCTAATGTTTAACTAAAGTAACTCATGCTTGTTTTACTTATTTGGCATGCTTTGCCTCCTCTGAGAAAATAATTTACACATTGAGCTGTTTTGAGTACACATTTTATTCAACTGTATATAGATATTTTATATTTATAAATGTACATCATTTTATAATGTTTCAGCCTATTTAACTTAATTACAAACAGATATAGCAACTGTCTGCAAGTCGTATTACAGTTGTAAAGTAAGGATGCATTGGAAGAGCTTCCTATTAATATAAATTACTTTTAAAAAGCTGTTTTATATCAATACAAAAAGTCTTAAATTTTGAAAGCATTAATTGTATCTTTTATTCACAACACCCTGATATTGGGCAAGATTTCAAATCAAAAGAATCCAAACCCAATTATTCCAGTAGAGATGATCATTTCCCATTCTTTGGCTAGTGACTGGATTTTTAATAACCTAAAACCTCGTTGTAAATCTTTGACTATAGCAGCCTTCAGGGAGCTTTGTGGTTTGGATTTTCGGCTGCTATCCCTAGTTGCTATCAGTTAAGGATAGAGCCCTGAACCAACTAGAACCATGTGGAGGACTCTGACGCCATGTTTACTATTCCATTACCTCCCCATATCAAAATAATGAACAAGCAAGAAAAAAATGGTATAAATTACCTAGAGGAGAATGCACAAATCTTAGTTGCACAGCTCAATGAATTTTGACATAAGTATATCCCCATATGTATATCCCCAAATTTGACATATGTATATCCCCAGGTGACAAATATCCAGATCAAGAACACATTGATCACCCAAGAGAACTCCTCCAGGCCTCTTAGTGGCCCTCCCCTGTCCCAGATGTAAGTTCTTTTCTGATATCTATCACCATGAGTTAGTTTTGCATGATTTTCAAACGAAGTTAATACAAGCGAAATTATAGTCTATACTCTTCTGTGCCTGTTTTCTTTTGAAATTAATATAACATTTTTGAGATAAACATAAGACCTAAGTATGGAAAAAACAAAGTAAAATGACCTTGCTTCTAAGACACCTTGATTATGTATTTAAAAGTCCAAAAGCATTTGGAATAAAACGCCTATAAATAGTGAGATATTTAGCAAGGTCAAGAGATACAACGTCACTATACAGTAATCAATTATATCTCACTATATGTTTTGAATAACTTTATGGTTGATCCAATAATAAATTATTTGCTGAAATGAAAGTGTTCTTAAATATACACCCAGTGACACATAGAAACATAACTCTAAAACAAACATGATTAATGAGGTGAAAAAAGACCTAACATATCCCTAATACCTAGTAGACAATTAAGGTTTGTTTTTCTTGTTTTTGAGACGAAGTCTCACTCTGTCGCCCAGGCTGAAGTGCGGTGGTGCAATCTAGGCTCACTGCAACCTCTGCCTCCTGGGTTCAAGCAATTCTCATGCCTCAGCCCCTCAAGTAGCAGAGACGACGGGCACGCACCACCACGCCTTGCTTATTTTTGTATTTGTAGTAGAGACCATTTCACCATGTTGCCCAGGCTGTTCTGGAACTCCTGGAATCAAGCAATCCACCCACCTGGGCCTCCCGCAGTTTGAGGATTACAGGAATGAGCCCCCGCGCCTGGCCAAGATTTTTTTTTTTTTAAATAAAGTACTAGGCAATGCACATAAGAAAATATTAGCTCTTATATTTATCATTTTGTCCTTCCTTTGAGGAACTTTTTAAATATTATATATAATATATGTCATATTATATATATCATATAATATATAGTGTATCATATATGTAATATATTATATATTATATATTTATAATACAATTTAAAATGCTATATTATATATAATATTTTAAAATTACATTCACATAGAAATAAGGATATATGTATATATCTCTTTATCACAAAGTATTTCATAGAGTATGAACCACTGGAAATGGGACTTTGTGTTTCTATTCTGTGCTTTTAAAAAAAGATCATCTTATGAGTAAGGAATAAAATGGAAAACATTTAGATTATCTTAAAAACTGAACTACCTCTATACACTCAGGGTGCATCTGTGTGGATGTGCATGTGCACATGTTCTTTTTTTAGAAATTATTAACACTCAGAAAAATAAATGGCCAAATGAAACAGGGGGAAGTCTTAAATAGATGTAATCAAGTGAAGTAAAATGTAGGGCTGGCCGAAGACTTCGTAAAAAGCAAGGTTACCAGACAACTTATTTTCTATAACTAGATAAATGAATATAGGTGGCCATAAACACCTATCTTTTGAGTTTTCTATGTGCTAGACAGTATGCTAAAGATTTCACATTCCTCATCTCATTTAGCCTCAATAAAAACTAAAGCAGGTATTATTTCCTTATTTTATATACAAGAAACCAAGGTTTTGAGAGTTGAGGGGTTACTTCCCCAAGATTACACAATAAGTAAGTTAAAGAGACCAAGATTCAAATCAAGAGCTCACTTCTGGCTGGGTGCGGTGGCTCACGCCTGTAATCCCAGTACTTTGGGAGGCCGAGGTGGGTGGATCACCTGAGGTCAGGAGTTTAAGACCAGCCTGGCCAACATAGTGAAACCCCATCTCTACTTAAATAAAAAAAAATAGTGGGGCGTGGTGGTACGCACCTGTAATCCCAGCTACTTGGGAGGTTGAGGCAGGAGAATCGCTTGAACCCAGGAAGCAGAGGTTGCAGTGAGCCGAGATCGCGCCATTGCACTCCAGCCTCGGGGACAAGAGTGAGACTTCGTCTGAAAAAAAAAAAAAAGAGCTCACTTCCAGGCCTGGACACCATCTTCTTTGCTGCCTTCCTAAATATAAGTGAATATTCTCCATTTCCTTTTTGATCATCCTCTAAGTGCAGGGGTAAATTGTTATTTATAAGAAAATGTTCTTAAGTGTCTCAACTGCAATGAAATAGATCCTCAAAACGTGTAAGAGCAATGTGATGGAGAGACTAGATTCTAATAAATGAGGTCATAAAAACTGATGTAAAAAACTGTTATATGTTTGTTTAGCAAGCATTGACCTATAACAGTCACTTTCATGTGTGATTTTCGTGTAAACATCATAGCAACGACATAGAAAAGTAATTCCACAATTTCACAGAGGTGCACACTTGGGCTCAGAGAAGGAAATGATTTTTACTCAAAATCACAACCACTGTTTATAACTGGACAGTCACAGAGCTCCCACAAATTGAGGCACTCACTGAAAGGAAAATGCAAATGGTCAATAAAATATTTTTAAAGCCTCAACGTCATTAAAATCGGAGAAATTAACATTTCAACCACAAATCATACAAAGCTTTAACCATCAAACTGACAAATGTAAAGAGTTCAAACTTTTCCATTGATGAAAGGATGTTCAGAGAAAGTCACTGCACAAAAAGATGTTTAAAAGAGGTGTGAGGGGGATTTAGAGGTGGAGTACAAAGAAATAATTAACTTTGTGTAATTATTATGAAATTGCAGTGGTTAAAATAAAACATGTTCCTTTTGTGAAAGAAAAAAAGACTCTAATAAGCTAATGTTTTTTGTATAGGTATATGTGTTTTGGAAGAATGTTAATTCAATGGAAACATAAAAATGTGACTATACATAGCAAGATATGTAAAGAAACACTTTTTAATTATTATTTTTCTATAATATTAGTCTTCAGGTCATGATGAGAATTGAGGAAACTGAGGAGTTTATTGTCAATTCCAAAACTCTTTTTAAATCCTTAGTTTTGGGCAAATTTACATTTGTGATGAGCTATGACTTTGAACAGTACTATTTCAACGCAGTATTAAGTGAAAATTATTTTTGAAATAAAAGCATGATTTATTTGATCACATCTTATGGAATTAATTAAGCATAACTATATTAATTGCTACATAACTGAGAGCAAATTAATTGTAAGTAAATTACTTTATCACTGAATCCCTTTTAAGCAGTAGTATTATTTAATTATTGATCACTTGTAGTGGTTAATATATTTTGCAAATTCAGGGATGATACTTAAAAGTATATAAAATTTGCATCATGTCTTCTTTAATGAAAAATGTTTTTTTCTCAATGGAATAACAAAGCACATTTCAAATGTGTTCCAAAATAGAATTTGTAAATATTAACAGTACTTTTCAATTCTCTCTTATTAGGTAAAAAAAAAATTATAATTTGAGCACAGAGAATTTTCAATGCCCCTTAAACAGAAATGTCTTCCTTAATATCATAAATACAAAATTATCATAAGGTAAAATTTCCTGAAGGTGGCAGCATCCTAAGCAAATCTGTCTCCAACCTTTGCAGCAGGCAGTTTTTATGTATGGAGTAATATTACATTTCCTAATAAAAGGGATTAACAACAATACCACTCATTAATAATTATGAAAACAATGTAATAGTACTCATCATGACATGATTTCTTGAAGATTTATACAGTATAGTCTCTACTGAGGAATACATAAGTTGAACTCAATATAAATATTTTTTCAAGGTTTTTCTGAAATCTGTGAAGATTTCTGTTGATTCTCTGATTACACTAATTTTTTTTCTTGCTGAAACGTTATCTAAGTGAGAAAGTGACAGGCATACATTTTAACGTTCTAACTTTCATTTTGAGTCATACTTTAGACAAAAATAATAGGCCGGGTGCGGTGGCTCACGCCTGTAATCCCTGCATTTTGGGAGGCCGAGGCGGGCGGATCATGAGGTCAGGAGATTGAGACCATCCTGGCTAACACGGTGAAACCCCGTCTCTACTAAAAATACAAAAAGTTAGCCGGACGTGGTGGCGGGCACCTGTAGTCCCAGCTACTCGGGAGGCTGAGGCAGGAGAATGGTGTGAACCCGGGAGGCGGAGCTTGCAGTGAGCTGAGATCGTGCCACTGCACTCCAGCCTGGGCGACGAGCGAGACTCCGTCTCAAAAAATAATAATAATAATAATAATAATATTAATGCCAATTCCTTCTACATATTTCTTGAAATGTGAGGAAAATAATGATAACAAATGCTATGACTATGATTTTTGAAACTAAGAGTGGGCCCATAAATTGGGAAATAAATCTTAATTTAAACATTGGGTTTTAAAGTACTTACTCAATTCACTTCACAGTTACTTTGAAATAAAACCCCACAAACTTTTCTTATCTGACAATAAAATATAGTTTGATGATTTACTTTTGAAACTGTAATGCACTACACAGGTGGTTGTGGCTGTTATCATTATTTTTAAAAGCCAAGTTTCCACATCTGTACTTTGTGATCAGGGACTCTAATAGCAAGAAATAGTTGTATCATTGGTCAACAGAGTTATTTTGAACCTAGGTATTTTCCTTCAAAATGAGATGTGCTTTCCCCCGTCATAATAATTTTGATTCCATCACTTCTTTGTTATTCCATCTCTAAAAATGAAGATAAACATCTAAATTCTACAGTGTTTGGTCAATAACCTCCCTATTTAGATTTTAGTGCCCATTCATCATTATGCATATACCAAATTAGATTGCTGTAGAAGCAAATGTTTCTCAGAAAAATAATGAAACCCTTTATTTCATAGGTTCAGAGACATGTTGCTTCTTTGTAAATGGTAACTTGCCAGCCAGCTAACCCACGGTTAAGCAAAGATAAACTCCCTGGAAGGCAACAGATGTAATCTCAGCATTATTTTTTCTTCAGAGTTTTCCCAACCAGAATTTTTGTCTCTATTCCTGTTGCATTTTCATGTTTTCTTTCTTTCCATTTCTTTCTTTCTCTTTCCCATACTCTTCTGCATATGATTATTTTCTTCCTTTTTTTTTTCTTTCTTTTTTTCACCTCTGTCCTTCTCTCTGCAGTTTCTGATGCTGTGAACCTAGTGAATATTAAGGGACTTTCCTGGGGTATTTCCCAGAGGTTGAAGAAAAGCACCAGGACTGTGAAGTCACAGAAGCAGCCACAACACAGACTCTGGGAGGATGGGAAATGGCTAAAGTCATGATTTAGCCAGATGTTACAGAGTACAGGAAAAATAGAAAGTGAAGACCGGAAAAGTTCTATGCACTTTACTGAAATTGAAAACCCAAAATTCTCAACATGTTCATCCAATAAATTTTTTATATATATTTGGGATAAGTAAATTAAAATTGTATAAAAGATTTGTCTTAAATTCCTCAGCTAATATAGACAAAGTAGTACGACTGCACAAGCATTATCATAGATTCAGATGCGGGTATGGAGAGAGAAGAACTGGTCTGCTTTATTATATATTTTGCCAAATAGAGCTTATGGAAGAGAAGATATAAGAAAAATAATGAGGAACCTGTTTTAAACTGGATATGGGATAACTTCAGCATAAGTGATAGAATAGAAGAGAGAAAAGTAAAAAAAGGAGAAAACAGGCATGACTGACTAGTATGGGAATGTGAAAGAAATAAGAAAGAAATAAAAGTAGAAATGCAAAAAGCAATGGAAGGGTTCATATAAGTGATCAATAATTGCATCAGAATAAAATTAAGGGATATGGCCAATGGGGAAAAAGGATAATCAGGAGATTATCTGATTATAAAAGATAATGTTTGGAATAAGAGAGAGAGAGCAAAGGAAAGAGAGACAGAGAGAGAGAGATGATCAAGAGACCTGGGGAAAAAAATCTTGTTGACTGAAGTAGTAAGGTGGAAATAAATTTGGAAAGTAACATGGAGGAAGAAGCAGTAAAATGTTGTCATGAATAAAAGGAGAGCTGGTCTGAGATCATCTGCCAAGTGGAGGAGATGTGGACACCTGAGACAAAGGAAATATCAGTGACTACTGAGCGAGGAGTTGGAGCTTTGCCATAAACCAAGTAAAGTGAAAACACTAGTTCTTGCCAGCAAGCTGACTTTCACATGAAAGGGCAACAAACACATAATTTAATTATCATTGAAAGCAAAAATGACACCAACTGTGTTTTAAACTCTTCCTCATCTCATGGGATGTGATAATAAGTGAATCATGACAGCATCAAGCTCATTTCTGGTGCTTCACTAAAGTAACACAGTAAAAACATTAGCAGTCAAGAATTTGTGTAATTATTCAGTATCATCTTCCTGGAAAATTTTAGATACTTTGCAATTGAGATGCATTTACATGTTTCCTGATTCCTTCTTCAAAATAAAGGTCCATATGCAGTTTTTTGCCAAAACGAACAGAGAACGGAGAGGCAAAGCAGAACTACCCCAAGCTAACCTCCTTTGCCCATGGGTAGAACAGGCTTGTCACACCGAAAGTGAAAAACTCCCCATTAGAATATTGACTCTCCTCTGTAAACATCCAGTACAAGGAAATAAGAATACATGGATGCAAAGTAAACTCTTAGTTTCTACAATTGGTAGATAAAAGCTGGTGTTAATTTTTCTTTAAGCAGCCCAGGGTGCTTGACCTCCTTGAATCTACCTATGGTGTCGGAGGAATTCGTTGACATAAAGGTCCCCCAGCTCAGCAAGAGATAAGCCAGGGAAACATTGGAGTTTATGGCCGGGTTCTCCTGATACTGTTAGAACACTAAACCTTAGGGAAAGGACTATTTTTTTTTCTTCAAACTTCAGGGAGGCAGGCTTAGAATTAATTGCCCTTCCAGACAGAGAAGAGAGAATGTGATGCCTCTGGACACAGCAGTGTCTTGAACTTAAGACAAGGACATTGCAGTGTATTTTTCTGGCCGCCTTCTTTTAGTCAGTTCTAAAGGGATTCAAAAAGCTCTTTATAAAAGCAAATTTAGAAGAAGCTCTGTCCAAACTCATAGAGTAAGTTTAATTACTTCTAAAATTAACATAAAATGTGGAAAAGTGCACCTGTTATAGGCATATGCCTCAATAAATTTTTACCAGGTAACTAGACCCATGTAACCAGCTCCTTAATCATGATCTAGAACATTACTAGAAGGCCAGCCATCACTAACTCTCCAAATGTCACCACTGGCATGAATACTGATAACAAAGTTTTGCCTGTTTTTGTTTTTTGGTTTTTGTTTGTTTACATTAAATAAATGAAATAATGCTATATGTTCTCCTTTGTGACATATAGCTTCTTCCACTCAATAGTATGTTAGTCTGATTCATCCACATATTTTGGGATTGTTCTGAGTTGGTTATTCTCATTGCTCTATAGTATTCCATTATATGAATGTGCTGTAATGTATTATTCAACCTATTATTGATGATGTTAAAAGAAAAACTTCGGCCAAATTAAATTTAAAGTAGTTTTATTGAACAATGAACAATTTGTGAGTCAAGCAGCCCTCAGAATCACTGCAAATTCAGGGAGACTCCAGGGATGCCTCAAGGTCAGAACAAATTCATAGACAAAAAAAAGGGAAGTGATGTACAGAAATCCAAAGTGAGGTACAGAAACAGCTGAATTGGTTACAGGTTGGCCTTTGCCTTATTTGAACACAGTTTGAACACTTGGCAGCGTTTGAGTGGTTGAAGTAAGGCTGCTGGGATTGGCCAAGACTCAGCGATTGTTACAGGCCCATACTCCTAAATTAGGTTTTCAATCTTGTCTACCTATTAAGTTAGATTACTGTTCATCCACGATGACTCAAATATAGAAGTATGGAGCCATTCTCAGGACATATTTAGTTTGCTTTAACGATGGACGTTTGAATAGTTTCTAGTTTGGGGACATTATTAATAGTCCTGCTATGGATATGCTTATATGTGTCTTTCAGTGTGTATATTATTCACTTCTGAAAGGGATAGGTGGAATTGCTAAGCCATAGGTTATGTATATGTTCCTGTGTTTTACTAGATAGTGCCAAATAATTTTCCAAAGTATTTCTATCAATTTATATTTTAATTGTAATGTACGAGAGCTCCAACTGCTCTACATTTTTAATAACTCTTGACATTTTCCATCTTTTTATTTTAGTTTTCTAATGGGTGACCATATGGCTTTAGAGCTGTACTGTAGGAATAGTTGAAGAGTCTCAGACCAAATCCTGAAAATTCCAGTTGTAAATGATATATTTGGGTCTCACATCCTACTCGGGTATGTGATTTTGGTGATTGAAAATAAATTGATTTCTAAAAAAACCTACCTAGCAAACAACTTTACTCATCAACAAAAACTGTGAAAAGCAGTTGTGGGGCCAATTCTTCAATTCATTACATCCAACAAACCTCCAGTTTCAAGGATTATATTTTTTCTAGTAATTTCATTTTTCTTCCGAATAGTTTTACTTTTAACCAGTCTAGTTATCTACTCTTTTATAGGTTTATCCAAAATGCTTTAGTTTTTTCAAAGCCATAAAGGAATCTTTAGAAAACTTGTTATACATGAAAATGTTGTTCATTAAGTTATTACTATATGCTATTAATCATGATAATTATCAGGGATCCAAAGATGAATAAAATAGAGTCCATTTTTCAGTGATTTACAAACTAAGGAGTAGATAATAATAGCTAACATTCTTTAAGTGTTTACTATGTATATTTTACATGTATTATCTCATTTAATACTTACAACAAATATACTAGTAGGTTCTACTATTGTCCCCTATTATAGATGAGGAAACTGAGGCACAGAGATGTAAAGAAACTTATCCAAGGTAGCAATGATGTTGAAATATGATTCAAATCTGGGAAGTCTGATTTCAGAGTACACTTTAAACCATTACGCCACCTTATGACTACAACAAAAGGTACACTAGAATATGTGCTTTAAAATACGGCTAAAAACAAAGTTATTGAGAAGATATTAAGTGGGAGAGCTGAGTTCAGACTGTGAGAGTTGGGAACTTTATGGAAATGGCCAGGTATTTAAAATTAGGTAGTACTTTCAAAGAAAAAATGAAGAGAAATGGAATTCACATAGTGGTAATAACACAGATTCTAAGCTCCTTGGGGGAAGGAAGTGTGCTTTTTGTTACTGTAAACTGATCGACTAGAAAAAGGTCTGTGAGTGAGCTGATGTTGAATGAACATAGAGATTTGGGGCGTGTCAAGCATCATAGGCATCCTGTGGCCATATGCTACAGTTTAATGTCACTGAAAGAACATGCATGAACATGTGAGTGGGTGAAGATTGATGTTCAGAGCATATTTGGGAAAGCAGTACTTGTGGGTCAACATAATCAAAGAATAGGAGCTTAGCATAAGGTGTAAAATGTCTCATTCTGTACAATTTACTTTATACTGTCAAGTTGGAATCCCTGATTGAAATGATTTCTTCCAAAATTCTATGAGTGGTTTTTCCAAAGAAGCATTAAATTTATTTGCATATAAACTAGGCCAAATTTTAAACTGTTCTCAATAATGTTATTTTCATATAATAGCTTTTATATCTTAAGTACCTTAAAGAAATTATTGACCCCAAATATTACTTCAGTGTTAAAGAGGAAAAATGAATATAAAATATGCTTCAAATAACAAATATTGAGCAGATATAAATAAGATGAATAAATAAACCAACAATGGCCAAGTAAAGATATTTTAAAATTAGGAACCTAATAGTAGTTGAAAAATATTTATCTTTGCCTATAATTTTTAAAATGTAAAATGTAGATTATAACAACCTTGAGATAATATGTTACACCTGTAAGAGTGACAGAAATATTTTCAATGATAATGCTGGCTATGTTGTGATCAAATTGGCCAAACAAAACATTGTTAGTAACTTTATAAATTATAGAATCCTTTTGGAAACAATATGTTTCAACAATCATGAAAAAATTCATATCATAGTTATATCGTTTTTGGAAAGTTGCTCATTTATTTACTTAACAGATTTTTATTGAGCACCTATGCTGGTGGCCTAGAACATAAATATCGGCGATATGTATCACCTTCCTTCAAAAAGCTAATATACTAATTGAAGGCTTGAAACAAATCATAAAATACTTTTAGTTGAGTAATAGCTTTAATAAGGTATAATATGCATGGGAAAAAAAGAAAACCAAGAATAAATTATCCTTAGGAAACCGTTTTATTTAAACAGCAAAAGGCGGATTCATGAAGATGTCTGCAATAACAAAACATAATAAAGGGATACAAAACTCCCCAAACCTAAAATATATTGACTTGATAAGATAGTTTAAAGCATTCAGATAAGACAGGGTAGAATATGACAATACTTTTATAATTGCAGAACCATAGTAAATAAAAAGATAATAAAATGGCATTTAATGTTATGTTTTTTGTCCAGTAAATGGTAAACTTTATTTATTTGATGGTTCTTGGAAAGTTGAAGAAAAATCTCTTTGAATTATAAAATTATAGAGATTATACCTGAATAAAATTGAAAACTCTGCTATGTTAAGTTGTGGAATGTTAAGGCAAATTAGTATTACATTTGCACCATATATTCCAAGAAATTCAAAATTGCTCTAAATTATAAACACAGTATTTCTTTCAAATAAGTGGGTATTGTTTGGTGGCTATCTCAATATTTTTCATGCAAGAAAAATGAAGCCGAGATTATTTAAATGACGTGTCACTTGTTTGATACAACAGGAGAGGCTCTTTAACTCAACTTAACAATGATTTCCAATGGGTTCAGCAGCATCTAATCAGAAACTTTCAAAGCAACCTTTTCTTTATCTGCCAGACTTTGAATATGGAACACAGTGTGTTTTTTTTCACCAGGTATTATATTATAGCACTATAAAGTCATTCTGGATGTCTAACTATGACACTTCTTTGTACAAAGTTCACAGATATAAAATTTTGAAAAAATTTTGAGCCAGTAAAATTTCTTCCAGAAGGCAAAATTCCATGAGGTTTTGTTTTTAATATCTGCATACACACAGTTTTCATCATCAAAGCAAGTTAATAGTATTGCAAGAAAAATAACTCTCAGGATTATACTATAATCACATAGACTTTTCAGCATTGACCCCTGCTGTTATTAGGTGGAATACTACTTTAAGTATGGCTGCAAACACTTGTACCTAATTGCACTTGTGAAGTAAATAACAATGCTTGGATTGTGCCCTTTCCTGCTCCAAAGCTGTTTGCAGTTGTACCAACAAGTTGATAGGTACGATTTGACCTCTGGCTCACAAGTTTGAAAACAAATGGCCCGTGCACATTTCAGACAATTATTTCTTTAGAACAATTTATGTTGGTCCCAGCTTTTACGTAAGTATTCTATAAAAGAAAGGTGTTACGTAGTATAATGTTTCTACAGAAATCTTTAACTCTTTAAAAGTTGGAAAGAAAAGTTATGTCTTCAAATAAGTTATTTTTAATTTTTCAAAGAAAATGCTTCGTGATTATTTATTTGACTTTGCACAGTCTAAATTGAAAACTGAAACAAGTCTTTTTACTTAGAAAAAAAGAATTATCAATTCTTTGAATAGATCTAATAATACTGAATAGACCTAATGTTTTAGAACTATATCTATCTGTGCTTTCACAGAGCCAAGTTTGTGAGATAGACACAACACTAATTAATATTTCTCTTATTCTTTTAAAATGGGAAAAGTAATAAAGATATTAGCCAATTATGTTTCTTATTGCTCTCCTTATGTTCTCAGACATTTAGCTGTCCCTAATTTAGCCTTCTCTCCTGCCTGCTTGCTTACAAACTCCCAAGTTCATATTTTAAGCAATTTCAATCAGGACAGATTAATAAATCCCAGCCTATTCATGGGAATTAACTAATTCAGAATGAATCTTTCCTAATTGTTTTGTGTTCACATGGGTGTTTGCTTTGGCCCCTCTCCAAGCCTCCAGCCAAGGGAGAACATTGTCTCACCACACCCAACTAAAAACAGAGTCAAGGAATGATTCCTTTGGTGAAAGCGTCACTGAATAAGCAGTTTTAGCTTGGTGCGTGTGTGTGTGTTTTTTAAAAGGAGATCTGTTTGTAGATTGTCAACAAAGCAGTTTCCACATAGAAGAATACCAATTCCTATTGTTGCTTTTTTTCCTAGCAATAACATTCTGAAATTTGCAATCTTTAGCACCAAGTTTTTAAAATCCTAAATGACATGTTGTTTTTTCCTGTATGAAAGTTTTCTTAAAAAGCAAATTGTAATTATTTTCTCAATCGTTTTCTTTTTGTTTTTCACCTCTACCCTTCCAAAATAACATAATTTCTGATAGTGTCATCTTTTAAATTTTAAAAGCGCATTCCTGAGTTAGCTCTTTCTTTTCAGAAGGCAAACATTGGTGCTCCAGTATAAAAACTAAAAGGTGCTGACACTATTATGGCACAGAACTTTTTACATAGTTTCTTGCCCTTCTGCATATGAAAGTCCAGAATTAGTTATTACATGGTTGGATCTGGGGACTGTGTCTGAGCCCACCAGAGAAGCCTGGTCCAAGCTTCCCATATCAGGGATCTCTTAATTTTTGAAGAATAATGCAGATTGGGTGCTTATAAAAAAAAAAAAAAAAAGAGAAATATGCCCATGAGCTGAATTGATATTCTAGAGAAAAATGGAGAGGCTTTCATAGAGAAATGAGGAAGTGCTAGTGAGGTTTTAGAGCCTCTGGTTCCTCTCCAAATCTACATCCAGGAAGTATCACCACCACTTTCCAAGGTGATGAATCAGACAATCCACTCCTCTCAGGAGCGGTTTCTGCAGTGGTGGCTGGCAAAGCACTTAGCTTGAGGGTTCATAAACACTTTTTGAAAATGGTAGTGATGACAGGCTCGGTGGTCTTTTGCCATAAGGCTTATGGGAGAAGGATTTTAGTCGTAGGGTTTTAAATAAATGCCACTGATAAGAGCTCAATGAGATAAAAAATATGTGTAGATGTAAGAACACAAACAGAAATTTGAAAACATCTTTGTCTTCCACAAGGTCATAAGAATCATAAGAATTTACTTTTGACCCAGAAAGTGAATGACTGACTTCCTTTCATGGTATGTTAATGCTGACCTAAGATAAAATATATAAACATCAAATAAGTATGTCATGTGTATGCTTTCAGAGTGTGGAGGAGGTGTCTGATCCTGCAACATAAATGTTCTGGTGGTATTTACCAAGTAACCTCTCATTTGGAAAAATAAAAACTTATCTGTCTCTTATTTTCTAAAAATTCTCCCCATTTTATAATGTTCTCCAGTTAAGAAAACTAGGTCTCTTTAACTCCTTTAGGGGACACCAAAAGCCAAATCAAACTAGGTAAGTTTCTGCTTTATTTTTCACAGCACAAATTTAAATATTGCCAAGTCTCATAAACCACGCCCTGTTTGTGAATGAATCTCAGGGAACATTTCAAAAACAACAGAGCAGACCTTTTGATTTTCCTTATCCACATTCTTTATTCTTCTCTTATTTCATATCCCTTTTTTGTACTTTCTTGATTAAAAAGAGAAACATAAACATTCTGTTCTAACACCTCCAATCCAATCTATATAAATGATGCTACCTGACTGCACTTCGCAATACTTAGTAAACTGTGCTCCCACGTTGCTCTGTATTTGTTTTTTATGTTTTTATATTTATTTTTTATATTGCTGTATTTATTTTTTATATTGCTTTTCACTATTCGGGAAACAATCCACAAGCATTTACTAAGCACATTCCACCTATTTAGTCTCTAGTATTAATTTCCTCCTTCTTGGAAAACTTAAGTTACACTGTGAAGGGCTCTGTGAAAGATGAGAAGGTTCTAACCCCTTTCTCCTGGAAGCTAACGTGTGCATGCGTGCACGTGTGTATAAAAGAGCAGGGTGAGTACATGAGGGATATATGTATAAACAATCAACTGCACTTCAAGTCAGAATGAGGAAAGTGATCACAGTATTTTAGATGTGTCTCTTCTGATTGTAAGACACATACCCACAAGGTCTGTGAAGCAGGCAGCTTGAGAGGAAGAAGATGGGCAGAGAATGAGGAGGAGGAGGCATTCTCTCCTGAGGCAGGGGAGTGATGGGCAAGTGCCCTGCGTGAGGGAGCTGAGCTGCCTGCGTAGGTGATTTAGTGCATGCCTATTTGCCTTAATCTCTAGGACATCGAATGTGTCCATGAGATGGCCTCTGATATGGCTTGGATGTTTGCCCTTGCCGAATCTCATGTTCAGTTGTAATCCTCAATGTTGAAGGTGGGGCCTGGTGGGAGGTAACTGGATCACGGGGCTGGTTTCTCATGGTTTAACACCATCCCCTTTTGGTGCTGCCATCGAGATAGTGAGTTCTCATGAGATCTAATTGTTTAAAAGCGTGTGGCACCTCCTCCCTCTCTCTCTTGCTTGTACTCCTTCCATGTGATGGGTGTGCTCCCCCTTTGCCTTCTGTCATGGTTGTAAGTTTCCTGAGGCCTCCCCAGAAGCTGAGCAGATGCCAGCATTATGCTTGCTGTACAGCCTGTGGAACCATGAGCCAATTAAACCTCTTTATTTTCATATATAAATTACCCAGTCTCAGGTATTTCTTTATAGCGATGCAAGAAGGAGCTAATACAACCTTGATGACCACACAGGATGCTCAAGTTAATACATTGTAATATACACATCGTCCTGAATGAGTGGGTTTTCTTTCATCTCTGTCAGAATGTAGCGTCTCATTCAAACACTATTTTCTTTGTAGTCAAAAGTGTCCCATTGAGTTTAGACCTTAGGGAGATAATGTTTTGAACCTGGTTTGAGCCTTAAATTTCATGTGCTTTTAGGTCTTCAGTTTTTTAAACAAAAAACCTTAAAGCTAAAAATACTCAACAATAAATTCAGAAAACGTAAGATGATTTCCTAGGATTCTTTTTTGGGAGGCTGAGGGGGACGTGAAAGAGAGTTCCTTGAACTTCCTTTGTGGACTTACAACATCACTTTCTCCTGATTCTCTGATCACTTTTTTTCTTAAAGGATTAAAAGTCATTTGTTATTTCACCAATGTGTTCATTTACTCAGCATTTATGATAGCATATTGCAGTCCAAGCATTGTGAGAACTCAAGGAGCTCAAAGAGTATTTTTGGTTTGTCATTTTTTCCTTTTATTTTGGTTTTTAGGCTGAAACTAAAAAAATAAAATGAGATAAATGCTCTGCCAGGAGAAGCCCAGAGCACCCAGGGAGCCTGGAGGAAGAATCTTTTCTTCCTATCCAGAGAAGTCAGGAAGAACTCCAGAGCTTAGTCCAAGCTGAGCCTTTGAAGATTAAGAAGTGGCCAAGCACAGGGCACAGAATGTGAAAGTATATAAAGGCAAGAGGGAATATGAAAAGTGGTGGGAAACTGAGGAGGATAGAAAGGGCCAACCAAAAAACAGCAAAAAAATGCAGTGGGAGTGGCTGCTGATGCCACTCAACTGGGGGAAAGATGGCAAGTTAGAGGAAAGCAGGCTGAGTTTGTGCTGCCTGGGGCCACCCCTGTTTACTCTTGTTTTACTCCCTGGACTCCCTATTTGAATACTGTCAGAGATGACTGCAATTCCACAGAAGGCATTCAAGGCCCTGCTATCCTATCTCCAGTGACAACTTTCCAGCCTGACCTTCACACTACTGATCTCCCTGCTCTCAAGCACACCCTGCAAGCTCAAACTCTGAGCCTTTGCTTATCTAGGCTCGGCTGAGCTTTATGCTACTTGGTGAAGTCTGACTCATTCTGCAGGGTCCATTTAAATGTACCTTCTGTGTAAAGCACTCTGGGACTCCTTATAAGCCCTAAATCAAAATGAATAACTGTCTCCTGTATGCTGCCATGATACTGTACTTTAATCTTCTTCCATTAAATGAGCACTTATAACATTGGACTCAGAATAGCTAGTAAGTAGCTGTAGATACTATGTGCTATGTATAAGTTATTTCTTTAACTATGCTAGCTCATTTAATATTCATAACTGATCTATGAGGATCATACTATTACCTTATTTTACAAATATGCAAACTGGGGCAGAGAAAATTGAAGTAACCTACCCAAGACCACACAGCTAACAAATAAGAAAGCCAGGATTCAACCCAGCCAGCCTGCCTTTAGGGTCCATACTCCTATGGTGAACTCTCCTATAATGAACTCCGGAAAACTAAGACTGGGTTTCACTCACCCTTGTATGCCCACTAGCTCTAGGGCTGGAAACACTCCATGACCATCTGTTACATTATTATTTATGTTAAGACTTTTAAAACTCGGATGATAACTTTTAATAACTTCCTGTGATAATATCTTCTGGTCTCACTGCTGTATGATCAGGAAGCTGTTTATAATATTTATCTTTAATCTTCCTTACTATTGTCAAAATACATCCTCTCTGGTTCAATAATCACTGGACCACCAAAAAACTCTTGTCTTCAATTCAAAATTCAATTCTGTCTTCAATTTTAGAAAAAGCCTTCTGTCTCTACTGGATCCTCCCCATCAATGTACAAATGTACTTCTGTTTTTTCTCATCTTAAAAATTTTGTTAAAAAATACCAAAATCTGTTACTCCCACTTTTCTTCCCTGCTACATCTCCATTTTTCTTACCCTTTAGAGCAAAACTCTCAGCAAGATTTGCACATACCCACTTTCACATTTCCTCTCCTCTCATTCTCCCTTAAACCCATTCCAATCAGGCTTTCATCCCCACTATTTCTCAGAAACTGGACGCAACTAATGGTCATTTTCCTATCAGTCCTATGGTGTGACCTATCTGCATTATTCAGTCGAATTGATCATCTTTCTTTAAAATTGTTTCTTCATTTAAGCCACAGTGTTCCACAGGTTTCTCTCTTCTTACTCTTCACCACTTTGTCGATTCATTTCCTGTGTCTGCTTCTTTTTCCTGAGTACTCACATTTAAAATTCCACAAGATTTAGCCCTTGGTTCTCCTTTCTTGCCACACTCCATTGATTGTATCCTCTGGTCTCAAGGCCTGAAAAAACATGTGGACACCAATGACTATCAAACTTACATCTCCAGCCCAGACCTCTTTCCTGAACTCCGTCTGTATTTATCCAACAGCTTATTCAATATCTGCTCTTAGATGTCTGACAGACATCTCAAACTTAACATGTCCCAACTGAATTCATCTTCAGCACCCTCATTCTGTCCCCAAATCATGACCTTCATTGTTTTCCCCATCACAATAAATTGTAACTCTATCCTTTCCATCATTCAGACCAAAAATCTTAGTAACATCTTTGCCTCCCCTCTTTCTTTCATACCCCATATCCAACCTGTCTGTGAAGCCAACTTCCAAACTTTATTCAGGACCACTTCCTCCCACCTCCATTACTACAATGTTAATGTTAGCAACCAAGATTACTCACCTGGATTACCGTGAAAACCTCTTAGCTACATGACTGCCACTCTTCCACATCTCTTTTCTGTTTTCCACATTGCAGTGAGAGGCATCCTCTGAAAATAGAAGTCAAATCACATCATGTCTCTGTTCAAAATCCAGCAACACTTTACCATATCCAGAGCAAAAGTCAAATTCCTAATGATGTCTTTACAAAGGCCCCATATCATCTGTTCCGCTCTTCCCTTCAGTTTTCTGACCTACTCTCCTTCTCCTCTATTTTGTTTTAGGTATTTCTGCTTTAAGATATTTGCTTTGGATGTTTCCTCTACCTGAGAGGTTCATCCTTCAGATATCTGCATGGAAAATTCCCTTGACTGTTCGAAGTTATGTGCTCAAAAATCATGTGTTCAGTACAGCTCATCCTGATCATCCTGTTTAACAGTGGCTGGTCCCCGCTCTTTTAAATTCCCCTTCCTCTGCTCTAACCTTCCCATGACACTCAATACTTTCCTACATGCTATGTAATTTACTTATTATTTTATTGTTCTTGTCTGTCTCCTTCCACCAGACTGAAAGCCTCAATAACTCAGGGATTTTAACTATTTTATTTACTTCTGTATCCTAAATACTTAGAATACTTACTAGCACATGGTGAGAACTAATAAATGTTTGCTAAATGAATAGATAGGAAAATAACTATCCTCCCTCAGGCTTTAACTTCCTAGACTGAATAAACAGAGTTCATTAACTTTTAAGTCTAACTTCCAACATGAATACTTTTTTTTATGATTCTCTTCTGGCTTGTCTCCCCATTTTAGTATTTATTACATGTTATGAATTCAAAATTGAATTCAGAATTTCAATAAAGCTTGTATAGTCTGAGAGTAGAAGAATATTGACACTGAAATTCTCTAACTATTGATCCATATTTATCATGGAACTGCTACTTGATTTCTGACATCATTCCAGAAACTAAAAACAAACTTCTCCTAGAGGAAGCAACAGTAAACTTGAATTCCTTCTTCAATGGTAAATATGCCTGACCTTTGATAACCACATGGTTTGAATGGGCAGATTACTTGTTCACTAGCATAACAATTTCCTGACCCCCTGTAGATACCTTACACTAGGAAGCCATACATTTTAACATTATAAAACCTTCAATTACTATCTACTGGTTTCATGTACCATTCCACATGCTTAGAATCTGTGGTTCCAAAAGATAAGTGGGTTTCTCCTTTTACCTTCTCTTATAGCCAGCAACACTTAAATTACTCTGGAATATTTATGAGAATCTTATTTTGTTATTTGAAAATAATTATTATGCAATTGTCAAAGAAACTAAATGTGACCAAATTTTAGAGCTAACAAAATTTAATCTTGAGTCTAGCATGATTTTTACCTTGGTGCCTCATTGACACAATTATCTATCAAAGTTTTTAAAAACATGCTTTTTTACTTGATGGGCAGGTGGGTGGAGGGGTCGGTAGGGTGGCAGAAATGCACAGTTTGAGGGGTGTTTGTTTTTATTTTTTCATGCATTTTCATAAAGCATGATGTTTTGGCAGCAGAACTTGATGATAATTTTGTCTGGTTAAAGGTACATACTAGTTTTCCTTGTTGAGATTTTACAAGAGATGTTCTCAGAGAGAGCAACTAAGGCATAATTTCTTCTGCCTTGTAGTCAGCTCTGTTCACATCAGAGCCCGAGAGAAAATAGGGCATCTTGGAATCAACAAGGACTTTATAATCACTCACATTGTGATTTGAATACAATTTGCACTACTTCATTCAATAAATATTTATTGATATCTATTTTATGCCAATTCTGGTTTGAATGCTGGAGATAAAGTAGTTCACAAGAAACACGAGTTTCCTATTTTCATGAAGCTTAAACCCTGCACTTAAAAATCTCTTTGGTTAAACCTGACAGTGTAATTGAGAGTTTGAGATAACTTAGGTAAGGTACTGAGATAAAACTTACGTCAAGTGCCTAGACAGTATTTCAGTTTCTGGGGTGAATTTCAGTTTCAGCATCCCTATCCCTACCATAACAATGCCTAACCATGGTTACACAAAGCATTTCCAATTTAGTGTTCACAGTGTTAATTTGTTATTAATGAATTGATTTAAGCATTTTTTAAAACAATTTAGTTTACTAGCCACACACCATTTCTTGGGAGTAATTTTTTTCTGAACTGTTCTATTGGGTAATGGATAGAACACTAGAAAGAGAGTAAGGCTTATGCTACCTCAAGCTTTTGTGAAAAGATGAGTCCGTCTTTTTACCTCTCTAGGTCTGCGTCATACGGAGAATAAAAAAGTAGAACTTGATCTAATGACATCAAAGTTCCTTTGCAGTTGCAAGCTTTTGTGATTCTACTTCCTTTTATTATCCAAAACTTGCCCTTTTAAGTATCAAAGGATATTCTATATTTGTTACACTATGTTCATTCATATTCAATGTTCACTCATACATTTTATAATTATATAAATTTAGAATATATTTTTAAAGTTTAACACTTTTATTTTTATTTTTTTCTTCAACTTTTATTTTCAGTTCCGGGGTACGTGTCCAGGATGTGCAGGTTGTTACATAGGTAATTATGTGCCATGGTGGTTTGCTGCACCAATCATACCATCACCTAGGTATTAAGCCCAGCATCCATTAGCTATTCTTCCTGATGCTCTCCCTCCCCCAACTTCCCCTCTCCCACAGGCCCTAGTGTGTGTTGTTCCCCAACACATGTCCATGTGTTCTCATCATTCAGCTCCCACTTACAAGTGAGAACATGTGGTTTTGCTTTTCTGTTCCTGCCTTATTTTGGTGAGGATAATGGCTTCCAACTTTATCCATATCCCTGCAAATGACATGATCTTTTTCCTTTTTATGGCTGCATAGCATCCCATGGTGCACATGTACCACATTTTCTTTACCTAGTCTACCGTTGATGGGTGTTTAAGTTGATTCCATGTCTTTGCTATTGTGAATAGTGCTGCAATGAACACATGTGTGCATGTATCTTTATAATAGAATGATTTATATTCCTCTGGGTATATACACAGCAATGGGATTGCTGGGTCAAATGGTAATTCTGCCTCTAGGTCCTTGAGGAATTGCTACCTACACTGTCTTCTACAATGGCGGAATTAATTTACGCTCCCACCAGCAATGTAAAAGCATTCCTTTTTATCCACAACTTCACCAGCATCTGTTGATTTTTTACTTTTTAATAATAGCCATTCTGACTGGCGTGAGATGGTATTTCATTGTTGATTTGATTTGCATTTCTCTTATGATCAGTGATGTTGAGCTTTTGTTCATATGTTTCTTGGCCACATGTATGTCTTCTTTTGAGAAGTGTCTGTTCATGTCTTTTGCCCAATTTGTAATGGAGTCATTTTTTTTTCTTGTAAATTTGTTTAAGTTCCTTGTACATTCTAGATATTAGACCTTTGTCAGATAAATAGATTGCAAAAAAAATTCTCATATTCTGTAGGTTGTCTGTCAATCTGATAGTTTCTTTTGCTATACAGAAGCTCTTTAGTTTAACTAGATCCCATTTGTCAATTTTTGCTCTAGTTGCAATTGGTTTTGATGTTTTTGTCATGAAACATTTGTCTGTGTCTGTGTCCGAAATGATATTTTTCACTCGTGTCCGTGTAAAGAGACCACCAAGCAGGATTTGTGTGAGCAACTAGGCTGTTTATTTCACCTGGGTGCAGGTGGGCTGAGTCCAAAAAGAGAGTCAGCAAAGGGAGATAGGGGTGGGGCCGTTTTATAGGATTTGGGTAGGTAGTGGAAAATTACAGTCAAAGGGGGTTGTTCTCTGGGTGGCAGGGGTGGGGGTCACAAGGTGCTCAGTGGGGGACCTTTTGAGCCAGGATGAGCCAGGAGAAGGAATTTCACAAGGTAATGTCATCAGTTAAGGCAGGAACAGGCCATTTGCACTTCTTTTGTGATTCTTCAGTTACTTCAGGCCATCTGGATGTATATGATGTGCAGGTCACAGGGGATATGATGGCTTAGCTTGGTCTCAGAGGCCTGACATTCCTGTCTTCTTATATTAATAAGAAAAATAATATAAAATAGTACTGAAGTGTTGGGGCAGTAAAAATTTGGGGGGTGGTATGGAGAGATAATGGGCGATATTTCTCAGGGCCGCTTCGAGCAGGATTAGGGGCAGCGTGGGAACCTAGAGTGGGAGAGATTAAGCTGAAGGAAGATTTTGTGGTAAGGGGTGATATTGTGGGGTTGTTAGAAGGAGCATTTGTTGTATAGAATGATTGGTGATGGTCTGGATATGGTTTTGGATGAATTGAGAAACTAAACGGAAGACACAAGATCCAAATAAGAGAAGGAGAAAAACAGATATTAAAGGACTAAGAATTGGAAGGACCCAGGACATCTAATTAGAGAGTGTCCAAGGGGGTCCAAGGGGGTTTAGCCTAATTACTTGCTTGGTAGGCAAGTTTTTAGGCTCCATATTTGAGGGTTTTTTTTAATGTTGTCATATACCAGGCCAGATTGATTTAGGTAAAAAGAGCACTCTTCATTTAAAAATATAGAGTCCCCCCAACCTTTTTTTTTTTAAGCAATGAGTAAGTCAAGGCCTCGGCGATTTTGGGGGAAAGAGAAATGCAAAGCCAGCAATTGTTTGTTAAAGAAGGATTAGAAACAACTAGGAGAGAGTGACTGAGATGGATAGTGTGGCGGACATAGCTGGGGAGAGGTAGAGGGTGGCATAAGAATGGGAACGAGAATAAGAGTAAGTATAAAAGTAAAGAATAGGACTTCATCAGGGTGAAAGTATTGGAGTGTACTTTGTCACTGAAGATCTATCCACTTAAAGAGAGACTTAAGGGTGGCAGTTTGAGGTAAAACCAGGTGCCAGTGAATACCAAGAGCCTGAGAAATTGTTTGGGTGATTTGACTAATAAAGGCCAGTTCATTATTAGACTGTATAGAGGTGGGAAGGCCAAACTGAGGAATTATGTCTTACAGAAGGGAAAAAATGACTGTGGTGGCCTTTTCAAACCCTATGGGAAAGGCCTCTACCCATCCAGTGAAAGTGTCTACCCAGACCAAGAGGTATTTTAGTTTCCTGACTTGAGGCATGTGAGTAAAGTCAATTAGCCAGTCCTGGGCAGGGGGGAATCCCTGAGCTTGATGTGTAGGGAAGGGAGGGGGCCTAAACAACCCCTGAGGAGTAGTAGAATAGCAGATGGAACACTGAGAAGTGATTTCCTTAAGGATAGAGTTCCACGATGGAAAGGAAATGAGAGGTTCTAAGAGGCAGGCTAGCAGCTTGTAACCTACATGGAAGAGGTTATGAAATGACAATAGAATAGAATGGGTCTGTGAGGCTGGAAGGAGATATTTTCCTTGGTCCAAGAGCCATTTGCCTTGTGTGGGAAGAGATTGATAGGTGGAAGTTTCAGTGGGAGAGTAGGTGGGAGTGACCGATGAGAAGGAGAAAAACTGGCCATGGGGGATAGAAGTTGGAATGCTAGCTGATTCTTTAGCTACCTTATCAGCATTAGCATTGCCCTGAGCGATGGGACCTAATGCCTTTTGATGGCCCTTGCCATCAAAAGTGAATGACTCCAGCTTCCTTTGGAAGTAAAGCGGCCTTGAAAAGGGTTTTTATTAAGGAGGCATTAATGATGGAGGACCCTTATGTAGTGAGGGAACCTCTTTCTGCCCATATAACAGCATGGTGGTTCAGGATATGGAAAGGATATTTAGAGTCAGTATAAATATTGACGCATAGTCCTTTTGCAAGAGTGAGAGCTCGAGTTAAGGAAATGAGTTCAGCTTGCTGAGAGGTAGTGGAGGGGGGCAGAGCAGTAGCCTCAATGATAGATGTGGTAGATACTATAGCATAGCCTGCCTTTGCTGGTGAGTGGCGATGAGGCCTGGTGGAACTGCCATCAATAAACAAAGTGTGTTCAGGGTGAGGAACAGGAAAGAAGGAAATATGGGGAAATGGCATGAATGTCAGGTGGATCAGAGAGATACAGTCCTGGGGGTCAGGTGTGGTACCCAGAATAATGTGGGAGGCCAGGTTGAAGTCTGGGCCAGGAACAATGGTAATTGTGGGAGACTCAACAAAAAGCGAGTATAGCTGAAGGATCCGGGGAGCAGAAAGTATATGCGTCAGGTGGGAGGGAGAAAATAGATTTTGGAAGTTATGAGAACTGTAGAGTGAGTTGAGCATAGTGTGTGATTTTTAGCCATGGGGTGCATAAGCAAGACAATTTGGTTGATAAGGTGCAGATCCTGAACTAACCTGTAAGGCTTGTCTGGTTTTTGCACAGGTAAAATGGAGGAATTGTAAGGAGAGTTTATAGGTTTTAAAAGGCCATGCTGTAACAGGCAAGTGATAACAGGCTTTAATCCTTTTAAAGAGTGCTGTGGGATGGGATATTGGTGTTGAGTGGGGTAAGGGTGATTAGGTTATAATGGGATGGTAAGGGGTGCATAATTGGTTGCCAAGGAGGGAGTAGAGGTGTCCTATAGTTGTGGATTAAGGTGGAGAGATACAAGGGGAGGATGTGAAGGAGGCTTTGAACTGTGGAAAAGGGTGGCAATGAGGTGCGGCTGTAGCCTAGGAATAGTCAGGGAAGCAGATAATTTAGTTAAAATATCTCAGCCTAATAAGGGAACTGGGCAGGTGTGGATAACTAAAAAGGAGAGCATAAAAGAATATTATCCAAGTTGGCACCAGAGTTGGGGAGTTTTAAGAGGTTTAGAAGCCTGGCCATCAATACCCATAACAGTTATGGAGGCAAAGCAAACAGGCCTTTGAAAAGAAGGTAATGTGGAGTTGATAGCCTCTGTATTGATTAAGAAGGGGACAGACTTACCCTCTACTATAAGAGTTACAGAAAGCATCTGTGATGGTCCGGGAAGCTTCTGAGGCAATTAGGCAGTGTCAGTCTTCAGCCACTAAGCCAAGAAGATCTGGGAAGGAGTCAGTCAGAGAGCCTTGGGCCAGAGTTCCAGGGGCTCTGGGAGTGGCTGCCCGGTGAGTTGGACAGTCTGATTTTCAGTGGGGTCCTGCACAGATGGGACACAGCTTAGGAGGAATCCTGGGCTGCAGGCATTCCTTGGCCCAGTGGCCAGATTTCTGGCACTTGAAGGAAGATCCCAATGGAGAAGGTCCTGTAGGAATGCTTGACTGCTGTGGCTTAAGCATGTACAGCTTAGGCATTTTGAAGTTCTTGTGTGCTGGAGGTGTGGTTGGGTTTTGTCTCACAGTAGAGGCAAGTAATTGTAACTTTTGTCTATTTTTGTACACCTTGAAGTCGAGGTTAATTAAGTCCTGTTGTGGGGTTTGAAGGCCAGAATTTAATATTTTGAGCTTTATTTAATGTTGGGAGTGGACTGGGTAATAAAATACAATGCCTATTGAGAGTAAGATGGCCTTCTGACCTTTCAGGGTCTAGGGCTGTAAAGCATCTCAGGGTTGCTGCCGAACAAGCCATGAACTGGGCCGGGTTTTTATATTTGATGAAAAAGAGCCTAAACACCAACTGATTTGGGAGAGGTCGGATAAAGAAAAAGGAGCATTAACCTTGACTATGCCTTTAACTCCAGCCACCTTTTTAAGAGGAAATTGCTGGTCAGGTGGGGGAGGGCTAGTCACGGAACAAAACTGTAAGCCGGGCCAGGTGTGAGGAGGGGAGGTAATAAAAGGATTATAGGGTGGGGGAGTGGAGGCTGAGGGAGAATTTGGACCTGGCTTGGCCTGTTGAGGAGCAGCCTGGGGAGGAGGAGAGAGGTCAGATGGGTCTGTAAAAAAGGAAGATTGGAAAGACTCAGCAACACTTGGGGTTGGGACTGAGGGGACAGGCGGGAGGGAAAGAAGGAAGATTTGGGATGAGTTGCATTGGGAGCAGACTAGGGAGGGACCGATGTGTAAAAGAATGCCTGGACGTCAGTCACCTCAGACCATTTTCCCATTTTATGACAAGAATTATCTAGATCTTGTAGGACGGAAAAATCGAAAGTGTCGTTTTCTGGCTATTTGGAACCATTATCAAGTTTGTGTTGGGGTTAAGCGGCATTGCAGAAGAAAATAAGGTGGTTAGGTTTTAGGTCATGTGTGAGTTGAAGAGGTTTTAAGTTCTTGAGAACACAGGCTAAGGTAGAAGAAGGAGGAATGGAGGGTGGAAGGTTGCCTATAGTGAAGGAGGCAAGCCCAGAGAAATGTGCTAATCCACATTGCAGCCCAGGGCTGCTCTGCACCCCTTCTCTCCGTGTCTCTACCCTCTCTTTTATCTCCACTTTCCTGGGGGTCAAGAACCCTCCAGGTAGAGACATGGAGAGAAGGCATTGGGAGCAGCCCTGGGCTGCATGGAGACATGGAGAGAAGGGGTGGGGGGTGCTTACCCCCCAGGAAAGTGGAGAGAAAAGAGAGGGTAGGGACATGGAGAGAAGGAGTGGGGAGCAGCCCTGGGCTGCAATGTGGGTGAGCAGCCAGAGCAGGCATCCCCGCAATTGACTTGCCACCAAGGGAATGTGGGTGAATGACCAAAGCAGGCATCCCCGCACTGATCAGACACCAATGGAGTGTGGGTGAATAATCAGGCAGGTGTCCCCACAGTGATTAAACACCAAGGGAAGACTGTCTTCCCGAGTCCATGACGAGTGCCGGAGTTTTGGGTTCACAGATAAAACACGTCTCCTCTGTCTCTACCAGAAAAGGAAAGGAATTGAAATTCAGAGAAGGGAGATTGAAGTGTGACACCAAGATTGAAAAGAGAAAGAAGTTGAGGGATAGTGAGAGAAGTTGGAGAAGACAGTAAAGAGAGGCCACTTACCCGATTTAAAATTGGTGAGATGTTCCTTGGGCTGGTTGTTCTGAGGACCAGAGGTCGTAGGTGTATCTTTCTCATGGAGCAAAGAGCAGGAGGACAGGGGATTGATCTCCCAAGGGAGGTCCCCCAGTCCGAGTCACCACACCAAATTTCACAAGCGTCCATGTGAAGAGACCACAAACAGGCTTTGTGTGAGCAACAAGGCTATTTATTTCACTTGGGTTCAGGTGGGCTGAGTCCAAAAAGAGAGTTAGCAAAGAGAGAAAGGGGTGGGGCCGTTTCATAGGATTTGGGTAGGTAGTGGAAAATTACAGTCAAAGGGGGATGTTCTCTGGCTGGAAGGGGTGGGGGTCACAAGGTACTCAGTGGGGGACCTTTTGAGCCAGGATGAGCCAGGAGAAGGAATTTCACAAGGTAATGTCATCAGTTAAGGCAGGAACAGGCCATTTTCACTTCTTTTGTGATTCTTCAGTTACTTCAGGCCATCTGGATGTATATGATGTGCAGGTCACAGGGGATATGATGGCTTAGCTTGGGCTCAGAGGCCTGACAATTACCCTGCCAGAAACTCCAATACTGTGTTGAATAGGATTGGTAAGAGAGGGCATTCTTGTCCTGTGCCAGTTTTCAAGGGGAATGCTTCCAGCTTTTGCCCATTCAGTTTGATATTGGCTGTGGGTTTGCCATATATGGCTCTTATTATTTTGAAGTGTATTCCTTCAATACCTAGTTTATTGAGAGTTTTTAACATGAAGGGATGTCGAATCTTATCAAAGACCTTTCTCCATCAATTGAAATTATTATGTGGTGTTTGTCTTTAGTGCAGCTTATGTGATGAATCACATTTGTTCATTTGCATATGTTGAGCCAACCTTACATCCTGGGGGTGAAGCCAACTTGATCATGGTGGATAAGCTTTCTGATGCTCTGCCGGATTCAGTTTGTCAATATTTTACTGAGAATTTCTACACTTATGTTCATCAGGGATATTGGCCTGAAGCTTTCTTTTTTTGTTGTATCTCCGCCAGGTTTTGGTATCAGATAATGCTGGCCTCATAGAATGAGTTGAGAAGGAGTCCCTCCTTTTCAATGTTTTTGAATAGTTTCAGTAGAAATGATACCAGCTCTTTTTTGTACTTCTGGTAGAATTCAGCTGTGAATCTGTCTGGTCCTGGCTATTTTTTTTTTTTTTTTTTTTGGTTAGTTGGGTATTTATTACTGCCTTAATTTCAAAATTCATTATGGGTATATTTGAGGATTCAATTTCTTCCTGCTTCAATCTTTGGAGGGTGTATGTGTCCAGGAATTTATCCATTTCTTCTAGATTTTCTAGTTTATGTGCATAGAGGTGTTTATAGTATTTCCTAATGGTTACTTGTATTTCTGTGGGGTCAGTGGTGATTTCCCCCTTATCAAGTCTGATTGTATTTATTTGATTCTTTCTTTTCTTCTTTATTAGTTTAGCTAGTGGTCTATTTTATCAATTTTTTCAAAAAAAAATCTTCTGGATTTGTTGACATTTTGAAGGGTGTTTTTTTTTTTTTGTCTTTATCTTCTTCAGTTTAGCCCTGATCTTGGTTATTTCTTGTCTTCTGTTAGCTTTGGGATTGTTTGCTCTTGGTTATCTAGTTCTTTTAGTTGTGATGTTAGGTTGTTAACTTGAGATCTTTCTAGCTTTTTGATGTGGGCATTTAGTGCTATAGATTTCCCTCTTAACACTGCTTTAGCTGCATCCCAGAGATCTTTGGTACATTGTCTCTTTGTTTTCATTAGTTTCAAAGAACTTCTTGATTTCTGCCTCAGTTTCATTATTTATCCAGGAGTCATTCAGGAGCAGGTTGTTTAACTTCCATGTAGTTGTGTGGTTTTGACTGAATTTCTTAATCTTGAGTTCTAATTTGATGGTGCTGTGGTCTGAGAGACTGTTTGTTATGATTTTGGTTATTTTGCATTTCCTGAGAAGTGTTTCACTTCCAATTATATAACCAATTTTAGAGTAAATGCCATGTGACGATGAGAATAATGTATATTCTGTTGTTTTGGGGTGGAGAGTTTTGTAGATATCTATCAGGTCCACTTGGTCTAGAGCTGAGATCAGGTCCTGAATATCTTTACTAATTTTCTGTCTCAGTGATCTGTCAAATATTGTCAGTGGGGTGTTAAAGTCTCCCACTATTATTTTGTGAGAATCTAAGTCTCTTTGAAGGTCTCTAAGAACTGTTTTATAAATCTGGTTGCTCTTGTATTTGGTGCATATATATTCAGGATAGTTAGATCTTGTTGAATTGAACCTTTTGCCATTATGTAACACCCTTCTTTGTCTTTTTTGATCTTTGTTGGTTTAAAATCTATTTTGTCAGAAAGTGGGATTCTGACCCCTACTTTTTCTGTTTTCAATTTGCTTGGCAAATTTTCCTCCATTTCTTTATTTTAGGCCTATGTGTGTCTTCACATGTGAAATTGGTCTCTTGAAGACAGCATGCTGATGGGTCTTGGCTCTTTATCCAGCTTGTCATTCTGTGTCTTTTAATTGAGGCATATAGCCCATGGACATTTAAGATTAGTATTGTTACTTGTGAATTTGATCCTGTTGGATCAAATAATGCTAGTTGGTTATTTTGTAGACTTTTTTATGCAGTTGCTTCATAGTGTCACTGGTCTGTGTATTTCAGTGTGTTTTTGTAGTGGCCAGTAATGGTTTTTCCTTTCCAAATTTAATGCTTCCTTCAGGAGCTCTTAAAAAGCAGGTCTGGTAGTGACAAATTCCCTCAGTATTTGCTTGTCTGGAAAGGATCTTATGTCATTTCAGTCTTACGTTCAGCACCTCAGCATACATTGAGGTCAAGAGATAAATGTGTATTATGGACAACATGGTATATTCATGGTTGTTTTTTCCTCTAGGGCAACCAATCTTTTGTTTCCTGGACCAAACTTGTCTACCTGACTCTTTTCCCCTATGAGATATATAAGATTGTCTTCTGGGTAGCTCATCATTCTCTCATGCATACCTGAATTGCTGGTGGCTCATCCCATACCTACTGAACCTGGAGGCATAAATCTGGGTCAAAGAAAGGGAGACTTCACTACATTTAGATTCATACTTCCTGCAAGTTACTAGATCTTGCATTTTAAGAGAAGCTACAAAAGGAAAGAATACAATTTATGTAGTTACATATTTATTCATTGAAATTACTAAATGCTAAAAGAGATATCCTTGAAAAAGAAATGCTTTAGAAGTTCTAAAATGAAAGAATTGATATCATTTTATTTATTTCCCTCTAGTAACCTTTGAAATATTTTATTTTTGCAATCACGTGAAGTCATTTTTTTTTTTTTGAGATGGAGTCTTGCTCTGTCACCCAGGCTGGAGTGCAGTGGCATGATATTGGCTCACTGCAACCTCCACTTCCTGGGTTCAAGAGATTCTCCTGCCTCAGCCTCCTGAGTAGCTGGGATTACAGGCACCCCACCCCCACCACACCCAGATAATTTTTGTATTTTTAGTAGAGACACGGTTTCACCATGATGACCAGGCTGGTCTCAAACTCCTGACCTCAGGTGATCCACCTGCCTCGGTCTCCCAAAGTGCTGGGATTATAGGCATGAGCCACCATGTCTGGCCATGAAGTCATTTTTAAAAGGTTACATTGATAATTGATATTTGGTTGCAAAGAAAGGCAGATACTTCATCCTAAGGAAAGAGACAAGCAGGCAAAGCTCAACCCAGAAACAAAGCCTTGGTCTGGGAAAACCATATAGTGTGTGCCACTCTGAGCTCTTCCTGGCCCACCCATGTCTGAGATTCAGGGAGACAGTGGTACAAAACTCTTTAGCTTTGAAAGATATTATAATGCATCATTAATTTGATATTCCCCCATAAGAAAAGAGGGCAACATTTTATTTTCTTCACCCCGTATGGCTGCATCCCAGGATCTAGCTCTCCCGAGTGGGACAGTGGGTGTTGTCTGGGGAAGAGCAGTGGTGCTTAAGCATCTGACCAGATCTGCTCATAAACACTTGAATGAATTCCACAAGAAATCACAGAAATGCTTGGTGGTTGAAAGGATGGTCTTTTTAGTGATCCAGGGGTGAGTTTTAGCAGATGGGACCTGTATCGGTTAAAAGATCAGTTACAATTAAAAGGACCAGAAGTACTTTTACTTTTTCTCACAGACTGCCTTTTTGTGCTTCTCTACAATTTGTTTATCAGATTTAATGGATAACTACAACCTTTGGCTAGTTTCCTGGATGGTTCAATATCTCCTTAGAAAAGTCTCCAAACATATCACACTGAAAATCACATCAATACCCTTTGTGCTTTTTTAATTCCTTATGAAGACTACAATTAGATAAAGGCTCATCATTAGCTCCAGAAATGAAACTTCGGACTTTACTCATGCAGCAACAACTTTTTGTTCGTAAACACTGCAAACAGTACAACCTGTGAACCACACCATTGCATTGATTTGCCATTGTTCAATTTAGGTCTTATTGGCCTAATTATTAGGTTCAATTTAGCTTAAGGAGCACTAGCACATCATTTCAGTCATAAGGAGTCTAGTGTGTACAGACTCTTTTCCCTTTTTTTATGTTTTTGAGATAGGGTCTCATTCTGCACAGTCTGGAGTGCAATGGAATAATCATAGCTCATTGCAGCTTCCAACTCCTGGGCTCAAGGAATCCTCCCACTTCAGCCTCCTGAGGAGCTGGAATTAACAGATGTATGTCACTTTGCCTGACTGATTTTTTTTTTTCTGTAGAGACAGGGTCTTACTACATCACCCGGGCTGGTCTCAAACTCCTGGCTTCAAGTGATCCTCCTGCCATGGCCTCCCAAAGTACTGGGATTACAGGCAAGAGACACTACACCTGGCCCAAATCTTATTCAATTGATTCCAACTTTCATTTTTATCACTTCTCCCCAACACCCCTCACCATTTGCCCCTGCCCTATCTATTCCTCTCTTTTCCTTCCCAAGTTTCAACAGTGCTATCCTCCTTAGAACTGCATTACATGCCCTAAAACACTTTCACACTTTCTCTCCTTTCTCTCAACCTGCACTCAATCTGTTCAAGGACCAAACATGCCTAATCGCAGAGAAGCCTCCCCACCCATCAGTCCAGCCCAGCCCAGAGTCTGAGCACAGGTTACTGCTTGCTCTGGGACTTCTCCACCCATTTCTACCTCCCCACCTGCCGCCTCTGCTCCTCGCCCAGTGGACACCCTGAGGCGATCGCCTGCTCTCCCAAGCTAGTTATACCATTATCTTCACTCTCCATCCCTGGAGCCAGTTTTACTGCTCATTGTTCACTAGAGAAAGCAAAAAAAAAAAAACTAAGGCTTTAATTTTCAGAAGGCACTTAACTAGGGAGGAATTTGGATGCTATGGGACAGTCATGTTTAATCCCTTTTGTTTTTTTACCATAACCCATCACAAGAAATACCTTTTACACTCTTACCAAGTGTATATACCTATACACTGAAGAAAACATAAATTAATATAACACACCAGAGGAAGGAACCAAATACACCAAATATATCATATGCAAAATTAATTCCTGTGAATTCAACCACACATTTGAAAAACAATGGGAATTTAGATAGGATGCATGTACTTTAATATATTATGTATATTTCAGTGTTGTAATTATAATAGCCAACACTTATTCAGCACTTGCTCTGTGCCTGGCACATATATTAAATCACTTAATTCTCCTAACACTATGTGGTAGGTGCTGGTATTAGTCCTATTTTATCAATAAGGAAGCTGAGGTACAGAAAGGTTAAATAACTTTCCCGGGGTCACATAGATGGAAGTGATTGGACCAGGGTTTAAACCCAGGCTGACACACTCCACGACTACTACCCTACCTCCTCCATCAGACATGTGTAACTTTATACCACTACGTAAGTTTATGTTCACAAAGTATATTGTTGTTTGTCGGTAATTTAGAGGTTTTTCTAGGTTTTTATGATCAGAGTGATATTCTGGTTTCATCCATTACCTTATAATCTTACTCTCTGCAAGATGAAATTCACAGGAAACATTCATATTCGACAGACTTTTTTAAATTTTGAAGATGGCATGGGCTCTCTTAGTGCAATAAATTGATGTTAATAATTAGCGTATTCTTTCTAATTAAATATAAAACACTGGAATTATATATTACAATAAGAACCAACTGTGGCAGGGTGCGGTGGCTCACACCTGTAATCTCAGAACTTTGGGAGGCTGAGGCAAGTGGATCACTTGAGGTCAAGAGGACGAGACCAACCTGGCCAATGTAGTAAAACCCCGTCTCACGTAAAAATACAAAAAATTAGCCGGGCATGATGGTGGGCGCCTGTCCCAGCTACTACTACAGTAGGATTACAGTAGCTGTAATCCCAGCTACTCAGGAGGCTGAGGCAGGAGGATCGCTTGAGCCTGGGAGGTGGAGGTTGCAGTGAGCTGAGATCGTGCCACTGCACTCCAGCCTGTGCGACAGAGTGAGACTCTGTCTCAAAAAGAAAAAAAACACACACACACACACAACCAACTATGCAGCAGCTACTCTTAATGCAATTTTAAAATTTCCTTTCTCATAAGAAAATGTACTTATTACAAAAATATTTACTTCCTAGAATCACAACCTGTTAGAACTAAAAGCAGCCACACTTCAACCAACCTACCATTTTTCCTTTGTGAAAAAGAACCCTGAGACCAAAAGACATGACAATTCTTCTCAAGGAACAATTTAATTAAAAATGAACAAAAGATGTTATAAAAATTAACCATAACTTTCTGGAATACTACCAAGAAAAGCTGATTTATAATGTCACAAATGATGTGAAACTTTTAAAAATTAGTTCTTTTCTTAAAGCTTCTGTGTTTGAAATATTAAGAATGCATTGTCTTCAAAAATTAACCATAACTTTCTGGAATACTACCAAGAAAAGCTGATTTATAATGTCACAAATGATGTGAAACTTTTAAAAATTAGTTCTTTTCTTAAAGCTTCTGTGTTTGAAATATTAAGAATGCATTGTCTTCAAAGCTAAGTTCTTTTTTTTTTTTTTTTTTTTTTTTTTTGAGACGGAGTCTCGCTCTGTCGCCCGGGCTGGAGTGCAGTGGCGGGATCTCGGCTCACTGCAAGCTCCGCCTCCCGGGTTCACGCCATTCTCCTGCCTCAGCCTCCCAAGTAGCTGGGACTACAGGCGCCCGCCACTACGCCTGGCTAATTTTTTTTTTGTATTTTTAGTAGAGACGGGGTTTCACCGTTTTAGCCGGGATGGTCTCGATCTCCTGACCTCGTGATCCGCCCGCCTCGGCCTCCCAACAAAGCTAAGTTCTATGTGAATAACTTAAGTTGGTCCAAAGAAATAACAAGTCTGAGTATGAATTTATGCTAATTGGGCACACCTACTCAGAAACAAACAAGTTTAACAAGTTCTCACTGAGAATATACATTTAGCAGACCTATTAATTTACCAAAATAATAGTAATATTGACATAAAGCAACTATACCAGCTCACAGGATAATAAGATAGCAGTGGACATAGGACAATGGTCAAATGCTTCCTGAGTTTCATAAGTTTTATTCTAATTCAACTTAGACATGCCTCATAAGCTGAGTGTGAGGTAGCATTTATGGTTATGGCATTATCTGGGAGGTATATCTAAAGGAACAAATATTTGGTTCGGCAGTAAAAGAAAGACCATTTAGCTTTTAGTAATGTCTCAAATTTCAAAATCATTTTGCGGAATCTAGCCAGGTAATGATTTTCCTGAACATTGGACCGTCAATGAATTTGTGAAGGTGATGCATGCAAGAGTTTCCAAAATCATTTTGAAATTAAGGGCTTACTGTTTAAATCAAATATTTACCCCCAAGTTAGAGAATTTGGTGAATAATATACATATAAATACAAATAAATCATCACTTTGACCCGATACTGCTTTCAGGTAGGGGTCTAGTGAACTTTTGTATGCATCGTTCTCACAAATTCAACAGCTGTCCAATGTTCAAGAAAGCCATCACCTGGCTAGATTCTGCAAATACCATCCTGATGTGTAATAGCCCCTAGTAAGCAACAGGCCCTTAGGTATATAAGCAGTTAGATTGAGAAGATGGATAAGACTGTCACAATCTACTCATTTGCTCAATGCTATCAAGTATTGGCTAGTCCTACACATGACCCAAAATACTAGAGCATCAACTTATGTTTTAGCAAATTTAGATAATCTTCAGTTTTAAATGCCACAACTTTCTGAAATTCAAAGACAATTAAATAAACTAAACTGTATACTCCGTCCTTAAAAATAAGGATGTTTCAAAAGATGGTGATTGATTCATTTCCTAAGAATGCAAAAGAAGTGAACATTTCATGTAAAATATACTTTAAAGTTAGGAGTTAAGGAGGTGTTCAACTACGTTCATTAAATTTGAAAATCTTTTTGTCTGCTATCTCTACTGCAGTAAAATGCATATGGTAGATAATCACACTAACAGAATTTCTGATTTTTTATTACATTTTCACTTTCAGTGCTTATATCCCTTTACTTATTTAAATATAAACAACACTATTTAGGTTTACTGCAATACATTTATTCATTTATGAGCTTTGAAAAGTTTAACAAATTCTTCACAATTTCCCATCAAACATATGATATAAGGGGGTAATTTAAATATGAGATCATGGCATTTATGTGGCCAAAAAACACATGAAAAAAAGCTCAACATCACTGGTCATTAGAGAAATGCAAATCAAAGCCACAGTGAGATACCATCTCATGCTAGTCAGAATGGTGACTATTAAAAAGTCAAGAAACAATAGATGCTGGTGAGGCTGTAGAGAAAGCGAAATGATTTTACACTGTTGGTGGGAATGTAAGTAAGTTCGATCATTGTGCAAGACAGTGTGGCAATTCCTCAAGGATCTAGAACTAGAAATACCATTTGACCCAGCAATCCCATTACTGGGTATATACCCAAAGGAATATAAATCATTCTACTGTAAAGACACATGCACATGTATGTTAACTGCAGCACTATTTACAATAACAAAGACTTGGAACCAACCCAAATGTTCATCAATGATAGACTGGATAAAGAAAATACAGCACATATATACCATGGAATACTATGCAGCCATAAAAAAGAATGAGATCATATCCCCTTGCAGGGACATGGATGAAGCTGGAAGCCATCATCCTCAACAAACTAACACAGGAACAGAAAACCAAACACTGCATGTTCTCACTCAGAAGTGGGAGTTGAGCAATGAGAACCCATGGACACAGGGAGGGGAACAACACACACTGGGGCCAGTCATGGGGTTGGGGGCAAGGGGAGGGAGAGCATTAGGACAAATGGCTTATTTATGCAGGGCTTATAACCTAAATGACAGGTTGATAGGTGCAGCAAACCACCATTGCACATGTATACGTATGTAACAAACCTACGCATTCTGCACTTGTATTCCAGAACTTAAAATAGAATAAAAAATAAAAAAATAGGACAGGGCACAGTGGCCCACGCCTATAATCCCAGCACTTTGGGAGGCCGAGGCGGGCAGATCACTAGGTCAAAAGATAGAGATCTTCCAGGCCAACATGGTAAACCGGGTCTCTACTAAACATACAGGCGGCATGCACTTGTAGTCCTAGCTACTCGGGAGGCTGAGTCAGGAGAATCGCTTAAACCCAGGAGGCGGGGGTTGCAGTGAGCAGAGATTGCGCCTGGTGACAGAGCAAGACTCTGTCTCCAAAAATAAATAAATAAATAAAAATATAAAAAATAAACAAATAAACTCATAATAAGGAGTCTAGGCAGAAACAGACACAAAGGGAAAGTTCCAGACTCTGTGTATCTGGTCATTTTACACCCATTTTTCTTTATGGGCAGGGTTACTTTTTCATATTTGTAATCTCTGCTATTCCCTTAGTAGAGACCCTGCTAACAATAAAGGTTGTATTTGTGAAAAAACAAATAAATAAATAAATATCAGGTCATGGAGCAGATTAGAGGATATCTAAGTTTTTTCCAGTTTTTGTAATAAAAAAGACATTGTGCTGCATTCATTTTTTGCCTGCATTTTTACCTGAAGACAGTATTATTTAGCAAGGTCAATTACATTTTATCTGAAACATTAACATCTTATGTACAAATTAATGAGAAAAATAGAGTCATTACAGAAAAATTAACTTATTCATATATCTTGTTTTTAAATAGTTAATCTCAAAAATACATATCAAGTTTTTATACAATATTCTGTGCCAGATGCAACATATAGTTGTTGTAGGCACTCAGTAAACACCAGTGGAATAAATCAAAGACTATAACATTAAATATTACAAACTAAAAATTCTTTGTGGTTGAAAAAACAATAGTAATAAATTACTCATTATTTGTTTTAAAAACTATGTCTTGGCTCACTTATGTTAGCAGTTTAAATGGTCAGTGGTTCTCCAAGGGTTTGTATTTTTAGAATATGAGAGTCTCCTTTTAAATATTGATTTAGCTTGTGTTTAGATAAAAACCTTTTTACTATATTGTAATATTACTGTTAATATCTACCAAAAAATGACTAAAGCTACAACTAATTTAATTTACATTTTATTAATTTTATTGGATTTTATAAATGAGATGATTTTTATAAATATTTGAAAATTTGAATAGCTACTTGGACATATTTACTATTCATTTACTTTAAATAATGAATGGAAAATATATAAATTTGTATCTATCAATTAATAAGTCTATAAAATTTGATGAGTAAATGTAAGATTTCAGAGGTTCCTTGCAATTATTTCAGCCCTCTAAGCTCCTAGCTTACAGGCTGGGCTCCTCTGACCTGAGGAAAATAAATAATATACCTATAAATACAAAACAGTGCTTGCATTTTCTCCATGAGGGCATCATGCTCTCTGGACTGTGACCTCCTTATGAGTATCTTCACTCCTCAACACCCAGCATAGCATCTGAAACATAATAAGAACTCAATCCATGTTTATTGCATGAATAAATAAATTGTTGAATTTTACTAGTTGGCAGGCCTCTGTAAATTTATTATCCATCACTTTCTCAAGTTATTTTACTACCAGGATCTTTTCTCTGTTATAAGAATTGATGGGTATTCTTTCACCAAGTGAGTGTATGTTGGCTGTGAGTGTGGGTGGAGGCAAGGGTGTTCCGAGGAGCAGGTGGAATTCCTGCTGACACTCAGACCATACTGTAGTGCAGGATTGTGACCTTATTTGTACCACCTCCCTCACAACAAAGAAGGTCTCTGGGAAATGCCCTCTTTAAAGAGGAAGTAACTCTTGAAGTCTAAACTGCATCTTACCAAGGATCCTGGCATGAGGGAACCCTGGCTTAAGCAGAACCTTATTGGATAAGGCCCCATTCAATGTCAAAAAGCCCCTGTGTTTAGAATTAGGCAGAAAGACATGGAGATTTCACAATGGGATATCTAGTCCCATGGAACATTTCCAGATCCAAAAATCTTGTCAATAAAAAGGGCAATCAGAAAAGGAGAATCTTTGGTATGCTGTGAGGAGTTTGCAGCAACACACACAAAACAACAAGCACATATGCACCAACACACACATACAAGGCAACACACACACACAGGCCAAGAACATCCTCTGAGAAGAAGATACATAATAGATAAGCAACAATAATAGGTTGTTAAGCAAATATTTAGAGAGGAATACCTAGCATTTAAGAACATTATTTTAGATTCTGGTTGTATACATAGATGGCTAGGAAACTTTCCCATCAGGGCCCTCATTCTCAACTTGTGCTGAGGAGGAAAAGCTTATCACAGAGCATCCGAAGATGCCTTGCAGGTGAGTAACGTAAACCAACTGTTGAAGGAGCACTGGGAAAGCAGCACTCGGCCTTCAGAAAATAATTCTTTTGTGGGCTGATGTGAGCAGGCCAGTGATGATTGCAAAGCCACCTGCTAGGGTGTGTCCTGGTGAGGAAATGCTGGAGGGAAGAGAATGATAACCCACATGACATACCATTCCTGTGAGGGCCTTTGCAGCCTACTCCACAGCTGGAGAAGGAAGTTCTCCTGTGTCTCCCACTGGAATAAAATAAGGCTGGGCTAATTACAACAAAGCTAACCCCAAGAACAGTCAGCTGCCAAGTCCTGTCTCTTTCAGCTCTCCAGGCTTTGGCTTGCTGAGGATTTGGAAAACTCTGTTTCCTCTAGGATTATGCATTCTCCGCATTCCTCATCTGCAACATCCTCCACATTTCATTAAGACCCATTTCAAATGTTAGTTCCTCTCCAAAGACTTCTCTCACTCTTTAGAACAAATAAGTGTTTTCTCCTACAGAATTTTGTACAAATCTCTATTACAGAAATTGTCACATAACATCTTAATTTACATATATTCCTCCAATAGACTTTGTTTGTTAACCCACATGCCTCACTTGTATTCATATTCTCAGATCCTAGCATGGTGAGTGCTCAATGAACAATGCATTCTGCTTCCATGTTTGTGTGTGTGTTTCTGACTACTTGGCAACTTACACTGAAAGTGTCCAAATTGTCTCTGGCAACCCTTTTTGCAGCAGAGGGATTAGCACTACGTTTTTCGACTTCCATGTTCCCAAAGCAATGTCCCTGTCATCTGCTTCAGGATCTTTAGATAGTGAGAGGCTGAGATTATTTAAGGAGAGAGCAGAAAAGATATCTAAGGATATTAGAGATATCCATAGATACCTCTAATAAAATAAAGACCATCAGGCAACAATCTGGGATTTGGAAAATTAATATCATCAGGCTCAAGTGGCTTCCAGTGGCTATAAGACCATTCATAACCATATATCTGGTTTTATCTCTCACCACTTCCCTTCATACACGTCATTTCATCTCAATTGCACTATCTGAAGTTATACAAACTCACCAAGATTTCTCCTTCCCCTTATTTAGTTTCTATAAACTCTTGCTTGCCTTTTCAACATAGTATCTCCATTTTTCAAATGGGAATACATAAGACTTATGAACATTAATTGATTTGGCCAAGGTCACTCGAGATCAAATCAAGTGGCCAGGATTTGATCTCAGCTTTGTCTGACTCCAAAGCTTGCTTTCTGTCCTGCTATGCCAAGCAATTCCTCTGATTAACAGCAACATTCAAATTGTTTCCCATTGCTGAGATGTCATTAACTGGCAATAAGAGTTTAAATAATGGAATACTCTCAGAATCACTGTAGTCTGTACTTATTTATAACGGTTGTGATAAATGCATGAGAACATCTTTAGAAATAAAATTTTATTAACCAAGTATCTATATAAAAGGTTCTCAAATTTTAAAGTATATCCAGTCCACTTTGGGTGCTTACTAAAACTATAGTTTTCTGGGCCTCACTCTCTAGAAATGTGGATTTAATCCAACATAAAATAAGGCCTAAGAATTCACAGTTTAAGTACACTTTGGAAAACAGTTTTCTGTATACTCTATTATGCAAAACATCTTAAGTGTATTTTGGAAACAATTTTCTATACTCTATTATGTAAGACATTTATTGCCATCACATTTAATACTTCTGGATGGAAGCAAATATTTTCAATGGTAAAATATTTTGTTAAGATTCCGTAGTTTCTGCTTAATATGATTAATATGGGTTAGAGTTGATATAACATTGACACAAGATTCCTGATAGAAATAGGTGTTACCTCTCAATCAATATATCTGAATGTATGCAGATTTACCTGGGTGTTCTTCCCACTAACTCTAAGTCCAAAGTTCTGTGACTCACAATATACAAGTTTGACTGCTTGCATGTGCATTTCCAGAGGTTAGTCATCAGCATTTCCTACCACCTAGCTGATTATATCATGGAATTTTGATGATGTTTGCAGTTGCTCTAGTTGAAAAACCCTCCCAAGAACCAGAGCATGTTTTTAAAACCTGTTTCTTGTTGTAACTCTTGCCATAATTGCCAAAAATGATTTGCTGCTTACTGGCTGCAACTGCAATGTAATTCTTGAAGTCCCTAGCAGTAGAAAAAAATGCTATACATATATATATATATATATATATATATATATATATATATATATATATATATATATATATAACTGCTTGGGATGAAGGGATGAGGAAATAGATGGCTTTAAAAATACTAATTATTCATTCAAGAAGTTGTAATGAAGTAGAGTTTATACGGCAGTAACTGTGAGATACGGTCTAGAGAGATGCTCTAAGAACTAAAGTGGCAGAGTTTCTGAAAAAACAGTGCTTTGATTCAATTTAATTCAAAATATTTATTATGTTTACACTGGATCCCAGGCAATGGTTAGGAAGCAGAGGGAGGGACCCATGCTCCCCCACTTTAAGGCCCTTTTTACTTCTCAGGGAGCATGTACACAGGCTCTAAAGTACAGTTCCTACCATCATCAACACCGGTTCTCATGGCCACACCCTAAGCCTTAGGAAATCATTTTACTTCTATACATCTAAACTCAAATATGAAAGTTTTAGGACCACAATCTACTATCCTTCTGAAAATCTCATTCCTTTGCTTGTATTAAAAATACATATGTCTTTTGACCTCACAGACTCCGAAGTCATACTCTGCATTTCTTCAGAATTAGTCACATAAGGGATCTATTCTTTGCTTCCTTCCCTTTCCAGAACATACCCCATAGTCTGTTTGGATATTCTTGCCAATGCTCACCTCCACATAATTCTAAGTGTTTCTGGAATTCTCCAACAATCATCTATTTCCAAATTTCTTGGCTTCTTTAGGATTTAATTCCATCTTCTTAGATCTCTGAACGAAGATTGAAACATACACTTTCTTCTTGAAACTCCACTTTGCTTTCATTCATTTATCCATTAATTCAAAAATATTTATTGAGCAATATTATATGCTAGGTTCCAAGAACACAGTTTTGATTAAAACGTTTTTCTTGTTCTCATGGATATAACAATCTAGTAGTGAGGACAGAGAGTAATAATCACACAAATACCTGTAAACTTGGCAACTATGACAGATGTGAAAGAGGAGATGGACAAGGGTCCCAAGAACTCCTTCTGGACTGAATGTGGTAAAAGGTGAGACTGGAGAGTGGGCAAGTGTTAGACAATGCAGGACCTTGCAGCCCAGACGAAGGACTCTTTTTCCCCTTTATTCTAAAAGTTACCAAGAGGTGTCTTTTTTTAAAAAACAGATTGATATGCTTAGGTTTGCTCTTTGAAATTATTTTTCCACCTTTAGTGTAGTAAACAGATTGGCAGCTGGCCAGCATAGATGCAGGCCTGTCAGAAAGTTACAACAATCCTGCTGAAGGACAATAATCACCTGGCTAACATAGTGATAGTCAACATGGAAAAAAGTGAATGAACTTGACAGATATTTTGGATGTAAAAAATCAATAGACCTTGGTGATGGGTTAAAATAGAAGGGTAGGAAAAAAAGAATGTTGATAATATCTCTTGGGCTTCTCTCTTGCACAACTAGATAGATGGGGGTATTATTTTCTGGGAAGTGATCACTGGTGAAGGTGAGAATGAATTTCCAACACATTGAGTTTGAATTGTATTTGAAACTTCCAAGATAAATGTCAAGTAGGCAATTGGATGTATAGGTTTGGAGTTCAGGAGAAAAGACCTGGACCGGATAGATCTATCTATAAGTTGTTATTTGCATGAGATCACTTTTGGGAGGGACAACAAACAGGAAAGAGGGACACAGACCCAAGCTTCATGTGACGATACATTGAATGGGTGGTTAGAGAAGAATGTACTGGCGAAGAAACAGAAAAGTAACATTCAGAAAGTTGGAAAGAACGTCAGGGGAATTTCAGTGCTCTTCCTATTCTCCTCTCTTCAGGAGTCATATGGAAACTTTTTACCTTGAAGCATTGCCTTTGATTTAAATTACATTGGACTGAGCTAGTTCTATGACTTCTTTGAAGCACCTTTCTGTCTCCTTTGCTGACTCTTCTTCTTTCTAAGCAAATGTGGACAAGCCAGTTTGCTCTTCAGATATTTTCATGTCTTTCTCTTCAGCTCTCCCTAAATGATTTCCTCCACTTACGCGATTTCATTAATACCTTTAAACTGACGACTTTTATATATGCATTTTTAATCCTCATCTCTATCTTCAGATGGACAAAACATCATCTCATTGAGTTGCTGCACCAATACTATGTATGTACACTACTCCAGAAAGTCAATTATGAAGCTTAAAATATTTTTACTTTTTGTTATAAAACAAAGGCCTATTAACAGTGAACTGTAGAAATGTATCAGAAGAATAGAAAATTAAGCATACAATTATTTCTTCAGTTAACAGATTTTAGTGAATAATTCCAAAAAACTTCTATGCATATATAAAATACATCCACACAACATATTTTTATTTTTATACACAAGTGTTCACATTGGGCCCATTATTCTACATACTTGATTTTACACTTACTGTAAGTTGGACATCATTCATTATCAATATATAAAGATCTGTCATTTTTTTTATTATGCCGTACAAATGTACCCAAATTTTCTGACTAAATTCTATTCTAATAGACATTGTGGTTGCAAGAATTTTTCATTATTACAACAATAATGAAATGAACATCCTTGTAGGTAATTTTTAATCAGTTGTGCCAGTGCATCTTGAGCTAAATTCAGGGAATAGAAACTGTTGCATGAAAGTGTATATATTTTTTAACTTTGTTAGCTGTTGTCAAATTGCTGTCCCAAAACATTATATCAACTTACACTTTCACTTCAGTCAAGTAAATGATTTTCTACTTCTGCCTCAGCAATAGATACCTAACATTTACAACAAAAATCTAGTACTTTTATTATAAAGTGCCAATCTGATGGGTGAAATTTTTTTCACTTCTTTGGTTGTTGTTGTTGTTGTTTTTGCTATTTATATGTCTGATTTTGACTGAAGGTGAACATCTTTACCTCTGCATATTAACCATTTTTATATTTTTCTAAATGCAACAACTATTTGTGTTCATGTAAGTGAAAGACCTCTTTATTTCTTTTGCCTATTTTTCTTTTGAGTCATCGATTTTTTCTTATAGTTTTACAAGAGTTAAGTATATATTTTGGAAACTAGACCTTTGTTTGTTATATATGTAAAAAAGCTTTTTTTCTACCTTGCCACTTTTTTTGTTTTGCTTATGCTTACTTATCATATAGACATTTTAATTTTTATGTTGCTAAATGTGTCAATCCTTTATTGGTCCTGGATTTAGATAGGGATTCCCCACTTCAAGGTACTTCCATTTCAAGGTACTTCTATTTTTTTTTTTTTTTTTTTTTTTTTTTGAGACGGAGTCTCTCTCTGTCACCCAGGCTGGAGTGCAGTGGCGCGATCTCGGCTCACTGCAAGCTCCGCCTCCTGTGTTCACGCCATTCTCCTGCCTCAGCCTCCCGAGTAGCTGGGACTACAGGTGCCGCCACGCCCTGCTAATTTTTTTGTATTTTTAGTAGAGACGAGGTTTCACTGTGTTAGTCAGGATGGTCTCGATCTCTTGACCTCGTGATCCACCCGCCTCGGCCTCCCAAAGTGCTGGGATTACAGGCGTGAGCCACCGCGCCCGGCCGGTACTTCCATTTTTACTCAGTTATTTTTTCCCTACTATTAGTTTCTTTTACATTTCAATCTTTTTTCCATCTGGAATTTTTTCTGGCATAAGAAGTAGGTTGATTTTGTTCTAAGTGGTTAGCCACATGCTCAACACCATCTTTTGAGTTATGTACATTTTGCTCAGTGATTTGAAAAGCCATCTTTATTTCAGACTAGAGATCATTTGTTAACTCCTCTATTAAGTTTATTTCTGGATCTCTAATTTCCTTAATATTTTATTCATTTCCCAGTTCCAAATTACATGAATAACTATAATATTACAATGTTTAGTAACTTGTCAGACTTGACTTTACTAATTACTATTCTTTTCCAGAATGTTCATTTCTATTCTTGATTATTTGTTGTTCCATATGAAATATGAAATCATTTTGACAAATTTCACACACACAAAAGACTGGGAGGTCTTTTTATGATATTGCCTCTTTCTGTACAAAAACAAGAGCACATATTGATTCATGACTTCTTCATGTCTCTTGCGAAAGTTTGAGGTTTTTGTCAGGCAGGTGCTACACATTTCTTCTCAGCTTCGTTATAAGATAGTTTATACTTACAGTTGCCACTTGAAATGGGACATATTTATTTCATTATATTGTGTAACAGATAATTAGATTATTGAATTTTATTAATTATATACTCAACATTCTTAATTAAATTTTCATGTGTCTTACAAGTTATAATTGATTCTCTTGGAATTCCTATGTAGACAAATTTATGGTCTATTAATAATAATAATATTTACTCCTCTCCAATATTTTCCTTTGGCTATTACATCTAGAAAACATTAAGAATGTAATAATGAGATTATTTTTCCCCTGATTTTAGTAAGACTGTGTTTACCATTTGGACACTAGGAATAACAGATTTTTGTATAATACATCATTTTTATTAAGTGAGAAACCATCCTATTTCTTTATATTTGTTTTTTCATTTAAAAACAAATGAATTATATCAAGCTTTTCAAAACATGCATAGAAGTTATTTTTTAATTTGAGTTATTATAATGATTAATTACTGTAATAGATCTTTTTAAACATTAAACCGCCTTGCATTTTTAGAAAAAAATTCAATTGGTCATGACTTATTCTTTTACTGTGCTCCCCAAATTTATACATCGGTGTATTATTTCAAACATTAGCAATTATATTAGTGAATATGATTATTCCATTTGGCTTGTTGTTGTGTTGCATTTTGTGTTTGTTGTCTTTGTCTAATTTGTTTGCAGAATCATTTTTTATAAACTGTCAATGACTAAAGATATAAATTAAAACCTCTTTGTCCTATCTAGTTTGCCTGTGGGTTTTTTTTTATCATGTTATGCTATTTCACCTGATGCAAAAATATTTATAACAATTACCTCTTCACCATGTATTGCAATCTACATATTTAGTTGTCTCATTTTTTTTTTTAATTTCCCTCATCCAAACAGGAAAAGAAGAAGTCAAACTCTCTCTCTTCACTGAGAATATAACTGTATATTTAGAAAACCCTAAAGACTCCATCCCAGAAGTCTCCTAGAACTTATAAATGATTTTAGTAAAGTTTCAGGATACAAAACCAATGTACAAAAGTCAGCAGCATTTTTTATACACCAATAACATTCAAGCTGAGAGCCAAGTCAAGAATGCAATCTGATTCATAATAGCCACACAAGAAAATAAAATACCTAGGAATACATCTAACCAAGGAGGTGAAAGATATCTACAAGGAAAACTACAAAACATTACTGTAAGAAGTTACAGATGACATAAATGAAAAACCATTTCATGTTCATGGATTCAAAGAATCAATATTGCTAAAATGGCCATACTGCCCAAAGCAATCCACAGATTCAATACTATTCCTACGGAGCTACCAATGTCATTTTTCACAGAACTAGAAAAAAAGACTATTCTAAAATTCATATGAAACCAAAAAAGAGCCCAAATAGCCAAAGCAATCCTAAGCAAAAAGAACAAGGTTGGAGACATCACATTGTCCAACTTCGAACTATACCATAAGGCTACAGTAACCAAAATGGCATGGTACTGGTTCAAAAACAAAAATGGCATGGTACCGGTATAAAAACAGACACATAGACCAATGACATTAAAAATATTAAGAGAAATGAGCATTAAAAAACGTGATTTTTTTTCTAGAGTCTAAAATGCCTAAAATCAAAATTTTAAATTGTCCCTTGTCCCATAAAATGTCCTTTATTGCTATTCTTTATTGTTGGTGGATGTTCTATGATCCAATTAGGGATCGAACATCGTATTTAGTTTAGTTTAGTTTTGTTTTGTTTTGTTTTTTTAAGTTCTGGGATACATGTGCAGAACATGCAGATTTGTAGTGTTACATGTGCCATGGTGGTTTGCTGTACCTATCAACCCATTATCTAGGTTTTAAGCCCCACATGCTTTAGTTGTCTCTTTTGTCTCTTTTAGTCTAGTACAATCCCCTACTATATTTTGTATGTCATAAACAATGACATTTTTGAAAGATCCAGCTTATTTTTATTAGAAATTCTAAAATTGATGTTTTTTGGATTGTTTCCTCTTTCGCAAATTCAGTTTAAATATTTTGGCCAAGAATACTGTGTGTGACATTGTATAGTTTTCATTACATCATGGAAGGAGGTACCTATTGTCAGTTTGTCTCATTATTAACAGTACTAGGTTTTATCTGTCAGTAAGATGGTGAGATACTTGGAGATCATGTAAACTCCTAGTTTTCCAACACTTTTACTCAATAGTATAAATACCCATTGATGGTCTTCATCTGAATCCATTATTTATGTTGCTGGGTGCAATATCTCAATTTTCTACTTCTATCATTTTCTTCTCTATTTACTAGCAATCTTCTCTAAAGAAAAGTTTACTCTTCATCACCACCACCACCCTTTTGAGGAACACTATGGACTCATGTATTCTTTTTCATTCAGCATGCCAAATAGCTCATTAGCATCAATTTTTAGTACTTTTTGCAGCAAAGACACTAAAACTATGATTATGTAGCAAAAGTATTATTATAAGGTATATGCTGTGGTAATTAAGTGGCACAATATCTACAACTCACTTTTAAATTATTCAGCAAAAGATGTGTTTATACATAGAAAGAGCTAATAGGGCAAAATGTTAACATATTGTAAATCTGGATGAAGGTTTGAATTTTTAAGCAAAAATAGGGAAAAACAAAACACAAACAAACTAAATGTTAAAAACTGATTGGTTCTTCTACAAAAACCTCTAACAGATTCTTTTTTTGTTATTAATAGGATAAGTATCTTCTCTTTGCACCTAATTTCAAAAGAAGGAAAGTGTTTCCCCTGAGCCTCCATCACCCTATTCCTCCACCCCCTTTGAAACTGCCATCTAGTACTATCTATTGTAACTTCATCATGCTCCCATCTCTTCCCCTTCCCATTGAAACCACACTATTTCAGGTTCTTTACCTAAACTATTATGGTAGCCTCCAAATTCATCTTTCTCCCTGTAGTGTCTCTTGCCTACCTACGCATTACAGAGCTTCCAGGACAAACTCCAAAAACACAACTTTAAGGTCAATACCTTGCTCAAAAGCCCACGCTGTTTCTCTCTCTACCACTGAATATAGTCCAAATTTCTCAGCAGAACATTCAAAGTCAGTCACATTCTGCTTTCATTCTATTCTATTATCAGCCCTGCTAACTCTCACAAGTGAGACACTTAGTCCAACATGACTCCTTTTGGGCCATAAAAATATGTATTTCTTTCTGCCTTCTTTCCCATCCGCATCTTTATTTGTTGTGAATGTAGTCATCCTGAAAATTTTGAAATCTACCTCTTCCATGAAGTGCTCTCAAATTCCTTTAATGGGAAAATTATTTCCCTTTTGCAGGGGCTCATAAAACACTATAGATCTTTCCTATACCACATACGTCAGTGTGCTTGGTAAAAGGAACAAGCCTGCCTCATCACACCTTTGAGATCCAGTCAAGATGATAGCCTTCTTAAACTTTGGAATTTCTAGTATCTATTTTTTAAAAATTTCTCCTGGCTTGCTGAGAATGATGGTTTCCAGCTTTATCCATGTGCCTGCAAAGGACATGAACTCATCCCTTTTTATGGCTGCATAGTATTCTATGGTGTATATGTGCCACATTTTCTTTATCCAGTCTATCATTGATGGGCATTTGGGTTGGTTCCAAGTCTTTGCTATTGTGAACAGTGCTGCAGTAAACATACCTGTGCCTGTGTCTTTATAGTAGAATGATTTATAATCCTTTGGGTATATACCCAGTAATGGGATTGCTGGGTCAAATGGTATTTCTCATTCTAGATCTTTGAGGGATTGCCACACTGTCTTCCACAATGGTTGAACTAATTTACACTCCCACCAACAGGGTAAAAGCATTCCTATTTCTCCACATCCTCTCCAGCATCTGTTGTTTCCTGACTTTTTAATGATCGCCATTCTAACTATGTAATGCAGAACCTGCACGTTCTGCACAGGTATCCCAGAACTTAAAGTAAAATTTTTTTAAAAATTAATTATCCTGGAAACTAGCACAGTCCCTACCAGGGTCAAGAAACATTGGTGCAATTGAATTTTTAAAACTGCAGTCAAAAAACAGTTTCTGAAAATGATAGAGTAAGCTGCTTAAATGCCCATGGGCTATACACATACACCTAAATGGAAAATATCCTGGACAAACATCAATCACGACTGTTACCTTTCATATTGGTATCATCACTATCAAAAGCCGGGTCTTCAAAAATGAAAGGCAATGGTGGGAAAATCTTAAGACCATGAGGGTGATGGCACTTTGTTTCCATCATAAACAATAAATAACCTGGAGACATAAATTTGCCATAATGTTTTTACAATATGAAGTCATTTTCACCTGAGAGGAAATATGGAGTTACTGCATTTTCTTTTCTTTACTTTTTTTTTTTTTTTTGACAGGGTCTCAATGTGACCCAAGCTGCAGTGTGGTGGCATGATCTTGGCTCAGTAAATCCTCTGCCTCCCGACCTCAAGCAATCCTCCCACCTGAGCCTCCTGAGTAGCTGGGACTACAGGCGTGCACCACCACACCCAGCTAATTTTTGCATTCGTTTGTAGAGACAGGGTTTCTCCATGTTGCCCAGGCTTGTCTTGAGCTCCCAGGCTCAAGCCATCCTCCTGCCTCAGCTTCCCAAAGTGCTGGAATTACAGGCAGTAGCTACTGCGCCCAGTCTACAGCACTTTCTTGAGAAGAGGCATGACATAAAGAAAGCAATGTTTTAGAAACACTATTCTGGAAAAGAAATATAACATGGATTAAAATGAAGACTTTTGATACAAAATGTATAATTAGAAGTATGCACAGCAATGCCAGGTGAAGGGTGCCTGGAGAGAAACCATGAAAGCAGAAATGAAGACCGAAAGGCAAAGTGCAGACAATAGAAGCAATTAACTGTGGCTGTATTCAATTAAACACTATAAAATTTAAAGTATAAGATGAGAGATTTAGGTAAGCTACAAAGAAAGAAAGAAATTAAGTATTTTAGCAATCAGTTCTATTATGCCACAAATGTGTAGCCATTAACATTATAAGATTTCTCTCATGTCACCTCCAGTAAAACTGGGCTATGGATTCCCAAAGCATCTTATGCATGCTTCTGTTCAGCAAGTGGAAAAAAAATATGTTGTTTTCCCCATTCCACAGCCTGGAGCCACATGAGGGCAAGAACCATATTCTATCCATCTTTGTAATCTCAGTCCCTTAGTATAGTGCAAGGAACATAGTAGGTCAAAGAAATAAATGCCATAGAACTGGCCTGGGGATAATGTATTACAAGTAAAAAAAAAAAAAAATAGCCTGAAGTTGCACATGAAATCCAAACACTACAGTGGGACTGTGGCTAACCCACGTAGGTGTATGAGTAGAACAGTCTTCCAGAAGTAAGTAGTATTACTTCTGTGTCAGTGTGTTTGCAGCTATAAGGTAAGCTCCTTAAGAGCAGAGTTCAAAATTGTTTTGAACACAGTGCCTACTACAGTGATGAACATGTAGCAAAACTCAGAATTATCATATATTTTTAACTTCTTTAAAGCACAAGCAATAATAGCTCAGTCTCTTTCACTATTCTTATTTCATCATAAAATACTTACATATTAGATAGAGTTCACAGTTCTCAAAATTATTTGAGATTTTCCCTTTGTTCATAAACATTGTTTCTATATAGAGAAAAGCATATAAAGATGTGTTGCCGTTGAATTCCCATTCTAGAATTTACTAGAGAAAAATAATTAAGATTTCCCTTAGATCTGGGGAAAAAAAAGGAAGAAGAGTTAGGCTGTAGATTATTTTGGTCAATTATAAACAAAATCTCTCTAAGCATAGAAAACTAAAAATACAATTTTATTATAAATATATTTTTCTCAGTGATCAGTTTTTTTATTTATTTATTATTATTATTTTTTAATTTGAGATGAAGTCTCCCTCTGTTGCCCAAGCTGTAGTGCAGTGGCACCATCCCAGCTCACTGCAACCTCCCCCTCCCGAGTTCAAGCAATTCTCCTGCTTCAGCCTCCCGAGTAGCTGGGATTACAGGGGTCTGCCACCACGCCCAACTAATTTTTGTATTTTGTAGTACAGATGGGGTTTCACCACATTGGCCAGGCTGCTCTCGAACTTCTGACCTCAAGTTATCCGCCCCCATCAGCCTCCCAAAGTGCTGGGATTACAGCCATGAGCTACCACGCCCGGCCTAGTTTTTTAAATTTTAATGGCTACTTTCAGTCATCATGATTTCTGTTCACATCCTTGAGATCAATTTTGTGACTTCTCCTAAAATCAACTAATCTACTCACAAGTCATATTTCATACTGCAAGCTATAATCTATTCATCTAGTCAAGGGATTGTCAAACATTTTCTGTAAAGGGCAAGGGAAGTAATTATTTTAGGCTTTCTACGCCAACATGGTCTCTGTCATAACTTCTTAGCCCTGCTCTTGTGGAATGAAAGGAGCCACAATTTATATGCAAATGACTATGGCTGCGTTCAACTAAAAAAAGAACAAAAACCACACAGTGGACCCTATTTGACCCATGGCAATAATTTGCTGACGTCTACTTAAGTTCATTATTTTTACTTTTATTAGGAAAATTTTCAAATATACACAAAACAAAGAAAACCATATACTATCATTTAGATTTAACAGTTGTTAATATTTTGCCATATTTATTTTATCTGTTTCATTGCTGAATTATTATGAAGAAAATTTCCATCATCATGACATTTCACTCCTAATGTAATTCACATATCTTTAAAAATAGACATAATATGGCTAGGCATGGTGGCTCACACCTGTAATCCAAGCACTTTGGGAGGGCAAGGCGGGTAGAACGCTTGAGGTCAGGAGTTCAAGATCAGCCTGGCAACATGATGAAACCCCATCTCTACTAAAACTACAAAAAATTAGCTGGGTGTGGTGGCTCACACCTGTAGACCCAGCTACTCAGGAGGCTGAGGCATGAGAATTGCTTGTTCTGGGAGACAGAGTTTGCAGTGAGCTGAGATCACGCTACTGCGCTCCAGCCCAGGCAAGAGAGCTAGATGCATCTCAAAAAAAAAAAAAAGACATAATACAATATAACCTGATAAAATATATCATAATTTTCTACAGTTCTTATTTAAATTTTCCCAGATATTGGATATCCCAAAATTACTTCCACAGCTCTTTTGTCCAAACCAAAAATCCACTTACCAATCAGACTTTGCTGTGACTGCTATATATGAAAAAGAAAAGTATCTTTTAATCTAAAATGCAGGCCCCATCTCCCAGATGTATGTGGGTGTGACATTGACTCTTTGAGGAATAGTTTAATTTTAAACAATGTGAACAAGATCTACAATCAATATATCTCATGGTAATATTAATACAGTATAGAGGCAAACAGAAAATTTTTATTTATATAATGCCTAACATATTTACTTCAATTTCCCCTCGAGTTTTAAGTTTTTCATCTTTCACCTATTTTTTAAACAATGTGTAGAGTTCATTAGGATAATTTAGAACATATAAAACTAGAGGTTCACATATAACATTAAAACATAGTTAACAATAATTTGTTGTATATTTCAATATAGCTACAAGAGAAGAATTTCCCAACACAAAAAATAAACGTTTAAGGTGACGGATATCACAGTTGCCCTGATTTAATCATTATAACATTGCACAGGTATGCAAACATCACATGCACCCCAAAAATATGTACAGCTATTATATATCAATTTAAAAATACTTTATTGCTAAAAGGAAAAAAAAGCACATTCCAAAGAATTTCTCTGAAATATAAGTCCATGCTATGGATGCTATGTAAATGAAGGTGGATAAAACAGTTACTGTTATTAGGCTTGAGAACTTCTAGATCAATAAAATGTGTTACCTTTAGTTAAATATGCGGATTATTTTGTTTTTCAAAATTATTTTTTTAGAGGCTGATTATTTTGTTTTCTTAAAGGGTATTGCAATATTTCAAGCTAACAACAAATGTAGAAATGCAAACACTTAAGTTACATTCTGGAGTTTTCAATGCCTTGTGAAAAAGAGGAAAATCCTCTTCTCTAGAGAATTTTAGTCCCTATGGAAACCTTTGTCAGCTCACCAGGGAGATTCCAGACAGAAAAATCACCCCAAATTTCACAAAATTTTTATGAAATGAGAACTGTTGCTATGTACGTGCAGGTACACATACTAAACAATGTTCAGAGTAAAGAAAAGGAGTTCACTGAGATGGGAGAGAAGAAGCAACAGTGTGATGTGAGGTTACAGATGAGGTTGCTGGAAGAAAGAATTGAAAACATTGTGAATACGGAAATGAAATGGTTTGTGTTGCCTATGTTTTAAAGTATCTTAACTCATTGGCATTAGGAAGGAGGACCACTAAGTCAGGAAAAGGGACAGGACCAACTGAGATAAGAGTACATGAAGGAAAACTAATTAAATGTGCTCATTGAAAGCTGGAACAATGGTGGGGTTCTCAATTAAGAAAAGGCATAGGGTAGATTGAGAGAGGTGAGTTTGTAAAAACCGGAAGTTAAGGTTTGGAGTAAGAGAGAAGATAGACAACAAAAGCAATGATGTCTGCACTGTCCAATATGGTAGCCACTAGCCACATGTGGTTATTTAAATTTAAATTAAGCAAAGTTAAATATTCTCTTCCTTAGTCATAATAACCATATTTTAAATCCTCAATAGTCACATATTATAAATGGCTACCATATCTGACAGCATAGATAGAGAATATGTTCGTATTGCAGAAAGTTCTACTGGATAGCACTGTTCTGAGGACGTTAAAATGAGTAAGAAAGAGAAAAAGGCAGGGAAGGAGGCAAGGGAGAGAAAGTGATTAACAAATTCCCTCTCCCGCTGTGTTTAACATCGTATTGGCTCTCATGTAACTGCCAAGACAGACGCTGCTCTGCAGTATTGGAGTTCTATCACACCTCCTCTCCAGAAAGATGTTTGAGAGATTGCTGCCTTATGAATCCCCTAGTCATATAGGATTGTTGGAGCAAGGCATTGAGTTAGGGGTGGAGCCAGGGTTAGGTTTAAGGAAAGGTAATTTAATGGATGAAGGAGGCCCCCATGCATGCCCTAGCATCATGCCCAGAATCCGAGATGCATAAAACATTGACTCGCCACTGGAAAGCTGCAAGAGTAGGTGCAGTTGTCTCTGGTGCCCAGTGAGTCTTCTGCTATTCATGGTCAGACAACATGATACTAATATATTGCTCAGACTAAGTCATAGGTTAATACAGTCTATTTTATTTGACATTTCTCATTAGAGAAAATCGGCCAGCTCATCTTTCTAAATTTTATTTATTTACATCTGCTATTTACAATCATAAACATTCTTATTCACTGCAAATAAACATGGGCAGCCTATCTCCTCCCCTCCACACTGTATGATGGATAATATGGAAATTCAAACCACACATCTTCTTTGCCACAAATCTGTAGTGAAATGACAGCCTTCTATAGACCCTCTGACCCTCAGAGATTTTCTTCCTTTTGGAGACATTTTGAGTATCTTTTTGACCATAATCAACATCTTATCAGGTAGGTCTCTTGTTCTAAGTAGCCGTTTCAAACTCTGAGGGTGTCCAGTGTCTATGAGCTTCCTGCCACTCACAATATTTATACTAGACGTTGCCAGGGGAAGAGAAGAGAGTCCAAAAATATGTCCAAATGCTGCCCTGTGAAGGTTGCTATTTATTTTCACAAACCTCAGGGCTGCATTCAGTTTCCCGTCTACCTGTGTAGGCAGCCATTTCTTCAGTGTATTCCCTATGTTCTAATTGGCTCGCTGTACAGATTCTTGGCTCTGTGCTTAGGAATTGTCATTGACTTTTAACCCACCTCACCTGCTGAGCAGCTTTCTGTGTTTTCATTAGTATTTCAGGCACCGAATCTCATTTTTAAAGTTATTATCAGGATTTTAATTGGTGGTTCTCACTATTCACCCTTAAGTTTAGTAATATTTAAATTTTTATTTTGTTGCATTTAATAAAAGAATCATAAAGAAAGAAAAATAATTAGGGAGAGAAAATAATTTCTTTAGAGGGAAAATGGAGGATTCCTTAGACTGAAGGCTGGTCAGTTAATGGGAATTGTGACTTATGCAGAGGATCTAATAATTGTAAGTATCATGGTTTTACTTGTTTGAATTAATAACTTTAAAAAATCTCAGTCTTGCATTAGCATATTTTCTGTCTCTTAACAACCGAAAATAACTGAAACTTTCCCAACATCTACTAAAATGGAAAGTTTGTCATTTTCTACTATGACCTGAGGGTTTGGCTACAAACAGATAATGGAATGAATAAGATGAGCATTCAAGTTATACCTGCCTGTTTAATATGGGGAGAAACTAAACCACCTGTAAAGAAAGCATGGGGTGAGAAGCCCCCATCACCTGTATAACCCTCGGTATTTCTGTTCACTTTAAGAGCCTGCCACTGAAAACATTCAGTAAAGGAGTGAATCTTCCTTGCCCCATCAAGAGTCGCTTTTCAGCTGGAGGAAGGGTGTGTCCCCAAGTTTTTACCTGGGAGCAATGATGATCTTGTCAAGCATTTCAGTGAGACCAGCCCAAGTTTTTAGGGTGGGGATCCAGACTGGTTATACGTACCTTCAGTCCTTCTCCCAGAGGAAGGCAGAAACACCTCAAAGCCTGCATGTAAGAACATCTACTGAGAAATTATTTTAATCAGACACCAGCTGAGTGGGAGAAAGAAAAAGAACAGAGAAGAACAAACAAAACTCCCTTGGTCTTGGATGTAAGAGAATCCAGCAGAGATGGACTGGAGTTTCTTCAGAGTAGTTGCAATGCTGTTCATTTTTCTGGTGAGTGGATTCTGGTAAAAGTCCTTCATAATCGTGCCCATTGTAAACAAGTGAAAACTTTTTAGAAAATGTTAGTGGGCATTATTTCTAACCTAAACCCATTGAAAATGTATATTAATGACAAGATGATTTTATGAACTAGATTTTTCAATAGCATTTCTCTCTTTAATTGAAGACTCAAGATCATGTTAATGCCTCAGTGTCAACTCATTGTATTACATCTCTGACACTGAAGTCATTGCTAAGTCATGCTGGGAAAAGACTGAATTTAGGAAATTCCTATCGCTAGTTAGTAGCACTTTGTCGTTCAAAATCTCTTCTGCAAGAGGGCTTTTAAACTAAATATCACAAGTGTGTCTGGATTTTTAACCTGTTTTTTTTTTTATTTTTTTTGTGTGTTTGGTGGTGGAATTACTCTAATTTTTAAAACATAAAAATAGCACCACATAATTTAAAATCGTAGCAGTTTGTGGCTGGTCTCGCTATCCAAATAAAGTCATCAGTTGCATATTTGGTTAGAATCTGTATCACTACTATAAAAAGCCCCGCACTATTTAACTATGATTTTATTTAAAACATTTTTAATTTCAAAAAACGGCAGTACAGGAGGTTTATAAATGACATATTAAGTGAAGAAGTGGCTATAATTAAAGAGTAAGTATAATTATTATTACACTCGATCTTACTACTGGAATGTCAGTGATGACTGCGATATAAAAGTTGTGCACTTGATCGTCTGACGAATGTAATGAAATACTTTATCATTGCCCCCTTACATGTAATTAGTTTTCTTGCTGTAGAGATAATACTAAGTGCACCACTAATGTATTATGTCAATTTCACTTTCAGTGAAAATTTGAAAATTGTAATCTCTCTCATAGTAAGGTTAATGTAATTCAAAAAGGCAGGTGCCAAGTAAATTGCCCTCCAGCTTGGCAGGATGTATAGTGCTGTGGTTCACATTTGTTTCTACTTGCTTAATTTTTGAACTGGAATGTTGGGTTGGTTGGTATAATAAGTTAGATCTTTGATTCAAAGTATGCTGGTTAGTTTGAATTCAGTTTTATTAACTAAGGCGGGACATAATCAGTGGATTTAGTTATAAATGAGCATCAGTAAGCTGGTGGCTTTGGTTCCAAGCTTTCCTTCAAACATTAGTCCTATCCCATGCTCTTTTCAGTGGATATTTAGGATCAGTTGATTTCATTACTTAGGATTTGGTAGGGATCACTGATCATTATACAGTATGTCATTTGAAATATGAGAGTTTCATATTGTCAGTAATCAAGCACTTTTACTTAAAATTTCAAATAAATTTGATCCATTAAGAGCTATTATAGTTTTAGTTGATCAGCTTGTTCAGATAGGTGTACACTAACTTTCATAGAATCTCTAAGATGTGCCTTATTTGTTGATTTATTTATTTCAAATTAATTATAGCATATCAAATTTCTTTAAACAGCCACTTCCTATTTAGTCATTCTTCAATAAAATGTATCATCATCAAAATCATATATCTTTATTGAACTTTCTCTAGCTGTGCCTAGATTTTTTTTTGTTGGCTTATGGGGGTTTTTTTGGGAATGGGGGAAGAGGAGGTTACCTTATTTTATATTGAAATTAATCACAAGTCTCCCACATGCCTTATGAAAATTTTTTCTCAAAGAACTTACACTATCATGAATTACAATGTTTCATTTTCACGTTGACATCATAGGTTTTTTTGGAAAACATTTCACTTTCTAAGGTTTGGAAGATCAAAATTTATTTTAAGTACAGATTTTACCACATGGGATAATTTTGGTAATTGTGCTTTGGAGTTTCCTAATCTGTATTTTTCTTTAAAATACTTTTTTTCTTCATAAAACAACCACCACTATAGCAAATTCTTTCAGTTATCTTTCTCCTAGTCTCATTATAAATGCATGCTTTTACCAAAAAATGAAAAAAAATTTATGTAAAGTCTTTATATTCGTCTCTACTCAAAGTCAATAAGCGGGAACCTGCATTAGGAAGCGTATTTGTACAATTGTTAAGGCCTTTAAGATATTTAAATTGGTAGTGTCTTTTAAGCAAATCTACCTGAGAACTGGGTAACTATTTGTTTGCAAGCATACTGTGTATTCATCTCAATGCATCTGAAGGTTGTGAACCTTGTTCAAATGAGTGGGTTGAATCAGGGAGAACAAAGCTGGAGGAGCTGCTCTTACAGCAATCAAGATCGCTCTATGGCTATTCCATTGTTCTGACAAGTCTCCTGGACAGGCAAGAGATTACACCTGCTATAACACTGCAAGTCAAACACATTTTGTTAATTCTGCATCTATTTTTCATTCTTCTTTTTGTTTCCATGTAATCAGTGTATGGAGTAGAGAAAGGAGTTAGAATGTATTTTCTCTAGGCCTGAGAACAATGCTTCTTATGCACCAAATAAAAGAAATCTATGTGCATGTATATGACAATGGTAAAAAGTACAGCATGGTCACTGTGGGAAAGCAAAACAGAGCCAGAGGGATCTCTATGGTTTTAATGATTTCTGAAAATTACTTGCAACTTTGCCAGGTCCAATTAGTCCATTTAAGTCAATACAAATCTGAAGATGTCTTTTTCTAAAAAGGTAAATTTCTGCAGCTCAAGCTCAAAGAACAGAGAAAATGACTTTTATCTATGACCATGAATGATCTGATTATTTTGGTTCATTATAGTAACCATTTTCCCCCTCTTTCTATGGGTTAATATTTCATTTCGAAACAAACAAACAAAAAAAAACCCAACCCTCTGACACCTGATAAACTAACTCCACAGTTTGAACCGAACTGAAATTCTGTAAAATATGAGCAGGAGTTTTTAAGAGTACTTTCATCACTCAGGCTAAAATACACAGAAAATAATACACATTTCATTACATAGTTCCTAAACTTACTTGAAGACATCTTAAGTCCCCAAAATTGTGTTCACAGATGCCTAAAGCAAGAGAAGAACTAACAAATTAGTACAGACCAAACAGAAGACAAGCAAAAGAGAGAGCTCTTTGTGCTTTCTTGAGCGTGTATTATAGTGATATGTAGTATAGAGATCAGTGTTTCAGTAAAATATTTTGTAGAAAATGGAAGGAATATTTCTGTTCACGTATTCAGTGAAACTTACAAATTGCATTCAAGTGTCATCATTAACAGTTATATGGTGTTCATAAAAGCTTTATTATTTCGCTGTAGATTTAGGATTAGCATCTTCTATCACCTTTACAGAAACAAGGAGTACACATTTATCATCGCTCAATTGGTTTGAGTTGCCACAAAGTAAAAACATTTTGTCATCCCTGTTTTAGGAAAAGAGTAGAAACTAAAGCACTGAAGAATGCTGTCTTAAATCTGAAAGGCTGACCCTAGAATAAGATTCACTTATTTAACAAATCTCATCAATCTAGAAAATTATCTTATCTATACCCAGAGCACTTAATTTCTGGTAACTCTTTCTCCACAACACATTCATCAAAGACCTGGTTGCTGAGTATCCCTGTGTCCTAATAGACATTGCCTAACATATCAGCAGGAAGCCTGCTGTGCCAGGCACCGCAATTAGATTTATAATGCTCCCTCATCTCAGGGAACACCCTTGCCCAGTGCTGGGTCATGCCACCCTTGCTGATTATGCTTGATATGCAAATTCCTTCAATAGACTTAGACAGATCAAATTTTTTTAAATGCCATTGGCTGCTGATCCATGCTCTTAATTGGTCTATGAGAATAGGCCACAGTTTTTCATACTCGTCTAATGAGAAATCATATCTCTACAAATTAATGGTTGCCTGTTGCTCTCAAAACTGCAAGACTGTAAGTTATTTGAAGGCAGGTTCTGTGTCTGATTTGCCTTTGTATCCCTTATGGTGCCTTGCACCAGTGCAAGATTGCTCAAAAGATGTCTAATCACACACAGCAGAGGTACCACAAGGAAGTTTCTGGATAGTTTATACAGCTCTTCCCCCACACACTCCAAAAAATTATCACGCTATTAAACATAGAAATAATAATACTGGATTTCCCCAACATTTTAATGGTGTAGTATTAAATTCATTTTACATTTCACCTGAGACTTACTATAATATTTTCAGGCCTTTAAAAGTCTTAATCTAGTGTTGGATCCACATAATACACATTCAGTATGTACTTGTAAAATACACAAACGAAAAGAATAAATTAGAGAATTCAACCCATTAAGGTGCTGTCAACCTCAGACTGATACCCTTTGTCAGAGCAGTACAAAGGAAAGATAAGAGGAGGTTTTTAAATAAAGCAAATTGTGATATTTTAGCTTTGTTTCAAGTGCATCCTTGCGATGTATATAAAAGTTAACAATTACATTAGAATTGAATGCTTAACAAAAACGTAACAATTATGTTAGAATTCAACGCTTAGCAAAAAGTGACTTGGAAGACCATCTCACAATTATTAAATGCAAGAGATTTTTTAAATAAAAATAGCTTGTTACTCTCAAACCCATTTTTATTATGTGCAAGGAAGCATGAACTTCAATATTAAAAAGGAAAACATTAAAAATTACTGTAATTGGGGATTTATTAAAATTAGCCTGTGATTTTGTCTCCTGTAGCTTTTAAAAAGTACATAAATGGATTGGTTCCTAAAACAGAAATGAAGGGGAAACTCATTGAGGATGTATTTCAGGTGAATTATTTACTGTTTTCATAGAATTTTAGGACTAGAGGGGACTTTTAGTCTCATATACAGCTGAGGAAACTGAGCACAGATTGATTTAATGACTTACCCCAAAGTCCCTATCCACTGGGCAAAACAGCTGAGATATACTCAGTCAGCCTGATAACCTCTGTGTTCATCTCTAGGTAAATCTCCATCACAGCCTCCATAGCACAGACTCCAAACTCATTTGGGAATCCAAACTTCTCCCCTAATTGTCAGAAAATAACCTCACCCTTACTCCAGGGACAAGGTCTAGGTCATTTAGGAGAGTGTCCTCCAATTTCCCTTCCCCAGTTTATTGATTTTAATCTCCATCCACCTCACCCTTACTCCAGGGACAAAGTCTAGGTCATTTAGTACAATGTCTTCCAATTTCCCTTTCCTAATTGATCGATTTTAATCTCTATCTTTCCTTGCCTTTGTCTTTGAGGTCCTTTCTTTTTCTGCCCATTCTCTCCTGCTCTCCCTATCACAACACTTCTATGAGAATCTTCCTGCTGAACATCTCTTCTTTTAAATCAAAATCTCCTCCTAGCTTCTATCTTAACTTTCAAAAATCCTTAGGTTACCCTCTCTCAAAAAAAAATGCTACTATCTTGTCCCTCTGTTCCCTTTTATCACCAATGTCTTGAAAAAGTGACCATCTTTATGTCCTCCTCTCCTCCTCTCATTTCCTAATCCCTTGCTGTCAAGCAAGTGCATGTTCCATCCAGCTAAAAATATTCTCTTGAAGGTCCCTCAGAACCTCAGGATTTCCTCAGAATTCACTCTGCTCAACTTTTTTACCTCATCTCTTTCAACCCCATCTGTCTTTCCGTTTTCCTTTTCCTCTGACCTCCATTATAATGCATTATATTTTCCTATTGTTTCTTTCGCCATTCCTTCTCTCTTTCGCCACTCCTTCTCTCCTTCCTTTTTTTTTTTTTTTTTTTTTTCTTTTTTTGAGACAAAGTCTTGCTCTGTCCCCAGGAGTGCAGTGGTGCAATCTCGGCTCACTGCAACCTCCGCCTCCTGGGTTCCATTGATTCTCCTGCCTCAGCCTCCCAAGTAGCTGGGACTACAGGCACGCACCACGACGCCCAGCTAATTTTTGTATTTTTAGTGGAGACGGGGTTTCACCATGTTGGCCAGGATGTTCTCAGTCTCCTGACCTCGTGATCCACCCGCCTCGGCCTCCCAAAGTGCTGGGATTACAGGCGTGAGCCACAGCGCCCGGCCCTCTCCTTCCTTTTTTTTTTTTTTGTTTGTTTGTTGTCGTTGTTCCTAGTTCTATAAATGTAGGAACTCTTCTAGTTTTATCCTCAATTGCAGGCTGATTCTTGACTGTATCCTCTACTTTGGAAATTTCAAATTCTCACGATTTCAACTATCCTGCCTGAGCAGATCTACCTCAAATCTACATATCCAGCTTGAACTTTTGCTCAAGTTTTGATCCATGTTTCCAATTGCTGATCATCTTCACCCAGGCATTATCTGGCATCTCAAACTCAATGTGTTCTAATCTGCTAAATTCTATTACTGTCTTGTTCCCAATCCCACAGTTTAAAACTGCCATCCCCTGAGCTTCCTCCCTCTCTCGAACACCCCCATCCCATTTGTTCTCAAGCCCTGCCAATGCTATGCTGCAGTATCCCTTGATCTTTCCCCATCCATTCCCTCTGTCTCTGCTCCAGCGTACCTCCTTCTCACCTCCAGTCTGCTTTGATACAGAGACCCTCAACTGCTCACCGTCTGTAATCACTGCCTCTTCCCACTAGTCCTACCAACTGTTGTCAGAGTTAGCTTTAAAACCACAATTTTATCATGCTCTTCTCACATCTAAATACTTCAATATTTTCCTACTGCACACAGGCATTTAATATTACAGCTGGAAAGTTACCTGTATAAAATTTAGTCTACTCTTGTCATTTTACAAGTGAGAAAACTAAAGTTCAGAGAATTGGGGAAATACGTTGAAGATTTTCCAACTCTATCAAGAGTCAGATTTCACTATTTTGCCTTTGAAAGTCCAAGAGTGACTTTGTATCAGAGTTTATTCTAGACTCTGAGCAACAGAAAATAAGCTTACACCAACCCACCACATTTTTAAGCAGACTTGGCGGTTTTTAGATTACAAATCCAGTTGAGAGTCTGACTGTATGGTGAAAGCTACTTGGTCTTCTGCCCAAATTGTCTCTCATGGGAAAAAGAGTGACCCAGCTTCATAAAGCTGGAAAGATTTCTTAGTCATCTGCATAGCTTTCCAAAACAAACAGCAAGCACTGGCGCTCCAATGCAGTAAGGGAAGCGCAATAACAGATAACAGATCCATGCACAATTCTGTAGCTATGAAGAAATGGCTTTCAAACACACAAATAAGGTATGCCCATCTCCCATCCCACACTCACAAACAAGAGAGAGGGAAAAGTGTTCATAAATTCACAGGCAGCAAGGAGCATGCATTTACATGAACACCATTTCATCATTTCAGTTCTGCACCCAAGATGGGCTCTACAGATAACATTTCAGTTACATGTTTTAAAATTTGGGCCATTTACTTTTCTTTTTTTTTTCTTCATGCTGTATTCCTATTGTCGTATGTAAATATCACCAATCACAAGGATAATAGGTTAGTTTAAAATCAGAATTTTTTGAGTTCTTGAAGTTGCAATATAAATTCTTTGTAGCATGCTTTTCTTAGTAGTAATTTACTTGAGGGAATAGGCTATCTCATATTTTATTGTAAAACCCACAGCTCAAGTGAAAATTTATGCTAAATTGTATTGAATTATATTTAGCCATAGGTTAATATCCAAGACTCAATTTCCTCATCTGTAAAATGGAGATAGTATTAGTGGTGACCACATGTATTTGTTGTAAAGATTAAGTGCATAGATTTACATAAATACATAACCTAATACCTAGCTATTATTTAACAAATTATAAGAGTAATAACAATCATAATTATTAATATTAGATACACAATGGATATGTAATTCTCATAATAAAAACATTATCTTTTTATACTTCTCATATTGATCATAAATACTTATTTTCTGAATTATCTATTGTGGCAATTTTTTTAAAGTAGATACTTAGAGACATTAAGTTCATATTTTCTTTAATGCTACAATTAAAATTAACTATAAAAAGAACTTTTTTATATTTTTAAATTACTACTGTTAGTATTTTTAAATGTAAACTATAATTTTCTTATATCAGTTATACAAATAAAGTTTTCATACTTTGCAATTCTGAATAAATTCAATTAAAAGTTAAAAATTTCTTATTTAGGGAGAAATACAAGTACAAAATAATAGTAATAAAAAGAAGAGTAAATTGAAAGGTAAAAACAAAAATTCTTAGCATCATCATCAGACCCAAGACATAAACCAAATCCACCTGCTATTTGGCTGATAAAATAATTTTAATGACTCACAAGCCTATGGTTTCATGTTGTTTTTAAAGTAACTGGATAATATAAATTTTAAAGCATTTAATTAAAAAATAACTAGTGTGATTATCTTATTTTTTACAGGTGGTGGTAGAAGTTAACAGTGAATTCCGAATCCAGGTAATATATAACAAATCCATTTTTCCAAATTTTTAAACAAGAAAATAATTTGAGAATAACAATATGTTTTCTGAAGAAAATGTATTCTCATAAGTCAAGTTCATATAATGCTAAAATTAATAGATTACCAAAATTACCAATTTTCCCAATTAAACATCCTCTATTTCTGAGATTATAACCTCTTCCAAAAATCTCAGTGGAATTTGAATTACGAATTCAAATTAATATATACCATTTCTTTATTGCTGTCATTTAAGGTAAGAGATTATAACACTAAAAATGGCACCATCAAATGGCATTCAATCCGAAGGCAGAAACGTGAATGGATCAAGTTCGCAGCAGCCTGTCGTGAAGGTGAAGACAACTCAAAGAGGAACCCAATCGCCAAAGTAGGTATCAACTCCAAAGCATAACATTGAAAATCAGAATGGATAAAGTTTCAAAAGAAACTGTCTGCTAAATATTTCATGAACATGTCTCACCGAGAAGCTACGATACAGAACAGAACTATAGTCACCTAGATGATGAAAACTGAAACTCATAAGGAGAAATTAAGAAATGCAGGTGCTCAGAGAAACAGGCAAACGTTGACTCACCTCATTGGTGAAATGCATACACATGATCATGTGTTATCCCAAACTCCAGATGAAAAAAGATCATTATTTTAATAAAGAATTTGGCTTTCAGCACATTCAAAGGAATTACTTCAATGTGTGCTCTTTTTGCCTCACAATGTATTAGAATTGAATTCCTACTTTTTTGTTTGTTTATTAACATTCACAAGGTGCCCTCTCTCATACCCCTTTTCTATTCATTTTTCCATATCTTCCTTTCTACATACACACACACTCAGAAACACCCCCCACAAATTCATGAACATACAGATGTACACGTCCACAGATACACACACGAATATACACATTCATCCACACAGACACTCACAAATACTCCCCACTAGGATTTGTTTACAGCCAAACAATATTTTATTTCAAAGAAAGAGTTCTGGTTTCTATAACCATTTATTCGCGTGGTCTCCTTCCTTTTCTGCTAATACACCCTTCCCATTTTCAGAATTCAGAGCTTCCACTCAAACCCAGATAACTCTTGTCACCTAAATAAATCTACTTTCTTCGAAAACTTTACATTTAAAACAAATTGAAGATTAAAGTTGCATGATGACAACATTGATAAACTCCTTAAGAGGGCAAAGAGTTTCCTTCTGTAGCTCCAGTGCAAGCACAGACCCTGCAAATAATACAAGATCAAATTTTAACTGTTGAATGAATGAAGTCATGCATGATGATTGCATAGACTTAGATATAGTAGGGTGATATTTCGCATTTTTTCATGTTTCATAGAAGCAGAAACCGAATTTCTTTGATTACATTGTCAGTTACCATTGAAAATATTAGAGCTGTAATTGTTACTCTTATCTAGGAAAATAATCTCCATTGACAACATTTCCTAAATAACAAGGTCATCACATGCAACAACTCTCAAGAAAGCTGTCGTATATCAAATATAGAACTCTATTTGCTCCCTCTAATATTTTTACTTGTGTTCCTTCTGCAGATTCACTCAGATTGTGCTGCAAACCAGCAAGTTACATACCGCATCTCTGGAGTAGGAATTGATCAGCCACCATATGGGATCTTTGTCATTAATCAGAAAACTGGTGAAATTAATATAACATCCATAGTTGATCGAGAGGTCACTCCTTTCTTCATTGTAAGTGGACTTCATGTCAATATATATGTTCATGCTTAAATTCTTCTCAGAAGTTCTTAATCTCAGATCATACTTAATTTGATTTCAAGAGTCTCAATATTTGGCATTTTTGGTTGTTTCTTAATTCACGAGCATCCCACGACTGAAAAGAAATGCAAAGATTAAGAGAGAAGGAAATGTTTCACTTAAGTGTCAGCAAAAATGCTAACCTCTATACTGTCCTCATTGGCAAACTAGAGTATTTGTTTGGAAGGACAATTACCTAACTTTTTAATTTTTCCTTTTTTAAAAAATTCAGTAAAGAATGTTACCTTATTTTAAGTCTAATGTCAAGTAATGATTCTAGAGCTACTGCAGGACTGTTTTCTGAGCAAATATACTTTATTATAAATTCAGTAAAGAATGTTACCTTATTTTAGGTCTAATGACAAGTAAATGATTCTAGAGCTACTGCAGGACTGTTTTCTGAGCAAATATACTTTACTATAAATTCATATTCCTCAAGCTCACCTGAGCTCCAAATGCACCTTGAAAATGCATCCATTCTTAAGTGAATCTCACTCCATTCTTTACAGGAGCTGTCACATAGCTTAAGTATCCTATCTCTTCAAACCCTCAACCTCATTTCCACTTTAAGCAGTTGACCTTGTGACCAACTTTATGAAAAAGGCTGAGGCCATCCATCACAAACTCCCATAATTATTTCTCACTCGCCCAGCTCAGAAATGTTCTTCATTAAATCAAAAGCAGGATCAATTGTTTGCTTTTTCTCACAGCATATTCCAAGACATTTCCATGGTCCTATAATTGCCACTTACTTGGAGAATCATTCCATCACCTCTGTTTTCTGTCTCCCTTCTGCTGGCTCCTTGGCTACTCCCATTTCTCTCTATCGTCATGGCCAACACTTCTTAATATTAAAAATAGAAATAAAGAAACCCTATTTTGCTCCTGTTACCTCTTCTATTAAAACCCCACCAGTCCGTATCCCAAAATACCTTCAAATAATAATCGATATTTGCAGTTTTCACTCACACCGCCTGCCTGTATTCCTCACACAACTTTAATTCTTTAGCCTTCAATTCCAAATCTCTATTTCTCCCTTCTGTCCCACAATGATCCCCCACAAACTTTAAAAAGGCATGCTACCCTGTTAGCTTTTCTTGGGGCATAATGCATTTTTTTACGTCTTTATTTTTTTTTAGAGACAGGGTCTCATTATATTGCCCAGGCTAGTATCATAATGCCTTTATATATGAAATATGCCATTTTGTAAAATAGTACACATTACACTTAGGGACGCTTCAAATACAAATAATAATAGTAATAATAATAATCATAATAATAATATAAACCCCCATGTAGCTACTACCTAGCTTAAGAATGCCACATTTGCTTTCCCTTAGTGACTGTAAGTAGGGCTTGTGCCTATGTTCTAAGTAGACATAATAATTCTTTTAATTCGCCACAGTGCTAGCATAATGCTCAAAGTAAGAACTTAATAAATCTGTGTTTCACTGTATAATTATTTATCTTTTCTCTCCCAGATCTACTGCCGAGCTCTGAACTCAATGGGCCAAGATTTAGAGAGGCCTCTAGAGCTCAGAGTCAGGGTTTTGGATATAAATGACAACCCTCCAGTGTTTTCAATGGCTACATTTGCAGGACAAATAGAAGAAAATTCTAATGCAAGTAAGTAATGTAGTGGCTTCCAAATCACTCCTAACAGCCAGGCACCTAACTGGAGACTAAACTATGTCAAAGTACACATCATGAATGTAAGAGATAAACTATAGAAAAGATGCAGAATAGCAAGTCTTTCCTTTCAACTACGGAAGCAGCTCCAAACTGAGGGACACAAGGCGTGATTCCAAAGCAATGAGGAGGATTTTTCTCACATAACTCGCAGGCCAGCCCTGTAGAAGAGTCCTAACAAGAAATTTTAAAGGCATTTTGCACAATGGTGGCAGAGGCATCGGGATGTGAATTTAGCCTCCCAGTCTAACTGTGTAGAAGGACAATCCCACCCTTTTCTGCTCTTACTGCGTTTTTTCCCCTTTTTTAAAGTTAGCTACTTTAAAATCACTTATAGAAATCACTTCCACACAAAACTTCTTTTTGTGATTTAACCTTTAAGTGATAAAATTTCTTGTGAATTCCAAAAATCCCTACACTTTACTTTTATTCATTAAAATACTGTACCTATACTTTCAACTTTTAAAAGTGTTATTATAAAATGCTCATTAAATTTATGTAATATGGAAAGTAAAAGGGAACAAAAATCTGCTGTCTGCATTTCCTAGTACCATTCTTCAGAGGTATGCACTGTGTACATGCGCTCCATAATTATGTAAACATAAATCACATGTTTTTTAACATAAATGGTATCATCTGTTACATGCTAATCCACAACATGAATTTTTATATAAATATATTTTGAACATATTTCCATATCAGGACACATAATTGTTTCACTGCTTTCAATAGTTGCATGGAATTTAATTATATAAATTACATAAGTGTATATAAATGTTAATTATCTAGTGAAAACATTTTAAAGGTTATGCTACAATAAATACAGGTGGGGGATGACAGATGCCATGAAGCATTTGTAGGAAAATTGTATTTAAAATGGAGTTGGAGAGTAGAGAACAATTCCAAAGTTATGAATGAGCACTGGCAGTTTTCCACATTCTCCAATAATCTAATAATCTTCATCAAAACTACTTATAAAATTAATGAAAAGATAAGAGACAGGACAATATGTGTAGTTAAGCAAGCATTTCTTTAGATCTACTAATTACCTTGCACTTGACGAAGGATCACCCAAAACAAAACAGTAGTAATGTATATTTATCAAACGTGCATTATTCATTAGGAACTTTATATAGTTTTCTCTTATTAATGATTTAATTCTCACATGAATTCAGTAAGGATGGCAGTAATATCATCCCCATTTATAGATATAAAAATTGAGGCCAAGATCATATAGCTAGAAAGTGTTGAGAAAGTTGGGAAAATGTTGGTCTGGCCTTATTATCATTTTGTTTCGCCACAGCATCCTTTAAAAAAGAAGAAAATATGCTAGAAGAAGAAATAGAAAGCCAGAATAACACATTTCCTTTGTTTCCCAGTTATCAACAATGTCTAGATTCCTAGTAAAATGTGATCTTCTTGTTAGGCAAAGATATAGAAAAGAGCTAAGATATCCATATGTTGAAGGAGTAGAAAGGGAAGACAGTGAAGTCCACATCATAAGGATCAACTAACTCTAACACTTTTTTGGAAAGGTGATATACTCTACTGTAACAAAAATGTAAATCACCCATTTGCAATCAATTTTCCTTAATTTCTAGATACACTGGTGATGATACTCAATGCTACTGACGCAGATGAACCGAACAATTTGAACTCAAAAATAGCCTTCAAGATTATAAGACAAGAACCTTCAGATTCACCAATGTTTATTATCAACAGAAATACTGGAGAAATTCGAACGATGAATAATTTTCTAGACAGAGAGGTAATTCTTTTTCTTTAAGTGGGTTTTTGGTCTCAAAGGAACTGATTCTAAAAGCAAGGATACTGAAGAGACAAAGAGATGAAGAAAATGATGGTTTAAATTTTTACTTGTATAACTTTTTCACATAATTCTTTCATGTAAGAAATATTTTTTAAATGAAAAAGGGAGGATTTTTCAATTACGTTTTGTACTATTTTTCATATAATTAATTGATTAAAATTTACTTCAATTTAAGAAAACTATATTGTGAAAGTACATGAAAATATGCCTAAGGTAGAATCTAAGGTAGAATCAAAAGCTCCATTTCTCTAAAAAGTGTGTTCTATAATAAAATGAATTTAGGAATGACTTGCTATATGTCCACGTTTTGGTGAGTTACAGTGCATGCGAGTATGCTGGAGGCTCCAGGAATATTGATACACTAAGTTCTCTTTCTTTAACCTAGCATATCTAAGCTCCATTGACAACAGAATTCTTGTTTTTCCTATGTAACATCTATTGATAGCTCACCCATTCATTTACTTTGGGAAATGAACCACAGGATAAGAATGATGGATAGGAATTAAATGACAGACTGACCAATCTTTTTATTTACAAATAAGAAAATAACTAGTGATGTTAACAGAGTAAAATCAGCATTATGAGGTTTCTAGCATGCCTTGTGATTTTATGATTTAGTTTTAAAATAAGTGCTTTTTCATTATTTAAAAAAAATTGTCTTTTAATAGAATGTTGCAACCTAAATGTACATTAGGAGCATAAGTGAGGAAGCTTTATTTTCTGATGGTATTCAATTAATTTTGTTTTAATTATTAAAAATGACAATCTTCTTGCTGATGACTTTTAGGTTTAGGATAATTCATATTATTTTAATACTCTTTAATTATCTAAATGTTACAAGTTTCTATGTTACCTAAGTCTCCTTTTATACATGTTTGAAAATCAACATTAGAAGAAATTGAATGTTTACACTTTTCTCTCTCAAACTGTCTTAAACAGCCCAATGAGGTTTCTTTCATGTCAAAAGAGCTTTCGTGGTAAAGCACTGTAAGAAAGGGCTGTCAGAAGGAAAGGGACTCTGCAGCCATTGGGAAGCCACCAGGGCAGATATTCTCAACCTGGGGTCAATGGAGAGACCTCAAGATGTCTCTATAAAACCCCCTAAATTATATCCACCATTTTGAATGAGTGTGCATTTTTGCATGAGTCAAGGAAAGCCTCCATAGATTTTACCAGCTTCTAGAAATATAAGCACCATTGAATAGAGTCAAGAATAGATACATCACCAATAATTCCACTGCCATAACCCACTACCTCTCAAAACACAAAGCTTTGTTATCTGTTTATATGCTTCTTGCACACTCGGGGGCTGATTATTTAGGTTATGGAATATTCATGCCATAAATTTTTGGTAAACTTAATCTCTCTCCTTGAGATCATTCTGGTTTGTTTTACCCTTTATAAACTTTTTCAACCTCTGGACATATTATTATTAATAAGAAATGAAGCCTTTTAAAACGTGTTGCATCTTTTAAATAATGCGTGATAAGTATTATTGGGAATAATCATGTGAAACTTGTGGATTTCCCATATTCTGTGTTAACCCTACCTCTATCATAGATTTATGTAAACGTTGAGCCAACTTTTCAAAGAACTTTACATAAGACAAAGTAAAGGCTGTCTACGTCAAGTGTGATATTGCCTGTAATATGTATTTTTAGCAATACGGCCAGTATGCTCTTGCTGTAAGAGGCTCTGACCGAGATGGCGGGGCAGATGGCATGTCAGCGGAATGTGAGTGCAACATTAAAATCCTCGATGTCAATGATAATATCCCTTACATGGAACAGTCTTCAGTAAGTATTTGTTCTTGGAATTAATAAATCTAAATTCGCTATATTCTAAAACATATACGAACAATTCTGCTTACAGAGGCACATGTTATGTTTATTGACATACAACCCAAATGTAGACACATACTTTTTTCTTGTGTTTATGCAAGAATAAATGGAGTTAAGCAATGAAAAATGAGATGAAAACCACAGATATCTTTTCTAAATAATGAAGTTATCAACATTCCAGTATAAGCCTACTGTAGTTCTCTCTCTTTCACACAGTTTGTGCTAAGAGTTTTCACTTCTTGTTTCAGTATACCATAGAAATTCAAGAAAATACTCTAAATTCAAATTTGCTCGAGATTAGAGTAATTGATTTGGATGAAGAGTTCTCAGCTAACTGGATGGCAGTAATTTTCTTTATCTCTGGAAATGAAGGAAATTGGTTTGAGATAGAAATGAATGAAAGAACAAATGTGGGAATTTTAAAGGTTGTTAAGGTATGGTATAATTATCCTAAATATTTTGTTTTCTTAATCTTTTTTCAAAATGTTAAACTTAAAATAAAATGATGCTAACATTTCACAAACTTGGCTTAGTGAAAGAATAAAAATTACTGTGTTTTAAATATATATATAACATAGAGCTTTTTAATATAGTCTTTCTGCTTATAATCATTTTAGAAAAACAGGTATTGAATTTTAACTGGAGACAGTTTGTCAATACAGTACTCCCAAATAGATCATATAAATTGAAAACACTTAAAAATATATTTTATGCTTACAACAAAGTATAATTAATCCTTAAGGTTAATGTCTTAAGAACTTTTTAAAGCATATTTAATAGAGGCTTTAAAACTGTGTCCATGTCAACATTGTAAGTCAATTATTACACATGTAGAATATTCATCATGTAAATAAAAATGTATTTATTCCTCCCGCGTGTTTTCATAAAATTTAAGTTAAATTACTATAAATGTAGAATTATCACACTCCCATCTCACTGTGGCTGCTGATCAAGGCTTATTAGGAACACAGATATACTGGAAATTTGGTCCAAGTCAACCGGTCCAGAACAACTGGATGCCGTTCTCTTATGTCCTCCCCATATTAATGGTCCACATTTACCTGCAGTAAAATTTCATCTGAGATGTGAGAAAAAAAATTTGCCTCCTAGGGAGCTGATAGTCAAAGTTTCGCCCTGTGCTACACAACTTACACAGTCGATTTTTAAAATCTACAACAGCTGTTTATGGATTGTATATGTTGCATGCAATATATAGTTTCATGGTAAAATATAATCCCTATTTAACTATTTCTTTTTTCAGACTAGGTCTGGAAAACAGACTCTCAAACGACTCTGTCCCCATACGAATGTGTGGCTTTTTGCCTCCTGTGTCTTCTTAAAGTGTCACCATGCCTACAGCTTGTATTTAATTTGAGACAGTACGCAGGTGCTTTAGTTTATCCCTCACAGCATCCCTGCAAATTAGGTTATATTATTTCCATATTGCAGATAAAGACATTGAGGCTCCAAGAGAGCACAGAACCTGCATAAGTTCTCATAGCTAGTAAGTAGTGCAGCCAACATTTAAACCTAGTTTTCTCTAGATATGAAGTTCACATTCTTTCCATGATACTATTTAGGATTCAATACTGGGGAAATTGGAGTCTAATCTATTTTGCCCCAAACTATTATATTACTTTAGAAAATTATTCAACCTATCTGTCCTCAATATCTCTATCTGTAAAATGGGAATGATAATTGTTTGCCCAGACATATCATATATTAAATCCTTTGTTATAGCTATATACATATATATATATTATGTGTGTGTAATGTATATATACTTTTGATTTTACATCCATTCTTTGAATTGCAAATAAAACCAATATTAGAACAAAGATTCAAAATTTTAGCTAAATAGGGGAGTTCAATGCGTGAAATTCTATTTTTATCTAAATTACTCTTGTGAAATTTTAGAAAAATATATTTGGTGTGTATGGGCCTAATGGCATAATTGTTTGTGGATTTTATGTGTTGTGGATATTAATATCATTTTTCATAAAGAAAATCACTACTTTATTATTTTATGAAATAAATATTTCCTAGAACATGTTGAAGAAAATAGATTTATTTATATTATATATATATTACATTATATTATCTGATTTATTCAAAGAGTCACACTTACAGATGTGAAATTTCTTGTAAATAGTTCTTATGGATAAAACCACTCAAATGATTGAAACTCTAGTATATTTGACCCATACTGTGTAATAAATAGCTACTTTCTGAAAAACATAAAATGATTGAAGGTAGGATAAATTGTCTTTGCACTAAAAAATACATACATTTGACTATCTGTATTATTCTAAGTTTTTAATTTGTTTGGTGAACAATCAGAGCTCACGTCATATGTTTTCAACTTTTTAACAATGAATCTAGGGGAATTGAATTGTTTCTTACTTTATTTGCACAAATTTACATCAATTAAAGATTAAAAATTTAAGAATGGATTGTGTATTTGTGTGCATTTGTGTTTCATAAAAGAAAGATAATAAGTTTTTTTTGCTATTATCAAAGGATTTTCTTTCACCTGGAACGTTTTATTTTCTTATAATGAAACTATTTTACTCTGTATTTTCTAGCCCTTAGATTATGAAGCTATGCAGAGTCTGCAACTCAGTATTGGTGTCAGAAATAAAGCTGAATTTCATCATTCAATTATGTCTCAATATAAACTGAAAGCATCTGCAATTTCTGTGACTGTGTTAAATGTAATTGAAGGCCCAGTGTTTCGTCCAGGTTCAAAGACATATGTTGTAACTGGTAATATGGGATCAAATGATAAAGTGGGAGACTTTGTAGCTACTGACCTGGACACAGGTAGACCTTCAACGACTGTTAGGTAAGAATGAGATTTTCAACTAATTTTCCTTACATATTGAACTTAAGTACATATGTTCTTTTTATAGATTATAAGTATCTGAGTTAAAATACTTTTCATTATTTTTGAAACTATCATTTAATTGTAAAAAGTACTATAAACTGTGCATTTAAAATGTTTAACTTAAGAAAACATAAAAATTCATGCAAGATGTAAGATGTTAAACTGTAAAGATGTGATATGTGAAAATAATATGTCTCAAAAGTATCGACACTCCTGTATTTCTATGTCTTATTGATCAATTAGCTGATTACCACAGGCCGTGATTCGTCTCTCAGAAGAGTTTAAGGAATGATTTTCCGATGGCAAATCTGCTCAGCTTGAAATCAATTAGATTTTATTAGCTCATTTCAATTATATTCTTCACTTTATTCAGCATTTAATATTGGTCAATAACGCTGGTGTGAAAATTCGGTTATATTAAGGAAAACTACACCATGTAATTTTTTAAAACTCTATATATGCAGATATTTCTACCAAGTCACAAAAAAATCTGTGCGTGCACATGTACCTGTATTTGCACATGTGACTGTGACAAGAAGAATGGGAGAAGCACTTTACCCATGCATTTTTTGTTGTTTGGGGGTTTTTTGTTTGTTTGTTTGTTGTTTGTTTGTTTTTTGAGACAGAGTTTCACTCTGTCACCCAGGCTGGAGTGCAGTGGCACGATCCCGGTTCACTGCCACCTCTGCCTCCCGGGTTCACGCGATTCTCCTCCCTCAGCCTCCCAAGTAGCTGGGATTACAGGCACCTGCTACCACGCCCAGCTATTTTTGTTTTAGTAGAGAAGGGGTTTCACCATGTTGGCCAGGTCAGTCTCGAACTCCAGAGCTCAGGTGATCCACCCTCCTCAGCCTCCCAAAGTGCTGGGATTACAGGCTTAAGCCACCGCACTCAGCCCACCCATGTGTTTTATAAGTTCTTTCTTGGTGTTCTCCTCACATAGTGTGAGTAGTTCTGTTAGAAGTCCTGTCACACTGTACCATGTTGCTGATGAGCGCTCTTGTACCCCACAGGAGTGAGTTCACTGAAGGTAGACGCAACCCAGAGCTTAGCAGAATGCCAGAGAGAGAGAGAGAGAATTACCTAACCAGTGTTTGTTTCACAAATAATAGATGAGAAGAAAAACACCGAAGTCAAAGATGAGAAAAGAATAGAATAGAGGCTCAAGGCAAGGCCTTAGTTTGGAATTCAAAAGAGGTCTTGTCAAGTTCCAGTGCATGTGAGAAGGAGGAGCAGAAACAGGGGGGAAGTTCAGGCCAAGCTGATGAAGTAACTTCTTTGTAAAAGAATAGTTTAGAATTAGGAGCAGCCTGGGAAATCCTAGGATCTGGGTCTTCTGTAATAGTTCTGCTGCTACTTAAATCAAATGAAAATGAGACTGCAAGCATCAAAGGATTATTCTGACATCCAAGTGGGCATAAAAAGACATTCCATCAGAAATGGGTGCTCAGTAATTTTTTTTTCTTAAATGTAAATCTTGATATATCCCTGAGTGGCTCCATATTGCTAAGACTGCCCTGAAAAAAAATAAAGTCTCTAGTAATTGAAAACTGTATCTAGGGATTATAATTACTCACTGAAAAAAACAATACATTTTAAATTAAAATTTCTTTTTTTAGATAGCTGACATTAATTTGTATCATTTTCTTTCAAATACAGGTATGTAATGGGAAATAATCCAGCTGACCTGCTAGCTGTTGATTCAAGAACAGGCAAACTCACTTTGAAAAATAAAGTTACCAAGGAACAGTACAATATGCTCGGAGGAAAATACCAAGGAACGATTCTCTCTATAGATGGTAAGAAATTAATTTACATTTTTATCTTTTCTAGAGAAAGCTGTATATACCTTAAGATATTAACATTTTAACTATCACATTTTGAAGTAACCCCTTTCCAACAAAAGTTGTCACACTGGGCATTATAGACTCATATCTTTAACAACTTGAGGCAGTATAATTTAGTAGCTAAGACCATGAGTCCTGAAATGAGACTAGATTTGTGTCTTCCACCATCACTTACTAGCTATAGAATCTTAGAGAAGTTATTTAATCCATCTATAGCTGTTGTCTCTTTTTTAAAATGGAACAATAACAATATATGTTTAGAAGGATGTGATGATAATGATAAAAATAGCAACAAAAACAAAACAACAGGATTAGCATAGTTGAGCTGAAAGGACATGGGCTTTGATATCATATAGACTAGATTTAAACATATTTCTGTTATATACTTCCAGAATGTTTTTATTCATTTATTTAGAAAGTGTATAATTGAGTCCTAACTAAATGTCAGCCATTGTGCCAGATTCTAGGGTTACATCGATTAATAAAGTCAGACAACTGAGCTCACATCTATGTAATAAAGATTACAAAAATAACCTCAAACAAATTATTCCCATATTTTTGCTGAATAATTCCACTTTCAATAATATTAGGAAAAGTTTAAATATAACAAGATGAATGCACAAGATGTTAATTACAGCACTAATAATTAAATATTGAAAACCACATCAATAATAGGCAACAGGGTAAGTAAACCATGGTCCATTTGATATAAAATTATATAACCATCAGGAACTATGTTAATACAAAGTTTATTAAAATACAAAAGAATACTTATAGTTTAAAGTAAAAAAAATGGAATGAACCATATGATCACATCAATGTAACATAAATAATAAGCAACCATTCGGCATTATAATTAAGGACAAAAGATCATTTTTAAAAATATCAGCAGGTGTCGTCCTTGGGTGCTGCTACCATGAATTTGGTTTCTGGTTTTGTTTTGCTTCTTTCTGTAATTCTATACTTTTCAAATTATATATAATATCCAACTATTGGTAATGTAAAGAAATAATCCAATAAATAGTATTACTATGACTAATAATGTTAGTTATAAATAATAATATAATAATTTAACTGATTTTTAAAACCGAGTCAAAAACAAGGGATGATTTTCAAGTTAGGAGAAATTATGGGAATAAAGACACTGAAATAAATGTTAATGTAAAAAATAATTCTGTGTTGTCCAACCATTCCTACACTAAATGTCTAAAATATTTCTTCCATTTTGAACGTTATTACAGATAATCTTCAAAGAACTTGCACTGGTACAATTAATATTAACATTCAAAGTTTTGGTAATGACGACAGGACTAATACAGAGCCGAACACTAAAATTACTACCAATACTGGCAGACAAGAAAGTACTTCTTCCACTAACTATGATACCAGCACAACTTCTACTGACTCTAGCCAAGTATATTCTTCTGAACCCGGAAACGGAGCCAAAGATTTGTTATCAGACAATGTACATTTTGGTCCTGCTGGCATTGGACTCCTCATCATGGGATTCTTGGTCTTAGGATGTAAGTACTTTAGCAATCCTATGTATATGTGTCCCCCAAAAAATGCTGGGGGAGGAGTTAAGTTTTCTGATTCTTTGATAAAACGTATTTTACAAATTCTCATTTTGTGCAATTATAAAGAAACTTCTGTGTTTGGCACTGGGTTTATAAGATGAAAAAATTAAACTTTTTGACCCCTTCTAAGACTGTGGAGGATAAAAATTTATTTGCAGTAAGTCTCAATGTAATGGGAAAGTGCCATAACAAGCAGGCTCAAATTGCTATTTCAGTGAAGAAGACAATCAGAAGAGGCTACAGAGGGCGGGGTGTGGTGGCTCATGCCTGTAATCCCAGAACTTTGAGAGGCCAAGGCTGGCAGATCACTTGAGGTCAGAAGTTCAAGACCAGCCTGGCCAATATGGTGAAGCCCACGTCTCTACTAAAAATACAAAAATGATCCGGGCATGGTGGTAGGTGCCTCTAATCCCAGCTACTAAAGAGGCCGAGGCAGGAGAAGTGCTTGAACCCAGGAGGCGGGGGTTCAGTCTCAAAAAAAAAAAAAAGAAAAGAAAAGGCTACAGAGAAAGAGTAAACTCTGAGTTGCATTTTAAAAGATGAATAAGAATTAGCCTGATGGACAAGAGAAAGGGAACACAATACAAGGGGAAAAAAATCTATGTGCAAAAACCTAAAAGAATGAGAGTGCAAAGTACTGCGATGAAGAACTCCAGTGTGCAAGAAATAAAAGATGCGCATGACAGCATGGTGAAAGTTTAGACTAAAAGATAGGCAGGGGCCAGGTCTCAAAGAGATTTTATTTATACTAACACTGCATAGTATTAATAAAAGGATAGTCAAATAGACCGAGGGTTAAACTCTGGTTTCTAAGCCTAATCGTCTGAGTCTTCCGAAGGTCACCTAACCTTTCTGAGCCTTGCTTTTGCCATGTATGAAATAATACTTACCTTAAAACAGTGCTTTGATGATGAAAAAGAAGTACCACACATGAAGCATTTAGCATGTTCTATGGCCACTAGGGTAGCACTAGTCAAGGGTCTAGCTATAAAGGTAGAATCCAGTGGACTCTCCAGGTGGCTGTTAACATTACCTCGAATGATGATAGAAATTAGAGCAAGATAAACCACATGGCACAGTCTTCGGGAAATGAGAACAGGAGCTCTAAAGTAAGTAGGTTGCAGTCTGCACATTACAATTAAATTAATGCAAACATTGTCATTTTCAAATGTGGAATCATAAAATCTTAATGTCAGAAGGTACCTCAGATATTTAAATCAAACGCTCACACAAAATGTGAAGTCAGAGCGCTTATGTATAAAATATCTTTTCTACTTTCATTTTTCTTGGCACGTGAACAGTGGCAGATATGTTTTGCTACATTTATTTGTGAACTGGGTTTTCTCTGATTTTAAATAACTCATGTTTTTGAAGTTTTCATCAACATTGGGCTCATCTAAACAACGAGTCTGGCCATGGTGATAACACAGCTTAGAGCTGGAGTTCTTTTTCCAAAATTTAAAACGTATTTCCAAAAAATGAAATTTTTACATTAACAAATAAGAGTTTATTCTTACTGGCTCATAATTAATTGAAGTAATAACCAGGAAAAGTTCTATGAAACAGAGAAAAGGGAAAGAGAGAAAGAAAAAAGCATTCTCATCAAAATGAACCAAGACAAGATAAAGGCAAAAATGCTAGTGAAGTTGCAGAATATAACATAAAATACATATGAAAAGAGTTCATTCTCTCTGTTATTTATTACCAACTAACATTGTAAAATGTTTAAATTTAATACTTCATAAGAGTAACGTAATTACCCAAGTGCTCATTATCACTACTGTAAATAATACCTAACTTTCATGTTGAGTTTTGTTTGTTTGTTTTCTGGGTTTTTTTTGTTCTTTTGTTTTTTTGTTTTTTTGTTTTTTTTTGAGATGGAGTCTCACTCTCACCCAGGCTGGAGTACAGTGGTGCAATCTCGTCTCACTGTAACCTTTGCCTCCCAGGTTCAAGCGATTCTCCTGCCTCAGCCTCCTGAGTAGCTGGGACTACCCATGTGCACCACCACACCCGGCTAATTTTTGTATTTTTAGTAAAGATGGGGTTTCACCATATTGGCCAGGATGATCTCGATCTCCTGACCTCGTGATCCACCCGCTTTGGCCTCTCAAAGTGCTGGAATTACAGGCGTGAGCCACCGCGCCCGTCCTGAGTTGTTTTTTTACATTGCGGACTACCTCTGGGTACTGTAGTAAATAAAAGATTTATAAATTATATATGGGCCTTAGTCATCACTACCTGTAGACCCAAAGTTTCCTCTAGTAGATTTTCAGAAAACCAATACATGGGCTTCTTTTCCTCTTTTTTTCTTTTTTCTTCTCTCCCTCTCTCCCTTATGTCTATCCTTACTACCTTCCTTCTTCCCTAATTTACTTCCTTCTTTTTTCCTTTCCTCCTTCTTCACAATTTTAATTTACACATTCTTTCTTTCATCCATTTATTCAAAACCATTTACCAAGATTAGATTATATAAGAGGCTGATAATAAATAGATAAATAAGAAAACTCCACTTAACAGCAAAAGACAGTGCTAAGCAGTGTGATGTTTTCTATTTGTATAAGAGTTATTGAAAGAAAAGACACTTGCATAGGGGGAAATAGCCTCACAGAGAATTGTTGGAAGCATGAATAAGATTTTACTGTTGAAATAAAGGCAAGCATATGTTAAAGGAAGACAATAAAGACATGGAGGAGAGAACACAAAGGATCAAATATATTGCCTGACCTTTTCATCTTTCCTTGTTCTCTCCTTTAATATTTTCCTAAATAATGACATGGAAAGATTAATCGGTTTTAATAATGTAATACTATCTGTGATTTTTTTTTTTTTTTTTTTGAGAGAGGGTCTCACTCTGTCACTCAGGCTGGAGTGCAGTGGCACAACCACCGCCCACCTCCCTGGTTGAGCAGCCTCAACCTCCCTGGCTCAAGCCATCCTCCCACCTCAGCCTCCAGAGTAGCTAAGACTGCAGGCAAAAGCCCCCATACACGCCTAATTTTTGTATTTTTTGGTAGAGATAGGGTTTCACCATGTTGCTCAGGCTTGTCTCAAGCTCCTGGGCTCTAGTGATCCACCCACTTCCACCTCCCAAAGTGCTGGAATTACAGGTGTGAGCCACCATGCCAGGCCCACTATTTGTAATTTTTAATACTATAAAATAAACTAAAATTGACTGCAGTCTAATATACAGAAGCTCCCATTTACTTTGGGGTCTGACCATCATTCAGCTTGTATTCTGAAACTTTCATAATTTTAGAACCAACCAGAATTATATTACGAATTCAAATTTAACCATAAAAAATCAGGTTGTTTTGTTTTTTATTTGCACCCAGTGCTAACTCTAGTATTACTATCCCTCCACCACCAGTGGTCCCATTTTTGATGATCTGTTGTGATTGTGGAGGTGCTCCTCGTAGTGCAGCTGGCTTTGAGCCTGTTCCCGAATGTTCAGATGGAGCAATTCATTCATGGGCAGTAGAAGGACCACAGCCTGAACCCAGGGTAAGTGCCACATTCTAAGAAATAGCCGTTGGTAGTCACTGAAATTCAGTCTTTACACATGAACCAAGATGGCCGCCATCACTCACAGTCTATGCTGTTTTTTGTGCTGAGAAAGCTAATGGAGAAAATGAAGAGGAATCAGAAACACAACAAAATTAGATGGAAGTAACCAGGGAAGATTTTCTAAGTGAAGTTCAAATTTTAAATGGATTTCAGAATTTCCTAAATAGTATTTTTTTTTTAGGAAATCTGAGGTAATTTAAGAATAAACCAAATGTATGACTGCAGAAAGATTATAGTCATTGGTCACTACAAATGGAAATGTTGTTTCCTGTCTTTTAGGATATAACCACTGTCATACCACAAATACCACCTGATAACGCAAATATAATTGAATGCATTGACAACTCAGGTAAGAAAAAAGAATTTGTTTAACATCTCAAATGCTTAAGTAGGAAGTCTATTTTCTCTCTTTGATTATTGTTTTTTAATTATCTTATTTTTCTTCAAAAGTGTTTATATCATTCTTTTTTAAATGACTAACTTGTAAATTAAATGGCAAGGAAAAACCTATGGTAATTATTATTGTTATATGCTTCATTTTAAAAATTTTCCTCAACCATCAAAGAGTACTTAGAAGATGTCCAAATTAGGATCTCTATATATGCAGAAGTACTGAATTGTAACCATGAGTAAGTTTTAGTCAAGATTTTTAATTTAATAGAGCAAATTTCATTAACATACATACACACACATATTTCATACACATATATACACTAATTAAAATTAAAGTACAACCCAACTAAAATAGAGCCGTGCTCATTTATTGAGGCTAAAATCTTTATACACAATTAATTTAAGGATTCAAAATTGCTTTGACTTTAGCTGCTTATTATAACAAAGAAAAAAACTGCATCCATTTTCAGTATCATCACAAATATTACCTAAAAAATATTTGTCCAATTTCTTTAATTGAAAGCAAGTAGATGAAACACTATCAAAATCTTTCTAAGCTCTCAACTGAGATTGTGTGCACATGGTGGAGTTTTTTCCAGCACGTGGGTAAGACTGTATAAATACAACTTGCCTTAAAACAGGAATCTAGACCAGTTCACAGGCAGAACCCAGGGAATAATTAGAATTTCACAGTGAGTGGATAACTACCATTATAATAAAAGAACAATTAAAATAACATCTCATATCTGTGAAAATAGTTGTATCACATTACTTTTCTCAAGGTAAATAAATACTATTGGTTAGCTTATTTTTCTCATAGTCTTTTTAAACAGTAACCATTGTTTTCTACTTTAAACTAACAGGCATAGAAATGTGTATAACTTGTAGAACTGGACCTTATTCAAAGAACTCGACACAGTAGTCTTTAAATCTATTTCTCCACCTGATTTGTCCATTTTCATTAATAACCCCAATGTCTTCTCACCTCAAAAGCAGAATCTCATTGTTGACTCGTCGTATTCACTGACACCAAATCAGTTCTCAAGACATTTATCAAATCATCAAATCCATCAGTATTTATTTACACATTTGTTCCCATTAAATCTACAAACTTTTGCACAAATTTTGAACAAAGCACCATAAGAGGCACCAAGGAAAACTGAAGCATGAAAAACAGACTGTTCCCAAACTCAAGATCCTTCACATACTAAAGCCAGTGGATACATATCCCACTGACAACATTCTTCATTCCACAGCAGTTCCACGGTCCCGGCCATCATTTTATCTCACCTACCTCAAATATTTCTTTTTTTTTTAATTTAAAAAAGATGAAACACTTGACCAATTTGCGTATCATCCTGTGCAGGGGCAATCCTAATGTTCTCTATATAGTTCTAATTTTAGTATACGTGCTACTGAAGCGAGTACCTACCTCAAATATAGTAACAGGCTTCCACTTACTCCTCACATCCAAGTGCAAACCCAAGATTCTTCATGAAAACCTTTCTCCTCACATAGCCATGGCCTCCTCTCTGAAAGCCAGTGGTTCTCATGTCTTTTTCTGGATGTCCTGTGCTTCTAGTTATACACTGGGGCTTCTAGTTATACACTGTTTTTTTAACTTTCAGAATTTGAGTATTTTTTCTCCAATTTCCTACAGGTTGAAATCAAATGCTTTAGGACATAGATTTTTTTTAAGTCCTCTGCAGCCTTCACTTCCAGCAGAGAATATAGTAATCTCTCAACAGATAATTATCAAATTAACAAATTAATAATATTATTTTGAGTTCAATATTGTATTTATATCTCCTTTCTTTATGTATTATCTTTTTATTTCTTTGTTCACAAATGCATACCTAAATGAAAAAATCACATATTACAAGGCAAGTTGTTACTTTTTAGTTTATGATAGACTAAAGAAAATAAATTTAATTTGATCAACACTTTTAGGAGTTTATACAAATGAGTATGGTGGCAGAGAAATGCAAGATCTGGGAGGAGGAGAGAGAATGACAGGATTTGAACTAACAGAGGGAGTTAAAACTTCAGGAATGCCTGAGATATGTCAAGAATACTCTGGAACATTAAGAAGAAATTCTATGAGGGAATGTAGAGAAGGAGGTCTGAATATGAATTTCATGGAAAGCTACTTCTGTCAGGTAAGGTCCCTAGCCACATGCCTTTCTCGCCATCCATGTGCCTGCTGCTCTTCACCAAGCTTTCACTAATTCCTAAAGGGGCTTTGGCAGGAGTCTCCTAACTAGATTCTCAGCCTTTAGTTTTTGTGCCCAACAATCCATGCTGTTAATGAATTATATATCTAAAGCTCTGACCTGAGCACTTTACTCCCCAACGTAAGAACAGCCAATGGCTCCCAGCTCTCTTTTGTTCATGGCATGCAATCCAAAGTCCTTAACATGTTAACTAAGATTGTTCACAAAATGAACCCTCCCTCTTATCTCCAATTACTCCTTGCCATCAACTCCACTTGCTGAGCACCTTTGCCACACACCTTTCACCTCCATGTGTTTGCTTATCCTGTGCCCCTCCTGGAATGCTTGCATCCCACTATGTCTCTCACAAACTCCTACCCATCCTTCAAGACCCAGTCCAAATATCACTCTCCCTCCGAAGTTTTTACAGTTAACCCTCTCATCCAAAATAGGATTAATGTTTTCTCATCTGTATTTCTGCAGTACTTTGTTTACACATTTATAGAACCTATCATTGCTAAAATCTGTCCGTTTATATGTCTACCACCACTTTTAGTGTCTCATCCATATATTCTCTACGTTGTATTGCCAGTACATAGCTCAGTTCTAGACATAGAGGCAATAGTTAATGAGAGTGGGGTCAAGAGCCATAGTCTACTTCCAAAACATTGTAAGAACGAGCTGTAGGTGGTGGGAAGAGCATGAAGCCTGGAGAAGCAGCTGCAGGAGAATTTAACTTTGCCATCCCCAGGAAGAGATGCAATTGTCCATGGTTACACATCATGTGATACCCAATCTTAAGGAAGTTCCTGTCCCTGACATCGACTAGAAAAACATTTCTGTCCTTCTACATTCTGGCCTAAAGTGGTTTCATTAACTAACCTAGTGGTTGGTTTAAAGAGTGGCTGATATTTTTAAATAAAATATTGGTAAAAGCATTCAAATAGCAATAGATAGTAATGAGGCTTGTTGAAAACCATAGGAATACTTATTCATATATACAACAAAATATTTTGTTATATTTTAATAACATAGAAATATCTTCCTTCCAATCTCTGATCAAATATCACTTTATCAGAGACCCCTTCCTTGATTACCCTATCTAAAAGAACAGCACCCATCACTTTCTTTTTCTTTACCCTGCATCTGCCACCTCCTGACCATATGCTTCTGTGTTGTCTGTCTCACTCACCCAAAATGTAAGCTCTGTGAGAGAACAGCTGTATCTGGTATTGTTCATTATGCATAGCTAAGTTCCAAACACAGAGGGTCTGGCAAATAGCAAAGGCTCAATCATTTTTTTATATGAATGGCACAATGAGTTGGTTTCCTATAAGGTATTTCTGTTAACCTGAAAGTTTACAATCCACTATTACGAACAACAAAGATGAAACGAAAGTGTATATGTCTTTGGGCTTTTACTTTGAATTTAGAGAGATTATATTTTTTAAAAGTGTCTTTGATCACCTTTAATTTTGTAGAACAGACCCAGAGTCAAATTTTCCTGTTGCTGTGCTGAAAAAGTCATGTTGCAATAAACCTTCACAGAATCATCATATTCACTCCATCTGAAGGAAAGAAACAAAATCCTGAGTGAACCCAACTCAACTATGAACTACTTTTCCAGACAAAAAACAAAACAACACATTTTTATGTCCTTCAAGCTCAGTATTTTTATATACCTCCCTCTAACTTTGTTATAAATAATTCATGTGATTTTTTTTTATTATTATACTTTAAGTTTTAGGGTACATGTGCACATTGTGCAGGTTAGTTACATATGTATACATGTGCCATGCTGGTGCGCTGCACCCACTAACTCGTCATCTAGCATTAGGTATATCTCCCGATGCTATCCCGCCCCCCTCCCCCCACCCCACAACAGTCCCCAGAGTGTGATATTCCCCTTCCTGTGTCCATGTGATCTCATTGTTCAATTCCCACCTATGAGTGAGAATATGCGGTGTTTGGTTTTTTGTTCTTGTGATAGTTTACTGAGAATGATGATTTCCAATTTCATCCATGTCCCTACAAAGGACATGAACTCATCATTTTTTATGGCTGCATAGTATTCCATGGCGTATATGTGCCACATTTTCTTAATCCAGTCTACCATAGATGGACATTTGGGTTGGTTCCAAGTCTTTGCTATTGTGAATAATGCCGCAATAAACATACGTGTGCATGTGTCTTTATAGCAGCATGATTTATTCTCCTTTGGGTATATACCCAGTAATAGGATGGCTGGGTCAAATGGTATTTCTAGTTCTAGATCCCTGAGGAATTGCCACACTGACTTCCACCATGGTTGAACTAGTTTACAGTCCCACCAACAGTGTAAAAGTGTTCCTATTTCTCCACGTCCTCCCCAGCACCTGTTGTTTCCTGACTTTTTAATGATTGCCATTCTAACTGGTGTGAGATGGTATCTCATTGTGGTTTTGATTTGCATTTCTCTGATGGCCAGTGATGATGAGCATTTTTTCATGTGTTTTTTGGCTGCATAAATGTCTTCTTTTGAGAAGTGTCTGTTCATGTCCTTCGCCCACTTTTTGATGGGGTTGTTTTTTTCTTGTAAATTTGTTTGAGTTCATTGTAGATTCTGGATATTAGCCCTTTGTCAGATGAGTAGGTTGCAAAAATTTTCTCCCATTTTGTAGGTTGCCTGTTCACTCTGATGGTAGTTTCTTTTGCTGTGCAGAAGCTCTTTAGTTTAATTAGATCCCATTTGTCAATTTTGTCTTTTGTTGCCATTGCTTTTGGTGTTTTAGACATGAAGTCCTTGCCCATGCCTATGTCCTGAATGGTAATGCCTAGGTTTTCTTCTAGGGTTTTTATGGTTTTAGGTCTAACGTTTAAGTCTTTAATCCATCTTGAATTGATTTTTGTATAAGGTGTAAGGAAGGGATCCAGTTTCACCTTTCTACATATGGCTAGCCAGTTTTCCCAGCACCATTTATTAAATAGGGAATCCTTTCCCCATTGCTTGTTTTTCTCAGGTTTGTCAAAGATCAGATAGTTGTAGATATGCGGTGTTATTTCTGAGGGCTCTGTTCTGTTCCATTGATCTATATCTCTGTTTTGGTACCAGTACCATGCTGTTTTGGTTACTGTAGCCTTATAGTATAGTTTGAAGTCAGGTAGTGTGATGCCTCCAGCTTTGTTCTTTTGGCTTAGGATTGACGTGGCGATGCGGGCTCCTTTTTTGGTTCCATATGAACTTTAAAGTAGTTTTTTCCAATTCTGTGAAGAAAGTCATTGGTAGCTTGATGGGGATGGCATTGAATCTGTAAATTACCTTGGGCAGTATGGCCATTTTCACGATATTGATTCTTCCTACCCATGAGCATGGAATGTTCTTCCATTTGTTTGTGTCCTCTTTTATTTCCTTGAGCAGTGGTTTGTAGTTCTCCTTGAAGAGGTCCTTCACATCCCTTGTAAGTTGGATTCCTAGGTATTTTATTCTCTTTGAAGCAATTGTGAATGGGAGTTCACTCATGATTTGTCTCTCTGTTTGTCTGTTGTTGGTGTATAAGAATGCTTGTGATTTTTATACATTGATTTTGTATCCTGAGACTTTGCTGAAGTTGCTTATCAGCTTAAGGAGATTTTGGGCTGAGACAATGGGGTTTTCTAGATATACAATCATGTCGTCTGCAAACAGGGACAATTTGACTTCCTCTTTTCCTAATTGAATACCCTTTATTTCCTTCTCCTGCCTAATTGCCCTGGCCAGAACTTCCAACACTATGTTGAATAGGAGTGGTGAGAGAGGGCATCCCTGTCTTGTGCCAGTTTTCAAAGGGAATGCTTCCAGTTTTTGCCCATTCAGTATGATACTGGCTGTGGGTTTGTCATAGATAGCTCTTATTATTTTGAAATACGTCCCATCAATACCTAATTTATTGAGAGTTTTTAGCATGAAGGGTTGTTGAATTTTGTCAAAGGCTTTTTCTGCATCTATTGAGATAATCATGTGGTTTTTGTCTTTGGCTCTATTTATATGCTGGATTACATTTATTGATTTGCGTATATTGAACCAGCCTTGCATCCCAGGGATGAAGCCCACTTGATCATGGTGGATAAGCTTTTTGATGTGCTGCTGGATTCGTTTTGCCAGTATTTTATTGAGGATTTTTGCATCAATGTTCATCAAGGATATTGGTCTAAAATTCTCTTTTTTTGTTGTGTCTCTGCCTGGCTTTGGTATCAGAATGATGCTGGCCTCATAAAATGAGTTAGGGAGGATTCTCTCTTTTTCTATTGATTGGAATAGTTTCAGAAGGAATGGTACCAGTTCCTCCTTGTACCTCTGGTAGAATTCGGCTGTGAATCCATCTGGTCCTGGACTCTTTTTGATTGGTAAGCTATTGATTATTGCCACAATTTCAGCTCCTGTTATTGGTCTATTCAGAGATTCAACTTCTACCTGGTTTAGTCTTGGGAGAGTGTATGTGTCCAAGAATTTATCCATTTCTTCTAGATTTTCTAGTTTATTTGCGTAGAGGTGTTTGTAGTATTCTCTGATGGTAGTTTGTATTTCTGTGGGATCAGTGGTGATATCCCCTTTATCATTTTTTATTGCATCTATTTGATTCTTCTCTCTTTTTTTCTTTATTAGTCTTGCTAGCAGTCTATCAATTTTGTTGACCCTTTCAAAAAACCAGTTCCTGGATTCATTAATTTTTTGAAGGGTTTTTTGTGTCTCTATTTCCTTCAGTTCTGCTCTGATCTTAGTTATTTCTTGCCTTCTGCTAGCTTTTGAATGTGTTTGCTCTTGCTTTTCTAGTTCTTTTAATTGTGATGTTAGGGTGTCAATTTGGGATCTTTCCTGCTTTCTCTTGTGGGCATTTAGTGCTATAAATTTCCCTCTACACACTGCTTTGAATGCGTCCCAGAGATTCTGGTATGTTGTGTCTTTGTTCTCGTTGGTTTCAAAGAACATCTTTATTTCTGCCTTCATTTCGTTATGTACCCAGTAGTCATTCAGGAGCAGGTTGTTCAGTTTCCATGTAGTTGAGCGGTTTTAAGTGAGATTCTTAATCCTGAGTTCTAGTTTGATTGCACTGTGGTCTGAGAGATAGTTTGTTATAATTTCCGTTCTTTTACATTTGCTGAGGAGAGCTTTACTTCCCAGTATGTGGTCAATTTTGGAATAGGTGTGGTGTGGTGCTGAAAAAAATGTATATTCTGTTGATTTGGGGTGGAGAGTTCTGTAGATGTCTATTAGGTCCGCCTGGTGCAGAGCTGAGTTCAATTCCTGGGTATCCTTGTTGACTTTCTGTCTCGTTGATCTGTCTAATGTTGACAGTGGGGTGTTAAAGTCTCCCATTATTAATGTGTGGGAGTCTAAGTCTCTTTGTAGGTCACTCAGGATTTGCTTTATGAATCTTGGTGCTCCTGTATTGGGTGCATATATATTTAGGATAGTTAGCTCTTCTTGTTGAATTGATCCCTTTACCATTATGTAATGGCCTTCTTTGTCTCTTTTGATCTTTGTTGGTTTAAAGTCTGTTTTATCAGAGACTAGGATTGCAACCCCTGCCTTTTTTTGTTTTCCATTGGCTGGGTAGATCTTCCTCCACCCTTTTATTTTGAGCCTATGTGTGTCTCTGCACGTGAGATGGGTTTCCTGAATACAGCACACTGATGGGTCTTGACTCTTTATCCAATTTGCCAGTCTGTGTCTTTTAATTGGAGCATTTAGTCCATTTACATTTAAAGTTAATATTGCTATGTGTGAATTTGATCCTGTCATGATGATGTTAGCTGGTTATTTTGCTCGTTAGTTGATGCAGTTTCTTCCTAGTCTCGATGGTCTTTACATTTTGGCATGATTTTGCAGCAGCTGGTACCGGTTGTTCCTTTCCATGTTTAGTGCTTCCTTCAGGAGCTCTTGTAAGGCAGGCCTGGTGGTGACAAAATCTCTCAGCATTTGCTTGTCTGTAAAGGATTTTATTTCTCCTTCACTTATGAAGCTTAGTTTGGCTGGATATGAAATTCTGGGTTGAAAATTCTTTCCTTTAAGAATGTTGAATATTGGCCCCCACTCTCTTCTGGCTTGTAGGGTTTCTGCTGAGAGATCTGCTGTTAGTCTGATGGGCTTCCCTTTGAGGGTAACCCGACCTTTCTCTCTGGCTGCCCTTAACATTTTTTCCTTCATTTCAACTTTGGTGAATCTGACAATTATGTGTCTTGGAGTTGCTCTTCTCGAGGAGTATCTTTGTGGCATTCTCTGTATTTTCTGAATCTGAACGTTGGCCTGCCTTGCTAGATTGGGGAAGTTCTCCTGGATAATATCCTACAGAGTGTTTTCCAACTTGGTTCCATTCTCCCCATCACTTTTAGGTACACCAATCAGACGTAGATTTGGTCTTTTCACATAGTCCCATATTTCTTGGAGGCTTTGCTCATTTCTTTTTATTCTTTTTTCTCTAAACTTCCCTTCTCGCTTCATTTCATTCATTTCATCTTCCATTGCTGATACCCTTTCTTCCGGTTGATCACATCAGCTCCTGAGGCTTCTGCATTCTTCACGTAGTTCTCGAGCCTTGGTTTTCAGCTCCATCAGCTCCTTTAAGCACTTCTCTGTATTGGTTATTCTTGTTATACATTCTTCTAAATTTTTTTCAAAGTTTTCAACTTCTTTGCCTTTGGTTTGAATGTCCTCCCATAGCTCAGAGTAATTTGATCGTCTGAAGCCTTCTTCTCTCAGCTTGTCAAAGTCATTCTCCATCCAGCTTTGTTCCGTTGCTGGTGAGGAACTGCGTTCCTTTGGAGGAGGAGAGGTGCTCTGCTTTTTAGAGTTTCCAGTTTTTCTGTTCTGTTTTTTCCCCATCTTTGTGGTTTTATCTACTTTTGGTCTTTGATGATGGTGATGTACAGATGGGTTTTTGGTGTGGATGTCCTTTCTGTTTGTTAGTTTTCCTTCTAACAGAGAGGACCCTCAGCTGCAGGTCTGTTGGAGTACCCTGCCGTGTGAGGTGTCAGTGTGCCCCTGCTGGGGGGTGCCTCCCAGTTAGGCTGCTCGGGGGTCAGGGGTCAGGGACCCACTTGAGGAGGCAGTCTGCCCGTTCTCAGTTCTCCAGCTGCGTGCTGGGAGAACCACTGCTCTCTTCAAAGCTGTCAGACAGGGACATTTAAGTCTGCAGAGGTTACTGCTGTCTTTTTGTTTGTCTGTGCCCTGCCCCCAGAGGTGGAGCCTACAGAGGCAGGCAGGCCTCCTTGAGCTGTGGTGGGCTCCACCCAGTTCGAGCTTCCTGTCTGCTTTGTTTACCTAATCAAGCCTGGGCAATGGCGGGCGCCCCTCCCCCAGCCTCACTGCCGCTTTGCAGTTTGATCTCAGACTGCTGTGCTAGCAATCAGCGAGACTCCGTGGGCGTAGGACCCTCCGAGCCAGGTGCAGGATATAATCTCGTGGTGCGCCGTTTTTTAAGCCCGTCGGAAAAGCGCAGTATTCGGGTGGGAGTGACCCGATTTTCCAGGTGCCGTCCGTCACCCCTTTCTTTGACTCAGAAAGGGAACTCCCTGACCCCTTGCGCTTCCCAAGTGAGGCAATGCCTCGCCCTGCTTCGGCTCGCGCACAGTGGACGCACCCACTGACCTGCACCCACTGTCTGGCACTCCCTAGTGAGATGAACCCGGTACCTCAGATGGAAATGCAGAAATCACCCGTCTTCTGCGTCGCTCACGCTGGGAGCTGTAGACCAGAGCTGTTCCTATTCGGCCATCTTGGCTCCTCCTCGAAACCAATTCATGTGATTTTTTTGTGTATGGTTTTATGTCCAAAGTACACAATTATAAATAAGTCCATCTAAGTAAATTTTTAAAATCATAGTATTAGAATTATACTTAAAATGATTTCTAACCAAATTATTTCAAATAATTATAAAATGATTTTTAGAGCATCTCTAGTATGTTAAAATCTTGTTTTATTTCATTCCTCTTTGGAAATGCTCTGGAAGAAAAACTAATGATAAAGGCTGTTCTATTATTGTTAAATATGCATTCATAATTTCATTTTCTCTTTCTCCTATAAATTCAGAAAGCATATGCTTACGCAGATGAAGATGAAGGACGCCCATCTAATGACTGTTTGCTCATATATGACATCGAAGGTGTAGGTTCCCCTGCTGGCTCTGTGGGTTGTTGTAGCTTCATTGGAGAAGACCTGGATGACAGCTTCTTGGATACCCTGGGACCTAAATTTAAGAAGTTGGCAGACATCAGCCTAGGAAAAGAATCATATCCAGACCTTGATCCTTCTTGGCCACCACAAAGCACTGAACCAGTTTGCCTTCCTCAGGAAACAGAGCCCGTTGTTAGTGGACACCCACCAATCTCCCCACATTTCGGCACTACCACAGTAATTTCTGAGAGCACCTATCCCTCGGGACCTGGTGTACTGCATCCTAAGCCTATTCTCGATCCTCTGGGCTATGGTAATGTCACTGTGACCGAGTCTTACACCACCTCTGACACTCTGAAGCCCTCTGTGCACGTTCACGATAACCGACCAGCATCAAACGTGGTAGTGACAGAGAGAGTGGTCGGCCCAATCTCTGGCGCTGATTTGCATGGAATGTTAGAGATGCCTGACTTGCGAGATGGGTCGAATGTTATAGTGACAGAAAGGGTAATAGCACCAAGCTCTAGTCTACCCACCTCTCTGACTATCCATCATCCTAGAGAGTCTTCAAATGTGGTAGTGACAGAAAGAGTAATCCAACCAACTTCCGGCATGATAGGTAGTCTGAGTATGCACCCCGAGTTAGCCAATGCCCACAATGTCATTGTGACAGAGAGGGTTGTTTCTGGTGCTGGCGTAACTGGAATTAGTGGCACCACTGGGATCAGCGGTGGCATAGGCAGCAGTGGCCTGGTTGGCACCAGCATGGGTGCTGGGAGCGGTGCCCTGAGTGGAGCTGGCATAAGTGGTGGTGGCATTGGCCTGAGCAGCTTGGGAGGGACAGCCAGCATTGGCCACATGAGGAGTTCCTCTGACCATCACTTTAACCAAACCATTGGGTCCGCCTCCCCTAGCACAGCTCGAAGTCGAATCACAAAGTATAGTACCGTGCAATATAGCAAGTAGTCAGGACCCCAGCTCACTTTTTCATAGTCATTGTGGTTTAGATCCAATTCCCACCACTAAAAAACCAACAATGTGATTTATAACGCACAACTTCGTGCTCAGGTCATCTAGGAGCAAGGTGAGAAATCACAATGAGAAAAATAAATGGAAACACCACTGCTAGGGGAGAGCTCTCCTTAGCATTCATAAACTTTTCTCTTATATTAGGACTAAGGAACTAAAACTTGAGGCAGAGTCTTCTTTGTGCCTGAGTGGCCTGTAGTCCATCTCCAGCATGTAACTGGCCTTACGATGGCAATTGGCATCATTCTCCTTGCTCTGTTTTGCTTTTCCATATAGCTCGAGCAAAATTCAAAAAGAACTAAATATGCAATATATGTTCATATCTATGGGAAAAATCTAAAATGTGTGCCAGATGCCCTGTTGGTTTCACAGATAACATAAATAAAAATTCAACCACAGATTTATACAAGGGTTAACCATTTTTTTTAAGTTTGACTACATAGTCAAGTCCACAAGCCATCAAGCACTCCTACCTTAATTATTGCACTAGAGAAAATAAATTCCAAATTAGGAAGTGTTTCCTAGGAGGAAAATTCCATTAGAGAGTGGCAATAGGATGAGGTTTCTTCAGGGTAAACTAGCAATGCCTGAGCCTGAACCTTAATGTGGGGCCTCAGTTAAATCTCCTGTGGAGTCAAGGATTCTTCTGATTCTAGTGTGTGTTTAGTGATAGATGTAGTCTTGACGAATATTGCTTACTGGTGAGGTTGAGGAATATCACACTCGTCTTTCCCTTTACCACTGTGGTTTTGACTTAAGAAAGCAAAACTCACTAAGTTTACTTCTCGAATTGAAGCAAGTGAGGCCTGACATGGTTGTCATCACTAGTGGCAAATGACCTTCCAAGTAAGCAGATGGGAACTGAATTGTGTTTTCAGGTTTTGTTTTTAGTAGGTGATATTCATTCGTATCCAGCTCTTTATTACATAGCTCTGAAGTTAAAATGATTTACATAGGCCGAGCTGTGGACAAAAAAAAAAGAAGCAGCAGCTTGTAGTATGCTTAAGCTTTGGGGAATTTTTTTTTAAGGGGATCTAAAAAAATGTTTTTAGAACATGTAAAATGTTTAATGGTGAAAGTTGGAAAAGAATTCTTCTGTAAAGTAATACCATGCTAATTATTCGCTTTTAGTAAGTAAAGTAGTGGTTGCTTTAGCAAACCTCTGCTGCCATTTTGCAGGAATCAACCAGGAACCTTTAGCAGAATTGACAATATGGTGTTGATAAGCATGAAATAATAATAGAAACCTATTCTGCTAGTTTATCTCACCCTCTAATTTTTCTCACTAGCATAAATTTTAAATTCCTGATTTGATTTGTCAATAAGATCTTGGCTTATATATGCTGATTTATAGGTAGTGTCCAAATTATATAGTATAACATATTTTTCTAGTTTCAAAATTTAGTAATGTCCTATTTATGATATATCATTTCTGTGTGTTTGCTATGTAGTATTACCCAATTAAAAATCTCTAAAAAGAATTAAAGCATTCTAAGAAAAAGGTAAATTTACTATTGCATGGTACAGAAATTTTTTCTTTCTTAAATACAATGTTACTATAAGCTCACTAAAATGAAACTCTATATGACAAAATAAAATTAGAAAAAAATTTGCCCTGGAGTTGTGAATTATATACAACTTTTAAAGAATTTACCCCAATTACTCAAATTTCCCAGGAAATTACAAAGCCAAAGAATATTCAACTTCCTCCACTGGTCAAAAGAGGATAGGAGTGAATTACTGAACCTAGAGCTATTTTGCTCTGTAACAACAGATAAGGCTAATATTTTAAAAGCCACAGTATACATCTTCTTTTAACTCTGTAGAATATGTAAAATTTTGATAGTCTGTAGTATGCTAAATGCAGAAGTATAAATAAAGTCATTCAAAGGGAGTCTTTTCTTTTTCTGACACTTAGGGGGCCACATTAAGGATGGGTAATCTTTCCAGGAATAAAGTCAAAAGGTATTTATTAAGACATACTTGAGTATGCCTGGGTCCAGGAGTTTTAAGGAATAGAAATAAGTATTAATGAATTAATTAAGTAATTTATTAAAGGGAATGGTAGCTGACCACAGGAAACTTGCTTACTGTTTTGATATGAAATATCATCACAAGCTTTTCTTAAGACATCTGATATCTTCCAGAGATATTTTTTAGGTTGTCTTGCAAACAACAAAATCACTGTCTTTAATAACTGTTGCTGTCAAAATCCATTGGTTGTTAAGATCCCCCCAATTTAGTTACATCTGAACTCCTAAACACTGTTAAACGATGGGAAAAACAAGAAAAAACATGGCCATTTGAGTCATTGAGTCATCTATCTTTCTAGGAAGATACTTTCTAACCAAACTTTTCTTCCAGGATTGCAAATTGATGGGAAAAACAAGAAAAACTGAAGTATTAGTCACCTATCTTTCTGGGAAGATACTTTCCAACTAATTTTTTCTTCCAGGATTGCACACTGATTTTCCATTTAGTCCTAAATTTTAAAATTCCCTTTTCAAGACATCAACGATTTTAGTAGTTATTTAAAGGCATGTCATTTTTCAATGAAGAAGTTTTGGGCAGAACTTCATTCTTCTTCTTAGATGTTTACTCTAGATCATATACATCATGTCATAGACCAAGAAGAGATATGGAAATTATTTTATAAGTGAATACTATAATTAGGATTCAAGCTGAGTTTCAGATCAACTTGCTCTTAACAAAAGGAAAAAGAAATAGTAATTTAATACTATGTATGTATGGTTTGAAAACAAACCACAATGTTTATAAAATATCTATCTGACTGTCTAAAGAGGTAATCTTTAGGAGCAAAAATCAGTGTATTATAAATACTTTACCATTTAATATCAACCAAAATACCATCTCAAGCTAATTTTGACACTGAATTACAGATATATCTGCTACATATTATTTACTTCTAAGCATGTTGTCTGATGTAATTGCATTTGCACTGAAAAATTAAAAGAAAAAGTACATATTTAGGGTTATTTATATATCTTCATCTAGACATCTGTTCTACATTTGTGTATAAAGTTTTTAGCATCATAATTTTTATTCAAGAAAATGTTCTGACAAAATTTTAATTATATGTCTTCAAAAATTACATTTTTTACTCTAGTAAGTAGATGTTTTTAGTTATCTGGCAATTTATTTCTGAATTTATACCAATGTTTGATTGTCATGGTACAAAATATATGACACCCTTTAACTTTTGCTGGAGTTGAAAGGCATTATAATCTTTAGCATAAATGGCCATGACTATTTTGGAAAGACATTTAAGACCCAAAGCAAACTTTTAAAAGTATTTGCCACATTTTCCCATGCCTATTTCATAAATTCCAACTTTTTTTTTTACAATTTCTGGATTTTTAAGACCCATTTCACATTGCACTAGGATACAGCAGTCCACAGTAGAGTGCTACTCTCCTTGAAATCAAATCTGTCTTCCACTTCCGGATTATTCAATTTATGTTAGGACAAATCTTGACTAGATCAACCTGTTTTCCATCAGATAATTTTAAAACAATGTGTAATCTTGTTTGTCTACATTCTCTCCCCAGTTTAGCTGTATTTGAATTACTAAATGCTTTATCGTCAAACTGTACCTAGTCTAACTTATTTTTCTTTTGCTGTCGTTTTACAAGCATTTTAAAATTCTAATATTCATCTCTGGTGGTGTTTAACACAAGGTTCTCTTATTCAAGTTTCAATATAAAAGTTTTTGGATTATTTGGGTGCTAGTTTCTTGCTTGGTTATCTGTTCGTTTTTTTAAGTTGATTTGTAATTTCCAAAGAGTTATGCATACAGCAATAAAATTATTAATATGCCTCCCTTATCTTTTCTGAATTGTAAGCAAGGGGGAGGTTTTAGACTGTAAAACCAAAGTTATCAAATCTAGTTATTATCATCCTGTATTGGAGGAGATACAATTCTTTTATTTTCACAATGTTAAAATATGTTTTCATTCTCCATTTCCTAGCTATCTTTTTTTAATGTGTACTGAGGAACCTACTCTCTGGACCACTAATTATAGATGCTAGAGCCCAGCCTTGACCAGGTGGTTAGCCCCACAAATGAACAGATGATAAAAAGCTGCATTTTTAGTTCTTATTTAATACTTGTAGCATCTTTATACTTTTACCTTTCTTTCTTTCATACTCTGCATTTTTATTTTTGCCTACACCAGCATTTTATTTCTTTTAAAATGACTTTTCTTCTTTTTTGCCCTTTAAATCATACCCTTTCATCTTTACTGGGATGCATCTCCTTTTGTTCTCCAATGCCACTTCCAGACTATTATCAACTTCATCTTGCACAAAATCTTACCTCTTTCAGACTTGTATGATCCTTTCCCTCTCTTCTCTTCTTCATAATGTCTCTACTTTTAATGAAGGCTCCAATATCCTGGCCTAAAGTCTTTTGTGACTTTCTTAACTTCTGAGAGTGTTCATAGTAACTTAAACATCCACGTGGATGAATCACCCAAGGCCCAGATTCTCATTTCTAGACCTCCATTTCCCCCCTCCACTCAGCTGTCATTTCTTTTCATAACCTGGCATATTGGTACCTGGAATGCCTCAGTTTCTGTCTCTACAGCCTCTGACCATTTCCTTCTCATCCTTCCAGCTCATGGGCTCACATTGTTGTCATTACTCCATTTCATCAAAGCTTCAATGTGTTGACTCCCACCACTTTCTCACTGTCAGCTTCAACTCTCTGTCTAATCTAGCTTCATGAGTCCAACTAGAGTCACCTCTTTGTGAATGCCTTCAACCTACTTGCCCTGCTCTCTCTCCCTCACCCCAGACCTTTTGCCCTCCATCTCTGTCTGCACACAAACAGCCAAACAAATTATCCAAGTGAGCTGACTTTTTAAATATTAATCACTCAGTCTCAAATCTCAGCATAACATCAGATACTTCCCTGAAATTCTATCTGCTTCTCTTATAGATGTCCCATCTCATCATACTAGATTGCTACTCTGCATCTTCTCTGTCCTCAAACCTCCCACACACCCTCTTCCCTTCTCATTCTTTGTTGATGATCTAATCCTGTTGTTCAAAAGTCATCCATTTCAAATGCATTCAACTTCCTCTGCGAAACCTCCATATCCACCTGTACTTGCACCCATCTTCTCCTCCCTCCCATGGGCTTATTCCATGCATTTGTGGCCTACTCATACAAAAACACAGTCCTCCAGTTCTGCTCAAATCAAGGACTTTGCTCCTTCCCTAATAGTCTCTTTCCTATTCTTTTTCCTCTCTCTCTCTCTTTCTGTTTCCTCTCCTTCTCTCTCTCTTCTCTCTTTTTATCTTCTCTCTCTCTTTCCTCTCTCTTTCTCCTGTCTTTTTTCTCTCTCCACTCTCTCATTTTATCTCCTCTCTCTCATTCTCTTCCTGTCTCCTCTACTATCTCTCTCTCCTCTCTTCCTTCCCTTTCCTTCCTCTCCCTAGAAAATTTTCATCTGCACCCCTCCTTGTAGCTAATGCCTCATTTGTTTGCTTGTTTCATCAAGCTTCTTGAGGTTCACGTACACATGCTGTCTTTTCTTTTCCATGTCCCATCAGACTTCAAAGTCCTCCCATCAGATTATCATAATGGTCCTTACCAAGCTTGTCTAAGATCTATGCATTGCAAGAACAAGGCCTACTTTTCTCTTTTCCCTCTTTCTTAACCTCTGGGAAAAATATCTAAAAAGTAACCCTTCTCTCTTCCTTGAAACACTCTTGTGTCTTGGCTTGTGTAACACCATTCTCTCCTGATATCCCTTGTATTTCATCAGCCAGTCTCGCTCATTCTATTTCCCTTGTTCCTCATTTATCCAATCCAAAGTTTGATCCCAAGCCCTCTTCTCTTAACAATTTACACTGACTCTGTGAGACCTCATCAGTACCCCTTTTTAAATGTTCAAAATTAAACTTATAATTTTACCTCCAGAGTTTCCCCATTCCAATCATTATTACCCTGTCTACCCATTACTCAAACCAGAAACTAAGTACTCCTTCATCTCATTCTTTCTCTCACTACCGAAATTTTATCCATTCGGAAGTTCTGTTTATTTTATAACCAAAATATATAGTAAGCCATTTAATAGTTTGTATTAGTCCATTATCACACTGCTATAAAGATACTACCTGAGACTGGGTAATTTTGAAAGGAAAGAGGTTTAATTGACTCACACTTCTGCATGGCTGGGGAGGCCTCAGGAAACTTACAATCATGCTGGAAGGCGAAGGGAAAGCAAGAACCTTCTTCACATGCCAGCAGGAGAGAGAAGCATAAGCAAGGGAAATGCCAGATGCTAATAAAACCATCAGATGTCATGAGAACTCACTCACTATCATGAGAACAGCATGGGGGAAACCACCCCCATGATCAAATCACTTCCCTCCCTTGACACATGGGGATTATAATCCAAGATGAGATTTGGGTGGGGACACAGAGCCAAACCATTTAATAGTTTTAATCCTTATCTGTCACCATCCTACGGGCAACTGCCTCCTAGGTAGTCTCTCTGCTTCCACATCAGCCTTCTTCAAATAATTTTCTATAGATGAACCTAGGTGACCTTTTAAAATATTAATTAGGTTGAGTCAACCCCCTATTTTAAAAATTTCAATGGATTTCCAGTGAATGTCCCAGAAAAGCCTGCAGGGAGCTGCCTGATGTAGTACTGGTCCACAGTGGATGACAGTAATTTGCACTATGATTGTTGTAATGGAAAAGTTGAAAAGAAATGAATTAAGGAAACGTTTTGGCTTTTGCAAATGGTATTCACTCTGCATGAGTCCTCCTCACTTTTATATGGCAGCATCCTTTCCTCCTTCAGTAGCAATTTAAATACTATTTCCTCATATATTCTTTCCTTCGTCAATGTTTTCACGTATTCATTCATTTACTCTATGGATATTTATTGAATTCCAAATAGTTATACCAAGCAGTGGTGACATGACAGTGAAAGATAAAGTCCTTCTCCTCGTGGAGTTTATGATCAAGATAGAATGGAGATGGGGGAAGTCTGACAATAAAGAACAAACAAGTAAATATATGATATGTTAGATGACAGTAAATGATCAAGGGAAAAATAAAGCAGGATAATTCAGGAAAGGGATTGCAGGGCATGAGGGATGCACTTTTATATAGGGTAATTGAGGCAAGGTTCTATTAGAAAGTAATATTTGAACAGAGATTTGAAGAACATTAAGGAGCAAGCCATGTGGCTATCTGGATACAGGACATTTCAGACAGAGGGATATTCATGGAAGAGCAAGATCTCTGTGTGTGGAGAGATTAAAAGAAGGAAAGCAGCAGGAGGTAGGATCCCAGAGGAAAGGGTTGAGATTGAGTTTGGCCTTGCAGGCCATTCTAACAGACTTATTCTGAATGTAATGGAGAGCTACTTGAGAGTTGGGGCTGAGGAGTGCTTTGTTGAGGTTTGGGGTTGTTTGTTTGTTTTGAGATGGGCTCTTGATCTGTCATCCAGGCTGGAGTGCAGTAGCATGATCATGACTCGCTGCAGCTCAACATCCTGAGCTCAAGAGATCCTTCCACCTCAGCCTCCAGAGTAACTGGGACTACAGACATGAGCCACCATCTCCTCCTAATTTTTGTATTTTTGGTAGAGACACAGTTTTGTAATGTTGTCCAGGCTAGTTTCGAACTCCTGGGATCAAGCAATCCTCCTGCTTTGCCCTCCCAAATTGCTGAGATTATAGGCATGAGTCACTGTGCCCAGCCTAGATTTGTATTTTTAAAAGAACATTCTACCTACAGTGGTGACACTTTAGGAAGGAAGTCACAGAATCAAGAAGATATGTTAAAGAGCTACTGCAATAATCCAAGTGAGTGAGTGATACAACCATAGCAGGTAGCAAAACAAGTGACAAAAACAAAACAAAAGCCCTGGACAGATCAATAAAGTACCATACAGAAAAAAAAAAAAAAAAAGGAAAAAAGTTCACTGAGCAACAGATTAAATTTAAATCTCACCATGAATTGCCTTGAAAAAACTCAAACATAGTAAGTACAAATGGAGAATGTTAGGTTGGTCAAAAAGTTTAGAAATGATGCCAGTTTCTAGTCATCTACTTGGCTATTGAGTTCATATAAGACAAATTCCGGCTGACCCTGAGAGACTTGCTTTTCCTAGTTTTATAAAGAAAGCTGAGCAACTTGGTGTATCCCAGTCTGTGCCTGTTTCTCAGTCATATCTCTTCTTTCTTCAGCTCTTACATAAAACCTAGGAGGAAGAATTTCTGCCTCCAGAACTTTCTCAAAACTACTCAGAATATCAGGCTCTGATTCGTACCAAAGTTTGTATCTGGTTGGACCCAGAATATGATTTGTCACATTTTTTCAAAGAAAAATGTTTTGATCCATTCAGTTTATTAACTGTCTGTCTCAAAGTATATGCCAGTTTCAGCTTAATAAATTATAGACATGTGATTCTCAGCTTGTTTTGACCACTGCCTTATATTGGGCTCATCCAAATGCAAACTCTGAGACAGGATTAGAGAGCAATTTTGGAAGGAGGTAGAGGAACCACTGGTAGATAACAGGGAGATGCAACATGCAAGGGAAATCTACCAATAAATTGTACCTATCAAGCCAATTAAAACCATGGGCAATAGAAGCTTAGTCCTCCTGGGGAAAACACTGGGAGCCAGTGTAGTACATGCCCTGCGGTTAAGCCATCGGAGAAATAAGGGAGATAGTGTATTTATACATACCAGCTGCCATCAGTTAATAACTAAGGGCCACTTCTTGAGATAGTTAATTCCCTGCGTCTGCTGCAAAGGTGGGCAAAGTGGCTTTGGCATCGGTGAAGTGAAAAAATGCAGGAGCTGGCCCTTTGGGTGCGTGGGCACTGAAATGATAGGAGAAAAATATGGAGAAAGCTTTGTCAAGGTCTGTTACAGCTATTGGGATATTGCAGCACTCTGGTAATAGATGACATGAGAAACCTCAGAATTTGCTGACATGACAGGCCTTTCTTGAACATTTCCCTGTAAATAAGAATGGGTCAGATGCTACCATATTGATAGATTAGGTAACAAAACCCAGTGGCGTGAAATAGAAAAGTCTTCAGGTCCCCCATGTCATTAACTTGTGCCTTCATGGTTTTATATCATTTATGTTAATTAGATGCTTGCCTCCCATACATGGTTACACATATAACCATTTTTCTATAATACATGACTTGGCTTTACCATTACAACTTAGGTATGGCCTGAAAAATTGGTGGTTTTTTTTTTTTTTTTTTTTTTTTTTTGAGATGAAGTCTTGCTCTGTGGCCCAGGCTGGAGTGCAGTGGTGCGATCTCTGCTCACTGCAAGCTCCGCCTACTCGGTTCATGCCATTCTCCTGCCTCAGCCTCCCGAGTAGCTGGGACTACAGGCACCCGCCACTACGCCCAGTTAATTTTTTTTTTTTTTTTTTAGTAGAGACGGGGTTTCACCCTGTTAGCCAGTATGGTCTCAATCTCCTGACCTCGTGCTCCACCAGCCTCGGCCTCCTAAAATGCCGGAATTACAGGCATGAGCCACCACGCCCTGCCAAATAATTGGTTTTAATATCTATTTGCTGCCAGAAGGAAAGGCTGTGAGTTCATTAAAGTTATCACTTTTTTGTAAACATAACCCCAACATTTTAATAAGTTGTTACTAATAACATCATACCAATCTACCCAGTCTCTGAGAGATGTTCTCGCACCTAGCTTATTTTAAAAGGTGTAACAGGCCAGGTGCGGTGGCTCACACCTGTAATCCCAGCACTTTGGGAGGCTGAGGCAGGCAGATCACTTGAGGTTAGGAATTCGAGACCAGCCTGGCTAACGTGGTGAAACCCCGTCGCTACTAAAAACACAAAAATTAGCCGGGTGTGGTGGCAGGCGCCTGTAGTCCCAGCTACTTGGGAGGCTGAGGCAGGAGAATCGCTTGAACCCAGGAGGCAGAGGTTGCAGTGAACTGAGATCACGCCATTGCACTCCGGCCTAGGCGATAAGGGCAAAACTCCGTCTCAAAAAAAAAAAAAAAAAAAGGCACAACAAAAACGTTATATTGCCATTAGTTGGGTATGCAAATAATTAAATAACAAATGTTGAATTAATGTGTGATGCACAGAGGTCAGCACAGCAACAAACAGATAACTTGTTGAGCACATGAATAAATGCAGTCCATTTATACTCACATGGTTCTAAAAGCCATCCTTGCATTGACAGTCTATAAAAGAACTGAGACCGTCAATTACTTCATATTGCTTATCAAATTCTCACCACTCCAAACAGAACTACTTTTTCCAAATTGCTCATTGGTGTGATGGCACCTGTTTAAACTGAATGACAATATGGCTATGTTTTGTGAGATTGTAACATGTGTCTTGGCCAATTGTCTTACATGCATTTTAGGAAAAGATTAGTTATGTAAAAATTTAGACTTCACTAGTTTTTAGTTAGAGCTGTAGGGTAAAGAAAAAATAGTTTGCTTTTTACCAAATATTTTTCAAATATTTGAAAAATAAAGTCCAAAAAAAGGGATTCTAAAATTGGAACAAGAATATGTCTTTCTTCACATAAAAAAAAATCATAGTGGTAGTAGAAATGTACTCCTAGAACTCTGTGAGACTGATAAATAAAACAACATATAAAAGATCACCTGATAGATGAAATCAAACACATGGAAAGATTCTGAACCTGCTAAACTCAAGAACAAGTGTTGTTCTCTGGGAGAATAAATGTGATTTTTCTATCTCATGGAGAAAGAATATTTTATCAAATATTCCTACAGCTTAGGTGAAGGGTATGTCAAAATATCTACTCATCTTTGCTCTCCGTTCATGACCAGTGAATAATTTTTGGACTGCTACCTTGATTGCTATGGCAAGCAGAGGGCATTCTTTGCAGAGAGCATATGAACTTCAAAGTTATTGCCCATGAAAAGAGCTATTACTCACTGCAAATTGATAAATTAATATTTTGCCTTATACATCATCTTATATAAACTTGGCTACTGAGAATTCATCACCAAGAAAACTAATCTGATTTCAGTATAAAGACAAAAATAAACATGAGACTGGAAAACTGGAATATAAGCCTTGCAGTGGGGAAACTCAAGACAAGTGACATAATTAATAGGCTTCATTAGTAATGGAGCTCAGTCCTCCTTAGAAAAATCCTGGAAGCCTTCTGGCTGGTCTTCTTTAACCAACACTTTTATCAAAAGCCTAAAAGCCTTCCTTTTACAACATTATGGTTTGTGAAGTGAGGATAATGAATTCTATTTTTAAGATGAATAATATATTTAATAGTCATTAAAACCAAAATAAAAATTAAAAATTAATATAAAATTTTAAATACAGGTAGACAATTATCACAAATTATGTGTTATAAAGCAGAGTAGCAAACAAAAAAGAAAAATTTTATTTAATAACTATCACTAAAAATTAGATCTTAATATATAGAAAAAATCAAGTCAGATCTATACCTCATACTATAGGTTTTAATGAACAAGTGAAAGATATAAACGCTAGAAATTCTGAAAGACAGAACACACTCAAAGAGGATAAATTACATGTTATTTTCTTTACATAAAACTATCTAATTTAATCTCCTAAAATTCACCAGGAAGGGAAATAGATAAGGAAACTGTAATTTAGAGAGCTAAATTAACTCGCTTACAGAAACAAACCAAGTTAACAGAAGTTTTGGAATTTGAAGCAGATCTAAATCTGTACATGTCTCAATATGCCTCAGTGACATAGTACATTTACCTAAACTATAAATAGGGATATAATTATATAACTATTGACAAACTAGAACCATAATTAAGAATAAATAAGCTAAAAATATGTACATTTCAACTTCTACAAAATAAAAACTGACAAAGATGATAAAAATGAAGACATCGAGAATGTGCAGTAAATGATATCAGAGTTAAGACATTCTTACTCCACTCAGCTCTATGAAACCAATAAATAATAAATAAAAAGAGAAAATAATCCAACTTCAAAAAGAACCTAAAAATGGCTATTAACCCTTCTGCCGCAAACAAACACATAACACAAATAATGTCTACTAAATACAGTAAAATTTGTATTCAAATTAATAACATTTAGAACTAGTTAATTTTCCTTCAGATCTCTTTCAGAGTTGCTATTGCCTAAATGTTCATGTCCTCTCAAAGTTAATATGTTGGGTTCCTAATCCCCAAGGTGATGGTATTAGGAGGTGGGACCTTTGAGAGGTGATTAGCTCATGAAGGTGGAGCCCTCATGAATGTTATTAATGCCCATATAGAGTAAGCTTGCTGCATCACATTACCTGACTTTAAACTATACTATAAGGCTACAGCAACCAAAACAGCATGGTACTGGTACAGAAATAGATACATAGACCAATGGAACAGAATAGAGAACTCAGAAATAAAGCCACACACCTACAGCCATCTGCTCTTTGACGAAATTGATAAAAATAATCAAATGGGGAAAGGGTTTTCTATTCAATAAATGATGCTGGGATAGCTGGCTAGCCATATGCAGATGAATGAAACTGGACCCCTACCTTTCATCATATACAAAAATCAACTCAAGATGAATTAAAGACTTAAATGTAAGACCTCAAACTGTAAGAATACTAGAAGAAAACCTAGGAAATACCATCCTGGACATTGGCCTTGGCAAAAAATTTATGGCTAAGTCTTCAAAAGCAATTGCAACAAAAACAAAAATTGACAAGTGGGGCCTAACTAAACTAAAGAGCTTCTGTACAGCAAAAAGAACTATCAACAGAGTAAACAGGCGACCTACAGAATGGGAGAAAATATTTGCAACTATTTATCCAACGATGTCTAATATTCAGAATCTGTAAGGAACTTAAACAGTTGAACAAGCAATAAACAAATAATCACATTAAAAAGTGGGCAAAAGACATGAATGGACACTACTTAAAAGAAGACATATAAGCAGCCAACAAATACATGAATAAATTCTCCAACATCACTAATCATCAGAGAAATGCTAATTAAAATCACAATGAGATACCACCCCAAACCAGTCGGAATGACTATTATTAAAAAGTTTAGGAAAAAAAAAACAGATGCTGGCGAGGCTGCAGACTGAAGGGAAAGCTTATACACAGTTAGTGGGAATGTAAATTAGTTCAGCCACTGTGAAAAACAGTTTAGAGATTTCTCAAAGAATTTAAAACAGAACTACCATTCAACCCAGCAATCCCGTTACTAGATATATATCCAAAAGAAAATAACTCATTCTACCAAAAAGATACATGCATGTGTATGTTCATCACAGCACTACTCACAATAGCAAAACATAGAATCAACCTAGGTGCCCATTAATGGTGGACTGGATAAACAAAACGAGGTACATATACACCATGAAATATACACAGCCCTAAAAAAGAATGAAATTGTGTCCTTTGCCGCAATATGGATGCAGCTGGAGGCGATTATGCTAAGTGAATTAATTCAGGAACAGAAAACCAAATACTACATGTTCTCACTTACAAGTGAGAGCTAAGCATTGGTACTAATAGACATAAAGATAGCAACAATAGACACTGAGACTACTAGAGTAGGGAGGGAGGCAAAGGGCAAGGGTTGAAAAACTAACTATTGGGCCCGGCACGGTGGCTCACCTGTAATCCCAGCACTTTGAGGAGCCAAGGCAGGCAGATCACAAGGTCAGGAGTTCAAGACCAGCTTGGCCAACATAGTGAAACCCTGTCTCTACCAAAAATACAAAAATTAGCTGGGCATGGTGGCGGGCATCTGTAATACCAGCTACTCTGGAGGTTGAGGCAGGAGAATCGCTTGAACCTGGGAGGCAGAGATTGCAGTGAGCCGAGATTGAGCCACTGCACTCCAGCCTAGGCAATACAGCGAGACTCCGTCTCCAAAAAAAAAAAAAAACAACTAACTATTGAGTACTATGCTCAGACCTGGGTGATGGAATCAATCACACTCCAAACCTTAGCATCACACAAGGTACCCATGTAACAACATGTACCCTCTAAATCTAAAATTAAAGTTGAAGTTGTTTTAAAAAAAAGAAAATACAGATTTAAATTACAATAAGATACCACTATGTGCTTATTAGAAGGGCTAAAATTAAAAAGTCTGCCATACCAAGTGCTGGTGGGAAAGCAAAATGATACCTCAAGTTTGGAAAGCAGTTTGGCAGTTTCTTAAAATGTTAAACATGCATCTACACCATGACCCAGACATTCTACTCCCAGATATTTACCCAAGAGAAATGAATGTCTATAAATCTGTACAAAGATGTGTACACAAATTTTTATAGCAACTCTATTTCAGATAGTCCCAAATGATAACAATGCAAATGTTCATCAACAGATGAACAAAGTTTAAACAATTGTACTATACTTATACAGTTAAATACTACTCAGCAATTTAAAAAAAGAATGAACTATTGATGCACAAAACTCTGAGTATGAATCGCAAAATAATTGTGCTGAGTGACAAATGTCAAGCAAAAAATGAACACACTGTGTAGCCCCATATATAAAAAATAAACTATACCTTAATAAATATATAACATAACATATAATTTCATAAAAAGTAAATTAATCTCTAGTGATAGAAAACATATTAGTGTTGCCTGGGAATACGGTAGCTGGGTAGGGTGGGAAGGAAGAATTATAAAGTTGCATGGGGAAACTTTTAGGGAAAATGGATACGTCCCTTATCTTGGTTGTGATGAACATGGATGGAAAATTCCTAAACAAAATAGTCACAGACTGAATCCAGGAATATACCAAAAGTACTAGTGACCAAATTTGAATTTGTTACCAACAATGCAAGATTAGGTTAACATTAGAAAATCAATCCATGTAATATACACATTAATAGATTGAGAAGAAAACATATCATCTTCCCAATATATATGACATGTTTGCTAAAATCCAGCATGTTCTTATGATTAAATATTCCTAGCAAATTATGAGCAGGAGATTTTCTTAACCTTATACACAATTTCTATAAAATCAATGAAACAAATATTATACCTGATAGTGGAATATTAAAAGTTTTCTCTTTGAAATAAAGAAATAACAATGATGTTCACTATCACAGCTTCATTTAACATGGCATTGATGGTTCAAAAAGTAGGAGGAAAAGGTTATAGGGACTGGAAGAAGAAGAAAACTATCATTATTGTCAGATTAAAAGATCGTGTAGTCAAAACTCCAAAAGAATCTTTGGATATATCATTCCAATTTTAAATATGTATTTAACAAAATTACTGAACACAAAAATCAAAAGGCTGAAATCAATTGTATTTCTATCTGCAAGAAAATGTAATTAAAGAAATATAACATTTATACTAGCATCAAAGGAATCTCAAGTACCAAACAATAAGTATTTTAAATGCCTCTGTGAGACCTTGACAGGGAAACATAATTAAACTGTATTAAATAAACTTTTAAAAAGAGATATGTTCTCTGTTTATGTATTCTAATACTTGAGCCAAAATTGAAATTTGATTCTTTCCAATTTACTTAAACATATTTTGCAATCCTAATCAAAATTCTAGTTCACCTGTGAAATAGATAGCTGATTTTAAAATGTACAGGAAATACAATTGTCCAAGAATAGCCAAAACACTCGAATGGAGCAAAGTGGGAGAACTTTCTCCATCAGATATTAAGATTTACTACAAAACTATGCAATTAAAATGAAATTAGCAATGACATAAGAATAGACAAGTAAGTAAAAGGAAAAAAGAGTATGCAGTTTAAAAAGATACACACTTTTATGAACACTTATTTTTATTTAAATTTTTAATATTTTATTATCGTTATTTGTATATTATTTATTTTATGCACAGATTTTGACTTATTATAGCTGGTATTGTAAGCAGTGCAAAAAAACACACTGTTTTCAATGAATGTGCTAGGACATTAAGGTATCCATACAAAAACAAAGATGAAATTGACCCTGTACCATTTACAAAAATCATCTCCAGGTAATTTAGAGATGTAAACGTGTAAGGCAATATATTATAGGTACATAAAAAGCTTTCTTAAACAAGACATAAGAGCATTAACTATAAAAGAAAGAATTGATAAATGAGGACTGAAAATAAGAGTTTCCAGTCACGATAAGAACTCATTAAAAAATTTAAAAGATGAACCACAGAATGAGTTCAAAATATTTGTAATGCATGTAACCAACAAATAATACATAGATATGCATAACTTAGAGCACTAAAAATTATTTTTAGCAAAGAGAACAATGCAGTTTAAAAAGGGGGAAATGCTTTAATATGCAAATATTAAATGTTTATATTAATATTTAATATTAATGACATTAATTTAATATTAATATTAACAATTAATACTAATAACAAAGAAAAATGCAAATGGCCAATAGACATATGCAAAGATGCCCAACACAGCAATAATCAGAGAAATGCAAACAAGATATAATACTCATCCTACAAATTGGCTAAAATTTAAAAGTCTAATAATGCTTTTGATATTGATGTTGGTGAGTAAATAAAACTCTCCTTAAACTGCTGATGGGAGCTCAGTTGGTATTCTCTAGCAGGTTAAAAAATGTTAACTTATGACCCAGAAATTCCACACCTTGATACAACCTAGGGAATTCATGTACATTTGCTGACATAAAGGAGACATGAGGAAGGAAGCAGAGATGATGTGATTGCTGGAAGGAGGACATAAGCCAAAGAATGAAAGCAGCCTCCACAAGCAGGAAATAGCAGGGAAATACATCTATTCCTAAGAACCCCTAGCAGGAACTAACCTTGCCCAAGATTCACTGTGGACTTCAGACCTCCAGAACAGTAAGATAATAAATTTGTGTTGTTTTAAGTCACTAAGTTTGTGATAACTTACTTACAACAACAAATACAGAAAGTTTGTAGTTTACAACAACAAACTAATACAGAAAGCAGAATTGTTTATAAAAACCTATCCTATGCGAAAACATAATCATTATCAATTGCAAAAAAAAATCAAAACAAATTCAAAAAATGCAAATTACGTGAATTGTGACACGTATGACAGAGGCTGTTTTCTCTCATATACAAAAGTACATGAAAGAACCAGTATTAAAGACATCAGCAGCCCAGTGGAAAACCAGGAAAAAGGAAATAAATATTTCAAATAAAAAGAAATATAAATGGCCAGTATCTCTCCCCGGCCCCTGGCCCACCCCATGAAGAGATGCTAATCTTATTCACACTAGAAAAATGTTTTTGACTGGGTGCCATGGCTCACGCCTGTAATCCCAGCACTTTGGGAGGCAGAGGCAGGCAGATCACTTGAAGTCAGGAGTTCAAGACCAGCCTGACCAACATGGTGAAACCACGTCTTTACTAAAAATACAAAAAATTAGCCAGATGTGGTGGCGGGCACCTGTAATCCCAGCTACTCAAGAGGCTGAGGCAGAATCGCTTGAACCCAGGAGGTGGAGGTTGCAGTGAGCTGAGATTGTGCCACTGCACTCTAGCCTGAGTGACAGAGGGAGACTCTGTCTCAAAAAAAGAAAAAAGAAAAATGTTCTTTTTTACCTGGTGCCATTTCTCCCTGGGCCACCCATAGGGCCACGTGATTACCCTGATTCAATAATTCTTCAACTTCAGCCTGCCTCCCGAGAATTACCTAAAGAGTATGTTAAGAATGAATAATTCTAGATCTCATCCCCAAAGCTTCTGATTCACTAAATTTGGGGCCAGGGAACCTGCATTTTCTACATAATGGCCTAAGAAATATATTTCAAAAAACACTGCCTACCTTTTGACCTTCCTATTGCTGGATTTCTTCCTCAGACATCCTGAGCTGACCAGATTCCATAGTCGAGGTTGCCAGATATATAACTAACAGCATCAAAGGTTAACCATGTACATGATACAACTTTGTCATAAGAGGGACACTGCCAGTGTCACTGAAGAAACCAGAGTGACATCTAAATAATTATCACACTGTAGAATGGTTGCCACTGTAGTCATCGGGAGGCAGGAGGCAAACTAAGATGATATTTCCTAGATAAGTATGTAGCAAGTATGCAATAAGTATGTAAGTAATACGCTTTATTTAACATACAGCTAGAAGCCACGCTCTTCTGTCTCCACTTATTTGGAATACATCCTATACCTGTGAATTCACAGAGATAATCAACAAGGCATCTCTGTCAGGATGTAAGCATGATTTTAGGGTGTAAACTAACATCATCTTTATGGAAATAACATAACTCTTTACGAAACTGATGTTTAATCTCTATGATTTCTAACACCCACTAAATAACCTGGTTGGCCGGCCCCTTGTTGCCATACATAAGTTGCCTTTAATGAGGGGACAGGATGTTTATCTTCAGTGTGGTAGGTGAACAGACATGTGTTCACAGCAATGACTCTAGGTCAAAACCCTGACAAGCCTTGTTTACCTTTTGTCCCCGCCTCCCCAGGCCCAGGCAGATGAAAACCTTTTGCTTGCGTCAGCTCTGGAAACAACTTGTGCTGCATTTGACCACCATACTTTAGGACCATAATTATTTTTTAAATTTCCTTCCCCCTAACTCTTGCTTTCAAGAAATAGAATTGTCCTTGGATATTTGAATAATATCCAGTAGTAACCCTAGACTAGAATAATTTGATGGAAAAGTTTGCCCTAATGTCATTTCCACAATATCTTTGTCTGTATAAATTACATTTCTGTTTTTCAAAGAGGACTTGTATTGGCATGTATTGAATTCCTTGCCTTTTGTGGCATTGATTTGAAAAGTACAGGTGTTAAAGCTCTCACTGTGTTCTACACAGATGTGATGTGGAGAATAAAGGTGTCTTGCTACTTTATACAATATTATAGAAGCATAAGTACAATAATTAAATATCAGTAGCATCCCTAAAAGCCAATGTATGGTTTCATCTGAGCAAATGAAATGTCACTGGTTTGACATCAAAAATAAATACTATAAAAAACTTGCTAAAAATTCTGCTCATAGAACCAACAGTTCAGTAAACTCTAAAGTATGGGAAAGTCTTTTAAAGCTAATAGTGTTTAACCATCCACTATTTTGCCTTCACATACGTAGCTAATAATGAAAAGTGGCTTGGTATTTATATAAACTGACTATGAATGAGGAGATGGAACTCTTGCCTATCTTTGACCCTAATAAACCATACAGCCTCCCTAGACTATCACTATCACATGGGTAGGAGAGAGGCAAGATAGGAGAGATTGGATTATATGATCTCTGTGGTATCTTTAAGCATTAATGTTTTATGCTCTGTTTCTACAATGACTGATACTCTTCAAGAGAAACGGAAGTAGCTACTCTTTATCTACACAAGCTCAGAACCATAACCAAGTTTTGTCTTTGGGAATTCCACTGTAAAATCATCCATCCCCTGTGGGAAACAGTAGCTCACACCTGTAATCTCAGTACTTTAGGAGACCAAGGCAGGAGGATCACTTAAGCCCACGAGTTTGAGACCAGCCTGGACAATATAGCAGGACCTTGTCTCTACAAAATATTTTTAAAATTAACCAAGTGTGGTGACATGCACCTGTAAACCCAAGTACTTGAGAGGCTGAGGTGGGAGGATCACTTGAACTCAGGAGGCAGAGGTTGCCGTGAGCTGCACTCAGACCACTACTGCACTCCAGCCTGAGAAGCAGAGCAAGACTCTGTCTCCAAAAAAAACTTTAAAGCAAAAGATCATTCCCACAAATCTCCAAGGAGTAAACAGAAATGAAATGATGGGGCTTCAGGTAGTTCCTCCTTAGTTACTGAAGAATCTTTTAAATATGTTCATAATTATAATCTGGATTCAAATTCTGGATACCATTGAAATCAGGAGTTTCAAATGGAGAAAGCTAGAGGTACCCACATAAATGATCTAGTACCTATTTCTATTGCTTCCTGTTTCTTTTCTTTAAAACTCATCCTATAAATAGCATTCAAGTAGATAGAAAATCTTATATTTAGAAGAAAATATAAGAAAAATCTTATATGTAGAAGAAATCATCTATAGTGTAAACAAAAGATAGAGACCTTTGTGAAATATCTCCTTCAAACACAACAATAGAGAAGAATGTTGTTTTTCCCTTGTAAAAAGCAATGTCACTTAAAGACCTGGAGTTGTTTCATTAATTCTCTTAGGCAAATTAAATTATCTAATTCAACATGACATGAAATAATGCAAAAGTAAATTACTTTATCTGGCTTCCAAAAATACTAAAACTACTTTTCTCAAGAAACTAAGCAATACTTAGAATACATTCTATTACCAGGGTCAACCTTGTTTCTGAATTACAGTGATGGGATAGTGAAGACAGGAGGCAGTCTCCCTTTGAAATTCTCCAACCAACATGTATTATCTATCAATCAGAGAACAGTTAACTGCATTTTCTTTTAAGTTTATTGATGTTGCTGCCAGCCTGCAATGTTTGCATCAGGACACTCTATACCCTGTTTCAAACCCATACTAACAAAGGAAAAGGGAGACACGAAAAAGGGAAATAATATTCAAAAATATCCAGATCCCACTCTGGGCTTTTTTTCATTAAATTCTCACGTTTCCAACTTCAGTTTCTCCTTAATAAATATTTGTGGTGGTGTAAAATGTGTTCCTCACCCACATTATGTACTTTTTATCAGTGGTAATACTATGAGAAGTGAGAATGTTGTATTGTAGTTACTTTAAAATGATTTTGTAAATATCATATTGTAGAGGTTTGACTGAATAATCAAGAAAGAAAATGCCAAAGTATGGAAACAAACATACTGGTACTAGTTAAATCAGAGTTCCTTCATCTTAACTTTGTTATTTCAGAAAATCTTTAAAATTGAGAGTGCGGTTCAACCACAAGACATTTTAAAGAGAGAAGCAGGACTCAACTGAATTGAAATGAGCGTCATTATTCTATCTTTCTTCCTATACCATACTTGAGTCCTGATGACTTTCAACAATGGCCTCTGCTAAAAGTATCATTCCTTGAAGTGGGTTCTGCAGTGGACATGTGTGTGTATGTGTTGTCAGTATATGTAATTTTGCTTTTACAATGTTGGCAGTAAGAAGAAGCCTTCTAATTTTATTCAGCATGATGATAGGCCCTAGCATTTTAATTATTTTTTATGTTGTGAGTAATTTATTATTCACTGGCTATCTTCCCTGTAAATCTTGTCCTCGCTCTGTAAGGTTTTTCTTTGGTGTCCAACAAAGGGTTTCATTGCAATAAGAATCAAGGTGTGTCTAAATTCTTACCCAGAGCCCAAACAATGCCAGTCTTCCAGACCAGCCTGGGAGTTTGGGGTGGGGAAACAGTCATTATAGAATATCTTCATCTCTCTGCCCAGAGATCACCACAGTTATCACCCATGCCCTCCTAAAAGGGTGTCTCAAAGCATATCTTTCTGTAGAGCAGAATTCGGAACTGAGAAGACGAGGGCTCAAATTGAATCTCACAGGATTTGCGTGCAAGAGAAACCCAAAGGAATGGATTGGCTCTTCTTCAGAAACATTTGCCTTTTGATCATTCTAATGGTAAGTAGAATTTAAAGAGGTGGGAAGGAAATGCAGCCTCAAGGTCTTGTCTCTGTCAACTGTCGGGCTTTCTACATGGGATTTATTCCATTTTTAATCTCCTTCCTGCAAAGAGAGTTCTAGAAGTCCAGCCTCTGTTAATTTCAAACAACTCTCTCCGCCTTGAGGAACAAAATGCCATAGAGAAGCGGGGTGAGAATCTGGCTGAATTAAATTTATATGCCCTCAGAGACATAATCTACTTCACTTTGAGTGTTAGGACTATTCTAAAATTTTAAATTGGAAATAAAATTCATATTCTATGATCATATAAATAAATCAGATAGATTGCTGTGAAAACTGCCAGTGCAAATGGGTTCTAAATTTGAAGGGAAGTTAATCAAACCCATTTCTTTTCAATAGTTATTTCCCTATGAGTTTCTTTCAAAGTGGAGGAATGATAGCCATGTTGAAATTACATTGCAACTAATGATGACATACTAAAGTCATGAGAACTTTTTCCAGTCAGATATTGCTAAAGAAAAATGAAGCCCAGCCATCAAGACAAAACTTTTCTGGAATTATGAATGCATTCCTACAGACCAGCAAAGAAATATTTAAATGACTTATTTCTTTACAGTAAACATGGCATCTTGGATATTATATTTCTTTCCTCTAACCTTTGGGTGCCCAAGGTGTGACATGATTTCCAGACAGGCAGCATGCATAGCAAATATCCTACCCTAGAAAGAGATAATTCCAACTCCAAAGAAGAACAAAGTTCCAGTTGGCCAATCAACAAACTATTGCCAATTCTGGGAGGGTAAGAGGACAGGATTATTAGGAACTGTACAAATTTTTCAAAGTAAATTAAGACAAATGCATTATAGTTGGCCACACTTCAATCTCCCAGGAGTATCCAGGTTAGCGCTACAACCTAAGCTTAGAAAGTGATTCCCATCCTATTCTTAGGCAAGTGGCAATTATACCAGACTCCTCTGAACATCAGTTGTAAGAGACAGAGAGTAGCTAGGGCTGGGAGAGATGGGAGCACGTCATTGTCCAAGAGGCACAGTGAGAGCTACTCTTCTGGAATTCACATTTCTAAACTTCAAGAGCAGTGCGGGAGCCGAACACTGCCAAAGGGCACACAACCCCAAGCTCAAAAGGGAACGTGACAACAGTGGTAGAATATTGCATCCTCTGAGTTTAGGAGACAGATTATTAAACAATACCATTTTTGAAAAATATTTTTAAACTTAAAAACATAAGACGAAGGGCAATATTCTGTTACAATGATCATTATTTATTTACTAAATAAAATAAATGTTACTAAAAGAAGAGGCAAGAATCGGACTTGGTCTTCAATTGAAATAGTAAGTTATGAGGATATACCTCTTGTTACTCTTCTACCGAGTATATTCATGCTTTGACTCAGATAAACTTTTGGTTTTCTGTAAGGAAAATTGTATGTGTCAAGATTTTAGAGGCCACTTCTGAGCACTAAATCTTGCCTCCCATTGCCTTCTGCACAGGCATGATTTATGATAATATTATTTAATTGAAGAGTTGATTCTTCTCCTTGATCTTGAAAGAGTATTATACTTCAGACTCTCAGGATCTTTTTTTGGTAGTATTTATTTATTTTCCTTGGTAATACTAGCGTTTTTAATACTTAATTCCTCCTACTCCTCATTGATATTGAAGTCTTTGTGTTTGACATTTCACGGTAATTGTGAAAAAGTTCTTTAAGTATTTTTTTTCTTTATGCTTGTCTAAAAGATCCCTTACCATATCAATTAATAGTGTCTGGAATTGGGAGGTAGAGACTTCTGGCATATTTCAAAATTGAAACAAATACAAGAATTGTTTAAGGAGAATCAATGAGATGTTATAGATATTATAGGAAAGTAGACATGCCTACTTCTCTTTAATTTCCTGAACTTGAACTCTGCCCCTTCTTCATTAACTAAATCAAAGACTCTCTGGGGCATCATTGCAGCTTACACTAATGAGGGTGTGGCAGCCTCTCAGAGACTCACAGGTACTTTGTGTCAGCTACATCTCAACCGCAAAGAGCACTGTAAACAAAGTTCTGACTGGCTAACCAGCAAAAGGTACTCAAAACTCTAGATTACAATAGGGCACTGATTTTATCACGAGTCATTTGGCATTTTCTTCCTAAGGATGCTTATCATGTTCTTCTATAAAACAGACAGGGGTGGTGAGGGACATTCAACAGTGAATCGAGATTCAGAAGTCCCGGGTTTGAATTACAGCTCCTCTTCAAAGTGGCTGTGTAACTTTGGCAAAAGCACCCAACTTCTCAGGGCTTCCTTTGACCTCATGTGAGAATGTATGGTTAGACATGATGTTATTAAGTTGCTTCCACTGTAGAAACTGCAATTCTAAAATTATCTCCACTGAATACTTACATAGTAGAAGTTCATTTCTGGCTCATAAATAGTTTTCATAAATTTGGCTGGAGAATCTGAGGATTTAGGCAATTCTATGGATTGTATAAATTTTATAAGGAAGGAATCACTTACGGCAGGACAGTTATTAGCTGGAAGAGGCCTATATTATATCAAGTGGATAAGGTCATAAAAGACAACCATTTATCAGATAAGAATTTTTCTCTATGTGTGATGACCATTCATGCTACATATAAGATGTAAGCACTTCCATTAAATAGTCTAATTCTTGGAAGTTAAAAAGGTAGGTGGCTAAATATAGCTGTTATCTCATTGCAAGTTGAGAGCAGGCATCAAAATTTGAAAACATATTTAAAATTAACTTAGCCACTTATCAATTTAGTTCTCACATGCACTCAAATATGTTATTCTGAAACATGGAACAGAAATTTGTTTCTATTTACTTGTCAGGCAGATTTCCAGAAATATGACAGAGAGAAAAACACCTTATCCTATTTGGCTTGATATTTGTACTAAACAGAATACCCTAGATTGCTTTAAATGATTGGTTTCAGTACTGCTTATTACAGAAAGAATGTACTCATCACCGCAAAGGTTACATCGAAGCAAATCTCACCTCTATGATTGTTTTGTTGATATAAGTGGCTAAGGAATTACTAAATGTATTTTAAATCAGTGGATAAGTTTATATTTTTTGCCTTCAAATTCCTGCAGAGTCCATGGGGAGAACCTCATATAAAAAAAGCTTTATATCCCAAGAGATATCTAGTATTACCATGACCTATAACTTAGTATAGTTTTCTCAAGAATATCTACCTATTGACTTGTAGGATAAAAATCCTGCCCTAAAAAGATTTCATGGCCCTTGGGATTCTATGACCCTTTTCCTTTTTGAAAGATACTTTTTTTGTTGGGGACAGAGCTTCTGGATCCTGAGTACGTAGTCTGACTCTTTTCTAGTTCTTAAGTATCCAGGAAGGAGTTCCGTATAGAGCAATGAAACCGTTGTTTAAGCTGCAGTAATGTTTCCTTCCCTTCCCCAAGTGGGAGCACAGTTGGAATTCCTCACTCATGGAAAGCAGCTCTGACTACAGGGTGTGTGACAACAGTGCCTGGAGGGAAACCTTCAGACATAACTTGCATGAGAAATGTTTGCCCTTCTTTTCTACGCAGAAAATTACATGGCTTACAAACTAAGATGCCATTATTGATACACCTTCCATTATAAGCAAAAGTGGTATAATTAGGCTTGAACTTGGCAACTCTACCATAGACCTGGTGGGATAGTAACTGCTTTACTCAATTATTATTATAAGCGTTATTCAGGAAAGAACTGCTTATTAATAAGTTGGTCCTACATATGCGGATGACTTCCAAACTGACTACTTACTTCAAAAGGGTAAGTCATAGAGATGAAACAGTAGCCTTGTTCTGTAGCTACTACTTTAAATACACTCAGAATGTAAGAGAATAATATCTATTCCAGTATTGCAAGAAGCATATATTATATGCTTAGAGTCTACATATCTTATATAAAATCATCATGTTCTCTCTAGAAGTAAGGATTAAAAGAGAAAACAAGACCCAGAAAAATTTCTACAGTTTTCTAAAAGTTAGATGACAATAGAGTGTGGTGTATCCTGTTATTCCTCTCTGGAATACATACATTATTACAGGTCGAAACTTGTCTTGCACATAGAGAACAGTGTCTGTCACATGCTTTGTCAATGAAAATGTTTCAATGAATGAATGGATTTAGTTTCTAACTTATCTTTCTTACCAAGTCACTTAATCATATATTTCCCACCCACATGTTGATGAGCAACTTTAACATGGTCAGTGAGCTTTAAAAAGAGCTGGAGTGTTTCATATTGAGACGAGGTATTGGTTCTCTGAAGCTGCCAGCCACTACATTGCCATTCCAACACCTGACACTAACAAAACATTTCACAGTTAACAAAACCATTTGAAGAGATTACAAAAGTCTCGAAAGGTAAATTTTGCAAATTAAAAAAAAAAATGTTCATGGGATAAATTAGTCAGACAGCTCACAACTGGGACAGTCAGGATGTGAACCTAAAACTCTTCAACTCTGCCAGCATTGACTCCCTTCTCCCTTTGGACCAATGACCAACCCTATACATTCTTCCTTTACATTGCCTAATTCATCCCAATATCTTTTTTTATTTTCCTGCTTCCCTCCTGTTTTAACATGTCACTCTTTCTAGGCCTGTGTCTTACTCTTCATTTCTTTCTCAGAAATTAGCAGAGACATAAATTTTAGTTTCCTTTTTTTTCTTTTTTGAGTTGGAGTCTTGCAATGTTGCCCAGGCTGGAGTGCAATGGTGCGATCTCAGCTCACTGCAACGTCCCCCTCCCAGGTTCAGGCAATTCTCCTGCCTCAGCCTCACTGGTAGCTTGGGATTACAGGCACCCGCCACCACGCCCAGCTAATTTTTTTTTTTTTTTGTATTTTTAGTAGAGATGGGGTTTCACTATGTTGGCTAGGCTGGTCTCAAACTCCTAACCTCGTGATCTGCCCACATCAGCCTCCCAAAGTGCTGGGATTACAGGCATAAGCCACCACGCCCAGCCAAATAGTAGTATCTTAAGCATTTTTATATTTCCAGTAAAAGTCCTGTTCAAGTTTTTGCCATTAATGCAACCTATCAAAAGGACATCCAAAAATAAAGGCAGACAGGGAACCGTCATCAACCAGGCCCACAGAGACTGTAATACATTTAGGATACCACACATCTCTCCAGGTTATGTTTGCTCCCTCAACAGCACATGCCTCCAACTCCCTTTTCTAGTACTCTACCATCGTGATAACTGGCTCAGCCATTTCTATTCTGTGTGTGTGTCTTTTACTCGGGGCCTCAGGTCAAGCCACATCAGTGGATGATGCTTGGCCCACATATTGCTCTGAAAATGTGACTTTTGGGCTGGTCCAAAGGTAGTGAGTTATCTCAACTGATTGCTCACAGCCACTTGCAGGTCAAGCTCCTTGTTCTATTCTTTCCCCCCTGTCTCACTACTGCACTTGACTAGTCTTAAAAAAGAAAAATTTTTAAAAAGGCTTTTGTAGGCAAGGAATTTCCACCATTACCTAGGAGTCCATGACTACTTTTCACGGTCTAACTGAGGTTCATACAGTTATGTTGTGCACTTTAGGAGGCTGATGTCATTCCATGCTTCTTCCAAAACACTCATTAACAGGTGTTTCCTAGAAAGTGAGGGCTCCTGATGGGGCTTATGATTTCATAGGGCCTGGGAGTAATACCTGGCAAGTTCCTTCCGGGAGACCTGTACATAAAGTGACAGGATTTGGAGGGTTTGGCTTCTGTTACCCTCATCCTTAGAGCCAGCTGAGCAGGGAGCAGAAATACCACAAATATACTATGGAAGCCTCCATCAGCACAGCATAGGTTCTGCTAGATGAAAACCCTGGGTCCTAGTATTCCACTTCCCTGGCCTGAAAATAATGAAAAATAAAAAATTCAGGGACAGCAAAAGGATGAAAAGGGGCTTATACTCAAACATTCTCAGAGTTACTTCAGTTGAGCTGGGCTCTGTAGAAAGGATAAGACCAAGGTAAAATGAACTCAAAACTCCTCATCCGTTTAAACTACAGACAAGTCTGCTTGATGTGGCTACTTTCAAGTCCTTAAAAATGATTGGCTAGTACTTTTAGATGCCACGGGGCACTATGAATGCGCCCTTGAAAGCACAGAAGAAAACGCTTCTTTCTTTCTTCCTTCGTCTTTACAAATGTACTGAGCATTTGCTGTGCCTATCACTTCCACCTTGGTCATTCTATTTGGATCAGAGTCTGAAACAGGAAGAAGCCAGGGGATTTGTCCAAAGCCACACTACTCAGTTCTTGTGCCTGCCTGTCTCAAGAAATTTGTGATAAATCACATTGTTTTTATAAAGCCAAATTATAATTTAAGGCTACATATCCACTATGGACTGTAAATCAATGACTTCCAAATGTACACTTGATATCGGCTTAATTGTTCCTATAAGAGTCTTCAAATTGGGACACGTATTTTGCTGAATACATATTCCTTTAAAACTCTAGTTTTAAAACTCTAGCTTTATTCTAGTATATTCCTTTAAAACTCTAGTTTAAAACTAGAGTTTTTTATCTAGTTTTAAAACTCTAGTTTTATTCTAGCATATTCCTTTAAAACTCAAGTTTAAAATACTAGAGTTTTAAAACTAGAGTTTTAAAGGAATCATTTTCCAGATCCCCAGCTTCTGGTCTTTCCTCAAGTCAATCTACCTCAGCGTGCACCTGAACTTGAGGTATCAAGCTGGTTCTTCTCTCCCAAATCCCCCTTAAAAAGTCACACCTTTCAGCCATGGCAAACGTTATTCTGTTGCACTCTAATAGATTGTGAAATTATCTGGGGCACTAAACTAAGGAATAATGGAAAATATTGACGTCAATATTGAGAAAGAGAGTTAATTTCAAGGCACTTAACAAATCCTTTTGCAAGTCCTGCTTTTCAATTATTTGTTTTCAACAAAATTAAAAGAGGACCTAAAGGAGTTGTCAACTTATACATCATTAAAAATCATTTTGATGATAAATTGCCTTATAGATTTAGGTCATGTAATTCAGAATAAGTTTTAAGAATTTAATGACTCTGCTACCAGAAAAAAAATTCCAATGTCATCTATTAATATGAACAAGTTTTCCCAGTACTTACAACTGAAAGACAAAACCAGACAAAACAGAATTGGTTCTGAAGCTTGTTTAATTCTAATAATAAGTAATATTTATTTAAGAACTAATTTTTTTAAAATTTCATCCCTGTGTTTTCAATGCATTTCCAATAAAGTTTTACTTTTCATATTTAATTATATTGCATTGAAATTTCAATATTTGCATTTTGTTTGCTCAATTGTGATGCTAAGTATAATTGTAAAACTAATCTAATTCAGAGAAAAATGTTTGTTTACACTTAGAGCTTCACAATGATAGAAATTCCAATAAAATAAAATTTCTATTCATATGTATATTTCATTACAGACAAGTATGCTAGGCTGCTCAATAAAAACCTTAAAATACATTAAAATATGTGTGAAGCTTGAAAATATATTCCAGTAGGATGAACCTATGGAAGGGATAATTCATCAATAGAAATGTGGTATAAGAGTTCAAGGAGTAATAGGAGTAAAATAAATTCCAACTGACAAAGAACTTATTCATCTATTTTTCTAATGGATGAAACTGAGCATCAGGGCAACAGCATGTAGATTCTTGCATCTCCCACAGCTCCTCATACGTTCCCTTACCTTCCAGCAAAAATATTATTGACCGTTTCTGGAACATCCGCTGACTTAGAGCCTTTACAACTGTGTTCTTGTTTCACCCTGGGTGAAATGCTCTTCCTCATCAATTCCTCTTATCAAACTAGCTTCATTCTGCAGAGCCCTTTCAAATCCCTACTCTCCTAGGAAGTCCTCTTGAAATTCACTTGGATAACTTGAGTTTCCTTCTCTATCCTCCATTGAGCCCACTGAGGTATCCCAACCTGCTGTAGACTTATGTGTTTGTCTTCTCTAAAATGTAAATACTTTGGAGGGCAAAAAGTCTATTATTCATTTGTGTTAGCCATGTTTATTTCACATCATCAACAAAATGTATATTTAAAAATGAATTAATAAAAGAATATTGTCAATGTTTTTATGACATGGCTTCCTCTAAATTATGCAAATTTATGCTAATGTGGTATCTTCTATCAAAACAGGTGGTGATGGAAGTAAACAGTGAATTTATTGTTGAGGTAATGTAAAATAAAATTATTTTCTCAATTTAAAATTAAAACAAAAACTGAATTTTGTAATGTATTATATATAAAAATCAGAATATTTGAAATTGTAATTATCCAGGTAAAAGTTAAGAGAAAGAACTAGTGAACTGAAATAGCGATGGTAAAATCCATGCTCCCAAATCTCTATGCATTTAGGGCATGTGTTTGCAACAGCTTAGTGTCTTAGTAACTCCTGTTTATCAAACTATATGAGTAGTTTATTTATGTTTTCCAATCCACAGCAAAGCAAAAGCAGCAAAGTGACACTTTAGAGTGGGAAGAGACTGTTTAGACACATTAGACAGAAAGACAATTAATGGTTCATCAATGAGAAAAAGGACAAACATTCAAATTGTATAATCCCAACTAAATGGAAAACATATAATCTAGTGCCATTTAGAGTAGAACTCAGGAAATAGAGCTGCTGTCCTCTATCTCTGGCAGAGCTTTATTTTATTATAATAGTTAAATTTTCCTTATGATCCCCTCAAATCATTGGAAAAAATAAAGTTTTCTCATCTTTTTGGTGAAATAGGGAATAGGTGGTACATTTCAGTAAGTCGTATCAAAATGGAGAAATAATGTAAATACTCTGGTTGTAATATATGCTTCATTCAGTGGAACACCTCCTTCCCCCAAAGTGGTAATTAAATGAAGCTTAGCCTAAGTAAACTTATAATCACCTGTGTTTCAGGGGGTACATTAGGACTTACAAAAATAAATACGTGCATATATATAGTTTATGCATGTATACAAATAGGCTTGCACATGTAGTGACATTTCTAATCTCATTAATAGTATGAAATTCTTAAGTATACATCAATAGCAGCAACTTAAGGCTACGAAAGAAAAACCATATAGCAAGCACAGATACAAATGACAGCATTGCAAAGCCTTATAGGTGTCCATGGGATTATTGGAGGAATCATCAATTCCTCCAATATTAATAATATGTTTCTAATTCTGCAAAAATATACTTGGGTGCTTAGCCACAGTGGTGTCCTTATCAACAGAAGAGAAAAATGCTCTTCTCTCTTTTAGGTGAGCACGACTCACCAGCACAACTTTTATGTTATATGGGATGTGCATACATGGAACAATGATAATCTTTAAACTCTGCAGTCTGTAAATTCTGGTGAAAGCTCAATGAAGGGTGAGATAGGCAAGGCTCCTATATGGTGAAGATAGATTGAGAAAAGGAAAACTGCACAACTTATACAGTATGGCACATCATGAGCTCCTCAAGTAGCTAATTAAATTTGTTTCACTAGAATCAAATAATTGGAACCAAGATGATTCCAAAAGAAGTGGCAGCCAGGGGTAACCAAGCTATCTATCTATCCAGAGTTGTGAATTGGTGAAAACATTCTCTGTTCTTCAAATTCAATATCACTGTTTCTTCTAAATGCACCTTACAATATTAAATAAATGTCCTTTCTAAGTAAAATTGTTCTCACACTGTAAGACACCTGAACCATTTTTGCTTAAGGTGAAGGAATTTGACATTGAAAATGGCACTACAAAATGGCAAACAGTCAGAAGACAAAAGCGGGAGTGGATCAAGTTTGCCGCAGCCTGTCGAGAAGGAGAGGACAACTCGAAGAGGAACCCCATTGCCAAAGTAAGTGATGAAGCAATCTGATGACAAATGCTTTTGCAGAGCAGGGAAGCTTTCAAATATCTCCAAGATTTGCAGGCTTCACTGCTCCACAGTTATTTAAGAAGACAGAATGTGGTCATTTGCTCCAGTTGCTGAGCCACTGATTTGAATATCATGTGCAGGGAGGCTGACGTGGGGCAGGCAGTCAATGGCAAGTGATTCTAGAAGAAAGGGCTGGATCTCCAGCACAACTGGGCTTTGTTCATCCATTTGTGTACTGCTCATTATTGCCTGTCAATGTCATAGGAAACGTATTCACATAGTGACAGTCTGAAGCCTGGCCCTCCAGAAAGTCAAGCCAAGTTTACTGCACTAGATGAATTAACTCCAGGAAAGTAAGGATAGTATCAAAAGTTCCCACCAGATCTCTACATCCAGAAAATAAGAGAGTCTTATAAGACTTTCACAAATAATGCCTACTGAAAAGGAAGGAGAGTTAAAGAATGTGTAATAAATTGATCCAGGAAGGATGGGATCCACATTAATAGCTTCATTCACTCTTTCTGGACATCTTGATCCTGAACAGTAAAGTGATCTGCAGAATTCCCTCCTTCCAGCTTTATATTAAAAACATAGTAAGCATCAGCAGTGGTGTTACAGATACAACCTCAGCTCAAGAAAACAGATGTATTCTCTCTCAGATGTTTTCAAATTGGAGGGACGCTTTTAAATTATTATTTCCATTCAACTCAGTAATTGCTTTATGTTATTCCACTTATATTGCATATTCTTTTCTTTTTCTCTGCATTTTGGGAGGTTCTTGAGTTTTCTTCTATGTAAAAAGGGCCTTTGGATTAGAGTTAAGCTAACCAAAGTTCTATTTCCAGCAGTCTTTATTTGACTGTGAATGTGTGGGTAAAAAATCTTACTATTTTACTGAATGCTCTTATCGTTAGTATATAGGTGAGATTTCAAAATTGTTTCAGTTTAAATTTATCAGCAATAGGTAATAAAGCTACTAAAGCAAAATCTGTGTGGCAGAATATTTGCCATAAAATCTATTTGGCAGAAAAGTGATGCAGTATGTTTACATTTATAAAATTATTACAAATATCTCTAACCATTATAGTTTTCTGATATTCTCAACTTATCTACCATTTTGACTAAATCTCAGACTCCAGCTTAGGTAGGATACTTATTAATATGACACAAGTTATTTTTAAAAAATAGTAAATGTTGTAATTTCTTTTGTGAAGCTATTTCTGCGTATGCTAAAAAATCAGAGAATTGAACAATGTGTTATTAACAACAAACCTAGCACCAAGTGTGTATGTTATACACATTACCTCATGTAATTCCCACAACAAATCTGTGTGATATTATCCCCACTGTAAGCTGATCTGGGCAAAGTTAAGTAAATTTTCCAGGGTCACACAGGACTAAGTCATGGTGTCAGGTTTCAATCCAAAGCCCATTTGGTAAAGAAACCCACTCCCTTCTTATTCCACTACACTCTTAAGCATTATCTGCTCTAAACTGGATCACAATCCTAGCTATTTTTCTTATAGATTCGATCAGACTGCGAATCGAACCAGAAGATAACATACCGGATTTCTGGAGTAGGGATTGATCGACCACCATATGGGGTATTCACCATTAATCCTCGCACTGGGGAAATTAACATCACTTCAGTGGTAGACAGAGAAATAACTCCACTTTTCTTGGTAAGTCATAGCCATATGTTTTGATTTGTTCATATTAGTTTTCTTCCCTTTTTCAAAAAATATTATCTTAAGATAATGGATTACTTTTGATAAAACATGGCAGACTGAACCCAAATAGAAGACTTGAAGGAATGGAAAGAGTGTGAAAATAAAAGTTTATAGTTCAGGATTCTCTGGTATGTTGCATGTACATGTAGTCAAGTGTCCTGATCATATTTAAATTATTTGACTGTACTACAGTCTGAATTCACTGGAAAAAATTGTTTCTTTGCCTATTTTCTGATATATTTTCAAGCATGTTACTAAAATTCCTTTGGTGGAAAAAGATGGCTTTTTTCCAATTTTCCACAGATCTATTGCCGGGCTCTGAATTCACGGGGTGAAGATTTAGAAAGGCCTCTTGAGCTTAGAGTCAAAGTTATGGACATAAATGATAACGCTCCAGTCTTTTCGCAAAGTGTATACACAGCCAGCATTGAAGAAAATAGTGATGCCAGTAAGTAGAATGACATTCCTTCTCTACGTCACAGCATATCTACTTCTCTTGGTCAAAAGCTTTAGAGGACTGACATACAGGAAATGTAAAGGACAGAAAAAGCCACACTTGTATTTTGAATAAACCCCACATATTTTAATTTATAACTGAGCTAGAAAAAGAAATCATGTCTAAAATGATAAAATAAAATATCTTCTTACTTGCGGAAGGTCCCTACAGGGATTTAGCAGGTGCTTAGCACCTTGCTTAAAGATTGCTACTGGGCTCATGAAGAACTAAATCCAAGCGAGCAAACTGAGGAATAAACCAGGAATGTTTAAGAAGGCTCTGTTCTGGTCTCTTACTCAAAATGTTTGGCTGACCCACACCAGGTAGAGCGTGATGGTGGAAGCACACGCAATTGTACCCATCAGATCAATCACTAAGGGTAATCATTGATCTTCACAGACTACATAGCAAACTACATTCTATTCTCTCATTTTCTTTCATTTCTTTCCATTCCACTTAATTCCATTTCCAGTTCTAATACCCTCTGTCTTTCCTTTATATTAATTCTCCTGAACTTCTTTCCTTCCTACTCTTATGCTTTTCTTATATGGCTACTTTCCTATCTCTCCTCTCCCTTTGCCTTCTGACCTTGATTTTACATACAGCACATGAATATCAGTTTGTTCCCCAAACCCCTGTTGTCCCTTTCCCTTTCAAATCTATGTCTGCCCATATACCTCTAAACAAATTTGGGGGGAAATAATAGGAAAAATAAATTTCAGGAAAAAAGGCAGATAAACACAAAATTTTTTTTTGAACTAGGATAGTCCTCCCATAGAGAGGCAAAGAGATTTTGCCTAGGAGAGCCAACACAAAGAGAGACTCCGAAGTCCATCTTTGCTTCCTCATCAACACACCTCAAAACAACACTGGTGAAGGAAGAGAAGGTGAAACCCACAACCAAGTCTCCCTGCCTAGGAAGCAAAAGAACATCAGGGACCTGACAATTCTGAAAAGTCTGTCCTGTAGATTGACATCCTTGGGGATTTGCCTAAGATACCTGTTCTTTCTACCTATGAGTAATTAGGAACTTCTTATATTGCTATGGACAAGTCTTCTTTTCAATAATTATAAATTTGTGACTGTTTGGTAAAATGCTATCTTCCAATGCAACCAAGAGTAATTATCTGCTTTCTGGAAAAGTGGCAATTAAGAATATAGGTGTTCAATACATAATTATAATGTTGCATTTAATTAAACTATAATTTTCCTTAATTAAGCATTTTTAAATGATTTCACAAGACCATGGCAAAAAATAAAACAGATAAAAATCTGTTTATTCAGCTATATGATAAAGAATCTATTGAACTTCTTTTTCGTACTTTAAAGAGAACTATGTTTAGCCACTAATTTAGTATTTAATCATTTAAGGAGTGCAAGTACTTTTAAAACAGTAAAGGGTTTTATAAAGCAAACCACATTTTTTTTAATCACTGGTAGAGCTGAAAGTTATGGTACTATATTCCCATGGAAAACTCAAACAGAGAGAATTCAGGAGAAGGCCAACCACTCTGTCTTCTTATGCCTAATGATTTGCTGAATTTATTCTAAGAGTCCCAACCATTCTCCACCTCCATTTCTATTTCTAGATACATTGGTAGTAAAGTTATGTGCCACAGATGCAGATGAAGAAAATCATCTGAATTCTAAAATTGCCTACAAGATCGTCTCTCAGGAGCCATCAGGTGCACCCATGTTCATTCTGAATAGGTACACTGGAGAAGTCTGCACCATGTCCAGTTTCTTGGACAGAGAGGTAAAGCCTTCTGTGAATGAACAAGAACTAAAAAATTCAATTTTGAAAAGACAAAGATAAAATGATCCATGTGTACCCTTACTCCAATATAAAGGAGGGAAGAAAAATAATCCATTTTTAATAAAAATTAAAAGCTCAATTATATAAATTTCATTGGATATGTAAATAAAAGAGTAGAGAAATAATGGCATTGAATGCATTGGATTCTATTCAAGACAAAACCTAAGTCTTACGTTCTTTTTCATCTTGATTAAGCAACACAGTATGTACAACCTGGTTGTGAGAGGCTCAGATCGGGATGGAGCTGCAGATGGACTGTCTTCTGAGTGTGACTGTAGAATCAAGGTTTTAGACGTCAACGATAATTTCCCCACCTTAGAGAAAACTTCAGTAAGTTTGTATTCTTATCTTCCTTTTTCCATAAGTGTCAATAATCAATTTGCATAAGTGTCAATAATCAATCATGCTGGCTCATGAGCCTGGTTCTGTCCTATGTGTGGACATACTCAACTTTGTTATAGAAACTTTGGAATTTCTTATGTATACTAATATACCTTCAAATTGTATGTTTGTCTTTGACTCACTACTCCAAACAAGCCTTCTCTGTGAAAGCAACGAACTATCTATTCTGTATACTCTATTCACAGAAACACAGAAATCTGTTGATCTAACTCTGGGAATAACATAGCAACATTAATGTTTTTGTATATGCCTCATGATTTGCTGAATGAATTCTACTAGAGTCCCAGACAGTCTCAACTTCCATTTTCATCTCTAAGCATAAAGAAGCATAAAATCCACACTAGCAGGGCCAAATCTGGCTTGCTGTCTGTTTCGGTTTAAAAAAAAAAACAAAAAAACAAAACAAAAAACGTGTTATTGGAGAGCATAGCTGTCCTCATGCCTTTACATATTGTCTATGGGGGCTTTGTGCTGCAACAGCAGACGTGAGGGGTTGCAACACCAATTCTCTGGCCCACAATATCTAATATATTTACTATTCAGCCCTTTACAGAAAAAAATCTGGTCCTCTATCTAAAAGAAAAGAATAAATAAAGAAAATTAACAATAAGCAAAAATAAATAAATAAATAAAAGAGAAAGGAACAAAGTGCTAATTTGACCTTGATTTTACATACAGCACATGAATGTCAGTTTTATTATCTTATAATCATTTTATTCTTATTCTCCTGATTGGACTATGGGCATTTAATAATGGTGCAAAAATCATCGACATAGTTTGTTGTTAGTATTTTAAATAATAATAATGTGTTTTAAGTACGTTTCTTCTTTTGAAAATTCATTGACTACAAAATTGATCCTTGCATTTTAGTACTCAGCCAGTATTGAAGAGAATTGTTTAAGTTCGGAACTGATACGATTACAAGCAATTGATCTTGATGAAGAAGGCACTGATAACTGGTTGGCTCAATATTTAATTCTCTCTGGAAATGATGGGAATTGGTTCGATATTCAAACAGATCCACAAACCAATGAAGGCATTTTGAAAGTTGTCAAGGTACAGTATAAGGATCTGCAATATTTTCTTCCAAAATATTTTATTCCAAAGAAGTTTTAAATGACCTTAGAGACAGAATCTGCCTTTAAAAAAAAGTACTTCATAACTTTGAATATTGTTTATATCAAGGGTCCTAAGTAACTGCTATGTCAGTCTGAGTCTCCTAGCTAGCAACACAAAACTTATTACCAAGAAAAATATGAAGACTGTTTTGTTCTGACAGTGTCCAATATCTAGTTGTGAAGATAAGGTAAGCAACCCCAAATTAGAAGATATATGGGAGTTCACAGTGCAATAAATAATACAGATGTCATGATATAAAACATAATTAATTGCCAAGGGAGTGGAATATGAAATAATGAAAGAGATAAGAAATGGTGAGATCCTTCTGAGCTAGATTTGTCTGAAAAGATTTCATGCAGGAAATAAGGCTTAAGCAAGATGTTATAGCTAAGATTGCTAATGTGGGTAATAAAATAAACAAACACAGAGTGAGAAAACATGAAGCAAGTTCAGGGCATGGTGAGCAACCCCGTGGGGCTGTAGTGGGGCATCAAGTAGGGAAGTAATCAGAAGTCAGATCAGAGAAGTGAAGCTGAAATCGATCTGCTGAGAACCTTGCATACTGAAATACCGGCTTTGATTTTTTTCTATAGATTAATTTTTCTTTAATTACTTGCTTTTAATTCACAGACAATGATAAAACTGAAAAATTTATAATTAGAAACGAATAAAACCACAAACCAATAAGATTCAGATTAACATTACTGTAATGAGGGAAATTGTTATTTTTTAACAAAGGAAATTGCTGCTAACAACATAAACAACACTTATAGCCAGGAAAATATATATTAAGACATATATGTACACACATATTTTTAGCTTACTACACAGTGTGATTGTGGAATTTACAGTGTGATTATTCAGTTCTGTTACTATTTTTCTCTATTCAAGCACATAAGGCTCTTTTTGTGTTACCATAAAGTAATAGCTGAGACTGGGTAATTTATAAAGAAAAGAGGTTCAGTTGAATCACCATTTTGCAGGCCATACAGGAAGCAAAGTGCCAACATGTCCTTCCAGTGAGGGCCTCAGGAATCTTACAATCATTGTGGAAGGCAAAGGGGGAGCCAGTGCATCACATGACAAGGGCAGTAGCAGAAGAGAGAAGGGGGAGGTCCTAGACTCCTGTAAACAACCAGATCTCGCAAAAACTCATTTATCACCAAGGCTATGGTGGTAAACCATTCGTGAGGGATCTGCCCGATCACCCCTCACCAGGCCCCACCTCCAACTTTGGGAATCACATTTAAAGATGAGATTTGTGGGTGACAGACATCCAAACCATATCATCAAGTTACTGTGAAGTTTTTTCAGATAGCATATTAGGAAGCCATTTAGCCTTCTGGAAGCAAACATATCGTTTATTCATTGGGTCTTTCGCTTTTCTTTCTCAAGTATCTGAGCAATTTTAGTATTACTACTTTACCACCAAAGCACAACCATACACACTGAAATCATATGGTATATTAACTTAAGAGCTGGCCACCAAAATTATGAAAAATATTTATATATAAGATTGTCATCCAAATGAATACACACAATTTTATAATTTCTTAAGTGAACACAAGGACTCAAAGAGTATATCATGGACTTTCTGTTTGGAAAACATTGCTTTGGGCCAGAGGTCAGCAAACTATGATCCAGAGGTCCTCACCTGTCCCCTGTTTCATAAATAGTTTTATTGGAATACAACCACATACATTCATTTACGTATTTTCTGTGGCTGTTTCCACACTCAAGTTGCTGATATGAATACTTGAGATAGAAACTCTGTATGATATGACCCCTAAAACCTAGAACATTTACTATCTGGCCCTTAACCAAAAGTTTTTCAATTCCTACTTATAGACCAAGGAAAGCTTTGGGATATTTTCTAAAATAACAATAACACCGGCCTGGCAAAGTGGCTCACGTCTGTAATCCCAGCACTTTGGGAGGCCAAGGCGGGCAGATCACCTGAAGTCGGGAGTTTGAGACCAGCCTGACCAACATGGAGAAACCCCATCTCTACTAAAAATACAAAATTAGCCAGGTGTGGTGACACATGTCTGTAATCCCAACTACTCGGGAGGCTGAGGCAGGAGAATCGCTTGAACCCGGGAGGCGGAGGTTGCAGTGAGCTGAGATTGTGCCATTGCACTCCAGCCTCGGCAACAAAAGTGAAACTTAACAACATGAGTTCAACTCTGAAAAGACCACAGTTATAAAAATTATTATGATATTAATTAAGTTCTGAGGTACTAAGCATCTGATCTAAGGCAATGGCAGTAAAAATGGAAAAAAAAAAAAAAAGGAATGGGTATAGGAGACATTGCCAAATACAATACAAAGAGGAATAGAGGAACAAGAGGTCACCTCCCACCATATCAAATTCTGAATATTTAGTCAAGTTTTTCTTCCAGGGATCAGAATTTGTTAAACCTTGCATCCTGGTTAAAAATCAAGAGCTAGACATAACATGCAATTCTTACCTATGTTCTTATCATCTTAGTGACTAACTTTGTATATTATCTCATAATATGTAACTGCTCTTTGCTTTTGTTCTGTCTCCCAACCTACTAAAATAATAGAAGAATTTTGTGCATAAAGAACCTGATCTAAATATCTTTCTACCCCCAGCACCTGGTCCAGTGTCCAAAAGATAGTAGAGACTCACAAAATTTGAGAATAGTATTGATGATACTATTTACCTGAAACTAATGGCATAGATATCATCCAAACAGAAGTCACTGGACTTGATTGCATCATTCGTAACTTCTGCATACAATTATAAATATGAAAAAAATTAACAATGCAGGCAATGTACTATCTGACTTATGTAATGTGCCTTCTGTGATAACAACTTTTTTAAAGATATACTTAATTGCTAAAAAAAAAAAAAAGCTATTGAAATATCAATTTCATGAAAAATTTGTCAAGGTAATTTGGATGCTGTATATACAAAGCCCTATCTATTTTTTTCTGAATGATAACTTTCCAAATCTCTTAAAAAGAGTAAGAAAAAATGTGCTTAAAAATACCAAAGTAATGGAGAAAGGCTAATTAAAATGAAATTTTAAACCTTGATGTTTGTATTACTACCTAGCCAAAAGAACTATTTTAGAGAACATAAGCGTAATTTTCCCATGTTTGACATTTTCAACAGCTGGTGGTCAGCCTCTCATTCCAGATACATCTGGAATGAGGTTACTAATGTCCTCTTACACCTTCTCCATTTTCATTCGGGATACCCCTTAACCCTGAGGAAACTGGACTTTTGACTAAGCTTTATATAACCCTTCTCTTAGTCTGAGGAAATTACAAAGACTCAATTCAAAGGATTTAAGGTGGCTCGTGCCTGTAATCCCAGCACTTTGGGAGGCCAAGGCGGGAGGGTCACTTGAGTCCAGGAGTTCGAGACCAGCCTGGACAACGGGGTGAAACCAAGTCTCTAGCGAAAGATGGGTGTGGGGCGGTCACCTGTAATTCCAGTTACTTGGGAGGGCTGAGGCATGAAAATCACTTGAACGCGGACCAGGGAGGCAGAAGAAAAATAAGGATTTATTGAGAATTGCTATGTGTTAAGGACATGAAGGCAAATAAGATATGGTCCCTGTTCTCAAGGAATTTACAGTTTAACAAGAGAAAGATCTCAGAAAAATGAAAGTCTCTCTGTCAATAACAGCCTCTCCTTGGTATTTATTGATAAGTGTATATGAAAACGCAAGCAATAAAAAAGTGTGTGTGTATATATATATACATATTTGACTTCAACACTGAGAAAAAAGCAAAGCAAAATGCTACCCAATTGGAATTCTAACAAAAAAATTGATTCTCTATTTTTATAATAATTCTAACATTTATTAAGCAATTACTAAACACCAACTATTCTGTTATAAGGTGTATCCAGAGGGTTCACATATATTATCTCATTTAATCCTCACAACTCTCGGAAGAAAATAGGGTCATTGCTTTTTTTTTTTTTTTTTTTTTTTTTTTGAGACAGAGTCTCACTCTGTCACTCAGGCTGGAGTGCAGTGGTGTGATCATTGCAACTCCTCCTCCCAAGTTCAAGCAATTTCACGCATCAGCCTCCGGAGTAGCTGGGATTACAGGCATGCGCCACCACACCCGGCTAATGTTTGTATTTTCAGTAGAGACGGGGTTTCACCATTGCTGGCCAGGCTGGTCTCAAACTCCTGACCTCAAGTGATCTGCCCACCTCAGCTTCGCACAGTGCTGGGATTACATGTGTGAGCCACCGCACCCAGCCAGTAATTCCATTTTTAGAGAAAGTGAAACAAAATTGAAGAAGACAAATAGCTAGTCTCAATTTACCCAGGTGGTGAATGGCAAAGACAAGAACCAACTGGAACTTTCTGGTCCCAAAGTCATATTTAACTGCCACCTTCGTGTCTCACTGCGTAATTGGGGGCCAGTAAAACCGATTTTAGGAAAGAACTAGCATGCCGAGACTTTTCTTCCAAGTCTGTGTACCACTATAAACTCCTTCCCAGCTGTGTGTGCCCTGCTTCTCTCTTCCAGACACATTTGTACCAGGAAATGAGCCTTCCTGGAAACAGAACATACACACTCAGGCAGATATTTGACCATTTCCCCAGTCCCCTGCTGTTGAAAAACTGCTATCACATTCTCTTTTGGATGGAGACTTCTAACTTTCTCCCTTTTTCATACTTAATTCTAAAATGAATCAGTGTCCCCACTAGAATTAGCAGTGTCATATTAAATTAGAACAAAAAAATTGGATGTGAGAATCTAAGCGTAGCTTCTATACTACAATTTACAGCAGCCAAAAGCCTGCCAGAAGCCAAATACATTTCTGGATGTGTTATCTTCATCCTGAGCCCTTCCAGAGCCTCACTCCTGGTCACTGCAGGTCAAACCCCCAGCCACTCTAACACACGCCTGTGTACCTTGTTAAGTGGTTATTCCTCATTTGTTCCTTAAACTGCAGAGACTGAGTTTCCCCAGCCTCTCCCTTTACTTTATGAAGAGACTCCAGAGTAAACCATTGTTTCCATTGCTCTTTACAATCCTTGACCTCTGGACACAATCAGAAAATCCTGACTAAAGGGCCCCACTTGCGAAGAATGAGTAAACAATTTTATGCCTTTCCTCTATTTGGCTTTCCTCCAAGAGGAAAGGTTGACCCCAGAACAATTTCCTGTTCCTAGATTATGTGAAGATCTTTAATTATACAACTTTAGACACATGTTGGTATATTTTCATCACACTCTGTTCAATGGGGAGAGAACTATTAATATTCTTACAAGCAAAAGTGCATTTGTGTATATACATAAGAAAAGCACAAGAGATTTCTCTATCAGAATAGAGGTTATCAGGCCGGGCACAGGGGCTCATGCCTGTAATCCCAGCTCTTTGAGAGGCCAAGGCAGGTGGATCACCCAAGGTCAGGAGTTCAAGACCAGCCTGGCCAACAGGCAAAACCCCCGTCTCTACTAAAAATGTAAAAATTAGCCCGGTGTGGTGGCGCATGCTTATAGTCCCAGCTACTTGGGAGGCTGAGGCAGGAGAATTGCTTGAATCCAGGAGGCAGAGGTTGCAATGAGCTGAGATTGTGCCACTGCACTCCAGCCTGAGCGACAGAATGAGACCCTGTCTCAAAAAAAAAAAAAAAAAAAAAAACTTGAGGTTCTCGATTTTTCATTTATTTGAAGATAGCATGGAATTCTATTAAATAAAAAAATGATTTGTAGAAGAAAGATCTCTTCCAATTGAAAAGTGATTTTTGAGTACATAATTTATATTCAGTTCTGTGCTAAGTATCATGTGGGGTGGTCTATTACGTGGACCAGTGGACTAGGTATTATGTGGATCTGTAAACAGATGTGCAAAAGGAATCAAAATCTCAAACCTCAAGGGTTTTGGCTGAAATTCAAGCACGGCATGCTGAGCCATCTCCAAAGAAGAACCCAAGTAAATTTCTGTGAATGTTTTTCTTATCAGCTCTTCTAAAAAGATGTAACTCTAAAACCTAAGGAAACATTCATGATGTCAGGGAGTTTCCCTGAGAAGCAGAGATTTACCTCACAGAGTTCTGCTGATGGCAAGCCTTGCTGATATCTTGACTTCTGCTGTTGGAAATGCATTGCAAGTGATGCTTAGCTTCCAGAACCCTTCTAAGCAGACATTGTTCAGCAATTCTTTCTTTGCAACTACTTTTTCATTGTGACTTTTCATGTCACCACATCAATCATTCTGGATCAAAAGATTCTATTTTTTATCCAGAATACCCATTTCAAAGGTGACTTTTCTCTGGGCATGGCATTTACTTATTTGAATATGCCCCATAAAGGAGTCTTCCTGTCCACCAGACCCGGCGACTATAATCATCATAAATTCTTTGTAAGTTGTGTACACCATTAAAAAAAAATTACGTGTTCAGTGACATCATATATATTAGCACCTTTATTCTGCTGATTATACTTTCAAAAGATTCTCAGATGTGAGTTCTATAAAGGAAATCTGGGTACTATTTATTTATTCATTCAATAGTGTGAACAGTTTTTATTTTATTCTAAAGCTTTTTTTCATAAACACCTCATTTGGAAAATAATCGTTTTTCATTTCAGCATTTTTGTATAAAAAGTCCAAAACTCCAAAATTTTATTCCAATTTAAAATCACAGCCTTAAATAATCTACATAGCTGATTATGCTAAAAGATGAACAGAAAAACATATCTAAGATACCTAATGCAGTAATAAGTAAAATTTTTTTCAATTCAAAATCTAAACAGCGTATCTCCTGGACCTTATTCTAGTGTGTGGTTTGCTTTACCATGGCTTCTTACTTTATCGAAAGAGAGTTCTTTGCTGTTTCAGAGTTTTTTATTTTCTTTCATTTCAGATGCTGGATTATGAACAAGCACCTAACATTCAGCTTAGTATCGGAGTTAAAAACCAAGCTGATTTTCACTACTCCGTTGCTTCTCAATTCCAAATGCACCCAACCCCTGTGAGAATTCAAGTTGTTGATGTGAGAGAAGGACCTGCATTTCATCCAAGTACTATGGCTTTTAGTGTGCGGGAAGGAATAAAAGGAAGTTCCTTATTGAATTATGTGCTTGGCACATATACAGCCATAGATTTGGACACAGGAAACCCTGCAACAGATGTCAGGTACTGCAACTATTTTCTTCATGTTCTATGGTTCTATCCAGTGTTAATTCATGTAGCATGCGCTAATATATGTTGGTTGTAATACTTTTGGAGGGCTTTTTTGCTTTTATTATTCCTTTGATTTAAAAGACTATTAGAGCATTTGAAATCTTAGAATTTTAAGTGTTTTAGAGGCTTCAATAATGTAAGGGCTCCAACTAGTTATAAAAGTAATTGTGTCCAGTGAGTAATTGTAAGATCAAAGAGCCTCCTAAATTACTCCATAAGTCTTTTTGATCTTTTGTGGCCAGTTTGTTCTACCCTGGACCGGGGCTGATTAAGCCATATTGTGGGCAATAAGTCACCATAAAAGTTGAGTCACTGCTTGTTTTCTTAAACCTGTGTTACTATGACTTAGAGACTAATTTCAATCCTCTGCTTAATCTAAGAGAAAAACCACAATCATAGAAGCGAAAAACAGTGTTTTAGAAAATTGATAGGCATAGGGAGAGTCAGAAGAGGAGAAATAAAAAGATAGTATTGGGGCACTAGGTACCTAGATTATATGTGAATTAGAACAGTGTAAAATATTCTGGAAATAACCACAGTGAAGTACACAGATCTTCTCTATATCCTGCCCTTCTCTATCTCCTTTTCTTCTTCCAATATTCTTAGAGTAAACGAAGTCTACTGACTTATAAGTTACCTTGATGTTCACAGTTTTAGTTATTAAATCAGTTAACAAATTGACAGACGCAAAAAAACCTGTGAAGTCTGCCAGGATGGGTGGAGGTAAAAGCAGTTCAGATAAAGGAACTGAAGACTTGAAATTGTGCCTGGTAGAGACCAGATCTTCTTCCAGTGAGGTCAAGCACTTTAAATCTATCATCTGTAACAAGATCCAGATAGTCACACTGAACAGAGGATATCACAAGCCCCCAACAGGCTATCAGTGAGGTGCTCTGAAATCAACATAGCTGAAAAGCCACAAAAAAAATCCTAAGTATACCACATACAAAAATAAATAAGCAATATGTGTTTCTGAAAATGAATAAAGGATGTTTTACATTGCTATGATTTAATAAATAGAGCTGAAATAAACTCATACATTTTATTAACAATTATCCTAGGAGCCAGAAGAGTAAAAATGATGAAATTTTAAAACTTGCAGACCTGTATATTAATGTATATATCATTGAATTTTTATTGATATATATGTACTTTTTATAAACCAAGGCAATCATCACTATAAAACATAAAAACACAATATTAAAGTTTGCCACATTGTAGCTGTTACATGATTTAAAAGTACTAACTTTCATAAAAGCATGATAACGAACTTTTTTATTTAAAAACAGATATATCATAGGGCATGATGCAGGCAGCTGGTTAAAAATTGATTCAAGAACTGGTGAGATACAATTTTCTAGAGAATTTGATAAGAAGTCAAAATATATTATCAATGGGATATACACAGCAGAGATCCTGGCTATAGATGGTAAGAAAATTTATTTTCAGTATTTTAAGAAAACTAGTACTATTATATTAAATATTATGTTATTCTAATGCTGATATTTGAGTGACTCAGACATTTTTAATGGTGTATGCAAGACTTATGGAAAGCCCTAAACACCTTAAATCAAGAATTGAAGTCAATTAAAATCATAATTTACACTGAAGCCATAGTTTATTTCATCTACTTCCAAAACTGAGTTGTATATGGCTTACAGCATAAAAGTTAAAATATAATTCATCTTCTGATTATGACTTTGTCTCTTGAGTATGGCTAATCTCACTTGTAGGGTATGTTGGGAATGTTTACTTAAAGTAAGGGCTACGTGCTCTACAAAGTTCATTTGGGGATCACCTTGTGGGAAAGCAATGTCTCCAAGAATACAATTATTTTAGATCCATTAAAACTGAACTACAGTGAGAAGCTTGTGTGAGTGTTGCTTGATTAGACATATTTCCATAGTAAGATGCTATGGACCAAGAAAGCACAGATTATTCCAAATATAAGATCCATATTAAAAGTCATAAATACAGATGCACTGACTTAACTTGTAAGCGAGCCACCTCTCACATGGGTAAATCTGTTAAGCAGTCCTCTTGGTGAGCAGCAACAGGATTTGTTTATTTATCAATAGTTAATGATTCTATGAAGCAGTGCCTAGGAAACCAGCTGCTGTAGAACCAAACAAGAGACAAAGGTCAGGAACCACGAAGGAAGGGGAAAGACAGGCGTCCAAGATACATGCCTAATGTAAGACAGATACTGTAGGTTTGCATTGAGTTTATAGCTGACCTTTCCAGTATCAAAACAAAAATAAAGATAAAGAAGCAGCATAAAATTCAAAAAGAAACCATGATAAAACCAAACCAACTATCATCTGTACATCCTGGGCTTCATCCTGTGGCGGGTAAATTTTAACGCCTGGGTCAGTTTTATAAATAACATTGTCTTATTCATTATCAGTATTCTGGAAGCTCTAATTTGAAAATGGATTCTAACCATGTTGATTGCACCCTATGTTTGCATATTGGTCATATGTGAAAAATCTTCAAATGCTAGAATAAATAATTAGTCATTCCAAGCAAATAAAGAGAGAGAAAGTGCTGTCAAAATGTACCAAGAGAAACCCAGAAACAAAGCTGATTGTTTATTCACCTAAGCAGAGTGTCTGCACTGGCACAGAGCTATCTGAATGGTTGGAATAAGTTTGCTTCAGCACACACCATCATCAGGTGAAGAGACAGACCTCTATGCAGAGCAAACTTTACTGGGAAGCAAACACTATAAGCAATAGCTTGAGCTTTGGTTGCCAATCACAAGGTAATAGAAGAGCTACCAAAGATCAAAGAATGACAAATAAAACAATCTGTGGAATAATCTGATGCCTCTCGAATGAGAAGCTAAGTGAAATCGACATCCTTCATCTAGTAAAAACAAGTCCAATGCTGAATAGGGTATATAAACATATTATACAAAATCATATAGACTATAGGTAGGCTCTCAGTTTATTCTCATTCAGTTACCTCAATGACTACTACTTAGGCACACAGAAAACATCTGTAAAAGGAATTTATTGCTTTCTCAGAAAAGGACCTAGTAAGGTACCCCAGAGACGACAACGTTCTAGTTTAAAAGCGAGAAAGCTAAGATTCTTTTCAAGTTAAAAAGAAGCAAAAAAAATTCCGTATTCGCTGTAACAGAACATAGAGTAGAAAAGTGGACTAAAAAGCTCCTGGACTCCTAATCTTTAGTCTTTGGCCCTTTCTGATTAATTATACTATCCAAAAACTTGTTTCAAGTGGATTAGGGAAAAATCTAATAGACTTATATTTGTTTTCAGAAATGCCATTTCAGAAAGAAATAGCATGTAACAGATGCAATTAAAATAAACAGTGAGCACACAAGAAAAACACAAACAAGTATTTATTTCAGCTGTGGTTATTTCTACAAACACAGGACTCAGTGAGCATCCTGAATGGAGGTTCATAACTGACCTGGGGGTCTAATTTATGGGAACAGGGTGAGATTAGAAACCAGTAAACCTTCTCGGAGGAAGAACATTTGATTTTGCGCCTTAGGATGTGTCAGAATTAGCAAAATGAAATGAGGGTGGAAAACATTTTAGGAAGGGTGAAAAGAATGTGCCAGAGTCCAGAGTAAAAAAGAAACTTGTTTAAAGAACTCAAAAGAAGCAGTGTGGCTGGAAGGTAGCACACAAAGGGAAGAGTGACTTTGGGTCACTGAAGCGGGCAGGAACCTGTCAAGCCTCCCAAGTCACGTATATGTTTCCTACAAGTTCCATGGCATCATCAGGGGATATGAGAAAGAGTTTTCTCCCTAACACCATTTACCTCAACACCAATGACCCTTACTCTTTCAGATGGCTCTGGAAAAACAGCTACAGGAACCATATGTATTGAGGTTCCTGATATCAATGATTATTGTCCAAACATTTTTCCTGAAAGAAGAACCATCTGCATTGACTCTCCATCAGTCCTTATCTCTGTTAATGAACATTCTTATGGGTCTCCGTTTACTTTCTGTGTTGTTGATGAGCCACCAGGAATAGCTGACATGTGGGATGTCAGATCAACAAATGGTAAGTGAAACGTAAGCTTGTTTTTTGGACTTTAAGTCCAAAAGCAAAACAATTACCAAAAAATGTGGCAAGTCACTTAATAAAACATTCTACTTCTGTTTCCACAGTTCTTGCCATATTAACATTAAATGAAAAAAATATTTCATGTACACAGAGGATATTTGATAAAATTTTGAACTGAAATGAAATGAGTCAAAATGTTTCATTAATATTTAATTTACAAATAGTAGTGGATAAATACCAGTTTACCCATCATTTTGAGTAGGTAAAACGTTGAACCAATATTTATTCAGTTTAAAATAAACAGAACCCTTAACAAACTCATAAATTAAGAATGTCACAATTCCCTATTCTGAATAAATTCAGACAAATCACATAAATGTCTCTGAAACTCATATATCCCATAGATACATTTAAACATTTACTACTCACTTAGGAGCACATAAAATCAATTAAATTGTTTTTTACAGTAACTATGAGTTCAGACTTATTTTTAAGGGTAAAAATTTAAATCCAAATTGCTCAGTATTAGAGGAATGATTAAACAGAGTACATATTATTAAGATGTGTTAATATACAGCCATTAAAATTAGAATTATGCAAAGTATGTAGATACAAAAGAATGCATAAACCAAAGAAAGTAAAGTGAAAAACAGATCACGAAGTTGTATATGTATGTATCTTGACTATAACTACATACAATTGAATGGCTGACATCGATAAAAATTAAGAATAAATTTCAGATAACATAACATTTTATCTACCTTGCGTTCTTTTTCCTAAAACGTTAAGTGCATAATAAAAAAGAAAATGCTATGAGAGGATCTCATATGGGCTAAGATAGCTCCCCAATCTCATATTCATTTGGGGCTACAGGGAAAATTTCATGGGCTAGTCGGTGGCCATCAGACTACAGAGCCCAGGGTGAGAGGAAATACTTCCCACCTCTTTAAGGTCACCAAGCCCCTCTATTTACAGAATGGAGAAACCCTAAAATAAGGTGGGGAAAATACCACCAATAAAGTAAGAAATTAGGCAATTTGTTTTTACCATCAAACCTTTAGCTCTTTTCAACAAAACCACTTTAATATTTTTTAAAGTTAATCATGTTAAAGCAATTCCATTAATATCAAGTCAACTCTGAATTCACCATCTCCTATAAAGCTCAATAGCCCATTCATAAACAATAATAATTGCTAACCACTTTTTTCCTCATTCGGATCCTAGATATTATGATTACACATGTAAGAAAAAATGTTCTGCATGGAGGTATAATATTATAGCTATTACAGGTTTGCCAATAAAAAATATAACCACACTGGAGATGATATTCCTAGAGACCTGTTTCAATGCTTGCTGGTGTTTTAGAACAGAATGAATTTCACTTAATGTGCTGTGGCATTGCCTTATCTCATTTTTACCTTGTGCACAGGTTAGATTTTGGTGGACATAGCTGGCTTGCCATCTAGCTAACTGAGGATAATAAACCATCATAATAAAAAATATTGTGTGCTATGGATCAATCAGTTACTATTCATGGTTTAGCTGTAAATTTAATCATCTCAACACTCCTTGTATTAATAAATAAATTCCAATGAATATTTTAGACAATATGTTTTATGAAAATTCATAGGCAATGATAGCACAAAGAATTAGGAGAATGTGAACAATTTTAAATGAAAGGGCAACAATTTTGAGTAAGATACATATAAACAGTCTTAAGGAGGGTATTGTGTAAACTGTAATCCTAAATAGAAGACTTCTAATATTTTCTTTCAGCTCAATATTATTTATTCATTGGGCAAATATTTATTGAATGTATATTATATGCCAATTACTGTTGCTCTGGAAAGATGCAGCAAGGTCCTTGCCTGCATTATAGAAGTAGCAATCCAGCAGTAAGCAATACTTATTTAAAAATTAGTTATAAATGTTAAAAAAAAAAAGAAAGAAAGAAAAGTAAAAAAGGCCAGGCAGAATGGCTCATGCTTGTAATCCAAGCACTTTAAGAGGCCAAGGCAGGTGGATTGCTGGAGCCCAGGAGTTCAAGACCACCCTGGGCAATATGGCAAAACCCTGTCTCTACTAAATGTATATATATTAGCCAGGCATGGTGCCACACACCTGTAGTCCCAGCTTCTCAGGAGACTGAGGTGGGAGAATCACTTAAACCTAGGAATCCAAGGCTGCAGTGAGTCATGTTCGTGCCACTGCACTCCAGCCTGGGCAATAGGAATGAGACTCTGTCTCAAAAATAACAAGAATAATAATAATAATAATAAATTAAATAAATGTTAAAAAAAAGTACAAGGTGCTTTATGACTAAGAAAGCATGAAAAATCTAGTGTTTTAAGTCAATATTTGGTATTAGGGAGAGTTAACCACCCCCCTAGCCCACCAAGGAATTTCCATTTATTTTCTGTTTCCTCTCTTCCATTTCAGCTACCTCGGCAATCCTTACGGCTAAGCAGGTTTTATCTCCAGGATTTTATGAAATCCCAATCCTGGTGAAGGACAGCTATAACAGAGCATGTGAATTGGCACAAATGGTGCAGTTATATGCCTGTGATTGCGATGACAACCACATGTGCCTGGACTCTGGTGCCGCGGGCATCTACACAGAGGACATAACTGGTGACACGTATGGGCCTGTCACTGAAGACCAAGCTGGAGTTTCAAATGTTGGTCTTGGACCAGCAGGGATTGGCATGATGGTTCTGGGCATCCTGCTACTGATTTGTAAGTACTCAATTAAATCCTTCTTTTCAATAGTTCTTCAAAATAGGGCTGTTACGAGGCTCGCTGGGATGGTTAGGTTCATGGAGCCATTTCTTTTTGGTATCTCTAGCAATTTTTGAGTGCCTTAGAAATAAACAATGGGACTGACAAATATATGCGCTTAATCCACAATGATAACTAAGAAAGCCTAGGGTGAGTGACAGTCCTAAAAATGGGAAACACATGCAAATCACTACATATACTACCTAAAAGCACAAAACAAATCCCATCATGGAAATTTCCTTAAAATGCTTTAAGAGTAGAGAGGCAGAAGCAATTAAGTCCATGTGGAAAAGTTAGGACAATCTTTTGGAAAAGTGGATTTTGAGGTGAGCCTGAAAAGCTGAGGATTTTTTTTTTCTTTTTTTCTTTTTCTTTTTTTTGAGATGGAATCTTGCTCTATTGCCCAGGCTGGAGTGCAGTGGCGCAACCTCGGCTCACTGCAACTTCTGCCTCCCAGGTTCAAATGATTCTCCTGCCTCAGCCTCCCGAGTAGCTGGGACTACAGGCGCCCACCACCACGACTGGCTAATTTTTGTACTTTTAGTAGAGACGGGGTTTCACCATGATAGCCAGGATGGTCTTGAACTCCTGACCTCGTGGTCCACCTGCCTTGGGCTCCCAAAGTGCTGGGATTACAGGCATGAGCCACTGCACCCTGCTGAGGATTTCTTTTAAAGGAGGATGATGTCTAAGGAAATTTGAAAGGTAATCAAACACACACACACAAAAAAAAACCACACACACAAACAAAAGGGAGCAAGATATGGAAGAGCATAGCACACCTAGGAAGCAGAGAGGCAAAAGGGAGTCTGGGAGCCAGCATGGAGGCATGTTCATGACACACCAGGCATTCTGGGCTTCAGTACAATGGCACAGAAGAGTTGATGAGGGCTGATGAGCGCAGGTGACCCTGCGGTAGGAAGCAAGTAGAAGAGACTAGAACAGAGAATTAGCCTCTGGGCTCTGGGTGAGTGCCTAAACTAAGACTGGTCACAGAAGTGGAAAGATCACCAAACAAAAATTTCCCAAAAAGGGCCCTCCTTTCCCCATAGAGTTTTTTTAAACATATAGATCCTCAGAGGAAGAATACTTCATACATTTTAGGTTGCCCTTGCAATATTTAGGTTTCATGGGGATCAAAAGCTGGGTTCTAAAATTAAAGAGAAGTAAATTTGTCAAACTGTATTGTTGCTGTTTTCAGGGATGAGCACTAATTAAAATGTAATCATTTCAAGGCATAAAAAATAACAGCTGACTTTTGGTGAGGATTTCTTTTTTGAAATAATCTGTGAGGTTTCAAAGCTATGCAAAGATCATGAGTGATTCTCACAATGATATTAGACACATTTTCCCAGAATATAACTCTACAGCAATTGAGTAGTGGTTTCGGGTAAGCTTTGAGTTAGCGGTTCTCAACCCTAGTTGTACATAAGAATTAGTTAAAGGTCTTCCAAAATTACTCATACTAGAGTCATACTCAAGATGAGACCAAGCATCAGCATGTTCAAGCCCTTTGGTGAGACTAATGTGCAGTTCAGGGCTAAAAACCCAGTGCCAGCTGCATTTCCAGAACGTTAGCACTAAGAATTTCAAGACTTTTTCCTGACCCAGACAAAGAAAGCATGAGAGTTGTTCAACTGATGGATTGTAGAATAGGAGAGGAATACCCCTATGGACACTTGTTTTCAATGGAGAAGCCCATGGTCTATTTTAGGAGAGAGGGGGCAGTGTGATGGTAGTGGGAGGGATCTGAGCCCAAACCTATGTTCCCAAAGGGCCTCAAATTGACACTTTTGATGTTAGCTCCAAATGAGATTACACATACAGTAATTGTATTGGGTATGTGCTAAAAACACTTCATTTCATTTATTAGATAGTGCCTTTGTTAGAGTTCAGGCCTGCAATGGTACATGATCCAGCTCACATTTAAATTCACAGAAATATAGAATAGGCAGAACCATGGCCTAGGGGCTACCAATTTTAGTTTTAGTCCTTTTCCAGAAAATGCTATGGAAATGTATAACTTGACCTTTCACTGTTCATAGTGCAGATGGCAAAATTGCCAAATTAATTGTTGTAATAAGACTAAAGCTGATTTTGCAACTTTGATAGTCTCTTCTTTTGTATCTGTTTTTAATTTTTAATTTTTGTGGGTACATAATAGGTGTACATATTTATGGGGTACATTAGCTGCTTTGATACAGGCATGCAATGTGAAATAATCACATCCTGGAGAATGGGGCATCCATCCCCTCAAGCATTTATCCTTCTATTCTTTATCTTTAATTAACCCACTTAGTAAAATGCATGCCATGCTAGAGAATTAGGAAAGTATGAAAAGCAACCAGAGTGGGCCCAAAGAACTAAACAGAGTGTATTCTAGAATCTTAGAAAACTTAAGCAGTGTCTATATTTATGGATTAAAATACAGAATTGAGGTGATTATTAGGGTAACAAATAGGAAATTTCCTCTTAAGAAACACTTGGATAGCTAAACATTTTTGATAGCTTTAATTTTTCATTATAGTCTATAAACAAAGTCTTAAAATAATTGTAAATATCTCCATTAAATTTAGTGAGTATTATTTGACTTCTATTTTAAGTGTAACTGTAATAAGGATTGAAGATAGGTCCTATCTCCAGGTCCTATAGCTGAATCCTGTATTCAATCCTCTTGATAACATATATTCATGATGCGTTTAACTTACATGTATGTGTGCATCTGCCCCAACCAGTTCAAGAGTCTTAGACTAAAGACGACCTTACTTTCCTAATCTGTCAGCAAAGAAATTCAATTACCTGATCGCAAACTCCTTGCCATCTAGCGCTAAAGTTCTATGTGATTTGGTGGTGCTGTATTTATAAACTTGGATATGTATACTCAATCCCCTAAAGGAAAAAAATGAGATTTTCTTACATATATTTGTATTTTTGTTCTAAATATACTGCCACCAAATGCTCCCCAGAATGATTCATCCAGTGACTTCCTAAACCGAGCAATGTGTGTTAACTCGACATTGTCACTTTCTTGGGCAGTGGCTCCACTCTTGCTGCTCCTGTGTTGCTGCAAACAGAGACAGCCAGAAGGCCTGGGAACAAGATTTGCTCCTGTGCCTGAGGGCGGAGAAGGAGTGATGCAGTCTTGGAGAATTGAAGGGGCCCATCCCGAGGACAGGGTAAGTGGACTGTCACTCTCCAGAGAAGTGTGGAGTTTCAGTGGAAATTGAGCATGTCTTAACAATTACATGCTGCACAAAAATGAACAGATGTCAGTTTTTAAATGTTTAACATAAAGCGTTTGTTTTTAAAATGTTTATTTTTCTTTTCAGGATGTGTCAAATATATGTGCACCCATGACAGCCTCAAATACCCAGGATCGGATGGATTCCTCTGGTCAGTAGACACCAAAATCTGTTTTTCCTTTTAAATTTTTCAAAATTATTCAACCAGACCAACTTCATGTAAAAGTACCTTATGGAAAAGTCTGTCAGTCTCTTTGGGTGACAGTATAATTAGAGGGAATGTGACCTGTTTGAAGTAGCCACTTTTTTTTTCTATCTGAAACTACAGACAGTGAAGTATGACACAGCAGTTAAAAGAGCAAACTCTGGAAGCAGAATGCTTGGGTTTGATTCCCAGCTCTGCCACTTGCTTAAGGGTTGCATATCTTTTATCCGAAATGCATAGGACCATGAGTTTGAGTTTGGCTCAAACTTTTTGTACCATGATGATCAAAAAGTTTCAGACTTAGGAGCATTTTGGATTCTTGATTATTGGATTTGGGATGCTCAACCTGTAGTAATAAGTCCTTAGTCAAGACATTTAACCTCACTGGGCCTCAGTTTCCTTATCTTTAAAATTGAGCTTATGATAGTACCTACTTTAAAGTGTTGCTGTGAGGAGTAAATAATACATATTACATATGTAATATATAATACATACATATATTGTATAGATTATTTTATTATATATAACATACATGTGTATGTGTGTCTATATATATACACACACACATATATAAGTGTGTATATATACATATATCACAAAATATACGTTAGAGTAGTGCCTGGCACTGTAGTAATTATTTATAATACAAGCTGTTTTTTTTTAAAGAGCTAAAGAAAAGGCAGTAAATGTACTCTAATAATACACTGAATAACTTTTCTTAACTTCAGACAAGCTTTTGCCTCAAAAGAGTGTCGTAAACTCTCCTATCTTACCAGCCCCACGCATATCTAACAATACTGAACACACTACTTAGCTATATGGCAATGATTGCACCAAACAGAGAGGGTGCTTAATTCTGCAGTGCACGTGAGCTTTCTCTGATGGTTCCTTAGTATCCCAAGCTTGGCCCTTTGTATGCAAAGAAACTCCGTGACTGAACATCCCTGTGAGCCCAGCTCCATCCTGTTCCGGAGTGAAGGAGGACTATGAGCTCAGTTTCTGCAATCACGCCGCTGGCCTTGCTTTGGAGGGCTCCCGGCTGGATCAAGCCCGCAGCAGCCACGGCGGGAACGGGCGCCTGCTTGTAGTTCTCTTGGCTAGTTCTACACCTTTAAGTCTAGGGCGAAGTCTGTGCAAATGTGGGAAGGCCACGTCCCACCACTGACTCCCTCTGTGTAATTAATTTACTTTTATTTGGTCAACAAGCCTGGAGATGTATCGGTGTAACTTGTATCTCTCTTTGTCAGCTTTTTAGCGCCTACGCCTTGCCGGGTGGTGGTGGCACCGCAGACGGCGGCGGCAGCGTTTTAGGCAGATGCGCGCTGCAGGCAACTCCAGCGCTGTTAAACCAACATCCTCCCTTTTCAGAAATCTACACCAACACCTATGCAGCCGGGGGCACGGTGGAAGGAGGTGTATCGGGAGTGGAGCTCAACACAGGTATGGGGACAGCCGTTGGCCTCATGGCCGCAGGGGCCGCAGGAGCCTCAGGGGCCGCAAGGAAGAGGAGCTCTACCATGGGAACCCTGCGGGACTACGCTGACGCAGACATCAACATGGCTTTCTTGGACAGCTACTTCTCGGAGGTAATGCCCTCACAGTCACACATAAAATCGTCTTGAGATTGAATAATAATAATAGTAAAATACTCACAATGGTAGTAGGCCTCTTCGGAAATATGCTGTTATTCTCAACCCTATCCCAAACCTGAATAAAAAGTATTTCACGTCTCCTTAAAACACAAAATGCTAATTTGCCACAGGATTTCATATTCAACTGCCATAGCGCATCTTAGTACCGTGAACAAGGCCACACCCCTCATCATTCTCCACTTCCCTTTTCCATTTTTCTATCTTTTGTTTCCTTGATTCCTCACCTTGTTTCCCACAGCAGTAGCAAAGCAGGAAAATGCTCATCAAGGGGAAAAAAGGTGCATTTATGACCTCTGTTTTTGATGTCCTTCATGTTCTCCCGGAGCCTCCAACAGAAAAGAGAAAATAAAAAGAATTGGGAACGAAAGGAGTTAAAACTCAGGAACGCAGCATCACCACAACTCGTGCTAGATTAAGACCTAGAAGATAGCTCTCCTATTCTCAGTCCAGTGACTTATCCACCAACTGACCTTCACTACGAAAAGGGGTCCAGCAATAGCACTGCTGGGTATATATCCAAAAGAAAGGAAATCAGTATATCAAAGAAATATATGCACCCCCATGTTTATTGCAGCACTAGTCACGTAGCCAATACATGGAATCAACCTGTGTCCATCAACTGATGATTGGACTTCTAAAATGTGATTCATATACCCAATGGAATATTATTCAGCCATAAAAAATGAAATTTTGTCATTTTGCAACAACATGGATGGAACTGGAGGACACTGTTAAGTGAAATATGCCAGGCACAGAAAGACTAATTTGACATGTTCTCACTCATCTGTGGAAGCTAAAAGGAAAAACCGAACTCATGGAGATAGAGAGTAGAATGATGGTTACTAGAGGCTGACAAGGGTAGTAGGGAGGGGAAACAGTGGGATGGTTAATAGGTGCAAAAATACTGTTAGAATGAAGAAGATCTAGTATTTGGTAGCACAACAGGATTGCTATAGTTAACAATAATTTATTACACATTTTAAAAGAACTAAAATAGAACTAGAATTTTATCTCATATTTCAGTCGGCCTGCTTTATTCTCCATCTGTTCATACATGAATTTCACCATGATTCTTTACCAAACAAATGCTGAAGATGTTGTTGCAATTGTAAACTATATCTTAAAATTGGTAGTTACAAATGCTATCACAGAATGTGCATGGATAGTATCAATTATTTTAATGAGTGATTGATACCATTATTCAGTTTATTCCGTAACAACTTAACTCAGAAGTCTCTCTGAGGGATTGCTGTTATTCTTCCTTATTTTAGGGAAAAAGAAATTTCTAATTCTGTATTTCCTTTTAATTTTAGAAAGCGTATGCTTATGCAGATGAAGATGAAGGTCGACCAGCCAATGACTGCTTGCTCATTTATGACCACGAGGGAGTCGGGTCTCCCGTAGGCTCTATTGGTTGTTGCAGTTGGATTGTGGATGACTTAGATGAAAGCTGCATGGAAACTTTAGATCCAAAATTTAGGACTCTTGCTGAGATCTGCTTAAACACAGAAATTGAACCATTTCCTTCACACCAGGCTTGTATACCAATCAGTACTGACCTCCCTTTGCTCGGACCTAATTACTTTGTTAATGAATCTTCAGGATTGACTCCCTCAGAAGTTGAATTCCAAGAAGAAATGGCAGCATCTGAACCCGTGGTCCATGGGGATATTATTGTGACTGAGACTTACGGTAATGCTGATCCATGTGTGCAACCCACTACAATTATTTTTGATCCTCAGCTTGCACCCAATGTTGTAGTAACCGAAGCAGTAATGGCACCTGTCTATGATATTCAAGGGAATATTTGTGTACCTGCTGAGTTAGCAGATTACAACAATGTAATCTATGCTGAGAGAGTACTGGCTAGTCCTGGTGTGCCTGACATGAGCAATAGTAGCACGACTGAGGGTTGTATGGGACCTGTGATGAGCGGCAATATTTTAGTAGGGCCAGAAATTCAAGTGATGCAAATGATGAGTCCAGACCTTCCCATAGGCCAAACCGTTGGCTCCACATCCCCCATGACATCTCGACACAGAGTAACACGATACAGTAACATACATTACACCCAACAGTAAGTGCTTTATGGTCAGTATTCTATGTGGAGACCTTGCACCTTGTAATCATCAATACATCCACCAAAAATATATAATGTACCATATATATTAATAGTCAACAAATACTCAGATATTCTAAGGTCAATGCCATTATTTGATTATACCATTTTGAGGGTGAATATGGCTAGGCACTTTAGATAAGCCTTTTTAAAATTCTTTCTGATTTTAAATAATGCGTCAAAAAATGTGCAGAAAATGTATTGCATCCCTTGATACTGTCTAACGAATAGCACATAACTCATATTGTGAATCCTATGGGTCTTGAGGCCTGTAGAACCAATCTTGTAAACCAAGATGCCTTGTTCTTGGAAGTTACAAAAGAAGCCCTGTCTACATCCACCAGCCATATTTTTCGTTAGGGAAATATTTATATTAAAATTTTTAATTGAAAAGTTGAATGAAATGTACATTCTGAAAGGAAATTGAAAAGGAACGTAGAGTATCTGTCAATATCTTTAGATATCTGAAGTCATTTGTCTCTTCAAAAGATTTTTCAATATTATGCGCTATTAAGCAATAGGAGATGCTTAATATAATAAGAAAAGAGTTTGCCAACTGAAAGCATGGCTGGAAATGGTTCATCAAAGAAAAATATATATTTTTATTGAACTTTATTGATTTATATGATTAACTGTAAATTAATCTAGAATAGCAAAAAAAAATGACAATCCTAAAGTAGAAAGAGTTATTGGGGAAATATTAGAGTTTTCCCCACTTACAGGGAATTTTTTCCCTACTGTTGCCAATTATGTCAGAAAAATACATGAAATATGGCTTAACCAATTTCATTGACCTGAATCGTAGAGCTTTCAATTGGCAACCAGATATTCTCCAAAAGCACTCTGTAGTTATTCATATATTCTACAATATTTACTTAGAAGCAACTAGGTGTTGGGTGCTAGTCTTGGCTCTGTGAATATACAGGTAAAGAAGACAGACATGGTTTCTGCCTTCATAGAGCTTCTATTCATTTCTAGACTTAAAATAAAACTCTGGGATATGGCTTTAAGTTCCTAACAACAATAATTAACCAACTACTTAAGTCCATTACCAAGTTGTGTTTCTCTTTGCAACACTACTGTTTATGTTGAATAAATAAAATGGAAACACATTGCTTACTTTTCGTAGGCATAAAGCTGACTTGAGAAAAAGAATCTCTAGCCAGGTAATTTTACTTAATTCTGTAAAATATGTATACAGTAGCAGCAATAATGTGACTGAGATAATGTAAATGAAATAAACTTATTTTCAAGGCTTAATCCTTTTGAAAGGAAATAATTGTAGTGTTTCTTGCCTATCTTTTGCTCCTTTATGAATAAAACTATTGTAGAATTTAAGTCATCTCAGATAACCTCTTACCTAGTTCTCTCATTTTCTGGACAATGAATCTAGAAATAGAGAGGTTAAATGACCACAACCAGCTAGTTGTGGTACAAAGCCTTGAACCCATTGTTCAGATACGCTAGCCAGTATGCTTTTTTATACTATAACTTCACCAGATCTGAAGAGGATCCAAACCTGCCTGTTGCATACTCTTTGCTATTCCCTAATTGGAAGAAAAACTCTCTCTCAAAAAATTAAGTTTTAAAGTGTAAGCGCAGACCAGCTAAAACATTGTAATGCTAGAAAGTTACTTACATATTTCCTAATATTTTCCAAATTATGTGTACTGCCAGCTGCTACATCCATTTCTCACTTTAGTAAATTTTACTACTCTATAATTGATGAAATCCATGGGGTAGCTAAGGAGCATTGGTCTCATGGTGATTAAACACTCAAGCAACAACCAGCCACATAGCATCTGGCACACACTCCATTCCGTGGCAAATCCTGACATGGATATTTCTCGCTTAAAGTTTGCATTGGATGGCTTTTGTTAAGTCAAAAACTAACACATTGGTGAGACTGCGGAGAAAAGCGGACACTAATACAGTGTTGGTGGGATTGCAAATTAGTCTAGCTACTGTGGAAAATAGTTTGGAGAATTCTCAAGGAACTGGGAGTTGAATAGCCATTTGACCTAGCAATCCCATTACTGGGTATAAACCCAAAGAAAAATAAACTGTTCTACCAACAGGACACGTGTACCCATGTGTTCACTGCAGTGCTATTCACAATAGCAAAAACATGGAATCAATCCAGGTGCCCATCAACAGTGGACTGGACAAAGCAAATGTGGTACATATACACCGTGGACTACTATGCAGCCATAAAAAAGAATGAAGACTGAAGAATGAAATCACGTCCTTTGCAGCAACATGGATGCAGCTGAAGGCCATTATGCTGAGCAAATTAATGCAGGAACAGAAAACCAAATACCTTATGTTCTCACTTATAAGTGGGAGCAAAACATTGGGTTCACATGGACATAAAGATGGACATAATAGACAATGGAGGCTATTAGGGGAAGGAGAGAAGGAGAAGGGCAAGGGCTGAAAAACTGTCTATTGGGTACTACGCTCACTACCTAAGTGACGAGTTCGGTCATACCTCAAACCTCAGCATCATGTGATATAGCTTTGTAACAAACCTGCGCATGTATTCCTTGATTCTAAAATAAAAGTTGAAAAAGAAAAATAACAAAATAAAAAATTTTAAAAACAGGTATTTTTATATATAATGATTTCTATTCTTTTGGGTAGATGCCCAGTGGTGAGATTTCTGGGTTGAATGGTAGTTCTATTTTTAGTTCTTTGCAAAATCTCCATACTGTTTGAATTTTTTTAACTACAAATGGATAAGTAGGATCATACTCTTGGTATATAGAAATACATGTTGTTGTCAGAGAAATTTTTTGAGTGTATTTTAAATTACTGTTATCATTTAACATTTAAAACATGTTAAAAAATTATAAAAATGAACTCAGTAAGTTTTCTCGTCTAGAATATAGTGATTATTTTAAATTTGGGTCTTTTTTTAATATTTTAAACTGACCAAAAAAGTGGAAATCGACCTGCAAAAATAGAGTTTGCATTCTATTAGGCCAATCATTCTAAGAATTATAAAATAGTCAAAACACTATGAGATTTTAGAAATGAAGAATAATACCAAACATTTAACTAATAGATTACTCTTTTTTTTTTTTTTTTTTTTTTTTTGAGACAGTCTTGCTCTGTTGCCCAGGCTGGAGTTCAGTGGCATGATTTTGACTCACTGCAACCTCCACCTCCCAGATTCAAGCGATTCTTGTGCCTCAGCCTCCCGAGTAGCTGGAACAATAGGCGTGCACCACCAAGCCCAGCTAAATTTTTTGTATTTTTAGTAGAGGCGGATTTTTGCCCTGTTGGCCAGGCTGGTCTCAAACTTCTGGCCTCAATCAATCCACCCACCTTGGCCTCCCAAAGTGCTGGGATTACAGGCGTGAGCCACCATGCCTGGCCCTGCTTACAATTTTAAAAGGAGGTTAAAACACCACTTGTGAAAAGGATAAGATAATGTTCCTGTGAGCTTTTTCTTCTCTTTATCAATACACAAAGACTTAAAGCTGCTTCCAAAGAAAAGACTTACCTCTAATAGATGCCCTCCTCCATACTATCTGTGGAAATAAGAGCTGAACAATGTAATTTTCTCTCAACATTGTTAGTAAGGAGGAACTCTTCCACCATTCCAAGGTGATCAGTATCATTCAGATGCAACTCAAGCTTCCAAAATTGACATACTTTTTAAATGTCATCTCAAACGAAATAGCATAAACCAATATTCTCTTTACTGCTTAAGACTCAGGGTATTAATTTGTCTAAGAAGTAAAAATGATATCGTGTTTATGTTAAGGTTTGAAAATGAACCCAAAAGCTCAAGAAATTATATTTTATAAATAAATATAACATATAGTCTGAATCATATTTCCTGCCCTGTGAAATTACTTGAGGGGGTAGCATCATTACATGAATAAATGGGTTATCTTGGGAAAGTCTTACAGGTGAAGAGAAAGGAAAACATTAAGAACATAGAGTTAATAAACTTGTTCAAGAAAAAAATTATTTTCTAAAAAAATTCTTCTTTTGAACTAGTTATTTCTGATCATGGTGTATTAATTACTAAATGTAATAATTTTTTATGTATTTATTTAAAAAATATATATGATAAAACAATGTTTTATTTTCTCTTTGGTGAATGTAGTATTTCATATGTAAACAGACAAATTCAGAAAATCTTTTCCCATTTTATTGATAATCATCTTTATTATTATGTGCACAGTACAGGGGCATGAATTCACTTGTAAATTAAAATTTAGAATAATTCATTTGTTTTTAATGATAAAATTTATCAACAGAATTATTATTTTATTAGTAAATGCTCATATAAAATAACAAATAAATTTAATAAACTCCATAAATTATTGTAGACACTGCAATTAAAAAATTAAGTATCACCATGGAATACTATGCAGCCATAAAAAAGAATGACATCATGTCTTTTGCAGGAACATGGATGGAGATGAAAGCTATTATCCTTAGCAAACTCATGCAGGAACAGAAAACCAAATACCACTTGTTCTCACTTATAAATGGAAGCTAAATGATGACAGCACATGGATACATAGGGGGAACAACAGACAATGGGACCTCTTGGAGGGTGCAGAGTGGGAGAAGGGAGAGGATCAGGAAAAATAACTAATAGGTACTAGGCTTAATACTTGGGTGACAAAATAATCTGTACAACAAATCCCCATGACACAAGTTTACCCATATAACAAACATATACATGTACCCCTGAACTTAAAATAAAAGTTTAAAAGAAAATTATCTCTTCCCACTGGATTCAATCTTGGGGCATGAGATTTAAGATATGAATTTAAAATAAAGTAGTACCAAGCATTTAACTAACAAATTAAAATTTTAGAAAGGTGAAAACAGTACTTGTGAAAAGGGTAAGAAAATTTTCCTGTACAATTTTTTTTCACCAATTCTCTATTCAACAAAATTATTACTATTGTTTCTGTGCCAGAGGTACCAATTTATGTAGAATAAGGAAAGAATAATTATTTTCAATCAGGGGAATTGAGGAAGGATCCTTGAAGATGATGTAGAATTTTGTCTGACGGAAATTACAAAGATATAAAAGCTAAAACACAGGCTATACCCAAAGACTATTAAGTAGCCAAATTAAACATACTTAAAAATGTCTGAAACAAAATAAGAATTTTAAAATTATCTTATAGTCAGCCATTTTAAGATGATGGTTACTGCATTAATTACTCAAAATATACTATCCTATTGAAATATCAAAATAACACTATGAGGTATGATTTATACCCATGTCATAGATGAAGACACAAAAGCTAAGCTAAGAGAAATGCTCTTTTATTTTTCGAGATGGAGTCTCGCTCTGTGTCCCAGGCTGGAGTGCAGTGGCGCGATCTCGGCTCACTGCAACCTCCACCTCCGGGGTTCGAGCGATTCTTCTGTCTCAGCCTCACGAGCAGTTGGGATTACAGGTGCGTGCCACCACACACGGCTAATTTTCGTATTTTTAGTAGAGAAAGGGTTTCTACTAAACCAGGCTGGTCTGAAAGTCCAGATCTCAAGTGATCCGCCAGCCTCGGCCTCTCAAAGTGCTGGGATTACAGGCGTAAATCACCACACACGGCCAGAAATCATTTTTGTTAGAGCTTAAGTGGGTAGCAAAATTAAAATTCAAACCCAGGACTCACTCCAAAACTCTTACTGCTATTCACCAAATTATTTTATTTAATTCTGGAAGGATATGTGAGAGGCAGCCTGTAGAAGGATCTTGAATCCAATTAGGAGGTTGGATTTAACTTGGTAGGAAATGGAGAACCAGTGAAATTTTTTTGTGCCGGCCAATGGGCAGGCCCAATTTTATGAGGTGGCACTGGGACGGCCCTCAGGAATCCTCATGATAGTCTGTCTGTGTTCTGTTGAGACACCAGGTGGCTCGTTCACTGAGGTGGAGAGCCTAGTGTTTGTCTCTGTGGAAGTCACGATCTTCTGATAAGTCACCATTCCAAGCCTAGGAAATCCTTTAGGTCACCACTGAGGTGAGCAGGTCCGTGATGTTTCTAAAGCGACTCCAATTAATCATCCTACTTGTTAGTCAAAGTATTTGCACATTGAATGCCCTTCCCGTTTTGATCACTTTAAGTGAGGTGTTTGGACTAATTGTAGTTCCTAGAACAGGGCCTGCTTTCTCATACCTCTGTCACGCTGCTCCACCCTAGTTTCTTAATCTGGAGCCCTCTCCACTCCCCTCATCTGTTTAGCTTTTCCTTACTTACTCACCTCAAGCATTGCCACTTCTCAGAAACATTTCTTGTTATCTCTTCCACCACCCCAGCCTGCTGGGGTACTGCTAATAGTCTCTCTTCTATTAGGTTGATATATGATTAGGTATGCTGATGATTCTGACTATTGTTATAGCTAGCTCTCCTTTATTCCCTTCAGAAATTACCACACTACTTCCCTGTGCCTGCTAGCCTGTGAGCCCCTTAAGAATACAGACAATGCATTTCTCTTTCCTGTATCTGTGGTGTTGGAATGTCTAGTATATAGCATGCATTCATTTAATTGTAGAAGTGAAAAATATAGTCAAGTTCTCTCAAGCACCTAAAAGTAAGTGTCTACAGTTCAACAGTGTCGCCTCTAGATAGCAGCCTTCTGAATGATCTCCAAAAAGCTTGTGTCAATGTCACCCTTAAGGAGAAGATGCAAGCATATTAACTAACAGGACAATCACATTTCCGGAGAAATCGATCTTTTGCACAAAGAGTACTAAAATAAAGTCACGGAAAATAACTTCGCGTGCTTTTTGAAAGAAATTGTGGTATAGATGGATAAACTAAATTCTAAAAATGCTACAGAGAAAGTGAAGCTGGGAAATGTAGTTCCACAAAGGCCTTAAAAGTGTGTGATGGTAGAGCAAAATTGACGATTGGTAATTGTCAACCCAGCACAGATACCCAACACAGACAGTTTTTAAAGCAGTGACAGCAGATTTGCTTTTCCTACAGTTAGCCAAACAGACACATTTGAATGTGAATTTAGTGTCAAGAGTTTGTCACTGAATTTTTTCTAGTATACTTTTCTGTAGCTTGATTTTCTCACATTACCATGAACATCATGCTGTGTCGGCACATATTTATCAACCTCATTCATTCGAAAATCTGCATAATATTCATAAATTTGCACCACACTTTTTTAACCATTCTCTTATTACCAGAAAATTAGGTTGATTTCAGTTTTTGCTATTACAAATAATGCTACAATGAATATTTACATATCTAATATAGGCATGATACAGATGTACATATAAGAACAAACACATGGAAGTTGAAATATTTGTATAGGATAGACTCTTTAAAGAGGGAAGCCGTATCAAAGCATATGGACAAATAATTTTTATTGCATTTTCCCAAATTTTTCTGTCAACAAGAATGTCCATTTACACTTCTGCCAGCTGTTCTTGACAGGGCTTGCTTAGCCATAGACCTAATAATAATTGATGTTATCAGCTTTTTAATGTTTAATAATCTAATAAAAATTATAATTATTTGATATTACTCATCATTATACAGAATTTGGCATTCAGTAAATATTAGTTGACAATAAAAGAATAAATTAATCAATCAATATTTTAAATTACCATATATACTTAAATACATTTCTAGTCTCTCTTCTATTAGATTGATATATTATTGGGTATGCTGATAATTCTGACCATTGTTACAGCTGTAGTATACTGTTTTCAGTGTGTTTACTATCTGACAGGTACAATCCCCACCCATTGGCTCTTTTTTTATTATTATTATCTTGGCACTTCTAATACATTCAAGTTAAAAAAATTTTGAAGGATATGTTTAGAATTAATTAAAATTAAATTGAATTATACATTAATAACTTTGATATCTTCAAAACTCCAGCATTAATTTGTAACTTTGCCTGTTCCATTATGACATTTACACAGGATAAATGATTTAGAAGAATGTTAAAACTTCTGGAAATTTGCTGATCATTGACAGAGGCCGTTGATAATAAGATTGCTTTCATTATAGCCTTTAGTTGATTAATAGTTTTTCTTTTCTTTTGAAGTTATTTCTTATGTATAAATTCGGTAACAAAAAAAATTATATGACAGGCAGCAAAATAGAGCTCTCAATATTAAGAACCAGATGAAAGTTATTTATTTTAATCATATTTTCCAAAGCAACATAAAAGCCAAATAAATGAATCCTAAACTTTAAACTTACATGTCACATGGAAAAATCCCACTTGCAGAAAGCCAACTTAATATCAGTAAATATGAAATAATTTTCAACTTTATCATAAATTTTGAAATATGTGAATGATTGCTGCAATATTTTAAACATAGACTAAATATCAAATACAGATCATGAAAATTAATTTGCAAAGACAATTTCTTTAAATTCTATTTTAGCTTACTTGAAATAACAGTAGGCTGAAGAAACCCAGTTGATAATGAGAAGGAATTACTGGCAGCAATTTTGCCAATGCTTTTATGGATTAAGAAAGCAAATAAATAAAAAAGATTGTGAGATGTCTTATCATTTTTGAAAATAATAAGGTAAAAATCAATAAAACTATTCAAACAATTATATACATTATTTTATATAAATTATATACATCCATTTATATATTTATATATAAATTTTCATAAATAAAATTATATAAATCCATTTTACAGATAACTATGTGTATTGTCTGGTTACTGAAGTGTTGGCATGCAGGTAGCATGTGCTAGCACAAAGTGTTTGTTCACTAGCTGAACTGTGCATAAGAAAGGTAGTGTCAGGGTGCCAATATATAAAGTAGATAAAGTGAGTTAAATGAAAGGGGAACAAATGAAAATTGAAGACTACCTGTATTTACTGTTGTTGGCATAAAAGATTGACCCTAAGCATCAAGAAAACTTTTCTTAAAAAGCGGACCACAAAATATAAATTAAAACCACAATAAGACAGCATCTCACTCCAGTCAGAATGGCTTTTGTTAAAAAGTCAAAAAATAGCAGATGTTGGGAAGGCTGCATAGAAAAGTGGACACTGATACACTGTTTGTGGGAATGTAAATTCCTCCAGCTACTGTGGAGAGTAGTTAGGAGATTTGTCAAAAAACTAAGAATTGAACTACCATTCCACCCAGCAATCCCATTACTGAGTATATACCCAAAGGAAAATAAATTGCTCTACCAAAAGGACACATGCACCCATATATTCATCATAGCACTATTCACAATAGCAAAAACATGGAATCAACCCATGTGCCCATCAGTGATGGACTGGATAAAGGGAATGTGGTACATATACACCATGGAATACTATGCAGCCATAAAAAGGAAGAAAATCATGTCCTTTGCAGCAAGGTGGATGCAGCTGGAGTGATTACCCTAAGGGAACTAATGCAAAAACAGAAATCCAAGTACCGCATGTTCTCAGTTATAAGTGGGAGCTAAACATTGGGTTCCCATGGACATAAAGATGGGAAAAATAGACATAGGGCTTACTAGAGTGGAGGTGGGTGTGGGACAAGGACTGAAAAACTACCTATCTGGTACTGTGCTCACTACCTGGGTGACAGTCATATCCTAAACCTCAGCATCACGTAATATACCTTTGTAACAAACCTGCACATGTACTCCCTGATTCTAAAATACAACTTTTAAAAAAATGAAAAAAAAAGAGAGAGGGAAACAAAAAAGGACCATACTTTCGTTAGAAATTCACAGAGCTAAGGTTTTCTGAGACTGATAAGATTACCGAGTTAAAAGTAAGAGAGAGGCTGAATGTGTGTTTGATAGGGAGGCAGCAAGTTTGTGTGGTGAGTGATGGTGAGGTGTTGGCACAAAAGTCACCATGCATGCATGTGATCAGAATAAATATTGATTGACTAGGAAGTCTTGTTAAATACACATTATGTATTTAACAAGGAGGCACTGACTGGGTGATGACTTTGATATCAGTGTGGCATGAGCCACCATATGTAGAGAACATGAAACTAGATAGGAATTATTAAAAAAAAAAAAAAGAGTAAAAAACAAGTATTTACTAGTATGTGTCTAGCACTAGGCTAATTGTTTCTCAAAATTTTTCTTATTTAATGCATCTTATGATCTTTCTTTTATAGTTGAAGAAAATTGAAAAGAAAAACTATAAGGAAATCACCGTGAACCAATTCCAGTGCTCATTCATTTATTCATTAAATGTTTTTTGAGCATTTTCATTATTTGCATATGAGCTAAGGGCTAGGTATAGAAACGTGAATTAGGGTCCTTACCATCAAGGACCTCAGTCAGATTCAGGAAGAAGTAAAGGGTTGAAATACAGTATGAGATACAGTTATACAAGGGGGTATGAATGAGTGTTAAGGGAGAAGAGAAGAGGGGCCTAGCATTAATGAGCTGGGAAAGGCTTCCCATAAGAAATGAACTTTGAGCCAAGCCTGGAAGGAACCACAGGAAACAGCCAGATGAAGAAATGAGAAGAGCATTCCAGGCCAATAGGATGGAATTGGAGACAAGGAGAGAAACAGGGAAGATGGAGAAAGACTGGCTCCTCTGACAGCTGGAAGCAGCTGGTAACGCTGAAGAATAAAGGCAGATCATCACAAGACAGGAAGGAGTCAGAAACCTGGAAATCAATGACATGTTAAGGAATTTCCATTTTAATCTGAAAGTTAAATCTGAAAGAGAACCATTGAATATGCCTAAAGGAGAACAGTGAATTTGAAATCGCTCGTGAAGTTTGCCTTGGCATGCATAGGAGGAGAATGAAGCAGTTGATGAGAAGACCAGCAAGGAGTTGTTTCAATGAACCAAGGCAGTGAAGAAATAACATGCGTTCCATCTACACATCTTAACCCTTGGGATAACTGAATAATTAGCTGCCCACATCACAAAATCGTAGTATAATTGTGCATTTCACATCATCAGCAAATGGTGGTAACGAGTGATGCCGGCTATATCCCAAAGGTGGCGCTGTAACCTAAAAGCACGGAGCCCAGGAAATGCCCTGCAAACTCTAAGGGTCTCTCTGTAGGACTATGTGCTGAAGGAGCTGACTCAGACATAGTCCTCCACCTCAAGAAAAATATGCCTTCTACATTTATAAGGAATAGAAATAAAATGAAAAGAAAAACTCAGTGTTAAGATGTCAAGGTTTTTTTTTTTTTTTTGCTCTTAGTGCAGGATGATTATTTTCCCAGTATAAAATTAACATGTGCTCATTGTAGAAAATTTAGAAAATGTAAAAATATAAAAGAAAATGAAAATAATTTCCCATTACCCAGAGACAACAACTAACACCATGATAATTCTCCTCGACTAATGCTAACACAGCTCTACCCTTCAACTGATAGGTAAGGCCTAGAAACCCAAATCTGTGACTGAAATTTAGTCTTTCTCTAATACCCATATTCATTGCATACATTATTTTTTTAGTTGAGATTATCCTATATAAAAGCCTGTACCTGCATTTTACGCTTAATATTCTTCATAAAATAATTAAAGAGATATTTCATCCCATGAAATGACACTGAGGTTTCCTCTACTCCTTTAATATTATAAGTGATTGTGTGATTAATATCTTTGTGCATAGAGCTTAACATGCACTTTACATTATTTCCATTAGAATTGAAGTTTTGGGGTCAATGACTATGCACATGTTTTAAAATCTGTATATTACAACACACTGTTAACAAGACAGTCCTTGATGTTAGTGAAGACACCTTATACACCAAAGTACAATAATCATAGCTATAAATTTTTTTATATCTCTGGAGTTCTAGTTTTCCTCCCAGTTCTGAGTCTGTGAGTCCAATAGATATCATTATGAAACTTACATTTGTTTATAAGGATGCCAGCATTATAAAGGCATATTTAAATAGATAACCTCTGCTATCAGGGGTTAGGTTGTGCCAGTTGTTTTTGATGGCCATAAAACTTACTTGGTTTTTGGACTGAAGACAATATAGGCTTTGCTATCTACAATGTGTCCAGCCCCTATCTATATATAGTATAGTCCTAGAACCAAAGTTATAGGACATAATTTTCTAAGAAAGAACCATATTACATCTAACAATTTGAACACTGAAGAACTCTCTCCTCCAAGAAAATAGGCATGAGAAGGCCTGAACCACAATGCCACAACAGAATCTCCCAGGTATTACCTGTGGGCTGATTGATAGAACTCGGAAGACAGCTATCAATAAGTATCCTTAGATTTAAATACACGTTTTAGAGGAAAAAAATATTCCCAGCTTAGTCCTTCAGTGCAAATGAGAACAAGAAAAAAAGAAAAATATATATATTCCCAGCAAAGAGGACATGATCTGACATGATAATGGTGGATCTTATCCTGAGATGGCACTTATTACTTATCTTCATTCCTAATTTCAAACAACTGAAGATTTTTACACTGTCCAGAATACATTACACTATGACTAATCTTTCACAATTTGTGGATTTCATGTACTAGCCTGCTCCTTGTTATTTTCTATTTCCATAGTTTCTATTTCCACCCCTCTCTTTGCCTCCCTTAATTTAGGGAATGTATATGCTCTGCCTCACCTGCACTGTGATGTTGGCAAGAAAGAAGGTACTGTGACAACTGACATTTTAACTCAGATAAAATGTCTTGTTTTATCCCTTGGACAGGATGGAAGACCTGGACATGTGAGGGAACATTCCGTTTATATAGTAATCACTTTCATAACAGTTACAAGCTGGATGCAAACTCCCCCAAACAAATGTCGCAAGCTAATAAGAGTCACTAACTTTTTCTGATGGCTGTTATCTATTCATACAGCAGCATAATCTTCACAGCATGATTAGAATCCTTTACCAAAGACTCAGAATGCCTCCACCAACTACTGAAATCTAGTAGTACTTGAGGACCAAGCCACAGAGCAAGCGCTAAAAAAAAAGTTAACTAGAACCTTACCACTTTTTCACGCACCCCAATTTCATAAAATGTATCAGTAAAAAAAAACAATTATCTAAAGAAAAAAAAAGTAAAGAAAAATTATTTATCACATAGGTAACTTGGTGTCAACTAGGTAACTGATCTATTTTAATTTAGGAAGTTAGTGTCTTCCTTCCTCAATTTTCAGATTTTCTGAGGGGAGGCTCAAAAGGCTCGAGAGGCTCTCTACAAGGAGAAAGCAAGCCAGAGAATCTGAAAAAGTGAGCAATTCGCTAGCAGAATAAGACAGAACAGTACACCTACCCTCTATTAACTCCAGCCTCTCCCAGTCTCTCTCCAAGGCATCAGCTCTTTTCTGCCCTGCATCACAGGCTACCTCCAAAAACAAAGTCCAGAGCATCAGTACGGCACTGGGCTTCCCCGATTCCTCCCTCCACACTCTTCTCTCCCCTAAAGGGCAAAAGGAGGGGATAAAGAGAAAAGACCACAGATAATCTCACTGGCTTGGGAATTATGGTTTCCGTGGAATAAAAAGGAGTGTTCTTTCTCTGAAGATGAGGGTGTGTTCATTTCACTGCATGTTTTGGCAAAGTACTTGTCAAGCATCCTTAGCTAAGACAGAAAAGCATGTAGCTTAACAAGAAAAAAGGCTGAGAAATGAAATCTGAAGTTGAAACCACTAAGCTCCATGACAGGCAGACAGATTAGCAGTGACTACTTGAAAGAGAAAACATCCATCAATTTGCCAACAAGAAAATCTGGTCAAAATAAGGAAATGCTTTCTCGTGAGTCCTGAAATTTGAAACAATTGGTGACTCTAAGGGTTGGGTGCGTGATTAATAGCAACCATACCTCCTGAATTTTCAGGGCAGGTTCATAATTATTATCACCACCCCTCTCAGGCTTAACTTAAAATCATCTACCTGTTGTCCTCTTATGTATACATTCTTGTTACATTAAATTGAGTTTTAGAAAATACAATCACCGTAATGGGCATTCATTAAATATTTGTCAATTTTGCATAACCAATCAGTCATGTATAATCCTTCACAGCATGAATCGAATTAGTTCCTTTCTTTCTATGCCTGTTGGCACACCCTGATCCAAAATTATACCATTATCTCATCTATCTCTATGTCTCTAGGTCAGACTGTGCTCAGTACATGTTAGGCACTAATACATGCCTATAAAATGAATATTTGTTGAGTTATCCTTCTTCAGTCACTTCTTAACACTTTTACCAAAATCATCTCTTCTATTAGCTGTAGATTATGGGAAAAAATCTATCTTTTAAAAAAAGAAATTATAAAGAGATATGTTTTTAACCTTTCAGGGGTAAAATATTAGATGCTTCAGCTTCTTGCAAACAAGGCTTGCAGCTTTGCATGACTGGATTGAGAATTCTATTCATATTTGGGTCCAATTCTTGCATAAGACACATAAAATCTGTTCTCATTTCTTTTCTTATTTATAAAATTAAAGAATTTGACCAAATCTGTGTTTTTCAAACTGTTAGTCACACCTCCAATGATGGGTCATAAAGTCAATTTAGTATGCCTATCTAGACATTTTTAATGAAATTAAATAAAATATTTAAAAATCAGAATACATCACACAAAGTAAGAGTAAGTATTGCCTTAAAAAATTTGTTTCGTTTCTGTACATGTGTCTGTGTATGTGTGTGTGTACTGGTTGGTGGCATAACTATGTTTTTGACCATGAGTTGTGGTTAAAAGAAATTTGAAAGCCACTAGACTAGTTCATTTTAAGTTTCCTCAGGCTCTCAAATGCTTGAATTCTATGAGTAAGTTGAGAGAGATATAGGAAGGGTTTTAGTGCTAGGAAGAGGGAAACTAGAGCAATAGACACAAGGCAGTATCCCCTGGAGCAGAAAAAATGCTGTGCATGTGAGAGATACCATCAGTACACTCCATATTATTCACATCACAGGAAGATAAGCACTGGGTAGGTCCTTTCTACAGAACACCTCTTCCGGAAAAGCACTGGGAAAATAAGAAAGTCATTAAATCCCTAGATTGCAAGAGAAGAATTTGTAAAAATGAGTACTCAATGATCCTCACCTACTCTAGGCCCATTGTAATCGTTACTAAGGAGAGGCAGTTTATCTACATAGAAAGAAGGCTGTGGTTGTAGGTGCATTATATTTCTTCATTCATTTAAATGAAGCCTAGAAAACCCCACTTTTGACTGTCTTTGCTTTGATCTTCAACTTTTGAAATATAAAACTAGACCGCATCTTGTAGATGTTGATACATGTGCCCCTTATCTACTAGCACTTTGTCCTCAACACTGGCAGGCCATGCAAGGGTAGACCAGTCCCTTATCCCTCTGGACTTCATGGTCATCACCTTCAAAAAGTGAGTTTCTTGGGCAACATAATCTCTGGGTGTTAAATTGCCCAGTTGTCACCTATTCCTATTTAGCAAGATAATCCCTGTTGGATAAAATATCTTTCCTAAATGAGAGGGACCTGAGGATTCCAGGCATTTTGTTCAAGAAGAAATCAGTCCTAAAGGATCCTCTTTGTGAGTAAAGCCACAGGTATGCAATACCCAGAATGTTTTGTAGTCAATTGAGAAAACTGGACAAAGCCCCTTGGACAGCAATGAACAATTGTTCCCTGAGGGACAACTTTTCTAAAAGGAACTCCAGAATTCTTTGGGATTTTGTGTTAACCTCACCTCTTTCCCTGTGCTGCCCTTCTTGATGGGCTGAAAGAGAAGGGGATGCTCACATCTTTGTCAGGACATCCATCCCCCTGATCGATGGATGATGATAGATGATAGATGGATCAGGGGGATGATAGATGGATCAGGCGGTGGTCACGTTTCCCCCCAACACACAGTAGTTTGCTTTTCTTCAAGCTCGTGCACAGCGGATTTGAATTAAATCTAAATGAACATCAAGCAATTTAATTAGCTGATTTTTTAAGAGTGAGAAAAAGTTATTTGGAGACATTTACATTTTTAAGAGAAAATACAAAACACAAAATTTTCCTCTGATAAAAAGATTGATATAAGCTTCAGATCCTCATTCTGCCCAGAGGTAATGAGAAAGAGTGAAAAGGCAAAGGAGGAAGGTAATGGAAAAAACACAGAAAGAGAAGAATAGATAGGCAGAGAGGGAAAAAAATGAAACAGCAGGAAGGAAAAATGAGGGAACAAGAGACAGTAGAAAGCCGGGAAAGAGTAGGCTGGGTCCAGAAAGACAGGAAGAAGGGCACACCCTGAAAGGTGATTAGAAGCCAGCCCCTCCCACCCAGCCCAAGGCAGAGCAGAGGGAGAGTCCGCCTTCTAGAATACAGTCATTTCCTGGTTTGGAGTTGGATGCACTAAATAGCTGCCTCTTCTGATTCCTTAAGTTTCAGACACTGAAACTTGCCCATATACTACTGTCTGAATTGATGTCACTGACCCTGATCTTAAATTTCCTCCCAGGACCCCCCAACTCTATTCTTCTATGTAACCCTCAGAGGATTGATATCTAGCTCATATTTTGCTCAGGCTTTTAATCCACTGAGTTCACTTCAACTCAACAAATATTTATGCATTATCTGCTATGAACAGACTAGGCACTGGGGGTACAAAGAGAATCCCACCCTTGGGGGAATCATAGGCTAACAAGAGAGATTAACTTTTAAGCAAACATTTCCGTATAACCTTCAAGAAAACTACCCAGGTGCTGTGGGCATGCAGACACAGAGCACAGGCTAGTATGCGAGCTCAGAGCTGGGTACCTGGAGAAGACGGATCCTGAGCTTAGTGCTAGGGAAGCAGCTAGGAAAGGGGTGGGGGAGTCCTGTTCCAGCGGTGGTGGGGGGACAACCACCAGCAGTCTGGTATGTCACACACATAAAGAACATAAAGTCATGCCAGGGAAGGACAGGAAATTAGACTGAAAATGTCATTGACCAAGCATTGGAAAACCACGTGTCACTCAAAATAGCTGGAAGTTTATCTTACAGTATTTGGGAAGACATTGAAAAAACTTAGGTAAGGGAAATACATGCTCAGGTTTGCATTCCAGATGTGTATTTTTAGTGCCTGTTTGGTGCTGGCACTGAAAAGACACATCTGAAATGCAAACCTGAACATATGTTTCCCTTACTTAAATTTCCCTTACTTAAACTTACTCTCATTATTTGTGGAGAGTAAGTTTAGATGAAAGGAGGAAATTGGGCTGGTCCAGCTTTCAGTTCTTTATTTCTCAGCCCGTCTAGACCTGTAACAGTCTGGACCTATTGGGTACCACTGAAGGCAGCTGCACAGATAAGCTGCTTTGTCTTTGGACCCTGAAGGGTATTACCAATGAGCTAGTTTAATATCTTTAATATTTGGTGTATTTTTGCAACTGTTGAAATATTTTGGAACTTGTTTCACAGGTTAAATAGACCATCACTTCAGATCTCTAGAATCTCCCTTGGGGTCTTCACTCCCATTTTAACCTGAAGTAATTAGCAGCATTCAGACAAAAAAAAAAAAAAAAAAAAAGGCCAGGTATGGTAGCTCATGCCTGAAATCCCAGCACTTTAAGAGGCCAAGGCAGGAGGAAAGCTTGAGCCAAGGAGTTTGAGATTAGCCTGGGCAACATAGCAAGACCCCATCCAACCTTATTTCAAAAAAAAAAAGGAACAAGTGGGTTAATCATATGTTATGATGCCTTCTGATAACATGCAATATGAAGTATTTAGGATGCATTCTGGACAAAAATATTTAATTAGAATTTGACAAATCTTTAAATATAAGAGTAAAACACAAGGGATTAGAAATCCGAGGATAGAGGAACAAGTTAAACAACATCTCAAGACCAATGCAAAAGTGGAACCTTTTGTTGGATAACTGCTTCAGTTTTTTTCAACAAGTTGATATTAAAAACAATAATTAAATAAAAGGACACTGCTAAAGTAAAAGAAATTTGAGGAAAAAATTGTGTTTCTGAGTCAGATCTTGATTTAGACAAATGAACTATAAAAATCATGTTTTGTTTATTTGAGGAAATTTGAATATGGACTGAGTATTAGAGAAGGTGAATATTTACAGACATTAAGAAGATGAATATTTAATGAGCTCTAAAAGGTAGAGCTCATTCACGCAAAAAGCATGTAACAAAATAGCACTTACAGTAGAATCTTATCTTGGTATAAAAAGACAAATAAATGTGAATAGAAAAGTAACTGGAAGAATTTCAATCAGGAAAGGGAACTAATATTTATTGAGCACGCTGTATGTACTTAAATGTTATGCTAAGTATTTTTTTAACATCACTTGTTTAATTATTTAATTCTCCCAAATACTTCTTGCAAAGAAGATGCAATTTACCCCATTTTACAAACAAGACATGTACTTTAAGATTTTAATAAAAATACTCTCTGGTGGTCAGAATTTGGTGACTTTAATTTCTTTTTGGACTGGGTGTTCTAACTTTCTGCAATGCATATTTACTACTTTTGTAATACTAAAAACGGGTTTTTTTAAATTATGAAGACACTTCTAAATAATACATGGGTCAAAGAAGAAATCTCAAGATAATTTTAAAATGTTTTAAACTAAACAAAAATGAAAACACAACTTATCAAATTTGTGGGATGCAGAGAAAGCAGTGGTTAGAGGAAAATTTATAGCATTAAATTTATACACTAGAAAAACTAAAAATCTAAAATCAACCATTTAAGTTCCACCATTGGAAAGTACAAAAAAAAAGGCAAATTAAATTCAAAGTAAGCAGAAGGAAAGAAATAACAAAACTTAGAGCAGAAATCAATGAAACTGAAACCAAGGAAAACAATAGAGAAAAATCAATGAAACCAAAAGGTGGTGCTTTGAAAAGATCAAAAAATCAATAAAATTCTAGCTAGTCTGAGTAAGAAAAAAAGAGAGATGACACAAATTACTAATATCAGAAATGAAAAAGGGGCATCACTACAGATCCCATGGACATTAAATGCATAGTCAAGAAAATATGAATGACTCTATACCCACAAATTAGATAGTCTAGATGAAATAAACCTATTCTTTGAAAGGCACGATCTGCCAAAACTAACACAAGAAGAAATAGACTGTCTGAATAGGCCTATATCTGTTAAAGAAATTGAATAAATAATTGATAACCTTTCCAAACAGAAAGCAACAGGCTCAGATGGATTCACTGGTGAATTCTATCAATATTTAAGGAATAAATTATACCAATTCTCTAAAGTGGAATACTTCCTAACTCATTCTATGAGGCCAGCATTATCCTATACCAAAACTGGACAAAAATATTGCCAAAAAAAAAAAGAAAACTACAGACCAGTATCTCTCTCATGAACATAGATACAAAAATCCTCAAAAAAAAATTAGCAAATAAAATCCATCAACATATTTTTAAAAATACACCAAAACCAAATGGGATTTATCCCAGTATGCAAAACTGGTTCAACCTTTAGAAGTCAATTAATGTAATCCATCACATCAACAGGCTAAAAAAAAAATCCAACACACATTCATGATTTAAAAAAAAATCTCAGTAAACTAAAAATAGAGGGAAACTGTCTCAACTTGATAAAGAATGTCTACAAAAAACCTACAGCTAACATCGTACTTAATAAGAAACTCTAAGATTTTCTCAGTAAGATCAGAAAAAAGGCAAGAATGTTTCCTCTTGCCACTCCTTTTTAACATCATACTGCACTAGTTAATGCAATAAGACAAGACAATGACATAAAAGGAATATAGATTGAGAAGGAAAAAAAACTGTTTTGTCTATGTAAAGAATCTGAAAGAATCAACCAAAAAATTTCTGGAACTAATAAGCAATTACAGGAAGGTTGCAGGATACAAGTTAAAATAAAAAACTCAATTGCTTTCCCATATACCAGCAATGAACAAGTACAATTTGGGGTTTAAAACATGATATCATTTATATTATCATCCTCCAAAATTCAGAACTTAGGTATAAATTTAACAAAATACGTTTAAGATATATCTGAGGAATACTACAAAACTTTGAAAGAAATCAAATAAGAACTAAATAAAATGGAAAGTTATTCCAAGTCCATGGATAGGAAGGCTCAATATTGTCAAGATGACAGTTCTTCCCAACATGTCCTATAGACTTAATGCAATCCCAATCAAAATCCCAGAAAGTTATTTTGTTGATATCAACAAGCTGATTTGAAAGTTTATGTAGAAAGGCCTGGGCACAGTGGCTCACACATGTAATCCCAGCACTTTGGGAGGCTGAGGTGAGGTGGGCAGATGACTTGATGCCAGGAGTTCAAGACCAGCCTGGCCAACATGGCGAAACTCCATCTCTACTCAAAAAAAAAAAAAAAAATTAGCTGGGTGTGGTGGTGCATGCCTCTAATTCCAACTACTTGGGAGGCTAAGGCAGGAGAATCGCTAGAACCCAGGAGGCAGAAGTTACAGTGAGCCAAGATTGTGCCATTGCACTCTAGCCTGGGCAACAGAGTGAGACTACATCTCCAAAAAAAAAAAAAAAATACAAACAAACAAAATAAAGTTTATGCAGAAAGGCAAAAGATCCAGAATAGCCAGTACAATATTAGAGAAGGAAAAAGTTGGAGGACCGGCACTACTTGACTTCAGAACTTGCTATGAACCTTCAGTAATCAAGACAGTGTGATATTGGCTAAAGACTAGCCAATTAAATCAGTGGAACAGAATAGAGAGCCCAGAAATAGACCCACATAAATATAGTCAACTGATCTTTGACAAAAGAGCAACAAAGATGCAATGGAGAAATGATAGTCTTTTCATCAACTAGTGCTGGAACTGGACATCCACATGCAGAGAGGTGAATCTAGACACAAACCATTTTTTTTTTATACTTTAAGTTCTAGGATACATGTGCACAACGTGCAGGTTTGTTACTTATGTATACATGTGCCCTGTTGGTGTGCTGCACCCATTAACTCGTCATTTACGTTAGGTATATCTCCTAATGCTATCCCTCCCCCCTCTCCCCACCCCACAACAGGCCCCGGTGTGTGATGCTCCCCACCCTGTCTCCAAGTGTTCTCATTATTCAATTCCCACCTATGAGTGAGAACATGTGGTGTTTGGTTTTCTGTCCTTGCAATAGTTTGCTCAGAATGATGGTTTCTAGCTTCATCCATGTCCCTACAAAGGACATGAACTCATCCTTTTTTATGCCTGCATAGTATTTCATGGTGTATATGTGCCACATTTTCTTAATCCAGTCTATCACTGATGGACATTTGGATTGGTTCCAAGTCTTTGCTATTGCTAGACCCAAATGTTATACCTTTCACAAATTAACTAAAATGGATCATAGATCTAAAATGTAAAATGCAAAACTATGAAACTTCTAGAAGATAGCATAGGAGAAAACCTAGATGACCTTGAATATGGCAATGATGTTTTAGATCACAAAAGGCATGACCCATAAAGGAAATAATTGGTAAGCCAGATTTCATTAAAATTAAAAATGTCTGCTCTGCGAAGACAATGTCAAGAGAATGAGAAGACAAACCACAGACTGGAAGAAAATATTTGTAAAAGACAAATCTTGATAAAAGACTGTTATTTAAAATATAGAAAGAACTCTTAAAATTTAGCAATAAGAAAACAAAAAACTTGATTTAAAAATCAGCCGAAGACCTTAATAGATAGCTCACCAAAGAAGATACAAAAATAGCAAATAGGTATGCTTCACATGATATGTCATCAGGGAGATGCAAATTAAAACAACAATGAGATAATACTACATATCAATTAAAATAGTCAAAATGCTGACAACACCAAGTGCTGTCAAAGATGTGGAACAACAGAAACTCTTATTCATTTCCGATGCGAATGAAAAATGGTACAATTTCTTCAGAAGACAATTGGCAGTTTCTTAAAAAACTAAACATACTCTTACCATATGATCCAACAATCACACTCCTTAGTATCTACTCAAAGAAGTTGAAAACTTATGTCCACACGAAAACCAGCACATAGATGTTTATGGCAGCTTAATTCATAATTGCAAAACAACTGAGAAGCAATCAAAATATTCTTCAGCAGGTGAATGATAAGTTAACTGGTACAGACAGACAATGGAATATTATTTATCACTAAAAAGAAATGCACTATCAAGCCATAAAAAGACATCTAAGCACTATAAACGCATACTACTAAGTGAAAGAAGCCAATCTGAAAAGGCTACATTCTGTATGATTCCAACTATGTAGTATTATGGAAAAGACAAAACTATGGAGACAGTAAAGGTCAGTGGCTGCTAGGGGTTACAGAGAGAGAGAGGAATAAATTGGCAGAGCACAGAGCATTTTTATGGCAGTGAAAATACTCTGTATGATAGTATAATGGTGTATATGTGTCATTACACATTTGTCCAAATCCACCAAATGTGTAATACCAAGTGTTCCCTAATGGAAACAACGGACTATGGTGATTATGATGTGTCTGTGTAGATTCATTACTGTAACAAATACACCAATCTGGTGGGGGATGTCGATCATCAGGGAGGCTATATATGTGTGGGGGGTTGGGAGTATAGGGGAAATCTTCTGTGCCTTCCTCTCATTTTCACTGTGAATCTAAAAACGTCTCTTAAAAATTTGTCTTTAATTTTTTTAAAAAAAAAACAAGTAACTCATGGCTAAATATTAAGATATTGTAATTCCTTGATTTTTTAAATACAACTTCAAAAATAATGATTAAAATAGTTTAAGAAGAGAATGAACACAAAATACACAAGTACAGTATTTTTTAACTTTTATAAACCCACACCCCTTTTTGATAAACATACAAATCTGTAGTTATATGAAATTCCAATAAATACCATAATTTTTAAAAACCAAAGTCATGGAAGATAAGACTACTTTGTTTTCAGTCTGCAAATAAGGAGACATGAAGACTAAAAACTAAAACTAAAACCTAAAGACTAAAAACTAAAACTAAAAACTAAAATCCTCTGCCACTCTCTGCCAAATTATGAAATGTTCTCTTATGTAGTTATGTCCTTTCAGAGTCATTGGCGTTGCGGGAAAAGTATAAACTCTGAAGTCAAACAGATCTGGTTCAAATATTCACCTACACCACTTACCAGTATGGTGATTTTGAATAAATTACTGGGTTCACCATTTCTGAATGTTTGTTGCCTTGTCTGTAAAATGAGTTAATAATCTATTCCTTACAGGGTATTTGGGAAATTAAATAATTAAATAAATAATATTCTTAAAAATACTTAGCACCACAATTAAGTATATAAAGCATATTCAGTAAACATCATCCCCCTAGCTCACTTGAAATAAAAATGTGTTTGGGTGCTCAATGATCTTTAGACTATAGCCTCACGGGGATTATGGGGACCCCTGGCTTCTAGCTTTTATCTGACTGGCTCCATCTGGAGCCCAGCTAAGGATCACAATTCAGTTTCCTTCATCTCTACTCCCACATCCAGTGATTCATCCTTCCACTTATTTACTCAACAAGTAGCTGTTGAGAGCCAAGTAGTGGACCAGGTGAGAAGTGGCAAATGAGAGACCTGACCCCTGCTGTCTGAGAGCTTGCAGTCTAGTCCTTCCAAAGGAGACCTACTATTTTGGGCTGCATGCTTTTTCCTGCATTGCTTGCGTGAATTCAGGATTGCTTTGATTTATGATCCAGCCACACACCTGAAGTCACTGCCTAGCGACCCCACTTCCTGTCCTGGTTAGCCTTTTGAATTAGACCCATTGGAGAGAGAGATGCTGGCTCACAGCTGACAAGACTCTCCTAGATCATTGGCTTGGGCTTGGTGATGAAGACAACTAGCCTCCACGTTCACCTGCTAGGAGCTACCCACCTGCTATGGGCCAGGGTTTCCAGTGGTACAGCTGGGATCACTTTTGAAAACTTTTTGTGCTCCTAGAAATTGCTATTGAATCACAGTGCCTCTAGTAATGTCACTTTTTTATTGACACCCATTGTCAGGACAGCAATTCTCTCCCTCTATCTTCAGCAATAAGAATGTTATTTCCAAAGTAGTGAATGATGCTCTTTGGGGATTTCATTTCAAACTGCTAGTAAAAATAAGGCTCTTCCCTATTTTTGCCCCTGTCTCTTTTAATTCAAGTGCACATCTCTATCAGTCATATGAAAAATAAATGAACACAGTTGATCACTCTGTCAATACCTTCAGCAGCACAAGCAGAGCTGATGCATGTGTTTTCAGACCACATTGTTCTTATTTAACGCAAAACACATGACTCAGAGAAATCCAATAGCTCAGTATTTTTATGCTATTTTTGTTACTAGACAAAGCCCTAAAATAATAATTACATATGTATATATATAACACTTTTTCTAAATAGTTTTAAACATCAAATAGTAAAATTCATCTTCTTCAAGATAGTTTAAACATCAAATAGTAAACGTTCTTTTATCTTAATAGTTAATACTTTGAAAGGAAATATATTAAATATATCAATGACAACATTATTTTTAATTTTAATGTTTTAAATCTGTATTTAATTTGATATAGATGAATAAATGTGGTGTTAGGATACGTATTCTAGAGTTCTCAGTGAAATCTTTTTCCATTTCCTTTATAGCTTAGTTACCTCTCCCCTCAGCTAAACACATCATAGTAGTGTTTTCTTGCATTAAAAACCCACTCTAATAGCCTGTCTTGATCCTTCACAGTTTTTTCTATGTTCAAATAATCATTTACAGTCATATATAGTACACACACACACACACACACACACACACACACAATACTATGTACCCTATTCTACATCATGCTCTTCTCACTCAACAATACCCAGTACATATACCTCTAAGTCACCTGGTATATCTCTAATTAATTATTTTTATTACCTGCAAAATATTATACTTCATGTATTCTATGTATCTATTCTAGCATAATGACATATCTGTTAAATGTTAGGGAACCAACATATTTGATGCAAATGAGAAATAAGGTACAGAAAAGGGACAAAATATATATATAAGCGTTATAATTTGTAACATAGTAGATGTGGGTGATGTGGTTGAGATGGACAGTCACAATGAGCATCCTAATACTCATCTCAGAACTGAATTTACTCACCCAGTCACAGACAACCCCCACGACCATGGCAGAAAGATGGAGGGTGCCTCTTTGAGCTTATAGCTAGCATAAGCACAAGATGTGTCTTGTCAACAGGCTGGCTTCAAAAGAGAGAAAACCCTAGATGAGGGTTCATGGGGGCAAGGGGACAATGGGCTGAACCAAACAAGTTTAGTTTCTTCTCCCAAGCTCACCAATCAGATGATTTCTTCCTGCATCCAAAAACAGGAGTGAAGGAGGGATGGGGAACAAGGTCAGCTTTCCTGTAGCTGAAGCCTCCCACATAGAAATGTGAGTTCAGAAACTATAATTATATCTAACAGTTGCTTTTTGAATAATAGTATCCTTATAGTAAATTTTGATATCTGATAAGACAAAACTCTTCAATATTCTTCATAATTATTCTTTTATTAGCTTTTAGGTACATATTTTCTTTCATATAGACTTCCAGATTTTTTTTCATTCTCTCCCACCTCTATTCCCCAGTTATAATATGAATAAAGTCTGAGAATTGCATTAAGCATTTTTTTAGGAATTGATATTTTATAATAGTAATTCTTTTCATCCAGAAATCTAATAATGTCCTTCTATTTTCTTTGATCCTATTTTATGTCCTTCATTAATATTCTTTTGTGGATTCTTAGGAAAGTAACTTTCAAGAATTTTACAATCTTTAACTGAGATTGTGAATAGATTCTTTTTTTCAGTTCACTCTCTAGATCCTTATTACTAGGATAAAGAAAAGTTATTCATTTGTGTATTTATTCTATAAAAATTTACTTTAAAATTTCTAAGAAAAGTACTAAGTGCACATGTGTAATAATAAATTTGAAAACACTGAGATATAAATAATTTCCTACAAAATGTAAATTATCAAAATGTAGGCCCCAAAAAGGAAAACCTTAATAGATCAATTGAATATTGAGGAGCAACCTAGTACAGTAGCTCATACCTGTAATCCCAGGACTTTGTGAGGTCAAGATAGGTGGATAGCCTGAGCCCAGGAGTTCAAGACCAGCCTGGGAAACATGCCAAAATGGCATCTTTACTAAAAATAAATAAATAAATAAATAAAAATACAAAAAATTAGCCAGGTGTGGTGGCGTGCACTTGTATTTTCAGCTACTTGGGAGGCTAAGGTGGGTTAATCACCTGAGCCCAGAAAGTCTAGGCCACAGTGAGCCATGATCATGCCACTGCACTCCAGCCTAGGCAACAGGAGTGAGACCCTGTCTCAAAAAACAGTAATAAATAACGAATATTAAGGAGCTTCAGTATAGCAAAACTTAGTAACTGGAGATAAAATTTCATAAGCTCAAAGCACTTCCTTCAAATGAAAGCTGACCAACCCAATTTAGCAGAAATTGCATCACTTCCGAGTTTAAAGAAATAAAGAGGTGTTTTGAGAATCTGTCCATCCTGACTTCACATCGAAGACTGACATTAAGCCACCACGTTGCACAAGTTGTGCAACATGCACAAACATCCATAAAATTGGCCTAGTGTCTAATGCATCAAAAAGGAAGCCTAAACTGACTCATGGACATGCTGTGCTAATGAAGAAGAGTAGAGGTGGAGTTTTCTCTACCTTTAATCTCTTTCAGGCGTACCTTCCAGAAGAAAGGCCAGATATGTTGCAGCTGTGCCAGCCTCAGATCAAAAACGTCAATTTATGCTGCAAAGATTGTGCTTTGAGAAACACACTAGAATTCAGACTGAATGAATCCATAGGAATCTTAAGAAGTTTCAATAAAGGAGTTGAAATAATGTTAAATGTTAATATGAAACAATAAAGAAAAAAACTATAGGCTAATAATGCATTTTTCTATAAGGCAGATTTTTTTTTAATTTAAGTAGATAGTTTATTTGAGTTAAGCTAGAGGATTGCAACCCAGGAGCATAGATTCAAGTTGCCCTCAGTATATACTCCAGTTAGCAACAAGTGGATTTGTAAAGGCAAAAAATGGGGACCAGAAATGGGCTGATACAAAGTTGTTTGTCAGAAATTCTCACTGGTTTAAAGAAATAATATTGCTTCATGATTAGCTATACATTGTTAAGCTATAGGATAAGTTTGTCCAACTTGCGGCCCGTGGGCCACATGTGGGCCAAGACAGCTTTGAATGCGCCCCAACACAAATTCATAAACTGTCTTAAAACATTATGAGATTTTCTTTTTAGCTCATCAGCTATTATTAGTATTAGTGTATTTTACATATAGCCCAAGACAATACTTCTTCCAATGTGACCCAGGGAAGCCAAAAGATTAGACACCCTTACTATAGATTACAGGTTATGGTGTCCAGTGCGGCATTATTAAGTTAATTTACAGCTGCCTGTGGCAATAGCAAGCAGTTTCGGGAGATGAATACGTAGCTCAAAGGGGAGAGTAGGGCGTGACTGCCACCTCATTTTAATGTATGAGACAGATTTATTAACAATTCAGGTAAGTAATGATTCTAATCATCTTCTTAATGTCAGTGAATAGAATATTGTGTTTATTCAAAGGAGGGCCGGTTAAACATGTCCAAAACTGCAGAGAAAATATTCGTGTGTGTAAACTAAAAGTTTGGTGCTTTCCTAAGCACTACAGATCCACCTGAGATGAAAGCGTTATTCTGTCACCCGAAAAATGCAAGAAAAAAAGAAAATAAGACACTTGAAATGTCTGTTCGCTCTAAAATTAATCTTTCAGGAGATTTTGTAGTTCCTTCTTAAAACACCAATACTAAAACACAGAGTACAATAAGTTGTGCAAGTTTTACAGGTTTGACAAACGAACTTGGAACTTACTAATTATAAAAGTATCAGTCTATGATGCCTCATTAGGTAAAAAGCCAGTAATACATGAGTCTTTGGTAGAAAAATGCACTGACTCTGAAGAATAAAGAATGACAGCCTCCTCTTTTAGAAGCATTTCCATTCCTCATCATGGTAGAGCTAGTAGTTCTCAACTGCAGTCATTCCTGAAATCCTTGGAGGTCATTTTTCCTTAATGTTCCATGCTGTTTTCAGACTCCATTCTTCTACAGACTGGCGTCTGCGGCATGGCAAGAAACACAGATGCTGCTTCATACATTTCCATTAGCAGGCAGGGCTCCAGGCATGTGGTTTCAGAAGCCGGTGGAGCTGTCTACATGTTATTTCTTCCCATGGGTGGAGATCTAAATTAAAACACTCATAAAAAAGAAAATCTCCCTCCTCAGAAATTACCAACAATAAGACCGATACAATTTGATTACTAGAAAAACAGAAGCCAACTCTCCCATGTTACTTAAAAATACTTGAGGACTTCTGAGAATTGTGCTGTTTATCATCAAAAGGAAGATGTAAAATATACAAATGAAGGGGACATAGCAGAACCACAGAGTGTAGTAAATTAATATTTGACTTTGCATAGCTGGTTCTCATCTTTTCATATCATATCATCCTATCACCTGAGATGATGGAAGAGTTAGGACAATGTTAGGTCCAGGAGGGATGCCAGGTTCCCTGGGTCTAACCAAGATCCAGAACTTTCTAAGTTCTAAGTCTAGTGTCTTAGATTGATATACTATTGACATACTTTACCTTATTTTAATTTCTTATGTTCTAATAAATTATTAGAATATTTAAATAACATTTAAATTTCTAAATAGAGCTAAAGTATGTGTTCTCATGAGTGCTATTTTTCTTATAGAAGAAGCAGACAAGATTTACCAATAACAAACTTTATGGGAGGGAGACAGACAAGGAGGAGGGACAGGCATTCTCTTACGTTATCGGTGGGAACATAAATTGGTATAGTCTTATGGACAACAATCTATGAAAAATTTGGACTGTATGTAGTGGAGAAAGGCAATACAAGCAATCCAACTAAGAAATAAATTATGCCATGTATACTAAGCACTATACAAGAAACAAATTGGGATAAATGATTTTTTAAAATGAGGATGAGGGTGCCCAAGTGTTGGGAATAAAGACATCTCTGAGAAGGTCTCATTAGCTACCACTTAATGGTGGGGAGGTTCTGAGTGAAGACTTGAGGCAGAAAGAGCTTAGGGCTTTGGAAGAATTAAAAATGTGCCTGTGAGAGAAAAGGAGTGTGCAATATGCCGGGAGAGGATAATGGAGAATGGGTCAGGCAGTTCCCTATACGACATGACAGGCAGTTTCTATTCTGTTCCAAGCACAGTGGAAGCCGTGATCTTTTTAGAAATAGCACTCAGTGTGCTAAGTGAGGGACAAACTGGACAAGAGGTGAGAAAAAAGCAAAAGCTCAGTTATAAGCCCACTGCCCAGGCTACATGAGAGATGTTAAAAATTTAGCTAATGAGGAAGCTCAGAGAAGAGAACTAAAGTGGATTCAAAATACATTTTGCAAGTAAATCAAACCTTGTCAGTTGTACCTCTGACAAATGAAAACTGAGGAAGAGATTTTCCTAAAAGAAACACTTTGTTAAAGTGAGCATTAGGTTCATTTGGAAAACTCCTTCGTCACACTTTTTATGACCTTACAAATATACTACCACAAATAAGCAATTACCTGACCAGACTAATTCAGAGCAAAAAGAGGTTGACTGTGGTCCACAGCATAAGTAAAACTTTTAGAAAGTTATGTTCATCTACATTTACCCTTCTGAAGTCTGGGTTTAAATCAGCATATGATAAAAATTTTGCAAATCTTTTTAAATAAATCATTCCAGGGATCACAGAAGCATGGTGAACCACATTACATACCATCTAAAAGGAAATTGGGTTAACAGCTCCTTTTACCAATTATTCAAGTGCAGACTGTTCTCTACGGATGCACAATTATTGCATTTTGTTACATTTCTGGATATTTTCATATGATGATCCTAAGGGAAGAGGTGTACGATTTCCATTACTTTGAGTAACAAAAAGTGATAGATCATTATTTTTGCAAGCCATTTCAAGATATATGTATAACTTTGGGTTTTTTTGTTTTGTTTTGTTTCTTGAAGCGGAGTCTCGCTCTGTCACCCAGGCTGGAGTGCAGTGGCGCTTTCTTGGCTCACCGAAACCTCCGCTTCCAGGGTTCAAGAGATTCTTCTGCCTCAGCCTTCCAAGATTACCCTCCTGGGATTACAGGCTCGAGCCACCACGCCCGGCTAATTTTTTTGTATTTTTAGTAGAGATGGGGTTTCGCCATGTTGGCCAGGCTGGTCTCAAACTCCTGACCTCAGGTGATCCACCTGCCTCAGACTCCCAAAGTGCTGGGATTATAGGCGTGAGCCACCATGCCCGGCCCAAGATGTATATATAATTTTGTTAATGCATGATATGTGGAACTATGATCTCAATTCATGAATTTCTGGATATTCAAGAATAATTAAATACCAAAAAGTAGTAACGTCTGAGATATAAGATATATTACATCTTTCCCATCAAAACAAACTAAAGCCAGTGAAGGCTTGCCAGTGAAAGCAAAGTTAATTATCATTCTCTACTTAACAGGCAATAAAAGTTCTGTAGATAATGAGTTCTAGAAACATCATGGAAACCTCTGAAGATACTGCCCATTGGAATAAATATTCATTCTTACTGCTTCACTCCTTATATGACAATATAACATGGTACAATTTCCACCAAAGACAGAAATGATTTCTTTAGCTTTTTCAACCTGTGATGTGTTGTACCCACTTTCCAACTCATATATTTTCAACATGGCACATTAATTGAAGCACAATCTACACACACAATGAAGATCCCTTTCAGTGATTATGATAGTGTGATAATTCTTATCTTTATTTCAACCTCTTGAGTAAGATCCAGTTTTAGGTTGGGCTTCGGTTTCCAAAGACATTATCTAGAGAATAATAACATAACCACTCACTAGAAAACACGGGAAAATTCTTTCTTCTTTCCTTTTCCAAACATAAATGAGAAGAAAGGAGAAAGAACTGCTAAGTCCAGAGGCTCTACACAAATGCACGTCCCAGCAGGACTAACCTGCAGATTACCTTCCTAACACCGTGTAAACGTGGCCCCAATGCAAGGGTGCTTTATTACCGTACTGAGGTCCCCAGTCTTCCAAAGGAAAGGAAGTGTTGGCTTAACAGAGTGCTGTCAAGGGCACTTGGAAAGATGAGAGATCCCCAAATGCCTACGGACAGCACGATGAGATTTGTCGTTGCTTTCTACAATCATCCTGTACAGGGACAAGAAATGGAACCAGCCTGCATCAGACCAATGTGCCATATGATGCTCCTATCAAGTCTGCATTTGCTCTTAATATACTACCTAACCAAGAATCCCTAGATGGTATTTCAAAATACAAAACTGAATTACCAGTGAAATCCTTAACCTGTGTTCAGGTAAGCTAACAGTGGAATGATCATTACCTTTTTAAGCACTAATTAATTAAAATTGTTAACAAACTGGAGTTTTAGAAAATGCAGATCGTAACAAAGTGAATCATATCTAGAATTTAGTCCACAATGCAATTTAATAGGTATGCTTACAAATATAATTCACTGGCTATCATTTTTAAATATCTCCTTTGCCTTCATCACAATAACACTCTGAAGAGTTGCAATATATTAAATGATGGGAAAGAAAAAAACTAAAAGTGTATTGTTTGTCTCTTCTTCCCTGCCTCCAAGTTTAGAATGCTATTATTCATAAAGTCTAGCTTTCTTCACATTATTTTTCAAATAACTTTCTTTTTTAATTATAGAAACAATGTATCCTCATTAAAAAACAAAATCAGAAAATGTAATATATAAAGATGTAATGAAGAAAAAATAAAAATACATCTATAATCCCCTCATTCAAAAAATAAGTTCTAGTATATTATGGGGTTTGTCCATGCTTATATATTTCCTCACATTATATTATAAGAAAAAAGCATCCATATACATCCACATGAACCCAAACTCTCACCACTGTTAAACAAATTCAAACACTAAATTCAGAAAGGTAACCAACATTTTGGTCACTGAATTCCACATTATATAAATCACTAACAAATTCAATAGTACTCAGCTCAGATTTCATCACATTTATTTGTTAACTAGTCTAGTCACAGAGAAATTACCTCCTAACTCAGAAAAGACCTTGTCCTGTGTGTCAGTTTTCCCATGTTGGAAAGGATTCAGTAGTAGTTCACTTTTTGATTTTAGTCAAAAAGTGCATAAAATATGATATATGGAATTTAGTGGGAACTCTACAGAGAACACCAAATTTGATCTTTTGAAATTTTCTTTCCTAGTGGAAGCAGATTTTAAGGGTTCTCTAATTATTTCTCTATTAGCATCAACACTCATCAGATTTGTCACAAATCCATTTAAGATATATGGTAAAACTCAGGGATGAGCAATTTTTCTTTTTTTCTGTAAAGAACAAGAAAATATTTTTGACTTTGTGGCCATACAGTCTCTATCCATATCAACTCTGTTGTTACAACACAAAAGCAGCCATTCACAATGCATGAACAAATGGGCATGGCTGTGTTCCAATAAAACTTTATTTACAAAGTCTTTATTTCAAAACCAAGACTTTTCTGGAAATGAAGAGTGGTAATGGTCATGGTTGCACAACAATGTGAATATATTTAATGCCACTGATTTGTACACTTAAAAATAGTTAAAATGATAGATTTTATGTTATGTATATTTTACCACAATTTAAAAAGAAACAAAAACAAAATTTTGTTCACAAGATGTTTTTTCTAACTCCTAGACTACACAGTCCTTTCTGCTTAAAATACTCTGTGATTGGCCTGGCGCGGTGGCTCACGCCTGTAATCCCAGCACTTTGGGAGCTGAGGCAGGAGGATCACGAGGTCAGGAGATCAAAACCATCCTGACTAACACGTGAAACCCCATCTCTACTAAAACTACAAAAATTAGCCGGGCGAGTTGGCGGGAGCCTGTAATCTCAGCTACTCGGGAAGCTGAGGCAGGAGAATCACTTGAACCCGGAAGGCGGAGCTTGCAGTGAGCCGAGATCGCGCCATTGCACTCCGGCCTGGGCAACACAAAGAGACGCAGTCTCAAGTAAGTAAGTAAGTAAATAAATAAATAAATAAATAAGAATAATGTTTCATTTTCTGTACTACTCGGGAGCCTGAGGCAGGAGACAGCCTCCTCAATTCAGGAGAATTGCTTGAACCCGGGAGGCAGAGGTTGCAGTGAGCCGAGATCGCGCCACTGCTCTCCAGTCTGAGCGACAGAGCGAGACCCCGATTCAAAAAAAAAACTGTGATTAAGTGGTTTCTAAAACCTAATGTGTAATACTTGCAAAGATAAAATTGCTCTTCTACCAAACCTTTCTTTCAATATTTCTGAAACTGTAAAAAGTACTTTAAATTCTAATGTTATAAGCAAAGTAGCTAAAATGGGGCTGGTAATTTTTCCCCTCTGCTTTATCTTGGGTTAGAGTCGAAGTATTTAAGCACTTCCGAGTATGTAACAGCAAGCAGGTTCACCACACTGGGGAAAATGTCTTGAGTAATGAAAAGAGCACCAAGATAATCTACCTTATTAGGCAATCTAGGCTTTTTTGAAAGTTATAAATGAAAAGAAATACAGTATAAAAGATGTCATTTGAGTATTATCAGAGTAATTTTGCAACGCATTATTTATATATTTCAAATATTCAAGGCACCATATAACTGTTCAATTTTATTTCTTTTTTTTTTTTTATTCAAAGCCTACATTCATAGTTGCTTAATGGGATGTTTTTCTTCTTCATATTTTTAGTGCCTTTCAATAAAATATATCATTGCTTAACATCTACATTTTGCTTAACTTTAGATCTACCCACACATACTCAGGCTGAAAATAAATGCTCTTTTACAAGTTAGATTTTGGGGGATTTTGTACGTTTTGCTTTGCTTTTCGGTTTTCATTGTAACCATAGTCAACTAGATTCAGCCATAAGACATCAACACTGACAAAGTGTAGTCCGGACTAGCTTTTGCACTTCCACATCATGATTAATTTATTATTCATCTGGTACCTTCCTATTAAACTTTGTCTTTAGCCTGTGAACTTTTCTTTCAGCTTCCAACAAAGGATTTCATTGCTTTAGGAATCGAGGTGTGGCTAAGTTTTTACCTGGGAGCAAAGGTGATGCAAGCGTTTCTGGTGAGACCTACCCTTGGTTTAGGGTGGGGAGGGACCGCATAACAGACCATCTGTAGACTCCTTCGGAAAGCAGCAGAGACGCTGCAGAGGGCTTTTCTTAGACATCAACTGCAGACGGCTGGCAGGATAGAAGCAGCGGCTCACTTGGACTTTTTCACCAGGGAAATCAGAGACAATGATGGGGCTCTTCCCCAGAACTACAGGGGCTCTGGCCATCTTCGTGGTAAGTCCTGGATTTTCCTAATAATCACAAACTTCCCTGCTTCCTCCCTTGTTAAAGAATATTATATTTGATTGCACAATCTTTATTATAAATTCTAAAAGGAGTGCAGTGGAAATCAACACTTTGAAATGAAATCGTGAAGATTACCAATTTCCTTCTTTTGTTGTTTTTTATGTTGTATTTTACATAGAAAAATAAACCAGAAAGAAATGAGTTTTAAAAACCATTTAGAATTTTTTTTAGTTAATGAATTAAGTAATCTTAATCACAGGTTATATTTTCCACAACATTTTCACTTTCTTTAAAGTTATGCTTTTACTAGTTTTTCTAACCCACAAACAAGAACACAGGAGCCACTTCTATTTTCCAAGATTACATGTCTCTTAGCATATAGCTAAGAACTCTACACGCCTGGGCTTGATACCTGACACGCTTTTAAAAGTAAAAAATCGCAGAATTAAAATCAAAGCAGTGTTTGACTCTAGAGAAGTTGGGAGGATTATTAAGTAAGTATTTATGTTTAGCTATTATGTGCCAAAAGAAAATGTCAGCCTTTGGGGATGGGGGGAAAGACATACAACATTTTAAAGCCATTTTTTTCAGAAAAGTAATACTTCTGTTGATTGAGAAAGTCGTACATAGTATTATCTAAAAGAGAAACGGAATGTTACAGACTGTTTAAAACCTGGATGTTACAGACTAACTTACTCCTTAACTGTGTTCTTATAGCAAAAAAAAAAAAAGAAAAGTCACAATATTATCTGTTACACGGAGATATCAAAATAGTTAAATATACCTTAAAAATGAATGTCAAAACAATTCCTAATGCTAATTTGTATGGTTTCCATGATAAGCTGGGTTGGCCTAGGCATCAATTTACCTCATTTCTTCATGAAAAAAATTGAGATAAATGGACTTCAAGAAGTCACAGGGAGATAGATCTCAAGAAAGGACTTTCTTAGCTCTCCCTAAGATTTTTGTTTTTGTTTTTGTTTTTGAGACAAGGTCTGGCTCTGTTGCCCAGGCTGGAGTGCAGTGGTGCGATCTCCAACTTCTGCCTCTGGGGTTCAAGTGATTCTCGTGCCTCAGCCTCCTGAGTAGCTGAGATTACAGGCGTGCACCACCACAGCCAGCTAATTTTTTTGTATTGTTAGTAGAGATGGGGTTTTGCCATGTTGACCAGTCTAGTCTCAAACTCCTAGCCTCAATGGATCCGTCCACCTCGGCCTCCCATAATGCTGGGATTGCAGATGTGAGCCACTGCACCCAGCCTCTAAGATTCTATTTCTATTACGACAATGTAACTGTGTTCAGTACCTGATTTTATTTGAAAGGAGGATGTTGTTAAAGAGAAATGTGACAGTTGTATGACTTTCCCACCTTTCCAGATGGGAAATGTCTGGGCTGAACCCCAGGTGGTCTGATAACCCCTATGTCCAAGCCAATGGCAAAGCTCAGGAAGTTAGGGGCCATGCAGCATGGGCTGTCGGGATAGTATTGCCATGAGGACATAGGATTGGGCCACCATAAGCTAAGGGGGATTCTTTTTTTTTTCTAATTTGACATATAGGACACTCTCAATTACTCCTCTGATTCTGGAGTGACTGTGACATCCTTATATTGAGGCTAATTTTTATTTTTATATTCTCAATGCTTATTATATCTGTCTTAGAGTGGACATGCAATTGTTTGAAGAATGAGTAAATGAATGATTTAATGAGCCTTCTCTAAACTAAAAAACCCCCGCACAATGTCCCTATAATTCTAGTCATAAAGGAAACTATGAAATGACATGTATTTGGTTCCACTCAAGAAAATTTTACATACACATGCTGTTTAAACAACAGTATAACTTCATACATAATTGTTCAACTGAGTGGTCTAGACCTACTCTGTCCCATATGGTAGCCACCAGCCACATGTGGTTTTAAGCCACTTGAAATGTGGTTGGTCTGAGTTGAGGTGTGCTATTTAATATAAAATATACATCATAATTTGAAGAAGACTTTGAATGAACAAAAGAATGTAAAATATGTCAATAATTTTTTATGTTGATTACATGTTGAAATGATAGTATTTTGGATGTATTAGATTAAGTTAACCGTATTGTTAAAATGCATTTCACCTTTTAAAAACGTTTTAAATGTGACTAAATTTTTTAATTATATGTGGTTCGCATTTGTGGTTTTTAGCTTTCTATTGGACAGTACTGGTCTACTATTAATGCTATTGATAGAAGGCAGTGTCAGTCAGGAGAGAGGCAATCAAGTCTTTATGGATTCAGTGAAATTTGAGCTGATTTGGGATAAGTATAGATGGACGGGCCAAAAGGAGATCTCTTGGGTTGTCAGAAGAGTATAATCAAAGGCAGGCACAGTTAGGATTTGCCTAGGGGAAATGGACACACCAGTATGACTAGCATGACAGTTTGCTTTGGAGAATCTGGACATGAATTGGAAAGGCAGCTGAGGGTCAGATTGAAAAGTGCATTTTGTGAAGGCTCATGGAAACCTTTTACAAGTGGGGAGCCACCCAGAGTTTTGAAATAATGTGGTCATGGGGGGGAAAAGCAATGTTTTCTAAAGCATTCTCAAGTGGGAATGCTCATTTTTTGTTGTTGCAGGGTGGGTTCTGAAAGTTGGCAGATGTGTTTGAAGGTTTTGTAATAATCCACCATCCAATGACCATACATGGGTTGCCCAGAACAGTGAGAAATAATAGCAAAGTCATAGACTTAAATCTCTGGCTATGCCACTGACTCACTACAGGCTTTGTTTCCTCAACTGTCAAATAAGAATCACACCCCACCCCCTGCCTAATGAAAATGGTCATAGTGAGAATAAAGCAGCAATGCATGCAAAACAATTAAAAAGTGCTGTGAGAAAGATGAAGTGATTTGTAAACCCTTTAATTTTTATCACTTGTACTATTTTTAGTAATGGGGTAATTCTTGATAACTTCTTCACATTGTGTCTTACTATCTTAAATAACCATGGATACCAGTGTTAGTAAGTCAAGAAAGGGCCTGCATTTGTCTTGAGCTAAAAAGTATATCAAAAACAGTTGTCGTATCAATTTTTAAATTGACAGGAAAAAATAAAAGCTATATTTGGGAGGAGAAGGCATGGGGAATAACTGTCTACTATTGAAAAAAATGTGGTATTTATCAGTTTCTTGTGCTTGTTTGATCCATTTTATGCAACGTAAAATAAACGTTTTTGAGGAAAGGACTCATGGTTGAAAATGCTTATCTTCAGAGATTTAATCTTTTGAAAAAAAAATTTATCTTCAGAGGAAACCATTGTGTTTTGTAGTCCACCAAATCCGAAACAGTTTGTCATCCAACACTGCTATGAGCATTTGGACAATTTGCTATATAACTTTATGTTACTATATTAGGTAAAGCTTTCCTCACTAAAAATTAATAGAGATGTTTGAAATCTAAAGATTTTTAGAGTACAATTTTTTTAAAGAAGTTGGTGGTAGGAAAAAAAAGAGAGAAGCAGTTTAAATACCAAGTTTGAGTTAGCAAGTGTTCTAAATACAGCACAACTATCTTCAACCACTTTGTTTTCTATAAAACATCTAAAAAGAAAATCTTTAGAAAAAGAATTCTAGGCTAAATGGCCCAAATGTTTAACAAAATGAAAAATCTCTAAGATATCTCTTCTTCTCCTGATTGACCCAGTTTCCAGCACTGCTAATATATATAAAAATAAATGTCCTACTGAACTTCCCAAAAAGTTAATATTCTAAAATCAGAATACCCTTGCCAAATGGTTCTTCCAGCCCTGCCTACTTGGGCAGAAGTCAGGAAAGATGTAATTACTTCTACCAATTAGCACTCCCTCTTGCTTCATACCTGAAACCGGTTTTCATCTGGAACTAGAACACTCAGTGCTCATGAGGTTTCTCACAAACCTTTTAGCCTTTGGCTCTTTCTGTCCACTTAAGAGTCAAGCTGGTAGCCTAAGGTGAGGCCTTGCTTTGGGTAGTTCACCATAAGAAAATTACATAGACAATTTGGTTACTACTCATAATCACAAGATGAATAATTGAATCTGTCTAATATACACCTTTTTCTTGGAGAGCTGCTGTGCAGCTGGCTAGGTTGTACACTGCACAACTCCAGGAGGTGCATTCACATAAACTACAGCGTGAGGAGTGCCCTGGCATTACTCAAGGAGCAACCTACACAATTGTACAGTGGAGTACTGTTTCTTTTCTCCTTCTCATGGTCAAGAAAGAGAACAATCTTATGCACCTTGACAGTGAATAATTACAGGTCACTTCACATAAAAATGGCTCTTTTAGGCTGGGTGTGGTGGCTCATGCCTGTAATCCCAGCACTTTGGGAGGCCAAGGCAGGCAGATCACGAGGTCAAGAGATTGAGACCATCCTGGCCAACATGGTGAAGCCTCATCTCTACTAAAAATACAAAAATTAGCTGGGCTTGGTGGTGCGCACCTGTAGTTCCAGCTACTCGGGAGGCTGAGGAAGGAGAATCGCTTGAACCCGGGAGGCAGAACTTGCAGTGAGCCGAGATGGCGCTACTGCACTTCAGCCTTGTGACAGAGCGAGACTCCGTCTCAAAAAAAAAAAAAAAAAAAAAAAAAAAAGCTCTTTTATGCCTCTTTTGAAGTTTGGTGACAGAATTGGTTAACATTTTATTAAATGGCAATTTAATAAAACTAACTTACTTTGGGCTGGGCTCACCTATGTGCTTTACACCTATTAATTTAATCCTCACAACAAACCTATAAGGTAAGTAAAATTAATTTTTATTCCTATTGTACAGATGAAGAAACTGAAAGATTAAGGAATGTTCCCAAGTTATATGCTAGTACATGGTTGGGAGTTGGATTTAAATTCAGTGATTCAGAATCCAGTATCCAATTTTATATTATCATACTTGACTGCAGCCTACACAGCATTTCAAATGAGCATTTAAGAATATCCAGGGATATTTATTTTTCTTAGCATTCTGTCATGATACAAGGCTTAACTTTCTAAATTAATTGAATTTACTCTAAAAATCAGTTATTGGAAATTGAATTCTTCACAATTAAATAATTTCCAAGTAATCAGATATATATCAACTTTGTTCAATTAAGGAATTTGCTTTGATAAATACAAAGTTTATCACAATGTTTCAGAGTTTTTAAATTTTAAATTTCAATATATATAGAAAGCTATGAGATATTATGAAAGATGCTAATATGAATGATATTACTTACCTGTGTATATTTCATGACATTTTTCCCAAAAAAATTTAATAAATACAAAATCATGTTTAAAATTTGGACTGATTTATTTGAATTATCTAATTCATTCTACAAATTTCCCCAAGAATCCCCATTCTAGAAATCAGAAGTGTAGTCAGGCCCTAGGCCTGGCTGGGATGAGCTACCTGCATCTAATCCATAGTCTTATGTTCTGTCCCCTGCCACACTAAAGCATGAGGTAACCCCAAACAAGATCTCGGCCAAACTAAAGAGCAGGTGCTATTATACTTGCTTTTTGTTTAATCTAGCTACCCATATCCTCAGATTATATTTATTGTGTACATACCATATTCAATAGGAACCTTAGTGATACAACCATATACATTTTTATTAACAAATAGAGCATATGGATATCAAATTGCTTTATTTCATATATTTTTTAAATTTAATAATTAGATTTGCTTTTGATAATATTTGTAATTCATATCTATACCAAGGCACTAAGGCTATATCAATGCTTTAAAAATCATATAATTAAAATTTACAAAATAACCAGAAAACAAAAAGAAAGAAAAGTACAGTAATTCTCAAGATAAGGGAGGTTTTCTCCATGTTGGTATTTCCAATCCAGGCCACCAAAAGAGACAACTTAGTTCATTCAAATCGTCAGAAAACTATGTAAATATTTATTGGCTTGATTTAGTCATTCCACAGTTTATACATATCTCAAAACAACATGTACATGATAAATATATACAATTTTGTCAATGAAAATAGATTTACAAATAAAAACACATAAATTGTTTTTAAAATGTCCAAAATTATTATATTAGCAAATTAACTAAAACAAGTAGCCATTATATAAATATTAACTAAAATAATTTTTTTAAAAAAATACTATTCTAAATAATGTAAGGCTGTGCTGTCCTCTAAAAATCTGAAGATCATTGCAATATTCAGAAATGTTTCCCATCACCTACTTCCTGGGAAAACAAATATTCTACCTTATTGTGTATTAGAAGAATCATTCTCTGTAGGGCTAGTCCAAGCATGATTCATATTTTCGGGATGACTCTCCAGTTTTCCTGTAAAGGGGAGCCTGCCTGGCCCATCCCTCCTCTCATGTGTAGCTGAGTCATTTTTATGCGCTGAGAAAGGAATTGTGCAGTTACTACATTTATCTGGTCTTTTCTACCAAGTAACTCAAGGTACTGCTTTAAAAAGAGCAACAATGTTGGAAAATAATTTTGAGACATGTTATAACCACAAGTAATGGTTCTTTTCCATGACAAATTTGAACACGCACTCTTTGGAATCAAGGTTTCAGCTGGAATGTCTAGAAGGGAAGAGTCCTGACATCTTATGTCTGACATAATTACTCATTTGGTTCAGACTTGGACTAGTCTATTCATTATAACCCTAGAAAATAAACAATCTACATTGTTTCAAGAGCAACCATAGTCTTTTGCCAAATAGAAATCTAAATTGACTGTCATATAATTTTCTTTGTACCATTAGTTTGTTTTTTTTTTTTTTCTCTTTATGACAACTTTGGTTAGAATTTAGCAGTAGTTGGCTCACACCTGTAATCCCAGCACTTTGGGAGGCCAAGGCGGGTGGATCACCTGAGGTCAGGAGTTCGAGACCAGCCTAACCAACATGGTGAAACTCCGTCTCTGCTAAAGATACAAAATTAGCCGGGTGTGGTGGTGTGCCCATGCCTGTAATCCCTGTTACTCGGGAGGCTAAGGCAAGAGAATCCCTTGAACCCGGGAGACGAAGCTTACATTGAGTCAAGATCGCACCATTGCACTCCAGCCAGGGCAAAAATTGCACTCCAGCCAGGGCAAAAAGAGCGAAACTCCGTCTCAAAAAAAAAAAAAAAAAGAATTTAGTAGTAGTGAGGTACATGCTCTGGAGTTAGGCTACTGCGGTCGCTATCCTATTATGGCCATTAGCTAGGGCAAAGTATTCATTCCCTTGCATCTCCAATTCTTCATCTGTATACTAGGGATTATAATACTAGAATCTCCTTCAGGTGCCTGCTGTAAGTATTACATAAAACAGTAAGTATAAAGCTCTAGGAGTAGCAGCTGATACCGAAACTACACAATAAACATTAGCTACTGTTATTACTCTTCTAGTTTTTTTTTTCTTCTGACTTATTTTCCACCATTATTTTCCGACCAGATTCATCCGATAATCAGTGGATTAGCAAATACTTGTTAAGCACCTGTGAGGGTTACAAGAAAAAAAAAATAACCTAATAGCACTGAACTGGAAAGTTTACAATACTCCTGGCTTAGCACAGAAATTCTTTCATGTGCATAAAACAAGAAATAATAAACTGTGGTAAACCATCATGGGCTAAATTTCATGGTACAGAATATGTGTTGTACAAACTCAGAAAAAGAGACATCAGTAAAGACAATTTCATGGAGGTTGTTGGAACTTGATGGATCTGGAAGGATGAGCAATATTTAAGTGGGTGGAGTAGAAAGAGGTAATGCATGCCAGGCAGAACAGAAGATGAAAAATGACACAGATGAATGTCTCATATGCTCTTGAGAAGGTGAAGACCCTAGCCTACATGGCTTCATTTTACTGTCATTTAATTTTTTGGGGCCACTCTGAAAATTAAGTTCAATATTTAAATTGAAGTAATAGAGCAGAGATGAACAGATCCATGTCTCACTGCAAACAGGGTTTGTGATTGGAATAGCATATCCTCATCTTTTACGTTTTGTTCTCTAAACCAGACTGGTTCCATTCCATTCTTTTCACTTGTACAATTAAAGAAAATGTTCTGTAATTGTAGAGGACTAATACAGGATTGCCTTCCTACAAATCAGTTGGGTGGCTGAAGGTTTTTAATAATCCCCTGTGGCCCCTTTCTGAAGCATTTCACAATGGTGCTTACCAATGTTTCCCAAAGCAATGACTTTCATAGCTTCCAGGAACGGTGTATAAAGCAGCCAGGTAAGAATTGTGTGGTTGCTGCAACTGACTATTAGGCATAGTTTTTGCAAAGTCCAATAGGTTCTTCTTTATGTCATCAAAATTCTGTAGTCAATTAAAAAACTGGTGGAATGTGTTTATATTGACAGTAATATTCCTTTTCCTGGTAGGAACTTACCCTTTGATTATGGCTTCTTGAAACTTACTTCTTTTGAAATAGAAACAAATCACAATATGAACAATAGAATATAATAATCAGGATTATTCATTGTATATAATTCCTTATTTGAAGAATTCACATTTAATTCGACTTTATTTAAATGTCTGCAGGTGGTCATATTGGTTCATGGAGAATTGCGAATAGAGGTAAAGTATGAAAAAGGTTTTTGTACTTAAAATAATAGTTTAGTTTAAAAAAAAATTAAATTGTGTTTAGTAGAAATGAATATTTAATTTCTAAAATTATTCAATAATTTAATTGTGAAAATATATAAAATTAAAATTCTAATAACTGATAACAATATTTTAAAACTAGTCATCCATAAATGTCATTATTATAATTTATTTCATGCATTCTTTTCTTCTTATCTTAAACAAATCAGCTGGTCAAACCCTATGGGCCCAGTAAGATACTGTGGAGTATAAAAAGAAAATATAAAATACGACTAAATGCTAATATTAAAAATCACATAGCTTTGTAGTTATTTTAGTTATTTAACATTTATTACTTGCTTGACAAAGTATCAGGTAGAGCTAATTAGATACCTAACAGTCTTAGTGATCTTGAAACATAGGGGGTTCCTCAACTAGGTGTCTGTAATCAATATTCTAAGCAAAAATTGCCATTAATTTCCATAACAAATGGAATCCCTTTTTACATAAGACTAAAGGTCAATATGATGAAGAAGAGATGACTATGCAACAAGCTAAAAGAAGGCAAAAACGTGAATGGGTGAAATTTGCCAAACCCTGCAGAGAAGGAGAAGATAACTCAAAAAGAAACCCAATTGCCAAGGTAAGTTATATCAACAGGAGCGTATGAGTTTTTAGAATAAATGTATAAGGTGTAAATTAAAATAATACGGCAATTCCAAATAACAAAATGAAGACTGGGGAGTCCACAGAACAAGTGAACTGGTATCCTCAACAAAATAGTACAATAATAATAATAATGAGAGAAAGAGAGAAAGGAAGGTAGCTTCTAGGGTTATGAAAAAGAATTGAGACAAAGAATTGAGACATATTGACCAATTTTAATATAGAAGGCTTACTTGGATACAGAGTCTAGCAAACAAATAGGAAAAATAATGCATGTATAAGACAGAAATGGTTGGGAGCAAAATATGGATTGGTCATGTATTGATAACTGTTGAAGCTCAGTGATAGGATGTATCAGGTTTATTATACTATTCTCTTTCTTTCTTTCTTTCTTTCTTTCTCTTTCTTTCTTTCTTTCTTTCTTTCTTTCTTTCTTTCTTCTTTCTTTCTTTCTTTCTTTCTTTCTTTCTTTCTTTCTTTCTTTCTTTCTTTCTTTTTCTGAGATGGAGTCACTGTGCCTCCCAGGCTGGAGTGCTGTGGCGCGATCTCAGCTCACTGCAACCTCCTCCTCCCAGGTTCAAGCAATTCTCCTGCCTCAGCCTCCTGAGTAGCTGGGATTACAGGCGTGTGCCACCATGCCCGGCTAATTGTTTTTGTATTTTTAGTAGAGACGGGGTTTCACCATATTGGCCAGGCTGATCTCGAACTTCTGACCTCATGATCTGCCCACCTCGGCCTCCCAAAGTGCTTGGATTACAGGCATGAGCCACCACGCCCAGCCTGTTATACTGTTCTAACTTTACATATATTTCACATTTTTCATGTTAAAAAGCTTTAAAATTACAATAATAATAAGTAAATTATTTTAATACATATTTTAACCCTACCATACAATCTCTTTCCCTTTTTGTCTCTCCACTTCCCCCTATTTAAACTAAATAAATATCTTTTGTTTTTTAATGTTGTCAGGTAAAGAGGGAGCCTTCAGGAGTAGCCTTGTCAATATTAAATGACTTTGACTTTCTTTTAACATTTTAACACTATCATGTGGCCACAGTCTGAGCAAATATTCTAACACTAAAATGATTAGTGCACATCATTGGTTCAGGCTGGTTGTCAAAAACAACGGTTTGATTTTATTTCATATTCCTAGTATCTATCAAGGCAAAAAGTAAATGGCACAATGTCAAAAAGAGTGAATCGAATGAACAGATGACTTTAGACTATGGAAGTGGGGGTGGAGAGGGAAAGGCTTGAGTGATGGTCACCTCAACGTTTTTGGTATTTGGGGCTGTAGATTACTTCAGATTACCAAGCAACCCAGAAAATCACCTACCGAATCTCTGGAGTGGGAATCGATCAGCCGCCTTTTGGAATCTTTGTTGTTGACAAAAACACTGGAGATATTAACATAACAGCTATAGTCGACCGGGAGGAAACTCCAAGCTTCCTGGTAAGTTTGGGTCCTCAACATTGGGCTACCCTTCTCCTTGTATACCATCGCTTTAGAAAGTGACAGTTTTCTACTGGTAAATTTAGAGGAGAGTTCAGTACATGCATCAGTCCACCAGCAAATAACAATATTAGTCCCTCCACAGAGCCTCGCCTGAGGGAACACAGCAGAGGGTGCATGAGTGAGGGTTGAAATCTAGCACGCCAAGTGCTTCAGTTTGCCATGACACAGCATTAGCCTGGTGGAAGGGGCAACTTGCCCAGTTGGTCTGCCCAGAGCAGGCACCTTTTTCCACTTTGTCTACCCTTTGGGGAAACATTTCTTCTTTGCACAAAAGTGATGTCCATGCCAACAGAGGCCTTATTTATACAAGTTTTAATAGTATGAAAACTGATTGCAGAGTAATACTCCACATTTTCCCTCTGTTCCTAGATCACATGTCGGGCTCTAAATGCCCAAGGACTAGATGTAGAGAAACCACTTATACTAACGGTTAAAATTTTGGATATTAATGATAATCCTCCAGTATTTTCACAACAAATTTTCATGGGTGAAATTGAAGAAAATAGTGCCTCAAGTAAGTCTTTTACAGTACTTACCACTTTCAGTTTATCTACTTTCAAATATGAGTCCCACTACAATATGTCATTCTTATAAACTAATTTATGCTCTTAGTTTAATCAGTAGTTTTGAAAAATAAAATTCATTAAGATAAATCTGGGTCTTCCTTTCTAAAATGTGTATTTGAGCTAATTATTTACTATCACTGTATTTCTAGTTATAGTCTGGTTATCAGGTCAATAGTATCTTATTCTATATATACAATTTATATGAGCATTTGGCAGTCACAAAGCTAAACAGGCAGCCTTGGGTAGCCTGGATGCATCAGCTGGGCTCTTTCAGGTTATAAAGGACAGAGACACACTCACATTACTTGGATAATTTGTGGAAAGGGGAGAATTATGACAATCTATCAAGGGAGAAAATTGAGATAGAATATAGCCTCAATCTCAGCAAACGTAAGGCTTAGAGAGAATCGAAGAGTTTGTATGGAAGGAAGCACAGTTCTACCTGGTTGGGAGAGACAGAAAGAGGTATCACAAGTGATATACAATTTTTTGAACATACAGATGATTTTAGGATATTTAAAAATTAGCATCAATGTGAACTTGTTTGGAATATTTAAAGTAAACATAATGTTAATTGTTACATATTCTTTAATAAACGTTTTCCTGTATTCCTAGACTCACTGGTGATGATACTAAATGCCACAGATGCAGATGAACCAAACCACTTGAATTCTAAAATTGCCTTCAAAATTGTCTCTCAGGAACCAGCAGGCACACCCATGTTCCTCCTAAGCAGAAACACTGGGGAAGTCCGTACTTTGACCAATTCTCTTGACCGAGAGGTACAGCAAAGCACTTGGGGGAACATTCAAGATTAAAGGGTTTGATTATAAGAAAACCAAGAGAGGTGACTCCATTTTACCCGAAAATTAAAAAAGAAAAGAGGTTCTCAGTACTTAACTTGGCTAATCTAGGGAAATTGTTTGCATTTTTAAGTGTGATTCTGGTGAGGCGAGATGTGTACCGGGCACCTGCAGAATCAGTTGTACCCTGAACATACCAGTGGAAGTTAAATAGGGGCAATGAAAGAAGGCATTGACATAGACATACATGGACAAAGATTGAACTGCAGCTAATTCCTCATGTGATGGAGGAGAAGCAAGTGTCTTAGATGAAGGGAGAAATTTCTGTCTGGAATAAAGCCTTCTTTTATATCACACTTTTTCTCCTGACTTCTCTTAATTTTATCCCTGCTTCCAGAGCACTAAAGAATCTCCTTCTCCAATCCCCCTCATTACCTACCACCACCACCTTCTATCTCCATTACCACAGGCTACCCGGTCAGACCCCATATTATTTTTGTACAAATGGCTTTCCCAATAGACTAACAGAGAAGCTCCATAAGTGAGCTTATTACTCCCACCCTACTCATTGCCCATTTTTGCTCTAAGGTTACGGTAGAGTACAGTCCTGCCATAAGAAGCTCACAAAACAGAAAACCTGCCCTAGCCCCTTAAAGACCTCCACCCAACCATCCAGAGTCCCACAAATGTCTTCTACATAAAATTGAATATTTCTACCTCCTTACCCATAGGAATCAAGTAGTTTCCATTTATAATTCTTTGGGATTAATTATTTTTCTTTATTTTTTATCCAAAATTAGCAAGCTAGCAGCTATCGTCTGGTTGTGAGTGGTGCAGACAAAGATGGAGAAGGACTATCAACTCAATGTGAATGTAATATTAAAGTGAAAGATGTCAACGATAACTTCCCAATGTTTAGAGACTCTCAGGTACACCCATTGCTCCTTAAAGAATCATTTAGATATATATTTAATACTTTGAAATCCTAATTCAGGACTTGCCTGTTTGTTGGCTTTTATTTAAGTTCTCTGCACTTATCTTTAAAGAAATATGCTTTTTAAAAAATATAAGAATTCAGTAATAAGAAGAAGGAAATACATAATTTGAGAAATAAGGATTACCATTTAGAAGAAACATAATCTCTCCATGTAAAACCTGTCATTAGGTCTTTAATTCTGCTTCTCGCCTTTTCAGTATTCAGCACGTATTGAAGAAAATATTTTAAGTTCTGAATTACTTCGATTTCAAGTAACAGATTTGGATGAAGAGTACACAGATAATTGGCTTGCAGTATATTTCTTTACCTCTGGGAATGAAGGAAATTGGTTTGAAATACAAACTGATCCTAGAACTAATGAAGGCATCCTGAAAGTGGTGAAGGTAAGGTCTGACTTCCCTTCATTGGTAAAAAAAATTCTGTATTAACCAAAATGATCATTTCTACAGATAAAATGTATTTATTTGTTAATATCACTTTATTACAGAAAACACATAAAAGTAGATTGAATTTTTTGTAATCCCCATAGAGCCGCTTTACCTGAGGACAACCTCTCTTAACATCTTGAACTCATTCCAAGCTATTGAACTTTCTATAGTAAACACAAACACACTAACATGCTATGGGAGTGATGATGTATACTTTAAGCACATGGTCATATATTATGGGTGTCCATACTTTAAGCACAAGAAAGCAAAACACATTTCTTGACTTAATCTCATTTGCAACAATCAGATTGAAGTTAGGACAAGATAAGAATGGATGGAATCACGTCTTGCCCATTCGTCAATCGGTTTTAAATGGATTAGCTACAGTCAATAGAGAATAAATGGCAACTCTTCCTACAAAATGGGAATTTATGAACAAAATCTGCAAAATAAAAGATAAATAATTGGGTAAAGCTTTTAATATGCTTGGCTATGACAGACTCCTTATCTGAGAGTGTGATCTGGGCCCCTTCCTTGGTACAGCACTTTGGTTTTTCGTTTGGTTGGTTGGTTTTTGTTTTTTGTTGTTGTGGTTGTGGTTGTGGTGTTTTTGTTTTTGTTTTTGTTTTTTTTGAGACAAGGTCTCACTCTGTCATCTAGGCAAGAGTGCAGTGATGTGATTTTGGCTCACTGCAGCCTTCACCTCCCAGGCCCCAGTGATCCTCCCACCTCAGCCTCCTGAGTAGCAGGGTCCGCATCATGTGCCATCATGCCCGGCTAATTTTTATAGTTTTAGTAGAAATAAGGTTTCACCATATTGACCAGGCTGGTCTCGAACTCCTGATCTCAAGTGATCCACCCGCCTTGGCCTCCCAAAGTACTGGGATTACAGGCATGAGCCATCGCATCTGGCCCTTGGTACAGCATTTTGGATTCTATGAGAGCGTCCTTATTTAAACCTTAAATCCAGTTGAGTGACAGACCATATAATCCTTTAACAAGGGGGCTGCTGAAAGCTGTACATGCAGTCCTTTGTTACTGTACTCTTTGGGACAAGTGCCACAGCCATCCCCACTTGTAAGGGTTTTGTTATAAACTCCCACCAATGCCTGGGAGTGAGCTATTCTCTATCTTGTGTATTGGTGTCATTCAGTCTCCCAAACTAGAAACGTGGGCCTTACCCTGAATTGTGACATTTCCTCACAGCATACAGCCTTAGAAATTGTCTTTGAAGTCTGACCCTCTTCTACCTCCTTACTGCCTGTGCCCTGGCCTGGCTTTTCCTCTCTTCTCTTAGATGATTGCAGTCCCTCCTAATAGATATCCCTACCTCTTGTCTCCATTGACTTTGTTCTCCTCATTCTTACCAGTGCACCACCACATTTTTCTTAAAAACAATTTGGATCCCTTACTCTTCTCTTTAAAACCATCCCTGGCTCTACACTGGCTATGAAGCTGGCCTTCAACCCTAATTACCAACTCAAGTTACCTGCAACTTTCCCTTGACAGTAAGGGTGTAGGAACTATTGGAGAAGCCCAGGCAGCAGTGGGTCCTTAAGACTCCTCAGGTGACTCTACAGTCAGCCAGGGTTGCTAGCTCCTAGCCCTTTAAGATGAAATTCACAAGGCAATTTGTTATCTGTATTCAGCCTGCAACTGCTTTCACCTATGCCTGGATAATTTCCCGGCATCCTTCAACACTCAGCTTAGATGAATACCTCTCAGAAACCCTTCATAGCTCTCCTAAGTAGAATTATTCCTTTGCTTTCACACATAGACCCTATCATCTCTTTTGCCTCTTACCCCTTGTATTATAGTTCCATGTTTAGACATCTTTCTCTTCCACTTCACTGGAAAATGCTTGAGCACACAAAGCCAGTCATTGCAAAGTTAAAACTTAAATCCAGATCTCTTACTTGAATCATTTTTAGTGATATACAGTTGTAACCAATATGAGCATTTTCTTATCTCATCACTCTCAGAAAAATTTACTAGTGAGTGAAGAAAAGTTATCCTGGGATTCCTCAGGCCTTGATTTGGGCCACCTCAATAAGGGGATCAAACAAATGGCTATCATGCAAGACCTTCTGAAAATGAGTCCACAAAGAGTTTGCCTTTCCCACCTAAGAATTTTTAAAGTCAGGAAAGATACCATTGTACATAAATCCAGTGAAGATTCTGCAAATGACCATAACTGCCAGTTATAAGAACGTATTAGGGGCCTTGATTTGTTCAGTCCTCACTACACCCTGATGAGGTAAGGCTTTTTTTTCAGAAGTGGAGAGTTGAGGATCAGAGAAAACAAACATTGTTCCCTGAGTCACACAGCTATTAAGCAGCAGAACCAGGATTCAAATCATGTTACCATAGCAAACTTGGGGTTCTTTCCACTGCACCTCATAGCCTAAAGAGACTATGATGATGTCTTTCTAGTCTGAAAGAGGTACCCTTATTAGTACCAAACTGAGGTCTCATGAGTTAAGAATCCTAAAGCTTTCTCTGTCTCAACATTACAATAATTTCTGAAGCTGTTTTGCTATTTAAAAACAAGAGAATTCATTCACAGCATCTTGCATAGTGTGCTGTCATCATCTACTGGGTTTGCGGGAGTGTATTTTTGTGAAACTGCCTTCTAATTTTATTTTTTCTCCAGGCTCTAGATTATGAACAACTACAAAGCGTGAAACTTAGTATTGCTGTCAAAAACAAAGCTGAATTTCACCAATCAGTTATCTCTCGATACCGAGTTCAGTCAACCCCAGTCACAATTCAGGTAATAAATGTAAGAGAAGGAATTGCATTCCGTCCTGCTTCCAAGACATTTACTGTGCAAAAAGGCATAAGTAGCAAAAAATTGGTGGATTATATCCTGGGAACATATCAAGCCATCGATGAGGACACTAACAAAGCTGCCTCAAATGTCAAGTAAGACTATTTTTATTTATATCCTATTTCTTGATGAGGTTTTAATCTATAAGCTATCACAACATAACACATAAACTATTATGTGCCAAGAATAGAGATATGACATTGATTAAAAACAAGAAACTGGGTAACTCAAAAAGTAACATTTAGCTAAATCATTAGGTGATCATCTAACTGTACTAGAAGCAAAGATAACATAAGCACAAGTTACAGTGGAAACCAAGGGAAGAATGCCTTAGCCTATCAACAGAAATTGGGAACATGTCTCATGGAAACTTACAGTTGAGTCTTACAAAGGAGTAGAAGTGCACCATGAGAACATGTTTTTATCATATAAAACAGCACTTACAAAGACATATATGCCTAAAATATAACGGCACCATGCAAAATAATTGCTATATTATACAGAGCAAGAACACAGGTATTTTATTTTATTGTGCATAGCAGATATGCTTAAGAATTATGAAATATGGGCCTGGCACAGTGGCTCACACCTGTAATCCCAGCACTTTGGGAGGCCGAGGCAGATGGATCACTTGAGGTTGGGAGTTCGAGACCAGCCTGACCAACATGAAGAAACCCCATCTCTACTAAAAATACAAAATTAGCCGTGGTGGTGCACACCTGTAATCCCAGCTACTCGGGAGGCTGAGAATCACTTGAACCCAGGAGGCAGAGGTTGTGGTGAGCCGAGATGGCACCATTGCACTCCAGCCCGGGCAACAAGAGCGAAACTCCGTCTCAAAAAAAAAAAAAAGAATTATGAAATATGGTCATCTATGCTATGTTAATTTTCTGTTGCTTTTTATAAAAGCATATTTCAATGTGAACATATATTAAATATGAATATACTAAATATAAAATGAGTCATTTTCATTAAATATGTAACATTCCACATTTGAAAGAAAACTGATTTTTTTAATATTATGAAACAGATATGTCATGGGACGTAACGATGGTGGATACCTAATGATTGATTCAAAAACTGCTGAAATCAAATTTGTCAAAAATATGAACCGAGATTCTACTTTCATAGTTAACAAAACAATCACAGCTGAGGTTCTGGCCATAGATGGTAAGAAAAATATTTGAATCATTTCAGAGGAATGTTATCGTAATTGATGTTTCTTTATGCATAGATGATTATGATTATTCAACATATTATCTTTACCACTGGAGAGAGAGAATTATCTTAGGAGTGTTGGGCCTCAAGTTTGAGGCAGCTGAATCCGGGAGAGAAAACTAAGAGTTTCAACTTCTCAGTGGAGATTGAACCAGTGAATTCTGTGTTAGGTCCCTGTGGTTTGCTGTGGTTGAAGCAGAAATTTTTTGACTGACAGAAATCCCTGGGTTTGAGGGAATGGATAAGGATTCATAGACAAAGCGCATCAGGGAATCTCAACTTGAACGTCAGGTGCTTTTGTGAGGTACCTATAGAGACCTCATGTACTTTTATCATTGAACAATGCAATTTCCTCTTCTGGAATGTTTTAAAATAATATTCATTGAGTGTATGTGTTTCCCCAAGTATAAAATTAATTTATGTTGAAGGTAATAAAAAAGATAACACCCCCCAAAAGAAATAAGTATCAAAAAGATTGCCATTTGGGAAAACAAGAAAAGAAGTAGTAAGGGTAACAACAGAAATGACACATAATGCCCCCACAGAGAGATTTTTATTTCATTATTTTTTATTTTCAGCATTTAAAATTTTTCTTTAATAAACTTTAACATTTTGAGTAATAAAAATATACAATTTTTTATTCCAAATAAAAAATGTGTGCTTTAGAAGCAGAAACTTTTCACACATTGATTACAAGTGAAATCAACACATTTAAGAAAGTTACTATTTTTGTGCTGATTTTATTTGAAATTGGTGAATTCATCATCTTACTGGTCTTGGGTTCGAGCATATTAAATTAATTCTCAATTAATTATAGTTAGAGACATCAGCCTATTTGGTAAATTTCAATTTGCTTTTTACAAGATGCAGAAATAGGATGACTATTTTTACTTCTGAGGATAATATAGTATTTCATGAGAAGACACACTGAGTTGGCTACAGAAAAGAGAAATGTAAAAGATTCTCCTTTTTTGTACAACTTTGTTCTATACATTTCTTTAACTCTAAAACATTGTTCTTACAGAATACACGGGTAAAACTTCTACAGGCACGGTATATGTTAGAGTACCCGATTTCAATGACAATTGTCCAACAGCTGTCCTCGAAAAAGATGCAGTTTGCAGTTCTTCACCTTCCGTGGTTGTCTCCGCTAGAACACTGAATAATAGATACACTGGCCCCTATACATTTGCACTGGAAGATCAACCTGTAAAGTTGCCTGCCGTATGGAGTATCACAACCCTCAATGGTGAGTAACAGTAAAGTTGCTTCTATAAATGCAAACTGCTCCTTTGTATTTCCAGAAGAATAAGGAAGATCATTTAAGAGCAGGTCCTTCCAAAAGTAACTGGAAAAATTCTTTGCAATGAAGATGTGGCTGTAGCATTGTGAATTACTTCTCTTTTCAGAAGAGAAAAGGAATGATATACTGTTAGCACCATTTCATATTTTATTTTGAATCCTTTTTAGGGTTCGTTTGATATTTTAACATTTTAAATCTGTTTATTTCTACTTCCATAGTGCACCCAAAAAAGATTAGAGTCAGGCATCTAGGTGGGGCACGGTGGCTCACACCTGGAATCCCAGTACTTTGGGAGGCCAGGATGGGAGGATCATCTGAGTTCAGGAGTTTGACACCAGCCTGGCCAACATGGTGAAACCCCATTTCTACTAAAAATACAAAAATTAGCTAGGTGTGCTGGCGCATGCCTGTAATCCCAGCTATTCAGGAGACTGAGGCAGGAGAATCACTTGAACCCAGGAGGTGGAGGTTGCAGTGAGCCAAGATCCTGCCACTGCACTCCAGCCTGGGCAACAAGAGTGAAAACTCCATCTAAAAAAAAAAAGTCAGGTATCTATTTATCACAGAGCTGTTTAGATTTCTAAATACTAAATACATAAACTTGTTCTGATGGAGCAGTCTATGAGCAGACATGTAGCATGAAGAAGTCAGTCTGCTCAAGGCTCACAGGGAGTGCCGCTTACACTATCACTAGTCAGGAACATTGAGAGCATAGCGGACTGAAATTTGCAAACCCATTATCCAACAGGGAGGAGCTAATTCATCCTTTCTCTTTCCCAACCTTTATCATACTCATTGTACATTGTCTGTGCTTTCCAGAAGTGTCATAGAAATAGACATTAGACTCCCTAAAATCTCCATCCTTTCTGGATTTTATAATGACGATGAGACCACTTCAAATCCTTAGTAAACTCATTTTTCCCTAGCTCCTTTCTGAACCAGCCTTGCTTCCTTTCATGAATGTACATGCTGTTAAAGCATGTCCTTCAGTCCTAAGTAGCAGCCACTGCCAGAGTTACCAAAGGGATCTTGATCTTCATGGTCATCTTTCCTTGGGCCCTCACACTTCTGACATAAAGATCTATCTCCAAACTGTGCATGTAGCATTTTGCTCCAAATGAGTTTACTGGATACGTGGCCAATGAAGAGGCTGCCAAAGAAAGATCAGAGAGGGCCGGGATGTGTCACAAGACATACCTGCCCAGGTGTGGCTGGGCAAGGCAACAGTGATTGGACTAGGTGGGCAAGGCACAATGTCAAAGGATATGGTGGGATCAAAAAGATTCAACAAATGCAATGCTGAACCTTACAAGAACTGTCGTGGGATCCACTTTAAAAAGGCAACATAGCAATGGGAGATAGAAAACAGTCTATGCTCAGGACTCAGATAGGCAATAGGCCATCACCACAAGGAAATCCCATATCATAGACCTGCAGCTCACGGGATAAGAACCAGGAAGAGCACTTGAGGTAGTAGCAGCCAAAGTTGAAAGTCTTGATAAGTAAAACACAAGAACACAAAGTCAGGAACACTAACACTCAAAGGGCCACACAAGTCCAAGGATTGGTGCAGACATACAAGAGAGTGGTTAAGCCCCAGAAGAGGAGTACCTGACTCTAAATGATGTCGCCCATCTTCTTTAGTGGGAAAAGCAGAGTAGAACTGAGTTTCATGGGAGAGAATAATTGGCCTACCTGCAACAGAGAGGACAAGGAGGCAGGTGTAGACAGATTTACCCACTTGAACCCATTATAGCCCTCATCACTGCTCAAACATCACTCTATTATCAACCCTATTGTTTGTGGCAACTAACTCTGCTAATGAAAATAAGTAGTAAGAGTGTAAGACACTGCTGTGGTTGGAATAGGTCTTCCAAAGCTCATGTGTTGAAAACTTAATCCCCACTGCAGTAGTGTTGAGAGGTGAGACCTGTAAGAGGAAATGAGGTCATGAGAGCTCTGTCCTCATGCATGGATTAATGGTGTTACCATGGGAGTGGGTTCATTACAGTAAGAGTGAGTTGTTATAAGGGTGAGTTCAGCCCCCACGTGCTCTCATGCTCTCTTGTCCTTCCACCTTCCACCGTGGGATGATGAAGTCCAAAGGCCTTTGTCAGATTCTGACACCTTGATATTGAGCTTCCCAACCTTCAAAACTGTGAGAAATAAATGTGTTTTCTTTATGAATTATCCAGTCTGTGATATTCTGTTATAGCAACACAAAATAGACTGAAAAGACACTTCGTCCTACTGTTGATTTGCATGATTCTTTCTCTACAGCTACCTCGGCCCTCCTCAGAGCCCAGGAACAGATACCTCCTGGAGTATACCACATCTCCCTGGTACTTACAGACAGTCAGAACAATCGGTGTGAGATGCCACGCAGCTTGACACTGGAAGTCTGTCAGTGTGACAACAGGGGCATCTGTGGAACTTCTTACCCAACCACAAGCCCTGGGACCAGGTATGGCAGGCCGCACTCAGGGAGGCTGGGGCCTGCCGCCATCGGCCTGCTGCTCCTTGGTCTCCTGCTGCTGCTGTGTGAGTAGCCAATGTTTCATTCTCTGTTGGACCAGGTGTCCTCATTTGCAAAGGCCTCCATGCTGCCCTGCTCATCTGTGCAATGGGGAAAGAATATTCTCTGATGTTTTATAGGTAAAGCTAGGGGAAAATGGCATTTTCAGAAAGAATCTGAAATGTGTAACATGTCGCTTGCTAACAGTCTATATTCATATAGCAACACAAGTTATATATGTCAGACATTTAGAAGACAGCACAAGATAATCAAGAGAAAAGCAAATCATGAAGACTTTCTACACACTGTTAGTAATGTTCATGGTCAAAATTATGGCTTTATCCAAGAGTGTGGCACTTTCTAAGATGTTTTCTCTATATTCATTACATCTCATGAGATTCTAAGATAAAAAGAGAACACTAGTCAAACAAAGTTAGGGAAATACAAATAGGGTATCATAGGCTATTAAGATATCACCACATGCTATTAATATTAATTAATTAATTAACCCCCACTAATATTAATCAATAGCATATGATATTAATATTAATATCATATGCTATTAAGATAGCTAGGTTCTGAGAAGTTATTGCTTCATCTAGCATTTCCTCAAAATAGATTGCCATCTGAATATGCATCCCCTTTAATACTTTCACATTTAATATAACTAAGTTTATTAAACACATTTAGAAAACTATGCGTAAGTATCCTTTTCCAATAAAGGTAAAATTTATTCAATAGATAGGTTTCTGAAAAGTTGTATTTGAATCAAAATCATATAAATCAAATAGTATTTGATTGTAAGAGGTCTCTATTTAAAAGAACTTCCTGACTAATTCTTGTATAAACAAGAGAAATCCTTGCTAAATTCACACTTTCTTAATTTATTATAAAAATCACAGTTTTAGAGTTAAAATTAATTATATGATTATTAATTTTAAAACCACAAAAAGTAGAGAAAATGTGTAGACAACTACACATACAACCATCACTTCAACTGAACAGATATGAATGTTTTGCAATATTTTTTCAGGTCCCTTTTTTTAAAAAGAAATAAATTGCTATAGATACAGCTAATTGCCACACATGCTATATTTTTCCCTTCCTTATTCTCCAAAAGCATTTACTATTCTAAAGTTATTATACACCATTTAGTTTAAGAGCTGAAATTGACACTCAGAGATTTGGTTTTTCAATATCGTATTAATCAAGTTCAAGAACCAGAAATTTTTAAGTACCTCTATGTGAATCACTATGCTAGCTTCTAGCTGAAAAGGAAACTTGATTTTGGTTTTCATGCATGTCTAACTATAGGGGAAAAATACCATGATAAAGCTGTAATAGAAATTACTACAAAGGGGTAATTACAGAACATTTCACGGAATAGAGGAATCATTCAATTGAGCCTTGAAGAATGATTAGGATATAATCAGTATAAAAAATGGAAAAGGCATTTCCAAAAATTGACAGCATCAGCCAAGGCCAGAAAACACTTAGTATTTTCTGTTTTAGGAATCACACAGCCTTCGAAGGCTAAAGCGCGGGGAAATTGTGGAAAGTGAAGGAGCAACAGAGAATGCATTGGGACTAATTTGAAAGGGCTACATACACATGCTGTGGTGTTTGTACTTTATCCTATGAGAAAGAGGAGCTGCTAAAAGCATTTGAATAAAAGACTAACATGATCATATTTGTATTTTAGAAAGACAACCCTGGCAACAGTGTGTACAGTATAACAGTGTAAATTAGAAAGGAAAGAACACTTAAGAGGTCATTGTAAAAGTTCAAGAGAGATGATGAAGGTCAGATTTCGAGCTGTGACATGAGACTGGAAAATAAAGGACAAGTGTGCAGTGCATTACAGTGGCCCCTGGAGAGGATTGGGAGATTAATTGTTATGGTCTGAATGTGTGTGTCCCCCCAAAAAAATTCATATGTTGAAACTTAAACCCTAAAAAAATAGTATTAAGGAGTTGGGCCTTTACCTATATTAATTCAATCCTCATAACAACCTATGATGTAGATACTATTTATTCCCCCATTTTATGGATGAGTTAACTGAGCAAAGAAGGATGATATTACATGCCCAACATTACATAGCTGTTAAGTGGTACAGCCGAAATTTAAACCCTAGAATCTGACTTCGGAGGCTGCATGCTTAAACCCCTCACTAAGCTGCCTCTAAGTGAAGAGAGTTGAAACATTAGGATTCAGGTGGCCTTGGCAGGGCAGAGGTGGCAGTGGGGCCACTGACAACAAAGTGTGGGAAACACCTGCTTTCAAGAATAAGTATTTCACTCTTGGTCAGTTCACATGAGAATGACATTAATCTTTATTGCCAAGGATGTGCACAGAAAGATATTTACGCTGCCAGAAGAGTCCTCCAAGCTTAAGCCACAACTAAGAAATTCTTAAATTACAATTAAGAATGCATTGACAGCCATTGATTAGGCTATCACCCTAGTTACTGAGGGAGTTTTCTGGTTAATTACTGTTTACTGAGAGATAATTAGAGACTAGATTACCAAAACACCATCGTGCCCACCTAAAATCTGGACCATTCTGGTCATATATTTATCTGTGTATTCACCTGACACAATATACATAGCCCCAACATGTGCAAATAAATGCAATAATCATAAAAATGTATTAAGGAAAAGGATTGAGGAGCCAAACAGCCACTTTCATTCATACATCAGTGCCTATTTTAAGAAAATATACCAAAAAAATAACAACAAGAAATGATCTGATCTGTCTCCTTCAGTTTCATAATCACATGAAATTCTAGTGTGCTTACTGTACCAAGTTTCATTTGTAGAAACTAATTTTGGTTTTCATTAGGAATTTTCTACAAATATTTAAGATACTGTATTTTCTTTGTAACATTTCTGAAAAATTATCACATTAAATAGTTCCTAAATTAGTCAAGTGTTCTGATGTTTTGTTTTGTTTTTCACTAGTGGCCCCCCTTCTGCTGTTGACCTGTGACTGTGGGGCAGGTTCTACTGGGGGAGTGACAGGTGGTTTTATCCCAGTTCCTGATGGCTCAGAAGGAACAATTCATCAGTGGGGAATTGAAGGAGCCCATCCTGAAGACAAGGTAAGCATCCAGTTCATAAATTATGTATTTCAATTACATAGAGAAAATGTTTGATTTACATTGAGATAGGAAAAGAGGCAAAGAGATTTCTTGACCTTCAGTTTCAGAGTCAGTGCTGAATAGATGGAGGCTTTTAGGATTTTAGCTCTTCAGATGTCAAATCACAGAAATGGTTATCGCTGAAAGAATTTGCACTTCTTGTAATGTTATCATTTACAAATTTGCAAAGGGCCACATGTCACTATATTGCTCTGAAATCTGGTTCACTTTTAAATGAATTTATTTTTCACATGGTTTGCAGGAAATCACAAATATTTGTGTGCCTCCTGTAACAGCCAATGGAGCCGATTTCATGGAAAGTTCTGGTAAGTGGACATAAAATGTTTGAAAGCAATGGTGAGTTAAGTGGTAAATATTAAAAAATAAGAAGTGTTCAAACTATCTTCTTAATAATTTGCATCTGTGTGCACATGTCAGGAGCTGTTACCACTGAAATGGAGAAAAGCTGTTTTAATATTTTTATATTAGTCAATTCCCTGACATGTCTGGCTTCAATAAGTTAATTTATCCATTGATGCCACCATTGTCAATATCTAAAGATCTGTTATACTTTTTCCAAACTTTAGTGACGTGTAGTTCTCAGGCAATCAATTACTAATTTTTTAATTAGGAAAGACTTCACACATATAGAAAAATGTAAGGGAAAATATAACGAACATCTATGTATCCACCACCCAACTTTGTCTTTTCCAAACATTAGTCATATTTTCAGTTAAAGTCTCATGTGCACATCCTTGATCCTGTTCCCCTTCTTTCTTCCCCAGAACTAACAGTATCCTGATTTCAGTTCAATTACTAATTCCTGCATTCAGTCATACTAGGACATGATCACTTATGTTGTCATACAGGTCATACAGGTGAATTTGTTTATTTCTTTGGTTTTACCAAGTGGCTATTGCATTAATATTATCTGAGTGCCACAACTACTCAGTGAACTAAAAGAACAATAATACTTAATGCCTAATATTAAAGTTTTGCTTAATTCCATAGATTGTTTTCAAGTGTCCATCCTGCAAAATCCGCATGAGATTTCCCCAAATATGTAACTGTCTTCCTTTATCAGATGCTCCACTCCTCACCTGCTTTTCCCATTAGAATTACATAGCAAGAGCTATGTAAAGAATTATCTAGAAAAAAGTAACTTTCCATGAAAGCATAATGTCAAGGTAACAGGCTGAATAGTCATGATTTGTTAAATTCTCTTTAGGTACCAAGACATGCTAATTTGCATGATTACATTACGTATGTTTCCTCTTTGGTTTCCATACTGAGCTCATAGGACTGCTTAACTATAATGTTTTTTCGTGAAAACAAACAAGCATTGCATTAGAAGCTTCCCATAACTGTGTACTAAATATCCTGTCTTTTCTATTTCTGGCTGTTGTCACTGAAAATCTTATTTCTTTGTACACTTTTAAAATTAGTATATTTTTAGAGCTTTTTCACCCGTTTATATGCCCTCCTTTGTGACTCTCACATAACACATTGTGGGATGTTATCACCTCTAGTCATATAATTGTATTTTCTCCCACTTACTTGTTTGCATGGTGACTGCTTATAGACACCCAAGACCCATTTTATAAAAATGCAACAAACAACAGCATAAGATATTACAGAATGTTCTCCCTTGTTTTTAGAAGTTTGTACAAATACGTATGCCAGAGGCACAGCGGTGGAAGGCACTTCAGGAATGGAAATGACCACTAAGCTTGGAGCAGCCACTGAATCTGGAGGTGCTGCAGGCTTTGCAACAGGGACAGTGTCAGGAGCTGCTTCAGGATTCGGAGCAGCCACTGGAGTTGGCATCTGTTCCTCAGGGCAGTCTGGAACCATGAGAACAAGGCATTCCACTGGAGGAACCAATAAGGACTACGCTGATGGGGCGATAAGCATGAATTTTCTGGACTCCTACTTTTCTCAGGTAATTTGGTGAAAAACTTTGTGGCTTGATTATCTTATTTACATTAGAGAACTTTTTATTTGATTATATACTTCAGTTTTGCAGTTTTTATTTACAGCTTGTTAAAATGCAAGAAAAAAATGGTTTGTTTGTTTTTTGCCAAAATAATACAGATAACCTAAGGTAGCTGTCAAAATCGGGTCACTGATCAAAAGAAGAATGGGAGCCAGGCACAGTGGTACATGCCTGCCATCCCAGCTACTCGGGAGGCTGAGGTGGGAGGATTGCTTGCACCCAGGAGGTAGAAGCTGCAGTGAGCTATGATGGCACCACTGCACTCCAGCCTGGGTGACAGAGTGAGACCTCGTCTCTAAAATAAACAAATTAATAACAAAAGAAGAATGAGTAGATAACCACAACATGAGAGCATATAGCAAGTAGTATCTCATTCCTCCAACTGAACAAACAATTGAGGGCAAATCTCTTTTATGTGAGAATTTCTAGCATCTTCTTTAAGAATACAAAGCAGTTCATTTTGTATTTCCTGTATCATAAAGGATATCCAAATACCTGTGTGTATATTTTCCTGAGAGAGGGGTAGAGTATTCACATTATCTGTCTAAAAAAGTTGAAGAACCACTGAATTAATGACCCCCAAAAAAGGGGAGGCAAAAAGAATAGGATGGAAGATCAGTGATGGGAGGAATGACATGTCAGGAAGCATAGAACAGAAAAGGAACATAGTTATGAAAACAAAGAAGACTTTGAAAAGTAGGATGCTTGCCTCTCATTTGATAACCAAAGATTAGTGGGCAGAGAGGCACGGTTAGAATGGATCTCACATTGAGTTTTGGTATCAATACTGGTAAGTGCCAAGGTCTGACCTAGTATCCAAGCAGACAAAGAGTGATATTGTGTTTGAAGAAAGACTGCAGGGCAGGGGAGAAAGGGAGGGGTTGTTTGAGATGAGGACTCTTGGGATATTTCTAGGTGGGATGTGTGTTACAGTCACATGTCAGGCTCCCACAAGATTTGTAGAATCTAGACAAAGGTTCTAGCTCAATTTTGAGGTAATGTCAACCATACTGTTGTCCAAACACCAGATAATGTTTTGAACAAGATTGTTAATAGACAGTGTCCTTTATTTCTATGGATTACCTAGTTTGGGCATTCATAATCCAAATGAGTTCTACAAACAGTATTATATTGTTCAACTGACTCTTTCTTAAAATTCATTTTTTCCCACTTTTTCTCTGTCTTAGAAAGCATTTGCCTGTGCGGAGGAAGACGATGGCCAGGAAGCAAATGACTGCTTGTTGATCTATGATAATGAAGGCGCAGATGCCACTGGTTCTCCTGTGGGCTCCGTGGGTTGTTGCAGTTTTATTGCTGATGACCTGGATGACAGCTTCTTGGACTCACTTGGACCCAAATTTAAAAAACTTGCAGAGATAAGCCTTGGTGTTGATGGTGAAGGCAAAGAAGTTCAGCCACCCTCTAAAGACAGCGGTTATGGGATTGAATCCTGTGGCCATCCCATAGAAGTCCAGCAGACAGGATTTGTTAAGTGCCAGACTTTGTCAGGAAGTCAAGGAGCTTCTGCTTTGTCCACCTCTGGGTCTGTCCAGCCAGCTGTTTCCATCCCTGACCCTCTGCAGCATGGTAACTATTTAGTAACGGAGACTTACTCGGCTTCTGGTTCCCTCGTGCAACCTTCCACTGCAGGCTTTGATCCACTTCTCACACAAAATGTGATAGTGACAGAAAGGGTGATCTGTCCCATTTCCAGTGTTCCTGGCAACCTAGCTGGCCCAACGCAGCTACGAGGGTCACATACTATGCTCTGTACAGAGGATCCTTGCTCCCGTCTAATATGACCAGAATGAGCTGGAATACCACACTGACCAAATCTGGATCTTTGGACTAAAGTATTCAAAATAGCATAGCAAAGCTCACTGTATTGGGCTAATAATTTGGCACTTATTAGCTTCTCTCATAAACTGATCACGATTATAAATTAAATGTTTGGGTTCATACCCCAAAAGCAATATGTTGTCACTCCTAATTCTCAAGTACTATTCAAATTGTAGTAAATCTTAAAGTTTTTCAAAACCCTAAAATCATATTCGCCAGGAAATTTTCCTAAACATTCTTAAGCTTCTATTTTTCCCCTGCCAAAGGAAGGTGTTTATCATTTTAAAATGCAATGTGATTTAGTGGATTAAGCAGGAGCGCTGGTTCTTGTCTCCATTGCCTTTTCTTATATCATTGATAATGATGTAAGAATCACAAGGGGCCGGGCGCGGTGGCTCACGCCTGTAATCCCAGCACTTTGGGAGGCCGAGGCAGGTGGATCATGAGGTCAGGAGATCGAGACCATCCTGGCTAACAAGGTGAAACCCCGTCTCTACTAAAAATACAAAAAATTAGCCGGGCGCAGTGGCGGGCGCCTGTAGTCCCAGCTACTCGGGAGGCTGAGGCAGGAGAATGGCATGAACCCGGGAAGCGGAGCTTGCAGTGAGCCGAGATTGCGCCACTGCAGTCCGCAGTCCGGCCTGGGCGACAGAGCGAGACTCCGTCTCAAAAAAAAAAAAAAAAAAAGAATCACAAGGTATTTGCTAAAGCATTTTGAGCTGCTTGGAAAAAGGGAAGTAGTTGCAGTAGAGTTTCTTCCATCTTCTTGGTGCTGGGAAGCCATATATGTGTCTTTTACTCAAGCTAAGGGGTATAAGCTTATGTGTTGAATTTGCTACATCTATATTTCACATATTCTCACAATAAGAGAATTTTGAAATAGAAATATCATAGAACATTTAAGAAAGTTTAGTATAAATAATATTTTGTGTGTTTTAATCCCTTTGAAGGGATCTATCCAAAGAAAATATTTTACACTGAGCTCCTTCCTACACGTCTCAGTAACAGATCCTGTGTTAGTCTTTGAAAATAGCTCATTTTTTAAATGTCAGTGAGTAGATGTAGCATACATATGATGTATAATGACGTGTATTATGTTAACAATGTCTGCAGATTTTGTAGGAATACAAAACATGGCCTTTTTTATAAGCAAAACGGGCCAATGACTAGAATAACACATAGGGCAATCTGTGAATATGTATTATAAGCAGCATTCCAGAAAAGTAGTTGGTGAAATAATTTTCAAGTCAAAAAGGGATATGGAAAGGGAATTATGAGTAACCTCTATTTTTTAAGCCTTGCTTTTAAATTAAACAGCTACAGCCATTTAAGCCTTGAGGATAATAAAGCTTGAGAGTAATAATGTTAGGTTAGCAAAGGTTTAGATGTATCACTTCATGCATGCTACCATGATAGTAATGCAGCTCTTCGAGTCATTTCTGGTCATTCAAGATATTCACCCTTTTGCCCATAGAAAGCACCCTACCTCACCTGCTTACTGACATTGTCTTAGCTGATCACAAGATCATTATCAGCCTCCATTATTCCTTACTGTATATAAAATACAGAGTTTTATATTTTCCTTTCTTCGTTTTTCACCATATTCAAAACCTAAATTTGTTTTTGCAGATGGAATGCAAAGTAATCAAGTGTTTGTGCTTTCACCTAGAAGGGTGTGGTCCTGAAGGAAAGAGGTCCCCTAAATATCCCCCACCCTGGTGCTCCTCCCTCTCCCTGGTACCCTGACTACCAGGAAGTCAGGTGCTAGAGCAGCTGGAGAAGTGCAGGCAGCCTGTGCTTCCACAGATGGGGGTGCTGCTGCAACAAGGCTTTCAATGTGCCCATCTTAGGTGGGAGAAGCTAGATCCTGTGCAGCAGCCTGGTAAGTCCTGAGGAGGTTCCATTGCTCTTCCTGCTGCTGTCCTTTGCTTCTCAACGGTGGCTCGCTCTACAGTCTAGAGCACATGCAGCTAACTTGTGCCTCTGCTTATGCATGAGGGTTAAATTAACAACCATAACCTTCATTTGAAGTTCAAAGGTGTATTCAGGATCCTCAAAGCATTTTAACCTTGCCGCTTAAAACCCAATTTACCGTGAAATGGGAATTTTGCTGCATTGTTAAACTGTAGTGGAAACCATGCTATAGTAATAAAGGTTATATAAGAGAGAAATTGAAATTAAATGTGTTTTTAAATTTCAAAAAAAAATCAATCTTTAGGATGACTTAAAAATTGATTTGCCATGTAAAATGTATCTGCATTTTTTACACAAAACTTGTTTTAAGCATAAAATTTTAAAACTGTACTACTTGATGTATTATACATTTTGAACCATATGTATTAAACCATAAACAGTATAATGTTGTTATAATAAAACAGGCAATAAATTTATAAATAAAAGCTGAACTACTCTCTATATTAATAGTTATTAAGAAATATGATTATAAAACAGCAGTCCCCAACCCTTCTGGCACCAGGAATCACTTTTGTGGAAGACAATTTTTCCACAGACGGCGGCAGGGATGGTTTCAGGATGAAACCGTTCTACCTCAGATCATCAGGCATTAGATTATCATAAGGAGCAGGCAACCTAGATCCCGCATATGCGCAGTTCGCAATAGGGTTCACGCTCCTGTGAGAAACTAATGCCACTGCTGATCAGACAGGAGGCGGAGCTCAAGCTGGATTGCTCACTTGCCCGCAGCTCACCTCCTGCTACGGCCTGGTTCCTAACAGGCCACAGACAGGTACTCTGGGGGGTGGGGGCAGGGTTGGGGACCCCTGATATAAAATGACTCACGTATGTATTTTTATCAGTATTTTAGCTATTTTTTCTAGCTGATTCCTTTTCTGCATCTTCCAGGCAGGAAGGAAGTATGTCAAGATTCGGGATGACTTCAGGTGGACATAGTGCAGGAGAAAGTGCTGGATGAGGTCAGGGCAGAGGGACTTTACTAACTGGATGCTTTAAGTCATTTACTGTTTATTTTGCAAGTTGCAATTGTCTCTCAGGTAACTGAGAGATCACTGTTGTGACATTCAAAAGTTGTGACATTCTAAGATGACTTGGGGAGAAAAGCTGGAGTAAAGAGAAGGTAATGTTTACAATCTAGCCTGATGAAAAATGCGTACCATGTCACTGGTGAAAGCCATCAGCCCCAGAAGTGGAACTGTTTTTCTGTAAATGCTAAAGTCCTTATGTCTCCTTTTAAAAGATGCCACAGAATAAGTCCCTCCAACGCTTCAGAACTTTCTTCTGGCTGACCTTCCTCCTTCTTAAATCTGATCAATGAGGCTTGGACATGGAGTATGGGGAGAAAAAGAAACTGGATTAAAGCAAATATTGAGTAAAGAATGGTAGTTGGCTTAACTCAAATGTTTCAAATCAATTCCAGGAAAATGAAAGTCATGTAGATAAAATCCAAAAATATTACCAGCTTCTTCTATTCATAGAAAGTTCAAGGAACGAAAGTGACAAAATCGGTTTAGTTTTACCTGAGGACCTTCATACGTGAGGTAAGAGTGTGAATGGGACACATTCAACTGACTAGTTTCAATACAACTAACAATTTAGAAACAAGTAAAAGTTAAGAATCCTTCTTGTTCTTGCATTTCCACATTGTCTCGTATCTTCTTCTGGGTCTACAAAGAGGAATACTGAATTAGAGATTATATGGTTTCACAGCGTTCAGTCACATAGTCTGAGATGGTTTTACGTAAAGGGGATAATTGATAAGACAAGAAGATACACAATCATTTAAATTCCAGAAGCCAGAAACCACACGTTTTCCACGATGAACGCTGAGACTCCTCTTGCTTTGCTGTCCAGAGTATGCTGAGATTCCCTCCCTGGCCAAAGACATCAGGCTGTTCTCTGGTTGGTGTCTTTACTTTCTTTTTCTTCCACAGTTTGATTCATTTTTACAAATAAAAAACAAAAAAATTTAGACACAATAGAGATATAGTTAAAACTCAAGAGGGTAATGTCTGAAGAACAAGTACAAATGGATGCGGTTATCAGAGCAAGAAGAAAAGAGACATTGGTGAGGGTTACCACGTGGTCAAGAGAGCTACATACTCTAATTCAATTCTAGAGTAATCCTTAGATTACAGGCATGGAAACAGAGACTCAGAGAAGCAAAATAACTTTCTCAAATTTGCACAATAAGTGACACAGATGTGAAAGTTTATCAATAATTGTCTGGAAATAATAACTATTACTCTCAGAATAATCCGTTCACTTCCAGTCTAAGACTTGAGTAGAACATTAAAAATTAGAAAGAATACAAAGAAAATGAAAATTATAAAAAGGATTACAAATCTAGATGTAATTTTAAAGATTAAATAAGTAGTATAATGTAGGCATATGTGTGTGTGGGAGGGAGAGAGAGAGAGAGTGACAGAGAGAGAGAGAAAGAGAGAGAGAGAATGCTAATACATGATGCTGCTATTTTGAAGTACATGTGGAGGTTTTTCTTTCAGGGGCCAGTGACCAGGTCTCTTCCACAACCAATAACTAATAAGAATGAGCCAAAAGCCTAAATTGCAGAAACAAGTATTTAGCTGAATTTAAATTACAATTTTTGTATTTTAATATAAAATTAAAATGCAATTTTATACAATTATAACTGATGTTGTAAGTACTGAAAAAAACTACCTGGAATCTCTTTCTCAGTCAAGTCCCTAAGAATTACTTTGATAAAGCACTATTTAGAAGAGGTTGTATGAAATGTATCCAGATATGAAATGATTACCTTAAACATGTCCTTCCAGCTCAGTGTTTCCATGATTTGTGGAAAAGAACATATTTTAACAACTACAAATTTTTTACTCCTTGAAATCAGTTTCATTTCTACTTTGATTTTCCTGAGGAACATGGTACGACTATATTTTCAATTTTATGCCTCAGAACATCTCTGATGTTTTCTGTGTGCAGAATTCATCATTACTAAATTAGCAAACAGTGAATTCTATGTGACAACACAGAGAATCAAATGATGATAATATAAGCAAAACATTGATATTGAAACAACGTGTATGTCCTCATTTCCCCAGAAGGCAGAAGAAGTATTTATGTTCTTTCATAATCAAAAGAAGGATTGCAAGGAACTTTCTTGATTATAAAGCTGTAAAGAATCAGGTAATCCTGTATTTATTCAAATGGCATAATGACATGATTTTCAATCCTGCAAGGAGACATTGTTACTAAGTGAAAAATGAGTATTTAAACACAAAATATGAGATTAACTTCAGTCATGTCTTCTCATGTCCAACTGACTTCTACTGATAATAAGATTTATATGGTCCTAACTCAGATGAAACACACACACACCCACATTCTTGCCTCAGGTAACCTCATGGCTTGGCATAGCTAAAGCAGGGTCTTTCCATTATCAAATCTATGGACCAGACACTAATGCTTAGTGGGCGCTGCAGACACAAAGTTTCTGCATTTAAGAATTCTGCTATCTAGCATTATTATTTTAGAAAATAATAATAATCACCTAGATTTTGCACCTAAATTTCTTTAGGTAAGCTATGGTGAAAAAGCCTTATTTAACCAGACTTTTAATTATTTTCAACCACGTCTGACATCCCCAACATTTAATTAGTAAAAAATATGCAATAAATCCTTAGTCTAGTAAGTTCTGACAAAATCTACCTTCCCGCATCCTCCCTCTTTTTCTCAGCTGTTATAAATTGCTATGAATTTTTCCTCAGAACATATTTTGTGGCTGCTATCTGATACCTAAGTTGATTTTCTAACTTGCCACTGTTTCTACATACACTCTCTTGGATCTGGAAATGTTCTCTTTTGTGTTGGTCTTTGAATATTCTTTCAAAGAGGCAAACTTATAATGAAGGCATATGCTACCAAGACAATAACAGACCTCCTACTTTATGCAACAAAGGCTCACCCAGGGCCTCTCAAACAAGCCAATGCATGCTATTGCTACTTTTGCCAACTCTGGCTAGAAAAGGGTATCTCCACTGAAGGAACAAGTCAGGAGATGTTCGTGAATATAGAGAATGAGTTGTCAAGCTAAGAAAACCTATTAAAGTTTGCAAAAAAAAAAAAATCACTACTGAAGGAGCTAAGAGAATTTTTAAAAATCTCATTCCATCTGTTAATCAATCAAAATAACTATATTATATTTTAATGATTAACAAAAGTTAAGGCAGGGCGCGGTGGCTCACGCCTGTAATGCCAGCACTTTGGGAGGCCGAGGCAGGCGGATCACGAGGTCAGGAGATCGAGACCATCCTGGCTAACACGGTGAAACCCTGTCTCTACTAAAAATACAAAAAATTAGCCGGACCTTGTGGCGGGCACCTGTAGTCCCAGCCACTCGGGAGGCTGAGGCAGGAGAATGGCGTGAACCCAGGAGGCAGAGCTTGCAGTGAGCCGAGATCGTGCCACTGCACTCCAGCCAGGGCGACAGAGACTCCATCTCAAAAAAAACAAAAACAAAAACAAAACAAAACAAAACAAAAAACAAAAGTTAAACTTGAAAAGGTTTCTGTTTTGTCTTTTTTGTGCATTTAAGTTAATGGTTGAGTTCAGGCTTTGAAGACAAACTACATACTTGAGTTCAAATCCCCGTTTCCCAACTTACTAACTTTATGGTTTGGGGCAAGTTTCTTAATCTCTGTGAACCTCTCTGGACTATTATTATGAAGATAATAATAGCTTCTACTTCACAGAGTTTCTGTAAAGTTAAGAGAATGCGCTTTGAACATAGTAAATGCTCATAAAGATTTGTTTTCTTTTTTTACTGTATTTTAAATCTTCAAAATGAACTCAATCATCTCAAAGAGTTCTGACGTACAAACTACTGAAACCACAGAATCTCGAAATATCCCTATTGTATGATCCAAAGCCCTCCTTTTACATAGATGCTTAAACTGAGGCTGAGAAGCAACTCGTGGATCAATTTCAGAGTTAAGAATTGGCTAGGCTGATTCTCTTCCTGCTACTCTAGACTGCCACCATAATATGTCTTTTTTATTAATTTTTTGCCTTAGCCACAAGGATTGCCCTAGTCTTCTCAGCACTGGAAATTCCGATGAATGGACAGTCCAATGAAGACATGCCAGTTCATAACAAATTGTTATCTTGTATACCCAAGCCGATCAGAATCACCAGATGATTGCCATTTTTCAATTCAGCTTCCTTGGAAAAGTGAATTTAGGCTTTTAAATGAAGACTTGAATTCCTGTGTTCAGGTGGATATTAACTGTGACAGGGTCATGTAGGTTGTTTCTATCATGTTGCAATAGGGTCATGGGCAGGATGGATGGCTTCTTTCTTCCCCCAGAGAATACTCACTATGTCATTTCTACCAGCCAGATGGGACATCCACGTGGCTTTGGGGGAAAAAAAAAAACCCAGTTACTTGAAAACTAGCATGAAAAGAATGACACTAATTGACCCCACTTCCATTGGATATATATTTTAATGTTACTAGAATAGTGACAAACTGCATGAAAAAAGACCACACTTTTATGTTCAGTTTCTCTATGATTTATGGATCATTATCACTGCTGGGCAAGTGAAAATCAGCTTATTTGCAAATGCCAGCTGACCCATCATAAAATGGAAGGAAGTGAAATCTGTCTTTACCTTTGCATGTTTTTTCTTTATTTCTAGCACATGACATGCCTAATGTCTTCATATTCACTGCTACCTGCTTCTTCTAAAAACTGGCTATAACTAGTTGATAAGTTTTTTAATTGTTTGAGAAATTAATTCACAGTAAGGTATAAATCACAAAAAGCACTTTGTTACTCCTCCCTGAAGTGTGTGTCTTTAATGTTTAGAATATTTGTTGACTGCATAAACAAAGTGAATTTTCATTATCATTGAGCAATAGGTTAGGAGGTAAAGCAACTTGAGAACACACACTGTCCAGCATCCCTCCAATCACACATTTCACATCTGTCCATTTAGACCATTTCTGTACACATGATCACACCTGGGACTCAGGCCTCACATTCTGACCCATTGAGCATACTCTGTAGACTCAAGATTTCAATGATTGAAAATTCTGGGGTATAGAGTAGACTAATTCTCCTGTAGTGTCAAACAATGAAAACTAGCCATGGCAATTTTATGAACCATAGAGCAATTCTTCACATGAGCTTTTACATGGATTTCACATTATCCAACTCTGAATCTTTTCTGTAATACTGTTCTGCTTAACCTGTTGTCATCAACATAACTATTTACTTCAGATTCATGTTGTAATCCCACAGTTAAGAAAGAAGTACAATGATACACTTTCATCCTCTCTCATACCCGTAAGAGAATTAATCACAAGCAGTCTTTGTTGACTGACTTAACTTTATTGTAGCTGATTCTGCATGAAATGGGTGTAACTCTCTCCAAAGGTATAATGTCATTCACATATTGTTCCAGCTGAAGATTCAGCCACTGGGAGGAGGAAGATGTTACAGTAAATGTGCAGACAATTGCCTAGCTAAGTAAGGGGTCAGCTTTCAAGATACACAGTAATGTTCATAATGAACACAATCTTTTTTTTTTTAATTTTAACCACAATTGTCTTCAGACAAGCTGAAAAAGGTCATTGTGAGCATTATATCTAAACTATCCAGAGCAATTTTTTTCCCATTGCCTTCTTTGTATCAAACTTTTTTGCTCAATCAGTTTGCTTAATCTTTAAACACATCTCTGTCTCATAAAACCTCTACTTGGAGTGAGAATTAGAAGAGGTGATGTAACTCAATCTAGGTCTACTGAAAAAAAAAAGCTATGTAATTTGAACAAAATGGGTTTAAAAACAAACATTTTCAGCCAGGGGCGGTGGCTCACGCCTGTAATCCCAGCACTTTGGGAGGCCGAGGCGGGTGGATCATGAGGTCAGGAGTTCGAGACCAGCCTGACCAACATGGTGAAACCCCGTACCTACTAAAAATACAAAAATTAGCCAGGTGTGGTGTCACGAGCCTGTAATCCCAGATACTCAGGAGGCTGAGGCAGGAGAATCGCTTGAACCCAGGAGGCGGAGGTTGTAGTGAGCCGAGATCATGCCACTGCACTCCAGCCTGGGCAAGAGGGTGAGACTCTGTCTCAAAAAAAAAAAAAAAAAAAATTCCTGAAATTCTAGACACCAGAGACAACATTTTGGTTCTCTTCTCTTATAATATCTGAAAGAATGCTTTGACTCTCCAGTTCCCTGGGTGTATATAGATGCCAAAATTAATTAAATTATTATTTATCATGTTATGGGGTTTTCAATTACTTTTGCTACGGAAGTAAAGTTACTAGATAGAAGTAATTTGCCATTCACAGTATCTAACCTGGGATTCAAGAATAACAATATTGTAATTGTAGTCAGCACAGTTCATGAAGTGTGTCCTCCAAAGTAGATGACATTCACAAGCTCACGCCCTCAGACGGAGAAGCCCTGTGATCAAGGCTAAGGCTCCCATCTCCTTCCCTGTTGGAACCCATGTTTTTCCTCAACCTGAGAAGAATAGCAGAACACAAGTGGGTAAGTTCGTTATTGAATAGCCTTAAATGCGCTCCAATCATTTTAACAAAGGAAATCCTTCACAAATTTCAGAATGTTATTAACAAATTAGTACGTTGACTGAAATTTTCAAGCCACCACCAAAAAGACTAATTTGTAAAGTAAATTAAAATAAATAATTTAATTACTTTAAATTCTTGGGTTTTTTTAGAATGAAAATCATGTACTTTTGAAATTCTGCATCTCTCAACCAAAGTGCTTACAATTATCATTCTAGGTCATTTGGAAAGATTTTTAAACCCACTATTTTACTTCCAGGTTCACTCTCCGAAGCTACTGCATTGTTTCTATTTCACTTTTTCATTGCACATAAGACTGTCATTGTCTATCTACGAATGAATAATTGCCAAAAACCAGTTTTGTCTGTTTTTTCTGTCTTCTGAGGGGTTTTTAAAATTTATTTATTTCTGTGTATCTCCCTAAGCTCATTAGTCACAATGGGTCAGTGTGATGGTTTCCCTCTGAAACTCAGTAAGTACTGCTGTGCCTGCCCTAAAAGCCTGCAAGCCCTGTCATGCTGGTGATGGATTCCAGTCCAGGACTGCTGTTAGCAACCAAGGACTCCCCTGCTCTCTTTCTTTGCTATTTCCCTTATCTTTCCAAGAACTTCCATAAACAAAACTTAGGGTGAAACCGAAATGATAGATTTGTCATGAGTAGATAAAATTAACTTTCCCCAGTGTTGCACTCCTGTAGTGAATGCACATTTTGTTCATTTCCAGGGAGAAGGAGGATTTTTCATGTTGTTGATGCTTTCTTCCTTGGTTCCCCCTGCAAGGAAGGGAGCCTTAAAGCAGAGGAAGAACAGCCGTGTTCTCCACTGGCGTCTGAACTCCTCCACTTCACCCTGTCCCGGCAGTCTTAGCAATGCCCGCCCTTGACGAAATTGTGAGGTAGAGCAATTTTATCCACAGCGAGCCAGGCCCCCCATCACACCCCCACCCCAGTCTGGTGACAGTCCCTCATGTCCTTCCAGGAATCCAATGTTCTCTTCCCCTTTTCCCCTTTACCCTCATTTTACACTCTCTCTCTCTCAATTCCAAAATAACCTTGAAAATTTCTTCACTTATTCATGTATTTACACATTCAGCTGGGATTTACCGAAAGCCTACATTGGGCCAGGCACTGTTTTATTTGCAGGATACACGGCAGTTCACAGAGAAAAATCCCAGCCCTCACAAAGTTTACATCCTAGGGAATGGCAACAGATAAGAAATAAGTTAAAACACAGTCTTTTAGGTTACAATGTACCAAGAAGAAAAATACAGAAGAGAAAAAGAGGATGGGGAGCTCTGGGCACGGGGGGCGGGGGGAGGGTAATTACAATTTTAAAATCACTGGTCAGGGAATGTCCTTACTGAGAAGGTAACATTTGAGGGGAGAAAAGTGAAGAGTGACGGAAAAGACCTTGTACATTTCTGGAGCAGAAACTTCCAGGGAAAAGGAACCGCAAGTGCAAGGCTCCGAGGTGGGGCATGCCTGGTGAACCTGTGGCACTAGACTAAGATGTAAATAACTGACAGTGGATCAACATTCTGCCCTCCCAGTAATATGCACTCCAAGGAAGCCTTCTGCTGAAGGAATGCCGACATTAATCAGTGAATGCGAGAGGCCTTCTGTTGGGGCCTCCAGGCCTTGCTGGGGTTTCCCAGGCAGTTGCCTGTTTCATAATTGCCTCAATCCAGCATTATTATATTCTGATCACATTTTTAAACTACTGTGACTTAGTTCAAAAAAGATTGCATGAGATGTGTTCAACACCCTACTGATTCCCAAGAATAGACCATTTTGTTTCCTCTACTGCACCAAATGCTATTTTGCAACTGTCACTGTCTTTCCCTAATTCTCCTCTGCCTCATGAACAATGTTAACAATTTCCTTAAAACAGCTTGGCTCAGAGACTTTGCATCCAAAGCAGTCAGTCCATGTATACTGACTCACAAGGAGGAACATGTGGGGAAAGCTCAGTGAGACACTGTGACTCACGGCACTGGGACTCTCACTCTTTCGGGATGTTGACGTCTGAGGCTGTGATCTCAGGGCTGCCTATTTTTGCTCCCCCAGAATGAGGGGACTGTTCATTAAGGACGTGCTGGCTTCTCTGTGCTAGACAACAGGGCTTGGAGTCTGCTGGGCTTTATTATCCTGTGAGTTCTAACTGGGAAAGTCAACATAACTCTTCCCGCTCTCTTATTAGAGGCCTCCTCCACCCCCACGTTGGCCAGCGCTCCTCTCTCACCACCTAAGGCAGAAGCGTCTCTTGGTCCATCTAACTGGAGAGTCCATAAGAAATTCAAGATCCTGACTCCAAATGTTGGTGCTGTCATCCATGCCTTGACTTCCATGGAATAGGACCATGGGTCTTTCTCCAGGATTGAGGGGAAGGACGATCCTCTCCCATTTCTCCATGGCCAATGTAACAAACTGTCTATTCTCAACTGGGCCCTGAGCTCCTCCAGCTTCATTCACCCTGTCTGTCTTCCTCCTGACCACACTCAATTCCAGGAGTATCCTGGATACTTACACCTCTTTTTTTTCTTTTCTTTTGATAAAGATTTTTTTATAGAATGGAAAGTTACAGTTTCTAACCTAAACCTTTTCCTCTGAAACTTAAACATGTTTCTGCTTAAAGAAGCAATAGGAATATATTCCTTATAGAAACGATTTTTAGGACTTTTACATTCTTTTTCTGATACTGTCACTTTATTCTTTTTTTTGAGACGGAGTTTCACTCTTGTTGCCCAGGCTGGAGTGCACTGGCACCACCTCGGCTCACTGCAACCTTCACCTCCCAGGTTCAAGCGATTCTCCTGCCTCAGCCTCCCAAGTAGCTGGGATTACAGACATGCTCCGTCACGCTCAGCTAATTTTTTGTATTTAGTAGAGATGGGGTTTCACCACGTTGGTTGGGCTGGTCTTGAACTCCTGACCTCAGGTGATTCACCACCTAGGCCTCCCAAAGTGCTGGGATTACAGGCTTGAGCCACTGCACCTGACCACTTTATTCTTTACTAGGTTAAATATTCCCAGCACCTTCAGCCTTTTGTTATAGATCTTGTTTATCATCTTTGTATGTGTGATATTGTCCTCAGTGCCTAGTTCAGTTCTCTTTATAGATGTTTTACATAGATATTTCCATAAGATGTCATCAATCTGGACCTAGAAAAACATCAAAATAATAGTTGATCTTTCCTGGATACTTACACCTCTTAACTGTCATCTGGGTCACTCTACAACCCTGACTTACACCTACCAGCTGCCATCCTTATTCTGCTCTGGGCTGCAGTGTTGTTAGGGAAAACATACGTACACAAACTGACATGTGCGTGTATGTGTGCAAATGCATGTACACATACATACCACAGACCAACAGTTTCTTACCAGAACCTCTGCTAATTCACCCACAGTGGATATTCCAAACACTTTTCCTTATAATACTCCTTTTTCACTTAGAATTAATCCCTTCCAGTGTGTGGGCTTATTTCAACAAGTCTTAATTGATCATCTGATATGTGCTGGATGCTGAGGGTTGGGCTCACTGTGAATATCATATGGCCTCTGCTCCCAAAGAAGGAACAGCTTTGAGAAAAAGAAATGGGTGGAAGAGTAGACATGGATGAAATAACCATAAACTATAATGTGATTGCTGCTATGCAGGTTGTGTGAGTCATCTGGGATAGAGCCACAGAGTACTGAAGGAGAGGTAAGTAACTGGATATGGAGAGGATGGAAAAAGGAATAGAGGATGCCACTCAGGTCCTAAAGTGAGTGGCCAAGTTCGCAAGGCTGCCATTGACTGAGTGGGGCATATGAGAAAGCAGCAAGCTTGCACTGGAGAGAAAGTAAAGAGAGGAGATATTAATCTGTTCTCATGCTGCTAATAAAGACAAACCTGAGACTGGGTAATTTATAAAGGAAAGAGGTTTAGTAGACTCACAGTTCTACATGGCTGGGGAGGCCTCACAATCATGGCAAAAGAGAAGCAGAGGCATGTCTTACATGGAGGGAGACAAGAGAGAATGACAGCCAAGCAAAAGAGGAAACCCATTATAAAACCATCAGATCTCGTGAGACTTATTCACTACCATGAGAACAGTATGGGGGACACTGCCCCCATGATTCAATTATCTCCCACCAGGTCCCTCCCACAAAACGTGGGAATTATGGGAGCTAAAATTCAAGATGAGATTTAGGTGGGGGACACAGCGAAACCATATCAGAGGGAAAGCTTTTTTGTCAATATGCTGAGTTTGATATCCCTACAAAATTATTATGGAAGTGTGAGGTTCCCATGAAATATCCAAATAGTGAGGTCCCATGATTTGAGCTTGAGAAAGAAAGCTAAGTTTACACAATGAAAGTGACCACAGAATCATACCTGCTACTAAGTAAGAAGAAAAGAAGCAAAGTTTGGAACTCAGAAGACACACACATTTTACAAGTAGCAGAGGGCAAGAAAGGGATTGAGAAAGAACAGCCAGTGAGATGGGAACAAAATAAGGTGACTATTTCTGCTGCCCAAATCTATTTGCAATGCAGTTGTCCTTTCTCATTTCAAATGACTTGCTAGGCTTTTCTAATTGGATTTTGTTCTAATGTCTCAAATTCAACATGTTTTTACCAAAAGGAAAGTTTTTACTTCTGATTCCCTGTTTGTGTCAACATGATGAAAAGAAAGCTTTTTTCACAGCTAAAGCGAAAGCCCCTGACTCTTCATCAACAGTGTCTATGCTTTGAGTCACTCTGCCCTGGCAGGTTCAACACCTGGTTCACAATTACTCATCCTTTAAGAATCACTTCAGCAAACTTCCTCCAAGAAGCCTTTTCTAACCCCATAGTCCAAAGTGTGAGGTGGGAAACCTTCATTGTTCATATACTGCATGTGTAGTTCTACCACAGTGGTTATATTATTTTATTTTATAAGTAATTATAGTTATATTATTTTATAAGCACCTATTCTTGTTTCTTTCGATACAGGAAAACATTTAATTTTGCATTTCTAGTAAAATGAAAATTAAATGTTTGTTGAACAGGGACAAGGTAAATATTGAATAAACTAGTAGAACTAAACCAAAAAACAGATTCCTCCTCATATTTCCCTTCTCAGATTACCTGGGAGTATTTCACATTTTGTCCTGTGTCCATATGCCCTTTGCTAATCAACATTCTATGAGTAATCCTCCTGACCATGATAACCTTTTTTTATAACAGCTACACAACTCTATGATTTGTTTATAAAGCATTTTAAAAGGATAGCAACCAGATTTAGCTCTCACCTGTGAAACATTAATTCTAATACATATACTCATGAGATTTTCACTGGAATTAAGTGGTCAGCCACTTATCAGACCTTTAGCAAAGAACTGTCCATTTTTAAAATAATATTTAATGCTAGGATGTGTTGGCAGTAAGGAGCAGTGTTAGTAGAAAAGAGATATATTAATTTTCATTGATCTTTCTGAAACCCTTTAAAGTATTTTTGGTTTTAGATCATATTAAAGGGGTGATTTTAATGAGCTAATCACTTGAAGATTATTCTTATCTGTGTATGTGTGTGAAGCAAAGTATTCTGGAAAACATAAATTCAGGTAGATATTTTGAATATATCTAGATGTTAAAGGTAATTATTATCCACACAAAATATGTTTTGAACTAATCCATTCTAAATGTCTTAAGAAAAGTACATTTACCGTAATGTTCAACTAACTTGGGGGAGGAAAACATGAAAGTTAAAATTTTCACATCCTGTTAAGACTTCAATTTATTTTAAACAAATCCTTAGTCCTTTGTTGGTAATGGCTACATTTATTTTTGTGCACAGAGATGTATGAAACAGATTTACTCTAACCCCAGCATAAAGAAGTTAGGAGCCAGAGAGTTAGCTGTGAAACATCTGATTCTCAAGAAGTTCCTTCACCTCTCTGAGTCATAAGTTTTAGAATTTTTAAAGTAGAACTAATTCAGGAGTGACATGCTATGGCACTGGATGACATATTGGCACCTTCTCTCAAAGTCCTGGGGAAAATGTCTTATAGAAGGAATACTACCTTGAAACTAACTTTGATAGCCTTCAGGGGAGGTTGAATAATACAACAGAAATAAAGTTTGCATTGGCTATTTCTCATTCTGGAAGCTATGATTATCTTCATTGCTGAATAGAAACCAAAGACTTAATAATGAGGCATAAATACTTCTCTATAGGACTCAATTGCAAGGGCACAAATTTAAGGCAGGACTGACACATAGTTTCCTACAATGATTTCTGCAAGTGATTTGGTAAAGCCTCACTTCTTAAATCAGGAGTGCTCCCAGCATGATGGCAAACGAGAAGTATCCCCAAGGTGTGCTAATACCCACATCTAGCTCAAGAGAAAGGAGTGGAAATTAAGACATATTTCCTCCAGATTCAATGATGTAAAAAAGTTTACTGAGAGTATCCCATAGTACAGAGCACAGTTTGGGGCACTTCTGAGCACATTAATGAGCTAAGTCCTCAACTAATTCAGCCACCGTCACTTAAGTAACTGCATGAGAAAATCCACTCAGCAGCTAAGCCCCAAACATATGGAGAATGTGCTTCTCTCAGCTCAAATAGGCAGTGGTCCTTGGGGAACTGAGAAGAAAGAGTGTAATGAGGAGGTGGTGACTGTACTGGATCTTGAAGATTGGCACTTGGGAGAGAAGGGTGAGAGATGCTACCAGAGGGAGAGGGGGCATTTTGGACCACAGAAGGAACTCTACTATTTGAGCCAAATTTAATACCAAACCTCTCTTTCTAGTCTCCAAATAACCCTTTATGCTTATATAGGTGTGGAAAAAAAGTTAGATATTACATTTGAACTCAATTGAACATGGACACAAACAACGGTCACCAAGTCCCAGAACAGGTCATGTGAGCCCCTTGAGGAATTCATCCAGCACTGTTTCGAAGAAATCTCTATTTCAATCTACACCTATACGTTAGTTATTGAAAAACAACAGACAGTCGCAAAAACAAGTTGACCTTTTGTGTTATCTGAGCCCAGTCTCGAAGGGCCCTCGTGACTGGGCCTCATGCCGAACAACTGGTTACAAAAAGAGCTAGGGTCCCAGACTGCAACGAAGCTTCAAGAGACATCTTCTTGTCTGTGTACAGATGAGTGGCCGACTCTGGAGCCCAGGCTGTTGCTTCTCAGCCTGGTGATGAATCCTCCATAGTCTGAGGAGTGTGTATATGTGTGTGTGTGTGTGTGTGTGTGTGTGTGTGTGTATATATATATATATATACACACACATATACACACATATACATATATATCTTTTCCCTTCTCCCCTTCCCATTGCAATTTGCTTATTATATCAATTTTCTTATTATATCATTGACTTATTGTATCATTTGTTTATTATATCTGCATTGCCATTTACGTGGGATAAAGGTTGTTTACTCCTAAAAGTACTGTGCGTGGCTTCTCCCCTCACAGGTCTCCCACACAGAACATTTTTGGCGTCACGAACAGGATCTGAAAGCGAAAGCATGCCATTTTCCACCACAAGGACCGGGCTGGGAGGTCCCCATATTCCGGGATGGGAACTCCCCAACTTCTCCTCCTTGGCCATTGAGTGGTCCAATGGAACTGGCCTTTGTGAAAATTGGGAATCTAAATTAGTGCATTTTGAACCATTGGCTGTGCATGAGGTGCTGCAGGGAATCCCAGTTGGTAAAGTGGAAACTGAGGGAATTTACTGGCATGGATGGTGCTTGCTTACTGCTTATAAGTTAATGTGTCAAGATAGGAACAATAAAAATGTAAGCTGGAAAAGGAAAATGCTAATTTGATTTCCAAACTGGCCCTGGCCCAATGCCAGGCCTATGTCTTGATGGATCAGGCTCAAATCTATCAGCCTATTGCTGAAAAGGCAGCTATTCAAGTGGCCCAGTCAGGGTAAAACTGAAGAACTAGTCAGCCAGGGATCAGAACAGGTAAAAACTCAGCTCCTGTCTCAAGAATGGGAAATTAACCCCAGTAAAATTCAAGGACCTACACAAATTGTAAAATTTCTTGGCATCCTATGGAATGCAGGGAAATAGTCCATTTTACCAAAGGCTAAGCTAAAATACTAAAATGTGCAACCCCTACCATTAAAAAGGAGGCTCAGAAATTTATTGCCTTGTTTGGATTCTGGAGACATCATATTCCCCACTTGGGTGACATTTTACAACCTCTTCAGGCAGTCACTAGAAAAGGCTATGACTTTCACTGGGGAGAGGAAGAGAGCATGGCTTCTGAACAAGTTAAACAAGTGGTGCAACTGGCCCTGGATTTATGGCCCATACAAGATGGACCAGTAGAACTGCAAGTAACTGTCCTAGATCAACATGCTAATTGGAGCCTCAGCCAGGAACAAGATAGGAAGAGGGTACCTTTGGGGTTTTGGACCTGGAAACTGCCAGAGGATGGCAAAGTTTATACACCTTTCTAGAAGCAATTGTTAGCTTGCTATTGGGCTTTGCTGGAAATGGAGCACCTCTGCTTCAACCATGATATCTTTATGAGGCTTGAAATTCCTATTATGACTTGGGTCATGAGTTCCCCCAAAGCTCACCGGATAGGGCACACCCAAGAAAGTAGCATCATCAAATGGAAATGGTACATACAAGACCAGGCTAAGCCAAAACCAAAGGGGGTATCACTTTTACATGAGGATATATACAAAACTTGCCAGCTCAGGAAACCACCAAGCAAGTCCTACAGATAGGGAAGGAAACCTCCCCCGCCCAATGGGGCAAATCCTTTAAAGAACTAAGCCCAGAGGATCAGAAACATGCTTGGTTTACTGATGGATCTACCAAATACATTGATGGGACCCGATGCTAGAAGGCCATGGCTCATAACCCTGTTAAAAAGCATAAGCATTTCTGATGAAGGAAGGGGTGGGAGCAGCCAGCTGGCTGAACTAGTAGTGGTCCTCTGAGCTATTCAGGAGGAGGCCAGAGGGATTTGCCACTTGAATACCAACTCTTGGTCAGTAGCAAATGTTCTTACCACCTGGATGCCCCAATGGCAACAAAACAAATGGTTAATTGGGAATGAAGAGGTTTGGGGTAAACAATACTGGGAAGATATCTGAATCCTGGCACACACTACCATTATCACTGTTTTCCATGTTGATGCTCATGCGTCTGTTTGCTCTTGACAGACTATTTCATCAGCAGGCAGATCAACAGGCCAAAATTTCCACCATAACTGCAAACTTGAATGTGGATGAATGGATTACAACATGTTCAAGACTTGCAATGAGAGGCTTTATAATGTATGGTGGTATAATTGATAGTGCTTACCGGGGAGAGTTAAAGGTCATTTTATACAATACCACTCCAGATTCTTTTGCTATAAAACCTCAGATGCAGGTTGCTCAATTGTTAGTGGAACCTTGTCAGCAATTAACCCCTGAGGAAATCTGCCCCAACAGAGGCTACATGCAGAACTGGGGGATTCAGATCCTGGAGCCAAAATCCTGGAGCCAAAATATGGGTACAGCGTCCATCAGGTCCCACCCTTAAGACTGGTGACCTTGTAGCTATAGGAGCAGAAAATGAAGCACACTACAATTTCCTAAAGATGAAAAACAATATCATGTTCCCCTCTGTTTTTGTTATCACATGGAATAACCTATCTACTAATGGTCAGCACCTGTGTCTTTGTGTCTGACGCCAAGATTAAATTCATCAACTGGGTAGCCACCGCTGCAGAGGAAGCCAACCACAGTCAATGTTGGCTATGTGGGAATGAGCTACCTTGGAGAATCCTCCCTGCTAACATTTCTGAATGACTATGTCGCTACCAATGGGACCACAACAACAACACTTGCAATCCAACCTGGACTTTCTTTGACCAAACCAAGCCTTGGTACTCTGGGGTTTCTCCTGCCAGACAATTGTCAACACATGCTCCAAATCAACAACATTACCCCCAATGAAACACAATCTCTTTCCTACTTTTATAACACATTAGTACACTATGATTACAGTAACTCCATTGCTGTCCCCTGCGGGGCCCTCTGGGTATGCGGATCCTATGGGTAGCGATACCTGCCCCCATATTGGATGGGGATATGCACTTGGGGGTGGCCATTAATTCCATTCACCATCCGGGATAATATTCCCCTCCCCAGTAATCTAGATGCTTACAAACATCCCTGGTTAGAATGCATCCGACTCCGTAGGGGTGGTATCCTATCACAGCATTCTCCCCTGCAGCTGATACAATCCTGCTTCAGCAACAAATTAAAACATTAAGCTCACTTCTAAGAAAAGCTCTTAATGATAGTAGCACTGGATGTATGTTGTTATCAGATGAATTTGCTCAGCTATGTACTGTTGTGTTGCAAATGGAAAGGCATTAGATATGCTTACTGCAGCCCAAGGAGGGGTTTGCACCTTACTGCACTGGATGTTATGTGTATATCCCTGACAATTCTCACAATATTACTCTCCTTGCAAAGCCATGATGGGTGTGTTATTAATTTTGCTTTTAATTCTCCTGTGCTTACCCTGTATCTGTAATCTCTATCAACTATGCCTTCCCCATGTATCTGTAGGGGTATTTTCCTGCGATTGAGTATCAGATTGAAGCCGAATGTGGAGGAAAACTTAAATATTAAATTTGAACTCAATTGAACATGGACACAAACAATGGCCACCAAGTCCCAGAACAGGTGGTGTGAGCCCCTTGAGGAATTCATCGAGCGCTGTTTCAAATAAATCTCTATTTAAATTCCTATTTGTTAGTTATTGAAACACAACAGACAATCGCAAACACAAGTTGACCTTTTTGTGTTCCTTGAGTCCAGTCGGGAAGGGCCCTTGTGACTGGGTCTCATGCCAAACAACTTGTTACGATAAGAGCTAGGGTCCCAGACCATGAGGAAACTTCATGAGAATCCTCTGTAGTCTGGTGAGTGTAGTGTCCGACTCTGGAGCCCAGGCTGTTGCTTCCCGGTGTGGTGGTGAATCCTCCACAGTCTGGTGAGTGTACCTATAAATATATCTTTTCCTTCTCCCCTTCCCATTGCAATTTGCTTATTATATCATTTGCTTATTATATCCGCGTTGCCATTTAATTGGGATAAAGGTTGTTTACCCTTAAAAGTATGGTGTGTGTGTCTTTTCTTCTCCCCTTGCGCCTTTCTCGCACAGAACAATAGGCTCGTCCATTACTTTCAGTCGTTACATTTCTTGGAAGTTTCGTAATCCGGTGCTGATTCTAGTGTTTGGATGCCCATACTAAGTTTCTGCTTTTCAAGATGTCAATTTAACATCTCACCTCGCAATCACGTTGTTCTAATTTTAACAATTATTTATTGAACCCTTAAGTTCTAGACACTGCAGAATGCTTTACCTAAGATTTTCCAATTTCGTTCTCAAAACTTCCCCGTGCGTTGGTCGCTATTAACTCCATTTGACAGATCTGGAAACTGGGGCCCAGAGAGGCTAGTCCAGGCCACTCAGCTAGTCACTCTTGGAGCGGGGCCTCTGATCTAGCTAGTGGTGTAATAGAAATTGTAAATCATTTCAAAGAATATATATATTTCCCGTAACACCCTAGAGTTTTCTCCTAGCCCAAGAATTGTCCTTTTTGACCTCTGGTGATTGTTTCTCCTTGAGCCAGATAAGCTGCAAACCTGTTGGAAGCAGTGAAGGGCCATAGGGAAGAGCAGCCTTTGGGGAGACAGCCACCTGAAATTCTGCTCCACAACCTCCGCTCCAGGAGAGCGGGCCGAACGCACCGCGGTCGCAGCTTTCCTGAGGACACGGGTCCCCATGTCACTAGCGACACCTGCGCTCCGGGCCCAAAGCACAATCACAAAGTGCGGGACCTTTGGGCGGTGCTGGGCGGCCTGGCCCCGCAGCCACTGGGCCGGTTGGTCCCGCAGGACTCTGCTCCGTGGAGCTTTTGTCCTTGGGCCGGGGCCCTGCGACCCGCGCTACCCAGGTCGAGCCCCGCCAGGAGGCTCCCTCCTCCCGCCATTCTCCAGAGAGTAGGGGGTCGGGAAGGAGAGAACGGCGGGGCGGGGCCTGCCACCCACAGTCCCCAACCCAAGGACGTCACGGTCCCAGGTGCGAGTGCGAGCGGGCGGGAGTCCACCCCGCGCCTCCCTCCTCTGCTGAACTCCCCACCTCTGTAAAAGCGGCCCGGGCCGGCCCCCGGCTCCATTTTCTCGCGGCGGCCACACCTGGAGCCGCGCCTTTGGGTTGGGCTGGGCTGGGCCGCGCAACCGCCACGGGAAGACAGCCCTCGGGGCGGGGAGGGAGAGGGTGGCCGGGCCGGGGGGAGGCCGGGGCCAGGGAGGAGCCGAGTGCGCGCTCGGGGCAGGCGGCGGCGCGGAGCGGTGCGGCGGCGGGAGGCGGAGGCGAGGGTGCGATGGCGCGGAGCCCGGGACGCGCGTACGCCCTGCTGCTTCTCCTGGTAAGTGCCGCAAGCGGGACAGGGGAGCCACCGCCGGGGAGGGCGTCGGTAGGCGAGGTCTAGACCTCGCGACCAGACTTGCCCGCCGCCCTTGTGCGCGTTACCTGCCCGGCGCTCCTTCCTGCTGCCCGAGGGGGGAAAAGGGCCGGGCAGGCTGCGGCGAGATCCGACCTGGGGCTTCGGAAAATCCTCTTGGCTGGAGCCAGGAGAGTAAGTTGCGACCTATCGAAGTTGTGTTTTCCTTCCCGCGTCACCCAGGCCCCAGCGCCCTTTTCTGTGGTGTGTGGGTGTAGTGAGCCCTGGGGCGGGGAACACCATTGCTGGGGGTCGGAGGCTTTGTTGAGAGTCTCTGGGACGAGAAACGTGGAGGCAATAGGGAACAACCTCGCGCTTCTTCCACGTTCCTTAAATTTCCCTAGGATTCCCCAGCTCCTCTAGCCGCCGACACAAGCCAGTGAACTGGGGAAACCAGGAACATACTTGTATTCTTAGAGTGCAAAAAGTTGGCTAAAAATTTTTTAAAAAGGTGTAATTTACAAAGCTTAATTTTAAGTGGATCACCCACATATAGTTTTAACTTAAAGTTTATGAAGTTGGTGTTTCAAAAGTTTTCCAATATTAAAGATAATAAACATATGTAATAGTTTGAAGCCTTATTCATTTAAAAGGTTACAGAAAATGGAAGTGTAGCGCCCCCTCCCCCACGCCCCACCCCTCACTCCCGGAAACGACGTTCAGTCCCTGGATTTAGAGTTCTTTTGCTCAAATTGGATTTTAAACTGTTGGTTTTCTGTTTGTTTAAGGGGTTGCACGTATGTATCTCGCTTATAGGGGTTTACTAAAGGGGTTTTAATAAAGTGACAGTTATGCTGCAAATATAGGTGTGAGTTCACCTTCCAGAGAGTTCACAAATATGTGTTTACAGAGATTAGATGCAAAATCATACTCAGTTTTCTTACGTAATAATTAAAAATGCAAATACATTCACTATATTCAAAGTTCTAACTTCCAAAACATGAGCCCTTCTATCCTCGAGTTTTGGTGGGATGTGGAAGAAAATCGTGTGTGTGTGTGTGTGTGTGTGTGTGTGTCTCAAAACGGAAAAAGGCGTGACTGAATCCAGTCTAGAGATTTCCATGAACTCTCAGGTGGAAGAGCATGATAATTAGGGCGTCCAGGCCTAGCACACAGTTCATTTTCATGCTCTATTTATCCATTTCATTTTCCCCGTGTCCTTGAGGTAACTTTCAATGAAAATTCATTTTGTTGACAAAACTTTTCTAAGACGTGATCTGGGACGTCGTTTTTAGCCTCTGGGCTGGCAAAACAACTAATCCTGTCACCTTGATGTTTCCTTGTTTAAGGAGAATCCCAAGCTAATGTAACACCTAGCTTACTTTGAGAGTTACATATTCTTTCCATATATGAAAATAAATGACCTTTAATCTTCAAATAATGTAGCAATCAGGCCAATTTGTACACTCACAGAGTAGCAGGTAAGCAAATTAGGCATATCTTTCATTTTAGCAATTTGATACTTTTACCTTATTGGGCAGTAATAAACATCTCCTTTAGAAAGCGACTATAGCCAATGGAACAGGAGCAAAATTCTTGGACTGTTCTATGTATTTTCTATAAAACTTTCTGCAGTATAAATTTGAATATGTTTATTTTTGTCCAGAGAGTAGTGGGCAATGCAGCATTTTACCCCCAGTGTGTTTGCAGTTGCAGTTTTTTGGTAAAAAAAAAAAAAAAAAAAAAAATGGAAAGCAACTCATCTGACAGAAGTAGTTGCCAAGGAAACAGGTCCTTTATTGGAAGGAATATAAATTGTAGTCTGTTAGATCAGAGTTCAGTTGCAAATAACGGAATTTACTCTAGCTATTTAAAGCAAGAATAGGTTTATTTCGGGGCACTAAACTGACTACCTAAGTGTAGGAAGGATTGAGAAGACTGCCATTTGAGCTGTCAGTAATGACTTCAAAGCCACACAGCAGAGCCACACCGCTTAGGGAGCTGCTGCCTCTCCTGTGACCAGGAACTGCACTGCCACTCCCACAGTCTGAAAAACTGCTGTGATCAGGGTGCTACTTTTGCTACCAGCTGCAGACCCATGCATGCCACATCTGCTAGGATGCATAACAACATGGATGCTTGTACCTTGCCTCTTGGTGTTCACAAATCTAGTAGCTGGACACTAGAGCCATAATAAGATGACTACAAAGAACCCAGCTCCATACGTCCATATCTGCTTGCCAGGAGGCACAGAGCTCTGTTTCACTTCCTTCTTTCAAATCTCATGTAAATACTAATTGAACCCAAACCCCATTCAGAACGAAGCCTGCAGTGGAGTCTGTGACACATGGTCTTTCGCTTTCCTCAGCAGTGCAGGGAGACACACCAGAAGGTAGCTGTGTCACCCACATAGCTATCAAACATTTAGGCCAGCTGTATCAAAATGGGAAAAAGAAATAATTTTCTGAATAAAATCAGAGAATATTTCCTCTTCAAGGGTTCTTTGCAATCCATCAACTCCCAAATGGTTCACAGATAGAATTCAAAGAGTTCCTAGAGATGGCAAGGAATTAATTACATATATATTTTAACTAACTTCGGACTGAAATTTAGTATTTCTTTAAATTATGAGTGTGGGGAAGACACTGCACAGTAGTGTGAGCAGTAGCTGTGACTATCACAATAGAATTCATAAATACCTTTACATCTTATGGTGATCTCAAAATACCATTTATTCTGAACATCACTAATAGACTTTCTACTAGATCTTTTACTTAATATGTTAATAAAATACATGATACTGCTGCATCACAAATTGGTATTTTAAAAATGCTGATAACTATTTCAATATAATTGGGTTCATTGATAATCCCCTGTATTTTATTTTATACATTTGAAATCATTAATCTGAGAAGGGGTTCATAGGCCTCGCCAGATTGCCAAGGAGGGCTCGTGGGTGAGAGATTTCCTGATGGTTGCTTCAATTTTGGGTTCGACTAATGAAGCTTGTGCTTTAAAATCAAACTACATTTTAAGGATTCAATGATAGCAGATCACACTGTGAGCAGATATATTTAGTAGGGTATTAGTTTGCTAGGACTGCTGTAACGAAGTGCTAAAAACTGAGTGGCTTAAAACAACAAAAATGTATGATCTCACAGTTCCAGAGGCTAGAAATCCAAAATCAAGATATGGGCAGGGCCATGCTCCCTCTGAAACCAGTTTCCCTCCTTTCCTCTTCCAAGTGCATACTGGTTTGTTGGCAATCTTTGTCATTCCTTCTCTTGTAGGTGCATTCATTACTCCAATCCTCCATCTGCGCATGGCATTCTCTCTTTTGTCTCTTTATATCATCTTCCCTCTGTGCATGTCTGTGTCCTTGTCCAAATTTCCCCATTTTATAAGAACATCGGTTGTACTGGATTATGCCCCAAAATAATGACCTCAGCTTGGTTAAATCTGCAGAGACCCTATTTCCAAATAAGCTCACATTCTGAGGTACTGGTGGTTAGCACTTCAATATATTATCTTTTAGGGGTCATAATTTGATCCATAACAAGTGGATTCAAGTATCTATAAATTATCAATAATATCAGAGTTATGCTTAGTGTTCTAATATACAACTGAATAATATATATTAAAGAATACATTAAAGTATAAATTAGATGGTGAATATTGAAGCCATAAGAATAATCAATTATCATATCCAAGGATTTTAGAAACATGGATTTCTTACTGGTTTTTGTTTCTAAAAGTTAGTAGGTAATGGGAAAATGGCAGCTCTTAACAGAAATTTTCTTTAATTATAACTTAAGGCAAGTACTTTACAAAGAGATATGAGCATTCATTGGCCTACGTACTCTCTGATTATTAGAAATCCCCGATAAGCTAAATTAAAGTTTCCAAGGCTAATATTCTGTGGTGTGTGAGTGTAGTGAGCCCTGGGGCGGGCTCACTACAATATAAATATGTATTTATAGAAACTTCCCAATTGATCTAATTGTCAGACAAGTGTAAGCGTGAGAATTACTGGTCTATATTTTGCAAAAAAATCTATATTTATGACATAGAAAAATTTACATGGGAAAAATTACACATTGAATAGGGATAAGTGTTTTTGAAAACTGCCAAATTATATTTAAAATTAGAAACTTTAGGCTGGGCACAGTGGCTCACGCCTGTAATCCCAGCACTTTGGGAGGCCAAGGTGGGCGGATCACCTGAGGTCAGGAGTTTGAGACCAGCCTGGCCAGCATGGTGAAACCCCATCTCGACTAAAAATACAAAAAATTAGCTGGGTGTGGTGGCACATGCCTGTAGTCCCAGCTACTCAGGAGGCTGAGGCAGGAGAATCGCTTGAACCTGGAAGGCGGAGGTTGCAGTGAGCCGAGATTGTGCCACTGCACTCCAGCCTGGGTGACAGAGGGAGACTCTGTCAAAAAAAAGAAGGAAGGAAGGAGGGAAGAAAGGAAGGGAGGGAGGGAGGAAGGAAGAAAGGAAGGAAGGAACTTTAACTGAAAGCATAAAGGACTTTTAGATCTATTTGAGCAATTTTTAATCACAGCTTTTTTCCCTTGTCTTTCACTCTGACACAGATTTCAATAGCTTTGACAACAATTTATAAACATATAGTCTACATATGATGAGAAACTATCTTCTCAGTTTTGTTTTTTATTAAGTTTTTGTCATATGCAAAGCTTGGTGATTAGAGTGAAGAAGCTGGAACAACAGAATTCCTACCGTGGTCGATAGTGAGATGAGAAATGTCCATAAGAAAAGAAACCAGACACATGACCCCTATTTAGTGAATCCCTGCTTGATGCTAGGCAATGTGCTAAACACTGGAGAACTATAAAAAAGCCAGACATGTTCTGCCCTCATGGTGCTTACAGTCTAATGAATGGTATAACAAGTAAATGGCTAACTTCCAAATGGGTAACGATAAGAAGAGTAATAATAGAGAAACGTAGTACCATGGAGCCTATAGAAGGAGCAACTATCTCAGCACTGGGTATCCCAGCTGGTATCTGAGAATAATTATAAATTAGTGAGATGATATGAAGAGAAATAGATTCTAGGTAGAGAGAAGAGCATCTAAAAGGCCTGAAAATGATAGTTCATGGTTCTGCAGAGGAACCTAAACATTCATTGTTGCTTGAACTTAGAAAGTGAGGCAGAAGAATGTATAGGAAGATAGGCCTTCAAGCCAACAGAAGCCCAGAAAAGCTACTTGCCAAGGAAGTGTTTTCAGGGAGGTATTCACATCACTAAGTAAATGAAAAGATGGGCTTTGGGTGAGATGGTCAGGAAAGAGTCAAGAAAGAAGAGATAGGATTTGAGTGATTAAGTATAATTGCGCCCAGTTAAAAAGAGAGGCAACAGGCATTGAGGACTTGGTAAGCTGAGATCAAAGCCAGGCAGAAAAGCCCAGAGACCATGGGGTACCTGGGAGGGAGAAGCAGCCTGACTGCCACAGGGAGATTGGTTTGGGAGCCAAAGGGGTGGGAAGGCATTTTGGTTGTCACAGTGCCTGAGGATGCCCCTGGTATTTAGTTCCCAAGGTCCAGGGATGCTAAGACTCTACATTCTGCAGAACCTTCAAGAATTGGGCACGTGTGAAGAATTTTTCTATCCAAAATGCTTATAGCACCCACATTGAGAAACAGTGATAGGCAAAGTAAGAGGTTCTAAGTAGGGATTTATTTTACTTGTCTGGACCCTCTTTTTGAAAGGCAAATATCTCTTGGGTTGATTACGCCTTGATACATTCGTCCACTCAACAAATATTGAGCACCTACTCTGTGCCAAGCACTGTTCCAGGTCTCACCTCGAAATCACACCTGACTGTGGATTATTTTCATCAGTCAAGGAGTTTCCATCTGGCTGACTGGGGAATGTTTTGGATGGAGATGAGAGGAGATGAGACCGTTCAGATTTCCCTCGGTCTAAAACACCTCCATCCCACCACTCTTTCAAGCCCCCTACAATGCAAACAAAAACATTAAACAATGTTTGATACCCACTGCCTCAATTTAATGATCCAGTCTCCTTAGACCCCAAAAGTGCTAATTGAGAAACTGGGCAAGGGTCCTAGCTCAGTCATCATCTTCTTTTAAAACCATTAATCATATCATTTCTTGTTTCAGTTATCGCCTTCCTTTGCTTTCTCAGTATTCTGGGGTTCCTTTCACTTACAGGAACCTGCAGTGCTTCTCACCCCTTTTTATCTGGCCTAGCACGATGGGCAGACGGCAGAGGGGGGGACACAGTACATATATTACTAGGAGACATCAAGTAGGGGTGGGAGACAATGGCAGTGGCCAAGAGGGTGCTGCCCTTAGGACAGTGTGCATGTGGATGTTGAGAATGTCCCCAGTGGCCAGGCAATCCATGCTCGTCATTGAGCCGCACTGCCCTGCTCTCTGTTATGTAGCATCTCTCCGCCCTACTCAGATACTTTCCCCAGGACCTAAGCTTAACATGTCTACAATCTGTCTTCTGGAAATTGCATCTTTCTAGCCACTCAGACTGAAAACGTTGGCACCCTCTGACTCCTTCCCTATTATCCCCACACAGGGCATTGCCAAGGATTTTTGTCCCCATAAAGACTCCTACTTCTACCTGTCTATCTCATTGCCATTCCCCTGATACTGTTCCTCATTCCATCTCCCTGACTTAGTAATTTAATCTCTGAACTGTCTCCTGCCTTTTATCTTGCACAGTACTGCCAAAAAATCTTCAGAATCACTAGCGACATAGTCTCCCTAATCAGAAGCTGGCAACGACTCTCCACTCCTTATAAGATCAGTGAAGAGCCTCAGCTCAACGCTTTGTCCTTATTTTCTACTTGCCACCATCGTATAGTTCTAGGTGCCAAACTGCACTACTTCTCATTTTTTGTCCAAATATCTCCATGTTCTGGCACATGGAGTCCCTCATCTGTGCGTTTTCCTTCCTCCTGTATGCACAGAAACAGATTATCTTCCATTTCCAAGGCCAAGCCCATTGCTATCTCCTTGCTAAACCTCTCCTGATTTCCCCGCAAGGAAGTAATCTTGCCTTTTCTGAGTTCCCCAGAACTATTTTTATAGCCGTCAGTTATACAATTAAGGTTTCCTACCTCATAGTAGTTTGATCCTCCTATTAAACTGTAAGCTTCTTCAGAGCAAGATCTTTGTATCTTTTATCTATAAACTAGCTAAATGCCTTGGGCACGGACGTATTCTTTAAAAATGTGAGTTAAAGTATCTTTCTGTGTTTAGAAAAGCTGGAATAATGATATGGATTTCATGTGTTTAAGAGAATTATTTAATGCCCAGATAGGTTAAGTAGTAATTTTTTTTTCTTTTTTTTTTTTTTTCTTTTTTTTGAGATGGAGTCTCTCTCTTTCACCAGGCTGGAGTGCAGTGGTGCAGTCTCGGCTCACTGCAGCTTCCGCCTCCCAGGTTCCAGCGATTCTCCTGCCTCAACCTCCCGAGTAGCTGGGACTACAGGTGCACGCCACCACGCCCATCTAATTTTTGTATTTTTAGTAGAGACAGAGTTTCACCATGTTGGCCAGAATGGTCTTGGTCTCTTGACCTGGCCCGCCTCAGCCTCCCAAAGTGCTGGGATTACAGGCGTGAGCCACCGCACCTGGCCGAGTAGTAAATTTTTGTTTAAATTTTATGCATTTAGCAGTCACAAATTGGGCGTCTACTATATGACCAACAGTCTTCTAAGGACATGTGAACTGCCCCCTGCAATCCTGGAGCTTACAGTGGAGAAAGGAGTATAAGGACAAGAACTTGACATTTTTTGAATATCCGCTGTGTGCCAGTCACTGGATTTAATGAAAGTTAATAATGGGTGAAACTGAATCAAACCCAGGTTCACCTGGCACCAAATGCCTGTCTGTCAACCCAGAGGCATCATCGTGAATTCCCCTTACAGCAGTTTGCTACAGTGAGTCATCAATAAGGTCCGAACTTCTGGAACTAGATAATTAATTTCACTGCAAATTAGAATCATTCTAGAAAGGAAAAAAACAAGAAATGTAAATTAAGATTTACCTCATTTCAGAGATATAATCCTGCAAAACTGTACATATAACTTTCTAAAGCCCTTGATTTTCACTCTTTTCAATTTTGCTGATCCACTTATTTGAGACCAATGAAACGCCTGCTTCCCACTTTAGACCTTGGAATTGCCTGTCGGTTAATTTCTGGTAGTTCCTGCAGTTTGCCTTACTGACAGGCCAGTGCCATCTAATGGTAAAAAAGGACAGTCTGAAGCTCTTGGTTTTCTTAAACTGCCCAGTGAAAAGAAATCATTTTCTTCATTTTACTTTTCAGTTCAGGAATATATTGCAGCAAAAGAGTGGAGACAACCTATAATTTTTGTTTATCAAATTTTGTGAAGTCTGTTATACAGCTTTATTTATATTTTGCCTAATTCCAAAAGCATTTGTGGCCATTACAGAAAACACCTACCAATAAAAGAGTAAAATATTTTTTACATGTCTAGTCATTTAATAAATGCTATTTTGAATTGAAATTGTATTTTAGTTAGTTTGCTTGTTTGAGCAATCCAACGACTTCAAGGAAAAGAAAAAGTATCGTTTTGCTTTTTTGTTTTTTCTTTTTTTTTAATTATACTTTAAGTTCTGGGGTACATGTGCAGAACGTGCAGGTTTGTTACATAGGTTTACACATGCCATTGTGGTTTGCTGCACCCATCAACTCGTCATCTGTATTAGGTATTTCTCCTAGTACTATCCCTCCCCTACCCCCACAGCCTCAACAGGCCGCAGTGTGTGACGTTCCCCTCCCTGTGTCCATGTGTTCTCGTTGTTCAACTCCCCACTTATAAGTGAGAACATGTGGTGTTTGGTTTTCTGTTCTTGTGTTAGTTTGCTGAGAATGATGGTTTCCAGCTTCATCCATGTCCCTGCAAAGGACATGAGCTCATCCTTTTTTATGGCTGCATAGTATTCCATGGTGTATATGTACCACATTTTCTTTATCCAGTCTATCATTGATGGGCATTTGGGTTGGTTCCAAGTTTTTGCTGTTGTGAATAGTGCCTCAATAAACATATGTGTGCATGTGTCTTTATAGTAGAATGATTTATAATCTTATGGGTATATACCCAGTAATGGGATTGCTGAGTCAAATGGTATTTCTGGTTCTAGATCCTTGATGAATCGCCACACTGTCTTCCACAATGGTTGAACTAATTTACAGTCCCACCAACAGTGTAAAAGCATTCCTATTTCTCCATATCCTCTCCAGCATCTGTTGTTTCCTGGCTTTTTAATGATCGCCATTCTAACTGGTGTGAGATGGTATCTCATTGTGGTTTTGATTTGCATTCCCCTAATGACCAGTGATGATGAGCTTTTTTTCATGTTTGTTGGCTGCATAAATGTCTTCTTTTGAGAAGTGTCTGTTCATATCCTTCACCCACCTTTTGATAGGGCTGAGTGTTTTTTTCTTGTAAATTTGTTTAAGTTCCTTGTAGATTCTGGATATTAGCCCTTTGTCAGATGGATAGATTGCAAAAATTTTCTCCCATTCTGTAGGTTGCCTGTTCACTCTGATGATGGTTTCTTTTGCTGTGCAGAAGCTCTTTAGTTTAATTAGATCCCATTTGTCAATTTTGGCTTTTGTTGCCATTGCTTTAGGTGTTTTAGTCATGAAGTCTTTGCCAATGCCTATATCCTGAATGGTATTGCCTAGGTTTTCTTCTAGGATTTTTATGGTTTTAGGTCTTACATTTAAGTCTTTAATCCATCATGAGTTAATTTTTGTATAAAGTGTAAGGAAGGGGTCCAGTTTCAGTTTTCTGCATGTGGCTAGCCAGTTTTCCCAACACCATAAAATGGTATTTTTTGAGTGACAAATGCTTAGGACCAGTAAAAGTTAAACTAGAAGAAGAGGTATAAACCAGGGGAAAACACTACCTAAAGTGTTTTCCTACAGTTCAATTGTAGTTGATGAATACTTGTAAAATGAAAAATCTTTTTGTGATGGGGAGAATTCACAGTTACTGAACTGCCTGATTTATTTTATTTTATTTTATTTTATTTTATTTTATTTTATTTTATTTTATTTATTCTTGAGATAGAGTCTCATTCCGTCACCCAGGCTGGAGTGCAGTGGCGCCATCTCGGCTCACTGCAACCTCCGCCTCCTGGGTTCAAGTGATTCTTGTGCCTCAGCCTCCCTAGTAGCTGGGATTACAGGCATGCACCACCACACCTGGCTAATTTTTGTATTTTTAGTAGAGATGGAGTTTCACCATGTTGGCCAGGTTAGTCTTGAACTCCTGACCACAGGTGATCTGCCTACCTCTGCCTCCCAAAGTGCTGGGATTACAGGTGTGAGCTTACAGGCGTGAGCCACTGAGCCCGGCCTGAATTGCCTGATTTAGAACACATCTTTTCACACATCTGTCTGTAACTAGGGGCTCATTATCCAGTTTATGAATTATCCAGGCTCTCCTCTTCTTCCCTTTCCTATGCTACCATGTGATTTTACACAGTGGTTTCCAAAAGTGTGGTCCCACTTTTGGGGCCAAGCAGCATCAGCATCCCCAGGAAACTTGTTAGATACAAATTCTTGGACCCCATCCAGACCTACTGAGTCAGACACTCTAAGGCGGGACTCAGTAATCTGTGTTTTATCAAGGTGATTCTAATGCCACTCAAGCTTGAAAACCACTGTTAACATCCCAATTAGAAAATAAAAATAACTGGAGTAGAAAAGAAGATTAAATATTAAAAAGCCCTATGTCAAGGGAAAAAATAGGAACTGTCCATGAATATACAAAACTTTACTTGAAATAAGAATTCACAGCATGAATGAACAAGTCAAGTGTAGCAAAGCATTGCTAAATGCATATTTTAAAATTCTATGAGTTAATAAAAAGCTTTCAAAGAAACTGTCTTCCTCTTTGTAACTAACTTCAATATGACTCACCTAAAATCATATTTGTTACATTCAGATTAGCCCAAACATCCGAAGAACAGGTGAAAGATTTTGGTAAGTCATGTACTTTATTACTGTCAGACTTAAAATATTTATTATTATCTAAAGTTCAAATTCAGAGTTCAAAAATTAAAAGTTCAAAATATTGCTCTTTTTTTTTAAATTAGCAATTGTGAAAAATATAATTACATATTTAAATCAGCTGTTGAGTGAGACTGCTATAGGAGTATATAAATGTCTAGATCATCTGTAAGTTGGACTTTTAAGTTGGAATTTTCTAAATAAGTTATGCTGGTTAGCCGTAAAATAAATGTTATAAAAACTGTCTTTTCTTCCTCCTGTCCCCAAAATAAGATTAAGAAGAGAAAAGTGCAGTAGGTGAATTCCAACATAAATCTGACCCACGTCAGATTTATCAGAGCAGATCACCAAACTCACTGGTCCACCCTGACTGCACTGGGTCACTTGAACTCTTCTGAACATGTACATTTCTATGACTGTAGACTACAGAGCCTTCTTTGTGGCTATGGACGCTACTACAGACCAGACCACCAGCTCTGCCAATACAAATAGAAAAGTCAGGATGTGTGACCAGAGGAAATAAACAAGTGGCATCCACTCCCTTTATTTTATCTCATTTTATTTCTTTCAGATTATTTCAGCCAAAGTTGAAAGCTCTTTAAGAATGGATTGGGGATAAACCAGGGATCCTCTGGGCAGTTTTTGATTTGACCTTCTATACAATAAAAGGGAGAAACAAAAGAATTATAAAACATTCTGCTGGTTGGAAGGTTGAGTAACCAAGGAAAGAAAATAACACAGATGTTAGATGATGGGCCTGAGGTGGGCATGAATTTAAAGAACCACTGGCAAGTGCCACGTCCTCTGTGTTTGAGTTCTAAAGATAGTCCGTTGAGCACACTGCTTACCTTCTAGTAATTTCTCGCTGAATGGACATTAGAAGCCATTATAGTGACTGAAAGTTGAAATAATGTTTTAAACTAATTTGTATTTCTCTACATCCATTTTTAATAAGGTATCTCTTAGTCTGATCTATTAAAGTTTAAGGGATCACCTCACCATAAAACCACTGAACACTTCAAGATTCTCTACTTTAAAGGAAAGACTTCTGACAGAGAACCTGTCAGCCAGGAGGAGCTGTCATCCAGTGACTCATGAGTCCTTCTGGATTCTTGTTTAAACTCATCAAGGTGACTTCAGAACAGAAAGTCTTTTCTAAAAGTGCTGACCTTGAAAACAAAGAGTACATTGATTGATGGTGTTTGGTATTCCCTCATGCCTCTGCAGGAAAAAAAAAAAAATCTTTTGCCAGATACCAGGAAGTCCAGTTTTTATAAGATGTGCAGGATCCAATGGTAGAAAAATTTTTTACATGTTTTTCAAAGCAGCAAAACTAGTTAATAAAATACTTTTTTTAGAGTTTAGCAAATTAGAAAAGCTTTTGCAGAATTTTTTGGTTCATCTGAAAACACTGCTTTGGATACAGGAACTAGCAGCTTACTTTTCCTCGTCAGTCTTAAAGTCATGTTGCAGGTGACATTTTTCTGTCACCAAGTTCCTGGTGAGAAAAAAAGTCACAGATTTAGTGTTTGGAGGAAACCTTATTGGCCATTTTGTCCAGCCACCCCTCCCATGCTTGAAACCTCTTCACAGCATCCCCACAGGAGGTGACTCAAACTTACAGAGTGGACAGGTTTTTTAAAAAGTGCCAGGGAGTGGGAATGGAGGACTAAGGCAGAGAGTTTCTGCTTGTTCCAGTCATGTTACTTGCAGTATACTACCCACTAGAGATGTACAGAATCTCCACAGTCCTCTGCAGCTTGTATTACTGTCCTGACCCTGGTTATTACAGTAGCTTCCAATCAGAGAAACGCAGCCATGGTGTCTTAACCTCGGCACTTGGCCAGTTGCAGCCAGATAACACTTAGTTGTAAGGGCTATCATGTGCATTGTAGGATGTTTGACAGCATCTCTGGTTTCTACCCACTAGATGCCACTGGCATTTATCTCCCCTACCTCGAGCCCCACCCTGGTTTGACAACCAGAAACGTCTCCAGACATTACCAAATATCCCCAGTGGCAGGAGGAGCGGGGCAGGGCAAAACTGCCCCTAGTGGAGAACGATTGGTCTAAATTAAGAATGTGTTCTGTGAGATAGAGGATCTTAAGGAACCAGATCCAAATTATTTAGAAAGCAGTGGCTGAGATCTTAACTGCTCAGTCAAATAAACAGACAGTTCCACAATTGACAAAATGTTAGTGCAGTTCTTTTTTCTTTTTTTGTACAATGAATGAAGCAAATATTTCAGTCCATAACACCTTACTAAAAGCATGCTACTGCAATACGTGCTATAAAAATGCAGATAGCAGAACCCTCTTACCTAGATTCCAAGACAACCTTGACTTTAAGATGCACATCAATTCTTCTGATGTTTTAGTGTAACATACATCCAGAAAAGTGCACATATCACGAGTGCACTGAATCTTCACAAACTGAAAACACCATGTCACCAGTAACGAGGTGAAGAAACAGATTGCCAGCATCCCAGAAGGCCCCTTGTGCTCCCTTCAGTCCCTACGATCCCCCTGATAGCCGCTGTCCCAATTCACAGCAGATTAGCCTTGCCTGTGTCACGCTGGCTCCCTAGATGCTCAGCAATTTAATACCAGCCTTTTGAGAGAAGAAAAGAAACATTACATTAAAGATGTACAAAACCTCTAATATGCATCCCAGTTCCTTAACTAAAACCGACTGATGACTCCCAAATTTTTATCTCCGGGCATAACTTCTTTTCTGAGCTACTAACTCCTATATCCAAAAGGCCATTCACACAGAACACATAAAAACGGCTCTTACCTCCCATTTCACCCCTCCCTCAACACCACCCCTGTCTCCTGCCTCACCTTCAGCTTACCCCATCCCTCTCCCCATTCTGTCTCATCTCTGGAAATGGTGCCTTCACTCACCCAGGTGTTCCGGGTCAAAATTCTAAGGGTCATCTATATTTGCCCTCATTCATTCCATTCACAGGTCTCTGTTGCCTCTGCCTTCAAAATAAACACTGGAGATATCTACTTTCTTTCATCTTTACTGCAACTCCCAGGGTTTAAGCTAGTGTTATGTATTGCACGTGCTTCTGCAATGATGCAATGACTACAGTCTGGTCTCTATACATTTGTTCTTGCCACTTTATGGCCTGTTCTCCATACAGTAGCACCAGCGAGCTTTTTCAAACATAAACTGGTTGTATCATTTCCAAACATAAAAGCTTCCAGTGGCTTCCTCTCACACTCAGGATAAAACCCAAAGTCCTCTCCCTGACTGGGTACTGGCCTATCCCTGTGACATCATCATCACTGATTCACCACCGCATGGCCTGGGCGTTCCTTTTGCAGGGCTCTGCCTGACTGGCTTCCTCATACCATTCACGTCTCTGTGCAGATGCAGCCCCTTCTGAGAGTTTTCCCACACTTCCAAGTCACTCTCTACTATCCTGACCCTGCTTTAATTTTTTTTATTGCTCTTATCAAAACCTGGTCTGTCTTTGTCTCCCCAGTATGTAAGCATCCAACAGGGTAAGAATATTGTGTTACTTAACATATCCTACAAGCTCAGGAAATTGAGGGTATGAATTAATTCAAACTTGCAGAAATTTTAAGATAAGGACCATGCAAAACTTAGAATTGAGGAAATGTCTCATAAATTCTGTTTATTGAATGCCAGTCACTGCAATAGTTACATTTCATATATTTCTTTAATTTGCACATCAGCCCTGCAAAATGGATGTATCCTAGTTAGGTGGCTTTCAGATGCAAGTAACAAAACCCAACTAAAACTAGGTTAAAGAAAAGAATGTTGAATATCAATCGTAAGAAAAAGTTTAGAGAGAGAGTTGGTCCAAATTTGAACGATTCTGTAACTTAAAGCCTTTATGGTTTCAGTTTGGCTTCTCTAGCATTTCATTAGCTTTCCCCTCATGGTCACAGCATGGCTGTAGCTATTCCAAATGTCACCTCCTCACTCAACAGTCTCCAGAGGCACTTAAATAGGAAGGTTATGCATGTGCTTCTCTTCTAATCAGTGAGGAGAATCTTTTGTAGGGTCTCCTGATACCTCATTGACCAAAATTCTCTTACACATTTATGCCTAAACCAGCCAATATCAAAGTAAATGGGCATACATACCATGCTTTGTCATGCCAGTCATTCAGCTCCATGAGCTAGGCAGGGTCTACCTGAGAGTACAAAGTAGAGTTTTATGAACACTGAAGATGAGAGAAAATGCCAATAAGCTAGACAATTGAAAATGTCTGCCACAGTATGTATTACTCTCCTGTTACAGATAAGGAAATTCAGACTAAAGCATCTTGTCTGGCAGGATCTCCTCCCCGCTTCCCTCTGCCCTGAGGATGGGTTAGACTTAATGACTCACTCCCAAAGAATGGAATAGGGACTGGGAAAAATAGTAACTTTACAACGGAGAAACTGCAATCAGTACCTTAGCCAGTGGTGTCATGTGGCTATTGCACACCAGCTAGTATGGTGTGACAGAAAGGGCACTTCAGCTCTGTGATGTTCTTTCCAAAAATGCATAATACTGATCTAATCGTGAGAAAAACAACAGATAAACCCAAATTGGAGGACACTGTGCAGGATACTCAGCCAGTATTCCTCAAAACCGTCAAGGTCATGAGAAACAAAGACTGGGAAAGTGTCAAAGACCAGAGGATATAAAGGAGAAGTGATCACCAAATGCAATGTGGAATCGTAGATTGGATCCTGGAACAGCAAAAGAACATTAGTGGGGGAAATGGTAAAATCAGAATAAAGTATGGAATTTAGTTAACAGTGCATTAACTAAATGCACCAATGTTAATCTCTTAATTTTGACAAATGTACAGCAGCTATTTAAGATGTTAACATATGAGGAAATTGGAGAAAGGAACTGCTGGTACTATCTTTGCAACATTTCTGTAAATCTAAAACTATTCCTAAGTAAAAACATATTTTAAAAGAAATGTGTGCTAGGTAATTGTTGAAACTGGATGTTAGCTATATGGGTGTGCATGTTACTATTCACTCTGCTTTTATACATGTTTGCAATTTAAAGTGATTTTAATGTTAAAAATACATACATTAATGAAATATATTTTATGAGTTTCTGCCTTCGAGATACTAGCAGTCAAGAGTAACAAAAATTCTTGTGCTGACTACTGAAACAACAATGGATAAGGCAGACTTCATTGACTGTTGTTTGTACCTAAACAAACAAATGATATTTCATGTCACATTCTACAATCTTGCTCCTCAAAATTTGGTCTGAGAACCCACAACATTGCTATCATCTGAAACCTTGTTAGAAATGCAAAGTGTAAGGCTGACCTCTAGACCTACTGAATTGGAATCTTCCTTTTAACAAGGTCCCCAGTGAACAAAATACACATTAAAGTTTAAGAAGCACTGTTGGTAACCATGTGATTTTCTGCATTTCTGAGCAAATCACATCTAGAAAGTAAATTCCAATAAAAATCAGTGAAGATGCTCATATGATGAATTTACGTTTGACTAGAGGACTGTAAATTACTTCCGTTTTCTTATATCCTAGTAAAACACATGACACTTGGTCAGAATAATAATATTTACTTAAAATAACATGTAAATTATACCCTCTTGCTAGGGCCGGTAAGATTGTAGGGAAGAATAAAAGTAGCAAATATTCAGTGCAGCCAACTACTTAATATGGCCTGTATCAAAGAGAAGAGTCTGATGGTTAGAAGGATGGGCAAGAAATATATTAAATTTTTTTGTTTGTTTGTTTGAGACAGAGTCTCACTCTGTCGCCCAGACTAGAGTGCAGTGGCGCGATCTCGGCCGACTGCAAACTCTGCCTCCCGGGTTCACGCCATTCTCCTGCCTCAGCCTCTCGAGTAGCTGGGACTACAGGCACCCACCACCACGGGCAGCTAATATTTTTTTGTATTTTTAGTAGAGACAGGGTTTTACCGTGTTAGCCAGGATGGTCTCGATCATCAGACCTCATGATCCGCCTGCCTCGGCCTCCCTAAGTGCTGGGATTACAGGTGTGAGCCACTGTACCCGGCCTAAATATACTAAATTTTAAGGCTGTTCCCTGATGATGTGGACACTGGGACCTCTCTGATCCAGGCACTGATCTTTCTCTTCAAAAATTCCCACCCAAGGAACATGCAGAGAGAAGTGATCTATCTCAGCATTGCTTTCCCTTGCTTTTCATACCATGCCACCTTTGAAAATACATAAATTTGGGGAGCACCACTTTGGTTAGAGACATCTCTGGCCATTGCTAGCTGGGCAAGTTAATAGTAGACAGAATGAAGAAGAGATCATAGATCTGATCATAAAATAGAGAATTAGCCATGATTGTTCATCTGCCCCAGAGAAGCCCACACTAGAAGCTGAACATCTGCTCTCCTTGAGTTTCTCTTTGGAATGGAGAGCCAAGAACATGAACTGACAATGGAAAGGAAAGAAAGAGGCTGAAAGATTCACTTGTGGAATGGACCCTACAGGAAGCTTTCAAATGAATGCAAAGGATGTGAAAGAGACTTTGAAATTTTAGGGAATGCCTTGTTTCCCATGATGTACCAACTAGGGCTTTGTGGATCCATGTGACCATGCAGATGGGAAAAGGCAAACAACTGAGAAAAGCTACACCAAAGACAGAGTCCAGTGAATTAATGCATAAATGGAAGGTGGAGTAGTGGGAGCAATACATATAGACAATAATTTCAATTTGGAATTATAAGTAAGAGAGGGATATAGAGCAATAGATTGTTAACAGAAACAAGAGAGGGATCTGGTTTTTTTTTTAAGATAAGGAAAACCTAAATATATTTGGTTTGCCAATCAGAAGGAAATAAATGTATTGATTAGCCAATGGAGAAGGAAGATAAAAGGTTAGTGGAAGGATTAAGGTTCTTGAAGATAAATGTGGGAGAACAAATAGAGTTGCAAATAAAGCACACAAACGATGGTTTGCCTTGGAAAGGAGTCAGGACACCTCTTCTGTGGGGAAAGAAGGGAAGGAGAGGATGACTGAAGATAGTCTCAGTCAAATAATACATGGGGTCATCTCATAAGAGTGAATAGGTACAGAGGTGTGACTAGAGTCATCTCCTAAAGTTTGGAATGCCTATTTTAGAAATGCAATAAGGGTAAGGCAATGACAAAGTGACGATATAATTTATAGTGTGAGCACACTTTTGAGGATGAAAGGGTTGTTAACAGATGGAATGCCTCACAGCAGGTGTCAACCTAGACTCTTCTGAGCAAATGCAGACATATGGTCACACTAGAAAGGAACCGCCACCCCATGGAAAGAGCAGCTATTTGAGAGCATGAATGTGTAAGGGATCTATTCAGCCACTGTGGCCTCCTCTAGCGATATTGCCAGTACATGGTCAGAACTAAAGAGAATAATAGGTTTCTAGAGTTGAGAGGAAAAGTGAGGCAGGAATAGCAGTCATGAAAATGAAGCCTCCCTGGTGGTCACTGACAACATCTTCAGAGTGGCAGGCAGCAGTCTGCTAGCTGCTCCGGTAGAACTGTGTGCAGCGGTGGAAATGTTTTCTGTCTGCCCTGTCCAAATGGGTAGCCCTTAGCACATGTGGCTGTGGAGCAACTGGATTATTCATTTCAAATAATTGCGGTTAAAATCCAAATAGCCACAAGTAGCTACCATATTAGAAAGTGCTGGTTCAGATTGAGCCAAGAGAAGAAGGAAGCCAGCAGGGAGATTAATGAACTATAAGGAAATCCTGCCATTTGCAGCAAAACAACATGGCTGGAAGTGGAGGTCATTATGTTAACTGAATAAGCCAGGCACAGAAATACAAATACAACATCTTCTCACTTATATGTGGGAGCTAAAAGTTTTGATCTCATGGGCATCGAGAATAGAATGATAGAATCCAGAAACTGGGAAAGGTAGTGGGGAGGTGGGGGAAGAAAAGAATTGATTAATGGGTACAAATATATGGTTTGATAGAAGAAATAAGACCACTAGTTAGAAATAAGTACACTAGTTCGATAGATCAGCAGGGTGACTATAGTTTACAATAACCTATTATACATATCAAAGCAGCTAGAAGAGAATTATTTAAATGTTTCTAGCATAATGAAAAGACAAGTATTTAAGGTAATTGACATCCCAAGTATACTAATTATCTTTACAAATTATATGAATGTATTAAATTATCACATGTATTCCAAAACTATGCACATCTTTAATGCATCAATTTTTAAAATTATTATTTTACAGTGCAAAATATTCAGAAAGCAAGATGGGAGTTTTTTGGGCAAATTTAAGAGTAAGCATAACTGTATTTAGAACAGTACTAGGTCATGATGAAGTCCCAAGTGTGACAGTGCCTATGAAGAACCAAAGAAAAGAGTTGGTGGGACTGAGGATGCTGAGGAACCGAGAAGTCAGAACATGGGCTGTCCGTGTGTGTGTGGTGTGTGTTTTTTTGTGTGTGTATAATGCACACACATCCATAGGGATGGTGGGAGTTAGCTGGGTGTGGGGTACATTACATACTGGTGGCCTCGAGGAAAAGTAAGCAGGTCCTGGAGAACACAAGATAAAAACCATAGGATGCGGAGTAAAGGATGAGAGAATGTCTAAGATTTCACAAGGCAGATTATTTTGTTTGTTTTTTAAGATACTGTTTTCTGGAGGAGTCAGTATGGATCCAGGAGAATATAGATTTCTCCTCGGGCACTTCCCATTAGGGAAGGCAATGGGAAAAATTAGTTTCCTCTTGACAAAGAATAGTAGTAGTGGTTAAACTTTTTTTATGTCTATAATATTCAATGCAGTAGGTTATTCATGAACAATGTTTTCACACTGAATTGAGCAGTAAATTGGCTAAATATCAAATAATTTTATTTTACAGATCTGCTTTAACGTTGGAAGTGGACTTCACTTACAGGTGAGGAAACAAAGGGATTATTTCTGCCTTCTGACTCAGGAGGGTTAATTCCATGGCAAACAGGTTGACTGGGCTTTACTAGATTGAAGACACATGTTGTATTAGACCCAGCCATTCCCATTCAAACAAGTGCAGAGGAGCTTATCCAGGGGTATTCAGTGCAGCAGTTTTTGACAATGTAAATATCCACCAATAGGTGAATGTTAAAACCATTTATGGTACATGAAAGAATGTCCATGACGAGGTGCTGAATGAAAATCGGGGCAAAATAAGATATATAGTGTAAGTCCATTTTTATAGCAAAAAGACCTTTATGCATCTGTGTATATATGTGCAACTGTATAGTTATGAAAAATCATAAAAGATATTAATCAAGCTGTTAATGAATACTTTGTGAGGTATAAATGAAAAAGTAATTTCAATTTTTTGTCATAGAAAATTTTGTTCAAGTAAAAAAAAAAATCAATGACCTAGTGATAACCAGAGTACATATTTTGAAGTAAAATACCTATTACATAGAGCAACAAAATGAGTAAAATGATAAACCAAACCTAGTATAAGGATTATTTCTGATCTTAAGATCCCAGGTCAGCTGTATTGAAATTTCCCTTGGATAAAATATATATTCACCTGTAAAACCCAACTGGAAATTTATAGAATGGTTTTCTGCCTAAGGTTCTGAAAATGAAATGGGAAATTTAATTCTTTACCCAATCCTGAAAACAATAAATTCATTAACTGGCAGTTTCCCTGGTTTTAGTCAAGTTTATATCAATAGATTACTAAGATTTAGCCTTAAAAAACATTTAGTAATTTATTTTTAAACCACAAACCACCACAGAAAAATGAAACTTCATTTTCAGTTAATAAGAAAAAACGTTTTTGACATGATCTGTTATTTTTTACTTTGCCAATTTGTAAGGCTACTAAATGATTCTTTAAACTTTTCAAACTCTCACTCTGGGAAATCATTTCTTACAGTTAAAAACAAAATTCTACTGTCTGGGCACAGTGGCTCACACTTGTAATCCCAGCACTTTGGGAGACTGAGGCGGGCGGATTGCTTGAGGCTTGAGTCTAGGAGTTCAAGGCCAGCTTAGGCAACATGGTGAAACCCCATAGCTACTAAAAATACAAAAATTAGCCAGATGTGGTGGTGCATGCCTGTAATCCCAGCTTCTTAGGAGGCTGAGGCAGGAAGATGGCTTGATCCGGGGAAGTCAAGGCTACAGTGAGCCAAGATCATGCCACTGCACTCCAGCCTGGGTGACAAAGCAAGACCCTGTCTCAAAAGAAAAAATAAACCAGAAAAAACCCTACACTTTTACTAGCTTGGAGACAATCTCTTGAGGCCCTATGCAGTTTGCTAGAATATATATATTCCCTTTTAGACAATGAAGCCTCATAGGAAATACGAAGCATACCTTAAAATTTGCACTATTTAAAAGTTTATTATGTTATAGGACAGCATACTAATGTTCTATATTTATGACACATAATAAATTTTGGCAATATTCTATTGTTATAGGTCTTAAGCACAAGAAATGAAAATAAGCTGCTTCCTAAACATCCTCATTTAGTGCGGCAAAAGCGCGCCTGGATCACCGCCCCCGTGGCTCTTCGGGAGGGAGAGGATCTGTCCAAGAAGAATCCAATTGCCAAGGTACCTCCTAAAGAGGAACATGAAATACATGCATATGACTAAAATGTGGTGTGAGAGGACTTTTATGTCTACTTTAAGATTTAAGGAAAATGTATGATGTGCTTACAGAATTTTTAAATATTCAAGATATATCTGAAAATTAGCAGAGCTTACTTTTTAGCATAAAGTATCAACTTTAAGATTCTCTTTCCCATTCCGGAAGATGCAGCATCATTGGCAAAAATATAGATAACTTTGAGTTTTGATTTAACTAAGAGTAAAGGGATTTGGCACTGGTAACACAAAATGTTCAGTGCTCAAAAGAGGATGTCATAAAATGTCATTTTCAAGATGAACTGGTGTCTATTACTAGGTAGGGGGACCATCTTCATCTGCCTGAGACAGTCGTGGTTTATGCCTGCTCTCCTGGCTTAATAATTAATATCTGTGTTTTCACTCTCAAGGGGTCCAATTTTTTTGATAAATTATGTGATAGTGTTGCTACTCTATATTTCAAAGTTGGCATGCACAAACATAAACCCTTCATTTTTTTCCCCCCAAAGCTTTTCTTCATAAGTTCTACCCATTTTGGTAATTGATGCTATAATTCTCTCCAGTTTTTCAAGCCAAAAATGTACCACACACTATCAGTTCTATTCCAAAAATATATTCCAAATCTGCTGCTTCTCTTCAACTCCACTGCCATTCCCCTAGTCCAAGTCATGTCATCTCTGGCCTGTATTACCAAAGAACTTCAGAAGGAAATTGTCCATAAAAATATTTACCTGTAAATTATAGAGAATCACTTCTTAGGCTTTTGGCTAAGATCAAATCTAGTAAATTACAGAGAGTTCAACCTGAAACATTCCTGTTATTTTTATGTTAGATACATTCTGATCTTGCAGAAGAAAGAGGACTCAAAATTACTTACAAATACACTGGAAAAGGGATTACAGAGCCACCTTTTGGTATATTTGTCTTTAACAAAGATACTGGAGAACTGAATGTTACCAGCATTCTTGATCGAGAAGAAACACCATTTTTTCTGGTAAGAAGAATAATTTTAGATTTATTAGTTTGTAGTTTTTCTGTCATAATAAGTGTCATTTGTTTTATTTTTTCATAGTATGGTAATTTAGTTTTCTTAGCTTAAATCTAATCTTATTTATGTCATGATTTCAGCTAACAGGTTACGCTTTGGATGCAAGAGGAAACAATGTAGAGAAACCCTTAGAGCTACGCATTAAGGTTCTTGATATCAATGACAACGAACCAGTGTTCACACAGGATGTCTTTGTTGGGTCTGTTGAAGAGTTGAGTGCAGCACGTAAGAGTCTTTTTTTTTTTTTTTAATAAATAAATACCTAAGATTACTTTATCCCCACTGTAAATAAACACTAAATTTCATATCTTAATGAAAGTTGAGTATTACCTACAGAACAAATGATAAGAAAGCAGTTCAGAACTGCTTTCCTTATAGGTTTAAAGGACTTTACATGCCATTGCTTTTACCCTCAGAACAGATAGGGTAGATTAATGTGATGGATAAGGTCTCTGTAGCAACTACTCAACTCTGCTATCTGCAGGAAAGCACCATAGACAATATGTAAACAAATGAGCCTAGCTGTGGTCCAATAAAACTTCATTTACAAAAACAGGTGGCTGGTTAGCTTTGGCCCTACAGCTTTGGCTATAGTTTGCTGACCTGTAAGTTGTATTATTTTTACTGTAATATTTATTCACAACATTGTTCAACACAGTGCTCTTCATGAGGACCCGAATGAGAGATTTCTTTTTGACCATGATGTAAGGAATAGTTACGCTTCTCCTGATTTGTTTGTATCTTAATAGATATCAGGATCATGTACCTGCTCATGTTACTTTCTTTGTATTGGCTACTAATACTATTATAAACAAATCTGTGCCCTTATACAGCAATTTTTCAGGACTCTACCCTCAGCCTTGCCTTCATCTTGTTTTTACTATTGTTATATCCCATTCACGCTTATGTCCTCATCCAGTTAAATGTTATATTGTGGTCAACTGTATGTGATTTTGATAAGCACCTGAAATCTTTTTTGGAACAAGCTAAAATTATAAATAAAATAACAGGTAAATATGCTTAAAGTTGAATTTCATCTTAGACATCTTTATTTCTAATGCCAGATACTCTTGTGATGAAAATCAATGCAACAGATGCAGATGAGCCCAATACCCTGAATTCGAAAATTTCCTATAGAATCGTATCTCTGGAGCCTGCTTATCCTCCAGTGTTCTACCTAAATAAAGATACAGGAGAGATTTATACAACCAGTGTTACCTTGGACAGAGAGGTAAGTTAATATGTTATGTTGCCCATCTTTAAACTCTCTATCCTTTCCAGTTTCTCCTCTCTTTTTCTTTTCTAATTTTCTTATTTTGTTCTGTATTCCTTATCCATAGGATAACTCTTGGAATTACTCTCTTTTAGGGATGTGCTGTCCAATATGGGCCATGTGACTATTGAGCACTTAAAATGTGACTGGCCCAAATTGTAATGTGCTGTATGCACGTTGAATGTGTAATATATGCACCAGATTTGAAAAACTTAATATGAAAAATGCAAAATATGACCTTAATGTTTTTTGTGATCATTGCATGTTAAAATAATATTTTAGATATCATAGATTAAATAAAATATACTTGTTTAAAATTGTTATCATGTGTTTCTTTTTAAAATGTGGCTACTAGAAGATTTAAAATTACATAAAAACAGCACCATTCTAGGGCCTCTCCTATCAGGGTTCTGTTTACTAGAGGTTCCTAAAACATTTCTCAGTTTGCAGTTCTCTAATGAAACATTAGGAGGCTCCTCCACGGCTAGTACGTAGGAGGCAGTGAGGAAAGGGATGAAAATAGGAATCCTAGTTAGAGAATAAAAGTATCTGTAAAGGAGAGAATTACTCTAAATCCCAAATTGAAGGAAAGTTTGAGTAGGTTTACTAGGAAGGCATTTCTCTCGAACATTTCACTTTATTATTTCTAACTGAAAGGGAAATTTTTAAATAAAAAGGGGAGATAGAAGATTTTTTAAATGCTGTATACATAAAGGTTTTAACAGCGTACAAGAGTAAAATGTGGTTGATCATAAAGTACACTCTTTGTCATCAGATATAAATCATCATCCAAGTGCACTACGTTCAGTATTTCTTAGAGAAATGATTGGCCGGGCGTGGTGGCTCATGCCTGTAATGCCAGCACTTTGGGAGGCTGAGGCGGGCAGATCACAAGGTCAGGAGATCGAGACCATCCTGGCTAACACGGTGAAACCCCATCTCTACTAAATATACAAAAAATTAGCTGGGTGTGGTGGCGGGCACCTGTAGTCCCAGCTACTCGGGAGGCTGAGGCAGGAGAATGGTGTGAACCCAGGGGACAGAGCTTGCAGTGAGCTGAGATCGCGCCACTGCACTCCAGCCTGGGCAACAGAGCAAGACTCCATATCCAAAAAAAAGAAAAGAAACATGATTTAATTCTGCCCAAATTGGAAGGACTGTGCCTAACAGGCTTAAGGGAATGTTTATAAAATTAAAGAATATGATTACACCTAAAATTCTACTCTATACCTTTTCACATAAAACTAGAATGGAAAAGTGTTACTTTGCATTAGTAGTGTGATTTTAAACAAGCTGCTATTTCTAAAGGACGGAAAGTTTAGCCAATAATAATGGCTGTTAACTTACTGGGCATTTACCTTCTGCCAGGTACTGTTCTAAGCCTTTTTATGGATTAACCTATTTAATCCACATAGAAACCCTGTGAGGCAGATTCACTTATTATCCTCATCTTACACATAAAGAACCCGAAGGTCAAAGCGAATAAGTGCATGTCCAACACAGTCAGTAAGTGACGATGCCAGAATTGGAACCCAGGCAGATGGCTCCAGGGTCCTGGTGTCCTGCTGTGCACTGAGTGGTTCTGCCCTATGCAGGACCCCAAGCACTGGCACTACCTGCCCTCCTAAATTCCAGCCACGCTGAACAGAACCATAGTAAGGGGACCTCATGGAAGAGAAGAAGTGACATCTGAGAAGCCGTTCTCTAGGACACATACTATAAGAATCAAATCTCTGGGGAATTCTGGACAAAGTTCACCCAGTTTTGCCTTCACTAACCAAGTTTATTTAGGACCAGCTTCTCCTCACTGAGAATGAAGTGCAGGACAGAAAGAACCAATTCCTACAGTTCCACCTCACTTTCAGTAGAGAATAAGCTACATTTTCAATAGTGGCTCCTTTGTGCAGACTATCTCCTGATAATATCACCAATGACTTATTGAAGAATTTGACTATCTACAACTCCCGAGGCTTTTCTGTTCTTCTGCAAAAGCTCTGACTGCAAGTAAATAGTATCTTCACACAAATAATAGCAGATCATAAAACAGATTTGTAAATAAAATATACTGTGGTACGTGATAAACTGGACTAAAACCAGAAAGCCAGATGTAAGAGTGACTCTTTTCACCCAGCTGGACATTTTTCATTGCTCTGCAGGAACACAGCAGCTACACTTTGACAGTAGAAGCAAGAGATGGCAATGGAGAAGTTACAGACAAACCTGTAAAACAAGCTCAAGTTCAGATTCGTATTTTGGATGTCAATGACAATATACCTGTAGTAGAAAATAAAGTGGTAACTATTATTCTTCTAATAACTGTACCTATTTATTTATATTTCAGTCCTAATTAAAAATATATCACTTATATTTGTATTTCATTGAAATAAAAATCATGTGTTCATGTTTTGCAGCTTGAAGGGATGGTTGAAGAAAATCAAGTCAACGTAGAAGTTACGCGCATAAAAGTGTTCGATGCAGATGAAATAGGTTCTGATAATTGGCTGGCAAATTTTACATTTGCATCAGGAAATGAAGGAGGTTATTTCCACATAGAAACAGATGCTCAAACTAACGAAGGAATTGTGACCCTTATTAAGGTAAGTACTAAGTATTCAAAACTGGCGTGGGCCAAGTTGGTGCTGGAAAGGAATCTAATATATTTTGAGCCCTGAACACTTAAAAGTGCTTTACATATTCAATTAACTAGCACTACAGTTGTTTGAGAAAGGAGCCATCCCTATTTGCCCAAGTTCTGTGGTTAGGAAGTGGTCACACTATGGTTCAAATTCATATCAGGGGACTCTAATCCTAGCCAGACAGCATGGTACCACCATCATTACTGCTTAGCTCATTTCCAGGCTTTCTTGCAGCTCATACCTGGCGATCACATTCTCACATCACAATCTCTTGCCTCTACTGAGTATCCCCTCAATTACTACCTCTGATTTTATCTACTTAAGAGTAAAGCCAGCCCCACACTTTGAGAAGCCAAGGCAGGCAGATAGCTTGAGCTCAGGAGTTCGAGACCAGCCTGGACAACATGGCAAATCCCCGCTTCTACGAAAAAAAATACAAAAATTAGCTGGGCATGGCGGCACATGCCTGTAGTCCCAGCTACTAAAGAGGCTTAGGTGAGAGGATAGCTTGAACCCAAGAGGCGGAGGCTGCAGTGAGCCGTGGTCACACTGCTGCACTCCAGCCTGGGCAACAGAGTGAGACCCTGACTCAAAAAAAAAAAAACCCCGAAACAAAACCAGTAAACCCAGGCCTCACTAATAACATCTAAAAATAAAAGCTGTGATAACTTGATAGTTAAGTGTGCCTAAGAATCACCTCATAAAACTGCATGCCAAAAATGTAGGTTCCTGGTCTCATCAACAAAAAGTTTCATTGGGCAGGTTTCAGGAACTTGTCTTTTTAGCAAAAATCCACTTGTGATTCTAATATTAGTATGAGGCTCACATTTGGAAATACAGTATACTAAGTTCTTGTGCTTAATTGAGTCAATGGAGGGAAAATTGAACTAAATAGGGATATTAAGCATTTATGTCGAATTACAGGATGGGCCGGGTGTGGTGGCTCAGGCCTGTAATCCCATCCCAGCACTTTGGGAGGCCGAGGAGGGCGGATCACGAGGTCAGGAGTTCGAGACCAGCCTGGCCAACATGGTGAAACCCCATCTCTACTACTAAAAATACAAAAATTAGCCAAGCGTGGTGGTGCATGCCTGTAATTCCAGCTTCTCAGGAGGCTGAGGCAGGAGAATCACTTGAACCTGGGAGGCGGAGGTTGCAGTGAGCCAAGATCGTGCCATTGCCCTCAAGCCTGGGCAATAGAGTGAGATTCCGTCTCAAGAAATATAGGTAAGGAATAATATCAGTGTATTTTAAGTAGCTTATATTAGAATTGCCTTACCAGATTTTAAAATAAAATGCAAAGCTACAGTTCCAAAATACTATTTCATTAAATTACACATAGGCAAAAATTGATTCCAGAAGTTTCGAAATTCTTATGAAAACTTAATATATAACAGACTGGGTAAAACTCTGACAGTGGAAAGAGGAATAATGGTGATATAAATGTATAACAGAATAGGGAAGAATTAACTTGAGGTTTCATGATAATTGAGCACCACTTATTGACAGCTACTATATGCATTTAAGCTACCTTTTTAAAAGCAGAGTAAAATTGAGTAGCATTACCTCATGTTTAAAGAGAAGAACTCATGATTATTGAAGAAATGGATCATGTCATTCGAGACAAAATCAGTTTATCTGCTTGTGTCATCAATTTTTAAGCCATCAATTTATAGGTATGACCACGCCAGATACCTGAGATAGAAAAGCCAATTATACACGCAAGGAGAAACAGTCAGATATTGATGAATGACAGAGGTGCTAGCATAGAATTGTCATGTGCCACATACGAACGTTTCAGTCAGTGACAGACTACATATATGACGATGGCCCCGTTAAATTATCATGGAGCTGAGAAATACAGAGTAAGGATGTAAAGAAAAAAAATATTTTTGTGTAGCTGCACAGTGTGTTTGTGTCTTAAGCTAAGGCTCATTACAAAAGAGTCAAAAAGTTAAGAAAATATTTAAAAGTTTATAGAGAAGTTATGGTAAGCTAAGCCTAATTTATTATTGGAGAAAGAAAGTTTCATTTTTTTTTAAATTTAGTGTCACCTAGGTACAGTATTTACAAAGTCTGCAGTAGTGTACAGTAATGTCTTAGGCCTTCATATCCATTCACTCACTCACTCAGAGTAACTTTCAGTCTTGCAAGCACCACTTATGGTGAGTGCTCTATACAGCTGTACCATTTTTCAAATCTTTACTATCATATTTTTACTATACCTTTTCTATGTTTAAGCATGTTTAAGTACACAAATACTATTATATTATAATTGCCTACAATATTCAGTACAGTAACATGCTATACAGGTTTGTAGCATAGGAGCAATAGGCTATACCATATAGTGTAGGTGTATAGTAGGCTTTACCATCTAGGTATGTGTGAGTTCACTCTGTGATGTTTGCACCTCAACAAAATTGCCTAACTGCATTTCTCATTTCTCAAATCATTAAGCAATGCATGACTGTATTTTTAGTGTACTATGATAGCACAAAAAAAGGGATATAGTTATTTCTATCAAGAGGGATGTGGATAAAAAAACAATAAAATGAGTATTACAGTGAAAGCAACCGAGTGAGATAATTACAAAGTCATTGTCTCAATTATGTAATGAATTGCTTCCAAATTATAAGGGCAGCAATCGGATTCCATCGAAAGGAATTTAGACAAAAAAGATATACAAGTAGCAAATACCCACGTGAAAAGGTGCCAACATCATTACTCATTAGGGAAAATCAAATTAAAACTATAAGAGATACCACTTTACCTTCTAGAATGGCAGAAATGAATATCTTAGTCCGTTTGGGCTGCTACAACAAAATGCCATCATCTGGGTTGCTTATTAACAACAGAAATTTATTTCTCACAGTTCTGGAGGCTGGAAAGCCCAAGATCAAAGCAGATGCAGTGTCTGGGCAGGTCCCGCTTTCTGGCTTATACACAGTGCCTTCTTGTTGTATCATCACATAGTGGAACATCCAACAAGCTCCACTAGGCGTCTTTTGAAAGAGCATTGATCCCAGGATCTCCCAAAAGCCCCACTCTTAATATCATCACTTTGAGAGTCAGGATTTCAGCACGTGAGTTTTAAGGCGACACAAACATTCAGACAATAGCAATCAAAAAGATTGACAACACCAATTATTGGCAAAAATATAGAGAAACTGGATTGCTAGTGGAATTGTAACATGATGCAGGCAGTTTGACAGTTTCTTTTAAAAGTTACACAAGAGTAGTTATATGACCCAATGATTTGATTCTTAGGTTTCCACCCAAGAAAAATAAAAACAGGTCTATACAAAGACATGTATGCAAATGTTCATAGCAGCATTATTCATGATAATAAAAAAAACTAATAGCAGTCCAAATGTCCATCAGCTGGTGAGTAGATAAACAGAATGTGGTGTATTCATATGATGGAATACTAATGAGCAATAAAAAGGAATGAAGTACTGATACAAGCTACAACACGGATGAACCTCAAAAACATTATGCTATGGGCTGGGCACGGTGGCTCCCGCCTGTAATCCCAGCACTTTGGGAGGCCGAGGTTGGGGGATCACCTGAGCTCAGGAGTTTGAGACCAGCCTGGGCAACATGGTGAAACCCTGACTCTACTAAAACAAAAAATTAGCCAGGTTTGGTAGTGCATGCCTATAATTCCAGCTGCTTGGGAGGCTGAAGCAGGAGAATTGCCTGAACCCGGGAGGCAGAGGTTGCTGTGAGCCAGCATCACGTCACTTCATCCCAGCCTAAGAGACAGAGCAAGACTCCATCTCAAAAAAAAAAAAAAAAAAATTTGCTGATTATGCTATGTATAAGGAGCCAGACACAAAATAGTACATATTACATGATTCCATTTACTTGAAATTTCTAGAAAAGGTGAAACAATGGGGATAGAAAGCAGACTGGGATTGCTTGGAGTGGTGAGTCTGAGTGGGGACTGACTACAAACACATGTAAAGGAACTTTTGGGGGTGATGGAGTGTTCTAAAACTGGACCATAGTGATGATTGCAAATCCAGAACTCATCATGCTGTACACTTAAAATGGGCAAATTTTATTGTATATAAGTTATACCTGAATGAAGCTGTCCAAAAAGGATAAAGGAGATGAACGGATATTTTTAAATATGGAAATAGAGATAGTAAATAGTCACATGAGAAAAATTCACAGCTTTGTTAACAAATTAACAAATAAACTTACAATCTTTAATGTTATTAAAAAATAGCAAAAATGGAAATGATAAAATAAGTTTACAGAGTTGTAAAAAATAGAGGTCTATTCCCTCACACAGCGCTCTTGATACTGAAAATTTTCCATTTGCTTTGGAGCATTATGGCTATTTATGACTAACACTATGAAACACTTATGGCCCCAATACCTAGCTTTTATTTATTTATTTATTTTTTCATGGTCTTGGCCTTTGGATACTAATGACATCTGGCTGGAAGATTTTATTTCTCATCCGGCATATATCATGCCATCAAACAAGCATGTCAAGTGCAAGAGTGACTTAAATAAACTAACAAGCTTTCACAAAGATATTACAATCACAAAGGATGTATTTTCTCTAGTCTTTTTCTCCTGTGTCCTTGTCTCAACATCATAGTGATCCATATTTTTAAAGGGTGCAGAAGTTGTGATCCATCCAGAGCCCAATAGAGAGGAAAACTGACTGACTTATTTTGGTGAAAATAAGTAGTGGTAGCTCCAAAGGAAGGAAATTCACAATGAATTCTCCAAAACACAAGTGAAAAGCTTTGCTGTAATTCATGTAAACATGCCTAATATATTTAATTTTATACTGAAGAAACAAGCAAAAATGTTTAGTGCATCTAAATGGTCAGAGATACTGGAAATAAAAAGCAACAGGACCTAAGTAAACTTTAGGTAGTTCTTTTAGTAATAGGATATAGGTCAACAGAGGAAAAATAATGTGTATAAAAATGCTGAGAGCAGTATTAATTACATTTAGAAATTGTGATAGCCCAAATGCCTAATTATAGAATGACTGTCTATATCTAAGTAGTAGAATACTATGGAAATGTTTATAAAAAGAAACATTGAAAAGTTGGAACATAAAATATGTATACAGTAATGAACTGATTATTTCAAATGGAAATTGTGCTATTACAAAGAACTATTTGAAGAAAGGTTAATCTTTTATGGAATTAACAGCAAACCAGATATTAATAGGTATTATGCTAAAAAAGAGGAGAGTGGGGTTCTTTGTTTAAACAGATTTGAAAATCTCTAGGTTTCTTCTTTACTCCAGGAATTCAAGTATTTTAATATGCTAATGTGTAATATATAGCTATATTAGAGGGACAGAGCTCACAGAGCTACCACTACTTATTTTCACTAAAATAAACCCATAGAACACATTTTAAGGAATACTGATTTATACTGAATGCCCACTAATTTTTTACATTAGAAAAAAAATCACTTCAGATTGTTAAATATATATACACATATCTATAGATATGTGTGTGTGTATGTTTTGAGACAGGGTCTCACTTTATTGCCCAGGCTGAAGTGCAGTGGCATGATCATGGCTCACTGCAGCCTCAACCCTCTGGGCTCAAGCAATCCTCCCACCTCAGCCTCCTGAGTAGCTAGGACCACAGGCACGAGCTATCATGCACAGCTAATTTTTGTATTTTTTTGTACAGATGGGAACTCCCTATGTTGCCCAGGCTGGTCTCAAACTTCTGGGCTCAAGTGATCTACCTGCCTTGGCTTCCCAAAGTGCTGGGATTACAGGCATGAGCCACCATGCCTGAACAAAATATATATATATATTTACAGTAATTTCAACATTTAGGAAAATAAATTGGTAATACTTCCTAAACATCCTTAACATTTATGACTATCCAGATTGACAGAATTTTTATTTGCTTGGTGTCAGTATAAGAGTTGGACTATTCAGTGCTGCTATATTTCCTGTGCATTAAATTATTGTATCTAACATTAAAACCACACATGTATATGTATATGTATACATGTCTTCTGTTTTCTCTTTGAAAAGAATTCCCTTTGGTTTTCCCTTTCAGGAAGTAGATTATGAAGAAATGAAGAATCTTGACTTCAGTGTTATTGTCGCTAATAAAGCAGCTTTTCACAAGTCGATTAGGAGTAAATACAAGCCTACACCCATTCCCATCAAGGTCAAAGTGAAAAATGTGAAAGAAGGCATTCATTTTAAAAGCAGCGTCATCTCAATTTATGTTAGCGAGAGCATGGATAGATCAAGCAAAGGCCAAATAATTGGAAATTTTCAAGCTTTTGATGAGGACACTGGACTACCAGCCCATGCAAGGTAAGAGAGAGTGACACGTGTATTTCTTTATTTTAAATTATTTTCAGTGCCTATTTTCAAAAATCATAATCAAATCTGAACACTTCATTCCTTCAAATCCAGCATTATAGTTCCCCAAAGGTCTACAAGTTAAATTTTCCAAAGATGTGTCTATAACTGAGAGATGAGGGGGAATTTTCACCAGAATCCACCTTCTTCAACCACCTGTGTGTGAGGAGGAAGTTAGTTTACTCACCACTGAAACAGTTCTGGCTAGAGATGGCTAAAAAGCAACAAAGGAAAAGTTCAGGAAAAAACTTTTAAAAACCTGTCTTATTTCCTAAAAGATTATTATTGGAGGGTGAGAACGTAGCAGATAACATCCACAAGATTTACTTTATACAAGTTACATAATGTATTTTAATATGGGGAAACCAGCTTTACTTAACGCATATATCTTGGGAATGAATCTTCATTTAAACCTATTTGTTTCAGAGATTAATGAGCCTCCTACACTGTTTATGTTTGTCTTGATCATGGTGACCTTTACTCAGAGTACATTTATTGAGAACCTACAAGATGCTCACTGTGTTGGAAGAAACTAGTTTGTGTCCACTCTGTAGTGGCACCTTATTGTGTGATGCTTTCAAATTTTCAAAGTAAATTTACATCTTAGATCTCAGTGCCGTGCCACGGAAAGACCATTCTCTACAGAGCTGTTATTTATGGAGCTCTAGTTACTGTTACTGCAGTTGAATTTAAAGAATCCCCACCTGCTGTCCCAGACACAACTTTAGTGACTTCTTGCTCAGTGCCAGAGCTGCCTGGTTGCTTGAGTGTCCTTATACACCTGTGTCCCTGTCTTAGTCCATTTGAGCTGCTGTAATAAAAATACGTTAGACCAAGTAATTTATAAACAGCAGATTTGTTACTCACAGTTCTGAAGGCTGGGAAGTCCATCAAGGCACCAGCCAACAGATTTGGTATCTGGTGAGTCTTGCTGTCTGCTTCCAAGATGGCACCATCTTGCTGCATCCTCACGTGGCCAAAGGAACAAGGGAACTCACTGGAGTCTCTTTTTTAAGAGCACTAATTCCATTCATGAGGGTGGTGCCCTCATGACTTAATCACTTACCAAAGGCCCCACCTCTTAATATGATCATACTGCATATTAGACTCCAACATAAGAATTTCCGAGGGTTACAAACATGAAAATCATAGCAGTCCCTGTGTACCAGTGCTTCCTAAAACATTGTATTTAAGTGCATCGCCAAGTGTAGCAAGAATGAAAATGTGGAAGAAGCTCCTCAGCAACCTTTTTCCTTTTAGTGAATCGCCTTTTCATGGAATTCCTTAAATAACATTTTTTCCAAAGTAATGTTAACAAACAGCTTCCACCATATTTTCTGTAGTGCCTTGGTGACATTCTTTGGCCCACTATGGTCCTCTTGAGTTATGTGGTCTAGTTGGTCTAGTTTTAATTTTCTCAGCTCTATAACCTCACAAGACAGTATACCCAACTGAATTTACAAAATTGAGCATGAATTTTCTATATGATCATTTTTCACTGCTGTCTATGGAGAAACTTATATGTTCAAACTAATTATATACCAATAATATGTGGCCACTTATTGAAGCTTCTGTTTCCCACCAAATTATTGACTTTTGGCTGCTGTTTTGTTTGTTTGTTTGTTTGTTTGTTTGTTTAGGGGCCATGAATACATCAAAAGATTGTGTGTTCTGCCTGGAAGAATAATGAACCCTGCCTTTTTTATTTCTTAGTGTTTTATTGTATTCTTTAGAATGCAGTTACAGAATTTTAGAAAGAAAAGGTCTTAAAGACCAGCTCAAACCTATTATTTTACAGATAAGGAATGGAGGCACAACCAAGTTAAATTATTTTCCAAATGTTTACCTAACTAATTAGTGGTTGTTATTTTGAAACACTGATAAGGGGCTGGGTGTGGTGGGTTCATGCCTGGCATCTCAGCACTCAAGAATCCGAGGCAGGAGGATCACTTGAGGCCAGGAGTTCAAGACCAACCTGGGCAACACAGCAAGACCTTGTCTCTACAAAAAAAAATTTTTTTTTCAATTAGCCAGGCATGGTGGCACATGTTTGTAGTCCCCACTACTGGGGAGGCTTAGACAGGGGGATTGCTTAAGCCTAGGAGTTCAAGGTTCCAGCGAGTTGCCATCACACCACTGCATTCCAGACTGTTTGTCATAATTTACTGTTTTATTGATTATTCATGTGTATCAGCTGTTTACAGATATTTGATATAACATGTAAGCAGCTATGCTACTTGAATGATGTCTAGCTTTTACAACAGAGAACAGAAGATTTCTTAAATGAGATTAAGCAAACACATTGTGAAATGTAATCCCTATTTCTAAGACTCTGCCTTTATTATCAGTATGAATGTTGGTAAACCATAGACAGCAACTTATGTCTAAGCTTTAAAATTTCAGACATGAAATTCAAAACTAATTGTGAAAATCAAAATGTATTATTATTTACTGGTAGCAGTATTAAGAGGCAGAAAAATTTAGTTCAAGTGTATAATTGGAAATAGCACTAAAAATAAATATTGCTATAAATTAGCCACTCATTCCTGTGTGCCTCGAAGCCACTTAATAGAAAATAAATTAACAATTTGATTGAGCAAACCAAGATACTCATATGTTTGGTTGGTACTGGTATTTTTATGTTAAACTCATTGGTATTCATTAACTAATTACATACATTTCTTTTTTTTCTTTTTTTTTTTTTTTTTGAGACTGAGTCTTGCTCTGTCACTCAGGCTGGAGTGCAGTGGCACGATCTCGGCTTACTGCAACCTCTGCCTCCCGGGTTCAAGCAGTTCTGCTTCAGCCTCCCAAATAGCTGGAATTACAGGTGCCCACCACCACACCCAGATAATTTTTGTATTTTTAGTAGAGATGGGGTTTTAACCTGTTGGTCAGGCTGGTCTTGAACTCCTGACCTCAGGTGGTCCATCCAACTCGGCTTCCCGAAGTGCTAGGATTATAGGTGTGAGCCACCATGCTTGGCCAGTTACATACGTTTCTGAAAACATAATATGGACATTTGCCTTGCTCTCCCAGCATTGGCTCCTTCCACACTAATTCTCCTTGCTTTGAGGGAAGAAACCCAGAAACGATTTTATCGGCATTGTTTCCACTTTTAACCAGTTCTGCCTGAAAGAAAATTATTACCCCAATAATCAACAGTATCAGAAAATTTGTAGATGCTTCCGTTTAAAATGATCATTGATTTTTTTTTTTTTTTTTTTTGAGATGGAGTTTTGCTCTGTCACCCAGGCTAGAGTGCAGTGGCGCGATCTCGGCTCACTGCAACCTCCACCTCCTGGGTTCAAGCAGTTCTCCTGCCACAGCCTCCTGAGGAGCTGGGATTACAGGCACGTGCCACCATGCCCGGCATTTTTTGTGTTTTTAGTAGAGACGGGGTTTCACCATGTTGACCAGGCTGGTCTCAAACTCCTGACCTTAAGTGATCCACCCGCCTCAGCCTCCCAATGTGCTGGGATTACAGGCGTGAGCCACCGCACCTGGCCCCTGCGATCATTGATTTTTAAAGTTGATGTTTGTAAATGTTGCTAACGCCCCCAATAAACAACAGAACATAAGACTGCTCTTCTCCACCAGTGCTTATTGTATAACTAAGTTATTCCCCAAAAGTTTAACCCAACTTTAAGGGACACTAAATCAAATGCCATAGGACAGACTGCAGAGCAACTTAAAAACTTGAGTTAGTGGTTAGTGGGCTCAAGAGAATCACCCTTAATTTTATGTCTTGGGTATGTTGCAGGAATAAGAAAGGTCCAATTTAAGTGTGACATGCAGTAAAGAGAGGGGCTTTTAGGATGGTTTTGCAAAATTAAAAACATTCAAAACAAATGCCTGTAATAAGAACATATTTAAAGAGAAGAAAAGTAAGCTTGAAAGAGCTGTAGATGTTAGAGGTTTCCAATTCATGCAGAATTCAAAATTAATTTTATGTTTGTTTTATGACAGATATGTAAAATTAGAAGATAGAGATAATTGGATCTCTGTGGATTCTGTCACATCTGAAATTAAACTTGCAAAACTTCCTGATTTTGAATCTAGATATGTTCAAAATGGCACATACACTGTAAAGATTGTGGCCATATCAGAAGGTAAGTTATTAAATAGATCTTTTTCTTGATTATATGTATTTAGATTTTTATTTTCCAACATCAGAAACCATTGATTTGATTGTGTATAAAAACCTAATCTCGGCCGGGAGCAGTGGCTCATGCCTGTAATCCCAGCACTTTGGGAGGCCAAGGCAGGTGGATCACGAGGTCAAGAGATCGAGACCATTCTGGCCAACATGGTGAAACCCCGTCTCTACTAAAAATACAAAAATTAGCTGGGCATGGTGGCATGCATCTGTAGTCCCAGCTACTCAAGAGACTGAGGCAGGAGAATTGCTTGAACCCAGGAGGTAGAGGAGCGGAGATCGCGCCAGACAAAGGGAGACTCCAACTCAAAAAAAAAAAAACAAAAACAAAAACCTAATCTCACCCCAGCACAGTTGCTTGTGTCTGTAGTCCCAGCTACTCAGGCAACTGAGATGGTTGGAACACTTGAGCCCAGGAGTTTGAGACCAGCCTGGACAAAAAAGCAAGACACCATCTTCAAAAAAAAATTGAGGGGTAGATAAAATTTAAAAATAGATGTCTAAAAAAATTTTTTAGTAAGATGAAATAAGCACCTAATTTCTCCAGTAGATAAATCTCACATTTCTACTTGGTAAGTGGATTAAAAGATATTACTTGGTCCAAATTTGAAACATATCTAGGATAGAAAATGTCCTAAGTGGTTAGTACCTTCTCCACTCCAAATTGGCAAGGGAATTCAAACTATGTCTGTTGTCAGCAATAGGAACAGAATGTACATACTTTTTCTCTCTTATTTTTAAGATTATCCTAGAAAAACCATCACTGGCACAGTCCTTATCAATGTTGAAGACATCAACGACAACTGTCCCACACTGATAGAGCCTGTGCAGACAATCTGTCACGATGCAGAGTATGTGAATGTTACTGCAGAGGACCTGGATGGACACCCAAACAGTGGCCCTTTCAGTTTCTCCGTCATTGACAAACCACCTGGCATGGCAGAAAAATGGAAAATAGCACGCCAAGAAAGTAAGCAAAATCACTGGACTACATAGAAATCTAAATATTAAGCATGATATCTAAAATATTTGTAAGTTGTATTTCTTCTCATAAATTATATTTCCAATATAGTTTTTTAAAGGAGTTTATGAAATGAGGTCCTGAACCTACTGACATATAGTATCTTTTATATGCTTATGGAGAGAAGAAAAATAATCTAAAATGTCTTGAAGGTAGCTGGGTATTCCCTAAATAGCCCTTGAAGTAGTTTTGTCTGGTAAGGTGAGGAGTACCAAGCCTTTGTCAGCACCACAATCGTAGTAGTTTGCCTTCTAAAAATCTTGTAGTAACAGTAATTCCATTTAAAACAACATTTATTGAGCACTTGCTATGTGCTAGGCATTCTGCTAGCCCACCCTATGTATTACCATATTTAATCCTTCCTTCAACATTATTCCCTGATTAAAGCTGAGGATACCTTGGTTTAACTGGGGGTAAGTAAAGCTCAAACCTAGAACATGATAGAAACAACATAACAGGGGAGTTATCTGATTCCCCCCTTCCCCATGTCAGTGGACATGTCCATATGTCCACATCCAGGACATCTAGACACATGGACCATATGATGTGTTGATGTGAGTTTTCAGATGTCCTTCAGGGTGGTTCTGAATGCAGAAAAGTCTATCCAGAAAACTATTTTGTTTTAAACAACTAGGGTTCATTTCAGTAAAATTTCAAAGACAATAGTCAGTTTTTTTTTTAATTTACAGCTTTATTGTGTTAAGTCTAGCAAATGTTTGAAATCATTTTAAGAGGGTTTGAATAATGTTTAGTCCAATTAACAAATTAAACACCATCAATATTTCAAACTGTATTTACAGATTTAATATATTTAGTTTCCTTATATATTTCAGTGATCTGAATTAACAAAACCTCCCAGCCAGGTGCGGTGGCTCACGCCTGTAATCCCAGCACTTTGGGAGGCCAAGGCAGGCGGATCATGAGGTCAGGAGATCGAGACCATCCTGGCTAACACGGTGAAACCCCGTCTCTACTAAAAATACAAAAAATTAGCCGGGCGTGGTGGCAGGCACCTGTAGTCCCAGCTACTCGGGAGGCTGAGGCAGGAGAATGGCATGAACCCAGAAGGCAGAGCTTGCAGTGAGCCGAGATTGTGCCACTGCACTCCAGCCTGGGTGACAGAGCAAGACTCTGTCTCAAAAAAAAAACTCCCTATGATCCTTATACTCTAAAATTCTAATAAATTTAACTTACAAATACACTGAGTTGTATATTACAGAATATTATCAATAACAAGTTGAAGCCGGGCATGGTAGCTCATGCCTTAATCCTAGCACTTTGGGAGGGTGAGGCGGGTGGATCACTTGAGGTCAGGAGTTTGAGACCAGCCTGGCCAACATGGTGAAACTCCATCTCTACTATAAATACAAAAATTAGCTGGGCATGGTGGTGGGCACCTGTAATCCCAGCTACTCAGGAGGCTGAGGCAGGTGAACCTGGGAGGCAGAGGTTGCAGTGAGCCAAGATGGCAGCACAGCACTCCAGCCTGGGCAACAGAACGAGACTCCATTTCAAAAAATAAGAAGAAGAAGAAGAAGTGTAAGAGTGCTAATGTTCCTTGATCTTAGAAGGTGCATGCTGAAGAATGTCGTGCTATCTGTAACTTACCTTGAAATAGTTAAGAAACTTTAAAAAAAAGAAAAAGTGGGTATATAGAGGGCAAAGAAAGCATTGTTGCAAAATGTAAACAGTTAGTAAGGGTTTGTTAATATTCACTAAAATATTCTTTCAACTTTTCTGTAGGTTTGAATTTTTTTTCCATTTTGAATGTATATAGTGTTGAGAACAAAAAAAGAAGGGACTAGAGAAAACAAGATCAGCCCATCATTGAAAATGATTAACGCTGAGGATGGGTACCATGGGGGTTATGCTCTTCTCTTTATTACTATGTTTGAAAAATTGCCTTAATGAAGTTTTTTTTTAAAGAAATGGTAAAATAAAGGTCATTCAGTAGAAATGTTAACTCACCACTTGTTTGTCACTGTATTCCCAGTGTATAGAACAGTTCCTAGCTTTCCTAGACCCACACACATTGGTTACAGCTAATCATCATGAAAGTAGGTGTCCAGGTCTGAACCTTTGCTATTTAAACTGCATATTCAGGGCCTATAGACAAATTTTAATGAGCACACTTCAATAAGTGAAGGAAGAACAAAGTACCTAATTGGAGTTAAATACAATCAGCAATGAAAGAACATTTGTGGAATTTAATGTTGCCTCATCCTTGGTAATCGTTCGTTTTTATTTCCTTCTGCCTCCCAACCTTGTAGGTACCAGTGTGCTGCTGCAACAAAGTGAGAAAAAGCTTGGGAGAAGTGAAATTCAGTTCCTGATTTCAGACAATCAGGGTTTTAGTTGTCCTGAAAAGCAGGTCCTTACACTCACAGTTTGTGAGTGTCTGCATGGCAGCGGCTGCAGGGAAGCACAGCATGACTCCTATGTGGGCCTGGGACCCGCAGCAATTGCGCTCATGATTTTGGCCTTTCTGCTCCTGCTATGTAAGTCTTTAAAAGCCACTCTGTTGTGCTTTTGGGAATCTGAGTGCACTCCTGGAGATGTGTTACTATGGTAGTCATTGATTTCTTCACAGTTATTCTTTAACCACACTAGAGCACTTTGAGGGTGAATAGGGAAACAACTGATGATTGGCAAATCACCAAAGCATAATATAAGACTCTTCAGAATTTTGTTTTATAAATGTATATCCTTTTCTGGTTTCAGTAACTTAGGAACTATTGGCATAAACTTCACTGGTATTCCCATTTTGATGAGCTCTGTGAGGGCAGCATGCTGTCTGTTCTCTTCACTGCTGTATTCCCAGTGTGTGGAACAGAGCCTTGCATGTAGTAAGCGCTCAAAAAAGATGTGTTGCATGACTTTGGGTTATGGGCACAAGGTTTTTTACAAACCCAGTTTATTCCAATCAATCCTGCTTTGTACATTCAACTTATCAGAGCTCCGCCTCCCTGATATTCCCCGCTTGCCTTGTTTCTTCGTCAGCACCAAAAGTAGGCAGACCCTCTGAGCACTTCCTGTCCTTCCTGACCGTAAGATGTTCTCAACCAGTCCTGCCTGCCCTACCCACGCTCCAAAGACCTCGGGTTTCCTTTTATAAAAGAACAAGGGACTGCATCCTGAGGTCACATGAAATATCACTCTACTTGACCACTGAATATGGACAGAGGGCCGCCTCCAAGGCAGCCTAGGCTAGTGCAGTGACAGAGGAGAGGTCTGTTAGACAAGGGGTCCCCAACCCCCAGGCTACAGACCAGCACCTGTCCATGGCCTGTTAGGAACCAGGCCGCACAGCAGGAGGTGAGTGGTGGAAGAGTGAGTGAAGCTTCATCTGTATTTACAGCCACTCCCCATCACTCGTGTTACCACCTGAGCTCTACCTCCTGTTAGACCAGTGCTGGCATTCGATTCTTATAGGAGCTCAAACTCTATCGTGAACTACTCATGCCAAGAGATCCAGGTTGCGTGCTCCTTATGAGAATCTAATGCCTGATGACCTGTCACTGTCTCCCATCACCCCCAGATGGGACCATCTAGTTGCAGAAAAATAAGTTCAGGGCTCCCACTGATTCTACATTATGGTGAGTTGTATAATTATTTCATTATATATTACAATGTAATAATAATAGAAATAAAGTACACAATAAATGTAATGCACTTGAGTCATCCCAAAACCAACCCCCCTACCCCTAACTTCCCTGTGGAAAAACTGTCTTCCATGAAACCAGTCCCTGGTGTCAAAAAGGTTGGGGACTGCTGTATTAGAGCCATTGGTAGATGTGCAATTGAAAGCACAGCACTCAACAGTCTGCAGTGTACTTTTATACCATCATCTCCATGCTATGGCTACATATACAGATACATAACGGTAAATGACTTGTCTCAGCTTACCAAGTTTGTAGGTAGGTACTGGAGCTGGGACTGTATCTTTTGCTCAGGGATTCCTTGCACTGCTTTCTCATCTCAGATTCCCTGGAGCCTAATGTGGTACTTGGCACATAATAGACACTTGATGAATGTTTGTTAAAATTGTTGAATTGCCACTGGCTGATTTCAGTCTTCTTATTAATCGTAGTAGCTGTAGTTAATGTGCTGTTGACTGTTTGACATAAAAACGAATCTAGGCAGTAGCCAGTTCATCATTGGAAGCTGCCAAATGGGAGTGGCAGATGGGCATGCAGGTGTGTTTAATTCTTTACTACATTGATCAAGGGGTCAGCCTTGGTCTTTGCTTCCTCCTAGGGGTAAAATAAAATCTAAGAAGAGGGCTCTGAAATTGTTATATGTTTCACTTTATTATTTCTAATTACTGTTTTCAATAGTACATATATTTTTGCAACAGTGATTTTTTTTTAATTGGACCATAGTTTTAAAAAAATTAATCTTTAAGCTGGTTTTGATGATTTGGATACTATCTGAACCTAGTCTTGGTATTCCACTCAGCAGCCACAGACAGCCTCTTTTTGATGAACAAGGCCTTGAATCTGTAAGACTCCCTCATCCTGCCTTCGGGTTTTGGAGTAATTCACCCAAAACAAGCTTGGTAAGGTTGGATCAGGGTGAAGAAAAGAAAAATAGAGCTGTAAATAAGTGAAGACAAGTCCAGGAAGGGACATGCAAATTCCAAAATTGTGCAATATAAATTTAGAAATATATCAAGGTTAACCTTATCTGTGTTCAATTTTGTGTCTGTACAGTGGTACCACTTTTACTGCTGATGTGCCATTGCGGAAAGGGCGCCAAAGGCTTTACCCCCATACCTGGCACCATAGAGATGCTGCATCCTTGGAATAATGAAGGAGCACCACCTGAAGACAAGGTCAGTGGATCAGATGTCAATATGACTTGTCTTCTTCTTGGGTTTTAAAGGGGCCTAGGGAAGTGTTTCTTACATGTTTGGTTGAGTGAGTAAAGTGATCACTATGGATTTCACTCATGTGCCTTTGTTAAGCAAAGAGTTCAAATGACAGCATATTTTGTGTTTGTTGCTGGGGCAGAATTGAGATAGTTTTACTCTGTTTTGACACTTCCCATGTTGTAGAGAATGTAGAGCAAGGTTCAGGAAGAGCAAGAGTGTGTAGGAATCTAAGTCTTTTGTCCTAACATTAAATGGGCAGTTTTCATAACCAGGAACTGCTTCATTTCCATTTCCCTCAATACATAGGGTTTGCAGAGGTAAGCCCACAACCCCCATGACACTTGTAAAATGTTGCAAAACCCCATTTCCCAACTACATCATAGCCATATCCCTTTGTCTCTCTGTTGCACCTTCACCCTGGACCTCTCACCACCATCTGTTATGAGCACCATTTCTAATAGGATAGGATTTAGCATCAGGTGGCAGAGAACTCAGAATAACAGTGGCTTAATCCTAAAATGGGCATTCCAAGATCAACATGATGATTCATCCGCAGCATGGTCCCCAGTTCCCTCTTCCTTGTTTTTCTTCCATGGTTGAGTTCCATTCCCACACTGTCCTCATGTCCTAGTTCTAGCTACCTAGCTGCCGTCCCCACATTCTAACCAGCACATGGGAGAAAAGTGAAGAACCCTCTTTAAGCACACTTCCCGGAACTTGTGTACACCATTTCTGCTTCATTCACATTGACCACAGTTTAGTCAGGTGGCTATACCTAGTGGCATCAGAGGCTTAGAAATATAGTCTTTATTTTGGGTGGCCATGGATCCAGGTCAAAACAAAGTTAAGAATTCTGTAACTATAGAAGAAGGTATCAAACTGTAGAGGGAGGTTGAAATGCCATTGGTCGCATAGAGTAAAGGAGCTGAGACTGTTTGGGCTTTGTTTTCTCTTTGGGTTCTATCCACCTATAAAACAAGAAGAGAGAAGAAAGGAGATCTTCATAAGACTTACATAAGTTATTCAACTCAAAATACTTTTTCTAACTGGCCTCAGTGGAAATAGCTTATACCTTCCTATGCCCACTTGACTCAGATCCTTCTACCAAGGATGAAGGATTCCCTCCATCCTCCTGACTCAGTTCTCAGCTGTGTTTGCTCTCACAGGTGGTGCCATCATTTCTGCCAGTGGATCAAGGGGGCAGTCTAGTAGGAAGAAATGGAGTAGGAGGTATGGCCAAGGAAGCCACGATGAAAGGAAGTAGCTCTGCTTCCATTGTCAAAGGGCAACATGAGATGTCCGAGATGGATGGAAGGTGGGAAGAACACAGAAGCCTGCTTTCTGGTAGAGCTACCCAGTTTACAGGGGCCACAGGCGCTATCATGACCACTGAAACCACGAAGACCGCAAGGGCCACAGGGGCTTCCAGAGACATGGCCGGAGCTCAGGCAGCTGCTGTTGCACTGAACGAAGAATTCTTAAGAAATTATTTCACTGATGTAAGGATGAGTTTTATGTATTGGTGGTGGGGGGTGGGGGGAACATTTGTATGTGAATGTGATATTATTAGGGTAATCATTGCCTTGGATCCAAATGAGACTTTGGGTTTTTTTTTTTTTTCTTTTTTCAGGGAATACTTATAGGCAATAAGGAAAGAGAAATGGGACCCACAGAATCAGTCGGTGTTAGCTAAATTATGCTGCAGTAACCATGATCTTAGTTCTCACACAGGCATATTTCTCACTTACAGTTATGTTTTTGCCAGTCAGTCAGCTCTGCTTTCCTTCATGATGTCTTCATATCAAGATGCACACTGAGAGAGCAGATTGTACCTGGGAAGCTGCCGTCCTTGTGACCCAAAGAAAAGAACAAGGCAGAACCAGGCAATGGCTCTCAAAGCCTCCACCTTTTTACACCACATTTCATTGACCAAAGCAAGTCATATGACCAAGACAGATGTCAGTGGGTCGGAAAGTTGCATCCCTCTGCAGGAGCAGGCTTGGTAGGGATGAGCTCCGTAGGAGAGGCAGAGGATATATAACCTAAAAAACACAATCTATTAAGTCCATTTAAATTTTACCTTCTGTATGAGAGTACTTGGCTTTGCTATTATGAGGGTCCACCAAAAAATGATGAGAAAAGTTCCAGGAAGATGATCAGATGCAATAAGGAAGCTCATGCTAGAATTGAGGAATTAGAAGCAGAACTGAAAATAAAAGTATAATGTAGAGGTCAGGCACAATGGCTCATGCCTGTGATCCCAGCACTCTGGGAGGTCAAGGCAGGCAGATCACTTGAGCCCAGAAGTTCAAGACCAGCTTGGGCAATATGTTAAAACCCTATCTCTCCAAAAATACAAAAAATTAGCTGGGCATGCTGGCACACACCTGTAGTCCCAGCTACTCAGAAGGCTGAGGTAGGGGGATCACTTGAGCCTGGAAAGCCAAGGATGCAGTGAGCTGTGATCATACCACTGCACTCCAGCCTGGGCAACAGAGTGAAACTCTGTCTAAAAAAAAAAAAAAAAAAAAGTATAACATAGAGATAAAGTATACTTCAGAACAAGGAATATTACCAGGAATAATGAGGGATAGTTCATAATGAAAAATGAGTCAGTTCATCAGGAGGCCTGAAACTCCTAAATATGTCAGAACCTAATAACAGAAATTTTTAAAACTTAAAGCAAAAACAACTGAAAGAGAAACAGACAAATTCATAATGATAGTTGGAGAGTTCAACCTGATCTATCAGTAAATGAAAGAACAAGTGACAGAATCAGTAAGCATATAGAAAACTTAGTACTGTGAACCAAATGGATCTAGTTGATACTGACAGAACACTCTATGCAACAGAAGCAGAATACACATGCTTTTTCATATAGACTGTATTCTAGAACATTAAATAAATGTAAATAACTTTTAAAGAACTGCAGTCATACAATGTACTTTGATGAAAAAAAAATTAAAACCAGAGATCAGTAACAAAGAGATATATAAAATATACTCAAATATTTATAAATACACATGACTGCAAATTAAATTATACTTCATGAAAATTTGTGGGGTACTACTAAAGTGATGCTTGAAGGGAAATTGTAGCAAAAATGGCTATATTAGAAGATGGTTCTCAAATCAGTGACCTAAGCTTCCACCCTCAGAAGTTAGAAGAGCAAATTAAACCCAAAACAAGCAGAAATAAGATAATGATGAATTTTAGAGCAGAAATCAATGAAATATTTAGCAAAAAGTAATAAGAAAAAAAATTGAAGCCACAAGCTTATTATTTAAAGAGGTCAATAAAATTGATAAACATTTTACCAGACTAATTAGGATATTAAGAGATTAAGCACAAACTATGGATGTTAGAAATAAAATAAAGAACTTTACTACAGATCTTACAGACATAGTAAGAATAATTTTTTAAAAAGTAGGACTGGGTGGTTTTCTTGAGAACAAGGCCCTGTGCTCCCATGAGAATGGACAGAGTTGGAATATAAGGCATCTGAAGGGCCCTAGAGAGGAGTAAGGGGAGGGGCTTCCATTGAGGAAAGCAAGTTACTTCTGTCCCCCTCTTCTAAATTTGCAAATTATTAGCGTGCTTTCCCACTTTCTGCTCCTTTTTAACCTCCCATCTTTCATACCATCCTTCACCCACCTTCAAGTATTAGCTTAACAGGGATGTGGGTGGTGTCAAGCAAAACCATTTCTTGGCCTTTCCTGTCTCACTGCTAAGCTCAATTCTAGCGTCCTGTTTGTTTTCTTTTGGTAAGTTTTCCCTCTCTCCACTCTAATCCTGCTCCAGTCATTCTTGGTTATGTATGTGTGTACTAACTTTTGATTTGGAAGTAATTTCAAAGTTATCAGAAAATTTGCAAGAATAATAGAAATTTTGAACCCAATAAACATTTTGCCACATTTGCTATTTGCTTTTCCATTTTCTCTGTCTCTCTCTCACTGACACACATTCACACACATTCTCTTACATTACTATAGTACAGTTAACAAATGTAGAACTTTAATATTGACATAGTCCATATTTCAGTTTAGCCAACTATCACACTATCTTTTACAGCAATTTTGTTTTTCTCAGGATCCTGCATTCCATTTAGTTGTCCTGACACTTTAGTCTCCTTTAATCTGAAACAGTCCCCTCTGCCTTTCTATTTTTTCCCTGATATTAATTTTTTTTAAGAATACAGTCCAGTTGTGTCGTAGGATCTCTCTCAATTTGTGTTTCCCTGATGGTTCCTTGTAATTAAATTCACATTACTGCATTTTGAACAGGAATATAGAGTCTTGTTTTAAAATGAATTTATATTGCTAATTATTTGTCTGTTTTGTGTTTGTTTTGTTTTGTTTTCATTTTAGAAAGCGGCCTCTTACACTGAGGAAGATGAAAATCACACAGCCAAAGATTGCCTTCTGGTTTATTCTCAGGAAGAAACTGAATCGCTGAATGCTTCTATTGGTTGTTGCAGTTTTATTGAAGGAGAGCTAGATGACCGCTTCTTAGATGATTTGGGACTTAAATTCAAGACACTAGCTGAAGTTTGCCTGGGTCAAAAAATAGATATAAATAAGGAAATTGAGCAGAGACAAAAACCTGCCACAGAAACAAGTATGAACACAGCTTCACATTCACTCTGTGAGCAAACTATGGTTAATTCAGAGAATACCTACTCCTCTGGCAGTAGCTTCCCAGTTCCAAAATCTTTGCAAGAAGCCAATGCAGAGAAAGTAACTCAGGAAATAGTCACTGAAAGATCTGTGTCTTCTAGGCAGGCGCAAAAGGTAGCTACACCTCTTCCTGACCCAATGGCTTCTAGAAATGTGATAGCAACAGAAACTTCCTATGTCACAGGGTCCACTATGCCACCAACCACTGTGATCCTGGGTCCTAGCCAGCCACAGAGCCTTATTGTGACAGAGAGGGTGTATGCTCCAGCTTCTACCTTGGTAGATCAGCCTTATGCTAATGAAGGTACAGTTGTGGTCACTGAAAGAGTAATACAGCCTCATGGGGGTGGATCGAATCCTCTGGAAGGCACTCAGCATCTTCAAGATGTACCTTACGTCATGGTGAGGGAAAGAGAGAGCTTCCTTGCCCCCAGCTCAGGTGTGCAGCCTACTCTGGCCATGCCTAATATAGCAGTAGGACAGAATGTGACAGTGACAGAAAGAGTTCTAGCACCTGCTTCCACTCTGCAATCCAGTTACCAGATTCCCACTGAAAATTCTATGACGGCTAGGAACACCACGGTGTCTGGAGCTGGAGTCCCTGGCCCTCTGCCAGATTTTGGTTTAGAGGAATCTGGTCATTCTAATTCTACCATAACCACATCTTCCACCAGAGTTACCAAGCATAGCACTGTACAGCATTCTTACTCCTAAACAGCAGTCAGCCACAAACTGACCCAGAGTTTAATTAGCAGTGACTAATTTCATGTTTCCAATGTACCTGATTTTTCATGAGCCTTACAGACACACAGAGACACATACACATTGATCTTAAAATTTTTCTCAGTCACTGATATGCAAAGGACCACACTGTCTCTGCTTCCAGGAGTATTTTAGAAATGTTCCACAATTTACTGAAGACATAGAGATGATGCTGCTGCTTAGGTGCCTTTTAGCAAGCTATGCAAACAATCCTGATAAAACAAGATACATAGAGAGTCAATCTGGCTTCTGAGAATTTACCAAGTGAACAGAGTACCTAGTTCATCAGCCGTCCAGTAAAGCAACCCAGGAAACTGACTGGGTCTCTTTGCCTACCGTATTAACATTAAACATTGATGTTCTGTATTCTGTACTTTACTGCACCCAGCAGACTTTCAACAACTCATTGATCCAAAGATACATGCACAGTCTGAGCACCAGCTATGGTGCTCATAACTTCTTTAAGACTTGAACCCTTTCAATCTGTGTGATTCATTAAATTGGACCATTGATGATAAGAATACACATTGTATGTTTCTGTGCACATGACAGTGTGTGTGTGTGCACGTACATACTGTATAGTCTTAAAAATAGCATTATACTGGCCAGGGGTGGTGGCTAACGCCTGTAATCCCAGCACTTTGGGAGGCCGAGGCGGGTGGATCAACTGTGGTCAGGAGTTTGAGATCAGCCAGGCCAACCTGGTGAAACCCCGTCTCTACTAAAAATACAAAAATTAGCTGGGCGTGATGGTGGGCGCCTGTAATCCCAGCTACTTGGGAGGCTGAGGCAGGAGAATCACTTGAACCCGGGAGGCGGAGGTTGCAGTGAGCCGAGATCGCACCATTGCACTCCAGTCTGGGCAACAGAGTGAGATTCCGTCTCAAAAAAAAAAAGAAAAGGAAAAAAAAATAGCATTATACCTCTTCCTTGTCTCAACCGCCATGAAAATTCTGAACACTCCAAATTCAGTTGAATAATCCAAAACAAAATTTATAAGTATAAAATAATTTTACTTCTTATAGTAATAGTATACTTTAAAAAGCCTCAGGGTATATTATCTTCTAAACAGCTACAATTCAGTGCAGCTACATTAACCAACTATGTTCTCTAGTTGAGAACAACTAGGCCTATTTCACTGCTGTGTAGCCTCAGTGCCTAACATGGGTGCCAAATAAATATTCGTAGAATTACACTGAATTGTAAAAACCATTCGTTTTTGTTTACAATTGCCAAAAATCTCAAAAGGCCCTGTATTTATGTAATTCTTTGAAATTATTATTTTATTTTGATTTCTCAGTTATTGACTGGCTGGGTGTGACTTAGTACATAAGTACTCAATATTATAAAAACCTCAAATAATTGACTTGATTTTACACAACATCCTTCCCTTTTCTACAAGTTAATTTTTTTACAAATCATTTGGGTTATCTCCTAAATAGGTTATATTTTATTGCTTCTAGAAACAATGTTTCAAAATATATGTGCATTATCAGTAATAATTTGTATAAATATTTCCCACAACAATTTTCATAATTTTCAAAGACTAATTTCTTGACTGAAGATATTTTGCTAGGGAAGTGAAACTTTAAAATTTTGTAGATTTTAAAAAATATTGTTGAATGGTGTCATGCAAAGGATTTATATAGTGTGCTCCCACTAACTGTACAGATCAGGACACATATTTTTAGACATCTAAGTCTGTAGCTTAAATGGAGGTTACTCTTCCATCATCTAGAATTGTTTACTTAGTAATTGTTGTTTCTTTTATTATTATAGACTTACTATCAGTTTTATTTTGCCAAGTATGCAACAGGTATATCACTAGTATATGAAAATGTAAATATCACTTGTGTACTCAAACAAAAGTTGGTCTTAAGCTTCCACCTTGAGCAGCCTTGGAAACCTAACCTGCCTCTTTTAGCATAATCACATTTTCTAAATGATTTTCTTTGTTCCTGAAAAAGTGATTTGTATTAGTTTTACATTTGTTTTTTGGAAGATTATATTTGTATATGTATCATCATAAAATATTTAAATAAAAAGTATCTTTAGAGTGACCCTTTCCCCATAGATTTTTATTTCTCTATTATATTTTACAAGGAATATAACTCAGTTTGTTAGGGAGAGTGCCTTAAAGGCAGGTGTTTCTTGGACTTTGTTATTTAATTAGATCTGCTTGCAATAAAAAAAGTTGTCGGTTATCTAAAATTCAAATTTATCGGGGTACTTGGCATTTTCATTGTCCAACTCTGGCAACCTTGTTCCTAAGGAAGTGAAGGTTGCTCTCTGCCCAGAGTAACACTGGAGAAATCTGTTGGGTCTGGCAGAAGAAGGCTAGTATATCTAACCCAAAGAGATGAAATCATTCTACCAATGTTTGAGAGGCTGTTTTAATTGCTTGTTATAGTTTAGAAGGGAAAAGATCAGAGTTGCTGCTATAAGAGAAGAAAAACAAATTTTCTTCTAGGTCCCCAGCTGGGGCTCTGTAACAAAACACAGATTAACAAGAGAAAAACAAACATTAGTCTGTTAACATGTGTATCTCATGCATGCTTTGGAGTAACTGGAATGAGCAGCTCAAAGGGGTGGTTAGAACTTGGGTGTAAAATGTTAAAAGAAGAGCTTTAAACAAATTAAATCTAACAGTTTACTTAAGCAAAGAAAGGTTCACAAAATTGGGCTGCCCTGGAACTAGAAAAGGTTCGGAGAACTCTATTCTACAATAATGAGCAGGCCGTATTCATAGACAGAAAATGGAAGTGAGGTAGGGAAGCTGCTTGATTGGTTACAGCTGAGCCTTTGCCTTATTTGGAGGTGGGCTGATCAGTTGGCAGCCAGTGACTGGCTGAAACTCAGCTGCTGTGATTGATTGACGCTCAGCTATGTATTACAAAAATATACTCCTAAATTAGGCTTTCAGTTCATTTATGTACCAAGCTAGGCTGCAGTTCGTCATGTGGGGACTCAAGGTATGGAGGCAGCCTCAGGCCCAGTTTAATTTAATAATATACCAACTTGGGCTAAAACATAGGAAAGGGGATTAGGGGCTTCTGGGCAGGGGAAACAAGTTATGGGAAGGTGACCAGGAAAAGTCTGGTAAGCTTGAGTAAGATTTGTCATGCAGATTTAAATTAATCTCTTTGTCACTTATAGTCATCCCGTGTTTCCGGTACGGAGGGAGACAGCCTTACAAATGGACATTTCCCTTATAAATGTAAATCCCTTTACAAAAGGTAAACTTACGTTCTGTCTTCAGAGTTTCTCCTGCGTCTGCTATTTCTCAAAATAATCAGCTCAAAATAATCCTTATACTAAAAACGTATTTTGGGGGCTGTAGCATATTCTAGTCGACACTGCCGGTAAACTGGAATGTCTCATGAATGAAGATTTCACGACAATGGCACATCAGAACATCCTAAAGCATGAAGACTGGTTTATTCCTGCGTGACTTCAGTTCCCACTCCCAGTGGCACATGGAGCTAATTCTGGTTGATCTCTGCAGACCATATTCCAATCACCACCACATCAAAATGTCTACAGTAGGACGTTGCTAACCAAATATCACCTAAAAATGAGACATTTCAGATCATTAAATCTGACTTTCTTAAAGGACCAAAATTTATTAGTTTCATTATGTTTTATTTTAATCCTCTATATCATTCCCAATTACTTTGTCTACTGTTTCCATTAATTACTAAGAGGTTGAAGTCTCCCAAGTGTGGCTTTGCTTATTTCCCCCTTTAATTCTTTCTATTTTTGTTTCCTGTGTTTTGAAACTTTTTGCCTGTGTTATTAGGTACAAGTACATTTAGGATTACTGTGTTCCTGAAGAACTGATCTTTTTATCATTATGAAATGCCTCTCTTCATCTCTGTTTATAACTGCTAATTACCTTTAGCCTAAAGCTGCCTCCTTACATTCTTTTCCTTTTTTTTTTTTTTTTTTTTTGAGACGGAGTTTCAAGTGAGTGAAATGGCGCAAACTCGGCTCACCACAACCTCCGCCTCCCAGGTTCAAATGATTCTCCTGCCTCACCCTCCCAAGTAGCTGGGGTTACAGGCATGCGCCACCACGCCCAGCTAATTTTGTATTTTTAATAGAGACGGGGTTTCTCCATATTGGTCAGGCAGGTCTCAAACTCCCGACCTCGGGTGATCCGCCTGCCTTGGCCTCCCAAAGTGCTGGGATTACAGGCGTGAATTACCACACCTGGCCCTTGTTACATATTTTAAGTTTGGCCTGAAGGTTTCTCCATACTTAGTGAACTATAACCTAACTGGATGTGTAAACAGACTGTAACCTACTCTTGTCTGAGGCAATCACGGCCGCAATACTTCAACCACTCACAGGCAGCCAACTGTTCAAACTGCATTCAAATAAGGCAAACCCTGAGCTGTAACCAGTCCTGCTATTCTGTACCTCACTTCCTTTTTCTATCCATAAATCCTCTCTGACCACGTGGCAGCACCAGCGTGGCTCTGAATCTACTCCGGTTTAGGTACTGCCCAATTTGCAAATTATTCTTTGCTCAATTAAAGTTTGTAAAATTTGTTTATATATTTATTTATTTTATTATTTTGGAGATGGAGTCTCACTCTGTCACCCAGGCTGGAGCGCAGTGGCAGAATCTCCGCTCACTGCAACCTCCGCCTCCCAGGGTCAAGTGATTCTCCTCAGCCTCCTGAGTAGCTGGGCTGGGATTACAGGTGTACGCCACCACACCAGGCTAATTTTTGCATTTTTTTTTTTTTTTTTTTTTTTAGTAGAGATGGGGTTTCCCCATGTTGCCCAGGCTGGTCTCGAACTCCTGGCCTCAAGTGATCCACCAGCCTCAGCCTCCTAAACTGCTGGGATTACAGGCGTGAGCCACCACACCCAGCCAACTTTGTAAAATTTAATTTGCCTGAAGTTTTTCTTCTAACACATTCTTTGTCTTGAAATCTACCTTGCCTAACATTAATACAGCCATACCAGCCTTCTTATGGTTAGTGCTTCCGTGGTATATCTTTTTGATCCTTTTGCTTGACACCTGTCTGTGCCTTTATAGTACATTTATTGTAAACAATATACAGGTAGGTCTTGGCTTTTCCCATTTTGACAATTTCTGACTTTTATCAGAAGGTTTTACAACAATTATTTATATGGATAAGTTTAAGCTTCCATCTTTGTATTTGTTTTATCTTTGTCCACCTGGGTTTTCTGTTGGTTTTTTGGTTTTCTCCACTCTTGTTTCCTGACTTCTTTTGTGTACTGCATGCTTTAGGATTCCACTGTAGCACCTCTGTTGACCTTTCACCTACACCCGCTTGTGTTTACTTTTTAATTGGTTGCTCTTACTGAGGAAATATAACTAACAACAAAATTTCCTCTCAACCTAAAAAACCTTTCCACAAAGTAAAGGAGAAAGAAAACAGTGTCATCATTGAATAAGCATTAAACCCTGAAGGTGAGGCACATCACAGGTAGCTCCTAAAGAAACTGCGGGCCGGGCACAGGGGCTCACGCCTGTAATCCCAGCACTTTGGGAAGCCGAGGCGGGCAGATCACAAGGTCAGGAGATCAAGACCATCCTGGCTAACATGGTGAAACCCCGTCTCTACTAAAAATACAAAAAATTAGCCGGGCATGGTGGCGGGCACCTGTAGTCCCAGCTACTCGGGAGAATTGCTTGAACCTGGGAGGCAGAGCTTGCAGTGAGCCGAGAGCACACCACTGCACTCCAGCCTGGACAACAGTGCGAGACTCTGTCTAAAAAAAAAAAAGAGAGAGAGAGAAAAGAAACCACAGGCTGGGCACAGTGGCTCATGCTTTTAATCCCAACAGTTTGGGAGGCCAAGGCGGGCGGATCACCTGAGGTCAGGAGTTCGAGACCAGTCTGACCAGAGAAACCCCATCTCTACTAAAAATAAAAAACTTAGCTGGGCAGATGGCAGGTGCCTGTAATCCCAACTACTCAGGAGGCCGAGGCAGGAGAATCGCTTGAACCGGGAGGTGGAGTTTGCGGTGAACTGAGATCGCGCCATTGCACTCCAGCCTGGCAATAAGAGTGAAACTCCATCTCACAAAAGAAGAAAAAAAAGAAATTGCAAAGACAAAAAGTTCTTGCTTTTTATGCAGCCATTTAGAACATACCTGTTCACAAGATAAACTATAGCTTGTCCTCAAGTCAGAGGATTTGACAGCACCGTTTGTCATACATAGCTCATCTTAAACTCACCTAGTAATTGAGGGGGCTATTGTGTTTGCTAATTGCCTTTATTCAAAGAAATAATAAAACTTCTTAGATCTCTCTGATAGGTAGCTAGTTATAATTTGGAGCGAGCACCCATGGAGATGGGAAGATAGGGAGGCTAGCTTCCTTGATGTTAACATTTCAAAAAGATAGCCCCAGGTCCTTCAGAAGGACATCCCTGGTTATAAAGCTGGCAAAGGAGATAGAGAAAGAAGTAACAACTGCAAGTTTTTTAAACTAAATACTCTAAGAAAAGAGAGATGAGAGATGGCAAGGGAAAGTTTTCCTTGTTTGCACTAGGGAAAATTCAGTTTTTTTCCCATTTAGATTTGTACTTACATTCTAGGGCTATGCTCTACGTGGCAAGCGGCTACCAATTGGACAGCACAAATCTAGAACATTTCTATCATTGTGTAAAGATTTGGGGGGAACTTCAGAGTGAAACCACCTTTGCAAAAATTATAACAATGAGAAAATTACAACATGAAAGAGATCTGATCTAACCAACCCCTATCTTGCCTTTAACCTCCAAACTGCCTTTGGTCTTTCCTGGGCTTAGGCTAAGCTAACTTTGGGAGAAATTTAGGTTATAGTTTACATGAGAAGAACCTTTCCCTAAAACTAAAGCACCTTTATAAAACTAATGAAAGCCCACCAGGTTAGGAGGATGAAAGGGGCTTCTAGTCTGCTAAGGTGTAGGAGTAAACAATTACCATCCATTATTCGGGAAGTGACAAAATTTGCAACTTCCCCAATTACTCTGGCAGATAACATTATTATAATAGAAAATAAGACTGGCCTTTTGGGATGTCGTTTGCTACTTTTGCATTTTTGACGACTGGATACCCACGACTCTTGGCTCAACTGCTCCTGTGGCCCCCATCCTGTAGCAGACTTGGTGCACTAGGACCGTTTTCCACACCCCTATGATTGCATCCCCAACCAATCAGCAGCATCCATTCCCCTATCCCCCTGCTGGCCAAACTATCCTTGAAAAACCCTCACCTCCGAATTTTCAGGGAGATTGATTTGATAACAATCTCCCACGTGGTATGGCCAGCCCATTTCAATTAAACTCTTTCTTTATTGTAATGTCATGGTCTCAGTGAATTGGTTTTGTCTGTGCAGTGGCAGGAAGAACCCATTGGGTGATTACAATGGTTCTGGAAATTACAATATGCGTCTTTAATTTATCACAGTCAACCTTCAGATATTCTACTATTTCACAAATGATATATGTGAACCTTGAGCTTGCACTTTGTGGATCTTGCTATGCCATTCAATCTCTGACTTTCTTTCTACCCTCGTGCTAATCAAGAAGCTTTCAGCATTGTCTCTGTCCCTCACACCTTCCATCATACCCCTGCCCCACTTGCTATAATGCATTATTGGCATGATATGAAACATACAGTATCAAGTCCATCAGTGGATGGGAATGGACTCACATTGCTCCACAGATTACAAAAACCCACCTATCCAGATTGAAAAACCATGTGATGAGGAATGTGTGTCTCTGTTAAAAATCCAGATACACCCTGGGCCGGGTATTTTCCATTTGCCTCTTCATACTCACTCTCTGCTCTTCTTCACCCTGCTCTGAGACCCAGGAGCTTACCTTTTATGGATGTTTCAACGGGCACTGCTTGCTGCCTCTGGCTTTTAGATGGGCTTGGCCAGTGATGGCCTTGGCTAGAGATTGGTGAGAAAGAGAAAAATGAGATCAGGGCATCTCTCCCTCTACCTCCCTCTGTCATGCATCTCTCTATAGAGCAACTCCCTCTCTGAGTTCCTGGACCCACGCTCTCTCCTTGTTCCTTTAGGCCTATTAGTAGTGGTTGCTTCCTTCTCAATTATTACCAGACTTGAAACGGTCCCCCAGTGTTGACGAGGATTGCATGCTGAGTTCTGAACAGAAATATATTTGTAATTAAACATTAATCAGGCTGCACTTTGGCCCACTTCGTTGTTGCTAAAAGTCAGGTAGCACCAGGTACTGACCATTTGCATTTCCATTGTTCCTATAGATAGGATCTCTGAAGTTAGGGTCATAAAGCTGTTGAAGAATTGATTTGCATCCCGCATTGTTCCCCTGTGTACTGTCAGTGGGTATTGAGATAAATGAAGGCAGGAATGGGCCTTTTTGATGTTTGTCACCTCATACTTACTCCAGTATCAACCAACAAAAGAAATAGCTGGTGACTGAATGAACAGAGGGCCAGTCATAGGAAGAATGGTGAACTGTGGTGGGAGGAATTTACCTGTCTCAGAGGGTAAGGGTTTTTGGTACATTTAAGCAGGACAATTGCAAAAATCCAAACAAAATTTTCAGACTGGTTTTCTAAACCTGCACATGATTCATTTAACTGACAACATTTAATCTGCTGCATCCCAAGCCCAAGTTAGTTCTCATTGTTAAGTCTGAATTGATGGATTCTCAATGGGTTTGAGGGATTCTGAGGAAAACTACAGAGGTTTCAGTGCAGGACACGATCTATTTGCAATGGTTCAAAATCTCTTTCAGTTCCTATATTCTGGTTACTTGGATTGTTGGAGATTTTACTCACTGTATTAAAGATCTGTTTTATTCTTCTTTCTTTTTACCCGAGGCTATACATTAAGACGTACCCTATATGTTCCCCTGCCCCTCGTCTACAGCTTTCAGCTTCTTCTAGCAGGAAGTTTGGTTTTGCAACCCCTCTTGAGTTGGACCCTTCTAAAGTAATCTTGAGTTTCTCATTCCAGCCTCTCCAAGGACCACATCTATTGTTTCCCTAGTTTACATGGGTTCTTTTTCAAAGAAAAACACTGGATTGGGATACTTCAATGAAAGAAGTTGGAAAACGCACAAAATACAAGCATCTTAAATGCTTCTAGATATACCCCAACTAGATGTACCAGGTTGAATTGGCTTAGCAGTAAACTATATGTATGCTCACCTAGTAATAATCCATGTGTTTCTACACTTAAGAGATCCTCTGGACTACAGAAATAAGATGGAACAGAAGCACTGTGGCATAACTATGAGTGTTATATGCTTTATGGCCACAAGATGGCACTATGCACGCAGTAAAAGAGGCAAAGTCAATCTATCAAAGCTAGGAAGAAAAAAAAAAATCAAGCAATTTAATAAGTTCGTGAGCAACACAAACTTGCAAAGGCCAATTCCTTCCTTCACTAATTGTGACCCTCTCAGATAAAGTGTGATACGCTTCAGAGTTGCCTGAGAAACGAGACCTGGATTACGGAAGTCTAATAAAACCCATACCACTCTTTGATGGTGAAATACAAAATGTCTTTCTGAAGGTCAGTCATGAGCCTTTGGTTCTATCAAAAATGCTGCACTTTGGAGGAAATGACGCTGGCCAATGGATTTACGAATAACACACTCAGCCTGCTGTGGGCTATCTTAAAGAATAGATGTTGACTTTTTCTGAAATATTAGATTCAACTAAGCATATGTTGAATTCTCACTATGTGCAGAGCCCTATTTAGTGGCTTTAAAATTACTCAAAGATGAGTAAGGCCCAGACCTTGCCCTCCAGAGGCTCACAATATAGTGGAGGAAGTAGTTACAAACAGCTTATTCTGAAAACCAAGACACTGTAAAAAACAACATATCAAAGATAGAAAGAAAATGCCAAGGCTGATTGGAGAGATTAATTCTTCTTTTGATTAATTTCTCTTTGTCATTCCCAATTCCTCCAAGTTGAAGGGGAAAGGGAATGTCTAGGAGCTCTTCTTAGACAGGTGGGCTTTCGATGAAAATTGGAAGTTAATATAGTTAGGATACGGTCCCCTCCAAATCTTAGTTGAAATGTGACCTCCAATGATGGAAGTGGAGTCTGGTGGGAGGTATTGGATGATGGGAACCGATCCCGCAGGAACGGATTCGTGCCATCCCCTTGGTGATGAGCCAGTTCTCGCTCAGGTCGTTCACGCGAGATCTGGTTGTTTTTTAAAAGCGTAGCCCCTCTCTCCCCTCTCTCTTGATCCTGGTCTCACCATGTGATACACCCACTTCGCCTTCCGCCAATAATTGGAAGCTTCCTGAGGCCCTCACCAGAAGCAGATGCCAGCACCACACCTCTGGTTCACCTGCAGAACCGTGAGCCAGTTAAACCTCTTTTCTTTATAAACTACCAGCCTCAGGCCAGGTGTAGTGGCTCACACCTGTAATGCCAGCACTTTGGGAGGCTGAGGCAGTCAGATCACCTGAGGTCAGGAGTTCAAGACCAGCCTGACCAACATGGCGAAACCCGTCTCTACTAAAAATACAAAAATTAGCCGGGCGTGGTGGCGGGCGTCTGTAATCCCAGCTACTCAGGAGGCTGAGGCAGGAGAATCGCTTGAACCTGGGAGGCAGCGGTTGCAGTGAGCCAAGCGCGCCACTGCACTCCAGCCTGGGCGACAGAGTGAGACTCCGTCTCAATAAATAAATAAATAAATAACCAGCCTCAGGTATTTCTTTATAGTAATGCAAAAATGAACTAATCCAGAGAGTAAGTAAACAGGAGGAAGGACCACCTAGATCAGAAGCTTACCTCACACAGGTGAGGGTGGCTAGCGGGTAAGGGATTAGAGGCGGTGAGCACAGCAGAAGGTGTGGGTGAAGAGGCAGGTACAGGCCACCCTGTGGAGGACTTGGAACAGCAGCTAAGGCTGTGGGACCAGACTCTTTATGCAGTAAAGAGCCACAGACAATTGTGAGCAAGACACCTTATAACCAGGTTTTAGAAAGAATCCTCAGCTGGAAGGAGGAGATTCTGCAGGAAGAGGGTGGGGGAAAGTTGAAGTTAACTCCAACCAAAGTCAACCTTAAATATTAACCTTTTTTTCTTCTGACTTTCATTGACTTTTCCGTGCATTTTCAGTGCCCTTTTCTTGCTGTAAAGTAAATTTTAAATATTATGTCAATAGGTCACAGAGGCAACAGACAGGCAAGGTATGGTTATGAGAAAAACATTTCCCTAAACAAAATTAGAAGACAGCATTTGATGAAAGATTTTTTTCCTAACTTGTGAGTTTGTTTACATAAAAACACTTACAAAATTAGTCAATCAAAATAACATGGAGTCATTTACTTAAAGAATTCCTTACGTTTAAAAATAAAGTACTTGAATATGGAATCAACCTAAGTGTCCATCAACTTAAGTGTCCAATTTAATCCATCAACTGGATTAAAAAACTGTGGTACATATATACCACGGGATAATACTCAGCCATAAAAAAGAATGAAATCATGTCTTCTGCAGCAACATGGATGGAATTGGAGGCCATTAACCTAAGTGAAATAACTCAAAAACAGAAAGTCATTTGAGACCAGCCTTACCAACATGGAGAAGCCCCATCTCTACTAAAAATATAAAATTAGCCGGGTGTGGTGGTGCATGCCTGTAATCCCAGCTACTCGGGAGGCTGAGGCAGGAGAATCGCTTGAACCTGGGAGGCGGAGGTTGCGGTGAGCCGAGATCTCACCATTGCACTCCAGCCTGGGCAACAAGAGTGAAACTCTGTCTCAAAAAAAAAAAAAAAAAAAAAACCGTATGTTCTCACTTATAAGTGGAAGCTAAACAGTGGGTACACGTGGGCATACAGAGTGGAATAATAGACACTGGGGACTCCAAAAGGTGAGAAGGGAGGAGAAAGTAAGGATTGAAAAATTACCTCTTGGGTACAACGTTCACTGTTCCGGTGATGGGTACACTAAAAAGCCTAGATGTAACTGTTATGCAATCCGAGCATGTAAACAATCTGCAGCCGGGCTTGGTGGTTCATGCCTGTAATCCCATCACTTTGGGAGGCCAAGGCAGCAGGATTGCTTGAGCCCAGGAGTTCTAGACCAGCCTGGGCAACATAGTGAGACCTCGTCTTTACAAAAATTTTAAGAAATTAGGTGGCCATGGTGGTGTACACCTGCGGTCTCAGCTGCTTGGGCGGCTGACATGGGAAGATCACTAGAGCCCAGGAATTCAAGGCTGCAGTGTGCCATGACTGTGCCACTGTACTCCAGCCCAGATGACAAAGACTATGCTTTAAAAAAATGAAAATTTAAAAATCCTGCACTTGTACCCCTGAAATATATAAAAATAGAAACAGAAACATAAATAATAATAAAATGCATTTCTTTTACACATAAAACAAATAAAAGTAAAGTACTTGAAATTAGACGATTCCAGAAAATTGTTGACATGTTTGTTCCCCTAACAATTTGGTACTTTGGTCTCCTTTATGAAACTGTGAAAGCTCCGAGCCAAAAGCTTTGTCTTTCTTCATTCTTGCATCTTTAGTACATATCACAATGCTTTATATATGACACGTGCATGACTATTTGTTGTTAATTGAATGGTATATCATATTTCAATAGACATTTTCCCCAACATTCTATTGGAAAACTTTTCACACACATAGCAAACTGAAAGAATTTTCAGTGAACACTTGAATTTCTACCACCAAGATTTCACTATTAATATTTTACTGTTCTTAGTTTATTACATATCTATCCATGTCTGTATCCATTGATCAATCCATCTTATTTCTCTTGGTGAATTTCAAATTAAATTATAGCCATAAGTATACTTAAATACATCCATACGCTGAACACATCAGAGTTGAATTACAGTTCAAGATTTATTTACATTTTTTTTCTTCTGAGGCAAAATCACATAGCATGAAATGCACCAATTTTAAGTGTACATTTGCTAAGTTTTGAAGAATGCATACACCCGTGTAACCAAACCCCTTTCAAGATGTGAAAATGACCATGACCCCAGAAAATACCAATACCTCTTCCTGCTCAGGCCTCATCTCTATCTCTGAGAGGCAATGACTTTTTTATTTAAATTTTTTTTAGTTTTGCCTCTCCTAGAACTTTATATAAATGGAGTCATATAGTGTGGACTCTGGAATAGACTTCTATCACTCAGCATAATTTTTTGAGATTCATCTAGGTTGTGTGTACCAGTAACACATTTCTTTTTGTAGAAAAGAAACTATTTTGCAATGGAATGCAGTAGCGTTCTATTGTATAATTATGTCAAAATTGTTTTTCCATTCTCATATTGATGGACACCCAGACTGTCTTCAGTTTTGTGTTATCAAAAATGAAGCTACTATAAACATTCATGTTCAAGCCTTGGTGGCCATATGTTTTCATTGCTCTGGGGCAAATACCTAAATTGCTGGGTCATGGGGTAAATGTATGTGTAGACATTTTTTAGAAGCTTTTTTTTTTTTTTAACAAAAATGCCAGGCTATACTTACCATGCTTTTTCTCTCCTAGTTTGCCAATTTATTATTTATTTATTTATTTATTTTCTTGAGACAAGGTCTCACTCTGTTGCCCAGGCTGGAGTGCAGTGGCACAATCATAGCTCACTGCAGCCTCAATCTCCCAGACTCAAGTGATCCTTCTGCCTCTGCCTCCAGAGTAGATGGGACCACAGGCACGCACCACATCAAGCTATTTTTTTTATATATTTTTTGTAGAGATGGGGATTTGCTATGTGGCCAAGGCTGGTTTTGAACTCCTGGGCTCAAGTGATCCTCCCAACTCGGCCTCCCAAAGTGCTGGCACTGCCCCTGGACTAGCTTGCCAATTTAAAAGAAATCCCTGAGTAAGAGCACCCAAGGTCCGCTGAATGCCCTTCACCTCACTCGGAATTCTAGAGCATCCGAGGATCTTTCCATTCCATATGATACACACCCTACCACACACTCAACCAACAGCTGACTGGATGAGAGAGGTACTGAACCTAAAAGTGGCCATCTGCAGGTTGTCTAGAAGCCCAAGAGATAGACTGTTCAAAGATCTGGCCACAATGGGATGACAAAGAATAATCAGTCCAGCTAACTCCCTTCTTATTAATTAGAAATGGAGACACTGGAAAGAGACATTTAGTTAAAAGTGGACACAGAAGGAAAAAGACACACAAGCAAAGCATTCTTCAGATTTCTTTGAGAGCAGCTAAATTGATGGTTAAAGAGACATGCGGAAATTCATGCTTTTCTAAGGAATGAGCTCTTTAGGAGTTTCTCTTGCAAACAAAGAGAAATAAAATTCCCACATAATCTGGAGCACTCTAAGGAAGGGTAGAAAAATCCATGTTCTTGCTAGTACAGGACTTAGAGTCTTAAAAATTAGAGAAATTCGTTTAAGATTTATAGTCTTAAAAATTAGAAAAATCCACCCACCTGATCCACATTGAGAAGCTGGAATGAAATAAAAATAAAGATAATGATTAAAAGGAATATTCCCTCAATATTTCCACTCCCTGCATCCCCGACCCGTCTGCGTCTCCCTCTACTCTCATACATACTCCAGTAATATTTGGCCAAAAGTAGAAGCCAGGGGGTTAGAAAAAGAAATAGGATAAACCAAGACAAACTATCAAGGAAGTAAAAGGAACATAGAGGCAAACAAAATCCTCATGTCTCTTTCCCCCTCCTCCTGACATAGCCCTGATAACTAGGGAGGAAGAGCATCTGCTACCGGGTGCATCCTCTGAACATTCCAATGACCCGACCCATGGAAAGAGAACCAAATTCTTCAGCCCAGCTTCTAGGATCTTACCTCAAGAGAGTCTTAAAATTATGAAAAGATATGTATATAAGGATGTTTGCTACTATGTTGTTTATCATGTAAAAATTGTAAACAGCAGGTTATTGGTAGAGTTCCTTCAAAATGAGCTGTGGGCCGGGTGTGGTGGCTCACACCTGTAATCCCAGCACTTTGGGAGGCCAAGATGGGAGGATTACCTGAGGTCAGGAGTTCAAGATTAGCCTAGCCAACACGGTGAAACCCCATCTCTACTAAAAATACAAAAAGTTAGCCATGTGTGGTGGCGGATGCCTGTAATCCCAGCTACTGAGGTGGCTGAGGCAGAAGAATTGCTTGAACTCGGGAGGCGGAGCTTGCAGTGAGCCGAGATCACGCCACTCCTCTCCAGCCTAGGTAACAGAGCGAGACTCCATCTCAAAAAAAAAAAAAAAAAAGAAAAAAATCAGCTCTGTGCAGTGCTACATGTGGATTAATGAAGCATTGAAAGTTACAACCCTTTTGGTAATTGCAAGGGAACCTGGAATAGATCTACCCACCATGCTATCTGACCTTTCTAAACTTGTGTGTCAGTTGCAAGGTTTATTGGTCCACTTTTTAGATGAGCAAGCCAAAGGTGAGGTTCATGCAACTGTGGCACACCTATACACAGGTAAAGCTTTTGGACACAGTGGCCTCTGTTACTCAAGGGTTCTTACCCCAGTCAAAGGGTGTTCTACTGCAAGTAGTTCTTAAGAGAGAAAATTCAATGTGCATTTCCCTTTGGAATAATAATACTCTGAAGCACAGAGAGAACCTGGCACACGACAAGGGTGATGGTGATCACACCACTAGTAAAGAATCCAGTATGCACTGGGTACCTTCTCTGGACAGGCCCTATGCTGAGCATTTCTCATACTATTGTCTGATTTGATCCTCACAACAGTCCTAGTGATCAGTACTATCTATTATTTTGCCCCCATTTGATGGGTGAGTTGGAGAAGCTATACAATATATAAAGCTGGTGGTTTGTCTCTTGGCTTTTGCATCATCAGACAGTTCACCCCAGCTAAAGAAATGATGACGGGAACAAGAAAAAAGCCAAGGTTAAGGGCACTTCAGAACTTCAGAAAAACATTTGTTGCCTCTTCCAATTTTTGGATTTGTTGGGACAGAGAAAGGCTGTTTAAAAACAATTCAAGAGCCAAAGACATACAAGTGTTTGTTTCTTGGTTTTTCTTTAAATGCCCTAAGCTATTTTTCATCTCTAAAAAAAAGCACAGGGTAGAAATTTCCATTCACCTGTGACTGGCTAATCTTTAGCGATCACTTAGCAACTGGGTAACAAATGGAGGTTGGCAAAGCCCAGCTGATTAGCATTCTTTTTTAGTCAAAAGATCAGAGTTATCACAAGGCACGGCCAACAGCTCTGAGGCTTACAGGCAATGGAAAGGTCAGACAAAGTCGCTGTTCGTTTTGTTTGTCTTTTTTTTTTTCCTTCAGAGCAAAACAAGTTTTCTTTGTTTATTTGGTTTAAAAAACTCATAAGATCTTTGCAAGAGAACAGATCCTGGATTGTGGGAAGGGTCCCCAGCTTGCTCAGTAGAGCTTCTCAGTTTTTCTATCTCTACAGAAATCTACATCAGCCCATAATGAAGATCGGCTATGAAATGCTTTGAAGTCTCTACAAAAAAATTAATTGTACAATAGATTTTCACCAGTGGAGCAAATAACAGCAATAATTTGCAATAAGTGAGGAAAACACATTTACAATCACAAAGAGAATTAAAAGAAGCTTGAGAGACCAACTAGTCCAATCCTCCCATTAGGACATACCTCCCGACCAGTGAAAGGAGGAAGGGGGCCACTAGGTATCATTCTTGGTTATCCACTCCCAGGGTTCACAGCATCTGTATCAGGAAGTTCTTTCTTAAGTTTCACTGGAGTCCCTCTTGCTACTATTTCCAGCTAATCTCTTCTTGTAACTCTTCATAAAAGAGGCATCAATCTTTCTTAAGAGCTATCTTAGTCTTGCTTGATGTGCGTAATGAATTCATGAAGACCTTTCTCTTCTCCAGGTTCAATTTTTAAATCCACTGGGGCTGGCAGCAGGACTGGACTTTCTAAGTCCTGAACATAGAAAGATTTATAACACAGCCCTTGGCTGCAAGGAGCTTATGTTTTCATGGGGTAAAGTAGATGTTTAAAGAAATGATGGCAGCAGAGTGTTATTGTGTAAAGTTCTGACATTCTTTGTTTTTGAAACTTTGCATTTTGATATCTGTCCATTCGAGATTACCCTATTTTTCCATTTCAAAATTTTAGCTATATTTTTGTTACAAAATTTAATTCTTCATTCCACTGATGGGGTTGGGGTGGGGGGGTGGGGTGCAGGAATAATAGAATGGGCCTGCCATCTAGTGGCAAAATGAGACAAAAAGAACACCAAACTGTACCAGCATCCTTGTATCTATAAGGAGGAGAACAAGGAATATATTTCCTGGATTCAAGGTATCAAAAATTGTAAGATGCACCATTGGTTTAGTAAGGGAACAAAAAGACCAAAAATGGAAACAAATACAACAAATATATACATCACCTGGATTTTAGAAATGCTAGGAGAAGTGAGGGGCATCTTAAGGAAATATGCTCATTTTTCACTACTTTCTCTCTAACAGTTGGCAGCTGATGATGAGTAGTGAGTGCAGCTAACGATGGGGATTACCATGCACCCAGTCCCTGCTGTATGCTGAATATTTCACAATTGTCCACAAAAGGGATATCATTTTAGCCATTTAACACCTGGAGAATGGGAGGTTCAAGAAAGGATCCACTCTTGACCTTAGAGCCAGCATTTAAACTCAGGAGGCTGGCTTACAGAGTTCACAATTGTTCTACTCTCCTAAGCTCCCTTCTGCTTTCTCTGCAAACCGTAGTGCTTTCCCGCTGCTTTCCTTGAACTCTCTCCTAGACACACAGACAAGGTCTGATGACTCCAATTATTGGACTTCCCCGCATACTCCAGTTCACTCCCCTCTCCTGGATCAGATCCATGAGCTGTTAGCTCCTGAAACTGTTCCACCTCAGAAACCTCTATCTCAAGCCCCAGGGTATGGCTCTATTCCCATCACCTCTTCTCTTCCACTTTCTAGTGATTTCTAGAAAACCTTTCCTCCCTGCTTACAGATGCCCCCTAACTTGCAGACACCCTCTAAGTGGTCCTGAGATAGCAACCTGATTCCTTCACAGCCTTGGCATGAAATTTAGGAAGCCAGGAGTGTCCCAGAGGGCAACATGGAGATGCAGAGAGAACAGGTGGCTCAGGGGAGGCCTAGGGTCAGGAATTGAGTCCAGAGAGGGTGGCCCCCTCATCAATAGAGGCAAAACATCAGGGGCCTTGAAATTCAGCAGCAAGTCTCAGCATATTGGTCCAAAGGACAAGTGCAATTAGACACATCTCAAGAAAGAATGGTGCGGAACATTCGGGGACAGCCTCTCTATTCCACAGCAGAGACCAGCATGCTGGGAGAGGCCCATCCCACCAGGAGTATGGGTAGGTCTCTCCCTGCACCCAGAGGCATTTTAGGAAAACAGGAGGGAGATGCAAGACAGCTTAAGTTAACCCAGAAATGACTACTTTAAACCATAAGAAACAGAATATTCTTGCTTTGGCAAGTTTAAATAGTATCCCACCCCAGCCTCCAGCATTGGTAGAAATGGGGCTCTAAACAGCAGTTACAGAAGACAAATGAAGGCCAAATCTATGCAGATTTGAATAACAGCATGTATCTATCAGCATGTATTCAAGAAAGTAGAGTCACTGTGGATATCATGGAAGAAGAGACAGGATAGGGATTAGACCTGACACAATTGTGGGAGAAGCTGGGAAGGCAGAGATCTGGAAGGGGAAGTGAGAGTATCAGAGAAAACTCACTGTCCAGTCCTCCTGAAGCCCTGGCCAAGTGTATTGATCAGAGCTTGCTAGAGATCAGGGAAGGAAGGCCAAGTGCTGTTGGGCTGCTGAAACAGGATGACAGTAGGGGAGCTGGGATGTGTGGGTAGGGAGTGTTGGCCACTGCAGGTCTACGGCCAAGTGGCTGGTGGTGGGCCAACAATCAGAAAGAAGACCTGGACATGGAGAGGAACAGAGCAAAGACGGGCTGGGGCCCACAGGGCATTGCCCATCTGATAGTCACGATATCAGCCTGCAAAGGGATCCAGAGAAAAACGACCACTATTTCTCTTCTGCCTCTCAAACCTCATGCAAGTGTCTCTTTTGGCCAACTCTATTTAGGATCCATAGAGGGAAGGGATTCTGAAAAACACAGTTCCTAACATAGCCAGAGGTGACTGTGGAACAATCCAGCACACTGAGTACATTTCAATCCTGCTCCAGGATTTATAGCTTTAAAGTTATTACACATATGAACACGTGGCAGCGCCAAATAGCACTGGTTGAATTCAGAGAAAGCCATGGAAAAGGTGACTCTGGAAGTGGACCCGATATATTTTCTATCTAAAATTTTTTTCATGCACTGAACATTCATCACATAGTAGCTGACGTGTAACAGATTCTCCGATGAGCAATATAATTCATTACCTACACATGCTGTGCTGATACCAACATTTTCCCCAAACCTTCCTTCTTCCTTAGTAGAGAGTTCTCAACCAGGATCTGCCACCTCCAGTTATTCACAAACAGTGGCGGAAGAGAAAATTCCAAGCTTCCTGTGTGCCTCGCATTCAGGGTTTCAAGAACAGTTCTGGTGAATCAATAACTGTTCTTTCAACAAGGATGGAGAGCAATTGAAAAGGTTGGCTGTGACATGAAATTGCAGTGTGGCTGCAATTTCCTTGTATTTTCTAAACAAGACCTTAAAGGCTCCAGAACATTGAAACGCTGTGGGTGTCATTCACTCTTACAATAGCCATTTCCTTGGACCGTCTTCCTTTCTGGATGATAAAAGCCCAAAATGCCAGGCACTGGCTGTCCTACCATCACACATAGCCAGGACCTGCCTTGTGTCCCAATCCTGGCTCCCAGCATCAGAGGGAAAGTTGTGAAAAGGTGCTGCTTTCTCCCAGATAAAAAGAAACATCCTTTTCCCTCCTCAGGCTTCTGCAGAAGACAGCTCTGGTGGCCGTGTTGAGAGCTGTGAGAGAAGTCAGGAGAATCACAGAGAAGCAAAACCCAGCCCTGTGACACTGCTGACATTGTGAGACAACCTGCAACCACCCACTGCTTGATTCCTCTCATGCCAGATGATCAAGCCACTCTTGGGCCTGATACATTTTTAACATTTCCAGTTTTGCAAGGGATTCACTGCTTTTTCGCAGCCCACTGGACTTAACTAGAGTGCCCAAGCAAGCCCACTTAGGGCCACAGAAAAACCCAAGTGCTCTGTATGCAATCTCCATGCTTTCCTCGGGCTGCCTCTCATGTTTCCTGCCAGACTCTGCCATCTCCTGGCTTTGCTACTTTCTGTTGCCAGAGATTTGCTCTGAACCTTGGCTTCTGCTGACTCAATCATCAGGCTTTGGATGTATTAACACAACTTTGCCCTTTGTTCTCCTTCAGAATAAGAAGTCCATTTCCTGCCCCATGCATCCTTTCACCCCAGGTAACCTCATGCCCCAGCCTTGACACTGCCAAGCTGGGTCTACCTCATGCCCACCAAACCTGTCCCAACCCACTCCTCCTATAGGCATAAAATAGATGAATGGAGACCACGTGGAACTAGTCCATAGGACTGTGTATAACAAAGCTTCATGGGAATTTTTCTAGGGTCACAATATATTTTCAGTTGAACGCACGGTGATTCACGCCTGCAATCTCAGCACTTTGGGAGGCCAAGGCAGAAGGACCACTTGAGGCCAGGAGTTCGAGACCAGCCAGGGCAATATAGTGAGACCCTGTCTCAAAAATTAATAAAATCAAATTAAAAATAATATTTTCTCCTATGTAATTCCTTAGAGTTGAATGCATAGACACCAAAAAGGGGAAAGTTTGAAAAATCAGCTATAGTACCAAGAAGAAATCAATGCCCAGAGAAGGAATAATACCAAATTCATTAGAGTCCCAGACTCTTCCTCTGTGTTAACTCTAGTCATGTATTTGTTTATGTGGAGGTCTTCTACAGTAAGTATTGGGGCAATACTGATACCTGTTAAAGGATATTATGCCTTTGACAAACGATTTTTTTCTTCCACTACATGCTAAATGCTGTCATTATCAATATAGAGAATGTAGTTAAACTTCCACAGTGGGCACAGGTGAAGATTTCACTGCCATCAATTTCAAACCTAAACCCTGATCTCAGTCAGTATTTATAATTTTATGAGTTATAATTAGGACATCCAATTTGTCTTGAGTTTGCACATCATTATGCTTCACAATGAAAAATAAGCAGGTTCTTGGTGCCTGAATTTTGTTAATCATTCTTCCTGGTTGGGGACCTTAATCTTGGCTTCAACTCTGACATTAAATTAAATACACTTGCACACAAATTATTCTAACTGCCTTATTTAGCCAGAGAAGAACAGGGCCTGTCCGTGAAGCATTTCCCCATTACCTGCACCTGAGCTAGTCCCTGATCTAGCACTGTCAGCTCCGCAGGCAGGCCTGGCAAGGTTTACCGTTCTGCCCCCTGCCCTGGGAATCTGTATCCAGGTCTCTGAGTGTTGCTTCTTCTGGCCTACCCTATGCCCCCACAACCTTCACACCCACCCGCTACTCCAAATCTGATTGGGTCCCTCTACGTAGGTGTTTCCAAGTGGTAAACTGCACCTAGTGCTATCGTTTGGATATCTGTCCCCTCCAAACTTCATGTGGGAATTTGATCCCCAGTGTTGCAGGTGGGGCCTAGTGGGAGGTGTTCGGGTGATGGGGGCAGATCCCTCATGAATTGATGAATGCCCTCCTTTGAGGATGAGTGAGTTCTCACCCTTAGTTCCCACGAGAACTGGTTGTTAAAAAGAGCCTGGCACCAGCCCTTTCTCTCCTGCTCCCTCGCTGGCCATGGGATCTCTGCACACACCAGCTCCCCTTCACCTTCTGCCATGAGTGGAAGCAGCCTGAGGCCCTCACCAGAACCAGATGCTGGCACCGTGCTTCTTATGCAGCCTACAGAACTATGAGCCAAATAAACCTCTTTTCTATATAAATTACCCGGTTTCAGGTATTCCTTTATGGCAACACAAAATGGAGTAGGACACCTAGACATCCAGGTTTATAAATGTAGACACATATATACGTGCATTTTCACACATAGCTTGTTAGAATGTGTGTGTCGCTGGGGCTCTTTTATCTATACACTTGGAAAAAGGCGTCTGCTTCATTTTATTTTTGCCTTTGCTCACCTCGGCTCCTTTATTTCTGATACTAGCAACTCAAGAAAGGGGCATTTTAATTCAATCAACCAAGAAAATCAATCCCAATTGACCTCGGGACCATATTTTTATTTTCATTGAAAGTTAACTAAAATTATTGAAAAGAATGAAAAATAATAAGAAACAGAAAAACCTAATAGCTTGGAACAACATGTATTCGCTAATTTTGTTTACTAATACCTCCATCCAGGGGAGTTATTTCTAGCAAGATTCTTTTTTATTTTTATTTTTATTTTTTTTTTTTTTGAGCGGAATCTCACTCAGTCATCCAAGCTAGAGTGCAGTGGTGCCATCTCAGCCCACTGCAACCTCTGCCTCCCAGGTTCCAGTGATTCTCCTGCCTCAGCCTCCTGGGTAGCTGGGATTACAGGCACATACCACCATGCCCGGTTAATTTTTTGTATTTTTAGTAGAAACGGGGTTTCACCACGTTGGCCAGGCTGGTCTCGAACTCCTGACCTCAAACAATCTGCCCACCTCGGTCTCCCAAAGTATTGGGATTACAGGCGTGAGCCACCATGCCTGGCCTGCAAGATCCTTTTTTATTGAGGCAATTAAAAGTTAGAAGAGAAGAAATGGCTGTGTAAAAATAGGAGCAGATAGAAAATGAGAATGGCCGGGTGCAGTGGTTCATGCCCACAATCCCAACTCTTTGGGAGGCCAAGGCTGGTGGATCACCTGAGGTCAGGAGTTCAAGACCAGCCTGCCCAACATGGCAAAACCCTGACTCTACTAAAAATACAAAAAATTAGCTGGGTGTGGTGGTGGGCACCTGTAATCCCAGCTACTCAGGAGGCTGAGGCAGGAGAATCGCTTGAACCCGGGAGGCAGAGGTTGCAGTGAGCCAAGATCACGCCTAGGAGTGCAAAAAAAAAAAGAAGAAAAGAAAAGAAAATGATAATCTTACCATCTCAGCCCTCAAGTAAAAGTAAAGGGCAGGGCTAAGTCAGCAGAATGATCAGGAAACTGATTCCACAGCCCTATTGCCTAAATAGGGAGGGACAAACAAGATTCAGGCATTTCCCTCTTGGTCTACATGTGGATTAGGTCCCCCACCAGTAAAAACTCCTCCCTAATAGTTCTCACAGTTGTTCACCTAAACCTGAGCAGTGCTCTGGGGTGCATTAGCTGGTGAGAAGCTCTCCTTGCTTGAGCCAGTTTTAGGAGAAGGAACAGTGGGATTGAAAGTCACTAGGGAGCTAGCCTATGGCCAAGTGCTATGAATGGCCTGCCATGTTCCAGAAACCCCCATGTGAGATCTTTCTCTGGGTTAAAGCTCCATGGTTGCTAATTGCTGTGAGAGTGATAGAGTCCCCTAAGTCTAATCAAGCCTGGAAGCTGAAGGACATTGTGTGGACTTGGGCCTTGAGAGGTTCCCGAACTCCAGAATTCTGCAAGTTATATGACTTTCATTTAAATTTTCTTTTTAATTGAGAAGGAGTCTCACTCAGCCACCCAGGGTGGGGTGCAGTGGCTTGATCACAGCTCACTGCAGACTCACACTCCTGAGCTCAAGCAATCCTCCTGCCTCAGCCTCCTAAGTAGCTGGGACTATGGGATATGCCACTATGCCCAGCTAATTATTTTTTGGTAGAGATGAGGTCTCACTACACTGCCCAGGCTGGTCTTGAACTCCTAGCCTTAAGCGATCCTCCTGCCTTGGCCTCCCAAAGTGCCGGGATTACAAGCATAAGCCACCATGCCTGCAGTTATATGACAATGATTGTTTCTCTTTAAACGAGGAAGCATTAGCTCAGAGAAATGAGAAATCTCTGTATGTAGTAGATGATGCAAACCATGCTAAAATAAACACATATAATTGGAGAAGCTAAGATCATTCTTAAAGCTAGGTCAGTCATTCCAGCTGCCAATCAAAACCTGCACACAAAAACCTGGACATAAGTATTTATAGTAGCTTTATTTATTTATAATTTGGCATAGTTGATGCCAAAACTTGGAAGCAATCAAGTTGCCCTTCAATAGGTGAGTGGATAAACAAATTGTAGTGCATCCACACAACAAAATACGATTCAACGATAAAAAGAAATGAGGTATCAGGCCATGAAAAGACATGAAGAAATTTTAAATGCGTATTACTAAGTGAAAGAAGCCAATCTGAAAAGGCTACATACTATATGATTCCAACTATCTGACATTCTGGAAAATGCAAAACCATGGAGACAGTCAAAAGACCAGTGGTTGCCAGGGGTTGCAGGGGAGGTAGGGAAAGAGAGGGGGATAACTAGGCGGAATACAGGGGGATTTTAGGGCAGTGAAACTATTCCATATGATACGGTGATGGCGGATATGTGTTATCATACAATTGTCAAAACCTCATTCAACACAAAGTGGATCCTAATGTAAACTATGGACTTCAGTTGAGAATAATGCATCAATATTGGCTATCAGTTACAACAAATGCACCGCACCGATGCAAGAAGTTTATCATTGGGGAAGCTGTCAGGTGGAAGATTTGAGGAGATACAAGGATAAAGGGGATAAATAGTATATAGGAGACAAAGAACAAGACTTGGCTGAAAGAAGGCAACATATTAGAAAGAGGTTTTATAAGAAGCCATTCAAGTGAAGAAATATAAGGATAGACTGAGAGCCGATTCTTTGTTAAAGCCGTGCTTTCCAGGCCTTGCTCTTCCCAATCTTTACCAATCTTCAGCAATGCAGAGGAGGAACCAGAGACTCTGGGAGACCTGAGATTCATCTGCACACCCAGAAGGTGGTAAAAGCAGGGTTTGGACGAGGTCTGTCTGCCTCACAGCTCCTGATCCTTCCTCCACCCCACCCTCCCTTTGACTACTTAGAGGAGACCCCAGCTTGTCTTCTACTTGGGACAGGGGTAGCCATGGAAATACTAGGAACAACTTAACAGTTATTCCCAGCAGCTGCCTAAGGAGATTTTCTCTGCAAGAACAGAGGATAATGAATTCTCCTAAAGAATGAGAGAAATCCCAGAGGTAAACAGAGATGCAAACACCCAAAAAGGTCACAGTCACAACGATAGCCCAGCAAGACAGCATCGAACGACGAGTCTGCTCTGTCTTTAGAGAAGAGGGGTGTTTTCTGAGAGCCTCTCACTGCAGATTCCCTGCTGATCTGGCAGCTCCAGCCTAGCGCTCAGAGGAAGCCACAATGAGACCAATTTTCCACAGTCCTAAGAAGAGACACATCCCCTTCTGTGTATACATTTCTCTTGTATTCACTGTTTTCACTCACCCCCTGCAGCCTGCATGAGATTTGAAATTACAACCCTTATACCTTCAAGTCCAGATTATCCTTCTTAAAGGGAATCAACTATTGTTGAAATCCCCAGATAATCCCCCAACCTCATTTGTACCATTTTTTGTACTGCTTTCCCAGAAAGTTCAAGCCCTAGACTGAAGGAACACATGAAGTAAAATTGATGGCTTTGAATGGAAAATCCCAGCCAAGAATCCAACCGAACATGGTGTACCAGGGCCCCAAGCATGCTTCCTGTTCCCCACTAGCTACCGGCTCCCAGGCCCATTCCTGCTCAGACTGCCGTGGGCCTGTGCAGACAGCCCTAGAGGAGGCGAGGAGGTTCCTTCCAGACTGGATGAGGTCTGGGTAAGGGCAGCAGGCACAGTGCAGACTCCTCCCGCGAGCTCAGGTCAGGGCACAGTCTGGCTGCCGTCAAGGTTTGGATCTTAATCTCCGATTTGGCTCTAAAAGCTGCTCAGGCAGCACCCAGTGCAATAACTGTGGGGCAAAATCAAGAAGTATCTAGCAGGAGAGGGTTTCCAGAACAACTGTGCCAGGGGTCCTAAAAACCGAGCATTGAGCCTATGGACACTAGCCCCTGGATGGTCTAGAAGGCCCAGGATCCTACTTTAACCTGTTCTCCCAGCCAAGCAGGAGCAAACCACATCTGACTTAATATACTCTTGTGGAAGATCTACCTGCTGTATGCTTCCTCACAGTCTCTGCTAGAGCCACTAGCATGGTACAAGTGAAAACAAGCTTGCAGGACGGACACGTGGGAGATAAAGGGGAAAGAGAGGAAAGAGAGGGAAGGAGGGAAAGTGGGGGAGTGAAAACAGTCTCTAGGTGGGCAAAGGGTAATGAAAATTTCAGTGCTAGAACTCCCTTCTCCTCCCTGCTTCATTTCTGTATCTTTGAATCTTATCATTTGCTCTAGACCCCAGTGAAATCTCCACAAAGTCTTCTTTAATGCCACAACTGAATACTGAGAGCTCCCCATTTCCCAAGTGTGTTGGGCAATTTCAGTCGGAACCACCAACACAGCCCTTTATGACATGCCTCTGGTTTCGAGTATATAACCTTTGTTCCTGACACACTCTCCAAACAGGAGGCTTCACTTGCTCAAGGACAGTTATGCTAGACACTTTCCTTGTAGCCAAGATCTAGGACTGCACTTCACCCTTCAAGAGGGGCATTCGCTCACTGATTGAACTCCCTCCCCAAGTCCCAGCATGCTCTCATCTATGTAGGCACTGGCAGGAGAACCCTCGAGAGCTTTTCTTCAGGACCAAGGGAAGGTAGTGCTCTTGTTCCCTATCTCTGGGCCTCCAGAGTATGAGGGCACAAAGGTACAGCAGAGGGCCTGCCAATCCTTGGCCTAGGCATTTCAGGTGGTCTGGAGCTGATATTCATCCAGAAATGGGTTACTATTTTTCAAACATACATACACACATTTGATTTATAAAATACAAGCCAGGCATGAGGACTTATGCCTGTAATCCCAGCACTTTGGGAGACCAAGGCAGGAGGATTGCTTGTGTTCAGGAGATTGAGACCAGCCTGGGCAACATGAAGAGGCATTGTCTTTTCTTTGCTTTTTTTTTTTTTTTTTTTTTTTGAAACGGGGTCTCACTCTGTCACCCAGGCTGGGGTGCAGTGGCGCGATCTCGGCTCACTACAGCCTTCACCTCCTGGGTTCAAGTGATTCTCCTGCCTCTGTCTCCTGAGTAGCTGGGATTACAGGCACCCATCATCATGCCTGGCTAATTTTTGTATTTTTGTAGATACAGGGTTTCACCATGTTGGCTAAGCTGGTCTTGAACTCCTGACCACAGGTGTTCCACCCACCTCAGCCTCCCAAAGTGCTGGGATTACAGGCGTGAGCCACCATGCCTGGCCAAGAGGCATTGTCTTTACAAAAAAAAATTGTTTAAAAATTAGCCAGGTGTGGCAGTGCATGCTTGTGGTACCAGCTAATTGGGAGGCTGAGGTGGGAAGTTTGCTTGAGCCCAGGAGGTCGAGGCTGCAGTGAGCTGTGTTCACATGACACCACTCCAGCCTAGGTGACGAAGTGAGACCCTGTCTCAAATAATAATTTAAAAGAATAAAATACAAAGTCATTTCAAGCCATTACTGACTTTTTATTAACATTTTGTTATAAATTTATTTTTAAATAGGTAGATATTAGAAGTTCAGGTCCCAGGATTTTTTGACATTTGAAAGAACTTCAATGTCATATTAGAACATTTTGGAACTACTGATCCATACATGAATGCTGTTCCTCTCCTCATTCACAGTCAGGTGGCATGCTGCTAGCTGCAGTCCAGAATCCAGGTTCCCCATTTATGAACACACAGTCATTGAGTCTGCCAAAAATCAGCTTCTGAATTTGCAGAAGTTCAAGGCTTAGGGAAAAGTTTAAAGGCAACTGATGCAACAGTCACGCTTGACCAATTTGCTGGGAGCTGAAATCATACACAATCTATAAATATGACTTAAACTGTTCTATTTCAGTTTATAATAAACAATAAGGCTCAGCTCCAATCCTTCCCTCTCCCCAGTGAGGATTTTTTTTTTTTTTTTTTTTTTTTTTTTGTTGAGACGGAGTCTCGCTGTCTCCCAGGCTGGAGTGCAGTGGCGCGATCTCGGCTCACTGCAAGCTCCGCCTCCCGGGTTCACGCCATTCTCCTGCCTCAGCCTCCCCAGTAGCTAATTTTTTGTATTACGCCCGGCTAATTTTTTGTATTTTTAGTGGAGACGGGGTTCCACCATGTTAGCCGGGATGGACTCGATCTCCTGATCTCGTGATCTCCCCGCCCGCCTCGGCCTCCCAAAGTACTGGGATTACAGGCGTGAGCCACCGCGCCCAGCCCCCAGTGAGGATTATTCAGAGCCCTACCCTTGCATAGTTAGGAAAGGTGGGGACCAAGTTTCATATTTCATGGTATTAACAGACACAACAAAACTCTCTTTCCTTGACCCAATTCACTGCCTTTATTTTCACAAACTACTTGGTGCAATAGTCATTTAGCATAGCGTGTCCCACTAAAATAAATGGCGGCATCATTTAAATGCCATACTAACTTGTTATATTTCTACGTGCTTATAAACCATGAGGCAACTATCAAGTTAATAAATATCCAAATTCTGATGGATTTACATATTATATTGTTGACACTGTATTTGCATTCAGAGCAAAAATGAAATGGGTCTTAAAATGAGTCGTGATAAAGTGATTGCTATCAAAAGGCTGGAAGATGGATCCAGACAGCCGTGGGCTTGCAACTTTCTCTGTCGAACAACAAACATAGCCAAAGATTAAAGTGCTCAAATAAAAATTAGAGCAGGTCTGCCAACCCCATTTCCACCTCTACCTGATGAGACCAGTGTTCATGAATTACTATGGCCCATAAACTGTGTTGTGCTTCTTATCCACTATTGAATTCAATCCTCCCTAACAAGCAGATGCTATTCTTGTCACTATTTAACAGATAAGGACACTAAGCCTCGGTTGTGTAAGAAAACACAAGTAAACAATCTAGTACAAAGCAAACTCAGGCAAAGTCAGACTCAGACCAAGATTTTCTGAAAATCCAAAGCCCATACTATTCCTCCTACATTACTTTGCCTCTCAAGTGAAATATTATTTCTTTGCCTAGCAGCCTTCACTTACAGCCAGGGTGGGTGTGGACAGATCTGTATATGGCTCTAGTATAAGAAAGTGGGGAGATGTTTAGAAGGCTCAAAAAATTGTTGACACCAAAAATTCAAACTATCCCCTGTCCACAGAAGTCCCAGCTGAGTTTTTAAATCAATATTCCCTCAGCTGACCATGATAAGACAGAGATTTCAAAAATCAAATATGCACAGACATGTTCCACTTACTCACTCATGTAAACTTCTTAAAAACTCGGCAATGAATTACCATATGGAGCTCCAAGTACAAATGCTGTGTCTATCGCCTTTGAGGTCTCCAGGCAGAGGTGAGCAGTGAAGGAAGGACTCTAGGGGATGGGCATAATGCATGGTGGGCAGCTTACCCATCTCAGGAACTGGCTTCAGCCCCATGGCACCACAGGGATGGAGGTAAGAGATTGCAAATGCAGTGGGCTGACTGCAACTGTGCTATTAGGAAAACTGCTAACCCCAATCAGCAGCAATCACACTTGATCTTCAGGATGACTTTGGAGCAGTTCTCAGAACTAAGCAGTGGAGAGAAGGCCAAATGAGGTTATACATGACTCAGATAAAGCTATGGATAAATTAATTTTGTTTTCTTGTGTGAACATTTATCCCAACTGAAGAATTATAGTGTTGGCATGAATATGCATTAAAAGAACAGAAGCTGAATTGTGTTCCAAAGGAATTGTATTGACTACACAAGCAGCTAATGACATGGTTTACTTCTCTGGAAGAATCAGCACTCATTTTCAGAGTGACCTTATAGTTTAAATTCTTTGAATTGAGAGCACAATGAACAAGCTCCTCTACTGAATTTATAAGTGACTATGACACGGCAACACCAAGTCACTATCTGGGTAACTCATCTGCCTGTGGAAACCTGTGTTGATCGTTGCTTTTGCACCAGCCTTCCTAAGCTAGTGCTGTCTGCAAACAGACCTTTCTGTGCAGATTAAAGAGAGCCTGATTCAGTAGAACCCACATGTCACAGATCATTTGCTTTGCCTCTCTCGACACAGAACTTCAGCATCTGATTAAAGGAGGCCAGGTGTCCAACATCTGGCCAGATGGATTTGTTTCTGAGCAAAGTCAGAGGAAACCAGAGGTAGACATGCACCTGGTCCCCAGTCAGCTTAGCCCTTTTAATGTGCCTAGCCATCCCTGAAGTTCTGCCCTGTTAACGAAATAGGAATTTGCCATTGCTATCCTTACAGGTGTTCACAAAGCCATAGAATAAAATGACTACAATTTGAGATCAACTGACTCAAAAACTTTATCTCCTAGAGGAAAGGAAACTAAAGTCCACAGAAGTTAAGTGACTAGGCCAAAGTTACCCAGCTAGGAGATGGCAAAGCTTTTAAAGACACCAGACTCTAGATTCCATGGCCCAACCTCACTCCTGGTTATTAGTTGCATCTAAGACAATGGCTTTCAAACTTTAGCATCAGAATCATCTGGAGGGCTTGTTAAAACACAGATTGCCAGGTCCCACCCCCAGAGTTTCAGATTCAGTGTTTCTGGACTGGGGCCCTAGAATTTACATTTCTAACAAGTTCCCTGGGGAATGGTGATACTCTCGGTGTAGGGCCCATATGTGGAGATCCACTGAGGTAGCATGTGTGATTAGATAGGAGGAAAAGTTGCTCATCTGACCCCAGGGACACAAAAGATTTATCTAAAAACTCAGAATAAAGAAGTTTGTTCCAGTTTCCAAATCTGTTCTAGGCTATGTAAGTTAGGGGGAATTTGTCTTCTAGAATGCACATTTTAGAGGCTTTTAAATGTCTGGGGGAAAGGCTTCTGTTCATCCTGATAAACCATCCTAAGGAAGCTTTACATTTGAGTCTGAAATTAAAGATGACGAAATAATCCTCAGACAAATATAGAAGCCCAGGGAAAAGGATGGGTGGCAATGGAAGGTGGGCACAGGCATGTGGGCGGTGATGTGGCTTGGCTGTGTCCCCACCCAAATCTCATCTTGAAATTTAGCTCCCCTAATTCCCACATGTTGTAGGAGGGACCCAGTAGGAAATAAGTGAATCATGAGGTTGGTTTCCCCCATACTGTTCTCGCGGTAGTGAATAAGTCTCATGAGATCTGGTTTTATAAGAGGTTTCCCCTTTCCCTTGGCTCTCATTCTCTCTTGCCTGCTGCCATGTTAGATGTGCCTTTTGCCTTCTGCTGTGATTGTGAGGCCTCCCCAGCCATATGGAACTGGGAGTCCATTAAACCTCTTTTACTTTACAAATTACCCAGTCTCAGGTATGTCTTTATCAGCCCGGTGAAAATGAACAAATGCAGGTGGGAAAAGAAGGACACGATCAGTGGATGGAACAAGGAGCACTGGGGCTCAGAAGCAGTCTGGCTCAGTTGGGCACACGCAATCAAGAACATGGGAAAATGGCAGCTGGATTGTTGAGCTGGAATCAGGAATGCCAGAAATAGGATAGAGGGCAATGCCAGTGTTGGTTCACTAAGAGAGAAAGCAAGACCCAGCTGCGACTGCAGCTGACTCCATTCATTTATTGAATCATTCAGCAAGCATTTACTGGGCATCTCCTGCATGCTAGGCCCTGCACTAGGACTGGGGATGCAAAAAGTAAGAAGGCATTGCCCAAGAAAGAGAAATTGTGAACACAAACAACTCTGATGGAATGGCTAAATGTTCAACAGAGGTACAAAGCACTGCATAGCAGAGTTAACTTCTGCCTGGAGAAACCTCTACTTGAAGTTTCTCTTGCTTTTATCACTGGCCAAAGGTTGGTTTACCCCAGCGCTCTATCCTTGGACTTCTTGTTGTTAAAGGCTTTTGGGTCCAGGGCTGGTATTTATGCCTGTAATCCCAGTGCTTTGGGAGGCCAAGGCGGGAGGATCACTTGAGGCCAGGAGTTCAAGACCAATCTGGGGAACATAGTGAGACCCTTATCTCTACAAAAGTGAGTAAATAAATTAGCTGGGTGTTGTGGCACGAGCCTCACTTGAGCTCAGGAGTTTGAGTGCAGTGAGCTATAGTCATGCCACCACACTCCATCCTCGGCAACAGAGCAAGACCCTGTCCCTAAAATAAAATAAAATAATATAAAATAAAAATTTAGTCCAGTGGTGAACTCCAAATGCTATACTTGAACTCACATGCTGAATCTCCATCTCCAACCTGATTTCCTCCAAGCTCCATCTCCTAGGCTGTCACTTCCAGCTGTCCTCTAGGCATGGATGCCTACATGTCAACCTTTTTATCTCAACATGTCCAAAAGCAGATTCATTTTCTTTCATATTTTTAATCATATAAGCTAATGGCTTTACTATCTAAACATCCTTCCAGACATTTTTGGCTCTTCTCACTCACTTTCCATTTCTGATGTCACCAGAATCTCTTATTCCTACTCCCATAACTATCTCTCATCTGGCCTTTTCTCTCTGTAACCACTGCCTTCAGCAACACTCCACTATGCTGGCTCCTTCAGACAATTAGAAGTGTGAGGGAGAATGGATGAGAAAGGGGTAAAGGCCCTAGGCTGGCCTGTCACAGGCTCTGCCCAGAATTCAACTGGTTTTTGAATGGTCAAAGCAAAAAACCAACTCATGACCATCTCTGAATGTCAGACTAAGGACATTTGACTTTATTTGGCTGGCCATGAGGAGCGCGGAAAAGCTTTTGTAGAGAGATGTGATGTAATCAGAGGTATGCATTAAGAAGATTAATTTGGCAGTAGCTTATAGAAAAGATTATATGGAAAATAGATTAGCAGTAAGGAGATCAGCTAGGACATAATTGCAAAAGGCCATATGATTAACAGGGAAGGTTTGCATTCAGTTGGCAGTTGTGGAAACAGAAAGTAAGAGATGAGGGAAATATTTTGGAAATAGAGTTGGTATTACTTTTTGAAGTCTGATGTTAAGGGAGGCAGAATTCAAGCATTAACTCTTGAGGTTCTATCCTTGACTAGCCAGGATAATAGGGATTTCACTTAGGGAAAGAATTATGGGGCAAGGGGAGAAGGGAATGAAGAAATGCAGTGTTCAGATTTAGGCATGTTGAGCTTGAGGCACTATTGCGATGCTAAGAGAGTTGAGGGATTCTGATTGTGAGGCTGGGACAGAAAGACCAGAGCCTCATGGCCCTACTTAGAGGTGAAGAGAAGCTCTGCATGAAACTGATCAAGGTATAAGCCTGACCAAAACGCTTTTGTAATTGGTGATGATAAGAATACCAACACCCTTGAAGTAGAAAAAAGCCCTGTAAGAAGAAGGGGTGGGGAAACTAGACTGCCATCACTGCTGTTCATGATGAGAAAGTAGAAGTGGCACAGTAGATTAATCATTAGCAGTGATAGAAGTAAGAGAGGCAGAATCCTAGTCAAAGGCTGTAGAAAGATTGGGAAGGATGTGTTGCCTTGCGGTGACGTGAATTAGTTTTCAGGCACAGAGACCCAGAAAAGATAGGGAGAAAGAAGGAGAAAGAACAATAGAGAGTAGATAATAGATAATCTTAGAAAAGAGACAAATAAATTAAGATCAATGTCAAAATAGGAACAATAGTCTGGAAGAATGAAAGATGGGGGTAACCCAGAAGAAACAATGAACTTTCTTCTGAATGGGAGACGAAAGCAAAAGAAGGGTCAAGGAATGGTTCACAAAATAAATGAAGGATGAATGTTTAACGCAAGTCTTTAAAAATATGTAGAAAATGCAAAAAGGAGTAAATACAGTATGCACATGAATGTAAGAATTACCAAGCTATAATAAGGGTTATACATGAATTAAATGAATGTTTTGAGGGCACGATCAAGACCACGTTGTTGCTTTTCCCTTAAGCAAGCTTAGCACATTTCCTCCTCCCGTGGATGTTCTTCAGTCAGAGGGTGGGGAAGACTAAGGACAGAAGGCATCTAGGGCACGAGGTGAGAGAAACGACTGAGCACAGGACACAGGCTGGTAGGGAAGATAAGTGAATCCCAAATAGGAGTGCTGAGGGCTCCAGGATCTCTTGATCAGATGAGGGAACTGGTACCACTGAAGAAAGCTCAAGAGAAGTGCACTTGCTAGGAGAACCCAGATCCCAACTAAGACGAAGTACAGAGAGCACTTAGGGCACTGATTGAGGGTACTGGCGAATTTAGCCACGGTGGGATTGAAGTTGTCTGGTAGTCAGTGGAAGGATTGGGCGGAGGAGTCTAAGTGAGCACAAGAGAGCAGAAAGCCTGAGAAGTCAGGGAAGAGGGAGGAGTTTGCACCTGTGAGGATAAAGGCGATGGAGCCTGAGTTGTAGGTCAATCCCTTTTGTTCACTCAGGTCTCAGGATCCAGCCAACTGGAAAAATCAGTCATACTTCTCCATCTCAGAGGGATGAAGCAGATCAACCTAAACATTCCTCTATTGTTCCATTCTCGTGGTCCATTTGTCTAAGACTGTCTCTTCCAGGACACCAAAGGCCTTGTTTGAGGAAAGCATGTGTTTGTTGCGAGGACATCGAATTAAAGTTAAACTTGCTTGTCTCCTAAGCCTCTGCCTTTAAATAGTGAATGACTTCCTTTGTCATAAATGAAATCTTCAGTTTACTTGGATGTTACTTTGATTCACTATCTTAGGTCTCTGTCAGGGACCTAAGATAGTGTCCTCTCTAATCCTCTTGGGTCCTAAACTAGAGAATCATTCTGACTTTCACCTTCCTCAACACCCTGTCCCTCTGCTATTAGTCCTTGCTCAACACTGTCTGTTGCATCCAACCCTTCCTTCTATAACCAGTGGTACTACCCCCACCCAGATTACTATTGTTGACATTACAGAAGAGGTGCTTGCTGAGGTCAGTGTCTCCAGGTGGAGGCCAGCTAACTCTCTCTCCAGGGCTACCTGGATGAATTTACCAATTCATTCAGGCTGGCCAATGCCCAAAGTCCACTGGGGAGGCTCAGAATCACAGTTTCATTAGAAATCTCAGAAACGGACTCACTAACCAAGCTCACAAATGCTAAAGCATAAGTAAGAATCTCAATGTAGTAATATTCCGTAAGAAATCCTGCAGCCACACAGGCCAGAATGACTAATATATTCTCTCTCTGGCATAACTGTGTAGGAAGTCTTTGCAGCTGTGTTTCCTGCTCCAGCAAAAGTCCTGCCCATAAGACTATAAATCTTCAGTCCAAAAAGCCAACACACTACAACTGCCTTTTTTATTTCCTTCCACTGCTAACAAATTCCAGGGATGACTGCCATTTTCTTTACATGTGCTCGTAGATTCCATTCGATTACAGCCAAGCCTTGATGGCCTGGGGGAGGTTATTCTGTCTCTGTGTCCAGGTTCTTAACCTTATTGTGCATAAAATTAAATACAGAGGATGACAAAGGAAACCAAATATGTTGAAATGCCATTATTAAAATATTTTTTAAATCGCCATATAGTAATATATGTGCATCTTTATTAGTTAGAAAATCTAGCCCTGGGTGTCATAATTTTAAAGTAGTGATGAGCATAAAGAATATTTCAAAATGTATCCATCAACTATATGTGATAGGAGTATGTCTGTGATTTCTATTGGTGACAAAGTCACAGTTACTGCTCATAACTACTCTGGCTTATTATCTACATTCATAATTTAAGAAAATGCTAAATTGCAATCAGAGGTTTGTATAAAGATGTAATTTTTTTCTCATCCAGTAATCACAGGTTTCCTGAATTCTGCTCACAGACATCAAGGATCTGTGGATCCCGGGTTAAGAGCCCCGACTGAGTTGATGTGGCATGTCTCTGCTTTCCTCGCGACATGCTGATTTCTTAGTGTATCTCTCACATCACAGTTTCTAAGTTCTTGGGCAAGTCATTCCATTTCATAAATACTACCTATCATTATTAGGTATATTCTCCATCTTTGCAAGAACATTGTTTTTTACATTTGAAAATGTATGAGACGATCACCAAAAACTGGAAACAACTGAAATGTTTGCTAAGTGGTGAACTGATAAATTGCAGTATATCTACTCCATTGAATACTACTAGTAAATTAAAGAAAAAATTAATAAAAACATGCAACAACATAGAGGAATGTTAAAAGGAATTATGCCAACTTCAAGAAGCCACACTGACAACGCTATTTACTGCAGGACTCAATGGGTATGACATTGTGGAACAGGCAAAACTATAGCCACAGAAAACAAATGAGTGGTTGCCAGGGGCTGGGAGGAAGGAGGAAATTCACTACAAAATGGTGTGAGAAAACTTTCTGGATGGAAATATTACAACTCTTGATTCTGTTGTTAATTACATGACTTACATACATTTGTCAAAATTCATATAACTGTACACCTAAAAAAGAATTTTACCATATGTAAATTATAGTGCAATATATCTTTTAAAAGTATGATAAAATATATTCAGACCTTCACATAATAGAGGTCTTTTTAATAACATTTCACTGAGAAAATACAAGTGTGCATGTAGACTCGAGAATCTGCAATAACTCCAGAAGGGCAGGGGTGCAGGTAACCTTGACCCACAGGCTGCACCCTACTGATTACACAACTATATTAGTGTCCTAAATGGCCACTTAGCCTGTATATTTTTCTCCTCCAGGCTCTTCCGGGCTCAGTCTCTCCAGTTTCCATCCTGTTGTTCTGTCAGTAACCCAGAACTCTCAATAACCTCTTTTAATTTTTGTTCTGTCAATAACCCAGAACTCTCAGAACTCTCAATAACCCCTTTATATAGACTTGTTAGTGGAAAGGACTTTGAAGGTCATGAATTTCCAACTCTGACTCACTGCTGAGCCCCATCCCCAGTACTCCTGCCTGAGGTCAGCGAGCTTCTACCTGGGTACCCTAGTGGCAATGGGGTTCCCCACCTCATGAGGTAGAGTGCTCTATGGGTAATAACCCTGAATTACTAGATAGGTTTATGTTCTTACTTACAGAGAAAACTCAAACTTCTCGGGAGAGCACTAAAGATCTTCCACAGTCTGACTCCAAATGGCGTCTCTGGCTCATCTCATTAGGTTCATCTAATCCACACGGTAGGCCCTGCTCTACTCCTTGTTCTCAGGCCATGCCTAGTGTTCTTCCACTTTTGCACCTGCACTCATTCTGGTTTCTATGTCTTGTAAAACAGATTGTCTTGTCCTGTAAACTCAGTGCTCAGAGACACTCCCTCATCCTTCCTTCTCTAAAGAGACTCCAAGAGTCCAATAACATCTATGATAGCAATAACAAATATCATAGCCAAACACTCTTAACTAGGCCTCAGTGTGTTATGCTGAAATTCCCAAACCAGGTGTAATAAATGGTTTACAGGAATGGTCCCTTCTGCCCTTGGAGTTGCCAAATGAGGCCTGGGGAAGCTGGATTCCCTGGGCTCATTATCTCCAAATGGAGAAATCTCTTCCATTTATCCCAAAATGCTAATACACACACACACACACACACACACACACACACACACACACAAAATAAATATGTGTGTATATATAATATATATAATTTTATCTATATAAAAATTATTTTTATGCATGTGGAAAACTGAAGAAGCACAGCATTCAGATGTCTCTAGGGCCCAGACTCCATCAGATCCCAGGCTCTAGAACTGCTCCTACCCCTCCTGACCTGCTTGTTCCATTGTCTCCATGACTATCCCACTGCCTCACTCCTGGTCCGACCCTCTCACCCTAGCTCATTAACATTGATGCTTCGTCAGATTCTACGCTTGGTTACTACTCCTAGGTTCTGGATTTTCCTCCATTCCTAGTGCCACAGCACTCATGCCATTAATTTCTTCTTCCATCCCCATCAACTTGAAGCTCTCAAATGCTTTCCGACTTGTATGGGAGAGGAATTCCACACACTGCTCCTTTTTCCTCTGTAGATTCTATTTCTCCTTGATGATCAAGCTTCAATCTCACCTCTTCACAGACAGCTTCCGAGATCCCAAAGTCACTTCCTCCCTCTGTGAATTACCATCCACCTCATCAACTGTTTCCTGTTGACTGGGCATATTTTTTCCTACTTCTTCAACTTTTATTTTAAGTTCAGGGGTACATGTGCAGGATGTGCAGGTTTGTTACATAGGTAAAAGTGTGCCACGGTGGTTTGCTACACAGATCATCCCATCACCTAAGTAGTAAGCCCAGCGTCCATTAGCTATTCTTCCTGATGCTCTCCCTCCCCCACTTGCCCCTCCTCCAGCAGGCCCCAGTGTGTGTTGTTCCCCCCATGTGTCCACGTGTTTTCATCATTCAGCTCCCACTTATAAGTGACAACATGTGGTAATTGGCCTTCTGTTTCTGCGTTCGTTTGCTGAGGATAATGTCTTCCAACTCCATCCATGTCCCCGCAAAGAGCATGATCTCATTCCTTTTTATTTCTGCATAGCATTCCATGGTGTGTGTATGCCACATTTTCTTTATTCAATTTATCATTGATGGGCATTTGGGTTGATTCCATGTCTCTGCTATTGTGAATAGTGCTGCAATGAATATACGCATGCATGTGTCTTTATAATAGAATGATTTATATTCCTTTGAGTATATACCCAGTCATGGGATTGCTGGGTCAAATGGTATTTCTGCCTCTAGATCTTTGAGGAGTTGCCACACTGTCTTCCACAATTGTTGAACTAATTTACACTCACACCAACAGTGTAAAAGCGTTCCTTTTTCTCTGCAACCTCACCAGCATCTGTTGTTTTTTGACTTTTTAATAGTAGCCATTCTGACAGGTGTGAGATGATATCTCAGTGTAGTTTTGATTTGTATTTCTCTAAGGACCAGTGATGTTGAGCATTTTTTCATACGTACATATTCTTAATAATTAAATTATAAGCAATTTGAAGGCACATGCCTCTCTTGATAGCTCCCATAGTGATGGCTAGCTAGCACAGTGGCTCACATTAGGAAGATGCTTAATAGTTGCTTCTTTTAAATTAGTTGCTGAATTTAAAATATCTCTCTCAGTTCCAAGGTTGAAAGAAAATAGAAGTAGCCAAAATCTATATCCTGAACCACGCACAATGGATTATGGCCACAGAATCAGTACAGCTGATCTAAGGGATATGTAAGTACAGACACAGAGTCAACCAAATAAATCCTCTTTAATTCTGGCTGGCGCGATTGACACATACCCCAATGCAGTCTCTTGGTAAATGGGGTAAGTTATTAAATATCGCAAGGATGTGTTTGGAGAGGAAATGGTATATATCATATCAGGTATCCAGAAGGCCACACCCCACTTCCTCCTTCCTTCGCAGATCATGGCCAGAGAGGCCACCTAAGTGGCCTCCAACTTTGAGCTTGTTTTGCTACACTAGCTGCATGAGAGCTCCGGGGGGAAGGCGGGGGGTGGATAAAAGAAGCCCAAAGGAAACCTGCCAAATAGATTCTTTTAAAAAATACCTTAAAAATTTAAACTTCCTCTTTTGTCTGCATATCCACCCCATAGGTAGGGGTGGATGAGCTTTGAGTAATTCTAGAAGCCAAAACTATTAACTGTGTCTAATAACTGTTTATGGATAAAATCTTCTAACACGTGTGTGATCACTAAGACAGATACGAACCTGGACCAAGACATGGGTGTCTTGCCTGAATCATCAGAGCTACTGATATACAACAAAATCCCCCAGATAGTGACAGGTGTGTTCTCAAGCCATGGGTGAGACTGAAGTTGCCACTCTTGGTTATACAGTCCCCAAATATGGGGCATGGCAGCACACAGGCTAAGAGTTGTGGAAGATTCTTATACAAGGGAGTTCTCAATGGTTGTTCCCAACCAGGTTGGCCCCCAAAATTCAACCAAGAAACTCAAACTACAATTAACAAAAATAAAATATGGTCTAATTAATATATCCTAGATAATGTTTGCCTTTACTTGGATGGCTATTTACATGGACAAGGGAAGAAGGGAAGATAAGGGAAAAGGCTTTTTATGTGTTTATTCAACAATGGCGGAGGAGAGGCATGCCAGATAAGGCAGACACGGGCATTCCAAACACAAGAAAGGTATGTGCTGCAGAGAAGTCAGATAACTTTCCTAGGCTCTCCTGCAGTCCGGATGAAATACTCTCAAAAAATTAGCCCGGGCCCTTTGCTCCAATTTTTCGCTTACCTAGCAACCATCTAACTATTAATTAAATTGGTATTATGGTTTTAACATGAATCTTTTATGATTTGCTTACCATTAATCAAACCCCCGAGGCTTATTCACCTCAAGGGGAGCTGACAAAGTTGAATTATTCAACCTGCAAAGATCCAGGGCCCCCAAATACTGTCATTTCCACTCTCCCCTAACCCCCACCATGAGGCCCAGTCTCAGCACTCGGCCAGCCTATGCCCAACTCGGGGTAATCAGCTTAGACATATTAATATTAGTGGGCATTTCAGTATCAACAGATCACTGTCTAGCAGCTGACAGGCACCCTCAGAAAATAAACCAAGAAGAAAGGGTTTATCTATAATATCAAAATTTTTCATAGATAAACCTGCCCATTATAAGGAAGAGGGCAGAAGAACCCTAAACTAAGAGCCAGGCAACTTGTTCATTAATCACAGCATATTCCATAGAAGGAGGAGAAATGTTGTCATCAAATTCATCTTTTTCACCTCAATTAAACATCTATGCTACAGCTCCACAGTCAGATTGAGAGGAAAAACAGTACGTAGCTAAGAAAAGACATAGACTTGTAACTGAAATGCTTCACTGGTGCTCCTTTTGTTTTAAGGCATTGGATCTTCATAGCTACTGATCGTGCCCAAGCACACAGTATCTGCAGCAACCACTTAGGCCTCCAGGAATGTGGTGACCATTGACCCTAATTCATTCCCCTTCATGGATCCTATGTAACCATCCTCCAAAAAGAGCTTTCGCAAACTCAAATAAACACAGGAAAGGAAGACCTTCTTATCTTTGAGAGTATATGTTTAGCCCTATAACCCTCTCTTATCATAAATTGCTTCTTAGGCAAGAAACACTGGATTTTTCTTGTATTTGTCATTGCCATTGGTTCCATACAAGCATTCATTTAACAAATAATACATTCCATCTCCGTTTTTTGCTTTTTCCTTCATGCTTCGGCCTTGGTTTTCTCTCACCTAAAACACTACAAGCTTCTTCTCCCAGAGCTCTCACTTTGACTCCAGACTACCTACATTTAATCTTTAATTCTCTACCAAAATTTTCTCTTATCTTTATATCTTTTTAATTTTAATTTTATTTTTTGTGGATACATAGTAGGTGTATATATTTATGGGGTACATGCAATGTTTTAATACAGGCATGCAATGTGAAATAAGGACATCATGGAGAATGGGGTATCCATCTCCTCAAGCATTTATCTTTTCAGTTACAAACAATCCAATTACACTCTTTATTTTAAAATATACAATTATTAATTATAGTCACTCTGTTGTGCTATCAAATAGTAGATCTTATTCTTTCTATTTTTTGTACCCTCTCGTCTTTTTATATTAAAAAATAATCTTTATCTCTGTAAGCTTCATCAGTGATTTTCCAATGAAATTTAGGATCTTCTCTATACCCTGAATTGCCTTACTTTCTCCCCACTTCCTTGTCTTATTCAAATGCAGATTTCATTAATGATTTCCAGATCAATGATAGTTCAGAAAGCAAGCAAGTCAAAGTGACCAAGGGCATGGCCTGAAAACTGTTCTAAGAGAGGAATTTACAGAACAACTATTAAATGATGTCAATAGGATTGTATTAGTCCGTTTTCATACGGCTATAAAGAACTGCCTGAGACTGGGTAATTTATAAAGGAAAGAGGTTTAATTGACTCACAGTTCAGCACAACTGGGCAGGCCTCAGGAAACTTACAATCATGGTAGAAGGTGAAGGGGAAGCAAAGCACCTTCCTCACAAGGCGTCAGGAAGAAGTGCCAAGCAAAGGGGGAAAAGCCCCTTGTAAAACTACCAGAACCTGTGAGAACTCAATCACTATCACAAGAACAGCATGAGGGAACCGCCCCTCGTGATTCAATTACCTCCACCTGGTCTCTCCCTTGACACATGGGGATTATGGGTGTTACAATTCAAGATGAGATTTGGGTGGGGACACAAAGCCTAACCATATCAAGGATCAAGTGGTGGGTTGAAACTAACAGGATGAGATATATCAGATACAAACACAGGGTCCCATATTTGGGTTAAAATTCATAAATGATCAAAGCACAGGATGACAGATAATATAGGTCATTTTAGATTATTGTGGCCAACAGATCACAGTGGGTAGTGTTATGACGAAGGGAGGGTCACAGTTACTACAGTTACAGATGGATTCTGGGTACAACATTTGCACTAAAGTGCCTTTGCCAAGGGAGGCAACAGTCTCGACATCCTGTGGCCTGATCTACTTCAGGGACTGTGTCTTGTTCAGAGCATCACATTTGAAGAGAACTTTGACCAAGGGGAATATGCCAGAAAAGGAAGTTCGGGATGCTGAGGATCTTAGGAACTATGTCTAAACAAGATTCATTCACAGAAGTGGGAATGTCTATTTGGCAAAAAGAAAATACTACTTACATGGCTGTTGGAAGACCAGCAATCACAAACTCAGTTTTTCAAAAGGCTGGGCAGAAACACAGATGAAAGAAACAGGCCATGTTTAAGAAAAGATAAAAGCTCACGCATGATATGCCACTAGAGAATCACCTAGCCTCAGTGTTGGCGGGGAGGCCTGGGGAGTCTTGATGTCTGAGAGTGACATTCTGATGATCACTGTCATGTGTAAATGTTGGCCTAAAGCTGCCAATATTTTTGATTTAAGAGAAGCAAGAAATGCAAATTTTTATGCAGCATGTCTCAATTTTTAATTTTGGCAACTATTACAAAATGTTTAAAGAGACTCTGTGCAGCCCAAATATAACATATCTATGGGCTGATGGCAGCCCAGCGTTGCCAGTTCACAGGGTCTACAAGAGATGATTCTTAGTTTCAACAGGGTGCAGTGCTGAAACGCGTGCACAGTAGATTTTGCTTCGGTTATGAAAGAACTTCCAAATATTTATGATTCATAGCCAGAGAAAAGGCTCTCTATCCAGGTTCTGAACAATAGGAAATCATCAAGAGGATATTGGATGACAATATATGAAAGATGTTATTTGAGAAAGGATTCTCTCCTGAGGCATAGATGTTGAACCAAATTCTATTAGTTATGCTTTTACAGCAAGATAGTGGTTTACAGCTTACAAAAGGCTTGTACATCCTCTCATATTAAAAGTTATTAGAACAGTCCTTTGAAGTAGAAAAGTAGGCATTTCTATTTTACAAACGAGTTGGCCGAGTATCTGAGATAGTAGATAACTCATAGAAGGTCATCCGGGAAACGGGGCAGCAGAACTGGGATCGAATGACTCTGGTCATCCAACTCCAAATGCAAAAGTCTTTCTGCTGCTGCTTCCTAGTTAAACTCTAAGGGTCTAAGACTCCATTCCTAGTTATGGTCTCAACTACATTTGCTCATTGCTGTGAGGGGTCAACCCACCTCCCGGAGTCCTCTCCTGCACATTCTCATGTTCCTGAAAGGCTTTTCTGTCCCTTCCACTACTCCCTGTAAGCTCCTGTGCTTCACAATTTCTTGTTGAATTTTTTCTAATCTGACTCTATCAGTTATGGGAATGTTCCCTCAATTCTTAGTGCTCCAAACCGGACTTGCTCTTGGCTTGTATTTGTCCAAAATATTTGTCTTCTCTATGTTTTCTACATGTTTGTCTTATAAGGACAAAAACCTGCCTTAGTTTATCCATGAACAAAGCCACGCATGCTAGTGGACACACACACACATGCGCGTGCGCGCGCACACACACACACACACACATACACACAGAGACTTTGTATGTGAGTAATGAATCATCAAATCATCATAATTTCTGGACTTGTATTAATAAGTCGGCCAGGAGGAAAAGAATCTGCTGTCAATCATGGCTTCTGGTTCTCACAGTCATCTCTACTTTCTTCCAGCAAGTTTGGTTCTGTCAAAAACCAGCTGTCAGCCTTGTTCCTGCATGCCCAATGCAGAAGAGTCAGTAAAGAAGATTTGGTTCTCTGTATTTCAGGGGCATCAATGCCAGGTTGAAATATGCCATTCTGGCCCAGCTCAGTGGCTCACACGTGTAATCCCAGCACTTTGGAAGGCCAAAGCGGGTGGATTGCTTGAGCTCAGGAGTTCGAGACCAGCCTGGGCAAGAGGCTGAGGTGGGAGGATGACCTGAGCCCGGGAGGTCAAGGCTGCAGCGAGCTGTGATCGTGCCACTGCACTCGAGCCAGGGCGTTGGAGTGAGACCCTGTCAAAAAAAAAAAAAAAAAGGAAGGAAAAAAGGAAGGAAGGAAGGGAGGGAGGGAAGATGCCATTCTTAGATTGAAGTGGACTTTATCTGGGCAGAACACACACACACATACACACATGCACACACACATTGTGGAGAAATTGCTGACTAAGCAAAGCTTCCAAATGACTTAGTTTGGCTAAAATGTAGGCTTTTAAAAATGTGAGCACTGCCAAGGGTTTTTCCTTGTTGACCCATGGATCCATCAAGTGCAAACATTTTCTAATGCACTATATTTAAGCCTGTGCAGCTAGATGTCATTCAACATGAAATACATTATTACAACTTGCATCTGTCTAAAATCTTGCATCTAAAATGAGAGACAAAAAATCTATAAAAATGGAAAACATGCATAGAAATATGTGAGGGAGGAAAAAATTACCCCCAAGAATGTTAGTGCACGCAGTCACACAGGGAGAAGACTATTTTTGTTTTGTTTTGATTGTTTTGTTTTGTTTTGGTTGTTTTGTTTTGGTGACCTAACTGGTCAAATGACCTATTAAGAATATTTCATAGAACGAATGTTCCGATGCTCTAATCTCTCTAGACAAGGTTCATATTTGTATGGGTTACTTATTCTCTCTTTGTTGACTAAGTCAATAATCAGAATCAGCAGGTTTGCAGTCAGATTGGCAGGGATAAGCAGCCTAGCTCAGGAGAAGTGAGTATAAAAGCCCCAGGCTGGGAGCAGCCATCACAGAAGTCCACTCATTCTTGGCAGGATGGCTTCTCATCGTCTGCTCCTCCTCTGCCTTGCTGGACTGGTATTTGTGTCTGAGGCTGGCCCTACGGTGAGTGTTTCTGTGACATCCCATTCCTACATTTAAGATTCACGCTAAATGAAGTAGAAGTGACTCCTTCCAGCTTTGCCAACCAGCTTTTATTACTAGGGCAAGGGTACCCAGCATCTATTTTTAATATAATTAATTCAAACTTCAAAAAGAATGAAGTTCCACTGAGCTTACTGAGCTGGGACTTGAACTCTGAGCATTCTACCTCATTGCTTTGGTGCATTAGGTTTGTAATATCTGGTACCTCTGTTTCCTCAGATAGATGATAGAAATAAAGATATGATATTAAGGAAGCTGTTAATACTGAATTTTCAGAAAAGTATCCCTCCATAAAATGTATTTGGGGGACAAACTGCAGGAGATTATATTCTGGCCCTATAGTTATTCAAAACGTATTTATTGATTAATCTTTAAAAGGCTTAGTGAACAATATTCTAGTCAGATATCTAATTCTTAAATCCTCTAGAAGAATTAACTAATACTATAAAATGGGTCTGGATGTAGTTCTGACATTATTTTATAACAACTGGTAAGAGGGAGTGACTATAGCAACAACTAAAATGATCTCAGGAAAACCTGTTTGGCCCTATGTATGGTACATTACATCTTTTCAGTAATTCCACTCAAATGGAGACTTTTAACAAAGCAACTGTTCTCAGGGGACCTATTTTCTCCCTTAAAATTCATTATACACATCCCTGGTTGATAGCAGTGTGTCTGGAGGCAGAAACCATTCTTGCTTTGGAAACAATTACGTCTGTGTTATACTGAGTAGGGAAGCTCATTAATTGTCGACACTTACGTTCCTGATAATGGGATCAGTGTGTAATTCTTGTTTCGCTCCAGATTTCTAATACCACAAAGAATAAATCCTTTCACTCTGATCAATTTTGTTAACTTCTCACGTGTCTTCTCTACACCCAGGGCACCGGTGAATCCAAGTGTCCTCTGATGGTCAAAGTTCTAGATGCTGTCCGAGGCAGTCCTGCCATCAATGTGGCCGTGCATGTGTTCAGAAAGGCTGCTGATGACACCTGGGAGCCATTTGCCTCTGGGTAAGTTGCCAAAGAACCCTCCCACAGGACTTGGTTTTATCTTCCCGTTTGCCCCTCACTTGGTAGAGAGAGGCTCACATCATCTGCTAAAGAATTTACAAGTAGATTGAAAAACGTAGGCAGAGGTCAAGTATGCCCTCTGAAGGATGCCCTCTTTTTGTTTTGCTTAGCTAGGAAGTGACCAGGAACCTGAGCATCATTTAGGGGCAGACAGTAGAGAAAAGAAGGAATCAGAACTCCTCTCCTCTAGCTGTGGTTTGCAACCCTTTTGGGTCACAGAACACTTTATGTAGGTGATGAAAAGTAAACATTCTATGCCCAGAAAAAATGCACAGATACACACACATACAAAATCATATATGTGATTTTAGGAGTTTCACAGATTCCCTGGTGTCCCTGGGTAACACCAAAGCTAAGTGTCCTTGTCTTAGAATTTTAGGAAAAGGTATAATGTGTATTAACCCATTAACAAAAGGAAAGGAATTCAGAAATATTATTAACCAGGCATCTGTCTGTAGTTAATATGGATCACCCAAAACCCAAGGCTTTTGCCTAATGAACACTTTGGGGCACCTACTGTGTGCAAGGCTGGGGGCTGTCAAGCTCAGTTAAAAAAAAAAAGATAGAAGAGATGGATCCATGAGGCAAAGTACAGCCCCAGGCTAATCCCACGATCACCCGACTTCATGTCCAAGAGTGGCTTCTCACCTTCATTAGCCAGTTCACAATTTTCATGGAGTTTTTCTACCTGCACTAGCAAAAACTTCAAGGAAAATACATATTAATAAATCTAAGCAAAGTGACCAGAAGACAGAGCAATCAGGAGACCCTTTGCATCCAGCAGAAGAGGAACTGCTAAGTATTTACATCTCCACAGAGAAGAATTTCTGTTGGGTTTTAATTGAACCCCAAGAACCACATGATTCTTCAACCATTATTGGGAAGATCATTTTCTTAGGTCTGGTTTTAACTGGCTTTTTATTTGGGAATTCATTTATGTTTATATAAAATGCCAAGCATAACATGAAAAGTGGTTACAGGACTATTCTAAGGGAGAGACAGAATGGACACCAAAAATATTCCAATGTTCTTGTGAATCTTTTCCTTGCACCAGGACAAAAAAAAAAAGAAGTGAAAAGAAGAAAGGAGGAGGGGCATAATCAGAGTCAGTAAAGACAACTGCTATTTTTATCTATCGTAGCTGTTGCAGTCAAATGGGAAGCAATTTCCAACATTCAACTATGGAGCTGGTACTTACATGGAAATAGAAGTTGCCTAGTGTTTGTTGCTGGCAAAGAGTTATCAGAGAGGTTAAATATATAAAAGGGAAAAGAGTCAGATACAGGTTCTTCTTCCTACTTTAGGTTTTCCACTGTGTGTGCAAATGATACTCCCTGGTGGTGTGCAGATGCCTCAAAGCTATCCTCACACCACAAGGGAGAGGAGCGAGATCCTGCTGTCCTGGAGAAGTGCAGAGTTAGAACAGCTGTGGCCACTTGCATCCAATCATCAATCTTGAATCACAGGGACTCTTTCTTAAGTAAACATTATACCTGGCCGGGCACGGTGGCTCACGCCTGTAATCCCAGCACTTTGGGATGCCAAAGTGGGCATATCATCTGAGGTCAGGAGTTCAAGACCAGCCTGGCCAACATGGCAAAACTCCGTCTTTATGAAAAATACAAAAATTAGCCAGGCATGGTGGCAGGCGCCTGTAATCCCAGCTAATTGGGAGGCTGAGGCTGGAGAATCCCTTGAATCTAGGAGGCAGAGGTTGCAGTGAGCTGAGATCGTGCCATTGCACTCCAGCCTGGGTGACAAGAGTAAAACTCTGTCTCAAAAAAAAAAAATTATACCTACATTCTCTTCTTATCAGAGAAAAAAATCTACAGTGAGCTTTTCAAAAAGTTTTTACAAACTTTTTGCCATTTAATTTCAGTTAGGAGTTTTCCCTACTTCTGACTTAGTTGAGGGGAAATGTTCATAACATGTTTATAACATGTTTATGTGTGTTAGTTGGTGGGGGTGTATTACTTTGCCATGCCATTTGTTTCCTCCATGCGTAACTTAATCCAGACTTTCACACCTTATAGGAAAACCAGTGAGTCTGGAGAGCTGCATGGGCTCACAACTGAGGAGGAATTTGTAGAAGGGATATACAAAGTGGAAATAGACACCAAATCTTACTGGAAGGCACTTGGCATCTCCCCATTCCATGAGCATGCAGAGGTGAGTATACAGACCTTCGAGGGTTGTTTTGGTTTTGGTTTTTGCTTTTGGCATTCCAGGAAATGCACAGTTTTACTCAGTGTACCACAGAAATGTCCTAAGGAAGGTGATGAATGACCAAAGGTTCCCTTTCCTATTATACAAGAAAAAATTCACAACACTCTGAGAAGCAAATTTCTTTTTGACTTTGATGAAAATCCACTTAGTAACATGACTTGAACTTACATGAAACTACTCATAGTCTATTCATTCCACTTTATATGAATATTGATGTATCTGCTGTTGAAATAATAGTTTATGAGGCAGCCCTCCAGACCCCACGTAGAGTGTATGTAACAAGAGATGCACCATTTTATTTCTCGAAAACCCGTAACATTCTTCATTCCAAAACACATCTGGCTTCTCGGAGGTCTGGACAAGTGATTCTTGGCAACACATACCTATAGAGACAATAAAATCAAAGTAATAATGGCAACACAATAGATAACATTTACCAAGCATACACCATGTGGCAGACACAATTATAAGTGTTTTCCATATTTAACCTACTTAATCCTCAGGAATAAGCCACTGAGGTCAGTCCTATTATTATCCCCATCTTATAGATGAAGAAAATGAGGCACCAGGAAGTCAAATAACTTGTCAAAGGTCACAAGACTAGGAAATACACAAGTAGAAATGTTTACAATTAAGGCCCAGGCTGGGTTTGCCCTCAGTTCTGCTATGCCTCGCATTATGCCCCAGGAAACTTTTTCCCTTGTGAAAGCCAAGCTTAAAAAAAGAAAAGCCACATTTGTAACGTGCTCTGTTCCCCTGCCTATGGTGAGGATCTTCAAACAGTTATACATGGACCCAGTCCCCCTGCCTTCTCCTTAATTTCTTAAGTCATTTGAAACAGATGGCTGTCATGGAAATAGAATCCAGACATGTTGGTCAGAGTTAAAGATCAACTAATTCCATCAAAAATAGCTCGGCATGAAAGGGAACTATTCTCTGGCTTAGTCATGGATGAGACTTTCAATTGCTATAAAGTGGTTCCTTTATTAGACAATGTTACCAGGGAAACAACAGGGGTTTGTTTGACTTCTGGGGCCCACAAGTCAACAAGAGAGCCCCATCTACCAAGGAGCATGTCCCTGACTACCCCTCAGCCAGCAGCAAGACATGGACCCCAGTCAGGGCAGGAGCAGGGTTTCGGCGGCGCCCAGCACAAGACATTGCCCCTAGAGTCTCAGCCCCTACCCTCGAGTAATAGATCTGCCTACCTGAGACTGTTGTTTGCCCAAGAGCTGGGTCTCAGCCTGATGGGAACCATATAAAAAGGTTCACTGACATACTGCCCACATGTTGTTCTCTTTCATTAGATCTTAGCTTCCTTGTCTGCTCTTCATTCTTGCAGTATTCATTCAACAAACATTAAAAAAAAAAAAAAGCATTCTATGTGTGGAACACTCTGCTAGATGCTGTGGATTTAGAAATGAAAATACATCCCGACCCTTGGAATGGAAGGGAAAGGACTGAAGTAAGACAGATTAAGCAGGACCGTCAGCCCAGCTTGAAGCCCAGATAAATACGGAGAACAAGAGAGAGCGAGTAGTGAGAGATGAGTCCCAATGCCTCACTTTGGTGACGGGTGCGTGGTGGGCTTCATGCAGCTTCTTCTGATAAATGCCTCCTTCAGAACTGGTCAACTCTACCTTGGCCAGTGACCCAGGTGGTCATAGTAGATTTACCAAGGGAAAATGGAAACTTTTATTAGGAGCTCTTAGGCCTCTTCACTTCATGGATTTTTTTTTCCTTTTTTTTTGAGATGGAGTTTTGCCCTGTCACCCAGGCTGGAATGCAGTGGTGCAATCTCAGCTCACTGCAACCTCCGCCTCCCAGGTTCAAGCAATTCTCCTGCCTCAGCCTCCCGAGTAGCTGGGACTACAGGTGTGCGCCACCACACCAGGCTAATTTTTGTATTTTTTGTAAAGACAGGTTTTCACCACGTTGGCCAGGCTGGTCTGAACTCCAGACCTCAGGTGATTCACCTGTCTCAGCCTCCCAAAGTGCTGGGATTACAGGTGTGAGCCACCGTGCCCGGCTACTTCATGGATTTTTGATTACAGATTATGCCTCTTACAATTTTTAAGAAGAATCAAGTGGGCTGAAGGTCAATGTCACCATAAGACAAAAGACATTTTTATTAGTTGATTCTAGGGAATTGGCCTTAAGGGGAGCCCTTTCTTCCTAAGAGATTCTTAGGTGATTCTCACTTCCTCTTGCCCCAGTATTATTTTTGTTTTTGGTATGGCTCACTCAGATCCTTTTTTCCTCCTATCCCTAAGTAATCCGGGTTTCTTTTTCCCATATTTAGAACAAAATGTATTTATGCAGAGTGTGTCCAAACCTCAACCCAAGGCCTGTATACAAAATAAATCAAATTAAACACATCTTTACTGTCTTCTACCTCTTTCCTGACCTCAATATATCCCAACTTGCCTCACTCTGAGAACCAAGGCTGTCCCAGCACCTGAGTCGCAGATATTCTACTGATTTGACAGAACTGTGTGACTATCTGGAACAGCATTTTGATCCACAATTTGCCCAGTTACAAAGCTTAAATGAGCTCTAGTGCATGCATATATATTTCAAAATTCCACCATGATCTTCCACACTCTGTATTGTAAATAGAGCCCTGTAATGCTTTTACTTCGTATTTCATTGCTTGTTATACATAAAAATATACTTTTCTTCTTCATGTTAGAAAATGCAAAGAATAGGAGGGTGGGGGAATCTCTGGGCTTGGAGACAGGAGACTTGCCTTCCTACTATGGTTCCATCAGAATGTAGACTGGGACAATACAATAATTCAAGTCTGGTTTGCTCATCTGTAAATTGGGAAGAATGTTTCCAGCTCCAGAATGCTAAATCTCTAAGTCTGTGGTTGGCAGCCACTATTGCAGCAGCTCTTCAATGACTCAATGCAGTTTTGCATTCTCCCTACCTTTTTTTTCTAAAACCAATAAAATAGATACAGCCTTTAGGCTTTCTGGGATTTCCCTTAGTCAAGCTAGGGTCATCCTGACTTTCGGCGTGAATTTGCAAAACAAGACCTGACTCTGTACTCCTGCTCTAAGGACTGTGCATGGTTCCAAAGGCTTAGCTTGCCAGCATATTTGAGCTTTTTCCTTCTGTTCAAACTGTTCCAAAATATAAAAGAATAAAATTAATTAAGTTGGCACTGGACTTCCGGTGGTCAGTCATGTGTGTCATCTGTCACGTTTTTCGGGCTCTGGTGGAAATGGATCTGTCTGTCTTCTCTCATAGGTGGTATTCACAGCCAACGACTCCGGCCCCCGCCGCTACACCATTGCCGCCCTGCTGAGCCCCTACTCCTATTCCACCACGGCTGTCGTCACCAATCCCAAGGAATGAGGGACTTCTCCTCCAGTGGACCTGAAGGACGAGGGATGGGATTTCATGTAACCAAGAGTATTCCATTTTTACTAAAGCAGTGTTTTCACCTCATATGCTATGTTAGAAGTCCAGGCAGAGACAATAAAACATTCCTGTGAAAGGCACTTTTCATTCCACTTTAACTTGATTTTTTAAATTCCCTTATTGTCCCTTCCAAAAAAAAGAGAATCAAAATTTTACAAAGAATCAAAGGAATTCTAGAAAGTATCTGGGCAGAACGCTAGGAGAGATCCAAATTTCCATTGTCTTGCAAGCAAAGCACGTATTAAATATGATCTGCAGCCATTAAAAAGACACATTCTGTAAATGAGAGAGCCTTATTTTCCTGTAACCTTCAGCAAATAGCAAAAGACACATTCCAAGGGCCCACTTCTTTACTGTGGGCATTTCTTTTTTTTTCTTTTTTTCTTTTTTCCTTTTTTGAGACAAAGTCTCACTCTGTTGCCCAGGCTAGAATGCAGTGGTGTAATCTCAGCTCACTGCAACCTCTGCTTCCTGGGTTCAAGCGATTCTCCTGCCTCAGCCTCCCAAGTAACTGGGATTACAGGCGCATGCCACCACGCCTAGCTCATTTTTGTATTTTTAGTAGAGATGGGATTTTGCCATGTTGGCTAGGCTGGTCTACGAACTCCTGACCTCAGGTGATCCACCTGCCTCAGCCTCCCAAAGTGCTGGGATTACAGGCATGAGCCACTACACCCGGCCCCTACTCTGGGCATTTCTTTGATTAAAGAGAAGGGGAGCTCCAACAAGATACACCTGCAGCAACTCAGGCCGTCTGATCAGTTCAGGCCAGATCTACACTGCAACCAGCCAGGTCAGGGGAAAACCAAAGAACCCCACACACCCAATTTACTTAGGCTGATCCAAAATCCATGTATGGAGAACTCACATGCACCAGGCACTATTTTAGGTGAACTGAATATAAAGAATAGGACCCAGTACCTGCATTTACTTAAAGAACTCACAATCTTTTGAGAACATAACTGTTTCATCATGGTTTGGCAGGAGGCTATGGTACAAGGCACAGCAAGGGTAAGAAGGAGGAAGAAACCAACACCCTACAGAAATCAGGGAATGACTCTGAATAGGTGTCACTTAATCTGAGTGTTGGTAATTTGTCAGATAGACAAGGGAAAAGGTATTCTAGGTAGAGAGAATACAGTTTGCAAGGCCCAGCCAAGTGAAACAATTTGATAAGTTGAGAGAGCAGACGACGATTCAGAATGTTGAAGGGCAAAGGTATTGAGGTGGGATGGGTTATGCTGCTATCACAAATAACCCCAAATCTCGGGGGCTTAACAAAGTAAAAGTTTAGTCTCAGTTGTGCCAGGTCCAATGTAGAACTCTTTGCTCTAGAGACTCTTTAGGGTGGCTTTCCTTCTAATGGTGACTGTTTGAGACAGTTTGATTTAGTCTTGTGGCTTCAAGGTCACTCTGGTGATATTTAGCCAGCAGACTGAGGGAACATAGTATGGTATTAGACCCCTCTGTGCTGAAGTGTCACACATGAGTCCCATTGACTTCTCACTGGCCAGAGCTAGTTACATGCCCCCATCTAGATGTGCTGAGAAATGTGGCCCCTGGCTGGGAGCCATTTCCCAGAACAACTAACTCTATGCTCTGGAAGAGGAGCACTAATCTGAGTTGGCCAACAACCATCTCTACCACAGTAGGGTTGGGACTGGTGGGGCATGAGGCTGGAGTGAAGGTTGGTTTTATCTGCCACGCGTTACAGCTGTGAATTTGTCTTGAAAGCAACATGGGTCCATTGAAGGGAACCTTGACATCAGTCATGTGGCTGGGACAAGAATAGTTACCACTTGCCCGTAATCTCCAACCAGGATTCTCCAGGAGAACCTGAGTTAGACACATGGCTTAGGCCTAAACCTACCTGAGTGGTCTTTCTATTTTCCTCCAAATTCAAATCTCAAATCTTGCTACCCTCTAACTGGCTATGTTGAGAGAGGAAAAAACTTGAAGAGAATGCAGTGTAGCTTTGGAGTTTTTCACATGCACTTTTCCCAAGATACATAGCAAAATCAATGTCTCCAATTCTATTAATGTTGTTAGCAAGTCCTTGTTCCATGCATATTGGTTAATCCATAGCAAATTGCCATTTTTATAGACTAAATGGTCAAATATTGGCAATTTCATAAGGTTCAGTCTATTACCTACCATGATTGTATTGGTCACTAACCTGCCTATTTTTAGAATGCTACATATTCATTTGGCTGTTGTTAAATAGCTATGGATTTTTATAATCAAAACAGGTTGAAAATATGAATCAGTTTAAAACCACATACATGTGGCCAAGCACGGTGGCTCATGCTTGTAACCCCAGCACTTTGGGGGGCCAAGGCAGGCAGATCACTTTAGGTCAGGAGTTCAAGACCAGCCTAGCCAACATGGTGAAACCCCATCTCTACTAAAAACACAAAAATTAGCTGGGCATGGTGGCGGGCACCTGTAGTCCCAGCTACTCAAGGCTGAGGCAGGAGAATCGCTTGAACCCTGGGGAGTGGAGGTTGCAGTGAGCTGAGATCACGCCACTGTACTCCAGCCTGGGCGACAGAGCAAGACTCTGTCTGAAAGAAAATAAACTATATACGTATTTTTAAAGGAACTGGTTCATGCAATTATGGGAGCTGGCAGGTTTAAAATCTACAGGGCAGGCCCACAGGCAGGAAACCCAGGGAAGGGTTGATGTTGCAGTCTCATCCGGAAGCAGAATTCCTTTTTCCTCATGGGTCAGGAGGAGGAGCCTGAGTCTATTCTTTTAAGGCTGTCAAGTGATTGGAAGGGGCTCACCCACATTATGAAGGGTCATCTACTTTGCTCAAAGTCTAGGGGCTTAAATGTCAATCACGTCTAAAATATACTTTCACAGCAACATCTAGGCTGGTGTTTGACCAAAAATAGGCCTAACCAAGTTGACTGTAAAATTAACCATCACAGTCCCCTTCCCCAAATTTGTTCATCATAGAATGAAATCTTTGGCCACATTCCTATTCTTGAGGTCACGGGGAAAACTGATATATCATGATGAAGATCCCTCCAGCTTTAGGGAATTAAGAGATGCCTGTGTTTCTGATTAGTGGGGAAGGCTATGAATGGAATTAATTAACATACTCATTTATCTTTTGGGGTATCTTATGGGAATCAAGTGTAGGGCTGGCTGGAGCCCACCAAGGTTGATATGTTAGAAGCAGGATATTGGCAGGATTTTCTTATAAGCATTCATCGGCATTTCAAGGCTTTAGGTGAGCAGTTCCTCACCATTTAAATTAATTGAGAACTCAATAACTACTCCGGCAAAATTAAGTTTCTCTGCTTTTCAGGGCTTTCCAAAGCTCCCCAGATGGCTTTGGGCAAATTGCTTGATCTTATGTATCTATTTTCTTATCCCAAAACAAGCCTCCAAACCTAGCATTCAGTGGCTCTCTAACCTGAACCTAACCTACCCCTCCAGCTTTTTCCATCGTGAGTTTCCAGCTCTCTGCTTCTGAAAATCTAGTTCCCATCTCCCTCTCTGCTATGATCACACTAACTCCCACCAAGACATTTTAGCTGATGTGGTTTTCTACAACTTAGACAACTATTCCTCCACATGTCCCATCTTTTAAATACGATTCATAATCTCTTTAATATACACAGAGTTCTAGTGAATTTACATTAAATAAGTGGGCCCCCTGTATAAGATGGCAGATGTGGGTGGACACGCAGTCCACATGAGAGGTTCAAACGGCGAATACCATGAGACAATATGTTCAGTATTGCAAGGCAAAAAGAGAAGTTGAGCTAAATATTAAAAGTAATTTTTGACTTTCAGAATGGCAAAGATTTCAATGAATATAAACCTAGGACAAAATTTGGAAGAAGCCCGCAGGAGGTTTTATTCATTTCCTGGGGCTGTAATAATAAAGTACCAAAAACAGAGTGGCTTAAAACAACAGGAATGTATTGTCTCACAGCTCTGGAGGATAGAAGTCTGAAATTAAGGTATTTTCTGGGCCATACTTCCTCCAAAACTCGCAGGGGAGAATCCTTCCTTGCCTCTTCCTAGCTTCTGTTGGTGGCACTTGATCTTTGGAGTTCCTTGGCTTGCAGCCACATCACTCCATGATCTGCCTCTGTCATCACATGATGCTCTCCCTGTGTCTTTTTCCAAATTTTCCTCTTCTAAGGACCCCAGTCATGCTGGATTAGGGTCCACCCTAATTACCTGCTCTTAACTAAATACATCTGTAAAGACTATTTCCAAATAAGGTCACATTCACAGGTCATGATTTTTGCAAAGGCACCTTTAGGTCTTTGTTGTTCTGTGTTAGTATCTTCTGCTTATGTCCTTTCGTGGCCATTGTTATGGGTGAAACTATGTCCCCTGAAAAAGACATTGAATAAAAATCTGACATAGTTGGCTCCATCTTGCTTCTAACCTTCAAGCTGTACCTTAGTCATTCCTGGGCATAGGCCAAGCTAACTTTGAGATGAATTTATTGTCTTTTTTAACCTTAAAGCAAGAATAATAATAGCTTTTCCCAAACTAAACCACCTTTGTGAAACTAATAAAAGGGCACAAGTTTAGGATTTTGAGATGTGCCTAAATTATGCTAAGATATAGGCATAATTAAACACTAACCAGCCACTCACTATTGTGGAGGTCACAAGATTTATAACTTCCCCAATTACTCCTGTAAATAACATCACCATTATAAAACCTAAGATTGGCCTTTTAAAAGGTTTTTTTCAGACTTTTACACTTCTGACAATCAACTGACTTGGACTTCACCTCAACCCACAACTGTGACTCAACTGGTCCTGTGGCCCTCACCCAGAGGCTGACTCAGTGCACAAGGACTGTTTTCCACACCCCTATGATTTCATCTCCAACCAATCAACATTCACTACTCCCTAGCCCCCTGCCCACCAAACTATGCTTTTTTTTTTTTTTTTTTTTTTTTTCTGAGACAGGGTCTTGCTCTGTTGCCCAAGCTGGAGGGCAGTGGCACCATCACGGCTCACTGCAGCCTCAAACTTCTGAGATCCAACAATCCTCCTGCCTCAGTCTCCTGAGAAACTGGGACTTCAGGTGTACACCATCACACCTGGCTAATTTAAAAATGTTTTATAGAGACAGGGTCTTACTATGTTGCCTTGGCTGGTCTCCAACTCCTGGGTTCAAGCAGTCCTCTGCCTTGGCCTCCCAAAGTGCTGGGATTACAAGTGTGAGCCAGCACACCTGGCCCACACTTTCCTTTAAAAACCCCTAACCTCCAAGTCTTTGGGGAGACTGATTTGAGTAATAACTCTAGTTCTTCCACATGGCTGGCCTTGCATTAATTAAACTCTTGATTTACTGTAATACCATGGTCTCAATGAATTGCTTTTGTATGCACAGCAGGAAAAATGCATCAGGCAATTACAGACCAAGGGAGCAAACAACCATTTCAGTCGAAGCAGCATGGGCAGAGGACAGTCAGCGACCAGACAACACATTCCCCTTTATGTCAAGATGCTCCATAGCCTCCAAAAGGTGGATGGAATTCATGGAAAAACAAAGAAGGCTGAGCATTAAACTGGAAGTCAAATTGAGTTGGTTTCAACAGGTAAGATTAAGTAGGCTGATACCAAAAGGAACTATGGACAGGAAAGCTAAGTTTAATTCAGATATATGTATAGCATCGCTCTCTCTCTCTCTCTCTCTAATACACACACACACACACATACTCACACATTATTTGTTCTGTTTCTCTGGAGAACACTGACTTATACAGGTACTGTACTATCATCCACCCTTTGAAGGTCCCTTTGTATGGTAATAGGGAAGACTTGTAGGTTCTGGAGCAGGGGAACAACATGATGGAAGTTGAGTTTAAGAAAACATTTAATCACTGATCATCAGAGAAATGCAAATCAAAACTACAATAAGATATCATCTCAGTCCAGTTAACATGGTTTACATTACAAAAAAACAGGCAATAACAAATGCTGGCAAGAATGTGGAGAAAAAGAAGGGAACTACCATTTGATCCAGCAATCCCACTACTCAGTATCTATCCACACAGAGGAAAAGAAGTCATTATATGAACAAGACACTTGCACACGCATGTTTATAGCAGCACAACTTGCAATTGCAAAAATATGGAACAGCCGAAATGCCCATCAATCAATGAGTGGATATATATATATATATACCACAATTTTTTTATCCACTCATTGATTAATAAAGCTACTTTTTATGGCTGTGTAGTATTCCATTATATATATGTATATATACTTTTTATGGCTGAGTAGTATGATATAAAAGGAACCAGATAATGGCATTTGCAGCAACCCGGATGGAATTGGAGACCATTATTCTCAGTGAAGTAACTCAGGAATGGAAAACCAAGCAGCGTATGTTCTCACTCATAAGTGGGAGCTAAGCAATGAGGATTCAAAGGCATAAGAATGATACAACGGACTTTGAGGACTTGGGGAGGGGGGATGGATGGGAGCGAGGTGAGGGATAAGACTACAAATTGTGTGCAGTGTATACTGCTCTAGTAATGGGTGCACTAAAATCTCAGAAATTATCCCTAAAGGACTTAATCATGTACCAAATACCACCTGTTCCCCCAAAACCTACGGAAATAAAAAATAAAAATAAATAATAAAGAATGTGGAGAAAATGGAAGCCTCGTACACTGTTAGCGGTAATGTAAATTATTACAACCACTGTAGAGGACAGTTTGGAGGTTCTTCAAAAAGCTAAAAATTCAGCTACCACATGATCCAGCAATCCCACTGTTGGGTACATCTCCAAAAGAAAGGAAATCAGTATATCAAAGAGATATCTGCACTCACTCCTATGTTTGTTGCAGCGCTGTTGACAATATCTAAGATTTGGAAGCAACCTAAGTATCCATCAACAGATGAATAAAGAAAATGTGGTACGTATACACAACAGATCACTATTCAGCCATAAGATCCAGTCATTTGGAATACGGTAGATGGAACTGGAGATTATTATGTTAAATGAAATAAGCCAGGCACAGAAAGACAAACATTGCATGTTCTCACTTATTTGTGAGATCTAAAAATCAAAACAAGTGAACTCATGAACATAGAGAATAGAAGGACAGTTACCAGAGGCTGTGAAGGACAGTGGGGGGCTTGGGGGAGGCAGGGATGGTTAATGGGTACAAAACACAGAAAGAATAAATAAGACCTACTATTTGATAGTATAACAGGGTGACTATAGTCAATAATAACTTAACTGTATGTTTTAAAATAACCTAAAGAAGGTAATTGGATTATTTGTGACTCAGAGGATAAATGCTTGAGGGGATGAATTTAAAAAGGAAAACAAAGTTTGTAGGAATGAACATCATAGGACTGATTGGGAGAAGGTAGAGGAATCATACTGCCATATTGGTAGCAATGAAGATTTGAGGTGATGTGACGTTGCATTAGGGAGGCAGACATGGAAATGCAAGAAAAGGAATGCATGTCAGATCTTAAAATGTATATGTGATGGGAAGAGGTTTGATTTGCATTCCTCAGGGAAAAATCATGAGGTAGATTAAAAAGCAACCGATGCCTTGCAGGGGGATGAATGATGAGGCTCTGATCCCATTTACCTGTCTGGACTTTCTACCTTGTGAATCAATCATTTGTATCCCAATATGAAAACATAAAGTCAGTCTTTGTAAAGAAGCTGTGTGTGCTGTGGGTATGGTTGACGGTAAATGTTTAACTGGCTCTTTGGAGAAAAAAAGCTAGCTCAAGGTTGTAATGTTTGCCAATTTTCATGGTAAAAACAATCTCACCATGGCAATTTCAAACTACCACCATGATGTCATTAAATGCACAGTTGGGAAGAGTTATACAGTAGTCTGGTGTAGTATTTCTACCATACAGATACAACAGATAGAAACAGCCTCAAGAGGACAGGTAAGGTAGTTAGGAAGTAATAAGATTTGACTATTTATTACCTTTGTTTGAATGTAAGTTAATGCTAAGTTCAATAACCAGCTTACAAAATTTCTGAAAATTTAAAATAAGCCATTAGTTGCTGATTCCAGCACACTACTGCACATATCCTCTGTGTTACAACTCCTTTCTATAACGGTGTGAGTGGGTATGTGTATGAATATTGAGGCGGAGAGTTTAAACAAGAGTGTCATTTAAAAGAAGGGTATTCATTCTCATAAAATGTCCCTGCCCTTTTTAATAAGATGAAAAAGCTACATATGATGTCTATGTAAGGCACACTCAAATAAACATAATATTTGAATGGGACATTAATATGTGAGAGGCTATTTCACAATTACCTCTTCTAAAGGCTCTCCTTTGCCACATATTCTATCTTGAGGGAACCAGGAATCCCCGTTGAAATCAGTGGATGCCCTGAGACTATGAACCTAGACTTTACAGGTAAAAATTACTGGTCTGGTCACATATAGAAGTTGATTAGTGATTTTTTCCCATTAACCATCCTCATATTTCAAGATGCTAGATTGCTAAAGCCTGGAAAATCATTTCTGATATAAGAACAGATATTCAGCAGTTTTGGAGATGGAAGCAATGCCAGAGATGGGACTATTTCTTCTTATTGTTTTAGATGTAAACATTAAAAAAAAAAAAACAGGATGCACACTTAGTCCCTACCTCTAAGTGTATTTGTCTCTCTCTCTAGTCATCTTCTCCTCTCCCTTCCCAGAGCCCAGGGCTGTGTTTTGGGAGCTGAGTTAGAAGCAGCTGCGGAGTGGTGCTGCCTAAGGACAAAAGAGAAATTATTGGAGACGATATAATAAATGAATGGAGTCATGTGAAATAGGGGAGGCATGGAAATGAGCACGTGTGGTCAGCACTGCTGGAGAACCCAGGTCAGAGAGCAGAGGGCAGCTTGATGGATGTGGATAGCTCATGCACCTTGCCCCTTGTATGTCAGGCCAGGCACTTTGTTAGTGAAAGCAACATAGAGGAGTTGTTTCTCCCACATCAATCGCAGGTTTTTAAGCAGAGATGCGTCATGTTTAGATTAGTATTCCAAATCAGTGTTTCTTATTTTTAAAAAACATCTATACAATGTGCTATGGTTTGATTGTATCCCCTCCAAAATTCAGGTGTTGCCAATGTGATGGTACTATTTGAATAACCCTTATTTAAAATACTTGGGACCAGAAGTGTTTCAGATTTCAGATTTTTTTCCAGTTTCTGAGTATTTGCATTATTGGTTGAACATCCCTAACCCAAAAATTTGAAGTCCAAAGTGCTCCGCTCAGCATTTCCTGTGAGCATTCTGTTGGAGCTCAAAATGTTTTGGCTTTTGGAGCATTTCAGTTTTCAGATTTTCAGATTGGGGATGCCTGTATTAAGAGGTGGAACTTTTAAGAGGTGATTAGGCCATAAGGACTCTTCCCTCAGGAATGTGATTAAGGCCCTTGTATAAGACAATTCACACAGGCTTCAGCTCTCTTGCCCTTCCCCCCTCCAAAATGTGAGGGCACAGTGTCTCTCCCTTTTTGGAGGACACAACACCAAAGTACCATCTTGGAAGCAGACACTGGGCCCTTACCAGCTGGCACCTTGATCTTGGACTTCATAGTCCCCAGAACTATGATTTCTGTTCTTTATAAGTTACCTAGCCTAAAGTATTTTGTTATAGCAGCACAAAGAGCCTAAGACACCGTGTTTATTTAATTTTTCATTTTGAACTAGTTTTAGCCTTTCAAAGAAGTTAGAAAAAATAGTACATAGAGCTCTTTACCAAACTTCTCTTAATGTTAACCACTTACATGACCATAGTGCAATTATCAAAATCAGGAAAAGAACACTGATAGAAATACATTTTAGTTTTATCCAACCTGTAACAGCTTCTCAGTCTTTCTTTGCTGTAGTAGTTTTCTAGAGCTGCTGTAACAAGTAACAACAAACAGCGTGGCTTAAAACAACAAGAATTTATTGTCTCACAGTTCTAGAGGCCAGAAGTCCAAACTCAAAATGTTGGCAGAGCTGTGCTGTCTCTGAAATCTGCAGAGAATTCTTCCTTGCCTCTTCAAAGCTTCCTGGGCTTGCAGCTACATCACTCCAGTCTCTGCCTCTGTTGTCACAGGGCAGTCTCCCTGTGTGTCTTTGCCTTCGCATGGCTATCTTTTTATAAAGACACTAGCCATATTGGACTAGAGGCCACCCTAACCAGCATGATATCATCTTTTAAAATCAATATGTATTTATACATATGTATATGTATGCATCTAATTTTTAATGTAACAAGAAATTTACCATCTTAATTTTTCAGCGTACAGTTCAGTAGTGTTAAGTATATTTACATGCTAGCAAAACAGATTTCCAGGACTTTGTCATCTTGCAAATCTGAACTCTATACCCATTAAACAACAACTCGCCTTTACCCCCTCCCCTCAGCCCCTGGTAACCTCCGTTTTCCTGTTTCCATAAATTTGACTACTTCAGTTGCACATAAGTGGAATCATGTAGTATCTGTTTTTTTGTGACATGTATGACTCTGTCTTGATGAATTACATCTGCAGCAGGCCTACTTCCGAATAAGGTCACACACCGAGTTACTAGGGGTTAGAATGTGTTTATCTGTTTTGGGGGATCACAATTCAACTTACCACACTTGTCTTTCACGACTGACATTTTTGAAGAGTACTGATCAGTTATTTTGAGAATATCCCTCAATTTGGATTTGCCTGATGTTTTTCTTGTGATTGAAATGGGATTATGCATTTTTGGTAAGAATATTATAGAAATGATATTGCGTTCCTCTCAGCGCGTTACATCTAGGAGTTTATGTTGTCGACACATTATATTCTGTGGCCCATTTTTGATAAACAAAAAGTTTCACACAATCCACTGGTGGGGGTGGGTGAGGTAATCTCATGGTAGCATGAAAAAGGCTGAGAGGGGAAGAACACTGGAACTTGGAAAACTACATATGATGTTGTTGCTGATGATAATAAAGGCTGGTGATGATGAAAAACAGGATTTAACTAGAAATGGAAAGGAGAGAATGGTGTCAATACGCTACACAGTCCACATCCCCCAGGAACACACCTATGCGGTTGAATCAGTTGGGCTTATTACTCCTTCCAGCAAGAGAAAACATATTCCATGGGAAACCATGGGCCATCTCACTAAGAGGGTGTTAGAAAAAACCTATTAGAGGACTTGGGCTTTGGTTGGGTGACTTTGGGGAGAGTCTAAGGAACTGGGGATAATTCTATGATTGGGTATCTCAAGCACTTCTACAGGAAGGGCAGACCAGAGTAGAGATAAAGGTATGATTTGCAAAGCAGCAGCAGTTACTCATTTTAGTGGGAGGATGACATTTGGTATTTTATGGGTTTCACAGTGATTTCTGTTTTTGTCTTATGCTGTCATGGTCTCAGAGCGACCTTGTTTGGTGTTGATGTTCTGTGAGATTACGTCCAAGGGATCAACACAGCTCAGCTAGGAGAGAGCCAGATTAGCTTGTAATAACATTGAGGCCACTTCTCAGATACCAGGATGTTTAAATATTTCCTTCTTTTCCTTGATGTCTATAGGGGTATTTAGAATAGAAAATCAGCAGATGAGTGATGATAGCTTTGTTGTGGGCTGTGAGAGAATTAGAGGAGTCTAGGAAGCCTCAGGCTTCCGTCCTGGCTAACCGTGTGAATGGATGAGAGAGTAACTGAGCTCAGGGATATGGGCAGAAGAACAGATTTGCAGTCACAGATAATGAGTCCAATTTTAGCCACACTGAGCCTGGGGTAATCAGGCCAGTTTCCAATCTCATAGCTTCGAAGCTGGCACTGTATGCACACACACAACCTGAAAACAAAAACCACTAATATTGAGATATCTTCTGAAAACAAAAATCACAAAGCCTAATCACAAATCACAAATACCTCCTGAAACATTTTGATAGCACCTGTCAAACAAGAAAATTTAGAGTATTTATGCCTCCAACCGCATTTTGAGCTACAGCAGAGGCAGCACTTCCTAAGACTGTTTATTTCCCACCCAAACACTTAGTTTTACAGCCAATTCCTTCCTCTGACTTCACACTTCATAGAACACACCCCTCCCTGAGCCCCATTACATCTTCTTACTGCCTTTCAAAATGGAAATAAGCTTAGAATCAATTCCATTTTCCTGGCTCCCCATTCTCTCTGGGTTAGAACTGCCCCAGTTAATTTAAAGCCAAGGCAGATGGTAATTCATCTTTGGCAATCAATGCAAGTGCCGAAGGAGAGGCGGGTCACACGCAGGCTTTCTTAAATCAACACTTGTGTGGAGCTTCCCTCCAGGCTCAGCAGTCACCTACCTGCTGTTGCTGCCATTACTTTCACTCCCCAGGAGGGGGAGGGTGGTGGAACTGGGTATAATGCCTGGTGTGGAAGCGCAGTAACAGGCTTCAGGAGAGAATGCTGAGACTGACCTCAGAGCCTGGGCTGCTGCCTGAAGGACTTGTGCTGAGCTCAATGAACACTACTCTTGGCTTCATTAGGAAAGTGTATTTGGAAAAGATATAGGAATATATTTCTAAGTCTCTGGAGGACAGTGCCTAGCACACAGTCCGTGCTCAATAAATATTTGAGCAGGATGGAGCAGCATTCTTGGAAGGAAGGAATGAGAGGTTTGACTCTAGGTAGGCAAATAGCTCTCATCTAAACCCTTCCTGAGCCCATGGGCTTTATGAGGGTGTTGTTTTTCCTCTTGCTCAGATGTGAGAAATGGCATCACGACCCACCAGTATATGAGAAATTGACCATTTTGTTGGGAAACACTAGAAAACTACCAGCTCTTGTGGGTAACCTTGTTCAAATATCGACTGGCAGTTTCTGCATCTGTGGATTGATTTCAACAACTTAGTTATTCGGAATATTTAAAAATAGAACCAGTCTATTTAAAGTGTCCTTCTGACTAGGGCCAGAATCAAAACAACAAGGGTTGCCTCTTTCAAAACAACAACCAAAACCTGCTAAGAAGGTGTTGATTGAGGGAGTTGAAAGACAGACACCCTCTGCTCTTCTAGGCCTCTTCACAGAGCAGCAGCGAGGGATGGGAGAACTGCCTGGATCCAGGCATTGCTAGGGTAGTTGGGGCCTGCACAGGGAATGGGGGTCCTACATGGGGATTTGGGACCCTCACAGAGAGTCAGCGCCTTGCCTGGGATTCGTCTGTAAAAAGGTAAACACAAAAAAAGGGAAATTCACAAATGCTCCATAATGGACATTATAGCTACAACACCAGCATCCATCCCATTCATTCTTCTCCCACAGAGTAGGAATGAAAATGATCTCAGCCATAGCTCCATGAGGAGGGGAGTGGGAGTGAGGAACTCATTGGTCTAAATCAGTGAAGTCTCATCATCTTTGCCATGCACTTGGTTTAGGGACGGCAGGGATCTAAAATGGCCCAATCACAGGGAAACCCAGGGCTTCTCTTTTATGAATAGATAAAAACGTGGTAAGTCCCCGGGCAAAGGCAGCCCTGGCAGGTGCTGGCAGCCATCCTAGGACTGCGAGGGGAGCCATCCTCGGGAGAGGGGGCAGTTCCAGGAAGGGAGAAAGTCAGTCTTGATGACACTGCTGAGTGGCTGAAGCACTATTTCTGGAATGTTCACCACATTAACTAAAGAGTTTCCTTTTTAAAGTGAGTTTGATTCAATTATTTCGTTATTTATGACCAAGACTGTCTTAACTGATACAGCTATAAAAATATTCATCATCTTCTCTGCGGTAAGATAAAAGGAAATACAAAGAAATCAGTAATGGATCCAAAATAGGCTTTCTCCTCACACATAATGTTAAATTGAAAGAGTCAATCCTATGATATATTGAGAATAAAATTGTCAGAATTTTTTCAACGGTAATTATTTTATTATACTCTTCTTGAAAATAATTTAATGTTAAAGAAATTAAAATTATAGTAACCCATGGTTTTGCCAAAGTAGAATTTTTTTTATTAATAGATTATAAAAAATGTTTAAAGTTGCAATCATAACTGTGAGATTATTTTTTATGCTTTAATGATTTTATCATAACCAATTTCCCATGTTTCTCGTACTCTTTACAATCATTTTCATTTTTTGAAAAAATTACCATCTTGTTTATATACTATAATTAGACCACCCCCGTAATGTGATACATACTTAGTTTCAACTTAGTTTTTTGTATTTGTAATTAGTGCTGCAATTAACAGATTTACGAAGCATAAAGCTCTTTCCTTCTGTTGAATTTGAATTATTAAGTGAATGACCTAACATTTCTAGGAGTATATAACTCCTACACTAAGCAAGGCCTTGGGTATCAAACTACTTGGGAAGAATTCTTGGCTCCATTCTCGCAAATAGTACTATCTTGTTATTGTCTTGTACAGATTACATAAGCTTTCTTTCCTTGTTTGTTTTTTCTTTTTCCATTTGTAAAATGGGAATAATCATAGCACCTACTCCAGAGAGTTACTTTAGAAACCAGTTGTCATAATACATGTCAAGGGACTTAAAACAATGTATGGTACATAATAAGCTCTCAAGAGCTCTATTACTGTTTGGAGTAATATTAGCATATGAACACATTAATATAATAAGTTCTATGGCATTACGGCCTTACCAGTGCTGCTTATTGATAATATTTTGTCATTTTAACAGACATACCATTATATCTCATAATTATCTTAACTTTCATTTAATTATTGAAGGTGGTCATTTCTCCATGTCTTTTATTTTTTGTGTGTATTGTCTATGTCCTTTAATGGACGATTTTATAAAGTATGTCTAATAGTCCAAAGGGACTGGGACTTGTTAATTTGTATAGGTATGTGTATTAGTTTCCTATTGTTACCGTAACAAGTTACCACAAATTCAGTAGCTTAAAGCAACACAAAATGGTCATCTTACACCTCTGGAGGTGTAATTTTAGACTTCTGACCAGAAGTCTAAAATTAAAGTGTTGGCAGGGCTGTGTTCATTCTGGATGCTTTAGGGAGAATCAATATCCCTGCCTTTTCCAGCTTCTAGAGGCAACTTACATTCCTTGGTTTATGACCCCTTCTTATAGGAACCCTTGTAATTATATTGGGTCACCTAAAAAATCCAAGATTATCTCCCCAGTTCATGATCCTTAATTTAATCACATATACAAAATCCCTTTAATCATGTAAGGTAACGTATTCACAGGTTCTGAGAATTCGAATGTGGACAGCTCTGAGGGGCAATTATTCAGCCTACAATGGCATAGATGTATTGATTCATTCAACCTACATTAATTGAGCACCTACTCTGTTCCAGGTGCTGGAGCTATAAAGGTATATGGAGACACACAGCCTGTTGGCAAGGAACACTCTCAGCAATGGAAAGAAGGAATGGAAGGAAGGAAGGAAGGAAAAAAAGAGAGAAAGGGAAGGAAGGGAGGGAGGGAGGGAGGGAGGGAAGGGAGAGAAAGGAGTGAAGGGAGGAAGGGAGCGATGGGAGGGAAGGGAAGGAAGGGAGGAAGGGATTAAAGAAAGAAAAAGAAAGAGAAAGGTGGGGGAGGGAGGGAAAAAGGAAAGAAGGGAGAGAGAGGAAAGAGAAAGGAAGGAGGAAGAGTGGAAGACAGAGAGGAAAGGAGGGAGGGAGGAGGAAAGCATTGCCATGGAAATACTTAAAATGCTATGGTAGCATAATAGAAAAATGTGTTCTAATTCCTGCGGGCCTGGAGGCTTCACAGAGGAGGGGACAATTGTGTTAGTTCTTAAAAACTAAGTAGGAGGCACCAGGCAAATAACTAGGAAAAAGCCATTCCTGGAGCGAAGAAACTGCAGAGGGACTAAGATTTGAAACAAAACGGCAATATTCAGAGAAAGGTGAGCCAATTCGGTTTAGTTAGAGGCTCGGGTATTTCCTAGCGAATGGCAGAAGACTGAAGGGCTGTGCTAAGAAATTAAAGAGCTTGTGTGTCATGGGGAAGCTGGTGAAGGTTAAGAAGGGTGATGATCAGATCTGATCGATGCTTTCTCAAGTGCAGTCTTGTGGCTGGGGGAGACTGAATGAGTGGAGCCGAAGGGCTGTTACAATCGCCCAGTGAAGGGGTGGTAAATTTCCCTTATATTTCTTCTGGTTTTTACTAATATCTAATAAAAAGTAAGGGAAATAAACTAGACGACTTTAAAGTTCCCTTCTTGATCTGTGATTTCATGATTTCTACTCAGTTTGTTCCCCCAGTGAGATTAGTAATTAAGATACTTTAGCTTCTGGGCCTGGAGGGAAAAAGTTACATTTACTCCCAGGAAATGACTTTTAAAAGAAGTTTTTAGATAAGTAGCTACTAAAAATCATTATTAAAAAATTACTCCATCATTTCCCCCAATGAGTCCTAATATGCATTTGGATAGCTTTTATTTCCTTATAAAAATATACTATAAAATTAATGCCATATTCTTTTCACTTAGAAGCAATGAAGCCCTTCAGGCTGCGGACAGAAAGGTCAATGCGTGTGTGTGTTGAAAACTTTAATGCCCCTCAGCCCCCTACATGGCTTCAAAGTGCTCCACTGTGTGGGTAAACAGAGTTTATTCAACCAGTCCTCGCTGGATAAACATTCAGGTGCTTCCAATCTTTTGCTAAACAATGCGTCCATCAACTTGAACATTTGTTGTTTCATATCTATAGAGATGTTTCTTTAGGGTACATGCCTGAAAGAAGATTTCTGGGACAAAAGGTAAATGCTTTAGTAATTTTGTTGGATGTTGCCAACTTTCCCTCCACAGAGGTGGTGACGATACCAGGCAATGTATGACCAGCAATGTATGACAATACCAGACTCTCCACAGCCTCATCAACAGTGTTCATGAAACATTTGGATTTTTGCCAATCTGACAGGTCAGAATTGATACTTGCAAGTAATTCAAATCTGCATCTCTCTTACTGTAAGTGGAGTTGGTCATCTTTCATACAGGACCATTAACCTCTTTTTAAAATAAATTTTTAATTGAGATGATTGTGGATTCACATGCAGTTGTAAGAAATAATAGAGAGAGATCCTGGACACCCTTTACCTAGTCCCCCTCCTCATGGCAACATCTTGCCAAATTATAGTAAGATGTCACAACCACACTATCGACATTGATACAGTCAAGATACAGAATAGATCCTGACCTTTCTTTTTATGACATTTTTATGTGAGTTGAATAAGATGGGGAAATTCCATCTACTCTTCCCAGTAATGACAAAAAAAAAAAAAAAAAAAACCTACACCCTGTACAAAACGCATAAGTAACCTACCAGAAGACTCTGAAAGGTGCAGTGAAGAAGCACACTGACTAGGAACATATGAACTGGAGGAACCCAGCTGTGAGCAACTTGAGTTTCTTCCGGCCTCCTTCACATCCCAGCCTGGGTGCCAGAGACATCTATCACTTAATAGAACAGCCACACCCCAGAAATGCCAATAAGGCAGATTTTTAAAAATCCCCCAAGAAAAACATGCTGTAAGTATAAGGACTTAAAACATGTTCTAAGAACTTAAAAAAGAGCAGCCCCTTTTTAAAATATATACATATTTTAAGTTATAGAATACATGTGCAGAACGTGCAGGTTTGTTACATAGGTATAACTGTGCCATGGTGGTTTGCTGCACCTATCAACCTGTCATCTAGGTTTTAAGCCCTGCATGCATTAGGTATTTGTTCTAATGCTCTCCCTTCCTCTCATCCCCCAACCCCACCCCCCAACAGGCCCAAGTGTGTGTTGTTCCCCTCCCTGTGTCCATGTGTTCTCATTGTTCAACTTCCACTGCAGTGTTTAGTTTTCTGTTCCTCTGTTAGTTTGCTGAGAATGGTTTCCAGCTTCATCCTTGTCCCTGCAAAGGACATGAACTCACTCTGTTTTATGGCTGCGTAGTATTCCATGGTATATATGTGCCACATATTCTTTATCCAATCTATCACTGATGGGCACCTGGGTTGCTTCCAAGTCTTTGCTATTGTGAATAGTGAAGAGCATCCCTTTTATCCATACCTGTCTGCTCTCCAGAGGGGCACCAGCAAAGAAGCTATGCCCCTCGTCTGCCCCAACCAGCACTGCTGTGGACAATCTGTTTCCCATCCTCACTCACACCCTCTCTGCGGTAACCAGACGAGGCCCCTCCCTTACACAGCCTAAGGTAGAACTCTGGAAGCTTTCCTTCTTTTATGGGACTTGTCCAAGACTTTTGCCCAATTTTCCATCAGGTTTACAAGTAGGCTGTAAAATTTTAGAGGAAAAGGGGGTTGGCCCTTTTGAGAAGCCCATGGCAAGCAGCTCCCTTTCTTGGTTATGGGCTGCTTGGAAAAAATTGTATCTAATTTACCCCCATTCCCCCAGCACTAAGCACAATGCTGAGACATGGTGTGTTAATAAATGACAAAAAATTATTGGTGTTAGAGAGAATAAAGACAAGGCTACCCGAGTTGCTAAACAGGCTAAAAGACTGCATAATTACCCTATGCAAAATGACATTCATACCAAGGGCAAGGGAAAAAGAGTATAATAAAAGGGGAATCTAGTTACCATAGTGACCCTGTTCTGCTGAAACAAAAACACTCAACAGGATTTAACGAAGAATTAATAACCATCATGATTGTTCCTGATTCTGACAAAGACGGTGGTGGAAGAGAAGGGAGAAGGAAAAGCAGGCAACAGAGGGGTGGAAAGCGGGGGAGAACTGTGTCAAGAACATCTAATAATCCTTGGAAATTAACTAGATACATTGCTAAAACTACCTCAGATGAAAATTACGCTCCAGAGATAAATTAACACTTTCTCTTTCATAAGCCAAATTAGGTGTTTTCACAGTCTGCTCTGATGTGCTTTCCATGTCATCTAAAATCACACAACCCTGTGAGGAAAGGGACCCTGATTCCTATTTGCTACATTTCTTCTTATGACTATTACTGACAAATTTCAATTGTACACTTTTGCCAGTTTTACTAATTGTTCACATACATGATCACACATAGGGTAATCACTGACTTCATTTTCTAGTTGAATTAAAGAATGCAGTATCATTCTTTAATCTTTCATCAAAATATTAGGGTCATATAACACTGTATATTTTGTGGGAAGGGCGACTTCACTTTTCACGGTTTTTTAAAAAAACAATAAAAATGATCTTGGCAATGAATTGCTATTTTTTCTCTTACATACTAACCTGTATTAACTGACTTAGAAGATACCTTTTAATTTAAAAAAAATATTGAGTATAAAAGAGCCGGGCTCTCTATTCAGATACATTCATAGGTGTGTCACACATTTTGACAATGGACCTTAATAGTCCTAATGAAGGCACTGATCCTACCTAACACAATCAAGTATGAGGTATATGTTTTCTGTTTTCTTTTTTTTTTTTTTTTTTTTTTTGAGACAGAGTCTCGCTCTGTCGCCCAGGCTGGAGTGCAGTGGCGCGATCTTGGCTCAATGCAAGCTCCACCTCCCAGGTTCCCGCCATTCTCCTGCCTCAGCCTCCCAAGTAGCTGGGACTACAGGCGCCTGCCACCACGCCCGGCTAATTTTTTGTATTTTTAGTAGAGACAGGGTTTCACCGTGTTACCTAGGATGGTCTCGATCTCCTGATGAGGTATATGTTTTAATAGAACAGTAATTTAGAATGCCGTTTAGTTCTTCCCTAATTAGATGGCAAAGTGTTCCCCTGACAGACTCACTCATTCATTGAGCACTATGCCAGATGCTAGAAGTACAAAAAAAAATAAGACACTGCTACTCTCAGATAGTTAGCAGTCTTTGGGAGGAAAGAAAATTTGTTAATCAAACACATGCAACAGTATAAGCCATGCTTTTAATAGAGTTTAGGTACTGTAGGCAGAGGTGAAAGGAGTGAGGGGCAAACTGGTTGGCCAGAGAAGGCTTCCAGAGGAGCTTATTGAGTCAAAGAGGTATGTAGGCCAAGGTCGGTGGCTTACACATGTAATCCTAGCACTTTGGGAGGCCGAGGCAGGCAATCACTTGAGCTGAGGAGTTTGAGACCAGCCTGGGCAACATAGTGAAACTCTTTCTCTACAAAAAAAAAAAAAAAAAAAATTAACTGGGTGCGGTGGCATGTGCCTGTAATCCCAGCTACTTAGGAGGCTGAAGCAGGAGAATCGCTTGAACCCAGGAGGAGGAGGTTGCAGTGAGCCAAGATGGTAGCACTGCACTCCAGCCTGGGCAAGAGAGCCAGATCCACCAGATTCTCTGGTGGATAAGATAGGAAAGATTGTGTACAAAGGCAACGGTTAAGAGGCCAATCGGAGCAGCTCATAGGTAGCTAAGGAATGGAAAGAATGGAACAGGAGTGAGAGATGAGATATCCGTCTTGGAGAGGCAAGGAGAATTCAGATCATGAAGAGCCTGGTATGAGAAGCAGAAACACTTGGACCTTATCTGTAGGCGGTGGGAAGCCCCAGGAAGATTTTCAGCAAGGTGGCATTTCAAAAGAGACAATTTCTGTGGCAACATGGAAAATGGAGTCAAAGAAGAAGATATATCCTTGCAGTGAGAAAAGATGGAGTGAGGTAGGTGGATCACTTGAGTCCAGGAGATTGAGTCCAGCTTGGGCAATATGGTGAGACCCTATCTCAAAAAAAAAAAGGTGGGGGGAAGGTTTGGGCAGTTGTTGAAGAAACAAAAGACCCTGGCAGATTGAAGACAGAATTAAAAGGTAATGTTGACTGTGGGGAGGAGAAAAAGGGAGGATGACTCAGATTCATGCCTTGACTTGCTAAGGGGATGGGAATACAGGAAAAGACTAGGTTTTGAAGAGGGATTTGATACATTTACCTAAGGACCTGGTGAATTAAAGTTTCTGTGAACAAACAGGTGGGGATGACCAATAAATTGATAATGAGTCAGATGCTAATAATAATTCCAAGCTGGAGATAAGGGCTTGGGAATTTCCTGTATATATCTAGTGGGTCCATGGATTTAAAGCTCTAGAAGTGTAAGAGATTACCTGCTGCATTTGACTGATTAAAATTTAACAATATCAAAAATTGAGTTCCTTGCACTTACTACTGACATCTCAAATGCTTGAGAGCCACATGTGGCTAGTGACTACTACATCGGACAGCATGGACGTAAAACATCTTCATCATCACAAAACGTTCTGTTGGACACTATTAAAAGTGAGTATTGATAGAAAGGGCGAGTGGAAGGCAGAGGAAGGACCTTCCAAGGAAACTGCAGATATGTGTGAAAAGCCAAACCCAAAAGCCAAGGTTGGAGAGAGAGAGAGCAGGGACTCCGGCACATCGGGGATATTTGACTTCCTCCGGTATGATACTGGGAGAAGCTGAGTTACTAAATGCCGTCCATGAACTACATATTGTAATGTGTGCTTCCCATGCCATCTAAAACCACACAACCCAGTGAGGAAAGGGACCCTGATTCCTATTTGCTACATTTCTTCTTATGACTGACAAATTTTTTTTTTTTTTTGAGATGGAGTCTCGCTCTGTCGCCCAGGCTGGAGTGCAGTGGCGCGATCTCCGCTCACTGCATGCTCCGCCTCCCGGGTTCACGCCATTCTCCTGCCTCAGCCTCCCGAGTAGCTGGGACCACAGGCGCCCGCCACCACGCCCGGGTAATATTTCGTATTTTTAGTAGAGACAGGGTTTCACCGTGTTAGCCAGGATGGTCTCCCATCTCCTGAACTCATGATCCGCCCGCCTCGGCCTCCCAAAGTGCTGGGATTACAGGCGTCAGCCACTGTGCCCAGGCGACAAATTTCAATTGCATACTTTGCGCCTGGCCGACGAATTTCAATTGTACACTTTTGCCAGTTTTACTAATTGTTCACATACATGATCACATGTAGGGTAATCACTGACTTCATTTTCTATTTGAATTAAAGAATGCAGTATCATTCTTTAAATATAAGCCAAGAATGTGCATGAAAGAAAAGCTTGTTAATCTAAAGCTGAAAAACTGACTTAATATGAGCCAAGTTTTTGTTCCCTGTGTCAGGTACTGACACAGTGGCACTCAGTGCTCTACTACAGTTGGCTTATTTTTAATCATTTCAATTATCCTCGGGTAGAACATCATCCTTGACTGAGAGAACAGGAAACTGAGGACAACAGACGTTTGAAAATGTGTTAATGTTTCACAGATAATGGCAGAGGACCCCTGGATTCAAACTCAGATCAGTCTAAGTTATAAGTAAAAATTCTACACTATTTGCTTATAACCCCCACCTTCCACAGAGCCCACCTTATACAAAATCCTTAAGCAAATTTTTAAGGTCTATTGCAGAAGAACAATTATCTCAACATCTCCTTCTGAAGTACATGTTTACAGCTGAGAAATACGTGCTGGAGAAAAGCTGCTCCTGCAAAGATGCTCAATTAGTTAAACAGACAATCAACGTTTGCAAAGGACAGAAATGAGCCCCTCATTTGATAGCATGTGATTCTTCAGGTATTTCTGCTACATCAGTTTTACACAGAGAGGATGTAAACTCCTTGAGGGTAGGTAATGTCTGATACCTCTCAAGATCCTCCAGAGCACATACTTAAACTGATAAAATTGGGAAGACTGTATTAGCAAGGGCATGCAACCAAAATCTGTTAGCGGAATGTGTTGAGAAAGATGCAAGTTTTATTTTTCACACCGTTTTTTTTTCCTTTTCATTGCATAGTTGAGCGGCAAATCACTTTTCTGAAGTCGCTTAAATCAAGAGCAATACAGTACATGCTCCTTAAGAACAGACTTCTCTAAATAAAATTTTGGTCCAGAACATACCCAACCACCTTAAATCTTTGTCTAAAGATAGCACAAAAAGTGTGTGTGTGTACAGTGTGTGTGTGTATATAGAATATCAGGTATATATGATCATATATACACACACATACACACACACACACATATATATATGATCATTAAATGGAGTTACTATGTTTTCACCAGAGGGCACATTAGTACCATAGTGGGGCAGACTAAGCTGACTAAATTTCACGGCTTTAAATGATTATGATTTTAATGATTGGTTTTAGTTATGACATGCAGTGACAATATCCCTATAGATCATATTATACATAGAGTAATTACAACTCATTTCACAACTAGTAAGTTGATAAAACTCATGATCTTACAATCTAGTCTCAAATACAAATCTAGTCCCTAGGTATTTTTGAAATTTGGCTCTTTGCCTTAAAAATCATCGATACCTGAAAAACAAGTAGTAAATTGAGCATAACACACCAGCTTAGTTTATTGAAGTTGTGCAGGAAAAAGAAAATTTATGCTAAAATGAATTCTTAAATATTTATCTTGATATAATAGATTACTAATTGTTGTACTAATGAAAAATACTTAAATACTACTTTTTGAGATAAAAGGAATAAGGTGATCTCCACCTGTATTTAAGCTGTGGTTACCTTATGCTTATATTGCAACCCTATTGTCAACCAAGATATTCATCAATAATTCATTTAAAATTTAGGATAACAAACAAACAAAAATCCCAGGTAACCCAAAAAAGTTCCTGAGAGGAAAATAATTACATCTTCACACAAAGTCTTTAGAACATTATATTTCATAAAAGACAATGATAAAAAAGTACAAACATTTCCATGAGAAGCAAAAAAAGAAGTGGGATACAAGAAATTACTAGCATTTATTTCAGTGCATTTATGTAGAAGCCTTTCATCTAAATAAATAAAATAATCTTAAGTACACTTCCTCTTTCTGATAAACAATACTATAACCATTTTAGTTCTCTCAACCGGCATACTTGCAAATACAAGACAATAAATCTACAACAGTATGTATTTGAAAAACACATAAAGAAATATATCAAAGACAAGCAAAGGCCAAATAAAATGACAAAATCTGCTTTCACTTGTAGGAAGCCTCCAGAAAGAGAATATTGTATTGGACATTTTTCCATTTTGTTTTAAAATATCAGTATCTTGGCTGGCAAAAGGGTATATAAGGAAATTTTTAATACATAACTGTATCTACTTAATATTATAAAGTTTTCTTACTGAATAACTTTTCACAAAAACAAAAACTTAAATGTAGATTTAAAAAATACTCATAAAACCCTAGTTTTAGCAAAGAATTAACTATCTCCACTGTGAATTATATATAGTTCCAGCAAATGTGTACTCTTCTCCTTTTCTTCTCTACAGACAGGCCCATTAGTCATTACTTCTTTCTGTAGTTGAAAAGCACCATGTAATTTTCCCAGTTAGTGCCATAGGGACCTCCTATTAGCCCTAGGTCCACATATACGGGTTTCTTGACTTTGAGACTAGGAAATACAACAGATAAGTTATCAGAAGATGTCTTCATAATTTCAGAAAGATCTCAATTTGCTTGACTTCATTTGTTTAGAAATGAAGTAATAATACTCCTTCCATAGACATACCTAGCATTGCACTGGATATGGAATAGGCAATCAATACATGCTCATTAATAAATCCTCCAAACATCCTATAATTTGCATTTGCAATGTATTTGTTAATCTTTATGTAATAATTAATACAATGAAGATAAACGGGCACAGCTCTGTCACTCTCACAGAAACATATTAAGTTCACTGTTTATAGGCAAAAATAATTTTAGGTCTACACTAAAAAAGCAAAACAAACAAACAAAAAGCAAACGAGGTGGTTTTCACAGGATGACAAACTATATTTCAAAACTGAAAAAAAGCAAAATGTTTATATCTCACTCCTGAAACAAAAATTAACATCAGACTTAAGAAAATAAGGCAGATACTAGTAGTACTAAGTTTTCTTGAAACTGTAAAATATATATAAAAATGAAAAGATACCGAATGTGGACAGCTCCACATTGATCAACAAATGTTAACATTCTCAATCTCTTTCATTGACTTTAAAAACTATGTAATAGAAACAGAAAATGAACTAATACACAAATGAAGTACAAATATCATAATTTTCAGAAGGTTTGATTTTTCGAGTACCATAAAAAAACTGAAATATAAATATTTTGGAAATAGTTCTAAGAAATAAATATGAAAATATTTTGTTTGGTATCATAACACAGAAGCTATCCATTTTCTCAAAGTGTAAGGATTCAATTATTTTATGATTTAGTTTGTGGTCATTTGTGTTATCAATATTGCCATAAAAATGACACTTCAAAATAAAACTTACAATCTGAGATAAATAACCATAGTTCTGTTTTAGGTAAACAATCCTTGAGGCAAATATTATCCAAACGTTTCTCATATATAGATTTCTATTGCTCATCATTGTTGTTGAACATTCACTTTATAGATATTTAATTTTTTGTTTAAAATTTGTGAAAATATCAAGATATTTTAAACAATCTTTATAATTGCTAATTTTCAAAAAAGAATACTGTTCGGCTTTACTGTGGAAAAATTCATCCAAAATTAAGATATGTACTTGATATCAGGTAGTAAGACCTTTTTTCAGAGAACAGTCATATGAAGATAACTGGACAAAGCCCTGACACTCATGCAAACATGTAAGATATTACATATAGAAGACATTATGGCATCAGTGCACCAAATAACTCATCACGTATTTTAAGACAATGCTATTAAATTATGCTTTTAGATACTACATATAGAAGACATTATAATATCAGCGCACTGAATACTGATCATGTATTTTAAGATAATTCTATTAAATTATACTTTTAGAAAGAAAATTTTAGTAATTAACACCAGAGATATAATCTCTTAAAAGTGAAAAAAACAAAATATAGTTTGAATGAAACTAACATTCAAGGGTCCCCTCCAAAAGTGAAATTCTATGTCTGAAAACTAAACTTAAAATTTGTTTTTATCTACTAAGTATTTATCTTTATAAAAATAGAATATTTAATTCTTATCTAATAGTATAATTCATTTGTATATTATAAGTACTATTGGGTTTTCTTCCATAGATCATTCTTTTAAAAAAACTGACTTGATTTCTTTTTAAATGAAGATACTTTTTTTTGGCTCTTCTGAACTGGAAATAATAAAAGTGCTGTTCACCGTGAATTTAAAAAAAATACACAGTATAAACACACAACCTTGGAAACATTTTTTGAGGCACAAAATCCCTGACACACCAGAGGTACATGGAAAGACATTTAACATAAAGAGATCCTTTATATCATGTCACATCACAACTTTTAAGATTTTTCTTGGTAATACTCATGCAATATGCATAAACAATATGGTTGTGATTTCTAGCAAAATCAGATGAGATTGCAAGCAAGGAAAAACATAGGTAATCCCGGTAGGAAGAAAAGCTATTTAAGTCCTTCCTTCTTTTCCTTTAAAGCCTAAGAAAGCTGTGACTTCTTCCACACAAAAGGCTGAGGTCTAAAGCTCAAAACTAGTATAACAGTTTACTGTATTAGTTGGCTGTCAATTATTGACAGTTCCTTCATTTCACACAAGGGTTAACCTTTGTTTAGTGATGTAAATTTAGTGAGTTTTTTTCATGCAAATAAAAAATGTCTATAAAAGTCCAATAAAGGTATAACCGATTACATGCAAAACTGCAACACATCTAATTTTTAAACAATTTGCACACATTAATTTATATCACATATATACAAAATATGTTTAAACGGAAATAAAAGCATTCTCTTGAATTAAATTATAGATTTTAGTATAAAAATTTTCTCTTCGGAGGGAGCTCTCTTAACTTCCGATCTTAAGTAGTGGCTTCCCGTTTCTGCGGTGCTCGCCACAGGGGTGTGTCTCAGAGCAGGGAGGACGGGTGAGAGAAGGGTGACTGTATATAGTCCCACTCTGTAAACACTGTGGACTGCTGGCTCTTCTCAGAGAAAAGGGCACTGTGACACAGCCAATCACTGACCTCCACTAAGAGCGCGCTCCAAGTTTATGATCCAGCATTGTGGTCTACCTTGCCACGACAGCCACTTCTTTTAATAGTCTTCGATTGGAGCTAACTCTGGCATGAGGTTTACAGATATGTTTGTATACAACCTATCAACCAGTATTTTTGGCCTATATATTAAATTGTTCAGTCCATCGATGTACTGACGCTCCTTGGAATACCTTAGTAATTTATACCTATAGTTTTAGAGGAAAAAACAAAAAAGCAACAAAACATGTTCAAAAAGGAAAACTGATAAGGACTGTGTTCAAGGTCATCTTATAATTAAAGCACTTAATGCCCTTTACAATTTCTGGTTCTTGTGCATAATTTAAGAATCTCTAAACCATTATTCTAAATTAGCAATTTTACTACTCAAGAAATGCCACCTGAAAAAATTATTTTGCACTTTTACAATTAGACATCTTTAATAAATAAAACATTATGCTTTATGTTACGTAAATACTTTTACATAAATAGTTAACCGGGCTCTTTAACGTAAATATGTGTATTTATTAATGTATATATACGTATATCTCTTAAAAACAAGCATCAAAAATGCTTCCTTTTGTAAAGATTCCCTTCAGCAAAAAATACTTCCCTTCCATTATGAAAATTCCCTTCAGCAGCTTTTTTGGGGTTCAATGCATTTTTATTTACCTTTCATTTATTCAACAGCTTTGGAAACCTTGGTATCTGAAGATGACATTCAACTTACCGTCCTAAAAACTGGACTTCACCTCTATGGTGATGAGGAATTGACTTGTATTTTCCTAAGTCTCCCTCTGGTCTGGTTACATTATATCCAGCATAGTGAACTCTACAATGCCATATATGGAAATGAAAATATAGAGAAATAAAATATGAAAATGGGTTATGTGAGTTCAATTTTAAAACACAAAAGAATGCTCTAATCCAGGGTTCCCCAACCCCTGGGCCACAAACCAGTATAGGTCCATGGCCTGTTAAAAACTGGGCCGCACAGCAGGAGGTGAGCGATCATTACTGCTTGAGCTCCACCTCCTGTCGGATCAGCGAATGGCATTAGATTTTCAGAGGAACACAAACCCTATTGTAAACTGCACATGTGAGGGATCTAGGTTGTATGCTCCTTATGAGAATCTAATGCCTGATGATCTGAGGTGGAATGGTTTCCTCCCGAAACCATCCTCCTGGGTCCTTGGAAAAATTATCTTCCAGGAGACTGGTCCCTGGTGCCAAAAAAGTTGGGGACCGCTGCTCTAATTATATGCTGCCAATAATTTCAGAAAGCAGACTTAATGAAAAAAAAAGAGAAATATAAAACAGGGTTTAGAAACCTCAAACATATCCCATCCCAAAGAATGTTCTTGGAATGGATAAGTACTACAATTTACCTAATATAAATAAGATTTATAAAAATTCTATTAGTGAACAATTTGTACCTCAACATACCTGTTCCAAAGGTCATCATCTTCTCCTCCCCATCCCCAGAAGGCATTAGGAAAACCATTGATCTTTCTAAATTGTTCCACTGTCAGCCCACTTACACCACCAAAAAATTCTTTATATGGAAGACTAGAAAAGAAAGACACAGTATTCTAAAAATAAAATCATAATAATTTCCCATGTGAAATGAAGGTTTCAGCCTTTTATGTGCTTTGCAAAATATGCCCTTATATTCTATATAGACAATTATGTTAGAAAATGTAAAGTACACCAAGACATAAAACATTTTTATATTCTAGTGAAACAAGTACATGTACATGTGTTATGTTAAATGTAAAGCACTTATGGAAACCTAAATTTAATATTTAGTATACAAATAAGACTCAAAATAAAATCTGTAAGGCTCAAAACCCAGTGCCCCCAAATTGTATATTTTCACAGCAAAAGTAAACATGATTAAATATATTTATAATGGTCAATGCATGTCAGATGTTCCTAAACTAGTAACACTGAAAAAATTAACTGAATTATAAACGCATTATTTATTATATAGAGCAGGATAAATATCAATTACAAAAGACAATTCTAGCATTTAATTGTCTAGCTACCTACTTTTATAATGATCTTATCTGTTGGAATTATACTCTCAAAATATTCATGGATATTTACAAATATATTCATTTTCAATGCATTGATATTTACAGAAATAACTATTTTTGTTTGGATTTTATTTTCCTTACCCTTTCCTAACTCATACTCCAAGGAATGTGTCAAACGATGCAATGTTTTTAAACTTTTCTAAACTATATTTTTACTTAGCTAAACTGTGTGTTTAGGTATAGATTGGCTTTCTGACATTTAGGCAGCATCCCTAGACCTGCAATCCTGAATATATTCCCATGGACTGAAACACGCCCCTGGGGAGCAGATGCCAGAGCAGAGAAAACGTGACCATGCACAGCACCCAAAAATCAAGCTGAGGGAAACCTGGCTGCAACCACAGCAAAGCTGTCTCAGAGGAGGGAACTTTTTGTTAGACACTCGCCTCACATTCTGAGAAGGACGTGCTGTTTGCCAGCTGGGGTCTTGTGTGGCACACAGACCAGGGAAGACTGGTTCTTTCATGGAAGCCTAGGGTTGTAGGAGAAAGCAGTCTTGCCCTCATCCTAGGTCAAAGGTACTCCAAGATGGTAACAGCAACACTGATCCTAAAGACAACCATACTCTCCTGAGACCTCTCAAGGCTCACACTTGGGAGCTTAGTGTTCTGGTATTACAGTAAGACTAGCTGGGGGTTCCACAGGGCCAATAAGCATTCTTGGCACCGTGTACTTCCCACATCAGATGGATTATTCTTGCCCAGGCTAGTAGTTTAGGAAAAACCTGAGATCGTCAGATAGGGAAACATGAATAAATGTGTCTGTGTGCTTATTGACATGTATAAATCAGCAAGCCTATCAATTCCATTTATTGCTCTAAGTGGAAATAATCAATTGTGCTATATGAATAATGGAAAGTTATTAGGTAAAATGAAGGTATAACAGATAAACTAAAGAAGAGAAAACAAAACCCAACAAGTCAAACTCTTGCAGTGTTTATCTTACACTGTAAAAGTGGGAGAGACACTACACCTGAGAGTCTGAGTTCTCTGGTCAGCAGTAGTGTGGCCATCACTGTGGGGCAGGGACGCTTCACCAGGCTTCATCCCACAGCTGAAGTCTATGCACTGCCCAGACCAGGCCTTGATCTACTGCCATTCTCCTAGAGCTACATTCTAATTTCTCTACAAACGTCCAAGATGCCTAACCAATCCAGGGACTAGTCTAGATGGATATGAATACAGCTGACGCTTGAACAACACAGGTTTGAGCTGCACAAGTCCACTGATATACAATTTCTTTTTCAATAAAAGTTACATAGAATGTGCCTCTCCTGCCTCCTTTTCCATCTTCAATTCTTTCACCTTGCCACCCTTGAGACCCCAAGACCAATCCCTCCTCTTCCTTAGCCTACTCCACGTGAGGACGATGAGGATGAAGACCTTCAGGATGATCCACTTCCACTTAATGGACAGTAAATATATTTTCCCTCCCTTATGATTTTCTTAATAACATCTTTTCTCTAGCTTACTTTATGGTAAGAATATGGTATACAATACATATAACATACAAAATATGTGTTACTCAATTGTTTATATTATTGGTAAGGCTTTTGGCTAACAGTAGGCTATTAGTAGTTAAGCTTTTGGGGAGTCAAAAGTTATACTAGATTTTCAACTGCATTCCGGTGGCTGGGGGAGGTGGTCACCACTGTAACCCCTGCATTACTCAAGGGTCAACTGTATTTTATTAGAAATTGATATTTTCAAGTTAACAACAAATTATTTAGACAACAAATTCATTTAGAATTTAACAATAAATTAATTTAGAATTCTTAGTTTATATGCCCTTTATGATTTTTTTTTTTTTTTTTTTTTTTTTTTTTTTTTTTTGTGAAAATCGGTTACCCTGGATCTAATGTGATTCTAGCAAACTGACTGAAATCAAGTTTCCAGAAGTGGTAAGAACCAGATTGTTGCCGGGCACGGTGGCTCATGCCTGTAATCCCAGCACTTTGGGAGGCCGAGGCGGGTGGATCACAAGGTCAGGAGATCAAGACTATCTTGGCTAACACAGTGAAACCCCGTCTCTACTAAAAATACAAAAAAATTAGCCAGGCGTGGTGGCAGGCGCCTGTAGTCCCAGCTACTCGGGAAGCTGAGGCAGGAGAATGGCGTGAACCCGGGAGGCAGAGCTTGCAGTGAGCCGAGATCGCACCACTGCACTCCAGCATGGGCGACAAAGCGAGACTCTGTCTCAAAAAAAAAAAAAAAAGAAAAAGAGAACCAGATTGTGAACCTTGATGGCCTTCTTCAAGGTAACCCCATACTCAAAGTTCAGATACAGAGGTAATAAAGAAAAAGGTTTTCTAATGATAACAATGACCAGCAAAAAAAAAGGAAGGAGGAGGAGAAGGATGAGGTGGAGAAGGAGAAGCAGGAAGGAAGGAAGGAAGAGGAAGAAGGGGGGAGGGGGAAGAAGGGGAGCGGAAGCGGGGAGGGGGAAGGAGGGGAGCGGGAGTGGGGAGGAGGAGTGGGGAGGAGGAAGAGGAAGAAGAAGAAAGAAACAAGCATTCTTTTCCTGCTTGTGTCAGACTTTTTGCTTCTCTGTACTCTAGATTAGCACCAGGCAAAACTGTGACACAGGCAACATCTTCCTGCCCTAAGCAACAAACAGATTTTCTCTCTACTCCCATTAGGCCAATGAAAACTGTGATCCTTTTCCCATATTAGACTTGCATTCTTTCATGTCCTTTTAAGTTACTATCTCAGCTCTGATAACTGTTCATTTTAAATTATCTCCAATTAGAGAAGGAAAAGATTTGGGTTTTTTTTTTTTATTATTAAAGGGCAGGTCAAGAATGCACACCTTAGGAAGAAGATAAACAGCAGAAGAGAGGGCTTTGTGGCCCTCCAAACCATCACTGGGGGAGAGCAGGCAGGAGTCAAGATGAGTTATGCACCTACCACACAGCAGGCACAGAGCACATGTGATCTCACAGCAGCTCTATGGATGGAATCTATTATCCCAGTGAACAAGGAATACACCTTCAGAGATGCAAGTGACTAACCTATAAGTCCTGGAACTGTAAGTGTGAGAACCCAAGTTTAAATCTGTGTGTGCTTGACCACAGAAACCAGGCTCTCTTTCCCACCACACCACATTCAAACCTCTGTGTAAGGAAGCACCCAGGGGAACGAAAAGCCACTCTGTGTCCTGGCTCCCCAGGAGGACACGATGGAGTTAAAGATGATATTCTTGGGGTTCTTGAGTTCTCTCAGATTTAGGGACATAACGCTGCTACCATTTCAATGCTATGACTGTGCAATTATATCGTACAATATCAGGAATAGTGCACACTACTTACATATACATGTATTTATCCAGCTTTGCAGCAAAATGACGTGGCATTTCTCCACATCCGTAATAGTTCCGGTCATTTTCAGGTAGATGATCCACATCGTGGAAGATTACACAGTCCCAGACACTGTCTTTCATGGCCTCTTTGAAGCCCACATTGAAAAGCATCGCACGGTTAAAAGGTTGTGTGCCAGTCTTCATGGAGCAGACCGAGAGAAAAAAATAGAAATGTACTCACACTTCATCATCTTTTTTTTTTTTTTTCTTTTTTTTGGTATTTTTAGTAGAGATGGGGTTTCACCATGTTGGCCAGGCTGGTCTCGAACTACTGACCTCGTGATCCACCCACCTCAGCCTCCCAAGGTGCTGGGATTGCAGGTGTGAGCCACCGCGCCCGGCCCCCATCTGACTTTTTTCTATTATTTTTCAAACTTGTTGCATCATGATCAAATGATTACAATAATTAGACCCAAATGAAATAGACAAATAATAAATATACTTCAGGATTTTCAAATACACTGTTTAAATTTACTTACTATATTATTTTATAATTTAATAACATAGAAGAAAACAGTATCTAGTCCATTGGTACATCAGCACATTTAAATAATTTGTATTTCTGCTCTACTTCAAATACATCAGGATATAGATTACTTGTGGCGAGAAAAAAAAAGTCATTAAAAATAATATAAGTTTTATTTTGTTAGTGGAGCTTTCCATATGCTGTCAAGACTAAGAGAAGAGGAAACTGGAAGTGACTCAACAGTGACCCTTCTCTAAAGTACCAATACCAAGGAGGTCTAACTTTCTATTATTAATGCTTATAATAAATACCAAGAACATTTTAGACAAAAAACAATTGGAACTTACTACACAAAGCCCAACTTCCTTTATTACAACCATTTTCCTTTATTATTACAGAAAATACATTAAAGTACATGGGCAATAGTTTCTATTATTGCTTATGATAAAGATTAAGGGCATTTTTAAGGGACAAAAAATACAATTTTATTACACAGAACCCAACTCCCTATATTATAACCATTTTCCTTTATTTATCAGTGAACATATATTAAGGTGCACTGGCAATAAAAAACCTTCATTCTGCATATAAAGAAAATTAAAGAGCATTTACCAGTGTTTTAGCAACATTTAACAAAACCATTTCTAAAATATATTAAAAAAAGGATTACGATAGAAGTAAATGAGACACACATTGTAGTCATCATCAGAGCACTGCCTCAAGAGTGAAAAATTACTAATTTTTAGTCCTAGGCCTTGCACTAACTTGAGGTAATAGAAGTCATTTTATTTTTTACAGCCTCTTTTTTCACCAGTGAAATAAAATAAAAAGAAAAGGGAGTTAAATTATAATGTTATGACTAGTACATCAACATCAGCTTTAACAAACTACTTTTAAGGTTTTAAAAATTGTTTTTATTAAATGTTTTATTAAATGTGGACATAATACTCAAAGGCTTATAAAAGAAATAAGAAGTTCCATATCTAATCCATCTCCATCCAAGAGCAATACATTTCAACTCTTCCCATTTATTCCGGTATTTATCTACATATTTTGAGGAAATGAGAGTTCTGATATTTCTTGCTTCTTTCACTTTAAGACACTGTCTCTTGACTTCTTATCATGGTAGTGGAGGAGTTAAACCACCACACCTCCTGCCCCTACCTCTATTCTCCCAATATAGTTTTATCATAATTTTTGGTTAAATCAAGACTTTACATTATTAGGACTATGTAAATATTTAATATTTCTTCAGTGCTGAGTGAACTGTTTTCTTTTGCAAACTGGGAATAACTACAGTTTTCTATATAACTATTATATTATTACTTTGTACTGAAGGCCCAAGAAATATGCCCTACACCTATTAATAATTGATGTAATCATTCAAACACATCAAATCATCTATCAATTCTTTCTCCATCTCTCAAGCCCAACTCTCCCTTGCCCTCTCCAGACCATGTGTGCATATCACCTGGGTCGTCTTCATTCCCTAAATCACCTACGCCTTTTCCTTGGCTTTCTCAATTTCCTGAGGCACATTCTTCAAGAGCTTGCTAAGTAAAGACCCATGGAGAATACACTTTTAGCCAATTAAGGACTGAAAATGCCATTAGTCTACTCTCACATTTGTCAATTTGGCTGGGTAAAAAATTCCAGGAAAAAAAAATTTCCCAGTATTGCTGAGAATGTTCATAGGTTTCTGATTCATAATCATTGGTCATTTTTCCTAGAATTCCCAGTATCCCTCATCCTTTGCCTATGAAAGCCCTGAGATCCTGGCAGGAAGAGACACAAGCAGGTGGACGTCGAGAGGAACACACCAGCGATAAAGTTGCTCCTCTACTTAAGAACCTCCAGAAGGCAGTGGGGGGTTTTAAGCGGAGGAGAGACTTACATTAGGTCAGCATACATTAATATAAAACTACCACCTATCACATACATTTAAATGTGAAATATGAGGTAACAATACCAAAAGTGGTACAAGCTGGCATGGAGAACTGGTCTTCAAGTGTTATCAGACCTTCTTTCGGTTTCTAAAACATCACTTTATCCAGTGTCATCTGAAGGTTTTATGTAGAAGAGTGACTTAATCTACCTAACACAGGATAATCCAAGCCCTCACCCTGCACTTCCTTATTTGCTTCTCTGATTTCCTCCCCAGAATGTTCCTCAGCCGGCTGCTCTGGCAACATCGACCTCTTTGCTCAAACACACCAAGTATTCTCCTGCCTTCTCCAGAGTGCACAGCCTCTACAACAGCATGGCGTGCTCCTTTACATCATTCCAGGATGCTCTGATCTCACCTCCCCAGAGAGGCCTTCCCCAAATGCTCTGCAGAAAAGAGCACCACTACCTGCCCTTACCACTCTCTACCCTGAGTGCCATGGAGACACTGCAGAATGATTTACTACTGCCGGTCCTTCTGGGCCAGCAAAAGAAGGGGACTTGTCTGGTTTGTTCACTGCCACATCCCTTTTGTTGAATAAATGAAACCGGGCTGCAGGGACCTGATAAAGTGACAGGCTGGCCTTTTCTTTTGGAGACCTTCAAATATCAGATCTGGACTCTTTTTCCTGGAGATAATTCATTTCTCTAGCGAAGACACCACTATGCCCTGCCACAGCTGGAGGGGTGGGGAGATTCACACCTGGCTGTTGGCTTCAAAAGGCCAGACGGGGAAAGGCCTGGGGTCCCTAGGGTCAGCATGCAGATTTACTCAACCCCCCGGTTTTATGCCCTACCACACAGGTGCGTCAGCACTCTCAGCAGCTTCCTGCTACACTTTTTCCACAGGATAAACTGGAAAAAGTTTCTACAAGATACAACAGAGTAATGACCTGGCAGTACAAGTAAAGATGAGCAACTGGGAATGTGGCTGTTTTGTAGTCAAACTTTTAAACAATCTCCTTACTTTAGTGCAGTGCTTCAGCCTACCTTCTGTGACAGCACTGAGACAGAGGTGTGTCCAGCAAATTGACTCTAGTCTTGTCACATCACCCTCTACAAGCATGTGGGTTTGCACATCCTCTGTTCTGCTAGGCATCAGCACTCCATCTGCTTCCTGACTTAACCGAAACGTGTGAAAATCTCTCACCCACGACTTTCTGTCCTTGAGGTTTAATAACTTTTCAAAAGTTTTCTTCTTTCACTCTCATTTTAGGAGTTTGGAAAGAAGCAGTGAACCCATGTCCATCCTCTATATTTAACTAGAATTCCTGAGCTGCTCTTCAACTGCTTAGCACTCCCTGGGTACCTGTCTAGCAGAAAAATTACTTTTCTATTTCAAATATGGTGAAGATGTTTCTAGCTCAAAATCTCACTCTATCAAATACACAGTCCTGAATTAATATTGATCAAGCCTGAGATTAAGACTTAAAAGGTTTGAAAATAAAAACGCAGACCTTAGTTGCCTTGCAAAGATTGTTTCATCACATACACCAAATAACTGGTGCTGAATTCTCAGGACCATATGCCTTTAAAAACAGAGACAGGCTGCAGTGACTCATGCCTGTAGTCCCAGCACTTTGGGAGGCCGAGGAGGGTGGATCACAAGGTCAGGAGATCGAGACCATCCTGGCCAACCCTGTCTCTACTAAAAATACAAAAATTAGCTGGGTGTGGTGGCACATGCCTGTAATCCCAGTTACTCGGGAGGCTGAGGCACGAGAATCACTTGAACCCAGGAGGCAGAGGTTGCAGTGAGCCGAGATCACGCCACTGCACTCCAGCCTGGCGACAGAGCGAGACTCCATCACAAAACAAACAAACAAACAAAAAAAAAAAAAACCAGAGACAGCTCTCTCACCTCTCCACACATTATGGGGAATTGAAGTTTACACAAAGGAAACTAGCACTTTCCTAGATCAGTAAAACTGATCTAGAAATCTACAACTACAGCTCCATGAAAGTAGATGAGAATTTCCACTTGTTAGGTAAAACAAGTCAGATTTCACAGTACAGATTGTTACATTAAAAAGTACATAAGGCACAAAACTTAAAGAATGATTTATACACACAGAAGTATGGTATGTTATATTAAATACCAAGCATTTCCACGGAGAAAAAGCAGAGGTAAAAAGCTGAGAGTGAGAAACAAAACAAAAAACAAAACAAAACAAAAAGGCAGATTTAGAATAAAGGAACTGGAGAAACTATAACCATTTTAGGAATAAAAATTTGAGTATTTTCCAAAAATAAGCCAGGCATGATGGTGGGTGCCTGTAATTCCAGCTACTCGAGAGGCTGAGACAGGAGAATCGCTTGAACCTGGGAGGCAGAAGTTGCAGTGAGCTGAGATCGTGCTATCGCACTCCAGCCTGGGCGACAGAGGCAGACTCTGTCTCAAAAAAAAACTTTTTTGAGTATTTTCTACCAAAAGAGAGAAGATAAAAGTATCTAATAATACAAGCCAGGTAACTTTGTCTATCATTTATACTGTTACTTACCTATTCAAAACTAAGGAAATAAAGCCTAGCAGACCTTTTAGTAGAAACTGACAAGCAGAGTCAATGGAACACAGAGACCAGAAAAAGACCTGCATACATATGACGTGTATATATTAAGTGATTTTCAACAAAGATGCTAAAGCAATTCAATGGCGAAAACAGTCTTTGCAACAAGTGGTGATGAAACAACTAAACGAAACTTCACTCTTAGCTCATATCATATCTAAAGATTAACTCAATGATTAGCCTAAGTGTAAGAGCTAAAACTATTAAGTTTCTGGAAGAAAGAGAAAATCATACAGAACAATTTCTCAAATATAATACAAAAAGCCCAAGCTATAAAAACAAAAATCAATACATTGGACTTCATCAAAATTTAAAACTTTTCAAAAAACAGTCAAAAGAATAAAAAGGCAAGCCATAGACTATATTTGCAAAACTTATGTCTTACAAAAGACTTGTATTTAAAATACATAAATAATTCTTACAACTCAGTAAAAACAAAGACAACCCAATTAAAATATGAGAAAAAGATCTGAACAGAAACTTCACCATAGAAGGTATGTGGGAAGCAAATAAGTGCATGAAAAGATCATCAACATTAATCATCAGGGAAATAAGATACTACCACAGACCCACTAAATGGCTAAAATTAAAAAGACAAACCATACCAAGTGCTGGCAATGATGTAAAGCAATTGGAAAGGTCAGTATACATTAACAGAAAATTACCATCTATCACATACACTTAAATATGAGGTGACAATACCAAAAGTGATACAAGCTGCTATGGAGAACTGGTCTTTAAGTGTTATCAGATCTTTTTTAGGTTTCCAAAACATCACTCTATCCATGTTTAGAAATAATGTAGAAAATTAAATTCTTTTTTTCAATTTATTTTTATTTTTATTTTTATTTTTTGAGATACAGTCTCGCTCTGCCGCCCAGGCTGAAGCGCAGTGGCGCAATCTTGGCTCACTGCAACCTCCATCTCCCAGGTTCAAGCACTTCCCTGCCTCAGCTTCCCAAGTAGCTGGGATTACAGGTGCCTGCCACCATGCCCGGCTAATTTTTGTATTTTTAGTAGAGACGAGGTTTCACCATCTTGGCCAGGCTGGTCTTGAACTCCTGACCATGTGATCCACCCACATCAGCCTCCCAAAGTGCTGGGATTACAGGTGTGAGCCACCATGCCAGGCCAAATTCTTTATATTTACACTTTATAGCCTTTAAACAAAGACTACAAAAAGTAAGTCAAGGTCATTTCAACTCTATTTAAATTAACTATGTTAAAGAATTATGATTTATTCAGCTTTGATAGCATCTGTTCAGAAACAAAACGAATAAGCTTTTTTGACAATATTTTAAAATTCCATTCTCCACCTGGTTCTCTCTTCTAAAAGAATCATAGAATCTCAAATTTGGAAGGGATCTTGGGCATCACATAGTTTAGTCTTCCATGCAATGTATGCTTTTTTTTTTTTTTTTTGACCTGTCAGTTCAATGGATGCATATTTACTTACCAACTGTAGAGCTGGGTCTATATCCTACAACAAAAACAGTCAAGGTTCCTCTACCAAGAAAGATGACTTTGAAAATGAAAAACTGAAAACAGGACAGAAAATGTTTAATGTATACTACTTTTTGTTTTTAGGTTTACTAACTGGCTGTCATTCAGGTGTCTCTGATTACCTAATAAAGTTAATCCAATATTGATTTTCAGGGATAGCCAGCAACTACCCCACAGTACAAAGAAATCCTCAATCGAGAATTAACTATGCTTTGCTGTTGTGTTAAAAAAAGAAAAAAACTTTCCTTCCTTTTCTGTAGTTAAATTCATGGGTCATAAACTGAAATGTTTTTTCAAATTAAACACTGCGAATATAACCAAGGTAACTGTACGGTGCTTTGGTATAATTTAGAAAAGAACTTTGAGTTGTACCAGTTATGAGTCCAGATGTCTGTACATGAGTCTAAATGCTGCCAAGTAGCCTAAATTAGAAAATAAACAGTTTCTCAATTAAATGAAACTTTACAGAGGTTTTCAAAAATAAACATCATAAGCCTAATGAAAACATAAAAAGTAATAATACTATAAGCCAAAGACACATTTAATCCTGTAAGGTAAATATAAGCTGTACAGTTATTTTAAAAACCATAGATTGACAATCCTATATTTAGAATATCATTAAAATATAACGAGGCTGTCATACTAAAGTGAAACATGATTGCTGATTAAGTCATTTGACCAAATTACAATTATTATAAAAGAAATATATGGGCCCAATCCAAAATGTAATTTCACCCAAGTATAAAACTAAGAATTTGGCCGGGCACAGTGGCTCATACCTGTAATCCTAGCACTTTAGGAGGCCGAGGGGGGTGGATCACGAGATCAGGAGATCAAGACCATCCTGGCTAACACGGTGAAACCCTGTATCTACTAAAAATATAAAAAATTAGCCGGGCGTGGTGGCGGGTGCCTGTAGTCCCAGCTACTTGGGAGGCTGAGGCAGGAGAATGGCGTGAACCTGGGGGGCGGAGCTTGCAGTGAGCCGAGATCGCGCCACTGCATTCCAGCCTGGGCAACACAGCAAGACTCTGTCTCAAAAAAACTAAACTAAGAATCAGACTTACCTTATTAATCCTAAATATGTTTAATCTAACCATATCTAAGAGTTTAGATTCTAGTATACTTAGTGACCACTATGAAAAGTATTCTCACCTGTTCAATGACATAAAACGCAAATTCCAGCCGCTGCTTCTGGAGCATTGGAATCAGATGTAAGAAAAAAATTGGAAGATGTTCATGGCGATTACGGAAAGGAATGAGAACTGCCACCTTTAAAACAAAATAGTCATGTATGTAAATAAATATATCTACCACATCCTAGAGGTAAGGATAAAAATCAATCCTTGAAAACTTCTGATGGTTTTAAAGCCACGTCCTTATGAATTTTCTCATCAGAGATACAACAGCAAGCAAACACGCAAAAAGCCCTTGCTGCATGCTGCTATGGTCTTATAAAGCTGAGAGGTAGAAGGGGCTCTGAAGCGTTTTCTAAAGATTGTGGCCTTTAACCTATGAACATCATGAGAAATTGAGAGTGATAAATCAGATGTGGTGACTACAAAGACTACTTTGGTGGCAATATGGAGGGCAGACTGGAGAAGACCAAAAATTGACTCAGGGAGCTAGTTAGGCAATTAGTACAGTCGTTGAGAAAACAGGTAATGGTAGCTTAAACTAACAGGAGGATAAAGGAGAAGAGAAGTACATGGGTTTTCAACACATCTAAGAGGTAAGCTAGCAGGGTTTGGCTATCAATTGGGCATGAAAAGTAAGGGAGGGGAATGTATCATAAGAGTAACGTCTCGGTTTTAGAGTAGATCCTAAATAATAACTTCCTGGATTTTGAATTGAATTTAAAAGACATTTCACTTGAATATCTACTATCTTACACATGGTTTCTCTGTCCTAGAGATATTTTCAGAAATATAATAGAAACCAAAATCTTCACACTCCAGCCATAGCATACAAAAAACCTCAATCATACATGATATTGCCCCAAAATACACATGAAGTTTGATAATTAATATATTTTTCATTTAGTCAAAATGCAGAATTAAGTTTTTGATACATTTTAAAATTTATTTCAGTGGTAGGATAATATTCAGTTTAAAATGAAACTGGTAACAAACCATAACAAGAAAAGATGATGTAAGCAGCACAGACATTTGTCTTTATCAACCAGAGAAATTTGTTCTCATATAAAAAGTAAAAGAAAAAACATGTACATGGAAATGAAAATAGTTTCTTAGTACGTTAATCTTTCTTCTAATATGAAATAAAAAATCTAATGGAACTCTCAAACCCAACACTTAAAAACACCATTTATATAAAATGTTTTAGTGTAATACAAGAATAAATGAATGATCATCAATCATCACTAATTCAAATCCTCTATTTCTTGGATACAAACTTTGTCATACAATCTAGATCTCCTTATAATTTAGATTTTGCCCTTGAAAAACCTAAAGTGTTTTCAAAATTACTTTTCTCAGCAACTTCCTAGCTGAGCTAGCTTTATTATTATTGTGAATTTTCTAATAAAATTGAAATTAAAGCAAGTTTTCTACAGATCATAAATTCCAAAATCATTAGATTTTCAAAAAAACACAACAGTGAAAGTATATCTAACCAAAATACCTCTGTGTTACTCTATAATCTGGATTTTTTAAATATACAATCTAAACTGGTTGTAACAGAATATTGTGAAAGAATATTAAATCCATGATTTACTAAAATTTTACCTATACCAAATAAAGTTTATTAATAAATGAATAAATGGAAATAATTGAGAATACTTAAGTTTTGCACCTAATCCTTTTAAAATCAGGACATGATATTAGATATCATCAAACGAAAATAATATTTAACCATGTATTTTACGTTACCAGGATCATAGATGGCAGAAATTTTTAAATTATTCAAAAAGTTTCATTTATAAAGAGAACAAAAAATGATTTAGTAAAATTGAAGATGTCTAAACTATGAACTCCCCCATTCATTTTCCCTTAATGCTGATGGGATAGCAAAAACAAGAGACAATGGCTGCTATGAGGCTGATGTTTTCATGATAATAATTAATCACAGCATATCTATCTGGCAAATGGTAGGAACTAAAGAGGTCTGGTGCCCCTGCCAGCCCAACTTTGGGTCCCATTCCTTTTTGGTTTCCCCATAACGTCTCTCTTGGCTCAGAAGCCTGAGGACCATGAGGCTACCCCAGCAATACCGACCCAACATCCAAGACCTCCTTCCTGCCCCCGCACAATGGCTGCCAACTGTACTGGAACTATATACTGAGGGGCACTTACTGCTGGGCTTCAGCGCCAATGGCTGGCATATTCAAGGAATTCCCGAATCAAAACAACTGTGAAGCTAGCTCAGGGGTTTACTTTTAGGATGGAAAAGTGCTATGAAAAGTAAAAGGAGCAAAAGAGGTTAGATGGTGAGTACATATCCCACCACTAACCTTATCTAAAGCATATCCATGTGATAACATGTAGCTTAGTAAGTCAAGCCTGCCCTTCTTGATTTTGAATTTGGCCACGAGTTGGCCACCTATGACATAATGTCAATGAGCTGTAAAAGCAGTTAAGGCCAATTACAGATATTTGAGGGAAGAAATTATTAAATGGCTGCAGAGTCCCAATTAAAGACAGTGCATATTAATTAAAGACAATTAGACTGAGTGATGAGCTGAACATATAAGGATAAATAAAAAGTAAAGTTCTAGCTCCTAATACAATAATCTCTTCAATGAAGTATTTAAATATCAAGTGTTTTTTCTTTTAATCTCATAAGGAAACTGAGACGGTAATAAAAGAAATTACCAGTGTCTTGGCAAATTCAAATAAGCTAACCTAATGTGCTAACAGCAAATAGATGTCCAAATTTTAATGAGAGGGTTATTAAATATTGTGAATATGTGATAAATCTAAGGCAAAGCTTTTATTAAAATAAAGCTAAACAATATCTTAAAAGTTCATCTGGCACATCAGTTCTTGTGTTTGTGGAAGAATGTCCTCCATAGTTTACAATTTTTTTGTCTAGAAAAGATCTCAGTGTTCTGTGATCATTTATTTTAAGGCTTAATAGCCTGTTTCAGGACATTCTTCTATGTGCCCTAATTTGCTGTTTGAGCCACTCTCTTGCTGATACACCTCCAGTGGAGACCGAGAATATCTGGTCATTATCTTCTGATAAAACAACACTTCATCCTCCTGAATCTCTCCTCACCACCTCTTGATCAAGCAAAATTATTCCATTCAGTTTGCTCCTACTTTAAAACCACAAATCTTGCTGAACATATGCACCATTTTTTCCCTTGCTTATTTTCTCCTATATACACCATGAGGAGAACATCAAGAAAAATGTGTATCACATCAATTTCTCCCACCAAGTTTCTGTCCTGCTTTCAAATTTTCAGCACACCACCAGCTACACTGTCCCTAAATGACATGGCTTTAGGCTTGGTAACCTTAAGGTGAATCTAGTTATCTGCCACTGAGTAAGCAGAAGCTAGTAAGCCCTCATTCTCCTTCAGTGTTTTTAGTTTCATCTTCCTATTCCTCCTCATTTCCAGTACCTCCAGGAGCAGTTCTCAAACTGGAGGCACTTGGTTAAAAATGCAAGTTCTTGTTCCTTCCCACCAATAGAATCAGAATGTTTGAGGACTGAGTTCAAGAATCTGCATTTTTTTTCTTTTAGAGATGGGGGTCTCATTCTATAGCCCAGGCTGGAGTACAGTGGTGTGATCACACCTCACTGCAGCCTCAAACTCCTGGGCTCAAGTGATCCTTCTGCCACAGTCTTTCAAAGCACTGGGATTACGGGTTTGAACTACCACACCTGGCCAAAAATCAGCATTTTCACCATATGCCTCAAGTAGTTCTGAAACAGGGAGGCCAAGACTCATCTTTGAGGTACATTGGACTATAAATGAAACTCCAGGCCTCTGGGTAGACAAGAGCATCAAGCAGCTGCCTGGTTCTTTAAGCCTGGAAGTTATAGACCAAAGTTGTTCATCAAGCCCTCCATCTGAAATCTGAATGGAAAGTCAATGTCACAGGTACACTTCACTTTTAATGACCTGCATAGCATTCTCATGTTCTTCTTTAGATACAAGCTTGCCCCAGAAGGTGTCCAACCTGCGCAGATCTTCTACTTAAACCTGCAGCATTCAAGAATACCTAGGAATTGCTGAAATTACTAGTGGTTTTTTGTTTGTTTGTGTTGCCCAGTCTGGAGCGCAGTGGGCGCGATCTTGGCTCACTGCAACCTCTGCCTCCCGGGTTCAAGCAATTCTCCTGCCTCAGCCTCCCGAGTAGCTGGGATTACAAGCCTGCACCACCACGCCCGGCTAATTTTTTTATTTTTAGTAGAGACGGGGTCTCAACAGGTTGGCCAGCCAAAATTACTAGTTTTGAAAGATCTCAGTTCTAATTAATTTGCCATCAACTAACTGCATTGGTATTTTTCTCATTTAAAAAAGGGGCCTCAAATATTAAGAATCAAGTTGATGACAGATGTTTAACATAAATCTAGTTATTTCTTATTTCCCTCTCTCTCCACTGTTCCAATATGAGAATGGAACATTATCAGTAAGCAGGCAGGGACGGGTAGGGGGAGAAACCATTTAACTAAATATTTAGTGAGATGATAGTTATATAATATTTATATGAGTACAGCTCACTTCTGAATCATCTCCAAAATTCCTTTCATACCTTTAGTTGTGTAATTCTGAACTAGAGACTACATTCTGAGAAGGATTTGCTAAAAGTTGAAATAAAAGCAGCATTATCATATAGTTCCTAAATAAAATAATTTATTTTGAGACAGCTTGCTCCTTCACCCAGGCTAGAGCGCAGTGGTGCGATCTCGGCTCACTGCAGCTTCCACATCCCAGGTTCAAGCAAATCTCACGCCTCAGCCTCCGGAGTAGCTGGGATTACAGGCATGTTCCACCATGCCCGGCTAATTTTTGTATTTTTAGTAGGGATGAGGTTTCATCATGTTGGCCAGGCTGGTCTCAAACTCCTGGCCTCAAGTGATCTGCCCACCTCAGCCTCCCAAAGTGCTGGGATTACAGGTATGAACCTTAGATCCCTGAATTAGTTTGTTCCCAGGAACTCTTTTCCATACTGTTACCTACTGAATCATATGTAGTTTACAGTCAGTCTACTAATATCTTTAAGTAGGAAATACTCATGTGATACACCTGTCTCCTGGAAAATGAGAAGAAAACAAACAAAAAATTTAAAATCCATCTGGTATAGATCACTAGAAACAGGAGAAAAATACTTCATTTTTCCTATCCTAAACTGTTCTACTAGTATGCTACCCAGAGCACACCTGAGGGGTGTGCTACATTCTGTACAAACAACTATCTGAGCATGAACCTCCATGCTATCCCACAGCCTCGGTGACTGAGTATGCTTCTTTTTCTATTAGCATTCAATATACACACTCAGCACCCAAGTGTTAAAAATAATTTATGTGCCCAGGCTATTTTTAAAAGGTGGAATGTATGTAAATTGGGCCGCATTTCATATAGCTACAAATGTGAGGAAAATCAATCAAGAAATATGAAGAGATTCATTTGTTAAATGAATCTGATCTGGGAAATAGTGTAAGGTAATTATAAAATTAAATGTTTTGCTAAAATTGGTACTGGAATCCATTTAAGCAGCTTCACAACTTGTTCAAGGCAATAAGAAAGCTGACCATTTATTGAATCATTTGTAACAAGGCCAAAAAGGCTTTTATTTGCCTTATAGAGTCAATTCAACAAAACTGTGTTTAGTGCTTACCTTACACAAGACAATGTGCTCTGTGTTGGGAATACAGATACAAATAATACACATCTTCAAACACGAAGAGTTCATGGTAGATGAAGTCAGAGGGTCTTTTTCATGAGTTTAACAGCATATGATTTTCCTTCCTACTAGTGGTTTTTTTTGGGGGTGGGGGGAGGTGAAAATACAAATATTCTAGAAGTATACTAATGTTTTAAAAGATAAACTGTTTCCAGATCAAGGTTATATCACAATCCTTTAGGAAATAACACTTGATTTATCAGTTGTAGTTTTCATTGGAATTACATAAATGTTATTTCTTACTCAAACGTAGTAACATTAGATGAATATGCACTTGTTAACCAATTTCACAGCTTTGAGGGCAAGTCTGGTTTAAATTATGGCTTTCAATTTTTTTAAAGCAGCAGAGGCAAACCCACCCCCTTACAGTTTTTCAAACAAAACACTGAATAGAATTCTGACATATCAAAAAGACTGAAAGAAAGCTTGGGCTGTGCCTTCTGAAGCCAAGAAGAGCCCAAAGTCCAACTTTTCAAGTCCCACAGTGATCTCTGAGCAGCCTCTTTATAATCTTGGATTCTGAGAAACAGAGCTTGAAGACCCCAATGCCAGAACAAACTGAAAATCGGGATATTAATATCCTCCCAGTGAGTTCTCACAATTCAGAAACTGGTGAGGCTATGCTTGCAGGTGTCAGTAATCATTAGGGACAGCTGCAGGAGGCAGGGAACTCACAGCCTCTCTTCCAAACAGAACAGAACAACAAAAAAATCTATTTTCCAAGCCAAACTCAAGTCACGTATTTATTACCAGGAACTCAAAGAGAATGAACCGAGCATCTATTTTGTATCTACACAGGTGCATTTACAGTCTTCACACATAACACTTAAATCACATTTGAATTATAAATAGTAAACATTAAAGACAAAACTTTTGATGTTTTAAATTTATCAAGACTTAAAGACATTTGTCTCTGTATTCTGAATCAAGCACATTCTTTCCTCAAATGCTCAGTAACAATCAAATTGCTTATGAAAAGAATTTACCTCACCTTCCATCTGGGTTTACAGTCTTTTGGCCTCCAATGACCCCCTGGCTCAATATCTAAATCCTTGGAGAAGAGTTGATGAATTTCATCAAAACTGACTTCGCTTACATTGACATTGAGGAATCCTCCTACAAATTAAAAATGTAAAGAATTGTTTTAATATTTTTTGCCTCAAAGATCTAGTAGAACAAATAATAATCAGCAGGGTGATGGCATATCTTAGTTGCCAGGACAATACAGTTTACTCCTGTTACCACCACAAAATTATGAATAGCGCTCCCTTTCACTTTTAGTTTCAATGATAATATATATGGTCACCCTTCTATGTTTGGTAAATCGGCCAAAGAAAATCAAATTCTTTTTAAAAACCGTTTTGCTTTTGGGTAATATATTGAATAATTTAGTATTATTTGGAAAATGTTTGCATGTCATTATAACTTAACACTGCAATTTAACAACTATTCAAATATTTTAATACCATTTTTAATTTTAACATTTTCAACACAGGGGACACAATGGCACAGTACTTAACAATGAAATAAGCAGTCAGATTGACTGGGAACTGATTCCTAGCTTCTGTCTATTGGGAAAATGATTTAACCTCTCTGTGCCTCAGCCTCCTCCTCTGTAAAAAGGACAGTGATGTCTGCCTCCCAAGGTGGTTGTATCCATTCCAAGAAATCATCTGTGTGAAGGATCATATGCCGTGTCAGGCATTAGGTACAACCAACAAATGTTAGCTACTATTACTGTTACCTACTGACATTTCTTAAGAGAGGGAATTTGCAAACATAATTCAAAGTACTGATTCTGAGCACTTACCATATATCAGGCCCCTTGGCATACAAAACTGAAAAACCACTTCTGAGGTATTCCTGGTCTAACAGGCACTCATTCTCCAAATTAACAAATATATGACATTACTGGAGGTGTTCTTACTAGTAGCTTTTCTAATGTATACCATTGAAACAGGAATGAATCTTGAATGGAAAACCACTTCCGTTAACCCCAAAAGAGAACTAAGAATCAAGAAGCCTCTTTATCTCCCCCTGAATTAAAATAGCTGCATGATCACTAACATCCCTTCAAAGCAATGCTATCTTCAATGACTTCACTGTTAGAACAGGATGTAAAAGGCTATTGAAACTACAGATCATCTTTTAGCAGTTTTAATGTCATCCGTTAACTTCCAAATAGGTACAAATTGCTCTGGAGCGCCCTCCAGCCAAATTCTTCTCTCTGACCTCATCTCATAAAATACAAACCAACAAATGTTGAGGTTTCCCATTTCGAGTCTTCTGAGTTTCATGTGGCCACAATTTCATATAAAAACACTCAGTTCCTCTCTAGAGAGCCTCTTTGCTCCTGCTATTCTATATTTTAGGAGTTTTCACAATGGCCTCTCTTCCTGTCCCCACTTCATCCTAACCAGGCAGAGCTGTCTGTAGCCTCCACGCAGGCATGCTAGAGTATTTTACATCGAAATACCTGCTTCCCAGAATAAGTTAGAAAAAGAATTGCAATCTTCTAATGCCTGCCTGTTCTACTGACAACATAAGCAGTCTTTTATAACCAAACACTCAGCCTTCAGCGTGACAAGATACACAAACTAGCTAATCTTAGAAAGGTCAGATTCATCTAAAAGAAAGAGAAACCTATGAACTTGCAGAGAAAGAGTAAGTAAAATGTAAGATTGATCAGTAAACATAAGTACAGACTATCATGACTCAGCTGACAAAGAACAGAATCTAACATTGTAATCAAATAAAATTTACACAAATAAATCTGATACATTTAATAGTATGCATGATTGCTAAAATGATAGTAATTAGGCTAAATAATAAGCAGTTCATATAAGTAACTGAAGCTGGTATTCTTTCTGCACTGTTAAACCACATTTTTTGTCTTTTTTCCAGCTTTATTGCTTCAACAGCTGTAATCATCATTATTGTCAGCAGTTTTCTCCAGCATCATTTGCAGTTTAATTTCCATCTCCAACGCATATGTGCTGGCAAGAGACAGGCTTTATTTCTTTCCCTCAATAGAGAGGGCTTCCTCTGTCCATCACTATCCCCATGCCTGAGGTATCCTAAGTTCACACTCCTCGGGGTTGTGCACCTCCCCCACCCCATCCACACCCCTCAGAGTCCATCAGGAGCTTTCCTATGTGCTTGTTGCCCTTTGCTCTGAAATCCTAGTAATTTGCTCATTGAAGGCTAAAGATTGACCTGGTGGCATGCTACCCATGATAAGAGCAACATCGCTATACTGGGGAGTGTAGGGGACAGGCCTCCCAGGACAAGTATTGCCACCACTGGGAACAGCGAAAGTGTGATCAGAGAGAGGAAGAACAAACATTCATCATTGTGGGGAGTGGTATTAGGGAGAAGATCCTGTACATAGGAAGGGAAGGGAAAAGGTCATGTTATAAAAAGAGTGGCCAGGAAGAAGTATGCTGCAGATAAACTAATGATGGTGTGGTTTCCAAACCGTCCTTGGGAAGGACCTCTCTCAGGGATCCTGTGGTTGGAGAAGGGAGGACTCAGGCTCCCCCAACACAGCCACTTTCATCTCTTTCGCGTACTCTTTTGTCCCCTTTAGGTTTCACTCAAGAAAGCCTTCCACTGCTTTAAAAACAAAACAAAAGGCATCGGAAAACCACCTGCTATGAATGAAGCTAGAGAGGGAATGTCCTTCTTGTAAAGAAGGACACCATCAACTGGGCCAGTCCCCTTTATTTCACTCGCTGAGATTTCAAGGGCAACTGAAGAGATCCACTGAACTCCATGGAGAGCCAATCTTCACTCTCCTCTGTGGTGAATCTGAGATTGGTTGTTGTTGTTCTTAATCCCAGATGTAATAGTATAAATCTAAGATTTTTAACTGGCACAAGTGGTTTCTTTCCCAGTTAGAGATTTAAAGATCAGAAAATAAATATGTTGACTGAAATCCATTTACCCAGCAGTGTAATCACAATCAGCAAATGTAAATAATATAATTTACCAAATACTGAATTTCACTATTTTGAAGGTGGCGCTGGGGTTAGAAAGGAAAGAGCAGGAGAACTGAGTGTCTGAAGAGTGGAGGGGCTGCCAAGTACCTAGAAGGTCAAGGTGAAGGACAGGGAACTCAAGTCAGCTGGAAGCTACCTTCCAGTCGTGTGTGCCAAACTGCTTCTATCATGTGTGAGGGTAACTTAGTTGCACCATTGGTTATGTAGGACATTTACTATATCCTAATGCTGAATTTGCAAGATATGCAGCAATGCTGCCCATCTGGGAAAGCCAGGCATGCATGGGCCCAAACAACAGGCTTATTGTGCTATGGATGATAATGTATCACATGACATGATTTAGGATTTTACTTTTTCTATTAAAATATAATTCTTAAAATAACAAATATTCAAAACCTATGAATTACCTACGTTTATATTTTTCTAACATTTCAAGTAAAATTTAAGGCATATAATCTCCAGAGAGTTGTTTGTTCTATAAATCAATAGTTTTAAATAACTATTTCATTTTGCTTGGAGCCTATATCTATTTTTTGGTATCTAAAACCTAATTCTGGATATGTTGGCTTTTGTCTGTTTTACCCTCAGGGTTTTAAATGTTCACAGCTCAAAGAGCTGATGACAGTGTCAGAGAAAGACCTGAATTTCCCCTAGAAATGTCCCTTAGGGTAAATTCCTCTCCAAAGCTAGAAAAGCATTTTTATGACAAGATGGGACATTCCCTCCCACACTCTGTGCTGCCTCCTAAGCACAGCTCTGAGGCTGAACAGTTATGAGTCATCCAGCCATTGGTCACCTCCTGTCCTTTCTGAAGCCAACACTAGATACTGCCTATTTCAAATGCTTTACTTAAGCTTCTCGACTTATAAAATTTGACAACCTCTGCTTAACAAACGATTTATTACTCAAGTTTTCTTGAAGCAACCAAACCTGAGCATTCTAAACATAAGACAGAGCATTAGTCACACATCCCCACTGCCAAGGGCAATGCCTGGACACAGAATGAATGAATGAATGAATGAGTAGGAAGATTCCTGTCTCATCCCTGCTTCCACCTACCTGCATTTCTACTCCCTGGCTCCATCAGGTGCTAAAATATTTCTTTAAGACATTTATGCAAAACTGTGCATACAACAAAGTCCTAATATCCAGAATCTATAAGGAATTTAAACAATTCAACAAGCAAAAAACAACCCCATTAAAAAATGAGCAAAAAAAAAAAAAAAAAAATGAGCAAAAGATACTAACTTCTTAAAAGGAAACATTCAAGTAGCCAACAAACAAAAAAAAATGCTCCAAATCACAAATCATCAGAGAAATGCATATTAAAACCACGATAAGACAGCATCAAATACCAATAGGAAAAGCCATTATTGAAAAGTGAAAAAACAACAGATGCTGGCGAGGCTTGGGAAGAAAAGGAGATGCTTATACACTGTTGGTGAGAATGTAAGTTAGTTCAGCCACTGTGGAAAGCAGTTTGGAGATTTCTCAAAAAACATAAAACAGAACTACCATTTGATCCAGCAATCCTATTACTGTGTAAATATCCAAAAGAAAATAAATCATTCTACCAAAAAGGCACATGCACTATTATGTTCATTGCAGCAATATTCACAATAGTGAATTCACAGTGACACCCAGCTCTGTGTCCAGACCCTGAACCACAGTCACCTAGAAATGACTGGCTTTCAACTCTGACACTGCACCCTCTCATTAAAGCCTCTTTCTCTTTCACCTTCTCCCACTCCCCTCCCATGAAGTCCCTCTTCAATTCCATGAAGACTTGAAGTCCTCTCTGCTATATCCACACTGGCCTCTGTATAAAGTGGTTTGCTAATTTTGATGTGTGCCTAAGAATTACCAGCTGTGCTTGTTTAAAATGCAGCTGACTGGCCACATTGTCAAAGTTTCTGTGTCAGTTGAAGCTCATGGGTCACGTTTATGGCCACTGGCTTTAACTGAACACATTTCAACGGCTTGAACTACCCACCATTGGGTCCTGCCTTTCAAAGGAAAAAGCTAGAACCCACTCTCCAAACCCCTCTAACAGGTAGGAGTGGTCATATGACCAAATGCACCCGAAGTGGTGGCAAAAGCTTCTAGCTTTACAGGAACCAAGAAGTGGCACTTCTGGTCTCCAGACCTGAGCAATGCTGGTAGGAGGTTTAAGCCCTGACAAGTGGCAGCAGGAGATGCTTCAAAGCGGTCTGAGCCTTGTTCTGGCTGCTCAATTTCTCAACCTAATTCTCTAGCCACCCAGGTTGTCTCTGGGCTCTCTAATATATTTTCATGAATTCTTTTTTCTCTTAAATCAGATAAAGTATATTCTGTGGTTTGCAACCAAGAACCCTGACTTTTGCAGTCTAGGGTTTAGCTCAGAGGCTTCATTTTTAACAGGTATCCCAGCTGCATTTTTTTTGAGACGGAGTCTCGCTCTGTCACCCAGGCTGGAGTGCAGTGGCGCCATCTCGGCTCACTACAAGCTCCGCCTCCCGGGTTCACACCATTCTCCTGCCTCACCCCCGAGTAGCTGGGACTACAGGCTCCTGCCATCATACCCGGCTAATTTTTTGTATTTTTAGTAGAGACGGGGTTTCACCGTGTTAGACAGGATGGTCTCAATCTCCTGAGCTTGTGATCCACCCACCTCGGCCTCCCAAAGTGCTGGGATTACAGGCGTGAGCCACCGCGCCCAGCCCCCAGCTGCATTTTTAACAAGTGTAGATCATCTGAATCACACTTAAGAGAAATGCAGCTCTATGACCTTCACCCGATCACAGCACCTACACACTGACAAACACCTTATCTACCACCCCCTCAACCTGCCACACCTGAGCTACAGGTCCCATCCTTGCAGCGACAATTATCCATGCTCCAATTCTTTACCTAATAAACAGCACTAAAGAAAGCACGTAAGCATATAGATTAATCCCATCATTTGGGTGGCAATACCTAACATATTGCCTCAAGCATAGTAAGGTTTCAGCAAAAACAAGTGTCACTTTTTTTTTGTATTGTGACTCCACCAGGGTGGGGTGGGGGGCTCTCTAGGATAACCTGTTAGTCACCTTCTAATTTATGATTAGTTGACTTCACTTTTCATTCCCTATGACAACTTTTTAAATACTTACTCCTCCCTTTCAAGCTGCTCAATCCTTCCTGGCCATCCCCTCAGGGACACACGGCCTCCTGCTTTACTAGGAAAACAGACACAGCAGGCACGAGCACCCTACCTCTCCACCTCATCTCCAAATAAACCGCGGGCTTCCTCAGGGGAGGAGGCATTCCTGAGGCTTTCCATGCTCACTCTTCAACCTGAGGCATTGTCTCCATTCACTTTCTAACCTGGCTCTATGGAGACCTCCCTTGTGCTTCTCCCTCATCCTTCCCAGTTCTCTTCTCTTCATCTTTTTCTTTTTTTGAGATGGAGTCTCCCTCTGTTTCCCAGGCTGAAGTGCAGTGGCGAGATCTCAGCTCACTGCCAGCTCCACCTCCTGGGTTCACGCCATTCTCCTGCCTCAGCCTCCCCAGTAGCTGGGACTTCAGGCGCCCGCCACCACGCCCAGCTAATTTTTTTTATTTTTGGTAGAGACGGGGTTTCACTGTGTTAGCCAGGATGGTCTCGATCTCCTGACCTCATTATCTGCCCGCCTCGGCCTCTCAAAGTGCTGGGATTACAGGCGTGAGCCACGGCGCCCGGCCTCTTCTCTCCATCCTTTCTTTCCATGATGCCTACAACATGCTCAAGTCCATCTCTTCCTAAAGAGCTCTTCCCTTACCTCCACCTCCTCCAGATCCTTTACCCCAATCTCCTTCCCTTTGCCACCAAACTTCTCTCATTTCACCTACAGTCTACATACACTTCTGACGCACTTCTCAAGAGTCTACTTTGCTTCTCTCCCAATCATTTTACTGAATTCGTGCTTGCTGTGTTCTCCATTCGTTTTCTGCACCAAATTCAGTGGCCCTTTCACAGTTCCTCACTCTCCCTGCTGTCTGGAGGTGTGTGACAAGACACAGCAGTCTTGTCTCTCTGGGATGTGTTCCTGCCTCGCCCCCCAGACACCACCCTCTGGCTTCTCTAGGTTCCTGTCTCCCCTTCTTCTGTTAACCGCCACTCACCTCACAAGTACGGATTTTCTCAGGGACCCACTCTCAGCCTTCTTCCCCTCTCACTTCCTCTGATGTTCAGTCCGGATCTCTTACTAAAGGCAGACCCCAAGTTAACCCTCTTGAACTTCAAACAAAACGGCCCAAACGGAACCCACTAACTTCCCCATCCTCCAAATGCGACGGTTACTCTGTATCACACTTCAGTTCATGGTCACCAAGTCAGAAACCTGGAAATTAACCCTCACCCCTCAACTGGTCGCCACATCTGGCCAATGGCACCCTGTAGGTTCTTTTTTGTGCCTTCTCCTCTCTCCAACGCCACAGCCTTGGCACTTGCCCTTGTTGTTGCCCGTCGGCTTCCTGCAGCAAGCTCCTCATTGGTCTCCTGCTGATCCCAGTATTTCTCCATTCTCACCCATTGTTCAGCTTCTCATGTGAATAATCTTCCTAAAATACAATCCTAGTCCATCATTCACCTGCCTAAAGCCTTCGATGGTTCTCCATTTCCCTAAAGCAGTGGTGTTTTTTGTTTATTTTTGCTTTTTTTTTTTTTGCCCCTAGACCCTTTGAAAATCATGCACTGTCACCTGAGAGAAATGCATACAGGCTCATAAATCAACTGTCTGCATGTAAGCTCACAGGCTCTTCTCCCTCTGAAGCTCACCTCATGGATGCCTAGGAATGATGGAACCCACAAGGCCCTCAGATTCCTCAGTCCTTTACACAAGACCCTTCTAGCCAGCTTCATTTCCCATACACGCCACTTAACACACCCTCTCTGGGCAGAGCCGACCACTCTCCAGTCCGGGAATACACAGAGCCTCCCTTGTGGTGATGCTGTTCTCTCTCAGCTATCTTGTAAGACCCAGTTCTGATGACACCTCTCTCTGACATCGTCCTTTCCCTTCCAAAATAAACTGCTGTCTCCCTTTTGTCACATTCATAACCTTTTTTCTTTTTTTTTTTTTTTTTTTTTTTTTGAGACAAAGTCTCGCTCTGTTGCCTGGGCTGGAGTGCAGTGGTGCGATCTCGGCTCACTGCAACCTCCGCCTCCAAGGTTCAAGCGATACTCCACCTCAGCCTCCCAAGTAGCTGGGACTACAGGCACGCACCACTGCACTTGGCTAATTTTTGTGTGTGTGTTTTTGGTAGAGACAGGTTTCACCATGTTGGCCAGGCTGGTCTTGAACTCCTGACCTCAAGTAACCCACCTGCCTCAGCCTCCCAAACTGCTAGGAAACAGGCATGAGCCACCACGCCCGGCCTCATAATCTTTTCATAGCATGCCTTTCTCCAAGTGTGTTACCTGCTCCAAGCTGCCACACACATGACCACGTTCAGTCTTGTCTCTCCCGTACCTGCTTCTATGAACAACACAGGGACCGCTGCACAGCGGCTGTTCATCAATGACTTGTTGACTCTAAAATGGCTCCCATCTCATTTTTTTTTTTTACAATAAACATATGCATGACAGTTTGTTACATTAGCATTATTTGAGCTTTGCTGACGTTTGTTTGCTTATCTTTTCCTTCTTTGCTGATTTTCATTTGAATTATTTAAATCCATCTCAAGAAGTCCTTGGAGCTTTTGTTATATTCATAAGGTTAGCAACTATAGAAACTATCAGGGTTAAACCATAAAGGGAACTATTCCACAAATAGTAAGAACAGAATATATAAAGGTCACTGCAAACGTATTCTATTTGAATAAGAATTAAAAGATAGGAAAACTAAAGGTAAGTCTATTTTCAGTCTAATGCAGAGTATGCAATTGACATTTTCCATTTCTACCTCACCCATAAAAATTAAAATCAAAACATCCACACTAAGCACTTATTAATTTTTAGCCTTAGACAAGGTGAAACTTCTATTTTACTTTGTTAGCACAAAGAATCTTACATAAATGCAATAAAGCTGAATGTGGATTTGCCCTTTGGAAAATCTATAAATACTAACAAACAAGAAAGAAGTATTCACTCATACTCTTCATATAAAATATACATATTAAAATAGGCTTTATAGTGTAATTGGCCACTATTGAATATGAAACACTGCTGAAATGTATGAAACACATTTTATCTGTATTCTAGTTTGAAAAATTCACTTTATCTTTACAGAAATCCAGTGCCAGTGTTTCCATTGCTATACTAAGTAAAAATCAAAGAAGTTTACAACAGAATAATCAAATACACCAGTGTTAAGCCTTAACTTCACTTTTAGTGACTATAAGTAAATATTACTTGTACTTGAATGGTTTTCATCTAAGTAGATCTAATTCTTACACAAATCCCTTCTAATTATTATTTGGGAAAGAATCATATTCAATTATTTTGTGTAACTATTATAAGATTTTATACTTATGTATTTTATTGCATTGTTCTCTATTATCAATGAAAACTATCTTTTTAAGTAAAAAAATGTAAGGATACATAGCTAATAATAAAACTTCTAAACTCCACACATTTCTCCTAGGTGTCTCATTTCCTTGACCATTGTAAAGTCTGGCTCTATTATTCAAAGAAGGAGGGAGAAGGAAAGGGAGAATCAAATTAATACCTATCAAACTTTAAGCACTGTGTGCTTCATTCTATCCTTACCACACTCTGCAGATGGTATTGGAATCCCAGGTTTTACAGGTAGGTAAACTAAGCCTCCACTTTGCGGAGGTCACAGGACAAGTGAAGTGCTCTGTCGGGCAGCTCGTGCAAGGCTCTCTTGGCAGAAGCCTCGTTATGTTGGCTGTACCCATGGCTCCTTTCTAAAGCCTTATCTGTATGTGGCTGTATTTTCTACCAAATCACCTTGCCACCATGGCCACCACGGCCACCACTAATTGGGCACAAAATTGGGACAGGACCCAAAGTTGGCAGCCCATGAGAGGGACTGCTGTGAAAAGATGGCTGGCCACACTAGTGTGATCCTCTCTTATAAAAGAATGCAAGGATCCCAGGGAAGCAGAGAGAAGGGGCAGTAGTGCTGAGACCCCTCCCCACCCCCAGTGAAAAGGCAGTGCACAGCAGCCACGCACGACGCAATCTCTCAGGCACCACAAGAGATGGTACAATGGGCTGTGGGGCGGGAGGAGAGGAGTACCAGAATGATGAAGTGGCAGACAGATGCTTTGAAATAGAGTTTAATTAGTACTCATAAAGCACTAATTAAAGAAAATGGCAACTAAACCAAGAACAGAAAGATTTCCTGAAACTATAAACCTTGAATATGAAAATTATGAAGATGAAATTATTGTAATCAATATTTCAACAGAACATTACCCAGTGGTTTCAGTATTACACAGACAAAAGTATTCATTTTTAGGAAAACAAGGCTGCAATAACAAAGTAATGACAACCACAAAAATCACTGAGTTCCATTCTTTATTATGGTACAGCAAAGAGACAGCAAGATTAGAATCACCTGAGAATTTTTTTTTTCTTAAATACCAGGGACCAGGCCCACTACTCTAGATCAGTGGGTCTCAATACGTGGCCCAAGGCTCAGCGGCAACAGCATCACCTTGCGGGATTTGTTAGAAATGCAGATTCTCAGGCCCGCTCCAGACCTGCTGAGTCTGAAACTCTTGAGAGCTGGACCAGCAATGGGGCTTGACAAGATGATCTGGGTGATTCTGATGTACCCCCAAGACTGAAAGCCATGGCCTTAGATGATATTAGAAGGTCAATCTTTCTTTTTATTATTGATATATAATATCTATCAACAATAAGCTAAAACAAGTCCTACAAATATGATAGGCAAAGGCTAATTTCCTCAATTAAAAAAGCTCGTGTCAAGAATAAAAAACACAGATACAAAATACATCAGAATATGGATAAATAAGCAATTCAAAAAGATGTTTATTTAAATCTTTATATCAAATCCAAGATACAAACCTATATGTACAAAGTAGGCTTAAAAATCATGGGGCAGGGGTAGAAGATACACACACAAAAAAAAGCTAAAATAATAGCCGTGTGGCTTCTGAGTGTTGACAGTACAGTATAGTGTTTTTTTTAAAATAATGATAATGTATTATCTTCATAATTAAAAATATATATATTTAAAGTACAGTAGCTTTATCACTACCACATATTACACACAAAGGTTAAAAACAAAATAGTAAAATCATTAGAAGGAAATAAAGGTATTTATCTGTATGGCCTCTGGGTAAGAAAAGGTTTAAGACCAAAAAAAAGCAAAACACCTAAGTAAAGTTATTAAAAAATTTGAAAAGGTCATAATTTTAAACTTCCATAAAATAAAAGACAAAACAAGAAGCCTGGGAATGTGAAAAGATACTTACAAAACACATAGCAGACAACAGGCCACTGCCAGAATATAAAGAATTTCTACAGATCAATACCAACACACAATAACCAACCAGGAACTGATAAAGCCCATGATGCAGCAAGTCACAGGAGAGAAAATTTAAAAACACAAACATAGGAAAACTTACTCAAACCCACCAGGAATGAGGGAAGTGAAAATCGAAACAACGAGAAACCATTTATCTTTCAGATTAGCAAGAATTTAAAAGTCCATCAATATCAAAGTGGTACATTCATGCTTTGCTGTTAGGGATATAAATTGGTATAGCTGCTTTTGAGAGCAATTGACAAAATCTGGAAAACCTGAGCCAACCTACCCAGCAATTCCACCACTAGCCATCAACCCTCAAGTACACATGCATATACGCACAGGAAAACTCACACTCTGTTGTTCTTTATACCAAAATATATATATATATTTTTTTTGCTATTTTGTGATAGCAAAAATGTTGAAACCACCTAAATGTTCATCAGTGGGGAAACAGGTAAATGAGATGTGATACATTTATACAAAGACGTACCACACAGTAATAGTTAAGGGAAAAAAATTAGATCTATATGTAACAACATGGGTAGTTCTCAAAAAAGTATGTAAAAAAGCAAGTTACAAGAATGAAATGTACTTTATAGACCAATTTACATAATTTCTCCTTTGAAACAATATCTATTTTCTATACAGACATCTATCTATGTAGAAAACAATTTTCATAACCGGAAAGAATACTCAGCAAACTCTCAGTAGAGGTGAGGTTACTTCTGAGGAAGGAATGGGGAGCCAGCACTGGGGATGGTGGTCAAAAAGGACTGGCTTAATCAGGAACATTATAACATATTCAAAAGGAGACTACACATTAATTGCTCTCTTAAGCACTGTTTTAAAAGAACTTGGACATAGGTAAGCCGAAGTATTAGTTTTTAAAACTGGTTGGGAACAATATGGGTATTTGTCATTTTCCCCCTTTGTATTTTTCTTCAGCTTTTCAATCATCCCCCTTCAAAATGCGCTTTGCCAAAAAATAAATAAATAAATAAAAGTTCAAATAACATGCTGCATAATATAAACATTTGCACCCAGGTGCACATGACCTGCTCCTGCTGCACTCAAATCATGTGGTTTTTATGACTGTATTGTAACACAAGTAAACAGTTAAGTCAAAATTAGATGACGACTTACGCATATAAGGCAGCTTTTCTGGACAGGGGAGGTATGGTGAGTATGTGAAGTTTTCCGGGAGATACGTTGTTGTTTGAACAAGATAATCACTTGAATTATTGCCTTCGGGATAATCTTGGAAAGAGAGAAAAGAGTTACAAAAAAAAAAAAAAGGCCTTTTGCTTTCTCCCTGGAATGAAATACGTCACTATCACTGGGAGAAAACTACAATATACAATCTACAGAAGTACTTAAAATCAATTATCTTTAAGGAACTAGAGAACAGCAAACTGCTGCGGGGAACAGACCTCTCAGCATGATTTCCCAAGAGACATCTAGAGAGCAGCACACCCTTATCCTTGCACACAGACATGGCAGTCCCACTTGCAACCATGTGAGAACACCTGCTCCCGTCCCTCCCCTGGCTGAGCCCGATCTACAGGGAGTGTGAAAGTACACCAGGGAATCCCCTCCACTATGGCACAGCCAGGGGTGTTCCAAACCGCTGCGTGCTGCTACTAGCATCCACAGAGCAGAGGGGTGGGAGTAATGTTTTCTTACCACCTCACACTGTAGAAACTGAGATTTACCCACTCAACTTACTTTTGTAATACAGCTCATTCTAAACCTTTAAGTTAGTCATTCCCAGCCTGTGGGCTGCAGCCCCGGGGGAGCCCTGGAGCTATTATTACATTAGGTCCATTATCTTTAGAGTCAGCAAATTAAACTGCATACAGGGCACCAAAGTCAAATGCCTGAGTTCAAATCCTTGCTCCAACACACTGTAGCTGTGTGATACAGGGCAGGACACGATGTAGCTTGCCATCTATGCCTACTTCATACTGTCATTTTTAAACTTCAATAAGACAAAATGTGTAAGGTGCTGAGAACAATCCCTGGCCCATAGAAATAGCTAATAACTGTAGCTATGAGCGATTAGAGATGAGCACCTGACCCACGAGACAGTCACAGGCTCAGGATTTTTGAATGTGGAACCAGAGAGATCACATTTCAGTCCCTTTCTGGAGCAAAGTTCTGAGACGCAAATCTAGAAACCATGACACACAGGTTTCCTGCTATGTAGGGAAGCTGGCCTAAGAGAATGACATCAACATGCAATGAGTGAAATGAGAGACGGAAACAGCTCATTAAACTACCGTCTGTCTCCTGGATCACAAACAATGTACTACAGAAAGTGAAACTCTAGCAGACACTTTAGGAAAATGTGAAGATATTCTTTGAATGTTGAGTAATCTGCTCCAATGAGAGACAATGTAGAAGCTAAACCCTCTGACCATAGGGAAATGAGAGAATCCTGCGAATTAGATAGGAAGTATGTGAGAGGAGCCAAAGAAAACTAAGCACCTCCATTGCACACCTTTACCTAACATCAATATTCAGTCATTGTCACAATGGAGTTGGTGGGGATGCTGCCTAGGAGTCAGGACAGTACTTCAGGGCAGAGACTCACGCCACCTGCAAGACTGCTGAATGAAAGAGGCCCTGCCACGGCTGCTAAGCAGAGGGTGTTGGGACGGGCAAAGGTTCCAGGCTGGGTATCAAGGAGGAAACAGAAGCCACAAGAGAAGGTCCAATTCCAAAGAAGTGCTTGGAAACCCCAGTTACAAATTTCACAGGGCATCAGTAAGGTGTTAAGGTAAATGCATTCCCAGAAAACCCCAACATAGTAGAGATCAATGATGGTACAACTGCTAAGGCCTATCCTACCAGGAAGTGGGAAAGCCCCAATGAGACAATCCTCCCCACTCTCCCTGGGCGAGTGCTGGAAAGTGTCTGACAAGGAAAATCTTCCAAATAACAAGGGGAGGAGAAATTCAGTGAACATTAATTGTTTTGTATGCCCAGTGACACCCCAAGACCACAGACACTACACTGGTAGCCCATGCTCAATGTATTCCCCATATGTCTAAAAGATTTAAAGATACCAAGCAAAAGCAAGTGTAAGGAAGTCCAATAAAGTTCTGATTCTTTTCCTTTTTTTTTTTTTTTTTTTTTGAGACAGGATCTTGCTGTGTCACATAGGCTGGAGTGCAGTGGCATGATAATAGCTCACTGCAGCATTGACTTCCTGGGCTCAAGTGATCCTCCTAGCTCAGCCTCCCAACTATTAATAGCTGGAACTACAATCATGCACCACCACACCCAGCTAATTTTGTATTTTTTGTAGAGACAGGGTCTTGCCAGGCTGGTCTCCAACTCCTCGGCTCAAGCAATCCTCCCACCTCAACCTCCCAAAGTGCTGGGATTACAGGCGTGAGCCACCATGCCTGGCCTGATTCTTTAAATATATATATCTACATATATACCAAAATTCTTGTTTTTTTCTTTTTGTTTTTGTTTTTAAAAAAAGGGCTTCTCTCTCTATGGGGACTCCTACCTTGCTAGTGGTAGCAGCAAGTGCAATAAGCATGAATTGGGTTTCTGTCACTCCCACCAAAACTGCTTAAGATTACTATTGTTATGAGTTTTGTGACAGTGTCTAGTCAAGTTCATTGATTTACACCTTAGAGTTACTTATTTATCTTCAATATTCCTGGAAAGGAAGATAAGGCATTCTTATTTGAGGGAGACAGTAACAGTAAGAAAAGAAAAAAAAAAGAATTCTTAAAAATAAGTTTGCCAAAATTTAAAAAATCAAATCAAAGCATTGTAGTAAAGTCAGAGCAATCTCCCAGAAAGATAGAAAGGAAAGAAAAAGAATTGAAAAACGAGAGAGAAATAATACATAATAGGAGTTCCAAAAAGAAAGGAAAATAATAGGAAGACAAATTATCAAAGAAATAATATAAAAATATTTTGGAGAAATGAAGGGTAAGATATTCCATACTGATAGGACTGCTCCCAGCAAGAGAAGAAAAACAAAGCTCCAAGATGCTCTTTGTAAAATTTAAAAATACAAAAAGATCCCAAAAGTCTCCAGAAAAAACTGGTCCATGAACAGTAACTGCCATCAGGATGGTCAACAGACTTCTCAAAAGCAGCACTGGAAGAGAGAAGACAATGGCATGGGAATTTTGGAAACCCCCCCTTAGCGTGGTCAACTCATGTGCCTAAGGGAAAATCAGCGATAGATTAAGACGGCTCTGCAAATTGGGGGGAAAAAGAGTTAACAAGTAACATCAACAAAAATAAACAGATCTACAAAACGAACAATCACAACTAGACTCAGGAAAACAAACCATTATCTACATTCTCTTAACAACATCAACAATACCGATTTGAATTTAAATTGTGACATAATTATATTGGGGATAAGGATAGGAAAAATTGGGGTGAGACTATAATACTAAATGTCTTTCTTCCATAACAAGAGTAGTTTAAATTGATAAATCAAGAGACAGCAGGATAGAAACATAAAGATAAATACAGAATAAATTGTTAGTTCTCTGAGGATTGGGACTCAGGGAGGAGTGAGCTAGGAGACTGTTATTACATTATACCCTTTTCTACTATTAAAATATAAAAAGTTCTACTTAAAAATGCAAGAATATGAATAAATGAGCAGTTAAAACAATAAATATTGAATGGCAAGTTCTTCATTAATTAGCTAGTGTGCGCTCTCGCTCTCTCTCACACACACACACACAGAGTTCATATTATAGCTTTTGTTGCACATACCACCAGAAAAAAAGATGGGCTAGCTATATAGAGATGATAATTTTTCTGAATCTCTTCAATTTTTACTAAGGACATACTATACACTACACATTCACAGGAATGAGACAATAAATAAGGTTGTCCTTGGATGTACAACTATGATATAACAATATTTTAAAATACAAAAGAAAAAAAAGTAAGTTTGTCCCTGGGGGTCATCTGCCTTGAGACGTTACAAGGCTCATTTTCTTATAATCCTGAGGCAGAAAAATATCTACATTTTCATTCAATCCTTTTGTTAATGTCATGCATTAACTTTAAATAAGAGTATTTCCTTACTCTGCATAATTTATTAATTTCATCATTAATGCTTGGGCTCCTTCTCTTAGCCACATGCTATGATTCTCTGAACCCACATCCAACTCACAGAAGTGCTCGGCTCTCTAGACATTTCTGCAAAACAAACTATTAACTCCTTCTGGGGAGTCAGATGGCAACAGGAGGGCCAGAGAGAATTGTTCTACTTTTTATTTTAGTGCTAGAATGACTGAATCACAAGAGTAAACATTCCATCACTTTTATCAGTTTTTAAAGAACCACATTTAAGTGCCTTCAAGTTACGCAATATCATTATATTCACTTCATTGAATACAAAGTTTTAGAGCTAAACATCTGCTATTCTTGGCCACCTCCTAAGGAGCTCAACTCACTGCCAGACTTAGAGAAACACCTCCACACTCCTTCAGTACTCTGTCCGGTGGTATTTGTGTCTTCCCAATGTATTATGTGTATATAGTCTATCCGCCACCCCGGCCATTATTCTGAATATCTCTTTTAATTGAAATCAAATTATCTTTGATTTCTAGCACCTAATAATAGTACCTACAACATAGTAGGAACATACTATAAATAAACACCTCACAAATGATAATACAGCCAATAATGATTTAAGCTTTTGGAGATTTTACTGTAATAAACCCACAAAATTGGCTGGGCGTAGTGGCTCATGCCTGTAATCCCAGCACTTTGGGAGGCCAAAAGGGTGGACCACAAGGTCAGGAGATCAAGACCATCCTGGCTAACACGGTGAAACCCCGTCTCTACTAAAAATACAAAAAATTAGCCAGGCATGGTGGCGGGCGCCTGTAGTCCCACCTACTTGGGAGGTGGAGGCAGGAGAATGGCCTGAACCCAGGAGGCGGAGCTTGCAGTGAGCTGAGATCATACCACTGCACTTCAGCCTGGGCGACAGAGCGAGACTCTGTCTCAAAAAAAAACAAAAACAAAAAAACCCACAAAATCATTATTCCTACAAAAGTTGTTAGGTGAGCAATGTCCATCATGTATAACCACTGCTTTCAAAGTCAGGAAGCATTTTAAAAGGTTATGTATGACAGATGCATTTGGGAACCACCACAACTGCTATAAAAGGTAGACATTATTTCATCTAATGAATGGATAAAAATAAAATGAGCTCTGGGCCCCCTGCTTTCTTCCTCCCTTCCAGAAACACAACCAAAGAAAAGGCAAACAAAGAATGAAAACTGCCAGATGGATCCCCTACTAATTCTCACTGGACCTTATCACTTAAAGGAAAAGGAGGACAGCACCAAAGAACACCTTTTAATGGCTTTATTTTGCTGCGAAACAGCAGCTTAAAACAGGTGTTAGAAACCGATGAGAGTCCTAGTCTGTTTCCCACTAACTTGTCTTGTCAGTCTGGCAGTGTCTGGGGGCCTCAATTCATGTACCCATCAAATGAGGAGGCATGCTGGGTTATTTCCAACAAACCTATCCACTCTAACATTGCATGGCCCTTATCTGCTTCAGTAATTAGATGAATTCACTGAATACGTCTTGTTTTCATAATTTGGCTCTGTGGGCTACATGGCACCATCTGATTATGAGAGTATATAATTTATTTACAAAAATAGTATACATCTATTTATATTTGATGCCACAGAAAGTCAGGTATAGGATTAAAAACCCCTTTTGGAAATCAAATGTGCTTATAACTATCACAATCTATTTATCATTTAGTGTTAAATTATAAATGAGCCACTGCATATTAATCAATTCCCCTCTAGAGCTCAGTTAGCTTTTTGTACACCTTATAGGCCATTATCTTCTTTTTTGGATATTGTATCTATAGAAGTCTATGTAGAAATAACCAGTTGCATTATAAATAACTATTCATGTTTCCATCTCTCCCAGAGGCCTAGAGATCCTCATATTAAAGGAGACTGTTTTTCTTAATATTGTGTCTCCAATATCTGGTTAAATATACTAACTATAATAATTATTCGTAAATGTTGGCTAAATGAACATGGCGGAGCCTCATTGCTGACTCAAACTCCATTCTTCCCTTTCCCCGTAGGTAACAGAATGCCAGTTTCACTAGAGTTCCAGCATACTCTGGTCAAGACTATATTTCCCAGTGTTATCGCATGTGGCCATGCAATTAAGTTCTAGCCAATTAAATGTATGAAGAAATACTGTGTGGGACCTCTGGGAAGGCTCCAGAAAAGAGGTACCTTATTTGTTCTTCTTTGTTCTCGCTTTCCTCCTTCCTACTGACCCAAGTTCAAACAGCAGCCATCTTAGACTATGAGTTAACCATGGAGCCACATGACAGATGGCAGAAAATGAAAAGTGTGTGATGACTTACTTTAAGGAGCCTCCATAACAGCCACAGATATCCAACTTGCAGAGTTCTTTCACATGAGAACAGAAAGCCTCATGTGTTTAAACCACCACAGGCAGGTCTCTGTTACATCCAAACCTAATCCCTAATGTATACAATGACTGTTTCCTGAGAACAGTTTTACCATTAGTAAAGGAACCCTATGAAAAGTTTTCAAAGTTTCATAAAAGTAAGCAAACTTTAATCTAAGTATGCATTGGTTCTTTGGTCTTTATTGAAACTATGACTTGGTGAGAGGAGGAAAGGATTTTCCTTTTTTTTTTTTTTTGGTTGCAGGATACTATGGGGAAAGATTGTCTTGCCCATGTAATCATTCCTCCTAATCAAGCTCAACATCCACACATATACCTTATTCATACCCCAGGGAAAACAAGCTGATATGCACAAATTTTTAGCACTCACACAAATACACCAATTTAAAGATGTCTATTTCCTTTCAGTTGAACAAACTTTCAGTGAACATTTTTACAATCAACTTATTCAACCAGCACAAATCCTACAGAAGCTTTTAAAATGTTTAAACTTCTAAAATTGACCTACTATTCAGAAGACTCATTCATGCTAAAGAATAGTTAATGAGACTTTTACTGTAGAATTAAAACATCAACTATGCTGAGGCAGTTCTTCTAAAAAAATTCCTTCAAGGTTAAAAAATTAAAATAAAACAAGAGTGTTTTGATTTGTGGCATCATAAACATATTAGGCAAATGACTAGAATGGATTTTATAGAAGCACATGTGATATTAAATTGAGATCAATATGTCACAGTCTTGAATTTTTAGAAGGGTCTAAAACTATCACCCACCTTGACATACATTTAAGAAAGAACATCTACAGCTGAAAGACAGACTTTCTCTTAGTAGAATGTGTAGGTTTACAGTGACACAAGGAAGAATTACTAACACAAATTAAATCTTTATTTTTAACTGTTCAAAATGAGACCATAAAGGGTACAACAACTGACAACCCCACTGAATCCTTTAAAGTAACACCTAATAATACCCTGGCAGACACTGTGGCAACCCTGCCATAAACGAGCATTCACATTCTTCCACAATAGTGAAATCTATTTACATCAATTCTACCATCATTAAATTATTGGTTCAGCCTATTAGATTTTAACCTCCTGGAATTCTAATGGAGCTTCTACTTCCAGGTAACATTTTAAAAAGACAAGAGTAGGCCGGGCACAGTGGCTCATGCCTGTAATCCCAGCACTTTCGGAGGCTGAAGCGGGCGTATCACGAGGTCAAGAGATTGAGACCATCTTGGCTAACATGGTGAAACCCCGTCTCTATCAAAAATTTAAAAAAAAATTAGCCGGGCGTGGTGATGGGCGCCTGTAATCCCAGCTACTTGGGAGACTGAGGCGTGAGAATGGCGTGAACCTGGTAGATGGAGCTTGCAGTGAGCCAAGATTGCGCCACTGCACTCCAGCCTGGGCAACAGAGCGAGACTCTGTCTAAAAAAATAAATAAGTAAAATAAAAAGGAGTAGCTACCAATTTCCAATTTTATAAAATTTCTCCTTTAGCTCCTTAAAAAGGCCATAACACTATTAACAATCTTCTATAATTAAAAACAACTATTTTCTAGACCTAGTTGGAAGAACAACTTAGGAACTAGAATGAACATAAAGAGAGATGGTAGTATGGCTTACTAAGATGAATAAATTATTCTCTGGTTAATTTCTCTTAAATACAACATACGAATTGAAAAAGTAGAAGCTGCTTTCTATATTTTGTTTACAAGAATTAACTTAAGTGTCTGTACAAAACCTCATCACTTTTGTGACCACACGTTCATACATCCTAAAATAGGTAACAGTCTTGATTTGCACAGTAAAATAATCTACCAGGACGCTTAGGGGAAGATACCTTCTTCATCTTTAACAGGAAGTTACCTGAAGGCAAAACAGACTGTAAAAGATTTGGTTTACTGCTTTGTAACTACAAGGGGTTAAGCAGGAAGTAGTCTTACCTGTACCGTTGAGCGTACTGTTTTTATTTGTGTACAGCCTGATCATATGACCTATTGTTTTCACATTTTCTCTCAACATTATACCTCGAGCTTGTACCATAAAGAGATATGTGTTGGCTATAAAAGAAAAATAGAGAAAGAATGTCATAACACAGTAAGCTTTTTTTTATTTAATAAAATAATATTCAGAATTGGGGAAGTGCCCAATAAACATAAACTGACTCAATCAGCACGTCCAAACGCAAAACAGAAATATAAAATATTGCCTACTATAAAAACTGACAAAAACAAACTGATTTTTTAAGAATAAAAACAAAAAAAAAGTTGAAATACCCACCTATCAAATAGAATGAAACTAACTGAACAAACTAAAATATTATAATGAACCCCCACATCTGTGATTTTCTACTATAAAATATACTTAGAAATTTCAAAAAGGCATTTTATTACAGATGCTCAATCCTACAGTTACAAAATTCAGTTTCTCTAATTATATATTAATTTCCTACCAAAAACTTCACAAAAGCTAGGATTCCTTATAAATCCCATAATATCTAGTAGGAATAAAGATCTTGCAATGGTCCTGAAAATTCTTGATGTGTTTGCGGGGAGGGGTGATCTAGGATCAGTATCTGTTTGGGTCATTTCTAAGAGTTAATTAAACTTTTACACTCCCTTTCAATCACAAATCTTTCTACCAGGATGGTAAAAGCAAATAAAATCAAAATCAATGTGTATTTTTAAAGCAGCTCAATTTAATTATTCACAATAAGTGCTTCAAAAATAGGACCCAAATTTCTTCTGCTGGGAGAAACTGGTAAATTGACAAAGCTTTATCGCAAAAATCCCTAACTTTTGAGATGTCCAGACTCCCCAGAGGCACAGAACTAAGTCAGAAACTCCTTTCCTGGTCCCAATTCTGTTAGTGCTGTGCATAACTTTGTACAGCTCCTTGGATCTCAGTTTCCTCGTTTTCACAAGGCAGGTGTGCAAGTAGTGCATTCTTCTTTAAAGTCTCTAAACACAAAGCTAAAAAATCATAAACTCCATTCAGATGAGAGGCAGAGGCTCACTATCATGGCAAAAACCAAGAAACTGCAAGCCTCAGTGAATGACTCAATTTTAAGATAAGCTGTCTCTGAATACAGTAATGACACTCTCCAAAGATGAATGCTGAATGAAAAAAATTAGGAATGCTGACTAATTTTCTAAGTGCTGCTCCAGTTTCTCAAGATGGAATAGAGGGATGAGAGAAATTTAATGTTTACTACCTTCTTTCCCACTTTTTATGTAAATGTGAACTTGCTCAAAGTACATATGAAGAGAGCATAAATTAAACTACTAGAAAAGCAGAGTAAAATAAAACTTTTCTTTCACCTCCAGAAAAAAGAGACAAACAGAAATCCAGGTTTCACATAAGCTTTACAGATACCTTTTTTAAAAGCATGTCTACAGGCTTTCTAGAAAGTAGTCTTATAATTAGATTTAACTTGCCTACACCTGAATTTACTATACTAGTTTACAAATACAACACATTTTGACTACATTTTTGTACTTAAGTGGACTTTAAAAGAATGAAGACTCACGCCTGTAATTCCTGGGAGGCCGAGGCGGTTGGATCATGAGGTCAACAGATCGAGACCATCCTGGCCAACATGGTGAAACCCCATCTCTACTAAAAATACAAAAAAATCAGCTGGACATGGTGGTGCAAGCCTGTAACCCCAGCTACTCAGGAGGCTGAGGCAGGAGAATGGCTTGAACCCTGGAGACAGAGGTTGCAGTGAGCCGAGACTGCGCCACTGCACTCCAGCCTGGGCGAGGGAGCAAGACTCCATCTCAAAAAAAAAAAAAAAGAATGAAGAACACAGTCATAAAAAAGAACAAAATCATATGCTTTGCAACAACATGGATGCAGCTGCAGGCCATTATCCTAGCGAATTAACACAGGCACAGAAAACCAAATACCGCATGTTCTCACTTGTAAGTGGGAGCTAGACACTGGGTACTCATGAACAAAAGATGGCCAGCAACAGAAACTGGGGACTACTACAAGAGGGAGGGACAAAGCGGGGCAGAAGTTTAAAACTACCTATTGGGTACTATGCTCACTACCTAGGTGGCAGGATCAATCATACTCCAAACCTCTGCATCATGCAATATACCCATGTAACAAAGTTGCACATGTATGCCCTGAATCTAAAATAAAAGTTGAAATTATTTAAAATAAATAGACCATATGGGGGAAAAACTTATTCACACAATTTAAATATATATTCATAAGTAAGGTTTGTGGGTTTTTTGCCATCTATGTTTTTGTTCTTAATGTTAGTTTCATAAAATAGACTGTACACATTGCTGTCATTTTCTTAACTCTGCAACAACTGATATAGTGTGGCAGATATTAAGCCCTTAAAAGTTTGAATTGACTTCTCATAAAAAGTCATCTAAAAGTTGTAATCTGGCCGGGCGTGGTGGCTCATGCCTGTAATCCCAGCATTTTGGAAGGCCAATACAGGCGATCTCTTGAGGTCAGGAGTTTGAGACCAGCCTGGCCAACATGGTGAAATGCCGTCTCTACTAAAAAAATACAAAAAAAAAAAAAACTAGCCAGGCGTGGTGGCGCACGCCTGTAACCCCAGCTACTCGGGAGGCTGAGGCAGGAGAATCACTTGAACCCAGGAGGCAGAGGTTACAGTGAGCCGAGCCAGGACTGCGCCACTGCACTCTAGCCTGGGTGACAGAGTGAGACCCTGTGTCAAAAAAAAAAAAAAAAAAGTTGTAATCAGACACCTGTTCCAATTCCTCTCTGTCCATGTATCAGTTTGTTGATTTGTTGAATGCCTGCCCTCTGCCAGAAATTGTATTAGGTGTATTTCAGTTTCTATTTATTCTTGATACAATTTGGAGTATTTTGTCCCAGAGATTCAAAGTTTCATTGAGATATTCAAATTAGGTAAAGCTGTGCATAACTTACGTAATTTTCGAATCTCTTCTACTTTTGATTTTTAATTGTTTTCTCCCCTTTTGTATTTAAATTTGAAAATAAACATGTCATCCTTGTGCAGGGGCCATGTTAATCTCTGTATTGTTCCCATTTTTGTATATTTGCTGCCAGAGCAAGCACTCCCTTTTATTTTTATAAGACTTGTCATATTTGTGTATTCCATTGCTTATACTTAAATAATCTGTCTTGAATATCTCAATTCTTTTTTCCTCTATTTTTAAATGTATTAGTTCCTGATCTTATTCTTGTATAGACTTTTTTCTAATTTCTTAATCCATATTAATTTTTTCATAATGAAAGTATCTACAGCAACAAATTCATCTTTGGTAACTACAAAAACATGGAAGAAAAGAGACGAAGAGAAAAAAGAAAACTAAAAGAACAGCCAACCAAAAATGCAGGAAAATGTTCAATAGAAGACAAGCTAACATTAACAACTCCGCCTAAGTGAAGACCCAAAGTTCAACTGAAATTATCTGGGTGGGGCAGCATCACATAGATTACTAATGACACCTGGTTTGCAGCACCTTGGATTATTTAATCCTAAAGTTACATATGAAATTTGTTGTCAGTAATATAAACATCTTATATTTGTGCTACACCAAACTGTGAAAAGAAAACCTGCCACAAAGTACTAGAACTCAGCCTAAGGCAAAAAACTTGTACTTCCAGGACTGACCCTGGCCTAAGAAATGAGATGCTAAGTAGAAGCATTATATGCATTATTATGTTTCCTGGAAACAACTTTTTAAATTATACAACTTGTAGGTAACAAAACTGTTAAAAATGATGATCTTTTTTTTTTTTTTGAGACAGGGTCTCACTCTGTCATCCAGGTTGGAGTGCGGTAGCTCCACCTTGGCTCTCCGTAACCTCCACCTCCTGGGCTCAAGCGATCCTCCCACCTCAGTCTCACAAGTAGCTGGAACTGCAGGCACCTGCCACTATGCCCACCTAATTTTTTGTATTTTTTGTAGAGACAGGGTTTCTCCATGTTGCCCAGGCTGGTCTCGAACTCCTGAGCTCAGGCAATCCGCCCGCCTCAGCCTCTCAAAGTGGTGGGATCACAGGCGTGAGCCACCGCACCAGGCCTTTAAAATGATTTTTTATGGTACCTCTAACAAAGGTGAATTATTTACCAAAAGAGTGCATTTACTATTCATTAGATGAAGACCAAAATTAAGAAAAGCAACACACCAATTTCTCCAAATAGAAAATCTATTCCTTTATTCCAAATCATTTACAGCTAATTGAGTTACATTCCTCAGGTTAATGGTCCTCATGGGTTTAATCCCTAAAGACCAAAACCCATTAGGGAATGAAGCTGTGTTTAAACAGAAAGTGGCTGTTAACCGGAAGAAAGTGCTATGTCACAGGGTTGCAAGACACACTAAACCAGCATGAGAATGGTTCCAATTGTCTGCTTTCCAAACATAAAACTATGTTAACCCAAATCCAAAACTTGCTTATTAGTAGTAGTATAAAATGTAATGTCTTTTTTTTATTATTATACTTTAAGTTCTGGGGTACATGTGCAGAATGTGCAGGTTACATAGGTTTACACATGCCATGGTGGTTTGCTGCACCCATCAACCCGTCACCTACATTAGGTATTTCTCCTAATGTTATCCCTCCCCTAGTCCCCCAACCCCCGAGAGGCCCCAGTGTGTGATGTTCCCCACCCTGTGTCCATGTGTTCTCATTGTTCAACTCCCACTTATGAGAACACGTAGTGTTTGGTTTTTCTGATCTTGTGATAGTTTGCTGAGAATGATCGTTTCCAGCTTCATCCATGTCCCTGCAAAGGACGTGAACTCATCCTTTTTTATGGCTGCATAATTCCATGGTGTGTATGTGCCACATTTTCTTAATCCAGTCTATCACTGATAGACATTTGGGTTGGTTCCAAGTCTTTGCTATTGTGAACAGTGTCACAATAAACATACGTGTGCATGTGTCTTTATCATAGAATGATTTATAATCCTTTGGGTATATGCCCAGTAATGAGATTGCTGGGTCACACGGTATTTCCAGTTCTAGATCCTTGAGGAATTGCCACACTGTCTTCCACAATGGTTGAACTAATTTACCCTCCCACCAACAGTGTAAAAGTGTTCCTATTTTTCCACAACAGCTCCAGCATCTGTTGTTTCCTGACTTTTTAATGATCACCACTGTAACTGGCATGAGATGGTATCTCACTGTGGTTTTGATTTGCATTTCTCTAATGACCAGTGATGATGAGCATTTTTTCATATGTCTGTTGGCTGCATAAATATCTTCTTTTGAGAAGTGTCTGTTCATATCCTTCGCCTATTTTTTGATGGGGTTTTTTTCTTGTAAATTCAAGTTCTTTGTAGATTCTGGATATTAGCCCTTTGTCCGATGGATAGATTGCAAAAAATAAAATGTAATTTCTTATTGGCAAGACTTTAGGTAGAGAAAATCCTTGTCTAAAATATCTATTCCAATTTATAAGAAACCCTCATTTCATAAAACTAATAGGGAAACCTACCACTGCTTAATTAAAACCATGCTGTGTGTTCTCTAATTTCATTCATTTTCTATTTGACTCTGCATTGTGAGACATAAATCTAACTTCTTTACCAGTTCTGCTTCCCAGAGGGTAACAACATCAGAAAAAAATTTAAAAAATAGAAAGAATAAAACCTATCTTCAACAGTTTATGAAAGCTTTTGGGCCAGGCATTCTATCCTGAGTTTATGAGGCAAACTTGTCTAATTCTTCACTTAAGAAAATTAAGGGACACATCTGCTATAAAACTGTGCCTCCCAGCCCCTTTCCACATCCAGCTTTGCTCACTAACAGTGCTGTAAGGATTCAAGATAAGAAGAACATGCCTGCCTGCAGGGATCTAGAACTGTTTCCTGGGCTTTGCAGGACACCAACGCAGCATCCCTGTGATCCTGATATCTCTGTTCCTAGCTGCTATGACATGCTGCCACAGTTCCCAGGTCTCTTAACAAAAGTCTAGTGAATAAATGATTTTGAGAGGGAGATGATGATCTTGGTCAGGCAATCTGGGATGCAGTTATAAATGTAGGACTGAAGCTACAAGAGGGCTAGAAATACCATTTGGGGAGACATTCAATAAATGTAAAACCTGGAACTATCGTGATAAATTCCCAGAGGAAAAATTATCCAAAAAGGAGATAAGAAGGTGAAGATCTGATGTATGAAGACAGACCACAAATAGGCAGCACAAAGATAAAAGATCCCAAAGTGAATTAATCTCAGCTTGAACACAGTGAAAATGCTAATGGACTAAAGAAGAGGGAGAGGTAAACCACGTGAAATGCTGCAGATGCTAAGGAGAAGGACTTAAAAACAACAGCTTAAAAAAATTCAGCATACTCTCTTTGTCAAGCATACTTTACATATACTAACCTATGTAATCCTCACAAGCAATTCTATAAGGCAGGTACTATTATTATCCCCATTTTTCAGATAAAGAAATTGAAGCATGGAGTTGCATAACTTGCCACAGGTCACAGAGTTGTTAGTAAGTGGTGGAGCCAGAATTCAAATCCCAGCAGTGTGGCCCCAGCAAGCTAGCCCTTGACCATCACACCATTTAGCCTCTTTAAAAAGCCTACAGGAGATCACTGTAAGCCTTTAAGACAGCAGCTTCAGGAAGCAGTGGAAACCAAAGGAAAATAGTAAAGATTTCAGTGGATACTGACAAAGTGAAAGCAGCAAGTTTCAGAAAAGGAAAATAAGTGATTAGCAAGGTCAAGGGAAGGTTTTCTGGAAGAGCAGGGCCCTGAGCATGTCAGCAGCCTGAGTGGAAAAAAACTAGAAGAAAGGGTGAATAATTTCAGGCACTAAAAGAAGCAAGAGGAAGGAGAAAAAACCATTCTGTTGGTGGGAAAGTTTAAGCAGAGGCTGAAGTGCACAGGGGCAGTGCACACCCAGGGAATGACAATCTGCCCTGAGTGGAGATGGGTAGTAACGGAAGTTAGGAAGGGTCAAGCAGATGGAGAGTTTAAAAAAAAACAAAGGAGAGTGAAAGGACGAGAAGTCATTGTGAGGATGAGACATAACTGTTAACAGAGGTGAGAAAGTTCCAGAAGCAGAAGGTTAAGAAGGCGTGGTCTGGAGAGGTGCAAGGGAGAGCAGGCCACAGCTATGCTGACACCCAGGGCATGCCCAGGCGGAGTGAGGGCAGAAGACAAGAGCTAGACATCCTGGTGGTCAGCAACGAGGATGGACACGGGGGACAAAGTGGAAGGCAACATTCAGAATTGAGCACTGACTGCCGAAATCGTCCAGGGATATAGAATCTTGGCAGGCATAGGTTTCTGAAGAGCAGAAGATGAACTAACATTTACTAAGTGCTGAGTTTGGTCAGGCACTGAGCTGAAGTCCACATATAAATATATGTTAAGTACACATACACAATTATATTTCCTTTAATTCTTACAACCACCTGGAGTTGGCTGACTGGAAATCCCCAAAAAGATATGCCCACACCCTAATTCCCAGAACCTGTGAATGTGACACTCAGAAAGGGGTCTTTCCAGATGCAATTAAGCTAAGGATTCTGAGATGAGGAGATCATCCTGGATTACCCAGGTGGACCCTAAATCTAATGGCAAGTACTCTTCTAAGAGAAAGGTAGAGATTTCACACACTCTCACAGACACACACACACAGACACACACACACACACGAAGGCAATGTGAAGACAGAGGCAGTGATGTGGCCACCAGGCACCTGAAGCTGGAAGTCGCAGAAGGATTTTCCCCAGAGCCTCCAGAGGGACTGTCCTGCCAACACCTTAATTTCAGACTTCTGGCCTCCATAATTCTGAGAAAATAAACTTGATGTTTTAAGCCAACATGTGGTAATGTGTTATGGCAGCCTTAGGAAAATAACATACCACCCCACGACAGGTACAACTTTCTCCATTAGAAGATGAGAAAACAAACTCAAAAGAAAGTTAACATAAGTAGAATTAAAAACTCAGGATTCAAGCACAAGCCGGAGTGACTCTGAGGGGAAGGGATTTGGAAGAAATGTTGGTTCAAGGCCACAGAGGAGAGGGAGAGACAAGGAAAAAGAAATCTTCATTGTAAAAAGTTATGAGGGAAGTGAACATATGAGAGATAAACCAGATTTCCTTTAATACAAAGAGGAGGAGAAAGCCAGAAGAGATCCTTAAAAGTTACAGAAGAGAAAATGATTTCCCATATTATCTACGGAACACTGGAAATAATATGGACAAAAGTGAAAATCTTAATGCACCACTCAATAATAACTACAGATATGTGAATCAGGTATCTCTTTCTAAGAATTTCTAAGAATTTATGATAATCTTCTAAGTATCTGTTTCTGATGCTGAAAATTTTTCTTCTTTCCACATCTAGCCTCTTGTTCAATAAATCCCCAAGAATTACTCATCCATGTGGGTAAAGGAAAATATGTTATCTTCAATAACAATGGTGTAAACCCCAAAGTTAGGCCAGATTATATATGAAATATTATTCATACTACACCTAGGACTAAGGAAGGTATTACTTGGATTAAAAACAAAAAATAACAAATGTCAAGGATGTGCCAGGCTGTTTAAAAAAAAAAAAATTCTTTTATGTCAAAGTACTATTTGACCATGGTGACAATAATTCAAAACCATGTATGAACTCAAGGAAATCTGCAGTGCAAATTATTACTAACATATAATATCCTTACCTCTACTTTTCAAGTTATAAGCTGACAGAGTCTGCAAGAATTCTGTGTTCAGAGCCCCACTTTATCAAACAACAAATACAATGATCACATACAGGAGATCTATTTCAGATCTTAGCTAACAACTCAAGCTTTGCAGATGCAAATACTAAAAACTGACAAGAAATTCTTTGTAAAAGGTGTCTTTACAATTTCCACTCTGCAGTTTAACAATTTTAAGTTATTTCTGGAGAATCTTTGTGTTTGAATACTGATCAAGGTTAAACATTTTTAAATGAAAACTGACTTTTCCAATGATCTTACTAAAAATGTTCAGGGTGGAAACATGTTTATCCACATGTTTATTGAGTGTCTGCCGTTTACCAAGCAATGCCAAAAGTTAAGGGGCCATCTGGCTTCCTCTGTAAAGAACCAAGATCCTGCAAAGGCACAAACTGTCTAAAACATCAGAAGGACTTTTCCAACAACCAGATCATTAGTTCAGCCTACTTTAACCCTAGTTGATAATTCAAAAAGTAGACTCTGAACCTAGTGATATGAAAACACTATCTAACAAAAGATAACTATCAGCCTTGTCATCTGCTAATGCACTGTGTAATTCACTTAAAATAATAACTATATAGCTTTTTTAAAGCATGACAGGAACCCTAAGAGAGTTATGAACCACACTGGGGAAAGTGGAATCAGGAGGAAATGAAGAAATCAAGGAAGGAAGAATGCAGGAAATTAAACAGATCTTAAAAATCTAATCAGGAAACTAACTTAATGACATTACAGACTAAAAGACCAAGCCATAAATAAGCAGGCCCAGGAAACATTATAAAATTGTTGAAAATTAGTGATGTCAGAGTATATAAGTGTACAGTATATAAGAAGTCTATCAAAATGAAGTAAAATGTGAACTATTTGAATATGTTTTATAATCACCTCCAATTTACTTGTGTTTTCACAATTAAAATACCTTTCAGAATTCCAACTTAGTATTCATGAAAGGAAAATGAGCCTAAAATGAGAATCAGAGAAGGGAACTGGGTAGGAAATGAATTTCAAAGACTTCCAAAGCATATTTTCAAATCAGTAAACAAGGCACCTTTTAATTCTCTACCTTTGGTCTCTTGATTCAAATGAAAATAATGTCCAATTTCTCTTCCTATGAGTCAAACTGAAAATTGCACTATAATTAGAAGTCATAATTTCTGAGCAATTAACTTAATTATCAGGAAGGCAATACACGTAACAAGATTTCAGTAAAATCATATTAACACTTGCCTCAAATATATAAAAACAGGCCATAGTATTCAATCAAGATATCATGTCATAGTAACAAACTTCATATAGCTACTTAAATATACCACTGTAAAGATATTATAAAAATGACTTTTCTAGCCAAATGCTAGGAAATGCTTTGAAATTACTTCCACTGAGTAACCTATAATGCTATCCAGTTTAATAAGTTTTATTGATCTTAAGTAAATTACAATGTCTCTAATAATTAAAAACACTAAATAACAAATTTAGGATGACCTAGGACCCAATCACCTAGTCACTGCAGACTCATAAAGGAACACATGATCCTGGTTGGTATGAATAATGTATCCGTCCATTTCTCTTCTGAAGGAAAAGATTCTTCACCATGACAGCCATCTCTATTGCCAGTAAAACATGATGTTATAAACAAGTTAATCAGGTTTTCAGTAAGTAAGATTAGTTCTATGAAATATCAAATGATGTAAGATAATCAATTTAGAAAAGTATGTAGCACTATTTTTTCCCCACCATTTGGGGTATTTTTCAGAAACATCGCTCCCAGTGTGCAGAAACATCTGGGTACGTGTTAAAAATTAATCAGAATCAGAATCTCCCATAAGACCTGGGAAATAAGCTTATTAAAGCATATCACCTTAAATAAACCTTAAGCACATTCATATTTGAAAACTATTTCTTGTAGTAATTCTCCACACATAACATTTGTAACAAGTAAAACAGTAGACCCTTCCTTCCAAATCAGTTTAACTTATATTAAATATATCTTCTTTTACATAGCTTTTGAATATACCACAATTCATTTGGACATAAGAGTATCTGTGTTTCATCCTTAATGAACACATAACACAACAATTTGGTGAAGCCAAAGACTTTCACTAATTCAAGTAATTAAACATAAAAACAAAGATGCAAGCAAAAAGCCATACTACACTTCTGGAGGAAAAAAAATAAAACATTAAGATTTGAAATTACTAAGTATATTTTCCTAAACATTTTGCTGTGCTTCACAGCCAAAAATATAATTACTGACATAAACATCCTTTAAGCTAACTCTCCTATTTCAACTGAGAAGGGGGTATTGCTGTATCTTAAACCAAACTCAGCTAAATTTTGCTAAAACCAAAAACAATTATGTCCACAGGCAGTCTAACCATGAAACATAGCAAATCAAACTGGCCTAATACAGGATGTAAATGCTGAAGAAAAACAGAATTGAGTGCCACCTGAAAGTTTCCAGTGGGCCCAAGATATGAGGTAAAAATATCTCATTATAACTGGAGTAAATGCTTAATTTTCCAAAGGCATGTTAAAGGCATTATGGGTATCCTCAGAAAACCTACTCTCAATCTTCACTTGAATCGATCTTCAACCTGAATCACTGTATTACTTGTATATTATTCTCTTTATTATCCTGACAAAAGGCAGAATTTGAATGAAAACATCTTTTAAATATTAAATCACCGTGTCCTTCAGGAATTAAAAAGAAAACACGAAACAGATTCAGAGGGACAAGGGGAAAGGAGAAAAGAGGAAGGGAAAGAGGTGGGGACAGCCAGCTTAGGCTGGCAAACCGCAGGCTCAGGCAGTGGTGACAAAAGCCAGCTTGGTCCAAGGCGGCCAAGAAAATGGACTAGAAAAAGAATGTTGCAAACATACAGGTCTGAGGAGCTCCCAATGGCGACCTAGGAAACCCAAGCTCTAGAAAAATCACTCCTCACACATGTCTCACCTCAGCCTCCCCTCCTACCTCCACATTTCTACTTAAGACAAACATGAAAGGCAGGCTTGAAAGGGAAAAGGAGTCACAAAAGACAGTGTGGGTGGCGGACAGGTAGAGGAGCAGGTCTGCCCTTTTGCAAGGTAAGCCAGGGTGCTGCGGAGTCTAAGCACACAGTATAAACACAGCACTGAGTAACAGTGTTTAAGGGAATCCAAGAGGTCTGTCCAGTATCCCAAACAAAGCACCCTCTCCAGGGTAATCACAGCTTTAAGAGGCGGTCATCTACCCTCACCTCACAATGTGTAAGGAAAGGAGCACTTATAAGGCCACTTATTTCACTGATTGCAGGTCAGTTAGAAGACTGGTCTTTTTTTTTCCTCTCTCTCTCTTTTCAATAAGCCTCAACTCTGCCTCATTGTAATTACCCTCACTGCTAACTTAGGCTATCCAAAAAATTTCATCGCTCGTCTATACAGTATTCCTTCAAACTGAAGAAAAGAGAGCTTGTATTTCCCCAAAATCTTCCATTGTCCAGGGCAAAAATAATTAGTTCCTTCAACTCGGGCACAGTAGAATGAGTCAGGAATCCTAAGGTGTACATTTCAGCTCTTCCAACAATGATGTGTGACACTTTCGGCAAGTGGCCATCTTCCAGAGCCTGTCCTTCCTTCTCTCATTTCACAGACAAGGCTAGCCCTACTGGCAAGGGGTCAGGGGTGTGGCAGGGAAGACATGGATCTCCAAATATGGACAACGCGGTGGGCTCTCTTTGGGATTTTGCTCTTGGGGCTGCTCTGCTCATAGCTCTGGCTCCAGAAACCAATGCTTCTATGCCCAAGTTTCCCCTGGCCTTGGGCCCTTGGACAGGGGGGCAAACGCAAGGGCTCTGAGGGTGAGAGGAAAAGCCACAGCTAGAACCATCAGAGATGAGGCCCAGAAGGACAAGTGCCCTGAGAAGCCCTGCAGGACAACCTGTGAGAAACAGGCTTTCCACAGGACGGGTTAGGAAATTAACTACTGTGTACCACACTGCCTCAAAAGGAAAATGCATTTTAGTCCCAACCAAATTACACGTAGTGTTTGGAATACCTATTACACACAGACACTACAAACCTAGGTGAGAAGTTTCTCTTCTGAAAGTAATCACAGACATGGCTATTTTTATCTTTAATAAACATTAAAGGCAGTAATGATAAGCACTGCTGCAGAAAAAAACACACCTCTGCCTCACTCTGCCACATTGTTTAACAGACTTCAAATGTATTTGTAAAAGGAAGGCTAAGGTGAAAAATAGCAGTTAGCATTGCCAGATTTCAATGAATCAAGTTTCCCTTCAATATTGCCTAATTTCCCACAAGGCCATGGGATTTGGATTAGTTTACACTGAAGAGATATAGCTGAGTCACATATGCTACTTAGGAATGGCAATCTGACTGTGGAAACAATCTCTAACTCATCTCTCATCTCTTGAGTGTGGAATGGACCCAATGACTCTTGTAACAAAGCTAGGGAGTGAGAAGGAGGGTAGCAAATCCCATCGGATACTTTCAAACTATACTTGGTCTTCCTCTGTATTCCAATTTAACCCGTGATTCCATGTTTCAGAGGAAGTCACACAGTGAGTCACTTCCAGTTGAAGGAGTGAGTTTTATTACTCAGATGTGTTGGAGGATAAATAAATACCATTCACCTACATGATGAAGACAATCAAATCTCTCTCCTGGGCAGCACGCCCTTACTTTCATCTGCCTACCTACTAATTCTTCCTGGATATCACACAGGGATCCCAACTCAATTTCTCTAAAAGCAAAATAGCCCCCCAAAGACGTGACTTTCTATACTCCCTATTAATAGCTACCTGAATGTCTAAGCTAGAATCCAAACCTCATGTTAAAGCTCTTCCTGTTTCTTCAAACCTACTATTCCCATCCATTCAACTCTGCCCTGATGAACTACCAACCTCGACAGTTCTAATCTTCTATTGGCCATTGCCCCCTATAACCCATCCTTCATGCTAGAAGGGTCACTCTAAGACAATGGACTGCATCGCTTTCAAGACTTCTGACATTTCCTGTTACTCACAGGACAAAAAAAGCATGGGACATGTGGCCAGTAAGGGAGGCCCAGAAAAAAGAGATGCCCAATACCATGGCCCTCCATGATATTCGGATACCAAATCCGAACTCCTGAAATGGGCCATGCAGATCAGAGCACTGGGTGAATAAAACTGAAAGACCTTTGAAACAAAGCAGACTATTAACAGCTCCAAAGAACACAGCCAGGCCCACTTGCCAGGGCCAGGAGGCTAAAGGGCTATGATAAGAAAGCTGCAGGGTTAACTAGCTACCTTCTGTGCTAGCCCAGGAAGAACCCCAGCCAAAATGCCAGAGGGACTCTGAGGAAAGGACCTAAGATACCTCTCCCACAACATACATGCTTGCACATAGACCCCACACTTTGACTACCCATCGCCATCAGCTCCACCATTTCCAGCAGGGCACACACCCCAGGGAGGCCCAAATAACAAAGCACTCAGCCAGATAATTCCTCCAAGGGCCCAGAGGAAGTCAGACCAAAGTGGCCCAACCAGATTTCACCTCTACCCAGAGAGCAAAACAGCCCGTCAGTGTGTCTAGGAAAGGTCAGGGCTTCTGGTGAGTCAAATGGACAGTGAAATCCCCACTCCCAGGGAAGTTATGTAATCTCCTCCCATTATATAGCCCCACTGATTACAGGCACTATCAATTTATTTTGTAATCACAGAAGCTTTGATAAAGCTGTATGAACAAAGACCAGTCTCTCTCTGCCAGGAATTTTAGAGACCTCAAGCATCTGAACACCATGGCTGGACACTGGAGCCCCAGAGACCTTTCAAAACCTGGCCCATGTGCCACTCCAAGCCCTAAGCAGTAGCTGGATGGAGCTACTCCCATTTTCTAGAAGCTTTGCTCATGCTGTTCCCTCTGACTAGGATCCCTTTGCTCAGTCCAGATAAATCTCATCCATTACATTTCAACCACTTTCTCCTCTGGAAATCCTTAACCAGCCCTCACTTCCCACCACATGCCTTCCAAGGATTTACTACAGCAGTTTTATGGGGCTCAGCCCATTGTACTATGACGGAAGAAAATGAGCCTTAGTCATCTATCTTCCATACCTCAATGTCCAGCCTCTCTTGGGTGCACAACTCCTATTGTTGAATGAACTTGTAAGTCAGCTCATCTTTGATATGACAGCAAGAAAATGACTACGTTATATTGGAAGTTATATTAATAAAGGTTTCCTATTAAATGCAATTCTGTTCTCAATCCAGCCAAGTCAAAACCTTGGAGAGAAACTGCACTCATCTTTGCAATCATGCACAAAGGTAGACACAGAATAAGAAATAATTTATGGCTCTGGCCTCTAGGGGTGGGCTACAGCAATCTGTCCATGGACTTCCTATGGTGTGGTGATGGGGCAGGTGTCTGCCATCCAGTTTCCCTGAGTACTAAGGTTTATAATGTAAAGACTATCCCTGTGTTTCCTGTATGCATTAGACACTTCAAGAAAAATGGTTCCTTGAAAATAATGAGCTTTGAGTTCTATGGAACTCACTGTAGTTGACCCAAATAGTCCAGAAATAGACTATTTCAGAGGAACATCTGAAAACACTGGAAACTAAACAGATTACGCTGCCTACAACTGTGTGATGTATCTGCTCAAGATGGCAAAGAAGAGGAACTAAAATGACAGAAGATCTACCTGGGAAGAAAGCCCATGACATACACAGGGCTCAGGACAGAAAACAAGTAGGGAAAGAGAATTAAAGTTTACCAAACAGGTTGATATGGTAGGATTAATAGGAATTTCTTAACAGAGGAGATTTGAAACGCTTTTTAGGGCACATAAAAAGTACTTACAACATACATTTTAGTCATAAACACATTTTGCCCCAAGATGTAATTCAGGCTAAAATATGAATTATTTTCTTGAAGTTATTATTTCAAGAAAAATCCACATACATCGAATAAAAACTAGTTATAAGAACCTAATTACTTCTGGATATGTCTCATAAATAAGAAATCTGAAGCACTTGTGCAATTGATTGATTGCTGCAGTATGGACTCAACAAGCCACATTTTTCATGGAACATCATTTTTACTTGAAAGAACAACTGAAAAACTATGGTTAAACTTGTGCATCTGACCTACATTTTCTCGAAAATGAGCAAAGTGAGCCTGACACTTCAAGAAAAACTGACAGTATTTGTTGCCAATGATAAAATTCAAACTTTCAAGCGAAAATCTGAATTTTGGAAAACTGCTTCCCAATACTTAAAGATACAAAAGATTAAAAAGGAGGCTTTTTTTGGCTAAATGGTACAGGGTTTTGGAAACAGATTCAGCTTGACAATTTCACAGCATTTTGTAAGTTTTTGGTTTGCACTCTTCTAACTGGTTTTAATAACTTATTATCATTTATAAGACCTACAAAAACAGAGTAGGTTAAGCCACATCAATCTAATTGCCTACAAGACACGTGCCAACATTTTTACATTATATCAGTGACCGTTCTATGGCAAACATTAAGCATTCAAATAAGGAAAATTTATTAGTGTTTCACACAAGTTGAATTAAGAATCTACAAATAATATACTGACGCACTAACTTTAAAAAAAAAGGGATGACTAGAATTCTGATTTCCTTTGGTTAGCTTTTTGAGTAATATAACTTTAACATGTTACTCATAATACTAAGAAAGTGGGAAAATTGTTATGTAAGTGTGAAAAAAACTTTCTCCAAAATCTTTCAAAGTTAAATTCCTAGTAAAAAAACATACCCCAAAGATGTCCAAACTTTTAAAGAGTTACATGAGAAAGTAAAAATTGCTATAGAATGAAGAGTTAATTTATAAGACTCCAAAATGGCAAAAAATAAAGAAAGCTCTTGTTGAGTATCTAGATAATATCAAATCCACTAAGCTACCACTGTCATTTGTACTATAGGCTTCAAGGGGTAGGTTTTTGTGAGGTTTTTTGTTTTTTCTGGCCTAAAGGAAAACTGCAATAATGTTAAAATATTCTTCAAACTTTACCCTAAAACTTCTATTTTGGGATACGTCAACGTTTCACAATGCATTTCTTCTTAAACATCATCATCTGAGTTTATACACCTCACTGAATCCAAAAATTAATTATTAAAGAAAAAGTCTCATAGTAATTTTAAGAAATGAAGCAGTCTGGATTAGGTTTCCATCTTCCTTCCCTGCTGCAATTCACTGCAATAATCTACTACACTCAAGACAATGCCCTGATCATTCCATCTGAAAATTCTGCAGGTGTTTTCACTCTGTAAGGGGCATTACATTTTTAGCTAACTCGGAACAAAGAGCACTGGCTCAAACGACCACAGTGTGTAAGGAGAAATGAGAGGAGATGCTCACTGTTACTAAGTAATTGAACATTAAATACGTAATAGCCAGGAAAAACTCAGAAAAGTTTTGGAAATATGACATATTTTAATATGCATGTGAAGTTCATAATTCTCATTCACTAGAATTAACGCCGCATTGGCTCCTTTTCAACAAATGGGGGACGAGGAATTCGGATATTTAATAAAGAAGTTAATTCAAGCAGTTTTACAAAAGTGTATTTTGCACCAAAGGCCAAAAAATGATAAACCGGTTAACATTTTAAACTACAAGTTCCCTTAGATAACGGTTATTTTAATCACTATTTTCTCAGAAGTCATCCTAACAGGTAGCAAAGGCAACGTACCCTTGAAAATAACACCCAAGCAGACTAAAATAATGGAGCATTGTTTTTACAAGACAACTCATCGCCTTAAAATTCCCCAAGTATGGCACAAAAAGAATGGGGTCCACTGACCCCATTCTAAAAAAGCGACCTAGGACCCTAGAAAACACACATTGTTGGACTCAATCACATTCCCTGCTGCTGGCTCCTCCATATTTTTACAACCAGTTATTATACCCGAGAGTGTTTGAATAAAACTACGATTAAGCACTCAGTTTAGGCTTAAAGACTTAACATTAAATGGATAAAGCTGTCATGAACACTCAAGAAAGCGACTAGGGCATCCCGGGCCATCACACTAATTTTGCTACGTCTATTTAATGCAATCTTTTACGTTATTAACAAACATGCATTAACAAAATGCATGCATTAACAAAACTCACATACCAAAGCCATGCCCTGAAGCAGTTTGACACGTCTGAAATAACATTTAAAACAAAACGCTTTTCTGCGGGCCCCTGTTTGAACAGCTTCCAAATCCCAGAAGTAACATCGGATAACAGCCTGCGCTGGCTGTGGTGTGACCAGGGGAAGCGAGGGTGTGTCTCGGTGCTTACCGATGCCTGGGGCCACATAGATGAAGTACAGACAGGACGAAGAGAGGGAGAAGAAGAAGATGAAGGCGAGGAGAGAGCGATTGGAAACCCGCATCATCCGCCTGAGCACAGACATCTTCCTCTTCCCTGCCAGCAGCCCAGGCTGCGCTCTCAGGCCGGACTCGGGGCCACTGTCCAGGCCCTAAACTTCCATAAATGTGCTGAGAACCCCGAGACTGCAGCGGGGTCCGCGCGGGGAGGCTCTGGGGAGAGGGCCCGAGCGGAAAAGAGGAAATGGGAGGGAGCGGACGGAATGAATGGGAGGCCAGAGAGTCGGGGGAGGGGAGGCGCGGAGGCCGAGGGACAAGAGGTGGAGGGGGGAGAGGGGACTGGGGGCTAGGGGCCCGGGGACGGCAGGACGGAAGAAAGCCGGGGAAGGGCGAGGAGGAGCGTTTTCTCCGCCAAGCAGCGGCGGGAGGAGGGGCTGCAGGTGGGAGGAGGCGCAGGCTGCGCGCCGCGGCGCCCCTGCGGAGAGGGGCAGCTAACTGCAGCACGCCCGGCTCCGCTGCCCGCGCCCGGCGGGGTCCCGCCGCGAAGCCCCGTGCTTAAGGTCCGGGCCGCCCGCGTCCGCTCGGCAGGCCCTGCGCCGCCTCCTACTCCGGGCCGCGGCGTCTCCTGCCTGCGCGGGGCTAGCGTGGGCGCCGGGGCCGCAACCAGCGCGCGCCACGCGCGGGGGCCCGCGGGGGCCCTCGGGGCCGAGGAGCTGGGCGCTCGCCTGCACCGAGCCGCCTCCTCATGCCGCGCCGGGCCCCGGCGCCCCGCGGCCGCCGCGGGAGCTGAGCACAGGCCAGGGCGGCGTCCCGGCCAGCGACGAACGCGCTCCGACTCCGGCCGCCGCCAGCTGCCTGCCTGGCCGCAAGGGCGGCAGCGGCATTACCGCCGCGCGCCCGGGGTGAGGCGCCCCCGCCGGGCCCGCGGACACCAGGCGAAGAGCAACCGGGCGACGCGCGCTGCGGGCAGAGCCGGGGAGCCGGAAGAGCAGAGGCCGAGCGCCGTCGGAGCCGCGTCTGGTTGGAGAAAGAGGCGGACGTGAAGGGGCGGGGGAGCCGCGGAGGAAAACCGGGACCGGCGGGAACGTCTCGAGACCCCTGCGCGCTTCGCGCGCTCGCTCGGAACTCGGCAGGCGGCGCTGCGCCGGGCCCCGAGGAAACCTGGAGGTCCCCGCCCTCCCCGCGCCCGAAACACCGCGCGTCCTGATAGGCCCGCGCCCAGCAGCCCCCTCCCCGCGCCCGCCGCACCGGGGCCCCACCGCCTCCTGCGTCACCGCCGCCCCCGCCCGCCCGGGGACCCCGCGGTGACCGCGCTGCTGGGGGTTGAGGGACGCGTTGCGAGCCCCGGATACATTGTACCCTGGGGGTACATAATGAAGGATGCTGTACCTGAAAGGAAAAGGGCATCTCCAAAAGGGGACTTCGCGGGTGGAATTTCCTTCCAAAATCCTCGAGGAACAAGGTGTATTTCCGACCTGGATTAATGAATCCCCCCTCCTATCCCGCACTTCCTGTGGAAACAGTGTCAGGATGTGGCGCGGACCTATGTGCGTCCCTTATACCAGGACTTGCCTTCAACGCTGAAGGTGAACCCTGGGTCATCCTCGCTGTATTCAGGCGGCGCTGCAAAGGCTTCTGGGCAGCCAATAGGCCCTTGAGCGCCTCAGCCCCATCTTGCTTCAGTAGGCAAACGGACGGGTGTCTTCATCCACCTCCTAGGCCGTGGTCTACCCTTCGTTCAAATGTTTCTTCCTGCTAGCTGACTGTCCAGGTCCTTAGCTGTATCACATTGTTCAAATGTGTGTGCGCAGGTGTTTCTTTTTCAACTAATCATGCAGGAAGTGGCGGGATGCCTTACTGCCATTATTTGCTGAGTATTTCCAGATGGAACTGTAGTTGATAGCCAATAAATTTGGTACGTTTTTATCGGGATGCGCATGCCATAGATCGTCCCTGAGATAATGCTTTGCAATGTGGAACCTGAAACACCTATGTATAAGCCCAAGCCTTTCATTAATATTAACTGTGAGACCCCTGGAAGCTACTACTTTGTGTGAGCCTGTTTTCTCCGCCCTCAAACAGTGGATATAATACCCCCTTGCAAGGCTGTGAGATTAAATGGATAACTGTGCATAATGCTAAGCATGGTGTCTGGGACGTAAGAGGTTCCTTATATCCCATTAGTTCACTAGGTGGGATCACCAAGTTGAAATTCATTTTTTAATATTTTGCTTGTTGGAGTACTCACAACTCAACTTCTCTGGCTAATTTGATGTTTAATTTGAAAGGTAATGACACTATTTTGTAACATTTTTAGATGCTTAAGGGAAATTTGAAATGCAAAGTGGAACAACATTAAAAGGAAACTCATTTGTAAAATAAAGAAAAACAAAATCTATGCAAGCCAAAGAAGTCATGAATGCTGAGGAAGCAAAAATTGTGATTTTCCCCTCTCCAATCCCACTGTTCATTTATCTTTATTTGCATCAGTTAGACTGGTTGTTTACAAAGCTAATACCACCATACCACTAGTCAAAAGAGAGTTCCATACCTTTGCTGACCTAGTGGTAGACCATTCTTCTCAGGCAAGGTTGGCTTTTTCAAAGGAAAGTTTACTATAAACTGAGAGAGAAGTAGTAACATTATAGAATTTGATGATTCATCTATAAGAAATCTGAAGACTGTACAGATGAACCTAGCTGGCATAGATGACTGCCATCGGTTTCTCCCCTAATTTTAACCCTATCTCTTGATTTCTCTTGTTCGGCAAGTGTCCCCCACGGTACTTGTTAAGACTGATTAGCTCTCCCCAGGAGTAGACTTTTATCTGTTGTACCAGAAAACAAGCCTAGTCGGTGCAGCCATTGTTGTGAGGATTAAATTAAATGAATTAATGCCTGTAAAGAGCATGGGAGAGGCTGGTACATGGTAAGCACCATTCGAGTATTTGTAAAATATATTTTTAGAAATCTCTCCTTGCAGTCACTCTCTGTCCACAGTAACAAATGATGGTTGTCTCTTTCTGCTTAAACACCAAATTTCCTAGTGGGTCACCCATTAAGTCTGTCTCTCATAGTCTGAGGGATGCCTCAGGGTCTCAGCTCATGTTTAAAACAGAGATAGATTAAATACTCAGTGCACAGGAAATGCTAACTGAGCCTTTCCAAACCCACAATATCAACTGATATTTCCTCAGGAGCCAAGTAAGCCCCATAACAGAGGAATGACCTTGCAGAAATCTAAAAGTCTATTTTTTAATGCCATTAAAAAGATCTTAATCCTGTAATAGTGAGACATAACTTACAACAGTAAGACAGAAATAAATTTTATTTAATGGCTTTGTTCTAAGTTTATTACCACCAAGTATTCCTTTTATTATTTTCTGTCCACTAGGGACACCGTGCTCTTAAATATTTGGGTATCAAACTGAATAAATTAAATCATAATTAATGGTTTTCTAGTTGTATTAATAAGAAGTATACACAGATTGCAACTGAAAAAAGAAAAATGTACTTGTTAATGAGATGGATGATATTTTACTTAGTCTGTGCTGACTGAGTGAGGATGAACAATATACACTGTGTTTTGAATTTGCTTGTGAGCATGGTAAAATAAAAATATCTAATTTTTTTCAGTGAATTGGGGGGAAGAAATGAAAGAAAATAGTGTATAGAATCTCTTTTATGGTAGCTAAAGATTCAGATCTTCATGTTACAATCACTGATTAAAAATAGTAATTATATCTGTTTAAATGCATAGTCTCAGCATCTGAGACTCAGCTAAAGAAAATTATTGGGTTGATGAATTATGCTTAGACAATTGAATTTGTATTTATATAATTGTAGATCATATAAAAGACATTGGCATGATTCATAAAATGGAATATTTATATACATATAATTGAGTGTATATATATATACATATATATATATACACACACACATATGTAATTCCAAAATGTTGTGGTACAGATACTTCTCAAAAATTTGTATTGTGAATATGATCAGATCTCTGGTGAGAAAAAAGATATTGGTCCCTGTATCTTATTTAGATTATATAAAAGAAATTTTAAATGTCTTACATTTCAGAACAAATATGATCACTTTAAAGCCAAATTTTAATAATTCTATATATATGAAATAATATAGAACTGTATGATAATTCTGTATTGTAGTTAAAATTTTAAAAGAAAACCACTGTAGTGGTAGCAGCCCTACTTCAGCATTTGACCCAAATTTCTTACTAATCTCAAAGTGCCTGAACTCTTTGATCTTAGATCCAAGATCATTCTTTCACATCATGCAAATGTCCTAGCATTTTCAAGCATTCCAACCACTTTGATATCATTTTCACAACATCCCTTTGGGGTTGGTATGGCAAGTATTATTATGTCCTTCTGAGATGAGGAAGCCAAAGCTCGGGAGGTAAAATACCGGGCCTGAGGTCACACAGTATAAAGGTAGCAGAGCTGGGAAGAAAGCCCAGATGTTATCAGCCTACTTCAGTGCCCTTACTACAAACCACACCAGCTCTTATCTTCACACACATTATTTTGCCTATCAGGGTAAGTGTTTTCTTCATGTATTTTTTTCATTTTTTAGAAATAAATATATGTAATCCATCTTCCAAACTTTCTTTACCAATTTTGCCTTAAACATCTGTGCCAAGAAACTATATAAAGTGTACTACATGGTACACTGACAGGGGAAAAACTGGTACATAAAGTGAAGGCCCGACTACTATCTAGTCCTTGCTTGTCATCAGTTGGTAAGTCAAAACGAGAAAATTAATGGATGGTGTTAGCTTTATTCATTCTTTTTCTCAGCTTAATGCTAGGTTTATTCAGTAGATTGCTGGTTTTGCCTTACAGGGAACCTGAGCTGCCAAACAATAGCCACTGACTGGACTCAAGGCCAGCAAATCCTAGGCCGACTGGAAAAAGAAGCCAGCCCAACAGAAATGAGAATTTGTTCAGAAAACTATGGGGGTGGAAGGTGGGAGGGCAGACAAGGAGAAGCAAAGATGAAAGATTGATAGAGTCCAGTCACAGAACATGGTGCCCAGTGCCTTCCATGGTAAGGGATGATACTTAAGCATTCACCAGGGTAAATAGAAGAGGCTGGGCCGGGCGCAATGGTTCATGCCTGTAATCCCAGCACTTTGGGAGACCAAGGCGGGTGGATCACGAGATCAGGAGTTCAAGACCAGCCTGGCCAATATGGTGAAACCCCATCTCTACCAGAAATATAAAAAATTAGCTGGGCATGGTGGCGCACACCTGTAGTCCCAGCTACTAGGGAGGCTGAGGCAGGAGAATTGCTTGAACCCGGGAGACGGAGGTTGCAGTGAGCCGAGATCACACCACCGCACTCCATCCTGAGCGACAGAGCAAGAAAAAAAGAAAAAAAGAGGCCACCTTCACCAGCTTGAGGCTTAAGCTGTGTGGGTCCCAGGCAGCCCCCTGAAGGTTGAGGGAAATCAGTCTTGGCACCTATGTAACCCAGACACACAGGGCACCTTAGGTATTGTGCATACCAGCTGGGCAACTCAACCCTAGAGAGAAAGTTCGTAAACTTGGCTACTGAACAGACAAAACAATATCCACAATACTAGATCTTCCTTGAATTCTACGCAGTGTTACTCCTGAGAATCTCGAGAGATAGCTTTCTTGTGGACACGTGCATCTTTATTAAAAGGATAAAAGAACTATTACTTGACACAGTTCAAAAGAATTAACTTATTATGGCCAAAATAGCCTACCTTCAGTCATTTAATGTTTTGGGAGTTTTTTGTTTGTCTGTTTTATTGAGACAGACTCTCGCTCTGTTGTCCAGGCTGGAGTGCAGTGGCATGATCTCTTGGCACACTGCAATTTACGCCTCCTGGGTTCAAGCAATCCTCCTGCCTCAGCCTCCCGAGTAGCTGGGATTACAGGTGCCCACCACCATGCCTGTCAAATTTTTTATTTTTAGTAGAGACAGGTTTTCACCATGTTGGCCAAGCTGCTCTCAAACTCCTGACCTCAGGTGATCCGCCTGCCTCAGCCTCCCAAAGTGCAGGGATTACAGGTGTAAGCCACCATGCCCAACCCCTGCAGTCATTTAATATTTTGTTGTTTTTGTTTTGTTTTGTTTTGTTTTGCTTTTGAGACAGAATTTCACTCTTGTCGCACAGGCTGGAGTACAATGTCACTATCTTGGCTCACTCTAACCTCCGCCTCCTGGGTTCAAGCGCTTCTGCTGGCCTCAGCCTCCCAAGTAGCTGGGATTACAGGCACCCACCACCACACCCAGTTAATTTTTGTATTTTTAGTAGAGACGGGGTTTCACCATGTTGGTCAGGCTGGTCTCAAACTCCTGACCTTAGGTGATCTGCCTGCCTTGGCCTCCCAAAGTGCTAGGATTACAGGTGTGAGCCACCATGCCCAGCCCCCAGTCATTTAATGTTTTAAAAAGTCATTTTCTTACTACATAGCCATAAAAAAGAATGAGCTCATGTCCTTTTCAGGGTCATGGATGAAGCTGGAAGCCATCATTCTCAGCAAACTAACACAGGAACAGAAAACCAAACACCGCATGTTCTCACTCAAAGTGGGAGGTGAACAGTGAGAACACAGGGAGGGGAACACCACACACCGGAGCCTGTCAGTGGGGTGGGGGGCAAGGGGAGGGAGAGCATTAGGACAAATACCTAATGCATATGGGGCTTAAAACCTAGATGACGGGTTGATAGGTACAGCAAACCACCATGGCACATGAATACCTATGTATACCTGCATGTTCTACACATGTATCCCAGAACTTAAAGTAAAATCTTTTAAAAAGTCATTTTCTGAACATGATTCTATTTTGATGATATGTGTTACTATCCTAGAACCTAGTACAAAAACAGGGCAATAAATAATTATTGGATCAGTGGATTAACATAGTCTTAACCTCTTACATAATTTTACATATATATATATATATATATATATATATATATATATATATATATATATATATATTGCTCTGGGTTTTGTGTAATGGAATACAAGTTAGTTCACCTTAACTCATCCAGAGCATATTATCAAAAGAGCCATCTTCATAGGCGAATGACTCACAAAAGCAAAAGATAAAATATATAGATGAAAGATAGTATACTATGAAAGTACCCTTTTATCATATCAAGAATCTTATACCTGTAGCCAACAGAAGCAATTCAAGAAATGTAATTATGATACAGAGTATAGTTTTTAATGAAGAATATTTCTAGACCATTTTCTATTCATTTATTATCATATTTAATGTCATAAGGCTCATAAGATTTTCTCAGTCTGTTCTTTTAATGACTAAATCATTCTGGGGGGAAAATAGTTTCTAAGCTTTAATGGGTTAATAATGAATTAAGATATAGGATTCAGGTAAATTTGATAAAGGATTTCAGTATTTCTGTGTCTGAAATGTTTCTGTGTCTGAAACAGGAATTCTGGACTAGCAACGTCCTCTCTTAAGCTAAAATCCACAAGTTTATGGTCACAGGAATGATTTAAGTTACTGTAAAAAATAAGAAGTTTAGGTATATCAGAGCTATTCAAAAGAGAGAAAGAAACTGACCTTTTCAGTCAGCAAAGTATTAATAATACCAATTTGCCATGACCAATAAGGAACAACTAGAAATGGAAGCACCTGGCAACATTAAGCAAATTATTAACATAATTCAACATATTAGGTCAAAGAAAAAAATACAGTATCTTTTCTTTTTTAGAATAATTGTATAATATTCTAAATATCTATTATCCTATTATTTGTTAATGAACATTGCTTTTCAATTTGAGTCAACAATAAATTGAACTACCGTAAACATATGCACATGTGCATGCATTTCTGTTGGTTATATATTTAGTAGTCAAAATTGTAGATTTTATGATGTGTGACTACTCAGATTTAAGAGATGCTGGCAAACACTTTCCCAAACTGGTTTTACCAATTTATGCTCCCACCAGCAGCATTTAAAAGTTCAAGTTGCTCGCATTCTCTTCAGTACTTCCTATAGTCAACCCGATTTTACTGTTACCATTTCAGGTAGAATGTAGTGATGTCTCATTTTGGTTTTGATTTGCACCTTTCTAAGAGCTAATGGGATTGAGCAATTTTCATACACTTTTGGCTTACAATGTCTTTTATAGAGGCTAGGAAGCATTTGATATGATTAAACAATTTCTGATATTAAAACTTCATAAAATAGGGATAAAAGGATGTGTTCTTATTTTGTAAAGAGCTATCTTAAACAAGTTACATCAACATGATTAATGTAGAATCATCTCCATTCAAATAACAAAAAAAGACATGATTGGTAAGAATTAGCTAACGCATATGGATGAGAAAATTAAGAGGTAAAAGTAAGGGAAAGAAAGTTATAAAAATTATTGTTATTTGTAGTTTATGCTCTTACCCCCAAAAATAATTCACTAGAAAACTCATTAGAACTAACAGAAGAGATTGATACAGAATCAATCAAGAAACATATGCACACTTACCCAGTTTAGCGTGGGGATATATTCCTAGATGTTAGGGCTCTAACTGAACTTACTTATATGGGGTCCTGTAGTTTCTATGGAGATGTAATATAGGTATTGTACTTAAGTGATTGCTTCATCCTCAGTTTTTAGCAATGTTTAGAATGTCCTTCAAAATGTCAAAGACTTCTACCAATCTCCTAATTTTCTTTATTCTCTGCTTCCTCAAATATTTCCTTAAAAGCATCACAAGTTGGCAGAAAACGTGTGTCCTCAGCTACCTCCTGATTCTCTGCCTTGTTTGTACCTTAACTTTGGAAGTCAATGCATATAAAAATGATTTACTAGAACTCAAGACTGGAAGGAGAGGCTGAGGCAGAGAACACGAGAACACAACACACATTGTGGAACCACTCAGCTCAGGATGGTTTGGCCTTTGTTTATTGCTTGTGTACACCAGTACACAAGTACACCGGTACATCACTGGTGGAACATATGATGGCACTCAGTGCATGGAGAAAAGTCCTATTAACAGAATGTCATAGATGAATATGTAAATAGCTGTTACACATATGGCATATTCTACTTTTTAAAATATCATAAAGACAAACAGCAAATGGGAGATATAATATACCTAATTATATTACAAAATTAATAAAATATTATAGCTTACTTTATGCAAATGTTAACATGAGATCATATAATAATAACCAAAAGATCCTAAGTGCAGTAGCAACAAAATATACATAATACTATAAATAAACTGAAAAGGAAATATACAAAACTAATGTGAAGAAAGAACTCAACAAAGTGAAGACAAAAAAGAAGGCTTGAAAATGTAAAGGGCTGGCTGGGTACAGTGACTTATGCTTGTAATCCTAGCACTTTGGGAGGCTGAGGTGGGAGGATTGCTTGAGCCCAGGAGTTCAAGACCAGCCTGGGCAATATAGTGGGACTCCATCTCTATAAAAAATGCAAAAATTGCCCAGGCATGGCAGTACACGCCTGTAGTCCCAGCTACTCAGGAGGCTGAGGTGGGAGGGTCACTTGAGCCTGGGAGGTTGAGGCTGCAGTGAGCCATGATCATGCCACTCCAGCCTGGGAGACAGAGTGAGGCTCTATCTTAAAAAAAGAAAATACATAAATAAGTAATGAAAAGGATAGGAAATTCAATACTATAAAGATGTTAATTCTTCCTAAATGTAACCATGAATGTTGGAGAGTAACCAAGCTAGAGAATTATAATCACTTATCTTAAAATAGGTCAAGGCAAGACAGTAAGCATGCCTCCATGGCAAGAGACAATACCCTTACCATAACAATATTTACAATCACGACCAATTATGTTTCCAATATTCTTCACCTGACTAGGCATGAATAATATGCCTGAGAAAGAAGATTAATCTATCTATAAATAAATGAAGTCTTTCCTTCAGGAAGATGTAAACAGGAAGAGCTTCCAGACTAGTCTGCTAGAGTCTGAAACAGAGATCAGTACATATAAAAAAGACTTGCCTTTGTAGGTGGAAGTACTACTGCTTGCATTAAGCACAACACTTCTTTCCTTACCCAGAACACAAATGTGTCCCAAGCAAGACTGAATATCTTTAAACACACCAACCTCTTCAGGACAATGGAGCACTAGATAAAGAACAATCGCTCAGAGTCTCTCTAAACTCTGCAGTTAGTTGAAACAGCCAGTATACCAAGGAGAGGCCATGAAGTGACTTCAGTCAAAGGCCTTTGCTATAAAGAACGAAAAGTGCCTGTAGGACTTTTGTTCACAGGATATTTGCAGCAACTGGCCATTATTACTGAGTTATAATTGACTTAGGTTGTAGTCCTGATATAAGTTGTCTTAAAATAACTTCTTTCAATAGAAATGTTCCCTGTTTTTGCTATATGATAGAAAATTTTCAACTGAAATATCACTTTACCAACATGAAATTTCAAAAAAAAGTGTGTAACTGTGAAACCAAGAGCACAAAACAACTCAAATTTTATCCATCTACATTTCACATACTAGTTATCCCAGACCCTATTTGTCTTTAAACTGTTAATGGTAGAATAATTTTAGAAATATGAATTGCATAGTGATTAATACATAGATATTTCATTTTAAACATTCTTGATTGAGTTCCTGACCCCTGTCTATAAAATGACATTAAAATATTCTAGGAGACTTCATCGTATAATAATTCTTAAGAATCATGCTATACTACGGAGAAGGAATATTAATGCCATGAAGTACAAATCATTAAAATAAAGCAGGACTGACTTTTTTCCTATCTTTGAGAAAAAAAATTTCCCACTGCCACAGAGAAAATAGGCTAGAACAAAAGTATTACACGGGTAGCAGGAGGAAAACTTGTTAAAGGAGGGACTGGCAGAAGGTGGTTTCCAGTTTAAACTAATGAAATAAAAATAGTTCTGCCACTTCTCCTCCCTGAAATTAAAAAAAAAAAAAAATCTTCAAAGATGCCAGAAAATGCCTAAAATCCTGAATAATTATGTATGAAGAAAGCCTGGGAATATTGTCCCCACAGTCAGGGAGAATGCCAGATGAAGATTCCTGCTCAGTACACTTGGGACACAGCAGAATTCTTTGTAGTGGAACCCCCGAGAGGCAAAACAGCCACTGCCTCCTGTAGGAGAGGCCATATCTAGGCTGCCTGGACCTCTCTGACCTCTTTTGACCATGCGGGAAGGGAAGAAGTTTTCAACCAACAATGCATAGACACAACATTTCTGTAAGAAGCAAGCTACTGATGTGCAATGAGAGGCAAAACCTTGGATCATCTTACAGCCCTGAGCTGCCAATTTTTGTAATCTGAAGAGTAGTGAAAGCTAAGGCAAAGGTAAACACACTAGAAAACTATGTCATATGGAGATTCATGGAAAAAATAGTGCAACTTCTTCCAACCAGGTTAGAATCATGCCACAAGGCAAAATGTCAGTGAGAAAACTTTCACAGGCAACATCTTGTAATCCAGCTGCTCCTCAGGTACACTCCCTGGCCCATACCTCCAAATAGACCAGGAATAACTCCATTCGAAGCAGAAATAACCAAGAAAGAGCCAGGATAAGACACAAAAAGAAGAGGAAGAAAAAGAACATGACATATGAAAGGTAGATAGCCAAATGCCAGAAAGATTATATCAAGAATGAGATTGAAATCGATTTTTTTAAAACTTCAAATGAATTTTACACACACACAGACACACAATCCCTGGGAAACATGGAGAGAGAGTTAGAAGGGTTCACAAAAGCTGATGCAAAGAGAAGAACAATATCATCACAAAAATCATGGGCACATGGAGAGCAGACATAAAAAGGTAACAGATGTTGCTGAAAACACAATTAGATGTGAGATAGCAGGCTTGAGATAATTGAGCAAAGTAAAATGATAGAGAAAAAATAAATATGGAAGACAGGTAACATGATCCATCATACGCGTATTTGGCATTGCTGAAGAAGAAAACAAATGCAATAGAAAAAAGTTCAAAAATACAATTAAACTAAAAAGAAGGAGGCCCTCCATTCCATTTAGATTCTCTTGGCTTATTTTATTCCTATCAAGTCTTGCCTTTGATTTATCAAGTTTTACTTCATTGCCTTTTCTTCTTTTTCACTTTTCTACATTCTATTATTTTATTGATAATCTTCAAATTTTTAATGTGTAAATTTTTATTATTTTTAAGTAGTTCTAAAATTATTGGTGTCTGTTTCTCAACCAAAGATATAGAACAATTTAGCTTCTCTCCAAATAGTCTCCATTCCATATAACATGCCATGCCTACTATTTCATTTCAATTTGTTTTAAACACCATCAAATTGCTTTCAGGAGTAATAGGTAGATTTTTCTAAGAGGTTTTACCCATTTCTCTTCTCTCTATGGCATTTTAGATCTGTTGCTTCATGTGGGCTTATTTTCTTCCTTCCTGCAGTATAGCCTTTATAGTTCTAATAGTAAAGGTCTGTGGATATTAAACCCTGAGTCATTTAACGCAGAAATGTGTCTTTATTTTGCCCTCACTACTAATGATTGTGTAGTTGAGTCCAAGCTCGTACCACTCACAGCACAATAGCCAATTAGTTGAGAGACAAAGTGTTGTGGCAAGGCAAGTGACTTTAAGAGAGCCAGCTAGGCCAGGCGCGGTGGCTCACACCTGTAATCCCAACAAACACTTAAGGAAGCTGAGGCAAGTGGATCACTTGACGCCAGGAGTTAGAGACCATCCTGGGCAGCATGGCAAAATCCCATCTCTACTAAAAAATACAAAAATTAGCTGGGCATGGTGGTGTGCACCTGCAGTCCCAACTACTCAGAAGGCTGAGGTGGGAGGATCACCTGAGCTTGGTAGGTAGAGGATGGCTGAGATTGTGCCCCTGCATTCCAGACTGGGCAATGGAGTGAGACCCTGTCTCCCCCACCCTGAAAAAAAGAGAGAGAGAGAGAGACAGAGAGCCAGCAAATGGAGAAGATGGCAGGCAGACTAATGTCCTAAAGAACCATCATGAGTTAATAGAAATTTCAGACTTCTTTAATGTTAGAGGAAGGGGGAAGAGGGAGGGGGTTGAGGTACAGAGGTGACCAGTGATCACAGACATCTGGGTGGCAGCGAGGGTCGGGGGTGGGTTGAGAAACTCTGTCCTTTGTCCTTGCTCCTAGAAGTCTTTAACATAACATTGTTACTTATTGTTACTTGTGTGTACACTCTCGTTATCTCTCCGGGTTAGTTTAGGGGGAACTATTATCATCCTTGCTTTAAAGTTAAACTACAAACTAAATTCCTCCCATAGTTAGCTTGGCCTATGTGCAGAAGAAAGAAAAAGCAGTTAACCTAAAAATATCACATGGATGAGGGGGCTAGGAACAAAATGGAGTTAGTCACGCTAAGCCTCCTTTTCACTGTTATACATTGTTAGCTTGGTATAGAAATGTAGGTTGATGGGTTTTTTTCCCCAACCTTTGAAGATATTATTTATTTGTCTTATGGTATCTATGGCTGCTATTTGTCTAATTATCATTCGTTTGTAGATAATTTTCTATCACTATTACAGTTTTTTTTCTGATGTTCTGTGGTTTCAATATCTTGTTTCTCAATAATGTGTTTTCATTTATCCTGGTAGAAACTCAGTGTTATGATGTCTTTCTTAAAGTCTGGAAAGTTCTCAGCCATTAGTCCTCTGACTATTGCTTTCCCCTCATTCTCTCTATAGGCTCCTTCAGGGATTCTATTTGGCATATGTTGGATCTTCCCATTCTCTGCCTGTCTTTTGCCTTCTCTTTTAATTTTCCATCTCTTCATCTCTATATGCTTCATTCTGTGTTAGATTCTCAGCTGTATATTTAATTCAATTATTGCCTTACTTTTCTCTTCTTGTTTTTGACCTTTTGACCTTGTTTTGACCTATCAAGAGGAGGCTTCCCTCTTAAATACTCAGTCTACCATCTTACAAGAAGTTGAAATCTTAAATCAACAGGCTCAAAGAACACAACATTGGCCAGTCACAGTGGCTCACATCTGTAATCACAGCACTTCACTTTGGGAGGCCGAGCAGGCAGATCACTTGAGGTCAGGAGTTCAAGACCAGCCTGGACAGCATAGTGAAACCCTGTCTCTACTAAAAATACAAAACAATTAGCCAGGCATGGTGGTGCACACCAGTAATCCCAGCTACAGGAAGGCTGAGGAAGGAGAATCTCTTGAACCCAGAAGTTGGAGATTGCAGTGAGCCAAGATCGTGCCACTGCACTCCAGCCTGGGCAACAAAGCAAGACTCTATCTCAAAAGAAAAAAAAAAAAGGAAAAAACACAACATGTACCAATAAAAAATTAATATAGATTGATGACCACTAACCAGTATACTCAGTAAATAGCAGAAAGGAAAGCATCTTAAGGGCATCCAAGCAAAAAAAGGTCAGCTCATTAAAAAGAAAAAGTAAGGCCGGGCACAGTGACTCATGCCTGTAAAGCCCAGCACTTTGGGAGGCCAAGGTGGGTGGATCACCTGAGGTCAGGAGTTTGAGACCAGCCTGGCCAACATGGCGAAACCCTGTCTCTATTAAAATACAAAAATTAGCCAGGTGTGGTGCACGCCTGTGGTGTCAGCTACTTGGGAGGCTGAGGCACAAGAATCACTTGAACCAGGGAAGTGGAGGTTGCAGTGAGCTGAAATGGCACCACTGCAGCCTGGGTGACAGAGCCAGCCTGGGTGACAGAGCAAGACTCTGTCTCAAAAAAAAAAAAAAAGAAAGAAAGAAAAAGGAATTCTTTTCTGGCTTTAACGGCTCAGACTTCTCTACAGGAACATTGAATTCTACAATAATTTTCAGAAGTAGTCATCAGGGAAAGAAAACATCATGTAAAAATTTTATACCCACACATATCGTTGCTTAGAATAAAGGCAATAGACAGATATTTCTTTCTTTCTTTTTTTTTTTTTTTTGAGACAGATTCTTGTCCTGTTGCCCAGGCTGGAGTGCAATGGTATGATCTTCGTTCACTGCAACCTCCACCTCCTGGGTTCAAGCGATTCTCCTGCCTCAGCCTCCCAAGTAGCTGGGATTACAGGTGCACGCCACCACGCCTGGCTAATTTTTTGTATCTTTAGTAGAGACAGGGTTTCACCATGTTGGCTAGGCTGGTCTCAAACTCCTGACCTCAGGTGATCTGCCTGCCTCGGCCTCCCAAAGTGCTGGGATTACAGGCGTGAGCCACCACGCCCGGCCTAGACAGATACTTTCAAACATCAAAGAAATCAGGAAATACACTTCCCATGAGTCTCTTCCTGGAAAAAAAAAAAAAAAAAAAAAACCTGCTATACGAGAACTGTGGCTCTCAAAGTGCTAAAGGAAGAAACAGTGGTGACGAGAATAATGGTGACCATTGAATCAATAGAAATTTAGAACGAACAAAGACTGAACAATGAGGTTATTGTACATAAAGTGTAATAACTCAGCTCACTAAAATAGGGAGGAGGAAGCAAAGAGAAGATAGACAGTAGTTATGTAAGTTTATTGGTTTCCCCATCTATCATAGAAGGAAGAAAAGGAATTGTTTAAAGCTGATTAGTCAAGTAATAGAGATCTAATATGTTTGAAAATAAAGAGGAAATTACAAAATAATTATTTTAACCCAGCAAAATCAGATAGTGGGAAAGAAGAAGGATCAAAAACAGGCAAAACTAATCTATGAATTATTTTTGGCAGGTTACTAACTGGGAGAGAGCAAGAAAGCATCTCCCAGGATCCTGGTGGTCACACATAAAGAATCATCAATCTCTACTCATAAGAGGTGTGTCCTTTACTGTATGTATATTATAACTCAATACATGTTTTTAATTCAAAGAAGTTAAGTTCTTAAAAACTGTTCAGCAAAACTAAAGAAATGAAAAAAATAGAATAGTAGAAGAAATATAATTTATTCTCCTTAATCTAAGAAAGCCACATAGACAAGAATAAGATATAGAGGAAGCAAATGATATAATCAAGCATGTAGATCTAACTAAAATATATGTGAAACTTCATACTCTGTGAAAGAGAATATACTTTTGCTTCAAGTGCTTATGGGACATTTATAAAATTGACTATTTGTGTGTGTGTGTGTGTGTGTGTGTGTGTGTGTGAGAGAGAGACAGAGTCTCGCTCTGTCGCCCAGGCTGGAGTGCAGTGGCACAATCTCAGCTCACTGCAAGCTCTATCTCCCAGGTTCGCGCCATTCTCCTGCCTCAGCCTCTCAAGTAGCTGGGACTACAGGTGCCTGCCTCCACACCTGGCTAATTTTTTGTATTTTTAATAGAGATGGGGTTTCACCGTGTTAGCCAGGATAGTCTCGATCTTCTGATCTCGTGATCTGCATGCCTCGGCCTCCCAAAGTGCTGGGATTGCAGGTGTGAGCCACCGCGCCCGGCCAAAATTGACCATATTTTAGTTAGACTACAAGGATGACCTTTGGTGTCATAAGGTCAGTGCTGCCTGTATCAACCTGGATCTCAGAGTGACGATGTGGAGCAAAGACCCACCCCACACCCATTTGCAGCAATCAATCCACATTGATATAGAGTCTGAGGGAGAAATGGACCTTCATTTTATGAAGCAACTGATATTTCAGGAATAATTTATATCATGGCATAGCAAAGCCTATGACAACTAATAAATTAGATTAACAAAAACAATGGAACAAAATAGAAATTCAGAATTAGACCCAAATAAACATAGAAATTCAGTATATATTGATATGGTTTGGATCTGTGTTCCTGCCCACATCTCATGTTGAATCGTAATCCCCAATGTTGGAGGTGGAGCCTAGTGAGAGGTGATTGAATTATGGGGACAGAGTTCTCATGAGTGATTTAACACCATCTCCTTGGTGCTGTTCTTGTGGTGGTGAGTGAGTAAATTATCACAAGATCTGGTTGTTGTAAAGTGTGTAGCACCTCCCTTCCTCTCTCTTGCTCCTGCTCTGGCCATGTAAGACATTCCTGCTTCTCCTGCACCTTCCATCATGGTTGTAAATCTCCTGAGGCCTCCCTAGAAACAGAAGCTGCTATGCTTCTGCACAGCCTGCAGAACCCTGAGCCAATTAAACTTCTTTTCTTTATAAATTACCTAGTCTCAGCTATTTCTTTATAGCAGTGTAAGAACAGGCTAATACATATATAAAAGTGGCATTTTTTTCAAGTCATGGGGAAACATAATAATAGTCATAGAGAAGGAACAATGCTAACATCTGGAAGAAACTAGACCTGCTTAATTTCTTATACCAAAAATGTCCACAGTTCAATGTTTTAAACGTAAAAATGTAAAAAGTAAAATGGTTAAAATACTAGGAGAAAGTGTGAATCTTTCTATTGTCTCAGGATGGGGAAGGTCTTGCTAACAAAGAAAATAAATGATTGACAAATGTTACTATACAAAATTTAAATTTTCTTTATTGGAAGTGTTTCAAAAGTTAAGTTATAAATCAATGCAATATGAAAATAAATATTTGAAATGCATAAGAGAGACAAAGGATTAATTTCCTTAATATTTAAAAAAGCACTTACGTAAGAAGAACATATTACATAATATTTTAAAAAGCACTTACATAAGAAGAATATATTACATAATATTTTAAAAAGCACTTACATAAGAAGAATATATTACATAATATTTTAAAAAGCACTTACATAAGAGAAATAGGGAAGGAGTCTCTCAGGGAAAAAATCATTTTAACTACATGGAAAGTTGTTGTACATCTTAAATTTTGAATATGCAAATTAAAATGGCAATAAGATACTTTCTTGCACCTATTGGTTTGGCAAATAATACGCTATAATGGCAAGACACTGTCAATGGTAGTATAGACTAATACAGACCTCTAAGTGGCACACTTGTCAGTACTTATTAATGTTTCAAATACAAATACTCTTTGGTGTAGCAATTATTATTTTTAAAAATTATCCTGCAGTTAACACTTATATATATGTGCAAAGATACAAGCACAGGGATCTATGTTTGCAGTAAAGTTATACATAGGGTGACTGGAAACAACCTAATTGCCACCAATAAGGGACAGAATAAAGAAATTACATCAGTGCAACTGGAAATTATGCTTATAAAGGCCTCAGGTTGATTCCATGTAAGTTGATACAGCCTGACAGCTAAGCTCCAGAAAATCATACATCTGATGCTCCCATTTGTATCTTTGGGATCCCTGTAGGCAGCAAATAGCACAGTCATGCTAGATAATCTGAGTTTTAACAGGAGACTGTTTATAAGTTCTGGGTGGGGTGCGGAGAAACCTCTAGAGATAGGATGAGGCACTGTAACCACAAAAAGGCCTAAACAGGTGAAGGAAAGGCACAAATACCATAAATGGAAGAAGAGAGTAGCTGGAGAGAGCCACAGTGGTATCTCAGGAAGGCAGGCCAAGGCCCCACTTCTCTTCTCTTCGCTCATCTTCCAACATGAAGCCCAAGGTGCGGGAGCCTGAGGATGTATCCAAGGGGAGCTCTAAGTGAGGAAGGAAAGGTCAAGAGTGGATATGGAGGGGAAATGGGAGGTATGCAGCACAATACTTTTCAAAACATGGGGATATAGACACACTTAGGTTCCCAAGAAACTGCCACGAAGAGATGCCTTTGAGTAAGAACCATGAGAATTAGGGCCTTTGCAGTATGGGATGGAAGGAAATCACACTTTCTCTGCATTCTCTTTTTTACTGTTGCAAGTTTTTAAATCTTTTGCATGCATTATTCTTTTGATAAAAAAAATAGCTGGTGGCAGAATTTCTTTTAGAAGGGAAACTCTTTGGTTTAACAAAGCATCTTGATAGTCATCTTAGCTGAAGAAAGGGAGGTCTGAAAAGCAAAGGAGCAAGGAAAAGAGGGGGAAAAAACAATTCTTTCTTCATAAGAATGGGCAGAAAGTGGGGAAAAGTGAAAAATTTGAGGAGAGATACAAGGGCTCAGAAAATGTGGGGTAGCTGGGGTCTGAGGAGAAAAAAAAATACAAGAATGACACAGATTTCTAAGTACAAGATTTTTCAGTTTTATATTATGCCTATCCTTCAGAAAAGCCAACCACATCTACTGCCTTGTTTATAGTATGTGGTCAGTTAGGGTCAGTGGGAGAAATTAAAGGAATAGGGACTCTGCTTCCTGTTTGGATTGTTTTAGGACTGAGAATCAAAAAGAGCTACTGTTAGATCAATGAGAAAGAGAAATTTCATCCTCAACCAGAAATTGGGACAGAACCTGACTTGAGAAAACATAAGCCCCTAGAAAGCCTTCAGCAGTATAGGAGAGATGCAGATTTTCACCATATTTGAGGTCGGAGGTTAAGCCAGTATTAGGAAAAGAATGAGCCTAATAGCTGATGCTTTGAGCATGTCTGGGGAGCTGTGTGATACATAGAGAATTAAAGCAGAACCAAACAAATGCATTCAAGGACAAATCTGTCTCAGGTGTTCCCACAGATGTCTAAGAATCCATATGGAGAAATATGTAAAGCTCTGAGCTCAAGTATTTTGCATTGGTTCTTTTGCATATGTATCAGCAGGGGTGAGAGGTTTAAATATTATTCGGAAAGTTAATAGTCAGTGCTTTATGATTCAGAAGAGGCTAACCATCAGACTGTCTTTGATCACAATAAAATCAGGATTTTAATCCTTTTTTGTTATCTCCATTTTCCACAAAAATAACATTAATGACAACAGCAAAAACTTAATGTGAAAAATTGGTCTTAAAAGTTTTGCAACAAATATAAAAACATCAAGTACATATAATAATAATAATAATTTTATAATTAGTTACTAATCTGAAGAGGACTTCAGGATATCTAGAAATAATATAATTGGTTAGGCAAAACCAATATCTTTTTATGAAAGAACATGAGATTTTTTTTTTTTTTTGAGACAGAGTGTCACTCTGTCACCCAGGCTGGTGTGATCTCAGCTTACTGCAACCTCCACCTCCCAGGTTCAAGCGATTCTCCTGCCTCAGCCTCCTAAGTAGCTGGGATTACAGAAATGCGCCACCATGCCCAACTAATTTATTTTTGTATTTTTAGTAGAGATGGGGTCTTACCAGGCTGGTCTCGAATTCCTGACCTCAGGTGATCCTCCTGCCTCAGCCTCCCAAAGTGCTGGGATTACAGGTGTGAGCCACCACACCTGGCTGCAATCTTTCTTATATCAAAGGTCTGCATCTATTTTTACTACAACTTTTGTCATACCATATTCCAAATATATAAAATCTCTGACAAACACTCAGGTATTTGGACTTGTTTTTCTAAGAGTAATGATGGGTTGCATTTTTAGAAGATACAATATGTAGGGTTTTGCTCTCTCCTCACCAACAATACATACTTGTGAATTAACCAGTTGGTTTAAGGATACTAGCAATGGCCATGGAAGAGTTTTTTTCATATTAAAGTTAAACCACCTATAATAGGCTCAAGTGTGCAATACATACAATAACCAACTAGAGTAAGTGGCTCAGAGTCTTAGGAAAATGAAAAGACTCACGTGGTTAATAATTAATTTACAGTTTGAGAGATATATGTAGAGAAATGTACATAGGCATACAAAGTTAAATCTTTTTTGAGGTAACTAGATTAATATTCTATCTACCTACCAAAAGAATTTGACGTAACTTGTAATTTAAAAAAATCACAGACACAATATAATGCCAAATCAGGCAAACAAGACAAATAAGACAAAAGTCAGGTAATAAATATGAAACTAGACAGATACAGTTATTCTGTTTTTATAGATAGGAACATAGACTAGAGATGACCTACTCAAATTCATGTCTTTTTACTGCCATATATGTTTATGTGATTTAACATATTTAAATCTGATTTATTTGCTTAACATTACCAAGTGAAAGAGGATAATACACGTACTTATACAATAGGGTATGTTAAAAGTTATCATCTAAAACTTGAATATAAGGCAAGGAGAGTACCACATGTGCTTTCAAAGTCCTGCTAGGGCATTTTTTAACAAACTCACTCATGGATTACTTAATTAACTAGGGCAACTTTCCTTTGACTTTCATTTATTTATTTATTCATTTTGAGATGGAGTTTCAATCTTGTCGCCCAGGCTGGAGTGCAATGGTGTAATCTCGGCTCACTGCAACCTCCACCTCCTGGGTCCAAGCGATTCTCCTGTCTCAGCCTCCCAAGTAGCTGGGATTACAGGCACCCACCACCACGCCCAGCTAATTTTTGTATTTTTAGTAGAGTCAGGGCTTCGCCACATTGGCCAGGCTGTTCTCGAACGCTGACCTCAGGTGATCCATCCGCCTTGGCCTCCCAAAGTGCTGGGATTACAGGCATGAGCCACCACACTCAGCCCCTTTGACTTTTGTGTGGACCTTTTTGTATGATTTGTACAAAAATTAAGAGCTTAGACTCTGTGGAATTTTATGGTAACTTGTATTAACAGATAGATTCAGTGGAGCTACAAGTAATTTCTGTAAGGTAGAAAAGATAACCTCAAATGTTATGGTTTTTTATTGCCCTATAGAACAATCTTATTCAACGTTTTTCTGAAATGCCTATACACACCCAGTTCCTCAAAATACTCTTTAAACCAGTTTGTCATTTTGCTGATTCCCTCATTAATGAGTTAATAAATCTTTAACATGTGCTTCTTCTACATTGGAATGAGAATCATGCTTTTAGCTTTTTGGAAATTATATTTAGACAGGTAGTTATGCTGGTTAAATGAGATAACATGCCTAGAACATAGTAAATGTTCAATAAATGTTAGATTTTAAGTTTCATGCCCTAATCCCTCCAACATTATAAGAAAAAAATACAGCTCTGTTTACAGAGGGAATAAATACACATATGTATATGTATAAATGTGTTTGATGTACATGTACATAGATATATTCATAATACATACAGGCAAGAGGAGTATATATAATATATATTACATATGTGTGTATATAATATATAGATGTATTTATATTTATCAAACATTTACTATGAAGAACATCATATAACTTTTTGGCTGAGTGCAGTCCTCATGCCTGTAATCCCAGCACTTTGGGAGGCCGAGGCAGGCAGATCACTTGAGGTCAGGAGTTCGAGATCAGCCTGGCCAACATGGAGAAACCCTGCCTCTACTAAAAATACAAAAATTAGCTGGGCGTGGTGGTGGGCACCTGTAATCCCAGCTACTGGGGTGGCTGAGGCAGGAGAATCACTTGAACCCAGGAGGTGGAGGCTGTAGTGAGCTGAGATGGCGCCACTGCACTCCTCCAGCCTGGGCCACAGAGTGAGACTCCATTTCAAAAAAGAAAAGAAAAAAAAGAACATCATGTAACTTCTAAAGACTCTCTTCATTTCCATAATTTTATGGTTAATGTTTTATAGCAAAATGTAACATTAATAACCAGTAACAATGTATTCCAGCCTGATTTTTGTTTAAGATCCCCAGCTGAAAGAGCTTAAATAGACTAAATCAGAAACAGCAATAGCAGTGTCATAAAGATAATTTCCTAAGAACTGTGCTATTTCATCAGAGAAACTTACTGAGTGCTCTGCAAGAATTCTAAGACATTAACCATGTTAATATACCTAAATTGCAGGAGTTGCTTATCTATAAATACCTATCTTGAATGGACATTTGTCTGCCCCTGATATGTATGGGGGTGGGAGGTGTAAACGCCAGAAGGAAACGACACAGAGAAACATACATTACCTATACTACTCTGTCCTTTTTCTCTCTTCATAAGAGGGACCACACAGCAGAGTGTCTGGGAAACTATTTACCTTGCAAATAAAAGTATGGTCAACTTTTTCCAAACTTTTTACTCAGGGACTCAAAATTATTAACCATGCCCTATCTGTGAGAAATGGTAAATTTATTTTAAAATTTCTTTTCTTTCTTTTTTTTTTTTTTTTTAACATTTAATGACTTCTAGGAAAACTGAACCTATTCTCCATCTCCAATAAAATATTCACTCACATTCCAAGGTACTCCAGTGTTAATATGTAGTAATATATTTCAGGAGTGCCTGTGACCCAAACAGTGTATCTGTCTTGAAAGATGATCATTTTATTCTTTCTCTTAGGAAAGCTAGTCAACTGATCTCATTACGAGTTGTAGCTTTTGCCACAAAAAAAGGTGGGCAGTGAATTTTGTTTTCTTTCCTGTTCTACATGAAGAGGTTAATTTACAAGGTAAGTTAAACATGTGCTATCTGTAATTTAGAATGGTCAAAAAGAGTCAGCTCAAGGAGAAGATGAATAAAACATTTTTACAGTGGTAAATTATTTAAATAGTGTTAATTAATTTAATCTTCCCTGACATTGTCATTTAAGGACAGAAGCTCCTAGGCAGTTTCTTATTTTAAAAATTTCCCCCCCACATTATGCATGGTTCATAATAGACTCAGTATAAAAATTCAAAAATGGAACTATATTGAGCAGAAAGTGGAAGTCCCTAATACCACTGTAGAACAATGGTTCTATATTCTTTCTGATATTATACATATATACATACATATTCACAATATGCTATAATTGCATGTATATGTTATGTGATATATATTACAAAATAAATGAAATCATCTTAAATCTATTATTCTTTCACCTGACCTTTTCACTCAACATATTATGGACATTTACCAGTGTCAATTCATATAGATCTACATTATCTTTTTGATGGCTGCATAGTATTCCTTTGCATGAATCTATCATGAGTTGATGCATTAATTAGCAGACTTCAGTATGCATTATGATCACCTATGAAATTTGGTCATTCTCCTCTTGCCAGTTTCCAGCTTCTACAGAAGGTTTGGCATGAGGCTCATTCATATTTTTAGGAGTGTTTGGAGGAGACTCTGAAACACACCAAATTTTGAGAACTACCTATTTAATGAATTTGTTGTTGACAGGCATTTCATTTCTTTCTAATTTTTAAAAACACAGCACTATAGCTGGGTGCGGTGGCTCATGCCTATAATCCCAGCACTTTGGGAGGCCAAGGCGGGCAGATCACTTGAGGCCAGGAGTTCAAGACCAGCTTAGCCAACATGGTGAAACACCACCTCTACTAAAAATACAAAAATTGGCCAGGTGTGGTGGCGGACGCCTCTAGTCCCAGCTACTTGGGAGGCTGAGGCAGGATAATTGCTTGAACCCGGGAGGCAGAGGTTGCAGTGAGCTGAGATCGTGCCATTTCACTCCAGCCTGGGAGACAGAGTGAGACTCGTCTCAATAAAAAATAAAAATAAAAATTAAAATTAAAATTAAAAAAACCACTAGAATAATATTGACACCTGAAAATAGAAAAAGTAGAAAGCTGGAAGGGGAAATTATATTTTTCTCTCTTCCCTTTATTTTTTTCCACCTTTCTTCCTGTTTCCCTCCCAGAGTCTGAACTTCCCACTTCTCCTTCCATAGAAGGAAAAATAAGAAAAGATTAGATAGATCTGGGGAGAAAATTAGAAAAATGCAAAATGGTGATGGCAATGGGGGAGAGAGGCCATCCTCAGGTTTTCGAATAAATGAATGAAAAAGGATGAAGCCAGGTTTCTCATTCTAGGTGCGCCATTAGGAAACAGGAATGCCAATTTTCATTTTGTCAGTGCTTCTGTCTATGTACTTAACTTTCACAATTGTTGCAAATTTAATTGTAAGCAATAGAGGTGAATGGAGCAAGCACTAGACTTTAGTGCTGTCTCTTTCACTCTCTAGCTGTGTGACCTTTGATATGTCAACCTCTCTGTGCATCAGTTTCCTTGTCTGTAAAATGTGTGAGCTAGATTAATCTACAGTCCCTTTCAGGTCTATCATTCTTTAATTCCATGAAAGAACATTTTGTTTCATTTCGTAACCAACCCCATTTCAGAAAAAGAACTTTTAAAAATTCAAATTTATGTATTTTTTTTTTATTTTTTAGAGATGTGATCTCACTATGTTGCCCAGGCTGGTCTCAAACTCCTGACCTCAAGCAATCCTTCCTCTTCAGCCTCCCAGGTAGCTGGGATTACAGGCATGCACCACCATACCTGACACCTGACTAAAGCTAATTTAAAAACCCATGGACAATAGAGTATGTGACAATGAACATTCTGCAATTCATACATATATATATATATATATATATATGGTATATTCTCTTGGCACTCTGTGTTTCAGAATAACATATGGTATCCAATGTACCTTGGATGAGAAGGGTTACAGTAGGATCAATAGGATATATATGTGTGTGTGTGTGTGTGTGTGTGTGTGTGTGTGTGTGTGTGTGTGTGTGTATATATATATCCTTCTATGTAATCCTGCATTGATTGCATGAAGGTCTTAATACTTCAGTGGAAATCAATCTGCAAAGACTAATAAGTGGGAAAATGATGCTCTAAGATACCGACAATTTAAAACAAGTTCCAGACAAATAGGAAATTTAGGCTCAAACTCAAAGACTGTAGTCAGGGACTTCTCAACTTTCAGAAATAAGAAGTGTGGCCAGGTGTGGTGGCTCACGCCTGGAATCCCAGCACTTTGAGAAGCCAAGGCAGGCCGATCATCTGAGGTCAGGAGTTCAAGACCAGCCTGGACAACATGGTGAAAAACCCATCTCTACTATAAATACAAAAAATTAGCTGGGTTTGGTGGTGCACGCCTGTAATCCCAGCTACTCAGGAGGCTGAAACAGGAGAATTGCTTGAACCCGGGAGGCAGAGGTTGCAGTGAGCTGAGATCATGCCATTGCACTCCAGCCTAGATGACAGAGAGAGACTTTATCTCAAAAAAAAAAAAAAGAAAAGAAAAAAATAAGAAATGTGTTCATGATAACTATGCTTTTCTGATTCAGACAATTGTCTGGTAACAATAAAACCAAGTCACACAAGTATAAAATGAAGTCCTGCCAAGGCTAAAATAGACACCAAGTAAGTGACAAATACTTGAATAACAATGAAGCATAAATTGATATAAATAAGAAATTCAGTGATCACATGATATCGGCTAGATTTCTGCCTAATATCTTACCATGACTCCTCTTATGTGGGTTAAATGGTGGCCTCCCAAAAAAATATGTTTACCGGAACTTGTGGACATTACTCAATTTGCAAAAAAATGTCTTTAGAGATGTAATCTGCAATTTAGAGTAGCCCTAAATCCAATGGCAACTATCCTTACATCAGAGGAGAAGGCAACGCGAAGACAGAGGCAGAGATTGGATGATGCACTACAAGCCAAGCAGTGCCAAGGACTGCCAACAGCCACAAGAAACGAGGAGAGAAGCCTGGACTAGGCACTCCCTCGTAGCCACCAGAGGAAACCAACCTGCAGACACCTTGATTTTGGACTTCTGGAATTCTGGTCTCCAGAACTATGAGAGAATAAATTTCTGTTTTAAACCATCCAGTTTGTGGTAATTTGCCCTGGCAGCCCCAGAAAAACTAACGCACCTTTTTAAAAATATAGTTTCCAAAAATACTAATCTACTCAGTTTCCTGAATACACCACACACACACACACACACACACACACACACACACTATAATCCTCAAATCTTTTAAGGATTAGGTGATCTTGGCCTAAATCCTACTTCTATGACCTGTGACGGCCAAAACCCTCCTCCATGTGTCCTGTAAATTTCCACGCATACTTCCTCATGTTTGGGGCTGCCACATTGAGTTGTACAGACTCCCTGGCTAGAAGACCTTCTGTAATGCACAGCCTGCAATCTACAGGCACTCTGCCCTCAAAGCTATGCACCCTGCCATGAGGCTGCAATGCATGTTTTTCACACAAAGGTGTCACTCTGTCCCAAAGAGGTATCTCTTAAAAATTTGTACAAAAATGGCATGTCACGAGCAGTGGTTCTCCCTGTCTGCTCTCTTGCCACTGATCCTTGCCACAGCTCTCCCAGGACTGGTATCCACAAATCATTCTTTTATTTTAAATTTTTAAATTTTTATTTTAGGTTCAGGGTACATTGCAGGTTGATTATACAGGTAAATTCATGCCACAGGGGTTTGTGGTACAGATTATTTTATCACCCAAGTACTAACTTCGTACCCAATAGTTATATTTTCTGCTCCTCTCCCTCCTCCCACCCTCCATCCTCAAGTAGACCCAGTGTCTCTTGCTGTCCCCCTCTTTGTGTTCATGTGTTCTCATCATTTAGCTCCCACTTGTAAGTGAGAACATGCAGTATTTGATTTTCTGTTCCTGCGTTAGTTTGCTAAGGATAATGCACAAACAATTTTTAAACCTAGTGAGATTACCAGAGGTTGCACAGAAATTGCATCATATACCATACAATTTCATCATCAAGTTTAGTTTTTCGTTCATGTTCTCTCCTTTCCAATGTCCTGAAATTCTTATACATGACTTTCCTACTGATATAAGCCATACTATCAACTCTATCTGTGCACCAAATTCTGGAGAATAAAATTTTCCCCATCTTCTTTCACTATTTTAAGTCTCAGGGCCTTTGAACATGCAGGCTCCTTATCCCTTTTTCAGAAATAAACTCTTGTCTATTTATCTTTCAAACACTATTGCAAAATGAAAGAAATTGAATTATTAAAAAGTAAAGACCACAAATTCACCAGTCATTGTCTATCTCCCACAGACAGGCCTCTGTTCTCTCCTGCCTCTCCCCAACTGGATGATAGCTCTATAAGAGCACAGCCCTGACTACTTGCTCCTCCCACCCTGCATTTAATCACACACTCAAATGTTTGTTTTCTAAGCACTTTTCTCATAATCAGATATCCTAAGAGGATTGTAGTCAAATGACTATAATCAAGTTTAAATTCCTATCATTTTCCAAAAATCAATAACATTAAAAGTCTGACAAATTCTGCTGGCTACCACTCTTTCTAGTGACTTAGACACAGGCTATAATGGAGTCTTTTTCTTTTTTGCATGAGATGTCTGCAGTAGTTCGGAGTTGCCCTTGTTTTTTGCACTTCTACTGGGACGTTATTTTTTTTTTTTTTTTTTTTTTTTTTTTTTTTGTAGACAGGGTCTCACTCTGTCACCCAGGCTGGAGTGCAGTGGCGTGATCTTGGCTCATTGCAACCTACACTTCCTGGGTTCAAGTGATTCTCCTGCCTCAGCCTCCCAAGTAGCTGGGATTACAGGTGCCCACCACCACGCCCAGATAATTTTTGTATTTTTAGTAGAGAGGGGGTTTCACTTTGTTGGCCAGGCTGGTCTCGAACTCCTGACCTCAAGTAATCTGCCTGCCTGATCCACCTGCCTCAGCCTCCCAAAGTGTTGGGATTACAGGCGTGAGCCACCGCACCTGTCCAGTCACTTGGACATCTTTCCTTTTGCCTTGCTCACATAGTATCTTTTAGCAAGAACACTTTGATTTCTTCCTTCCTAATCCTTTGGTTGTGCTCACATTTACATCCACTGCCCTATTTTTCAGGGCTTTTGGTGGTGTTATGCTCCTTCTGAATTTGATTTCTTTTTCATTTCTGGTTCCTTTCCAATTCCAAATTAAGAATGCCGCTAAGCAGCGAACATCATCTTGACAAGCTCAAAATGCAGTTACATTTTTGCATGGTTTATTAGATTGTGACCCATGAGATTAACCCAGAAATCATATAAAAACAATATTTTATTTTATTCCTTCTTTATAGGCTGCAGCAGTTTATTTTTGATGTATTAACAAAAAAGTCTGTTTTCCTTGCACTGTTTGGTTCTTACCAGTTTCTTTCCAAAAGTAACATTCTTATCTAAATATAAAAATTATAAGTGGGCCAGGCACAATGGCCCATGCTTGTAATCCCAGCACTTTGGGAGTCTGAGGCGGGTGGATTACTTGAGCCTGGGAGTTCAAGACCAGCCTGGACAACATGGTGAAACCCTGTCTGTACAAAAACACGAAAATTAGCCAATCATGGTGGCACATGCCTTTAGTCCCAGCTACTCAGGAGGCCAACGTGGGAGGATGGCTTGAGAACAGGAAGTAGAGGCTGCAGTGAGCCAGGATCATGCTGCTGCACTCCAGCCCGGGCAATAGCGTGAGATTCCATCTTTAAATATATACAAAAATAAGTTACTTTCTAAATTTTATTACTGAGCACGGACCTTAAGCAGTTTATACACCTCATTTCATTAGGGCTTCATAATAGCAATACAAGGTCCCTACCATTACAGGTTTGATGCTGCAGATGGAGAAATTGAGTTTCTGAGAGGTGAAGGGACTTGCCCAAACTTGTCCATTTAGAATGTGATGGATCCAGCATGCAAGCCTGCTAAGACAGTTTGAAGCCTCTGCCTTCCTGTACTTGGCCTTTTTTTAGTTAGTCTGGGAGAGGCACCTTCTAATTGATATCTATCTCAGACACCTCCTAAGGTCCAAATTCCTAAAGCAAAGTTAGGAGTTTAATCTTTTTCATAAAGATGAAACCGAATTTTTTTCAAGCAAGGATTCCCCAAACCAAATGCCTGTGGCAGCCAGGCAGGTAAAATACATGGGAAAGCAGGCAGAGTGCAAAGCAAAACAAAAGCAAAATAACCGCTGACAAGCTCGAGTTAATTGGTGCGTCACAGCATCGTTGGCCCGGCGTTGCCAGGTAGCCTATTATTTTCAAAAGAAAACAGAAATTCAAGTTTTCATTTGAAATCTCTCAATTATTAAATGTCAGCATCTAAATCAGATTTGTTTGTTTTTCCAACAGTGCAAACTAAATATGTCTATGAAGCCCACAAATTGCCAGCCAGTGAGTGGCTCTAGTATGGACTTGACCTTGGCCCATAAAGCACATGTCCAATATGGTAGCCATAGGCCACATGCAACTATTTAAATTTACATTTTAATTAAGTGTAAATAAAATTAAAAATTCAATTCTTCAGTTGCACTAGCCACATTTCTGGTGTTCAGTAGTCACACGTGATGTGTGGCAACTATAATGGACGATACAAAACATTTCCATCATTGCACAAAGTTCTATCAGACAGCACTGAACTGGAGCAACAAAAAAATCAGAGCTGCTTTTTTGTCCTCCATCATGATCACCAGCTTGCACTAGAACGCTAAAGTTACTGCTCCCCCAGGACCACTCCAGACCCTTCTCTTTCATCTGAACAGACAGAGGTTGCACAGACAATCCCACCTACTCCCCTGGGGCCTGACATGAAGCCAGGTGGGGATGCACAGATGGGCAAGCCTGGGAAGAAGGCAAAGTGTGTCTTTAGCATTTCCCAGTCCCTGCTTTGGGACTCTGGGACTTACAGTCAGGCCACCACCCTCCCCTCTCTACAGAGACCAGAGCCTAATAATCTCTTTGCCCACTCTGGAAAACTTATGTCTAGGTCATTCAACTACAGTAAAGCGCAAATAATGGATATGTACCTGAAGTTTCTACCCCTGCCTTGGAAGTTGATATTTACAATGTAGAAAATTCTAAGAGTAAGATGTCAGGCCTAGGGGAGATGGTGAAGCAGGGTTTTATATTCTCATAGCAGAAGACCACGATCATCTCCCTGAAGCATCTGAAATCTTACCTTGTAGGCTGTCAGCTCATTTCCCTGGCTCTATGGCAGGCCCTACTCAGGATCTGGGTCAGTAGTCTCAAAAGCAGGTTGCTCATGAGGATCACCTCCATAGGCTTGCCAGCTTTAACAAGTGAAAATACAAGATTCCCAGTTAAATCTGAGCTTGAGTTTCAGATAAACAATGAATTTGTTTATTATAAGTATGTCCAGTATGCTATGCAATGTGTATTTTATCGGAAATTTTACACCTATGGCCCTTTTTATAAAGATACTTTCTTGCTGGACCCACAGATTCTCAAGCTCACTCAGGTTTAGGAAGCCTGATCATATTTAACTCAACTGCCTCTGGGAAGTGTTTCATTTCTTAGTCAATTTCTGTCTCCTTAGAACTGTCTTTTTATTTTATTATTTATTCATTCATTTGTTTTTAGCGACAGGGTCTCACTCTGTCACCCAGGCTGGAGTGCTGTGGCATGATCACAGCTCACTGGAGCCTCAAACTCCTGGGCTCAAATGATCCTCCTGCCTCAGCTTTCCAAGTAGCTGGGACTACAGGCATGTACCAGCACACCTGGCTGATTTGTTTAAACTTTTTTGTAGAGATGGGGTCTCACTATATTGCCCAGTCTGGTCTTGATCTCCTGGCCTCAAGCAATTCTCCAGCCTCAGCCTCCCAGAGTGCTGGATTACAGGCATGAGCCACAGCGCCTGGTCTGGAACTGTCTTTTTTTTTTTTTTTTTTTTTTTTTTTTTTGAGATGGAGTTTCGCTCTTGTTGCCCAAGCTGGAGTGCAATAGCACGATCTCAGCTCACTGCAACCTCCACCTCCTGGATTCAAGCAATTCTCCTGCCTTATCCTCCTGAGTAGCTGGGATTACAGGCATGTGACACCACACCTGGCTAATTTTTTTTTTTTAGTAGAAAACAGTTTCACCATGTTAGCCAGGCTGGTCTTGAACTCCTGACCTCAGGTGGTCTGCCCACCTCAGCCTCCCAAAGTGCTGGGATTACAGGTGTGAGCTGCTATGCCCGGCCAGGAACTGTCTTTTTTAATGGAATCACAGTTTCCTGTAGTGGAACATCAAGCTACTCATGACTATTACCTTCATTATGTCATCTGATCATCTCAACAACCTGGTAGAGTAAAACAGGCAAAAAGTATCCTTACCTTGTCAATGAGAAAACTGAGGCTTAGATACTTAAAATTTTCAGGTAAAACTCTAATAAATGGCATACCTAGGACCCAAACTCAGGTCTTCTGGGTTCCCATTTCAATATTTATTGAACTATTCAGTGCTGTGAGTGAAAGGGGATGGCAATGATGAGGGAGAGAAAAAGAGAAGAGAATTTTTTGTTAAAAGTATGGCTACCTCACCAATTACAACCCTTTTGATTCACACCTTTCCAGCCCACCAATCAATTCTAAAGCAGAAGGAGAAGACTAGGGATCCAGAATTCAAAAAGTCCCACATCTCCAGGGATCAAGGAGTCTGAGAGAAAGTTCAAACTGGATAATGCAATCAAAATAATCTGGAAATTGGCTTCTGGACTGGTTATGGCAGTGACAACAGAGAATGTCTGAAAGAACTGTTGTTAAACTATGTAATGAGATACTATACCTGTAATTTACCTCCACCACCTAGTTCATACCCTGGAATTTTCTTACAGTAACGTAATGAGTAAGCTCTGTGCCTCATCTAACTCCACGTGCTACACTGCAGTGAACAGGGTCAGAGAAAGGTAACCACTATAAAAGGAGTGGAAGTAGAGAGAAACCATAGACGTAGGTTCTAAGGTCCAGAGGGCAGATAACTAACTAGCCTGCCCCACTTGAATGCCTGGGGGTGGTGGCAGAAGTTGACCTACCCTGGAACTCATCTCCATAAGCTCTTTGCTGTTGAGAGCAATCTCTTGGAGGTACCCCAAGTCATCACACATCCACAATTACATGGGGCATTAATGTGCTAACAGAAAAGATTCATTCAACTTTAAGAAATAAAATTAGTAGGCCGGGTGCCACTCACGCCTGTAATCCCAGCACTTTGGGAGGCCGAGGCAGGTGGATCACTTGAGGTCAGGAGTTAGAGACCAGCCCGGCCAACATGGTGAAACCCCACCTCCACTAAAATCACAAAAATTAGCCGAGCGTGTGGTGGGCGCCTGTAATCCCAGCTACTTGGGAAGCTGAGGCAGGAGAATCGCTTGAATCTGGGGGTGGGGCGGAGGTTGCAGTGAGCGGATATCGTGCCACTACACTCCAGCCTGGACGACAGAGTGAGACTCTATCTCAAAAAAAGAAAGAAAGAAAGAAAGAAATGTTTATAGCAGTTTTATTCAAAATAAGCAAAAAATGGAAATAATCCAAATGTTCAACATAGAAGAATGGATAAATTATGATATTTATATACAAAAGAATACTACTTAATCAATTATACCTTAATGAAGCTGTTAAAAAATAAAGAATAAACAAAAGAATACTATTTAGCAATAAACTCAAGAAATTAAAATAGCAGTTGTCTCTTTGAATGAAAGGTACCTTATGGAATTGACTGAAAAGAGGCACAAGGGGAGTTTCTGGGTGCTGCAAATGTCTATATTTTGATTTGGGTGATGGCGACTTGAGTATGTATACTTGTGAAAACTTATCAAATTGCATTTTCTGCATATAAAACATATACCTCAATAAAGGAAATAAATGGCTAGTTAAAAAATAATAAAATTACAATATATTCATACAATGAAATAAATTATGATGTAGATCTATATTTATTGACATAGAAAGATGCCTATATTATTAAATATAAAAGCAGAATCCAAAACAGAATGGAGAATACCATTTTTGTAAAAAAATATGATATTGGCGGGATGTGGTGGCTCACACCTGTAATCCCAGCACTTTGGGAGGCCGAGGCAGGCGGATCACCGGAGTTCAGGAGTTCGAGACCAGCCTGACCAACATGGAGAAACCCCGTCTCTACTAAATACACAAAATTAGCCGAGCGTGGTGGCACATGCCTGTAATCCCAGCTACTCGGGAGGCTGAGGCAGGAGAATCACTTGAACCCGGGAGGCGGAGGTTGTGGTGAGCCGAGATCGTGCCATTGCACTCCAGCTAGGGCAAAAAGAGCGAAACTCCGTCTCAAAAAAAAAAAAAAAAGATATTATATATTGATATGGGTATGCACAGGAAAAGGGAGTCATGCATAAATAAAGCTGCCGAGATATTAAAACTGGTTACTAACATTTTATGATGAGTTTTAACTACTTCAAACAGAAATCATTAAGATAGTTCCACATTTTTTAAAAGCACAACATTAAAGCATTGCAACAACATCAAAATAAGACCAAGGTCTAAATTTGTGTTTCTCAACAGAGGTGATTTGTCCCCCAGGGGACATTTGGCAATGTCTGGAGATATTTTTGGTTGTCTCAACTAGGAGGGAGTGATAGCAACATTTAGGGTAGAGGCCAGGGATGCTGCTGAACATCTTACAATGCACAGGACAGCTCCAACAACAGCCATCTGTACTAAAATGTTTATAGTGCCAAGGTTAAGAAACCCAGGTCTATCTAAATGGATGCAAGATAGGGCCTGTTTATAAGACAGTGTTGACTTATTTCTTTTATTTCAAACAGTTCAGAAGTTGCCTGTCATTCAGAATCTCCATAAATCCCAGTGGCAACCAGCCTTCTCCTGCACCTAACACAACGCTCTCCACATATCTGGAGGGCTGGTGCTTGGAGAATCAGTTGTGCAGAGTCACTAAGAGCCAGCCCCGACTTCCATATCAGAAAAGAATATTTATAGAGGCAGAAACCTCTGAACTGGCCATGAAGAGCCAAAAGGGAGGGTGTGATATTCCACCCCCTGCCTCCTCTCCACTCCTGAGAGAAGAAGCCGCTACCAGGAAGGGCACTGATTCCTGGAATGACCAACTCCATCACATTAACCTCCTTATGGGCCCTCATAACCAACTGCTTCCTAGAAAAGAGATTGACATGTTGGGTTTTTGATAGCATAAGTAGCATTTTTTGAATCCTCAGCAAGAAGCTACCAAGATAGATAAAAGTTTTTTGGGGAATGTGAGGGTTATCTGGCTGTGACATATGTCACCCCATTAATGGCCAGGATTGATTTGGCTGACCTGGCTGGCTAGGTGGGTGTCCTCTTCCTCCCTCACCCCTACATGTGCGTCCCTCCTGAAGCTGCATGCTCGTTCCAAGAGGATGACCATCCCCAATAGAGGAGGACCGGTCTTTGGTCAAGGGTATACAAATAGCTGCACTCCCCTGCTAGAACCTCCAAACAAGCTCTCAAGGTAAGAGTTTTTTGGAGAGATAAATAGTTTTCTGCATTCTTTAAATTCCAATCGGTATATCAAGATTTAGACCTTGCTGACTTCACCATTAAGCCAGGAATAGGGAGAACTCAGGCTATGCTGTAAGGGAGACCTCTGCCATGTGGGAAGGGTAGAGCTGACATACTCCATTCCCAGAGCAGGGGGCAAGGAGAAAAGAGATGGGGGAGCAAAAAGAGGCAACTCATCTGGCAACCTGCTCCAGACCAAATTCCCGGAGGGGAAAAATCAATGGACACATCTAGGCAAATATGAAGGAAGCTTGGGGCTAGTTGTTTTCTTCACCCTGTAAAACCTAAGGGAGCTGAGAGCCTCCAGAAAAAGATCATGCCCTGTCTGATGGTATAACCACCCAATCTGTTCACCTTGCCCGCTGCCTAGACAGAGCCAATTTACCAAGACAGGGGGATTTCAATAGAGAAAGAGTAATTCATGCAGAGCCAGCTGTGCAGGAGACCAGAGTTTTATTATTACTGAAATTAGTCTCCCTGAGCATTCTGGGATTAGAGTTTTTAAAGATAATTTGGCGAGTAGGGGTAGGGTAAGTGGGGAGTGCCGTTTGATCAGGTAGGAGATGGAATCATAGCGGATCAAAGTGAGTTTCTCTTGCCGTCCTCTGCTCCTGGATAGATGTGGCAGAACTGGTCGAGCCAGATTACCAGTCTGGGTGGTGTCAGCTGATCCATCAAGTGCAGGGTCTGCAAAATATCTCAAGCACTGATCTTTGGTTTTACAGTAGTGATGTTATCTCCAGGAGCAATGTGGGGAGGTTCAGACTCTTGGAGCCAGAGGCTGCATGACTCCTAAACTGTAATTTCTAAACTTGTAGCTAATTTGTCAGTCCTGCAAAGGCAGACTGGTCCCCAGGCAAGAAGGGGGTCTTTTCAGAAAAGGGCTGTTATTAATTTTGTTTTAAAGTCAAACCATGAACTGAATTTCTTCTTAAAGTTAGTTTGGCCTATGCCCAGGAATGAACAAGGACAGCTTAAAGGTTAGAAGCAAGATGGAGTTGCTTAGGTCTAATTTCTTTCACTGTCATAATTTCTTCAGTTGTAATTTTGCAAAGGTGGTTTCAATAAGAAGAAAGACAGGTGGATGAACCTGAAATACCGCTCCTAGTCCCTCACTTCTGAGCAGAGTGTGCTGTGGATCCAGACACTGGTGTGTTCCCTGGGAAGGGGCAAAGAGGTGCTGAGATTACCAGCAGGCTCCCTGAGGCCTGGGCTGGAGAGATGTCAAGGACTGCAAAATTGTGGGCAAATGGCAGGACTTCAGCTATGGGTGCCATCGTGATATCCAACACCACAAGGTACAACTAATCAGTAGCGCTTCAAAGGACACCAGACCTGGAGCAGGAACCAGGGAGTTCCCAAAAGGACTGACGCCCACCCATGTGGAGTAGAGGTCCCTCAATTCCCTGTCCCCAAGAGGCCCCTTGAACGGGGGAAAGAAATTTGAAGATGGAACATTGACCTGAATGAGACTGTGTGGATTGAAATGGAATGAAATAATGTGAATTGGCACGTGTGTCACCCTGCTCACCTTGGCATGTGTGTCACCCTGCTCACCACCCGTGCCATAGGGTCCTCATGACCAGAGTTAGGCCTGTCAAGCTAAATAACAAACAGAAAGAGACCCTTCAAAGATAATAAGCTTATTTGGGTGTGCACAGAAGATTTGCAAATCTGGGATATGCAGGCTTTGGAGACCGTAGGCACATCCAAAGTGGCTGAGGCAGGGGGAAGTGTTTAAAGGCAAAAGGGAGAAGTATACATCATTTGTTTTCAAACAGAGAATGTTGGTTACAGGGGATCATCACAGGAGTTGACACTGGTTCATTCGTGGAGACAGTGTGTCAGGCAAGTGTTCTTGTGCATTCTGCTTGCTGTCCTTGTGACTCATGTAGCAAGCTGCACTTTAGGAAGTTCTTGGCAGAAGTTCTTGTTACAGGCGTATGTGCATGAGAGTCCTTCAGAAAGTCTTTGTAACAGCGTATGTCCACCGGGGCCTGTCGGGGGGTGGGGGGCTGGGTGGGGGATAGCATTAGGAGAAATACCTAATATAAATGACGAGTTGATGGGTGAAGCAAGCCAACATGGCACATGTATACCTATGCATCAAACCTGCACGTTGTGCACATGTACCCTAGAACTTAAAGTATAAAAAAAAACCAACAAAAGTGGATGTCAGCAACTTCATGTTAAACATCTGTGTTACATTTCCATAGTAGAATGCCTAACATATACATTATAAACCATCATGAATCAAAACTGTAAAAAATAAAAACTTACAAAAAAAATAATGTGTGTCAACTTGACTAGGCAAGGGTGTGCAGTTGTCTGGTTAAACACTAGTCTAGGCATTGCCATGAAGATATTTTGTAGATGTGGTTAACATCTTTAAGCAGTTGACGCTAAGTAAAGCAGGCTACCCTTGATAATGTCGATAGGTCTTATCCAATCAGTTAAAGGTCTTAAGAACAAAGACGAAGGTTTCCCAGAGTAGAAGGAATTTACCTCCAGGCTGAAACATAGGTGTCTTTCCTGAGTTCCAGCCTGCTAGCCTGCCCTACAAATTTCAGACTCAAGACTACAACAATAACTCTTGCCTGAGTTTCTAACTTGGCATCCTGCCTTACAGATTTCAGATTTATCATCCCTCACAATTGTGTAAGCCAATTCTCTTTCTTTCTCTCTCTCTCTCTCTCTCTGTGTGTGTATGTGTGTGTGTGTGTATGTGTGTATGTGGGTTCTGTTTCTCTGGAGAGCCCTGATTGATACACTTGGCAGTATCTATCAAGTTGCAAACTCACATACCCTTCGAACTAGGAATTCTACACTAGGAATTCCACCCTCAGATGTACTCATGCATAAGTGAAATTATGCATACACAAGATTCTGTAGTACTGAAGAAATAATTAAATGCCCTTTACTGAAGTATTTAAAAATTATGGTATACACATAGCTAGAATAATTTGCAACCATAAACAAAAAAAAGCTTCCTGTATTCTTTTATAGAATCTCATCCAAGATAATATTAAGTGAAACCAAGATACAGAATTGAGTATATGGATACTACCATTCATATAGAAGGAGGAAGGAGCAAGGGTATTGTATACACAACACACACACACATACACACGTATTCTCTGGAAGAATACATAAGGAATTGGTAATATTGGGTAATATTGATTCTGGAGAATAAGAATATATTTTTGTAACTTTAGAGCTTGGTACCATATATCATGAAAACAAATCAATTGTGAGTGGAATTAAAAGGCACACCACATAACATTTATAAGGAAAGGATGCAGAATCCTGGGTGGCTGCTCACATTACAATGAGTCTTCCTCAGTAGTGCTCTCAGGTTTGTGATTGTTCTGCCCCCTAGAGGCGGCTTTGAGAAGTGCTTGAGATGAACGTCTCTGTGACTCCCTCATCAGCAGGCTCAGCTTAGCCTAGGAGCACAGGCCTGAAGTGGGTGCTCACAGGATGGTTTTCCTCTGCCTACTTGCCTTCATTTCATCTGGCAACAGTGGTTCCGGTAATGTTGGCAGTCAGTGGCTATCACGGTGGGAAGAATCAGAACTTGAATAAACCACAGCGCTACTATGATCCCGTTCTTAGTGGCAGAATCACACACAATAAAAGAGAATTTGAGGTCTTCAATCACTAATGAAATACCAAGACCTCTTTATTACTCAATTTGGGTCAAAAAATATCAGCTAGAAAAGGAAGTTGGGAATGATTATTCACGTTTATGAGTGTAGCCTCTGACATATAAATGAATTACATACTAATCATGAGGTTGGATTTTAAATCTTGGCATACTCAAAATGTACAGAAAAGACATGTTTTCACTGCAGGCTGCAGCTGAATAATGAAATATGAAAACTACATTTTTGAACTATTTAATTTTTTGAAATTTAAACATATAATTTAGCAATATAGCATACATATTTCCACCATCACACAATGTTAATGTTTTTCTTATTGGCTTCTAATTTCTTTTTTAATTATTGTTTTATAATAGATCCCTTTTATTGAAAGCTCACTGTTTGCAAAGCAGTCTACATTCATTATCCCATGAAATCCTCAAACAACCCTAAAAGGTAGGTGTCAGTACCACCGCACTTTGTGATTGTACCAGACAATCAGTAATAAGATAGGTAAGAATGGCTATGGGGGAAGTCAGCTGGGTTCTAGTTATAGTCGCATTTCAGAAAATTATTTAACATGCTGACTTTAACAACCTAAGCGTCTTCTCCCTGTGTGCACACAGGGTAGACCTCTGAAGAGTGGCGCTGTAGCTTCTAGGGTAAAGGCTGTGTTAAGTCAAGGCAGGATGACAGTTCAGCTTCCTCCCAGGCTAGTGCAAAGAGCTATTCACTAGGATTAAAGGCCTTCTCTCTCCCAGACTGAATTGCTCACCCCCCAAAACCCCTCCTACAGAAAATTTGGAGTCCTCGTTTATTCCCCGGCAGCCCCTGCCTAATAGGGTGGTGAATTAATTACCAAACATGCAACAAAGGATATCAAAGGTTTGGCGAAAATGGCAACATTTTGGAATAAATGACCGTAATGTGTGCTCTGCCTGCCACCCTAACTGGCGCACATTTTGCAGGTCAGTTGCTTTCCCTATGGCCAAGAGGAGGAAAAGCATCTCTCGGATTTCAGCTTGGAGGAGGAAGAGTTCAGGCTGCCAGAACTGGACTGGCACTTCTGAATATCCCGAGGCAAGGTCCCATAACTTCCTTGGGAAGCTCTGCCGCACCTCCAACCCACCCCACCCCACCCCACCCCACCAGGCTGCTGGAGTCTTGGGACCGCAGACCCCGCGGCCCAAATTCTTCCTCGCAGAGGGGAGGGGAGGGGTGTTCCGGCCGGGCAGGGCGGAAGGGAGGTTTGGGCTGGATTGTGGGATAAGATTGCCCTGGTGACGCGGAGCGGATCTGGACCCGAGCCTAATAAAGGCTGCGTAAATAAAGGTGTAGTTAATAAAGGACGGGATGGGGCGCGCGGTTGCCAGGGGCGCCAGCGTCTCGGGGCTGCCCTAATGGCTCCTGCTCAGTGCGCGGCGCCAGCGCTTGTCTTGTCCCGGCTGCGTCTCTGGGCCCCACGGGCCCCTCCTCACATGGCAACTATTGTGGCTACTAGTCCAGGCGGCTTAGCCTCTGGAGTGGGTCCAGGACCCGCTCCAGCTGACCTCTGACTCCCTGGGGCCAACTTAGCCCTGGTCTTCCCGCTCCTCCGATCTCCCACGCGAATCGCCGCCATGAGCTAACTCCCCACCCCCGGGCAGACCCGGGAGAGCTTTGATTACCTGGGGTCTTCTGCTTCCTCCCAGACGTCAGCTCCGCTTCAGGAATCGACTGAGACTTTGGCTCAGAGTTTGGTTCCATTCTTGGACACGGATTCAGCTGGAGAGCTGCCCCGGGGCCAGAGCAGTTCGCTGCTGCACACTGGGATCTGAATGACAAGCTGACTCGGCACAGAAGTCTCCCAGAGGTGGTTGCAATGCTAGACTGGGATCAGAACCAGGCCCTAGCTCGGCCTCTTTGCCTCAAAAGTAAGTTTCTAACTGTAGATCTAGATCAGGCTGCAGATCATCAGGCATATGAAATACTTGTTCCACCTCTAGATAGAAATCAAAAGCAAGGAACTTTACTGTTTCGCCCAAGAACCGGAAGAAAGATCTAGCTCAGCATCAAAGGCTTGCCAAGGTTGTTGTTGGAACTCCATACCGATTTGTATCAAAACCTCAGCGTCAGAAACAAACTCTGCAGAATGGGTATTTAGATTCAAGTATGGATATACTGTATCTGGGCAGCCTGCCTCCAGAACTCCAGGTGAGCTCAGATGAGCCTCCAGGGCCTCCTGAGCAAGCTGGACTTTCTCAGTTCCATCTAGAGCCTGAAACTCAAAATCCAGAAACCACTGAAGAGATCCAGTCCTCTACTCCAGCAAGAAGCTGCAGCGCAGCTTCCACAGCTCCCTGAGGTGGTAGAACTTTCTTCAACCAAAGCTGGAGGCCCCAGCTCTGCCTTCACAGTCCCTTGAGGGGGTCCACTCTTCAACAGAGCAGAAGGCTCCAGCACAGCAGCTACCTGCCTTTGAAGAGATCCTAGCCCCACTATTGATACATCATGAGGTAAATGTTCCATTGAAAAGTTGGAGTGAAGTTCAGCACTCACACTTGCCCAGTGTCACAATCAAACCTGTGGACGTGGAGCTTACGGTAACTCCAGAGCCAGGTAAGAAACTTACAACAAGCCAGGAACAGGCCCCAGCTCAGCCTCCAGAACACTCCAAAGAGGTGGGCTCTTCCTCAACCCAATTATAGCCCCCAGCTCAGACTCCAGACCCCCCTAAGGAGGTAGAACCTTCTCCAGTCCAGCAGAGTTCCCAGATGAGCCACCAGAGCCCCCTAAGGAGGTTGAACCATCTGCAACCCAGCAGGAAGCCTCAGGTCATCCTCCGAAGTCCACTGAAGAGGTCAGTCCTCCACTGCAGCAGGAGATACCAGCTCAGCCATCAGAGCCACCTGAGAAGGTCAAACCATCTCCAGTCATAAAGCAGCCCCCAACTCAGCTTTTAGAGCCACATTCAAAGTAATTAACTGGTATTATCTGTCCAAGAGATTGGATGGATAGGAAGTTAAACTTCTGGGAGATGCCTCATTATTTGTACCAGTGGCTCCACATTATTTCTTGATTAATTGTGCAGACTGAGAAGCTGACAGCTAGTTTTTCCAATTCAAGAGTCATCATGGGGATGTTCTCAATTGTTGTTAGTGGGACTTGTGTTGTTTCCATGTCGAGATATTGTAATGCCGGTAATTTAAACAGATAATAATCTCCAATAGTTGTCAGAGGATTGTGATTGAGAATTGTTAGTGGTGAAGGTTCGAGATAGAAGCTCTTCTTGCTGTCCCTCCTGCTGCTCCCTTGCATAGCACCAGTGCTGGAAGTTTCTGAGAGCAGTCTGCAGGTGCTGAACATCATACTTAAACTGGTCAACCCGAAGTTTGGCATTCTGCCTTTTATTAGGGGGCTCCTTGCTGGACAAAATCTCCCGATGTTCTAGATGGCTGAATATCTGGTCTGTGCTTGCTTGGATTTCACCTTCTACTAAGTGCACAGACTGCTTGTCTGCCGTCTCCAGGTGTCCCATGTGAGAATGTATCTCATGGACCTGCTTGTGCGTTTGCTGGTTCAGGGGCTCCATGTCACCGGCCCAGCTGGCCCCAACTCCAGCTCTGGCTTCCTTGGAATATGTCCTCGCAGCCCTGCTTCTAATTTATTTTTTTTAATTAAGATGCATTGGTTTTTTGCTGATCAAAAATTCTGACATATGGCCGGGCGTGGTGGCTCACGCCTGTAATCCCAGCACTTTGGGAGGCCGAGATGGGCGGATCACGAGGTCAGGAGATTGAGACCATCCTGGCTAACACGGTGAAACCCCATCTCTACTAAAAATACAAAAAATCAGCCGGGCATGTTGGCGGGCGTCTGTAGTCCCAGCTACTCGGGAGGCTGAGGCAGGAGAATGGCGTGAACCCGGGAGGCGGAGGTTGCAGTGAGCGAGATCGCACCACTGCACTCCAGCCTGGGCGACAGAGCGAGACTCCGTCTCAAAAAAAAAAAAAAAAAAAATTCTGACATATTACTGACAATTTCAAAAACAGGAAAAGTCTGACAGTATTAGTAGGGTTGACTAAAACAATATGAAATTGACTAAAATAAGTGGACTGTTTTGCAATTAAAAAATTTTAAGTCAATGCAAATATTTATAACTTTTAAGTCTCCTCTAAAAGATAACCAAAGAGCTTATTTAATCCTGTTTTAAATGATGTTAAATTCTTTGCAGATTATTACATAGGATATATTTTAGTAATGATTTAAAGGAGGAAGAAGCAGCCTATTTTATGTTCATTGTAAGTGTTTCTAATAATCATCATTGAATGGTATTAAGTAGCCAGGAGCAGAGATATTGGGGTTATGGTGCTCTGTAAATCAAGTTAATGACATGCCCTTTGATTTTCCAGAACATAAACTCTCATTGCTAATACCCTTCCCTCTGACCATTGTTGTTCATCAAAGTTCTTTCCTAGATGTTGTGTCCTCTACAAACTGTCAGTGATGGTTGTTGCATTCCCCTGGTTCAGTGGTCACTTGCATGCTGGTGACACTGGACTCCAGGCTTGCTGGAGCTTCCAATATGGGTATCCCTGGGAGTATCAAACTCAATGTGTCTCTGCACTCCAGCCTCGGCTACAGGCTGGAATTTTGTCTCTAAAAAACAGAACAAAACAACAAACTCCATGTGTCTAAAAGTGAAATCACTGTCATTCCCCCAAAATTGTTCCTTCATTCACTATCACCCACTTAGTCAACCAGGCACTGGGTTCTATGCTATTCTCCTTCCTTGCCTTCATGTCAAATTCTTCAATCCTGTCCAATTTTTCTACCTAAAATGTCAAATTATCCTGTCCTAGATCGGACCCTAGACACCTCTTACCTGCACTATTTCAATCATTTCCTGATTTCTTAACTCTTCTTCCTGTCTCCAGTCTTTCCTCCCTCTGCATTCATCCACAACGTAACCAGAAGGATGGATCCAAAACGCAGTTCTGGAGACAAACTATCACTTCTGGTCACACAACTTGGTATATGAAAAAGCATGAAGCCAAATAACCCTACTATATCTTCTGATTTATTAAATATACGTGTATTTCAATATATGGAGAAGTTTGTAACATATAAGCAGAAGTTTCTAAGACAGTTTTCTACATACCATTACCTGATGCATAAATGTCTCTCACCCGGACAGAGATGTCTTATTCAGGAGTTCACCTCCACATTGAACAACTCCAGACACACTGAATTCTGAGGGGTGCCCCTCTAATAAGAACAGTTCCCCTTAGAATTGGCAGCAGAGCAGTACTGCCCGGAGGCCCCCTCTCTTCTGTGCCAGAATTGCGCCTTTGCATCATGTTTACTTTCCTTTTCCTTCCACTGCTGAGAACAGTGGGGCTCTCTGCCCGCTCATGATATTCTGGGGACTCTTGTGTGATTCCCTACTACCACTTAGGTCACCAGGATCCACCAGGACCCTCTTTAACTGCACAGGGCTCCCTCGGATGCCACAAGAACTCTAGGAACCTCACTGCTGCTGTGGAGACCCTATAAAAACAGCAGAACCAGAGTGGGCTGTATAAGGAGCTGTGATTTGGCCCCACTTAGTGGAACCCAGAATTAATTTCCTCCCAGAAATAATGCGGTCATTCTGGTTATGGTTTGTACTACTGCTACTACCATCATTAAATTCAGAGGTGCTGGCGGGGCGCAATGGCTCACATCTATAATCCCAGCACTTTGGGAGGCTGAGGCAGGTGGATCACCCAACGTCAGGAGTTCGAGACCAGCCTGGCCAACATGGTGAAACCCTGTCTCTACTAAAAAATACAAAAATTAGCCGGGCATGGTGGTGCATGCCTGTAGTCCCAGCTACTCGGGAGGCTGAGGCAGGAGAATTGCTTGAACCCAAAAGGCAGAGGTTGCAGTGAGCCAAGATCGTGCCATTGCATTCCAGCCTGGGCGACAAGAGTAAGACTCCATCTCAAATAAATAAATAAATAAATAAATTCAGAGGTGCTAAATAGGACTTTGGGTTCATTCTAAAAAATTAAACTACTACAGAAGCACTATGGGCTGTAGGAAAATGTGCGCTGAACTGACTTACCAGGGACCATTTGGAGTGTAGTCGACCAATATTTGAGCCCAAATAAATGAATCTTAGAATCAGGTTAATGTTAACTTGATTTTTTTAAAAGTCCACTGGAGGCACTATAATACATGAACTATAATATCCATCTTTTTTTGCATTATTCATTTTATTTTACTTTATTTCTTAAGTTCAGGGGTACAAGTTCAGGTGTGTTACATAGGTAAACTTGTGTCATGGGGGTTTGCTGTACAGATTATTTCATCACCCAGGTATTAAGCCTAGTACCCATTGGTTGTTTTTCCTGTTCCTCTCCCTCCTTTCACCCTCCTACCTCCAATAGGCCCTACCCATCTATGTGACCATGAGTTCTTATCATTTAATTCCCACTTCTAAGTGAGAACATGTGGTATTTGGTTTTCTGTTCCTGCATTAGTTTGCTAAGGATAATGGCCTCCAGCTCCATTCATGTCCCTGCAAAGGACATGATCTTGTTCTTTTTTATGGCTGCATAGTATTCCATGGTGTATATGTACCACATTTTCTTTGTCCAGTCTATCACTGATGGACATTTAGGTTGATTCCGTGTCTTTGCTATATAATATCCATCCTTACCAGTACATGTATTCTCAGATGTTTTCTCTAGCACTGTAAAGCAATGGACATGGCTTGCTTGTGTAGGTCATCGTATTCATGTCATAGGGCACACCCTGAGATGGAATTTCCAATATTTTGAGGGAGTAGCATAAATAAAGCTGACTATCTGAAGTCATTTTGTAATGTTATTCCTCTTGCACCTTTACTCCAGCCTCACTGGCTTTCTTGCCATTGCTCAGACACACCAAGGTCATGCCCAGCTTAGTGTATTCCTATTGTTTGGCATGCACATCTCAAGATTTTGCTTGACTCTCCCATAGCTGCTTTTGTTCTGTTTGCAGAAAAACCACAGCTGAGTGCCCAATTTAAAATAGCCTCCTCCTGCCCAACTCATCTAATCCCTTTGTTCTGCTATATTTTTCTTTAAAACATATATTTATTGTAAATATATAGGTTATTTGTTTTCTGCTCCTTCAACTGTTATGTAAGACCTATGAGGATAAAGAATTTCTCCACCTCCTTCACTGCTGAAAGTGTCCAGCATGGCATATAGTAGACATGCCATGTATATATATTTTGAAGGAATGAATGAATAAATTAGTCAGTCTTAATATTTCATCTTCTCTCTTTTCTCGGTCAGAATTGTTACAATTCATCTCTTCCAAGTGCAGTGCAGTGCAAAGAACAGTGCAGTGGTTAGAACAGACCTCTAAATTTGGCTAGAATTCTGGCCTCAGCACTTACTAGCTTTATGGTTTTGGACAAACTATCTCACCTCTCTAAGTCTCCATTCCTCTTCTATTGTATAGAGATAACCAAAGAATTTTCCTCCCAGGATGTGATCATTTTTAAATGAATTCATACATATAAAGCTCCCAACGTGGTGCCTGCATATTGTTTAAGTATTATTAAACTCATGGTTTCATTGGTTCTAGTGTATCTTCGTGTGTGTGTGTGTGTGTGTGTGTGCGTGCGCACTCACACACACAGTAGTTTGCTCCTTAAATAATACATTTCTACCTATCTTTTAAAATATACTTGTTAGTATGTTGGGGTGGTTGTTAATATTCTAGATTCTATATTCATAGGTAGCCATTTGCTTTACATTTTCAGCTTCATCCTCTGAATGCTAGTCTTGCTCAAATGTCTCATTATTTTCCATTTATTGCCTATTTTAATAAATAAAAGATCAGACATTTTCCCAAGTGTGGTTGGTAGAATATCAGTTGCTTTTTTTAAAAGAGGGGGAAAAAAACATTCCTAGGGCCTCACTATTGAACAAGAGCCTCCTGGGGTGGGGTTCAGGAGCATGCATTTTAAACAATGTCTAGAGGAGTCTTATATGCCCTAGAATTTAAGGAGCACCAAAGGAGGCTTCTGGGTATTGGCTGCTGGTGCAGATTTGCTCAGCTTCTGTAGGTTAGTGCACTACCGAATGAAGCCCTACTCTCTCCTCCTCCTCATGCCATCTTTCCTCTGCAGAGGGCTGCCTGCAAGAGTTATCTGTGCTGTTTGCACGAGGTGAGCCCAGAGGACCATGCCACAACCTGCTTCACTATATGTTGGCCTTGATTGGTGTTCCTGAAGTCTTTTGGGCATTTCTCTTCCACTGCTCCCTTGGTTTAGAGGAGGAAAAACTGGCTCCTTTGATTAAAGGAGAAGAAAAAATTGTTTGGCTGAGGAGCTCCTTTTACTTCCAACACTGTTTGGTGGATAAATCTACCCTCCTACCCTCCAGCTCTGTCAGTCTTGGCATCTTCCATGAAGAAAAAAACTCCGGGGAATTTCCTATCTTTGCCAAAGCTGTGCGTCTAGCCCTTGTGCCTCTTAGGTGAGAGGAATTAGCAGGAGACCTCAGTATTACCCCCACTTGCCTCCTACCACCCAGCAATGTACTCAACATCTGTCCGGCTGTCAGTTGACTGCTGAAGTCTTTCATTTTTGTTCAAATTGTGCTTTACTCCTTGTGGTTTATTGTCTACTCTTCAGCACTTTGTTGGCTTCATCCCAGGTATAATTTTCTCCTTTGTTATTGCTTCTTTGGAGAATTTTCAGTGACTATAGGGAAAATATTTATTTGATCTCTGTTAACACTACCATCTTTCTCCAGACAGCAGTTTTTAGAAGATAAATCTCCTGATGGAATCATTTCATTGCTGTTTATTTATTCTTATCTCAAAGAACTAGTTACTGACCAAAAGAGGAAAGAGCTATGCAGCCTCCATTGCAGTCTCCAGAGACCTTAGGAGTCTCTGGAAGGAGTTGTTGCTGCCTGGAGGGAGCAGGAGGCCTCAGGTCAGAAGGCATGCTGCAGACCACCCGTGAGTGATTCACGTCCAAAAAAGTTCCTATCTCCAACCCTGAAACCTGAAACTGAAGGGCTTTTGCCTGCAAAGACCATCTGAGAGCAGCCCTGCTGGTTAGTGAAAGGTTTTGGGACAGGCAGATTTAGAGCTGTTAGTAAATTTGGGAGAGTCTTAGACTCCGGCCAATATTGACATCAGGTAGTCTTATTCATAATGTAATTATTACCCTTTTGAGAAATAAAAAAATCTTGAGACAAATGAAAATGGAAACACAACATACCAAAATTTAAGGGATACAGCAAAAGCAGTTCTAAGAAGGAAGTTTATAGCAAATAAAAGCCTACATTAAGAAGAAATAAGATCGCAGATAAAAAACCTAACTTTATACCTCAAAGAACTAGAAAAAAAGAAAAGACTAATCCCAAAGTCAGCAGAAGGAAGGAAATAATATCAAAGCAGAAATAAATGAAAGACGGAGTAGAAAAACAATAGAAAAGATCAATGAAACTAGGAGTTAATTTTTTAAAAAAGATAAGCACAATGGACAAACTTTCAGCTAGACTAAGAAAAAAGAGAGAAGGTGCAAATAAATAAAATTATAAATGGAAGAAGATACATTACAACTGATATCACAGAAATAAAAAAGGATCATAAAGACCAGGCACAGTGGCTCACTTTGGTAATCTCAGCACTTTGGGAGGCCAAGGTGGGCAGATCGCTTGAACTCAGGAGTTCGAGACCAGCCTGGGCAACATGGCAAAACCTCATCTCTACAAAAACTATAAAAAAATTAGTCGGGCATGGTGGTGCTCCCCTGTGGTCCCAGCTACTCGGGAGGCTGAAGTGGGAGGATCACTTGAGCCCAGGAGGTGGAGGTTGCAGTGAGCTGAGATCACACCACTGCACTCTAGCCCCTGTGCCAAAAAGAAAAAAAAAGAAAAAAAAAGGATCATAAGTGACGATTGTCAACAATTATATGCCAACAAGTTGGATAACCTAGAAGAAATGGATAGATTCCTAGAAACATAAAACCTAGCAAGTCTGAATCATGAAGAAACAGAAAATCTGAACAGATCTATAATGAGCTAAGAAATTGAATCAGTAATCAAAAACTTCTCAACAAAGACAAGCCCAGGACCCAACAGCTTCACTGGTGAATTCTACCAAATATTTAAGGAAGAATTAATGCTAATCCTTCTCCAACTCTTCCAGAAAATTGAAGGAAAGAGAAAACTTCCAAACTCACTTTAGGAGGCCATTATTACTCTGATGCCAAAGCCAATAAAGACACTGCAAAAAAAATTACAGACCAATATCCCTGATAAACATAGATATAAAAATCCTCAACAAAATACTAACCAAATTCAACAGCATATTAAAAGAATCATATGCCATAATCAAGTGAGATTTATCCCAGAGAAAGGGTGGTTCAACATATGCAAATATGTAAGATCACATGAACAGAATAAAGAAAAAAATTATACGACCATTTCAAAGATATATAAAAAGCATTTGACAAAGTTTAATATCCTTTCATAATAAAAACTCTCAACAGATCAAGTATAAAGGAATATACCTCAACATAATCAAGGCCATATATGACAAGCCCACAGCTAATATCCTCCTTAATGGTGAAAACCTGAAAGCTTTTCTTCTAAGATTAGGAACCCGGCAAGAATGTCCACTGTTACCACTTCTGTTTAATATAGTACTGGGAGTCCCGGCAAGAACAATTAGGCAAGAAAAAGAAATAAAAGGAATCCAAGTTGGAAAAAAAAGAAGTAAAATTATCTCTATTTATAGATGATACGATCACATATACAGAAAATCCTAAAGACTCCACCAAAAAAACCTGTTAAAATAGACAAATTTAGTATAGTTAAAGGATACAAAATCAACATAGAAAAATCAGCAGTATTCCTATATACTAACAACAGACTATCCAAAAAAGAGATCAAGAAAACAATCCCATTTACAGTATATCCAAAAAAAAAAAATACTTGGGAGTAAATTTAACCAAGGAGATGAAAGACCTGTACACTGAAAACTATAAAACACTGATGAAAGGATGAAGAAGACACAAATAAATGGAAAGATATCCCCATGTACATGAATTGGAAGAATTAATATTGCTAAAATGATCATTGGCACCAAAACAATCTACAGATTCAATGCAATGCCTATCAAAATTCCATGACATTTTTCCCAGAAATAGAAAGAGAATCCTATGAAACCACAAAAGACTCCAAATAGTCAAAGAAATGTTGAGCAAAAGGAAGAAAGCTGGAGGTCTCATACTACCTGATTTCAAATTATACTACAAAGCTATAGTAATCAAAACAGCGTAGTACTGGCATAAAAACAAATGCATAGACTAAAGGAATATAATAGAGACCCCAGAAATAAGTTTATGCATTTATGTTCAGTTGATCTTCAACAAAGGTACCAAGAACATACAACGTTCAAGAAAGCACAGTCTCTTCAATAATTGGTACTGGGAAAACTGGATGTCCACATGCAAAAGAAGGAACTTAGACCCTTGTCTCACCCATAAAGAAAAATCAACTCAAAATGAAATAAAGACTTAAATGTAAGTCCTGAAATTATAAAACTACTCAAAGAAAACATAAGGGAAAAGCTCCAAGACATTGGTCTGGGAGATGATATTTTGGTCATATATGACCCTTGATACACAGGCAACATAGTGAAAAGAGAGAAATGGGATTGCATCAAAATTAAAAGCTTCTGTACAGAATAGGAAACAATCAACAGAGTGAAAAGGCAACCTACCAAAGGGGAGGAAATATTTACAAACTGCATACCTGACAAGAGGTTAATATCCAAAATATATAAGGAACTGAAACAACTCAATATTAAAAAGATAAATAATTCAATTTTAAAACAGGCAAAATACCTGAATAGATATTTCTCAAAAGAAGACATTTACAAGTGGCCAACAGGTATATGAAAAAATGTTCAACATCACTAATGATCACAGAAATGTAAATTAAAACCACAAAGAGATATCACCTCACACTGGTTAGTATAGCTATCATCAAAAAGACAAAAAATAGTAAGTGTGGGTAAGGGTGTGCAGAAGACAGGACCCATGCACACTGTTGGTGGGACTGTAACTTGGCACAGCCATTATGGAAGACAGTATGGAGCTTCCTCAAAAAAGTAAAAATAGAACTACCATATGATCCAGCAATTCCATTTCTGGGTATATATTCAAAGTAAATGAAATCATTATGTCAAAGAGATATCTTCATTCCCATGTTCATTGGAGCATTATTCATGATAGCCAAGATATGGAATCAACCTAAGTGTCTGTCAAGAGATAAATGGATAAAGAAAACGGGATATATCTATGCAATGGAATACCATTCAGCCTTAAAAAAGAAGGAATTCCTGGCTGGGTGCGGTGGCTCACGTCTGTAATCCCAGCACTTTGGGAGGCCGAGGTGGGCGGATCATGAGGTCAGGAGACAGAGACCACCGGGTGAAACCCTATCTCTACTAAAAATACCAAAAATTAGCTGGGCGTGGTGGCAGGCGCCTGTAGTCCCAGCTACTTAGGAGGCTGAGGCAGGAGAATGGCATGAACCCAGGAGGCAGAGCTTGCAGTCAGCGGAGATCATGCCACTGCACTCCAGCCGGGGCGACAGAGCGAGACTCCGTCTCAAAAAAAAAAAAAAAAAAAAAAAAAAGGCAAAAAGAAGGAATTCCTGTTATTTGCAGCAACACGGATGAACCTGGAGGACATTATGCTGAGTCAAATAGGCCAGGCACAGAAAGACAAATACTGCATAATTTAACTTATATGTAGAATATAAGAAAGTTGAAATCATAGAAGTGGAGAGTAGAATGTTGGTGGCCAGATGCTGGGGCAGAGTGGGGCTGGGATGGGAATGAGGAAATGTTGGTCAAAGAGTACGAATTTTCAGTTAGACAGAGGGATGAAGTTCTGGGGATCTCTTGTACAGCATGGTGACTATAGTTAATAATAATGTATTGTCTACTTGAAAATTGCTAAGAGAATAGATTTTATAATGTTCTCACCACAAACTAAGTATGTGAAGTGATAGATATGTTAATTAGCTTGGTTTAATGGTGTCACAGTGTATACATATATCAAAATATCACATTGTATACCTTGAATATATATAACTTTATTTGTCAACTATATCTTAATGAAGCTGGGGAAAAAATCAATAAAAAGTAAACACACACACACAGGACAACTGAAGATCACTTTTTATTTTGTAGAGACAGAGTCTGGTTGTGTTGCCCAGGTTGGTTTCAATCTCCTGGCCTAAGTGATCTTCCTGCCTTGGCCTCCCAGAGTGCTGAGATTACAGGTGTGTGCCACCATGCCCAGCGGAATATCACTTTTACTTAGGAATATAGGTCAGAAATATTTTTTTAACCAGCAAATCAAATCAAACAATATATTAAATAATCAATTTAACAAAATAGGATTTAATTTAGGAATTCAAGAATAGTTCGAGCACTGGAAGAACATGATTTAATATTTTAAGAAATGGAAAGAGAATAAAAACATGATCATAATAACTGAAGCTACAAATTCAACCAGACACTTTTGCATTCTTTAAAACTCATTTAAGATAAAGAGAAGCTTCCAAACATGTTGAAGTTTATTTCCTACAAATCAATCATAAACATTTCAAATAAACACAAATTATTTTCATTAAAATAGAAAAAAGAAGAATGCTGTCTACTACCCCTAATGGTCAACAGTCATTGCAGGGAGTATAACAGATAATGTGGTAAAGTAAGAGAAATAAATATGTAGTTTAACTATGGGGAAAAGCCTGTTTGATATCCTTTTCTATTTTGATTATAAATGTGCTTAGGTTCTTCAAAAGACGTGATCTGAGAGTAGCACATATTAAGGTCATGTCTTATTACTACAGGCTGTTCCAGAAAGGCCATGGGGCTTTCTCTGTTTATGGGAACAGCTGAATATGATCAAAACTGGATGGGCCAAGTGCATAGGGCCTGTGCTGCCAAGACATGCCTTCAAAAATAGGAAGTGAAAATCCAGTCCCATGCTTACGTATCAAATATAGCATTGGCCCTCAAGTTCAAACTGCTAGAGTATACTCAAATTGCTTCATTCAGCTAATTTTGGGAGTATACTAATGACCAAAGGACACTTTACTATAAAGTGACATTTGTTAATAGAGTTCCAGACTCCAAAATGCAGTTTCCAGGATACTTGTTAACAGAACATAGGGTAACCTAATAATTCTACCACTTAGTCACAAACCTATTTAATCCAACATTTTTTCGAATTCATTTACTTAAGAAATTAGATCATTCATTACAATTAATTTGGCAAGCAAAGACAGCCAGCTGCTCAAGTGAGATCCCAAATTTTCTAACAAATTGAATAAACACTAATTTGTTTATTTGTTGATATGATTATGGAATTAGCAAAATGGCCTATTCCTCAGCATGAAAAATTCAGGTCCAAATTGTTTCATTGAGGCTTATTTCTGTTACAAGTTAAATGAAAAAGAGAATCTATTATTCACAAATTTTTTAAAAAAATCATTATTAAAAATAAAGACCATCTGAGCATAGTTTGAAACTTCTAACTGCAGGTTTTCACCTCCATGTGGTCTTCACTTTTTCTCTAACGTGGAGCCCACAGCATACTTTAAATGGCACTCATCCTTCTGAGACCTCTAGTCTCAAAGTGCCTTCCCCATATTATAAGAGTATTATTTATTTATTTATTTATTTTATTTAAAGAGACAGAGTCTTGCTCTGTTGCCCAGGCTGGAGTATAGTAGTGCAATCATAGCTCACTGCAGCCTCAAACACCAGGGCTCAAGTGATCCTCCTGCCTCAGCTTCCCGAGTAGCTAAGACTATAGGCATGCACCACCATGCTCAGCTAAGTATTTTATTTTTTGTAGAGATGGGGTCTTCCTATGTTGCCCAGGCTGGTCTCAAATTCCTAGGCTCAAGAGATCCTCCCACCTAGGCCTCCCAAAGCGCTGGGATTACAGGCATGAGCCACCACACCCAGCCAGAATCTTATTTTTATTTATGTATTTATTAATTTATTTTGAGACAGAGTTTCACTCTGTTGCCCAGGCTGGAGTGCAGTGGCGCAATCTCAGCTCACTGCAACCTCTGCCTCCCGGGTTCAAGTGATTCTCCTTCCTCAGCCTCCCAAGTAGCTGGGATTATAGGCACACACCACCATACCTGGCTAATTTTTGCATTTTTAGTGGAGATGGGGTTTCACCATGTTGTCCAGGCTGGTCTCAAACTCCTGGCCTCAGATGATCCACTGCCTCGGCCTCCCAAAGTGCTGGGATTACAGACGTGAGCCACCTCACCCAGCCTCTATTTTTAATAGGATAAATTTTCATGAAGACCTTATACTGTATACCCTTTATACACATTTCCACTATTTGCTATAGCTTTTCATAATTTCAGGAAAATGCTAAATAAGTTAAGCTTTATTGTTTCTTATCATTTACATTTAAAGCACATTAATTTACAGAAATGATACATTTTGCTCCAAAAAATATTTTTTGTGCATCTGAGGAAAGGGAAATGCTTATTTTTATAAAGAGAAGGCACAGTACTGAAGAATATTTCAAACTTCTTTTCAATGCTTCTAACTCCCTGCTTTCCTTGAGACAAAGACAGACTTACCTGTTTGGAGATAGAGGGGGCAAATAATGGGTTCATGTTTGGTTCTCTCTCACTCTTGCTGCAGACTCATTTCTCTTCTAGCTCACTGCCAAGCCATGAACAGTGAGCTACACAGTGAGTGTACCAGGGAAGGGCCTAGGGCTGCTGCCAGGAGCTCAAAGCACTGTGCAGTGGGTAGGTCTTGAGGCAAGCTAGGATTTTCCATATGACTGGAGAGACAAGTATCTTAATCTCAAATCAGGTTGAATGGGTGCAAAAGCTCTAGATTTGTGGTAGGACAGGAATTTAGGAAGATCGAATCCAACTCAGCATACTTATGTTTGGGGATAATTATTTGATGTTGTTCTCAGCCTGTTAAATATAGTGAACTCCATGTTCCTCTTCAAAGAATCAGTATGTCAGTATGTTCAGTTCTCTTACTCTGTGTTCTCCATTTTAAAGTTTAACTTTCTGGTTCTCTTCGCCCCCTTGCCTCTAGCTTCAGTAAACAACTTTCCTGCCAGTTCTAATCAGTAGTTCACATCTGTTCCCCTGGTCACCGGCTTTAACCTGAGTCACCCCTGGTCACCTGCTCTGTCCTGACTCATCCTGAGTCACCCGTTCTGTAACCGCCTTTCCCGCCAAACTACTCACCCCGCCACTCTGGCTCGTACCCCTGCTCTCTTTAAAATAGCCAATGGGAATTACCTTAGACTGTGTGGTCTAACCCTAGCCAATAAGGGAACGACACAGCAGTAGGAGCTACCTGTGTCAGGAATAAAAACCCCTTCTCCTCCCTTGTTCAGGTGTGCTCTTGCCATTGCTCCATCCGCCAGTCATGCCCTTCTATAGAAGTAAAAATTGCCTTGCTGAGAAAATTAACTTTATGTGAGAGTGCTATTTCTTTGGCAGCACCGAAAATTTATTTATAACAAGCCTCATAGGGCTCTATGTCATTTTTTTTCCAAATTTATTAGAAGGCCCGAAGAAGTATATTTATGTTGGCACAGGCCCACCCCAACCCCTACACAATCACCAAATCACCCACTTCATAGTCTTGAAGAGTCCAAATTAAAAGACTACTGGAAATTATATCTCTGCATTTAACCTTAAATAATACTGGCCAAGGGGGGAAGAACAGATTACTGAAATTCTGAGTAAGCATCTAAATTCAACACTAGATGTCTCTATCCTGATATTTTGAATTATATGTAAAACCTTTTTTTTCTGTTTTATATTCTTCCTAAAAAAAAATAGTAATAAATGCCAGATATTTCACCCTAGATTATCATTAGCCAGATGACTTTTTTTTGGAACGCTTCTCCTTGCCATTCGTCTAGTCTCTGAGAACATAAAGTCTGAATCACTGCAACCATGTAATGTTTTGGAGCAAGGGTTCTCAATCTTGGTTACACATTAAAATAACTTGGCAAACTTTTAGGAAATACTGTGCCTGATTCTCCCCCAAAGATCGGATTTAAATGGTAGATGGTAGAGTCTGGACAGAAATATTTGTTTAAAGTTCTGTAAACCAAAATTAAATTTCTAAGACCCCTCTCCCACCCCCAACTATCTGAATGTGATACGGCTCCGTTGTCTGGAGAAACATCCAGGGTCCTTTGTCTCTCACCAAGAAAATTAGTGACATGGACACACATGGAGTGGTTTCAAGAAGTGGAAAGTTTAATAGGCAAGAAAGAAGAAAACTGCTCCCCTGTACAGAGGGAGGGGGGCTCCGAACGGAAAAACCCCACGTGCAGCGGAAAGCAGTCAGTTATATTGGGAGGCTGGAGGAGGCAGTGTCTGATTTGCATAGGGCCCAGGGGATTGGTTTGACCAGGTGTGTCATTCAGGTAGCCCGTGAAAAAACTGGCCCTGCCACCCTAGCCTTTCATATGCAAATGCGGTTTGCCATGATGTCCTGCACACGTGGCTTTATCTGGAGGTTGCCATGACACCTGGCACACATGGTGACAAGATAAAGAGGGCAGGAGACACCATGTTGAATGTACCTGGCTTCTAGCCGCCAGCATTTGCATATCAGTGTTTGCTAGTCTGGTTTTTTAAGTCGCTTTCTGTTAGAAAAAAAATGCTTTTGGGGTTGCTTTTCATTAAAGGAAAATTCCACTGAGAACTTTCACCCTTTCTGGCTGCCTAAAAATTATTTCTAAATAACTCCCATACTATTTCCACCATCTGGGGAAGTAAATCTAACTGCTGTTAGGGGGTGTTGGATGACAATTCTTTCTGGCTACTTCCTGCTGAAAAAGGGGCATCCTGTGAGGGACAGCAGTTGGGCCTCCTCCTGAGGTTGATGTAAGGGTTCTCAGAAGAATGGCGTGTCCATGTGAGGTTCTGTCTGCAACACCATTTGGAGTTTGATTGCTTCTAGATGAAAAGAGATGCATTTTATAAGAAGGTTTAAAATGTAGAGTTAGAACATGAATATTAAGATTACCACTGTTGGCTGGATGCAGTGGCTCACACCTGTAATCCCGGCACTTTGGGAGGCCAAGGCGGGCAGATCACCTGAGGTCAGGAGTTCGAGACCACCCTGGCCAACATGGAGAAACCCTGTCTCTACCAAAAATACAAAAAAAAAAAAAAAAAAAAAAATTAGCCGGGCATGGTGGTATGCACCTGAAGTCCCAGCTACTCAGGAGAATTGCTTGATCCCAGGAGGCAGAGGCAGTGAGCTGAGATCATGCAACTGCACTCCAACCTGGGTGACAGGACAAGAATCTGTCTCAAAACAAAAACAAAAACAAGATGACCACTGTTAGTGGAAGTCTTATAGACCCTAACTATGACAGTAGAGTTTGATACCTGTTACACCAATGGGTTGTAATACTGGCTTGCCTCCACTAGATGGCGCTGTACATTACCAGAAACATTAATATAAAAGTAACATTTTCCTTGAGAAAAGCATACATTTCCCCCTTGACTTGCCAGTAGAGAACAATTTTAGGCTTAGACCATTTTGTAACTTGCAATATGATTGGGAGAAATACGTTATTGGGTGGCTACGATAACTTTAGTGTTAATCTTGATAATTCCTTTCCTTTAATTACTAAACTCTTTCATGACTGAATTTCACAGACCCTCTTACAACATACTCAAACTTTCTGACCTGTTCTAAACACCCTTCCTTTAAACAACCAGTTATTTTCAGCTGCAGTGAGGGTCTGACTTAGGAGCAACATAACACCCCTCCATGTGAGGTCAAATACCTGAGTTAAATTTTGGAAAGTTTCTATATACCTATCAGGGTCTTTAGAAAATCAGCCTAAGTCTCCCTTTATTTGCCTAAGGTCCTGTAATAAGAAGGGAACTTGAAGGGGCCCCAAATAAGGGGGATCCTCAGATGATTCCCCTGGAAGTTGCTTCTCTAATTTGGGGGAATTAATCTCTTTGGGCCTGCCCAATATGACTGCTAAAAGAGCTGGGTTGATCTTACAACACTTGTAAAGGTTTAGTAAAAATGTCATTCTCTTGTGCAAAAAAAAAAAAAAAAGCCACTTTTCTCTTCAAAGTTCTGAGGTTAAAGAAGTTCCAGTGTTTCAGAGTGCACTCCAGAGGGGTGCAAGATGAAGATAATCTGTTACCCATCTAGAAAAAGAAGTGAGAGAAGGCATCCCTGTAGTCTCCTTCCTTTCTGTAAGTGACCCAGGGTGGAGAAGAAGACAGTGGGAGCATCCCCTCAACTATTTTCCCTCCCTGGTTCCTGGGTCCCGGCACCCTTTTAAATGTGCTGCCCATGGTTGTAGGCATGACCCTCCAAGCCATGGCACCAGAGAAACTAAGCTTTGGGGGCTAGTCATGCTCACCCTGGTAGCTCTAGTCCTCTGCTTACGATTTCCCTTTGACTTTCTAGACTTGTGTGACCTGCGTGCCTCCCTAAAAAAAATGCATCTTGGGAAAGGCAAGGCCCCTCTAATGGAGGGAATGTGGTAGATTGCCTGCTATTATGGCCTGTGCTAAAGCATTTACCCTGAGAAAAATGGTTCCAGTTAACTTCTGGACTTAAAATCCCTTTACTAATTAAGTACTGTCTTAATCAGAGACAGAGTAGTTGCCTTAAGGGGCCATGGGGACCTAATGGGGATTTCCCTGCTGATGGGACAGTACTGGGACCACAATTTGGCTGCGGAGGACATATTACTCCTAATTGTTGAAGGCAGAATTTTCTCATTCACAGGAGCAGCATGAAGCCTGGTTTCCAGTAGAAAGGTGCAAAAAGGAAAAATTGGGAAGCTGCAGTGTACCACAGAGGACCAGCAATGTGTCTTATAAAGAGGATCTCTATTTCCACTATGTAACACTGTTGGCTTAGAAATACCATGTGCTGGGCCAGACACGGTGGCTCACACCTGTAATCCCAGCACTTTGGGAGACCGAGGTGGGTGGATCACCTGAGGTCGGGAGTTCAAGACCAGCCTGGCCAACGTGGAGAAACCTTGTCTCTACTAAAAATACAAAATTAGCCAGGCATGGTGGCACCTGCCTGTAATCCCAGCTACTTGGGAGGCTGAGGCAGGAGAATTGCTTGAACCTGGGAGGCGGAGGTTGTGGTGAGCCGAGATTGCGCCATTGCACTCCAGCCTGGGCAACAAGAGCGAAACCCTATCTCCAAAAAAAAAAAAGAAGAGAGAGAGAAAGAAAAAAAGAAATACCATGAGGAATATTAGCAAAAAACAAATATTAGCGAGGAATATTAGCGAAAAAAAGAAATACCATGAGGAATATTAGTGAGTGACCTCACTGTGGGGGAAGGGGAGACCTCTGTTCCTAGATTACAACAGCATTTCCCTGAGCTATATCCATGGTTATTATAGCATTTCCTGATTTTGCCTAACGGATTACTTCTTCCCTAGGCTGTAAAAATTACCACACATTTGACACACAGAGAGAATAAGAGATATAACGACCGCTGATAGAAAAAGAAGGAAAGTTTTGGCCTGGCGTGGTGGCTCACGCCTGTAATCCCAGCACTTTGGGAGGCCGAGGCGGGTGGAACACCTGAGGTCAGGAGTACAAGACTAGCCTGGCCAACATGGAGAAACCCTGTCTCTACTAAAACTGCAAAAATTAGCCAGGCATGGTGGCCGGCCCCTGTAGTCCCAGCTACTCGGGAGGCTGAGTCAGGAGAATCACTTGAACCTGGGAGGCGGAGGTTGCAGTGAGCCGAGATCTCGCCATTGTACTCCAGCCTGGGCAATAAGAGTGAAACTCTGTCTCAAAAAAAAGGAAAAGAAAAAGAAGAAAAGTTTTGCAATAGGATAGCTGGGGATCTTTTACCAACACCCAGAGCAGGCTGTCAGAGGCTGGGTCCAGTCCAGAAGCCTTTGAATAACACCAGGGTGTGCCCCAGCCAGAAACTCTCAGTTATTTCAGAACCTTTCCTGGCCTCGCACAATGGCAAAGTTTCCCTATGAATAAAAACTGGTTTGAAGGATGGCCAACATTCCCAATAACCTATGGGTATTGGGGGGTTCTCCATGTCCTCCCCAGCAAGTCTGACATTCTTTAAGTCTTATAAGAATGTCAGCCACAATAAGGATATCTAGACAGCTGACAGATGCCCATTAATTGATCTGATTTAAAAATAGAGGCCAAGAGCCTCGGAATGATGGGATCGATTTTGAGTTTGCTCCTCTACTCACCGCTCCAATGAATGTTGTACCTTGGATTCCCAGCCAATGCACCAACATGACATGGCTCCATTGTCTGGAGAAACACCCAGGGTCCTTGGTCTTGCACCGAGAAAATTAGTGACACAGACACAGGTGGAGTGGATTTAAGGAGCAGAAAGTGTAATAGGCAAAAAAGAAGAAAACAGCTCCCCTGTACAGAGGGAAGGGGGGCCTCTGAATGGAAAAAAAACCCACGTGCAGCAAAAAGCAGTTGGTTATATTGGGAGGCTGGAGGAGACAGTGTCTGATTTGCACAGGGCCCAGGGGATTGGTTTGACCAGGTGTGTCATTCATGTAGCCAGCGAAAAAACTGGCCCTCCCGTCCCAGCCTTTTAATATGGATATGTGCGTCGCCATGATGTCCTGCACATGTGCTTTATCTGGAGGCTGCCGTGACACCTGGCACACATGGTGACAAGGAAAAGAGGGCGGGAGACACTATATTGAACGTACCCGCCTTCCAGCCACCAGCATGTGCATATCAATGCTTGCCGGTTTGGTTTTTCAAGCCACTTTCTGTTAGAAAAGAAATGTTTTGGGGGTTGCTTTTCATTAAAAGAAAACTCTACTGAAAACTTTCACCCTTTCTAGCTGCCTAAATATGATTTCTTAATAACTCCTGTATTAGACGGACCCCTCCTCTCTGCCAAGGATATTCCAAAGTTAACCTGCAGTACTAGTTTAGACCATGATGAGAAGGGGGTAGTCAGACATGCCTCGTTATACGCTCTTCCCTTTTGGAATTCAAGAAAAGCTGACCAGCATTAACATCAACACAGACCTTAAGTCTGATAAGAAACATTTACAATTTATTCGCCCTGGAGCCTGCTACCAGAGGCTTCATCTGCATGATAAAACTTTGGTCTCCACAAATCCTGATCATCGTAACCTAGACATTCCTTTCTATTGACTCTAGGTTGTTAGAAAATAATGAACTCTTTCAAACAATCACCAACCAGAAAATTTTTAAATCTACCTGTAATCTGGAAGCCCCCGACTACCTTGCTTCAAGTGCCGCGCCTTTCCAGATTGAACCAATGTACATATTACATTGTAATATTACAGGTTATATTGATGTGCATGTCTCTCTAAAAAGTATAAAAGCAAGCTGTACCCCAGCCACCTTGGGCACATGTCATCGGGACCTCTTGAGGCCTTGTCACGGGCGTATCCTTAACCTTGGCAAAATAAACTTTCTAAGTTGATTGAGACCTGTCTCAGATACTTTTGAGTTCACAGTTCATTGGGTGGCTCTGATGTGAAGCAAAGATTGAAACCCTCAAAGTTGGTGGTAAACGGCTTCTAAACTTAACTATACATTCTAATCACCAATGAGGTCCTCAACAGACCTACCGTAAGATTGGAAAAACCCTGTACTACACTCACACTCAATACACTTCTGTGACCAGATGTGTGGAGTTTTCCCCACACTGATCAGTTCTCTGACACCAACTGGGTGTCCTACAATGCAATTCAGTTCTGACACTAACTGGAATCTGTGCAGACCCCACAGGTTAAGGGTCCAGTCCCACACAACTGTCCCCCAGTTCAGATGACAGTTCCAAGTAGTAGGTCCCCAGGTTACCCACAATTTCTCTCTGATTTGGCTACAAATCAGAAGTTCCCACAACCCCCTTCTTGGGTTCAATAATTTGCTAGAGCGGCTCACAGAACCCAGGAAAATAGTTTATCTATAACTGTCAATTTATTACCAAGGAAATTTTGTTTGTTTGTTATTTACTTATTTTTGGGAGACAGGGTCTTGCTCCGTCACCTAGGCTGGAACGCACTGGTGTGACTATAGCTCACCGCAGCCTTGAATTTCCAGGCTTAAGCAATCCTCTTACCTCAGCCTCCTGAGTGGCTAGGATTACAGGTGCATGCCGCTGTGCCCAGCTAATTTTTAATTTTATTTTGTAGCGACACAGCCTCACAATGTTGCCCAGGCTGGTCTAGAACTCCTGGGATCAAGCGATCCTCCCACTTTGGTCTTCCAAAGTGCTGAGATGACAGGTATGAGCCACCACACCCAGCCACAGAGGATGTTTTAAATGATATAAATCAACAGCCAGAAAAAGAGACACAAAGGGCCCAATCTAGAAAGGTCCCAAGTACAGGAGCTTCTGTCCTAGTAATGTCGGGGTGTGCTACCTTCTGAGGATATTGATGTGTTTGCCATCCACATAAACTCTCCAAACCCCATGGTTCAGGAAGTTTTATGGAGGCTTCATCACACGGGCCCAATCAATTACCACCTCAAATCTCCAGCCACTCTCCCTTTCCTGGAGGATGGGGTTGGGACTGAAAGTTTCAAGCCTCTCATCATGGCTTGGTCTTTCTGGAGACCAGCCCCGATCCAGGAGCCTACCAAGTGGCACCTCATTAGAGCAAAGACACTCCTGTCACCCAGGAAATTCCAAGGGATTAGAAGCTCTATGCCAGGAACTGGGTCAAAGACTTATTAGAACAAAAGATATACTTAGCACCAGTATTGCTCAGGAAATTACAAGTGCTTTAGGAGCTCTGTGCCAGTAACTGGGCCAGAGAACAAATATATACATTTTTCATTATGTCACACCTACTCAATCAAAATTTCTGGTACGAAGCCCGAAATCCATATTTTTAAATGATCCAACTGAGACATGCCCCGGCATTTAAGAGTCACTAGACTGGTTTCCACTTTAGTCTATCCTCCAAGATCTTTTCAGACGTGCTGTCATCACACCTTCTCTTGGATCTCCAATTTAAGTCCCAATCTCTTCATATCTAGATTATTCTAATGAGTCGGTGTTTTCCCTCCTTCAACTCCTCTTGAACGCTGCCACAAGATTTGCTCCAAAAATGTGACTTTACTGCAGATATTTTGACAGAGGTTTCATTTTGCCACTGTGCCACATCAAAGGATCCTATCAAAGCATAAAGTCACTTTTTACAAAACAGTTTAATACTAAGTACAGAAGTTTACCAGGCAGTCCTGCCCCAGTCCCTTTCTAACCTTCAACAAGTTGACTCAGAGTCTTCTCCCAGCTCTGTCCCTTATTCCTCACTCGGATCCATCACTCCTTCCCTAATTCCATTTGGAGCCACCTCATTCCCCACTCTCACCCCTGACCACCACCCCAGGGATACAAATCGGCAATCATGTGAGGCTCAGGGATGGGGTAAGGATTGATATTTTGCAGATTATCAGTGACCTAAAAGCCTAACATTAGTGATTTTTCCCCCTAGATTACACCAATGGCCCCCCTACCACCAGTATCCAAGGTTCAGACTCCACATGTCCGATCAAAGCCACCTGTGGTCCAAGGAATAATTCCAGGTGAACATTTGCCATTCTTTGAGGGGTAAAGCAAGCCATAGTATGAGGGATGTCTGGTCACAGAAGTAGAAAGGGCCATTTTCAAAAGAGAGAAGCTTGGAGAGCATGTGAACTCAAGCCAATGACGATGCCAACCATTGCTGCAGAAAGCTGTGTAAGTGACAGCTTAATTCAACTGCTTGCACAGGACTCACTCAGGCTTCTCAGTGCAGGGAGCCTCACTCTCTGTTCCTGTGGGCCTCACTCTCTGGTCCAGCAAGAGCAGCATCTGGCGCTCCTGAGGTAGCTGCTCCATGTCTCAGATGCCCTGGCTGCTTGTGTATTGGCCTCAGCTCCTGCGGCAGCCTGATGATTTTGCTGCCTCTGTTTACTTCTCAGACTCACTCCCTACCACAGGCAGACTTCCTTTAGGTCATATGGAATGGAAGTAGTGAGAGAAGGCATCCTTGTCTTGTGCTAGTTTTCAAGGGGAATGCTTCCAGCTTTTGCCCATTCAGTACAATGTTAGCTGTGGGTTTGTCATAGATGGCTCCTATTATTTTGAAGTATGTTCCTTCATGGCCTAGTTCATTGAGGGATGTTGAATCTTATCAAAAGCGTTTCTGCATCTATTGAGATAATCATGTGGTTTTTGTCTTTAGTTCTGTTTATGTGATGAATCACATTTATTGATTTGCATATGTTGAACCAAACTTGCATCCCAGAGATAAAGCCTACTTGATCATGGTGGATTAGCTTTTTGAGGAGCTGCTGGATTTGGTTTGCCAGTATTTGGTTGAGGGTTTTTGCATCTATGTTCATCAAGGATAGTGGCCTAAAGTTTTATTTTTGTGTGTCTCTGCCAGGTTTTGGTGTCAGGATGATGCTGGCCTCATAAAATGAGTTGAGGGAGGAGTCTATCCTCAATGTTTGGGAATAGTTTCAGTAGGAATGGTACCAGCTCTTCTTTGTACATCTGGTAGAATTTGGCTGTGAATCCATCTGGTCCTGGGGTTTTTTTGGTTGGTAGGTTATTTCTTACTGATTCAATTTCAGAGCTTGTTATTGGTCTGCTCAGGGATTCAATTTTTTCCTGATTTAGTCTTGGAAGCATGTATGTGTCCAGGAATTTATCTGTTTCTTCTAGATTTTCTAGTTTGTGTTCATAAGGGTGTTCATAGTAGATGCTGATGGTTATTTGTATTTCTGTGGGGTCAGTAGTAACATCCCTTTGTCATTTCTAAGTATGTTTATTTGGATCTTCTCTCTTTCCCTTATTAGTCTAGCTACTGGTCTATCTTACTATTTTTTTCAAGTATCCAACTCCTGGATTTGTTGATCTTCTGTACGGTTTGTTGTGTTTCACTCTCCTTCAGTTCTGCTCTGATTTTCGTTATTTCTTGCTTTCTGCTAGCTTTGGGGTTGGTTTGCTCTAGCTTCTTTAGTTCTTCTAGCTGTGATGTTAAGTTGTTAATTTGAGATCTTTTTAACTTTTTGATATGGGTGTTTAGTGCTACAAATTTCTCTCTTAACAATGCCTTAGCAGTGTCCTAGAGATTCTGATATTGTACCTTTGTTCTCATTCGTTTCAAAGAACTTCTTGATTTCTGCCTTAATTTCATTATTTACCCAAAAGCTATTGAGGACCTTTTTTTTTTAATTTTCCTGTAATTGTATGGTTTTGAGCAATTTTCTTTGTATTGAATTCTATTTTTATTGTGCTGTGGTCTGAGAGTGTGGTTGGTATGATTTCAGGTTTTTTTTTTTTAATTTGCTAAGGATTGTTTTATGTCCAATTGTGTGGTTGGTTTTAGAGGAAGACATACATGCGGCCAAAAAGCATATGAAAAATGCTCAACATTACTAAACATTGGAGAAATAGCAAAGACATGGAATCAGCCTAAATGTCCGTCAACAGTAGACTAAATAAAGAAAATATGATACATAGTCCGGGCACAGTGGTTCATGCCTGCAATCCCAGCACTTTGGGAGGCCAAGGCAGGCAGATCACTTGAGGTCAAGAGTTCGAGACCAGCCTGGCCAACATGGTGAAACCCCGTCTCTACTAAAAATACAAAAATTAGCCGGGCATGGTGGTGGGCACCTATAATTCTGGCTATTTGGGAGGCTGAGGCAGGAGAATTGCTTGAACCCGCAAGGTGGAGGTTGCAGTGAGCTGAGATCATGCCACTGCACTCCAGCCTGGACAACAGGAGAGACTCTGTATGAAATATATATATACAGCATAAATATGATACATATACCCCATAGAATACTATGCAGCCATAAAAAAGAACAAGATCATGTCCTTTGCAGCAACACGGATGGAGCTGAAGACCATTAGCAAAGTAACACAGGAACAGAAAACCAAATACTGCATGTTCTCACTTGTAAGTGGGAACTAAATAACGAGAACTCATGGACACAAGAGAGGAACAACAGACACTGAGGCCTACTTAAGCACGAAGGGTGGGAGGAGGGGGAGGAGCAGAAAACATACCTTTTGGGTACTGTGTTTAGTACGTGGGTGACAAAATAATCTGTACATCAAACCCCCATGACACAAGTTTATCTATATAACAAACCTGCACATGTACCCCTGAACATAAAATAAAAGCTAGAAGGAAAAAGGCAGGTTATATTATCTCACTCCCTGAGGTAGTGGTCCTCTCTGCCTCTCCTTCACGCATTTCGTTTACAACATAGAACTTTCCAAATTTGCATGATTCTTGTATTTTCTCTCTGTAATGCCACCTATTCCTCTCATTTCCCTCTACAGATCCCTCACATCACGTATCTTCTCATTAATGCTTTTCCAATCTGTATTCTCACCCAAATCGCTTCACTACTTCCTCTTGGGAGAGTAATCTGCGTAAGAATAAAATAGATGTAATCTAGTAGTCTTTCTTCTGCTGATGAGGGTTGTATGATTGAAGCACATTTTATCATTCTAACATAATAGGAGGAAGAGTCATCATCTGCTGACATGACACAAAGTCTGTCAGCAAGGGATTAAGAAGAGCGAACAGTCTGTTCTGTTATAATTAAAGCATACTGTAGAGCATTTCATACCATAGTTTAATGTTGCAAATACAGCATAAATTCTGTGAGCACAGGCAGTAAGATAAGCATATTTTTATCTAAAGTACATTAATGCTATTTCCCAAGTAATTTTCAAGGGTTATAAAACTTGAAATTATCAGGCAGATTGACTGCAGCATATAAGTCATTAAGAAATTTCTTCATTATAAGTGAAGTTCATTATTAGATCCCACAATAATTGCTCTATGACAGTCTATAATTAAGTAGCACATGGAATGATGATAATACAGAGTCAGTATATTAGATGTAAATTGTCATGCACACTACAATTCCCCACCATAACAACTTAAAATGACATGCAATTGAAAACAAACTGCAAGTAGGTTGAAAACTACAATGATCCTTAATGATGTTCACTTCTTAATAAACTTTGAGAAAAAAGAATGAAATGAAACATCTTCCAAGAGCATCTTCCATTGCTCTTACCTAGTACAGAGTAGTCACTAAATAATTATTTCTCACATAATGTCTTGAGCCTCATGTTAGCTAGCCTTACCATCATTTCATTCTCCCTAGAATAGTATTACGAGCCTCTTCTCTTTCTGGAGCTGAAACTAACTCTTCAAGTACCAACAGATTACCTAATTTTTTCCTAGTTAACTCCCCTTTTTAGACATTGAGTAATCATAGGTAAACTGTCTTTTCAGTTCTGCCTGTAATTATAGAGCTTTAGGCAAGTTTTCTGGTTTTCATATATTAAACAAGAGGGTTCAACTGGAAGGTCATAACTCTAAAGCTTTAATGTGCTACACCTTACATTATTTTGATACATATCAGGAGGTACCATGCACATCTACCTTTCTTAGTCCTCTCTTTCTCTTCCCTTTTCCTCTTACCCTTCACTCTCATGCCCTTTCTTCCCATTTTCCCCTACTCCCAAAATGGATAAAGCTAAATTTTTAACATTCACCAATACAGACCCACAGGGGCCCTGAGTTCTTCTGGGCATGAGCTCTGAGAAAGAGACCAGAATTCCTGCTCTGATTCCTAAGATAACTGTTACAAAATCAAGAATTTGCCCGGGAGTGATGATGACCGTTAATGGGATAATGGTGGGAAGGGTACGAGCTGTAAAGAGGAAGGTGGAAGTTGATAAATGCGAACTTGGGACACAATTTGACTGAACTGTAGTGCAGATCCTTAGAAAGCAGGAGAGCACTGGTTACCTCTAGCAGGTTGCCGACGCTTCAGAAAGAACTAGGAGACAAAGCAAAGTTACTTTATAGAAATTTAATTTAACTAACTTCATGACTTTGCCTACAGCCAGCTGTAATCACATCCATTCATGTCCATGCAAAATTAAGGACATCCCAAGACTATTATCAAAAAGGTAAGAGATAGCAAGTGTTGGAGAGGACATGGAGTAACAGGAGCCCTTGCACGCCGATGGTGGAAATATTCAATTGGTACAGCCATTATGGAAAATAGCATGGAGCTTCCTCAAAAATGTAAAAATAGAACTGCCACACGATCCAGCAATTCCACTTCTGGGTGTATATCCAAAGTAAATGAAATCAGTATGTCAAAGAGAGATCTTCACTCCCATGTTCACTGAAGCATTATTCACAATAGCCAAGATATGGAATCAACCTAAGTGTCCATCAGCAGATGAATAATGTGGTATATATACACAATGGAATACTATTCAACCTCAAAAAAGAAGCAAATTCTGTCGTTTGGGACAACATAAGTGACCCTGGAAGACATTATGATAAGTGAAATAGGCCAAGCACAGAAAGGCAAGTTCCGCATGATCTCACTTATATGTAGAATCTAAAAAGCTGAGCTCATAGAAACAAAGAGTAGAATAGTGGCTACTGAGGCTGAGGTTGAGGGTTTGGGGGAGATGTTGGCTTAAGGACACGAAATTTAAGTTAGACAGGAGGAATAAGTTCAGAAGACTATCATACAACATGGCAATTATATGGTTGACTGTTGAACAACTTGCGGGTTGGGGCACCAACCCCACATGCAGTCAAACATCCATGTATAAATTTTGACTCTTCAAAAACGTAACTACTAATATCTCACTGTTGACCAGAAGCCTTGCCCATGACAAAAGGTTGATTAACACATATTTTGTATGTTACATGTGTGATATACTATATTCTTAAATAAAGTAAGCTAGAGAAAAGAAAATGTTATTAAGAATATTATAAGGAAGAAATGGAAGGGGATCATCATAAAGGTCTGTATCTTCCTCATTTTCATGTTGAGAAGGCTGAGAAGGAGGAGGAAGAGGAGGGGTTGGTCTTGCTGTCTCAGGGGTGACACAGGCAGAAGAAAATCTGCATGTAAGTGGACCCACACAGTTCGAACCTGTGTTGTTCAAGGGTGAACTGTAGTAATAACAATGTATTGTGTACTTGGAAATTGCTAAGAGAGAACATAAGTATTCCCACCACAAAAAATGATAAATGTGAGGTGATGAATATATTAATTAGTTTGATTTAATTATTTCACAATGTATATATCAAAATATCATGTTGCACATCATAAATGTATACAATTTTTATTTGTAAAGTAAAAAAAGTAAAAATAAATTTTAAAAAAAGAAGTTAAACACATTCAGCAAGTAATGATATTCTGTAAGATGGGGCTAAGTATTTCTTCGCATTTAAAAGGAGGATTCTCTGCAAAAAGCAAATGATAAATACAGGCAGTCCTTAAATACACATAATTACCAAAAATATACAATAAATTAGGAAATATTTATTTGCTCTGTTGAACTCCCTAAACTATCAATATTTAATAAATCAAAGCTAAATTTATTAGAACTTTCTGCCAAGAAAGAATACATCCTTGACAGTCTTGGCAGCACCTCACAAGGGGAATCAGAAATAGAATACTTATAGGGCACTGAGGTCTGAGTTCAAGTGTTTTAAAACAGGCCGTTCAAGGAATGTATATATTCTCTCCCTTGAAAGACCTGTTTTATATATAGAGAAATATATATATATTTCTATAATGTATCAATACAAATTACATGTACAATATATAAAAATTGTTTATATATTATACATACAATTACATATTTAATGATACATAAAAATGTTTATATGTAAATATATGTTTTACATAGTAGTTTAAGTTGGCAGTCACGGCAAAGCAAGGGTCTTGAATAGGTAAACTGTGGCTAAAAAGCAAGGGTTTGCCCAGATAAGCAACGTATTGTCTCCAATAAATTGGTCTGTGAATTTTGGAATTCAATGTATTGTCTCCAATTAATTGGTCTTGGCATTTCCTGAAGCACAGAGTAAAAGTACTTATTGGTGTGCAACCTTATATTTTCTGAATAGGTGTTGTCGGGAACAAAAAAAGTCATGTTCACATGGGTAGTTTTCTTAGTCCATTTTTTCTTGCTATAACAGAATTCCACAGACTGGGTAAACTATAAAGAAGAGATATTTATTTCTTACAGTTCTGGAGGCTGGGAAGGCCAGGGTTCAGGGGTTGCATCTGGTGAGGGCCTTCATGCTGATGGCAACTCTCTGCAGAGTCCCAAGGTGGCACAGGCCATCATATGGTGAGGAAGTAAGAGTGTGCCAGCTCAGGTCTCTCTTCCTCTTCTTATAAAGCCACCAGCCCCATCATGGATGCTTCTTCCTGATGGCCTTATCTAATTCTAATTACCTCCTGGTGTTTCTACCTCTTAATACTGTTACAATGAGGATTAAGTTTACAACACATAAATTTGGGGGGAACATATTCAAACCATAGCAGTGGCCTATAGTCTTTTATAAGAATCGACATACTTGTAAGGTATTTGCCCTTGTTAGAATTAATGAGTATACAAGGTGAAGAGAAGACATGGAGAATCTAAGAATGGCTGAATTGTTCCACATAAGAGCAAGCGTGGAGATACTCAAATAAGAAATATGGAAACTGGAGAAAGTAGGAAGAGCTTGGCAAAGTGAGTACTGGGGAGAGAAGAGGAGAACTAGTTTGGTGGTATAAAGGAGAATGTACAAAAGAGACAATAAGACAGGAAAGAGACTGGACATGAGAGCATCTGTGAAGACTGGAACTGTGGGGAGAGGGAGAGTTATCTAAATATGAGTATTAGGAAGTTTTTGTGGGTGTATGTGCATTGTGCAATATTAATTCCCTGCTTCCAAATCCTCAAGAACTGTTTGGTAAAAACTTGCATGAAAGTCCAGTTTGTGCTTCTTTTAGATGTGTAACCGTTCAGAAATTGGCTTCCAGGGGAACTGGGACATTTAGGTTGTTCTTTAAAAACAGGAAAGGTTGCCTGTACATTCCAAGTCATTCTTCAATAAATAACATGTCAACTGGCTGATTCTAAGATTACCCTGAGATGAAATTTGATGTCTAAAGTTAGAAACTTTGATCATAGTTATCAGTATAACCAGTCAAGAAGAAAAGAGACCTCAAACAGTAGGGGAAATAAAATGGGCAAAATAAAGTAAAGTTATTATATCCAGGCAGTGAAAACATTAGAGAAAAACCAAAATAACAGGTCAAAATCAGAAAGGAAGAATTATATGTTTGAAAGGAAAGAGTAGCCAAAGATTAAAATAGAATCAACATTGTAAATGTCAAGTGGAAGCTATTTCCACACCAAAAAGATATTGGGAGAAATGTGAAAGGTGAAATAAAAAGGAAAAGAGAACAATGATAATAGTTTTGTGTCTTGAAAGCCCATCTGTAGATGCCATATTAAGTGGCTTACTTGGCATTTTATTTTATTGATAATTAAAAGCAACCATTTGCAGTAAATATGTTATTTTTCAGGTGAAAGAAAAACCCAAGAGTCACTTGCCTAATGACATATAACTTGTCAGTAACAGAGTTAGAGTTTGAACACAGGTATATCTCATTCTTCTAATTAATTTATTTTTTTTTTTTGAGATGGAGTCTCATTCTGTCGCCAGGCTGGAGTGCAGTGGTGTGATCTCGGCTCACTGCAACCTCCACCTCCTGGGTTCAAGCGATTCCTGTGCCTCAGCCTCCCGAGTATCTGGGATTACAGGCACATGCCACCATACCCAGCTAATTTTTGTACTTTAAGTAGAGACGGGGTTTCACCATGTTGGCCAGGCTGATCTCGAACTCCTGACCTCGTGATCCGTCTGCCTCGGCCTCCCAATGTGCTAGGATTACAGGCATGAGCCACCGCGCCTGGCCAGGTATATCTCATTCTAAAGCTTATATTCTTCATTATTTGTGGTCTATACTGCTGGTTACTATAGACCACAAATCCAGTGTGTTATCTGGTGTGTTATTATAGAAATACATGGGTGAAGTTTACCACCATTAGCTACAGATTCTGATGGGAGAAAAAAATTTCCTTAACGCAGAATGTCAGATAGCACTATACTGACAGAAGGTTAACTAAGGCTCACGTGAACCCACAATCCTACGCATCAAACCAAAATGTAAAAGTAGTCTGAATAAACTCCCATCCCACAACTGCCTGATGTGTGAGAAGAAACCCTTTTATTTATTTATTTATTTATTTATTTATTTATTATTTTGGGGGGGGCTTAAAAACAAACTTTATTACAAATTATCAAAAAAAAGTGTTAACTCTGAAATATTTAACAGATTTCATTTAAACTCATATGGTCATAAAACTCAAACTATCAAACAAAAATAGCATTATGCACTTAACCACTTTCAATAATGAACATTTAAGAGGAAACACTTAGAGACTCCCGCACAATTTGGGAGCCATTAGGCAACACATATTTAATATTAAGCAAATACAGCATTAAAAACTAAAAATCCTCAAATTTCAAGAGATTGCCTGTTCAAGTCTTTGATATGCATTTGCACATGAGAAAAGAAATATTTTAATATTTCTTCAAATGTAATCTCCTGTCCACCCTTCATTTCATAACTGCATACCCCTCACTCTATTTCACCTACACTGAACCAGTGTTAGTTCAACATGATTGGCTTCACTCGAAGCCCTCTATATCCCATTTCATATATCCCATCGACCACCACTATTCCCTTACATGTTTGCACAGCCTTATACTGAGTATTACATTGCAACTGAGCTTGGGAATTTCAGGTATCCAAAGGTAATTATATATACGAACGATTGTTTTATTGCACAGTTCACAATATAGCTGGTGATTTATACAGCCAACCATCTTAAGATGAATATCGACTATTCAGACACAAACATCAATTTTCTCCTCAACCACTAATGAAACAAGAAAGACACACACATTCGCCACCATATCAAGGTTGTGTTTACTCTGTGGTGAAGTCCTGAGGGCTCATACCACTCTCAGTGTGTTCAGTACAGAATCCATAACATTTCTGGTGGCATCACACATGAAGTATAAGACACAAGACCATAAGTGTCCTGCACTCATGAGCCATTTGTGCCACATACGTAACAGAAAGGCCACTTTTAAAGCTTTTCAGATATTCAATCATGTTTGCCTTTTCAATTTCTTTATTTTTATTTTTTATTTTATTTATTTATTTATTTTGAGACAGAGTCTCTCTGTTGCCCAGGCTGGAGTGCAGTGGTGCAATCTCAGCTCATTGTAACCTCCGCCTCCCAGGTTCAAGAGATTCTCCTGCCTCAGCCTCCCGAGTAGCTGGGATCACAGGCGTGTGCCACCATACCTGGCTACTTTTTTGTATTTTTAGTAGAGATGGGGTTTCACTGTCCTGACCAGGCTGGTCTCAAACTCCTGACCTCAAGTGATCCGCCCGCCTCAGCCTCCTAAAGTGCTGGGATTACAGGCATGAGCCACCGTGCCTGGCCTGCCTTTTCAAGGTTATTACCACACTAGTTCACACTGAAGGTAAAAGCAATAATTAGAATCTCTTATTAACAACACATTTTGACTTCAAGTTCAGACAAAGCTGTTGGTTACAAGTTCTGCTAAACTTTTTGTCAAATTTAAGAAGTCTATAGGACAACACAAAATCATCCCTGGTAATGTATTTGCAGTTTGGTCTTCAAAAGCTGTAAAGAGTAACAGAGAAATAAAAAAAATGCTGAGTTAAAACCATTAAAAATATTTATTAATAATTGTTTTTAAATGCCACTTATTTGAGACAGCAGAAACCAAAGCGTTTTCCTTAGAATTCTCACTTAGCTTGTATTTCACAAAAGTGCTTTAGAACTCAAATTTCTACCACCTGTATGGAGTGTAAAGACAAAAGGAAGCCCAACAAAACCAAAGGCCCAATGGTGTCTATTCCCAGGGCCAAGGTATAACCCCAGGCTAACCCACCTGCCCTGGGCTGAGTAGCTGGACACGCCTGTGAGTGCTCAAAGTCACACACATGAATGAGGGTGTCAGGCACCAAGGTGCCTTTATTTATTCGTTTCTCAAACTCAATTCCCTTCAAATCCTGACTCTATTTAATAGGCCAAAGGATGCTACTCATATTTATTTGGTGCCAAATTATTTTTTTTTTAATCCTTACATCTGCACCTTGAAAGTAAACTGCAATATCCAGCACAACATTGTCAGACAGAGCTGCTATATGGCTATTTAGCTTTATTACCGTCTGGCTAATGCTTAATAAGTTTCATCCTTTACAGCTGGAAGAAGGATGTTCACTGTATTTAACCAGCCATAGTGCATTTAGAGGTAAACAGCTTTTATGGACTATTTGCCCAGAAACTTTCAGTAAACTACCAAGTTGAGGCCTGTATTTTGGTCAGTATGTGCACATATTCACATGCAATTACCCAGAAAGAAGAAAAACTGGTTAACAAGAAACCTACCATCATGTCAGATGCTGGAAATCAATCTTTAGCTACATGATATTTACAGAAAGGGTTTTAAGATTCACAATCCACTTTTTCAGTCTGTCTCTTATATTTCATTAGTCAATTGGAAGTGGCATGAGTTTCATCTGGAAAAAATATTTTCACATTTTCTAATACCTTTGACAAAGAAGTTTTCGTCTGTTAAGGGATGAGAATGCTATTTGGCTATTACCTACTTTTAGAGTTCAAACTAACCCTTCAAATGCCTTTATTTAGATCATACGCTCTCAAACTATCTTATTGTTTTACTGACACAATGGTAAAACTGGGTTCCCAAAATGTCAAAACCCTAATGGAGTCTCTATTTCCAAGAGTAAAATAAAAGACAGCGAATACTATGGGGTGAAAACTATCCTGAGCCTTTCCCGCCCCCCGCCCCACTCTGTAATATTTAGAAACTAGGGGGAAAAAAGTGGGATTGCATTAATAGACTTACAAAACAAAATGTTATGGAAGTGTTTATTTTTTAAAAGGAGAGTTTTAAGAGAACAGGATGCTTGAATATGACCAACTCCTACTCCACGGGAAAAATAACCACAGACCTTTGCTGAGATGGCATCAATAAGTCAAAGAAACCAAGCTAAACAGAATTTGATCTATACACAATATGAAAACTTCTTAACAGGATGGAACACCTATAACAAAATTTAAGTCCCTTCATCTTTCAGCAATGAAATAAGTGAAATTAACATAAGAATATTTTGGAAGGGTTGAGGGTCACAGTCAGAATCAAACAGAAAACTTTCAAACCTAGAAAGCAAAACGGGAACTTTCATAGCTCCTTGATCTACCATATCTAAATAGAAATAGTATAATGACTATCCAATAGGTGATTAGTTTCAAAACTAATACAAGCAATGTATCATGAAAAGCCTCTACATAACAAGCTGTTTTTCTTCTCTGTTCTGCCCCTTTGTCATATGCTTGAGCTTAATGAAGACTATCCTCTGCAGCTGCTCCTGAGGGCACAGAAGAAAGCAATGGAGTAACAAAGGAAGCCTGAGGAGCCCCTGGCCCCTGAGGACCTTCTCTCTGGCCGGTCATAGCAACTTATGTTTTAATGCAGGAGATTTCAAGACTGGTTTGAGAAAAAGAATCTTATCTTGGGGATTAGGTTCCCTGTCAAAGGCCATCAGATGGACAGCTATTTACCAGGCAATTAGCCTAAAGCTCTTAGGTAATGATAAAAAAAAAAAAAAAAGAAAGAAAGAAAAAGAAAACAAAACAAAAAAAAACCCTTACATTTTCCTATTGGAACCTTTTATTCTGTTTTGTTGATGCTTAAGGAAAACAGCTTTGCCCGTAACTCACTGTGGCCTGGAGTTATGACACGAACTTGTATTTGGCCAATTAAGAAAGAGGCCAAACTGCATTCTTCTTAGAAGGTCTATTCAGTTGATAAATGGCACTTAACTGATGGTTTTTTTTCATATAAATTTTAACAAGAACTCATAAGTTGCATTGATTATGCCCCAAGAGATGAGGGACCGATGGTAATTCAGATGGGCACCTCTGAAAAGATTTATCAGTTTTCTGTCCCGTTCCAGCCAGATTTTTTGGAAAACCTTGGGGAAAGACTGAAATTCCCCACCAATCTGAGACTGTAGGCGAGTTTTTACAACATTAATTGGAAAACACAAGAATCCCAACATGGCACCCAATAGACCTCCACCGATAAAATCATTGACCAAATGAGCACTGTGAGTCGTTGCGGTAGGCAGATGCTCCTTAATGGGACCTCGAAGGCCGAAAAACAAGACATTGCTGAGTCCATTCCGGAAAAGAATGGGCACCAAGCCTCGATAATACTCTCCAATTCCATGACATTTCAGTGCCTTGAAAGCCTGATAAGTGTTGGTAAATTTGTCATGATGCTTGTGGTTTTGAAGCAATGTCTGAACTCTTTCCAGTGGAGTGAAAATTGCTTCTGCTGTCCCTGCAAGCACTGCCGCCACGCCATGGGTTGCAAACTCTGGAGCACGGACATGCTTCCGGAGAAGGCAGGATAAATCCTCATACAGACCAAACATAAGTGCAAGCGTAGTTGTCTTCTGCATCAATGGGGGAAGGATTCCACGATACAAATTTCGAAATCCATCCCTTCTCAACTGAAGTACTGCATCCCGGGTTTTGATGCCATACAGCTGTTGCCGAAAGAGGACCTTCTGAATGGGATATGTGATTGCGACGTTGTTGAAGGCTGCACAGCAGCCACACAAGTAATGCTTCATTTCACCAACATTTGTAATATGAGGTGATATATCTTGTTTTGAAGATGTAAGTATTGGTGGCCTCTTTTCATGAGCTTCTGAATCTATCATGTTGCTTAAGATCTTTCTCATGAAGGGCATTTTTTAACCTGTGACATCATCTGAGCCTGGAGTTTGGCAGGATGATAGCTTTGTGATAATGTTCCCAATTTCTTCCATTGTTATTGTTCTGTTAGGTTCTCTCTTCCCGAGTCCATTTTGATAACTGGATTTCCGTTCTCCAGGCGTCCATTTCCCCAACCCATCGCCGCCGGCGCCCCGCAGGACTGCGAGCAAGCCGGGACCTGCGCAGGCGCAGACCATGACCGACCCCGGGGCGGGGGCGCAGCGTGACGCTCTGGGCGCCGCTGGGATCCGAGAAGAAACCCTTTTAAAGCAAGCATGGCAATTTCTTCTAAATAAGCTGGATAAAATTAAAAACTCATTCATCCAAAGATCCTAAAAAATCAACAAATTCCTAAATATTAAATGGTATAGACACAAGTGTTTCTTAAATCACATAACCTTCTCCACGGACACTGTGAAGATGTGTTGCCAGTGGCTTCCCTAAGAGACTGTGAAACTTTTTAAATAGTGTATACATACAAGAAAAGTGGATTTTAGTGTAATCTTGCAGAAGAACAAAACAAACATGGTATCTAAGAGTACAAAGGCACAAAAGTTGAAATTTCATAGTCACTCAGGCCTTGGAGTACTGTATTTTCTTGAAAGGGAAAAAAGTAGGCCAGGTGCAGTGGTTCACACCTGTAATCCCAGCACCTTGGGAGGCCAAAACGGGAGGATCGCTTGAGGCTAGGAATTTGAGACCAGCCTGGGCAACATAGCAAGACCCCTGTCTCTACCCAAAAAAAGAAAAAAGAAAAGAAAGAAAAAAGTAGGTGGTAAGGAGAAGTAAGGAGAAGATGAATTTTTTTTTTAAAAAAAGTTCTGTATACCACATGAAATTTTACTGGGAGGAAAGTGTCTGAGGTTTTAAGAGGCATAAATTAAATAACCTTGAAACCCATTTTGCTCTAGGACTACCCATGTGTTTTCTAGAGTAACCAATGTGTATATTCCATGTATGTGAATGAGAGATGAAAGGAAACAAAAATAACTTCCCTTCCAGGAACAGTGGAAGGCTTCAGCCAACAAAGTAGGTCACAGCATCAGACTACATTGCCTGCTGATGTGTACTGCCTAGTTTTTGAATAGAATCAAATGACAGCTTCCTTGAGATTAAATGACAGTTTCCCTGACCATCATCTTAAAGCACGCCTATGGTGGATCGCTCTAGAATGAACCATAAACCCGAAGTTCTCTTTAAGCTTTAGTGAAACGAAATAGTAAAAGCTTTTCACGGAAAGAGAAGGGAGTCTCCAACATTTATACTGATTGATTTTGGCAGCAATGACTTTCATTAGAAATGTAATTGCTGGGTATGCAAAAATTAGCACTGTTGGGGCTAGAGAGATCTTTGTTTTCCTTTCTTTTGTTTTGTTTTGCTTTTTTGCCTAATATTGATAGTGTTTTCTCGGTTTTGCCATAGCCCTTCTGTCAAGATGCTGGCAATCAGTATATCATGAAAAACAGACTGCCCTTTCTCGCATTTATTGAAGAGAGATTCTCATGATCCTATGGTAAGATAACAATTGCTTTTTTTCAATCCATCCTCCACACTGCAGCCAAAGCAGTCATCTTAGTAACAAACGTGAGCACGTTTTCCCTCACTTAAATCTTTAAATGATTTTACACCTGAAGGACAAAGGTCCCCCATGGTCTGACGTTTTCCTACCCTTGGCGCCATCTGCCTTCACATTTCTAAAGGCACCTTCCGTCCCCGCCATATCAAACTACTCGGGGTCTCCAGAATGAAGAATAATGTGCCATCTGACACTCCTTTGTCTTTATTCGGTTATTGCCTCTGCCTGAAATGTCCTTACTTCTAGTTCCTACTCAGCTTCTGGAAGCCTTCGCTAACTCCTTAGTCCAAATGAGGACCCCTTCTCCACAACACACCCTATACACACTGTGAGTGTGGCACGTGTCACACTGTACAATGTCCACGATTCACAATGCTGAGGGCTTCTTGAAGACACAGTCCACTTCTCATTGAACTTTATTCCAGTTTGTGTCCCCAGTGTCCAGGCATCTGGTTAGGTCTCCAACTGCTTAAGAGTGTAAAGAGTGTTGATGAGTTCTGTATTACTCATGGGTCTTGGTTATAAGAGCCAAAAATACCATTCCAACTGAAGCAAGCAAATCTAGGGGGTAAGGAAAGGAGAAGGAAGAAGGAAGATGAGAAGGAGGTAAGAAATCAGGAAAGGATTTAAAAAGGTGGCATCTGGGCAACATTTAAGGCAATTTTCCAGCTTCTCTCATTTGCACCAGTAGGAGTGGGCCATGTGGCCACAGAGGAGAACATTTCCGAATACCCTTCTGGATCCTGCTGATTTTGGGGGGTACTTACCTCCTTCTGTCCTCAGCACCCAAGTGCCAGATGAGGCAAGTGAATTCCTTTGCAAGAGAGGAAAGAAAGGCAGTTTCAGTGAGAAAATAACAATAAAAAGTGAAGTGGGGGGAGAAATGTATTAGTTCGTGTAATGAAAAAGTTGAGAAATCCAGAAGTAGCAATCACTTTAGGCATTGCTGGATCCTAGAGGTTCAACCACCATCACAAGTACTTAACATCCCTCTCCACGTATATATTGCCCAGCTATACATTCCTCAGTTTTAACTTCATTTTCAGTCAGCTCTTTCTACAGAGTAACATCCTACCTGAAGCTTATTCTGCTAATTTAGCAACTGAAGGATGAAGTGCTTCACTTTCCCAACAGTTCCTGCAAAACAACCCTAGGATTGAGTCTCATTGCAGTTAGTTGGTCTGAACCAATCACTGGGATCAGGGGGATGGAAAATGATACTAATCAAACCTGAGTCACTTGCCTCATCCTGCACTTGTCAGGTAAATGGGGCAGAAGGAGGTAAACCTCCCATCCCGCCCACCACCCAAACCACTGGGACCTAGAAAGGTATTAGGAGGTGTTCCCCTCTGAAGCCACACAGCCCACTGCCATTGGTGCAGATGAGAGGAGCTGGAAAATTGCTTTGGAAGTTGAGCCATTGCCACCTTTTTTTGGTCCAAGCTTGCAGTTTCTTGGGCAATGTAACTATACAGTTTGAAATCAGGCAACTCAGGCAGGCGCGGTGGCTCACACCTGTAATCCCAGCACTTTAGGTGGCTGGGGTGGGGGATCACCTGAGGTCAGGAGTTCAAGACCAGCCTGGCCAACATGGTGAAACCCTGTCTCTACTGAAAATACAAAATTAGACGGGTATGGTGGTGCACACCTGTAATCCCAGCAACTTGGGAGGCTGAAGCAAGAGATTCACTTGAACCCAGGAGGCGGACGTTGCAGTGAGCTGAGATCACACCATTGCACTCCAGCCTGGGCAACAAGAGCGAAACTCCATCTCAAAAAAGAGAAAAAAAAAAAATTAGGCAACTCTACTGACCGATGGCCCAAGTCAAATATGTTTGGTCACAGTCCTAGATTCCAGACCCTTTATTGCGGGATTTTTGTCTCAGCACAGGCCCTAATGCTCTGCTATCCCACCTAGTCCTCAACCTAGTGTTGTCCATGCTGGCTGCCCCAGGGCAGAACCAGCACCCTCAAAGCACAGATAACTTGGCCCTTGCCCCTTGGTTATGTCTGATGGGTGACTCTTTACAATGGAGACCATTGTCACCCTTCTCAGGCTGCTAAATGTCTGCAAGATGTTTGGGAGAAGCCTAAAAGAACAGGAATGAAGCTTCTCTCTGACTCCTATCTTATCTTCTGATATGTTTTCCACACCCTAGGCTTTGTGAGAAGTAATATTAGTTGATGACAGAGAACCCCACTTTTCAATTCAGCGAAGCTCAGAGACGTCTAATCTAACTTTCTATTATTTTATTTATTTAATTTTTTTGAGACAGAGTTTCATTCTGTTGCTCAGGCTAGAATGCAGTGGCACCATCTTGGCTCACTGCAACCTCCACCTCCCAGGTTCAAGCGATTCTCCTGCCTCAGCCTCCCAAGTAGCTGGGACTACAGGCACATGCCAAGACACTTGGCTAATTTCTGTGTTTTTAGTAGAGATGGGGTTTCACCATGCTGGCCACACTGACCTGGCCTCAGGTAATCCCCCAGCCTCAGCCTCCCAAAGTGCTGGGATTACAGGTTTGAGGCACCACGCCCAGCCAGGGACATCTAAGTTTCTAAGTTGATGGCTGTAGGAAGAAAGGGCCTCCTGTAGCAAAGCTGTCTTTTCTTCCCTTGCTGCTTTCAGATTGCCCATTTCTAACAAAACTTGTTTTTCTGGTAGGACCTAACCGAAGGCTACAAAATAAATTCATCTTATTCCATCAGCCTGACATTTTTCTACCATCTCTCTTTAACTTTCAACTTCAGTAGGCTCATGGTCAGAGCACCAAGAGAAAATAGAATAGTTTCACCACTGCCTTGCTATTACTGCACAACAAAATTGCCAGCTTCCTGCCCAAAATCGAGAGGTCCTCACTGCCCCTATCCCATCTTGACTGAGCCACGTCTCTATTTGACAATCTGCAACATGTACTCTCTCACCTCCAGATACGAATTTAGAAAGTGTTCAGAGTCTTGTATTAATTTGTTCAGGCTGTCATAACAAAGTACCATAGACTGGGTGGCTTAAACAAAAGAGACTGATTTCCTCACAATTCTGGAGGCTGGAAGTCCAAGACAACCGTGTTGGCAGGGTGGGTTTCTCCCAGGGCCTCACTCCTTTGCTTGCAGATGGCCACCTCATTGCTTCATCCTCACATGGCCAACTCCCATTCTGTGTGTGTCGGTGTCCTAATCTCCTTTTATAAGGACACCAGTTATAGTGGATTAGGGCCTACCCTGATGAGCTTGTTTTAACTTTATCTCTTTAAAGATCCTATGGAAATACAGTCGCATTTTGAGCTACTGTAGTAGGTACTGTTAAGACTTCAACATATGAATTAAGGAGACACAGTTCAGCCCCTAGGAAGTCTTTCAGTGACAAAAATGCCACTCAAACTGGCTTGAGCAAAAAGAAGGAATGCGTTGTCTCCCATAACTGAAAAGTCAGTAGGGATTGGGCTAGGCTGCATGCAGGGTCATATAACGTCAGCACGAGCCATTTGTCTCTTTTGATTATATTTTTGCGGATTGGCTCTTTCTGTGGTACAGTGATGGTTGGAAACAGCTCCATGTGTACAAACTGTTAGTTGGGCAATGTTATTTGATATAGATTCACTTTACATATAGTTCCAGAAAAGGCTTAGGGTGAAAACTCATTGACCTAACTGGAGTCACATGTCCAACAATGAACCAGTCCATATGGCCAGAGGAATGAAATATATCAATTGCCCATACCTGAATATCAAGCCCACATCTAAAGAAAAAGCATCAGCCCATCCAAGCTAAGTGAGCTCAGACAAAAGGCAGTAATGTATAGAGGTTAGCATCAAAGAGTCTGGAATTTGACCCCTGGATTCAAATCCACACTGACCAACTGTGTGACCTTGGGCAAGTTACTTAACCTCAATTTTGTAAAGCAGGACTATAGGAAATCCAACACCTATAATAACACGCCTCTGTATTTCTTACTGTGCAAGATAACAATGTACTTTCACTTTTTGTTTTTTCTTATTTTTTTTTTTTTTTTTGAGACAGAGTCTTGCTCTGTCACCCAGGCTGGAGTGCAGTGGCATGATCTCGGCTCACTGCAAACTCTGCCTCCCGGCTTCATGCCATTCTCCTGCCTCAGCCTCCCGAGTAGCTGGGACTACAGATGCCCACCACCATGCCCGGCATTTTTTTTTTTTTTTTTGTATTTTTAGTAGAGACGGGGTTTCACTGTGTTAGCCAGGATGATCTCAATCTCCTGACCTGGTGATCCGCCCACCTTGGCCTCCCAAAGTGCTGGGATTACAGGCGTGAGCCACCGCGCCCGGCCTACTTTCACTTTTTCTTGACCACAAGTCAAAAGTCATTTTATCCCAAAATGCCCTTAATCAGAAAAAAAACAACAACAACTTTGGAGCCTTCTTGATATTCCTAACAGGAGAAGAAAAAGCAAGGAAAGGAAGAAAAAATATATCCATTAGAATGTTTTTGACAGCAAGTAATAGAATACCTGCGAAAGTGGTATAACAATAAAAATATTGGTGTCTCACTCACCAAGAAGTCAAGAGGAGGGCTACCCCAGAGGTCACACAGTCTTAGCAATGTCAGAGCTCTGACTCCACATCCCTGCCATTTCTTGGGCCTTCCCCCATGCAACGTGACAGCTGCAGAAAATCAAGTATAATGTCCTCTGATGACACTGTTCAAACTTGAAAGGAAAATAGATTTCTCTTTGTAACATGTTCTTCTTTTAGATGAGAGGAAGACATTTCTAGAAGACCTCCTCTTACATTTTCTCTGTTGCATGCCCACCCCTAGATCAGTCACTGGCAAGGAGAATAGAATTACCACATTAGCTGAGACCAGCCAGGGCATATGGCACTCCAGACAAAATTGGTGTCCTGTTAAGAGGAAACAGGAGTGGCAGATGAGGAGGTAACTGATGGTGTCCGCTAATGACACAGAATAAGAAAAGAAAGGAATGGAGAGATAAATCAAAAGAACCAAGAAAAACAGTGATATACAAAGGAAGCAGGTGGATGAGACCACATGTGCTGCGGAGGAAGCATAGCATCCTCTCCCTCAGACACTCTTCCTTATCCTCTGTCATCCATCAATTTCTCAGTAGCATTGGGGGCATTTATGATTCACACCAAAGGCAGCACAGCACAGTGATACAGATAAAGCCCTGGATTAGCATACTAGCTGTCTATTGCTATGCTGGGGCTCAGAAAATAGTACCCCAAAATAAAGGACTTAGATGCAACCTCAGAAGCAAAAATTTTTCTTTGTTCTTCTCCTCCCCTCCTGTCTCTCAGTCCCATCCTCTCCCGAGGCTAGCCATAGAAACTAGAATTCCTCTTCCCCAAGGTGGGTAATAGAAACCAGAGCCCCTTTTGGTCAAAGTCAGCCATAAAGCCTGAAAATATCACTCTAACTTTCCCTCCATCTTTCCATGTAAAAACTGGTCCTAGGGAAATTACCTGACCTAAGTTTTTTGACTGTAGGTCCTTAAGATCTCCATTCCAGAGAGGGCCCTGCCCCACACCCAGGAGGAAGGAATGCTGCTCAGAGAGGCCAAGAAGAATCTAGACGGGCAGGCCTTGTGGGCTTTCCCCACTCAGTCTATTAACCTTAGATCAAACCCTTTGTGTCCAATCATATTCCCATATGGATGTCTACATTTTGTTGAACCTAAGCATAAAAATGGACAATGTCTCCTGTACCTTTGGGTCTTCATTCTGAAGGCTCATGTATACACATGTTAAAGAAAGATGTATGCTTTTTCTCTGACTTAGCCAGCAAGTCAGAGGTGGCTTTTGGCAGAAGGCCTTAGTTCTTCCCCACAGGGCCTCTTCAAGGGGCTGCTTAGGTTGTCTTGCAGGCTGCTGGCTGACTTCCTCAGACTGAGCGATACAAGAGTGAAGGTAGGAGTGACAATGTCTTTTATGACTTTGCCTTGGAAATCATCCATGTACATTTCCACCACATTTCATTTGTTAGAAGCAAGTAAATAAATCCAGCTCATATTCAAGGAAAGAGGAAAAGCCTATTGAGGAGAGGATTTTTAACACATGTCGATAAATTGGTGGACATATGTTAAAACCACCACAAGAAGCTCCCATTTCAAGCTATCATAGGTTGACTTCCTTCAGGTTTGGAAGGACTCAGCTTTAACCTGACTACATCCAGTCTGAGTCTCCTGGTGTGGTCCCTTTCTGCAATAGTTACATTGTTTCTGAATTGCTTATTCCTGCCTACCACCTTGTCTTTGCTTGAACAGCACAGGGCTGCATTTGACCCTCTTTTGAGGATCCCTTTCTTCCTGTGTAGTTGCTAGTTTATCTATTCATTTATTTCTTTGTTACTTTGCTTTCCCCTTTTTCCTTCCTTCTTCCTTCCTTCCTTTCTTCATCAATTATCTATACACAGGTACTGTGAAGAGTAAAAACATACATAAGACATGCTTAAAAGGTATTCTGAGTTAGAGATTTTCATTCATAATGTAATTCCACTCATCAGCCAAGCAAATTCACCAAATATCTGAATCTAGTAAACATAGATTCGGATTTCAAGATATTTGTATTATAGTGAATCTAGTAAACATAGATTCGGATTTCAAGATATTTGTGTTATAGTAAATCTAGGCATTGATAGCATCAAACATATTCTTCCAGAGTGAAAAGTCCTAACAAATTAAGCTGTTTGGCTAGTAATGAATACAGACAAAGAGAAGAAAGGGGAAGGGGGAAACTGAGTTGAGGGATTTTGTGAGGTGCTGCTAGGGAGTTTAAGAAATTATTGGAAATCAGAAGGGGACAAATTTTGGAAAAAAAGTGGAGAAAGATTCTCTGATTAAAAGAATGTTCTAAGACATTGAAGTATTGGCAGAAGAATAGACGAATAGATCAATGGAATGGAAAAGAGAGGCTAGAAATAGACTCAGACAAATATAGTCAACTGATCTTTGATAAAGGAGCAAATACAATTCAATGGAAAAAGGATGGTCTTTTCAACAAATGATGTTGAAACGTCTGGACATCCACATACAAAAAGAGAAAAAAAATGAATCTAGACATAGACCTTATGCCTCTCACAGAACTTACTCAAAATGGAATAGAATATATGATGCAAACTATAAAACCGAAGATCACGTTGGAGAAAATCTAGGTGACCTTGGATTTGGCCTGAATTCTTAGCTACCACACCAAAAGCATAAAAGAAAAAATGGGTAAGATGTACATCATTAAAATTAGAAACTTCTGTGCAAAACATCACTGTTTAAGGAATTTTAAAAAAAGACACAAACTAGGAGCAAATCTTTGCAAAACACATAGAAAAGGACTGTTATCAAAAATATACAAAGAACTCTAAAAACTCACCAATAAGGAAACCAGCAAAACAATTTTTAAAAATCTAAATAGACAAGTCACCAAAGAAGACATACACATGGCAAATGGGCATATGAAAGGATTCTCAAATCATATTAATTATTAAGGAATTTCAAATTAAAACAGCAATGAAATATTACTACATAACTTTAGAATGGCCCAAATCCAAAACACTGACAATATGCTAGTGAAGATGTGGAGCAATAGGAACACTCATTCATTCCTGGTGGGAATGCAAAATGGTACAGCCAGCCACGTGAAAGACCATTTCTTACAAAATTAAGCATACAAATAACCCCATTAAAAATTAGCAAAAAACATGAACATACACTTCTCAAAAAAAGACATACGAGTGGCCAAAAAACATATCAAAAAATGCTCAACATCACTAATCATCAGAGAAACGCAAATCAAAATCACAATGAGATACCATCTCCCACCAGTCAGAATGGCTATTTTTAAAAAGTCAAATAACATCAGATGCTGGCAAGGCTAAAGAAAAGGGAATACATTGTTGGTGGGAATGTAAATTAGTTCAGCCAGTGTGGAAAGCAGTTTGGAGATTTCTTAAAGAATTTAAAACAGAACTACTGTTCAACTCAGCAATCCCATTACTGGGTATACATTAAAAAAAAACTTTCTATCAAAAAGACACATGCACTTGTATGTTCATTGCAGCACTATTCACAATAGTGAAGACATGGAAACGATCTAGATGTCTATCAACTGAGAATTGGATAAAGAAAATGAGGTACATATACACCATGGGATACTACGCGGTCATAAAAAAGAATGAAATTACGTCCTTTGCAGCAACATGGAGGAAGCTGGAGACAACCATCCTAAGCAAATTAACGCAGGAACAGAAAAGCAAATACCACATGTTCTCACTTATAAGCGAGAGCTAAACACTGGGTGCTCATGGACATAAATATGGCAACAATAGAAACTGGCAACTATGGCCGGGCACGGTGGCTCATGTCTGTAATCCCAGCACTTTGGGAGGCCAAGGCGAGCGGATCACAAGGTCAGGAGTTCGAGACCAGCCTGGCCAATATGGTGAAACTCTGTCTCTACTAAAAATACAAAAATTAGCTGGGTGTGGTGGTGCACGCCTGTAGTCCCAGCTACTTGGGAGGCTGAGGCAGGAGAATTGCTTGAACCTGGGAGGCAGAAGTTGCAGTGAGCCGAGATTGCACCATTGCACTCCAGCCTGGGCAACAGAGCAAGACTCCATCTCAAAAAAAAAAAAAAAGAAAGAAAGGAACTGGCAACTACTAGAGTGGGGAGGTAGGGAGATAGGCAAGGTTTGAAAAACTATTGGGTATTCTGCTCAGTACCTGGGTGATGGGATCATTCCTACCCCATACCTCAGCATCATGCAATATACTCAGGTAACAAACCTGCACATGTACCCACTGAATCTAACATAAAAGTTGAGGGAAAAAAAATAAACATACTCTTACCATATCATCCAGCAATCACATTCCTTGGTATTTATCCAAGTGAATTGAAAACTTATGTCCACAAAAAATCTGCACACAAAATGTTTATAGCAGTTTTATTCATAATTGCCAGAAATTGGAAGCAACCAAATGTCCCTCAGTAGGTGAATGGATAAATAAACCGTGGTACATCCACACAATGGAATATTATTCAATGCTAAAAACAAAAACAAAAACAAACAAAAAAAAACAATGAACATCAAGGCTGGGTGCGGTGGCTCATGCCTGTAATCCCAGCACTCTGGGAGGCCAAGGTGGGTAGATCACGTGAGGTCAGGAGTTCGAGACCAGCCTGGCCAATATGGTGAAACCCATCTCTACTAAAAATGCAAAAAAAATTAGCCGGGCGTGGTGGTGCGTGCCTGTAATCCCAGCTACTCAGGAGGCTGAGGCAGGAGAATCGCTTGAATGCAGGAGGCGGAGGTTGCAGTGAGCCAAAATCCCACCATTGCACTCCAGCCTGGGCGACAAGAGCAAAACTCTGTCTCAAAAAAAAAGAAAAGAACATCAAGCCACTAAAAGGCATGGATGAATTTTAAATGTGCATTGCTAAGTGAAAGAAGCCAATCTGAAAATGCTACATATTGTACCATTCCAACTGTCTATAAAACATTCTGGAAAAGGCAAAACTATATGGGCAAAAGATTAGCTGTTGCCAGGAGTCAGGGAGGAGGGATGAATAAGTAAAGAGAGTGAAATTTTAGGGCAGAGAAACTACTCTATGATACTTTAATTATAGATACAATATCAGCATATATTTGTCAAAACTCATAGAATATACAACACCAAGAATGAACCCTAATGTAAACTATGGACTTTAGTTAATAATGATGTATCAATATTGACTCATCCATTGTAAAAAACTCCACAGTGCCTTAACGCAAGATGGTCAAAATCATACACAAAGAGAAAATTTGGATAACCATCTATCCACTGTAAACCAGACACTGCTTTGAATTTGTAGATGTAGAAAAGGGCTCACAAGGCCATCTAGTCCAATGTTGCTCAAACTTCAGCCTGCATATTAATAGCTTGTGGTGCTTGTTTAAAATGCAGATCCCAACTACTCAGCCATAAAAAGAAATGAAATAATGGCATTTGCAGCAACCTGGATGGAGTTGGAGACCATTATTCTAAGTTCTCACTTATAAGTGGAAGCTAAGCTATGAGGGTACAGAGGCATAAGAATGACACAATGGGCTTCGGGGACTCCGGGGGAAGGCTGGGAAGGGGGTGACAGATAAAAGATTACACAGCGGGTGCAGTGTACACTGCTTGGGTGATGGGTGCACCAAAATCTCAGAGATCACCACTAAAAAACTTATCCATGTAATGAAACATCACCTGTTCCCTGCAAAACTATTGAAATAATAATAAGTAACTAATTTAATTTAATAAAAATAAAATGGAGATTCCACATCCTGCTTTCCAAATTGATTCAGTTGGTCTGGGGTGAGACCAGAGAATATGCTTTTTCACAAGTCTCCCCTTATGACTGACAGAAGATGCAGTAAGTCAGAAAGTTAGTGGGAAAACTTGAATTAGAATCCTCAGAGATCTTTCCAGATCTTCACTGTCTCCTAATGAGAAATGTAAAATGCAAATATAAGGAAAACAGACCCTTATTTTGATTCTGAGACATCAGGACTCAGCTACTCTTGGGGCTGAAGCAACAGTCAAATAACAGATATTATAGTACCTTCCCTGCCCTATAGGACTAGGTTTTTGTATCTTACGCAACACATTAGACATATCCCAATTTTAGTATTAATCGTATGAATTTTTAACTTGCCTCTTCCTCTTACCAGGTTATGAATATCTTAAAAATAGGAACTGTGTCTTATTCACCTTTGTGACCCCCAATACAAGGGCCTGTCATACAGCAGAGCCTCAATAATATTTATCGAGTAGACATTTGGATTAAAGTTTCCTTTTCCAAAGTATTTTAAAACAGACAAAAACGTACAGAGTTAACATTGCATTTTTAATCAATATTGCAGACATTTTAATTATAGAAAACAATGTGATATACTGCCCCAAATGGTCAATTTGTGTAATCAAAGCAACTAAGTTGATATGGAAAATAGGGTATGTGGTATTACCCAACATGGCTTCAGCTTGGCACTTCCTCCATTAAAACCAACTTTTTAATGGATTAATTCCCATGCTAAACAAAGTCCCCAGTTCTGTAATATTTTATTTGAAGCACTAATACTTTCATTCAAACCAGATTTCAAGGTCCTCCTTCCTTAGGATTGTCAATATTCATATTTTAAATAAAATCTTCATTTGGCAAATTAAAACCATTACCTCCTGGAGAATGAGTTAATGGTATTACAGGGATCCATCCAGGTGTTATGTAAGGGGACAATCTATTTATGCTTCAGACCCCAACAGAAGTGACTCTTCCCCACAAAGATGTATTAATAGTTAAAAATAGGCCAGACACAGTGGCTCATGCCCGTAATCCCAGCATTTTGGGAGGCCAAGACAGACGGATCATCTGAGGTCAGGAGTTCAAGACCAGCCTGGACAACATGGTGAAACCCCGTCTCTACTAAAAATACAAAAATTAACCGGGGCATGGTGGCACACACCTGTAATCCCAGCTACTCAGGAGGCTGAGGCAGGAGAATGGCTTGAACCCAGAAGATGGAGGCTGTGGTGAGCCAAGACTGCACCATTGCACTCCAGACTGGGCAACAACTGAGCGAAACTCCATCTCAAAAAAAAAAAAAAAAAGAAAAAAAACAAAAACAAAAACACAAAGTTCTCAGCACAGGCAGGGGAAGATCTGTGGCTCGTGCAGCATTCCTCATGCAGTTATAGAAGCAGGTAACCAGAAAGGCATACTGGAGAGAAGCAAAGACTTCTTGGTAAAACTGAGGAACTTAGATTCAATTCCTAAAGTAAATGTTGATATTTCCAGATGTCAAGACTAAGAACTGTCTGCAGATACAAATCCATAATCTCTCATCTGAAACCCTTGGAGCAGTTGTGTTTCAGAATTCAGAATTTTCAGCATTTCAGAAAGGATACTGTGAAACCCAACTAATGTGGAACACCCGTAGCAGGATGTGTAGCAACGTCTCATATAAAACAAATTAAAACTTCCTCCACGAATTATTAGTAATATCCCATATGAAGGGGTAAGGAGCGTGACTAGCCTCTCTCTGGCTCGAGCGTAGTTTTGCAGTCAAATCAGATCAGGAGAGGGCAGTTTCGCCACCAAATGGGTTTCATTTTCAGAGTTCTTGGACTTTGGAATTATGGATAATAGACTGTTAGTTGCTATAGTAAAGAGATCTAACACAAGAAAATGATACATTAGTGTAGCCGAGGGTAGGAAACAAGAATGTGGGAAACAGGAAAATATAAGCAGACTCTGAAAGAGGACAACAGACCACACAGGCAAACTAACCATTTTCTTAACCACAGTGGCTGAAGGTCTTCGTGACATGGAACTAGAGGCTGGTTTCAGAAACAACTGCATTTCTTTAAAATTACTCTGTAACAGGAAGAAAAACAGCCCTCTCCCACACATTTGGGGACCTGAGAATGACAGATGCCCACCCCAGCTCTCTTTCTCTTAGAAAGCTTACCTGAAAAATTGCCTAAAAATTCAACACAACACTAAAACTAGAAAGAACAAACTTTTTATTTTAGAGCCTTTGATTGGCTTAGGAATGAGCATTACTAGGGGCTTTGTTCTTTAATATATTTCAAGGCACAGTCTGAAAAAAGCAAAGGGAACAAAGGCAAGTGCCTCCGTTGTTGACCCTTTACTTAACTCTTTTTTTTGGCTGGAGCAAGCATCCTGAGTATTTTGCAGATAGAAAAATGTATATGGATGTATTATACTGGCATAGCTGTGAGAATCAACGTTTGTCCTGGGGAGCGTACTGTGTGTTTATGTGTGTGTGTGTCTAATTGATATATTTACTAGTTACCTATTGGAAGTTCTAAAAGGATGAAGAAACATGTTTGTGTCTGCCATTGCCATGGAGACCACAAAGGGGAGCCGACTTGAAGTGGCAAAGCCGACAATGGACCGTTCTTTGGAGCTGAGAGTTGCAAGGGCCCCTTGGTTTGAGCTGCTCAAATTCCAATATCCCAGCTCCATTCCTCACTGGTGCTGCTGAAGACTGAGTAAGTTAGACTTGGGAAACCTCATGCTGAGGATTACCACATCCCACAAGCTACTCAAGATGGTGATGGGGTTCAGGACATGCCACCTCAAAATACGGCACCTTGGCTTTTGAGGAAACAGCAGAAGCAAGATGGTTACTGTGATCTTCTCCTGCCCTTCCCGCCTAAAGACAGGCCATGAAATAATTATCTGGCCTTCCTCTGAAGTGGGCCATAAGGCCCTCATGTGCCCTATACCTGTGTAAAAAGAAAAGTAAAGTACAAGTTCCTCTTCAAAGACTTCCCTCCCTGTCTAATTAGGAATAAATAGTAACTTGTCTTAGAAGCAAAATTTATTCAAAAACCTGTGGTAACATTCTTAAATATCTGCTAGCCGTAATAAAGAAATCAATGTACTTTATATTCTTAGCTCCCACAATTTAGCCTAAATATTTGCCCTGGCATGCTTATACTGGTCCAAGCAAGTGTTAGGCCATAGCCTGTTCTTCTTCCTTCTTTAAAAGTGTTATTACCTTTTTCAGCATTCCGAAAGTTACTTCCTCCTTCCTTTGTTCTCCTCTACCTTTGCCTCTTTTAAAAAGTTCTAAGTTGCTAACCAATCAGGACAAATACAGAATGTGAGGTCCCGTTACAGCCAATGGAAACCAGACACAGCAGTAGGGTGGACGCATCAGGTTAAATGACCCTGTCTCCTTTGTTCGGTGTACTCTCGTGGCAAAACTGCTGGCAAGTGTATCCTTTCTGCAGGAAGTAAAAATGGCCTTACTAAATAAATTAAATTTATGTTCAAGTGGATTTCTTTATGGCACTGGGGAACAAGCATTTCGAACACCTGGAAGAAAGGAATGTCACACTGGGGCACACGGAAGAATCTGAACAACCAGGCCTTGCTAAGTTCTCCCTAGTTTATTACCATTACGTCAGATCCTTTTGAAAGTTGCACATACCAGGATGAAAGCACTTTTGTCAGACCTAGACAAAACAGGGCTGGGAAGGCCTGAAAGAGCGGAGGCTCATGCTACGTGTCTGAGAAGAAGAACTGTTTCCAAGGGCTCTCTAAAAACCCTTCATGCATCTTTTGCTTTGATAAGGCTCATCACTAGACATCCTTTAGGACTGCAGCAATTCGGGGAAGACACACTCGGAAGAACACTTGCCGAGCAATGGCATCTCCACCAGCGAACTGAAAACAACTCTGGCTTTGACCCTCTAGAACTAATAAACTCTGCTTCCAAGCAGCTTGTTTAAATTTCTTTTTCCTAATAAAACTTCCCCTTTACCCTTCTGTCACCGAATGCACTGGTGGCTTGCCATTTACTTCATACATCCTAGATTATAGTCCTTATTTCTATTCCCAAATATTCCCAACATATTTAGAGAGAATTTTTTCTAGTGTCTTTTTTTTCAGGTTGACACTTTTGTCCCCCAATCTTATTTCTCCACAACTGTCCACCTTTTCATCCAATTTAATATAAAAATACAGAAACTTCCCTGTTTCTTTGGGTCACATTTCTTGAGGGCTCCCACGTCACATAAAACATATAATAAATTTGTGTGCTTTTCTCCTGTTAATCTATCTTTTATTACAGGTGCCTCAGCCATGAACTTAGCAATGGGTGAGAAATCTTTTCTCCCCTACAATGGCAAGGTGGGAGTTGATGGGGAGGGGCGGCAACCTAGAGCCAAATTATCAGCCTCTATCAGGATTTACAAAAAAAGGGGTGGGCTTCTAAGAAGACTCTCTCAGAGAAAGCTGTGAACTGGAACACAGGGGAGGGAGGTTAGGATTTGAGGAGTTCCACAAGGTGGACCACCTTTGAGAGATTAAATTTTTGTGCTTTTCATTTGGACTACAGGGAAAATTAAATGAAGCTATTACTGATGTGGAAGGAATAGCTTCCTGTAACAGGAGACTGTGGCTTCCTATAACAGGAGACTATCACAGTTACCAGCAGGTATGTGAACAGTGGCCCACTGCAGAGTTAGGAGCAGAAATGAATCAAATTTCCTCATTTCCTATTATTCTGGAGCAGTGCTTCTCAAACTGTAATGTGCATATGAATCACCTGAAGATGTTATTGTTGAAATGCAGTAGATCTGGGGTAGGGCCTGAGTCTGCATTTCCAACAAGCCCCCAGATGATGCCAGAGCTGCTGCTCCTCCAACCACACTTTGAGTACACTCAGACAATGACCACTGAACAAGGGAGGGCAGCCAACTCCGGATACAAGTAGGGGAAGCAGCATGTTGGGTACCTAATATTTATCCATCGTTGTATGGTGAGATAATTACGGTTCTTCAGTCTCAAAAAGCCTGTCATTATCTTCAAAAAAGGCTAAATTAATGATGCCTCTAAGATATTATTGTAGATTGCTATTTGGAGCAGGGACTCATTTGACTATTTTCTTTGAGATTTAGTCTCTCAAAGTGGACAAAAATTTCTCTAACTAGTTGCTGGCAGTGTTTACTAATCATTGCATTAACAGAGGCAACAATGGTCAGAAATTATTACTGGGATATTGAAACCACCTTTGCAAACATTGTGACACTGAGAGAAGTCTAGCATGGCTGACTCCATCTTGCTTCTAGCCTCATAGGCTGGCTGTCCTCGCTCATTCCTGGGCATAGGCCCGTCAGACCATGGGAGGAATTTAGTTTATAGTTTAACTTGGAAGCAAGAATGATAATAATACCTCCCTAAAGCTGACCCCCTCCTTGTTCAGGGACTGAAACCACATTTGTAAGACTAATGAAAGATCACAAGATTAAGATTATGGGAGGAGCCCAAATTCTGCTACAATGTAGGCATTAGTTACATGATAACCAGCCATTGTTCCCTGGCTTGCTTTTCTAGAATCCCTTACTGCTCAGGAGTCATAAAGCTGGAAGTCACAAGATATGTAACTTCCCCAGTTGCTCCTATAGATGACATCACTATTGTCAAACCTAAGATTGATTGGTCTTTGAGATATTTCTTAGACTTTCGCATTCTGATAACCAACTGACTCCACCTGGACCCATACGAAGGAACTGACTCAACTGGTGACTCCCACCCAGAAATTGACTCAGCACACCAAAACCATTTGGACACTCCTATGGACTTCATTCCCATTCAATCCAGAGCATCCATTCCTTACCCCCCTGCCCACCAAATTATACTTACAAACCCTAGCCTCCAGGCTCTCAGGGAGGCAGATTTGAGAATTATCTCCTGTTGTTCTGCTTGGCTGGCCCTATGATCATCAGACTGTTTCTCTGCTGCAATACCACTGTCTCAGTGAATTGGCTTTATCTGTGCAGTGGGTCAGATGAACCCATCAGGTGATTACAATATTTGTAATTCCTAATAAAAACTACAAGAAGGTTAGAATTTTCTGGGGTGAGCCAAATTAAGAAAAAAAAAAGAAATTCCAAATTATAGGGATTATCAAGCAACATTAGCAAAGATTCTCATCATGTGACTATTATCCTAAGAACATCACCTGGATTGCAGCCTTGTGAAGCCATGAGAAGAGAACCCAGTGAAACTGTGCCTGGACTTCTGGCCTATAGCAACTGTGAGATAATAAAATGGGTGTTTTTCTAGGTCATTAAATTTGTGGTAATTTGTTGCAAAACAATTCTATGCAGCAATAGAAAACTAATATATTTACTGAACTTTTTTCCTACCAACTCTAATCTATTAAGCCTACTGAATGAATTTTTCATTTCAGCTGTTGTACTTTTTATTCTATAATTTTTCTTTAGTGCTTCATTATAGTTTCCATTTCTCTGATTATTCCTTAAAACCATATTTTCTTTAAGTCCTTGGTATATTTATAATAGCTTTTTAAAAGTATGCATTTGTTAAATCCAATGTCTGAGCTATCTCAGCGTCTGTTCTACTTTTTTTTCTTAGCTCTTGCTCTTCTTTGCATGTCTGTTAATTTTTTTTATTGTTTAGTAGACATTGTTGGTGATACATTTTATAGATTCTGAATTTCAATATCTCATTCTCTAAATAATGTTAAGTTATGCTCTTCGGCTGTTAATCATGGTTGATCACTTTGAAGTCGCATGGGCTTCCTTAGGGAAAATCTGTGGAAGACCCAAGATATTTACTAAGCCCACAGAAATCTAATTCCAACCTCTGTTTACCCAGTAGATTTTGACAAGGCTTTGTTTTAGAGGCTTTTTTTTAGAGTGATCTAGAATAAGCCTTGCTCCAGGACATAATCCTCATGACTAAGGCATGGCCTTCATAAATTCCTGGGATATTAATGAGGTCACTCTACTCTGGCTGGAACTCAGTCAATGTCTCTCAGCACTGTTTGATTTCTCATATTGTTCCAAACTCAACTGTACAGCAGCAGCTCTCTGGTAAGACTCCCAAAGGTTCAGTCTGTGCATGTGCAGCCCAATCCTCAGATAAAAACTCAGAGATCCCACAAACACATACCTGCACCCGCCATTTTGCACAGGTGCCTCCTTCCCCATTCCCAGCCCTACCAATTCCAGGCATCTTGGCAGCCCAAACTCTGATCTTGGCCTCCTTAGCTCCACAAGACCACTCATCTTGGCAAAGCCTCCACCTCTCTATGCCACAGCTTGGAAATTGCCCCCAGACAGAGATTCTAGATGAATATAGAGCTTACCTTGTGAGTTTTTCTTATTTCAGTGATCACAGTCTTCTACTACCTGTTACCCAATGTCTAAAACTGTTGCCTCATACAATTTTATTGTTTTCATTCAGCAAGAGGCCTAATCTGGTACTAGGTGCTCAGACATGGCTAGAAGCAGAAATCTTTTTTCATCCCTTTTTAAAAACTGTGGTAAGAACACAACATGAAAGTTATCTTTTTAACACATTTTTAAGTGTACAATATAGCATTGTTAACTATAGGCATAAGGTTGTACAGTAGAGCTCTGGAATTTATTCGTCTTGCATAATCCAGGCTTTATGCAGATCAATTAGCCATTCCTAATGATCCCTTTCTCCCAGCCCCTGGCAACCACTATTCTACTGCCTGCTTCTATAAGTCTGACTACTTTAGCTATCTCATGTAAGTGAAATCACGCAGTATTTGTCCTTCTGTAACTTGACATAACATTCTTAAGGTTTATTCATATTGTTGCATATTATAGGATTTTCTTCCCTTTTTCAAGGCTGAATAATATTCAATTGTATGTGTATACCACATTTTTTAATCCGTTAACCTATCAATGGACTCTTACGTTGGTCCCACACCTTGGCTATTATGAATAATGCTGCAAAGAAGATGGGAATGCTAATGTCTCTTCAAGATCCTGATTTCTATTCTTTTGGATAAATACTGAGAAGTGAGATTACTGGATCATATGGTTGTTCTATTTTTAATTTGTTGAGGAAAGTGACTTCATTGATATTACACCAAAATCACAAGCAACAATCATAAAAATAAGCAAGCAGGACAACATCAAACTGAAAAGCTTCCGTATAGCAAAAGAAACAACAGGGGAAAAGACAACCTATGGAATGGGAGAAAATATTTGCAAACCATATATCAGATAAGGAGTTAAATTTACAAAATATATAAAGAACTATGACTCACTTGGAAGAAAACTAATAACTCATTTTTTTAAATGGGCTAAAGACTTAAATAGACATTTCTTTCATCCTTCCTTTTTAAATGATTGTTTTTCTTTATTATCAATTTTAATATTGAAAAAGCTCTTGTTTTCCAAGTTTTCATAGCCTCTGATGCAAAGGCTCATCAAGTGTTTTAAACTTGGAATAGTTTTTTTAAATATAAAATCAGATTGTATATATGCAACAAAAAATGCTGGAAAGCACTATTACTGCTTTGTCATTTCTTTAAAGTATCATTATGACACACGTATCATTACAAAGTATTTCTCAGGCTGGTATATATCACACAAAAATCTCATCTTTTGATACAGTCTGAGTGGCCAGATCAAGGTCACTTTAACTCATTGCCATTCCTTAATCCTGCAATGAGCAACGAGTGGTAAGAAAGGGAAGGAAAGATGGTTAGGTAGTCTGCCAACATACTGGTCCTCAGATGAGGAGAAAGGGATGTAGAAGTATGGGGCTAAGGGAGAAGGTGACCCAGCGGCTGCCAGCCTGCCAGCCAAATGCGCCAGTGAGAGCCAAAGTGGACAAACAGAAGCTTGGGTCCTCTGATGCCCCAGGAGGGAGAAGGGAGGAAAAGAACATGATTTTCTTCCCTGATGCCAGGCGAAATGTGACATCGAAGTTGAGCATATCCTTCCTAACTTCAGGAGTCCATGTAAATCAGGGATATTAAATTAAGGACTGACTAATGATTATTACTGTCGCAACAGCACTTACATGTCAAAACAGGCATATTTTCACTAATGTGCTTTTTAATGTTTTTTTTGTTTTTGTTTGTTTGTTTGTTTGTTTGTTTTCTTTTTAGAGATGGAGTCTCGCTCTGTCGCCCAGGCTGGAGTGCAGTGGCGCGATCTCGGCTCATTGCAAGCTCCGCCTCCCGGGTTCATGCCATTCTCCTGCCTCAGCCTCCCCAGTAGCTGGGACTACAGGCACCCGCCACCTCACCCGGCTAATTTTTGTATTTTTTTTTTTTTTAGTGGAGACGGGATTTCACCATGTTAGCCAGGATGGTCTTGATCTCCTGACCTCGTGATCTGCCCGCCTCGGCCTCCCAAAGTGCTGGGATTACAGGCGTGAGCCACCACGCCCGGCCTTTAATGTTTTCTTTTAAAACACTTGTTACATTAAGAATTGACACCAGGCAGGCATGGTGGCTCACACCTGTAATCCCAACATTTTGGGAGGTCAAGGCAGAAGGATTGCTTGAGCCCAGGAGTTCAAGACCAGCCTGGGTAACATAGTGAGAGCCTGACTCTACAAAAAATTTAAAAATTAGCCAGGTGTGGTGGCGGGAGCCTGCAGTCCCAGCTACTTGGGAGGCTGAAGCAGGAGGATTGCTTGAGCCCAGGAGTTTGAGGCTGCAGTGAGCTATGATCTGGCCACTGCACTCCAGCCTGGGGACAGAGCAAGAATAAAAAAAAAAAAAAAACAAGCAAACAACAATAAAGAATTGACACCAACATAAACCTATGATGCCATAATAATCATAACATTCAAATATCAGCAAAATATCACTCTGTCATTGAAGACTTAAACAAAATTAGCTGAAACATTCCTACCTACAAAGTGTAGGAGATCTAATGCTCTCTAAAGATTTCTGCAGCTTTCCCAGGGTTTACCTTCTCATGTGCAATTCTGGCTCATGGTTTCTGCTCTGGCAGGACTCACGAATCTCAGTATACCTTGTATACCAAACTAGATGTCAAATTCAACTCCTTGTCCTTGGTTTACACACACACACACGTGCACACACACACATGAACTCATACAAGGCTTTCGTGTGTATAGCAGAGTTTACTGAGGTTTGGAGTTGACAGAGGCATTCACAACTTTGCATTTCCAACAACTTAAAAATTAGAGGAAGTCTGTGCTTATATTTCCTTTGGCTAGCTTGCCATGTTGTTCTGTGGCCTGCATACCTCCAACACCATTCTCCTCTCCATTCCTTCCTCAGAAAATCCACAGAAATTCAATTTCCTCACTTTATTATGTAAAACAATTAAACTTACCCATGCTGTTTGGTGATATCAAGAAAAAAAAAGTAGTTCCCAAACTAAGAAATGGAAGAACTGTGTATTCTGCACCTTTTGGAGCTTGAATAAAATGATTACAGGCAATAACCTGTTTAAAATATCACTGCATTGGCCCCATTTGATCTTTTCACGTTGATTGGCCTAATCAGCACCTCAGTCAAGGGATGAAACTTTGTTATTCCAATTAGTAGCACCACAGATGTACCTTCATCATTTGCTTGTAGATGGCTTTTCTTTCTTGACTGGTAGATAGCTGCCTACCATCTCAGACCACCTTACCGCAGACTTTTTTCTAACCACGGATAGGGTCATGATGAAATGACCTACAAATGTAGGAAATGAAACTGCAAACTATTCTTACATTAAAAAACATTAGCTACCTATGCAATTATTATCTTTCCTATTTAACCCCCTTATTATCAGTCTGTCTGTCTTGTTCTCTCTCTCTTTTTCTCTCTCCCTCCTGTTTTCACTTTACAGGTTCCATTGACACTAGCAAATTAATAAATTTTGACACAAACTCAATATCTAATTTGTCTAAGGACAATGAACTCTTCTAAATAAATAATCAAAAGGCACATGGAAAGATGCTCAACATAACTATTCATGTAAGAAATGTAAATGAAATCCACTATTAAGTTACTACTCCATACCTATTAGAATGGCTAAAACTTAGACTTGACCATACCAAGTGTTGATGAAAATATGGAGGAATTCGAACTCTCATATACTACTGGTGGTGAAATAAATTGGCACAGCCACTTGGAAAACACCAACAATTCCTAAAATGGCTAAGCTTACACTTACTATATTATGCAGCAACTCTGCTCCTAGGAATTTGTCCAAGGGAAATGAAAACATGTCTATACAAAGACTTGTACACAAAAGTTCATAGCTGTTAGCTATGTACATTATGATAACCTAAATCTGGAAATGACCTAAATGCTCAACTACAGGTAAACAAATAAACTGTAGCCTATCCAAAAAGTAGAATACTATGTAATAAGAAGAAACAAAGTATTGATACAGACTGCAACATGGGTGAATTGCAATATCATTATGCTGAATGAAGGAAGCCAGACCAAAAAAAAAGAGTACATGCTTAAAATTCCATGTATGTAAGGTTATAGGAAATGCAAACTAATGCATAATGATAGAAAGCAGATCAATGCTTGAGGAGAAACAACAAAGAATCATAGGGAACTCTTGTTGGGTGGGAGGGTAAAAGATATGTTCATTATCTTGATTCTGGTGGTAACTTCACAGGTGTACACATATATCAAAACTTATCAAATTGTATATGTTAAATATGTGCAGCGTATTATATGCCAATTATACATCAGTAGAGCTGTTAAAGATCTTGGCTATCTTCCATAACCATTCCCTAAATGACAATAAGAGAATGTTCTACGGAAATAGAACTACCTATGTTTTCATATTGTTTCATTTTCTAAATACGTTTGATATTGTGATAAAATGTGAATTATGGGTGATTTTTATTGTTTTTAAATGAGTTTTTAAAATACCTATGAAATGTTATAATATACGTGTATTTTTTTTATTGGAATAGGTATTGGGCTCTGTAAGAGTTCTCAGGAAGTTCAGAAAATGACACTTGTCATGAGTTAGATTGTGTCCTCCCAAAATTCATATGTTGAAGTCCAGACCCCAGTACCTCAGAATGTGACCTTATTTGGAAAGAGGATCTTTACAGAGATAATCAAGTTAAAACGAAGTCGTTAGGTTGGGCCCTAATCTAATAAGACTGCTTTTCTCATACAAAGGAGAAATTCAGAGACAGGCACAGATACAAGAAGAAGCTGTGTGAACATGAAGACAAGGCAAGGCGAGAGGCCCAAAGCAGATTCTCCCTCACAGTCCTCAGGGGGAGCAACCCTGCAAACACTTTGATCTTGACTTTCCAGCCTCCAGAATGGTGAGATAATGAATTTTGGTTACTAAAGCCATCGAGTTTGTGACACTTTATTACAGGAGCCCTAACAAACTCATACAACACCACTGTGAAGCAGAGAGATGACATTCTCACCTGGAACTCAGGACCAGCTCCGGCATTTTTGAAAGAACCCATGAGGAAATTATCACTTGGACCACTCAGAGTAAGAAGCTAATTGCAGCAAAAATAAATATATATGGCTTGAGAGGATTAATAATTCCTTAACTAAGTTACAAGGGGCCGGGCGCGGTGGCTCACGCTTGTAATCCCAGCACTTTGGGAGGCCGAGGCGGGCGGATCACGAGGTCAGGAGATCGAGACCATCCTGGCTAACACGGTGAAACCCCGTCTCTACTAAAAATACAAAAAAATTAGCCGGGCGTGATGGCGGGCGCCTGTAGTCCCAGCTACTCGGGAGGCTGAGGCAGGAGAATGGCGTGAACCCGGGAGGCGGAGCTTGCAGTGAGCCAAGATTGCGCCACTGCACTCCCACCTGGGCCACAGAGCGAGACTCCATCTCAAAAAAAAAAAAAAAAAAAACTAAGTTACAAGGAAAAGAATGTTGGTGAATAGCAGTGATCCTGTGGTTCCTGTTACAAGTTTCTTAAGAGGCAACCGGGGAGAGTCACTGGAAAGAAACCTGGGACTGAAAGGCAGCAGCTGACAGAATTTTGACTTATGAGTCACCGAGGCTGGAGTGCAGTGGCGCAATCTCAGCTCACTGCAAGCTCCGCCTCCCGGCTTCACGCCATCCTCCTGCCTCAGCCTCCCGAGTAGCTGGGACTACAGGTGCACGACGCCCGGCTAATTTTTTGTATTTTTAGTAGAGACAGGGTTTCACCGTGTTAGCCAGGATGGTCTCGATCTCCTGACTTTGTGATCTGTCTGCCTCTGCCTCCCAAAGTGCTGGGATTACAGGCATGAGCCACCGCTCCCAGCCTATATGATGTTATTTTTTAATAAATAATTTAACTTATAGTGATCTTAAAAAGCTGCTATTCAACACCACTGATTATCAAAAATTAGATATTATATTTATAACTAAGAAAAGTCAGAGAAATAAAAATAAGATCAGAAGTGACAAATATGGCACTTACGCCCATGATTTTATTCATTTTGCTCATTAATGTTTAAAATACTTAGTTAAAATTATAAAATAAAATGGTTAGAAAGAGTTAAAATAAAAATTCGACATGGGTGAAGATAATAATCACGTCATAAATGGAGAGCTTCACAGCAGCTGATTTTTAAGAGCAACGCTCTTCTGTTTTTAATCCCACTTTCAGGGGTGCCTGAGAGCTATCTGAATGCTAATCGTGACTCTCATGGAAACAAGAAATTCAGCCTCCTGGCAATCTCTTTACCAGAAAAATCTATCAGGTAGCTCAAAACAATAGCCATTAAATTTATGAAATAGTTAATGTAAACTTTCTCCAATAAATTTCTATGAATCTAATTTTTTCTCAATATCATAGTCAATGACTTTTGTTTGAAAAATGCAACAGAACATTTCCAAGTACCGGCCGTTTCTACCCAACCCCAGCCAGCTGCTATCTGTTCTTGGAATACTGCTCTGAAACTGAACAAGTGAAACTAGAATACATCCAAACCCTTCTCTTAATCAATTACTCCCCATGGTCCTAAGGATATTTTTAAAGAAAAGAAAGTGAAAGTTTCTAATCTCCTCCAGTCATCCCCAGAAGCCAGTGTAGTTCTGGTCCTGGGTTTTTTGAGAAGTCTAAATGTCATAAAATTTGATGACTCTCAGGAAAGACTCATAGCCAAATCTCCACCTATGTGGGTCTGCTATTGATGATTGAATTTTCCACCGTTAAAGAAAAATTACTTTGCTTAAAATATTGTCCTTTTTTAAAATGTAAAAAATTCCAAGAAAACTAAAACTAAACAAAGGTCTATATTTAATGCCTCAGTTAATAAATGATAGCTGACAGAAGATACTGATCGGATGTAAATACACAAATAATATTTTATATCCGATTAGAGCAGGGTTTCTCAATCTTATTGCCGTTGGAGCTAGATAAGTCCTTGTGCTGAAGTTGGGGATGCGCAGGAGGCTGTCCTGGGCATTGTTTTTGTGGGTTTTTTTCCTTTTTTTTCTTTTTTTGAGACGGAGTCTTGCTCTGTCGCCCAGGCTGGAGTACAGTGGCACGATCTTGGCTCACTGCAAGCTCCGTCTCTTGGGTTCACACCATTCTCCTGCCTCAGCCTCCCGAGTAGCTGGGACTTACAGGTATCCGCCACCACACCCGGCTAATTTTTTGTATTTTTAGTAGAGACCGGGTTTCACCAAGTTAGCCAGGATGGTCTCGATCTCCTGACCTCGTGATCCACCCACCCCAGCCTCCCAAAGTGCTGGGATACAGGCGTGAGCCCCCGCGCCCGGCCCGTCCTGGACATGTTACATATTTAGTAGCATCCCTGGGCTCTAAACACTAGAGACCAGAAGCAACTACTCAGTTGTGGCAACCAAAAATGTCTCCAGACCATTTTAAATGCCCCCTGGGAGCAAAACTGCCCTTGATTGAGAACCACTGGACTACAGCTTTATTATGTAATGAGGCTACTAATACATGCAGTAACACAGAGGAATCTCAAAATCACTACGATAAGTGAAAGAAGTCTTGCCTGAAAGAGTATTATTGTATGATTCCATTTATATGAAGCTCTAGAACAGCCAAAACTAAGCTATAGTGTGAAAAAAATGGAACAGTGGTTGTCTATAGGTGAGTGGACACAGCGGCCCACGGGATGAGATATGAGGGGACTTTCTGGGATGATGATAATGTTTTATAGCTCAGTAGGAATTTGGGTTACACACGTGCATGCATTTGCCAAAAATCAGCAAGCATACACTTTAAGATTTGTGCATTTTATTTTATCTAAAGGAAAAAATAACACTAAAAAAATGTTGAACTAATGACATGGATGCTGAAGTATTCAGGGGGAAATACACTGATGTCTTCAATTTACTTTGCAATATATTAAAAAAGGTGACTTGGTGGATCAACAGAAGATGTAGAGAGATATGTGATAAAGTAAAATGTTAATGGTAGAACCTTTGCATACAGTAGTATATGGTATACAATTTTTTAAAGTTGTTTAAATGTTTAAAATTTTTTCATAGTAAAACACTGAGGAAAAAAGATTATGTGGCTAGTAAGTGGTGTTCAAGTTCCTAAGTCAGCAGCTTTATAAATATTTGTGCTGATAAAGCCAGCCCTTTGCTCCCTCACTTCATCCACGTCTTCATTCGAACACCACCTTGTCAGTTATCTCTGACCCCCTTCTGTAAAATAATGCCATGATCCCCTGCCAAGTCCCCAGCTCTGTCTTCTGCATCATCTTTCTTTATAGCACTTACCATAGCCTGACACATATTTATTTCCTATTTATCTCCTTCTGCCAGAACATAAGCTCAATGTGATCAGATTCATTGTCTGTTTTACACACTGTGGACTCCCCAAGGTCTAAAACCATGTTTGATACACAGTAGAAGTTCAACCATTGTCGAATGAAAACAATGCTGAAAGGATCAAGAAAATTTTTCATGTGCAATTGCTGTGTGCAAGATGCTGGGCCAGAAAAGTAAAGCAAGATTGGGTATACTCTCTGTTCTCAAGGGATCTTCAGTCTAGTTGGGCAACATAGGACGCTGATAAATAAGATCATAACAACACACAGCAGTATATGCTAAGTACCAAAGGAAAGCTAAAGAACAAAGCACAAAAGGCCCCTTGGAAGAGAGGAGACTTAAGCTTTTTCTCAAAGGAACAGTAATGACTGCCTGGTTTCCTTGGAAATGATACTTGTCATTATAAATTAATACATTGGGATGCCACTTTTGAGGGTTGTGTGATGTATCAGTTCCCATGAATTCACTCAACTTGATGTATGCTGGCATAATAACACTGTGGGAGTTCCCAAAGCGTTATTGGGATAATGAGATGGGTAATGAGAGGAAGAATTCGAAGACCCAGAATAACTAATAGAATCAGTCTCAGAAGAAGGAATGTGATTTACAGCCCAGGTAGAGAAATTGACTTGGGGCAGGAAAAAGAGGATTTCTCCTTCTGAGCCTACAGGGGAAGAAGTTGCTTGTAAGACTAGAATTGAGTAGGCAGAAGACAAGAAGATAATGGTGTCTATGCCTTCATTTGCCCTCTGAAAGGGGAAAAGGACCTTGGTCAAAGCCTGAGTGTCCAGGAAATGGATAGAGGCAATACCACGTAGTGGTTAAGAGATTCTGCAGACAGAATCCTGGTTAATGCCAATTCTGTTACTTAGTAGCCGTGTTACAGTAGGTAGGCAGACATGAGCAGCGTGGGAGGGGTCCCCCCCACCACCCCCAACAGGAATATCAGGCGACCATCAGGAGATGATGGTCAGGCAGTTCTTAAATGTCTCTCTAAAATAATAATTGGTTGCAGCCAGCGCCAGAGAAAGGCAGTCTCCTAGTAGACAGAAAACACCTGAAACTGGTGATCAACAGCTTCCCGATAAGGTCTCAGGAACTGCGTGAGTGGGCTCGAGCATGTGCACGAAGAGGTAAAATGGCAGAGTTTAACTGGTATATGACCTTCCTCTAGGAGCACTCGACTGGTAAGGAAAGAATGCCTTTAGTGAGCATGCGCACAACTTTAGTAAACACACTGCACATGCGGCCCCTCCCACGTGCTGGCAGGCCAGTGTGCAGGCGGACAGCCCACCCCAGGGGAAGAATCAGGGGAGAAGTAACGCAACCCCAGAAGCACACTCAATGTACTAAACCCCAAGTCAAAGGTCAAACTATGTACTTGATCTCTAAAGTCACCCACTTGGCCCTCCAAGTGTACTTCCTTTTGTTCCTGCTCTAAAGCTTTTTAACAAACTTTCACTCCTGCTCTAAAACTTGCCTGGGTCTCTCAGTCTGCCTAATGCCCCTGGGTCAAATTCTTTCTTCTGAGGTGCCACGTGACTCAGATACGTTCCCTAGTGGTAACAGCTATGTGATCCTAAGCAAGTCACATAACTTATCTGTGCCTTAATTTTCTCATCTATAAAATAGGGATGTGAGATTATAATAGTATCTCCCCCACAGGGTTGTTAATTTAAATAAGTTAATACATGAGAGGTGTTTTGAATAGCGCTTGGCACATAGTATTATTTGGAGGTCTAAGGAAAGTGGGGAAGGTTCGTGAGAGCTTTGCAAGAAAGCATTAAGAGAGGAAGGTTAGGCCAGATGCGGTGGCTCACACCTGTAATCCCAGCACTTTGGGAGGCTGAGGCAGGTGGATCACCTGAGGTCAGGAGTTCAAGACCAGCCTGGCCAACATGGTGAAACCTTGTCTGTACTAAAAATACAAAAATTATCTGGGCGTGGTGGTAGGCCCCTGCAATCCCAGCTACTCAGGAGGCTGGGGCAGGAGAATCACTGGAACGTGGGAGGCAGAGGTTGCAGTGAGCCGAGATTGTGCCATTGCACTCCAGCCTGGGCAACAAGAGTGAAACCCTGTCTCAAAAAAAAAAAAAAAAAAAGAGAGAGGAAAGTAAAATGAATTTTCTCTGATGACCAAATGAGGTCATAGACTGTAGATTAATTGTTGTACTAATCTAAAGACTTAGATTTTCTCCAGAAACACTCAGCCCCCTGTTGTTGGAGAATAGAAAGTGGACTTTAAGATGTATCCAAGATTGAAGGCCTACAAAATGAGTTGTATGGAACCACAATGGATCTACGAGCTGAAAATGCTGAAGAAAGGAGTAGTTCAACTGGTCAACCTGAACACACAGGTCTAACAGAGATGGTTGTAAAGATGTGAGTTTGGGGCGTGGGGTCTTACACTCATGGAAGTCACCCAGGGTGGCAGCAGGAGTGAGGGTAGAAAGGAGGATTTGATTCTGGGGTGAGAGTCATCATGTGTTTGGGAGATTCCTGATGTTCAATCAATGGTGACAACAGGGAAAGGTGCGGGGAGGTGATGTTGTCCATAGAGAGGGGTTAAAAGACAGGGGTCATTTAGGGAAAGCAATTAGCTCTTTCAGGCCTCACGGAGTGGTATTCCTGGAGTGGGGGACAGGAGAGTGAGGGTGTTATGGACTGAATTGTGTGCCCGCCTCCCCCAACCCGTCATATGTTGAATCCCTAATCCCTAATGTGACTGTATTTGGAGATAAGGACTCCAAAGAGGTAATTAAGGTTAAATGAAGTCATTACCTCATTTTGCTCATACTGCCATTAAATGGCAGTCTTTTTAGCCTAATGTCACAACCTGCCTTAGACCCAAAGGATAGTTGCATATAAAGCCTTCCCTTTCTATTCCTCCTGATTTGGTGCCATCCTTCGTGGTGCTGTGCCTGGGTTGCTACAGGAGTATATAGAAACCGCACACCACCACTGTTCTATCCTTTCACCCCCACGACTAGTGTCCTTGTAAGAGGAGGAAGCCCCAGGGGTGCACACTCACAGACGAAAGACCATGTGAGGACACAGTGCGAAAGCAGCCACCTGCGAAGCAAGGAGAAAGGCCTCAGGAGAATCTAACTGGGCCTGAGCTTTGATCTTGGACTTGCAGCCTTCATCACTGAGAGAAAATAAGCTTCTTTGAAGCCATCCAGTCTGCAGTATTTTGTAATGGCAGCCCTAGGAGACTAACACAGAGGGCATGGCCCAGGATCTCACCTTCGTCTTTGCAGGACTAAAATCTAATTTTGTTTGTTTACATGATAGATAATCATTCCAGAACTGACTCATATTTACCAAACTCATAAAAATTTGCTGTGTAGACCAGAAGAATAATTTGATTAACATAGCAAAATAAAGCCTCCAGGAGAACTGGAGCGCACTCCGTCGATGCCAGTGCATTCTCTCCCTGTTGGCAAATATTTGGGAAGCTAAATTATTATCTGAAGGTCACTTGGTGAGCATGGTTTTAAAAGAAAGAGAAGTGGAGAGTATTGAAAGACATTGCTGTAACTCAATGCTGCCAGTGACATGGGCCTGTGACCACAAAATAGGTTTACATCCTCTTTGCTTATTCAACTTATTATGACTCTAACACCCACTGGTCCACTTCCTTCAAAGCGCCTTGCCAGTTATTTGTGGGAGTTTCTCTAGGTCTTGCCTCAAGGGAACTATGCCACAGATCCCTGTTGCTTCTTAACCCTCAACACTGACCATCTTTGTAAAATAGCCACCTGGTGGGGACAGCTGTCCCTCATGATGCCCACTCTAATGCTTCCACTCTGCCCTCAGTGTGGGGACCCTGTTGCCACTAATTCCCCGGAGGACAGTTCAGACCAGACAGTGGCTTTTATTAATTTTTAGTAAAGTAGGAAGACAGAAAATGATGTGGAAACTATCTTATAACTGCTACTGACCATAACCTCAAGAGTTCCTGGAGAGCTTGCAATAGACCTCCTCATAATAAGAGTAGGCCTGACTCCCCAGGCACCTCTAGGCATCCCCACAAATTAAGTTCAGACCCAATTGCACCCGAGGGGATGTCCTCTCCCACTCCGTCCTACCTCAGGATGACTGGCAGTAGAAACAGGTATTCCCCGCAGGGGAGGAACCCTCACACTCACCATGTGATGTGGCTTCACGGCTCAGACACTGCAATAGCAAAAGCCAACACTACCCTCAGTCTTAAAACCTCCCTTTTCTTGACACTTCCACCTTCTAAAGATGCCAAGTATATGGATGTGACTGTGAAATGTGCCCAGATAAATTTTAAGGAGATACAATATTGACTCCTGAGTGTTAAACCAATAAATTACAACATAACAGATGTGATTCACCCTGTTCAAAGGTTACTTTAGAGGTTATACTTTCTCCCAGGCCATAAACAGGAATAACACATAAGGGCAACTGATGCTTGATTGGACACAAAAGGAGACTAGCTTTATCACTGCTATGGACACATCGGAGACAGAATAGGTGAGCAGAGGATGTTGTCTATGTGACGGTAATAGATGGGTATTGGATAATGAGAAGCCATTCATCAGAGCCCAGGAAGAAGAAACCCAGAGCCTGGGAAGAAGAAACACTGAATCTGAGAAACTCAGTCACCAGAGAGTACTTTTCTGGGAAGCTGTGGTTTATGGAAAAGAAGGAATGCAGGTTGGAAAAGCAAAAAGAGAGCAGAGGACAGCTGCTTCCTAATTCCACAGGTAGCTCCCACCTGGGCTATCTCTAGTGTATGGCTCTTGAGACTTCATATTTATTTAGATTCTGCTTTACAGTTTACAAAGGGCTTCATATGTCTCTTATATGCTGAGGAAAGATAGTGGTGTTATATTGCTGAGGGAAACTGAGGCAAGATTTTAGTACTAGTAGAACTATAGAACTGATCTAGCACCCAGATCTTCAGCTTCCAATTCAAAGACATTTCCCCTCTAGGATTGCTGATCCAAACCAGAAGCTTGTCTCCGCAGCTTTGTCTGCCCTTTCTTGTCAAGCCTCCTCATGCCATTGCACTTTCCTACTTGCCTTGAACACCTTCCCTTTATATTCCTCCTGATTTGGTGCCATCCTATGCCTGGGTTGTTACAGAGAGTATATAGAAACAGCACAAGGCCATTGTTCTATCCTTTCACCCTTTGAGATGCAAGCACTATTTATCTTGGAATTTTTCATTTGGGTAATAACTAGACAAAGAATTACAGTACCTACTCCTTTCCTCCTTCAGCAAGGAGTCCTCAGGCAAGGTAACACTACTGGGGCCAGGTTCTCAGAAGAGAAGACTGTGAGAAGGAGGAGGAGGAAGAGGAGGAGGAGGAAGAGAGGAGGAGGAAGAGGAGGAAGAGAGGAGGAGGAAGTGGAGGAGGAGGAAGAGGAGGAGGAGGAAGAGGAGGAAGAGGAGGAGGAGGAGGAGGAATAACAGCCATTTATCATTCTTTGTATTGTTAGCTGGTGAAGCAAAATGGATACACTTTGTCTCTACAAACACACATTACAGCCAATGAGACATAAAAAAGGTGAAAATGGGCTACATTTTAAAAACATTATTTGCCTTGCATATTTTTATGAGTCTCCTTGACCCTGAAACTGAGGAAAAAATAACCTTCAAAGCAGAGAAGGGAGGTAGTGAAAGCAAACCAAACCAGAATACGAGATGAACATCATTGACATCAGAAACCATCTGCTGGTCTTTGTTGTTAAGAAAAACCCGTTAGCCTGGTTTAATGGGGACAGATCAGACAGCATGAGGTGGATTGTGCTGAAAGAAAACATGCAACTATCCCCCTATCCTTTGGGTATAAGGCAGGTTCTGACATTAGGCTAAAAAGACTGGCATTTAATGGCCCTGCATTTGCATAATGACCTTCCTTCTGTAGCTTGTGATATCTCAGCTAATTGCTTTAGAACACTTCTGCTACATCTGGGGTTTTTTTGTTTTTGTTTTTGTTGTTTGAGACCAGCTTTTCACTTGTTTCCCAGGCTGGAGTGCAATGGCGTGATCTCGGCTCACTGCAGCCTCCGCCTCCTGGGTTCAAGAGATTCTCCTGCCTCAGCCTCCCGGGTAGCTGGGACTACAGGTGCCCACCACCACATCCAGCTAATTTTTATTTTTTATTTTTGGGGGTTTTTTTTGTTTGTTTGTTTTTGAGATGGAGTCTCACTCTGTTGCCCAGGCTAGAGTGCAGTGGCATGATCTTGGCTCACTGCAACCTCCAGCTCCCGGATTCAAGCATTTCTCCTGCCTCGGTCTCCCAAGTAGCCAGGAGTACAGGTGCGTGCCACCACGCCTGGCTAATTTTTTGTATTTTAGTAGAGATGGGATTTCACCATGTTGGCCAGGATGGTCTCCATCTCCTGTCCTTGTGATCCACCCACCTCAGCCTCCCAAAATGCTGGGATTACAGGCGTGAGCCACCACGCCTCGTCCATCTGTTAGGTTTTACTACTTTCTAATCCATTCAAAATCCTCACTACCGGCCAAGTCCCAAGCCACTTAAAATTTTTGGAACATGAGGTTGTATGAACCAGAATTCATATGATTCACCTGGTGAGATATATGTGATGTGCTATCAGAAAGAAGGTAATGCCCAGAGAGAACACAAAGTCATAAAAAAAAAATCCTGATTTCTATGTCCTCTTATGTCACAGGGATGAGCTTTGAACAAAGCTTTGTTCCTTCCCATTGAGCTAGAGGAATCTTCCTGTGGATAGAATCTGTGATTCTATGAGTCAGGCAGTTCTCAAACTCCTCTGTGTAACCTGTAACTGAAGAATAAGGAGGTTCATAAATTTGGAAAGGAGAGCTTAATTTCTCAGCAAGACTTGCAGCCTGTATGGTGGCAATTCTGACAGGCTGGGAAGCACAGCCTTCAGTCAGAAGCCAGAAACAGACACTTTGAGGGAGGGGGAAGGGGAACAGGAATTTATGCAAGCAGGGTGGACAATTAGCCATAGATAAATATATCTTAGTTCTTCAGGTAATTCTGATATGAATACCCCCCACATTTAAAAAGCTGTAGGAGGAGTCATGAATATTTATGAGAGGAGAAACGTGCATGTGCAGCTGAGCTTCATGCCCCTTCATGGGTCCCAAAAAATGTCGGCATTGGCACGATCCGATCTTGGCCCTCTAACATCAAAAAGTAAAGTAGAGGACACAAAAACCCTCACTATGCATCCTCTGTGGACTGGCCAGAACCAATCTGTGGTAGGTGGTCTATCATTAGGAAGGAAGCCTGATTGGTTGTGGTGTCAACACTGCAAAAGGGAAGGGCAGCATCTGGCTGTTGGCTGATATCTGCAGTGGTGTCTTTCAGAAAGGCTGGTTTCTGGCCAGTCAAGGTGGCTCACACCTGTAATTTGAGCACTTGGAGAGGCTGAGCAAGAAGGATGGCTCGGGCCTAGGAGTTTGAGACTAGCCTGGGCAACATGGCAAGACCCTGTCTTGTATTTTTTAAAAACTTTAAATAAATACATAAAAATTTAAACATTTTTTAAAAATTAAAAACCAAAAAGGCTAGTTTCTGTTTAGCCATCAGGGAAGAAAGCCCTAATGACGTCAGCAAGGAAGGAGGTATAATGAGGGATGTTCAATCTCTCATCTCATCATGGCTAGGAACTCAGCTTCCAAGCTTTCTCTGGGGTCCCCTTGGGCAAGTGGGGGATCCATTCAGTTGGTGAGTGGGCCTAGAATTTTGTTTCTATTTCTGAAACCTGAGAGTGGTCCCAGACTTTTGGGAGAGAGGGTCCTGGTACCCACCATAATAAAATTCAAATTCTGAACTAATTGTGGTCTTATCCGCCTGTCCCAGGGGCAGTGTGGGCCAGGCACTCTCAGGCCCCGCTTAGGCTGAGCTCCTATTCTATGACTTCATTTTCTCAGCAGGTGAAGCGGGGGCTTGCCCCAGGAGCCAACAGAAAATCATCATGGTGAGGTGGGAAGCACGAGGACTGGAATCAGCAGATCTGAATTCTAAACTTGGTTGGCTACTGACAACCTGTATGACCTTAGACACTTAGCTCTAGGAGTCATTTAATAATAACTAAAAGTATCTATCATATATTAAGAGCCTATATGTGCCAGAGCCTATATTAAATACCTTACATATTTTAATTTATACATGTAAAATAATAAAATATATGTTAAATAATTCTCACAACAACCTAAATGAAGTCTAATATATCAATTTTTATTCTCATAGCATTTTATTTGCTAGAACAAATGAATACATTTAGCTCTATTTGGTCTATAAAATATTTGGAGAAAGCTAAAGTCTTTAAGTATTTTATTTTAGACAATAGAATATAAAAACTTAGTTGATGTCATTACTGGAAAATTATCCAAATATCAAAGATTTTCTCACATAAATCAGTGGATTACTTATTCATACAGTTAAATTCCAGTAAATACAATAAGAAGACAACATCTTCAAGGGTCAGAATAGGGTTTGATGTGTGACAAAATATAATTCAAGTTTATTTCACTAAAAAAAAAAGGTCAATTAGAAAGCTTAGTGGGACAATCAGAAGGGTAGCAAGCTCTGATCAAGGGATAGCAGAGCGTTGTCTCTAAAATGGTGTAATTTTTGTTTTCATTTTGCCAGCAAATGAATGTTGTCAGGGTTCCCTGCGATGGGGAAATTAGGTTAAATTTTGAAAATCAAACTGTTAAAATCCATCATGCTATGCAAGTCCAGACTGCTGAGAAAAATGACTAAACTACAGAAAGTTTTTTTCAGTGAATGGTTGAGAATGTGGGGTTAGAAAGGCAGTTATCCCGTTCCTCACTCATCATTAAGGGTCGTGTCAACACTCCTATAACAAAAGACAGTTAACAAGAGAAAAGCACAACAAATTTACTTAAAGTTTTACATGACATGGGAGCCTTCGGAAATGAAGACTCAAAGACCCAGAGAAAACTGTCTGTTTTTTTGCTTAGGTTTGATGAAGAATGGACAGCTGTGCGAAATGTGGTTAGACAAAAGGTGTGATCTAATGGTAATAGACTCAGGGGGACCCAGCAAGACTGATGCAGATTCTTCTTGGCCTCTCTGTGGGGCATTCCTTTCCTCTGGGTATAGGACAGGACACTTGTCACATGAGGGTCTTCATGGGCAAAGGGAGATTAGAGTGACCTTTCTAGGTTTTATGACTTGCTGTGGGTAACAGCAGTTCTAGTTTCTATGACTCCCCTTGGGAAAGGGGAATATTGCCTTCTGTGACTCCCCTTGGGAAAGGGGAATATTGCCTTCTATAACTCACTTGGTGGGAAAAGGAGGGGAGAAAGATGGGAGGCCAGGAAAAGATCAGAAAGACCTTCTTTTGAGACCTCCCAATCTCCTTTAGTTCAAAGTACTCAGCATGCCAAGACACCATACTTTGGGTATTGTGTTCTGAGCCTCAACAAGGACATGTGGCAAATCACATGTCCATCTGGAGGATCAGGATGTATTTTCTGGAAAATATAATTTTAGCAATATATTTGGGAATTTAACATAAATATGTTGCTGTGTAATTAACTATAATAAATATATAATAAATGTAATAAATGAATTCAGCTAACTTAATGCAGTCTCCTTAACCTCACAATGCATTTTGAAGAATAGGAAAATAATTTTAGATTCTTAGGCCCTTTTAGAAACGTCTTAGGCCTTTTTATACTTCTCATTGTTTTCAATATTTTGTTTCACTTTATTTTTATTTATTTTTTTTGAGACGGAGTCTCACTCTGTCACCCAGGCTGGAGTGCAGTGGCACGATCTCGGCTCACTGCAAGCTCCACCTCCCGGGTTCACGCCATTCTCCTGGCTCAGCCTCCTGAGTAGCTGGAACTACAGGTGCCCACCACCACACCTGGCTAATTTTTTGTATTTTTAGTAGAGACGGATTTCACCATGGTCTCGATCTCCTGACCTCGTGATCCACCTGCCTTGGCCTCCCAAAGTGCTGGGATTACAGGCGTGAGCCACCACGCCCAGCCTGTTTTCAAAATTTTAAATCAGTCCACAAAAGTAAATATAATTAGATATTTATCATCTTGTATTTAATTAGAAAATTTAAATATATGTAGATTAAGGACTTGCCCAAGGAGTGAATGGGAAGGCTGGATCGTGGATTTGTCTTCTGATAATATGATACTCTTTAGAATATTGCTTAAACATGTAAAGCAGAATCTGCAATCAAAGTAAATAATTATCCAGAGCCGACTTTGGATCACATTACAGATATTGACTCCTTTGTACCCTTTGGCTTTTTATAAACACAGCTTTAAACACAAGGTGAGTTACAACTCAAGGTGAATTTATATGAGTGAGTTGAGTCACTTTACCTCTCATTTGCCTTTCCTTGCTAGCAACCTTAAGACAGGATCTGTGTCTCTGTGAACCTAGGGGAAAAAAGGACCAGGCACAGTGGCTTATGCCTGTAATCCCAGGACTTTGGGAGGCTGAGGTGGGAGAATGGCTTGAGCCAAGGAATTTGAGACCAGCCTGGGCAACCTAGTGAGACCGTGTCTCTATTAAACTAAAAAAAAAAAAAAAAAAAAAAAATATGTATAAAAGAATCTATACATAGGCAAGGTGGAATGATTAAACTGGGGAAAGCAAACTATTGTACTCGCAAAAGAAGCTGAGGCAGGAAAATGTAGGAAGTTTCCCCATTGCAGATTGTGATGGTTAATACTGAGTGCCAACTTGATTGGATTGAAGGATACAAAGTATTGATCCTGGGTGTGTCTGTGAGGGTGTTGCCAAAAGAGATTAACATTTGAGTCAGTGGGCTCGGGGAGGCAGATCCACCCTTAGTCTGGTGCACACAATCGAATCAGCTGCCAGCGAATACAAAGCAGGCAGAAAAACATGAAAAGGAGAGACTGGCCTAGTCAGTGACTAGAAGAACAACGCCTAGTGGGCCTATTTGGATTTTTGGAAACAAGACATTCCTCATTTGGGTGTGTTACTCTGGCCCATTTATCGAGTGACCCAAAAGGCTGCTAGTTTTGAGTGGGGTCCAGAACAGGAGAAGGCTCTGCAACAGGTCCAGGCTGCTGTGCAAGCTGCTCTGCCACTTGGGCCATGTGACCCAGTAGATCCAATGGTGCTTCAGGTGTCAGCGGCAGATAGCGATGCTGTTTGGAGCCTTTGGCAGGCCTCCATAGGTGAATCACAGTGGAGGCCTCTAGGATTTTGGAGCAAGGCCCTGCCATCTTCTGCAGATAACTACTCTCCTTTTGAGAGACAGCTCTTGGTCTGTTACTGGGCTTTGGTGGAAACTGAATGTTTGGCCGGGCATGGCGGCTCATGCCTGTAATCCCAGCACTTTCGGAGGCTGAGACGGGCGGATCACAAGGTCAGGAGATTGAGACCATCCTGGCTAACATGGTGAAACCCCATCTCTACTAAAAATACAAAAAAAAAAATCAGCTGGGCGTGGTAGCAGGCGCCTGTAGTCCCAGCTATTTGGGAGGCTGAGGCAGGAGAATGGCATGAACCCAGGAGGCGGAGCTTGCAGTGAGCCGAGATCTCGCCACTGCACTCCAGCCTGGGCGACAGAGCGAGACTCCGTCTCAAAAAAAAAAAAAAAGAAAGAAACTGAATGTTTCACTATGGGTCATCAAGTCACCATGTGACCTGAACTGCCCGTCATGAACTGGGTGCTTTGTGACCCATCTAGCCATAAAGTGGGTTGTGCACAGCAGCATTCCATCATCAAATGGAAGTGGTATATATGTAACTGGTCTCCAGCAGGTCCCAAAGGCACAAGTAAGTTACATGAGAAGGTGGCTCAAATCCCCATGGTCTCCACTCCTGCCACCCTGCCTTCTCTTCCCCAGTCTGAACTGATGGCCTCATGGGGAGTTCCCTATGATCAGGTGACAGAGGAAGAGAAAACTAGGGCCTGGTTCACAGATGGTTCTGTACGATATGCAGGTACCACCCAAAAGTGGACAGCTGCAGCACTACAGCCCCTTTCTAGGACATCCCTGAAGGACAGCGGTGAAGGGAAATCTTCCTGGGGGCAGAACTTTGAGCAGTACACCTGGTTGTGCACTTTACATGGAAGGAGAAATGGCAAAGGAGATTAACATTTGAGTCAGTGGGCTGGGGGAGGCAGATCCACCCTTAATCTGGTGGGCACAATCTAATCAGCTGCCAACAAATATAAAGCAGGCAGAAAAACGTGAAAAGGAGAAGACGAGTCTAGGTTCCCAGCCTACATCTTTCATTCTGGATGCTTCCTGCCCTTGAACATTGGACTCCAAGTTCTTCAGTTTTGGGACTCAGACTGGCTCTCCTTGCTCCTCTCAGCTTGCAGAAAGCCTATTGTGGGACCTTGTTATCGTGTATGTTAATACTTAATAAACTCCCCTTTATATATCTACATCTGTATGTATATAAACACACACATATATAGATATATATATATCCTATTAGTTCTGTCCCTCCAAGAGAACACTGACTAATTCACAGATCAATGAGAAATACAACTAATTATCTTTAAAATGTTTGTACAGGGCCGGGCGTGGTGGCTCATGCCTGTAATCCCAGCACCTTGGGAGCTTTAGATGGGAGGACTGCTTGAGCCCAGTAGTTCAAGATGAGCCTAGGCAACATAGCAAGATCCTGTCTCTATTTGTTTCTAAAAAAGTTTGTGCAATAAATCAACAATTATTATTTACTTTAAATGGAACCATCCATTTATTACATAAAGCAAGGCAAGTCTATAGCTCCAAACCACACTCTATTATTTATACCCATTTTGAAAAGATTTTGTTTTCAAAGTCTTTTTACGTCCTTCTTGATATTGTAGGAAAAGGGGTGGTGAAGAACAGCCTCAGAGTTACTCCAAAATATTCCAGCCTTTGGCCCTCTGCTGTGCAGTTCTGGAGTCTCAATGTTTGTTCATACAGAGGTGATTAGGCCCAGAGAATATTGTGTTACAACATGCAGGCTCAAACTGGACTAACTTGATACAGAAAGCTAATTTCAACACTTACAGTTAGAAATATCTCTTTTCACTGGGAATCTACTTGGAAAATGCAATTGAGATGGTTTTTAAAAATGGAATCAGAACCCAAAACGAATTGAGATGGTTTTTTAAAATGGAATCGGAAATGTCTAGTTTCTATTCAATACTTTTAGTGTTTTAAACTGCTATTTCTATTTTTCTGATCACATACTCAGCTGCCTAATTGTTTCACAATGGTAATACCAATTATCCTCTTGTCTTCCAGAAAGAACACAGGGCTGTTGTCCCTACCCTGGGGAGCAGGCAGGTTAACATTAAAAGAAACTTCCAGATCCTCTTCATCCATTTCTCTTAAAGCCCAGATCCTGTTGCCAGTTCTATGAAACCAACAACATGCATTTTCTTTTTTCAGTCCCACCCAAAACACCAAAATCCCAAAATCTTTTCCATGTTAAATGCCACTTCACCATACAAAGCATGGGGAAGGGAGGGATTTGAAGGAAAAACAGAAAATTCCTATTCTGAAGATACTAGAGAAAAATGGAGAAGATAAGAGTCTCCCATCTTCCGTCTCAAGGTTGGCATTGGGGGAAAGAGATGAAGGGAGTAGAGGGAAGAACAGTTCCCTGTCCCAGCCCCACTATCCAATTCTCTCTTGCCTCTTTTCCCCATCTGTTCTCTTTGACCACCCTCATTGCCTTTATTCAATTTTCCTTTGCAGTATTCTCCCCCTTCAGAGAGCTGCAGTGGTCTAAGCTAAGCAATTCTTTAAATCTCTCTTCCTCCATAAATACATAATCACTGAGAGCCTAACACAATAAGATGAACTAATAGCTGCTTATCACTATCAACATCACCACCACCAGCAACAAAGCACCTCTGCTCTGTATGGCCTGTGGACGAAGCCCAGCCGGTGAAGTTCCACTGCTGTGAGAATGCACTGCCTGGTATTGCTGTCAGAGTGTTTTGACTCTCTTCTCCTCTATGTCACTGCACTTCTTTTCTCCTCCTTTATTTCTGGATGTCCCCTAGATGTCCTTTTTTAGCCTTCCCTCCACATTCTCCCCCTCACCTCTACCTTCCTTTTTCTGAGAACATTCATTCTCCCTGCTTCTGCTCCTTGGCCACAGTGGATTGGTCAGGGGTGCAGACTTACCTCAGGTGAGGCCAGTGTGGCCCATTCCTGGGATCTGAGATCTTGGTATCAAGAAAGAATCATATACAGAATCTAGAGGTTCTAGAATCAACATGATGGTATAATCAGATAGGTACAGAGAATCATATAGAATGTGTATAGATATATAGAATATAGATATGTAGACTCATATAGAAACTATAAAATGTAAGGGGTTTGGAGCTGTTGATAGCCATGTTTCCAATTACTTCTGATTAGAACTGATTGGGTTTTCTCACTCGCAACAAAAAGAATACAAATAAATGCTTCCCTCATGCCAGCCCCTAAACACAGCTTCAATAAATACCAGCCAGATCATGTTTTATTTCAAGGCTCCATTAGCCAATAAATATAAAGCTGACTACAACTTCTCACTTCCTGAAACATGGCCATTCTCATTTTAACGTTCTCATTCAAACATACTGCCAACTAGTATGTTTGGTCAGTTAACACGTTACTCACAAACAGAATCTTCTACATTGAGGTAATAGGTGTTTCACTCTCTAGTCTTTATGCAGGAAAGAAAACATCTCCTACAAGTGAAGATAATCTTTTTGTCTTTCAAAGGAATCCCACTGAGTTGGTAACTATATTATATTCAATATTTTTAAAAACAACCTTGTTAATTTTGTTAACCCCCATGTCTAAATTTCCCATGAGCATGCATTATAGGTCATATTTCTACAGAGTATACAGCGGAGCTTGCTCTGAACTGAAACGTTGTAGACATGCAGGCTACCAGACAGAAGTCGCAACAAACGAGTTGAGTTCCAGACAATATGGCTCATTTATCAAAATGTCAGAAGCACAATTAACTCAAACTTTCATGTACCATGAGCCAAGTCTGAAATTCAACTCCTGTGATGGGCTTTACTCTGCTTCTAATGTACCACCTATTTCCAACATGGTGCTGGCCCTCAGAGGGCCTGCCAGTTACCCTCTCTTCTTGGGATAGCAGCAAAACAAGGTTCCCTTGTTCTTTGGGTAGTTGACGCTACAATCTAAACATAACCAATTAGACCAGAAATGCATGCCTGACACAAATATAGCCATCTAACGCAGTATTTCAGAAACATCTAGAGCATTTCTTATAAACCAGTCTTGTAGGAACAAGCCCAGAGCTACAGGATCAAATTTCCCAAGAAAGGGTTATGAATTCTGTATTATAAAATACCACCACGTGATTCTGATGATAAACCCACAATCAGAACACAAAGGGACATACGAAGTGGCCTGAGACTTCTTCACAACAGGGCTGTGAGGAAGACACCTGTCACGCCTCTGAGCCCAAGCTAAGCCATCATATCCCCTGTGACCTGCACATACACATCCAGATGGTCGGTTCCTGCCTTAACTGATGACATTCCACCACAAAAGAAGTGAAAATGGCCTGTTCCTGCCTTAACTGATGACATTGTCTTGTGAAATTCCTTCTCCTGGCTCATCCTGGCTCAAAAGCTCCCCCACTGAGTACCTTGTGACCCCCACTCCTGCCCGCCAGAGAACAACCCCCCTTTTTCCTTTACCTACCCAAATCCTATAAAACAGCCCCACCCATCTCCCTTCACTGACTCTCTTTTCGGACTCAGCCCACCTGCACCCAGGTGAAATAAACAGCCATGTTGCTCACACAAAGCCTGTTTGATGGTCTCTTCACACGGACGCGCATGAAATTTGGTGCCGTGACTCGGATCGGGGGACCTCCCTTGGGAGATCAATCCCCTGTCCTCCTGTTCTTTGCTCTGTGAGAAAGATCCACCTACGACCTCAGGTTCTCAGACCGACCAGCCCAAGGAACATCTCACCAATTTTAAATCGGGTAAGCGGCCTCTTCTTACTCTCTTCTCCAACCTCTCTCACTGTCCCTCAACCACTTTCTCCTTTCCACTCTTCAATCTCTCCCTTCTCTTAATTTCAATTCCTTTCATATTCTGGTAGAGAGAAAAGAGACACGTTTTATCCATGGACCCAAAACTCCAGTGCCAGTCACAGACTGGGAAGGCAGCCTTCCCTTGGTGTTTAATAATTGCAGGGTCGCCTCTCTGATTATTCACCCATGTTTCAGAGGTGTCAGACCATGCAGGGACGCCTGCCTTTGTCCTTCACCTTTAGCAGCAAGTCCCGCTTTTCTAGGGGAGGGGCAAGTACCTCAACCCCTTCTCTCCATGTCTCTACCCCTTCTCCGCCTTTCTGGGGGGCAAGAAACCCCCAACCCCTTCTCCATCACTCTTAGTGGCAAGTCCCGCTTTTCTGGGGGAAGGGCAAGTACCCCAACCTTGTATCTCTGTGCCCCAATCCCTTATTTCCGTGCTCCAACCTCTTATATCTCTGTGCCCTGATCCCTTATTTCCACACCCCAACCTCTTATATCTCTGCACCATGATCCCTTATTTCCATGCCCCGACCTCATATCTCTGTGCCCCAACCCCTTTCCCACTTTTCTGGAGGGTAAGAACCCCCGAACTGCTTCCCTCCGTGTCTCTACTCTCCCTTTTCTTTAAACTTGCCTCCTTCACTATGGGCAGCCTTCCACCCTCCATTCCTCCTTCTTCTCCCTTAGCCTGTGTTCATAAGAACATAAAACCTCTTCAACTCTCGCCTGATCTAAAACCTAAATGCCTTATTTTCTTCTACAATGCCGCTTGACCCCAGTACAAACTTGACAGTGATTCTAAATGGCCAGAAAACGGCACTTTCGATTTCTCCATCTTACAAGACCTAAATAATTTTTTGTCGAAAAATAGGCAAATGGTCTGAGGTGCCTGACGTCCAGGCATTCTTTTACACATCGGTCCCTCCCTAGTCTCTGTGCCCAGTGCAACTCGTCCCAAATCTTCCTTCTTTCCCTCCCACCTGTCCCCTCAGTCCCAACCCCAAGCGCCACTGAGTCTTTCTAATCTTCCCTTTCTACAGACCCATCTGACCTTTCCCCTCCTCCCCAGGCTGCTCCTCACCAGGCTGAGCTAGGTCCCAATTCTTCCTCAGCCTCCGCTCCTCCACCCTATAATCCTTTTATCACCTCTCCTCCTCACACCGGGTCCGGCTTACAGTTTCGTTCTGCGACTAGTTCTTCCCCACCTGCCCAAAAATTTCCTCTTAAAAAGGTGGCTGAAGCTAAAGGCATAGTCAAGGTTAATGCTCCTTTTTCTTTATCCAACCTCTCCCAAATCAGTTAGCATTTAGACTTTTTCATCAAATATGAAAAACCCAGCCAAGTTCACGGCTCGTTCGGCAGCAACCCTGAGATGCTTTACAGCCCTAGACCCTAAAAGGTCAATAAGCCGTCTTCTTCTCAATATACATTTTATTACCCAATCCACTCCTGACATTAAATAAAACTCCAAAAATCAAATTCCAGCCCTCAAACCCCACAACAGGACTTAATTAACCTCATCTTCAAGGTGTACAATAATAGAGGCAGCCAAGTAGCAACGTATTTCTGAGTTGCAATTCCCTGCCTCCACTGTGAGACAAACCCCAGCCACATCTCCAGCACACGAGAACTCCAAATGCCTGAACCGCAGCTGCCAGGGGTACCTCCAGAATCTCCTCCCCCAGGAGCTTGCTACAAGTGCCAGAAATCTGGCCACTGGGCCAAGGAATGCCCACAGCCCCGGATTCCTCCTAAGCCACATCCCATCTGTGTGGGACCCCACTGAAAATCAGACTGTTCAACTCACCTGGCAGCCACTCCCAGAGCCCCTGAACTCTGGCCCAAGGCTCTCTGACTGACTGCTTCCCAGATCTCGGCTTAGCAGTTGAAGACTGACACTGCCCGATCGCCTCCGAAGCCTACAGGACCATCACAGACGCTCTGGGTAACTATCACAGTGGAGGGTAAGTCCATCCCCTTCTTAATCAATATGGAGGCTACCCAATCCACATTACCTTCTTTTCAAGGGCCTGTTTCCTTTGCCTCCATAACTGTTGTGGGTATTGACGGCCAGGCTTTTAAATCTCTTAAAACTCCCCAACTCTAGTGCCAACTTAGACAATACTCTTTTAAGCACTCCTTTTTAGTTATCCACACCTGCCCAGTTCCCTTATTAGGCCGAGACACTTTGACTAAATTATCTGCTTCCCTGACTATTCCTAGGCTACAGCCACACCTCATTGCTGCCTTTTCCCCCAGTTCAAAGCCTCCTTCACATCCTCCCCTTGTATCTCCCCACCTTAACCCACAAGTATAGGACACCTCTACTCCCTCCTTAGTGACCGATCATGCACCCCTTACCATCCCATTAAAACCTAATCACCCTTACCCCGCTCAACGCCAATATCCCATCCCACAGCATGCTTTAAAAGGATTAAAGCCTGTTATCACTGGCCTGCTACAGCATGGGCTTCTAAAACCTATAAACTCTCCTTACAATTCCCCCATTTTACCTGTCCAAAAACCGGACAAGTCTTACAGATTAGTTCAGGATCTGCGCCTTATCAACGAAATTGTTTTGCCTATCTACCTCATGGTGCCAAACCCATACACTCTCCTATCCTCAGTACCTCCCTCTACAACCCATTATTCTGTTCTAGATCTCAAACATGCTTTCTTTACTATTCCTTTGCACCCTCATCCCAGCCTCTCTTCACTTTCACTTCGACTGACCCTGACACCCATCAGGCTCAGCAAATTACCTGGGCTGTACTGCCGCAAGGCTTCACAGGCAGCCCCCATTACTTCAGTCAAGCCCAAATTTCATCCTCATCTGTTACCTATCTCAGCATAATTCGTCATAAAATCACAGGTGCTCTCCCTGCTGATCGTGTCCAATTAATCTCCCAAACCTCAATCCCTTACAAAACAACAACTCCTTTCCTTCCTAGGCATGGTTAATGTGGTCAGAATTCTTACACAAGAGCCAGGACTGCACCCTATAGCCTTTCTGTCCAAACAACTTGACCTTACTGTTTTAGCCTAGCCCTCATGTCTGCGTGCAGCGGCTGCTGCTGCTTTAATACTTTTAGAGGCCCTAAAAATCACAAACTATGCTCAACTCACTCTCTACATTTCTCATAACTTCCAAAATCTATTCGCTTCCTCACACCTGACATATATACTTTCTGCTCCCCAGCTCCTTCAGCTATACTCACTCTTTGTTGAGTCTCCCACAATTACCATTGTTCCTGGCCCGGACTTCAACCCTGCCTCCCACATCATTCCAGATACCACACCTGACCCTCATGACGGCATCTCTCTGATCCACCTGACATTCACCCCATTTACCCACATTTCCCTCTTCCCTGTTTCTCACCCTGATCACACTTGGTTTATTGATGGCAGTTCCACCAGGCCTAATCGCCACTCACCAGCAAAGGCAGGCTATGCTATAGTATCTTCCACATCTATCCTTGAGGCTACCGTTCTTCCCTCCTCCACTACCTCTCAGCAAACCGAACTAGTTGCCTTAACTCAAGCCCTCACTCTTGCAAAAGGACTACGCGTCAATATCTATACTGATTCTAAATATGCCTTTCATATTCTGCACCACCATGCTGTTACATGGGCTGAAAGAGGTTTCCTCACTATGCAAGGGTCCTCCATCATTAATGCCTCTTTAATAAAAACTCTACTCAAGGCTGCTTTACTTCCAAAGGAAGCTGGGGTCATTCACTGCAAGGGGCATCAAAAGGTGTCAGATCCCATTGCTCCAGGCAACGCTTATGCTGATAAAGTGGCTAGACAAGCAGCTAGCTCTCCAACTTCTGTACCTCATGGCCAGTTTTTCTCCTTCACATCGGTCACTCCCACCTACTCCCCTGCTGAAACTTCTACCTATCAATCTCTTCCCACACAAGGCAAATGGTTCTTAGACCAAGGAAAATATCTCCTTCCAGCCTCACAGGCCCATTCTATTCTGTTGTCATTTCATAACCTCTTCCATTTAGGTTATAAGCCACTAGCTCGTCTCTTAGAACTTCTCATTTCCTTTCCATCATGGAAATCTATCCTCAAGGAGATCACTTCTCAGTGTTCCATCTGCTATTCTACCACCCCTCAGGGGTTGTTCAGGCCCCCTCCCTTTCCTACACATCAAGCTCTGGGATTTGCCCCTGCCCAGGACTGGCTAATTGACTTTACTCACATGCCTTGAGTCAGAAAACTAAAATACCTCTGGTCTGGGTAGACACTTTCACTGGATAGGTAGAGGCCTTTCCCACAGGGTCGGAGAAGGCCACCGAGGTCATTTCTTCCCTTCTGTCAGATATAATTCCTTGGTTTGGCCTTCCCACCTCTATACAGTCTGATAACGGACCAGCCTTTACTACTCAAATCACCCAAGCAGTTTCTCAGGCTCTTGGTATTCAGTGAAACCTTTATATCCCTTACAGTCCTGAGTCTTCAGGAAAGGTAGAACGGACTAATGGTCTTTTAAAGACACACCTCACCAAGCTCAGCCACCAACTTAAAAAGGACTGGACAATACTTTTACCACTTTCCCTTTTCAGAAGTCAGACCTGTCCTCAGAATGCTACAAGGTACAGCCCATTTAAGCTCCTGTATAGACGCTCCTTTTTATTAGGCCCCAGTCTCATTCCAGACACCAGACCAACTTAGACTGTGCCCCCAAAAAACCTGTTATCCCTACTATCTTCTGTCTAGTCATACTCCTATTCACCGTTCTCAACTACTCATACATGCCCTGCTCTTGTTTACACTGCCGGTTTACACTGTTTCTCCAAGCCATCACAGCTGATATCTCCTCGTGCTATCCCCAAACTGCCACTCTTAACTCTTGAAGTAAATAAATAATCTTTGCTGGCAGGACTACGCTGAATCTCCTCAGGCACTCTCTAATCAGATGTCCTGAGTCATCCCAATTCTTAGAGCTTTTATAGCTGTTTTTCTCCTTCTCTTATTCCATTTAGTTTTTCAATTCATACAAAACTGTATCCAGGCCATCACAAATAATTCTAAATGACAAATGTTCCTTCTAACAACTCCACAATATCACCGCTTACCACAAAATCTTCCTTCAGTTTAATCTCTCCCACTCTAGGTTCCCACGCCGCCCCTAATCCCGCTCGAAGCAGCCCTGAGAAACATTGCCCATTATCTCTCCATACCACCCCCCAAAATTTTCACCGTCCCAACACTTTACCACTATTTCATTTTATTTTTCTTATTAATATAAGAAGACAGGAATGTCAGGCCTCTGAGCCCAAGCTAAGCCATCATATCCTCTGTGACCTGCACATACACATCCAGATGGTCGGTTCCTGCCTTAACTGATGACATTCCACCACAAAAGAAGTGAAAATGGCCTGTTCCTGCCTTAACTGATGACATTGTCTTGTGAAATTCCTTCTCCTGGCTCATCCTGTCTCAAAAGCTCCCCCACTGAGTACCTTGTGACCCCCCACTCCTGCCCACCAGAGAACAACCCCCCTTTTTCCTTTACCTACCCAAATCCTATAAAACAGCCCCACCCCTATCTCCCTTCACTGACTCTTTTCGGAATCAGCCCACCTGCACCCAGGTGAAATAAACAGCCATGTTGCTCACACAAAGCCTGTTTGGTGGTCTCTTCGCATGGATGTGCATGAAAACCCCCCATCAGATTTTCCCCTTGGGGTGTCCAAAGGTGACATACATGGATAAAAAACAGAGTCCTGGCCCGGCGCGGTGGCTCATGCCTATAATCCCAGTACTTTGGGAGGCCAAGGCGGGTGGATCACCTGAAGTCAAGAGTTCGAGACCAGCCTGGCCAACATGGTGAAACCCTGTCTCTACTAAAAATACAAAAATCAGCCAAGTGTGGCGGCAGGTGCCTGTAATCCCAACTACTCAGGAGACTGAGGCAGAAGAATCGCTTGAACCCGGGAGGCAGAGGTTGCAGTGAGACAAGATCGTGCCACTGCACTCCAGCCTGGCAACAGAGCAAGATTCTGTCTCAAAAACAAAACAAAACAAAACAAAACAAGAAAAAAAAAAAGAAAAGAAAACAATTCTGAGCAGCAAAACCTGAGAGACTCTCAGAGAGACAACTGTGTGGGGAAAAGAAAGAGAGATCAGACTGTTACTGTGTCTATGTAGAAAGAAGTAGACATAAGAGACTCCATTTTGTTCTGTACTAAGAAAAATTCTTCTGCCTTGAGATGCTGTTAATCTGTAACCCTACCCCCAACCCTGTACTCGCAGAAACATGTGCTGTGTGGACTCAAGGTTTAATGGATTTAGGGCTATGCAGGATGTGCTTTGTTAAACAAATGCTTGAAGGCAGCATGCTTGTTAAAAGTCATTACCACTCCCTAATCTCAAGTACCCAGGGACACAAAACACTGCGGAAGGTCACAGGGACCTCTGCCTAGGAAAGCCAGGTATTGTCCAAGGTTTCTCTCCATGGGATAGTCTGAAATATGGCCTTGTGGGAAGGCAAAGACCTGAAAGTCCCCCAGCCCGACACCCGTAAAGGGTCTGTGCTGAGGAGGATTATTAAAAGAGGAAGGCCTCTTTGCAGTTGAGGTAAGAGGAAGGCATCTGTCTCCTGCTTGCCCCTGGGCAATGGAATGTCTCTGTGTAAAAACCGATTGTATGTTCCATCTACTGAGATAGGAGAAAACCGCCTTAAGGCTGGAGGTGAGACATGCTGGTGGCACTACTGCTCTTTAATGCACAAGATATGTTTATGTATGTGCACATCAAAGCACAGCACATTTTCTAATCTTGTTTATGACACAGAGACATTTGTTCACATGTTTTCCTGCTGACCCTCTCCCCACTATTACTCTATTGTCCTGCCACATCCCCCTCTCCGAGATGGTAGAGATAATGATCAATGAATACTGAGGGAACTCAGAGACCGGTGCCGGCGCGGGTCCTCCGGCGCGGGTCCTCCGTATGCTCAGCGCCAGTCCCCTGGGCCCACTTTTCTTTCTCTATACTTTGTCTCTGTGTCTCTTTCTTTTCTCAGTCTCTCGTCCCACCCAACGAGAAACACCCACAGGTGTGGAGGGGCAGGCCACCCCTTCACAACTGTAAACTCATAGGTAGAGACCACGGGAAAGATAGAAATTTAAGCAAAGGCAGTATTACCTAGATTCATTAGAGGGATTGGCAGCAGAAACAGCACTAAAATGGAAGTACCATTAGAACCCGAAGCGATGGTGGAGCAGTAGACAGACGAGCTGCCGATGTGATACCCGGATGCAAAATGGCGTGCTAGGTCCACAGTATTGAAAGCTCAGTAACTGGGATGGTTTCTTCTGCTTCTTGACTTTCCTTTGGTTTCCTATGATAAACTCCCATCACCTGAGATACCCTAAAAGACCTAATTCACTCACTGGTTTTACTTCTTGAAAAAGAAGAAAGGATTTTTAGAGGAGCGTGCCCTTTCAAGGGCCATAGCAAAGGCTTCTGAAGCATGATTTCAGTCATTACACTAACTGAGGTGAACAGATAATGTATGACATCTATTAACTTACAAAAGCAACACTGTGCTGGTGTGTGTGTGTGTGTGCGCGCATGTGTGTGCTCACCTTACTCTATACAAGTAATAAATCTCTGGCTTTGACAGAAAACTAGGAAGAGATTTATTTCTGAGAATTAAACGCTTTAGAACAGTTCCTTGAAAGCAACGAACCAGCCCAGGTAAATACCATTTATGAAGACTCCTGGGAGTGACAGCCAGGCTTAGTCTGGCAACACCTGGGCTCTCTCTTTTGAAAAAATTTAACATTAAATTTACATAAGCAGGCTAATCTCTTAACATTCAAAATGGCAACAGTATAAAAGCTACTATAAGAAAATTTAACAGGTGACAGAACAGAGCCCTCAGAAATAGTACCACACATCTACAACCATCTGATCTTTGACAAACCTGACAAAAACAAGAAATGGGGAAAGGATTCCCTATTTAATAAATGGTACTGGGGAAACTGGCTAGCCATATGTAGAAAGCTGAAACTGGATCCCTTCCTTACACCTTATACAAAAATTAACTCAAGATGGATTAAAGACTTAAATTTAGACCTAAAACCATAAAAACCCTAGAAGAAAACCTAGGCATTACCATTCAGGACATAGGCATGGACAAGGACTTCATGACTAAAACACCAAAAGCAATGGCAACGAAAGCCAAAATACACAAATGGGGATCTAATTAAACTAAAGAGCTTCCGCACAGCAAAAGAAACTACCATCAGAGTGAACAGGCAACCTACAGAATGGGAGAAAATTTTTGCAATCTACTCATCTGACAAAGGGCTAATATCCAGAATCTACAAAGAACTTAAACAAATTTACAAGAAAAAATCAAACAACCCCATCAAAAAGTGGGCGAAGGATATGAACATATACTTCTCAAAAGAAGACATTTATGCAGCCAACAGACACATGAAAAAATGCTCATCATCACTGGCCATCAGAGAAATGCAAATCAAAACCACAATGAGATACCATCTCACACCAGTTAGAATGGCCATCATTAAAAAGTCAGGAAACAACAGGTGCTGGAGAGGATGTGGAGAAATAGGAACACTTTTACACTGTTGGTGGGAGTGTAAACTAGTTCAACCATTGTGGAAGACAGTGTGGCAATTCCTCAGGGATCTAGAACTAGAAATACCATTTGACCCAGCCATCCCATTACTGGGTATATACCCAAAGGATATAAATCATGCTGCTATAAAGACACATGCACATGTATGTTTATTGCAGCACTATCCACAATAGCAAAGACTAGGAACCAACCCAAATGTCCATCAATGATAGACTGGATTAAGAAGATGTGGCACATATACACCATGGAATACTATGCAGCCATTAAAAAAGGATGAGTTCATGTCCTTTGTAAGGATATGGATGAAGCCGGAAAGCATCATTCTCAGGAAACTATAGGAAGGACAAAAAACCAAACACTGCATGTTCTTACTCATAGGTGGGAACTGAACAATGAGAACACTTGGACACAGCAAGGGGAACGTCACACACCGGGGCCTGTCATGGGTTGCGGGGAGGGGGGAGGGATAGCATTAGGAGATATACCTAATGTAAATGACGAGTTAATGGGTGCAGCACACCAACATGGCACATGTATATACATATGTAGCAAATCTGCACATTGTGCACATGTGCCCTAGAACTTAAAGTATAATAAAAATAAATAAATAAACAAAAAATTAAAATTAAAAAAAGAAAATTTAACAGGTGAAAATGTGAACTTAATTTAAATTAACAAATTGAGAGCTTCCTTTGTATAAAATTTTATTAGTGGGACATTGTTTTGATCATTACAAATAATTTTAATTTTCAAAGTAGCTCTTTTTATGGATCACTAACTAAATATACACATATGTGTATTTTAATATTATAAACTAGGAAGTATCACACACACATGACATTTTCTAATGCACAAATGGAGAACATGTAATTTTAAATCCCAACCCTACAATCACTTAGAAGTTAATATAAATCAGAGTTTAATTTTTTCAATTAAGATCAGCTTTTCTTTCTTTTTAAAATGGTATGTTTCCTATCATACCATTCCATCCCAGAAAAAAATAAAAGAAATAATTAAAAATACTACAAAATATGAGAGTTGTGATATCCCTGTCATAAATAAGGGACTAACGGTAAAACTGATTTTCCTGCAAAGAGTTAAAAATCCTTTATAATATCACACCATCTCATAAGGGGGAACGGTTACACTAAATATAGAACGTCTTGAATGCCTGCAAAGCCAAAATGGTGAATAATAAAAAGGAAATAAGCTGTGAACCAGGTATCAGCCTCCTCAAAGAGAAAAGTTTGTGTGAATATTGGGAACCCTAGAATTGCTTTATCAGTCATCTGAGGACATCCAGACTGCAGAACAATTGTCTTGATCTGCAAATAATTTCTGCTTATCATCAGACGGTTGTGGTGTAATACCAAGAAATAAATGTCTAGCACAGACTTTCTGTTTATGATGTTACACTAGAGGATGTATGTAAAAATGGTTTCTGAGGCTATCCTTACTCCTTGGCTCTTGGCTAGCAATCTTAACAATTTCTTGATATGACACTTTTTTTCCTTTAAGATTTTACTCTAAGGATAATTTTCCAAGTGGGTTGCATTCTGAAATTGTTTTGTTACTCTTAACATTACTCAAAAAAAAAGCTTCTCAGATGTGCAAAGGTATTTTCAAGGGATATAATGGCTGCTTTCTGTTGGGACATAATTCTTCATGAAGCTCTTGCGTTTCTGCATCTCTTGTGAGCCAAAGCATTAACTTCCATTTTGTTTCAGACTACCTTTTCCTGGATGTTTGTGTCAGCCTTGGAAGGTTGAGATCTGTCTCTCTCTAAAACTGACAGTTGGTTGCTTCCTGTCCAGTATAACAAAGCTAATATATCCCCCTACAGTGAAGGTCAGGCAGGTTTGCTTGCAGCCCTCTATAATAGATATTCTATAAATATTTTAGAAACCAAAGTTTGAATCTATGTTGCCCCATAATCAGCCAGTGAAAGCCCATTGAGACAAATGGAACAATGAAGACTGAAATTTAAACTTTTGTTTCAATGTGGAAATTTTGCTATTTGGGCAATTTCACTCATTTAGAAAACAGACTGTAGTTGGTGTCCTTGTTAACCCCAAGTCTTTGCTTAATTATTATTCAGTGCTGCAGCTTATAGTATTAGCTGTGATTTGGGGCCTTAAGGAAGGGCTTAGATTGGCCACAGTCAGGACAAAGCAGCATGAAAAAAGCTGTGGCCAAAGAGAAGCCTGTTACCTGCCAGTGGCCAGAGGTGACCCTGGAAGCCAGCACAGCCGCTGCCCAGACAAGAACAACCAGGACGGCTGTGAGTATCCTGGTGGATGATGAGGGGAACCTGGTCAAAGACTAGACTTCTTCTTTTTTTTTTTTTTTTTTTTTGAGATGAAGTCTCACTCTGTTGCCCAGGCTGGAGTGCAGTGGCGCGATGTCGGCTCACTGCAATCTCTGCCTCCCGCGTTCAAGCGATTCTTCTGCCTCAGCATCCTGAGTAGCTAGGACTACAGGCATGCACCACCAAGCCTGGCTAATTTTTTGTATTTTTAGTAGAGATGGGGTTTCACTGTGTTAGCCAGGATGGTCTCGATCTCCTGACCTTGTGATCCACCCACCTCGGCCTCTCAAAGTGCTGGGATTACAGGCGTGAGCCACCGCGCCCAGCCCAAAGACTAGACTTCTAAAACATCATCTGGGCGGGGTGTGATGGCTCACTCTTGTAATCCCAGCACTTTGGGAGGCCAAGGCGGGCAGATCACCAGGTCAGGAGTTAGAGACCAGCCTGAACAACATGGTGAAACCCCAACTCTACTAAAAATACAAAAATTAGCCAGGTGTGGTGACGCACACCTCTAGTCCCAGCTACTCGGGAGGCTGAGGCAGGAGAATCGCTTGAACCCAGGAAAGGGAGGTTGCAGTGAGCTGAGATCACACCACTGCACTCCAGCCAGGGTGACAGAGTGAGACTCTGTCTCAAAAAAAAAAAAAAAAAAAGATTCTGGGACAAATGCCCATCAACGATAGACTGGATAAAGAAAATGTGGCACATATACACCATGGAATACTATACAGCCATAAAAAAGAATGAGTTCATGTCCTTTGCAGGGATACAGATGAAGCTGGAAACCATCATTCTCAGCAAACTAACACAGGAACAGAAAACCAAACACTGCATGTTCTCACTCATAAGTGGGAGTTGAACAATGAGAACACACGGACACAGGGAGGGGAACGTCACACACTGGGGCGTTCCCCCAGGGCAAGGTTGGGGGCAAGGGAAGGGATAGCATTAGGAGAAATACCTAATGTAGATGAGGAGTTGATGGGTGCAGCAAACCACCATGGCACATGTATACCTATGTAACAAACCTGCACGTTCTGCACATGTACCCAGAACTTAAAGTATTAAAAAAAAAAATGACTCCGAGAGACGAGAATTGAGGGGATAAGTGGTCAACAATAACAATACTAAACTCAGCCAAATTAACTGCTGTATTAAAAATTGGGTTTCAATAATAAAATGTGGCACATCAAACCAGCCTGCCCCTATAAAAATATCAGGTTGATCTATTCATCAAACAAATATTTTTGAACATATAGTCTATGCCCAGGCACTGCACAAAATCCATAGGTATAACATGATGAACAACATGGCTTCCTGCTAGGATCTTAAACACTCAGAGGGGACAACACACCTTACTGGCAATGGCAACATAGTTTTATTAGTTAGGGTATGTTCAGCAAAAAAAATCAATAGGTTTAATAAAATTAAACTTTACTTCTTTTGCACAAAAGTCCAGATAGACAGTCCCAGGCAACTATGTAGACTCCACAATCATCGGGACGATGGGCTTCTACTAAATTGTTGCTCTATCATCGACACATGGCTTCCACCTTGTGGAAGATTCCCAGTAATGGGAGATCTCTCAAGAACCCACAAAACATTCCCTGGTGCCCAGAGACCATCAATGCCAGGTTATCACAGTACCGGTGAGGTAAGGCGTTCCTACACCCTTGCTACTCCTACTTAGGTACTTTTACCAAATTCTGGAAGATTCAGAGTCAGCCAAGTATATTAACACAGGAAGGAGAAGCACACAGTAGAAAAATGGAGAAGTTGGCCATCTTCCTCCCAAACTGAAAGCTTCCCAGGAGAGAAGCCAATGTTAACTTTATGAAATTCAGAATGCTGGTTATTAAAGTTCTTGGAAATTTTAATTATTGAAATTGAGGCTCTTCTTGAGATTTAAAGTGATCAGAGGGCATTGGTCAAAAGAGTTATGGTACCCAATATCTCATTCATCAGTTCATTTCTTCTATTCAATTCAACAAGAATTTCTAGTATGTGTCCTGCATTGTTCTAAGTATTAAGGAATGATATGAAAGAAACAAATCTCACAGTTGATGTGCCAAGCCCCAAGTTTACAATCAAAATAAAGCCTAGAATCTTGAACAGAATTGGTAACTTAAAATAGTGCGGTGGTTGCTATAGAGTGTCGACCTTAAAGAGATTCAAGAAATATGGTTAAATATAGCATTTAGTCAAGCACAAATTTTAAGGATAGGCATCCAGGAACACAGATTCCAAAGAATGGAAGCCAGTGCTCCAAAGTGGAGAAGTTTTGGGGGTCATTTATATAAATAAGGTTTGGGAAGCTTAACAATGTTTCAACATTTTCCACACAAGGCTAGCACACAGTTACAGTAATCTGATTAATTGAGGTGGTGTTCTTTTTGGGAAAGGTATATTTAACATTCCACATTGAGGATATAACAATCATGGAGTCTTCCGCACCATCTGATCTGAGTTAGATGCAAGATAATAAAGGAGGAAAGGCTAGCCATCATCAGGAGGGGGAGGTCTTATGTCTGGCACCATTTAGTCTTTCCTAATTGATTTGCAGAACAAGAACAACGAGAAAGAATGAATCTATAACCTGAGAAGCAGAAATTGCAGCCACATGCATGTGCTCAGACCACACAGTCACATTTCCTTTAAGGCTCAACATAATTTTTAGGCTTCTAAAAATTATAATTAAGTTTGAATTATTTAGGTTTCATACAGCCATTTGAAATCACATCTATTAGAGGGACTTACAGAGGGACTTACGAAGTTCAAATGGAATTTAAGTAAATCATGTTTTAAAATGATACATTTTTTGAGAACTTATTACTGTCAGTCACTGAGCTAAGAAATGTATGGAATTAGGTCAGCCGATCGTCAAAACGACCCATTGAAATAGGAATTATTGTTGCTACACTATACAGATGAAAAAACTCAGATGGCTGGTTAAGTTACTGCCCCAAAGTCTTATATTTGGTAAGGAGGAAAGCCATGGATTGAAAGCTGGGTAGTGTGATTTAGGAACCTTTCAATACTAGCTGTTCCAAGGCAATCTTGTTTGCAGAGATGACAGCCTGTATTAGTCTGTTTTCACACTGCTGTAAAGAAATCCCCGAGACTGGGTAAATTATAAAGGAAAGAGGTTTAATTGACTCACAGTTCTGCACGACTGGTGAGGCCTCAGGAAACTTACAGTCGTGGTGGAAGGTGAAGGGGAAGCAAGGCACCTTCTTCACAAGGCAACAGGAGGGAGAATGAACGCAGGAGGAACTACCGAACACTTATAAAACCATCAGATCTTATGGGAACTCACTCACTATCACAAGAACAGCATGGGGGAAACTGCCCCTGTGATTCAATTACCTCCACCTGGTCTCTCCCTTGACACATGGGGATTATGGGGATTACAATTCAAGATAAGATTTTAGGTGGGGACACAGCCAAACTATATTATAGCCTGTTATTCGCAAGTAAACTCATACATCCAAAAACGTATTATTGTTTAGAAAATATTACAACCTACCTTTAAATTCTTAAAATATTCAAATACTTTCTATAAACTTGATACATCAATCTTGATATCGATTTTGAAATTTAAAGGTACCAGAATATGCCCCACAAAAAATATACCACTTTGACAAGAATTATTTTGAGTTATAGGCAACTGAGAACCAGGAGATGCAGGAAAAGCTTTTTACTTCCCCCTATCTAAAAGGAAAGTATAAAATTTTCCTTTTATAAAGGATATTTATATTTACAAAGGAAATTTCCATTGTAAAGATGTCTCCATACCAAGAAGAGAGGCTCCTGGAGACAACTCTTACCACCTGATATGGTTTGGCTGTGTCCCCACACAAATCTCATCTTGAATTGTAGTTCCCATAATCCCTGTGTGTCATGGAACGGACGAGGTGGGAGGCAATCTAATCATGGGGGTGGTTCCTCTCATGCTGTTCTCGTGAGAGTGAGTGAGTTCACGGGAGACCTGATGGTTGTATAAGGGGCTTTGCCCCCGTTTGCTCAGCACTTCTCCTGCTGCCGCCATGTGAAGAACGACGTGTTTGCTTCCCCTACCACCATGATTGTGAGTTTCCTGAGGCCTCCCCAGCCACGCTGAACTGTGAGTCAATTAGACCTTTTTCCTTTATTAATTACCCAGTCTCAGGTATGTCTTTATTAGCAGCGTGAGAACAAACTAATACACCACCTGAGAGGCTCTTCTCAGCATGACAAAACAACTTTTAGTTACCATGCATTTCCTTCACTCTCCTTCCCAGAACTTGCCCCTAACTCCAGCCCAAATCCCCCTTTCTTTTGTTTAGCCTAAAATGGTATATAAGTTTCAGTCATCTGGCCACCTCCTCGGGCCACATTTTTTCTTTGTGAACTCCTCCAAACTCTGCTATGTGTTACCTCATATAATGCTAATTTCAACATTTTAAAGGCAAAGGGTATGGACAACATTGATGCAAACTTGCACTCCTAGTGCCCTCTAGTGGATATAGTTGGTTTCAGTTATCACTTGGTAGGTTTTAGTGAAACTTTCCATAAAAAGGAATGCTCTGTCACTATACTCTCTCCTCTCTCCTTTCTCTTCCTCTATTTTTTGGTCTTGTCCATGTTCCCAAGATACACTGACAATGTTACTCAGTGTTAATGCTAATAAAACTCTATTTACAAAACAGGTGTTTATTTAGAAAAATAGCCGTACCCATTTATTTGTGTCTGGTGGTTTTTGTGCTGAAACAAAAGAGCTGAGTAGTTGCAACAAAGACTCTATGACCTGCAAGGCCTAAAATATGTATTATCTGTCATTTTACAAAAAAAGTTCACTAACCTCTAATCATGGGACATATCACTAGTTCTGAAAGATGCTTTGGCTAGGAAAGGCTATTCCCTAGTTGAATATGTTTGGGAAATCCTCCATTAACATATTAAGCAGTAAAGAAACCTCTTTAATTTTAATTCTATATTTATTTACTTAGTTTACTCTGGGAATTCTTTTTTTCACCTAAGACCTATTAATATCGTATTCAATGAAACGTATTTTGGGAAATATTACTTTATAATATTGTGTTTTCTTGGAGTCAACAATTCTGTTTTTCACAGTAGAAGAATTGCTTTCTAAAGAATAGCACTATGCTTAGCTTTCATTTATTAAATAACAATATTTTAAAAATCCATTTTCAGCTGGTTATTAAATAACAATATTTTAAAAATCCATTTTCAGCCGGGCGCAGTGGCTTGCGCCTGTAATCCCAGCACTTTGGGAGGCTGAGGCAGGTGGATCACCTGAGGCCAGGAGTTCGAGACCAGCCTGGCCAACATGGTGAAACCCTGTCTCTACTAAAAACACAAAAATTAACCTGGCGTGATGGCGCACACTTGTAATCCCAGCTACTTGGGAGGCTGAGGCAGGAGAATCACTTGAACCCTGGAGGCAGAAGTTGCAGTGAGCCCAGATTGTACCACTGCACTCCAGCCTAGGCAACGAGAGTGAAACTCTGCTTGAAACAAAAAAAAGGGGGAAAAAAAATTCATTTAATCTTGTTATTCTGGAATTTTTTTTTTCTGTTACACTGCTCTTTCTTTGTTATCTTCTGCTTTTTTTTTTTTTTTTTTTTTTTGAGACAGTCTTGCCCTGTTGCCCAGGCTGGAATGCAGTGGCGTGATCTCAGCTCACTGCAGCCTCTGCCTCCCGGGTTCCAGTGATTCTGCTGCCTCAGTCTCCTGGGTAGCTGGGATTACAGGCACATGCCACCAGGCCCAGCTAATTTTTGTATTTTTTGTAGAGACGGGGTTTCACCATGTTGGCCAGGCTGGTCTCAAACTCCTGAACTTAGGTGATCCGCCTGCCTCGGCCTCCCAAAGCACTGGGATTACAGGCATGAGCCACCATGCCTGGCCTGTTGTCTTCTTTATTCATTCATTTAGTTTTTGAGCATGGTCAATTTTTAAATGCTTAATTATGCACCTCGAATATTCAGAAGAAAATGCACTTCTAAAATGATTTTCCGTGATTATTAATGCAGGATTCCACAAAATATGGAAATTAAAAAAGAGTAGGAGTAGAAACTAGCCCTCCTTTTAATAGAAATTTCATACCGTGCCAAAAGCAGCTAGTTCACCTTTTAACAAATAATTAGGCCTAACTGTTGAGGGTTGAGTAAAGCAAAGTGAGTTTACAAAGGAGACTGAGGTAGGGCACGATGGCTCATGCCTGTAATCCCATGTAGGCCCATGCCTGGCCCAAATGGTGAAACCCCATCTCCACCAAAAATGCAAAACTTAGCTGACGTGGTGGCACATGCCTGTGAGAGAGGAGATAAAAAGAAACTAGTTAGGCAGATGGTTAGGGCAAAGAGTCCTTGGCAGAACTTCCCTTCTAACAAAAAGCAGCGCAAGAAATCACTTCTCTTCTAACAAAGAGCAGCCTGGAAGATCAGGCTGCAAACAAAGATAAGGAAGCAGCTCCGGCAAAGAAGGGGAGCTTCCTGGGTAATCAGTAAGCTTCACTTACATACGGTGGGTCCCAGTAAGCACATTCCTTTCCTGTTTTGGACATACTCAGATAAGGAAGCTGGAAGTTTGCATGGAATATGCCTGCAGCTGCACCGATAGGAAGGGTTACCTGGTGCCAGGCACGTCAACCACGGGGGCTTCACCTTCCCCTTTTTTTAAGCACATGCACAGTAGGAAAGAGATAAGCAACATGGAGTAGCTCAGGCCAAGGACCCGCCTACATAATAAAAGGTTGGGGTGGAGCTACCAGACATTCATGCTTTATGCAAATGAGATGCCCAGCCCTCAACAGTTTCTTATAATTCAACTGTAGAAGGGGCAACACTTTTTGGGACACCTCTCTGCAGCAGAGAGCTGTTCTCTTTCTTTCGCATATTAAACTTCTGCTCTAACCTCACCCTTGGTTTGTCCATGTCCTTGATTTCCTCAGCCATGAGATCAAGAACTTTGGGTGCCACCCAGGCAATGAGGCCATTTCACCTGTAGTCCCAGCTACTCTGGAAGCTGAGGTGGGAGGATTGCTTGAGCCCGGGAGGTTGAGGTTGCAGTGAGCCAAGATCATGCCACTGCACTCCAGCCTCAGCAACAGAGCAAAACCCTATCTTAAAAAAAAAAGGAGACTGAAACGAGTATCAGGAATGTTAGAGGAAAACCAGAAGTGTGCCCATCACACTTTTATTTCCATGCTTCCATAGAATCTTCAGTTAATAATCATGGAAAATCATCTTCAAAGTGCCTTTTCTGTGTCTGTTGTGACAGCCAAGATGAGAGTGTCCCTTTTTTCAACTGGAATATGGAGAAAAACAGAGAAGACAGGGCTGAACAATTTTACCGGCAACTCATTTTTATAAGAAAAAAATAATCTTGCAATAAAGCAGGGTGGAGGTAAAATATTCAGCATCAATTTCTGTATCTGCTAATCTTGGTTGGCTGAAAAGTAGCAAAGGCTAAAATTAGTTGTATATATAAGTTTTGATCATAAGATAAATTACTGGAACACAGTATTACTACAGTACCATCTTGCAAATAGTTGGTCAAGAAACTCCTTTTAAAAATGAGTTTAACCAGGCATGGTGGTGCATGCCTGTAGTCCTAAGCTACTTGAGAGGCTAAAGTGGGAGGATCACTTGAGCCCAGGAGTTGAAGACCAGCCTTACCACATAACAAGACCCTGTCTTAATATATTTTTTTAAATAAGTTTAGAAACCAGACTAGGTATGTATAGAAAATAATACAAGAAAAAAAGGAAGAAAGAAGAAGAAAAATTGTCTGAATGATGTTATGGAGCAGACAAAATATGTAACCAAAGATATACCCATAAAAATTTTAAAACTAACACTTAAGGAAACATTTCGCTTTACATAACAAGAGTACAAGGCAGATATATAAGATTACAGAGACAAGATGATAATAATGACATGAAAAAAGTGAAAAATAAAAATATAACCAGGGTACCTAACCCTGGGTGGTTATTTAGCCTTTGAAAAACACAGGTCAGGCCATATTCTAAAGTGGCTACCAAAAGACTTTCAAATATCAGCTGTCTCAATAGCACTAGTGAGTTTATTAATCAACATTGTTGACAAAAAGAAAAGCAAACTCTGTAAAATATTTAAAGCTGTTTATTTCCAGCTAATATGCGTGACTGTGGCCCTAGGGATAGTCTCGGGAGGTCCTGAGAAAGGGTGCCGGAGGCAGTAGGGTTACAGTTTGGTTTTATACATTTTGGGGAGACAGAAGTTACAGGCAAAGACATAAATCAATACATGGAATACATAAATTATATATACATTGGTTCAGCCCAGAAAGGCAGAACATCTTGAAGTGGGGGCCTCACGGGTTATAGGTGGATTCAAAGATTTTCTGATTGGCATTTGGTTGAAGGAGTTAAGCTTTGTCTAAAGATTTGAAGTCAGTAGGAAGAAATAGTTAAGGTAAGGAGGGTTGTGGAAGCCAAGGTTCTTTTATGTAGATGAAGCCTCCAGGCAGCCGACTTCAGACAGAACAGATGATAAATGTCTCTTTTCAGACCTTAAAATGTGTCAGGCTCTTAGTTAATCTCTCCTATATCTGAGAAAGGCCTGGCTGTAATAATGAAGATTTTCTATGGATGCAAACTTCCCCTACAAAAGACACCTTTGCAGGGCCATTTAAAAATATGTCAAAGAAATATATTTTGATGTAAAATGTTTTTATTTCCCTCATGGTCTGCTGTCATGGGATGCTATACCAGTCAGATTGCAATTTGGTACCGTATTGCCAGAGGCTGTTTTGTCAGTCTTGTGTTCTCTAATTTAATGTTAATGCTGGTCAGCTATGTCTGAACTCCAAAAGAGAGGAGGTATAACAAGGTGTGTTTGACTTCCCTTCCTGTCATGGCCTGGAATTTAGTTTTTCAGGAGTTTCTGGGATCCCCTTGGCCAAGCCTAAAAGTCTGTTCAGTCGGTTGGGGGCTTAGAATTTTATTTTTGATTTATAACTTTAAGGAGATATGAGTGGTGTTCAAACTAGGTGTTTGACCAGAGATATTGTACAAACTCCTACATGCTTGGATGAAGTGGCTTAAGAATCTAGTTAGGGGCCGGGTGCAGTGGCTCATGCCTGTAATTCCAGCACTTAGGGAGGCTGAGGCAGGTGGATCAATTGAGGCCAGGAGTTTGAGACCAACATGGCCAACATGGTGAAATCCTGTCTCTATTAAAAATGCAAAAATTAGCCAGGCGTGGTGGTATGCACCTGTAGCCCCAGCTACTTGGGAGGCTGAGGTGGGAGGATCTCATGAGCCCAGGAGGCAAAGGTTGCATTGAGGCAAGATCACAGCACTGCACTCCACTCTGGGCGACACAGTGAGACCCTGTCTTAAAAAAAAAAAAAAAAAAATCTAGTTAGGCCAGTAGCCCATACCTGTCAGAGGAACTTGAACCAGAGAGACTCCATTTTGAGTGAGGTTTAGGAAAATGAGGCTGAGACTGGCTAGGCCGCATTCTCAGAAAAAACAGGCATTCCTAGCCTCTAGACATTTACAGTTAAGGGAACAAATTAATAATGCTTACTAAAACAGACCCAGACTTGGGAATGTCCCGATATCCTGATGTCTGGAGAACAAAGACATTCCTAATTTTGCTTTAAAGATGATAATAACGATTCTTGCAAAATATAGTAATTAAGAAAATTAATTCTTTAACACAAACCCTTGTGGCAGAACACATCTCCCCACATATACAAGCATTGTACCTAGGATGGATGTGTTCCTCCTCTTACTTTCGGGAACGTCCTACTCTATGTATGGAGTAGCTGTCCTTTCACTTTACTTTCCTAACAAACTCCCTTTTGCTTTGCACTGTGGACTTGCCCTGAATTCTTTCTTGGGAGAGATCCAAGAATCCTCTCTTGGAGTCTGGATCGGAACCCTTTTCCTGTAACATACCCATTGGAGTGGCATGCTCCACCCAAGGCTAAAATTCAGTCCTGGTTCTGGTCACTAAGCTATCAGAGGGTTCTGTCCCTTGATTCCTTGTTGTCCATCATATCCGAATTGAGTGACCCCTTCTGCCAAAAGGTAGGGAATTGGAATTTCCCCAAGCATCTAAGTAATCATATGATTGCCTTGTTAATATGAAGTATTTGTATATGTGGCCAAACTCATTGTAACATACTAGTGGGTAGACAGCCTGAGAGGAGGAGAGCTGTAGTGGATGTGAATACACATCCCAGTGTTAGTGATACAGCACTGATGAGTGGAGGAACACCAGGGCTCTTGTCTCACGCGAATTAGATGAAATGACAGACACACGTGGAGTGGTTTTTAAGGAGTGAAGACTTTAATAAGCAAGAAAGAAGGGAGAAAACAGAGGGAAGAAGCTCCCCCGTATAGAGACAGAGGGAGGGGGACTCCAAAGCCGAGAGAGGAGACCCCCAAGTGCGGTGGATACCAGCCAGTTATATGAGGAGGCTGAAGGAGGCAGTGTCTGATTTGCATAGGGCTCAAGGGATTGGTTTGACCAGGCATGTCATTCATGTAGCCCACAAAAACTGGCCCTCCCACCCTAGCCTTTTAATATGCAAATGAAGGGCACCGTGATGTTCTACACACATGGGGATATGTGGGGGTGGCCACATTGCCAGGCACATGGGAGCAAGGGCAAGAGAACAACGGTGGGAATCACCATGTTTGGGGGGATCCAGTTTCTAATGGACTGTATTTGCATATCAAAGGTTGGCAGCCCAGCTGTAAGACCTGGGGCTTTCCTGCTAGATGAGAAAGGTTTCTGGAGCTACTTTAAAAGAAACAACTTAGCTGCTTTAAAAGAAACAACTTTCGTGGCTGGGGGAGGGATAGCATTAGGAGAAATACCTAATGTAAATGGTGAGTTGATGGGTGCAGTTAACCAACATGATACATGTATGCCTATGTAACAAACCTGCACGTTGTGCACATGTACCTTAGAACTTAAAAGTATAATAATAAAAAAAGAAACAACTTTCCAAGGACCCCTTTTCCTATCTGCCTGAAATAATTTATTAATAACTCCTACCACATGAGGCTCGGAATATGATACCCCGAAATATGGCCCTTTGACATGCTGAACTAAAGCAGCAGCCTCAAGGTCTTTCTACCTCCCACCTCCACACTGACTCTACCCCAGCCCTATTTCTCCTAAAGCACAGGATAAGGTTTTTCTCTGATAGTCCTTTATCTACCTTAAGACTGGACTCACCAGAGGGACTGCCCCCTCTTCCCTCTCTGAAATCTCATTTTCTATCTCAGAAAAGACTGAGGAATGAAACCACACCTGGAAAGACTTTTACACAAGATAATGTTTGTCACACGCGTCCGTGTGAAGAGATCACCAAACAGGCTTTGTGTGAGCAACAAGGTTGTTTATTTCACCTGGGTGCAGGCGGGCTGAGTCCGAAAAAGGAGTCAGCGAAGGGAGATGGTGCGGGGGCAGTTTTACGGGATTTGGAAAATTACAGTCAAAGGTGTTGAGTCAAAGGGGTTGCTCTCTGGCAGGCAGGAGCAGGGGTCACAAGGTGCTCAGTGGGGGAGCTTCTGAGCCAGAAGGATTTTCACAAGGTAACGTCATCAGTTAAGGCAGGAACCAGCCATTTTCACTTCTTTTGTGATTCTTCAGTTGCTTCAGGCCATCTGGATGTATATGTGCAGGTCACAGGGGATATGATGGCTTAGCTTGGTCTCAGAGGCCTGACAATGTTTGCCTCTTGGGCTCATTGAAATTCCAGAGAGTCATTTACAAGTTACTGCCTCCAGGTCCATTCACTCCCACTAATTATCATTTACTACTCCTCAAAATTGCCACACCTCCATCTCCCTTTCTTCTATGAAGTAGTACGCATCTGGATCTCACTGGGTTACTGGGAAATTGTTCTCATGTGACTCCCCTGTGCTTAAGCAGGTTAAATAAGTTTCACATGTCTTCTTCTATGATCAGCTTGCTGTCAGTTTATTTTCAGTGAACCTTTTGAAGGCAGAGGGGAAGCTTTCCCTTGGCCCCTACAGCTTGGTGCCCAGAACAGACCCAGTTTATCCCATTGTCCCCATAATTGTAATTGTTAATAGTGCCCTCTTTCACTCTCAAAATGTCTCTTTTGGGATGAAAACTTATGTGGTCATCCTCTCTATAACTCTCATCTACCTATACCTAGTAGAGACTACATGTATCGGCCCAAAATAACCTAGTAATTGTGAATGGCAAAATAGGCCAACCAACACCAAAAGCTTGTAAGAGTTCATAGTTCTGATCAAAAGCCAAGAAATAATAAAATTGATAGGCAGGCTGGGATTGTCAACCCCAGCCTTATCAAGTGTTTAACCTAACTGAACAAATGCGCTACTAGAAACTCAATTTTCATTTCAATATCCTTGAAGTAGAAAAGTAGTCTTTGAACAAATCACTGTATCTTAGAGGCATGTGTTTAAAATACTGGCCTAGCTACCAAGAACTTTTAAAGATTGACATTTCCATGATGTGCCTGACAATTTAATCGACCTTATAAAGTGCTTCTCAGGCTTCCTGGGACAATGTTTCCCAAAGTGTACTATGCAGATCCGTTCTTCAGAACCGGGGCTTGTTAAAATCCCAAGATTTAAAAACAACAAATGAAAACAAATGGAAATTAACAACAAAAACAAAGTTTCATCCCCAAACCAGACCAACGAAATTGGGTTCAGAAGGTAGAACCTCTGGTATTACATTTTTATTAACTCCCTAATGATTATGCTCCTCCTACATTTTGAGAACCATTGCCCCACTGGGTTCTAAAAGCTGCAAGATTCCATAAGATACCTTAGTTCTTGACCAGCTGCAATGTAGATGTCGGAACATTTCTCATGGTCTACGCCCAGAGGTATGCTGATGAATGTTTATCAAATTATTCTCCAGGGGAAAAAATCTTTTAAACTGCTAAAGTTTGTGTAGCACACACTTTACAAGTAACAATAAAATATGCAATACTCTTTATTGTAAATTCCAAAAAGCCAATTGATTCTCAGAGAAGTTTTTTTTTTTTTTGAGGCGGAGTCTCGCTCTTTCGCCCAGGCTGGAGTGCAGTGGCGCTATCTCGGCTCACTGCAAGCTCCGCCTCCCGGGTTCACGCCATTCTCCTGCCTCAGCCTCCCCGAGTAGCTGGGACTACAGGTGCCCGCCACCGCGTCCGGCTAATTTTTTGCATTTTTAGTAGAGACAGGGTTTCACCGTGTTACCCAGGATGGTCTCGATCTCCTGACCTCGTGATCCACCCGCCTCGGCCTCCCAAAGTGCTGGAATTACAGGCGTGAGCCACCGCGCCCGGCCACTCAGAGTAGTTTCTTTGATTTTTGCTGAGCTCTTGTATAGAAAACCAACCTATGTTGCAATTGATAAGCGAGAATAATTTTAGTATGAATGCTGGTTGATATTTCTGTTTACATTAACGAGGAAGAGGAAGTGAGAAAACACATGTTGGATCTTCACTAGTTCATCAGTGATACGGGCAACTTCTTTGTTGAACTGGGTAAAACTTTTCAGATACTGCAGGAATATTTTCCTAAACTATTTGTGCTACTCGTTACAGCTACAAATATGCAACACTTTTAATATGCATCACTAACATTTTCTCCATCACTTTCTTAGGTCTAGCGTAGACAACAAAAATAAATAAATCAAGCCCTGGTGTGTAGCATTTGCTGGTTTTCCTGAGGTAAACATTCTACTATCATTGATTTCAAGCTACCAGCAAGTCACTGAATGTAGGGTTGGCAAGAGATGAGCAGAAACACACCATTGTGTAGTATTTCCAGGATACAGATAAAATAGACATAAATAATCCTGAGTAATATTCAGGAAGTAATTTTGAGTGCTTTATTACCTTTATTTTTAATATATTCAGTTGTAGGTTTATATAGTTTAATTTTTTTATTAGTGTCTGTTTAACAATCGGTTCAATTTAATATTCAGCTGAGTGGTTTAAATATGAGATACCACTGTGATTATGCCTCCTCATTCTTGTCTTTCCTCCTCAGACTTTTTATAAGCCCATGGCCCTAAACTCTCAAGAAGGAAATGAGTGTCCTTAGAATGTGACCTTCCTCTCCAACTTGTCCCACACCTGCTAAGACACAGAGTGGAAGGAGCTGAAAAGCCAGAGACCCACTTAAGATCCAGAAGCATAAGCAGCAGTTGCAGAGAGGCACACAGACTAGCCACCCATCTCTCAAGAAGAGTTGTTCCAAGTACAGGTTTGGAATCTTCAGTCTGAAAACGGGGTCTTTTGATCTCTCCCCACTTTGGTGCAGTCTGCTCCGATTAGTGCCGAGATTGAGACTGGAACAAACCATGGTAGCTGTCAATGGCACAAGGACCCCATCTGCTCCAGACTTGACTGACCCTGGCTCTTGTACTCCCTGCCACCCACTCCTACACCCTGTCTTCCCTCCTTCTCCAATGACAAGAGATATTCATTGAAACAACCTTGCTCCCATTTCTCTATCTGCAGCAGGGCTGAATTGAAATTTCTTATGTCCAAATGCCCATTCTCTGAATAAAAAAATATTTTGAAACCAGACTTTCTAATCAACAGATACTAATACGCTATACAGTGAATAGCATGTCTTTATTCTATTTACAGTATATTTGTTATAAATATAATACATTTTTGAAAAGCTTATTTTTAATTAACTTGAGATTTATATTTTAAACAGATCAACTCAATAGTTAACGTTATATAATAAAGAATATGGTAATTTTAATGACAAAAATCGTATTGTGAAATAGCGCACTCTATACTGAGATGAATGAGGGGAAAAAAGTCAAAACTCCTTTCAAAACTATATTCAAAGCATCAGAAAAAATTTTTTTTTCTTTTTACAAAGTTATGTATAAGTCATAGGGACCACCAAATACTGAAATATGAAGACTCTATGACCAAAGTTCAAAACTGATTTTAAGGAACTGTGTGAAGCAAGACAGGAAAATTTGTATTTAACACTCTATAGAACTTCACAGTAAAGCTGGAATTTAGAGACTAATGGCTTAACAGGAGTACTGCCAACAAGGCCTTTCCTTTCTCAGAATCATCTCCTAATATTCGTATACCATTGACAAGTTGTAACAGCAGACTTAGACTTTGTGTTTTCTTAAGATGGGGCTTAATAAGGTGCACAAATATGCTGATATCCTGTATTATGAGCATGTAAATTATTCTCAGGGTTTAAAGAAATACAGAAAAAGAATGTTAAGTATTCTCAGTCCAACGTGCTTTGCATCATCAACAAAATGACAAGTCAAAGTATTTTGCAGGGATCAGATATCAATCAACCTCCATAACAAGTTAGGTATATCAAATACTGCTGTAAAACCCATCCAGCAAAAACTGATTATTGTGGATTTCAGTACAAATTTCCAAGTTGTCACACATTACTGATGATGATCAGGGCAGGCATGGAATTCTGCTGACTTGTTTCAAACACTGTAACTTGGTCCGATAACTTGGCAAATACCCTAGGAGTTCCAAGGTTATAAACACCTGTATGAACAAAGCATGCTTTCAGCTGCAGACTGTGAATCTCCTGGCTTTTAAGTTGAAGTTTATACTGTGTTTGTCCAAGCCATGTGAATGATCCATGGATTTCCAGTGCTTCTGGACTAAGGGAGGAGGAAAATGTAAGTTGCAGGATTTTTTTCTTTTTAATTTTTTTCCCAAAGTCACATTAACATATCCCTTTCAGCTGGGCGCGGTGGCTCACGCCTGTAATCCCAGCACTTTGGGAGGCTGAGGCAGGTGGATCACCTGAGATCAGGAGTTCAAGACCAGCCTACCAACATAATGAAGCCCCGTCTCTACTAAAAATACAAAATTAGCCAGGTATGGTGGTGCACGCCTGTAATCCCAGCTACTCAGGAGGCTGAGGCAGGAGAGTCACTTGAACCTGGGAGGCGGAGGTTGCAGTGAGCTGAGATTGCACCACTGCACTCCAGCCCATGAGAGAGCAAGACTCCATCTCAAGAAGAAAACAAACATCCCTTTCATCTAACAATTCTATTTCTAAAAATTATTTTATGAAGCCAACTGTTTATTAATAATAGCAACATCATTACTATAACAGCTAACATTTATTATTTAATAGTTTCTATTCTCTAGGCACAATGCTAAAAGTGGATTATTTCATTTAATGCCCTAAGAGTTAGTATATGTTGGAACTTGATTTCAAACCTAAACTTTTAACTCCTTAGTTAGCCATATATAAGTGTCTGTACATGAATGCTTTTAATATTGAAACTGTTTATAATATTGAAAAATGGAAAACCCAGTACCCAATAAAGTATTAATAAATTTATGATACACAAAATCACATATATAGGTGTGTGTTTGGATTTCAGAGAACTGTCCCAGATCCTGTTTGGGGTGTTATACAAAAATATTAAGTATACGCTTTATAGTATTTTTCCAAAAATTCAAAAATTTCTGAATTCCCAAAAGCATTTGGCTCTAGGAGTATCTGATGTGGGACTGTGGATCTGGATTTTTTTTTGTTGTTAAGTACTATTTTATAATCAAGAAAAAAAAATCTTTAATATTTAAAGCCTCTGTAACACATCTGTAAGCCTTCTATATTACCAAACAAAAAACCAGGACAAGCTTGAGTAACTTTCTTATCCATGTTAGGTAATTATTTGCATAATTTCAAAATATTAAATTGCTCCCAAATCAAATAACCTTGCACTAAACAAATCTTTACCTTGTTGTTTTATGCCGAAGATCAACTATGACATCTACATCAGCCTTAGAACAATTGGAAAGTAAAAGAGTGACTGGTACTAAACAAAGGCTATGGAAGAAAAATAAACAAAAAAGTTATATATTTTTTTCTTCTTAAAAGCAATTTTCCTGAAAATAACACTTAAGACTATGTAACAGAGCATAAGCTCCTTAAAAACAATCAGATTCAAGAAGGAAAAAGCTCAAGTTCCAAAATCACTCAAGACAAATTATATTGTAAATAAAAAATATATTAATACAATGACAATATTAAATATCAGAATATATACATTCACAGAACTATTTTATTTTCATTTATTAATCTTCTAAAAACAACTAAAATGTTTCTAGATATTTCACAAAATGAAAAACAAAATCTCAACTTAGATCAATGAAGAAAAAGTAAACCATGAAAATGCCAACAACTAATACTGTTGTCTTTGTGCTTATTAAAAATTACTTAATTTTGAGAACTTGGCCTAGACTGACATTTGTTTTTCTATCAAATTTGCACAACATCATGTTTTGAAGAATATAAGAATGATTTCTATATAGTTATGAGGAAATCTCTTTCGAGTGGATACATTTTGCTCAGGTAGCCTAGTTTCTGATACCATAATTAATAAATTACTAAAGCATAGGAAAAAAGGCAGTGATAGAAGAGGACATGCGAATAGAGTGGTACAGATTTCAAATCAAGAATGCAAGAAATGAATATAACATGTACAAATGAAGCAGGGTTATATACTATTATCTACCTTTTACTCTATAAACACAAAGATAGTAAAGAAGAAAAAATAGTAACCGTATAAGTTCATACACATTAACTTTTAAATTCTGCTCAGATAATATATTTTATACTTTCAGAAACTTTATATCTTCTTACTGAGAAATACTTTTTAAACAATACCGCAAACGTCACAGGTTTCCCTAAACAAAAACTAAGATGATTTAAAATACATACCAGGTTGTACTGGTGCTATGCCCTAACTTCCCCCACAAACTTCTCATGTGGCAAGAAGGGCAACAAAGACTACTGGGTAGGTGTCCAGTCAGTCTGAAGCATCTCATTAAATTAAGTTCCAATTGCATAATTTGTAGCCCAAAGTAAAAATTCAGGAACTTATGCTATTCTGTTCCCATTTGATCCTCAAATGTCAAATTCTTTGTACCTTATACAAATGCTTCTAGTAGAAGAAGAAATGTGAACATGTGGATATCTCCTGGTCCAAAGTGAAACTCATCATCTTCATTCCAGTGAAGAGCACCCCCATCTACCCCAGCAAACTGTAAGTATCATACTGATTCCTCCTAACAGTCACTAACCTCCACTCCCAATGTTCTTCACAAATTCCTGCCAATTCTCTCACCCACACATCTCTGGAACCTGGTTACTTCACTGTATCTCATTTTCCTTACAAGTTCAAGTCTCATGTCTCATTTTACTGCAAGAGCCTCTTAATTAGCACCACAATGCAATCTATTCTTTAACCATGTTTCTCACACTTGAGTATGCACCAGAAATACCTGGCAAGCTTGTTTTAAAAAACCTGCTGGGCCTACTCTCAGAGATTCTGATTCCATAGGTCTGGAGTGTGGCCCAAACATTGCATTCCTAGGCTGGGCACGGTGGCTTGCGCTTGTAATCCCAGCATTTTGGGAGACCGAGGCGGGCGGATCACAAGGTCAGGAGATCAAGATCATCCTGGCTAACATGGTGAAACCCCGTCTTTACTAAAAATACAAAAAGTAGCCGGGCGTGGTGGCAGGTGCCTATAGTCCCAGTTACTCGGGAGGCTGAGGCAGAAGAATGGCATGAACCCAGGAGGTGGAGCTTGCAGTGAGCCGAGATCACACCACTGCACTCGAGCCTGGGTGACAGAGCAAGACTCCGTCTCAAAAAAAAAAAACAAAAAACAGAAATTACATTTCTAAGTTCCCAGATGATACTAATACTAATGCTCCTGGTCTGGGATCACATTTTGGTTGTTGTTGTTGTTGTTGTTGTTGTTTTTTATTCTTTGAGATGGAGTTTTGCTCTTTTTGCCCAGGCTGGAGTGCAGTGGCACGATCTTGGCTCACTGCACCCTCAGCTTCCCAGGTTCAAGCTATTCTGCCTCAGCCTCCCCAGTAGCTGGGATTACAAGCGCTCGCCACCACACCCGGCTAATTTTTTTTTATTTTTTAGTAGAGATGGGGTTTCACCATGTTGACTAGGCTGGTCTTGAACTCCTGACCTCAGGAGATCCGCCCGCCTTGGCCTCCCAAAGTGCTGGGATTACAGGTGTGTGCCACCAGGTCCAGTCTTGGGACCACATTTTGAAAACTGCTTTACACATTAGTTTTTCTAAAATGCTAATCTAATGAACCACAAACAGGGCTGAGAAATCAAAGTTCTGACAACTATTCTCCCACCACTGCATCCAGTGAAAAAGCTGGGCTCTAGAGTCAGACTGCTACCTGTACCTCAGTTTTCTCAACTGTAAACTGCAAAGAATAATAATTGATTCTACCTCTTGGGTTTGTTGTGATTAGGTAAAACATGTTAAGTGCTGAGAATGGTGACTAGCACATGTTCAAAAGCTCCATAAACATTATTTAATATAACAATTTATGCTCATGGCAGCTAAACATAGTATGATTTTATCTTTGTTATCTCCTGTCACCTATTCTTTCTTCTATTCTCATACCTCTACTGCTCTGTGTCCCACTACCATGACCAAACCTCCTACTGTCCCATTTCCTCACATTTCTACTTGTTTTCTGAAACCCCCATTAAATTAAGAATGCTTCCTTATATCCTCCATCTCTTCTCTTTGTGTTTCTACATCTATCTTTAACTGTATTGTCCTCTCAACAATAGATGCTGTATTTCTTCCAACATCTTCCATACCTCAGGGTGGCTGATGTAGTTCTTAATGATTTCTTTCTACTACCTCTCCTGTAAAGATGCCTCCACTTTTTCATCATAAACTACCTTAAGGTTTGTATTCTTTTTTCTGTTCCCATTCTAACAAACACAGTGACAGTAACTCAGTACAGCGAGAATTCTTTGGGGGAAAGGGGAAGAAATGGATATTCTGAAATATTTGAGGTAAAGATGAAGCATGTGTAGTCTGAACATCTGCTTTACCTCCCATTTGTGAATTCATCTGCTGTATCGGTCAAGCAGAGGCATACACCTAGTAAGACACTATTCTCTCGCTACCCTCCTCTGTACTATCTATTGGCATAATTTTAAAAGTGTCAGGGAAGTTTGTTTTCTTCCTTCAACTCCAAGTCTTGTCATCATTTTGGACAACTTCACTGTCTAGGTATATGACTTATTCAGCACCTTCCCAAATCCTGGACCTATCATCTCCATAATCTTCAGTACTATTCAAAACTCAGCCACACAACTTCCATGACCAAACCATGAAATTTTTTCCCATCACATTAGACAACTATCCCTAACATAATACTCGGTCACCCCACTTTGACCACCATCTCCCAACTCTCTAGCTTTCTCAATTATACTCTCTCATCTGTTTTTGAGTTTTACACAGACACCCAGTCACTTGATCCTTCATTTCAATGGTTCTCAACCTTGGTTACTGTGGTAACTGTGAGTACTGCTTAGCAGTTATTCACTCTCTCTGTGGGACTGTGAATCATCCTTGTTGATATGGAAGTGAGGCTATTTGGTCAATGAAATATTAACATCTTTTGATGCAAGCAAAAGTCTTAAATGTGCTTTTGCAATGTGGCTCACTTTTTATACTCCGGAGACATGCCACCAGAACATACTCCAGGTAGCAGCTGCTCCTTTGGACTGGGCCCAAAATATATGTGGCACAGACGGGAACCCAAGTTTCTTCAGGTGCCAAATCCAAACAGCACACAGACCAAAGCACAGCTTCGGCCAAATTATCAACTGGCAGACCCATGAGTATGGAAATAAATGCTTTGTTATAAGCTACTCATTTCTGAAATGGTTTGTTATGAAGCATTATTGTGGCAACAATGACTAATAGAGATGGACATGGGTATGATCTGCAGACATTTTAAAACTAGAGATGCCGGTACCCTGCTTCCAGAGAATCTGATTGAATCAGCCCAAGCATTGGAAATGTCAGAAATTCCCAAATGATTCTAACATGCAGCCAAGGAGAAAACTGCCACATTTTATCCTTGAACCTGCCTTGTTTTCACATACTTCCATGCAGAGTTTTGATTTTGGAATGCTTCATTTAACCCACTCTTCTACTTTAGTTTGATCAAAACTTTCCTGTTTCACATAGATTCCATAGGGTTTTTTAACCCCTAAGTAGAATGATGTAGAGAACTCCTAAACATCCTAGCCTCTCAATGCAGCAAAGGTTTAACCACTAAGGTTAAAAAGAAGCACCAAGGTTATTCAGAAAGTACATGAAGCAGGACGGGTTTAATAAACAGAGCTGAAGTAGAAGATTGGGTTAAAATGAATCACAGAATCAAAATTGTTCATAGAAGTGTGTGAGGTTCAATAAGGATAAAACACAAACATTTTTATTTTCACTTATGGTTGCATATTAGGATCACCTGGAGAACTTAAGAAAATCCAGATGCCAACCCCTACTCTGGGCCAATCAAACTGGAACCTCTGGGGGTAGGACTGAATGAAGCATCTTTCAGTCTTTTTTTTTTTTTTTTTTTTTGAGACAGAGTCTCGCTCTGTCGCCCAGGCTGGACTGCAGTGGCACGATCTCGGCTCACTGCAAGCTCCGCCTCCTGGGTTCATGCCATTCTCCTGCCTCAGCCTCCCAAGTAGCTGGGACTACAGGTGCCCGCCACCACACCCGGCTAATTTTTTTGTATTTTTAGTAGAGATGGGGTTTCACCGTGTTAGCCAGGATGGTCTTGATCTCCTGACCTCGTGATCCGCCCGCCTTGGCCTCCCAAAGTGCTGGGATTACAGGCGTGAGCCACCGCGCCCGGCCCATCCTTCAGTATTTCTTACATTTCCCCAGGTGAACCCTGCATACATCTGTATCAGAGAAAGGAACAAAGCATGAGTACTGGGCAACATTAAGACCATGACAAAGACTTAGGACCACAAGTATTTAAAAAATAACTTAGGATAAAATTTTTTAAAGATCCAACAAGAGTTAAGTGCTGGTGAAGGTATCAAGCAGAAGGAATTCGCATATGCTGCTATTGGAATATGCAAATTAGTAAAACCACTTTGGAGACGTTACTATGTAAAAAAAAAAAGGCAAGCACATATGTACAAGGAAAGGTGTAGAATATTCACAGCAGAATTCAAAATAGTTCAAATCAGAAACTATTCTATGGCTGAGCGTGGTGGCTCACGCCTGTGATCCCAGCACTTTGGGAGGCCGAGGCAATCTGCCTGAGCCCAGGAATTCAAGACCAGCCTGGCCAACATGGTGAAACCGCATCTCTACTAAAAATACCAAATTTGGCTGACCTGGTGGTGTACAGTGCATGCCTGTAATCCCAGCTACTCAAAGGCTGAGGCACGAGAATCACTTGAACCTGGGAGGCAGAGTTTGCAGTGAGCCAAGATCGTATCACTGCACTCCAGCCTGGGTGACAGTGTGTGACTCTGTCTCAGAAAAATTTAAAAAAAGAAAAAGAAGAAGAAGAAAAAAAAATATTTTAAAAGTCCATTAACACTTAAGTAGGTAAACTAATTCTGGTATATCGAAACATACTCACATGCAATGAAAATCAATTCTACAGGTTCCTGCAATGGCTGACTCTTACTAACACAGTATTAAATGAAAGAAGCTAGACATACAAATATACTCTATAATTCTACTTATATAAAGATTACAGAGATAATCATTTAGGTGTTAGCTTTGTTAAAAAAAAAATCACTTAAAAAAAAAAAAAAAAAAGAGAGACAGGGTCTTGCTGTTTTGCCCAGGCTAGAGTGCAATGGTGCAAACATAGCTGACCGTAGCCTCAAACTAATGGGCTCAAGCGATCCTCCTGCCTCAGCCTCCCAAGTAGCTGGAACTACAGGTGTGTACCACCATGCCCGGCTCTAAGTTACTTTTTAAAATATTTTTTCTCTTAAAGTCACTGTCAAGGTCTTAATTTTGCCCAGTACTCCTTCTATGCATCCTCAGCTAGCATCTTCTCAGTAGCTATCCTAAAATTTCACTTTTTTCAAATTCTCTACCCTTTACTCTTATCTCCTAGATTAATTAGCTAACCTTGCTCTTATAACTACCCCCTGAAATGGAGGCACTACATAACGTGTAAGAAGGTCCCTTCTTTAGCGCAAAGCAAATCCTGTCATTCTTCAGTGCATGTATCTTATCTTTCCATCTACTAAGGATTTTGTTAGTTTCCCTGTATCTCATCATTTTCTTCAAGACCACAAACATGCCTATATCGTACCTAGTAAGAACAGATACTCCCTGATCCCTTTTCATAGCCCAGTTTCTTGAAAGGATGGTCAACGCGGTATCTTTACTTTCTTACCTCCTATTTGCTTCTCAACCTATGATGTCATGCTATTCTACCCTCTATACAGTGGCATTCTTCTCAAAAATCATGATCTCCTTATTGTCAGATCCAATGACCTTTTGGCCCATTTACTATTTGACCTTTCTGTAGCATCTTAAACTATTAACCACTTCTCTTGAACTATTCTCACTCAACCTTTGAGATAGTTTCTTTTTATTGGTCTTTTCTTCCTAATTTTTTAATTAGTTCTTTTTCTTCAGTTTTCTTCATAGGCTTCTTTTTCCTTAGCTTCTTTCTCAGATGTTACTGTTCCACAGGTCACCATCCTCTTTCTGTTCTATTCCATCCTATCCCCATCCCCATCCAGGGTGTTTGCACCAAAATTCATACCTTCAATTATTACTTAGATTGTTTCTAATAGGCTTCTCTCCATCTTTTATTTGCAAAACTGGCAAACTTTTGAAGTGTTGCCTGATTCAGGACTTCTTATTTTTAGAATTTTAGAGATTTATATATTCCAGCTATTTACCAAAATTACAAATATATCACATTTGCCATGAAGTTTACTTAATAAATCTTTAACTGATATTGTCTAAACTTGAACTGTTTAGTTCAAGTATTCTATAGACTCAAAAACATTCTAAATTTCCTCTTCAATATTTGGGTTAATGTCACTGCCAAAATAAAAGAAACAAATACACGTGCCAGTGTGTTGTAGAAAATTTTGGTAACAAAAATAAAGCTCAAACCTTTTTTGATGAAATGGATGATTAAATGATTCTGGGTAGTGAAGACTCGTTTTAATGAGACTAGAAAGCTGCTCTACTGATGGCCTTGAGGAAACTGTAATGTTTTCTGGCCTGAAAAATTTCAATAGTTCCATTTCTGGTGGCTCCTGAGAAAAGAAAGAAAAAACATATGACAATAAAAACACTACCTTGTTTAAAAAAAAAAAAAGCATAGTGTATATATACAAAAGTTAAAATCAGCAGAGATAATGTAATGCATGAACAGTACTTTTCTGCTGTTAAGCTAATAGCTGCTATCATTTGCAGTGTAATCTAAGATAAAAAAATCAGTATCTGGAATCATTTATTCATTCCTCACTTATGTGTTGGAGTTAGACTTGAATCTCAGTAGCTTTACATATTAGCTCTGTTATCTTGGATAAGTTACTTAATACTTTAATAATTAATTTCTTCATATGTAAAAAGAAGTTCATGACAATAATAACTTCAAAGGTTGTTGTGATTCTCATCTGATAATACTGCACAGGACTTAGGACTGCAGACATTCGATTGCATAGCACCTATTTTAATAGCTGAAAATCTAAAACTGTTTAATATTTCATTCTGAAAATATCCTGCTGCATTGTATAGTATAATCTATACTATAATGTGCTTCAACTACACTAGCTAAAGGTTAAAATGCACGTAAAAAGTATTAACATAGCTGTTTGTCAGGCACATTATGACTATTTCAATAAATAATCATTATCATCTAATGAAAATAGAGGTCAGGCAGGGTGGCTCACGTCTGTAATCCCAGCACTTTGGGAGGCTGAGGAGGGCAGATCACTTGAGGCCAGGAGTTGGAGGTTAGCCTGGCCAACATGGTGAAATGCCATCTACTAAAACTATACAAATTAGCCAGGCGTGGTGGTACACACCTGTAATCCTAGCTACTCAGGAGGCTGAGGCAGGAGAATCACTTGAACCCAGGAGGCGGAGGTTGTAGTGAGCCGAGATTGCACCACTGCACTCCAACCTGGGCAACAGAATGTGGCTCTGCCTCAAAATAAATAGAGAGACAGAGGGAGGGAGGGAGGGAGGCAGGGAGTTGGGGAGGGTGAGAGAGAGAGAAAGATGAAAGTAGAGAAACATCCCATTTCTACTATTATTTTCTTTCTTGGTTATTTTTTTTTCTCTATTTTCCCTCACCACCCAGGAGAATATTTGATTTATAATTTTCTGATAGCCGAGTTTGATTTTTATCTATACCAGCAATTGGCAAACCATAGCCCATGGGCTAAATCCAGCCTGCATCCTGTTTTTGTAAAGTTTTATTGAAACGCAGCCACATCCATTTGTCAACATACTGTCTATGGCTGCTTTTTGACTTCAATGACAGAAATGAGTATTATGACATAGTCAATCTGGTGAGCAAAACCTAAAATACTTCCTGGCCTTTTTCAGTGTAAGTTTGCTGACCCCTTATCTACACAGTTGCAAAAGCAAGAGCTAAATTTGCTGGAAATAAAATAAAAGCTGGCACTGGTTCCAGATTCATCCCATTAACAACTAACAAATTAACCATATTATATTCAAGTAACACCCTGGGGCTACTGGTAAAAAAAAAAAAAGACAAATTTTAAAAAACACAAACAAAAAAAGATTATAGCCTAATCAGTGGTAACAGACAAGCATATAATCATATGGCCAGAAATTTCATTTCCAGAAATCTATCCCACAAAATATGTAAAAAGCAAAATATTTGAAACTGGTATGATATACAAATGTATGAAAATTGACCAAAAATATCATATAGTCAAATAAAGTTTAACAGCATGTTAAAAATACATATATTCCAATGCTTATATTTGCATAAGCATGGAACATTTCTGGAATAGAAAAGGAACTTGATTATGGGTAATTTCAAAAAGTGGCCCTGAGGAGAGAAAAGAAAACCAGAATTTGCTTTCTCATTTGTATATTTGTTTTTTTTGTTTTAAATTTTTTATCTTTCCAATTGACAGCTTGTGGATATTTTGCTTTTTTGCAATAAAAATTACTACTTTTATAATAAAAATTTTAAAAAATCAGATAAACCAGAGTATATGAAAGAGAACAGAAATGTGATTAAGGGGAAACCAGAGAAAGAAACTATCTGATACAATGTAATAGCCTTTACATGTGGGATGTAGGTGGAAGTATTTTTGCATGTTTAAAAAGAGGAAAATTAATTCAGAAACGTTAAAAAAAAACTGAAGATCTTTTTTAAGTGGCAGAGATTATATACAAATACAGTTCTATTTTGAACTACTGTGCTATACTGCTTTGGCAATTAAATTTTCCTTCTGCTAATCATATGACTTAAAATTATAATTTTATATGCCTGCTGTTGCCTAAACAGAGGATTCAGATTATGAGGACTTCTACCTATACCTCACAGGGTTGTAATTTTAAGTACTGATGTGAACCAACACTTGACAAATACCAAATACCTTATGAATGGTATCTATTATTGTTATTTACCTATGTGGATTACTTTATCCCCCAGTATCAGATAACTTTCTCTAGCTGAATGTTTTTAAAATTTATTTAAAAAAATAAACTATCTCAGACTTGTTTTCTTTAAGAGACAGGGTCTTGCTATGTTACCCAAGCTGGTCTTGAACTCCTGGCCTCAAGCAATCCTCCCACCTCAGTCTTCTATGCAGCTGGGACTAAAGGCATGTACCACCACACTCAGCTTCTTTCAGACTTTAAGGAAATTTAGATTGGTCAATTAGAGATTCAAATACAAGACTAGTATACCCTTGGTACACAAGCATCTTGGTGTATGTATGGGCTACTTGCCAGCTTTTCACAGGATTCAAAATATAACACTTATATTGGTGATTTTACCTTTGTCCAAGGTGTGTCATTTGGCCTTATAGACTGGTATTTAATCTCACTATTTTCTCAGAGTTAAGTAATGGTGAGATGTTAATCACTACAACACAGTTAATGTGGATGAATGCCAATGTATAGTGATAAATATAATTTGCTACCAACTGACCAATGTGCACAGGGTTTCTGTTGGTAGTTTACTTAGGAAGCAAAGTTTCAGAACACTGATTGTGAGACATGAAATCAGACAAGGGATATTAGTGAGGTAACATAAATGTCGACTGGCATCAGGCTGATCACCTGCACAATGAAGATGTAACTACAGAGACACCAAATACTAATGTGGGTAAGCAGAACCTACTTATCCCATGACAATGGTTGGATGAATATTGGCAATGTCTTTTTTATTCTATAATTTTATAACTGACTGACTCCCCTACTGATGGACAGTTTCTTTCTTTACTTATACAGGATGAGCAGCCCAAATCCAAAGATGCAAAATCTGAAACGCTCTGAAATCAGAAATGCTGCAAAATCCAAAAAATTTTGAGTGTTGACATGACACTCACAGGAAATGCTCTTCAGACCATTTTGGATTTCAGATTTTCAGACTAGGGATGCTCACCTAGCAGGTATATGATGCAAATATTCCAAAATCCAAAACACTTTGGGTACCAGCATTTCAGAGAAGGGATACTCAATCTCTTATTTTCTCTCAGGCTGAATTCAGTTTGTGTATGACTAGGAATGCTCTTTCAAATCTTGCATATTTCTGCTCTGATCCATTACATAGTTTTTTTTTATGTGAATGAATCACTTTATGAAAAGAAAAAGATCTAAAGGTGAATATATTTTCAAGGCAAAAAAATTCATGTACAAAATAGTAAGATAAAAAGTAGAAAGACTTTCCTTTTATAAATTCTTAAGGAAAAATGTTTCTAAAACACTTTACACTTAAGGGTTGTATATTAATCTGCAACACAATCAATTTAGCAGGCTCTTATATTTAAAAATAACAAGAGAAATTATAATTCCTTTCTTTTTATAACAACCATTCAATGAAACCTGTAGTTTATTAAACAATATCACCTCTTCTGTCTTTTTTCTTTTTCGGTTAAAATTTTACCATTCATTAAGTGAGCTGAATGAATGTTTACGTGAACTTCATATGTAGTAAATGCATAACATAAGCACACATATAAGTTCTGGAAATAGAATATTTGCTAAAGGAAATAGATTTTGTTGTTACATTGGTAAAATAATTTTGTGCACAGCATTCCCTATATTTATTCTTTATAAGGCAGAACAAAAATTAAAAGACATGCTGATTATAGAACTGCAATGTTGAAAGTTGCAATCTTAAAGCTTACTGTGTACTATCTATTTGTGTGCAAACTATTAGTATGACTGAGCCACTCATATCTGGTTAAAATATTTTTGGTTTCTTAATGCAGTGGAATGAATTTGGTAACTCAGCATTCTTTATTCATTTACTTAATAATTACCAAGTACTTATTATGTGGTAGCACTATCCCAAGAGGTTGTAGTAAAATAGTAAATAAAGCAAACAAATTCAACCTCAATAAATAAGTCTACCTGGGGGATAGACGGAACAATGTGAAAACTGATAAATTACAAATCCTCAATCAACAGATTTCTATTTTCTCTCAGACAATTTTAAAACTGAAAATTATTATGAAATATTATAGCTGTACTTATTTCACAGAGTCTCATTTGTAAAATGGGTGTAATTCTACCTGCCTTGCTTACAGAGTATGAGGACCAAAGGAGAATAAAAGCCACTTTGTAACCTGCAAGAAACACAAATTCAATATGCTCTCAATCAGTTTGGGTACATTTCCTTACTTTCTGCCACCATAATATCTTCTGGTTCATCTTGCATTTTCTCTGCCCCAGCCCTAAAATCAACCATTTTTCCAAGGAACCCTGGCTCCTTTTATTGGAGAACAGTCAGTAAGTTTTCAGGTGAAATTTTTGTTGCAAATAAAAAAACTACAAGTATACCAAACAATATGGATAAATTTCACAAACACAGAAGTTGAATAAAAGAAGCCGAGGTATATATTGTATGACTATTTACATAAATTCAAAAGCAGTAGTTTTGCTTTTGACTTGTAAGTCAGAAAGAAGTAACTATAAGTTTGGTCTGGAAGAGAAAGATTTCTGATTGGAAAGGAACAAACGCAGAACTTCTGGGGTGCTGGTTAGGTTCTAGTTCTTGATCTGGGTCCTGGTTTGGAGTGTTCCTCAGTTTGTGAAAATCAAATAAGCTATTTACTTTTCTGTACTTATGTTACACTTCAGTAAAAAGTTCAAAAATGTATTATTAATATATTCAAGTCACCAAAAAAATACAAGCTATTTATTTGAGACTTCTAAATTATACTGAATACATTTCTATATACCACCTGTCAGGAGGAAAGCACGTGAACAATGGCCTTAGAAGAATACCTGCAACCTTGCAGTGAGCCGAGATTGTGCCACTGCACTCAAGCCTGGTAACAGAGTGAGACTCTGTCTCAAAAAAAAAAAAAAAGAAAAGAAAAGAAAGAAAGAAACCAGACATTTATACCACCTCAAATTATCTCCGCACAAATTACTTACTATTATGAAAGGAAAAACAGTAACTTGACTGTGAAGAAACATGGCACCACCTTAAATGATCCAACACTGATGAGGCAAATTAACATCATGCACTTTCTTATGCAACACATCACTTAGTATAAACTTAATCTAATCATGAGGAGACATGAGAAAAACCCAAAGAGGTATTATTCTAGAAAATAGGCCGGGCACAGTGGCTCACGCCTGTAATCCCAGCACTTTGGGAGGCCGAGGCGGGCGGATCACGAGGTCAGGAGATCGAGACCATCCTGCCTAACACGGTGAAACCCCGTCTCTACTAAAAATACAAAAAAAATTAGCTGGGCGAGGTGGCGGGTGGCCACTGCACTCCAGCCTGGGCGACAGCGAGACTCCGTCTCAAAAAAAAAAAAAATAAATAAATAAATAAAATAAAATAACTGGCCCAAGCTCTTCAAAAATGTCAATGTCATGATCAACAAATAAAGGCTAAGTAACTGTTTCAGATTAAAAGAGACTAAAGAGATATAACAACTGAATGCAAAGCATGATCCTGAACTGGATCCTGGATAGAAAAGAGCAAATAGTTACATGGATGGAATTAAAACCTTTGATAGCATTTGAATATGGATTGTAAAGAAGAGTACTGCATCAATGTTAAACTTCCTGAATGTGATAATGTTGTAGTTTTTTTTTTTTAATGTAAGAGATTTGTCTTTCTTCTTAGGAATACTCAATGAAGTATTAATATTTAGGGACAGAGTGACAGGATGCCTGCAATTTACTTGGGAGTAATTAAGAACGATTAAGGGAAAAAAACTAATACATATGTAAATAACAACAAAGCAAATAATGCAAAATGTCAACCACTAATAACCTGAATGAAAGTTATAAGGGAGTCTTTTACACTATTCTTGAAAGTTTTCTGTAAGTTTGAAAATTATTTCATAATAAAAAGTTGTCAAAACTAATGGGAGGGGTTGCCTTCAGGTCCACGGTGAAATAAAAAAAATAGTAATAATGGAGGTGGGGCCCTGAAAATTAAGATCTGTTATTTAAAAACAAAATACAGGGCCATTGTTTGAATTACTAGACTAAATGTGCTTATATTCTATTCATATTTACTATGAAAGTTTTTCAGTAAGATTAAGTATTATTTTAGGAAAAATAAGAAAGCATACTCAATGCTATCAGCAGCTGCTACACAACTCCAGAGGCCACCTTTTACATATTACAATATACCCTCGGAGCTCTGCAATGATATCCTGTTATAACAAATAAGAAAATATAGAGATATAGTTTCTCTACTCTTAAGCAAATCAATTCTTTTCATACCTATGAATTCTGGATTCAATATGGAATGTATGTGAGGAAACCCCAAAAACCATAACTGCATCTTAATACTCTGATAAAGGTGCTAATGAATTTTAAAATCAATTTATGTTCACTTTTAACTTTAATCATTCTTCTGTCACCAACACCCAACCCAAATACCAATATAAAAACCTGAACATGGCAGTGCGTGGTAGCTCACGCCTATAATCTCAGCACTTTGGGAGGCCAAGGCAGGAGGATCGCTTGAGCCCAGGAGTTCAAGACCAGCCTGGGCAACATGGTGAAACTCCATCTCTACAAAAAAACACAAAAATTAGCCAGGTGTGGTGGCACACACCTGTAGTCTCAGCTACTCAAGAGGCTGAGGCCAGAGGATCACCTGAGCCCGGGGAGGTCAAGGCTGCAGTGAGCCATGATTGTGCCATTGCAAACCAGCCTGGGTGGCAGAGTGAGATCCAGTCTCAAAACAACAACAAAAAAAACCAAAAAACAAAACCTGAACAAACCAGACCCCTTCAAAAACACAAAAGCCAACCAACCAAACAACAACAAAAAAAAACCCACAAGTTCACCAGAAAGCTCCAAAGCAAACTATGTTATCACCTGTTTCTGAGGATATGAAAAGGCTTCTTTTCCTATAGTGCGAAGAATAACATGATGTTGACCTTCCAAAATAAGCTGTTTACTGTCTTCCACAACGTATGCCTAAAAAATGCAAAGTACAAAAACGTTACCGTGCTTGACAGTAACCTCTAAAGTAACCAACCCAATACTTGATAGAAAGTGGAAATAATATGGCCAATATCTATCAATTATTGACACTCCTGGCAATGTCACCATTTCTACTTTTAGTTATTCATTCAATCAATAAAGTATCTATCCAAAAAACAAATCTTTTCACCTCAATATAACACAGTTGGCCTGGATATTTGAGAGAGATACATCATGAAATCCTTTCCAACATTCTTTAGAATTCTTAAGAAACTACTTTAAAAGAACTGTGCTATAACACAAGCTGTTTTCTTTATTGAACTACCAATATACAGCTAAAAGGCTTATTCTTACAGCCTAGCTTCTGAAATGTCCTAGGGTTTATCACACAGCTGAGCAAAATCAGTGAGTACAATCATAAATCCTGTAAGTGGAAATGTTATGTTCATAAATATAAATACATATGCTTTAAAAAAGGCTTTTTTCTTCCAATATAGTGAGCTGACTTTATCTATATTATAATACTTGTTCCAGTTTATAACTCTTCTCTCTCTTCAATTGCTTCTGTGTTGGGGAAAATATAATCTATAAATGGCTCTGATCTACTGTCATTATCACATTATGTGCAAACACAAAGGCTTAATTTTTTTGACAAGCCCGGTATTTTTACTGTTAGGTTCAAAAAACATAAAATTACTCAGTCAAAATGCTATCAAAGTTTCTTCTTGTTTACTTTCAATTTCTATACTTATAATGGACTAATGACAGTTTGCCATCCACAGAACAAACTTTGAGTAGTGCTGCAGTAAGGCATAGGATGGCTCAGGACCTGTTCAGCGTCTATATTTGCAAAACCCAGAAAGGCAGGAGAAGTTAAACACCTGATAGGGTAATGTTTAATCAAGAAGGAATAAGAGCTGACAGATAAGGGTCTGAGACTTGTCAGATGTCTTTTCTGATGATGTTATGGCATTGAGCGACAGTCACCCATAGCCATGGCTAATTCTATAATGCATCCTCCTGCTTGTGCAAAACCTTAGATTTTTAAAACTAACCTTTATTTTGGATTAAAGTTGTTTAGGAGTTGTATTATGTCCCTTTTTCAACTGTTTTTCTTCACAAAAATGTTCAAGCTCTTGGTTTTCTCCTGAATCATATTTCATTCAAGAGTCCTATGCTTCCTGTGCATCTTACTCTACAACTTTAATGACTTTTCAAGTTTTCTTTAATCTAATGAATCATTTTTACATTATCCAGAACTCTAACTAAAACAAACAAAAATCTACCAGTCACTTTCTCCATTGAGTAAATTATAAACTTACCAGGGTACTAGCCACTACCAAACTTAATAACCCATTATTTAATGTATTCAAACTTCCATTTCCCAGCCAAGGAGCATCACAATCTTAGATAACTTTCTTCTTTATGTGATTAGTGATACCAGCAGTGGGCTTTAGGTTCAGGGCCATTTCTTAAAAGATAACACTTTTCCCCTCATCAAAGAATACCATGCACTTAACAATGAGTACAGAATACATTACACAAAACCTTGTCTCAGAAATATTATAGATTGCTACACGGCATAAACCTATTGAATGAAGACACAAATGCCAAAGATCGTTATACACTTATATAATATGATTCTAAAGTTCGGAAGAATTTGATTTCGCCAATAATGTATAACTGATCTTCTTAACATAAAATGCCTTCTATAATCAACAAAAGTATCAATTTACTTAGTAGATTTCATTTGAAACATGCAAAGTCAGCTTGGTTTCAAAAAAATGTTTATTTAAAAACATGGTTTAAAAAGAAACACTTCATAAAAACTTCTGAGTCAATTTAAAATACATGTATTGATCACCTAGTATGAACATGTCTCTTGCATCAAACAACACAAAATCAAAACCTTGTCACAAAGTTCGGGTGATTATTCTTGGACAAGATCCTTAATTTTACTGCAGAATAATTTTTAAAAATAGGTAGTACATGCATATGATACAAAAGGGTGTAACGTAAGAATTAAGACTCCTTTGCAGTATAGTTCAGTTAACTTTAGGGAATACTAATGTCTAAATAATCTCATTCTGGTCTGCCATGTGTGAACCTTATTTGGATCTGATTTTTTTTTAACAGGGTAAAATAGTATATTTAAATAATCTGGAAAAAACTGAACACAGACCATCAATTAGATAATTAAGAATTATTAATTTGGTTGGGAAAGATAATACTGTGCAGTTATATTAAACAAAAAAGTCTTCATCTGTTAAAAGTACATATAAAAGCATTTACAGATGAAATATGTCATTTTAAAAATACTACAGCAAAAAAATTAACAATAAAAGAGAAGAGAAGGTAAATGGATTATATGAAATATGAATAACAAAAAATTAATGGTTTTTGGAGCCAAGGTAGTGGATTTCCAGAGGTTCATGGTGCTATTTTTCCCTCTGTAGAATGTTTGGAAATGCCCCGAACAGTTTAATACCACCTGCTTTCAGAGCTTATCATGTCTACAATATTCTCGGTAACACACAGAAATAACAGTAACACAGAAGAATGTTATCTAATTTGAATGAATTCTTTTTTTAGGCCAAAAAAAAATATGTAACTGTTAAAGTTTCAATATTGAAACTAGAAAAGATAAGCATAAAAAATATAAATAGTAATATACGTTTGTGCTTAGCTTAAGACTCGAGTATCTATAAGTGAGGCTTGCTGAAATAATTTAGTAGCACATACCTTCCATAATATGACAATATTCAAATCTACCTCACTGCATTTTTGAATCAATCTCACAGCATCCTCTGTTGACTGTTTTTCTGTATGCACAGGCAAGTGAGCTTGTGGTTTTTTCAATTCAGAAGATAAACTTCGATAAAAGAAGTCTGCACATGGGCTTGCTGAACTTATTATCTGTTAAAAGAAAATCACTTGTGTTCATAAATGCTTTTAATTATGTTGTCAAAATTTATTTTGTATAACTCAGTTTTAATTAAATATATCCTGCCAAAATTTTTATTTCTATAGCTTATACATACCCAAAATACTTATTCAATAATTCTTGTCAATGTAGTTGAATACAGGGAGGCCACTTGAACATTCAAAAGATTTGGTACAAATTACCCTAAATCTTTTTTTTTTTTTGATACAGGGTCTTACTCTGTCATCCAGGCTGGAGTGCAGTGGTGCAATCTCAGCTCACTGCAACCTCTACCTCCTGGGCCCAAGCAATGTTCCCATCTCAGCCTTCCGAGTAGCTAGGTTACAGGTGCGTGCCACCACTCCCGCCTAATTTTTGTAGAGACGGGGTTTTGCCAGTTTTGCCATGTTACCCAGGGTGGTCTTGAACTACTGAGCTCAAGCATTTGCCTGCCTCAGCCTCCCAAAATGCTGGGATTGCAGGTGTGAGACACTGCACCCAGCTGCAAGTTACCCTGAATCTTAAAGCCGTCACCCCAAAATAATTAAACTACGCTCCCATAACATTAGCTTTGACCTTCCAAGTATCTAGGGAGAATGAATGGGTATCACCAAGAAAATAAAAATAAAATGTTGAAAACCTGTATTTTAAAATGACAGAAATATTTCTCATTTAAATCCAAGGCAATATCCAATGAAGCAGAATGCAAATAGAATTATTAGCATTAACTTGGCTTTCAGGCTTAAACAATGAAAGCATGAGATAAGAATTTTAAATGGACTCAATTACAGGATTTCCCTTAACTAATGAATATTATGCCACATAATAACATCTTTATATTTATGGTTTCCTGTATTACAGGCTATGTATATATCATGTAGATGTTAAACTTCAAGTTAATTATTAAATAAGTATTAAATATGAATATATACATTTTCTCCTTATGAGCGAACTTCTTGTAAAACACTGTCCCCATAGTTTTCTCATTAATCTGTAGTGCTTGGCAAGTTCTATTTATTCAACCAGGTTCATCAAAATGAAAAATGTGTTTCTTTCTGCCTTCACCAGTGCTCTTACACTAAATTATTTAACAACAAACACAATAAAAATTACAATACAAGAGTCCTGCTGATGTTTCTGGGATTTTAAAAGTTTTTAAAGAAATTTAAAAAAAAATAACTAAAGTCCTGAAAACTAAATTCAACTATTCAGGAAGCACAGTATCTCTGAAAGTAATGCATATTTTGAAATTACTGAGCTTTTGAAACTTGGAGATATTTCTAAATAGCTGTTTCCTCAAATGGTAAAAAGATAATGATGAGTCAGATGAAAGCAAATGATAAAAGAAGTACAAAAATATAAGGATGTTTAGAATTATCAAGGAGACGAGCAGAAAGAAGAAATCATCCCACTAATAGCACACAATTATATGAACTTTTACACCCCAGATTCAGCATTTTTCAAAGCAGGTCACTACTTCAGATTATCTTCAGGGATAGCTTAAAATGCATACTCCCAAAGTCCACCCAAGATATAATCAACCAGAGCTTTAGAGGTAGGGGAGGTAAAGCCTGTATTTTTACAAAATCTAGGTCCAATTATGGTCTGCAGGCTAATAATGTCAACCTCACCTAGGAGCTTGTAACAATTTAGAACCTCAGGTTCTACCCAAGTCCTGTGGAATCAGAATTTGCATATTAACAAGATTTCTGATAATTTACATTGGACACATTTTGAAACTTTGAATACCACTGTTCTAGGAGGCTCTTTTTTTTTTTTTCTTTTAAGAGACAGGGTCTTGCCTTGGTCTCTGACACCCAGTCTGGTCTTGAACTCCTGGCCTCAAGCAATCCTCCTGCCTCAGCCTCCCAAAGTGCTGAAATTACAGGCATGAGCCACCACATCTGGCCCTCTACGTAACTCTTATACATAATTAGGATGGAATATCACTGCCCTAGAGAGTAATAGCTTTAAAATCACAATGGAGTCTTATGTATCTACCTTATTATCTGGGTCTCAGAATATGATATGATATGATACGGTATGCCAAAATTCAGAGGGTTATCATCTATATATTCCATTGTGACCACTTTCCCTAATAGAAAAGCTCCCTCATATAATCTTGCTTTTTAAAAAAAATATCCCAAGAACTATACTTACTTCATACGATAGTCTCAAAAGAAAGTTAATTTTAAATAACTACTTAAAATGGTATAGTCCATAAGCATTTTTGGTTTGTTTTGGGGACTGAAGGCAGGTTGCAAAACTCAATAAAGTTCAGATGTTTATTATCCTCCAAAGAGTCTGAGGAGGCTGGGTGCAGTGACTCACACCTGTAATTCTAGCACTTTGGGAGGTTGAGGCAGGCAGATCACTTGACCTCAGGAGCTGGAGACAAGCCTGGGCAACACAGTGAGACCCTGGTCTCTATAAAAAATAAAAAAACTAGCCAGGTGTGATGGCTGATGCCTGTAGTCCCAGCTACTCAGGAGGCTGAGGGGGGAGGATCACTTGATCCTGGGAAGTCGAGGCTGCAGTGAGCTGTGATCACGCCACTGTACTCCTGGGAGACAGAGCAAGACCTTGTCTCCCCCCCAAAAAAAAGCGTTTGGGAATTACTGCGATAAGCCTTGCCAAAAATACCCAGATATGCTATAACTATGACTTAACATCAAACACTACTATGCTTACTTGCATACCTGTTCATTTCCAAAGATGATATCTGCAAAGGTATATTTTTCAGAGGACTGTGTGGCCGCTAAAAAACAGGGGAAAACAAACTAATCATATCATTGGCATAAAATATAAAATGACCATTTAGTAAAGTGTAAAAGTAAAGTGAATTTACCTTCTTCTTTCTCACATCTTATTGCCTTAAAGCAAAACTTTCCCTTCTCCCTACTGGCAAGTTTGGTATCTAGGAAGAAAAAGGGAAATTTCAAAGATGTTTCTCAGTTCATCACATGATAAAAACCAATTCATTATTTAGACTTCCTTGGTCAAAATAGAAAATAATTCGTAATTATAAATAATGTTTAATGAAGAACATCTTTGTTTTTATCTCAATGAAATGACCTCTTAAAAAGGATAAATTTCAATTTTCTCAAAATACATATCCATGTGTGCACATGTATATATATATATGTATTCATATATGCGACATTTCAGATAAACAGTAAGTTTGAAAGATCAGAACACAGGGACTGGAAAGCCCATAATCCTGCCACTCTACCACTTCTTCATTTCCTTTCAGTATGTTTCATATGCATGATTTATACCAACATTACTATACGAACACACTCTGCTATATGTTTTCCCATAATTGCAGGCACTTTTAAAATGGTACTTTAAGTAATTTCTGGTACACATTCTTTTGTTTGAATGTTATATAAACATGACAATTCACAGAAAAGCCAGTCAGTACGTAGGTATGGCTATTCACAGATAAACTCACCAGTGGTAAAGGAAACAAAGAGAAAATTCCATATTCTAGTCTATATATTTTTGTACCAGTTAAGTTTTGTTTTGTTTTGTTTTTTGTGACAGAGTCTTACTCTGTTGCCCACGCTGGAGTGCAGTGGCATGATCTTAGCTCACTGCACCCTCTGCCTCCCGGGTTCAGGCAATTCTCCTGCCTCAGCCTCCCGAGTAGCTGGGATTACAGGCGCCTGCCACCACGCCCAGCTAATTTTTGTAGTTTTAGTAGAGACAGGGTTTTACCATGTTGGCCAGGCTGGTTTCAAACTGCTGACCTCAAGTGATCCGCCCATCTCAGCCTCCCAAAGTGCAGGAATTACAGGCGTGAGCCACCACACCCAGTCCTGGTTGAATTTTTGACAGTAATCATGTACCCAAGCACTGATTTTACAATAAAAAACAAAAAGAAGAAAATACAAGTATAAAAGATGTGGGAGGGAATTTAAAAAATGGGAAAGACTGGATCAAGATAGGTAATTTGACTTACAGTTAGGTAAACTAATGAAATCACAATTTAATGCTTAAAAAAGTTAATCCTAATAATCTTAAGACATTCTGGTACTATTCTGGAAAACCAAGTAATGAAGTTTCAAAATTTATTATGTAGCAGGAAAAACAAACAAACCTTTGTTTTCAGAAAGATTTACAGATTTCTGTAACTTCCAGTGTTTGCTACTACTTGATACTTGCACTATGTGGAATTCCTTAACGCCTGCTTCACTCTGTCAAAAAAAAAGATAGGAGTCATTCAGGATTTAGAAGCACTAAATCAGAATGTTCCGATGAGAATAAAATTCAGACACTGCTACCAAAGTCAATGTCAATTAACATAAGATGCAATTACAATATACATTTCCAAAAACTTATTTAAATCCCTTTCTAAACACTTTCAGAGACATCAACATTTTGTCCAAGAAGTATTTTTGACTATAATGCATACTCAATGGTAAATTTTAAAATACTGAAAGCCACTGAGTTATTAAAGCCTATCACAATGAGCTATTGGTAGTATTTAAAAGATAAAAAATTGTCAATTTTTAATCAAAATTATGGCATTTTCTTTTTATTTCTCTACTCTGAGATATCTCATTCTTATTAGGCAAAAAAACAAGCAACAAAAACTCACATAACAGAATCCTAATATATGGTCAGTACACATGAAATTATTTAAGTAGCATGTATTTTTTTAATTCTCCTGAATAAAAGCTAATCTGAAATTATTAAAATATTCTCACTCTTACTATAAAAATATTGATTTTTGGGGGGAGATCACCAAAGTACAGCACATTAGCCCTAAATATCCTAGAAAGCAGACACCTTACAAATTTAAGAAGTTAAAAGTAAAGAACATTACAGAATTAAGTAACATTTCAAATAAGTACCTGAATTGAATCAATCTAATGCTAAGAGTCCTATTTCAAACATGAGAGATCACACTCTCATCTTTGAGAATACTCATTTTTGGCCGAGCACGGTGGCTCACGCCTGTAATCCCAGCACTTGGGGAGGCCGAGGTGGGCGGATTACGAGGTCAGGAGATCGAGACCATCCTGGCTAACATGGTGAAACCCTGTCTCTACTAAAAATACAAAAAAATTAGCCGGGCGTGGTGGGTGCCTGTGGTCCCAGCTACTAGGGAGGCTGAGGCAGGAGAATGGCATGAACCCGGGAGGTGGAGCTTGCAGTGAGCAGAGATCGCGCCACTGCACTCCAGTCTGGGCGACAGAGCAAGACTCCATCTCAAAAAAAAAAAAAAAAAAAAAAGAATATTCATTTTTACAGCCTGGCCAACATGGTGAAACCCTGTCTCTACTAAAAATACAAAAAAATGAGCCAGGCATGGTGGCATGTGCCTGTAATCCCAGCTACTTGGGAGGCTGAGGCATGAGAATCACTTGAACCCAGGAGGTGGAGGTTACAGTGAGCAACCTGGGTGACAGAATGAGAACCTGTCTACAAAGAAAAAAGAAAAAAAAATGTTCATTTTTATATTAGAGTGCATAAACAGGAATGGCAATATTTCAGAAATTTACTATATAAAGGAAATGGCACTGTTAGAAATGTGCAAGTGAAGATTACCAAGTTAATATTGAATGTGATATATTAACAGAACCTCACAATTTAGTAACACCAATGGATCTCAATGGTGAGACCTAGAAAGTATTTTATGAGATCTTTTAGAATGAATTAATGGAACTATATAGCATATCAGTGTGTACCATATTAATATCAGAAGATCTTTTTATTTGAAGACAGACTAAGGGATAAAATCACAAATCTAATGAAGAATTAAGATGATTTCATACTATTCTACATGAACATTCCTAAAATCCCTAGCTTATGCTGTCTTGTAAAGGAAAACAAAAACCACTACTAAACACAAGGGAAACACTTCAAATATAATTAAAAACAAAATTCAGTTTTAAACCAACTTACAGTATTGGTATTTTCCACATCCACAAAGACTAGCATATTGCCTCCTCTGCCTTCTTCATTTTCAAGAGAATTACTTCTGCAGACAGTGGCCCGTACATTTAAAGACCGACTGGTACAAATAATTGCAGTGTGTCTTAATATTCTGTGCCTGAAGTTAAAAAAAAAAAAAAAAGCACATTTAAGCACAGAGTCTCTATGTTATAATTATCTAATTCCAAATAAAGATTTTAAAAACTGATCACTCTCAGGACCATTTATACTCTAAAAATCCATAGAATACATTAAGTAAAATTACATAGTTAGCCTAACTTCAGTTCAATTCTTTCTATCCAATTTGGAAGGAAACTACTAGTCTCCCTGTCTAAGTTTTTGCCCTGCTTATCAAATTCATCTGTATAACACATAAAAATAATCTTCATATGGTAATGTTCTGATTGTGCTTCTTTCTCTCTCTTTTTTTTTTGAGACAGAGTCTTGCTTTGTCACCCAGGTGGGAGTGCAGTGGGGTGATCTCAGCTCACCACTGCAACCTCTGCCTCCCAGATCAAGCGATTCTCCTGCCTCAGTCTCTGAGTAGCTGGGATTACAAGCATGTACCACCACACCCTATAATTTTTGTATTTTTAGTAGAGATGGGGTTTCGCCATATTCATCATCTTCATCATAAGGTGTCTGCTTTCTAGGATATTTAGGGTTAATGTGCTGTACTTTGGTGATCTCCCCCCAAAAATCAATCATATTCACCATCTTCATCAGCCATATTGGTCAGGCTGGTCTTGAACTCCTGACCTTAAGTGATCTTAAGTGAGGCCCACCTCAGCCTCCCAAAGTGCTGGGGTTATAGGTGTGAGCCACTGCGCCCAGCCTTGCTTCTAATAGTGGTTCTGAAGCTACTGAATGACTACCAAATAAAGTTCAAACTTTAACCTGGTATTCAAAACTCCTCACCATATATAAGCTTTACATTTCAAAGGTTTCTTCCTCTTTACTTCTTTTACAAAAATTTTACACTGTGGCTGAACTAACTACATTCAGTTTGTGTTCTCTAATCTGTAAATCTTTACAAATAAAATATATACAGCCGCTCCCTAGAATAATACCCACTACTCTCTTGCATATCCCTCCCTTGATATTCAAATGCTAAAATCTTTTTTTTTTTTTTTTTTTTTTGAGACAGAGCCTTGCTCTGTCACCCAAGCTGGAGGACAACGGTATAATCACGGCTCTCTGTAGTCTTGACTTCCTGGGCTCAAGCGAATCTCCTGCCTCAGCCTCCCAAGTTATTCCTAGTTAATTTTGTAAAAATGACAATGGAGGTATCAAAAGAAAATATTCTGTTGAACAAAATATAGGTCATAGATCCTGGATGAGCCAGTTAGCTTTGATTTCTTCAGTGATCATCTATTGTAACACCATTATAATCTTCTCTTCTGTAAATATGTACTGTTTTTCATACATTCTTGTGGGGCAAGGGGGAACACTAGGGAAAAGGTAAAACAAAACAATTTTCTTAAAAAAGGATGACTGAGACGACCAGGCAGGTTGTCTTCATACATAAATGACGCCCTATTTTAATACATGGTACCTGTTAATTTCATTATTATGTGATAGCTCTGTCTACAGTACTTAAATCGTATCAAACAATTGAGAAGTTTACAGACAGAAGCAACTAAAAAAATGTGTGCCGTTAAATTTTATTTTTTCATTTTTGGGTACCTAGAACTTACAGTTCTATTTGAGACAATTTCAGATATAAATATCCTGCATAATCTGGAACAGAGTAATTTCTTAACATGTTAGTAAATATCAAAATGTTTATCTGAATATGTGCATATACATTGAACATAGATGTTAAATTTTATAAGTTTTATAATACTAACCGTATTTTTGGCTGCTTTTTGACACTTTCATAGTAAAACAAAAAGTTAATTTCATGGACACCTTCTTCATCAGGCCCACGTAACCACATTGGCAGCTGCACTGAGGCTCCGGGTAGAAGAACAGTGTCAGGAAGGGGAACAGGAATCACCTCTGGTTGACTTCCTGTGCCAATGCCAAAGTCTACAGAAGAAGCTGATGATATGAGTGCTGTACACACAGAGGTAGCATCTGTCACAACAGTCTTGTAAGCACTACAATTCTCAGAAGCTGAGGGACTTAGTGGTGTTAGAACAGCAGTATTACCACCGAAAGTAAAGAACTCTGGACGTTTAGAAACAACCTTCAATCCAGTAAGTGGACATTTGCTGACATTGACAAATTCTACATATGCTTTTCGGATTTCTCCACAGAGAAGCCCTGTAGGAAAATGTATAAAGAACACCTGCATTGGAGGGAAAAAATATTATTATTTGTCTGTTAAAAATTTTGAACCTCTAATGAATAACACTTTAAGACACTTTTTTTTTTTTTTACCAAAGGTTTACAAGTGTTTCATTAATTCTTTGGTATCTCCCTGAATATGTGGCAGTTAATGACTCCATTTTAGAAAATATGATGAGACAGAAGAATGTTACTCTGCCACTCAGTAGTGATTCTAGACTTATGAATTAAAGGTATACTATCAGTACACAAGAGGGCTAACATGTCAAAATTTCACAACTTGGTAGATTATGGACCAGAAAAGTTGAAAGTAATTTAACACGGCTATATGAAGTAAATATCAGTTTTATAACCCTTATAACTGTCAACTAAAGAAGCAGCTCAACTACTTATGTCTATATCATCAAGATGAAAAGATATGCCAGATTTACTATGGGTTTTAAAGTGAAAGAATGGGCAGATCTATGATTTCATATCCATAATTTTAAAATCCAAAAAACTCCAACCTCAGGCTTTTAGTAACTCATGTGGGGGCAAAACCTGACCTAATAGAGGCTTTTTATATTCTTTCCCATTTAGTGTGATATTAATACAGTTCATGCAAGAAATATTAATGTTTGGTTACTAGGTGCTGCCACAAAGCAATGGGGTTTACATAACTTCACACACACACTTCTAAAAAAAATTTTTAAATTGATTTCCAACACACATGTGGCCTCAATATTTCAGATGAGGGATTGTGGACTTGTGCTTAAAGAGACAGAAATTTGGGCTAATGAAATCATACAGTAAGTTATCTGCATTTAAAAGATCTTTAAGTATACTGGCTGGGCACAGTGGCTGATGCCTGTAATCCCAACACTTTGGGAGGCCAGAGTTGGTGGATCCCAGAGTTGGTGGATCCCTTGAGCTCAGGAGTTCAAAACCAGCCTGGGCAACATGGTGAGACCTGTTTCTATCAAAACTACAAAAAATGAGCCGCACGCCTGTGGTTCCAGCTACTGGGGAGGCTGCAGTGGGAGGACTGCTCGAGCCCAGGAAGCAGAGGTTGCAGTGAGCCAAGATTGTGCCACTGCACTCCAGCCTGGGTGACAGAGTGAGACCCCATCTCAAAAAACAAACAAACAAACAAACAAAAAAACAGATATTTAAATGTCACAACTAACATCTAAGCAAGCAGGAAGATAAAGGTAACAATATGAGTGAAATGTTCTAATAAAGTTATAGCTGGCAGTCACTTCATGAAATTCCAGTGAAAATATGTTTTTGAATCTAAATGTGAGTGGGACTTCATTATGGCCATATTCTTAAAAAGAAAAAAATCAGATGAAATTTGGGGACATTAGAAGCTTTAAAAATAAATGAGAAAACAAGGGATTAATGTAGAAATCCCGCACATAGATTTAATAGGATAAAAAAATAAGCTAGACATAGCATTATACTGAAGACACTGACTCTCTGTACTGATTAGTCAGTGTCAAGCTTATAGTCGAGCTAAAACTTGTGGAGGAATTATTAATTTTGTTATTACATCCAACACAGCTGCATTAACAAAAAGTGAAATAGAGTATTCAGTGTGTAAAAACACACTAAAATACATAGAGACACCTAGATACCATCAAGAAGGTTACAGCATTGGTAAAATGGTAACAGTGATAGAACACATAAAAGACTAGTGGTACCAACTATGTATAGGATCACATGTACCTTCAGAACACAGGTTTACTAAATACACTATTTTGACTCTTTAAGAAGAACAAGGCCAGGCACAGTGGCTCACGCCTGTAATCCCAGCACTTTGGGAGGTGGGCAGATCACGAGGTCAGGAGTTTGAGACCAGCCTGACCAACATGGTGAAGCCCCGTCTCTACTAAAAATACAAAAATTAGCCAGGCATGGTGGTGCGCACCTGTAATCCCAGCTACTCAGGAGGCTAAGGCAAGAGAATTGCTTGAACCTGGGAGGCAGAGGTTGCAGTGAGCCGAGATTGCGCCACTGCACTCCAGCCTGGGTGACAGAGCAAGACTCCGTCTCAAAAAAAAAAAAAGAACAAGTATATTTAGCCTTTACCTCAAATGCTCAGTTGCTGAAAGTCCTTTTAAATAGTTGATATTTGTGATAGCTTCAAATATAAATGGAAAACAAGACCAAGAACTCACTATCTCACTTCTAATTTATCCTGAAGATATACATGTGTGAGTACAAAATGACATGCTTAGGATTATTCATTGTGGCTTTGCCTGTAACAGAAAATGACTAGACACAAATCAAATGGTCTAGTTGAATGATACATATATATAATAGTGCTTGTGCGTAAGAAATTAAAGGAGTTTGCTCTTTTCTCTGCTTCTCTACATGTTAAAATTATTCCTAACAGAAACAATTGTATTAAAAAAAAAAGATTTAGGGGGAAAGATTTCTAATCCACATAGCTCATTGTTTGAGTTCAGTATGCTATACACATAGTAGTATGCAAATGACTCTTATTTTTATCTTCTCTCAATGAGCTACAGTAACTTTCATTCTCACCCTTGTTTGATAAATATATATTGTTACAGATTATTTCATCATACAGTATAGATGGGTAACTACTTCTACTATTCCCTTAAACATCTCAAATTCCATAAAATATTTCTGAAATATTAGGCACAGGAATATTCTATGAATTTTTTCACCAGTTTTCATGTCTTCCACTGTCTGTCCAAATATGATAAATGGTCTATTAGCTGACTTCCATCATAATCATACCACCTTGTTGAACTAACCAACTTCCCTATTCTCTTACAAGAAAATACTGAGTGATGTTTATGGAACTGAACATCAGTGGCTTTAGGCTTTCTGTAATGCCCATCATATTCTCCTTTCAAGAGTCACTATCTATTCCCAAACTTGTTCACATAAATTAAGTATTGTGTAAACTGCTTTCATCCATAGCTGAAAGTATAGCTTTTATCTGTAGATAAAAATCCAGACATACACAGTGTTTAGATTACTTGACAAACTGTCTAGATTCTCACTCTGAAGAAACCAAAACTGGAAACATAAAGTGCAACTTATGGATGTAGTTTAATGCATGAAACAAGATGAAACTCCTATCAGGAAACCCATACCAGCACTCATAGAAAAGGTCTCTGCTCTAAATCCACCCCCGCAGAAATGGTGAATAAATGTACATCAGTATGTTTTAAATTAAGGTAAAATGTTTAGGGTATGGATCTACTGATTTTTTTGTTTTTCACTTTACAAGCTTTGTTTCATCAACCAAACACCATTTTTGTTATGTAGAATAAGAGGCCCTCTGCTCTAAAATACCCTCTTCAAGAACTGCCTCTATAACAAAATTTTTCTAAAATTGTGATATGCAAGAAGCAAAGTTAAATACAGACCTAGCAATATCAAAAACCAGATGAATGTAAATATAAAGACTGTTAAGTTCAACAGAGTTAAAAATCCAAGAAGATATCTGGTTTAAGCTTCTTTCCTAAGTGAAAAAACTTTCACTTAGAAAATGAAGGCCAGATAATTAGGGATGAGGCTTAAACAATGTAAAAGTAAACCTCTATTCATAGGAATATGTTATTTGAGAAGCATTGCATTTAAAAACCATCTGTACATTTAACAATCTTAATAACTGAAGAATATTTAAATGATATGGCTTATTGAAAATCATAGGTGCTGGGCACGGTTGCTCATGCCTATAACCGCAGCACTTTGGGAAGCAGAGGTGGGTGGACTGCTTGAGCTTAGGAGTTTGAGACCAGCCTGGGCAACGTAGTGAAACCAGTCCCTACAAAAAAACACAAAAAAATTAGCCAGGTGTGGTGGCATCCACCTGTAGTCCCAGCTATTCAGGAAGAACACTTGAGTCCAGGAAGCCAAGGCTGCAGTGATCAGAGATCATACCAAGCACTTCAGCCTGGGTGACAGAGCGATCCCGTCTCCAGAAAAAAAAAAAGGGGGGGGGGGGCGGTGGGGGAGGAGAGAAAAAAATCAAAGCTAGCAGCTAGCACAATCATTAAAAACAGTATATTTTGGTGTCTTACACTGATTTATTTTGACCACACAGATCAGAATCTTCCCATCTGAAAGTAAGCTCTAACAAATTTTTAGAAACGTAATTCCAAACAAAATGTTCATTAGTTCAAGACTTTTAAACAATAATGGTGAATAACCCTAAAATAACATTTGACTCCTGACTCATTTCAATTCATCATCAGCTTTTTAACTCCTAGGCTTTACCAATGCAATTCTAATCAAAATTATTATTGTGGGAACTTGCAAAGCCTGGACGAAAATGGCACAAGTATTAAGAAAAATGAAAAAAATTAAAGATTATAAAAGGGACTTGGCTTGCCAGATTAAAAAAAAAAATGATGAAGCAACAGTATAGTACTGACACAGAAAGAAATAAGGAAATATTATCAAACAGAGTAGACTGCATCTAAAAGAGAACCTGGTATGGATACTTTCAGAATATTAATATAATAGAAAGATGGCATAATGAGTTGCCCACATTCTATTAATGGTACTGGAACTAAAAAACAAAGTTTGAGCCTTATCTCTTGACAACCAGAAACTGGCATTTGGGTCAGTCCATAAGTTTTTTTTATTGCCCTACAAAATTCTTTACATGCATCACAATTAAGCAAGGGTTAAATGTGGACAGAATATGGGTAGTTCAGCAATGCCCACCTCTCAGCACACACCACCCATCACCATTTTCATGAGTATGTTACCTATATCACCACTACATGTATAGGATTACTACCATAAAAATCATCCAGTAAGAAGAAAGGAAATAACATCCAATTAAAAGAGTTCCCAAGCACTTTGGGAGGCCGAGGTGGGCGGATCAGGAGGTCAGGAGATTGAGACCATCCTGGCTAACACAGTGAAACCTCGTCTCTACTAAAAATACAAAAAATTAGCCGGTGCATGCTGGCACCTGTAGTCCCAGCTACTCAGGAGAATGAGGCAGGAGAATTGCTTGAACCTGGGAGACGGAGGTTGCAGTGAGCCGAGATCCTGCCACTGCACTTCAGCCTGGGTGACAGAGCAAGACTAGGTCTCAAAAAAAAAAAAAAAAAAGAGTATAAGCAGGCAATCATATGGACACATGGAGGGGAAAAAAATCATACAAACAAAAAACACTGATCAACCCTATCAGTTATCAGAGAAATGTAAATAAAAACATCATTTTTCAATCTGATTTGCAAACATTAAAAAACAAAAACTGATATTATCCAGAATGACACAGATGTAAGGCAACAGGTACTCTCACTCTGAAGAAAAGTGCAATTTACTATAGTTTTGCTGAAGGTTATTTTGTAGTGTATTGCGAAATTTAAAATTTATATATCTCTCCACCCAGTAATTCCATTTTTAAAGTTTAGTCAAATCTAGAACATGGACAAAATATATACATGATATTTACTGCAGAATTGTCTGTATTGATGAAAAACTAGAAGTAAACCCATTAAGAGCATGAAAATATATTACAGTATATCCAAATAAAAGAATACCATATGTAACGGTTAAAAAGAAGACTGAGTTATGCTGTTAAGGACAAAAAGCAAGTACAGGATAAAACGTGTAGTATGATTGCATCTATAATTATTAAAACTATATATAAGTGCACAATGCAAGGTCTGAAAAGATAAACAGCAATTTGGTATCACTGGCACTTTTGGAGGTAGGTTGCTATCCTTGTAAACCCCCTACTAGAATAACTTGAGGATGTGGGAGGAAGGGCCTTTTTCACCCTTACATTACATGACCCTACCACCTTTGCCCTGCTCCTCAGGTATAAGCCTGATCCAAAGTGGACCACATCTTTCTTCTAGAAACTTGAAATTTGAAGTGGCTCAAAGACTGAAAATTGCTGGACTAGGGTTATATCAAAAGCAATGCTTTCTAGAGGCTTTAAAACATTTGCTCTTAAATTCCCTGGAGCTTCTGCCACTTCTTGTTCTATTATACTAAAGTATAATACTAAAGTATTATAGAACATATTATAATACTTTATTATAATATGTTATTATAATATGTTCTATAAAATATAAAATATATATTTATATTATGTATTATATAATATATATGTTCTATAAAATATTATAATACTTTAGTATTACAGAACAAGATCCTTCAACTAAATAATACATTTCTCTTTCTCTGGCTATACTACCTAGCAACAGGTTCTATCTTTTCCAAATTTTAATTTGTATGGTATAAAAGTAGGATAGGATGGGATAAGAAGGTGAAGATAGGAAGAAGGTGAAATACTGCTTTTTATTCAGATGCTTCTACATTGCTTAAGTTTTTTTATAAGCATTCATTCACAAATTATTTTTTATAACTTATGAAAAAGAGTCACTCATTTTTAAAATCAGAGTGGATTTTTTAGAAGTATTTTTCCCAATTTCCATTAATATTTTGAGGGTTATATTTTATAGCCTGGCTATGACTTAATGGCAATTTGCATGATTGCCTTACATTGTGAATTAAATATATTTAACACTAGCTTAATAATAATTTAAAAGTATAGTTCAATGTAATATCAAAAACCTCAGAGCCTAAAATTAATTTACTCAGAATATTTGCTCATATAGATAAATTAAGTCCATGAAATTTTAAAAAGTGAAATACCTCCAACAGTGGCATTTCTTCTGTGATTATGGGATCTAAACGTCGATCAGGGCCATATTTAACAGATGTTTTCTCTTCTTTTGTGTTGTTAAGTCGAGGACCTTGAATTTCTAAATCCTGCTTCCCTCGGACTGACATACTCAAGGAATATTTTCCTGAAATAAAAAACAATCAATGCCCTAAAATAATTTGGTATGTTAACTGACATCAATTTAACTTGAATATGTGAATATTGTAAGTTTCAGATTATTTCTAGAAAAATTCTAGACAATTTTGATTAACATGATTAATCAAAGAATTTAGTATATTTTCATTCCATGTTTAACACCAACTAAGGTATGCTACTTAATTTCTCACTTGGTTTTAGATATACTTTGCAAAAAAAGACTACACATTACTCAATAGGAAGCCCTCTGAAATCTGTATTTAACCATGTGCCTATTAACTAACAAAACCTGAGAGAATAATTATCTTAGGTCCAACAATTTAATTTAGGCCATGAGAACGGTATCTATTCACAAAGAAAAGAAGTGGAAAACAATGAAAAGGTCAACTTTTTACTTTTACTCATATTCAAATATATACACTAATTTGAATTATTTCTGGAATATAAATAACTGAATCTTCTCAAGAGACTGCACAAAGAAAATTAAATACAGTAGAGTTTTCTCAAAATTAAACTTGTTTAATATTCATGTGAAATTTTTCCCAAAAGCTTCCATGTAGTGCATGTATGTGTGAAAAAAGCTAGAGTATACAACTATCTTTCTTGCAGGACTACTTAAAGCCTTTAATGTGCCGAAGGTCACTGTAATAATCTCAAGCCAGATATAAAATGTATTGATTCCCACACTTCATGTGACCCAAATCCTTATTAGCATTTTACATAATAATGAGCTATACTAAATCATGAAAACTCTGCTTAGAAGATAGGATTTTAACAGTTAATTCAGTCTCTTCCCATTAATATTATACAATAACATATAAAGTATTTTTTAATGCATATATTTGGTGCCTTAAATAAAACAACTACCTATATTTTACTGACAACCATAAATTTGTGTACTAGATTAAGATCCTAGTTACATACAAGTGGGAAAAGAAAGGAGATTCAAAAAGCTGTTAATATCCAGTTATCTTGCTTTAAAAATGCAATAAATTAGCATTTTTAAATTATAAATAATTTAAATTATAAATTATATAAATTATAAATAAACTTTGTCTGGTTCTTGTCAACCAAAAAATACAAATACAGTACTAAAATGCAGAATACCTTACTCAATTTTAGTGCAAATTTTTTTCTTTAGTAAAATGTTTTTAGTTTCTATGGATTCATTTCACTTATTTTTCTTAAATGGTGTACTGAATTATCCTAGATACCCAGGGCAAGTATATTTAATTGAAAGTTAAAAGAACCAACAAATTTTCCAAGTGTTCCCACTTTCTCAATGTTAATAATCAGCTTTTGTAAATGCTAAATTCATGTTTGTCAAGGACTATTCAACTTAATTTGTTGTAAAATAAGACATATCTATTAAAATGAGCCAGAAGTAGGAAGTTTCATGGTAAACTCCCTCTCCTAGCATCTTTTCAACTTGAACTCAAATAACTACACACAGTAATTACATGGTAATGTTAAATCTTGAAGGGTTCCCTGAGTTTAAAAAACAAAGAAAACTATGTTAAATGCACATATCGTGTAGTTTTCCTCTTCAAAAATGTGTAGAACATACTGTATAGTGCACCAAGAATATCAGATTAACACTAAAGCCCTACTCTTTCAAGACAGAAGATAGAACTTAAGGTATTTAATATCCAGTGATGTGAAAACATAGGTCTTTAATTTGTTCCATGTTTTATAAAAAGGAAATATTCAAAAAAAAAAGAACATATTAAGATGGTTTTTATATTGGCAGCAGACAATCAATGGTTAGAATTTATTTGGTTAGAATTTACTAAATTTGGATCAGTGACAGAAAAAAATACAGTCTAAAAATTAACAAAAGAAAATATATCAGAAGGGAATCAAGTTGTTTACTTTTGACGCTAGAGATGATGTTAGAAGTTAAAATAATCTAAATTTGTCATTCTTACATCTGGCTAAATGTCTTTACTTAACGATACATTAAACCTATTTAGAAAATACATCATTTTTGTCCATTTTATTCTATGGAGTGATTTAAGAAAGTTTTCTAATTGTTTACCAATGCTATAGCCTTTACCTGTGTGACATCCGGGAAGAGCACCAATGCCATCTACTGTCATAGAGCCCTGAATAGTGCCAAGATTATAAACAACTCCCAGAATATGCAGCTCCCCTATGTGATGGGGAAAGAGCTTTAGTCTTGCCTGTGGAGATATTTAAGTCAGTCTTATTATGTTTTCATAATATCTTAAATAGCACAATACCTAATTCTATAATGTTGCAAAAACATAAACTCATGACCTAAACTTTTAAAATGCCAATTAATTTATGAAAAGCATCTTCTTCAAAAGAAAATGTCTAAATTTAACAATTATAGGCCTAAACCCTCAATAATAACTTTTCATAAAAAGCATATCAAGAAGAAAGCAACAGGCTTCTCAGGAAACTAACAAATCAAAGACCACTGCAAACCACCAATTTCCTCCTGAGCAATTCCTATGTCCTAATCTTCCAAATTTTAGTTCTTAAGAAAACTAGAATATAAAATAAACTGAATAAAGATTATTTAAAAATTTGTTTTCACCTTACTTTCAGAAAGGCATAAAGCAGAGAAATGATAAAATAATTACCACTTTTGATTCTTCGCCATTAATTAAGAACTCTGAAATAACTTCAGCTCCAATCATTTCAGGTTCACTTGTAACCTAAAAAATAAATTTCATAAATTATACATTCCAATGAACAAAGTATCAGATTATTAACACTCCTATATATCAATACTTCAAAAAAATAACACTAATTAAAGTCTGCATTTACTTGGTTTTTACCACATGCTGAGCTCTACACAAAGTGTTTTTATTTCCACAACTAGAGTAGACCCAGGCTGTAGTAGGCACTCAATATATATTTTTTTCATTTTGTTCAGTCCAATTCAACTGAGAAGGATAAGCAATCGATTCAAAGATGCCACTATCCACATGCCTGTAATCCAAGCTACTCAGGAGGCTGAGGCAGGAGAACCGCTTGAACCCGGGAGGTGGAGGTTGCAGTGAGTCAAGATGGCGCCACTGCACTCCAGCCTGGGTGACAGAGCGAGACTCTGTTTCAAAACGGGAGCATATCAAAGATACCGCCACCAAGATAATAAAACCCTGAGAGAAAATACCTAGCTGCTCATAGTCAACAATGGCCAAATGGTCATTTAATTTAATCTTACAATAATAGCAAATTTCTTCTTTTGCTCTGACCAGCCTCTTTTTCAAAATTGGTCAATTACATAGAAAAGATAATGGTGGGCTAAGCATGATAAAGAAAGACAGGTAGACAATAACAGCAGTGGGAGAGAAGGGAAAAAGGCCTGTTTCCCCCAAAGCAATGACATTTCTCTGGTCATGTAGCAAAGCAGAGCTAATTGGCTCATACTGGAGATAAACCTGATCCTCATAAACGCTATTATACTTTCACCATGACATTATTTAGCACAAGAAACAAAAAACTCCCTACATTCCAGTTCAGCATCTTAGTCCATCACCATCTTAGTCCATTTTCTTCATTTCTTAGTCATGAAAAAATCCAGAGTTTGCAATTTATAGAAAAATATTATTTTAAGAAACACTTCATCATACAAATGAAAATATTCACTTAACTTTAAACCTCCTTTAAAATCTCCCATATTGAACAGACTAATATACTTAAAAAGCTAATAAATCTTTTTAAAAAACGTTTCCAAGTTTAACCGCTCATACTGAGTATTCCAGGCACCCAAAAGATTAGAAAAATTGCAGAAGTTGCTAAAATTCAAGTCAGAATACAGCCTGGGAAATCTCATTCAAATTATTAACAATGAATATAAATAATACAAAATATCTTTGACAAATTTAACCAGCAAGACTTATTTATTTATTTATTTATTTTTTATTGTTTGTTTACTTGTTTTGTGGTTTTTTTTGAGACAAGATCTTGCTCTGTCTCCCAGGCTGGAGTACAATGGCATGACCTTGGCTCACTGCAGCCTCAGGTTCCAGGACTCAAGCAATCCTCCCACCTCAGCCTCCCAGGTAGCTGGGACTACAGATGTGTACCACCACATCTGGCTAATTTTTAAATTTTTGTAGAGATGGGGGTCTCACTATGTTGCCTAGGCTAGAGCAAGACTTAAAATAAGGCAATCTTGAAAAAATCAAAACACTTGAGCACCAAAATGCTGGGTTATTTCCCAGTTCCAAAATCCTTTTTTTTTTTTTGCCACATTATTAAAGCATTTAGCAAGGTAGTATAAAAAAAGCAAGTTATATGATAGATACTGGTGACTAAACTAATAAATTAGTAAGTAAATATATCTATTTGTCCAAGTTATTTCATTTACAGTCAGGTGGGTATTAATAAAGAAACTATTTGGCCACATCATTTCTGCTTCAAAATTAAGTATCTTAGATACATAAAGGACTTATTAGACACGGAAATGAAAAGAAAAAAATATAAATGAGGTTTTGAATAGGCAATTCACAAAAGAGGAAAAACAAAGAGTTTCAACTTCACCAGCAATCAATGAAATGGAAAATAAAACAGTTAAGATGGCATTTTAAAAATATCAAATCAACAAAGTTTTTAAGTTAATACTGCTTACTGTCATAAAGATTAGACACCCAAACCCATATGCTGCTTAGTAAGAAGCTCATTGGTATGAACTTTTATGAAACCAGCAGGGCACTACAATACTTTTCCCTAAAATCTTCACTTCATGCCCTGGAATCTTCCCCACAAAAATAATCTAAAGGTAAAAAGCCACACACAAAAAAGTGCACCACAGTATTACCGTGATAGTCAACAAATGGAAACTTGCCAAAAAACTATCAAAGATAGTAAAATAGCTTATGAATCACTCATATGATGGAATATTATGCAAAAATAAAATATTAAGACACTTTGATATCAGAATACGCCTATAAAACAACACAGAATGTAAAAAGCAACATACACAGTATGAAGGAATCCCAAATATGTGGGAAAAACATACAAATGAAAATAACTGGAAGGCCGGGCGCGGTGGCTCATGCCTGTAATCCCAGCACTTCGGGAGGCTGAGGCGGGAGGATCACGAGGTCAGGTCAGGAGTTCGAGATCAGCTTGGACAACATGGTGAAACCCCATCCCTACTAAAAATACAAAAATTAGCTGGGCGTGGTGGGGTAAGCCTGTAATCCCAGCTACTCAGGAGGCTGAGGCAGGAGAATCACTTGAACCTGGGAGGCAGAGGTTGCAGTGAGCCGAGATGGCGCCACTGCACTCCAGCCTGGGCAACAGCGTGAGACTCTGTCTCAAAAAAAAAAAAAATAAAAACAAAATGACTGGAAAGATACACAGCAAAATGTTAAAGTGGTTATTTCTAAATATTATGAAGACAGATGGTTTCACTTCTATTCCTTATGTTTTTATGTATTTTCAATTTTCAAAAATAAGTACATATCATAATTTTTATAACTAAGGAAAAATAAACCAAAAAGAAGTATAGCTCACTGAACAGAGTACATTGAAATGTTACTACAGCATTTGTTAGGCTGTAGCTGAAACATAATTACAAATACCTTTTAATAACTTACTAGTTGTTTAACTTCTTCATTATCCTTTCCACTGAAATCTTTAGGATGAAACTTCCAAAGCAATGACAAATCAGTCAACAAAAGTAGAACTTTCAAAGGGTTTCTAAAAGCCACTTCCACTGTAATTGGTTCTATTAAAAAAAAGGCCTAAATTAATAACTTTAATAAACATCACACCTCATTCTCAGCTTCGATCTTCTAAATGCATCTTGCTTTCATAGCTCTGCATTTCTGCCTAGACTGTCCTTTATTACCTTATAAATGTCCACGTATTCAGGATTCTGTTGTAATACTACATTACCTCCTTGAAAAGATTTCCCCAATTTCTCTGTACTAAAGAATGCCATTCCCTCTTGTATATTCCAACATCACATTGCAAATAGCTGTAGAAGAGTCCCCCTTGTCTGGTTTTATAAATGCAGCTCAGTAAATTATGAGTTCCTAATTTATTTTTGCATCCCCAGCACCAATTATGTGTGCCAAACAATAAATTATCTTCATCATGCTGTAAGTAAAACAAATAAAAAACAGAAATAAAAATTCAAGTATATCACCTTCTACAACTGCAAGTGGAAATCTTGAATTATCTGAGTAACTGTTCAAACAGTATTGTGTGGGATGAAAATTGGATGGAATTACTCCTTTGTTAACCACAGAAACAACTTGTTCCTCAAGTTCTCGCCACTGCTGAGAGGATTCAGAATCATATTCTTGATCAAGACTTACATGAGTAGCTGCTTGTTTTTCACCTAAAAAAAATTTGTTAACAACACGTTTATGAAGACTTGCCCTCAAATAAAACATATTTTAAATAGACATAAGGTACAGAAATAAAAAAATATATATATATACATTCACTCTTGCCTATTTCTAATTCTGAGTGAAAAATATCCTCTCATTAATCCTAGCTTATCTGGATTTTGCTTATAATACTGATGTTCTTTTCCTCCTGACTCTGAAAGAATGTATTTTCCCTCGTGTCCACAAGCAATTTTTATATAAAACATTTCAAATATACAGAAAAGGCATGGAGACTAATATAACAAATATTTGTATACTAAAATTTAACAAATGTCAACTTTCACCTATGATCCCAAATATTTTTAATAAAAAAAAAACATCACAGATAGAGTCGATGTCCTCTCTGCACCACCCCCAATCTTATTACTCTCCTTCGCCCCCACTGGCATCACTTCTTCCCAGAGGTATTCCAAAGTTAAAGTGTATCATTTTCATCCATGATTTTACCACATAAGTATATCTAAAAAATGCATAAAATTAGTTTTTATGTTTGAAACTTATACTGTAATTGACTCTTCACTCAGCATCAAGTTGTGGGAAATGTAGAATTAGCATGAATTCTCATGTACTGCAGCATGAATCCATTATGTGAATATACAAAACCATATCAATTAATCCTCTATTAGGAATTCTATTTCTTTCACTCTTTTGCTACTACAAACAATGCTACTATGAATATGACAATTTAAAAAAAAAATACTAAATCGTATCTCAAGGAGAAACGTTGATTAAATTCAAATATAAGAATGTTTAGAATGACAAAGTTTAACAGCCATCGAGAGCTTTAAAATATATGCATTTATATAAAATATATTTGTATAGATTTAGGGGGTACAAGTTATGTTTTGTTATACAGACATATTTTCTTGGTGGCAAAGTCTGGGCTTTTCGTGTAGCCATCACCCAAATAGTATACATTGTACCCATAAGTAATTTCTCATCCTTCATTCCCTACCCTCCCAAGTCTCAATGTCTATGTGTACACATTATTTAGCTCCAACCCCAGTTATCGATGGGAGCATGTAGTATTTGACTTTCTGTTTCTGAGTTATTTAATGTAAGATAATGAAGAGCTTAATATATTTATACTTTTGTTCCATTATTGCCATTCTAGGGTTCAATCCTAAATAAATCATCCTGCATTTAAAAAAAAGTCTTACAAGAACAGCAGAACATTGGTAACTGTTCTTTACTTCTATGTACATTTGAAAATTTCCATAAGACATTTAAAAAACAAATTTTATCTACAAAGATGTCCATCACAATACGATTTTTTTTTTTTGAGACAGTCTTGCTGGAGCGCAGTGGCGAGATCTCGGCTACTGCAACCTCCGCCTCCTGGGTTCAAGCGATTCTCCTGATTCAGCCTCCCGAGTAGCTGGGACTACAGGCGCATGCCACCACGCCCAGCTAGTTTTTTGTATTTTTAGTAGAGACAGGGTTTCACCATGTTGGCCAGGATGGTCTCAATCTCTTGACCTCATGATCTGCCCGTCTTGGCCTCCCAAAGTGCTGGGATTACAGGTGTGAGCCACCACACCCGGCCACAATATAATTTTATATAAGCAAAAGATGGAAACAGTCTATATATATCAAGTGGATGTTAAAATAAAGTACTTTATAAGCACTGAATAGAATATTTTACTAACATTAAACGTTTATGAAGATTATATAATAACAAAAGCATTCTTTAAGTGAGAAAAGCTGTTGTAATTACAACTGTTTTGTTTTCATTTCATTGTTTTTAGTTTTTAAAGCTGGAAAGAGAAACACCAAAATAGTAGTTATCTTCAGGTGACAGGACAAAAGAAGTAATAGAGAGCTATTCATTTTCCTTTTTTTTTTTTTTTTTTTTTTTTTTTTGAGACAAAGTTTCACTCTGTCGCCCAGGCTGGAGTGCAGTGTCGTGATCTCAGCTCACTGCAACCTCCGCCTCCCGGGTTCACGCCATTCTCCTACCTCAGCCTCTTGAGTTGATGGGACTACAAGCATGTGCCACCACGCCCAGCTAATTTTTTGTATTTTTAGTAGAGATGGGGTTTCACCATGTTAGCCAGGATGGTCTCGATCTCCTGACCTCATGATCTGCCGGCCTCAGCCTCCCAAAGTGCTGGGATTACAGGCATGAGCCAATCGTACCCGGCTGAGCTATTAATTTTCAAATATTCAACTATACATCGTTTTTTAAATGGAGAAAGGAAAAGAAGTTTTTTTTAAATTGTCATTAGGTAATTAGGCTAAATAAAACTTTACTAACCATCCGCTGGTCGTCTGTCATGGCCAAAAAAAACCCGTGTTGCTGAACTGTTAATATACGGTAAAGGAAGCTGTGGCAAAGGACCATCTGGTGACAGCTGACTTACATTCTGAGAGAAATATAAAAGGGAAAAAAAGTAGTTTTTGTGAAAATGGTATTTTTATTTGTTTCCTCGTTTCTTAATACACAAGGCATTAAAAATATGTTAAGCAAGAATATTAAGATATGTAATTACTAGTTTTATTTCTCATATCAGTCATAAAATTTTACAACTCAGAAGCACTTCAGATATTTATTCTGCCTCAAAAGAATCTTACTGAGGTTACTCAGCTAATTACCTGGATGTTAAATATGCAAAACTTATTTTAGTAAGCGTTTTACTTCTTATGACTCATTATAGCATCCTATCTGCCAAAATTCTAACCCATATAATTTCAAATTAATAAAGTCTAGACCCTAAAGGTAGTTATTTTCTGCACGATAGATATAATATGCACTATTCATAGGCCTTGGGAAAAAATTTACAACTTCCCATTTTTTCCATAAAACAATGCTTTATATGTTTATCTGCTTGCCTCAGTGAAACAGTCCTTCTTCCTGTTAATTTTTCTCCATTGCACCATAATAGCCTGTCTACTTTCCACAGATCCATACCCCCTCATCTTTCACAAGGAAAAGAACATAGAATGTCCATCTCCAAAGGATGGTAAAGAGAACCCACTTAAAACCAACTGTAAAATCAGTTGTGAGTCTATAAAAGCATGATGAATAAAGAATCCAGAAAACCTGTGGAATCTTTTTTTTTTTTAAGATTCTAAGAACAGCCACAAATCAAGTGTTCATTGTAATATTAAAATTCTCTTTTCAAGAACTGTGGAAGGGGCAATGTAACCAAGATCTATAGCCAAAAAGCCTAGCCTGCCACAGCTTTTTTATGACTGATAACTACATATATTCTAATAAAACTATCGTAAGATATGGTAATAAATAAATACTTTCACACTAAAATACAGTTTTAATATCTATTCCTGAATGAAAATAAGCAGTCACCTTGTAAACATAAAGATATTCTCTGAGGAAAGCCCCCTGTTGAGCAGCAGATTGTTTACTTTCATTAATTAGAATATGCCTAAAAGCAGACACAGCATTATCCAGCTGTCTAAGAGTATAGGACTGGCGCCCAATAGTGAAATTAATGTGATCCTCTGCAAGAGACCAGCCTTTTCCTTTGTAAACTTGCATGGCTTGACAATAACAGCGTAAAGCATGCTTTTTCTGTAAGAAAATAAACAAAATAATGTATTATACTCCAAATTTGTTTGAACTAGAAAAAACAAATACAAACACACACATAGAAACAATTAAGTAACTGGTTCTTCCTCTAAGGGGGACTGGGATAATGAAGAAAATAAAACTAACATTTATGATAATCCCTTCACAATTATATATGGAATGATATAGATAAAGTTACCTGAGCCATTGTGTGTGTGCGTTAGATAGGAGTAGGGTACCTAAAGGAAGAAAAGGGAGGCCAGACTGCTTTGACATTTACCCACTACTTCTCTGAGCCACAATTTCAAAACGTCAACTTCAGAGGAAAGAGCTTACTTCTCAACTTGACTTTATCTACCTTAAATTCTTTCTGGAAAAAGGCAAGGGATATGTAAACAAACTTCAACATTTAAAATGGTCAGATTTCACTAATATGATGATGAAAAAAATGTTCTCATACTTTAACTAGAAGCATGCTATGTCTACAAAGAGTTTCTCCATATTAAGTAAAACAATAAACACATTTATCAAAGTTTTTTCTTGCCTACGATCAGAGACTTACATTGAATGTATGTGGCCACATATGCCACAGTTTTCCACAGTACAAATAATATATAATAATATATATAGTAGTATATATAATAATATATAAATAAACTTTTTTTTTCTATATTAAAAATTCACATACTGGACCAACCATGCTGATCCCAGCCTGCCTGCCTGCCTGCCTGCCTGCCAGAACTCACTGGCCAGTGTTGTGACCACTGAAAGGTTATGCCTCACACGGTTCAAATAAAGCAGTGGGCTAGGACAGCAGCACAGTAAACACTGCCTGGGCAAGACATGACGGGGTTCTCTGCCAGCATCAGGTGCTACCACAGCCTCCTTTTCAAGGTGCTGTTGGCAAGTGTCAGGGCATACTTCCTGGTATTCAGTGCATTTACTGCAGGACTTAAGAAGAGCAAGAGATTAATAATATACCAGAATGATATACAAGATGTGTGTTCAAAATGGAAAATTGCAAGGAATGCCAAAATCTTACAAGTATTGCAATAAGAATGCAATATTTGTGGCAATAAACATCATCAATGTAAAAAATCAAAAGAGGTACACAGAAAGACAGATCCTGCATGTTCTCACTCATATGTGGGAGCTAAAACAGTGGATTTCATGAAAATAGAGAGTGGACTGGTGGTTACCAAAGGCCAGGGAGAGTGGGTGATAGAGAATGAAGTTGATTAATGGGTACAAATACATGGTTTGATAGAAGAAATAAGACCTAGCGTTAGACAGATCAGCAGGGTGACTATAGTTTACAACCATCTACTCTACATTTCAAAATAGAGAATTTGAATGGTTCTAAGGTGATGGATATCCCAAGTTCACTGACTTGATCTTTATAAATTATATGAATGTATGAAATTATCACGTATTATACCCCAAACTATGTATGTTTATTATGTATCAATTTTTTTAAAAGGAGAGTATTTTCTTCAAGATCGCTTACAGCCGGGAGGGGTGGCTCACGCCTGTAATCCCAGCACTTTGGAAGGCTGAGGCGGGCAGATCATGAGGTCAGGAGATTGAGACCATCCTGGCTATCATGGTGAAACACTGTCTCTACTAAAAATACAAAAAATTAGCCGGGCATGGTGGCGGGCGCCTGAAGTCCCAGCTACTCAGGAGGCTGAGGCAAGAGAATGGCATAAACCTAGGAGGCGGAGCTTACAGTAAGCCAAGATTGTGCCACTGCACTCCAGCCTGGGCTACACTGCGAGACTCCATCTCAAAAAAAAAAAAAAAAAAAAAAAGATCACTTACTAGGGACCTCAGATCCTCAGATGCCAGTTCTCCTCAGAAAGATCAAAGTAACTAATTATCCAAACAGAAAACTGAGAAAAGACAGCCAGGATATGATGAAGAACCCATGGAAAGAAACTAGAGTGCAGGAAAGAAAAACAACAAGAGTTTGGCAGGGATCGAGTGCTGAGGAACACAAAACCCCATGGAAAGGGTAAGTGGGAGTACTTCTCTGCTGCCCTCACCCCTCTGACCATCTGTTCACCATCCAACTGATGGGGAGTCCCTCTGCCCTCATGATGCAGGACAACACTAACAGTGGCAGTTTGAGAACGTCCCAGGGACAAGGATGTGGGTGGCCAGCTCACACAGGCATGCCCGCCCTCCTTTCAGGCCTGAACTGAGACAGGAGATACCACTGCCCTGCCCAGGAAATCTCTGCTCTTGAGTCACCACCGCACCACCAGATCCCTAACATATTCACAACTGCTGTGACATTAGCAAGTTTAGGAGACCAGTGGGTCCCCAGAGAAGGTGTGAGACCCATGGAGATGTAACCGTTAATTTAGGCTGCCCCTAGGGGAAGGGGGGACAGTAGCCTGCCAAAGCCCCACCTTGAGACAAAGGTAATGCAAGCAAGCAACAATCGCTGAAGTGGGCAGCCCCAGCGGCTGGAAATGAACATGAAGAGGGGATCATTTCCCGCCCACCCCATCCACTGTTGTGAACACAGGAGAGGTTCTCCCTGCTGGGAGCTGGCAGACGTGTCCTTGGGGAAAGCACTTTTCATGCTTTTTGTGGTGGCTCCATCACAGCTAAAAGTGAGCCTGGCCGGGCGCGGTGGCTCACACCTGTAATCCCAGCACTTTGGGAGGCCGAGGCAGGCAGATCACAAGGTCAGGAGATCGAGACCATCCTGGCTAACACGGTGAAACCCCGTCTCTACTAAAAATACAAAACATTACCGGGGTGAGGTGGCGGGCGCCTGTAGTCCCACCTACTCGGGAGGCTGAGGCAAGAGAATGGCATGAACCCCGGGGGGCGGAGCCTGCAGTGAGCCAAGATCGCGCCACTGCATTCCAGCCTGGGCAACAGGGAGACTCCGTCTCAAAAAAAAAAAAAAAAAAAAGTGAGCCCATGGCCAGGCACGGTGGCTCACGCCTATAATCCCAGGCACTTTGGGAGGCCAAGGCGGGTGGATCACCTGAGGTTGAGAGTTTGAAACCAGCCTGACCAACATGGTGAAACCCCGTCTCTACTAAAAATACAAAATTAGCCAGGCGTGGTGGCGCGTGCCTGTAATCCCAGCTACTCGGGAGGCTGAGGCAGGAGAATCGCTTGAATCCAGGAGGCAGAGATTGCAGTGAGCCGAGATCGCACCATTGCACTCCAGCCTGGGTAACAAGTGCAAAACTCTGTCTCAAAAAAAAAAAAAAAAAAAGTGACCCCATGCCAACTGGGCTTGCAGGAAGGGCAAGGCCCAATTCCCCCTCCCTACAGAGAAGCATCCGGGCAACAGAAGGTGGACAAGCTGCAAAGCTGTTTACTCTGTACTAGAGGAAGAAGTTCCGCCCTGAGCCCATTTTGGTGGCAGCTGCCCGTTTTGGTGGAAGTGTACTCTGGTCAGAGCCTAATGGACAAAGTCTACATGAACTGATGGTTGTGAGCCCTCTGACCGGGGCGTGATAAGGAAGCTTCTGTCTGCTCAGGATGAGCAACTGGTGCACCCCATCCCAAAAAGGATCAAATAATCTATAAAGTAAATATTATCAGACTAACAACAGACTTCTCAGAAGAAACCTTACCAACAAAAAGAGATTTGGGGCCTGTTTTTACCCTTTTTAATGACAAATAAAAACAAAAACAAAAAAACTACTAGCCAAGAATTTTACAGCCTGCCAAACTAAGCTTCATAATTGAAGGAAAAAATAGTATTTCTCAGACAAGAAAATGCTAAAGAAATTTGTCACCACCCGACCAGCTCTACAAGAAATGCTCAAAGGAGTTCTAAACACGGAAACAAAAGGATGATACCTGCTAACCATAAAGATACACGTAAGTACAAAGTTCAAAGATCCTATAAGGCAGTTATACAATTGGGACTACAAAGCAACTAACAACATTATGACAAATACAAAACCTCACTTATCAATATTAACTTTGAACAAAAATAGCTTAATTGTTCTACTCAAAAGACAAGATCCAAGCATATGCTATCTACAAGAGACCTATCTTCTGTGTAACGAGATCCACAGGCTCAAAGTCAAGGGGTGGAGAAAGATCAATCACGCAAATGGAAAACAAAAAAGAGCAGGGGTTGTTATTCTTGTTATCAAATAAAATGGACTTTAAACCAACAACATAAAAAAAAAGACAAAGAAGGGAATTATATAATGATAAAGAGTTCAATTCAACAAGAAGATTTAACTAGCCTAAACATATACACACTCAATACCAGAGCATCCAAATTTATAAAACAAATACTACTAGACTGAAGACAAGACAAGCAGCCATACAGTAATACTGGGGGACTTCAACACCCCACTGACAACACTAGACAGATCATCGAGGAAGAAAACTAACAAAGAAACTCTGGAATTAAATCGGACTTTTGACCAAATGGACCTAATAGACGTCTACAGAAGATTCCAACTGACAACTACAGGATATACATTTTTCTTATCTGTGCATGGAACATTCTCTGAAGTTGACCATATACTGGGTCACAAAGCAAGTCTCAAAAAATTTTAAAAAGTCAAAATCATATCAAGGATCTTCTCAGACCACAGTGGAATAAAATTAGAAATCAATACCAGGAGGAACGCTCAAAACCATACGAGTACATGGAAACTAAGCAACTTGGTATTGAATGACTTTAGGGTAAACAATGAAATTAAGGCAGAAATTTAAAAAAATTTTGAAACAAATGAACACAGAAACACAACATATCAATACCTCTTGGATACAGCAAAAGCAGTGTTAAGAGGAAAGTTTACAGCACTAAATGCTTATATCAAAAAGACAGATCTCAAATTAATAATGTCACATCTAGAGGAAACAGAAACAAGAACAAACCAAGCCCAAGCTGGCAAAAGAAAAGAAATAAAGATCAGAGCAGATCTTTATTCTTTAAATGAAATTGAGACCAAAGAAATCATACAAAGAATCAACAAAATAAAGTTATTTGAAAACACAAACAAAATTGATGAGACTACTAGGCAAGATTAAGCAAGAAAAAGAAGAGATGATTTTAATAAGCACAATCAGATATGACAAAGGTGACATCACAACTGATACCACAGAAATACAAAAGGTCCTCAGAGAATACTATGAACCTCTATGCACACAAACTAGAAAACCTAGAGGAAATGGGTTAATTCCCAGAATCATACAATCTCCCAAGACTGAACAAGGAAGAAACTCAAATCTTGAATAGGTCATTAAGTAGTTACAAAATTCCATCAGTAATTAAAAAAAAAAATAAATAAACAACCAAATGAAGCCCAAGATAGCTGGATTCAAAGCCAAATTCTACCATATGCACAAAGAAGAGCTGGTACCAATTTTACTGAAACTATTGAAAAAAAAAATATATATATATATATATATATATATATATATTTTTTTTTTTTTAAGGAAGAAAGATTCCTCCTTAACTAATATCATCCTGATATCAAAATCTGGCAAGGACATACACACAAAAAGAAAACAAGTCAATACCCATGATGAACACAGATGCAAAAACCATCAATAAAATACTAGCAAACCAAATCCAGCTGGACATCAAAAAGTCAAATTAATCACAATCCAGTGGGTTTTATTCCAGAAATACAAGGATGGTTCAATATTTGCAAACCAATAAATGTTACTCACCACATAAAGAGAATTAAAAACCATATGATCATCTCAATAGATACAGAAAAAGCATTCAATAAAGTCCAAAATCCCTTCATGATAAAAGCTCTTAACAAACTAAGCACTGTAAGAAACATACCTAAAAATAATAAGACCCATATATGACAAACTCACAGCCAAAATCATATTGAATGGGGAAAAGTTGAAAGCATTCCCCCTAAGAAGGGGAACAAGACAAGGATGTACACTCTGCACTCACACCACTTCTATTCAACATAGTACTAGAAGTCCTAGCCACAGCAATCACGCAAGAGAAAGAAGAAAAAGCATCCAAATAGGAAAAGAGGAAGTGAAATGATCTTTGTTCAATGATGACAAGATCCTATACCTAGAAAACCTAAAGATTCCTCCTAAAGACAGTAGTCATTAGGATAAATGACTTCAGCAGTTTCATGATACAAATTTAATGCACAAAAATCAGTTGTGTTTCTATACAGTCATAAAACTCAGGATGAGAACCAAGTAAGAACTCAATCCCATTTACAACTGCCACACACACACAAAATAAAATACCTGGAATACATTTAACCAAGGAGGTAAAAGAGAACTACAAAACACTGATAAAAGAAAGTACAGACACAAACAAAAGAACAAAAAAAACCCACGCTCACAGATAAGGAAAAATCAATATAGTTAAAATAACTATATTGCCCAAAGCAATCTACAGATTCAACAAACTATCTATCAAATAAATAATGTCATTTTCCACAGAATTAGAAAAAACTATTCTAAAATTCATATGGAACCAAAAAAGAGCCTGAGTAGCCAACAAAGTCCTAAGCAAAAACAAAGCCCGAGGCATCACATTCCCCAACTTCAAACTACACTACAAGGCTATAGTAACCAAAACAGCATGGTACTGGTACAAAAAATAGACACATGAACAATGGAATAGAATACAGAACTCAGAAATAAAGCAGCATACCTGCAACCAACAGATCTTTAACAAAGTCTACAAAACTAAGCAATGGGGAAAAGGACTCCCTATTCAATAAATGGTGCTGGGATAACTGGGCTAACCATATACAGAAGAATGAAACTAGACCCCTACCTATCACCATATGCAAAAAATTAACTGGAGATGGATTAAAGACTTAAAGATAAGACCTCAAAGTATAAAAAAATCCTAGAAGAAAACCCAGGAAATACCCTTCTGGACATCACCCTTGGCAAAAAATTTATGAGCAAGTCCTCAAAAGCAATGCCAACAAAAACAAAAATTGACAACTGGTACCTAATTAAACCAAAAAGCTTCTGCACAGCAAAAGAAACTATTAGCAGAATAAATAACGTCCAAAATCTGAGAAAATACTTGCAAACTACACATCCGACAAAGGACTAATATCCAGAATCTAAAAGTAACTTAAATCAAGAAAAAAAATCAAATAATCCCATTAAAAAATGGGCAAAGGACGTAAGGTACTTCTCAAAAGATACACAGGCAGCCATGAAAAATATGAAAAAATACTGAACATCACTAATCATTAGAGAAATGTAAATCGAAACAATGAGATACCATCTCATACCAGTTTAGAATGGCTATTTTAAAAGGCTATGGAGAAAACAGAACAGTTATACACTGTTGGTGGGAATGTAAGTTAGTTCAGCCAGTGTGGAAAGGAATTTGGAGGTTTCTCCAACAGATAAAAGAGAACTACCATTCAACCCAGTAATCCCATTACTAGGTATGTACCCAAAGAAAAGTAAATTGTTCTACCAAAAAGACACCTGTATTCTTATGTTCATCACAGCACTATTCACAGTAGTAAAAACATGGAATCAACCTATGGTGCTCATCAATGGTGGACTGTATAAAGAAAATGTGGTACATACACACCATGGAATATGACACGGCCATAAAAAAGAATGGTATCATATCCTTTGCAGCAACATGGATGGAGGTAGAGGCCATTATCATAAGTGAAATAAATCAGAAATGGAGAATCAAATAGGCATGCTCTCACTTATAAGTGGGAGCTAAACAATGGGCATGCACGGACATAAAGAGGAAATAATAGACACTGGGCACACCAAAAGGGGAGAAAGAGGAAGGGAAGGAAGTGAGGGTTGAAAAACAACCTACTGGATAATATATTCACTATTTGGGTGATGGGTTAGTTCTCTGAAGCCCAAATCACAGCATTACACAATATACTCATGCAGCAAACACAGACATGGACCTCCTGAATTTGTAATTATTTTTATTTTTATTTTTTTCGAGACAGAGTCTCGCTCTGTCGCTCAGGTTGGAGTGAAGTGGCACGATCTCGGCCTACTGCAACCTCTGCCTCCTGGGTTCAAGCGATTCTCCTGCCTCAGCCTCCCAAGTAGCTGGGATTACAGACGCATGCTATCACGCCTGGCTAATTTTTGTATTTTTAATAGAGATGGGATTCCACTATGTTGGCCAGGCTGGTCTCGAACTCCTGAACTCGTGGTCCACCCACCTCAGCCACCCAAAGTACTGGGATTACACGCATGAGCCACCATGCCTGGCCTCTGTAATTACTGTTTTAAAAGAGGTACAGCCAGGCGCAGTGGCTCACACCTGTAATCCCAGTACTTTGGGAGGCTGAGGTGGGTGGATCACGAGTTCAGGAGTTCGAGACCAGCCTGGCCAACATGGTGAAACCCCATCTCTATTAAAAATACAAAAATTAGCAAGGCGTGGTAGCGTGCGCCTGTAATCTCAGCTAACTGGGAGGCTGAGGCAGGAGAATCACTTGAACCCAGGAGGCAGAGGTTGCAGTGAGCCGAGATCGTGCCACTGCACTCCAGCCTGGGTGACAGAGAAAGACTTCATCTCAGAAAAAAAAAAAAAAAAAAAGAGAGAGGTACAGACCACCTCTCAGTGCCAGCAGCAGTATGTCTGACAGAAAAGATGACCAAAAAAGAAGGGATGGGAAATTGATGCTGACCAAACACACTATAAAAGTACACCCTGTAGAAAACCAAAAAAGCAGCAAAAACACCAAAGCAGTTATCCAATGTCAGCCACCACAAAAAGAAGATAGACAGTAGAGTGGGTAGCACCCACTGTAACAGCTAGAAGACTTCCCACATCTCTACATCAAAATAAATTTCCAAAGAAAAAGGTCCAAGTTCCAGTCAATCACAATTCATGGGGATAGCTTTCCTCCAGATCTGGCTCTGAACTCACCAGGTACTAACCATTTGGCCATCACTGCCCAACTAATGAAAGAAGTGAACACTGAAGAAGATGCTACATCAAAAGGATCAAATGTTTTCAAAAAAGAAAAGAGGACTGCAAAGTTGAAGGCTGATTTTTAATAACAGGTATCTCAAATAGAGACAAATTAACCAGACAGAAGAAACCCAAAAGTGGTAACAGTTCTAAAAATCTAAAAGTTTTTAGAGCTGCAGTTTAAAAACCAAGAGGAAGTCCTGAAACAAGCAAGCATCTGCTTTGTTCAAAGGCAAGAAGTATATGAACTCAGTAATAATAATGACTGTGAAAAACCAGTTGGGAGGTCGAGCGTGGTGACTTACACCTGTAATCCTAGCACTTTGGGAGGCTGAGGCAGGTGGATCGCCTGAGGTCAGGAGTTCAAGACCAGCCTGTCCAACATGGTGAAACCCCATCTCTATTAAAAATACAAAAATTAGCTGGGCTTGGTGGCAGACACCTGTAATCCCAGCTACTCGAGAGGCTGAGGCAGAAGAATCGCTTGAACCTGGGAGGCAGAGGTTGCAATGAGCCGAGATGGAGCCACTTCACTGTAGCCTGGGCAAAAGAGTGAAACTCTGCCAAAAAAACAAAAACAAAACCAGATGGGAGTTTCCAGAGCATTAGCATATGGAGACATGGATAGAGTTAGAGGCTTTGTTATTATCTTGTAACTAGAAGCTATTTTATGAAATTTAATTTTGATGTGGTCATCCCTCTTTATACCACTGCACTGGCCTGAATGGAAATACCAGCGTGTGCTAAAACTGCATGTGAGCATATAGTGAATGTGTGTGTATTTATGTGTGTGTATATATTTATGATGTATGCACATTTTTACACAACTGGTTTGTTCTGTAGTGATAGAGTTTGGTATTCTTTTCTTCTGGCTATTGCTGCACCCTATCACAAGCATAAGCAGCTATTTGAAATTACTTATCACTGCCACTCTCTGAACTCAGACAACCTCCATCCTAAAAAATGGGATTTGGTACCAAGAAAAGGCTTTTTTTTCACTAAACTTTTGTTTCAAAATATACTAGTTTCCACTGTCCTCCACACGTGCCTTACAGTATTGTCAGAATTGTCTTTGAGGGGGTTTTTTAAAGAAATATTTTCTTGGCTGGGTGTTGTAGCTCATGGCTGCAATCCCAGCACTTTGGGGGGCCAAGGTGGGATGATCTCTTGAAGCCAGGAGTTTGAGACCACGCTGGGCAACACAGTGAGACTCCATTTCTTAAAAAAATTAAGTTTTTTTTTTTTTTTTTGAGATGGAGCCTCACTGTGTAGCCCAGGCTGGAGTGCAGTGGCGCGATATCAGCTCACTGCAAGCTCCGCCTCCCAGGTTCACGCCATTCTCCTGCCTCAGCCTCCCGAGTAGCTGGGACTATAGGCACCCGCCACCACGCCCGGCTAATTTTTTTTTTGGATTTTTAGTAGAGACGGGGTTTCACCGTGTTAGCCAGGATGGTCTCGATCTCCTGACCTCGTGATCCGCCTGCGTCGGCCTCCCAAAGTGCTGGGATTATAGGCGTGAGCCACCGTACCCAGCCAAAATTAAGTTTTTTTAAAAAAGAAATACTTTATTGATTAAGCGATAAATAAAAATAGTCTGCCACTGGACGGCATGAAATGAGAACACAGGATGTCTTCTGTATATTCCTACAAACATACCGAATTTGAATCTCATCATGAAAATAGCAGAGACATGTAACTTGGGACAATCTACAAAAATAATTGGACTGTAACCTTCACGAGTGTTTAAGTCATGAAGTCAAACGATCCTTTGACTAAAAAAGGATAAAACATCCTATGCCCTTTGATAAAGGACATGCATGAGATGACTGTCAAAATCTGAATGGGGTCTGAGGATTACACAGTAGCTCTGTATCAATGCCAATTTTTTTTTACTTTGATGGTTATGCTATGGTTATGTAAGGGAAAGTTCTTGTTTCTAGAAAATAAGAAATATGGGCCGGGCACGGTGGCTCACTCCTGTAATCCCAGCACTTTGGGAAGCCGAGGTGGGCAGATCACCTGAGGTCAGGAGTTCGAGACCAACCTGACCAACATGGAGAAACCCTGTCTCTACTAAAAATACAAAAAAAAATTAGCCAGGCGTGGTGCATGCCCGTAATCCCAGCTACTCGGGAGGCTGAGGTGGAAGAATTGCTTGAACCTGGGAGGCGGAGGTTGCAGTGAGCCGAGATCGCGCCATTGCACTCCAGCCTGGGCAACAAGAGCAAAACTCCATCTCAAAAAAACGAAAAATAAGAAATATGTCCTAAGGTATTTGAGGATAATACGGCAAGAGATAAACCACTTAACACTCAAATGGCAAAAAGAAAAATTTCTGAACGGCGCTTGCAACTTTTCTATAAACTTGAGATTGTTTCCAAATTATTATTATTATTATTTTGAGATGGAGTTTTGCTCTTGTTGCCCAGGCTGGAGTGCAATGGTGCAATCTTGGGTCACTGCAACCTCCACCTCCCGGGTTCAAGCAATTCTCCTGCCTCAGTCTCCCGAGTAGCTGGGATTACAGGCATGCGCCACCATGCCTGGCTAATTTTTTTCGTATTTTTAGTAGAGATGGGGTTTCTCCATGTTGGTCAGACTGGTCTCGAACTCCTGACCTCAGGTGATCAGCCCACCTTGGCCTCTCAAAGTGCTGGGATTACAGGTGTGAGCCAATACGCCCAGCCTGTTTCCAAATTAATTTTTAAGTGATGTTTCTTGAGGAAAAAAAAAAAAAAAAAAAAAGGCAACCCTATCTTTAGCATTTAGTAAAGGAACACAGTATTAAAAACTGATAGATATAGAAAAAGAGTTGAATGTGTCTTGTGTGTTCAAGTGGATTTTCGAATGTGTTCAAGTGGATTTTTAAAGATTTTTTTGGAAAAGAAATTTAAATGAGGTAAAAAGGTTTGAGTCAGCTTTTTATAGTAAGAACACAAAGGTTGTCTAATCACATACACTCTTCCCCAGCGTTTTTTGTTTTTTTACTGACTACTTTCATGCCACTTCTTTTTAAAATGCACTTTACTTTCTGATATTCTTAATGAAAAATAATTGAACTATAAACAACTTCTGGGGGTGCCGAGCGCAATGGCTCATGCCTGTAATCTCAGTACTTTGGGAGGCTGAGGCGAGCGGATCACGAGGTCAGGAGTTTGAGACCAGCTTGGCCAACATGGTGAAACCACGTCTCTACTAAAAACACAAAAAGTAGCCAGGAGTGGTGGCACGTACCCGTAGTCCCAGCTACTCAGGAGGCCGAGGCAGGAGAATCACTTGAACCCGGGAGGTGGAGGTTGCAGTGAGCTGAGATTGCACCACTGCACTCCAGCCTGGGTGACACACACACACACACACTTCTGGGGCAAGATAAGCAATTCAGCATGAATTCTCAAATAGAGGACTAAGAGAAACGGCATTACTCTATAACTTCTTCTCTCATTCTCACTCATCCCTACCAATACAACCCTGTTTTAAATTCAAATGTCATGAAAAGTTGGTGCTTGTCATCAAAAAGCTTATCCACCACAATCAAGCTGGCGTCATCCCTAGGATGCAAGGCTGGTTCAACATATGCAAATCAATAAAGGTAATGTATCACATAAACAGAACTAAAGAGAAAAACCACATGATTATCTCAATAGATGCAGAAAACATTTTTGACAAAATTCAACATCTCTTCATGTTAAAAACTCTCAATAAACTGGGTATCAAAGGAACATACCTCAAAATAGTAAGAGCTGGCTGGGCGTGGTGACTCACGCCTGTAATCCCAGCACTTGGGAGGCCAAGGCGGACGGATCACCTGAGGTCAGGAGTTCAAGACCAGCCTGGCCAACGTGGTGAAACCCCATCTCTACTAAAAATACAAAAAATTACCCGGGTGTGATGGCAGGTGCCTGTAACCCCAGCTACTTGGAAGGCTGAGGCAGGACAATTGCTTGAACCCAGGAGGCAGAGGTTGCAGTGAGCCGAGATCACGCCATTGCACTCCAGCCTGGGCAACAGGAGCGAAACTCCATCTCAAAAAAAAAAAAAAAAAATAGTAAGAGCCATTTACGACAAACCCACAGCCAATATCATACTGCATGGACAAAAGGTGGAAGTATTCCCCCTGAAAACCAGCACAAGACAAGGATGCCCTCTCTCATCACTGCTATACCAGCACAAGACAAGGATGCCCTCTCTCACCACTGCTATTCAACATAGTATTGGACGTTCTGGCCAGGGCAATCAAGCAAGAGAAAGAAATAAAGGGTATTCAAATACGAAGAGAGGAAGTCAAATTGTCTTTGTCTGCAAATGACATGATCCTGTGTCTAGAAAACCCCACTGTCTCAGCCCAAAACCTTCTTAAGCTGATAAGCAACTTCAGCAAAATCTCAGGATACAAAATCAATGTGCAAAAATCACAAGCGTTCCTACACATCAACAACAGACAAGCAGAGAGCCAACCAAAAAGTAGGCAAAGAACATGAACAGACACTTCTCAAAAGAAGACATTTATGTAGCCAAAAAACATATGAAAAAAAAGAATGCTCAACATCACTGATCATTAGAGAAACGCAAATCAAAACCACAATGAGATACCATTTCATGGCAGTCAGAATGGTGATTATTAAAAAGTCAAAGCTGGGCATGGTGGCTCACGCCTGTAATCCCAGCACTCTGGGAGGCTGAGGAAGGTGGACCACCTGAGGTTGGGAATTCAAGACTAGCCTGACCAACATGGAGAAACCTCATCTCTACTAAAAATACAGTATTAGCCGAGCATGGTGATGCATGCCTGTAATCCCAGCTACTCGGGAGGCTGAGGCAGGAGAATTCTGTTTTATGGCACACATATGTTCACTGCAGCACTATTCACAATAGCAGAGACATGGAATCAACCCAAATGCCCATCAATGATAGAATGAATAAAGAAAATGTGGTACATACATACACACAATGGAATACTATGCAGCCATAAAAAGGAAAGAGATCATGTCCTTTGCAGGGACATGGAGGAAGCTGGAAGCCATTATCCTCAGCAAACTAACACAGGAAGAGAAAACTGAACACCGCATGTTCTCACTTGTAAGTGGGAGCTAAACAATGAGAACACATGGACACAGTCCAACACACACTGGGGCCTGTTGAGGGGTAGGGTGGGAGAGGGAAAGCATCAGGAAAAAGAGTTAATGAATGCTGGGCTTAATACCTAGGTGATGTGTTGATGGGTGCAGCAAACCACCATGGCACACGTTTACCTATGTAACAAACCTGCACATCCTGCACATGTACACTGGACCTTAAAAGTTTTTTTTAAATAATAAAAAATTGGTGCTTCTCAGAAACAACTAGGCCTCAAGTCAGAATTATATGTGTTCTATGCACCCTAACTTCCAAGGAAGAGACTGTTCTTGATGAACTTCAATTAGATATATATTGTATTGGCTTATCTAGTAGATCTTAATTTATAGTCATATTCTCAGATTTCCACAAACTGTACTGTTTTGTGAAAGAGCTGTCTTGGGTTCAGGGTGTACAGAGTGGTCATGAAATAGCAAACTCAGCTACCCTGAATCATTAACTTCACAGGGTTATATACTACAGTAAGAGGTGATTACGAAGCCAGATAGCAAATGTATCTCAACCTACCACAAAGGTAGCATTTTTAACTTGTTAGGTATTTCCTAGAAGCAATATGCTCTATAATCTGGGAAGGCAGATACAAGCAGCTGTTTCTAGTTCCAATGACATTACCATTCTCACAAATGAAACCATTCACAAAAGTGGACAAAGATGTAGAAAAATGACGACTTATTTTCAATAGGAGACAATAGACCATTCCTAATGGGACATATATTTTCTTTCAAGCAAAGGAAACCTCCTGCTTAATACATTTTGTCATTTTTTGAACAGAAACCTTTTAACCAGAGATACACAGTGGCGTAACATGTTTCAGATGCACTTGCATTTACTATTGAAGAAAAGCCATGAAAAGTAGTAATAGTTATTTCTTTAAGTTTTTCTCATGTTAGAGCCTGAGAAATTCTAATTCATGGAGTGTATCAATTATTATAAAGACGTTTAATTTTATATTAAGATTTGAAAGGTTTTTTAATGAACATTAAGCAAGTCCACATATTTTCTAACTTTCCACAGGTTCCAAAAATAAGAGGAAGGAACCCAATTTTGAAATGTTGGTTTTAAAAAATTACAATATTTTTACATGAAATTGAGAGTAATTTCTGAACATCTTTACTTCTTTGTACCTTTGAAATAATGTACATTGTGTAAAACACTGGGATGCTTTGGTTAGCACAGACTTAGAAAAATTAAGGATGTTCATAGTTACATTTCATACTTAGTAAATTCATATTAACTAAATCTTTAAAAGATCCTCATATGCCCCTAATAGATCAAAAGCTCCTTAAGACGTAAGACCATGTTGACTTTATGGGTGAATGTTCAGCTCCTAGTATACTCTCTGAAATATAGAGATGGTTGTTTAATCCAAGTTTCCATTTATATTTATAGTAAATCATCATCTCCCTACTGCTACTCTCAGCCTCCAAGAAAGCTAGCTCTCTCCGACTAATGGTTCTAGGACAACTGGGGCCGGATAAATCTCTCTACATCAGTAAAGATCCCAGCAACTCAGCTGCTTCAAGAGACAACAGACAGAAGATGTCTATACATTAAGTATTTAGTCAATAGCATTATAAAGCACTCTGAAACAGAAAGAGCAGGATTTTTTTAAAAAGTACTTTGAAAGAGAACAGAAGATCACAGCTGAAATAGGGAGAATGCATTCCTGCTTGAATGCATACAATCTATCTGGCCTTTCACAAATGTGATTTAGTTTAACCTAACCAAAATTTGGATAAAATTACAAATTTTATAAATAAAAAAACCCCGAGGCTCAGAGAAGTAGCTTGACCAAAGTTGTGAGTAGAAGATCAAAATTTATAGCCAGATTTGTCTAAATCCAAATCTCACGCCCTTACCAATACATTACCTCAGAACAAAATTTAGTTTTTAAGATCCTTTTTAAATAATAAAAATGGACAAATGACACACATTTATAAAATAAATAGCAACTTTTCATTGTAAAGCAAATGCACTCACCTGCCCTGCTTTACTAAATCGATGGCCTGCCAATATCATATGAAATGCATATTTTCTAACCATGGGACTTTTCATGTTTATAAAGCAATGTGCTGCCTGTTCCAAAAGAAGTGCACTTCGAAGATCAGAATCCTAGTGAATGTTTAAAAGAGAAAAAGGTTAGTTTCACCAAGTTAAAAGTAAATAGATAACTAGTGAAAAAAACATTTAATTTCTTAATATATAGCATATCCAATGTTTAACTTAAGAGTATATGAGGGCAAAGATCAAGGGGAAAACCAATCTTGATTTTTCCAATAAACACAAAATTCTTTTAAGCTTTGAAAACATCTTCTACCATGAAATACTTAGCTTTTCATAAAAGCCACATGTCTGGTTATGATATGTGCCATGTACCAAATCTGTGAATAATTGCAATCCTTTCTCAAATGGCAAAAAAGTATGTAAACTACAAATTTAATACAGGTATACCGATAAAAAATAAACCAGAAAACATTTACACCAATCGAATTTCCTCTGAAAATTGACTTGTTGGCATATTTTCATCCACCCAAGAAAACATGTACATAGATTATGAAATATTCTAATCTACTATTTCATTCTCTGTAAAATTTTACTGCATTTAAAGGAATCCTCAACTTTTGCTATAATTCTAGAGGGCCAAATCGACTGCATTTCATTAAAAAGTTCACAATGCTTCTACTTCAAAGATTTTCTTTTCACCTATTATTACATTAATAAAGAATACAACTCAAGTAAGTTTCCACTTCAACTGAATCTTACAGTACAGCATCTACAAAACCACATACTACATTACGTCACTGCCCTTAAGACAAATCTTTTGACTGAAAGAGTCATCACTTTACAGATAACTGAGAAAGTACTGAAGGTTGCTGATTAAATATCAACAACATTTTCACCAAAACTTTCTCCAGGTTTTTAGCTGTTCTCAAGCTGAACTTACCATGCCCTTCCATGTGTTCTGCTGCCATTATTTTCCCCAGGGAAAGTTGAAAACAGAAAACATTGACTTTAAATGCGATAATCTCAACAAATTATAGTTACATCAAAAGTGTTCACAGACCATTGATTAGCATAAACTGTCTCTGCGTCAATCATAGAATTATACTAGAGCTGAAACAGACTCGAGGAAATCATCTAGAAAGCATTCAGTAAATGGCAGCTATTATCTATTTCATCCTCCTCCTGACAAAAACTAAATGATTAGATGATTGCTCTAGTAATTAAGATCCAAAAGCTAGTAAGTAAAAAAGTCAGAAATATGTAATTAATGAGTGGTTCTTAAAAACGGGTTTGTGTCAGAAATACTTAGGGGAGCTTGGGAGCCTATTTTATTTTTTAGAAAAATGTTTTCTTTTTAGAAATTATTAATACAAACTAATTTTTTTAAAAAGAATACATGTTTGAAGAAAAAAGTGAACATCTTTCCTAGCCCATGCTTCATGTCATTTGCCAGAGTAACTATTCTTTACAGCTTAATAGTGTTGTGTCATGTCACCCCTCCTATATATGTATGTGCATGTGTTTACATGCCTAATACATATGCATTTTTAAAAATACACATATATTTTGATACGTAAGTGGTATTTATATGGAGTACCTTGCTTTTTTCACTTATGTAATGGACATCTTTCTAAGACATCTACATCTGTCTCATTTATTTTAAAGCTACACTGTCTTCCATTATATAAATGTACCCTAAATTACCGATTGTTTCATATTTTGTTACTACATAAAATGATTTGATAACTATCCTTATAGAAACATTTGAATAATTATTCAAATATTTTTAATAGAGAAATTTCTGGAAGTAGAACTGTGGAGTTAATGAAAGCTATGCATATACTACTTCAGATTCTAATCAATATAGCCAAACTGCTACAAAAAAAGTAGCACCAATACATACTCTCATCAACAAAGAATAAGAGTATATGTGTTCCACTCTACTCAGCCAAAAATCTTTAAAATTTTTAGCTAATAAAATAAAAATGACACCCGGGAGCTCACACCTGTAATTCCAGAACTTTGGGAGCCGAAGGTGGGGGATCGTTTTGAGCCAAAGCGTTCAAGACCAGCCTGGGCAACAAAAAGAGACCCCTGTCTCTACAAAAATTAGCTGGGCATGATGGTGAGTGTCTGTGGTCCTAGCTACTTGGGAGGCTGAGGCAGGAGAATCACCTGAGCCTGGGAGGCTGCGGCTGCAGTGAGCCATGAATGCACCACTGCACTCCAGCCTTGGTGAACGAATGACGCCTTGTCTCAAAAAAAGGGAAAAAAAAAAAAAAACAACATCTTGTTCCTTAACATACATTTCATTGTAGGACTGTTAATCTTTTCATATGTTTAGGGGATTTTGTAATTTTCCTATGAATTGCCTGTTTATGCTCTTTTGTGAATGGTTTGTTGCGATTTTCTGCTTTGTAAGAGCCCTTGTATGCTCTTAATATTGGTCCTTTGTGATATATTTTGCAAATAGTATTTTCCAGTTTTGACATGAAAGAGTTTATTCTTTTGCAGGGAAGCACACTCTCTTTGCCTTTATAGTGTCAAGATATTACATCAAACTAAGAAAGGATGTTATCATTCCAGGACTTTAAAAAGTGCTCTCCTAGTATTTGCTTCTAGGTGTGTGTGTGTGTGTGTGTGTGCGCGCGCGCGTGTGCCTGTGTGTGTGTTACCCTGGTTTCATTTTTTATTATAGCTTAATCAAGCCATAATATATTAAAACACAATGAATAAGCTAAGATTCCAACCCAAACAGCTGGTTAGATATCACAATACCATTTTGTGAGTAAGTTAACTTTCTCCACTGATTTTAAATGATACCTTAATCATATGCAGTATTTAAATTCTCATTCCAGCCCATTAATATGTCTATTCTTATCACTGTATAGAGTTTTACTTTCTGTAGCCTTATATTTTAATAGCCATATTTTAATATCTAAAATAGGTAATTCTCCCTAATTATTGTTTCTATTTCAGAATTTCACTTAGGCCTCAACAGAGTTCAGTTTTTTAAGTGCTGTAATTTCTTAAGTCTATTCTTAGCACACTGCACATATGCATGCATACATACACACACACGAAAAAATAAAATAAAATAATATACACACACACACTTTTTTACTGCCTATGAAGCTTCACTAAACTGCAAAACCTGGATGGGCAGCAATCCTGGACATTCTCATAAGCTAAGAATATCCCCTGAGAATATTTAATGGTTTGCAAATGATTCTAACGCACAATCCAGTTAAAAACCAAAATGAGAAACCCTTAGCATTCCCAAATTTAACACTCAAGAACTGACCAACTGAAGGCAGATGTGGAAGTCCATGGCCTTCCATGGTATTAATTTGGCTGAAACAAAATTTTGACTCTTGCATGTGGAGAATCAGTTTCTAGACTGACTGAGAATCAGTTTCTAGAGCTGAATACCATGTTTTCATATCTTGGTCCAGCTTTATTCTTCATTGGACCCTGACTCTTACTGTGACACCCAAAGTGGTAAAAACATTGTTTTGAGAGGAGGAAAATTGCCCTGAAAAGAATGACAACTGGTATCAGTGTTGATGGAAGAGAAATAAAAGGATTTTTACAAAGTGATGGTTTTATCCAGAAAGCAAAGGCTTTAAATGAACTGAAAGATACAATTTTAATACAGTGGTGTATTTCATACTATCGAATAACAAGTTTTGTTTATGTTCTATAAGAAACTAAGAAAAAAAAATCTGTTGATAGCACTTCAACAAGAACTCTGGCCTATGAAAATTCTCCACAACCAAGAGATAATTTTAACAAAAGATAAAAAGATAACAATAACTTAAAATATGAGAGTATGTACAGGAAAAAAAAAATCACCTGAGGTAGAGGCCTCAATTAACATTTCAATAAAAACACAGTTGATAAAGCCACCAGTTGCAGCTAATTAACTGAATCAAACATCAAACAAAAGATGGCTCTAAGCTTTTAAGATTTCATCTCTGCATACTTGTGAAGTTAACAGGAAAGGTGCTATCAGCTGATAAATTTCCCATAAGACCAGTTACTCCTAAGCTGAAGAAACTTACAAAAAACTGGTATTAGCATCCCTAGAAACTGATTTTTCATATTTAAAATAGTAACAGAAAAAATGGGTTATAAGACCAGAATAAGTGTTCAACACAGAAACAGACACAAGTAGGTATGTCTTAAGCACCAAATTCATATACATCCTATGCGGTGATAAAGGTAGCATGTTTCACCATTAAACTGGGTTTGCTCTGCCATTCTGAGAATCCCAGGGCATAAAACAAAAAATATGATTCACTTGACCAAAAATTTGCAGTACACAAAGTCAAAGCACAGCTCCTCCTTTTGCCTAGGCCTCATTAACTATCTTTTGCTATGACGGTATTAGCAAAAATCTAGGGAACACAGCTCAGGAATGTCAAGAGTATGTAACTCAATTCTCCAGCTTCAAAACCAGTGTACATCTCTTGATATTATACAGCCTTTCTAGTTAACAAAATACATACAGTAAATGTAAATTGTTGGTAAAGATTTAACATAATTTATAAACATGCCTAATAATCATTAGTCTCAAGTTATCTCAAAGAAATTTATGAAAGGTATAGCAGAAAAGGCCATTAAGAATCACGATTTCTGGGTACGTGCACCACCACCTGCCCCCTCTCCCCACCACATGGCAGCAAATAACAATGATACATTTTCTAGACTTTCATGATAAAACAAATCATCCAGATTTGAGAAAGAAAAGTGGAAACAAAGAGTTGGAAAGAAGAGAAAAATGACAAAAAATAACACGGTTATAATGCAGACAGGAGAACTTGCTCTGAAGAAATTTTATTCACATATGTGGATAGAATGGCATATTGAAATCATTTAAGCAAGGAAGAAAAAAAGGAATTTTATTGAAGCTCCTGAACCATAAATTCTTTTTACATTCACTGATAATCCTTAGGTTGAAGAACACGGCAACACATTCAAATCCAAGTTAAGATTATTTATTATAATAGAGAATATCAAAATACTCAAAAGCCTTATTCAGCTCTACAAATAGTTTGTCTGTTATCTGTTCATATTTATTAGTCAGTGTCCATGCAATAACAATTATTAAACATTTTAAATATCACTTCTGAACCTAACTAGTTAGACCTTACAGAAACTTTTGTAGAAGAATTAATGGTTCAGTTACAACAAACACTTGTAGAGCATCTAATCCATGTGCCAAGGCCAGTGTTAGGCAACAAGAATAAAAACAGAAGGCAACACGGTTCCCTGCCCTCAAGAAGCTAACAGCTTAAGAAGCTTAAACATAATTTCCAATATAATATAATATGACAAGTCAGGTTTTACAGCATTGTATGAGAGAGAAGAACAGAGACACTTAGGACAAACAGGTGTATTAGGAAAGACTATCTGAAGTACACAACTGGTATCATGACTAGTAAATTAGGCAAAGCAAAAGGAAAAAGGCCGCAGTCCCAAAGAGAAAATATTAAGAATGAGAACTAGAACAGTAGAAGTTTAAGAAAAACCAACAACAAAAGAAAGAGAGAGAAGTAAACTATTTGGAGATACAAAAAGAAAATATATTTTTAAAGGTTAAAATTGTTTTAATTAAATAAATAATGTTTAAGAGCTTGAAAACAAAAATTACTCCCATCCCCACCCCCACCTCCATTCTGCACTGGATTACAGACAGGATATGAGAATACAGGAATATCTCAAGCCATTTCTGCCTTGAGCAAATAGAGGGCTAGTTAGTGATAACATAATTTAAGATCATGATATATTAGGTAAAAAATTTTATGGGTTTATTTATATGTTAATTTAAGATGCCTTGGAAACACGCAAGTAGATAAATCTTTGTTGTTGTTGTTGTTGAGACAAATGAGTCTCGCTCTGTCGTCCAGGCTGGAGTGCAGTGGTGCGATCTCGGCTCACTGCAACCTCCACCTTGTGCTCAAGCAATTCTCCTGCCTCAGCCTCCTGAGTAGCTGAGATTACAGGTGTGCACCACCATGCCTGGCTAATTTTTGTATTTTTAGTAGAGACAGGATTACACTATGTTGGCCAGGCTGGTCTCAAACTCCTGACCTCAGGTGATCTGCCCGCCTCGGCCTCCCAGAGTGCTAGGATTACAGGCATGAGCCATCATGCCTGGCCACAAGTAGATAAATCTTAAAGACAGTTGGCCATACAAATCTAAAGCTCAAGGAAAGGTCAGGGTTGAAGACAGATTTGAAAGTGAAAAGCATGGCTGTGAACAAGATCATCCCCAAAACGTAAAGAGTTAAAAAGTGCATTGGTCCAAGGATTAAAATCCTAGGATAATTTAACATTTAAGGAGCAAACAAAGGAGGTGTTTGATTTTGTTCCTTCGTTCTTCAGTATTCATCTAAAAAATGTGTTATTAACAGTACTTATAAAGGAATTACTACCATTCTTTACAAGCCTGCAGTCAATGTAACTCAATAATATTTGTTGTAAAATCTTCAACAACTATAAATGAATTACTTTTTTCTCTTTTAAAATATTCACAATATAGGTTTTTTAAATGTTTAAGATGATTTTCTTAAAAAGTTCATGCTAGTTGAAAGTAAAACTAAAAATTCCTCAGTGATTAATCTTTTAAAATTAGCTTTATCTCCCTAGCAAGCAGACTCAGATAACAAAATATGAGTAACAAAAAATAAAATATCATTTTATATTAGGAACAATGCACATGCATATTGTTTTCAATATTCTTATTCAAAGGACAAAACGTAATAAGTCACAGAGTATGCTCAATACATGTCTGTAGTTAATAATGAAATGTAGGCTTAAAATATGTAAATAAACTTAATTTATAAAAAATTACATTTAAAATTAACTCAACAAAAAACTAAAATAGCCATGTTGTAAATTCCCAAAGACAGATTTCCCTGGCTAATTTTATGTTTTGTAAAGCCTTTCAAGAAAAAAGATACATCTTTTTAAAAAAAAAAGAACAATGCTAATTAAAGCAAATACTACACAGTTTCAGTACCTCACTGGTCAACCGTATTAGGAGAGCTGCAGCCTCTGAATATTTGCTTTGGCTTTTTAAAAGTTCAGCACTAAGCAACACACATCTTTCAGCCAACACCATATTCCTATAGAAAAAAGGACAAGAAGATAAAATAGCACAATAATACCTTAGCACATCAAAGTAAATGTGTTCAGCAAAAGATTCCAATTACAGTTTTAGAGGATAGTTGCAGGGAGATGGTTCCAGGACCCTCCAGGATACTAAAATCCAAGGTTTGTCAAGTTCCTTATATAAAATTGTATAGCATTTGCCTATTAACCCATACACATCCTCTTATATAATTTAAATAATCTCTATATTACTTATAATACCTACTACAATGTAAATACTATGTAAATCATTGTTATACTTTATTTTTTATTTGTATTTTAAATTTTTGTATTGTTATTATTTATTGTTGGTTTTTTCCCAAATATTTTTAATCTGCAATTAGTTGAATCTGCAGATGCAGAACCTGCAGATACATAGGGCTGACTGTAAAAAGAAGAAAAGAAGTCTATGTCCTTGTTTTGCACCTACCAAAAAGGTTTTTTAAAAAAATCTTCAAAGACTTCTTATAACTCATCAAAACTTTTCATTATCATGTAATTTGGCAGTAAGAATACAATGCAAAGTCATATCTCCTGCATGCAAAAAAGCTAGAACTGGTTCCAGAACCTATTTAACAAAGTCTGCTTTGAACAGAAAAATATAAACATGTCACACATTATTTCTTTCTCCTTCCCTATGCAAATTCTGACTGTGTTTCATTTTGCTGGCTACTTTGAGAAATATTTAGGTATTTTCCCCCTGGTAGTACCATTAGGATATTTCTGCTGGAGATGGCTTACAGCCAGCGTTGTCTGATTGATTCCTGATCCAATTTTAGTTTTTTTTGTAAAAACATAATCAGTTGATTTTGTGGACTACTACATCAGTAATCTAGAATTAGATTATCCATTTTAGAAAAGAATAAAAACAAATGAAAACATTCTTACTATGAAATTACAAGATGGAATCCTATTGCTGGCAAACAGCAGCAAAAGTTTTTCTTTTTACTTTCTAATCCTTATAGAATCAAAAATATCACTTGGCTTTAAAATTATTAATATAACTAAAGCTTGCTAACTTGAATTTACTTTGGAAACCCATTCTAAACGATGAACAGTATTTATTTTTGAAACACAATTTACTCCTTTCAAAAATTCAAAAATTACTATACTGACTTGTCATAAACTTTCTACAAATCACACCTTTTCTTGGAGGTTAGATATTTATGAATACCTAAGACTGTTTTGATGAACACAAAAGACTAACTCCTATATACTAGCAACTACTTATATAATAGGTTCAGTTCTTAAAGATTTGTCTTCAGTAAATTTTATAAACTCCCTTAAATCTTAACACTTATTTTACTTATTTATGTTTGATTCCAAAACCATTTATCCCATATGGTCAATTACTTCAGTTTCCTCATCTGTAAAATGAGGATAACAATAGCATTCACGATTTCAGAGGTTTGTTATTAAGACTAAATGAGCATATAGATTTCTTCTGCATGGTGGCGAATGCTGAACACTCAAAAAATGTTTATTATTATCTTATTAATGATGTTGTTTTGTTCTAACCATGTTACCATTACGATGACTACTTTTACTTCAACATTATAGGGGTCTTATAGGGGTCAAAATTGCCTCTATATCTGCCTTCCAGTGCATCTATTCTGAAACAACAGATAAGTCGGATTAATCTTTCCGAAAAATAACTTTTATTACGTCAACTCTCTACTCAAATATTCGGTAATTTTCCATTTACTACTACGTAAGTCTTCACTGAAGCTTAATAAAAATAATACATGGGCCTGGCGCGGTGGCTCGCACCTGTAATCCCAGGATTTTGGGAGGCCAAGGTGGGCGGATCATGAGGTCAAAAGTTTGAGACCAGCCTGGCCAAAACAGTGAAACACCTTCTCTACTAAAAATACAAAAAATTAGCTGGGCATGGTGGCAGATGCCTGTAATCCCACCTACTTGGGAGGCCGAGACAGGAGAATCACTTGAACCTAGGAGGTGGAGGTAGCAATGAGCTGAGATCACACCATTGCATTCCAGGTGGGTGACAATGCGAGACTGTCTCAAAAAAAAACATGGGCTGGGCATGGTGGCTCATGCCTGTAATACCAGCACTTTGGGAGGCCGAGGTGGGTGGATCTCTTGAGGTCAAGCATTCGAGACCAGCCTGGCAAACATGGTGAAATCGTCTCTACTAAAAATACAAAATAGCCAGGCATGGTGGCGCGCACCTGTAATCCCAGCTACTCCAAAGGCTGGGACAGGAGAATCACTCAAACCCAGGAAGAAGAGGTTACAGTGAGCCAAGATTGCGCCACTGCACTCCCGCCTGGACGACAGAGCAAGACTCCTCCTCAAAAAAAACCAGAAACAAAAAAATAATACATGACAGTAAAGGTTCCTCACACAGATTTATCTCAAACCTCCTTTCCAAATTTATCATCCAGTACTTTCCCTATACAGCAACCTTCCAACCTAGCCAGGGCTTTCTTCTCTTTAGCCAGTAATGCACATCTAAAACATTATGCCTGCCAATCACAATTCCTGATACGTCTTCATGGTTATCAAGTCCTAACCACCTTTCTTTCAAGGTCTATCCATCAAATATCCCATGAAATCTCCCCTGACCACTGGGGACCAGCTCATAGTCTCCTCATAGGTGGTGAGTTCTCACTTTTATAGGGTTCCAACAGAAAGCACTATGAATACAATATTGTTTAACTATTTGTGTTTTGCCTATTTAACAAAGAAAATGCAAAATGACTAATTCCTAACTTGATAGCAGTTTAAAGCTAGAAATGTCCCCACAATACAAATTACCTTCAATGTAACATATAATCTCAACATTACATAACACATTCCTAACCACCAATCCAAACAAAATAGAAAAGAAAAAGGTATAATAAAACACTAACTTTTTAAAAATCACCTCAACTTGTCTCCGACTATATTAACTTGATTTGGGAGTTTAGGAATGGGGAAAAAAAAAAAAAAAGAACAAACTGACCTTTAACTGGATACAATATAAATCTTATATAGTCACCTACTTGCAGATATCTCTGTATGTCTGAATTGCTGTATCCATGTAATGAGCAGGATATGGCCTAGGTGCTCCTGGTTGAAGAAAAGCAGACACTGCTGCCATTTCCTAAAATAAAAGACATAGTTTACATATTTCAAAAGAAGAAACAGTCTTACAGTTTAGATGGGAAACTAAAAGTTGGAATGAAATTTGCTGTTTTTTTTTTAACTGGATACACATGTATAAACTTCATAGCCTAATGCAGACTTGAAAAACACATTTGTAGCCCAGTCACTCTTCAGAGAAGATGGGTGATCTGACTCTGGAAGGACTGAAGTCAGAGAGGTCAAAAGAGCACCTAGAATTCAAGTTAAGTAATGAGTAAGAGTCTTACAGAAACCTCCAAGTAGCACTGTCTTACTTGGCTCTTGTGAGCAAAGACTGCAGTACCTTCAATTAAGGCCTTTAAAACATATCCTTAAAGACTAGTGGATCCTTGGCCAACTGGTCTCAGAGAAATCATGAGAGTAACAGGCATTTCTTTATTGTATTTATATTATTCTCTTTCTACTTTCCAATTTCTGAACACCCTCTAATGACCACTGTTTTGGGATGTGTTTTTCCTGAAAGAACATGGGGAATACAGAGATCAAAAGGGAGAGGCTTCCATTACAGGTAAAGTTAGATCAGATAAGATTTAGCAGTTAAACTCCAGGAAAATGAAGAATGAATTCTGGTGTCCAGACAATTACGAAAGGCTCAGGCAAATATAAGGGCACCACTGGCTACATGGGGAGCAAAGACTGCCTCCTAAGATTTGTTTAGACCCCAGGGAGGTCTTCACTTTTGCCTAAACTCAGATTTGCCATGGAAATTCCAGAGCAGACATTTGGATTTGTCCTCCTTTGGGCGTCTACGTGAATGTTGTGTGGCAGTGTGAGTGGGTGCACGTATATACAATGTGCTTATGGGTGAATGTTTGGTCAGGCCTAGTGGTTAGGTGTGTTGTCCATCACTTTTATTTTGTCCAGATTTTTTAATCTTCTGTTTTCTAGAGCTACTCATGTTTCCCCTTCCTCTTTGTCACTGTAGTATTTGACAGTTATCTTTTCCCACCAAAAATATGCTGAACTGGCCGGGTGTGGTGACGCATGCCTGTAATCCCAGCACTTTGGGAGGCTTAGGCGGATGGATCACTTGACATCAGGAGTTGGAGGCCAGCCTTGTGAACATGGTGAAACACTGTCTCTAATAATAATACAAAAATTCCTGAACACCCTCAACAGCCAGAAGTGGTGGCAGGTGCCTGTAATCCTAGCTACTCAGGAGGCTGAAGCAGGAGAATCGCTTGAACCCGGGAAGCGGGGGTTGCACTGAGCCGAGATAGTGCCACTGCACTCTGGCCTGGGCAACAGAGTGAGATTCGGTCTCAAAAAACAAACAAACAATAACAACAACAACAAAGTATGCTGACCCTACACTGGTCCGAGCAACCTCTTGGTCACAGCAAGAGGTTATTTCTGTTAAGCAGCATCTTACCCCCAGTGTTCTCCCAGATATTCTGCCTAACAGCTTTAAGTGGGAGGTTGAATAGTCAGTTTATCTAAGCCATCTATTTTTCCAAACTAGCTTGAAAGGTATTTCCATTTATGTTTACTCCATGGGCCTCTGATATGCTGAGATGTAACACAGTTTTGGTTGTGGTATCATCTGTTATAGAGACAAAGGGAAAAAAGGTTGGCCAGGCCCAACATAACCAGCGTGTTAGGTTGCCACTGGAGATGGGGGAGTCAGTCTCCACTTTGCACAGCTGGGGCTTTTCTCCTCTAACCCATTTGCCGGGTTTTCTGTTTGAAAATAGCCCCTACTGGCCAGGCGCGGTGGCTCACGCCTGTAATCCAGCACTTTGGGAGGCCGAGGCGGGCGGATCACGATGTCAGGATATCGAGACCATCCTGGCTAACACAGTGAAACCCCATCTCTACTAAAAATACAAAAAATTAGCTGGGCAAGGTGGCGGGCGCCTGTAGTCCCAGCTACTCGGGAGGCTGAGGCAGGAGAATGGCGTGAACCCCGGGGAGCGGAGCCTGCAGTGAGCCGAGATCGTGCCACTGCACTCCAGCCTGGGTGACAGCGAGACTCATCTCAAAAAAAAAAAAAAAGAAAATAGCCCCTACTCCTCTCCAGTGTCCTGCTTTTTGATTGCGCGCGTGCGTGCGTGCGTGTGTGTGTGTGTGTGTGTGTTTTCCCTGTGACACTGGAAGTGGCAACAATTTTCCACCCAGAGAGAAGCTTTGGCCCACAATGCTCCAAGAAGGAATTTCCAAGTATTTGCTGGTGGAAAAAGAGCAGAGGCTACGACAAGAATGATTTAGGGTTGTACTTTCAGAAGAATTATCTACGACAGTAATATAAGTAATACATTTATATAAGCTTTCAATCTTAAAATTCTCTAGTTAATATCTGAAGTCTCCCATTCAATATATAAATGAGATTTTCAAAAAAACCTAGTAAACACTTTGGGTTATGGTGTATATATACTACCAGATTAGCCTAGCTTAAGATTTCTACTATCACCCTCCTCCCTGTTCTTCCCTAACCTTCAATAAGTAGAGAACAGACCAATGATGGATCACAAAGAGAAGAAATAAAGTACATCTCTTTCCAATTTATTGGCAACAATATAAAATCAGAGCTCACAACGGCTTGCCTTATCAATATATTCTGCCAATTACAAACTCTAGTTTATATCCACTATCTTATAGACAGTGCAAAGACCATTTTTCTTAAGCCTATTATTACTGTCAATTTCCTAGATCATATTTCATTTTAAAACCTCATTCTGGATGGGCACAGTGGCTCACACCTGTAATCCCAGCACTTTGGGAGGCTGAGGCAGGAGGAGTGCTTGAGCCCAGGAATTCAAGACTAGCCTGGGCAACATACTGAGATCTGTATCAAAAAAAAAAACAAACTCATTCTACTGGCAATAACTAGGACTTTAGTTAATAATTCAAATAATATACAATGGTGGTTAAAGGATTTAGAAATGAAGATTAAGCACAGTGCCACATGCCTGTAACCCCAGCACTTTGGGAGGCCAAGGCAGGGAGAATGCTTGAGCTCAGGAGTTTAAGACAATCCTGGACAACATGGCAAAATGCCATCTCTACAAAAAATATAAAAATTAGCCACACGTGGTGGCGCATGCCTATAGTCCCAGCTACTGTGGGGGGCTGAGGTAGGAGGATCAGTTGAGCCCAGGAGGTGGAGGCTGCATAAACTGTCATCGCACTACTGCACTCCAGCCTGGGCAACAGAGCAAGACCTTGCCTCCAAAAAAAAAAAAAAAGAAAAAAGAACCTAAGTTTTAATGGAAATGGCTCACGCCTGTAATCCCAACATTTTGAGAGACCGAGGTGGGTGGATCACCTGAAGTCTGGAGTTCGAGACCAGCCTGACCAACATGGAGAAACCCTGTCTCTACTAAAAATACAAAATTAGCCAGGTGTGGTGGTACATGCCTGTAATGTCAGCTATTCGGGAGGCTGAGAGGGGAGAATAGCAGGATGGGAAAGCCATAATTCACTTTTAAGACAAACAAATGTACTTCTCTGCAACATTTTTTAAAATAGAAGAAAAAACAAATAATGATTTGAGAACTGAAATATGATTAAAGCCTTTAACCTGATAGTTCCATGAATGACAATATGAACGATATCTATTTTAGAATGCCTCTGTATCCTCAGCACTCAGCAGTATCTGCTCTAAAATTCACTGAAGAAGCTAAATAAAATACATAATATCCATGTGACAAAATATCGTACAGCTCTAAAACATGTTTTCTTGGCCAGGCCCAGTGGATCACGCCTGTAATTCTAGCACTTTGGGAGGCTGAGGCAGGCAGATCCCTTGAGGTCAGGAGCTCGAGATCAGCCTGGCCAACTTGGTGAAACCCCATTTCTACTAAAAATTCAAAAATCAGCTGGCAGTGGTGGCACATGCTTGTAATCCCAGCTACTTGGGAGGCTGAGGCAGGAGGATCACTTGAACCCAGGAGGTGGAGGATGCAGTGAGCTGAGATCAAGCCACTGCACTCCAGCCTGGGCAACAGAGTGAGATTCCATCTCAAAAAAAAAAAAAAAGTCTGCAAGCATTCCTATTACTGGTTTTGCTGTGATATTTATTTTGCCTTTGTAGTTACTATGACTAAATATCTTCTATAATTTTCATCTAAAAAGGCATACGATCTAGTCTATTCTACTACAACACATTTTTATCTTATCAATTAGTTAACATGTGAATGGTAAGGGAAGTGATATCAGTTCAAATTAAATTTTTATTCATACATAATTTTTCTTAGGCAAGGGAATCAAAAATAGCAGTATTATAAACTTATATCCTTCAGTAGGAAAGGAAAAAGCCCTGAGCTCAGCTGCTGCACAGAAAGGCGCTCTTTCAGCTGCTAAAAACTGAATGCCTACACTTTGGTGCATATGGACTGTGTCTCCAGAGAAGTACACCACCAGCCTTGCACAGCTCTGGGCTCAGGGCAGGCTGTACTTTCTTCTATGATCAGCTTCATGGCAGCTCCATCGGTTGGGAACTCTTCTTGCTCATCCCCATCTCTATAAAAAAATTATTTTTTATATTCCCTGAGGTATCCTCAGCCATGCTAAGCTGCCTATCTAGATTATTTAGGTAATCTTCCAAGGTACCATTTAATGTTTTTGTTTGTGCTCTGGTTACAAAGATGAATAGGTTTCAAGAAGACTAACCCAGTCTAACTTTTCTCAGAAGCCCATTATTTTTAGGGTAGCTTTTAAAGGCTAAGTGATTTTCAGGTGCACATATATCATCTAAGAATAAATATGCCTTTATTTTCCAGTGCTATATTATTTTCTCTCAAATAGCTACTAATACTTCCAGTTGAATGGCTTAAATGTAGTTTTTATCAAACATTCTACTTGCAGGTACATTAAATAAAAATTTCTCATTACAAATGCATACCTAGGTTATAAGGTATTAATAATAACATGAAGTATTTGTGATTTCATATTAGCTTAAATTGGATGACTATAATGAGCAATCAGAGAATATTTAGCCAAGGAAAATTCACTTATATTTTCAAACACTTCTCATGAACATAGCATATTTTCCATTTCTATGAAAGGTTTTTAAAAACTTGGTTGGCCGGGCACAGTACATTGCCTGAGGTCAGGAATTCGAGACCAGCCTGGGCAACACAGCGAAACCCTGTCTATACTAAAAATACGAAAAAAAAAAAAAAAATTAGATGGGTATGGTCGGGCATGCCTGTAATCCCAGCTATTCAGGAAACTTAAGCACAAGAATCTTGAACCCGGGAGGTGGAGGTTGCCGTGAGCTGAAACTCTGTCTCCAGGAAAAAAAAAAAAAAAAAAAGTGGGCTGACTTTTTTCATTAAAAAATTAGAGAACCAGAAAGCAATAGTAATATAATTTTGCTATTCTGGCTTCCATTTTTAAGTTACATATTTTATATATGCACAGTATTAAAATAAATGCAAAACAAATGCCAGTTATTAAACAAGTATCTGTCAGCCTGTGAATATTTTCTAGCTAAAAAAAAGTATCTACACAATTACCTATGAATTATTCTTATAAACTTTTTTCTTCACTTTTGTTTATAAGCTTACATGTCTTTTAAAAGATTAAATAAAAAGTAACAGTGCTAATTTTACTCTTTTCTGAACACATAAAGCAGATTACACATATATCTGTGGTAACTTTTCAAAAACATTAAAAGGTTTTAGGCAACAAGTATAGCAAATTCTTTGGAAATACCTGGCTTTGTAATCAATTACAAAACTAACACAACTGATATTACTGACAGCTTATTATATATAAGGCATTATGCTAAGTGCATGCTTTATACTTTATCTGATCCTATACCATTAGGATTCGCATATTTTACAGGTCAGAAAACTGTAGCTTAGAGATATTCAATAACTTGCCTAAGATGAGAGAGTGTCTCACACCAAAGTACATGTTCTTGATGTATGAAGTCATACATCAAGCAACTTAAAAATGTTTGTCAAGGTTTAAAAAAACTTCTAAAAAAATTTTTGTATTTTAAATATATTAGAAAATGAAATACAATTCTGAAAGCTGATGCAAAAGTTGGAAAGTACTAATAAAGAAAGAAACCCTAATACATGACCATTTTTTAATTACCTAGTTTTTTGGGTTTTGTTTTTAAGAAATAAGTTTTTTCAATTTATTTTTAAAGATGCAATCTTACTATGTTGCTCAGGCTGGTCTCAAACGCTTGGGCTCAAGCAATTCTACTGCCTCAGCCTCCCAAGCAGCTGGAACTACAGGCATGTGCCACCATACCCAGCTAATCAACTAGTCTGAGGGAAATCCATCAACTCAGCATTAAGGAATTAACAATCTGTAAAGTACTATATGCTCTTTGAGTACAACTTTATCCCTAAGGATTCTGTTTGCCACCAAGAGAAATTTCTAAATAATTTATGGTAGCAGAATTAAGGAATTATAATACCATAGAATACCAACCAAGGCACCAGCTGCATAAAGCATTGCTTGATCATTAAGAAAATCTTTCTTTGCAGTATGATAGCAACTGTAAGCCAAATCATAATGCTGCACCAAAAAACATAAGTCAGCCATTTTCCTGATTTGAAGTTCTGGTGCTTCCGGCGGATACCTGTAAATACAAAAGAAAATAATTTATAATTTATTACCCCCCAAACCATTAAAATTATAAAATACATTAACAAGCTGCCATGTTCTTCTAGAATATGAAGAAAACTAATGCTGTTTCAAAGAAATTCTACCTCCAACAAGAGTGTCAGTTCTCAAAAATACCTGGAAACAGAAAGTTCCTTGTTTTATTATTTATAGCCCTGAGAATGTCTGAATGGCAGGCAAACATTTTCTCCATGGTCAAATAATGAAGTAAATGGTTAATTCCAAGTGACTCACATTTATATACAACCAGGAGAAAGATTAAAATCCAAAATGGATTAATTATATTTTTTCCTTAAAATGGTTTTTTGTGTAAAGCAAAATTTATTAAATGTGTCCCTTGTCTTAGAATCATCAGGCCATTACATTTTAGATATAGAATGGTTACTAATGAATACCTAGTCTAACTTCATTGTTTTACAAATAAGGAAACAGACCAAAAGTGACTTTCCCATTTGTTTTTAGATGTCCAATTACTTAGTTTTTAAAAAATTAATATGATTTACTTGAGTCACTCTTCTTATCCACCTGAATTTTCACCAATAAGAAACTAAGAAATTAAAGAGATAGTTATCTTCTGCAGGATATACAATCAAACACTAGTCAGAGAGTTAAACAGAGGAAAAACAAAAATGATAACACTTTACTCACAGCAAGCCAGATGTATTTTTCAGGTCATTAATGCTCTTTTCTGGAACTTTACTGCCACTAAACCATTTTTTAGTTGCAGAAAATAGAGATCGACTCAAACCTTTTCTTGATATTAGCTTTAAAAAAGAGATTAAATATGTTGACAAACAAAGAATTTAGTATTTTTCCTTTACATAAAAAAATTTTAACTAAAAAGCTTTAATAGCAAATGTTCATTTTAATAAAACTGATTTAAAGAAAACTGTCCAATATGCTGGCAAAATCCTATTGAAAATGAATAAGCCTCTTCTAGAGTTGAACAGAATTTCATCATTGATAGTAATTTTGGGAAGTCTTAATATTGGCCTATCTTAAAACGAAAATAAAACAAAACTTCAAATACGTTTAATAATTCTTAAATTTACTATTTACTTAAATTTTTAAAATACTAATCCAAAAAATCAAACCTTACCTGATCGTTTAATTGCCTAATTGTTTTCTCTATATGTGGCAAAAGGCCCCGAAATGTGAACTCTTGTATAAACTGTCGAATTCTATCATGATCAGTAAGTGTTAAACATGCACCATGAATTATTCCAGTATTTCCTTTCTTTGTTTCATGTAACGATGAAGCAGATCTTAGATGATCTGGGCCATCAATACTGTTAGAAGGGTCACTGGATTGCTCCAACTGAAGTGGGTGAGCTCTAAAGTTATTTGGTAAGCCATCTACTGAAAAAGAGATTATTTCTTTTACTCTCAGAATGCAACAGAAAACAGTGCTAATACTACCATACTGCTAAAGAAAAAAAAAAAGCAGAATGTTAAAATCCTTTATCTTTCAGTATAGGTAAATGTCTAAGATAAAACAGCAGTAACATCCCCCAGCCCCAAAATTAATGAGCTTGAGTTAATATTTGTTTTGGTACCTGTATTAGTAATTTGAAAATCGGTATAAACCAGGAAATGGAGAAAAATACTTTATTTTAAATAATATAAAGAATGACTTTTAAATAGTACAACTAAGCCGTAAGAAAAAATATAACAAAAAAAATTTGTTATCATTACAAAAATCATAAAGTCAGAAATAAAGCTCTCAAAATCATGTAAATTTTTAAATAATTAATGCTGTGCATCACATCTTCCCTTGCTTTCTACAAAATATTTTAAAAGAAATCTATACACTACTCATATAAAACAAATTTTTAAGTGTCAAAAACAAACTCAAGTAGCTCAGTAAAATCTTCAGAAGAAAAACTAACCTGCCCAATATCTTTCTGTATTATGAAAAATTTCCCCCATCTTTTATCTATAAAGGTTAGCATGATCTGACAACAGTGCATATTTTCAATCAAAAGAGAAACTTAGAGAAAATATATCAAGACCTTTGACTTCGTTATCTAATCCATCCAATGAAAGCAAGTTATTATCAGAATTCTTATTTGAAGTTATAGTACAAGGGCCATCTTCATATGATTCCTATCAAAATAAAATTTAAAAAGCATTAGCAGTTATACTTAATCATACTTAATATACTATCAAATCCATCAACAACTATGGTTACTCTGCTAACTGTTGGCCTCATTTATTTGCTACAGTGAGCATTTTCTCGTCCTCCAAATTCATAACTTCTTCCATGGATCTTATTCTATCACTCCAACTCACACCTACTATATTCTTAAATCCCCTTTCACACTCAAGCTACTATCCTAATTCTTCTTAATTCAAATTATCTCTCAGGATATCTACTTATATATGATATGTATATACACGAGTGTTCATATAAGCACATACATATGCTTATGCCTCTTAAGTAAGGAATAATGGCAAGAGAGATGGACTACTAGAGTCAGACGGGGAAAGAAGAGAGGCACAGATATGAAATTCTTTGGGTCACAGTGTAAGCAGGTTGGAGTGAATTCTGAATATACTGAAGTGTTTTAGAAAAATATCTAACGCAACGTTTATTTGTGCAAAGGAACTGGTTTCTCAGTTAACAAAAAAACACTTAAACTAAAAATACCCAGACTACTCTACAAGACCAGTAAATATGATGTATTATTCTGAGTGTCACACTTTGAGGGAATTTACATAAACTAGAACTCAAGAAGAAAGTGACCAGGACAAGAAAGTCTGAAGCCACTCCTTGAGAAAGAGTTGCAGAAACTAGGCATATTTAGACTGGAAAAATATAAAAGAGGACATGAGAATTATCCTTCTATATTTTGAAAGTTGTCTTAATGGAAAACTAACATAGTCACTCCCAAAGGATCAAGCGTACAAGCAAAGGTCAAGAATTTTTTATTGATCCTTAAGCAAAATGAGAGAATTTTTGGGTGATCAGACATGCAATAGGTCACTTAATAAGAATACAGTGAGTACTGTCAACAGACGCAGTCATTCGTAAGTTTAAAGAAATTAAAGCATTAGATCAAGCATTGGATGTAAAACCTCTAAACTATTCTCCAACTTTGAGCTTCTAGGATGCTAAGGCATAGATTTCTGATATTTCTGCTTTCTGCTAAAAGTTCTCATACTGCACAATCTTCTTCATGTTCCCCTTCACAACCTTAGGTGACTGAACTCTAAAGTGTATTTTTTTCAGTACTGTTCTTATTCTTAGAATGGCCCCTAAAAGACCATTTTTAAAAATAAAGTTCCTTCACATCCAACTGGTACTTCTTTGCTTTTCCCCAGCATTATCTTAAAGAACGTCAGTAATCACCTCAATACTAAAGTCAGTAAAATACCATGATAGCACTACATTTAGATTTAAAGATTCCATTTATGAGACAGAAAAATAAAGCAAATAAACAGATTAAACAATACTTATATCAGAAGATCAAAAATTACATAAGCTTTGTAATTGATTTTTTAAATGTCACACACAGAGTGCATAATATAGTTTAATTGAACAATATAAATATATTTTCCATTTACTTAAGAATTTCTAGGCCAGGCGCTGTGGCTTACGCCTGTAATATCAACACTCTGGGAGGCTGAGGCGTGTGGATCACTTGAGGTCAGGAGTTCAAGACCAGCCTAGCCAACAGGGTGAAACCCTGTCTCGACTAAAAATGAATCGCTTGAACCCAGGAGGTGGAGGTTGCAGTGAGCCGAGATCTCGCCACTTCACTCCAGCCTGGGCAACAGAGTGAGACTCCGTCTCAAAAAAAAAAAAAAATTTCTGGCCGGGTGTGGTGGCTCAGCACTTTGGGAGGCTGAGGCAGGGGGATAACTTGAGGTCAGGAGTTCGAGACCAGTCTGGACAACATGGTGAAACCCCATCTCTACTAAAAATACAAAAATTAGCCAGGCGTGGTGGCGGGCGCCTGTAATCCCAGCTACTCGGGAAGCTGAGGCATGAGAATAATTTGAATCCAGGAGGCAGCTGTTGCAGTGAGCCGAGATCATGCAGTGAGCCGAGATCATGCCACTGCACTCCGGCCTGGGCGATAGAGTAAGACTCCGTCTCAAAAAAAAAAAAAAAAAAAAAAAAGAATTTCTTCTAGGCCGGCATGATGGCTCACACCTGTAATCCCAGCACTTTGGGAGACCAAGGCCTGGGCGACAGAGCGAGATCCTGTCTCAAAAAAAAAAAAAAAAAAAATTTTCTTCTAAACAAAAAACAGTGACTCTCGATTATCTGAACTAAGCATAGGAACTTGGCATTTGACTACTACCAAGCGGCATACTATTGTACCTTAGAAGTCTGACAAAACATCAAACGCCCATCAACTTAAGCCAATAGGACAATCAATCTTATTCTAGAACTCGAGGTTAAGAAAGGAGTAATTAAAAAACAGTAACTCCTGAGAGTACATAAAGAAGGGAAATCAACGGAAAGTTGGAGGGAAATGCCCACCCACCTAAAAAGTATGAGTTCCTGAAGGTGGCTATAAAAGCATGTTAAAAAGGTACGAAAGAGGCTGGGCATGATGGCTCATGCCTATAATCCTAGCACTTTTGGAGTCTGAGGCGGACAGATCACCTGAGGTCAAGAGTTCGAGACCAGCCTGACCAATATGGTGAAACCCTCTCTCTGCTAAAAATACAAAAATTAGCTGGGCGTGGTGGTGTGCGCCTGTAGTCCCACCTACTTGGGAGGCTGAGAGAGGAGAACTGCTTGAACATGGGAAGTGGAGGGTTGCAGTGAGCCAAGATCGCGCCATTGCACCCCAGCCTGGGCAACAGAGCGAGACTCTTTGTCTCCAAAAAAAAAATTAGCCGGGCATGGTGGTAGGTGGTGGACGCCTGTAATCCCAGTTACTCAGGAGGCTGAGACAGGAGAATTGCTTGAACCCAGGAGGTGGAGGCTGCAGTGAGCTGAGATTGTGCCACTGCACTCCAGCCTTGGCGACAGAGCAACACTCTGTTTCAAAAAAAAAGAAAAGAAAAAGAAAAATGTAGGGAGCAACCCCAGAGCATGTAGATAATAAAGAATTGACTGTAGGCATTCATAATGAATTAAACAGACAAGTCAGAAATTCCATTCTGCACGTCTAGCCTATCTAACTCAATTCTTAACGTGTAATTCACTTTTAATCTTTTAAGAAAGAGATCAGTCCAGGCGCGGTGGCTCACACCTGTAACCCTAACACTTTGGGAAGTTAAGGTGGGCAGATCACTTGAGGTCAGGAGTTCAAGACTAGCCTGGCCAATATGGTGAAACCTCACCTCTACTAAAAATACAAAAATTTGCCTGGCATGGTGGCATGTGCCTGTAATCCCATGTACTTGGGAGGCTGAGGCAGGGGAATCACTTAAACCTGAGAGGCGGAGGTTGCAGTGAGCTGAGATCACACCACTGCACTCCAGCCTGGGCGACAGAGCAAGACTCTGTCTCAAAAAAAAAAAAGAAAATGATTAATTCACACTGATAGTACACACCTGAAAAGAGTGCACATAAGGGATTACTGCAGTTAGTTAAAAACAGCTTTTAAACCACTGACCTAAGAGCTCACCTCTGACAGATCAAAACTGACCAGATTCCACACAATTAATATGAATAATTATACTAGTTAAACCAAAACGTAAAAACTGAAGTATCGTTTTTGTGGTTTGCTTCATTTATTTTTTACATATACCTGGTTTTGAATACTATTTTTCTGGAGATACTGACTCCAAGGATCTGGTATCTGTTCATCTGATGCTCGATTAGATGTTCGAGAATTAATTTTAAGTAAATAGCAACCCTGAGTTCCATATTTCTGTTTCATTTCTTCATAAATTGATTCAGCTCTAAAACAGAAAATGGAAAAAAATCTGAAGTAAAAGAGGAGCAGGCCTTAGGCAATAATAGAGACTAAAGTAGTACAAAAATAACATTAAAATAATCCCCCAAAAAGGCATATTTAGACTGGAAAAATATAAAAGAGGACATAAGAATTATCCTTCTAGAAAATTAGGACAGAATAACCTAAAAGCGAAAACAAAAATCATGATGGCAATTGAAATTTAGCTAGCTTAGATACCACCTTAAAGCAGTTACCAAAGTGTGTTCCGTGGAATAAAATTCTGCAAGACACTCCTCTACGTTATTCAAAGAGAGAGCTCTGGTGGTCAAACTAGATTGCGGGGGGAACTACAGGAAACAAAACAAGTGTTTTGACTCAGCGTGGTGGCCATAATCCCAGCACTTTGGAAGGCCAAGGTGGGAAGATCACTTCAAGTCAGGAGTTAGAGACCATCCTAGGCAACATAGGGAAACCCTATCTCTATCAAAATTAAAATTAACCAAAAATGGTGGCACACACCTGTGGTCCCAGCTGCCCAGGAGGCTGAGGTGGGAAGACTGCTTGAGCCCAGGCACTGCACTCTAGCCTAGGCAACAGAGTGAGACCCCCATCTCAAAAAAAAAAAAAAAAAGGAGGAAAAACAAGAAAAAAAAAAAAACAACCTGGAAAACTAACCACATTCAAATGTAAATACTAATACTATGTAAGCAACAAGCCTAGCAAACAACAAAATGATATTACGCACTAAAAAATTATGGCTGGATAAGTAAAATAGTTATAGAAAATTTGTATAAATGCAGATGCATGTGTGTGTACACACACTGAAGGACAATAAAGCAAACTCCTGCTCACGTTACTAATGATACTGCTAAACCTAAGAACCATTCATCTGATACTTGAATTACTACCTTAAATATCCTAGTTACAACCATTCAATACGGAAGACACACTCCAAATTGAACTGACAGAAACTAATTCTAATAGTCATTTCAAATTTTTTCTATTAATATAGTAGTACACCTTATCCAACGGGCTACAGACATTTCAAAATATCCTAAAGATTAGTAATCTTCAGAGTAATTAACTGGATCTGCAGAGGAAAATTTAATAAAAAGATGGTGGTCCATGCTCAGGACAAGGCGGGTAATGATTATTAAACTACATTTCCTCAGTGGCACTAAGGCATCAGAATAGTTTCAAACAAAACATTAATCTGCTCCACACCTTGCACCAAAAGCCAAAATAAGCTCCAAAGCCATGCAAGTAAAATTACTGCGTTTATCCTATTTTTCAAGAATTTATTTTTAAAGACAATCTATTCACATATCCCAAATACAAAAGGACTACTGCAAACAACAAATCATGAATATTAAAGGGAACATTAAAAAAAGTTTGAATATTTCTAAGGCTATGAAAAATATCAAGGCTATAAATATGAAGTCACAAGAGAGTGGACAGTGGAAAAAGTGCCTGTAAGCAAGTCAGGCCATGAAAAGTGAGAGGAAAACTGGGAAGCAGAAAAGAACAAAGAAAGAGAAATAATTTTATATAAAACCAGAAATAACAGCTATGATCTACAGTTGTGAAATGACAAGTGTTTTTGTACAGACTGTATAACAATTATACATTAAAAAGAAAGTTTGGGTAAGCATATGAAATCTAACATAAGGCCAGGCGAGGTGGCTCACGCCTGTAATCCTACCACTTTGGGAGGCCAAGGCGGGCAGATCACCTGAGTTCCAGAGCAGCCTGGCCTACGTGGTGAAACCCTATCTCTACTAAAAATACAAAAATTAGCCGGGCGTAGTGTCATGTGCCTGTAATCCCAGCTACCCGGGAGGCTGAGGCAGGAGAATCGCTGGAACTCAGGAAGCACAGAGGCTGCAGTGAGCCAAGATCGTGCCACTGCACTACAGCCTAGGTGACAAAGTGAAACCCCATCAAAAAAAAAGGGGGGGGGGGCGCAGGCGCAGTGGCTCCCGCCTGTCATCCCAGCACCTTGGGAGGCCGAGGCGGGCAGATTACTGAGGTCAAGAGTTCAAGACCAGCCTGGACAATATGGTGAAACCCTATCTCTACTAAAAATACAAAAATGAAGCCGGGCGTGGTGGCTCACGCCTGTAATCCCAGCACTTTGAGAGGCCCAGGCAGGCGGATCACGAGGTCAGGAGATCGAGACCATGGTGAAACCCCGTCTCTACTAAAAAAAATACAAAAAATTAGCCAGGTGCAGTGGCGGGCGCCTGTAGTCCCAGCTACTCAGGAGGCTGAGGCAGGAGAATGGCGTGAACCCAGGAAGCGGAGCTTGCAGTGAGCTGAGATCGTGCCACTGCACTCCAGCCTGGGCGACAGAGTGAGACTCCATCTCAGAAAAAAAAAAAAAAAAAAATTAGCTGGGCATGGTGGCGGGCACCTGTAATTCCAGCTACTCAGGAGGCTGAGGCAGGAGAATTGCTTGAACCCAGGAGGCGGAGGTTGCAGTGAGCCAAGATCGTGCCACTGCACTCCAGCCTGGGTGACAGGGCAAGACCTCGTCTCAAAAAAAAAAAAAAAAAAGAAATCTAACATAAAATAACTTGACTGTTGAATATAATGCCAGGATAAAACATAAAGTTAAATGCTTTATTAATAAAATTCACATTAAACTTTTACATTCTTGTATCAAAAATAAATCCAAAACGTAAACAAGCTATCTCCAAATTAATGTTAAATCATTTAACTGGAAAAAATTTAAAACTAAAATAAAAACTTACCTCTGTTCATCTCCTGCACTTACATCATGTAAAAGTACATAGTATTTAAGTGTATTTGGTATAAACCACTTGGGGTAGGAATAATCACTGTTGTGCTGAATTCGATGCTGTTCTTGTGACAACTTTGAAAACTGTTCCACAGGTTCAGCTTCACTAGATGACGCTACCAACATACCTTGTAAACCATATTATTAAGGTAATTATCGCTTATTACTCAATGATAAATATTGTCCTACTGAGATAAACAGGAGGTTTTTGTTTGTTTGTTTGTTTGTTTCTGAGACAAAGTCTCACTCTGTAGCCCAGGCTGGAGAGCAGTGGCGTGATCTCGACTCAACACAACCTCCGCCTCCCAGGTTCAAGTGATTCTCCTGCCTCAGCCTCCAGAGTAGCTGGGATTATAGGCGCAAGCCACTGCACCCAGCTAATTTTTTATATTTTTTGTAAAGACGGGGTTTCACCATGTTGGCCAGGCTGGTCTTGAACTCCTGACCTCAGGTAACCCGCCCGCCTCAGCCTCCCAAAGTGCTAGGATTATAGGCATGAGCCACCGTGCCCAGCGGTATTTTCACAGCAAAAAAAAAAAAAAAAAAATCCAATTTCATTGGTTTTAATTGCAAGCACAAAATAATTTCTCCAACACTCCAAATAATTCAATACTCCAGATAATTCTAACAGATTTTTTTTGTTGACAGTTTTTTCGGCCATTAATATATATGTAACAAGGAAACTCATAAAAATAAAAATGGACAACTGTACAACTTCAACAGAAATGAATTCTGCTGCATCTTGCTTCTCTCCACTCTATCTCACTGCAGTTACAAATTTCATCCTACCTCTTAACTTTCGTCAGTAACCGCATTAAGAAAACTAAGCCACAATCATAAAAAAATACCCATTAAAAAATTACTAAAAATATCCAAAATTATTTTTCATGAGTCTTAGGATAAGCAGTCAATTCTGAGGCAATCAGCAAAAGCAGTTAACATTGTTTAGATTTTCTTTCTAAAATGGCTAAAAAAGTTATTAAGCATGAAATATTCAAGCTAGGGGGCTAAAGAAAAATAAGCAAGCCCTCTGTAGTCTTATTTTATAATCAAAAACCAAATTGATTAAAAAATTGTTATAGCAGTCCTGTATCTAGGAGGCCATTTAACAAAATAACAAGACTCCGTGTATTGTCAATCTATAAAAAATAATTTATCTATTCTCTGTATCTTCAACAATTTTGCCTTCATTAACTATTTCTGAGATTAATAACTTCCATAATATTTGATTTGAGGAGAACATAAATGTCAAAGGATACATGCTAAATAGTGGTTCAGAAATTCATGATCCAATGCTGGCATCGACTGAAGAAAGGTTTCTCTGTAAGACTCAAACCATGGAGTAGTGGCTAAAATTAACAATATACAAAACAGTTAAAAGTATTCAATAGAATCAGTTTACAACAGACAAAATTTCAAGTCCATATTCCTAAAAGGTATAAAAAAAAAATTTCTAACAGTAAACAAGCATTTTTCACCTGTGCTTTCAGATGTACATGTGTGTATATATAAAATGTGTATAGGGCCTGGCACGGTGGCTCAGGCCTGTAATCCCAGCACTTTGGGAGGCCAAGGTGGGTGGATCACATGAGGTCAGGAGTTCGAGACCAGCCTGGTCAACATGGCAAAACCTCGTGTCTCTACTAAAAATACAAAAATTAGCCGGGCATGGTGGCACGTGACTGTAATCCCAGCTACTCAGCAGGCTGAGGCAGTAGAACTGCTTGAACCCGGGAGGTGGGGGTTGAAGTGAGCTGAAATCACACCACTGCACTCCAGCCTGGGTGACAGAATGAGACTCCGTCTCAAAATAATAATAATAATAATAAACTGAGTATATATGTACACACACCTTTTAAGCCATTCACAAGAATATATTCACACAAGAATATATTCATATATTCATGAGTATATATATTTGCAAAAATAAAATTGAATTATTCCCAAACCTAGTGTTCCCACAACCTACTTACCTATTAATGCTCTAAATATTACCTACATGAGTAAAAAGATTATTTCTTTAGAACTCAAGTTCTGTGACCCTGCCACTAGTCACACTGCCATAAGTAGATCTTTTTCAAAAATAACACTTAGCATAGAGGTTCTCAACTGAGCATGATTTTGACCCCCAGGAAACATCTGGCAACGTCTCAAGATATTTTTCGTTATCAGTTCTGGGGTAGGTGGCTTATGCTACTGGCATCAAAGAGGTCAGGAATAATGCAAAACATCTCACAAGACAAGACAAGACAAGACAGCCCCCACAATAAAGAATTATCTAGTTCAAAATGTAAATGGTGATATGGCTGGTAAATCTTACTTTGTAATTTGATTACTTGAATATGACAGTAACAAAGCCTCTTAAATGAAATTTCGAAGTACATTTACCTTACAATCAAATACAAACAAGTGTATTTTCATTGTTTGTATAAATGTATATAATGTGATTCTTAAAAAGTCAACTCTCTCTTGTTCCACATCAAGTATTTTGTATCACAATTATTCTTTTTATTTGAACTTACGTAAAACTTAGTGGTTTCACTAGGTTTTAAGCAGATTATCTATATCACAGTTTTACTAAAAGGACTCCATTCCAATGCTGATTTATGCTGATATATCAAATCTTATATTCCTTTTGCTTTCATCTTAACCACTGAAAACAGCAAATATATTCTTTCTGCTTATATTATAATACTATATTAAACAACTGGAAGGGCTGAGGACAAAGCCATTCATCTTAACCAAATAGCATTCTAACCTGGTGCCAAATATACAGATATTTTAACTCCAGCAAATGCCTCATGAGAATGACCCATATATTACATATAGTCTGATTAGGAGAGCAACTACTATCACGATTTCATGTTCATCGTTATAAAAGAGGAAATGGGCAGGGCATGGCGTTTCACACCTATAATCCTAACACTTTGGAGGCTGGGTGCGGTGGCTCACGCCTGTAGTCCCAGCACTTTGGGAGGTCAAGGCAGGCGGATCACTTAAGGTCAGGAGTTCGAGACCAGCCTAGCCAACATGGTGAAACCCCATCTCTACTAAAAATACAAAAATTAGCCAGGCATGGTGGCGCCCTTGTGCAATCCCAGCTATTCGGGGGGCTGAGGCAGGAGAATCACTTGAACCCAGGAGGTGGAGGTTGCTGTGAGCTGAGATGGCGTCACTGTACTCCAGCCTGGGCAATAGAGTGAGACTCAGTCTCAAAATAAATAAATAAATAAATAAATAAATAAATAAATAAATAAATAAATAAATAAATAAAATAATAATAATCCTAACACTTTGGGAGGCTGAGGTGAGTGGACTGCTTGAGCCCAGGAGTTTGAGACCAGCCTGGGATACATGGCGAAACCCCATCTCTACTAAAAGAAATACAAAAAATTAGCCAGGTATTGTGATGCATGCCTGTAGTCCCAGCTACTCGAGAGGCTGAGGTGGGAGGATCACCTGAGCCCAGGAAGTCAAGGCTGCAGTTAGATGAGAATGTGCCACTGCACTCCAGCCTGGGCGACAGGAGTGAGACCCTGTCTCAAAAAATATAAAATAAAATAAAAATAAAAGAGGAAAACATTCCCAGAAAACATTACAATCTACATTTTAAAAAAAGGCAAAAATTGGAGAATAAATGAAACACACAAATAGGAAACTAATCTTGTCACCCACCACGAACACCTACCCTTCTCCCCAACTCAGTCAAAGTAAGTCTACCTGGAAATCTAATGCATATGTAGTACCAATGATAAGAAAATAAGAAATACATAATGAAAATTATCGTTAAATAGAAAGGGATCTCCACATATACAAGGAAATTACTATCTCCACCTTTTAAAATTATTTTTTCTATTTACTTTGTTGCTTCAATGTTTCCTGAATTAAACAAATGACAGATAAATTATAGTCATATGAAATTGGGTTTGTTTCATGGTGGAGGTGGAAAGTTCTGAACAAAGCAGATTTTCCAAAATAGCTCTTCTTAGCAACACTATCTGTAATGACATTGAAAGACTAGAAAACACAACGCGCTCATCAGGAGAAAACTGATGAACAACAGTTCATGATGGACAACAGATGTCTCATGAGAATGACCCATATATCCTACATAGTCTAATTAGAAGAGTTACTACTGTAACAATTTCATGTTCATGCAATACCAGCTGCTTCATGTTCATTCTTATAAAAGAGGAACTAGGACTGAAGCAGTGGCTCATGCCTGTAATCCTAGCACTTTGGGAGGCTGAGGCAGGCAGATCGATTGAGCTCAGGAATTTGAGACTAGCTAGGCAACATGGTGAAACCCCATCTCTACTAAAAAAAAATACAAAAAAATGGCCAGGCACAGTGGCTCACACCTGTAATCCCAACACTTTGGGAGGCCGAGGCAGGCGGATCACCTGACGTCAGGAGTTCGAAATCAGCCTCGACCAACATGGTAGAACGCTGTCTCTACTAAAAATGCAAAAATTAGCTGGGCATCGTGGCATCCACCTGTAATCCCAGCTACTAGGGAGACTGAGGCAGGACAATCGCTTGAACCAAGGAGACAGAGGTTGCAGTGAGCCGAGATCACGCCACTGCACTCCAGCCTGGGCAACGTGTTAGAGCGACACTCCGTCTCAAAAAAAAAAAAAAAAAAAAAAATTAGCTGGGCATGGTGGTGCACATCTTTAGTCCCAGCATTCTCTTGAGGTGTAGTTAAATAAATTATGGCCTAACCATTAAAAAGATACATTAGCAGCTGTAAAAGAAAGGGGAAAAATCTCTACATATTACAATGAAGTGTTCTTCCAGATATATTAAGTGAAAAAAGCGACAGCAGAAAAGTATGCATTTTTGTGCAAAAAAAGGAAAATATGAAGAGCCATACCTATATTTGCTTATAGTTTCAAAGAGAAGTAACAGAATAAATCTACTACATTTAATTATCTATACAAGAGAGAAGAGAAAGAAGGGAGATAAGAAAGGAGAGGGATCGACCAAGTGCTGTGAATAAAGAGATCTTTAGGTCAGGCACGGTGGCTCACGCCTGTAATCCCAACACTTTGGGAGGCCGAGGCAGGCGGATTACCTGAGGTGGGGAGTTCCAGACCAGCCTGACCAACATGGAGAAACCCTGTCTCTACTAAAAATACAAAATTATCTGGGTGGGCGGGGTGACACATGCCTGTAATCCCAGCTACTCGGAGGCTGAGGCAAGAGAATCACTTGAACTCGGGAGGTGGAGGTTGCAGTGAGCCAAGATCGCACCATTGTACTACTCCAGCCTGGATGACAGAGCGAGACTCCGTCTCAAAAAAAAAAAAAAAAAAAGTTATCTTTGAGATTTGATTTGGTCAGAAAAGCCTCTAATCCACATTGTCAACCTCAGAGCTTTCTGCAATGTATAATGTAGCTTTCTCATCTCACCTTCTGGAAAACGGAATGTGATTACATATTTCATTTATTACGCTTCGATTTTCTTGTATCTGGGTTCTACTCTTAGGATGAGGTTATCCAATTATATATATATTTAGAGGAAGAAATGAAGGGGAAATTCAATATGTTTATGTCACTTTCTTATTGCCTGAAAATTGAATAAAATCAAATTTATCAGTTGTTCCCCCTAATTATGCAAAAGATCTTTTGAAAACTATATTACATGAGTGCTTCTGCCTCTTTAAGACAAAAGAAGAATGTAACCCAAAACTGTCATTTTTTCTTAAAGTTCATCATAAAAGTACTAAAAGAGTAACTGTAATTAGATTTTTATTGTGTTTTAAGTAAAGTAAGGTCTATGTGTTTGAGGGGAAAAAAAAGAAGGGACATGAATAGAGGACAAGCCTTCTCTGTATCTTGCTTTATATAATTTTGAGTTTGAAACTATGTGAATGTACACATAATTAAAAATAAATTAAAAAGCAAAATACATACACATACAGACATACACAGACATACTCTTAAATTGCAATAACTTTCTAAATACTAGTAGTAACTGGTAGCTTGTGGCTGGGCGTGGTGGCTCATGCCTGTAATCCCAGCACTTTGGGAGGCTGAGGTGGAGGGATCACTTGAGCCCAGGAGTTGGAGACCAGCCTGGGAAACATAGCAAACCCTGTCTCTACAAAAAGTACAAAAATTAGTCGGGAGTGGGACATGAGGCTGTAGCGCTGGCTACTCGAGAGGCTGAGGTGGGAAGATCGCTTGAACCCAGGAGGTCAAAGCTGCAGTGAGCCAAGATGGTGCCACTGCACTCCAGCCTGGGCAGCGACAGAGCAAGACCCTGTCTCAAAACGAACAAACAAAAAACAAAAAATTTTCTTGGACTTATCTTGGGATAAAAATCACTATTTTCCTCATATCCCTTTCCATCTCTACATGTTCTTTCTTTGGAATTGAAATAGCAACCATGTTTTCCTACTAAAGTTTTCTGGCCATGTTCAGTGGCTCACGCCTGTAATCCCAGCACTTTGGGAGGCCGAGGCAGGCTGATCACTTGAGCCCAGGAGTTCGAGACCAGCCTGGGCAACATGAGAAAACCTCATCTCTACAAAAAATGCAAAATTAACCGGGCATGGTAGCCCACACCTGTAGTCCCCGCTACTCGGGAGGCTGAGGTAGGAGGATCGCTTGAGCCCAGGAGGCAGAGGTTGCAGTAAGCCAAGAGAGAGCCACTGAACTCCAGCATGGGTGACATAATGAGACCCTGCCTCAAAACAAAACAAAACAAAAACATGCAGAATGTACTGTTTTACCTGGTAAGGAAGGGTAATATGGTCTTCCTTCCTTTTAAAATAAGATGCAGCCCAAAATATACCATTCAAAGACTATGCTTGGATTTAACACATAATGCTGTAAGAGTAAACAGGATAATGGATGATAAAATAGATAACAAAAGTTGAAAAAAATAGATACATTAGACCTTCCTCATTTTAGAAAAATTAGACATGTCAATTGGGAAAAATACAAAACAGTACCTAAGTGGGGAAAAAAAGACAACAGAAACGAAGTAGGTGAGAAAAATCTAGAAAACTGAAACCATCACAAGAAATCCCTGTATATAACAGACTTTCAACTCCATCAATGTGTCTTTCCAATTACTGTACCAAGGAATAGCAGCTTTAAATGACCGATCTGAAGAAAACACGGCACTGTTAAGCTTATGAGGTAAATATCTAACATCTATTTCTTTAACAGAATGAATGAAAAGTATGCTGACTCACATTAATGGTGAAAATTAGAAGCATACATCTGAATATATAAGAATTAATACCTTATTAAAATGGATAAAATCACTTTTCTATGATCTCCAAAGAGTATTATTCTGTTTAATGAAATTTTACTAAAATTAACGTAGTACTTCATCGTATCTCATTCTCAGTCTTCATGGCCAACATAAAAATAAAGCTGAAAGGAGGTGCCTTTCAGTAAAAGGGAAAGAAGCTAAAAAAAAAAAAAACTGTTTTCTTCTGGTGTGTAGTTTAATCCTACTTAAGCCCAGGAGTTCGAGACCACTCTGGGCAACTTAGTGAGACCCTATCTCTAGTTCTAAAAATAATAAGGCCGGGTGTGGTGGCTCATGCCTGTAATCCCAGCACTTTGGGAGGCCAAGGCAGGAGGATCACCTGAGGTCAGGAGTTCAAGACAAGCCTGGCCAACATGGCAAAACTCTGCCTCTACTAAAAAAATACAAAAATTAGCCAGGCGTGGTGGCTCATGCCTATAATCCCAGCACTTTAGGAGGCTGAGGTGGGTGGATCACCTGATGTCAGGAGTTTGAGACCAGCCTGGCCAACGTGGTGAAACCTCATCTCTACTAAAAATACAAAAAATTAGCCAGGCGTGGTGGCGGGTGCCTGTAATCCCAGCTACTTGGGAGGCTGAGGCAGGAGAATTGCTTGAACTTGGGAGGCAGAGGTTGCAGTGAGCCGAGGTCGCGCCATTGCACTCCAGCCTGGGCAACAAGAGCAAGAATCCGTCTCAAAAAAAAAAATACAAAAATTAGTTGGGCGTCGTGGTGGGCGCCTGTAATCCTAGCTACTTGGGAGGCTGAGGTAGGGAGAACTGCTTGAACTAGGAGGCAGAGGTTGCAGTGAGCCAAGATCGCGCTAGTGCACTCCAGCCTGGGCGAAAGAGCAAGACTCCATCCCTCCCCACCGAAAAAAAAAAAAAAATGGCCAGGAGTGGTGGCTCACACCTGTAATCCCAGCACTTTGGGAGGCCAAGGCAGGTGGATCACTTGAGTCCAGGAGTTCAAGACCAGCCTGGCCAACATCATGAAACTCTGTCTCCACTAAATATACAACTAATAATACTAATTTTTTTAAATCTGCCTGAAGCAGGAGAATCGCTTGAACCCGGGACGTGGAGGTTGCAGTGAGCCAAGATCGCACCACTGCACTCCAGCCTGGGCAACAACAGCGAAACTCCGTCTCAAAAAAAAAAAAAAAAAAAAAAAAATCCGCCTGAAGAGTTAAGCTATAGTAATTGCCTCCACCTGCTTTTAAATGCAAATAGCAATCAATCCTCCCGTATGAGGAGATGTTGGCAGGGATCTGAGAATGCAAGTAATATAATTAGATAAAACAATTTCCCACAACCAAATCATAACTATGTTCCTATAAATGATCTGCCAAACCACTTTAATAGAAAAAAAAGGCCCAGGACACAGCCAGAGAGCAGATTTCAGAATCCTTCTCTGGATAAACTAAATGGCCTCAAAGAAAAAAACTATAAGTAATAAAAATTGGGCAACCCTTAAACCTATTCTTAGCCTTACCACCCAATAAAGAAGTCTACTAACTGATAAGCTTTCTTATACTCAGTCAGGGTTTTAATGCCTCAATTTGAAATAGAAAATAATGCCTGGTCTAACCAAAGATTTGAGGTAAGTGTCCAACATGAAAAAAATCAAAACAAATAAAAATAATACGAATGAAAAAAAAAGGCACAGGATAGAAGAAAACTTAAAAAAACAGCCAACAACAATTTATTACTATCTTCAGAGTTAAGACACTATAACATAAAACCTTAATAGCATGTCACAATAAAGGAAAATCTAGAGAAGAAAATAGCTCCAAAAAAACCCCAAAAAGACACCAAACATTAAAACTTCAATAGAAGGATCAGAAGATAAAGTCAAGGATATTCACACCCAGAAAAATAAAAAGACAGAGATAGACAATTTTAGAAAAAAAGAACATTAGAGGATCAACTCAGGAAGTTCTACATCCAACTAACAGTAGTTTCAGAAAGAACAGAGAGAACAATAAGGGAGAAATTAACAAAGAAAGAATACAAGACAGTTTCTCAGGGCTAAAAAGTGCATAACCAGACTGTCAAAAGAAGCTACTCAGTAAAATAAGTGAAAAAGGAGTTATAAACCCCAACGTGAAATTTCAAAATAGCAGGGATGAAGACCTTCAAAAACTTCTAACAGCTGGAGGGCTGGGGGTAATACATATAATGGCTTCTAGCTTTTTTAAGAGCAATGCTTGAAGCTAAAAGAAAGTGGATCAATTCTGAGGGAAATGATTTATAACTAACAATGTACACAGTCAAACCATCAATCAAGTATATAAAATAAGAACATTTTCCAACATTCATTCCTCAAAAATTTTATTTTCCATGCACCCTTTCTCAGGAAGCTACTAGAGATGTCCTTCACCATACTAAGGAAATACACACAAAATATATATAAATGAAATACTACAGAGAAGTGAAGGGAAGGAAATCCTCAGGATGACAGCTGTGGAGTGGGCCTCGGACAGCAACCAGTCCGACATAAAATTGAACACCATTTCCCAGCTTTTATTTCATTATATTCTCTGTGTTTTACAGCTTTTTTCTAATCAATCCTTTCCCCCGATTAAAGTATTTTTTAAAATAACACCACAATTGTATTGTGTATCTATTTATGCATGGAGACCCTTTGGAGAGCCACAGACCACTGTAATAGCTAAGATTTTTTTGTCCCCCAAGGACCAATTTTTACCACATAGGAATATCATCCTTAATGAGAATATATGCAGTAACAATAGAGATTTCTTGAAGGAGCCATTGATAAATGGGTTATTTGACAAATTAATCTCTCGAGTAGAAAATACAGTTGAAGAAGTCTGAGAAACTAGCAACAGACACAAAGAACTGAGCAAGATGTTTTGTTTTGGTTTTTTTTTTTTTGAGACAGAGTTTCGCTCTTGTTGTCCAAGCTGGAGTGCAACGGTGGGATCTCGGCTTACTGCAACCTCCGCCTCAAGCAGCTGGGATTACAGGAGTGTGCCACCACGCCCAGCTGATTTTCTGTATTTTTAGTAGAAACAGGGTTTCACCATTTTAGTCAGGCTGGTCTTGAACTCCTGACCTCAGGTGATTCAGCCTCCCAAAGTGCTGGGATTACAGGCGTGAGCCACCACAAGATGTTTTTAAAAAGACAATTACTAACTCCTGAAAACACAAAATACTGTATCAGAAAGCCCAATAATTGGCTAAGCAGTGAAGAAGTGAATGACATTTAGTCATATTATAAGCAGTGAATATTAACCAAAAACTATGAGATGGAGTGGAAAGGATAGACAGTAATTAAGCCAAATCCTTATCAATGATAATGAGAAGTCAATAAATAAAACTTATTTAAATTTAAAACTTATTACGCCATAGACAGCCATATAAAAATATTACTTAGAAGCACATAATCAATACCCGAGGAAAAGACTACAGAAATTGGTGGGGCAAGGTACAGATCACTGTTGTTTTTTCCTTTAAGTCTTTTTATCATTTTGTCTATGTACACATATCATTTTGATAAATTTATTTTTCTTTTGAGGCAGGGTCTTGCTCTGTCACCTAGGTTGGAGTGCAGTTGCGCAATCACAGCTTTTTGCACCCTTGACTTCACAGGCTCAAGCAATCTTCTCACCTCAGCCTCCTGAGTAGCTGGGACTACAGGTATACACCACCACACCCAACTAATTTTTTTTTTTTGAGACTCACTCTGTTGCCCAGGCTGGAGTGCAGTGGCGTGATCTCGGCTGACTGCAACCTCTGCCTCCCAGGTTCAAGCGATTCTCCTGCCACAGCCTTCCAAGTAGCTGGGACTACAGGTGCCTGCTGCTGGCTAATTTTTGAATTTTTAGTAGAGACAGGGTTTCACTGTGTTGGCCAGGCTGGTCTGGAATTCCTGACCTCAAGTGATCCACCCGTCTCAGCCTCCCAAAGTGCTGGGATTACAGGCGTGAGCCACCATGCCCAGCTACCAGCTAATTTTTTTTAAAAAATTTTCTTCAGATGGGGTCTCAATATGTTACCCAGGCTGGTCTTGAACTCCTGGCCTCAAGTGATCCTCCCACCTTAGCTTCCCAAAGCGCTGGGATTAGAGGCCTGAGCGACTATGCCTGGCCTTAATAAATTAAAAGTAACAGGTATATGGGCTTTGGAGGTTAGCAAAATATTTGCAGTATGAAAAAGATACTTTTGGTCAGCATCTGAACTCATTCCTGTCATCTCAGCACTTTGAGAGGTGGCTGCTTGAGGCCAGTGGTTTGAGACCAGCCTAGGCAACATAGCAAATGAGTGGACCTGGTCACTCATGCTTGTAATCCCAGCACTCTGGGAGGCCAAAGCAGGCAGATCACTTGAGGTCAGGAGTTTTAGACAAACGTGGCCAACATGGTGAAACCCCGTCTCTTATTAAAAATACAAAAATTAGCCGGGTGTGGTGGTGCACACCTGTAGTCCCAGAAACTCAGGAGGCTGGGGCAGAAGAATCGTGTGAACCCAGGGGGAAGAGGTTGCAGTGAGCCAAGATCGTGCCACTACACTCCAGCCTGGGCAAAAGAGTGAGACTCCGACTAAAAAAAATAAAATAAAATAAAATAAAATAAAATTAAAATTAAATAAAATAAAAAATACATAGGCCAGGCACAGTGGCTCACAACTGTAATCCCAGCACTTTGGGAGGCCAAGGTACGAGGATCGCTTGAGGCCAGAAGTTCAACACCAGCCTGCTAATAAACACAGCGAGACCTTATCTCTACACACACACACACACACACACACACACACAGATTTTAATTAACCAAGCATAGTACACACCTATAGTCCCACCTACTCAGGAGGCTGAGATGGGATGACCCCTTGAGCTCAAGAGTTCAAGGTTACAGTGGGCTATGATCATACCACTGCACACCAGCCTTAGGGTGATAGAGTAAGACCCTGTCTCTTAAAAATAAGAAAAAAAAATAAAAGAAATAAATATAAGACAAAAAGATATTTTTGTTTTTTAAATATGATAGGTAATCCCTCTCTGTGCCCCTTTAGCACTTTTGGCATACCAGGTATGCCACAGCTCTATTACAATGTATTGTTGATATTAACGTATTATAAATTAGACCTTACTATGATTACTGATTAACACGTTTGTCTCCCTACCAGATTATAAACTTTAAAGCATGTGTTATTCATCTCTGCATCTCAATACAAAGCACACAGCAGAAATCAATAAATATTTGTTGCATGGCTAACAAACTTGTTAAGATCCTGCAAAACAGAATCACATATAAAGGTCTACGAGAGGCCTTAAGAAAGAATCCAGCCAGGCCAGGAGTGGTGGCTCACGCCTGTAATCCCAGCACTTTGGGAGGCTGAGGCAGGTGGATCAGTTGAGGTCAGGAGTTCGAAACCAGCCTGGCCAACATGATGAAACTCCATCACCTCTAAAAATACAAAAAATTAGCTGGGCGTGGTGGTGGGCACCTGTAATCCCAGATACTCGGGAGGCTGAGGCAGGAGAATCTCTCGAACCCGGGAGGTGGAGGTTTCAGTGAGCCGAGATCATGCCACCACACTCCAGCCTGGGTGACAGAGTGAGACTCCGTCTCAAAAAAAGTGAAAAAAAAAAAAAGAAAAGAATCCAGCCAAACTCCTGTTTTCAGAGGTGGAAACAGAGTCTCAGAAACACTAAGTGACTTGGCTGGGCATGGTGGCTCATGCCTGTAATCTCAACACTTTGAGAGGCCAGGGTGAGAGGATCACTTGAACATAGTGAGACCCTGTCTCTACAAAAAAATTTAAAAATTAGCCAAGCATGGTGGTGTGCAGCTATAGTCCTAATTACTTGGGAGGCTGAGGTGAGAAGATTGCATAAGTCCAGGAGTTCAAGGCTGCAATGAGCAATGATTACACCACTACACTCCAGCCTGTGTGACAGAGAGAGACCTTGTCTCTTTTAAAAAAACATATTAGCCTGGCATAGTTGGTAGGCTGAGGTGAGAGGATCACCTGAGCCCAGGGAGGTTGAGGCTACAGTGAACTGTGATAGCACCACTGCACTCCAGCCTGGTTGACAGAGTGAGACCCTGTCACAAAAAATACTATAAATAAAAATAAAAAGAAACACTAAGTGACTTATTCAGGTTATCTAATTAACTAATGACTATGGTAGTACAAAAACTTGGACACTCTGGCATTTGATTCATTGCCCTTCACACTACAACACTGATGAGAGAAAAATAACAGTTCAAATTCTATTCCTTTCTCCAAGAAATACCCAAATTTTTGCTTCATATTGAAAACATGCTAGGAACTGTTAAGAAATTCAGATTTTTTTGACTGGTAAAGATAACCATAATATTCTCAACTTAAAATTATCAAGTTGACTCATCTTGCTGGAATTAAAACTAAAGGCAAAGAAAAAAGAAAAAAATACAGAACACTTAAACGAAATAATTCTACAAATATTTTTAACTATACAAGAGCAACAACTAACTTGGTGACCTAACATATGCCTGTTTCAAATTCTCTGCGTATGTTTAGGAAAAACTTTTTTTTTTTTTTTTAAACAGAGTCTCGCTCTGTTGCCCAGGCTGGAGTGCCATGGTGCCATCTTGGCTCACTGCAACCTCTGCCTCCCGGGTTCAAGCGATTCTTCTGCCTTGGCCTCCCAAGTAGCTGGGATTACAGGCACCTGCCACCACACCCAGCTAATTTTTGTATTTTTAGTAGAGACGGGGTTTCACTATGTTGGTCAGGCTGGTCTTGAACTCCTGACCTCAAGTGATCCGCCTGCCTCGGCCTCCCAAAGTGCTGGGATTACAGGGGTAAGCCACCACGCCTGGCTGCTTAGGAAAATCTTTAAATATGATATTAGGAAGTATTAAAGTATTAGATTATAAACTATCCTGGCCTAAAAAGATTACTTTATTAGACTGCTGAAATATGTTAATTTGATGATGTACTTTGAATATTTTCCCTCTAAAATATCTACCCCATGTCAATTAAGACTTTTTAATATTGGAAAACAGTTAGACCAAATACTTCTAATTCACTTTACATATTAATATATAATTTCAGGCTGGGAACAGTGGCTCACACCTGTAATCCCAGCACTTGGGAAGCTAAGCAGGAGGATCACTTGAGGTCAGGAGTTTAACACCAGCCTGGGGAACATAATGAGACTCCCTATCTCTATAAAAATTTAACTTAAAAAATAAAACACAGGAGGATCACTTGAGGTCAGGAGTTTAAGACCAGCCTGGGGAACATAATGAGACCCCCTATCTCTATAAAAATTTAATTTAAAAAATAAAATACATATGTACATATATGATTTTACCTACCAATCTTGTTATGAAAACATTTACCATTCAAGTTAAAGACGTACTCACAACAGATTACATATTTACGCATTTTATAAACATTTCCTCCACTTAACACCAAGCAAGATAAAAATACAATAAACTTAATGCTTATTTAATTATAATATTACTTATGTCACAAAAGAATTTTTTAATTTACTGTTAGTTCTTTCATTCAACAAATATTTATTATGCATATGTTCTAGATACTACTTTAGGTCCTAAAATAATAAACAGGCAAAGTTCCTAGGACTGTTTTCAACATTGTATTCTCAGGCCCTAGCACTTAGTAAACTCTTAAATACATGTTGATCATCTCCCAAGTCATAGAATCGCTTTTTCTAACAAAACGAAATTTCACTCAAAAAATAACAATAAACCTTGTTACATACCACTGATGTTAAGGTCATAATCTCCTGCTGTAATCACATTAGCTACTAATCCTTCTGCAGGCTGACTGCCAGAAACAACATCATTCAAAAGCTTCCGGATGGCTCCAGGCTGAGGTGGCTGGGTGACAATGTTGCTTACTGCTATCTTCAAATTTTTAATTACGTGAAGTTGATTATTAGGATCTCTCATGTGAACTTTAAAGAAAAAAAGAAAAAAACTTGAAATTAATTCTATACAATGCATAATAACCCAAAATTGGGCTGATGGTTTACAAACAAAAAGGATGTACAAAGCAGAAGCCAGCAATTCCAAGTGGAACGTTCTTCCAGAAATATAAATGGTTGACAACATTCCCTCATATACCAAAAGGGCTAGCTAGACAGTTTATTAACCACAGGATTCCTTCCCCTCTCACTACTGCTCAGCTTTCCTACTGTAGGTCCTCTCCTTTCCTATGTTTGGAGTTGCCAGAAACCAACTACTATCCATACCACTTCCCTTATTCTCACCTCACACTAAAGCTGGTCCAAGGCAGCGTAAGGTCTATGGTATTAACACTAGAAACAGTAAAAGGAAAAAGAAAGGGGAGTTAAAATGTTGCACTTGGGCTTCCTTCTTCTTTCCCTAGTCGGCCTGCATTCTTAGCCTCTTTTTCACTCTCATAAAAATCAATGCCCACACCAGTGCACGATGCTGTGGTGGAGGCTGTGCATGTGCAGGGCCAAGAGGTATGTAGAAACTCTCTGTACTTTCTGCTCAAATTTGCCATTAATCTAAAACTGGTCTTAAAAATAGAGTCTACTTAAAAAAAAAACTCTGGCCAGGCGCGGTGGCTCACGCCTATAATCACAGCACTTTGGGAGGCCGAGACAGACAGCTTGAAGTCAGGAGTTGGAGACAAGCCTGGCCAACATGGCAAAACCTTGTCTCTAGTAAAAATACAAAAAATTAGCTGGGTATGGTGGCGGGTGCCTGTAATCCCAGCTACTCAGGAGGCTGAGGCAGGAGAATTGCTTGAATCCGGGAGGCGGAGGTTGCAGCGAGCCGAGATTGCACTGCTGCACTCTAGCTTGGGTGACAGAGTGAGACTTGGTCTCCAAAAAAAAAAAAACAACAACAACAACAAAAAAACAATGTCCAGATCCCTTTTACCACCCTAATACTTCCTGCCTCCACCGTCCTATAGTCCTTGTTTCAGCCTATACAATTTATAACCAGTAAGTAGTTCAGAGATTCAGGACAGGGAATAGGTTCTGAGGCAATTACAGCAAGAAGACAGTGTCCACAGTCCACAGAACAAAATGTGAGCATATTTTTTCACATAATCAGACAAAATGTTCCACAGTAGCATTAAAAGCAGTCCATTACAGGGCTGGGCACAGTGGCTCACGCCTGTAATCCCAGCACTTTAGTAGGTAGAGGTGGGTGGATCACCTGAGGTCAGGAGTTCGAGACCAGCCTGGCCAACATAGTGAAACCTCGTCTCTACTAAAAATACAAAAAGTAGCCAGGCATGGTGGCGGGCGCCTGTAATCCCAGCTACTGGGGACGCTGAGGCAGGAGAATCACTTGAATGCGGAGGCTGCAGTGAGCCAAGGCGGAGGGTTGCAGTGAGCCAAGATTGCGCCACTGCATTCCAGCCTGGGCGACAGAGTGAGACTCCGTCTCAAAAAAAAAAAAAAAAAAAAAAAGCCGGGCGCAGTGGCTCACACCTGTAATCCCAGCACTTTGGGAGGCCAAGGCGGGCAGATCACGAGGTCAGGAGACCGAGACCATCCTGGCTAACACGGTGAAACCCTGTCTCTACTAAAAACATAAAAAATTAGCCGGGCGTGGTGGTGGGCACCTATAGTCCCAGCTACTTGGGAGGCTGAAGCAGGAGAATGGTGTGAACCCGGCGGGCGGAGCTGGCAGTGAGCTGAGATCGTGCCACTGCACTCCAGCCTGGGCAACAGAGCGAGACTCCGTCTCAAAAAAAAAAAAAAAAAAAAGGAGTCCATTATAATGATTGAGGACCCAGCTTTTGGAGTTGGACCTTGATTTAAATCCCAACCCATTACTTATCAACTGGGTTACCCTGAACAACTTAACCCTTCTGTGCTTCAAATTCTTCATCTGCACATGTGATTACTATCTACTTCACGGGATCATTTTAGTGATTTAGGTGAACTATTGTTAGACAGTAATTGCAAAGCACTGAGCACCATGCTCAACAATACATAATGAAGGCGGTATAGCAGCAGCAGCAGATACAACATCACCTATTTCACCTGCACCATGGGTTATTATCACATACAAATAAGAGGCAACTTTGGGAAAGTGGTCTGGGTACCTACAAATAAAGAATGACACATTCTTCTCAATGGAAAATGCCTTATACCAAAATCAAGGCCTGCGTATATTTTAAATAAAGTTATATGCATACAAACTTTTCTACATTTCCTATGTGTTCTATTGATTTCTAACATTTTTTACTAAAAAAAAAGACTCAAAAACGTTTTTAAAATACTGTATGTGGTACAAATGTGTATTTATATTGTAAACATAAATATAGATACACAAAAAGTATACATGCAGCCGGGCATGGTGTCTCACTGTTGTAATCCCAGCACTTTTGGGAGGCTGAAGCGGGCGGAACACTTGAGGTCAGGAGTTCGAGACCAGCCTGGCCAACAAGGTGAAACCCCCATCTCTACTAAAATACAAAAATTAGCCAGGCATGGTGGCAAGCGCCTGTATTCCCAGCTATTTGGAAGGCTGAGGCAAGAGAATCACTTGAAACCAGGAGGCAGAAGTTGCAGTGAGCCAAGATTGCGCCACTGCACTCCAGCCTGGGCGACAGAGACTCCCTTTCAAAAAAAAAAAATGGTACATGCAAATTCTATGATAGTGGTTGCCTATAAAAGGAAGGAAAGAAAAGAGACTAAGATAAGGTAGAAAGAAAACTTCAACCTGGGAAGTCTGTCCTATAACGTTTGATTTTTTTTTTAAAAGAAAAGATAAAAAGCAAATATGATGGAGGGTTAATATTTGTTAGTTCTGGGTAGTGGGGAGGTGGATGTTTCTTGTATTATCTGCATTCTTCTATAACTGTTATGTTTTCTAACTTAAATAAACATACCAGCCTCTCTCCCTAAACTTCCCAGTCAGTCTAATTATGCAGCAGAGAAACAAACAAACAAACAAAAAAACTATGGTGCATTTCTGATATCCTTAGGAACATATTGGACAAGTATTTTCCTTAAAGTTGCTTCATAGCTGGGCGCAGTGGCTCACACCTGTAATCCCAGCACTTTGGTAGGTCAAGGCGGGCGGATCACCAGAGGTCAGGAGTTCAAGACCAGCCTGGCCAACGTGGTGAAACCCCGTCTCTACTAAAAATACAAAATTAGCCGGGCATGGTGGCACGTGCCTGTAATCCCAGCTACTCTGGAGGCTGAGGCAGGAGAATCGCTTGAACCCGGGAGGCAGAGGTTGCACTGAGCCGAGACCACACCATTGTACTCCAGCCTGGGCAATGAGAGCTGAGATCACACTACTGCACTCCAGCCTGGGCAATGAGAGCTGAGATCACACTACTGCACTCCAGCCTGCTGGGCAACAGAGAGAGGCTCCGTCTCATAAATAAATAAATAAATAAATAAATAAATAAATAAATAAAATGTATTTTGAAAATAATGACATCTTTTATGCTTTTACCCAGCATATAAAACTGTACAAAGAAAACAGGCTAGGCCGGGCGTGATGGCTCATGCCTGTAATCCCAACACTTTGAGAGGCCTTGGCGGGCGGATCACCTGAGGTTGGGAGTTCAAAACCAGCCTGACCAACATAGAGAAACCCCGTCTCTACTAAAAATACAAAATTAGCCAGGCGTGGTGGCGCATGCCTGTAATCCCAGCTACCAGGGAGGCTGAGGCAGAATTGCTTGAACCTTGGAAGTGGAGGTTGCAGTGAGCCGAGATTGCGCCACTGCACTCCAGCCTGGGCAACAAGAGCGAAACTCCACCTCAAAAACAAACAAACAAACAAACCAAAAAAAAAACAGGCTTTATAAATAAGTCTGCAATTACAGGCTGGAGCCGCTGCACCCAGTGGCTCAAGCCAGCTACTCGGCAGGCTGAGGCAGAACTGCTTGAACCTGGGAGGTGGAGGTTGCGGTGAGCCAAGATCGTGCCATTGCACTCCAGCCTGGGCAACAAGAGCGAAACTCCATCTTAAAAAAAAAAAAAAAAAAAAGCAGGCTTTATGAACAAGCCTGCGATTATAGGCTTGAGCCACTGGACCCACTGCACCCAGTGAGTGCCTCAAGCCTGTAATCTCAGCATTTTAGGAGGCTAAAGCAGGAGGATCACTTGCACCCAGGAATTCAAGACCAGCCTGGACAACAGAGGGAGAGAGACCCCATTTCTTTTTTTTTTTTTGAGACAGAGTCTCGCTCCGTCACCCAGGCTGGAGTGCAATTGCATGATTTCAACTCACTGCAACCTCCGCCTCCCAGGTTCAAGCAATTCCCCTGCCTCAGCCTCCCGAGTAGCTGGGATTACAGGCGCCCGCCACCACACCCGGCTAATTTTTTGTGTTTTTTTAGTAGAGACGAGGTTTCGCCATGTTGGCCACGCCGGTCTCAAACTCTTGACCTCATGATCCACCCACCTCGGCCTCCCAAAGTGCTGGGATTACAGGCGTGAGCCACCACACCTGGCACAAGACCCCATCTCTATAAAAAAATTTTTTTTAATTAGCTGGGTGTGATGGCACACACCTGTGTGCTACTCAGGAGGCTAAGGTAGGAGGATCTTGTATACTTTATACATATAAAACTTTACCATATTAAAAAACCCTCTGGCTGGGTGTAGTGGCTCAAGCCTGTAATCTAGGCACTTTGGGAGGCCGAGGCTGGCAGATCGCTTGAGTCCAAGAGTTCAAGAACAGCCTGGGAAACACAGCAAAACCCCATCTCTACAAAAAAAATTTTTTTTTTAATTAGCCAAATGTGTGATGCAAACCTGTAATCCCAGCTACCCAGGAGGCCAATGTGGAATGATCGCTTGAGCCCAGGAGGTCGAGGCTGCAGTGAACCATGATCATGCCCCCTGTATCCAGCCTAGGTGACAAAGTGAGACCCTGTCTCGAAAAATTAATAAAACAAAATGAAAACAAATTTCGAAAAACTGACTTGAATTTTATTCAGAGTTTGGTACTTCCACACCTTGGAGATTAATTACTTCATTATATAAACATGGTAGTTAAGATTGATGAAATATTTCCAACTAAAAGAAATTTAAGAGGCCAGACGCAGTGGCTCATGCCTGTAATCCAGCACTTTGGGAGGCCGAAGGCGGGTGGATCACTTGAGGTCGGGAGTTCGAGACTAGCCTGGCCAACATAGCAAAACCCTGTCTCTACTAACAACACGAAAATTAGCCAGGAGTGGTGGCCCGTGCCTGTAATGCCAGCTACTTAGGAGGCTGAGGCAGGAGAATTGCTTGAACCTGGGAGGCGGAGGTTGCAGTGAGCTAAGATTGTGCGACGGCACTGCAGTCTGGGTGACAGAGCAAGACTCCGTCTTTAAAAAAAAAAAAAAAAAAAAAAAAAAGGAGCCAGGCGCGGTGGCTCACGCCTGTAATCCCAACACTTTGGGAGGCCAAGGCGGGTGGATCACGAGGTCAGGAGATCAAGACCATCCTGGCTAACATGGTGAAATCCCGTCTCTACTAAAAAAACACAAAAAATTAGCCAGGCGTGGTGGTGGGCGCCTATAGTCCCAGCTACTCAGGAGTCTGAGGCAGGAGAATGGAGTGAACCCAGGAGGCGGAGCTTGCAGTGAGCTGAGACGCACCACTGCACTCCAGCCTGGGTGACAGAGCGAGACTCCGTCTCAAAAAATAAAAATAAAGGAAAAGGAAAGAAATTTAAGGCCGGTCGCAGTGGCTCGCGCCTGTAATCAAAGCACTTTGGGAATCCAAAGCGGGTAAATTGCTTGAGTCCATGAGTTTGAGACCGGCTGGGCAGCATGGCAAAACCCCATTTCTACAAAAACTACAAAAATTAGCCAGGTGTGGTGGTACATGCCCATAACCCCAGCTACTGGTGAGGCTGATGAGGGAGGATATTTTGAGCCAGAAGGTTGAGGCTATAGTGAGCCACGGAGTTCAAGACCAGCCTGGGCAACAGAGTGAGGCTCTGTCTCAAAAAAAAAACTGCTCACTTCAGCAGCACATATACTAAAATTGGAATGATACAGAGAAGATTAGCATAGCTCCTGCACAAGGATCACACAATGTTTTTCAAGAATTCAAAAAGAAAAGAAAAAGAAATTTAAGAAAACTGGAGATATTAAATAGCCTTCAAAAGTTATATCCTAGTCTACTTTTTTTTGTTGTTTTTTTGAGACAGAGTCTCGCTCTGTCACCCAGGCTGGAGTACAGTGGCAAAATCTTGGCTCACTGCAACCTTCACCTCTCGAGTTCAAGTGATTCTCCTGCCTCAGCCTCCCGAGCAGCTGGGACTACAAGCGCCCACCACCACACCAGGCTAATTTTGTACTTTCAGTAGAGATGGGGTTTCGCCACGTTAGCCACGCTGGTCTCAAACTCCTGACCTCAGGTTATCATCCAACTCAGCCTCCCAAAGTGCTGAGATTACAGGCCTAAGACACTGCACCTGGCCTACTTTTTAATCCCTTTAGTAACCTTAATTTCAAAATAAAATAATATATAACCCACATACTTCCAAGTTAGTGTTTAAGTGAAATTTTCTTAAAACTTACAGAACATCTAAATGATATATTGCAACATTGTTTAGAACTATCAAAGAACTATCACTAAGCAAAAACAAGGCTTAATTTTAATTTTTTGTTGTTTGCTTGATTAATTAATATTAATACCACGACTCTTTGAAACATGGCCAGTGGAAATTCTTTGAGTATTAGGATCTCAAAATTTGTGTCAAACAATGACTACATTAACTCTCAAACATACATCAAGCATAACAATCACAGAAAATACATATAATAAATTTAATTATATATTTTAATATAATTTAATTTTAACATAATTTAATACTCTTCAGGTTTTAAAATGTCTCTAAGGAACCTAAAATGGCTCTCCGTTGTGTAATACATCAAGTCTAAACTGTATTTTGAAGGCCCTACACACAAATAGTACTCAAATCTCTTCTACCAACCCTCTCTTTGGTATAGCTTTAAACCAAGTGTTTTCTACTAAAATCTAAAAATAAGTCTCCTGACAATACTTGGCACTGTACTTGACACTCCTTGAAAACTCAGCAGTCAAGGCAAAGTTCTACCCTAAGTAAAGGCATACCTACAGGCCAGAAATTGAGTCTTCTTTTTTAACATATTTTTTCTCCCTCTAAGGAAATGTTAGCTGGTTTTAGTCAGTTGTATTCTTAAATTACATTGCCTGAAATTATATTCTCATGCCTCACTTGCTAAAGAAAAGCTGTTGCCTAGCTCAGTGGCTCATGCCTGTAATCCCAGCACTTTGGGAGGCCAAGGCGGGCAGATCATGAGGTCAAGAGATAGAGACAATCCTGGCCAACATGGTGAAACCCCATCTCTACCAAAAATAGAAAAATTAGCTGAGCATGGTGGCACGAGCCTGTAGTCCCAGCTACTCGGGAGGCTGAGGCAGGAGAATCACTTGAACCCGGGAGGCGGAGCTTGCAGTGAGCCAAGATCTATCTCGCCGCTGCACTCCAGCCTGGTGACAGAGCGAGACTCCGTCTCAAAAAAAAAAAAAAAAAAAAAAGCTGTCTTTGAAGAATCCCCACACTTGAAACAAAAAGTAGCTGTTCTAGGTGGTAAAGAATTCTAAAATGTATTTATACCAGCAAAAAACTAAAACCAAGAAAAATTAAGTCCTCTTTGCCAAATTTCTAATGCTACTATCATAGTCCATGTTCATCTTGAAATGTAAAACTTGTATCTACTTATATCTATCCTTATAAACCACACAACTCACTAATCTCCAAAACTTTCAACTCATTAATGTCCAAATGTTTCAGACCCTCAAGAATCTACTCACATTTACCATTAGACATAAAATCGCAAATCCCTTTCCTAGAATTCAAGGTCCTCCCTTTATCTAAGCATCCTCTTACTACTCTGTACCCCAGTAAGAGTTTCCTCCCTGTTTCCCAACCATTCAGTCATAATTTAGACCTTTTGCCCATACCATTATAACCTCATACCACTCCTTCATAGGGAATGACTGCCCTCTTGCTTTCTACCAACTGTCTACCTGTCCACTAACGTCCAACTCATTATACTCCTTCACTAGGCTGGACGCAGTGGTCCGAGACGAGCCTGGGCAACAAGGAGAAACCCCATCTCTACAAAAAATTTAAAAATTAGCCAGGCATGATGGCATGTGCCTGTAGTCCCAGCTACTTGGGAGGCTGAGACAAGAGGATAGCTAGAACCTGGGAAGTTGAGGCTGCAGTGGGTGAGGGAGCTATGGTGATACAATTGCACTCCAGCCCTCCCAGCGTGGGTAACAGAGCAAGACCTTGTCTCAAAACAAAAAACAAACAAACAAAAAAACTCCTTCCCTAATCTTCCCCAGTCTCCTGAAGGAAATCAGAAGTGTACTGACAATGAGCCGCTATCACAGCACTGTCCAATACAGTAGGCAACAGCTGCATATGGCTACTGAGTACTTGAAATGTGACTAGTACAAATTGAGATGTTAAGTATAAAAGGCACACCAAATTTCAAAGACTAAGCAATAAAAAAGAATGTAAAATATCTCATGAATATTTTTCACATTGATTACACATTGAAATAGTAACATTTTGGAAATACTGAGTTAAATAAAATACAGTATTAAAACTAATTTCGGCCGGGCACGGTGGCTCACGCCTGTAATCCCAGCACTTTGGGAGGCGGAGGCGGGCGGACCACGAGGTCAGGAGTTCGAGACCAGCCTGGCCAACATGGTGAAACCCTGTCTCTACTAAAAATACAAAAATAAGCCGTGAGCGCCTGTAATCCCAGCTACTCGGGAGGCTGAGGCTGGAAAATCGCTTGAACCTGGGAGGCAGAGGTTGTAGTGAGCCAAGATCGCGCCACTGCACTCCCAGCCTGGGCAACAGGGCAAGACTCCATCTCCAAAAAACAAAAAACAAAAAAACTAATTTCACTTGTTTCTTTTTACTTTTTTAATGTGGCTACTAAAATTTTTTGTTGTTGTTGTTTGTTTGGTTGGTTTTGAGATGGAGTCTCACTGTGCCTCCCGGGTTCAAGTGATTCTCCTGCCTCAGCTTCTCGAGTAGCTGGGACTACAGGCGCCCACCACCACGCCCAGCTAATTTTTGTATTTTTAGTAGAAACGGGGTTTCACCATGTTGGCCAGGATGGTCTCGAACTCCTGACCTCGTGATCCACCCGCCTCGGCCTCCCAAAGAGCTGGGATTACAAGCGTGAGCCACCGCGCCCGGCCGAAAATTTTTTAATTATACCTGTGACTCACATTATATTTCAATTAGACAGCACTGCTCTATGGTGTAAATACATAATTCTAAATACTGTCAGGAGATAAGATGATTAAGAACACAATGTCTTGAGTCACACTGCCTGTTTCAAATCTTTCCCAGACGCAAAACTGTGAACAAATTAACACTTCTATGCTTCAAGGTCCTCAAATTTAAAATTGCAATAACAGGATTCAATGAGGACTAAAAAAGAAAAGTTACACAAAGCAAGTATCAGGTATTAGCATTATTATTATTTATTAAGAAAGAAGGAAAGAGTACACATATAAAAGTAAAACTAGCTCAAGTGTTTGTGTTTTTTTAGGAATTCAAGGCCGGGCGCGGTGGCTCACGCCCATAATCCCCGCACTTTGCGAGGCCGAGGCGGGCAGATCACCTGAGGTCGGGAGTTCGAGACCAACCTGACCAACATGGAGAAACCCTGTCTCTACTAAAAATACAAAAATTATCCGAGTATGGTGGCGCATGCCTGTAATCTCAGTTACTCAGAAGGCTGAGGCAGGAGAATCGCTTGAACCTGGGAGGCGGAGGTGGCGGTGGGCTGAGATCGCGCCACTGCACTCCAGTCTGGGCAACAAGAGCGAAACTCCATCTCAAAATAAATAAATAAATAAATAACAAAAAAATAAAAAACGTAGGGCATTTTGTTGCTCTTAAGTCCAACACTGAAGGAACTGAGACTGATGGCTACGATACAGGCTAAAGAAAATCCAAAAGTTTCCAAACTTTGTTTTTTTGGACAGCTCCCTCTCTCCGCTAAAAACAAAAGCTAATTTATAATGGAACTATTCTCCCAAAAAACATGGTAGCGCAAAAATGGTACAGCACTGATTTTTTTTGTGGATAAGTCATATTAAGCTAACAAACATCACAGTCGTTTGCCTGACACAGGCTTATTATGAAACCCTTCAGTTCTTACCGACCTTAACAAAAAAAACTTTACTTGGACTTTGTTGTTTGCAAGATATTGGCTAAAACATGCTTGAAGCTTTACCACATTATTTTCTCCTAATAAAAAAATCCAAAACTGGAGAAAACGGGTAGCTTCTTAACAAGACATTCATTAACAAGAGAAGACATTTCCATCCCTATAACTATAGATAACTCCAAATATCCAGGTTAAATTAACCACAACTTGGGCTTGCTTCCTCTTCCTTAGGGCAAAAAGCTGCTTCAAGTTTTATTCTTCTTATAATACTTTTAATTTTCTTGAGAGGTTAAGCAAAATACCGTATAGCTAAGAATATATTAGTAAAACAGCTACACGGTAGTTCAGACAGAGATGACCCTCAACGCTACAAGAATGTAATAACATCCACAACTACTTTCAAAGTCCAGTTTAACATCCAAGGGAGGATGACAGGTCTTCCTTACTCAGACCCTGTCGGTCTAAGAGGCAGCATTTTCCTACCTTAGCTGCTTTGCAAGTGCCTAATTCCTTCGCTATGGCCGTGGAGAACAGTCTCAATGCCGTTCTCGAAGACTCACGTTTATCTTTGCACCAATTACTTAACGACCTAGGTTGTCCGAGGAAGAAAGGAAGTGCCCAGAGAAACTGGAGCTTAGGACTGCGCTGTCTTGACAACCTCACGGTCCCTCCTCCAGCCGCCCCCGGAGCACCGCGGGGCCACAGCCCCAGACGCCACGGTACCGGCTCCAGGACGTAAACACTGCCCTTCTCTTCCCTGCCCGCCCGCAACTTCCTTCTCCCGACCACGGCTTTGCGGGAGCCCACTGGAAAAGGGAGGATACCACATACCCTCGGAAGTGAGGCGGGAGAAGGGCTTAAGCAGCTCCGCGAAGCTGAGGTGATTGAGACGAGTGAGCCGCTCGGCTTCGTCGCTGCACAGCGCAGCGACACAGGGGACGAAGGAGTCCGGGATTAGCTCCTGCACTGATTGTACACACTGGGCCATCGCCGCAGCACAGGCAGCGGCGGCGCCCGCCCTCCGGCCCACCCTGCGAGGTTATCCTGCGGCTGCAGCAGCTACCGCCGCCGCCCGCCGGCCTGGCCCGGCCGGGCGGGGCCCCGAACGCACTGGAGCCTAGAAACAAGAAGGAACAGACGCCGCCGCTTCGGTTTCTGGGGCACAATCCACTGACCCCCCCCTTCCCGTCACCGCCGCTTCTCAGCGCTCGTCCCCGCGTGCTCGCATTCCACCCCGATAGGTGGAGACGCCGACAGTCACCACTTAGTCCTTCGGACGGCAAAACCTTGGTCACTGCCCGGCCGGAACCGCCATGTTGAGGCCGAACCCTGACCAACCGGCAGTACTACTCCCAGCTGCCCCCGCGCGCGTCCCTCACGTGACTGTGTTAAAGGAGACGGTAGGGGCAAGGGAAGAGAGCTGAGGAGAGGGAAGTGAAAAACGACGGAGGCCGGTTGGGAGGCTGGAGCCGGAAGTGTTGTGACGGAAGCTCCCTGGGCGGGGCGGGGCTACAAGTGCGGTGGGCGGGGGCGGGGGCGGGGGCGGGGGCGGGGGGAGGTGCACAACTGTAGGCCGGGTTCTCAAGCTCGCCCTTAGCAGAGCAGAGCTGAGAGCCACCTACTAGCGGCAGGTGGAGCCTCGAGACGGGTGCTGTCGTGGTGATGGAGGCGCACGCTCGCTTCCCACGCAGTTTGGCCTTTTTGACGTCCCTGGCTGTTGTGGGCAACCGATTTGGTTGGTCGCGCTGCTTCCTACGCTCGCCGGCGGAGCAGCTAGTGGCACCTGCTCGGAGAGAGGGAGTGGATCTCTCGGAAGTGCTTGGGGTTTCGCTGAAGCGGACCTGAACAGACCATGTGTCCTTTAAATACAGCCATGCTTTTAGAAACGGACTGTCACTTTATGTGGACTCAACCATTGAACAGAATGTGTGCTTTTGTGAGTGCTGCAATTCCTTCAAGTGTAATTGCGCTACTGCATTTTTGTTGGTCGCAGGGAAGGGGTGTGCCTGCAAATGTCCGCGTGGTTCGTCCTCAGCCTCTTCCTTTTTACACTGTGCTAGGATGTTTACTTGCTTGTGGTGGAGGTAGGGGAAGCCAGTATTTGTGTACTGTGTACTGTCCTGAACCGGCTTTCATTCCTAACTTTTCAAAGATTGCTTTAAAGGGGGGGGGGCGCGGGTCAAATATTGTTTTAAAGGGGGGGACGGGGTGAGGTCAATGGTGTGTGCCTTGTAAGTAGAAATGAATGAAAGGAATTTTACTAATGTGTCACTCAATTGTTTGAGCTCCTTCTGTTTTGCATGCCAAAAATATAAGGCAAGGAAAAATGTATCATTCTATCATGATTTTATGGTGCTCTAATTAAAGGTGTCTTCCCCAACGTCAATGTCTCAAATTTTTCGACTTCTTGACACCCTCAGGTTTTCACTAAGGTAATAATTTATGACAAGTAAGATGTGTGCTTCTCATGTAAGTTGATAAATGGGAGGTAGGAAGGCACAGTAGGACATATTGATGACATGCCTTGGCTACAGATTAATTTATAAGAGAGTCCATCACTTTAGGAGATTTATTTGCCGAAGTTAAGTACGAGCCCAGGAAACAGGTCTATGCCTTTCTTCGAAGATGATTTTGAGTGCTCCAAATTTAAAGGGGAAAGGGCGGGATATTGAGAAGCACACCGTTTTCATGTAAGGGGGCGGTAGGAGAAAATAGTAATTCTTGCCTTTCTCTGGCTCAGTGAATCTGCATTTTTTACATAAGATGACATAAAATGGGCAGAGGAAGAATGTGGGAGTCTGCATTTTTCATAAGATAACAGACAAAATGGGGTAGGGGAACAATCAGATAGGCATTTGTGTCTGGCGGGCTGGGGTGGCCACCTGTAAAGATAAGCTATCAATTTGCATTGCCATGAAGTTTTAACAGCACACTAAGAATTTCCTTGTGGGCAAAATACGGGGGAGAGATGTAGCTTTTCATCTTGCAGCAATCTTATTTAGGAACCAAAAGGGGGAGGCAGATTTGCGTGACCAGTCCCAGCGTGACTTTTCCCTTTGGCTAAATCAGTTTGGGGTCCCAAAATTTAATTTCCTTTTGCAAGAGATAACATGTTACACACAATCCCTTTTCAATGCTTCTGATTCACTTCCTTACCCTTTATAATGTGAGAATCTCACATAATTTAGTGTGACTCAAGTTATAAGATACATTTTTTATAACAGGACTCCCAAATGCAAACATACTATTTATCTAGTACTCTAAAAAGTTTCAAAGGCCATTTATTTTTATGCTGAAAGTAAAAACAGCTGAATTAGACTCTTTGAAAAGGACTTTCAATGGTAATTTAGCCAAAATAGATTTTTCTGAGATATAATTCACATGCCATAATATTTACCCCTTCAGATGAGTGTACAATTCATTGGTTTTCAGTTTATTCCAAAAGTTGTGCAACCATTACTACTATCTAATTCCAGAACATGTTCATCCCAAAAAGAAGGCTTGTACAGGCTTTTATCATTCTGCACCCTGCCATGCCCTCCAACTCCTGGCAATCACTAATCTACTTTCTGTCTGTGTAGATTTACCTATTCTGGACATTTCATATAAGTGAAATTATACAATATGTGGCCTTTGTACACATATTACTTCACTCATCAATATATTTTAAAGGTTCATCCATGTTGTAACATGAATCATTACTTCATTCCTTTTTATGGCTGAGCCTAAATGGATTTTTGTCTTATGCATTGACTTTGCAGTTGTTGTTTTTTTTTTAATATATAGAGATGAGGGCTCACTGTATTGCCCAGGCTGGCCTCAAACTCTGGGCTCTGGTGATCCTTCTGCCTCAGCCTCCCAAAATGCTGGGATTGCAGGTGTGAGCCACCACACCCAGCCTGACTTCACAATCTAATACCACACCCATACACAGTGTTTCCAGTGAGTAACTTCACTGTGTAAATCTAATTCTTTCGTAGTCTATCCTGGTCTCTTCTTTCTTTTGACAAGGTACTGTTTGAACTGTGGAAACACCTTAAAGGAGATGATACTGAGGACTTAACTCTGACATTTTTCCCCTCCTCCCCGAATTCCTATCTAAGGGGCCTGTGGAGTCACACCCTACAAAACATAAAATGTTATCAAATGGGCCGGGCGCGGTGGCTCACGCCTGTAATCCCAGCACTTTGGGAGGCTGAGGTGGGTGGATCACGAGGTCAGGAGTTCGAGACCAGTCTGGCCAACATAGTGAAACCCCGTCTACCAAAAATACACAAAAAATTAGCTGGGCGTGGTGGTGTGTGCCTGTAATCCCAGCTCCTCAGGAGGCTGAGGCAGGAGAATCACATGAACCCAGGAGGTGGAGGTTGCAGTGAGCCAATATCGTGCCACTGCACTCCAGCCTGGGCAACAGAACGAGACTCCGTCTCAAAAAAAAGAAAAGTTATCAGATGGGTTTTATGTAAACTTATATAATATGGCTTACTTTCCAACTTGACTCTGGCATAACATCACATGACAGATAAAGGAAATCAAAGTATTTTACCTCAAAATATATTTCTTTGCCGTATTTTGAAATGCCCCTGCAAAGCTATTTTGTGGGGAGAGAGGTAATTGCATCTGTTAAGAATCTCTGTTGGCTGGGTGCAGTGGCTCACACCTGCAATCCCAGCACTTTGGGAGGCCGAGGCATGTGGATCACCTGAGGTCAGCCCGGCCAACATGGTGAAGCCCCGTCTCTACTAAAAATTTAGCCGGCCGTAGTGGTGGGCTCCTGTAATCCCAGCTACTCTGGAGGGTGAGGCGGGAGAATCACCTGAACCCAGGAGGCAGAGATTGCAGTGAGCCAAGATCGCACCATTGCACTCCAGCCTGGGCAAGAAGAGCAAAAAACTCCATCTAAAAAAAAAAAAAAAAAAAAAAAAAAAGAATCTCTATCAACATAATTAGATGTTTCCCCCTTCCAGGCCCTCCCAATTCTGAAGAGATTAGCTGAGAGTCTAGCCCCTTTTACAGGTCAGAATAGGAAACATTTGCCATCTATTGTCTCTAAGGATGGCCACCTAGGAGACTTCATCTACATAATAAGAACCTTAGTGTCCACCACCCCTTATCTTAATCCAGGCATTCCTTTCTGTTTATTCCAGGTCTTTAAATAGTAACTTCACTCTTTCAACCAATTGCCAATCAGGAAATCTTTTAATCCACCTATGACCTATAAGCCCTCCCCCAAACCCTCTTCAAGTTGTCCCACCTTCCCCAACCAAACCAATGTATACCCCAAATGTATTGATTGGTGTGTTATGTCTCCCTAAATTGTATTAAAACCAAGCTGTAACCCAACAGTCTTGGGCACATATTCTCAGTACCTCTTGGGACTATGCCTCAGGCCTTGGTCACTCATATTTTGTTTAGAATAAACCTCTTCAGGGCCGGGCACGGTGGCTCACACCTGTAATCCCAGCACTTTGGGAGGCCAAGGTGGGCGGATCACAAGGTCAGGAGTTCAAGACCAGCCTAGCCAACATAGTGAAACCCGGTCTGTACTAAAAATACCAAAATTTTAGCCAGGCATGGTGGCGCGTGCCTGTAGTCCCCTACTCAGGAGGCTGAGGTGGGAGAATCACTTGAACCCGGGAGGTGGGGGTTGCAGTGAGCCAAGATCACGCCATTGCACTCCAGTTTGGGCAACAGAGTGAGAGTTTGTCTAAAAAAAAAAAAAAAAAGAATAATCCTCTTTAAATGTTTTAAAGAGTTTGATACTTTTTGTCGACAATATTTACTGTGACCATAGTAGCAGACCTTTTAGTCAGGATTCTTTCAATGTCAAAACAAAGCAAATTAGGCCAGGCACACAGTGGCTCATGCCTGTAATCCCAGCACTTTTGGAGGCCGAGGCAGGCAAATCATCTGAGGTCAGGAGTTCGAGACCAGCCTGGCCAACATGGTGAAACCCGTCCCTACCAAAAATACAAAAATTGGCCAGGCATAGTGGCATGTACCTGTAGTCTAAGCTACTTGGGAGGCTGAGAATCGCTTGAACCTGGGAGGTGGAGGTTGCAGTGAGCCAAGATCACTCCCGCCTGGGCAATACAGCAAGACTCCATCTCAAAAACAAAAAAGGCAAATTAAATTTATACTAACGTCAGCAAACTAGAGAATTTAATGGCTCATGTAACTACAGGTAGAGATGGGATAAAGGTCACAGGAAAGAAGGAAGAGCTGCAAAAATAATGGCTTCAAGGACCAAAGGCCAGGATTTGTTACCAGCAAGTCCCTCTATCTCTAATTTCTAATTCTGTTAGGCTTCGTTTTTCAGGAAGCCTCTGTCTACATGATAGGGTTTGCCCACATCCCCAGATCATATTGTTGAGGCTCAGAATGTCGACAAAAAGAGTCGAATTCTGTAAAATATTTGAAGATATTTATTCTGAGCCAAATATGAGTGACAATGAGGTCCTGAGAACATGTGCCCAAGGTGGTCGGGCACAGCTTGGTTTTATACATTTTAAGGAGGCTTGAGACATTAATCAAATACATTTAAGAAATACACTGGTTTTAAGGGAGGAGACCACCCCTCATATTGTCTTATGCTCAATTTCTGCCTCCAAAGAAAGAAGTAAAAACTAAAAGGCAGAAATGAAATCCACCGGCGCACAGCCTGGTGCCGGACCTGGTTAAAGGTCGACCCCTGACCTAACTGGTTATGTTATCTATAGATTCCAGACATTGTATGGAAAAGCATTTTGAAAATCCCTGTCCTGTTCTGTTCCGTTCTGATTACCAGTGCATTCAGCCCCCAGTCAGGTACCCCCTGCTTGCTCAGTTGATCACAACCCTCTCACGCGGACCCCCTTAGAGTTGTAAACCCTTAAAAGGGACAGGAATTGCTTACTCTGGGAGCTCAGTTTTTGGAGATGTGAGTCTTGCTGAAGCTCCCGGCCGAAAAAAGCCCTTCCTTCTTTAACTAGGTGTCTGAGAGGTTTTGTCCGCGGCTTGTCCTGCTACAGTTTGATCCGGAAAGATGGGACAACTCAAAGTGGGGCAGGGGGATTGGGTTACCAAACACCTTCTGGTTGATAATTGGTTGAGTTTGTCTAACTGGGATTCATCCGCTTAGATCGCACCACTGCACTCCACCCTGGGCGACAGAGCAAGACTCCATCTCAAAACACAAAAAACAGAAAGGGAATGTTCAGTTTAAGATAAAAATTGTGGCTGGACGCGGTGGCGCACGCCTGTAATCCCAGCACTTTGGGAGGCTTAGGTGGGCGGATCACCAGGTCAGGAGTTCGAGACCAGCCTGGCCAGCATGTTGAAACGCCATCTCTACTAAAAATACAAAAATCAGCCAGCCGGGCATGGTGGTGTATGCCTGTAATCCCAGCTACTCAGGAAGCTGAAGCAGGATATTCGCTTGAATCCAGGAGGCGGAGGTTGCAGTGAGCCGAGATCGTGCCACTGCACTCCAGCCTGGGCGACAGAGTGAGACCCCGTCTCAAAAAAAAAGAAAAAGAAAAAAAAGATAAAGATTGTGGAGGTCAAAGTTCTTTTTAAGTCTTATAGTGGCTGCCCTTAGAGACAGTAAATAACAAATATTTCCTATTCAGATCTTAATTAATCTCTTTAGGATTGGGACAGTCTGGAAGAGAAAGAACTAGCTATGTTAATAGAGATTTTTTTCTTTTTTTTGGACAGAATCTCACTCTGTCACCCAGGCTGGAGTGCAGTGGTGCGATCTTGATTCACTGCAACCTCTGCCTCCTGGGTTCAAGTGATTCTCCTGCCTTAGCCTCCCAAGTAGCTGGGACTACGGGCATGTGCCACCATGCCCGGCTAATTTTTTTTATTTTTATTTATTTATTTTTAAGACGGAGTTTCACTCTGTCGCCCAGGCTGGAGTGCAGTGGCGAAATCTTTGCTCATTGCAACCTCCGCCTCCCAGGTTCAAGCAATTCTCCTACCTCAGCCTCCCGAGTAGCTGGGACTACAGGCGCATGCCACAATGCCCGGTTAATTTCTTTTATATTTTAGTAGAGACAGGGTTTCACCGTGTTGCCCAGGCTGGTCTCGAACTCCTGAGCTCGGGCAATCTGCCTGCCTCGGCCTCCCAAAGTGCTAGGATTACAGGCGTGAGCCACCACACTCAGCCATTTTTTTAATTTTTAGTAGAGACGAGGTTTCACCATGTTGGCCAGGATGGTCTCGATTTCCTGACCCTGTGATCTGCCCTCCTCGGCCTCCCAAAGTGCTGGGATTACAGGCATTAGCCACCGGGCCAGGCCAGAGATTCTTTATAGATGCAAATTTTCCCCCACAACTAACAGCTTTGCAGGGCCATTTCAAAGTATGGCAAAGAAACATGTTTTGGGGTAAAACATTTTGATTTTCTTCTTTGTCTTGTAATGTTATGCCAGAGTAAAGCTGGAAAGTAAGTTGCAATATATAAGGTTAAATAAAACCTATCTGTTGAGAATTTATGATTTGTAGAGCATGACTCCCCAGACCACTCAGATAGGAATTTGGGCAAAATAAAAAAAATCTGAGTTTAGTCCTTAGAAACCAGTATCTCAAAATAAGGTGTTTTGACCTGCTGAACTGAAGAAGCTGCAAGATCTGTTTGACCCACCCTCCCCCATTGAAGTTGAAGTTCTTTATTTACCTAAGATCCAGACCTACCAAGGAAAACTATAATTTTTTTCTCCCCCTCCCTGTAATCTCATCTATTGTAGAAAATAAGACCAAGATGTACCCACAGCTGAACAGACTCTTTCACAAGTATAATGACTGTCTCCAAGGATCATTTGCATTTCAAAAAGAACTCTTTACACATTAATTTCTGTTTCCTGATCCAGTCCTTCTCCCCAGTAATCATTTATTGCCCCTCAACAGAATTCTTGTCCTCACTCCCATAACCTGTTTTGCAAGGATCTAATGCTCCCATTCTTTCTGTAGCCTCACGATGGTATATAATTAGCTGGTGTGGTGATTCTTGCCTGTTGTCCTAGCTACTCAGGAGGCTTGGGCAAGAGAAACACTTCAGCTCAGGAGTTCAAGGCTACAGTGAGGTGTGAGCCTGCTACTGTACTCCAGCCTGAGCAACAGAGCCAGACCCCATCTCTATTTAAAAAAAAAAAAAGAGATGGTATATAAGTTTCTGTAACTGAGGGGTTGAGTGGTCATTCTGAAGGCTCCCACGTACGCATGTTAAATACATTTGTATGTTAGCCAGGCAGTGACTCATGGCTGTAGTCCCAGCGTTTTGGGAGGCTGAGGCAAGGGCTTCACATGAGCCCAAGAGTTCAAGACCAGCCTGGACAACATAGTGAGATGCTGTCTCTACCAAAAAAAAAAAAATTACCTGGGTGTGGTTGTGCACACCTATAGTCCCAGCAACTTGGGGGGCTGAGGTGGGAGAATCGCTTGAGCCCAGGAGGTTGAGGTTGCAGTGAGCCATATTCGCACCACTTCACTCCAATCTGGGCAACAGAGCGAGACCTTGTCTCAAATGAATAAATAAATATATAAATAATAAACGTGTATGCCTTTTCTCCTGTTACTCAACCTGCCTCATGTCAGTGATTTTCAGTGAACCTCCAGGGGTCCTGGAAAGGATCAATATACCAATCCCAGGGAATGCCTCTGATTTTCCCTGCTTGTATCACATGCCTTTCCCTTGAGGACTAACCTCTGATTTTTTTTTTATCTTGTCTAAATTCCTAAGGAGTCTGGGAGTCATGCCCTACAAATCCTAAATTATCATCAGATGGGTTTTATTTAACCCTATATATCATAATTTACTTTCCAACCTGACTGTGACATAACATTACGAGACAAAGAAGAAAATCAAAATGTTTTACCCCAAAACATTTTTCTTTGCCATACTTTGAAATGGCTCTGCGAAGCTCTTCTTTGTGGGGGAAAACTTGCATCTGTAAAGAATCTCTATTAACTCCTGGCCAACATGGTGAAACCCCATCTCTACTAAAAATACAAAAATTAGCTGGGCATGGTGGCGCATGCCTGTAGTCCCAGCTACTCGGGAGGCTGAGGCAGGAGAATCACTTGAACCCAAGAGGCAGAGGTTACAGTGAGCCAATATCCCGCCACTGAACTCCAGCCTGGCGACAGAGTGAGACCCCGTCTGGGGGAGGGGGGGAAGAATCTCTATTAACATAGCTAGATCTTTCTCTTCCAGACCCTCCCAATCTTAAAGAGATTAACTAGAATCTAAATAGGAAACATTTGTCACCTATTGTCTCTAAGGGCAGCCACTATAAGACTTCAAAAGAACTTTGGTCTCCACAATCTTTATCATAACCTAAACATTCCCTTTCTAGCTATCCCAGATCTTTAGACAAATTCAACCAATTGTCAACCAGAAAATGTTTAAATTCACCTATAGCCTGGAAGCCCCCTGCTTTGAGTTGTTCTGCCTTTCTGGACCAAACCAATGTATTTCTTAAATGTATTTGATTGATGTCTCATGCTTGTCTAAAATGTATAAAACCAAGCTGTGTCTGACCACTTTGGGCACATGCTCTCAGGACTTCCTGAGGGCTGTGTCATGGTCCATGGTCACTCATATTTGACTCATAATAAATCTCTTCAAATATCTTACACAGTTTGACTCTTTTTGTTGACACCCTGAACCAATCGATTTCCAGGTAAATGGGCGATATTACCAGCCAGGCATAGGTCATATTTCCATTCCTGTAGGCGGGGAGATAGAAACTATGATGAGTAAAATGGGAATGGGAAAGTTCACTGGCTAAACAAAAACAATACCCATCATATACCACAAACTACCCATTGGCTTCTCAGCATTCACACATACCCTTCTTCTCATATATATGATTCCAAGAATGCTGCTAACTAGTAATTATCCCCTTTAAAACTGAAAATAGGCTTATCATGCATCCAAAGGAAAACAAGCAAAAAATCACATCCAGCCAGGCACAGTGGCTCAGGCCTGTAATCCCAGCTCTTTGGGAGGCCGAGGCAGGCAGATCACAAGGTCAGGAATTTGAGACCAGACTGACCAACATGGTGAAACCCCATCCCTACTAAAAATACATCTACATCTCTACTAAAAATACAAAAATTAGGCTGGGCTCGGTGGCTCACGCCTGTAATCCCAGCATTTTGGGAGGCCAAGGTGGGCAGATCACAATGTCAGGAATTCGAGACCAGACCAACATGATGAAACCCCATCTGACTAAAAATACAAAAATTAGGCCGGGCTCGGTGGCTCATGCCTGTAATCCCAGCACTTTGGGAAGCCGAGGCAGGTGGATCATGAGGTCAGGAGTTGGAGACCAGCCTGACCAACATGGCGAAACCCTGTCTCTACTAAAAATACAAAAATTAGCTGGACGTGGTGGTGTGCACCTGTAATCCCAGCTACTTAGGAGGCTGAGGCAGGAGAATCACTTGAACCCGGAAGGCAGAGGTTGCAGTGAGCCCAGATCACACCATTGCACTCCAGCATGGGCGACAGAGCGAGACTGTCTCAAAAAAAAAAAAAAAAAAAAAGTCACCACGCACAGTTCCAAAGCAAGGGATCTCTTGAGGGTGTGTGCTCTTCTTGGTCAGGTCTTCATGGTCCTATTTCAAATGACTAAATTTTAAATAAAAACAACCCCATTTCATCTCAATCCAGACCTTAAAAATAAAAAAAATTAAAACAACCCCAGTCAACAATGAAAGAATACAGGACAATCTTTTAATACCATATTTTAAAGGAAAGACAATTTACAATGGCCACTGGACAAGGACAGCAAAAATTCATTCTCCAGTCAGTGGAATGAATCTTGTGGTCAAACTGATCTACTTCCAGTCCTGCTTGCTAGGAGGATATCCCTTAGTCAATATCCTCTAAGGCCATTCCTAAGAGAGATGAAAAAGGCAGAGATAGAATATTCTCTTGATTCTGCACCTACTTCTTGTTTGCAAAACTATAAGGACTTGGGAATGATCATAAAGTATTTTCTAGAGGAGTTGGAGACAAAAATCAATAAGGAACAAATCTTTCTAGCTTATTGGTCTACCATCGTCTAAGATGTTATCCGCTTCTACAGGATTAAAGCTGAGTCACTGCCCCATCTGCTTTCTGGCCTGCAGGAATAGGGAAAAGAGAATGAAAAAGTACATGTCTAATGGTTTAAAGTCAAATCATAGCTGGGCATGGTAGCTGACACCTGTAATCCTAGCACTTTGGGAGGCCGAGGCAGGCAGATTGCCTGAGCTCAGGAGTTCAAAACCAGCCTGGGCAACACAGTGAAACCCCATCTCTACTAAAAAATACAAAAAAATTAGCCAGGCTTGGTGGCGGGTGCCGGTAGTCCCAGCTACTTGGGAGGCTGAGGCAGGAGAATTGCTTGAACCCGGGAGGTGGAGGTTGCAGTGAGCCGAGATTGTGCTACTGTACTCCAGCCTGGGCGACAGAGTGAGACTCCGTCTCCAAAAAAAAAAAAAAAAAAAAAAAAAATTTAAATTTAAAAAGTCAAATCATAGAAATGCCATTCAATAACTTCAGTCAATCCCACTGGCCCCATTGAGTCTCATGGACACACCTATCTCAAAAATAGGCTGGAAAACATAGGCGCAAGGATTCTGTTGCTAAAGGAAGAGGAGTAGAATGAATGTGGGATAATAGTGATCTCCACCACACTTTATCAGGAATGAGGTACCCAGCAAGAGGTATTTCCCTGGGGTCTAGGATATCACATTACTTGTCTGTGTCTCTGAATCATCTGGCATTGGGCCCTGCTTGCATCACATGCCCTTTGGACAATTTATCACGTCCAGTAAAAGTGAGAACCTATGATTACCCAGGTTTGGTCATGTGCCAGCCTTCAAGGCCAAGAGGACAGGGTCTGTCACTAAAAGAGAGGAAGCTTGCTGGACAAATTAATAACAAAAGCACAAGCAATTAAGGACGTCTTTTCCCAGTACTGAAGATGAAACTTGTCAGGCCTCTGAGCCCAAGCCAAGCCATCGCATCCCCTGTGACTTGCACGAATGCATCCAGATGGCTTCAAGTAACTGAAGATCTACAAAAGAAGTAAAAATAGCCTTAACTGATGACATTCCACCATTGTGATTTGTTTCTGCCCCACCCTAACTGATCAATGTATTTTCTAATCTCCCCCACCCTTAAGAAAGTACTTTCTAATCTCCCCCACCCTTAAGAGGGTTCTTTGTAATTCTCCCCGCCCTTGAGAATGTACGTTGTGAGATCCACCCCTGCCCGCAAAGCATTGCTCTTAACTTCACCGCCTATCCCAAAACCTGTAAGAACCAATGATAATCCACCACCCTTTGCTGACTCTCTTTTCGGACTCAGCCCACCTGCACCCAGGTGAAATAAACAGCTTTATTGCTCACACAAAGCCTGTTTGGTGGTCTCTTCACACGGACGTGAGTGAAAAAACTGTTTATTTCTCTCCTCAAATGGAAGAATCCTATCAACTGTATGCTACACCAGTATATAGTTTAATATACTTTTTTTTTTTTTGAGATGGAGTTTTGCTCTTGTCACCCAGGCTGGAGTACAATGGCGTGATCTCGGCTCACTGCAACCTTCACCTCCTGGGTTCAAGCGATTCTCCTGCCTCAGCCTCCCCAGTAGCTGGGATTATAGGCACATGCCCCACATGCCCCGCCGGCTAATTTTTGTATTTTTAGTAGAGACAGGTTTCACCATGTTGGCCAGGCTGGTCTCAACCTCCTGAGCTCAGGCAATCTGCCTGCCTCAGCCACCCAAAGTGCTAGGATTACAGGTGTGAGCCACTGCTCCTGGCCTGAGTCTAGCATTCTTTATCTTTAAGCTTAGAAAGTTGGGACTAGATTTCTTGTATTCATTTACATGTGAAGCTCTGAGTCTGTCATTCTTTTCTTCAAAAAAAAAATTATCTTCTTCCTAGATCAACACCAACCAGATATTATTCCCGCTATTTTTTTTTTTTTTTTTTTTTTTTGAGACAGAGTTTCGCTCTTGTTGTCCAGGCTGGAGTTCAATAGTGCAATTTTGGCTCACTGCAACCTCCACCTCCCGGGTTCAAGCGATTCTCCTGTCTTAGCCTCCCGAGTAGCTGGGATTACAGGCATCCACCACCACACCCAGCTAATTTTGTATTTTTAGTAGAGGCGGAGTTTCTCCATGTTGGTCAGGCTGGTCTTGAACTCCCGACCTCAAGTGATCCATCCACCTCAGCCTCCCAAAGTGCTGGGATTACAGGTGTGAGCCACTGTGCCCAGCCCAGCTTTTTGTATTTTTATTACAGATGGGGGTTTCTCCATGTTGGGCAGGCTGGTCTCGAACTCCTGACCTAGGGTGATCCGCCAGCCTCTGCCTCCCCAAGTGCTGGGATTACAGGCATGAGCCACCGCGCCGGCCAATAACTGTACATTTTAAACTAAAGAGTGTAGCCTGGGCACGGTGGCTCATGCCTATAATCCTAGCACTTTGGGAGGCTTACATGGGTGGATCACCTGAGGTCAGGAGTTCGAGACCAGCCTGCCCAACATGGTGAAACCCTGTCTCTACCAGAAATATAAAAAATTAGCCAGATGTGGTGGCAAGTGCCTGTAATCCCAGCTACTTGGGAGCCTGAGGCAGGAGAATGCGCTTGAACCCGGGGGGCTGAGGTTGCAGTGAGCCGAGATGGTGCCACTTCATTGCAGCCTAGGTGACAGAGCGAGACTTTGTCTCCAAATAAATAAATAAAATAGTATAATTGGTTTGTTTGAGGGAATGGATACCCCATTCTTCATGATGTGCTTATTTCACATTGCATGTCAGTATCAAAACATTTCATGTACCCCATAAATGTATACACTTATGTACCCACAAAAATAAAAACTAATCAATAGAAAAAAGAATGCAGGATGAAGTCAAGGGACAAAGAAATGAAGATGTATTCTTATGCTGATCACATTTCTCTGTGGGGGTCTTCAAACTACTTGCTGGAAGTCAGGGTGTGAAAAACATCTGAAGTTATTTATTTATTTTGTAGACGGAGTTTCACTCTGTCACTCAGGCTGGAGTTCAGTGGCACAATCTTGGCTCACTGCAACCTTCACCTCCTGGATTCAAGGGATTCTGGTGCCTCAGCCTGCCGAGTAGCTGTGATTACAGGCATGTGCCACCACGCCTGGCTAATTTTTGTATTTTTAGTAGAGACCAGGATTTCACCATTTTGGCTAGGCTGGTCTTGAACTCCTGACCTCAGGTGATCTGCCCCGCCTGGGCCTCCCAAAGTGCTGGGCTTATGGGAGTGAGCCATTGCTTAAGGTGTTAAGTGATTCTTTTTTTAGATGGAGTTTTGCTCTTGTTGCCCAGGCTGTAGTGCAATGGCGCCATCTAGGCTCACTGAAACCTCAGCCTCCCAATTAGTCGGGATTACAGGCACCTGCCACCATGCCCGGCTAATTTTGTATTTTTAGTAGAGAGGGGGGTTTCGTCATGTTGGTCAGGCTGGTCTCGAACTCCTGACCTCAGGTGATCCACCCGCCTCGGCCTCCCAAAGTGCTGGGATAACAGGCGTGAGCCGCTGCGCCTAGCAAGTGACTTGTTGTTGTTTTTGAGATGGAGTTTCACTCTTGTTGCCCAGACTGAAGTATAGTGGCACAATCTCGGTTCACTACAACTTCTGCCTCCTGGGTTCAAGTGATTCTCCTGCCTCAGCCTCCCAAGTAGCTGGGATTACACAGGCATGTGCCACCACACCTTGCTAAATGTTCGTATTTAGTAGAGATGGGGTTTCACCATGTTGGTCAGGGTGGTCTCAATCTCCTGACCTCGTGATCCGCTTGCCTCAGCTTCTCAAAGTGCTGGAATTACAGGCATGAGCCACTGTGCCCAGCCTACAAGTGATTCTTAAACAAAAGTCTTATGATTCCAATGTCAGAGAACGTGCCTATAGGAACAAAGGGGATGCAAATCAATTCTTTTATTTATTTCTTTTTTTCTTTGAATTTCCTTCCTCATGTTAAAGCAAATCAATTCTTAAACAGTCTTACAACCCTAACTTCAGAAATCCTATCTATAGGAATAATGGGAATGCAAATGGTCAGTACCTGGTGCTACCTGACTTTTAGCAACAAGGAAGTGGGCCAAAGTACAGCCTGATTAATACTTAGTTATGACTACATATCAGTCCAGAACCCTACATGCAATTCTTGTCAATCCTGTGGGGGTGGTTTCATATATATATGTGTGTGTGTATATATATGTGTATATATATATTTATATATATAATCCTTTAATATGTTGTTGGATTAAATTTACTAATATTTTGTAAATAATTTTTGAGTATGAGGGATATTAGCATATTATATAATTTATGAGGGATATTGGCATATTATTTTATTTATTTAATTTTGTAATATATTTGTCTAGTTTGTGGTTATTATGGCCACATAAAACAAATTGAGTAGCCAGGTGCAGTGGCTCACGTGTGTAATCCTAGCCCTTTGGAAGACCGAGGTGAGCCCAGGAGTTTTAGACTCCTGCTTGAGCCCAGGAGTTTTAGACCAGCCTGGGCAACATGGCAAGACCTAGTCTCTACAAAAAAATTTAAAAAATTAGCCAGGCCTGGTGGTGCACGTCTGTGGTCCCAGCTTCTCAGGAGGTTGAGGCAGGATGATGGCTTGAGCCCAGGAGGTCAAGGCTCCAGTGAGCTGTGTTCACACTACTGCACCCTACCTTGGGCAAGATAATGAGATTCTGTTTCAAGAAAAGAAAAAACAGCTGGGTGCGGTGGCTCATGCCTGTAATCCCAGCACTTTGGAAGGCCGAGGCAGGTGGATCACCTGAGGTCAGGAGTTCAAGACCAGCCTGGCCAACATGGTGAAACCCCATTTCTATTAAAAATACAAAAAAATTAGCCGGTCGTGGTGGCAGGCACCTGTAATCCCAGCTACTTGGGAGGCTGAGTCAGGAGAATCGCTTGAACCCGGGAGGCAGAGGTTGCGGTGAGCCTAGATTGCGCCATTGCACTCCAGCCTGGGCAACAAGAGCAAAACTCCATCTAAAAAAAACAAAACAAAAAAGAAAGAAAGAACAAAAAACAAATTGGGGTTGAGCTCAGTGGCTCACTCTTGTAATCCCAGCACTTTGGGAGGTCAAGACAGGAGGATCACTTGAGCTTAGGAGTTTGAGACCAGTCTGGGCAACAGACGGAGACCCCATCTCTAAAAATGAGGAGTTGTTCTTTTCTCCTCTTTTTTTGAAAGAGTTTATATATGATTGATGTTATTTATTTCCTGAATATTTAAAAATTTTCAGCACTGAAACTGGGGTTTCTTCATGGAAATATTTTTTTCTTTTTTGAGACAGGGTTTTGTTTTGTTTTGTTTGTTTTGAGACAGAGTTTCACTCTTGTCACTCAGGCTGGAGGGCAATGGCACAATCTCAGCTCACTACAACCTCTACCTCCCAGGCTCAATCTATTCTACTGCCTTAGCCCCCCAAGTAGCTAAGTACCAAGGACCACAGGTACCCACTGCCACGCCCGGTTAATTTTTGTATTTTCTGTAGAGATGGGGTGTCACCATGTTGCCCAGGCTGGTCTTGAACCCCTGGGCTCAAGCCATTGACCCACTTTGGCCACCCAAAGTGCTGGGATTACAGGCGTGAGCCTCTGTGCCTGGCCTCTTTATTTATTTTTAATAATGTCAATACTCTTAAAATATAAAAGCTGCCCTCTCCCTCTCCCTCTCCCTCTCCCTCTCCCTCCTCTCCCTCTCCCCACGGTCTCCCTCTCCCTCTCTTTCCACGGTCTCCCTCTGATGCCGAGCTGAAGCTGGACTGTACTGCTGCCATCTTGGCTCACTGCAACCTCCCTGCCTGATTCTCCTGCCTCAGCCTGCCGAGTGCCTGCAATTGCAGGCGCGTGCCGCCACGCCTGACTGGTTTTCGTATTTTTTTGGTGGAGACGGGGTTTCGCTGTGTTGGCCGGGCTGGCCTCCAGCTCCTAACCGCTAGTGATCCGCCAGCCTCGGCCTCCGGAGGTGCCAGGATTGCAGACGGTGTCTGGTTCACTCAGTGCTCAATGGTGCCCAGGCTGGAGTGCAGTGGCGTGATCTCGGCTCGCTACAACCTCCACCTCCCAGCCGCCTGCCTTGGCCTCCCAAAGTGCCCAGAGTGCAGCCTCTGCCCGGCCGCCACCCCGTCTAGGAAGTGAGGAGCGTCTCTGCCTGGCCGCCCATCGTCTGGGATGTTAGGAGCCCCTCTGCCTGGCTGCCCAGTCTGGAAAGTGAGGAGCGTCTCTGCTCGGCTGCCATCCCATCTAGGAAGTGAGGAGCGCCTCTTCCCGGCCGCCATCCCATCTAGGAAGTGAGGAGCGTCTCTGGCCGGCCGGCCATCGTCTGAGATGTGGGGAGTGCCTTTGCCCCGCCGCCCCGTCTGGGATGTGAGGAGCGCCTCTGCCCGGTCGCGACCCCGTCTGGGAGGTGAGGAGCGTCTCTGCCCAGCCGCCCCATCTGAGAAGGGAGGAGACCCTCCGCCTGGCAACCGCCCCATCTGAGAAGTGAGGAGACCCTCCGCCCGGCAGCCGCCCCGTCTGAGAAGTGAGGAGCCCCTCTGCCCGGCAGCCACCCCGTCTGGGAAGTGAGGAGCGTCTCTGCCCGGCAGCTGCCCCGTCCGGGAGGGAGGTGGGGGTCAGCCCCCGCCCGGCCAGCCGCCCCGTCCGGGAGGGAGGTGGGGGGGTCAGCCCCCCGCCCGGCCAGCCGCCCCGTCCGGGAGGGAGGTGGGGGGTCAGCCCCCCGCCCGGCCAGCCGCCTCGTCCGGGAGGTTAGGGGCGCCTCTGCCCGGCCGCCCCTACTGGGAAGTGAGGAGCCCCTCTGCCCGGCCAGCCGCCCCGTCCGGGAGGGAGGTGGGGGGGTCAGCCCCCCGCCCGGCCAGCCGCCTCGTCCGGGAGGTGAGGGGCGCCTCTGCCCGGCCGCCCCTACTGGGAAGTGAGGAGCCCCTCTGCCCGGCCAGCCGCACCGTCCGGGAGGGAGGTGGGGGAGTCAGCCCCCCGCCCGGCTAGCCGCCCCGTCCGGGAGGGAGGTGGGGGGGTCAGCCCCCCACCCGGCCAGCCGCCCCGTCCGGGAGGTGAGGGGCGCCTCTGCCCGGCCGCCCCTACTGGGAAGTGAGGAGCCCCTCTGCCCGGCCAGCCACCTCATCCGGGAGGGGGGTGGGGGGGTCAGCCCCCCGCCCGGCCAGCCGCCCCCTTCCGGGAGGGAGGTGGGGGGGTCAGCCCCTTGCCCGGCCAGCCGCCCCACCCGGGAGGTGAGGGGCGCCTCTGCCCGGCCGCCCCTACTGGGAAGTGAGGAGCCCCTCTGCCCGGCCACCACCCCATCTGGGAGGTGTGCCCAACAGCTCATTGAGAACGGGCCATGATGACAATGGTGGTTTTGTGGAATAGAAAGCTGGGAAAGGTGGGGAAAAGATTGAGAAATCAGATGGTTGCCGTGTCTGTGTGGAAAGAAGTAGACATGGGAGACTTTTCATTTTGTTCTGTACTAAGAAAAATTCTTCTGCCTTGGGATCCTGTTGATCTGTGACCTTACCCCCGAACCCTGTGCTCTCTGAAACATGTGCTGTGTCCACTCAGGGTTAAATGGATTAAGGGCAGTGCAAGATGTGTTTTGTTAAACAGATGCTTGAAGGCAGCATGCTCATTAAGAGTCATCACCACTCCCTAATCTCAAGTACCCAGGGACACAAACACTGTGGAAGGCCTCAGGGTCCTCTGCCTAGGAAAACCAGAGACCTTTGTTCACTTGTTTATCTGCTGACCTTCCCTCCGCTATTGTCCTATGACCCTGCCAAATCCCTCTCTGTGAGAAACACCCAAGAATGATCAATAAAAATAAAAATTAAAAAAATATATATATAAAAGCTGAATTTAGATAGAAGTTATGCTATCACATGAAATGACAGGAGCTAGGGTTCTTTTTTTTTTTTTTTGAAACAGGGTCTCGCTCTGCCACCCAGCCTGCAGTGCAGTGGCACAATCACAGCTTATTGCAGCCTAAACTTCCCAGGCTCAAGTGATCCTCCCACCTTATCCACCTTACCCTCCCAAGTAGCTGGAACTACACAGGCACCACCATACCCAGCTAATTTTTCTTCTTTCTTTCTTTTTTTTCTTTTCTTTTCTTTTTTTTTTTTTTTTTTGAGACACAGGGTCTCCTTATGTTGTGTGGCCTGGTCTCAAACCTCTGGGTTCAAGCACTCCTCCCACCTCAGCCTCCCATCGTGCTGGAATTACAGGCATGAGTCATCACACTCGGCCTAGGGTTCTTATTTTTGGGTAAAATGCCTTCACAGCACTTCCTATTATCAGTTTTAAAGATCAGACTCTTCCTCCATGCCTCGCCGCTCTTCGGTTCTACTCTGTCCACTGCCATGGCCCAAGCTGACATCGTGCTGATCAGATTGGCAGTCATGGGCCAGAACTTAATTCTGACCATGAAAGACCATGGCTTTGTGGTCTGTGCTTTTAATAGGACTGTCTCCGAAGTGGATGATTTCTTGGCCAATGAGGCAAAGGGAACCAAAGTGGTGGGTGCCCAGTCCCTGAAAGAGATGGTCTCCAAGCTGAAGAAGCCCCAGCGGATCATCCTCCTGGTGAAGGCTGGGCAAGCTGTGGATTATTTCATCAAAAAACTGATACCATTGTTGGACATTGGTGACATCATCATTGATGGAGGAAATTCTGAATATAGGGACACCACAAGACGGTGCCAAGACCTCAAGGCCAAGGGAATTTTATTTGTGGGGAGCGGAGTCAGTGGTGGAGAGGAAGGGGCCTGGTATGGTTCATTGCTCACGCCAGGAGGGAACAAAGAAGCATGGCCCCACATCAAGACCATCTTCCAAGGTGTTGCTGCAAAAGTAGGAACCCTGCTGTGACTGAGTGGGAGATGAGGGAGCAGGCCACTTTGTGAAGATGGCGCACAACAGGATAGAGTATGGGGACATGCAGCTGATCTGTGAGGCATACCACCTGATGAAAGACGTGCTGGGCATGGCACAGGACAAGATGGCCCAGGCCTTTGAGGATTGGAATAAGACAGAGCTAGACTCATTCCTGATTGAAATCACAGCCAATATTCTCAAGTTCCAAGGTGCTGATGGCAAACACTTGCTGCCAAAGATCAGGGACAGTGCAGGGCAGAAGGGCATGGGGAAGTGGACCACCATCTCTGCCCTGGAGTATGGCATACCCGTCACCCTCATTGGAGAAGCCGTCTTTGCTTGGTGCCTGTCATCTCTGAAGGATGGGAGAATTCAAGCTAGCAAAAAGCTGAAGGGTCCCCAAAAGTTCCAGTTTGATGGTGATAAGAAATCATTCCTGGAGGATATTCAGAATGTCCCTCTATGCTTCCAAGATCATCTCTTATGCTCAAGGCTTTATGCTGCTAAGGCAGGGAGCCACCGAGTTTGGCTGGACCCTCAATTATGGTGATATTGCCCTGATGTGGAGAGGGGGCTGCATTATTAGAAGTGTATTCCTAGGAAAGATAAAGGATGCGTTTGATCGAAACCCAGAACCTCAGAACCTCCTACTGGACGACTTCTTAAGTCAGCTGTTGAAAACCACTAGGACTCTTGGTGGTGGGCAGTCAGCACTGGGGTCCAGGCTGGCATTCCCATGCCCTGTTTTGTCACTGCCCTCTCCTTCTATGACAAGTACAGACACGAGATGCTTCCAGCCAACCTCATCCAGGCTCAGCGGGATTCCTTTGGGGCTCACACCTATGAACTCTTGGCCAAACCAGGGCAGTTTATCCACACCAACTGGACAGGCCACGGTGGCAGTGTATCATCCTCGTCATACAATGCCTGATGATGATGATGCTGCTCCTGTCACCCTCCACGATTCCACAGACCAGGACATTCCATGAGCCTCATGGCACTGCCAGCTGGCCCTTTTTTTTTTTGAGACGGAGTCTCACTCTGTCGCCCAGGCTGGAGTACAGTGGCGCGATCTTGGCTCACTGCAAGCTCCGCCTCCCGGGTTCATGCCATTCTCCTGCCTCAGCCTCCCGAGTAGCTGGGAGTACAGGCGCCCGCCACCACACCCAGCTAATTTTTTGTATTTTTAGTAGAGACGGGGTTTCACCATGTTAGCCAGGATGGTCTCGATCTCCTGACATCATGATCCTCCCGCCTCGGTCTCCCAAAGTTCTGGGATTACAGGCATGAGCCACCCCTGGCCCAGATCTTTTTAAAAAGTGTTGTAAGAGACTCCAGAGGAAGGCACACAGTTTATTTGTAAAGTAGCTCTGTAAGAGCTGCTGTGCCCTCTGCCCTTGCCTCTTGGGACTGACCAGGAGCTGTTCATGTGTGTGAGAGTGGGAACCACCTCCTTGCAGCAGTGGCTTCCGCATGCCCCATGTGCTGGTGTGGTTCCCATCACGCAGACGGGAAGGGTCTTTGTGCACTCTGATCAATTGGAACCTCTGTATCATGCGGCTGAATTCCCTTTTTCCTTTACTCAATAAAAGCTACATCAGACTGATAATAAAGAAAGAAAGAAAGATCAACAGTGATTCTCCCTGGGTAGCCAATTGAGGTAGTTTGGATAATTTAGTTCTTTCTTTATCCACTTTTATTGCTGATCCTCTAGTTTCAAAAATAAGTAAATTTAAAAATAAAACAAAAAAGGCCAGGTGTGGTGGCTCACACCTGTAATCCCAGCACTTTGGGAGACCAAGGTGGGCGGATCACTTGAGGTCAGGAGTTTCAGACCAGCCTGGCCAACATGGTGAAACCCTGTCTCTACTAAAAAACACAAAAATTAGCCTGGACGTGGTGGCTCACGCCTGTAATCCCGGCACTTTGGGAGGCCAACATGGACAGAACACAAGGTCAGGAGTTCGAGACCAGCCTGGCCAATATGGTGAAACCCCATGTCTACTAAAAATACAAAAATTAGCTGGACGTGTGGCGGGCACCTGTAGTCCCAGCTACTTGGGAGGCTGAGGCAGGAGAATCACTTGAACCTGGGATGCGGAGGTTGCAAGTGAGCCGAGATTGCACCACTGCACTCCAGGCTGGGCAACAGATTGAGTCTCCGTCTCAAAAAAATAAGGCCAGGCGTGGTGGTTCACACCTGTAATCCCAGCACTTTAGGAGGCCAAGGCGGGGGGATCACCCGAGATTGGGAGTTTGAGACCAGCCTGACCAACATGGAGAAACCCCATCTACTGAAAATACAAAATTAGCCAGGAGTGGTGGCACATGCCTGTAATCCCAGCTACTTGGGAGGCTGAGGCAGGAGAATTGCTTGAACCCAGGAGGCAGAGGTTGCAGTGAGCTGAGATTGCACGATTGCACTCCAGCCTGGGCAACAAGAGCAAAACTCTGTCTCAAAAAAAAAAAAAAAAAAATTAACCAGGCATGGTGGCACATGCCTGTAATCCCAGCTTACTCTCAGGAGGCTGAGGCAGGAGAATTGCTTGAACCCAGGAGGCAGAGGTTGCAGTGAGCTGAGATGGCACCACTGCACTGCAGCCTGGGGGACAGCGAGACTTCCACTCAAAAACAAACAAACAAACAAACAAACAAACAAAAAACCAATTTAGTCATAGTTATTGGACAGTTCAGGCCAAAACAGGTCATTTGGCTTGAATTACATGGTTTCCTTTTCCCAGTTTAATTATTCTACCTTGCCTGGGTGTGGATCCTATCTTAAAGTTGCTGGCACGGAAAAGCAAATGAGAGGTAAAATGACTCAATTCACTAAGATAAATTCACCTTGGACTTTAACTCACTGTATTAGTCCGTTCTCACGCTGCTAATAAAGACATACCCTAGACTGGGTAATCTATAAAGGAAAGAAGTTTAATTGACTCACAGTTCCACAGGGCTGGGGAGGCCTCAGGAAACTTAAAATCGTGGTGGAAGGGGAAGCAAACATTTCCTTCTGTACATGGCAGCAGAAAGGAGAAGAAGAAGAAGGAAGCCACTTATAAAACCATCAGATCTCACGAGAACTGACTATCATGAGAACAGGATGGGGGAAACCATCCCCATGGGTCATTTATCTCCACCTTGTCCCTCCCACACATGTGGCAATGATGCAAACTCTAATTCAAGATGATATTTGGGTTGGAACACATCCAAACCATATCAATCACTTTCCATTTAAAACTATGTTTATAAAGACACCAAAGGGAACAAAAGTATTAATAATATATGTAACCCAAAATAAGCTCTGGGTATTTATTTACTTTTGCTTGAAGATTATGGTTTACCTGTGTAAGCAATGCTCTAGAGATAATCAGACTATCAGAAGACGGAATCCCTATGCCAGTCTTCCTCATTCATTCCCTGGGCAAGTCCCTTAATCTACATATATCTAAATTCTCTATTTTTTTAAAAAAAGATGATACATATCTAAATATTATATTTACTTTTGTCTATTAATTAAAATTCTGAAAACAGAGGCAGACGTGGCGGCCGCGGCTCCGTTGGCTCTGGTAGCTCCCACCTCCCCAGCGCTGGCAGCATACCCACGCCAGCCCGGAGGAGCAGAGGATATTGCAAAGGATACAGATGAAGAGATGCATAGACCAGGTATGGGAGGAGTGCAGAGCTTCCATGCCATACCTAGGCGCCACCCTTCAAGAACCTTCATGTGTTCAGCCATCCAGAAGCTTCCTGAACCTGTCCTTTTATGTTTGTCTGGAGGATTCATTATGGAGACACGATTGACTAAATGATTGGCCATTGGTGATAAACTTAACCTTTAGTCCCCTCCCGGGACTGATCCTGCCTTTGCCTTTCTGGTGACCAACCCCATCCTGAAGCTGCCTAGGGGCTGCCAGCCCTCAGTCAATCATTCACAGGCAAAAGGCATCACTGTGGAGATTCCAAGGATTTTAGTCTTCATTTCTGTGTCGGGCACAGTGCTAAGTGCTAGGTGTTCAATGGTGATGAAGCAGATGGAGGTTACCAAACTTGTGGACCAGAGCCTCATGTAACAAACGTGGACCTCACTGTAGCCTAGTCATGGCTTCCAGCTTTTTGGATCTGAGCCTCCAAAGGAGGAAATGACCGTTCAGGGTTCTTGCTCCAGCTTGATTATGGAAACTGAACCTTCACTGGGTGTGCACTTACCAAGGACAGGAAAGTTTCTCTCTTTGAAGGGCTTTAAATTTGTAACAAAGAAAAGTGATGACTTTATCTATCAGATAGCAGATGAAAAACATTGTGAAAAATTACTCAGAGGCAGAAATCAAAGTCCAGGAGGCCACCTCCAATGACCCATGGGGCCCATCCAGCTCTCTGATGACCGAGATTGCAGACCTGACCTACAACATGGTGGCCTTCTCGGGGATCATGAGCATGATGTGGAAGCGGCTCAATGACCATAGCAAGAACTGGCAGCATGTGTACAAGGAGCTGCTGCTGCTGGACTACCCCATCAAGACAGGCTCCGAGTGCATGGCCCAGCAGTGCCGTGAGATCATCTTTGCCATCCAGACCCTGAAGGACTTCCAGTACATTGACCAAGATGGCAAGGACCAGGGCATCAACGTGCATGAGAAGTCAAAGCAACTGGTGGCCCTCCTCAAAGATGAGGAATGACTGAAAGCTGAGGGGGCCCAGGCTCTCAAAACCAAAGAGCACATGGCCCAGGTTGCCACTGGCATGGGCAGCAACCAGATCACCTTGGGCGAGGCTCCAGCCAGCCCAACCTCTCCACCAGCCACTCGGAGCAGGAGTATGGTAAGGCCAGGTGTCCCCGGGCTCCTACCATGGCTGTGAGTAATGGAAGTGCTTCTCACCCTTTGCCAGAGCAGCAGCAATGGGTGACAGGTGGGATGGGTGTCCCCAGGCTTAGGGAGCGGTGGCTCCCGCAGAGCTTGAATCTATCCTCGGTACTGAGCCTTTGGCAGCCCAGGCAAATTGTCCTCGGTCTGGATTGAGTTTGGTTATAAAGGGACTTTTAGCCCCTTGGCTGCTCTGGTTCAGGGGTCTCTAAGGCCCTTTGCTGCTCTGTGGGTCTCATTCTGTACATCTGGGCAGAAGGTGGGCAGAGGCAGGTCTTGTCTGCTTCCTCCTCAGAGCGGGTCTGGCAGCAAAGGGTTGTCCTGCTGCATATCCAATGCGGAGTTGACTCTGGTAGCCAGGAGGAAACAAATGCTTTTTCTTGATAATCTTGTTTCTTTTTTTTCTGAGACAGAGTCTCACCCTGTTGCCCAGGCTGGAGTGCAATGGCACAATCTCGGCTCACTGCAAACTCTCCCTCCCGGGTTTAAATGATTCTCCTGCCTCAGCCATCCGAGTAGCTGGGATTACAGGCACCCACCGCCACGCCCAGCTCTTCTTCGTATTTTTAGTAAAGACAGGGTTTCACCATGTTGGCTAGGGTGGTCTTGAACTCCTGACCTCGTGATCCACCTGCCTTGGCCTCCCAAAGTGCTGGGATTATAGATGTGAGCCACTGCACCTGGCTGATAATCTTGTTTGTTTAATCTCATATTAAATGTCTTTCCACTGACTGAAAAAAGTAATAAATAAAAATAAAATAAAATACTGAAAACAGTAAGAAGCATACTTTCTATAAAGGTCTAAGGTTCTAAAATTCTTTTTCTGTTCTTCAAACTCTGTGGTAAGTTAAGAAAACTGGTGAGGTGTGGTGGCTTACACCTGTAATCCTAGCACTTTGGGAGGCCGAGGCAGGTGGATCACCTGAGGCCTGGAGTTCGAGACCAGCCTGGCCAACGTGGTGAAACCTCGTTTCTACTAAAAATACAAAAATTAGCTGGGTGTGGTGGCATGCGCCTATAATCCCAGCTACTTGGGAGGCTGAGGCAGGAAAATTGCTTAACCCAGGAAGCAGAGGGTGCAGTGGAGATTGCACCATTGCACTCCAGCCTGGGCAACAGGGCAAAAACTCTGTCTCAAAAAAAAAAAAGAAGACTTTTGCTTAATTCTTAGAACTCCAAGTAGACATCCTTGAATAATGATAGCTACCATTTACAGAGTGTTTACCTAAATCCAAGCAATATCAAAGTGTTCTACATGTATTGATTCATTGAAACTTCACAACAATTCTCAGAGGTAGGTCTTATTATTCACAACCGAGGAAACAAAGGCACAAAATTAATTGACTTCCCTCAGAAATCCCCTGTATTTAATTTAGAATTTAACTTAGAATTTAACTTAGAATTTAACTTAGAATTTAAACAGTATGGCTTGACTCCCTACTGTTACTTTTTTTTTTTTTAGATAGGGTCTCACCCTGTCTCCCAGGCTGGAGTACCGTGGCATAATTTTAGCTCACTGCAGCCTCGACATTCTGGGCTCACACGATGCTCCCACCTCAGCCTTCCAAGTAGCTGGGAATACAGGCACACACCACCACACCCAGCTATTGTATTTTTTAGTAGAGACAGGGTTTTGCCATGTTGCCCAGGCTGGTCTCAAACTCAGGGACTCAAGCAACCTGCCCACCTCAGCCTTTCAGAGTATTGGGATTACAAGTGTGAGCCACAGCACCTGGCCAACTCCATACTCTTATCCATTATATACTATATCCCTTCCGTTGCCACAATGCTTCATAATGTCATAACTGGTATTTTGGCTGTATCCTCAATAAATACTTGTTAAGTGGGTCTGAATATAATTCTTAATATGTATTTGAGAAATAATAGAGTTGGGATTTTCAGAGAAAGACCTTAAGTTGTAAGACTGTTAATTTGTGGCCATTAATATATATTCATTGTGATATATAATGAGAATGCTGTTTCTTTGGATATAGTTGAAGAGAGCTGGCCAGCTTTTGCATGCCCTGATAATCTGACCTTCTCTTGTCTAAAAATACACACCTTCTTTAGCACATTCCTTTATGTATGATTTTAAACTCCCTCTCCATTTTCCCACTCTTCTATATGAATATTTTTGGGCCGGGCGCAGAGGCTCACGCCTGTAATCCCAGCACTTTGGGAAGCCGAGGTGGGTGGATCACAAGGTCAGGAGTTTGAGACAAGCGTGACCGACATGGTGGAACCCCGTCTCTACTAAAAATACAAAAATTAGCCAGGCCTGGTGGCGGGCGCCTGTAGTCCCAGCTACTTGGGAGGCTGAGGCAGGGGAATCGCTTGAACCTGGGAGGTGGAGATTGCAGTGAGCCAAGACTGCGCCACTGCACTCCAGCCTGGGTGACAAGAGCAAAACTCCATCTGAGACGGAGTCTCACTCTGTCGCCCAGGCTGGAGTGCAATGGTGCCATGTTGCCATCTGGGATTACAGGCGTGAGCCACTGCACCCGGCCAAAGGCTTTTAGTTATTAATTTCAAAAATAATACTCAACATTTCTGCTTTAGTTTGAGGAATCACTGGCACAAGACCTAAAACTACATTAACATAAAGTTTATTAGAATAAACCAGAATAAATATATAAAATGCATCCTAGACCCTTCATGCTTTTAAGCATTTGAGTGAGTGTCCTGACCAAACTCTCTTTGGACAATATTCTGCACCCACAGAATTACAAACTCTAACTTTCCAAACTACACAGTAGGCTAGAATGTGAGGTTGGGAACATGATCTTTGTATTAGTTATTGCAGGAGTAAAATGCAGACAACATCACGGACACCCACTGAATTCACTGACCTTTAATGACATTTGATACTCTGAATTTGGCAGTCAGCAAGCAGGTTTGGGGCTTCAAAAAATTCAAGAAAATATTAACATTTCTACAATGTTATGTTTGGTTCCATAAAAAATGTGAAAGAATTTTGAAAACTATAAGATAGCATTGAGACAAAAAGTAGTAGTATTACCATCATCAGAATCTGTTAAGTGTCTCCATTTTCAACATCAATAGATTGAAATCTGATTATACAATTCTCCTTTCATCCATCTAAGTGTCCTTCCAGAAAGGGAGAGACACTTGCTTTTTCCACAGTCTCCTTGCATGCATCTTTGCACAATCTCTGCTGCTCTGCTAAAGGTTCTAACCACCACTTTCTGTGACACCTGCCAGTCCTCCCCCTCTCCTGCTGATCTGCATCCTCCTACTTCTCTCCTCCCTGCCCCACCCCCACGTATGCATTGCCTGGATCCTATGACCCTCACACTCATCCCTCACTCAGAGCAGTGCATCCGTGAGTAATACTTTCTAGAGGCACTCTGCCCATCCACTGGATGCGATATACATAGGATATGATTTCCATCCTCCTTCTGAAAGTCAGAGAGCACTTCCCAGGATGATTCTCTGAAAACTGATAGCAGGTTTTCTTCCAGAAAATTGCAGGACAGGTTGAACTCAATCTATTTAAAAAAAAAAATACACTTGAAGTTTCAATTTTTAAAAAGCTGGAAAGCTATATTTCTGGCTCTGTAAGTAATCCATATCTCTGAACTGTGTCCTTAAGGTCATGAGATATTTTATAGTATTTATCCTTGGAAATATACATCAGAAATACGAATGAGATCAGGCACAACTTGCAATTAGTTAAGAGCAGTGAGTAACAGGGTTTCAAAGAAAATACCTAGGTTTATGTCAACTTATATAAGCTAAAGCTTTTCAAATGTATTGTAGAATTACAAATTGTGGCCTAAGTTTTCATCAGATTCTGAGTTTCACATTGACTAAAGATCAAGAAGGAACATAAAATCTAATATTCAAAATAGAATTAAAAGCTACATGCCAGGCCCGGTGGCTCACCCCTGTAATCCCAGCACTTTGGGAGGCTGAGGTGGGTGGATCACTTGAGGTCAGGAGTTCGAGACCAGCCTGGCCAATATGGTGAAACCCTGTCTCTACTAAAATTACAAAAATTAGCCAGTGTGGTGGTGGGCACCTGTAGTCCCAGCTACTTGAGAGGCTGAGGTGGGAGAATCGCTTGAACCCAGGAGGCAAAGGTTGCAGTGAGCTGAGATTGTGCTACTGCATTCCAGCCTAGGCGACAGAGTGAGACTCTGTCTCAAAAAAAGTTACAATATTCCAGCAACGTGGTAGTCTAGTCTAAGCCTGTTTACTGCTGATAATCCAGAATTCATTGAATACCAAAGCAAAGACCTAATCTAGGTCTTAGATTGAGTTGAAACATGACTCCTCATGACTTCTAGTCTTTTTCTGGGTTTTACTTTCCATTGCGATATATAAAGAGAATGCTGTCTCTTTGGACATAGTTGAAGAGAGCTAGCTAGCTTTTGTGTGCCCTGATCATCTGCCTTTCTCTTACACACCTTTATTTGGTGGGGGGTGGAGGGCGGGGACGGAGTCTCGTTCTGTTGCCCAGGCTGGAATGCAGTGGTGCGATCTTGGCTCACTGAAACCTCTTCCTCCCGGGTTCAAGCAATTCTCTGCCTCAGCCTCCCGAGTAGCTGGGATTACAGGTGCCTGCCACTACACCCAGCTAATTTTTGTATTTCTAGTAGAGATGAGGTTTCACTATCTTAGCCAGGCTGGTCTTGAACTCCTGACCTCGTGGTCCACCCGCCTTGGCCTCCCAAAGTGCTGGGATTGCAGGGATGAGCCACCGTGCCCAGCCCAAAATAAACACCTTCTTTAGCATGTTCGTTTATGTATGATTTTAAACTCCCTCTCCATTTTCCCCCTCTCTTCTATGAGAATGTTTTTATTTGCCTGTGTTGCCCTAAAAATGCAATGCTTAGAATTGAACACGCAGTTCCAGATGAGGTCTGACCAGTGTGAAGTACAATGCAATGTTCTCTTCTACCATCTTGACAGTGTACTTCTTATAATGTCATTTAACAAATAGAAAGTTAAAGAAAAAAGTTTTACAGCTATTGGAATGTATGTAGCTGGCAATCCAAAAGTATTTCTGAATGTTGTTAAACGAAAAGCCAGGCTGGGAATGGTGGCTCATGCCTGTAATCCCAGCACTTTAGGAGGCCAGTGTGGGAGAATCACATGAGCCCAGGAATCAAGACCAGCCTGAGCAACATAGCTAGACCCCCTTCTCTACAAAAAAAATTAAAAATTAGTCAGGCATGGTGGCATGCACCTGTAGTTCCTGCTACTCAGGAGGCTGAGGTGGGAGGAGTGCTTGAGCCCAGGAAGTCGAGGCTGCAGTGAGGTATAATCATGCCACTGCACTCTAGCCTGGCCAACAGAGTGAGACCAAAAGAAAGAATAAAGAAAAGAGACCGGGCATGGTGTCTCATGCCTGTAACACCAGCACTTTGGGAGTCCGAGGCAAATCACGAAGTCAAGAGGTCTAGACCATCCTGGCCAACATGGTGAAACCCCATCTCCACTAAAAATACAAAAAAATGAGCTGGGCATGGTGGCACATGCCTGTAGTCCCACCTACTCTGGAGGCTGAGACAGGAGAATCCCTTGAACCCAGGAGGTGGAGGTTGCAGTGAGCTGAGATTGTGCTACTACACTCCAGCCTGGCAACAGAATGAGAATCCATCTCAAAAAAAAAAAAAAAAAGTAAATAAAATAAAAAACCAAAAATCTAACCAAACAAAACATGCCAGCTTTTCTATATTATTTATTTTTTGAGATGGAATCTCATTCTGTCACCCAGGCTAGAGTGCGGTGGCACAATCTTGGCTCACTGCAACCTCTGCCTCCCGGGTTCAAGCGATTCTTCTGCCTCAGTCTCCCAAGTGGTTGGGACTACAGGCAGCTGCCACCACATGCGGCTAATGTTTGTATTTTTAGTAGAGACAGGGTTTCACCATATTGGCCAGGCTGGTCTCGAACTCCTAACATTGTGATGCACCTGCCTCAGCCTCCCAAAGTGCTGGGATTACAGGCATGAGCCACTGCACCCGGCCTATTTTTGTTTTTAAGAAAACTTGCAGAACAAGGCCAGCCACTGTGGCTCAAACCTGGAACCCCAGTGCTTTGGAAAGCTGAGACAAGAGGATCACTTGAGGCCCAAAGTCCACTGCCAGGATGGGCAACATAGTGAGACCCTGTCTCTGCCAAAAAAAAAAAAAAAATTTAAATTAACCAGTTGTGATGGCTTGCACCCATAGTCCTAGCTACTCATGAGACTGAGATGGGAAGTTTCTTGGGCCCAGGAGTTTGAGGCTGCAATGAGCTATAATGTGCCACTGTACCACAGCCTGAGTGATAGAGTAAGACACTGTCTCTTAAACAAACAGGCTGGGCTTGGTGGCTTATGCCTGTAATCCCAGCACTTTGGGAGGCCAAGGTGGGGAGATCGCTTGAGGTCAGGAGTTCAAGACCAGCCTTGCCATGATTGTGAAACCCCATCTCTACTAAAAATACAAAAATTCACTGGACATGGTGGCACATGCCAGTAATCCCAGCTACTCAGTGTTGGAAATAAGAGCTCAGAGTTGTAAAGAAAATGAGCATTCAAATAAAGGATTTCTCAGCAAGGCAAATGTGCTTCTGCAGAAGGGTGCTGCTCATTCTTGTCACTGCAAGAGCACACTGAACAAAGAAGGGAATGGGTTTTTATCCCTAACACAGTCAGTCCCTACTACTGTGTCCAGTCCCCATTGGCTGGGGTCAGACTGCACAACCTAAGCTGATTCTGATTGGCCACATAAAAATGGAGCAGGGGTGGGAGCTACAGCGGTGGGAAGAGCAGTTTCGGAACTAAGGGTGCCAAGTAATGCACAGATGTGGATTGTTACAGATTGGGAACGGATGTGGGTTACAGATTGGGAATGGATGTGGATTACAGATTGGGAATGGCTGGAAATTTTTTACCATAACTAGGGGCAAGGAGGCAAGGAAGATAGGCTTTGAAAATAGAGGACAATGGATCTTTGAAGAGGAACTCAATGTTTCCTACTACTTCCCCCTCTTGATTTTCATAATTCTTCCTCTTCAAACTCTTTAACATGTCTTGACTCTGCTGTTCTGCTTGGTTTTCTAAAAGTAGGAGTTTATCTGAGTAAGGTGGGGGAGAATTAAAGGTTTTGGTGAGAGCTGTTTCTATAAGTCTCTGCACCAATCCATGAATACAGGGTATGATGCAGCATCCTACAAGAATAAGTACACCTATAACAATTGCAAGAGGTAAGGCCTTGTAATGCCTTTGTAATTGTTCCACTGGGGGCTATGTTATTAGGGATGGAATAAGGACAGGACAGACTGGTTGGTAAGCTCTTGGAAGGGGTTAAGCTCACTGCATCCCATTACGTCTCCAAGGAATGCTAAGTTTTCCTCCTGTCATGAGAGACAGGAGGTAAAATTGGCATCAGGAGACAGAGGCTGGATGGCCCTCGGAGGCTGACCCACAGGGTGTCAGACTTTAGGGAGTAGCAGAGAAAGAGATCAGCAGAATTCATTACCCCAGGCTGTGGGGTCTTGGAAGAGAGCTACCATAAAGCTCATGCCCTGTCGAATGGAAGACCATCCAAGTGGTCACTGGGTATGGAAGGGATAAAGGAGGTATAGGAGGGTTAAATTGTTATTAGCTTTAGTTTGGTAGGACTCTCCTCCGGAACAATGGCCCATGACTCTGGAAGTGGTGACACCTTCTTGACTTGGGTATGATGAGTCCATCCTCTTTCTGCTGTTTGGACTGCAGTCTCAGTGGTTACAAGCACTAGGTAGGGTGCTTCCCAAGCTGGTTCTAGTTTTCCTTCTTTCCAACTTTTGATGAGGACATAACCCCCAGGCTGATGCTGGTGTGCTGGGAACTCTAAGGGTGGCACCTGTGCTAAAAGACCTTTAGTTCTGAGAGAAGAGAAAGTGGAAGATAGACCGAGTATATAATTTCTGAGAAACTGATCTTTTGTTTCAAACATAGGAATGTCAGCAGTGGAGTGTAAATAGGGCAGCCCATATAGCATCTCATAAGGGGATAAACCAACATCTTTCTGAGGGGCAGTTCAGATTCTTAACAAGGCAATGAGTAGGCATCTAGTCCATGGCAACTGAGTCTTTTAAGACTAATTTGGTTAAGTGACTCTATTTTCTCCACTCTTCCCCAATGAAGGTGGGTGCCAGGGAGTATGGTATTCCCATGTTATGTCTAGTGCTTGGGTTAATTTCTTAATGACATGCACAGTGAAATAAGTCCCATTATCTGAACCAATATTTTCTGTTAGTCCATACCTGGGTATAATATTTTCAATCAATGCTTTGACTACATTATTAAGTTGCACTTGAAAAGGGAATAGCTTCCACCCAGTGAGTAAGGTGATCTACTATCACTAATAAGCACTTTAGGCGAATGAATGAGGGCATTTCAGTGTAATCAACTTGGACACTTTGGAATGGTCTTAATCCTGGACTTCTTCACCAAGGGGTGGTTTTCTAAGGGTCTACTTATTAGTCTTTTTGCATATTAGGCAACTATCTGTAACTTGTCTTGCCAGAGTATAAATTCTTATACATCCATAAACCCTGAGAACTGCATCACACATAGCTTGAGGTCCCGTTTTGATGCAAGTGAGATAAGACTTCTCTCATGAGGGGTTTGGATAACATTTATCTTTGGTCTGGTAGCACCCATTTCCCTTCTGAATTTTCTTTGGCACCTATTTTCATTGATTTCTCCCTTTCAGTGGAAGAGAAGATGGGGACTGGTCAGGGGAGGAAGACAAGGGATTAGGTGAAAAGTGGGTGTTTCAGAGGAAATGGCAGCTTGTTTGGCTATTTGATCTGCAAGGTTATTCCCTCGACTTTCAAAAGAAAGACCTTTTTGGTGTCCTGGGATATGGACAATAGCTGTCTCTTCTGGCAGCTGGAGGTTATCTAATACTTGAGTGATTAATTGCTTGTGGACAAGGTCTTGGCCTTTGCTATTGAGACCTCGTTCAGTCCAAATTTTCCACAGGTGTGAGCTACCCCGCCTCCAAGGCATACTTGGAATCAGTATAAATAGTCCCTTCCTGGTTTTGCAAGTGTTTCAAAGCCTGATTTAATGCAAACAATTCACAAGTTTGGGTGGACGAATTGTTAGCCAATCTTCCTGACTATATTTCTGCAAGAGCTTCCCCATCAACTACTGAATACCCATTATGTCTCTTTCCTTCAATTACCCAGGAAGGGCCATCTATAAATAAATGCTGTCCTGTTTTGAAAGGGGTCTCTCTTAAATTGGGCCTGACTTTTGTGTGATAATCAATTAAATCTAAACACTGATGCTCAGGTCCTTTTAGATTTGGATTTCCTGTTAGAAAACCTGCTGAGTTAAGTGAGTTATCAGTGGTTAGTGTTAAATCATCTCTTTCTAATAGGATAGCTTCATACGCTAAAATCCTTGAGTCAGTGAGCCACCATCCTGCTTTCTGGTTTAAAATAGCTCTAACTTGATGGAGTGTGCTTACAACCAAAATTCCCCCAAAAATTAGCTTTCTGCTTTCTTCAGTTAACAAAGCAGTGGCTGCAATAGATTGAACACATTCGGGCCATCCACAGGTTACGGGGTCTAAAACCTTTGATAGAAAGGCTACAGGTTGCCAGTGGCCCCCATGTTCTTGGGTAAGTACCCCTAAAGCTACCCCCTTGTTTACATTAACAAAGAGGTAAAATGGCTTTTCTAGGAGTTCCTGCTTAGTTTTAGGCAAAGTTAGGGATACAATTCCTTCAACTCGCTCAGGTCCTATCCTTCGTTTGTCCTTACTTATTAAGTGCCCTAAGTATTTAACTTCAGGCTCTACAAATTGGAGTTTTCCCTTTGAAACCTGTAAGCCTTTTTATCCGAAATGGTTAAGGAGGCCAATGGAGAGTAATTTCAGTGGGCCTTATCCTTTGGAGCCCCCTGCTGGAAGGTGGATAACATAATACTTGCTTTTTGTTTTTGCTTACGTATACTTTCTGAGCTTCCCTAAGGAGTTCATTCATGGGACGGTCTTTTCAATTCTCTATCTTTTGTCTTTAGCATTCCCTGCCCAAGGGGATCTTCATATTTTCCCAGTGAGCTGCATTGTTATTGTCCCACTGGGGGTCTTAGGCGGATAATTTTTGGTCTGCGGCGGGAACATTTTGATGTGAGAATGTTCGTGTTCCCAAATTACCATAGCAGCTCTACAGATTATTCTCCTTTCTTCCCCTGAAAAGAGGATGCCCATGATGGACATTAATTCAGCCCAAGTATATAATTGGAGTCCTAAAAATTGGTCAATTTTATCTGCCACTCCATAAGGGTCATCTAACAGTGGCTTGACTTTTTTTTCAAATTTCAAACTTCTGAGCTGGTTAAAGGGACATTCACAAAGCCAATGGCTCCCCCTCCTATGGGCACCTCTCTTAAGGGGAGGAATGTTGGAGCTGATTCCCTAGAGGTAGAGGGGAAAGGGAAGTTCTGAATATCCTTTTTACATTGCTCTACCTCACGTTGAAATCCTTTTAGGGAAGGGTACTTAGGAGCAGGCTCATGCAATGATAGTTCCCAAAAGTCAGGGTCATAAGGAGGAGGAACAACGTGAGTAAGGGAAGGATCTGGGGCAGTAGTGGCTGTCTGAGGGGGAGGGAAGTTAGGATCAGGGGCATTAAGCAGGGGAAGGTGGTCTACAGGATCCCATACTCTGGTGGACTGTTTGGAGGTAAGGACCCTATTCTTTTCTGAGGAGTTGGTTTCTGACTTACTTCCTGTAGTTTTTAGGGGATAAAGGAAGACTGGGGGTTTCCCATCCTGGAGATTTGACCTGAGGCCCAATCCCTCATCCTAGAGATTTCTTACCTTTCCTTTCTCTAAAGGCTCAACCCCCCTTACTGGAGATTTCTTGCCTTTCCTTTCTCTAAAGGCTCAACCTCCCTTACTGGAGATTTCTTGCCTTTATCCCGACCACCAAGGAAATACTGTGTCGCCCCCCACGACGTTTCTTACCTTGGTCTGTGCACAGAGTTACCTGGTTGCTGCAGTATGTGAGGATCCTTTCTGCCCACATTGCTGAGTGTCCAGATTTATTCATCACACCGGGTAGGGCCCAATTCCTTACCCTGAGGCCACCACAACAAGGCAGTGGGATGCTTCTCCTCATGGGAGGGGACTGAAGACCCTTTCCCAGAGGAGAATGGGAATCCCAGATGAGCCCGGGAAATAAGAGCTCGGAGTCACAAAGAAAATGAGCACTCAAATGAAGGATTTCTCAGCAAGGCAAATTTACCTCTGCAGAAGCGCTGCTCGTTCTTCTGGTCACTGCAAGAATACACCAAATGAAGAAGGGAATGGGTTTTTATCCCTAACACAGTCAGTCCCTACTACTGTGTCCAGTCTGCATTGGCTGGGGTGGGACCACACAATCTAAGCTGATCCCATTTGGCTACTTCAAAATGGAACAGGGGTGGGAGCTACAGCAGAGGAAAGAGCAGTTTCGGAACTAAGGGTGCCAAATAAGGAACAGGTGTGGGTTGTTACAGATTGGGAATGGCTGTGGGTTACAGATTGGGAACAGATGTGGATTACAGATTGGGAATGGATGTGGGTTACAGATTGGGAACAGCTGAAAATTGTTTACCATAACTAGTGGCAAGGAGGCAAGGAAATTAGGCTCTGAAAATAGAGGACAAGCAGAACCTTTGAAGAGGAACTCACTGTTTCCAACATCGGGAGGCTGAGGCAGGAGAATCGCTTGAACTCAGGAGGCAGAGGCTGCAGTGAGCTGAGATCATGCCACTGCACTCCAGCCTGGGTGACAGAGTGAGACTCTGTCTCAAAAAAAAAAAAAAAAAAAAAAAAAGCAAACTTGCAGAATATGACGCTAAAGTTTTATGGGACCTTTAATTTTGTATCCACCTTCTCAGTATATTTGATATACTGGCTTCACATGGATACTTCACCTTTTTCAAGGATCAATTTCATTAGCATCAGTAGCCACTCTCTTTTTTATTTATTTTAACTTTCATTTTAGTGTCAAGGGTACATATGCAGGTTAGTTATATGGGTACATTGCATGTCTCAGGGGTTTGGAGTACAGATTATTTCATCACCCAGGTAATAAGCATGCTATCTGATAGGCACTTTTTCAGTCCTCACCCTCCTCCCACTCTCTGCCCTAAAGCAGGCCCCAGTGTCTGTAGTTCCATTTTTTGTGTCCATGTGTATTCTGTGTTTAGCTCCCACTTACTACTTTCATTTAACTCAACTTTGAAGCAATCTGCCAGCTCAGAAGTGATTCTTGCCTGAACAGAATTCCACTGGATAAGACCTACTCCAAGCATGAATACATAGTGAATGTTGACCAGCTATTGTTGGATATTGGCAGCAATAAATGATGTCATGTTTTTTCTCCAAGAGGGAAAGGAGAATGTTATCGGAGGAAGCATCCATAACAGGAAACTGGCATGATCTGTTTTCTAATGTCAATATGAGTCATATATTTATTTATTTATTCTTTTATTTATTTTGAGATGGAGTCTTGCTCTGTTGCCCAGGCTAGAGTGCAGTGGTGTGATCTCGGCTCACTGCAACATCCACCTCCCGGGTTCAAGCAACTCTCCTGCCTCAGCCTTCTGAGTAGCTGGGATTACAGGTGCCCACCACCATGCCCAGCTAATTTTTGTTTTTTTTTTTTTACTAGAGATAGGGTTTTGCCATGTTGGCCAGGCTGGTCTTGAACTCCTGACCTCAAATGATCCACCCCCCTTGGCCTCCCAAAGTGTTGGGATTATAGGCATGAGCCACTGTGCCTGGCATAGATTTATTTTTTTGAGCAGATTACATGTTTCTCTGAAATGAGGAAATGTTTTCTGTGATAATGATAGTGATCATGTAAAAGAATGGCCTGATCTAAAGGAATCACCGTTTTGTCCAAACAGGTGGTTACTGGGAACAGAATGTAAAAATAATTTGCTCACTGTTGTATCTCCAGCAATTGATACAATGCTTGGTAAAAAGCAGATCCTCAAAAAAAAAAAAAAAAAAAAAAAAAAACAACTTTAGAAAGTAAATAAAGAAAGGGGGAAGAGAGGAAAGCCAAGAGAATGAGGAAAGAAGTTTCAAGAACATCAGATAAAAGCCCAAATATTGATGCAGGAGAGGATCTCCAAAATCTATGTCCAACTTCCTTATTTTAGATATAGGAACTGCAGACACAGAGGAGTTCACTAACTTCCCAGGGTTATAATATCTCAGGCTAGATGGTTACTGTGTCATTCCCAGATGTTAGGATTTTGGACTGGTGTGTGTGTGTGCGTGCGTGCACACACGAGAGTGACTGTTGCCCAAGATGGAGTGCAGCCTAAGTAATTTTTGTGTTTTTGTAGAGACAAGGTATCCTCCCCCTGTTGCCCAGGCTGGTATTGAACCCCTGGGCTCAAGTCATCCACCAGCCTTGGCCTCCCAAAATGCTGGGATTACAGGCATGAGCCACTGCACCTGGCCAGGACTTTGGACTTCAGTCTTCTTAATGTAACACTAGTGGAGCTACAGGAAGTATCATCAAAGGAAGACCCTGGGATCTTGCACTCTGACTCCAGATTAGCATGCTGAGATTGGAGGAAGCTTGAGAAGTCTTAGCCACAGACTTGGAAGAAACTCTGGGATTTAAATGAGAGAGCAAAAGCAAGACATAGTGGAGCAATTTAATTCTAAACACCAGACTAAAACTGAGCAAATCCACAGGTGCTGTTATTTCCTTACTGTCAATGGTCTATACTTCTCTACACACATGCACCATTGTCCCCTCTTGCTAACAATCTGGGTTAGACTGCAGTAGTTAAAACTCAGGGACAAAAATTAGCTCTCTCAGAGATTATAATTTGCCAGTAGAATTCAGAGACTGTGATGGCACAGATGATAGTGGCTTCTCTCGACATCTGTACTGGGGCATGTGAATAGATGTAATCCTTGGAATACAGCAAAAAGTTCTGCAGCCAATCATTGGAAAAAGTGGAGTTACACAGATTTCTTCACGGTGAGACTTTATAAGGCCTTTAACAAACTAATATGAGTTTTGAATCTCAAAAAGGCAAATTGGTTCGTAGACTTTCCAAACTTTTTTGACCCGTACACTCCCTACTTTGATTTTGAGGACTTATTTTCCAAGGGACTATACTTCCCCAATGGTTGTTCTTTTTTTTGTTTTTAAACTGTGATTTCATATCATAAACCAGTTCACACATACTTCTAAAGGTAAAACTAAGACAAAGGTTTCATAAAATATTACGTACTTTTTCTTTTTTTTGAGATGGAGTCTCACTCTATTGCCCAGGCTGCAGTGCAGTGGTGCGATCTCGGCTCACTGCAACCTCCGCCTCCCGAGTTGAGGTGATTCTCCTGCCTCAGCCTGCCGAGTAGCTGGGACTACAGGTGTGTGCCACCATGCCCGGCTAATATTTTCTTTTTTTTTTTTTGAGATGGAGTTTTGCTCTTGCTGCCCAGGCTGGAGTGCAATGGCGCAATCTCGGCTCACCGCAACCTCCGCCTCCTAGGTTCAAGTGATTCTCCTGCCTCAGCCTCCCGAGTAGCTGCAATTACAGGCATGCGCCACCATGCCCAGCTAATTTTTTGTATTTTCTTTTTAGTAGAGATGGGGTTTCTCCATGTTGGTCAGGCTGGTCTCGAACTCCTGACCTCAGGTGATCTGCCCTCCTCGGCCTCCCAAGGTGCTGGGATTATAGGCAGGAGACACCGTGCCCAGCCTATCTCAAGGTTTTGAGTGTTTTGAAGGCCAGGACTATGTCTTATTCTTCTTGGTATCACCAGCACCTAGTATAATACTGTGTACAAAGTAGGCCTCAATAAATGCTTGTTGAATTGAATTTACTTGAGTTTCCAGAAATGGGGAGGTCACCAGAGAAATGTACAGACCAGGAAAAGGCGATTGAACTCACTCCAGGGAAGTTTTTTTGTTTGTTTGTTTTGTTTTGTTTTGTTTTGTTTTGTTTTGTTTTGTTTTTGAGACGGAGTCTCACTCAGTTGCCCAGGCTGGAGTGCAGGGTGCAATCTTAGCTCGCTGCAACCTCTGCCTCCCAGCCTCCCCAGCCTCAAGCCATTCTCCTGCCTCAACCTCCCCAGTAGCTGGCATTACAGGTGCCTGCCACCACATCTGGCTATTTTTTGTATTTTTAGTAGAGACAGGGTTTCACCATGTTGGCCAGGCTGGTCTTGAACTCCTGACCTCAGGTGATCTGCCCACCTTGGCCTCCCAAACTACTGGGATTACAGACATGAGCCACTGCTCCCAGCTAGTGTTTTTAAATAAGGGAGAAATTATAATGACAGGCAGAGATGTTTTGGAAAGTATTTTTGTGGCAAGTGCCTAAAAGTAGGAGTCAGAGAAACCCAAGTCCGTGAGTTGGCCAAGAGACTGAAAAGACCCTCAAGAGAAAAGACGGGATGGGAGGAAGGCAGCTGGAATCACAGCCAAGGCAGCACTACAATGTGCTGGAACTCCCCAGCATTCTGACCCAATGACCTACTTCGTGCAAGGCTGGGAGTGCTGTAGATTACAGCAAGGTGTAACAACAGAGCCCTATAAGTGCAAAACACCCTGTGCCTATGTGCCCTTTTTTGAGAACTACTTGTACTTTAACCAGATGATTGGATTAACAGCAGCGCTTGCCCTATTGCAGGAAGTGTGACTATTTTCTCAGAGTAAAACAGGCACTAATTTTGGGACTTGGCCCTGGCTCACATAGGAAGGGGGCGGGAGAGTCTGACTCAACTGACAATGGAAGTCCAGCCAGGAGAGCAAAGAACAATGTCCTCAGGTAAGGCCATTAGTGTCTGGCACATCTGTGGCTTGGTGGTGACTTCCATTCACCAACCAGCCTGGGTTTTGGGGACAGGCTCTCAGGCCCCAAGGAGAGAGTAGGCAAATGCAAGGCAAAGCTCTCAAGCCAGAAGAAGTATGGAGAGTGGGCCTGGCAGTACCGTATGAACCTGCTGTCTTGATATAATGATAAATAACATGCTTTTTTGTCCTCAACGGGCTCCTACTTAGGACGATAAATTATATGTCATTTTCCGCATGGAATACTTGGAAGAATCCCAGAAAAACAACTTTGCAACAGGAACCAAGGCAAAAGCCAGCTTTATAAACTGGGTCAAGAAAGAATCCAGGTGGGAACTATGGCCCACCTTGGATAGGAAAAGCAGGCTATCCTTGTAGTTACTAGAAATCTCAGAGACAGTACTACCCATATCCTATGCAGAAAGCAATGACGGTCTTTGTCCTTATTAACAATGGCACCCGCGATCCTCCAAAATGCAGGGGGAGATAGTCTTCCTATATTGGTGTTTCTGTTATCAGACTCATCATTGAGAATCACTACTATTTATCCCTGAAGAAGAGAATGTTTTGCACAGGGTGTTCTTTCCAAATATATGGACAAGACAGTCTGCTACATCATGCAGAGGTTGCAAGTTGCTTATAAACTAATTGGAAAGTTAAATAATTATAAAAGATTTAAATAGTAGTCCAAGAGAGCAACAGAAGAGTTATCAAAAACTCATGCCTGGTTAATAGTCAAACCAGTTGTGTTAGCTGTAATGTTTATGAGAGTTCAAAGAGAAAGTGTAACCGCTTCAGATTAGGAAGATAAAAAAATATTTCACAGGAAACGGGACATCAAGTCTTTTTTTTTCTAGACAGAGTCTCACTCTCTCACCCAGGCTGGAGTGCAGTGGCATGACCTTGGCTCACTGCAACCTCTGCCTCCCGGACTCAAGCGATTCTCCTGCCTCAGCCTCCAGAGTAGCTGGACTTACAGGTGCGTGCCACCACACCCAGCTAATTTTTATATTTTTAATAGAGACGGGTTTCACCATGTTGGTCAAGCTGGTCTTGAACCCCTGAGCTCAGGTGATCCACCCGCCTCAGCCTCCCAAAGTGCTGGGATTACAGGTGTAAGCCACCATGCCCAGCCGGGACATTAGGTCTTGAAGGACTTCCCATTTATTAAGTACTTACTATTTGCCAAACATTTTCACATATGGATTATTATTTCTTAGAACAATCCTATGAAATAGGCATTGGTATCCATAGTCTACAAAGGAGGGAACTGAGACGCTGAGAGTTTAAGCAACTTTTCCTAGGTCACCCAGCCAGTAAAAAGCATAGAGGTTCAGACCCATATGTATGTTACTTCAAAGTTTCTGTTTTTTCTGAAGCGGGGGAGTTGGGGGAAGAAAAAGAAAGGAAACCAGAGGCTTCCAGTCAGGTTGAACAAGCTCAGCTAAGTCTAATAATGGAAGGTATATTTGGAGTTCTCCAAATAGCCCTATTTGATAGGAGTAGAAATTTCAGGAAAGTGAAAGGGTGGCATTCCACCTAGAAAGTTAAGGAAGGAGTAGTTTGTGAAAGGCCTTAAATAGCAGTGCAAAGAGTTGTGGGGAACTATTTATGTTTGAGCTTGGCCCTCTATGCGTGGAGCCAAAGATAGGGCATGGAGCTCAGGGTCCTAGGTTGTACCCATTGAGGTTGAAAGGGCAAGGGCAAGGTTTCTGATATCAAAAGAGAATATAGGCTAAAACTAGAAGGTACAGATAACCTGCAAACTAGAAAGGAAAATAAGAAATGCTAGTGTCATGTCATATAAGAGCTTTAGAGTCAGTTGAGTTTAGATCTTGGCTTTCCCACTTATTATATGTATGACATTCAGCTGGTCACTCAACATCTTTCAGATTCAGTTTCCTAAATTATGAAATATACCTACTTTATATTAGACTTTGTGGTTGACTCCCCCAAATCCTTTCCACCTCAGTTGATCCATCTAAAGCCATCATGATAATCCCATTCTCCTTGCTAATGATTGGCCCAGGGATGGCTAATGAAATATGCAGAAGAATACAATGGACCGAACTCTGTCGTCCCAAAATTCCTATGTTGAAGCTCTAACTCCCAGTGTGATGGTATCCGAAGACAGAGCCTTTGGGAGGAAATTAGGTTTGGAAGAGGTCATGAGGGTGGGGCCTTCATGATGGGATTAATGTCCTTGTGAAAAGAGACACCAGAGAACTTGCTTGCTCTCTCCCTCTCTGCCATGTGAGGACACAATGAGAAGATGGCCATTTCCAAGCCAGAAAGAGAGTCCTCACCTCACCTTACCAGGGTGGCACCCTGCTCTTGGACTTCCAGCCTCCAGAACTGTAAGAAAATAAATTTCTGTATTTTGTTATGTCAACCTGAGCTGGCTAATAAAAAGGACTTAATGGACCCGACATGGAAGCTCACGCCTATAATCCCAGCACTTTGGGAGGCTGATGCAGGCAGATGACCTGAGGTCAGGAGCTCGAGACCAGCCTGATCAACATGGAGAAACCCCATCTCTACTAAAAATACAAAATTAGACAGGCATGGTGGCGCATGCCCGTAATCCCAGCTACTCGGGAGGCTGAGAGAGGAGAATCACGAACTCAGGAGGCGGAGGTGGCAGTGAGCCAACATCATGCCATTAACCTCCAGCCTGGGCAACAAGAACGAAACTCTGTCTCAAAAAAAAAAAAAAAAAAAAAAGGGCTTAATGGGGGTGCTGCTAGGTAAGTAGGTAAGTTTTCCCTTGCTCTTGCTCTTCTAAGGGAAACCATGGTCTCTTTTTTACTTCATATATCAAAAAACACAGAAATATTGCCAACTGCTACCAGTACCCATTCCACCCCACCAAGAACAAACCAACTTGAGAACAAAGCTGATGTATATAATTGGGCAGAATTTCAGGGAAATGGAGAGAGAACCCTGATCAAATCATACCTGAAGTCAATAGCGCAATATTATGGCACTTCCTGTTATTTGGGCCAATATAATTTCTTTCTTTTTTTTTTTTGAGATGGAGTTTCACTCTTGTTGCCTAGGCTGGAGTGCAATGGCACAATCTTGGCTCACTGCAGCCTCCGCCTCCCAGGTTCAAGCGATTTCTTCTGCCTCAGCCTCCCGAATAGCTGGGATTACAGGCATGGGCCACCACGCCTGGCTAATTTTGTATTTTTAGTAGAGACGGAGTTTCTCCATGTTGGTCAGGCTGGTCTCAAACTCACGACCTCAGGTGATCTGCTTGCCTCAGCCTTCCAAAGTACTGGGATTACAGGCGTGAGCCACCATGCCCAGCTGAGCCAATACAATTTCTTATTGTTTAAGTGAATTTGCGTCAGGTTTATGTTACTTGCAGATTATAGCAACCCAGGGTGACTGGGAGAATAAATCCTAATAATTAAAGATTTTAGTGTAGTGTGTAGTACATATATATAAAAATGATAGCTATTAATATTATTTTAGGTAGAGACCTAATTTGTAAGTCACTCAATGTAGTGATCATGACTGGGAGATCCATTAGAAGTCACCTATTGGTGCCCGGGCGTGGTGGCTCATGCCTGTAATCCCAGCACTTTGGGAGGCTGAGGCGGGCAGATCACCTGAGGTCGGGAGTTCGAGACCAGCCTGGCCAACATGGAGAAACCCTGTCTCTACTAAAAAATATAAAATTAGCCAGGCTTGATGGTGCATGCCTGTAATCCCAGCTACTTGGGAGGCTGAGGCAAGATAATCACTTGAACCCGGGAGGTGGAGCTTGCCATGAGCCGAGATTGTGCCATTGCACTCCAGCCTGGGCAACAAGAGAGAGACTCCGTCTCAAAAAACAAAACAAAACAAAACAAAACAAAACAAAACAAAAAAACACCTAATGATAGGGGTTGTGATGAGAAGACTCAGTCTCTGAAAAAGAAAGAAGACTGGAATAAGGGGTAGAGAATTGGCTTGAGATTTGCCTCTGGCAAACCAGGTTTAGATTCTGGTTGACAGGCAAGACACTAGCAGAAGAAACAAAGCAAAACTGATATAAATGTTGAGGATGTGGTACCCTTCCTAATTTCCAGATTTCAGCTGGGAGTTTTTCTGTGGTCCTAATAACTCAAATAGCCAGCTCTGCTTCAGAAACTTCCTTATGTCCTTTCTTTGCCCTCATTAGAGCTCCCATTATTGGTTTCCCTGGAATGTGCTCTTAGACAAACACTACTTCTGTTTAAATGTTTGCATTATTTAAACAGGTGAAAATAGTAAAATTAAAGGAGCTCATTTCATTCTTATTCAGTTGTACTTTTTTAAAGACTCAAATGGCTTAATTACGTATTTTAAGCCAAGCAATAAAAACATCTAAAAATTGTTCCAAAACCACATTGTTTGCTTGATGGTGAACAGTTTCTAAACAAAACTAATGTAGCCAGGAAAATGTTGTCCTAAGCCACTGGACAGTTCTTCCTTGAATTGTTGTAGCTGGTAATTAAGCTGGTATGATTGTTAATATTTTCTATTTTTATCAAATTGCTCTTCCAAATTCTGAAAACTATTCAGTCCTTGAGGGCATATGAAATCATTTCCTTGTTATTAAGAAACATGTAAAGCAGATTAAATTAGCAATTATGATCCTAAAGCAAAAATTAAGGAAATGTGCAAGGTTTGACTACCAGGATGTTCATTGAAGCTTTATTTATTTATTTATTATTTGATTATTATTTTTGTTTTGAGATGGAGTCTTGCTCTGTCACTCAGGTTGGAGTCCACTGGCGTAATCTCGGCTCACTGCAACCTCCGCCTCCCAGGTTCAAGCGATTCTCCTGCTTTACCCTCCTGAGTAGCTGTGATTACAGGCGTGTGCCACCACGTCCAGCTAATTTTTGTATTTTTAGTAGAGACTTGGTCAGGCTGGTCTCGAACTCCTGACCTCATGATCCTCCAGCCTTGGCCTCCCAAAGTGCTGGGATTACAGGCGTGAACCACCGTGCCTGGCCTTTTTTTTTTTTTTTTTTTTGAGATGGAGTCTTGCTCTGTCATCCAGGCTGGAGTGTAATGGTAAGATCTCAGCTCACTGCGACCTCTGCCTCCCAGGTTCAAATGATTCTCATGCCTCAGCCTCCTGAGTAGCTGGTACTATAGGCATGCACCACAACACTGGACTAATTTTTGTAGTTTTAGTGGACGGGGTTTCACCCCATTGTCCAGGCTGGTCTCGAACTCCTGACCTCAAGTGATCCTCCCACCTCAACATCCCAAAGTGCTGGGATTACAGGCATGAGCCACTGCGCCTGACCCTGAAAGATGATTATTAATATGTGTGCATGTCTTCTATAGACAGATAAAGCATTGGAAAATTTACTCATTTTCACTTTTCCCAAAAAGAATAATTTTCACTACATAAATACAAATGATATATATTTATACATTTTAGAAAAGCAAATTGTTTTCAACCACTTTCAACTAATTTGGAAGTCTTATTTTGCTAATGAGGTGATGTTGGCATTAATATTGGTAATTTCATTTCTTGTTCTTTTTTTTTTTTTTTTTTGAGACAGAGTCTCGCTCTGTCACCCAGGCTGAAGTGCAGTGGTGAGATCTCGGCTCACTGCAAGCTCTGCCTCCCGGGTTCACGCCATTCTCCTGCCTCAGCCTCCTGAGTAGCTGGGACTACAGGTGCCTGCCACTGCGCCCGGCTAATTTTTTTTTTTTTTTTTTTTTTGTATTTTTGGTAGAGACATGGTTTCGCTGTGTTAGCCAGGATGGTCTCGATCTCCTGACCTCGTGATCCGCCCGCCTCGGCCTCCCAAAGGGCTGGGATTACAGGCGTGAGCCACCGCGCCCAGCCTAGTAATTTCATTTCTCAAGAACTCACTATATTTCTGCAGTTTATGCTAGATTTATAGATAGATGAGAAAAAGTTTCATCCTGAAGATTTCATTTTAAAAATATTAGTAAATGTGGAATAATTGTGAACAACTAGTTACCAGGAACTTCCATTTGCCGTTTAACAATCTTTGTTCATGTTTGTTTGTGTGTGTGGTTTTTTTTGTTTGTTTTTGTTTGTTTGTTTTTTTTTTGAGACAGGATCTCACTCTGTTACCCAGGCTGGAGTGGAGTGGCATGATCTCAGCTCACTGCAACCTCCGCCTCGCAAGTTCAAGAGATTCTCATGCCTCAGTCTTCCAAGTAGCTGGGATTTCAGGCACGCGCCACCATGCCGGACTAATTTTTTTGCATTTTTAGTAGGGATGGTTTTTCACCATGTTGGCCAAGCTGGTCTCAAATTCCTGGCCTCAAGTGATCTGTCTGCTTTGGCCTCCCAACGTGCTGGGATTACAGGCATGAGCCACCGCGTCCGGCCTTTGGTCATGTTTCCACTATGGTTAAGACCTTGTGATAAATTGTCAGATTTATAAAGCTGAATGAGATCAAGTTCCTAATTGGGGAAACAGACACAACGCCCTATTTTATTTAACCATGGACATTATGCATTTTTATTGATTTTTTGGCATTTTTACTTATCCTTTGATGGTAATGATTGGAAAATCATACCATCTAATGTAAAATGAACAATAAGCCACCATTATAAAAGCAATATAAGTAAAACCAAATAAATTAATTTGATAATTGCCTCTCTTGGCCACTAATAATCACCTGTTAAACATTTATCTCTAAACTATATTCTAGAATAAATTATGTCTCTTTAGCAATTGTTTTGGCTGAAAGAACAGTTTCGGATTCTTGAGTACAATTGGAGGAGATTATACTGCAAAATTTTCCAAATTTGTCCATGCTTTATATATCTTGCCCATCAAACCAGTCAATCCAGTTGAGTCACTAATGGAGCAATGTATAGATGATTCTTCAATATCCATTACTTCATTTACTATTTTTTAAGCCAAATTATTGAGAAACAGGGAACAGTTACAGGGATGTGCCCCAATTAGATAAATCCATTCCATTCCCCAATTATTACTTCAGGATCCCAGGCCTAAATTATTTAGACCATTCTTATTTTGAGACTGTATATAACCTGATTCAGATTAATAAGATAAATTTGTTAGGACTTTTTGAAAGTGTCACTTTGGGCCAGGAGCAGTGGCTGACTCCTGTAATCCCAGCACTTTGGGAGGCTGAGGCGGGCGAATCACCTGAGGTCGGGAGTTCGAGACCAGCCTGACCAACATGGAGAAACTCCGTCTCTACTAAAAATACAAAATTAGCTGGGCGTGGTGGCATGTGCCTGTAATCCCAGCTACTTGGGAGGCTGAGGCAGGAGAATCGCTTGAATCCGGAGGTGGAGGTTGCAGTGAGCCGAGATTGTGCCATTACACTCCAGCCTGGGCAACAATATCGAAACTCCGTCTCAAAAAAAAAAAAAAAGAAAGTGTCATTTTGAACATCTTATGACCATTCAGTTCTCAGGTAATCTCCATGACCTGGAAAGTCTGTCATCAGGGAAGAAGTTGCTTAATAGATATTGATGTTAGAAGAGGATCTATGCTGATGTTCAAATATGGACAAGGACATGGGATAAAAGAAAAACTTCTAGAAGACAGAACTAGGGCTCAATAAGGGGAATAGAAAGGGCAATCTTCTCAGAGGTACTGCCTGAGACTGCCAGTGTGGTTAATCAAGGGCCTCAACCCTGTGCATGTCACAGAGCTCTTGCTATTCCTGTCCAACAGGATGTGGTATGTGTTCTGGAAGAGTGGACAGTGTGTATTGTTGCCCAGTCTCTTATTTTCTAACTTTTTTTCTAAGACAGAGTCTCACTCTCTCACCCAGGCTGGAGTGCAGTGGCGTGATCTCAGCTCGCTGCAACCTCTGCCTCCCAGGCTCAAGCAATTCTCCTGCCTCAGCCTCCTGAGTAGCTGGGATTACAGGTGCATGCCACCATGCCTGGCTAATTTTTTTTATTTTTAGCAGGGATGAGTTTTCACCATGTTGGCCAGGCGGTCTCAAACTCCTGACCTCAAATGATCCACCCACCTCAGTCTCTCAAAGTGCAGGGATTACAGGCACGTCCCACAGTGCCTGGCCTATTTTCCAACTTTTTAACAGTAATCTTGTTCTTTGAGTACTGGGGTGTTGGAAGGTAAGTTATCATTCTGAGAAGCTATAGCCAGGACTGATAAACATGACAACACAATGCCCAGATTGCTCAGCTTGGTGCTGGTATCACAATTAGATGGGTCTTTGGGTTGACTTCTAGGTGAATGCGTCTCATATAAGCGGGGTTATGACCAAAGCACTCATTCCTGCCAACTGCCAGGAGTGAAGTCGGCTAATGGCCCACAGCCAAGTCCCCCTCTAGGAATTGTCATGTCTCCAAATTATACCTGTCCTCAGGGAAAGCCTACACCCAACATACTCTCAGGGAAATAGGGAAACAGAAGTGTGGAATGATGAGTGGTACAAAGGCCTCAAGTGTCATCCCTGCTGCACCTCTCCCGTGGGGATAGGCTGAGGCCTCTGTGGCATCTGCATCACTGTTCAACCCCTCTCTCTGCCCAATCCTGCTTCTTTCTCTTATTCACAGTGGTTGATCCCAAAAGTACTACCCAATAACCTTACTACACCCAAATCCCTATCTCAGGGTCTAACTACGTGTCATCCCAGCTACCCAGGAGGCTGAGGCAGGAGGATCACTTGAGCCCAAGAGTTTGAGGCTCAGTGAGCTGTGATCACACCAATGCACTCCAGTCTGGGCAAAATAGCAAGATCCTGTCTCTAATTTTAAAAAAAGTTAATATTAAAAAGTCTATCTCAGGCCAGGTGCAGTAGCCCATGCCTGTAATTCCAGCATTTTGGGAGGCTAAGGCGGGTGGATCATGAGGTCAAGAGACAGAGACCATCCTGGCCAACACGATGAAACCCCGTCTCTACTAAAAATACAAAAATTAGCTGGATGTGGTGGCGCACGCCTGTAGTCCCAGCTACTCTGGAGGGTGAGGCAGGAGAATCACTTGAACCCGGGAGGCAGAGGTTGCAGTGAGCCAAGATCACGCCACTGCAACTCTAGTCTGGCGACAGAGTGAGACTCCATCTAAGAAAAAAAAAAGTCTATTTCCTAGGAATGCAACCTAAGATAATACATAATAATGATAATAATGTTAGGAAGCTGGGTGCGGTGGCTTGCGTCTGTAATCCCAGCACTTTGGGAGACCAAGGCAGGTGGATCACCTGAGGTCAGGAGTTTGAGACCAGCCTGACCAACATGGAGAAACCTCATCTCTACTAAAAATACAAAATTAGCCAGGCGTGGTGGCGCATGCCTGTAATCCCAGCTACTCGGGAGGCTGAGGCAGAAGAATCGCTTGAACCTGGGAGGCGGAGGTTGTGGTGAGCCAAGATCATGCCATTGCGCTCCAGCCTGGGCAACAAGAGCAAAACTCCATCTCAAAAAAAAAAAATAATAATAATAACAATAATAGTAATAATGTGTTAGGAAATACTTAGGACTTATTATGAGCCAACCACTCTTCAAAATGCTTTACATATATTAACTCACTTAATTCTCACTGCCCTATGTGGTACATGCTATTATTAATTTTGTTTTATGGATGGAAAGAATGTGGCACGGAAAGGTTCAGTTAAGCTGTCCAAGTTCACATGCTGGTAACTGCCAAATCTAGGATCCAAGCCTAGGCAATCTGTTTGCAGAGTACTGCACTCTTTAGTATCTTGGAGACACTTAGATAGTATTCATGACATGCCAACACCTTGCACCCAGCACCACTACAGAGAAATTCAAGGCCAAGAAAAATATCAAGTTGCTGTAAGAAGCAGGTGCAGACCAGATAAAATGTGGCAGTGGGCTCAGCTTGCCCATGGCCAACAGCATCACCGACTCTAGGCGTTCCCCGGCTCACCCCTAGCTTCTTGGGCTGTCTCGGAAGGGGCAGTCATTGGCCATGTAGAGGTTACGGGGAGCACAGTCTCCTTAACACAGACCAAAGACTCCAGTGTCTCCTTTAAACGAAGAATGGGACAGGGGCAGCTGCTGCTGAGAACCGGAAAAAGACCCAGAGGAAAGCCAAGAATCTGAAAAATCTCAGGCACTCTGCCTTCACAGCCCGCACTATTCATACCATACGTATTCCTTCTCAGTAAGGAAGGGGAAGGGGCATGTGTAAGGCAGATAACAAACCCCTGGCTGAGCCCAAGGTGACATTGTGGTAGAATCTCCGTCATCTATTCTGCCAGGCCCTAGAGTGGCAGCTACATCCTTCCAGAAAGTGACCCTGATGCATCTCCATCCTGCTTACCAGATGCTAGTTCAGGGCCTAACCTCAGCACATGACTGTACCCTGGTCACAGGAATTACTACAAGAATCAGGACCAGACTGGGCATGGTGGCTCACACCTGTAATCCCAGCACTTTGGGAGGCCAAGGCTGGTGAATCACCTGAGGTCTGGAGTTCAAGACCAGCCTGGTCAACATAGTGAAACCCTGTCTCTACTGAAAATACAAACATTAGCCAGGCATGGTGGCAGGTGCCTATAATCCCAGCTACTTGGGAGGGTGAGGCAGGAGAACTGCTTGAACCTAGGAGGCAGAGGTTGCAGTGAGCCAAAATCACAGCACTGCCCTCCAGCCTGGATGACAGAGTGAGACACTGTCTCAAAAAATAAAAAGAAAAAAAGAAAAAAAAAAGAATTCAGCCCAATGAAAATGTGCTGGGGAACATTGGAAAAGTTTCCTTGCACTCATAGGCAGCAGTTATCTCACCACTTGCCCAAGGATGAGGTGGACATGGAGGAGGCAAATCAGAAGAACAGCAGGGAAATGGTGCTAGAGTCCCTGGAATAAGTCATCCCAGAAACCTGCACTTCCTCCGGACTCGTAGCTTCCTGAACCACTAAGTCTCCTCACCATTTAAGTCAGCATGACTTGGACTATCTCCCCTTTTGGCGGAGAGAAGGAGCATCTTCAGACTTCACTCCAACCCTTTCCCCTCCAGACCATTGAGAAAATGTTTACAGCATTTAAAAAAGTATTAATTTGGATGCTTTTGATTGCAAGTAACAAGAGTAAATAGTAGCTAACTTAAGCAAAAGAGATAACTTTTTTGGAAAATTGGAACATTTCATGGAATCCAAGGACAGAGTCACAGCCTGGCCTCTGGAATAAGCCAATTGTAAGGAATTCAAGAGTCCTTTTTCTTCATCTTTTTGCAGTGCCTTTTTTCTTACTGCCAAAAAGGCTTTCTTTGTTCTTCAGTCCACAATTAAGAACATAACTACACACAGCTTTTGAATTTTCCGTGTTACAGCTAATGCAGAGAGACTGATTTATTTTCTCTCCCTCTCTTCCTCCCTTCCTCTCTAACTTTTGAAATCTCTCTGTCTGAATTTTGAAATTCCTACAGAACAAACTTAGCCCAGCTTGGGTGAGGTAGCCATGCTTGAACTAATGAACAGTGGCTGGTGGCTGATGAAGGGGTGTCGGGTTGAAGGCCACTTCTAGGAAAGTGGGTACTATTGCTGTACCAAACGGATAGAGCAGGAGTGGAGAACAATAAAGAGAAAAGAAGTTCTTAGCAATATACACTTGAACAACAACGAAAGGGAATATGAGAAAACGAAAGCATTTATCAAAGTTATGAAATTATTTATGAGGTTATTCTTTTAAATTTTGTATTTTAGAACAGAAAACATAATGCAGGCTGGACGTGGTGGCTCACGTCTGTAATCCCAGCACTTTGGGAGGCCGAGGCGGGCAGATTGCTTGAGGTCAGGAGTTTGAGGCCAGCCTGGCCAACACAGTGAAACATCATCTGTACTAAAAATACAAAAATTGGCTAGTCCTGGTGGCTCACGCCTGTAATCCCAGCACTTTGGGAGGCTGAGGTGGGCGGATCACCTGAGGTCGGGAGTTCGAGGCCAGCCCGATCAACATGGAGAAACCCCGTCTCTACTAAAAATACAAAATTAGCTGGGCGTGGTGGTGCATGGTTGTAATCCCAGCTACTCAGGAGGCTGAGGCAGGAGAATCGCTTTAATCCGGGAGGCAGAGGTTGCCGCGAGCCAAGATCACGCCATTGCACTCCAGCCTGGGCAACAAGAGCGAAACTCCATCTCAAAATAAAAATGTACAAAAATTAGCCAGACGTGGTAGAGTGCGCCTATAATCCCAGCTACGGGGGAGGCTGAGACAGGAGAATCGCTTGAACCTGGGAGGTGGAGGTTGCAGTGAGCTGAGATGGAACCACTGCACTCCAGCCTGGGCGACAGAGCAAGACACCGTCTCAAAAAAAAAAAAAAAAAAGAAAAGAAAACATAATGCAGCAGATAAAAAACTAAAACTTTGTTGTCACACTCACCCCCCGCCACCCCATCTGCATTCCAGCTGCACCACCCACAAGCTGCATAGCCTTGTACCATTTATTTAACTGTAAATGAAGATAACACCTGTCCAAAAGTTAAGGATGCAATGAGTGAGTCGATGTAATATGCTCAGCACCATACTGGTACATAATGAGTGCCTTACAAGCAGTAGCTGGTATTATTTATAAATTTTCCTTAATTGGTTAAAATACCATTTAAAAACAAATAAAAGGTAGAAAGGGGGGGATATTTCTGCTGCTTCGTCTGAACCAAGTTATACATTATTGGTACCGTAAGATATAGTTTTTGCTGGGGCCTGTGGGGTGACGCTGAGCCGGGTGGTCACCTATGATGGAGGTCAGTGGTTCCTGAGATGGAAAGTCTGTAGAGCTGCATTACTGTATTGATTAACTGTGAGGGAATTTTCTCCACAGGGGGTTTAACAATAGCAGAACCATTAGCAGCATCTCCTTGAGCGCCATCTGGCATTGATTTTTCCACCGTACTTCCTGAGGGAGGACTCTCCGGGGACTTAAAGTGAAGGAAACAATGATTCTTCTCTTACCTCTGCAACTGCTGACTTAGAATCTTTTGTTTTAGTTTTTTTTCTTCATTTATTCACTTCGATAACACAGAGACAAGCTAGAAAAAGGGCACTGCTATGCTGTATAAAAAAAAAATCACTTCTGAGTTAGGTCTTATGTGTGCCACAAACCCTGTAGTTCAGTTTAAAATTTTTGTTGAGTTTTTATTCCGACAAGACTTATGTTTAGGGTAGAATTAACCCATTATTTACTTATAGTGTCAGCACAGGAAGCAATCACATTATCTGAAAGTAAAGTCTGTAGGTGGGCATAGTTGCGGGCACCTGTAATCCCAGCTACTCGGGAGGCTGAGGCCGAGGGAATAGCTTGAACCCCGGAGGCAGAGATTACAGTGAGCCAAGATGGCACCACTGCACTCTAGCCTGGGCGACAGAGCAAGACTTCATCTCAAAAAAAAAAAAAAAGAAAGAAAGAAAGTAAAGTCCGAAGCATTGACATTCTTCTGTGACAAAATGACAAAAGATGGTTAGTTGTGTAGGTAATAGAAGAATGTCCAATAGAAAACTATTGATATAATTGTTGGTGTTGTGCAGTAAAAAATTAAAAAATTACAAAAAGGCCAGGCACGGTGGCTCACACCTGTAATCTCAGCACTTTGGAAGACCAAGGTGGGCGGATCACAAGGTCAAGAGATCGAGACCATCCTGGCCAACATGGTGAAACTCTGTCTCTACTAAAAATACAAAAGTTAGCTAGGCGTGGTGGTGTGCATCTCTAGTCCCAGCTACTCGGGAGGCTGAGGCTGGAAAATCGCTTGAATCTGGGAGGCAGAGGTTGCAGTGAGCTGAGATTGTGCCACTGCACTCCAGCCTGGAGACAGAACGAGACTCTGTCTCAAAAAAAAAAAAAATTACAAAAAGATCTTTTAATTGCCTGCAATTAATCACCCATGGACTGCTTTGTTATATTGCTTCTAATTTTGTTTTATTTATTTATTTATTTTGAGACAGGGTCTCGCTCTGTCACCCAGGCTGGAGTAGGGTGGCATGAGCAGGGCTCAATGCAGCCTCATGATGCAAACTTAGCCCCAACTAATTTTTAAAAAAACATTTTGTACAAACAGGGTCTCACTCTGTTACCCAGGCTGTTCTCAAACTCCCGGGCTCAAGCGATCTTCCCACCTCAGCTTCCCAAAATGTTGGGATTACAGGCGTGAGCCAACACGCCCAGGCTAATTTTGTTTTAAACTACTATTTAAATAGTTTATTTTTTTAAATGTTTTTACCATTTGTGGTTTTACCTTACCAAATAAGTTACATCCCTTCTACATAGGCTAGTGCTTTCTAAGTACTGTACTTAATGACTTAATTTTTATTTCAAATGTGTTGATCTGGAAAGTTGAAGGATGTAATATTCCAGATACAATATGCTTTCACCTCATTGAGAGTCAGTTTGCTTCTCTGCAAAATTAGAGAATTGGGTCAGATGCCCTTTTTGACTTTTCCCATTCTAAATATGCCATGATTTCATGCATATTGAGCTAGAACACCCCAAATGTGGAGTTGATTCAAACATTACCCAGTTTTTTTGTTTTGTTTTGTTTTTTGAGTCTCGCTCTTGTTGCCCAGGCTGGAGTGCAATGACACAATCTCGGCTCACCACAACCTCCCCTTCCCAGGTTCAAGCGATTCTCCTGTCTCAGCTTCCCGAGTAGATGGGATTACAGGGCATACACCACCACGCCTGGCTAATTCTGTATTTTCAGTAGAGACAGGGTTTCTGCCTGTTGGTCAGGCTGGTCTCGAACTCCCAACCTCAGGTGATCCGCCCGCCTCAGCCTCCCAAAGTGCTGGGATTACAGGTATGAGCCACCACGCCTGGCAAACATTACCCAGTTTTGTTGCCAACTGACAGCTGCTGAAATATTCACTGGGTTATTCCTGGAAGAAGACAGCATGCTTTGAAGGTATGCTGTAATGTGACTGCCCACAGTTGAAGTAAGCTGCAATGGTCAGAATGTCAAGAAGACAGCTGCCCCCAGTATGCTATCTGGGGGGCCTAGCAACAAATAGCAATGAGATTGGCTAGCAGAAAAACTGAGGGCAATATGCAAGTTTGAAAATCCAATTGTGCCAAAATCAAGGCAGAAGATTCAGGTTCTTGGCTGTCTTACCTGGGTGAACTCATAAATCCTTCATTCAGCAGAATTTTATTTGCGATTATGTCCTTCTGGCTTTAAGAGATGGTGCCTTGTTTTACCATCAAATGTTGCTTCGGATTGAGGAGGTGTGCTTTTCACATTCATATCTCAGATGTTTGTATTTCTGTAGAATACTGTGAAGCTTTATTACTCTCAATAGGTTTATAGATAAGAATTTTTTAAAAATTATCTTATTAACTGTAGAAATATCTATGTTTCAGTGCCAGGATATTTAACCAGTGTAATGTCATCCAGTAGTGAGGAGGCAGAGTTGTGGGCAGAAGACACTAGAATAAATGTGAGTAACTCCCTCCTGCCACCTGACGTCCCTCCTGCTGTCAAAGTAACCTGCAGAGTCTGCTGTGGTCCATCACGTAGGACCGTATATATCAAAGAATGGTCTGCTGACCCCTCCAGAATCAACCAGGAACTGCTAAAAAATGTAGCTTTTGCAGCTCACCCCGACCCACTGAATTGAAATATCTCAGAATGGGGCCATTTTAACAAGCTCCTCAGGTGATTGATGCAAGATAAAGTTTGAGAACCCTTGACTTAAACTGAATGACTTGTCAAAGTTGTAGGTATGGCTCTCTCCCTCTTCTACCTAAACCCTTAATGGGCTCCACAAAGCCACAGAAGCAAGTTGAAAGTTTTTAACCTGTCAAATACAGCTTTAATGACTTCTCTGCCTAGGTCTCCAGTTTTATTCTCTCCCCACTGAGTGCCGTGTGCTTAAAATTCCAGCAACAAGGAACTGTTTGCAGTCTCTGCAAACAGAGCTTGCTGCTTCTGGTCTCCTTGTCTGGGCTGACCAGGTCCCCTCTATCTGGAATGCCCTCCCTCCCTCCCTCCCTTCCTTTCTTTTCTCTTTTTTTTTTTTTTTTTTGAGACGGAGTCTTGTTCTGTTGCCAAGGCTGGAGTGCAATGGCGTGATCTAGGCTCTGTCGCCCAGGCTGAAGTGCCGTAGCACAATCTCGGCTCACTGCAACCTCCACCTCCCAGGTTCAAGCAATTCTCCTGCCTCAGCCTCCCGAGTAGCTGGGATTACAGGCACCTGCCACCACACCTGGCTAATATTTGTATTTTTAGTAGAGACAGGTTTTCACCATTTTGGCCAGGCTGGTCTCAAACTCCTGACCTCAGGCAATCTACCCATCTTGGCCTCCCAAAGTGCTAGAATTACAGGCATGAGCCTCTGCGCCCGGCCTCTTCCTGTCTTTTCTTTCCAGGCCTCTCTATCTAGAATGTTCCTTCTTTCTTCCTGCCTTTCATTACATCCCCTGAACTAAGTTAACATGGCTGCTCTTTCTCTTTGTAGATCTGTATCATCAGTCTTATCATATTGAATTATAAATGCTAGGGCTATTTTTCTTTTTTTTTCCTGAGACAGAGTTTCGCTCTTGTTGCCCAGGCTGGAGTGCAATGGTGTGTTCTCAGCTCACCACAACCTCCGCCTCCCGGAATCAAGAGATTCTCCTGCCTCAGCCTTCCGAGTAGCTGGGATTACAGGCATGTGCCACCACGCCCAGCTAATTTTGAATTTTTAGTAGAGACAGGCTTTCTCCATGTTGGGCAGGCTAGTCTTGAACTCCTGACCTCAGGTGATCCGCCCACCTCGGCCTCCCAAAGTGCTGGGATTATAGGCGCGAGCCACCGCACCTGGCCTCAAGGACTATTTTTCTATACATATCACATAATAGGCCATGAAAGTCTTGAGGACAGGATAAATGTGTCGGTTAGTTTGGTTGCAGGCAACAGAACTCAAATCTGAAGAAAGAAGTATTGGTGAGATGCTGCATAGCTAAGAGATAAAAAAGAAGTATTTCAACTATGCTTACAAAGGGCAGACACTGGGGAAGCTGCAGGTCATAGCAATAGGAACTCCTACCCATGTCAGAGGAGGGCCATGAAGGACAAAAAGTGGAGACTATCAGTGGCAGCCTCAACAAGTCATTGTTATGTCACTGAAATATACACATGCATACGTACACATACATTACATTTAACATTGTGTGTGGTTCGTGTCAGGCCTCTGAGCCCAAGCTAAGCCATCATATCCCCAGTGAACTGCACATATACATCCAGATGGCCTGAAGCAACTGAAGATCCACAAAAGAAGTGAAAATAGCCTTAACTGATGACATTCCACTATTGTGATTGGTTTCTGCCCCACCTTAACTGATCAATGTACTTTGTAATCTCCCTCACCCTTAAGAAGGTTCTTTATAATCTCTCCCACCCTTAAGAAGGTTCTTTGTAATTCTCCCCGCCCTTGAGAATGTACTTTGTGAGATCCACCCCCTGCCCCCAAAACATTGCTCTTAATTCCACCGCCTATCCCAAAACCTATAAGAACTAATGATAATCCCACCACCCTTTGCTGACTCTCTTTTCGGACTCAGCCAGCCTGCACCCAGGTAAAATAAACAGCCTTGTTGCTCACACAAAGCCTGTTTGGTGGTCTCTTCACACGGACACGTGAGACATTTGGTGCCGAAACCCAGGACAGGGGGACTCCTTCAGGAGACCGGTCCCCCGTCCTCGCCCTCACTCTGTGAGGAGATCCACCTATGACCTCGGGTCCTCAGACCAACCAACCCAAGGAACATCTCACCAATTTCAAATCGGGTAAGTGGTCTTTTTACTCTTCTCCAGCCTCTCTCGCTACCCTTCAGTCTTCCTCTCTCGCTACCCTTCAATCTCCCTGTCCTTCCAATTCCAGTTCTTTTTCCTCTCTAGTAGAGACAAAAGAGACACATTTTATCTGTGGACCCAAAACTCCGGTGCTGGTCACAGACTTGGGAAGACAGTCTTCGCTTGGTGTTTAATCACTGCGGGGATGCCTGCCTGATTATTCACCCGCATTTCATTGGTGTCTGATCACCGCAGGAATGCCTGCCTTCATCATTCACCCATATTCCCTTGGTGGCAAATCAATTGCAGGGACGTCTGCTTTGGCTGCTCACCCACATTGCAGCCCAGGGCTGCTCACCCACCCCCTTCTCCATGTCTCTACCCTTGTCTTTAAACTTGCCTCCTTCACTATGGGCAACCTTCCACCCTCCATTCCTCCTTCTTCTCCCTTAGCCTGTGTTTGCAAGAACTTAAAATCTCTTCAACTCTCACCTGACCTAAAGTCTAAGCATCTTATTTTCTTCTGCAATACCACTTGGCCCCAATACAAACTTGACAGTAGTTCCGAGTGGCCAGAGAATGGCACTTTCAATTTGTCTATCCTACAAGATCTAGATAATTTTTGTCGAAAAATGGGCAGATGGTCTGAGGTGCCTGACGTCCAGGCATTCTTTTACATGTCGGTCCCTCCCTAGTCTCTGCTCCCAATGTGACTCGTCCCAAATCTTTCTTCTTTCTCTCCTGTCTGTTCCTTCAATCTCCACCCCAAGCTCTGAGTCCTTTGAATCCTTTTCTATGGACTCATCTGACCTCTCCCCTTCTCCCCAGGCTGCTGCCAGGTCCCGGTTCTTCCTCAGCCTCTGCTCCCCAATCCTATAATCCTTCTATCACCTCCCCTCCCAACACCCAGGCCTGGCTTACAGTTTCGTTTTGCGACTAGCCCTCCCCCACCTGCCCAACAATTTCCTCTTGGAGAGGTGGCTGGAGCTGAAGGCATAGTCAGGGTACATGTGCCTTTTTCTCTATCAGACCTCTCTCAGATCAGTCAGCATTTAGGCTCCTTCTCATCAGACCCCACTAAATATATACAGGAATTCTGATATCTAACTCTGTCCTACAATTTAACCTAGAGTTACTTAAATGTCATCCTAACTTCTACCCCCTCCCCAGATGAATGGGAAAGAGTTTTTTCTCTAGCCCAATCTCACACTGACAACCGCCGGCTTCATGAGCCAGACCTCCAGGAAGGCATTAGAGCAGTTCCCTGAGAAGATCCCCAATGGAACTATCAGGCAGATTCCCCAGGTATAGCTAGGCGAGATTACATGGTTTCCCGCCTAGTTGAAGGGCTTAAAAAGGCAGCTTACAAAGCTGTTAATTATGACAAACTTAAAGAAACTACCCAAGGTAAAGATGAAAACCCAGCCCAGTTCATGGCCTGCTTAGTGGCAACCTTAGATGCTTTACCACCCTAGACCCAGAGGGGCCAGAAGGCCGCCTTATTCTTAATATGCATTTTATCACCCAGTCAGCTCCTGACTTTAGAAAAAAGCTTCAAAAATTAGATTCTAGCCCTCAAACCCCGCAACAGGACCTAATTAGCCTCACCTTCAAGGTGTACAATAATAGAGTAGAGGCAGCCAAGTTTCAACTATTTCTGAGTTGCAATTACGTGCCTCCACTGTGAGAGAAACCCCAGCCACATCTCCAGCACACAGGAACTTCAAAACGTCTGAACTGCAGTGGTCAGGCGTTCCTCCAGGACCAACTTACCCAGGATTTTGCTTCAAGTGCCGGAAATCTGGCCACTGGGCCAAGGAATGCCCCTAGCCTGGGATTCCTCCTAAGCTGTGTCCCATCTGTGCGGGACCCCACTGGAAATCGGACTGTTCAACTCACCTGGCAGCCACTTCCAGAGCCCCTGGAACTCTGGCCCAAGGCTCTCTGACTGACTCCTTCCCAGATCTTCTCGGCTTAGTGGCTGAAGACTGACGCTGCCCGATCGCCTTGGAAGCCCCCTAGACCATCACGGATGCTTTGGGTAACTCTCACAGTGGAGGGTAAGTCCATCCCCTTCTTAATCAATACGGAGGCTACCCACTCCACATTACCTTCTTTTCAAGGGCCTGTTTCCTTTGCCTCCATAACTGTTGTGGGTATTGACTGCCAGGCTTCTAAACCTCTTAAAATTCCCCAACTCTGGTGCCAACTTGGACTGCATTCTTTAATGCACTCCTTTTTAGTTATCCCCACTTACCCAGCTCCCTTATTAGGTCGAGACATTTTAACAAAATTATCTGCTTCCCTGACTATTCCTGGGCTACAGCCACACCTCATTGCCGCCTTTTCCCCCAGTTCAAAGCCTCCTTCGCATCCTCTCCTTGTATCTCCCCACCTTAATCCACAAGTATAGGACACCTCTACTCCCTCCTTGGCGACAGATGATGCACCCCTTACCATCCCATTAAAACCTGGTCACCCTTACCCCAATCAACGCCAATATCCCATCCTGCAGCATGCTTTAAAAGGATTAAAGCCTGCTATCACTTGCCTGTTACAGCATGGCCTTTTAAAGCCTATAAACTCTCCTTACAATTCCCCCATTTTACCTGTCCAAAGACCAGCCAAGTCTTACAGGTTAGTTCAGGATCTGTGCCTTATCAACCAAATTATCTTGCCTATCCACCCTGTGGTGCCAAACCAATATACTCTCCTATCCTCAATACCTCCCTCCACAACCCATTCTGTTCTAGATAAACCTAGCTGACCCCATACATCCTAAATCCTTTCCCCACTCCCCTTTCCATTCCTTAAAAAACAGCCCTAAAAGCTGCTCCCACACTAGCTCTCCCTAACTCATCCCAACCCTTTTCATTACACACAGCCAAAGTACAGGGCTGTGTGGCCAGAATTCTTACACAAGAGCCGGGACTGCGCCCTGTAGCCTTTCTGTCCAAACAACTTGACCTTACTGTTTTAGCCTAGCCCTCATGTCTGCATGCAGTGGCTGCTGCTGCTTTAATACTTTTAGAGACTCTCAAAATCAGAAGCTATGCTCCACTTACTCTCTACAGTTCCCATAACTTTCAAAATCTATTGTCCTCCTCACATTTGACACATATGCTTTCTGCCCCCCAGCTCCTTCAGCTATACTCAGTCTTTGTTGAGTCTCCCACAATTACCATTATTACTGGCCTGGACTTCAATCCGGCCTCCCACGTTATTCTGGATACCACACCTGACCCCTATGACTGTATCTCTCTGATCCATCTGACATTCACTCCATTTCCTCATATTTCCTTCTTTACTATTCCTTACCCTGATCACACTTGGTTTATTGATGGCAGTTCCACCAGGCCTAATCGCCACTCACCAGCAAAGGCAGGCTATGCTATAGTATCTTCCACATCTATCATTGAGGCTACCGCTCTGCCCCCCTCCACTACCTCTCAGCAAGCCGAACTCACTGCCTTAACCTGGGCCCTCACTCTTGCAAAGGGACTATATGCATCAATATTTATACTGACTCTAAATATGCCTCCCATATCCTGCACCACCATGCTGTTACATGGGCAGAAAGAAATTTCCTCACTATGCAAGGGTCCTCCTCCATCATTAACACTTCTTTAATAAAAACTCTTCTCAAAGCCGCTTTACTTCCAAAGGAAGCTGGAGTCATTCACTGCAAGGGCCATCAGAAGGCATCAGATCCCATCACTCAGGGCAACACTTATGCTGATAAGGTAGCTAAAGAAGCAGCTAGCTTTCCAACTTCTGTCCCTCATGGCCAGTTTTTCTCCTTCTCATTGGTCACTCCTATTTACTCTCTTACTGAAGTTTCCACCTATCAATTTCTTCCCACACAAGGCAAATGGTTCTTGGACCAAGGAAAATATCTCCTTTCAGCCTCACAGGCCCATTCTATTCTGTCATCATTTCATAACCTCTTCCATGTAGGTTACAAGCTGTTAGCCTGCCTCTTAAAACCTCTCATTTCCTTTCCATCATGAATATCTATCCCCAATCCTCCATTCTTGACTCCCTCTTTGAGTAGATAGATGATCTTTGCTGACAGGACATACTCCAAAGCTTTCACCCTGATGAAGTCCTATTCTTTACTTTTATACTCACTCTTATTCTCATTCCCATTCTTATGCCATCCTCTACCTCTCCCCAGCTATCTCCACCACACTATCAATCTCACTCACTGTCTCCTAGCCATTTCTAATCCTTCTTTAACAAACAATTGCTGGCTTTGCATTTCTCTTTCCTCCAAAATTGCCAAGGCCTCAATTTACTCATTGCTGAAAAAGGAGGACTCTGTATATTTTTAAATGAAGAGTGTTGTTTTTCCCTAAATCAATCTGTCCTGGTATATGACGACATTAAAAAAACCCTCAAAGATAGAGCCTGAAAACTTGCCAACCAAGCAAGTAATTACGCTAAACCCCCTTGGACCCCCTTGGACACTCTCTGATTAGATGTCCTAGATCCTCCCAATTCTTAGTCCTTTAATACCTGTTTTTCTCCTTCTTTTATTTGGATCTTGTGTCTTCCGTTTAGTTTCTCAATTCACACAAAACTGCATCCAGGCCATCACCAATAATTCCATACAACAAATGCTCCTTCTAACAACCCCACAATATCACCACTTACTACAAATTCTTCCTTCAGCTTAATCTCTCCCACTCTAGGTTCCCATGTCGCCCCTAATCCCGCTCGAAGCAGCCCTGAGAAACATTGCCCATTATCTCTCCATACTACCCCCCAAAATTTTTGCCCCCCCCACACTTTACCACTATTTTATTTTATTTTTCTTATTAATAGAAGAAGACAGGAATGTCAGGCCTCTGAGCCCAAGCTAAGCTATCATATCCGCAGTGACCTACATGTATACATCCAGATGGCCTAAGGCAACTGAAGATCCACAAAAGAAGTGAAAATAGCCTTAACTGATGACATTCCACCATTGTGATTTGTTTCTGCCCCACCCTAGCTGATCAATGTACTTTGTAATCTCCCCCACCCTTAAGAAGGTTCTTTGTAATTCTCCCCACCCTTGAGAATGTACTTTGTGAGATCCACCGCTGCGCCCAAAACATTGCTCTTAACTCCACCACCTATCCCAAAACCTTGTTGCTCACACAAAGCCTGTGTGGTGTTCTCTTCACAGGGACACCTGAGACAGTTCATAGTAATCAATCAAAATGCTACCCGTTGGATATTGGCTTGATGAAGGAAAAATTCCCCCAAAGGAAGGGTGTATGGTGTTGTTACAGAAGAAGGTGAAGAGATGCTTGGCAGCTGAAAACAATAGCGGTTCACTCCATTGGGCCTTGCTCTGGACTGTGCCCCCAATGTCTAATGAGGTGCTTAATACAAATTAGGCTTTTATTGAATATTTTCAGAATGATTGAAGTCAGAGAGAGAGAGAACTGATACTTACTTAACACCACCTACCAGGCAATGACTCAAGGATTTACTTGCTATTGCATTTAACCTCTCACAACAATTCTATAGGTAAACACTGTGTTTTTTCAGATGGGGAAACTAAGACTAAAGAAAAAACTTGCCAAGGACACTCAGCAAGAGAAAGCTGTGGCCTTGAGTGTGTGGGCATTGACTTCCCTCAGTGAGAAATATAGAATCTTTTTTCTCCATAAGAAGTATATGTGGCCATGCACTATGGCTCACTCCTGTAATCCCAGCACTTTGGGAGGCCAAGGCTGGCGGATCACCTGAGGTCAGGAGTTCAAGACCAACCTGGCCAACATGGTGAAATCTGTCTCTACTAAGAATGCAAAAATTAGCTGTGCGTGGTGGCGGGTGCCTGTAATCCCAGCTACTCGGGAGGCTGAGGCAGGAGAACAGCTTGAGCCCAGGAGGCGGAGGTTGCAGTGAGTCAAGATTGCGCCACTGCACTCCAGCCTGGGGGGCAGGAGTGAGACCCTATCTCAAAACAAAACAAACAAAAAACTGAAGAATTTGAAAGAGCACTTAAATAGAGAGATATACCTTATTTATGGACTCAGCACTATAAACATGGCAGTTCTTTCCAAATTAACCTGTAATTTAATGTTAAGTTTAAGAATATAAAGAATTATAAAAGGGACACACTTCCAGGTTTGCCAGGAACAAGCAAAGCCTGCTGTCCACAGTTTTTTTGTTTGTTTGTTTGTTTGTTTTTTTAAGATGGAGTCTGGCTCTGTCGCCCAGACTGGAGTGCCGTGGCACAATCTCAGCTCACTGCAACCTCTGCCTCCCAGGTTCAAGCAATTCTCCTGCCTCAGCCTCCCTAGTAGCTTGGATCACAGGTGCCCGCCACCATGCCCGGCTACTTTTTATAGTTTTAGTAGAGACAGGGTTTCACCATGCTGGCCAGGTTAGTCTCGAATTCCTGACCTCAGGTGAACTGCCAGCCTCGGCCTCCCAAAGTGCTGGGATTACAGGTGTGAACCACCATGCCTGGCCTGATTTTTGTGTTCTTCAGTAACATCTCTTTTTAGTTAACAATGTCTTGGAAAAAATAGAAGAAGGTCAATATTGCGTAAGGGTTAAGTTCATTGACATTTAGAGTCAGAATTCCTGGCTTCAACTCAGCTGTTTTTTTTATCATAAATGTAATCTGAGGCAAGTTTTTAGACTGTCTGTACCTCTGTTTCTCTGTAAAAAGCAGGAAGATAATATTAGTTACCTATTTCATAGAGTTATTATGATGATTAAATGAGTTAACACATATAAAACACTTGGAATAATACCTGATACATAGTTAAGTGCTATCAAAAGTTTTGTTTGTTAGGCTAAGCGCTGTGGCTCATGCCTGTATTCCCAGCACTTTGGGAGGCTGGGACAAGAGGATAGCTTGAGCCCAGGAGATTGAGACCAGCCTAGGCAACATAATGAGACCTCGTCTCTACTAAAAATAAAAAACTTAGCCAGGCGTGGTGGCAGTCACCTCTAGTCCCAGCTACTCTGAAGGCTGAGGTAGGAGGATTGCTTGAGCCCAGGAGGTTGAAGCTGCAGAAACAGTGAGCCACTGCACTCCAGACTGGATGACAGAGCAAGATCCTGTCCCCATTGCCCCCCCGAAAAGTTCTTTTTAACTGCTGCATTTAATATTTATATTTTAAATATATTACACTGTAATATATTTAATTATCCCTCTAATAAATAGAAATTTTGTTGCTTGCATATTTTTGGTACTATAGACAGTGTTTCAGAGAACAACAGGCTGGGACCAGTGGCTCACGCCTGTAATTCCAGCACTTTGGGAGGCTGAGGAGGGGCTGGATCACCTAAGGTCGGGAGTTCGAGACCACCCCGACCAACATGGTGAAACCCCGTCTCTACTAAAAATACAAAAAAAATAAGCCAGGCTTGGTGGCGGGCACCTGTGATCCCAGGTACTCGGGAGGCTGAGACAGGAGAATCACTTGAATCTGGGAGGTGGAGGTTGCAGTGAGCCGAGATCATGCCACTGCACTCCAGCCTGGGCAACATAGTGAGATTCTGTCTCAAAAAAGAAAAAAAAAAGAACAACATTTCTGTTCAAACCTCCTTGTGCACATTTGCCTACACATTAGTTCAAGAAGTAGAAATGTTGAGTTAAAGGGTACATGTATGTTAAAAGTTATTATTAGGCCGGGCGTGGTGGCTCAGGCCTGTAATCCCAGCTCTTTGGGAGGCTGAGGCGGGTGGATCACGAGGTCAAGGAATCGAGACCATCCTGGCCAACATGGTGAAACCCTGTCTCTACTAAAAATACAAAAATCAGCTGGGCATGGTGGCACGCCCCTGTAGTCCCAGCTACTCAGGAGGCTGAGGCAGGAGAATCGCTTGAACCTGGGAAGTGCAGGTTGCGGTGAGCTGAGATTGCACCACTGCACTCCAGCCTGGTGACAGAATGAGACTCCATCTCAAAGAAAAAAAAGTTATTATTATGTTTATTTTATTTTATTTTACTTTAAGTTCTGGGATGCATGTGCTAAATGTGCAGGTTTTTTACATAGGTATGCATGTGCCATGGTGGTTTGCTGCACCTATGAACCCGTCATCTAGATTTTAAGCCCCGCGTGCATTAGGTATTTGTCCTAATGCTCTCTCTCTCCCCTTTTCCCCAACCCCTCTATTTTTTATTTTTATTTTTATTTTTGAGTTGGAGTCCTGCTATTTTGCTCAGGCTGGTCTCAAACTCCTGGGCTCAAGCAATTCTCCTAAAGCTGAGGGCAAACCTGACACTGATGTCACTTGCTTTTAGCTGTTTTTTTTTTTTTCTTCTGTAAAGAAAGGGCCCCTTCAGCCTTACTATAAATAACATCTCTGATGTATGGGTCACAGAGGTAATAGTTGCCTAAGTTGTTTTTCAGGAACATAGAATCAGCTTTGGTTCAGCTCAAACCAGGTGGGACCACTGATCCTTCAACTGGGCCTACGCGCATGTCTGATGGGTGACCTTTGACATCAGAGGGCTGAGAGCTCCACCTCAGATCATGCTAATGCTGCCATGTTTCTCTCTTTCTCTCTTTCTTTCTTTCTTTCCTTCCTTTCTTTCTTTCTTTCTTTCTTTCCTTCTTTCCTTCTTTCCTTCTTTATCTTCTTTCCCTCCTTCCTTCCTTCCTTCTTTCCTCTCTTCCTCCCTCCTTCCTTCTCTCCCTCCCTCCCTCCCTTTCTCTCGATTTATTTCTTTCTCTCTCTTTCTTTCTTTCTTTTTCTTTTCTTTTCTTTTATTTTCTTTCTCTTTTTTATAGAGACAGGATCACCCAGGCTGGAGTACAGTGTTGTGATCATAGCTCACTGCAGCCTCAAACTCCTGGGCTCAAGTCATCCTCCCACCTCAGCCTCCCAAAGTGCTGGGATTACAGGCCTGAGCCACTTGCCCGGCCAATGCTGCCATTTTTTGATCATGTATCCTATGAAGAACCAAAAATCTAGACTACACTTTTACAGAACACTGATTACCTCACTTTTCCTTATGCCTAATTATCTTTCCCCACACCTTAGACCACCCTGCTCTTCTAGCCCATAAATGTCCCTAAACTCCATCTTTGGGGAGGCGGATGTGAGACCCGTTCTCCCATCTCCTTGCTTGGCAGCCCACATAAATAAATTCTTTCTCCGCTACAAAACTCATTATGTTCATGGTTGGCTTACTGTGGTGTGGGCAAAACAGGCCTGGTTTTGTAACTGCCCAAAGGGTTCACCCTGCCCTCTGCCTAGACAGAGCCGATTCATCAGGACAGGGGATTTGCAACAGAGAAAGAGTAATTCATGCAGAGCCAGCTGTATGGGAGACCAGAGTTTTATTATTACTCAAATCAGTCTCCCTGGGGAGCAGAATTTTTAAGGACAATTTGATGGCGGAGAGGGGAGGCCAGTGAGCCAGGAATGCTGATTGGTCAGAGATGAAATCATAGCAAGTTGAAGCTGTCTTCTTGCACTGAGTCAGTTCCTGGGTGGGGCTGCAAGATGAGATGAGCCAGTTTATTGATCTGGGTGGTGCCAACTGATCCATCAAGTGTAGAGTCTGCAAAATGTCTTAAGCACTCATCTTAGGAGCAGTTTAGGGAGGGTCAGAATCTTGTAGCCTCTAGCTGCATGACTCCTAAACCATAATTTCTAAACTTGTGGCTAATGTTAGTGCTACAAAGGCAGTCTAGTCCCCAGGCAAGGAGGTCTGCTTTGGGAATGGGCTGTTACTGTCTTTGTTTTAAACTATAAACTAAGTTTTTCCCAAAGTTAGTTCAGCCTATGCCCAGGGAATGAACAAGGACAGCTTGGAGATTAGAAGCAAGATGGAGTCAATTAAGTTAAATCTCTTTTGCTGTCTCAGTCATAATTCTGCAAAGGCAGTTTCAGTTCAGTAACACTCTCACCTTAGCCAGCTGAGTAGCTGGGATTACAGGCACATACCACTATGCCTGGTTGAAATTATTAATTTTTATTTATTAATATTTAACTTGGCACTGCATACAAACAGTATAAATTTCAAGATGCACAAAAGATCCTACAGTAAAAGTCTCTCTTTCATTTCTGTTCCCCAGGAACTAGTTCCCCTCCCTAGCAACAACCACAGTTATTCATTTCTTATGTATCTTTTCAAAAAATCAACATGCATAAACAGTATATATACATACTGTGCATCTACATATGTTATACATACACATAAACACTTATACCTATGTGTGTGCACATGTATAGTCTTTCAAAAAATCAATGATAGTGTGCAATAAATGGAGTTGTATACTTTGCTTTTTTCACTTAATAATACATCTCAGAGGGGTTTCTCTAGGGCAGCTATAAAGCTGCCTTGCTTTTTAATGGCTGCATAGTATTCCATTGTATGGAGATGCCTTTATTTATTTATTTATTTATTTATTTATTTTTGAGACAGAGTCTCGCTCTGTTGCCAGGCTGGAGTGCAGTGGCGCAATCTCGGCTCACAGCAATCTGGAGATGCCATAATTTATTTAACCAGTCACCTATTGGTGGATATTTAAAATGTTTCTAGCTGGCTGCAGTGGCTCATGAGTGTCATCCAAGTGCTTTGTGAGGTGAAGGCAGGAGGATCACTTGAACCCAGGAGTTCAAAACCAGCCTGTGCAACATAGCGAGACTGTGTCTCTACAAACAATTTCAAATTTTTAAATTACCTGAGCATGGTGGCATGTGCCCGTTGTCCCAGCTACTCAAGAGGCTGAAGTAGGAGGATCGCTTCAGCCCAGGAGGCCAAGGCTGCAGTGATGTGTGAGCCACTGCTTTCCAGACTGGATGACAGAATGAGACACTGTCTCAAAATAAAATAAATACATAAATGAATAAATAAATAAAATGCCTCAAAAATAAAATGTTTCTAATATTTTGCTATAACAAACAACACTACAATAAATATCCATATGTTATCTTGTCTACGTACTTTTTTTATTTTATGAAATACTTTCTAATGGACCTAAAAATGGTGGGCCAAACATTTTTAACATTGTTTTATCTATTCATTGAGTGAATTTATCATACTTTACAAAAACATTTCTCTATGATGAACATTCGGGTTTCCTAATGGTTTTGTTAATAAATAAACTTCAAAGAATATAGGAATGTTTTTCTCATTTCTTCAACCCTGCTTCAAATTATAAACTAATTTCTTTTCATCCCTCCGTGGAAATAAATAACTGAAGTACATATTTTTCTAGATGTTTTAAAGAGCTGTAGCTTTGCTTTCCTTTGGGTTGGTTGAGAGATACATTAGTCTTCTTGGTGACAGGATGTTGATTATAGGCCTTTCAAATTTTCTTTGTACTAATCTATACTTTTGATATACTTCAGGGATTAGAAACTGAATTGTGAATTTATTCTCAGGCTGACACTATCACCATCACTGTTATCATCACCCTTGTCATCTATAAGTTTAAAGATTGACCAGCCTGGGCAACATGGTGAAACCCCATCTCTACAAAAAATACAAAAAATTAGCTGGGCATGTTGGCGTATGCCTGTAGTTCCAGCTACCTGGGAGGCTGAGATGGGAGGATCACTTGAGCCTGGGAAGTGGAGATTGCAGTGAGCCAAGATTGCGCCACTGCACTCCAGCCTGAATCACAGAGAAAGACCCCGTCTCCAAAAAAAGAAAGAAAAAAAGAGAAAGAAAGAAAGAAAGAAAGAAAGAAAGAAAGAAAGAAAGAAAAGAAAGAAAGAAAAGATTTATTAGGAGTCTTATTGGCCTGGTGAGATGGCTCACGCCTACAATCCCAGCACTTTGAAAGGCCAAAGAGAGATTGCTTGCCTCCAGGAGTTCGAGACCAGCCTAGGCAACATGGCAAGACCCTGTTTCTTTTTTTCTTTTTTTTGAGACGGAATCTCATTCTGTCACCTAGGCTGCAGTGAAGTGGCATGATCTCGGCTCACTGCAACCTCCGCCTCTCAGGTTCAAGCGATTATCCTGCCTTAGCCTCCCAAGTAGCTGGGATTACAGGCATGCACCACTATGCCTGGCTAATTTTTTTGTATTATTAGTAGGGACGGGTGAACTGCCCACCTGGCCTTTCAAAGTGTTGGGATTACAGGCATGAGCCACGGTGCCTGGCGAGACCCCGTTTCTATGAAAGAGTCTTATTATATCCGATGCTTTTATCCTTCCATATCCCATTTGCCTGCCTCATTTTGTTTAATACTGTTTTATTATTTTCTAAGAATTTTTATGCTTCTCATCTCTACAGCAGAGCCTTAGTGAAAAAATGCATAGATTTTTTAAAATAAAAGACAATCTAGAATTAAAATCTGGTTCTACAACTTATTTCCTATGTGACTTTTGCTAAGTTAAATAATCTGAGCATATAAAATGGGAATAATAATATTCACCTTGTGAGATAATTATTGAAAGACATGTATAAATATGAATATATTTGTCACCTCTCACATGCCAGGTCCTCTAGCCCTCAGAGTAGCCACATAGGAAGGCAAATATAGCAGGCTATGAAAAACTAAGACGATAGTATGAGATGAATGTGATTTGGAAAGGTTTCCAAGGCCAGGCACTGTGGCTCATGCCTATAATCCCAGTACCTCGAGAGACCGAGGCAGGAGGATTGCTTGAGCTCAGGAGTTCATGATCAGCTTGGGCAGCATATCGGGACACGGTCTCCACAAAAAATACAAAAGTTGGCTGAGTGTGGTGACACATGACTGTGGTCCCAGCTACTCAGGGGACTGAGGTGGGAGGACTGTTTGAGCCCATGAGGTTGAGGCTGCAGCAGTGAGCCATGATGGCACCACTGCACTCCAGCCTGGACAGCAGAGCAAAAAAAAAAAAAAAAAAAGAAAGAAAGAAAAGAAAGATTTCTAAACTAAGACCCAAAATTTGGCCAAGGGTGGTGGCTCATGCCTATAATCCCAGCACTTTGGGAGGCTGAGGTGGGTGGATCATGAGGTCAAAAGAGAAAGACCATCCTGGCCAACATGGTGAAGCCCCATTGCTACTAAAACTACAAAAATTAGTCGGGCGTGGTGGCTCACACCTGTAATCCTAGCTACTCAGGAGGCTGAGGAAGGAGGATTGCTGGAACCCAGGAGGCAGAGGTTGCAGTGAGCTGACATCGTGGCACTGTACTCCAGCCTGGAGGACAGAGCGAGACTCCATCTCAGGGAAAACAAAGACAAAAACAAAAACACAAAAATTTGAGAAAGTTTAGTTATGAATGGCAGAATGTTGGGTAGGAAGTGTTAAGTCCAAGAGAAAAATAAAAGCATGGATAAAGGCCTTGAGTCAGAGAGAACTTAACACACTCAAGGACTGAAATAAGTAGAGAAATTTAGAAGCCTGAAAAATAGGGAGGAGAGTGAAAGCAGCTAAGACCCCCAAATAGTTACTTTGGGAAACCTTACTGTTGGTCCATCCAATTGTCTCATCTCCTTTCTTGGTATAAGAACCCTATTTATGTTGTTTCAGAGAGCTGAGGTGCCAAGTCCTATGGAATAAATAATAAGTTTAAGCCAATCAGAGTGCTCCCATTCTCTTTTGCTAGTGACTGATTTAGGATGGCAATGGTGCCCAATTTTGACCAATTAGATAGGAAGGGAAGCCTGCAGAGGAAGGCCTCTAGGAAGCGTTTTTCTCCCATGTAAAAGAAGAGAGAGCTACAAGGGGGAAATCTTACCCTTTCCTTTTTGTTTTTGGAGGTTGTGTATAGAATTGACTGTTTCAGCCATAAGGGAGACATGCTGAGGATGGCAAGGGGCTGAGGCTGTGAGGACATAATTGAGCTGCTGAGACATCTCTGGAACTGTTTACACCTGGACTAGTTTGCCATATTCGATAATAAATATCTTTTTTTTTTTTGAGACAGAGTCTTGCTCTGTTGCCCCAGGCTAGAGTGCAGTGACATGATCTTGGCTCACTGCAACCTCTACCTCCTGGGTTCAAGCGAGTCTCCTGCCTCAGCCTCCTGAGTAGCTGGGCTTACAAGTGTGTGCCACCATGCCCGGCTAATTTTTGTATTTTTATTAGAGATGGAGTTTCATCACGTTGGCCAGGCTGGTCTCGAACTCCTGACCTCATGATCAGCCTGCCTCTGCCTCCCAAAGTGCTGGGATTACAGGTGTAAGCCACTGAGCTGGTCGATAATAAATATCCTTACTGAACGAGGCACTTTTAGTTGAATTTCTGATTCCTGCCATCAAAAGTAAGTCTTGCAGGAATTTTTAGATAATATTAAGGATTTGGAATTTAATCCTAAGGATTAGGAGAGCTATTAAAGGATTTTGTGCATGGGGTGACACAAGATGTTTGCTTTTCAAAAGATCACTTTAGTTGCCATGTGGATAATAAACTGGAGAGAGGCAATGATGGATGCGGGTAGAGCAGTTAGGAACTACTGCCATTAAGTCACACAAGAGAATGCAGTGATTTAAAATAAGCGGTGGCTATGGAAATAGAAGAAAATGAGCATGGTGGCTCACGCCTGTAATCCCAGCACTTTGGGAGGCCAAGGCAGGCGGATCATGAGGTCAGGAGTTCACGACTAGCCTGGCCAACATGGTGAAACTCCGTCTCTACCAAAAATATAATAAAATTAGCCGGGTGTGGTGGCATGCGCCTGCAATCCCAGCTACTCAGGAGGCTGAGGCAGGAGAATCACTTGAACCCAGGAGGCAGAGGTTGCAGTGAGCTGAGATTGCGCCACTGCACACTTCCAGCCTGGGCGACAGAGAGAGACTTCATCTCAGAAAAAAAAGAACTACTGAGATACATATTGGAGGCAGGATTGTGATTATGCTTGATTCAATGTGAATGAGGAAGAGGAAGAAATCAAGGATGACTTCCAGGTGTCTAGACTGAGCTATAAAGTGGATCATAGTGCCATTTGCTAAAAGAGAGATCAACCACTGGAGGAGGCTGCTACTATAATGAGTTCATTATTGGAGACATTGGGCTGAGGGTGTTTATGTCAAATGGTCAGTCATGTAAGCTATTAGGCTATTGGACATTTGAATGGCCTGGGGTAGAGATAAAGATGTGAAAGTTTTTGGAACCGAAATAGTGACAGAACCTGTGTGATTTTTGAGAGAAAGAGAAAGAGAGAAAGAGAGAGAGAGGAGAAGGGAAAAGGTCCTAAGACAGAATCCTAGGATCTCCAGCCCAGAGCCAGTGGAGAAGGAGACTCTGGCAAGGGAGAAGAAACAATAGCCAGAAAGAAAGAGGGAAAGTCAGAGTGTTTCCAGAAGGAGGGGATGGTCAGCACTAACAAACATAGTTGAGGGGTCAAGCAAAAAAAATAGCTGAAAAGAATCTATTGGAATTAGTTACATGAACGTCACCAGTGACACTGATAATAAAGCAGTTTTTGGACAGATGGAGGTGGAGAGGTTGGTTCAGAACCCAGACTGGACTGAATAAGAAGTGAATAATTAAGAAATGATGACAAAATGTAGAGGATCAGATCAAGAGATTTGGCCTTGAAGCGGATATGGGGCAGGAGTTGAGGCATAAGTGGGATGAAAGGGAGGTTTTTGTTTTCCTTTTGAAGATGGGAATAACTACCTTTTCATCTTATTTCCCCCCCCCCACCGCCTGCCCCCCACCACCCATGCTCCAGCTCCATAGGTCTTTCCTTTCTTTGGTTCTGCCTCATTCACTGTTCCCAGTCCACGCTTTTTCCTAAATCTTTGAATGGCTCACTTCTTTTCATTATTCATGGCTCTGCTCAAATGTCACTTCATCCAAAAATTCTTCTCTGAGCTTATTCTTCTCCTCATTGCCATTTACTGTTTTATCTTCTTCATGGCTCTGATTATCTGAAATGATTTTGTTCATTTGTTTATGGATTGATTACATGTATCTTCCTTTTGTTTGTTGTTTGTTTTTGAGACAGAGTCTCGCTCTGTTACCCACGATGGAGTGTAGTGGCATGGTCTCGGCTCACTGCAACCTCCACCTCTTGGGTGCAAGTGGTTCTCCTGCCTCAGCCTCCCAAGTAGCTGGGACTACACGCATGTGCCACCACACCTGGCTAATTTTTGTATTTTTAGTACAAAAATTTTTACTAAAGAAATGTATTTCTAGTAGAGACGGGGTTTCACTATGTTGGCCAGGCTGGTCTTGAACTCCTGACCTTGTGATCCACCTGCCTCGGCCTCCCAAATTGCTGGGATTTCAGGCGTGAGCCACTGCACCCAGCCTGTTTTGGTTTTTTGAGACAGGGTCTCCCTCTGTTGCCCAGGCTGGAGTGCAGTGGCATGATCTCGGCTCACTGCAGCCTCCACCTTTCCGGTTCAAGCGATTCTTGTGCCTCAGCCTCCCAAGTAGCTCACACCCAGCTAAGTTTTGTATTTTTAGTAGAGACAGGGTTTCACCATGTTGGCCAGGCTGGTCTCAAACTCCTGACCTCAGGTGATCTGTCCTTCTTGCCTCCCAAAGTGCTGGGATTACAGGCGTGAGCCACTGCCCCGGCTTGGTTTGTTTTTTGAGACATGGTCTCACTCTGTCGCACAGGACGGAGTGCAGTAGTGTGATCTTGGCTCCCGTGCTCAAGTGATCCTCCCACCTCAGCCTCCCAAAGTGCTGAAATTACAGGCGTGAGCCACGGTACCCGGCCTATATCTCCTAATTAAAAGTAAAGCCTGGGTGAAGTTTATGGCCTGCTAAATACGTACATGTATTATATGCGTTATTATATCCCATGTGTTATATTATATATTATTGTATATGTGTATTATATACTATGTACTATTCTTACAACTGTATGTGAATCTATAATTATCTCAAAGTTTTGTTTTTGTTTTTTAAAGTAAGTTCTGTGAGAACTGGGATTTTGTTTGCTTGTTGACGATTGTGTCTTCATCACTAGAACCGAGTCTGGCGTGCAGTGGGCACTAAATAAGTCTTCGTAAAAAGTGTAAATTAACGCCCGGCTAATTTTTGTATTATTAGCAGCGACGGGGTTTCACCATGTTGGCCAGGCTGGTCTCGAACTCCTGCCCTCAAGCAGGAGTTTCAAGCCCGCCTCGGCCTCCCAAAGTGTTGGAATTACAGGCGTGGGCCACCGCGCCTGGCTGATCATGTTTAAAGGGCGGGGTGGGGAGCGTACAAACAACAGAGGAAATCCTGAGCCGCAGAGGAAACTGGAGATGGCAGGGTTTAGCACTAGAATCTCTGTAGGAGAGGTAAGATTGGAATCCTAATCTCCAGGACTCTTTCCACTACCCAGGCTATCTCTCCATTAATGGACTATTGATTGGATGACAGAGTAGCGATAGCACCGTCTTAGGAGACGCCCAATCATAGGTCATAGGTCATTTTTGCAGCTTATTGTGATGACAACAGTGGAGGATGGTCTTCCACTTCACCTTAAAAGCGGCTGTTCTCTGATTATCATTAAGCATGGCCACGCCCGCACTTAACTTCTGACAGTGGGGAAAGCAGCTGTGTGTGATAGCTTGGAAGGTTTACTGCTGCCTCAAGTCCTCTTCTCTGCAGTTGAGGTTTCAGGTTTCAATCCTCCCAATACCACAAGACAGAGCACGGGGCGGCTGCCGCCTCCGCCTCCGCGCCTTAACCTAGGCGGCTTGCCGAAGATCTCAGCCCCGCGGCCGCGCGCTCGCCCTGCCCTAGACCAGGGTTGGGCGCAGCGGCGGAGGTGGCTTCTGGGCTGCGCGAGCTGGGAGAGCTGGGAGGCGGCGATCGCAGCTGGGCCGGGACTTCCTTCCTCCACCGCACGGCAACAAAACAACCCTGCGGCAGGCACTGAGTGCTTCGCAGCTGTCTGGGCGAGAGGCACAGCGATGGGCTCCGTGCTGAGCACCGACAGCGGCAAATCGGCGCCCGCCTCTGCCACCGCGCGGGCCCTGGAGCGCAGGAGGGACCCGGAGTTGCCCGTCACGTCCTTCGACTGCGCCGTGTGCCTTGAGGTGTTACACCAGCCTGTCCGGACCCGCTGTGGCCACGTGTAAGTTCCAGGGGAGCTCGGTTTGCGCCCACCCCTAAGGAGGGCGATGTGGGGAAGCTGAGGGCATGGTGTGGGGAAGGAGGGGGACGGAAGACAGCCTCTTAGGAAATTGCTGCAGGGAGAAACCTGGACCCGTCGGATGCAGGACCACGGGGAAAACGCGGGTCGGAAGGTGACACAGGATTTCGGGAGGAGAAAAAATAAACAAGCGGGTCCTGTAGCCCCCTTGCGCTTTCAGCTCCCGAAGCCCAGGTGCGGAACTCCAGAGAAGGGGATCCAGGCACGGGTCCCGCCCAGAGCCAGGGCTCGCCAACTGGGGAGGGTGCTCTTGGCTGGAGAACCAGCGCTCGCCCAGGCACGGAAAGGAAACGAGCTCCAGCTACAAGGCAGGGGCTCCCGCAAAGCGCAGTTACCCCGCTGAACACGGTAGAACGGGCTGCGCTTCCCTCTGCCCCAGAAACCCGGGTCCGTTTTGTTTTGCTGGAGCTGTGCACGTGTTCCCAGAATGCCCACAGAGGCTCGTCTTAAGCAAACAAGGATCTGTGCAAAGTGTCTTTCCACCCCCACCCCTGCTACCCTTTCCCAACACAGACACCCAGCCCCTCAAAGGGCAAGTCAAACTGGAGCTTCCGAGTGACTTTCCACAGTTGTTAGAGTTTAACAACCTGCTAGGGTGGGGCTTGGACGTTAGCCGCCAAGCCCCTGAATGTACTCCTTCAAAACCCAGCCACAACGTAACAGGAGGTGGCAGGCTACCTGCTTTACGCACGGTCTCTCCAAACCGGCGGAAATTACAGAGTAAAATAACTTTCTCAAAACCGCATAGTACTTAGCTAAAACTCACAGTTGGTGCAAAGCCGTGGTCGTTTCTAAGAAGAATTTAAAAACAAAGTCCCTATATAAAATTGGCACATCCTTAATGTGTGTTTGAATAACTGGTGGAGTTGGAGCTGTGAATTTGTGCTCTCTGTTTACTGTGTGTGTGTGTGTGTGTGTGTGTGTGTGTTTGAGAGAGAGAGAGAGAGACGTAGTCTGGCTCTGTCGCCCAGGCTGGAGTGCGGTGGTGCTATCTCGGCTCACTGCAACCTCCGCCCACTGCAACCTCCGCCTCCCAGGCTCAAGTGAGTCTCCTGCCTCAGCCTCCCGAGTTGCTGGGATTACAGGCGCCCACCCCCACACCCGGCTAGTTTTTGAATTTTGAGTAGAGATGGGGTTTCACCATGTTGGCCAGGCTGGTCTTGAACTCCTGACCTCAATTGATCCACCCACCTCGGCCTCCCAAAGTGCTGGGATTAAAGGTGTGAGCCACTGCACCCAGCCTTCTCTCTTTGCTTTGATTTTTTTTCGTGGATACGTGTGTGTGTGTTGTGTCTGCACAGATCAGGAGCGGAAGCCTACTTAATGTCCTTTGAAGGGTGACTATAGTATGATGAAGCCATGTGTGATACCACAGTGGCTTGTACCAGCATTTGGCTTAGCAGGAAGAAAGAAATACCGTTATTATGAATGCAAGTGCACAACATGTTTTTGAGGACCACTTTTGAAAGGATTTAGGTAGTCCTTAAAAACATGTTGTGCACTTGCAGTCAAAAGTTTTGACGCCCGGCGTGGTGGCTCACACCTGTAATCCTAGCACTTTGGGAAGCCGAGGTGGATGGATCACCTGAGGTCAGGAGTTCGAGACCAGCCTGGCCGACATGGTGAAACCTCGTCTCTACTAAAAATACAAAAATTAGCCAGGTGTGGTGACCCGTGCCTGTAATCCCAGCTACCTGGGAGGCTGAGGCAGGAGAACTGCTTGAACCTGGGAGGCAGAGGTTGCAGTGAGCTGAGATGGCATCATTGCACTCTAGCCCGGGCAACAGAGCAAAACTCAGTCTCAAAAAAAAGAAAGAAAAAAAAGAAAGTTTTGAAAGGACTTAGGTAATCCTTAATACCTATAGCCTTGTATCTGAAAAGCAGTTTTCACTACTGCCCGTCTGTGAGCCAGGGACAAAAGTGTGCAGCCTGCACAATGTATAAATAAAGAGTGCTTTGGGCATTATTTCGTAGCTGTGTTTTCTTTTCTTTTGAGATGGAGTCTTGCTGTGTTGCCCAGGCTGGAGTGCAGTGGCACGATCTTGGCTCACTGCAAGCTCCGCCTCCCGGGTTCACGCCATTCTCCTGCCTCAGCCTCCCGAGTAGCTGGGACTACAGGTGCCGCCACCACGCCCGGCTAATTTTTTTGTATATTTAGTAGAGACGGGGTTTCACCGTGTTAGCCAGGATGGTCTTGATCTCCTGACCTCGTGATCTGCCCGCCTCGGCCTCCCAAAGTGCTGGGATTACAGGCGTGAGCCATGGAGCCCGGCCGTAGCTGTATTTTCAAGGCCTGTTGTTTCAGCTTTGTTCTTAAAACTCGAGGCTTAAATTTACCCTCCTTTCTATTACTGATGTTGTTGCTCAGCTGTCCAGATGTAGCTTATTAACATAATATCCACAGGCCAGTCTGGAAGCCAAGATGGGCTGTGTGAGTCATAAAATATATTGATTATTTTAGGGCAATAACAGCCTAAAGATATCTCCATTTAAATTGAGTCATTATTAGCATTAAAACTTTAAAGTTGTGCAAAACATAAACAGTGGGCGTTTTGAAGATTCTTTTTGGAACAGACCGCTTTGCTATTCAATGATCTGACTGGAGATTGTTTTCTCGGTTTGGACTTTGAATATTATAATTTACCATTTACAATATTTTTCCTTCTACTAAAGGATAATATAAATTTGCAAAATGTTAAATTTTTTGTTTAATCTTTTTCTTTGTTAAAGTGAATAGGAAACTAGCAACTGGAAAAATAGTCATAAAATAGCATTACAAGGGCTGAACAAATTGCCTTTCCTCTCTTTACTGTTCTTTGTTTTGACAAATCTATGTCCATTGTTCTGGCTGTGGGCAGAATTTCCATATTCCTCCTTTTGGCAAACTTACTTGGTCCCCTTCCACTTTATAAATGTTAACCAGAGTCCTTTCTGCAGTAGAGATTGTGAGCGTTAATACCATTTGTACATTCTAAATGAATTACTCTTTTCCATTGAAATTAAGTTGGAAAACGAATAAATGCAAATGAACCTTCTGTATTTTATTATCCCATATTGAAGCTACATTTTCAGACATGTTGAACTAGGTGGTTTATGCTGATTTTTGTTTGTAAACCTATTTCAAGTCAAACAAGTTTAATAATAACAACAGTACCTTGAATGAATATGTAAGAGCACTTTATAAGTTGTATTGTGATGCAGTAGTAACTGGCCCTTACAGAGAGCTGGATTTGAAATTCACCTCTGCCACTAGCCAGATGTGTGACCACTTTAGGGAAATTTGAATTTGATTTTTTTCCCCTAAAGTTTTGATCATTTGAGTCTATGAAACAAACTGCTAATAGATTAACAAGGGGGGAAAAGCTTACAAATGTATTAATGAGCATATGGGCATGGGAGTCATACAAAATATGAAAACTGAGAGAAAGGGCCAGATGCTTGATGCTTTTATACCATCTTGAGGTTACAGCAGAGTAGGGGCTTGGAACATGGTTATGGGAGGGAGAAAGAAAGAAGGGGCTGGGGCAAAGATGGTCTAGTTATGCAGATGAAACTTCATAGATAGCAGCTCCTAGAAAGAATAGGCATGAGCCTGTGTTAAGTTGCTCTGTCAGACCTTCGTAGGTGTCAGACTTTCAGTTAATAATTTCCTAGGTACAGATAAGGGGGTGCCTCCAAGAAAGCCTGGTTGTTTATTTCACCAGTGTAGATTTTCTCTACAGATGCAAGTCTCCTCCACAAAAGGCAGCTTTTCAGGGTTATTCCTGTGGGAATATATCAAAGAAGTACATTTTGGGGTGAAATATTTTCAGTTTCCTTTAGTCCCCCATTTAAAGCTTAATTTTTAAAACATTAAACATTTCCTTTATTTTTATTATTTATTTATTTATTTTTAGCGGTGAGATCTCACTCTGCCACCCAGGCTGCAGTGTAGTGGTGCAATCATGGCTCACTGCAGCCTCCACCTCCTGGGCTCAGCAATCCTCCTGCCTCAGCCTCTCACGTAGCTGGGACTATAAGTGCCTGCCACCATGCCTGGCTATTTTTCACTTATTTGTTTATTTTGAGATGGAGTCTCACTCTGTCACCTAGGCTGGAGGGCAGTGGCGTGATCTCAGCTCGCTGCAACCTCTGCCTCCCAGGTTCAAGTGACTGTCCCGCCTCAGCCACTCTAGTAGCTGGGATTACAGACATGCACCACCACACCTGGCTAGTTTTTGTATTTTTTGTAGAGGCAGGGTTTCGCCATTTTGCCCAGGCTGGTCTTGAACCCCTGAGCTCAGGTGATTTGCCTGCCTCGGCCTCCCAAAGTGCTGGAATTACAGGAGTGAGCCACTGCACCCAGCCAAGAAAGTGACAATTCTTTACATACCGCAAGGTCAGGATTTTGTAAGGGAACCATATACACAGGGTACCAGGCCAATCTTTTTCTAAGTCTGTTGGCTTTTTAATGTCAATTTCAGTCCCTCAAAACAGTTTGATCATGTATCTAAGTATGACATTCCAGTTAAAGCCTTGCTAAAATAACCACTGTCTCCAATTATGTCCTGTTCAGACTGTTACTGAACTTATGCATGTAACTATATTGCCATGAAATAGGAATACTCAAAACCCAGTTTGTGAATCCAAAGAGAAAAAGGTAAATTATTTTGCTCACAAAAGTATACTTGGCCAGGTGCAGTGGCTCATGCCTGTAATCCCAGGACTTTGGAAGGCCGATGCAGGAGGATGGCTTGAGACCAGCAGTTTGTGACTAGCCTGGGCAACATAGTGAGACCCCATCTCTACTACACAAAAGTCTTGTTCAAAAGAGAAAACCATATTTTACTTTTGAATCAGTATATCAATAATAAATTTAAATAAAACCTAATAAACAAGTCCATCCAATTTCAGTCAGCTTTGACCACACAAGATTTACATATCTTTTATAACCTCTTACGATTTTTCTTCTATTTCCAACTTTCTATATTCATTTAGTTTTATCTATATCTTTTTTTATTCTTTCAATTTGAAACAAGCTTCAAATAACTTCTAAACTAGACACAATTCGTTTTCCATTAACAAAAAAATCACACTTCATGCCATTCTTTTTTTTTTTTTTTTCTTTTTTTTTTTAAGATGGAGTCTCACTGTGTCACCCAGGCTGGCGTGCAGTGGCATGATCTTGGCTCATTGCAACCTCTGCCTCCCAGGTTCTCCTGCCTCAGCCTCCTGAGTAGCTGGGATTACAGGCGTGCACCACCACACCCGGCCTCATGCCATTCTTACAACCTTTCTCTCCAAGAACATATCTTGCTTTTTTGGTATATTCTGCCTGAAGAATTGTTTGTCTTATTTCTAGTAGTTTTATTTGTTTGTTTTTAGAGATATGATCTAAGAACAAACTACTCAGTGATGTGATCATAGCCTACTGCAACCTCAAATTCCTGGGCTCAAGCAATCCTCCTACCTCAACCTCCTGAGTAGCTGGAACAACAGGCATGCCCCACCACACCCTGCTAAAATTTTATTTTTTTATAGAGACAGGGTCTGCCTATGTTGCCCAGGCCAATCTTGAATTCCTAGGCTCAAGTGATCCTCCTGCCTTAGCCTCTCAAAGAGCTGGGATTACAGGCATGAGCACTCCCAAACTGCTGGGATTACAGGCATGAGCCACCACACCCAGCCAACTAACAATTTAAAACTAGCTTTATTGCTGGGCACAGTGGCTCACACCTATAATCCCAGCACTTTGGGAGGCCGAGGCAGGCGGATCACTTGAGCCCAGGAGTTGGAAACCAGCCTGGTCAACATGGCGAAACCTTGTCCCTACTGAAAATACTAAAAAATTAGCCGGGCATGGTGGCGCACATGGAGGCTGAGGTGGGAGAATCGCTTGAACCTAGGAGGCAGAGGTTGCAGTGAGCTGAGATCGCACCACTGCACTCCAGCCTGGGTGACAGATTGAGAGTCGTTCTCAAAAAAACAAAAACAAACAAAAAAACCTAGCTTGATTTACCAAAGATTACTAAAGTCATATGAACTTCGAAAAACATTTGGGATAGTTAATTTGTGAGTACTCATTTATTTAGAAGTCAGTTTGGTACTACAGACTATACAAACTCATGTGTAAACATATATATACATGTAGACACAACATATATCACATGCACACACCAGTATCCAAAAGCCAGAGAGATTAGGAAGTTTAATGCAGGAGAGCAGAACTTTAGACATGAGAGGATGGACCCTGCCCATGGCTTCTGTGGCTCAGTGAGAAGACAGAGGACCCCCAATGGCCAGGCGTGGTGGCTCACGCCTGTAATCCCAGCATTTTGGGAGGCTGAGGTGGGGGGATCACCTGAGGTCAGGAGTTCGAGACCAGCCTGCCCAACATGGCGAAACCCCGTTTCTCTAAAAATACAAGAAAATTAGCCAGGGGTGGTGGCAGGCACCTGTAATTCCAGCAACTCAGGAGGCTGAGGCAGGAGAATCACTTGAACCCAGGAGGTGGAGGTTGCAATAGCCGAGATGGCGCCACTGCACTCTAGCCTGGGTGACAAGAGTGAAACTCTGTCTCAAAAAAAAAAAAAAAAAAAAAAAAGAAGACAGAGGACCCCCAAAGAGGGGCGATTGGTGGCTTTTGTGTTTGTGTATGCGTGTGTGTGTGTGTTCCTCAAGGGGTCTCAGGGTTCACAGAAGTCCCCTCTAGGCCTCTTCATGTGGTATCAAAAATGGCAAAAAGGAGGAGGGGCAGAAGGGGAAGGAAATGGAAGAACAAGTCTTAGAGGAGCCAATTTGGGGAGATTTTAAGCTTTCAAAAGGCCAATACAGTTTTAGTTAGTAGGAGTCTGAGGAACAAAAAAAGGTCTAGTTGACTAAGAAGTTCCCAAGGGAGAAACAGGATTTGAAAGAGAACAGAGAATATCAGCTATTAATTAAGCTGGCTTTTGACCACAGAGCCATCTTTCTTAAAAAAAACTTTTTTTTTTTTTTTTGAGATGGAGTCTTGCTCTGTTGCCCACGCTGGAGTGCAACAGCGCAATCTTGGCTCACTGCAACCTCCGCCTCCTGGGTTCAAGCGATTCTCGTGCCTCAGCCTAAAAAATCCTTTTAAATATGCAAGCAGCAAACATTTTGTCCTCTGAGCACCCGGTCTTTTTTTTTTTTTTTTTTTTTTTTGAGATGTAGTCTTGCTCTGTCGTCCAGGCTAGAGTGCAGTGGCCCGATCTGGGCTCACTGCAACCTCTGCCTCCCGGGTTCAAGCAATTCTCCTGTCTCAGCATCCCGAGTAGCTGGGACTACGAGGGTGTGCCACCACACCCACCTAATTTTTGTATTTTTAGTAGAGAAGAGGTTTCACCATGTTGCTCTCAAACTCCTGACCTCAGGTGATCTGCCTGCCTCGGCCTCCCAGAGTGCTGGGATTACAGGTGTGAACCACTGTCCCCAGCCTGAGCACCCAGTCTTTTGTGGGAGCAGAGAGAATGGTAGCTGTGGCATTTCATGCTTCTTTTTCCCCAGACCCTCCCAGCACCCCCTCTTTAGGGGGTACCCACCTCTCCTCACCTGTTTGGTTCCCAGCTGTAGCAGGAGGTATGTCTCTCTGGCCCCGTAGAGGAAGCAGATTAATGGGGAAAAAGTTACTATCACACTCTAAATATAAACCAACGTTTTAACCAAAGGAAATAACTCAAAATCAAAACAAATAAGAACATTTGAGACTGAAACCAAGAAGCTCTTGATGGCTTCAACCAAGGTTTCCTAAGAGGGAGCAAAAGTTGCAACCCTTTCAAAATCCAGATCATTCCCTACAACAGCTTAAAGAAAGCAAGGTTTTGCCAGCCGCAAATGGGGTACAACCCACATTTTTGTCTGGCCATATTCTCTAGGGTTTAAGACAGAGGAAAACAACAGCTGGATGAGAGGCTTACAGAATGAATGGGTACCCCAAAGGTTAAGAAGTCATACAAATATAAATTCAAAACAATTCAAACTAATTTTTTCCAAGTATTTCTTTTATTTTTCCTTCCTGAGTTAAAGGATTTACATCTCCTGGGGTCTTGTTCCCTGAAAGGGAATTGAATCCAGGCTGCAGTGGTGAAAGTGCAGAATCCTTACCACTGGACTACAGGATGGAGTCTTTTTTTTTTTTTTTTAATTTAACAAATTTCATAAGGAATCTAAAGCATGCAATTTGAGTACAAAGGATTTTAACTTTGTTTTAAATCTGATTTCTACTTTTCAAAAATCTTGCCGAGGGAGTTTCTAAACCTGTATTCCTTTTGTATCTTTTCATAGGTACCAATAAGGTAGCTATTTAAGATGTGAGCTCTAAAAAGTTTTCTTTTAAATATAGCCATTCATTTATTTTAAAAGCGATTGAAACCAATACAAGAACTAATTTATATGTTTTTCTCTGTTGATCCAAATTTAGAAAGGGTAAAACACAGAGACTCATACCATCCACATTTGACCAGGCACTATAGGCAGAGATCGGAGAGGAGAACTGACTTGGTTAAAAAAAAATGAGTTTACCTTTCTTTGCTGGCTTTTCATCCGTTGTTCCAAGATCCCATTCATTGGCTCTAGAATGAACAAAATGACTTACATCCTGATCACAACACCAAAAATTTTTCTCCTAAAGATTCGATACTTTGAGTCTATAAAACAGGCAGATAACAGATTAATGGGATAAAAGCATACACATTTATTAATATGCATATGGGCGTGGGAGTCATACAAAATATGAAAACTGAAAGAAAGGGCCAGATGCTTGATGCTTTTATACTTGAGGTTACAGAAGAATGGGGGATTGCAAGATGGCAAGACAAGTTATAAGAGGGAAAAAAAAACATAAGGGGCAAAGCTGTTCTTGTTATACAGATGAAACTTCACAGGTAGAAGCTCTCAGAAAGAATGGGCAGTAGTCGGCCGGGCGCGGTGGCTCACACCTGTAATCCCAGCACTTTGGGAGGCTGAGGCGGGCGGATCATGAGGTCAGGAGATCGAGACCATCCTGGCTAACATGGTGAAACCCCGTCTCTACTAAAAATACAAAAAATTAGCCGGGCATGGTGGCGGGTGCCTGTAGTCCCAGCTACTCAGGAGGCTGAGGCAGGAGAATGGTGTGAACTAGGGAGGCAGAGCTTGCAGTGAGCCGAGATTGCACCACGGCACTCCAGCCTGGGCAACAGAGCGAGACTCCGTCTTAAAAAAAAAAAAAAAAAAAAAAAAAAAATAATAGGTAGTGGTTCATGATAAGTTTTTTTGTTAGACCTTCAAACGTTTCAGACTCTTGGTTAATCTCCTAGATTGGGCAGGGGAGACCTCAGAAAGCCTGCCTATTTATTTCACCAATGTAGACTTTCTCTACCAATGTAGACTTTTCTCTCCCCCACAACATGCAGCTTTTCAGGGTTTTTCCTTTCTGCAGGCCATCTCAATAGCCATCTCGAAGTATGTCAAATAATTATTTTTGGGGGTAAAATATTTTGTTTCCTTTTTTTTTTTTTTTTGAGATGGGGTCTCGCTCTGTTATTCCGGCTGGGGTGCTGTGGCGTGATCTCAGCTCACTGTAACCTCTACCTCCTGAGTAGCTGGGACTACAGGTGTGTGCCAACACGCCCGGCTAATTTTTGTATTTTTTAGTAGAGATGGGGTTTTGCTATGTTGGCCAGACTGGTTTCAAACTCCTGGCCTCAAGTGATCTGCCCACCTCAGCCTCCCAAAATGCTGGGATTACAGGTTGAGCCACCCTGCCCAGCCAATTTTCTTTACCACTAAGTTGCTTAATCTCTTTGAATCTCTGTTTCTTCATTTGTAAAATGGGGTGAGTAGTGCCATTTTTATGAATATTTAAAATGTAAAAGTATCCCATAGTAAAGGCTCAAAACATGGTTTCTCTTTCCTTCAGTCATTCCATAAGCAAAACCCCAGGAACAGATATTATTTCTTATCTCTGTATTTCTTTTGGAAGAACACTGTGCCATGAAAAGTTGATCTATGACATTTCTAAGATGTCTCATATAGCCTCACTTTTAGCTTAGTTCTTTTTCCTTTGGTGGACTTTAATTTAAGAAGTTTCACTTTAATGTTTTATAATTTTAAGTGAACTTTATTCATATTGCTGTATCAGTTGTAAAAAATAGATTTGAAGGAAGAGCCTTCTCACTTCTGCCTTATCTTCTATTAGAAAGCTGGGGTGAGAGCCACTAGATAACTTGGAGCTGTATAAATGGAACTTAAAAGGAGTCTGGAGGCTGGGTGTGGTGGTTCATGCCTGTAATCTCAGCACTTCGGGAGGCTGAGGTGGAACTGCTTGAACCCCAGAGTTTGAGACCAGCCTGGGCAACAAAGTGAGACCTCGTCTGTACAGAAAAAAAAAAAAAAAAAGCTGGGCATGGTGGGGCATGCCTGTAGTCCCAGCTACTCAGGAGGCTGAGGTGGGAGGATCACTTGAGCTCGGGAGGCTGCTGTGAGCAGTGATTGCACCACTGCACTTCAGTTTGGGTGACAGAATGAGACCCTGCCTCAAAAAAAAAAAATGATTTACATTCAAAGGAAATACTCAAAGACATTTGTTGTCAGATTGAAAACAGTAGATGCAAGGGAGAAAGATATCAAAGCCAACCACTGGGCTTTAAGGCTGGTGAATAAACGGGGTCAGAGAGACTGGCACAGGAGGAAGTGAGTGCACTCATGAATGGGCCTGCTGAATGTACAGCAGTCTGATAGGCAGATATCCAAATGGAAATATCCAAAGGCTCTGGAGGAATAGACTGGGGGAAAGAGATCAGGGCTGGAGACTGAGTTATCTAAAAAGCATCTAGAGGTTGAGAATGGGCTGAAGAGAGCTAAATGAACTGGAGCACACCATAAGAAAGAGCCAAGTCTCCATTGACCTCAGATACAACTGCTCTAAGTCATAGAATGTACCTAATTTTTATTTTTATTTTTTATTATTTAATTTAATTTTTTGAGCCAGTCTCGCTCTGTCACCCAGGCTGGAGTGCAGTGATGCGATCTTGGCTCACTGCAACCTCCACCTCCTGGTTCAAGCGATTCTCCTGCCTCAGCCTCCTGAGTAGCTGGGACTACTGGCGCATGCTGCCACGCCCAACTAATTTTGTATTTTTAGTAGAGACAGGGTTTCACCATGTTGGCCAGGCTGATCTCGAACTCCAGACCTCAGGTGATCCGCCCGCCTCTCCCTCCCAAAGTGCTGGGATTACAGGCGTGAGCCACCCTACCCGGCAGTGAATGTACCTAATTTTTAGAAAATGAAACTCTGTTTAGGATAATTCTGAAATACTTTCAGGTAAATGGATTGAAACGTTCAATTTGTGGTCAAGTATGAGCAGTAAAGCGTACATCAAATTGGTGGTTTCCTAAGTAGAGTCTGAGAGTCTTCCTGATGAGTTTTAAATTGATCCAGAAATATGCATGAGTGGCTTTCATTCTTACAGGACATTTGCAATCCCACTGTAAACCAAAAATAAAATTCTAAGGCCCCCAACCAACTGAATGGACCTTTCCTCTCTGCCAAGGGCATTCTAAAGTAAACCAGAAACACTAGTTCACGCCATGATGGGAATGGGTATTTATCAAATACTACAGACTGGGTAATAGATAAAGAAAAGAATCTTTTCAGCTCACAGTTCTGGAGGCTAGGAAGTCCAAGAGCGTGGTGCTGGGACCTGGCTAGGGTCATCCCCTGGTGGAAAGGTAGAAAGAAGTTGGCAGAGTGGGAAAATGCACGTGAGAGAGCTCGCTTATTATTTTATTATTTTATTTTTTAGAGATGGGGGTCTCACTATGTTGCACAAGCTGGACTCAAACTCCTGGGCTCAAGTGATCCTCCTGCCTCAGAGAGTTGGCTTTTATAGCAAAGCCACTTCTGCAAGAACTAGCCCACTCCTGTGATAACGGCATTCATCCATTCATCACAGTGGAGCCCTTATGACCTAAATGCCTCCTGAAGGTTCCACCTCTCAATACCACCACAAGAGGAACCAAGTTTTCATGCTTGAACTTTGGGGGGACACATTCATTATATCAGGCCTCCTGGTTATACAGGCACATTCATGGTCTTATATTTGTGACTTCTGCTTGTTACTGGGAAGAACTGAGGTTTCTTGAAAAGACTACAAAATTTGAGGCCCTACCCAAACTGTTTAAGGATCAGAGCACTACTGTCTGTGGCTGCATAAACTTGGCACGTTGCTACACTACTCTGAACCTTAGTTTGCCATCAATAAAATGAGGAGAAAGCACAGTAGCGTTTTATGAATTATTGTAGGAGCCTACAATAATAGGGGATAATGTATACAAGTGTCCGCCATAGGGCTCGGCACCAGTATTTGTATTCTGCTTGCATTGGCATACAACTCAAATTGTGGGAAAAAAAAAAAAAAAAAAAAAAAAAAGGGAAAACTGCTAGTTGACAAAAAAACAAAATGTTATCTGCTTGCCTCTAAATAATGTAAGCAAATAATTCATGTCAGAACCATAAGTGTTGTATTAGAAATGTTAATTGTGAGTTGAGCATTTGAACCATTTGTCATAAATTTCATTCAAGACTACATTTTGAGAACCCATTCTTAGAGACTCAGAGACATCCAAGGTCAGATTGTACCTTAGAACTTATAATTAGCTGAGATAGAAAGAAGTAAAATATGTATAGCAGAGAACTTAGATTTCTTGATCTTAAAATATTGATCTTCCCAACTGGGGTAGCTGTGGTAGTGGAATAAAAGGTTACTGAAATTTGGGTCAGAAAACCCCAGCTTAAGACCAACCAAGTTCAAGCACTTTCTTTTTTTTTTGAGAGAGAGAGATGGAGTCTTGCTGTTGCCCAGGCTGGAGTGCAGTGGCGCGATCTCAGCTCACTGCAACCTCTGCCTCCTGGGTTCAAGTGATTCTCCTGCCTCAGCTTCCCAAGTAGCTGAGACTACAGGCATGCACCACCACACCCAGCTAATTTTTGTATTTTTGTTTTGTTTTGTTTTGAGACGGAGTCTTCCTCTGTCACCCAGGCTGGAGTGCAGTGGCACGATCTTGGCTCACTGCATCCTCCGCCTCCCGGGTTCAAGTGATTCTCCCACCTCAGCCTCCCGAGTAGCTGGGATTACAGGCACCCACCACCATGCCTGGCCAATTTTTGGTATTTTTAGTAGAGATGGAGTTTCACCATGTTGGCCAGGCTGGTCTCGAACCCCTGACCTCAAGCGATCCACCTGCCTCAGCCTCCCAAAGTGTTAGGTTTACAGGCAGAAGCCACCATGCCTGGCTGTATTTTTTTTTTTTAGTAGAGACGGTTTCACTCTGTGTTGGCCAGGCTGGTCTCGAACTCCTGACCTCAGGTGAGCCACCTACCTCCCAAAGTGCTGGGATTACAGGCATGAGCCACTGTGCCTGACCAAGCTCAAGCACTTTCTATTTATGTGATTTTTTTCCCCCCAAGCCAAACTTTATCCAGCTTTATTAAAGATACTTTCCATAAACAGTCACAGTATTTCAAGCAGGACGTGGGCAGACAATCCTTAACAGTATGCAACAACTTTCAAACTCGCTTCTTCAATGGACTACCAAAAAACATAAAGCCACTTTAAAACCCAGTGGAGGGCCGGGCTTGGTGGCTCACGCCTGTATAATCCCAACTACTTGGGAGGCTGAGGCAGGAGAATCACTGGAACCTGGGAGGCAGAAGTTGCAGTGAGCCGAGATTGCGCCATTGCAGCCTGGGCGACAGAGCAAGACATCTGGCAAAAAAAACCAAAAAAACCCAAAACAAAACGAAAAAACCCAATGGAGTATTCATTTGATACTCTGAACAAGAAAGTTTAGGGTGAGGGTTGACATTTCACATTTAGCATGTTGTTTAACATGAGCCGACCCTGACTTTCAGGGAGTGAAATGAAAATGGCAGAATTTGTCTGACGATACACAATGTAGAAATTGAACCACTGCTCTTTTGAGGAGCCCCATCTCAGTGGCATCACTGGAAAGTCCAGATTGCCTGACATGCTGGTAACCAATTATTGGGGGCCAGTCCCCAACAGGTGTGTGGGTTTAACGGAGTTAAGTTTATGCTGAAGATGGAAAGGGAGAAGAGGACATAGGAACAAATTTGTTTTTCCATACCACAAGGCTGTTGTGCCAAGGTGTCTGTGTTTGTCAAAGTCAGGGAATCCCTTCTCCTGGGAGCCAAGAGGAAGCCTCTCAAAACTAGAAGGGAACACCAGCCTGGCCAACATGGTGAAACCCCTCCTCTAGTACTAAAAACACAAACATTTGCCGAACATGGTGGCACATGCATGTAATCCCAGCTGCTTGGGAGGCTGAGGCAGAATTGTTTGAACTCAGGAGGTGGAGGTTGCAGTGAGCTGAGATCATGCCATTGCACTCCAGCCTGGGCAACAAAGCAAGACTCCACCTCAAAAAAAAAAAAAAGTCTGGGCACAGTGGCTCATGCCTGTAATCCCAGCACTTTGGGAGGCCGAGGAGTGCGGATCACCTGAGGGCGAGAGTTTGAGACCAGCCTGACCAACATGGAGAAAACCCGTCTCTACTAAAATACAAAATTAGCTGGGCGTGGTGGCGCATGCCTGTAATCCCAGCTACTCAAGAGGCTGAAGCAGGAGAATCATTTGAACCTGGGAGGTGGAGGTCGCGGTGAGTCAAGATCTTGCCATTGCACTCCAGCCTGGGCAACAAGAGTGAAATTTCATCTCAAACAAACAAACAAACAAACAAAAAAGTAGAAGGGAAAGGTGTTTTCCCCACATCAATCCAGCTTCTAGACGTTCTATTAGTGACAGTGACTGATATCCCATCCCCAGAAAACAACAATGAAGTGTTCTGTGTGCTAACAACATACCTTTAAAAAAAAAAAAAAGAAAACCAAATACTGCATTTTTATAAAACTTGATAAAAAATAGTATTTCAAACTGTACAGTCACCACAAGTACATAGTTATCACAGATGCACACACTTGACCTGGCACCTCCAGCACCTTGGCTTCCTGTGCCTGGTCTGTTTAGGCATCTGCATTCTCTGCAGGGTTATTCCCCTCCTTGCCACCATCAGTTCTTCCCTTTTTCTCTTTGGGTACCTTCTCTCCCTTCTTTGCAAGGGTCTCCTTAGACTTGGCTTTGGAGAAGCAAGTTTAACAGACAACCTCGCGGATCTTCTCTGTGGTTCATCCTTCACCTTGGCGTTATCTCCTTAGCATCCCGCTCAGTCTTTCTCTTGAGCAGGGCGGCAGCTGCAGCGGGACATAAGCCCTGGGTAAGGGATGCAACAGCGCATAGGTTATAGTCGGTCTGGGGGTTGTTCTTGCTGCTTCTTCACACTGTTCCTTTACGTGATCTTGCAGAAGCAACTTACCCTGTATGTGCCTTGGTTTCCTTATCTATAAATGGAAATAATGATCTTTCTTGGGAGTGTATTAAGATTAAATGAATTAAGGTATATGGAAGAGTTTTTAAAAACTTTGGTAGAGAACCAGTGTATCAAGCTTGAAATTAGACATAAAAAATTACTGGCCGGGCACAGTGGCTCATGCCTGTAATCCCAGCATTTTGGGAGGCTGAGGCGGGCAGATCACTTGAGGTCAGGAGTTCAAGACCAGCCTGGCCAACATGGCGAAACACAGTCGCTACTAGAAGTAAAAAAAAATTAGCCGGGCATGGTGGTGCACACCCGCAATCCCAGCTACTTGGGAGGCTGAGGCAGGAGAATTGCTTGAACCTGAGAGACGGAGGTTGCAGTGAGCCGAGATTGTACCTGGGCAACAGAGCGAAACTCCATCTCAAAAAAAAAAAAAAAAAATTACCATACAATAACAAAAATAGCTAAAAGGAAAGGGTAGGAACCAAGGCAGATATGGAGTTCTACGTAAAGGGAGAAAAGTTCCATCTGGTTGCTACTGAATCTGTCATTATGTCACTGTGTGCAGTGTTCAACTTCCAGAGACATGGTCTATACTTGACTTGGCTTGCCAGGTGCTCATGCCTTCAGCAGGAGTTGGTAGGCACCTTGATTTAGGTCCCACTGAGACTATATGTAATATAAGAGGTATTGTTCCTGAAGAACAAGAGCAGGATGCTATTGCAAGAAAAAGGAGGAATGGATGCTGGACAGGTATAAACAACAAGTAGATGTCTCAATCACTGCACAAGTGAGCATCCTCTGTGTGCTTATAGTAATTTGATAACAGATGCAGAAGAGAATACTGTTACGAATCAGTCATGATCCAAGCCAAATTCAAACATAATAAGAAAAAAATAAAGAGGAAAAAAATCGGTAGTGACTAATATAATTAGGAGTTAAAGAGGAAAAGAAGAAGAAGAATTGTTTGGAAAATAGCTGTGCCTGCCCATCACTAAAGTTTATCATCAGCAAGTATTTAAATACTACCCAGATGTCCATTAACAACAGAAGGGTAAATAAATTTGGGTGTATTCATACAATAGACTTCACAAAATTAGAATGGACAATCTCAACTATATACAACAATATAATGAATCTTTTGACCATAATATTGAGCTAAAGAAGACCAAGAATACATACCAGAGGGTTCCATTTATAGGAAGTACAGAAACAGGCAAAACTGATCTTTGTTATTAGAAGTCAATGATTAGCACCACCAAGGATGGTAAGCAGGGATGAGAAAGCTGCAGTCTATAGGCTGGTACAATGTTTGAAAAGTATAATTTTCATATGTTAAAATACATTTTAAAAAGTCAGTGATTACTTTGGAGGGGATAGAATTGTGTCTGGAGGCCGGGCACAGTGGCTCACGCCTGTAATCCCAGCACTTTGGGAGGCTGAGGCAGGTGGATCACCTGAGGTCAGGAGTTCGAGACCAGCCTGACCAACATGGTGAAACCCTGTCTCTACTAAAAACACAAAAAATTGGCCAGGCGTGGTGGTGGGTGCCAGTAATCCCAGCTACTTGGGAGGCTGAGTCAGGAGAATTGCTTGAACCCAGGAGGTGGAGGCTGCAGTGAGCTGAGATCGTGTCATTGCACTCCAGCCTGGGTGACAAGAGCAAGACTCCATCTCAAAAAAAAAAAAAAAAGAGAAGGAAACAAGAGGGGAAATTTTAGGGGCTGGCCACGCTGTTTTTGTTATAGGTACTGGTTATATGGATGTGTTCAGTTTTGAAATTTCATTCAACTATATGCTTATAAGAACTTTCCAGTATGTACAGTATACTTAAAATTTAAAAAGCCTACCTTTGGACATGTATTAATACTCCCAAATAGATATTATGTGCTGAGTAGTTTAAGAGGCATCAGGTCATGCTCATGTGTATAAATTACCCAAATGCTCATTTTTATTTCTATGTTTATGGAGTCTTCAACAACTCCTATAAATAGGTCAGAATTTTCTGGAAATGTTGATTATGTTAAGATTTCATAATGAGCACCTTTAAATAAACCAGAGAACATATTTCTTGACCAGAAAGGAAGGAAGGAAGGAAGGAAGGAAAGGAAGGAAGGAAGAAGGGAGGGAGGGAAGGAGGGAGGGGAGAGGGGAGGGAGGGAGGGGAGAGGGGAGGGGAGGGAGGAAGGGAGGGAAGGAGAAAATGGTTTTATAGGGAATTATAATGTGTCTGGTATTTTTACTTCCTTGACTTCCTGCTATTTTCTTATGTGACACACAAAACCCCACAGAAGAAAGACATATTTTCTCAAGAAATTTGAGGTAAAATCCAATTTAGACATTCTTTAAAGTATCGTTTAAACTTAGCCTATAGGAAAGCTATTTCACCCACTTTGAATTCTTACTTTTCTTGAAATGTGTGAAAGTGCATGTGGTAAGAATGTGTGATTCTAAAGAAGTCTTGCTGGGAAGGTAAGCAATTCTCGGGAAGTGCAGGGTGCAAGTGGACCTGTAATTTGGTAGTATGGCTCATGGGGTACGAGGTGTCATTAAATTACAGTTTACACAAATGAATACATGGTGGTGGCTCCTTATAGCTTTCAAGGAAAGTGATGTATTTTTGGTCTGTTTGGGGTAGATTCTGCCGTTCCTGTATTGCTACCAGTCTAAAGAACAACAAGTGGACCTGTCCTTATTGCCGGGCATATCTTCCTTCAGAAGGAGTTCCAGCAACTGATGTAGCCAAAAGAATGAAATCAGAGTATAAGAACTGCGCTGAGTGTGACACCCTGGTATGTATGTGACCCCACCTATTTTCATGGTTACCAGCTTAAGTCCCTGCGAAAGTTATCATTTCACCTCTGCTTCTGACCCCATGGTACGCACCTTTTTTTTTTTTTTTTTTTTTTTTTGAGACAGGTTCTCGCTCTTTCACCCAGGTTGGAGTGCAGTGGTGCGATCTCGGCTTACTGCAACCTCCGCCTCCCAGGTTCAAGTGATTCTCCTGCCCGCAGCTTCTCGAGTAGCTGGGTCTACAGGCACCTGCCATCACGCCTGGCTAATTTTTTGTATTTTTAGTAGAGACACGGTTTCACTATGTTAGCCAGGATGGTCTCAATCTCCTGACCTCATTACCCGCCTGCCTCGGCCTCCCAAAGTGCTGGTGAGATGTGAGGCCAGCTGGACTTCCCGGGTAGAGTGGGGACTTGGGAAACCTTCCTGTCTTACAAGAGGATTGTAAAACACACCAATTAGCGCTCTGTAAAATGCACCAATCAGTGCTCTGTAAAACGCATCAATCAGTGCTCTGTAAAGTGCACCAATCAGCACTCTGTAAAACGCACCAATCAGCAGGATTCTGAAAGTAGCCAATCGCAGGGAGGATTGGAAAAACTGCACTCTGATAGGACAGAAACGGAACATGGGCGGGGACGATAAGGGAATAAAAGCTGGCCACCCCAGCTAGCAGTGACAACCGGCTTGGGTCCCCTTCCATGTTGTGGGAGCTTTGTCCTTTTGCTCTTCACAAGAAACCTTGCTACCACTCACTCTTTGGGTCCGTGCCATTTTTTTTTTTTTTTTTTTTTTTGAGACAGAGTCTTGCTCTGTCGCCCAGGCTGCAGTGTAGTGGCGCCATCTCGGCCCACTGCAAGCTCCGCCTCTCAGGTTCAAGTGATTCTAATGCCTCAGCTTCCCGAGTAGCTGGGACTACAGGCATGTGCCACAATGTCTGGCTAATTTTTTGTCTTTTTAGTAGAGAGAGGGTTTTGCTATGTTGGCCAGGCTGTTCTCAAACTCCTGGCTTCAAGTGATCTGCCCACCTTGGCCTCCAAAGTGCTGGGATTACAGGCGTGAGCCATCTCACCCAGCCTCCAATTTCATATATGTACATATATCATCTGCAGAAAACCCTGAACTTCTACCATCACCCGTAATTTGTCAAACAAATGCTTTCATTGACCACCTCCATTTTCCCTTCTTCCCATTACTCCAGTGATCCTCTATGATATGTCCTCCAGTTCTGCTACTCTGTTGCAGACCACTAATGAATAGCTTTATTATCAAACCCAGTGACATATTTCCACCTGTATTGATCTGGACTTTGCAGTATTTGTCTCTATCAAGCACACCTTGCCTGTTGCAGTTTTCAACTTGGGTACTATATCAGCTTCCCCAGATCATGTGAGGTCTTGAAGGTTATGTAGAAGATTCTAGATTTTATCTTAAATGCAATAGTAAGCCAGAGAAAGAGAGTAAGTTTTGGAGTGCCAAGATCGGGCTTATATCTTTATTTTTATTTTTATTTGAGACAGAGTCGCACTCTGTTGCCCAGGCTGGTGTGCAGTGGTGCGATCTCAGCTCACTGCAGCCTCCACCTTCTGGGTTTAAGCGATTTTCATGCCTCAGCCTCCCGAGTAGCTGGGATTACAGGGGCCCAACACCACGCCTGTCTAACTTTTGTATTTTCAGTAGAGACACAGTTTCACCATGTTGGCCAGTCTGGTCTTGAACTCCTGACCTCAGGCGATCTGCCCGCCTCGGACTCCCAAAGTGCTGGGATTACAGGCATGAGCCACCATGCCCAGCCCAGGATTGTATCTTTAAGATATCACTCTAACATACACATAGAAAATGGTTTGGAGGCCAGGCGCAGTGGCTCATGCCTGTAATCCCAGCACTTTGGGAGCCCGAGGCGGGAGGATTGCTTGAGCTCAGGAGTTCAAGACCAACCTGGGAAGAGACCTTGTCTCTACTAAAAATCAAAAAAATTAGCTGGGGCATAGTGGTATACGCCTGTAGTCCTAGATACTCCAGAGGCTGAGTAGGAAGAGCGCTTGAGCCCAGGAGATCAAGGCTGCAGTAAACTATGATCGTGCCACTGCACTCCAGCTTGGGCAACATAGCAAGACTCTCTCAACAAAAAAGAGGAGCTGGGGAGAGGATCATGTTCATGTTCATGTTAGAGGGTGGTTTTAAAGGTAAATGATAAATATATATGTGATATATATATAACTGATGATTGTCTTTTAACACAGTGTCTGGAATATAGTAAATGCTCAAAATTAATAGCTTTTTACATTCTTAATAATAGATTATTGCCTATTTTTACTTTGTCTTCACATAAAATTCATACACAAAATCAAACTCATTATATTGTTTAATCATCCAATTCTTGATCCCACCTTGGTGTCTGTCAGAAACAAGAGGATTCTCTCAATTAACTTGTGTGGAAATCCACCACTCCCCCTCCCCCATTATCTGATTAATCACAAAGATTTTGATTTTTTTCTTTGAGATACTTTTTTTTTTTTTTTTTTGAGATGGAGTCTCACTCTGTTGCCCAGGATGGAGTGCAGTGGTGTATGATCTTGGCTCACTGTAACCTCCACTTTGCACGTTCAAGAGATTCTCGTGCCTCAGCCTCCCGAGTAGCTGGGACTACAGGCATGCACCACTATGCCCGGCTAATTTTTGTATTTTAGTAGAGACGTGGTTTCACCATGTTGGCCAGGCTGGTCTTGAACTTCTGACCACAGGTGATCTGTCCACCTCGGCCTCCCAAAGTGCTAGGATTACAAGTATGAGCCACTGCGCCCAGCTTTGAGATACTTCTTATATTCTGTCTTTTCCTTTCTGTGTTATCCCTCTTTCTAGGAATGCTCCCCATTCCTTCTACGCACATTTTGCCCTCTCCATGTTGCACTCTCTGTGTTCTTCAGAGTCCCGCCAGATCTCCATTCCTTGAGGCCTGGCCTTAGTTTTCCAGTTCCCTATATCAAACAATTTCTTTCTTTTTTTTTTTTTTTTTTTTGAGACAGAGTCTTGCTCTGTCACCCAGGCTGTAGTGCAGTGGCACCATCTCAGCTCACTGCAACCTCTGCCTCCTGGGTTCAAGCACTTCTCCTGTCTCAGCCTCCCAAGTAGCTGGGACTATAGGTGCACACCACCACACCCGGCTAATTTTTGTATCTTTAGTAGAGAGGGGGTTTCCATATTGGTCAGGCTGGTCTCAAACTCCTGACCTCAGGTAATCCACCCACTTCAGCCTCCCAAAGTGCTGGAATTACAGGCGTGAGCTACCACGCCCAGCCCCTATATCAAACAATTCCTTATCTACTTGTCTAACATCCTTTTTTCTTCTGTTAGATTGTAAGCACCATTAGAACAGGCACAATGAACTGCATTTCTTCTGCCATTTTTTATAATGTTTCAAATAATCTTGTGTCTAGACTATGAATTGATCAATTCATTTGTCAGTAGATAGTCCACGGCTTGTTAATTTTCATGACTAATGCTTATCTTTGTTGAACAAAGAATACAAATAGAAATTTTTACCAGCAAAAGTCATAAAGACATGAGAGAACCCTAATGTGCAAAGTTGGATGTTACAGGTCGTAAAATACATCTGTTTAAGACAGCTTGTGCAGATCAATCCTAGTTTTTATATCTTTTAGGTGGATATTTGTAAAGCCAGGGTTTTGTTCTTACTTTTCACTTGCTTTTATTTTTGCCCTTTGTTAAACAATTATAACTGTTTCCTTGACACGGCAGATTTCATGTTTGAGGTTTAACTTCCGTAGCTTGGGCAAAATGAAGCAGAGTGGGTCGGCCACCTTACCACAGCTGTACAGAGCTTCCTTTAGCACAAGATCTTATCAGAGTTTCTAATGAAACATTTAATAGGATGTGTGATGTTAGCAACAGATCCCTCATGGTTAGGCTCTCTGAATGTATATGTGAAAGAACAAGGGCTCTTTATTCTGCATTGATCAAAATGGACTGCAAGAGCTGTCTTTTATGTTTGCTCTTAATGGGACCATTAAGTATACTGTGTATTGTGAATTCATGTAATACTGTTGGGTGTGTTATAAAACCATGGTATTTATATCTTTCCCTAAGGCACAGTGTTTCATTTAACTTGCTATGGGCACCTCTAAAATGTATCCATTTATTCTTCTTATCTGTCCATTTCTTTTTTCTGTCTCTTTTTCCATCTTAGATTGTTTCTTCTCTCTTGTGCTCTTTTTCTTCACCCATTTTTTTCCCTTGCTTCCTTCTTTCTAAAACCTGTTTATGTAATGGCATGCAAAAGAAGTAAATTTGAGTCACCACACATCTATCTACTTTAAAAAATGTAGATGCTTTTTTTTTTTTTTTTTTTTTTTTTTTTGAGACGGAGTCTCGCTCTGTCGCCCAGGCTGGAGTGCAGTGGCGGGATCTCGGCTCACTGCAAGCTCCGCCTCCCGGGTTCACGCCATTCTCCTGCCTCAGCCTCCCGAGTAGCTGGGACTACAGGCGCCCGCCACTACGCCCGGCTAATTTTTTGTATTTTTAGTAGAGACGGGGTTTCACCGTGTTAGCCGGGATGGTCTCGATCTCCTGACCTCGTGATCCGCCCGCCTCGGCCTCCCAAAGTGCTGGGATTACAGGCGTGAGCCACCGCGCCCGGCCGTATATGCTTTTTAGAAGAACCAAATTCAAGAACTTAACAGTTGGATCTTCTAAGTATCGGAGAATTTGAAAAATAGTAGTATTCTTGATAATGCCTTAATTTTTGGTGGTACTGGTGTTACGAATGCATCTATTTAGTCAGTTGATCCCACAGTATGACCTTACTTGAAAGTTAAAAGGCTGGATCGCATAAGCTTTCATTGAGCCCTTTTTTAACAGTGAGTTTATTTTGAATTTGTTTTTATGTAGGTTTGCCTCAGTGAAATGAGGGCACATATTCGGACTTGTCAGAAGTACATAGATAAGTATGGACCACTACAAGAACTTGAGGAGACAGCAGCAAGGTTTGTTTCAATACAATATAGTTTAATGCTAAAATTGATAATGTTTATAAAGAATTTAATGGGCTGGAAACTTTAACATTCTTATGAAAATATTTACATATTTATGTTTATGTTCTTAACTATAATACCTGGTACTGGTAATCATTTGTTGATAGCAATCATTGTTAAGGAATTTTGCACTGTCTACTTTAAAAATTTCCAGGGGTAACCAACCACAGACTGGAGAGATTGGGGCAACTTCCTCAAACAAGTTTGTGTTAACACAGATCCAAAAATAGAATGCAGAACTGTTACATTTCTGCTAGGCTTTGTTTTCTAATAGATTCCTGAAGTAGATTGTGTTTGGGATTATCCATCTTCTGTCACCACTGCTCATTTCACCAGCTCATTCCTTATCATTTTGCTTGTTTCTCTTTAGAATATAGACAGCAGCATCTCAGTATACAAGAGAACAGGCTGGGCAGGCATCCTGAATCCTTTGCCTTTTTGATGGGTAATCTCGTATGGGGGTAGGGGAAAGATGGAGGTAGCTGACAGATGTAATGGAGGATATTGATAGTATTTTATTCTTTAAAAAAAGAGAAAGAAACATTCGTGGGGTGTGGTGGCTCACACCTGCAATCCCAGCACTTTGGGAGGCTGAGACGGGCAGATCACTTGAGGTCAGGAGTTCAAGACCAGCCTGGGCAACATGGCGAAACCCCATCTCTACTAAAAATACAAAAATTAGCTGGGCGTGGTGGCGCACACCTGTAATCCCAGCTATTCTGGAGGCTGAGGCACGAGAATCACTTGAATCTGGGAGGCAGAGGTTGCAGTGAGCTGAGATCTGGCCACTGCACTCCAGCCTGGGTGACAGAGCGAGACTCTGTCTCAAAAAAAAAAGAAACACATCTAAGTCATTATTCTCCTGATGAGAAAGGTAATTTAGCTGCATCAGAGTAATTATAAAGTTTGTAATCTGCCCCTACTAACCAAATAAAGTGATCTGTGCTCTCTAGCAAAGATTGATGGCTTTCCAGCCATTAATCTGCCTATGGATTCATGTATCCAATATTGGTATTCTGTATAATTTCTCTCTCCCAGAGAAAAATGTTAGCTCTGCTCATTTTTAGAAAATATACTCAAAATATAGCTTACATTTCTAAACCTAAAAGTCTAAACAATCACCTCATTCTTTTTGTTTTACTAGAGATCGCCTTGCAAAAGTACCTATTATTATAGGATTAGCTTTATACCCTGACTTTATAAATTTCAAATGAGTATTTTAGCTATAAACAGAGTATGGATCCTGTTAGATTGACCACAATGACCAATAGGAAGGAAGGATTACCAATGGGTTGAGAAAGTGTATGGGTTTGATTGCAAGGTTGATGGCTTTTATGAAAATTTAAAAATATATGAAAGCTAATTTGAATCCCAATTTCTTTTACTCATTAGAATTAAATAGTAAAGAATTAAAATAATAGAAAATGGAGAGGGTTGTTGATTATTTTACAAGATATATTAATATTTTGATTTATGATAAAAATCTTTGCTTTACAGAAGAATTTACCACATAATTCAAATTTTAAAAATTCTTACACCTAGAGTTTGTCCAGAGTACAAGTTTTGGGGGACAAGAAGTTACATCTGTAACAGAAAGTGAGCAAACAACTCCAAGACTCCGTATTGTCCCTAAGAACTTAAGGCAGTGTTGTCCAGTAGAAATATAATGGGTTTTTTTTTTTCTTTTCTTTTCTTTTCTTTTTGAGATGGAGTCTTGCTCTGTCACCCAGGCTGGAGTGCAGCAGCGCAATCTTGGCTCACTGCAACCTCTGCTGCCCGGGTTCAAGCGATTCTCCTGCCTCAGCCTCCTGAGTAGCTGGGATTACAGGCGTGTGCCACCATGCCTAGCTAATTTTTGTGTTTTTAGTAGAGACAGGGTTTCAGCATCTTGGCCAGGCTGGTCTTGAACTCCTGACCTCGTGATCCACCCGTCTCGGCCTCCCAGAGTGCTGGGATTACAGGCCTGAGCCACTGCTCCCGGCCTAGAAATATAATGTTAATCACATGTAATTCAAAATTTTCTAGTAGCGACATTTAAACAAATAAGAAGATAAAGTTTAAATTACCTTTCAATATATTTTATCTAACCTAATATTGCCAAAATATTATCATCTGAACGTGTAATCAGTATAAAAATTATCAAGATATTTTACATTCTTTTTTCTTTTTACATTAAGCCCTCAAAATTCAGCGTGTATCTTATACATCCAGCAAATCTGAATTTTTTTATTTTTTTTGAGATAGAGTTTCACGCCTGTTGCCCAGGCTGGAGTGCAATGGTGTGATACCAGCTCACTGCACTTCTCTTTAGGAGAGAAGTGCAATCTGAGCATGCATTAACTGAGAAACTGAGTATTGCAGCACCCAGCTGTCCTTGGATTACCTTTTCCTTCCTCCCTTTCCGAATTCACATAACATTTAGATGGGGTGTTATTTGTTTTCCAACTTCACTAGCATATAACTATGTGCATCAGCCTATATTGTTAATTTCCAGTGAAGAAGGAAAAGTGACCTGCAGTCCGGGCGAGGTGGCTCACACCCGAAATCTCAGCACTTTGGGAGGTCAAGGCGGGTGGATTGCTTGAGCTCAGGAGTTTGAGACCAGCTTGGGCAACATGGTGAAACTCCTACCTCTATTAAAAATACAAAAAATTAGCATGGTGGCATGTGCCTGTGGTCTGAGCTACTTGGGAGGCTGAGACAGGAGGATCATTTGAGCCCAGGAAGTGGAGGTTGCGGTGAGCCAAGATTGCACCACTGCACTCCAGCCTGGGTAACAGAGCGAGACTCCCTCTCCAAAAAAAAAAAATAGAAAGAAAGACAGAAAAAGAAAAGTGACCTGCAGCTACCTTATTAAATCCTTATGTACACTTAGGAATATTTGTCACTTATCTGTGCTGTCCAAGATGTGTCCACTGGGCACTTGAAATGTGGCTAGTCCAAATTCAGATATGTGACCAGGTGCGGTGGCTCACGCCTGTAATCCCAGCACTTTGGGAGGCCGAGGTGGGTGGATCACCTTAAGTCAGGAGTTCGAGACCATCCTGGCCAACATGGTGAAACCCCATCTCTACTAAAAATACAAAGATTAACCTGGTGTGGTGGTGGGGGCTTGTAATCCCTGCCACTTGGGAGGCTGAGGCAGGAGGATCCCTTGAACCCGGGAGGTGGGGAGGTTGCATTGAGCTGAGATCATGCCACTGCACTCCAGCCTGGGCCACAGAGCAAGACTCTTGTCTCAAAAAAAAAAAGAAAAAAAAAGTGACTACTATCTAGTTGCCAACCATTTTAATATTATTTGTATTCTGTGCTATTTCCAGGTGTGTATGTCCCTTTTGTCAGAGGGAACTGTATGAAGACAGCTTGCTGGATCATTGTATTACTCATCACAGATCGGAACGGAGGCCTGTGGTAAGGATTTTTGTTACATGTATTACAGCAATGTCTGAATTCAGGACACATTAGGAAATCCATTTAATAGATTTATATTTATAGATACCTTATAAAGGATAATTATTTAAGTTAAGGTTATGGTAACTCTGTGACTGTTTACAATGTGTGAAAGTGTTCAGTTGAAACTGATAAGAACGACTAATGTGTAATCACTCATTTATGAAATTACACATTATCTCTAACAGGTAATCATGGGCATAATCAACTAAAATGATCCAAAATGCACAGTTAAGATCTAAGTTTACCAGCTGGGCCAATATGGTGAAACCCCATCTCTACTAAAAATACAAAAACTAGCTGGGTACATTGGCGGGCATGTGTAATCCCAGCTACTAGGGAGGCTGAGGCAGAAGAATCGCTTGAACCTGGGAGGCAGAGGTTGCAGTGAGCCGAGATGGAGCCACTGTACTCCAGCCTGGGCAACAGAGCAAGACTGTCTCAAAAAAAAAAAAAAAAAAAAAAAGAGAAAGAGAGATCTAAGTTTAGTACACTAACTATGGTTATAGCCATGTTTAGAACATTTAAAAATAATGCAAATAAGGCTGGGCGTGGTGGCTCACACCTGTAATCCCAGCACTTTGGGAGGCCGAGGCAGGCAGATCACGAGGTCAGGAGATTGAGACCATCCTGGCTAACACAGTGAAACCCTGTCTCTACTTAAAAAATAAAAAAATTAGCCAGGCGTGGTGGTGGGCGCCTGTAGTCCCAGCTACTCAGGAGGCTGAGGCAGGAGAATGGTGTGAACCCGGGAGGCGGAGCTTGCAGTGAGCTGAGATCGTGCCACTGCACTCCAGCCTGAGCGACAGAGCGAGACTCTGTCTCAAAAAAAAAAAAAAAAAAAATGCAAATAGTGTTATTATGACACTACACTAGAAACAAAAAGTAGTCATTCATCTTCATTAATGTGTCGTTTTATTCATGGTTAATATTTATCCATATGTTTGTATGGTAAATGTACATATTGCTCATTATTTCCTATATTCATTGTGAATGATGCTTTTTCCTTTTCAGCCTTGGCGTTTTAGTTCTTCTTTGTAGAGTGGCTTTTATAATTTTCATTTTTGTATAGTTGTGAGGTAAGGCAGAGTGGATACATCATTGTTTACTTAAGCTATTTTATTTTTATTTTTTTGAGACAGGCCATAGTACAGTGGCGCCATCTCGGCTCACTGCAACCTTGACCTCCCAGGTTCAAGCGATCCTCCTGCCTCAGCCCCTCAAATAGATGGGACTGTGGGCACGTGCCACTACACCTGCCTAATTTTTTGATGTTGTTGTTGTTGTTTTTAGACGTGCTGTGTCGCCAGGCTGGAGTGCAGTGGCTTGATCTTGGCTCACTGCAACCTCCGCCTCCCAGGTTCAAGCCATTCCCCTGCCTCAGCCTCCTGAGTAGCTGGGACTACAGGCGTGCGCCACCATGCCCGGCTAATTTTTTGTATTTTTTTGATAGAGACAGGGTTTCACCATGTTGGCCAGGATGGTCTCGATCTTCTGACCTTGTGGTTCGCCCACGTCGGCCTCCCAAAGGCTGGGATTACAGGTGTGAGCCACCGCGCCTGGCCTGGATTGTTAACCAGTTTTTAGAATTTGAGTTCATATTCTTGTATGCTTAAACTTTTCCTTATATTGGAATTTTTCTAAGAGGAAATTCCTTACATTATTATTTCTGCAATTAATAATGCAGACTTTTTATTAGCTCTTGAAATGTACTTTTAAAGTGCTTTCCAAAAAGTCTGAGTCAATTTATATTTGTGTCAGCAATGTATGAGTAAACCACTTTTACCTTAATCTGACCATAATTGGGAACATTTATTTTTAATTTACCCTGGCTCAACAAATATAAAATGATACTTTGAAGATTATTTTATGTAGTATGTAGTTTTATGTAATATATACACAAATGTGTGTGTGTTGTTTTCTCATATGAGTTTTTAGGGGTTTTTAATTTTAGGGTTTTTTCCATAAAATCCTTTCAGAAAGTGGATGAAATTAAAACATAAATATATTAGACAGGTAGGTAGATAGATAATGGATAGAAATAAAGATGATAGAGAATAAAGAGAAAGATACAGCCGGGTACAGTGGCTCACACCTGTAATCCAGGACTTTGGGAGGCCAAGTGGGCAGATTACTTGAGGCCAAGAGTTCGAGACCAGCCTGGCCAACACGGTGAAACCCCGTCTCTACTACTAAAAATACAAAAATTAGCAAGGCATGGTGGCATGCGCCTTTAGTCCCAGCTACTCGGGAGGCTGAGGTGGGAGGATTGCTTGAGCCTGGAAGGACGGAGGTTGAAGTGAACTGAGATCGTGCCACTGCACTCCAGCCTGGGTGATAAAACAAGAACCTGTCTCAGGCCGGGTGCAGTGGCTCATGCCTATAATCCCAGCACTTTGGGAGGCTGAGGCGGATGGATCACCTAAGGTCAGGAGTTCAAGACCAGCCTGACCAACATGGTGAAACCCTGTCTCTACTAAAAATACAAAAAAAAAAAAAAAAAAATTAGCCGGGTGTGGTGGGGGGCACCTGTAATCCCAGCTACTCGGGAGGCTGAGGCAGGAGAATCACTTGAACCTGGGAGACGGAGGTTGCAGTGAGCTGAGATCACGCCATTGCACTCCAGCATGGGCAACAAAAGCGAAACTCTATCTCAAAAAACAAACAAAAAAACCCAAAAAAACCTGTCTCAAAAAAAAAGAGAGAAAATCCTCACAGCAATCCTATGAGATAGGCTTGATGATTATCCCCATTTTAAAAATGATAAACTGAGACTCAGAGAGGTTAAGTCAATCATACAAGGTCACACAGCTGGTAAGTAACAAAGACAGAATTTGAATACAGTGATCTAGCTCCAGGGCTGTGTGGGAAACCCCTGTGGTCTATAGCAAGTTCAAGAGAAAAGCATGCAGAGATATTTGTTATTGATCTTAATGGCCTAGGGAGTTGGCAATTGGAATGGCTAAGTAGGAGCTTGTTAGGTGTTGAGGGAGCAGAGCCGATGGTCACGGGCTTTTCCTGCTCAAGTTGCTCTGTAGGAGGAACTGGGCTAGGGAGTTGTTTCACAATAGGTCCCTGGGGAGCTAGAGGAAGTTAGAAGAAAGCATAAGGATGGAATGATAGTGACTACTATCACTGAGTTTACTGAGTTATAAGTATTTTCTTGTCTCCTAGCAACTCTGTGAAGAAGGTTGAACCCTGACCATTAGTACCCAGGGTGCTGCTTTGGCTGGAAGAATGCCAGGCCCTCTGGACTGTGGTCCTAGGCTGCATCTAAGCAGCAATCTGGGGCAGGCCGTGTACTGGTCAGTTCCGTGGTACTGTGTACCTGCTCCAGCAGAAATCCAGTCCACATGCTGCTCAGTTTGGCCCAAATTGAAGGTGGCCCATGAAGCTAGGTCCTCCATGATTTTACAGGTCTTCAGGGTCATTGAAGACAGCTGACCTAAGCAGGGAAACAAACTAGGAATGGTGGAATCAGATTGCCTGTGGGATTTTGTAGTTAAATCCTAGGCTTTAAAGGGGATAGGCTTGGTTCTAATCCCAGGAAGTCTATTAAATTCTGTCACTGTTTCATCATTTGTAAAATGGGGATGGTGATGACATTCATGCCTTTTTCACAAGTAGTAAATGAATCAGGCATATAATAAAGTAAGCACTCTGTCTCCTGGTGATCACTCCATTAATAGAAGAGGGTGGTGGTGATAGTGGAGGTTCACTACACTTTTTCAATTCTATAAAATCAGGCCTAGAGAAGATTTCTTAGAGGAAGTGATGTCCTCTCACAGTTAGAGAACCCACATGGGGTGGTGGTGTGAGTCGGGGGGGTGGCGGGGAGGAGGAGGATGGGGAAGTGAAGTGGTAAAATCTCACCACAAAGACCAGGATGCTATCATGGCCTTGAAGCAGGAGCAGATTGTTCAGAAATCCAAGGTTCTGTAATACCCTAGGGCTGTCTAGAGGTGGTAATTGGAACACAAGACCTTCAGGTGTCCTGTGTTAGTGTTTCACTCTTGAGCAGAAGCTCAGGAGCATGTCACTCTGAAGGATCTAGAGCCACTAGAAGTCATGATTTACCCCATGGTTAGGAAAAGGCAGGGGACAGATATGTGGTATAGCTGGGGTTCACGTGCTTAGGGGTCCCTAATGGGGACATGTGGGTGAAAACACACTGAGGGAAGTCCTGGGCAAGGAGGGCTGGGTCCAATGCTGATTCTGGATGGGTGTGGAAGTTAACCAGGAATTATTGCTTTAAAGGACTGGATTACAGGTTTTGCAAGCAGATAAGATCAGTGACATCATCTGACTTACCTCACATAAGAGGTTTCCTGGCATTTAGAGATTTCCTGGGTAAATGATTCTTCTGACTTCCAAAAATAATTAGATAACTCAGAGATCAAACCACAAGATAACCATCTTTTCTTTCTGAGCTGCTCAAGAATGATAAAATGTTTGTTAAAAACATCAGGGGATTTTGACTTTTCTTATATGCATCCTTAAGAGCCAATAGCTCCTTTTTGTCAAGCAGTAATTATATTGTTATATTCTGCCATTTTTTAAAATTTGGAGACAGGGTCTCGCTCTGTCACCCAGGCCGGACCGCAGTGGTGCAGTAATAGCTCACTGTAACCTTGAACTCCTGGGCTCAAGTGATCCTTACCTCAGCTTCCTGAGTAGCTGGAACTACAGGTGTGCACCTTCACAACTGGATAATTCTTTAATTATTATTTTTTTATTTTTTATTTTTGGTAAAGATGAGATCTTGCTATGTTGCCCAGGCTGGTCTCAAATTCCTGGCTTCGAGCTATCCTCCCACCTTGGCTTCTGAAAGCATTGAGTTTACAGGCATGAGCCACTAAGCTCGGTTATTTATTTTTTTAAATAATAATTCCATCTCTGGAATATTAGACTCGAAGGAAGCAGGTGACACAAACAGCATGCTTTAGACTGAATTATGAGACCACTTTTTTTCTTTTTCCTTAAATGTAGATAACATTAATGAGACCACTTTTGAGAGAAATGTATTTTATTCTGTAAAGGGAAGATGTTTTAGCAAGAACCTTGCCCTCCAGCTAGTCTCTCGGTCTAGAGTGCTTTTTTTTTTTTTTTTTTTTTTTTTTTTTTTTTTGAAGAGACGGTGTTTCATCATCATGTTGCCCAGGCTGAGTCTCGAACTTGTGAGCTCAAGCGATCTGCTCTCCTCGGCCCCGCAAAGTGCTGGGATTACAGGCATGAGCCACCGCGCCTGGCCTCAAAGTTCTCTTTCTTTCACTGGTTGGCTCTTACTCATCCTTTGGAGCTTAGCTTAAATTTTACTTCCTCAAGGAAGCCCTCCCTGATACTCATTAATTTCAGCTTTTGCTTTTCTCCCCTCTACTTTTCAGTATTTACCACAACTTATAATTGCATATTCATTTCATGTCTGTCTCTCCCTCTAATTTATTAGGCTTATGGAGTCATGGGACCTAAGTCTTTCGTTTAACACTGCATGCCCAGTTCTTTGCAGAGTGCCTAGAACATAGCAGGATGTAGTGATGTGGAAAAAAGATAGTAAAGAAAGACAGGCTGGGCGCGGTGGCTCACATGTGTAATCCCAGCACTTTGGGAGGCCAAGGCAGGTGGATCACCTGAGGTCAGGAGTTCGAGACTAGCCTGGCCAACATGGCAAAACCCCGTCTCTACTAAAAATGCAAAAATTAGCTGGGCATGTTGGCAGGAGCCTGTAATCTCAGCTACTCAGGAGGCTGAGGCAGGAATCGCGTGAACCCAGGAAGCGGAGGTTGCAGTGAGCCAAAATCATGCCATTGCACTCCAGCCTGGGCGACAAGAGCAAGACTCAGTCTTAAAAAAAAAAAAAAAAAAAAAAAGGCATGATTCCATTCACCCTGATTCAGGGGTTCCAGTGAGTTCTATATTTTCTTTCTTTTTTTTTTTTTTTGTTTGAGATAGAGTCTTGCTCTGTTGCCAGGCTGGAGTGTAGTGGCGTGATCTCACTGCAACCTCTGACTCCCTGGTTCAAGCAATTCTCCTCCCTCAGCCTCCCGAGTAGCTGGGATTACAGGCATGCACCACTGCACCCAGCTAATTTTTGCATTTTTAGTAGAGTTGGGGTTTCACCATGTTGGCCAGGATGGTCTCGATCTCCTGACCTTGTGATCTGCCCGCCTCAGCCTCCCAGAGTGCTGGGATTACAGGCGTGAGCCACCACGTCCAGCCTGAGTTCTATATTTTCAATGTTACCCTGGGGGCTCATTCCTTAAGGAAGGGACAGGACTTTTGGTTTGAAGTGTAAACTGTGATGATTACATCCTGGGCTACCCCTCTCCATAGCAGTTAATTTCCGTGAGTACTTAGAATATCTGTGACTTGATGCGACAGTGGAGATCTATGTGGTAATAATTCTGGAAGGAAAAAAAAATCTCCAATAGATTTGCTTTCAGTGGCCGGGTGTGGTGGCTCGTGCCTGTAATCCCAGCACTTTGGGAGGCTGAGGTGGGCAGATCACAAGGTCAGGAGTTCAAGACCAGCCTGGCCAATATGGTGAAACCCCATCTCTACTAAATATACAAAAATTAGCCAGGCACGGTGGCGCGCGTCTGTAGTCCCGGCTGCTCAGGAGGCTGAGGCAGGAGAATTGTTTGAACCTGGGAGGTGGAGGTTGCAGTGAGTCAAGATTGTGCCACTGCATTCTAGCCTGGGTGACAGAGCGAGACTCCATCTCAAAAAAAAAAAAAAAAAATTAGGTATGCAGTCTTGTACCTTGATTTTAATTACATAGGTGCCTGTGAATATTTTCAGTGCATGTTCCTTTTTTCTTCTTTGGGTATTGGATTGAGTGACCTTTAATTACCTCCTCAAATGGCACTTGTCATCACATGGGAAGTGTTCTATAATCAGCTGAGTTGCTGTGGAGGTTAATCTAAGCCACAGATAGAGCGGAGTGTCCATTATCATAGATATTCTGAAGGATCGAATCCTTTGCATCTTGGAATGGCTGTAACATGAGTGCACTGTTGTCCAGCTCTTTTACACTTGTACTCCTAGAGTCATCTTCTGACTTCAGGAGAACTTGATAGAACATGCTGTTCACTAAGGATCATTGATATTAGATTGCATACATAGTACTTGGCAACTGAAATCCCTCAACAGTAAAATATGGTGTTCTTGCATATATGCTATTAGAACTTAAGAAAAGGGTACCAGAAAAAAATTAAGTTCTGACACACTTATTTTCTATTAAATATTAAATCAGTCACGCACAGACTTTAGAAATGGAATTCAAGTTTTATAGTAGAAAATAGATGTCATTGGCTGGGTGTGGTGGCTCATGCCTGTAATCCCAGCCCTTCGGGAGGCCGAGGCAGGGAGATCACCTGAGGTCGGGAGTTCGAGACCAGCCTGACCAACATGGAGAAACCCCGTTTCTACTAAAAATACAAAATTAGCCGGGCATGGTGGTACATACCTGTAATCCCAGCTACTCGGGAGACTGAGGCAGGAGAATCGCTTGAACCCGGGAGGTGGAGGTTGTAGTGAGCCGAGATTGTGCCATTGCACTCCAGCCTGGGCAACAAGAGTGAAACTCTGTCTCAAACAAAAAAAAAAAGAAAGAACATATATGTCATTCACAGTGAGGACTGTCAGACCTGCACTGAGTATGATTATTTTAGGGATTCCCTATAACAATACAAAAATGGGGGAAAACTGTCAACTGTAGGCCAACTCTTCAGGCATAGTGGCTCACACCTGTAATCCCAGCACTTTGGAAGGCTAAAGCAGGCAGATCACTTGTGGTCAGGAGGTCAGGAGTTCGAGACCAGCCTGGCCAACATGGTGAAATCCCATCTCTAGAAAAAATTTTTAAAAATTAGCCAGGCACATTGGCGTGTGCCTCTAGGAGGCAGGAGGATTGCTTGAGCGCGGGAGGTAGAGGCTGCAGTGAGCAGAGATCGCATCATTGCACTCCAGCCTGGGTGATGGGAGTAAAACCCTGTCTTAAAAAAAAAAAATAGAACTGGAAAGCCAACTACCCTGTTGGTTATGATCTGTCAGTAATATTGCCTTTATTCTTAATGGGATAAGGGAGGGGTGTCTTATTGAAAACCCTGGTAAGGACCAGTTCAGAAAGACTAGGGGGGGAGACAGGGTATTTGACTCCATGTATCCATGAAGCAGTATCAACTCCATTTCTGTGGCTTTGGTGTTTGGTGTGAGAAACTTTAGGAAATGCATCCTAATAGACCTATGTTAGATGCTCTCACCTATGATCCTGATGATCAAAGCTCATATGATCATGCCTGTGAAGACATTTGTACTTTTTTTTTTTTTTTTTTTTTTTTGAGACAGAGTTTCACTCTTGTCACCCAGGCTGGAGCGCAGTGGCGTGGTCTCGGCTCGGAGCAACCTCCACCTCCTGGGTTCAAACGATTCTCCTGCCTCAGCCTCCCAAGTAGCTGGGATTACAGGCGTGCGCCACCATGCCGGCTAATTTTTGTATTTTTAGTAGAAACGTGGTTTCACCATGTTGACCAAGTTGGTCTTGAACTCCTGACCTCAGGTGTTCCTCCCGCTGTGGCCTCCCAAAGTGCCGCGATTACCGGCATGAGCCACCGCATCTGCCCTGTACATTTTATGTATTCTCAGAAGCCCTTACATTGGTGATTCCTAATATTTTCTCTGTCCCATCACATCTAAAAAATATAATACTGAACAAAATCATTCTTATTTTTCCATAAGTAATAGTGATGCATGAGAGTGGTGAGAACTCCTCTGGGGAGAAAATATGGTTTTATCAGAATTTAGGGAAGGAAAGTTATATCATTGAAAAAGAATTCTCATCTGATTCTGTGTATCAACTATTCTTCTCCCATTTCTGACCTGCCCAAGGGCTCTGTTGTAGGAACTGATGTGAAGTAGAAGACATTTGGAAAAAACAAAAAGCTAGCAAAAATCTGTCAGAAGAGAAAGAAAAGTACTAGAAATCTTTTTCCCAAAAAGGAATTCTTTATTCATGAGGTGTCTACTGTGTGTCAAGTTATGCTAGGTCTAGGCATAAGGAAATAAGATAAATATGATTTGTTCTTGCCCTAGGATCCTTTATTCCAAGGAAGAAGAAAATTTGAATAAAATATATATTATCTAATCTGCAAAGTATATATTTTATTCCTACTTTAGATATGAAAAATTGAATTTGAGCTTCTATTATGTGCCAAATCCTATGCAAGCTAACATAGCAAGAATTTAGGCCAGCTGCAGTGGCTTACACCTGTAATCCCAGCACTTTGGGAGGCCGAGCTGGGGGAATTGTTTGACCCCATGAGTTCAAGGCCAGCCTGGGCAACGGAGCAAGACCCTGTCTCTACAACAACAACAACAAAATTAGCTGGACCCGGTGGTGCACGCCTGTAATCCCAGCTACTAGGGAGGCTCAGGTGGGAGGATCCCTTAAGCCCAGGAGTTTGAGGCTGCAGTGAGCTATGATGGCACCGCTGCACTCCAGCCTGGGCAACAAAAGGAGACCATGTCTCTAAAAAAAAAAAAAAAAAGAAATTAGACCAAGTTATTCTTATTTAGTTTTTCCTGTTCCAACATCTTGCTCCCGGTATTCATTCTCACACTGCTATAAAGAACTGCCCAAGACTGGGTAATTTAGAAAGGAAGGAGGTTTAATTGACTCACAGTTGCACATGGCTGGGGTGGCCTCAGGAATTATGGCAGAAGGCAAATGGGAAGCAAGGCAACTTTTTCACACGCAGGAGAGAGAATGAACGCGGGAGGAACTACCACACACGTATAAGACCATCAGATCTTGTGAGAACTCATTTTTATGAGAACAGCATGGGGGAAACTGCCCCCATGATTCAATTACCTACACCTGGTCTCTCCCTTGACACTTGGAGATTGTGGGGATTATTAAGAGAACACTTAGGCCAGGTGTGGTGGCTCATGCCTGTAATCCCAGCACTTTGGGAGGCCAAGGTGGGCGGATCACCTGAGGTGGGTAGTTTGAGACCAGCCTGACCAACATGGAGAAATCCGTCTCTACTAAAAATACAAAATTAGCCGGGTGTGGTGGCGCATGCCTGTAATCCCAGCTTCTCGGGAGGCTGAGGCAGGAGAATCGCTTGAACCTGGGAGGCGGAGGTTGCAGTGAGCCGAGATCATGCCATTGCACTCCAGCCTGGGTAACAAGAGTGAAACTCCATCTCAAAAAAAAAAAAAAAAAAAAAAAGAACATTTAAAAATTAAAAAAAATTTAAACCCTAATTTTAAGAAACTTAAGAAATCCATTATTATTTCTGGCTGCCTTTATAAAAGACACTTTGTTTTTAACGTCATATAGGACTTTTTTTTTCCTGGAATTTGCAAGGATTCTTACTCTCTTCAGTATTCCTGAAAATGAAAGTAAGTGGCTCACATAGGAAGAAGGAGAGATTTCGTAGACTTTCTGTAAAGTGAACAGACTTCAGGTACTGACTCCTCGTAAATCTAGACTGTTATAAAATTGCCCTACAAAGCTCTGAGAAAATGACTCACATGAATAAAGAGGAAAAGGACTGGCCTGGCGTGGTGGCTCCCGACTGTAATCCCAGCACTTTGGGAGGCTGAGGTGGGCAGATCACCTGAGGTCAGGAGTTCGAGACCAGCCTGACCAATATAGAGAAACCACCCCCCATGTCTACTAAAAATACAAAATTAGCTGGGCATGGTGGCCCATGCCTGTAATCCCAGCTACTCGGGAGGCTGAGGCAGGAGAATCACTTGAACCCAGGAGGCAGAGATTGCGTTGCAGTGAGCCAAGATCACGCCGTTGCACTCTAGCCTGGGCAAAAAGAGCAAAACTCCGTCTCAAAAAAAAAAAAAAAAAAAGACAATTATAGAAAAAAAGATAATAACATTAAACAATAAAAAAGAGCAAAACTCCATCTCAAAAAAAATTTAAAAAAAAGAGCAAAAGGAGTGGGAAGTTTTTCTAATTCTCATGGATTACAGTAGGAGAATGAGAACAGGTGCAAAAGAAACTCAATGCACTTGGCTTTATGCCAACAATGATTTTTTTACACAGCAAAAAATTACAAACCTTCTTCCTTACCTCTCTTCCTCAAGCTTATACATAATAGACATACAGCAGCATTTCTATTTCTACATTATACTTGGGCTGTTTATAGTATTGAGCTAATAAAGATTTTTACACAGTCGTAGAGAAAAGGGTCCTCAGAGGTGATCTAATGTAGCCTCCCTCTCAAGGTGATAAGTAACTTACTGTGTGAGTGCTTGAAGTTTTCCAGAATGGTAACCCAGTTATTACAAGGATTTTGTTTCTACACCTTTCAACATCTTAATTTCCCTTCTGTGTCTATTGCAGTTTATTGATGTTTTCCTTACCCAGCACTTAAAATAGAACACAGCACTCCAAGAATGGTCAGTGAATGCAGAACAGAGGAAACAACCATTATTCTAGATAATTGAATGTTATCCATACAGCACTGTACTAGCTTTTTTATGATTGAGTCATATTTCTGGCCTAATTATGATTCTCAGTAAAATAGAACCCCAAATGACTTTTTTTTTTTTTTTTCTGAGACGGAGTTTTGCTGTTGTTGCCTAGGCTGGAGTGTAGTGGCGCGATCTTGGCTCACTGCAACCTCTGCCTCCCGGGTTTAAGCGATTCTCCTGCCTCAGTCTCCCGAGTAGCTGGGATTATAGGGGCATGCCTCCACACCTGGCTAATTTTTATATTTTTAGTAGAGACGGAGTTTCTCCATGTTGGTCAGGCTGGTCTCAAACTCCTTACCTCAGGTGATCTGCCCACCTCAGCCTCCCAAAATGCTGGGATTACAGGCATGAGCTACCGCGCCTGGTCCAAATGACTGTTTTTTTTATAGGTACTGGAGTTAAGAAAGGTGTTCTCCATTACAGCCTAGGTATTAGATTTAGAATTTCTCATTTGTTCGCCTACTATTTTATCTTGTTTCTCTGAAAGAAATTATATTGTCTTTAAGGCGGTTGTTCTCAAACTTTATCATGCATGAGAATCATCTACAAGACCTGTTTAAACATAGATTGCTGGCCTCTGCCCCTAGAGTGTCTGATAAAATAGGTCTGAGCTAGGGCCTGAAAATTTGCATTTCTAACAAGTTACCAGATGGTGACAATGCTGCTGGTCTGAGGACCCCACGCTGAGAACCATTGCTTCCTTTAAAGCGCTAAAGTGGCCAGGCACCGTGGCTTATGCCAGTAGTCCCAGCATTTTATGAGGCCAAAGTGGGAGGGTTACTTAAAGCCAGGAGTTTGTGGTTACAGTGAGCCATGATCATACCATTGCACTCCAGCCTGGGTGACAGAGTGAGACCCCATCTCTAAAAAAAAAAAAAAAAAAAAAAATTAAAGGGCAAGTGAGAAGTATGACCATATATGTACTTTCAATTTTTGTGGATGCATAGTAGGTGTATATATTTATGGGGCACATGAAATACTTTGATACAGGCATGCAGTGTGTAATAATCACATCAGGGTAAATGGCATACCCATCACCTTAAGCATTTATCCTTTCTTTGTGTTACAAACAATCCAATTATACTCTTTTTTTTTTGAGAGGGAGTCTCGTTCTGTCGCCCAGGCTAGAGTGCAGTGGTGCGATCTTGGCTCACTGTGACCTCCGCCTCTCAGGTTCAAGGGATTCTCCTGCCTCAGCCTCCCAAGTAGCTAGGACTACAGGCTCATGTGACCACACCCAGCTAATTTTTGTATTTTTAGTAGAGACAGGGTTTCACCACGTTGGTTAGGCTGGTCTCAAACTCCTGACCTCAGGTGATCCACCCACCTTGGCCTCCCAAAGTGCTGGGATTTCAGGCGTGAGCCCCTGTGCCTGGCCTATACTCTTAAATGTACAATACATTATTGTTGACTTTAATTGCCCTGTTGTGCTATGAAATGCTAAATCTTATACATTCTATCTAACTATATTTGTGTACCCATTAACCATGCCCACTTCCCCCAATCCCCACTACCCTTCCCAGCCTCTGGTAACCATCATTCTACCCTCTATCTCCATGAGTTCAATTGGTTTAATTTTTAGCTCCCACAAATAAATGAGGACATGTGAAGTTTGTCTTTCTGTGCTAGGCTTATTTCACTTAACATAATGTCCTCCAGTTCCATCCATGTTGTTGCAAATGACAAAATCTCATTCGTTTTTATGACTGAATGGTACTCCATATGTACCATGCTTTCTTTACCCACTTGTCTGTTGCTGGACACTTAGGTTGTTTCCAAATCTTGACTATTCTGAATAGTACTGCAATAAAAATGGGAGTGCGGATATTTCTTGAATATACTGATTTCCTTTCTTTGGGGAATATACCTGGGAGTAGGATTGCTGGATCATATGATAGTTTGATTTTCAGTTTTTTGAGGAACCTCTAAATTCTTCTCCGTAGTAGTTGTACTAATTTACATTCCCACCACCCGTGTATGAAGTTTCCCTTTTCTCCACATCCTCGTCAGCATCTGTTATTGTGTGACTTTTGGATAAAAACCATTTTACCTGCGGTGAGATGATATCTCATTGTAGTTTTGATTTGCATTTCTCTGATGATCAATGATGCTGAGCACTTTTTCATATGCCTATTTGCCATTTATATGTCTTCTTTTGAGAAATGTCTGTTTAAATCGTTTGCCTGTTTTAAATTGAATTACTAATTTCTTTTCCTGTAGAGTTGTTTGCACTCCTTATATATTCTGGTTATTAATCCCTTGTCAGATGAGGAGTTTGCAAATATTTTCTCCCATTCTGTGGGTTGTCTCTTCACTTTATTGATTGTTTCCTTTGCTGTGCTGAAGCTTTTGGATGTGATTCCATTTGTCCATTTTCGCTTTGGTTGCCTGTGTTTGTGGGGTATTATTCCAGAAATCTTTGCCCAGATCAATGTCCTGGAGAGTTTCTCCAATGTTTTCTTTTAGTAGTTTCATAGTTTGAGGTCTTAGATTCAAGTTTTTAATCCATTTTGATTTGATTTTGACTATTTTTTTTTAATTTGATACTATCTTGACCAGCATTGAATAATCTATATCCTAAGGATTTAGAGGAATAATTATCCTTTCAAAAGAATCTTCCTCATCTGATCAAAAATGGAAAGAAACATCTGTTTCCACCCACATCAAGTGTTGTTTTGTTTCAATCCTATTAAAGCAGCCTTGGTCAGGAGATCTTTCCCCTTTTCCTAGCAAGAGGATTTCTTTGGTCCTCAATTTGGTCATTTGTAAAACAAAGGTAGAGAAAATCTACTCAATGATTTTGGTTATTTTTGGCTTTATGGTTTCTTGAAAAGAAAGAACAATAAATGAAGATTCATTGCATAGAAAGGGCCTATTTGGAGTCAACATGCTCAAGGCCAGGAAATAGAAACCACAGGGCTAAGGGGATCAACTGAAGGCATCAGTAGGATGAGGTGAAGCTCTTCTAAGCTGCCAGGTCACAAATCAGGACAGGCAGATGTCCGGTCCCTGACACACTGGCCTGCACAGTGAATGGGCTGTAAGCTTATCCACTAAAGACCTGTCATTGTTGCGGGTGGGTTGGTGGGAGCATAAGGACATGATAATATCACCATGTCTAGTAAGTGGGAGGCTAATCTTAGAAACAGTTTTCAATTCTTTGAAGTTGGTAGTAGCTTCTAATATGGTAGCTATTATTTGCCCATTGCATTCACCATCAGAAAAAGCCCATACAGAGATGAAGCCAGCATATTTTGAATGTACACTGTATAGTTGTTGGCTCTTAATATAAGTAGTATAGCCTGGGAGCATTGAGTAGAGACAAGTAAGAAAGGATGAGCTGATGTTAGGAAATGGACAACATTGAGTATAAGTCAATACTTAGGTAATCTTCAGTCTGTCTCTCACCTACCATTTCTTTCTCCTTCCTATTCTTACCCTCTCTTCCCTCAGGTTTAATCTCCCAATTTAAGAAACAAAAGAAGTTTTTCCACTAGTACCGACTTCAGCCCATTGTTTTGCAATGTCGTTTTGACAGATGTGTCTTTAGTCACACAATTAAATTTTATGTTGACCAGAGACTGAAGACTCCACTAGTTGCCTATTAACGTCAGACTAACAATGGCTTGCACCTGTAATCCTAGCTACTCAGGAGGCTGAGGCAGGAGAATCTCTGGAATCTGAGAGTTCAAGGCCAGCCTGGTCAACAAAGTGAGATCCCGTTTCAAAAACAAAACAAAACAAAATCTTGTTTGCTTAAAATTCTAGTTTTTTTTTCAGACAGTCTTGCTCTGGCGCCCAGGCTGGAGTGCAGTGGTGCGATCTCGGCTCACTGCAAGCTCCGCCTCCTGGGTTCACGCCATTCTCCTGCCTCAGCCTCCCAAGTAGCTGGGACTACAGGCACCCGCCACCACACCCGGCTAATTTTTTGTATTTTTAGTAGAGACAGGGTTTCACCGTGTTAGCCAGGATGGTGTCGATCTCCTGACCTCATGATCCGCCCACCTTGCCCTCCCAAAGTGCTGGGATTACAGGCGTGAGCCCCCGTGCCTGGCCTAAAATTCCAGGTTTTCTGTATTTGTCTTCTCCACTAGACTCTAATCAGCTCCTTATTGGTAGGGACCAAGGTAACAGACATCTCTGTACCTCTGACTCCTTGCATCAAGTCTACCAAAACCATGTCAGGTGCTTGAATAAATATGGAGCAGAGCTAGTTCCAACTTATCATTCCAAACTCATCCCCTACCACTTCCCCAACTTTCCCTACCTTCAGTTACACTGAGGTTTTTCCATTGCCCTAAGCAGGCCTCTTTCTTTTAGGATTTACTGCCTTTTCCCACGTTGATTCCTCTGCTGTGATGCTCCTCCCTGCTGGCCTGGCTGGCTCATTCTTCAAGACCCACTTCAGTTACCAGCAGCTCTGCTGGAGCCTTTCCGAACCCTTGGGCAAAATTAGTAATTCCCTTTACAGATCTTGAACAGTTGTCTGTTCACATCTTGAGTATGGCACTTGATACACTATTGAAAGTATCTGCTTAAGTGATAATAATGGCAGCTAAAGACTGAGCTAATATAATGACTGAGCTTTATAATAGTAAATGGTGTATTATTTTAAATCTAACAGCTCTGAGACACAGAACATCAGCGAGAGGCTGAAATGAAATCGGAAACTATTTTCTGGGTACTAAGAATGTAGGGATCAACTAGACACATGGTAGTTTCTTCCCTCAGGGAGCCCCAACTCTTCAAGGACAGGGATCAAATAGTAGTAAATATGTGGCATTTATTGAATGTTTGATGTTTACCTGGCACACTGAAGACATTATCTGTAAATATTACAGCTACTCTACAAGGCAGGTGTTATTATCTCCATTTCACAGAAGGGGAAACTTATATGCTCAAGATCACACTGCTGGTGCTAGGATTTGAACCCAAAGTATCTAACTTCAAAGTATCCTACTGATCTCTATATTCTAAGTGCGGAACACGTAGTAGGGGCATAATAAAGAGTGTTGGATGAACAAATTTCTATAAGCAGGTTCCTTCTCCCACACTACAAATATTAATAGTGCTCTTTTGTTGAAATATTTCTTGGTCTCAGCTCTGTTCTCATTATACATAGTGGCATCAGGGAAAATTAAATGCTGTCTTGGAATGACCAGTAGTGCCAATTAACCAAGAACATTAGGAAATTGTAAATGATTATAATTCAACAATAATTAATTAAAAGGATGTAATTTTACTAAAAATAAGATGTAAAAATTAGCGAAGTTGAGCAAAATTCAGAAATAGACCTTTAATTATAGAAATTGAGCATATTGAAACTGAGATCCTCATAAAACAATAAGAAAGAAAAGAAATATATAAAGACCTCATTTAAATAAAGAAAAACATTATCACCCAAGTTGATAAATTGGACACTGTTAGAATGTGAAAAGAACATTGGAGGATCAGCGACATTGATTCCAGATCTGATACTTACAGCTGAGTAAATTCAAGCTATTTTTTTTTCTCTCTGAAATTGGGCTCATCAACAAAATAAGGATAGCAATTAATTCACTGAGTTGTTGTGAGGATCAAATGAGAATACTACCTAATTTACTACCTAACAACACATACTTGGCACTCAGTAATAAGTCTGCATCTCATACTTTAAAAAATGAATACATGGGCCGGGTGGGGTGGCTCATGCTTGTAATCCCAGCACTTTGGGAGGCAGAGGTGGGTAGATCACCTGAGGTCAGGAGTTCGTGACCAGCCTGGCCAAAATGGTGAAACCCTGTCTTTACTAAAAATACAAAAATTAGCTGGGCATGGTGGTGGGCGCCTGTAATCCCAGCTACTTGGGAGGCTGAGGCAGGAAAGTTGCTTGAACCCAGGAGGCGGAGGTTGCAGTGAGCCAAGACCATGCCATTGCACTCCAGCCTGGGCAACAAGAGCAAAACTCAAAACTCCATTTCAAAAAAAAAAAAAAAAAGAAGAATACATGAATAAATATAATTTTAAAAAAGTGAACCTTTGTTAAAATGTGATAAAGTAATATATGTTAAAAGAGTTATTTATATTAGCCATCATAGAAGTGCAAATTAAAACCATGGTGAGATACCAGTACACGTTTAACAAAATGGCTCAAATAAAAAAATTTGGACAATACCAAATGTTGGGGAAAATAAAGAAAAACTGAATAATTCATACATTGCTGGTGGGAATGTAAAATAGTACAGCCACTCTGGAAAACAGTTTGGCAATATTTTACAAAGTTAAACATATACTTATCATATAACCAGGCAATCACACTCCTGAAAATTTATCCTAGAGAAATGAAAACTTAATGTTTATGCAAACATTTGTACACAAATATTTCTTGGAGCTTTATCTTAACAACCAAAAACTGGAAACAACCCAAATGCCCTTTACAAAATAAATGGATAAGCAGACTGTGGGACATCCATACATGAAATACTACTCAGTAATAAGGAGGGAGCTATGGATACACCCAGCAACTTAGATGGATCTCAAAGTCATGCTCAATGGGAAAAGCCAATCTCAAAAGGTTAAATACTGTATAGTTCTATTTATATAAGTTTCTCGAAATAGTAATAATAATAATATGGGGAACAGAGCAGAGGTTAGGGAGAGAGAAGGAAATAAAGGATAGCAACGCACTGACATTCCTTTGCAGTGACAGAATGGTCTGTATCTTTTTTTTTTTTTTAATCCATCAAGTCCTTTTTTTTTTCTTTTTGAGACAGGGTCTCACTCTGTCATCCAGGCTGGAGTGCAGTGGTGCGATCTCGGCTTACTGCAACCTCTGCCTCCTGGGTTCAAGCCATTCTGCTGCCTCAGCCTCTGGAGTAGCCAGGACTACAGGTGTGCACCACCACGCCTGGCTAATTTTTTTGTCTTTTTAGTAGACATGGGTTTTGCCATGTTAGCCAGGCTGGTCATGAACTCCTACCTCAAGTGATCCACCTCCCAAAGTGCTGGGATGACAGGCATGAGCCACGGCGCCCAGGGATTACACTTCAACATGAGATTTGGGCGGGGACAAATTTCCAAACTATATCTCACACACACACACTGAAAAATATGAGTACAGGCAAAATCTGGTGAAATCTTTTTCTTTTTCTTTTTTTTTTTTTTTTTTTTTTTGAGACAGAGCTGGTGCCTCGGCTGCCTGAGTAGCTGGGATTACAGGTGCTGCCACCATACCTGGCTAATTTTTTTGTCTCCACACCCAGGGATTACATTTCAACATGAGATTTGGGTGGGGACAAGTTTCCAAACTATATCACACACACACACACTGAAAAATATGAGTACAGGCAAAACCTAGTGAAATCTTTTTTCAAGCAATTCTCCTGCCTCAGCCTGCCAAGTAGGTGGGATAGCAGGCAGGTGTGCACCACCACGTCTGACTCATTTTTGTATTTTTAGTAGAGACAGGGTTTCACCATGTTGGCCATGCTGGTCTTGAACTCTGGGCCTCAAGTAATCTACCTGCCTTGGCCTCCTCTCAAAGTGCTGGGATTACAGGAGTGAGCCACCGCTCCTGGCCAACGTTCATAATTGTTGACCTGGTAATTGCCATTTCTGGTCATTTCTCCTAAGGAACTAATCCCCTAAAAGGTAAACACTATAGTTATTCTCATTTGTGATAGTAAAATATCCATATACAAACAAGTATTCCAAGAGGTAGGCAAACTAATTAAGTAAATTATGGTACATGTATTAATTGTAATATTGTTTAAATAATAAATTGATGAATATGAAACAAATAGTTATATTGTTATGTATGCATATGAGCAAGAAATGCATATGAAGACATGTAATTTTATTTGCTTAATGTTGCTTTCATGTTTATGCAATTTTATAACATAATACTGAGGTATGGCTAATGGATGAATAAAGTTGACAGTTTATTTTTGAATGGTTACCTGTTGTTGTTTTTTGTTGTTATTGTTTGTTTTGTTTTGTCTTGTTTTTTGAGACAGAGTTTTGCTCTTGTTGCCCAGGCTGGTGTGCAATGGCAAGATCTCGGCTCACTGAAACCTCCGCCTCCCAGATTAAAGTGATTCTCCTGCCTCAGCCTCCTGAGTGGCTGGCATTACAGGCATCTGCCACTGCGCCCAGCTAATTTTTGTATTTTTAGTAGAGACAGGGTTTCACCATCTTGGCCTGGCTGGTCTTGAACTCCTGACCTCGTGATCCACCCGCCTCAACCTCCCAAAATGTTGGGATTATAGGTGTGAGCCACTGCACCCCGTCTTGTTTTGTTTTTTTGTGTGTCGGAGTCTTGCTCTGTCGCCAGGCTGGAGGGCAGTGGTGTGATCTTGGCTCACTGCAACCTCTGCCTCCGGGTTCAAGCAATTCTCCTGCCTCAGTCTCCCGAGTAGCTGGGACTATAGGCACGTACCACCACGCCCAGCTAATTTTTGTATTTTTAGTAGAGACGGCGTTTCACCATGTTGGCCAGGATGGTCTCCATCTCTTGACCTGGTGATCCGGCCGCCTCTGCCTCCCAAAGTACTGGGATTACAGGCGTAAGCCACCGCGCCCAGCCGTTGTTTTTAATTCTAACACTAATAACGATTTTAAATTCTTTCTTGAACCCCTGGTCTTGTTTGTTTCCAGTTCTGTCCACTTTGCCGTTTAATACCCGATGAGAATCCAAGCAGCTTCAGTGGCAGTTTAATAAGACATCTGCAAGTTAGTCACACTTTGTTTTATGATGATTTCATAGTAAGTATATTTTCTTATTTTTACATTATGTTTTCATGCTGTCTTGTTAAGCTTACCTTTCCGATCCAAGTGAATAAAATTATAGAGGAAAAAATGTGTATATAGCTATAGTGTTGAGTATTAGCATTAAGTAAGAAATCATGAAAATAGAATGTTTTGGCCTGGTGCAGTGGCTCACGCCTGTAATCCCAACACTTTGGGAGGCCGAGGTGGGCGAATCACTTGAGGTCAGGAGTTCAAGACCAGCCTGGCCAACATGGTGAAATCCTATCTCTATTAAAAATACTAAAAATAAAAAAATTAGCCAGGCATGGTGGTACACGCCTGTAGTCCCAGCTACTCGGTAGGCTGAGGCAGGAGAATCGCTTGAACCCAGGAGGCAGAGGTTTCAGTGAGCTGAGATCACACCACTCCACTCCAGCCTGGGCAACAGAGTGAGACTTTGTCTCAAAAAAAAAAAAAATGAAATGCAATTTCAAGATAAAATTTAATAACGATTGAAGATTGTCATTTGAGAATTTTCTCCATGCTTTCTATCTGCCAATTATTATTATCCAGGTTGGATACAAGGAGCTCAGGTTCTAAACTAGTTTTAAGCAATAGCTCTGTCATATATGTGCGACCTTGCAGAAGGTATTTAACCTCGGAAACTCAGTTTGTGCACTGGTTAAGGGAAGAGATTAAAAGCACCTACTCCCAAAATTCTTCTTAGGATTAAATGAGATAATGTATATAAAGTGCTTTGCACAGTTCAGGTGCAGATGTTAGGCAAATTGGAGATGGGATGGGAGTAGAATTGTTAGGACCACTTGAGGAACTGAACAAGGAACATGACAGAGGCTTTAAATTCTCAGCTCCATATCTCTAAGCATGTCTTTTGTGGCCCATATGGCACACAGGCCTCAACAGAACTTGGTTCTGGTCTATGTGTTCTCTCTGGTAATACAAAGAGGTTTCTCTTGGCCGGGCGTGGTGGCTCACACCTGTAATCCCAGCACTTTGGGAGGCCGAGATGGGCGGATCATGAGGTCAGGAGATCGTGACCATCCTGGCTAACACGGTGAAACCCTGTCTCTACTAAAAATACAAGAAAATTAGTTGGGCATGGTGGCGGGCGCCTGTGGTCCCAGCTACTCTGGAGGCTGAGGCAGGAGAATGGTGTGAACTCGGGAGGCGGAGCTTGCAGTGAACCGTGATCGCGCCACTGCACTCCAGCCTGGGTGACAGAGCGAGACTCCGTCTCAAGAGGTTTCTCTTTACCTTAGCTCTATGAGGTGTTCTAAAAGCCAGGTCGATTCTATGGCTGTTCTGTCTAATCATGCTCAGTCTGTTCTCAAGATCTTTCAGACAAAGCATGATCCAGAGCTAGGCAGGATGAAGCCACTTTGATAGGAATACTTTCCAGCCACTCACAGCCATATTCTTGGGTAGGGAAGTGAACTGGAAGTAGTGTTCTTTGTTTTGATTTTTTGCTTCCTGAGCTACTATATACTAAGCTAAGCACTATATGTATATATCACATTTTATTCCTTGTAGCAACTTCCGTGAAGTGAATACTGTATTTTTATCTTCATTTAACTGAAATATCTGAAGCTCAAAGGTTAACTGAATTATCTAAGAACAAGCCAGTATCAAGACCAAACCTTGTGTTCTGCTGTACTTTATGACTTTCCTTTGGATTTTGTGGGGGTTTTTTTGTTTTGTTTTTATATTGCAGAATGGACTTTGAATAGAGATTTCACCTTTTGTTATTGCGGAAGAGGAGAGGGATTGCAGAGGATAGGGTTCTTAATGGTTTTTGTTTTACTTATAGAATGTGCTGACATAGAATTTTGAATTCCACTTTGACACATAGGAGGCAAGGAGAAAGTTTTGTTTTTAACATTTTCTTCAGAAGTAGCCATTCAGTGGTACTGCTGGCATTGGTGAAGCCTGTGGGGGAGCCTGAACTTTGCTCCATTTTACAGGTTTATGTGGAACATAGCACTCTGACCAGGATTTGTAATGGTGACTAAAAACTTCTCATTATATCAGATAAAAACTTCAAATTTCAAATCAAGACTGTTTATTATGACAGTAACTAGTTAATCGATAGACAACAAAGTGAAGTAGAAAATTCATTAGCCCCAAAGCAAAAGTCCTGGGTTCTATGACAGGCTTTGTGGAACCTTGGACAAGTCTCGTAACTTTAGTTCCCTACAAAATGAGGGTGTTGCATTGACCCTCATCCTCTAGTTTCTGAAATACTATTGACTCTGAATATTTCTAATTATTTTTCTTTATTGTAGGATTTTAATATAATTGAGGAAGCTCTTATCCGAAGAGTCTTAGACCGGTCACTTCTTGAATATGTGAATCACTCGAACACCACATAATTTTATTAAAACGAAGGGAAAAGGGACCACTGAATTGCACCATTTAAGATGCTGCTTGAACAAATGGGAGGGAAGTTGTCAATGATTGATGGGCAAAAATGTACAACACAGTTATGTGTTTGTCCATGTTTATTGTTATAGTGCATTTAAAAACTGCTTTAATTTTAATGGTTTAAATCTGTTTTACATCCTTGAGATTCTTACACATCTAACAACAAAAAAAATTATCTACATCAGTCATTGTTACATGGAAAAGACAGGTGGTAGGCAAGTAGGTGGAGGATCTCGGTTTGCAAATTAGATAATACTCTGTGTATAATGCTACATATCAATAACTACCATCATGGTTAGGCACGATAACTAATCTTTGTTCTGTGTAAAAAAATATGGAGAGTGAAACAAAGTGCAGACATTCAAAGAAATAAGAAATCTGCTCCAATGCTCTTGTTCTAATCTCTAATAGGTTAACGTTAATAATCTTGTATGGGAGTTGGAAAGGAAAATTTTGGAAGTCAAGAAAGTCCATTTAGGCCGGACGCGGTGGCTTACGCTTGTAATCCCAGCACTTTGGGAGGCTGAAGCAGGCGGATCACAAGGTCAGGAGTTCGAGACCAGCCTGGCCAACACTGGTCTCTGTGAAACTCCGTCTCTACTAAAAATACAAAAATTAGCTGGACGTGTTGGCGGGCATCTGTAATACCAGCTACTTGGGAGGCTGAGGCAGAAGAATCACTTGAACCCGGGAGGCAGAGGTTACAGTGAGCTGAGATCGCACCAGTACACTCCAGCCTGGGTAACAGAGCTAGACTCCATCTCAAAAAAAAAAAAAAAAAAAATCCATTTAACCAAATTGTCTTACATAATACTGTAACAAAACAAATTTTGTGTTAGAAAAGTATACTTAATTCTTTGACTTTTTATAACTGCATACATAAGAATTCAATATTTTTCAAATATTTATAGCTTATTTAGAAATATTTCTATAATATAAGCAATTTCTTAAAAACCATCAGATGATACTTACAGTATAAGTATTCACATCCAGACTTTTTAGTAGAAAACCCTAAGGGCTTTGATATCTTTTTTGATTGTAACATTTTAAAAATTATGAAATAAAAGTACTGAAAACCAGACACAAAATTTATAGCTGAATGCCTTATTATAAGGAAATACTCTTTTAGGACTCAGCCAGTCACCCCACGTGTCCTTTTTGTGTCCTGTCACAATTACAACCCCACAAAAGTAACTGCTAGACTGATTTAAATGGTAATCACTTTGTTGCATTTGATTACTGCTGCCACACCTAAATGCATATATCTATATTTTAATATTATCAATTTAAAGTTGTTATTAAATGTATATTTTATTTTACATCTCTTTTTTAATCTAGAAGTTCCTCCTTCTTTCCAGTTCCTTAAAATTTACCTGGTGAAGAACCTGATCCTAGGACCTATAGAGTTTCCCATACTTTGTATTTTGCTGATTGCACACTCATGGCACGGTTCAGCACATTGCCCTGTCCTCTCGATATTAGCACACAGTGCAGGTTCAGGCACATTGAATTTGAGAAGACTTAGGTTCAGTCCTTTGGCAAGACTGTAAATCACGGTGTCTTTCTTTCCTTCCTCCTTCTTCTCTCTCTCTCTCTCTCTCTCTTTCCTTTTCTTTCTCTTTTTTTCAGAGTTGCACTCTGTTGCCCAGGCTGGAGTACAGTGGCACGATCTCGACTCACTGCAACCTCCATCTCCCGGGTTCAAGCAGTTCTCCTGTTTCAGCCTCCCAAGTAGCTGGGACTACAGGTGCACGCCACCATGCCCGGCTAATTTTTGTATTTTTAGTAGAGGGGTTTCACCATAATGGTCAGGCTGGTCTTGAACTCCTGAACTCAAGTGATCCACCAGCCTTGGCCTCCCAAAATGCTGGGATTACAGGCATGAGCCACCATGCCCAGCTAATTTTTGTATTTTTAGTAGAGACAGGGTTTCACCATAATAGCCAGGCTGGTCTCAAACTCCTTACCTTGTGATCCGCCCACCTCAGCCTTCCAAAGTGCTGGGATTATAGGCGTGAGCCACTGTGCCCGGCCTACAGGGTTTTTATCTAACCTTTCTGTTACAACTGTACCTCTCCTTCTGTACTGAAAGTCCTGGTTTTCAAGAACACAGGGCACGATAGAATTAGAACATCCCACAATTACTCATTTCTTTTATTTATCTTACACTTACAGCTGTCTCAGAATAACAATAGAAATACAACCACAAATAATATGGCAATTGAAACAATTAAAAAGTTTTCATTTGCTTTTCTCATTCTTTCCCAATTTTTTTTTTTTTTTGAGATGGAGTCTCGCGCTCTTGTTGCCCAGGCTGGAGTGCAATGGCACGATCTCGGCTCACTGCAACCTCTGCCTCCTGGATTCAAGCAATTCTCCTGCCTCAGCTTCCCGAGTAGCTGGGATTATAGGCATGCGCCACCACGCCCTGCTAATTTTGTATTTTTAGTAGAGTCAGGATTTCTCCACATTGGTCAGGCTGGCCTCAAACTCTCGACCTCAGGTGATCCGCCTGCCTCGGCCTCCCAAAGTGCTGGGATTACAGGTGTGAGCCACTGCGCCCGACATCCCAATTTTTAAAATAGTTATACTATGTCAACATTTTCAGAACATACTGGTATAGCATACTGTACTTTCTTCCTTTTATCCCCCATTTATTCTTAGTTCTTCAACTATATATTTAACACTTGCCCCCAGTTTTGTTTTGTTTTGTTTTGAGGAGGAATCTTGCTCTGTTGCCCAGGCTGGAGTGCAGTGGTGTGATCTTGGCTCACTGCAACCTCCGCCTCCCGGGTTCAAGTGATTCTCCTGCCTCAGCCTCTCGAGTAGCTGGGATTACAAGTGGGCACCACCACACCCGGCTAATTGTTGTATTTTTAGTAGAGATGGGTTTTGCCATGTTGGCCAGGCTGGTTTTGAACTCCTGACCTCAAGTGATCCACCTGTGTTGGCCTCCTAAAGTACTGGGATTACAGGTGTGTGCCACCGCGCCAGGCAATTGCCCCCAGTTTTTATTTGATGGCTCTGACTGTTTCTCATATCTGACTCTTTAATTATGAATCCAGGGCATAGATTAGTATCTCCATCTTGTAAGGATGCAAAGAAGCCATGAAAATAAGTAATATCAACTCCTGAGGATAAAACGTTACTTGACTAGAGTTAGCTTTTTAATTGTAATCATTTATAAACTTCTTTGTTCCTTACATATAAGCATAGTCATAACCATGGTACCCAAAATTTTCTATAAGTTATTGTAACTCCTTAAAGGTCTTGCTACAGTTCTTTTATCCAGTACAAATAATTGGGAAAATGTAAAGCTGAATGAAATCTAGTGAGCCTCATATCCTCCCTTTTAGATATTGATTTTAAGTTTGCTTTTCACAGCTGCTAAAAAGTAACAACTGATTTTTAGTTCCACAACCTCTCTTTCTTCAATTTAGATGGATCATACAATAAAGCAAAATCTGGCTGGTTACAGTGGCTCACACCTATAATCCCAGCACTTTGGGAGGCTGAGGTGGAGGGTCTCATGAGCCCAGGAGTTCAAGACCAACCTGGGCAATATAGTGAGACTCTTTCTATTTAAACAAAAACAAAAACAAACAAACAAACAAACAAAAAGCTGGGCATGATGCACACCTTTAGTTTCAGCTACTAAGGAGGCTGAGGTTGGAGGATCACTTGAGCCTAGGAGGTCAACACTGCAGTGAGCTATGATCATGCTACTGCCCTCCAGCCTGGGCAACAGAGCAAGACCCTGTCTCCAAAAACATAAATAATTAAATATAAATAAAAATAAAGCAAAATCTGTTGGGAAACGAGAAAAAGGAGAGGAATTTTTCAGGAATAATCATAAAAAGAAATGATCATCAGACTGAAAGTCCAGAGCCTGAGAAATGAAAACATATTTTTAAGCATTGGTGTTGACCATGCAGACAAACTTTTGTTAATTCAGAGCGATACAAAAGGCACTTTGAATCTATAAAACTTGAAAAAGTTAAAAATTGTATGTCGGATAAAGCTTTAAGTCATCTGTCACTATTAACCTCAGTGCAGCAATTCTGACTCCTGTGCCTGGATTCCTTTTATGATAATTTTGCCACCTACAGGACAGATTAGGTGCTGGTCGCCTGAATTATTTTGTGTTCTGAATTATTTTGAGCTCTAAAATGGTAAAGTACAAATACTCATTGTTTTACTGTGCCTTTGGCCTTTTATAAAAAGGTATTTATAATTCGTTGATAAAAACCAATATTTGAAGCTGTTGATTACCAACAAAAAAGTTTCACTCTCTTTATAGTGCTTCAGGATACAACTTTTTCAGGGCCTTATTAGAGAAAAACTGATTCACATGTTATTCTTCTAAAGCTAAATTATTAAAATGTAGGTTGAAAGATTGGATTGATTGTGAATCTACACTAAAGATATGGTTCCAGGCAGACCTCCTTAGAGACCTCCAGGCAGACCTCCTTACTGTCTTCAGTGATGTTTAATTTCATTACTGTTACTGGGTGCCAAGTGTCTTTCATTTGGAAGTGAACTTACTCCAGTTATTGAATGTTTATCATATCATAATTTGCATTTTTCCAACATTGAAGGTATTTTAAAAAGTCACTAAGAGATTCATTCTTTTATTATTCAACTACAAAAAAATAGTGTAATGATCAGAATTTAAAATGTGTGATTCTTTTTCTTCTGTAAGTATGTATTGCTATGATAAATAAAAAATGGCAGGACCATTGTTTTTATTAAAATATCTACTGTGTCTATTCTTAAACATTAATCTTGATTACTATTTTACTCAAATTTAATAATGCTTTTTAAATTTTCATCATTGAGCAACATCTATCACAAAGGTGTACATTCATTTAGGCCAGTACTTCTCAACTGGGGGTAATTTTGTCTCCCAGCAGACATTGGCAATGTCTAGATACATTTTGGGTTGTCCTAACAGGGCTTGGGTGTGCTAGTGGCCTGAGATCTAGATACAGGTCAGGGATGCTGTTCAGCATTCTACAGTGCACAAGACAGCCCCTTGCAACAAAGAATTATCCTGCGCAAAATGGCAATAGTGCCTAGGCTTAGAAACTCTGATTTGGTCAACATAATACTGAGCACTATGGATTTATTATTTGTTCTGCTAGCAAGAGGCTTCACTGAAATTTAAAAGGTAAGATGTAGATAGATTCTTCCCCCTGCTAAATCCATACTAAGTTTTGAATGGCTGTAGCTGTCATGCGTACCCATATGTCATGAGCATATTAATTTTTTGATTTTTTGCAAGAACACATACAGGACAGAACACAAGTGTTACTGACGAAACCTCTGATGCCTGTTTGCTGAGTGACGTTCTAGATGATTGAGGGAACCCAGATCAGTTGAGAAGATTTACCTTCATCATTTAGATTATCTTTATTGAAATAAGACAAAATATTACAGAGGGACACTCATGTCTGAGATCCTTGAAGCTAATAGTTATGTTTTTGTATTATTACTAGAAAATCGTGTGGTATTTTAATCCTAAAGATTTCAGCAAAGACAATGCATGGATCTTAAGGCTAATCATTGCCACCAAAATAGCCATGTAAGAAGCCCAACGAAGGAGAATCACAGGGAGTAGTATTGATCTAGGTGAACTGGATTATGGTACAATTACAAGTCCCAAATCCCAGTGCTCACCCAAAGTCTACTGTGGTTCCTGGCTCTTCTCCAGGGAAGCTGTTCTCCAGCTTCAGAATTCCAGGGTACTTTCATCTCATGGCATTTGTATATCACTGTGTGTTCCTATATCACCCCTCGCAACAGGCTGCTGAGTTGGCTACACAGGTAATTTCTGTTCATTATTTGCCAATGCAAGTCACATGGCCATATGTAATGTCAAGGCACTGAGGAAATCCAGTCTTCTCATGTAGAAGACAACTGGATACTGAGGCATAATAGTAATACCAACCATGAAGGTACAAGCCAGGCAGAGTTGACAAGACAGGAAGTACACAGGGTAAAGACATTAAAAATATGTGTGGAAAGGAGGGGTGAAAAGTCAAAATGAGACTAGCTTTCTAAAACATGAAGTCATGTTCATTTTTGCCATGGTAGTATTTTCTTTTTCTTTTCTTTTTTTTTAGAGATGGAGTCTTGCTCTGTTACCCAGGCTGGAGTGCAGTGGCACGATCTCAGCTCACTGCAACCTCCACCTCCCAGGTTCAAGCAATTCTCCTGTCTCAGTCTCCTGAGTAGCTGGGACTACAGGCATGCACCACCATGCCCAGCTAATTTTTGTATTTTTAGTAGAGACGGAGTTTCACCATATTGGTCAGGCTGGTCTCGAACTCCTGACCTCAGATGATCCGCCTGCCTTGGCCTCCCAAAGTGCTGGGATTACAGGCGTGAGCCACCACGCCTGGCCCTGCCATGGTAATATTTTCATTAATTTTACTTAAAGTTTGGGATTATTTTACAAAATGAAAGAACTGTCAGTTTCTCAGACATAAGATAGTGATTTCTTTTTTTGAATTGTTCTTTCTTATTTATTAACAAAAATGCCAAATATGTTCTCTGTCCCTTACAACAGTATTTTCTCAGTGTACTCCTTGTGTGCCGCCATCAGAACCACTTGGGATACTTGTTATAATTACACTTTCCTGGGCCCTCTCCAGATGTACAGAATCTCTGAAATTATCATGGATTCATCAGGAAGTCATTGATATGTATGCCAACCTGCCCATTTCTCACCACCTCCATTTTTACAATTCTACTCCATCCATCAGCGTCTCTTGCCTGGATCCCTAGAGCTATCTAACTGGACTCTGTGCCCACATTTAAGAAATTGTCCATTTCTTAGCCAGTTGTGGTGGCTCACGCCTGTAATCCCTGCATTTTGGGAGGCTGAGGTGGGTGAATCATCTGAGGTCAGGAGTTCGAGACCAGCCTGGCCAACATGATGAAACCCCGTCTCTACTAAAAATACAAAAAATTGGCCAGGCACAGTGGCTCATGCCTGTAATCCCAGCACTTTGGGAGGCCAAGATGGGTGGATCACCTGAGGTCGGGAGTTCAAGACCAGCCTGACCAACATGGAGAAATCCCAACTCTACTAAAAATACAAAATTAGCTGGGCTTGGTGGTGCATGCCTGTAATCCCAGCTACTCAGGAGGCTGAGGCAGGAAAATTGCTTGAACCTGGGAGGTGGAGGTTGCAGTGAGCCGAAATTGTGCCATTGCACTCTAGCCTGGGCAACAAGAGCTAAACTCCATCTCAAAAAAAAAAAAAAAAAAAGGTCCATTCCTCATACAGCAGTTGGAGAGATCTTTAAAAGCATCAATCTGATTGTGCCATGCCACCTTTTCACTGCTTAAAATGCTCCCAGGGCCTCCATTGTTTTCTTTGTTGTTGTTGTTTGTGTGTGTATGTCCACGAGTCATTTTATTTGTAAATATATATTACATCTCTAGAAAAGAATCCTAGGATTTTCCCTCCTGTGTGTTTTCGTCTTTGCTTCTTCATGGTCCATGATGCCAGCTGAGGTTGTCAGTACAATGAAACCAAACTGGCAGGATGGGAGCAGATTATTCTGCCATTTTTCTAGATCTTTGAGTTGCACGTCAAATCTGGGGCTAATCACTCTACACTTGTTTAGCCTGCCTGTGAGGTTCACAATCTTCCCAGCTCTGATCATCAATGATTTCAGACTCGCCAATGTAACCATGCTTCATTATCACAGTTAGAAACCGGATGATGACTTTGGAGCATGGCCCAATAAGAACCTGGTGTTTGCCTCTCTTTTTGGCATTGTTGATGCTCTTGAGAGCATCAGCCAGGACATTTATGCGCACCATTGTGGTGACATGGAAAGATTGTGGAAAGAGGTTTTTTTTGGTTGTTTTTTTGTTTTTTTTTTGAAACAGGGTCTCACTCTGTCTTCCAGGCTGAGTGCAGTGGTATGATTACAGCTCACTGCAACCTCGACCTTTTGGGCTTGAGCCATCCTCCCACCTCACCCTCCCTAGTAGCTGGGATCATAGACATGCACTACCATGCTGGGCTAATTTGTAAAATTTTTGTAGAAATGGAGGTCTCACTATGTTGCCCAGGTTGGTCTCTTGGACTCCAGCCATTCTCTTGCTTTGGCTTCTCAAAGTGTTGAGATTACAGGTGTGAGCCAACACGCCCGGCCTCCATTATTATGAGAATAAATTCTAAAGGCCTTTCCATGCCCTTCAATGAAAGCCCTTCACAACCTGGTCCCTGCCCACTCTCCAACTTCATCTCACTCCACTCTCTCCCTTGATCCTTATACTTCGGCCACACTGTTAGGTTTATTAAACACACCAAACTTACAGTGGGTCCTGCATCTTGGCACTTTCTATTCCTTCTGTTTGAAAAGCTCTTCGCTGGGAGTTTGACATGACTGCCTTCTAAATCATTCAACTGTCAGCTCAAATGTCATCTTCTCATAAAGGAATTACCTTGTAATTCCAGCCAAAGTCACTCCTCCACCAAATCTGTCTATTGTTTTACTGTAATGTCTCCATAACTGTACTAGAATGAGAAGTTATCTTATACATTTATTTTCATTTTTATTGGTTATTTCCTCTCTCTAGAATATAAATTTTGGATTGCAAGTATTCACCACTAAATTCTCCAAAATCTAAAACAATGGCACATGTCAAGTACTTAGTAAATATTTCAGCTGTCTAATCTATCATGAGACCTACTGATGATATATACACATATACATCATCAGTGTGTGATGATAACACACATATAAAACATCCAGCATGAAGTAGAAGGATTGCTTGGCCCAGGAGTTCAGGAATTTGAGGCTATAGTGCACTATGATAGTGCCTGTGAATAGCCACTGCATTCCAGCCTGGGCGACATAGCAACCCCTCTCCCCATTTTTTTTTTTTTTTTTTTTTTTGAGACATGTAATCCCAACACTTAAGACGGAGTCTTGCTCTGTTGCCCAGGCTAGAGTGCAGTGGTGTGATCTCAGCTCAATGCAACCTCTGCCTCCCGGGTTCAAGCGATTCTCCTACCTCAGCCTCCTGAGTAGCTGGGATTACAGGCATGTATCACTACGCTCAGCTAATTTTTGTATTTTAGCAGAGGCAGTGTTTCACCTTGTTGGCCAGGCTGGTCTCGAACTCCTGACCTCAAGTGATCCGCCCACCTCGGCCTCCCAAATTGCTGGGATTACAGGTGTGAGCCACCTCGCCGGGCCGTAAAACCCCATTTTTGAAAGAAGAAAAAAATCATAATATTACCAGTAATCAAAGACATTAACTTGACCACTCTAGTCATGTACCATTTTTCTCTCTTAGCATAATGTCTGGCATAGTGTAACCTCTAATAATTTTTTTTTTTTTTAGAGACATGGTTTCACCCTCTCACCCAGGCTGGAGTGCAGTGGTGTGACATGGCTCACTGCAGCCTTGACCTCCCAGGTCCAAGTGATCCTCCTACCTCAGCCTCCTGAGTAGCTGGGACTATAGGCACACACCACCACATCTAGCTAATTTTTAAAATTTTTTGTAGAGACAGGGTCTCACTATGTTGCCTAAGCTGGCTGCAAACTCCTGGGCTCAAGTGACCCTCCCACCTCAGCCTCCCAAAGTGCTGAGATTACAGGCGTGAGCTACCAGGCCCAGCCTCCAATAAATATTTTTTGATTCAGTCTATTAGCAAAATTTCTCAATTAATAATCCCCCATGAAAGGATGATATGGTGAAACTGGCATATTGTGCTGGTGATAGCGGTATAACTTACACATTTCAAAGCAAGTTGATAGTAATATCTTACCTCTTGGCCCAGTAATTCTACATCTGGAAATATTTCCTGGCACTCTAATCCAAAATGGAATCTATATGCAGGATAAAATTTATTGCAACACCATTCATAATGACAAAAAAAGGAGTGGGACGTAATAAAGTCTAATAACGGTTAAATAGTGGCACTTTTTGATTGTCACTGTCATTAGATAGGTGAATATCCTTCCTGTAGGATATAGCTTAAAAATAATAATAATAAAGATCGGTGAATACATCATTCATAGCTGGGCACGGTGGCATGTGCCCATAGTAGTCCCAGCTACTTGGGAGGCCGAGGCATGAGGACTGTATAAGCCCAGGAGTTCAACGCTGCAATGAGCTATGATCATGCCATTGCACTCCAGCCTGGGCAACAGAGTGAGACCAAATCTCTAAAAAAAAAAGAAAAGAAAAAAAATACATCATTCAGTTTACTGTCAAGTCAGCTTGGGAAGAAATGTGTATCTTTAAATTACTATATTTAAACTTTGCTTTAGTTAGTTTTAATTTAATTCTCATAGAGCAATCCTTTTCACTGTTTCTAAGGTTTTAGGAAATATTTTATTGTTGCCCTAGTCCTTCCATCCCCAACACATCATGTTGTTTTATGCCTCTGTGATTTTGCACACTTTTTCCTCAGCCTGAAATAAATTTCATTATTTTTCTGAAAAGACTTCCTTGACCCACCCAAGTAGAGTCAGTCACACCATCTTTTATATCACCAGTATCCCTTGACCATACATCTATTGCTACAGTTATCACATTATATTTCTTTGTTTATATATCTGAGATCCATGAGATGGGGAGTTCCTTGAGGGCAAAGGTTGGGATTTATCTTTGTAATCACAGGGCTTTACTAGAAATTCAATTCATGTGTCAATCTGCTCAGGCTACAATAAAAAAATACCATAGACTGGGTGACTTCAGTAACAGATTTTTGGACAGCCGACTTCTCACTGCGTCCTTACATGGTGGGGAGGGAGAGAAAGAGAGAGAGAAGATCTCTGGAGTCTCTTATAAGGGGATTAATCTCCTCTGAGGGTTCCACTCTCCTGACCTCATCTAATCCTAATTACCATCCAAATGCCCCATCTTCAAATACTATCAAATGGTGGGTTAGAGCTTCAACATATGAATTTTGGAAGACACAAACATTCAGTCCTTAACAACATGTTCATTGACTGGATGAATGAATGGCTAAAAAATGGATGAGACTATTCATGTTAGCTTTTCAGTGTATTTTCTTAGCAATAAAGCCTACATGGGGAGCAAAATTATAATGAAGAAAGCAGCCCTGTGTCTAAATTTGTGCATTATTGTTTCTGGAACTTAGCAACAGTGTCATGCATCTCTGTAGGCACTCCATAAACATCTGATAAATAAGTTAGTGAATAAATTGTAGTTTGATATGCTTACACAAGATGTTCTTAATGAATAATGTCTTCAAGCCAGATGCATTCCTTCTCTTTAGAGATATGCCCATCAAGTGAACCAAACTACCAGACAACTTCTCTCCTGGACAGAGTTCTAAAGTAAAGATTTAGTCCAGTGATATAGCTCTTATAGGAGAAGCGGTATTATTTTGTGTTCATTTTAAAGCTATAGTGCTAATTCTGAAGGACAACTGTATATATTATAGTTGCTGAGTTTCATTGGCTCTAGATGTTACAGTGTAGTAATCTGCTACAGAGTCAACCTAGGTAACCAAATAAAATGGACTAACCTAGGTAATCACGTAAAATGAAGAAAATGTTTAGCTCTTATATCCACTATGTTTTTGTTTTTGTTTTGTTTTGTTTTGAGATGGAGTCCCGCTCTGTCGCCCAGGCTGGAGTGCAGTGGTGCAATCTCGGCTCACTACAACCTCCGCCTCCTGGGATCAAGCGATTCTCCTGCCTCTGACTCCCTGGTAGCTGGGATTACAGGCACGCGCCACCACGCCCAGCTAATTTTTGTATTTTTAGTAGAGACAGGGTTTCACCATGTTGGCCAGGCTGGTCTCAAACTCCTGACCTCAGGTGATCTGCCCACCTCGGCCTCTCAAAATGCTAGGATTACAAGTGTGAGCCACCACGTCCGGCCTATCCACTATGTTTTGATATACCTCTAAGGGTATTTCACTTTGTGCCTTTGAAACACTCTTACTAATGTATGCAAGAAGGTCAAAGTCTTATAACAAAATCATACTGTCCTTTGACAGTATTTCAAGGATGTGTCCTCCAGAAATTTCCGCCTTGAGGCATGCTGGTTTTAAAACTACCTTAAAGAGAGAAACTGTAACTTTCTAATTTAAAAAACTTAATAAAGTGATCAAACTCTTAGAATGGTAGTTGAAAGTAGAAAAGGGGAGTTGTTGTTCATGGGTATGGAGTTTCAGTTCTGCAAGATAAAACGTTTTAGAGATCTGTTGCGTAACAAGGTGACTATAGATAACGCTACTGTCTTATACACTTAAAAGTCATGAAACCTCGTCTCTACTAAAAATACAAAAAATTAGCTGGGCGTGATGGCGGACGCCTGTAGTCCCAGCTACTCGGGAGAATGGCGTGAACCCGGGAGGCGGAGCTTGCAGTGAGCCAAGATGGCGCCACTGCACTCTAGCCTGGGGGACTGTGCGAGACTGCGTCTCAAAAAGGCAAAAAAAATAGGGTCAGAATGGGCTGGGCGCGGTGGTTTACGCCTGTAATCCGAGCACTTTGGGAGGCTGAGGCAGGCGGATCACGAGGTCAGGAGTTTGAAACTAGCCTGACCCAACATGGTGAAACCCCGTGTCTACTAAAAATACAATCATTAACCGAGTGTGATGGCGCAGGTCTGTAAGCCTATAATCCCAGCTACTCAGGAAGCTGAGGCAGGAGAATCGCTTGCATCCGGGAGGCAGAGGTTGCAGTGAGCCAAGATCTCGCCACTGGACTCCATCCTAGGCAACAGAGTGAGACTACATCTGAAAAAAAAAAAAAAAAAGGTCAGAATGGTAAATTTCATGTTGTGTGTTTTTAAACACAAAGAAAAAAACAACAAACAAAAAATTTTAAGCAAATACCATGGTGTATATATAGTTCTATGACACCCAGTTTAGGAAATTATAATTGTCAGTGAAATTTAGGAAAGAAGAAATGTCATCTTACTGGCAAAGCTCTTGGGGTTTCAAAAATGAAGTATTTAAATATAGAGACAACAACTTTACTCTCTGTTGCTATTTTTTTCACCCACTGGTCTCTCTCCAGACTTTGGATGAAGCTTAAAGCACAGAACATTGTTTGCTTGTTTCCCCCACCATTTGCAGTGATTGTACCATCTCTTAGATATTTACTGAGTTACAAGTTATAGTTAGTATCACCCCCATTTTAACTTAATTACTTTTTAAAAGCCATACCTCCAAAAAGAGTCACATTCTAAGGTACTGGGGTTAGAACTTAAACATAGGAATTGGGGAGAGAAAAGGATACAATTCAACCTATAAAATCTATTATAATTTAAAATTTTTAATATTAAACTTTCTCTGTTCAAATTATTGTGTGGTTTCTCTCTCATGATTAGACCCAGACTGATAAATCAGATTGTGTTGATTTTTCCTGAGCACTTTCAATAAGGTACAACCAGAAATTTACATTCTTCCATGGAGATTTTTCTGGATGTGAGTAGAAAAAAGGAAGTTGGGAATTGAGAATGTGGAGGTCCAAATGAAGAAAGTAATCATTTGATGGACTGAGGTACAGGAGTCAAGTTCTTTGATTCACTTCCTTTTCTGTATGTAAGTTTGAAATGCTGAGTGGGAAAGTTTGAGATCCTGGCAACCGGAGTGGGAAGGAATGAATGGAATGGAGGGTTTGGGGAATCTTGGCTCCCTGAGCTACATTAGAGAACCTCACACTGGCTTCCCTCCTGGCAAATCAAATAGGATGTCACTATCAGTACAAAATACATTGGACTGGTATTCAGTACATTACACTGGCTTCCCTCCTGGCAAATCAAATAGGAAAACAAAACCTCACACTGGCTTCTCTCCTGGCAAATCAAATAAGATGTCACTACCTGCACAAAATACATTGGACTGGTATATGTATATACACACACAAACACACACACACACATATATATACATGGACACACATCATATATATTATATTTGTATTTATATTATATGTATGTTTAAATATAAGTAGAGAGTTTATTTGGGCCAAGTTTGAGATCTGCAACCTGGGAGCGTAGATTCAGGATGCTGTGAATTCAGATCACCAGGCAATATTTTAGGGAATAGAGAAGACCTCTCTGCCAGCCCAGGTAGTCGTCTTCACGCTGTCCTGATATAAAGTTTGTCAAACAGAGTGTACTGGGATATACATCGCCCCCAGAGTTGCTGCTAAGGAACGGAAACTCTATGTGTGTAGGCCAGCCTTGGCTCTTCAATTTAGCAGCCCTGCTGACCTGACATTTTTGGTGTTTGCTTTTAGGAATTTCCCCTATAATGAAAATGATGGACAGGTGACTAAGTTTTTATTAGAATTATAGCACTGGAAAAACACAATTCGTATAACAGGACTGTGATTCATTGAAACCAATGTCCCAGTTCCTTGGAGACCCTAAGGTCCTCAGGGCATTTGTGGACTCCAATACCTTTAACAAAAAGTGAATTGTGAGATATACCCATCCTCTCTCCCCAAACAGGGTAGTCTCCTCTAATGTCCTTTCAGATGCTCCCTTGACAATAGAAATGATCCCAGAAGGCAATATCAGAGAAGCTAGATTTGTTGGCAATAGAGCTCTCACTGTTGCAAAGTCAACCAAATGATGCCCATGAGATGCTGTGGTTCTCTGCTTTACTTTATTAATTCTGTCCAGCAACAGATGGTACATGTCCTGTGTTTCTTCCCCTTTTTCCATGTTCTAAATGGAAGTTTTCATTGTAGTTGTATTTGCTCTCCATTGTGGTACATAACAGGTGGTTGATAGGAATTACATTTCTTATTTGGTCTAAGGTTGCAGTATCATGAGATCTCAAAATTGGACCAGATTAAGACCCAAGTAAAGGGAAAGGTAAATCATTTGGCAATACTGAACTGGAAAAATAGTGGTCTCATGACATTGTGACATTGCTGCTAGAAGGGACTTTGGATTACCTCCTTTCGAGAAAATAATAAATGCCTATATATTAAGGGGTAAGGCTGGAATTATTGAACTTCATGTATAGAAAGAAGGGCTTATATGTGGGCTGGAGGGTTCTTCTGTTTCCCTAAAATGTAGGCTTTGTTTGCTTTTTAAAATTGGTGTCAGGCTTTTGCCTCCAGTGTGATACTGGAACTAATCTTGTTATAGTTTCCTCTGTCCTGGCGAGGAAGCCGGGGCAGAACAATGCCCAGAGGATGTTAATAAATGTGGAGTAGGTCAGGTGCGGTGGCTCATGCCTGTAATCCCAGCACTTTGGGAGGCCTAGGTAGGCAGATTGCTTGAGCTCAGAAGTTTGAAACCAGCCTGGGTAACATGGCCAAACCCCATCTCTACAAAAATTAGCTGAGTGTGGTGGTGTGTGCCTATGGTTCTCACTACTCAGGAGGCAGAGGCAGGAGGATTGACTGAGCCTGGGAGTTTGAAGCTGCAGTGAGCTATGATTGTGCCACTGTACTACAGCCCGGGCAACAGAGGCGAGACCCTGTCTCGAAAAAAAAAATGTGGAGTAAAGGAAAAACAAAAAGGGAAAAAAAGGAAAGAGGGAGGGAGAAAAGGTAAGAAAAAGAAAGGGAGAAAGGGAGAGAAGAGCGAGAGAGAAATGGAGAAAGATCTTTTAGCTTCAAATTTAAATGTTTCTCTCAAAGATTAAAAAACAACTGACCAGGTGCGGTGGCTTACACCTGTAATCCCAGCACTTTGGGAGGCCGACGCAGGTGGATCACCTGAGGTCAGGAGTTTGAGACCAGCCTAGCCGACTTGCTGAAACCCCATCTCTACAAAAATACAAAAATTAGCCAGGCTTGGTGGCGCATGCCTGTAATCGCAGCTACTTGGGAGGCTGAGGCAGGGGAATCGCTTGAACCCAGGAGACGGAGGTTGCAGTGAGCCGAGATAGTGCCACTGCATTCCCGCCTGTGGGATAGAGCAAGACTATGTCTCCAAACAAACAAACAAACAAACAAAAAAACAAGAACAGTGTCAAAGAAAAGTTGAAATGTGAGTTGATTTGTTGAAATCTATTCATCATTACTGGTCTACTCTAGGGCTCTGCCTCCTAGGACAGCATAGTTTATTCAGTGAAGTGACTTTAGCTGCATTCCGAATATCTGTTTCATTGTTGGTTTGCTCTCTTTCTACTGACTGATTTGTGTGTTTGGGCAAGGGAGAAGGTGGCTGCCCCACAGCTCCTGTGTTAACATGCCTTCCAAATTAAGGGATTTGATAGAGACTGACTAGAATATCAGAATCTCAGTTCCACAGTTTTGGGAGACACAGTGTGGCTATCACAAGCTGGGATTATATTCACCTCTATCCTAATCAACTGTAACATAGAGGCCAGATTCCACAGGATAAACAGGGTCACCGGGGCTACTCATATGAACATTGTTAAAAATGGAAGCTGTATAATAATACATAAAATATGGATGATATGAAATTAAATGTCATGAAAATTCATGTTCATAATGACATTTATGAAGAAGTTGAAATGTAACTGTCTCAAACTGGGGTGAATTCAAAAGATAAATTCCTTCATTTTCTATAGTTAATTTAATCTCACTTTTGAACTTCCATTTCAGCTACTTTGCAGAGGTGTGAGGAGAGAATTTAAGCTTACAATGAAAAGTAACCCAGTTCCTTGTCTTTGGGAAGGAAGAACCACTTTGCGGCATTTCTTTGTCACTTGCCTCTCCTCTCCTTCTGAACTGTTGATTCAGCTAGGAAACTGGGACAGGGGCCAATCAGGAAAGCGGAGCTTGCAAGGGTGGTTCAGTAGAGGATGATTAATATGGGAAACTAATTACAAAGACATTAAAAGAGCAGAAAGGCCAAGTTGACAGTGAAGCAAATACACAAGGCATTGAGAAAAGGAAGGGCCTGCCCAGCAGGAAGCAGGACCAAAGAAAGTGCAGCCTCACAGAAGCCAAAACCGCAGAAGAAATGAAACCACTGCCAGAAGCAGAGAGAGAGAGAGAGAGAGAGAGAGAGAGAGAGAGAGAGAGAAAGCTGGGTGAGGGGGCTCACACCTGTAATCCCAGCACTTTAAGAGGCCAAGGTGGGAGGATCACCTGAGGTCTGGAGTTTGAGACCAGCCTGACCAACATGGTGAAAGCCCATTTCTACTAAAAATACAAAAAATTAGCCGGGTGTGGCGGCGGGTGCCTGTAATCTCAGCTACTTGGGAGGCTGAGGCAGGAGAATCGCTTGAACCTGGGGGTGGAGGTTGCAGTGAGCCAAGACTGCACCATTGTACTCCAGGTTGGGCAACAAGAGTGAAACGACTTATCAAAAAAAAAAAAAAAAAAAAAAAAGAGAGAGAGAAGTAACTTGGTTTCGTTCTTCCTTCCTTCCTGATCTCTCATTGGTGCCTCGTATTGGCTGAATATAGCCAGAAGTCAGCTGGTAAGGGAAACTGGGAAACAGTTTATAAGAGTCAGCTCCAACAAAAAGAGCAGAACAACAAGGGCAGAACAGGGAAAGAGATGCAGAAAGGCAAATGCCTAGGTCAGATACTTCCAACTACAAATAACCAAAGAACCCACTGAGAATGGCTCAAACTAGAAGGTGTTTAATTAATCTTGATTAACAGATAGGAGGGAGGGCAGTTTCAGGGTTGACTAGAGTAATTGAATAATTCAAATATTAATATATCAAGAACCTATATATTCTTTCCATCTTTCAGCTTTACCACCTTCAGCACATTGGCTTTTCTTTTCACGGCTGGCTCTTTACATGGTTTCATCCTGCTTGTAGTTCCACGTAGCACATATAGACAAAGAAACATCTAGATGGGGGAGTAGATTTGTCTTTTTTTTTTTTTTTTAAGAGACAAGCTCTTGCTGTGTTGCTTAGGTAGGACTCCTGGGCTCAAGCAATCCTCCTGCCTCAGCCTCTCGAATAGCTGGGACTATAGGTGCACACCACTGCACCTAGATATTTGTGTTTTTTTTTTTTTTTTCTGAGACAGGTTCTCTGTTGTTCAGGCTGGAGTGCAGTGGAGTGATCATGGCTCACTGCAGCCTTGACCTCCCAGGCTCAACCAGTCTTCCTAACTCAGTCTCCCGAGTAGCTGGGATTACACGTGTGAGCCACCACACCATGCTAATTTCTAATTTTTTTTTTTTAAGATGGAGTTTTGCTCTTGTTGCCCAGGCTGGAGTGCAATGGCATGATCTCAGCGCATCGCAACCTCTGCCTCCCAGGTTCAAGTGATTCTCCTGCCTCAGCCTCCTAAGTAGCTGGGATTACAGGCTCCTGCCACCACACCCAGCTAATTTTGTATTTTTAGTAGAGGCAGGTTTCTCCGTGTTGGTCAGGCTGGTCTCGAACTCCCGACCTCAGGTGATCTGCCTGCCTCGGCCTCCCAAAGTGTTGGGATTTCAGGTATGAGCCACCATGCCTGGCCTCTAAAATGTTTTTGTAGAGACAGGGTCCCACTATGTTGTCCAGGCTGGTCTCAAATTCCTGACCTCAAGCTATCCTTGTACCTCAGCCTCCCAAAGTGCTGGAATTACAGGAATGAGCCACCATGCCTGGCCTTGTCTTTGATCATCAAAGAAAAGTGCTTGCTGATGCCCCTCATAATAATTCCCTTCACAGCCTTTTGGTCATAACTGAGTCACATACACACTCATGCTTAAACCACTGGTAAGAGGAAACGGCCAATCTAGGGAAGGCTTGGAAGCTCTGCACCTCTTCCCCCATACCTTACCCTATGCGTCTCGTCATCTGTATCTTTTGCAATATCCTTTATAATATACCAGTAATCGTGTTTCTCTGAGTTCTGTGTGCTGCTTCAGCTTCAAGTTGCGGTTCCCAGAGCCCACTCTTTCGGTTTCATTAATTTGCTGGAGCAATATCCTTTATAATACACCAGTAATCATGTTTCTCTGAGTTCTGTGCACTGCTCCAGCAAATTAATGAAACCCAAAGAGTGGGCTATGGGAACCGCAACTTGAAGCTGGTTGGTCGGAAGTTCTGGAGGCCCGGACTTGTAAGTGGTGTCTGGGGGTATGGAAGCCAGTCTTGGGAACTGGGCCCCCAACCTGTGGGATCTGACACTGTCTCTGGGTAGGTAGGAACTGAATTAGAGGACACCCATTTGCTGTCTGCTGCTTGGTGCATGGGGAAAACCCCCCACATATTTGTTCACAGAAGTCTTCTTCTGTGTTGATTGTTGTGGTGCGTGAGAGTAAAGGTAAAATATGGTTAGAGTTTTCCCTACACAATTGGTTATTGTGGAGGTTAAAGAACTCCATCATGGATGTTAACATGCTAGGTTGACTTCTGATTAACCCCAGTTCCAGGAATGCCCCTAAGAGTTCTTCTTTATGATTCCTTGTGTAAAAAGAGCATGGTCTTAATCATAAATCCTGCCCTTAAGCAAATTATAGGCTGTAATGCACATAGTATTCTTGTCTTTCCCTCAGGGGTGAACTTTAATTTTCCTGCACATTATGTATACCCTTTCCTTATGGTCTGCAGGATAACAATACGAAGATCCACCTGTCTTGCTGCTGCCCAAGACCACACTTCCATCCACAAGTTCCCCAGTAAATCACCTGCTACCAGCAAACTGGATTTGTTTGCCTCTTCTTTGGATTTTTGGCTTCTTCTGCATTTGAGAGTCACTTTGCATATATAGCCCTTTCATGGAACAGTTGTGTATGTACATAGTCAAGAGTAATATTTAGCTAATATTTGCTAAAATAAAAATATTTAGCAACTGGAACCAAATTGGCACTGGTCATTCAGGACAGACTACTCACCAGTCAGGATGGACAAGGCTGAAAAAGACTAGGAAAATGGTACTGGTACAAACCAGCTGAGTGTCAACACTGCACATGGTAGCAATTTACAAAGATACCAAAGGGTAGAGAGTGAAACATGAGCCTCTCTCCTGTTCCATCCTCCAGCTTCCCAGTTCACTTCTTCAAAGGCAATCACTTTTACCAGCAAAACAGGATTTTGAAGGTTTGTAGTAAGATAAAGCCAGGCCTTGTCAAGAAATCAGTATTCTAAATTATTTTATTTTTCTCTTTTGCATATCAAGATCCATCGAACTTGACTGGAGAGTTTTATTTACTTATTTTGATTTTTTATTTTTTGAGACAGAGTCCCGCTCTGTCACCCAGGCTGGAGAGCAGTGGTGCCATCTCAGCTCACTGCAACTTCTGCCTCCTGGGTTCAAGCCACTCTTCTGCCTCAGCCTCTGGAGTAGCTGGGACTATAGGCATGCATACCATGCCCGGTTAATTTTTGTATTTTAGTAGAGACAGGTTTCGCCATGTTGTCCAGGCTGGTCACGAACTCCTGACCTCAAGTGATCTGCCTGCCTCGGCCTCCCAGAGTGCTGGGATTAGGAGCATGATCCACCACGCCTGGTCTTGACTGGAGAGTTTTAGAGCACCCAATCAGCAAGAAGTGGCAAGGGGAAAAGTCCATTCCTTCTAATCCAAGAGACTGTAGGAGAAGAAACAAAGTAGGGGCTTCATTCTGGGGGGGAAAGGTGGTTTAGATGGGTTGGAGTGTGTGCCCTGGAAGCACATGGCCTTACAGGCTGTTCAGAACCAGAGGGAGAACCACAAAGGATGTCATAGACAGTAGTTGTGTTGAGAGCCAGAGAGCCTGCTAAGGAGCCTGCCATGTTGAGGGTTAAGGAATTGGAAGGTGATCGTGGCAGGAATCAGAAGGTTTTACAGTGTTGGTGAAGCTAGGACATATCTCAGGGCCTTGGCCCAGCTGAGAGACAGGTCCGAGCAATCTTCATCAGCAAGTTTCAGCAAGAGAACACCCAGGACACATTACATCTCAAGGAGCAGAGAAAATTAGTCTGGCTAAAGAAAATCCGGCAAAAATGCAAAAGAGAACTTGCAGATTTCAGGAGCCAGATTCCCCTATAGTGCCTTGAGTTCATGTCAGCTACCCATCATCCTCCCTTCCCTTCTCCCAAATGCCATTCTGAGGGAAGCCCACTGAGAGGGACTGACTGGTTTAACCCAAACTTAAAGGAACTGTTTAAATTATTGCAGCACAGTTTACCAAATCGGTCTACATCTAGGGTTTTCCCTTCTAATGACCAAAGGCTGAGGACATTTTATTTACGCAGCTGAATGTATTTTGAGTAAATCTATGACATTCTTATAAAAATATCAAGTAGCTTTTCACCAGAAATGTTGCCAAGAAAGAAGATTGTGTCATTGGTAATTGCAACTTATTTTTTTAAGCTTAACTTTCCAAGGGTATCTATATTTTTCTTATGTCCAAGTTTTTGCTGGATTTCCACATATTGCCAGCTATATGCTTACGTGTATACCGAATGACTTATTAGAATATATGGGGGAGTGATACAAATATGTTTGGATTAGACATAAGTAAAGCTGCCGTTGCAGAGAAAGAATGAAGCAAATAAAATTAGGGTCACAAAATTAATGTTATGGTTAGATATTCCCAATGAATAATGGGAAACACTATTATACAGAAAATACACCTTACTTCCTAAATGGTCAGAATGAATGAAATGAGTGGAATTATCAAAAAAGTAAAATGTAGGCCAGGCACAGTGGCTCAGGCCTGTAATTCCAGCACTTTGGGAGGCCAAGGTGGGCGGATCGCTGGAGGCCAGGAGTTCGAGACTAGCCTGGCCAACATGGCAAAACCCTGTCTCTACTAAAAATGCAAAAATTAGTTTGGCATGGTGGTGCATGCCTGTAATCTCAGCTACTTGGGAGGCTGAGGCAGGAGAGTTGCTTCAACCTGGAAGGCGCAGGTTGAAGTGAGCTGAGATCATTCCACTGCACCCCAGCCTGGGTGACAGAGTGAGATTCTGTCTCAAAAGAAAAAAGAAAAAAAGTGAGTTTTCTTCTCTGGGCTGTTAAAAATTTGAACTCAAAGAACCATTTTATAAGTGAATGTGAAAAGCACCTGAACTACTGCTATTAGCTGCCCCTCTCGTCACGTGCTCTTCCTCCTTCCAGGAAATCTGAAGCTAGTATTAGCTTTCTTGTCTTGCTTCCACTGCGCTTGCTGCTAAGGAGGAAAAGCAACAAAAATACAAAATATAGTTTGGTAGAGGGAATTAGCTATTCATTGGACAAATTATTATTATTCTAGGAATCAATGCTTTTGAGATGTACATTAAAACCCATTTCCTCCATAAAGTTTTCTGTTAACTCTATATATTTCTAATCATTCCATTTCCTATCCTCATTATAGCCATCGTTTAATGCAAAATTTAATACTTTGGCAAATACCATTTTTTCTCTCTCATTCTGATAGATATGTAATAATGTAAACAGGTTGAGAGCAAAGTTCATGACATCTGCATAACACCTAACAATGCCAATGTCAACATAGACAATAAATGGCAGAATTGATTTAAATAGTCCCTTAAATGGCTTCTGTTTATTCATTTAGACCATGGGGGAGGGTTTTAACAAAGGATGGTAATAAAACCTTTCTTTTCTCTGAAGCTAATTGTAGATGCTGTATAATGTTCCAGATTTTCCTTAGCTTCTTTCACGTCATTGTGGATCCCATCTTATCGATTTATCCTTTTTTTGTTCTTCTTTTTTTTTGAGAGTCTCACTCTGTCGCCAGGGCTGGAGTGCAGCGGCGCGATCGCGGCTCACTGCAACCTCTGCCTCCCGGGTACAAGCGATTCTCGTGCCTCAGCCTCCCGAGTACCTGGGATTACAGGCTCCCACCACCATGTCCGGTTAATTTTTGTATTTTTAGTAGAGATGGGATTTCATCACGTTGGCCAGGCTGGTCTTGAACTCCTGACCTCAAGTGATCCAACCGCCTTCGCTTACCAAAGGGCTGGGATTACAGGTGTGAGCCACCGCGCCCGGCCTTTTTTCTTTCTTTTTTTTTTTTTTTTTTGAGACGGAATCTCACTCTGTTACGCAGGTTGGACCATCTTATAGATTATCAATTGTACAGATAATTGCACTCCGGCCTGGGAGACAGAGTGAGTACCTGTCTCAAAAAATAAAATAAAATAAAATAAAATTAAAAAAAACACTTAAATTAGTGAATAACCTTGGTGAAAAGCCACGTCCATGCTTCTACGGCATTTCTCTTCAAAGCTAAAAAAAAAAAGAAAAAATCAAAAATCAACCCAAAGGTGTAGTAGAAGACTGCATCTGCGACCGTATTTAAGCATCGGTCATGCTGTTAAAGGAGAAAGTGGACATCCTCTCAAGGAAACTTTAATCCTGCCCCCAAAGGATTAAAATCCCGTAACAAATATTTGTTTATAACACATCTTGACAAGATCAAAACATTCTGGTAGGGCAAATAGTAAAGACTAAATCTTGAACATTGACGAAAACTTCCTGAAAGGCCCAATGTATTTGACAGGAGAGGTAACTGGGGTCCCGGGCCTAGCGAGGCGGGGCGGGGAGGCGCAGGTGTCACCGCGGGCGCCCAGCTGCTTACGTCACAACCCGCGGAAGGCGCCGTGCGCCGGTTGCTATACAGGCCGCACTTCACACCCCGTGCCTCCCCGCCTCTCCTGGCTCCTCCGCCCAGATCCCCGGCGCTCCCGCGTTCGGTGACGGCCGGGTAGGCTGTAGGCAGCGCAATGCCAAGACAGAGCTGCTGGCGGCGGCGGGCGAATCTCCCTGCACCATGAGCCTCGGCTCCGGCCCCGTTAGGGGCCGATAAGCACAGCGCACGCCGCCCTCCATTTGCCCCGGGGCCTCGGCTGCGAAGATAGCGGCGGCCGGACAGGAAGCTCGAGGAAAGCGCTGGGCCGGGTCTCTACGAACACGTGAAGGAAAAGCAGCTCCGTCCACAACGCCGCTTCGGGGCTCCTAGGTGAGAGTCTCCCCGGCGGAAGCGTGGAGGGGCCGGGGTGCCGGGAAGCGGGGCGGGGAGGAAGCCGCGGACACGGGCTGGGCACTCGGGGCTCGGGGTCGGGGTGAGTAGAGGCGGAAAAGCAGTGAAAAGGGAGGCCTTGGGCGAAGACGGGGGCTGAGGGCGGGGCGCGAGCCCGCGCCTGGAGCCCGGTGAGGGCGTGGCCTAGAGCGTGAGGCCGCGTCCTGGGGCGGGGTGAGGGGCGAGCGGGGCGGGCCCACGGCATGCTGCGAGCCCAGCCTCCCGCCAAGCACCGTCCCCCATCCAGCCCCCTGTGGGAGGAGCCGTGGGAGGGGTCGCCTCTTGCCCGGCGCGTGCGGCAGTAGCGTCTCTGCGTTCGGCCCCGCCCTACCCAGGGCCCCGCCCCCTTCCTGGCGCGCGCTGTATCCTGATGCGATCCCCCTCCCCCCTCCGGGTTCATGTAGGGAGTCGGGCCCCGGGCCGCCACCGTCACCTCGGCCGCTGCCGCTGTCGCCATCGCCTTGTTTCCCCATCCCCCGCCATGGCCGAGGACCTCTCTGCGGCCACGTCCTACACCGAAGATGATTTCTACTGCCCCGTCTGTCAGGAGGTGCTCAAAACGCCCGTGCGGACCACGGCCTGTCAGCACGTGTGAGTAGACGCCCCCTCCCCCTCGCGGAGCCGGGTTGTCGCTTAGGCCCGGCCTCCGGCCCGGGACCCCGGGCTGCCGCCTGGCGGGAACCGAGCCCGCCGCGGCCTGCCCGAGCGTCGCTGCCCCGCGAGGTCCCGTTCCCCGCCCCTCAGAGTCCCGGGGCGGCCTTTTCCTCAGCCTCGGGGCCCGCTCCCCGCGTCCAGCCCCCTCAGCCCAAGCTCCCGCTCTCCCGCTCTCCCGCTCTCCCGCTCTCCCGCTCTCCCTGGCTTTCGCGCCCCCGGGGCAGTGGCCAGGCCGTTCCCTGCGGCGTCTTCAGGCCCCGGAGGCCCCTGTCGTCTCCGCCAGGCCCGGGAGGAATTGCAGGGATCTTGGAGCCTTTTTGTTTCTTAGCAACCCGGGTGAAGGCTGGGGTGTCGAGTGTCAAAAGCGGCCGGCGGTGCTCGCGCGGGCCCGCTCGCCCCGCGACCTGCCCTGCTTTCAAGTTTCCTCTTTCAGAACCTTGGTCCGTCCCCTCGGTCCAAGAGCTCTTCTGTAACTTCCCCTCAACCCTGCTTCACAGAACACCCTCGAGAGCGTTTTGTTTCGTTTCCAGTCCACTATGTGTTAGAGGGATCTAGAATGAGTTTTCTTCTCTGGTCTCTTAAAACTGACAGGATTTTCGGGCATTGAAATGAGCGTTCCCCTTTGTTTTACCTTTCTGCTTACTTATTACTTGATTAATACAAGGGTGGAGAGGAGAAAGGAAGACTTCTGTTATGAGGAATGAGCCGAAATTGAGATGCTACCCAGGGTGGGGGAGAACACAAAGGGGTTGGGTGAGATAACGCATGCGTTTGATTGGCAGGCATATTTACAAGAACTTTGATAAAATTTTATGGACAGCTAGGGTGTGAGTAAGGGTTGGAAAGAGCCCTTGTTGAGAAGGTGTATAGCCCTTCTGACAGACCTGACTGATGATCAGAGTCCCCGGGGAACTTTTTAAGTAAACATACCAATTCCCAGGCTCCATTTCAAACTTAACAAAAGAATGTTCGGGCAGGTGGGGCCTGGAAATCTTTATTTATTTATTTATTGTATTTTTTTTTAGTAGAGACGGGGTTTCACCGTGTTAGCAAGGATGGTCTCGATCTCCTGACCTCGTGATCCTCCCGCCTCGGCCTCCCAAAGTGCTGGGATTAAAGGCGTGAGCCACCGCGCCCCGCCCGGAAATCTTTATTTTTAAAAAACACACTCAGGCTTGAAAGTTACGTGTGTTTGCAAACAACTGAAAAGAATTGACCAACCTTCTAAATGTATTTCATTCTCCTTCGACTTTTTTTTCTTTTTTTTTTGAGGTGAGGTTCTATAATTTTGTAAAGGATGGATTGAATTTTTGGTTCTTAATTGCAAATGCCCTTACTGTGGCTGTTTTCTTGATACCAACTCTTCTCATTTTTTCCCCAATCTTAACTGCACTGTCTACTTTATTTCTATTTTGTGCTGGTTGTGTGAGCCAAGAGTGTGTGGATTTTCATGATAGAAATTATGCCAGTTACGCTTTTGCTCTTTAAGGGAGATGAATGACATCTTGTTATTTTGTGCAACAAATGCAGATTCTTAGGGAAATGTTTTGAGGGATCCTTTTGCGGTTCATAGTGTGATGATTGAGTGTTCACAGGCATGTGTGAGATATGCCATCCTCAAACCTTGTTACAGGGTCAGCACATTACCCATCTGACATGAAAAAAAAAACGTTTGGAGGTGTCTAGGGCACAATATAGATCTTCCACCTTTAATCTAGCATAACTTGGTCCCTTTCCAATATTTAAAAAAAATTTAAGTGCTGTGTTGGCATTGGGTAGATAAAAGGGAGGGAGGAGAGCAAGGTGAGAGGAAGTTGTAATAGCTGCTAACTATATATATATATATAAAGCAGGTCTTTTTTGGATAGAATCATTCTAATTATCCTTTGGGTCATTGACCTAATGGGCCTCATTGTAGTTTTTAGCACTCCCCAAAATTCCGTGTAGATTGCTCTAGTCCGCTTCCCTTGTGGGACATTTTAAATCAAGGTTTATAATTTGATTTGACCTCAAGACTGTGGAAAATGTTGGAGATGATTGTTTTTAATTCAGGACCTTTCTCAAATCAACTTATTGTACGTAGACAGTTCTGCCTGAACAATGAATTAAAAGAATAGGCAGAGGGAGAAAAAAAGTTTAATTTGGAAGAGGTGGTAATGGAGGAACAGGATTTTAATCAGTTGGAAGGAGTTTAGTGGGGGAATTGGAGAGAAATTTTAAAAATTATCGTTTTTTTTTGAGACATGGTCTTATTCTGTTGTCCAGGGTGGAGTGCAGTGGTGTGATCATGTTTCATTGCAGCCTTGACCTCCCCCGTTGGAGCAACCCTCCCGCCTCAGCCTCTCAAGTTGCTGGGACTACAGGAGCATGCCTCCATGCCTGACTAATTTTGTTTTCTTTTTTATAGAGACAGGGCCTCACTACGTTGCCCAGTCAGATCTTGAACTCCTGGGCTGAAGTCATCCTCCTGTCTTGGCCTCCAAAAGTGCTGGGATGACAGGCGTGAGGCATGGCACCTGACCTGTTTTTTAATTAACATAGTTATCTATGTCATTTGCTCTACCTTCTTCACAAAGGACAGACCTATGCCTTTAAAGAAATTTATATTTGGCTGCAAAATCAATTTTTGATTCACGAATAGAGAGTTGAAGTGATAAGGGCTTTGGGTTACTGTGGATCAGTTAGAAAATGAAAAATTTTAATTGCCATTTCAATGACAGGAAAGGATTTGACTACTGACTATCCTAGTAAAAGGAGCAAGTTCATTATCATTAGAATAACATTACTAAAATATAAACTCCCGTTTAATCCCCATTCATTCCCTGAAACTGCAGTTGTTGAATGCTCTTTGTCTGGTGCAGGGACTACTAAGTACTGTTTCTCTGGAGACTTAATAGTCCGCTGGAGAGACCTATAAATGAGTGTGATTGATATAGAAGAGATTTTATGTGAGCATCTAGAGCAGGTATCTAAATTAGCCTAAAGGATAGGGATAATTTCCTAGATGAAGTAATGCCTTAGGTCAGCGTTTGTATTCAGTGTTTGTGGGGAATGCCAGAGTCAAGGAGGGTACAGAGGATGAATGTGAGCTGGACTTTGAAGTTTGGCTGGAGCCAAAGACAGCGTAGTGGAGATGGAGCTTAGCGTTATTGGCAGGAACTTACTGTGTAAGCTAATTTGAGTGTTTTCCTGAAAACCTATTAAATAATTAGATAACCTAATGAATAATACTAGACCTAGTAAATAATTTTTGGCAGGGGAGCAGCGTGGTCACATTTCATTTTTAGAAAGTTTACCTTCATAGCAGGGTTTTCAGCTTGGTAGTGGTGAGACTAGTGAAGAGGTCGGTCATTCATTGATGTGTCAGGGAGAGAAATGATTAGAACCTGAACTAAGGAAATGATAGTAGGAATGGAGCAGAGAGACTCCTGACATTTTAAGGACAGTGTAAGATTTGATGACTGGGTTCAGTAGTTAAGTGTGTATACCATATGTAGATCTGGAATACATGGAGCTAAAGCTGTGGGTGTCGAAGTGGTCACCGAGTGAGGTATATAAATGGAAAGATTGAAGAGCACCTAGATAGAGCCAAGTGTTGGAGAATACTTACTTAAATATCGAGTGGAGAAAATTGCAGCCAGACAAGGAACGAACAGAAGGATAGGAAGAAAACCAGGAATAAAGTGAGAGTGGAAACTGAGGATTCAGATCATCTGCAAATGATTGTTAAGGAAGCAGTCAGCATTTTCAGAGGCCTTAGAGTGGTCAGATGTAATTTTGTTTTTGTTTTTGTTTTTTTTGAAATAGGGTCTCGCTCTGTTGCGAGGAGTGCAGTGGCATGATCATAGCTTACTGCAGCCTCGACCTCCCAGGCTCAAGAAATCTTCCCACCTCAACCTCCCAAGTAGCTAGCTGGGACTACAGGCACTCACCACCATGCCTGGCTATTAAAAAAAATTTTTTTGTAGAGATGGGTCTTGCTTTGTTGCCCAACCTAGTCTCTAACTCCTGGGTGCAAACCGTCCTCCTGCCTCAGCCTCCCAAAGTGCTGGGATTACAGGCAAGAGCCTCCACACCTGGCAGATGTAATATTTTGAAAAACATGTTAAGACAAATTAATATGAAAGTTGAGCAGGTAGTCAAAGCAAGGCTTCAGAAGAAAGTACAGACTGGCGTAGGAGTAAGGTGTTTATCTCTTTTGGTGTTTTATTCTGTAATCTTCAAAGGCTCTTGGAAACCTCTGTTCTTCCTTGTTTTGAACAGTCAAGGAAATAATTCTTGTACATGGCAGAAGTAAGCTACTATTGCAATAAAAATTACATATAACAAGTTTGATTCTTTGCTGAACTCTTAAAAATGGAAATCTAATCTGTTTTTGCTTTTAGGCCTCTCTGTAAGGAGGCATCTTTTAAAATGAACTTCTACTTCTTGTTAAGCACAAATTTGTGTAATTTCCTATTTGACCAGCTTGAACATCCAGTTCCTGAGTTTTTAGTTCATATTTACTTTTTTTAATCCTTAATTTTAAAACAATTTTAAATTAATTATTTATTTTTGAGACCGAGTCTCTGTTGCCCAGGCTGGAGTGCAGTGGTGGGATCTTGGTTTACTGTAACCTCCACCTCCTGGATTTAAGCGATTCTCCTGCCTCGTCCTCCTGAGTAGCTGGGACTACAGGCACAACAAGTAGCTGGACTACAGGCATGCACCACCATGCTCGGCTAATTTTTGTTTTTTGTTTTTTTGTATTTTTAGTAGAGATGAGGTTTCACTATATTGGCCAGGCTGGTCTCGAACCCCTGCGCTCAAGTGATCTGCCCGCCTTGGCCTCCGAAAGTGCTGGGATTATAGGCATGAGCCACTATCCTCGGCCTAATTAATTAATTTAGAAACAGGGTCTCACTCTGTTGCTCGGGCTATATATATGTATATATGTGTATGTATATGTGTATGTATGTGTATTTGTGTGTGTGTGTGTATATGTGTATGTATATATGTGTGTGTGTGTGTGTGTGTGTGTGTGTGTGTTATTTTTGTTTGTTTGTTTGTTTGTTTTGAGACAGTCTCACTGTGTTGCCCAGGCTGGATTGCAGTGGTGCGGTCTTGGCTCACTGCAACCTCCCACCTCCCTGGTTCAAGCGATTCTACTCCCTCAGCCTCCCAAGTAGTTGGGATTACAGGCGTGCACCATCACGCCCTGCTAATTTTTTGTATTTTTAGTAGAGACAGGGTTTTACCATGTTGGCCAGGCTGGTTTTGAACTCCAGGCTGGTTTTGAACTCCTGACCTCAAGTGATCCTCTTGCCTTGGCCTCCCAAAGTGCTAGGATTACAGGTGTGAGCCACTGCGCCCACAATATATTTCTTATAGTTTAAATTTTTTAGAGATGGGGTCTTGCTTTGTTGCTCAGGCTGGTCTCAAACTCCTGGTCTCAAGCAGTCCTCCCACCTGAGCCTCCTGAGTAGTGGGGACTACAGGTGAGTGCCACAGCACCTGGCTTTGTAATTTTAACAGCTTTATTGGTATCTTGTTACTTGAGTAGTTATGCTCTAAGTATATACTTTAAAATAATTTTCTTCTTTCCTAAAATCTGTGCTATTTAATTATATAATAAAGGTTGAGGCCGGGCGCAGTGGCTCACGCCTGTCATCCCAGCACTTTGGGAGGCCGAGGCAGGCGGATCACAAGGTCAGGAGATCGAGACCATCCTGGCTAACACAGTGAAACCCTGTCTCTACTAAAAATACAAAAAAATTAGCCGGGTGTGGCGGCAGGCGCCTGTAATCCCAGCTGTTCGGGAGGCTGAGGCAGGAGAATGGCATGAACCCGGGAGGTGGAGCTTGCAGTGAGCTGAGATGGTGCCACTGCACTCCAGCCCGGGCGACAGAGTGAGACTCCGTTTCAAAAAAAAAAAAAAAAAGATTTACTTAATTTTAAATCTTGAGGACTAGTTTACAACCTTTGATTTTTTTTTTTTTTGAAGTTTTTTTGGGGAATGATCTCGATTATCGACTCGGAAAATAGATAGACTAAGTGCCAGATTTTAAATTATTTAATTTATACTGAAATTGGGAGCATGATGAGTGGGAATATTGTTTTTCCTCTCCCAGTGTTGTTGATTAGCCTTTTGTTGGGAGAATGCGTAATGGAAATTCGTCTAGCATCTGCTAGTTTAAAGTTGAGAGAAATGTAAAGAGACCTTTTTTGGTTATAGGGTAATGCCCTGTTCTGAAGATACGGGCCTTTTCAGGAACATGAAAATTAGTTTTAGTAATTCTTGATTTGTACCTTTTTCCTTCCTACTTCTGCTTTGTTTTGAAATAAGTTCTGTCTAGCACTTTGATCCATTCCAGCCCAAAGTGAGATGAGAATAATTCGTTTTATGTCTGAAGAAACATGCTTGGTTGTACAGAGGAAGGAACAGTAAAATTGGAGATAAGAGACCTGAATATCTCTATTTTATTTTATTTTTAGACAAAATCTCGCTCTGTTGCCCAGACTGGAGTGCAGTGGTGCAGTCTTGGCTCACCGCAACCTCCACCCATTGGGTTCAAGAGATTCTCCTGCCCCAATCTCCCGTGTAGCTGGAACTACAGGCATGCACCACTATACCCGGCTAATTTTTTTGTATTTTTAGTAGAGATGGTGTTGCACCATGTTGGTCAGGCTGGTCTCCAACTCCTGACCCCAAATGATCTGCCCCGCCTCGGCCTCCCAAAGTGCTAGGATTACAGGTGTGAGCCACTGCACCCGGCCATTCTTTGTACCTGTTATCACAGTTTGTAATCATAACATTTTTGGAATCAGATAATTTGACCAATGTCAGTTTCACTGGTTAGGCTGCAAGCTTTATAAAGAAAGCATCCAAGATCTCCTGTTACTTACTTAAGCCTACTAATATATCGTTTCACATATGAGAGTTTTTCCTGCCAGCTAAATTCTGACAAATGGAATTGCTGGGTCAAAGGGTAGATACAAACAAATATTTCTGATACATCACACAAGAATAATTGCAGCTCTAGTGAAGTGTCTTGTTCATGGAAAGTGCTCAAGGTTTTGATTTGAGAACTGTCAATTATATCTTTTGGTTAAGGGATTTAATACTTTTTAAATTAAGGTAAATTGGCATTCATTGCTTTAGCAAATATTAGGACTGCCTAATAGGTGCCTAGCACTGTTAGGTGCCAGGGATATTGTAAAGAGCAAATAGATAGGATCCCTGCCCTCTTGGAGCTGGGTGTTAGTGATTGAGATATATATATATATATATATAAAATCTTTGGTTGTACAGGGGAAGGAACAGTAAAATTGGACATAAGAGACCTGAATACCTCTATTTTATTATTTTATATATATATTTGAGACAGGGTCTTTCTCTGTTGCTCTGTTGCCCAGGCTAGAGTGCAGTGGCATGATCATGGCTCACTGCAGCCTTGACCTCTCTGGGCTCAAGTAATCCCCCTTTAGCCTTCCCAGTAGCTGGGACTACAGGCATGTGCCACCACCACACCCAACTAACTTTTTTTTTTTTTTTTTTTTTTTTGAGACGGAGTTTTGCTCTTGTTGGCCAGGCTGGAGTGCAATGGCGCGATCTCGGCTCACTGCAACCTCCGTCTCCCGGGTTTAAGCGATTTTCCTGCCTCAGCCTCCCAAGTAGCTGGGATTAAAGGCATGCGCCACCAGGCCTGGCTAATTTTGTATTTTTAATAGAGACGGGGGTTTCACCATGTTGGTCAGGCTGGTCTCGAACTCCCAACCTCAGGTGATCCACCCACCTCGGCCTACCAAAGTGTTGGGATTACAGGCGTGAGCCCCCGCGCCCGGCCTGTATTTTTTGTATAGACTGGGTTTCACCATGTTGGCCGGGCTGGTCTCGAATGCCTGAGCTCAAGCGATCTGCTCGCCTTGGCCTCCCAGAGTGCTGGGATCACAGGCCTGAGCCACTGCGCCTGGCCTGAGATATATTTAAATTAAAATAAATGCTCAGAAAAATGGTGTAATTACAAATGTATAGGTTTCGAGAGAGTATAAGAGAGGGATCAGATCTAGTGGGTGAGTATCGATGACCCTTTCTTTAGGAAGTGATATTGTTGCTGATATCTAAGAGAGATATAGGTATTAATTTGTGGAGGGCTGTGCTCGTGCATAGAACATTCTGGGGAGAAGAAACATTCTGGACAAAGGTCCCGAGGTAGGAGGGAACATGCAGGGCTTTGTATTTGAATGACAGAAACATCTTCTGGGCTTCAACCTCTTATAGGTTTCTTTTTTTTTTTTTTTTCAAAGACAGAGTCTGGCTCTGTTGTCCAGGCTGGAGTGCAGTGGCACACGCAGTCTTGGCTCACTGTAACCTCCGCCTCCTAGGTTCAAGCCATTCTTCTACCTCAGTCTTCTGAGTAGCTGGGATTACAGGCGTGCACCACCACTCCTGGCTAATTTTTGTGTATATATATATATTTTTAAATTAGAGTCAGGGTTTCACCATGTTGGCCAGATTGGTCTTGAACTCCTGACCTCAAGTGATTTGCCTGCCTCACTCTTACAGGTTTATTAACATTTTATTTTTTTAAGCCTTAGTTTCCTCATCTGTAAAATGAAGGAACTTATTAAGAAAAATTTATTTTTTTTTAAGAATTCAAGATCATGAATGGATAGTTTCTGGGATCCAGCCTAGCACCTAGCACATATTATGTACGCAATAAGTGTTAACTGCTATTTTCATAAATGTCATGTTGCTTTCCCAAAAATTGAGCTAATTTACAAAATGCCATTAGTACTATAAAAGTATATTTGTAATCCATCATCTTTGCCAATTTTGTTTTTTTAAGCATTTTTATGCTATTTTAATACAGTTCATAGTGGTGTCTAGAAGTCACATTAAAATGTATTTCTTTAGTTGCTAGCAAGGCTGCATGCATTTTTCCATATTACATTTTTGCTTGTTTGAGACAGGGTCTAACTCTGTTGCCCAGGCTGGAGTGCAGGGGCATAATCACGGCTTACTGCAGCCTCAACCTCCTAGGCTTAAGCGATCCTCCCACCTCAGCCTCCCAAGTAGCTGGGACTACAGGCGTGCACCACCATGCCTGGCTGATTTTTTTTTTTTTTTCTTCAGTAGAGAGGAGGTCTCGCTGTGTTACCCAGAATGGCCTCAAACTCCTGGACTCAAGTGATGCTCTGGCCAGGGCTTCCCAAAGTGCTGGTATTACAGGTGTGAGCCACCACACCTGACCTTCTTTTAGTTTCTTTTTTTTTTTTTTTTTTTTTTTTGAGACGGAGTCTTGTTCTGTCACCCAGGCTGGAGTGCAGTGGCGCGATGTCGGCTCACTGCAAGCTCCACCTCCCAGGTTCACACCATTCTCCTGCCTCAGCCTCCCGAGTAGCTGGGACTACAGGCGCCCGCCGCCACGCCCGGCTAATTTTTTGTATTTTTAGTAGAGATGGGGTTTCACCATGTTAGCTGGGATGGTCTCAATCTCCTGACCTCGTGATCCGCCTGCCTCAGCCTCCCAAAGTACTGGGATTACAGGCGTGAGCCACTGTGCCTGGCCCTTTTTTTTAGTTTCTTATATGAATGTTTTTAATAATATCACTAGTCTGTAGTAATGCAATTAATATTTGAAGAGTTTGTATTGTACAGTTTGTCACCTGATTTATCACATGTAATTTTGGAGGTTAATTTGGGATTTTCTTTTTTTTTTGAGAAATAGTCTCCTTCCGTTGCCCAGGCTGGAGTACAGTGGCACTATCTCGGCTCACTGAAACCTCCATCTCCCAGGTTCAAGTGATTCTCCTGCCTCAGCCTCCTGAGTAGCTGGGATTACAGGTGCGCAACACCACGCCCAGCTAATTTTTATTTTCAGTAGAGACGGGGTTTCACCATGTTGGCCAGGCTGGTCTTGAACTCCTGACCTTAGGTGATCCACCTGCCTTGGCCTCACAAAGTGTAGGGATTACAGGTGTGAGCCACCATGCCTGGCCAATTTGGGATTTTCTAACAAAATAGTTTTGTGATCTAAATTGATTTTTTGCTTTTCTATATTTTTATGCCTTTAAATATTTGCTTTGTCTTTATAGCCTATATATATACATGTGTGTATATGTATATTTTTGAATCCAGACCATTGCATTTATTAGTTGTGTGCCAATATTTTTGAAAGTAAATGCTGAATAGAAATTGTTGGCTTTGTTTCTCCTTTTTTAGTAAAAATTCATTCAGCATTTGTTTATTTTTCATTTTTTGGTTAGAGACTAGTTTTAATTTAACTCTGTTGCCCAGGCTGGAGTACAGTGGGGTGGGGTGATCATTGTTCACTGTAGCTTTGAACTCCTGGAGTTAAGGAATTCTACTGCCTCATCCTTGCAAGTAGCTGAGACTACAGGTGCACACCACCATACCTCACTAATTTTTAAAAATTTTTGTAGAGGTGGGGAAATCTCACTATGTTGCCCAGGCTGGTCTTGAACTCCTAGGCTCAAATAATCCTCCTGCCTCAGCCTCCCAAAGTGTTGAGATTATAGGTGCGAGCCACTGTGTCTGGTCTCATTCAGCATTTGATTAAACATTTTTGTGTACCTGATATTCAAGGCACCAAGAAAAAAAAAAGGTTTGTCCTTCAAAGAACACAATCAATAAACAGCAATTTTCCACAAAATATTTTTATTATCCCTTTTTATCATTAAAAAAATTTTTTTAGACAAGAGTACATGTTGAGCTTTTGAAAACTTCATGGGCCGGGTGTGGTGGCTCACGCCTGTAATCCCAGCACTTTGGGAGGCCGAGGCGGGTGGATCACGAGGTCAGGAGATCGAGATCATCCTGGCTAACATGGTGAAACCCCATCTCTACTAAAAATACAAAAAAAAATTAGCCGGGCGCGGTGGCGGGCACCTGTAGTCCCAGCTACTCGGGAGGCTGAGGCAGGAGATGGTGTGAACCCTGGAGGCAGAGCTTGCAGTGAGCTGAGATTGCGCCACTGCACTCCAGCCTGGGCGACAGAGCAAGACTCCGTCTCAGAAAAAAAAAAGAAAACTTCATAGCAAATTAGGAATAGGCTAAAAAACTTTTTTTTTTTTTTTTTGGAGGCAGAGTCTAGTTCTGTCGCCCATGCCAGAGTGCAGTGGCCTGATCTTGGCTCACTGCAACCTCTGCCTTCTGGGTTCAAGCAATTCTAGTGACTTAGCCTCCCAAATAGTTGGGATTACAGGTATATGCCACCATGCCTGGCGAATTTTTGTATTTTAGTAGAGACAGGGTTTCACCATGTTGGCCAGGTTGGTCTCGAACTCCTGAGGTCAAATGATCCCCCCACTTCGGCGTCCCAAAGGGCTGAGATTACATGCATAAGCCACCAGACCTGGCCTAAAAGTTTAAAAAAAAAAATCCTCATTAAGGGTGGCTTCCCTAAAATCTATAGCAAATATACCTAGTTGTAAGCTTTAGGTGCTTTTCTAGTTAGGAACTAGTCAAAGAAGTCTGCATCACCCCTGACATTTAACATTGTATTTCAGGTTTTAGACAATTCAGTGAGAGAAGAAGAAATCAGATACACAGAGATGGAAAAGGAAGAGATAAAATTGTCATAATTTGTCGATTAAAAACAAGAGAAACAATAAGAGTACAGGGAGGTTTGATGCAAGAACAGACAAAAATCAACAACATATCTTTATACCAGCAGTAATCAGATAAAAAATTAATAGAAGAAAAACGTCACTTACAATAGCAACAAAATTATAATGTTATTTGGACTAAACAATAAAAATATACACAGCTTCTTAAAGAAAATTACAAAACTTTATTGAAAAGTGTAAGAGAACATGACATTTATGGTTAGAAAGATTTAATAAATTTAAGGTATCAATTTTCTCCACACAGTTCTAAACATACAGTTCTGGTGAAGTCCCAACATGATTTTTTGGTAGAACTTGAAAAATGGATTAAAAAATTCTAATAAAGAGCTAATGATTATGAATAACTAAGAAAATATTTGAAAAAGAAGAACATGCAGATAGCACAACCCTATCAGATATAATGAGATATTATGAAACAATAGTAATTAGTATGGTTGGCTTCTTTGATTTTCCTGTGAAAGTATTATTAAATTAAAAATATAAAAATACAAAATGAAAATTAAAAAATCATATGCTTTTTTCTCTTTTTGAGATGGAGTCTCCCTCTGTCCCCCAGGCTGGAGTGCAGTGGCACCATCTTGGCTCACTGCAACTTCTGCCTCCTGAGTTTAAGTGATTCTCCTGCCTCAGCCTCCTGAGTAGCTGGGATTACATGCACCTGCCACCATACATGGCTAATTTTTGTATTTTTAGTAGAGACAGGTTTCACCATGTTGGCCAGGCTGGTCTTGAACTCCTGACCTCAATTGATCCACCCACCTCGGCCTCCCAAAGTGCTGGGATTACAGGCATGAGCCACCGCACTGGCCAAATCGTATGGTGTTCATTCAGCAGTAGATAAATGACTAGAATATACTACAGAGTCCAGAAATAGTTCCACACGTTTTGGAACTTTTTATCTTTGATAGACGTGACATTGCAAATGAATGAGGAAAAGGTGGCTTTGATCAGTAAGATAGTATTTGGGCAATAGCTTTATATGTAGAATCTCTGCTGTGTGCTATACATGATAATATTTCCAGATGGATTGAAAACTTTAATGAGCAAAGCTTAAACTTTAGAAGGAAATGTGGGGGAATATCTCTGATCCTGAAGTGGGGAATTCTTAAGACTGCAAAAGCATAAACCATAATTTTAGGAAAAGGCCATGTCTAAAAGTTAAAAAATTTCCATATCGGAAGACCACAAGCAGCAAGGTTAAAGACAAATGATGGACTGAATGTCGTCTGTTCTACTTGCTGCAACAGATTATATCAGAACAGATAGCTTTCTATGTGACTTTTTTCCCCCTGAAAATTGTTTTGGTCCATCAACAAATGGTAGCTGAAGCAAAGCACATCAAAACATAGCTGAATATAACAAACCATAGAATTAAGCACTATGACACAAGGTGCCCAACATTCATTCTTCTTAGTTCAGTTTGGCTATGAGTTCTCTCTTGGAATACCTATTGCATGTTTCTCCTTTCCCTTGTGCATTTTAAATTTATTTCCATAATTTAACAGCTTCAACCACTTATCCCTCTCTTCTTTTAAAAAAATTTTAGGGTGAAGTGTTTATTAGGAACTTTACATACCTTTTCAGAATTGTTCGTATTTTTATTTGGATTGTTTGGGTTTTGTTAGTAGTCTGGCGACAAGGTTGCACGAGTGGTCTATTCCAACCATTTTTTTCCATAAGCCCTATAAGTTTTAGTGTGCGGGTATGCAGAATGCCAAGGTTTTCAGTGTTTCATATGTTACATTATATCAGAAATGCCTTAAGTGATACAAAATGATTTAATATCCAGAAGATGCAGTTCTAGGTTATAAATCATTTCTCCTCAGAACTTTGAACACATCATTCTATTTGTCATTTGTTATTGCTCATGAGTTTGATGCTAATCTGATTCTCTTTCCTTAGTAGGTGATCTATTTTTACTTCCTCTCTGGAAGATACTAGAAGTTGAAAAATTATTTTTTATTTTATTTTATTTATTTATTTATTTATTTATTTGTTTATTGAGATGGAGTCTCGCTCTGTCACACAGGCTTGAGTGCAGTTGTGCGATCTCGGTTCATGGCAAGCTCCGCCTCCCAGGTTCACGCCATCCTCCTGCCTCAGCCTCTTGAGTAGCTGGGACTACAGGCGCCCGTCACCATGCCTAGCTAATTTTTTGTATTTTTAGTAGAGACAGGGTTTCACCGTGTTAGAGCCAGGATGATCTTGATTTCCTGACCTCGTGATCCGCCTGCCTCGGCCTCCCAAAGTGCTGGTATTACAGGCGTGAGCCACCGCGCCCGGCTGAAAAATTATTATTTGAAGTTTTTCCAGTAATCTCTCTGGTTGTGACTCTTAAATTTATTGTACAGGTCCTTCACTTGTCTCTATTCTGCTGACATATTTTTTAGCTCTGGAAATTCCCCTCACACTCTCACTTTCTCCTTTTGTTTCTTTGAAAATAATTTTCTCTTTCTGTCTCCTATGGCTACTGGGCCACTGGATTAGGGCTCTTGTGTGTTAACTGTCTCTGGTTAAATTCACTTTCCTTTTTTCCTTTTTTTTTTTTTTTTTTTTTGGAGACGGAATCTCGCTCTGTCACCCAGGCTGGAGTGCAGTGGCGCGATCTCGGCTCCCTGCAACCTCTGCCTCCCGGGTTTAAGCAGTTCTCCTGCCTCAGCCTCCTGAGTAGCTGGGACTACAGGTGCACGCTGCCACGCCCAGCTAATTTTTTTTTGTATTTTAGTAGAGACGGCATTCCACTGTGTTGCCCAGGCTGGTCTCGAACTCAGCTCAGGCAGTCCGCCCTCCTCGGCCTCCCAAAATGCTGGGATTACAGGTGTGAGCCACTGTACCTGGCCCACTTTCCTTTTTTTCTAGTAATTTGTCCTTTTTTAAATTTTAGCAGTTTTTTTTTAAAGGCCAGTTAGAAGATAATCTTAATTTAGTTTTTTGTTTGTTTGTTTGTTTGTTTGTTTTGAGATGGAGTCTCACCCTGTCACCCAGGCTGGAGTGCAATGGCACGATCTTGGCTCACTGCAACCTCTGCCTCCCAGGTTCAAGTGATTCTCCTACCTCAGCCTCCCAAGTAGCTAGGATTACAGGCGTGTGCCACCATGCCTGGCTAATTTTTTGTATTAGTCAAGACGGGGTTTCACCATGTTGGCCAGGCTAGTCTCGAACTCCTGACCTTGTTATCCACCCGCCTCAGCCTCCCAAAGTGCTGGGATTACAGGTGTGAGCCACTGTGCCGGCCTTATTTAATTATTTTTATAACAGTTTTAATATAACTACCCTTGTTTAAAGGGTACTTTTTTTTTGGAGACGGATTCTCGCTCTGTCGCCCAGATTGGGGCGCGATCTCGGCTCACTGCAAGCTCCACCTCCCAGGTACGAGTGATTCTCCTGCCTTAGCCTCCTGAGTAGCTGGGATTACAGGCACCTGCCACCACACCTGGCTGATTTTTGTATTTTTAGTATAGATGGAGTTTTGCCATGTTGGCCAGGCTGGTCTTGACCTCCTGACTTCAGGTGATCCACCCGCCTCGGCTCCTCAAGGTGCTGGGATTACAGGCGTAAGCCACCATGCCTGGCCAAATATTTTTTATTTAAGTATAAAATGCATACAGAAACGTGTCCCTATCACAGATATCCAGCTCAGTGAATTTTCCCAAATTGAGTACACCCATATCAAGCAACCATTCAACACCTATGTCAAGCAACAGATTATTAGCATCCCAGAAACTCCCCTAATGTTCCCTTCTCTAAGGGAACATATCCCACCTCCTTCAGGATACCATTATCCTGACCTTTAACATAGTTTAAGTGCTTTTTGTACATTCTAAAAAATAGAATCGTGCAGTTTGTACTCTTTTATATCTGGCTTGTTTAGCTCAACATTATATCATTATGTTCATATTGTTGCTTATAGCTGTAACATTTTCATTCTCAATACATCATATTGTAATTTTCATTTTGTGAATATACCATAATTAGTTATGCATTCTTCTGTTGGCGGACCTATGTATAGTTTTCAGTTTGGGGCTATTATAAATAGTGTGGCTATGAACTTTCTAGCAAATTTTTTCTGATTATATATGTAATTTTTGTTTTGTTTGGTTTTTAAATAGATGCAGGGTCTCACTCTTGCTCAGGTAGAAGGGTAATGGAGTGATCATAGCTCACTGCAGCCTTGACCCCCTGGACTCAAGCAATCCTCCTGCCTTAGTCTCTCAAGTAGCTAGGACTACAGGCATGCACCACCGTGCCCAGCTAATTTTTTATTTTTATTTTTAATTTTTTTACAGGAGCAAAGTCTCACTATGTTGTCCAGGCTGGCCTCAAGTAATCCTCCCGCCTTGGCCTCCCAAAGTGCTGGGATTATAGGCATAAGCCACTGCCCATGGTTTTATGTATATAGGTTTGATGGGTATATACTTCAGAGTGGAATTTATGCGCTCTAATGGATATTGCCACCCAGTTTTCCAAATGGTTGTAAAAGTTTATACTCCCATAGCCTCCAATGTGAGTTTAGGTTGGTTCATATCCTCCCTAACACTTGGTATTTCCCACCGTTTTCATTTTTGTCTTTTTCTTTCTTTTTTTTTTTTTTTAAACAAGGTCTCACTCTGTTGCTCAGGCTGAAGTGCAGTGGCACGATCTCAGCTCACTGCAACCTCTGCCTCACAGGCTCAAGTGATCCTCTCACCTCAGCCTCCTGAGTAGCTGGGACTACAGGCATGTGCCACCATGCCAGGCTAGTAGAGATGGGGTTTCACCATGTTGCCCAGGCTGGTCTTGTGAGCTTAAGCCATTTGCCCCGCTCAGCCTCTCAAAGTGCAGGATTACAGGTGTGAGCCACTGTGCCTGGCCATTGTTTTATTATTACTATTTTTTTAGAGACAGGGTCATGCTGTGTTACCCAGGCGGGCCTTGAACTCATTGGCTCAAGAGACCCTCCCACCTCAGCCTCCCAAGTGGCTAAGACTACAGGTACATGCTGCTGTGCCCAGATTTGGTTACTTTTACTATTTTTAAAACTAGTTTTGCTGGGCACCATGGCTCACGCCTGTAATCCCAACACTTTGGGAGGCTGAGATGGCTGGATCACTTGAACTCAGGAGTTCAAGACTAGCCTGAGCAACTGGCAAAATCCCATCTCTACAAAAAGTACAAAAATTAGCCGTCGCAGTGGTGCATGCCTGTAGTCCCACCTACTGGGTAGGCTGAGGCAGGAAAATTACTTGAGCCCTGGAGGCAGAGGTTGCAGTGAGCCAAGATCGCACCAGTGTACTCCAGCCTGGGCGACAGAGCGAGGCTCTGTCTCAAAAAAATAAAATAAATAAAACTAGTTTTTAGTTTGGCAAGTGAAAACTGGCATCTTGTTTACTTTGCGTTATTTTGGTTTCTGGCTATGGTAAATATTTTTAATTGTTATTGTTTTTTGAGAGACAGTATTGCTCTGTCACCCAGGCTGGAATGCAGTGGCACCTTCATAGCTCACTACAGCTTCAACCTCCTGGGCTCAAGTGATCCTTCGCCTCAGCCTCCTGAGTAGCTGGGACTGGACGTGCATGCTACTATACCCAGCTAATTTTTTTTATTTTTAATTTTTGTAGAGACAGGGTCTTGCTATGTTGCCCAGGCTGGTCTTCAACTCCTTGCCTCAAGCTGTCCTCCTGCCTTGTCCTCCCAAAGCACTGGGATTATAGGCATGAGCCACTACGCCCTGCCTAATGTTTTAGTTTATGGTGTTAATTGGTAATGACTTCTAGTGCTGCTTTAATGATATTAACTACTATTTATTGAGCACTTTCCTGACCATGACAAATAATGTGTTAAGCATTTTATACTTGTTATCTATTTTAATCCTCTGAACAGCCGAATCAGTTGTAGATACTTTTATTATTTCGTGAGTGAGGAAACTGATATTAGAGGGAAAAACTGACTTGTTTAAAAGTGCTGCATAGTTAGGAAACTCAGGTTATGTGATCTGTTACTGCACCATTTCCTCTCAACTTCTGTTAGTATAGAGGAGGAATATTCATATATATTTATAGGAGATTGGATTAAATGTATATGTATTCTAGATCCCAGATATATATGTCTGTAATTTAACTGGTTCTCTTGAAAGCAAAATGATCAAATAAGGTATTTGGTGGGGCTAGAGAAGATAAAAAGATTTTAGTTTGATTCTAATTAGAAAGTTGGTTATAAATGTTTAATCTTTTTTTTTTTTTGAGACGGAGTCTTGCTCTGTCGCCCAGGCTGGAGTGCAGTGGTGCAATCTCGGCTCACTGCAACCTCTGTCTCCTGGGTTCATGCCATTCTCCTGCCTCAGCCTCCCGGGTAGCTGAAACTACAGGCGCCTGTCACCACGCCCGGCTAATTTTTTATATTTTTAGTAGAGACGAGATTTCACCGTGGTAGCCAGAATGGTCTTGATCTCCTGACCACGTGATCCGCCTGCTTCAGCGTCCCAAAGTGCTGGGATTACAGGCGTGAGCCACCGTGCCCGGCAAAGCCGGAAGTATTCTTAAGTATTTCTCAAATTATGTTCCATTGCATACTGTTTGGGAAATTTCCCTACTTCCGGACCAAATAACCAAATATCTGTTAACACGCAGATAACTTTGGGTAACACCTAACTTTGGGTAAAACCTATTAACTTTATCCTAGAACTTCCCAAACCAATTTGTGTGCTCTTTTGTAGTAGACCTGTTTATGTCTTGTGGAACAACATGTCGATATACATCAGTTTGAGACAAAAGCTTATGTTACTCATCCTTTTATTTTGTAAGGGGAGGAAATGGAGATCCAGTGTGCGTTAATTTGTTGGCCTAAGATTACACAGCTACTAAATGGCAGAGCCAGGATCCGGTTTTTCCTTTGTACCATGCTTCCTCTAGTAATATTATTAATATGTAGCATTAATATTTATTCATCATATATTATGTTAAGAAGTTGTAAAGCAGACTTGAGTGTAATTGTTCAAATATTCCCATCTAGTCCAGTTATCAGTCTTACTCTCTGATAAATACATATACAGTTACTAAACTTCTGAGATTTATGTACATATGAGTAGCCTAACTTATTTAATATGAATACATATTTATAATCACTTGTTTGTATTTAATTATAGAGATGAAGAGAGTAATTTTTTTTGTAATTAATGTGTCACAATGTTTGGTTTAGTTTCTGTAGAAAATGTTTCCTGACTGCAATGAGGGAAAGCGGAGCACATTGTCCCCTATGTCGTGGAAATGTGACTAGAAGAGAGAGAGCATGTCCTGAACGGGCCTTAGACCTTGAAAATATAATGAGGAAGTTTTCTGGTAGCTGCAGATGCTGTGCAAAACAGGTAGAGTAAATGTGACATCTCTCTTCTTTGGAAGCCAAGTTTCTACTCTGAAATTCTTATTTGAATTTTCTTGGTTGGTGTTTTTTTTTTTTTTGAAAAGATGAAAGGTATTTAGACTGGGAATTGGATAGAAAAGGCCAAAAAAAGCTGTGGTCATAGATCTTACTAGATTATAAACTTACTGAGAAATGAGACTGAAAAAAAAATCACTGAATTTCATAATACTTAGCGTGGCATTTTTCTAAAAGTAATTTCTCATTGATTACTTGCTAAAGTAACTAAATTAGCAAGCTGGCATTTAGCTCATTTAAACCCCATTCTGGTACAAATTCACCCCTTAAGTTTTTCTCATGGTAGCATCATTATTGCAGCTTTACACATAGAAATGTTACTAGTTTGGGCACATGGATTTATGTAGTTTAAGGAACTCTCTAGCTCCTCACTTTACTTATGTATTTATGTATGTATTTAAGAAATCACAAGGGCCGGGCATGGTGGCTCATGCCTGTAATCCCAGCACTTATGGGAGGCCAAGGTGGGTGGATGACCTGAGGTCAGGAGTTCGAGACCAGCCTGACCAACATGGTGAAACCCCGTCTCTACTAAAAATAAAAAATCAGCCAGGTGTGGTGGCGCATGCCTATAATCCCAGCTACTTGGGAGGCTGAGGCAGAATTGTTTGAACCTGGGCGGCAGAGGTTGCGGTGAGCTGAGATTGCGCCATTGCACTCCAAACTGGGCAACAAGAGCGAAACGCTGTCTAAAAAAAAAGAAGAAGAAAGAAATCACAAAATATTTGGTTAATTTTAAGGAACATGTAGGAAAATCAGGTGTTAACAAATAACCAGCATTAATTCTCTAATCTGGATTTTATTCTATCATTTGGAGAAGGAATAAAATAGAGAGGGGTGGTTAGGCTTTGAGTATATCCATGTGTCTATAGATTTATCACCGACATTTTTTCTAATAGCTAATGAATTCAGTGAGCAAAGCTGGTTGCTATTTCATGCATTCACACAAGTCAGATCTGCTTTTACATCTTTTTGAAGGAAGTGTTTAACTGACAGGGCAATGACGTGAAGCTGGAAAACACACTCGAGAGATTCTGGCTATTCCTCTCAGTGAGAAACTGAAAAATGTTCCAAGTATTCCTGGCAACTTAATTTTTTTTGAGACAGGGTCTCACTTTGTCACCCAGGCTGGAGTACAGTGGCACAATCTCGGCTCACTGCAGCTTTGACTTCCCAGGCTCTAAGCAATCCTCCTGCCTCAGCCCCACAGGTAGCTGAGATTACACCTGGCTAATTTTTGTATTTTTTGTATAAACAGGATTTTGCCATATTGCTCAGGCTGGTCTTGAACCCCTGAACTCAAGCAGTCCACCCATCCCAGCCTCCCAAAAGGCTGGGATTACAAGCGCGAGCCACTGCACCCAGCCAGGAACTTAATTTTTTTTTAAGTGCTTTCTAACTCTGCCAGGCTGCAGAAGTTAAATAATAAGACATGCCCAATAGCATCTGGCATCCTCTTAGTGCTTTTAATTTTTTTGTCTACTGCTGGTAGTGTCTTTTCAAGTGTGAAGTTATTTGCTGTTTTTTGCAGTGAATTTATAGACAGATGGACTCTTCTCCATCTCTACATTTAATGAACAGAAATGTATTATCTATTCTTAACTCCTACTTAAGGATGAAATCATTTACTTTAAAAAAATACAACTCCTGTTTAAATGGAGTATTTAGTTACTTTTATTTTTTCCTCTCTTTACACTATTTCAAATCTTACGAGTTCTATTTTAAATTAAAAGTCACATTTTAATAATTTACAGATTAAATTCTATCGCATGAGACATCATTACAAATCTTGTAAGAAGTATCAGGATGAATATGGTGTTTCTTCTATCATTCCAAACTTTCAGATCTCTCAAGATTCAGTAGGGAACAGGTAAGCAATACTTATTCCTAAATACAGAATTTTCATAATTGAAATGGAAATTGTTTTGGGAACTATATGATAAGGTATTTGGGGGGATGTGTGTGTGTGTATGTGCACATGTGTTTTTAAAGTGAATTGCCAAGTATCAGAACTACAGCATTTGCCTTAAAATCTGTTTGGCACACGTAAGCTCTCATCTGGGAGATGACTTCATGAACTTCAGCTTATGTTATTTAAAATCATTCTAAGAATTTTCATTTTTTTGAGTAAAAAATAAGTTGGAGATTTTTCTCTTACTGATTTTGCAACTGAAATGATTTGAAAAACTATAGAAAATCCTTTTCAGTAATGTATTTGCAAACTACAACCTGTTTTTTCTTTGCTATCTAAGGGATAGACTTAGAGTTTGAAATTTTTATTCTAAAATGTCATGTAAAAATGAAACCAGGTGCAGTGCAGTTCTGTTTGAGTCTCATTTCTTTTAAACAACTAGATTTGGATTGATTTGTATCTTATCTCAGATTCATGTACATTAAACATTTTTATGAAATGTATTTTACACAGAAAAATGGCCAAAATGCACTTGTGGTTTAAAAAAATAATGATTAACATCCAGTTACCTATTAACCCAGGTCAAGAAAGAACATTTTTCAAAACTTCAGGATCTCTATGTGAGCTCCTGCCCATTTGAACCGTACACTCCTAGATGCAACCACTATTCTCTTATTTGGATTATTCATTCCTTTGATTTTCTTTATGTATCATCACCCATGCATGTATCCCTAAACAATGCATTGTTAATTTTGAAAACTTCAGTAGTAAGCACATACGTAACTGTAAGGAAAGACAATATTGCCACTATTATAGAAAGGTTCCCAGGAGACAGTATGTTAAGCAGTCTCTAATATTTTATTTTAGTAGCCTTTCATTTTACATATTGCTAATTTTTAGTAACTTAACCGCCCTTAAGCACTTCATGTTGATCATACTACATTAGGCGTCTTCCCTACTCAGTTGAAATTTCTGGTAAAAACCTTTAGTGATTGTCTGGTAAAGATCTGCAGTAATTTTCTGATTGCCTAGTCTGAAAAAACTTCAGGTTCTCATTTTACTTGACTTGTTAGTGTCAAGGAAATTTGTTTGAAAGTTGTTGCTCTTATAGTTTTTTTTTAGTCCTTCTGGGTTTCTTCATTTCTATGTTTTTCTTATTGTTGTACTTCTACTTTATTGTAATTTCCTATCTGCTTTTTTACCCAATAGATTGTTCTTAAGTGAGGGGATGGTGTTTGTCTTGTTGAGCATATCTCCAGCTTTTAGTAAAGTTCTTAGTATACATGATTGTAATCACGCTTTTAATGACCAAATTTTCTTATCAGGAGACAGGCCTTCCTCCCCCTTATTTCTTAGATCCACTTGGTCATAGACACTTGATTCCTAATAGCAATATTCCTCATCTGTACTTTTATTTTATCTTGTCACTTCCCTAGCTCAGGCCCTCATCATCTCTCACTCGAACTATGATAATAGCCTTTTTAGCTGGTAGTTATCCTCTAATCTGTTTTACATTCTATCGCCAAAGTAATATTAATGAAGTATAAAAGACAAAATTCTGGCTGGGCGCGGTGGCTCACACCTGTAATCCCAGCATTTTGGGAGGCCAAGGTGGGCAGATCACTTGAGGTCAGGAGTTCAAGACCAGCCTGGCCATCATGGTGAAACCTTGTCTCTACTAAAAATACAAAAATTAGCTGGACGTGGTGGCGCGTGCCTATAGTCCCAGCTACTTGGGAGGCTTAGGCAGGAGAATCACTTGACCCTAGGAAACGGAGGTTGCAGTGAGCCGAGAGCACATCACTGCACTCTAGCCTGGGCGACAGAGTCAGACTCCGTCTAAAACACACACACACGCACACACACGCACGCACGCACACACACACTTCCTTATTCCAAAGCCCTTTCTGATCTGGCCCTTTCCTCTCTTTTTATAGCCTCTTTCTTGGTTATCCATCGTTGCATCACATGCCTTAGCCATGTTGATTTATTTGTTCCCTCTCTTTGCCATTCTTGAAAAACAGTATGACTGTGGTTAAAAATGTGGGCTTGGAGCCGGAATGCTGGGTTCAAATTTCAGATGTCACTTACTAATTGTATTACATTGTCAAGAAACTGCCTCAGTTGTCTCATGTGTTTAAGGAAAGGTATGAGAGGCGATGATGATGATAGGTCCTCATTGAGTTGAAGTTAATAAATAAGTTAATACAGGTAAAGAAACTTGACTAGTACTTTGCTTGGAAAATGTTAGTTCTTCCTCATCATCCTCATTATCACTCCCTCACCTCCACACTTTTACCAGTAATATCCCAACCTGCATTTTGCCAGCTGATTGACTTTTTTCTTCTCCTTGAAGACTTAGACCAAGTGTTAGCTACTCAGTAAAATCCTTCCTGAGCTCTAGAATTTCTTCTTCTTGGTAGAACTGTTCTTTATGCTATTAGATCTCTAAACTTTATTGTATTTATTTATTTCAGCCTGTCTCTTCACCTAGAATGAGCTTTTTAGTCTTATTTATTTCTATATCCTTTGCGGAGTTCTGATTGCAATGGAAGAATTGAGTTTGTATGTGGATTTTTAGTCAGTAAGAAAATTGGCAAAGGAAGGAAAAGCTTTTTTTTTTTTTTTTAAATTTTTAAATTTATTTTGTTTGTTCTGTTTTGTTTTTAGACAGGGTCTTGCTCTGTCATCCAGCCTGGAGTGCAATGGCGTGAACATGGCTCACTGTAGCCTTGACCTCCTGGGCTCAAGCAGTCCTTCTGCCTCAGCCTCCCATGTAGCTAGGACCATGGGCGCATGCCACCACATCCATCTAATTTTTTGATTTTTTGGGGTGGGGGGGTGGTTTTTGGTGTTAAACACATTGAGATGGGGTCCTCAATTTGTTGCCCATGCTGGTCTCGAACTCCTGACCTCCGGTGATCCACCTGCCTTGGCCTTCCAAAGTGCTGGGATCACAGGTGTGAGCCACCACGCCTGGCCAGAAATGTTTATTTTTATTTTTAATTTATTTATTTGTAGACAGAGTTTTGCTCGTCTCCCAGGCTGGAGTGCAGTGGTGCGATCTCAGCTCACTACAACATCGACCTCCCAGGTTCAAGTGATTCTCCTGCCTAAGCCTCCTGAGTAGCTGGGATTACAGGTGCCCACCACCACGCCCAACTAATTTTTGTATTTTTTGTAGAGATGGGGTTTCACCATATTGGACAGGATGGTCTCGAACTCCTGACCTCAGGTGATCCACCTGCCTCGGCCTCCCAAAGTGATGGGATTACAGGCATGAACCACCCGCGCCCAGCCAGAAATTTTTTTTTTTTAATGGTAGGAAAAATATGATCTGTGTTATATTCACGGTCTGAGCAGGAAACAGTGGGCTCTAATTATGCGATTTGAGGAGAATTTAGTAAAGAGACTATTTTCAAAGAGTAGTATGTTAGGTACACTATATAAGTAGGGTATAGGAAGCCACAAGGAATAATGGTGTGCTCTGGGTCTACTGAAAGCAGGAGAGAGGAGGAAATAGATAACAGAACCTGAAGAAGAGAGCTGAATAGAGCATGGCTATGGAAATTCTTAAAGTGGCATTTGCATGCAACTGAGTAGAAAAAAAAATTGCAAAATAAATCCATAGATCATTTCACTAATTCATACTGTTTATTATACGTTCTGAAGTGCTGGACACACTCCACGTTATGAATATACGGGAATTGGTAAAACAGACATTATTTTTTCCATGTATCTAACTGTAAGCTATAACTTCCAGTTGAGCCATCTAAAATAATCTGTGTCACTTTCATTCATATCATTCAGAGTAGTACTGTTTACTGTAAATTAGTAAATATTGGAGGATGTTTTAGCAAAATTATTGCATTGGTGTGGGGTAGTTTCTCATAATAATTAGATAGCAGTGCTAATTTTACTAAGGCCATTCCTATTTTATAACAACATTCTGCTGCTAACATAAGATTATATATTTTTGTTTTCTTTAGCCACAGGAAGTGGGGAGGAGGAGGGAAGATGAATGTAATCATTAAGATACAGAAGACATTTCAATTTTATCCTCCTTGGAAATCATTTGGTCTGTTTTCAGGCTGTTCTTACTAATCTTGACTCTGTAAACGTTAGTAACTGGATGTCAGTAGGCTCATACAGTTTATTTCAAATACAGCTCTTCACAAAAACTAAAAAAAAATTACCAGCAGTCTTTTATTTTTCCTAATAAATTTCTCTCCAGATTGTTCAATATTTTAAGTGGCTAAATAGCTATGAAGAAATCTGGCATAGTATTAAAATGTTCTTTTTCTTGTTTATAGGCATTCTTCATATATTCTGGATAGTAATCCTTTGTTATGGCTGGGCGCAGTGGCTCACGCCTGTAGTCCCAGCTTTGGGAGGCCAAGGTGGGCAGATCACCTGAAGTCAGGAGTTCAAGACCAGCCTGGCCAACATGGTGAAACCCCATCTCTACTAAAAATACAAAAATTAGCCAGGCGTGGTGGCACACACCTGTAGTCCCAGCTACTCAGGAGGCTGAGGCAGGAGAATTTCTTGAACCCAGGAGGCAGAGGTTGCAGTGATCTGAGATCTGGCCACTGCATTCCAGCCTGGGAGACAGAGCAAGACTCTTTCTCAAAAAATAATAATAATGCCGGGCGCAGTGGCTCACGCCTGTAATCCCAGCACTTTGGGAGGCTGAGGTGGGTGGATCACTAGGTCAGAAGTTCGAGACCAGCCTGGCCAACATGGTGAAACCTTGTCTCTCCCAAAAATAGAAAAATTAGCTGGGCGTGGTGGTGCGCGCCTGTAATCCCAGCTACTCAGGAGGCTGAGGCAGGAGAATTCCTTGAACCCGGGAGGCCAAGGTTGCAGTGAGTCGGGATCGTGCCACTAACACTCCAGCCTGGGCGACAGAGCGAGACTCCGTCTCAAAAAAAAAGAAAATAATAATAATAATAATAATCCTTCATTACATGCATTGCAGATATTTTTGTTTAGTCTTTGGCTGGTTTTGTATGGTGTCTTTTGACATAGAAAAGTATTTACATGTATATGCATATTCTTTAATTTTCTTTTTATATCATGCCTGAGAAATTTTTTTCTACATGAAGGTTATAAAAGATATTTTCTTCTTAAACTTTAAAAGCTGAGCTTTTCACATTTATTTGGGATGTATAATGTGAGGTAGGAAAAATTTTCCCCATGTGATAAACCATTTGGTAACATTCATTGAGGAGTCAGTTCTTTGTCTACTGATTTATAATGCCACTTCTGTTCTACACATCTCTGCATCCTGATTTTTTCTGGGGGAGGGGCAGTAGGAGGTGATCCATTGTTCATTCCTCTAGAAATATGACCTCTCTCATTTTACTATTTATTTTATTGAGGCAGGGTCTCGCTATGTTTCCCAGGCCCGTCTCAAACTCTGGGGATCAAACAGTCCTCCCGCCTTGGCCTCCTAAAGTGTTGGGATCACAGGCATGAGCCTCTGTGGTGCCTGGCCTCTTTCTCATTTTATTTTATTTTATTTATTTTATTTTTTTGAGACAGAGTCTAACTCTGTCTCTCAGGCTGGAGTGCAATGGCGTGATCTCAGCTCACTACAACCTCTGCCTCTGGGTTCAAGTGATTCTTCTGCCTCAGACTCCCGAGTAGCTGGGACTACAGGCATGTGCCACCACGCCTGGCTAATTTTTGTATTTTTGGTAGAGACAGAGTTTTGCCATGTTGGCCAAGCTGGTCTCGGCCTCCTGGCCTCAGGTGATCCGCCTGCCTTGGCCTCCCAAAGTGCTGGGATTACAGGAGTGAGCCACTGCCCCCAGCCTCTTTCTCATTTAAAAAGAAATGGATTAAAAGTTCATTTAGAACATGAGTAAATGTTTTATATCTTTTTCTAGTAAAACCTTATAGTTTTTGTTGCTATAAAAATGAGCCCCCTTTTTTTCCTGTTTGATAATCTAATTAGTTATTACTAGAGAGTAAGTTGATTTTTATGTTAATCTTGTTTTCAGCAGCTTTGATGATTTGTTAGTTGTAATAGTTCTAATCTGGCAGTTCTTATAATCTACCTGTTGATTCTTTTAGATTTATTATATAGAAAATCATTATGTTCTCCCATAGTTTTGTCTGCTTCTTTTAAACCTAATGTTCTATATAATACTTGATTTATTGCATTGAATAGGTTTTCTATTCAGTGTTAAATAGCAGGCACCTTTTCTTGTTCCTGATTTTAGTGGGAATACACCTATAATATTACAAATAAGTATAATATTTACTATAGTTTTTTAGCGTAGATCTTTTAGTTTTACAGTTTATCTGCCCCATGTCAGTATTACCCTGAATTTAAGGTTTCCCCATTAATAGTTTTACTCAAATCAGAATCATGTATGAAATTAAAAACATATATACATCTGGCTAGAGTTCCAGATATTCTGATATCTGGAGTCTAGGCATTTGTATTTTTAAAAAGCATTGTGCTTACTATTTAACATTGGATAGAGATCCTATTGAATGCAGTAAACCAAGTGTGATATAGAACATTAAATTAAAAAGCAAGACATAACTATGGGAAAATAATTTTTTGTTTTTGTTTTATTATGGAGATTGAATTTTATTGGTGTTTCTGTATCTGATAAAATCATAAGTTTTTAAAAAAATAATAATTTGCTGTCAGTAATTGATTTTCTATTGTTGAACCTATTCTGGGCTAAATGAGCAGGCATGATACAACAGCCTAGGCATGATACAAGGATGACTAGGAAGAACTAGAATGATGATGATGACAGTAATAGTGGAAAATTGAGAGTTATAATGGTAGATAGAAGGGAGAACGTGTTTAAAAAGGGCATTAACTTTGATATTAAATGCTTTAAATCAGAAGTTTTGTGATTGCATTACCCTATCAGTGAAAGAATTGAGTATGTACCCCCAGTGTTTGTGTTTATTTAAAACTGCATAGTACTGGCTGGGGGCGGTGGCTCATGTCTGTAATCCCTGTACTTTGGGAGGCCATGGTGGGTGGGTCACTTGAGGTCAGGACCAGCTGGGCCAACATGGTGAAACCCTGTCTCTACTAAAAATACAAAAATTAGCCAGGCATGGTGGCATGGCCGATAGACCCAGCTACTCGGGAGGCTGAGGCACGAGAATCACTTGAACCCAGGAGGAGGAGTTTGCAATTAGCCGCGATCGCGCCGCTGCACTCCAGCCTGGGAGACAAGAGTGAGACTGTCTCAAAAAAAAACAAAACAAAAAAAAAGCAGATCCAAATGGAAGATGTATGCCATAGGATAAAATAAAAATTTTTTCAATCCTGGCCAGGTGTGGTGGCTCATGCTTGTAATCCCAGCACTTTGGGAGGCCAAGGCGGGCAGATCACCTGAGGTTGGGAGTTTGAGACCAGCCTGACCAACATGGAGAAACTCCGTCTTTACTAAAAATACAAAATGAGCCGGGTGTGGTGGTACATGCCGGTAATCCTAGCTTCTCAGGAGGCTGAGGCAGGAGAATCACTTGAACCTGGGAGGCGGAGGTTGTGGTGAGCCGCGGTCGCGCCACTGCATTCCAGCCGGGGCAATAAGAGCGAAACTCCATCTCAAAAAAAGAAAAAAGTTTTAATCCTATTTTCTAAATATAAAAAGGACTGTTGCTGAAATTTTCATCCTCCCCAATGATATTATAGTTCTATAAACCTATTAGAAGTTGTTAACAGTATTTTTAAAGGGCACATTCAAAACCCAGTGATTATATTAATTTGGAAGATTTTTTAAGCTGGTTAGAAACATCTACCAATTTTAAATGTATAGATATGAGTTGTTTTTCTTTAATTGGTGACACATGCTGTTTTTGGTAACAAAATCATGTAACCACTCCCTTAATAAGTGCACTCTCCATAATTTGACTTTATTTTAAAGAGCAGGTTTTTAGTTCCAGAAAGGTACAAATAGTAGTTTAATAGTCTTCTATTTAGGTTATGTACTTTTTTTTCAGACTGAGTTTCGCTCTTGTTGCCCAGGCTGGAGTGCAGTGGCATGATCTTAGCTCACTGCAACCTCCGCCTTCCGGTTTCAAGCGATTCTCATGCCTCAGCCTCCCGAGTAGTTGGGATTACAGGCGCCCGTCACCACACCCGGCTAATTTTTGTATTTTTAGTAGAGACGGGGTTTCACCATGTTGGCTAGGCTGATCTCGAACTCCTGACCTTGTGATCCACCCGCCTCAGCCTTGCAAAGTGCTGGGATTACAGGTGTGAGCCACTGTGCCCGGCCTGGGTTATGTATTTTAACAGTGAAGTCTGCTTGCTCGCTTGGGCTATGTGTGGAGAGATAACATTGTTATCTTCACAGAAGTGAACTGAGTGTCATTGGAATGGTGCCTTTTCACTGTGTACACATTGTTGTATACACATTTATTATGAAAGTAAACAGAAAAGAAAGATCAGCTGCTAAGTAGATGATATAGTACTCCTTGTCTTTTTATAAAGGAAAAATGAATAACCAGTTTAAGTTCAACTTTTTAAACTCTGGCATTGAGATATAGAACCAACCTGTATTGTACAATTTTTCTTAGCCACTACTTATCTTATTACTGTGTTAAGATTTCTACTATTGAAAGACGTTGCTTTTATAAAATTGAGCACATTGGGCCAGGCGCGGTGGCTCACACCTGTAATCGCAGCAGTTTGGGAGGCTGAGGTGGGCGGATCACTTGAGCTCAGGAGTTCAAGACCAGCCTGGCTAACATGGCGAAACCCCGTCTCTACTAAAAATACAAAAATTAGCCGGTCATGGTGGCTCACGCCTGTAATCCCAGCTACTTGGGAGGCTGAGGCAGAAAAATTGCTCGAACCCAGGAGGCAGAGGTTGCAGTGAGCCAAGATTGCACCACTGCACTCCAGCCTGGGCGACAGATTGAGACTCCAGCTCAAAAACTAACTAACTAACTAAATAAATAAAATTGACCACATTGATCAAATTCTGTAGCACACAGGTGACGGTCCCTGTATGGAATACTTACTCTTCCCTCAGGATTCCTCTGATATTCCATGTGACACATGACTCTCTGGCATATGGTAAAAGTGGAGATGTTAAGTTGTTCTGTATATTAAATGTTAGTGAAGCCTGGTTTCTTTCCTTTCTGGAAATAAAATACAAACATAATGAACATTTACATATTTTCTTAAATTACTGCACTTTGGAGGGCATAACCTTATACCATGTCCTAGTTTGAAGTAAAAAAGTTCACAAATTCTTGAGTCTACCGTAGCATTTAAAACCTTACTAGTCTAGGTAAAGGTAGAGGAATGGGATTTAAGGTAATTCTGCAAAATTCTCTATACTTCTGTAACTGTGCATAAGTTAATTTTAAAGAACATAAATAAGAATCTAGTAAGCAGTCAATTTATTTAAAAGTAATTAATATTGTAATTATTTCATAGTTCAGAACCATTTGAAGTTCAAATTTTGTTTTTTCAAGGACCCAATAGGAAAAAGGTGTATTGAAGTTCAGACTTTTAAAACAAATTCAGACTAGTCTTCTTCATTAATGGTTCAAGATAATGAACCTTTAGTGTGTTTTCATTACTTTGAGGTATTAACTTTTTCCCCTGTGCTTCTTAAGCAATAGGAGTGAAACATCCACATCTGATAACACAGAAACTTACCAAGAGAATACAAGGTAAGCTTTTGAAAAATCCTGCCACTTTAGCAAGTAATATTATATTTATCACTTATCAAATAGCTTTTTAAATTAAACTTTTTTTTTTTTTTTTTGAGACGGAGTCTCACTTTGTTTTCCCAGGCTGGAGTGCAGTGGTGCGATCTTGGCTCACTGCAACCTGCGCCTCTCAGGTTCAAGTGATTCTCCTGCCTCAGCCTCCCAAGTATCTGGTATTACAGGTGCCTGCCACCACGCCCGGCTAATTTTTGTATTTTTAGTAGAAACAGGGTTTCACCATGTTGGCCAGGCTGGTCTCGAACTCCTGACCTCAGATAATCCACCTGCCTTGGCCTCCCAAAGTGCTGGGATTACAGGCATGAGCCACTGCGCCTGGCCATAAATTAAACTTAAAAAAAAAAAAAAAATCAGTTACATCATTAGGCATAGTGTTTGAAGTTAGCAGTTTAGAAATAGAAAATGCAGTTACTGCTTTTAAGAATCACATTAGGTTAGAAGAGTTTAGTTATTCTCTTTCACTGTGGTCAGGTTTCTTCCACACACGATTCAGGTAAAGTTGTCTGTGTTGAACTGTCCCTTCCTGAAATTCAGAAGTATTAAAACTCAGTGATGCTTGATCCTCAGAATGTTTTCGAGTATTTCATTCTCATGATCAGTGCTTTTGTTTTTTCTTTTCCTTTGAATTTTGGATGTTGGATTCCTAGGGCCTGGTATTTATTAGAGATACGATATTGATGGAAGTCTTTTAGAAGTTTTAAGTTCCTAGATAAAAGGTTTGCAAAATGTGGAATACTACAGAATATTAAAAATTTTCAAGGGACATACAGTGACAGCTATTGGCATCAGAAAACAACTACAATTAAGTTTGGACCTAACTACATAATATATGGAGTCAGCTAGGTTTTTGTTTTTGTTTTTGTTTTGGCCTAGAGGTGCCATGAAAAAATTTATTGAGGACACTAAGAGTACTGTAAACTGAGATTGGGAACCTCTGTAATGCATCATTTCCTGAATACATATGTTCAAAATGAGAGAATCTTTGAATAGTCTAATAATTATAACTTTTTTAAAAAATGTATAGTGATTCCTCAAAAAATAGGAGAGCGTTATTTTTGTGTTATTCTGAATTAAGTATGTTTCACTTAAAATTGTTTTATAGTTCTTCTGGTCATCCTACTTTTAAGTGTCCCCTGTGTCAAGAATCAAATTTTACCAGACAGCGTTTACTGGATCACTGTAACAGTAATCACCTATTTCAGATAGTTCCTGTGGTAAGTACATACGTTTGAGACAGTCTTCTGCTTAGAATAAAACATGCTGTTCTATTTATTTCACTTCATGTATGCAAGAGAAAGTAGTTGATTTATATTTGGTTGGGGCATTATCAGTAAGGTAGATTTTTGTCAACAAAGGATTGATGACTGTGAAGCAAAATGAGATATTTAAAATTGCAGTAACTCTCATTATAAAAAGGGAGATGCATAGTGTGAGGTAATATAGCACAGTCTGGAGAAGAGTGAAGTAATGAAAGATGAACCGGGAACTCATTCCTGCGCAGTAGCACAACCTGTCTATTGAGGCCTCAGTTACTTGCTCTGTAGATGGCAGACAAGTAGATCTAGTCAGGTAGATTGCTGTAGGTGAAAATACCTGTAAGTAAGAATAAAGTCAGTAGGTATTTTTATTGTTTTCTTGCAGCATATAGTATGTGAATGCATAAAGCAAGGAAGGAAAAGACTTAGACTTTGTATTTGATGCCTACATATTTTTTGACATTTTGAGGGTATGTAAGAAAATGGTGAGAGCTTTTTGATAATGAGGGAGATAGAGCAGAATTCAGGATTCCAACATATAATGATCCTAGAAGTGTTTCATAGGTAAGTTATTTCAGCTGTGAATGGAACAGGAGAAACTGAGCTGGGAGAGAGATTTCCCTTTCAGCTGAACATTTTGATATATAAATAATTGTCTTCAGAAAGGAGAATAGGAAGGAAAATGTTATCAATAAGAACTGTAGATATTTCTAAGCTGTTTTAGTGAGTATGCTAGGAAAAGTTGTGAAAGAATGTGCTTCAGGACCGGGCACGGTGGCTCATGCCTGTAATTTAGCACTTTGGGAGGCCGAGAGGGGAGGATTGCTTGAGCCCAGGAGTTCGAGACTAGCCTGGGCAACATAGTGAGACCCTGTCTATTTAAAAATAAAGAAAATAAAAAGAATATGCTTCAATAACCATTGAGGATGACCTTAAGCTCTCACATACCACCTAAGAAGGTGTACTACCTACTTTGCTTATTAGAATGGGTTCAGTTATGCTTAAATAGACAAATACAGTGCCAAAGATGTTCCAGGAAATCTCGCTCATATTTAAGATTTTACTTAGTTTTATATTGGATTACCAAATTTTTATTCATTTCTGCATAATATTCGATATATCATAAACTTTGGCTAGAGTTTAATTACTGAAGGTTTTTTGTGTGTTATTTCAGTTATTTATCCATTCAGTTTTTAAGATGTACTTCATTTAAACGTAAGGATATGGCTGGGTGTGGTGGCACATGCCTTTAATCCCAGCACTTTGGGAGGCCAAGGCGGGAGGATTGCTTGAGCTCAGGAATTTGAGACCCAGCCTGGACAACAGTGAGACTGTGTCTCTAGTTTTAAGAAAAGAAAAGAAAAACTAAGGATACAATTTAAAGTAAATTTTCCAGTTTACTTCATTTTTATTTTACTTACAAATGAAATAAAACTAATAATAATTATATGGTTATTGTATGGATCAAATGAGATAATATATTGGATATGTTGCAGGCAGCCAGTTAGTGATAACTGTCATTACAGTTGGTATTATTAAAAGCTAGATGTGGTTTTTCTGTTGAAACATTTGTGTAATAAGAGATTTAAGGAATAGAATGTCTAAGATTTCTCACTGTGTTAGATTAATGTCATTTATCTAAGGTAATTGATTGGGAAATGATCTAGTCATGGAACTTGGCCTTTAAAAATGCTTCTCACGTAGATATTTTTGGTAACATATCCCTGTGTTATTTTAATACTGTCAATTGTATAATATTTCATTGTTTTTATTATTTTTTGTTTAAAACAATCTGTTTCTTATAGACATGTCCTATTTGTGTGTCTCTTCCTTGGGGAGATCCTAGCCAGATTACCAGAAATTTCGTTAGTCATCTAAATCAGAGACATCAATTTGATTATGGAGAATTTGTGGTAAGTGAATTCTTCAAGATTAAGAAAGTACTGTTTAAATATTAAAGTTAAAATAACTTTTTTGTAATCGACTTAAATTTTGTGGCAAGCTGTTGTATCTTACTGGATGGATTTAGAGCAAGTTCTTAGGTTTTTAATAATACTGGTGAACTTTAGCTTGTAGAAATGGTAAGGTAAAAATTGAGTTTACTCTCCACCTCCTGTACTAGAGAGAGAATTAATAAGAGTAACAGCAAGCACCCAGATTAACAAAATGATGATTTACATGAAAACTCTGTCAAGATTTAAGGGAAAATTGTACCTACAAGAGAAGTAAAATTGGTACAACATATGGAGGATGTATTTCTCATGTAGTATAAGTTGCTTGTATTATGCTAGAAATCTTAGATTTCTCAAATCTAGCATGTAAGACACAACGTTTTTAAAAATGAGGGAGCTTAGTTATCAGGCAAAGCCAGGTTACAAAGAGACTAAGAGTGTAAGAGAAGTTATATAATGTAAAAATGAATTCATAAAGCAAAATGGATTAATTTGTACTTCTAAATGTGTGATATACTTTTTTAATTAGGTGAAAACCTGTTTTATTAATTATTAAATTGCATTTTATTCAACTTCAGTTTAATCAAAACTTTATTTAAGATTAGTCCTGACAAAGAATGGCTATTTGTTTTCCAGTTTAGGTAAGCAGAGTGACATGAACAAAATATACATTTTTGTCTGCCTTCCAGTGTTGAAATTACATCATTCTTGTTAAATGGTTTTTAAATTTTGTAGAATTTGCATTATTTAGCCAATTTCAAAATAAAAATTCAAATATATGTAAAATTTAGGTGCGCTTTATTGCTTTAGCAATTTTATAAAGTAATTCTAGATTATTATTAAATTCTCATTGTAAGAAAGATTGCTATGTAATGTATTTGGAAATACAAAAATTTGTGAACCACTTTTGATCTAATTGTCAAGTTGTTTTATCTTGCCATAGAAAAGTAGGTAATCTAGGCAGGGCTTGGTGGCTCACACCTGTAATCCCAGCACTTTGGGAGGCCGAGGTGGGTGGATCACAAGGTCAGGAGATTGAGACCATCCTGGCTAACACGGTGAAACCCCGTCTTTACTAAAAATACAAAAAGTTAGCCGGGTGTGTTGGCAGGTGCCTATAGTCCCAGCTACTCGGGAGGCTGAGGCAGGAGAATGGGATGAACCCGGGAGGCAGAGCTTGCAGTGCGTGAAGATCACGCCACTGCACTCCAGCCTGGGTGACAGTGCGAGACTCCGTCTCAAAAAAGAAAAGTAGGTGATCTAATTATTTCAGATTGTCAAATAGAGGCCTTGATTTTAAAGCGAAATGCATAGGGCATAAAATTGATAGCAAATATAATTTTTTAAATTAAGGAGTAGTTTTATAACGATTGAATAAGCTGTAGGCTTCATGTTATGGTTAAGAATTTATTACTCATCTGGGCATGATGGCTCATGCCTGTCATCCCAGTACTGTGGGAGGCCGAGGCGGGTGGATCACCTGAGGTCAGCAGTTCAAGACCAGCCTGGCCAACATGGCAAAACCCTGTCTCTACTAAAGATACAAAAATTAGCTGGGTGTGGTGGTACGTATCTGTAATCCTAGCTACTTGGCAGGCTGAGGCACAAGAATTGCTTGAGCCCAGGAGGTGGAGGTTGCAGTGAGCCAAGATTGTGCCACTGCACTCCAGCCTGAGTGACAGAGCCAAACTGCCCCCCAAAAAATTTCTTACTCAACTCATAATTCAATAAATGCTTGTTTTCTTAAAATCAGTTTACTGTCAGATATTTGGCATTATTTTCTAGAGATGACACATTTATGATTGTGTGTTATGATTAACTTCAGTTTTATTTTTCATTTTTTATTTTTATTTTTTAAAGTGACAGTCTCCCTGTGTTGCCCAGGCTGACCTCAAACTCATAGGCTCAAACTGTCTTCTGCCTCAGCCTCCTGAATAGTTGCAACTACAGGCGCATGCTTACCCAGCTTTCCAGTTAACCATATTTTTTATGAATGACTTATAAAGGCATTATAACACTCAAATTTTGTTCTGTGATGATCCTCTCTGTTTGTTTGTTATTCTTGAACAGTTACAACTGAACTTAATGTCTTATTAAAGTTCAGGTATTCAAATCTTGTATCTTAAAAGATACTGTTATATATGTTTTACATAACTGTCCTGAGTGTGTGTAATGTGTGTCAAGATGTGTAATGTGTATCAAGATGTCTAATGTTTTGGGCAAAGTATTAGAGTAGTTGAATATGTTTTTCCTGTTGACATGAATGTTATTGTTTTTAGAATCTTCAGCTAGATGAAGAAACCCAATACCAAACTGCTGTTGAAGAATCTTTTCAAGTAAACATCTGAAGGCTGTAGACATCTCTGCATCTTTGTACCTGCAAGTGCCATCTTTAAGGGGGAAACTACATGAAGTCACCGTTACAGTAACTTGATGTGTATATTAATAAAAGTAATTCAGTCATTTTAGTTTTTGATTGAAAATAAAGGTAGGGCTTCTAAAAACTTCATCATCTTGATAAGTTAAAAAATGAAAGTTATGACATTAGCTTTAAAGGTGTAAAAAAGATGTTTCACTAATGTAACGGTGAAAGAGAATCCCTGTTGTACTTTATCTTTTTGTAATATTATTTTTGAATTTTTCATTATTATGTTGCTTTTGAAATTTGATGCATTCCTCCCATTTACTTTATTATTGTACACATTTAACACACAGTAGCAAATTTTGAACGATGTGATTGATATAACCTAACAAATCTGAGCCAGTTATTATTAGAGTTGCAGAATAGAAACTTGAAGTGCTAAATGGAATAATCCAAAGGAAATTTTTTAAATGCAGGTTCTAGCTGAAAAATTCAACTATAAGAAAATTGTATTTATATAACATTTACTATTTTTGAAGACTAGTGAGATTTCTGTAATAATTTTAATTCTTTAAAAAGTGAAAGCTTGTTGTAAAGATATTTTCTTTTTGTTATTAGAAGGAAATACAAAGAGAAAAATTTCTTTCTTTCATGGGCATTTGATAATTTCAGTCTTTGACTGATTTGTAAGCCTAGAATATACTAAGCTGAATAACAGCTCTTTGGCCTCAGAATTTTCAGTAGCCAGTATTTCTGATTAACTAAGTTGAAACTCTTATTAGAAACTTTCAGTTGGTGATATTGTATTCTAGAAGATATAAATGAGAGGTTTGGCTTCATCTCAGTTTAGAAATTTATTCAAAGCTAAAGATGTATATATACATATACTTTTGTGTGTATATATACACATATGTGTGTATGCAGTTTGTCAGGTTATATATAGAATTTCTATTAAGGATTTTTTAAATGGACAAGCAATAGGGGGTTGAAGTGTTTATCTGATTTGTTTAAAATTTTGTATATCACCAAATTTTTAAAAAGTGATAGTCACAGTGCTAAGTTATCTAGTTGGCTACTATTACACCTTAAAAATTGAGTTTACACACACACAATTACCTGTTTATATGGTGCTCATTTGTTATTCTCAAATATAATGTGTGACCGTGATATAGTGAGAAAGATTCTACCAACCACTGTTTCACTACTTTTTAGTTAAAATTGGGTATGTTCTTAATATTCATTAGTGAGAATCACAAAGTATTTTGTAGAAGGCCCAAATCACAGAATAAAGGACTAAGAGTGGATTTGCTGACATTCCATACTAATATACATTGTTTATGCTTTCTTTAAAATAACTAGAAGAACATAAAAGAAAGAGAATCTCAGAAGTAGTTTGCTGCTAATATATACATATATTGTATAAAAAGGTATATTTTGGTTTTGTTAAAACCCTTGTTGACTTTTCTACACTGAACATTTTTTTTAACTTGATTTAATAAAAATGTTAATTTTGGAAGTGCAGTTTTGTAAAAACCTTTTTCAGTCAAACAGTAAAGACTTTATTTATGGATTGTAATAACAACCACAAGAAAAGCCATACATCTTAATGAACATACGCCTTTGTTCTGTCATTTTAAAGAGTGGTGTTTACTATGTGTGTGCTTGAGCATTTTCTTTCAGTTACATGGGTGTAATTTAAAAAACAGCTCCTTTTTAAGACTTTTGACCATAGTGTTTTCCAGTTTAAAGCAATAACTTTCATAGTTTCTTTCAAAGTTTAATACATCCAATATGTCAAGTTAAACCATTCTGGGATTTGCAAAGTTTAATACATCCAATATGTCAAGTTAAACCATTCTGGGATTTGCAAAGTTTAATACATCCAATATGTCAAGTTAAACCATTCTGGGATTTGGGAACTTCTTTAAAGGAAAATTGTAGTAGAGGTCATCTTGATGGAATTGTGTTTTAAAGTTTTGTGAATGAGTTAAATATCATTGATAGTCTTGTGTGTCTCACATATCAGCTTTTTCATAAGGAAAATACTTTATTTGCTTTTATCTGAGAATTTCTCAGTATGAAAATGATTGTTTAAAATTTCCCCTCTTTTTGTCAGTGCATTGGGAATAGGGATAGACTTTACAGATTTATGGAAATTAAATTTATGGGGAAAAGTTTATTTTTAATATTACTTATAGCTGAGTCAGAATTAAAGGAGGGAATTGTATTGATACTCCAATACCTAAATTTCACAATACCACTTAGGAAAGCTATTTCAACAAATTACAGTTTTATTGTTAAAACAGAGTCTTATTTGAGATGTATTGCTTTATTTTTCAATTAAAAGTGGTTTTCTCCTACTTGTGTGTCTAATTAAAATTTGTCTGGAGGCAAACATTTAACTCTCATAATTCACACTGAAAGACGTAGGAGATAACCCATTATTTTGCACTTAAAAAAGTGGATAAGAAAAAGCTACCACATGCTGGTGCTATATGTCAGATTTAACTTTATAAACCTATTTATTTTTATCCATTTCAAATGTTAATCACCTTATAAAGCAATTTTATGAAGTGTCTGCGGAGCAAGATTTTCAAGCCCTGTTAGCAGCTAGGCAGAAAGCTTATTTGCTTAATAAACACTTTTATATGGAGATAGATAGTACTTTTAAGTAAGATACCAGGGTTATAAGACTATGTTGCCAAATACAATGTCATATACCTTGTATGGGTTGCTTGGTAAGTATTAATTATGATCTTCAATACATCATAACTTCTACAGAAACCCCTTAACAGCTGCTACTCAAACCCCTTGTAGAAGCGTGACTTTTTAGCATACTATGTAGAAAAGGTGTGACCCAGAAAACATGTAAATACAGATACTATAAAACTCAGACATATAAGTAAAGCACTCATTCCATGATATCACTTAGTGTGTAACATAATTATCTGTGCGGTACAGTTTTGAAAAAAGATGGGGAAGGGAGGTGAGTTAAAGGGGGATACAAGAATCTCAGGAAAACGGGTGTCACAGCCTGTCTCCCTGCTTCAATAGCAGTGGTCCAGTCCTGGGATTGAGAAAGATGACATACACTGCATTCTTCTCCCAATATGAGTAAAATGGGTGTATTCCATTATGTACTTTACTGACAAACAATTTAAACTGTATTGTATGATGTCCTATATAACGAATTCTCCCAGCCTGGGCAACATATATCCCCATCTCTGCAAGTAATCAAAAAATTGGCCGGGTGTGGTGGTGTGCACCTGTAGTCCCAACTACTCAGAAGGCTGAGGTGGGAGGATGGCTTGAGCTGGGGAGGTTGTGGCTTCAGTGAGCCGTTACTGTGCCACTGCACTCCAGCCTGGATGACAGAGCAAGACCCTGTCTCAACAAAAAACAGGAATTTTTTTTTTTTTTTTGAGACGGAGTTCTCTCGTTGCCCAGGCTGGAGTGCAATGGCATGATCTAGGCTCACTGCAACCTCCGCCTCCCAGGTTCAAGCGATTCTCCTATCTTAGCTGGGATTACAGGCACACGCCACCGTGCCCAGCTAATTTTTTGTATTTAGTAGAGACAGGGTTTCACTATGTTGGTCAGGCTGGTCTTGAACTCCTGACCTCAGCCTCCCAAAGTGCTGGGATTACAGGTGTGAGCCACCATGCCCGGCCAAAAAACAGGAATTCTTAAGATTGTAATAGTGAAAGACATCCTGCAGAATTTAAGGACAAGCAAGGCAGGGGAATAAATATGGAAGACTGGTAAGCAGATGAGTCACAGCCGTTTGGTGGAGGATATGGAGAGGAAGAAAATAGGATGTGAGGGAGATTTCGTATTAGTCTAAGTGGGCAATAATGGCACATGATACTGAAAGTGCACAAAGTGAACAATAACCTGAAGTAATCCATGCTCAAGTCAAGAAAAAAAAATTGCTAGAATCTCCTAAGTCTTTTTGTTTCTACTTCCAGTCACAACTAAGTATTATCACGACATAACTTCTAATACCATAAATGGGTTTGTGTTAAGTGGAAGCACACAGTAAATATTATTTTATATTTGGCTTTTATAACATTGAGATTTTTCTGTTTTTTTCTTGCATTTACAGCAGCAGTGACTTGTCCTTTGTCCAGAACAGAAAAGCTTAGTCTTCTAAAGTTATATTTTAGTATTTGTAAAAGTTGTGTTAAATGTATTACAAGTGATTCTTTTATGTATGCTGGTACCTGGGGATGCCAAATGTAGGTAAAAACAAAACAGGCTGGTCTTCCCCTCATAACTGAGGAAGGAAGTGAAGAGTCTAGCCAAATGGCCTTCCGCTGCTCTTACCTGACTTTCCATGAGCTGTGTATGGGATGTTCTATCTTTTTTTTTGGGACAGTGTCTCACTCTTACCCAGGCTAGAGTGCAGTGGTGCAATCTCTGCTTACTGCAACCTCCATCTCCCAGGTTCAAACGATTCTCCTGCCTCGGCCTCCTGAGTAGCTAGGATTACAGGCGTGCGCCTCCATGCTCAGCTAATTTTTATACTTTTAGTAGAGATGGGTTTCACCACGTTGTCCAGGCTGGTCTCAAACTCCTGGCCCTAAGTGATCCGCCCACCTCAGCCTTCCACAGTGCTGGGATTACAGGTGTGCGCCACCGCGCAGGGCCTGGATGCTCTTTTATCTTTTGGGGGGATGGAGTCTCGCCCTGTCACCCAGGCTGGAGTGCGGCGGCCTGACTTCGGCTCACTTCAACCCCTCCCAGGTTCAAGCGATTCTCCTGCCTCAGCCTCCCGAGTAGCTGGGATTACAGGCATGCGCCACCACACCCAGCTAATTTTTATATTTTAGTAGAGACAGGGTTTCGCCATCTTGGCCAGGCTGGTCTCAAACTCCTGACCTCAGGTGATCCGCCCACCTCAGACTCCCAAAGTACTGAGATTACAGGCGTGAGCCACCGTGCCCTACCTCGGCCTGGATGTTTTCTTTTCAAGGCATTTTTGTAGGTACAGAATTTTATTTTTCTATTTTATTTTTTTGTTAGGCTCCCTCAAATCATGGGAAATAGGAGATTTTAATGAGTATTTAAGGACAATATTTTCTGGGATAGGATCTGAAGCCACCAATAGAAACAAAAGCGGTTGCAGCAGATACAGAAGGGTGTTGGGTAGATCTTTGCCAGAAGACCAAGCATTTAAAACAACTGAGCCTACTTTCTTGGACCAGACAACCTGTTTTTGATGATTCTGCTGGTTGCTACTTGTGTAGTTTGGACACATTTCGTAGCCCTTTTTACCTCTATGGTTTGTGAGGATTGAATTAGTTAATATTACAAAGAGCTTGGAACAGAGCATGTTAACGTTTATTGTTACTGTGTATCCAATACAAGTCAACCTATTGTATTTATATCTGTCAGGTCCTACTTTAGTCTAAAATCCTGTCAAGACAGTCTGGATTTTTTTTCCCCCTTAAGGATATAGAGTCTAAAGGGTTACTAGTCTTTATTTGCTGGCCTCAACTGTTTGTATTTTTTGTAGAGAGAGGATTTCGCCATGTTGCCCAGGTGGGTCTCAAACTCCTGAGTTCAAGTGATCCTCCTGCTTTGGCCTCAAGGCCTCGATCCCTTGAACCTAAACTCCTTGTCTCAAGGGATCTTCAGCCTCATGAGTAGCTGAGACTGCAGGTGTGCGTCATACCTGGCTTGCTAGCCTCAACTTTTGTGGGAAGATCTGAGACACTGTTTTTGTTTCCAAGAAGTACAAATACCCCACACATGAGGAATTCTGAATAAAACATATCTTAAAATAATTGCGCCGTTGTACTCCAGCCTGGGCAACAAGAGCAAGACTCCTCAAAAAAAAAAAAAAAAAAAAAAAAAAAAAAAAAAGAAAAAATAATAAAGAACAATCAGCTGATGATCATACTTCTCAGTCGAATGTATACCTAGGATGTATGATGAGAAATTTACTTAACCCACCCATTTTTAAACATGTTTGGTTCTTTAATAATTAGAATGAAACTATTGTCTCTAGGAAAAAAATTATTTTGCAACATTAGCAAATCACTTGACTAGCTTACATATGATTATCTAGGTTATTTGGTAGTATCAAAGGGTGTAAAATAGTTTTTCTGAGCTTTTTGAAAATTTTATGAGTAATGGTTGAGAATACTACTCTATACCAACTGTTTCTGTTTCCAGATAGAATTGATATATCACAACAGCATTTTCTGTGTTTATGAAGTAATTTTAGGTTTACTTAGACTCACACTTTTCAAACTTCTTGCCTCAGGAGCCCTTTACCCTTAGAAATTATTGAGAACCCAAAAGCAGTTTTGTTTTTGTGAATATAGTCATGCGCCACATAACGACATTTTGGTCGTTGATGGGCCACATATGCAATGGTGGTCCCTTAAGATTATAATACTGTATTTTCACTGTACCTTCTCTATGTTTAGATATGTTTTCTATGTTTAGATATGTTTAGATAAACTGTGTTATAGTTCCTTACAGTATTCAGTATAGTAACATGCCATACAGTTCTGTAGCCTAGGAGCAATAGGCCACACCATATAACCCAGGTATGTAGTAGGCTTATATCATCTAGGTTTGTGTAAATATACTCTGTGATGTTCACACAATGAGGAAATCACCTAATGGTACGTTTCTCAGAACATATTCCTGTCATCAAGCAATGCATGACTGTATTTATCACATGTTTGTCACATAGGAAACTGATAAAGTGGACCAGGCCCAGTGGCTAATGGCTGTAATCTCGGCACTTTAGGAGGCAAGGTAAGAGTATCCCTTGAGGCCAGGGGTTCAAGAGCAGCCTGGGCAACACAATGAGACCCTGTCTCTTGAAAAAAAAAAAAAAAAAGGGGGAATTGACAAAGTGAAAACATTAACATTTAAAATAATAAGCTCATTACATTATCATTAACATTTGTAATGGAAAATAACTTGCAAAAATATTCAGCAGATCTCTCAAATATCTAGGTTAATGGAAGACAGCTAGATTGTTCATATTGTTCATATATGCATCAGCATTCAACCTATTGTGGGTTATTTTGCTTAAAGGATATGAAGATAATCTAGTCTCATACAGATAATGTTGTTGGAAAAGGGAGGAATATTTTAATAGCCTTTTAAAAAAGATAACTGAGTTCCAGTAAGGTGGCTCATACCTGTAATCTCAGCACTTTGGGAGGCCGAGGCGAGCGGATGGCTTGAGCTCAGGACTTTGAGACCAGTCTGGGCAATGTGATAAAACCCTGTCTCTACAAAAAAAAAATACAAAAATTAAATGAGTGTGGTGGCATGTGCCTGTAGTCCCCGCTACCCACAGCAGCTGAAGTGGCAGGTTCTCTTGAGCCCAGGGAGGTTGAGGTTGAGATTGCAGTGAGCCATGATTGTGCCACTACACTCCAGCCTGGGTGACAGAGCAAAACTCAGTTTCAAAAAAAAAAAAAAAAAAAAGTTGGCTGGGTATTCTTACATACTGCATCAAAACAAAAACAACAAATAGTAACTTTTTTTTTTTTTTTTTTGAGATGTAGTTTCGCTCTTGTTGCCCAGGCTGGAGTGCAATGGCACAATCTCAGCTCATTGCAACCTCCGCCTCAACCTCCACCTCCCAGGTTCAAGCAATTCTCCTGCCTCAGCCTCCCGAACAAATAGTAAATTCTTAAAAGTTAGTTGTAATCCGAACCACATCAAACTTTTTGTACACTTAACAGGAAAATCCATAGATCTATCCTGTATTTGAATGGACCTTTTACCTGCACATGATTGCATAGCATTATGTGATGGTCAGTCCAAAAGATGGTGCACTGAGTTATGGAGATCTATCAAATATTTACTCACTTTTTGTACTGTAGCAATTATATTAATATCACCATGGATCTCATCAAGTCTTTAAAAATTGGGAAGCCAGGAAGCTTACAAAACTCCGATTTTTGCTTAAAACCTCAAATTTTATCTTTGACAAAAAATGGTTGTTACCTTGAAGTGACATGCTGATTTTCTCCCTCCAAATACCCACATATAAATATTTTGCCAGTCACTCTTTTAAGTAAAAGTGGCCATGCCATGAAAAAAAAAAAGTTGGTTGAGGTCATAACTCAATATAATTTGCACAAATATATTTCCTTGAGACAACCATTGTACCTCCTTATGCAGGAAATGTACTTTATGTGTCTTCCCCCTTTTGTTATCCAGAATATTAAAAAAGGCTTCTACTTAAGAGTCAAAATTTTTTTAGTTTTTTTTTTTTTTTTTTTTTTTTTTTAAGACAGCATCTTACTCTGTCACCCAGGGTGGAGTGCGGTGGCATGATCTCAGCTCACTGCAACCTCCACCTCCTGGGTTCAAGTGATTCTCGTGCCTCAGCCTCTGGAATAGCTGGGATTACAGGCACAAATCACATGGTTATAAGTATTTTTTTTCTATTTTAGCCATTCAAATAGATATATAATGACATTTCATTGTGGTTTAATTTTTTATTCAGTAATAGCTAATGGTATTTGACATCTTTTAGTGTGTTACTGGCCATCTCTCTTTAGTGAAATGTCCTTTTATATCTTCTTATCATTTGCCCATTTTCTAACTGGATTATTTGTTTTTCTACTGCATATTTTCTCCCCATCTGTATCTGTTGTTTCCTTATTCTTATAGGGACATAAGGGATATAAAAGATGTCAAATGCCATGATCTATTACAGAATAAAAATTTAAACCACAAATGAAATGTCATTATATACCTATTTGAATGTTTAAAATAGAAAAAATGTTCATAATACTAAATGCTGGCAAGGATGCGGAGAAACTGGGTCTCTCATATACTGGATCTCTCATCTTACAGGGAAGAAGGAAATAACAGATACACATGGGGAGAAAATATATAAGTTTTTGATAAATTAAAAACTTTAAGAGAACAAAGTTTTTAATATTCATGAAATCCAATTAATTGATTTTAACTTTTATGGATTATACTTTTGGTATCATACCTAAAAATTCTTTACCTAGTCCTATGTCCTGCAGATTTTTTTCTGTTTTCTTCTAAAATTCTTTATAATTTTATGCTTTACATTTAAATCTACTCCATTTAGAGTTGATGTTTATATAAATGGTATGGTTTAGGCTGACATTATCTTGTTATTGCTTATCGTTCTCCAATTAATCCAGCACCATTTGTTGAAAACACTATCCATCCTGCATTGAGTTTGCTGTTGCAACTTTGTAAAAAATCATTTGAGCATACATATGTGAGTTTCTTTTGGGGTTCTCTGTTCTGTTCCATTGATCTATGTGTCTTATCACTCTGTCACAGGGTGAACCACAAAGCTGGGGCTTAGCCCAGAAGGCCAGGCAGGTTCTTTGCTTTGCACAGGAAAGAATTCAAGAGTGAGCTGACAGAGTAAAGTGAAAGCAAGTTTATTAAAAAGTAAAGGAATAAAAGGGTGACTACCCCATAGGCAGAGTAGCAGTGTGGGCTGCTTGACTGGCTATACTTATGGTTATTTCTGGATTATATGCTAAGCAAGGGATGGATTATTCATGAATTTTCCAGGAAAGGGGTGAGGAGTTCCTGGAACTGAGGGTTTGTCCCCCTTTTAGAGCATGTAGGGTAACTTCTGGATGTAGCCATGGCATTTATAAACAGTCATGGCACTAATGGGAGTTTACTTTAGTATGCTAATGTATTATAATTAACATATTAGGAGCAGTGAGGATAGCCAGAGGTTGCTTTGGTCACCATCTTGGTTTTGACAGCTTTTGACTGGCTTCTTTATTGCATCCTGGGTTTTTTTTATTTTTATTTTTTTCTGTAATACCAAAGTGTTGGGATTATAGTGTGAGCCACTGTGCCCAGCCGCAAATTTTCTTTCTTTCTTTTTTTTTTTTTTTTTGAGACAGAGTCTCGCTCTGTCGCCCAGGCTGGAGTGCAGTGGCACGACCTCCGCTCACAGCAAGCTCTGCCTCCCGGTTCGCGCCATTCTCCTGCCTCAGCCTCCCGAGTAGCTGGGACTACAGGTGCCCGCCACCATGCCCAGCTAACTTTTTGTATTTTTAGTAGAGACGGGGTTTCACCGTGTTAGCCAGGATGGTCTCAATCTCCTGACCCATGATCCGCCTGCCTCAGCCTCCCAAAGTGCTGGGATTACAGGCGTGAGCCACCACGCCTGGCTACCCAGCCACAAATTTTCTTAAAGTTCAGATTTATTTCAAAAGAAATAAATGCGTGAACATTTTTTAAAAAGTACTTTTATTAAGGAAAGAAGCTTAAATTATGTCTTTTGAAATGTAAACCATGTCCTCAACTGACAAGCAGCAAACTGCAGCAGATTATGAAGAAGATTAAGTGGAGCAGAGATGATAGTTTAGCAAAAAAACACCAAAAAAAAAAAATAATAGTTAATTCTGTGGAACTAGTGCCATGGAGCTGAGAGGAGGACTTTCTGAGCTAGTAGGCTTTTACAGAGTGTTTTCAGGCTGTGGCATTGAGAGGTGACAGCGTGCTGGCAGTCCTTACAGCCCTTGCTCGCTCTGGGCGCCTCCTCTGCCTGGGCTCCCACTTTGGCGGCACTTGAGGAGTCCTTCAGCCCACCGCTGCACTGTGGGAGCCCCTTTCTGAGCTGGCCAAGGCCGGAGCCGGCTCCCTCAGCTTGCGGGGAGGTGTGAAAGGAGAGGCGTGGGCGGGAACCGGGGCTGTGAGCGGTGCTTGCGGGCCAGCGTGAGTTCCGGGTGGGCGTGGGCTTGGCAGACCCCGCGCTCGGAGCGGCCAACCGGCCCCACTGGCCCCGGGCAGTGAGGTGCTTAGCACCTGGGCCAGCAGCTGCTGTGCTCAATTTCTCGCCAGGCCTTGGCTGCCTTCCCACAGGGCAGGGCTGGGGACCTGCAGCCTGCCATGCCTGAGCCTCCCACCCTCTCCGTGGGCTCCTGTGCGGCCCAAGCCTCCCCAATGAACCCTGCCCCCTGCTCCACGGCACCCAGTCCCATCGACCACTCAAGGGCTGAGGAGTGCGGGCGCATAGCACGGGACTGGCAGGCAGCTCCACCTGCAGGCCCCTGCGGGATCCACTGGGTGAAGCCAGCTGGGCTCCTGAGTCTGGTGGGGACCTGGAGAACCTTTATGTCTATCTCAGGGATTGTAAACACACCAATCAGCACCCTGTGTCTAGCTCAGGGATTGTAAATACACCAATCGGCACTCTGTATCTAGCTCAAGGTTTGCAAACACCAATCAGCATCCTGCGTCTAGCTCAGGGTTTGTGAATGCACCAATCGACACTCTGTATCTAGCTAATCTAGTGGGGACGTGGAGAACCTTTGTGGCTAGCTCAGGGATTGTAAACGCACCAATCAGCACCCTGTCAAAACAGACCACTTGGCTCTACCAATCAGCAGGATGTGGGTGGGGCCAGATAAGAGAATAAAAGCAGGCTGCCCCAGCCAGCAGTGGCAACCCGCTGGGGTCCCTTTCCACAATGTGCAAGCTTTGTTCTTTCGTTCTTTGCAATAAATCTTGCTACTGCTCACTCTTTTGGTCCACACTGCTTTTATGAGCTGTAACACCGCGAAGGTCTGCAGCTTCACTCCAGAAGCCAGCAAGACCACGAACCCACCAGAAGGAAGAAACTCCGAACACATCCGAACATCAGAAAGAACAAACTCCAGACGCGCCACCTTAAGAGCTGTAACACTCACTGCGAGGGTCCGCAGCTTCATTCTTGAAGTCAGTGAGACCAAGAACCCACCAATTCCTGACACAGCATGATAACATTCCATCCAAGTGATTGCCATAAAACGACTTCATAATTCTATAGTCTAGTCTTACCAAAAACAAATGACATAAAATTCTGTCGTTTTATAACGTAACTTTGAATGCATGAGTCTCTTACAATATCAGCAAAATTTTACTTCATTTCAAGGTAACATCCTCATTTGCTTTGATCATTCCTCATGGCCTGGTTTTAGGATCACTTCTCTTCCTGGTTTCCATTGTCTGGCCTCAGTTCAGTTTTGTCAACGCCCTAAATTGTTGGCTTCTTAATTGCAGTCCAGTGCTTTAAATTGTTTTCCCATCAAAGCAAAATAATTTGGTACCATTATGTGCATTGTATTAGAAACCACATTTTAATCAAAATTGCTCAAGACTACATGACCACTGATGGCAGTTTATGTCTATCATAATCCCTAAAATGTTTTTCATAATTTAGGACATTACTTTAAAGACTATTAAATTTCATTGTTTTTAGTTTTGGCTATGGGTCTCACCTATAAGATGTTTTGAGTTTTTATTTTGGCACTCAACATATTAGCTACCACTCCCAGATTCATGTGCAGACTAATAAGCAAGGCCTTCACTTTATTGCACAGGACCAAGGTGAGCCCAGGAACAAATCATTAAAGGCTATTTTAGACTGACATTCATCTATTAATCAATAATCTTTGAGTGTAGTTATTAAACTATTACTTTAATATTTATGCTTAAATGTTCTAGTCTCCAGCCCTTGCATAGCATATTGTTTGCAATGATAACAATTCTTAATCTTCTGGCCCATTAAATGTGTTAAAATGTGAAATGTATTTAGTTTGATTTGACTTAGTGAATACACCTTGAGTCCTTTAATTACTATTTCATTTTCTAATTGCTTACAAGTCAGATACTCTAGAATTTTGTCGAACAACATGATTCTCACTGGTAATTGCCAGAGCATGCATTCTTTTTCTTTAGAAAGATAGGTTGGCTGGGCGCAGTGGCTCACACTTGTAATCCCAGTACTTTGAGAGGCTGAGGCAAGTGGATTGCTTGCATCCAGAAATTCGAGACCAGCCTGGGCAACACCAGCCTGGGCAACACGGTGAAACCCTGTCTCTACAAAATGTTTAAATATATATATCACTAAAAGGTGACCACATGTAAAATGTTGTATATGTTTCACTGGTGATAGGTGTATTATTGCAAAAAAGCTGGAAGTTTTTGTTTCCCCCTCTTGTTATTTGGGCCATGAATGTTGGGGGACATTTCTAATAAAAGTATCTCTTTCAACAAAAAATCAGGAGCAGTTTGATCCAGATAGGGTTTCTTAAGTACTGACTGGCTGGGGCTTATCAAGGGCCTATGATATCATGAGTATGAGACTCCTCAGTACAAATATGTCTAAATTGAAGTGAAGATTCTGTTTGCAGCCTTATTTCTTTCATATTTCTCATAAATACCCTGCTGCTTATTTTGTAATATGAGCTAATATCACGATAAGGAAGCAAGTTGAGGCCAGCTGCAGTGGCTCATGCTTGTAATCCTAGCGTTTTGGGAGGCCGAGGTGAGCAGATCACTTCAGCCTGGGGGTTCGAGACCAGCCTGGGTAACAAAGTGAGACTCCATCTCTACAAGAAGCCCAAAAATTACCCGGGTGTGGTGGCGAGTGCCTATGAACCCAGCTACACAAGGAGGCTTAGGGAAGAAGATTGTTTAAGCCCAGGAGGTTGAGGCTGCAGTGAGCCAAGATCACACCATTGTACTCCAGTCTGGGTGACAGAGCAAGACCCTATCTCAAAAAAAAAAAAAAAAAAAAAAAGCAGCAGCAGCAAGTTGATGTGAGGCTTGTGAAATTTATAACATAGGAAAGAATGTATTTATTTATTATTATTATTTTTTGAGACAGAGTCTCGCTCTGTCACCCAGGCTGGAGTGCAGTGGTGCGATCTTGGCTCACTGCAACCTCTACCTTCCAGGCTCAGGCAATTCTCCTGCCTCAGCCTCCTAAGTAGCTGGGATTACAGGTGTGTGCCACCATGGCTGGCTAATTTTTGTAATTTTAGTAGAGACGGGGTTTCACCATGTTGGTCAGGCTGGTCTTGAACTCCTGACCTCAGATGGTCTGCCCACCTTGGCCTCCCAAAGTGCTGGGATTACAGGCGTGAGCCACCGCACCTGTCTGAATGTTGGTTTGTTTGCTTATTTATTTATTTTGAGATGGAGTTTTGCTCTTGTTGCCCAGGCTGGAGTGCAGTGGCATGATCCCGGCTCACTGCAACCTCCACCTCCCAGGTTCAAGTGCTTCTCACCTCAGCCTCCCAAGTAGTTGGGATTACAGGCGCCTGCCACCACACCCGGCTAATTTTTGTGTGTGTGTGTGTGTTTTTTTTTTTTTTTTTTTTTTTTTTTTTTTTTTTTTAGTAGAGACAGGGTTTCACCATGTTGGTCAAGATGGTCTTGAACTCCTGACCTCAGGTGATCCACCTGCCTCAGCCTCCCAAAGTGCTGGGATTATAGGCGTGAGCCACCGTGCCCGGCCAATGTCACGAATTTTAAAGTGACTATTTTCATCATCATCATAGTTTGATATTCAATCCACCTTGAGTATGTGGCAGGGCTGGTCTGTATATCTTGGGTTGTCTGTGAGCCCAGGTTCAGAAAACAAAATCCTGAGATAAATCCAGAGGCCAGTGATGGTGTGACCAGTTCAAATGCACTGAGCCAAGAGGGAAGATGAAACTACAGTGAACTGGATGGGGGATGGAGACGCAAGTCAACAGAAACAGACACAGAGCAGGAAAAGAGGAGACGAAGTATGAGTATGCTGTGGTTTGGGTTTGGTTCAGGCAACTCTTAGCATGAATAGATCTTGGAAGACAGGTATCCCTTCTGTTCTTTTCAGGCTACCCACAGGTTGGATGTGAAGATTTAATGAGGAAGGTTTTCAGCAGTTTTTGTCATTGTCATGAGGTTTTCACTCTCATCCTTATACTAGGATGAAATTTATCTGGACCTAGAGATATGAATTCATCTGAAGCAGCAAGTTACTTTTATTCCTGTATCTTGAGCTTCAATTCACTATTAACTATGTTATGCCACTCTTCCTTAGAAAAGATGCAAACTAAGGTTTGTAGCCTGAGAACCTTAATGCTGAAAAGCCCCTTATTTCCTAGGCGGGGTTCTCATAGCTAGTTAGTACTTGTTTTACTGTACTACTCAGTATTGGGTTGAAATACTGCTTTCTCTTGGCCTAATGTGGCATCCTTCTCTCCTGGTTCTCCTCACATTCCTCTCTACTTCTTCTTTGCTGGTTCACCTCCTAAGATTGGGCATGTAAATGTCAGAGTTCTTTAGGGCTCAGTACTGTCTCTCCTCTTTTACTTTATCTCAAGGTCAAGCATTTTCATCCGTCATTGTGCATCAGTGATCACATTCATCCAAGCGTCAAGTTACCATCTTTATGGTAACCAGTCTCAAATTTTCATCCGCATCTGTCCTCTGCATATCCACCTATTTGTTCAGCAGCACCAACGATCACACAGGTGTCTCAAACTCATAACAGCTAAGACCAAACTTATCTTCTCTTCACATCTGGTCTTCATATTCTGAAACTCAGTAACAGTAGTATGTTTCAGCACTTGCTGAAGCCAAAAGCCTAGGAGTCATCCTTGTCACTTCTGTTTTCCATATATTACACATCTAATTCATTAATGAGTCCTGTTGATTTTATTTCTTAAGTCTCTTTTGTCTTTCTTCCTATTCACTGTCATTCCACTACCCAAAGATATCATCCCTACTTCTGGACTGCGATCAGTATGCCTGAATAGGCTTGTGTTCTCTTTAGTATATATCATCAAATTTCTTACGATTGTTTTGGTTAAAATCATCCAATGATTTCCATTGTTCTCAAGAGAAAAAGAAACAAATGCTCTTAATTTGGCCAACAAACCTACAGGGTCTGCATCTTACATAACATTCCCAGCCTCATTTATCATCACTCTTCATACTAGAGACACGGGCGCTATTAGCCATAGATTCTGTTCCTCAAAGTTGCTATGCCCATTCCCACCAGAGGGTCTCCATACATGCTGCTTTCTCAACATAGAACACCACCCTCACCCTCCCTTCTCCATCTAGCTGTAATCTGTTCGTCTGAAAGCTCAGTTCTCACCTTACTTGCTCAAGGCAGTCTTGATGACCCAGCTCTCTTCTGGTCCTGCTGTACCCTCCCATAGCACCTGTTCTGCTTCCTAGCATTTAACCCAGTTACAATTAAATTAAATAACTTCTTGCCAGTCTCCCCCAGAATGTAAGCTCCATGAGGACACAGCAGCAATGGACTATTCAGTGGGGGAGGCATAGCAATGCCCAATACACAGTAGGAATCAACTGTGATTCTGCATCGTCAATTGTCAGAATCTATATCCCCACCTCTGATGAGGCCTTCCTGTAACGCCCTGGAGGTCCATAGTTTGGAAGTGTTGGAGAATTAACCAATCTCTTTTATCAACACTCCCCTCCATCAACCCTCAATCAATGCCCAATGGAAGTTGATGTATAAACATCCTACCTCTCTGGCCCCTTTTGTGGAACAACTCTGAGGTCTGTATTTTACTGTTTCCCTGTCTCATTTTCCCCTCCTCTACAGGTGTTGGTCCTCTTTCTTTCTTTCTTTCTTTCTTTCTTTCTTTCTTTCTTTCTTTCTTTCTTTCTTTCTTTCTTTCTTTCTTTCTTTCTTTCTTTCTTTCTTTCCTTCCTTCCTTCCTTCCTTCCTTCCTTCCTTCCTTTCTTTCTTTCTTTCTTTCCTTTCTTTCTTTCTCTCTCTCTCTCTTTTGTTTTTTTACAGGATCTTGCTCTGTTGCCAGGCTGGAGTACAGTGGCATGATCATAGCTCACTCTAGCCTCAATTTCCCAGCCTCAAGTGATCCTCTCACCTCAGCTTCCTGAGTAGCTGGGACTACAGGTGCTTGTCAGCACGTCTGGATAATTTTTGTATTTTTCTGTAGAGGCAGGGCCTCACTTTATTGCCCGGGCTGGTCTCCAACTTCTGGGCTCAAGTGATCCTCCCACCTTGGCCTCCCAAAGTGCTGGGATAACAGGTTTTTTTCTCTTTCCTTCCCTCCCTCCCTTCCTTCCTCTCTCTCTCTCTTCCTTCTTTCTTTCCTTTTTTTTCCCTCTCTCAGTCTTTCTCTCACTCTCTCTCAAAGTCTTGCTCTGTCACCCAGGCTGGAGTGCAGTGGCATGATCATGGCTCACAGCCTCGACTTCTTGGGCTCCAGCAATCCTGAGTCTGTGGGACCACAGGTGCACAACACCACACTCAGTAATTTTTAATTTTTTATTTTTTGGAGAGATGGGGCCTCACTATGTTGTCCAGGCTGGTTTGGAACTCCTGGCCTCAAGTGATCCTCCCTCCTCGGCCTTCCAAAATGCTGGAATTATAGGCGTGAGCCACTGTGCTCAGCCTCCTACAGGTGTTTTCTGTACCTCCAAAATAAATTACTTACACTTGTATCCTTGTCTTAGTGTCTACTTGTTGTGGAACCCAAACCAAGACACACACTAAGTCAGTCTTGGAGCATGGTGCCTGTCCCAGCAGCATCAGCATTACTTGGGAACTTGTTAGAAAATCAGATTCCCAAGTCCTATCTCAGTCCTCTGAATACAGAAGTTCTGGAGCTGAGGTCAGCAATCTTTGTTTTCATAAGGCCTCCATGGGATTCTCATGCAGGCAAGGTTTGAGAACCACTGGAGTAAATGAATGACATTGTATCTTCTGCTCCTAACAGAAACCTATCAGTCTTTTTTTCTCTTGTTCCAAAAATTTCTCTAAAAGGTTAAAATATAAAATCTTCAGAATTTTTCAAGAGTCTTAGATATCTGGGGTACTAACCTTCTTGAAATGATTCACTGCTATTTATCCTTGTATACATGTCTCTTTTATAGACTGATTTTTTATCTTGTTAGAATGGCAGTTACTTTAATTTCTTCAAATATTTCCCCCTTTCCTTCCTTATTGGGATCAATTTATAATAACGTTGTTAGAATATCCTCTCTACTAACTTTTTCTTTTTAATATCTCTTGCCTAAGGATCATATTACCTTAGTCTGAACTTGTTGAAATATGACCTTTTTTTTCACTAATTCATGAGTCTTCCTTCAAAAAGAAATTTTCTTTAAATAATTGCCTTTCCAATCTGTTAAGACATTAAATTCAGAATCCTTTTCAGGTGTACCTAGTTTTATAATTTCCTTTATCTTAGGAGATACTTATTTCCAACAATGTTACATATTTTCAGTATGTAAATCCCAATATTTCAATATTGCTTCTCTAATGTAATCTCTGTGTCTTGTGCTTCTGTAACAAAAGCCAGGCCTATCTACCAGTTTAGCATCTTTGATCAAACTATTAGTGGAGTTTTAAACACAGGAAAACTGACCTCATCAACTTTCTTCCACTACAGAAATGGAGGCAGTCATCTTGTTAATAGGAATCCAGGTCCATAAAGAGAAAGGTTTGATAACCTTAGAACTTGAGTGTTACTTTTGAAAACTATAAGTTGTGTACCGTTTTGTTCTTTGGTACCTTACCAATTTTTGCACACTACAGAACAAATTTCTTTTTATAGAAATAAAAGGAGTTTTACACCAGTCTCCATTATACACTATACATTAGGGATTATACATTATAATCTAGCTTTAGTCAACTATTTGAAATTTTTCCCATATGTGCTGCACTTACTTTTTTTTTTATTTTTTTATTTTCCAAGTACCTCTTCTTTGAATGCCTTTCCCATACCTTGCCTTGCTGATATTCTATTTGTTCACTCTTAAAGCTACAGCTCAACAATATGAATTGAGTGGCTGTGCTAGAAATAAAGGCTCTAGTGCTTGAGACATATCAGTAAACAAAACAGACAAAGGCTTCTACCCTCATTGAGCTCATATTCTATTGCAGCCCCAAGCAGAATGTATGATTTCAATAGCACTTTTTTCATGCCTCTATCACAGCATTACCATCAACTTGTGTAAGTCTCTTTCCCAACTAGATCTGCAACATTGTCTGCTCGATAGAATCACATAAGAATCTTTGGAAAAACAACTATATCCCAGGTCCCACCTCCAGAGATTTTGATTTAGTTTGGGGCAGGGCCCAGATGATTCTAATGTACAGCCAGAGTTAAGAACCACTGTGAAAATTTTTTGTTTGCTTTTTACTTGCACTTCCTTCAATTTTTATTTTTTGGTTTAATATCTTTTATTCACTTATGTATTTTTTATTTAGACCAAATATACATATATAATTTACCATCTTTACCATTTTTAAGTATACATGTTAGTGGTAATAAAATACACTTATATTTTTTCCCCTTCATCCTCCCATCTCCCTCTCCTGGCCTCTGGTAATCATTAATCTACTCTCTATCTTCATGAGATCCACTTTTTAAGCTCCCACATACGAGAGAGAACATGCAATATTTGTCTTTCTGTGTTTGGTTTATTTAACTTAACATAATGGCCCCTCAGTTCTATCTATGTTGCTAAATGACATAATTTAATTTCTTTTTATGGCTGAATATTATTCCATTGTGTATATGTACCACATTTTATTCATTCATCCATTGGTGGGCACTTTGATTCCATATTTTTGGCTATTGTGAATAGTGCCGCAATAAACATGGGAGGGCAGATGTCTCTTTGACATATTCATTTCCTTGATTTATTGATTTCTATACATTGAACCATCCTTGCATCTCTGGGATGAACCTCACTTGATCATGGTGAATCATCTCTTAAATATTGAATTTGGCTTACTAATATTTTGTTGAGGATTTTTGCATCTGTGTTCATCAATTATATTGGCCTATAGTTTCCTTTTTTTTTGCTGTGTCCTTGTCTGGTTTTTATATCAGGGTAATGCTTGTATTGTGGAGTATTTGGAAGTAGTCTCTGCTCTTCAGTTATTTTGAAGGGCTTGAGTAGGATTGGTATTAGTTCTTTAAATATTTGGTAGAATTCAGCAGTAAAGTCATCAGTTCCTGGGCTTTTCTTTGATGGGAGACTTTGTATTACAGCTTTGATCTTGTTACTCATTATTAGTTTGTTGAAGTTTTCTATTTCTTCTTTGTTCATCCTTGGTAAGTTGTATGTGTCCAGGAATTTATTCATTTCTTCTAGGCTTTTCAATTGTTGGCATATAGTTCATAATAGTCTCTAATGATTCTATTTCTGAGGTCTCTTTGTTTCTGATTTTATTTATTTGGGTCTTCTCTCCTTTTTTCTTAGTCTAGCTAAAGGTTTGTTGATTTTGCTTATCTTTTCAAAAAAAACCCTTTTGTTGATCTTTTGTATTGTCTTTTAGTCTCAATTTCATTTAATTCTGCTCTGATCTTTACTATTTCTTCTAGTAATTTTGGGTTTGGTTTGCTCTTGCTTTTCTAGTTCCTTGAGGTGCATTGTTATTTATTTGCTGTCTTTATACTTTTTTGATATAGGCATTTATTGCTGTAATCTTACCTCTTAGTACTTAGTATTACTTTTTCCATATCTCATAGATTTTGGTATGTTGTATTTCCATTTTCATTTGTTTCAAGAAAATTTTTGATTTCCTTCTTAATTTTTTCATTGACCCATTGGTTGTTTAGTAGCATGTTGTTTAATTTCCATGTGTTTGTGTATTTTCTGAGGTTCCTTTTTTGACTGATTTCTAGTTTTATTCCATTGTGGTCAGAAGAGATACTTGGTAAATTTTTTTTTTTTTTTTTTTGACAGAGTTTCACTCTTGTTGCCCAAGCTGGAGTGCAATGGTGCGATCTCAGCTCACTGCAACCTCCGCCTCCCAGGTTCAAGTGATTCTCTTGCCTCAGCCTCCTAAGTAGCTGGGATTACAGGCATGTGCCACCATGCCCAGCTTGTATTTTCATAGAAATATAAATTTTTATAGAAAATTTTTATAGAAAATTTATAAAATTTTCTATAAAATATAAAATTTTATAGAAATATAAATTTTTATATACAATATAAAAATTTTGTATTTTTAGTAGAAATGGGGTTTCTCTGTGTTGGTCAGGCTGGTCTTGAACTCCCAACCTCAGGTGATCTGCCTGCCTCAGCCTCCCAAAGTGCTGGGATTACAGGCGGGAGCCACCATGCCCAGTGATAAAATCTGTATTTTTAAAAAATTTGTTTGGTGGCCTAAGATAGGGTTTATTCTGGAGAATGTTCCATGTGCTCATGAAAAAAATGTGTATTCTGCAGCAGTTGGGTGAAATGTTCTGTAAACATTAGTTAGGCCTATTAGATCTAGTGTTCAGTTTAACTCCATTGTTTCTTTGCAGATAATCTGGATGATCTGTCCATTACTGAGACTGGGGTATTAAAATCCCCTACTATTGTTTCATTGCAGTCTACCTCTCCCTTTAGATCTATTTCTTATTTTTTATTTTTTGGAGACAGGGTCTCACTCTGTCACCCAGGCCAAGTGCAGTAGTGTGATCATAGCTAAGTGCAGCTTCAAACTCCTAGGCTCAAGTGATACTCCCACCTCAGCCTCCCAATTTGCTAGGACTACAGGGACAAGCCACCATGCCCAGCCCAGGCTGGCCTTGAACTCCTGGCCTCAAGCAATCCTCCCACCTCTGCTTCCCGAAGTGCTGGGATTACAGGCATAAGCCACCATGCCTGGCCCTTCCTTTAGATCTATTAATGTTTGCTTTATATAGTTGGAGCTCTGGTGTTGGTTGCATAGATATTTATACTTGTTATATCCTCTTGCTGAATTGATCCCTTTATCATTATATAATGACCTTCTTTGTCTTTTTTTATAGTCATTGATTTGTCTGAAATAAGTATTTCATCTGATTTTATCTGATATAAGAATAGCTATTCCTGCTCTTTTTGGGTTTCTAATTGCTTGAAACATTTTTCCACCCTTTCACTTTTAATCTGTGTGTGTCTTTCTAGGTAAAGTGGGTTTCTTGAAGGCATCATATAGTTGGGTCTTGTTTCTTTATCCATGCAGACACTCTATGCCTTTTAGTTGGAGAATTTAGACCATTTACATTCAGTGTTATTATTGATAAACAGGGGCTTATTACTGCCATTTTGTTGCTTGTTTTCTTGTTGTTTTGAGACTCCTCCCTTTCACTTTTCCTTCTTTATTTTCTTCCTTTGCGGCTAAGGATTCTCTCTGGTAGTATATTTTAATTTTTTTGTATTTTATTTTTAGGAATTGTACTATAGGTTTTTGTACTGTGGTTACCATGAGGCTTACAGAAAACATCTTATACATATAACAAGTTATTTTAAAGAGTTGATAACTTATCTTTGATTCCAAATAAAAGAATAGAAGCAAACAAAGGCCAAGAAAAGCACACGCAAAAAAATTCTACTTCTTGAACTCTATCCCCTCCTCCATTTTGATTTAGTTGTCTCAAACTATATATTTTTATATTACCTATCTCTTAACAGGTTGGTGTAGCTATTATTGTTTTTAACAGATTTATTTTTTGGGCTTCATAATAGAGTTGAGTGGATTGTACCCCACAAATACAGTAATAGAGTATTCTGGGTTTGTTTGTGTACTTAATTTTAACATGGGTTTTATGCCTTGAAATGTTTTCTTTGGGATGTTGGTGTGTTTTTGTTTTTCTTTCATATTGAAGAACTTCCTTTAGCATTTCTTGCAAGATGGATCTGGTGTTGATAAATTCTGGCAGCTTTTGTTTGTCTAGAAAAGACTTTATTTCTCTTTCATATTTAAATGAGAAATTTTGTTGTATATATTATACTTGAATGATAGTTTTTTTTTTCTTGGCGCACTTTGAAAATTTCATTCCATTCCCTCCTGGCCTCTGTGGTTTCTGTTAGAAGTCTGTTGCTAGATGAATTGGAGCTCCTTTATATGTTATTTGCTTCTTTTCTCTTGCTGCTTTTAGATCCTTTGCCTTTGACCTTTGAGAGTTGCATTATTATATGCCTTGGGTTAGTCTTATTTGGGTTAAATCTGTTTGGTGTTCTAAGACCTTCCTGTACCTGGACATTTATCCTTCTCAAGTTTTGGAGACTCTTCTGTTATTATTTATCTTTCTACCCCTTGCTCATGTTCGGCTCCCTCTTGAATGCCAATAATTCTTAGATTTGATCTTTTGAGCTAATTTTCTATATCTTGTGGGTGATCTTCTTTCCTTTTCATTCTTTTTCATTTTTCTTCTTTGACTGCATATTTTCAAATAGCCAGTCTTTGGGCTGATTCTTTCCTCTGATTCATTGTGCTCTTGAGAGCCTTTAAAGGGTTCTTCTCCCTTTAAATGTACTTCTCCATTCCAATATTTCTATTTTTTAATTACAATCTCTTTGTTAAATTTCTCTGATAAATTTCTGAAATGCTTTTCTGTGTGATCTTGGAGATCACTGAGTTTCCTTAAACTACTGTTTTGAATTATTGGTCAGAGAGCTCACAAATTGCTGTCTTGTTAGGGTCAGTTACTGGATTTTTGCTTTATCCTTTTGGAGAGGTCATGGTTCCATGCTGTTTCTTGTGGATGTCTAGGTCTTTGCATTGGATGATTATTTATCCTAGTTTTCTCAGTCTTGTTTTGTTTTTTTAATTGAATATATTTGCTTAGCACATCTTTGCCTGCACGTCATTGCTTCCTTTTCAGCTTTAGGTGACACCTTAAGCCCAGGTTTGCCTCAGCCTTAGTTAATGCTCAGAGTGCTCCTGGTCCTAAATGGAGGAGGTCCCAGAGGGATTATCCTGACTGTGTCAGAAGGCTGGCTAGAGGTTCATGCCCAGGAGACCTGTGGGACTTACTTCCTACAGTGTGGTGCTGCTGAACGGCCACTCTGATTTAGCATCTTCTTTGGCTGAGTTACAGAGCAGAGGTCCTAGGGCTGGAGATGGTAGTCCTGTCTCCCCACTTTGTCTCTTCCTGTTCTCAGGGATATTTCTGCCATCAGGCAGTCACAATGCTTCCCACAGGTTAAAGCAAGGACAGGGTTCCTGCCAGGGAACCCAAGAAAGTGGGGAAGCTGGTTGACCACCTCAGTTTCACTTTTTCTATTGTAGAAACTGAGTTTGGGAGAGATTTTTCACATACTTGGTACAGGGCAGAATCGGGGTGAGGGTCATTACAGATGTAGAAATCCATTTCTCCTATTGTCTGCTCAGAGGTTTTCCATTTCTCTAAGGCCCTGAAAACTGTCTCATCCTCAGATCTGAGCTCTGGATTGTTGCTGGTGAAAATCTCAGTGCTGTATATATACTTTTTGGTATTCTACGGGGGGAGAGTGAAACCAGCTTACCTCTACACTGTCATTTTGAAACCAGAAGTCTCCCGGCTGTGAAATTTTTGAAAATGTGATTGTTGTATTACTCATTTGATATTAACTAACATTTAACATGTAGTGGGGTAATCAATAAGTGTTTGTTGATCTGCTTTGTGACAGTAGGAAGAAATGATATTGGCTCTCGTTCCACTGAGCTACTAGGACATTAAGATAAATAGTCTTTATGGGGCCTTTGAGAAATTGGGTTTATTTTAGGTAATTATTAGGATGCATAATCAATGAAAGTTAACAGATAGACAAATATCCAGAAAAACTATAGAAACTTAAGCAGCCTGGGAAACATGGCAAGGCCCTGTCTCTACAAAATTTTTAAAAATTAGCCAGGTGTGGTGGTGTGCACCTGTAGTCCTAGCTACTTGGGAGGCAAAAGTGGGAGGATTGCTCGAGCCCAGGAGGTTGAGGCTGCAGTGAGCCGTGATTGTGCAGCCAAAAAAAAAAAAAAAAAAAAAAAAAAAAAGAAATGGGAAAAAACTGAAGGTTTAAAAAGAAAAGATAAATCATATTTTATAAATTAGGAGAAGCTGAAGAGGAGAATCATAAAAAAGCAGCACAGCAGGGCCTCAAATAACATGACTTTGTTCAACATGGTTTCGTTGTAATGTGGAAAAACTGCCTGTAATTCCAGCACTTTGGGAGGCCGAAGAGGGTGGATCACCTGAGGAGTTTGAGACCAGCCTGACCAACATGGAAACCCCGTGTCTACTAAAAATACTAAAATTAGGCATGTGTGGTGGCAGATGCCTGTAATCCCAGCTACTTGGGAGGCTGAGGGAGGAGAATTGCTTGAACCCGGGAGGTGGAGGTTGTGGTGAGCCGAGATCGCTCCATTGCACTCCAGCCTGGGTGACAGAGTGAGACTCCGTCTCAAAAAAAAAAAAAAAAAAAAAAAAGAAAGAAAGAAAGAAAGAAAAAACTGATTCCCAATGGGGACTACTGTCTGTGTGGGGTTTGTACATCCTCCTCATGTCTGAGTGGGTTTTCTTTGGATATTCCAGTTTCCTCCGAAATCTCAAAGCTGTACACATTAGGTTAATTGGTGTGTCTACATGGTCCCAGTTGGAGTGAGTATGTGGGTGTCTGTGAGCGTGTCCTGTAATGGAATTACATTCTCTCCAGGGTCATTTCCCACCTTGCACCCTGAGCTTCTGGAAGAGAATCCAGCCATCTGTGAGCCTGAACTGAAATAAGTGGGTTAGAAAATGAATAAAGGTATGAATACATATGATGGTAAAATAAAACTTCACAAAATATATGAAAATCATATAAATACATTGATATTATGTGGCTGTGTCCCCACCTAAATCTGACCTTGAATTGTAACAATCCCTATGCGTCAAGGACAGGACCAGGTGGAGATAATTAAATCATGGGAGCAGTTCTCCCATCCTGTTCTCGTGATAGTGAGTGAGTTCTCATGAGATCTGATGGTTTTGTAAGGGGCCTCCCCCTTTGTTTGGCACTTCTTCCTGCCGCCCTGTGCAGAAGGACATGTTTGCTTCCCCTTCTGCTATGATTGTAAATTTCCTGAGGCCTCCACAGCCCTGCAGAACTGTGTGTCAAGTAAACCTCTTTCCTTTATATATTGCCCAGTCTTGGACAGTTCTTTATGGCAGTGTGAGAACACACTAATACATGCATGAAAATAAATGATGCAGGACAAAAGTGCTTATTGAGCCTGCCATGTCTGTGATTGTTTTTGAGCTGCATAGTGGTAGGAAGTACTCTGATATTTTTTGCTTTGCGAACATTTATTCCTTGATTTAATCCACCACTATTGCAACCCCCATCACTCACTGATTCACCAAAAATTGGGTAATTATGCTACTTGTTTTTATTAATATTTCTTAAAGGTATATATAGCTCACATTTATTTCAATGTTTAATATTAGAAGTGTTTTGTGTCTTTATTTAGAAGTTTGGTGATGTTTCTGTGACCAGAAAAATGCCACAAGAAACTAAACTCTTGTTTATACCAATTAGCCTATGGTAAAATTGGTTTTGTTTTGCTTAAAGTTGCAGTTTCCAAGCACCTATTGATGACATTGAGGACTTATTGTATTTAGAAAAAAATGCCACCCTTATATTTCTCGAATACTCTATAATTTCACTGTACTTTAGGGTCCATGATTTTGCTTGTTTTTCACAATGATGATGTAGATAGGGCAGACATCATCCCCATTTTACAGATTAAGAATCTGATTCATGGTTGATGAGGTTAGATGTCTAATCCAAGGTTGTATGCCAGGTTGATGGTAGGTAGATCCAGAACTTGAACCCTAATCTAAGGCCTTTTTTTTTTTTTTTTTTTTTGAGACGGAGTCTCACTCTGTCGCCCAGGCTGGGGTGCAGTGGTGCAATCTCGGCTAACTGCAAGCTCCACCTCCTGGGTTAACACCATTCTCCTACCTCAGCCTCTTGAGTAGCTGGGACTACAGGCACCCGCCACCACGCCCGGCTAATTTTTTGTATTTTTAGTAGAGACGGGGTTTCACTGTGTTAGCCAGGATGGTCTCGATCTCCTGACCTCGTGATCCGCCCGCCTTGGCCTCCCAAAGTGCTGAGATTACAGGTGTGAGCCACCGCGCCCGGCCAATCTAATGCTCTTTCTTAACACTGAGAACTGTCCATAAAAGGTGGAATTGCCCCTGACTTTGGCTGTTAGGCAGGATACATTTATGAGCTCCACATTCCCCTTCCTCTACATATCTGGGTCTCCTCTCCTAGGAGACCTACTTCTGGGTCTAGGTCTCTAGAGATAGCTACCAGCCACCAAGACCTTTAGATGGTTTACTTTGACATGTCATCCCTGGATTTATCTCCTAGGACTGGGACACAGGAACTTTTAGCTTATTGTACTTATTCATTGAGTGAGTTATTAGTGTGTGCTAGAAACTGTGCTGAACCCTGGACAGACAATATTGATCAGGAAGACATAAGGCCTGCCCGTATGATGTTTTACAGTAGTGGGAGAGAGATATTCTATATCCACACTCACAAACCCTTAGGAGCCTTAGACACTATAAGAGGGCCACACCTTGTGGCAAATGTTATCTGTATAGTAACAACATCCCATAAAAATAAGAAATATGGCTCACAACTCTAAAACTCCAAGTGTGTTAAGTGCTATGATGCTATGAGAGCATATAATAGCAGAATTTGGTTACGTCAGGGAGGTCACAGAAAAGATTCCAGTTAAAGCCAGATCTGAGGGAAGAGTAGGCATTAACTAGACAAAAGTGTTGTACAAAACTAAACTAGTGCTTCTTGTCTTGTCCAGCATGGTAAAATTTTGAACCTCACAATATTTCTCAGACCTCTCTACATGATGAGTAGCCGATTTTTTAATTGTCTTCTGTGGAAGGCTCAGAGTAGCCGATTTTTAACGATTGGGGAAATACACAGTCCTATGAATCCGCTAACAACTCTAAATAGATTTCTAATTTATTAATCACCCAACCTTTAGATACATTTGAGCCATATTTCTTATTTTTGTGGGATGTTATTACTATACAGATAACATTTGCCACAAGGTGTGGCCCCCTTATAGTGTCTAAGGCTCGGGTTTGCTGCCCATGAGTTATCCATCTCTGAGCTAATCTGTGGGCATGTACTGTTGAGACAAGAGAAAACAAGAGCTTTCTTCTCCTCTCTCTTTCCTCTGCTACTAGGTACCAAAAGTCCATTTTTTCAGTGGCTTCTTGGGGACATCAGTGTCAGCCAGTTTGCAGTCCAGTTTCAAGAGTGAACAGGCTGTGAAAAGACCTAGTATTGCTTTAGAATAAGTAATTGTGAAATGGAAAAACTATTAAGGGAAGAGAGCACAAATATTGGGTAATAGCAGTGGTTGGTCAAACTGATTCAGAAAGCCCTTATGGTTCAGTATATTTTATTTGGGTAAAAAGGGAGGAGTTCTCTTAAGAATGTTTAAATACATTATTTTAAAAAAATTGAAACAGAGTCCCACTCTATTGCTCAGGCTGGAGTGCAGTGGCTCATTCATAGCTCATGGCAGCCTCAAACTCCTGGGCTCCAGCCATCCTCCCACCTCAGCCTCCCAAGTAGCTGAGACTACAGGAATGTGCTACTATGACTGGCCAATTTTTAAAATTTGTAGTAGAGACAGGGTCTTACTATGCTGCCTAGGCTGGTCTCAAACTCCTGGGCTCAAGTGATCTTCCTGCCTTGGCCTCCCAAAGCACTGGGATTGCAGGTGTGAGCCATTGTGCCTGGCATAAATACATTCTTCAAAGCACCTGGAGTGCTGTTTGGGCTGGCAAAGCTCTGGGGATCAAGTCCCAGAATGATGCGTGCACTTCCTCACCAAAATAGTGCTGCTTTTCCTTCTGTCTGGGATGTCTAACCTGTCTCCAAGCTTGGCCCTCTGACCTGCAGGCTTAAGCTTCAGCCTGGACTCTTCTGTGAAGGCATTGCTGACCCCTTCAGAGAGATTCTAGAGTGATTTCCCAGGCCCCCCTGTACAGCGGTCCACCTGCATTATTTGCAATTGCCACATGGCCCCACATGTCGCCTCATGAGGCTGGGAACTCCCAAAGGCAGTGGCTAATAGGTGCTCAATAAATGCTTGGGAAAGGAATTCGTTGTTGCTTTTCGGATACTGGGGATTTAAAATAAATATTACAAAGTATTTTGGGAGAAAAATATAATGGTGTCTACTAGAGTTCAAAGCAATGTGCAACTCTGCCATAATTTTAAGCTCTTGGTATACTTGTTATCCTGAATGATGTCAAGTATTGTAATCCAGTTTCGTGAATCTACGACAGGACAACTAGCAGCTCTGGGGGAAGGAAGCACAAAACGCAGAAAGCAAAAGGAACCGCATCAAATTACAAGTAGAGCTAGGCAAGCGGCACATTGAAGAGGCTGCTTAAAACACACACGTGGGATGGCCACAAGGTGGCAGCTTAGAACCGTGACATTACGCATCGACCATTCAAAGACCGAACAGCGGGGAATGTGGCAGGCTGGAGAGTGGAGAGCGGGTTTATTGGGGCAATTAGAACCGGGAAAGGAGAAAGAGACCGTGATTTATTGTATTTGGTGCGCACATCCTTATAATTTTGTTTGCCCTAGAAAAAAGCACAGGCACACACACTTAAATGCATATACACAGCAAAGACTCATCAATTTCACTCTTGAGAAGCGTTAACCCCAGAATGAGTCTCCTGTGCAGTCGCGAGCTGGCTGTTTCCTGAGGTGGCCTCACGTCCTTCGTACCTTTTATGGCGTGCTTTTATAGGCTGTTTAAGAACTTTTTTTTTTTTTGAGACGGAGTCTCGCTGTGTTGCTCAGGCTGGAGTGCAGTGGCACGATCTCGGCTCACTGCAACCTCTGCTTCCCGGGTTCAGGTGATTCTCCTGCCTCAGCCTCCTGAGTAGCTGGGATTACAGGCGCACGCTACCATGCCCGGCTAATTTTTGTAATTTTTTTTTGGTAGAGACAGGGTTTCACCATGTTTGCCAGGCTGGTCTCAACTCCTGACCTCAGGTGATCCGCCTGCCTGCCTCGGCCTTCCAAAGTGCTGGGATTACAGGTGTGAGCCACTGCGCCCGGCCAGGACTTCTTAAGAGTACTTTTACTTTCTCTGGGGTTCATGTAACATATTTACTTTAGAACCTCACTAAGTTGCTACTCTACTCTGCTTATAAAAATATACATATAGAAATCCATATATTATTATAGACTATATACATCTATATTATACGTTATAATAATATGTAGCATTAATTGATGAATCAGGAAACCAGTGCTTTCTACTATGCCTTTGAAATAGTGGGTGCTTAATATATGTCTGCTGAACTGAAGGGAAACAGAATACATATTTTGGAAAATGGAAGGTGTGGACACAGTAGCAGAGGAATATTGCAACACAGTGTAGAGGATCATAAAGGGGCAAAAGGGAGAAGAGAATGTCTACCTCTCTGCCACTTCTCAGAGCTAACCTGCTGTACCCAAGGGTCCATGAAACTCAAGGTCCCATTCCCTAGTTTTTGTTTTGTTTTTTTGTTTGTTTGTTTTGAGACAGAGTCTCACTGTCGCCCAGGCTGGAGTGCAATGGCGTGATCTCCGCTCACTGCAACCTCCGCCTCCCATGTTCAAGCCATTCTCCTGCCTCAGCCTACCAAGTAGCTGGGATTACAAGCGCGAGCCACCAAACCCAGCTAATTTTTTTTTTTTTTTTTTTTTTTTGAGACTGAGTCTCGCTCTATCGCCCAGGCTGGAGTGCAGTGTCTCGATCTTGGTTCACTGCAACCTCCACTTCCCGGGTTCAAGTGATTCTCATGCCTCAGCCTCCCGAGCAGCTGGGACTACAGGCGCGTGCCACCACGCCTGGCTAATTTTTGTATTTTTAGTAGAGATGGGGTTTCACCATATTGGCCAGTCTGATCTCGAACTCCTGACCTCAGGTGATCCACCCGCCTTGGCTTTCCAAAGTGCTGGGATTGCAGGTGCAAGCCACCATGCTCGGCTCTAATTTTTGTATTTTTATTTTTATTTTGAGACAGAGTCTCACTCTGTGCCCAGGCTGGAGTGCAGTGGCATGATCTCAGCTCACTGCAACCTCCACCTCCCAGGTTCAAGCAATTCTCCTGCCTCAGCCTCCGGAGTAGCTGGGATTACAGGCGCCGTCCACCATGCCAGGCTAATTTTTAAAATATTTTTAGTAGAGACGGGGTTTCACTGTGTTGGCCAGGCTCGTCTTGAACCCCTGACCTCAGGTGATCCACCTGCTTCGGCCTTTCAAAGTGCTGGGATTACAGGTGTGAGCCACCATGCCCAGCCCCCTTCCTTAGTTTGATCTATACTATCACCACGTCTACATGTCCTAGTGATTTGAACAGCAGCCTTTATAACATAATCGTGAAACTTTGGATTTCTAGAAGGCAAATGACGTAAGAGTCAATGCCTTGTCTGAATGATCATATTTCCATACCTTGCCCAGAGGAGGCATTTAATAAAGATTGGTTATAAATTTAACCTATCCAATAAGAAGTCCAAAAGCTAAGCACTGAACCACATGAACGTGGGAAATTACTGAATTAAAAGGAAATGTTATTTACAATAAACCATATAGATAGATACTACCTAAAACGTAGCTTTTGTTAAACTTCCAACAAATCGAAATTATATTTTAGTAAAATCATAATTTTTCAGACCAGCAGTAGGGTAAAAACTATGGATATGGGGCAAAGGGTGTGGTATCATCCTGTCTCCAGGAACTTATAACTTACTGGAAAACGATAACATATCTATAAATGCACTTTCAACAACATATGGCAAAAATAAGTGCTATAGATGCTCAGAGGAGGGAGGAAGGCTTCATAGAAGGGATTAGCATTGGCCTGGACTTTGGAAGGTGAATCATAACTGTATAACAGGAGGGGGAAGCATTCTTGGGGCAGAGGCTCAGGAAGGTGTGTTCAGGTGAGGGTGAGTAGAACAGGGTGCCCAGAACAGTTCAGGAGGGTGTGGCACAGGGAGAAAAGACTGAGATGCAGAGGGGCCAGATCATGAGGACGCCTGGGAGTCTGTCCTCAGAGAGTCTGTCCTTTACCCCAGAGGCACTGCAGGCCTTTGAACAGGGTAATGACCTGGTGGAGGCTAAACTTTTGAAAGATTATGCAGGATATATTGATATGGGTATAATTAGAGACTTAGATGTTATTTTGTTTTATAAAAGTCATCCAGACAAGCTGGGCACAGTGGCTCATACCTGCAATCCCAGAGCTTTGAGAGGCCAAGGCAGAAGGATCACTTGAGATTAGGAGTTTGAGACCAGTTTGGGCAACATAGTGAGACACTGTCTCTACAAAAAAAAAAAAATCAAAATAAAAAAAATTTACCAGGCACAGTGGTGCGTTTGTAGTTCTGGCTACTGGGGAGGCTGAGGTGGGAGGATCACTTGAGCCCTGGAGATCACAGCTGCAATGAGCCATGATTATGCCACTGCACTCCAGCTTGCGTAACACAGCAAGACCGTGTCTCAAAACAAAACAAAACAAACAAAAAACAAAAAAAGTCATAAAGTACAACCTGTAGCTATTGTACATATATAAATATTCAAACATATGATAGCCAGTAGGTTTATCATATAATTGGATGACAAAATAAATTTGAGAACCACATTCTATTTTAAATATATTAATTTTTATTAGTTGAAAAGATTTTAAAGATATACAGTATTTGAGAAAATGACAAAAACAAATCTCATGAAATATCTTTCATTTTCACTTTAAATATTTTTTATGAACAAAGTACAAATAATGGCCCACATTTCTTATAAATAGACTAATTTTTAAAGATGTAGCTGGGGAATGGATGATGAATGAAGAGGACAATGACTACGACTTTATTTAGAAGCAAATCCCACCTAAAGTGCCAAGGGCATGGGCTTGCTTTTGAAAGGGGCTCTTTGCAATCAGCTGGGCAGTGGTTTGCTATGCACGGTGGCCCTTCAGAGGACCAGCTAACCTGAAAAGTTATCCCTACCAGGATCACCAGCCAACTGCAGCACAAACCTTCTGTAAAGAAAAATGGGCTGGGTGCGGTGGCGCATGCCTGTGGTCTCAGCCACCGGGGAGGCTGAGGTGGGAGGATCAAGGCCAGGAGTTGTGGTGAGACCAGCCTGGGCAACATAGTGAGGCCTGGTCTTAAAAAGCAACTTAAGTTTCACTCAGGTATCCACAGTTTCATTTGGGTAACAGAAAAATATACCTGCTGTAGTCTGGCAGTTCCTCAAAAGTTTAAACATGGAATTTCTTTCTTTCTTTTTTTTTTTTTTTTTTTTTAAGATGGAGTCTCACTCTGTCACCTAGGCTGGAGTGCGGCAGTGCTATCTCGGCTCACTGCAAGCTTCACCTCCCAGGTTCACGACATTCTCCTGCCTCAGCCTCCCAAGTAGCTGGGACTACCGGCGCCCACTACCACGCCCAGCTAATTTGTTGTATTTTTAGGAGAGACGGGGTTTCACCATGTTAGCCAGGATGGTCTCGATCCGCCCGCCTGGGCCTCCCGAAGTGCTGGGATTACAGGTGTGAGCCATCGCGCATGGCCTAAACACGGAATTTCAATATGACCCAGTAATTCTACTCTTAGGTATATAGACAAGAGAAATGAAACATATATTCACATAAAAACTTGTATGAGAATATTCATAATAGCATTATTTGCAATACCCAAACATTGAAAACCACCTGAAAGTCCATCAACTGATGAAGAGATAAATAAAATGTGGCGTATCCATACAATGGAATATTCTCTGGCAAAAAAAAATGAGGTACTGATATATGCTATGAGATAGCTGGATCTTGAAAACATTATGCTAAGTGAAATAAACTAGACACAAAAGACCATATATTATATGATTCTATTTATATGAAATGTCCATGAGAAGCAACTCCATAGAGACAGACAGTAGATTAGGGCTGCACAGGGCTGGAGAGACTGTGAAGAACGAGGGAGAAACTGCTAAATGGTAGAAGCATTTGGGGAGGGGGGCAATGAAATGCTCTAAAATTGTTGTGGTGACAGCTAACGCCGTGAGTATACTAAAAGCCAGTCTTCATTGTATACTTCAAAAGGGTGAATTACATGGTATGCGTATTATATCTCAATAAAATTGTTACCAAAACAGAAATATCTGTTGTAATATCATAGTACTGGAAAGGACTTCAAGATGTCATCTAACATGGTTTAATCAATTAAATGTAGTTCATCTAATACATATCAACTAAGTCATGGAGCCCTCATGTGCTGGGTTTTGGATGTGATGTTGTGAGAGCCCTGAGGAAGGGCACTTGGCTCAAGCTGGAGGTCAGGAAGAGTTCCCGGAGGAGATGGTGCTTAAGCCAAGAGTTAAAGGACAACTAAGCATTAGCTTGGAGGCACTAAGCAATTTGAGAGGGTGGGCACAGTGGCTCCTGCCTGTAATCCCAGCACTTTGGGAGGCTGAAGTGGGAGGATTCCTTGAGCTCAGGAGTTTGAGACCAGCCTGGGCAACACAGAGAAACTGCATCTCTTAAAAAAATTTAAAAATTAGCTGGGCGTGGTGGTGCACAACTGTGGTTCCAGCTACTTGAGAGGCTAAGGTAGGATGATCTCTTGTGCCCAGGAGGTCAAGGCTGCAGCGAGCTGTGATCACGCTACTTCACTCCAGCCTGGGTGACAGAGTTAGACTCTGTCTCAAAACAAAACAGTTTGGGGATGTAGCTTTGGGGAGGACTGTGCAAGGAAGCTGTAAACACTTGGTATAATTGGCATATTGAGTACAAGGTTGGAGGGGACAGGAGATCTACAACTAGGCAAAGTTATAAATATAGATGGAAGACCTCCAGCGCCATGCTGTCTAGATTGCATTTACTCTTGCAGCTTCTAGGCTGCCACTGAAGGGCTGAACACAGAAAGTGACACGGTGTCTTGCATTTTGGACAGACCATTCTGTACATACAGAAGAGGGGGTCATGTTGACAGAAGGAGCCAGTTAGGAGGCCAAAGTCCAGAAGAGAGAGATGCTGAGAATCTGAAAGGATAATGTGGTAGGGATGATGGGTGGGGGAGGAGAGAAGGGGGTTTCCAAAATGTTGAGGAGGAAGAATGAGCCACGCTTGATATGGCTTAGGTGTGAATATGAAGGACAGGATGAGATCCAGAAAACTCAGGTGTTCCTATTGATGTGCCCAGGTAGTGGGAGGAGCCATTAACAGAGAGAAGCTTGCAGGAGATAGATTTTCCCTAGGAGGAACAAAGTGAATTGGGTTCTAAATGAGTTGATTTTGAGATACGTCCAGCAGGAATTGGATTTTGAATGTGAAGGTTAAGGATAGGAGGTCACCGAAACCATGAGAACAAATTAGGTCACCCAGACTAACATGGAATAATATCTAATAGTTGCTAACATTCACTATAACCCTCCTATGTGTTTATATGTATTAACTTACTTAATTCTCCCAAAACCCTATTCAGGTGATACTTTTACCCCATTTATATAGAAATGAGAGGTTAGAAATAATAAGAGAACTTCCACAATCTCCCTACCCACACACCTACCTACCTATCCACCTCGGTCTGCTGACCTCAAGTGCTTGGTCTTCTATGGATGAAAGTAACTTTTCTCAGAGTGCAACCCCTCCACAGTGGAACAGATCTCATCCTCTCTCACCTCCTAAAATAACATTGCTTCAGCAATTGTCCTCTCCCTCTGTCCTTCATAAAATCCAGCCTCTTTGTGGATCATTCCTATCAGTATACAAACATACTATTATTTCTCCTAGTTTGAACAAAACCAAGACCACAACCACAACCAAAACCCTTGACCCCATTCTGCCTTCCAGCTCATGTTCCATTTTTGTCCTTCCTTTTACACCTCAAAAGAATTGTCTGTACTCATCGTCTCTAACTTCTCTGTTTCATTCTCATGTGAACTCATGCTGGTATGGCTTTTATGGCTTCTAGTCTGCCTAAATTGTCCTTAACAAGGTAGCCAAAGACCTCCATTTTGGTAAATCCAACAAACAGCTCTCAGTTCTTGTCTAATTTGACCTGTCTGCAGCATCCTGACTCAGCTGATCACCTCCTCCTTCTTCTGTCACTGGAGTCAGAGGCTACTAAGCTCTTGGTTCTTCTCCTACCTCTCTGCTCAGTCCCTTAGTTTCTTTTGCTTGTTTCTCCTCATGTCCCTGAACTTTTAGTGGAGACCAGTCCTTGTACCTTCTCTTCTCTGTTCATGCCTTGGTGATCTCATCCAATCTTGTGGCATTAAATATTTCTCATTGCATGCGGTTACTCCCAAATTGGTATCTTTAGCCTGTACTTACCTCTTCATAGATCCAACTGTCATTTCCAATTTGGTGTCTAAGAGAAAATTCAAACTTAGTTTGTCGAAACTGAACTCCTGACCTCCTCCTATCCCATCCAAGCTTAGTTGTCCTTATGCTTTTCCAGGTTTATTTAATAGCAACTTTATTGGTATAGTTGCTTAGCTCTAAAACTTGGATTCAGCTTAGATTCCTCTTTTTTTTTTTTTTGAGACAGAGTCTCGCTCTGTCACCCAGGCTAGAGTGCAGTGGCAAAATCTTGGCTCACAGCAAGCTCCGCCTCCCGGGTTCACACCATTCTCCTGCCTCAGCCTCTTGAGTAGCTGGGACTACAGGTGCCCACCACCACGCCAGGCTAATTTTTTGTATTTTTAGTAGAGATGGGGTTTCACTGTGTTAGCCAGGATGGTCTCGATCTCCTGACCTCGTGATCCACCCGCCTCGGCCTCCCAAAGTGCTGAGATTACAGGCGTGAGCCACCGTGCCCGGCCTGGATTCCTCTTTTTCTTTGATACTACACATCCAGTTCAAATTTCCATGGACTTCACCTTCAAAATATTCCTGGGATCTGACCTCTCTGTACCATCCCCACTGTGGCTCCCGTGGTCTAAGCTGTCCTCAGTTCCCCTGTGGATTTCTGCAATAACCTCATAATCTGCATTTGTCAATCTTTCAGTGTATTCCCAATAGAGCCGCCAGAATAATCCTGCTAAGACTCATTTGATCTTGTTATTCCCCTGCTCGAAAATCATCCAGTGGATCCTTATGCCACAGTGAGTAGGAGCCAAAGTCTTGGAATGTCCTACAAGCCCTTCCCTCTCTCTACTGCACTCAAACAAATTGACCTCCCCTCTTGCTACTCTCTTCATTTGCTCCCTCCAGCCACACTGTTATCCCTGCTGCTGTTTGAACATGTTGGTTGTGTTCACAACTCAAGGCCTTGTATTTGCCATCTCCTATGGCTGGAACTCTCTTCCCATAAAAATCCCCAGAGCTTGCCCCCTCACTTCCTTCATATCATTACTCAGATGTCACCTCCTTGTTAAATCCTTCCCTGACAATCCTATTGAATATTTCTACCCTTCCCCCGACACTCTTTATTCCCTCTCTTAACCATGGTGGATGAATATTGTGCTAACTTAGCTGAGCTGGAGTTATCATTCCCAGATTCTCTTCCCTGGAGAGCTCTGAAGTCACATGGGCCACAGATATGTGTCTCACATGCTTAGAAGGCAGAATTGAAGGAACCACCATCTTGTTTTACACTTAGAAGACTAGTGCAGCTCAGTGCATTGTTGCTACCTGTTGGCTCGCCTGATTGGCACAGGGCAGTGGCTGGACCCTTGACCACTCCTCTAGCTCTAGCTGGATCTTCCTTTAGTTTTTCAGACTGTTAGGTGAGAGATGTGTTTAGCTCCATGGTGAAGGAGGCCAGCTTCTCCCTCAATACGCCTCCTCCCACCCTCCATATCACCAAAATTGGAGGCTTAGAGACGGTGAGAGAGCCATAAGAAGTCCAGTCAATCCTCTTGGTTTACAGCTCAGCTGTGTAGGTTCCATCTTGCTTCCCTTACTTCATTACCATCTTCCTTTTTTTTTTTGGAGATGGAGTCTAGCTCTGTCGCCCAGGCTGGAGTGCAGTGGCGCGATCTCGGCTCACTGCAGGCTCCACCTCCCGGGTTCACGCCATTCTCCTGCCTCAGCCTCCCGAGTAGCTGGGATTACAGGCACCCGCCACTATGCCTGGCTAGTTTTTTGTATTTTTAGTAGTGACGGGGTTTCACCATGTTAGCTGGGATGGTCTCGATCTCCTGACCTCGTGATCCACCCGTCTTGGCCTCCCAAAGTGTTGGGATTACAGGCGTGAGCCACCGCGCCCAGCCCATCTTCCTTTCTTGACTACCTGCCCTATTGATTTCAGGCACTAGTGCCTGACACAGAAGCAATAGCCTCCATATAGACTGTTTAACCAGCCCCCACATTTGCATGTAGGCAAATCCCTACAATAAGTCCTTATAATAAGCCATTACACATGTTTATGTTTGTGGTATGCGGATAAATGTTTAACAACCAGCTTTCTGGAAAAAGAAAAAAAAAACCCTAATTTGTAGCATTTGCCAATTTTCCTGGTATAAATATTCTTACCATGGCCAATTTCAAGCCACCAATGTGACATCACTGAATGGGGAGAAGAGAGAAGATGCTGATAGCTCTCTCAGGCCAGTACTAGCCAGCTCCAGCCCACCACTGTGAATACCTCTTAATGGTCTTGTTTCTCTGGTCAAATCCTAATAAACCTATTTTTTCCCCCACATCTCTTAGCACCTTCTCCCATGCTCTATATTTTAGTTATCTGTGTCCTACTTTGAAATGTAAATTCTATCAAGGCAGGGATTTTTGCCTGTTTTGCTGTATCCTTGGCTCTCAGAAAAGATTTTTTTTTGCCCTTTTATGTAATCATAAAATTAAGTTTATCAAGTAAATTTGATCTCAAAAAATGAGTATGTAGAGTAGCTCCTTTATGGTAGCCTCTATATATATTAAAATTGTTTATTATATTTATTTATTTTTTGAGACAGACTCTCATTCTCTCACCCAGGCTGGAGTGCAAATAGTGCCATCTCAGGTCACTGCAACTCCCACCTCCTCAGTTCAAGCAATTCTCATGCCTCGGCCTCCCAAGTAGCTGGGATTACAGGTGTGTGCCACTGGCTAATTTTGTATTTTTAGTAGAGATGGGATTTCACCATGTTGGCCAGGCTGGTTTTGAACTCCTGGCCTCAAGTGATCCACCCATGTCAGCCTCCCAAAGTGTTGGGATTACAGGCATGAGCCACTGTGCTCAGCCAGAATTTTTTTTTAATACCAAGGTAGCTATTTTAACTCTGCTTCCCTAGTTTCTTGTATGGAAAGAAGCCTTTTCTGTACATTTCTATCTTATCAGAACAGATCTTGGCACTTAATAGCCATTCCACATATATTTACTGAGTGAATGAATGTAGTGTGGGAAGATGTGGCAAGGGTCTGGCAGAGGAAGAACCTGAGTAAGAATTCTTGGAGCTTTGTCAAGGCATGACCTGGTTTGGTTTAGTTCAGCAAATATTTGTTGAGTACCTACCATATGTCAGGTATCTTGCTAGCTACTGAGATCATAAAAAGAATATGGCATGTTTGCCAATCTGGCTGAATTCAGCAAGGTTCGAGAAAAAGGGAGAGAGGTTTCAGGGTAAATAGGACATAAAGAGTTTCTAAAATGAAGAAATATTCAATAGAGCCAAATTCAGCATAATGGATGATTAAGAAAGAGATTGAGAAGTATCTTCTTTACAGAGCAATTGGAAAAGTTACAGCAGATTTTCTCCGAGATGCTACTTCCTCTGATGTTTTATTCTCAAATACTTTGGCCATGTTCTGTTGTAGCCATCTTGATGTAATTAATTTTCCAACAGCCATCCCTTTTGGCCTTTTGGCAGTGGGATCTTGATTTTTTGCAGTGGTTTTTGTTTTTGAGACAGAATCTCACTCTGTCACCCAGGCTAGAGTGCAGTGCTATGATCTCGGCTCACTGCAACCTCTGCCTCCAGGGTTCAAGCAATTCTCCTGCCTCAGCCCCCAGAGTAGCTGGGATTACAGATGTGCGCCACCACACCCAGCTAATTTTTATATTTTTAGTGGAGATGGGGTTTCACCATGTTGGCCAGGCTAATCTTGAACTCCTGACCTCAAGTGATGCACCATGCCTTGGCCTCCCAAATTGCTGGGATTACAGATGTGTGTCCCGCACCCAGCCTGGCAGTGGGATCTTAAAGGACAGGGCTGTTAAAAACTTGTACCCTTGGCCTGGGCAAGGACTTCATGTCTAAAACACCAAAAGCAATGGCAACAAAAGACAAAATTGACAAATGGGATCTAATTAAACTAAAGAGCTTCTGCACAGCAAAAGAAACTACCATCAGAGTGAACAGGCAACCCACAGAATGGGAGAAAATTTTTGCAATCTACTCATCTGACAAAAGGCTAATATCCAGAATCTACAAAGAACTCAAACAAATTTACAAGAAAAAAACAAACAACCCCATCAACAAATGGGTGAAGGGTATGAAGAAACACTTCTCAAAAGACGACATTTATGCATCCAACAGACACATGAAAAAATGCTCATCATCACTGGCCATCAGAGAAATGCAAATCAAAACCACAGTGAGATACAATCTCACACCTGTTGGAATGGCAATCATTAAAAAGTCAGGAAACAACAGGTGCTGGAGAGGATGTGGAGAAAAAGGAACACTTTTACTTTTACACTGTTGGTGGGACTGTAAACTAGTTCAACCATTGTGGAAGACAGTGTGGCGATTCCTCAGGGATCTAGAACTAGAAATACCATTTGACCCAGCCATCCCATTACAGGGTATATACCCAAAAGATTATAAATCATGCTGCTATAAAGACACATGCACACGTATGTTTATTGCGGCACTATTCACAATAGCAAAGACCTGGAACCAACCCAAATGTCCATCAATGATAGACTGGATTCAGAAAATGTGGCACATATACACCATGGAATACTATGCAGCCATAAAAAAGGATGAGTTCATGTCCTTTGTAGGGACACGGATGAAGCTGGAAACCATCATTCTCAGCAAACTATCGCAAGGACAAAAAACCAAATATCACATGTTCTCACTCATAGGTGGGAATTGAACAATGAGAACACTTGGACACAGGAAGGGGGACATCACACACCGGGGCCTGTTATGGGGTGGGGGGAGGGGGGAGGGATAGCATTAGGAGATATACCTAATGCTAAATGACGAGTTAATGGGTGCAGCACACCAACATGGCACATGTATACATATGTAACAAACCTGCACGTTGTGCACATGTACCCTAGAACTTAAAGTATAATAATAAAACAAAACAAAACAAAACAAAAAAAACAAAAAAACTTGTACCCTTGGTGCCCAGGTCAGTGCTCGGCACTTGAAGACACACAGCACCATGTTTGATCAACAATTAAATTACAAAGAGATTTAAAACATTTTAGACATCCCAGCCATTTGTTTCAGGCTTTTCTTAGTTTGTCCCATTGTTTTTCATGGAAACTTATCAGAAATTGAAATATTATAATACCAACTGTATCCTTCAGTTCTCCAAAATTCTGATTTTAGAACCAGAAATAAATGTTAAGTCACAGTTTATAATGAGACAAGTCAGATTTTGGATTAAGGGAAGGTTGATTTGAGGCCCAAATAAATCTTTAGTTGGGAAATGCCACTGCATAATTGATAACTAGCCTGGATTTCTTTTATTTATTTATGTTCTTAGAAGGTTGTGTTTTACAGGATCATTAATCCTGAAAGGTCCTTTTTTTTTTCCCCCTCTCAGAAAGAAACATTTAATAGGGACTTACGAATAGAAGTCATGTCTCAGGTAGACCTGAGGCTAATCCTGAACTTTGATTACTATGCCCACCATTCACTAAATTATGCTCTTCTGGTCTAAGAAAAATGTCATCTGACTGGAGATTCCTCCTCTGACCACATCGTATAAAATAGCTCCCCTCCTCAGCCTTGCTACCTCCTTTGCTTGAGTTCTATTTCTTCACCGCACTTATGACTCCCTGAAATTGTGTTCCGTGGTAATTGGTAATTGTCTTCTCTCCCACGGGAATGTAAGCTCCACGAGGGCAGGGGCTTTATCTGTTTAGTTTACTGCCTCATCCCCAGGATTGAGAACAACACTGGCATAAAACAGGTAAAGGAAATAAGTTAAATGGATGATTATGAGCTTTCTAGAGCAATAAGTTGATTTGTTCTTTTTATTAGGCATATTATCCTTTTAGAATCAGTTTCCAAAAACTGGTAAAGACAAGAACATGAGTGCTGAGTATGAGGCCTGCTTAGTGCATGACACTAGCCCATTCCCCAAGTTAGCCCCTTTCTCCTTTTCGTAAAGTTAAATAGATGGGTCTTGGCTGTGCCCCAACCCTTCCCTGCCCCACTCCTCCCCACTCTCCCCAGGCCTCCCTCTCATCTTCTCCTCTCCCCTGTCTCCACTGGCTCCTGCTTTGCTGCCAGCATGCCAAGGCTAGGTCTAAGCTTTGTTAGAACCTGCTGCTCCCTTAGTTACCACCCTACCTTTCTCCTTTCTCTCACTCCCCAAATCCTAAATCGTGAGGATAGTGCTGACAACACTCTTTTCTTTCCATCAATTCCTCCCTGAAACTTTTACAATCTGGCTCCTATTCCTAGATATTTCTGGAACCTCCTTCTTATGTAACTATCCTAAATGGTCTCTGCATCCCATCTATATTAGTCTGTTCTTATGCTGCTATAAAGAACTGCCCGAGAATGGGCAATTTATAAAGGAAAGAAGTTGAATTGACTCACAGTTCCAGAGGGCTTGGGAGGCCTCAGGAAACTTACAATCATAGCAGAAAGGGAAGCAAATACGTCCTTTTCCACGCGGCAGCAGGAGAGAGAAATGAGTACCTAGTGAAGGGGGAAGCCCCTTATATAACCATCAGCTCTTGCGAGAACTCACTGACTAGTATGAGAACAGGATTGGGGAAACTGCCCCCATGATTCAATTATCTCCACCTGGTCCCTCCCACAGCACGTGGGGAATTATGGGAACTACAATTCAAGATGAGATTTGGGTGGGGGCACAGCCAAACCATATCACTATCTTAACCTTTTGGAACCCATTTGCTAAACAGGCAGCAGAGTAATCAACCTAAAAGGAACACCTGATCATGAGAGTTTCCTACTTAAAAACTACAGAGGCTTCCCATCTTTTTTAGGATCAAGTTCAAGCCTCTTTCGAATGGCATCCTCAGCTGACATGGCTGGCTCCTGACCGCTCTGTCCCCCTCATCTCTCAACATTTCTCTGCTGGGCATTGATTGGGTTCTTTGTCTGAATCCATTGTTTCATTCATGCATGCAGCAACTCTTTCTTTACTGTGATTCCTTTGCTCTGGGTGCCCTCTGTCTAAAATGTCTGAATTTCTTCTCTCATCTCCATCCAGCTTACTCCAGTTGATGGTTTAATACCCTGGTCTTTTAATTTTTTTGAAATAATGAAGGATCTAGATGTCCCAATGTCATCTGTTGACAACCCATCATTTCTCTACTGATTTTCAGTGTCACCTCCAGCATGTGGTAGATTCTTACATTTGGGTCTCGTTTGGGGCCTTATATTATTTAATATTCTATTAATATATCCATTCTTGTGTTGTTACTATTTTTATTATTATAAATTTCAAATGACTTTTAATATCTAATGTGAGGGAAGGCAAGCCTCTCCACCTTTTTCCTGCATAGCTACTAATATCCACCACCCCATCTGTCAATTTTTTTTTCTTTTTTGAGACTTTTTTTTCAATTTTTTTCTTTTTTTTTTTTTTTCTGAGTCTCACTCTGTTGCCCAGGCTGGAGTGCAGTGGCATGATCTCAGTTCACTGCAACCTCCACTTCCCAGGTTCAAGTGATTCTTGTGCCTCAGCCTCTCGAGTAGCTGGGATTACAGGCACACACCACCATGCCTGGCTAATTTTTATATTTTTAGTAGAGACAGGGTTTCACCATGTTGGCCAAGCTGCTCTCGAAATCCTGACCTCAAGTGATCCACCTGCCTTGGCCTCCTAGAGTACTGGGATTACAGATGTGAGCCACCGTGCCTAGCTATATCAGTCAATTTTTTTTTTCAAATTTTCTTGACTATTTTCAGATGCTTACTTTTCCGAGTGAGTGCTAGAATCTCCTTTTTCACATTTCTCCTTCTTCAAAACAAAAAAGGGATTTAGATTGAAACTACTATAATTATAAATAATTTTATAAAGTATCATTTTATTGTTATAAAGTCAGAAAGAGGAAAATGGAGGAGCTAGCAATTGTTCAATAATTTGTGTAGCCCTTACCATTAATTTGTTCTGTGCGTTGGTTTTTGATAAGGTAAAATTGTTGATAAAATGATGTATTATCAAGAAAATTTGTCCAAGACTTAAAAATTGGCTAAACAGAATGCACGGTAACCTTTCAGTGGAGTTCTGTGCACTGTCCAGAGAATGTTATCTGATTTTATAGGGATGTGTACCTTTGATTGTCTCCTAATGACTAGGGCAGAATTGAACTTGCAGGAAACTGGTAGTCATGGCAAACAATTCTTGTCAACAGAAACGCAAATGCTTTTGTTGGGTAGAGATATAATTGATTTCTGCCGTGTAGAAAGATAACCCCAAATGCTACATTTCATTTTCTTACGTAATATTAATAAGTTTTACAACCATTAGCATATGCATTTCAGCATTCCTAATTGCCTCTCTATATATGACTGTTGTTCAAATTTTCTCTTAAACTGGTTCTTACATCTTACTGGTTTCTTTCTTGATTAATTGAATACAATCTTTGACATACATACATTTTATATTTGCATGAGGGTCATAATATGAGCTTCTAAAATATTATATTGTAATAGTATTGTACCTTAACAAAACTATGTGAGAAATGTGATTAAACCAAATTCCTTTGCCTACACTCTTTAAAGAAATTCTTCTAGAAATGTAATATATGCTTATAAAGCAATTCACCGGTACAGAAGCCACCATGCTTAGACTTACATTTCCGAAAGAACATATTGCCTAACCCCTTATTTGAAAACAAGAACAATAGACATGCTAAACTTCTCAGACAATTCAATCATAAACAGATAAAATTTATGACAACGTTGCATAAATAGGGAAAGGCCTTTGGGAGGCAAATTGAAAGATTTATGCTCAGTAGGAGTATTTTATAGAAAAAGAGAATATTTATATAATCCTTGTTAGAGTAAATACAGAAATTTTACAAGTTGGTCAAAAGCAGCTGACAGTAACACAGGGGGCAGGGAACTAGATTTCCAGAACAAATCTTAGTCCTATTAAACCTCCTCAGGGCTGGGTGCAGTGGCTCACACCCGTAATCCCAGCACTTTGGGAGGCCGAGGCAGGTGGATCACCTGTCAGGAGTTCCAGACCAGCCTGGCCAACATGGTGAAACCCTGTCTCTGCTAAAACCACACACACACACACACACACACACACACACACACACACACGAAAAAATAGCTAAGTGTGGTGGCGGGTGCCTGTAATCCCAGCTACTTGGGATGCTGAGGCAGGAGAATCACTTGAATCCGGGAGGCGGAGGTTGCAGTGAGCCGAGATCGCACCACTGTACTCCAGCCTAGGCAAAAGAGTGAGACTTGGTCTCAAACAAAAAAACAAACAAACCTCCTTAGAAAATGGCTTATGAGTTTTATCAGGATGTCAATTTCTTCCCAGGAAGAAGTTCTTTCCAAATCTAGGCTTTGGGACAATTTTGTTTGCACAGATCTTACATTTTAGTGTAAGCGTGAGGAAGAACATCAACGTTTTGATTTTTCCCTGTCTTTGGTGCCTTTAAATAAATGTATCAAATTTCAAATATTTTTCAATTTTTTTCTTCATTTCTTTTAATTTTTAATTTTTGATATGTAGAGATGGGATCTCGCTATGTTCCCCAGACAGGTCTTGAACTCCTGGGCTCAAGCGATCTTCCCACCTCGGCCTCCCGAAGTGCTGGGATTACAGGAGCGAGCCACCATGCCCGGCTTTTTTCACTAAACTGGGTCTTCTTTACTTTTTTCAGAGAGTGAGATGCCCAGGAGAGGGCAGTGAGGCTGAAAGTGAGGGCTTAGAGAGGGCAGCGGGAGGATTGGGAAGCCCATGGGAGGAAGGGGAAAGGGATGTCAATGCTGGAAGTCTTCCCAAGTCCTAAACTCTGAGGCTGTGCTCCTCACGGGAGCCGAGAGGACAAGTCACAACTTATAGTCGTCATGGTTTTGCAACCTAGGAAGACTTAACCCCCTTCCCATCTTGTTTTGAAGCCCACCTTACACCCCATCAAACATATTAAAATGCAGGCATTCCACATCACATAAATAGATTCTTCTTCCCATAAAATATTGGGCATATTTTTATAATTCTGCCTCTGAAAATATTTGGCTATGAGTAACTTTTAATCTTTATAGTCTTTCTTCATAATCATGTTTACTTGAGGCTTCTTGCAAAGTGAGAAAATCTGACATGTCATTTTTTTATGCAAAAATATTTATGAATATTAAATTTAATGACAGATGAGTTTGACATATTTGGTAGAATGTTTAATTAGACATTTATTGATTTCACATCTGTAGCTTTATTTTTAGGTAGGAGCAAATAATTTTTCCCCCTAGGTCTGTCTCAAGCATGTTTGTAGACAGCATTGTTCAAGCTCATTGGCCCTGGGCCCTGTTTCTATGGTTCCTAATGGATAAAACAGCTTGCTGACAGTCCCCTGACTTGATGGTTTGGGCTGCTTCCTGGAAATGTCATGAAAAATCTGCCTATCCCTTCATGAGAATTCAGGGCAATGTCTATGCAGGGACAGCGGGGACAATTGAAAGAGGCAGCTCCCATTCTAACATTTTTGAGCCATGGACTTGTTAGTCTAATGAAGCTCATGGATTCCTCCTCAGAATAATGTTTTAAATGTGCAAAATAAAATATACATAGGATTACAAAGGAAATCAATTCTTATTGAGATACTGTTAGGAAAAAGAATAAATTTGTGATATAGTAATACACACGTTTCTTTTTTTAAGCTATTAAATGACAAGATCTAGCTGTGGGCCTAAGAACTATAGTAATTTCAAAGTAGCAATGAGTACAAATGATATTTTGAGATACAGGACCTTAATGTGACCTGATATGAAAATATTTGATGTTTCTATTGATGACAAAGTCATAGGTACTTATACCGTGACTATGACTTGTTGCCTATTTTCTTTTTAAAATTTCTATTTATGTATCTATGTATCTATGTATCTATGTATCTATGTATCTATCTATCTTTTTTTAAAGCCTACAGCACCCAATATTCCCGGGCTGGCTCTCATCCAAATACTAACTGGGACTGACCCTTTTTAGCTTTTGAAATCAGACGAGATTGGGTGGATTCAGGGTGGTAAGGATGTAGATGTCTATTTTCACAATGGAGAGAAATGCCACATTTTAATTACAAGCTAATGAAATTAAGGTGTAATTTTTTTTTTATTTCTCAGTCTCAGAACCTGTGATTTCTATCCATGGCTGTGGGCCCCAAATTAAGATCAACAGAGGTGAAGAATGCCCCCATGTTAATGAATTATTATGGCAAGAGGATTATAGATACCATATGACTCTCTAGCCTCAGAGATCCTGAAGCAGAGTCTATGGATCTCTCAGCCCTCAAAGACACTGTCTTGAATTCTCCTGATGTAGTATAAATGGAACAAAAAGTAAGTGGCTTCACTGATATAGAGTGTTAGAAATTTTCATAGGATTTCTAATCTCCTGTTCTAGGCCGAGATTATGACTCTCAAGTCTGCTTTCTATTCTCTCACCAAATGGCCCCCAGAAAGCTCTCCTGAGCCACCCTACCTTGGAAGCTTTTAATTTCATTCTAAAATTTATGTACTCTAAAGTTCATACTTCACAGCAAACCACCCACTAACCCACCTTCCCATCCATCCATCCATCCATCCACCCACCTATCTACCCATCCACCCATCCATCTACCCATCTACCCATCCACTCATCCATCCATCCATCCATCCATCCATCCATCCATCCATCCATCTACCCATTCACTCATATATCCATCCATCTATCCATCCATCCATCCATCCATCCATCCATCCATCCACCCACCCATCCATCCACCCATCTACCCATCCACTCATCCATCCATCCATCCACCCATCTACCCATCCACTCATCCATCCATCCATCCACCCATCTACCCATCCACTCATCCATCCATCCATCCACCCATCCACACATTCACTCATCCACTCATCCATCCATCCATCCATCCATCCATCCATCCATCCATCCATCCATTTAGTAATGAGCCCACGCAATGAAGGTATGAATGTGTAACTTACCCCCCTTTTCAAATTCTCCCCTTGTTCATAACCTCATAGTGAGAAATATCTACATTAGTGCAAAGGATTGTGTATGATAAAGCCATCCTCAGATGTTTCTAGCATAATTGGAGCAAATCAAGTCATTGCACTATGCAGTTTTTGGGCCAATTTGTGAAAACTGGTGGTTATTCTTGGCTTCTGGTCCTCAGATCTGAAATGTCTAATACTGATGGTAAAATTGCCTATCCCACATGTAAGTGTAGTTATGATTTCTAAGCTTGTTCATTATTTCTCTTTGTTTTTCTTCTTTCCTCTCTCAGATGAAGATAGAACAGCAGCTTGTACTTCCTGTCTGTTTTGTCATAAAAAAATGATAACCTAATATTCTGTGTCTGTATGGTGGTGTTCTTTCGTGTTCTGGGCCCTGGCATACCCCTTCAGAACTCTCATCTGGTAGCTGACTCCATGGAAACACTTACCTGTGGCTTAAATTAAGACATTTGAACTGGGAAGCAAATGTTTTTCTTTCCCTTTTACTCTAACCAAAACCTGCAATGAGTCACGTCTCACCCACTCCATGCTCACCTGGCCCTTCTGGCCACATGGAGCAAAGTCAACAATCAAGGCCCACCACATGCAGCAGCTGTCAAAGCAGAAGTCCTCAGTCATTGAACAGCTGAGTATTATCATAGATCCTAGGGTTCCCACAGTGCATATGTAGGGGAAGCAGCTTCTTCTCACCACCATGGTGGGGATCTGAAAACCCAGTACACGTGAAAATCTCGCCTTGACCCACTTCCCCATCCAAGGGCAGAGTTTGCAGTTCAGAATGGTGCAGCTCCCTCTCTCCCTCTCAGCCCATCAGGCCCTTTGGTGACTCAGTAAACCTTGCCAAAACTAGGCTCTCTGTTCTCTTCTCTACTTGGACTGACCCAAGAGTCCATCCTCCCTTTTAAATTGGCTTCCAAGGTCCAGACATAGACTATGAGCAAGTATTTCACTGCTTGACCTTAGCACTTGGTGGATACCTTTCTTATAACTGATCAGACGAAGCCCTTACAGTCTACTTAAATGCTTGTGCCCCCTGTAAACTATTTAAAAGCAGGGATCATGTCAATTGTTTCTATGTCCCCAGTATCTAGCACAACGCCAGGATGTGGTTCTCCATAAATATTTTGAATGAATGCATGAATATGTTAATTAAAGAACACTTTAGTTTTCTCTAAAAATTCCCTTTTGCATGAACTTCCTTACATACATGTCTCTGGTCCATATTGTAGTGTTTGTTCTAATTTTCAGGCACTTACTTTACATATATAATTTTTAATATGCTAATCCTGTCCTTTTATTACTTCTATTTTATACATAAGAAAGTTGAGGCTAGGCACAGTGGCTTAGGCCTATAATCCCAGCTTAGGGATTATAGGCTTAGGCCTATAATCCCAGAACTTTGGGAGGCCGAGGTGGGAGGATTGCTTGAGCACAGGAGTTCAAGACCAGCTTGGGCAATATAGGGAGACCCCATCTATACAGAAGAAAAAAAGTTAGCTAATGCAAAGCTGAACTTCTCAGCTAAGGGTTCAAACCCCAGTCTTTTTTAGTGCAGCTCTATCTTCCCATCACCATGAGGCAACAGTTTCAAGGTGTGGTCCATAGACTCTTGAGTGTCCTTGAGACTCTCTCAGAGTCCACAGGTCAAAACTATTTTTACAATAATACTGACTCTTTTTGTCTTAAAAAAAAAAAAACTACGTTGACAACTGTACCTTGGTGCAAAAGCAGTGATAATGGTAGTCATTGTATTTTTCATCACTGTGCACTTATAGTAAAAACAATAATAACAAAAGTCTCACTTTAAAATGCCCAGATGATGCTATAAAAATTAATTTTATTAAATCTAGACCCTTGAGTACACATCTTTTTAATATTCTGCATGACAAAATGTGAAGTACACATTTGGAAGAAAAGCATTTGTGTGATTGAGTTGTGGAGAAGATGCCTTTTTCATGGCACACTATATTTACTTGAAGAACAACTGACAGACAAACTTTGGTTATCAGGCATTTCTCAGAAATGTACTCGAAAGTGAATGGAGGCTGGGTGCAGTGGCTCACGCCTGTAATCCCAGCACTTTGGGAGGCTGAGGCGGGCGGATCACAAGGTCGGGAGTTTGAGACCAGCCTGACCAACATGGTGAAACCCTGTCCCTACTAAAAGTGCAAAGATTAGCCGGGCATGGTGGCACACACCTGTAATCCCAGCTACTCAGGAGGCTGAGGCAGGAGAATCGCTTGAACCTGGGAGGCAGAGGTTGCAGTGAACCGAGATCACACCACTGCACTCCAGCCTGGGCAACAGAGGGAGACTCTGTCTCAAAAAAAAAAGAAAAGAAAAGAAAAGAAAAGAAAGTGAATGGAGTGAGCCTAAAACAACAAGAAAATCAATTGATGGTATTTATTGGCAATGAAAAAAATTAAGCTTTCAAGAGAAAGTTGGAATTTTGGAAACTTGTATCTGCTACTATGAACTTGACAGTTTCCCAGATACATCTAAAGTTTTCTGATGAAATTGGTGGTGACATTAACAAAGTGATTTATCTGATAAAGTATAACTAAATGTGTCAACATTTGTAAGATCTGCATAACTCAGTGAGCCTAGATTTTCTAAAAGATGAATGATGTTAGAAAATCATGCATAGGTAAAGGATCCATTCAAATGTAAGATAGACCAATAGATTTGAATATAACAGCATATGAAATGGACTTAAAAATAACAGAATATGAAAAGTTCACTGATGTGGTTTAAGAAACTACAGCTTATTGAGTTTGGGTGTAGTACTTAAGCAGAACAGCCACAATTACCTAAAAGGCTATTTCAGCTTTTTCAACTACATTTCTCTTTGAAGTCAACTTGAGCACAGGAGATGTGCTCTCCATCCACTCATCTACCCATGGGTGTGTGACAAGTTTTTTTTTTTTGCTTTTGTGCAGGATGTTTTCTACTGCGAGGCACAGCGAATGCTTAAACAATGCCATGGACCCCCTCCCACTTCAGGAACACATTGTAGCGGAGTCTCCAAGGCAACAGTGTAGTCTTGTAGTAAGTGTGTGACCCTGTTTACTTTTTGTTGTTGCATTGCAGGTAGTGTCATTTACATCCTTTGGAAAATGTTTGTTATTCTAGTAGTTTTCTCAGAAGGCACACACTGTAAAACAAAACAAAAAGTCAATGCAGTAGAGGAGAAGCAAGATGATGCACAGTGTTGGGTGCACAGAAGATGCCACCTGCTAGTGGTTAAACTTGATTAATTGAATCTTGGTGATCCTGTATCAGGGCCTATAACATGTACACCTGATACTCTCAGCTTACGTGTTTTTGTTAAAATATTGATTGGTTTTTATTTCTTGGATTAATTTTTTTTCTTGGACTTTATTTTTTAGAGACTACTTATTTTAGGTTCATGGCAAAGTTGGCTGGAGGGTACAGAAATATCTCATATATCCTTCCCCCCACACATGCATGGCTTCCCCACATCAACATCCCCAACAAGCGTGGTACGTTTGTTACAACTAATGAACCTACATTGACACATTGTTCTCACCCAGAGTTCATAATTTACATTAGGGTTCAGTGTTGGTGCTGTATGTTTTATTTTGACAAATGTATACTGACATGAATCCACAACTGTAATGCACAGAATAGCTTTACTCTTTTAAAAATGCTTTATGCTCTGCCTACTCATCCCTTCCTGTTCTCTGTCCCTTGGCAATCACTGAACTTGTCACTGTTTTCTTAATTTAGCCCTTTCCAGAATGCCATATAGTTGGAATCACACAGTGCATAGTCTTTTCAGATTGGCTTCTTTCACTCAGTAACATACACTTCAGTTTCCTCCATGGCTTTTCATAGCCTGCTAGCTCATTACTTTTTAGGGCAGAATAACATTCCATTGTCTGGAGGTAACACAGTTTATCCACTCACCTACTGAAGTACATATTGGTCACTTCCAAGTTTTGGCAATTAGGAATAAAGCTGCTATAAACATTCATGTGCAGGTTTTTGTGTGGCCATAAGTTTCCAACTCCTTTGGGTAAATACCAAGGAACACAAATGTTGGATGATATGGTAAGGATATATTTAAGAGGTGAAAGATTTGTATGCTCTGACAAGAAACCAGAGCATAATAAGGCTATGTTTAGTTTTGTAAAAAACTGCCAAACTGTCTTCCAAAGTGGCTGTACCATTTTGCTTTCCTACCAGCAGTAAGTGAGAGTGCTTGTTGCTCCACATCCTCACCAGCATTTGGTGTTGTCAGTGTTTTGGATTTTGGCCATTCTAATGGCCAAATGTATCTCATCATTTGTAATGGTATCTCATCACTGTTTTGATTTTAATTTCCTAGATGACATAAGATGCAGGGCATCTTTTTATATGCTCCTTCACCACCTGTATATCTTCTTTGGTGAGGTATCTGTTAAGGTCTTTGGCTCATATTTTAATTGGCTGTTGTTTTCTTATTGTTAAGTTTCAAGAGTTTTTTTTTTTAATGTTGAACCAGCCTTGCATATCTGGGATGAATCCCACTTGTTTGTGGTATATAGTTCTTTTTATACATAGTTGGGTTTGACATGCTTCATCCCTTTGCTTTTAATCTTTTTGTGTCTTTATATTTAAAGTGGGTTTCTTGGCCAGATGCAGTATCTCATACCTGTAATCCCAGCACTTCGCAAGGCTGAGGGTGGGGATTGCGTGAACCCAGGAGTTGGAGACCAGCCTAGGCAACATAGTGAGACCCTGTCTCTACAAAAAATTTAAAAAAAAAATTAGCTGGGTGTGGCGGCGCATGCCTGTAATCCCAGCTACTTGGGTGGCTGAGGCAGGAGGACCGCTTGAGCCCAAAAGTTTGAGGCTGCAGTGAGCCGTGATAGTGCCACTGCACTTCAGACTGGGCCACAGAACAAGAACCTGTCTCAAGAAAAAAAAAGGTGATTTCTAATAGACAATGTATAGGTGGGTCTTGTTTTTTGATCTACTGTGACAATCTGTGTTTTTTAATTGGTGCATTTAGGCCATTGATGTTTTAAGTGATTATTTTATATATGGATTAATATCTACCATATTTGTTACTGTTTTCTGTTTGTTGCCCTTTTCTGTGTTCCTATTTTTGTCTTTCACTCTTTTCTGCCTTTTGTGGTTTTTGTTGAGCATTTTATATGATTGGATCTTCTCTCGTTTCTTAGCATATCAGTTATACTGCCTTTTAAACTTTTTTTATTGGCATCCTACAGTGTGCAATATACATTTACAACTAATCTAAGTCTGCTTTTAAATGAGACTATATGGCCGGGAGCAGTGGCTCACGCCTGTAATCCCAGCACTTTGGGAGGCCGAGGCGGGTGGATCATGAGGTCAGGAGATCAAGACCATCCTGGCTTACACGGTGAAACCCCGTCTCTACTAAAAATACAAAAAATTAGCCAGTCGTGGTGGCGGGCGCCTGTAGTCCCAGCTACTCCGGAGGCTGAGGCAGGAGAATGGCGTGAACCCGGGAGGTGGAGCTTGCAGTGAGCTGAGATCGCGCCACTGCGCTCCAGCCTGGGCGACAGAGCGAGACTCTGTCTCAAAAAATAAATAAATAAATAAGTAAATAAATAAATAAATGAGACTATATGACTTCATGGGCAGTGTCAGCACCTTATAATAACAAAATAATCCCAGTTCCTCCTTCTGATCCTTATATCATTGCTGTTATTCGTTCCACTTATATATAAACATACATAAGCATATATATGTGCATACATAATCAAATACATTGCTATACCATTTTTTGAGCAAACTGTTATCTGTTAGATCAATTAAAAATATGTATAATAAAAGGTTTTATCTTACTTTCATTTATCCCTTCTCCCATGCTGTTCCTTTCTTTATGTAGATCTAAGTTTCTGATCTATATAATTTTCTTCCTCTCTAAAGAACTTCTTTAACATTTCTTGCAAAGCAGGTGTAGTGGCAAAAAATTTCACCAAGTTTTGTTTGTTCAAAAAAGGCTTTATTTCTCCTTCACTTTTGAAGGATAATTTCCTAAGGTAAAGAATTCTTGGCTAGTTTTTTTTCTCTCTCTCTTTCTGAACACTTTAAATATTTCTTCTCTCTCTTCCTGCTTGCATAATTTCTGAGAATTCTAATGTAATTCTTATCTTTGTTCCTATATAGGTAAGATATTCTTTTTCCTCTGTCTTCTTTCAGGATTTTTTTTCATTATCTTTGATTTTCTGTTGTTTGAAAATGATATGTTTGGGTATAGATTTTTGGCATTTATTCTGCTTGGTATTCTCTGAGCTTCCTGGATCTGTGTTACGGTGTTTGACACTAACTTGGGGGAAATTCTGAGTCATTGATTCACATATTTCTTCTGTTCATTTCTCTTTTTCTTCTCCTCTGGTATTCTCATTATGTGTATGTTGCATCTTTTGCAGTTGGCCCACAGTTCTTGGATATTCTGTTTTGGATTTTTTCCCTCAGTCTTTTTTTTTTTCTCTCTGCTTTTCAGTTTTGGAGGTTTCTATTGAGATATCCTCCAGTTGTGGATTCCTTTCAGCTGTGTCCAGTCTACTAATAAATCTGTCAAAGGGATTCTTCATTTCTGTTACAGTATTTTTTATTTCTAGCATTTCTTTTTGGGTCTTTCTTAGAATTTCCATCTCTCTGCTTATAATCCCCATGTCCTCTTGCATGCTGTCTACTTTATTTGTTAGAGCCCTTAGCATATTAATCATAGTTGTTTTAAATTTCTGGTCTGATAATTCCAACATATCTGCCATATCTGAGTCTTGTTCCATTGCTTGCTCGGTCTCTTCAAACTGTTTGTGCTTTTTAGTATGCCTTGCATTTTTTTCTTGATAGCTGAAAAAAATGTAGCAGGTAAAAGGAATTGCTGTAACTAGGTCTTTATTAATGTGTTGGTAAGGCGTGGGAGGAAGGGAAGCATTCTATACTCTTATGATTAGATCTCAGTGTTTTAGTAAGCCTGTGCCTCTGGACTGTGAACTCCACATGTGCTTCTCAGACCTCCCCACCTCACCCCCATAGGTGGGGCAGGATGGCTAGAGTGGACTGGAGTTGGGTAGTTCCTCCACACGGAAGGGCAGAGTCAGATAGAATTGGATGTTTTCCTTCCGTCAGGTGAGTTCCAGCAGGTTTTATCAGAACCTAAAGCAGAAGAACATAGTGCTTTTATGGTTTTCAGAATAGTTTCTTTCCCCTGCCTTTGATGTAATCATGAGGGAATTTTTCTCTGATGTTCACTGGGAAGACTTGATGAGGCTCCTGGAGGTAAAACTTGGAAAAGCATACCCTCCACCCCTTCCCCATGACAGGTCCCCCTGGAGTTTTTATCACTCAGATTTGTCCACATTGACCCTCCAGGAACTTGTCAGTTACAGTTCAGGTTTCCTTAACCCAGTGATGGTTCCTTATGGCAGATTCTGCTCTGTTGTGGTTCTGGTTATTCACCTGTTGGTCTCTCCCACTTTAGCAACAGCATTTTGTCCTCTAACCTAACTTTTACAAATCTAGGAAGAATTGGTTATTTTTCAGTTTGTTCATATTTTCACTTATTGTTAGGGCAGAGTGGTGACTTCTTACATGCCAGACTGGAAACTGGAAATCCCATGAATGGCTTTTTAAACCATGTTAGTGTTGGGTACACACAATCCCATCCTTGGGAAACACAAGAAAAGAAGCAAAAAAAGTAACCGTGATGGTTAATTTTATGTGTCAACTAAGTTAGGTTATGCTACCCAGATGTTTGGTCAAACACCAGTCTAAACATAATTGCGAAGGTATTTTTTTTCTAATGATGAAATTAACGTTTAGATTACTCCATCCAGATGTGGGTGGGGCTCACCCAATCAGTTGAAAGCCTTAAGAGAGAGAAGAGTTTCATTTTCTTCCTCTAGGTCTTTAGAGGAAGAAGAAGCGAACTGCCATGGTACTGTAGCTGCAACATCAACTCCTGCCTGGGTCTTTAGCCTGCTGGCCTACCCTGCAGATTTTGGACTTGCCAGCCTCCACAATCATGTGAGCCAATCCAATCTATCTATATACACATCCTATTGGTTCTGTTTCTTTGGTAAACTTTGACTAATATAGTAACATACTACAATTTTGAAAAATGGGGTAAAAGATGGTAATTTGGGGGAGTGACTTGGAAGATCTGTGTGAAATATGTGATTTAGTCTGTCCAATACCAGGCAATGCAGATGTCTTAGGAAGATGTCTTATGAGCCCTTCCACCCCTTAGTTGGCTGAGTTCCAATTGAATTTGTGTTCTCAGCTTCGCAGGGACTTCTATAATTACTCTATCTTCATTTTCTTCTTTTTCCTAAATCCATTTAATTTAATTGAAATTCAAATAAATACATAACTTTCTAATCTGTTAGGCAAATGTTTGTAAGATTTCATAAAGAGCTAGTATTGGGAAACTTATGACATAACTTACAAAAACTTTTTAAGAATCACATTCCTAAGAGAAATATGCTTTCCTGATGGTGCCAGGGGATCTCAGAACAGGATATAAATCCTATCATCTCAGCATTGGGTTTCCTGTTGATGTTATTGCCTGGGGAAAAATGAACACCAGAGGTGGACCAATGACCAAAGGCAGAAAGGTTCCTGAGATCAGATTCCTAATGCCATGATGAAGCTTGTAAAGGCTTTCTAGGGGCAGGATACAAGTGATGAAAGCTGGAGGTATGTTAGACCAGCCAAGTGTAGCTTCTGCAGTAGAGCTTCATTGACAACCTTAGAAAAGAACAAACTGTAAAAGATATCTATTTATTGTAGGCAAAATACATTTTTTGGAAATTGGATTTCAGCCATGCCTCAATGACTTCCATGAGATTCCTAGTGAGGCTCTGCCCATGTCCTGTAATTAGGATTCAAAACAGACTCCAACATCCTGGGAATGATTGCTTCCTGTTCTTCCTGCTTCCACTTTTCCTAACTTCAAATATGAACTGCTTGTAGCAACACAGAGAATTCACTCAGGTGTTTCAGTTACAAATCTTGGCTCATAGAAACAGCTGTGCTTAATAAATGTCTTTCCTTTTCTTTTTTTTTTTTGAGACAGAGTTTCACTCTTTTCAGCCAGTCTCGAGTACAATGGTGCGATCTCAGCTCACTGCAATCCCTGCCTCCCGGGTTCGAGCAATTCTCCTGCCTCAGCCTCCCAAGTAGCGGGATTACAGGTGCCCACCATCACTCCCAGCTAATTTTTGTATTTTTAATAGAGACGGGGTTTCGCCATGTTGGCCAGGTTGGTCTTGAACTCCCGACCTCAGGTGATCTGCCCCACCTTGGCCTCCCAAAGTGCTGAGATTGCAGACTTGAGCCATTGTACCCAGACTGTCTTTATTTTTCTATAATCATACTTTTTTCTTTTTCTTTTAAAATTTTTATTTATATATAATTGTTTATATTTTGGGAGTACATATGATGATCTGATACCTATATACAATGTATAATAATCAAATTAGGGTGATTAGGGTATCCATCAACTCAAACATTTATCTTTTCTTTGTGTTGGGAACATTTCAAGTAATCTTTTCTTGCTATTTAAAAATATATAATAAATTGTTAGCTATAATTTACCTACTGTACTATCAAATACTAAATCATTTATTTTATCTAACTATACTTTTGTACCCCTTAACCAACTTCTTTTCATCTCCTCCTCCCTTCCCTTCCCTTCCTAGCCTCTGGTAACTACCAATCTACTTTCTACCTCCATGAGATAAATTTTTTTTTAGCTTCCAGATATGAGTAAGAACATTCGATATTTGTTTTTCTGTGCCTGGATTATTTCACTTATAATGACCTCCAGTTCCATTCATGTTGCTGAAAGTGTCAGATTTCTTTTTTATGGCTGAGTAATATTCTATTGTGTATATAGACCACATGTTCTTTATCCATTTATATGTTGACAAATACTTAGGTTGATTCTATATCTTGGGTATTACAAATAGTGCTGCAATAAACGTGTGAGTGCAGATATCTCTTCAATTTACTGATTTCCCTTCTTTTGGATATATCCTCAGCAATGGAATTGCTGGATCATATGGGAGTCCTATTTTTAGTTTTTTGAGGAACCTCTATACTGTTTTCCATAATATCTCTACTACTTTACATTTTCACAGTGTACAAGTCTTCCTGTTTCAACACAACCTTTCCAGAATTTGTTATCTTTCGTTTTTTTTCTTTTATAATAGCCATTCTAACTCAGGTAAGATGATATCTTATTGTGGTTTTGATCTGCATTTCCCCGATGATTAGTGGTGCTGAGCATTTCTTCATATAGCTATTGGCAATTTGTTTGTCTTTTTTGAGAAATATCTGTTCAGGTCTTTTGCTCATTTTAAAATCAGATTATTTGTTTTTTTTGGTATTGAGTTGTTTTAGTTCTTTATATATCTTGGTTATTAATTCCTTGTCAGATGGATAGTTTGCAAACATTTTCTCCCACTCTGTGAGTTGTTTCCTCACTTTGTTGAGTGTTTCCTTTGTTGTGTAGAAGCTTTTTAGCTTAATGTAATCCCATTTGTCTGTTTTTGCTTTGGTTGCTTGTATCTTTGAGGTCTTACCCCCCAAAAATCTTTGCCCAGACCAATATCCTAGAGCATTTCTACCATGTTTTCCTTGAGTAGTTTTATAGTTTCAGGTCTTACATTTAAATCTTTTTTTGTTTGTTTGTTTCTTTGTTGGGTTTTTTTTTTTTTTTTGGAGACAGAGTCTTTCTCTGCCACCCAGGCTGGAGTGCAGTGGTGCGATCTCGGCTCACTGCAACCTCCGCCTCCTGGATTCCAGCAATTCTCCAGCCTCGGCCTCCAGAGTAGCTGGGATTACAGCTATGCACCAGTGCAGTGCACCACCATGCCCAGCTTATTTTTGTATTTGTAGTACAGACAGGGTTTCACCATGTTGGCCAGGCTGGTTGCGAACTCCTGACCTTGTGATCCGCTTGCCTCGGCCTCCCAAAGTGCTGGGATTCCAGGTGTGAGCCACCGTGCCCAGCCACATTTAAATCTTTAATCCATTTTGGGTTGATTTTTGTATATGATGAAAGACAGAGATCTATTTTTATTCTTCCGTATATGGATATCCAGTTTCTCAGCGCCATTTATTAAGAGACTGTCCTTTCCCCAGTGTAAGTTCTTGGCATCTGGTTTCTCTGGGTTCTCTACTCTGTTCCATTGGTCTGTTATAATAATTGATATTTTAGGTTCCCATTCACATAGATGTCAAAAATTTAATTGCGGCTAATTCAGGATTCACATTTTACCTTTAGGCTTGTGCCTAACCTTAATTAACAGTCCCAATGCATTGGGAAGGTCCCTTATGATCCCTGATGTCATCTATCCTCACAGGCATCCTCTAAAATATCAGTCCCTCTGTCTGGTCCTTATTTGTGATTCTGTGCAGCCTGCAATGGAGACATCCTTATTCCTATCCACATGGCTCTTCAGGCATGACAGCTTTTTCTGATACTTCTATGCTTCCCTTGGCCCCAGGAGTTATTCTCCTCTTCCCAAGATGTGCCTTCTTCTGTAGAGTCCCTTTGCTTCCTTGTAGCTCTAGCCAAGAAACAGGACCATTTGATTTTGGATCCTATAATATATCTAGGGGATCTCAGGGATCAAGTGAAGAACTGACTATAACTACAGTTTTCAGTTTTCCCATTTAATTCTCATCCTACCCTCATAGGGTGGGAAGTGCTGGCTTGTACTCAGGAAGCAACCTCTCAAACTCCTTGTCTATGCTACATGTCTCTTGATAGTCTTCCTATTAGCACAAAATGGGGTGAAGGCTAAGCTGGAGAGGGGAAGGGGAAACTAGAAAAAAATTAGGTTTTTTTTTTTTTTTTGAGATGGAGTGTCATTCTGTTGCCCAGGTTGGAGTGCAGTGGTGTGATCTCGGCTCACCGCAACCTCTGCCTCCCAGGTTCAAGTAATTCTCCTGCCTCAGCCTCTCAAGTAGCTGGGATTACAGACATGCACCACCACACCTGGCTAATTTTTGTATTTCTAGTAGAGATGGGGTTTCACTGTGTTGGCCAGGTTGGGCTTGAACTCCCGACCTCAGGTGGTCCACCCACCTTGACCTCCCAAACTGCTGGGATTACACATGTGAGCCACCATGGCCAAAAATTAGTATTCAAAAAATATTATCCTGCATCTTAAGTAAGTTGAATATGAAGCCATGGGAACTGAGAGAACAGGTTGTTTCTAAAGAGAAATTATCCCAAGAAAAGAAGGAAAAAGTGAGAAAGAATTAAGAGATGGATTGGGAACATTATTTTATTAGAAAATCAGTGACCATTCCTACTTTTATGACCCATGTCCCACCAGTGTTTGCTTGATGGGAATTTTTAGGGATGAGATACATTGCTATGTTACTACTCTATATGTGAATAACCGGTGTGCCTGATTTCTAGCACATTAATGGATTTTATAACTCAATAAATTATAGGCACTCAATAATTTTTATTAAATGAGTGAATGATAAAAAGCAGTGGACATAACTGGATATATTAAAGCAGCATGGGGCTATATGAGAGGAGGAGTTTCATAAGATCAAGATTAAAAATTAATTTGATATATATATTTTTTGCTTAAGTGGTGTTTACTAGTCTAAGGACCAGTACACATACATTAGAGAATGTATTCATTAAGAAGTCTCAGCCAGGCACTTAATTGTTGACACAGGAAAAAAAAAAAAAAGCCAACAAACCAACTCCGCAGAGCTGTGTTAAAAATACTGGACTTTCATCCCTTGATTGGAGGTATTATTACAGCATCAAGCTGACCTGCAATATGGATCATTGAGATCAAAGGCTATAAATTATAATGTTTGCCTTTAAAGAAGTCAATTCAACCCTGAATGTCATAGTTAGCTACTTTCAACTGGAAGCTACAACATGGATTTATGGAATCTGTCTTGGTTTCTGTTCTTGGATGCTCTTCTCGTGATTTCTGGCTTGGTAAGGAAACAGTATATAGAAGATAATTTAAAAATTTTGGGGCAGTTGATATTGATTGTTAAAGAACAAGTGTTTTTTTTTTGTTTGTTTTTTATACATCTTGAAATGTTGATCTCAAATGAGTGTTTCTTCTTGGAGATTAGGGGTGGGCAGTGTGTAGGGAGTGACAAATAGCCACACCAGAGTAGAGACATTGATATAAAGTTATGTTTTCCTTTCAGTTTCATCATTGTGTAACAAGTTTTCTTTTGATGAGATTATAAATGTGTATTTTGAAAATCATTCCATTTTTACTGCTGAATGAAATGCAGATTGCTGCACAGTAACTTGAGACATGAATGAGTGTCACAGGCACCGTCAGTACTTACAAAGTTTTATAACGTGGTATTTCTCTTATGCTTCTTCATCAGTTTAGACTCATCCTTCTACAGTTTGGACTAATCTTTTCTATCAGGTAGTTTGTATCACAAACCAACCCAAGGTTTTAAATGAAGTTTCAAATGGCTAGTGGAAAACCTTCAGTTGTTATTTTAAAATAACAATTATTATATTGGGGTGATATTCTATGAATAGGAACTAGAACATTGCAAACAAGAGATACAGATGAATACATGTTAAAGTGTAATTAGGAATAAATCCTTGATAATTTTATTCTGTAGGTGCACTGGCATTCCTCTATGAGTGTATGCCTGTGTGTGGTTATAGTGTGAAACATGCAAAGCACTTGTTAATGTCAAAAATGATGGTAACCATCCATCCAGTTCATTCCCACATTTTGTTAAACGCTCCAAATGATTCTAGTATTTAGATATGTAAGCTGTATTTGAATAAAATTGTACTTTACACTTTTGTGACAATTTATTATAGCTTACAATGAGCCTTCTTTCACATTATATACTGTAACCCTCACAATACCCATGCAAAGCAGGTACTGACCATATCTTATGGATAGTCTGAGTACCTGGAAGGTGAACTGAATTACCCTTAGTTAGTAGAACTGGTAACATAACCCAGACAGTCCTATGAGCTTTTTAATTCAATCACACTAAGACATTTCTCAGGTTTACTTAGTTGTTTTTTTTTTTTTTCCTTTGGACATGTAGTCTGAGTTTCATTGACCATTTGTGGAGAATCTATTTTCAGAAAAAAAATTAATCACAAAATGTACCCATTGTTTTTCTTAAATATTTGTATTGTCTTTGAAGGCAGAATTATTCTGGGAGAAACATGAATGCAAAATAACTTGATTAATGAGTCTTGAATAACATTTCTTTTTAAAGAATTGTTATAAATTACAGTATTATTTCAACATTGAGAATAAATTATTTGGTTTTTCAAACATTGCTCCATGAATGCTTTAGAAAATCGTGTGTAAAGTGAGCACTTATTTGAGAGCTAGAGTCTTATGTTCTGCCTTTTCCCCCCCAATTTTTGAAGTTGGTTTCTTGTTTCCTTCACCTTCAAATTGATTTAACAGGCAGTTTCATTTTCCATATGAAATGAGAAGACCCTTTGGTCAAAAAGTCATCTTAAACTTCAATTTAGCCATCCTAAATACATGTCAGGAAGTAATCCATAATATTAATGACAAAACAAACAAACAACAAATGGTTAGATATAAACTGAATCCAAGAAGACCATTCCTGGGCATTATAATAATATGTTTTGTTTATGTGTTTATTTCCCAGGCAACTCCAGAAAACTTTGGTGAGTCTATTTTGAGTTTTGTTCTAGGTTATAGAGAACCTAGGACATATTTAATGCTAAACATCATACATAATTACATATGCATAATTGATGCATAATTGCATTGAACTTTGATCTAATACTGGATTCTTTTGATTTATGGAGGGACATTTTATTGTCCATGTTCCAGGCTTCATATGCCCAGCAAAGAAATAGATGGTATAGGAAAGGCCAAGCACAGTGACTGACACATAGACATCCCATAAATGCTTGCTATTATTGTTTTTGTTATTTTGTGTCAAATCAGATGGACCTAATAATAACAGTCTACTCAGTATTCACTTGCATACTCGGAGATTTGGCCATATTATATACACCTTTACAACTTAAAATAGTAATTCAAGTTTAACTTAAGAATTTTGCTTGAAAGTTCCAAGGTATACTACTAGCAAGTGATATACATGTATGAGTAGATTGGGCTAGTTTGACCAAATTTAATCATTTGTTTGCTATTTAATCTAGTCTTCTAGTCTTTCAAATTATGCTTAATAATATATGGAGCAACCAATTTCTTATTCCCGAAGTCATTTGACATTCAAGGAATGTCGATAGGACAGAATACATACATAAAAGCTCTTTAGAGCCCAACCTGGCTCATAGGAGATTCTTAATCAATCAATCAATCAATCAATGTATGTTGAGTCTGAATCTAGTAGTCACCTGAGGCCAAAAGAAACTTGCTTAGTTCTGATTATATAAATGATAAAGGTTTTCTCCTTTTATAAACATAATGTTCAATTTTTTGTTGTTGTTGTTTTAATCAAAGATGTAGATGGCGGAATGGACCAGGACATATTTGATATCAATGAAGGTTTGTGGATTTTTTTTACATAATCTCTTAAGTAGAGAGTTTGAATCCAATTTGCTAACATGAATTTTTATCTTTACTCTTAGGTTTGGGACTGGATCTTTTTGAGGGTGACATCAGACTTGATAGGGTGAGTTGAAACAGTATAAGGAAGAATCTTCCATTAACCACTGCAAGCCAAATTCAGAGTAACTGAGAAAGATTAGACAGCATGAACTTTGTTAAGCCTAACTATCTCTAAGGGTGCAGAATCATGGTGACACATTTATTCAATGAATATATTATACTCAAAGAAATGCATATAATTGTGTCTTCATCTTTCATTACTCATATTTCTGTGTGGTTCAAGCCACCATAACTCATTACATATGTCTTAGTCTTATTGATTTGATTGATTTTCATTATTGGAGCAATATGACATTTGATTTTAAAATAGGACCTCACAGATTCAATCTAGTGGAGGCAAAATTAAACTGAATTTGTAAACATCTTCAATGAATCAGGCTTTTTACCCCAATAAATAGATTTTGTGACTTCTACCCTGGCCTTAGCTAAAAATAATGTTGCCAAGTTAAGACCCTCCCAAACCTATTCATAAAGAGTGCTGATTCTCATCTAAGTCATCATGCCACACAGATAAACACAAGAACCTTGCAGGTAGATTAGGGGGACTAAAAAGTTCACTATCATGAAAGCACTGTTTTTTTCAGTGTTCTCTCACAGCATGGAAATAAGCACTATTTTTCAAAAGACAAGATATAGTTTATTGCCCACTAGATTGAAAAATATTAAGAAACTTACTACTTACTATCCCTTTTGGTGATGATAGAGAGAAACTAGGATGCTTGTTTAGGAATGTGTTTAGAACATGTTATTATACTGGAGAGTGTATAAATTTGAAAAAAAGAAAGAAGGCAATTTGAGAAGAGCTAGCATAGTTTAAAATATATACACCATGTGGCCTAGAAATTACCCAGTAGATCTTTTCCTGTAAAATTCTGCTCTTCCTTCCAACACAGTCCTAAGTCACTCCCTTACTTCCTATATCGTAAGCACCAACATCCCTCACAGTCCTCCCACCCCCAGGAAACAGAGCTGCAGTCTCCCAGGCTTAGTCCTGAGCCTACTCTTCTATCTGTGCTCTCTCTTGATCTCACCTTCGTCCAGGGATTCAAATGTCATCTCCATGCCAATGAATCCAAAGGCATATCTCTGGTCCTCTCCTTTCCCTGAGCTCCAGACTGGTCTATCCAAGCACTAATTTGCCAGCTCCACTTGAATGTCTACAAGACGTCTCAAACCTAAGGTGTCCTCTGATCAGGTGAACTCTGACCTTCCCCCCAAACTGTTCCTCCCCACTCTCCTGTCTTCATAAAGTCATCCTCACAACCTGACTCTACTCAACTGAACACATAAAAACCTTGAGCGCCACCTTTGCTTCTCCTCTCTCCTTCACTCCCCATCCAGCCCGTCAGCAAGTTCTATCATTTCTAGCTCTAACATACACTGCAAATCGTCCACTTTTCTCCATCACTCTAATTCAGGCCCCATCATCTCTTGCCTGGCTTTTTCCATTAGCCTCCTAATTTGTCTTTCTATTTCAGATATTGTTCCCCTATAATCTTTTCCACCCTGTTACTTGTCCTTATCTCTCACAGCAAAGTCATTTTTCAAACAGGCAGTGACTTCATTTCACCTCCTGGCTTGAAACTCTTCCATAGTTGCCTATGGGTTTAGAATCATCTCCCGATTTAGTCCCAGCTGTCTAAGCCTAGCATGCCTTAGCTCCTGCTTCTGTCCTCCCCTCTTCCCTCCCCTCTCCTCTCTTTTCCTCTCCTCTTATCTCATCCACGTTCTCTCTTAGACTCATCAGGCTACTGGTCTCAACACATATTCAAAACATCCCAGGCATATTCCCACCTCAGAACAAGAACAACTAATGTTCCCTCTGCCTGAAACCACCTTCCCAGGACCCCTTTCAATGCTGGCTCTGTCTTGCGATCCCTATTTCCCCTTAAATATCATCCCTTCATAGACGACTGTCCTGATCACTCCATCTCATGTACTCCGTCATCCCTGTGCCCTTGTTCACATCTCTCTTTCTAATTTCCTCCCTATTGCATTCATCCTGCTTAAACATTTTTTTTTTTACATACTCTTTCTGTCCTCCACTAGATATAAGCTCCATGAAGCCAGAGACCTTTATTACCAAGGAATCTCTATTCTCTAGGACAATATTCAATTTGTGGACTGAGTAAATACATTAGTAAAATATTACTCATTTTCTATTATACAGTTTAAAATCCTTTAAAAATTTTTGAAAACTTTGGCCCAGCTCATGTGTGACTTTTTCTGATATTGTGAGATCCAGATTATCAAGGTCTTGCTATCACTGTTTTCTTGCAAATTTTTAATCTTTAAGTGTAGGAAACTAACCTATAAATCTACCAATATTTGTAGTTCAGTTTTCCAACAGTTATTTTTTGCATTATTCCTTCTTCAACTGTATTAACAAAATGATAGAAATTAGTAATTTCTTCCTAGAAACTTTGTTATATTATGATAAAAGTAGGGCTACACACACACACACACACACACACACAATTTGTTTGTGCGAACTGGGAGAGCTTTAAACTTCATTTATTTCTAGATTAACTACAGGTTTCCTAAGTGTTTGCCTTATTTGTTTAACTAGCCCTTTTGCATTTATTTTTGACAGGCACAAATTAGAAATTCCATCATTGGAGAAAAGTATAGATGGCCTCATACCATTCCATATGTTCTAGAAGATAGCTTGGGTTAGTATGCACCTTGAAGTATCCATAACTAATGTCTATTTCTGACAAAATATGATTATAGTGTTTCAAAGGGTGGGCTTATATAGTCTTTAAGGTTTTGTTTGGTTTGCTCCTTTGTGTGGCTATGTACATTTACTTTGAAAAAAAAAATAAGCAAAACGAACAATGAAAGTAACCTAAATGACTCTGTCTGAAATATTTACAGTGTCTTGACCAACAAAGCAATGAGTTCAACCAACGTTTATGGAGAGCCTACTCTGTTATGCTAGGGACATAACGATTAGGGAGCCAGTCTTTTTTTGTGGGGGAGGGGCTCTGCATCATATATTCATTGAACCAGTGCAAAAACATCTTTTGGAGAGCAGACAGGCCAGGCCAGGGTCCCAGGAGGATGCTCTGCTGGGGGTGCAGTGAGGGTGAAACATGGAAGAAGAGGGCCTTGCTTCCTCTTCCCATGGCAGGTATGCTCCTTTCTCCTAGAGTCTGGATCCCTGGTGAGTGAGGCCACTGACTGACTGTCCATCTGCCTGTCCCTCTCTATCCCTGCAAGTTCGGGGAAGAAGGGTCATTGGCAGCCCGGGGCTGGGAACCCAGGTCCTCTGGTGCCCCCGCTGGCTCGGGCTCGGTGGCCTTGGGCTCCTTGGCCTCATCCCTGTTTCTGCTGGCCTTCTGGAGCTGGTGTCACTGCGCCACCTCGGCTTTCAGACTCTCCAAGTCTTTTTGGCTGAGAGGAATGAAGAGGATGCCATTGATGCCTTTGAACTGCTCCAAGACGCTGGCCATGCTGGGGGCTGTGAAGTTGAGGGGCGGGATGTTGTTGCTGGAGCCGTTGCGGTAGATCTCATGCATGGCGCGCCGCAGGGCCACGGCCAGCTGGGTCAGGCACTTGAGGTACTCAGAGCTCTCCTTGGTCTTCTCCTGGTCCTCGCCCAGCTGGGTCTTACAGAGGGTGTGCAGCCAGCCCTTCCTTCTGGTGCTGCAGGGCCGACCGGAAACTCAGCTTTGCTCTCATAGACCGAGGTGATGAGGTGGTGGCCAAGGGCCACCTTGAGAGCTTTGGGCCCTTGGTACTTGGTGCTGACGGCCAGCGCGTTGTCCAGGAAGCACAGCGACAGGTCGTACTCCATCACCCTGTGCAGCACCCGCCTGATGTTGTCCAGCACGCCACCTCGGGGTGTCTTCCCCAAGCACCAGCGCATGAGGTAGTGGGCGCCCTGCAGCAGGCTGAGGGCCAGGGACAGCTGCCTGCTGGTGAAGCAGTGCAGGGCCAGGTGCATGTTTTCCTGGATGGTGTTGGGGTGCTCGATGCCCATCACCCGCACGCTCATCAGCACTGCCTTCTGCTGGCTTCTCAGGGCCTCTGCGTACTTGCCCATGATGTAGTGGAGGCGGGCAAGGAGGCGCAGGCAGGCTCAGATCTCCACGTGCACTGCTCCCTACACTTGGTTAAACAGGTGCAGGGCCTGATTGATGGGCTCACAGGGAGCCAGTCTTTATTTTAAAGCAGTGGTTTACCCTATGATCAATTATACATATGAGAAAATACATAAAATAACCAACTAAATTTGAGGAACTGGCATTGTTTTATCAACATTTTATTTTGCCAGGTCAGGAACTTAAACAACAACCTAACATGATAAAAGAGCTTTCATCATCCTCTTTTCATACAGTAAATAATGTTATTAGTGTAGTATTAAAATGTTAAAAAGTCAGAAGAATCAAATCCAAAACTAAGAACAGCTTTTCTATAGAAGAAATTTAAATATGTTGGAAAACTCTAAACATGGTCTTCATTTTAATCTATGGACTAGTGGCAATGATGCCACTGACCAGCATTAGCTTAGAAATTGCTGTTTGGGAAAAGTTTGAGTAAAAACCCTGCTATAGTTTTTTAATTTTTAATTTTATTTTTCATTTTTGTTTTTTTTTTTTTGTTTTGAGACAGAGTCTTGCTCTGGAATGCAGTGGCACAATCTCAGGCTGGAGTGCAGTGGCATAATCTCGGCTCACTGCAGCTTCTACCTCCCAGGTTTTGGCGATTCTCCTGCCTCAGCTTCCCGAGTAGCTGAGATTATAGGCATGTGCTAGCACACCTGGCTAATTTTTGTATTTTTAGTAGAGATGGGCTTTCACCATGTCGTACAGGCTGGTCTCGAATTCCTGGCCTCAAGTGATCTGCCTGCCTTGGCTTCCCAAAGTGCTGGGATTACAGGTATGAGCCACTGCACCCAGCCTGTTATAGTTTTTTAAAATTTCAACTTTTATTTTAGATTCAGTGGGTACGTGTGCAGGTTTGTTACATGGGTGTGTTGCATGATGCTGAAGTTAGGGGTACAAATGAACCCATCACCCAGGAGTTGAGCATAGCACCCAATAGGTGGCTTCTTCAACCCTTTTCTCCCTCCCTTTCCCCTCTTGTAGTCCCCAGTGTCTTTTGTTCTCATCTTTACATCCATGTCTATGCAATATTTAGCTCCCACTTATGGGAAAACATATGGTATTTGGAAACCCTGCTATTTTTCTTAAAGATCATGCATTTCAGTGGAGACTCACATAAATCAAAAGTGAATTATGATAGAATGGAATAAACATTATGATTAGTGATGTGTTCAAAGAGCTATGGGAGCACATTGGAGGGGCAGTAAACTCAACCTGGATAGAAAAGCATATGCATTATAAGCAGAGGACGCTATATAGCAGGACTGCCATGAAGACTGTGTAAGTTGTACACCGTACAACTGACATGACCTCCTGGAGCTGGTGCTGCCATGCCACCTCAGCTTTCAGATTCTCCAAGACTTTTTGACTGAGAGAAATGAATGAAGAATGCCATTAATGATGTAGAGCTGCTTCAAGAGGCTGCTCTCAGGTGGCTGGGCCAGGAAACAAGTGGAGCTGATACCAGGTTTACGTTCTTTCTGTTCACCAGGAGGCATTTGTTTCTTTGTGTGAAAGTGCTGTTCACCCATCTGGCCAGCCAGCAACTGCAGCACCTGCTCAGAGGTAGTGCCTCTTCCTAATTGGCACACAGGCACCATGTGGGCTAGTGTGGCCTCTGATAGCAAGGGAAGGGTGCTTTAGCCAGATGCATCACGATCTGCTAAGTCCTGAAGAAGGGAGAAAATCCTGAGCTGGAATTTAGATTGAGAGTGGGGAGCTAGGAAGTTGAGCAGGTAGGCGGAACGCAAATGGGGAAGGACTTGGGTCTTCCCGGTGTTAAAGAACTTGTCGTGTATACTAATAACATGGGGCCACCAAAAGTATTATTGTGGAAGTGAGATTGTTAAAATTGCAGTTTAAAATAATCACTTGGGTTGAAGTATAGAAGATGTGTCATTAGTGGGGTAAAAAGAAGATAGGGAGACCAGTTAGAAAACTACTGAGGAAATTCAGAGAAAGAATTAAGAGATTCCTAACCAAGATAAATCTAAAAGCTATTTGGGATGCATTTGTTAGATTTAGTGATTGACTGTAAGAGGTCAAGAAGAAGGTGGGTGTAGAGAAAGAGATTCTAGTGCTCAGGATTCAGTCCTGGGTAGCTGAGGGCATGGTAACGTCTTCAACAAGAATGGAGAATTTAACCTTGAGGAGCATGAGACAGAGAAGCATGGTGGAAATTAGTTTTTGGCATGCAGAATTTGAAATGCATCAGAGTCACTGTGGTGGAGATACCAAATAAATTCTTGGTATATGACCTGGTCATTCAAGGTCGAGAAATGTTTGGGAGTTATTAGGATGTAAGAGATGGTTGAAGCCGTGAGTATGGATGAGCATTTCACACAGTGCCTTGCATAGAGCAGGTGCTCCATAGATAACTGGATTTTATTGATTTATCCTGGAAGGTTGTGTTGAATAAGTAAGAAGATGGTCGAGAATGAAACTCAGTGCCATTTTTTGGAACTGGTATAGAAGGAAGATCTAGTGGAAGTTATTGAGAAGGGGGAATTGGCCAGAAACATAGATAAAAAACTAACAGTAGGGTAGGGAAAGCCAGGGCAGGAGTAGTTAGCGGGGTTGGAAGCCATAAAGAGCACAGGGGGCATGAGGAGAGAAAGATGTTCATTGACTTTTGGAATTAGGAACCTGAAAGATTTTGAATATACATGTTTTTTTGGTTTAGTCTTTTGATTAAAAAATTTTTAAGTTCTTTTGTTTTAATTCTTCCTTTTTTTCCTTTCGTTCGTTCCTTCCTTCCTTCCTTCCTTCCTTCCTTCCTTCCTTCCTTCTTTCTTTTTTGAGACGAGTTCTCACTCTATCACCCAGGCTTCAACCTCTGCCTCCCAGGCTCAAATGATCCTCCCACCTCAGCCTTCCAAGTATCTGGGACCACAGATGCATGCCACCATGTCCAGCTAATTTTTTGTATTTTTGGTAGAGATGGGGTTTCACCAGGCAATCCACCCACCTCGGCCTCCCGAAGTGTTGGGATTACAGGCGTGAGCCACCACATCCAGTTATATTTCTTTTTTTAAAAAACTTATTCTCCTAAGTATGTTCCATGAAAGATTAGGGAGCTTTAATTTTATATATATCTTAGGCTATTTTTTTTTTGCCATGTATTTAACCATGAGCTTTATTTATTTTTTAAACAACATTATAAACAACATAATGAATGCCTTGAGGATAAGAGCTATTTTTCATCTTGCAAATTGGAGGATTACCATAGTCTCTGGCGTATTATATGTAATAACATTTTTGAAATAAATTGATAAGCATATGTATATATATAAATGAAAAATGTTAGGTAAAAATTCAGCCTAGATCCTACCATCCAAACTGTGCACATTTTTACATAGTTATAACTATGATGTCTTAAATCTTTTGTTCTAATTTTTTCACTTAATGTTATTGCATTTTTTCATATTGTATAGTCTTTATAATAGAATCAAACTTCAAATTTTTATAGAACAATTTTTTTCAATTATGTGATTTTGATTATTTCTTATTTAGAAAATACTTTTGTTTAATATTGTAGAATTCAACTTGTTTTCTATGTTCAAATTAAGAAAAGTATCCTTACGTTTCAGAAATGTATACCATCTTCAAATGACTCAGACTAAGAAAATTACTAAGCAAGGCCACTCTTACAGGTAGCAAAAATAAATACCTATGAAGGGTTGATTTCTGGAAGGCCCTATTACTCAGATTCTAGTAGGTCAAACTGTGAAATTCTACCAGTAGGGTTGTAGTCTTTGAGCTTGAACTTCAGATGTTACCTGGCTGGTAGATGCAACTTCCCTGAAAGGAGTAATACTCATAGCAGCCATTTATAGTTTCCAGGGCCTAAGTTATAATTCCTTGCCTTAGCACCAAGGCAGAAAAGGCAGTGGGGGAGGCTGAGGGTAAAGAGTTGGGGATGGAAATGAAGGGGAAGGTGCTAGAAACCTGAAGGGGCTACTAAGGGGAAACAATCCTGAACAGCTGCTTACTGAACTCCTAGGATTGCCAGCAACTTGCCTCATTTTCCAAAGCCTGGCATGGTTCCAAGTGGAGCTTTCTGCATCTATAACGCAAGGTTAACTAAGGCCCTCAGTAAATAAAGGCATATGGAAAACAAAGATCTTATCTTGGTAAAGGGCCTCAGTGTTTATAAAGCTTTCACGTGTTACTTTATTTATTAATTCAAGAAACTATCCTCATTAAGTTTTGATAAATGGCCTAAACTAGTATGCTCTTTTACATTCTGTTTAAAACAGTGATATGGTGGTCAGTATTATCATACCTTATTTGAAGGAAATATTACATTTGAAATAATGACCCAAATATGATACTTATAGGACAGAACATTTTGAACGTTAACAGCCATATGTAGATACACACACACACACACACACACACACACACACACGGCATACTATTTCAGGGTGTTCATAGACCTTCCCATCTCAGCGTCCTCGGATTAAAAGCCCAGCTGTGAGGCTTTAAATACATATTATAGCTTCTCAGATTAAGTATGTGGTGGCAATTTATTTTGATTGCCTGTGATCCAATGTCCAATGGATCCAATTTGTAATCCTCTATTCATTAAAATGATAAAAAGAATAATGATGAAAAAATATTTTGATGACATAATATTTAGTGAAAAAATAGTTGGTAAAATGCTATGTAGATGACTTTATTTTTTATAGAAATATTAACATATGTATGTTATATATGTATTCAAAGGCAAAATGTATGGTAAGGGTGATTGATTATTCCTGGATGATAGGATTTTAAATTTCTTTTTATTCATATCAATTTTTAACTTATTTATAACGATAGTGTATTACTTATGTGGTATTGTAAAAGTCTGAACTTAGTGCCTTTTACAACTTATGGATTTTAGGGTCTTCCCTATGTGAATCCTGTTCTTGATCTTCTTAGACCTGCCTCAACAGAGGCATACCAAGTAATCTTCCTTGAATGTCTATGCAATGGTTACTCTAGAAGGGAGAAAGGAAATGAACATTTGACAAATGCTAATTTTACTTGGAACTTCACCTTTACTTTCTCTTACTATCCTCACAATATCCTGCAAAGTTGATTTTATTTCCTCACTTAACTGATAATAACACCAAAGCTCCAAAGGTTGATTGAATTGGCAAAAGTTTTATGTCAAAAGTGAGTGGTGAGGATAGGGAAGAACTTAGGTGTGTCTGGCTCCAAAGTCCAAGCACTTTCCCCTCTGCCATACTGTCTCCCACCTCCTGGCAGGCTCCCATCTTTCACGTCACTAGGACCTGGCCCATGTGATGCCTCTCCATGTGCATCTGATACAGCCCGTTCCTCCTGGTCACTCACAAGTTTCTTTTCCTGCATGTTGTTTCTTCCACACCTCTGCCTTCTTTGAGCTCCATATCCATATCACTCTTATATCCAGAGCATTGGCTCTTACCCTTATTTTGGGCCCTGAACTCACTTGCAGACCTCATGAAAGCTCTCTCTAGAAAATGCACTTTGCATTTGTAGATATGCACACACACACATACACACTTTGCATACTATTTCAGGGTATTCATAGACTCTCCCATCTGAAGATCCTCAGATTAAAAGCCCAGCTGTGTGGCTTTAAATACATATTATGGCTTCTCAGATGAAGTACGTGATGGTGATTATTTATTTTGATTGCCTGTGATCCAATGGATATGTTCTCTGAGGTAAAGATGCATTTTTATTGTTTAGTAATGCACCATTAGTGAGTGAGTGCTAGAGAAATATAAGGCCAAATAAGGGATCTGAAGAATAAGCAGATACTGTATATGATATTCAATGGGTACTGAATTCTAATTTTTGTAAAAATAAAAGACTCAACATTCATGAAGGGACTAACTCATGATAAGCAATATATTGCAGTGGCCTGCTTCCATGGAAGATTTTTCAGTGGTGATTGTTTTAATAAGCTTATTTTTGTTTGTTTTCTTCCTTCAGAAATGAATGCTAAGGGAGTTATCCTCAATGCATTTGAACGTTATCGCCTTAAAACATGTATTGACTTTAAGCCTTGGGCTGGAGAAACAAACTATATATCAGTGTTCAAGGGCAGTGGGTAAGTTGCAGACTTAGTCTTCTAAGGCATCTAAGGAGAACTCTAGTGCCTGGGACATTACATTGCAGCAATCATCCTAGGCTCTGACCTTTAGGAAGGGGTGGGGACTTTCTTGCTAGTTGCTGGAGAGTAAAAAACAACTGGATCTAGTTTTTGTAGACATAGAAATTATATTCCCATACATGTAACCGCCTTTAGACAAAGTGGAAAGTGGATGGGATTGCATGCCATCAGACCCACAACCTTGTGAATTTCAGCCCGTTTGTAATTTACATACTCTTTATCCCTTTCAAGTAAAAAACATGTGTATTTATGTGTGTCCATGTCTGTGCTTAAGCTTATTTTAACCTAACCACTCTTATTTCTTGGGTTAAGAAGGCGACAGTATTATTTGTCTTGAGCTCAGCAATTCTGAGTGGTTGCTGTCCCTGTAAAACCCTTGTTAATGGGCACAGGCATAACGAGGAGCTCAAAGACTTTGAAATTCACAAGAAAAACCAGGTCTAGACCACCTTGAGGACGATTTGCTCCTATGTAATATTTGGTGTTAGGGCAAGTTCTTTAAAGATCACCTGGTCTGTAAGGTTTTTTAATATTATACAATACCTGGTATATTAGGCCATTCTTGCATTGCTGTACAGAAATACCAGGGACTCGGTAATTTATACAGAAAAGAGGTTTAACTGGCTTTCAGTTCTGCAGGCTTTATAGGAAGCATGGTGTTGACATCTGCTCAGCTTTTGGGGAGGCCTCCGGAAGCTTATAATCATAGTGGAAGGTGAGGGTGGAGCAGGCATGTCGCATGGCAAAAGCAGGAGCCAGAGAAAGAGTGGGGAGGGGGAGGTGCTACACACTTTTAAATGACCAGATCTCATGAAAACTCACTATCGCGAAGACAGCACCAAGCCATGTGTGGTTCGTCCCATGACTCAAATACCTCCCATGAGGTCCCACCTCCAGCACTGGGAATTACAGTTCAACATGAGATGTGAGTGGGGACAATTGTCCAAACTATGTCACCTGGGTTATGAGAGAAACGCACAGTGTTCAGATGTAAGAGCAAAGGTGGGTAATGAAGTGGGTAATGAAGTGGACTAGGCAGTGGCGATTCTGCCCTGAGACCTCAGATTGTAACATTCTCTTCCCCCTTTCTTGTAAACTCTCCTGTAAGCTGCTGGTCTTCAGTAGGAAATAGGCGGGTTGGGAAGCAAGAACTTTCCATCGGGGCAAACTGTGACCGAATAGCAACAGTTCAACACGAGTTCCTCCACGCTCTGGGATTCTGGCATGAGCAGTCGCGTTCTGACCGGGATGACTATGTCAGGATAATGTGGGACAGAATTCTGTCAGGTACATTTCTCTTTTTTTCCTATGTTTTTAGTTAAGGACTGAATTTCTAAGCATGTGTCCTCTCTTGTCATCTGTGGCAACTGTTAATAATTTTAAAACTTTGATGTTTTGATGTCTTAATTCATTCAGCTTGAACTCATTCTGAGTTATTGGAGCACTAGTATTCCAGAACCCATATGAGCTAGATATGCTCTAGAAACTGGTTTTGTGGTTCTTAAAGCATATTCAGTCCCACAATATGTTCATGAGTATTATGTGGAACGGAGTCTGTGGCCAAATTAGTTTTGCAAATCCCCAAGTCTTAGTCCATCTTGCACTGCTATAACAAAACACCACAGACTGGGTAATTTATAAAGAACTGAAATTTATTCCTCATTGTTCTGGTGGCTGGAAAGTCCAAAATCAAGGGGTGGGCATTTGATGAGGGCCTTCTTGCTGTGTCACATACCATGACAGAGGGCAGAGGTCAAGGGAGAGTCAGAGAGAAAAAACAGGACCAAATCTGTCCTTTTACAAGGAATCCACTCCTGCAGTAGCAAACCTACTTCTGCAGCAATGGGATTAATCCATTTATGAGACGGAGCCCATGCCCTAATTACCTCTCATTAGGCCCCACCTCCCAACACTGTTGCACTGGGGATTAGGTTTCCAATACATGCTTTTGGGGGGACATATTCAAGGCATAACACCTAGGTTAAAAGAAATTAGACTTACTTATCCTGCTATACTGCTCTGAGTGTTTATTGGGTTGACAGGAATTGTAAATCTCTAAGAAAAGGAGCATTTCCCAAAATGATTTGATCATGGTCTTCTTTTTTCTTTTTGCAGAGTAGCTTGTAGAGTATTTGGATTTATTGTTTCATGGAACAATTTTCAGTAATAGTTGAGTAGCATGAACTGTTTGTGATTTTGTGTTCAAAGTCACAAAGTCTTAATAACTATGTCTGACTAGAGCTCATGTTTTCCACATTCCACAGTGACACTCAGCTTCCTCATCTGTCCTGCCTGTGTGGGGCGAGACAGAGGAAAGGGCATTGCTATTATGTCTGAGGCACTGTGAGGAGTGCCCTATACAAGGTCCCCTGACACCACACTTCTTGAAATCACAGCTCTTGCTCTTTATCCCCCGACTCTGCTTATCTCAAATGCGGTCAGGCATAGCAGCAAACTAAAAGATTTCTAGAGAAACAGCAGTGTTTAGCTTTAATCCACAGCCACACTCCTTAGGATTCCCAAAGTCTTATTTTTGATCTAAACTTCTGCTCACATTTGATAACACATCTTTATGTTTTGGAGATCAGAACCACCTTAAAGTGTCCACAGAATCATTCCATTTCAAGTTGAAATCAGTTGCCCATTAGTATAATGCTAAATGGCCTGAATGTCTTCTCTAAATATATTCATTTTTGTTTTTTATTATTATTTTAAACTGACAAATCATAATTGTATATACTTATGTGGTACAGTGATATTTTGACATGTGTACACAACGTGGAATGACTAAAACAAGCTACTTAACATAGCCATCACCTCACTTATCATTTTTATGGTGAGACATTTGAGGTTTATTCTCTTAGCAATTTTGAAATATACATTATTATTAACTATAGTCATTATGCTTTATTTATTTATTTATTTTGAGACAGAATCTCGCTCTGTTGCCCAGGCTGGAGTGCAGTGGTGCGATCTTGGCTCACTGCAACCTCCACCTCCTGGGTTCAAGTGATTCTCCTGCCTCAGCCTCCCGAGTAACTGGGATTATAGGCGCCCGCCACCACACCCGGCTAATTTTTGTATTTTTAGTAGAGACAGGGTTTAAACATGTTGGCCAGGCTGGTTCATTGTGCTTTAAATACATCTACACCTATTCCAGTAACCATGAATTATGGTTAGTCAATAACTGCATGTCAATGCTTTTTAATGACTCCTCTGTAGGATAACTAGAAAGTTATCATTCCCAGGTTTCATCTCACCATCCCTTCAAAGCCTTCTTACTTCCATCTCCATCTACTGTGGACGTCCTCAGCCTGCCATCGTTGCTGGCCAATGCCCTGACTGGTTCAACAACACTTTTTTTTTTTTTTTTTGAGACAGAGTCTTACTTTGTCACCCAGGCTGGAGTGCAGTGGCGTGATCACAGCTCACTGCAGGCTCGACTTCCCAGGCTCAGGCAATCCTCCCACCTCAGCCTCCGGAGTAGCTGGGACTACAGGCATGCACCACCATGCCTGGCTAATTTTTAAAATATTTATTTTATTTTATTTTATTTGAGATGGAGTCTCATTCTGTCACCTAGGCTGGAGTGCAGTAGTGCAATCTTGGCTCACTGCAACCTCCGCCTCCTGGGTTCAACCAATTCTCCTGCCTCTGCCTCCTGAGTAGCTGGGATTATAGGTGCGCACCACCACAATGGACTGATTTTTGTATTTTTAGTAGAGACAGGGTTTCACCATGTTGGTCAGGCTGGTCTCGAACTCCTGACCTCATGATCCGCCTGCCTCGACCTCCCAAAGTGCTGGGATTACAGGCGTGAGCCACCACGCCCGGCCTTAAAATATTTATTAGAGATGAGGTCTCACTTTGTTGCCCAGGCTGGTTAGCAGCACTTTCTAGAATCCTCCTTTCCACGAGCAATTTTTACAGCCTTAGACTAAATGCCAATGTCCTAACTATGGGCTGCAATAGAACCTTAGATATGTTCAGTGTGACTGCTGGTATCACAGTTCTAAGCTTGAATATTATATTGTAAGATGGGAATAATGAAACTGTTGTTAGTTGTAGCAAAAATTGCTTGAGTTTATTATATTCTCCATTTCTAAGTGAGCAGTATTTGGAGTAAGATAAGCTGAATTTTGTGAACATCAAGTAAAGATTTTTTATTTATCCTTTAGGCAGAGAGCACAATTTTAACACCTATAGTGACGATATATCAGATTCCCTGAATGTTCCCTATGATTACACTTCAGTAATGCACTACAGTAAAACTGCATTCCAAAATGGAACAGAGCCGACAATTGTCACAAGAATCTCAGACTTTGAGGATGTGATCGGCCAACGAATGGATTTCAGTGACTCTGATCTCCTAAAGTTGAATCAACTGTATAACTGCTGTATGTGACAGGTTCTTTGAAATGACTTATATTTTCCGCTGTTATGTAGGAAAAAATGATGGTCTGTGCCATTTTGTCAAGCATTGGTGGGGTTTCTGCGATTATAGAGATTTGATATTCAGGAAATAAACAGAATAGCACTCAGATCTCAATCTACAACTTGGAAGCAGCATTTTTCTTTTCACCACGTCTGGTGTTGAGATCTAAAAACAAATTGGGTCCTGTAGGAATATGCCTCAGGCAAGTTTTTAAAGCTGTTACTAATTCAAACCTCGGTCAGATTGATACTCACACTTCCTTTTAGCCAAAATGATATGTCTAGTTGTAATATGAATGGGATCAAATAATCTGGATTGTGGCTTAATGATTCGAATAACTAGGGGAGTATAGACTCAGGTTTCTACAAATTAGAAAATTTTTTTTAAAAAAGACTTCAGGCAGGGAGCTTATTCAGATCTACAGAATTCATTACCTTCTTTGTAGGGGTTCTGCAAATAAAGAGGGATCTTTAAGCCACCATCATCCAGAATCAGCTAGGTGTTCCCTGTAATACCAACCTGGCATTTCTAATACTGTGATAAGTTCAGTTTTTGTTACTTAGATTATCATGTTGTATGAGTGTCAATAATTGTTTTTTGCTTTTTGTAGCCTCTTCCTTGAGTTTTATGGACTCGTGCAGTTTTGAACTGGAAAATGTGTGTGGCATGATCCAAAGTTCAGGAGATAATGCTGACTGGCAACGGGTTTCACAGGTTCCCAGGGGGCCAGAGAGTGATCACTCCAACATGGGCCAGTGCCAAGGTAACAGGAGTGAGATATTCCTAGACTGTATACTCAGTGGCTACAGCCACATACTTCTCTATGAAAGAATGGGATTTTATCTCTAATTTCTATCAGAATTATTAATGATTATTCATTAGGTTACTACTGAGAAGTAGGCCTTGCACCTGATAAAGACATTGTTAATTTCTTTGCTTTTCCTTCCTGAGTTTATTTTTCTTTCTACAAGTCAGAGCTGGGCTCTGTGATGCCTCTACCAGTGCGTTCCCATAGGAGAGTGTACCAGACTGGGCCTCCTGCAAGGCCTCTTATCTCAGGGGCAGTACTATTGTTTCCTAGAAGTTTGCAGAATACAAGAGACTCTTTCCAATGGACAGCACTAGGCTGCGAATTATTGTTTCAGAACTGTAGCTGGATGTGATTATATGCTCCTGTTACAAAAATATCTAAAAAGCAGAGTTTATTTAATTTTCTTCAGATGCGTATCCTTTTCCATTTTCATTTTGTTTTGCCTTAAGTAGTTATTTGGCTACAAGGACCAAATTTTTACGTATTTGCTTATTCTGGCATCAAATATGTAAAACTAGACTTCAGAACTTAGGGCCAGTGCTTAATAGCTCAGATGATCTAGGCAGGAATTGGAGGCCTCTAATGGCAAAAAGGTGCTTTTCCTTTTATTTTTCTTTTTAAATGCATATTTGGATAGTGGATAGTGGTCCTACTCAGACCAGAGGAAAGTAGATAGGGAGGGAGGGGGAAAAGAAGAAGAATCCAGACCAGGTAGCTCTCACTTTTTTCTGTTTTTGAAAACTAATTTCTGTGGTAAGGGAAAGGTTCCCTAATGTTGTCTCTTTCATAAATCGCCTGCTCCTAGAACCATATTTAAATGCCCAACACAATTCCCTGCATATAGTGGAAACTAAGCGAATACTTGAAATAAGGTAAAGAAAATTGGGCCGGGTGCAGTGGCTCATGCCTGTAATCCCCGGCCTTTGGGAGGCCAAGGTGGGCGGATTACCTGAGGTTGGGAGTTTGAGACCAGCTGGGCCAACATGGTGAAACCCTGTCTCTACTAAAAATGCAAAAATTAGCTGGGTGTGGTGGTGCATGTCTGTAGTCCCAGCTAGTTGGGTGACTGAGGCAGGAGAATCACTTGAACCCGGGGGGCAGAGGTTGTAGTGAGCTGAGATCATACCATTGCGTATCAGCCTGGACAACAGAGTAAGACGTTGTCTCAAAAAAAAAAAAAAAATGAAAGAAAATATATATACACTCAAACCAGAATTACTAGCTGTGCCTTCTTTAGAGATGGCTTAGAAGGTTAAGTATTGCAGATAATGAAAGCAGATAAGTGGGAGGTGCCTCTGAAATTATCAGGTTCAGTTATTCTCAATTTTTTCATTACAAGTATCATTTTAAAAATATTAAAATGTGAATCTCCCCAGATGGTTGCTGTAGTTAACAATATCTTCTGAAAGTTGAATTTCTTTCTTCCTTTTCTTTTTTTCTTCCTTCTTTTTTTGTGACAGTTTGAAGCCAAAGAAGTTAGAAAGTGTTTAAAAAAAAAAGGGGGGCGGGCAGGTCAGCCAAGGCCCTGGTTTCCTGGCTGGACTCTCACCTCTGTCCGCAGTGTGTGTTCACCTTTCCAGAAAGACCTAGAAGTTCACGTTGAATTACCCTTGGGAGACACAGATGCTACAACTCTCTACCCACCCAAGTTTCAAACCCTCGTTTTGACTTAATTTCCATTTTCCTTTTTCATATTCTCAGCGGGGGAACAACCCTCTGTAGCATCTTTGTCCAATGGTAGCTCTTTCCACTTGGAGCTGGACCAGGGTTTTGGACACTTGAAAGGTGTCCCATGTAGAATCTACCTTTTAGCCCTGCTGTTTGGGCTTGACCTGCAGCCTTACAGTGGATTTTTAAAAAGTTAGCATTTGATACTTAAACTTGCTTTATCTTTATAGCTCATAACAAATGAAGATAAGCAAGGATTAGTGCCCACGGAAAACTACTATTGTAAGTAAACGTTTTATAAATAATAGAGAGGTTTGAGTTTTATACTGTTATGTCAATCTGCTAGCTTTTGCAAGTGCCAGATATGTAGCTTAGGCTTCTGTCATTTCTCCCTGGCGATTTATATATGGATGTTACTTATGCCTCGCGTAAAGAATCTAGCACCACCATTAACAAACACACATTCCTATACCCAGTATCTGTTTTTCTCTCAATTCTGCTTTTCTTTAACAGGTTCTGGTTTCTTCATGCATTTCGATAGCAGCTCTGTAAATGTGGGGGCCACAGCAGTGCTGGAAAGTAGAACGCTGTACCCTAAAAGAGGATTTCAGTGCCTGCAATTTTACTTATATAACAGTGGCAGTGAAAGTGATCAACTGAACATCTATATCAGGGAGTATTCTGCAGACAATGTGGATGGCAATTTAACCCTTGTGGAAGAAATAAAAGGTACAATGTCAACATCCTTATTGTCTGGATTTAAAATGAGGCAATCTTAGGTCTTTTCTTTAGTTAATGCAACAATTTACAATAGGGCAGGGGCTACTGAGTCACTATACTTCAACTAAGAACTAGATTCTTGTTTTAAGCTGTGGAAAGGAAGCTAGAATGAAGATTCTTTCTGAGTGCTCTGTTATGTAACACTCACTTAAGAAACTGTAGATCAGTCTCTGGCACTATGGAGGTCAGTTCTTGGCAAATAATAAAAATACAAGGCTGGGCGCAGTGGCTCACACCTGTAATCCCAGCACTTTGGGAGGCCGAGGCGGTCGGATCACCTGAGGTCACGAGTTTGAGACCAGACTGGTCAACATATAGTGAAACCTTGTCTCTACTGAAAAAATACATAAATTAGCTGGGAGTGGTGGCACACGCCTATAGTCCCAGCTACTTGGGAAGCTGAGGCAGGAGAATTGCTTGAACCCGGGAGGCGGGGGTGGCAGTTGAGCCGAGATCATGCCACTGCACTCCAGCCTGCGCGACAGAGCAAGACTCCATCTCTGAAAAAATAAATAAAATAAAATAAAATAAAAATAAAATACATAAAAATACAATGTGAACTAGCTTAGGCAAAATAGGATGGGCTCCTGGCTAAATGTTAGTTACAGCCTGTGGGACAGATGAGGGAGACACTGGCTTGAGGGGGAATTATTAATAGATCTGTCTCTGAACATTGCTGGGGACCTCTTGTTTTATCTCAGAATGGCTGTCTTTATAAGACTGGTACTTCGGTTGTTTCACTTCCCAGCTTACATTTGACCAAATTTGCTATCAGTCTGGAAAAAGGACTCTTCCTCTAATATAAAGCTTAAAAAATAAATCCCAGTGAAGAACTGGGATACTTATGTCTTAAGTTAAACACAGCTTCTGGAGCAATTCCTGAGTGGGAAATGGGTACCCACCCTTCATACCAATAATGTGTCAGAGAGGAGAGCCATGTTGACCACCTATGCAAGTAGATGGTTAAGGGGGTGACTGAGAAAGGGAGGGGCTGTGGGCTGGCAAATATATTACTGTCTATTCCACCTAATCATCTCATGACTTGAATGAATTGAGTAATTCAATTTGTTCCACAATTGGATCCATATTATGCAATATAGTATGCCATTTTCCTCCTGTTTTCAACAATGAGAAACAATCTGAAATACAGGCGATATTTTTCTTTGTGAACACCTGTAAGCAGTAAGGTTCTTAATCTCACTAAGCATATACACACATTATACATATATATTATTTATGTAACAATGTAAAATATATAAAGAATAATTATATATAATATATTATATATTACATATATAAAAGCCTTATATATAAGCCATATATGTTACTATAAATATTATATTTTATGTATTAATATCTAAATTAATACAAATATTGATATAATGTATCTGTAATATATATAATTGTCCAGGACTGGAAGGGGGGTCCTTCCTATTAGCAATCTGTGGGTTCGTCATTGATACACAATAACACAAAAAGGCACTTAAGAAGCTTGCTTATTTTCTGTCATTTGGGTATGTCTAGCTTATTTTCAAGTAACTGTGTTTCACATTAAGTGCCAACATATTTTTGTTTTAAGACTTTGTGTTAACCACTAGTTTGACATGAATTCCTCAGCTGTTGTTCATCTGGGGGCCTCTGCAGATTATTTAGTATACTGCTTCTTATTTGAGTATGTGATATAAGAAAATCAGACAGAATGGCATATTATGTGCTGCTAGCGAGGGGTATGGGCTAATAGTTGGGGAGGAAGTACAGGTTGGAAAGAAAGGAGGTGGTACCAAATATCAGATAAATACTTACAATGCTGAGTTACTGGGAAGTGATCTAAAGAGTAGATTGCAGGATGTAGGCTTTCTAGGGTTTGGTGGATTTTGTTTAATATTACCAAAAAGTTGATTGAAGACTTTGTATGTGAGGGAAGTATTCCAATCAAACTATAAATATATTAAAGAAGGCTTTGCCTGAGTATCACAGGAATCTTGAGTAGAAGTGTTACAAGTGTTGGGTTTGCTGGCCCTTTAATGGAGAATGGCAGGTAACTCATAGGTAGGGCATGAAGTACTCATGAGCTAGATGTTGTTATTTACTCACCGATCTCTAGGAAAGGGTGATCTATTTGAGAAACAGCTAGACAAACGTTCAGCTATTCCAGAGAACAGTGTGACCCCACAGAAGCACCTTGAAGTAAATAATTCTAGGCTGGAGCTTTGGCAAAACCATACTTCTGACCTGTAGAAATAAATCGGTTTTGGATGACCCTTTGTCTAAGAAGGCTAGAAATCTAATGTTGACATGTACATGATTTGAACTTCTTTGTCTTTGAAATAATAATGACTCTTTTGCAGAAATACCCACTGGGAGCTGGCAACTTTATCATGTAACATTGAAAGTGACCAAGAAGTTTAGAGTGGTGTTTGAAGGACGCAAAGGCTCTGGTGCATCACTGGGTGGTCTGTCTATTGATGACATCAATCTTTCGGAAACACGGTGCCCTCATCATATCTGGCATATAAGGAATTTCACACAGTTCATTGGCAGCCCAAATGGAACTCTGTATAGCCCTCCATTTTACTCTTCTAAAGGTTATGCCTTTCAGATTTACTTAAATCTAGCCCATGTGACTAATGCAGGGATATATTTCCACTTGATCTCTGGAGCCAATGATGATCAATTACAGTGGCCATGTCCTTGGCAACAAGCCACAATGACACTTTTGGATCAAAATCCTGACATTCGACAGCGTATGTCCAATCAGCGGAGTATAACTACAGACCCATTTATGACCACCGGTTCGTAACTCATTTTCTTTATTGCTAATAAACAATCATTGCTCTAGGAGGGACTGATAATTTTGGGAATGAGGGATTGCACAGTTAGTTACCTAGGGAATTTTGAGCCCCAAATCTTAAGAACAGATATTTAGGGGAAAGGTTTCAAGAATTGTGGACTGAGTCTGTCAGACAGGAGCTCATCACAAATGTCAGCAAGGACTCCAACAAATGCTGACTGTATTCCTAAGAACTGATGGCCCTTCTCAAATTTCCACTTCTGTGCAAGAAGTGTTGGTTTTAGAGTCTGACATGCCTGAGTTCAAGTCCAAAGTTTGCTTCTCATTAGTTATGTAATCTTGAGCAAATAATCTCTTAGGGCCCCAGTGTCCTCAGCTGTAAAGCCAGGGCTGTAGTAATCATTCCACAGATTTGCTATGAGAATTAGTACAGGTCAAGTGTGGAAGCTGTGGAAAGGCCTGCGGTGGAGAGGCCCTCAGATGTTGGGTTCTTCTAACTCATGCTACCTTGTTCACGTCACTGGGATTGTCAAAAATAATTCAGCGTTTGAAATGGGGGTAGTTTTTGACCAGAAGGAAGGTATTGAGCAGGTGCATTCAAGTGTTGGTGGGAAGGGTATGAAAATGCATTATAATTTCTTAGTAAAAAGTTACAGAGGACTTGCTAATCATGACATCATTCCCCATCTTTCCCATCTCAAAAAGAAGCAACCCACTGAAAGCAAAGATCACACTACTAATTTTAATAATTCTTTGCTTCTGAGACCCTAGTAAAGGAAAAAATGGAATTATGGCAAGCTGAATAATTTTGCCAAATGTGAATTCTATATATGAAAAACATGGACCAAATCGACATAGAAAAAAATCCAACTTAATCTCATAGGAAAACAATAATATTCACCAATGGAATTGTAGGGACTTGACATTCAGAATTTCTTCACTTTTTCCTAAAGTGTTTCTTACTAAATGACATTAAAAACAGCTCAGGGCTGGGTAGGTCATTATCTTTTCCCAGAAGCAGTGCTTCTTGTTGTCTTCTACTTCTGAAGCACTTTGCTCTGTTAGGTGAATAATTCAGTTAATAAGATAAATCATCCTATGCTGATATTAAAAACTCTCTCAGCAACATATTGCTTTAACTGGACAATCTGTAACTTTGTAAAAGGACTCTCTTAGTAGCCTTGAAGCCTATTCTAAATTATTCTAATAGATAGGAGGGTTTCTATACTGGCCAATAAGTAAAGATATGATATTCCCAGGAATATCTGGTACCTAGGAAACTTCTGGTACCTCTCCACTCTTATTCTAGAGTGTGGTCCTCCCTGCCAGGCAATTTCATTTCCTCTAGGACAGTATAAATGAACAAGCCCCAGTGATTTGCCAGGGAATACATCACAGGTCAATAGCATCATTTAATTATTTTGAGTTCCAGCCTAATTGTGTTTCACATTGCCTGTTCTTTCCTACCACCAAAAGCTACGATGATGATAAACACACTCCATTAATATAAATTGCTTTTTCAGATAATGGAAACTATTTCTGGGACAGGCCTTCTAAAGTGGGAACAGTGGCTTTGTTCTCTAATGGAACTCAGTTTAGAAGAGGTGGGGGCTATGGAACCAGTGCCTTTATAACCCACGAAAGGCTGAAAAGCAGAGATTTTATAAAAGGAGATGATGTTTATATCCTACTGACAGTGGAAGGTATGTCAATAAAAATAGTTTTATATAAACTAGTTTTTTTTTGTTGTGGCCACTGATTATTTTCTGTTTTTCTTTCTGCATTCCACTTTTAGATGTATTATATAGAGATGTGGGGGGAATGGGCATGAATGGGGTTTGGGAGGAATATGAATTATTAACAATATGAAAATAATTTAATTTGAAACAGTGAGGATTCCAGAATAAAGAATTTAATGACCACCACATGAAGCTATAGCGGAAACCTTTAGGTTGGGAAATTTCTTTAGAAATAAGTTAAAATAGGCCGGGCGCAGTGGCTCATGCCTGTAATCCCAGCGCTTTGGGAGACCGAGGCGAGTGGATCACGAGGTCAGGAGATCGAGACCATCCTGGCTAACACGGTGAAACCCTGTCTCTACTAAAAACATAAAAAATTAGCTGGGCGTGGTGGCGGGCGCCTGTAGTCCCAGCTACTCGGGAGGCTGAGGCAGGAGAATGGTGTGAACCCGGGAGGCGGAGCTTGCAGTGAGCCAAGTTCGTGCCACTGCACTCCAGCCTGGGCCAAAGAGCGAGACTCCGTCTCAAAAAAAGAAAAGAAATAAGTTAAAATAGAACTATTATACCCTAGGATTCCTGAAATAAAAATATCACACAAGCACATGAAATTAAATGACTGGAAACGTCTGCATCTTACCTGTTTCAAATGTACATACATGCATACATATATGCATATATATATATATATATATATATATATATATATATATATATATATATATCTTGACAGAAATGACATTAATCTCTTGTTAGACTAATGTTAAATTTCTTACACCTGGCAGCCAATAAATACATTTTGCAGCAATTCTGGTGGTTTCTATTTTTTATGTGGTAGGATTTTAACTCATTTTCTATTAAAGACCCACTTGGATCTCAGTAAATCAGATTCTTGTTTGTGATGAAAGGTGGTGCAATTAAAACCCACAAAATTTTGACTCCAGTGTCCATTAGAGTAAATCTAGATGATACCTCTTGGAGAGATTATTCAGAAATAACTTCTGTTAAGAGAGAAAATATTTTATGTAGCAGAGAACAAAAATCAGTATGCATCAGTTCTCTTTGACCATAGCGATTTCAACCAGAAGCAATAACAAATACTGCAAAGAATGTAACACTGGTTGTCAGGGCACTTGGTGTCTTGCTCCAAATCTCCACCAATTTGCTCTACCAAGCCAGAGACCTGTGACCTTGGGCAATGCCCTCAATTACTTTACATTTCTGAGTTTTGGTTTCCTTATCTGTCTCTTGAAAGTTGGTATCAGTGGCTTGTACCCTTCTGGGCTCCCAGAATCCAGGCCAGCATGTGGTTGAGTTGGAGCCCCAGTAGGCTGGCCTAGTTTCCCTTTGCCTAGTTCTTATCTCGCTGCCTATGAATGTTGCTAGACTGTGCTTCAAGGATACCTGAATTTCTCACAAGCCTAAAATCTGATCATTGTCTATTCTGAAACTTAAGATTGGGCTTGGCATCATGGCTCACGCCTATAATCCCAGGACTCTGAGGCCGGAGTGGAAAGGCTGTCTGAGCCTGGGAGCAAAGACCAGCCTGGGCAACATTGCAAGATCTCACCTCTAAAAAAAAAAAAGAAAGAAAGAAAAAAGGAAAAAAGAAACATTAAAAGAAAATGAAAATTAAAGATCAAATGATTGTTAAACAAAAGCTGATTTCCATCCACACTCTTCCCCATCTTCCTAGACATATCTCACCTCAACTCTACACAAATCCAGCTAACACCAGCCCCTAGTGTTCAAGACCTCTGCTCAAAAACCACCTGTAAAAATGACGGTGTCTGCACTGTTCGAGATGGCAAAGCTGAGTGCAGGTAAGGATGATTTGAAAGAGATCTCTCCATTCTTTGGTTAGAAATTTTATTTCCATAATGTAGGATTAATTACTTAATAGTTCTTATGAATGAAATCAGTTGATTCTCATCTCACAGCCATTCATAGAATTTTTTTTTTATTCTCCTTTTGGGGCTTTGGATAACCTCAAGAACTATCTTTGTGATAGCCAACACAATTTTTTTATGAAAAAAATAGAACTCTATATTCTAATTGTCTGAAAAAGTCCTCATAACAGTCCAGTCATTTTAAGTGTAGCTGCCTCCATTTTCTAGATGAAGATACTGACGTTCTGAGGAGCCCTTGGCCAAGATGTGAATCTGGAGGGTGGCGGGCATGGGACACTGAGAACTAAACTTTCTCTGTTATCTGTGCTATCGGCCTTTCCTAACTTGGAGATACTGTTTTAGTATCAGATTAGGAGGAATTCCATTTTTTCTTTCCATTGTTTATACCTGTGCTCTAGGTGCTAGTCTCTCTCCAGTCCAGAGTGGGTAAAATAGTTTCATATAGCAATGACCTATTGGTGATCAAATAGACTAAAGGTGATCCACATCTTTAACTGTGAAGATTTCTGGAGTTAGATATCAACTAATAACTCTGAGTCATGCTCTCAACATGCAGGTGCCAGTCAGGGGAAGACTGGTGGTACATGGGAGAAAGGTGTGAAAAGAGAGGCTCCACCCGAGACACCATAGTCATTGCTGTTTCATCTACTGTTGCTGTGTTTGCCTTGATGCTGATCATCACCCTTGTCAGTGTCTATTGCACCAGGAAGAAATATCGTGAAAGGATGAGCTCAAATCGACCAAATTTGACTCCGCAAAATGTAAGTTGAGGCTGATGTTTGATTATTCATAACCTATTGGTGAAATCTTATGGAGAGGAACTAGGACATTTTTTATATACTTTGGTTCTTGCCTTCTTCTCTCTGTTTCCTATGCTGGGACAACTGATTTCAGATTATAAAAGTTCCTATTACTTTCACTGTAAATCAACGATTCTTAAACTGGGATTTATGGAGGTTCATTATCCTCCTGGAATTGTATACAACATTGTGTACAGTTGTGTGTGTGGGTTTTTTTCCTGGAGTGTGGGGTGGTCTGTGACCTGAAAGGCACAACTGATTTTGCCTGAAAGTTCAAACCTTCCTGGTAAAGGGAAGAGGTGGCCTGCAAGTGTTTTTGTTCTAAAGGTCTTGTAGTGGTGGTGAGCTGAGGCCATAGGAAGGGGATGCAGGCATGTTTGGGGAAGCTTTTTCATTAAAGAAGGTTCCAGTTCATTCTGGCTTCATGTGGAATAACTAATTCTAAGGCAAGTTTTCAAGTAAAGGATTTAAAGTCTTGCCTCAAAAAATCTCTAGAATGCTAATAGACTCCTGAAACGATCCTGTTTCCAGTGGGTCCCTTGGGAAGCTGACTCTGAGATGGATATTTGTACGCAGGAGGTTTATTGGGGAGGGCTCCTGGAACACGTATAATAGGCTGAGGGAGCTGGCCTGGGCAGAGGGTGAGGTTGGAATGTGATGTGGTTGCAGCTGAGGCCTCAGCCCATCCTTCAGGGAGCTCTGGAGTGGGGATGACTCCCTCTTAGGCACGTCCTGAATCGAGGGAGGGGGCCAGGCCTTTGTACTCCCATCACTGGAAGGGGGCTGCCCTCAAAGAGGGGGCATAAAATTGGGCAAGGCAACGGCCTTTGGGGGAGGGCATTTCTTGCATAACAGCCTTCATTCAAAGGGCAGGACAAAGCAGCAGTTCCCTAGCATCCACTACATACTCCAGCAGTAGAGTACAGAGTTTTACATGCAGATTCATATTCCTCTCAAAGAAGCACAGAGAAAGTGGCATAAAATCTGAGCATTACTTAAAAGTGAAGCCCTAAAATTCTTCCATTTCTATTTCATTCCAATTGGAGTCTCTGAAAATTGCTACTGAAGCCAGTCAGAAAAAATGCCCAATTAGAATATCTCCAAAAATAAAAATACTGCAATTGGCTAAAGCAAGAGTACATTTTCTTAAGAAAAACGATTATTCAAGACATACTATATTTAAAGCTACGAGTTTTTAAAGGGGACAGCCTGGTATCAAGTCAGTCAAAACATGAACAATGATAATGAACTGAAAGCAAATCGTTGTATTATCGTAGGCTGTTGTCCTATTTCCTCAACATCAGGAAGATGTTTAATGCTAATAATAAGGCAATAGATCAATTACTTCACAAAATTATTAGAAAAGTATTTAAAATATAAACAGGTTGTTTTGTTTTAAGACAACTTTCAGCTTATTTTATGACTCAAAATAAAAGGGGAAGATCAGTGAATACTTGGCCTGGTAGGTCAACCTGATGGCAGCTGTGCCTGCAAGTTCGGTCTCCTGGGCCATTGGGATGAGCCAGGAGTTGGTGCATGGAAGGTGGAAGAGTAGAAGGGCAGGAGGGGACAAGTTAACTGGGTGGATGGGATTGCCAGGATATTTCCCTGACAATGAATGGGTAGTGTAACAGCTGTTATAAGCAAGTATAAACTTGCTTAGCAAGTAAAAACTGGAAGGAGTTAAAGAAAAATGACAAAACCAAAGAGAAGAGAAAGAAGGAAGCTAGGAAGCTAAGTCAATAAAGCAGGGAAACCATGACAGTATTAGAGACATGGTAAGGATAGTAAGTGGAAACACACATGCACACACACACACACACACACTCCATAATATTACAACAGAGCTGTTTTGTTTCTGGGTCATTTAAACACATTCCTAAGGACAAGGCAGTTGACTTACATTATCTTAGGCTAGGCATTTCTACAGCTAATTCACTGGTAACAGATCTCCCAGATGTCGTTTAGATCTTAAATCAGAATGACCTTTTTTTCTGAGGCGAATGTATGTGTTCACCCTAATGTTTTAGCATCTGAATAATGTGGGCCCGAAAAGCCAGGGCTCGAAATGGAGACCAGGAGCAGGAGCCATTGCCAGCTAGGAGGGAGGCCAGGAGACTGCTGATGGGGACTTCATTTAAAGACCAGATCATTTTATTATGATTCATTTAAATAGCAGTTTTTAAATTTAGAAATTAAATCATCAATTGTTCTTTCCCCTTTTAGCAGCATGCTTTTTGAAGATTAACTCGACAATATGGCCAGCTAATGAAATTAAAAAGGATTCTTCATCATGGATTTCGCCTAAGTGATATTACAGCCACCTCATTCTTCTAAAAGTGGATATTTTTCTGTAAATAGCTGGAAATATTATAAATCACTATTTTGGTCAAAGTCAAATTGGTGAAATGCTGTTTGTGTTTCCTTCTTTTAAATGAGAGAAAAGCAATTCAGGCTCTTCTGGAAGTATAATATTGTCTAGAAAAAAGGGAGAGCAACAGTTAGAGATGGCTTTTCAAATTACTGATCCTTCCATATGGGGGCCAAGTGTGGTGTCCTCACAAGTGATTCCTTAGAAACCCACTAGAAACACCCAATGGGAATGATCATCCATGCAGAATCACAGCAGTTTCAGTGCCATCCTTTCCCAGCATTGGGAAGGGTAATGAGACAGCTCCCCACTCTCTGTCAATATACATTCTTCTCCAAAACTGGCTACTCTTGTTTTCTTATATAATCCCTTTGGTACATGAGCTTGGTTTAGAATTTGTTTGAGCATACGACTGTAATCAGCAAGAAAACCTTTCACTCTTTGAGTGGCAAGTCTCCAAGTTTTGGATCTCAGGAATCTTTACACTTTAAAAATTACTGAGGATCTCAAATAGGTTACTGAGGATCTCAAATAGATTACGGAGGATCTATTTTGCTTATGAGCAGTTCATTGATTTAAATAAGTGTTTATTAGAAATTCAAACCAGGAAAAACTTAATGTATTTATTAATCACAAAAAATAAGCCCCTTATATGCTAACATAAATATGAAAAGTCGCTATATTTTTCAAAACAGGAGAATATTTAGCAAAGAGAGGGGCATTGGTTTACATTTTTTGGGAAAATCTCTAATGCCTAGCTCAATAGAAGACAGCTGAGTTTTCACAGATGCTTCTGCATTTATTCTGTTGTGATATATTAATTTGTTTGAAGGATGTGAAGAAAATCTAACCTCACACAAATATGTACTTGGAAAAAGGAGGCATATTTGAATAGCTTTCTCAGGTAAATATGAATATTCTTTTGAAATAATTTTGTTAAAAGTTGACAATGGTAACTTCTTAAAGGTTAGTTGCAATCAAAATCCGAAACCATATCAATGAACTTTTGTATTCCGTCCTGTAAAATCCATTAGTCTATCCTGTATTTTGAGTCTTTCAGCTATGTCTCATATTGCAATACTGTGCATTGATCATTTAGAAAATATTGGTTCACTGAGTTCTGCAGCTTTTACAACATTTGACACATTTCATTATGCAGTATGAAAACAACATTAGTTAATTGCACTACTGATCTCATTTTAAAGTCTTTCATGCCTGTAACCCCAGCATTTTTGGGAGGCCGAGGCAGGTGGATCACTTGAGTCCAGGAGTTCGAGACCAGCCTGGACAACATAGGGAGACTCTGTCTCTACATATAAAAAAAATTATCTGGGTATGTTGGCACATGCTTGTGGTCCCAGCTACTTGGGAGGCTGAGGTGTGAGGATTGCTTGGGCCCAGGAGGTCAAGGCTGCAGTGAGCTGTGATTGCACCACTGCACTCCAGCCTGGCGGACAGAGCAAGACTTTGTGTTGAAATAAATAAGTAAATAAATGACTAACCCCCCCCCAAATTAAAAAATATATATATATTTTTAAAGTCTTTAAGTCTTGGGAAATTGTTATGCTCATGGTGGCAGAAACAAATTTTCCAAAATTTTAACTTTTGTTTGAAAGATTAAATTTTATCGTTGGCAACAAATCCCGTCTTTCTTGTAGCATCAGGATCACTTTACTCAATTTTTTAAATTCAAATTTTATTTTGAGATAATTGCAGTCACATACAGTAATATGAAATAATTCAGAGAGATCTGTCTACCCTTCACTCGGTTTCCCCTAATGGTAACATCTTGCAGAACTATATATACTACAATAGCATAATCAGGATATTGACATTGATACAGTCAAGACACAGAACATTTCCACTACCACAGGAATCCCTAAAGTTGCCTTTATAGAGCCACATCCATTTCCCTTTTCTCCCACCTCCCGTTTATTCTCTGGCAACCATTAATATGTTCTCTATATCATTTTGTTTTTTTTTAAAACGTTCTATTAATAGAACCATTCAGTGTGGCACATTTTGGAATTTGCTTCCCCCTGCCCTCTCAACTTAATTCTTTGCAGATTCATCCAGGTTATCATGCCCATGAGAAGTTTGTTGCTTTTTATTGGTGTTGTCCATGATATGGATGGACTAAAGTTTGTTGAATATTCATTGTTGAAGGACATCTGGGTTGTTACCAGTTTTTTGACTATTACAAATAAAGCTGTTATAAATGTTTGTGTACAAGCTTTTGAGTCTTCATTTCTCTGGGATATTGCATGTTTAGTTTTTAAAGAAACTACCAAAATGATTTGCAGAGCACTATACCATTTTGCCTTCCCACCAGCAATGGATGCATGATCCAGTTTCTCTGCATTTTCTCCAGTTCTTGGTATTGTCATGATTTTTTAAAAATACAGTTTATTTTTTAGAGCAGTTTTAGATTCACAATGAAACTGAACAAAAGTACACATACCTCTGTTTCCACAGATACACAGCCTCCCCCGCTATCAACATCCTGCACCCGAATGGTACATTTGTTACAATTGATGAACCTTCATTGACACATCAGTATCACTGAAAGTCCACCATTTACATTAGGCTTATTCTTGGAGTTGTACAATCTATAGGTTCTATAAGTGTATAATAACGTGTATCCACCATGGTAGTATCATACAAAATAGCTTCACTTCCCTAAAAATCCTCTATACTCTGCCCATTCATCCTTCCTCCCCACCAACCACTGGTAACCACTGAGTCTTACTGTCATCATAGTTTTGCCTTTTCTAAAATATCATAGAGTTGGGATGATATGGTATGTAGCCTTTTTAGATGCATCTTTTTCACTTATCGTCAGTATTTTTTTATTTTAGCCATTCTGATAAATATGTGGTGATATTGCATCATGGTTTTCATTTGCAGTTCCTAATAGCTAATAATATTGAACTTATTTTCATGTGTTTATTTCCCATCTGCATATTCTCTTGAGTGAAATATCTCTTCATGTCTTTTGCTCATGCTCTAATCATCTAATCAGATTTTTTTTTTTTTTTTTTTTTTTTTTTTTTTTTTTTTTTTAGGCAGTCTCACTCTGTCGCCCAGGTTAGAGTGCAGTGGTGCAATCTTGGCTCACTGCAACTTCCGCCTCCTGGGTTCAAGTGATTCTCAGCCTCAGCCTCTTGCGTAGCTGGAATTAGAGGTGTGAGCCATCATTCCTGGCTCCAAGCTTTTTTGTTCTTACATTATTGTATTTTGAGAGTTCTTTACATATGCTATATACTATTCCTTTGTCAGATATGTCATTTAGAAATACATTTTCCCACTCTGTAGCTTATCTTTTTATTCTCTTAACAAGGTGTTTAGCAGAGCGAAAGTTTTAAATTTTGATGAAATCCAATTTATCAATTTTTCCTTTTAATGGATTGAATTTTTGGTGTAAAGCCTAAGAACCCTCTGCCTAGCCCTACATCCTGAGGATTTTCTCCTATATCTTAAAAAAAGTTTTATAATTTTATGTTTTACATTTAAGCCAGTAATATAGTTTGAGTTAATTTTTGTATAAGGTGTGAGGTTTAGGTTAAGACTCATTTTTTTGGGGGGGGGGATGCTTATGGATGTCCAATTGCTACAGCACTATTTGTTGAAAAGCTATCTTTCCTCTATTGGTTTGTTTTTGCATTTTTGTTTAACATATTTGTGTGGGTCTATTTCTAGATTGTCTATTCTATTTCATTAATCTATGCATCTACTCTTCTACCAACACCATAGACTTTTGATTACTATATAGTCTTGATTATATAATCTTTCTCTGCCAATGCCATACAGTCTTGATTACTACACATATACTATAGCTGTGTTGTAAGTTTTAAAATTGGGTAGACTGATTCCTCCCACTTTATTATTTTTTCTTCAAAACTGTTTTAGTTATACTAGTTTCTTTTTCTTTCTACATAAATTTTAGAATAATCTTGTCTATATCTGAAAAAAGCTCTTGCTGAGATTTTGACAAGAATTGAATTAAATCTGAATATCAATTTTGGGAGAATTGACACCTTTTTACTAAGTTGAGTCTTCCAATCCATGAGCATAGTTTCTCTCTCCCTTTCTTATGTTCCTTTTTGATTTCTTTCTTCAGCATTGTCTAGGTTTCAGCATACAAGTCCCGTGCATGCTCTGTTAGATTTACATCTGTGTGTATCTCATTTTAGGAGTAACTATTTTAATTAATTAATTTATTTAGAGATAGAGTCTCGCTCTGTCACCCAGGCTGGAGTGCAGTGGTGCGATCTCGGCTCACTGCGACCTCTGCCTCCCAGGTAGCTAGGATTGGCCTCAGCCTCCCGAGTAGCTGCCTCAGCCTTCCGAGTAGCTAGGATTACAGGCGCCTGCCGCCACACCTGGCTAATATTTTTGTATTTTTGTAGAGACGGGGGTTTCACCATGTTGGCCAGGCTGGTCTCAAACTTCTGACCTCAGGTGATCCACTGCTTCTGCCTTCCAAAGTGCTGGGATTACAGGTACAAGCCACCACGCCCAGCATTGAAACTATTATTATAAATGCTATCATATTTTAAATTTTGGTGCCCATGTGTTTATTGCTACTATATAGTAATGTAACTGATTTTTATATATTGAACTTGTGTCCTGAGCTAGCTTAATTCTAGGAGAGTTTTTTTTTTTTTTTTGTAGATTCTTTGAGATTTTTTTTTACTTAGACGATCATGCTATTCACAAATAGGGACAGTTTTATTTTATTTTTTCTAATCTGTATGCCTTTTATTTCCTTTCTTGCCTGTTGCACTGACTAGAACGTCCAGAACTACACTGAATAGAGTGATGAAAGTGGATGTTCTGGCCTAGTTTTCAGTCTTGGAAAAGCATTCAGTCTTTCATTATTAGGTATAATGTTATCTGTAGGATTTGTATAGATTCTCTTTTTCAAGTTGAGGAAGTTTTTCTCTATTTCTATTTTTCTGGAAGTTTTTATCATAAATGAGTGTAGAATTGTTTTCAATGCTTTTTCTGTACCAATCTATGTAATCATGAGATTTTTATTCTTTAACTGGTTAATACTGTGGATTACATTGATTGATTCTGAATATTGAACCAATCTTACTTCCTGGAAGAAGCCACACTTGGTCATGGTGTATGATTCTTTTTATGTATTGCTGAATTGTATTTGCTTATATTTTGTTAAATATTTTTGCCTCAATTCATAAGGGATATTGGTCTGTTGGGTTTTCTTTTTTGTTTTTCTTTTTGAGACCGAGTCTCACTCTTGTCACCCAGGCTGGAGTGCAGTGGCATTATCTTGGCTTACTGCAACCTCTGCCTCCCAGGTTCAAGCAATTCTTGTGCCTCAGCCTCCCAAGTAGCTGGGATAACAGGCGCCCACCACCACACCCAGCTAATTTTTGTATTTTTAGTAGAGACAGGGTTTCACCATATTGGCCAGCCTGGTCTCGCACTCCTGGCCTCAAGGGATCCACTTGCCTCTGTCACCCAAAGTGCTGGGATTACAGGTGTGAGCCACGGCACCCGGTCAGGTTTTCTTTTTCAGTACTGTCTTTATCTGGTTTTGATATCTGGATACTACTAGCTTCTTAAAATGAACTGGAAAATGTTGGCTCCTCTTCTATTTTGTTGGGGGAGAGGGAAGGGATTGTGTAGAATTGGTGTTAATTCTTTAAATGTTTAGTAGAATTTTCAGTAAAACCATTTGGGCCTGGAATTTCTTTTGGGGGAGTTTTAAAATTATGAATTCAACTTTTTAAAATAGTTACAGGGCTAGTCAAATGATCTATTTCATATTTCATGAAGGTTATAGTGGCTGTATTTCAAAAAATTTGATCAACTTCTTCAAAGCTGTCCAAGTTATGTGTGTATTGTTGTTTGGTGGAATTGCTGGGCCACATGGTAATTTTGTGTTAACTTTTTGAAGAATTATCAAATTATTTTCTATAGCAGCCGAACCATTTTACGTTCACACCATCAATGTGTGAGAGTTCCAAATTCACCATATTCTTTCCAATATTATTTTCTATTTTTAAAAGTTGTAACCATCCTAGTGGGTGTGAAGTGGTATCTTGCCATGGGCTCACCATTACTTTTGCACTAGGAGTTCAAATGTAAACACAGTGAAAGAGGCCAATAACATCTTAGCAGTAATAGGAAAATATTTTGAATCTCAATGACCCATGGAAGGATCTCAGAGGTTGCAGGGTCTGTGAACCACCCTTTCAGAATAACTGCCCTAGTTGAACTCTATGCAGGCAGTAATAGTAGACCTTTCTTTACCTGGCTAGTGACATTTCAGATGATTTTTCATGGCTTCTTACCTTTCATAAGGGGTAAATATGGGGTTAGTGGTTAAGACCATGAGCTTTTGCATCAGATAGACCTGAATTTCAATCCTGGACCAGTAATTACTGTTATGCAATTTTGGGAGGCTTCCTAATTCTCTGAGCCTCAATTTCCTCAGCTATAAAATGGGAACAATAATCACTGCACCATGGAATTCCTATGAGGTCAAATAAAATAATAAGTACAGATTTTTTGGTATGTAGCAGACATTCAACAAATGGTAGATATAAAAAGTAGGTAGTTTTAAAAGTGTGATGTACTTTATTACCTAAACAGGAACAATTTTGAGGGTGAAAAAGGTGATGTAAAAAATGACTGTGGGCTGGGTGCAGTGGCTCAAGCCTGTAATCCCAGCACTTTGGGAGGCCAAAGCAGGCAGATCACCTGAGGTCAGGAGTTTGAGACCAGCCTGGCCACCATGGCGAAACCCTGTCTCTACTAAAAATACAAAAATTAGCCAGGCATGGTGGTGCATGCCTGTAGTGCCAGCTACTCAGGAGGCTGAGGCAGGAGAATTGCTTGAACCTGGGAAATGGAGGCTCCAGTGAGCCAAGATCACACCACTGCACTACAGCCTGGGCTTCAGAGCAAGACTTCACACCAAAAAAAAAAAAAAAAAAAAAGACTGTGGACAGCAGACTTTGGCTGTCCCTGGCAAACCTGGAAGTGTGGTCACCCCCAAAAAAGGAAGGTGTAGCAAGTCACTTTAGTGACAGAAGAATAATTGTGGCCCACATGCTGGTGGTGAAGGTGGAGACTCTGGAGCCAGATGGCTTGGGTTTGAATCCCAGCCACACACTAACTAGTTGTGTGCATTTAGACAAGTTACTTAATGTCTCTATGCCTTAATTCCCTCATCTCTATAATGAGTAATAAAAATACACATCTTGTAATGTTGTTGCAAGAATTAAATTACATAACACATGTAAAGTGTTTAGAACAGTGTTTGGCACACCATAAGCTCTGTGTAAGTAAGAATGGCTAGTGCTAGAAGAGGAAATATGAGGGGATGATAGAAAGCAGGGGGCGGTAGAAAAGCAGGAGGAAGAACATTAGAGAAAAACAGATTATTCTCAGTGAACTGGGGAAAGGAAGGAGGAGGATGAAGAGGGGGAACTGAATAAAAGTAGTTTTTCAATAGATGATATGGTTTGGCTCTGGGTCCCCACCCAAATCTCTTCTTGAATTGTAATCCTCACTTGTGGAGGAAGGGACCTGTAATCCCCATGTGTCAAGGGTGGGAGGTGATGGATTACGGCGGCGGTTTTCCCCATGCTGTACTCCTCATAGTGAGTGAGTTCTCACGAGATCTGATGGCTTTATAAGGGGCTCTCCTGCTTTGGTTTCCTTTTTTTTTTTTTTTTTATTATACTTTAAGTTTTAGGGTACATGTGCACAATGTGCAGGTTAGTTACATATGTATACATGTGCCATGCTGGTGCGCTGCACCCACTAACTCGTCATCTAGCATTAGGGATATCTCCCAATGCTATCCCTCCCCCCTCCTCCCATCCCACGACAGTCCCCAGAGTGTGATGTTCCCCTTCCTGTGTCCATGTGTTCTCACTGTTCAATTCCCACCTATGAGTGAGAATATGCGGTGTTTGGTTTTTTGTTCTTGCAATAGTTTACTGAGAATGATGATTTCCAATTTCATCCATGTCCCTACAAAGGACATGAACTCATCATTTTTTATGGCTGCATAGTATTCCATGGTGTATATGTGCCACATTTTCTTAATCCAGTCTATCATTGTTGGACATTTGGGTTGGTTCCAAGTCTTTGCTATTGTGAATAATGCCGCAATAAACATACATGTGCATGTGTCTTTATAGCAGCATGATTTATAGTCCTTTGGGTATATATCCAGTAATGGGATGGCTGGGTCAAATGGTATTTCTAGTTCTAGATCCCTGAGGAATCGCCACACTGACTTCCACAATGGTTGAACTAGTTTACAGTCCCACCAACAGTGTAAAAGTGTTCCTATTTCTCCACATCCTCTCCAGCACCTGTTGTTTCCTGACTTTTTAATGATCGCCATTCTAACTGGTGTGAGATGGCATCTCATTGTGGTTTTGATTTGCATTTCTCTGATGGCCAGTGATGGTGAGCATTTTTTCAGGTGTTTTTTGGCTGCATAAATGTCTTCTTTTGAGAAGTGTCTGTTCATGTCCTTTGCCCACTTTTTGATGGGGTTGTTTGTTTTTTTCTTGTAAATTTGTTTGAGTTCATTGTAGATTCTGGATATTAGCCCTTTGTCAGATGAGTAGGTTGCAAAAATTTTCTCCCATTTTGTAGGTTGCCTGTTCACTTTGATGGCAGTTTCTTTTGCTGTGCAGAAGCTCTTTAGTTTAATTAGATCCCATTTGTCAATTTTGGCTTTGGTTGCCATTGCTTTTGGTGTTTTAGACATGAAGTCCTTGCCCATGCCTATGTCCTGAATGGTAATGCCTAAGTTTTCTTCTAGGGTTTTTATGGTTTTAGGTCTAACGTTTAAGTCTTTAATCCATCTTGAATTGATTTTTGTATAAGGTGTAAGGAAGGGATCCAGTTTCAGCTTTCTACATATGGTTAGCCAGTTCTCCCAGCACCATTTATTAAATAGGGAATCCTATCCCCATTGCTTGTTTTTCTCAGGTTTGTCAAAGATCAGATAGTTGTAGATATGCGGCGTTATTTCTGAGGGCTCTGTTCTGTTCCATTGATCTATATCTCTGTTTTGGTACCAGTACCATGCTGTTTTGGTTACTGTAGCCTTGTAGTATAGTTTGAAGTCAGGTAGTGTGATGCCTCCAGCTTTGTTCTTTTGGCTTAGGATTGACTTGGCGATGCGGGCTCTTTTTTGGTTCCATATGAACTTTAAAGTAGTTTTTTCCAATTCTGTGAAGAAAGTCATTGGTAGCTTGATGGGGATGGCATTGAATCTGTAAATTACCTTGGGCAGTATGGCCATTTTCACGATATTGATTCTTCCTACCCATGAGCATGGAATGTTCTTCCGTTTGTTTGTATCCTCTTTTATTTCCTTGAGCAGTGGTTTGTAGTTCTCCTTGAAGAGGTCCTTCACATCCCTTGTAAGTTGGATTCCTAGGTATTTTATTCTCTTTGAAGCAATTGTGAATGGGAATTCACTCATGATTTGGCTCTCTGTTTGTCTGTTGTTGGTGTATAAGAATGCTTGTGATTTTTGTACATTGATTTTGTATCCTGAGACTTTGCTGAAGTTGTTTATCACCTTAAGGAGATTTTGGGCTGAGACAATGGGGTTTTCTAGATATACAATCATGTCGTCTGCAAACAGGGACAATTTGACTTCCTCTTTTCCTAATTGAATACCCTTTATTTCCTTCTCCTGCCTAATTGCCCTGGCCAGAACTTCCAACACTATGTTGAATAGGAGTGGTGAGAGATGGCATCCCTGTCTTGTGCCAGTTTTATCTATTGAGATAATCATGTGGTTTTTGTCTTTGGTTCTGTTTATATGCTGGATTACATGTATTGATTTGCGTATATTGAACCAGCCTTGCATCCCAGGGATGAAGCCCACTTGATCATGGTGGATAAGCTTTTTGATGTGCTGCTGGATTCAGTTTGCCAGTATTTTATTGAGGATTTTTGCATCAATGTTCATCAAGGATATTGGTCTAAAATTCTCTTTTTTGGTTGCGTCTCTGCCTGGCTTTGGTATCAGGATGATGCTGGCCTCATAAAATGAGTTAGGGAGGATTCCCTCTTCTTCTATTGATTGGAATAGTTTCAGAAGGAATGGTACCAGTTCCTCCTTGTACCTCTGATAGAATTCGGCTGTGAATCCATCTGGTCCTGGACTCTTTTTGGTTGGTAAGCTATTGATTATTGCCACAATTTCAGGTCCTGTTATTGGTCTATTCAGAGATTCAACTTCTTCCTGGTTTAGTCTTGGGAGAGTGTATGTGTCGAGGAATTTATCCATTTCTTCTAGATTTTCTAGTTTATTTGCATAGAGGTGTTTGTAGTATTCTCTGATGGTAGTTTGTATTTCTGTGGGATCGGTGGTGATATCCCCTTTATCATTTTTTATTGCGTCTATTTGATTCTTCTCTCTTTTTTTCTTTATTAGTCTTGCTAGCGGTTTATCAATTTTGTTGATCCTTTCAAAAAACCAGCTCCTGGATTCATTAATTTTTTGAAGGGCTTTTTGTGTCTCTATTTCCTTCAGTTCTGCTCTGATTTTAGTTACTTCTTGCCTTCTGCTAGCTTTTGAATGTGTTTGCTCTTGCTTTTCTAGTTCTTTTAATTGTGATGTTAGGGTGTCAATTTTGGATCTTTCCTGCTTTCTCTTGTGGGCATTTAGTGCTATAAATTTCCCTCACACACTGCTTTGAATGCATCCCAGAGATTCTGGTATGTTGTGTCTTCGTTCTCGTTGGTTTCAAAGAACATCTTTATTTCTGCCTTCATTTCGTTATATACCCAGTAGTCATTCAGGAGCAGGTTGTTCAGTTTCCATGTAGTTGAGTGGTTTTGAGTGAGATTCTTAATCCTGAGTTCTAGTTTGATTGCACTGTGGTCTGAGAGATAGTTTGTTATAATTTGTGTTCTTTTACATTTGCTGAGGAGAGCTTTACTTCCAAGTATGTGGTCAATTTTGGAATAGGTGTGGTGTGGTGCTGAAAAAAATGTATATTCTGTTGATTTGGGGTGGAGAGTTTGGTAGATATCTATTAGGTCCGCTTGGTGCAGAGCTGAGTTCAATTCCTGGGTATCCTTGTTGACTTTCTGTCTCGTTGATCTGTCTAATGTTGACAGTGGGGTGTTAAAGTCTCCCATTATTATTGTGTGGGAGTCTAAGTCTCTTTGTAGGTCACTCAGGACTTGCTTTATGAATCTGGGTGCTCCTGTATGGGGTGCATATATATTTTTGATAGTTAGCTCTTCTTGCTGAATTGATCCCTTTACCATTACGTAATGGCTTTCTTTGTCTCTTTTGATCTTTGTTGGTTTAAAGTCTGTTTTATCAGAGACTAGGATTGCAACCCCTGCCTTTTTTTGGTTTCCATTTGCTTGGTAGATCTTCCTCCATCCTTTTATTTTGAGCCTATGTGTGTCTCTGCACGTGAGATGGGTTTCCTGAATACAGCACACTGATGGGTCTTGACTCTTTATCCAATTTGCCAGTCTGTGTCTTTTAATTGGAGCATTTAGTCTATTTACATTTAAAGTTAATATTGTTATGTGTGAATTTGATCCTGTCATTATGATGTTAGCTGGTGATTTTGCTCGTTAGTTGATGCAGTTTCTTCCTAATCTCGATGGTCTTTACGATTTGGCATGATTTTGCAGCGGCTGGTACTGGTTGTTCCTTTTCATGTTTAGTGCTTCCTTCAGGAGCTCTTTTAGGGCAGGCCTGGTGGTGACAAAATCTCTCAGCATTTGCTTGTCTGTAAAGTATTTTATTTCTCCTTCACTTATGAAGCTTAGTTTGGCTGGATATGAAATTCTGGGTTGAAAATTCTTTTCTTTAAGAATGTTGAACATTGGCCCCCACTCTCTTCTGGCTTGTAGAGTTTCTGCTGAGAGATCCGCTGTTAGTCTGGTGGGCTTCCCTTTGAGGGTAACCCGACCTTTCTCTCTGGCTGCCCTTAACATTTTTTCCTTCATTTCAACTTTGGTGAATCTGACAATTATGTGTCTTGGAGTTGCTCTTCTCGAGGAGTATCTTTGTGGCGTTCTCTGTATTTCCTGAATCTGAATGTTGGCCTGTCTTGCTAGATTGGGGAAGTTCTCCTGGATAATATCCTGCAGAGTGTTTTCCAATTTGGTTCCATTCTCCCCGTCACTTTCAGGTACACCAATCAGACGAATATTTGGTCTTTTCACATAGTCCCATATTTCTTGGAGGCTTTGCTCGTTTATTTTTATTCTTTTTTCTCTAAACTTCCCTTCTCGCTTCATTTCATTCATTTCATCTTCCATCGCTGATACCCTTTCTTCCGGTTGATCGCATCGGCTCCTGAGGCTTCTGCATTCTTCATGTAGTTCTCAAGCCTTGGTTTTCAGCTCCATCAGCTCCTTTAAGCACTTCTCTGTATTGGTTATTCTAGTTATACATTCTTCTAAATTTTTTTTCAAAGTTTTCAACTTCTTTGCCTTTGGTTTGAATGTCCTCCCATAGCTCGGAGTAATTTGATCGTCTGAAGCCTTCTCTCAGTTTGTCAAAGTCATTCTCCATCCAGCTTTGTTCCGTTGCTGGTGAGGAACTGCGTTCCTTTGGAGGAGGAGAGGCGCTCTGCTTTTTAGAGTTTCCAGTTGTTCTGCTCTGTTTTTTCCCCATCTTTGTGGTTTTATCTACTTTTGGTCTTTGATGATGGTGATGTACAGATGGGTTTTTGGTGTGGATGTCCTTTCTGTTTGTTAGTTTTCCTTCTAACAGACAGGACCCTCAGCTGCAGGTCTGTTGGAGTACTGACACCTGTGAGGTGTCAGTCTGCCCCTGCTGGGGGGTGCCTCCCAGTTAGGCTGCTCGGGGGTCAGGGGTCAGGGACCCACTTGAGGAGGCAGTCTGCCCGTTCTCAGATCTCCAGCTGCGTGCTGGGAGAACCACTGCTCTCTTCAAAGCTGTCAGACAGGGACATTTAAGTCTGCAGAGGTTACTGCTGTCTTTTTGTTTGTCTGTGCCCTGCCCCCAGAAGTGGAGCCTACAGAGGCAGGCAGGCCTCCTTGAGCTGTGGTGGGCTCCACCCAGTTCGAGCTTCCCGCCTGCTTTGTTTACCTAAGCAAGCCTGGGCAATGGCGGCCGCCCCTCCCCCAGCCTCGCTGCCGCCTTGCAGCTTGATCTCAGACTGCTGTGGTAGCAATCAGCGAGACTCCGTGGGTGTAGGACCCTCTGAGCCAGGTGCGGGATATAATCTCCTGGTGCTCCGTTTTTTAAGCCCGTTGGAAAAGCGCAATATTCGGGTGGGAGTGATCTGATTTTCCAGGTGCCGTCTGTCACCCCTTTCTTTGACTAGGAAAGGGAACTCCCTGACCCCTTGCGCTTCCCGAGTGAGGCAATGCCTCGCCCTGCTTTGGCTCGCGCACGGTGTGCACACCCACTGTCCTGTGCCCACTGTCTGGCACTCCCTAGTGAGATGAACCCGGTACCTCAGATGGAAATGCAGAAATCACCCGTCTTCTGCGTCGCTCATGCTGGGAGCTGTAGACCGGAGCTGTTCCTATTCAGCCATCTTGGCTCCTCCCCCTCCTGCTTTGCTTTCTCCTCTCTCTCCTGCTACCATGTAAGACGTGCCTGCTTCCCCTTCCATCATGATTGTAAGTTTCCTGAGGCCTCCCCACCCATGCAGAACTGCTAGTCAATTAAACTTCTTCCTTTATAAATTATCCAGTCTCTGGTATTTCTTTATAGCAGAGTGAAAATAAACTAATATAAGTCTGATTAGCAAAAGCAATAGCATATGTGCCTTTCCTTGCAGTATGTGTTTAGGATGGTTTACAATCAAAATCCCGATTAAGAAAAGTCAGCCCTTTGAAGGTTAATCTCATCATTGTTTTCTATGTAGAGCCATGCCATTTGAGCCACAAGTTCTCTGGTTCTCTTGGGTGGTTACCTACTACCAAGTTATGGGTAAACTGTTACTGCTCCATAATAAAAAAATTCTCAAATTGAGATCAAGATAAATTTTTGAGAATTTTATATTTTACTCTAGGGTCAACAGAAGAAAAAAACCTTCAGTTTCTTATATGGGAACATAATCATATTACTCATATGTAATATAAGAATATATCATAAGGACAAATCAATGATCAGGTATCTATACATTTTAGTCAAATGACATTTATTAATATCATGTAGCTATATTTGGTCCAAATTTTAGTGACCTGTTAGTTTCAGACTTTAAGTTTTTTGATAGTATATGGATTTTTGCTTTATAGTTGTTTTTAAAGATTATGACTGGGGCATATAACAGTTTACTTAGTTGTGCATAATTGGTAGCAAACGTTTCCTCTTTTTCAATTATAGGAGAACTCCCATCCCATATCCAGTTATTTTTAAAGTAAGAGGGGAAATGGAACCATGTCAGTCGGTCATGGCCCAGTACTTACAATGGGTACCAGGAGTACCAGGTAGTAAGTAGCAGGAGACTTTCGTTTGATTACTTTTTCTATGGTTCCCCGTGATTATTTAAGATAAATGTCCTAAGGTAATAATTAACTGCTTCCCAAGTGGGAGTTCAAGAATTTTCAGTATTGTTTCAAAGCAGAGAATAGGTCCCTCTATGGAAGGTCTCAGTGCCGTAGAAAGAGGGGATTGGCTTTGCTAATCTCCAGATTTGGTTCCCTGCTAGCCTTTGATAGTTCCCTACCCCTTACGACAGCAAGCTGTCAAGATAGACTTGTGAGGCCTATCATTGCACGTTTGTGATGCCATTGGGTTCTACCAGTTTTGACTGACAAGGGACAATGGATATTTGTGGAAAATGGACTCCTTTGTGGCTGTAACATAATTAATTTTCAATTCATGTGGACTACTAGCTTTAAAATGATGAGATTCTTGAAGAGTTTTTAATTTGGGATGTTTCACATTATTTTAAATTTTGTACAGAGACTTTATGACTGCATTTAATAGTGTGTTATTTCAAATTTAAAGTTCCACATTTTGCATGGAATTTTGCCACATCACATTTCATAGGCAAAATTATCCTCTAGTAGTTGAATACTCAGGGAAGCATATACCCTCATTCTCTCTTTTGGGCCTATTGGCACCCAGGGAAATTAATGAGTTAATCTATTTTCTTAAATACCAGGGAGAGATTGAACATTATTTAATCTGTGGGCTCAAAATGGCCTTAAAGTTCCTGCATTTCTACTGATATCACTAGTTAGGCCCTGGAAAAAACAGGACTCCATTCAGATTCAGATCATCTTCCGTATCAGTAATCGTACTTAAGTAAGTGTGTGGACTGCAGGAAAGACAATTATCCTTTGGTATCTACAGTCTTAACATAAAACCAAATTTCACCACTGAAGTCAAGTCTGACTGCTAGAGTCATTAGATTGGAAGCTTCTATAACATTAACCCCAGTGTGAGATGTATTTTACATTAGAAATGAAGGGCTTGCCATCTTTAGAGCTGCCGATTATGAGAAATTTCTTCAGTGTTCTCAGATGCCTGTGAAAACCTGTTTTGGAAAGATATAATTAATCACTGGCCATTTAAATAGCCATGAGATTTTATTTCAGACTAGCTTGGGAGGTGGAAACAGACCCTTCAAGGTGGATATGCATGAGTTTTAAGATCTTAGAGATCATCACTCCCTGCTCTGAGGGAATAATGCAGTTTTGGAGGAAGGGACACTGTACTCAGGTCTAGCCTCTGTGTCAGGTGTTTTGTATATGATTTTACTTAATCCTCCAAACAGTCTTTTGTGATAGGGGACATTGTTAATCCTCATTTGGCGGAGGAGAAGTACTGGGGTCAGAATTTGGTCAGTCTGGCCATCAAGTCATGCCTCTTCTGTGAGGCCACCGCGCAGTCCCCAAGCAGCACATGCCACCCCAGGAGGGTCCCATCATGCCTCAGGAGGGGGAGAGGGTGCAACCTGTCTCCCCTTTAAGTGCAACTTACACAGAACCTACATGGAGATCTTTAAGGTGGTAAATGACCAAGCAGAGCCCAATCAAATCAATGCTCTACCACCAAAACGAATGGAAAGGAAATTAGACCAGTAAGTGTGAGAATGGAGGTAAAAATCAGATTTGCAATTTGACTGAGACTACAAAGCCATTCCTCAGACTCAGCAGCCTACTGTCCTAGGGAACTTACTTGACCTGCCAATAAAAGGATTGGTCCTCTCACCTAAGGCCTTTTCTCATCTCTGCTTTTAACTGCTTTTGATCTCCCTAAGAGTTAAAGCTAATTTCCAGGTTTCAAAATTCAGTAAGCCCTTCTGCCCAGGAGCTGATGGCCATAGCAGTTTCCAGAAAGACAGCTTGAGGTCCTCTTTCTGCTACAGTTCCACCCACATGTGTGTATGTATCTGAACAGATCTCCTAGGAGCCTAGGAAAGTATACACAGACAGGAGAAGGAGAAAGAGAGAAGTACAACATTTCCCTTTTTAATTTTTTAAGTGATTACATTTTTAACATATTTTTCCAGTAACTACAATTAGAACATCTACTCTGTGAGGGGATTTGTTTTAAAGGATCTGATTTCTATATCCTTTTATATAACTGCCTCAAGTGTCTATAACTTAGATACGGTGCTGGGTTAGCTATCTAGGCTTTTAAATTTTCCTTTTCCAAGTATTTTCAAATATTCCTATTTTGGGTTTTTCTTGTGTTCTTACTCTAATGGTCATAATAAAAAGACTCAATATTTCGTTATTTTTCTGATCATTGTATAACAAAGCAAAACAAAAAACATCCCAGGTCCTCAAGAACTTATCTTCTCTGGATGAATAGTTCTAGGGCAAAGGTTTCCCCTTCCTGGCAGATGACTCAGTTGTTATAAACCTTAATGACAGTGATTGGTACACCTTAAAGCAGCTAGGATTGTGAAACATTTCATTTTAGATGGAGCCTTGGAAAAGGATCACATGTAATAAGTACGTGGAATTGTCAGGATGGTGGTGATAATGCACCAGGCACCAGCTGATTAGGCAGCCCCTGTACCATCAGTAACAAACACTGTCTTATCTGTAAACCTTAGCCACGACAGCACCCTCCTCATGAGGAAATTCTCAGTTTCCAGTTTGGCAGTATTTCATGAATTAATTCTCATAGTCCTCTGAAAGTTTCTAAGCCAATATTACGGTAAATATAAAAAAGGCAATTGGCTGGGCACCAAGGCTTATGCTTGTAATTCCAACATTTTGGGAGGCCAAGGCAGGAGGATTGTTTGAGGTCAAGAGTTTGAGACCAGCCTGGGCAACATACAGAGACGCTATCTTTAAAAAAAAAATAGCTGGGCATGGTGGCGTGTGCCTGTGACTGCAGCCACTCAGGAGGCTGAGGTGGGAGGTTCCCTTGAGCCCAGGAGTTAGAGGCCGTGGTGAGCTATGATCACACCACTGCACTCCAGCCTGAGCAAGCAAGACACTGTCTCTAAAAACAGAAAGAAAGTAAAATAAAATAAATAAAAAAGATAGTTAGTATTGGCTGGCCATGGTGGCTCATGCCTGTAATCCTAGCATTTTGGGAGGCTGAGACTGGTGGATCACTTAAGGCCAGGACTTCATGACCAGCCTGGCCAACATGGTGAAACCTCCATCTCTAAAAAAAAAGAAGAAGAAGAAAAGAAGATAGTTAATATCAAAAAAACCAAAACAAAAACAGAATACACTTCTCTCCTTGGAAGCTCCAACAGTCCCAAGAAACATCCATTTTCTACTCTGAATCTCCCTCCCGTTTGTGTCTTCTTTTGGCAGGTGCTGCCTCTGTGTTATTCTTTCTTCTGGTTTTAGCTTTTTGGATCATTTATAGTGACAGTGTAGGATACAAAGGAATAGTGAAGGAAGGGGAAGCTGAAGAATGATGGCCCTGAATGACCAAATGGGAATGTGTACTTGAGATAATGCTCCGGGAGCCCCCAGATTAGTGACATTCATAAGCTATGTGATTGCCAACCTACAAAGCAGCCCACAAAAAAGAAGGAATTCCTGTTAAATAGGGTCCACCGAAACAGACCACTTTCTCCAGGTGTCACGCTGGGTTTTTATGTCTTCCAGCTAGTAAGTGCTGGAGCTGGGATTTGACTAGGGAGAGAGGAGCTGGGGGACTAAGGGAGACTCATAACTGAAGAGTCCCTGTATTCAGCCGCAGATTGTACAAGAAATGAGAGAGAAATTGTAGCTGCCTTTAAAGACAGTGCAGTCACTGTTGGTTAGTGATAGATATCCCAACGGAATCCAGAGAAGGGAGAAAAAAATCTAGGAACAGCTTCAGGACTCCTTGGGTTATAAGAGAAAAATTTACAAGTTGGCTGAAGCAGATTGGGACTTACTGGCTTGCAAGTTTGAAACTTGGGAAGGCTGGGGCTCAAGCTGGCCCCAGGAATGACAGGAATCAGAAACTTGCATGCCACCAGGACTTCCTCTTGTCCTCTGTTCTCCCGCCTGCACCTCTCTCTGTGTGTTGGCTTTGTTCTATCCAACCAGTTCTTTCTCTGTGGCAGGGGATGTGGCTGTAGGCAGTGCCAGACTGAGGTCCTAACAGCTCTGCCACAGACAGGACATGGTTCTTTCTGCCTCCAGCTCCATTTTGGAGCATTGCGGTGAAATATTTTGCTTGCCCTGACTTAGCTATTTGCCAATTTCTTGCGGCCAGGGGTGAGGTGTCATGATTGGCTCAGTTTGGCTCAAGTACTCACCCCTGTGGCCAGGAGGGGGATGGAAACACGGCCTTGGGAACTCAAGATTGAGAGGCCACTGCATTTTGTGTCAGCTACAAATAACTAATCTTGAATGATTTAAAAAATAATAATTTTTGCCTGTAATCCCAGCACTTTGGGAGGCTGAGGTGGGTGGATCACCTGAGGTTAGGAGTTCGAGACCAGCCTGGCCAACATGGCGAAACCCCATCTCTGCTAAAAATACAAAAAATTAGCTAGGTGTGCTGGTGGGCATCTGTAATCCCAGCTACTCAGGAGGCTGAGGCAGGACAATCGCTTGAACCCAGGAGTTGGAGGTTGCAGTGAGCCAAGATTGCACCATTGCACTCCAGCCTGGGCAACAAGAGCAAAACTCCATCTTAAAATAATAATAATAATTTTTAAAAGGATAAAATAGTGTTTTTAAAGCAGTTATGCTAGAAGGGAGATTCCATCCCTTAACCAGCTGCCCATGGAACTAGACTCATTGGTTATCCTCTTTTCTATTCAAAAAACACACAGGCATTAGGATCAGAGCTGGGAGAGTGACTTTCTCCAAGGTACTCTTCTGCTAGACATGATCGGCCCTGACTATCAGAATCCCATCCTTTTGCTTCCCCCACAAACCCTCACTCAAGACTGCACTATTCTTGAAAACTTCAGGGAAAGAGAAAGCAATTAATGGCCCCCCAAAGTTAGTGATTTCTGAGATATGCCCCAAATAGCTACTCTTTAGAGATGTTTTCCTAATTCATTAAAGGAAATGAAAGACTGCTACTCTACTTAGCTTTTGAATTTCTTATGCTTAATCACAAATAGCTCCTTCCAAGTGATTCTTTAAAGAGATAAAGGGTCTTGCTATGTTGCCCAGGCTGGAGTGCAGTGGCTACTCACAGGCACAATCATAGTGCACTGTGGCCTTGAACTGGGCTCAGGTGATCCTCTTGCCTAAAACTCTGGAGAAGTTGAGACTACCGGTGTATGCCACCATGCCTGGCCCATTTGGTCTTAAAAACAGCAGACGTTAAGACTTGTAGAAATAAAAAAATTACTTAATTTAGCATTAAAGGGAGACTTAGTAGACAGAAAGAATATACCCAAATGGAAAAAAAAAAACCCTAATTATTCAAAAATTCTAATGATAGTTGAGAAGAAAACAATAATTACAAATAAAGGAAAAAAAGAAATAAATATTTTACTTTTTGTAGATTTTATGAATCTGTCATTGGAAAATTCAAAGGGATCTATCAAAAATTATCAGAGGTAATAAGTTCTCCTAAATGCACATATGAAATAAATCTGCAAGATTTATTATTTGTACATGTGAATGCCATAATGCTAAAATATACAATGCTAAGAAAAAATTCCTTTTTTTTGTTTGTACAAATATTGAATTACTGAGAATTAACTCAGGACACAAAACATTTAAGGAAATCATAAAATCCTAACATGAAAGATAAAAGAGGACAAGAATAAATGGACAGATATATGCTATTGCCAGTTGAGAACTGTAAGTAAAGAAGACAGTAATTCTTAACTAAATATAACACATAGGTTTTTGCATGATTGATGCATTACCAGTTGAAGTTATAGCAGAATAGAAAATAGAAATTGACAATTGGGTAGTCACCTGGAGGACTAAAGGACTCGATATGAAATAGTAAATATGTATACATTTATGTAAAATTGCTCTGTCAAATTTGAAACATTTTAGAAAGTAATAAAAACCAAAACAGTATAGCATTGGGTTAAAAGAGGATAAACTGACCAGAGGAGTCTATTCTATTGTACATATATTAGAAAATGAATGTAAGGCAAAATAGAAGCAATATGACAACTGGAGAGAGAGGCTATGGCGCTCAGCTTGCCTCTGCCTCCCTGCCTCCAGGTCTGAGCTGCTTTCATGAGCTTGGGTGCTAAGTGACTTAGGGCCTGCCAGGTTTCTCTCTTCTCTACACACACGTCAAAAGGTGCAGATCGGTGTGTTGTTGGATCTTGCACCTGGCTGGAGAATGGTATTATCTCAGGATTTTGGAGCAGGCTTCAGTTTGCAGGCCCAGTTGCATGCTCCAGCTCAGCTTCATCACAGGGTTGCACTCAAGGTATTGGGCACCAATTCAGTCTTCTCAAACCAGTACTTTCTTATTTGCTATTTCTTGTAGCAAATTTTTTGGGAGTCTCAAGCAGAAGGGAAGGATTGAATGGATATGGCTGACAAGTTGCTTGCTTGCTTTTTTTTTTTTTTTGGTGATCTAATTCTCAACTTTTATTAGAATGGTTCAATGTTGCTGTATCATTAGCTCCTCCAAAATAACACTAGAAAAGCATCCTTTTTCAGAGTGTTATAAACCTTAAGATGTGTTTTATAATAGATTTGAATAATCATTTGATGATAGGGCAATGGGCTAGAGTTGCTTTCTTAACTGTGTGAAAGGAAAATAAAATCCTGGGACCCCAAAATCACTAAGCTAAAGTGAAAAGTTAAGCTTGGGAACTGGTGTCATGCAAAAACTGCCTTCTGTTTGTTCCTAAACAGATAGCTGTAATTTCACATACTTATGTAAAATGTAGATCTACTGAGCATGAAACAAATGCATAATTGACTTTCCCCACTCCTCTCTTTTCACATGTAAAATGTGGATTCAGTGAGCCTTAATCAAAGCCTTACAAGAATGGGACCACTTGCCTCATTACCTATCCTCCCCCTTTTTTCTTTCCGCTTTCCTTTCCTGCCTGCTCTTTCTCCTTTAAATATTGAAGCACAAGCTGCAGATCCTAGTGTGACTTGTGTTTCTTTTTCCCAGGCACATTCTCAGCCTTGGCAAAATAAACCTCAAAATTGATTGAGATCTGTGTCAGACAACTTTTTGGTTTACAACTGCAATACAATAAAAACTCACTACATATTATTCTCAAGTCACTGCTTAATAGAGATGATTGGGGTAAGTGGATATCAGGAGAGAGAAAAATTAATTAGATGTATGCTTACTCTATATAACACAATGAATTTGAAACCGTTCAGATGGCTAAACGTTTAAAAATATATGAAAAACTGGAAGAAAACAGAATAACATATGAACATATGTTTCCTTAGCCTAGGCAGTAAAATTGAGGTTTTAGAGTATTAAGTAATATTCTTCTGTCCTTTGCCTCCATCTGCTCTGTGAGACCTTCCACCACTCACAAGGGCTCCATCATAGTTTCTGGAATTTCAGCAGTTTTCTCACATAGGCTCAAAAACATGTTCTCTCAGCTACATGTGGCATCCACCATTACCCTCTGTGGCTCAGCTCCCACCAGTGTTTCTCTGCTGTTATGGGTGGCATAGTGAATGGTGCAGAATATGCCACCCCAAAATGTGCCACTTTGGTATAAGGATTATTTTGAGCTAAAGGCAGTTGAGAAGAATCAGATACAAGAAAAGCTCTGTGCCCTCCCCGCTATTAATCTAAAAGCAGGACATCAATTTACAAAGGTGTCCTTCCTTCCTTCTCTACCAGGAAGGGCAAAGGTTGGTCACTGGAGACACAGTTAGGCCATTATCAGCCTGGGGAGGGCACCAGAGGAATCTACGTAACAAACTTTACTATTTAGCCTCTATTTAACATGAATTTTCTGTATCATTGGCTTCCCACAACTGCTGCACTTACAGGCTTAATTAACATCCTTTCCTTTTGCCTTGTCATTTTTCTAAAAATGTACTAATTCTTTGTTGAAGATGCTATATAAGCTGGAGATCTAAGCCACCTCTTTGAGGGTTACTCTGTCCTTGAGTTTTCTCTCATGTACATTTGAAATGTACATGTTCATAAACTTCTGCTTGTTTTTCTCTTGTTAATCTGTCTTTTGATACAGGCGGCCCAGCTGAGAACTCAGAAGGGTAAAGAAAAATATTTTCTCCACTATAATTGCGTTTCCCCAAATTCAAATGCTGAAGTCTTAGCCTCTAGTACCTCAGAATGTGATCTTACTTGGAAATAGAGTCCTTGTAGATGTAATTAATTAAGATGAGGTCATACTAGAGTAGGGTGGGCCCCTAATATGAGTGACGTCTTATAGAAGGGGGCATTGGGACACAGACATGCATACAAGGGGAACATCATGTGAAGATGAGGGAGAGATCAGGGTGATGCTTCTACATGCCAAGGGACACCAAAGACTGCAGCAAACACCATAGGTGAGAGGCATGAAACAGATTCTCTCTCACAGCCCCCTCAGAAGGAAACAACACTTAATCTTGACACCTTAATCTTGGTCTTCTGGCCCCCAGAACTGAGAGACAGTAAATTCCTGTTGTGTGAGCCACCCAGTTTGTGGCATTTTGTTACAGCAGCCCTAGGAAACTAAGACACCTGCCAAGACCTTTCCAAAATGCAAGTGCCACAAGGGCAGAGACCAAGTGTGTCTTATTTGTCACTATGTTGCCAGAGTTTAGCCCAGAGTCTGGCATACCGTGCTCAGTCAGCCTTGATAGCTAACAATAGCCTAATCCTCACCCGGGGCCAGTGCCCACAGATCTGGCAGTGCAGCTGTGTCGTGGTGGATAATCTGTGATTGTGCCGGGGACGTGGCTGTCATGAGGGTGTTTTTCAGTGGAGGGTCACTACTGCTTGTGCTGCCGCTGTTGGTGGCCAGGGCTGCAGCCTAGGTGAAGCTGGGTGCTGCTGGATGCAGCTGGTATGCTGGAGCTGTCCCATGTTCCCTGAAACGATGCTAAGTTTTGTGACAAACGGAAGAGAACTCGTTTCTTCAAAGCAGTATTACCAGTGTTGCATGGAAAGCTTATATAAGAGTAATTTCTTTGCTTTTCCCTTTACATTTCACTGTTTCCCTAAGACTTAGATATGAGTCCATGAAACCTGCCTAGAGGAAAACTATCAGACTCACTAATGATGTGCAGAACTCAAAATTTCACCTCGCATCCAAGGAACGTGGCACTGCTCTTTTAACAAATTGTGAGGTCTGATCATTGGCCCCTCAGGTGGCGTTCCCTCAGTAGGTGCCCTAGTGACCATTACTGGCAGTCTCCTGCTGGGCCGATCTCACTGACATTCTAGACTTGCTCCATTATGTCTGATTCCCCAGGTGAGAACTACCCAAGTGAAGCTATCATCCCAACTCACATTTGAGCACTCAAGTTTGCTCTCATATGGTGGGACTGCAGTATAACTTCTGTTTACAATGTCACCAAGAAATTATTTTCAGTCTCTACTGCTGAATGCAATTGCACAATCAATTTCATTCATTCATTCATCCATTTATTCAAGAAGATTTTATTAATACATTCATTCAACAAAAAGTTTTATTCATACATTTGTTCAACAAATGTATGAATGGTGAGCCACTTGGTTTGTGGCATTCACCATTTCAAATTTCAAAATTCAAAATTTACCAAGTTTCAAATGGAAAAGGTTTGGTTCTTAAAATGGCAAGACTTGTCACCTAGATCATTCATTTTCAAATGGCAGTGAATGAATAGTTCTTTTGTATCTCAACCTACTAGAAATAGACTATGTTAGTTGACTGACTGATTTCACTGGCCTGTATTTGGGTTTAGAATCTCATAGAATGCCTATGTATGTTAACAACATATCAAGTGACCCAACGCTTTCGGAGGTTTATGGAAAGCATCCAACATTCTTACTCAGGTATTTCTTATCTGTATCATTTTATCGGCAGCCCCTGTCCCTTCCTTTTAGACAGTAAACAGAAAAAGAAGGACTTACAAATCTTTCAGAAAGAAAAAGAGTGTGTCTGTGGAAATATAGGTTATTGCTATCTTTTTAAAAGATTCAATCTAAAAATTTAATTTTTCTCCTTCTGTTCAAATCCAATTGTCCATCTGCTTTGCATTCCCTTGCTTCCCTGTGGCTTACTTTACACCTTTTCCCGGGTTTATTAACACTTGTCATTCAGTCATCTGTCCTCCCAAATCAGCTGCAGCCGCAGTCTAATTTAACAGTTAAATGACTGGCTATTCCCCTGGCTTTCATGTGGGCTAATTTGAACAATCTGCAGTCCTCTGTTTAGTTTATTTTAATTTTCAGCCTTCTGTGGATGTTATCTCCTAGAGCAGCAGAGCACGTTTTTGTTTTTGAGCTCAGAGCAACAGATGCTCTCCTAATTTTCCCATGGAGAAGGCAACCAGGAAAACTAGAACCGCGCAGTTCTGGGGGCTGGGGGATTCTGCACCACTAGCATGGGCTTCTGCTACTGCGGCGTAGATTTCTCTGCCTTCGTTTCCACTTTGAATATTGAAAACACAAAGTGAAGAGAGGCATATTCTTTTATTTATTTTTATTTTTGAGACAGGGTCTCACTCTGTCACCCAGGTTGGAGTGCAGTGGCGTCATCTCGGCTCACTGCAACCTCTGCCTCCCAGGCTCAAGCGATCCTGTCACCTCAGCCCCCCAAGTAGCTGGAACCACAGGTGTGCACCACCATGCCCAGCTAATTTTTTGTATTTTTGGTAGAGATGGGGTTTCACCATGTTGCCCAGGCTGGTCTTGAACTCCTGAACTCAAGTGATCCACCCACCTCGGCCATCCAAAGTGCTGGGATTACAGGCGTAAGCCACCTCGCCCAACCAAATTCTCCTTTAAATATGAGATGTTAGTATAAAACTATTCTAGAACTCATGGTAAGACACTAGGTTTCAGGATTCTTGAGGTTTCTTATTCATCTTTACATACCTAACAGCACCCCCAACCCACTTCCCACTACCTGGGAGTACTCAGTAAATATTTGTGAAATTGAGTGGAACAGATTAGCATATTCAAAGGCATGGTAAAAATAAATACAAACATGTTTTCTTTTTATTATTTTTATTTTTTTTTGAGATGGAGTTTCACTCTGTCACCCCCAGTGGTGCAACCTCGGCTCACTGCAACCTCCACTTCCCGCACCTAAGCCATTCTCCTGCCTCAGCCTCCCAAGTAGCCGGCACTACAGGCATGCACCACCAGGCCCAGCTAATTTTTGTATTTTTAGTAAAGACAGGGTTTCACCATGTTGGCCAGGCTGGTCTCGAACTCCTGACCTCAGGTAATCCACCTGCCTCGGCCTCCCAAAGTGCTGGGAGTACAGGCGTGAGCCACCATGCCCGGCCGCATATTTTATTTTTTAAGAAGAAGCTTTATAGTAGAGATAATATCTCATTTGTATTATTATAATTATCAGCTAGTTAGGACTAAATAATATTTATTTTCAAATATAATTGTGCCATTTTCCCTCTTTTCCGAATGGCAGTCCTTCTGTTTGACATAAAATATTGGGAAATAAGCAAAACACATCACTCCAAATTCTAAATCCTCATGAAATCTGAACTAAAAGACAATAAACTTACAGCAAAAAGACAACAGTTTTCTATAATCCAGAATTCATTTTCTTATATAGCTTACATTTTGTTTAAAATTGATATTATAATTTGATATTTGTGCAGACTTAGCTAGTTTCCTAGTTGCCATAGGCTTTGGCTCTGACTATGACCTGTGTCTAAGGCACCCGAGCACCTTGAAAGGGCAATAGGGTGTGATCAGCATTCTCAGCTGCAAAACTTATTTCTCTGTGGAACAATACTGGTTATTGATTCAAAGCTGATGAGGGTGGAGGAAAAGTGTGTGGAATACAGAGGTTTGAGAAAGGGAAAATGGCCTGTCTACAAAGCTGATTTGAGAAAATCCTGCAAATTTACCATTCATCTATTCAAAAAAAATCATTGAGCACCTTCTACGTGACAGGTACCATTCTAAGCACTGGAGAGACAAGAGAGAACAAAACAGTAGATTTTGAAAGTGTTAGAAAAAGCATTACATACATGTACATAAGAGAGAGTGCCTGGGTAGTTACTGTATTTTGGGAAGTCCAATCAAACCTCCTGAAGGTGATAATTAAGGGAAAATCCAAATAAATTACAGCATGAGTGTGGGAGATACTGAGGAATAAAATGAAAACAGACATTCTTTTCAATTTTTTTTTTACTTTTATTCCAACATTGCTTTATTTTATTATTATTTTTTATTTCAATAGTCTTTGGGGTACAGGTGGTTTTTGGTTCCATGGAGAAGTTATTTAGTGGTGATTTCTGAGATTTTAGTGCAACCGTCACATGAGCAGTGTACACTGTACTCAATATGTAGTCTTTTATCCCTCACCCCCTCCCACTCTCCCCACACCAAGTCCCCAAAATCTATTATATCACCTTTAGGCCTTTTCGTCCTCATAGCTTAGCTCCCATTTATAACTGAGAATATATGATACTTGGTTTTCCATTCCTGAGTTACTTCACTAGAATAATGGTCTCCAGCTCCATCCAAGTTGCTACAAAAGATATTATTTCATTCCTTTTTATGGCTGACTAGTATCCATGGTGTATATACACCACATTCTCTTTACCCACTCATCAGTTGTGAATTGTGCTGCTACAAACATGCATGTGCATGTGTCTTTTTCATGTAATGACTTATTTTCCTGTGGGTGGATACCCAGTAGTGGAATTGCTGGATCAAATGGTAGTTCTACTTTTAGTTCTTTGAGGAATCATGCTGTTTCCCATAGTGGTTGTACTAGTTTACATTCCTACCAACAGTGTAAAAGTGTTCCCTTATCACCACAGACACACCAACAACTATTATTTTTTTGAATTTTAAATTATGGCCATTCTTGCAGGAGTAAGGTGGTATCTCATTGTGGTTTTAATTTGGATTTCCCTGATGATTAATGATGCTGAGTATTTTTTTTCATATGTTTGTTGGCTGCTTGTATATCATCTCTTGAGAAATGTCTCTTCATGTCCTTTGCCCCCTTTTGGATGGGATTGTTTTTTCCTGTTGATTTGTTTGAGTTCCTTGTAGAATCTGGATACTGGTCCTTTGTGGGATGCACAGTTTGCAAATATTGTTTCCCACTCTGTGGGTTGTCTGTTTACTCTGCTATCACTCTTGCTATGCAGAAGCTTTTTATTTAATTAGGTCCCATTTATTTATTTTTGTTTTTGTTGCATTTGCTTTTGGGGTCTCAGTCAGGAATTCTTTGCCTAAACCAATGTCCAGAAGAGTTTTTGTGATGTTATCTTCTAGAATTTTTATGGTTTCAGGTCTTAGATTTAAGTCTCTGATCCATGTTGAGTTGATTTTTGTGTAAGGTGAGAGATGAGGATTCAGTTTCATTATTCTACACGTGGCTTGCCAGTTTTCCCAGTACCATTTATCGAATAGGGTGTCCTTTCCCCAAATTATGTTTTCGTATGCTTTGTTGAAGATCAGTTGGTTGTTAAGTATTTGACTTTATTTATGGGTTCTCTACTCTGTTCCATTGATCTACGTGCCTATTTTTATACCAATACCATGTTGGTTTTTTTTGTTTTGTTTCTTGTTTTTCGTTTTGTTTTGTTTTGTTTTAAGACAGAGTCTCGCTCTGTTTTATACCAATACCATGTTGTTTTTTTTGTTTTGTTTTGTTTTTTGTTTTGAGACAGAGTCTCACTCTGTCACCCAGGCTGGAGTGCAGTGCATGATCTTGGCTCACTGCAAACCTCTGCCTCCCGGGTTCAAGCCATTTTCCTGCCTTAGCCTCCTGAGTAGCTGGGATTACAGGCACCCGCCACCATGGCCGGCTAATTTTTGTATTTTTAGTAGAGAGAGGGTTTCTCCATGTTGGCCAGGCTGGTCTTGAACTCCTCGACCTCCCAAAGTGATGGAATTACAGGTGTGAGTCACTGTGCCGGCCAGTACCATGCTGTTTTGGTAACTATACCCTCTTTACAAATAGTTTCTAACAAGTTCTTGAAATGAGCATTCAAGAGGAGGTGTTGAAAGCTAAAATCCTACTCTTGGAAACTTCTCCTCCTTTCCCACCTGTATAATATCTTCCTCTTCTGAAAAATATCCCCTTTCTGGTACTTTCTGTTAGTGCCCTCTCAACATTTTGCTTATGCTTTGATCATAGCACCTAGATCACTTTGAGGCACTAATTCCTTTCCACGTCTATTCCTTTGCTCTCTACTATAAGTCCCTTAAGGACAAGCTTTATGTCTCTCATTTTTTGTTTTGTCCATGGCTGGCGGTATCTGACATGGAGTAAGAATTTAATAAATGTATGTTCAATAAATATATTTGTCTCATCCCACAACTAGGCAAAAGGGCAGATATTGTATCACATGTATTTTTGTGTCCCCCTGAGTGGTTGGCATCAAGAGGGACAGAGTTAGTAGTGGATAAAGATTTCAAGTTCTTAAACAGATGAAAGCACCCCGAAGTTTTGGCTCAAGCTATACTTGGTCTTTGAACCTTTGTTGAAAAGATACAACGGAAAGATGGGGAACAGCCAAGGTTAGAGAGAGATTTACACAATAAAGAGAGTCAGATTTTTCAGGGTGTTTTTTGGGATTTTTCAGTAGATCAAAGTTGGACATGGTGCTGGATAAAAGGGTGGGAGTGAGAAGAAAAGGGGAATTTAGGGTAGGAGGTTGATGTATTGGACACAAGATATTTGTGAAAAAGGTCAAATGACGTTCTCAAGGATAAAAAAATGTTTCCAATAAAAGGCAAGCACACTTTTATACCAGAAAATGATGACACAGTAATTGTGCCGGTTAGGCTTTTTGTTTTCTTGCTAGTATTACATCACCCAGTCACACAAGCGTGGTGAGCAGGGGACAATAAAAATAAGTTATCAATGCACTATTAACTCAGCGTGCTCTCACCTATTAATAAGACATTGATGTCTCCTCTTATGCGTGTCCCATTGAAAAGCACTTTCTCATTACCTCCAAGCGACATACACAAAATGGGTTTTTTAATATACTCATGTCTGTGGATGCTTGGTATAAAGACTTGTTTAAATGGTCAAAGATATCCTATTTAAGAAACAGAAAACACTTACATTGCACATTATCAACATTAGAATAGAATCTCATTATCCCTTAGCTAGTATTTGTGCAATTTATAACTCACTTTAGATTGAGTTTTGCAGAATTTCATGATCTTTGCCACATCATCAGCTGAAAATGTAGGTACTGTGTCTTTGCTCGTCAGTGTGATATTATTAGCTAGGATGATGGCCCTGTGTTTTCTAAGCTGCAGAAATATTTTAAGAGCTGCTGCTAATTAACTATTAAATAAATGCTTGGATGAAGTTATCTTCATAACAGATAAGCTACTTGGAAATTGTTTTCAGTAAAATGGAATGAGTTGAATTTTCTTTGTATTTTTGTTAACCTTTGCGTGTCTTCTCTAAATCTCAGACACGGCACTATACTGTGTATTGTTTTTAGATCTGAGCTCTCTTAAAGCTTAAAGAAGGAACTGGTAAAAAGATTGCTGTGAAATGGTCTATGAGAATTAGAGGTCTTCAATACTGATGTTCCCTCTGCTTTGAGGCAAATCTAGCAGAATGCATGTGGTTGTTAACACAGGAAGAGAAAGAAACCTAATAGAGGCAAATGTTTCAAAATTTACAGAGTGAATCACATTATAATTTACAGAGAATTATATATTCAGTAAGTTGAATACTTTTTAAAAAAATCATTTTGAATGAGAAAAGAAAAACTAAAAAAAGCTAGGAAAAGTGAGTGCCTTGTATTTTTTTTTTTTTTTTCATTTTTGAGATGGAGTCTTGGTCTGTTGCCCAGACTGGAGTGCAGTGGCGTGATCTTGGCTCACTGCAAGCTCTACCTCCTGGATTCACACCATTCTCCTGCCTCAGCCTCCCGAGTAGCTGGGACTACAGGCACCCGCCACCACGCCTGGCTAATTTTTTGTATTTTTAGTAGAGACAGGGTTTCACCGTGTTAGCCAGGATGGTCTCGATCTCCTGACCTCGTGATCTGCCTGCCTGGGCCTCCCAAAGTGCTGGGATTACAGGCGTGAGCCACTGCGCCCGGCCAGTGCCTTGTATTTTTCTTAAAGCTGTGACAGATTATTTCATTGGATTGAAAATTAAATGTAAGCCTCAATTTTAAGTACAAAAATGATTTCTTAAATAGGTAAATACAGGTATCTTAAGACATTTAGCACTTTTGGCAAACAATTATCTTCCTTTTTAAAAACACTACTTAAAGAAAAGTTTGTTTTCAAAAACAGAATTTAAATGTGCAATTTGCTTAAATTCACCAAGCCAATGACATAAATATTTATTGGGAGGGACAGATTGAGGGGCAGGTGGGACAGCCTTGGGAGAACAGGACAGTGATAAATGAGACATAGGAGTTTACAATTCAGTGGCAAAAGGAGAAGCCTTCTGGAGGAAACCCATTCACCTTCTAGAGGGGAATGGCCCTGTGGTACTGATACAAGGACAGGCACGCTGGTTCAAACAACATTGATGACGGCACTGGGACTAGGCATTATGGGCAGGAGACCAGGAGAAAGAGGTTGCTATATAGGCTTGGAGGAGAAAAGAGAGACAGTTGCTTAATTTAAATCCACCAACCAACCCATGCACTCCTCCAGCCACTCACCCATCAAATAACCAATAGATATTACCGCACATAGACTGCAGACAAATTGCTGTGCTGGTTGCTGTGAGGGAGATGGAAAGGCGAATAGGACCCCGTTCCTGACCTCAGAAAAATAATCTAAATGCCAGCTCTTTCCTCCAGTGAAAAGGTCAGTCCTTCTTGGTTCATTATCTTGCCAATTTACATGACAAACAATGACAAAGAATTTCCTTCCCTCTTTCTGCTAATATATAAGCCTTGTCATTTTTAATGGTTTTCTGTTTTTCCTTTGGGTTTAACTTTCCTCTTTCAAAGAAATGAAAGCCTGGATCTTGCTTCTTAAAGGCAATTTTATTTCTTTGATACTGTTCCCAAGACTCTGCTTAAGCTTTTTAAAGTCAAAGAAAGTTAGGCATGGATTATCCTATATAGAAAGGTATATTGACTCATTAACTACCCTTTGTGGAATACCACACATTTTTTTTTCCCTCTAAGGTGTTTAATAACTTGTTGCATTCCATTCATGAAGGTTGTGGTGATAAGAGTCATTGATATAAATATGTTTTAGGCAGAAAGTGTAGAAGAGTGAAAAAATAAATTAAAAACTGCATATTTGCCTGGAGCTAAGGCTAAAGAAATCAGCTTCATTATTTTTTGTTGCTTAGTTGGTCTTATGGGTAAGTCTGTTTATACCATATATCATTCTTGTCCACTTCCAGAGATTTCAAAGGAAATTCCTAATTAAGAGGATCTAGCTCCAATTATGAAAACTATGTTCCTGTTTTTAGATGTTTCCTTCAATGTGGAAGACCAAGTAGATTTGTGGTTGCTGCTTGTACGCTTGGGGGTCGGGGGGGGGTCATTCATCATAGTCACATGACTAGCTCCTACTCACTGGCATAAGTTTAAATTCTAGAACTCCAGATAAATTTGACAAAATGATTGGTGCTCGAAAAGTAGATCCTGAGCTTCATTAAAATTTGTCGTGGGTGCCTGGGTCTCAGCTCTGGCAGTCTGGAAAGTTTCTCTAATCTCTGGATAGGCCTTGTCAAAAAATTCATTCAATCAAGTCCCTAGGCTGCACACAGAAAGGAGACCCTGGGCCTGGCCCACGAAACCGTTTTCTCCTAGGCCTCCTGGCCTCTGATGGGAGGGGCTGACTTGAAGACCTCTGACATGCCCTGGAGACATTTTCCCCATTGTCTTTGGGAATAACATTCTGGTGCTTGTTACTTATGCAAATTTTTGTAGCTGGCTCGAATTTCTCCTCAAATATTCGGTTTTTCTTTTCTATCACATTGTCAGGCTGCAAATTTTCCAAACTGTTATGCTCTGCTTCCCTTATAAAGCTGAATGCCTTTAACAGCACTCAAGTTACCTCTTGAATGCTTTGCTGCTTTGAAATTTCTTCTGCCAGATACCCAAAATCATTTCTCTCAAGTTCAAAGTTCCACAGATCTCTAGGGCAGGGGTAAAAGGCCGCCAGTCTCTTTGCTAAGACATAAAAAAAGTCAGCTTTGTTCCAGTTCCCAACAAGTTCCTCATCTCCATCTGAGACCACCTCAGCCTGGACCTTATTGTCCATATCGCTCTCAGGCTTTTGGTCAAAGCCATTCAACAAGTTTCTAGGAAGTTCCAAACTTTCCCACATGTTCCTGTCTTCTCCTGAGCCCTCCAAACTGTTCCAACCTCTGCCTGTTACCCAGTTCCAAAGTTGCTTCCACATTTTCGGGTATCTTTTCAGCAATGCCCCACTCTACTGGTACCAATTTACTGTATTAGTCCATTTTCATGCTGTTGATAAAGACATACCTGAGACTGGGAAGAAAAAGAGGTTTAACTGGACTTACAGCTCTACATGGCTGGGGAGGCCTCAGAATCATGGCAGGAGGTGAAAGGCACTTCTTATATGGCAGTGGCAAGAGAAAATGAGGAGGATGCAGAAGTGGACTACAGGCATATGCCACCAGGCCTGGCTAATTTTTGTATTTTTAGTAGTCACGGGGTTTCACTGTGGTGCCAGACTGGTCTTGAACTCCTGACCTCAGGTGATCCACCCACCGCAGCCTCCCAAATTGCTGCGTTTATATGTGTGAGCCACTGTGCCCGGCCCTGGATACTATTATTCTAAATGAAGTAACTGAGAAATGCAAAACCAAACATCATATGCTCTCGCTCATACGTGGGAGCTGAGCTATAAGGATGCAAAGGCATAAGAATGATACATTGGACTTTGGGGACTCAGGAGAAAGGGTCGGGGGCAGGGAGGGATAAAGACTACACATTGGGTACAGCGTATACTGTTCAAGTGCTGGGTGCACTAAAATCTCAGAAATCACCACTAATGAACTTATTCATGTAACCAAACACAACCTGATCCCCAAAAAACCTACTGAAATAAAAAATAAAAAATAAATAAAAAAAAATCCCCACCAAGATGGCCTACATTCCTACAGTCAACACGGAGGCAATGAATATTCACTGCAAACCCATGGCAGACACTGCTGGTTGCCTGTCCAATATCTGATCTCCTCTTCTTCCTTGCTCATAGAGAGTCTCTATTAGTTCAGGGTTAGAAATAACACAGCAATGCAACTTGTGCAACTGGGTGGTCATGTGACATAGTTTTGCCCAATTGGATATCTATGGGTGGCGTTTCTGAGGAATATATTTCCTTATTAAAAAGGGACAGATTCACCTGTAATCCCAGCACTTTGGAAGGCCAAGTGGGGTGGAATCACTTGAGCTCAGGATTTTGAGACCAGCCTGGCCGACATGGCGAAACTCCATCTCTACTAAAAATACAAAAATTAGTCAGGCATGGTGGTGCATACCTGTAATCCCAGCTACTCTGGAGGCTGAGGCAGGAGAATCACTTGAACCCAGGAGGCAGAGGTTGCAGTGAGCCGAGATTGTGCCACTGAATTGTTTTTGCCTCTTGACACTTCCAACCATTCTTTCTCTTGGAAGTCAGTAAAAATGCTTGTATGTACTGGGTCCATATGATGATGATAGTGAGGATTAAAGCCACTGGTGAAGGTAGTGCAGCAGGAGAGCTGAAGGGTCCTGGTTCCTGGATGACCCACTTGAGCAGCTGCAAAAGTCGTAACTTGCCTTTTTGGAGCTTCTTGTTATTCAAAAGAACACACCCCTACTTGACAAAGCCATAGTAGCTGGGTTTTAGTTCTGTGTGGCCAAAAACGATCCTAATTGGTGGATGGCCTGAAATGCAACACACCCAAAGCTGAGGAAGCATCTCCTTCATGCTGCTTCTCTGTTTCTTTTCTATCCAGTTGCCCAAGTGGACAGCCTGGACGCCATCCTCACTCCTGCTCCTCCCTCATTGCTGTTAGCTGTGACACCTGTTGTGCTGCTGCCACGGAAGGTGCTCTGAGCACAACCTCTGCTACCCAGCCACTGCTACCCACTGAGTGCAACCTCTAAAGCTCCTGGCAGGCAGCTGCCAGAGCTTCTGACTTTGAGGAAATCCCTGCTTGCAGTATTTGGGTGCTGCAGAACCCAGTGTGGCCGGGTGGAGAGAGGGATACTCTGGTTCAGGGCCACACTCTTGGTAGCTCCTTACCGAGCTTGTCTGCGGATGGAGTCTGTGTGACAGAGCCTCTGTTTCATCCTTTTGTGCAAAGAGGATCTGGCAGGGATTCTGGCTTGAGCACTCTCGGTCTATCTGAGCTGCTATAACAAAATATCATACCCGAGTTTATTTCTAAGTTCTAGAGATTGGGAAGTTCAAGATCAAGGCACTAGCAGATTTGGTGTCTAGTGAAGGTGTATTTCTTCACAGATGGCACCTCTTGCTTTGTTCTCACATGGTAGAAGGGGCTAGCTTGCTCTCTGGGGTCTCTTCTAAGGACACTGATTACGTTCATTAGGGCTTTGCCCTCACGACCAAATCATCTTCCAAAGGCCCTACCTGCTAATAACATCACATCAGTGATTAGTTTTCAACATATGAATTTTGTTGGGACACAGCAAGTGCTATGGTTTGTCATAAAATTCATATTCTATTGTTTCTTTTTATACCTAGAAGCCCTTAAAATACTATTAGAATATTAATCTTTTACTTTCCTTTCCCATATTGTATTAGGAGGGGGAGTGAAAAAAGTTTGAGAGACTCGCAGGCATTTGGGCTATGGGAGGTTTAGGCACCGGCTCTCAAAGATAAACACTAGCTGCCATGTTTGATGAGTTGCCAAACCCTTTCAGTTTCACCTCAAACACACTGCTCTACTTGTTCCATTTCTCTACATCCCCACAGGCGGTGCTCCACCCAGCTCCTCTCATCCCTTGCATGAATTCCTATGGCTTCCTGATTGACCTCTCAGCACACAGGTCTGCCTTCTTTCAGTCTGTTTTTCACCTTGCATTCACAGCAGTCCTATCTGTTCATGTCACATCATCCCACTTTCAATGACAAAGTTTCTCTGATGCTTTTGGGATGAAAGAACAGACTCCCACATCTGCCTTGCGGTTGATCTTTGTGGAAAGGCTCCTTCCTGCCACTTCATTTCTCACCAGTGTTCTTTATTTGCTACCTTCCAGTCCTCCTGGACGATTTTTGTAAGCAACGTGTGCTCTCTTGGATCTTTAGGACTCTGCAAATACAGTTGGTCCCCCATGTCTGTGGGTTGCACATCCACAAATTCAATCAACCACTGATGGAAAACATCTGAAAAAACTCCACGAAATAACAATTCAATAAAAAAATAAATAAAAATATATGATAAGAACTATTTACATAACATTTACATTGTATTAGGTATTATAAGTAATCTAAAGATAATTTAAAGTATATAGGTGGATGTGCATAGGCTATATACAAATATACTACATTGTTTTATACCAGGGACTCAGATGTTGGTATCCCCAGTGGTCCTGGAACTAAGGGATGATGGTATTGTATTATTCCCTTGAATACCAGCCACCTTCTCCTGCCTCTCCTTTATCTTCCTAATTCCGTCTTATCCCTTCAGATTCCTACTTAGACACCACTTCTTTCAGGACGCCCTCTCTGAGCTCTAAGACACAGTGAGGTGTCCCACCCTGCAACTGTGAGCTCTCGGAGCATGTTGTATATATCCCCTCATAAGAGCAAGGACCCTGGGTCAGAAAGACAGGTTTCAATCTGGGATTGGCCATTTACTTGCTATGTGATCTTGGGTGGGTTATCCTTTTTAGATGCAGTTTTCCTATCTATAGAAATGGGAAAAACAGGCCGGGTGCGGTGGCTCACGCCTGTAATTTCAGCACTTTGGGAGGCTGAGGGTGGCAGATCACCTGAGATCGGGAGTTTGAGACCAGCCTGACCAACATGGAGAAATCCCATCTCTATTAAAAATACAAAATTAGCCAGGCACGGTGGTGCATGCCTGTAATCCCAGCTAGTCAGGAGGCTGAGTCAGGAGAATCGCTTGAATCCAGGAGGTGGAGGTTGCAGTGAACCGAGATTGCACCATTGCACTCCAGCCTGGGTGACAAGAGCAAAACTCCATCTCAAGAAAAAAAAAAAAAAGGAACAACAGTAGTAGCTACCTCTTAGTATTGCTGTGTAAATTAAATGAAATAATGCATGTGATTTCCTATGGATGATATAGTGGTACTGGGGAGAAGAAGTCACAGTGGAGACAGGAAATGCCCCTATGCACCTCTCAGGTGGTGCCTGTTCACAGGACTAGCTGTCTAACCAAAGCTTGTGTCCAGGAGCTCCTGGCAGTGATGACTAATGGGAAGTGAGCCTGCGGCCATGGCAGGCCTGGGTGCTATGGCCAGGGCTGAGAATCAGAGAAGAACTGTGTTAGTCAACATAGGCACAAATGAAACACGCCTTCCCTGAAACATTCTGGGGAAGTCTCTTAGGAGCACACCAGGGCATGGGGAACTGGCGGATAAACAATCTGTTGATATTAAAAAATAACTTCTAACCTGTCTTCTGCATTCAGTGGATCTGGTATTTACTGAAGAGTAAATTTTTACTGTTTGGAAATGATGTTAGGCACTTCCCCCAAATTACTTCAATGAGTGAACCCATACAACCACACACCAGCTGCCCTTCCTTCCTCCATCTGCCTAGGAGACCGACAGAATTTCTCCAATGCTGTTTACCCCGGCAGATCTAATCAGATTACAGAATGTTTTAAACCACCACAATGAGCTAGCTGGAGATAGAATAAAAGAGAAAAAAGGGAATTCAAGGAAATGTGAAATTTGGGCTAAGTCTGAGTAAAAATACAAGAAGTCCCAGGGTATGAGCAGAAACCTAGAACAGAGGCAGAGTAGTAGAGAGGATCCTTTCTTTCTGTGAACAATAAGTTGGGAGAACACCTGAGCGAGGTCAGGAGATAAGCTGGTAATGGGATCATCCACAGTTTGGAAATGGGTGCTGGATACACCTGCTGTGTATCAGATTCTCCTCCAGCAGCAACTGCTGACTTCTCCTTTTCAATCCTCCTAAAACAAAGTCACGCCCTGACACTGGGTGACAGTCAGGAGGGGACAAAGCGAATAGAGAGAAGACAGATGCTCCAAAAATGGTCAACATTCGCAACATGCTAAGGCAAAAAATTTAAATAAAATAAAACAACACTCCTCTCGAAGAAGTTGGCAAGGGTTAAATAAGAGCATTTCCCCCTCAAGCATGAATTCTAGTGAGAGGTACCTATAGTTAACTGAATAAGGAGGGCAGGTCCTTCCTTCTCCCATCCCATATTTCAAACTCTTCTTTTACAGTGAGTTATCTGTGAAAGATAAGTTAGTTATCTTAGCCTTCCAAAGAACAGACTCTCAGCGATTAACTGATTCATGGATCATAGTCCACTCTAGGTTGCTATCATACTGGTGTCTCTACAGGTTGCCTTTTCCTGTTGCCAGAACAAATAATGTCCACATCTATTATCCAGAATGACTAAATGCAGGGAAACAATATTTCTCCCAAATTTGCTCCAGATAACTGGTGCACACAGAACTGAAGCACAGTGACAAGAACTCGAGTGTTATTTTCATCTAACAGGAAAACTAGAAAGAAAAGTAACATTCTCTAGGCCTGAGAAACAATAGGATAGAAAACGACCTGATTCACAATTTATCTCCATGGAGAAATAGGTGAACATCTAAAGAAGTGGAAATATTACTCACATACCATAAAAGTAGGTGAACGATTTAAGTTGCAAAATGAGGCAGAGAAGAGAGAACTGAGAACTGTTCAGTGTAGGAACAGAAACTTCCATAGAGATCTCTAAATACAGGAAGAGATCATCACAGCCTGAGGAGGTTGAAGTCCTGTCCAGGACTCAGATTTTGAGACTAAGTGGGTTTGTGAGTGATTTGCCTCAAGGATGGGAAGTCAGTCACATGTCCTCTCAAGATTGCATTTGCTTCAATGGGAAAATGATAATTTACATGGCTAAACTTTTCCAGCGTTAGATGGGGGCAAATAGGATACAGATGCAGTACTGGCATGATTCTATAGAGCCTCCACATAGAAAAGAAACCAAAACCAAGGGCATAGCGTGCAGGATGGGGTAAGATTTTAAAAAAACAACATAAAGCCAGTGGAGCAGACCATTTTACAGTATTTTCTAATACTGTACAGCAGACCTCCCAGTATTTTGGGAGGCTGGGGTGGGTGGATCACAAGGTAAAGAGATCGAGACCACCCTGGCTAACACAGTGAAATCCTGTCTCTACTAAAACAAAAATTAGCTGGGCGTGGTGGCGCGCGCCTGTAGTCCCAGCTACTCGGGAGGCTGAGGCAGGAGAATTGCTTGAACCTGGGAGGCAGAGGTTGCAGTGAGCCGAGATCATGCCACTGCACTCCAGCCTGGTGACAGAGTGAGATTCTGTCTGAAAAAAAACAAAACAAAACAAAACTGTGGTCTACTCTCAGAACAATCACATTGCCCCACGACTCTTACTCATGAATCACTGATGTGTGATAAAAACATGATTATATGAAAATTTTTTTTTTTTTTGAGACAGCGTCTCACTCTATCACCCAGGCTAGAGTGCGGTGGTGCAATCTAGGTTCACTGCAGCCTTGATCTCTTGGGCTCAAGTGATCCTCCCGCCTCAGCCTCCTGAGTAGCTGCAACTACAAGGCACATCACCACACCCAGCTAGTTTTTGTATTTTTCGGGGTAGAGATGGAGTTTCCTCATGTTGCCCAGGCTGGTCTCAAGCTCCTGGGCTCAAGTGATCCGCCTGCTTTGGCTTCTCAAAGTACATTTCATGGCTGGGCGTGGTGGCTCATGCCTGTAATCCCTTTGGGACTTGGGAGACATGAGCTACCACACCCAGCCATGAAAACTTTTAACAGGCAATTACACTGCTTCAAGATGGCAATTTAACTATGAAAAACGAAATTGTTGGTAGTTTACTGGATTTATAAAAATCAGTCCTCTTCTTAAAAGGCGAATTGAAAAACAGACTTGCTTTAGCTTGTCAATAACTGTGTTCCTGAGAGTAGTAAAGGGTACATAGAATGAGGCAGAAACATTTATGCAAAAACTATAGATCGATGATTCTCTTTTTCTTAGTTAGGATGTATCTTTTCTTTGTCCTTTCTTCCATGGCCAATTGGGTGGGTTCATGGTTTGACTCTGAAGGCCAAGGAGGAGGATTGAGATATGGTTTCTCAATCCAAACTTGAAAGTAAGTTTTAGTATAATGTTAGTTGATAGAGCTAGTTTCAGGTTGAGGGTTTTGTTGTTCAAAACACACCAATGGATTTTTTTTTTTTAAGTACAACTTCTTTTTACTCAAGAGCTTCTGACTCAAGCTATTCACTCTTAAAATTCCGGAGACAGGCCTGGCATGCTGACTTACAACTGTAATCCCAGCACTTTGGGAGGCTGAGACGGGCTGACTGCTTGAGCCCAGGAGTTCGAGACCAGCCTGGCCTACATGGTGAAACCCCATCTCTACAAAAAATTAAAAAATTAGCCGGGTATGGTGGCGCACACCTGTAGTCCCAGCTACTCAGGAGGCTGAGGTGGGAGGATCACTTGAGCCCAGGAGGTTGAGGCTGTAGTGAGCCATCATTGCACCACTGCACTCCAACTTGGGTGACAGAGTGAGACAAGAAAGGAAAGAAAGGAAGGAAGGAAGGAAAGAAAGAAAGAAAGAAAAATCCCAGACTCAGAACCAAGAAGTGGCAAGGCATATGACAGATCAGTTTTCTACTCTCTTCCCCAGTGGACACCTGTTGAAAAAATGCATAGTGCCCCATCTTCAAATTCCTTATCTTTCTCTCTTGTGCCTCAGCCTCCCGAGTAGCTGGGATTATAGGTGCCCATCACCATGTCTGACTAATTTTTGTATTTTTAGTAGAGATGGGGTTTTGCTATGTTGGCCAGGCTGGTCTCAAACTCCTCAAGTGGCCTCAAATGATCCACCCACCTCAGCCTTCCAAAGTGCTGGGACCATAGGCATGAGCCACCACTCCTGGCCCTTTATCTTTCTTGAGCTACTTCTGTTTATTCATTTCTATAACTAGGATTCCAATGCCTTTGGCTAACTGAGGAAAGTTGAAAAGTGACTGATGGAAAGAGAGACCTCCAATATGGTTGGACTGAAATTTTACTCCTTCCTAATCCCTGACTCTCCACTGTACTCCATTAAGAGTTGATCGGGGTGATCCTTGCGCAGTCATTGGCTGGGTGGAAAAGCTCCACACCCTGTGGCCATATTTAGTACTACAGAGCTGCTTCTCTTCCTAGGTGCCACAGCCTGGAAGCTCTTCCTAGCAGCTAGCCTGGATATATACAGCAGGATGAAATGTGTGTGTGCTATCTGTGAATCTTTTACATTTTCTGTCCCATTCGTCTCATTTAGCGTCTCCACTGAGTGATCCGTGTTATCAAAGAGTAGGAGATGTACCCAGAGCTTCCATTTTATATGTAGGTTTCTCTTGATTTCCACCTAACACTGACTGAGGAGTATCAACTGAGGACTGCCCTGTTCTTTAGTCTTAGACAAAGAAGTTGGAGGATCAACGTAGGACATTCCATGCACTAAAAAAACAAGTTACTTTTGAAAGTTAAAAGCGGAGGAAGCCGGGAGACAGTGTTGTAATGGGAGGAATACAAAACAGGGAACTGGGAGATTTTATTTCTAGCCTTGGTTCTTTCATGACCCATATGAGGTCTGGGGCCCATCACTCACCCTCCATGGGTTTCATTCCTATAAGGAGGAGGGACCAGATCCTTTCCAAGGTCCCTTCTGTCTCTAAACTTCTATGGTCTGCCTACAGATGGTATTTTCCATGCTGAGCACCATGTCTCCTGGCCTTGTGTTTCTGAGCACACAGATCTCTGTTTCTTATCTTTACCCATCCCTGCCTCTGACCCTGAGACCACTCTTAGCTGAGGTCATTCAACCATATCTCTTACTTTTCAATTGCCTGTGTCTTTTAGAGCTAGTATTTGAGTCAATCTATGGGAACAGATCCTTTCATTTTTTTTAGCCATTAAAAATGGAAGTCATTGAATAAATAAACTAAGAAAAATTTATTCATTGGGAAGTGATACAAACTCAACCTGGGATTTCTAGACAAGTTTACATTTCACCCATTTTTAGGCACTCAGATATTTTATGATGAGTACAAGTTTCATTGATATCACTCATCTGACCTTACTTCATTACATTGTCACGTGGTTGCAGTCTTGACTTTGATGGCACAAAGACTGGCCACCATCAGGAATGTGATTTTCACACTGTCATTCAACAGAACCTCAAACAGCACCTACTTCTGAAGATACAACAATGAAGACATAAGCCCTGATATCAAAGAGCTTATAGCTTTCCAGGGGACAGAGATATGCACAGAGAGCTATATCAGTGCAAAGGAGTGAAATCTAATCAGCTTGGGGATGACATTTGGTAAATCCTGAAGGATGTGCATGAATCACCTAAGCAAGAAGGGGCTGAGCACATCTTTTTATTCATTTCAGTGTAATAAGAATTGAAGCAGGACTTATTGTTTTCAATGATTTGGCTTTTTCTAACTTCAGATATATAAGGAATCAAAGGACATCTGATTCTAACCCAACTTATTTCTAAACTCAAATTTACTTTGCAATATCTAATTTTGGGAGTCAAATGTTCTAGTGTATACTACTTGATGAAATACTCTAAAAATCCTGAGATAGATCTTGGGAAGTTTCAGTCAATCTAAGTCAAGCCTATAGGTTCTTCTAGCACACATTCCTGAAATCCAGTAAAGTGGACACGTATGGGTTTAGTCACAGGTTTATGCCTGTGAAAGAGGAAAGAAGGGTTGAAGGCTTAAGTGTAAGATGGAATGAATGATTTGGGGATGCTTTTAGTCTAGTAAAAGAAGACAGGAAGATTTGGGGCATAAAATATTGAGAGACTATTTTATGCTATTTTGAGTACAGTTAAAGTTCTCTTAACCAAACTCCACTTGCAATTCTCCAGCTTCTGTGTAACACTTCCCAGTGGATGCTGCAGCATATTGAACACTCAATTTTTCTTTAATAGCCTCAGCCATCTCTGCTATTTGCTAGTTACATAAGTTAAACTGTATGTAAGCCAAAGAGATATAAATTTATATTATCTTTCTTTTCCTCATTCAAATGTATACTTTATTTTTTAAGAGTCAAGTGCAGTAGTGAGAGTGGGAAAGAGTAGAACAAGGAGTCTGATCTGTAACTGATGGTGAACGATCAGTTGAGACAACTATCTTTGGACCAGGGTTTTTTTTTTTTTTTTTTTTCCCTCACCAGTTTATCTATTTCATCTTCTGCACTATCTCCTGACCACACAGGCCCTGGATTCTCTGTATGCCATCAAGTTACCTAGTTACCCGCATCTTCTGACTATGCACAATAGCCACAGTCTTCCATCTCTTATTAATACAGAATGGGCTTGCAGTATCGGGACTCCCTCCAAATTCCCTACTCCTAAGTGAGGATGGGAAACAAGTCCTTAGAAAACTATGCACTAGGTCTGACTACTGAGGAACAACTGCAAGAAAAGCAACTTTGAAAATTTCTTTATTACAGACATTTCAGAACCATTTAAATCAACAGACAAGGAAATTTTTAGACATAACATACTGTGTTTATCTTGAGGTACACATTGGGCCCATTAGATAACGTTTTGGAAAGTAATGCCATTGTTAACTGGTAGTTAACAACCCAAGTTTTCCAAGCAAAGAAACTGTAAAGATGGTTACAAAATTCTTTGAAAAGAATACACCATTTCCATTTAAGATAAACTCTCCAAATTCTTAACTGATTTCAATTTTTAGGCTTAGCTTAAATATTTTAAATGAAACAATATGAGAGTGGGAGAAAAGGTTTATAGCTAAGAAATTATCTGAGCCCTACTACATGAGATTGTAAACAAAGGAAATTTGCGATCTGATAAGCTCTATTACAAAATTTATAGCCTAAAAATTAGAGCAGCAAAATTACAGAAGATATTTGTATATAGTTTAAACTGAAATCACGTTTATTCCTTGTTTCTGGCTATCACAATGAGACAAATTTTAAAACACCAAGTTTTAAAGACTGAACAGTGTGATTTAACATGATGTAACCATGAGAATCCCGTATTATTACAATCCCACAATCTAAAAACTCTACTTCACATAATTTGCACTCTAGGCCTTTTATTCTTCTTGCTCAAGCAGCCTGGTGCCTTTAGGTAACTTGAAAGATAGTGGAAATTGATATAAGAGGCATGTTTCTGAAAGCCCCCTACGTCCAACAACAGATTTAACTTTTCTGGTAGACTGAAATTAAAATTTCCTTTGAACAGTTCGCTAGGTTCTTTGAAGGATTATTTGTTTTCCAGTTTGTTATTCAAAATGTTAATCTTATACTTGCTAGGCACGATGAGTAGTGACTTATACAAAGTGTTTAGAAAATGAAGGACCCTCCATCCTTCCACACCCCACCTCCCATCCCTGGACTTCTCAGGGAGCTGTATGGATAACATGCAGGTGGCTGTGGAATGTGAGCAGAGACTGTTTATGCATGTGTCTGAGAACAGTTGGAACGGACTGTCATAATATTTCCCATAAGATTGTTGTATTTCGACATGAGACAAGAATAAACACTGCAATTTAGCTGAATGGGCAGTTCACTGCAACTTCATAAACTGCAATGATATATGTGGGTTGAAAGAATGTAAGTAAATTTCACAGTTCATAAAGTTGAGCAGCTCAACTTAAAGAAGAGAAAACTTGCAAGATTGATCTGTGAGTGTCTGAATTCTGCCTCCCAACATGAGTCAGGTCCACATTATACATTTTAGTTGCTTGGCTTGGTTTATTGCTGATTTTCTTTTCTGATGGGGGCCATGATGATTTTTGCCATGAATCTAAGGACCCAAAAGGGTCTTGTTTAGATAGACACTTCCTCTCTTTTGATTACAGGGGACCTGCCAGAGGAGATAAGATGATAAGTCTTGACCTGGCTGGTTAGAAGGGTTCTGTGTGTGGATCTCTGGGCATCACTTTTCACTGCAGAATCGCAGGGAAGGGCTGTGAAAGGGAAGGGCTTCTCGAAAGGGAAGGGCTTTCTCCTTATTATCCCTGCTTTGCATATCTTGTCATGATTCTCTTGGAGCTATGAATGCTCTGTCCAGTCAGGACACCAAGGTCCTTCACAGACAGGTGCTCAGCTTAGGAATGGCAATTTCATTTATTTGTGGCATTTATTTGTGACAGAAGATATTTATTACAATTAAAAGAATTCCAGGTCAGTAAAAAAAACAAAAAACAAAAAACAAAAAAACAACAACACTAGGCAATGAGAGAGATACTTTCTGCCTCCAACACATTCCAAGTTTTAGTGATCTTGGGGTGTTCTGTACCCCTTAATAGAGGCTGACGTTTTAAAGACAGGACACACGTAATTCTCCATATACCCAGCTGCCCATAGGACTTCACGTCTTTCTTACTCACACATACATACTCTTAGCAACTGAGATTTCAAATATAAACAATATGATCTCCAAGAGGGCAGGGGCTGTGTCTTTTACTCAGCACTGTAGTGATACTAGACTGTAGCATAAGTGAATCAAAGGCCACAGTCCCTGCCCTCAAGGAGTCTCTGCGTTGCCAATCAATATAAACTTGACAAAAATACACCAAGTCCAAAACAAGCAAAAAGAATTTAAAACCCTATTTTGTGTAAAGTTTTTACAAAAAGAAAAAAAACGCTAAAAGGAGTCAGTTGTTTATGTGAGGCAACCTTTATAGTAAACCCAAACCAACCCTGTTCCTTCTTCCTGAGTTTGAGAATTGTGTCCGAGTGCTAAGTATTTTAAAACGGATTCAGCTAGGTTTGCCAATGAAAACTTGCAGCTTAGTAACTGCATCTTGTCTGTTTTTATTTTAAAAAGAAGTTCTGAGAGGTTTACTTTACTAAGGGAGGCAGTCCCCCTCACACAGAAGGATGCTTTCAAAACACGAAAGCTTCATAGGTCTCATGTCCTGTGAGTGCAGTACCAGCACTTCCTCATTGAGTTATCTGTGACTTTTGAAGAGGTGCTCCAGTGTGAGAATTTTACAGGGTACTCTTTTTGCCTATAGTATTTACATTTTGGGAGACACGTTAGGAGAAAAAAAATGCTTTTTTTTTTGATAAAGGAGATCTAAGATGGAAAATTGGGTATCAATTCACTTCAACTCTAAAACCACGATATGGATTAAAAATATCTTTCTTCTAATGCCAAGAAATAAAGACACATTTCACAGGTCTACAAAACTAGACTGGTGGGTCTTGTCTTTCAATTTATTTTTTTATTTTGGTAGCAGGAAGAGATGGTAAGATATAAGTCCATCCTGCAAGTTATGCTGCCGCCTCACTGGCTGACCTTCCTATTCAAGAGGGCACTGTGTGCACCTCGGTCATGGGCTGTCCGCACATCTGGAATCTGGGGCCAGACTCTCAGGTGCAGGGGAGTAGATGATGCCTTGCTCTGAGAACTAATACAGTCTTAAGATGTATATTCTCTAAAAAAGTCAAGAATAATGACGCCATTATATTTTGGAATACTTAATCATATTTAGCAAAAATTCTCAGACTAATGTAAAAGTATGGTAATAATGTATTTTCTTTGAAAGAGAGGGAAGAAGTGGTTTATGAAATAAACAAGTCCTCTTATTGGTATTTTAAAAATACTCAACAGATGTAGCATATATAATAATAAAGGCCGGTGCGTCTGATTTCTCAGCTCTCGTAAAGCATGAAGTAGGTTGAGAATGCCTAATGTACTCTGACAAATGCTCTTCAGACCTCTCACCATCAGACACCAGGGGAAGGAGACCCTTAAACCGGAGAATTATAATTCAACAGAAACTGTCATTTCCCCAGACATCATGGGAGTATTACATGCAAAAACCAGCCCTGCGGTGAGTGGGCTTAAACTCAAACTTAATTCTTCAATACAGGATTCTTTACTGATTTGTTCTAAGTTTTCAGTGATGAACCCAAATAAGATTGAGCTTCAAGAGACAGGGTTCTGAGAATCTTTGGAGTCATTCTGTCCACTATTCCTAAGAGAATCAATGTAGATAACAGTCCCAAAACCTCAACAGATTGTTTAAAAGTGAACAGATGTTATCTAAAATATCAGAATCAAAATTATGTGTAAAACATATCCGGGTGTATTGTGTATGCACCTATACATGTTTATATATGTATATTCTTTTTTCTCTGCTCAATAAAATTAGCAGCAGTTACAGATAAATTATTGTGGTCATGATTTGTGTGATTTCTAAGGACAACATATATCCCTTTATCAACATATGACTCTTGGAAAATGCCTTGTGATAAAAAGATCCCCACCAAGCATACAACATTAAAGTGTCAATTCGTATCACTAACATTTTCAGGCACAAGAGTAAAACAATTAGCAAGAAGCAATCTGAATGACAGAGCACAGAACACAGTTAATTGTCTAAAGTCAACCCTCCTGAAAGAAGGGACTTGTTCAAAAGTGTTTTTTTTTTTTTTTTAAAGATTTTTATGTCTTCCAGCTTTGGCTATTTTGTAATAAATATCATACCTTCTCACATAAACCTACTTGGGTAAGAATGATTTCTCTGCACATGCCTTTTTTTCTTTTAGCAGCTGCTGAGTGTTTGTTGAGTGACGTACAAGGCACACCTCCAAGTGTTCTGTACAGCATTTTTATTGATGTACAAAATAGCCTGTTCACCATTCAAAAACGTAATCTGCATAGTAAGAGTTTCTCTTATCCCTATTTACAGAGAAGGTTTTTAGTGCAAAAACATGAAATTGTGTCCCAGCCCACCCCTTCTAGCACACGCATTGATCAGTTTTGTTCCATGCTGGCCGGGGGTTATTTGGCTATATTTTGGGCCTCCAGCCATTAATGAATTGCATTATCTTCTTCACCTGCAATTTGCTCAATTTGAAATCCTCTGAGAGGATTTCTTCCGTTAGCTGAACAAGCAGGTTCCCATCAATCTTTTCAGTAACAAAGAATGATATGACATCTTCGGACAAACCAATGAACCGTAGTGACTTGGACACTTCCTCTATAGAGAGTCCTGATAGGTCAGCAGGTGGCTGCCATGGGGAACCGTCGCCACAGGATCTGGGGGCCAGCTGGAGATGGAGCGGAGATGAGAAAGGGTAGGAGGCAGAGAAGATGTCCTGCATGCCCTTTTTAACAAAATACTGGTCCTCCGAGAGATCTGGTGACCCAGACTTGGGGTCTTCCTCAGCACCATCAATTTTCAGAGGCAAAGGAGATGTTTCGGAGGCGACCTTCTCTTCCACTAGTTTTGGAGCCCTGGGGGGTAAGGCAGGGCATGACGTACTCTGCTTTGTCACACCAGCTGCAAGAGATTTCACATCTGTGCTCTCCAGAGAGTAGCTGGCTGACTTGGGACAACCAGAGACGCTGCTACTGAATTCTGCAGTGACTGGGCTAGTGGGGCTGGCCAGGAGCTCACAGCCATCAAAATCAAAAGGTGCTGGGCAGTTTCTCTTTGGTGTGCCTGGCGTCTTTTGTCTAGGGTAACTATAACTCCTGCTTGGATCCAGCAGGAAGTCACTCCTGGTCTGGCTTTCTGATGCTCCTGAATAATGGTTAGGCCATGAGAGCCGAGAGGACACAGCTTCAGCAGAAGGACTTCCAAACGGGGATTTCAGGTCCACAGAATCAGTTTTCACTCGGTTACATGGATAGCAGGAAACAGGAGTGCTTTCAGAAGGATTTGTGTCAGTTTTAGTGACGCTGCTTAAAAGCAAACACAGAAGGAGAAATCAGTTAAAAGAAAAAAGCCAAATCCCAAGGCTTTTGTTATTTATAGACGTTACTGCTGAGTAGAAAAGCGCAGTTAGTTTTGAATTCAATAAAATTCCTGCTAACTTCACTGGGTTTTTTTTTTAAAGAATCTTTAATAAAATACATTGGTAATTGTAGATATGTACATAATGATTTAAAATGCTACAGTGGAGATAAAATAAATATTTCAGCTAGTAAGAAAATAATTGTTAATAGGTGCCTGGATCTTTATGATGAGGAAAATTATTAAGTCACGTGTAGGCTCTGCACCAACAGGTGCCATGATTGATGAATGATGTCTGCAGTGAGCGAGGGTAGAAGGAGAGAATAGTAAATGAGTGGCGCATGCTTGCCATGCTTGTGCTACAGTGACATGATGGCATCACACCACCCGTGACTCTATTTCCACCCAAAAGTCTGAGGCAGGAGGAAATCCTTCAAATAAAATGTTTATCCTTGTCTTAGTTTCTGAACAATCGAGTAACATTAGCGCAAAGATTTAAATGTCCAGAGAACAAAAAGTACCTGCAAAGAGAGCTACTTTAAACTGTAATGAGCACATGTGGAGCGGTAGCTTAGGCTCTGGGGGGTTTTAAGAGCAACATGAAACTAGAGTGTGCTCAAAGGAGGGTGAGCAGGCCGGTGAGGGGTCTGACAGTGATGTCGGGGAAACAGTAGAGGGACGCAAGGATGTTTCTTTTGGAGAAGAGAAGACTTCTATCATAGCTGACTCGGAATTTTCATGAGTTGACAAAGAGATATGGGATGGACCTATTTTTGTTTCTTTAGACCTAAGAAATGATTGAAAGTTACACAGAGGTTGATTTCAACTCAATATAATAAAGGGTGTTTTTTTTTAAGTATTGGTACTTGCCAACAATGGAATGAGCTGTGTTGCAGAAGAATGATCTCAGAGCACTGGAAGTATCCAGACAAAAGGAAATGACCACTCAACAGTGATGGTCAAAAGGGGACTCCTGTCTGGATGGAAATTCAGAGTAGATAGCCAATGGGACCCTTTCCATTTTAGGTCCTGGTCGAAGGTGTTGTCTGCTTGAAGGTGCTGTCTGCTCGTGTCAAAGTGGAAAGAACCAGATGCTGACTTGTGAGAACTGATGGCAGCCCCCGGGTTGTTTCCAGGAGAATCTAGTTGGCCTTTACCTCTGAATTTCTCAGACTGGTGTGGCATCTTTTCTTCCCAAGACATTGGCTCTTCCATTCTAGCTCGAAACAAACAGGGGCCCCATCATGCTCACTCAGTAAAATTATTTAGAAAATTAAAAAGCCATTTCCTCTCCCACCACCCTGCCTGTTAGGGCTACCGTGAAAATGCTTTCAAGAACCCATGAACTGGTGGATGAGAAGATAAGCGTGCAGTGGGACCTGGCAGGAAGACTTACATGTTGTGTAGCCCTGAAGAATAGTAGGACAAGGTGGGGCTGGGAGAGCGAGTCTGTTGCCGCGCTGGCTTGACTGTGCGAGGAGGGATGGAGGGACTGGTGGACAAAGGCTTTGCGCTTCGGGGTGGAACAGGTGGGGCGTTCAGGAGCCGGCATTCTTCTCTGACCTGGCGCAGAAAAGAACACTCCAGGTTAGCAACAGACTGACAATGCCACGGGGCGCCAGCTCAATCCTGAAGACTTGCTCAAGTCACACTCTTAAACCGTAACAGCAGGGTGTAAGCATGGCAGAGAGAAGATTGAAGTAAACAAGAATGATAGGAAGCACAGAGGCTGCCAGAGAGCAAATCAGGCGCCTGTCACACACTTGCTGGGACAGAATGATTTTTGAAAGAAACTGCTTGGCAAATGCTGGCTGCTGCTGAAATATAGAAAGTAATATGAAATACGGCAAGTTAAAGTGTCTATGGTTAAAGAGCTAGTGACATGTGAGGATGGATAAAGAGGAAGTATTAAGAAAATAAGAACGTAAGGCATTCACAAATTTAACTTGAGGATTCATCTCTTCTATTAGGTTGTGTTTTTTTCATTGTTCAAGCTGAATTCAATTTGATCCAAACCTTAGAGAACCCTGGACCTGGTCCAGAGCTAAAGCTCCTTCTGAAGTCATGTTCAGGGATGTTTTTTTTTTTTTTTTTTTTTTGAGATGGAGTCTCACTCTGTCGCGCAGGTTGGAATGCAATGGCACAATCTCAGCTCAGCTCACTGCAACCTCTGCTTCCTGGGCTCAGGTGATCCTCCCACCTCAGCTTCCCGAGAGGTGGGACCACAGGTGTGCGCCAGTACACCTGACTAATTTTTTGTATTTTTAGTAGAGATGAAGTTTCACCATGTTGCTCAGGCTGCCTCCCAAAGCATTGGGATTATAGGCATGAGCCACCGTTCCTGGCCAGGGCTACTTTTTAATTTTTTTAATTTATTTTTTTTATTTTTCAAGACTGAGTCTTGCTCTGTTGCCCATGTTGGAGTGCAGCGGCACCATCTTGGCTCACTGCAACCTCTGCTTCCCGAGTTCAAGCAATTCTCCTGCCTCAGCCTCCTGAGCAGCTGGGATTACAGGCGCCTGCCATCATGCCCGGCTAATTTTTGTATTTTTAGTAGAGTCGGGGTTTGACGATGTTGGCCAGGCTGGTCTTGAACTCCTTGCATCTACTTGCCTGGGCCTCCCACAGTGCTGGGATTACAGGTATGAGACATTGAGCCAGGCAAGGGCTTCTCAAATGTAAATATGAGTGTGTATCATCTAGGGATCTTGTTTAAAATGCAGGTTTTGATTCTGTTGACCCAGGGTGGGGCCTGGGAATCTGCATTTCTAACAAGTTCCTAGGTGATACTGATGCTACCTGACCATGGTCCACACACTGACAAGGCTGCAGAAGGAGTAATGAAGCGGCTCTCTACATCCAAAAAGTACTTTTTATAAGAGCTGCTTCCAGCTCTCTCACATTTCCTTCGTCTTCACACTGGAGAGGATCTAGCTGATCTGTGCTGTCCATGGCTTCTCTGAGACTGCCTGCCATTCCCCTAATTTGCCTTCCATTCCTTGCAGGCATTTCAGAATATAATTACTAATGAAGTGACATTTTTCATGTACTTCTACGTGTCAGGCAGCAGGGGGCAGTTTATACCTGGCTCTGCTAGTCTACCCTAAGCTATAGAGGTAAAAATATTAACAGAGCCAATTCTGACTCTGTCAAAAATGCTATGCTTTGAAATGCATACCTTGTCTACTTTTAGGCTATGTTCCCACCAAGTTTTTCACCTTCACTTTCAATTCCTTTCTGGCCAAGCAGCTCTGGGATAAGACAATGAAACAGCAAGCTCCTATTAGCTTTGGTATTGAGTTTGCTTAAGCGGAAATGAAATGGGTTCATGTTATCACACTGCATCTCCTACTATCTACACCACACCCGGGACCTCTACCTCGCATCCCTGGCCTGATTCACTTGCCAGAGAAAACCAGCCATTAAGAAGACTCATGGCTATGGGTAGCCCAGTAAACCCAACTCTAAATGAAATGGAAGCAATTTAAAAAGTCTTATCAACTGCATTTCTTCCCGGGGCTGGGGATCACTGCTCCTACCTGCAGGACCCACAGCCCTGGTTACTGGGGCCCAGTGGGTTGGTGAAAGGGAACGGTTTCATCTGGAGAAGCTCTTTAGACTAAAAGAAAATATTCGGAGCAGCAGATTTCTTCCACAATAGACGCAGGCTTTCCCCTTGTGAGCTTTTAAAAAGGTGGTGGATGACTGCAGAAAGGATGCCCGGGAGGAAATGAAGTTTGGATAATCACGTGAGAGGAATGCTTGGCTGGGCTGGCCCAGGAAAGACCCTTGCACCATTCTGGGGTCTTTTTTTTTTTTGGAGACGGAGTTTCACTCTTGTTGCCTAGGCTGGCGTGCAATGGCATGATCTTGGCTCATTGCAACCTCCGCCTCCCAGGTTCCAGCGATTCTGCTGCCTCAGCCTCCTGAGTAGCTGGGATCACAGGCATGCGCCACCACACCCAGCTAATTTTGTATTTTTAGTAGAAAGGGGGTTTCGCCATGCTGGCCAGGCTGGTCTCGAACTGCTGACCTCAGGTGATCCACCCTCCTTAGCCAGGCGGGTCTTCTTAAGAGGCTGAGAACCAACCAGGATGCCGGAGCTCAGGCTGGGCCACCCCGCTTTCTGGCTTTGGTTCATCTTCCTTCTGTCTTGTTAGTGAACTGCACGGTAGCCAGATGTGTTTCTTTCTTAGGGAATATCTATAGAATTTAGGGTGGATGGCTGTCACTTTATTACAGATGTGCTTGGTTCTATTTATGTTTATAGAAATAGGGCGCATGGAAAATGTGAGACGATAAGGACTCTGTCAGTTAACTTTTCAATTTTAAAATAAATACTTAGCTACTTCCCAATATTGGATTAGAGTGGAACATGAGGAAAACATGGTTAATGCTGGATTCAATTTAGCACTTTCAAAATTTTAGAATTAGCCACTAAATATGACGTTTCATTAGGAAACACTTACCTGGGATGTCAATTATAATATGCTCAGATGTCAATTACAATATGCATTTTAATTTACAATAGTTGGCTGACTTAGGTTTATAAACTCAGAAAAGAAGCCACTTGTAGTTGAATTTGACCTAAAGGAACTCCCGAACTCCCCTCTTCCTGTACTTATAATCAACCCCAGGTACCCAAGGTCACTTAGAGCTGGTTCTGCCACCTTCAAAACTAGGGACTCCTGAAGGGCTAATAGGTTTCCCACAATGGTGAGGAGAGGGCAGTAGTGAAGAGAAGCATTTCTAAGCTAAAGGGCCTGGTGAGGAGGTAGCCAGGGCCAACTGGGAGTGTTTATGGTTGATGCTCAAGACAGAATTTGAGACACATAGAGCTTTTGGGGTGGCCACATGACTCCTGAAGGGAGTTAAAGAACTAATGTGTGTGTGTGAGAGAGAGAGAGAGAAAGAAAGAGAGAGAGAGAGAGAAACAAACTGATTCTTACTTTTAGGAGATGGGAAGTTGTCAGTGATGAAACAAGAATATGAGGCCAGGGATTTTTTTCTGTTGTGATGGGAGGGCAGTCTGGGTGTTGTTATGTGAGGTCAAGGTAAAAGAATTAGGTTTACTTGAAACTCACTTTAGAGAAAGGTGTTTTGTTGTTGTTGTTGTTTTAAAGGATGACTTTAAAGGTACTCCATTCATGACAAGAATTTTGAGTGTCATTCTGTTGAGGCACAGAGTGAGTGGCTTGCACTACGCCAGGCAGGTGAGGGGCAGCCCACGGCAGGTGGGCACAGCTGAGGACTCCACAGACACATCTCCAAGTGGCATTATTATTTTCAACTTGTTGCTGCATGGGTGGCCGCTCCGATGATGGCCTATTTCTCTGCATCTTAAGGGAAGAATTACATGCTATGGTGGGCTGTATGCGTTCTGGGATTCAGAAGTGACAGAGTGAGGGCTTATTGTACCATCTTAGTTCCTATCTCTTACTCTTAGAACAGTAACAGTTCTATTACTCTTTGCTTCTTGATTTGATTCATGCAGGATATTTATATCCAGGAGGAAGGTAGCTGTGCTTTAGATGAATTTTATCTGTCAATAAAAGGCAATTTTTAAGACTAGACGGTCAATCACCCTATCTCCAGTTTTCCTTCATATTCAATTTAGCTTTTAAGTGTAACATTTTCAGCACATCCCTTCTGGAAGCCTCAGCATGTGGCTCTCATCATGTTACTCGCTGTCTCCGACGGCTCCCTCTGATTCCTGGATAAAGGCTGGCCTCCCCTGCCTGCCACCCAAGGCTCTGTGCGACCAGGCTCCCACGCATCTTTCTAGCAATCTCTCCCACTGCTCCTAGTCTATATGGGCACGCAGGTCCATGCAAAGTGGTGGACTCAGTGTCCCCCCAGCACACCCTGTGCTTTCCTGCCCCTTTCTCTGGTTTAGTTTTTACTGCCCACCACACCTAAACACCAGTTCCTGTGGGCCAGCCCCACACATTACACACTCTGTGTGCCACTCTCCATCTATATTTAATGAGCCTGCGAGCTAAAATGTAGGGACTGCCATTTTAGCTATCCCTTGTTATTACTATCCTGGGGATAGCAGAGTTTGGGGATTTGTCACTCCTGGCATGAACATGTCACACAGAATGCCTGGTAGGTGTTAAGAAATGTCACAAAAAATACAAAAAAAAAAAAAGGCACTTAAAAAAACCCATATACCATAGAATATCTTTTATATGTTTATGTGGAAATTATTACTGACAAGTCATTTGGGCTGAATGTTAAGTTTTTTTGGTGACCCTGAGTCAATCTAGGGGAAAAAAAGGCACCAGAAGACCTGCCACATATGACCACCACCAACTCTACCACCACCCTTTGACACAGTGTCATGGTGAAAATGACAGTGACAGTATTCCTGAACTAGGAAGCGCTGTGGCTTTAATCTAGCACACCCCAGAGTAATGACTATTCTAAAATGAAGATCTAAAGGACTATACTGTGCCTAATGGACTAAAGCCTTTCTATTTATTTCCAATGTAATGTTTATGACTGGACTTCCACTGGCAACACAAGGAGAGAGGGGCCCCTGTATTATCAGGAATGAACCTCCAACCCTCACGCTCAGTGAAGAGCTGGCGTTCTGTTTTGAGGTGGGTGTTACCGTCCATTGCAGATGACGGTGATCTCTGCCTATGTGTAGTTAATTTCAGGTTATGAGTACCTTGACTATTCACAGAGAAACTCCTGGAACCAAAGTCCTGTTGATGACAGGGTCAATGAGCACAGTGCGGATACACGGAGTACCCAAAGCCTCGCTTCCTGAGCAATTCCCCGGCCTAAAGCTTTTCTTCCCAGCTGCCCCACCGCTAGCATACTTCTCTCCTCCTGCTCCTTCAGAGTAAGTCTATCTCTTTTTTTTTGAGACTGAGTTTTGCTCTTGTTGCCCAGGCTGGAGTGCAATGGCGCGATCTCAGCTCACCGCAACCTCCGCCTCCCAGGTTCAAGCAATTCTCCTGCCTCAGCCTCCCGAGTAGCTGGGATTACAAGCATGTACCACCACGCCTGGCTAATTTTGTATTTTTAGTAGAGATGGGGTTTCTCCATGTTGAGGCTGGTCTCAGACTCCTGACCTCAGGTGATTCGCCCGCCTCGGCCTCCCAAAGTGCTGGGATTACAGGCGTGAGCCACCGTGCCTGGCCTAAGTCTGTCTCTTTTCTAAAATGTTCAGTGTTTCAATTATCATCAAACATGAGACACCACTACTCTGGTGTTGATACAAGTCTCCTTGGTATTCACATTGCAAATCAGGAATGCAGAGCTAAACAGAAAGCTCATTTATTAAAGAGGTAGAAACGGTGAGTTCTGTTCTTTCTCGAACTTCATCCTCTTTAGTCAATGAGGCATATTTCTAGAAAGGCATATTCAGACAACTGAAATAATCTAATAATGGGGGCTTAAAGCAAGCTGTAAAAGGTGTCTGTCCTGGGGGCTGATGGCCGGGATCACAAGCATCGACTTCCACCATCCCTGAAAGTCTGAACAACATGGCTATCACTTCTCTTTTCCTACAGCCTCTATTAATTCCACTTTGCTATTTGTTCAAATAGATTGAGTGCCTATCATGTGCTCATTGAGTTAGTGTTGAGTATACAACAGTGAGTAACTCATGGAATTACTTATGAGGGAGGGAAACAAACATAATTAAAATACAATCTGGTAAGTGTGATAAGACAAGTATGTGCAAGGTTCATGGGAGCACCATAAATTTACTCAAGGTGGCAGGAGAAGAACAAATTCATAGGTAATTTTACTGAGAAAGTCTTAGGAGGGATTATGAGTGTACAAAAGGTAGAACATAGAAGAACATGGCATAAAAGAAGAACCAGAATGATGATCTGGTCTGTGGGCTTAGATGATGAAACAAAACACTGGTACCATTCATCAGATAGAAATTTAGAAGAACAGGGCTTGGGAAAAGCAGAGGAGGTCAGTTTTGAAAATACTAACTTTGAGCTCAGTGTTCTAATGATAGATAGAATCTGAAGTTATGGCGGCACTGAGATCCCAGATGAGAAGTGAAGAAGGCTGAACCCCCAAAGGATGGGCAGAAGAGAAGACAGGAGGGGAAAAACAGGTAACTACACTTTAGTGCTCACAGAGCAGAATCATGCCTGAATGGCGTCAAGGAAGCCAAGGGAGGGAGAGCTGCAGGGGAACAACAGTGCAAAGATGGAGAGATGTCAGGAAGTCAGGAAAGAGGCTGGAAGAGGTTCCCCTTATGTGACAGCTAGCAAGTCACTGGTGATCTTAGCAAATGAGGCGTGAGTCAAGTGAGGGGGCAGAGCCAGACTCTAGTGAGTCAAAGTTAGACAGGAGGTAAGAGTGGTGTTCGTGAGGGCAGATCACTCTTCTCAGGAATTGTCTGGAAAGAAAGGAGTGAGGCAGTTGTTACAAAAGGATACTGGTTTGAAGAAGGCATGCCTTTTAAAAAAAAACTTTAAAGAAACTTGAAAAAATGTGCCTGGGTACGTATATGCATGCATGTAAGCTGGAGGTCAACTGTACACTGATGCCTGGGACCCTGTGCTCACCTTTAATTTAAGAAGATAAAGGGGAGACCATTTTTCCATTGCTCCCTGCCTCTGTCATGCCATCACTGGCCACATAAAGCTAGAAAAATAAATTAATGGTAGCATATCATCTTAACAGTGAAAGCAAAGATGAAACACACTAATAGAACAAATGCTTTGGAAAGCTTCATGTTTCTAAGTGGAAGTGGTCAACAAAGTCAAGTGCAACTCCAATCTATGGTCCAAATCAAACACATCATAAAATGGAACTATTTTCTTTACTTTCAGAATACTGCCCAGGGAGCTTAACGTCATTTCCTGAGTCCTGGAATAGACATTTAACCTTCTTTTCCCTTCTCTCCTTACAGTTCTAACTCTTGCTTAGTTGGGAGGGAATTGAGCACAGGTCAAGGATCAGTAATTTGTCTCCTCTAAATTGCAACATGTTGAAAATAATGCACGAGAATTTGTTAACAGTAGGAAGCTCATCATTGCATGAGTGGAAAGCAGAGTTACATGTAGATCTTTGGAGGACAAAAACTGAAACATACATACAATTGGAGTGCTTTCTACATAGTATCTATGAAATAATTTCTTTCTCCTGTTACACCTCTTTCTCTGATACTTCCTAGGGGTTTATGAAACAATATGTCTAAGACTGGGGGCTTTTTGGTACAACAGCATTTCTTGGAAAGCCTTTGTTTTTCACAACTTCTGACTCCTCTGTTCTGTGGAGGAAACAGAACTTTCACATGCAGTCACTAACAGGACCAAAGAGCTTAAGAAACGTAAAAGGACAGTTAACTAAGGCATGGTCTTAGCAGTTTTCAGATAGCCTTTTGGGAAAAAAATCAATTTCAGAGCAGTGGTGGGTGCTCAACTCTTACATACAAGATGATGGATCTAGGGACATCTGCTGACAGGGCCATGTATTTCCTGAGTTAACCTTCTAGAATCAACTGTCACATGCCTGGCAGGGGCGTGGGGGAGAGAGTATACCTCCTGTCTCAAAGTTCATATTGTTTGGAATTGTGGACAATCAATAAGGAGATTTTGGCATACTTAGGTGGTGTAAGGATCGTTTTGTTTCCATATTGACAATGATTAAGAAAATACATACACTGTAGGGGAGCTTGATTTAAAATGAGATTCACCTTTCTTGTGCATTTTCTTCCCTAAAAAGCCAAATGCAGGACAATGTCAGCAACCCAAAGAAAGGAGTTTTGTAACCATGCTTCCTTGAACTTTGTAACTTTGCCTTCACTGACTGCCCTCTGCCCTGTATTTTACATTTCTTCCCACACTCCCAGATAACAAAATCATTACAGCCGTTAAGAAACCTTATTTATAAAGAGGCTTTTATACAGAGTTCATAACCCTGTCACATAACCATCAGCGGATATTTTCAGTCAAACAGAAATTAAAGTTTTATAATGACAAAGTACAATAAATGAACCTCTATTTGATTAATTACACAAGGGCAAATGTGATTTACAGTCAAAATCCTGATTCTTAGATGCGTGAGCTTCTTTTTTCCATTTTTATACATTGATGATAAGGACCTAAGACAGACCTTTCTCAGAAATGGTCTCCAATATTCCAGCCTCAGGCAAGGGAGGCCCAGGGGAAGGAGCGGGCAGCCACTTACTCAGTGGCAGGAGGGGCAAGTGGTTCTGAAAAGATGTACTTGTTTAACATTTAGGGTGCTTTCATGGACTCAGAAAGTATATGCCATTGAGGAGTAGAATAAAGATCTTTCCTGAGCAAGGAGTGTACGTGATAAATATACTTAAGTAGTGTATAACCTTCCTATTAATGTGATTTTATACAAATGGTATATACCTAATTGTACAGGTTTGGAACAAGACTTATCCAATAGAACAGGGTCCCCAACTTTTGGGATATGGACTGATACTGGTCTGTAGCCTGACAGGAACCAGGCTGCACAGCAGGAGGCGAGCAGCTGGCAAGTGAGCCAGTGAAGCTTCATCTGTATTTACAGCTGCTCTCCATCCCTTGGATTACTGCCCCAGCTCCAGCTCCTGTGAGATCAGTGGCAGCATTAGATTCTCATAGGAGCATGAACCCTATTGTGAACTGCACATGTGAGGGATCTTTGCACGTTCCTTATGAGAATCTAGGTTGCGTATTCCTTATGAGAATCTAATGCCTGATGATCTGTCACTGTCTCCCATCACCCCCAGATAGGACCATCCAGTTGCAGGAAAACAAGCTCAGGGCTCCCACTGATTCTACATTATGGTGAGTTGTATAATTATTTCATTATATATTACAATGTAATAATAATAGAAATAAAGTGTACAATAAATGCAATACACTTGAGTCATCCCGAAACCACTCCCTCCCCCAACGCCAGGTCCGTGGAAAAATTGTCTTTCATGAAACTGGTCCCTGGTGCCAAAAAGGTTGGGGACTGTGGCAATTGGATATTATATCCTTATTATCATTCTAATCATTAAGATTTTCAATAGACACAGAAGAAGAAAAAAACAAATCTTGGCCTAGAAGCTTTCATTTAAAAAGAACCTACATGAAACAGAATGGCAATTAGTTTCAAAGTTATCAAAACACAATAATAATTTAGTCCTTATTTCAATTAACAAATGGGAACTTAGGTATGGCTTGCTTACAAAGTACTCCTCAAAGCTTGTAATTAAAATTAATTAAATGTCAAATGCCCTACGAAACCTCATTAACTAGTGGAATCCTGAGTATATCTTTTTGTAGAGCAGTTATTTGGAAAAGTAAATAATCACTAAGCTTAAATATTAATACATCAGATTTAAGAAAATCTGTCTGTCAATACCTTTTCTAATATTAATATTTTACAGAGAGAAAAAGCCCAAAGACAAAATAAAATAAAAATGCAGAGTACAATCAATTCTTAGCTACTTTCCACAGCTTATTATCAACAAACATATTTTATGGCACTTTCTTAACTTGGGCAGTCACGTGAGGCCCCTAATTCTGTAGGCTGGGCATATCCAAAGTAATGAGATCTGGCAGCACCAGGAGCTGGCCTGGCCAAGCCCGAGGAAGGGAGTCAGTTATCCAAGGCCACTTCTCACCTTTGATATTTCTGTGTTGGTTTGCCCGGGAATACCAGTTTCTTGACACTTGTTCACAGCCTTAGAGCCTCATGTGGCTTTTTCACAGGCACTCTAGTTCTTCAAAACCCCCGACTCTGCCACTAAAAGATTATGCTATTGGGATCCACAGGGTGCCAAGCATTTCTGGAGCTCTTTTTGGGGGCATATGATGATTACAAAGTTTGTGATGATTCCACAGTTAGGTAACTAAAACAGTACCTATCTTACCAAGTAGAAGTTTTAAAAGTCAGATTAAAAGAATGTTTTGCTATTTTTAAAACCAACTGTGTGTTTTTGTAATATCTTAGAAACCCAGCAGAATGAACTAGCACACCCACTTCTGGAATGGGAGGCTGACTGACCCCCGTGGTAGCTGGCTCTGCCCATCTGCTGTGGGGATGGATATGTCCACTCCCACCCACCTTCTGACTCTTTGGAGGGGACTTATGTACCTGGAAAGTGTGACTTCTTCTCTCCATCCCTTAGTCAAGGAAAGACAGTGGGAAAAAACCTCTAAACAGTGACTGTCTACCTGACTCTAAACTGGAATCCATCCTATATTAAATTATTGCTACTATTTATTTTAAATGTTTACCGAGTGCCAGGGAGAAGTGCCAAGTTCTTCGCACAGTACAAAAATGCAGTGAAGATGTTATTATCCCCACAGGAACTGACTCAGGGAGGTTAAATATTTTGTGCAAGGTATGAAGCTACAAAGTGGTAGCATGAGGATTGAAATCGATGTGCAGCTCTCAGATGCAATGCTGCACGCCTCTAATTATCTATCACATAGTGAGTGTTCTGCCTGTCTGAGGCAGATTCAGATGGCCCAACTGACTTCTCTATAGTTAAATCAGTTTTTTTTCAAGCACCTACTAGGCTAGGCCCATCAATCTGGCATTAAATTTACTCTTTAAGTCCCATTTTTCTCAAACACCAACAACACAGTGTGCTTCATTAAAGAAACTTTATGATGAACTTCCGGCCTTCTAACAATGAATGCGTGTTACCAACCCATCTTAAAACTTAGTCCCTAAACTCTGTTTCTCACAAGCTGTGGGGCAACCCTGTCTAACACAAAGGTTCACAAATTCATCAACACTGCAGTAAAATTTAGTTGAAACCAGTGGTTCACAAAAGAGCTCCTTTTATCATTTTCCTTTTACCAGGAATTGCTATAATATCAACCACTATCCATAAGGGAATGTGTTTTTTTCTGTTCTTAAAGACAGATGGAGGCCGGGCACGGTGGCTCATGCCTGTAATCCCAGCACTTTGGGAGGCTGAGGCAGGTGGATCATGAGGTCAGGAGATCAAGACTGTCAGCCCTCTGAGCCCAAGCCAAGCCATCGCATCCCCTGTGACTTGCACGTATATGCCCAGATGGCCTGAAGTAACCGAAGAATCACAAAAGAAGTGAATATGCCCTGCCCCACCTTAACTGATGACATTCCACCACAAAAGAAGTGTAAATGGCCGGTCCTTGCCTTAACTGATGACATTACCTTGTGAAAGTCCTTTTCCTAGCTCATCCTGGCTCAAAAAGCACCCCCACTGAGCACCTTGCGACCCCCACTCCTGCCCGCCAGAGGACAACCCCCTTTTCCATTACCTTCCCAAATCCTATAAAACGGCCCCACCCCTATCTCCCTTCGCTGACTCTCTTTTCGGACTCAGCCCGCCTGCACCCAGGTGAAATAAACAGCCATGTTGCTCACACAAAGCCTGTTTGGTGGTCTCTTCACACGGACGTGCATGAAAAAGACCATCCTGGCCAACATGGTGAAACCCCGTCTCTACCAAAATAAAATTTAAAAAAACTTAGCCAGGCGTGGTGGCGTGAGCCTGTAGTCCCAGCTCATTGGGAGGCTGAGGCAGGGGAATCGCTTGAACCCAGGAGGTGGAGGTTGCAGTGAGCCGAGATCGCACCACTGCGCTCCAGCCTGGTGACAGAGTTAGACTCCGTCTAAAAAAAAAAGAAGACAGATGGAGAACACTGATCACTGGGTGCTGGGGTCCCCAGATAGGACACTGCCACACAAATGGTTTTAGAAGAGCTGTGAACCTGCAGGGTTTTTGTTTGTTTGTTTGTTTTTCTGAGACTGAGTCTTGCTCTGTCACCCAGGCTGGAGTATAGTGGCACGATCTCAGCTCACTGTTGGCCAACTGGTCTTGAACTCCTGAGCTCAAGTGATCTGCCCACCTCGGCTTCCCAAAGTGCTGGGATTACAGGTGTGAGCCACGGTGCCAGGCTAACCCTGCAGTTTTGATAACCATTTGTAACTCATTGCATAGACGAGAACAGACTGGAAGTCAAATGATCTATTTATAGAATTTTGTGCAATATAAAGTCTTCCCAGCATTGCTCTCCAAAATGGCATTTTCTAAAGAGGGGGAAAAGAAGATTGCTCTTGAAGATTGCCTTTTGTAGAGTACATCTGGGTAAATATTTTACATATCAGCCAATAACCAGAGAATCTAACTGATGAATAGAGGCCTGCAATATTATAAAATAGAGGATATGTTTAGAATAAACACATGGATCAATAAGGATAATCCACTTAAGAGGGACTGTCAGGTCATTCTGATCTGGGGGCACCTTGCAAAATTTTAAAAAGGGAAAATGCCAGACTGGGCATGCTCCCTCAGTTGGGCTCAGCTGCAACAGTTCTAGGGGTTGCATCTTGTCTATTTCTTGAACCAGGAACTGTTTACTTTTCCCTGGGACATTCCCGTGAGGAAGAGAACGGCCTCTCATATTCCAGAGAGGTTAGTGTCAGTGTTTTGTTTAAAAAATTATTAAACATGGCTGGGCGCAGAGGCTCATGCCTGTAACCCCAGCACTTTGGGAGGCAGAGGTGGGTGGATCACTTGAGGTCAGGAGCTCAAGACCAGCCTGGCCAACATGGTGAAACCCCATCTCTACTAAAAATACAAAAAAATTAGCCAGATGTGGTAGCGCATGCCTGTAATCCCAGCTTCTCGGGAGACTGAGGCATGAGAATCACTTGAACCCGGGAGACGGAGGTTGCAGTGAGCCAAGATCGTGCACTGCACTCCTGCCTGGGCAACAGAGCCAGACTCTGTCTCAAAAAAAACAAAACAAAAAAAAGCATAAAAAATTATTAAACAATCTTTACAAAGAGATAAGAGGACTAGAGCATACAATTCTAGAGCATCAAATACAAAGATACAAGAGGACTAGAGCATCAAATGCAAGTTAATATACAAGATATATTAACAAAATACATGAATGGGATTAAACGGATGACTCTGCCCCCAAGGATTTTCTGGTTGGCTCACGATGTAGTTTCCCTGTTTAAGATACAAACAGAAAAGGGCTGATGAGCAGAGCCCGGAGGATGCCAGAGCTGCAGCACAACTTGGGAGGAAGACACCCTTTCTTTGACTGCCATGGCACCTTCTATTTCTAAGGACCTGGTGAGAGATGTCACCTTCCCAGCTAATATCTAGCTGGTGAACTTTCAAGGGAAGCCAACATCTTTAATTACTGGGTAGGATAGTTGGCTGGACACATGGCACATCTCTCTCCCAAGACTCATTCCACCGGAACTATCCAAATAACTTTTACTTAATTCTGTGGGAGCACTTAAATTTATGCCCCATTAAAGTTCCCTTTTGAAAATTACAAGCTGAAGCCACATCTAACAACTATGATGTTCTCTGGATCCCACGCACATCCTAAAAATGGAAAATTCATTTCATGGTCACAGAACCAATAAAAAATATGACTTCATTTGAAATGCCTAATTTTTTTAAAAAAAACAAATTAAATGATTTCAGGTGTTTATAAAAAATCTTTAGGTTTATAGCAATCTACAAACACTGGACACGCTCTGAAAAGATTCTCTTATGTCATAAGAAGTTACAGCTTAGACTGGAGGCCAAATTTTTTTTTCTTCTGTGAGATTTGCTTTTAGTTTCAAATTTAGCATTTCTTTTTTAGTACCAAGGGCAAAGCTGGACCTCTTAATATTTATGTTCTTACTCATCTTTCATTAGCCACAGAAAAAACAAGTGATGCTAGTTTCCTACCTCTAGACTTGGTTACATAAATGACCCTGGGTGTGACCATCTCAGATGAGTCTGTAAGTCAATCAGCAAACATGAGTCCCCACTGTGTGCCAGGTAGGACCTAAGTTCAATAGGAAAAGCTCATGCAGTCATGTTTCTATTGAAGGTCAGAGCCCCAACCTTCAAGTAACATGAAATACATAGCTGAATTAAGACATCCCTCAAGTTCCAGGAGTACTTGTTTGGAGGGGTGCCCCCTTACTTTTTTTTTTTTTTTTTGAGACAGTCTCGCTCTGTCGCCCAGGCTGGAGTGCAGTGGCGGGATCTCGGCTCACTGCAAGCTCCACCTCCTGGGTTCATGCCATTCTCCTGCGTCAGCCTCCCGAGTAGCTGGGACTACAGGCGCCCGCCACCACGCCCAGCTAATTTGTTGTATTTTTAGTAGAGACAGGGTTTCACCGTGTTAGCCAGGATGGTCTCGATCTCCTGACCTCATGATCCACCCACCTCGGCCTCCCAAAGTGCTGGGATTACAGGTGTGAGCCACTGCGCCTGGCCCGCCCCCTTACTTTTTACCCGGCTTTTGATGAACATTCTTAGGGAATTGCTGACATAAACCCAAGGGCCAAGGACCCCGGCTCCACCATTAAGTTCCCCAAATAGTCCATGATATTTAGTGAATACAGGGATCTCTGGGCTTGTGCCTGATGGTCCCCAGAGGATCCTGTAAGGATCAAGGGCAAGTCCAGACCTGTAGCTGCTGGGGAGCTCTCAAGCCCTGCAACAGAGGGCCAGAGGTGGGTCCTCTCTCAGGAAAGCTCTGCAGCAATGAGGGCTCTTTATGGACAGCTAAGCGTGGAGCCTGGCACAAACTGCTGCCTGACACCCAGGGCTGTCCATGCCCTGGCACCAGCCTTTCAGCCACCACTGCCCTTCCTGCACCCTATCCAGCCCTATTCAACTGCCCCACAGAACTTCTTGTTTTCCCTCTTACATGCTTAAAGCTGCCCCAGCTTCCAGCTCGTTGCTCATGCTGCTCTGTCCGGAATGTCCTTCTTTCTCATCTCTCTACTCTTCCAATTCAGGTACATTTTCTAAACTCATTTAAAATGTCATAATCTCCATGGAGGCTCCTCTCATTCATCCCGCGACTAGAAGTTTCTCTGTCTCTTCTGAATTCTCCACACATTATCTCTCTCTTGTTTTCCTATTGTTTATCACCTTTTAACTTGTATTAACAGTCATTGCTTTTCATCTGTTACCTTCCCTGTAAAACTGAGACGTACGAGGGGATAGAGTCCAGGTTTTCTTGATGATTGTATTTCTAGCATCTAGCCTAGTAATTCCATAGTTTTTAAAAACCCGGTTCTGCATAGCCCCAGGGTTCCAGAAAGGTGTCCTAAGATCACCCGGTAGGGGCAAAGAGTGGGCAGGGACCCAAGGAAGACCCCTTCCCCACAATCTGTGCTTTGGTCAGGTAGGTTTTGATTTGAACTCTTCTATATATTGGGATTCATGTAATTCTTTTAAAAAGGATTCTTCTAGAGATAGAAAAAAGAAAGCCACTGTAATAGATACTGTCAAATAAATTAATAGAATTACACTTAATACCTCTAGCCCTTTCTCCCTCAGGGATAATGAAATTCAGTGATCAAAAATGAGTAGCAAAGGTTCAGAGTGGCTGCCAATTGAAGAACATGGTCAAAATAGAGGGCCCTTTCTCTTGTTCTAAACAGAACTGTACCAAAATTTTAGTTTTACATTAGAATCAAGCTCTGAATGAGTTATGTTTAAGGTGTTAAATAGAACTACCCTGGCACCTGGTTCTGGAGTGTGTGTGTGTGTGTGTGTGTGTGTGTGTGTGTGTGTATAATACATTAGCACATCCGCTATGCTTTGATCTCAGTGTAACTTCAGGGATATAGGAAAGAGTTATAAGTGAGGCTACTGCCTCTTGATTTTCCTCTGCTTCCCCTCCCACCACCAAATAAATTTACTCCTCCTTCAGTCTTCCCCATCACAGTAAATGACACTAATATCCATTCTGTTGCCCAGGCTAAAAATCTAGGAGTTTTCTTTGATTGCTCTCTTTTCTTCATGCCTGACATCCAACTCACAAGTAAATATTGTTGGGTTTACCTATGAAACAGTCTGAAGCAGCCGTCTCTCTCTGCCAGCCACTACCAGCTGCCACGGTTTAGGGCCTTACCACCTCGCACCTACCTTAATGCAGTCGCCTCTTCTCTGCTTCCCACCTTCTACTCTCTCCTCCCTATTATCCATTCTCCGGGCAGCAGCAAAAGTCATGTTTAAAACTCTCCTGTTAAAAACTCTCCAAGAGGTTCTCATCAGACATAGAGTAAAACTCTAATTCCTAAATGGTCAAAATAATCAAGCTAGCATGTGTATCTCACTCCAAACTAAACAAATTTGCTCACTCTGCAATCTTCAGTTGGGGAGTTTTAAGAAAATAAATTAGTGGATGACTGAGCAGAGAGACAGAAAGACTGGCACCGCATTCAAAAACAGAAATGACTTACGGCTTCAGATTTGGGAGGCACTGGAGGTGGAGGTAGGGCAGTATCTGAAGACTTCACTGCTGCTCCCAGAGTCCCAGGGATGGGAAGAGGAGAAGTCGCACATTTGGATCGGACAGAACCTCTAAACTGATCACATCTGTTCTTCTCGCTCAGAGAGCGAGTGAGAGGCTGATGGCTGGGCTTGCCTTCCTCCAGCCACAGCTCTTCGTAGGGAAGTTCTGACTTTCCCGGGATGCCTGCTGATTCTTCACTAGCTTCTGGGAAAAGGTAGTCGCTCCCACTATCTCCAGAGTCCTGATAGGGCAGGATGTCATGAGGAAAGGGAGCCCAATCTCCCCCCAGGTCCCTGCAACCATGAAGGTTCACCTCACTGTTGCCATGGAGATTGTTGCCATACACACAGACCGAGAGTCGGTGGAAGGACTGGGTGAGCTCATCGCGGGCGTAGCTGAGCGAATTGGGCACGTGGTTGTGGCCAGAGCACCGACCCTTCTTGGGGCTCTTGCATTCTTCATTCCAGTCGGTTTTCACATCACGGACAGCCCGTGAATACTCATCGATGTCGAACTGTTCTTGGCAGATACCTAGCCAGTGATGGACCAGGGTTTCGGGCCAGCTCTCTCCCTTCACCAGGTGTTCTGGGAGGCTGAACTTGGGGACAGTCAAGTGCAAAGGAAAGTGCATGGGGAGGATCTTGTTGTTCCGCAGCACACAGCAAACCACCACCGTCTTGGTCTGGATGTTCACAAACTTATAGCGGTGCCCCTCACGGATGAAGTGGAGGTCGTATGGGTTTCTCGGTGGAGGGCTTGGCACAGTCACATTCACAGGAAGCCTGGTTTTCTCCACAATGTTGCGGATGGTGTGTTCGCCCTCTTGCATCTGAAGTTCCAGGGGACTTCGGGTGCTAAATCTGCCCTTGCACTGGAATGGAAGGCTAATGCTTTCGTTGGTCCGGTGATTCATACAAATGAGGCACGGCATTTTGCCTTTTCCCAGCTTGCTGATGGAATTGAGCTTCCCAATCTTTTTGAAGATTGTGTTGAGTCGTGACTTTTCCTTGAATGTCTTTGCATAAAGGATTTCTGCCTGCCCCATTAGAGTGAGTTCATCCCCAGTACACAGGGTGATGTTGTAAACTTCAGTGTCTTCATTGCATTCACCTGAAGCAACCTACAATATAATAAATCACATTTTACGTTCATTTCCTTTGATCTATTCACGCAAAGAACTTCCTATTAAGACACACACAAATACACACACAGAGGAAAATGCTGCGCTTTTCTTTAATACTAAATTTAGACACCTCATTTCTTTTATTATACTTACGTGATTAACAATAACTACTATTTGTTCAAGATGATATTAGTTTAGAATCTTATAAACATCTCTTTTCTCTATATATGCAGAGTAATCTATCATATGGATACTAACAGGGATATTGTCATTTTTTCTTTTGCAGTTATAAATGTTTTCATGAATGCTGATGTAGAAAATTCCTTGTTTTTTATTATTTAAATTTTAATTTTTTACTTTTTAAAATTTTATTAAATTTTTAAAATTTGAAATTGAGAAAAAGAACTTAAAAATGTGGTATTTCTCAATTTTTTAAAAAATTATACATCCATTATTTAATTGGAAGAAATATTAAAAATACAAATATAAAAATGAAGAACTTCTATACTATCTTATCACTAAAGATAATCTGTCAAATATAAATAGAAAAAAGAAACAGAATTGATCCATCTATCTCAGAGATACAAATAGATACATATATACACAATTCTGTTACCTGAGTTTCTAACTGTATCCATTTCCCCCGGGCATATCCTTCATCAATAGTAATACTAACCTAATGTATTCCATTTTGTATGAATGTGCATTATTTGACTAGTTCCTTACTGTAAAATAAAAATATAGATGGATTTTTCCAATGTCTAGCAATTATAAATAGTACTGCAATGAACTTTTTTACAGCTCAATTATTTCCTTAGGATAAAGTACTAGAAAAACTGCAGGGACAAAAGCTACGCATATATTTGTTTTTTTGTTTTGTTTTGTTTTGTTTTTGAAGACAGGATCTTGCTGCCCAGGCTGGAGTGCAGCAGCATGATCACAGCTCACTGCAGCCTTGACCTCCCAAGCTTAAGGAATCCTCCCACCTAACCCTCCCAAGTATCTGAGACTACAGGTGTGAGCCACCACACCTGGCTAATATGCATATATTTGAAAGGTCTAATATGCACTGCCCACTGTGTTTTCATCAATGTTATACTTATTTATACTTTTATCACTTTATGAAATTATGTCTCCCTACACTCACACTGAAGTTTATTTCATGCTTACCAGCATGAGAGGTAAAGCATGCATGCTGAATATATTTTAAATATATTTATTGGTATATTCATTTTTCAGTATTTATCTAATTATTTAGATCTCTTACTGATTACTTTTTGTGTAAATGAAAATGTCATTTGTGCTATGTATTCTTCCATTTGTTGTTTGAATTGCAATTTTATAGCTTAACTATTAAAGTTGTTTTTTTTAAAATGTAGTCAATATTTTCAAAATTTTCCTTTGTGATTTCATTCTTGGGTGCTATGCTTCTAGCTGAGATGATATAGATTCATGATTCTGAACCAGGGGTGACTATACCCACTAGGGGGCAATGTTTGGAGACAGCTTTGATTGCCATGACTGGGGAAGCTGCTGTTTGCATCTAGTGGGTAGAGGCCAGGGAAGCTGCTCAATATGCTATAATGCCCAGGACAGCTCCCCACAGCAAAGAATTAGCCAGTGCAAAAATATCAGTGGTGCTGAGGTTGAGAAACGCTGGTATAATTACCAGTGTTTTCTTTTAATACTTTGCTATGTATCTCTATTTTTTGAATCCTAACCACTAGCCCAACAGGGAATGTAACTGTATTTACTCTGGTGGCTTATTTAAGGTAGGTTTTTTTTTGTGTGTGTGTGTAAGTTAACTGAGTGTTGAGTGCACTTCCTAAAGAGTCATCCCTTTCATCACTAATTTGCAGTGTCACTTTTACTGTATACTAATATTATATACTTTTATATCATAAATTAAAAATATATAAAGTATTATATACTAAGTTCATAAAATACATTCAAATATATACCTATATTTGCATTTATTTTCAGGCCATTTATCTTAGCGACCTTTCTATTTTCCCACTGTAACTATATTGTTTTTGTGTCTTCATCTTATATTTTCAGATCTGATAACAAAAGCCCTGACTTGTGTTTATTCTGACTCAAAAAGTATGTGGATGGCAGAAAACAAGAGAAATAAAGTCAAAAGTCAAATGACAGACTGAAGATATCTGCAAAACATATCACAGATAAAGAGCTAATATCTCTAATATACAAGCAGCTTTTTAAAAGTAAGGACCTGAGACCATCCTGGCTGACATGGTGAAACCTGTCTCTATTAAAAACACAAAAAAATTAGCTGGGCATGGTGGCACGTGACTGTAGTCCCAGGTACTTTGGAGGCTGAGGCAGGAGAATCGCTTGAACCCGGGAGGCAGAGGTTGCAATGAGCCAAGATTGTGCCACTGCATTGCAGCCTGGGTGACAGAGACAGACTGTCTGAAAAAAAAAAAAAAAAAAGAAAAATAGGCAAAATACATGAAAAATCAATTAACTAACAAGATGTACAATGGCTTTCAAACCTATGAAAAGATGTTCAACTTCTTTCCTCTAAGAGAAATGCCAATTAAAATTATACTAAGATACCACTTCTTACCTAACATATTGATTAAAAATTCAGAAGCTTGACATCACACTCAGTTGGTAAGGCTATGGGGTAAAAAGCATCCTTGTCCATAGCTGGTGAGAATACAGCATGATACAACCCGTGTGGCAGGGAATTTGGCAATATCAAGTCAAATAACATATGCATTTATCCCTCCATCCAGCAATCCTACATCTAGGAATTTACCCTGAAGACATTCCTCCAACAATATGAAAGTACACATGTATAAGGTTATTCACTGCAGCATTATTTGTCTTTGCAAAATATTGGAACTCATCTAAATGCTTAAATATAGGAGGCTGACTGAATAAACTACGGTACACACACTTCCTGGTACTATGCAAAAGACAATGAGAATAATGAATCCAAGGAATGCATATGAAATGACTTTCAAGAATATATTGTTAAATAAAAAAAAATAAAGTGCAAAAAAAGTTTATACAGTATACTTTTTTTTTGTTTAAGAAGAAAGGAAAAATTAGTATATACATTTTCTTTTTATTTTTGTTACCAAAAAAAAAAAAAAAAACCAAAAACATGCACAAGGAAAAACAGAAAACAATGAAACTGGTTACTTACTGGAGCTAGGGACAAGGGAGGAAATGATACCTTTCTGAGTATACCTTGCCACAGAGTTTTGACTGCAAGGATGTATACTAATGTGCTACATATTTTAAAAATTAGGTCAACAAGAATTTTTTTTTTATTATAAGTTCTGGGATATGTGTGCAGAACGTTCAGGTTTATTACGTAGGTATACAAGTGCCATGGTGGTTTGCAGTACCCATCAAACCATCATTTACATTAGGTATTTCTCCTAATGCTATCTTCTCTCCCTTAGCCCCCCACCCCCCAACAGGCCCCGGTGTGTGATGTTCCCCCAGTGTCCATGTGATCTCATTGTTAACTCCCACTTATGAGTCAGAACATGCAGTGTTTGGTTTTCTGTTCCTGCGTTAATTTGCTGAGAATGATAGTTTCCAGCTTCATCCATGTCTCTGCAAAGGACACGAACTCATCCTTTTTTATGGCTGCATAGTATTCCATGGTATATATCTGCCACATTTTCTTTATCCAGTCTATCATTGATGGGCATTTGAGTTGGCTCCAAGTCTCTGCTATTGTGAACAGTGCTGCAATAAATATACATGTGCATCTGTCTTTATAGCAGAATGATTTATAATCCTTTGGGTATATACCCAGTAATGGGATTGCTGGGTCAAATGGTATTTCTGGTTCTAGATCCTTGAGGAATCACCACACTGTCTTCCACAATGGTTGAACTAATTTACACTCCTACCAACAGTGTAAAAGCATTCCTATTTCTCCACATCCTTTCCAGCATCTGTTGTTTCCTGATTTTTAAATGACTGCCATTCTAACTGGCATGAGATGGTATCTCATTGTGGTTTTGATTTGCATTTCTCTAATGACCAGTGATGATGATTTTTTTTTTCATATGTTTGTTGGCTGCATAAATGTCTTCTTTTGAGAAGTGTTTGTTCATATCCTTCACCCACTTTTTGATGGGGTTGTTTTTTTCTTGTTAATGTAAGTTATTTTAAAACTGAATGCAAATGGAAACAAATGCAAAATCCAACTGTTTTTTAAATCAACAAAATAACCATTCTGGGGAAAGAGAAAATCCAAGTACCTTTGGAATGCTGTCTGATATGGTTTGGCTGTGACCCCAACCAAATCTCACCTGGAATTGTAATAATCCCCACTTGTCAAGGACGGGACCAGGTGAAGATAATTGAATCATGGGGATGGTTTCCCCCAAGCTGTTCTCGTGATAGTGAGTTCTCACGAGATATCATGGTTTTATAAGGGGCTTCCCACATTGCTGGGCACTCATTCTCTCTCCTGTCGCCCTGTGAAGAGGTGCCTTTCTCCATGAGGGCAAGTTTCCAGAGGCCTCCCCAGCCATGCAGAACTGTGAGTCAATTAAATCTGTTTGCTTTATAAATTACCCAATCTTGAACAGTTCTTTATAGGAGTTTGAGAATGGACTAATACACTTTGACCATATAATGCCAGTAGGGAAAAAAAGACCAATAAATATTCTGATCCTTTTGGTAGATTTGTTTTTCATAGGGATATGGGTAGAGAAACTCTGAGTCAAATTTATTTGTATTGTAAGATTGAATGAATGGCTAAATATATTGATGTCTTGCGAGTTACAGAGATTGCATTTTGGAAGGAGAGACAGAAATACGGAATGAAGAAGACCAGGAAAGGCAAGACAGAGCTCCTTGGGGTTTGGATTGAAATTAGAGGTATCTGTACTAACTCACACTTTTCAGCAGTTATACACACAGACACACATAGACACACAGACACACACACACACACAGACACACACACACACGTATATCTTAGTTTTTTTCCTTTCCAAGCAACCAGACACTGCCCAAATCATTCCCCACTGAGAGGAACCAGGGCTCCCTGGAGAAATGATGAATTCCAAGGGTAGGGCTGAAATGGTACAAGGTGTGCTTGGAACATTTTGTCATGCCAGAAAGTAAGGTGCTCATAAGATGATGGGAACATGCCAAAAAGACACAAGAACCAGCCTAAATGAGCTCCTACTGCTAAAATCTGGGACAATTTGAGCATCACAATAAAGACCACGATGAATTATAATCTATTGAATAAAACAGGAACACCTAAGTCCATGCTGATAGCAAAAAGATGACAAACAAGGAAGACTGGAAAATCATAATTTTGAAACTTATTATTTACTTCATTATTTATTACTATTATACTTTATACTATTATAACTTTAGTAAAGATCATTTTATATAAGAATCATCAATAGATCCAAATTTATAGGAGTTTGATTAAGGAGGTGATTAAGGAGGTTATATGCATGGTCTTAGTGTCTTTTTCCAGAATGCTTATTCACTGCAAGAGGAAAAAAGTAACTATGTAGTGGAGAATATACCTTGGACAGTACCTTGACCAGGTTATCAAATTTAGTATCACCAAAGAGGCATACTGACATCCTCTACCTCTGAATGTGACTTCCTGAGAAGTTCATGACCTCGCTTATGTACCATTCTAGCCAAAACTATTATGAAAATCCCATCATGAGGAAATATCAGACAAACCCAAACAGAAATATTCTATAAAATACCTGGTGTGTATTCTTAACAAAATTTCCATGCCAGAAATGACAAAGAAAGGCTGAATGATTGTTCCAGATTAAAATGAAATAAGTAATTGTTCCAGATTAACATGAAATAAAGAGAAGTGAAAAGTAAATGCAATAAAGTACACTTTTGGGACATCTGACCAAATTGGAATCAGGACTATAAATAAAAGTATCGTTATCACTGCTAATATTCCTGAATATACTGTGTTTACATAAGAGAAAACCCTTATTCTCAGGAAATATACACTGATGTATTAAGGGGTAAGGGACATAATGGATTCAATTCACCCTCACATGATTCAGAAAAAGATACGTTATATTACGCATACGTGTATCTGTATATGTGAGTGGAGTCCGGGGAAATGGGTAAAACAAATGTGCTAAAATGGCAAAAGTTGGTGAATCTGGCTAAAGTGATAGGGTGTCCTCATTATTATTCTTGGAACAATTCTTTAGAACTGAAATAATTTAAAAATGAAAGGTTGAAAAATTTGCCTTTTCCAGATAAACTTTAGAATCATTTTTTCTATGGTTTGTAATGATAACTTTATTGTAGTACATTAAATCTACATGGTGTTTTGGCAAGAAGTGACATCACTGTAACAGCATTTCCAAAGAGGCACATAATTCTCATCATTTATTCAGATCTTTTATTTCCCTTATTAGTATTTAATTCTGCCTTCATTATCAATCCCTGGACACTGCTGTTGAGTCATAGTTGTTGAATATGTTTTATTGCTATTTTGCATGTCCAGTGTCTTACTGTAAGGTTTTTTCTCCAGTTAATTCTCTTGGGATTAGGTGATTATAACTTACACAAATGATGAAAAATTTATCTTTATCCTTTCAATTTTCATCCCTTCTCTCATAACAGAGTGGTGGTGGTGACAGTGAGCATTTTAGTGTTTCAGATTTTAATGAGAATATTGTGTTTTAATATAAAAATACGATAAATTTGTTTGAGATATTCTTTATCATGTAAGTAATGTCTTTCCAATTCTAGTTTTCTAAAAGTTTCTACAAATAAAATTTTTAAAAATTTTAATAAAAATGTTGATTCTATATCCAATTAAGATGGTCATATGTTTATTTTTGTTGTTGTTGTTGTTGTTTTGTTTTTGAGATGGAGTCTTGCTCTGTCACCCAGGCTGGAGTGCAGTGGCATGATCTCGGCTCGCTGCAACCTCTGCCTCCCGGGTTCAAGTGATTCTACTGCCTCAGCCCCCTGAGTAGCTGTGATTACAGGAGTGAGCCACGTGCCTGGCCCATATGTTCATTTTTCACTTCTCTAATACACTCATTATATATTATAATAGATTCCTAAATATTAAAATAATTCTACATGCTTGAAATAATCTCCACATGATCATAGTACACTTAAGACAATACTGTGTAATTCTCTGATAGTACCTGACCTATGATGTCGGCATCTTTGTCACAGATGAGACTGGCCTACAGTTTTATTATCTATATTTTATCAGGTTTTGGTATCAGGCTTACATTAAACCTAAGCTTGAATTTTTTTCTCTCATGTTAATAAAAATGTCTGGGTAAAGTAACTGACTACGTTCATACCATATACTGAGTGGTGATCATCAATATGTGTTTAGAAAACTAGGAAGAGCAACCTTTGTAAATAATTTCTTACCTTCTATTCTAGGTGATCTCTGTATAATTTTAATCTTTGGAACAAGTAATTTGTCAATCAACAACAGTACTATAAAAAACAAACAGCTTTGTTGTTTCCAATAGTGAAGTGAATTTCTCCGTAGGAGACATTGTAAGTACAGAAATGACAGCACAATATTGTTTTAATGGGAATATATGCTGCCAAGGCTTAAAGTCCATTTTGGATGATTCAGGTAAGTATTGCTATTATTTTTTAACAAGATCTCAACCTAACTGTGTTTACTTTTAGTACTTCGGTATTCATCTGGTTCTAACATAGATGCTAGGCATCTAAATTCAAGCCTAGGAATTTAAATACATTTTAGCTTTTTCTTTTTTTTTTTTCTTTTGAGATGGAGTCTCACTCTGCCGCCCAGGCTGGAGTGCAATGGTGTGATCTTGGCTCACTGCAACCTCCGCCTCCTAGGTTCATGTGATTCTCCTGCCTCAGCCTCCCAAGCAGCTGGGACTACAGGCACGCGGCACCATGCTCAGCTAATTTTTGTATTTTTAGTAGAGAAGGGGTTTCACCATATTGGCCAGGGTGGTCTTGAACTCTGGACCTTGTGATCCGCCTGCCTCAGCCTCCCAAAGGGCTGGGATTACAGGCGTGAGCCACCACGCCCAGGTAGCTTTTTATTTGGAATAATCTCAGATTTGCAGAGAAGTTACAAAGGCAGTACAGAAAGTTCCTGTATACTCTTTACCTAGCTTCTGTTAACATGTTATGTGACCATGGCATGTTTATCAAAACTAAGAAATTCACATTAGTACAATACTATTACATAAAGTACAAGTTTTATTTGGATTTCACCAGTTTTTTTCCCATGAGTGTCATTTTGATATCCCAGGATCAAGCCAGGATACCACACTGCCTCTGGTCCTCCGATCTGTGAATTTCTTGGCCTTGTTTCTAAGGCTTTGACAGTTTTGAAGAATATAGCTCAAGGTTTTTGTTTGTTTAGAGCTAAACATCATTTATAAATGACAGTGCTTGACACATACAAGGGCTTTCTTTTTCCATAGGACTTGTAGTTTCAAGTTTTCAGTTATTATTATTATTTTTTTTCTTGGCAGTTTTTTTTTTTTTTTAAGAGACTGGGTCTTGCTATGCTGCTCAAGCTGTACTTGAACTCCTAGGCTCAAGTGATCCTCCTGTCTCAGCCTCCCAAGTGGCTGGGACTAGAGGAACAGGCTGCTCTGTCTGGGTCCTGGTTTCAGTTATTTTATTCTCTTGACTTAGGTCACCAAGAATCATCTGCTATCAATTTTAGCCTTTGGTTTATCCCTAAGGCTTTTACTTTCAACCAGCATCTAGTTAAACTTACAAAAATATAGATCAAAGGTCAGCAAACTAATACCCACAGTCCACACCTGGCCCACCACTTGGTTCTGTAAATAAAGTTTTATTGGGACACTGCCACACCCATTCATTTATAAATAGTCTATGGCTGTTTTCACGCTATGATGGCAGTGCTGAGTAGCTGCAACAGTGACTGTATGGCTTGCAAACTCTAAAATACGTGCTCTCTGTTTCTTACAGTAAAGGTTTACTGATACTGGGTATAGATGGATGAAAAGAACCATGGCCTTTGGAAACTGACAGATACAATACTATCAGCTAAACTACAAGCTGAGTTTCAATCTTGCCTTTACAGTGTAGTGACTTCAGACAAAATGCTTTTAGTTTTTTGAGCCTTAGGTTCCTCACCTATAAAATGGAACATCACCATCTATTTTGCAGGCTAAGTGAACGTATGTAAACAAATGCTCACAGTGCTTGGCACATGGTAGGCTCTCAATAAATGGAGGCCATCGTTACTATTACTTTTATTAACAAAACATTTTACTTTTTTTAAGTGTTTCACATTGCCTTTCACACCTCTGTATTTTCACATAGATTTCTAAGTTTTCATCTCCTACTGTGTTGAAGCCCAAACCACTACTTCTAAGTATTATCCTTCTCTGTACTGAATATCGTTCAAATTTTTATTGACTATGTTATCCCAGAATAAAACTTAATGCCAGAATAGAGCCTGAAATATCATTACAATTATATCCCAAAGGATGTGAACATATGGAAATAATTCAAAATATACAATTTTAGAATAGTCTAGTCTGCAAAACTCTCAGCTGCACTGCTATACTTCCTTTTTATTAGAACTTTGTGAAAAACTTGGCGAGTCACCCATTTGAATAAAGATGGAGACAGGGATAAGATGCAGACAGGGATCCGGAAACAAAAAATGTGTTTCTATCCCTTTAAATCAATATTTACTATATTTTTCCTAATTTATCTTTATAAACATACACCTTCCAGAATTAAGAAATGATAAGTCTAGTGAAGTACTGCACAGGAAATGAACTGAAAGATAATGTCCACCAGTTTTTGAGACTCATATCAAACAGTACACGTACAGATTAAACAGATCAAAGTTCTCCTTACTAAATGTCACTATCTGGGCACATTCAACAGTTTTGTCTACATTTTCGTGTATGTGTGTACTTCTTAAATAACTTACTCCTACTCTCATACATAAAAATGTGTAACATATGTGAGCACAATCTGTATCCCATGCTTCCAACTCTGAAGTCATTATTAATGCTAGCAATTAGCCCTGAATAAATTATACAACTAACGTACTGACCAATTTTGTGGTCACTGCCAGTGACAGATGAAAAATCTCATAAATAAATGCTCTTTCTTTAGCAGTAGAGCCAAATAGTCTCCTCAGGTTTCTACAGATGTAATTTATTTGCATAATTTTTTTCCTTTTTTTTTTAATAGCAAAAGAAACAATGCATTCTAAGTGCTTCCGTATGTGTGTCTGGTTAACATTTCCAGTTTCAATGTTTCCTGAGAGGAAGTAATTCAAAGTGTGTTATCTAAACAACTCTAATAGGTCTGATCCAGGAAACTATCAGGGTTTTACTTTTTACCGCTCATAATACCACTCAGAATTAATACCCCATGGTCAAGAAACATTTTGAAACACTGACGTAAAATTTTAAGCTTGTGGACGCGCACACATTCTCTCTGTCTGAAGGTTCTGGCAATAGGAAATCTGTTCTCTAGCAACAATTGTTCTAATAACAATTGTTCAAACATGTAAGAGGTTAAAATTCCAACTCATAAGATAAAATCAGGAATGATCTGATTGATATATAGGTTATATAGACAATATTTGATTAGTATTATGTTATGTCTTCCCAAATTAAATTTTCATTACTCTTTCTTTTGGGAAAATGACAGCAAATGGATGAAAATTGCATCAAGAGTTAAGATAAATGTTAATCCTAAATGGTGTTTATATATATATATTTTTTTTAACACAAAATAGGGCAAGAATGACAAGTACAATGGCAATGGTTGCATTTGTGATGCTATAGCAGAGGGCTTGCCAACTGGTAGTTTTTCAGAGGGCCCAAAACCTCAGATGACAAAAAAAGGACTGAGCTATCTTCAAAACATTGAAATAATTAACCTCACAATTGTATCCAATTTATCATTCTGAATGGATCTCGAAAATAAATGACATCTGACTCACCCTAAGGGAAACATATAATTAAAAAAAACTGGAAAATAAAAAGTGATTATATCTAGCCAGGAGCGGTGGCTCATGCCTGTAATCCCAGCACTTTGGGAGGCGGAGGCGGGCGGATCACGAGGTCAGGAGATCGAGACCATCCTGGCTAACATGGTGAAACCCTGTCTCTACTAAAAATACAAAAAATTAGCCGGGTGTGGCGGTGTGCGCCTGTTGTCCCAGCTGCTGGGGAGGCTGAGGCAGGAGAATGGCATGAACCCAGGAGGCGGAGCTTGCAGTGAGCCGAGATCGCGCCACTGTACTCCAGCCTGGGTGACAGAGCAAGACCCCATCTCAAAAAAAAAAAAAAAAAAAAAAAGTGGCTATATCTAAATACATTCAATTTTCATTTTAAATATTCCTTTTTACATCTGACAAAATTCAGGTTGCATAGGAATCAATAATTTCTGACCTCTCTGGAATATAGCCAAGAACAAGGCAGTGAGCTAACCAAAATGATGGGATGTTGTTGATGTTGGAGCTTATGTTGAAAGCCTGTGAGGTCCTTAACTTAGTGTACTGATTCCTAAGACTCCATTAAACGTGATTGCCAATTTACAGCCTTAGCAAAACAGAAGTGAAAAATTAAACTAAAAATAGGGACTGTTAAGAAAGGTATTCTGAAAAAGACACAAGAAGCAAATAAGACAGCAAACCTTTAAAGGTTTTAAACAAAAAAAGTTTTAAAAAATTTATATTATGAGACTGTAAAAATATAAACTTCTCAGGGCTTATGGTCTCTCTATATAAAGGCAAAAGTCATACTCATCTCAAGTGGGGCTGAGTGCTTTAATCAATTATAAAACAGGAGACAGTGATAAGTTTAAATTTTGTTCAAGTACTTTCTTTAAGATAGTAGAAAAGTGTATTATAAAATACTGAAAGGAAATTATAGTCATTTTGGACAGAATTTGGTTAACATTCACAGCTACTCCAGAAACTGGCTAGCTAGAACTACTCATGCCCTAAAGACTCCAGAGAGTAGGTAGAAAATGCTGGAGCAAATAATTCCTACCCATTTTGAAAAATCACAGGAAAAGATGGTCTCTCTGTCATTATTATAAACTTAAAACGCAAGATTCCTTTTCTGAATTCTTGAGATGGAAACTAAGAATTGTATTTTAAACGAGGAATGGTGGGTTACAACTGAACTACACTCGGAAAACAAAATAAAAAACCCTGAAGAATACTAAATGTTTCAGTACTACTAGCTTGTATTATTTTACAGGACAACCACAGGATGGCCCATGTATGCAGAGCAAAGTCTACTAATAAACTGTTTTTGTGTTTTCGAAGACAAAACATGACCAGGAGGATGGCAGAGCATAAATAATTATGACAAGAGTAGAATCACAAGCGGCTCTGTCTGTAGTTTGTTCTGCTAAAATGAATAAAGAAAGTAACATAGGCGGGGCGCAGTGGCTCACACCTGTAATCCCAGCACTTCGGGAGGCCGAGGCGGGCAAATCGCTTGAGATCGGGAGTTCGAGACCAGCCTGACCAACATGGAGAAACCCTGTGTCTACTAAAAATACAAAATTAGCCAGGCATGGTGGTGCATGCCTGTAATCCCAGCTACTTGGGAGGCTGAGGCAGGAGAATCGCTTGAACCCGAGAGGCAGAGGTTGCGGTGAGCTGAGATTGATCCATTGCACTCCAGCCCGGGCAACAAGAGTGAAACTCCGTCTCAAAAAAAAAAAAAAAAAAAAGAAGAAGGCACAGTCTAACTGGTCGGCAGAAGTAAAAGGTCTTCATTTTTTCAGCACTTTTTCAGACGGCAACTTTTAAAACGGCAACAAATATGTTAAAATAAAAGGCACATGGATTGCATCAAATCTATGACTTGGGAAAATATATTGGCTGCTTTTCAGTAACTTGGAAGCCTTAGGAGACATTCAGAGTTTGGCATCAAGTTGCATTAATCATATTAAACTTTAAAATCCGTGCTTGTTTACTCAGCAATGCATTTTAGTCATGTCGGTGTATCTTTAACACTGCTTCAAGCAACAATACAAGAACCCAACCTCTGGTCTTGCTGCTTTATTAATACTGGTTAGCACTCTAAAAATTCTGGGTTAAGACCTTATGGAGTTTGAAGGAGTTCATTCTGACATGTGATATTTAAATAATCAGAAACTACATTAATACTGATAGACTGAAAATTTCAAAATAAGTGTGAACAAATGTGAACATGAAAGAGCCAATCCTCTAAGATGGATCCTGAGTGGCTAACCGGGTCTAAATTTAAAATACAGCCAACCAACCATTTGCTGATTGGAGGTCACACATGTGCTCTGAGTTCCTGGAAAACCCATGCCTCCATTCAACTTTTGGACTTTCAGAGCTAATGCGAACCAACCAATTAGAACTCACCAGCCTCAGCCAATCAGGGCTCAGCAGCACCAACTAGTCAGAACTAATCGTGTTTCAATCCTTCATTTGCTATATGGACCTGATTGAGAACCTGAGTGGGCACTTTTGCTATAAAACCCGGGACCTTCCCTTTGTTCTCAGGAATTGCATCTTCATTTTACACTGAAGGCTATCTCTCCACAGTCTGCAAATTGTTCACTGGAAGAGTCTTTCCTTCAAATTCCTATTTCAGAGAACTTTTGTTCATATAAGTTGCAAGATTTTATTTTTTAAATACTGGCACCATACTTTACTATTAATAAGATATAAAAAGGTACATGTATAACATTCATAAAAGCTGCCAAATCCTGTGTGTCAGACCATAAATGTTTCAGAAATACAAATGACAGAAGGATTTTGGCTATATTGTACCATATGCCATAATGATTGAACATGTTTGTATTTTTTAAAAAGGAAAATGAATTAAACTATACAAGCTATTGTGTCAAAGTGAAAGTACATTCTGATCACAATCTTGGGCCTTATCTCAAATCCATAAATAGAGTGTGATGGAGCAGAGAGGTGACTGGATTGTATTAGGAGACCTGGTTTCTATGCTGGGCTTTGCTGCTGAGTCATTTTGTGGCTTCATATGAACCAATGAAGTCAGCTAACATAGCTGTTTCTCAGTTTTCATATTTGCTAAAAGAAGCAGGATTAGGCAACGTCTAAGGGCCTTTCCAGATCTAAAATGTAATGATTATAACAACTCAAAGTCTATAAACTTCCTAGTCCTGTTGGATAATTTATAGCATTTTATCATTTTACTCTTGGTCATGTTTCTTAGTATTGCAAGGCTCTAGTTTTTTCACTTAATTTCTCTGAAACTTATATGATGTTTTCTCCAATTAAAAAGAGGCACTTCTGGGTATATATACACAATGGAATACTATTCAGCTTTAAAAAGGAGGAAAATCGTGTTATCTGTGGCAACATGAATGAACCTGGAGGGTATTATGCTAAGCAAAATAAGCCAGGCATAGAAAGACAAATACCACATGGTCTCATTTATATATGGAAACTAAAAACATCAAACTCATGGATACAGAGAGAATGGTGGCTGTCAGAGGCTGGAGAGTGGGGAGAATGGGAAGATGCTGGTCAAAGGGTACACGTTCCAGGTAGAATGGGGGGAAACTGAGAGGTGATGGAAATGTTAATTAGCTTGATTCAATCATTCCACATTGTATACCTGTACTACAGCATCACTTTATCAATATCCAAAGAAAAGGTACCGCTGAAATCCTTCTCCCCACATTACAGTGGCTCTGCTGCTAGGCACTGACACCCCAGCCCACAGCAGGTGCCAAAGCAGTAATCAGAAGCTGATAGGCTGATGACAAGGCTGTCACCTCAGCTCCTGGGCAGACCACGCACGCAGTAGGGAAGTGGTTCTGAAGAGGTCTAGGCAGGCAGAGGCAGCGACTGTATGCCACATCTGAATGAAACTTCACATTCCCGAGTGGGTAACTTTCTCTAATGAAGCCAATGTAAACTTGTTACTTTGCCTCTGAGGAAATCTATGCTGGAACAGCTGAAAGTATGGATCTCACTAACTAGTTGGAGCTAAAATAGTAACATTATAGCATCCAGATTAGGGTATTTGGGCTCTGAGACTTGAGAGTAGTAATTTTAATGTAGAAAGCTTCTGGATTACATCAGTGAAGATAGGATGCCTCAGACCCAATGCCAAATCGAAGGCCACCTTTTTCCCCTCTCTCTCCACAACTGTCATAGTAAAGATAGAGCTTAAATTAAAACTTAATTTGTTAGTCATTATTTTGATGGCAGGAAATGCAGACGGGGAAAATTTTCTCATCTTTATTGGGCTGAGTTTGAAAGGCTGGAAGACATTTAAAATAATTCGTAGTTATTAGTGTAGTAAGGTCTCCAAAAAAGTATTTGAAGTGAAGGGGTATTTCGAAACCACAACAAAGAACAGCTACTATGTACTGAGTTCTTAATAGTAAGTCACTGGGTAGGAAGTATTACATAAAGAGTAAGCAGGCCAGGCATGGTGGCTCATGCCTGTAATCTTGGTATTTTGGGAGGCTGAGGCGGGAAGACTGTTTGAGGCCAGGAATTCAAGACCAGCCTGGGCAACACTGTGAGATGCTCATCTCTACAGAAAAAATTTAAAAATCAGCCAAGAGTGGTGGTGCATGCCTGTAGTCCTAGCTATTCAGGAGGCTGAAGCAGGAGGATCACTTGCGCCCAGGAGTTCAAGGCTGCAATGAGCTATGATAGTGCCACTGCACTCCAGCCTGGGTGACAAAGCATGTTTCTTAAAAAAAAAGAAAGAGGGAGAGAGAGAGAAATAAGAGAGAGGTGAGAAAAAGAAACAGAGAAAGAGGGAGGGAGGGGAGGGGAGGGAGAGGAGGGATAAGAGAAAAGAGGCCAGGCTCAGTGGCTCACCCCTGTAATCCCAGCACTTTGGGAGGCCGAGGAGGGTGGATCACTTGAGGTCAGGAGTTCGAGACCAGCCTGGCCAACATGGCGAAACCCCATCTCTACTAAAAATACAAAAATTAGCCAGGCATGGTGGTGCGTGCCTATAGTCCAAGCTACTTGGGAGGCTGAGGCAGGAGAATCGCTTGGACCTGGGAGATGGGGGTTGCAGTGAGCTGAGATCACACCATTGCACTCCAGCCTGGGTGACAGAGCGAGACTCTGTCTCAAAAAAAAATAAAATAACATAAAATAAAAAATAAAAGAAAAAGAAAGAGTAAGTGAAATAATCTTAATCTGTGGTGGGAATTTTTTTAAATGTGAAACTTAATTTTTTATGATTCTATGTTCTGAACCAAGGATTTGCAAACCTTATCTTACAGGTCAAGATGGTAATAATTTTAGGCTCTATGGGCTATATAGTTTCTGCTACAACTACTTAATTGTGCTGTTGGCATGAAAGCAGCCATAGATAATACATAAACACATAGACATGGCTTTGTTCCAATAAAACTTTATTTACAAAAACAGGCAGCTTGCCCGCCTCCTTACTAGACACTTGCAAAGTACTTGAGTGTATTACTTTACTTAATTCTGATGACAAATCTATGAGGTGGGTAGTATCACCTCCATTTTGTAGGTAAAGACACTGTGGGCTCAGGTCTTGTGACCCGCCCATGGTCAGAGTCAATGCCTGGGGCAGGGTTCTGAACTCACCCCTGAGTTCAGAGCCTGAGCCACTCTACAGTCCAACTCACTCTGTAGATCGTGGTGGCCTGCTTGAAGAAAAATATATGGCTTGAAAATTGTTAGTGCAGCTGTTTTTATTTTTAAAAGGAGGGGTATGGGCCTTCAGTTGGAATGGCCAACTCAGAAAGAGGACATCTTCTGACTTTGGAAGCAAACATGAGAAGAAACATGGTTGATGAAAAAACTAAGAGAGATAATTAAGAGAGAAAAAGCCTATTACAGTTAAAAAAAAACCCCACAAATATGCAGGAAAACAAGTAAACGAAAACAACATTCTTACCCTGAAAACTAAAAACCAGATGGATAAAGAAAAAAAAAGTGAAAGAGACAGGTGACTGCTATTCCCAAAACATGGAATTCCTTTAGCTTTGCAGGGATTAGAAGAGATATATGCAAATCATCAGTGAGAGGTAACCTGCCCACATATCCTTTTATTTTCTGTACTCTCTCATCTCCCACTTTCTGTTTCTACCACCCCAGCTGCTCACTCAAATGGACATACTTAGATCAGAAAATAAAGCTACTCCTGTCATTACCGATCTTACTGCCTAAAGTTAAATTTCAAGAGTTTTACACTCTACCACCACCTCCTATTTTGCATCTCATTTTCTCAAACATATCTATCTCATAAGTCCAGTTCTCATTGGGGCTACACTTCTATTCACGCTTGGTTAGCCAGTAGGGATTCTTCTTTTTTGTTGTTGTTTTTTGAGATGGAGTCTCATTCTGTCACCCAGGCTGGAGTACAGTGGCGCGATCTTGGCTCACTGGAACCTCTGCCTCCCAAGTTCAAGTAATTCTCCTGCCTCAGCCTCCCAAGTAGCTGGGATTACAGGCATGCACCCCCATGCCCAACTAATTTTTATATTTTTAGTACAGACGGGGTTTCGCCACATTGGCCAGGCAGGTCTCGAACTCCTGACCTCAAGTGATCCACCCGCTTTGGCCTCCCAAAGTGCTGGGATTACATGCATGAGCCACTGCACCCAGCCCCCAGTGAGGATTCCATGGCTCAGTGTGACCTGTCACTCACTCTAGGGCACATTCCATCAACACCTTTGCTGATCTCTGCTATACTCACTGGGAGAACCTCAACTCTCATTAAACTCAGCTCTCTTGGTCTACTCTATACCTGCATCGAGGGAGCCGAAAATGGCTGGAAGAAAGGGTAGTGCTGAGTAATCTCACTTGAAACTTACCTTGACTAAACTCTAGGACCACCCTACTGTACTGTCCTGGTTAACTCACTTTCCAGTCTCAGAGCTGATTATTATTTGCTTCCTATCAAGGCCACTCATGACCTTCACATTTTGCTAAATTTCATGGTTAGTTCTCAGTCCTCATCTAATTCAATTACTAAGTAGCATTTGACACAGTTGCTCATTCCTTCTTGAATCTTGGCTTCTGGGACACCATATGCTCCTGGCTGTCCTTCTACCTCACTGCTATCCTATCCAGTCTTCTCTTCTAGACCCCTAAATGCTGGGGTACTCCAGGGCTCAGTCCTCAGAGCTCTTCTCCTTTTAATCTTGTCTCTAGGTTAATGCCTCTCAACCTTGGCACTACTGACATTTTGGGTTGGACAATCCTTTGTTATGGGAGCCTGTCCTGTGCATCACAGAATGTTTAGCAGCAACCCCCCCCACCCACTAAATGACAGTAACATCCTCCACCCCACAGTCATGACAATCAAAACTGTGTACAGACACTGCCAGTGTCCCCTGAGGGACAAAGTCACTCCTGGTTGAGAATCACTGGTACAGGTAAACTCAACTAGACCCATGGCTTCAAACGTCTTCCAGAAGATGATGAGCCCCAACTAGATACTCTGAGCCTAGACTATTCTCTAAGCTCCCAACCTGTAGATCCAACTGATTCTTGATATCTCTACTTGGAGGTAGTACTGATACTTGTTTATGTATTTCTTGTCTACCTCCCCTACTATACTGTAATCTCCATGCAGTGAGGGACTTGCATATTTACTATTTACCCCCAGTGCCTGCAGTAGTGCTGGGCATATAGTAAGTGCTCAAAATATATTTGCTGGTTAAAGAATTAAACACTTAATGCATATGAATTCATTTCACGCAGTTAATCGATGGGGCCAATCAGGCAGATAGTTTTAAACACATCAAGGTATCTTTTAAAGACAAATTTTAGTTCCAAATTAAAAAGAATGTTTCATTTTTCAACAAATGTATAAATAGTACTAGTACTAGCCATTAAATTTAAAATTTGAAGTTAAAATTTTGCTACAGTTTGTGAAGAAACCCAGAACTAGAGTTCCCCTTTTTCTAATACTTTTGCTTTATTTTACATTCTTATTAAGATTAATTTCAGTTTGGACTTGTAAATAAATATATCAGGATACATATGTATATTTATTTCTAATAATAATGTCTTGATTATCATGATGCCAGGTAACTATCAATTTTTAACTGCAAGTGCTTTTCTCAGTGGTTTATCCTTTTGGTTTAATTTACGCTGTATCTGAAGTAGAAGAGAGAGGGTGAAATCTTCTAAGAAGGTTTGAAATCTTTCTTTTAAAAACTGCTTCTTGGATAATAGCTACATTTATGAGTAAAGAGTATTGTTTTTAATTTTTTCCCACCTTCTCCATGAGAATAACCAAAATCCCATTTCTTTAACTCCTCCCCTGCTAGTTCTTAGTTCTCACACAGACACAATAATCCAGACTTTTTGTTTTCTTTTTAAGATGAAGTCTCACTCTGTCGCTAAGGCTGGAGTGCAATGGCGTGATCTCGGCTCACCGCAACCTCTGCCTCCTGGGTTCAAGCAATTCTCCTGTCTCAGCCCCACCGAGTAGCTGGGATTAGAGGTGTGTGCCACCAGCCCAACTAATTTTTGTATTTTTAGTAGAGATGGGGTTTCACCAAGTTGGTCAGGCTGGTCTTGAACTCCTGACCTCAGGTGATCCACCTGCCTCAGCCTCCCAAAGTGCTGGGATTACAGGTGTGAGCCACTGTGCCCTGGCTTAATCCAGTCTATTTTTAATTGAAGAAGACCATGACTTCCAGCCTTTATTACTGGTCCAGGTGGTATCCAGACAAACTTTTCTATGACTATCCTTAGTTTATTTATTTACTTGTGTGTTTATCACTAAGCACAAAACCTTTTGTGTATTTCTTTATGTAAATTTCCTGAGGTTCCTATAACAATCCTTCTTTGAACAGAATTGAATAATGTTTTAATGATTCATGCAAGCTAGAGGTGATGGCACCTTAAAACTCCATAAGTAACAGACTAGAAATATTAAATATTTATGTTTGCACAGCACAGAACTCAACCCAAATCCAATTAGTTTTATGGATGCTATAAGCTCATACTTCACACACTTAACTGAGCCTTTGAACTCTTAAATGATATTCTCTATTAAACACATTTTAATGAATACATTCAGTCATGGTATTCTATATTAAAAAAAGAACTCTAAAATGTATAAATTTAAGTGTTATCCTCTCAGTCATTCTGACTTACTACAAATTCACCAAGAAAAGCTGCTAGAGGCATTTAAAAAAATAGTATACATGAGCAATATGTGGCAAAAGATGGAATGTTACATTTTAATACTAGAGAAAATCTTTAAAAATCACTTAAAAATTTACATTTGATTTCTTTATTAGCAAATGAAATATTTTTCTAGAAAGGAGTTTAAAACTACTAACTTTCTAAAAAAAACTTATTTTTTTTTCATTTAGAGAATTCTAAATATAAGTTTTAGGGAGAGATTTAAGTCATATCAAAACACTAATGGAATAGGATTTAACTTCTGACCAATGAGTCTAGGTATGTTTAAAAATGAACATGTTTGCACAAGTTTTCACTGTAAACAAATGCAAGCTGTCTTGACTGCTCATGTATTAGGGCCACTGAAAAAGTTAAAAACGATAAATATTTTTGTATGTAAGCATAATTTACTTAGTAAAGATTTTACAAAATATAAAATATCACTCATCTTAATAATAAAACTAAAGAGCGTAGACCAAAGCAGCTGTATTTTGGAACTGGAAGAAGAAATGACTTAGCTTAGACAATGAAATGGGCAGAACCGTTTCTCCAATAAGGGGCTGTCCTAGGCATCTCCTCCCTTTCCTGAAGAGTGTGGGTGGAATGACTCATCCACAAAGACACTGCTGCATTCTTGGGCCAAGACACCATGTAGTCTGTTTTTCACATAGAGTGGATTTCTAAGAAACAGGAATCTTGACCCCCTAAATCTTGAAATGTTTGGAAAATGTGATTTAGGTGGACTTTGGGCTGAAATGACATTAAAGAGAAAACCCCTTCAATGTGAACACTTTCTAAAGTGTTTTAGTGTAATTATGAGTATTGCTGGAGAAAATGTGGAAGATTTGCAGGCAATACGATGGGCCTGGTTGGTGGCTTGCTTCTCTGGTCAGTCCCTCTTCAACAGCAAGTCTAGTCAAAGGACCTCGGTCAACATCTGGACAAGGACTGCACTGTCCCTTTAAGAATGCAGAACAAGGCCAGACACGGTGGCTCACACCTGTAATCCCAGCACTTTGGGAGGCCAAGGTGGGCAGATCACGAGGTCAGGAGCTTGAGACCATCCTGGCTAACACGGTGAAACCCCATCTCTACTAAAAATACAAAAAAAATAGCTGGGCGTGGCGGTGTGTGCCTATAGCCCCAGCTGCTGGGGAGACTGAAGCAGGAGAATGGCATGAACCAGGGAGGCGAAGCTTGCAGTGAGCCGAGATCGCGCCACTGTACTCCAGCCTGGGTGACAGAGCAAGACTCAGTCTCAAAAAAAAAAAAAAAAAAAAAAAAAAAAGAATGCAGAACAAATAGAGCACAACAAACACTATATAGCTTTTCTCTGGGCAATATCAGTTTTCTCTATATATAGTGAAATAGATAGTCCACAAAGAATGGAATGAATACATGCTGACTTCAAGAAATGCTTAGAAACCTATTCTATCTTTGTATTTTTCCTCTCTTTCTTTCTTTTTAAATAAGTGTTTGGTATTATTTAGTTTCATCATATCCCTTTTGCTCCCAGAAGTGGAGATCTGGCTAAACAACTGTTACATATTAGAAAATGAAGTCCAAATTTTAAAAAATATCACTTATATGCCTCAACAGCTACAGTTTTGAACTCAGATATCAGTTTTAAATTCTAACAAAAGATAATGCTAATAAATACAGAAGCAGTCAGGGAGTCAGGTCAGCTACAATATATGTGGTTTTGGCTACTGCCACTAACTATTAGAAGATAAAACCCTCCTAGGAGACACAGATGAACACTTACTGTGTACATCCAGACTTGAAAGTTAAATTATCTTTAGTGAGTATAAATATTTGGTGCTTCAAGAGCTACTACCTTCACGTTGAATGTGATATCCTCCATGACGTACACGCGTTCAGGAAATGCCTTAGCCACCTCCTCCACACTGTTGAAATATTGCACTGGCTCCTTTATATCTCGGTCTTGTTCCAGCAGCTTGAATTGCCCTAAAACACAGGATAAACAGAAGAGATCTAAGATGTTTATGCTGGACTGCTGTTACCATGGCAACAACATCCTCTCTCTTTACCCCAGCCCTTTTTTTGTCAAAGATTCCTGTTCATCATTAATCTTTTTAAAAAGGCATTATGGGAGGTTCCATTAAACTAGAAGATAGATAGATTTTAAAATCAGCTTAAAAATGAAAATAAACTGCATTCTTTTTGTTTACATTGAGAGTTTATTCCCAGATGTCCAAAATCAAACTGAATGAATGCTTACTTGCTGTTTGATCTCAAAGTGAAAACTCACTTTGCTATAAATGGTTGTTTTTAACAGTAAGTTAAACATTGAAGTTACCTTGCCCATCAGTTGTTGTACGAACCACACATTTACATTCTAGAACCGAGTCTTAGAAGCCTGGGAGAGCTAACTTTTAAAAATTAGTATTAAATTTTTTTTTTTTGCAAATAGAACAAAATGATATAATGGATTCCTGGCTTTCACATAACTCATATTCCTGGTTAGAACAATATGCAGGTAATGTCTAGGGCTCATGAGCTGCTGTAATGTGTGATGCTGCTGAGGCAGAAGCATGGAGCAGCAGCAGACAGCTGTCTGGTGAGCTTCCTCTCAACCACTGAGCCTGCCGGCCACTCAGCCTCCAGAGCTCCATGTGGCTCCTTTCTTTCCTTTTACTGCTATATATGAAATTCATGCGAGTAGGCCATATCATGGTCTCCACAATTTACAGGATTTATGAAGAACTTTGAACATATTCCTAAAATATCAAGGATCTATCATGTTGTTGTTTACATTTTCAGTATCTGTGACCCTGCTACAACATTTGAGAAGAACTGTTTTCAGTTTGGAATAAAAGACCATATGCAATCATATCAGGGATACAGTGTTTCTTAGTAGTTATTTTCTGAATCCTGGCTATAATATAATACTCCAGAAACTTAAAAGGAATTAAAAGCTATCATGGGAAAATCTCTCAGGCAGAAATAGGAAAACTTTCATTCATATTCTCAACACAATTTTTTAGCATCTACTAGGTGGAGACATTATTCTAGATGCTGGAGATCCATCAATTAATGGAATTAACACAAATCTCTGTTCTTCCAAAGCTTACATTCCAGCAGGAGATGGATACTATAATACATGAGTAAGAGTATACCATGGTAGAAGGTGAGAAATGCTATTAAATTTAGGGCAGGGTGTGGGGGATGGAGAGTGCAGGGAGACCAATCAGTATTGCTGAGATGGTGACCTTTGGTGTAGGTGAGGGAGGGTCGTGCTTGGTAGTTGCAGTTAGAGGTCTCGGAATTCTAAGACTAGGCAACAGTCTGCCCAAAGACTCTCAGGTGGGTGGGCTGCCTGCCTGGCATGCTGCCACTATGGCTGGAGTGGGATAAGGGAAGAGGGGAAAGAAAGTTAGAGCAGTAGCAGGTGGTCAGACTGTATATGCCTTTTAAGGAGTTGCACTCTTCACCTGAGTGGAATGGGGATTTGAGCGGAGAGCTGGTGATCTAACCAATGCTACAGAAGGATCCCTCTAGCTGGCATGTTGAGAAGACCATAAAGGTGCAAGGCACAGAGGCAAGTGACACCAGGTAGAAGGCTCCTACAATAATTCAGGTATGACATGGCAGGGGCTGGGAAGTGGTTAAAGTGTGAGGACCCTGGCCTGAACAACTCTGAACAGAGCTGACATTGACTGAGACAGGACAGCTTTGGAGGGTGAAGGGAGGATCAGGAGTTCAGTCTGGACAGGTAAGTCTGAGATGTCTATTGGACACGCAAACAGAGATGTTCAAAAAGTTCTTAGACACCGAAGTGTGGAGGTCAGGAGAGAAGTCTGGCTGGAAAGAATAAATCTGGCAGTCATCGGCTAACAGATGTTATTTGAAGCCATGACATTTTGATGATGATGACCATGGGCCTGAGTGTGAACAGAGAAGAGGTCTAAGGTTTGAGTCCTGGGAGACTGAGAAGGACCGGCCAGGGGAGTGAGAGGAAAACCAAGAGGGATGCATCCAAGAAGCCAGGTGATCTGATTCCTCTCATGAATGGTGAGTGGGTGTCAAATGCTGCTTACAGGACAGTGAAATGAGGGCTGAAAACTGTAGGATTCAGCAACTTGTATTTAATTGAGGACTTCAACAAGGGCAGCAGAAGAGCTGGGCTAAAAGCTTGGCAGAACTGGATTGAAGGCAGCCTGGGAAGAGAGAGAAACCAGAAATAATAAGAATGGGCACCAGATATTTTGGGAGTTCTGCTATAAAATAGAGAAGAGAGATGGAACAGAGGCTACTGAGAGGAAGCAGAAGTGAGATGTAGGAAATGTTTTTATTTTCCTTAGTATGATGGGAGAAGAAACAAGCATGCTTGCATGCTGATGGGAATGACCAGCAGAGGGGAACAAGGTGATGACAGGAGAAATGATTGGAACCCAATTGTTGAGCAGGCAGAGAACGTGCATCTGATGTTGAAATGGAGGAGCTGCCTTCAGACAGGAGCACAGGCCATTCATCTCCAGCCCCAAGAGATGCAGCAGTGGAAGCTGTTGGAAGCTTCCAATTTTTCCAGCCAAAGTTGGAAGGAAGGCATTGGTTGAGAATAAGGTTGAGAGAGGAGTTGTTAGAGGGTTAAGGAAAGAGAAGGTTGCAATGTAATATGATTGCTGGGCAGCATTTTTTAAGTTCTTACTTGAGGTTCATGGTCATTAATTAAAAGTAAAACCACAGAGTACAGTTGTGTTTTTGTCCAGCCAAGGTCAGATGCACAGAGGCTGGCATAAAGTAGCCAGAGATTCAGATTCAGCCAGAGCCGAGACTACCAAGTGAATATGAGAAGTGAGAGGGGCAAAGGAGTCAGGATGTCACCGGGAGCAATTATGCCACCTGAACATGGACACTGAGCTGGATAAAATGGGCACAGGATCCTGGGTGGGAGGGAAGTGGGTCCGGGAAAAAAGTAGTGGGATCAATGGATCATGGATTTTGATGGAATTGAGTTTTGAACCCTAGAGGGAGTGAGCTCAAAAGCCATGCAAAGGAGAGAAGTCAGTGCATGCAGTTGAAAAAATGGAAGGATGGAGTTGTTGGTTATGATGTGGTCTAAGGAGGGACCATGTCTGCTAAAGGTTGAGATGGCAAACAGCTAAATGACTGAGAAGCCCAGGGGTATTAAAAGGATCATATTTCCAAGGAAAATCCTCCTTGACAAGAAGAGGAGTATATCTGGAGAGAATAACAGCAAGCCAGGAACTAAAATTATGTCACAATGAGGACAGAATCCTAGGCTTGGTAGGTAACTGACAACGATGGGGTAGTGGGTGATACAGTCTGATGAACAAGAGGTTTAAAGCCTGGTGGACAAGCGGTTTAAAGCAAAGAGTTTTTAGGGAATTGCGAAGTGGAATGGTAAAGGTGATGAGGAAGAATAAAGAGACCACTTATACTCCTCTACTTTGGGGCAAAAAATAGAGCTGCCACCTGAAAGGGCTTCTCTCAGGGAATATCCAAGTTTGGGCTTAACAAGATAAAAGTAATTTCAAAGAAGGCTTTAAGGATATAGAGGTTTTGCTGGTGAGGGACCATGAGGGAGGAGTTTTCAGGAGTTAAGAGGTAGGTGATAAGGACAATACAGAGGATGAACCTAGACATGAAAGAACAGCTCATATACCACATAGAAATATGTAGGGGTATGAATAATACATTTGAATATACAGTATGAATATGTTACAGTACATACTTTTTGACAAAAAAAGTTTTTTTTTTTTTTAAATAAGGCAATTTCAAAATAACACTTATTTAAACAAATTCTATCACAAGTTAAACTTTTCATTTGTCTCTATTCCTACCTGGTCCATGCACAAATTCTTAACAATTATGGTGTTCTACAGTTTTATACCGTGCCCTTGCCCACTGAGCTGAGCAATTCTCCATGCAATGACACCCATGTCTGCATACCATTTCATAATGGATTTAACTGTTTTTCCATTCTTACATGATTAGTCTAAGTTAGACAGATGCCTAATTTAAATGCAGACTCTGCCACTTTCAAGTTTTGTGGTGCTGGCAAGTTACAAATCCACTTGAGTCTTGTTTCCTCACCTGTAAAATGGGGACACTTCAAGGGCCGCCATGAGGATTAAATGATATGACGCATCCAAAGTATTCAGCACAAGTGACCATTCAACAACTCCTAGCTTCTATTCCTCTTCTCAAGATGCATACAGATTGTCATTTCTTGGGTCACTTTTTGTTGTTGTTTTTTTTTTTTTGAGACGGAGTCTCGCTCTGTCTCCCAGGCTGGAGTGCAATGCTGCGATCTCAGCTCACTGCAACCTCCGCCTCCTAGGTTCAAGCCATTCTCCTGCCTCAGCCTCCTGAGTAGCTGGGATTACAGGCATGCACCACCATGCCTGGCTAATTTTTGTATTTTTAGTAGAGGCAGGGTTTCACCATGTTGGTCAGGCTGGTCTCAAACTCCTGACCTCGTGATCCACCTGCCTCAGCCTCCCAAAGTGCTGGGATTACAGGTGTGAGCCACCGCGCCCTGCCAATTTTTTTGATTAAGAAATTATAGATTTGGAATATGAACACATTTCAAGCTATCATTAAGCCAGGTATACTTTCATGAAAACCTGCAAATGGTATCTTTTCAATAGTATTTAATAAGTTTAATTTATTGTAATTTTATGATGAGTATTTTAGAAAAATGTTCTCAAGATGCAGGGATTCATATGTATGCCAAACACTCATTGAGTAGTCTACAGATGCTCAATCTCTGAGGTAAGAGGTTACCTGAAAGCGTCATGCCTATAATAAATTTCATTCTGTCCCTTCAGAAATGTACTCACAGGCCAAGGATGCATCACTGCACCCTAATATATCAAACATTATACTATAGACTATCTAGCAGATATAGATACACTATAGTGCTATCTAGCAGAAATATAACAAGCCACATGTGCAATTACATATTTTCTAGTAGCCACATTTAAAGAGAAGAGGTAAAATTTAAATAACATATTTTATTTAAACCAATACATCTAAATTCAATTAAACATCACTAATGATGTATTATATAAATATATATAAAGTATATATAAAAAAATATATATAAAAGTATATATATAAATATATATAAAAGTAGATATATATAAAATATATAAAAAAGTAGATATATATAAAAATATATATAAAAGTAGATATATATATATATACTTTTGCATTAAGTCTTTCAAATCTGGTGTATGTTTTACACTTAGGGATCATCTCAGTTCAGACTAGCCACATTTCAAATGCTCAACAGCTCCATGTGGCTACTGGCTGTCATACTGGACAGTTGGTGCAGGTCTAGAATATCTCTGCATTCCCTTAAAACTGTGATTGCAGGTACTGTTCAAGTCGTTAAATAAAGATTACATGATACAATCCTCTTAGGGAAAAAGATGTATTTCCTGAAAAAGAAGAATGTTTCTTCTGATGAAATAAGAAGAGCTTTGTAATTCCTATTTTCCTTTTTGCCTTGTTTGCCATGATTGCTGATATTTTGGCCTAAATAACAGAGTCTTGGTTTCTTAATATAACCACCTTTATCCCCTTGTCTCCCAACTTGGGTTCTTGTTTTTTAATTATTTTTCTATTGCGTCTGTGATCTTGTACTATCAGTAGCCTCAAACATATTTTGGCATACAGAACAAATGAATAATCACTTTTGGTATGGTCATAGGGTCCATATTAAGCTGCATAGTCATCTGTGTTTTGTCATCCTATTGGACAGGAAGACTTCAGAATCACATATACATGGGAGCATGTATAAGAAATTCTACTGAGAATGATTAACACACACAGATAAGAGAACAAGGAAAAAAACTAACAGCTAAATATGGCCAAATGCTACAACTGTTAACATTTATGCACATAGTATATCAGATTAATAGATTCCTTTCATTCGTTCTTTCAATTGTTTAGTGAATACCCAATTGTCAGTTAATTTCTCTCTTCTCTTTTCCATAGTGTTTTCAGATCATCCTGGAAGATTTTAATTTACATATTTGTGTACACATATTATATTTTAAACTTTCTCTTGTGATGTTAAATTATTGAAAACCAAATACTACCTTACATTTCTTTATTTTTGAGACAAGGTCTGGCTCTATTGCCCAGGCTGGAGTGCAGTGGTACCTTCTTGGCTCACTGGCTCCCCAGACTCAAGCCATCCTCTTACCTCAGCCTCCCAAGTAGCTGGGACTACAGGTGCATGCCACCACACCCAGCTAATTGTTGTATTTTTTTGTAGAGATGAGGTTTTGCCATGTTGCTCAGGATAGTCTCAAACTTGTGAGCCTAAGCAATCTGCCCACCTCAGCCTCCCAAAGTGTGCTGGGATTACAGGTGTGAGCCACCGTATGCAGCCCTACTTTGCATTTCTTGCGCCCCACAAATGTCTTTAAAATAGAAATAGCTAAAACCTATAAAATATTTTCTTAATGTAATGTTTAAACACTAGGTCACAATACACATGCAACTTCCTATTGCAGGAGTTGGCAAACTTGTTCTGTAAATATTTTAGGTTTCATGAGCTAAACAGTCTCTATTCACATCTACTCAACTCTGGCCATGTAGGGCAACAAAATCAGCCATAGACAACACACAAGTGAATAAGAGCAGCTGTGCTCCAGAAAACTTTATTTACGAAAACAGGCCACAGTGTGCTGACTTCTGTCCTGCTGGAAGGAGTGGAAAGTATAGGTCAGGGCAGTGGCAAGACAAGACATTAGAAGTGAGAATGGGCCAGGCGCGGTGGCTCACGCCTGTAATCCCAGCACTTTGGCAGGCCGAAGTGGACAGATCACTGAAGGCCAGGAGTTTAAGACCAACCTGGCCAACATGGTGAAACCTCGTTTCTACTAAAAATACAAAAATCAGCCTAGAGTGGTGGCACATGCTTGTGATCCCAGCTACTTGGGAGGCTGAGGCAGAAGAATTGCTTGAACCCAGGAGGCATAGGTTGCAGTGAGCTGAGATTGCATCACTGCATTCCAGTGAGAGCGCTCTGTCACAAAAAAAAAAAAAAAAAAAGCAAAGCAAAGAAAAGAAAGTGACTCGTCCTTTTATTGCATACCACTGAACAGTCATACCAGAGTCTCTTGTAAGGTACCTGAAATCACATTCTAAGTTGCTCATGTTTGTCTTTGAATGGCAGTTTTGCCTTCAAACAGGAGTCTAATATCAACAAGTAAAAGCTGTAGAAGTGGACTTATATTAAAAGAATAATGTAAATAACCAGCAAACATGAAGGCCTACATTTTCTCACTGTGTTTTGCAAGATAAAATTTCTATGAACTTTTATTTCGCTGTTGCTTTTTTTTTTTTTTTTTAAAGAATGTAACATTCTCAGATTAGCCAACGTTAAGTACTCTGGGAAAAATGCTGAGTATTACTACCTCCTCTGTGATTGCTGTGTCCTGGAAATCGGAACTTGTTGGAGTCAAATCTTGGAGACAATCTAAAGAGTTAAGAGCCAGTTTCCTGCCAAAAGTGAAATCAATTTACATGACACATATTCCCACAATCCCCACATGGAGGAACTAATTTTTTAAGACCATTTCACGAATAACAGAGTCTTTGTGCCACCAAATAAAAACATTTGGAGATTGTTGAAACATCTGTTCTGAGATGTTACTGTCAAACTCTGTTCTTGAAAGGGAGGAAGCTGCATTGTCTTTCAGGAGCTTTGATGATTTCATAAAATGTCTCCATTGTAAGAGCTGTTCCATCTGCAGGCCCCTGAAAGTTCCAGGAACAAATTCAACACCAATGACATGCTCGCTGATTATGGTTTAAATAAATTTATGGTAATATTTAAAAAGCAAAGATGGAAGCTATATTTCATGATGTATTTCTAAAACTGTATTTCATAACTGACATTATGAAATAACCGTCATCTAGAAAATATCCATTTTGTGTGTGCCCCTCAAGATAGCCACAGTGAGTTATTTCAGAATGGATAACACATCAGCTAAGATGCTCCAAATCCTTCCTTCATCTAAGTTTCGATCATCTGTATGGGGCTGAAGGGACTAAACTTCACTCTCCTTTACTTACAGGGAAAGGTCACTTGTCAGAAATGAAAAGTGGAAACAAATTTTGCTAATTAAGAAGACAGCAACAATGCCGAGATATGAAGAAATAAAAGGCAGACTTAGAGGTGGTCAAATTCAGGTCTGTCCAGTTTGCTTCTGGTTGGGAAGTTAGGGTTAGTGCCACCGATGAAGATGCAGCTCCGCATGATGTGTGCCTCACTGTTCGCCATCACCAGTGGCAGTCAGCATGACCTGCGGTGGGCCCTCTTTTGCAGCTGTAGTTTTACTGTCTGCCATCCCTTCAGCATGGCAGTCTACTTTGTGTATCAAATAAAAAGAAATGGAATGACAGCTGAGGCCCACAGTGTCCATCTGTGGACCCACAACTCAAGTGAGCAACATTCTGTTGTCATCTCCTCCATGACTGGGAGCAGAAAAATGTTGCTGAAACCAGCCCAAAATGTTAAAGTAGAAAAGAAAGCAAGAGCAACAGAAATGGGACCAGAACACCAAAGAAACCTAAAAATGGCTAATGTGAGGAAAAAGATTAAGGAAAAGGAAGCCTAGAATGTTGAAAATGCCATGAAGGGGAGGGTCCAGGTCTGTGATTCAGTGTGGTACCTCCAGCATCATACCACACATGGCATAAAGCAGGTGCTTACTAAATAGTGAATGAATGAACTTTTCTTCTCTTACCTTTTTCAGAGACAGGCCACAGACAAACTTAGATGGTTCCAAGTCAACTGTACAAATGAAATGCATTAAAAATGGCTCAAATAACTGGCCCTTCAAACCACTGGCCCATATCCAAATGTGAAGAGATCAGCAATTCTCAAGTGACAGAAACAAGTAGCCAGTTGCCATTTTTCAATAAGTAAATAAACCTGGGTAGGAATGTGGACTTACAAAACAATACCAAAGTTCAAACACACTCTTGTATTTTAATCTTATGTATGCATGTAAGCTAGAGTTTCTGTGGGATGAAAATGTAAAAGTAGGATTGCCCCATAAAAGATATGCAGCACTTCATTTTGTATGGCACCAACCAATATATATTGCCTTTTTAACCTTTGTATAAATGTTCACCTCCACTAAGTGTATGAAACCTCATTTAACTAAATCCTTCATCAACAGTGAATGCTACCTCACTTGTTTCCCTGAGTAAGGTGGAAGACTTTTAAAGACTGCCTAACGTATGTACATGCCAAAAAATCCAAATAGTACTACTAGAGGGTGTAGGGTGAAAAAGTAAGTCTCCCTCCCAATCTTACCCTCAGATCTTCTTGCTGAAGCAGCTGCTATATAGTCTCTTGTACATCTGTCCAGAGGCAGTATCTGATATAGTATACACACATAATGCTACGCTTTTCAAAACAAATGGTTGCATTCTGTACAGTTATTCCATCACTGCATAAAAATCTGTCTCATTCTTTAAAAGAACTGCACATTATTTCATCCCATGCATATACCATAACTAATTTAACCAGTCTGCTATTGATAGACACCCACATTTATTCCAATCTTTTGCAGCCCCAGTGATGTTGAAGTTAAATATGCTTGTCCTGAAGGCTTTGAGTACTTAGTCCAAGTACATTGGTGGGAAAATGCCTAAATGAGGAATTGCTGAGCCAAAGGGTAAATGCATTTTTATTCTTGATACATATTGTCAAACTAAGAGGTCTGTGTCCACTTACATTCTTACAACGATGCGTTTCCTCATGCTTTTCCTAATAGTTCATTACCAAACTGAAAAATTATCATTGCCAGTCCAACAGGTGAAAAATAGCATTCCATTGGGATTGTAATTGTGTTCTTCTTATTATAAAGGACATAATTATTTTTATAAGTAATCTATGTTTCATATTATGTGGCTTTTCTGTTCATTTTCTTATTCCCAATCTTTGAAATTTCTGCTGATCTTAATCATAGTCTTAATGATAAAAACAAAAACTTGAAATTCTACAACATGGCATTCCCTATTTTAAAATCTGATTCCCTACATTACTTGAAGTTAGTTCCTAAAATTACTATTTTTTCATGGCGGAGGAAGTGGAAGTGGAGTTGGGGGAAAGGAGGGGTAAGGAACAAGTCTCAATACAAAGTCTCAAAACATACAACCACAGAGAATTGGAATTAAAACCAAAGAAAAGAAGGCATCAATCAAAAATAATGAACTGCACCATAGATAATCTGTGGTTATTTCTATTTATTTCTCCATCTGAGATTTTATAAAGCAAGTGGTCAGACCATTACTTCCAATTCTGAAACTCCATTCTTGAACTTAACTAGGCCCAGAATTCAAAACTCAACCATTCTGGGATCTATGTTCTAAGCAGCCAAACCATTTCACACCATGCAAACTGGTTTCCCTGTTTTTTGAAAATGGGAAGACTGCATTTTTCATTGTATCTCACTGGTTAATTGCTTCTTCAGAATTACCAGAAGTTTTCTGGGACAAATTTATCATAAACATGATGGAACCTAGAAAGGTCTTAGATTGAACATGGTTGCTAATACATTATGAAATCTCGGCACTTCTTTCCTTGAAATCTCTTAGTCCAGAGCACTCACTGCTACTATTCTGGTTTTGATTCTCATCACTTTGTAATGGTATTACTGCTTCAGATTTTAAGCCCGTTTCCATCTCTGCCCTTCCATTATCACATTATTCACCTTAAAATACAACCTAAAACAAATCCATCTCACTCAAGAACCTAAGTGTTCCATAAACACTTGTAGAATAAATGAATAAATAAACATATAATAGCTCTTTAATCTCTAACCACCAAGCCCAGACTCCTCTGCCTCGGCTTTTATTTAAGTCCCTCCATGATCTGCTCCACTTAGCTTATGCAAACATTTCCCCACCATCTGTGCAACCAGTACTCACTCTTTCTCCTTTGCCTTTGCTCATGCTCTTTTCTCAGTCTGTGCAAAAATATCGACCCTTTTAATGACATTCTGAGTTCTGTGCATGGCCGTCTTCCTCTCATTCCGCTTCTTTCCTCACTCTCTTAGCCCTCCTGGGGGAACTCCTCTATCATCCTGGCTCCAAGGACCACCTATGTAAGTTGACAATACATCAACCTTTCTCTCTAGCAGGATCTCTCCTAAATTCCACATCAGCCTATCCAATGGCTTCTCCAATGGCTCTCCCACAAAAATCTCAATATCAAAATATGCAAAACTAAAATCATCTTTTTACTTCCTGAATCAAGCGACCATAAAAGTCAGAAAGGATGGTCATCCTTGACACTTTCTTTTCCCTAATCTCTCACATTCAATTACTGTCAACTTCAACTCCATTCTTTTTCTTACATTGATCAAATCCTTTCTGTCTCCACTGCTACCACATATTCCCAACCACAGCATCTCTCACTTTGGCCAGTTTTCCTAGTTGATTGTCTTGCCTCTAGATTTCCACCCCAGGAAACCATCCCTACACCATTGCTTAAAATTCAAATCTAACCATATTTCAATTTAGGATAATGTGCACATGATTTAAGTACAATGGAACTATTGGTCATGAAGTGGGTAGGCTATAGGGGAACCACAGTGATAACCTGGGGATAGTATCAGAGATGTCACCACCACTGGCCTCAAGGGACAAGAGAGGGACTAGCTATGGAAACAAAGATTTCTATAATTACCCTGGCTTTGAGAAAAGGAGAAGCAGCTGGCTCTAGTGATTTTTTTAAGGGAGGAAGCCAACAGAGAAAAAAGACCTTGACCTCGCTCTGTTCCTGCCCATCTCTGGCTGAGGCTATTTAGCCACTGGCTGAAACTAAAAGGCATGACAGTCTGCTGATTTAACCCTACAGGTTAGCTTCTGGGGTGGAGCAGGGTAGAGGTGGTACAGAATAGATTTGCAGGAGGGGTGGCACATAGGAGATGTGTATACAGGCCTCCAAGATCTGGCTCTCACTTTCTTCTCATCACGCTAAAATCCATCTAGATCCATCCACAGCGGACTATAGAATGCACCATCTGGAATACCTTTCCTCTATTCCCAGATTTCACCAATCTATTTATTTTCCAAAATCAATTCACTTATTACCTAAACTATAAAGATTGGGGTCAGTTACAACACCTGAAAGAATCTTATCTTTTGAATGACTGCATTATCTACAGATTTTTATCAAAGCATGTATAGTATTTTATTGTCCTTATTTGTTTTCTTGTCTTCGTGAACTAACCAGTAAACTTTCTAAAGAAAGCAGATGTGTCAATCACCTTTTTATTCCCAGTACTCAATACTGGGCAAGACACACAGAAGGTGCCTAATAAATGATGGCTGAATGAAGGAACTTAAGAGCCAGCTCAAGTCCAACATAATCTGTGAAGTGTTCCTTGACAACTTCAGCTCAAACGATTTTCATTTATGTTGATTACCAGAGTCTATTCACCGATTCTCTACTTATTTTACTTCCTTTTGTGCTGTTTTCTTAATTAGACCGCAGTGCCGTAACAGCTGGAATCATGTCTTCTGCTTCTCTGATAGCTGAGTTTGAGTCCAAACTAGAAACTGAATAAATGCTTTCTTTGAAGAGTAGGTGTTTAGAGCAGGAGAAATATATATTTTTGGGAGTCTCAAACTCAAATACTTATGAGACCACAAAGTCTTGCAAATTGGTAACATTGATAAAAGTAGAAATGATGACCTCATAGCTCCAGCACCTGCTGGTTCCCAGAGGCAGGAAATTTTTATGTAAATGTGTTCAACTTTTAATGGTTTTTAATAGTTGGCTCAAATAAAAAATGTCACCCAGCCCCAAAACTGCTCTGCATTTCTTAAAGAGAGTCGGGCATAGGTGTGGATTGAGCAAGGGCTTACAACATCACTGATCTAGCTGATGCTGTTGTATTTGTGAATGGGTTAATGTTGGTCAAGAAATGTGTGGGAAGTCTAGGGTCCAGGAACTCTTCATTCTACCTTCATTTGAAGCCACGGTCCTGAAGTGGAAGGCTACTCTTTACAGCTTTTAGCATAAGCATTATGAGAAAGCTCATTTAAGACCTATACTATTGGCTGGGCACAGTGGCTCACACCTGTAATCCCAGCACTTTGGGAGGCCAAGGTGGGCAGATCACTTGAGGCCAGGAGTTCGAGACCAGCCTGGCCAACATGGTGTGCTTAGCCAACTTAGCCAAGTGTAGTGGTGTGCACCTGTAATCCCAGATACTTGAGAGGCTGATACAGTAGAATCCCTTGAGCCCAAGAGGCAGAGGTTGCAGTGGGCCAAAATTGCGCCACTGCACTCCAGCCTGGGCGACAGAGTAAGACCCTATCTCAAATAAACAAATAAATAATCAATCAAGGTTCCAATATGTAAAAAGCAATTTTACTTGAGGAAGAACCTTTTGGAGAAATATAAAATGATTCATTTTTTAATCTACATAAAAAATTAAGAGCAGCAAAAATTAAACTTTAATTTTTACTCACAGAATTTTCAGTTATTTAGTATGAAAAGAGAAGGGGAAAACAAAGGTGAATAGAAAATATAAAGGAAAGAGAAAAATGGGGAGAGAGGGAGATAGGGAAATAGATACAAAAAGAAAATGAGACATAGAAATCGACCTATGAAAATGACAGTTACACAAATAAACATGATTTCAACCCAGACAAAGGAAAGGAAGACCACGCCAACACAGATGGACAAAAGATTGACATATGCAACACAAACAGACCCTAAAGCTACGCTGCCACCGTACAACTACAGGCAAAAGTGAAGGCAAGCTGTGTAGAATCAAAGCTGAGGTGTCTAGGAATTTTCAGTACTATGGTGCTTATGCTTCTCTTCTACGCCTTATGGAAGTATTTAGAAAGGAAAAAGAAAGCCAAACTGCGTACACAGAGTGTGAGGAGGGTGAAGAAAACACTCAAGGATTTTAACATTCCACCATTATTTCTCAATTGAAACATGACCCTGTTCTTGGCTTATTTGCTCCCTTTTCCACAGCCTAACAGTAAACTCCCACACACCAGTGGGACCACAGAGGAGAGACAATAATACAAGCAGCTGCTTGAGCTGTGGTTTTCATTAGGAAAAAAAGTGCCTTGATTATGAGAGATTTAGTTTTTAACCTGTGTGCCAAAACCGAAGTGATTAAAACTCCATGTACAGAAACACGAATGGTTTCTTAAAAGTGGAGTATAGAGCACACACAGTATTATCAAAAGAGGATAGGAGGACAGTCCAAATTCTAACACCCACGCCAGCTTGCGCATTGACTTGGATATGGGAAAGTTAGCAAAGACACAAAGTAAAATAAAAACATACTCTATAGGTTCTGCATTGCATTTTGTCAAGGTTAGAGACACATTTTCACCAAAAATTTAAGCTACAAACGGCAAGGCAATCAAGCCATGAAAAGACATGGGGGAAACTTAAATGCCTATTACTAAGTGAAAGATGCCAATCTGAAAAAAATTATACCATGTATGACATTTCTGGAAAAGGCAAAACTATGGAAACAGTAAAATGATCAGTGGTTACCAAGGGTTAGGGAGGAGGAATGGATGAATAGGTGGAACACAGAAGTTTTTTATTTTTTAGACAGAGTCTTGCTGTGTAGCCCAGGCTGGAGTGCAGTGGTGCGATCTTGGCTCACTGCAACCTCCACCTCCTGGGTCCTGGTTCAAGCAATTCTCCTGCCTCAGCCTCCGGAGTAGCTGGGATTACAGCCATGCGCCACCATGCCCAGCTAATTTTTGTATTTTTAGTAGAGACAGGGTTTCACCATATTGGCCAGGTTGGTCTTGAACTCCTGACCTCGTGATCCACCTGCCTCGGCCTCCCAAAGTGCTGGGATTACAGGTGTGGCACAGAGGTTTTTTAGGGCAGTGAAAATATTCTGTATGTTACCTTAATGGTAGATGCACGTCATTATATGTTTCTCCAAACTCACAGAATGTACAACAGCAAGAGTGAACCCTAATGTAAACTGTGGACTTTGGGTTATTATGACATGTCAGTGCAGGTTCATCGATTGTCACAAATATACCACTCTGGTGCAGGATGTTAATGGTGGAGGCTCTGCGTGTGGTGGGGAAAGGAGTACATGGGAAATCTCTGTACTTTCCTCTCAATTGTGCCGTGAATCTAAAACTGCTCTAAAAAATTAAGCCTTTAAAAAACAGAAAAAAGGAAGGCAACTCCTTAAAGTCCCCCATTTGATTCAAGACTGAGGTAGGACAGTCTCAGTAAGGCACGTTTTGTTCTCATGGCTCAGCACAGGACTGTTAATTTTGGATTCAACATAATACTCACTGATGATCGTTTTGCTCCCAAATCTTTGCACAACAGGTAGTGTATTAACTTCCAGAGTTTGAATCCTGGCTTTCCCTCGTATCATGCAACTTTGGTTGCATCATATCCTTCTACATCTCCATTTGCTTTCCAGTTCTATAATCCAGGACAGTAATACTGACACTGGACTTACGAGGATGACTAAACATATATGAAGGGCTTAACACAGTAAGTGGCACATGACAAGGACTCAATGAGCATGTATGTCAGAGAGAAGTTTAAGTTTAGGATGAAGATACACTTGTCATGAATGAAAAGGAATGTAATCATGCTATTATTCTGATTTACTTACTGAATAGGAGAAACGTATTAGCTCCTTCTTACAGTAACCCTGGAAAAACTGCTCCAGAATATGAGACATCAAAAAGTATTCTAAATTTGACATACATAAAAAGATGGCACAATCAGTAGTTTGGTAGATAGGAAGAAGAGAGGAAAGAGCTATGCAGAAGGTATTCAGGGTGGCTCACTGCCACCGGGTTGGAGACTTCGGTTATGGGAAAGATAGAGACTGGGAAATAACAAGTGTGATCTTTTCCATGACAAGCTACCTACTAAACTCTCTGCTCAATCCAAGAGCAAATGCAATTAAAATGGCTCATGCTTAAAATATAATTCCTGTAATAAATTTGTGACCATAATGACAGTGGCCTAGAGTCCTATGCTTGTTAGGAATCAGTCAAAACTGCAGTAAAAATGGAAAGGCTAGTAAAACGCAAAGGCCCTACATTGTAGAGAGCCCCCCACTCTTGCTAAGTCTTTTTCTTTTAATTAAAAAATGGAGAAGAGAAGCAAATAGCCATGTTGCTGCTCTGCTGACCTGCAGCTCCATTTTTGCTAAAGTGCTTAATGAATGAGTATGCTTTCAAACAGGCAATACATACCTTTGTCCTACTCCCAAACCAGCAAATGGTTTTTCCCTTCCACCCCCTCACAAGAGACCGACACTGTCTTCTTTTGTTTTCTTTAGTCTTTGCTGACAAAATGCCCCTGCTCTTGCTCCCATCTCCCAATACTTCATTTTCATCCAAATGCCTCCGCTTTTATTCAGTACAGATCCAGCTTATTGAGCATTCTCTAGTGCCTTTCAGGTTTTGACCCTCTTCCATGTTAAACAGGCTGCGGTGCAAGGGTAGGATGGTTGCTCAGTAAAATATTCCATCCAACAGGGGCAGTTATGTAAACAGGGCTGCTTTCTGGCAGGAATGTCTGATGGGATAAACAAGGCTGGAGAGAAAAAGTACTTTTAGAGAGGAGTGACTTTGTCAGGGAACAGAGATACATTCCAAATTAAAAAACACTCTTCTTTCTAATGTAAGACCAGGCTTTTTAAAAACAGGAATCACTGGGAGAAATGTAAAAAGAACTGTAATAACTGAGTCAGCAATTATGATTTCTGATATTGTACAAAGGGGATCAACTTTTTCATTTTGTGGCTGTAAATTTTTATTTCTTGAAAAAGAAAAAACAAAAACATCTTAAGTGCCAGAGATATTGGAAGGCTACTTTCAGAATTTATTAATATTTAAGAACCTATACAGATGCTGAATGGGAATTATGGCTAATATTTTATAACAAATAAGAAACATAGTCATCAGATAATTAGTAGATGGATTCACTAATGTACTCATGTTGATGTTTACTGTTGAAAGAGAGACAGCATTATCTTCATTAATATCTAGTACATGGGACAAGTGATGAAGTATTTAGCCTTGCAAACAAAAGACTATACACAGAAAATTCATTATACTAAGGTGATAATAGCTCATGATGAAGAAAGCGGGGATGATGAAAGCAAATAGAGATTGCAATACCTAAAACCAGCAAATATGCATAACAAGAAAAGAATGACTAGAAAGTGAAGGATTAGGATTATGTTTACAATTTTATTGTAAAACCTAGAGTGTGACTGGATATTAAATACATGAAGTTGGGTTCTTGGCATGAAATGCACAACGTGGTGTTCAAATATTTTTAAAAACAACCTCATTTAGTGAGACATCACTTAGTGAGACTAATATGAGGCAATGTGAGTAGTGGACAAGAGCCCAGCTTTGGAGTGGACAGACAAGTTTGAATCTCAGCTTTGGCCTTGACCTTGAGAGGAGGACATTTCGGGGCTTCAGTTTCCTCACATATAAAATGGGGATGTTGATACCTACTTCATGGGACTGTTACAGGGATTAAATGAGGCCATATAGGTACAATGCTCAACAAAGGGCAAGATGCCTCTGATTCACAGTAATATGATTAATAATATGAATATTATTTTTTATTATCAAGATTCCATAAGAGAATTAAATATACAGGCCAAATTAATTTTTCCTCCCCATTTAAACTATTAGTCAAAATATTAAAATTTCAAAGATATTTATTTATCAATGTATTACTCTGTTCAAAGCAGTGTATGAAGTGCTAAGGATATTTCAAAGCACTCAGAAATACACTTCGAAATCTCTGTGTTTCCTTGTCTTTCATTTACATACAGATTTGAATTTTTTCCAATGTCTATTCAATTTTTAAGATGAGTGATTTAGGATGGCATATTTATTTTGAATATCCCACAAATAATTATTAAATACAAAATGATTAGAGAGTTGATAAACTCAATTACTGCAGGAGATAGTGGGATAGGACCTAAATTTATGCTGGCTGGTGTGGTTGATAATCTGTAGATAGAACAGAGTAAATAAGTAATAGCTTCTTTCAGCAGTTACACTGTATTTCACCTAAAGTCTAGCTGAAACTTTCCAAGGCCAGGATAAGAGCATTCTGACATTATTTTCATGAGTGCTATTCCTGCTAGTCATCAGGAGGCAGCTTCTTCCTCTAGCCTTCTGAGTCATTTTAATCTAAGCATTTTGTGGAATAAATGACGTTAGAGAGGGTTAGGTAAATGCAAAACATTTTTATATAATATGATAAAGATATCACCACAAGCCAACTGGAAAAGATCACTTAGTCTCTGGTGCTGGTAAAACTGGCTCATTATATGGAGAAAAACAAAAATGAATTCCTACCTGATACCACTTAGGGGCAGGGAAGGACTTCAGAAGCAGAAAGTATAAGCAAAACATTGATTACTTTAAGATTAAGGATTTTCTGTTCAATTAAGGATACTATGGGAAAAGTTGACAGGTGACAGAATAGAAGATATTTGCAAAGCCTAAAACGGAAAAGAGACTGATGATAAAATTATTCAGTGAAATCCTGAAAATTAAGAAAGACACCACCACCAATACAATGACGGGCAAAGAACATGATGAACAGGCAATTTACTAAGGAGGTATCCCTGAAGACTAGCAAGCATGTGAAAAGAAGCTCAACCAGCCAAATAAATGCAAATTAAAAGCTATTACTTCTGCCCGGCATGGTGGCTCACATCTGTAATCCCAACACTTTGGGAGGCCTAGGTGGGAGGACCACTTGAGGCCAGGAATGCTAGACCAGCTTGGGCAACACAGTGAGACCCCACCTCAACAGCAACAACATCAACCAAATCAGTCAAGTGTAGTGGCAAGTGTCTATAGTCCTACCTACTGAGGAGGCTAAGGTGGGAAGGTCACTCGAGCCCAGGAGTTTGAGGCTGCAGTGAGCTATGATTGTGCCACTGCACTGTAGCTTGGGCAACGGAGCAAGAACCTGTCTTGGAGAAAAAAAAAAAAGGTATTGCTTCACACCTATTAAGATTGAAAAACTGGCTGGGTGTAGTCGCTCACGCCTACAATCCCAGCACTTTGGGAGGCTGAGGCAGGTGGATCACAAGGTCAGGAGTTCAAGACCAGCCTGGCCAATATGGTGACACCCTGTCTCTACCAAAAATACAAAAATTAGCCAGGTGTGGTGGCGCATGCCTGTAGTCCCAGCTACTCGGGAGGCTGAGGCAGAAGAATCACTTGAACCCAGGAGGCGGAGGTTACAGTGAGCCGAGATTGCGCCACTGCACTCCAGCCTGGGTGACAGAGCGAGACTCCATTAAAAAAAAAAAAAAAAAAAAAAGATTGAAAAGCTAAAAAAAAATAAGTTCCTGATGTAGGTAAGAAATTTCATTGGACTATGGTGGGAGTGGGGCTGGGGCAGCCATTGTGGAGAGTGATCGGGCACCATTTAGTCAAATTAACTCTTCATATTACTAACACCCAGCAATTCTACCCCTGTGTATAAGTTCCAAAGAAATTTCACACAAGAGTGTCGGGGGAATGCATGAGGACATTTGTGGCAGCATCATTTTTGCTGCTCACCCTTTGGAGATCATATAAACACACAACAACAAAAATAGATTTTTGACAAAAAGAAAATAAATTGTTCTACCAAAAAGATGCCTGCACTCATATGTTCATCACAGCACTACTCACAATAGCAAAGATATGGAATCAACATAAGGGCCCATCGATGATGGACTGTATAAAGAAAATGTGGTACATATATACCACAGAATACTACACAGCCATAAACGAGAACAAATCATGTCTTTTGCAGCAACAAGGATACAGCAAGAGGCTATTATCCTAAGTGAATTAATGCAGGTACAGAAAACCAAATGCTGTATGTTCTCACTTACAAGTGGGAGCTAAACATTGGATACTCATGGACATCAAGATGGCAGCAATCGACACTGGGGACTACTAGTTGTGGGGGGAGGGAAGGAGGCAAGGGTTGAAAAACTATTGGGTACTAGGCTCACTTACATGGGTGACAGGATCATTTGTATCACAAACGTCAGCATCATGCAATGTACTCATATAACAAACCTGCACATGTATCCCCTGAATCTAAAATAAAAATTGAAATGATTAAAAAAAGAATAGATTTGGAAACAAGGGTGTATCTTTAAATAATGCTAAATGAAAAACATGAGACTTAAAACACAATACAGTTTATGTAAATTTAAAGTATTTGTATACAAACCACTGCACTTTTAGAAAAACAGAGCCAAAGAAAAAAGGCACAATAAATACATTTAAATGGGAGGGTGGGAGGGGAATGTACTATCAGGATGAAATGGGATGAAACAAAATCTTCCCCACGCTTTTATTTCTGGGGAGAAAAGTTAAGATTAGTATTTTAAACATTTATTTAATATATCAGGAAGGAAACAGAAGGTGAGAAAAGGGAAGGAGGAAAGAAGGGAACATTTTGAGGGTCTTACAGCCAAGCACTGCATTTGATAAAAAAATTAAAACATTCTTTCTTGAAATGACTGCCTTTCCAGCACTCTTTACAGTTCCATATAGGCTGCTACACAGACATGCTCTGACATAAGTACATCCTAACCTCACAACCAAACCAAGCGCTGTAGTTCACAAAAAGTCTGTTCCTCCTTCTCTCTGATCATTTCTAGAAAACTGACATCATAGATAATTATAGGTTTTTTTCCCTCTTTAATTCTATTATATTCTATTATTATTCCTTTGGTGGGTAGCAACAGTTTAAAATTTCAAAAACATTTCTCCCTCATACTTAAAAACCCGACAAAAAATGGGTTTGGAGTTATACCCTTTCTTAAACTGTACTCCCTACTAATGGGAACCTCACAACTGGTGTCAGAGGCTGTGAAGAGTTTAACATTTCTCTACATATACTATGAATTCCTAAGCAGATCAAGATGAAATTATTAGCCATATGGAAGGAGGTAAAAACTACTAAAATAGCTTTCAGCGATTTATCCAAATGTATATTAAACTGTTAAATGTTAACACTATGTAAAAACACATATGTGGGCAAAATAGTGGACTTACTATCTCAGTGTGGAAGCAAAATATTAATCCTGTATATGACATAAGAAAATAAGGCAACACATAGTACAGTTCTACAGCAGTCACATACACTAGTAGTTTTCAAGCACTAGTATACCTCAAAATCACCCAGAAGACCGTGAAAACAGATTGCTGGGCCTCACCGTGTCTGATTCAGAAGGTGTCGGATGGGGATCAAGAACGCATCTATAACAAGTTCCCAGGTGACAAGGTTCCCCTTTGAGAACTCCTGGCCTAAATAATAAGAGGAGGGACAGGTCACAATTGTATTGTTAGAACAGAGAAGAAACTGGGATATGAGAGAGGTCTGGGGGTGGGTTGGGCTTTGGGTCATTAAAAGAAGGTGAAGGGGAAAGAGTGAGGAGAGAAACACTGCGAGTGGTGACAACATCTGGGCGCAGGCAGAGCCATGGGTGGGAAGGACGCACGGCAGGGACAGACTGACAGGGCTGGTGACCCAGGGGACGGGAAAAGGCATTGGTCTTTTCCCTCCTCCCTTGTAGACATCACAGAACTGACTGTGTCCTTTCGTACAGGAAGGGTGAAGAGAGTATCATCTAGGATGCTTGACAGAGGCAACTCACTTGGGGCATTTGTGGTTGGGGACTTGCGTCCTCTTCCTCTTTTATCCTCCCTTTTTGGAGTGCTAAGACTTTCTGGTGTGCCTTCCTTTGGGATACAGTTTTGGCTCTGCTCAGAGGAGTGAGAAATACATGGCTTAGTGTAGTCTTTGCCTACCAGGTTTTAAGAGAGTAATGGCGGGGCCGGGAAGAGCGCATTGTGCTCTGAGCAGCTTGGGTCTGAGGTCCTGAATGCTGGTGTTCATTCGCTCAGTGGATGCGGTGTTTACTGCACAGAGGCACGCCATGTAACACACCAGAGACGCAGCCCAGCCCCCATGCTCACATGGGGGGGTTGGAGATATACACTTTCTACAACCAGTTTTGCAGCTAAGATTTAATTGACACAGCAGTTAAGTGCTACGGAAGGGTGGCATGCAGAAGCTGTCATTGGTAGGGGCATTTGGCACTGGTGTGGCCTTCCTTCTACCTGAGGAACTGTAAGTGCAGCGTGGCAGCTGGACAAGGAGGGCTGTGGAGGCAGCAGTTCAATCCTATCAGTCCTCTGCTCTCAGCACTTCAGTAGCTGAGTCCCACTCTCCTTCAGCCTCCCTGCCTATCACCAAGCCCACCACACTGTCCCTGCTGTGTCTCCTACCACACCATCTGACGGGACACTGTCGGGATTAAACGTAGTAAACCTAGAGAAGAGTTCAGTGCAGTGCTTGGCACTTGAGGCTTCAGAGATGGAACCTGTTGTTTCTAAGCTCTTAAAGCTGGTCCCTCCTGTCTGTGCCCCAGAAGCCTGTGTGGACTCTTTCCTGAAAACGATGGCATGACAGAGAGAGAGTATCAGTGGCCAATATAGTGGCCTAGGACATGGATTGAAATGACAATGACAAAAATAGACACAGGAGAGGAGAGGAGGGTGCCGTTAGGGGAGAATTTTTTTTTTTTCTTTAGAGAAGCTGAGGCTGAGATGATGATAAAATAAAAAAGTAGAAATGTATTCAGTAGGCTGCTGAACTTTGGAATGGGAGTTGATTAAATAGTGAGACCTACAGGAGATGACAGGGAAGCCAGGAGGGTTAGGTTTTCTGTGGAGATGATGAGAGGGAAAAGAAAGAGAGAGACATTAAGAGGAGGGAAGAAGAGGGATAGAGGAGGAGGAGGAGGTGGAAGAGAGACAAGGAAGGGGAGTGGAGAGGGGGAGGGGGAACAGGCACTGAATCTTCACGTCAACATAGTGGATGGACCAAAAAAAGAGAAAATGAACAGCAGACAGAAAGCTGGGAGAATGGAATGTTAGGGAGAGTGGGAAGAGGAGTCCCAAGGAGAGTTCTCACTAGTGTCTGGGGCTACAGAGGGCCAAGGAGCAGACAAGGGAAAGACCATGGGTCTGATGGTGAGAAGCTGTTATGTCAGAAGCCAAGTTTCAAGGGCAAGTGCCAAAAGAGAAGATTGAGGCCCCTTGTAGGCACTGCTGCAATCCAGTATTCCAAGTCAGAACTACAGGAGTTCTTGAGTAGTTTGTATAACTTCCTGAGCCAGTATACAAACTCCAATAAAGTGGAAACCTCACCCACTCTTTTTAATTCAAAGGAGCCTCCAATGCTGCAAGGCTGTGTGATTTCCTGTGAAGAGGTGGCTCCATGGCAATAGATCTCATCCTCTACAACATTAGCTGCTCTGAATGCTCTTCCTGGGCTGACAATGACGCTCAACCTGATTGCATTTGGTATTTTTTTTCCTCCTCAGTTTTGGAAATAACCTCTAGGTGCTTATCATTGGTGTCAACAATGGGAGCAGGAGCAGCTGTGTCCAGCATGGAGTCAAGACTCAGGTCGCTACACAGGCCGGTGTGCGGTCCGCAGAGTGAAGAGAGAAGTCTATTTGTTCCACCTAAGCAGGAAAGCCACAACCACACAGGCCAGCCCCTAGATGGCTCCGGAGGATGATTCAGGGCAGGATCTGTCAGGGATGCTGAGACCATATTGTGCACTGAGCAGTTAGGAACATTGTGACATTGCAGTCGGAAAGAAGCTGGTGTCCCGAGAGAGAGAAAGAGCAGAAACCCACACAAACTGTAACCCAGCCAGATACTTCAATTCCCAATCTAACTTAGCCACTTTCCCATCAGAAAAATCTATAGGAGAAGAGAGAGCTTTATAGAAGACTTAATCACACCCCGAGGGGGGCACATTTTCCAGGCAGTTCGGATGTGCGACGAGAAAGCCCAGAGGTATATTTAGATTCTACCGGCAACAGCTTTAAAACACACGACACCCCGAGATGTCAAGATTGTTATTTTTGTGGAAATAAAACCTGCTGCCAAGTTTTTATTTACCAAAACTTCTCACCTTACAGGAAAAATAGGAAAGTGCAAATACTCTTAAACAGTCACAGGGAGTGGGGGGAGGATGGACAAGCGAAAGCCAGGAGGGTCTTAATATTTTTCTAGTCCAAGGAACAGATGCAGAGGGAGGCTCCGGCTTTATGCAGCAAAAGATATTTCCCCCGAGTGGGGTTCCACATGGAAGCGGAGGAACAGGAGATAGTAAAAGATGGTGTACTTTTGAGGGGCACAGGCAGTCCTGACACGGCATAACCTATTCCCTGTGTTTTTGCTGGTTTTAAAGGTTTCTTGTCAATGTTAACTTTGACAAAAATTAAGGATATCCTAATTTTGTCTACCTCTCTTGAGCTAAACACAGAAATACAACCTCCGATAGATCACTTCTCTGCCCTTACCCAGTGAAAATCCCATGATTCCATTTCCCTCTTCTTGGTAGAAGTGGGAAACAGGTTTGGGTACGAGATATGTGGGCACCCTCAGGAGAGTTGACAAAAATATCTAGACACCTCTGCCAGAAGGAGGTGGCTGATACTACCCTCTCTTTGCTGGCGAATGCCCACTCAGACTGGGAGCTTTGAGGACCGCTCTTTCCGCCCACTCCTTCCTTCCTCCTCAAATATAGCCACCTTCCCCCACTGCCAATTTTCAAATCGGCACAATGATTAATGACCCAGGCAAGAACTTAATTTCCTGTCCAGTAGTCCAAGGCTGATTTCCAATAAAAGAACTCACTCAAGGCAACGATTTCCTCTCTACAGCCTCTAATCTTTTATTCAATTGTGGGCATTCTTCTCTCTCAGTGTGAAAGCTGAATCAATTTTTGAACTTCTATTTGGCGAATATTCCAAAGAATCATAGAATGCTAACGCTGGAACAGACCTTAAAGGCAATGTAATTCACCCTCCTCTTTTCTTGCAGTTCAAACAGGCCTTAAGTTGGAGGCTTTGACTCACACGGTTCTGTGTGCACATGGTCAAGCTGCAAGTGAAGAGGGAATTACTCTCGTTAAAGGACACAGCTTGGGTCCTTACTGGTCTCATTATGGAGTTACCTTTAATGAAACAGTCCATTTTGAACTGGGAGCTAATCACCATGGGAGAATATTTCTGCAATTATGGGCTCCAGCAAAACACAAACAAAACAGGTGTCAGTGAAACCCTTTGGACAGAGCAATGCAATTACTATGTTCAATTACCTCAGGACTCCTTCAATACCCACTGCAGATTTAATGAGTTGTCCTGATTTGAACTACATGTATCCATCTCTTGTATTTATTTCTCAGAAATGCTTGATAGATAACTCCACTGCTTTCTGTGAAATTAATTCTGAAAAGCACAGGTTTCTAAACAAGATGCTAATGACTGCATAATATAATACCTTCTTTAGATGCATGATTTCCTGTAGACAATTCTAGTTGCAATTCAGGAAATGCTTTCTGGGTTGATGCTTAATTGATCTGAAGTTCACAAGTGAGGGATGCAAATGGCAAGCAATGGGTTGGGCTGATGGTGGGCTGTGGAAGAGCAGAGTGACCATGGGAGCAACGGAGTGCACTGTAAGCAGCGAACGCTGACACTACCAGAAAGAGTAATGGGCATGAGGTTCAAAGACGCTAGTTTGTGTCCAGCTCTATTTATTATTAGCTGTGTGCCCTTCCCCAAGTAATGTATTCTTTTTTGAGGATCGGTTTCGTTATCTGTAAACAAACAATAATTAAGGCCTGCCGGGATGTTATAAAAACCATACAGTAGGCCGGGCACGGTGGCTCACACCTGTAATCCTAGCACTTTGGGAGGCCGAGACGGGCGGATCATGAGGTCAGGAGATCGAGACCATCCTGGCTAAAACGGTGAAACCCTATCTCTACTAAAAATACAAAAAATTAGCCGGCCGTGGTGGTGGGTGCCTGTGGTCCCAGCTACTCGGGATGCTGAGGCAGGAGAATGGCGTGAACCCGGGAGGTGGAGCTTGCAGTGAGCGAAGATCGCGCCACTGCACTCCAGCCTGGGCAACAGAGCGAGACTCCGTCTCAAAAAAAAAAAAAAAAAAAAATCATACAGTATATATGAAAGCAGCAATCACAGTGCCCAGCAAATACTGGTGCTCTATAAGTACTTACCAAATTTAAACATCTTAATTCCCTCATGCTGTACTTTCTTCTGGATTGAAACATCTCAATTGTCATAAAAATGTAAATACAGGGATTTATACAATTATTGAAGTCTGCATATAGCGAGGCTGGGCACCAACAAAAGTTAAATCTACATCAGTTCTGACCTATTTATTCCCCACTCAAACACTCTGATGGATGAAAAGTTAAATATGGATCATAAACAGCCACTGAACTTAACAGTATCAACCTGAAATGAAGTGCAGCTTGAATCGGAACAAGCATGGGCCTTAGACCAGATGGGCTCCACTTACCAGCCCTTCGGTAAAACTAAAACTACTTGAAAACTTAAAACTACCCTGAAACTTACCTTCCTGACTTCACAGGTTGTTACGAGGATTAAATAATATTAGTGGCTGTCTGTAAAACAGCACAATTCCTGGCTCAAAGTAGGTGACAGAAAATGGTGACTGCTAAAACTATACAGTCTAGGGGTCCTTAAGTAAATGCCATTCCTCTGTTTTTGCTTATTTTATAACATCAGCTCTTCTACCAACTGCAGATTTGTTGTGAAAACCCAATGAGAGACTCTAGGGAGATATTCAAAACCATACAGAATTAGACATGGGCACCTGTATATTCAAGGCACAAATACATTGGGAAATCAATTCCTGGAAAATATTTACTTTTTAATGGCCTGGTTATGGCTCCAGAAGGTTTGAAATGGTGCCAGAATTGGGACTAACAGAGCCATATGCAATTTTCTTGTGAAAGACCAATTGGAGCTTTGGCCACACACTTAAACGTCATCCTGGCAAAACAAAGCAGATGAAACTATCTGATGAAGCCAGGACAATTCTTTGAAAAGTTACAATATGTACGTAAGTGGGGTGAGTGAATACACATTTTAGGACACTACGATTTAGTATATGGCCCACAAGCTTGAAACTGATAACTCGGTAATTCTGTGCGCTATTACCCGGCTTATCCACTTAAAAGTGAGACTGCTGCCTGAGGCTTACGGCTTCCCATCTGCATTAGTCATAGGAAAGAAGGACAAGCTCTGCTGCCATTACCTTTGAGATCTAAATGATCTTAGGCAGAATGCAGAATATTCAAAACTAAGATCTTTACCACATTTGATATGACAATGAGTAAGTGATACGAACTTTCACAGTGGCCAAGAGCTAAGGAGCCAGAAGGTGTTTCCAATGGCTATAGGATATCTCAGTAAGACCTTGTTTTCTACTCAAAACTCAATTTGTGCTGCAAGCTCTTCCAGCCTAAAATTAGTGGGTGGTTTTCTCAATCATCGCCCGGAGAACTCAGCCAGTCTGCCACTCGTAACTTGGACAGCATTTCTACCTTAACCGGCTCTCTCAGAGACAGTATTTTGAACTTCCTTGGTTGAATGCAAAACACATTCGCTAACTAACCAAACAAACTGGAAGGAGGCATACCACAAGACCCAAACCCGACAGACTCAATGACTGTGAAAACACCCTCTCAAAGGCATGGGGCAGCGAGGAGGTGACCTGAGTGAGTGAAAGAGGTGGTTTCTTCAGAGTTTCAATACTTACTCATCCACAAATACAAAAAATGCAGACGGAGGAAGGAATGGACTGCAAACTTAAATTCCTCTAATTTCCAAGTAGCTTGAAATACCTACAACCCCAGAGGGATCAAGTTAGGCATATAATCTGGTAAATTTATTTTTATTTCCCCTACCGTGAATTCAAGTAGGAGTTCTGTAAATATTCATTCCCATAGTCTGTCTCTGTTTTTCTCTCTCCCTTCCTTCTCTTTTAGAAATAAGGTGTTTGGGGGCATGGCAGGGAGGGACAGGAAGGGCTCAATTTACAGTGAGAAGACCTAGGTTCAAACTAGCCACTTAATGGTCCTCAATTTGGCATGGAACCTAACACTGGCTCAACCCGTTTCCTCATCTGTAAAATGGAAAAGAACCATGAAATGCTTATTTTCTGTGTGTTGAGTGTATGAGTTTTTAGTTTTGTAATACAAACTGTGAGACAAAATGAAAAAACCATGATGCATTAAACACCCTTAAAGCAACAGCAAAGCTCCTTAACAAGCAATGGCCTTTGGTTCTTTAAGGTCTTGAAATTTTGGATGTTTTGGACACTTGACATTTAAGCTCGAGATAATCAGACTAAAGCCTGAACCTCACATGGAGGCCATCTTTTCTAGACCTGCAGCATTGCAGAGCTTTCCTGGAGCAGACAGGGCAGCTTACTGAGTGTGATGGTTAATGTTGTGTCAACTTGGTTTGATCACGGTATACAGATATCTGGTCAAACACTATTCTAGATGTCTCTGTGAAGTTCTATTTTTGGACAGGATTAACATTTTACATCAGTAGACTTTGAGTAAAGCAGACTCCCTCTATAATGTGCGAGGGGCTCATCCAACCAGCTGAAGGCCTTAAAAAAGAAAAAAAGGAGGAATCCTGCCAGGAGACTGCCCTTGGTCCCAAACTGCAGCTCTTTACCAGGTCTCCAGCCTGCTAGGTCTCTATCCAGCACTTTGGACTTGTACCTCTATAACTGTGTGAACCAATTCCTTAAAGTAAATCTCCCTCCCTCTATCTATAAATACCACCCCCTATCCTCCAACTCTGCTGCCAACTGGTTCTGTTTCTCTGGAGAAGTATGACTGATATACTGGTTTCACCCTTCTTAATTTGTTTTTAACATGAAACCATGAATATTTATTTCATATTGACCTTTGCTTCCACTTCCCTTGCTGATATGAATGCCAGGTCCACCGCCCACTGATAAGTGCCTGGAAGAAGCACACCTACCATGATTCTTGCAGAACGACTATGTGAAAACACTGTCCTACTATGCAGGGAAATGTCTGAGGGCAGATATTTCTGTATATTACAGCTTCCCTGCTGGCCTCTAAGAAAAACTTCTGAATATAAAAAAGCACTTGCAGGCAGAAAATGTGGAATCCTTATAGACTGAAATTTTCTTTACAGAAGATGGGTTTGGGCTGGACCTATGGGAAGGACTGCTGTCTGGACCACCTCATTCACACCTACAGCATCCACTTTGTGCAGACCTGTGTCTTCTAAATCTCTTCCTAGCCCAGACCACCTTATGCCTGCCTCCACTGGACAATTCCTCTACGATGCCTTGCAGGTGTTTAACATATACAAATCTAATTTCGTAGTATTCTCTCTAAATCTGATCTTCACTCTCTGTTCCTTAACTTCCCAAATGAAAGTCAAAATCCAGAAAGTAATATAAACCGGGAACGCGGAAGTCATCTTTATCATCATGGCATCTCTTCACATCCACTCCACACATAGTACCATTAGTCCTTCCATCCGAATGTTTCCTGAAGCTGTTCCAGCTGCTCCATCCCTGTTGTATAAGTTCTGACCCTGTATTCCACCCATCCACCACACTGGTGCTGGAGTGACCACTCTAAAATGCTATCTAATCCTATAATCATGGCCTTGGCTAAAATCTCTCACTAGCTCCTAAAATACCTGGACACAATTCAAAATCCTTCCTTCAGAACACAGCAGTTCCCCTGTTCTCCAGTGGCACTTCTTGCATGTCCTCATGGAGCTTATGTTCTCTACTCCAAACCTGGCCTTACTCCCAGTTCTGTGGGATGCCCTTTTCCTACTTATTTAGGCAAACTGCTGTGCTAGGCCCTGAGGGCTATAATGATGAGCAAAGTGGACAGTCATGGCCTCTTAGAGATTCTTGACAAGTGATGGGTGTCAGTTATTAAACAATCACTCAAAGAAGTATGTAATTATAACTAGGATCCACGCTCTAGAGAAAAAGTGCTGTGAGATTATGGGAATCAGACTTTGTCTAAGAGACCCAGGTCAAAGCTTCCCAGGGAAGTAACTTTGACCTGAGACCTGAAAGATGAGCAGAGGTCAGGCTGCAGGAATTGAGAGAAGACTGGCATGACTCGGGTCCAGAAAGAAAGGGGAAGAAAAGCAGCACATGATGAAGCTGCAGAATAGGCAGGGGACTATCACAGAGACTTGCAGGCAACAATGAGATTTCACTGAGACTTCCTTGGACTCTTCCATCTCTCTTCCTTTAAAATTTTCTCTTAAAATTTTTAAGGGGCTGTAAAAGTAAAGTATGTTTACTGCAACAACTCAACAATAGGAAAAGAAGTAATAGCAGCATACCATTTATATAGTATTTACTGGATGCTAGGTACTTCCTAAGTGTTTTCATGCTGTTATTATCCATAGGGAAGTGCAAAGTAAAAGCCCAGGGCCATAAAGTTAGAAAGTGAGAACTAGATATCCCAAGGAGTCTAGTCCTAGAGCCCAGCTCAGAGCCACCAACTGGCCCCACCTCCAATCTCACCCCCTGAAGACTGACGTAAAGTGTGTTACATGCCCTTGCTTGGGTTTCTCTGTGCTTAAATATATAAAACAACTGGATGAAAAAGAATTGATGTGTATTGGATTATTTTTTTTTTGATACTTTAAGTTCTAGGGTACATGTGCACAATGTGCAGGTTTGTTACATATGTATACATGTGCCATGTTGGTGTGCTGCACCCATTAACTTGTCATTTACATTAGGTATATCTGCTAATGCTATCCCTCCCTCCTCCCCTTACCCCATGACAGGCCCCGGTGTGTGATGTTCCCCACCCTGTGTCCAAGTGTTCTCATTGTTCAATTCCCACCTGTGAGTGAGAGCATGCAGTGTTTGGTTTTCCATCCTTGCGATAGTTTGCTGAGAATGATGGTTTCCAGCTTCATCCATGTCCCTACAAAGGACATGAACTCATCCTTTTTTCTGGCTGCATAGTATTCCACGGTGTATATGTGCCACATTTTCTTAAGCCAGTCTATCATTGATGGACATCTGGGTTAGTTTCAAGTCTTTGCTATTGTGAATAGTGTCACAATAAACATACATGTGCATGTGTCTTTACAGCAGCATGATTTATAATCCTCTGGGTATATACCCAGTAATGAGATGTCTGGGTCAAATGGTATTTCTAGTTCTAGATCCTTGAGGAATCATCACACTATCTTCCACAATGGTTGAACTAGTTTACAGTCCCACCAACAGTGTAAGATAAATGTTGATATTTTTCTTTAAAGCAATGGGAAATCACTGGAGTTTCTTTCTTTAATATGGCAGCAATGTAATTAATTTCTGTTTTTGGAAGATCGTCACACTCTGGTTCCCAAGTGGAGAATGGGGTGGAGCGGGGAGAGGTGGAATGGAGAGGAGATACCCAGCAACCATTTAAGGGCAGAATGTAATCCTCTGGGCTAAGACAGTTGTAATGGCAGAACTGGAGAGAAGTGAATGGATTCCAGATTTACATAGAGGATAAAATCATCGGCGATGGGTGATAAAGCCCATACAACAGGAGGGAGAGGGTCCTGTCAAGGATCATGCTGAGGTTGCTGGTGATGAGGTACGTCTGGGAGGATGACAAAGTGAGGTGGAGAACACTGATATTGCAGGCCACCAAAAAAGAAAAAAAAAGGTTTATTTTGAATAAGTTGGGTTTGAATGACCTTTGAGACCTGGCATTATAATAATTATTGCTATTTACTTAAAGCCTGCTACATACCAGGCATTGCATAATCATCACTTCTAACCACTCCATAACCTTTTTTTGAAGTTGGTACTATTATTATCTTCACTTTACACATGAAGAAAAATGAGGCGCAGAGGTTAAGCATCTTGCTTGAGGTCTCGAAGCTAAAGAGAGTCAGAGCCCTACAGCACATTTACCATCAATAACTCTCCTGGGTTATCTCAGCATCCTTTGAAATGACCCGCCCTCCTCCAGGCTAGTCTCATCCTCCACGCTGCTGCTGGACACTCACTTGATCATGTCATTCCCAGCCTAAACTTTTGCAGGGCTCTGCTTACCACCCTTTTGGTATGGCACACACAACCTTGCATGATCCCACCAACCCGTCCTGTGACTTTTTTCCCTGAGGCTGAGACATATGGGATAGCTAAGAAAGGCAGCGCTCTCTCCTGTGTCTGGGACACCTTCCCTCCTCTTGTCCTCTATGCTTCCTACACACCTCAGCTCACAGTGGACTCCACATCCTTACTCTGCTGTACCAACTGCTCCAGCAAAATTGTCTGATTGTCTCTCTAACAAACAGAAGCTTCTTGAGGACACTCTTTGTTTGGAATCCCCAACCCCTTATACATACAAATTGAAAGGAAGAATAAATAATTGAATACTATACACATCCAAATGTCTGTTGAATAAATGAAGGGGGTGCTGCATGAATAAAAGCTCAGAAGACTTTGCAGCAAAGACAGGTAGAGGTCTACTTTTATGGTACCATGCCCACCGACCCACTCTAGCCACAGTTTCCTTTGCCCCATCTATGTACTATCTATGCTTCTTTTGTACTAAACAATTTGGCAGATACTATCACCAGTTTATAGATGAAATAACCTGAGCTCACATCAGAGTATTTGCTAAGAGCCTTGAAGACAACATGTCTGACAGTCAGTCTCCCTGTATCTCTGATATTCATCCCAAATGGTAAGAACATTGCTAACTTGTTTTAGGAACTGCTATCTTCCCAAATTGCTCAAACCAAACTTTAAACAATTACTGTTGAATTTTCTGCTACACAGCCATAAACGTAAAAAACAAATTTAGTTACAGAAAGTACACTACGTAGAAAATGCCAGAGTTGGCAAAAAATGATACAAACTGGAAAGCGGGTGGAGAAAAAGCACCGTCACTGAGAATCTTCAAGTAATTCCGAAAAGCTAAAAGAGTACTCTCCCCCACTGTTTTTTTTTTTTTTTTTTTTTGAGACAGAGTCTTGCTCTGTAGCCCAGGTTGGGGTGCAGTGGCGCGATCTCAGCTCACTGCAACCTATACCTCCTGGGTTCAAGTGATTCTCCTGCCTCAGCCTCCAGAGTAGCTGAGATTACAGGCACCCGCCAATTTTGTATCTGTGGTAGAGACTGAGTTTCACCGTGTTGGCCAGACCGGTCTTGAACTCCTAGCCTCGAGTGATCTGTCCACCTCAGCCTCCCAAAGTGCTGGAATTACAGGCATAAGCCACTGTGCCTGGCCACAACAAGAGTACTTTTAAACCAAGCTAGTTCAAAGAAAATGAAACAAAATGTGTACTTCATATTATCAATCTCATATATTCCAGATTATGAAATATTAATATCTTAGTATAACATTTTACCATTTGCCTAACATGCACTTACGGCAACTTCATAGGAAATACTGTTGCCATCTGGCACTGTCTAGATCCATGTGAGCAGTCAGAATGGACATCTGAGTGTCAGTAAGCCACCCGCTCCTGGCAGCCTGGGAGAACAGCTGTCCAGGATATCCACAGGCACCCCCCACTCCCAGCTCTGCTGCCCCACACCTGAATACAGACAGGCTGCTCCTTTCCCCCACAAGCCTCTCTGACTCCCTCCTAGGCACACTCCCTCCTGGCATCTTCAGGTCATTCCTCGCTTTGTTTTTGCCAAGGCTCAGATCTCCAGGGGCTTGTGTGTATCCTATTCTGGTCTCCTCCCATCTCATCTTGAAGGAAGTCTTGGAAATGCCCACCTTGGCAAGTGGTATTAATAACACCTCTGCATTACAGTCACAGAACTGCGCTGCCTTCCTCCCCGCCTCCTCACTCCCAGTCCCCAACTGTAGGCTGTTTCTTTAGGAATTGATCTCTTTTTGGACCCAGATACTCAACTAGACTTAGTGTAAATAGGCTGCATTCCTGTTGAAATCTGGTCCTGAACCACTGACCTCTTCCCCAAAACTCAGGAGCTTTCAAAGTTTCTCAAAATTGGGGCAATGCTGACCAGTAACTTTATCCTTCTTAGTACTGGCAATATACATCAACCTTCTGCTAAGAGCCAATGTGGACAACTGGGACATGTAAAGAAGCTCAACATGTTGCATTAATGTTTGGATTCATAAGGTACAAAACAGATTATCAACAGAAATTATCAGTAATTATGCCTAATCACGCTAAATGGGAAAAAAGTAACTGCTCACTATGCTGAGTATATAGCAGTTTACTCTATCTAGAAATGCCTAATTACCTGAATAATATTTTGGAAATTAAATTATATGGGTAAAAAAATTAACTAAAGATTTCTGGTACAAAAAACAATTTTCAAAATAAACACTGTCGAATGATAAAACATATGTATGTATTTATATAAAATTTGTAATAATGAAGTGTCAGGTCAGAAAGCTGATGAATAGTCTCCAATAAAACAGTCTGTAGGCCGGGCACGGTGGCTCACGCCTATAATCCCAGCACTTCAGGAGGCCAAGGCGGGCAGAACACAAGGTCAGGAGTTTGAGACCAGCCTGGCCAATATGGTGAAACCCTGTCTCTACTAAAAATACAAAAAAATTAGCCAGGCATGGTGGCGCATGCCTGTAATCCCAGCTACTCAGGAAGCTGAGGGAGGAGAATTGCTTGAACCAGGGAGGCGGAGGTTGCAGTAAGCCGAGATTGTGCCACGGCACTCCAGCCTGGGCGAAAGAGCAAGACTCAGTCTCGAAAAAAACAAAAACAAAAACCAAAAACCAAACAACAACAACAACAAAAAACAGTCTGCAGTCTATAAGTAAATCAGACAAGTAAAATGTATGAGCAAATCAAATACAGGCATAGTACAGTTAGCTCTCAATTCTCCAAAGGATAGACTAATCATAAAGATTTCATTCATGAAATGGTTAAAACAACTACAAACTAGTGACATATCTATGTACTAGAAAGACCACTGTTAGGAAACCAGTATTACCAATATAGCACAGGGAGTCTTCTCCAATCATATTTCATTTTTGAAATATAATTACATTTTTGAAATCTAAACCCAAACTAAAATTTGGCAAAAAATTTTAATTGACAGAAACATCATTCAATGATAAACTACGAGAACAAAACCTTATGATATAAATTAGATAAAGATCAAATTAATTCCATTTGAACCTGCACCAAGTTCTTCAAGTAGAGTAAAAAAATAGGAAAACTTTAAAGAAGTCCTCTCTCTACAACCTTGATAAGGCAATGATAATTTGGTTAAGTTGGCAATAAGCAAAGAAAATGCCAGTTTCTGGTCAAATCTGCCCAAACAAGCAAATGCTTATTTGACTCTTAGAATGAAAAGCAACTGATGAATTTCTGGCTGGGATTCACATCGCTAAGCTGATGAAAGCGACATTGGGGCAACTTGACCTGGATCTGAGAACTGGGTGATAATGGCACTGTTGAAATGGGTGGTCAGAAAAAGGGTCCAGCTGGTCAAAAGCAGATTACTGATGGTGCAGCAGTTAATCATCTTGACGGTCTAAACAGTAAATATGCTTTCTATTAAGGTGATATTAAGTTTATTTTATATCACACTTTGGGCTGGTTTTAACTTTTTATCATTAACTATCGTAAGGTGAATTTTAAGACAATTAAGAATAAAAAGACGAGCTAAGGTCTAGAATTTCTTTTTTTTTCAGTTTCAAGTTCTCCACTAAACTCAGTCTTAACTACTTGAATATATCACGTATAGTTACTTTACAACATGTGTCTGAAAACTTCATAATTTGGCTCCTTTGTGGTCTGTTTTTATTGCCTGTTGCTTTATTTTTTATAAAATAATCATTTTATCTTGTCTCTTCACATGTCTGGTTATTTAAGATAGAATACATTTCCCATGTAAATTGCCATGTTTATCAAAAGTTGACAAGATCAACATCAACATATTGCTTCATTATAAACATAACTGAAAAAGGCAAAAATCAAGCAAATTTATAATTTTAAATGTAATAAATACAAATATTTCAAGATACTCTCACATAAAATAAAATTATTGACCAATATAAACTACCATTACAATTGGACCATCATTTTATGGGAATTTCCTTAAGTGTTTAGCAAATGTTTCATCAATATAAAGTGAATCCTCTTATAAAGCAATAGATATTATTATAGGTAAACTGTTATTTTAAAAAGGTGACCAAGCATGGGTTCGATGATTGGTTTGTTTCACACCACATAGAAAATAAAATTCCAATACAACCAAAGGATTTGGGCTCTCCTTCAGGGTAGGAGAACAAATGGTTTACTGTTCTGCTTATGTTTTTATGCATTAATGTTATGGGAATCAGAAAAACAACTGAATTACTACTCCTAGTTGTGTCAGACATTGAAAGGGAAGCAGTGCAGAATCACTGGATTTTGGAGAACTTAAGAGAGAATCTGATTCAAAAACTTTTAATAAGGTTCCAAAACACAAACCTAACGTTGAAAGAATGTTTACAAAGTAGAGTTGAACTGCAGGGGAGAACAGGCCTTGCAGACAGCTACTGATCTGAAAAGAACTTCCTACAAAAGGGAAAGAGGCCGGTCACCAGGGCTGAAGAGGAGAGAGGAGACGCTGTGTCGGCACCAACTCAGTGCAATTCACTCTTCAGTCTCTGCTTTGTTCACACTACATTTCTGTTTGGAAACAGAATTTGGAGAAGTCTGAATATAAACTTTCCCCAAGACAGCCAGGTTTGGGGCCTTTAATTTATGGAAATATGCATACACTGTGTCCTCAAATGCTAGCTGTGTGCATACAACAAAAAAGGAAGTGACTTTTAAGATAGTTAAGGATAAAAAAGAAATACTTGAGAGAATAAAAGATTAAAGTCTTAGTAACAATACCATTATAAAAACAAGGCCTGGCATGGCGCTCATGTCTGTAATCCCATCACTCTGGAAGCCTGAAGTGAAAGGATCACTTGAGCCAGGAGTTCGAGACCAGCCTGGGCAACAAAGTGAGACCGTGTCTCAAAATAATAATAATAAAAATTATAAATAAAAACAAAAGAAAACTAAGTGCACCTCTAGTCTATGGAAAGCACTGCTCTGCAGCAAAGGAAATAAATCTCATGTCCTGGTTGAGGGAGGACCCTCTAATACTCTAGTTGGCTGCTTGGGAACAAAGGAAGAAACTGGAGTTCATATTGGAAAATAAGGAGAGAAAAGAAATCTTAAATAGCACTAAATTTAGAAAAACAGTCTTTTCAAAGGCGAACTGAGGGAACTTTCCTAAAGCAAACTGGGTCAATTAGGAAATATTTCTTGGAGAAATGCCTTAAGATGCACACAACAACTTAAACTCAAAACTACAGAAAGACTAAAGCAATGTCAATTAACAAAACATTTACTTATTTTATACAATGCATAAAAGTGGGACAAATAGTATATCAGAGTTTATAAGACAGTTCTTATCCATATAGAGACAATGGTAATATCAAAAACAGTACAACTGTGGCTTAGTAGACCATCTTGTATATCCTTTCATGCCAGGTAACCATTTCACTCGTGTGTCAGGTCCTTTTCTCGCTGGAAATTCACTCTTGAAATTCTAGAGAATGTGATGAAGAGTTCAAAAATGGGAATGAAACACTGGTTGAGGCCTCCTTGCTAATTTGAAAACTACTTTTGGAATCTGCAATTATTTCTTAAAATAGAGATTTAAAAATCTCTGTATTCAAACTAGATTTTAATTTGCCTAGTTTAAACTTGTTTTGAAACTTCTATAAAAAGCCGCAAGGGAATGCTCTAAAAATTATCAAAAGGATACATTTGCCATAGAGCAATGCTAGGAGGATTAAACATAAAATTCACAATGATTTGAGTTTATGAATTGGAATTCAGCAAGTCATTACGCCACTCAATGAGAACAAAGGACAGAGGACCAGGGTTTTGCCTATGATTAACAATACTTAGTGTTTTGGCTGGCACCCATCTCAAGTTCTATTATTTTGAGTGAATCAAAACTTGGTGATTAAAAGAAAACTGTAGCTCACATTATTATTATAAGAGAAATGAAAAGTAGGCAATATTCAACATCAGCCTAGAAAGTCAAACAAAGCCCACTTTAAAATTAAGTCAAGGCTGGGCGTGGTGGCTCACACCTGTAATCCCAGCACTTTGGGAGGCTGAAGTGGGCAGATCACTTGAGGCCAGGAGTTCGAGACCAGCCTGGCCAACATGGTGAAACGCCATCTCTACTAAAAATACGAAAATTAGCTGGGCGTGGTGGTGCGTGCTTGTAATTCCAGCTACTGAGGAGGCTGAGGCAGGAGAATCGTTTGAACCTGGGAGGCAGACGTTTCAGTGAGCAAGATCGTGCCACTGCACTCCAGCCTGAGTGACTGAGTGAATGAGACTCCATCTCTAAATAAATAAATAAATCAAGAAAATTCCCCCTTTCTTTCCTTGTAAAGATGTAATTTGCCAACTCAAGTTGAGAGGATATTAAAAAATCAAATATGTTTATAATATAAATAATTATGTACTGATATTTTGTTTCTTAGGTTAATTAGGTCATCAATGTGCAACTACTATAATAAATCCATATAAACACATCCATATTTGTTGGGCATTTACAAAGAATTCTGAGGACTAATATATTTCACAGAATTTATCTTATTTAGTCCAATTTTCTGAACATGTAGTTAAAACTATCCAGAATCATTCAGTTATCCAAGACTTACCTGTAAAATTATAGTCAGACTATATGATTTTCAAGGATCATTTCAGAAATAAAATTCTGCACAGTATTGAATTACATGGGATAACTAGATCAAATGCAGCAGATATAAAATAGAACAGGTTTTATTTTAAACCTTTGTTCTACAAAAATCCATAAAATTGGGCTTCAACACATTTTAAATGTTAGAAGGACTGAACTCTTCATGGCCCTCTGAACTTCTGTATAAATGAGATGTCCATTAAATTTACCAGGACAAGGTATACACAAAGTTCAACTACTCCCTTCAATCATAGCCATCTCTCTAAATAAGTTTCAAAAACCGTCTGGATTTTCTAATATTTATGGCTTACAGGCTCAAATCATTTATTAAATAATTAGATACAATGATGTATATCATAGTGGTTTCCAATCAGCTAGCCAAGAATCAAGAAATAATACAAGGTATCAGAATTCATCTGATAAGTTCCATCTCCTACACAGAGGTATTACTTCCCCCAAAATAGGTAGATGTCATTGTTATTTGTGAAAAGGAAATTTAAAAAATCAATGAAACATCATAAATTATAAATATAGATATAAAATAAATACTTGCTAAATGAGAGAATACTATTAATAAAATTCCAATTTGTTAAACTAGCAAATCTGACTGGTTTCACCAACTGATAAACTTTTGGTCATTCTGTATTTAATCGACAAATACAAAATGTATCGTGTGGGCTTGTAAACTGTCAAGCTGTTAAAAATGGATCCCTGATTCTGAAAAGGTAGCACATGAAGGGCAAGTACTGAAAACAAGGCATGCTTTTTAAATCCAATCCTGAAACTTCAGTGAGCTCTAAAAGGACATTTGCTCGAGTCCAGGGAATGTGGAACACAGCATGAGAAATGTGAACATTCTTGGTAAACTGACATCATCATGACAACTCTGGCAGGGCTCCAAGTGTCTGAAGCAGAACGAAGTCTTGTTTATGAAGTGGGAGAAAGAAACTTGGGCTTTCTGATTTACACCTTGGCAGGAAGCAGAAATGGTTAAAAGAAAAGGAACACTTTTTATATACAGTAACTGGCAATTTTCAGTGAAGAAATGGGAAGAAGAGAAAAGAAAGCTATTTGAAAAGTTGAAAACTGCCCCCCTTTTTTTCCAGAATGAGTCATTCAGAGGCTCTCTCCTCTCTAAATATATATACACATGGAGACATGTTTTTAAAAGTCTATTTATGAAAGTAATATAACCACTTTATAGTTTGGAAAATAAGAAATAAATCACCTCTAACAGTTCAACCTTAATACAACTACTATTACAATGCACTGATTAGATTTTTTGTTGGTTTCTTAAAATTATTTAATGTATCCAACTGAAGGATTTTTGGCTAATATTAGTATACTCTTGCCTCAATTTCTTTAAAAATAGAGTCAGGGTCTCTCAACACATTAAATAGAGATCCAAAGGCATTTAAGTTAGGTAGAAGGAAGGATAAACATTTCTACTCAAACTTATGATATTTCTGACTATATATGTGATCTGATATTGCTTCAGACTAAAAACAAGACCCCTTCTCTCTAGGATATTTGAAAACAGCATTTCAATGCAATTTTAAAAACAGCTGTACATGCCAAGTAAACTCTTGAAGGTTACGAATCACTTTAAAATTCTTAAAGTGTGTCCATTATTTAGCAAACAATAAATTGTTTTCATTTCTACTGTAGAAACAAACAACCAAGTGATGGCCTTCTGGTTTCAAAGTATACATGAAACCCAACTGGTCAAGCTTTTACATTTCTGGTCCACCATTAAGTTTTATGGCATATCAGGAATGTAAAGCATGATGTTTAAACAAAATTTCAATTTATTAGACAAATTCCTACTTTTGATAAATACAGTATGTTTTTAAATGGTATGCCCATTTTTAATTAGGAAGAGTACAAATACTGGCAAAATGTTATGTAGAAAAAGTTGACTTGAATTTTTCTAGGAACTTACTATTTCTTAGTCCTTTGGTTGAACTTCTGGTCCTTCTGATTCCTCAATTTCTAATTTTGTATGGTGTACTGGTGTATTTCCTAACATCAACTCTAAAAAGTCTAAAGTAGCCAATGATGCTATTTTGATGGAATTAGGAAGTAATTTTCATTCAATTGCGTTAAAACTAGAAATGAACACCCAGGCACCAGATGAAACACATCTGAGTGCCTTAGTCACATATCCTTTTAAATCATAATTATATGTTCACTTTCTTGGCTCTCCAATGGTTTTAAAAGGTTATCTTTAGATTTATTACTCATTAATCTGACTCAAATTTATCAGCAGAGAAGGCCTATGTAAAACTATTGATGCAAGCAGGAGAAAAATAATTACAGTTCTTGGCCCTAACTTAATTCAGATATAAACAATATATTAATAAAGGTTCAGACATTTTCCATGAAAAGCTTTAAAGTGCACATTCAAGGGCCTGTGTGAACTGAATGGGTTTCACACAGTTCAGCTAAGTTCCTGAGGACACACTTCATGTAGTTAAGTTTAACCAAGAGAAGTATGTGGATAATTACTTCTAGGATGATGCTACACACACAGTGTCCTGATAACCTGGTTAATAAATATTCTAAAAAATATACAGAAAAATGGAAAAGTAAATATCTCTCAAGCAATACCCTCTCTCTTTTTTTTTTTTTTACTTACACAGACAGAACACATCACTAAAACAATTATGTGAAAAGCCATCTTTTACACAGCATGACTTGATACCAAGGTTTAGGCCTGACCGGCTACCCTACTTTCAAATTCTCAGCATATTCTTTGAAAAGAATTATTAGTTTCCATGCCATAGAGAAATGCCTGTGTAAAGTAATTTTTTCTTCAGCATAGGTACACAACTGTTGATAGATATAAGGAATTACATGAATCTGAAAGACATTTTTGGTACAAATGTCCCAATTTAAATGAAAGAATAATAAAAATTAAAATGATTACAAAGTACTTTTAGAGCCAAAAATTCTCAGTGTTAAAACAAACCAAACATCCTTTCTTTCTCTTCACCTCCAAACCCAAACAAAGGCATTCTGAGCCACTACAGGATACACCATTATCAGAAAACAGGCAGCCACCCATTTACAAACATATGGTATTCCAAAAGTTCATTTATTAGTCAGTTCTGCAAAATTTTAATATTTTCCCAGGGAAACAAGAATAAAATTTGAGGTTAAGTTGTCAGATCAGCCCACAAAACTGGATTTAAAACACAGTACTAAGACAAGGCCAGGAGTAACTCAGAACACTGGGGAAAATGCATCCCGTGGCCAGCGACACCTGGGGCGGCAAGAGCATCCTGCCTCGCTGGCCTGAGCAGGGAATCCTGTTCCTTTCATTGTAAGCTCAGAATCTTTTCACAGTCACTCCTGGGGATTTGTGGGGTGTGGATGCCATGAGAGGGGATGGAGAGTAGCCTATAAGAGGGCCACAGTTTTGGGAGGTGAGGGACAGAGCCAAGGGCTTGGGGATGACAAATGAAACGGGAACTTGGGAGGAGGTGGATGAGGGTAATGAATTGAGATAAAGTGGAACAGAAAGAGGGGACAGGGGGTTTAGGGTAGGCCAGTGAGGACTTTTCCCTCATTTCTCTGATTTACCTTTTCTTTCCTCAGGACCAGATTAAGAAGATCACAGCTGGGAACACCTGTGATCACACCTGTGAAGACCACACCTGTGATTATGAGAGAAGGAAAGAATCTCCATGGAAGAAGGGTTTAAGGAGGATGGGGCTAGAGGGGAGAGAATTCTGGGCTGATTCAGAGTCTGTAGAAGAGGAAACTCCCCAGCTGTGGCCATGGGACAGAGGAGTTCTCAATGCCTCCCTTCTAGAACTAGTACTAATATGGAAGTGGCATAAACAGATAACACAACAGACATAAAATATAAACAACAAAGGAGTCAATTTTTTATTAATGAGAGGCCAACTCATACAATCTTTCAATTACAAATTTCCATACCCTGATTACATGGTTAGCAGACTGAATTTTTAGATAAGTCAGACGTTAACAGATAAGTAAGTTATGTGATTTTCTATTTAGAATGAGAACCTATATCTTTTATCACTGACCTTAGTCCATTTTTGTTACATTAATATTTTTAAATGTCCACACATAAAGAAATGTACAAAAGTTCTAATCAGACGATAACAAAGTCAGAAACATATTTTTCAACAAATATCTTTTGAGGGCATATTGTGGGCCATGTGTTTTCTGAGCATAGGGGACACAGTAGTATGGCCTCCAAGTTCTCGATCCTACTTTTATTTCTTAGCAACAATACTTCCATCTGAACAAGGCAGCTACTCAATGTCTAGCTGGCCTCTCAGACCACTGTTTACTTACCTAATAGCTATTTTGTTAATGTACAGCCAGCTTTTAACCTTAGCCCAACTATAAGGGTTAAAATAATTTGTCACACTTTTATAAGTCCTCAAGTAACTGGCCTAAAGTATTGAATTTCTTGCTTTAACTATAATAGGGCCTTCTTTACCTATGGGCTTTGACTTCTGAGTTACATTAGGTAAAAGTACATTAAAAATAACTTAAAGTTTACCAACAGATGAAGAATAAGGAGACAAAGATGAGTCATAAAAGGAGAAAATGGCTAATCATTTTGACTTCATTACAATCATACCACCACTGGCAGGTGAATTCTAAGGTGTTTCATGAAATAATTCTATGCTGTTCTACAAGTATATGGAAATACTAGAAAGTTGAACCTGGGCCTTTATGATTTAGAATTGATAGAAATCTGGGGAAGACTTAATAGGAAGAAGGAGAAGAGAAGGAAGGGAAAGGAAGAGAAGGGAGAACTAAAATGCTCAAAGTCAAGAAAACAAGGTTTTGTCCTTAGATTATAAAATCTCTGAACAAGTTGATTAATTAGAAATAGATGATTACAAATAAAAGATGCCCTATTGGTATATGTTAAGAAATGAATTGATGAGTATTAGTAAAACCAAAGGAACCACAGATAACATACATAAATAATTTTGAAAATCTAAACTGACAAATTCATGAGCATTACAAGGTAGCAGCAAATATAAAAGAATACTTTAGTACCAGAGGTTGTGGTTTATCTGTTCCTCATTTATATTTTATATCATACGCAAAACAAAATTAGGAAAGGATTATGTGAAAGAAGTTCATAGCTTTTGTGTACACTTCTAAACATTAATAATAACTTAGTTTGAAAGTATGAACGCATCATACTTTCAAGATAGAGTTGCCAACTTTAAGACAACTGTATTATATAATATATTGGATTTCAGTGCCAAAAAGAGTGTCTGGCACATAGGTCAATAAATCTTTGTTACTTGACTGAATACATGTTAAGAGAAAGGGGAGATAGGCTATGGTTAGAACTGGAGTTTTCATCAGAAGAGTCCAAAATTAACTCCAAATGCCACCAGCACTCCCAGATGAGTGTTTCTTTTTCATCTATGATACAAATTTAAAATTTGAACAACACATTGAAGCTAGGAGAGAAACAAGCTACAATCCCCCTCTCTAAAACTTCTCCGCAAAAGCAAAATTGAATATTCTGATCATCCAGAATGGGCTAGAAGAGACGGCAGAGACAGTGGGGTCAACTCCCTCCACTGGCTAAACATGGCCCGGGGAGGAAAAGCGGTGTGGCTGAGGTCATGAAGCAGAGCAGTCACTGGAATTCCAGTCCTCTGATCTCCAGTGTTTCTGTTCTTTATTGACTGTTTAAATGAATGTTTTGTAAGAAACCAGAAGACACAGGCAAATAAGTGAAGAGGGAGTGTCAGAAGCAGTGACGGTATTTGCCTGATGGTAAATTTACCATGGAGACCACTGTGTCAGTGAACTCTGTTCCAGAAAATTCCATATACAAAATTATCTCTACAGGTGATGAAAAGAATAAAAATTAGAAATGAGTGAGGAGGAGAGATTAACAGCTGTGTACCTATGCCGAAGAAAAAATTACTTTTCACAGGCATTTCTCTATAGCATGGAAACTAATATTTTAATCCATCTTTTCAAAGAATGTGCTGAGAATTTGAAAGTAGGGTAGCTGGTCAGGCCTAAACTATGGTATCAAGATGGAAGAAAAAAAATTTTTTTAAAGTCTTGTGATCATTATAGATATTGAAGAACTTGTGTCTAATTATGGTATTCTTTTTCCACATCTATCTAGGAGTTTCAAAATTTTACAAATCTACATCTAATTCCTATTTAAAAAACAACTCACAAAGCAAGAGGCCTATGGTGAATAATGAAGTAATGCTGCCTAGAACCCTATCTATGGATAAATAAAATTTTATTTTGTGAAAGGTTTTTTGCATATTTGGAGTCGATGCATTTTTACACATGACTATTTTATCTAGATTTCTATTTATGATATTCATAAATTTTACTTAAGGAATCAAGAGTAGAGAGAAAAGTGGTCAAAATACTAATTTTACACTCATGTTTCAGAGCTTTATGCTCAATGTTTCATCACTAAAAAGAGTGAAACAAAAATCAGACATACTAGAAGTTTATTTCATTTTTATCTTTTTAAGTAATGACAATTAAAAATTACCAATTTCAGTCTGCTGTTTATAAATACGGGGGAACTTGGACTTTTTTCTAGTACCTTGACACCATTACATTTTATATAAATTCACAGAAAGAACAAGAGTATGTTGACAGGTGAAAAACATTCTATAAAAGAAATGGAAGATTTTTAAGCAAATGGATGTAATCAAAAGGTTATAAGCCCACCAAACCGAACTATTTAGGTCAATACAATCATTGGACAAAAAAGAATGCACAGTACAGTTGAACAGGAAAATTCCATATACAGTTATTAGAGAAGGCTTATTTTAGAAAACTAATTTATCTACAAGTGTTCTTGGTTGCTATGAGCAACATTTTTCAACCACATTCTATTGCCTAAATCAGGTCACGATTACCTCCTAAATGGACTTTGCCATTCTAGAGAAGCAGTTTTTCTTTCATTCAGGATTTCTAAGGAAACAGCTTTCATCTTAGGCAACTAAACATCTGGCTTCTTGGTTTGTTTTAAGGAGCAAAATGAGAAAGGAATGAATCACCATGAAGCAGGTCAGGTTAGCATTTTTTTCCCATTTCTAAAAAAGTTAAAGTCTCCAAAAACTTTTCCTTGAGAAAATGAGTAATTCAAAATGCACTGATAATTATATACCAGGAATATTTGAATATGTCTAATGACCAGTCACTCCATGTTTGTTTTCTGAACTCTTACATACAACTCCACAAAGTAAAAACACCCAGGAGGAAAAGGAGTGAAATTATTCACATTTTACTGCTATGCTTTTTGACTTTCGCTATCACAAAGACAAACAAATATCATTTTTTAGCTCCTCTCTTTGATTCTTAGAACAAATTCTTTGATATATCCCTCTCCTATTTAATGACCCAATAGGTTAATTATTTATTATTCTGCTCCTCTGTCCATTAACACCTGTTTAATGTCCTAAATACATAATAATAACAAACTCAACAACTACTACTCCCATCACTATCATATATTGAAAACTTATTAGATGTCAGATACTGTACAAGTGTCTTATATATCATATATCCTTCAATCTCCCCTATGACATATGGTATTATCACACCAATTTTACAAGGTAGAAATCTGAGACTCAGTGGAATTAAGTCATTTGTCCCAGGCCACACAATGAACAAGAGAAATGGGATTCAAATCCACCTTAATCTGACAAATCCAAAAACCTTCAGTAAGTGTGAAAACTGTCTCCTAGGAGGACCATCATTATGATGATATTTGAAGATCCAGGACTTCAAGTTCTGCTGTTTAACCGCCACCCTCCACCCCCAACCATGGCAATCAATGGCTTTCCATTGTATGTATAATTTTAAAATGAAAATCCCTAATGGAGGTTTTGGTCCTAGCTTCTCTGGCCCCACAGCCTTCGTAGCACAATCCCGTGCTACTCTGCCCCTTCCTTTCTGAGAGTAGGGACACAGAGGCTCTCTGGATTCCTTTCGTACAAAGAACTTGTTCTTGTTTCATATCCTTCACACACTCCGTTCCCTGTACTTGCAATACTACCTCCTTACTTGTTACTCAGGTTTCGGCTTACAAGTCATTCCGCAAAAAGGTTTGCCTTGGCCAGGCACAGCGGTTCATGCCTGTAATCCCAACACTCTGGGAGGCCGAAGCAGGAGGATCACTTGAGCCCAGGAGTTCAAGACCAGCATGGGCAACACAGCGAGACCCTGTCTCAATTAAAAATAAATAAATTTTTTAAAAAAGGTTTGCCTGAACTCAACCTCAAGTAGCTTCTCCTTTTAAACTCTCAAGACACCTGGAACTTTTCACGTGCTACCTTTATCTCAATGTGCAAGTGCTTAGCCTCTCACTCTCTCTGGACCGTGAGCTCTCCAATGACAGAGACACTTGATTTGTGTTCAGCCCTCTATCTCTGCTGTCTAGCACAGTGATGGGCACAGGACCCGAAGGGATAGCAAAAGCCATTACAGACTGGGAAGAAGGAAGGCTCTGATTGTTGCATCAGCTCTTCCTAGCACTCCCAGGCATGCCTGAGTTAATGTTACTTGCATTGGAGCTTTCATCCTTTATAAAACTGTTTTATCCTTTATAAACTTTCATCCTTTATAAAACTGTTTTATCCAAAATGCAAAACAGGAAAAGAAAAAATTTTATCTAAGACAAATGCTTCCTTATACTAAACATAGCTATACAGCTATCTCTGGAACACTGCAATTATAAATAATTGTAATGAATAAATAAGTTATAACTATAAATAACTTAAGAAAAACAGCAGAACACACATACCCGAATTAGTGGTGCCTTGAATTCTATTACATCATGTGGGCAGGGGGCTGTGCAATGACTACTCATACACTATTGTTACTCTAGATATTTCTAAGGTTCCTCTTTGGTAACTGCCTTTAAAATTACTTTACTAACCAAACAAGAAAACCTGCCTCCTCACTTCAGGGTGACAAGCTATTACCCCTTAGTTAGCACCGTCTATCCCCTCCCTCTCTCTATGTGACTTACTCAGCTGAGCCCACCCCCCACCCCGAGTAAGCTTCAATGACATCCCACCCCACACGGAGGCTTTCACAGGGGACCCTTTCGGAGAGCACACCCGGCTTGTGTGCTTCCCATGACGCCTTCCCCATCTCACAGGTGGGACTCCCAGTCTGCCATGCAGTGACCAATGAGATATGCCCCCTGCAGGGGAAGGGAACTGCCTGCAGGGGACATAGCTCATTACAGGAGGTCAAGTGAGGGCTTCAGGTTGTCAAAAGGGGCCAGATTTTAGTTCTCTCTGTGTACTCATTCACCGGGGTCTCCTCACACCTCAGGGCCACCACAGACTTCCCAATCTGGACAACGATCTAAGCTTCTTCCTCTCCCCCAAAAGGGTGCTGCAAGCTTAGCTCTCCACTTCTCTGTTGTGAAGTATTGATATTCTTTCCTGTGAAAACCATTTCCCTCAGTACATAATTAATTAGAATTAAAAATAACCTTTTCCCACACCAAATGTCTTCCTTAAAAGGACACAGAATTAACCCATAGAAGCCACCGTAACAACTTTCTACGGTATCATGCAATACATGACTTCCAAATTCCCTCGTGAGGGAATGTCGGTTTACGTCAATCCTGGTGGCCTTATCAATATGTGAGTGGTGAAAACAGCAGGCCACTAGGAGGTCAGGGTCAAAGGAAGTAGTAGCAACCTCACTCAGGCTAGAATCCAAACAATGTATCTATTAGAAGCAGGCCTGGCTACATAATTTGCAGGGTTCTGTGCAAAACGAAAACGTGGGTTCTCTCTTGTGCCTAAATTATTAAGAATTTCAAAACGGCGACAGCAGAGTATTAAACCAAGTGCTGGGTCCTGTTCACTGCACGGGATGCTCACCTGTGAACCCACACCTCACTGGAAGAACCCGTCAGCCATCCTCAGCTGTGCAGTTTACAACTCTCATACTGTGATATTTGTGTGCCATTTCAAAACTGTATGTGGTAGGTTTTGAAAAAAGCAAAAAACTATGCTGCCTGCTTTAGTTTTAAGTCAAACTAAAATATGCCCATGGTTTTAATAATCAGATGGTATTAAAAGGCTTATAATTAATAAAAGAAAACCAGCAGCCCATGCCCCATACCTCCCACCTGATTCCTTCTCCCTAGAGGTGTGTATTTCTAACTCTTGGAGCAGTTTCTGTTGATACTTGTCTCCATGTTTCTAAATATGAATGACTTGTATATCTTATCTACTGATTTTCCATTATGTAGGAAGCTTATCACACCGCATATACTCACACTCCACATTCTCCCTCCCCGATCCTCCCAATTTGGCCTATCACAGTTTGGGGATTATAATAAAAATTCAGTTTATACTATACAGTTCACAGTGGAGCCAAATGGATTATATATCCTTTCCTGTGCAATGCCCCCACTCCCCAGCCTGGGGTGAGTAACTGCCTTACTTTTACAGTTGCTTTGTTTTTAACGTAACTATCACAAATTCTTGTTAATCCAAAGCATAAAACCTGTCTCAATATGGTTGAGGACATCATGTGATCTATCAGTTTTCTCTTTTATAAAAAAAAAGATCCTTGCTAGCACTTTGGGGGGCTGAGGCGAGAGGAACAACTGAGACCAGCCTGTGCAACTTAGCAAGAGTTTGTCTCTACAAAAAGTTTTTTTAAAAAATTAGCTGGATGTGGTGGTACATGCCTGTAGTCCCAGTTACATGGGAGGCTGAGGACAGAGGATGGCTGGAGCCCAGCAGTTTGAGGCTGCAGTGAGCTGTGATTGCACCACCACACTCCAGCCTGGGCAACCAAGTAAGAACCTGTCTCTTAAATATAAATAAATAAATAAATAAATAAAAAATTGAATAAATAAAAAGAATCACCTCTATCTATACAATGTACAAAATGATCGCCTCTATTCCTTTTCTGGGACATCTATTACTTAAATGTTGATCCTCATGGAGACATTCTCTAATTTGTTTTCTTCCTTTCCTATCTTACCTTTTCTCCTTTTGAAAATTTTGACTTTCTGGGAAAGTTCCTCCCCTTCAGCCATCCAATCATTCTGGATTTATTTCTGCAATTTTTAGTTTCCAGCTGCTTCTTAAAGAAAAAAAAAATCCTGTTTAAAAAATATATATATATATCCTCTATTCTCTGATCCCTTTCAAGCAATTAAGGAACTTTTTTTCTGGTTCCTATATGGTATTTCTTCCAAGATTCTTCTTTTCTGGTTTGTGGTTTGTTCCTAACTGTCATATCATGGACATTCCTCACAAGTCTGAGGCCGCTTGGTTGCCAGTTCTCATTTAAGAGGAAAACACTAAAATTCAGATGGAAGTTTCAGGTGCATGAAAGGGGCTTGTTGACTGGTTAATTTCACTGCAACGTGGTCACCTGGGAAGCCTACTGGCCTACTGGTTTATTAGAGGACCCTCAAATGTTGTATCTACAGATCTTTTTTGGGGGGGTGGGGAGCATTTTTCCAAAAAGGAATCCTCCTGCCTATAGGAGTTATGCCTGGCCAGCAAACACCCCAAAACCAAGTGGCTTTGGGGGTTTTGACTTTCACAGGACTCTTGTTTTTAATACTGGCATGTCATCCTCACTATAGCTCCATTCTGTTGAAAACTGATTAAATTAGGTTTGAAATTTCCATAACTTATTCCAGAGATTTGTTAATATCTTTCATTTTCTGCGATCTCACTCTCCTGTCTGTTAAGAGTCTGTACCCTATTTGTTCTTCACTTCATGTTCCTTTGTTTTGGGAGAGAACAAGTATTAAACACCTGTGCTCAAGTTGCACATTTAATCAGCATTCTCCCTTTGCCTCAGACGTTAAAAACACTCTTCATGATGCAACATTTCCAGTTATGTCAAAATATTCTCCTACTTAATACTCTTTTTAGAAATAATAAAATTCTCAAAAATGATAGACTTGATTTTTTATCTCATTGTTAGATTTTGCCATGCAACCACATGAAAACGAAGCACAGTTTTGTCAGGTCTTAGGCAGGTAGGTGGTTTTTCTTTCTTCCCTGACATCACTGTCGTTGCCTACATTGCCTCACACAGTTCATAAGTAGATTATCTGCCTTGGGGATCACCTACAGATAATCCTGAAATCTTGGATTGGCTCCTTACTTCTGATCCCACCATAACCACACACACCTGGCCTACTTCCTCATTCACTTTTTGTTGGCATGAGCCTTTTAAAGATCTTGACTATTTTCTAATGTTAGAGCCAGGCAAGTATGGTGAGGAAGGCAAATCTGTTGCAAAAAAACAAAATAAAACAAAATCCAAAATTAAATGAAAATATTTTTGGATATTTGTTTTGCCTCAATGAAATTAAGAATATATTACTTCTGAACAACTGGATCTTATTAACAATTTAATAATATAATTAACCACAAATTCATCTGGTGCAGAGGCGAACTCTCTTCAAGTTTTGATTTTACACAGAGAATTAGTTTCAAACAAAAGTGTTTGGAAATTTGACATTCCTCCCTCTGCAAAACTAACAGGAAATGAAATTAAGACATTTTAGGAAAGATTTTGACATCAGTATTTTATAATTTCCCAATATCCTGTTTAAGCCAATTATTTTAGAAAAATTTGTAAACTGTTTCTATTTCCTCATAGAGTTTATAAAATGTACGATGTTTACCTTACATTAAATCAACATCAAGAGGGTTAAACTGACAGGTAGAATGATAGAATGGAATTTCTCTCCTTTGAATCCATTCATTCAATCCTTTTTTTGGAGACATATGTACCAGGTTAAAAATTTAAATGATGAATACAGTACATATCTTTACATGAGTGTGTATTTCCATTTTAAGTGTATGAATTACACTTGAAAAATGACTCTTTTCAAGCAATGTTACAAAAATCAAAGTTTATAAACCATTTCTGCCACCTCCAATAGCAACTAAAAACTATCATGCTTGGCCTGGCAAGAAGGATGGGAAGCCACAGAGGAACAATGATGAGACATGGAAATCCCCAATTTGTGGCCCGCACTGCTATGCTCTTCACCATCTCCCATACCAGATGTTCTAGCTCCAAGGATTCTGATTCCAGGGGAGACTCCTGTTCACTCATCTTTCTCATCAGTCTTCACGATTCACAGTTTCTTTCCATTCATGTACATTTATCTTTATGGTACCCAAATGATGTATCTCTCTGGAACAAGTCACTTTCTAGAATAATACCTTTCCTTGTCTTTTGTAAAGACCTTTATGAGACTTTTTGTGGGTTAATGATCTAATTCCTACTGTATTCCTAAATTAGATGCACTTTAAACTACAAATAATATTTGAAATTACATATTTTCCTTCGGTTGTTAAATATATGTAGCCGGTCAATAATAAACAACTGCAATGTGTGATTTTGTTTTCTATATATCAGTTTTAAAGGCAAATTACAGAAAAGAGAGAGAAGTTCCTGGGAACCATGAAAACCTCAATTATGAAATGACTAAAAGATAAATTTATATGGTTTAACCAAATGATGACTAAGCTGGTGTTTACTGGGATAAAACCCCTAATATTTTGCAAGACATCAGAGATCACCTAACCATCCACTTATGCTTCAACCTGCCCTTCCAGTTTCAGTTGCAATACAGCAAATTTCAAGATATTGTAACTATCATAACAAGACGTGGATACTAATGAGGAAAGGAGAGATGTTTATCAGCCATGTTTGCATTTGAAAAACAGTAGTATCCCACTAATTATGTGCTTACTCATTTGTGTACTTCTTTGCAAAACTGTAAATTTGCATCTACGTTGAATCATTTTATACCAACTAGCAAAGGCTGCTCTTCCAAGGAATCCTATGGCAAATATGTCAAGTATATAATTTAATTTATATACCTTTATATCCGAATTCATTCATCAAGTTTGCTTAAATTGGGGTAAACTAAAATTGTAGCTTGTAAGTATTCAGCCATGGCAATAAGTTATATAAGGGGTTTAGTTTTGAATCCAAATTGATGGGCCTGAAACAAATATTCCTGAAAAACTGGATATACCAAAGTTTCCCTAGCGAATGTTACAGAAGTATACCAATGTTTCTTATGAGAAAAAAATATTTTTCTGTCTCAAGGCAAAAAAAAAAAAATCTTACTTAAGAACACAGTACACCTTTAAAACATGAATTATTTTAAGCAAATTAAAAACAACTGCCTAGCCATTAATTGTAATTGTAGTCCATGGTTCCATTCCTTTGCAAATGTAAATGTTACCTTGGACATTACTTTTAACACTGTTTTTTAATAAAATAAATATGCTGTCATAATTGTATAGTTAACTATCCTGCTTAAATTCTTGATGATATCTATAAATTATTTATAGTAGGTAAAACTAAAATAGATACAATTTCTTTTGCATTTCCCTGATTCAATAAGATTTTTGAATCTTGGTGAAAAATCCTTTTTGAACCGGGCACTGAAGGCTTAGGTCTCTGTCTTCACCCCTAACTAAATCAGGTTTTAGTAAAAGATCTGAAAATTCTGCAAATTTTCAAAAGCAAATGTTAGATTAGAAAACGTTTAATGAGTTAAATCAATCCCCTTTCTCCCTGTTACAGGAACACTGGAACACTGTGAACTTTTTGAGACAAAGCCTTACAGCTTATGATTTTCAGTCATCAACATGTAAAAGGAAAGGTTATTTTGAAGAGGCTCAAGGTAATCTTCCTACAACTTTTTGAAATGTCACAGGAGAAAACCTTGCCACAGCTGACTTTAAGGCTTATTTTGGCAAAGGTTATCTTTCATCATATTTTGGTCAAGGTTATACACACACACACACATAAAAAAATATATATACACATACAAATGTATAATTATAAATACATATACATACACAAATACATAAATACATATATACATATATATATATATATATATATATATATATATGTTTTTTTTTTTTTTTTTTTTTTGTGAGACACAGCCTCACTCTGTCGCCCAGGCTGGAGTGCAGTGGTGCGATCTCAGCTCACTGCAACCTCCACCTCCCAGATTCATGCGATTCTCCTGCCTCAGCCTCCTCAGTAGCTGGGATTACAGGAACCCACCACCACGCCCAGCTAATTTTTGTATTTTTAGTACAGATGGGGTTTGACCATGTTGGCCAGGCTGGTCTTGAACTCCTGGCCTCAAGTGATCTGCTTGCCTCAGCCTCCCAAAGTGCTGAGATTACAGGCATGAGCCACTACACCCGGCCAAGGTTATAATTTTAATATCTTACCTCCAAAAGTATTTACCCCTGTCTTCACCGCTCCGCCCCTACCCACACGTACACACATGCACACACACACATGCACGTGCAAGTGCGTGCATGCACACAGAGCATGTAACACAGAAACAATAAGTATGGTAGACAAGCAAAATCTAAAAGCAAGAACTATATTTATTGATTTTATAAAAGTCTGTTGTGCACAGCACACATTTACCTATGTAACAAACCTGCACAGCCTGCACATGTATCCCAGAACTTAAAATTAAATTAAATTTTTAAAAAAAGTCTGATGTGCCAGTGTTAACATATTTCTAGTGAACAAATTAAGGTTGGTAAAATATACTTATAAAATTCTCTAATCTAGCCTGTAGCATTGATGTACAGAAAAATTCTTTATGAACACAAGACACGTTAACACAGAAGCAGAAAAATGTGGAAAAAGTACACCAGAGATGAACAAAGATAATCAAATCAAAGTTTTTAAATACGAGAATGTACCATGTGCGAGGCACATATAAGAGCACAGACACACACACACACACACACACACACACAAATCAAACACTTTATGTGTATTATTTCTCCAGACTTCTCGATATATTACTTCTAAAACAAAATGAGAAAGAAACTGATCTTCAGAGTGTAAATCACAGAGTGGTGAGTGGCAAAGCAAAAACTCACACCCAAGATTGTACAAAACCTGTGCCCTTAGCCATCTACAGAATTTTTTTTTTCCTGCTAACACTATGGTGACAAGGAATTTTTTTAAATGAGCGGAGGGCTGTAAGATGGAATTGTCTTTACTCCTAGGCTTCACAAAGAACACTGGTTCAGAACAATAATTTAAAATATAACCAGAACCTTTACATATGTGGAACTAATTTAATTTTTGTTGGGAAACAATAAATATCATTCCAATATTCCACTATTTATCAATGTCAGATGTTCTATTCTGGCAATGATATTTTATTCAACAGAACAAAAAATACTAGCTCTTCATATCGTGAAATATTATCATTCCAAACCCAAGTCTACTAAAGCAACTGAAGAGATTATTTTGATTTCAAATAATCTGTTCACTATGCATACATATCAATGAGATTTCCTATAAATCCAATACTTAAGGACCCAAATATCTCACATGTAGTACAAAACTATGGATACCATAGGTAAATAACCTTTCTATACCACAATGAGGAAATGGGAAGTAGAAAAGAGGAGGAAGGGTTGGCCAAAACTCCATGGATGGTGACAATGTACTTTCTGACTTGTTCCCACTCCCACTGGCCTGTTGCACCCCACCCTAGTCTCATTTTAGGATTTGCCCTGCTTCACACTCCCACTACTTTTTCGCATCTTCCAACTCTGCCACCAGCACTTCATCAAAAGGCACTCTGGGTACTAATCCTAACTCCCTCAGGCTCATCTGAGAAGGAAAGCAACCCCATTAAAGTAATGCACAAAGTAGTATGAAACCTTTTCATTATGAGTTACACTTCTGGAGGTAATACATTTCATAAGTAAAAGTTAAATGAGGCAATTCCATGGCTAGGGGAGGATTTATAGAAGTGCAGGTGCATTTCCAGAACACCTTTAAATATTGTTTAAAGTTCTTAGTAAATCATAAAAGATCCTCCAGATCTGATTCCTGTTTATCAGTTCAGTTCCATCTCTCCATTTTCTTTCTTCAAACTGTTAGCACCAGTAGTTTCAAATGAGTAATTTTATTTCATTGAAATATACTGCTACCTCTCCCTGCCTGCCACACTTGTCTCCTCCCCTCACTCCACCCTGCCCACCTAACACACCCTAGGACCCAGCAGAACATCACCTTTTAGTTCCCCCAACTCTACCTAGTACCAGCTAGGAACCCCTTTCTAAACAGTCCCATAGCACCTAGTGCTTCCCTCTATAATACTACTTATTACCTTACATTGTAACAGTAAACACTTAACAGTAAACCTCATAAGCCTGCCTCCTTTCAGGCAGGCTTATGATTTCCTTGTGACCCAAAGACTAGTCCAGGGCTTCGCATAGAAGAGTCCTCAACAAATATCTGCTGCAGGAATGAATTCATAAATAAAATTAGGGCAAGGGCTACCCCAGGAGAAAGCAAGAAAGAGACTTTAAAGTATACTAAATTTTACATATTTTTATAGGAAAGGGAACCTGTATATAATAGAGAAACTTTGTTATTCATGGAGTTCCATCCATTCAAAAACCTAAAATGGCCGGTAGACTAGAAAACTGCAACAATGCACTTTTAATTATTTTCCTCATCTACTTTCACAAGACAGTCTAATGATCACATCATAATATATCAACTCTGGTTAAAATCATTAACTTAAATGGTACAGTCAGTGGGCAGTTATGCAATAAAGAGTGATTTAAATTATGTTTTGTTTCCGGCTAGCTGGGAGGTCTACATACCAAAACTGGGTTGGCAGCTCTTAGTTGTTGAGAAAGTCCTGCAAATATTCTGGAAAAACCAGTGGGTGGAATTTGGGTCCTCAGTAATACAGCTTTTATTGTCAACAGGTGAAATGTAAGCTTGAAAAACCAAGTATCATGATATTAGGGTCACACACTTAACAGTGAACACCCTGTCAAAAAGTACTCTGAATAATCTCTCCTAAGCTCTTTCCTAATCCCACAGCCCTCTAGCAGTGCTCATGTCTTTAATATTTAACCTTATACTTCAGATCTTCAAATTTATTCATGTCAAACAACAAAACCACACAACATAAAAACAGGACACTGTACTCTCTTTTAAAATATATCTATATAAATCCTTTCATTTTCTGCAAAGCCCAAGAAAATAGTCTCTATTTATAAAACTGATCAAGTACTATTTTCAAACAGTATTTTAAAAGAAATACCACTTACCTAATAGCAATAGTGCTTAAGGTTTACATGGGATACTGATTTCTGACTGGTTGAAGGACACTGGTTGGCAGGTATATATATGCATGTAGTAACAGCTAATATAGGTAACAGCCTGCTTTTCCTCCTCACAGAGGCAATAAACTTGTCTAAGACTAAGATTATATACTGAGTCTAAGACTCAGACAAAGCCTCTTCTTCTCCTAAGATATTTAGTTTTATAGATTTATATAGCATCTAGGAAAAATCCAAACTCCATTGATTTATAGAAGATATGCTCCTTTGAGAAATTTCTCATACTTCATTCACCCAGTTTTGAGGTTACCTCCCTTACAAAACAAATACGAGAAGAGCAATCTCTCAGGTCTTCACTGCCAAAGTCCAAATTTTATTTTTTATTTTGTTTTATTGATTGGGCATTTCCAAACTGGCCACTCGCTTAGGTTTTAGGGATACAAGGATGGCAGACACGGTTCAGTCCCAATTCTAAGCAAGCCAGGGAGACACATACGAACCATGATGACCATACAAAGCAACAGGGAGATAAGGAGGAGAAGCCAAGCACCTTCACAGGAGGGATGGCTGTCTGCCTACGGGAGCCAGGTGAGATTTCACATAGGAGGTGGCTTTGAGTCTGGAGCTTGAGGGATGGGCAGGGAGAAGGGCGTTCCTGAGACAAGGCAGAGTCAAAGAAGACCATGAAATGTTTGAGACGTTCACTCCTAAACTAAGATCCTCAGGCAAATACATCTATTCACTTTTCTCTAAACATCTCCAGTACATTCCTATCCGTGCTTACCCCCCTTTCTTTTATCTCCCCCTCCCTTTAACATGCTTAAATCCAGGATGCCTTTTTAGGCCCAGCTCAAGCCAGGCCTTGATCTCCCAAGAAGCCCTGGCAGCTTTCGTTCCCTCCTCCCCTCCAAAACTCACTCCTACAGTTCTCATGGTATTCCTCAATAGATTCAGGCACTTTTGACTTATGCTGGAACTTGTCTCTAAGCTTAGGTCTCTCTGTCCTTGAGTGTAGGGCCATGTCCTGCTAGCCTCTCCCTTGTAACATCAGTGCCTGGGAAATTTCCTATGTTTTAATGAATGTCTGCTGCTAATGAGGAGCCATTGATCAGCACTGAGTCATATTATTTCACAACTTTATTGCACTTCCATGTACCTCTGGATCTTTGCATCATTTGCAAAGTGTCACAGCTCTCAAGCTACTTTCCTGGAATATCAGGCCAAAATTCTGCCTAGTAGAATTAAAAGAGAGGGTTCAAGATTTCTTCAGTTGGTAAAAACACTAGTCTCCTTTTTCTACTCTGAATCACTGCTCAACTGCCTTATTTATAACCTCTAGATGGCAGGAAGTCTATCTTTTATATATTAAAGTGTCCACAGACCCTACTGCTAAGTACCAAGTGGCAAAATTATTAATTTTAATGAATGAAATGCATCTATAGAGACCCTCTACAACCTTGCCCTACATACTTTTCTAGCTCATTCTTTCACATATTTTCTTTCTTTCTCTCTCTCACACACGCAACATGAATGTGGCTTTTCACAAACAGGCTCTGTGTTTTGATCAGAAATCTGAGAAACTTAGTTTCCTGGTAATAACACCAGTAAAATTAAACCAACAAAAGGTAATGCCTAGCACTTCAGTTTAAATATAGTGAGCCAAAAAAAAATCTGCTTTGTGAATTCAATATAAAATATAATAATTGTCCATTTAGAAGGTGAACAATTAGTCTGTATTTGATCTCAACAGTACACCTATACCACTGTTTCTAGTGAAGATCTGAACTGTCGTGGCATACAAATGCTACTTTTATCATATTGCCTTCCCCACACATAAGTTCTACAGATGACTACATTCTGGCACAAGTGCATGTTATCAGAGACATCCTGAGAGTGAGTGAGTGAAAGGCAAAGCTAATTCCAAGTGTGTATTCACATTTCAGGGCCCATATGCTGCTTTGAAAGGTGCGGAAAGGCTTTTCACATCATGAATTTGGACAATGATTCCAATTACTTCATGTCGGCATATGTCAAATAATTTTTATACGTTTTTGAGCAGAGATAGTTAGGAATTAGTCAGAGAGTATTTCTGAAGCCTGTCACTTTACCAATCTGAAACTCTTTCCTTCTAATTTCAGCACAGACAGACTTTGTTGGTAATGTCATTTGTTGGAGGTTAAAAATGTGTACATTTTATATGGTTATGTTTTATCTATATGTATGATACATGGAGATGGGTGGAGGGAGGGATTTATAAACAGATAGAATATATGGAGATGGATGGAGGGAGGGATTTACAGACTGATCAGTATCAACCCCCAGAATCTTTTAAAATAAAAGAATGACAATTTTATGGTTGCTAATAACAATACTTTTGTTGAAAACATCAAGGATTCTTTTTTTGGTGGGAGGGAAGGTCAGGTATCATTCAAGCACATTTCTTTAATTTCTTCCTGATTCCCTAAACCACATCACAGGGCATCTTGTCAATAAAGAAAGAACCACCTATACCCTTAGGCTTCTTAGCATCACTCTGACACAATCATCATCATTCTGCCATTTTCCCTCTGGATATGGATTTGTCCATATTATGTAGACAGTAATGCGCAGATGACCACAGAGGCCTGGCCTCTAGTCCTGGGTCCACTGCTAACTGTGTATGTGTCCTTCATTTTCTTCAACTGTGAGGTTTGGGGGATGAACAAGGTGACCCTTCACTTAGAGCTGTAAGCTGCTACACGCATCACCAGAAAGAACCTGAGACAAGACTCTTAAACAGGTTGTACACGAAGAAAATTACAAAAAGTTTCCACTGACTGGCAGGGTGCGGGCTACTTCATGGCAATTTTAAAGTAAATGCGGTTACATCATTCATATCAACATGCTTTAAAAAGCGTAAGGTGGGCCGGGTGCGGTGGCTCACGCCTGTAATCCCAGCACTTTGGGGGGCCGAGGCCGGCGGAACACAAGGTCAGATCGAGACCATCCTGGCCAACATAGTGAAACCCCGTCTCTACTAAAAATAAAAAAATTAGCTGGACGTGGTGGCGCACACCTGTAGTCCCAGCTACCTGGGAGGCTGAGAAAGGAGAATCACTTGAACCCAGGAAGTGGAGGTTGCAGTGAACTGAGATCACCGCACTCCAGCCTGGCAACAGAGCAAAACTCTGTTTCAAAAAAAAAAAAAAAAAGCGTAAGGTGAATTTTTACCATAGGCATAACACACAATATTTACAATCATGTTTTGCTAAATTATTTAAGTCAATATTCTTTAATTTATATATCATATTCCTTTGGTTCCCAATTTTCTCATGCTCCTTGTGTATTTGAAATTCCAACATAAAGTAAACATAGTGTGGTGCATAAAACAAGAGAAGTTTCAATATGGCGTGTGCCCCTCCAAACTGATTGAGCACAATTCTCTTCATCTTCACCACTTAGATTGGCGATCAGTAATAGATGCTAATACTAACATTAAGATTATGTTCAAACTACCTGCTGTTTACAATTTTTATATATATACAGCCTATTGGCGATCAGTAATAGATGCTAATACTAACGTTAAGATTATGTTCAAACTACCTGCTGTTTACAATCTTTATATATATACAGCCTATTTCCTATCAGCAATCCAAACTACATAGACACATCATTGGTCTGAAAACTTACTGTCTTATTGCAAGCCAGATCCTCTGACAGGCACTAGAGATACAAAAGAAATTGTAGATGACCTCGAAGAGCTCAGGATCTACTGGGGGAAACAACAATGACAAATGTGGACATTTAGTGTCAGAAAGAGAGGATTATAGGAATGCCAAGGAAGCATCAGAAGAGGCTTCCTAGATGACGGGTGATGAAGCCCAATCTTCCAGGTGGAGAGGACAGCATGACCAAAGGAAGGACGTGGAGGTGACATGGCATGTGCAGGGAACTACACTGAACACTGCAGAGAGCCACTGGCAGGACCCAGGCCAGGGAGCACCTACTTGGTCATACTGGGGAGCTTGGCCTTTCTCTTGTTGGTCTGGAGATCCACAAAAGAATTTATGCCAAAAGTTAGAGGTGGATAGATTTTAAATACTGTGTTTTTAAATACCGAGGATTTAAATACTCTGATGGTTTATCTAATTTTAGGGGAACAAAACTGGAGGCAGTTAAAAGGCCCCTATAAGTGAAAAATGAAAAGAGTTTGTATTAGGGCAGCAGAAGTATGTTGTTGTCTTCTTAAGTCACATTTGATATGCAGAGAAGATAGAATCAGTGGGATTTTTAATCACAGGATGTGGGGGATGAAGTCGTGGGAGGGCTCCCAGATTTCTGGCTTGGGTAGGGATACCACCAAACAGGATACAGGAAGAAGAGTGGGATTAAGGGTGGGTAGTAAGTCTGGCTATAGAGAGTGGAGCTGGACACTCCTACAGACATATCCCAGGAGGGAAAGGAGTGGGCCCAGGATGGTACTCTGGATGATACCAAGTACCACAAGGAGGGTGGCACCGAGGGCAGGAGAGCTCAGAGGAAAACTAGGTGCATGTGGTGATGTCTTGGTAGCCCTGAGGTCCAGAATGCCAAGGAAAATGGCACAAGTGATAATCTTAAATGCAGTAGAAAGGCCCAGCTAGGTCAGGGCTGGGAAATGCCACTAGATATAGAAAGCAGGATGCATTGAGGACCTTAGTTAAAGCTATTTCAGTAAAGTTATGAGAAAGAGAGTCAGACCACAATGAGTTATGAAGTAAATGAGAGGTTATGAAGTAAATGAGAGGTAAGAGGTAAGGAATGGAGACATTTCATTGAGTAGCTGTTAAATGTAGAAACAGGGTTAAAGGTGGATCGGATTGCTTTGCTTTTTAAATTAATTGAAATTTCACTACCTACAGATAACCAACACTGACATTTTGGTGATGATCTTTTCATATATTCTTCTGTGTGTATGTGTACACACACAAAGCAGACAGAAAATATTTACTGTCAACAAGATTATTATGTACTAAGAAGGCAAATTAAATATTTACCCCAAGCCACCCTTTAAGTTATCAGAATTGTAAACATACACCTAAAAGGAAGTGTAGTTTCTCTTCTAAATCAAAACCCAATGCTTCTATGTGACGCACACTAATCTGCTTCTTACTACTGAGAAACAACACAGCACAGTCAGCCTAGGAAACAGACACACCCAATCCTATTGATTTTTAGATGTTAAAAATTACCCACTTGAAATGTTTCCAGGGGTTTAAACACAATCTTATGAGTAGAGCCCTAGGAGCTATGCCTCTGAAAACAAACAACCTTTTAGCAAGGGGGTACTGACAATATACACCCAAAGAGTGACACCCAGTGAGTCATCAGAAAGGGACAAGTCCCACCCTGTGGAGCTTCCACACCTGCCTTCTGCTTCATGACCATGGAAAAGAGCAACACACAAAGCTCTCTAGTGTGGTGTTGCAATGTCAACAAAACTGGGAATACTGGCTAAACTGGCCTAGTTAGCTGAATGGCCACTGGATTTGGCTTGGGTTTGCCCTACCAGGAAATGGGGCAAGAGGTCAGAATTGTAATACAGAGAAGGTGGCCCACAAATACTTCCGGAAAACAGAACAGGACATGGGGTGGTTCCTGTAGAAAACTGGGGGTTGTGTAGATTTTTTAGTAGAGGAGCAGAGCAGCTCCCAGGCAGCTTCATCTCGATTACAGCTCTCTCCCGCCTCACCCACATTCCTACTCTCACTGCTTAAGCTAATTCTCTTCCATAGAAGTTATCCTGGCAGACATCAGAGGAACATGTTTGACAATGCTTTTCTGTATTAATCACTCTCCCTAGTCTGTAAACAATAGAAGATTTACAAGTATTCATGTTGTATCTCTTTATATAGTAGATAAATATCTAATTTTTTATTTTTAAATGGAGAATGAAAAACTAAATAGTCAAACAGTCTAGCTAAAGGGGACACATAAAATTGTTGTATCAACTTGGAAGAGAATCCTACTTCTTGTTTATAATGTCAAAACTCAACTCTTTCTGAATATATTTTAATAAAAGGAAATAATACCTACTTAGTAAAAACTAAGTCCCATTTGGGAGGAGGGATTTCTTTCTACCACTACCCTAAGCTGATGAATGTCTGTATCCCCTACAAAATTCAGATGTTGAACCCTAATGCCCAACATGAAGGTATTTGGGGGTAGGGCCTTAGGGAGGTGATTAGGGCATGCGAGTGGAGCTGCTCTGATCAGAGAGACCCAGACCTACATTTTCTCTTCCTTCACATTTTCCTAAGAAGACTCTGACAAGAAATAGTGAAACAAATTTTCCAGGTCTTCATGGATACTTTCCCAAGCAAAACCACCTGAAAATAAGGCATCTGGAAGAATACAATGCCAAAGGCGACAGCTGACACATGCTCCGCTCCAGCCGCCCACAAGCATTTCTATAAGGATATCTCTAAGGTTGGTCACTAGGTGCCATCCTGGTTTCTTTTCAACCGCCAGAGAGATATGAACCTGGTAATTTTCCATCACCTGCTTTAGAGTGGACCAGATCTACTGCCAATGGTGTCAATGTACCAGAAGTCTCAGAATTATTTTATAAATCAGTCTTTAAGGTCTTATAAAACAATAGATGAGAATTCCTGGCAAAATGAACACACTGGTATCCACCTAAGTAAACCATGCCAACATAGTGTTCATTAATGATGACAATGTTCTTACAGATTTCACTTTGCCAATACACTCCCTGGGAGCTTTGAATGCTTAAAATCTGATGTGTGATTCAGCAGCTTTCATAAACTGAGACATGACTTGGTTGAGTTCTCGGATGTGAAATGTTTCAGCTTCCACCAAAGACCATGAACCCAGCATTCACACAACATATCTCCTATCAGATATTTCACACATGGTCTTCAAAGGCATGAGGAACATTCAAGTAGATATTAGAAAAGTGACACTCTGCTAAAGGCAAAATGAGGTCACACAGTCATAAATTCCTTTTCTGGGCAGCTAGCCAGCTTTCTACATTGCGTTCAGTCATTACATCTCACTCCACTTCTTGCCCTGGACAATAATTAGAGTGCTTCCTTTAATTTGCAGGTTGGTTTTCTAGATATACGTTTATATGTTCTTGGATGAACAACTGAACTCCCCACCTTCTCTGCAAGTTTTGCTCTCCTTGTCAGCATGTGCCCCTATGAGAATGTTCTACCTGTAGCTTAAGCTGCACTGATAGTAATCAAGTGTGCTAGACCTTATGCTAGACCCTTTCTTAGCAAAACAATATAGCTCCAACAAAAGCAATTAAAATTTGCATTAGTTTTACACAGGTACCTCTGGAGAAGTATGTATAACACGATAACAAAGGAAGACAGAAAAGTAGAGGATGAAAGGTAAAATGAAAATGCCTGAGTGATTCTAAAAATAACACTGTTCTGTATAATATGTGCCTTGAGAAGAACTTTCCATGGGAAATAAGACATATAGTAAGTTAACACCTGTTTGTGTATTCAACTGTTCAACCATTTAGGTATCTACCGTGTACCTGGCATACCACAAAGGTACTGTGAAGAATGCAAAGATAAATGAAATATTATATTCAAGAACTTTCAGGAAAGTAGCAGATATATGTATAAGGTATCTTATATACTGAAGTGCAGACATGGTTCCAATAGAGTGCCATCAAATTTAGAAGAAAAGGCCCTTTCAACAGGCTTAGAGATCAGATACCATTTATTTCAAGCACAAAAGACATCTACTTTCTCCTAAAGAAGAAGCTAAATATGAAGGTTCAGGAAATTCTAGTCCTACTAAAAGTAATGCTTTGCAATTATTATAAATTATATATACACACTAAATATATGTATGTAAATTATAGTTTACGAAATTTCTATGGTCTGAGATATATTTAATATTCCGAATATCTGGCAACCTAGGTATTATTATCACTATTTAAACATTTTAGGAACTGAGTTTTAGAAACAATAAAGGCAGTTTTTGAGGTTATAAGGCTGGTAAACTGTAGAGGCAAGCACTAGAATCTACCGATTCTACCTCTCCATAGCGACCCTGGAGTCTGAACACCCAAAAGAGCAATTCTAAATATTGGTGAGGCTGTAAAACCTAAGCTACATCAATACTGACTTCATATGGCCATCCCAGAGCAAAAAGGTTTCTTCACAGGTTCGTTTGAGTTTGGATGACCTTCATACCTTATTCATTCAGACCAATTAAACTGAGTCCAATGCCAGTCTAAATCTATTGGCTGTCATGAGATTAGTGAGTCAAGAATCACTTGAGAAACCAATCCATTCAAAAACTGCCAACTGGAGTGACCTTTCCTTGACTTAGGTCTCACACAGATACAGAATTGTCATTCTAGATATTCTGTTGGTCCTATATGCAGCCAAAGTGGAAATCATTTGATTAAAGGCAATCAAAGGAAGTTAAGAAGCAGTGATTTGGAATTGATTCCAATATTGAATAAATTATAAAAGACAATAGGATCTGCCTGCCTCTTCAATCCCATCTACATCTACTTTATATGGAATATAATCGATTTGCTCAAGATTCAGTACTGACTTCATATGGCCATCCCAGAGCAAAAACTTGATTGGGGCAGCGGTCTTCATAAAAGGGTTGAATATCACTTATTTTTCTCAAATCTCCACTGCTATAATCACTGCTGTGCAGCCACAAGTGGATTTCTAGGCATCTTAATTTCTAACAGAAGTCTGCATGAACTTAGTTGAATGTAAAAAAAAAAATCCGGGCAATAATCTTGTGAACATTTTATCATCATGCTTTATTATATTCAGGCAAATGGCTGAATTAAAAGTATAGTATGGATTAATAATTTCCAGAGGAAACCTATTGATAAAATCCTCCATGTAAAGGTAAGAGAAAGACTTTTAAATGTATAAACAAATTTACATATAACATTTAACATGGTTTTACATGCCAGTAAAGAATCACTTGTCTTACTGAGTAAGTGATGCATTGACGTCTCAAGATTTAATTGTCTCCACTTAGATCAGGCCAAGGACTTTACAGGGTAAACAAGAATGTGTCTTGGATGCTGCTCTGTACTACTTTGTAAAAATTACATTTTCCACTTGGTTATTTCAAGTATATCTGAAACATTATTGACGTTTACATCTCGTCACTAAAATCTGATATTAGTTATAATCTTTTGTTCAGTTGATTTACTTGGATTTTCTGGTGAGACAATCACATAAACTGTAAATATTTTTCTCTTCCTTTCCAATGTTTAAAATTGAATTTCCTTTTTTGTCTTATTACATTAACTACAAAACACTAGCAACTGGGCGTGGTGGCTCATGCCTGTAATCCCAGCACTTTGGGAGGCCGAGGCTGGTGGATCACCTGAGGTCAGAAGTTCGAGACCAGCCTGACCAACATGGCAAAACCCCATCTCTATTAAAAATGCAAAAATTAGCCAGGCGTGGTGGCACATGCCTGTAATCCCAGCTACTTGGGAGGGTGAGGCAGAAGAATCGCTTGAACCCGGGAGGCGGAGGCTGCAATGAGCCGAGATTGCACCATTGCACTCCAGCCTGGGCAACAAGAGCAAAACTGTCTCAAAAATAAATAAAAAAACAAATCAACAAACAAATAAATAAACAAAAAACAAAACAAAACAAAAACACTAGCAACAGCTGCAGGACACTTACATGATGTTTAGTATAAGCCAGTGTGTTAGCTATAACTCTTCTAAAGTATGTTAGTTACAAATTTATTTAATCCTCATGACAGATATCTATGAGATAAGTATTATTATCCTAATTTTAGAAATAATGAAACTGAGGCACAAAAAACGTTAGGCAACATATATAAGACCACACGGCCACTAAGGAGTTGACCAGGACAATGAACCTCCTCTTTACACTGTCATTTTGGCAGAGTATTTACAGAGTATTGAGTTGGGAAGAAAACCCCAAGGTGTTAGGCCACAGAAGAGAAGAAATTAAAATGTGAACCCTTATCTTATTCCTGATTCTAATTGGATCAGTACTATATTGTTGTTGCTTTAAGCCATAAGGAAGAAGGGGATGAACTTGAGTCTCCGCCAGGCATCACAGAGAACGTGTTCCAAGGTGGTTCCTACCACCTGGACATCTCAGAGCCTGTGTCATCCAAGGTCTAGCATTCTTATTGGGCGAGTGAGGCACTACCCAGCTGCCAAACGTGAAGACAGTGGTGTAAGGTGACTGGACATTAGCAACACTTGTGGACCACTTCCCTCTAAATGGCCACATGCTCCACGGCTGCCATATGGGAAACTCACCAGAACCAGGATAAAAAAGAGAAGATTATTTCTTTTTTTTGAGACGGAGTCTCGTTCTGTCGCCCAGGCTGGAGTGCAGTGGCGCGATCTCAGCTCATTGCAACCTCTGCCTCCCAGGTTCGAGCAATTCTCCTGCCTCAGCCTCCCAAGTAGTTGGGACTACAGGCGCATGCCACCACACCTGGCTAATTTTTTGTATTTTTAGTAGATATGGGGTTTCACCATGTTAGCCAGGCTGGTCTTGATCCCCTGACCTCGTGATCCACCCACCTTGGCCTCCCAAAATGCTGGGATTACAGGCGTGAGCCACCGGGCCTGGCCAGAAGATTATTTCTTAATGGTTCCTGCAAGAGGTCAAATGCATCAAATGATTTTCCTTCTACCACCTCACAAAAGACTATTCACTTACTGGATGAGGAAAGCAGGCTTTGGGATCTCAGCCAAGATCCCAAAGATCACTTACTATATAACTGTGTGTGTGTGTGTGTGTGTGTGTGTGTGTGTGTGTGTGTGTGTGCGCGCGGGCGCTTTGGAGGAGGGCAGGGTTGAGGTGAAGTGAAGTGATAAATGCCAGGAATTCTGTAGTTCAGTTTAAATCTCTTCATTCTTTAAGTTCTATAGTTGTCTGTTCTTTCAATCTACATATTGGGTTTTTGATCAAATAAAAGAACTGCTTGGCAGGGCATGGTGGCTCACGCCTATAATCTTAGCACTTTGAGCGGCCAAGGCGGGTGGATCACTTGAAGTCAGGAGTTCGAGACCAGCCAGGCCAACCTGGTGAAATCCCATCTCCATTAAAAATACAAAAATTAACCAAGCATGGTGGCAGGTGCCTGTAATCCCAGCTACTTGGGAGGCTGAGGCACGAGAATCTCTTGAACCTGGGAGGGGGAGGTTGCAGTGAACTGAGATCACACCACTGCATTCCAGCCTGGGCAACAGAGTCAGACTGTCTCCGAAAAAAAAAAAAAAAACAAAAAGCAACTGCTCTTTCCCAAGCCCATTTACACCTTGGGAAAACATAGAAGACCTTTCTGCATGATGCTCCAATGGGAGGGAGGCGGAACAAAAAGCCCTGGCACTTGTGAGCTTTTCCTGCTATAGAAGAGCTCTGGTTAAAAATACTACCTAATAATACTGGCTGACAAGAGGGTTAAAGGTAAAGGAAAGATGAAAAAACAAATGCTTTCTCATATCCAAGAGTGTGCCATCCTTCTCTTCCTGACTCATACAGCCTGCCTCTGAGTCTCCTCAGCAGACTCAGGGAACAACAGAATGTACTATTTGCTATTTCCACTTTACTTATGCAATTTGCTAGTCACGAAAGGCCATTCCCATCTGCTGCCAAAGGGTTATCTCTAAAACACAAATATTGTATCATGGGAGTGAGCTCACTGCTTACGGGAGACAGATCAAATTCAAAAGGTTCCTAATCACTCTGCCACCTGGCCTCCTGAGGCAGGCTGTACGTTGAGTGCTTAGCTCTCCAACTGGGCGGCTCTGGGTTTGAATCTCAACTTCACCACCTGTAGATGGTAGGACCTTGGCTAAGGTCCCAAAGCCTGCTTTCCTCATCCAGAAAAGGACAGTTTCTATATTAAATGAGATAACAGCAGTGTATAAAAGCCCTGGCCCAGATACTGCATGAGAGGTGCTCCCAGAGTACTTACTATTATGTGTCTTAACTGCCACACTGCCTCGTCACCAGTTGTCCCCTCTTCACTCACTGCTCAGCATCTAGTAGATCTTCAATTATTCAGTTAATATCTGAATAGATCCACGGACCTGCAGCAACAATATTTCAATGGAGTCTCTCCTTCCTAGACTTGGACTTTCTATGACGTTGCCCAAACTTAAAAATGCTGGGAAGGGGCCAGGCACGATGGCTCATGCCTGTAATCCCAGCACTTTGGGAGGCCGGGGGGGGTGGGGGGCGGGGTGGATCATGAGGTCAGGAGTTCAAGACCAGCCTGACCAATGTGGTGAAATCCCATCTCTACTAAAATACAAAAATTAGCTGGGCGTGGTGGTGTGCGCCTGTAGTCCCAGCTACTCAGGAGGCTGAGGCAAGGAAAATCGCTTGAACCCAGGAGACAGAGGTTGCAGTGAGCCAAGATCACACCACTGTACTCCAGCCTGGGTGACAGAACGAGACTTGGTCTTTAAAAAAAAAAAAAATCGTTGGGAATGGAAGAGAATTAGCGATAGAAGAGAAATGGAAAATACACTTGGGGGGCTGAGGAAGCTGAGTTAGGGAGTCCCAAATCTTGACCTCACACAGATACATGTGAAAATTTTAATTTCAACACCATTTAAAAATCACATGTCATGTAGATGCATACTGCTATGAAACAGGGAGACCAGGTTTGTAATGTTGTTTTAATTCCTTAAAAATCTATTTATTCTAGGCACTTACAGATACACCCTTTTTTAAAATAAAGGAAGAAGGGCCAGGATAGTTCTGGAAAATAAACAAAGCTTTGCAACTAAAGGGATTGCTCCATTGCTCCCCCCTGAATTTTTCCGCCATGACACGCATGGTTGCTATCAGTTTCACACAGTGTGTACAGAAAGTAATGTCGATTAATAATCTGTGGAACATTTTTCTATAAGTCTGAGCAATGACTGGTTATGATTTAGAAATCAAGTCTCGGCCGGGAGCAGTGGCTCACGCCTGTAATCCTAGCACTTTGGGAGGCCGAAGCAGGGGGATCACCTGAAGTCAGGAGTTCAAGACCAGCCTGGCCAACATGGCAAAACCCCATCTCTACTAAAAATACAAGAATTAGCTGGGTGTGGTGGCACGTGTCTGTAATCCCAGCTACTTGGGAGGCTGAGGTGGGATAATTGCTTGAACCAGGGAGGCGGAGGTTGCAGACAGCCAAAATTGCACCACTGCACTCCAGCCTGGGCGACAGAGTGAGACTTCATTTAAAAAAAAAAAAAAAAAAAAAAAAGCAAGAAATCAAGTCTGGTAGCCTCTGTCTGTCCAAAAAGTGAGAGTTTTTGCTAATGGAGCAGAAAATAAAACTGATTACCAATAATAAAGGTATTAACAATTATAAAATATCTGGGTTTTCCAACTTGGCACCACTGACATTTTGGGCTGGGTGATTCTTTGTCACAGAAGCTGTCCTGTGCAGTGCAGGATGTTCAGCAACTTCCTTGGCTTCTGCCCACCAGATTTCATTATCTTCCCAACCTCCTATTGTGACCACCAAAAATGTCTCTAGATGGCGCTGGGGTAGGGAAGTGGGTGCAAACTTTCAACTTTGTTGAGAATTGTTTTTCTTAAATAAGGAGGTAAGAGAGTTAAAAACTGTGACAAATTCCTTAATAGATGTTTTGATCCTAACAAGTCAACCTACCAAACACATATTCTCCCACACAGATGAATTTGTCATAGTACTGAAAATATACAGCCAGAATATTTCATTCATCAGACTTTTCTAGATTTTTATATATAGAACAAAGAATTCCTCCTACTAGATGCAGAAAACAAGTAATTGCCAAATATACGTAAAACTATCAAATCTTTATGGTATCAATCTTTTAGAGCCTGAGACTTTTGTGCACCATTTTTCTCCATCACATAATCTTTTACTCCAAATACACTTCTCTGTGGAACTCCTATCTCTTACATATCTGGCAAGCCCAAGAACTAAAAGGACATTCTTGCCATCTAGAGGTCCAATATCTGACAAGATAGGAAACATCTCTGCTAGAAAGCCCTGAGAGTCCCAAAAGATAACAAAGAGGTTTTTTGTTGTTGTTGTTTTCTTACTCTATTTCTTATTAGGAAGAACCTGAAAAATTCTTCCTTTAATAATAAACAGAGTAAGAAAAAGTGTGCAAAAGCAAGTGCCTGTGCTAAGAAGGTTAATTTTAAAAAATGTTTCCTTAAAAGCTAGGGGAAAAAGTTTTAAAAATTTCTCAGAATTATCTTTTGCTCCCTTTTCCTCATTCCTCTTACCTAAGTATCGTTTTTTTCCTCTTGAACATCTCCCTCCCAGCCTAGATCAGGTGTTCATTATCTTTTATCAGGTCTATCTTAAAAACTTCCTAACTAGTTCTTCTACCTGCAATTTCTCACCATCTTCTCATCCTCCACTCCTGACCAATTTAACTCACCTGCAGGGGAGGGAGGACACTTGCCTTCACTTAATCTTTCTAAAAAGCAGATTCTGGGAGGAACTCCCCAGGGCACAGAGATTATAGTTCCCATTATTCAGTCTGGAATTTGCTCCAAACTAGGTTTCTAACTTCATCTCCTAAATACTCCTTCCCCTCTATCCCAGAGCCATTTGTTACCTTCAGGAATGGTGCCTGGTACTTTATCTAGAACGCCCTTAACCTCGTTCACCTGAAGGCCTCCCACTCCTAGACAGCTGTCAGAACTACCTACTCAACAATTCCATGGCATTTTGCTTGCACCTGTTAGAGCACTCACAATCACCATTCCTGGTCAATGTCTCAGAGCTGTACCTGCCTGACTGGAGGGAATTAAGAGACCTGACTTGTTCTCCAGGTAGTTCTCAGGCATCTTTGATGTTTCTCCTTTAAAGAAGAATCCATTTCAGTTGGGTTAAAATTATTTATTGAGTCCTTAAACTATTCAAGGCTGTGTTAGATGCTGTATGAGATAGGACTGTCCTCAAGGAGCCTTTAGTGGTGGGAAGAGTGACAGCAAGACAAACAGTCATGGGTGCAAATTGTTACAGGGATTCTGAAGGGGAAGGATCTACCTGGTGAGAAAGATTAGGAAAAGCTTCTTGAAGAAGGTGGTAAAAATGAGGCCGGATTTCACTATTCTTCTTCTTGAGGAAGGTGGTGGTGGTTGGGGCAGGATTTCTCTATTGGGTGGTGGCTATGAGGTGTGAGCCCTCCAAGCAGTAGACACAGGCGGGAACAAGGCAGGGCAAAGCCTACCTGAGCAACAACCAACAACCTGGTGTGGCGAGTGCCTGCTGGGTTGTCTGCTGGAGGATGATGCTTGTAGTCAAAGGAACACCAGACCTCAAAAAGGCCCAGCGTTAGACCAGAGTTTATACTCACGTGGGAAACATCTCTGAAAACTCCTGGCTAGCTGGTAAAATAACAGAGCTGTACTTGAAAAAAATAATAATCTGACAGTAACATAGATGACTGATTGGAGGAGGAAAGGGAGGCACCTTGCTCTTTAGAGCAAGGGAGACACAGTCACTGTAGGCTGGAAAGGAGGAGCAGTTTTGATAGGAATTGTGTGGAAAGAGGATCAACAAGACTCGCTGCATAATTACTCTGTGGGTCAGGAGGAAAGGACCCTAGGTGGACAGAGAACTGGGACTCCCACACGAGGGGACCAGTTTTATTAAAGGAAAAGAGTTGGGACTATAAAATGTTATGAAGGTCTATAAGAAAAAATGTAATTGCCACTGAGAAACGTATGGAATGTAGAAGGCATGAATGGAAAAACGGAATCTTTCTCATGTCTATGTGTCTACTGCATTTGGTTTACCTACAATGATTTTTAACATCTAAAAAATAAAAGCTCTGTGTTTATTTTGCTTGTCTCACACTCACGCATTGGCTTGACTCACTATTAGGGACAAACCCTACGGTGTTCTGTAAACCAGTTCTAACATGTTGGAGGCCCTGTGTAATGTATACCTCACCAAAAATCAACACAGACACGTCTGAATCATCTACCCTCTTGCTCCAGATATCAGAAAAGTTCACATGGTACACATAGTTTTGTTGTTTTCCTGTTGCAGTACACTCAACAACTACAGAAATGGGTCAGGGTTAACAGAAAGCCAGCACAAGACTTCCCTGGATAGTGACTCACAAAGGCAAGTGATTCCAAGCCTAAGAAATGGAGCAGAGTGACTTCAATTCAGGAAGTTTTGCTAGCACTGCAATCAGTTTTGGAACCCATGAAGTCTGTTTTCCACAAATAGAAAAAGCTCAAAGAAATTCCTAAAAAAGAACCTTTTAAAAGGTCACACTACTTCTTAGAGGTACAAATCCAATATGGAAATCAAATTATGAAGTGAGACAAGCACTTTCCCACCCATGCTATAAACACTCCATTAACAGTGTGGTCACAGGCAGCTTGTTTAAACTTTCCACCTGATGTTAATCATATTATCTCATAGGTTAAATTATATTTGAACTGGCGTTAGCCCTTTCAAGTAACCAACTTTCCACTGAGTACCTAAATGTAAGTATAAAGAAATGGAAAACAGTAGCCTAGGAGTTTTGAACCCCATCCCTGTTTTGTGCTACAATTTTTGTGGGTTTTTTTTTAATACTATACTTTCTGTTTGTAGATTCAGTAAATAATTTGCAAGGATTCTGAGTAAACAGGCTGAAATGTGAAAATAGCAATCAAAGGACTCTAAAATTTTTAGAGCTTTACTAGCATTTATAGAGCAATCTAGAAAAGCCACATAGTATGACACCAAATAATTCTGCAATGTATTTGCTCATATTCTCCCTTTCCATATCTCTCATAAAGCTCTTATTTTAAGAAAATAATTTTTTTAAAAGTTCCTTTATTTCCAAGTTTTACATACACCTATCCAAACTTTACCCCCCTTTAATAATTAAATCACTACCATCAACTGGGTCAGTCGCTAGAAACCAGCCACAGCTGGGAGCAATCAGGTTTCCATAAGAAGCCATGAGCTGGAAGCTTCTACCACATGGTGAAAACAACATCATTTCTTCCTGAATTCACCCTTCACTGTGTTGTTGCCACAAACATTTAACACTGGAACAAAACGACCCAGTGAAAGATGAACTTTCACCCCTAGAAAAATTAATTAAGACTGTAAATAGGATTCAAGGATGGAGGCAGAGTGGTTTTGATAAAAATGCCATATAAGAGTTCAACTATACAATTTATTTTGCCACTGGTGGTTGTGCTGAGTCAATTTTTTCCTTTTTATTACAATAATTCCCAAACACATGGAAAATTCGGGTAATGAACACCCATATACCTTTTACCTAGATTTAACAACTTAGTTTGCCAGAGTCATCTATTTTTTATGTCCACTTTTGCTCGAGCATTTTATAATCACATTTCACCCTTAAATAATTCAGTATGTCTCCCTAAAAAGTGAGGATATTTTCCCTCATACTATAATACATTGATTACAAATAACAAACTCACAATAATTCCCTAATCATCTCATCATGAAATCCATTCATATTCAAATTTCCTTGAGTTATTATTAAGCAATGTGAAGTAGGACTAGAAAGCTATACTGAAGATTGGTGACAATCTTCAATCCATTCTTGTAGCAAAGACACTTAGATAATCTCTTCATCTTTGTTTTGAGTTAAAATATGAGTGTGAATACCAATGTGTGAAAGATACATTTACCCTCTATCTGACCACAAAAACTATGTTACAGCAGCTATGAAATTTAAGTAATGGAGAGAGGAAGAGAATAACATTTTTGACTCTTGAGGAAAAAAATGGTAGAGACAATTTCCTAGACAGCAGACTAATATACTACTTAATTACTTTCTCTCTTTTTCCTTTTCTGAATCATTTCCCTTAGTCTAGAAAGATTTCTCAGATTCCATTATACTTAAAAATATGAAATACTGGAGAGCTGATTTCACTCCTATGTCCTCTTTCTTGGCTTCCCTTTTTTTTTTTAAATAAAATTTTTATATTTACTTTGCTCCCCCCAAATCAAATGTCACTGGTTTCCCTTTAGTACAAAATATCTTGGCAAAAATAGTTGATCCTTCCTTGCTGTCTACCTTTCACTCATTTTTAACTCTCTTTTGTAATCTAATTTTCCTCAGTTTCCTTACTTGAAACTGCCCTGTTGAACATCACCCATTTCCTTCTTCAACACTTAAAAGACTCTTTCCCCAGGCCTCCTGCCTCTGATCTGATCACCCCCCTAGGCCCAGCAGCTGTCCCCTCTGAGGCTCCAGGGGCTCCCCTGGAATCTCTTCCCAGAAATTTACTGAGCAAGGGGAATGTCACCTGTATGCAGATGACTTGTAAATCTGAAAAAGTCAAGTCTTATATATCTACTTAATTTTTTCCTAGAGTCAGAATACAAGTAGGGAGCTACTGTGAAAGGAAGAAAAGTGAAAGCTTTACCCAGCTTATTGGCTAATTCTAACAGATCTCTCCTCTCTAGGATGACTTCCAAGTAAAAGTGCCTCCTAGCACTTTCCAGGGAATAGTGGAGACGGGGGCAGGCTCTGAAGCCACATATCCTGGGTTCAAATCACACTTATTAACTGTGTATTATTACAAACACTTAACATCTCTAAACCTCAGCTTGTACTTGTATGAAATATAGATAATAGCACCCATTTCATGAGTTTGTTGTGAAAGTCACATGAAAAAATAAAAGTAAAATGCTGAGTTAACGAAGTGCCCAAGAAATGGTAAGCACTAAATAAATTTTAGTTATTGTTAACTATAACCTAAAAATTCAGTCATCAAAAATGGTTATTTTTTAGATCTATAACATTTCTTAATGGCAAAAAATGGCTGAGATAAATGTTCCTCAGCATACTTTATTAGTTCTGAGGACTTTTGAAAAGAAAGTTTGGTTATTTTCCATTTCGTCACATAAGCTTTATCCCATATAACAGGGAAAGTACACAAAGTGTTGTTCAACACTAGTAGTTACTTTTATAAATGGATGATTCATGCTAATTAAACTTGCAACCCAGGAGAATAAAATTAGCTTGTTTCAACATTTCCTTTTGTTCAGTAATTACAATTCAAGGTTATGTTAGATGCCACATTACTATAATTTTGCCCAAGAGACAAACACTGCACATCCTACACTTTTAAAAACAGGCACTGCTGATATAAATCCAGGTGCTTGCTGAATAAGGGCCTTGAAAACTGCATAAGCAATTCTTACCCATCTTCTGCTCAAGTGTCACTTACTTCTGTACATATTACAACTAGGAGGGAAAGTACTGAGATCATTTTAGCTTGTTACAGATTCACCAGATTTGCAGGAGGATGAGAATTTAAAAATAGAAGCCAAACGCGGCTGGAGTTTATCTCAGATGCTTATGTTCAAGTAGCAATCTGTTCATCCATGATGACAGTATCTGTTCATCCATGATGACAGCAAGCTTGCCACGGAATGCTATAAATTTTCATAAACCCACTCAGAATTCCATTACTTCGCAAATTGGCAGACCACTGATATATAGACACTTCATGTTCTGATCCATTTGGTTTCTCAAAGCTGTCTCTTGCTAGAGTTTTCTTTGTTGTTTTTCATGACAGAGGGGAGTGAGAGGAGATACCATTGATTTTGTATTACTCACGTGCCAGCACTGTGCTGAGCCATTTACGCAAGTTAGATCTCTGAGAATCTGAACAACATTTTTCTACAGTAGATCTCCATTTTATAGAGTGGAGACTTGGAGCTCAGGAGGGCAAATAAAATTCCAAAGAGAATGGCATATCTAGGCTTTCGTGGGGCTTGGGGTTTATATTCTTTTTTTTTTTAAAAAAAAATCACATTATGCATACTAAGTTAGGTTTCAGGCCCTAGAAAGGGTCAGCATAAACAAGGGCCCCGAGACACCAGCTTTAGGTAACCAACTGGGGATCTGCTTGACTGGTCATGCTGAGCTGCAGAGACAAAAGGAATTTGATGAATAGATACATTAATTGTAGAATAAAAACCATTCAACTTCAGAAATTCCTGGCTAGAATTAAGTTGCTAGGTTAAAAAAATTTAATATTTGCTTTTGTTTAATAAGTCAGGGTAAAAGAGTGGGAAGAAGAGTGGGTGTGCAGGTTGAGCTAGCAATGTCTGACACAGGTCCAGGCAGTTTGGAATTAATGTTCTGAGTATACAGAATGCAGAAAAAATCTTGAGTTCTGTATTGTACATTTCGTAGGAAAGGTTTGCCCCTTTGGTAGCAATGTGAAGTAGGAAAGTTCAGATTACATTTATCTGTGATGTCTTTTGAATACAATTTGTACGAATGTGACAATCTCTTTTCTAAACACTATGTCAATTTTTCTTAAGTGGGTTCTCTATTATTAGCAAAATACGTGATGTTGACTGGACACATTCTCTCAGGATCAATTATTTGGTATACCAAGAAAACACCTTTTGTCTAAAACTTATTTTGCCAGAATAGGGAATGTCTTTATTTTCCCAAAGCACATCTAGATAATTTCAGAATTCAGAATAAGGAGATTCTTGTCACCACCATTTCAGTGTGAGGTTCTCATAAGAACCACAGAAGTCATAGTTACCTTTTTTCAAAGTTTTATGAAATTATTTTTCATATTAAGAATTTCATGAAAATCTCTGATGTAACACATATCTTTAAAACGCTGAGTTTTATTGCTTTCCAAAATATGCATGAATGGAGCTGTGGCCTATGGCTGCCCAGGCTGTGCACTGCCCAACTCCAAGGGACTCTCTTACCAAAGATCACAAAGTAAGGGGTACTACTTGGAATAGGAGAGTGTAGGAGCCTTGACCAAAGGAGAATACTGATTGAAAAGAATGGTTGTTACCTATGCCAGAAAATAAGGACATGATTTAAAAAATGAAGGGGGCATGTCACAGAGACACAGGTGCCAGCCTATACCCAAATGGAGAAACATAGGACCATTTGAAGAAACAAGGACAGCAATATATCATAGTACACTGAATGGCATAAGAATCCACAAGTCCATGCTCATAATAGCAGGTAAGTAAAAAAATAAATAAACAGAAGAGAAAAAAATGCTTTTCCTTACAGGAGAATGACGGCTAACAAATACAAGAAGGAATGGTGGAGTTAAGTTAGAAAAGAACTGTTTTGCCACCTTCATAGTAAAAACAGAATCAGACAGGAATCATCAATAACTACTTAATAGGGGAGTGGTGGGGGGAGAAGATTTAGGGAAAGAGCAAGATAGTTACAGAGTCTAAAAGTACGTCCTCTCAAATTTCCCAGTAATCACAAAGTAAATGGTAATTATACAGCAGAGAAACTGGACAATACGTTAACCAAGTGATCAAAACTAAAATCACCAATAAGGGGCAAAGGACATCCCTTGCCATTATCACAACACAGAGCAGACCAGCCAAGACTGCATAGCCTCATCAAATCACGAGGACACGGGGAAACCCAAACTGAGGGTTGTTTTAGAAAATAATTTGCCTGTATTCTTTAAAAAATGTCTATATCACGAAAGACAAAGACGGCTGAGGAACTTGTTCCAGATTAAAGGAGACTAAAGAGATACAAGAGCAAAATACAATAAGTGGTCCTAGACTGGATGTTGTCCCAGAGGCGGAAAAAATGCAGCAAGGCATTATTGGGACAATCAACAAAACTGGAACATGGACAGTAGATTAAAGTATTAAATGTACTGAATTTGCTACCAGTGCTGTGGTTATATAAGAGGATATCCTTGTTCTTAGGAAATACACAGTGAAGTATTAGGGGGATGTATGCTGTCTACTCTCAAATAACTGAGAAAAAAATAAATAGCATATTTGTCTGTATTTGTATGTGCATTTGGTGGGGAGGGAGGAGGGTAAGAATGATAAAAAACAAATGTGGCAAAATGATACTAAAAATGGGTAAAACCGGGGAAATGGCACAAGGGAGTAAACTATACTACTGCAACTTCAAAATAAAATTACAAAAGCAAAACAAAAAACAGCAGCCCAAATAACATTGAGGGGTGTCAGTATTCAACTAGCTTGAATGAAGAGTAATTCAACTTGTAATTAGTAGTGCAGGATAAAGAATTAAATCCTTAGAAACATTTAGTAGCTAACATGATCACAGTCATCACCATTAACATTTATGGAGGCTTACTTAGTGGTAAACACTCTGAAAGGTGTTTCTCTTTCGATCTTCACAATTACCCTAAGAGAAAGGCACTATAATTATCTTCACTTTATAGATGAGGAAACAAAGATTTAAAGAGGTTTAGTAGCTTGCCCAAAGTAATATAGACAGAAAATGGCAGAATGAGAAATCAAACTTGGTTGTTTGATTACAAAGCTGGTGGGCTTTACTACTCTGTTAAACATTTTAAATTACTGTTTATTAGCTGCCCTAAAAAAAAGTAAGATTCATTTCAACCTAGATGAAATTCTGAAAAATTGGTAAAATATACATATATAAGGGTTTCCTCTAATTAAAACTAGAGCACAAATAAGCTAGGGAGACATAAATGATTTTTGGTCTCCACAATGTACTATATGCTCTCTTTTTTCCAAGGGCTAAACCTGGCAATAAATAGATTCTTGGAGACAAAATATATACACTATAACCTTGAAATGATCAATCATATCAAGACTCCTGGGTCTCCATTTTACACGGTAATCAAAACATACTCCCAGGCCAGGTATGATGGCTCATACCTGTAATTCCAACATTTTGAAAGGCCAAGGCAGGTGGATTGCTTGAGACCTGGAGTTTGAGACCAGCAACAAAGCGAGAACTGGTATCTACAAAAAATTGACAAGTTGGCCGGGCGTAGTGCCAGGTACAAGCCTGTAGTGCCAGCTACTCAAGAGGCTGAGGTGGGAGGATCCTTTGAGCCCAGTAGTCCAGGGCTGCAGTGAGCCATGAACACACCACTGCATTCTGGCCTGGGTGACAGAGTGACACCTTGTTTCAAAACAAACAAACAAAAAACACTTATAAAACCACACTGCCTTCTTATTTACCTGTTTATAAAATTTTTTTTAAAAAAACTACCAAATCACTAAATTTGTCTTGTAAAGCAAGTTTCATGGTGCTATCTTAAGATATGAAACACAAAACAAAATGATCAGCTGGAATCTATTTGTACCTCAAAACTTCTACCTAAACTTCTTGTTGAAAAAATTGAGGAAGACAGCTTAGAACATTCAGACACTCATGACCAGCGATTCATTCTATTTTGTTTAATGGCAAATGATCTCATGAACTATTTGGTCCTATTTCAAGCTTTTCTTTCTTTAATGTATTTTCTCTCCTTTATGTTGAATGATGTGATCTTAGTGCCCATGTTTCCTCTTAAGTCTTGGCACCTCAATTTCATTTTTAAAAATGTATCATTTGCAACATAATCCGTCACCTTCCTTATGGATCAAAAGCAAGCTGCTCAACAATATCACATCTTTCTTCCCAATGGAAGCTGGATGGTTCTTTTAAAAAGAAGTTCCAAACACCAAAATATTTACAAATATTTGTGTGTGTTTGAGGAAATCTTATCTCACATTGTGGATGCTCATTCTAGAACAATGGGTTCCCAACACTGGCTGTATATTTTAACCATGGGGGAGCTTTTAAAATTCTGATATCCAGCCAACACTCCAGACCAATTAACTTCTGGAGGTAGGACCCCACATCAGTCTTTTTAAAGTTCTCCAGGTGAATCCAATGTATAACCAAGTTTGAGATCCCTAAGTCAAACACCCATAGCCACAAAGAATTTTCTTTTGAGTACAGATCCAAAGGCTTCAGGTGTTTTTTAGAATTGGTATAACTTGTTAAGGACTGTACAGTCCAACTGGTGAGTGTGTACACAGGAAAAGGTAATTGAATGAAGACTGAGGACGTGTGCTAAATGAATGGGACACATCAGGAGACCATGTGGGGCTGCGGAGGACGGCTGAACCCTCCTGATGAAATGATGAGCTGAGGGAGGTAACTCCAGCTAGCTAGAGACTGTGTAAATGGAAAAGTGTCTAGTATGTTCAGGAAACAGTTAGACGACTAATGTAGCAAGAGTGGGAGGTTCACTCTTCGGAATAGAAAAGATCAGTTTGGAGAAGTAGACCAGAACCAGCCTCTGGAAAGCATTCAACAACAAGTCAAAGAATCTAGCAGCAGGATGCAGTCTCTAAAGGGGTTTGAGGAAGTGATAAAATGAGGGCACTCTTTTGGGAAGACTGATTTGACAGAGCTTTTCACAGCGCTTTTGCGGGAAAGACTAAAACGTAATTTCCTCATAGATGAATACAGCAGATTAGGTAAAAGTATATAGGATGAAGCAATGTAGCAATTTACCTTTCTTTCCAGTTTTCCACAAAGACAGAAACAGAATTTGGACTTGCTAAAAGTAGCATGTATCTCACTACTAGTAGGAACCATTCTGATGACAGAATGGGTAGGGTAGGGGGTTTGTTTCATTCTCTGCCCCTGTGAAAACTGCCCCACTTGCCTGAGTTACAATCTAACAGATGTAATGCTTTCTACAAGTATACATTTCTCTTTTTCCATGAAGGCTACTCTTAGGGCTAGGAAATACAATTCTAGAGGACAAAGTTTTAGGCCACAGAAATTCTGTCTTATAATTTTTTTGAGTAAGAAGGATTTTTGAGAAGCTAAGTAATCCCTGGGTCGTATCAGCATTTGAAGATTCCCAGGAATCAAAAATGGTACCAAACTATTCATTCATTCATTAAATATTCATCAAACAAATACCATTTACTGTGTCTAGACAGTGGGAATACAGTAAGGTCCCTTTTCCAAATAATAACTCTCTGTGCATTGTAAAGGGGTTATTCGAGAACACAATGGCAGTCTAGGGCTACACAATTTATGGTTAGTTGATTAAGGTATTCTGAACAGACTTGGAAAATATTGAACAATACTAGAGAAAAGGCTAAGATCCTTTATATAATGTATTATAAGTGCCGGAAAAAGCATATGGTAACATAAGTTTTTTTTTTTAATGGCATTTATAAGCTATCACTATTTAAAGCTTATTTAAGCCACTAGATGTATCCCAACCTCCTAGAACAGTACTGGCACACAGAATATACTCAATAAAAATCAGTTATATGGCACTATTGCATTGAGTCGGGTTCAAAGTGAGGTGAGAAGGCAGGTATTACACTCATTTAACTAAAGTAGTGAGGGCATCTCAGTTGCCTGTAATCTAAATGCCTATTGAAAGGAGAGACATATCCAGGTATATGAACTACCAATCCAATACTTTTAAACCCAGACCACAATGTTAATTTGTGAGACGGAATCTTGTGAAATCTTCACAAAGTCATTCACAAAAGCAATGTTCAAACTGTATACAGGATTCCTCAGAGACATGACCCCCTGAAGTTCTGAGGTTGGCTACATGTATTGATTTTAATTCCAAGACAATAGAGGTGTTTTATTTGTAAAATTTCTATCTTATAAATACCTAATAAGAATCCTCATTTAACTACATGCATTAATTAGAAATACTTCTAACAAAATGAATCTGAGCTTTCACTGATCAATAACCACACACAAATGTTTGATTCTCTAAGTCATTCTACTTTCTAGTTTACAGACAATTCTTAGAGGAAAAGTTTAGCTATTCACATCCCCTTTCTCTCGCTGCCTCATCTTGGCCCTTGGAGGAGTCTTACCTGCATAATGTACCGGAATCTCTATCTTTGGCCCAATGACATAGTGACCCTCCTCCAAGCTGTGGGCAGTGATGGTGGTCCACTGGCGGCAGGAATGAATCAGCAGATAGTCATTTTCCCGCAGCCCTTCTACGCACTCTCCTAGGAAATACAATTTTATATGAGAAACTTAGAATTCATAATCTGCTTTCTCCATACTTTGCAATAAAATTTCATTAGTTAAAACTTGACTAATGCAGAAGTTGACAGTTCATCCCAAGATGAGATAAAGTTTACCTCTGAATTGTTTTTTTTTTTTTTTTAAAAAAGGGTATTCCACACCAAGCTGACAACTGTACATAGAAGTCCATAAAAAATGTTTCCCACTCATTTGCAAATAGCTATTCAAATATCACATTATACCTAAATGATTATGTTTTAATGATAATAAAACATTTATTAAGTGCCTAGAATATATTAGGTACTGTTTAGATGCTTTGCATATACTATTTCATGTAATAAGATAACTTTAGGAGGTAGGTAAAAGGTAATGCTCCTTCTTTACAGGTGAGAAAAATCAAAGTTTGAAATGTTAACATGTCTAAGCTCACAGATTTAATAAACTGAAAAGTGAGGATTCAAAGCTAGGTCAGATAGATTGAAAGCTTATGATTTAATCACCACAATAAAGCTACAAAAATAAATAATCTTATCTCTGTTGAAAGAGTACTTGAAATTAAATACTCACAGTTCCTTTTAAATTTTATGTTTGCCAATTTTCTCTGGCCTCCTACCAAACTTCCCGATCAATTAAAAATAATGATTTATAGCATACAAATGAAATTTCTTTTCATTTTAATATTTTCTGAAGTATCTTTTCGGCATTTGAACGGATGACAAACTATTTCAAAAGAGAAATTCATTTCCTGAAACTTAAAAGATGTTTTTCTAGATGCTGAAATAATCCGTTCCATTAATCCTAGTTTAGTAATTTTCAGTGCTCAATGAAAATATCTGAAAAGGCTAACTTTTTATACAGAAAACAGCCTTATTTTGACACTATATTACAGTAATTAAGTTATTAGTGATTTAACTGTGTTTTGAAATGGCATTTTAGATCTCTCAAAAATTCTTAAAAATTTCAGTACTTTTTCAATAAATAGAAGAGACTGTAATGATCAACTTGGCTATCCCAACCTAAAATGTCTAATTTGTTTCCAAAACAGTAATGCAACAATCTTTAAAACAGTCTTGGCCTGGCATGGTGGCTCATGCCTATAATCCCAACACTCCAGGTGGGAGGATGGCTTGAGTCCAGGAGTTTGAGACATGCCTGGGCAACATGGCAAAATCCCATCTCTACAAAAAAAATACAAAAATTTGTCGGGTGTGGTGGCATATATCTGTAGTCCCAGCTACTTAGGAGGCTGAGATAGGAGGATCGCTTGAGCCCGGGAGGTGGAGGCTACAGTGAGCTGAGATTGTGCCACTGCACTCCAGCCTGGGTAACGGAGCGAGACCTTATCTCAAAAAATAAAAAATGAAATAAAATAAAAAGGTTAAAACAGTCTTAATGCAGGAATACTTTATAGTGCAAAATACAAAGAGTTAAAAAACTTTATAAGGGGACAGGGAGAGAAAAATAGATCTGGAAGTGGAGGTACATTAGCAGAAGGGGGAGAATCCAATTCATCGGGGGGATTTTTCAAACCAGACTATGCTGCCCATCACCTCTTGAGAGGATGTGGCCTGGCTTTTTCAGAAAGATACTGCCTGGGGGCCAGTGGTACTCATGAGCCCTTTGTATCCCTCAACCACCTTAGGGCAGGAAGGAAAAATCTAGAACTGCTGCTCCAAAGGAGAAATCATGCAGCCCCCTGCTGAGCATATGCACAGTAGGCAGGAATTACAAGCACCAGGTTTAGAGTCCCATAGACCTGGTCTCAAGCGATGTTCCGCTACCCACCATGGTGTGGTCTTGGGCACGAACCTCCTTCTTTCACCTGTGAAATAGTTATTAATACAACAGGCCCTGCTGCACAGAGTGGATGTGGAGACACACAGTGAATGGAAAGTGTGTAGCACCAGTTCTAGCAGGTATTAGCAGTGATCAGGACACATAAGCTACTGATTTTATGGTATGCTTTTTTCCCTCTAAAACGTAATCCTTCTATAAATATTGTAATTCAAGTTATATTAACCTTTAAAAGTTAGGAAATGACCTTCAGAGGAGTTGAGAAACTTGCTCAAAGCTGCACAGCATAGTAAGTGGCAGAAGCTGACTTTGGGGTCTCTCTCCATCTCTCTCCTGCTCTTCCAATGCCACAATGTCTCTTACCTTGAAAAACACTGACAATAATCCAAAGAAAGGGGAAAAACTGACCTTTGGCTTCAAGTTTCATTCATTCACTCAACCAATATAACAAGCACTGTTCTGAGTGCTAGGCGCATACGGGTGAACAAACCCAAGATCGCTGCCCTAGGGCACTTACTATTCAACAGGGAGAAGACAGCCAATACCAATAACAAAACTAAGTAATTAAATTACAAATTCATTCGAAGGTGAGAGATGCTGGGTGGGGGAAGTAATGGGTAAGAAGATCAGGATTATATAGAACAGGGGACAGTTCACACATTTATTTTTAACAAGTCCAACAAACATTCATTCATTATCCAACAAACATTTTTTATCTTTTATGCAAAAGGCAATGAGGGAATGGGCAAAAATATAAAGAAGACTTAGTCCCTACATTCAAGAAGTCATTCTTGAGAGTGAGGTGGGTTCATATGTAATTTTACATTAGAGAAGCCATGATGAGTGCTACGCAAGAGGAATGAGAAATGTAGAGCACCACCTATGGGGGCAGGGCATAGCCGAACAAAAGGCAGCAGAAACCTCTGCAGACTTAAATGTCCCTGTCTGACAGCTTTGAAGAGTGTAGTGGTTCTCCCAGCACGGAGTCTGAGATATGAGAATGGACAGACTGCCTCCTCAAGTGGGTCCCTGACCCCCAAGTAGCTTAACTGGGAAGCACCCCTGAGTAGGGGCAGACTGACACCTCACATGGCCGGGTACCCCTCTGAGACGAAGCTTCCAGAGGAACAATCAGGCAGCAACATTTGCTGTTCAGCAATATTCGCTGTTCTGCAGCCTCCACTGCTGATACCCAGGCAAACAGGGTCTGGAGTGGACCTCCAGCAAACTCCAACAGACCTGCAGCTGAGGGTCGTGACTGTTAGAAGGAAAACTAACAAACAGAAAGGACATCCACACCAAAACGCCATCTGTATGTCACCACCATCAAAGACCAAAAGTAGATAAAACCACAAAGATGGGGAAAAAACAGAGCAGAAAAGCTGAAAACTCTAAAAATCAGAGCACCTCTCCCCCTTCAAAGGAACGCAGCTCCTCGCCAGCAATGGAACAAAGGTGGACGAAGAATGACTTTGAAGAGAAGAAGGCTTCAGATAATCAAACTTCTCTGAGCTAAAGGAGGAAGTTCGAACCCATTGCAAAGGAGATAAAAACCTTGAAAAAACATTAGACGAATGGCTAACTAGAATAACCAGTGTAGAGAAGTCCTTAAATGACCTAATGGAGCTGAAAACCATGGCACGAGAACTACGTGACGAATGCACAAGCTTCAGTAGCCGATGCGATCAACTGGAAGAAAGGGTATCAGTGATTGAAGATCAAATGAATGAAATGAAGCGAGAAGAGAAGTTTAGAGAAAAAAGAGTAAAAAGAAACGAACAAAGCCTCCAAGAAATATGGGACTATGTGAAAAGACCAAATCTACGTCTGATTGGTGTACCTGAAAGTGACAGGGAGAATGGAACCAAGGTGGAAAACACTGTGCAGGATATTATCCAGGAGAACTTCCCCAATCTAGCAAGGCCGGCCAACATTCAAATACAGGAAATACAGAGAATGCCACAAAGATACTCCTCGAGAAGAGCAACTCCAAGACACATAACTGTCAGATTCACCAAAGCTGAAATGAAGGAAAAAATGTTAAGGGCAGCCAGAGAGAAAGGTCGGGTTATCCACAAAGGGAAGCCCATCAGACTAACAGCGGATCTCTCGGCAGAAACTCTACAAGCCAGAAGAGAGTGGGGGCCAATATTCAACATTCTTAAAGAAAAGAATTTTCAACCCAGAATTTCATATCTAGTCAAACTAAGATAAGTGAAGGAGAAATAAAATACTTTACAGACAAGCAAATGCTGAGAGATTTTGTCACCACCAGGCCTGCCCTACAAGAGCTCCTGAAGGAAGCACTAAGCATGTAAAGGAACAACCAGTACCAGCCACTGCAAAAACATGCCAAATTGTAAAGACCATCAAGGCTAGGAAGAAACTGCATCAACTAACGAGCAAAATAACCAGCTAACATCATAATGACAGGATCAAATTCACATACAACAATATTAACCTTAAATGTAAATAGGCTAAATCCTCCCATTTAAAGACACAAACTGAAAAATTGGATAAAGAGTCAAGACTCATCAGTGTGCTGTATACAGGAGACCCATCTCACATGCAGAGACACACATAAGCTCAAAATAAAAGGATGGAGGAAGATCTACCAAGCAAATGGAAAACAAAAAAAGGCAGGGGTTGCAATCCTAGTCTCTGACAAAACAGATTTTAAACCAACAAAGATCAAAAGAGACAAAGAAGGCCATTACATAATGGTAAAGGGATCAATTCAACAAGAAGAGCTAACTATCAAAAATATATATGCACCCAATACAGGAGCACTCAGATTCATAAAGCAAGTCCTTAGAGACCTACAAAGAGACTTAGAACTCCCACACAATAATAATGGGAGACTTCAACACCTCACTGTCAACATTAGACAGATAGAGACAGAAAGTTAACAAGGATATCCAGGAATTGAACTCAGGAATTGAACTCAGCTCTGCACCAAGCGGACCTAATAGACATCTACAGAACTCTCCACCCCAAATTAACAGAATATACATTCTTTTCAGCACCACAACGCACTTATTCCAAAATTGACCACATAGTTGGAAGTGAAGCACTCCTCAGCAAATGTAAAAGAACAGAAATTATAACGAACTGTCTCTCAGACCACAATGCAATCAAACTAGAACTCAGGATTAAGAAACTCACTCAAAACCGCTCAACTACATGTAAACTGAACAACCTGCTCCTGAATGACTACTGGGTACATAACAAAATGAAGGCAGAAATAAAGATGTTCTTTGAAACCAATGAGAACAAAGACACAACATACCAGAATCTCTGGGACACATTTAAAGCAGTGTGTAGAGGGAAATTTATAGCACTAAATGCCCACAAGAGAAAGCAGGAAAGATCCAAAATTAACACCCTAACATCACAACTAAAAGAACTAGAGAAGCAAGAGCAAACACACTCAAAAGCTAGCAGAAGGCAAGAAATAACTAAGATCAGAACAGAACTGAAGGAGATAGAGACACAAAGAACCCTTCAAAAAAATCAATGAATTCCAGGAGCTGGTTTTTTGGAAAGATCAACAAAATTGATCGACCACTAGCAAGACTAATAAAGAAGAAAAGAGAGAAGAATCAAATAGACGCAATAAAAAATGATAAAGGGGATATCACCACCGATCCCTCAGAAACACAAACTACCATCAGAGAATACTATAAACACCTCTATGCAAATAAACTAGAAAATCTAGAAGAAATGGGTAAATTCCTGCACACATACACCCTCCCAAGACTAAACCAGGAAGAAGTTGAATCCCTGAATAGACCAATAACAGGCTCTGAAATTGAGGCAATAATTAATAGCTTACCAACCAAAAAAAGTCCAGGACCAGATGGATTCACAGCTGAATTCTACCAGAGGTACAAGGAGGAGCTGGTACCATTCCTTCTGAAACTATTCCAATCAATAGAAAAAGAGGGAATCCTCCCTAACTCATTTTATGAGGCCAGCATCATCCTGATACCAAAGCCTGGCAGAGACACAACAAAAAAAGAGAATTTTAGACCAATATCCTGATGAACATTGATGCAAAAATCCTCAGTAAAATACTGACAAACTGAATCCAGCAGCACATCAAAAAGAAGGCTTATCCACCATGATCAAGTGGGCTTCATCCCTGGGATGCAAGGCTGGTTCAACATACGCAAATCAATAAATGTAATCCAGCATATAAACAGAACCAAAGACAAAAACCACATGGTTATCTCAACAGATGCAGAAAAGGCCTTGGACAAAATTCAACAGCCCTTCATGCTAAAAACTCTCAATAAATTAGGTATTGATGGGAAGTGTCTCAAAATAATAAGAGCTATTTATGACAAACCTACAGCCAATATCATACTGAATGGGCAAAAAACTGGAAGCATTCCCTTTGAAAACTGGCACAAGACAGGGATGCCCTCTCTCACCACTCCTATTCAACACAGTGTTGGAAGTTCTGGCCAGGGCAATCAGGCAGGAGAAAGAAATAAAGGGTATTCAATTAGGAAAAGAGGAAGTCAAATTGTCCGTGTTTACAGATGACATGATTGTATATTTAGAAAACCCCATCGTCTCAGCCCAAAATCTCCTTAAGCTGATAGGCAACTTCAGCAAAGTCTCAGGATACAAAATCAATGTGCAAAAATCACAAGCATTCTTATACAACAGTAACAGACAAACAGAGAGTCAACTCATGAGTGAACACCCATTCACAATTGCTTCAAAGAGAATAAAATACCTAGGAATCCAACTTAGAAGGGAAGTGAAGGACCTCTTCAAGGAGAACTACAAACCACTGCTCAACGAAATAAAACAGGACACGAACAAATGGAAGAACATTCCATGCTCATGGATAGGAAGAATCAATATCGTGAAAATGGCCATACTGCCCAAGGTAATTTATAGATTCAATGCCATCCCCATCAAGCTACCAATGACTTTCTTCACAGAATTGGAAAAAACTACTTTAAAGTTCATATGGAACCAAAAAAGAGCCTGCACTGTCAAGTCAATCCTAAGCAAAAAGAACAAAGCTGGAGGCATCACGCTACCTGACTTCAAACTATACTACAAGGCTACAGTAACCAAAACAGCATGGTACTGGTACCAAAACAGAGATATAGACCAATGGAACAGAACAGAGCCCTCAGAAATAATACCACACATCTATAACCATCTGCTCTTTGACAAACCTAACAAAAACAAGCAATGGGGAAAGGATTCCCTATTTAATAAATGGTGCTGGGAAAACTGGCTAGCCATATGTAGAAAGCTGAAACTGGATCTCTTCCTTACACCTTATACAAAAATTAATTCAAGATGGATTAAAGACTTACATGTTAGACCTAAAACCATAAAAACCCTAGAAGAAAACCTAGGCAATACCATTCAGGACACAGGCATGGGCAAGGGCTTCATGTCTAAAACACCAAAAGCAATGGCAACTAAAGCCAAAATTGACAAATGGGATCTAATTAAACTAAAGAGCTTCTGCACAGCAAAAGAAACTACCATCAGAGTGAATAGGCAACCTACAGAATGGGAGAAAATTCTTACAATCTACTCATCTGACAAAGGGCTAATATCCAGAATCTACAAAGAACTCAAACAAATTTACAAGAAAAAAACAAACAACCCCATCAACAAGTGGGTGAAGGATATGAACAGACATTTCTCAAAAGAAGACATTTATGCAGCCAACAGACACATGAAAAAATGCTCATCATCACTGGCCATCAGAGACATGCAAATCAAAACCACAATAAGATACCATCTCACACCAGTTAGAATGGCGATCATTAAAAAGTCAGGAAACAACAGGTGCTGGAGAGGATGTGGAGAAATAGGAACACTTTTACACTGTTGATGGGACTGTAAACTAGTTCAACCATTGTGGAAGACAGTGTGGCGATTCCTCAAGGATCTAGAACTAGAAATACCATTTGACCCAGCCATCTCATTACTGGGTATATACCCAAAGGATTATAAATCATGCTGCTGTAAAGACACATGTACACATATGTTTATTGTGGCACTATTCACAATAGCAAAGACTTGGAACCAACCCAAATGTCCAACAATGATAGACAGGATTAAGAAAATGTGGCACATATACACCATGGAATACTATGCAGCCAGAAAAAAAGGATGAGTTCATGTTCTTTGTAGGGACATGGATGAAGCTGGAAATCATCATTTTCAGCAAACTATAGGAAGGACAAAAAAACAAACACTGCATGTTCTCACTCATAGGTAGGAACTGAACAATGAGAACACCTGGACACAGCAAGGGGAACATCACACACCAGGGCCTGTCGTGGGGTTGGGGGGAGAGGGGAGGGATAGCATTAGGAGATACACCTAATGTAAATGACGAGTTAATGGGTGCAGCACACCAACATGGCACATGTATACATATGTAACAAACCTGCACATTGTGCACATGTACCCTAGAACTTAAAGTATAAAAATAAAAAATAATAATAAAGACTAATTGAATATAAAAAAGAAATAAAAAGAAGACAGATGTAGAAACTTAATAACTGCTAAGTTTTTTTAAGTACTTACTATGTTCCAGATAATGGTCTTAAAAAGAAAAAAAAAGAAATGTAGAGCAGAGATCGAGACTTCAGCAGAGGAGATCAAGAAAAATGTGAAAGGGCAAATACAGCATGTGAGCTGCTCTTTCTTTGAAGAATGAGTTGGGCTTAGATAAGAGAGAGGCAAAGGGGAACCACTGAAGGGTTTTGGATGAGAAGATGGCCAAAGCTCTGCTTTAGAAAAATTAATCTGGCGGAACTCTAAAAGATGGATTGGAGAAGAGAGAAACCAGAGCCATGGGGCGTATGCAGAAAACCCAGAGGTAGAACACACTGCCATTCGGGGGAAAAAAATGTTGTTTTCCGCAACTAAATTGTTGTATCATAAAAACTGTTTTAATTTTATCCCACAGTGGGCTCTAAAGAGGCAGCCAAGAAACAACTGCAGTCAAGTTAATCAAAATGAAAATTTAATGTTAAGTCCTACTGCTAGCTGGTGTAGTAAACACTCCAGCAAGAGGATTCAGAATGATTTTTAAAGCCATAAAGTAGTAAGAAACCAATGCTTATGTCTTTTTTTATTTTAACTGAGCTGTGTGCCTGCTTTAGGCAAAAAAAGTTCCAGAAAAACTGTCTAGAAATAAAACTTAATATAATCACTTAAAATATCCTAGGGTAGGCCACTAATAGAGACATTATACTAAATGAATTCATAAAGTAAACAATTTTGTGACATAATTATTCTGTTGCTTAACTACTACATATAATGTACTAAAATTTATATATTTAACTCAACAATGTAGTAATGAGACATCTAAAAGAAGTGCATGTTAAATTCCAAAATATGTAAATGCCATCCTGAAATTTCCCCACATTTAACATGCTTCTGGGATATGCTTGGATTTTACTTGCCCCATTTGACCTTGATCCTTTCAACATTAAGTCCTACCTACCTCTAAAAATAATTTTTAACACTAGGATAACTAGAATCCATGAAACCTTCAAAGTTAGTCTGCTTAAAAAAAAGGATTCAATTTCAAAATCCAAAATAAATATTTATAAAGTGGACATGCACAAATGGGTAATTCTCTTTTCTGCTCTTTTGGCTTCTGTGCCAACAGATCTCCTGAGCCACTTTTCTGATCCCTCCTTGCTATTTTCTCTCAGTGCTTTCTCCTTGACATTTGCCATAACTGTAGGAGCTATCGAGGCTCCACCCTTAGCCTGTTCCCCCTGTCTCCTCTACAATCTTATATATTTCTCAAGGATTCAATTAGTTGTAGACAACTCAAAATCCTTGTTAATACCAGCTGCTAACTTTTATTCGGAGTCCTATTCTGGACTTTATTTCCCACACATTTTCTAACTAGATATCCCCCTGCCCTTCATTAGGCATCATATATTCAATCAACACACACTTACTGAGGGTCAATTATGTTCTAGGACCTGGAAACTTGGTAATGAACCATGTATCTGTGCTCGTGGAGTGGACCTTTTGGTTGGATTTTCAATCTTTTCTTTCCTTCTTTTTCTTTTATTGAGACAGAGTCTTGCTCTGTTGCCCAGGTTGAAGTACAGTGGTGTGATCTCAGCTCACTGCAACCTCTGCCTCCCAGGTTCAAGTGATTCTCGTGCCTCAGCCTCCTGAGTAGCTGGGATTACAGGCGTGCACCACTACACCCAGCTAATTTTTGTATTTTTAGGTTTTGCCATGTTGGCCAGGCTGGTCTCAAACTCATGGCCTCAAGTGATCTGCCTGCTTCGGCCTCCCAAAGCGCTGGGATTACAGGAGTGAGCCACTGTGCCTGGCCTCAATCTTTTCATTCTCCTAATGTATTTAAATATTGCTGCAGATAACATTTTAAAAAATGAAAATGTAGTACTACTTACATGCCTTCAACAATTCCATTCATACAGAATGGGGCCCTGAGTCCAATACTCAAGGTCCCCATGATTTACTTCTAATAGTTTACCACCTTATGTTACCCCCTCCCGCTCCCAACCTACACAAAACCCAAAGGGACTGTTCTCTGTTTACACATATGCTGTACTCTCACTTACACGAGCCCTCTGCTCACTTCAGTTTCCTTGCCTTGGCCTTTATCTCTCAACCCTTATTTACCCAGTTCCTCACCCTAACTCAAGTGCTACCTTTGTGAATGTCTTCTTGATCCTAATCTTTCTTTGCTTTTGTTTTGAGATAGGTTCTTGCTCTGTCACCCAGTCTGGAGTGCAGTGGTCCAATCACAACTCACTGTAGCATCAACCTCCCAGGCTCAAGTGATCCTCCTCCCTCAGCCTCCCAAAGTGCTGGGATTACAGGTATGAGCCACTGTGCCCAGCCCTGGTCCTAATCCTACTCATTTAAACTGCAGTGATTTTATGGCTTTGCTTACAGTCTATGCTGAATTTATAGGTTTGTTTTAGAGCTATGAGTACGTGAATCTTAGATCAACTTTTTAATGTTTATGTATTAATATTTAAAGGCCAACACAGTAAAAATAACTTAACCTGTAGAAATTACAAGCATTTTTTTCCATTTTAAAACTGGTCTATACATTCACCAACTTTGAGAAACATGGTTGTAGGGGATAAGGAACAAAGGTATGCAGGACCATAACATGCTGTTAGTCTTTATTTAGAATATTTCTCCCTGGACATTGAATCTTATTTTTTTTATGCTGATTGTAAGTATTTCAGCTTTGTCCAAATTGTCATTACCTTCATTACAGTTGAATGTATCTGAATCATTGCATAACTATAGTGCCTTTATGAATTAAAGCACCCTTGTGAATTACTTAGGATGGTTGTGAATCAATGTAAGTAGTTATGTAACATCTGTCACAGCAAAACCCAAATCTCTATTAAATGCTTTTTTATTTTTAAACATGAAGATGAAATACATTTGGATGACTAAATATAATATGTTGATAATCAACTTGTTAGCTTAACTACTGATGAGTTTTCTCTTAAGGTTGGGATGAATCCAGAGAACAAAACAGACACACGCTCATGTTGGGTTTTTGGGTTTGTTTCTTTCCATTCTTATGTTGCACAAAAAAAAAAACCCTGGTTGACAGAACAAAGAAAAGGCAAGTATATATGTGATTTTAGTTAATTCTATAAGTTGTGTGCTAGTATATTAAGGTGTTTTCTTTTCACATTTGTGTTTCTTTATACTCAGAGTATTGTATTTCACATTAGAGTAACTAGCTTGGTCAACCATCTGAAGCTGTATCCCTGCAGAAGGCATGCATGTTTAATCCTTTCAACTCCGAAATACCTAACTTTGCAAATATATAATCTTATATGACAGATTTATTTTTCTTTTTAAAGAATGTTTTTATTCCTCATTAGCCTGGTTTTTTCTCAGCACTGTGGTAAAGCCTTGTCTATAGTGGACATTTAAATAGTTATTGACTGACTAACATGGCCCCACTGAAATAATTTGATTTCTTAGTACATATATAATAAGAATCAGATTGGCTGAACTTGATATTGTTTTTATCTGTCACGGACATAAACTGTTCTTATGTCATAGCTAAATCTATTAAACAATGAATAATTTAATAAGTTCTAAGATTTCTGTGTTGGCACTTAATATAAATTTAAGAGGTGTGCATTATTTTACCAATATCAAAAGGAAAGCTGTTCAAGTGATAATACTGTACTTATTCTTCCTCTTTTAATAAATAGTGTGGCATAATTTTAATTATGTTTACTTGTCCTTTTCATGTAGAAAGGAAACTTACTGAGTCAGTTAAATACCCAAACCACTGTACTTCTCTTACAATTTTTTTTTTCTTTTTTTTGTCTTTTTGAGACAGAATCTCGCTCTATCACCCAGGCTCAAGTGCAGTGGTGCGATCTTGGCTCATTGCAACCTCCGCCTCCCGGGTTCAAGTGATTCGCCTGCCTCAGCCTCCAGAGTAGCTGGGATTACAGGCGTGCACCACCATGCTGGCTAATTTTTGTATTTTTAGTAGAGACAGGGTTTTTTCACGTTGGCCAGGCTGGTCTCAAACTCCTGACCTCAACTGATCCACACACCTTGGCCTCCCAATGTGCTGGGATTACAGGCTTGGGCCACCGAGCCCGGCCTTCTCTTACAATTTAAACTTTTTTCAAAATACCTTCACTGGAAGGGACTGACTATCAAATAAGTGTCCTCTTCCTTCCAGGTGCACAGTAGACCACAATCCCTAACTGTCCTTGCAGTTAAGTGTGCCATGTCATTGAGTTCTAGCCAATGATGTATGAACAGAAATGACATTTCCTACTTCCTGTCCTGGCCTTACCCATGAAAGCTGCTCACAAGCTATCCTCTGTGCTCTTTTCTCGACCAATGGCTAAATATTGACTCTCAGGAATACCTTGGAACAAAGTGAAGATAGCACAGCTGCCAGCAGGCTGGGTTCCTCAATTCAAACATATTCGAACAAATCACCTACCTATGCCTGGACCACACACTGAGTTGTTATGTAAGAAATACCATTCTACTGTGATACTATGCCTGTGATGTGTTGTAGTTTTCTTTTTTTGTTACAGTAGTTAGCCTACCCAAACTAAAACATCTGTATACATAACCCTCAACACCAGCGGTCTTCTAATAATCACAAAAGTTTTATTACACAGGCTGTTCCTTCTAACTATTCTTCATACACACAAACTTACCCTTCACCTTGCAAAGGTAGCTTAGGCTAAAAAACTCCATTCCTTATTCTTTTAGTTACATTTGATTCTATAAACTGAGGGATATAATTAAACACTATTTAATTAGCATCTTCAAACATTATTTTTTATTTTTCTTTTTTGTAGAGACGGGGTTTCACCATGTTGCCCAGGCTGGTCTCAAACTCCTGGACTCAAGCAATCCACCCACCTCAACCTCCCAAAGTGCTTGGATTACAGCGTGAGCCACCGCGCCCAGCCTAGCATCCTCAAACATTTAAAATAAATGATGTCCTAGTTGTTTTACTGTCTTGTAAACAAACAAGAACTGTTTATTGTGAGAATACAACATGACATTCTGGTAGTATTTCTCTGTCCCGATGGACTATAATCAAATGACATGATGAGTAAAGAAACGGTGTGTGGTGGGGGGAAAGAGGTGAAATCATAGAAAACTGCTACAAAACAATGAAAGAACAATCATGAAATCAAAAAATGAAAATGTTGTCTGCGAAAAGGAAGCAAAGTGTTCCAAACAGAAAGTCAAAAAAGTGAGAAGAACTCTGAAAGAAATAACTAATTGGCAACTAACTTTTAAGAGGGAGAAATGATAAAGTGATCAGGAAGGATGTGGTTACAGGAAATCACTGAAGTACAGGTAATAATTGAAGTCAATGGAAACTGAAGAAACCAAAATTTCTTCAGTGGGAAAAGAAAGCTCTAGGAATAGGAGAAGAAACTGCTTTTAGCCCAATGGTTGAGGTATTATAAGAAAGTATAAGACTGAAGAGGAAGGAACAGACACTGGTATCAATCAAATAAAACTATCTGAAGTCACCTGATGATAAAAGCTTCCTGCAAAGCATAGTATGGATTTGCAGAAAAGACAGTTTCTGGCACAGATAACAGGAATGTAAAAGAAAATCAGTGTCCTAAATCTGAGCAGGCACAATGAATAATTTTATTACTATGCTAAAAGTCACCTCTAACATTCAGCTATCCCAAATGATCCTCCAACACTATGCAAGTGCCTACGTTTCTACTCTCATTCACTTCAACAATCCGCCCATTACTGGGTGCTGTCATTTTGTGGATCCTAAGACACATGTTGTGGTACAGAGAAAGGGCTCTGGAAAAACAACCACAATAGAGAACAACAGTGTCACTTGAGCTTAGTTGCTGTCCTGTTCTAATCACATGTAAAAATGAGAACATAGTTGCCTGTCTCAGGGCCAATGGTCCCTGTGTATGAAAAGGATCTGCAGCCTTAAGGAAGATGGTGACAGTGGTTCTGAGTGGAGGTTGCAGTGAGCCAAGATCGCACCATTGCACTCCAGCCTGGGCAACAAGAGTGAAACTCTGTCTCAAAAACAAACAAACAAAAAACAAAAACAAATAGATTCCTTAGGATTTTCTGTATACAAATTCATGTCATCTCTGAAAAGACATAGTCTTACTTCTCCTTTTCCAAACTGGATGCCATGTTTTTTCTTCTACTTGCCTAATAGCCCTAGCTAGAATCTCCAGTACAATGCTGAACATAAGTGGCAACCAAGATCTAGCTTTAAAGAGTATGTGCCCTTCTCTTCCCTCTTTATTCTTTCTGATTGAGGGAATGTAGATGACATTACTAGAGTGGCAGCAACCATCTGAGACCCTGAAGGGAAGTTAGGACTGGAATTGAGGCCAAGAAATAGCAACAACTGAGAAAAAACCTGGGTCCCTGCCATCCTGGGCAACATAACCTCAGATCTCCTAGCTAGACTTCACTTTGGGTCTCTGTGACTTGAGTCCAAGCTGAAATTGACGCACAGGAGCATTTAAATAAAATTTAAATATTGCAATGCCTGCATGACTCAATCAAAATATATGAACTACTTTCAACACACAAAACTAGAGTTTTGTCTTTTTTTTTTAAAAAAAAACTAACTCTACTAAAGGTGTCAATCTAAGGAAGTACTGTCTAAGCCTGGTAGCCTGGCTCTAGATTGTAAATTTTGAAAAAGGTTTGGTATGTAATTTTTTCCAACTTCAAAATAATTCCATTGGGTTTACAGTATTTATCAATATTATGCTTCTAATATATTCTTTCAAGCTTCCTAACTAATTTCTGATTGTAGAGGCTGTATTACTTTTGCTAACTCTAGATTACTTCCGAAAGCCAAGATTACCCTAAAATCACTAAAAATATTGTCACACCTTTAATAAAAAAACTCCTTACTTGTGTCTATTTACAAAAAAGAGGTATTTGTTAACTCACAATTTGAATGGTTAAATTCGTATATATTATATGCTTTGATTCTAAGTTATTGATAAAACTAAGTCAGGAGCATAAGTCTAAATGGGGTGATATCAAGTATCCCTAATGCAGAGAAAAACAATGAGTGCCTTTATATTAATGGCAAAAAAATTGTGAGGAATACAGATGAAACATCTGTCCTAGAATTTACCATCAGCAGGAGAACCTAATGTCAGCATTAATACCTGACTGATATCAAATAGTGAGTACAACAGAAAGGGAAAGCCACTGCACAGACTGTGGCTTCTGTATCCATTTGACCATTGTTAAGACTAAATACCCAGTAACCAACTCTCAATCCCTCCTCTTGTACCTCAGGCCTTAAACATGCAGCACAGAAATTCTAGTGCAACCCATGATTAGGAGCTCCCTGTTTTCTGAAAATGTCCAAAAATTTAAAGGAAAGCAACTTAACTTTTGGGAGTAGAATCTATATGCCAATCAAATCAGAAAGGTTTTTTCCTTTGTATCCCTCAAAATATTTTTGTTCCTGGAAAACATTCTGATTAAGTTAAGCTATGTATCTGCTGTCATATAATGCTAACTAATCTAAAAGTGACTTCTAATTCCTATATTGACTAGCAGTGTAAAATGTTTAGAAAAGTAATGAGAGAATAAGTGCTAAAGATGCACTTAAGTCTCCATAGTGCCTATCTTTCTTTGGAGCGTACACCACGAAACAAGCAGAAACCCTCATCTCCCCAGTTAACCCATCAGCTCTTTTGGCTCAATATCATCTCTTTTTCTGCTGTTTGCAGTCCACAAGACCACTAGGCAACAGAGCAGGTGGGTAAAAACTGCTTTCTGCATGAACTATCTTAGGTATAAATTGGTGTATGTTCAAGTAAGTCTAAATATAAATTAAGCACTCAGATTTTAAACATTTAAGCCCCTCAAAGAAAGCAGAGTATATAAGAAAAAGAACTTCTTTTCAAGTATTTTCTATTGATCTCTTCCTACCTTAAACATCAACAAAGCTATATTAAAATCCTATTTTTGGGTGAGTACTTTATTCAAAGGCCCAGAGACTATAACCTTGAACTCCAAGCAAGTGAAATAATTTTGTTTCTACATTTTATAGTTTACTGTGAAATCCCAGCAAGAAAAGAAGAAAATCGAGATTAATCTAGACAAAGCAATATGTGGTAATGAAGTCAAAGAACTTCATGGTGAAATCTAAGCAAAAAGGAATGCATGAAACAAAAGAGAAAAAAGATTAGGGATATATTATTACCTCTTTTCAAATGAACCCTTGGACAAAAGACTCCTTTCTGAACAGTAGAATGACCAGGAATTACATATAATAGACTCCTGCTGTATGAAACAGAAGTATGCCTACTTAATTCAAATCTGAAATTTTACACCCTGAAATACTGCACGGTAACTAATATTTAAAAGATAAGATTTCTACGCCAAGCAACTTTCAGAAAAACAGATAAGCAACTGTAGTACCAGTATTTCTGCAAACATTAATAATATACTAAATCTCCAACAAAAGGCCTGACATATACCATGGAATATTTCAGGCAGGCAGGTGAGAGAGGGGACTCAGATTTACATAAAAAATTCTTTGAAAATCCATTAAACTACAATATAGAGACATTCCTCTCAATAAGTCTGATACATCCAGTTTATCCTCCACTGTTGGACAGGTCGTAAGATGATGCATTTGGTTTGTGCAATGTGTGTATTTTATAACACTGTGTGAAGAGATGCTCACACCATAAAAGGCACACAAAAGACAGAGAAAGTAAAAGAATCACATAAGCAGACAGGTGTCATCTCAAGCTCTACTAGACATCAGATGCCAAATGACCAGGCATGTTTCTAAGATCCCAACCTCTCCATCCCCAACTCTCTGCTTCCAGTAACTTAAATGTATTTATTATTCCACCTGGTAGGTGAGACACAGTGTGCCTTCTCTCAGAAATAGCCTGGGATTGGATTTACAGCCAGATTTAGTTGAAATTGTGGTTTACTTATATTTATTTATATATTTTTAGAGACAGTCTCACTCTGTTGCCCAGCCTGGAGTGCATTGGCATGATCATAGCTCAATGCAGCCATGAACTCCTGGGCTCAATGATTCTCCTGCCTTAGCCTTCCAAATTGCTGGTACTACAGGTATGCACCGCCACACTGGATAATGTTTTTTATTTTTTGTAGAGACAGGATCTCTCCCTATGTTGCCCAGGCTGGTTTTAAACTCCTGGTCTCAAGAGATCCTCCCATCTTGGCCTCCCAAAGCATGGTTCTATTATTAATTAACTATATGATTATGGGCAAATAACTTCTTGAGCCTCAGTGTTCTCACATTTAAAATAATAGTATTAATAATTACATAAGGAAGTTGAGATGCTTTTATGAGAACAAATATAAAGGACTCAATATAGTACTGTATAGATAGAAGTCTCTCAACAAATACGACTTCGGTTTTTTGTTCTGTTTTGTTTTGAGACAAAGTCTCACTCCATCACCTAGGCTGGAGTGCAGTGGAGCAATCTCGGCTCACTGCAACCTCCGTCTCCCGGGTTCAAGCGATTCTCGTGCTTCAGCTTCCCAAGTAGATGGGATTACAGGTGAGTGCCACCACGCCCAGCTAATTTTTGTATTTTTAGTCAAAATGGGGTTTCACAACATTGGCCAGGCTGGTCTCGAACTCCTGACCTCAAGTGATCTGCCCACCTCAGCCTCCCAAAGTGCTGGGATTACAGGCATGAGCCACCGTGCCTGGTGACTTCGGTTTTATTTTCTTCTTCAATCAGTTCCCTTTACCTTATTAGGCTGGCTCAGGTAAATAATTCAGCTTCTGTGTCTAATAAGAAAATGCACTAAGGTGCAATGACTTGAACTTTTATGTTTCAATTCAACTAACAAAATTAAGGAGTGATTTTCATCAGGGTGTTAATGTCACATAAAACCCAACAATTTTATTTCAAGAGGATAAACTGAGCCACAAGTCAAACGTTAGGGATTTTCAGTGTCAGTTTCAAATCTGACATAGCTTCCTTTGAACTTTATTATGTGATAAATAAAACAAACATAAAATACAAAAGAATCAAATTATAAAATATACTTCATTGTACCAGAAGTTATATCAAATATATATTCTTCAGAAAAATATTTCTTTTTTTTTTCATTCAAGAGAATTAAATTGTTTATTGATTACACATGATAATGGATGATACACAAGCTTCATTCCCATCTATAATTTTATCTGGTACCATTATTCAATTTAGATATATTGCATAGGATGTGCCAACAATCACTTTTATAACCATTCCATGACTTTGTTTGGGTAATCCCTTTTAATGGTGAACTTCAGGTCACAACAGTAACTATCAGTTCAACTACACCAAGGTTTCCGAAGACAATGGCTTCTCCACCCAAGCAGGTTGTATATAAATTCCAAATAGAACCTGGCATCACCCTGAAGGAATTCTAACTTCACACTGTTGGGGAAATTTACCAAGATGGCTTCAGAGTAGACTAACTTTACACAGCACATTAAAAAAAAAAAGACATTTATTCAGCGTCACGATCAGACTATTACATTTAGCAATCAACAGCATGGGTGCAAAAAAAAAAAATCTACATTAAAACGCTTTGTTGGAATGCTTTACACTTTCCACAGAACAGAAACTAAAATAACCTGTTATACAATTAGTCACAAACACAGTCCTCGAGTTTTTTGCCCATACACATGAGTATTTGTCTAAAACATGTCTTCTTTGTAGCAGCTAGGCCCTGCCACCACTGTGCTTGGCTGAGTTCACAAATCTGTTGTAACCTGTGGCTTCCCTGTCACTTCTCTGGCTCTCCTCTCCTGCTAAGCTTTGTTTCCTAATTAAAATCTTCTGCCACTGACACAGCTACTGCTGCTGCTGGAACCGCCATAGCCACCTTGGTTTCGTGGTTTTGCAAAGTACTGGCCTCCACCGCCATAGGGGCCAGAGTTTCTGCCTCCAAAATTTCCTCCCTTCATGGGTCCAAAATTTGAAGACTGATTGTTGTAATTGCCAAAATCATTGTAGCTTCCACCACCTCCAAAATTGCTTCCATCATTACCAAATCCATTAGAGCCATCCCCACTGCCACCATATCTACCACCAGCACGGCTGCCACCAAAGCCACCACGACCACTGAAGTTTCCTCCATGACCGAAGTTGTCATTCCCACCGAAACCACCTCCACGACCACCACCAAAGTTTCCAGAACCACTTCGACCTCTTTGGCTGGATGAAGCACTAGCCATCTCTTGCTTTGACAGGGCTTTTCTAACTTCACAGTTGTGGCCATTCACAGTATGGTATTTCTGAATGACAATCTTATCCACGGAGTCATGGTCGTCAAAGGTTACAAAGGCAAAGCCCCTTTTCTTGCCACTGCCTCGGTCAGTCATGATTTCAATCACTTCAATTTTTCCATACTGTTCAAAATAATCTCTTAGGTGATGTTCTTCAGTGTCTTCTTTAATGCCACCAACAAATATCTTTTTCACAGTTAAGTGGGCACCTGGTCTTTGAGAATCTTCTCTGGAGACAGCTCTCTTTGGTTCCACAACTCTTCCATCCACCTTGTGTGGCCTTGCATTCATAGCTGCATCCACCTCCTCCACAGTGGCATATGTGACAAACCCAAAGCCCCTGGAGCGCTTGGTGTTTGGATCTCTCATTACCACACAGTCCGTGAGCGTTCCCCATTGCTCAAAATGGCTCCTCAGGCTCTCATCAGTTGTTTCAAAGCTCAACCCTCCAATGAAGAGCTTCCTCAGCTGTTCGGGCTCTTTAGGAGACTCTGACTTAGACATGACGGCAGGGTGAAGAGAGACTTTAACGATGCTTCTTCGGCGGCGTCCACGGGCAGAAAGGCCAGAAAAATATTTCAACTACATATTTGACAGTTTGGGGGAGTCACTCACATTAAGTAGATTTCCAAAAATACCGCTTAGCCTTAAAAACAAAACCACATAAAACTTGAAAGAAACAAAGACTCATACAAATGTCAATGCTGAAAACCTAATGATGTTTCCATTATCAATATATAAAACCACTGAATTTTAATATTCTCTGTACACATAACAGAGGGTTAATAAGAAAAATGAAGATTATTTTATTTTGCCAGGTGGGTTGCCCTGAAGACAGTGGCTAGGTGACATTCTACATCTATGACTTCAAAATACACACAATAAAAAAGTTCAACATGAAAGGACACTATATCAAAATAATGGAAATAAGCAAACACTAAAAAACCAGATCATTAAGTTTTATAGATAGGTCTATAAAGATATAATAGGCCTAAAAGAAGTAAAAAAGTGTCTCTGTTAAGTAGGGTGCAACTTCTTAAAATTGAACTGGAAAACAAAACAGCTATCATTTCTTTTTAAAACTCTAAAGATAATGAGGAAAAAAAACCCACCAAAACAAACCCCAGGAGTTTACAGATATTGACTGAAAGATATCATCAATTAAATTGGTACTGTGGTTAGTTACACTCCCAAGCAATTATATTGCTTATGAATAAATTACTAGTATAATTTTCTGGGGCAAAATGTAACAAAAGAAAATCACTTTGACACTTAGTCATACTTACATAGGAATATTTCCTAAACTTGTCATCTGAGACATGGAATATTTATCTGGCTTGAGGGGAGGCAAGCTATAGCCATGAGAGTTCACAAGTGTATTGTACACACATATACTTTTTTTAAATGAAAAATCTATTTTAATGACTGAAAGTATACAAAAAATTATAGATAAAAGGTCGCTATTTGCAAAGTTTAAATTACATTAAATTGGAATAACATTTTAAGGTTTTCACAGACAATGACAAAATAAGGGATCAGTACAGCTTGGCTCAATAAATGTAAGGACTCTCCTTCACCAAGATCCATCAGCAAATCACTGTGTCAACTTGATCCAGTGACTATTTTCTAAACTTTCTCAGACAGACAGATAGATGAGTATACAGACCGAAGAAAGAGAGACAGTTGGAATATCATTAAGCATATATAAACATATGAGTTATTTTTTTCAGACAAGGGCAATCTAATTGAAGAAGTTTACCTGAAGTATGTGGTTACATAAAAAAAAAGGTTAGGTCACAAAACAAGTCTTAAAACATGCAAAAAAACTGAAATAATATCAAGCACCTTCTTCTGACCACAACTGAATAAACCTACAAATCAATAACAAGAAAAATTTTGGAAACCATATAAACACATGGAAATGAAACAACATGCTCCTGAGTGACCAATGGGTCAATGAAGAAATTAAGAAGAAAATGTAAAAATGTATTGAAACAAACGACAATGGAAACACAACATACTAAAACCTACGGGATACAGCAAAAGCAGTGTTAAAAGGGAAGTTAATAGCTATAAATGCCTATATCAAAAAGGAAAAAAACCTTCAAATAACCCAGTGATGCATCTTAAAGAACTAGAAAAGCATGGGCAAACAAAACCCAAAATTAGTATAAGAAATAAAAATCAGAGCAGAAATAAATGAATTTGAAATATAGAACACAATACAAAATACCAATTAAACGAAAAGTTGGCTTTTTGAAAAGATAAACAAAACTGACAAACCTTTAGCAGACTAAGAAAAAAAGGGAGAAGACTCAAATAAATAAAATTTGAAATAAAAAAAGGAGATATTACAACTGATACCACAGAAATTCAAAGGATCATTAGTGGCTACTATGAGCAACTTATATGCCAATAAATTGGAAAATCCAGAATAAATGGATATATTCCCAGACATATACAATCTACCAAGAGTGAATTAAGAAGAAATCAAAACAAGAACAGACTAATAACAAGTAACGAGATCAAAGCCATAATAAAAGTCTTCTAGTAAATAAAAGCCCTGGACCTGATGGCTTCACTGTTGAATTCTAACAAGCATTTAAAGAAAAACTAATACCAATCATACTCAAACTGTTCTGAAAAAAAATAGAGGAAGAGGGAATACTTCCAAACTCATTCTACAAGGTCAGTGTTACCCTGATACCCAAACCAGACAAAGGCACATCAAAACAAACAAACAAACAAACAAACAAAAACAGGCCATTATCTCTGATGAATATTGATGCAGAAAATCTTCAACAAAATACTAGCAAACTAAATTCAACAATATACTGAGAAGCTCATTCATCATAACCAAGGGGGATTTATCCCAGGGATGCAAGCACAGTTCAACACACGGAAATCAATCAATGTGACACATCATATCAACAGAATGAAGGACAAAAACCATATGGTCATTTTACTGATGCTGAAAAATCATTTGATAAAGCTCAACATACCTTTATGATAAAAAAACCTCAAAAAACTGGGTATAGAAGGAACATACCTCAACATCATAAAGCCATATATGACAGACCCACAGCTAGTAACCTACTGAATGGGGGAAAACTGAAAGCCTTTCCTCTAAAATCTGGAACACAACAAGTAAGTCCATTGTCACCACTGTTATTCAACATAGTACTGGAAGTCCTAACTAGAACAAGCACACAAGAGAAGGAAATAAAGAGCATCCAAATTGGAAAGGAAAAAGTCAAATGGTCCTTTTGCAGATGATATATGATTTTATATCTGGAAAAAACTAAAGGCTCCACCAAAAAATTATTAGAACTGATAAACAAATTTGGTAAAGTTCCAGGATACAAAATCAACATACAAAAATCAATGGCATTTCTATATGCCAACAGTGAACAATCTGAAAAATAAATCAAAAAAGCGATCACTTACAATAGCCACAAATAAAATTAAATACCTAGAAATTAACTTAACCAAAGAAGTAAAAGATCTCTACAATGAAAACTATAAAACACTGAGGAAAGAAATGAAGAGGACACAAAAAAATAAAAGATATTCCCTGTTCATGGATTGAAAGAATCAATGTTGTTAAAATGCCCATATTACTCAAAGCAATCTGCAGATTCAACACAATCCCTACCAAAATACCAATGTCATTCTTCACAGAAACAGAAAAACAATCCTAAAATTTATATGGAACCACAAAAGACCCAGAATAATCAAAGCTATCCTGAGCAAAAGAACAAACTGGAGGCATCACACTAACTGACTTCAAATTATATTAATACTACAGAGCTACAGTAACCAAAACAGCATGGTACTGGCATAACAACAGACACATAGACAAATGGAACAGGACAGAGAACCCAGAATCAAATCCACACACCTACAATGAACTCATTTTTGACAAAGGTTCCAAGAAAATACACTGGGGGAAACACAGTCTCTTCAATAAACAGTGCTGGGAAAACTAGACATTCATACGCAGAAGAATGAAACTAGACCCTTATCTCTTGCCATATACAAAATTCAAATCAGAATGGATTAAAGATTGAAATCTAAGACCTCAATCTATGAAACTACTAAAAGAAAACACTGGGGAAAGTCTCCAGGACACTGGACTGTAGATTTCTTGAGTGATACCCCACAAGCACCGGCAACCAAAGCAAAAATGGACAAATGGGGTCACATAAAGTAAGAAGGCTTTTTGCACAGCAAAGAAAAGAATCAATGAAGTGAAGACAACCCACAGAATGGGAGAAAATATTTGCAAACTCCTCATCTGACAAGGGATTCATAACCAGAATGCATAAGGGGCTCAAACAACTCTATAGGAAAAAAATCTAGTAATCCAATTTAAAAATGGGCAAAATATTTGAATGGACATTTCTCAGAAGAAGATATACAAATGGCAAACAGATATATGAAAAAGTGCTCAACATCACTGATCATCAGAGAAATGCAAATCAAAACTACAATGAAATATCATTTCACCCCAGTTAAAATGGCTTTTATCCAAGTCAGGCAGTAACAAATGCCGGCAAGGGCATGGAAAAAAGGGAACCCTCATACACTGTTGGTAGTAACGTAAATTAGTACAACCACTTTGGAGAACAGTTTGGAGGTTCCTCAAAAAACTAAAAATAGAGCTAACATATGATCCAGCAATCCCACTGCTGGGTACAGATAGAAAGGAAAGGAAATCAGTATAACAAGGAGGTATTTACACGCCCATGTTTCCTGCAGCTCTGTTCATCACAGCCAAGATGCGGAAGCAACCTAAGCATCCATCAGCAGATGAATGGATAAAGAAAATGTGGAACTTATAGACAATGGAGTACTATTCAGCCATAAAAAAGAATGAGATCCTGTCATCTACAAGAACATGGGTGGAACTGGAGGTCATTATGTTAAGTGAAATAAGCCAGGCACAGAAAGACAGACATTGTATGTTCTCACTTATCTGTGGGATCTAAAAATCAAAACAACTGAATTCATGAAGACAGCACATAGAAGCATGGTTACAAGAGGTTGGGAAAGGTAGTGGGGGTGGGAGGAAGGTGGGGATGGTTAATGGACACACACAAAAAAAGTAAAAAAGAATAAGACCTAGTATTTATAGAACAACAGGGGGACTATAGTCAATAATATTAATAATTTAATTGTACATTTAAAAATAACTAAAAGTATAATTGGATTATTTGTAACACAAAGGAGAAACACTTGAGGAGATACCCAATTTTCCATGTGATTATTATACACTGCATGCCTGTACCAAAATATCTCATGTAGCCTATAAACATATACACCTACTATGTACGCACAAAATTAAAAAAATGAATATGGAAAACTTTCTACCCCATTCCAATTCTCCACCAACATAATAAAATGAGAGAAAATATTTTCTTCCATCTCATATTTTTCAATATTTCCATTTCAATATTTTCTAGATGCAAGAGGAAAGTAGATAAAGTGTCTAAAAACACCAAGGAGACTAAAATAGAATAATCACATACATATAATAGAGCAACCCGTGTTCTTTTCCCCCTTGTGAGATAGTCAAAATTAGCGACTTTCTTCTTGCTATGCTTACAGAGTTCCGTGATGAGTCTCAGATGTCCATGGTGTCAAAGTCCATGAGCCAAAGTCAACGGCTCCTGGTTGCTGTGTACTGTAAACACCCTCTACTCATCCCACACACCTCTCTGTTCTAGGGCTCAATTCCACCTTGTTATGGAATAGCCACATACTGTTCTTTTGCTTGTTTGCTACATATGAAATGGGAATAACAGACCCACTCCAAAGGATAACGTGAGCATGACATAAAATCACCAAGAATTAACTCAGTAAAGTAAAAGGGAAAGAAACCTGTATCCTCAAATCACTTTAAGCATGATGATATTTAACAAGTAACCTCTCAACTGAGAGGCTAAGGCCTTTCCTACCTGCCCCAGAGGTTGAAATCCATACCAAGTATCATAATACAATAGAACCAATAAGATCGAACTGGGGGTTTCAAAAAGAGACAAGGGGAAAGAAACGAGTAGGGTTCTCTTTCATTTAACGCAACAGTGGCTCTTAAGGCCACAGATGGAAAACATATTGTAAGCTTGAGAGATGCTAACACTGCAAGACTCAAGACCAATAATCAGCGTAAGTAGACAGAAATGAAGAGAAGGATAACGTGTTAGTTTTGTAATGCTGTGTAACAAGTTACCACAAACTTAGCAGCTTAAATATAGTCAGACGTCTAGCACTCCAAGGCTGGGCTCTCCACTCAGGCTGAAATCAAGGCGTCAGCTGGCTGCATTCTCATCTGGAATTCAGGGTCCTCTTCTAAGCTCATTCTTGTTGGAAGAATTCAGTTGCAGTTGTTAAGACTGAAGTCCCTGTCCTTTTGCTGGGTATTCACTGGAAACTGCTCTTGATTCCTATTCTCAGGTCCTTGCCCAGTGGCCCCATCCCCTTCTCAGCACCAGAAAACCTGTCTCATGCTAAATCCCTCTCAGGCTTCAAATATCTCTGACTTTCTCTTCTGTGACCAACTAGGGAAATCTCTTCCATTCAAAGGGCTTGCCTGATTAGGTCGGGCCACCAAGATAGTCTCCCTCCATGGATAATAAGCTGAATGCTTGTTTTCTCCCAAAGTGCATGTTGAAATCCTGACTTCCAGGGTGATGGTATAAGGAAGTGGGGCATCTGGGAAGTAAGTAGAGGGTAGAGCCCTCATGGGTAAGATTAGTGAAGGGACCCCAGGCACCTCTCTCATTCTCTTCCTGCCACGTGAGGATTCAAGGAGGTTGGCAGCCTCCAATCTGCAAGAGGGCCCTCACCAGAACCTGACCATACTGGCACTGTGATCCTGGAATGCCAGCCTCCAGAACTGTGAGAAATAAATTTCTGTTGTTTATAAGCCACCTGGTCTATGGCACTTTGTTACAGCAGCCTGAACTAAGACACTAGTTCAACCAATTAGGGACCCTAAAAATTACATCTGTAAAATTTAAATCCCCCTTTGCCATACACATAATCTGGCATAACACCAGGGGATGAGTACAAGGGAGCCATTTCAGAATTCTGCCTATCACACATGCTAATACAGGAAGGAAGCTCGTTATTTCAGTACAGAGTAGATACAGAATTAAAGAGAATGATGGGTCAAGTGTTGTGTTTATACAGTACCTTTCAAAAAGACTTTATGGGTAAAAAGCAACCGAAACCCATTTATACTTTGAGATATTATGATACGAAAGCAGTTGTCACCTCGCCTAAGGTGAGTGGAAGAGCCACGTAACAGTATAGCCTGCTTCATTTACAGTGCCACTAGGCCAAAAGAACACACTCCACAGGCTCTGGAGATAAACAGAATCTTAAACTCAGATAAATTTAATTGAGAAATGAATGCAGCCAAAACCTATTAGTCTTTAAGAATAAAGTTTGAAATAATTTTCAACAATTTCACTTGGCTTTTTAAAGTTAACTGAGCATAATTATCATAGCTTTAAATAGTTTCAAAATTATTACTCTATCTGTCATGCTGAGGTCTTGAGACTTCCTTTCTTTGCTCCTTTGACTGTACTTTTCAACCCTAGACAGGAAGGGGAAAGAAGAAAGGGAAGTCTTTTTGTTTTTTTGCCAAAATGACTATATTAGGGACCAGAAAATATTTAAAAATAGGAAAAAAAAAAACCCTGCTGGCCACTGATATTGAGGGAAATGGGCACTATGATTTAAACTCCTACACATCTCTACCTCCCGGGATGCATCTAATGGTTTCAACTGCTGCTGGGCACTGACTCCCCCACTTTATGGATTCACTATTCCTGACCCTGAATTGCCACCCTGGGGCACTCATCCATCCCAATGACCACCACTGGGAAACCATATACCCATGGGAAGTTTGTAAAAAACGTTTCCATTTAATTTGCAAAGAACAGAATCCCGGCTGACGCAGTGGCTCATGCCTGTATTCCAATGTTTTAGGAGGCCAAGGCAGGCGGACAGCTTGAGTCCAGGAGTTTGAGACCAGCCTGGGCAACACAGTGAGACCCCCTTCTCTTCAAAAATGAAAAAAAAAAAAAAATAGAATCCCAAAGCTGGATGCAAGAGAGCCACATAGTACTTAACTGCATTGGTTTCATAAACATGAACGTTCTCTGCCGTGGCTCTGTCTTCATTACAGAGAATCCAACAATCTTGCGGCACCTCAGACTGTTCTCACTTATGCAGCAGCTGGAGTTCCTTCCTCAGTATCTGCGCTGCATCTACCTATTTAGAGTAACATTTATAAATATACCCAGGGAGATTCAGAAAGGACATAAACTCAAGTCCCATTCAGAGTCCTTTGGATGGAGGGCAATTATGAAAGGGCCAATGAAACTATATTAAGCTTCACTAATCCTGATAGCTGTTGTATAATATTTAAAGTTATACATAATTGTCAAGCACAGGCCCAGTAAGTTACTTAACCCACTTCCCTCATCAGTAAAATGCAGATACTAATAATAATAGTGTCTACTTTGTAAGGTTGTAGGCTGGATTAAATGTGTGTGTAAATGCAAAGCACTTGGACCAGGCACTTGGTACACAGTAAGCACTCAACAAAGCTTGGCTAAAATGATTGTCATTGTTCTAACTCATTGTCCCTCAGGTCCATTCTCTTCTGCACATCCCCTTTGTTCTAGGCTTAATACAGGCTCCCAGCAGCTCCCAGCTGATTACATTCTAACATCCATCTAAACTGGTTCCCATTCTGGTGCTATGAGAACCTTCCTAATGCCAATCTGCTCACATCATTCCCCTGCTTTGAAACCTTCAATGGCTCTTCACTACTCTAAGAAAAAAGTCCAAACGCCGTGGGGTGCAGCATGAAACCCTTTAGGACCCAGCCACAGCAGTAACACTGGTAACGTATATCAGAAGGCAGAATCAAAAAAAGGTGCACAGATAAAGACAGCTCCAGGGTCTATCTCAGGCCTCCATGTTTTTTTTCTCACGCTTATTCTGTTGCCTAGAAAGCCCTTCCCCCATATTACCCAAGCTAGAAATTGGAGAGTCTCCTCTGTCATATTTGCAAGAGATCTGTTTTTCCTTCCCTTCTTAACAGTCTCTTTAATGCCTAGGATACTCCCAAATCCACACAAAACCTTCCCAAGCTAGACACAAGTTACCTTTCCAGCACATCATCCTCTTCCAGCAGGTGATATAAACAAACTACCTGAGGTTCTCAGAACTATAAACCTTAAAGCTTCTGCCCCTCTGTACACACTTCCCTCTGCCTAAAATTATCCTTTCTCCTACTTTTTTTTTTATACTTTAAGTTTTAAGTTTTAGGGTACATGTGCACAACATGCAGGTTTGTTACATATGTATACATGTGCCATGTTGGTGTGCTGCACCCATTAACTCTTCATTTAACATTAGGTATATCTCCTAATGCTATCCCTCCCCCCTTCCCCAACCCCACAACAGGCCCTGGTGTGTGATGTTCCCCTTCCTGTGTCGCTGTGTTCTCATTGTTCAATTCTCGCCTATGAGTGAGAACATGCGGTGTTTGGTTTTTTGTCCTTGCCATAGTTTGCTGAGAATGATGGTTTCCAGTTTTTCTCTGACTTCTAACTCCCATTCCCAGTGAAGCCTTTGCTGGCATGCCTCCCATCTTCCATTCAACAGATGGAACTGATTCTTTCCTTTCACTCCCTTGGCCCTGGTACACCTCTTCCCCAGGTTTCTTTTAACTGCAGTGACATTTCGTATTTGTAGGTCTGCCTTCCACACTAGGCTGAGAGCTCAAGGTCTTAGCAACTCCAGTACTTAATAATGATGCTCAATGTATGTTTCCTGGATTAAGTTTCCTGTGTAACTGGCATTATGCTGTCATTTTCCATTCTCCAAATTCAGGATGAGAGCTTTACTAAGGAACACTATTTATTACAGAATAGAATTTTTTGGAAGAAAGGTTTTCTTTATCATTAAAAAGGGATTTTATTACTACACTATCCAAAACTTGAAGCCTAAAAATTCCTGGCTTAGACAATTAGAAACAACATATGTAAAAATTTGGTCTAATCATATGAGGTTGGAGTTTTTTAAAGCAACAACTTTGAGTGGAACAAGAACAAATTTGGAATCACAGAATTTTAGAACTAGAAGTCTGCTTGGAGAAACTAAAGGTCAAGTGCTTTCCTTTTATAATTGAGGAAATATGTACAAGGTTCCTGATCAGTCAGTGGCGACAGCAAGACTAGAACTCGGCCTCCTGCTTCTTGGTCTCAAACATTATACCATCTGAGAGGGAAAACTAAATCGCCTATTCTATAAAATAAATGAGATACTCAAATTTCATATGAGCACATAAACATTGACCTAAATTGTGTATCTCAATGTAGTATCAAAGCAAACCCAGCCCAGGGGAACACAGTGAAGCAACAGAGAGAAGGGCTGGCTTTTAAGTCTATGGGCAGAGTAAGAATTCCAGTGGGACACTAGCTGTGTGCTCCTGATTAAACTGCTTGCAGGCAGTTTTCTCATCTGCGATGTGAGAACAGTACTTCTTTCAGAAACTGTTATGAGGATTAAATGAGAACATCAGTGAGAGCATTCTGCAAATCATAAATGTTACACAAGTGCCAGATATTAATAAAATATGAAATAGGTATTAGTTTACACTATGTTTTAGTTTACACTGAAAAATACATTCACATGTGAATGTGAAAACTAGTCACTACTTCATTATTCTGTTTATCCTTATATCTTTCTCTTGTTTTGATGTTGGCCTTTGCTCTGTGCAAGAGAATTATACCAGCTCCAAGGTAAGAAAAAGAAAGGGAAATTAGGTCTTATTTGATTATGCAATAATTCAGGTTTTTCTTAGACTCTGTTGTCAGTGACAATAGAAAGAGCTCTTTAAAATCATCACAAGTATATTACCACCTCACAACTGTGTAACACAGGCAGCTGCTTATGTATTCCAACAGACTACAGGTCTCATACAAGCTTAACGTCAGTGAGGCGCAGAATCTTTAAGTTGCAAGGAGCATTAAGGATCATCTAAATCTTACATTCCCTTAAATGACAAATTATAGTATTTTGTACTTCAACACACAAGTTAATTATTTCATATGTTAGACCTGACTATAGAGTATAGATGTCTATTAAGAAATGGAGCTGGGCATGGTGGCTCACACCTGTAATCCTAGCACTTTGGGAGGCTGAAGTGGGAGGATCACTTGAGCCCAAGAGTCTGAGACATGCCAGGGCAACATAAAGAGACCCTGTCTCTACAAAAAAAATTCAAAAATTAGCTGGATGTGGTGGTACATGCCTGTAGTCCCAGCTCCTCAAGAGGCTGGGGTGAGAGGATCACTTGAGCCCAGGAGATAGAGGCTGCAGTGAACTGAGATCATGCTGCTGCGATCCAGCCCAGAGAACATAGTGAGACCCCCATCTCCCCACCAGCCAGAAAAAAAAAAAAGCAAGTGTCTCACAGGAGTACTTCCATATGCTAAAATCTATGATGAATTAAATTCAACATAAATGCTAAGCCTGTGACACTGAAGTATAAATAGAAGTATTATAAAAATTTTTGACAGTTATTTCTCCATTGGACATTAAATCTCACAGATCTTTTTTATACTTGTGCAAACACGGTTACATAAATATATGATCCCACAGTATAATTTCAACTTGGGATTCCATTTTTAGAAAGGAAACCATAGTTACTTATGATGATAAAGTAAGATAAGATATTAGGATAAGATAAAAGTCAAAGGCAAGTGAAAGGAAAGAATCATGACTATATTCCCGGTTGCAAATCAGTATTGCATGTGTTTTGGTTAACGTAAATCAATTTACCAGGGTCTGATACATTTCAAACCAACAAGGCAAAAAACCAAACAACAAAAAAAACTGGATTCTGAAATAGCATTAACTATATCAAGATACTGTATATATTTGGAACCAGATGAGATCATTTTCTCTCAGCATACATATTCACATGTATTAAATAAAAATTTAAAAATAAAGCTTTAAGCATGGCTTTATATTGCTATCAACATATATATAAATAGAACTTGTAAACATCAGATGTTTTACTCACTTTCCTTTGTGAAACATCCTTATAACATTCTCTTAATTCAGCATGTTGTCAAATAGTACTTATTAAGCACTATTCTCAGTAAATGAAACAGAACAGTCCCTTGTTCTGTGTTGTAATTTGGCACAGACAACATCCACAGAGGCCAGCCCTCCAAAGGGTATATCAAACCGTTCTAAAGAAAGATTACAACAGTAAGGCCCAAGAAAAAGGCACTTAAAATTCTGTACCAGTCCCAATTTAGTGTTTGTGATTGAGTAAAGGGTCAACCAAATGATCACTTGGCTCCTCCCCTCCACTATTTTTACCTCAATGCGTTGGGCATATGTTAATTTGTTATTACTCACTTAACTATTCCACTATAAAAGTGCTTAGTATTTTCTATATACTTAGCTTTTAAACCCTATTAACTCAGCAGCTCCCACTTTAAAAATATATATTTTTTCCACATTAATGATAGGAAATACAGTTAACCAATTTACTAAACCATCACTGTGGCACAAAATTTTATTTGGAGCCATTTCCCATTAACTACTGTGAAGATTTCTTTAAGAAAGGTCCTACCATTTTTAAGTAAAAATTGTTATCTTTTGAGGTAAACAGTGATTCCAAGTATTTTCATAAACATTGTGGGAAAAGATTTTCCTCCATAGTCTGCTAATTGATCAGTTCCTGGAAAGTCTCTTAGTGGCCACAAGAATTTGTTTTGTGCTCTGTACTACCTTATAACTTAGAAGAGAGAAACAGGGGGTGGAGACACAAAAGAGAGAGTAATGTGCATAGAAGAACCAAGAAATAAAGAATAGTGCGAGATAAAAATGCTAATTTTGAGGCTGAGTGCTAATATTGTGTCCAAGACTCTAAGTCAACAAATGTTCAGTGAAGGCTTGTACCCTACCTCCTAAGAACACAGCCAAACAAAGATATGTTGAACAGTAAGCATGACTCATATGGATTTCTCTTTTGCAAGAAATACTTCTTTTCATCTAATCTAAGTAGCTCTTGAACTGTTTCTCTTTCTTCAGTTCTTTGTGAGAAAGAAAACAGTTGTTCAGCCTTCTTTTCTTGACAATTTTTTGCATATTCAGACAGTTAAGTGGTCTCTTAAACTTTTCTTCAAATTAAAGATTCACAACTCCTTTACCCTTTCCTCATTTATGGGCCTTATTTTTTATAAGCCTTTGACTATTTCTACTACTCTTCTCTGAATTTTCTCCAGTTTTAATTCTTTTTGTTTGTTTGATTGTTTGTTTTTGAGACGGAATCTTGATCTGTCGCCCAGGCTGGAGTGCAGTGGTGTGATCTCAGCTCACTGCAACCTCTGCCTCCCAGGTTCGAGCAATTCTCCCGCCTCAGCCTCCCGAGTAGCTGGGATTACAAGCACACGCCACCACGCCCAGCTAGTTTTTGGTATTTTTAGTAGAGATGGGGTTTCACCGTGTTAGCCCAGGATAGTCTCGGTCTCCTGACCTCGTGATCCACCCGCCTCAGCCTCCCAAAGTGCTGGGATTACTGGCTTGAGTCACCATGCCCGGCCTCTTTCTTTAATTCTAGAGTCTGAAAGAGAAAATAGGATGTTTGACTAATGGCCTGGCCAACAGGCAAAGCATGATTATTTTCCTGTTCTTAAAAATTATATTCTTTTACTGACATTAAAATAGGAATCCCAGGATCTAAGGTAAAAGACACACATGACAGAAATTCTGGCTTCAACTTATGCCTCACTCTATTATATACAGGTCTGTTCTTTCAGTTTCCATTTTCTACTTCATGTATTTGAATTGTACATCTCCAAGTACATCTCTAAATGTATCACTACCATTTTCTTTTTCTATAGAAATTCCTCTTCCACCTCTACTTAAGTGTTTTCACAATTCAATCAACTCCACCAATTTAATATGACTTGACTGGCTAATGAGCTTGTCAACCTTTGTAACCTTCAGGAAGGTTACAAAATTTATCAAACTTGCAAATATAAGTTTTTCAACCATTTTTATTCATAAGCTTGTCAAACTGTTTTAACAATTTTCCTCCAGGTGGCTGCTCTATATCTTAAAGATCACTGCATTTTTAATGGCATTATATTTTTTAAAAAGATGATTTCCTTTTCCTCTTACATAATCTACCATCATTTTTAGAACTCTCCATATAATACACTTTCCCTCCATATATAGTCATATATTTTCATGCACTTTTACTTAAATTGCATAGGAGCCCTTTCTTTCCCTTTATTCATGCTATTGTGTGTTGGAAGTTTTTTGAGACCTAATAAATTTTAATCCATTCTATTCCTAAATTTGTTTTACTCTCGTTGTCCCAACTTCCCATGGTAGTTTCTGGGAGCTCCAACTTTTGAGAGCCATATACATTTGCACTGCAAATCAATAAAAGAGATATCAAATGAACTAAGATAGGGACTTTTCACTGGGGAAGTTATATTGCAAAGAAAACACCTACGTCATTAAGTGGCTCAGTAGCTACCATTTACTGAGCAGCAATTCTTTTCCAGGAAACATATTAAGTGTTTAACAGTCAACAGGTATGTAAATTATTCTTCCCAAATTTATAGATAAGAAAAACTTAAGTTCAAAGAGGTGAAGTAACCAGCCCCAAATCATTCTGTTAATAAATGACAGAGCTGGAGAGAGAACCAGGAATGTCTGCCTCCCTGAGTTTGACATGGAAATTGAGAGTTCAATCTTGAAATGATTGCAATGGTGATGTTTGAGGGAGCTGAGGTCTGGTGCAGTATCACCACTATCAGAAGCATCGACAGAAAAGCTGATGGCAGCAACATGCTTATCACCCACAAATGCTCATTAAAATTTTTCCTCCAAGGGACTGTATCATTATATTCTGTCACATCATAAAAATCAAAATCAGACACGTGAAGATAAGTGATACTCTGGGTTTAAATTAAGCATCTAACCTTGGAGAGAAAAACTGGCATTAAGCTCAGACAACTAAAATGACTCATGAATATTTCCAATTTTCCTTCTAACCATAAAAAATGTGACCTTTCAAAAAATGCCACATCATTTGTGGGTATATTAAAGCTGTATTTTCTAAATCTGAAAATTAAAATTTCTTAGGTCTCAAAAAACTTCCAACACACAATAGCATGAATAAAGGGAAAAAAAGGGGTCCTATGAAATTTAAGTAAAAGTGCATGAAAAAATATGACTATATATGGAGGGAAAGTATATTATATGGAGAGTTCTAAAAATGGTGGTAGATTATGTAAGAGGAAAAGGAAATCATCTTTTTAAAAAATATAATGCCATTAAAAATGCAGTGATCTTTAAGATGTGGAGCAGCCAGCCACCTGGAGGAAAATTGTTAAAACAGTTTGACAAGCTTATGAATAAAAATGGTCGAAAAACTTGTATTTGCAAGTTTGATAAATTTTGTAACCTTCCTGAAGGCCACATACCATTAGAGGCTTTAATTCTTATAAGCTAGAAACTTAAACATGGTATTGTAAGAGACAACTTTTGGGAGTTCTGTCTAGTTTACCCTTTAACCATTGATAGGGTTTGGATCTGTGTCCTTGCCCCAGTCTCACATTGAATTGTGATCCCCAGTGTTGGAGGTGGGGCCTGGTGGGAGGTGACTGGATGATGGGGGTGGTTTCTCATGAATGGTTTGGCATCACCCCCTGTGGTTGGAACAGTGAGTGAGTTCTCGTGAGATCTGGTTGTTTAAAAGTGTGTAGCACCTCTCCCCTCTCTCTCTTCCTCCTGCTCCAGCCATGTGAGGTACCTCACTACCCTTTGCCTTCTGCCATGATTGTAAGTTTCCTGAGGCCTCCCCAGAAACTGATGCTACCATGCTTCCCATATTGCTGCAGATCCGTGAACCAATTAGACCTCTTTTTTAAATAAATTACTTAGTCTCAAGTATTTCTTTATAGAAATGCAAGAACAGACTAATACAACCATTAAATGTCACTCTTACCCCCAGAGGAGGGGCCCCAGACACAACATTTAATACTAAATGCTTCAACTCTCCAGACACAGTTGATTGGCTCAAGAATGAGTATGTGGAATCATCTTCCATCTTTTCGGTTCCTTGTTTTAGTCCTTTGCTGCATTCTTGCCCCTGAATTCCCTGATAGTCCTCTATTCTCCTTTTCTCATTCAGTAGTTCAAGTTTTTTTTTTTGTATCATCTGCAAAGCCTTAGCAAAATTTACAGTTTCAAAAACCTTTACAGAATGAATTTATGTTTCTTTATGTACTACCCTCTCCTCTCAAAAAATAACTCTCTAAAATAAAGACTTGCAATGACACCTTCCTTTTATGGGGGAGGGGGAACGGGCAAGGTAAGTTTCAGAGTCTCTATCGTCCATATTAACTTTTATTATCTCCATCAATTAAAGGGAAATGCCCTGTCTCAAATTTTGATTCACTGTTGGACCGCTTTTATATCAATAACAACTTAAAACTATATGTCATTCTACACTATTAGGTTTTTATTTCTCCTACATTTTCCCAGTGATATTCTAAATCATTTTAATAATTTTGGAGTCCATGATCCTTTGGCAAGGGATCCAAAAAGGATCAAAAGCCACTTAGGATTATTTCTATCATAAGAATCAAATAGAAATAGTTCAAAGAACAACTTCAGCATTCTGGGTAATGTCCACCTCCCAGAATCACTATTGTTAATACCCAATAACCAAGCCTAAATCTTTCTAACAAAACAAATCCTTTATTCCATTATAGCCATAGTCACCTTAAAGCAGAGGCTGCATGCCATTCTGAATTCTGTTGCTACCACGATATTTTTGAACTCCACAACACAGTACTTCAAATACTAAAAGAGAATTCAAGCTGTGAAGATATGAATTGAGAAAAGCCAGAAAGTGCTTCAGCTTGCCGGCTATGTTTCCGGCTTAGGTGCTTGATACCATTTTAATCTATGCTGATAAAAGACACTTCACTCCTCTAATGAAAAGCACTAATCCAACTAAAGGTGAACTTTAATTCTAAATGAACAACTTTCTATCTCACACCTTCCTGGTGCAGAGGAGGAATGACATTCTTTAATCTTAATTGCTGTTAGCCTACAGTATGCATGTAAGATAGAAAAAAACAAAAACAAAACCACAGTTGAATACTTAACCACTTTCTGCACTGCAAAGACTGGTAAACAAGTTCAAAAAATACTAGAAATCATGGCTTGTCATGGACAACTGAGTAACATGAAACTGAAGGACATGATATAACAATTTGGTTTCAAACACCATGTCACTGTATTATATTTTCATTTGAACACTGAAAGAGTTGTTGCTCAGTGGGATCAAAGCGAGGGGTGGTAAGTGGAAGAAACAATTAACACTGAAGTACAACTCCGCAGGCTGTCAGACCCAGACAACAGACCAAAGACAAAATCATGGCAGAGAATGCTGGTATTTCAGGATATCTCAGAAATATGAAAACCAACCTTTAGAACACTCTCTTACCAAATGAATCAACTATATTACAAATGAATGGCATATACAAACATACTGACAGGCATGAAGGGAGCTGTCCCTAGTAGTTTTAGAAACAGTGTTTCTGACTTCATGCTGTAATACAAAGAAAAAAAGACCTGTACACAAATACTGTACTCTAGTTGCTAAACTTGTTTCTCGCAAGAGTACGGATTCACAAACTCTCTCTATATATATACTAGGATTGAACAAATAAACAAATATATTGGAAGGAAGGGAGTCTCAGTCTGGAGATCCACAGCCTTTTAAGGATTCTTCAAGAGATACAGTACACCTCACCCTGTTTCTCCACGGAATGCAGTTATAAACCATAGAGAGACTGCATGGGGCAGCATTCTGAAGACTCTAAAAAGTACACAGCAGCCAGGAGAAGAAGAGGACATGACTTTGATGTAGCATCACATCAGGGTCTTCAAGCAATCCACAAGTAATGACAGTGGCGGCAACAGCTAGGTAGGTCCCTAAAACCCTGAACGAGGAGAATCCTCTCTGACTAGAGAAACTGTGGTTCCAAGAGTATGGGGCAAATAACTGTTGCTTTTTAAATCTCTTTGTACTCTTGCCACTTGGCCCTGTAAATGCAATTGTGGGGAGTGCAGGGCAGAGAGGAAAAGCTAAAGCTTTGATTTTTTTGGCCAGAAGACTAGGAAGGGGGTTTCAGAGAGCTAGAAAATGTCAGGGATATCACAGAGAGAAAGGAGTTCAACAGAGTGATCCTATAAATTTGAGTATGAATCCCTTTGTAGGAAAGCTTTGCATGCCTGGATCTGACCATAAACAACTCGTCAAATGCTTTAAGAATTGAACTGCAGTACAGACCACTACCCAAGACCAAGACTGGTTACTGAGTGGTGCACACAGATGTCAGATCTGATATACAGAGAAAAGTCAGTAAATCTGAAGATAAATCAATAGAAATTACCCAATATGAAAAACATTAAAACATGACTAAGGGAAAAAAATGAACAGATCCTCAGGATACTATCGAATAATACCAAATGGTCTAATATTCATGCTATAACGGTCCAGAAGGAAAAGAGAGTATGGTATTAAAAAAGAATATAATGAAAGGCCAGGCATGGTGGCTCACGCCTGTAATCCCAGCACTTTGGGAGGCCGAGGCAGGCGGATCACGAGGCCTGGAGTTCAAGACCAGCCTGGCCAATGTGGTAAAACCCCGTCTCTACTAAAAACACAAAAATTAGCCAGGTGTGGTGGTGCACAACTGTAATCCCAGTTACTGGGAAGGCTGAGGCAGGAGAATCGCTGGAACCCAGGAGGTGGAGGTTGCAGTGAGCCGAGATCACGCCACTGCACTCCAGCCTAGGCAACACAGCAAAACTCCGTCTCAAAAATAAACAAATAAATAAAGGAATAATGGCTAAAAACTCTAGAAATCTAGTGAAAGATATAAATTTACAGACTCAAAAATGTCAGCAAATACCAAATTGGGTGAGCTTAAAGAAATCCATGCCCTTACACATCACAATGAAACCGGTGAACACGAGACAAAGGAAAAAATCCTGAAAGCAACCTGATTAAAACAACTACCTATAGAAAAAAATGGGATTCAATTGACTGTTGATTTTTCATCAAAAATCAAAAATCATGGAGGTCAAAAGGAACTGGAACATTTTTCAAGTCCTAAAAGAACTGTCAACCCAGAATTCTATACCCAGTGAAAATATTCTTGACAAATGAAGGTGAAATAGACATTCTCAGGTGAAGAAAATCTAAGAGAAATATCTGTTGTCAGCAGATCTGCCCTAAAATAAAATAATTTAAAAATTATTCAAACAGAGAGAAATGGCAACAGAAGGAAACTGGAAACATCAGGAATGAAGGAAGAATAATAGAAATAGTAAATATCTGGGTAAATACCACAGACTATTCTTTTCTTAATTTCTTTAAAATAAATATGATGGTGCAAAGAAAAATTCTAACAATGTCTTTTGGGATTTTTAGTGTCTTATGGGATACTACTAATGCAGTGATTAGAAAGAAAGTTATAACATTAAATGCTTACATTATAAAAGTAGAAAGGGCTCAAATCAATCTAAACTTCCACTTTAAGCAACTGGAAAAAAAAGAACAGAATAAACCGAAAGCAATCCAAAAGAAAGAAGAGCACAAATAAAAGAAAAATGTTTTAAAGAGTTTAGAAATGAGAACAGATATCAATTAATGTTTAAAAATAGAAAAACAATAGAGAAAAATCAATAAGTCTAAAGATCTTTCTCTGAAAAGATCAATAAAATTGATAAATGTCTGGCTGGACTGACCAAGAACAAAAGAGAAGAGATATAAATTATCAATATTAGAAAAGAGGGAATGTCACTACTGATCTAACAGACATGAAAAGGATAACAAGGTAGCACTAAGAACAACTCCACACGTATAAATTTCACAGTTTAGATAAAATAGACCAATTTCTTGAAAATCACAAACTGCCAAACTCCCTGAAGAAGAAATAGATGACTTGAATAGTCTCCTATTAATGAAATTAAATTTGTAGTGAGACAATTTTCCTCAAAAAGAGAAATCCCAAAGCCAAGATAGTTTTATTGGCAAATTCTACCAAACATTTAAAGAAGAAATAACACCAATTCCACAAGATCTCTTCAAGAAAATATAAGACAACAGGACACTTCCTAACTCATTCTATGGGGCCAGCATTACCATGTTACCAAAACCAGACAAAAAGAGTACAGGAAAAGACAATTACACACCAATATCCCTCATAAACCCAAAAGTAAAAATCCTCAACAAAATATTAACAGCAATATATCAATGCCAACTGGAATTTAGCCCAGGAATTCAATATGTGAAATGGTTCAATTGAAAATCGGTTAATTTAATTAACCACATTAACAGGCAAAAAAAAAACAACCCCACACAGGATCGTATCAATTGATGTAGAAAAAACATATCACACAACTCAACATACCTTTATGATTAAAAAACACAAAAAAACTTTAACAAACTAGGAAGAGAGGAGAACCTTTCTAACCTGATAAAGGACATCTACAAAAAACCCCACAATTAACATCATACTTTCTGGTGAAAGAACAAATGTTTTCCCCCTAAAATCAAGAACGAGGAAAGGATACCCACTCTTACCACTCTTATTCAACATAATACTAGAAGTTCTAACTACTGCAATTAAGGACAAAAAAAAAAAGAAATTAAAAACATATAATTAAAAACATATAGAAAGGAAATCTATATGTTATATAAAATTGTCCCCATTTTCAGAGAACATAAATATCTACACAGAAAATCCTTTAAAATCTATTTTTTAAGTTCCTGGAACTAATAAGTAAAATTAGCAAAGCTGAAGAATATCAAGCCAATTCACAAAAGTCAGTCACATTTCTCTATCTTAGCAATATACAATTGGAAACAAATTTTAAAATATAATACCATTTACGATAGTTCAAAAAAAGTATAAATCTAATAAAAATATGTACAGAATCTGTATGCTGAAAATGACAAAATCTTTGAGAGAAATCAAAAGAAGATGTAAAGAAATGAAGAAATAGCATGTTCATGGATTGGATGCTCACTATAGTTAAGACATCAGTCAGTCCAAAATGATTTATAGAATTAGTACAATTAAAATCTTGGCAGGTTTTTTTGTAGATACAGAAAAACTGATTCTAATATTTATAGGGAAAGGCAAAGGAACCACAATTGTCAAAATGATTTTTAATCACAAGAATAAAATTGGAAGATTCACACTATTTAAGACTGAACTATACTCAAGACTGTGTTGTACTGGTGAATGGAGAGAGACACAGATCAACACAACAGAATAGAGAATCCAAAAATAGATCCACCCAAATATAGCCAATCAGTTTTTGATAATGAAAGCCAGTTTCTCACTGTTGAAAAAAGAAGTTACAAATACAAAAAGGAGGACTATCAAAAAGAACCTTGTTGTGTTAGGTATCAGAGTTATACACTATGAACTCCTGAGTTCATACACAGACAGATGGATCCAGAATAAAATATATAGGTTTGCGTGGACATTTGTTATTAGATATACATATATTTCCTAACTGTGAGCTAGAAGCCTAGGGCTGTCACTAGTTGTAATAAGCACAAGTACCCGGATCTTTAAAAAAGGAGGGCTCTTTGGAGAGGTCATTGATTCCAGGCCTAGGGCAGGGGCATCTTGTGCTGTGTCAGAAAGTAAGAAAATACTTTTTTAAAAAAGATGGGGGCACACTGAAGGACACAAAAGCCAAAATTAGAGTTCCCTATGGCCAAAGCTAGAACAATTTGAGCAACAAATTAAATAGGAATAATACTAGATTATAAACCAAAAGAATAAAATATCCATGACTCATACTGATATAAATTAATAATACAAATAAGGAAATAAATATGGGAGAAGCAAATCTTCTCTACAGAAGAATTACAATTAGTAAACATAGAAGGAAGGAGGGAAACAGAAAAACACCAGCAGAACACCACTATAATACCGCTACAGTTAAGATCCAACGGTGAATGCTAAAATGAGTGGGCAAAGGTTTAAGCAAGAACAGGATAGATACACATTTCCAAGTAACTCTCTCCAAATATTTATTAATTATAAAGAGAGCAGTAGTAACTTCATAATAGAGAACTCTGGCAGAGACCACCCTAACCGATAAGGAAAGTTAACATCACCAGTAATGAGCTATATTGACATCACGTATCCCTAACACAATGCACCGGGAAGAGCGCATCGTCTCATCTCTGCATGTTTTCCCTCTCAGATCTTTCCCAATAATACACAACCTCAACACAATCAAGATAAAACATTGAACAAATCCAAACCGAATGTCATTCTACAAAATAAATGACCAGGATTCTTCAAAAGTGTCAAGATCAATAAAGACAAGGAGACTGAGGAACTGTCAAAAATTTAAAAAGCCAAAGGAGGCAGGAGAGCTGAATGCAATGTGGGATACTAGATTGAATCTTGGGATGAAAAAAAAACAACCAGCAGTGAAAAAACTCATACCATCCAAATGAAGTCAACAGTTTACTTAGTACTAATGAACGAATGCTAATCTTACAGCTTTGATAACTATACTACAGTTTTTAGGGGAAGAAGGGTTAAGGGTATATGGGAAAACTCTATTTTTCTAATTCCTTTAAGGCTAAAATTATTTCAAAATAAAAAGCTGAAAAAACAAAAGTTTTAATTTTAACATTAATTGGCTGTCTGAATACTAGATCACATTTGTCTGCAGAACATCATTGGTAGATTTTCCAAGATATCTCACAAAAGTCTATTTAGCCAACAAGGTTTTTTTAAATAATGGGAGAAACCAGTAGAGGTGTAACAATAACAATGAGAAATGGTGACACAGAATAAAAATTAGGGTTTTAGAAAATGTTGTTATGTGATAAAAAGTAGTAAATTAAAAGAGGAGGAAGATGTTGCTGTAGAGGTAAAATCCCACACAATCTCTGAAGAGCTACTGTGGCTAATTTCACACATGGAATCTGGGAGGGGTGAAAGGCAGGTGAGAAGTATTCGTGTTTGAATTCCTAGAGTGTGCCAGGCAGTTTTAAGTGGCTTTGGCGCATAATCTTAGCTAATCTTATTACCTTGTGAGAAAGGTTATTACTAGCCCTGCTTTACAAGTAAAAAAATTGCACCCAAGGTCTCCTAGTTAAGCAGTAGAACTGAGTTTCAATCTCAGGTCAAAGTTCAAAGTCTCTTTCTCTATATTTACTGCATCTGATGAAAACTGAGAGTAATTTTCCTCTGATAAAGGGCAAAACTTAGAGGCTAGCAGGAATAATAAAATATATCAAAGGGGATGAGTAAAAATATGTGAATAAAGATGGTATACGGTAGAACTGATTAAGTTGTTAAAAGATAAAGGGAAGACAATGATGGAAGAGGTTTTAGATGAGCGCTCTCCTCACAAGAATTTCAGAGTTGGGGAAATACGAAAAGGGATGTAAGAAATGCAGCACAGAACCAACCTGTGGACCTCTGAAGGTCAAGTAAGTTAAAGGGAAACAGGCAGAACATAGAGCCATTACAGTCACACTCTTGAGATTATTTTAGCTCTAGTTTACCAGTTGTGTGTGTGTGTATGACTTGCAATGTCTTATCCACAAGAAAAATAACTACAAGAGGACATATATTTATCTATATTCTTCTAACCTAAAAGAAACACTTCAAATTAACAGCTGTAACTTAAATTCTGGGTAAAAGGTTACAAAATTAGAAGCCAGCCCTCTGTCTGTTGCTAAATACCAATGTTCTTTCTTACATAGTTAACCTGATGAAGCAGCTGAAGTCAAATGTCATTTCTGTAAGTTTAAACAACTTCATTATTAGGAGTGTTTAAGCATATCACCTTATTTGTACCAACAATTTCCCTTGAATTTTATTTTTAAATTAAAGGTAGGATAATAGTTTAAGAAAAACCCATTATTCTGATTACGCAGTTTCAAACCTAAAATGGACAAAATCTCAAGTGTGAGAGATTTATTTATTCTGAGTATGTAACTGGGAGGTACTGAAAGGACAGAGATTTTGAAGACAGAGAAACAGTTTCAAATCCTAGACTCCTTTTTCAAATCCTAACCTCCTTACTTACTAGCTGGGGGACCTTAAGCAAGCCTTATTTTTTGAGTCAATAAATGTGAAGCCTACTTTAAAGGTCATCATGGAATTAAATGAGAAATTACACATATAAATCCCAATCCAGCACCTGCACAGAGAGAGCCTTTAACACAGGTAGAGAGAAAGTAACTCTATAATGTTCTTCATTTTACACCTGGATTTAGACCACTATAATGACATACAATCATTAAAATGATGAAAGTGACAAATGGGCAACTAGCAAGTATAACCAAGCAAAGCAATGTGTTATAATGAAAATAGCACCAGACAGAGCCAGGAGACGTGGGCTTTAGCTGTTATTTCACGTGTTACTCAGCAATGACCTCGAGAGGACTACAGTAGCTCCTGTGCTTGCTTTCTCCTGCTGTTCTCTTTGCCATAGGAAGGGGATGGGATGGCATCATCTCAGGGCTTCCTTCCAGCTACAGAATCCTGAGAGCTCAAGATACTACTCCGTGCTGGGTGCTTGAGAAAGACATGAGTGAGAAATGTTGTAAAAACTGTAACTGAAATTAGTTCTAAAGAAAAGGAAAAGGAAGAAGGCAACTGATACTCTGCACACATTTGAGGGGTTATCCCAAGATCTTCAGTGTCTAGAATTCCATGACCAGCAGAAACTGACTTTCTAGAGGGGTTAAAGGTAAAGAAGAAAATGAGCAGCAGGGACAATGAACAGCAAGGATGATGATTAAATCCTGAAACAGGGAGCCAAGCTGATTACCCCGAGAAAGTCAAGGTGGTTCCACCTCTGAATGCGGAGACAGATTTACCTACAGATGGCAAACCAGGGAACTTTCAAACACGAGAAAATGGGAGGAAAAAAAATGACACTTCAGTGGCAGTCTTTATTTTCTTATTAAAAGATCCCACATAGACAATAGCAAATATAAGTTTTAAAGAATGTTTCCTTTTTAAATTATTTAGAACTGTGCTGTTACTCAGTTTCTGTGCTCCTCACATTCTTAAACTAGGCAAACTGAGCTTACCTTTAAGCAGCATTTTTATGACTCTCATGATGTTCCATCTAAAAACAGTTGAACTGATCTCTTTAAAATGGTAAACTAATGTCCAAAAGTCCAAAATAACCCAACCCCAGCACCTCTAAAGTCTAAGATAAAAAACAACTGCTTGAACAAATTACTGCTTTCACCAAAAGTATGAGGAACTAAACATGTACCTTCCCCCATTTCTGTATTCTTTCTTTCTTACTTGGAAAGGAACAAACTTCAGCTGCCATTCCTACTCCAAGTAAAACAATAAGGAAGAGAGAAGGCCTACGATATACAACTAAATAAAAGACAAAAATAAACCGGATTTATCTGGCAGAGCGGGTCTGTTTGCTATGGTCTAAAGCTAGACTCCCATGCCAGCCACCAGCCCTGTGAATTGATGGCTTCCATCCGTGACCTTCCTTTCACAGGTCGTGCTAAGCCCTCACACTTTCCTCACCTTGGCCATCTGCCTGGCTTGCCTGGCTTCTGTGATGACAGCTAGCGCTCCTCCACATGGCCCCTTCTGCCCTAGAGGCAGCTGAACCCACTGTCAAACTGACTGTTCCCCTTGGGAGGCTGTGATCCACAGGAACTAACTGCTGCTGAGGACAGGGGTTAGCGACAATGACAGCCTTCCTTTCTTTCCAGACCTTGCAACAAAGGCGAGTCAAGAACAAGTGCATGTCAAATCCTCATCCTGATAATTACACTTAAATACGGAAGCAAGAAACTTGGGCTGATTTATAAGTTTATAATGGAACTTATCTTTTACTTCTATCTTTAGGAATTACCCAACTGCTGAATCTCAGTTTTCTTATCTATAAAATGAAATCTATAATAACATTACCTTCCGAGATTGCTTTCAAGATATAGGACTGCTAAGAAACATTTAAGGGAATTGTCACTGAAATAAGTAGTTAGCCCCTCAAGGTGACAAATTTGAAGGCACCGTGTCTCCTAAGCAAGAGCCCCAGGAATTGGAGGAAGATGGGAAGGGATGAGAACAGAAGTAGCACAGCTTTCATTCCTATCCCCCACACATCCTCCCATGAGTAACAGTGGCTCATTTCAGTAAGGACTCTGGTGGTAAGGTGCAGGTGGAGGGGGCGTGGTATATACTGATCCTCAATCTCACCCTCACTCCGTTGCTCTAATTGCGAACAGGTGTCACTGCCTTTATTGAGTCAATACTATTATTTGCAAGACCTGGAGCTTAAACAGCATAATTGCAGAGGATCCTCAAGACAAACACCAAGACCGAGGCTCTGAAGGCTTGCTGGGCACTGAAAGCCTGGTCAATAGAATTCTAAGGCCCACTTTCTTCACCTATCATTACAATTTCAGTTATTTAACATGAAGAATTATAGAGAAAAGAAAGAAGAGTTCTTTTTCAAAAGAACATGCATGGAAGGAAAAACCAGAATTAGGTGACAATAAAAGCCTTGGTTCTATTGCCAGGCTGACATCAGATAAGCACAGAATTGACTCAGATCAAGAACCCGAAGCAGGCACACTTTGTATAAGGAGAAACTTCCTGTGATTGCTTAAGTCAATTTACTTCCGATAAGGTGATGCTCCAGGGGGTTTGTTCAGTCCTATTAAACCTCTCCAACTCAAGAGAACATAGCAGATTGACAACCCTGCAGGTTGGACCTTATCCTGGGTCATTTCTAGACCAAAGATATTGAGAAAACACCTGAAATGCTTTGGTTGGAAAGTAACAGAGTGACCAAATGAGCTTTTTTTTTTTTTCTTTAAAAAGCACTTTTTTAAAAGTGGGGTTATTTCTGGTAAGAATACGAGAGGTCATTGATTGACATAGCTAAGTAAGGGCAATGTTGGGTACTGAGCCTTAGCATCCATCATTCCCAATCACCCCCTCTAAGTCTCAATCAGCCACCAACTTCCATTCTGACACACTCTCTTACAAAAACAGTCACACAAACAAATGACCTTTATTTACACTCAGTGACAGTTCTAGTGAATGAAGGTGAATGAAGGTGCCAGCACTGCCTCCCATTCCTCATCCCCCAGTCCCAAGAGTTAGCTCTAGAAATTGCATCTTGGCCTAGTCCCTTAGGACCAGCGGGGGCACTCTTGCACAGTTTCTGCACATCTGCTCCATTCTTCTCTCTCTGTTGGCTGGCCTCTTCTGTTCATACATTGTTCCCTAATTCCTGATGATTTCAGGCATTTATTTGATTGTTTATTAGCTTATTTAACATAAATAGCACTTACCAGTACATCAAGCAATGTTTTAAAGACTCCACAGATATTAACTCATTAAATCAAAAAGTCTTGACATGGAAACTATCATCCTTACTTTTTTTAGCTGAAGAAAGTGAGGTACAGAGAAATTAAATAACTTGCTTAAGATCACACGGCTTCTACATGACTCTAATGGGTTTTGGGAACCTCTCTATCTCATGTTATTATAGCTTCAGATCCCAAGGCTGTTGATATGTCCTAGTTCAAATTCTCAAGAGAGAATTAACCAGCCAGCCCTGCTTAATATTGTAATTAGTATACTGTCTGTACTCTGTTACCATTACTAATAATTAACACAAGCACATTCAGAAAATGTAATGGTGAGCCTCATTAAAGGTGATGAAGTTAAGAAATCTCAGCCTTTGATTTTGTTCCTTCCTTTAAGAGTACAATACTAAGTTTTGATTCTACAATGAATCTCCAAAATTGGAATGTATCCTACAATCATTGCTGAGCAGATGGCGGTTGTGATGTATCCTCATTGCCTGTGCATACCCATAGAACTTACAGAATGAGTGTCAGTAGCTTGGAAGAAAATTCTGTAGACAACAGTGGCATTCCTAAGAAATGCTGTATCAACAATGCTCTTGATGGCACAGAGGACCATATTGTGTGGAAATACATGGACATCTGCAGCTGCGTGGAAAAGCAACGCAGAAGAACTCAACTGTGAATGGAAAGAAGCCTTAGAAATACCTTCGTTTATTTCACATATACATTTTTGTCTCTATGAGCCCAAGTGTAAAAATCTGTATCTACATAAGTCTCAAAGAGTTTATCAAGTATAAAATTTTAAGTGATTAAGAAGCACCATTTTATGACATCTTTTTCTTTCTTAGCTGTATATTTAAAAAATAGTACCTCTTACAAGTGATGCTTAAGATTTAATAAAATACAGAAGTTAGTATCATAACTAACAGTTAACTCAGAGACTTAAAAGACATCAAGACTCTAGTTCCTATGTTTTGAGAGGGAAACAGTCCACCTGAGAAAGCCTAGAGGGACAGAAGCAAGTTCTCAGATAATACACATTTAAAGATATGGAAGACAATATATATTTTAACTAAGAATACTTAACAATTTTTTTTAAAATTCATTTAAGAATTTGGGTTCTGTGTGGACTAGCGGCCAAAGTCCAACAACAACGTCTAGCATAAAATGGGAACAGCAACAGTATTGAACTCAGCTGCGGTTGTTATGAGGACTAAATAATCCATCTAAAGAAAGAACACTGCTTGATACAGAGTAAATATTCAATATATGTGAGCTACTCCTAGCAGCCAACAATTAGGAAAACACGGCTTTCGAAAAGAAAAATTAAAGCAGCAGATAAGTAAAGCTGCAACATACTATATTCAAGTGCATGACTAAATCTCCTTCCAAGATCGTGTTCTCCATTTAATGACTGCGCACCCAGACACAAACATCTTTTAAACATACAGAAGCCTTCTCTTATACCCAGAAACAAAAGCAGCTCGACTGCTGCTTTATTTCCCCGTTTCAGTCATCCGATCCAAATCTGAAAGGGCTCCTTCTTCGGACACAAGCCAACCCACACAGCAAATCTCTCCACATAGAGGCTAACCTCCCAACCCCGCACAGAAAGAAAAGTGCTCTTAGAGTCAGCTGGAGAAACAATGTGCCAATATTTTTGCTTGCATTCCAAAATACAGCAAACTTCCTATCCCTGATGCAACCTACCAAGTCCCTTGGAAGGTCACCGTAACAGAACTTGAAGCAATTCATAACTACCCCCACAATACAACACCGTGCAGCTGAAAGCTGCTTCCATCCATAATCAAGGCAGGTGCAAATTGTAATTTTTTTTTTTTACAGGAAAAAATCCCTCTGAGGTGCTAAAGCAGCTTTTCCAAATACTAAGCTAAATTACTGAGCTGTTACATGAAAAACATTATTGATCTATCATTTTAAAATAAAATTTATATTGAAAATCCGTTGTTCTACTTAGCACTGCTAAGTAAACTATTTTATGGCTTGATACAATGCCCACTGCCTGTTATATCTCAACTACAGCAGTATTTATCAGATAATTACCAATTTTTACAACCATAAAATGTGAAACTCAGCTATTTATAGCAAATTATTTAAGAACCTGATAAGCTAAGTACACCAAAATAACCAAAGAACAGAAACAAATTTATGTGAATTCAGTGCAAAAATTCCATTTCAGCTTTTTACTCGGCATGTGATATTTCAGGGTAGCAGAAGCTCTTTGAAATACAAAGTACATTTTAAGAGATCTTAACACTTTTAAATTTAAAACATGCTATTTATAAAAAGAGCAGTATCACCAAATGCTAAATTAAGCATACTAAAGGATGAAAAAACATCTTGTTTTAATAAAAAATTTAAAAGAAGATGACTTTATAATAAAACTTTATAGCATATTATTTGAGGAAGAGAATATATTGTGAAGTTGCCAGAACTCAACTTTAATATGTATGTTAACTTTCAGCACTTACAGCATATGGGATGTGGCAGTTCCCAAGTCACCTGCATGTCTTAAGCTTTTGCCCTCTACTCAGTAGCTTTGTTCATTGTGCAGATAAGAGGCTGATGGGAAGAGAGATGCTTTCATTGAAAGATCCCAAACAAATGTTCTCAGAAAATGAAGATATTGTTCTAGAACAGAGACCAACTGTTCAGGTTAACAGAGCAAGAGCCTTCAGCACTACACTGACTTGTATTTGCTACTGTAAAAGGGAACATGTGTATTCTTCAACTCACAATAGCATTAGGTTAAAGAAAATTAAAATTAATAACTCTATGTCAGTAAGTGGATTCCACCAAATGACCAAAAATAATACAAAGAAGAATGAAATGGGTGTTTTTCTTAAAACTTTTCATGTAATTTCATGTGGATTCAAACACTAGAAACACACCGAAGATAAAACAGCTAAGAAACACAGATAACTCTCATTAAAAAATAATCTATATAAAAATCAGCTCAAAATGGATCAAATACCCAAATGTATGAGTTAAAACCATAAAACTCTTAGAAGAAAGCTAGCAGTAAATCTTTGTGACCTTGGATTTGGCAATGGTTTCTTATGTGTAAAATCAAAAACATATGCAACAGAAGAGAAAACTAAATTAGACTTCTTTAAAATTAAAATTTTTGTGCTTCAAAGGATACCATCAAGAAAGTGAAAAGATAACCCATATAGTAGAAGAAAGTATTTACAAAACATTTATCTGATAAAGAATTTGTATCCAAAATACACAAGGAACCCTTGCCATTCAACAATGAAAAGTAACCCAATTTAAAAATGGACAAAGAATCTGAATAACCATTTATCCAAAGAAGATACACAAATGGCAACAAGCACATGAGAAGATGCTCAACATCGTTAGTCATCAGGGACATATAAATCAAAACCACAAAGAGATACCACTTCACACTGCACTGGGATGACTGTCATCAAAAAGAGAGACAGCAAGAATATGCAGAAACTGGAACCTTACACATTGTTCTGGAAATGTAAAATGGCACAGACACTCTGGAAAAGAGTTTGATAGTTTCTCAAACAATTAAATGTAGTTATCATATGACCCAGCAATTCCAGTTGTAGGTACGCATCCAACAGAAATGAAAACAAATGTCCGCATAGTAACTTGTACACAGATGTCCATATCAGCAATATTCGTAACAGCCCAAAGTGGAAACAATCCAAATGTCTATCAACTGATGAATAAGTAAACCAAATGTTGTAGATTGGTACGATGTGTTATTCAGCCATGAAAAGAAATGAAGTGTGGAAACATCCTACGACATGATGAACCTTGAAAATGCTATGTTCAGTGTAAGAAGTCAGTCACAAAAGGCCACATATTGTATGAGTCCATTTACACAAAATGTCCAATGTAGGCAAATCTACATGGACAGAAAATAAATTGGCAGCTGCCAAGCAGTAGAGAAAGGAAGGAATGAGGTGACTGCAAATGGGTGCAAGGTTTCTTTTGCTAGTGATAAAAATGTTCTGGAATTAACAAATGGTGATGGTTGCACAACTCTGAATATACTGAAAAACTGAATTGTACACTTTTTAAAAGGGTGAATTTTATAGTATGTGAATTATTCTTCAATAAAACATGTTAATAAAATGTTTTTAAAAGTAATTTACTATATGCAAATAGCATGGGCTCAGAGTTAAGGGGCTCAAGTCCTGCTCTGCTTTTGCCCCCAGGCTTGCTTAAATGCCAATGGCTCTGTGAACCTCAGTTGCCACCTATGTTTAAGTGCATGGCTAGGGTGCTAGGAAGAAAAGGCCTCTGGTTTCAACGGGATGATTCTATGATCATGCCAGATATCAAAATACAGCAGCAATTCCACTGCATATTTGGGAGTCACTAGAAATTTCACATTCTATTCTGGTTTAAGTATAGTCTTCATATGAGAAATAATCCTCAAGAGGGTTAATACTTCCAAAAAACAGAAAGGATCACAGTAAAACCAGCTGAACTAAGCCGTCCCTGGGAACCCCAAACACCCAACAATGCCAGGTCTCACCCCAGTTGTTTCCAACCTGCCCCGATGAATTAACCTAGTGCTAGCAAGTGAAAAACTCTCTATATCCCTTTTCCTATGGGCTGGTTCAGCAAATTCTAGATTGAATGCATATGTTCCTAAGGCACGAACATTTAAGTGGGTATGACTTTGTAAGATTAACAGACATGTTTGAGAGATACAGGAAAATAAAGCAGGCCCTCTTCATCTGGCTTAATTCCTATCTGTTCTTCAAGACTCAGCATAGGCAATACTTCCTTCTTGTAGCGTATCCTGCCTCCCTTCCCAACCATCAGTATGGATCTGTCCATGACCTGAGATCCCAGAACACCTGTGCCCATGGATGTGCACAGGTGAATGAGAGAGAAAACAACCAACTGGGGTACATCTCCACCTGGAAGTCCCATCAGCAACTCAAAGTCAGCACATCCAACCCCTGACCTCATCATCTTACTTTTCCACTCCCCAACACAAACCTGCTCTTTGATTTCTCATTTTGGAAAGACATCAGCATCTATATAAACTAATGAATGCAGGTGGGAAAATATACACATATTAGTAAAAAGGGTAAATTACAGAATTATTAAAAGATATATTGCTTTCACTAAACCCCCCGCCCCTGCAAAAAAAAGGCTAAAGAGCTATTATCTGGGCATCTTTCATGAAGATAAAAGAACAGATTTGTAAGCAGTATACCTATGATCTATGTGTAAAACAGTACACCAGAAATGCTTACCAGCAGTCTGCTCTTCCAATAGGGGTATATACTCCCCCCTAGAACCCCATTCACATTGTTATTTTAAAAAGAGAGAGAAAATAAAATGAATGGCATCAATAGTCTTGTCAAAACTATTGCTATAGTAATATTTCAAGTTCATGAATTAATGAATATAAACCAGAAGTCTTCTGACGAAAGATAATCAAGCTGACTGGTTGAAGCTAAAGACTCCCAGTTTAACTAGTCAAAGTTCTATGTGTAAATATGATTTAGTTTGTTTCGCAGGACTGTAATGTTCAATCATCTTACTACAGTGTAATAAATTATTTCCACCTAAAAAAGTTTAGAATCACTATAGTAAGTCATAAATAGCTGATTTGCACATATAATAATCCCAGAATCAAGCCATTTGGTATTAAACTAAATTCATTTTTCTGGCAAAAAAAAATATAGGTTAAGGCAATAGCAGCATGGTAGAAATTAGTCTCACAAATTATTTCAGTAGCAGAACCATGTTATTCCAGGAAGTATCATGTTGAGGTAAAATGCATGTTGCTCGTCAAGAGAAATGCTCTTAATTTTACATGATGCTCTGCCATGAGGGTGGCACAGCCTTCAAATTAATTCAGATAACAGATGGGGACATTGAAACAATGATACACAGAGCTGTGCAGCAGAAATCTCTAATGACACAAATACAATAGTAATTATTCATTTCAAAACACAGGGACTGTTGATTACTAGTACACAATAAATGGCTACCAAAATAGTCTATCCATTTCTCAGACTGTAAGTTCCCCATAGTGTGTGTGTGTGTGTGTGTGTGTGTGTGTATAACAACAGAATTGTTCACCATTAACACAATATTCAAGGTTATTTGCTGTAACAAAATTTTTGTAAACCAAAAGCATCACAGTGTTCACTTTGTATTATTTCACTTAATCATCACAACAAGACAAAGAGGGAGGTATTATCTCTACTTCACCTATAAACACAATTTCCATACAATGTATTGCCCAATCCAAGACACTTCTGAGAATCTAAGAGGGCATAAGAAATGCAAGCTGGACTATCCTGACCAAACCAGGATGCTGGGATTCTCCATAGAGAGAAACAAATTCAGAAAAGTTTATTAATTTCCCAAGTTCACACACAGGGACAAGAGGAAATTGGAAATGAAATCCGTATCTGACTGTGGTTCAAAAGAATAACAACTTCCAAAGCAAACAAAAAACAGAAGTTGACAAATGTAGTACCAATATTTCTCTATTTCCTATTTTGTTCTAATTGTGAGTTCATCAATATGTCTTGTATGAGGCTTCCTGAGCTGATTATTATTGCTTCCATCAACACTTTTTCTCAAATCCCCTTGCAATTCCTATAATTATTCTAGGTAAATAAATGTGGGGATTAAAACTTCAAGACACTGGGATCATAAAACTCTCTGTGAGTGCAGAGTGGAAACAGAAAAATCCAGCCGTGGTGAGTGTCATCAGGCACAACCTCCAAACAGTAACTGAGCAGCAGTATCTTATTAAAGAACGTTTACTGTATACATCATCCCAGCAGGCTCAACTGCCACAGGCCATCAATGGCCCTGATTGTCCTGTATCCATAGAGAGCACTAATTACATGCAACTTTGCTGCTTTTAAAACTATATACACTGTTTCTACTACAAGTGTGCACAAACAGCAGTTACAACCCTTTCAAGGCAATAATCACCACCTAATTTACATTCAGTAGGAAGCTGTGCGTGGGTTTCTGATAATTCATTTACATTTACTACACTATTCCTCCATGTTTTGAGCCAAATTTCTGAATAAAATATTACCAAATTTAAGACTATTTTTCTGGTTGGAATTTAATATATATACCTTTAAATAAGAAACTGGCTAACTTATTTACATATCAAAACATTCAACTAAATTCTCTACTTTTGAATTTTTACTTTCGCATATTTAAAAGCTTATTAACAAAACCATTCGTCAAATAAATTTCTGAGTCACAGTCCTATGGGCATACACTCCTTCTCCTCATATTATAAATAAATTCCCTTTATAGAAAAGTAAGGCTTTTAAAAGAAGATATATAGTCATATTAATATTAATGCAACATTTTCTTATCGCATCATAACAATGTAGTGGTGAAGTCTAGAAAACTATTTATTTTACAGGAAAGCAATAATGATGAATAGTTACCTCTCAGGATTGGTATAGATCTGGTCCTTGTTAAATCTTCCAAATTTACAGAAAGAGTTGTAAGAAATGATGTAACTTTAGTACTAAAAGTACCAAATTTTAAAATTTCTTGATGATAGGGACCTTATACTTCCCCATCCGCTTTGCACATCATAGGCATGTTCACAAAATTGGTTTTATTTCTACAGACATTTCTCAAGTCATATTAATTAAAAGATGTGCCATGGATGAACCAAGAAACTACATAATTTAGAAGTTATGTTGTTGAAATTCTTTGTTATTATTGAGGTGTTGCCTTCCTAATCCTATACCATGTGTGTTATATCCAATAATTCAGTTGGCATTGGCTAAGTATACTGTGAGAGAGTACTGAAGAACCTGGTGTAAAATGAAAATTATGTCATTTCACAAATAAATATATGGACATAGATAATAAAGAATTGCTATGGTGTATTTCTAAAGGGGTTTATTGTGGGATCTCTCTTGCCCCATTGTCAAAGAGACACCTATCATTTATCAAAGTACTATTAAGGACTCAGGGTCTGAGTCCTTGGCTTCACACAGGTGGAGGGTGGTCCATGAATACTTTGAAATTATGTGAAGAACTGTGTTTATACCTATCTATTTGCAGCTTTCACAGGATCTCCAAAAAGCTAAGCAAGAATCACTGCTAATGTTGTAATCAATAAAAAATGTAAAATTATCACCTGGTACAAATGTATACTAGAGGAGGGGAGATTATCTGTTGATGTCAGAACCTAAGTGTGACCACATCCCCGATCATGTCTGTTATGCTCTTACTTGTCATTTGTGATGGCACTGGCCTGTTTCTGGCTTAATTTCCATAGCACTTGCTACTTACTCTACTCCATAATCGTAAAATGCACTCCTCAGTTACAGGAAAGGGTTTGACAACAGGTATGGGCTTTGTGACAGGTAAATACCAGAAGCAGAGGCTCTCTAGAAAGAAGGCTGGAGTTTCTTCAAGTCTCACCCCAAGGTAAATGAAGGATATTACTATACATATGTGTTTATATATATACAAATATCATATGTATGTATTTATGTACCTTTGAGGACAATTTGGGAACAAGTCTTTTACAAACCAAGAAGGAAAAATGCAAACAGTTCTTACTTTGCTGTTATATGTCACCTTCCACCCCAAGTCTTTCTTGTTGGGGAGACTGGGGTAGGAAGACAATAAACATTCAAAATAGAAAACCTTCTTCAGTGAGTAATCCCCAAGGTCCAGTTGAATTCTGCAGGGCCCTCATGGTTCTTTTTATTTCAATAGCGGGATCAGACCTCTCCTTGGTATTTTTGCTTACAGTGGTTCAACTTTCAATAAAGATGATGGACAGAAGACTCTCTCATTTTATGATAAGCAATACGAATGGGAAAACACTACTTGTTGGTCTGAGAATTAGGAAAGGCAGGCCAGAGTTTAAAGCACAAGATCTAGAACTGCCTCCGTTGCTGGCTTCTCCGCTTTTCAGCCATGTGACCTTGAGCAAATTATTCCTTATGTCAAAGAGCTCTTGAGAAGTAAATGAGATAATGTATGTAAAGTGTTGTACAGCAGCTGGCACCATAATTAGTCCTCAATGAACACTAACTATAATTATTATACAGAAATAAACACCAACGGATTTGTTTGGGGGAATATGGAAGAGTTACTTTTAACAGTTTTATGTGCCTTTGTTAAGAAGGTAAAAGCTATAGCTTCCTTTTTTTAAAAAGTTTTTAATCATTCATAGTAAAGTGTTATTAAAAAGCAGAAAGTTAGGCTGGGTGCGGGGGCTCACGCCTGCAATCCCAGCACTTTAGGAGGCCGAGGCAAGTGGATCGCTTGAGTCCAGAAGTTAGACAACATGGCGAAACCCCATCTCTACAAAACATATATATTTAAAAAAAATTAGTTGGGTGTGGTGGTGCACACCTGTAGTCCCAGCTACATAAGAGGCTGAGGTGGGTGGCTGAGGTTGCAGTGAGCTGTGATTGTGCCACTGCACTCCAGTCTGGGCAACAGAGTGAGACTGTCTCAAAAAAACAAAGGGTTGGGGGGCAGGCACGGTAGAAGTTTAATAAATATTCTTTCATCTTCTGTGAAGACCAGAATTATTATTTCTTATCATTACGACTATTCTAATTCTTCAAAATTTCCTTTGCAGGGAGAATGGTGACATGCAGTAAACCAGGTTTGTTTTTTCATTTTCCTGTTAATACATAATCTTGAAGGGAGGAGAGTCTATTTTGGGTAATCACCAATGTCTACATAAAAAGCTTAAAAGGTGAATAATTTAGGTGGAGACCCCTATGGACATTGGGCAGGCAAAGGCATAGGAACCTTTAAAAAGAATGGACAGAAAAAGCAAGCCTCCTTATGTAAGAACACTAGCCAATGGGAAAAAGTGCCATTAACTACCTCCCTTTGCCAGTAATTGCAGCTATAAAAAGAATATTATTACAGTAAGGTTAAGTTAATATCTTGCTGTCTGTGGCACAACCAGTCAGAAAATTTTTAAAGATATTCTAATATTCTGAGTACTCAGCAATCAGTATCAATCAACTTATAACTGATCTTCTGTTCCGACTGTAACGGCTATCCTTTGCAATACTTTCTCTTCCCTGCTGGATTAGAAAATTGGCTGAAATCCTACTGCAAAATCTAAGGGTACCTTTTAAATCCCTAAATGCAAGTCAGCAATTCTGGAGTTTAAAAAAGCTAAATCCTGTTTAAGTGATTAATTCAACCCTTATGCCAACTGTTACATACAATTATTTAAAAGTTCTAATAAGCTGCTAAAAAAAAAACTGTTTAGGGGTTGCAACATGTGTAACCACAAGCATTAACCTTGATCTTTTACCATCATCAGCACTGGCTCAATTCTCTCTTGATCAATGTGATTCACTCGGTAGCTTGATTTATGACCATTACATTGAAATTTCCCAGTATTATTTCTCTAGCCCTGAATTCTCTCAAGATGCAAGCCCAGATTTCTGACTCCTGAACTGAATTTCCTCTTCAATACCTCAACATAGCCACAAATTATCTTGCTGCTTTCTCATACCTCCAGCCTTTAGCACTTACTGGAGTCATAATCCCAGCATATGGAAAGATGGTACCTCACCCTGTTGAAAGTTGGGTGTCGCCATGGGTCTTGCCAGTAACAATGACATGTAAGAGGGATACAAGGTGCATCACTTCTGAACAGAAGCTTTAAGGGGCCAGGGCATGATTTACCATATTCTGTCTTTCCTCAACAGCTGTGGTAATCCCAGCACTTTGGAAGGCTGAGGCAGAACTGCTTGAGCCCAGGAGATTGAGACCAGCCTTGGCAACATAAGGAAACCTCATTTCTATTAAAAAAAAAATTAAATTAGCCAGGTGTGGTGGCACACACCTATAGTCCCAGCTACTTAGAGGGGCTGAGGTGGCAGAACCACTTGAGCCTGGGAGGCTGAGGCTGCAGTGAGTCATGATGGTGCCACTGCACTCCAGAGCTGGATGACAGAGTGAGACCTTGTCTCAAACAAAAACAAGAATGAAAACAATCATGGAAGCACAAACTGAGGCTTTTAGGCCTGGGATCCTCAATGAGGATGATGATGGAGAGCAGAGCCCCCATCCCCCCACCCCCAAGCTAGCTCATTTCATCTCAACTGTGAAGACCAGAATTATTCTTTCTTATTCCCACAACTATTCTAATTCTTCAAAATTTCATGCAGCACAAGTGAACAATAAACCCTTGCTGTTTTAAACCAACTAACACTTTGGAGTTGCTACTGCCACCAAATCTCGCCTACTCTGCCTCATACACTCACCTGCAACCTGCTTCTCTATCTCTGATAAGGGCATTAGTACCCAAGTCAGTAACCTCAGGACTACTTAATGCTTCCCTCTTCCTCATATTCCATTATCCAGTTATTAATCCTGGAAATCTTACCTTATAATATTTCCCACTCACCCTGCTCCACTACATTCCCACAAATCTAGTTTTGCCTAGAGGCCCTCTTTCTCTTTGATTATAAACCCTATAGCTTCCAAATATTGCCTAATTCCAAACTTTTTCTGCTCTAAATGATCTTCCAAAATGACCAGAATAACCCTTGTTAAACAAAAAAAAATCTGGGCCTTTCCCATATTTACAGCCCTTCAGCACTTCCCACTGTTTGTATAACAAACATTGGAGGAGCATGTTTGCAAACAGGCACTGTGCTAGGCACCACAGGAATGAGGATGAGCCATTTGCCTGGATAATGATCTTCAACATGATGCAGTGACAGAGCCAGCTGCAGAATGTTGCTTGATACTAGCATTTAGTAAAATACTGAAATCGGTGACAAAAGGTATTTTTAAAATAAAAATTAGAGTTAAATCAAGTTAGAGTTAATTCAAGTTCTATGAAGACTTGACTTTCACTCATATTCTGACATGCTTTCTTGAGAAGGAGAAGAGATGGAGGTCATCATTAGCTAGCCAAGACGTGCACAATGGCCCAAGATTCTGCATCAAGTCCTTCCTGAGACTCTACTGATATTAGGAGCTTACATATTATTATAACATACATGACTGTAGTTTGTTACCCATTTTTATAATAGAGTTCATCAAATTTAGGACCCCAGTGAATTCTGTTGCAATCCATTCTGTTGTAACACCATCTGTCATTTGTGTCCCGGAAAGGGAAGGGATGTTAAGAGCCACCAAGTTAGCCAGATGAGAAAAGTCAAATGTCAGTATATTGCGGCTCTTCAAAATCTGTTTCCCAACTTGCCCTCCCCTAACATGCCTCTGTTCAGGCGTTCCAAACCTTTGTCAGGCCACCATTCCCTCTTTAAAACCTCACAAAATTCTACTCATTGAACAACTAGTTCAGTGATCAATTAACATTTTCTATTAAACCTGTCCCAAGAGTTGTAGGCAACATTAACTGGCCTCTGGGCTGAAGCATTTCCTTGCTTATCACATGACAGTATTTAATTGTCTAAGCACCTACCTACTCAGTGGGCCTCTGAACTCCTTGAGGATGAGTATCACATGTATTCATCTTTGTGCACCTAGCCCTTGTTACTGTGCTTGTACAGCAGCAGGCACATGCTCCACAGCTGTTAAATGAATAGTGTGGAAACCACATACCATACTCCCACTTACCCATCAGCCTACTGATGAATGTTAGGGGAAACTGTTACTTTGAGGATCCAGAGAAGGGGGTTTTATACTTATAACTTCTACGTTTTTTTTTTTTTAAGAAACTTGGCATGTTATTAACTATAGGGTAGCAAAACTTATATAGGTATGTATGTGTGTGTGTTTACACGTGGGTGTGTGCTTGAGTATGTGTCTTTAACAGGTTTACTGTGACTGCTTGTATTAGTCCATTTTCACGCTGCTGATAAAGACATACCCGAGACTGGGTAATTTATAATGAAAAAGAGGTTTAATAGACTCACAGCTCCACGTGGCTGGGGAGGCCTCACAATCATGGTGGAAAGTGAAAGGCACGTCTTACGCGGCCGCAGGAAGAATGACAGAATGAGAACCAAGCAAAAGGGGAAACCTCTTAAAAAACCATCAGATCTGGTGAGACTTATTCACTACCATGAGAACAGTACAGGGGAAACTGCACCCAGGATTCAATTATCTCCCACTGGGCCCCTCCCATAACATGTGGGAATTAGGAGAGCTACAATTCAAGATGAGATTTGGGCGGGGACACAGCCAAACCATACCACTGCTATAATAAACTACCACAAACTGAATGGCATCAAACAATAGAAAATTTATTCTGTCACAGCTCTAGAGGCTGAAAGTCGAAAACCGAGCTGCAGGCACAGCCACACTTCCTTTGAGGGTCCTAGGAGAGATTCTGTTCCCTGCCTCGCCTAGCTTTTGGTGGCTCAGGTAAGCCTTGGTTTGTGGCTGCATTACCCCAATCTCTGCAACCATCGTTACCCTGCCTCCTTTTCTGTCTCAAATCTCTGTTTGTCTTTCTCTCATAAGTACGTTGTCATTGGATTTAAAGCCCACTCAGGTAATCCAGAATGAACTCCTCTTAAGACTGTTAATTACATTTGCAGAGATCTTTTCTCAAAAGAAAGTAACATTCACAGGTTCCAGGGATTTCGATGTGGACAAATCTGCTGGCAGGACCCCCATTCGATCAACTACACTATGTGTGCACATGCCTGTGTGCATGTGTGTTGTATATTGTACAAAGAAGAATCCTTAAACAAGGCTCTATTGAACACCTACATGTTACCAAGGTAACACAGTTTGGAAACTGTGTTAGTGCTGGGGACACAATGATGAACATGAAAGACACAATCTCTGCCTTCATAGAGGTCAGAATCTATAGGGGGGTGGGGTGAGTATGAAAATTAAGTTATTCTTTAAAGTTGGAAAACGTAATATGAGAAAAAATTACACTATGGTTGTATATAATAGTGACCTCATCTTACCTGTTGTTAAATGAGTAAGCTAACACTTTCTCCATTAGGGATGGATGGTTCAGGGAATACTACTTGATTTTCAGTTTAGATTATCTCCCACCCTGTATTGGGACATTCACAAAAAGTCCTTGTTTCTTATGTTTGCTTTACACATTGAATTACTGGACCCAAAGATACTCCATGGCACTACCACAATTCATACAATTTAGAATGCCATCACTTGCAAGACAATCATTGTTTGACAACCACCAAGACACAATGCTGCTGATAAAACTATGTCATGCCATTAACTATAAGACACATGCTGATTTCAGAGATATGAAAATGTACACCTTAGAATCAATGAAATATGTTAATTTCCATTCTGAAATATATTCTTACAATACATCCAGACAAATTAACACCTTCTGATTAAGTAGTATAGCCAAATCTCAATGATTTCCCAGCAAAATTTTAATGCTGAATTGGCTTCACAAGCCTCAGAGTATTTTTCAACCTCTTTCCATCAGGCTAATATATGCAAATATAATTCACTAAGTCTTAAAAGTAGGACATATTCTCATATTCTGGGTCTCTTCCAGGCTTGAGACAGTTGGAAAAGTCAGAGACTGAGAAAGAACTCTAAATTCCTTGAGCAGGAAGAGGCTGCTGGAATCATCACTTCTTTCCTTGCCCAGAACCTGCTAAAAAGTCAGATTGTAAAGAACAGAGTGTGTGCACCTGTGTGTGTATTAGTCGGGGAAGCTTGTAAATACTTTAGGGATAGGCTGAAGTATCCCAACAACTCTGTAGATGAGTCATTCAGACAAAATTTTTGATCCATCTGTTGGAACATCACACCAGATCATGTGAACTGTGTGAAATGAACAGTGCAAAGACAAGACAGGATCCCTGCTCTCTGCTCTTGGACAGCTTAAAAAGACAAATATAAAAAGGGAAGGAATAAAACTTTTAAACACGCACAACTCCAACCTAATAAAGTCTGCATGGAATCCAGGATCGAGGTTTTGTTATAATCTTACACAAAGGTTATGTAGTAGACAAAATCTCAGGGACTAATCTCACACTTGTTTCTCCTGTATTTATTCAGTCTGGGTTTTGACATTAAGATGTAAGATTTACATTGCCCTACATTGTTTTTTTTCTAAAATGTAGATTTCATTCTGGTCTTTGCATGTGAGATTAAGAGGAATCAGGAATATAAGTCCATGAAAAACTGGGGGAAAGGTAAACAAAATGTAAGGGAAATTTAAGAATTTTTAAGTGGACAGATGTAGGTCATTATGGGATTTCAAAGAAAGAGACACACATACATTGAGAATAGCATGTGAAAGTTGCCCCTCCTACAAAAAATAATGGGGGAAATACACTTTCAACTAAGTAATCAAGCTGAGTGCAACTTGCAAATCCTTCTTAAATTCTGAAACACACACGCACATACACACACACTTACTTGAACAGCAGCTTTGTAAAGTATCATTTTAAAAGCAAATTCTTCCCTGGAGAAAACTTAACTGCCAAAGCATCTGGACTATCCTTCTAGAAGGCATTTAACAAGCTACTATCACTTCAGAGACTCACCAGGGTACATGGGCTTCAAAATGTATTTAAATTTTCTTTAGAAAAACACATATCAGACCTCTCACAGCCATTGGAGAAGAAGGATAAGTCAAGATCAGGAACAGTTCTAGCTACAACTTCACTTCTTTAGGAACAAAATAATTGTTTTCCGATTTCATTAACTTTATGTGTTCTTGGAACACAGCCCAAGGTAGTCCTGGAAAGAAAGGTGTTGCTGAAGTGTTTTTCTACTACTAAAAGAGCAAAATAAGTTTGGCAAAGATAGTTCATATCAGGAATAAACAGGTCTTTGAATAAATGGGCTGGCACAACAGCCTGGAAGAAAAAAAAATCTTATATCATATGCAAAAATTAATTCCAGATGGACTAGAAACAAAAAAGAATTAACCTTCCTACAAAATCTTAGAGACTACATGTACAATCTAGGTGTCAGGGGGACCTTTCTTAGGATTGAAAACAGGAATAAGAGACTTCTCTGTATATGTGAAAATTTAAAACTCTTAAATGGAAAAATGTAGATTAGGTCAATTGATCGGAAAAATGTAAATAAGAGAAAATATTTCCATTATATACAGATAGCATCTAGAAATTGACAAGAACAAGCAAGCCAACAACAGAAAAACCAACAGAAAGTATGATTTTAATCCACAGAAGAGCAAGTCCGAGTGGTGAACATATATATAAAAAGAGAGCCCTCAGAATCACTGATAGGGAAATGCAAATTAACGCAGCAATAAGAGCTTTATATCGATTACGCTGGTGAATATTTTTTAAAACATAATAACTATGGTTGACACAGATTTGGAGAAATGGTATTCTCACACATCCATGATAGAAATGAGAATTGCTATGGACTTTTTGGATAGCATTCTGGCAGCATCTATTAAATCAACTCCACTTCTGTGAACTGAGTTTGACTGGGATGCAACGCAATCACTTTTCCCCTACATTTTTTCCCTAAGATTATTTAGTTTTGGTAATTGCATAGGAAATGAAAAGAATCAGGAAAACAATGTTATCAAAAATGTTTTGGAGAAGTGAAACATATTAGAAATCACAGAATTCTACAGAAACAATGAACAAATTAATGATATGTACAGGAAAGTTTAGTGAAGTATAATTCACAGAGGCCAATAAAAGGAAACAAATTAACTCCTGTCAATAAAAGAATGAGTATTTTCACATCACGGAATATTATGCAGTTGTTATGAATTTCAATTATACCAGATGATTTAGAAAGATTCCCATAAGTGATATAAGCAAGAGGCTGAAAAGTATTTGTCATATAATCCCATTTTTATGGAACAATGACAGAATTCTGCATGTCTCTGTATGTATATGTAATAGCGATGTAGGATTCTGTGAGTATGAAGAAGATATGAAGAACATGCACTGGACTGTTAGAGTGGATTACATTTGGATTATGTAGGTGGGCTGGTTTGGAGGAATGGGGTCTGTCATGAAGGAAGAAAGTTTGTTAAAAAGTAGCTAAAATGCCACTATTATGTAAAATTGTGTGTGGGGGGTGGGGGAGAGAGATTGTGTGTGTAGGGGGGGAGAGAGAGAGAGAGAGAGAGTGTGTGTGTGTGTGTGTGTGTGTGTGTGTGTGTAGAAAGAACAGAGAATGAATCAAAATGTTGGTGGTTATATCAAGACTTCAGAATACCTAAGTTTTTAAATAGTTTTAGGTATTCAAATTCTTCATAATATATATGTTTATAATCAGAGGGGAATGAAGACTACAAATAGTATTTATACTTAGTTCATACATTTCCTCCCTCCCAACTCCATGGCCTCTGCTTAGCAAGAAACTCTCCTCTGATAACACACATTATTCAACTGTACACAATCTACTCAGGTAAGTATCTTCCCAATTGAGTCAAGGGGAAAAAAAAGAAACAGAAGATGGGGGAGGGGTGAGTAAAATTCACAGTCTACCTGATCTACTATAAAGTTAATTTGAAGCTTCTTTGGTGTGGCACTAAAAGATTCTCTTAAAGCTATCTTGTTGTTTCACTTTTAGCAACTGCCACCACAACACTGATAAATACAACTATTTATAGAGTCCTCAGGTGCTAAATTGGCAGAGTGATATGTACTTTTTTAATTATTATTTTTTATTATACTTTTAAGTTCTAGGGTACACGTGCACAACGTGCAGGTTTGTTACATATGTATACATGTGCCCTGTTGGTGATATGTACTTTATTACCCATCAACCCCTGGATCTATGTCCAGAGAGAATTAAACTGGACTTTTAATTTCTCTTCTTAGTCATTACAGTGAAGTCAATATTTACACAGATATTCAATAGAAAAAATGAAATGACATTCAAACTATCACATGTGCTTCTCCCCATGTCTGGAAGTGATCTGTGAATTTCTATTATTTATTCACTAGTGTCTGTACATAGATTCTAAACTTCAACAGACTCTGAAGTTGTGTCGTCTATCTCTTATCTAATTACCCCAAATGTGGCACTTCAGTTTATGTATTACATGTAAAAATAATTAAATATTTTTACAAACGTGTCCATTTACTTATTAATATTTAAAGCCAAAAAGTGACAAATTGTTCATCAGCTTCGTTTCATGCAATGCACAGGAATTTATCAACAATGAAGTCATCTTTGGGGAACTCTCCATGAATGGAACACAAATATAATTATATTTGTGAACACACAACATGGTTTTATCAAGATTTTCATGAGACTATTTGATTTCATACAATGCAAGGGAATTCTTTCAGAGGACAGTTACAACAGTGAACATATCATATCTAAATCCAATATCCAGGTTGGTTAAGAAAAGTAAATGAATCACAATTATTCAATTTCAAAACCAGAGGTAATGTCTATTAATACTTATGAACATTGACTGCTGAAGACAAATAAGTTAAAAAGTAATTAACCCACAAGAAACCGGAAGATTATTTATAAACATCCCATAAAAAACTAAGAGAAATGTACAGGAGGAGATTTTATTACAGGAGATTTGAAAAAAAAACTCTACCAAAAAATTGAACAAAGGGCTCAGGAAATTCACAAACAAAATATGATATTATTGGAGCTATTCTACTATCGAGCAAAGAAATACAACGTTTTCATTATCTAAACTAGCAAAGGCAAAACAAAAAAAAGAACTATGATATTCAATGATATACAAAATCATGGGCTTACTCATCCACTGCTGAAGGTAGAATCTTTCCTGGATGCAATTTAGCAATAAATACCAACATTCTAAAAATAACGAATTTTGAACAATCATCCCACTTCCAGGAACCCAAAATAATAAAATGATGTAAAAAGGACACATTTAAGTAAAAAGTCTCAAAAACAGGACACTCAAAACAACTAATGTCTCGCAACAGTCAAATAAATAATAGTTGACTGGTAATAACAGAATTCCATTCAGTCACAAAAGGTCTATTTCCAAAGAATATTAATAATGAAGGAAAAGGCTCAAGATCTAATGTAAATTTTAACAAGCAGTTTTATATACAATTTGGTCATTTATAAATGTATTTTTGATTTACATCCCATGCCTGCATAATAGCAAAATGTTGGTAATGGTTATATAACAAGTTATACAATATTATCAGTCCTGGACTACATATCTTCAGACTACTGCTATATGAAAGCAAAACAAAATAAACTCTCTGTGTTGTATAAGCCGCTATTTTTTTTTTTCATCTATCTTACACACAACTGAAATTAACCTTAACTGATGTCCCTGGCCATGATGAGGCTGTGAAGATTCCCTTTGATCCTATGTCTCTTAGTGGCTGACTTCCTCTTAACTGGCCAAAGACAGGACCAAAATAAACAGAAAAAATAAGAGTAGAATCTCTTAATAAAGCTTTCTGTTACTTGTTATTTATTTTTAAATAAGTAATCTGAACCTCCTAAAGTGCATGCTCTCTCTCACGCTCTGTCTCTCTCTCGAAACAACCAATTAAATAGTTTTTAACTTGGGTCTAGTGCTTGATTGATTTTGTGGGTCAGCGGTCAAAGGTAAAAAATGAATCTTGCATTATTTTAAAAACCTGAAACAGGCTAAAAATGAAGATCTAGGAGCATAAACTACTGGGGACCAGAAATGACAATGTTAGTTTTTTTATTCAAACCAACCCTTACTTGCCCATTGCTGCTAAAAGAAGACAGCAGCAATCCAAAATGAGAATCAATCATGGAATATAGCATCTGCACAGACAGCTGTCCTGGGGTTATTCAAGTGGGCCTTCTCAGGTATTTCATTAACCTTTTCTTTAATGGATGACAGACTCTGTTATAACGAGTGCTTTCTAATTACCTAACAGTAACAGATATGTTTTAAAATTTCAAAAATAAACATTTACCCTTTTTCTGGTACTTTTAGATATTTAAACTCTAGTTCCCTGCTAGGAAGGCAAATTTTCATTTCTAACATCCTAAAGTCTGATAATTGAGAAAACTGTCATCTTATTTAAAAAAAAAAAAAAAAAAAAGTCTGACCAAAGAACTTTTCCTCTACTAATTGGAGAAAAAACAACAACAGAACACAACTCATTTTAAATCTTCCCAGGGACACTTACATAAGCACTGCTCATAGAGGGTTACATTCCTCTCAACACTATATAACCAAGCTTAATCATAACAATTTACTGTATATGTTAAATATTAACTAAAGTGTCTTCATAACTATAAAGAATTCATACTGCATTTTAAATTCAATAACTTGGTATTTATTAAACAACCATAAGGTCATCAAAGCCCACGTGGTATTCAAATACTTCAAACTAGGTTAACAATTAGCAGAATCAATTAAAATAACTTGCCCTGTAATTGTAAAGCAATTCATCCACAGAACTGGAAAGGAGCTTGGGAACACTGTTGTTTTCTTCTTTTACCACCATGTAATGCTCCCGCACAGCATAAAAGGAAACTCATTGTCTGGGATTCAGACACTACTGTTTCAAGTCAAACTTGGGGCTATTCTAGGAAGATGACAACTGTACCAAATTAGCAGTCGTAGTTTTGTAACATTATTTGGACCAAGTGGCTTGTTTGCTTAGAAGTAAAATCCGTGGTGCCCAGAGATGAGAGGATGGATAAATGGTAAGCTGACTATGCCATCAGGTCTTTGCTAAGAGTTGACTAGTTTCTAAGATTCATGGCATTCTAGTCCATATACTCAGGAGTCATATGAAGAGCATGATAATACCAAAGATTAAAAATCCAGTGACATGGAAACACATAATATGTAAAGGAGACATCTTAACTTCAGAATGAAAAGAACTAGCAAAAAGGTGAAAAATCGAAAAATGAGTTGTACTTTCCAGAAATACTTTATTTAGAATATGGGTAACTAATGACCCTAAGAATCATTATTTTATAAATCATGATAGTCTCTGTTTTTCCTTCTGCTAATATTAAGACCTGCCATCTTAGTTCCAATTTACATATTTAAAAATATAATGTCTGCCTCAAATGAAACAAAAGTGACATTCTATTTCAGACTTGCAGAGCTCATACACTGCTGTAGTAATATAGATATCTTGGACCTTATAATTTTTAATACTGAGATTTGCTCATTCATTTATTAAATGCTTATTGGGTGCTTTCTACATGCCAGGCATTGTGCTAAGAGCTGAAAAATGGTAAAAATACTTTTAGATACCTCTAACCTGAAATTCAAGTAAGCAATTCTTATGAAACTGGGAGTAGGGGTACAGCAGGGTGGTAGGGGAGGCTTTTCATGTGGAAAGGTCTGAAATAATTCATCCTGCCAGGGGTGGTGGCTCATACCTGTAATTCCAGCACTTTGGGAGGCCAAAGCAGGCAAATGGCTCTATCTCAGGAGTTCAAGACCAGTCTGGGCACACAGCAAAACCCCATTTCCATAAAAAATACAAAAATTAGGCAGGTGTGGTGGCAAGTGCCTGTAGTCCCAGTTACTCGGGAAGCTGAGGTGGCAGGATCACTTGAGCCTGGGAGTTCAAGGCTGCAGTGAGCAATGATCGCACCACTGCACTCCAGTCTGAGGGACAGAGCAAGACTCTGTCTCAAAAAATAAATAAATAAATAATAATATTTTAGCAGGTATTTTATATTTTACAAAAACAATACATAAACCAGAAATAAAAGTTACTTTTCCCATGGCATATCATAGCTGGTGTTGTTAAGATTGAGAGTCCTGCTGAAGATGCATGGGGAGTTTATGAGTCTTCCTAGAACCGGCAGCTCAGTAAGTGAAAAGACAGATACCTCAGGAATCTCAAACAAAAATAAACGAGTTTACAAGCTGGTCTACAAGAACTTGCTATTTCAGTAAGGCAGCCAATGAGTGAAAGAGACTAAAATACTCCCTCTTTAAACTATAATGCAGTTGATCACAACAGTCAAACCAGTTTTCCTTTCAGAAATGAACTGAATGTCTTAAGATTTTTACAGACAATGTGGATACTCATTTCAGTTGACACTTATTTCCTTTGGATATACACCTAGTAGTGGGACTGCTGAATCACAAGGTAATTCTATTTTGAATTTTTGGAGGAACCTCCATACTGTTTTCCATAATGGCTTTATTAATTGAAATTTACACTCTTACATTCCCACCAACAGTATGTAAAGGTTCCCTTTTCTCCACATCCTTGCCAACACTTTTGTCTTTTTGCCATTCTATCTAGAGTAACATCGATCTCACTGCGATTTTGATTTGCCATTCCTGATTAATGACGGATGTTGACCATTTTTTTCATATACCTATAAGCCATTTGTATGTCTTCTTTTGAGAAATGCCTATTAAGGTGTTTTGCCCATTTTAAATAGGATTATTTGTCTTTTTGCTATGGAGTTGAGTTCCCTATACTCTGGATATTAACACCTTATCAGATACATAGTTTGCAAATATTTTCTCCTATTCTGCAAGTTGCCTTTTTGCTCCGTTGATTGTTTCCTTTGTCATGCAGAAGCTTTTTAGTATGATGTAATCCCATTCATCTATTTTTGCTTTTGTTGCCTATGTATTTAGGTCTTATCCAAAAAATCCTCGCCTAGTCTAATGTCATAAAGTGTTTCTACTATGTTTTCTTCCATGAGTAGTTTCATAGTTTCTGGTCTTACATTTAAGTCTTTAATCCATTTTGAGTTGATTTTTATATATGGCATTAGATAGGAGTTCAGTAATAGATGATAGATAGGGGTCCAGCAATCCCACTATGGGTTATATATAAAAAGGACATGAAATCAGCATGTAGTGAGTATAGCAGTGGCTACCAGAGACTGGGGAGGGCAGAGAAAAGCGGGGCAACTGGGGGAGGTTGGCCATTGGGTACAATGTTACAATTAAATAAAAGGAAGAATAAGTGTCCTACTGCACAGTGGGGTGACTACAGTCAACAACAGGTATTGCATATCTCAAAATAGGTGGAAGAGAGGATTTTATATGTTCCCACTACAAAAAAAAAAGATAAATATTTGAGGTGATGGATATGCTAATTAGCCTGATTTGATCATTGCATAATGTGTACATATACTGAAATGCCACATTGTACTCCATAAATATGTATTAATATAATGATTGTGTCAATTAAAAATTAAAAAGTTATACTTTTTAACTAGTATATGTAAATATTCACCTTACATTCAAGATACTTGTTTTCCTTTCTAAATGGATATTACAGTACTGTTCTCTGGAAAAAAAAATAAAAAGACTTTCAAAACAGCCATCTTACTTGAAAAAAAAGACACTGGAAGAGCTATCTGCAAATCTTGTCCTGTGGGTCTAGGTTTATCACTGTCCACTGCCTGCTACAATGTCCTCTCCTATTTTTTTCTCATCATTTTTAGGCACAGCCAATAGTCAGAATAGGTCAAAACTGGAAGTAAGTGAAAGTATACCATATATCAATGAAAATTAAAGAGAGTTTTTTAAATCACTTTTTTTTTTTTTTTTTTTGAGACGGAGTCTTGCTCTGTCGCCCAGGCCGGGGTGCAGTGATGTGATCTCAGCTCACTGCAAACTCCACCTCCCGGGTTCAAGCGGTTCTTCTGCCTCAGCCTCCCGAGTAGCTGGGACTACAGGCACATGCCACCACACCCAGCTAATTTTTTGTAGTTTTAGTAGAGACAGGGTTTCACCGTGTTAGCCTGGATGATCTTGATCTCCTGACCTCGTGATCCGCCCACCTCAGCCTCCCAAAGTGCTGGGATTACAGGCGTGAGCCACTGCGCCCGGCCTAAATCACTCACTTTGTGTATAACATTATACTAGGCACTTCTTTCCTGCTAACCATTATACAACTATAGGTACAAAAAAATGATCATCCATCAGTGAAAATAATGATGAGTACGTGGTTAAAAAAAAAAAAAAAAAAGGCTGGGCGTGGTGGCTCATGCCTGTAATCCCAGCACTTTGAGAGGCCAAGGCAGGCAGATGATCATTTGAGGTCAGGAGTTCAAGACCAACCTGGCCAATATGGTGAAACCCCATCTCTACTAAAAATACAAAAATTAGTTGGGCGTGGTAGTGCATGCCTGTAAGCCCAGCTACTTGGGAGGCTGAAGCAGGAGAATTGCTTGAACCCAGGAGACAGGAGTTACAGTTAGCCAAGATTGAGCCACTGCACTCCAGCCTGGGCGACACAAAAAGAAAAAAAAAAGATGTAAGTGTCTAAGCTCACTGTTTCGGTACCATTTGGTAAAACTCACCTGTGATTCTGGATTAAATTAAAAGTTCCTGGCCAGATGTGGTGGCTCAGGCCTACATAGTCTCAGGTACCTGAGAGGCTGAGGCCAGAGGATCATCTGAGCCCAGGAGTCTGAGGGCAACCTCAGCAACAAAACGAGAACCCATCTCTTTTTTTAAAAAAGTAAAGTTCCTTTCCAAACTCCTCCAGTCCCTCCGAAGCCCAATCTTGGTTAGATTAGTCAGTTTATAACACTTTCTGTCTGATAAAGACCTTTCGCCACCTTTCTATAACCTGCGGATTACCAGATCAATAACCTGGAATACTCAAAACGAAACACACTCAAGTCACCCAGAGCATTTCTCTCAGCTTCTTCTTCTGTACAAAGACAATAAAACCTGCTGCTACCTAAATGATATGCTATACTCTGAAGCCTCCCTCAACTGATCCGTATCTACTACAGCCATCTCACACATGTATTTGACATATATTATTGCATTTAATTCCTATAATAAGTAGAATGTAAGCACCACAAAGACATACAGTTTTGTCTGATTTGTTCAGTGCTATAGTCCCAACACCTGTAACAGGGCTTGTCACATAGCAGGGGCTTAGTTAAGTGTTAGTTGACTGAATAAACAATTTACTGAATGAAGAATAGGGGCAAGTATAACGTCTAGTTTTCCTACACGGGAAAACTACAAATCAAAGGGATTACAAGACCTGACCAAGATCACATGACTATGAAATGGCAGTACCTCTAACAGAACGAAGGTCTCTTGGCTCCAAATCCAGTATTCTTTAAATTATCATTCCCCCCACCCTGGCCATGTGTACTCTCTTAAAATACAGAATGCCAGGAGAAATGAAGCCACAAGATGAACACCGAACATCTTCCAAGAGCAAAACTAAGTTACTTTGGGAAAAAGAAAAGAAAAGAAAAAGAAAAAGACATCAATTACAAAGTAGATTTTGAGAACTTACTTCAATTTCAATGATAAAACATGGATCCGAGAAAGACCTCTGATGTTTACAAACAGCCACTTGGAGCCTCCCTGGGGCCTAAGTGTCCATGTTTTTGCTCCTAGAGGCCAGTAAATGATAAAGCTGCAGAAGCCTCTGAGCACAAAGTAAGGACCAAATTTCCCACAGTCCCAACACATCCGGGACTTAGAATCTGATCTGATTCCTATGCACAGCCAGGAAGGAGAGACGGTCACTGCTCCTGTTCTACCTACTTAGCAGTCTCCTACTCTTTTTCTTCCCTCTCCCTGCCTTTCCATGCAGCCTTGGTCTTCCTTTTCCTTTCAGCAAACAGGGCCATTAACACATCTTTTATTGTGCTAGACCAGCATTCTTTAAACTGGGGTACATGTTTGGGGCAAAGCTAACACTTCCCAAGGGTCTCATCATCACAACTGTAAAGGAATCAGTTTCTACATTTGAAATTTCCAAACGTACTCTTGTTTAAAAATTAATGGGCTTGGGTCCACGCTTGCGTTGGACATCCATCCTGTGATGACCTTCACTGTGATGGAAGGAACCTGTCGTTCACCATCTCCCCTTCACAATGGTTCTTCACTCACTTTACAAAAGTAATGCACTTGTATTACCTTCTCTACATCTTTCTAAGATGCATTGCCTGAGGGTGAAAAGACCTTGGGTAGAGAAACAAACAAAGGAACAAAAATATTGATTCGTGTTGCAGGGTTAAAGTCTCCACTATTTAGGTAACAACTATTTCTGTTAAGTCAGGTAATTTCCAATTCTTTGTTTTAAAAACAACCAGAAATCATTAAATATTGAAAGTCTTATGATCAAAATAAATACGAAATACTAGATTTCAATCTATATACTTTTTTTTTTGGTTACAGAGAGTATGGCAGAGTGATCAATAGAATACTTTCAAGCATAAAAATATATTACACTGAGACAGAATTCTATACAGCGGAAGAGAAATGGAGTAAGAATTTAAAGAGATAAAGAAAAGGTGTAAAATGTTTAACTTTCAAAAGATTGATTCTTGAATCTCATGAATTTTTAAACAAATGATATTAGAAATCAAATATATATTTTACTAGAGTTTTTAGAATGATGTAATACTTTAAAATATGAATAGTTACAATATGCTGAGAAATTACATCCCCTGCAAGCATTTAAACTTAGAATGAAAAGTTTTAGCATTTAACTGAAAAATGTGCTTAGGGACAGAGTTTCACCAAATCTTTTAGGAGGCATAGAAGCAAAAAGGTTGTAAGAATGCTACTCTAACACAAGCCTTCAGGGTCTATCCAAGATGAAATGAGGAGGAGAGAGAAAATGAACAATTTCCCACCCATCCAGTTTTGAGTGAGGATGGTTGGGGGTGGAGGATTAGTATTTTCTCCATCCTCTCCTTGGTCCTAAGCACATTTGCTGAACCCAGTTCTAAAGTCAACAGTTTATAAGACTGATGATCAATCAGTTTAAATATCTGATCTTAATTGCACTGCTGACTGGGCTTAGACCTCAGCTGATGAGATACATCTCATCAAATCTCCCAAGGAGAATTGCTAGAGTACCTTTCTCTGGGTTCTCCAGAAAAACTTGTGGGGCAACATTTATAAAGGCTCAATTATTTTGTATTTATCTTATCATACAAAGGCAAATTTCACCATCAAGGATGTAATATTGAACACATCTATCTACCTGGCACTTCAGGAGTGGCATGTATAATGCAAAGAATTGGAGAGTTCTTTATATATTGTGTAGTGAATATTCATTCTAAGGATGGCAAATGTCCTGAAGAGTCATCTCAACAGACACATCTACGTTACTAGGCCCTCAAACCCCAATGTTTTTTTTCTCCTGTTCTGTAACCTCTTCTTCCCCACTGCCTCTTGCCTCTTTTCAGCCACTCCTTTGGCAAGCAGAAAGTTGTATGTATGATGGATGAGGCCAGCACTTAATTTGGTGTCTACACTGTTTTTAAAATATTGACTTTCCAGTCCTCAAGCTCTCAGAGAGACAGTGAACCTATTTAGAGCAGATGTCAGAACAACTTCAACCCTTCTCTCCTTTAGTACCAGGAGGTAGCCCAGTTTGAGATAAGAGGTCAGTCTTCAGAGTCAGAAGGTTGGCTGGAAATTCCACTCCACCATTTACTAGGTACGAGTCTTCAGGCAAGTCAATTTTTCTGAATCTTAGGTTCCTGAAGTTCTTAAAAATTGTGTTGCTGAGGATTTGAGACAATACATATTATGCATCTAGAAATGTACCAGCCCATAGTAGGCTTCTGATAATCAATAGTTGTGAAATTAGATTTTTTAATGTTCTTTAAAAATTATTTAAAATTAGCCAATCATTTCCTCTTGGCATAATGTCAACTAGTGGCATGTTTTTCAATTTTGTTCTAGTCTCTTTAAAAACAAGTGATTTGAAAAATGACTATCTTTCATGTCTAAGTATAGGGTGGGCGTGTGCAGATGTAAAATGTACCTGCAGTACTAAAACTGGGGAAAAGGCAAACACAGGATGAGGACAACACAAAACTTAAGATTTCACCTATAACATTTATAAATATACCAGCATGTCCTCAACCTGTCCTAAACTGTGTGAAACATGTTTAAAAACATGCAAAGAATCTATGATTGACTCTTTTAAAGTCTACCCAAATTAAACTGCTATAACAACACTTTCCCCAATCAAATTAGAAGAGAATTTTTTGGTAAATACTTAATATTTTCAGGATGTGGGCAGACTGATACTATCACAATGCTCACGTTGGTGTAAACGAGGATTTCCTTTAGTCTCTAAAGCAATTTGACAATGTGTATCAAGGATTTTAATAGGACTGACATGCTTGTTCAGCAAAGTAGAAATACATTCTAACCAAAAAACTCCCAGATGTATGTACAACAGTATTCATTACATCACAATTTTTAATAGCACAAAATAATACAGCTTAATAATGTCCACAATAGGGGATGAAATTACTTGGCATAGCTTAGCCCATGGACTCTTTGGCAGCTATTAAAAATCATGTTGACAAAAATATTTAAATGAGATGGGATTGTTAAGTGAAAGAAGCAAGGTATAAAGCAGTATCTGGCAATGATTCCAAATTTGTATGTGCCACTATGATTCTCAAGCGGCAATAAGGAAATAAGAGAAATTTACAATGAAGAATTGGAATTACATATAGTGATCAAAATCCATTCCACAGCTTGAAAGGACACAGTGTTAAGACTTGCTACCCACGTCCTCATTTTAGAAAGAAGTGTGGGATGAGTACACTGCTGATTCAGATCCTTTTTATGAATGGCAGGGATAGAAAAGTGGGAAATAAAACTGAAAGTCATGTCGGAAAGTGAGATATTCCACCCCTTTAAACTTTCAGTTTAATGAAGCTTTTGAGTGGCTTTTACACCACATGCAGCAATGCTCTCTGCCTAGCTAGCAAATGTGGCAGTGTGCAGAGATGAGAGAAGGTAGGAAAAGGTAAGGACTCACAATCTGCCAATATACACAATTTTGGAGGAGGAAATGAAACGCTGTGAATACAAACACACACACCAGTTCAGGTCTGCAGATGCTATTTAAAGCACACAACATTTTCCCACCCCCACTCGAAGCAGAAACGCCTCAACACACCACCTGTGCGTCCCCCCCCCCCGCCCCCACCCCACCGCTTCAACAGCTACTGTGATCTGCACTTCATTACTAGTTTTAAAACTTCCAGCTTATTCCCAATGCACCCTACTACTACCAACAATCAAACGAGGATAGCAAGCAAGCCAAGATTGTTTTCCAGCCTTCACGAACTTTCCTGCATCTATTTTTCACATCAGATATACAAATGTCTAATCAAACCCCACAGATAAGAAACAGAATAAAAACTCCTTTGTGTATGTATACATCTCACGTTACCCACTCTTCTACCCCAGGAAACAAGGAGTAACCCTAGTGCCTGTGACTCGAAATGACATCTTTCTGCTTAGTGTTCTTCTGACCTGGCCTGTGTAGTCACAGCTCTGCCTGCCTGCCAGCCTGGGCCCGTGTACTTCCACAGCTGCCCCACAGCAGGGCAGGCTTCTTTCTGCAAACAGTCTAAAATCGCATGACGCCAAAGCCCACTGAAGTTATGATGAAAACAAGAGAAGACCAAACACACCTAAATTGCCACCTTACGTGTCATCACTCTCCAACTGAAAGGTGTCTACTTGCTTGACAGTATGCGCAACTATGTGTTTGCAGCTGTCACACCGCAGAATAAACAGTTGGAGGAAGGAGTTGGGTGGGTTTCTGGTGGTCAGTTTCAGGAAATACACCCTTCTTAGTTCTGAGCTCAGGTTCCGAATCAATACGTTTTGGAGACTTATTTTTTTTTCCAGACTGGAAATGCGCTAAACCTAATAGTTAACCTTAAGCATGCCATCACTTCTGCTGAAAACATTTTCTACACACAGCCCCAAATTACTTTCAGTTGGGTTAAACAAAACAGACAAGCTGTAATACAAGGTCTCTGAGAAATGTGATCCTTTTCAATGGTCACCCAGGAGCTTTTCCTTTAAATCTGTTTGGCGGGGGATGGGGGAGATAGGGAGGAGAGCACCCAAATTAAGATGCCACCCGGAGCACAATGATATTCTCAAGAAAGTTGCCTAAGATAACTCTTCAGGGTTTCCCTGGTTGAGTAATTCTTGCAGGAGGGTGGGGAGGGATATCTGGCGTCCAAGATTACGATCTGCAGAGGTCTCCCTATGTTGACTTTTTTTTTAGGGCGTCCTTTTTAATTATACTGCAAGGACTCTGATTTCCACCTCCTTGTCTGCTGCTGGGGGGAGTTGAGAGCAACGCGCCAGGGCTGCGGCAGCCGCTCGGGCCAACTCCGGCGCTCAGGGGCGGGCAGCCCACTCCCCGCGGGTCCCACCCTCTCCAGCACACGCGCGCACACCCGCGTGGAGACGGCTGTCCTCGCCCGTCTGCCCCGCGCCCCAGCTGGGACTCACCGTTGTCCAGGCGCGCGATCTGGGGCAGCCGGTAAGTGCTGACCAGGAGGTCGAGCGGCACGGCCACCGAGCTCCACTTCACATCCTTGAGGCTGCAGCCCAGCGAGGGCGCCGGGTCCATCTTCCCCGAAGCCTCCTGTCCCGCGCTCCCCCGCCGCCGCCACCGGCACCACCCGCGCCTCGGCGGCCGCCGCTGCTCGCGCTCGCGGTCTGGGGCGCGCGGGAGGCGCCGGGCAGCTCCGGCCGCGGGCAGCCGGGGGGGCGCGGCGACTGGGGCGGCCCGGAGGGAGGGGGCCGGCGCCCGGCTCAGCTGCCGCTGCGGGGCATGGCTGGGGCGCCCCGCGTGCCCTCACGCCCGGAGAAGACTCAGAGCAGCCGCGCGGCTGCGGGCGGCGGCGGCGGCCCGGGTGGCTGCGGCGGCTCCCGCTCCGCCTCCTCCTCTGGCCCTGGGTCTGCAGCTGCGGCGGCCGCCCGCTCGCCTCCTCCTCCTCTTACCCCTCCTTCCCTCCGCCTCGAGCGTGTGAGGAGGAGCCGCGGGTCTGAGAAACGCCATAGCAGCGCTCCCAGCACTGACTAATCAACAAGGTGCGAGCAACGCCTGCGCAGCTCTGGGAGACACCGCCTCCGCCTCCCAGGCGCCGCCCGCTCCGCCCCCAGCTCGGCCTCCGCCTCCCGCAGCTCCCGCGGCCCGGCAGGCTCGCGTCAGCTCCCCGGCCGGGGCCGCCAGCGCCCGCGGCTCGGCGCGCTCCGCAAGCTTTAGCTCTCGCTCCCCCGTCCGACCACTCGGGCGCCCTGCAGTCTCGCCGGGTGCTGCTGCGCGCCCCGGCTCCTTCCCCGCCCAGGCCCGTCCCCGGAGCCCGGGAATTGCCGAGCGAGCTCAGGTATCGCTCCCTGAGTCGTGGTGTCGGGCACCGTCCGCCTCCACTCCCATCCTGGCAATGCGGTGGCTAAATACAAGGCACAAAAGATACCTTTAGTGGCGCTCCCTCTTGCTTCCCGGTGACCCAGACTTTGGTCAGAAGAGTACCACAGCCCAACGGGGCTGCGGACGGCAGGCGTGGAGCACGCCTTGGCGTTTCCCCTCAACCCTACTCCTCTACCATCGGAGCTGGAAATGACTCCCAACAGTCTCAGCTTTGGCTACTAGATAAGATAAAAAGGGCAAAGCACCGAAAAGCGGAAAGGTGGTGGGTGATGAGTACCCACATACAGGAAGGTGGCCATTCGGTCTAGGACCTTCACTGAGTGAACGAGCTGCTGGAGGCGACGGGAGTTGATGAGGCCACCAAACACCGTAGACACGGAGATGGGAAGGGAAAACTAGGTTACTGGGAGGCTGCTGGGGTCAGCTGTTCTCACCCGCTTTTCCCATTCAGTTCTCTTCTCATCTTAAAGGTTGGGATCATTCTCGTTTTCTAGGTATATGTACCAAGACATTAGGTAGTTTGGCAAGATTTTATAACTCGTAGATGGCCGTGCTGGGATTCAAACCTACAGTTTGCTTTGCATGATCAATCATTCTCTGTCTCTCCCGATGTTTGACACGGCCTGCTCACTGTGGACAGAGCTCAGAATATAAAGGTGGCATGTCCTGCCTTGTATGCTAATCTGCTTTCTTTCTTTCTGTCTTTCTTTCTCTTTCTTTCGCTTGCTTAACATTTTGTTAAAATAGCAGAGGTGAGTGGTTGCTAAGGTTGCGTATCTGCTCTGTTTTCAACACGTATTCAATGTTCAGTGCTTGATAAGGTACAGCAAGTACCCGCTTCGCCAGCCCAAGGGGACTTGAAAACATCCCGCTGCCTTTTCGTGGCCTGGCTTAAAAGGTCTGTGCTAATAAACCACTCCATTAACATTTGAAGAAAAACACAGATTCTTCTACACCCACCTTCCTGATCCTCTCACTTTGAAGCATTAGCGATAATTTTCACAAAATTCATCTGAAAGTTTTGACCTTTGGGTCATTCACATTGATTTTTTGAAAAAGTCTTGGAAAAAAGTGGGAAGTATTTTACTATAGAGTGTATGCAGAATCAGAAGTCCATAAAGTTCTAAGAATTGCTCACATAGAGTGTTTCGGCCGGGCGCGGTGGCTCACGCCTGTAATCCCAGCACTTTGGGAGGCCGAGGCGGGCGGATCACCTGAGGTCAGGAGTTTGAGACCAGCTTGGCCAACGTGGTGAAACCCCGTCTCCCGTCTCTACTAAAAATACAGAAAGTTAGCCGGGCGTGGGGGCAGGTGCCTGTAATCCCAGCTACTCAGGAGGCTGAGGCAGGAGAATCGCTTGAACCCGGGAGGCGGAGGTTGCAGTGAGCCGAGATCGTGCCATTGCACGCTGGCCTGGGCAACAAGAGCGAAACTCTGTCTGAAAAAAAAAAGTTTCAAAACTTTAAAGATTTAAGTGCCAGCTAATTTCTTTTTCTGAATAATTAATCACTTCTGGAAATAAAGCTCAGAATCCAAAAATGACATAGGAAACATCTAAGATTGGGCAGGGTCAAGGGTCTTTCAACCTGTAAGTAGATCCTAAACCCTTATATGGTAGGCTGATTTTTAAAAAAATGACTTTGTTACTTTTATATTCTCTTTAAAAGCTTCAGAGAATAAGAGAAGTAGTTTCCTCTCACAAAAGGACTGGTGACTTTTGACCTAAAGACAAGATAAAAAGTAAAAAGATTAATGTAATCAACTTTTTAAAAATCAATAAAGGACTTACATTAGATCTGTTATTGCTGACCTTGCAGAAAAGGTTTTATTTCAATCTTGAGTATTAAAAGGAAGAAATTTTAGTGAGCTGCAAATTCTTAGTAAGTTTCATGTCCTGGAAGAACTCTTACAGAAGGATTTTATTTGTGAGATGGAGAGTTTTGGTTAAACTGCCGAAAACAAAAACAAAAAGCAGTTGAGAGGGGTAATCTTTCAGTCTGGCTGAACTGTACTTCCAAACATGTTTCTTAAGGTTGTTGGAACAATGCAAACTGTGTATACAAAAGCATTACAACTTGGTGCAGGGGCAAAGCTTACAGGACTTTGAAGTTTATGAAAAGGAACATCCAAGAAAAGTTTTCTTTAAGGCAACAATTGATGCACTGGTCCCTTGTTCCTACTAAGTACCTTTACAAACTGAGATTTGTGAATTAAAATATCAGCTCCAGAGCCAGATGGCTTGGATTTGATTAGTGGCTCTGCTTCTATTTAATGTCATGGGAAACTTGCTGTTTCCTCCTCTGAAAAATGAAGATAATAATAGTACTCATCTCATAGGGTTGATATGAGAATTTAATCATTTAATATACATTTAGCATTTAGAATAGTGCCAGATGCATAGGAAGTGCTATGGAAGTATTAACATTTGCTATTATTATTAAAAACCATTGGCTTTAAAGGGCAAAATTTATAGAAAAGATGAAGAGATAAATGCTGACGATTTGAATAGATTTGAAAAATAAGAAATGATTAGATTTGGGAAAATAGTTATATCAGGCAAGGAGTAGAAGAACACTTTTTAAATGACAAACCTAGCTGGGGGACTTCATTGCAAATCTAGAGTCTGTGGGGTTAATTTATTCCACAGTGAACCCGCCTCCTACCCAGCAGACCCAGGCAGTGATCATGAAGACTCTGTATATGCTATTGATAAGCCCAAAGGTGAATCAGGTAAATGACACTACAGGACTCAAGTGACAGACACTTGCCAGCTTCCTAACTGTGAGTCTACTGTTTATACATGCATAACTTGTTAATTCTCTGCATTATCAGCTTTGCAAGATAAAAATATTACATATTGGTTTTCCTCATATCAGAGTGTCCTGGCTCACATAATATTCTAGCAGTCAAGTGCAATATCAAAGTTCACAGCCCTAGTGATTTTTTAGGTCTCCCCATTCTTTCCCCTTTCACTTAATTGCCATGTGATCCCCAGAGCTAACTTGAAAGACAGTCCCTAGCTAATGCTTTTTGCAGTATCTATATCGTCATTGTCTATGAAATTAAGTGTAGAGCCCTTGGCATGGCGTAGAAGGTTCTTCCCTTATGTGGCTGGGTCTGCCTCCCTAACCTCACTCCTGTTTGGCTACCTTCTAATACCCTATGATCTGGGGTAGCACCTGCTTGTAGTTGCCCAAATGTATCATGGTAATGCATACCCTTGTAGAGCTTGTTCTCTCAGCTTAGAATGCCTTTCTCCTTTTCTCTTACTGTGAAAACTTCATTCCAGCTCCAGCTTCCTGCATTCCATGAGCTGCTGTATCTCCTCCTCCAAGGAGATTCCTTTTTCTGTGTTACCATTGCACCTGCAATACCCTCTTTTGACTGTACTAGTTGCACTCTGATTAATTATCTTCCTATATTAGCTTTGCCTACTAGACAACAATTGACTGTGGACACAAAGAGTTTTTTTTTTTTTTTACCTCTGTTTTACCAGCTCCTATTACCATGCCTGGCACACAGCAAGTGCTCAATTAATGTTTGTTGAATTGAGTAATCAATGCACTGAGTCAACTTCTCACTCTATATTATTTTGTAGGTCACTGCAACTCCTTTTTTTCCCCAAGCCAAATGGTATACAGCTTTAAAATTTTATTTACTTTATTTTTTCATTTCATTTTTTATTTTATTTATTTATTTTTTTGAGACAGGGTCTCTCTCTGTGGCCTAGGCTGGATGCAGTGGCACTATCATGGCTCACTGCAGCCGCCAACTCCTGGGCTCAAGTGATCTTCTTGCCTCAACCTCCCAAGTAGCTAGGACTACACTCATATGCCACCATGCCTGGCTAATCTTTTTTATTTTTTGTAGAAACCAGGTCTTGCTATGTTGCCCAGGCAGGTCTTGAATTCCTGGGCTCAAGCAGTCTACCCACCTAGACCTCTCAAAGTGCTGGGAGCTACCACGCTTGACCTTGTATCCAGCTTTATTAAGATACTTTTCAGCCGGGCCCAGTGGCTCACGCCTGTAATCCCAACACTTAGGGAGGCCGAGGCGGACGGATCACGAGGTCAGGAGATCGAGACTATCTTGGCTGACATGGTGAAACCCCATCTCTACTAAAATACAAAAAATTAGCTAGACATGGTTGCGCGTGCCTGTAATCCCAGCTACTTGGGAGGCTCAGGCAGGGGAATCGCTTGAACCCAGGAGGCGGAGGTTGCAGTGACCTGAAATTGCGCCACTTAACTCCAGCCTGACGACAGAGCAAGACTCCGTCTCAAAAAAAAAAAAGATACTTTTCATAAACAACCATGGTATCAGGCAGGACATGTGCAGACAGTCATTAAGAGTATAGAACAGCTTTCAAATTCTCTCCTTCAATGGACTACTCAAATCAGAAAGCCACTCTAAAACCCAAACGAACTCTTCATTTGATACCCTGACCCAGCCACGTAAGGGAAGAACCTTCTATGCCATGCCAAGGGCTTTACACTTAATTTCATAGAAAATGAGGATATAGATACTGCAAAAGGCATTAGCCAGGGACTGTCTTTCAAGTTAGCTCTGGGGATCACATGGCAATTAAGTGAAAGGGAAAAGAATGTGGAGACCTAAAAAATCACTAGGGCTGTGAACTTTGATATCACACTTGACCGCTAGAATATTATGTGAGCCAGGACACTCTGATATGAGGAAAACCAACATGGAAGGGAAAGTTTACATGAAGGGTTGACATTTCACATTTAGCATGTTGTTTAATTTTTCATGAGCCAACCCTGACTTTCAAGAAATGGTGGAATTTATCTGACGAGCCACAGTCTAGAACAGGAACTGCTGCTCTTTTGAGGGATGCCATCTCAATGGTACCACTGGAAAGTCCAGATTGCCTGGCACACTGGTAACTGATTTTGGGAGGGTCTGGTTCCAACAGGTGTATGGGTTTAAGGGAGTTAAATCTATGCTGAAGGCAGAGAGCGAGAAGAGGACATAAAAATGCATTTTAGTTTTTCCACACCACCGGGCATTTGTGCCAAGGTGGCTATGTGTGTCAACCTCAAGGAATCCTTCCTCCTGGATGCCAAGAGGAAGTCTCTTAAAACTAGAAAGGAAAGGTATTTTCCCACATCAATTCAGCTTCAGGAACATTCTATTAGTAATATATGCCCCTTCCTCAGAAAACCACAATGAAGTGTTTGGTGTGCTAACAACATAGCCTAAAAGAACAGGAAAACAAAATTCTGCACTTTTATATAATTTGGCAAAAAATCATATTTCAGACTGCCGTCACCAGAGTACACAGATACTGAAAATGCACACACTGCACTCGGCATCTTCAGCGCCTCAGCTTCCTGTGCCTGGTCTGTTTAGGCATCTTCATTTTCTGCAGGGTTATTCCCATCCTTGCCAGCATCAAGAATGCTTTTTTTCCTTTGAGTACCTTCTCTCCCTCCTTTGCAAGGGCCTTTTTAGGTTTGGGCTCTGGCTTAGGAGAAGCAGATTTAGCAAACAACCTTGCAAGTCTTTTGTGGTTCATCCTTCACCTTGACTTTATCTTCTTAGCATCCCCTTCATCTTTTCTCTTGGGCAGGTTGGTGACTGCAGTAGGACATAAGTGCTGGAATCAGAGATGCAACAGCCTGCGAGCTTTGCTCAGTCCCGGGGTCATTCTTGCCTCTTTCACACTGCTCTAATCTCTTAATTATAAACAACATTCATCAAGTCTAGAAATGTTCAAGATTTTTGAGATTTTAATTCCAAATAGCAATGTTTCCTATCAGATTGGCCCCCAATTCTTTTTATTCATCTGAAAATTTGAATTTCATTGAATTCAAGATCTGCACTCTTATTACCCAAGTAGAGATTATGCTTCTAGACTAGCAGTTCCAACATGTATTAAAACCATTAGCATATGTGTTATTGTTTGTTAATTTTTTATCTTCCTTACTAGGACTTCACCCCCAGAAGAGCTTTCTTTATTATCTCTGCATCCCTAGCATTTGGCATATAGTAGACAGTGTGTGTCTGTGTGTGTGTGTGTGTGTGTGTGTGTGTGTGTGTAGTGAATAGATATATAGTGTGATATATATGCATGCATATATATTGTGATATACATATGTTGAATGGATAAAAATACCATAAAACAGCATATCTCATATGGACACTTTCTGAAAGTCTCTTAAAAAATACTCAAACTGGCTGGGCGCAGTGGCTCATGCCCGTAATCCCAGCACTTTGGGAGGCTGAGGCAGGCGGGTCACTTTTGGTCAGTAGTTACAGCCTGGCCAACATGGTGAAACCCCATCCCTACTAAAAATACAAAAATTAGCCAGGCATGGTGGTGCGTGCCAGTAATCCCAGCTACTGGGGAGGCTGAGGTAGGAGAATCACTTGAACCTGGGAGACAGAGGTTGCAGTAAGCCAAGAGCACGCCACTGCATTCCAGCCTGGGTGACAGAGCAAGACTCTGTCTCAAAAAAAAAAAAAAAAAAAAAAAAAGCTCAAATTTACTGTCATTGCTCCCTTTTGATATAGGACATGCCTTTCTTAAGTAGATCACTGGATAAGACAGATATTACAGTGCCAATATAGGAATATTAAGGAAAATATCACCAGTTGCAAATTAAATTTCATGCAGGCTTGTTTGCTTTTAAAACAATACATAACAAATCTCCATTTAGAAATACATATCACATTGTGACCCAGTACACACATACATATAAATTGAAACAAAAGTTATATAAAACAGTATTTATTTGTATACTTATCATATCAACTGCATCCTGATCTTTTACTTTTTATTTATTTCTTTATTTTTAGTGCTAATCATGACCCACTAACTTTATAGATTTCACAATCTATAATGGGTCACAACCTGCAATTTAAAATCCACCATTCAAAATAATAGTTTCTTTTGTGCATTAAGTATTTACATTTCACTTGATCTTAGCCAAAAGGCCGAGAAGCGATGAGTATTTACATTTCATCAAAAGAAGGAGCATTATGGTTAAAATTGTTGGAGCTTCTAAAATTTATGAATACTCAGAAGCAAAACTGTAGATGATAAGAATTTAATTATTTAATTTACCAAAATCATCATATATGTTTCTCTATGTGTATGTGTATGCATGTGTATGTGTAACTTCATAGGTTCTAAGTTTGGGTTTATGAAGAAGCTAGCTCTTTGTGGGTGGTGCTTCTACTTTTACTCTCAGCCAAGCACAAGACCTCCTCTTGAGAAGCTGCTGGTAGTGAGAAATGATCCTGGGTGGGGCGTGGCTTTTCTGCTGTTTGAATAAATTCTTTCTGAAAGTAAAGCAGAATTGCTAACTCATCACTAATTATTCCTTGTGCATATGTGAATGAACTGTTTTTAATACTACACTTGAAGTATTGGTTAAAGAAACAGATAGCTTAATTGGTTATGTCATTTATGAACTAAATAAGCTAAGATTCTTTCTGCCTACAAGAGTCTATGGTTTATGACATAATTTAGATTTTTCTCAATGTATTTATCTACTTAATGTGGCAAAGCACAGGTAGGAAACCTTTCATTTTGTTATTTTTAGCGTCAAACTAATCATTCATATTATTAAATATTTATTAGTGACCCAAATCTTCCCAGGATGTATACGAGTTTGTTGTTGAGCTGATGATTTGAATCTTCAAAGGAGTTTCAGTGTCAGAGGCACTTACAGATGGCTTCCAGTTTTAAGCCTTCCATAGAAAGATAATGAGATCTTAGCTCCCTGCTGACAAGTCCTCTAAAGAAAGGCTGTCATACATGTTTTCCTAGGCTGCAGATTCTTCTCCCCTCTCTTGTAGTAAGCAGGGAGAAGGGAAAGACAAGAAAGATGGTGGTTATGCTGGGTACCTCCCTGGGCCCCTGACTACACTTATTCAAACTGGACACATTTTTCCTTCCTGACCTCTCATTTTTCAGGTTCCTGGTCTCTGAAGGCTTGAGAGTATCACATTAATATACTTAGAATTGCTTAAGATTATACTTAACTTGCCTAGCAGACTTTCTAATCATTTCCAAACCCATGTCTTAAAGAGTTTTTGCCTTTCCCCCACCTCAGAAGCAAATTAAAAATTTCCCAAAAGTTGTGTTTAAAATATCTATTTTATAAAATTTTGAAAATGCAAAACATTTAATGAAGAAAAAATATGACCTATAATCCCATCAGCCCAAGTTAACTTTTTATCACTCTTCATATTGGGTGTGTATTTTACTTTTTCTGTATATGTATGTGTAGATCTATTTAGTTTGGATTAAACTATAGTATAATTTTGTAGTCCACCTTTCTCATTTAACAATATATTGTCAACACTTTCCATATTGATATATATTCCAAAAGGTGATATTTAATGACTTGTATAGTATTTCATCATATGCACATACTGTAATTTATCCAACTCTTTATTATTTGACATTTTTATTGTTTATAATTTTTTATTATTAATAATTCCTTCGTGACTATCCTTGTAGGTATATCTTTGGGCATAACCATGACATTTTTCCCCTTAATATAATTTCCTACATGGGGACTTGCTGTATTAGAAGGTATGAACTTTTTTAAAGGCTTTTGATATAAACTGCCAATCTACTTTCCAGAAACGTGTGAATTTTCATTTCCACTATTTGGAAGCAAAGTCACCTTGAAGGGACAAGATAGTTCCCAGGTCAGAGCAGGTTTTATTGACAGTCTCAACATTTAGCGAACTCTAGCAATGTAGTTTATATCAGGCTGATACTATTAAACTGACTTTCTTTTTTCTGATGACTTGCCTGCCTAAGTAGTGAGGAATCCTTGTAGATTCCTTGCTTTGGGTCCTGGGACTGAGTATTCCATTAACAGGAGGAGGAAGAGAAAGAGAAAGAATTGGTTTGATTTGGACATATTGGATTGAGTCACCTGTAAAATATATGAAGTAGACAATTGGAAATAAAGATCTGGAGCTTGGAAAGAAATTAGGGAAAGACGCACATTTTAAGTCATAGGAATGGATACGATATCCCCAGGAAGGACGTAGATTGCAAAGAGAGAAGGGAAAATGACAGAATCTTGGGGAATACCAACACTTAAGGGTCACAGAGGAGGACGCAGCAGAAGATATTGAGAAAGAATAGTCAGAGAAATAGGAATAGAATTATAATTGTTAGGCATTCCTTTTCCCACACAGGTTCTTTTCCTACACCTTGAAAATTCTCCAAGGCTCATCTTTAACTGCCTTCAAGAAACCATCTCTTTGTCAGAATCAATTTTATCCTTCTCTATAGTATTTTGAGTGACTATTACCACAATAATAATGTATTGTGGTTATCATGGTTATCTTTGTGCATTTCTTAATCTCCTTATTAAACAATAAATCAAGAAGTGTGAAAGTCTGAGAGTTTACCTACTTGGAAGCTAATAAGTAAGCCTGCCACACTTATATGGAAGCTGGCAGAAGATAAGAGACTCCTAGATCACACACAAAGGATTGATTACTTTTGGTGCAGCAGTCAGCATGAACTTCATGTTCACACGAAGTCTCTTTCCCCAGATCTCATGGGGTGACTCAGAGAGGCCCAAGTAGATTCTGCACACAGAGTGGACTTGTGTTATAGCAGAGATTAGGAAACCAAACCTTTTATAAGCAAACCTGACCTATCCTTTCCTCCAGAGGTAGCCCTTGTATTTGTTTTGCTAGACAGCACAAAAACTGCCCTCTGATCCAAAGGGAGACATTATCTCTGTCTTCTAAGGCTGTTCATGATACAAACATTCTCAAAAAGATGAGCTAGAACAAAAGGTGTCAATGCCCCTGCTCACAAGATGTTCAGAAACCCTAGAGACCCAAGAATATTGTCTCTCAATAGGCATGCTAATGTCTTGTATATTTTTATGTGCCACTTGCATCTCCCAGGTTAGTGCCTTGCTATGAGAGTTGCTAATACATAGTTGTTGAAATAATGATTTAGAAATGACAGCAACATCAGAGATAGTTTAGAGCAGTGGTCCCCAACCTTTTTGGCACCAGGGACTGGTTTTGTGGAAGACAGTTTTTCCATGGACCGGGTCAGTGGAGAATGGTTTCGGGATGATTCAAGCACATTACATTTATTGTGCACTTTATTTCTATCATTATTACATTGTAATATATAAGGAAATAATTATACACCATAATGTAGAATCAGTGGGATCCCTGAGCATATTTTCCTGCAACTAGATGGTCCCACCTGGGGGTAATGACAGTGACAGGTCATAAGGCATTAGATTTTCATTAGGAGGACCCAACCTAGATCCCTCATGTGTAGTTCATGATAGGGTTCGCCTCCTATGAGAATCAAATGCCACCACTGATCTGATAGGAGGCAGAGCTCAGGCGGTAATGTGAGCAAAGGGGAGTGGCTGTAAATACAGATGAAGCTTTGCTTGTTTGCCTGCCACTCACCTCCTGCTGTGCAGCCTGGTTCCTAAGAGACCATGGACTGCTATCAGTCCATGGCCCAAGGGTTGGGGACCCATGGTTTAGAGGATGTTTCCCTAGAATTATAATAGGCAGTATGAAGGTTGCTTTAAACTTCTGATATAAGCTATTTAGAAAAATGGTTTAGTCATAACTATAACCTCCCTGAGAATAGCAATGTATCTTAATCCTTTTTGCTTCCTTTAGTCTAAAACAGAGCCTAGAACATAAGACCTGATCAACTAAGGTTTGTTAAATAAACTGGAATATGTGGACGATCTCAGCAATCTGAATGATGCAGCACTGACAAAGTTGTTTGCTCTTCCTCAGCACTTCCAGTCCTCTTTGGCAACAATGCCAGCAGCCTTTATACCCTCTAAAGTAGCTGAATAGAGGAAAATGAAGACACCAATTCCTGCTAAATGTTTGTAAACTGGTGGATTAGTGGATTACTCCTTCAGAAACTTCTTTTTTTTTTTTTTTTTTTTTTTTTTTTTTTACATCAAGAGCAGGCTGGATGTCAAGGATATGATTAAATGGGTTTTCTCATACCTTGCTCGTGGAAATGTAAATTGGTATAATCTTTATATCTGCATTTGGCTATTTTCAATGAGGTTTTAAATGCCTATTCAGCAATTTAATTTTGGAAAAACTGCCTTAAATAAATTAATCTAACTATAGAAAAGAAGTTTTATGCACAAATATGTTAAGCCCAAAAATGTATTTGTAGTAGCATAGAATTTTAAGATTACTATTGAACTTAAGAAAAAATTATACTCTGATGTGGTAAATCACTGCGTAGATCATAGAAAGACATTATTACCAAGTTTTATTCCAAGAAGTATAAATTATCACTATTCCTAGACAATTTAAATATTGGTGCCATGTGTCTTTCCAAGGTCTCGTCAATTTCATTTAGTCTAGATTATATGATTCATACCTGTCTATAAAGAAAGGTAATGAATTTTTCAATTGCTTCTCATTTTATTTGGGGTTGATCTTTTAATACACTGATACTCTACTGGAAGGAGGGAATGAAACTCTCCAGAGGAATGCATGTTCAATATTACAATATTTTACGTTTCCAGTAGTGAGGGAAGGTATTAATTTCAAAATTATTTGAAGATCTAGAAAGTTGCTCCTAAAATTTTATTTTAATATAGAATCCTCTGATATTATTTGTACTTATAAATAACAATTACTCAAGATATTGAGGGAGTCAAAGATTTCCTATTTATGTCCTGTTATTCTGCCCAGAAAACATCAGTAGGTCAGACCAAATCAGGAAGTGGAAGGCAGATGACAAGAGTACTTATTTAAAGCTTATTTCATGTAAAAATGAAAAAATCCTGATGAAATCCATTTGGTGCATTTGGTGCTTTCAGAATTTTGTAAAGTGTTGTCACTGGGTTTGTGCAATGTCGAAAGGCAAATCCCACATCTGGAGGAAAGATGGCAGTAATTTAATAAAGCATTTGGCCTTTTCATATTAGCTATAATTCCATCTAGAGTTAATAAGGTTTTTTTTAATTAGTAAATCTCTTTGATGTCAAGATATGCATTGACGTAGTTAATTTACTTTTATTTGAAGTAGGCACTCTTGGGTCTCATTGACGTACATGTGAGATTTAGTGCCTTTGGTTTTTCAGGGAGCCCCCTCAGTAAGCAGTTTATATCACCTTTTCTCAGGATTAAAAAAACACTTAGAAGAGTGCAGTTGGCTAAGTGGGACTTTCTGCTTTCTTTACATTATATGGTCAAGGTATAAAATGAAACAATGACAAGGGAAATAGGGTTACTATCTTCTGGGATGAATTCGCATCAGACTCCCTGAGAAGTAAAGATGAGAATGTCCTATTATACTTTTCTGACTAAAGCAATAGAGAAGTTTAAAAGACAGGATAAGAGCTGAGAGAGAGAAAACCTGAAAATGGGGAAAATGGAAAAGGAAAGTCAAGGTGGTGCAAAAGAAGTGGAGAGCTGTGGGGTGCCTGAGGCAAAAACCGAGCTATAGACAAGGGGAAGAACTGTGTTGCTGGGGGTTATCAGAACAGTAAAGGATATGCAGAAAACTTCAATCCAAAATGAGGGAGTTAGGCTTGTGAGAGGAGGGAGGGAAGGGGGAGGGAAATCATAAGATAAAATCTAACTTGTGGCAGTAAGTTTTATTTTCTTGAAAGTGGGTACAGGAATGTAAAATTTTCTTATGCCCTGAGAAATCCATTATTGATGTTTGAGACCCCCAGCCAAATGTATTTTAGTCATCTGTAACGTACACCAGTGGGAACATTGCTTCATACATATGTAGATGCTAATTTAAGCCAACACGTATTCCATTTTAATTACTCGAGTACAAACATCTCACATTTTCCCTTTGGTATAAAATGGAAACTTTTATTGGTTGGTCCAGCAACAGGGGCTACAATATATACAATATGAAGAAAGATTGAGTTGACATTCCATTATGAAACTTTAAGTGTCTACAAGATTACTGTAAAAGTCATCTTAAAAATTATGAGTTATGAATATGTTAGTTGTTTGGGGAGAACAAATTTTTGGTTTGGTTGTACATTTCCTCTATTTTCTATTTTATTAATTTCCAATAATTTATTTACCTTTCACTCTCTTCAGGTTTACTCTATTGTCTTTTAACTTCTGAGCTGAATTTTTAACTAGTTTATTTTCAACCCCTTTTATTCTTTTTTTTAAAAAATAAATGTATCTATAGGCTCCAAATTTCCTTCTAAGAACCACTTTGGCTCCATCCTATATGTTTTGATATATCAAAATATTTTGATGTAACCAAAATAATTTGTAAATTCTATTATGAGTCCCTCTTTGATGAGTTATGAGGGATGTATTAAAACATAAACATCTTGATTTTTTTCCAATTATAGTTGACCCTTGAACAATGTGGAGGTTAGGGGGACTGACCCTCCGTGTAGTTGAAAATTCATATGTAATTTTTGACTCCCCCAAAACTTAACTACGAATAGCCTACTCTTGACCAGAATCCTTACCAATAACATAAACGATCAATTAATACATATTTTCTTTGTTATGTATATTATATACTATATTCTTACCATAATGTAAGCTAGAGGAAAGAAAATGTTATTAAGAAAATCATAAGGAAGGTATATTTACTATTCATTAAGTGGAAGTGGATCATCATAAAAGCCTTTGTCCTCATCATCTTCACATTGAGTAGGCTGAGAAGGAGGAGGAAGAAAGGGGGTTGGTCTTGTTGTCTCGGGGGTGGGAGAGGTAGAAGAAAATCTCAGCATAAGTGGACCCACACAATTCAAATCCATGTTGTTCCAGGGACAACTGTATTGATTTCTAACTGTTGCTTTGTAGTCAAGAAATGTATTAAGTAGATAATTCTTCAAAATTTACTGGACTTCTTTTGTGACTCATTTGTGATCAATTTGCATAAATGTTTTATGTATACTTTAAAGTGTATATTTTCTCTTTGTTCACTGCAGGTTTTTATACTCACCCATTGTACAAGCTTATTAATTTTACTGTTGAAATGTTCTCTATCCTTCTCACTTGTAAAATTGTGTTTGCTTGACATGTTTGTTTCTGATAGAGATTTGTTAAAATTGCCTACTATGATTTGGATTTGTCAGTTTCAACTTGTAACTGCCTTGTTTTTTTCATTTTGGTTTGTCATTGGGTTCATAAAAGTTTATGATTGTCATATCTTTTTGATGTCTTGTTCCTTCTATTCTTTTGTTACCCATCTTTATCTATATTTGCCTTGCATGTTGATATGCTACATCAGCCTTCTTTTGGGTGATGTTTGCCTAATATATATTTCCCTTTTTTTTTTTTACATATTTCTGTGCCATTATGTTTTAGGAATGACTCCTAAAACAATGTGTAGCTGGATTTTCAAAAAATACAATCTAGTCTGAGAAACAGGAGCACTTATTGTGGAAGAATGCCAGGTCTACTTAAGCCATTCCAATTTATCTATTGCCTTAATCTCCTTTGTCTGTTTTTTATAAAATTTCTTAGTGAGAAATACAAGATGCCTCTGTATAACAGTTTTGAGCAAACAGAAATTTAAGTTTACAGAGTAGCACATCAAGATGCCCAACACAAGCAATAAATCCAAGACTTAATTTGGTTTCCTTGTGTGCCTGCAGAAATTAGGATAGAAATGATTCTGCAGGTGTACTACAAGAACAATTTAATAAATTCTACTTCGCTTTCTATTATTTTTCCCTTAGGTTTTCATAGAAAGCAAATCTTGGGAAGGAATTCTGCCATAATCTATGATGTTAAATGTTTCAAACCCTCCCTAAATTGTTAACTCTTCAAAGGCAGATGTATCTTGTTCATGTTTGTGTATCTAGTGCATACAATTGAAGCTCAAAGGTTGACTTGAGCTAAATCTTAATTTGGTGGAGGGAAGAAGGAAAAAAATGGGAATTTACAAAGTAATTTTTTTCTTTATGACAAATTACTGTGAAAGAATGGCAATGGTGCCAGAATTTCCATTGTACTTTATTACCAATCTGAGTTATGGCCTCAAAGACTGCTTTTTACAATATGCCCAAGGATACTATTAATTTTTCCAAAATAATAAGTTATAGGAAATTTCAGAATAAAAATACAAAGTGTCCCTCTGTATAAATCACTACTCTGTAAGCTCTTTGAAGGAAGTACCATGGGTTCACCCTATTCGGTTGTAACAGTGCCTGGCACATAGAAGGCTTTCAAGAAATGTTGGAATGAACGGATGAGTGTCATGCAAATCTCGATTAACCTTACCTGAGCTGAAAACTTTCAGAATCCATACCATTTCTTTCCTTATAAATACAGTTGAAACTCTACCATTTCTGCAAAAGATTTTTGACATCCCAAAGAAAGAATTAAACTTTCTCTTCTTAATGTTCCCACTTTGTCCATTCTGCTAAGTAGCACTTTTAATTTCACAATGCAGGTATCTGTTTACCAATCTGTTCCTATTCTAGCTTATGGGGGATTGTTTCTTAATAATTTTAAAAATCTGTTTTGCAGTTGCAAAGGCTCAACGAATCTTTTTTGAACTGGATTTTCTTAAAGTAAAAATTAAGTGCCAATACTTGTTGAGCGTGTACTATGTTTTAGACCTTTTGCAAAAAAAGGTAAAGAAGTTTTCCCTTCAGTTCTCATAGTAATCCTATGAAGTATGTATTATTAATCCCTTTTAATGTATTAGAAAACTAAGGGCAACGAGGTTAAGCTAGTCATCCTAGGCCAAGCCTCCAGTACATGAAGAAGGTGGGACTAACTTTGTGTTCTTTTCACCTAACCATGCAATGCCCTCCACCCCTGCTTCCTTTCTTCCCAAAACCAAACAAACCTTCTTTTTTTTTTTTTTTGAAATGGAATCTCTCTCTGTCACCCAGGCTGGAGGGCAGTGGAATGATCTCGGCTCTCCATAACCTCAGCCTCCCAGGTTCAAGCGATTCTCCTGCCTAAGCCTCCCAAGTAGCTGGGATTACAGGCTCGCCACTATGCCCAGCTAATTTTTGTATTTTCAGCAGAGACGGTTTTGCCTTGTTGGCCAGGCTGGTCTTGAACTCCTGACCTCAGGCGATCCATTGGCCTTGGCCTCCCAAAGTGCTGGGATTACAGGCATGAGCAACGTGCCCAGCCCCAAACTAAGCTTCTAAGGACATCTGTACATATTTCACTTCCTCCATCAACAGCCTCTCAAAGCACATCATGGAGAAAATATATAACGTATTTGTCACTGAAGACTTTTTTAGGATCACACCATTTACCTCCAAATGTACGACATTGTTTTTAGTTGAGACAGGTTTAACCCTAGGAATGAGTATTCCTTCTAGACTCTAACACCTAGAAATCAGGGATGCCTGTTTATACTAAATGATCATCAAATCAGTTGTCCAGGGCATTCCTGTTATGGTACTTGGGCTGCAAATCAATATTCTAGATGCTTATAATGTATGAAAGAATTTAAGGCAAATTCAACGCTGATAATGAACATTAATGTACATGATGATGATGATGATATTATTCATAAATTTGGCTTTGCAGTCATACATATCTGCACTTAAATGTTTGTTCTAATTCCTTGCTAGCTGAATACTTTAGACAGGCTACTTAATCTCCCCAGGCTACAGATTCCTTACCTGTAAAACAGGGATGAAGGTATAGTCCTTGTGGATTAAATAAGATAATGCCTATCCTATAACTGGTAGTCATTATTGTTAATTATTACCCATAGAAATGCATGTTCTCCAAAAACTGTGAGTAAGTTAGGTTTGTCTACATGGCTTAAATATCTCTAGCTAATACCTCTTTATTTAATACCGCTTATTTGTCTTGTGGCTACTTCCAAACTGATACAGAGACAAATGGGTGGAGAAGCTCCCCAGGCACAGGTTAATGCCCCAGAGAGAGATTAAAGCAAACATGAATGCCATTTCCTTCTATTCCTGTGCAGAAATTTATGGGAGCATTAGAAAAGGATGTGACATAAATTTTATACAGATATTGTACATTAAATATACATACCATTACACCCTGTCTAGAATTACAACAACATCAATTATGATCATTACCTGTCAGTCACTACTCTATAAGCCAAACTGCACTTGTAATGAAGTCTAAACATGGTGTTTTCTCTATAAACAACCTCAGATGTCCTGTAGTGATCTATTAGAGGTTTTCTATATCCTTTCCCTGCTCCCTTCTGATCCTTTTAGGCTCTTATGAGCAAACCGTTGACCATGACTAAAAGCAGCTAAGTGCTTTCTTTCTTGGTGCTTAGCAGTTTCTCTGGAAGTCAGAAGACAATAATGTAGCCCTTAATACAGACTCAGACCAAATTTAGTGAGTGAAGGAAAGTACATGATACAAAGTTAAGGAAACATGGCCTTTAAGAAGACTAATGAAGACAAATATTTGCAAGGCAAACTTTAAGTCACATGGCTGTAAGTGTTTTTCCTTACAAATTTCCTTTACAAATTACTTCTGAACCTCCAGTTCTGTAGGAAAAAGTACGGAAAGAAATGAAATAAGCTAGTTGCCTAAATGACAGAAAGAGAATTTGTTTTTGAGACAGCGTCTTGCTCTGTCACCTAGCCTGGAGTGCAGTGGTACAAACATGACTCACTGCAGCCTTGACCTCCTATGCTCAGGTGATCTTCCCACCTCAACCTCCTATGTAGCTGGGACCACAGGCACATGCCACAATGCCCAGCTAATTAAAAAAAAAATAGAGATAGGGTCTCACTTTGTTGCCCAGGCTAGTCTTGAACTCCTGGGCTCAAGTCATACTCCCACCTTGGCCTTCCAAAGTGCTGGAATTATAGGCATGGACATCACAGCCAAGAACATTTTAAGTTATATATACTAGATATCATCTTATAAGATGATAGAAAAGTTCTCTAAGTCCTGGAATGAAAATATGAGTACATTCTGAATTATCCCCCTCTCTGTTCACTACTGAAGAACAATCCTTTCAGTAGAGAGGACCCTTGCATTTTGTGGGTTTCCCATTAAACAGATGCTGCCTGGGCACTTACCTTGCTTTTTCTCTTGATGATCATTCACTTTGACTTCATAGTCACTGTTGAAGATTGGGGTAAGTTCTAAAGAGATGCATTAGATCTCTCTCTGGAGCACAGTCAACTGTTTTTCCTCCTGCCACCTAGAAAACTTGTACTGCTCATTCTACCTATAGTTTCACTTTGGGGCATGGAATTATACAACTAGGAAATGTAAGATGTTGCATCAATGTTAATATTTTTGAAGCAAACATTATGTAGCTGATTTGTTTTATCAATAATATCTATTAGGAAAAGGAAAAGTGTAGTAAGTCCTCAATTGATGAATTAGTATTACTCTTCAAAATATTTGAAAATTGCTTGATTAGAAATTGCATTTCTAAAGCAAGAAACAATATGTGGTTAAGGCCTGTGGCTCAGAATATATCCAATGAATACATAACCTACTTATCTTAGGGATCACTGGATTCTGAATACAAATTATGGCAAATTCAGTCTAATAACTCCTGTATTTGTTTTTGCCTATACCTGCTCAGACAGGATATTTAGTTTCTCAAAAATTATATCTGAAAGTCCTCAGGGGATTCTTTAAATGTTCTCATGAGACATTGTTATTGCTATTCCTATTTTGTTGATGCATATCATAGGATAAATCAAATAAGTATGCCGGCTTATTTTAATTACTTGAATTTTTGGCACAGGAGAAAGGAAATACAGAAGTAAGATGAAAGAGGTTAAATTAAAATCCTGTAGTCTTGATTTTGATAGGAAGTATCAATAGGATCTTAAAAATACATATTTTCTATATCCTCTGAAAAGGCTGAGAAAAATGATGATTACAGTGGCAATCAGCATCCTTAACACTTAGATTGTGTCTCAAAACACCATTTCCCTTGAGAAGGAACCCATTATCCTGAAGAAATGGCTGATTTCAGATATGGGACAAGAATTCTTCAATAAGAGCCTGAAGCATCTTGTCATATATGAAAGCAGGAAGCAATCCAAGAGTAACAAAGATGTGTTCAAAGACTCAGAAGCCACCCAGTAGGCTCTCACTGGTCAGTTCAAGCATCAATATTTAAATTGGATTGAAGCTGAGCATAGTGGCTCATGCCTGTAATCCCAGCACTTTGGGAGGCCGAGGCAGGCGAATAATCTGAGGTCAGGAGTTTGAGACTAGCCAGGCCAACATAGTGAAACCCCATCTCTACTGAAAATACAAAAAAAAAAAATAGCCGGGCATGGTGGTGGGTGCCTGTAATCCCAGCTACTTGGGAGGCTGAGGCAGAAGAATGACTTGAACCTGGGAGGCATAGGTTGCAGTAAGCCGAGATCATGCCACTGCACTCCAACCTGGCAACAGAGTGAGAATCTGTCTCAAAAATAAAATAAAATAAAAATAAAGTGGGTTGAAATTCATTAAATATATTTATGAATAAACTAACTGGTCACCATTGGAAAGTACTAAAGAACCAGTTAAATATCTTTAATATTGGTAAATAAAGAGAAAAATTCAAGCATTATCTTGCCTATTTTGTATAGAGTATCTTAGAGTAACTAGATAGTTGATGAGGTAAAATATTCTTTAATAGAAGGATTCCAAGTAGTCAACAAATAATCACTGTTATGCAACCCCTACTGAATTAATGGACCTGCATGATGATCACAAATGCCTACTAGCATCATGAAAAGGAGACAATAAGTCCTTATGTGCTTCCTGATGGGAATACCCAATATCATCTGTGAAGTAGTCTAGACAAGACAATTGAACCTGAATCTCATCAAGGCTCTAGATCTATCTACCAATTTACAGGAAATACAGAAGAAAGAAGAACATGTTTAACGACACCACCATGATGCAATAAGTGAATCTACACAGTGGGACCTGGTTTTTTCAATAAGATACTTAGGGAAATTTTCAGGGAAAAAAAAAGAGTTGAGAGGGAAACCTAAAGACTAAATAAACTCAAAGACAAACCACATAATGTCTATGTGTGAACTTAAACTTGATCCAGACTTAACTAAAATTTTGAGATAAAATTGTGAGATGATTGGGAAAATTATAACACTGAAATTAAGTTTTGAAATTAAGTAATTATTGTCAATTTTTAGGTATGCTAATGTGCTGTGGTTGTGTTTTAAGAGAGTCCTTAGGTCTTAGAGATATATCATTTTAAAGTTTTAAAAATAAAAATAAAATGATGTCTGTGACTTGCTTTTAAATAATCCGGGGCTAAGGGAAGGTAGTAGATTTGGATATAAATAAAACAAGATTGAGTGACTGCAAATTGATAATTGTTGAAGTTGGGTCATAGATACATAAGTGTTCATTATGCCATTTTGTTCTATTTTCTATGATTAAAAAAATTTAAATTGTACCTCTAAGTCATTCTATTAGGACAATGGTCATAAGACATCCACATGTTCTTCTTTTGTTTAGTCTTTTCCTCAACAAAAGTCCTTTCCTCCCAGTGCATTTTGACAGAGGCCTCTCTATTGCTATTGAAATAATTATTAATAATGATAATGTTAAAAGTGCCTATCATAAAGAGAATGTCATTGGTCCAAGTCTAGGATGCTGAATCTTGATGTTCTCGAAGCTTCCCATATATTTCTACATCTATATATTTTATAAAAATGAGATCATTCATGACATGCTGTGTGCATCCTGCTATATTTTACTTGATAAACTATTATGACTTTTTTTTTTTTTTGAGATGGAATCTCACTGAGATGCCCAGGCTGGAGTGCAATGGAGTGATCTCAGCTCACTGCAACCTCTGCCTCCTGGGTTCAAGGGATTCTCCTGCCTCAGCCTCCCAAGTAGCTGGGATTACAGGCTCCTGCCATCACACCCAGCTAATTTTTGTATTTTTAGTAGAGACGGGGTTTCACTTTACTGGCCAGGCTGGTCTCGAACTCCTCAGGTGATCCACCTGCCTTGGCCTCCCAAAGTACTAGGATTACATGCATGAGCCACTGTGCCAGGCCTATTATGACTATTTTAATATATTTTTATAATGTTTTAAAATCGTACCTGGTTTTCTATTAGATAGGTGAGGCTAAAACTTACAAAAATACTTTACTAAAAGAGCAAAGAGGAGAATATATATGAGACGTACAGAAAAAATTATAGCCATGTTCTGTAAATTCAAAGGCAGCAGATGATCTATTTCATTAATTTTTTCATGAGTTGTTTCTCCTAGAGAACTTTAGGCTCCAACTCCAGCCTACACAGGTACTCTCTGTGTCTGCTATATCGCTGTTGTTCTGGGACTTCGCTTTATTGCTTTCTAGTGTTGGAATCCCCTCTCTTTTGAATCTCATGTTTTATCTCTTGGAGTAGTTCTCCCCATCCCCATTTAAAAATGGGTATCTTCTGTCCATCCCTTCTCAAGGAACAATGCACCTGAAATAAATTGGATTATTTTCATGTCTGAAAATGCCTGTTAGACCTTCTCAATTGATTTTCAATACATTGCTCCAATGTCTTCTAGCTTTCAACAATACTATATTAATTTCAGAAACTTTTGACATTTTACATTATGAAAGCATTTACTCATCATTAACAATGTTTTGAAATTTTGAGGTGATGTTCCTTGGTAACAATTTTTCTCCATGATCATTAAGCTAAAATGGGGGTCCCTTTTAGTCTAGTGATTCAATATTTTCAGTGTTGAGACACTGTCTCATACTATTTCTTTGATAATTTCCTTCAGTATTTTTTTTTCTTGAGGAATTATCAGTGATATCTTGCATTCTCTGGATTTCCTTTTTAAATTTTCTTACCTTTTCTCTTGCCCATATGTCTTTTAGTTCTACTTTCTTGGATAGTTCCTTGGTATTACCTTAAAAATCTTCCACTGAATATTAAAGTTAGACTCAAAATTTTGAACTTTTAAAAAATTATTGTGGCTTCTTAGAGCTATTTATTTATTATTTCCTGAATATAATTTTCCCTCTTAATCCTCTTAGGAAATTGATAATATTTAGACTTTTTTTTCTGCTCCCTGTTTTATTCTTTCATTCGTTTTTATTCTGTTTGATTGTTTCAGCCATCATTCACTTAGTAAGCTTTCATGATTGTACTTTCATGTTTGAGATCAAAGCATTAAAAATGATTTGATATTCTCTCTACATGGACAAGGCTTTTATATGTATGAGTTTGCAGTAGGGTAGTTGGGCAGTAAGCTGACATTTTTTTACTGGGAGATTTCCAGAGTCCTTATCTGTATATCATTCCTCTGGAGGTATTCAGTTCTACAGAGAAGAATGTTTTTATAGGCTGAGAAATGGCTTGGGTTAAGGTCCTGTCATTCATCCTGCAAATTTCTATTTGATCTGTGTTTGATATTTTCCACTTGTCTCTCTGAATGCACCTTCTACCTTTCTTTCTCCTGCTATCTGCCCCTGGAATCCATTTTTATTACTCGAAGAGTGTATTTATTAGACCAATGCACTCTTTTCTCCCTTACTAACTGTGATTGGGTTGAACCAATGGGAAACCACAATGGGAGATCAAAAGGAGGGAAGAGAGGATTTATCTCCCCAACTCCCCTGCATCAGGGTCCTCTTGGGCTGGTTGTGTAAGTTAACTGAAGGTCACTACTCCCCTCAAGACAGCCCCGCTAGATGACTCTTTCTGCGTCCCAGGAACTAGTGTCTCCTCTCTTCCCTTTGGGCCCAGAGGTTATATCTGTTGGGCCTAGAGATTGCATTGGTTCTGTGGTTACCATCCCTTGCAGTTTTCTTTTATCTCATCCACACTTTCGTGGATAGTTCCCTTATGAATTTTTTCTAGAGTTATCCCGATTTCTTTTTTGCCATCTGTTTCCTGCTTCGACTTTGACCAATACCGTGATTGGCTCCATAATTGACCCAAAAAAACAGACCCTTAAAATAGAATTCTGGGATTGGTTTCTCATATATCTGAGGAGTGCAGGAATAAACACTTTTCCAGGGAGAAATGCAATGTCGGTAATCAATAGCATTATGGTGGTGTCATTATGATATTCATAAGATCACAGGTGGTAGCAGAGGATGGAGAGCCATAGAAGACAAGGGCTGTAGGAGAGCAAATGATGTGGCCCATAGTTGCTGTGGCAACAATAGGGATTATACAATATTGTGGAGTCACTTGGCTTTAATGACCCTAGAGGGCATACATAAAGAAAAAGAGAAGTTAAAAGCTTTATAAATTTCAATTAAGAATATATGTGGAAAGCCAGAAATCCACCATGGCATCTTTAAAGCAGTCTCTCTTTTCTATAGTTTCATGGCAGATCAGGTTGAGAACCAAGCCTAGGGTAAGGGCAATATTAGATAAGAAATGCAACCCCCAAACAAAGAATACGGTCACTTTAGCATCATGGCTGCCTCTGAGAACTTTGATCCTCAAGCTCTCCTTGAAACTCATAAATTGATGCCAATTCTTCTCAGTGTTTTCTCATTTCTTCTAAGCCCACAGTGGGAGTTAGTTCCCAACAGAACATGGAGGGAGAGGTAAAATGCCTGTTGAAGGAATATATCTTGAAAGAGTTACAAAAGCTTTCTAATCAGCAAAAGCCTGGGAACGTATATGGAAGTGCTAGAGCAAGAGTGATGAATCAATTTATTCAAGGTTTTGACTAGTATGTCCTGAGCACCTGGGAGTGGCATTAATCATTGGCTTTATGTATGTGTACATAAAAAAATAAATGAATGAATAAATATTCATATTCTTATTTAAATTTTTCTATAAGTTATTGGGGTACAGGTGGTATTTGGTTACATGAGTAGGTTCTTTAGTGGTGATCTGTGAGATTTTAGTACACCCATCACCTGAGCAGTATACACTGCACCCTATTTGTAATCTTTTATCCCTCTTCCCCCTCCCAATTTCCCCCAAGTTCCCAAAGTCCATTGTATCATTCTTTTTTAAATTTATTTATTATACTTTATGCTCTGGGATACAGGTGCAGAATGTGCAGCTTTGTTACAATTGTATCATTCTTATGCCTTTGCGTTGTTATAGCTTAGTTCTCACATATCAGTGAGAACATAAGATGTTTGGTTTTTCCATTCCTGAGTTACTTCACTTAGAATAATAGCCTCCAATCTCATCCAAGTCACCGCGAATGCCGTTAATTCATTCCTTTTCATGGTTGAGTAGTATTCTATCATATATAGATATGATATATCTATATATGTGATATATAGATATATAGATATATATATCTCACAGTTTCTTTATCCACTCGTTGATTGATGGGCATTTGGGTTGGTTCCACGATTTTGCAATTGCGAATTGTGCTGCTATAAACATGCGTGTGCAAATATCTTTTACGAATAATGACTTTTCCTCTGGATAGATACCCAGTGGTGGGATTGCTGGATCAAATGGTAGTTCTACTTTCAGTTCTTTACGGAATCTCCACACTGTTTTTCATAGTGGCTGTACTAGTTTACATTCCCAATAGCAGTGTAGAAGTGTTCCCTGTTCACCGCATTCACGCCAACATCTATATATTTTTTTATTTTTTTGACTATGGCCATTCTTGCAGGAGTAAGGTGGTATGGCATTGTGGTTTTGATTTGCATTTCCCTGATCATTAGTGACATTCAGCATTTTTTCATATGTTTGTTGGCCATTTGTATATATTCTTTTGAGAATTGTCTATTCATGTCCTTAGCCCACTTTTTGATGAGATTGTTTGTTTTTTTCCTGCTGATTTGTTTGAGTTCGTTGTAGATTCTGAATATTAGTCCTTTGTCAGATGTATAGATTATGAAGATTTTCTCCCACTCTATGGGTTGTCTGTTTACTCTGCTGACTGTTCCTTATGCTGTGCAAAAGCTCTTTAGTTTGTTTAATTATGTCCCAACTATTTATCTTTGTTTTTATTGCATTTGCTCTGGGTTATTGGTGATGAAATCCTTGCCTATGCCAATGTCTAGAAGGGTTTTTCCAATGTTATCTTCTAGAATTTTTATAGTTTCAGGTCATAGATTTAAGTCCTTAATCCATCTTGAGTTGATTTTTGTATAAGGTGAGAGATGAGGATCCAGTTTCACTCTCCTACATGTGGCTAGCCAATTATCCCAGGACCATTTGTTGAAAGGTGTCCTTTCCCCACTCTATGTTTGCTTTATTAAAGATCAGTTGGCTGTAAGTATTTGGGTTTATTTCTGGGTTCTCTATGCTGTTCCATTGGTCTATGTGCCTATTTTTGTACCAGTACCATGCTGTTTTTGTGACTGTGGGCTTATCATATAGTTTGAAATCAGGTAGTGTGATGCTTCCAGATTTGTTCTTTTTGCTTAGTCTTGCTTTGGCTATGTGGGCTCTTTTTTGGTTCCACATGAATTTTAGAATTGTTTTTTCTAATTCTGTGAAGAATGATGGTTGTATTTTGATAGGGATTGCATTGAATTTGTAGATTGCTTTTGGCAGGATGGTCATTTTGACAATATTGATTCTACCCACCCATGAGCATGGGATGTGTTTCTATTTGTTTGTGTCATCTATGATTCGTTTCAGCAGTGATTTGTAGTTTTCCTTGTAGAGGTCTTTTGCTTCCTTGGTTAGGTATATTTCTAAGTATTTTATTTTTTTTTTGCAGCTATTGTTAAAGAGATTGAGTTCTTGATTTCATTCGCCACTTGGTCACTGTTGGTGTATAGAAGAGCTACTGATTTTTGTACATTAATCTTGTGTCTGGAAACTTTGCTGAATTATTTTACTAGTTCCAGGAGCCTTCTGGAGAAGTCTTTAGCGTTTTCAAGGTAAATGATCATATCATCAGCAATCAGTGACAGTTTGATTTCCTCTTTACCGATTTGGATGCCTTTTATTTTTTTCTCTTGTCTGATTGCTCTGGCTAGGACTTCCAGTACTATGTTGAAGAGGAGTGATGAGAGTGGGCATCTTTGTCTTGTTCCCATTCTCACAGGGAATGCTTTCAATTTTTCCCCATTCAGTATTATGTTGGCTGTGAGTTTGTCATATATGGCTTTTATTACACTGAGGTATGTCCCTTCTATGCCAATTTTGCTGAGAGTTTTAATCATAAAGCAATGCTGGATTTTGTTGAATGCTTTTTCTGTATCTATTGAGATGATCATGATTTTTGTTTTTAATTCTGTTTATGTGGTATATCACATTTATTGACTTGTGTATGTTAAACCATCCCCACATCCCTGGTATGAAACCCACTTGATCATGGTGGATTATCTTTTTGATGTGTTGTCTGATTTGTTAGTTAGTATTTTGTTAAGGATTTTGGCATCCATGTTCATCAGGGATACCAGTCTGTAGTTTTCTTTTTTGGTTACGTCCTTTCCTGGTTTTGGTATTAGGGTGATGATGGCTTCATAGAATGAATTAGGGAGGATTCTCTCTTTATCTTGTGGAATAGTGTCAATAGCATTGGTACCAGTTCTTTGAATGTCTGGTAGAATTCTGCCGTGAATCTCTCTGGTCCTGGACATTTTTGTGTTGGTAATTTTAAAATTACTATTTCAATATTGCTGCTTGTTATTAGTCTGTTTAGGGTATCTAATTCTTCCTGATTTAAGCTAGGAGGTTTGTATTTTTCCAGGAATTTATCCATCTCTTCTAGGTTTTCAAGTTTAGGTGCATAAAGGTGTTCATAATAGCCTTGAATGATCTTTTGTATTTCTGTGGTGTCAATTGTATTATTTCCTCTTTCGTTTCTTATTGAGGTTATTTGGATTTTCTCTTTTCTTTTCTTGGTTAATCTTGCTAATGGTCGATCAATTTTATTTATCTTTTCAAAGAACCAGCTTTTTGTTTCATTTATCTTTTGTATTTTTGTTTGTTTGTTTGTTTCAGTTTCATTTAGTTCTGTTCTGATCTTGGTTATTTCCTTTCTTCTGATGGGTTTGGGTTTGGTTTGTCCTTGTTTCTCTAATACCTTGAGGTGTGACCTTAGAATGTCAGTTTGTGCTCTTTCAGTCTTTTTATGCAGGCATTTAGGGCTATAAACTTTCCTCTTAGCACCGCCTTTGCTGTATCCCAGAAGTTTTGATAGGTAGCGTCACTACTGTCATTCAATTTGAAGAATTTTTTTTTTTTTTTTTTGAGACGGATTTTCGCTCTTGTCACCCAGGCTGGAGTGCAATGGGTGCGATCTCAGCTCACTGCAACCTCCGCCTCCTGGTTTCAAGCAATTCTCCTGCCTCACACTCTTGAGTAAGTGGGATTATAGGCACCTGCAACCACGCCCAGCTAATTTTTATATTTTTTAGTAGACATGGGGTTTCACCATGTTGGCCAGGCTGGTCCCTAACTCCTGACCTCAAGTGATCCACCTTCCTTGGCCTCCCAAAGGGCTGGGATTACAGACATGAGCCACTGTGCCCAGCCCAAAGAATTTTAATTTCCATCTTCATTTTGTTTCTGACTCAGGGATCATGCAGGAGCAAGTTATTTAATTTCCATGTATTTGCATGGTTTTGAAGGTTCCTTTTGGAGTTGATTTCCAGTTTTATTCCACTGTGGTCTGAGAAAGTGCTTGATATAATTTCAATTTTCTTAAATTTATTGAGGCTTATTTTATGGCCTATCATATGGTCTATCTTGGAGAAAGTTCCATGCGCTGTTGAATAGAATGTGTTTTCTGCGGTTGTTGGATGGAATGTTCTGTATATATCTGTTAAGTCCATTTGTTCTAAGGTATAGCTTAAATCCATTGTTTCTTGCTGACTTTCTGTCTTGATAACCTGTCCAGTGCTGCCAGTGGAGTATTGAAGTCCCCACTATTATTGTGTTGCTGTCTATCTCATTTCTTAGGTCTATTAATAATTGTTTTATAAATTTGGGAGCTGCAGTGTTAGGTGCATATATGTTTAGGATTGTGATATTTTCCCGTTGGACAAAGCCTTTTACCATTATATAATGTCTCTCTTTGTCTTTTTTACCTGCTGTTGCTTTAAAGTTTTTTTGTTTGATATAGGAATAGCTACCCCTCCTCACTTTTGGTGTCCATTTGCATGAAATGCCTTTTTCCATCCCTTTACTTTATGTGAGTCCTCATGTGTTAGATGAGTCTTCAAGGCAGAAGATAGTTAGTTGGTGAATTCTTATGCATTCTGCAGTTCTATATCTTTTAAGTGGAGCATTTAGGCCATTTACATTCAATGTTAGTATTGAGATGTGAGGGTCCATTCCATTCATTGTGCTATTTGTTGCCTGTATACCTTGGTTTTTGTTTTGTTTTGTTTTTTAAATTGTATTTTTGTTTTATACGTCCTGTGAGATTTATGCTTTAAAGAGGTTCTGTTTTGATGTGTTTCCTGGATTTGTTTCAAGATTTAGAGCTCCTTTTAGCAGTTCGTATAGTGGTGGCTTGGTAGTGGCAAATACTCTCAGCATTTGTTTGTCTGAAAAAGAATGTATCTTTCCTTCGTATATGATGCTTAGTTTCACTAGATACAAACTCTTGGCTGATAATTGTTTTGTTTGAGGAGGCTGAAGATAGGACCCCAATCCCTTCTAGCTTATAGGGTTTCTGCTAAGAAATCTGCTGTTAATCCGATAGTTTCCCCCACCCCTCTTTATAGGTTACCTGGTGCTTTTGTCTCACAGCTCTTAAGATTCTTTTCTTCACTGGGCGCGGTGGCTCACCCCTGTAATCCCAGCACTTTGGGAGGCCGAGGTGGGCAGATCACCTGAGGTCGGGAGTTCAAGACCAGCCTGACCAACATGGAGAAACCCCATCTCTACTAAAAATACAAAAAAATTAGCCAGGCATAGTGGCACATGCCTGTAATCCCAGCTACCCAAGAGGCTGAGGCAGGAGAATCACTTGAACCCAGGAGGCAGAGGTTGCAGTGAGCCGAGATCACGCCATTGTACTCCAGCCTGGGCAACAAGAGCGAAACTCCATCTCAAAAAAAAAAAAAGATTCTTTTCTTCATTGTCTTAACTTAAGACAACGTGATGACAATGTGCCTAGGCAATGATCTTTTTATGATTAATTTCCCAGGTATTCTTTGTGCTTTTCTTGTATTTGGATGTCTAGGTCTCTAGCAAGGCCAGGGAAGTTTTCCTTGATTATTCCCCCAAATATACTTTCCAAACTTTTAGATTTATCTTCTTCCTCAGGAACACTGATTATTCTTAGGTTCAATCATTTAACATAATCCCAGACTTCTTGGAGGCTTTGTTCATATTTTCTTATTCTTTTTTCTTTGTCTTTGTTGGTTGGGTTAATTTGAAGACCTTGTCTTAGAGCTCTGAATTTCTTTCTTCTCCTTGTGCAATTCTATTGCTGAGACTTTCTAGAGCATTTTGCATTTAAATAAGTGTGTCAAATATTTCCTGAAGTTTTGAATTTTTTAAATTTATGCTATCTATTTCCTGAATATTTCTCCCTTCGCTTCTTGTATTGTTTTTTGGATTTCCTTGCATCGGGCTTTGCATTTCTCTGGTGCCTCCCTGATTAGCTTAATAACTAACCTCCTGAATTCTTTTTCAGGTAAATCAGGGATTTCTTCTTGGTTTGAATCCATTGCTGGTGAGGTAGTGTGATTTTGGGGGGATGTTAAAGAGCCTTGTTTTGTCATATTACCAGAGTTGGTTTTCTGGTTCCTTCTCATTTGGGTAGGCTCTGTCAGAGGGAAGATCCAGGGCTGAAGTGTGTTCAGGTTATTTTGTCCCATGGGGTGTTCCCTTGATGTAGTACTCTCCCCTTTTTCCTATGGATGTGGCTTCCTGAGAGTCAAACTATAGAGATTGTTATCAGTCTTCTGGGTCTAGCCACCCAGCAAGTCTACCAGGTTCCAGGCTGGTACTGGGGGTTGTCTGCACAGAGTCCTGTGATGTGAACCATCTATGGGTCTCTCAGCTGTGGATACCTCCACCTGTTCGGGTGGACTCTGTGAGGGTTCTTAGCTTTGGTGGCTTAATGCTCTATTTTTATGCTGGTTGGCCTTCTGCTGGGAGGTGGCACTTTCCAGAGAGCATCAGCTGTGATAGTATGGAGAGGAACTGGGGGTGGGCGGGGCCCTAGAACTCCCAAGATTATATGCTCTTTGTCTTCAGCTACCAGGGTGGGTAGGGAAGGACCATCAGGTGGGGGCGGGGCTAGGCATGTCTGAGCTTAGAATCTCCTTGGGTGGGTCTTGCTGTGGCTGCTGTGGGGGATGGGGTTGAGGTTCCCAGGTCAGTGGAGTTGTGTACCTAGGAGGATTATGGCTAACTCTGCTGAGTCATGCTGGTTGTCAGGGAAAAGGAGGAAAGTGGCAGTCATAGGCCTCACCCAGCTCCCACCAGCTCCCATGCAATCTGTAGGGGTGGTCTCACTTCCACTGTGCCCCCGCCAACAGCACTGAGTCTGTTTCCAGGCAGTGGGCAAGCAGGGCTGAGAACTTGCCCCAGGCTACCCACCTCCCAGCTGCAAAAGAAAAGTGCTTTAGTTCTTCCCCCAGCTTGTGAAGTCTGCACATGAGATTCATGCCCTCCCCCGAGTTCTGGCCAGGAGGCTTCTCAACCAGTTGAAATGTTACAAAGTTCAGCTGGAGACCTCCTTCTCCCTGTGGCATTTTCCCTGAGCTGCTGGCAGCCCTCCTGAAGGATCCCAGTGATGCCAGGCAGGAATGGTCTGCTTGGTGACCCAGCAAGCTCCCAGGGCCTTTCCCGCTGTTTGCTCTGCCCCTGTATTTCACTCGATTCTTTAAATTGACTCAACTCCAGGTAAGGTTGGAATCTTCTCTTTCAAACTAGACCTTCAGTTTCCCCAGTGGGGATGTATGTCAGGGGCAGAGGAACTCCCTTTCCCACTTCTGCAGTTTGGGTACTTACAGTATTTGGGGTGTCTCCTGGATCCTGCAGGAGCAGTCCACTTCCTTCAAAGGGTCTGTGGGTCCTTTCAGGATTCCTGATTTATTCCTGCAGCCGTTCTGGAGCTAAAATTCACAATGCGAGCCTCTGCATGCTGCTCTGTCCATCTGAGTCAGAGCTGCAGTCTAGTCCTGCCTCCCCTCTGCCATGACAATCCAAATCTAAATATTCATATTCTTTGAAGAACCCTGACTACTACAGATTGTGATACCTAGCATAGCTGAGGTTCCAGATGTAGTATCTTTACTAGCACAAATCGATAGAATGACTAGCGCCTGGTATAAAAATACCTTCTTTTCTATTTCTATTAGTAAGTGGAATCAGAAATGGCTTGCACTTACATAGCAGGGACAGCAATATGCTATTACACTCTTGCTCCTTGGGTCACAAGTTGAGTTCTCCAGAAAGCACTCTCTGAGAAGGAGCTAAGCATTCAGAGTGTTAATCAGCATAAACATATCTCCATAAAGATCAACACCTGCGGAAAGAGTACGGCAGATGTTTGCCCAAGGATGAGAGGGAAAATCTGTGAAAGTTCAAGAGCCTACAATATTGAGGTTTATGGAGGACAAGTGGTCTGAGTCATATTGGGACATCCATCTGAAGTAGAAGAGAAGTTACTGTACCTTGTACCACTCAGAATGCTTTATGGTCCTCTTTGGGTTATTGAGGCAACATCTGCCACATTAGGCATACTGTATCAACCCGCTTACTGGGTACCTTCATAAGTTGACAGTTTTGATTGGAACCTGAAATAAGAAAGAACTCTTAGACAGTTCAGGCTGCAGTTCATGCAGTCTTGCCACATGGACCCTGTGACCAAGCCAAACCAATGGTTCTGTCAGTGGCAGACAGAAGTGCTATGCAGAGCATCTGGCAAGCCCCAATAGAAGAATCACAAGATAGACACCCTAGAGTTTTGGAATAAGGCTATGTTCTATTCTGCCAACAACTATTCATTAGAGAAAAATATCCTGACTGTGCTGGTCTTGGAACAGATTGAATTCTTGACCATAGGATATCCAAATTGCCAAACTTCTGTTTTCTGATTCACTGAACCATAAAATTGGATGTGCACAGTGCATTGCATTATAAAATGGAAGTAGTATATATCAGGGGGTCAGCAAATTTTATCTATCAAAGACCAGTTAGTAAATATTTTAGGCTTTGTGGGCCATATGGTTCCTGCTGCAACTATTTAACTCTACTGCTGTGGCACAAAAGTGGCTATAAACAAGATGTAAATGAATGAATATGGCAGTGTTCCAGTAAAACTTTATTTATTGCACTGAAATTTGAATTTCAGATAATTTTATGTATCATGAAATATTATTCTTATTTTGATTTTTTTCCAGCCCTTTAAAAAATGGAAGGCCCATTCTTAGCTTGCAAAGAATGCAAGCTACAAAACAGGTGGCAGGCTGGATTTGGTCCATGGGCTGTGGTTTGTCAATTCCTGGTATATATGAAGCCATACCTGAGCAGGTACAGAAGGTACAACAAACTGTCCCAGGATAGCCAGTGGCTCCAACTCCCATCTGGCATCTGCTCCTACTGCTTTGCCTTCAACCCTCTCTATGATGAATTAACTGCAGAGAAAAAGACGTAGGCTCAGTTTATGGATGGATCTGTCTGGTGTGCTGGCAATAGGAAAACAGGGATGCCTGCTGTACCACTATCCCACTGCTGGTGGGCTCAACCCTGAGCTGTATATACAGTTAATCACTTTGTGTGTGGGGAGAAATGGCCTCAGAAGTAGATCTACATTCACTCAAGAGCAGTTGATAATAGTTTTTTACACTCAGGAACTTGGAAAGGACACTATTGGAATATTGATCACAATGTGGAAGGGGAGATAGAGATGTGGATGGGCTTCTTGGAATGAACAGAACATGAACATATTTGTGTCCCAGGTAAATGCCCATCAGAGACCATTCATAGTAGAAGAGCCTCTCAATAATCAGATGGACAAGGTGACTCATTCAGTCATTGTCAGTTACTCTTTTTCTCCAGACACTGAAGTGCATGCTTAATAGGCTATGGTGACAGGAATAGTGGTTGTACATAGGCTTACCAACTGTGTCTAATCATCATCAAAGTTGTTTGACTATTACCACTTGCAGAGTGGTACAGACATTAACAGACTGTGGTTGCTGTAATTGTCCATTAATAGTTAAAAGTGGACAAGAGAATAGCAAGAGATACCACAGGGGATTACTTGAGTGAGAAACATGTTTCTCTATGCCAAAACTGTTTAGTAGCAACTTCATAATTTTATAGTGATTTGTTAACTCCTTTGGTGCCTACTGCCCTACTGACACAATGATCCCAAAGTTACCAGATGCCAGCTGTAGATTTCAATTTAGTGAAACTCTTAATGTGTACCCTAAGAACGAGGGCCCCTGAACTCATAGAGCCTTGCAGAGATGAGAGGCACACATTCTCCAAGTGGGTTATGAGGAGTAGCAGTAGAAAGGGACACTCCTGTTTTTACTCCCTGATTCTCTGACCAACATATCCTACTGGGGTTACAGCATCCTATATCAGCATTGGTTTAAGGTATATACTGCATCCTGAAGAACATCCACTCATCATCAAAGAATGACATCTCTAAAATGGTGCCTTAGTTTCACCTTTAAGAGTCCACTCTAGTGCTGTATCAAGCTGCTGGGTCCTGGATAACGATGAATATAATAAGACCAATGGAGTCCATGGTCATGAGCTCACTGACCTACCTCCTTTGCCAAACATTGTCCCTTGGTACAAAGTGATGTGAACCAGGAACACATGTTAGAAAACCTGACACTCAGGAGTTCTCATATAGGTATCAGTCACAGCATCATGGGCAGCAAAGTCAACCCCATGTTTGGAAAGCACGTCAATCCCTGTCGGTGTTAACAGTGCGGAAGGGGCCCAATAACTTGCCAACACTGGGCTAATTAGGTTCCCTCAGGGATATACTGAAGTGGGGTGTCAGCATTGCCTCTATTGACAGCAGGCCACACCACATACCCAGCAGTAGAAGTAGCTAGATCAGCCTTCGAAAGAGAAAGTCCAACTTATTAGGTGCCCCTGCATAGTATATATATATATATACACATACACACACACATATATAGCTATATATATATATATATATATAAGTATATATATTAGTGTATATATATATATATATTAGTATATATATATATATACTAGATCAGCCTTGGAAAGAGAAAGTCCAACTTATTAGGTGCCCCTGCATAGTATATATATACACACACACACACACACACACACACATAGCTATATATATCTATATCTATATCTATCTATATCTATCTATCTATATATATATAGCCACTGTGGCTACAACTACATGACCAGTGTACAAACATCGGTGAGTCTGGGGAGAGAGCCAACCATCTACTGGCTGACTCTTCCTCTCCACTTAGTTGTTTTGTGCTTCAATTTCAGTGGAGGCTGTCTGGTGGGCATTGATGTGTGACACAAAGATCCTCTCCCTTTGTACCCTCCCCCATTGGTCTATCCCCATATTTCTTCCCTCGGATCTCTTTGTATTCAGTCTTTCAATCTTGCTTCTTTCAGTTCCTGACTAACTAGCCAAACTATTCAGCACTGCCACTGAGTCTATACATATTCTTAGGTTGGCTTCTTCTCCCTCCACCAAAAGCGCTGCTCACCAGGAGGATTTTCCCTTATCACTATTTAGGATCTCCACCCACCCCCCCGCCCGGGGTGCTATAGTGGAATAGCAATCCATTTTTGATTCCTACCAAAATATTGAGCCATCCCATCTACGCAACAACCCTTGATCGACTAGTCATAGAGAACTCTGATAAGGCCACAGGAGCAAGCCGAAGGCAAGGTATATATGCAATAGTCATGGGTTACATGTGGTTCTGGGCTACCTATTCGTGCAGCTTACTTGTGCCCCTTAGGTCTGCCTGGGCTTGACACAAAATGCATCATTTTCATTGTATGACAGATTGCTCATGGGCCTTCGCAGTTTTATGAGTTGGTGGGTCTGACAGCACCCAATTCATAATGGGCACCTCCAGTCAAATACTCCCTTAGTGACCTTAGTGGTCATAGCTTGGTTTGCAACTAAACCTAATAATATGCCAGCAGTTGCTTTTAGCATGGAAGATAGTTCTGTGCTGCACATGCATGGTCTTAATTCAGAACTTTAGGAGGTCCATATTGCAGCTTGCTATTGGAGCTTGCTAAGTACTCCTCATGATTTATTGATCTATCATATATGCCTCTAGTATAATGGGGTATACCTTGTCATATGGCATAAGCAACAAGGTGGTTTGTACTACAGCCTGGCTTATGCTTGTATTATAGTCCCACCAGAACAATCTGGGTCTCTTTCAAAACTGGCAGCCATCTGCATCACTTGGTAAATGGATTGGAACAGTATTCCCAAGTGTAGTATGTCACCTCCAAAACATGAAGAGGCCTACCGAATGCTATGCTTCATGGTGTTAGAAGATGCCAAGTGCAATAACTTGCCCCTTACCTTAGAGGCAATGTCCTGGCATGCCCCAGACTATTGGACTCTTGAAAAAGTCACTGTCGTGGCGTTCTTTAAATTTGTATAGAACTTATATCCCTCCCTCTGGAATACCTGGGTCTTATCAGACCATCCAGAGTACTTACCGCTTCTTACTCATCTGGTCTGATTAACATGATATCAACAATATAACAGATACATGTAATGTTGTCTAGAATGTTCAGATGGTCCAGGTTCATTTGGCCTTTATCATGATAAACGGCAGGAGAGCTGAAGGACAAGACTGCAGATATAATCTGTTGTCCATCTTAGTTAAATCTGAATTGCTTCTGATGCTTCTTTCTCATGGGTATTAAAGGGAATGCATTCAATAGTGCATTCGGTACCAGAAGCTGAGACTGGAGTTTGTCCTTGGATACATTTGTGGTGGTCCTCTGTCTTCTGACCTACCCAGTTTTCTGAGGGCCAGACTGGTGAAATAAATGGGAGTACAATAGTGGGACTAAGACCTCCCATTCTACCCAGGATGTGGCATTGTTTTTAGGTTACTGGGGGATGAATTGGAAGCAGAGATTGTTCCATCATAACTTTAGCTTCCTCCTGCCACGGAATTGATAGGGAAGGAGGTTGTTATTTTTCAGACAGAGAGAAGCCAGTTGTCAGGGTGTTCAGTTAACACTATGAGCAAAACTGAAAGTAATACTTTATTCACTTTCTTTGACAGTATAAACAAGAGGCTAAACAAGAAAGGGTGACAGCTCCCCAACATCCCACTTACCCCTTATGAAATGGCATGGGCAAGGGTAGGATGCATCCATGCTGACTAGGGGATTGTCTCATGCTGGAAGAGCTCTGAATAAAAAGTTCCTGCTGTTTTATGTTCTCTGGGACTGATGAGGAGGAGAGGTAGAAGGCCTAGTGGTAGAAAAGTATAGAATCCTGAGTCAGACTGGAAAAGAGTGTTGAGGGCCCCTCAATAAGGAGGCTTTGTCAGAAGCATCTGAACAATGTCTCACTGGAGGCCTGTCCCAATAAAAAGGCTTCCAAATGGTGGCACCAAGGCAGGAATACAGATAGGCACAAGAGCATGGCTGACCCAGCAGGCCTGAATTCTTGCCTGTAACTCCCTGCAAAGATGGCAATGCAGTAGCTGTGCACTGAGTCTGGTGTGGGGAAAACAGATATCCTCCCCCGCCCCATGCTACCACCCACCCTCCTACCTCCCCAGCCTTTGAAATTGCCTCTGACAGGGCCTGAAAGATTACACATAGGATTTTGACTTGTAGCCAAACTCCCCAGTTATTGTGCCGCCTGGATAATTGATCATGGGGGAAATTGGGTTGCTGCTACACCATGGAAAAAGGAGGACTATGTCTGGAACTCAGAGGGCTTTCTTTTGGTGGGTGGGGCTTGTACTCCTTTTTGTTTAGAATTCCTTTCTAATGGTTTTATTGATAGAAAACTGAGACAGTTTAATAAAGACAAGACCACCAAAGACTTGTGTACATAAGTGAAGTTTTTGGTCTCTACCAGGTGAAGAAGCCCATTCAACTGAGGTGCTGGCAGAGAGTAAGGGGAACATGGAACGGGTAGAGGAGAGAGGCTGTTCTGATGACTAGCCTAAGACACACACACACACACACCAGTAGTAGCTATATGTACACCATGTAATTGCTAAATGTCACCTAACTAGTCATTGCTGAATGACTATCCTAGACACACACACACACACACACACACACACACACCAGGAGTAGTTATGCATATATCACTAGACTAGCCACACACACACACACACACACACACACACTAGTAGTTATGCATACATCATGTAATTGCTAAATGTCAATTTAGCTCAGTTCAATCGTTCAACATGAATTTTGTATTGAGAGAACATATCCTACTCTACCATTCTATTCCAACTGCTTTTGAGATTACATGGCATAAGCATGCAAACCTGCTATGATTTTGTAGCTGATGGGACTTCATGTGTACTGTGGCTTGAGACCTAAAGTTTTCAAGTGAGTGGAGGAGAACGGGATGTGGAGGGGCAGAAAATGGGAACTGTGATAGATAGCTTCCATTTGTTCTAGATCCTCTTGCCATGTTTTTCCAGCATACTGTTTGCTCCAGGAGGCAGTTCTGTATGAATAACATCAAAAATCCTTCTTGCCTTCTGTTTTCTCACTGAGCTTGGCCAATGAGGAGACCAAGTAGGAGAATAAGAGGAGGGAGGGGTATGAGGTGAGGGTATATATTTTTTCAGCTTTCTCTCTGCAGGTTTGCCTTAAGTTGGCTGTGACCCTTGCCCAAGGTCATGGTTCCTCCCAAGGTGGTCTCTTTCCCATAATACTCCCCTTTGGGTTTACAGTAACTGCTCTCTTCCTTCATTCTTCAGGTCTAGGGGTATTAACAGCTCCTAGCCCCTGGGTTCTGTGCTATCCTTTACATTTTTCCTGCACCTTATCCATGGCTGTGTAAATACTTATTTTGGTAAACCTGGCTTGAATTATCCCCATTTACTAAGATGCTTCCCAGCTCACCTTCTTCAATGGAGCCTCCATACTACTATAAGTGATATTTCTGAAAGGCAAATTTTAGCACACCCCTCCTCTTCCTAAAATTCTTAATGGCTCTCTGTCACCTACAGAAAGATAGCATGGCTATCTATTTAAGGACCACTCTCCAGCTACCTGACACCGTTTCCTCCTACACACTCTGCCTTCCAGCGACACTGAACCATGTACAGCCCCCGCAGAGGAGATTCTCTTTTTGCTCATTAAAAGATGAGCTAGAGTTCTTGAATGTCTGTGGTCTGTTTCTTCCTTGGGCTTCAGAGTAACTGGTCTAAATCATTCTCCTTTTGGAGTAAAATCTTCCCTTCTTCCCTTGGATGTCATCATTTCCTCTGAGTTTTAATCCTTACTTCTTTCCCCTGTAGAAAACCTCCCTCACGAGAGGAGGCAAATCTTTTTTTGAATTTCTGAACTGCCATGATACACTGGAGACCCATAGTAACTTAATTATTCCTCCAATTCCAGCTAAACTCTCAAGAAATCTCTGAGTAAATAAATTATCAGATTAGGGTTTTAAGCCCACACTTATTTTAAGATGCAACAAATTAATTAAAAATTAATTTGATCAAAATCCAGAATGTATACAAGATAAGCAAATAGAACCGTGCATACCATCATATATTGTCCACGAGTTAAGCTAGTCTGCTGCTTTTAACACTCTAAAACTGGATAGAAAGCAATAACTGACTTAGGCCAAAATATAGGTAGGCAGCAAGTATAAATTGATACTCTTTTATGCTATAAAACCTAATATACATACAGAAAAAAAAAACCTCCACAAATAGGCTTAATTTTTAGTTCAGGTTATAGTAGCCAATAGAGCTAGAATTGAGGGTTTCTTATAATTGGTTTGTATGAGCCATGCTGCTCTGTGGCCCCAGACTGTGCCACAAAAATATCTGCTGCAAAATGAATGTCTGCTTTTTATATAAAAAAGTGCTGCAAATTATAATATGTGTGTTCGGATACAAAGAAAATTAGCATATCTTTTCTATCTCTTTTTATACAAAAAAACATAAACAGGACCAAAAAACAATAGATACAGTGTCTAAGAGCTCTTTTTAATAATGATTTTTCAATTTTCTCTTTGGAGAAGCTTCTGAGTTCCTCCCTTGTACTTCAATGGGCAAGAGTAGGAAAGAAGCAGAACAGATTATTCATCTTATGTGACTTGGAGTTTGTAGGCTTCACCATAAGCTCATATTGGCTTTTAGTCGAAATACTGAATATAAGAGCAAATATACTTGCACTAGCATCTTTTGTCTTATTTTCATGTGATCTGGACAAAAGTGAAGAAGACTGGATTGCTTGCTGGAATTCAGGGGAAAAATGTCAATTTAGCCCAGTGCAATCATTCAGCATGAATTCTGTATTGAAAGAGCAACATAACCTACTCCACTGTTCAATTCCAAATAATATTTAATTGCTTTCTGAACCTCTTCCAACTTCAATTAGTGTTAATTTAGTGTGTAACTAAATACATTACCCTAAAATAATTAGGAATGGTACAGTGTCCTCCATAACATATGTGATTTGTATTAGCAGCCTTGGTTCAGAAAAGTCTTAAGCTGGGAAACAGACACAAACTACTCAAAATGATCTCTCAACCTCCCCCCTCTCCCGGCTCCGCCAACCCAACCCACAAGACAAACACAGGGACTTAATTAGCAACAGAGTATTTTAGTCATTTATGGGGCACAGGCTCTTATTGGTTATATAGGATATGGTCCAAATGCCTTGGCGTGATATACTAGGCCCTTCATGATCTGACTTCTACTTCATCCTACACTCCAATTCCAGCAATGTGACATGGTTTTCTCCCACACCTCTGTATTTTTGTTTTTGTAGTGCTATCTCCCTAAAATGCCCTCACCATCTAACTGAACCACTTGGCCTCCACCTCCTCACACCTTCATCCCTGCTGGACTGTGGTTTAGCAGTGGCTTTGCTCCTTTGACCAACGCCACAGCTCCCATGGCTACAGCTTTCGCTTGACACTGGAAACAAACCTCCGCATCCTTTTCAGCCTGGGGGTGTTAACTTATTCCCCTTCCTGTTCATCCTTGGGACCTTCACCATCCCTGTGAGCTCCTTTAACCCTGACCTGTCTCGTTAAATAGTCCTTCCAGTAAACCCTTGTCATGTAGCCTTTGAGTGTGCTATTTCTCTCTTGCTGGGACGATGACTAATACAGTTAGGTTCTTTATGACACCACCTCTTTGGGTAGAATGGAAGTTTTGTGCTCTCACTGAACCCACTGCAGACTTATATCATGCAACCAGGCATATTTGATTGCACCATTTATTAAGAAGTTTATGTTCGGCCGGATGCAGTGGCTCACACCTGAAATCTCAGCACTTTGGGAGGCCGAGGTGGGCAGATCACTTGAGGCCAGCAGTTTGAAATCAGCCTGGCCAAAATGGCGAGACCCTATCTCTATTAAAAATGCAAAGACTGGAGAGACAGCGGGACGGAGGAATGGGAAATGACGTAAGGATTGCAGAGGGGCGTGAGGTTTCAAGATGGCGGGGCTGAAGGGTTGACCGCCAGGCTGAATTGAAGGCCCTTACAAAGTGAAAGAGGGCAGGAATCGCACCTCTTGGCTGCTCGCAGTCCTGGGAGCACAGCAGAAGTGTTTTTCTTTTCTTTTCTTTTTCTTTTTTTTTAAATGAACAAGTAAACCATACAAATTGTCAACATGGGAAGGAGATCTGCATCATCCACCAAGAGTGGAAAATTTATGAACCCCACAGACCAAGCCCGAAAGGAAGCCCGGAACAGAAGAACAAAAAACAGCTCATGATGGTTTGAGCTGAAGTTTTAAAGATGAAGGATCCCAAACAGATGATCCGAGACATGGAGAAATTGGATGAAATGGAGTTTAACCCAGTGCAACAGCCACAATTAAATGAGAAAGTACTGAAAGACAAGCGTAAAAATAGCTGTGTGAAACCTTTGAACATATTCTATGACTCTATGAAAAAGAGGATCCAGATATTTAGAAAGAATTGAGAAAGCTAGAAATAGAGTATGAACAGAAGAGGACTCAACCAATATTTGAATGCTGTCGAGAATGCCCAGCACGTGGAAGTGGAGAGTATTCCTTTACCAGATATGCCACATGCTTCTTCTAACATTTTGATCCAGGAAATTCCACTTCCTGGTGCCCAGCCACCCTCCATCCTTAAGAAACCCTCAGCCTGTGGACCTCCAACTCAGGCAGTTTCTATCCTTCTCTTCTTGGGACGTGGTGTTCCACATTTGCCTCCTGGCAGAAAACCTCTTGGCCCTCCCCCTGGTCCACCCCCTCCTCAAGTCGTGCAGATGTATGGCCGTAAAGTGGGTGTTGCCCTAGATCTTCCCCCTCCTAGGTGAGATGAAGGCATGGTACATAGTCCTGAAATTGCCCAGCGAGGTCATGATGATGATGTTTTTAGCACCAGTGAAGATGATGGCTATCCTGAGGACGTGGATCAAGATAAGCATGATGACAGTACTGATGACAGTGACACCGACGGATCAGATTGAGAAAGTGTGCGCCATGATGATGGTGGGAGAGACAACAATGAAAAAAAGAAGTCAGGTCTGAGTGTACGGTTTGCAGATATGCCTGGAAAATCAAGGAAGAAAAAAACCATGAAGGAACTGACTCCTCTTCAAGCCACGATGCTTCGTATGGCAGGTCAAGAAATCCCTGAGGAGGGACGGGAAGTAGAGGAATTTTCAGAGGACAATGATGAAGATGATTCTGATGACTCTAAAGCAGAAAAACAATCACAAAAACACAATCAAGAGGAACTGCATTCTGATGGCACATCCACTGCTTCTTCACAGCAGCAGGCTCCCCGGCAGTCTGTTCCTCCTTCTCAGGTACAAGCACCTCCCATGCTTCACCATTACGGCCTCCTAGGCCACCTATGAACCTTCCCCCTGGACCACCTCCAGGAGCTCCTCCTGAGACCACCTGGAATGCCAGGACTCGGCCTTTACCCTGACTTTTACCTCCACGACCACCGACTTTTACTACCTCCCCCACGTCTACCTCCAAGTCTGCCCCCTGGTCCCCCTCCTCGGGAACCCCCACCAAGGATACCTCCCCCTGCACCTCCAGGTATTCCTGGAGTTTGTAGGCTTCACCATAAGCTCATTTTGGCTTTTAGTCCAAATACCAAATACAAGAGCAAATATACTTGCTAATGCAAGATATTTTGTCCTGGCACGATGCACCCAGCTTTGGTACCTCCCCTTGGGATCTGCCCCCCTGGGCTTTTCCCACCAGCTCCCTTGCTGAACCCTGAGATTTTAAGTGCCCCACCCGGCTTGATTCAGCGATCCAAGGTAGATAATACAAGTGCAGCCACCGTTGAGAAGAAAGCCACAGCAACCGTCACTGCCAAACCACAGATCACTAATCCCAAGGCAGAGATTACTCGATTTGTGCCCAGTGCATTGAGAGTACGTCGGGAGAATAAAAGGGCTACTGCTGCTTCCCAAAGAAAGTCAGAGGATAATTCTGCTGTGCCTCTTGCCAAAGCAGCACCCAAATCTGGTCCTTCTGTTCCTGTCTCAGTACAAACTAAGGATGATGTCTATGAGGATTTCATGAAAGAGATGGAAGGGCTACTGTGACAGCTTTTGATGCCAGAACAGGCCTCTGTTCACAACAGTAGCCCATGGAGAAAGAGGCTCTTATTAAACTTAGATGAAAGAGCTGCTTCCATTGTCAGGGTATTTTCTAATTTCAGTTCAAGGAATATCCTAAAATTTAGCCTTGTTCAGAATTTGCTGCACATTAAAGAGGGTATTTCATTCAGAATAGATAAGTTATTGAAGCAGTGCTGCTAACATCCATTCCCTTTCACACCACCATTTTCACCCTGCTTCTTCCCCTTTGGAAATTTGTGATCGGGGGATCTTAGTTGCTTATTTGTTTTGACTCTATTCTTATGTGCTGTGGGCACTGGAGTAGAGATTTCTGAAAAGCCAGTTTATTTCACCTTGCCTTTTGTGTTTGGGTTATTTGTAATGTTTTCCTGTAAATATTTTATAATATTTTGCTTGTAATGAAATAGATCACAATGTCATTTCCTAATACAAGGCAGGATATGTGGGAAGAAAATATACAATTCTTTGATTAAAATTATTTCCAACTGACATATATACATATATGTATATATATGTTATAGGCCAGGTGTGGTGTTGAGCACCTGTAGTCCCATTTACTTAGGAGGCTGAGGCATAAGAATCACTTGAACCTGGGAGGCCAAGGTTACAGTGAGCCAAGATGGTGCCATTGCACTCCAGTCTGGGGGATAGAGCCAGACCCTGTTCAAAAAAATAAAAAAGTTTATTTTTGTCTAGAGTCAAATGAATGCCTCTCACTACCAACAGGGTGGAGCAGTTCCTGATGTATATTTAGTCCTCAGCAAATATTTTTTAATAAATTGATGAATATCATAAATATTATTATTCACAATAACATTTTTCTTAATATTTTTATGTGGCAGTTTTCTTACATACATTATCTCATTTAACACAATAATTCTGTAAGGTGGGATTAACATTCTTGTGTTATAAATGAGTAAACTGAAATTTAGAGAGTATACATAGTTGGTCCAAGTCATAGTAAATGAAAGAATAAACCTAGGTCTTTTGAGTGGGTGTATTTTGCTAATGTTTTCTAAGATTTCCTAGTCCCATCTTGAACCTCATTCAGGTACAAATATCTGAGTATTAATGACACTAACATGGTCATTCACAAAGTATAAGATGTAAATTTTGTGGTATTATGTGCAGATTTTGAAAGATTTAATAGGAGAAACTTTACACAGTTTATGCATTTGTTGATATGTCAAACTAATTACCTAATTTTTATTTGGAAATGAGCTAATTCCTTTGCCAATGGGGTGGGATCCATAAAGGAGTGGGAGGGGCTGGGGAACCAGTAATAATACAGTTGGAACAGATTTCAATCATCCATTCACAGCAGAAAACCACACACCTTAGACCCATGCCAAGATTTACCAAACCATCAATGCACTTAAAAGGTTTACTCCTTGATCATTTGATAGTGAAACACATGGTTTATGGGGTTCATATTATATACTAATCTCTTTTGTTATCATTTAAATAAAAATTCTGGAGCCTTCTTACTGCAGGCCAGCTCTGCACCTGGTCTATGCTCCATATGTTTGCCCTCTCACCAAAAGACTCATACTGATGTTTAAAATGCCAAGAATAGAAAAGTGCCACATATCACTTATCAAGTGATATGGTTTGGCTGTGTCCCCACCCAAATCTCATCTTGAATTCCCACGTGTTGTGGGAGGGAACCAGTGGGAGGTAATCAAATCATGGGCTGAGGTCTCCCCTGCTGTTCTCCTGGTAGTAAATAAGTCTCACGAGATCTGATGGTTTTTAAAAGGGTGGTTTCTCTACACAAGCTCTCTTCTCTTTTCTGCCGCTATGTGAGACGTGCCTTTTACCTTCCCAGGATTGTGAGGCCTCCCCAGCCACGTGGAACTGTAAGTCCAAAAAACCTCTTTCTTTTGTAAATTGCCCAGTCTCAGGTATGTCTTTATCAGCTGTGTGAAAACAAACTAATACATCAAGGGATCATTTCCAGTGAAGATTATTGATTGCTTGCTTGATTGAGACAGGATCTCACTCTGTCGCCCAGGCTGGAGTGCAATGGTGTGATCATGGCTTACTGCAGCGTTAAACTCCTAAGCTCAAGCAATCCTCCCATCTCAGACTCCCAATTAGTTGGAATTACAGGTGCACACCACTATGCCCAGCTAATTTTTTAATTTTTTGTAGAGATGAGATCTCACTATGTTGCCCAGGGTGGTCTTGATCTCTTGGCTTCAAATGATCCTCCCATCTTGGCCTCTCAAAGTGATGGAATAAGTCACCTTGCCTGGCCCAGTGCAAATTTTAAAAGGAGCGAAACAGAGAAATTAGACATTTCCTGACTTTGAGGACTTTTTTTTTTGAGTGTCCTGATTATGACAAACAAGGCCTTCATTTTGGATTAAATGGAATTATCATGGTATAACCTTTCTAAATACATCTATTTGTTCTTCAAAATGTGAGGCAATTGGACATTTTCATCTATTTCTTCAATACATTTTTGTCACGGGTGAGTGATGACTAGCTCGGCCAGTGGTGCAGGGGTAATAGAATTTACCACGGCAGTTGTAGGTAAAGAACGCAGATTTATTAGAGAAAGTAGGAAAATATCTTGTGAGAAGGCAATGGGCAGACCAGCAGAAGAGAGGCTGACTGCAAGGAAACAAAGGCTTGCTGGAGATTTTATAGGATGGTTCTTGGGTTGATTGATAATGCCAAAGCAGCAGAGAGCTTAAATGGCATTCTTCTGTCAGCCGAGGCATTTGATAAATTGAGGCATTTGAGGGTAAGCAGGAAGTTTGTGAGTTATGTATGTTATCTGTGCAGGAGGACCATCTATCCTGGGCCATAAAGGAAAGCAGACCTATAGCTCATCTCCTTCCTCTTTTGTTTATATGTCCTGGACCATGAAGAAAGGCAGACTTATAGCTTATTTGCTTTATCTCTTTACTTTCCCTTGCTACCTCCACCAGCCTAACTCCTTTTCCCTAATTAGGGCTCCTCAATATTTACTGAGCACCTACTACAGACTAGCTGTTCCTACTGCGTGGGAATCATCACTGAACAAATCAAAGGTCCCTATTCTTGAGAATCTGTGCATTTTCATGAAAATGTATTCTGTACTTATGGAAAAGTGGAAGGAAGAGTTTTCAGACACATAGGCTGCCTTAAATTTTATTCTCCAATTCCAAAAAATTTAGAAGAGCACAGAAATTCTTACAAAATAACTTAATATTTAGAGTTAACAGATGATGCATACAAGTTGTCAGGCATGTTTTAGATACATTAATTTAATCCTTACGAAAACTCTATGACACTACTTTCAATCTCATAGACAAGGAAACTGAGGCAAAGAGAAGTAAAAAAACTCACCCAATGTCATACAAATTTTCCTGCAGCAGAATCTGGACTTGAACCTGGTTCATTCATCCTCATTGTCTTTGTTCTAATGCACCGCAGGATTCTGTTTTGCTGTAATTGGCCTTTAGTCAAAGTCTCGCAGAGGGCCCACACCTGTAATCCCAGCAATTTGGGAGGTCGAGGTGGGAGGATTGCTTGAAGCCAGGAGTTGAAGACCAGCCTAGGCAACATAATGAAACCCTTGTCTCTACAAAAAATTAGCTGGGTGTAGCGGTGCACACCTGTGGTCCCAGCTACTCAGGAGATTAAGGCAGGAGGACTGCTTGAGCCCAGGAGGTTGAGGCAGCAATGAGCTGTGATTGTGCCACTGCACTCTAGATGAGGCAACAGAGTGAGAGAGTGACAGTCTTTCTCAAAAAAAAAAAAAAAAAAAAAGACGCAGAAGATTTGAAATGGATTGAGACTCGTAAACTCATTTGATAAGATATCTTGTGCATTTTAGGAATTCTCCCAAGTGGTCCTGGCTCTTCTTGAAAACTATACAGAAAAATACTATTTCTTCACATGACAAATCCCTTCGATTATCAGCAGAAAGCCATTATTGCCCTTCTCCTTTCCCCTCTCCCAGTACTTTTAATGATTCTTTTTTTTCCCTCTCTCTCCTTTTTAGGTTAAACAACTTCTTATTCCACAACTATCTAGAAGTAAAAATTACTATAAATTGAATGATGAAAACTTCAGGTCATTCCTTTCAAAGTCCTTTCCAGTGCTGCATGGAGAAAAAACGCAATCTACAACCACAACAATAAATGAGGTATGAGATTTAATTCTGGATATTACAGGGAGGCTTAATGAAGCAGAGAAGTGGATTTCCGGAGAAGGAGAGATTAAAGTCTGGAAAAGAAGTATACCTGTCTGGGGATTAAAAAACAAACAACTTTGAACGGTCAAGGAACCTGGAAACCAAGCTCATAAAAGGTAACATCTGTGCCCTTAAACTAACTTAAGGTGAGAAAATTTAGGTGAGAAAGAAATTATTTAAATAAAATGTTGCCATAAAAAATCATTTGCCTTGAAAAAATAATTTTCATGCTGAGGATCCAAGGACTCATTATTAGGGAAATTGTAGCAGAAGTAGATCTGGTGTATAGTTCAGACTCTCCAGAGGATAGTTACTTCTGATAAAATGGTAAGTGTGAAAGCACATTAAAAAGTTAAAAATAACTATATAACAACTGTATTTTTGTTTCATGAAAATTTTAATTTTGGTGAAATAAAAAGTACCTTTGGCAGCACATAACAGGACTAATAAAATGTGGAAGCCATTTATTTCAAACCCACTTTAATTAGAGTTTAAAAGTTACTTAGATAAACCTGAAATTATGGGTTAAAATGGGGTAAAAAGTGTGTCTAAAAATTTTTCAAATGTTAAAAAACCCAAACTTAATACACAAGAAACCCCAAGGAGACAATAAGAAAATCTAATGGCTATCTTATTCTTCCAAACTTAATCTTAACATGTATGTTGTGGGTACAATAAATTAAGGCTCCATATAATGAGGTTTTAATTTATTTATAAGATATTTTTAAATGATTACAATCTGGTAAATAATACATTGGATGTGTATTCACTAATCTAGAGATGAGGGGCAAAGGTAATCTCTTCAGGTTAGGTTTGTTTGGCTATAATATGTGTTTCTGAAATGAGAATTAGCAAAATTAGCTCATATGGGATGGACAAATTGAGAAATAATGTGAATAAAATAGTTTATCTGTTTTTCAAGCACGTTAATGCTTTGCACTTTCAAGTACAGTAACAGCAGCAAATTGGAAAGTAAGTGCAGGGTTGAAAGCAGCAAGCCATAGAGGAGCCCAGTTTTGTATTTTCACACTCAGATTTCCGCTTCCTTGTTTGGCCCGGCGCTCTGTCTTGGATGTGCCTGTTGAGAGTGATACTCTCAGATCTTTATTCAGTTTTCTCTGCTCTATCATTTAGCAACCTCAACTTTCCTTATGTCCACTTCTGTCAAGCTACTATCATTTTTTCTTAAGGTAATGTCTTATATATTCCGTAGCATTGTTTTGTTTATTTAAAAATTTAGCATGTCTCTTTAACTGTATAATGTTTTCTTAAAGACCGTTATTGATCCTATTAGTTCTTTGACTGCAAAGTTTCGAGTTTACTGCTCCTAATTCCATTTTCCCCATGCACTTTGTCGTATTTAGTGCACAGTTTTGGAGGATGTGAGATTTTTCAGGAAATGCTTGTAACTTCTAATATGGTATGTCCATAAACTTATGACCCTGTTCAGATAGTGGTTGCCATGTATTTAGCAAATCTTCCTGAGAAGTCTCAAGTATACAGTAATGAGTTATCAATTGTTGGACACTAAATCTCAAAAAAGACAAATCCAGCCATAAAAATAGTGTGTCAGAGCAAATATAAACCAAATTATCAGGATGCAAATATATTATTACTTTGATATGGAGAGAATAATTGTTTTCGTATTCAAATTCATCTTATAAATACTATGTGGTTGATAGTTATATTGAAGAAATAATTAACAAATTTAGGTTTGTATAACTCTATAGCCTAAATCAGAAAAAGCATGTTCATCTGTTTTTAAATACACACACATTAAACCATTAAATGATGACTTTGTATTTAACAGGACAACTGATTTCTAGTTCTTGACAAGATAACTTACTTTTTACTAGAATCATACTAACATCTTCTTTAAGGAAGAGTAGTAGTAATTTAAGAAAGCCTGTGTTTAGTAACAAATTTAGAAAATCTAAGACATTTTGAGTTCACAGAAAAGAAAATAAAGATTATTTAGAAAAGAAACTTGTAGACTTTATGATACTAAGAAAGAATGCATTAATAAAATGTAATTAATTATTTCACAATTAACTTCCTTAAGCCTGTTTTTCATCTGTAAATGAGGAGAATAATGATAATAGCTACCTAAAGCATTATTAGGAGGATTAAATGAGATAATATTGAGCATTGTAAAGCACTTATCACAGTGGCTGGTCCATAGTAAATCTTCATTTAAAAGTTGGTAATTATTCTAATTGGCAATTAAAAATCCCATTGTTTAGAATGGAGATACATTAATCAATCCTGAGATTTTAATATTTGAGTCATAGACTATTTTTTGCTACTACAAGGTGTCACTCTTTAAATTTTCTCTCTGAAAATGATGACTATTTTATAAAGCCAAAATCCACAACAATGCATGGAGCACCGGGTAAGGCAGTGAACTAAATGTTAATCTGGAGACAAATAAATGTAAGATACAATCCCTGCAATCAAAGTTTACAACCAGATCGGACAAAGAAGACGTAAGAAAGTAACTGTTTGGTTTTTCTGCAATGCATTAGTTACTTACATGGTACTGATACTCAGAGAATAGTTTTTACCCTTTCCCCAAGTAAAAATTAACCCTCTCTTAAGCTCTTTATCAAGGTTAGCTTAAGTGGTATTATTGTATATAAACATATCACATACTGCAGAAGCTCCCAAATCTTAATGAGTTAGCAAGGACTTAATGTTAAGAAAAAAGATAGTTAGAAGATACTGTCTGTCATTACAACATATTAAATGCCAAAGACAAAAAGACGTAAAAAGCCTCAAGCAAAAAAAGATTTCATAGGCATTCTGATATCTTTCACCTGTATTATTGCAAAATTCTGAGTTAGTCTTACCACTTTTAATCTCTTCTGATTCCAGTTCATCTTACACATATCTGCTTAAAATAGGTAGTTTTCTCTTTTGCAAGAATATGAAGCAATTTTCTGGTCAGGATCATATCAGACTTAAGGGCTTTAGGCTTACAATCATGACATCTTATTAAACGGTAAACCACTCTTCTATCTTGTCCTACACTTGAACAAATCTAGGCTCAATGCCATGGCCTACTAAATTTAAAAAATCCATGAAAAAAGCAAAACGAGGCCAGGCATGGTGGCTCATGCCTGTAATCTCAGCACTTTGGGAGGCTGAGGCAGGCGGATCATGAAGTCAGGAGTTCGAGACCATCCTGGCCAACATGGTGAAACCTCATCTCTACTAAAAATACAAAAATTGGCGGGGCGTGGTTGCGGGCACCTGTAACCCCAGCTACTCAGGAGGCTGAGGCAAGAGAATCGCTTGAACCAGGGAGGCAGAGTTTGCAGTGAGCTGAGATCGTGCCACTGTACTCCAGCTTGGGTGACAGAGCGAAACTCCATCTCAGCACATTGGGAGGCTGAGGTGGGCAGATTGCTTGAGCAAGAGTTCAAGGCCAGCCTGGGCAACATGGCAAAACCCCATCTCTACAAAAAAATACAAAAATTAGCCGGGTATGGTGATGTGTGCCTCTGCTCCCAGCTGTTCCAGAGCCTGAGGCAGAAAGATTGCTTGAGCCCAGGAGCTTGAGGCTGCAATGAGCTGAGATGGTGCCATTTTACTCCCACCTGTGTCACAAAGTGAGATCCTGTCTACAGAAAAAAAAAAAAGTATATTCTTTACATATACAGGATGAACTGATAGATTTTTATTTTATACTTTGGGAATAATCCTCTACTATTTTATTTATTTTGTTGCTCAAATGGTTCCAGCTTTGGCCACTGGGAGCCCTTTCAGCTGGCTCCTGTTCCCCTTTCATGTATCCCCATCACTGTGGTTTTCTTTTTCAGCACTTCCTTCTTTTTTGGAGATGCAAGACATTCCAGAGTCATCTTGTAGATTTCCTGCCCCAATCTTAGAATCAGCCATTACTCGAAGTAGCCTTGGCCTCTTTTATAAGAGAATGGTATTAGAAACCAAGACTTGGGTGCTAGGTGTGCTTGTTACTACTGGAGTGTCATTGCATTTATGCCCTCTCAGCTGATAGAGAAAGAAAATATATGTATGAGTATATAAATATGTATAAATGCAAACCTATGTATATGCATTAGCTTGCTAGGGTTGCTGTAACAACCTATTGTAAAAACACAATAGATTGGGTGGCTTAAACAACAGAAATTTCTCACAATTCTGGAGACTGGAAGTCTGAGATCAAGGTGTTAGCAAGATTGATTTCTTCTGGGGGCTTTCTCCTTGGCTTGCAGATGTTCACCTTCTCTGTGTCCTTGCATGGTTTTTCCTGTGTGTGTGTCTGTCCTAATCTCTTCTTCTTACAAAGACACCAGCCATGCTGGATTAGTTCCCACCCACATAACCTCATTTTACCTTAATTACCCCCTTAAAGGCCTTATCTCCACATACAGCCACATTCTGAGGTACTGGGGATTAGGACTTCAACATATGAATTTATGTGGTTGGGGGAGACAAAATTCAGCTCATAACAGTACACATGTCTATAAATATTTCTAAATGTAACCATTTATCTATATTAAGCTAAACAGGAGTTCATATTGAGGTCTCCGTCTTAAAATTATTTTAAAAATCCTTTTTAGCCAGGCACTGTGGCTTAAAAATTATTTTAAAAATCCTTTTTAGCCAGGCACCTGTAATCCTAGCACTTTTGGAGGCAGAGGTGGGCGGATCACTTGAGGTCAGGAGTTCGAGACCAGCCTGGCTAACATGGTGAAATCCCATCTCCACTAAAAATACAAAAATTAGCTGGGCATGGTGGCAGGTGCCTGTAATCCCAGCTACTTGGGAGGCTGAGGCAGGAGAGTTGCTTGAACCTGGTGGAGGTTGCAGCAAGCTGATATTGCGCCACTGCACTCCAGCTTGGGCAACAGAGTGAGAGTCCATCTCAAAAAACAAAAACCAAAAACCTTTTATGTCTTAAAATAATTATAGATTCACAGGAAGTTCCAGAAATAGTACAGAGAAGTTCAGTGTACCTTCACCTACTTTCTCCTGATGGTTACATTTTATAGGAAATTGACATTGGTAAAATGTGTGTGTATAGCTCTGTGACATTTCAACACGTGTTGATTCATGTGACCACCAGAAAAAGATGCAGAACTATTCCATCAATACCAAGATCTTCTTCCTGCCACCCCCTTATAGTCACATTCATCTCCCTACCCCCTCCCTTGTCATGATCCCTAAACAGTAATTCTCAACTACTAATCTCTTTTCCATGTTTAGAATCTTGTTTTGAGAACATTATATGAATGGAATCATACAGTATGTGACCTTTTAAGAGTGAATTTTTTCACTCAGAGATCCATACAAATGTCATGTTTCAACAGTTTGTCTTTCTGTATACAACCACCTCCCCCCTACAAAAAAAAAAAACACCACAGTTTAGAATTTTTTTTTTTTGAGGCAGGGTCTCACTGTGTCACGCAGGATCATAGCCCACAGCAGGTTTGCACTCCTGGGCTCAAGTGATCCTCTTGCCTCAGCTTCCAGAGTAGCTGGGACTATAGGCACACACCTAATTTTAAAAATTATTTTGTAGAGATGGGGTCTTGCTATGTTGCCCAGGCTGGTCTTGAACTCCTGGGCTCAAGTGATCCTCCTGATTTGGCCTCTCAAGGTGCTGGAATTACAGCCCTGAGACACCATGCCTGGCCAGTTTAGAAAATTTTGAGGAGGCAAGAGAGGTTCCATCTTCTATACATGTGTTGTTATTCTACCCCTGAAAATGAAATAGTAGATCTTTAATCTACTATTTCCATGAAAAAATGGCTTCTTTCTAGTATATGAGCATGTGGCAGGAGGTAGCTGAGTAGGGACCCATTCGAAGTTCTATCCTATTAATTCTTCTTCCAATAGAGGGTGACATTTGGGTAAATGATAAAACATATCAGTTCTCTCCCAAAACCTCTACCCAAATAAGTCTACTTCTGATACTTTTCAGATACTGTTTCAAATAGAATCATGAAGCCTATATCTGAAAATTAAGAATGAAAGTTGTCTTATAGCTCAAATAATTTCCCTCTTAAACTACATTTTATAAATGTGTTTCAGAAAAACAAGGCTATTATTGTTTTATTGTCACATCTTCATTTTATCATCCATTTATCACTATTTATTGTGTTCCCATATCACTGTTGTAAGCACTGTTGATAGTTGTAAAGAACTGCAAAAATATAGTTCCTGCCATTGAAGCTCTATAGTATAAGAAGATACACAGAACAACCAGAAATAACACAAATGATGAAAACTAGTGATTTCAAATTGTTTGGTCTCAGAAACTCTTTGCACTCTTAAAATTATTAAAGACCCCCAAAAGCTTTTGTTTATATGGGTTATATCTATTTATACATATATAAAAATATATATATACTATATATATAGTATAAAAAGTGAAATTAGAAATTTTAGTATACAAGCATATATTCCGTTAGTAATGATGTCCATATGTATCATGTAGACTTGGGAAAGAATGAGGGTGAAAAGGCCAGTTGTATCTTCAAATTATTATGAAAATTGTTTTGACTTCACAGATTCCCTTAAAAAGTTATTGAGACACATGCATCCTCAGACCACACTCTGAGAATCTCTGGTGTAAGAATGCAAGTGTATTCATCATCAAACATAGATTTTAAAGAGCTCTAGGAGAGAATGACATGAATTTCATATGAAGTAAAAATACAAAGATCTTAGGAGGCAGAGGCAGAAATCAGAAATGTGCAAAGCATATGCCATTTAAAGAAATGCTAGCAAGCATTTCTGCTAGCATTTCTTCAAATGAAATGAAATTTCTGATTATGATATGCCAATCACTCTATAGATTCACTATTATGTAATATAGCTTTACTTCATGGCTTATATTTGAAATAATTATGTCATACTTCTCAAAATTTATCCCAGAGAAATAAAAGTTTATGTCTTCACAAAAACCTGGATATTAACATTCATAGCAGCTTTATTTGTAATTTTTCAAAACTGGAAATGACAAAGTGTGTCATAAATGGTTAACTGTGGATCACCCACGTCATGGAATATTACATAGAAATAACAAAGGAACAACTAGTGAGTTAATGGTAATAAAGAGGGAATAATTTATCCATTAAAAATGAAACATATTAATTTAGCTCTTATTTTGCACTGCATGCTGTACTAAGTTTGTGGAACATAAAGACAAAAACCGTGGTTTTTACCACAAATAGATTCATAGTTTTATCCTGGTTTAGTTTTTAAATTTCAAAATGAAGCCTTAAGTCCCTGCAACTCCTTGGTTCTACCCTCAAAGCAAAATGTTTTTCCTGGGAAATTTGCTCTTTTTCTAATTTAACTAAAAAGTGGTCACTAGTCCTCTAATCCTCCAAAATAATTTAATTTGTAAATAACAAAATGGCTGAACAATTCTGAATAAGAACATTTAGATGACCCTATCCTAGTTGCTGAGATCACATTTATACCAACCAAAGATAGTGATAAGACACTTTGGGGTCTTGGCCTATTTGAAATCATAACAAAGACCATTTTCCATTATTTATAAGGATATATTTTTTCTTTATAAAGTGAAGATAAAAATATATTTATATATGATTTTTAAAATGCTGTATCTCCAATCTTATAACTAGGGGCCCAAGTGGAAAAACTAGTTTGACAATGTTCATTTGACCTTTAAGATATAGAATTTCTCATCTTTATTGTACAAGTTAGTTCATTTCTTTGCAAGCCATGTATGGCCCATCTCCTTTCTCCTGTTACAGTTCTTGCTTTTTAATTAGGCTGTGCATGCTAATGCATAGCTGATTGTAGGGGAACATTTTAAGTTTTATTTTAACTGCAATAAAAATAGTCTTGCACTAAATATTTGCAAAGGTCAAAATTTTTACACTTGAAAAGCACTCCTACAGAGAATAAAAGAATATAATTGAATAGCTTTTCATATACCTAGCACATGGTAGATACTCAGTAAATATGTGTCGAGTGAATGAAACATTGACCGTATGTTGACGTTCTCTTACGATATGTTTAGTTAATTCAGTTAAACATTTATTGTGTGTATTCTTTGTACCAGGCATAGTGCAGAGGATTAAAAAGTTAATAGGATGAGTTTGCCTTAAAATACTTCAGAGTCCAGAGGAGAAGACCTACTATTTCTAAATATTAGGTTGGTGCAAAAGTAATTGCAAAAACTGTAATTACTTTTGCACCAACCTAATGGATATTTTCAATATAATGTGATGGTAACAACAATAGTGACATATATACTTTGTGAACAAAAATTTGGGGGTTGCTTATCCAGACTCAGGGGATCAGGGATGGCTTCAAAATACCTACCTGAACAACAAAGGAATTAATGTCAGTTGATGAAGAAAAGGGGAAGACCAGTGTGGGCACAGAGAGTGCAAGAGTAAAGACACAGAAAAGGAAGCTGTAGAAGAAGCATCAGCAAAAATGGAGGACTGGGAAGGGAAAACCTGGAGGTGGAAAGGCCAGTGAGCAACTTGAACATCCATTTTGTTGGTCTGGAATGGACATGTAGGGGAATGGCAAGAAAGGGGCAGACAGGTCTAAACTTCTCTACTCTTCTTCCTTGAGAGGGACTTCAACACCTGTAGATGACCTTAGGGTTGGCTATTAAATCCATTGGGGTCATTGAAGAAGGAACAATATTCAAAGGAAATGTTAAGGATACACGTGAACCCCTGGGGGCATAGGCCCTTTCTCTCATCTGTGTTTATCTACCCCCATGTAGAAGCCATACTAAGATCAAAATCAAAGATCCAACTGAGACCCACTTTTCTGATGGTAGATCGTCTTCTCTGGGTTGCTTTCCTTTTGGTTTGTCTTCCTCTTGTCTTTCTTGGTGGCTGCTTTCTGCTGTTTTCTGCTATCAGTCTTGATAATTGTCTTATTGGGTACAGCAAGAAACACTTGGGCAGAAACACCTCCCCCAAACAGAGCAATCTGGTGGAGTCTAGGGGAAAGTGGGTGGAATAAACTGTTTCAACTTTTAATCTAGGCCTAAATGTAGATACAAGAACTGATTTTCCAATATAGGTCAGCCAAGATCACTACGTAAGAGAATCCGTGGATATTTGGGACCTAGCTACTGGTGATATATGTGTAACAGGGCCTGGATCCTCATGCCCCACTCCTCCCAACACTCTTGAAAAAAAAAAAAAAGCAAATTTTCCCTCCTTTTCCCCTAGGAGTGTTGGTTAACCTGGATAGGTCCATGTTCATTAGAAGAGCCAGAAAGAAGGCAGACGAAGTCATGTAGTTTTCATGGTGACAAGGTCTAAGCAATGGTTGTGTGATTATGTGGCTGGAGTGAAGAGGAAGTAAAGGTCATTGGATCTGAGGAGGTAAAAAAAAATGAACCAAAAAAAACTATATCCAGTTAGGATGTTAAATGGGTTTCTCGTGTATAGTTACTGGAGTGGAGATGAAATCTGGTTTCCAATCACTACAGTCCTCATTAGATTTGTTAGAATCATCTGGGGAGAGTGCCAGGAAGGTTTAGGGAGGTAGGAAAATGGAACGTTTCAGCCTATTCCAGGCTGGATACTTTTTAAAAAACTGTAGGTGGTGGTCCTGTGCATTTGTAGGATATTTTTGCAGCATTCCTGGCCTCTACACATAGATGCCAGTAGCATCTTCCCCTCACCCTCATTTGTGACAACTACCCTCATTTGTGACAAGTATACAATATTGCCCTGGTTGAAAACTGCTAATGTACACCTGAATATCATGTTCCCATTATATCATCCAATTTAATATGTACAATAATGATCTGGTTTCCTAGTAAATCTCACTTTTTTTTTTTTTTTTTTTTTTTTTGAGACAGAGTCTTGCTCTGTCACCAGGCTGGAGTGCAGTGGCAGGATCTCGGCTTACTGCAAGCTCTGCCTCCCAGGTTCAAGTGATTCTCCTGCCTCAGCCTCCCAGGTAGCTGGGACTACAGGCGCGCACCACCACGCCCAGAAAATTTTTATATTTTTATTAAAGATGGGGTTTCACCTTGTTGGCCAGGATGGTCTTGATCTCTTGACCTCGTGATCCGCCCGCCTTGGCCTCCCAAAGTGCTGGGATTACAGGCATGAGCCACTGTGCCTGGCCTGTTATTTTTTTGAGAGGACGTCTCGCTCTGTCTCTGAAGCTGGAGTACAGTGGCGCAATCTTGGCTCACTGCAACCTCCGCCTCCCTGGTTCAAACAATTCTCCCTGCCTCAGCCTCCCAAGTAGCTGGTATTACAGGCACTCGCCACCATACCCAGCTAATTTTTGTATTTTCAGTAGAGACAGGGTTTCGCCATGTTGGCCAGGCTGGTCTTGAACTCCAGGACTCAAGTGATCTGCCTGCCTCAGCCTCCCAAAGTGCTGGGATTACAGGCATGAGGCCCCACGCCTGGCCTCAATCCCACTTTTTACTTAAATTGAAGCTAGAAAATCTACTTCAGTTGTTTGTTAGTTTTTGGCGGGAGGGAAGTGTGGGCAGTTAACATCTGTATTCTAAGAGCTTAAGACATTTTACTAACTTGCAACTTGGGCTAGTAACTTTAATTAGACTCTCTAAATATCTGTACAATGGACTAACATTTACTATAATAATGAAAGCAATGAAGGAAACTGAGAAAGGAAGGAGACAAATTAGACCAGAATGGTTTAAGTGCTCAAAATCTTAACTTTAGGGACAAATGTTGGGGTTGTAGGGGATGGATGAAGAGGGGAAGAAGAGCTCAGTTCTTGCTCATGGGTCATTTTGCTTCTCCTTGCGTAACGACTAATATCTATCAGCTTAATCCTGAGTCTTTAAAAGGGTGCTCTGGCCCTCTTGAGGCTTCAGTTCATCCCTGCTTCTCACCATGTATTACTATGATCAGGGATATGAACATTAGACTATGGACCCTGCCCAAGCCCACTTGTGCATTACCTATAAAGATGCCAGGCATCCCTAGCTTTCAGAGTTAAGAAGATCTAACTTTACTATCAGAACTTGAGTGATTTGCTGACAACAGCTCTGGTACAAACAGTTTTCAACAGCAGTTATTTTACTGAGCTAAACTTTCTTAACATATCAGATCATTACTCTTAAGTACAAATACATAGTCTTAGTGAAGTAACGGGGCATAGCTTGTATTGGATTTTGATAGTTCTGGCATTTGGTTGAGCAGCAACTTGACCCTTAGTTAATTAGTCTGACAATTCCTGCTGGCTGTTTAATCAAAATACTGCAACTTTCAACTTCATCAGTAATTTAGTTCATTTGTCTTTATTATGATTCCATGATTACTTCTGGTTAGAACACTAGTATTTTTGAGAATTGTAATGTTAGTGATGAATGGCCGTAATAACGTGTGTATGTAAAGAATATGCATTAATATATCTACAATAATATGTGCTTTTAAAATGAATTTCTTTGAAGGAAAGAAGATAGCTTTCTGTTCCTCTAATACTGAAACTATCTTTCCTATATTTTGATAATTTAAATTACCATCCAAGATAAGAAAACATTCAAAGAGGAGAAAACAGTTTCTTCCCCCAAATTGTTTTAATATTTTTGAAAATGATACAAATAACTTTATACAAACTATAGAATTTTTGTAAAGAAACTCCATCAATCTATTTTCTTAACAAATCAGTCACATATTTTCCATGTTTTTTTCCAGTCTTGTTTGCATGCATAACCAATTTTATATAGTTGCAATTACAGTGTAGACTCAATTTGTATTCTGCTTTTTTCACTTAGCATTATTCTTCCATAATAATTTAAAGAGAATTTTATTTACAGTTATTTCAAATGTAGAGAATGTAATTTTCTGAACTGTACATAAGTGCTCAATTTAAATATTTTAATGGCTAACCCAAATTATCAAATGTGCTCTAGATAAGGGTGCGTTATAGTTAATGCTTAACATTGCAGGAAGCAACTTGCATATACATTAGTTTGAAGTCCAATGTTATATGCAAGTGGAAGTGAGGACATTAAAGGCTGGTTGTCTTTATGTATTTTGAAATTTTTCTCCAGTTAGATGTACTTCTAGAATTAGTGAGTCTGGCTGCTGAATTTTCATGCCCTGAACTAATTCAGCCAGTTGTAAAATTGTACCTTTCTGCAGATGACTTAACATGTGCACCTCATTTATACTTGAACTTGCTATGATTCAGATAGCATTATCCTAAATGATGTTAAGAAATTGTTCATTTTCTGTGTCAGCGAAAAATGAGGAAAGGCCAACTACATTTCGCCTGAAGAGAGTCATGTCAGAACAGACATCCTGGCAGATACAAAAATGCAAGTAAGATATTTTAACAGGGCATACTAAAACTAATGGACTGAGGACCAATATACACTTCTACATTGTATTAAAGTGGCATCTACTGAATTTACAAATGTTAAAAGACATGCTTTATTAGTTGCTGTAGGAGTCCTGTTTCATTTAGTTTATCACTTAGGAAAATAAATTTGTTTTCCTTTTGTGTAATTTTTAACCCTTATTTTAAAATGTGGTTTGGGAAGATAGATTTTAAAAATTAATTGTTCCAAATATAAAATATTAAAAGAAAAATAGACTACCTATCTCTAGGTAGTCTATGTTTAAATAAACAGGAATATGTATTAAATAAACAGGAAATCTGAACAATACATTTTTTGCTTGATAAACTAGCCTCATGGGGCCTTTCTTGATCAATGTTGTGCTTTAACCTAAAAAGCTAATATATACTTGGATATTTTTAAGTTATTGGGTTACTTGCAAGAGCTGGGGAATGCTACTTCCACTTAATTCACTGTCTATTAGGCCTTTGTTAACATATGGTGTCCAACTGTAATTTTTATATTTTCAGGGTGATTTCTTTTACCCAGAGAATTTAAGGAAGAGCAATAGAATTGATTAAAGTAATATTAATTGGAAGATTAAATCTGATTGAGGTATTTATCCCGAGGAGAAACTAAGATGGTTATTTATTATTTTCTTTAGGTGTATTGGTATTTAGGTGTATTGATAATTTCAATTGGTTACCTCAATTTTATTTAGAACAGAGTTTCACAAAACATGGGCCCCAAACCAGCAGCATCAGCATCACCTGGGAAATTGTGAGAAATGCAAATTCTTAGGCCCCAAGGCCAACCTGTATCAGATCATATCTGCAAATAGGGCCCAGCAACTGTCTTTAACAAGCCATACTGGTGATTCTGATGAAAAATAATGTTTGAGAACTAGTGTTTTAGAAGTAGGCTGGGGGAAAAGAACAGATGATAGTAATAGAGATATCTTTTTTTTTTTTAAGAGGATGAATGAGTTTGCTTTAACCTCAAGAAGAACCTTTCAAAGTATTGTGGTTTTACTGTACCAGTATACTAAAGGAAGTTTCAGTATTTCTAGTCTTTTACTTACTTACGTGAGAAGCCAAGAACTGCTTTATTGAGTCAGACTCATTGTGTAATCAGACAAGACTGATTTGTGGTCTGTATTTCCAGTCACGTGTACAGACAGGCAGGTTGACTCTTGAGTCTGCCTCAAGTGGAAGGGGAACCATCTCCCAAAGAGCTTAATTAGTTCCATCATTACTTTATTGAAACATTAACAAATTTGCATATTACTTTGTGTATTCTACTTAATTCCTTCCCCCAAGATACCTGAGGCTATGTATAATTTACATCCACTTGTTTTAGAAGAAGAATTCAGTCTGGGATTGTAAAGTTGAACCAGCTTTTTAAATTATTCCCCTCTTTCGATCCTGTAAGATAAAATGTAGAAGAGCTTTGAAAATGAAAAAGACACTAATATTGAAATGTAAAGTAAAAATGTAGAAATGTTGTTAACCTTTTTATTTCTCAACATTTTCTTTTTAAAGCTTGGGAAGGTAATAGCGCAAAGACTTCCCAGTGCTCCTAGGTTTACCCATGAATAATGATTGTGTTTTCTGCAGCTACATCTAGGTTCTTATAATTAGAAGATGGGCACAGCTGGGCAGGCATTAGGTCATTACATCCTCTAGATTGGGCCTACAGGTTGTAAACTCCTGGAGGACAAAGACTACATGCTGCTTCTCTATATTTGTGATATCTTGGGGTCCAATCTGAATTGCAGCCGAGTTGCAGCTCAAGGAATGTTGTTACGGTTTGGATGTGTCCCCTCCAAGATTCAGGTGTTGCCAATGTGATAACATTGAGAGGTGGGGCCTTTAAGAAGAGATTAGGCAATAAGAGCCCTTCCCTTGTCAATGGCATTGAGGCCTTTATAAAAGAGGCTTCATAAAGCCTTAGCCCAGTTTGCTCTTTTGCTCCAGGGGGATGCAGCAAGAAGGACCTCCTCTTAGATCAACCAGATGATCCTTGAATTGAACTTTCCAACCTCCAGGACTATGACAAGATAAACTTCTATTCTTTGTAAATTACCCAGTCTCAGGTATTCTGTTGTGGCAGCAAAAGGACAAACATATTCTTTGTGAATGAGTTTGTAGTGCTTGAGGGGATTGAGGAAGGGCCTGCCTCTGACCACAGTATTTAAATTTAGAGTTGGCTCCCCAGCCTGGATTCTTTTCCTTGCTTTATTTTTTTCTTCAGGGCAATTAACACTTTCTAATATTCCACATAACTTACTTATTTAGTTCATTGTTATTTATCTCAGTCTACCACAAGGAGAGAGTTTTTTTTTTTTTTTTTTTTTGCTTGTTTGGTTCCCTACTTTATCTTCCCATAAGACCACCTAAAACAGAACCTGGAGCAAAGGAGGCAATCAATAAATAGCAACTGAATGAATGAAGAATTGCTGTCATGACAAACATTCATTCATTCATCCATTCATTCAAGAACCATTCTTGAAAGGCACGTAGTTGTAAGTGGTAATATAATGAATGGCAGACTTTGAGCACATTCTGAATTAACAATTTAGTGTCATTCCATACCCGTTCTAGCTCTTACTGCATTTTATTCACCTGCACAGTCAAGGTGTCTAGCACAGCTAACTCAGAAAACGCTGGAGGCGGGGCCCACCCATCTGTGTTTTAACAAGCCCTTTAGGTGATTCTGATACCCTCTCAAGTTTGAGAACCACTGTAATTGAGGACTCAGTAGAGGACTCAGTTCTAAAGCTATCATGTGAGTACTTCTGAAAAAGAAACTTGGGGCTAGTGATATACTGGTAATTTAACCTGTTCGTTTTATGGGGCATATAGTATTTCCAATAATGTCACGCACGTCCGTGTGAAGAGACCACCAAACAGGCTTTGTGTGAGCAACAAGGCTGTTTATTTCACCTGGGTGCAGGCGGACTGAGTCCGAAAAGAGTCAGTGAAGGGAGATAGGGGTGGGGCCGTTTTATAGGATTTGGGTAGGTAGTGGAAAATTACAGTCAAAGGGGGTCGCTCTCTGGCGGGCAGGGGCGGGGGGAGGGGGGGTGGTCACAAGGTGCTCAGTTGGGGAGCTTCTGAGCCAGGAGAAGGAATTTCACAAGGTAATGTCATCAGTTAAGGCAGGAACCAGCCATTTTCACTTTTGTGATTCTTCAGTTACTTCAGGCTATCTGGATGTATAAGTGCAGGTCACAGTGGATATGATGGCTTAGGTTGGGCTCAGAGGCCTGACAAATAACGAAGTATCAAGAACAGAAAAAAATAATTTGAATTTGTTTCCTATTGCTATCCCATCAAATCACCATAAATAAAAAGAAAACAAACGTGTTATCTTACAGTTTTGGAGGTCACCAGTTTGAAATATACTCCACTGGGCTAAAATCAAGGTGTTGGCAGATTACGTGCCTTCAGGAGGCTCCAGAAGCTGCCTGCATTCCTTGGCTCATGGTGCTTTCCTTTAATTTTTTTTGAAATGGCATCTCGCTCTGTCACCCAGGCTGGAGTGCAATGGCACAATCTTGGCTCACTGCAACCTCTGCCTCCCAGGTTCAAGTGATTCTCCCGCCTCAGCCTCCCGAGTAGCTGGGATTACAGGCACCCGCCATCATGCCTGGCTAATTTTTGTGTTTTTGTAGAGATGGGTTTTCACCATGTTGGCCAGGCTGGTCTTGAACACCTACCTTGGGTGATCCGCCTGCCTTGGCCTCCCGAAGTGTTGGGATTACAGGCGTGAGCCACCGCGCCCGGCCGCTTTCCTTTACTTTCAAAGCCAGCGGTGCAGTATCTTCACATCTCTGTGACTCTGATCCTCTTGCCTTTTCATTTCACTTATAAGGATGCTTGTGATTACCTTGGGTGCACACAACTAATCTAGGATAATCTCCTGTCACAAGATCTTCCACTTTATCACATCTGCAATGTCCCTTTTGCCACACAAGTTACCACATTCACAGGTACTAGAGATTAGGGTGTGGACATCTTTGGGAGACCATTCTGCCTGCTACAGTATTCATTAGGTGGAATAAAATAACAAGCGGCTCATGTCTTAACAATGAACAACTGTAGAATGTCAAAGTAGTTGCTTGAGTAACAAAAGCAGCAATTACGGAGAGCTAGACAGAAAAAAAACCCTTTGAAATCTATTAAAAATCCATTAAACATTTTATGTGGTTAGTCATAATAAAAACAGATGATAGGTCTGTGATACTTATAGCGACTGAAACTGTAGCACAAGGGCCAGTTCTAAGGTAGGATGGGCAGATCCACTGGGGTTATATACCTAGGATTATTTGAAGGGTGGTAGGAAGACCCCTGTAATCTAAAATACCTCTATTGACAACATTAGTGAATTCTGTATCTGTTAATAAACACTTTGAAGTAGAGAAACATCTAGAGAGGGCTTGTTCTAATTAAGGCCTGAGCCAGTTCTTTGCTTCAACATAATTTATACATGAAATCCAGTTAAGATGAACTTGATTGATTGCCTGGAAGAAGAAAAGCCATAAACAGGGAAGTCTGAGGCACTATTTACTAGCAACATGACGCTTAGTTTTCTTTTCTGTAAAATCATTATTCTTACATCATAGAATTCTTATGTGAATTAAAAAATATAATGCCTCTAAAACACTGTTCTCAAAGCTTGGAACACTGTTAATTGTTCAATAAGTGCTACTTGCACTAATAAGTCATCTTCATTATTATTTATTAAGCCTAAAACTCTTTGAGAGAGATAAGTGGGAGTGCTACTGCCTTTGCTTTGTTGTTGGCGATGGATTTCAAAGGCTGGACATAGACAAATGGCTTTTACTTAGTACCATGGGCAACTATATTCTTCCCCCAGCTGACTTCCTGAATATCAATGGACGTTGCGGAGGTGAGGAAGAAGAGCTCCATGAATAAGGAGTGCAAAAGATTCAGAAATGGAGGTAGTGATGGACAAATTTGAGTTGCTCCACAATTTTCCTGAGGATCAAAGCAGACTGTTAGCCTGTGAGTGGGTTCATGTTGGGTATCATCTTTGCACAGTGCCTGCCGCTCATTGGTGCCCACTGAATGTTTATTGAATGCATGAATTCTGACACTTCCTGGTGAGCCCTCGTGTTCTCAACCTGAAACCTGGGTGACCCCAATTTCTGCCTTCAAGTCTCTGGGACTAAACATCATATATTAGGCTACTTTCTCTGAAGTCTTTCCTGAGACCTCCAAGATACAATTTGCCAACCTACCGCCCTTGGCCCTATATACTTTATGTTATCTATCACTTTTTATCACTAAAAATCATTCTCTTCATATGCTAGACTGTAAGCTCATTGAAGACAGGGGCCATATTTTATTCACCTATGTATTTTCAAACCCTAGCATAGATCCTGGAGCAGAGAAGGTGTTTAATAAGTATTTATTTGCTTAATGAAAATGAATGATGAACAGTTTCAGTAGAGGTTTTAGTTGGGGAAGTTTTAGTCCATTGCGTTGAAAGGATCATTATATGCACTATGCAGTCCATAGGTTAAGGCAAAGTGGATGACTGGGAACTAGGGCTGAAGTCTTAGAAGGTGAGAGAGTTTCTTGTGTGTTGATTACCAGTGATGACAAGGGTAATAAGTAGAGAGAATGACCTTTTAAAGAAGAGAAGCAGAGAAAAAAATATGAAGGTCAAAATGAGAATAAGGAGGACTGTGTAGTGAACCATCATTCTATCCTCAAGGAATGTCAAAAAACAAACTGGAAGGAGGGTGATAGAGATCATGAGAGAGACTCTTCAAGGTCATCTATTTTCTCACACTCAAAATTTGTTTTTTTTTGTTGTTGTTATTCTTTTTTTCAGATGGAGTCTCACTCTGTTGCCCAGGGTGGAGTGCAGTGGCACGATCTCGGCTCACTGCAACCTCTGCCTCCTGAGTAACATTTCTATATTTTGGTGGGGCACAGTGGCTCATGCCTATAGTCCCAACACTTTGGGATGCTGAAGAGGGTGGATTGCTTGAGCCCAGGAATTTGAGACCAGCCGGGAAACATGGCGAAATTCTCATCTCTACCAAAAATACAAACATTAGCAGGGCATGGTGGGGCACACCTGCAGTCCCAGCTCCTGAGGAGGCTTAGTAGGGAGAATCGCTGAGCCCAGGAGGGCGAGGCTGCAGTGAGGCATCATTGCACCACTGCACTCCAGCCTGGGCAACAGAATGACACCCTGTCTCAAAACAAACCAAACCAAACCCCAAAAAACAAACAAAAAACAAACAAAACCAAAAAACCAATTCTATATTTTAACCCATCTTTATCTCTTTCCCTCATGTTTCAAAGTAAGATGTGCTAGTCTCTTTTGAAGGGTGCTTTCTCACATGGGGTGTTAACCTTGTTCTCTCTTGTCTTGTTCATCAGTTACATACCTTCTTTCTTCCCTTCAATCTTATGTTCTATGCTTACTCTTTCTGCTTCCAACACATATGCCTAAGCCTTCCTTACTCTAAAATCATCCCTTCCTTTGACCTTGTTACCTCTTTTGAGCTTCTCTCTAAATCCTTGTTTCTTCTTCATTGCTAATCAGGTTGTCTACATTTGGGCCTCCATTTCGTCACCATTTATCCGATTTGGTGATGTTGCTGAAATTACTTAGCCATTATCAGCGATCTTCTAGTCACAAAATATATTATTTCTTAGTGCTCAGTCCACTAAACCTCTCTGAAGCATCTCACACTGCTGACTTTTTGTCAAAATATGACCATCAGCGTTTCTAACTAAAATCTAATCTGTATGGTGGTTGATTAAACAAACAAATATTGAGAAGTTACTAAGGACCAGCACTATCCTAAGGAAAAAGTGGTGAGCAAAACCAGATGAGGTGCTTGGTCCTTGCTGGAAGTTCAAGCTTAATTGGTGGGTGAGACAGTCAGTTCATCCCACAAGTAATTAACATTGCAGTTATGAAAAGGGTGACCGAGCAATCCTCCAACAGGGAGATGTAACCTCATCAGAGAGGTCAGGCAAGGCTGCTCCTGTGGACAGTTTTTTACATGGAGATCTGAGGGATGTCCCAGACTTAGCGTGGATAAGAGAAAAACAGAAGCGTGTTTAAGCAGAGGGAGCGACGTGTTTAGATTGTCTATGGCAGGAGGCAGTGTAAAGAGTACACAGGACTGAAAAAAGGTCTGGTTGAATGGAGAGCACTCAGGAGTGCTGAGAGGGAGATGCAGTGGGAGAGGGATCACTGGAGCTTTATAAAGCATGTTGAGGAGTGAAGCAATAGGGAGCTATTGAAGGCTTTAAACAGGTGGATGGCAAAATTAGATTCAGGTTTTGAAAAGATTGTTCGGGCTACAGCAAAATACACTAGTGGGGAGGAGAATGGGTGGTATTTATCAGCCAGCTAAGGCTGAGGCTTACACATCCTGTAAGCAAGAGATGATGGTGCCTTGAACCAAACAAGTGGAAGTGAAGGATTAAATAAAATAATTGAACTAATAGAACTTGGTACACAAAGGCAATCAAGAAAAATTGGCTGAGTGCAGTGGCTCATGCCTGTAATCCCAGCACTTTGGGAGGCCAAATTGGGAAGACCACTTGAGTCCAGGAGTTTGAGACCAGCCTGGGCAGAAAAGTGAGACCTCATTTCTACCAACCCCACCCCCTCACCCCCACACACAAATTGTTTTAATTAGCTGGGCATGGTGATGCTAGCCTGTAGTCCTAGCTACCTGGAAGGCTGAGGCAGGAGGATTGCTTGAGCCCAGTAGTTGGAGGCTGCAGTAAGCTACGATCACACCATTGCACTCCAGCTTAGGTGACAGCAAGACCCTGTCTCTAAAAAAAAAAACAATAAATAAAATGAATGTTCTATCAATTGGTAAATGGCTTCAGTTAGACGATACTGGCACAGCTGTGCTGCATTTGTAATATAGGTTCACAACTGTATTCTTTTTCTCCCTCCTTTGACATTTCCCCCTGTTTGACTTGCTTTTCAGCATGCTTCCCCATCTTCTCTCACAGCATTTATCATAGTACACTGCATTTACAGGTTTGCTTGTCTCCTCCAATAATCTGTAAGCTCCTTAAATACGAACAATGTATTACGTCAGTAGTTCCTAAACTTAAGGTTGGTAGGAATCACCTAGGGATTTTGTTAAAATGCATATTCTGACTCATTAGATGTTGAGTGGGATCTGATTCCTTCCTAATAAGACCCAGGTGACGCCAGTGCTGTTAGTCTAACGGGATTACTATCGGTAGAAAAGTCTTTAACCAACTTTTTATTCCCAGTGCTTAGTAGAGTGTCTGGTACATAGCAGACTTTTTGACAAATGTCTGTTGAATAAATGGCCTATTCTACCTTGCCAAAGTCTTTGCTAATATTTCCTTTCATGTACCTAAATCCCAAGTTATGATTTTAACATCACCCTATATTTTTAGTTTTCCATGTCAATTTCTTAGCTCCTCAAGTTACTCTCTCCTGGACAGTTCACTTTCGTGTCATGCTGAAAACAATTTTGCAAATCCACCTCAACTACCACCATATTCTCCAAATACTTTCTCAAGTCTCCTCCTAGGAAATGATTTTTCTCTCCTTCTACTCAATTTTGCTTCTTCTTTTAAGAAGAGATAGAAAATGTGCCTGTTTTTCTATTTTTCTTAATGTTTTATGTTTACTTCCATTCAAATCTTGCTCGAAGTGCTACCCCTAACCCCAGAACCTCCATACTATACATACTTTAGGAGGAAGGGAATCTAAATCTTCACTTTTTCTAATTACTGTATATGTAATAGGACCCAGTAAGTATTCATGGAACCAATGAATCAATGAACATAGGTGAGTGAGTCAAGGCAAATTTTGTGAAAAGAGGAAGGACCTTGGCTTCCCTTCTTGACTTTTCATATTTGAAGTATTTCAGGGAGAACTTGTAGCTATCATACATATCTTCCAAAGTCTAAATAAGCCAGTAGGTTCCTGTGGAATTTAGATAGAGTGAGTGACAGGTTTTACCAATGATCTCCCAGCTTTTGGCCGGACACAATGGCTCATGCCTGTAATCCCAGCACTTTGGGAGGCCAAGGTGGTGGATCACCTGAGGTCAGGAGTTCGAGACCAGCCTGGCCCACGTGGTGAAACTCTGTCTGTACTAAAAATACAAAAATTAGCCAGGTGTGGTGGCGGGCACCTGTAATCCCAGCTACTCAGGAGGATGAGACAGGAGAATCACTTGAAGCTGGGACGTGGAGGTTGCAATGAGCCAATGTTGCGCCGTTGCACTCCAGCCTGGGTGACTACATCTCAAAAACAAAACAAAACAAAAAACAAAAAGAAAATGATCTCCCAGCTTTTTAAAATATTTAAGATGTGAAAATGGATCAAGGAATGTGAATGTGATAGTGTCACATCTCTGTTCTCCTTGTTCTCCTCCTACTCAGAAGATATAATCGCCCTGAATCATCTTGACACCTGTTTTGTGAAAATACTCCATGTACACATAAAAACCAGTGTTCCAGACAATCATTAAGTCTTTTATTCTGCAGTCATCTCACCAAAGATCAGGGAACTTTGGAGTCTGCTGAACAAAGTGACTCTGTTTCTTGGGATAAAGTGTCCCAGGATCCAGAAATAAGATAACTAGTAGGTAAATGCAAATTTAATTTTAGAACATAGCAACATACATCTTGTATGTAAATTGAGAGTGTCCTTTTAAGTTGACAAAGCATTCTAGCTACGCTTTTATTTACTTTATAAATAAGAGATTGGTCCAAATTTTAAAAGAAAAAGTCTGCCACTGGCTTATTTCATGACCGTGTTCATGAAAAATAGGCTATGAGTTTCCTATTTGAAACTTAGACATGTATAGTACTTGATATCTGAGTAAGGTGAGGTATTGTTTGCTTTAGTAGGTCAAACAGTATTTTCTTCTACTATTTTTACATTATTAATTTGCCTACTGTTTAAATAAATGGGAGGTACGTTTTCTCAAGGCTGGATATATCACCATTTCTGAATTAGTGGGATCTAACTTAATGGATTTTCCACATTCATCCATCATCTATCTTTTCCAGTTTGGTTTTCCATGCCCATATCAATAACCAGATAAACTAGGTGAGATTAGATCCTTATGCAAATAACATAATTTGTAAACACCCAAAATGACTCCTCTGCCTTTGTCTCCAGAGATAATATTCAAATAAAAATTACCATGGATACACAATTAGGTCACTTTATTTTTCTTTAAAGAAAAATATTTTCCTTGTCTTCATTAGGACAAGATTAGTTGAGTCATAAGCAATCAAGACTCTCCAATGTTTCGTAAAATACATCAAAACATTCAACTGATGAGAGTTCAAAGCATTGAGAAATACTGAAGAGGCAGGCATGCAGGCAGGAAGGAGGCTGGCTGGATGGTGTCGGGGTGCAGGTTTATTTGTGTTAAACCAAATGGGGCATTTTGGGCAGAGTTTCTTCTGAGAGAGTTATTTTAGGATTCCAGGTAGTCAATCTTTGTGACTCCCCATCTCTCCCAACTCACCACATTCCTCTCCCCATTTTCCTTAATCTTTATGAGGCACTATTTAGTAAATTATCATGATGAAGGTTGTGGCCATCCCTTGGCACATGTGTGGTGGTGGTTTGGTTTGCTTCCAGTGTTCTCCCCTGTACCACTCTCCCTGCCTCTCCGCCCGCCACTTCCTGCCTTCATTTCTCTCCTTGCAAGCAATCTCAGTCCTTCCAGCTTTTCCAGCTCTTTCCTACCCACTCTTCATCTCCCACTTCCTGGCTGTGTGATCTACTAGGGCCTCATGAGCTGGTAGAGCTTTTAGCAATCATAAAAGTGACAGGTGCTGTTGCATAGAAGACAGGGGACCTTATATGTTCCTTCCCCTCAGTATCACCACGGCCCCTCTACCATGTCACCTAAAGGAATTATTGTTCTTTCAAAGGGTTTAGGCATTTTCAAACACATCAACAAAATGCTGCTCTTACCTAAAAGGGAAAATTGCCATCTTAATTCTGATTAAATTTTAGGAATGTGTTTATCATAGAGAAAAACATCTATCTATTGGTTTTATCCCCCCATCTATCTATTGGTTGGTCTCTTCTTTATTCTTCTCATCCCTGACATCTCTGCTCACCTTTTGCAGGTGTCTTTGTAAGTCTTTTACCCACTTCCTCTAAACTTTGAGATTTGACTTTCAAGGTCTCGTTCTCAATGAGGCAAATAAATAAATAAGAAGCTTGTTTATTATTCTGTCATTATTGCTTTATCATCATGACATGAAATACTGAATAATGAGGATGCAAACACCCATTTTAAGGGCCTATCACAGTCTTCTCTGTATAATTAATACCTATCATTAGATGAAAGTCATATCATTTGCAATTTGATGCAGCTTTCTTCAGAATTTCTTGATGACTCCTTGGTAGTTTATATGCTAGTGCACCTGTTGCTTGTAATCAGGTTTTATTAGATAAATAGACATATAGCACTTTGCATGCTCTCCTTCACTACTCATCTTCTCAAGGGGCCACTTGGAGTGCTGAAAAGCAGCTTTATTATAGCTTCTTTGCATAATAAGGCCGGCCATCCCTCCTCTGCCTCCTTGCTTCCCACTCGAAGGAAATATTGCATCTGTCTCACTATAAGGGGATTCATGCTGGATGGCCTTGTTATAAAGCATAGAAGTTGGAGGTATATAAATCTAACACATATCCATAAAAAGAACTTGTCTTAGACTAGGCTTATGGTACACTGCTCGAGTTCTGTTTTATCCTATTCCTGGAAAAATGAGCCATTGCTGACATTAAAAACATAGCATCTTGTAATAGTTTCTTGTCTCTTCCCTTTATTGCACAGACAAAGCTGGAGAGAAATTAGGTCACACATTTATGGGGTTTAAGTTTGCATGAAATCCTGCTCTATTTCTTTGTTTTAGGCTCCCAGGTAGCTAAGGTTTTAAATTGTTGCTAATCTCGTATATCATGACAACAATGGCCCTTGAATCCCATTGCCCTCCGAAGTACTTGTCATTACTCACAATGGGCCAGAGGAGCCGAGAGCTCACATAGAGACACGTGCAAATTCATCACCACTACTGAACTGGCAATTGCAAAGCCATGCCCTCCTGATGCTGGGTCAGTGGCTCTGGCCTCACCTATGAAGGATGGCCCATTCTTTCATTTGGCAGAGCATTTTCCTGACCCAGAATCCTGAGGATGAGTAAGCTAATCTTAAAATGCAGAGGGACTGAATACTAAATGCCTTACCAGCACCCACAGGGTTCATTGCACAATGTCCTTGTTTATACAACTCCAGAGCTGCCCTCCGTTTCCCCTGAAGTTGCAAGGTTTCACTAATGCAATAGTTAGGAGGAATGAGAGACAATATACTAATGGGAACTTCTGGGAACATTAATTAGTAATTTGTATGAGGTATTTGTGGAGGAGCATTCTTTTTTTTTTTTTTTTTATGACGGAGTCTCGCTCTGTCGCCCAGGTTCGAGTGCAGTGGCACAATCTCAGCTCACTGCAAGCTCTGCCTCCCGGGTTCATGCCATTCTCCTGCCTCAGCTTCCTGAGTAGCTGGGATTACAGGCGCCCGCCACCACGCCTGGCTAATTTTTTCTATGTTTTAGTAGAGACAGGGTTTCACCGTGTTAGCCAGGATGGTTTCGATCTCCTGACCTCATGATCCGCCTGCCTCAGCCTCCCAAAGTGCTGGGATTACAGGCGTGGGCCACCGCACCCAGCTTTGGAGGAGCATTCTCTAAGCTAGACTTGTGTTTAAAATTACATTTTGTATTTTACACACCTAAGAAAATTTCTCTTGCTTTTGTTAGAACATTGATTCTTAAAAAGTGTTTCTGAGGGGATAGTCCATTAAATGATTGAGAATGCCAAAGTCAGCCGGCCTGGGACTTAATCTCTTTTTCCTACACTCTAACTAGACTTGGGGGACAAGTTAGTTAATGTCTCGAAACTTGATTTTTCTCATCTATAAAATGGGAATGATAATAGTACCCACCTCGAAGTTGTTCTTATGAGTGAATTCGTGTAAAATGCTATATATGATAGCATAGAAAGTAGAGGCACTGGAGACAAATAGACTTGGGGTTCAATCCTGGATTTGCCTCCTGCAAACTATGTCATAGGCACATTTTTAACCTCTCTAAGCCCCAGTTTTTTTCCATAAAAATGGGGATAACTACTAGTAGAATAGGTTTTGGTTATGGATGAAAAGAATATCTTGAAAACATCTGTTGTATCATAAGTGGCCAATTAATATTGGTTTTCTTGTATTATGTTGTTAGAAACAACATGGTACAACTAAAAAACATGAACTTTTGATGGAAACAGACTTGAAATTGACTCTACAATTAACGCCAGTGCGGCCTCTCCTTGCACAAGTTACATACATCTTTGAGCTTCAGTTTCCTCATTTATAAAATTATCGAATAACTGCAAAACTTAAAAGAAAAACCATATATTTATATTAAACTCATGGCTCATATCAGTATAAGTTCTTCTCTACTTGGGCTACTAGAAGTCAAATATTTTATAAAAGCAAAGTAAGCAACAATAACATTTTGAATTCTGATAACAGGAGAAACTTAGATTAAAAAGGACTAGCACTTCTTAGGTAAAGGAACACTTACCCGTAGTTCTTCAGATCTACTGTCAAGATAGATTATTTATCAAATGCAGTGATCGAGAATTAAAGGATAAGATTAGGGATCAGAAGTCCCTTTTTGATAAGCTTTCAAGAAGAAGAATCTAGGGACGGGGCTATTTTTACTCATAGATTTCAAAGTTAAAAAATGACTAGCATCTCTTCTCTTGAGTCTGTGACAGTTTCAGAGAAACCTGGCTTACAGGGACAGAAGGACATCTTTCTAACTTAAAAGTGGTTAAAGGGAGTAAAGCAGTCCCACCCTTCCTTGGTATGTGCATTGGTACTGAACATTTTCCACTTTACATAGAACTTGAGAACTTGAGACCTTATCATGAAACCATATATTTGAGGCTCTATTCTTTAAAAAAAAGAAAAGGTTACAAGAAATTATAGAGGGAGCTTGCACAGCTGGCAACTGTTAGCAAACAAACCAAACCAAGAACAGCAGGCCAACATAAATTCTCACCAGAAAATACTGGGTGTGAGTCCCTTCTGGCCAAAAAAAAAAAAATTCAGTAAATCCAAAGCAAGGGATTTGAGGGGCCGCGATTGATTTTTTTGTTGAACTCCTACAGTTTCTCACTTCAACTTTATGAATAAAATTTAAGCAATAAAGACAATCTACATTATGTTATGGATTCTTACCCTGAGGTACTGAATACTTTCAATGAATATTATATTCTGTCTCCCAGTCACAGATCAAACAGCCTATTGAAATTTACTTCCCTAGACTGTATTCCTTGTGAAAATAAAGGAATCTTTAAGTTGTTGCTCTAATGCAGAGAGAAGGGAAGGCTCAAAACTTAATGGGCTTCTCAGACTCAAGATACCCAGGCTTCAAAAGTGAGTTTAGGGGCCGGGCACGGTGGCTCATGCCTGTAATCCCAGCACTTTGGGAGGCTGAGGTGGGTGGATCACCTGAGGTCAGGAGTTCGAGACCAGCCTGAACAATGTGGTGAAACCCCATCTCTACTAAAACTAGACACAGCTCTGCCTTGTGTTACAACCTGTACTTGTGTTGGTATTTTGGGAGGGTAAAATGTTGGGTGATGATAGGCGTGCCTTCAATAAAAGTGTGACTGTTTACATGATACAACTAATCAATTCATTAAAAAAGGTTTAGAATGTGAGGAATGAAACGTTTCTTAAAGTCATACCATCCAGAGTCTGTCATTGTTAACATTTTGGTTTACTTTTCTCCAGTATCCTTTTTGGAGGCTGGAAGAGGCCATTTATTTCTCAGAATAGTCATACTAATTATGCATCTTTGAATTTGGCATTTTTCATTATCTATATTTCACCTTATTTTAAATTTTCCCCCAAACATAATTTTGATGGCTTTTTAAAAATTTGGATAAGTCCTTATTTTCTTTGTGAATCCCTTTCCTTTTGCTGTGCCTTCTTCTCTACCTTTCCATCTCTACAATCTCCAGATACGTATTTTATATGAACTGCCAAGTATAGGGAAAAAGAGAGGCTCTGAAAAAAAGGAGCTGTTTTCAATTAAATACTGAACTGTCATAAAATAAGCATCAACATTACGTTAAGTAGACCGACGAGTCTACTATTACTATCCTGTTCTAGAGCAGATAAATTTTTTTTAAATGTTGGTTTGTTAATTTCTCCTTAATAAGTAATTCATGCTCACTATAAGCAACAGTCAAATTAAATGAAATTATTATTATTTCTCTGAGACAAGGTCTTGCTCTATTGCTCAGGCTGCAGTGCAGTGAATGTGATCACAACTCACTGCAGCCTTAACCTCCCCAGGCTTGAGTGATTCTCCTACCTTAGCCTCCCTAGTAGCTGGGACTACAGGCATGCATCACCAAGCCTGGCAAAGTTTTCATATTTTTTGTAGATACAGGGTTTCCCCATGTTGCCCAGGCCGGTGTCAAACTCTTGGACTGAACTGATCACCTGCCTTCGCTTCCCAAAGTGCTGCTCTCTCATATAGGGAATAAAAGCTCCTTTCTCCTAAATTTTACTCCTTAGGGGTAAAATTTACTCTGCATAGCCTTCCAGACTTTTAATAATGCATATCAAACACATACGTAAGCACTCTGTTTTTAAATAATGTGAGATTATTCTAGATACAGTAGATACACTGCAGAACACTGTATCTTCTAGATATTCTAGAACACTGTTCTACAGTGTATCTAGAATAATGTTTTTACTTTCTGTGTCATAGCCTTCTTTCCACTGAGTTAATACAGTTCTCCATCTGGTCTTTTGACAAATATATAATACTTCATTGTAGAAAGGAGCCCTAATTTAACCATCTCTAATTGATGGACATTGAGTTATCTATTTCTTTGTTATATTAAATAGTGCTGCAATTAATATCCTCATGGATGTATTCTTGATTTCTTAAAGAAACGCTCCAAAAGTAGAATGGCTTGGTCAAAATGGCTTGGATACTTTTGTTTTGTTGGAAGATGGCAGATCACTGTCTTGAAAGGTTCTTTCATCTCACCAACAATGGATGAGAATGTCTATTTCCCTACACATGTTCTTTTCAAAAGATGACAATTACGGAGTCTGATGAAAATACTCTCAAGATACAATTTCCTATTATGTGATATAGCTCTACATTTCTCCCTCTTCTCTGTTGCACACCAAATGAAAAGACGTTTTGGAGAAAGGCAGGAGGGAAGGAGAGGTAAGAACGAACAGAGGAGAGAGGTGGAGACAAAGAGTCTGATGGCCTTCTGCCTGGCTTGCCATGTGGCTTGCAAGTACATAAATTAGAAGCTTGAGGGCAGCTGGGGGAGGCTGAACCATCTTGACTTCTGGATGGCTTTGGAACTACAGCATTGCTTCTTTGGAGGGGCCCAGCTGAGGTCAGCACAGGTGTCAGTTCAAAGATGGTCACAGAAGTAACATTTCAGCTATCTGGGTCTTAAAGGCCTGCTTTTAACATGATTGGGGTGGTGAACGGGTGAGGGACTGATACCTACTGCTCTGTTTTTTTTTTTTTTTTGAGATGGAGTCTCGCTCTGTCGCCCAAGCTGGAGTGCAGTGGCACAATCTCGGCTCACTGCAAGCTCCGCCTCCTGGGTTCAGGCCATTCTCCTGCCTCAGCCTCCTGAGTAGCTGGGACTACAGGTGCCTGCCACCACGCCTGGCTAATTTTTTATATATTTAGTAGAGACGGAGTTTCACCATGTTTGCCAGGCTGGTCTCGATCTCCTGACCTTGTGATCCGCCCGCCTCAGCCTCCCAAAGTGCTGGGATTACAGGCGTGAGCCACCGTGCCCGGCTCTGATACCTACTGCTCTAACTCAACTACTCAACATTTTGCTGTTGAAGAAGGAAAGAATGAATGACGGGGAAGAGGAATAGCCCTTTCCAGCTGCTCCCTGGGAACCACTCTCAGAGCACCTTCTTTGCATTTATCACAGTGAAATTAAGTAATTAATTAGGTGGCTTAGTTTAATTTTTTTTCCCTTCTGTTTCAACTGCAGGATTTCCAAGGGCAGGGGCCAGATCTGCCTAATTCATCCCCTCGTCCAGCAACAGTTACCGGCACAGAGTGGGTGCTTAATAACAATCTGATAAACACACCCTCCTGTTTTCTTCTCCACAGCCGCCTCCAGGACCTACATCACAGTGTAGAAACTGTCAGAGCAGTGACACTATTAAAAAAAAAAAAAGATTTTTTTTCACATTTTTAAATTATTTATTTACTTAAAAATAATAAGCCCATTACATTTTAACATAAATATTCTTGTGGAAAGTATATTTTCCAAAACCAGAAAAATTAGTTACAAGAGTGACATTATTTTATATTCTCACAAATCTATTCAATATCTGACTTAATTGAAGACACGTGGATTCCCATATCTTTTGCATTCTGCAGAAATTTGTCATTTTGGTTTAAGAATATGAAGAAAATTTGACCTCACAGAGAGAGGTAGCTGGAAAAAGGAGGTGTATTTGAATATCTTTTTCAGGTAATTGTAGCTGTTCTCATAGACTATAACAGAATTCAACAAGTGATAGTTTCTTAAAAGTTAGTTACAATGTGGACTATTAAACCATATGCATGAACTTTTCACACTGTAATGTATCAAATTCCACTGGTCTTTTACTTGGAACAGACCTTTTACCCATGCGTGATTTTATTTTTATTTTTATTTTTTTTGCTTTTTATGGGCTTTTATTATAGCTTTTATGATCAGACATACAAATATAAAAACCCACTCCTCGTGGCCTTCCTCAGATCTATTTGTCAGGGTTTTCTTAAAAAAAAACTTTTTAAAAGAGCAGTTTTATGTTCATAGCAAAATTGAGTGGAAAGTACAGAGAAAGTACCTTTACTCCCCTGCCCCTGCACAGCCTCGCCCTCTATCAACATCCCCACCAGGGTGATGCATTTGTTACAACTGATGAACCTACATTCATTGATTGGCGCATTGTCACCCAGAGTCCATAGTTTACATTAGGGTCCACTTTTGCTATTGTACATTCTATGGATTTAGATAAATATTTAATGACATGTATCCACCATTACATCATCACATAGAGCAGTTTGAGGGCCCTAAAGACAATGACACCTTAATTTTTTTTTTTTTTAGTTACTTGTTTTTAGCACTCAAAATTGCTTAAAAGTTTAGGAAACATGCTTGACATCTATAAGCAGAGGGCTTAAACGGGCACAGGGTGCCAAGAACTGCAGGACACAAAGCAACCCAAACCTGACCCTGTATCAGCATTCAAAAGAAAGCAGAGTGGTCTTGTGGAGTGGCTTTGTTAGCAAGCATGGAGAATCAGGGTGCCCTTGCAGGAGCCAGGGGACCTCTGGGAACAGGGTTTTGATTAGAAGTCAATGGTCATGGGGCTTGGAGAGACCGGTGAGTAATTTTCTATTTCAGCGTGGATAAATACAGGAAGCACCAAGACAGCTGAGCTCTGAAACGGCAGACAAAGGGCAAGATTTTCTTAAGTACTGGCTGAAGTGACTCTCCTCTAAGCCTGCTAATTAGGGGATTTAATCTCCCAGCAGGTGAAAAGGACAAAGGGCTTTTTCCATAGTGTTTTGCCAAATTCTAAGGTTAAGCACAGTCCAAAAGCTATTAGCCTTCTGCCAATATGAGAATGAATCACAAGTAATGTGAGGGAATTAAAATCAAGGTTAGATTAAGTCAAAAAATAATTAAAAACCATTTAAGGGAATCAGGAAGTTATGTGATGTGTACCTAAGTATTTCTTTTTCATTAAATCTTATTTCAAATTGTATATATTATCATTAATATGCACATGTTGGGGTGGTTTATGTTTAATCTGTAGAGGTTGTTATTTTAGTAAGGTTGTATATAAAATACTATGGAAAGAAGCATATGAGAAATAGAATTTGATGCTTAGCACTGAGAAGGTAATTACCCTGCTGGGAAGGACGCCTGACCTAGGGTCCCCTAACAGGCACCACCACCACCTGGTGGCTCTTGATGACGTTGCAGGAGTAAAGCCTCAGAGGAAGCCTTTAGCTTCTGGGGAGCATTTCTTACAAATTCAAATTTTTTTTTTCAGTGAATATGATTCAGTTGCTATACTGCCAAAGAGGAGAAAGGGTCTAATACTTACTGAGCATCTACTTTAGGACGGCAGCCAGTCTAGGGACTTTGTGTATCTCATCCTCCTAGCAGCCCTATGCTGTACATAATATCACCATTTTGCAGCTGAGAAAACCAAGGCCTAGCAAGATCAAGTGACTTGCTCAAAATCAAAGAACTGGGCCTGCCAGAGCTGTGGGCTGAAATCAGATTTGCCTGACTCCAGAGCCCATAGTCTTTGCAAAGCTTACTGCCTGAATTTGGCATAAGAAAGGGTGGTGAGACGCCTTATGACTTTTTTAAGGGATTGATGCAGAATTTAGACCCACAGTTAATGTATTCATTTTTGGGCACATTTAAGAATAAGTATTTGATATACCAAATTGATACACTGTTCATCTTTTGGAATAGTGGATGAGATCTTTTGCCAAGGTGGTGTGGGTATCCAAGATAAGTGAGAAAACGTTAAATCTGTTAGAATGTCAAAGCCTACAAATTAAGAAGATTTATTTATTTACCAAGTATTTATCAAGGATCTGTTTTATTCTAGGTATGGAGAAATACAGATGAATTGAATATGATTCCTGCCCACAAAGACCTTATAAAGTTATAGACATGTGACATCATATATTATACCTCTATTCTAACACACAACTTCAAGTAATCTTTTAGAAACAACAACCAAACAATTAAATAATGAAAATGTGGTACCATTCTTACCTGGCTTTCCTCCTATCTTATATAGCCTTATCCTTATTTTTTTTTTCTTTTGCTTGTTCAACATTAAGGTTCTGATTTTAGCTTTCTTCTCTTTCTACCCATTCTCTCCTGATGACCTTACTCATTTCTATTGCTTCAACCATAATTCACTTTATTTTTATTTTTTTATTGAGATGGAGTCTTGCTCTGTCACTGAGGCTGGAGTGCAGTGGCGCGATCTCGGCTCACTGCCAACCTTGCCAACCTCGCCAACCTCTGCCGCCCGGGTTCAAGCGATTCTTGTGCCTTAGCTTCTGGAATACTTGGGATTATAGGCATGCAACACCACACTAATTTTTTTTTTTTTTTGTATTTTTACTAGAGACCGGGGTTTCGCCATGTTGGCCAGGCTGGTCTCGAACTCTTGACCTCAGGTGATCCACCCACCTCAGCCTCCCAAGGTGCTGGGATTACAGGCGTGAGCCACTGCTCCCGGCCCACCATTCACTTTAATAAGTCCCAAGTCAATATCCAGACATTCCTCCTGAGTTCCAGACCCTACATTTTTAATGGTCTATTATATATCGAACTCAATATGATCAAAATTCTTCTATTCTCAATTTCAGTTAGTCACATATGTGATATCTGCTCATTTGCCCAGTCCTCTAAGTCAGGAACCTGGGTGTTATTTTGGATTTCTCTTGCTCTTTTTCTTTTCCATTCAATTGGTCACCAGGCCCAGAAAGAATACTTGTTAAACACCTTGTAAGTCTCCTCCTTTTCAAAGTTTCCACTGCTTTGGGCACATGTTGTCTTTTACCTGAGATACTGTGACAGCGTCCCACCCCCTCCCCCGCATGTCATTCCTTCCATTTCAGCCTTTGCGCCCCTGCTGGTTGACTTTTCTGAGATGCAAATTAGATGCTGTTATTCCCAGTTAAATCTAATTGGCTCTCTCCTCCTATAGCATATGGCATTGTTAAGAACAGGAGCTTGGGAGCCAGACAGCCTCGGCTGGAACCCCAACTCCATCACTTGAGAGGCTTATGTTTATACAAGGGTTAGTTACTTAACCTCTGTGTCAGTTTCTTCACTGTAAAATGGGGGACGATGGTAGTATTTATTGTGTAGGATTTTTGCAAGGTTTAAATGAATTAATATTCATAATGCACTTAAAACAGTACTTGGAGTATACCACAATCTCTATAGAAATGTTTGTTAACTAAATAAGATTTAAACACACATGTACTATAATACTTAAGACCTGTAGTGACCTCTCTGGTCCATGTCCACTTTTCTGGTTACATCTATTTCCCTCCATGTGCTTATATTTTAGCCATATTGAACTGAAAACATAGCGCTGTCATATACCTCCAGGCCTTTGCACAGTCTATATCTTCTGGATAAGATTCCTTTCACCATGATCTCTTGAAGCCTTCTACCCATGATTAAAGTTCATTCAAGGGTCACCTACTCCATGAAGACTTGAGAGCAGTTAGCTTCTTTTCTGTGCTTCCATAGTAGTGTGTACAACCATTACATCACTTGCCACACTGCTGTGACTCTGAGCTTACAAGTGTATCTAACCCGCTAGAGTATTAGACCTGCAATGGCAGGAAGTGACTTTGTTCTATTCTTTTTTTTTTTATTTTCATCTCTAGCTCCTGACACAGTATCAGACCCAGATATGTGCTGTATATGTGTTTGTTATTGTTCTTTTCTTTCTTTGTTTTTTTTTTTTTTTGAGGTGGAGTCTTGCTCTGTTGTCCAGGCTAGAGTGCAATGGTGTGATCTCGGCTCATTGCAACGTCTGCCTCCCAGGTTCAAGCGATTCTCCTGCCTCAGCCTCCCCAGTAGCTTGGATTACAGGTACCGCCACCACGCCTGGCTGATTTTTGTATTTTTTAGTAGAGACGGGGTTCCACCATGTTGGTCAAGCTGGTCTCGAACTCCTGACCTCAGGTGATCCACCCACCTCGGCCTCCCAAAGTGCTGGGATTACAGGCGTGAGCCACTGCGCCCGGCCTGTTATTTTCTCATCATAATATTATAGTTGGAAGGGCTTTAAAACACCTAATCCAACCTTTTTATATTGAATATGCAGAAACTGAGGACAGGGAGAGAAAGAGATTTACCTAAGATTTTCTTGCTAGAGAGTAGCAAAGGTGAGACTAGAACCTAGTTTTGTTCCTCTATCAATGCTCTTCTTCTCTACATTATTACATGAAACTCTTGTTCCTCCATTTTTTATGGGTCTGTTAAGAGATACGAACCACAAGACCTACAGGTGTGCGAATCTGTTGGCCAGCCCAACACCCTCGCAGCTGCTTTTGAGAAGACTCTTACTCAGAGACCACACTCCACCTGGTGGCAATTTACCTAAACTGCAAGTACCTCTTCCCTTGGTGTTGGTGACTCCTTTTCTTTGCCTTCTCTCTTCCTACCGATTCTTCTTTCTTACTTTTGTCTGTGAGTTTCTCTTTTTTCATCTGTTTAGTAAATATAATAGTTTCTTTAGGTTCTTGACCCTCCTACTCTACATTCTCTCTTTGAGAAGTAGGAGGAATTCATTTACTCTTGAGCTTCAAATACTATCTACATGCTGATGACCCTTAAGTCCTCATCTCCAACAAGAATCTCTCTCCTGAGCCCCAGCAGAGCCACCATATACATTTACATAGTTTGGTCCCTGTCCTTCCATGGGGGGTCATTCTCATGGTAGTCTATGTGACTGGCATCCCCCTGGGGTTAGGTAGTGCATTGCAGCAGGCTTTCTTCAGGAATCTCAAACATAGCATGACACAAAGTGAACTCATTATTGCCCCTCTGAAAGCCCTTATCCAGGTGTGATACCCCCTTCATTCCTTTGTCATCGCTGGCACTTCTCTTCCTGACCACCACCTCATCTGCTCGATTACCAAGTCCTGTGGCTCCTACTGTCTAGGAATGCTTGTTTCACTTCCTGACCACCACCTTGTCCACTCAATTACCAAGTCATATGGCTCCTACTATCTAGGAACGCCGGTTTCTCTTCCTGATCACCACCTTGTCCACTCAATTACCAAGTCCTATGGCTCCTATTATCTAGGAATGCTTGTGGCTATTTGCTGTTCACTTCAGCCTTTCTTATCTTGGCTCAGGCCTTCAGCATTGCTGGCTTGAGTTATTGCTGCAGCCGCCTTCTAACTGGTCTTCCTGACTCTAGTTTTGCCCGTCTTTAACCCAGTCTTCACACTGCTGCCAGAAGGGACTTTCTAGAATATAAACTTGCATGACGTTTTTCTGTTGAAAACCCTACAATTGTTTCCTGTTGTCTTAGGGTTAAGTTTAAATTCCTTAAAGCGACTTACTAAGTCATCCAGGACCTGAGCCTTGATTTCCTGTCCAGCTCCCTTCTCTCCCTTTTCCTGCCCCATTCACTCTCTGTATTTTGGAAGTGGCTGTCCAAGTGAAACATAGTCACTTTCACTTCAGAGCCTTTGCAACCTTACTCTTCTCACTATATTTGTGATCCTCCTTGCCTGGCTAATCCCGATTGGTCTTTTGGGGCTCAGCTGAGCTTCCTCTGACAGAAAGCCCTCCTTGACCTCCTAATCCTGGATTAGTGCTCCTTTTCTGTTTTTAGAGGATACCACTGTCCTCTCTATAAAACCTTTATCTTATTATATTGTAACTTGGCTCTCACCTCCCCACCTCCCACATTAGGTTTATCTTCACTAAGGCCAGGGCCTACTTTTCCAGTGAAAGAATACACAAAAAGGAGAAAGCCTCATGAATAGTTTCTTTGTAATTTGAAATCTCCAAAGTGATAGAATGGTAGCGGTTTTATCTAAAGGCACAAAGTATGCCGGGTAAGTCCTCTTCCTGAGAAGTGGCAGGACCCCATGTAGGAGGGCCTAGCCTGTATCACAGGCTAAGGGCCCAGAAAATACAGGCTGGCATGAGAGCCTAGTGAACATTAACAGCTGGAGATCTTCACATTGACACATCTTGTTCCAATAGTACTCTGAAATTCCTATGTAGAAGATTGAATCTTTTAGCTTAAAGACTTATATTCAATTCAGCTGGAGCAGCTCCTGGCCTCACATCTCCACCTGGAAAACAATAATTACAGTCCATTGAGAATTAGTCTCAAATTTTCTTCCAAAAGGCAGTTATAACAGAGTGAGCATGAAGTTAGTGGATGCTTGGCAGATGAAAAAAGGATCATTTTAAAGTTGGGAGAAATGTTCAAAACCAACAGGCCAAAGCACAAAGTTTGCATATTTCAAGATGAAGTGTGAATATTTCATAATTTCACAGGATTGGCCTTTGCACATGTATCCTTGAAAATTCATCAACTCTACGAAATGTCTTTGGCTTCTAGACAAATTAATTCTCTTGATCTCCAATGAGAAAGAAATAGAATGAGTTACCAAGAGTGTTTAAGATTGTATGATTCTTAGTATAAAAAAGAGTCCCAGAAATAGAGAATAAATTTAATGCTCTAAAAAATGTCACCATTAAAATGACATGTTAGAATGATATGTTAAAAAGCAAATTTAAAATTCCTAATGAAATTTTTAATGATATTAGAAATGTAGTATAGAGCCAAAGATTTTTTCTTTGTTAAAAACTAAATTTAAACGATCATTTTCCATAAGCTCCATAGAAGTGACTTTCAAAGTCAAGGTTTTTAAAAACAATCTTGAAATCAGCTATCTATATAAATGATAGAGTTTCAGATATTGCGACTTCACTGCTTCCACATTCCTAAAGCAATACTGAAAACCCAAGAAGCCATTCTGCAGTATTAGCAAAGGCACACATGGCTTTATTCTTTATATGTAGGAGTTTAGCCTACTCTAGACCTCATGAAAGATTGACTTGCTTAGGGTAAAAATAATAATTTTTAATATCACCTTTCTATTAGTTCTAGTCGAATGAACAGGAAGGCATAACTCACTCCCGTAACAATAATGAAGAGAGAAATATGTGTATGGATGGATGTCATCAGTAAATGCCTTTGGCTAAATAAGGCACAATTTATTTGAAGGACACACAGCTGAATGGGCCTTCGAGCGGTCCAAGCATGAAGAGGAGTGCAGAACTGTCAATGTTCATTGTAGGTGCCTGCCCTCTCTCTCTCTCTCTCTCCCTCCCTTACCCATCCTACCTCTTTCTCCCTCCTTGAAGGAGATAAGTGAAAAGGAAAAATATATGTGGTAATGGGAGAAGAATGAAGTTACACCAGATGTTAGAAGAAATATAGGTGGAGTTGCAGTTAGCTAAATGAAGTAGAGTGAGGAAGACAAAGCATGATTACAGGGAATGGGAAAGAGAAGCAGGAAAAAAAAGCCATTTGAGGCACTGTTAACAAAGAACGGAAAAATTATTTTTGGGGGGAGCCATTTGAAATTACAAAAAAGCAAAATAATCTTTGCCATATGCTTCAAGAATCATAATATTTGAAGTTTAGTAGAGGCAGAAGTAAGCATAATTTCGTTGGTCAACATTTAATGATTTATACAATAAAGTAGGTAAACAAATGATGGCAGGAATCTTAACCTATTGTCAAGTAGACAAATTTATGAAATAGAACTTGCAATGAGGAAAAGACTTTTTTTTTTTTTTTTTTTTTTTTGAGACGGGGGTCTCGCTCTGTCGCCCAGGCTGGAGTGCAGTGGCGCTATCTCGGCTCACTGCAAGCTCCGCCTCCCGGGTTCACGCCATTCTCCTGCCTCAGCCTCCCGAGTAGCTGGGACTACAGGCGCCCGCCACTGCGCCCGGCTAATTTTTTGTATTTTTAGTAGAGACGGGGTTTCACTGCGTTAGCCAGGATGGTCTCCATCTCCTGACCTCGTGATCCGCCCGCCTCGGCCTCCCAAAGTGCTGGGATTACAGGCGTGAGCCACCGCGCCCGGCGGGAAAGACTATTAAAAGCAGATGAAACTATGGACCATTACATGAGCCATGAAATGTAGTTTTCTTAAAACAACAATGATACGGTTCGGCTCTGTGTCCCCACCCACATCTCATGTTGACTTGTAATGCCCATGTGTTGGAGGAGGGGCCTGGTGGGAGGTGATTGGATCATGGGGGTGGATTTCCCCCTTGCTCTGCTCGTGATAGTGAGTGAGTTCTCACGAGATCTCATGGTTTAAAAGTGTGCGGCACTTTCCCCTTCACGCTTTCTTTCTCCTGCCGCTCTCTGAAGAAGGTGCTTGCTTCCCCTTCGCCTTACACCATGAATGTAAATTTCCTGAGGCCTCTCAGCCGTGCTTTCTGTACAGCCTGCAGAATTGTGAGTCAATTAGACCTCTTTTTTTCATGAATTACGCAGTGTGAGAATGGACTTATACACAACATGGTACTACAGCAGCTAAAGTGAACCAGCCCATCTTATTGTTTTAATTTTGACATCTTTTCAAGTAAAATTAAAATGCTGTTGGTGTCACTTAAAATAAAATGTTTAACAATAAGACAAGGTTGAGAAGTTGGTTATAAGCAGACGTCACTGGGGAGAAGAAAAAAATGCATCTCAAACTTGAGTCACGTGGCATGTAATTACACAGAGAGAGGTGCACAGCTCTAAAAAATGCATTTTGAAAAGCATTACATTTTGTAAAAAACATCAACCCCTCAGGTCTGGAGTTGAAGAATGAGTCACGTCTGAAAGCAGGGAAGTGCTTGTGATTTAGCATTTTAACTCTTGGGGAATGGCTTTATACAGAATAGCTGGGAAGATTTAGCAAAATTGGTACTTTCTCTTTAGAACCGTGAAGCCGCAGGATTCCTGAGAAAAGTGGGCACGGTTGGTGCTTAAGCTTTTAGTCAATGAGTGTTGTGAAAAATAAGAATAAAATCATAATGACTTTTTCAAATTAAAATGATGTTAGAGGTCACTAATAATCTAAATAGAGATGACCATTATATATAGATGGAGCCTAGCTGCAAGGTCTAAGCTTGCCTAATTTGGTCCAAGATTGCTGAAATATTAAAAAAGAAAAACAAAACAAAGATGCCGGGAGATATGAAGCTCACCCATGCTCTGACTACCAGCCCCCTGCTATCCTATCTTCTGCATTTTTAAGACCATGTTGAACACTAGTTTTGACTTACCCTCACAAGCCTTAGCTTCCTAAAAGCAGTGGCTTAATCATTATCAGGTCACTGAAATCACAGTTCTCCCAGCACCCAGAGTCAAAATTCCTGAGTCTTCTTTGATACCTTCTTTAATTTCATCTCCCATATCCTGTAAGTCATTGTGCCTTTAGGATCTTTTAAAAAATATCTGAGATTTGTTCCTTCCTTTCTACATCTAAAGTCACATCAGTCTGTGACCTAATCATCTCAAGCCTGGATTGCTAAAATTGCTTCCTAGAAGCACACTGCTATGACAATAAAAGTATGCCTGCACATTTAAATTAAAGAGCTGTTACTACCCTTGATGAGTCTGTAACTGCTAACAGTTTTTAATGTGCTGAATTGTCTACAAAATTACTTGTGTAAACTTCATCAAAAGCATATAAATGTATTGCAAAATTCATAATTATAAAATATAAAGTGTAAAGCTTATTGAAAATGCATCTCCTATTGAAATGGATAAAGATGGCATTTTCCCCCATCAGTTTGTCAATCTACAGATGAATATTGCTTATCACTATAATGGGACAGAATTCACCTTCAGTTTTCTCCTCCCTCTCTCCCTCCCCACCTCCTCCATCCTTCTTCCTCACTCTCTTTTTCCCTTTCTTTCTTAACCTAGGGGTGGGTGCTGAGAAAACTTGCTGGCAAAAGTTGGTGGAATGGAAGAAGTTTTGAGATAGGACTATCATTCAGTTATTTGAAGTCCCTCTAAGTTGTATGCCAGAACAATATAGTAATTCATAATCAAAAGTATTTTTAATTATTTGGCAGCTGATGACCTCATAATGACCTCATATAATTTTGTAAAATGCAAGCATTGGAAACCCTCTGATTTTGCAAATCATTTAATTTCTCAATATCTAGGAAATGTATTAAAAAGACTTTAATACAACTTATTAGCTATTATTCCCATTAGTCTTTAACTTAGAGACCCTTGTTTATGGTGCTAAAATGACATAAAACTGGGGTAAAAATAACTCCATAAATTGGATGCTTTGTACTTTAGGAATGTACCCATTTTTTTTCTGAGCAGAGATCTATATATTAATGCCAAATTTCAATTAATCTAGGAAGTTATCTCAAAAGTCTTTAAAAGTCATGACACCTGAGAATTATTATATATAAATTCTAATATTAAGTTTTAATGGAAAATAAATTTTTACAATTATATATTTGACAGAATTAGAAGAGATTTGAATCCTCAAAAGAGAAACTAATTCTAATTCAATGAAGCTGGTTTTCTAGGATTTAATTTGTTATATACTAGAATATGATATGGAAACATTTTGTCTGACAACTGCATAAAGGAGGATATTCTGTTTTAAGACTATAGGTTTATATTTTTGTAAAAATTGACATAAAAACTATAGACCATTATTAATTATAGGGCTTATAAAAGATGTTTTAAGTTAAAAGATGCACTAAATTAAAAGATGGATTAAATATTGCTCTCAGTACATGACTTATGATAGACACCTATAACAATCCTTTTATTTTAATCTTAAACTCTAAAGTCTGGATTATATAAGCATGGAAGTAATTGACAAATGCAGACAAATGGGAGACTTGTGCCTGAATGAAAAACGAATATCTGTTTATAGCATCTAATAAATTTTTTTTTTGAGACAGAGTTTCACTCTTGTTGCCCAGGCTGGAGTGCAGTGGTGCTATCTCGCCTCACTGCAACCTCTGCCTCCCGGGTTCGAGCAATTCTCCTGCCTCAGCCTCCTGAGTAGCTGGGATTACAGGCACGTGCCACCACGCCCAGCTAATTTTTGTATTTTTGGTAGAGATGGGATCTTGCCATGTTGGCCAGGCTGGTCTCAAACTCCTGAGTTCAGGTGATCCACCTGCCTCAGCCTCCCAAAGTGCCAGAATTACAAGCATGAGCCACCGCGCCCAGCCTATAGCATCTAATAATGCTTTGGCAAAGGTTAATAAAATGTTTCTTCTACCTATGTGAATAATATTTAAAAAAACACGTTAACTTAGCTATTACCATATATTCTTTATACTCAAAGTTATACTGTCCTTCTACAGAAGTGATAACGGAAATTTTGACCCTTTCTTCTGAAATCATGCAAAATATGTAACGAAGACACCTTGGCCTGGGTTCCCCCAAACAGCAGAGCCTGAAACAAGGTGTTGCATGCAGATGGCTTATTTTGAGAAGTGATTCCCAAGGAATGGGAGTGGGAGATAGGAAGGGTTGAAAGAAAGAAGAAGGAAAAGCTAATCAAAGGGGAATGTTATTGAGTTGGGTCACCGCTGTGGGCAACTGCAGCTCAGTTCTCTTAGGGACCCTTTGAGGAACCGTGTCAGATATGCCTCAAAATTGCCCACCCGAGGGATGTATTAGAGGAGTATTTAGACTTTGGGTCTTGTTACTGTTGGTCAAGGGTCACCTCATGAGATATTAATTCTACCCCACTTCCAGGTTTATGCAAACATCAAATGTGGCATCCCACATGGCAGCAGCAGAAAGGCACTGGGGTAGAAGATGAGTGATAATGAGGTTACCCCGGAATGCAGTTGGTTGGCTGGCATGCAAAGGTGGGCCTAAAAGGTAGACAATAGGATGCAATAAGTATCTCATCTATAGATCTTCACGCTAAACCGTTATTACTGAAAACGGTGAAAATGCAGAAAGACTGGCTTTGCAGCAAATTGGTGTTTCTCAGCACACTCTGTTTTGTTTTTTACAAACATCTCCTATTGTGAGATACATAGAAAAGGCCTGGAATCTTGCTGGGTGTTGTCACCTGGATGGAATAAGAGTGACACTCTTTCCATTTCTACCCACATTTGTTGCTTTGCCTTCCCAGGCTCCTCTCTCAGAAGTGCTTCATTCTTTGACTATAATTAGGGGTGGAAAAGGTAAGGTTAAAAGAAATAGTCTTCACTTCTGCCTCCCCATTCTCCAGTAGAATGAACATGATGACTGAGGGAGGCTTCACCTATACCAGTGTTTGGAATGTCCCATTCTGTGTCATCCTGGAAGTTTTTACACCATAATTCAATTCACAGTGTGTGACAGGTGAGTCTTTTATTCCTGAAGTGGAAACCCTACAGTACGGAACAGCTGTGGAGGGGAAGGAATGAAAGAGAAACAGGCTAATCCTCCCCCAGGTTCTCAGGCAGGTCAGTTCTAGGAAGATGTACAAATAAAGTTGAAGATATGAAAATTGACTTTTAAAATAATTATCCATATCTCTGTACACCTCAGAAAGTCTTTGTCTTTTTCAGGGATCTTCTCACTTTGTTGGATATCTGAAATGTGTATATGTTTTTTTTGGAAGCAGAGTCTCACTCTGTTGCCCAGGCTGGAGTACAGTAGCACAATCATAGCTCACTGCAGCCTTGACCTTCTGGGCTCAAGTGATCCTCCTGCCTCAGCCTCCTGTGTAGCTGGGACTACAGGCATGTGCCATCATGCCCAGCTAATTTTTTAATTTTTGAGGGAGACAGAGTCTCACTATGTTACTCTGGCTGGTTGCGAACTCCTGGCCTCAAGTGAACTGCCTTGGCCTCTCAAAATGCTGGGATTACAGGCATGAACCACTGGCCCAGCCTGAGGTGTGTATTGTTATTGTTTGCTTTGATGTTGCTCCCTGCAACCCGAATCATGCCTTACTGCCAATTCCTAGAAGCATTTACTCCATTGCCAACAGTGAACTTTTATGGGAAATTGGGCTGGGGAGAAGTTCTAAAGTATGGGCCCGCCCTCCCGCCTGGCCTGCCTGCCTGCCTGCCTGCCTCCCTGCCTCCCTCCCTCCCTCCCTCCCTCCCTCCTTCCCTGCCTCCCTCCCTTCCTTCCTCCCTTCCTTCCTTCCTTCCTTCCTTCCTTCCTCCAGGTTTTGTTCTGTTGCCCAGGCTGGAGTGCAGTGGCGCAATCATGTCTCACTGTAGCCTCTACCTCCTAAGCTCAAGCAATACGCAGCTTCCTGAGTAGCTGGAACCACAGGTGTGTACCGCCTTGCCTGGTAAATTTTTTGTAGAGACAGGGTCTTGCTTTATTTTCCAGGTTGGTCTCAAACTCCTGGCCTCAAGTGATCCTCCTGCCTCAGCCTCCAAAGCATTATGATTATAGACATGAGCCACTGTGCCCAGCTGAGGTTATTTTCTATGTAAATCTCGATGTTCTGGAATTGGTGAGTGAATAAAAGCTGGTGTCCTTGTCTTCATGCTTAACAGTATGGCATTTGAATACTTGCACAGATGCTTTCTTGAAACTTGTTTCTTAAAAAATCACAGGAGGTTATTCACCAAAGTCAATGAAACTGAAATGTTCTATGTCAGCAGGAGAATATGACTAGAAGTGCTCTCATTATATCCATTGGAAGCATTTCCTCTGAACCTCAAAATATATTATTACATTTCGGATGACATTAAGAGATAGGTCTTTAGTCACGGAATTCTAGTAGGGGGGGAAAATGTAGTTTTGGTTATTTTCTTTATTATTGTTGTTAAAATGTGAATCATGCCCTTCAGTTGATGAATTCTCATTGAAGCTTCAATGGAAGGGGAAGATGAAATAACGTAAATGATAGCTATAATTAATTTTATACTAAGCTTCCTTGATGAAATTAATATTGTCAGATGGAAATGTAATTTAAGCAAAATATGCTTATATGCTCATGTAAGCTGAGTTACACATTTGGACTTTAAGAAAAAAATCACTCTTGCATTTCATAGAACCGCTTACAAAATGATTTAGCTTAATTGTTTGTACAGCTTTCTAGACATTAGAGCTCTTTAAAGGAAATAAGGGCACATGAAATGAAAGAGAGAAAGACAAAGGGTCATTTTAAATTTGCTTATATTATTTTGAAAAAAAACCCATAATCTTGCAGGACACTTCTAATTCTCAAAAGAACTAGTTTTTAACATATATGTTATTATACTCTGGCAGTGGTTTTGTGTTAGTAAACAAGAAACAATTCTGACACTTTAAAACAATCTAAATCTGAACTGAAATAAATCATATTGACTTGTTAAGTAAACTTCAAAACATATTGACCTAAGAGGTCAGCAAATGTTAGTGAAAAATACACAAGTCAATATTCATTGCATGCCTGAATTCTTTGTCTTTCTATGACATTTCAAGCAATTTTAGTAACTGGTCAGGAAAAAGTGAAAAATAAGAAGCACCAAGAGAGCTCACTAATTTCAGATAAAATTTTCCATGTTCTCAAGAAATGCCCATAAACATCATACACTGACATTGATTATTATTCTGAAAAAAAATCTGCAACTTGTTTCTTAATATGAAACCAACCATCATGTAACATAATGGAAAGTTGCAAAATCAATCTTTAATATTTCTTCCCTTAAGAATCAACTTCCTGTTCCTAGTCAATAAAATACTTATTAAATTTACCAATTACAAGAGCTAAAGGCTCATTGACAGGAATACAAAAACTCCAGTTGATGGACCAGAAGAAAAGGTGGTTTACTGGTAAAGTCAGCATTCCTCTTTAAACCCACATATGGGAATATGTGATTGTAACTACCTTTTATTCCTTCAGAATATATTGAATTTATGCAGTTGTGTTAAAGGTATGGCATATTTATGTAACTGTAAAGAACAGGCGAGGTTGCCCTAGTCTTTGTGATTAAATGTCTGAACTATAGGTCTTGCTCTTAACCACTACGCTGTACTTTTCTCTCAAATACAGCAGAGTAGATGTATCCAAGTAATGCTTGGTCATTACCTCACTCCTGTGGCCACATAGGTTAGCTATAAAATTTCAGGGAGCAAGAACCAGTAGGAGGAAGGAAAGATACTGACATTTATTTAGGGTTTACTTCTTGTGTCATGAAATGTATAGCTATTCTCCATGTGTGGTCTCATATTGTTCATTCAGCCACTCTGAGAAGTGATATTATTCCCATTATACACATGAGAAAAATCTCAAGCAGATTGAACAGTTAAAACGTGGTGGAATTAAGATTTTAAGGTTTAGAGACAGGGTCTCACTTTTTCACTCAGGCTTAAGTGCAGTGCTACCATTATAGCTCGCTGTAACTTCGAACTCCTGGGCTCAAGCAATCCTCGCACCTAAGCCTCCTGAATAGTTTGGACTCCAGGTGCGTGTTAACCTGCCTGGCTAATTTTTAAAATTTCTTTGTAGAGATGAAGTCTTGCTATGTTGCCCAGGCTGTTCTTGAGTTCTGGGCCTCAAGGGATCCTCCCACCTTGTTCTCCCAAATTGCTGGGATTATAGGCATGAGCTACTGTGCCTGGTCTGGAATTAAGATTTTTAACCGAGGCCTGTATGTTATCTCAGTAGTTATTTATTGCATCTGTGATTGTAATTACCCTATCTTTTTTGTTACTGATCTTTGTCTTCTAGCCTTGATGTATGTCTAACATCTCCAATTTATTATGTCCCAAGCCATTCATTACTTTCCTTTTCAAAGCTGTTCCTCTCTTGTGCCCAGCCTCTCACGATAGAAATCTTAACTCCCCACTGCCCTTGCCCTTCTGGTTCATTATGTGTAATTACTCTTTAAGTCTCTCAGAGTCTTGCTAAATAGATCTCAGGTTCCTTTGCATCTTGATGAAGCATCTATTAATATTCTTCCTCACGCAGAAAACTACTGTAGACATAGACTCCTAAATACAGTGGCCACATGCTCCTAGTGGTCCCACATTGTGATCTGCTCTCCACAGTACAGCTAGAATTATCTTTCTAAAGTGCAAATCCAATCATAACACTATCCTTTAAAAATCTCTGCAAGTCTCAACACAGTGTCTCCAGGATGAAAATCTAATTTCCTTATCTGGTCACAGTAACGAAATTTGCATGCTGGCTCCCATCTGCCTTTTCTTTCTTTTTTTTTTTTTTTTTATTATACTTTAAGTTTTAGGGTACATGTGCACATTGTGCAGGTTAGTTACATATGTATACATGTGCCATGCTGGTGCGCTACACCATCTGCCTTTTCAACTCCACTTCTGGTTTTCATTCTAGTGTCCTGTGTACTTCAGTTCCGCAGAACGAGTTGCCATTCTTGACCTGAAAATCCTCCACTTGAAGTGCCTTGATTTCATTTTCTTCCTTATTTGGGGGAAACCCTATGCTTTCTCTCTAGGGCCCATGTAAATGTCACCTTCTTTGTGAAGACCTTGACCAACCTCCAAGCTGATTTAGTTTGTCCCATTTCTGCATCAAGAGCTCTTTTGACCTGTGGGACTTCCCTCATTGTATTACATTAAAAAACAAAACCAGCCGGGCTCGGTGGCTCACACCTGTAATCCCAATACTTTGGGAGGCTGAGGTGGGCGGATGTTTGAGATTAGCCTGACCAACATGGTGAAACCCCTGTCTCTACGAAAATATAGAAAACAAATTAGCTGGGCTTGGTGGCGCGCACCTGTAATCCCAGCTACTCAGGAGGCTGAGGCAGGAGAATCGCTTGAACCCGAAAGGCGGAGGTTGTAGTGAGCCGAGATTGCGCCACTGCACTCCAGTCTAGGCAATAGAACAAGATTCTGTCTCAAAAAAACAAAAATAAAAAACAAACAACAACAACAACAACAGAACCTATGTGTCTCCTCTGTAAGACTGAATCTCTGAAGGAAGAGTAAGAACTGGCTGCCTCATTTCTTTTTGAATTATAAATACCAAATAGTAGGCGGTCAAGTAGAATTTTATTTTTCTTTTTTGAGACAGAGTCTCACTCTTTCACCCAGGCTGGAGTGCAGTGGTGCAATCTCAAATCACTGCAACCTTCGCCTCCTGGGTTCAACCAATTCTCCTGCCTAAGCCTCTCGCGTAGCTGGGACTACAGGTGTATGCCACCATGCTGGGCTAATTTTTGCATTTTTAATAGATGCAAGGTTTCACTATATTGGCCAGGCTGGTTTCAAACTCCTGACTTCAAGTGATCCTCCTGCCTTGGCCCCCCACAGTGCTGGGATTGCGGGCATGAGCCACTGTGCCAGGCCAAGAAGAATTTTTTTTTTTTTTTTTAAGTAAGACATTTTATAATTTTCAGGGCAATTGTTGTCAGGATTTTTGGCCACAAGTGAAAGAAATCCAATTCAAACTGGCCTAAGCAGAAAAGGAAGTTTACTGCTTCATGAGGCTGAAAAGCATGAAGAGGTCCTGGTCCTCAATATGCCTCCAGGATCGTTGTCTCTCAGGTCTGTGTGGCTTCATTCCTGGGTGGAATCTCCCCCGCAGCAGCTCCAGGGTAGTTACCCCCCATTGAAAAGAAAGCTTCTCTTTCCCAGGCTTTCCAATTACAATATTGAAAGGGAGTCTAATTGGACCAAAATGGTTATGTACCCATTTGAAGCCTATCATTGGGTTTGCGAGTATGGGCTCGGTGGCTGGCCTGCTCACTCTGCACTGAGGGTGGGGGAGGCATGGCTTCCTGAGGAACACTGAGATGTTGTTACCAAAATAAGGGGAAAAGGATGCTGGGAAAATAAAGGCAACATATGTCTATTATATGGTGTCAGGGTGAAAAAAAAAGCACTAGAATGCAAGTTAGGATTTCTGAGTTCTTTTAAAGGCATAATGTTGTATACTTAGTTGTTAACTTATATGTGAACTGGGGAAATTTGACCATAATGTATTCCGTGATTGTCTATAAAGCCAGGAAACCCTAAGTTATATTAAAACTGGAAAAATTATTCTTTAGATGGCAGTTTATTGTAATCTTGTCAAATAAGTAATTCAAGTAATTCTGTGTTGACATAACTCCTCCCAAACCTATAAACTCAGTGAGCTCTAGCGTAGCTAACTAGAGGCCCTGCTACCCAGTAGGGACATCTTTGTTGCCAAGACTCTAGGTGATACCCCAAGTCTTGAGGCATTTAGGAAGCCAATCAAATTGTATTACAGATATATTTCGGAAACTTGAGGCAGACACTCACTTCCTAAAGCATTGCATCTCAAAATGAAATATGGCTGAAACACCTGAGAATTTCCCAGTGTGAAATGATTTGGGTCTCTGTGCCAATTTCCCTATTCTCACCTAGTAAAGATTCAGTGAAGAAAATGAAAAACTCTCTAGGCATTCTAAACATAGAGAGATTTAAGACAGGGACTATCTTAGTCCATTTTGTGCTGCTGTAACAGAATACCTGAAACTGGGTACTTTATGATGAGCAGAAAAATGATGGCTCATAGTTCTGGAGGCTGGAAAGTCCAATATCAAGGTCCAGCATCTGGTGAGAGCCTTCTTGTTGCACTGTACATGGTAGAAGACATCACATGGTGCCCGAGAAAGAGTAAAAGGAGGCAAATCCACTCCCATGGTAATAGCATTGGTCCGTTTGTGAGCACAGAGTCCTCATTATGTAAACACCTCCTCAACATCCCACCTCCCAATGTCATCACAATAGCAATTAAATTTCAACATGAGTTTTAGAGGAGACAAGCATTCAAACCATAACAGAGCTTTATGTGCTTACAAAATCATTGAAAGGGATATGGGAATAAGGTATAGGCTGGGATTCTAGAATGATCTAGAACTGACTCACTAGGGGAGCTAGCATGAGTTCAACAACTCATCACTGTAGATGCGGTCCCAAGTTCAAAAAGTTGCTGCTGCTGCCGTGCTCACTACTGAAACAGCCTCCTGACATCCAGAAAGCTGGAAGGTGGACACCTATGGCTGTAAGTCATGGATTAGAAAGCCAGAATCAAGAATCCACTACTATACGAGCTGTCACCACAACTGCATGTCAGCACCAGGAAGCTAGAATATTTCTGAAGAAAAGCTGTTTCTATAACCTTGCTTGCCAAAATAAACAGCCAAGGCTGGGCATAGTTGCTCACGCCTGTAATTCCAGCCCTATGGAAGGCTGGGGAGGAAGGATTGCATAAGTTCAGCAGTTTGAGACCAGCCTGGGCAACCTAGGGAGACCTTGTCTCTCAAAAAAAAAAAAAAAAAAATTAGCTGGGCATGGTGGCATGTGCCTGTAGTCCCAGCTATTTGTGAGGCTGAGATGAGTGGATTGTTTGAGCCCAGGAGGATGGCGCCACTGCACTCCAGCCTGGGTGTCAGAGCAAGACCCTGTCTCAGAAAAATAAAAATTCAAAAAAGAAAAAGCAAAATAGACAGCCAAGATGAACAGGGAAATTGCCTCTGCCTGACATCCACCTCCCAAATCTTGTGTTGAGTTTCTCTAATATGCTAAGCCTTATTCGTATCCAGAATCCTAGTGATTTTTAGGTTTTCAACCTTTCCAACTAGGATGAGGCCATAAGGGTGATTGAGAAAGCCAAAATGTGGTGAACTGTTGCAGGTTTTTTTTTTTTTTTAAATACAACTTTTCCTAATTATGTCACATGTGTAGTATATGACTCATAAAAGTATAATATATTTAAACATATTGTATTGTGACACAAAATATATCTTAGAGAGCTTTCTTCATGAGTGGATGTGAATGGAGCCCCCCCCCCTTTTTTTTAAACAGTGTCTGGTTTGTGCATATAAGTTGTTTCTAGTTTTTGCTGGAACTAAAACTGCAGCAGAAACATACTTGCATGTACATTTTGGTGCATATGTGTGTTTTCATCCACCAAACATGCAGTTTGAATTGCCCCAAAAATGATGGCAAGAGAATTCCCACAAGAGAATGCCCCAAACCAGATATGAGGCTGGTTGGGATTTCAAAGAAGGACTAAATACCAGGGTAATTAGTCCAAAGTGCTTATTAGGGGAACCTACTTATAGAGTACTGCAGCAATGTTTGTGAGGGACATCAAGAGAAAAGGGGTGTTCTATCTAGGTACGTCTACAGCAAGAGGGTCAGGGTATGAAGTTTGTGTGAGAGTTTAAGGAATTTGGTACAAGGCCAGGACCAGTTTCTTTCAGTATTTTGGGCAACGACATAGATACCTTTATCAGTGCCTGGAAATGTTCAAGGCCCCAGTTTGAGTAAAAAAATCCTGCAGCTGGCTGGGTCACAGAGTGGTCAAGACACTCTTGTGATTTCTGGTCAGGACACAAAAAGAAAGCTGAGAGGGAAGGGGGACACTACAATGTGAATGATTTTATGGCATAGATTCTTCAAATTCAGAAGCATCCATATTTAAATTTTGTCAGATATTGCCAAATTTCAAGAGCAAAAATATTGAAACAAAGTATCTTCCACTGACCAGTTCAGGAGGTTCTTGCTTTGCTCAAGTCTTTGTGAATACTAGATGTTTACTTTTTGCCATTCTAAAGACTAAAAAATAATATTTCACTGTTTAATTTGCATTTTTGGATTATGATTGAAGAGGTCTCTTTTTTGGCGATTTTTTTTTTGATATTTGTAGTTCTATGAATTGCCTGTTCATAGACTTCACCCATTTGAAAATTTGAGTTGTCATTTTCCTATGATTTAAGGAAATTCCTTTAATAAATAACATTTCATTGTCTATTATGGGTTTCAAATATATCTCATCTGTCTCTTATAATTTTGTTTTATGGTATCCTTTTTTTGTACAGAAAGTTTACATATTTATATCATCAGATTTGTCCATCTTTTTCTTTATAGTTTCTATATTTTGAGTTGTGTTAGGAAGGCCTCTCATATGCTAATATTATTGAAATATTCTCCTCTATTTTATTTTGGATGTTGTCTTAGTCCATTTTCTGCTGCTATAACAGAATACACAGACTGGGTGATTTATAAAGGACAGAATTTTATTTGGCTCATGGTTCTGGAGGCTGGGAAGTCGAAGAGCATGGTGCCAGCATCTGGCAAGGGTCATCTGTGGTAGAAAGCAGAAGTCAGTGCGGGAGACAGAAGGACAAATTGGGGGTCAAACTCCTATGATGACTAACCCACTCTTGTGATAATGGAATTAATTCATTCATGATGGCAGAGCCCTCATGGCCTGATTACTTCCTAAAAGCCCCATCTCTTAGTACTGTTACAATGGTAATTATTGTCAGGCCTCTGAGCCCAAGCTAAGCCGTCATATCCCCAGTGACCTGCACGTATACATCCAGATGGCCTGAAGCAACTGAAGATCCACAGAAGTGAAAATAGCTTAACTGATGACATTTCACTATTGTGATTTGTTTCTGCCCCACCCTAACTGATCAATGTTATTTCTAATCTCCCCCACCCTTAAGAAGTTTCTTTGTAATTCTCCCCACTCTTGAGAATGTACTTTGTGAGATCCACCGCTGCCCCCAAAACATTGCTCTTAACTCCACCGCCTATCCCAAAATCTATAAGAACTAATGATAATCCCATCACCCTTGCTGACTCCTTTTTCGGACTCCGCCCGCCTGCACCCAGGTGAAATAAACAGCTTTGTTGCTCACACCAAAGCCTGTTTGGTGATCTCTTCACACGGACACGTGAAACAATTATGTTTCTAACACATTAATTTGGGGGACATATTCAAACCATAACAATAAAACGTTTATGAAAATCAATGTTAAGGGCACAGCCCTGCACAAGACTGCTCTTATTTCAGATGCCAGTTGCAAGTTTGGGGGTCTCTGGGGCCACCCTTACTTCTGACCAACTAGCTACATATTCAAAGGTTCGTATGGCTACCCTCAGGTTTAATAATTCACTAGAAAGACTCATAGAATGCCCCAAAGTGCTATACTTATGATTATAATTTTAACATAGCAAAAAAATACAACTCAGAACCAGATTAAAAAAATGCATAGCTTCCAGTTATCTTCTCCCTGTGGATTCCTTCATCATGTTACTGCTTCCAGCTCTGGTGTGTGACAATATTCAGAGTGTTGCTAACCAGGAAAGTTCACCCAAGCTTTGATATCTAAAATTTTTATTGAAGTTTCATTGCATAGCATAATTGAATTGTTGGCCATGTGGTTAACTCAATTTCCAGCCCCTTCTGTTGGGGAGATCAGTCTGATACCATGTGGCTCAAAGCCCCAACCCTTTAATCATGGCCTTGGTCTTTCTGGTGTGGCCAGTCCTCATCTTGAGTTAACTCTTTAGCACAAACTATCTAGGGGCCCATTATGAGTCATCTGACTATCAGGTGTGGTCTGAGGAACCCATTATGAATAACAAAGACCCTCCAATCACTGGAGGTATTTTAAGGGTTTAGAGGTTACTTCCCAAGAGCTGGCACAAAGGTCATACCTCTCTTTGGGTAAATTTACTACACAGATGTGGTATTCTTTACTACACAGATGTTTTAATTTAAAAACTTTTAGATTTTTAACATTTTTGGAATATTTTTATGACTTGCATAATATACAGATTAAACTTAATTTTTTCCCCAATGAGTAGCTAGTTGTTTCAATACTGTTACAGGTAGATAGGCATGAGCGGGGCAGGAGAGGGCTCTTCCCACCACCCACTAGAAATGTTGGATGATGGTTCGGCAGTTATTGCATTGCATCTTTAAAAGTGATAAATTGGCAGCTGGCCCCAGGGAGAGGCCATTTTCTGATGGTCCACACCTGTTAACATTAAAATGTTAATTGAATGCAGGCCCCAGAGAGAAGCAGCTTCTTGGGCATGCACATTAAGAGACAAAAATGGCGAAGTATGATCTTCCCGGATCACTCCGCCCGAAAAAGGAAGAAAGCCTCAGATGGGCATGCATACAAATCCTAAGCATACTGCATGTGCTCAGTTCCCAAGAGTAAGGAGGCACCGCATGCAGAAAACCCACCCTAAGGGAAGAATCATGGGAAAGAGGTGAGCCTATAAAGTCCCAGGATCAAATTTAAAGGTGCTTCTTTTGTCTCTCTTTTCTCCTTGACCTTCAGGGGCTCACTTGAATCTCTTCCAAGGGTTCTTTACTTTCTTTGCTGTTCTAAAGCCTTTTTAATAAACTCCCACTCCTGCTCTGAAACTTGCCTTGGTCTCTTTTTCTGCTTTATGTCCTTCAGTCAAGTTCTTCTGAGGAGGCAAGGACTGAAGTTGCTACAGACCCATACGAATACGCTTGTGGTAACTCGGTGTAACTCAGATCCCTGCCGCCACTAAAAATACCACTTATTGAATATTATATCCTTTCCTATTATTATGAAGTACCATCATAATGGTGTACTAAATTTTCATATGTACGTGGCTCTGCGTATGTATTTCTATTTTGGCTAATTCATCTTTCTATACCAGTGTTAATATCACACTGTTCTAATTACTATAACTTTATAGTGTTTTTTTAATATTATGCTTTGATAACTAATAGATCAAATTTGACTAAACTATTCTCTTCTCAAAATATTTTGGCTCTTCTTATACGTTTTCTTTTCTAGATAAACTTTATAATTTTGACAGATACACAAATACATTCTCAATGAGATTTTTATTGGAATTACATTGACTTTATGAATTATTTAAGAGCAATTAGAATATTGAGTTTTCTCACTCAAGATGATGGTAATGTATTCTATTTACTCAGTTCCTCTTAAAAATGTCCTTCAGCAGAATATTATTTCCTGTCTGTATTTCTTGCTTGCTTTTAAAGATTATTTCTAGGTATGCTGTTTGTTGGTATGCAATTGTCAATGCATTTTTTTTTACTCTTTCTGAGTATTGCTTTTAGATAGGAAAGCACTGAATTTATGTTTAAATCTAGTGCATCATTAGAGTATATTTATTAGTCCTCATAGTTTTTCAGTTACTTATTTTGGGCATTTTTAGATATACAATTATATCACCTCCGCAAACATATTATTGTCTTCTCATGAATAAATATTAGGATATAGAGGTACAGAAAATAATGTGGAATAAGAAGTATTGTTAGCAGGCACCACTGTTCAGTTTATAATTTTAATGTAAATGTTTATAATATTTTACTTTTAAGTAAGATGTTTGTCATATATTTCTGTATTACATCCTTTGTCAATTTTAGTAAGTTGCTTCTATTTGTATCACACTAAAAATTTTAATCAGGAGTGAGGGCTTAAAGCAATACTAAGCAAAAAGAGCAATTCTGAAGGCAACGCATTACCTGACTTCAAACTATGCTACATGGATATAGTTACCCAAACAGCATAGTACTGGTATAAAAATAGTCATATTAGAACAATGGAACAGAATAGAGAATCCAGAAATAAAGCCAAATCTTTATAGTCAACTGATCTTTAGCAGAGCATACAAAAACATAAAGTGGGGAAAGGACACCCTACTCAACAAATGGTGCTGCGTTAATTGGCAAGCTGCAAAGTAGAAGAATGAAACTAGATCCTCATGTCTCACTTTATACAAAAATCAACTCAAGATGGATCAAAGACTTAAATCTAAGACCTGAATCCATAAAAGGTCTGGAAGATAACATCGGAAAAACTCTTCTAGACATTGACTTCGGCAAAGAATTTATGACCAAGAACCCAAAAGCAAATGCAGCAAAAACAAAAATAAATAAATGGGATCTAATTAAACTAAAAAGCTTCTGCACAGCAAAAGAAATAATCAGCAGGGTAAACAGACAACCCATAGAGTGGGAGAAAACATTTGCAAACTATACATCTGACTAAGGACTAATAACCAGAATCTACAAGGAACTCAAACAAATCAGCAAGAAAAATACAAGTAATCACATCAAAAAGTGAGTAAAGGACACAAACAGACAATTCTCAAAAGAAGACGTATAAATGGCTGACAAACATATGAAAAAATGCCCAACATCACTAATCATTAGGGAAATGCAAATTAAAACCACAATGAGACACCACGTTACTCCTGTGAGAATGGCCATAATTAAAAAAATTTAAAAGATATTGGAGTGAATATGGTGAAAGAACACTTTTACACTGTTGGTGGGAATGTAAATTAGTACAACCTCTAGGGAAAACAGTATGGAGATTCTTTAAAGAATGAAAAGTAGAACTACCATTCGATTTAGCAATCCCACTACTGGGTATCTATCCAGAGGAAGAGAAGTCATTATGTGAAAAAGACACATGTACATGCATGTTTGTAGTGGCACAATTCACAATTGCAGAAACATGGAACCAACCTAAATGCCCATCAACCAATGAGTGGGCATAATACATTGGAAATAATAGTCCATTTTACTTGTTGCCCTTAGAAAGCATGAGATTGTCTCACATTCTCTGAACAGACCCCTCTTGCTTTCTTGATCTGGCATGAGAGAATTTATGTTCCATGTAACAAGAAGAGCCTTGACTACAGTACATCAGTTAATGAGAGATATTTTCCGAAGCTTGGCAGAACAGAGTCATCAGGTTTCTAGATCCTTGGGGAGTAAGATCAGAGTCTACAGTGACCCTGTGAATTGGGAGGAGAGACTGGAAGCATGAACAGTGAAAGGTAGTGTGATTATGCAGGGGAAATAAAAACAACCTTTGAAAAACGATGGGAAGGCGATGGGCTACACAAAATATGTCATGTAATAGTGCATGTAGTTGTAATGGGCAGTAATGGCAGAATGGAGACTGGATCTGGGACAGCCATGTAGCCAGTTGGTTTAAAAAGCAAAATTAGTTCAGTGATAAGAACAGGCAGGGCATATTGACACTGGAGAAAATGTTCCTTTTATACTCAGCATTGTCAACTTCAGACCAGTAAAATGTAGTATTTGTTATTTCATATTTGCCTATGCCACTCTTCTAAAAAATATGATTTCTGTTCTCCAGCATCTTACAGGCTAAAAGAGACAACACTCAGATTAACTTCTACATAAAGTCTTGAAGATTCAATGCAGAAACTTACAAACAAAGCATGTAATACTTTAGGAACAAATGTTCTGTTAATTTAAAAAAGCACTTTCAGTATGCCCTATGTTTTTAATAACAATGAATGTTCTTAATCACAACCAATATCTCCCATGTTGTTAAGACTTTGGAGGCAGAGCTGAGTTCAGAGGCTGCCTGTGCTGTCCACCTGCTGGGGCCCATGGACAAGCTGCTTAGCCACTTGGAGTCATAGTTTTTGATATGAATAATAGTGATGATAATAACCATCCTGCAGGGTTGCCACCTTTATACTAGACATAGGAAATTTAGTTTGCTACAGTATTGCCACTTGATTTGGTTTGGTTCTGTGTTCTCATCCAAATCTTACCTTGAATTGTAATAATCCTCATGAGTTGAGGGAGGGACCTGGTGGGAGGTAATTGAATCATGGGGGTGGGTTTTTCCCAAGCTGTTCTCATGATAGTGAGTAAGTCTCATGAGATCCGATGGTTTTATAAAGGGGAGTTCCCCTGCACATGCCCTCTTGCCTGCAGCCATGTAAGACATCCCTTTGCTGTTCCTTCATCTTCTGCCATGATTGTGAGGCCTCCCCAGTCATGTGGAGCTGTGAATCCATTAAATCTGTTTCCTTTATAAATTACCCAGTCTCGGGTATGTCTTTATCAGCAGCGTGAGAACAGACTAATACACCACTCCTATTATGTTAGCTTCCTCCTCTCACATTTGGGAGCCTCTTTGTGCATTAGGGCTTGTGATCACCTGGGTACAGGTTGTTACTTTCAAGAGAAGTTCAGCGTTTTTTGTAGTTGAAAAATACATGAGGAAATGTTAAAGGAACCAGAGAAAAAATATGTAGTGCCCTGGAAAAACCTGATCAACTCACTGTGTGTCCTTAGCCAAGTCACCTAACCTCTTTGGGCTTCAGTTCCTTCATATTTTAAGTTGTGGAGGGTGGGATGAAAATGAGAGGGTAATTGCTTGAGATGATTTCTAATATCACTTCCAGCTGTAAAATGTGAGGTTTCTCTAAGATCAGGAGCAAATCTAATTTTTCTTTGACACAAAGGGCTCTTACACAAAAGATAATGAATGGCTTTAATATATCTTCCCTGAGGACAGAAAAGAAGAAATAGGGTGACAGTCTCCCTAGGTTTTGGCTGAAGATAAGGAAGACTTTCCAGACTGTGAGAATTATTTATTGGTGTGAATCAACAAGGGAGCATGGGATATTCGAGTAGGATAGATTTCTCTCTCTTTGGACAAAGTAGGATCCTGAACTGAAGCCTAAGTTTGCAGTGGAGGGAGGGTGAGTGCAGTGGGAGGATGTGGGGTGATGAGAGGGATGAAGAGATTAATGGCCTTTCTTTACTAGTCCCACAGTCTTAGGTGTGACTTGCCAACCTACAGCCCTGGCTTTCAAGCAGTTTGTGCTCCTTGGAGGGTCCACAAGCTTGGTGACTATCAGTGAGTCACCAACAGCTACCAGTGTGCTTTGCATTTTGACACAACAGGACTGTATGGAAGGTAGTAATTAGCACAGAGGACACAACAGGTCTAAGCATCACCATTCCAGTTAGTTTTTACTGTTGTGTTTGAAAAGATAGTAAAATTCTAGAGAAAAACAACAAAACAAAACAACGATTCTTCCTCCCCTAACCAACCCCAAGTTTCCAAATTAAGCAAGCAGTCAATCTAGTAGGGTGACACCACCAGAAGAAAACCCTGTGGACTGTGGAGACCCAGTGAAGCTGTGGCTGTGATCCTCAGCCTTGCAGGCTGTGCTGCCAGCCCTTTGTGAAAAGACCCTGGCCAGGCGCAGTGGCTCACGCCTGTAGTCCCAGCACTTTTGGGAGGCTGAGCAGGGCAGATCACAAGGTCAGGAGATAGAGACCATCCTGGCCAACATGGTGAAACCCCGTCTCTACAAAAAATGCAAAAATTAGCTGGGTGTGGTGGCAGGCGCCTGTAATACCAGCTACTTGGGAGGTTGAGGCAGGAGAATCGCTTGAACCTGGGAGGCAGAGGTTGCAATGAGCCGAGATCATGCCATTGCACTCCAGCCTGGGCGACAAGAGTGAAACTCCGTCTCAAAAAAAAAAAAAAAAAAAAAAGATAATAATAAAAATAAAAAAGGAAAAGACCCTTACTCCCTCATTAGGACGGCAGTTTTGTCAGTTACATTTCGACATATAGCCATTTTGCAAACGATGTTGCTCTTTTAATCTTTATTTTTCTATCAGCATTCCTCCTGTCTCCATGTTCAGTTTCTCTTAAACTCAGTCTCATTGTATCAGCTTTAGCTTTTGTTGCTGTTATTGTTTGTTGTATTTTTTTTCCATGATAGGACTTTTATAGAAAATACTTCATTACATCTCAAGACATTCTTATATTCACCTACTATGGTTTTACTATTTTATCTGCATTTGTTCTCAGCTAATCTTATTACAACTTGGAACCGCTGAGGCCCCACTAGGGGGCTGCAAGTGCAGTAGTCAGAGCCCGCTGTTGCTGCTCTCCCAGCAGAATTCTATCAAGTTAAGACAGACACACTCTTTAGAAAGGACTGCACAGCTGTGGCCGGATTGAACCACAGATCCCATTGTTTTGTCCAGATGCTGGAGCTGATTCTATCTTCAGAAAAAGAGGGCATTCAAAACAAAAACCAGGTTTGCTATTTTAAACGACATTGGATCCTTGGGAGCATTGTTTTCTTTTGGAAGCCGAGAGGAAATGTCAGGAAGAGACAGGATGTATATAGGTGGTGTGAGATGCTTCCGGAGAGTTGTTCAGAGCTTTTTGGATTGGCTTGTATGACTCTTTCCTGCCTCGATTCTCTGCCCTATTTCAATTCACCTGATCCACTGCTGACACATGGATCTTTCAAAAAACTCTGCAGTGATCATGTTATTCCCTATTTCGGGAATCATGAATGATTCCACATTATCTAGACCCAAACTCCCACTCTTTCAGAGTATTAAGGATGCCTTTTAAAGTTAAAAAAAGAGAAGCACCTTATGTCTGCCTTAGAATGGATTCACTACACTTTTAAGTGCGTTTGTATGGAAGTATTCACAACAGCATCTATGTACTTTAAATAAATAGTCCAGCTGGGAATAAGTGTTTATTTTGTCAGCTTATAATGCTTAGCTCACTTCTGAATTCCTGGACCCCTTGTACGAATCCCTTGGTCCCAGGGTTCTATGAAGCTTGGATCAGAAGTAGTACCCTGGAGGACTAGACTCTAAGCATTGCCAGGAAGTGCTCCTTGGTCAGCTTCCTCTGATTCCATTGACTTTCCCCAGGTAGATGTTTTCTAGGTATGTCCTCTCTCCTGTCTTTCTGGAGCCCCCTGGACTATTCTCTGGCCTTCTTCCTCCCTCTTTTCTGTATTTTCAATTGTTCCCTCTTAATTGACACATTCCTTGCAGACCCAGATATACTAAAATATCAACTCATTTAGAATATCCTTGCAATCCTAAATATCCTCCCACTTTCTAGTTAGCAGGTGCTCTGTTTTCTTCCCCTCACAACCATACTCCTCTACTGGATGGTAAAACTCAGTTGTTGAATCCCATCTACACTCAAGTCTCCCAGCTCCTGCCTCGTGTTAGGCACTGATCATTTTATACTATTATACTTTATATACCTTGTCTCCAGTTATATTGATACAAAGTTTCAATTGCTGGTTAAGTGATCTTTACAATAGATGTAACAGATAAGAACTGCGTTAATGACAGATGCTGGCAATAAAGGGTGTTAAACAAACAAAAAGCTTTAATGGTGATAAATTTTGTAGGAGTAAATAAAAAGAGCTCACTTGATTTGTGGCTCTCCTTTATCAGGTCTCTAGGGGTAGCCTTTTCTGCATGGGGCTGCTACAGCTTATTTTGATCTATGGTCTTTCTAAGCATTTCATTTTTGGCATTCCAAAGATGACCATCTTGGGAAGGCTGAAACTGACTGCTATGTACTAACTAGTTAAAAAGCAACCTTCTGAATGATTAAGCAATACAATACCACTTCATTTTGGTAAGAGGAAAAAAGTGGTTATAATTATTGTCCTTTAAAATACAAAGTCAACATTGTCATTATTCCTGGAACATAGTTGGCACTCACTGTATGTTTATAAATTGTGGAATGGTGATTGATCGACAGCGACTCTCTCAATTCCTACTTGTTTATTCATGCGTTGATTTGATTATTCAAGGAGTATTGAGTGCTCAATATGTGACAGATGTTGAATCAAACATTAAGCGGATAATAGTAAACATGCTAAACATAGTTGTGGTCCTCAGAGGCCAACATTCTGATGGTTGAAACAGATGACTGATAGGTAATTATCATGCAGTGAGGTGAGTTCTATGACGGTGGAAGGGCAGAGGCTCTGGGAATACTTGGAAAAGTCTCTTAACTTGGATGGGGGTGTTGGGAGATCAAGAAAGGCTTCCTGGAAGAAGTAGTATCTACACCGAAACGTGGATAAGGAGTAGAAAATAGCCATTTAGATTTAATTAGGAATGACAGTCACCAAAGTGTTATTATGGCTTTGAGTCATAAGGCACCTACTGAAAGCTTTTGAGATGAAGCCAGCCATAGGAAGAGAAGATTGTATAGGAAATGTTCAACGTCATATTTTGCGAGAAGTCAGGGACTCCAAACGGAGGGACCAGCTGAAGCCACGGCAGAAGAACATAAATTGTGAAGATTTCATGGACATTTATTAGTTCCCCAAATTAATACTTTTATAATTTCTTACGCCTGTCTTTACTGCAGTCTCTGAACATAAATTGTGAAGATTTCATGGACATTTATCACTTCCCCAATTAATACTCTTATAATTTCCTATGCCTGTCTTTACTTTAATCTCTTAATCCCATCATCTTCGTAAACTGAGGATGTATGTCGCCTTAGGACCCGGTGATTATTGCGTTGTCTGTACAAATTGTTTGTAAAACATGTGTGTTTGAATGATATGAAATCTGGGCATCCTGAAAAAGAATAAGATAACAGCGATTTTCAGGGAACAAGGGAGATAACCATAAGGTCTGACTGCCTGCGGGGCCGGGCAGAACAGCGTCATATTTCTCTTCTTGCAGAAAGCAAATAGGAGAAATATCACTGAATCCTTTTCTCAGCAAGGAATAACCCTGGGGAAGGAATACATTTCCAGGGATGGGTCTATGGACAGCCACTCTGGGAGTGTCTGTCTTATGTGGTTGAAGATGAGGGATGAAATACGCCCTGGTCTCCTGAAGTGCCCTCAGGCTTGCTAGGATTAGGAAATTCCAGCCTGGCAAATTCTAGTCAGACTGGTTGTCTGCTCTCGAACCCTGTTGCCTGTTAAGATGTTTATCAAGACAATACGTGCCCAGCGGGACATGGAACCTCATCAGTATTCTAATTTTGCCCTGGCCTTGTGATCTTGCTCTGCCCTTCTGCCCTTGTGATCTTTGAAGCATGGGATCTTTGTGACTTACTCCCTGTTCATACCCCACTCCCCTTTTGAAATCCTTAATAAAAACTTGCTGGTTTTGCAGCTCAGGGGGCATCATGGAATCTGCCGATATGTGATGTCACCCCCAGAGGCCCAGCTGTAAAATTTCTCTCTTTGTACCCTTTCTCTTTATTTCTCAGACTGGCCGACACTTAAGGAAAATAGAAAGAACCTATGTTGAAATATTGGGGGCTGGTTCCCCTGATAATCATAAGTGATGATGAATATTGGTTTTAATATTAGCACTTTGGAAACATAAATAAATTTATGAACTATTTTTTAAAAAATTAACTGCTGAGAATATGAGTAAAAAATGCACCTTTTTACAAACATCCCTGAATGAGATTGTCTTCTCTTTTATGCATATAATTTGTGAATTAAAAGTTTCATTGATCTGATTTAAACAGGTCAGAATTATTCACTGAATGAGCAAGTACTGTCTTGTCCATCTCCTCAACATTTCTCAGATCTGTAAGTCTTACCTCTCTCCATTTCATCCTTTAAAGTTTTCCCTTAGAACCCTCAGTGTCTACCAGGAGACACTCTCAAGTGGTCACAGGAGGAAGGGGCATAAAGTATCATCATGACATAGCTCCACCAGTTTTTTGTCTCCGCACTCCACACACCCTCCAGCATACTTACAGCCTACCAAAAATTTCATGTTCTTTCCTTTCATCTTTCTTTCATGTTTTTGTAGAGATGGGGGTCTTGGTATGTTCCCCAGGGTGGTCTTGAACTCCTAGGCTCAAGGGATCCTCCTTCCTCAGCCTCCCAGGTAGCTGGAACTACAGGTACATACCACTATGTCTGGCTTTCATGCTCTTTCTTGTCTCAGGACATTGCACCCATTTCCTCTGACTGTAATGACCCTTTCCACGCCTCCACCCCACGAGGAAGTTGTGTCCCAAGACCTAGATCTGACTTCATTTCATCTTTATTCTTCTGTATCACAACTCCATTTGAGGAAATTTATAAAATCTTCCTCCTGTAGAATAATTTATTTCTAAGAATCATATGTCTTTCAACATGCCCTATACTAGTCATTTTCCTAGAAAAGAAGGGTAATAGAGTTAGAAAATTCAAAAGGTAGAATGGTAATAGAGGTAATTTAGTTCCATACCCATCCTCTCCAAATGTTGGAACTGAAATTCAGGAAGGTTCTGAAGTTTTCCCCAAGCTTACGCAGCTATTAATGTTATATCTGGGTCTTGAACTCTCTTCCTGATTAGAGATCACACCATCCCTTTTCCCTTGTGGGAACTGCCCACTCCTCATTTTTACTTCATGTGGTTCTGATGGAAATAACCACACCCCTAGCTCCAAAGGTGGGTATGTGACCAAAATCTGGCAGAGTAGTTCATCCCCCTGCTGGTTCAGGAATGGACTTGTGACCCAAGTTAGGTCAATCAGAGTCACATGGAGACTCTGATTGGAGCCCATGGGCAGAGGAGTTCTATTCATGCCAAGGCTACTCAAAGGGGAGGGCATGAGCCTGGAGGTTTCCGGTCCCACCCTGGGGAGACCGTGCCTGAGAAGGAAGCACACATTGAATAAAGAAAGAGGGAGAGGGAGATACTGACCTTGTTAAGCAAGCTGAACTCTGATTTCTCATCTACATGAGGCAATGAATTCTTGTTTTGCTTAAGTGAATTTGATTTGAATTTCTTTTCCATATAATAAGAGTTCTAACTGATACATCACATCTTCTGATTTCAAGTCCTATTATAAAAATTTCTAACATTTTTATTGGTGTGAAAAATGTTCATTTTTGCAAGAAGTCATAATGCAACAGCACATGTTTAACCCTGTGGATTTAAATGTAACTTTTGAAGAGCAAAGTAGCTTCAGTTTTTTTCAACAGAACCTGGCAAGTGAAGTTCACGTCTACTCAAGTCATTCCTACATAGCTTTATTTTTTAGTTTTTTTAATCTTTTTTTTTTTTTTTTTTAAGGCAAGGTCTCGCTCTGTCACCCAGGCTACAGTTCAGTGGTCTGATCACAGCTCACTGCAGCCTCAACCTCCTGGGCCCAAGCAATCCTTCCACCCCAGCCTCCTGAGGAGCTGAGACCACAGGTGTGTGCCACTACATTCTTACACTGTTTTCTATGGTAGGAATTACGTCATTGGTTCTTCTGATTATCAACCTCACACTGGACTGTAAGCCTCCTGAGGATGGGGGCTATGTATTTCCCTTTAGAAAAATCTTTAGAAAACAGTTAAAACAATATTGATAGTACCTAACACATGTTGAGTGTTTACTATGTGTGCCAGGCACAGATGCATATGTTTTACTTGTTTAATACTCACAATAAACCTAGGACGTGGTTACCATTTTGTAGATGGAGAAATGATGTTTATAGCTCATCAGTGGGGGAGCTGAGATTCAATCTTGTGTAGTAAGTTTCTTAACCAGTGCCTTCCACTGCTTTCCCTGATGTATAGTTATACTTCGTAATTACTTGTTAAATGAAAGAATAAATATCTCTGACATTGGGATATGATACCCATTTTACCTCTGGGGAAACTGAGTCAATAATGAGCAGAACTAGAGCCGGTGTCTCTCAACTCTTACTAAGACACCCTTTCCATTATAAAATGCTGATTCGTGAATCAAAAATACAGGCAAATATTTTAAATTTGAAGTTCCAGGTAAGATTCGGGGCTTATCAGTATAACTTATGTTTTCGCAAAAGACTATCTTCTACACTAAAATATATTAAAGGACTGCTTCTTTAATACATAAAAAATAAAAATAATGAGAAAACCACCTAAAACGTAAAAAACTTCTAAGCATTTCCACAGAGAATGCAGAAAAGAATTAATGAGGGTGAGGAATAATCACTTCTACATAAATATAGCAGGTGGCATTACTTATGTTGCTATATATCATGTTAATAACTTGAAAACAAGCTAAACTGAATATAAACTATTTCTTTTATTTGTAATTTAGAAAGCCTAGAATAAGGGGCTCTAAGACTAAGATAGGCCATGTTCTCCATGAAAGATTCCTGGAAACTGAAAAATAAGGTCTTTTAACATTTTGTGATATAACTGTTTTTCTTGGCTTAAGCGTAGGTTTTAAAAAATGGTGCTCATTGTTTTGCTTGTAGTTCTTTTATGCATGGACAACCGTGCTGATGATGCATTCAGTTTAGGAGAATTTTCCAATTGAAAAAGTGCTCTGGAGAAGTTTAAGTGCCATGAATCACCCAAACCTCATCTAAGTCTCGTGAAGGCAAAGGCTGTGAAAGGCAGTCACAGAGAGAAGACATATTGTAGTTGTGCTGCCTGATTCAACTAAATAGAAAAATATTTTGTAAAGACATGAGAGTTTCAGGAATCTGGCAGAGTGGTAAGGATAAATGTCACTTTCTGTCAGAAAGGCAAAAATGAGTGACCTGCTACTCACCTCCCTCCTCCTCTTTTTCCCCCTCACTGAGGGGCAGACCTAGAATTTCCTTCTTATGTAAAATACAAACCCAAAGTCTGTTGGTGGCAGTTAGGAAAGTGCTAGAAATGCAATGGGGCATCCCCCCGCCCTGCTTCCCAATTATTTCCTAATGGCTTTTAGACATTCAAAACGGTTTTGATCAGGTGAATAAGTCAATACGTTTTTCCATTGTGAAGGAAGTAGATTGCTCATAATAATAATAGCTATAGCGGCAGCCGCAGCAGGAAATATTTTCTGTTCAAAAGGATTGGCTGTCTCCATCCCCATCTGCCCAGGTGAGACCAGGAGTGTGGATGAGTAGAGCTTTTCCGTTCACCTATCCTTTAAACTAGCATTTAATTCTGAATAGAATAGATATTTTTAATATTTCTCAATTATTAAAACATGGCCTACCTAGGTACACCATTAGAACAACTCTGTAGAATACGGAGGTATATAAACATCAGCCAATAATCCCCCGGTTGAATAGTGATTGTAGGCTGTGATTATAGGCAATACAAATGATGTTGAAACTGCTTCTCCACAAGGTCTCTGCTGATTCCCTTAACCTCTCCATTTTCTAGAATGTATATTCAGCACTAAATGGGGGGTATGGCTGTACTATATATTGGATGTGCAGATATATTCCAAACTGCAAGCTGAATTTTCCTTTGCCAACAAACAAATCACTACTGTCTCCAGATTGCACTACCAGCATGCCCCAACCGTGAAATGATTTAAGTGGTAATGGTTTAACTACACAGCCCTCATTTACTCAGTTTTACTTATGTCTATTTTGCCTTCCCAGACAAACAAAACTTCTTCTACTTTCCTGTTCCCACTGTCTAGAGTAGGGCATACAGCCTGCCCTTAATAAATGATTCTTTAACAATGGTATGTTTCTAAGTTACCGTATGTACAGCCAAGACACGTATCTTTTCTTTTGAGGGCTTGGTCCTTAGTAATAATCTAGCTTGATGGATTATGAAATTGAGGGTCAATAATGATGCACTAATAAAGGGGAGGAGCAGAAAGAGACAGGAGAACCACAGCTTGCTTGGAAAACCGTGGTATAATAGCAAGTAACTACAGTTATGCTATTGACAAGCTGGAACACTCGATCAATTTGCTTCCTCTGTAAGTCCTGCAGTTCCTCATTTAGGAACAAGGATAACACCCTGCCTTATCTCACAGTGTGGTTGTAAGCACAAAGCAAGTGAAATAATGCCTGTGAAAACACTTCATGAAATGTGAAGTACACCACGAGTGAAGTGCTTGTTATGATGATTATGACTGAAATACTCTTAGTGTAATTATTCTCAGACTCTTAACATGTACTGAGAGACACCCAGTGTATTTCTAACAAGAACTTAGAAAAATTCAAACGTTATCTCTATCCACAGCTTTCCCCATTCCTCCTCACTAGTGTCTACTGTTTTCCTCATCTATTCCATCTCTAAAGAAGTGAAACCCACATTAAGCTGTTTGTTTTCTTGAATAACAAGTGAACTATATGCCAGCATAAAGAAGTACAGTCGATTTCCATTATTGAAGGTAGAATTATAAATTCACTGTCAACAATGATTTGGTAAATAATTAACCATTCCTTTTAGGAGAAATTCAGGGTTAGGTTCCCAAGAGCCTCTGGTCACAACACCTTTGTCAACCAATCAACATGTAACCTTGTTTCATGTGTGTTTTTGTTAGACACCTTTTAAAATATATATTGTTGGTTCACTAATGTTAAATTCATAGCCAACAGTACTACAACCCATTCCTAAATGAAGCTTATTTAAACACACATATTTTCCTTGTAAAGAACATCACAGCTTTCTTGTGCTTAGAAATACTAGACAATACTTCAGCAGCATGCTTAGGGGCCATTTTAAATAACAAAATCACTGAAAAAAAGCACTACATTGCAAACAAAACAAAACAAAACAAAACAAAAAAAAAAACCCAAAAAACAAAAGGGGCACTAAATAGACCATGAAAAGGATGCTTGTATATGTGAGCAGAAACAAGAAGGCAGAATGTTGCCTTGTTTGACCTCAGCTGGGATTGTGCATGTTTGGGACTCTGTCTTTTTGCCACTCTGCACATGTGCACAAATGACCGCAAAAGTGCTGCAAGTCCTGATTGTAGGGTTACAAATAAATGTTAGTGAGTAGGTGAATTTGCAAATCATAAGGATTGACTGACTACCTATGGAGGGAAGAGTTAGGACTGACTGTTGGAAATCCTAGGAGAGCCGTTTTCACATCACTTCAAAAAAAGTGTTTTCCTATACTAATTATAATCATCCACCAAGAGAACAACAGGCTTGCCAGTGAGCCCCTATCACTGCACGTGTTCTAGTAGAAGGGGCCTGATTTAAGTGGCCTTGCGAAAAGTATCTAGGTCCTGAGAGAAGGCCACAAACTATGAGATGAGCAATGATTGCAGAAAGAGTAGAAAAAGCCAAATATAGTTACCATCACTATTGATCATTCTATAAAATCAATCTCCATTTTCTCATACCCAAAATGGAATTTCAATCAGGGCAATATCTAGCATTAAAAAAAAAAGCAGTGCTCTTTTACTTGGAATGTGTGCATAAATGTCCTTTATTCTTGCAAGCTGTCAGATGTTGGAAGCCACAAGCAGCACTTAGTAGATTATAGAATAGTGAAGAGGAAAATGCTAAGAGATAAGGAAAGGTCACTGAACTGGAAGAATAAGTTCTTCAGTAAATCATCAGAACATTAAAGACAGAAAGTTCTCTGGGAGGAAGTCACTTTCAGAAATGCATAACCAAAGCAGGAAGAGAGGATGCATTTTGGTGAAGGTTTGAAATATCCAGAGTGCTACATTAATAGGAAACAATCTGTGCCCCTTTCCTTCCAAATAAAAAAGAAAATGATACTCCTTCCCCCAAGTAATACTAGTTATTTAATAATCGGGCACTTAATTAAGGCCACACAGAAACATTTGATGCTTAGGTTTAAAATGTATTTCCAGATGCTAGGTTAGGGAGGAGAGGCCACACCACCTTGAAATATCTCCCTCCCACCCTCCAGTTCCTGCAAATAGGCAAGGGAAATTCTAAGAACATTCACCAAGAGTTTACTTTTTTTTTTTTTTTTAAAGCAGAGCCAAATAAAGTAGCAACAAATTCCTTCATTTCTATCCCAGTCTGGCTTCTCTTCTTGCATTGGATCGTGGGCATGCTCCTGCAGGACTCATTCCCATTTGCTTTTGCTGGGATTTAATAGATCCTGGAGCAGTGGGGAATTGTCCCACATCCACTCATGGGGCTGGGCTGAGTTTCTGATTTCTTCCATTCTTTTTCCACTCATATCTCTGGGCAGAGAGCCAGCAGCCATGCAGAGTCTGTGAGGTTGGTGGTTTTTTGTTATTTATTTATCTATCTGTCTGTCTATCTATCTGTCTGTCTATCTATCTATCTATCTATCTATCTATCTATCTATCTATCTGTCTATCTATCTATCTCTATCTATCTATATCTATCTATCTATCTATCTATCTATCTATCTATCTATCTATCTATCTATCTATCTATCTATCTTGAGATGGAGTCTCGCTCTGTCACCCAGGCTAGAGTGCGGTGGCGCAATCTCGGCTCGCTGCAAACTCTGCCTCCTGGGTTCACGCCATTCTCCTGCCTCAGCCTCCCCAGTAGCTGGGACTACAGGCACCCGCTACCACGCCTGGCTAATTTTTTGTATTTTTAGTAGAGACGGGGTTTCACCGTGTTAGCCAGGATAGTCTCGATCTCCTGACCTTGTGATCCACCTGCCTCGGCCTCCCAAAGTGCTGGGACTACAGGCGTGAACCACTGCGCCCAGCCCAATTTTAACCATTTTTAAGTTTACAGTTCAGTAGCATTAAGTACGTTTACATTGTTGTGCAACCATCACTGCTATCTATCTCCAGAAATTTTTTCTCATCAAATTAAAACTCTGCAACCATTAAACAATAACTCCCCAGTTCGTCCTCTCCCATTCCCTGGTAATCACCATTCTACTTTCTGTCCCTATGATTTTTACTTCTAGGGACCTTATGTAAGTGGAACCATACAATATTTGTCCTTTGTGTCTGGCTTATTTCACATTGATGTCTTCAATGTTGATCTAATGCTGTTCATTGATGACACTGATTTCTTCAATGTTCATACATGTTGAAGTGTGTGTCAGAACTTTATTCTTATTAAAAGCTGTGGCCGGGCACGGTGGCACACGCCTGTAATCCCAGCACTTTGAGAGGCTGAGGTGGGTGGATCACCTGAGGTCAGGAGTTCGCGACCAGCCTGACTAACATGGTGAAACCTCGTCTCTACTAAATACAAAAAAAATTAGCTGGGCGTGATGGCACATGCCTGTAATCCGAGCTACTGGGGAGGCTGAGGCAGGAAAATCACTTGAACCCAGGAGGCGGAGGTTGCAGTGAGCCAAGATTGCGCCATTGCACTCCAGCCTAAGCAACAAGAGTGAAACTCTGCCTCGAAAAAACAAAAAAAAGAAAAAGAAAAAAAAAAAAAACGCTGAATGTTATTCTAGTGTATGGTGGTTTCCATCTTTTGGCTATTGTGAATAATGTTGCTATAAACAGTGGTTTGCAAATGTCTGTTTGAGTCCTTGAAATTTAATTTTCATGATTAAATTTCAGTTTGTTTTTTTGTCAAAGTAGTGCATAGGTGAGGTTGTATACTTCTTATTGAATCGAAGTAACATTAGGTGGCATATAATGTCATTTTTTCTTTATTAATGATGCTAACTTTGACCACTTGGCTAAGGTGTGGCTGCCAAATCTCTTCTTTGTAAAAGCGCCTTTGTCTTTTTTTAATTAGTAAGTGATTTAGGGGGTAATACTTTGAGATGGGTATACATAATTTCTCAAAAACTATTTACTCACTAATTTTAATAGTTATTAATAATTCTTACCAGAGTCAATTATTATGTTGGTGGTTGCAAAATGGTAATTTCTCTAATTGAACCATTCCTTTTACATTTCTTAGTAGGCATTTTTCTATAAATAATAGCTTTCTTCTCTCTTTCTTTAGTATTAGTAGTGGATTTTTCTTTATTCAATCAGTTGTAATTCATTATTGCCAATATGCTTTTTATTTTTCAAATTGTCCCAAGTTTGGCCAGCGGGAACCCCTTAAAATTGGCAAATGGAAACAATGAAAGTTACCTAAGAGGGTTGATAACTATAATGAGACAATATGCAATGTCTCAATTCTAGTTTACACCCAATAATGGTTATTATCATTTTAGTAGAGTTTTCATAGCTTGAAGCAACCATATAACTGCTTTTAGCCAATGGCAGGTTTTTTTTTTGTTTTGTTATGTTTTGTTTTGAGACAGTCTTGCTCTGTCATCCAGGTTGGAATGCAGTGATACGATCTCGGCTCACTGCAGCCTCACCTGAGAGGCTCAAGAGATCCTCCCTCCCACCTCTGCCTCCCAAGTAGCTGGGACTACAGGTGTGTACCACCATGCCCAGCTAATTTTTGTAGAGACAGGTTTCGTCATGTTGCCCAGACTGGTCTTGAATTCCTGAGCTCAAGCAATCCATACAACTCCGCCTCCCAGAGTGCTGGGATTACAGGTGTGAGCCACCACGCTGCACAGTGACATGTGCTTTTGAGTACCCCATAGCTCCTGGTGTCACTGAGAGTCCTAGAAATACAGACTGCTGGGGTTGGGAGTGAGCCTGGGGAGTATTCTAGTTCTACGGTTTTCTACCATGGCTCTCAGAATCCTTTTACTAGTCTACCATTAGTCTACCCAGCCTGGGTAGACAGAGTGAGACGGTCAAAAAAAAAAAAGAAAGAAAGAAACACCAGTGGGCACAACAGGAACAAAACAAAGGACTGCTTCCTCTAGCCAAAGGTTGAAGAAAAGGGTCGCCTAACAAAAGTCTTTTAGACAGTAGCTACATGATTCCAGCCAAACACCAAAGGAAAAACTGGCACCACTCCACCAAGGCTAGGAAAGGCGGGGTGGGAAATCTATACTTCCAACCACACAAGGCTGTAACATGGAGCCCCAGTATCTCTACTGGGGGGATATCAGAGCAAGTTGAGTTGTAAGCCAGAAACTTCATCCTTGTTGGACAGTAATGAGCCCTCTCCCTACTATAGTGTCAGTGGAGACAATGTGGAGAGCCTGGTAGGGAGCTAGGACTTTCACCACTGCCCAGCAGTGACAAAACCACCTCTGCGCTCCTACCATGATGTCAGTGGAGGCTACCTGGAAAGAAGTAATGGGTCACTCCTACCCCTCCCAGGCAGGGAGGTATCAGTGGAAGCCTGTAGGGGAGTCTGAATTCCCACCCTCACCTACCAGTAATGAAGAGCCTCCACCTCTCAGGGATTACCAAAGGGAAAGTGGGCAAACTGGACTTCTACTCCATTTGGTAGTACAAAGTGGTGCTCTCTGCCTTCCTCTGCCAGACTAATGTCAGATAAAATAGAAGTTTAAAGAAGATCCAGATTATCAGAACCTAACACCCAACATGTCAAGGTTTCAATTGAAAATCACTCATCCTGCCGAGAACCAAGAAGATCGTAAACCTAATTTTAAAAAATCATTAGGTGCCAGTATTGGCATGACAGAGATGTTAGAATTATACAACAGACCTTAAAGTAGCTGTCATGAAAATGATCCAACATGTAATTACAAACACACATGAAACCAATGAAAAAATAAAGTCTCAGTAAAGAAATAGAAACTCTTAGCAAAGAGATAGAAAATATAAATAAGAACCAACTGGAAATTTTGCTAAAAAAATGGAATAATTGAAATAAAAAACTCAGTGGATGGGCTCAACATCAGGATGGATGGGACAAAGGAAAAAAGAATCAGTGAACTGGAAGTAAGAATAGCAGAAAATTTCCAATCTGAACAACTGAGGATAATAGACTGAACAACAACAACAAAAAAGCCTCTGGGACCTGAGGGAGTATAACAAAAGATATAATATTCATGCATCAGAATCTCTGAAGGAGTCTCAGAAAGAGGGTGGGACCGAAAAAGTACTCAAAAGAAATAATGGCTAAAAATTTCCCTAAATTTGGAAAAAGGCATAAACCAAGACACTGAAGAAGCCAAGCAAAACCAAGACAGGATAAACCCAAAGAAATCCATACCAAGACATATCACAGTCACACTTCTGAAAACTAAAGACAATGAAAAATACATGATAGCAGCAGGAGACAAAAGATACCTTACCTATAGGGAAGAAACAATTTGAATGACACTGAGTTTCTTTTCTGAAACCATGGAGGCCAGGAGGAAGTGGCACAACGTTTTTTTTTTTGCACAACATTTTTAAGTGCTGAAAGAAAAGAACTGTTAACCCAGAATTCTAAAGCCAGTAAAACTATCTTTCAAGAATGAAGGAAAAAGAAGACATTCTGAGATGAAGAGAACTTAAGAGAATTTGTCACCAACAGATCTACTCAAAGTACTGCTTAAAGGAAATTCTCTAAGCAGAAGGAAATGAGAAAAGAAATCTTGGACCATCAAGAAACAAGAAAGAACAAATGATAGAGAAAAAAATGGGCTATAAAACAAATCTCAATAAATTTAAAATAACTGAAATCAATTCTGATGCAAAGACCATGGAACATACTCTGTGAAACACTATTCTTTGCCATTTCAACAGAAATAGGTAAGAAGTGTCCTGATATTCCAATTCAAATTTAGCATATCAAGATAACTTCTTTTTACTATCTTTTGCTTTATATTTGTATCTTTTTTTCCGTTACAGTGAAAATCTATATTCCTGATACCATTAACGGATTTCCTTATTTGTTTAATCCCACAATATGCATACAGTAATTTGAAAGTTGTAATACCCATATTACTCTAACAATAGGTCCACTAACTAAAGCACATGGTTACTTTACAATCCTTAGATCATATCTCACAAAAATCAATGGTCAGAATATTTATGTTCAAAAGTTACTTGAATTGATTCTTTTTTCTCTGAGGTTATTTTCCCTAACGTCTCTTGCCCCCACCCCATTACGGGTCACCAAATTTATTAGTTTCTGGTTTACAATTCTTTCTTTTTGGCAAAACCAATAATTTTATATATCCTTATGTTTTTCTTTTTCACTACATAAAAAGTAGCCTACTATAACTCTTTTTCATCTTGCTTTTTGAATTTAAAAATGTAACCTGAAAAATCATTCCATATCAGTTTATAGAAAAAGTGACTCTTAATAAATATTTGACAATTAAAGTTCGATTGAACATTATCACTCAGGGACTAAAAGCAAAAACAAAACAAACGAAACAGAAGGATCAAATCCAAACATTTGGCATTTGAACTCAGCTATATGTGTTTATCCTGTCCTGTGTTGTATGAAAATTTTAACACAGCTAACACCATGAGATACATTTTAGGCAAAAGGCAGGGCCATCTAAACTATGGGGTAGCTTTTGCTGATAAAAGCTTTCATTTTAAAGCTAATGAGTCTTATATTGTTTGAGTTTCATTTTTTTTTAAAAGATGCTAGTTGTTTTTTCCCTCCAAAGTGTTCAGGCATATTCTTTGAAATAGTTTTTAGCCTACCGTAGATTGGATTTTGTTTGTGTTTGACTTGCATCTTTGGGAGTATCTATTTCTGAACAGTGAAATTTTCTCTCATCATGAACTCTAGGCCTATCTCAAAACTCTTTTCATGGCTGGCTGGCCTACCCTGGAGACTCTTCAGGCAAAACTGCTTCATACAAGCCTCTCTAAGTAGCAGATCTTGTGGGAAAACATAATACTGCTCACAGTTGGAGTGGCTAGAAAAGTAGGGATGAAAATTGTGTAGTTTTGCATGGGCTTGCTTTGCCTCAATTTTCAAAGCAAAAGAGCCAGAATTTACCAGTTGGATGCAAAGTGTGTGTCAATTAACAGGAATATACTAATTTATCATAGTTGCTTTAAAAACCCTGGTCAGAGCAAGGAAATGTATTAAAACATCCATAATTGCATCTTTAATTGAATTTAGAGACATAAACAAAGAACTTGGTAAGACAGTAAAAATCAGGGATGTCACTCTATCTTGAACATCACTTGGTCAATTACAGGACCTTGCTATTTATGTAACATAATTATACTTGTACAGCCCAAAAGCAATGCTGTCAATTTACTTTGAGTAGATATTCATAAATATATACAGTAGTTTAACAATTAGATTCAGGGAACTAGTAGCTGTTTTATATTGATAATACAAACTTCTATTTATTTCATATTTTAATCTTTTCCTACGTTAGTATAGTTGACTTCAGATATATTTTGGAGCTAAAATCCACAGCACCACATTTAAGTTGTGCAAGTTTGTTCAACGGCAGTCAGTAAAACGTATTTATTTAGCAGGCATTTAAGTTACCCATAAAGCAGTAATGTGTGTGTGATTGTATGTATATGTGTGTGTGTGCACATTTAGCCAAGAGCAGATGGGTTAAGAGTAATAACATTTATTAAACTCTTGCATTAAATGTATTATGTTCAAAATCTCATTTAACCTTGTTTACTTTTCTGCTGAGCAAACAGGCTTAGAGAGGTTAAATAACTTGTCCAAAAAATTGGACATGTCTTAACACAGCTCATAAGAGGTAGTACTGTGATTCCAAAGGCCTGAAGGCAGCAAACACTCTGAGAGCCCCAGACAGGTCAGATTGATGGCTCTAGAATGGATGTTCTCTACTCTTTACTATGTTCATTACCATTATGCAATTCAAAGGATAGTTGTTTCTTAGAAATGTTTGCACATAAATATGGCTGGTTCTGTGGAGCAAGTTTTGAGAGACCCAATCTCAATATATCGTATAGCTCAATTTCCCTGACCAACATGGAAGAAGAGGCCATTAAAATGGCATGCTTTATAGGAAAGCCAATGAACAAAAAGCAGAGGTGATTCTCCTCCATCTTTTTTTTTACTAGAAGACTTTCCTAAAGTGAAAGATATGTATGTTCCAGGCAGGGTGTAGTTATTTTCTCCTATTACACTTGTCCCTATTACAATTACAGTTACATTCCAATAACTTGTGGTAGTTATAATAATGTACTGTTCAAGTTATACCACCTCACTCTTACGTTGCAACGTTATTTGCTTAAGATAATGAATGGGTATAAAGAAGAAACTAGTGCCCAGTACAATGTCTGTGGCACACACATAAAAAGATATCTCCATTGGGCTGAAGCATGTGCTTGGGGAATAGAAAGATGGACTCAATAGTTGATAACAAGGAATCCAGCCAGGTGGATAAAGTTATTCAAGGAGTGTGATGACAGGCAGCAGGTAGGGGCAGCAGACAATGCTTCTGAAAGTTGGGCTCTGTCAGGGTAGTTCATAAAGGGAGCATAAGTAAGCTAGACAGGGCATGATGTACACAAGTTTTTTTTTTTTTTTTGAGACGGAGTCTCACTCTGTCACCCAGGCTGGACTGCAGAGGCGCCATCTCGGCTCACTGCAACCTCCGCCACCTGGGTTCACGCCATTCTCCTGCCTCAGCCTCCCAAGTAGCTGGGACTACAGGCACCCACCAGCACACCTGGCTAATTTTTTGTATTTTTAGTAGAGATGGGGTTTCACCATGTTAGCCAGGATGGTCTCGATCTCCTGACATCGTGATCCGCCCGCCTCGGCCTCCCAAAGTTCTGGGATTACAGGCGTGAGCCACTGCACCCAGCTGTGTCCACAAGTTTTGAAGCAAGAGACCTCAAGCTTAGAATCATTGATTTACTTATTCATTAAACATTAATTGAGTGCCTTTTGTGGGACAGCCATTATATTAGGCAGTATAAATACAAGATGAATAAAACATAGCCTCTTCCTTACAACCCAGCAATGGAAGCAAAATCTGAACAATTACAATACAATGGGTTGTGTAGAATTGAGTTAAACACAAAATTTTATGAATCCAAGGAAAGTACATGACTAAAACATACTGGGAAGTCTTCACAAATTAGGTAAATGAGGTAAAAGTTGCATCTTCCTTGAAAGGTTCAGAGAATTTGGCCAAGTTGAAAAGAAGGAAAAGTGTTGTAGATACAGGAACAGCTTGTAAAAGAGGATGAAGGGATGAAAAAAGCATCTTGTATTTGGAGAATGGTAACTAATTCTAAGAGTTTAGAGTGTAACGTGTGTAGTGAAAGTGAAAAGATATGTGACTGTAATGATAACAAGATAGGTGTTCATAAAAGACTTTGAATACCATCCTCCAGCTGGCAGGGAGCCACTGAAACTTTTCATCATGGGATTGGCATTTGCTAGACATGCAATTACCATGAAACTCACCACAATAAAGCTTTAGGGCCTGTCACTTGCATGGACCCTTCCAAGAACCTGGGAAGATCCCAAGCAATGTATCCCTGTGGCCATATATCTTTCTAAAATTTGAAAAAGTAAGATATAAAAATCATTTACTTTACAGAGGGCTCCTCCAACTGGATAATATTCAGCCTTCTCAAAACTTGGATCTTCTCCTGGCATGATCTTTGGTTAAGAAAGCTGTCCTTGACAATGGGATGGAGGATGGCATGGAGGGGGAAGAGACTGGTTGGAGGCTCTTACAAATGTCTCAGAGATCATCGGAACTGAGCTAAAGCAGTGGCAGAGATGATCATGAGAGGGGGAAGGTTCTTAGGAGGGAGAATCAACAGGATTTATGAAAGATACACGAACCAAATGGGTGGAAGGAGTTCTTGGAAGACTCAGATTTTTAGTGCGTGCCTAGAGGGATGGTGTTACCATAACTGCAAAGTGGAGTATATGTTTGAAGGCTGAAAAGACACTAAATTGTCTTTGGTAGGGGAAAGGATCATGACAGAGGAGTGGTCAATGGTGTTAGCTACTTAAAAACGAGATGGATTAAAATGAGGATTGTCTATTGAATTTGGTGATTAGGAAGTCACTGGTTACCTTAAGAAACAACAAAGAATGGATTCATTGGGTGATGTTAATAGAACTTAGTTTGTATCAGCAAGCAGATAATAGCATTCTCCGCGCACTCCTCATCACCCTCATGAGTTCAAGGGCAGAACTTTGGGGAAAGGGTGAGGGATTATCTATCGAATGAAAGGACTCAGTGTAACTGAGGAGAGGGACATTCACTCTGTGGAAAAGGGATTCAGGCATAGGGAAATGAAATGGCGACTCTGTAGTGGAGCTTGGGAACAAGGGCATGTTGGGATTAAAGCCCAGTTGCTTGGACACAAGCTGCTGGAAGGACTAGAAGTTAAGCTGTGCTGATGCCGAAGCACTCCAGCATTGCCACAGCATGCTCCCAATTCTTAGGGTGAATATAAGGTTGTCTTTAGATTCCAGGGCATAGCCAGGCCTGCAGTTTCAGAGCAAGCGAGCTCAGCAATTCAGCAGGCAAGATGAGGGGATCAGGTAGAGCATCACAGGAAGAAAGAATTTATGGTGGTGGAAGGGATGCAAAGCAGCTCCTCTCCCCTCGATGATCTGGAATCTAAAGTCAGCACTTCCTAAACTCAGAGGGGAGATTCGGCCCATTGCCCTTTATTTCCAACAATAGTACCATAGTCTTTTGAATTTATCATGTGATTATATTGAGGTATTAGGGAAGAAAAACTGGTGATTTTACTAAAAGATTCCTAAGGGGAATCAAGAAAGACACAGTATAGGTTTGGGGACTATTCACTAAAGCACTCCTAGCAGCAAAAACCAAAAGAAACACAGCTGGAATCATTTTATGAATTGCAGGCAAATTGCAAGATTGAATTTAGTCAAGATAATTGGTTTTTAAGTATGTCCTTTTCTCTTTCTCCTATCTGATATTATTAACATGAAGTCCTTTTAAATATCAATAATTTAAGTGTAATTTAATTTCTTTAATGAAATTGTTTAATAATTTGAGAACATAAGGATAGCTTTAGAGCAGCCCCAGCAGGAGAGGTGGTGGAAGCATTCAGCCTTGGAGGGGAAGGAAGGTGCTTGCATCTCTCCAGCGTGACTCTGGTAGATGCCTATGGAGTCCCTTTGAAAGGCCTTCTGTTTTAAGTTCCCCCAGCTGAATGCAAGGGGACTGCATGCCAAATGCCATTCAGGAAAGTGTAATAAAACAGGCAGTAATCCAGTAGTATTGGATACAGTTCCTCTGCCCGCAAACTCTAGGATTTAAGCAAAGTCGGAATATGGAAAACAGATTGGACTGTCAGCCCCAGAGCCTGGAATTGAAAGACATTCACAGTCTACTTTTTGTGAAAACACTGAATCATATTCAGCTCTTGTTAACTTGAAAATATTACAAGTCTGAGTTTCTCTGTCACGTAATTTATGGAGCTAAATTTTTGGAACCTGGAACCAAGTAGAGGGCTTTATATATATCTCTATTAAATGTCATCTTGTGATTTTGAATGAGGCCAAGTTTCCAGGCTGTTCAGTGCTCTAGGAATAGAGTTTTAGCTATTCAATACATTGCCTATTTCTCCCAGCTTTGTGCCATTTGCAAATATTATAATTATACCATTGTCACCTTTATCCAAATAATTGAAAATGTGAGGAGGACAGAGACAAAGCTCTTTAAGCCCTGCAAAATTTCCTGTGGGTTGGCATGGATTAATTAATGGGGGAAATGGAAGGAAAACAGATTTTATGGAACATCTACCATGTTTCTGATACTACATATAACTCTCCGCATACATTATCACATTTAATCTTTAATCAGAGTTACACAGCTAGCAAGTGCTGAACTTAGATTTTGATTCTACATCTCTCTAAATCACGCTGTTCTAGTAAACCTTATTGCCTCCAATTAATTGAAGTTCTTTACTTGGTTTTTCAACCTCCTACAAGTCTACCAAGCTATGTTTTCTTCCAGACCACATTTCTGCATCTTGTCCAAAGGAGATATCTGGCTGAAATCCAAGTTTGAATTTCCCTCAGAGGCATACTGAGAGCTGTGATTTGAACCCAGGAAGATGGTCTCCTTCAGTGCCTTTTCTCTAGTTAGGCAGGCTTACTGTTCATTATAAAAGATGCAGGTACCCTAAGCTCATGATTCCTCTCCTATAAAGTAAGCCACTGCATGTGTGCAGGCATTACCTGGCCCTCATTGCATCACTTTGTGAGAATTGAGGCTAGAGTAACTGGTATGAATGCTGATCTTCTGGATACTACTATTGTTGTGAGTAATAAAATCCTTTGTCTCTGATCTGAGTATCATGTCTTTTTCTATGAAACTGTGGGAGGCTAACTTGTTAGCTTTCAATTAGATTAAAATCTCAAATAGAGAAGAAAATAGCAGATGGGAGACAGGACTAATGTGTAGCTCCCACTTGGACAGGCAAAACAGTGTCTGGAGACTCACATTGTGAACTCTCGCTCCAAGAACCACCTCAGGAACATACCAGGAAAACGGAAAGAATTCACAGACCCTTTGAAAGAAGCACTTGCTGCTGCAAATGCCATAAGATAGATGAAAAACTGTGAATTATCAAAGTGTGAGAGGGGGAAATGTCAGCCTCCGAACACACATCTCCATGGGAGAACCAGAAAATCTGAATCATGGGAATGATTCAACCTTACCTAGGCTGAAATGGGTTTAGGGAGCCAAGTGAAATATAAAAGTAGAAGAAGTGGGAAAAGCCCTGTAGGCACTCCGAGTCCCCAGCTTGAGCCCAGGGAAGCCATTACTGGCCTTATCTCACAGAGGTCCTTGGGGAAGGGAAGGGAGCCAGTGAAACTGGGGAAGGGCCATAGGGTGAAGGATGCTCCTTGCTGAACTTTGTAATAATTTTGACTGAGCACAAATTTTCCTGAACAGAATCTGGGATGAGGGTAGGGAATGAAGGGAAAGTATAGATATGAGTGCAGAAGTCACAACAGGCAGGCAGGGAGGGGTGAGGCCTGAGAGCCCCGCTTGCTTTCTCAGTGGGGAGGCTTACAGCCTGGGGCAAGATCTGAGCTCTGTTCACTGGCTGCCTTGGTATAAATTCTGCAGTTGGTGGTGGGGGTGGTGGTGGGGCGCACAGTGAGAATGAGACTGGCCTTGCTGGCTGGATGGAAGCTGGGTGAGACTTGTCACTGCCAGCTCTCTCCCCCTTCCCTGGCAGCCTGTATGATGCAGCAGAGGCAGGCATAATCCCCCTGGGAACATTGGCCTAAGAACTACACTCCTATCCCCACAGTGGCCACAGCAAACCCCACCCAGGGATAGTCTTAACTCAGACCTCCCCAACTCTGCCCCCGCCTGATGGTTTTTCTCTACCTGCCATGGTAGCCAAAGACAAAAGACTCTTGGGAGCTCTATGGCCCCACCCATTGCCTGAAAAACTCAAGTGTTCATCCTGGCCAATGTAGGGCAAGATTATATTCCCCTCTTACTACTACAGCTGGTGCTTTCTTGAAAGCACCACCTCCTGACGGGAGGCCAACCAATTCAAGCCGTTACAGCAACTCATAACAGAACAACTCTGCTCCAAAAATAGAGAAAAAAACCAGCTAATTCCATTACCTACTACACCCTGGCTAACCAGAGGTCCTGAGTCTGTCCACATGACAGCTTCACTGCTAGCATAACCAGCATTTGAGAAAACCAGCACACTAAACAAAACTACAAACAAGGACTCCCACAGAGTCCAGTTAACTCCCCTGCCACCTCCACCAGAGCAGGTGCTGGTATCCATGGCTGGGAGATTTGAAGATGGATCACATCACAGGACTCTGTGCAGACTTTCCCCAGCACCAGCCTGGGGCCCAGTAGCCTTGCTTGGTGGCTAGACCCACAAGGGCAATAACAATTGCTGCAGTCTGGTTCTCAGGAAGCCCCATCCCTACAGGAAAGGGGAGAGCATCACACTGAGGGATCAGCTGATGGGACAAAAGAATCTAAACAGCAGCGCTTGAGTTCCAGATCTTTCCATTGAAAGAGTCTACCCAAATAAGAAGGAATTAGAAAAGTAATTCTGGTAATATGACAAAATGAGGTTCTATAACACTCCCTGAAAGATCACATTAGCTCTCCAGCAATGGATCCAAACCAATAAGAAATCTCTGAATTGCCAGATAAAGAATTCAGAAGGTTGATTATTAAGTTACTCAAGGAGGTACTAGAGAAAGGTAAAAACCAACTTAAAGAAATTTTTAAAAATACAGGATAAGGATGAAAAAGTCTCCAGAGAAATAGATATCATAAGGAAAAGACAATCACAACTTCTGGGAATGAAAGACACACTGAGAAAAATGCAAAATACACTGGAAAGTTTAAACAATAGAATTGTGCAAATAGAAGAAAGAACTTCAGAGCTCTAAGATAAGTCTTTTGAATTAACCCAGTCTGAAAAAGATAAAGAAAAAAGAATAAACAAAAATGAACAAAGTCTCCAAGAAATTTGGTGAATAGGGAATACTTTTACACTGCTGGTGGGAATGTAAACTGTACAACCACTACAGAAAACAGTACACAGATTCCTTAAAGAACTAAAAGTAGATCTACCATTTATTCTAGCAATCCCTCTACTGGGTATCTACCCAGAGGGAAAGAAGTCATTATGTGAAAAAGACAGTTGCACATGCATGTTTATAGCGGTACAATTTGCAATTGCAAAAATATAGAAACAGCCCAAATGCCCATCAATCAATTAGTGGATAAAGAAAATGTGATATATATATCTTTATCCACATATATATATGTGGATAAATGTATGTATTTATAAATATATGTATTTATACATATACACCATATATATGTGGATTATATATATGTGGATATATATATATATGGTGTATGTGTATAAATACACCATGGAATACTACTCAGCCATAAAAAGGAATGAAATAATGGCATTTGCAGCAACCTGGATGGAGTTGGAGACCATTATTCTGTGTGAAGTAACTCAGGAATGGAAAACCAAACATGTTTTCACTTATAAGTGGGAACTAAGATATGAGGATGCAAAAGCATAAGAATGACATAATGGACTCTGGGGACTTGAGGGGAAGGGTGAGAGGGAGGTTGGGAATAAAATACTACACATTGGGTGCAGTGTACATGGCTCGGGTGATGGGTGCACCAAAATCTCAGAAATCACACCCAAAGAACTTATCCATGTAAGCAAACACCACCTGTTTCCCAAAAACTATTAAAATAATAATTAAAAAAACAAAAAAGAAAGCAGCATGATAATGTGTTCAACATTTTTAACACATTAAAAAAAAATTTCAGACCCTTCATAGTTATTTTATTTATTTTATGGGTAGATAGCAGATGCATTTATTTATGGGGTACAGGAGATATTTTATATATGCATACAATGTGTAATAATCCTATCAGGCTAAATGCAGCATCCTTTACTTCAAGCATTTATCATTTTTTTCTGTGTGTTACAAACATTCTAATTAGTCATCTTAAAATATGCAATAGGATGGGCATGGTGGCTCACGCCTGTAATTCCAGAACGTTGGGAGGCCTAGGAGGGCAGATCATGAGGTCAGGAGATCGAGACCATCCTGGCTAACACGGTGAAACCCCTTCTCTTACTAAAGATACAAAAAATTAGCCGGGCATGGTGGCACACACCTATAGTCCCAGCTACTCAGGAGGCTGAGGCAGAAGAATTGCTTGAACCCGGGAGGCAGAGGTTGCAGTGAGCCAAGATCGCACCATTGAACTCCAGCCTGGGCAACAGAGCAAGACTCCGTCTCAAAAAAAAAAAAAGTGCAATAAATTATTATTGACTGTAGTCACACTATAGTGCTATCAAATACCAGATCTTATTCATTCTATTTAACTATATTTTTGTATGCATTAACCATTACCTTTCCCTTGGCTCCACTACCCTCCCCAGCATCTAGTAACTATCATTATACTCTATATCGCCATGAATTAAATTTTTTTCATTTTTATCACCCACAAATGAGTGAGAACATGCAAAATTTGTCTTTCTGTGCCTGCCTTATTTCACTTAACATGATGTCCTCCAGTTCTATCCAGGTTGTTGCAAATGACAAGATCTCATTCTTTTTTCATGGCTGAATAGGACTACATTGTTTATATATACCAAATTTTCTTTATCCATTCATCTGTTGTTGGACACTTAGGTTGCTTCCAAATACTAGCTATTGTGAATAGTGCTGCAATAAACATAAGAGTGCAGATATCTTTTCAGTATACTATTTTCTTTCTTTTGGGTATATACCTAGCAGTGGAATTGCTGAATCATATGGTAGTTCTATTTTTAGTTTTTTTGAGGAACCTCCATACCATTTTTCATAGTGGCTACACTATCTTATATTGCCATCAACTGTGTGCTAGAGTTCGCATTTCTCCACATCTCTGCCAGCATTTGCTGTTGCCTATCTTTTGGATAAAAGCTATTTTAACTGAGGTGAGATGGTATCTCATTGTAGTTTTGATTTATATTTCTCTGGTAATCAATGATGTCATGCACTTTATCATATACCTGTTTGCTATTTGTATGTCTTCTTGTGAGAAATGTCCATTCACATCTTTTGCCTATTTTAAAATTGAATTGTTAGATTTTTTCCTATAGAGTTTTTTGAGCTCCTTATATATCCTGGTTATTAATACCTTGTCGGATGGGTAGTTTTCAAATATTTCCTGTCATTCTGTGCGCTGTCCCTTCACTTTGGTGATTCTTTCCTTTGTTGTGCAGAAATTTTTTAACTTGATGTGATCCCATGTGTCCACGTTTGCCTTGGTTGCCTGTGCTTATAGAGTATTACTCAAGAAATCTTTGCCCAGACCAACATCCTGGAGAGTTTTTCCAAAGTTTTTTTTTTTTTTTTTTTTTTTTTTTTTTGTAGTAGTTTCATAGTTTGAGGTCTTAGATTTAAGTCTTTAATCTATTTTGATTTGATTCTTGTATATGGTGAGAGGAGATAGGGGTCTAGTTTCTTTCTTTTTCTTTCTTTCTTTCCTTTCTCTCTCTCTCTCTCTCTCTCTCTCTCTTTCTTTCTTTCTTTCTTTCTTTCTTTTTTTTTAACTCTTGTTGCCCAGGTTGGAGTGCAAGGGTGCGATCTCGGCTGACTGTAACCTCTGCCTCCTGGGTTCAAGCAATTCTCCTGCCTCAGCGTCCAGAGTAGCTGGGATTGCAGACATGAGCCACCATGCCCAGTTAATTTTGTATTTTTAGTAGAGATGGGGTTTGTTGGACAAACTGTTAGTCAAGCTAGTCTCCAGCTTGTGATCTCAGATGATCTGCCTGCCTCGGCCTCCCAAAGTGCTGGGATTACAGGCGTGAGCCACCGTGCCCAGCCTAGTTTCATTCTTTTGCATTTGGATATCCAGTTTTCCCAGCATCATTTATTAAACAGACTGTCCTTTCCCCAGTGTAAGTTCTTGGCACCTTTGTCAAAAAGGAGTTCACTGTTGATGTAAGGTTTTATTTTTGGATTCTGTTTCCTGTTTCATTGGTCTATGTGTCTGTTTTGATGTCAGTAGCATGCTGTTTTGGTTACTATAACTGTGTAGTATAATTTGAAGTCAGGTAATGTGATTTCTTCAGTTTTGTTCTTCATGCTCAGGATAGCTTTGGCTATTCTGGGTCTTTTGTGGTTCCAAATGAATTTTTAGGATTTTTTTTCTATATCTGTGCACAATGTCATTGTATTTTGATGGAGATTGCATTGAGTCTGTAGAATGCTGTGGGAAGTATGGACATTTTAACAATATTGGTTCTTAAAATTCATGAATATGGAATATCTTTCCATTTTTTGTGTCCTCTTCAATTTCTTTCATCAGTGTTTTATAGTTTTCATTATAGGGATCTTTCACTTCCTTGGTTAATTCCTAGACATTTTATTTCATTTGTAGCTACTGTAAGTGGGATTACATTTTGATTTCTTTTTCATATTATTCACGTTGGTGTATAGAAATGCTGCTGATTTTTGTCTGTTGATTTTGTATTCTGCAACTTTACTGAATTTGTTTATCTGTCCTAATAGTTTTTTGGTGAAATCTTTAGGTTTTTCCGAATGTAAGATCATATCATCTGCAAACAAGGATAATTTGACTTTTTCCTTTCCAATTTGGATGCCATTTATTTATTTATTTATTTATTTATTTACTTACTTACTTATGAAACAGAGTTTCGCTCTTGTTGCCCAGGCTGGAGCGCAATGGTGCGATCTCAGCTCACCACAACTTCTGCCTCCTGGGTTCCAGAGATTCTCCTGCCTCAGTCTCTGGAGTAGCTGGGATTATAGGCATGCACCATCATGCCTGGCTAATTTTGTATTTTTAGTAGAGATGGGGTTTCTCCATGTTGGCCAGGCTGGTCTCAAACTCCCGACCTCAGGTGATCTGCCCTCCTGGGCCTCCCAAAGTGCTAGGATTGCAGGTGTGAGCCACCGTGCCCAGCTATTTCTTTCTCTTGTGTGATTGCTTCAGCTAGGACTTCCAGTACTATGTTAAATAACAGTAGTGAAAGGTCCTTGTTGTGTTCCAGATCTTAGAGGAAAGGCTTTCACTTTTTCCCCATTCTGTAAGATACTAGCTGTGGGTTTGTCCATATAGGGCTTTTATTTTGTTGAGGTATGTTTCTTCTATACCCAGTTTTATTTTTAGGGTTTTTATCATGAAAGGATATTGAATTTTATCAAATGCTTTTTCAGCATCAATTGAAATGATCATATGGTTTTTGTCCTTCATTCTGTTGATACAATGTATCACATTAATTGTTTTGTGTGTGTTGAACCATGCATGCTTGCATCTCTGGGATAAATCCCACTTCATCATGATGAATGATCTTTTTAATACATTGTTGAATTCAGTTTGCTAGTATTTTGTTGAGGATTTTCTGCATTCATGTTCATCAGGGATATTGGCCCGTAGTTTTCTTTTTTTTTTTTTAATGCGTCTTTGGTTTTGGTATCAGGGTAATACTGGCCTCATAAAATGAGTTTGGAAGTATTACCTCCTCCTTTATTTTTTAGGATAGCTTGGGTAGGATCAGTATTAGTTCTTCTTTAAATGCCTGGTAAAATTCATCATTGAAGCCATTGGGTCCTGGGACTTTCTTTGCTGGGCTTTGATCTCGTTACTTATTATTTGTTATTATTTAATCTCGTTACTTGTTATTGGTCTGTTCAAGTTTTGGATTTCTTCATGGTTCAATCTTGGTAGTTTGTATATATCTAGGAATTTATCCATTGCTTCTAGGTTTTTCAGTTTATTGGTATAAAGTTGTTTATTGTAGCCTCTAATGATCCTGTGAATTTCTGCAGTATCAGTTGTAATATCTCCTTTTTCATAACTGATTTTATTTATTTGGGTCTTTTCTCATTTTTCTTAGTAAAATGTTTATTTATTTGGCTATTTTTTCTTAATAAAATGTTTATTTTGTTTATTTGGGTCTTCTCTTTTTTCTTAGTCTGGCTAAATGTTTGTTGACTTTGTTGATTTTTTTTCAAAAAGGGAACATTTTATATCATTGACCTTTTGTATTTTTTTCATTTCAATTTCATTTATTTCTGCTCCAATCTTTATTACTTGTTTTCTTCTACTAATTTTGGGTTTGGTTTGGTTTGCTCTTGCTTTTCTACTTCTTTAAGATGCATCATTAGGTTGTTTATTTGAAGTTTTTCTACTTTTTAAGTATAGTTGCTTATTGCTACAAACTTTCCTCTTAGTACTGCTTTTACTATATCCCATAGGTTTTGGGATGTTGTGTTTGCATTTTAATTTGTTTCAAAAAATTTTTAATTTCTTTTTTAATTTCTTCATTGACTCACTCACTGATCATTCAGTAATGTATTAATTTCCATGTGTTTGTATAGTTTCCATGTGTTTGTTGTTGGTTTCTAGTTTTATTCCAATGTGATCAAAGAAGATACTTGATATAATTTCAATTTTTTTTGAATTTTTAAAGACTTGCTTTTTGGTCTTACACATGGTCTATCCTTGAGAATGATCCATGTGCTGAGGACAACAAAGTGTATTCTGCAGCCATTGGATGGAATGTTCCATAAATATCTCTTAGGTACATTTGATCTATAGTGCAAATGAAGTCTTATGTTTCCTTTTTGATTTTCTGTCTGGATAATCTGATGAATGCTGAAAGTGGGGTGTTGAAGTGTCCAGCTATTATTGTATTGGGATCTATCTCTCTCTTTAGCTCTAATACTATTTGCTTTATATATCTAGGTGTTCCAGTTGGGTGCATATATATTTAAAGTTGTTATATTCTCTTGCTGAATTGACCCCTTTACCATTATATAGTGACCTTCTTTGTCACTTTTTATAATTTTTGTCTTGAAATCTATCTTGCCTGATATAAGTATCAGACAAAAAAGAGCTACTCCTGCTTTTATTTTGGTTTCCATTTGCATGGAATACCTTTTATTCCTCCCTTAATTTTCAGTCTATATGTGTCTTTATAGGTGAAGTCTGTTTCTGGTAGGCAACAGATCACTGGCTCTTGTTTTTTTTTTTAATCCATTCAGCCACTCTGTGTCTTTTCACTGGAGAGTTTAGTCCATTTACATTCAATATTATTGTGGATAAGTAAGAACTTACTCCTGCCATTTTGTTGTTTCCTAGTTGTTTTGTTGTCTTCTCTTCCTATCTTCTTTTCTTTTGTGAAGGTGATTTTCTCTGGTGGAATGTTTTAATTTCCTGCTTTTTATTTTTTATTTCTTGGTTGCAGGTTTGTTTAATTGAGGCTACCATGAAGCTTGCAAATAAGACCTTATAGCACATTATTTTATTTTATTATTATTTTTTTTTTCCTTTTTTTTTTATTATACTCTAAGTTTTAGGGTACATGTGCACATTGTGCAGGTTAGTTACATATGTATACATGTGCCATGCTGGTGCGCTGCACCCACTAATGTGTCATCTAGCATTAGGTATATCTCCCAATGCTATCCCTCCCCCCTCCCCCGACCCCACCAGAGTCCCCAGAGTGTGATATTCCCCTTCCTGTGTCCATGTGATCTCATTGTTCAATTCCCACCTATGAGTAGCACATTATTTTAAACTGAAAAAAACTTAACAAGGACTCTTTAGCCAGCAGCTGATGAATTCTGCTGGGACTAGGTCCTTCCCTTCAAGGCAGTGGGTTCCCTTATGAACCAGGTGTGTTTAAAAATTTCTTCTTGGAGATAGGGCCTGGAATTGGGGTCTCCAGACTCTGCCTATTGCCTTCTTATACTGTGGCTGAGCTGGTAACCATAGCCGAATTGCAAGGCCAAGCCCTCTTTAATAGCCTCTCTCTTCTCCTCAAGCAGAAGGAACGAGTCTCTCCTGAGGCTGCAAGCTATGTTGCCTAGGGCTGGGGGAAAGGTGACACACTTTGGGCATCCCTGCTGGTGTCTCACTAAGTCACATGCCCCCCAAGTCCACTGGCTCTGAGCCCAGCACAGCATGAGGATTTGCCCAGGAATTGCAGTCCTTGTGGCCTAGATTGCCTTTCAAGTTTATTTAGGACACCAGAGGGCTTTAGCCCTTTGTGGTGGGACTTCCCAGAACTCAGATTCCGACCACTGGCTAGGGCAAGTCTAAAGGCTCCCTCTGTAGGTGCCAGTCAATTTCTGCCCTGTGTTGCTTTCTGCTGTTACAGGACAGCACTGAGTTCCAGTCCAAAATCTCACAAACAACTGTGCTTTCCATCCCCCAAGCACATAGATTCTCTCTCTGTGTCATGGAGTTGCTGCTAGGGGGATGGGGAGGGGTGGTGTCAGCAGTTCAAGACTGTCTTTTCTACCTACCTTCTTCAGTGCCTCCTTCCTTGATAAGATGTTAAAACCAGGTACTGTGATTGCTTACCTGATTTTTGGCTGTTATGAAGGTGCTTTTTTTGTGAGTGGGTAGTTGTTCAATTTGTGTTACTGTGGGGAGGATGATTGCTGGAGGGTTCTATTTGGCCATCTTAATCAGCCTCTTCCTCCCAGACCTTTCATCATTTTTAACTGCCTCCATATGGAGTGTATGATTCTTTCAACTACTAGTAAAGCACCAAAACTGAAAAGTAACCTGATATTTTGAGAGAGCTAGTTGCTGTCCGATGATCCAAATATCTTTGATGAACTGCTGTCATGTAGTATATCCCTGGTATCAGCTGCTGCTCTTCTCCACCTCTCTTAAATAACAAATACAATGTGTAAGTGAGAATATCACTTTCTGGAGGTAGCCAAGAAGCTTAATTCTGGTTGAGAATATCTTCAAACAGAGCTTCCAACCTAAGTTTGCAAAATAGACGAGGACCTTGCTGAGTTGACTTGCTTGGTTCCCTTAAGGGATGTGGACCCATTTGGATGGATAAAATAAACATAGAGAAAAATCACTCAACTTGGATTTTTATTTTAGAGCTTGGCACGCATCTATCAACAACAGAACCTATCTAGTGCCAAGAGAAACAGGAATTCAGGAAAAGGGCTGTTCTTTAATAAATAACACTTGTTTGAGAAAATCTTACACGTTTACAGGAGGAACTATAGTTGTAGAGTTGGCTCAGAAAAAGTGAACATTAGAGTGTACAAAGAATAATAATTTTATTTTAATAAAATGATTCTGAATACTGTGCATTTTCAGAATATGAGGCAAAAGATTGTGAGTTTTCAAAATTTTCAGTAGATTTTAGGAATGTTTTCCTAAGTTGTATGCAAAAGACATACACTTGAAAGGTTGAACCCAAAGGTTTTATTCAAACTACTTAAAATTTCATGCACATATCTAATCTCTTCCAAAATTTTCTGCTTAGCAGCTCAGGCGCAGGGTTTGTGTGAAAAAACTCAGTCCTTTTACTCAGGACCCTGTGTGAAAAAATAGCCCAGATATGTGAGCTCCCAGGCAGGGTTTGGTCAGTGGCGCATTGGAGCACAGATTTTAAATATGAGTATATGGATTTTCCTTCTTTTTAATTTTGCAATTAAATTAATGGTAATAAGGGCAGAGAACTAGTTGGTGGCTGGTTTTAAATGAAGACAACATTGGCTGCGGCTGGGCCGATCCTGGCTTCTTCACTGTAGGCTTCCCATAGACCAATAGTTCTCAGACTTCAGAGAACATCAGAATCCCTGGAAGCTTGCTGTTTTAGTCTCACACCGCACTCTCCCAGAGTGTCTGAGTCATTTGGTCCGGGGTAAGCCTGAGAATTTGCATTTTTAGGAGCACAGTTAGAGAACAACTGCCCTGGTCCTTTCCTGTGTGACAGTATGTTGCCTCTTGCCTCAGAGTGGGAAGCTCATTAGAAAGAAAATATTCAGTCTTTTTTTCCATATTTGCCTCAGGGAAGGCATGAACTTTTGTTTTCCAGGGGACCTTCCTTCCACTTTCTTTTGATTTTTGTTTTTTATTGTATGCCTATTTTACTTAAGTCAAAGTGAAATCCTGCTATAACATATACTGAACTCAAAGACAGTTTGAGCCCTTCATTTCATTTTTCTTCCTTCCATCATCTTTTCTTTCTCCATGTGTGAAGCAATACCTATTACCTTTTGGGTGATTTTTCTGGACAAAATAAATTTATATTATGCATGCCTCCTCTGCACTGCAAATAAGTGACAATGTAAATTCTTTGTGGAGTGGGAAGGAACCAGTTTTATTTTGCTCTTAGTCTTTGTTTATTGAATTTCTGAGTGTTGTACATCAACAAACTAACTGTATACCCTTTAAGGCCAAGACCCCATTTGGACTTGTGTTTTTGGTAAATGGTTGCTGTTTATTTAATGATGGCCTTTAACCTGGCTGCTGTTGTACATTTTTCTCATTATAATATCTTTGTCAGGTTCTTCATCCCAATGTACCCATATTTGTCACATTTGAAATTTGTCATATTCAATTTAGTATATTATTTCTAGAAACCAATTAGTGGCCATTGTTGAAGAGCCTAACAGGGTTTATGCTTTCAGTTGACTGATAGGCATACAATGGCTGCTTGGAGCCCTGATTGAGAAAAATTTTGACTGTATCTGAGCTCAGTGGGGAAGAATGCCATCATCAGTCATGTCAATGTTGAGTCTTGTGGGGAACATGGCTGCATGTGAATCCCATGTTGGTGGACTCTGGCTTGTTTTAATATCATATGCAAATAGGAAAGATCAAGCAATTTGATCCTGAAATGTCAATAAGTACTGAAACAGTGATACAGGAATTAGAAGATCCTCAGTTCTTTAACTGTAAAATAAGGATAATGATATGTATTCATTAGAGGATGCTGTTAATCTAGGAAAGAGATTCAAAAGAGGGGGCCCTATTGCAATGAGAAGGTGTGTTGGAGAAACCGTGGCTGGAAGGCAGCGTGGCGAGGACGCAAGAGAGCCAGCTGGGAGTTCAAGCCCCACCTTTTCACTTACCAACCCCTTTTGCTTAATCTTGCTGAGTCTTAATCTCTTAATCTGCAAAATGGTAATTTATCTATTTCTTGAAGTTTTGATAATTAAATGAGTTACATGCAAAGAGCCTGGCACATAAGTGTTCAATAAGAGGCTGTTATCAATGACGTGCTAGTATTTAGGATGGAAGATCTGGAAGAACTGCTAAAAATATTTGAAGATGATGAAAGGATAAATATTTTCTGTGTGATACGAGAATTCGGGCCAAAGGATAAACAGTATACAACAGAGAATTACATTGAATACAAGAAAGAACCTTCTAAGAAGCAAGAAGCAAACAATGGGATGGGTTTCTGTGTGGGGCAGTGAGTTACCTAAATCAGAAAAAATATATATATTTTTTCTTTTTTTAAATTTTATTATTATTATACTTTAAGTTTTAGGGTACACGTGCACAACGTGCAGGTTTGTTACATATGTATACATGTGCCATGTTGGTGTGCTGCACCCATTAACTCGTCATTTAGCATTAGGTATATCTCCTAATGCTATCCCTCCCCCCTCCCCCAACCCCACAGCAGTCCCCAGTGTGTGATGTTCCCCTTCCTGTGTCCATGTGCTAAACCAGAAAATATTAAGAGAGAGGCTGCATGGTTTTGGTCAGACTGTATAAAATATTTCCCGCTTTAGATAGTTGAAGTGTATGATATTGGAAATTTCTCAAGTTCAATTATACTGTAAATTCATGCCAGTGACTTTTGGAAAATCATCCTCTCTGCTCTTATTTTACATTATTCCCAGTGATGACTCTGGTATTCTGAAAGATTTCGATTTCTGTAAGGACTTAAGAGATTCTCATGAAGAAAAGTCATCAAGCCCAGTATTTAAAAAGAAATAAACAAAATGAAGCAACAGATATTCATTCCTTTTCTTTGTTTAAAGCACAATCATAGGTGCTTTGCTTAACCAAGAACTCAAGTGCTGAATATACCCATTTAGCCAGTCTGAGGTTGACATTACTAACAAGAGGATATTCTGAAAAACACATCAGGACATGGCCATTGAGTCCAGCAGCCCCAGGAAGAAGCACATTACTGTGGCTGGACGTTTCTGGTACAGTGATCAGCAGTGAAATGATTAAGAGTGTTGGCATTTAAGTGATCATAATTAGGTTTCAAAGTTAACAACCCATTGAGATAAATAGTGGAAGTTCACACCTCTCTCAGTGCTATTGTTTATCAGACTGTCAAGTTGCAGATTCAGGAAGACAACATTAATGTGGCTTTGGACACTAATTGCCCAGAGCCAAGTTACATCCACCTGGGAAGGTCCTTTGGGTATTTGCTCAACTAAAATGTCAGGAAATAATACAGTGCTGGGATTCTGTATTGCCTAATAGCATACAACATTGCACTGATATTTTGATGCATAGAAGGCAAATGAAACAGGAATATGTTGTAATGTTGCTCAGGAATCTCCTGGTTTAATCATTATATTTGCCTCAGTTTCTCCTTTAAAATGGCAATGGAACTGCTCACTTGAATGAAATGGTTCCTGAGAGAAACGAGAAATTAAATAATTTCAATAACAACAATGACAACAACAAAAACCCCTTTGCTCATATGAGTTCGATTTCATAACCCATGTTATTGTCCTAAAGGAGTTATATGCACATTCTATCAATAGGAAAACACTGAGAGCATAATTAAATTAATTTTCATAGAATTCTGATTCATTTTTTCACAATTAAGTTTACATGCATGATTGCAGCTGTCTGATGTTCAATAAGGGTGGAGATTGTTGTTTCAGTTTGCAAAATATTGATTTTATTTTTCCAAAGACATTCAATAATTAAAGGCAGTGAAAATGCAGGGAGGCGAAACTGCTAAGCCTTAAGAAAGGAATATATTGCAACATTATAGCAGTGGTTTCTTTTCATGAAGTAAAGTTTCCTAAAAGTACAAGGTCATTTGTAGTTCATTATTATCATCAACATGAAATAATTATTGGGCATCTTTTAATAAATTATACCGTTAGACAAACTTAAAGAAAACAATTTTAGAAGTTCCAATTACTTACCATTTCACCTTGAACAGAGTTTTTCTTTGCTTTGCTCTTTTTTGCGTCTTTCTACCCAACAGGTTAGAAAGTGATTCGTGGAATTCTGTTCATTTAAAAAAATTATTTATTTTCATTTTTTTCAACTTTTATTTACATTTAGGGGATACATGTACAGCTTGTTACAAGGGTTTATTGCCTGACATTGAGGTTTGCAGTATGAATGATCCCATTCCCCAGGCTGTGAGCATAATACCCAATTGGTAGTTTTTCAACCCTTGCCCCGCTCCCTCTCTCCTTGCTCTAGTAGTCTTCAGTGTCTGTTGTTCCCATCTTTATTCCATATGCACCTAAAGTTTAGCTCCCATTTAAAAGTGAGAAGTGCAATATTTGGCTTCTGTTCCTACATTAATTTGCTTAGGATAATGGCTTCCTTTTTTTTTTTTGAGACGGAGTCTCACTTTGTCGCCAAGGCCGGAGTGCAGTGGCGTGATCTCGGCTCACCTAAGACTCTGCCTCCTGGGTTCCAGTGATTCTCCTATCTCAGCCTCCTGAGTAGCTGGTACTATAGGCACATGCCACCACGCCTGGCTAATTTTTGTATTTTTAGTAGAGACTGGGTTTCACCATGTTGGCCAGGATGGTCTCAATCTCCTAACCTCGTGATAGCTGCAACTACGTTGCTGCAAAGGACGTGTTTTCATTCTTTTTTTTTTATGGCTGTGTAGTATTCTATGTTATATATATATCACATTTTCTTTATCCAACCCACCATTGGTGGATTCCATGTGTATGCTATTGTGGATGGTGCTGCGATGAACATACAAGTGCATATGTCTTTGTGGTAGAGTGATTCATTTTCTTTTGGATATATACCCAGTAATTGTATTGCTGGGTCAAATGGTACTTCTGAGTGTTTTGAGAAATCTCCAGACTGCTTTCCACAGTGGCTTGACCTAATTTATATTCCCACTAGCAGTGTGTAAGCATTTCCTTTTCTCCACAACATCTGCCATCTGTCATTTTTTGAGTTTGTAATAATGGCCATTCTGACTGGTGTGAGATGGTACCTCATTGTGGTTTTGGTTTGCATTTCTCTGAATGGCATTCTCTTTAATCCTGAGTGCTACCACAGGATGAAATGATGATCAAGGAAATGCTGAAGGCGCCAAGGAAAATAAAGATATAGAAGAAGAGTAGATAAGAAGAGCAGGAGCAAGAATGTAGGGGAGAAGATGAAAAGCAGATAAACTGGAGAACAGGGAGACACCCTAAGCTATGGGGACCATTGTTTTCTTACATCTCAATTGCAAACAATGTCTTGCTTTTGCTTCTTTAAAAGTTTGAAATTTTGCCTTCAGAAATTTCTTCATGAAAAGAAGTATAGCAGAGAGAAATGGCTGTAATGTTTCGGAAAGAATGTGAGGTGTTTTAATTTTTTACTGTTGAATTTTCCAACTGGTATAGCCTTTTGCCTGAGGTTTGGAAGCCAGTCAGCAGAGGATGTTTACACAGACATCTGAGCCAAAGTGGACGGCAGGGCAGACCCAGGTAATCAGTGGAGTCCATCATCCTGTGACTGGGGAAGGATCATGTTTTATTATTGTGTAAATAGGAGTAGACTGGGAACTCCCTTCAGCCAGTTTTTGTGCCTTATTAATTTTAATATCCTCAACCTAAGCTCAATGCCTGGCACAGACTTTATTTTTGTTAAAGGATAAGTGTAGAATTTCTGCTGGACACTTGAAGAATACATTAATCGTCATCTTTGTCAGGAGATAATAAAAACTACTGGGTTATTATGATACTCATAATTTGCATATCATACATTAAGTAATTTATATTTTTCAAAATGATTCCATAGTGCCCTGATCTAATTAGTCGCAAGGCCTTAAGAGCAGAAAAAGCTTCCCTGTGGAAGAAGAAATTCCTCCTATGGACTGCAGCTTCAGTCTGCATGTCAGCCTTCCAGACTGCCCTTCCTCACAGCCTGTCCCGTGGATTTCCACTTGCCTAGACAGCTTCCACAACCGCATAAGCCAATTCTTTGCAACAAATCTCTCTCTCTTTTTTGGATATATAATTCACATACAATAGAATTTACCTATTTAAAGTCTATAAATCAACGGTTTTTGGTATATTACATTATTAATTTTTTAAAAATTGTGGTAAATATATAGACAACAAAATTTGCTGTTTTAGAGATTTTTAAATGTACAATTCAGTGGCTTTATATTATATCAACAATGTTGTGAAACCATCACCACTATGTATTTCCAAATTTTTTTCATCATTCCAAACAGAAACTCTGTAGCCATTGAGCAATAATTCTCCCTTTTCCTTTCTTTTCAGGTCATGGTAACCTCCAATATATTCTCTGTCTCTATGAATTTGACTATTCTAAATATTTCACATGAGTAGAATCATACAATATTTGTTCTTTTGTGTCTGGCTTATTTCATTTAGCATAAGTTTTCAAAGTTCGCCAATGTTGTAGCATGTATCTATGGCTGAATAATATTCTAGTGTATGTATATACCACATTTCATTTATCCATTCATCAGTTGCTGGACACTTGGGTTGAACATTTTGGCTATTGTGAATAATGCTGCAACGAACACTGAATTATAAATATTTGTGTAAGTCCTTGCTTTCAATTCCTGTGGGTGTATACCTAAGAATAAAATTGCTGGGTCATATGATAGTTCTATGTAAGAGTTCTTTACTATATGTATCTCTTACTGGGTTTTCTTCGTGGTTGAACCCTGGCTAATACAAAGGTATGATATGGGGGAAGGAAGAGAAAGAGAGAGCATGACACATTTATAGAACTGAAAGTAATCCATGGTGCATGTTTGCTATATTTGCTCGTTACATTTTTAAAAATTATTTATTTAGGTTTTTTAGAGACAGGGTCTTACTCTGTCACCCAGGCTGAGTGCAGTGATGCAGTCATAGCTAACTGCAACCTTGAACTCCTGGGTGGGCTCAAGTGATCTTCCTGTCTTAGCCTCCTGAGTAGCTAGGACTACAGATATGCACCGCAACACCTGGCTAAATTTTTAAGTTTTGTAGAGATGGGGTCATGTTATGTTGCCCAGGCTGAAATTTTTAAAAAAAAATATAACAATAGAATGCAGTAGAAAATCTTATAATCTCTTCTTGAGTTCCCCACTCACTACCCCTCCTCTCCTGGGATAAGAAATATTCTACATCTGGTGTGTATCCTTCTAATCTATGTTTATACATTTTCAAAATATGTAAATGTGTATAAAGTACTGAGTGTTATAGTTTGAATTTTAGAAATTCACATAAATGGCATAATACTTTATCCATTTTTACCTTGCTTTTTTACTACTATAATTTATTATGCATTTATACAAATTTATACATTTAAATCTAGTTCATTTAACTTCTGAATCTCATTCCGTTGTAAAAATACATTATTTTTAAATTTATTTTAATTTTTAATTTTTTTATTTTACTTTAGGTTCCAAGACACATGTGCAGAATGTGCAGATTTGTTACATAGGTATACGTGTGCCATGGTTGTTTGTTGTACCTATTGACCTGACCTCTAAGTTCCCTCCCTTTGCCCCCAACCCCCCAACAGGCCCTGGTGTGTGTTGTTCCCCTCTCTGTGTCCATGTGCTCTCATTGATCAACTCCCTCTTATGAGTGAGAACATGTGGTGTTTGGTTTTCTGTTCCTGTGTTAGTTTGCTGAGGATAATGGCTTCCAGTTTCATCCATGTCCCTGCAAAGGACATGATCTCATTCCTTTTTATGGCCACATAGTATCCCATGGAAAATACACCATTATTTTTTATGTACTTCCTTATTGATTCTAATTTCCTACTGTTTCAAAGAATGGAACAGTGAATGCTTTTTGCATGTTTTCTTATGAAAAAAGTGGACAAATTAGGATAAAATTAAAGTTGGAATTTTTATTGCTCTTTTATCTGTGGCTAATCTGATGTTTATGACATTCATTGAGTTTTTAATTTCAAAGATCACTTTTTTGAGAAGTTTTATTTGGATTTTTTTTTTCAAATTCTCCTGTTCATTTTACATATTTTCTTATTTCATTATGATATTTCCTCCACTATATAAAGGAAGGGCATAAAGGAAAATAGAAAAGAAAGAGGATGGTGTTGTTAGGACTTGGTAGCTGACTGAACATGGAAAATAAAGAAGAACACAAGGTGAAAATATTAGTGACAATTAACATTTATTGAGCGCTTATGTGTCAGGCACTGTGCTAAACACATTACATGCGTGAACTCATTAATCCTCTTTGCAATAAAGGTATTGGCCCTTGAGCAGTGCCTAGGAACCTAGAGGTTCTTATCAATCTGGAGGCCTGATGAGAATATTGATGTTTACCTGGAGCCTTGGGCCATGCCAGATAGTTTATGCTAACAAGGTGATTTATAGTGGGGGCTTTGGGCTTGACATCTGGAAAGGCAAAAGTTAGCCACCTGGGTGGTCAGCCATGTGTATGTGACTGACCCTTATTAAAAACTCTGAATACTAAGGCTCAGATGAGCTTCCCTGGTTGCCAATACTCCATGCATTTGTGCCACACTATTGCTAGGAGAAGTTACTGCTGTCCATGTGATCCACTGGGAGAAGACAGCTGGAAGCTCTGTGCCTGGTCTCTACTGACTCTGCCCTATGCGCCTCTTCCTTTTGTGATTTGAGTCTTTACTCTTTGGCTGTAAGAAACTGTAATCGAGAGCATAACGGCATTTCTGAGTTCTGTGAGTTCTCGCCAACTGTCTAATGTCAGAGTGGTTTGGGGACTTCTGAACTGCATCCTTACAAGAGCTTCTTCAGGTGGATATTATCATTTTCATTTTTATAGATGAGGACACTGAAGATCAAAGAAATTAAGTAAAGAATAATGAAACTTTGGCGTAAATGAAGACCTGCATGGTTCCCATACCTGCCTATCCTAAACTTTCTAAACCTGTGCTTCCTATGCTTCTGGCATGAGTGACTGGATGCAATTCACCAAGAAGCGGAATTGAGAAGGAATAAGTTTTGGGAGAAGATGCTTGGTTTCTTTTTGTGGCAGCTGGATGTGTGGGTTTAGAGCTCAGAAACAAGGTCTGGGCCAGAGCTATAGATATAGGAGTCATAGGTGGGTGGGGTTGACAATATGGGAATGGATGCCATCATCAAGGTTGAGTATGCAGAGAGAAAAGAGATGGACTGAGAACAGAATCCAAGACTCACCAATATAGAAAGATGGGATAAAGAGAAGGAACCATAAAAGGATACAGAACAAGGGTAATCAGAAAGAAAAAATGAAAACCAGAGAATCATGCCAAGAATATTAAGGGACAAGGGTTTTTTTGTTTGTTTGTTTTGTTTTTTTAAAAGGCAGGGCCAATGGTGTCTAACTTACAAATATGTCACGTAAGATAACTAGTGTCCATTGGATTTGGAAACTAGGAGACCATGGCAAGTGCAGTTTCAGATTAGGGATGGGGACCGGATATAGTAGTAAGGGAGAGTATGGCAATGGGGAGGTAGATAGCTCTTTCTCTGTCACCTGCACTAGTCATCCAGCATTCACTTGATTCCTTGGGATGCTATTTAACTGCTACTTTTCATCTCCCATGGGATTGTGATCTCCTTCAGGTCCCAGCCTGTCTCTGATCCTAAGTCCCAGAGAGAATTTGCCATGCTAATGAATACACCGCTGGTGCAAGTTCTTATTTAATGACAATTAGGTATGCTGAAGAGGGCTCATAAAGGGAGTGGGAAGCCCTACAAAGGGGATTATTCCTGATGGGGTTCAGAGCACACCTGGACAGGCGAGGGCTCATAGGATGCAGTTGTGTTTGGAAGTTAACAGAAACTCTGGATTAGAGATACCCAGTCTCAAATCCTGGTTCTGATACTTTTTATATAACTTTGAGCAACTATTCTAAGTTTCTGTTTCCTTATTTGTAAAAAGGGTATATTAGTTTGCTAGAGCTCTCATAGCAAAATCTCACAGACTAAGTGGCTTTAACAATAGAAGTTTTCTCAGAGTTCTGGAGGCTAAAAGTCCAAGGTCAGGTTTGATTTCTTCAGAGGCCCTGTCCTTGGCTTGCTGATGGCCACTGTCTTGCTGCATCCTCACTTGGTTGTCCCTCTGTGTTCTCTATATCCTGATCACTGCTTCTTATAAGGACACCAGTCATATTGGATTAAAGCCCATCTTAATGACTCCATTTTAACTTAGTTACATCTTTTAAGGTCCTAGCTCCAAATATAGTCATATTCTAAGGTCCAGGGGATTAGGACTTCAACATATTAATTTTGCAGGGAACACCATTTATCCCATAACAAAGGTGATAATAGTAAAACCTATTTCATATGAGTTGGGGAAGAATAATTGAGAAAATATGTATAATACAATTAACACATTTACTTATAGTAACTACTAAATAAATAACCTAGATGAGAAGAAACCTGCAGACCTAGAAAGGAAGTGCTTGCCTAGCTAGAAAAGGAAGTAAAAAGGTTCACTTCCTGGGTCATTTCTTCCAGAATACATTCCCTGACCCACTCCCTTGCCTATAGGAGGGGTCTCCTCTTTGCTCGGGTCATGTCTGCCCATTTCAGGTACATTACTGTTCTCCTGATGGTCTTTCCCCTTGAGGGTGGATTCTTTAATATTAAGAATCATGTCTTTATTCTCGATATCATCAGCATACAATCAGGACAAATTGCACAAACATTTGTGCATTTTTCTCACATTTTTACAGCAGAGGTGTACATAAAATAAATGAGAAATTAAGAATACTAAAAACATTGGTTTGATTCATGAGTATTTTGAATCTTTCAGTGAAGTTGCCACTTAGGTTTCCCTCTTTGAATCAAGGAAACCTAATAAGTTTGCATGGCACGCAATCCACATACTGTTATGCTGTCTCAATTTTAGCTAGCTTTCTCGTTCTTCCTCCCCACTGCCCTAGAGCAAATGCTGAATTTTAATTTTGTAATTTTATATCTAAATTTTAGCTACAGCCTTTTCACAGTTATAAATATATAGATCCCACTCCCCCCGCCCCCGCCAGAAACTCAAAACAAGCTTTATGTAAATTTGCCTTCTCAACTTCATGCACCTGAGTTAAATGAGGCTCATAAGAACGCTTGCAATTCGGTTAATGTTTTCTTCCTGACACAGAATTTTAATTTGGAATTGTATTTTTGAAAAGCGGTATGGTTTAGGAGGCTGCCAATTTAGGAGGTCATTTAAAATGATGCCTTCTCTGTTCAGGGTAGTAAGAGGGCTTCTTCTGGGGTATTAACTAGGCCAAAATTTACCAAGGTCAGGAAGCAACAAACGTCCTTGACACTGAAAAGGTCTGTTCAGAAATCTGAGAAATATCTGGAACTCCAGTTGTTGTTTTTAGTTCTGTTAATGGGCAACAGAATGCTAATTAGTCAGATTAACTAAATGGCTGAGTCATGCCGTAACCCTTCTCAAATAAGAGGTGCCCATTTTGAGATGCTAAATGAAAACATAAAGGCAGCCAACCATACCATTCTTAAAAGATGAGAGAGTACCGGCGAGACTGTTAATGTAGCAAGTGAATTGAGTTTCATATATGTGATTGTGTGAGTGTGTGTGTGTAGATACATGCCAGGTTTCACATCTAGATTCTACTCTAATAAGCTAAGGACTTAGATAAATCCTACAATAAACATACATTTCTAAATTATTTGATCAGATCAATTTATTCTTTAAGGAAAATCTATTCACAATTTTTGTTTGAAATAAAAACTTGAAAACTTAAGAATTAAGTTCCTGAACATTTTGGTTTTGGAAATTGCAAGTAGAAGGGCCAGAATGGTGGAGGCAGGTTCTGAGGTGGGGCTTGTTCTGGGATATGGGCGCTGCAGATTCAGCCACACTGTTTTGGGATATCTTAGCAAAAATATCTTAGGCTTTCTTCAAGAGAAACTAATTTCCCAGTGATATGTTTGGTTATTTTTTTCTTCTCTCAGTTGTTTCAGTGGTTACCTAAATAAGAGGTCTTTAGACAGAATTTCTTCTAAAGGCCTTGGTGGACAGTTCCAAAGTGTTTTCTGTCTTCCTCAATTGTGACTGTTTCAGTTTCTCCCACTCTCAGTACAGTAGGACTGTTAACAAGATGACCAATGCAGGGTCATTGGTGCCGGCTGACTTAAAACAAAAACACACAGGAGAACTTGTAGATGTCAGCTATGATAAGAAGACTAAGATCGTCACGTGTTCTCAATTCTCACAGTATACTGCCAAGCAATGCTGAGAAACAAATGGCTTTTTCTTAGAATGACCTAGACTAAGGGTGTGATTAAGAAACACTTTTGAGCCAGGCATGGTGGTGCATGCCTGTAGTCCCCGCTACTCAGGAGGCTGAAGCAGGAGGATACTTTGAGCCCAGGAGTTTGAGTCTAGCCACTCTGTTTCTCCATATCTTTAAAACCCCTTGGAAGAGGAAACACTCCGATTTTATTAAAAGCAAGTAAGAAAAGAAAAATTCTTTTTGGAATTTTTCCAAATGGAGCTGGGACATTCTAGTTTTGGCGAGAATAAGATTGTGATGTGTGCTGTGGAAAGGTGTCTTAATGAAGGTGAATCTAAGAGAAAGCATGTGGTTGGTGAATGTCACCTCACTGACCTTCCGATATGACTTGGCATGTCCCTGATCATCTTCAGATTTTCTCTAACAGGAGAAAAAGGAATTCCTGGAGAGGAGATGTGTATGTGCCTGTGCTGGCACAGTTGAAAAGTGTAATCAAAACAAAACAAATTTGGCCTACGATACTACATCATTGATGGTGTCATGTTGAGCTATTGTAGAATTAGCTGGGGGCCACAGTCAACATTATTTTAAACAAGATAAGGATACATTATGGTGTTAGAAAGGTCATTCTAGCAGCCAACAAATTAGAGAGGCAGAAGCAGGGAGTACTGAGGGAGGCAGACCACCGGGGAGGCTATTGATGTGACACTCTCTGGGGTCTCTAACCAGGGTGCTTGCCAGACAGCTCTGTCACTCGAAGGGTGGTCACCACCCTGGCAGCACAGACAACCCTGTGGGCTCACTTGAAATGCAAATTCATAGGCCCTGCCCTGACTTATGAATCTGAATCTGTGGGGATGGTGTCCGGGAGACTGTTTTCACATGCTCTCTGGGGAATTCTTACAAACATTCAAGGTTGAGGATGTTGCTGTAAGGGATATCCATGGGAACAATCTCATTCTTCTTTGGTCACCTGCGTGTACACTCATATCCATCTCCCGTTCTGGAGAAACTTGCTTGATATGGTTTGGCTATGTCCCCACCCAAATCTCATCTTGAACTGTAGTTCCCATAATCCCCACGTGTCATGGGAGGAATCTGGTGGGAGGTAACTGAATCATGGGGTGGTTACCTCCATGCTGTTCTCCTGATAGGGAGTGAGTTCTCACGATATCTGATGGTTTTATTAGGGGCTTCCTCCCTGTCCCCTGCTTCACACTGCACTTATCTCTCCTGCTACCATATGAAGAAGGACGTATTTGCTTCCCCTTCCACCATGATTGTAAGTTTCCTGAGGCCTCCCCAGCCATGCAGAACTGTGAGTCAATTAAACCTCTTTTCTTTATAAATTACCCAGTCTCAGGTGTGTCTTTATTAGCAGAATGAGAATGGACTAATACAGTGCTCTTCAGGGTTAACTTTCCATCCTACTGCAATGAGGGAATGCTTTTCAGCAACCAGGGTTCCACTTGGAAAACCACAACTTCCAGGGGATAAATCAGGCCACCTGGGAATAGTTTAGTCTCTTTACTTGAGAGGACTGTTTCATCAGCTTCGATTCATCAGAGGATCTGGGCTGCATAGTAATAATAATCGTCTGGTGACAACCAGCATTTGTTTAAGGGGGAATGGATGATGGCAGAATATAGAGGTCTTAAGTGTTGAACAGCAATAAATCTTCTCTCTTTGTCTTTGTGGGCTAGGATAATACTAATCATTCTCTTCCTTCCTTTCAGGGCTATGCCTAGGCAGAAAAGAAGCAGGCAGAAGCCGAGGGGGAGGTTTCAGGATACCGCAAAGACCTCCAGGAAGGCCTCAAATCCTTCCTGACTGCCAGTGTCCCCTCATGTACTGGACACTCTGAAATTCTATTACTTTCTTTTATTATTTAAGCCTTAGTCACTTAAAATATAAATTTCTTCTAAGTGGATAGTAATTTAATATTACCCTTTAGTGAATTTGAGGAGGACCCCAAATAGGTTTATCGTTACCTTAAAATATACATGTACTGGACAGGTGAGGTGGCTCACGCCTGTAATCCCAGCACTTTAGGAGGCTGAGGCAAGTGGATCACAAGATCAGGAGATCAAGACCATCCTGGCTAACACAGTGAAACCCCGTCTCTACTAAAAATACAAAAAATTAGCCAGGCGTGGTGACGGGCACCTGTAGTCCCAGCTACTCGGGAGGCTGAGGCAGGAGAATGGCATGAACCTGTGAGGCGGAGGTTGCAGTGAGCTGAGATCATGCCACCACACTCCAGCCTGGGTGACAGAGCGAGACTCCATCTCAAAAAAAAAAAAAAAAAAAAATATATATATATATATATACACACACACACACACATATATATGTACTATAGCACCAATATCATATACCTTATACTAATGCACATATAACAATGAAAATATAAGTGTATATCAATTATGCATTTCTCCCAATCCCTAATAGATCGTGTGGCACATTCTGCTTCATTGGTTCCTGCTCTAAAATGCAAGGTCTTAATCTGGGAAAATCCATGATGGGCTCCAAAGTGTTGGTCTACCCCCTGAAATAGTATTTAGAATTGATAAGCACTTTTCTGGAGACAAGGTGTACCTAGAGCTTTCTTGAAGTGCTTTTTCTAAAGGTTAAGAATCACAGGTAACTGAAAGAGGAGCTACAAATAGGAGTTTACAGGGGTGATGCTATCTCTATTTTCTAAATAGGCGAATTGTGATTCAGCAAAATTAGATGATTTCCTCAGACTCCTCCTCCTGCCTCTTCTGGGACAATCTCTATTAATTTTTCCTGTTTTTTATACCTTTAGTTTCTCCCACTGCATGGGTGATTCTCAAAAAAGCTCACTTTCAACAGGAAAGGTAAGTTAATGGTATGTGGTGTATAAGGAAAACAAACCCAAAACCTCTCCATGTCATTCTACTATCTCTGTTTCATTCTCTCCCCTCAACTAAGAACTATTCGCCTGTATTATCTCCCACCCTCTTGCCCATGAACACACTCAGCCTTCTCTATTATAAAAGACATGTCCTTGAAAATTACATGCTTTTTATTCTTTGGGTTCCTACTTCTAAAGCACAATACTGCTCCCATAACTATGGTGCAGACAGTTTCTATTAAACTATGTACCCTCTAATAAGATAATTTGTTGCCTACCTACCTTTCTCTTTCAATTGATCACGAAGGTCTGGGGTAGTATATCATCTTCCTGGACCTGACATAATGCTAGAACAAAGCATGGTAACTCATGAATGCTGAAAAAATGGCTGGATTTCATTGTCTAAAATCATAAATCAAGCTCCATGCTATATAGAATCAACAACTATCCCGGTTTGCCAAATCCTGAGAAGTTTTTCAGGATGAAGAACTTTTAGTGCTACAACTGAGAAAAGTTGGTGTCTCTACTCCTTAATGTGATCTAGACCCTCTATGATCTGGCCCCAAGAAGTTTTTCCAGGCTCAACTTACATTATATCCTCTCGGACATCCAAGGTTCCAAAAAAGAAAAAGTTCCCTTGAAGTTCTGTGAAGATAGACCATTTGTTAAACCTATGATGAGAATGCAGGGCCTAGAGCCTAGTGTCACAAGAAGATGGAGTGGTATTTTGAGTGTATTTGGTTCAACTTGCCCTTAGAGGTCAAATAAGTGGAGCTGATCCAGATTATACAGGAAGGAGTGTGTTTGGTTGGAGGGGCAGGGTGGTTAAGAAGCAAGAAAGAAGTATGATATAGTGCAGGAGTTCTCAAAGTGTGGTCCTTGAATCAGCAGCATTAGTCTTACCTGGGAAGTTATTAAAATGCAAAAGACTAACCCCAACCCCACACTGAATCAGATGCTCGAGGGATGGGGCCCAGCAGTCTGTGTTTTAATAAGCTGTGAACTGTGATGCTTGCACAAGTTTGTGAGCGACTGTATGGTGAATAAACACCTTACTCGGAGTCAGAAAACCTGGATTGTGATGCCAATTGTCATGAAGTATTGGTGAAACTGTGGCCAAGTGGCTAAAGATCTCTGGGCCTCACCTTCTCTATCTGTTAACTGTGGGTAATTCTCAAAAGAGTTGAGAAAGACCCCATGGAGGATCAGAAGACTATGGAGTTTCAGAGCCACTGTACAGTGAAATAAACTATTTCAACTTGCAACTGGAGGTCATATAAGTGGGAATGGCCACTTATGGTGAAAGACCATTTAGAGATGACTCTGTACACTGTCATCATCTCTATGGAAACTCACTGTACATACCCAAGGGCATGTTAGGGATCATTCTTGAGTGTGAAGGCCAGAATACAAAATTTCATAGTGCCAAACCTGGTCAGGGCTGAGATTCATTCTGATTATGGAACAGAACATATCTTAGAGAAAACACTGGCTGTTCTCTCTAATGTTTTCTTAGAAAGTATCTTTTCCCAAATATCTGTGACATACTCTTATTAGCCCATATGCATCTATAATCCTGTAATTTCAACCAGTGTCAAAACCCTAATTTAATTAACAGTTTGATGGACTACCTACTACATGCCTATCACTATGCTAGAGGGATTTTGAGAACCAACCAAAGCCAATGTAATCATCCACATTAAGCTTTTTGGGAAAAAATATTGGTATATTGGTATTAGCATATAAATATAGCCTCAAATAGTTGAAAGTTGGTGAGAGTGATAGATCTCTTTTGGGACAAACTTGATATCAGGTTTTAATGTCAGCAAGGCTCAGCTTGAATTCTGCTGCATATACAAACATTTTTTTAGCCAAGAGTCACAAAAACAGTCATAGAACCTGTTCTGTAAGCTTGATACAAAGTCCTAGCTCTGGATCCCTTTGAGTGCTCCAACAGCTCCTTGCATGAATGGTTCACTAGAGACACAGAGGCAATAGTTTAGTAGCAGGATTTAGCTAAAGTCGCAGCCAGATTCAGGAGAGGAGAATCCTTTGAGTCAGCAGATGGACCCAAGATAATTCCCGAATCAAGCCTCAGGCACTGTTGTTAACTGCATAGGCTATTGAGCTTGCTGGATTTTGATTATGCACGAATGGAATGCTTGTGCAATATTTTGGTCAATAAACACATCTTGATCACTCATTTCACCAGTAAAAAATCACTTTTTACATCCATGATGCTAACAAAGTCTCTGGAGTTGATCAGTTGTCAAGATAGCTGAAATATTGATAGAGCCTCATGTGGAGGGTGAAGTTTCCATTAGAGGCTCTCAATTTCTATCCAACCACCCTGGAATGGATATTCTCAATTAGGGCAGCTGACTTCCCTCTCTCCAGCTAGATGAAAACTACCTACACAACATTATCTGTAGGGGAATATGTTAAAATCGTAGGTACAAAGAAAGAATATTAAATTTCATAATGTACAAAAATGCTATACTTTTGGTTAGAAATTTTTAGTTAAAGATTTGCAATTTCATATGATTCAACCTAAAGACATACTCCTTGAGAATCTCTGAACTTGAGTGCTATCTCCTTGGTTTTCTGATCTGGTTTTTGCTGCTTTCTCGACTGCCCTGCTCCCACCTCCCAAAAAAACTTTGACCTATGTTCTCTGCCTGAGATTGTTTTGTCCCAATCCTTTTCCTGCTGTTACACATCCTTCTGGTCCTATCTCAGATATCCCTTTATACAGAGAACTCTAGACTCTTCAAATATGCCAGGTGTCCTCCTAGGATATCTTAAACCTCCTGTGCTGACTCCCTTCTGAGCACTGTATTGTAAATCCTGTGAACTTGTTTGTCTTGGCCGTTAGGTTGTGAGCTCCTTGAGAGCTGAGGCAGGACCTTCCTCATTGCCAGGGCAGAGCAGAAGGCAGCAAACAACCCCTTGTGCTCCACCATGTGAACGCTTGAGAAGCTTCCTTGGGAGGGTGGAATACCAGGCACATTACAGTTAGGTGCTAAATTTTGGGATATGGTCTATAAGTGCCGTAAACATGGTTAGACGTAGAAAAACAAAGGTGAGGCTGATAGCCAATTAAAAGCATTTTAGAGATGGGGCTATAAGCCTTTGTCCTAAGTCACCCAGTTGTAAGAGACAGTGGAGGAAAACACACAGAACTCTGATTCACCCACTGTGGGACAATGAGGCTTCGATTAACTTCAGAGAGAGCTGCAGGCATCACCAGTTCTGTGCAAAGGTGACAAACACAGGGATGAAGGAGGAATAACAATAACAGTTATACCAATTAAAATAGAAATGGTATCATCTGGGATTACTCAACCAATTAGCATATAATTCAGTGTAATAAGAAATCAGAGAAAGGGAGAAAAAGAGAGGATAAGAACAAGAACACATGCGCCTACCAAAAATAAGAGAGAAAGCAAAAGACTGAAACTGCTGGATTTCAACGTTGGGTACGTCTTTCTCATTTACCAGGAAGAATTGCACCCAAGAAGGAATATAACTCTACCTGCCATTTTGGAGTCCAGCTTATTATCTATTGTAGATTTTGACATCTTACTTAGCCTCGGACAGTCTGATTTTAGGAAGAGTGTACATTATTTACATGAAAACAAATATGAGCATTAGGAGGCATTTTTCCCCTGCGTGCAATTCCTACTAAAGAATTTACATTCTTCTAATTTGCTGCTTTACTGCATCACTTAGTATCCGCCTGAGATGTGCACAATGTCCTCACAGTTAGGAAGGTGCTGAGGAAATTTACTCTTTTTAGCACTGAATCACTTGCTCTCCTCTTTAAAGCCACCAAACTCTCACTTATTTGAAATTCTCTTTTCTAAGCATCTGTTTTGTTTTACAGGTATTAGCTGATCCCAAATCACAATTCAGGCTTGGGAAGACATCTGATTTTAACATTTAATTCTGAGTGTACTGTTGCAGTATTTCCACTCTGATTGAAAATGGCTCTTTAAATAACAAATGCAGAGGCATGTGTTTTATTTATGTTGCAACTGATGAATTATTCTCTAGAATGGGGATTCTGAATGTATTATAGCAACACACAAACATGAATACAATATGGTGGGAGCTGCTTCCTGCAGAGTTAGGATAAACATCATGAATAGCATTAATGTAAACCACATGTATTAGTGGTACCCATCTTACTAGTTCAATAGACTTACAGACCGAAACTGAACCAGAGTGTTTTAGGAAACCAAACATTGAACTTGTGTGATGTCAGGAGACTTAGAGTTTTTTTTTTTTTTTTTTTTTTTTTTAACCTCTAGGAAAGGGAAGGTAAATTTAGTACATTTTCTTAAACACACAGGAATGCTTTTACTTACTGCATTTAGATTTTTAGGACTAAGAATGTCCCAAGAGGCCAACTTTGAAGCCAGCATTTGCTGTGATTTTGGGCTTTTGTCACTTGCAAATTTCTATTAAAATTGAAAGAAATTCAGAAAACCACTGAAGGCCTTTGAGGCATCATAGGACTATACATTTGTAGTCATGCCCACTTAACCTGAAAGAGTAGCTCACTGGCTCATGGAGAATATTTGTGCTTATTGAGGGCAAATCACACAGGTGAGGCTGATCTTCATTAGGACAAGGGAAAGGTGACAGAGGGCTGGTGGGAGTCACATTAATGGAGATCACTCTTTGTAGCGTGTTTTATTTTCAAATGTCAGCAGGGAGTGAACTCTGCTGTGTCATTTTTGCTCAACATTTTATTGATATAATGTGGCTTGACTGGATTATTACAATTATAAGCTATGGGGGCTGTATCCATTACTGCAACCTAGATTTTTAAAAATTCAAAGTCTTTTCTAAAGGGGTTGCTCTTTCATTGTGTTTGTCTCCTGCTGCTTAAATTCCCCCACAGATGTAGTGAGATGGGAATAAGACGTTCCTTGCTCTTCACTGTCTCTTCACTTCTTATTTATTGAGTCTGTACTCTGTACCAGATGTGCTAGGTGCTTTCCATTGTTCTTGCAATAGCACCACTTCCAATTCCACTTCTTCTTTTGTTCCACTGTTACCCGTGGGAGGAGGACCTCCCATCCTTCTTTTCCTGTTTTTACCACCTGTTCCCACTTTTCTTTCTCCACACCAAGACCAGACCTTCCAATGTCTTTAATGGTAACATTAAAATCCATGTTGACAAGATTGGCCACAAATTATTCATTGTTGATGCTGAGTGAAGCATATATTGGGGTTTATTATGTTAATTTTCTACTTTTATACATGATTGAAGCTTTTCATAACAGAAAGCTAAAACACTCCATGTTGATGACTCTTTCCAAAATCCTGGTCTTAGAGTTCTTGAATATAAACTTCACCTCTGTTTCAGTTACCATGGGCAACGGCACATACTGGACTTCCACATCACCCACGCTATTTCTCCTCCAAGATTTCAGACCTTAAGATTTCCTTATCTGGACTCACTTTTCACTTTGCCCACTCCCATTCATTCTCCCTAATTCATCAGTACCCAGATCTCCCATCTCTTTCCTAGTCTCAGTTTTCAGTCTCAGGATCCATTTGTTTTCATTTGGCTTCGATTAATTTCCTGGTTGGGCTGGCTCTTTTGAATTTGGCAATAAAATGATTCTTATACCAGCAGCTTCAATTTCCTACTCACTTTTTATCATATGGTACCTCTTTTTCTAATCTTCATCCCGTGGAAGTCCCACCACGTATTTTTGCCTGTGCTTATTTGCATAGCAAATATCCTCTAGAATAAGGCCACATTAGCATTCATGTACCAGAAAATAGTAAATATTATTCCTTTAGGGACTGTCCTTTGAGCTGGTATTTTCCCTTATTTTCCTTTGTGTCTTAGCTATCTAGAGCAGCACTGTCTGATAGAACTTTTTTTTTTTTTTTTGGTTCAGAAAATTTCTAATTTTAATGTTGAAGATAAGAATATTTTTGTAATAATTAACTAGACCAACTACTTTTTTTTTCCAGCTGTATTGAGGTATGATTGACAAATAAAAATTTGTGTATATTTCAGGTATACAAGGTGATGCTCTGATACATATATTCATTGTGAATAACATATTTATTAGGTCACTTAGTTACCATTTCCTTTTTATTTTTTTGGTATGAACATTTAAAATCTACCTTCTTGGCAAATTTCAAGTACATGATAAAGTGTTTTTAACTATAGTCACATTACTATACAGTAGACATGCTGAACTTATTCATCTTTCATAACTGACGCTAAGTCAAAGAGAATGTCCTAGTTTTCATCTCCTTTACTTCATCCCTGAACGATGATCACAGTACGGGGCCGTTGTCTCTTAGCCAAGTCTTCAGAGCATTCTAGATTCACAGTCTCAGAAGTTGGCATCTGTCATGGAAATCTACATTGTTAGCTCAACTGTCTGATAGAACTTTCTATGATAATTGAAATATTCTGTGAATCTGTGCTGTTCGATATGATAGCCACAAACCATGTGTCCTGTTGAGCACTTGAAATGTGACCAATGAGACTGAGAAACTGAAGTTTAATTTTCTTAAATTTTCACTGATTTACATTTAAATTTAGACACATATGGCTCTAGTGGCTACCATGCTGGACAGCACAGCTCGAGAGATTTGGGACATTGTCTAGTTTCAGCACCATTGCCACTGCCTGGAGAACTTTCCAGCCACGGTGATATGCTTCCTCCTTACCATGAGGAAAGCTGTGGGTTATTTTCTCTCTTTGTGGCACCTTTTTGTTGTCTCTGGGGTAGATTGACTTGATGCTGAGGACAGAGATAGACAACTCAGGGTCATTTGCTCCTGCCTGAGTCTCTTCTGCCAGGGCATCTTTTCTGCTTTATTTCAGCACCAAATGCCTGAGTTCCATTGTCTCCTTCCTGAGTGCTTGCAGTGGCCTCTGGCTAGTTCTCTTGCTGCCACCTTTTGCTCCCCTATAGACCATTCTCCACATGACAGGTAGAATAAATGGTGTAAGGTACATGGATGTGCTTTGGTCAAGGAATAGGCCAAGGCAGATATCAAGGCCTGCATGACTCAGCAGGTTTGGTGTGTAGGTGCATACCTCCACTTGTTATATAACCTGTTTGTGTAAGTTTACATGTGGCTCTGAACCACTATTGTCTGTAAAAGGTATAATTGCCCTGCTAATGCTATACAGGGGCTCTTGGGGATTGGCTCGGCAAAACATGGCTTGACATGGCGGGCCTGCTTGTGCCTAGAGAGAGAGAGAGAGAGAGAGAGAGAGCCAAAGCTGTCTTGCAGACGGACAGGAGGGAGCAAGGACATAGCTCAGCTTGCTGGTGCCCAGAGAGAGAGAGTTGGCCGGGTGCGGTGGCTCACACCTGTAACCCCAGCACTTTGGGAGGCCGAGGCGGGCGGATCATGAGGTCAGGAGATCGAGACCATCCTGGCTAACACGGTGAAACCCCGTCTCTACTAAAAATACAGAAAATTAGCTGGGCGTGGTGGCAGGCGCCTATAGTCCCAGCTACTCAGGAGGCTGAGGCAGGAGAATGGCGTGAACCCAGGAGGCGGAGCTTGCAGTGAGCCGAGATCACACCACTTCACTCCAGCCTGGGTGACAGAGCGAGACGTCGTCTCAAAAAAAAAAAAAAAAGAGTTAACTGTTGACCCTGAATGCAAGGGAGAGCCGGCTGCACAGCTGTGCGTAGGAACCGCCAGCTCAAGCAGCTGAGACAGGGTGGACAGTGTGAGAGAGCTAGTGTGAGTAAGCTGTGGTTGAGAGCTGCTGCTGAATAAAACCATATTCACCTGCCTATGCCCCCGCCGCCGCCCCCGAATGTTCTTTTTGCCCATCCACCCACTCCTCTAGGATTTCAGCATGGGCTGGACCCAGACCCTGGGGCCTGACAAATGGACTAAAATGAAATTCTTCTTCCCCTCTTTTGCCATATCAGGAACGTTAATGTGCTTCAGCCTAGAATGTTTCTCTTCTGCTTTTTGCATAGCTAGCTTCTCATCTTGGAAATCTCAGCTTAAATGACACTTTCTTAGAGAGGCCTTCTCTTTCTAAAGAATGTCCTTGGCTTACTTCCATACAATCTGTCTCCAGCCCTGTTTCTCTCCCCTCTGTAGCATTTGTTGCAATTTGTAACGATTTGTTTGATTGTATTTTCCTGTAGAATGTACATTCCATGGAAGCAGGGACGATAGTAGTTTTTGCACCCTTCCCATCGGATGGCTAGTACTTAGTATGTGATAGATACTTAATAAAAAATTGTTGAATGGATTGTTGAAACATTTCTGTCTTCTTCCTGGTAGTTGAAATCCATCTGAGAAGGGTCAACCTTTCAGCCCAAGAAGCAGAGAAAACCATTTTCAGCTGGGCTCTTGCCACATCTGGGAGTCAACTCAGTCCCTTCCTTCTTATCTTTCAGGGTTGTGCCATGGCGAGGGCGCTCAGCTTCCAAGTTTCTTCTTTTCTCTTCTCTTTTTCAAGAAATTTCTGGTTTATTTCCCTTTCCAGGTGGTTTCCTCCCCCTGCGCATCAGCCAGAATTCTCTCAGCGATGCAGGTTCACTCATATGTCCTGTTTTGAAGCTTTTGTGACCATGGAGAAAGCCACATTTGATCTTTGAATCCATGGTTTTTAGCTGCTCTCCTCACTGTAGTGTGCAGCCCTTCTGGCCTCTGGCATTGGCTCCATGGTAAATTTCCCACGTTGTCCTCCCACAGATTTAGGAGTCATTTTTGTTTGGTGAAGAACTATTTGTAGCTATCTCTGTATTTCCATCTCTGACCTCTGTCTTGCTGGATGGAGAGCAAGAGAGGCTAGCCCCATTCCTTCTCAAAATCTGGAGCATGGGCCAGCAGCATGGCACCACCTGGGATTTTGTTAGAAATGCAGAATTTCAGGTCCTAGCCCAGACCCACTGTATTGGAGTCTGCGTTGGAGGGACATTGCTCTGGGGTCAGAGAGAAAACAGGAGCTTCCTGTGGTGGTTCTCTGTGCTCTACCACAGGCCCCAGACCCATCCATCTGGGGCCCCAGTAGTGATTCTCTTTCACTCAAGGGGAATAAGACTTTCTGTCCAACAACAGAAATGTTCAAAGTCTACTGACCATCCCTTCAAAGTGGGGCTTACATTTTCATGTCAGTGAATATGCCAGTGATGTGGGTTCACCTGAGGCTGGATGGCAATGGTGGGTTGACATCCTGACCAGTTGCTTACTGGCTGTATGAGATAGGGCATTGTATTAGTCAGGGTTCTTCAGAGAAAAAGAACTAGTTGGATATATAGGTATGTAAGAGGGGATTTATTATGGGAATTGGCTCACATGACTATGAAGGTAGAGAAGTCCCACAGTCTTCCATCTGGAAGCTATAGAACCAGAGAAGCCCATGGTGGAATTCAGTCAGAGTCCAAAAGCCTGAGAGTCAGGGGAGTCAGTGGTCTAACTCACAGTCTGAGGCCGAAGGCCTGAGAACTGGGGTCACCGTGTAATTCCTGGGGTCCAAAGGCCTTAGAATTAGGAGCTCTGACATCTGAGGACAGAAGATGGATATTCCAGTTCAAGAAGACAGAGAAAAAATTATCCCTTCCTCCACCCTTTTTGTTTTATTTGGGCCCAAAATGGACTGCATGATGCCTGCCTACATTGCTGAGAGTGGATCTTCTTGACTCAGTTTACTGATTCAAATACTAATCTCTTCCAGAAACACTATCACAAACACACCTAGAAGTAATATTTTACCAGCTATATGGGTATCCATTAGTCCAGTCAAGTTGGCACATAAAATCAACCATCGTAAGCATATTGCAAAATCTTTTTATGTCTATTTAACAAGGCATTAATAACATAGCCAGCATTTATGGAGTGCTTACAATGAGCCAGACACTGCACTAGGTGCCATGCTTGAATTTATGCTTATTTTTCTGTAAAATCCCTTTTCATGATCCTTTTATTGTAGATAGAAATTTCAGGCTTAGAGATGTGGAGTGTTTTGGGCAAAGTTATATAGTTGTTGAATGGCTAAGGTGCAATTCAAATCTAGGTATGCTCGTCTCCAGAGTCTAATCCCCTACTGCTACACAGCATTGCTCTTGGATGGTACCATCTGAGGTCTTATAACAACACAATGAAATAATACAGTGTTGATAAATGGTTAAGCGCTGTGTAAATGATAGTTAAGATAATTTGAAGTCAAGAAAAATTGCCAGATCTTTCTGCACATGACCGTCTTATACATGTGGTTTCAGAGTGGCTTCCCTGTCTACACCGTATCTGCTAGTGTCCACAGACCTTGGCCTCTCCTATGGACAGAGCAGCACGATGAAGCTGTAGGGATGTTAGTTCTCTCCCCAAGCTACCAAGGTGATCTAGGTAGAAGTGAAGGGAGAATTGTTCTCCTCCATGTGCTACAGACAAGTCAGAGACTTGGACCCTTCCTGGATTATGAATGCTCTGTTGATCTGCTCCTTTTACGTGGGAAGAAAAGAACTAATATCCAAACACAAAATGCTTAGGCCCCTTCAAACAAGAATCTTAACTGCTCACTGGGTGTCTTATTTTGTGTACTTCTACCAACATCTCTGGAAGCTGTACAGAACAGAAAATTTATCCCCTTTTCACACCTGGGGAAACAGAAGTAGAAAGAGGTGAAATCATTTCTAAGGTCACAGCATTCATCACTATTAACAACAAGGACCATTAAGTTAAATATTTCTTTACTCTAAATTCAGAGTTTTATCTATAGTAGATTTTTGTGCCTAAAAAGCTCATGTTTTGGTTCTTTTATGCTAAGTTTTACTTCAGCATTTCTTCTGATGTATGGCCCAAATTCTGCTTCAGTGAGTCTTGCTCAAAACTCATTTCTTTGGTGAACCATCCTCTAATCTCATATGACCACAGGCTCTCCTTAGACCGAAGCTCCCAGACATGGTCTTTGAAAAATGACATCATAATCCTAAAAAGAAATGAAGGAAATTGAAACCAATCTTTGTGACATACTATTTTTATTTGGTCGCTCATGCTATTTAGATGGAGAGGGCACTGGATAGGGACTATATCTTTTCCATGTTTTATACCATGCTTAGTAAGTTCTCAGAATATAATAAATGTTTCACAGGCCAATGAAAAATTTCAAAGCATATAACCTACTGGGGAGGTTGTAAAATTATTCACGGCTGACACTGATGAGAAGATCAGAGTTTCACTCTACAGGGAGACGACACTGGTGACACTCTGAGAATACATGGGGTATTTCAATAAAACCTATTTTTAGAATGAATGTTAATAAGACATTTACAAATATGTATAAAAATAAGATGCTAATTTATACCACTCTATAATAAAATTAATAGTTGGTACTGGTTATTTATCCTATGATACACTAATTTCAATATGATTCTTACAAGAGGAGCTTTAAAGTGATCTATTGCTGATCAAGTGAGATACATGTATAGGAGAACATATGTATATTAAATATTGTATATGTAAATTATTTTTAATGATGACATCATGTCTGATGTTTGAACAAGTGAAAGGGCTTTGTGGAATTCTTGGAAAAGTGCAAAGATGCTGGACAAATACAATTTGAAATAGAACTGTCCTTACTGTAACCATATGACAGTTACATAGGCTGTCAGAAAAAATTACCTGGAACAAGAGGTAGGAGAAAGATTATCTAGAATATGAAGGAGAAAGTATTTTAGTAATATGCATGGAAGTTGACAGTAACCATTATTGGACATTTGCTTCTTTAATTTAACTGTTGTAATGCCCTGATGTCAGTTTTCATTGCAAATGATACGTTTACTAATGTGTATATATGTAACTGAAAGACTTAGTTCCTATATGTTCTGTAATAGTCCAAACACATCCATAGAAGAAGGTTGATACAAAGAAATTTCAGGGTCATTGAAGGAGTGGGTACATGGAACCACTGAGAAGCAGAGCCTGTGAGAGACTCAAGTCCAGGTCAATGGTCAATGCTGGAATGAGCTGGGTGGAGCAGAGCGACCTGGAGTAGAATATGTCCTCAAGCAAGACTGAAGTAGGAGGATAGGGAGGGAGGTGGTTTATCTGAGATGCCTTGGGAATTAAATGTCACTCCCAAGATAGTCAGAAGGAACCAGTTCATTATTTTAAAAGGCTAGGAAAATGGAAAGATTGACTGATTCATTCAATTCAAATATCTGTTGTGTACTTATTATGTGGCAGCCTTCATGCTAGACATTGGATATACAATGGTGACTCAGTCATAGTTCCTGAGATTAAAGAACTCACTGTCCTGTGAGAGTGACTGTTAAATTAATAGATGAAAAGTGCTAGGTGCTATGATAATGATGACGACAATTCTTTGAACATTTGCTATGTGTCAAGTATATATTTTATCCGCATTTACATGCATCAAGACATTTGGTTTTTATTTGAATACCCTGATAGATAAGAGTAACTCCTGATATCACATAAGAGGAGAGTATCTAATCCAGTTTAGGAGGATTATGTAAGATGGTGAATATCTTAAATGAAAGTGGAGATGAGACGGGAGTGTGAGGGGGAGTAGGGTGGAGACAGGGGAGCATTCTGGGGGCACATCAGAATTGGTGTAAGATTGCAGCTGGTTCCCTCTCCTCTACATTGCAGCCCTACTTAGCAGGTTTTGCATAAATAACATGGTTCCTGGCAAAAGAGTCATCCCATACATAATTAGAAAAATCAAGTTCCACCCCCACAACTTGCTTTGTCTCCTTGGGATGTAGATGTTGTTCTTATTAGCCAATGTATCTGGTCTCCTCTCTAGTAACGCAGAAGATTAAGTTTCCTTTATCCCTAAAGACATAGCCATGGAATTTGCTTTGGCCAGTGATATGTGAGCAGACGTGAATTGGGTGGAGGCACACAGTTGTTGGTTTGACTCTCCATCCGCCTCTTGGTTCTATTGAATCAGGAAATCATGTGTTCCTGACGGCATGATTGTAGGGACTGGAGGCTCTGTCCATGTGGATCAGTGAATTGCTTCACCGAGTGTCCTCAGTGTCAGAGTGAAGCTCTGGAGGGTCATCCTGACCTACAGCAAGTTTTGAGTGAGAAATAAATCTCTGTTCTGTAAAGCTGCTGACATTTTGTGGGGAGCAGTGTTTGTAACTGCAACATAATGTCGCCTATCCTGCTTGCCCTTATTTCAGTTGAAAACCTTTTTATTTTTAGATTTCCACCTCGTTTTTATATCCTTTGACTAACTTTTACTATAAGGTATTGTGCATGGGCCCTTAGTAACATCCACACATGTGCTGGAATGAAATTACTTTTGAAAATAATACACTATTATTTACAAATCTTTTGGTGAATTTCAGATGAGAGTTTGAATTAAAAATATGAGAAATGATTCTATTAAAACACTATATAGGCAATACTCTGCAAGACACATTCAATAATATATTTCCTTCAATGGTTTGATGTTTGTTAATTTATTTTTACTGGCATGATACACTCTACAGTTTTCATATAATCACTAACTAAGTTACCAGAATTTTCAGATAATATGACATTCCTATATTTATTAGGAATAAGCTCCTTAAAAATTATGGATGTGAGTTAAATCCATATATCCTTCTGGAGCTATTTCTCTTTTTAAAGGGTATGTTTCCACTACATTGCTAGACCTCACAGTTTGCATTAATTAAAATATGCATTAATAGAATTCACTGAAGTTGGAATTTCAATGTTAGACACTTTTGGATGGTATGAGAAGGTTGGACAAACATTTGCAAATTTGGACCAGTTTTTTGCTTACAATCTGTTGTCAGTTTTGTTTCTTGAAGAAACTCATAGCTAAAGTAAAAACAGATTAATATAAATTCAGGTATAAATACATCATCAGTAGACAACGAACAAAATTTCAAATGAGATTCTGTTTATTATATAATTTACAAAGAATAAGGGAAGCTGAGATTTTTGGGGGTGTTTTTATTTGGAAACCCAGAGAAAGAGAGCAGGAGGTTGTAAGATTTTTTCCTGTAGAAGGGCTGCCCTCCCACCAAACACAGAAAAGATGGGCCATAGATTGATATTTCAAGTCCTTTTGTTTGTTTGTTTTAGCACCCATCCCAAGATTAAGTATTAATACTATGCTAGACTCTGCAAGAAACAGTAGATGTAAATGTTGAGATTACCCAAAAAGGCAAAGAAATTGGTTATGTCTCATAGTCTTGATGACTGAAAAAAATAGCCTTTGCCTTGGTTATGTCTACACTTTCTTCTTCCAGGTTCTGTCACTTTTCTACACTCAGAATTCCTTGTCTCTCTCCCAGCTCTTCCCCTGTTCCCTCTTTTTCTCCCTTTCCTTTCTTTCCTGGTGTGGCTCTGTCTGACTTCCACTTTTTCACTCTTTCTACCTCTTAGGTTCTTGGGGGAGGGAGGAAATGAGATGAGATGTTTTAAACTTCCTTTGGCAGAAAGCAGCATATTTTCTGATCATCCTTTTCCAACCTTTTGACTGAGCAGCTTATTGGGGGCTTGTTTTAATATTTTCACAACCATTATTATGCACGTTCCATCATTTCTTTACTTGGCTAAGTAGGGCTCTGAACAAAGAGGTCTAAACAAATGGGAATGATAAGACCTATCCTGGCAAAACATTTTTAGCACCAGACTATTTTGTATAATGCATATCTTACTGCTGTATACAAGGTTTAAATCACGTGGTAAGATAATTATAGATTAAAAATTGTACCTTAGAGATAATATGTGCAAAATAAAGTGGAGTAAAGAGTGATTCACTTGAGAGCAGAATTATGCCATTATCAGAAAAATTAAATTCTAAGCCTCAAGATTCAGGTTTCCCTTGTGGGGTTCATTCTGAGTGCACTTGTTTCTCTTTCCGCCACTTTCTCTTTTCTGTTCAGTGTCTCTGAGAAATCAGTGTTGTCAGGTAGTTTGCTAGCAGAGGCATTGGTGCTCTAAGCAGGAAGTAAAAGTCATTGTAGTAATTGGATTGACAAAGATGGAGCTGGTGGGAGGTCTCCCAGATTCTCCTCCAGTGGTCTTTCCAGTACAACATGTTGTCTGTAATATCTACTTGGCTTTGGAATAGAATCAAAAGCTTTAATCTTCTGTACAAGTATGAGTGCTCATGCACACACACAGACAGCGATCTTTTATGTACAAATGCACATATTCCATTACTTCAGGTAATTATACATTTACCTATCTGATTATTTCATATATGTATACACACATATATACATACACACCTATATATATATATATACACACACAAGCACACATATATATACGCACACAATGTTCTGCTACCAAACCTCTCTACAGGGACATAATTGAATTAGGCAGAGCAAAAGATCCCTGGTGATCATGAACACTGTTTCCAAAACATGAGTGATGTGGTTTGGCTGGGTCACCACTCAGATGTCATCTTGAATTACCACTTGTTGTGGGAGGGACCTGGTGGGAGGTAATTGAATCATGGGGGCAGGTCTTTTCCATGCCATTCTCATGATAGTGAGTAAGTCTCACAAGATCTGATGGTTATTATAAGGGGGAGTTTTCCTGCACAAGCTCTCTCTTTGCCTGCTGCCATCCATGTAAGATATGACTTGCTCCTCCTTACCTTCCACCATGATTGTGAAGCTTCCCCAGACATGTGGAACTGTAAGTCCAATTAAACCTCTTTCTTTTGTAAATTGCCCAGTCTCAGGTATGTCTTTATCAGCAGTGTGAAAACAGACTAATACAATGGGCAACCCAGTTACCACTAAACAGGGGTTGACAGCAATTACACAGCTATTGTGGGAACTCCCAAAAGAGAATACCTTATATGCTCTCGTTTTATTTCACCTTTGCAGATTTGTTGTTTCATTAATGAATTGCTCCACCTGTTTAATATGCACCAGGACAACAAAGCCAAGAATTCTCTCAAACAACTTACACTTGGGTCTGGAATACACTATAAAAGTGTCCTTATGTATATCTCCTAAAGCTATCCCTCCCCCCTCCCCCCACCCCACAACAGTCCCCAGAGTGTGATATTCCCCTTCCTGTGTCCATGTGTTCTCATTGTTCAATTCCCACCTATGAGTGAGAATATGCGGTGTTTGATTTTTTGTTCTTGCAATAGTTTACTGAGAATGATGATTTCCAATTTCATCCATGTCCCTACAAAGGACATGAACTCATCATTTTTTGTGGCTGCATAGTATTCCATGGTGTATATGTGCCACATTTTCTTAATCCAGTCTATCATTGTTGGACATTTGGGTTGGTTCCAAGTCTTTGCTATTGTGAATAGTGCCGCAATAAACATACGTGTGCATGTGTCTTTATAGCAGCATGATTTATAGTCCTTTGGGTATATACCCAGTAATGGGATGGCTACCTAATGCTAAATGACGAGTTAATGGGTGCAGCACACCAGCATGGCACATGTATACATATGTAACTAACCTGCACATTGTGCACATGTACCCTAAAACTTAAAGTATAATAATTTTAAAAAAAGTGTCCTTATATAGCATAGTTCCCATTCTAGTTATACTTTATTATAGCTGATGGTGCAAATTAGTTTAAATTTCCTGCACACATATACTAGCTGAATTTGGAGGAGGTGGTCCAGGTTTGTATTGGATGCAATGTGAGATAGAAATGGATAAGAAATTTGCCTTGGACAGAGAAACGTCCCTCTTTTTGTGGTGGTAGAAAGGAGACCATGGAAGACTGTGGGGACATTGATAACTTTTTTTATTACAAAAACATGAATTTATTTACCTGATTTTTTATTGTAGACACATTAACAACTAATTTTTCAATAACTTATTTTTTACTACAAAATACTTTTTTATAGGAAAAAATATAAATAAGCACATCTGAAAATTCATTTCCATTTAAAAATACATGGGACTCGATCTGCACTAAAGGATCCACATATTAAGTGTAGTTATCCCTGGAGGAGGGTTTACTAGTGCAGTTATTTTATTTTTATGGTTCCTTTGGAGAGAACCAGAGAGCTGCTTTAAAAAGTGCTGTTGAATTAGAGCTGTGTGAGAAATCACTGTAAAATACTTGAAAACAAAACAAAACAAAACAAAAAAACCCTGAAAAATCTAGGAATGAAACACCCTGATTGTACCCCAAATTCTTTAAACTTTTTGTATTTTCCTTTAAAGAACCAAACTGGAAAAATGGTTGACAGCACAGTACAGGTGTGTGCAACCACACATAGTTCTAGCAGCAGTTGAGAATCAAAGACCAGTCTGTGGCTCTATAGCAACAAATTATCATCAAATAAATGTACATTTGTATGTTTTAAGTTACAATAAAATGCTTAAGGTCTTTTGTGTCTCTTTAAAATTTTTTTATTTCTTTTTTTTTACTGTAATTGACTGTTTTTGACAACTCATCCTGGTCTTTCTTTCTAACTCTCATTTCCTATAGTGGTAGATATCATAATCTAGTCAATTCCAATTAAACTACATCACTTTGGAACTTTTCTTAACACTTCAGTCTTTTTAAAATTAAATGTTTTCTTGCGAGGTAATGGGAAAGTCACAGAGTTGTAAGAAATAATAGAGGGAGATCTTGTGTACTATATATCTAGTTTCCCACAAGAGTAATATCTTGTACAACTGTAGTTAAATTTCACAACCAGGATACTAACAATGATAAAGTTAAGAGACACAGACATTTTCTTCACCACAAGACTGCTCATGCTGCCCTCTTATAATTATATCCACCTTTTTCCTGCCTCTGTCTCCTGAGCACCTGACAACCACTCTTCTGTTCTCCATTCTTTAGTTATGCCATTTAAAAAATGTTCTATAAATGGAATCATATAGCATGTAAACTTTTGAGATTGGCTTCTTTCACTCAGCATAATTCTCTAGAGATTCATCTAGGTTATTTGTTGCTGAGCATCGTGCCATGGTATCGATGTACCAGTATGTTCAACATTCACCTATTGAGAGAAATTTTCACTGTTTCCAGGATGGGGCTATTATGAATAAATCTGCTCTAAACCTTTGTGTACAGGTTTTTCTGCGAACATAAGTTTTTATTTCTCTGGGATAAATGGCCAAGAGTGTAATTACTGTATCATATGGTAGCGGCATAGTTAGAATTTTAGAAACTGCTACACTTTTCCAGAGTGGCTGTATAACATTCCCACTAGATTTGTTTGAATAATCCTCATTCTTGCCAGCATTTAGTGATATCACTACTTTTTATTTTAGCCATTCTGATGGGTATGTAGTGCTATCTCATGGTGATTTTAATTTTCATTTCTCCAACAGCTAGTGATGTTGAGTATCTTTTCATCTGCTTATTGCCATCTGTACATTCTCTTTGGTGAAATATCTGTTTTTGTCTTTTGCCCATTTTCTAATTGGATTGTCTGTGTTTTTACCATTGAGTTTTGAAAGTTATTATTATTTTTTCTAGATACCAGTCCTTTGTCAGATATGGGGTTTGCAAATATTTTCTCTCAGTCTGTGGCTGTCTTGTCATTCCCTTAACAGGGTCTCTCACAAAGCAGAAGTTTTTAACTTTTATGAAGCCCAAATTATCAATATTTTCATTTGTGTGTCATGCTTTTGGTGTCAAATTTACAAGCGATTTTCCTAATTCTGCATCCTGAAAATTTTCTCCTTTTTGTTCCTAAAAGTTTTAGTTTTATATTTTACATTTAAGGCCATGATTCAAATTTAGTTAATCTTTACAGAAGCTGTGGGGACTTACGTCAAAATTTCTTCCCCCATCACTTACTGATGTCAGATAGCTCCAGCACCATTTGTTGAAAAGGCTGTCTTTTGTCTATAGAATTGCTTTTGCACTTTGTAAAAAATCAGCTTAGCATATTTGTGTGGGTCTACCTCTGAGTCCTTTATTCTGTTCCACTGGTTTATCTGTTTATTTCTCTGCTAAAGCTTCGTAGTCTTTTTTACCGTAGCTATTGCCTTGAAATTGGGTAGATTGACTTCCACAATGGTTGAACTAGTTTACATGAATGAAATTGGAAATCATCATTCTCAGTAAACTATCGCAAGAACAAAAAACCAAACACCGCATATTCTCACTCATAGGTGGGAATTGAACAATGAGAACACATAGACACAGGAAGGGGAACATCACACTCTGGGGACTGTTGTGGGGTGGGGGGAGGGGGGAGGGATAGCATTGGGAGATATACCTAATGCTAGATGACAAGTTAGTGGGTGCAGCGCACCAGCATGGCACATGTATACATATGTAACTAACCTGCACATTGTGCACATGTACCCTAAAACTTAAAGTATAATAATAATAAAAATAAAAATAAATTGGGTAGATTGGTTCCTCCCACTGTATTCCTTTTTTTTTTTACAAGCTTAATGTTCTATTTATTCAAACTATTTATTCAAAATACAAATCATCAACATAATTTGCCACTAAAATTTCATGCAGTCCCTTCACAAGACACATGATCCACTGGGAGTTAATAAATTAGCAGCTGGCAGGCAGTGACACACAGCAAAAATGAAAACCAAGAGGTGAAATAGTTCTGAAATAAAGAAGGTTTTAAAGCTAAGAGAAATCATTGAATTACTAAGTCATTAGCACTAATTTTGAGCCAACTAACTAATTAACATTAGATGATACAATGTCCTATGCTTTGGTAAATTCAAACTATGTTTAAACACTCTTCTTTGCCTTTCAATATAAACTTTGGAATAATCTTGTCTATATCTGTAAACAAGCTGGGATTTTCATAAGAATTGTGATAAATCAGTACATCAATTTGGGGAAATTGACATCTTTACTATCCTGAGTCTACAGATCTTACATTAACACAGTGTGTCTTTCCACGTATTTAGATCTTTGATTATTTTCATCAGCATTTTGTAGTTTTCAGCAAAAGTTTTTCAGACCTACACATGTTTTGTTAGATTTACACGTAAGTATTTTATTTTTTGAGTAATTACAAATAGTATTATAATTTTAATTTCATGTGTTCATTGATAGCATGGAGAAAAACAATTGAATGTTTATCTTGTATCCTGCAACCTTGCTGAAGACACTTGTTAGTTCTAGGATTATTTTTGGTAGATTTTTGAAATTTCTATACAGGCATTATGCCGTGTGCAAATAAGAACAATTTTGCTTCTTTCCTTCTAATCTATATGCCTTGCATTTTCTTTTCTTGCCTTATTGACCTGGTTAGAACTTTCAGCATTCAGTTGAATAAAATAAGAGTAGTGAGAGTAGACATTCTTGCATTCTTCCTAATCTTTGCAGGAAACTATTATGTTTCCTATAATGTTAACTGTAGGTTTTATTTTGTTTTTTGTTTTTTCACTCCTAGATGTTCTTTCTTAAATGATGTTCTGCTGTTTCCATTTTTCTGAGAGGTTTCATTATTAAAGGGTATGAAATTTTGTCAGATGCTTTTTTAGTCTCAGGTGACATGAGCATGTCATTTATCTTCTTAAGTGGATTACATTGATTAATTTTCAAATACTGAATCAGGCTTGTATCCCTAGAATAAACCACATTTGGTTATGGTGAATATTTTTATATACTGATGAATTCTATTTGCTAATATTTTAAGGATTTTGTGTCCATACTCATGAGGGATTATTTGTATGAAGTTTTCTTACTTTGTAATTTATTTGTCTGGTTTTGGTATTGGGGCAATACCAGTTTTAGTATCAGGACAATAAAATGAATTGGTAATTGTTCCTTCCTCTTTAATTTTTCCGGAATTGATTGTGTAAAACTGGTGACTCTCTTGTTTAATTATTTGATAAAATTCTTCAGTGAAACAATCTGGGCTTGGAGATTTCTTTTTGGGGAGGTTTTAAATTATAAATTTAATTTTCTTAATAGTTACGGGGCTATTCAATTTATCTATTTCATATTGGCTTATTTTTGGCATTTCACATTTTTTGAATAGTCCATTTCATGTAAGATGTCAAATTTATCTGTGCAGAGTTTATAGTATTCGCTTATTATTTTTTGGATATCTGCAGGTGTATAGTGATATCCCTTGTTTAATTCCTGATATTGGTAAATTGTCTCCTCTCTTTTTCTCTTTGTCAGTATTGCTAGAGGTTTGTCAATTTTATTAATCTTTTTGAAGAAAAAACTTTTTTGTTTAATTGATTTTCTCTATTGTTTTCAATTTTGCTAATTTTTGCATTTTATTATTTCTTTTCTTATGATTCTGTGGGTTTATTCTGTTCTCTTTTTAATCTTTAGATGAGAACTTAAGTTATTGATTTGAGACATTTCCTCTTTTCTGATCTAAGCATTTGGTGCTGTAAATTTCTCTTGCCACATTGCTTTAGCTGTATCCTATAAATGTTATGTTGTATTTTCCTTTTCTTTCAGTTCAATATATTTTTATTTCTCTTGAGACTTCCTCTTTTTTATGCTAAACATTTAAGGTATATATCAATGGACGAATGAGTTAAAAAATCATGAAACGTATACAACAGAACATTATTCAGCCTTAAAAAAGGAGATTCTGCCATTTACAAGAAAATGGATGAAACTGGAGGACATCATGTCAAGAGAAGTGAGTCAGACACACACACAAAATAATGCAAGATCTCACTTATATGTGGAATCTAGAAAAATGTCAAGACTTCCTTTTTGATCATGAATTATTTTGGAGTTTTATTTGTTAAATGTTTGTAAATTTTCCTTTTACCTCTGTTATTGATTTCTAGTTTGATTACGTGTGTTGGAGAATATATTCTGTATGATTTCAAAATATACTCTGTAGGATTTGTTGAGGTTTGTGTTATAGAACAGAATATGTTATATCTTGATATAGGATGTGGGAACTTTAAAAGAATGTGTAAAAGAATGTACGCTTATATAGTATGGTGGAGTATTTGATACATGTTAATTAGATCCTGCTCGTTGATGGTATTTCTTATTTCTTCTATATATTTGCTGATTTTCCTTCTGATTGTTCTGTCAGTTATTGAGAGAAAGATATTAACGTCTCCGCTGTAATTGTGGGTTTACCTTTTCCTCCTTTCGGTTTTATCAGTTTTTGCTTCATATATTTTGCAGCCCTGTTTTTAGTTACATACACATTTAGGATTGCCATGTCTTCTTGGTAGATTGACTTTTTGTTATTATAAAATGTCTATCTCTAGTAATTATCTTTGCTGTGAAGTCTATATTATCAAATATTAGTATAGCCTCTCCTGCTTTCTTTTGATTGATGTTTGAAGGGTATAGTTTGAAGTCTAGCCTTGTCTCTTGGCCCTTGCTGGTAGGGTTGGGGTGGTATTTGACTGTAGTAGTGCACCTACTCTCCAAGATTTTTCTGTCTTCTTCTGCTGTGCTTTTCTTGGGCCTTTAGTTAGCAAGAGGGAATTTCTGTTGGGGATTGGTGTGTGTGTGTATCTGTGTTCCCATTGGTGTTTTACAGTTGCTGGTTCCTTCAGCTCCAAATCTTGAGTGGATGAGGCAAAAAGAAAACCCAAGAAAGTCATCACCATGTTGCCCCTTGGGTCCTGAGGTCCCTAGTGGACCTGCCCTTTCCCCCCCATCTTTTAGAGTCTTCTTATGTTTGTTTTACGTATAACATCCAGGGCTTTTAGTTGTATTTTGCAGGAGGAATAAGGAAAAGTATATCTACTCCATCTTCCCTGAGGCAGAAATCAGGATGCCAAGTTCTTTGGGTTTTCCATCTCAGATTTTAATATACAGTAATTTCAAAGATTTTTTTCTCTAACCCTTCATTCCAAGATGGTGTCTACAGAGCTTGAGAGTATCAGGGTTGAGGGTAGGTATGTTGGCTGTTCTTCACACTCTACTGCTGAAGAGGGAATTTATTCTTTAGGACAATGATATATATGGCAACTGCCATCTTCCCTGAAGCCCATGATCCTGCAATAACCTCTGGTCACCAGATCCATTCAGGTCAGTCTGTCTTTCTTATAGCCCTTGCCATTCAGTTCTACTTGCATTTTTCCAACTCTGTTTATTTTTTAACCTTTAGGTAATACAGAAAAATTCATACTACTTTATTTTTTATTTTTTTTGAGATGGAGTCTTGCTCTGTCACCTAGGCTGGAGTGCAGTGGCATGATCTTGGCTCACTGCAACCTCCACCTCCCGGGTTCAAGCAATTCTCCTGCCTCAGCCTCCCAAGTAGCTGGGATTACAGGCGCAAACCACCACACCTGACTAATTTTTGTATTTTTGGTAGAGACAGGGTTTCACCATGTTGGCCAGGCTGGTCTCGAACTCCTGACCTCAAGTGATCCTCCTGCCTCAGCCTCCCAGACTTCTGGGATTACAGGCATGAGCCACTGCACCCGGCCCTACTTTTGATAATATAGAAAAATTATACTGTTATGGGGCCAGGAAACTTGGGAATTTAATTGGATAGCCTGGTAAGGGTGGAGAAACCAAAATTATATAAAGAAGCCTAAATTTCAGGTCTGCTCATAGTATATGTGGGATATGAAGGCCTACATATTGAATATACTTTCTTTTACTGAGACAATAGCAACTGGAATTACCAATCAAAATTTAAAGCAACACTTACATCAGGAAATAAACACAAATTTTATCTACCACCTTTAAACACTACAATGGTTTTGCATATGCAGTGTGTCAGTTAGGGGTCCATAAAAAAAGCAAAACCAGCACGAGATCTATCTATGTGTGTGTGTGTGTGTATGTATGTATGTATGTATGTATGTATGTATGTATGTATGTATATGGACCTATCTTTATCTTTATCTCTGGATTGGTTTGTAAGATTGTGGGGACTGGTTAGGCAAGACTGAAATCCGTATAGTAGGCTGTCGAGTAGGGCAGGCTGGAACCCTCAGGCACAAGCTGAAGGTGCAGTTCACAGAGATAATTTCTTCTTCTTTCTCCTTTTCTTCTTTTTCTCCCGTTCCCTTTCTCCTCCTTGGCAACCTCCTTCTTCTTTTCCTTCTTTAAAAATTATTCTTATGGATACATAATAGTTGTATGTATTTATAGGGTCCATATGATACTTTGATATAAGAATTCAATGTGTATTGATCAAATCAGGGTAATTGGGATGTTCATCACCTTAAACATTTATCATTTCTTTGTGTTGGGAACATTCCAATTCCATTCTTTTAGTTATTTTGAAATATACAATAAATAAGACAGCTCAGCTGATGGAATCAAGCCCACCCTGATATCTAGGATAATTTTTCTTACTGAAAGTAAACTGATGATAAGTTTTAATCACATCAACAAAGTACTTCCACCCAGATTTGTGTTTGATTGAATAACTGGGGAGTGTAGCCCAGACAACTTGACACATAAAACTGATCATTACACGCAGCAAGTATTAATTGAATCACACACAGCACTGTCCCCTATATTGCAATTGTCACCATCTCTCAAAGCAACAGCTAGAGTGTGTATTAGGGTAAAGAGTTAGTATAAATTCACGCACGCGCTCTTTGTTATGAGAGCTGTTCTGTGCCTTGTAGGATACTTAGCAGCATCCCCGGCCTCTATACACTAGTTGCTAGTAGCATCGCCCACCAGTTGTGTCAACAAAAATGTTGAAAGTTCTTTAAGGGGTAAAATCACTGCTGATTTATAACCACTGAGCTAGATATACGTGTGTGTGTGTATATATACCTATTTCAAGAATAATACAAGTTGTTTAATGTTGTAAAACATCTCTCTGCCACTAGAAATACCACGAATTGGAACATGAAGAGAAATAAGAAAATGGTCACTTTGCAAAAGCAGGAAGCAATATTTTGTCCTGAAAAATAAATCTATTGCCATTGGTGAAGAAGAGTAAAACAAGATGATTAATCTGCCTTTTTTCCTAAGTGCTTTGCTGCTCAAAGCCTCCTAGCACGTAGAAGATTTAAAGCTACCTTTTTTGCTTTTGTCTTATAGCATGAACACTGTTTTTATTTATTCAATAGTTTGTTTTCTTGACCTCAATTTAGTAAGCCGGTAAATTGAATATTTTACAGTTATCAAAGAATAACAACAACTACAAAAAATTTGCCTCTTATTTAAATGTGGTACTCAATTGATTTTGTGCAGTCAGGTGTCCTTGTTAGTAGAAAAGATTCTGAAATGCTAGCTTTTAGATGGATATGACATGCCAAAATCACAAATGAACAATGAAGATAGGTTACTGTATTAGTCTGAGTTCTCCAGAAAAACAGATCCAGTAGGATGTGTATATATATATGAAGAGATTTATTTTATGGAATTGTCTCATATGATTATGGAGACTAGTAAGTCCAAAATCTGCAGGGTGGACTGGCATGCCAAAGACCTGGAAAAGGCCCATGCTGCAGGTCCAGTCTGAAGGCTGCTTGCAGAATTCTGTCTTGATAGGGTAAGGTCAATCTTGTTCTATTCAGGCCTTCAGCTGATTGGATGAGGTCCACCCACATTATGGAGGGCAATCTGTTTTACTCAGTCTATCAGTTCAATTGTTAATCTCATCCAAAAACACTCTCATAGAAATATCCAGAATAATGTTTTACTACATATCTAGGCACCAAGATCCAGTCAAGTTGACACATAACATTATCCATCACAATTGCCCCGTCGTTATTTTTATTCTTTGTTAATGTAAAGAACATTGCATTATGGACAAACATAAACTATGGAGTCAGAGAGAGACTTCATTTTGCTCTGTTGCTTTTTAGTCATGGGATCATTGAGCAATTTACTTGATCTCTCTGAACCTCAGTTTATTGCTCTGTATAATAATATTCCCTTCTTAGGGTTGTTGTGGAGAGCTGCATATGATAATGCATATAAAGCATGCACATCCCTGTTGGACTTTGGGATACACACACACACACACACACACACACACACACACACATATATGTTTTAAAATAATTTTTAATTTTTGTGGATACCTAATTCGTGTATTTATGAAGTACATGTGATGTTTTAATACCAGAATGCAATGTGTAATCATCACATCATGGAAAATAATGTATCCACCTCATCAAGAATTTATCCTTTGTTTTACAATCCAATTATACTCATTTTAAAATGTACAATTAAATTATTATTGACTATAGTCACCCTGTTGTGCTATCATATACTAAGTATTATTCATTCATTCTATTTTTTTAACCCATTAACCATCCTCACCCCTCCCTATTCTCCCCACTACCCTTCCCAGCCTCTGCTAACCATCCTTCTACTGTCTCCATGGGTTCAATTGTTTCAATTTTTAGATTCCCACCAATAGGTGAGAACTTGTGATTTTTGTCTTTCACTTAAGATACTGATCACCAGTTCTAACAATATGGTTAATATTGTTGCAAATGACTGAATCTCATTTTTTTAATGGCTGAATAGTACTACATTGTGTATATGTACCATATTTTCTTTATCCATTCATCTGTTGATGGACACTTAGGTTGCTTCCAAATCTTAGCTATTGTGAACAGAGCTGCAATGAACATGGCAGTGCAGATATCTCGATATAATGATTTCCTTTCTTTTGGGTATACCCTGCTCCGAGATTCCTGGATCATATGGTAGTTCTAATTTTTAGTTTTCTGAGGAACCTCCAAAGTGTTGTCCATAGTGGTTTTGCTAATTTACATTCTCACCAACAGTATGTGAGAGTTTTCTTTTCTCCACATCCTCACCAGCATTTGTTATTGCCTGTCTTTTGGATATAAGCCGTGTTAACTGGGGTGATTTGATATCTCATTGTAGGTTTGATTTGCATTTCTCTGACAATCAGTGATGTTGAGCACATTTTCATATAACTATTGCCATTTGTATGTCTTCTTTTGAGAAATATCTATTTACATCTTTTGCCCAGTTTTAAATTGAATCATTCGATTTTTTTTCCTATAGAGTTGTTTGAGCTTATATATTCTGGTTATTAATCCCTTTTCAGATGAGTAGTTTGCAAATATTTTCTCTCATTCTGTGGGTTGTCTCTTGACTTTGTTAATTGTTCCCTTTGCTGTGCAGAAGCTTTTTAACTTGATGTGTTATCATTTGTCCATTTTTGCTTTTGTTGCCTGTGCTTGTGGGGTATTACTCAAGAAATTTTTGCCCAGACCAATGTTCTGGAGAGGTTCCCTGGTGTTTTCTAGGAGTAGTTTCATAGTTTGAGGTCTTAGATTTCAGTCTTCAATCTATTTTGACTTGATTTTTGTATACAGCAAGAGATAGTGGTCTAGTTTTATTATTTTGCATATGAATATCCAGTTTTTCCAGCATCATTTGTTGAAGAAACTGTCCTTTCCTGTATGTAAGTTCTTGGCACCTTTGTCGAAAGTGAGTTTACTATTGATATATGGATTTGTTTCTGGGTTCTCTGTTCTGTTCCATTGGTCTATATGTCTGTTTTTATGCCAGTACCATGCTATGTCGGTTACTAAAGCTCTGTAGTATAATTTGAAATCAGGTAATGTGATTCCACCAGTTTAGTTCCTTTGTTCAGGATTGGCTATTCTAGGTCTTTGGTGGTTCCATATAAATTTTTGCATTTTTTTCTATTTCTGTGAAGAATGTAATTGGTATTTTAATATGGATTGCATTGAATCTATAGATTGCTTTGGGTAGTGTGGACATTTTAACAATATTGATTCTTAAAATTTATAAATGTGAAATATCTTTTCATTTTTTGTCTCCTCTTCAATATCTTTCATCAATGTTTTACAGTTTTCAAAGTAGAGCTCTCTCACTTTTTTGTTAATTCCTAGATATTAATTTTATGTGTGGCTATTGTAAATGGGATTACTTTTTAATTTTTTTTCAACTTGTTCATTTTTGGCAAATAAAAATACTACTGATTTTTGTATGTTGATTTTGTATCCTGAAACTTTACTGAATTTGTTTATCAGTTCTAATAATTTTTTTGTTAAGTCTTTAGGTTTTTCCAAATATGAGATTGTATTATCTGCAAACAAAGATAATTTGACTTCTTTTTTTCCAGTTTGGATGCCCTTTATTTCTTTCTCTTGTCTGATTGCTCTAGCTAGGACTTCAGTACTATGTTGAATAACCGTGGTGAAAGGGAGCATCATTGTTGTATTCTAGATCTTAGGGGAAAGGCTTTCATTTTTTCCCCATTCAGTATAGTACTAGCTGTGGGTCTGTTACATATGGCTTTTATTATGTTGAGGTATGTTCCTTCTAAAACTCTTCTTTTTGTTTTTTTGTTTATCATGAAGGGATGTTGAATTTTATGAAATGCTTTTTCAGCCTCAGTTGAAATGATCATATGGTGTTTGTCCTTCATTCTGTTGATATGATGCATCACATTGATTGATTCACGTTGAACCATCCTTGCATCCCTGGGATAAATCCCACTTGGTCATGATGAATGATCTTTTTAATGTATTGTTGAATTCAGTTTGCTAGTATTTTGTTAAGGATTTTTGCATCAATATTTATCAGAGATATTAACCTGTAGTTTTTTTTTTTTTTTTTGCTATGTCTTTTTCTGGTTTTGGTATCAGGGTAATACTGGGCTCATAGAATCAGTTTGGAAGTATTCCCTCCTTTTCTAGTTTTCAAAGAAGTTTCAGTAGGATTGGTATTTAATTCTTTCTTAAATGTTTGTTAGAATTCACCAGTGAAGCCATTGAGTCCTGGGCATTTTTTTTTTTTTTTAACTGAGAGACTTTTTATTACAGCCTCAATCTCTTTACATTATTGGTCTGTTCAGGTTTTGGATTTCTTTCTTGTTCAACCTTGGTAGGTTGTATGTGTTTAGAAATTTGTCCATTTATTCTAGATTTTCCAATTTATTGGCATATAGTTGCTCATAGTAGCCACTAACAATCCTTTGAATTACTGTGGTATCAATTTTATGTTTCCTTTTTCATCTCTAATTTTTCTTATTTGGATCTTCTCCCTTTTTTTCTTTGTCTGGTTAAAGTTTATCAATTTTGGCCGGGTGCTCACGCCTGTAATCCCAGCACTTTGAGAGGCCAAGGCGGGTGGATCATGAGGTCAGGAGATCGATACCATCCTGGCTAACACAGTGAAACCCCGTCTCTACTAAAAATACAAAAAAATTAGCCAGGCGTGGTGGCAGGCGCCTGTAGTCCCAGCTACTCAGGGGGCTGAGGCAGGAGAATGGCATGAACCCAGGAGGCGGAGCTTGCACTGAGCCGAGATCGCGCCACTGCACTCCAGCCTGGGCGACAGAGCAAGACTCCGTCTCAAAAAAAAAAGTTTATCAATTTTGTTTGACTTTTCAAAAAAACCAACTTTTTGTTTCATTGATTTTTTTGTATTGTTATTTTCATTTCAATTTCATTTATTTCTGCTCTGATCTTTAGTAATTTTTTTTAATACTAATTTTTGGTTTGGTTTGCTCTTGCTTTTCTAGTTTTTAAAGGAGCATTGTTAGGTTGTTTATTTGAAATGTTTCTTCTTTTTTGATGTAATCACTTATAGCTATAATCTTCCCTCTGAATACTCCTTTTGCTGCATCCCAGAGGTTTTCGTATGTTGTGTTTCCATTATCATTTGTTTTAAGACATTTTTCAATTTCCTTCTTAATTTCTTCATTGACCCACTGGTCATTCAGGAGCTTATTGTTTAATTTCCATGTATTTGTATAGTTTCCAAAATTCCTCTTTTTGATTTTAATTTTTCTTCCATTGTGATCTGTGAACATGCTTGATATTATTTCAAATTTTTAGAATGTTTTAAGACTTGTTTTGTGATTTAACATATGGTCTATACTTGAGACTGATCCATGTGCTGAGGAAAAGAATGTTTATTCTTCAACCTCGGATGAAATGTTCTGTAAATATCTATTGTGTCCATTTGGTCTACAGTGCAGATTAAGTCCAATGTTTCTTTGTTGATTTACTGTAGGGAAGATCTGTCTAATGCTGAAAGTGGGGTGTTGAAGTCTCCAGCTAGTATTGTACTGGGGCTATTTCTCTCTTTAGCTCTAATAACATTTCCTTAATATATCTAGGTGCTGCATTGTTCGGTGTATATATATTTAAATTTTTTTCTTTTTTTTTTTTTGAGACAGAGTCTCACTCTGTCACCCAGGGTGGAGTGCAGTGTCACAATTCTGGCTCACTGCAACTTCTGCCTCCTGGGTTCAAGTGATTCTCCTGCCTCAGATGCCTGAGTAGCTGGGAATACAGGTGCGTGCCACCACACCCAGCTAATTTTGTATTGTTAGTAGAGATGGAGTTTCACCATGTTAGCTAGGCTGATCTCAAACTCCCGACCTCAGGTAATCCACCTGTCTCAGCCTCCCAAAGTGCTGGGATTACAGGCATGAGCCACCACGCCCAGCCAATTGTTACATCTTCTTGCAGAATTGACCCATTTATCATTATATAGTGACCTTCTTTGTCTCTTTTTATAGTTTTTGTTTTAAAATATATTTTGTCTGATGTAAGTATAGCTACTCCTGCTCTTTTTTGGTTTCTGTTGGCACGTAGTATCTTTTTCATTCCTTTTATTTTCAGTCTATGTATATCTTTATAAATATGTGAAGTGTGTTTCTTGTATGAAACAGATGAACGGGTCTTGTTTTTTCATCTATTCAGCTACTCTATGTCTTTTGAGTGGAGAGTTTAGTCCATTTACATTCAATGTTATTATTGGTAAGTAAGAACTTAATCCTGCCATTTTGTTATTTGTTTTCTGGTTGTTTTGTGGCGTTTCTTTCTTCTTTCCTTCCTTCCTGTCTTCCTTTTAGTGAAGGTGGTTTTTTTCTGGTGATATGATTTAGTTTCTTGCTTTCAATTTTTTGTGTATCTGTTGTATGTTTTTTAGTCTGAGGTTAACATGCTTGCAAATATTATCTTACAACCCATGATTTTAAGCTGATAACAACTTTAAGCTGATGACAACATAGCACTTTTTACCTAAAGAAACAGACAAATAAGCAAAAAGAAAACAATAAAAACTTGCCTCAACTTTGTCCCTTCACTTTTTAACTTTTTGCTGTTTCTATTTATATCTTAATGTAATTTCTGTGTCTTAAAATGTTGTTGTAGTTATTATTTTTATTGCTTCATCAGTTAATCTTTCTACTTAAGGGTATTTTACACACAACAGTTATAGTGTGATTGTATTCTGTGTTCTTCTGTATACTTACTATTATCAGTGAGTTTTTTTTTTACCTTCAGATGATTTCTTATTTCTCATTAACATATATTTTCTGATTGAAATACTCATGTTAACATTTCTTATAGGACAGAACTGATGTTGATGAAATCCCTCAGCTTCTGTTTGTCTGGGAAAGTCTTTGTTTCTCTTTCATGTTTGAAGGCTATTTTCACCAGATATACTATTCTAGGGTAAAAGTTTTTTTCCTTCAGCACTTTAAATATGTCATGCCACTGTTTCCTGGCCTATAAGCTTTCCACTGAAAAGTCTGTTGCCAGACGTATTGGAGCTCCATTGTATGTTATTTGTTTCTTTTCTCTTGCTGCTTTTAGAATTCTTTCTTTATCCTTGGCCTTTGGGAGTTTGATTATTAAATGCCTTGAGGTAGCCTTCTTTGGGTTAAATCTGCTTGGTGTTCTACAACCTTCTTGTACTTTGATATTGAAATATTTCTCTAGGTTTGGGAAGCTCTGTTATTATCCCTTTGAATAATCTTTCTACCCCATCTCTTTCTCTACCTCCCCTTTAATGCCAATAACTCCTGCATTTGCTATCTTGTGGCTATTTTCTAGATCCTGTAGACAAACTTCATTATTTTTTATTCTTTTTTCTCCTCTAACTGTGTATTTTCAAGTAGCCTGTCTTCGAATTCACTAATTCTTTCTTCTGCTTGATAAATTCTGCTATTAAAAGACTCTGATGTGTTTTTCAGTATGCCAATTGCATTTATGAGCTCCAGGATTTCTGCTTGATTCTTTTTAACTTAACAATCTCTTTGTTAAGTTTATCTGATAGGATTCCAAATTCCTCTTCCATGTTATTTTGAATTTCTTTGAGTTTCCTCAAAGCAGCTGTTTTTTTAAAATTATACTTTAAGTTTTAGGGTACATGTGCACAACGTGCAGGTTTGTTACATATGTATACATGCGCCATGCTGGTGTGCTGCACCCATTAACTCGTCATTTACATTAGGTATATCTCCTAATGCTACCCCTCCCAGCAAACTATCGCAAGGACAAAAAACCAAACACCTCATGTTCTCACTCATAGGTGGGAATTGAACAATGAGAACACTTGGAAACAAGAAGGGGAAAACAGTTGTTTTGAATTCTCTGTCTGAAATGTCATATATCTGTTTCTCCAGAATGACTCCTGGTCACTTATTTGTTTCATTTGATGATGTCATGTTTTCCTGAATTGTCTTGATACTTGTAGCATCTATGTCTGGGCATTGAAGAGTTAGGTATTTATTGTAGTCTTTGCAGTCTGAGCTTGTTTGTAACCATTCGTCTTGAGAAGGCTTTCCAAATATTCAGAAGGACTTGGGTATTGTGATCTAAGCTGTATCTACTTTACGGGGGATTTCAAGCCTGGTAATGCTGTGGTTCTTGCAGACTCATAAAGGTACTGTCTTGATGGTGTTAGACAAGATCTGGAAGAATTCTCTGGATTGCCAGGCAGAGATTCTTGTTTTCTTACCTTATTTTCTCCCAAACAAACAGAGTCTCTGTCCGTTTTGAGCTACTTGGAGCTGGAGGTGGAATGACACAAACATCTCTGTGGCCACCATCCTAGGACTGTCCTGGGTCAGACCTGAAGCTAGCACAGCATGGGGTCTTGCCCAAGGCCTGCTGTAACTACTCCCTGACTAGCTACTGCCTATATTTGCTCAAGGATCTGGGACTCTACAATCAGCAGATGGCAAAGCCAGCCAGGCCTGTGTCCTTCCCTTCAGGGCAGCAAGTTCCCCCATGCCCTGGGTGGGTTCAGTGTGCCATCCAGAAGTCAGGGACTAGATGTGAAAACTTTAGAAGTCTACCTGGTGTTCTCTTCTACTGTGGCTGAGCGGGACTCAAGCCACAAGACAGTTTTTCCCATCCTTCCTTCCCCTTTCAAAAGGCAAAGAAACCTCACTTGATGGCCACTGATACCTCAGGCCCACAGGGAGTACTCCCAGACTACCAGTAATGTTCCCTTAAGGCCCAAGGGCTCTTCATTCAGCTTGTGGTGATGCTTACTTGCCTAAGACTCACCCTTCGGGCAAGTGGGCTTTGCTGTGGCCCAGGGCAAGTCTCTGGAATTGGGGACCCCAAGAACCTGCTTGGTACTCTACCCTGCTGTAGCCAAGCTGATACCTAAGGTACGAGACAAAGTCTCCTTTACTTTTCTCTCTGCTTTTCTCAAGCAGGAGTCCTACCCTGCAGCCACCACAGCTGGGAATGTGCTGACTCTCACCTGAAGCCAGCAAGTCTTAGAGTCTCACTCAAGATCCTTGATGTAGTACCTAGGAATCATTGCTGGTTATTTAGGGCCCAAGGGCTCTTTAGTTAGCAGGTGACAAATGCTGCCAGGACTGGTTCCTTCTCTTCAAGGCAGGGGGTTCTGTTCAGGTTCAGGGTATGCCTAGAAATGTCATCTGGGAGCTAGGACCTGGAAAGGTGCTCTCATGACTCTGATTGGTGCCCTATCTTGCTATGGCTGAGTTGGTCTCCAAGATGCAAGACAAAATCCTCCCCACTTTTTTGTGTTCTCGTCTCAAGTGGAAGAAAGGGGTCTCTTTTGGAGCTATAAGCTGTGCAGCATGGGGTTAGGGGAGGGGTAATGCTAGCACTCCTTTAACTGTCCAAACTAATGTCCCAGTAGTTCCAGTAATTTACGTTTCCACCTTCCCCGCAAGTCCACTGGCTCCGGGCCCAGGTCAGACTGATGAACACAAGGACTCACCTAGGTGTTGCAGTCTTTGTGGCCTAGATTGCCTATAAAGTTTATTTCAGGCCCCGGAGCCCTTTAGCCTGCAGTGACGAGGCTTGCAGGAACTCAAGTTCTCAATGAGATTGGCGATTTCCCTCCAGCTAGAGCTGGTTTAAATGCTTCCTCTGTGAGCAGGAGTCAACTGAGTTTGGTTCAGTTTTGCTTTCTGCTATAGTAAGGGCAGCAGTGAGTTCAATGCCTCACAATTGCTGGCTCTCCCTCTCTGCAGTGCATGTAAATGCTCTCCACACCATGCTGCCACTGCCGAGGGTTAAGGGTAAGAGAGGGGTGGTGTTGGCAATTCAGTATGGTTTTTAATACATCTTCAGTGCCTCTTTCAGTGAGGTGAAGTTAAAACCAGGTACTGTGAGTGCTCACCTGATTTTTGGTTCTTATAAAAGTGCTTTTTTTGGTGTGTGGAGATAGTTGTTAAATAGGTGTCCCTGAGGGGTGGGGGATGATCAGTGGAGACTTCTATGTCACCATCTTGCTCTGCCCACCTCTGAGCTATATTTTTTTAGGGTTAGTAGTTACCTTTCCTTTCTTGAAGGTTGAGTCAAGTCCCTTCATGCATGCAAGAATCCCCTCAGTTTTAAGTCTCGGAAAATTTACAAGATGTGCTTTCGTTTTAATGCTGATCATAGGCCCATCGTATGCATGAAGTACAAGCTGGATTTTTGAATGATGGGTAATGTAGAACTGGGTGTCAGTGCTCTTTTTTTTGGCTATATCTAAATTGGTCAAATGAAACATTATGGATCTCAACGGTGATCTTTTAAGAATTGCAGATTTGCCATATTGATTTGCCATTAGTTTCAATTCATCAAATTCATTTGACTTGTAAAGTTCAATGAAAATGCATTGAAGAGAAACAGTTTGATAGGACAATTAGACTTGCCTCCAGTTTGTAGGAAGCTCAAGAAATTCAGTAAACTTTGTGAAGAGCCCATTTCAAGACATATTTCAGCAAAGAAACTGCTTAACAATTTCTGACAATAGGTTTTATCTTTGTTTTTATCGCTGTTATTCCCATCCTTTATGCTTTTTAGAGTATGTATATTATATTTACCCTGTAAAGGTTCTATGGAGATGAAAAGGGTGCATTGTAACAAAAACAAATTTTGAGAGTCAATACGATGTCTATTCTCCTATTTACTAGGCTAACCCTGGAGCTCCACTCAGGGTGGATATACTGAGCCTTATTCACCTTTGTACTCAAAAGCACAACACAGTCTTGCTAATAAAGGACAGATTAAAATGTCAATAAACTAAAGTAATCACAGTAATAGTTAATATTTACTGAATGCCTAAAATATTCTAGGCAATGTTCTAGGAGCTTCACATGCAATTGACTCAATGTTCTGGTTTGCTTGGGACTGAGGGGTTCTCTGAGATGCAACACTTTCCATGGTAAACTCAGGTAAACTCTGACGGTTGGTTATTCTATCACATATCACATGTGTTGACACCAACCAATCTGTAGAATAATTAGGGCTACTAAATAATCAAACATAGGGTCTTATTACAATATTGTCCTCAAATAATAGGGTGCTGGAAACATTCATTAACTTTCCCTAGTACCACTGAGTCCCCAGGTCTTCAATAAATTACTTACGGCTCAGCAGCACATCGCACTTATTCTAAAATTGACCACATAATTGGAAGTAAAACACTCCTCTGCAAATACAAAAGAATGGAAACAGAGACAAAGAGCCTCTCCAGCCACAGTGCAATCAGATTAGAACTCAGGATTAAGAAACTCACTGAAAAACACACAACTACATGGAAACTGAACAACCTGCTCCTCAATGACTACTGGGTAAATAATGAAATTAAGGCAGAAATAAATAAGTTCTTTGAAACTAGTGAGAACAAAGACACAACGTACCAGAATCTCTGGGACACATTTAAAGCAGTGTGTAGAGGGAAATTGATAGCACTAAATGCCCACAAGAGAAAGCAGGAAATATCTAAAATTGACACCTTAACATCACAATGAAAAGAACTAGAGAAGCAACAGCAAACAAATTCAAAAGTTAGCAGAAGACAAGAAATAAGTAATATCAGAGCAGAACTGAAGGAGACAGAGACATGAAAAACCCTTCAAAAAATCAATGAATCCAGGAGCTGGTTTTTTGAAAAGATCAACAAAATAGATAGACCTCTAGCCAGACTAATAAAGACAAGAGAGAAGAGTCAAATAGACGCAATAAAAAATGATAAAGGGGATATTACCACTGATCCCACAGAAAGACAAACTACCATCTGAGAATACTATAGAGACCTCTACGCAAATAAACTAGAAAATCTAGAAGAAATGGATAAATTCCTGGACACATACACCCTCCCAAGTCTAAACCAGGAAGAAATCAAATCCCTGAATAGGCCAATAACAGGTTTTGAAATTGAGGCAGTGATTAATAGCCTACCAACCAAAAAAAGTCCAGGACCAGACGGATCCACAGCCGAATTCTACCAGAGGTACAAAGAGGAGCTAGTACCATTTCTTCTGAAATGATTCCAAACAATAGAAAAAGAGGGAATCCTCCCTAAATCATTTTATGAGGCCAGCATCATCCTGATACGAAAACCTGACAGAGACACAACAAAAAAAAAAAAAGAAAAATTCAGGCCAATATCCGTGGTGAACATTGATGCAAAAATCCTCAATAAAATACTGGCAAACCGAATCCAGCAGCACATCAAAAAGCTTATCCACCACAATCAAGCTGGCTTCATACCTGGGATGTAAGGCTGGTTCAACATACACAAATCAGTCAACATAATCCATCACATAAACAGAACCAATGACAAAAACAACATGATCATCTCGATAGATTCAGGAAAGGCCTTCGACAAAATTCAATACCCCTTCATGCTAAAAGCTCTCAATGAACTAGGTATTTGTGGAACATATCTCAAAATAGTAAGAGCTATTTATGACAAACCCACAGCTAATATCATACTGAATGGGCAAAAACTGGAAGCATTCTGTTTGAAAACTGGCACAAGACGACGATGCCCTCTCTTACCACTCCTGTTCAACATAGTGTTGGAAGTTCTGGCCAGGGCAATCAGACAAGAAAAAGAAATGAAGAGTATTCAAATAGGAAAAGAGGAAGTCAAATTGTCTCTGTTTGCAGATAACATGATTTTATATTTAGAAAACCCCATTGTCTCAGCCCAAATCTGCTTAAGCTGATAAACAACTTCAGCAAAGTCTCAGGATACAAAATCAATGTGCAAAAATCACAAGCTTTCCTATACACCAATAATAGACAAACAGAGGGCCAGATCATGAGTGAACTCCCATTCACAATTGCTACAAAGAGAATTAAATACCTAGGAATCCAACTTACAAGGGAAGTGAAGGACCTCTTCAAGAAGAACTACAAACCACTGCTCAAGGAAATAAGAGAGGACACAAACAAATGGAAAAACATTCCGTGCTCTTGGATAGGAAGAATCAGTATCATGAAAAGGGCCATACTTCCCAAAGTAATTTATAGACTCAATGCTATCCCCATCAAGGTACCATTGACTTTCTTCACAGACTTAGAAAAAAACTACTTTAACTTCATACGGAACCAAAAAGAGCCTGCATAGCCAAGACAATCCTACGCAAAAAGAAGGAAGCTGGAGGCGTCACGCTACTTGACTTCAAACTACACTACAAGGCTACAAGTAACCAAAACAGCATGGTACTGGTACCAAAACAGATATATAGACAAATGAAACAGAACAGAGGCCTCAGAAATAATACCACACATCTACAACCATCTGATCTTTGACAAACCTGACAAAAACAAGCAATGGAGAAAGGATTCCCTATTTAATAAATGGTGTTGGGAAAACTGGTTACCAATATGCAGAAAACTGAAACTGGACCCCTTCCTTACACCTTATGCAAAAATTAACTCAAGATGGATTAAAGACTTAAATGTAAGACCTAAAACCATAACCTTGGGAGAAAACCTAGGCAATACCATTCAGGACAGGCATGGGCAAAGACTTCATGACTAAAACACCGAAGCAATGGCAACAAAAACCAAAACTGACAAATGGGATCAAATTAAACTAAGGAACTTCTGCACAGTGAAAGAAACTATCATCAGAGTGAACAGGCAACCTACAGAATGGGAGAAAATTTTTGTAATCTATCCATCTGACAAAGGGCTAATATCCAGAATCTACAAAGAACTTAAACAAACTTACAAGAAAAAAACAAACAACCCCATCAAAAAGTGGGCGAAGGATATGAACAGACACTTCTCAAAAGAAGACATTTATGCAGCCAGCAAACATATGAAAAAAAGCTCATCATCACTGTTCATTAGAGAAATGCAAATCAAAACCATAATGAGATACCATCTCACGCTAGTTAGAATGGTGATTATTAAAAAGTCAGGAAACAACAGATGCTGGAGAGGATGTGGAGAAATAGGAACCCTTTTACACTGTTGGTGGGAATGTAAATTAGTTCAACCATTATGGAAGACAGTGTGGTAATTCCTCAAGGATCTAGAACCAGAAATACTGTTTGACCCAGCAATCCCATTACTGGGTATATACCCAAAGGATTATAAATCATTCTACTATAAAGACACATGCACATGTATGTTTGTTGCGGCACTATTCACAATAGTAGACTTGGAACCAACCTAAATACCCATCAATGATAGACTTGGATAAAGAAAATGTGGCACATATACACCATGGAATACTGTGCAGCCATAAAAAAGGATGAGTTCATGTAGTTTACAGGGACATGGATGAAGCTGGAAACCATCATTCTCAGCAAACTATCACAGGAACATAAAACCAAACACCACATGTTCTCACTCATAAATGGGAGTTGAACAATGAGAACACACGGACATGGGGGGGGATATCACACACTGGGGCCTATCAGGAGGTTGGGGACTAGGGGAGGGATAACATTAGGAGAAATGCCTAACATAGATGAGGGGTTGAAGGGTGCAGCAAACCACCATGGCATGTGTATACCTATGTAATAAACCTGCACGTTCTGCACATGTACCCCAGAACTTAAAGTATAATAATTAAAAAAAAGAAAATAAAAAATTACTTACAGACAACAAATTCTTTAAAAGTGATTTTTAAATTACAAATTTGTCTTGAATTTACTTTTTTACTTGGGAATATAGTTACTATTTGTTGAGGTTTCTGCGGTCTTTACATATATTGTTTCATTTAATTCTGAAAACAAGCTTTTGGAGTAGAAGTTACTACTCATTTATAGAGGAGTTAATTGTGACTCAGAGAAGTAAAATAATCTACTTCAAGTCACAGATAAGTGGCAAGGCAAAGAACACTGTCATTGTACCACCTTTGCCCTTTGTGGGTTTACAAATCTGCCTCCCAAATAACAGAGAGATCTGATGTGAAGAGGGTGTGTTTAACATGCACATACCAGAAGTTCTTCAACCAGAATCCCACTCCCAGGCTTCTCCAGATTAAAGGTAGGCACTGTTCCTTGGTGTTAGGTTCTCCCAAGGATACTCTTGCTTTCTGCTCTGGAAACAGGACTGGGCATGCTCTGTGTTCTGTATCTTAGCAGACAAGTAGCTGGAGGTAAGAAGGAGGTGAGGATCTCAGCTTCTACCCAATCAGATGGCTTCAATTTCTGAGTGTTTGGGAGGATGTGAAATGTCCCAGCACTCTTCACTCCTACAGATGCTCTTTGGAGATCTCCCTCTAATTAATTTACAGTCTTTGCTTTCAGAAGTGCTTGAAGGATATAGTCACTGGATCCGTTTGCCTACTTCTCAGCAAGTCTTCTGGGTATGTGACTCATATGTAGAAAATGTGGTGTGGTAGCTGTGCGAATGTGCCACTCAGATCTCCTGCAGAAGGCATAATTGACTGACAATCCCAGCTACTTGTTCTGAATCCATCACTGCATTTGTGTCAGAGCCACATTTCCCACAGACTACTCCCAGCCAAGCCAGTGATTAAATGTGTCAGGGATACTAAGACAGGCCTATTTCTACCATGGAGAATTTTTGGAAGCATAACTTTGGTTTAAGGACTTCCCATTGGTCTGCTCCAAAACTTAGAGTTTTGCTGTAAGTTGAGTAACTTCCTATCCAACCCTTTCTTCCCTTTCTCCTTCACAGGGGTGAGAGAAGAATGGTATTTTCAAGGTTCTCTCTGTTGCCACTGGTGCCCTTCCTTTTTCCCTAGTAGGCATTTCCCCCAATACATCTATTGCACATCTACAGTTTCCTCAGAGAACCCAAACTAACACATTGGTAATTAATGCCCACTGTCCTTTGTTTTGAAGACTTAGCTAAAATTCTAACTTGAGGCAACAGAAAAAATCCCATTTAATGTCTTGCTATGTATGCTGTAGTTTCAAATTTTGGAATATTTGATTTAATGCCAGATTTTTAAAACGAAAACATTTTTGGGTGGTTGAATGGGGGAGTAAACTTGAATCAATAGAATATTTGAGACAAATCATTTTAGTATAGCTTCCTGAGATAATTCTCCAGGTTTTTAGTTCAGTTTACTTGTATAAATGGAAACTCAACTATAAAGGAAATGGCACAATAACAGAAGAGGGTTGATTTGGGACTGAGACCAGCCACTTGGCTCCTGGATTTATCTCTTTCCCTTACTAACTATGGTTGTGAATGCATCCCTCCATCTCTCTGCATTATGCCTTCTTGATCTGGAAAATATGAAATTATTTCATTATACCCAAGAGGAAAGTATTATTATTCCCATTTTGCAGATGATGAAACTAAGGCTGAGAGAGAAGAATTTAACTTGCCCAAGTTAACCTAGCTAGGACACAATAGGATAAAAATTTGGATAGAAGGGTTGGTGGCTATATAGTGTTTATTCTTTTCATCTATTTTAAACTCCATCCAGTAATCCTTAAGGTGTTTCCAATGATTAATTTTATGGATTTATGCACTTGGAATTAAAAAATAACACTTTGTCTAAATGCATATTTTACCTGTGCATGGATTTTCTGTTATGAAGGGAACCACCTTATTGGACAATTTTAGTTTATTTTTTATTGGCTGCTTTACTGAGCCTCATCAAATGTATTTGCTTTGCAGAGCTACAGTGGATTAATCCTGAATAAGTAATTCGGAAATGTTTTTATTCATTTCTATGGAAACCATCTATTTGGATTTTCATATATCAAGATCATAGAGATTTGTCCCAGTCCAATTGCAATCTTAGTTACAGCAGTGTTGGCTTACATATTAAAGGCATAGTTTTGCTCTGATGGCCCTTCAGAAATCTGTAATTGATGTGGAACACTGACACTAACAGAATGTGTCCTATGAAGTCCTACGAGTTAGACTTCTGCAGATTAGTGGAATCTTTCTTGATGGAACAAGCCCTTTGGAATTTATTAACATCATTTGCCTCTCCTATTAACTATTCCCTTCTCACACAATCCATCTGATGTGCCTTTGCTGGCATTTTAAAGGGTCAAACCTCCATCTGTGAGTCAAACTGATATCTGAGGTCATATATATCGGAAACATAGTTCTTGACTTTTGTATTAGTCCGTTCTTGCGTTGCTATAAAGAAATAACCCGAGACTAGGTGATTTAGAGAGAAAAGAGGTTTAGTTGGTGCATGGTTCTGCAGGCTGTACAGGAAGCATGACTGGGGAGGCATCAGGGAGCTTTTATTCGTGGCGCCAGGCAGAGCCAGAGCAGGCATCTTCACATGGGTGGAGCAGAGAACCCTCTCTTCTCTCTTGGAAGAGAGAATGGGGAGGTGCCACACACTTTTAAAGAACAAGATCTTGTGAGAACTCACTATCAGGAGAACAGTAGCAAAGGGATGGTGCTAAACCATTCATGAGAAACCCACCCCCATGATCCAATTCCCTCCCACCAGGCTCCTCCTCCAACATTGGGGATTACAATTCAATAAGAGATTTGACCGGCTACACAGATCCAAACCATATCAACTTTTTACTGTCAGATAGAACTTTTCTTTTGAAATTTTGGGATGAACAATATTTCCTTTATATATTTCTTTTCTACAGAACAAACCCCTACCTTTGATTCTCAGAGTATGTCATACTGCCTCCAACATGACTTTACACCCCTGCCCCACCAGCTTTAGGGCTCTTTGTGCCAGGGTCTCCTTTGCTGAGGGGGCTGTTTGTGGAAAGGTAGGTGGTGGGCTCATGCCATTCAGACCTCCTGGAGGGTGTGCACTGTGTTTAAAGAAAGCATACTGTAGGGGATGGCCTCGATATCTAAGACTCATGTTAGAAATTTAAGCTGGCCAGGCACAGTGGCTCACACTTGTAATCCCAGCACTTTGGGAGGCTGAGGTGGGTGGATCATGAGGTTGGGAGTTTGAGACCAGCTTGGCCAATGTGGTGAAACTCCATCTCTACTAAAAATACAAAAATTAGCTGAGCATGGTGGTGCGCTCCTGTAGTCCCAGCTACTTGGGAGGCTGAGGCAGGAGAATCACTTGAACCTGGGAGGCGGAGGTTGCAGTGAGCCGAGATCACACCACTGCACTCCAGCCTGGGTGACAGAGCAAGACTCCATCTCAAAAAAAAAAAAAAAAAAAAAAAAAGAAATTTAAGCCTAAATTTTCCAGCTATAAATCCTGGAGAGTTTATAATAAATATTCAAGATTACCTATGTGTCCATCCATCTGTCTCTCTCATCTATCTTTTCTTGTTTCTTTCAAGTCAAATAATTATATAAAATTATTTCTTAAAACATTGATTACCTACAACTGATTTATTATCCATAAAACAACATCTAATTTGCCCAAATATTACATAACATCTCTATCAATTCAGTGTCATGAGTTATTTAAAAAGCCAACCCAGAAGTCCTAGGCTTTTAATGTAGGAGAAAGTCAGGCCATTTTGATGAACTTTGTTTAGTCTTCCTTCATGCTATGCCTGATAGTATTATAATTATATAAGCTTTCATTTGGTCTATCTTTATATTTAAATGCTGTCTTTTATAAGCATCATTCATTTTTAAAACCAATCTGACAAACTTATTCTTTTACTAGGACTATTTAGTTCCTTTTTCTTTAATGAAATTACTGGTATGTTTGGTTTTACATCTCCCATCTTACTATTTGCTTTCTATTTTGGCTGTATTAATATTATCTTTCCTCTACTTTCTTGATTTTTGAATTAAATATTTACATTATTTCTTTTTCATCCTGCTCATTTATTAATTTTACACCTTATTCTTCTTTTAATATTTGTCCTACAGATCACAACATACATCCTTGACTTATTACAAATTATTACTCTGAACTCTTTCCTAATGTTACTAGAAACCTAGAACCTTTGAACTTTATTTATCTTTCCCTCCTGCCTTTCAAATAATTCATGTTATGTATTTAAGGTGCCTATAAACTTAAAATTTCACAAGAATTCACAGTTTTTATACAATCTATATTTATTTATAGTTATTCACATATTTATCCTTTCCTGTGTTCTTAATTTTCTCCTGTTTTTTTCCATGTTTCCATCTCTGATTATTTTCCTTTGCCTGAAAATCTTCCTTTGGTATTTCTTTTATGCAGACCTACTGACAATGAACTCCCTTAGTTAGTTAGTTTGTTTGTTTTTTTGCTTGAAATTGTCTTTATTTTCAGTGATGAGAGAATATTTTTTACCAGATACTGAATTCTGGAATGGTTTTTGTTTTCTTGCAGCACTTCAAAAATGTTATTCTAATGTCTCTGGCTTCAGTCATTTCTGTTCAGAACTAAGTCGAAAGCCACGTTATTGCTCCTTTGAAAATAATATGATATTTTTCTCTAGCTATTTTTAAGAATCTCTGTTTTTTAGGAATTTTACTGTACTTTCATACAGTATGTTTCAGAAATGTACTGTGTGGTTTTCTTTGTCTTTATCCTGCTTGGTGTTTGTTGAGCTTCTTAAATCTGTGAGTCAATATCCTTTAACGGTTTTGGAAAATTCTTGGCCAATACCTCTGAGACTGCTGGTTTTCTATCATCTCTCTTCTTGCTTTCTTGAACTGTAATAATACACATGTTAGACATTTTGAGCATGTCCTAGAAGTCTCTTCCACTTCAATCTATATATTTTTTCTATTCTTTGTTCTCTCTGTGCTTCATTTTGGATACTTTCTGTTAATCTCTCTTCCAGTTTAGACACGAATCCTGTGTCTAATTTGCCATTAATGCCATCCACTGAGTTCTTAATTTAAGATACTGTGTTTTTTAGTTCTAGAGTAACTACTTGATTCTTTTTTTAAAAAATAGACTCTAATTCTGTGGTTAGAGCTTTCATCGTTTCATTTATATTTTCTACTTTTTTGTATTTAACATATTGATCATAGTTATTTGTTTGCTGATTCAAACATCTGGATCATCAGTGGGTCTATTTCTCTTCATTGCTTTATTCTGTAGATTATAAGTCACATGATTTTTTTTCATGAGTAACAATTTTTGGCTGAATGAATGCTTTTGTGTATGAAAGAACTGTAGGCTCCATATGGTTTTATCTTCTATCAGAGAAGGAGTCCCCTTTTCTGTTATGCAGATAGAGTGAGGAAGTTATTATCTTAATTCATTCAGGGATCAAGCTTGGCTGGAACTCATTTTAGTAAGATTCAATCTATACTTGGTTTGTCACTCTTCCTAGGGTAGGCCCTCCCAGGCTTTTGGCTGTGAGTCCAGTCAGCCCTGCAGTTTGCAGGAGATTCAGATTTTCCCTTTAGAGGAGTTCAGCCTAACATTTATTTATTTGTTTGTTTGTTTATTTATTTAGAGACAGGATCTCACTCTGTTGCCCAGGCTAGAGTGCAGTGGTGCTATCTCGGCGCACTGCAACCTCTACTTCCCAGGCTCAAGTGATCCTCCTGCCTCAGAGTAGCTGAGAATACGGGCATGCACCACTACGCCCAGGTAATTTTTGTATGTTTTGCAGAGACAGGGTCTTGCCATGTTGCCCAGGCGGGTCTTGAACTCCTGGGTTCAAGCAATCTGCCCGCCTCTGTCAGCGTAACTTTTTATCCTCACAAATCATACCATTTTAATATTGGCAAATGTCTTTAGGGGGTGAGCAGTCATGTATTTGAAAGAGTTTTCTTCACCTTGAAAATCTTTAATTTCTAAGCACTGTGAGATTGTGGGAGCTATTTTCTGCCTTTTGGAAGTTTTTGGCCTAGCTTTTTATCTTCCTGGGCAATACCAGAACTCCAAAATTCCCTTCAAGGAAAACTGGCTGTGTTTAAGGCTTCTCAAGTTTTCATTTTTGTCAGTCCAGTTTTGTGTGGCAGCTAACACTTTTGCTGGTTTCTCTTTCCAGTAGCATAGCCTCTTCTCTTTCTGAGCCAAGGTTGATCAACTTTTGGTCAGAACTGGAAAACGTTCCTAGAGAAAAATATTAGTGGCCATAATCAGCTCATCTAGGAACTCTGTTCTCCTCTGGAATTTTAATTAATCTAGTCCTAATTGCTTTCATAGATCTCTCATGCCTTTAACAATGTTAAACAAAATACCATTCATCTTTTGCTAGTTGTCACAGTGGAAATCTTGGCCTGCTCTGAACTACTTTATTCTATCTGGACATAAAAGTTCTTGCCTTCACACTTCATTATTCAAACCATCATCCAATACACTAATCTGGAAATGATTGTACTACTATTTTTGATCTAGCACTTTTCCATGTGAAAATGGCTTAGTTATTATCTGCTGTATTTTCAAGGACTACCTTACAAACATTAATTGAAAAAATATCTCTTATTTTCTACCCATTCTTCATGACTGACTCTGTATACAGCCTTTGCCTCAGTCTTCCTTGAGTCCCCTAGTTGGACATAAACTTCTTTCTGGAACTCCCACAACACCTTATTTGTATGATTTTATTGCACATATACTTTACATTATGGTTACTTACGTATTAAGAGCTTCATCCACACTGGGAGGAATCAATAAATAAAAGACTGACTGTAATACTGGGGATATATTTTGGGGATACCAAGAGAGTTATTACATACTAATCCTCATTGTTTGTGAAGAGACCACCTAGGAAGCAATATTTGTGAATGTTTCCTGAGCTGGAGGCAAGAATCACACCAGTACTATCCATTTGCTTTTCGGAAAAAAGATTTTCATAATAGTAGGGTTAAAATTCTGGTTTTTCACAGCCATTAAATAAGGGGAACATGGTTAATATGACAAAAGCAACTAGTGGTCACATACTTACAGACCTTTGTATCAAAGGCTATTGTAGGGCTTATTATATTGGTAGCAGTTAGGATCCAGAACATCCATGTACAATTTACATTTTCAAGATTATGCACATAAAATTTCTGAGTCAGAAATGACTCTGCTACTCCAGGAATTCTAATACCCCTAAAATCAACCACCATTTAAGCAACTGAGCACTGCTGTGAGCAAACATGGTGGGGAAACACAACATTCAGACGTTGCCTCTTATACACCAAGGGGCTTAGTTAAAACAAGGCATAAATATTACACATAAAACACCATCAATATTAGAAAATATGTGACAGAAGCTACATGAATAATGCAGCTGGTAAATATTCTAAAGACATAGAGGAGATGATGACTATTCTAGGGGTGGTCTAGTTAGACACGAGGATTATATCTTCTCATGGGACCTCATATAGCCTCATGTAGCTTATATAGCCTCAAGGGACTTTGGCTTTAAAGTTCCTTTTCTTTTTTCTTTCTATCCTGTGAATTGGATTAATACAACCAATTGTGTTGGAAGAGAAAAGAATAAACTTAATATGGCTTTCCATCCCAGCTGGCTTTAATAGTCCCAATTGCTTTTAAGAAAAACTTGTAAGACAAGTAAAGAACTTCCTGCCAAACTGTATGAATGCCATCTGGCCTGGTGTGGAAGCTTGGTGGTCTAAGTCCATTCATTAAAAAAGTACAATTTACCACAGCTATTCTGGAAGAGCCTGCAGGTGGAAGGAGCTGCAGTGTTTCTCATCAGAAATGTTAAATGAAAAAAAGGATCAGAGATGAACCAAATAAGCAATGTCCCTGAAGATCCGAAACTTAGAGATTTCAAAGTGTTATGGTGAAATAATAATAGTAGTTGGGTAGAACATGAACTGTAGAATAAAATTGGTGAAAGGGAATCAGAAAAAAAAACAGACATAACAGTTGTTTCTTCCAGTTTTTAGATTGCCTTTCATAGACAAAGACTTCTTCCTGTAGATGTATCGGTGGCATTAGTTGGGTAGGGCGCTTTAGTTTTGATTCTGGGTATGTGCAGTAGGGTAGTTGTTGTATGATTTCTTTGGCTGTCAGTAGTGTCAATGGTGTCTGTGATTTCCTCAGTGGCTTAGGCTGAAGTTGTTAGTGGAGGCTATGGTGAGACTTTGCTTAGGATGGGGAGGCCAGGTGGGCCAGTCCTGGGGCCCCTGTAATGGCAGTGGTGAGCTAAGCGTGCCTGTCCTTGGGTCCCCCTGGTGGTGTACATGGGCACTGGTATTAGTGGGTCTAGGAAGACCAATTCTTGGGCCTCCAGGCTACCTGATGGCAGTGACAGCAGTGGGCTGGGTGGCTGGGCAGGCCTCAGGTTGCTGGGCAGTGTGTATGGCATGCATGATGGCAGTAGCAGTAGTAAGATAACCTCAGGCTCTCAGATGGCATGAGCTGGTGTCAGCGGTGGCTGCTATGGCTGGGTGAGGCAGTCCCCAGGCCCCTGGTGACATGTGTGGGTGGTACCAGTGTTGGTGGTGGTAGCAGGCTGAGTGGGCCTGTTCTCAGGCCTCCAAAAAGAGTGCACAGACGTCAGTGGCGGGAGGTGAGGTGGGGTGATTCTCAGGTTTCGATGGTATGCTTGGGTGCTGGTGGCAGGTTTTGTGGGACTGTTATTATGGTGCACATGTGCACTTGAGGTGACTGATGGGTCAACTGTTCCAGATTTGAGCAACGTGATTGGAAGCAAAGAGCCTGCTATCTCCCTGCAACCAAATGTTCACCTTTCCCCAGCCTACCCCTACAGGCCATTGTGTTGTATATAAGGGATTTGGAAGGCCACAGAATAAGAGTCAGCTTAATAAATAAAGAAGGGAAAGGGAGGTTACAATCAAGGATCACTTTATTACTTTATCTGAAGTGATATAATTCTTCTGTGCTTGAGGAGTGGACAGTCCCACGCATTAATTTACTTCATTGTCTTGTCTTTAGCATCATTAGTGAACTAAAATACACTAAAATAATACTACTGCTGCTAATGTTAACAATTAACGTTTACTGGGTCCTTAATATATGCTAGGCAACAACCTAGAATAGAATAAGCCACTCAAGCTTCAATTTATAGAAAAATTTTTCTTATTCTAAACTTTTGTGTTGCATTCTTGAAGCACATTTTTACTATGCATATCTAAACATGCACTTTTTGTTATTGCACCAAGCCTATAGAGTCAACAAATGTAGAATACCTTTGCTATGGCCTGAATGTTTGTCCCCTCCAAAACTCATATTAAAGTTTAATTGCCATTGTAACAATATTAAGAGGTGAGGTCTTTCAGAGGTGTTTAGGTCACAGGGGCTCACCTTCATGGGTGGAATTGGTGCCACTATAAAAGGGCACATTGGGCCTCCCTTGTCTCTCTCACTTTCTTGGTTTCCACCATGGGATGACACAGTAAGAAGGCCCTGGCCAGATGGCAGAAAGTTGGTGTTGGACTTTTCAGCCTTCAGAATTGTGCACCAGTAAATTATGCTCATTATAAGTTACCCACTTTCAGGTATTCTGTTCTACCATCACAAAATGGACTAAGATAACCTCCATAAAGACACACCACCCTATATTTGGTGTATATTTATTCTACAATTCAGAGCAGCACTATATAGCTACAGCGACACAAAGCAAATATACTATGTATTTGAATATTTTATTCCTACATTGACCCTTCTGCTGCTTCTTATTGGCATAATATTTTCCACTAAAGTTTTAATATCCTCAAGGTTAGGTGCTTCTAGAAAGTCAGGCATGATCAGTCATGATCGGTCCTTTCTGTGAGAACTCAGTCTATCAAGGTACTCATCAATGTGTATTAGTTGGCTTTGGTGTGCTTTACTACTCTTGTTTTAGCTTATTTATTTGTTTTTAAAAACTATTTTGACCTAAAGAATTAAGTTTAATCAGAAGTCAGGCATTTATAATGATGCTCTTTGGGATATTCAATGAATACTTGATACTTACCATGTTGATAATGATGATAGTTTGTTAAGTGATATAAGTGTCAAGCAGCTGGGAAAATATGACTTTGGCTGAATAGGGTAGAACAAATGCAGACACTAATTTCAAGCTCACAGACACAGCTTAATTAATTTTAAAAATCTGGTCTGTATATGCATTCTTCCAGTTTTAGTCAGTTTTAAGATGTATTCTTAGAAAAAATATCTTTTTTTGTCCCCTCAGTATATTTCCACTTTACCCAAAATTCCTTCAAGTATTAACTAACTAAATATAAAACATGAAAGTACAGTCTAGCGAGGGACATCAAGTAGGTGGCTTATTGGGATTAGGAAAAAGATAAGCATGCCTTCTTAACATCTCATGATATTTAGTCAGCACTGGAGCCTTGGGTATTTCAGGGGATTTGGAGAAGCCCTTCAGCAACTAGCCATTGGCTCAGGAGAAGGGTCTTCTTTCAGTGTGCTACTCTAGTATGTGGAGGAGAAGATCCAATGGAAGGAGAAAGAAACTCCATTACTCTTTCTTGTGGAATATTAGGGAGAATCAAAATATCCTCTAATTTTGAGTTTAATCATCACTAATGATAGATTTGGCTGGGAAGCATTAAAGTAAATTCCCCCCAGCTTACAGGCTTCCGAACGTAGCTCCTGATCTTACACAGCTCTTTGCCTGGAAGGCTGCCCAACTGCTACCCTTAACTGCAAGCCTTAGTTCCCCCTATGTCTCCCATAGCCCCTCTAATTGCCCTGTACAACTACTTCATCAGATCTTCAAAAGAGAATAAAATTAAATACTATGTATTTGATAATTGATTTAATTAAATGTGTGACTCACTTATTCTTTAAAAAGGGTGCAGTTATTTTTAACACAAATGGTGCTTCTAATAATGTGTATAAATATTTAGTTATTTGATCTCAGATAAGTTATGTCTTATTATAACACTCTTGTAGTGAAAACATCAGATTCCACTCATATGATTTTTAACTCACAGCATTTTCCAGAAGTATTCCATAATTTTAGCACTGTCCATACTGTATACATTTACATATTGTGAGAAAGCCAAATAACACTTGTAAATCACAGCTTCAGAACAAAAATATTTAGGCATTTACATATCACAAACCTTCAAACGGTTTAATGTAGAGATTTATACATATGTAAGTAGGATATGAGAGACAGTTGAATTAGTACATAAAGTTTTTATTTAAAGTTTTCCCCTTCCAAGCAAGCTTCATTTACACATTCTAATACTGTACAAAATTTACATTCTCTGTGACTTATTTATTCACTTTTCACTTTCTAGTAACTTATGTCTCTCTGAAATACAGAAAGCTTTACTTATAATTCTCATAAATGCTTTTATTTTGGTGAGAAATAAAAAATAAAATGCAGAACAAGTCTAAGGAAAGCAAAGGTTCTTGTACAAATTGTGACTTTTGGAAGAAACAGTGACAGTTGACAACAAAAGGTTCTGAAGCAGACCTCATTCTATTCATGATGTCAGCTGAGATTTTCCCACAGAGTACTGTAACTTTTCTTTCTATATACTCATATGTTTTAAGGAAAAAGAAATGACAGTTGATTGCACTGGATATACATATATTTATATATATATATTTTTACAACGGATCCTTTGGATCTGAACATACAAATAAATACAAAAACAACGAAGATTGCACTTTACTGTAGAAACGGCATCGGATTCCAGTATACCCATTTATCTTGACGTGCTCTGCCATGAAAGCTTATCACTAAGGCATTTTTCATCTGTGGGATTTCCCTAATTACTGTTTTGAATGACACATTTGTTGAAGGATTCAACACCATCTCTGGATGGTTAAAATATATTTTAGGCTTTTATTTACTCCTAAAGTTGTTGTTCAAGCTCTGGAGGGCTTGAAAATCGAATGTGCATTCCTGTCAGTTTTGTCCTTTTGGTTGGCCACATTGAGACTATCTCATGCTATCCTGACCTTCTGCTCCTGAATTCCTCATGCTCCTCAAGACAACTAGCAATTGCTCGCTTAACTGAGTTCAGGCATCTCTGGTGATAACAAACAAAATATGATGAATTGGGGGAATAACGATCGTAAGTCAAGTGTCTAGAGGCACCCGAAGGTGAGGAAGAGGAGAAGTATTCTGTCAGGTGCTATAATTGGCTCCTGTGGCTCTTGTAAGTTCTGTGTTTTAGAAACAGAAAGACAACTGGAATTCTACTTAATGGAAATTATTCTTTCTTTTCATCCCTGAATTCCTGAAAACAATCTCCCATTTTTTTTTATTATGGATTAAATTTGGGTCAGACATATCATCTAACAGAATCTCTAAAATAGTATTGACTGAATTTGTCAATCCTGTCTTTTGAAGTAAATAACATGTGTGTTCACTACTTATATATCACAAAATATGAAAAAGCACAAACCTCCATGAACTGAATAGTGACATAATATATTTTGTTTTAATCTTTCAGATAAAATTGAGGACACAGAAATGACGACTCTGTCTAGCCTAGAACCTATAGGGTAGAAAGCATTTATTACAAGAGCCAACATCTTTCTCTTTTCTGATCCCATGAGGTGCTGTAAGGGCAGAAGGTGTATGAAATGAAGTTGTATAGAAACGAAAATGCCTCTCTTTAATCTTACATGATTTTCAATAACAGTGTTGCCAATGGAGTCTGTGAAGTAGCCAAAGGTTAAGAGTACAGAATCAAGTGGCAATTTCTGTAATGCAGTGTATTTTGGTGGCTCAAATTTGGAATCATTCTTGAACACAATATCCCCGAAATGTCAACATAGATCACATGCAGGTAGACTACAATGCACAATACTGATCTGAGGTCTCTCTGGGGCCAGTCTTCTGTATTTTATCTTTCTCCTTTTGCAAGTTAAGATTCACATGAAGAGTTTTTGTAAAGCTGGGATAAGTTAAAACCAGTCTGAAATGGAAGAGTCTGTCACCACAGGAAGTTTGGTGCGATCTGAGTTATAGACATAGTATCTGTTCAAGAACAGGTCTCTTTCTTTTGTAGTTACTTATAAATCATCAGAAACCAAGGGTGGGTTTTGGCAGTTGTACCATTAGAATGCATTGTTCCTATTATAATAGTGATGTCACCTGCCATTGCTTCCTAGAATGTGATACTGTTCATTCCAGAGTTTCCTGGTGTTATTTGTTGTATGGTACACAAGAGGGCAGAATAACTGTCACACAGGCAGGGCCTGCCAACGGTTCTGCTACATCTCCTTCGAGTTCTGTCCAGGTTCCTTTCTCTGGACAATAGCATATTGTAGATGACTTGTAGGCCCCCTGTAATGACAGAGGAGGGAGCATTTAGAGAAGGAAGCTAGAGAAGTGCAATGGCAATGTTACTGATCATATTTATTAATATATTGAAAAGAAAATATCTGTTCTCCATTCTTGCTAAATAATTCCAAATGAAAGCAATGGATTTTAAACTGTTCTATTCCAAAGAAAAAGCTAAGATTGACAAAATTTCAAAAAAAATTTTTTTGTGTGTGTGACTAATAATAAAAGTTAAATAAATACCTAGAGGATCCTAGATGCTCAACAAATCCTAAATTGGCTGGGCCCAGTGGCTCATACCTGTAATCACAGAGCTTTGGCAGCTAGGGCGAGAGGATCACTTGAGCCCAGGGGTTTGAGACCAGCCTGGGCAACATAGCAAGACCTCATCTTTACACACACACTAAAAAAGATAAAAACAAATTGGGCATGATAGTGCACATCTGTAGTCCCAGCTGCTTGGGAGGCTAGGACAGGAGGATCGTGGTTACAATGAGCTCTGATCATGCCACTGTACTCCAGCCTAGACAACAGAGTAAGATCTTGGCTTAAAGAAAGAAATACATACATAAAAATAATATACCAAAAATAGAAGTTATCCAGCTGGTTTAAGTTAAAAAAGAAAAGAGAACAAATTTACCTTAAACATTCAAATAGTTAAGACAATTATATTTCAGATTGTTGTCTCACTTCTCCATTTTAATTTTGCTACTGTGAAGAATCAGAGCTAGGATTGAAAACCAGTTCAAAGTAAACTGGAAATGAAAGTTTGTCAACTTTCTCATATATTGATTTATTTATTTTCAAGAGGCCACATGAGAAATAAAATGTCCTTAATCTTGTTTTCTTTGTCAACTTTAGAGGCTAGTGCTTGTGTAACCTTTTCCTCCCCAAACCAAGGCAGCTTTGTGTTTATCATAGGAAAAAAACGAAAGACCCAACCAACCTAATAATTATTTTTCTAAAAATGCCCCAATGTCTGCTTCCAAACAAATACATTCTTGCAGCTAACAATTTGTACAAGCAAACAAGTGCACATATGAATATCTAGTTATATATGTCAATACATATTTGCCTATATAACTAATAATGTTTTAAAGCTCCCCAAAACTTTATGTCACAATCTTGTTAGAGGCAAAAGAAATAAAACCAAATAATATTATTAAAACCACCAAATTAATCTTACAAAACTAACACAGGTAATCAGGAAAATATAAAAATGTTCATCATTTTAAAAGTGAATATGTAATCTGCTAGACCCAATGTGTCTCCTGATGTACTGTAATTTGAACTACAAAGCCACCTTCGCAGGTGTTTTTGCTAAGAAAGAAAAAAGAAGTTAACGAAAGAAATAAATAAAGGAAAAAGAAAGAAGCTGAATTTAATTATGCCCTTATCTCTAACTTCCAGTCTCCAGAAAATATGCAGATGGAGGACTATTTCAAATGACTCCACAAGGAAGTCATTAGCCAATTTCAGAATGTAGGGTATTCTGTATAACTGAACCTCTTTTGTCAAGGAGTCAATGGCATGAAACAAAAAGAGTCAGGGTAATGTTCTAGATTGCAAGAGATATATGAGACATAATGATGAAATATAAGAAAGACTTGTTGGGTCCTGATTTGGATATGTCAATTTGAAAAATACATCTTTTTTAAAAGTCAATGGCAAATATTTGAATATAAAAATGGATATAAAGGAATTATTGTTAATTTTTTGGAGTGTGAGTGTATTTACGTAAGTTAATGATTTTTAAAAGGTAAATACTGAAGCATTTAGGGTGAAATGATATGACATCTGGGATCTACTTCATATTGCCTGAGCCAAAGATTTTAAAAGTGGGGATAGATGAAGTGTGGCAAAATGTTGATGGATGTTGAAGCTGAATGATGGGTTAATGAAGTCCCATTCTAATCTCGATTTTTGTGTATGTTTAGAAAATTTCACGATAAAGAGGGAAAATAAGGGGAAAAATCAATGGCAAATCACACATCCTAAATAGATTTCATGAATATTGGAGAATGAATTTCCATTTTTCATGCCTTACCGGTCAGAAACCTTTCAGACTCTCTTACTGAACTGCAGAACATTTGTAAAATCACCTCAGTTTGACTTTCAGTTGGGAAGCCAGAATCACAAGGTCATAGAGACAGGAGAGAAGGGAGACCTACTGCACCTTGTGATGCTGTTGATCAGCTAGCAAGCCAGTTCAACAGCCACCAGGCTGATCCTATTTTACTATCTAAAGCAACTGACTGCTTGCATGTAAGTATGATACTCTTAAAAGGTACATGTGTGGAGGATAACACATTTGGAAGGATACAGAAAACGTAAGCACAAACGAAATAAAGGAGGATGCAGTAAATGTGGACACATACCATACTCCAGCTGTAGCCTCCCACAAGGTAAATGCTGTCATCAAGCACTGCACAGCCAGGGCCACTTCGACCCTCCAAAATGGGAGTTTGGAGTATATTCCACTGGTCACCTTTTGGGTCATAGCATTCCACAAGCATTACATCAAGGTGGGAGAAACCTAAGTGACAGAACAAAGTGGAACAACAAAATGATAAATGCTCAGGGTCCCAATTTAAGGCTAGGGCTTCTTTTAAAAACAAGTCTCAAGCCAAAATAGATAATTATGTTTTTGAAGACACAAATGCATAAATTCACTGAGATTGGGAGAAATGTCAGAAAGACCTAGAAAACCCCAAAGAAACTCTAGTTGTTTTAGATTACTTCAAAGCAAGAATGCCTGAGCAGATGTCATTAGCAAAGGTTGATTATATGTGGATAGATCTTATTAAAATGGTTTATTAAAACCTTATTTAAAAATGTTTAAAATAATAGTTTAAGCAAGCATTGTACAAGGCACTTACAATATGCTAGTTTTCTTTTCTAAGGGCTTTATTTAAATGAACTCATTCAATCCCTTCCATCACTCTATGAGATAGTCCCTGTCCTCACTTTCATTTTATAGATAAGGGAACTGAGAGACAGAGAAAGTCAATTACTTGAGTAAGTCACAAGTCAGTAAGTAGATAGGTTGAGATTTGAATCCAGGAGAGGCTTCAGAACTCAGACTCTTGCAGACTAAATTGTATTGCTTTTTCTCAAATGAATATTTAACTCTCTCAGAATGTTTTAATAGATTAAAAATATGTTGTTCAGCATCTTTTACCTTTTCCACAATTTGACTATGTTTATAAACAACTCTGATGATGTAAATCGTTTCTAGTATTTACCAAGAATCAAGGTTTAGAGTAGAAGGCTGAGTAACTTTCACTGAAGAGCTTCTCCTACAGCTTCTGATAGGGTTCTTGGTGTCTGGGGCACTACCTAGGTCACTGAGAACAACTTAAGTTCCTGGTCTCTACTGGAGCCCTGCCTTTAATTTAGAGGGTGAGAAACACCTAGTGGGAGCTTCGTGCTCACCAAGCAGGTCAAACCCTTAATGTTTTTATCTATTTTTCCCGTAGTTAAATGCAGGCTATGGATATTTGCTAGCTGACAATCTCAGTGTGTATTCTAAAGTAACCAACATACTGGATTCTTTAAAATAATTGAGAAGATGAATAAAAAGGTGGAGAAATTTTTGTTCTTGAAGAGGTAGACAGGTTATTTCGGTTACTAACTTCCTACAGAAAATAAATCCCATAGATGGTGGAACAACAGAACAATGTACTCACTGCAACACCAGAGTATATTCCTTTCCTTTACCATTAATATTATTGATTATAATTTTTGAAGCATATACACTTAGAATGAGCACTTGGGCAAATTCCAGGTTCTGACCTTGGAGGCATCATTTGAAGATATATGTGCCTTCTCTGTGACAATGTTATACATGGGAACTGTAATCCTCACAGAAACCATCAAGGCAAGGATAATTATCCTTCCTTTACAGACATGAGGTTAAGTGTCTTGAGTGAGACCACACAACTAGAAAGTGCATAACTAGAATCAAACCTAGGCTTAGATACAATGTCTATATCCTCTCCTCACCATGATGCCTCCTTGAGCTAACCCAGTTTTGATGTGTGCACACTATTTCTCATTTAGATTGTCATTACCTGAGTCTTTCTGTCCAAACCTAACCTTAAATGTTAGAAGATCCTAGAGCATTTAGACAATATCTTGTGCAAAAGAAATGCAAAGAAATCACATTTTAACATAGAAGGATACAAAGTTAATACAAAACATGTCGACGTAAAGGAATGGTGTGTGGCTTGAAATGAAAGAGCACCGTTGAAAGAGATAAAGAATAAAAAGGTAAGCATCACAGTAGTAAAGAAAATCCGTTCTCATTGGGGAGAGCACTTAAGCTGAGCAGCAGACATGCACTAGGCTACTGGCATTTCTGAACATGAACTTGACGAATGAACATGAACTTGGAACTATCTACATAAAAATTACACCTGTTCAGGCTTTATTTCATCTACAGGTAAATATGTATTAGGAAAATAGAAAAAACATCTAGATCTAAACCATTTAAAAAGATGTATATACTATTAAAAAATAAATGCACACATGTGCGTTATCTACCATACTTAGATAGCCTGTTTCCCATTTAGCTCAATTTCAGCGATCATAGACTAGGAGAGCTGAAGGAGATTTTAGAGATCATAGAGCAGTTTCTTCATCTTCAGATGAGGAAACTGAGGCCCAAAGCAGTTCAATAATGTTCTCGATATCATAGGTCTCTCTGGTATCACATTCAGTGTTACATGCATGCACATAATGTTATATATGTGCACATACACTACAAAAAGTTGCAGTCGTATACATATCTAGGGAAGGAAAGCTGCCAAAACATGTCTCTAAAAATGCTATGCTTTAAGTTTTTTATTGAAAAAAAGCAACAGAATTTGATAATCATAAGTGGCTTGCTATTGAATTCTTAAAAAAATTCTAAATTTAGACACAAATATCTGGTAAATATTACCTTTAAAAAAATCACATATTAGCTTTGTGCACTTATGACTAAAGTTCCTTATGATTACAGCAGAAAACAATTTTCTGGAAAAAATTCATTACTACAACTTTGGTGATAAGAAATAATTTATTTCAGTGAATTCATTGTTACGACAAATTGTTTGTGTTCTTCAGTTATTAATGCTCCTGTTTCTTATTTTCTGTAGACATCATTATCCTTTTCTTTTATGTGTATGGTAACTTAAAAATAATCCTATCTGCAGCAAAGCCAAAATAAATGCTTGCTCAAGGGTACTGCCAATTTACACAGAGTAGATTTTATTAGGTCAACATGTTTTTTACTTGGTTAACTATGATTATCTAAGGAGAAACCCCCTTAGCGAGAAATATGAGGTGCAAATGTTATTGTGACTAAAAAACAAAACAACAAAAAAAAGACCTTTCAAATGATTTCCTCCAATTGCATACAAGCGATCATTCATTACAGCCAAAGTGTGAATTGCACGTTTTGTGTTCATATCTTGTTTTCGAGCCCAGACATCCATTACTGGGTCATAGCAATATAGCCATGGGACATATTCTCCATTGTGTACACCCCCTGTGAAATAAACATAGACATACAAGTCAAGAGAGTGCTTTGGAACTGAACTTTGTAACAGAAAGTGGAGGAATTACTTGCCTGAAATGTATATTTTCCCATTGTGCACTGCTCCCGCATGAGCCGCCAGAGGCTGTGGCAAAGAGGACACATAGCGCCATTCATTCGTTTCTAGGTTATAGCACTCCACGCTGGACAAGTAGCCAGTTTCATTCCTTCCACCAATTACGTATAAATGCTTGTCCAACCGACATGCATAGAAACTGGCTCTTCTACAATGAAAAGAACCCACAGTAAATCACAAGAGGAGCTGTGAAATGTTACCTTTCGAAATAAGATAAGCACCACACAGCTAGTCAGGGAAAGGGGTGCATTCTGCTTCAGAAAGGGTTGCAAATCTTTAAAAATTACACGTATACCTTATAATTCTGAGACCTTCTACAGTAATCATATGTATTGCCCTTCCTGGTTAATATTCTTGATATTAAAGTAATAGTAGAGGAGAAATTCACCAACTCTTTGTTTCAGCCCTTGTTATCTTGTTTTATACACTGTTAAGTGTTCATTAATATTTGGGATATTCGGTACCTTGTAAGGATATCGTAGCTCTGTAAGGCAAAGTGAAAAATGAGGTAGATAATGTAACAATAATAAATTATCTTGACATTCACTTTCTTTATGGTCCTTCAAGGGTCATTGTTCCCAATTTATAAGAGAACTACATCATCAAAAATTTTCTTCAATTATCACTTTTTTTACCCTTAGTACTACTACTGCAAATAGAATAACTTTTGTGAACTTCATATAATGTTCAAATTTTGCACTTATATAACCAGTTACAGGAATTTCATCTAAGTAGCCTTTTGTGTTGATTCTTAAAAGGCTATAAGATATTTTAAATCCCTTTTTAAGAGAGGCTTTTGACTATATTATCCCATTATGCCATCAAAGCAAAAGATACAAGCTGTGTTGGAAAGATTGTAGACAGAGAGACCAATCCTAAAATATGCCATAATTTAGGAGTGAGATTTGAAGACACTGAGGACCTGAATTAGAGTTTTAGTAGAAGAAATAGAAAGGGGTGATGCAAATGATATTTTAAAGGAAGAAGATGTAAAACTTGGCAAGTAATAAAATATGAGAGCTGAGGGAAAATAACATTCAAACAGCAGTCAAAAATTGGGAGTTAGGATGATTAGTTTGAAACTTGAAGCAAGCCTTTGACTCTTTGCTTCTTTTTTTCACTGATACTACTGGAATAATATACTTCACAAGGAAAACATGTGGTCCAATATTGAATAAGTGTAATTGTTAAGTGCCATGCCCCTCAGATAATATAGTTTATATTTAATGAATTAATGATCTCTATTAAAATAGATGCCGAGATTCTTGTTCAATGTCGATTGCAAGACAAGGAGTGCTACAGGTTTTTATCAAGTAAATGTATGTTGCTTGGAGATTTTCCAGGTTGTGTTTATGAAGTACCAAAACACTTAGGAGGTAGTATATAGCACGGTGATTAACGATTTGGCTTCTTGAGTAAGACTGCCTGGCTAGATGATGTACTAGGTGTGTGGCCTTTGACATGTCACCCAACCTCTCTCAGCCTCAGATTGCTCATCTGGAACATGGGGATGATAATGGTCTCTTTCTCACAGGGCTATTGGCAAATACATATAAGTGCTTGTCATAGTGTCCAGCATTTTGTTCATGTTCAGGAACTGTCAATTAATATTATCTGGATAAAAGGTTTTTAAAAATTGACCATGAAGATGTTTGCATTTAAACATTTCCTAATAATGTTTAAGTGGCAACTAAATAATATTTGTTTAGATAATTTGTTACCATATAGGCATGATATTTGTTATGGATGTTAATGTATTCAACTTTTGATAGTCCTGAAATTATCCCAATAGATATCATTGATAATTTTAGAGCAATATTTTAGTTATGTTTGCTTTTTCTAGATTTTCTTGATATATTTGAAGGAAATATGTGCCTTGGAAAATTCAGAAAGATAATGAAGAACAACAATAATGAAAACAGTGGCAGGGAGAAAAGTAGGAATAAAATAAAGAGAAGACGAGTCAGATTTCATAAAGTAAAGACTTAACCAGGTCCATGTCTTCTGTGGGGTCCGTGAGCCTCTGAAATTATAATAAAATGCTGTAGATAGATGTTTTTGCACATGTGCATTTTTTGGAGGAAGCTTTTTAATGTGATCATCAAAGGGATTTCTGATCTTTAAAAAATTGAGATTTTTCTGGTATGAGGGACTAAAAACTCATCTAAATATAAAATAAAATTTCAAAGCAGTTGCAAAATTAAGTGCCTGCAGATAAACTGATTCCTTCTATTTCCTCAACCAGGCTTCAGTTACTTTCTCATTGAATATGATAGGTCAAAGTTATTCTACTAGTACATTTACCTTTTCAAGTTAAAGTGTTTCATTGAAAAGACTGACACATATCTACAAAAATCCATCCTAAAGTAAAACATATTTTTTTTCCAACACTGACACTAAGGTAGGTCAGTACACTTCTTCCATGTGATTCTAGGGGCCTCTGAAACAATGCATTTTCTTATTTCACTAATGGGCCATCTTTAAAGAATTGGGACTATGTGGGTTATAAGCTGGTAATGGTGAGTTCTGTGCAGCATTAGTCTAGAAGAAAAGATGCCACTTAGTCACAACAAGTATGAAAACCTTCTATTTAACTGAGTATAGATTTTGAAGAATAAGAGGAAGATCTCCCTTTGGTGAACTCATTTTCTTGTCTAAAATTCAGTTTTTTTTCACTTTTTATGATCTGGTTCCTTCCTCACCGTGACACCTGGTCAGCCTGTCAGAACCTGCTCTCTTTTCTAGCCAAGGCGTTCTTCATGCGACACTTCGTGTGTACTCCTAGCTTTATCCACACAGTGTCACTGTTAGGATCTAAATGGGAAAAAATCAGCAGATTTCACTTCCTGATGACAAGTGCATTTTTAGGTAGAAATTCCAATAGTAAAGATTCTGAGTCTTTGACTTATTCCCTTGCATGACCAAAGTGAGAGTTCCTGAAATGCATTTTAGAAACCTGATTGTTAATGGTCTGCCAGCAACTGTGAACATTCACTGTAGGCTAAAATCTTCCCATACCAGGTCTCTCTTGACAATGCTCCCTGCCCCTCTTCGCCACATGAAGAACATATAAGGTTCAGGCTATTTTATTTTGGGGGGAAAGTAAGTTCAAGATTATTAAAGATTTCTTATTGGGATTACACTGTTTCTGTTTCAAATTGTTCATCTCTCCCTCCTTCAGCCTCCCCTGCCCCCACTGCCAGAAGCAATATTCAGTATTTGTGAGATAAGTTTTAAAAAGATTAATAATAATGCGTACAAATATACTTTACACTCTGCTTATTTTGCAGATCTTTACAAGTTCTTTCTGGCCCTTGGAGTTGTCAGTTTATATCCTAAAGCATGAGATTGGATTACTATATCCTTACCCTGCTTGAATTTTTGACTTTTGTCGTTGGATTAAAAACAATGGATATGTTAGAAAGAATATTGTCTCCCATTGTTTCTTGTAACACAAAATATTACTAGAAAAACAAAATATTTAAAATTTGATGCATTTTTGACATATTAAGTTCTTGTCTTTTATTTACTCTGTGAAATAGAGGCTTTGTTCTTAACGCTTCCCAAACTGCTTTTTCTTTTTCTATTTTTTTAGATTAGCTAGGGAGTAAGATCTCCATAAGAATAACACTTCAAACATCAACTTTTACTGAAAAAAAATTAAGTTACCAAAGCATTTCTACTGTTCCAAGTTTTTAATTTTTCCTCTCTTTACTGAAGAATTAAATTCTAAATCTGAGAGCAAAACAATTCATTGGCACTACATTTAAATTTATATTTTCATCTGTTCATTTCTGTCAGTAAATTCATAGCCAGCAGGCATGCAATTCATGAGCTGACTCATGGTTGAGTGAGTCTGAAGGCCATGTGCCCATTTCCCTGCTAAACTGGGAAGGTGTTCTGCACTTTTTCTCTATTCTTTTGGAAGGGTTGCCTAGGTAGGCTATCCTGGGACTCAATCTGTCAGCACTGAGTGGGAAAAGGCAAATCTTACAAATGCCCCGTCAATCTTGCAGCTCCATCTCTCCTATGGGCTGGTTGACCCAGGCAACAGTCTATAACTTAAAATGAAATTTTTCTGTCATTACCAAGCTTCCATTCAAAATAGCAAGTATAGCTCTGTAAGGGTAGGTTACCCCAGAGGTGGCTTACAATGTGTTTTCATTATTCTCAATTGGTTTGGTGATTTCTCAGCATAATAATTTTTCAGCAGTTTGGTAGCAGCATAGTGGAAGAGGGTAGGCGGGGAACTTCCGGTTTCATTCATGATCTACACAATGTAAAATTAACTAAATGTTTTAAGCAACTTTTCTGATCTGAAGAGTGTCTCATATATTTCTAGATTCTTTTTCCTCCTTTTTTAAACCACCAATTAATCTACACTGGTAACTGATTGTACTTGCTATTTTGAATGGAAACTGGGCAATGACAGAAAAATTTCATTTTAAGTTATGGATTGTTGCCTGGGTCAACCAGCCCATAGGAGAGATGGAGCTGCAAGATTGACGGGGCATTTGTGAGATCTGCCTTTTCCCACTCAGCGCTGTAAGGAGCTCTTTATTTGGTCTATCGAGTTGATTGTTCTAAATCTAAAAAAAAAACTTCTTTTACCAGGGACCTGACATGATATACCATAATGACTTAGAAAGAAACGTTAAACAGTCCATCCTGTCAACGGTGGCTGCCGGGCGCCGACAGACCATGGCAGGTCTTTTTATCAGGTCAATGAGCTGCTAAAAATTGTCTAAGTAGGACCCTGCCATGATAGGCCATAGTGCCTCAGAGGAAGTCATTACAGACTATCAAGTAAACAATACACATTTTCAAAAAAATTACTAATTAGGTTTTGCAGCAATACTTCCCATCCTTAGGGGCTCTACAGTGGGATAATTGACCACGACGTGAGTTATGCCTCCCAAGCCAAAGGCATGAAGGTTAATTATCACGGTGTACAGCCCCCAGCAAAGGGGACCATGGTGATGAGATGATGACATTTCAAACATGTATTGATAGTTGTTTTTTAAGTAAAACTTTTTGGAATAGTTTTGATTAAAGGGCAAAGTGATGCAGCTGTAATAACAGCAACCAGGAAGTAACCTCCAAAAGAGAGAAACAGGGTGCACTGGAGAAAGATACCAGGAAGCTTCGGATTCATTAAGTTTGTCAAGCTATTAATTGACTTAGAATTATTTCCTCAGGTACCTTTGAACTAGACATTCCTAAAACTGTCTGTGGTCCTTAATGTATCATGCCTCATCATTTTCAGTGTGTAGCTTTAGTTTTCTAAGGGAGTTTTAATATATTTACCAGTATATAGAGTAGAAAGTTAGATATTGAGTTTCATTAGAGCATAGATTCATGCTGTCTTGCTGCAATAAGTACATTTTTGAATAAATGGTATTGTATGAAAATTTTCTTTTAGCTTGGAATTTAGGATTAAGGATCCAATTTAATCTCAGGGTAATCTACTTAAATGTTATAAAAAGAGAGATATTCAGGTGAGAAGTCATGTAAGAAATAGAAAAGAGAAAGAATGCTGCTGCTGATTCCCTTTTTCTTTCTTTTTTTTTTTTTTTTTGAGATGGAGTCTTACTTTGTTGCCCAGGCTGGAGTGCAGTGGCGCAATCTAGGCTCACTGCAACCTCTGCCCTCTGAGTTTAAGCGATTCTCCTGCCTCAGCCTCCCAGGTAGCTGGGATTACAGGCGCTTGCCACTGTGCCCGGCTATTTTTTTTTTTTTTTTTTTTTTTTGTATTTTTTAGTAGAGACGGGGTTTCACCATCTTGGCCAGGTTGGTCATGAACTCCTGGCTTCGTGATCCACCCACCTCGGCCTCCCAAAGTGCATGCTGAAGAGGCAATAGTTTGCAGCTTACTGTCTATCACACTGGAGAATTTGCTCAAGAGGATGTCTAGATATTATTTGAAAAGAACCAAGTGTTCAAAATCTAGGCTGTGAATTTGCATGTGCAGATAAAGACATGGTGTCATGCCTGAGGAACAGCTAGGAGAGACAAAATATATGTAAATATAGTAGCCATCTTGTCCTTTGGTAGCCAGGAGACTTGGTCGAGATAACTACTCTGTATGCAAAAAAATGAGATGACACGTTGCAAGACTAATTTTTTTTAAAGCTAACAAATTACTTGTTCTTGAATGTATGGATTCAAAGACATTTGGGGAGGAAAATGTAAACAAGACAAAATTTACTATTGAGATGTTAAAGTTCAATATTTCATATCTAATTATCTAAATATCTAACATTTAAATATTGAATTTTAATATTGAATATTGAATTTAATATTAAATAATTTAATATTGAGTATTGAAATGTCTGTACCAAAATGCACATCATTGCAAGTATAGTATTTTATATTTCAATTTTAGGGTTTAAATATATTATCACCAAAAAGAGTGGTATAGCCAGAGAAATTGTAGCTCTATTTGCAAAATACCAATCAATATAATCAAGAAAGACAAGCCACACATTTTTTTTCTTCCTACATTAGGACAAATAATTGACTTATTTTTCTCTATTGAATTAACAAGGGAGGTCATGTAAACTGGCTAGGCCAAGTTTTCTATTTTGCCTCATATGTCTTTCATTGACTCTATTTAGCATTCCTTCTTACAAAAAACCACCTAGCACCCATGCCTCCTGTAAAGCCGTCACAAACGTTTCAGGTGCAAGAAATAAACACTTACCTTTCCTGCATGGGTGGAAGTTGAATCCAGCTATTAAATCGAGGATCATATCGGCTGACAAAATTTGTACTGTGTTTTCCTGTAAAAATGCATTCGAGACATTTAAAACTTAGATTCTTTTGTTGATTTGCACATGTAGTAGTGTTTTATCAGACGTCTCTATTCTCAGGTTTAACAAATAGATGAATTAAGTAGAGGGAATACCTAACACAGCACGGGCGATGAGTCAATAGAAAAATAAATGTGCCACCTCAAGTGTTTTTCCTCTTTCCTTCTCTTTCCTTTTTCTCTTTTTGCAATGAGTTAGGAAAAACTAAATCAACCACAATAATCAAAGCAACTACATTTACCAAACTGGCTTTTGTTACAGTGTTAGGATAAAAATATCTCAGGTGTTATTGGTGTTTTAATGTTTTAAACACAGTAAGTTATTGTCTGTAAATTATCAGTTCCAAAGACTACCTTGTATGATGGTATCTCTGGTTAGAGCCATTTAAAAAACAACAACAACAACAACAAAAACTTCTTACATCTTCTTTCTTTTCAGAAAAAATTATTTTAAAAGATAATATTTTTAGAGAAGTTTTAGGTTCACAGCCAAATGGAAGGAAAGGTATAGAGATTTCCCACGTGTCCCCAGCCCTCACATGTGCATGGCCTCTCTATTGGTGGGAGAGTCTGCTCTCTCTGTTCAAACAATAGCAGCCACTACAAAAAGAGCCTGACTGGGAAAGTTAGTTTTGTCCTATGCATATCAAGTAAGTTCTGTGTGTGTATTTGGGGGGAGCACAGTTGCTGTGACATATACACAGGTGTATTTGCTGAAATGGGAAATGTGAGTCCTCTGAGCTGCTTAACCAGCTTATCCTCTCTGTTGAGCTGAGAAGCATGGTAATGCCTCCAAGGTATTAAAATGAATCTTATTTTATATACATGTTAACATTAAAACAAGAAATGGAAGCAAAATAATATATTACATTCTCTGTAGCACCTGAGATGATAATCATCTAGAGGACTTGAAGCCTTAACTCTAAAAGTCTACCTTTATTTATATATGTGTAACTAAACATTGAGAGATGGGTACCAAATTCACTACAGGACTGAACAGATAGGGGTGTGTGGGTGTGTGTGCATGTGCTCACACAGACATGTCCACCCAACACAATTATTAACTGTACAAATATATATCAAGCACCTAGCACCTACTGTGTGTTTCATGTATTCTAGACTCTGGAAATATATTGGTATGCAAGAAAGATGTAGTCTGTATCCTTATAAATGAATAAACAAACATATAATATCAAGTAGCGATGAACGCTATTAAAAAATAAAGCCAAGAATGATAAAGGGGAGGCCAGTTTCAGTAGCATAGTCACCTGCTCACAGATGTCTTCTGCAAGCCATGCAAATATCTGCAGAATGAGCCTCTCAGGCAAGGGGGCAGGAAAGAATTAAGTCCTTGGGCTGGCAGTGAGTTCAAAAACAGCAAGAATGCTAGGGTAACTGGGCAGAGGTCAGAAAGGGGTCAAGGGCCAGAACATAGTGTGCCTTGTGGGCTGATGCAGGATTTTATATTTTGTTATAAGGACAATAGCAAGTCACTGGAGAGTTTTGAGCAAGTGAAAAACAGTCCAATCTATCATGCTGGCTGCTGTATAAAGAGTAGACTATAGGAGGGCCACTGTGGAAGAGGGGAACTGTCAGGAGGCCACTACAATCATCAAGGTAAGAGCTGTGGTGGCTTGAATGAAGGTGGAGGTGGTGAGAAATGGTTGAGTTTTAAATCTGTTGTGCAGGCATAGCCAAATAAAATTTCCTGAGGGCTTGAATATTGGTATGAGAAAAAATGAGTCATTAGGGATGGCTGCTAGGTTTTTAGCCTGAATAACTGAATGGAAGATTATGCAATTTGCTGAGGTGGGGAAGACCAAGGAGGAGTAGGTAAGGAGTTGGGAAGAGAAGTTATGAGCTCTGTTTTGGAATTAACCTGAGAGACCTATAGGATCTCAAACAGGAAGTGTCTGGTAGGCCACTGGCTAAGTGCGGCTATGGGTGCAAATTTTGGAGTCATTAGTCCAGAGTTATTATTTAAAAGCATAGGATTGAGTGAAATCATGTATGGAGAGTGTATGAAAATGAAAGACAATGGGTCCTCAGAGTGAGCCCTGGAATAGAAGAAGCAAAACCAACATAGGAAAAGAATGCTCAGAGATAGGGGGGAAAGGTGTGGTATTTTGGAAGCAAATAGTGTTTCAAAAGGAAGGGAAGTGAGCAACTGAGAAGTGACTATAGGATTTGGCAGCATGAAGGTTGCTGGTGGCCTCAACAAGAATTGCTTCAGTGAACCGGAGGGGATGAAAGCCTGAGTGCAGACTACTCAGGAGAGACTAAGATGTAAGAAAGTGGAGGTAAGAGGATAGGCACTGCTTCTTAGGACTTTTGCAATAGAAAGAAGATTATAGCTGGAGGATGCAGCATTGAAGGAAGGTTTGTTTGGTTGTTTTCAAAGTTCGGACACACTGGAAAGTCCTTGAGCAGGCAAGAAGGAATGAGGAACAGACTTTAGGATTGGGGCAGAAACAATAATGGGGGAAGACAGAATATATAAGTTGCAGTGGAAATAAGTGAATAGATTGGAGGCAACAAAATGAAGGGTTTATCTTCTGAGTGCTTCTATTGAACTAAAAAGGAAGGCCATCAACTGAGAGTGAGGATGGTGCCTTTGAAGAAGGAGGCATTTGAAAAGACTGAGGAATGAAGTAGTTACCTTGGAGGGTAGAAAGGCACATTGACCACAGAAATTTAGTGGAGCTGAATAGTAGCCAGCTTGGCTGTGTGGTTTTCTGTATCCACATTTAGCTACTCAGGGGCAGGGGAAGAGAGGGAAGAGAGTTAGGTTTAACCAGGACTAGTATTGCCAGGCAAATACAGAGGAAGGAGAGAGAGAACAAAAGGGCGGCAGGTTTATGAGGAGAGTGGTTATAGGGATGGGCCATAGAAGCTAAGCTCAGTAAAACGGGAAGTAAGGACACAAGGGGATGACAGACAGTGAAAAGGTGGCATTACCGGCAAAACAGTGGATTACTGCCACATAAAGAGGCAGCAAACGGTATCATCTGCAGATGTCCTTTAAAGTGCTTGGGGTTTTAAGGGATTGAGAATGGCAATAAAGACAAAACAGAAAAGCTGCTTGCCTCCAATAATATAAAGTATGTGGGGGAAGGAGATATACACTGGCTCCCGTTAGAAAGAGTGGCTGGGAAAGCAGTACTCTCAGAAGACAGCCAGGTTTTGGCTGGGCATGGTGGCTCATGCCTGTAATCCTAGCACTTTAGGAGGGCGAGGAGGGCAGATCTTTGAAGTCAGGAGTTCGAGACCAGCCTGGCCAACATGGTGAAACCCCAGCTCTACTAAAAATACAAAAATTAGCTGGGGATGGCGGTGGGCTCCTGTAATCCCAGCTACTTGGGAAGCTGGGGCAGGAGAATCACTTGAACCCAGAAGGCGGAGGTTGCAGTGAGCCAAGATCGCACCACTGCACTCCAGCCTGGGCAACAGAGTGAGACTCCACAAAAACAAAACAAAACAAAATAAAACAGCGCTAGGTTTTGATTAGAAAAGAAGTTGAAGGAACCATTCAGAGGAGAATTTAAGGATTATAGATATTTTGCTGATGTGAGATCATGAGTTATAGGAATCATGTGGGAAAGTTTGGATGGTTAGGTTGAGTAGTAAATTGAGTTTTATTTGGGGACATACAGGAAGAGATAAGAGTACGAGGGGGAAAGGAAGACTCAGAAGACTTGGATTTCACATAAGGAGGCTCCACCTCAAGAAAGAGTTGTCTAGAGCTGGTTAATAAGTGAGTTTTTGTGAAATCTGCAATCATTTCTGTGTAGAAAAAATCTCATCATTCTTACGTCAAGTTCCAAGGTTAATTCCCAAATTCAGCTGAAGATTAATGATATTCATAGGAAAGTAGAACCTACCCACCATATATAGGAATGTTTCTCTAGATGTTTGGTTTAGAATTTCCATTTGGAAGACGATATCTGCCTCCTCCTGGCAATGGGGCTGAGAGTGCCTTCATGTGCTGAGCATTGGTGGTAGAAACTAGCAATGTTCACTTCTTGTTGTAATGGTAGTGGCCTTGATTCAGAGAAGAGGCTAAGCAGAAACTGGTGTAACATGGATGTGAGATGAGAAAATGGTTTCCAGAGGCAGGGTCAATGATGCCAAAGAGTCTGGGTGTGGTGGCTCATGCCTGTAGTCCCAGCTACTCAGGAGGCTAAGGTGACAGGATTGCTCAAAGTCGGGAGTTCAAGGCAGCAGTAAGCTATGATTGCACCTTCCAGCCTGGATAACAGAGTGAGATCCTGTTCCCAGACCCCCCAAAGAAGATGCAAAAATAGGTCAAGAATGGAGGACTGGGAAGGTGAAAGGAAGGAAGGCGTTCTGGAGGTGGCAAAGGAGGTGCAGAGAGGATAATGAACCTCAGGAAGAATGAGTGTGGTAGAGTGAGGAAGGTGAGATGAAATGGGGTTATTCTCCTTCCTTGTGGCTACTATTGAGATGCTACCAGCAGCTTGAGAGTGGCAGCCATATGCTATGAAATTTTGGATTATCCTTCACACATTCTGTTTTTTCTCATCCTTTTCATTTTTTTTGTGATTTTCCTCCACTTTTCTTTTTTGTGCTGGTGCCCTGTCACCAGACACCATTGTTGCTTAGCACTTGGCTGATGTGATTATATGGGGCAAAGGGTGGCAGTTTCCAGCCAATGGGTAGAGGAGAAGGAGGTGGGAAGAAAAGAAGTTCCCTATGAGCAGTTGTTTTGGGAACCAGTTATCAGGAAGTGACAAATGTAAACTGGGTTTCCATAAGCTGGGGCACTGACAGAGTCTATGTATATCTATTAGAATATGATCATGCATTCCTATCACTAATGACATGAAGAGAGTTGATAGGAGTTAATAATTATATCTGAGTAGAAAACCTTATGTGTGTATTTTGATTATATTTCCAGTAACTAATATATTTGCTGACTTCAAACTGTGGTCATCAATAGATCATCAATAGATATAATTATATTTATTTCAATGAGTACATGTTTGTGTTTTATGAGCATGTATTGAAATTTGCAATTTTGTACTTCAAGGGCACACATCTCAGATACCATTTTCATAAGAACTAATGTTTAACTTAAGAAGATTTCATCTCTGGGACTGACATACATAACATCCGAACCCACGGATTTAAAAGCTTTCTCCCTGCCAGCAATGATATTAAAGCATGTTATATATTATCATAGGATTGCTCTCCTTTATATGTTTTAGTGTTAATTGCATGAGGTATTATAATACAAGACTCTCATATTTTAGAGATGGTTGAGTCTCTTCACAGTTTTTAAAATGAGGACTGATGAAGGAGTTCCTTGTGAGTGAGTGGGAGCCACTATCCATGTGATCAAATATTGATTTAATTTCACAAGATCAAAAGCAAAAGCATGACTGTTACACATCTAACCAAATACATATGTTTACGTGAAACACAGTGTATTACAGTGGCTAAAGATGACTGCTCTGAAATCAGATAGACCTAGGTTGAAATCAGCTCAGCTTCTTGTAAGCTATGTTTTCTGGCAAGTCATTTAACCTCTTCAGGCTTAGTCTTCTCATAGTAAAACTAGAGCTATCATGGAATGATTTGCAGGATGCTTGTGAGGACTAAGTGAAATGATGCAGTTGAGTGCTTAGCAAAGTTCCTGGCAATAAGGAGTACTCAATAAGTACTACTACTAATACTAACGAAGTCAACTATGGTTGACCAGATGGATGGAGTATAGAAACCATTCACGGGATTGTGGTGGGTGCTCTTGTTCATTAGCCCAGATTCCTTTACCAGACCGGTGCACCCATTCCCTGGCTGCTGAATGCTGGCTGCTCATGGTCACGGCGGCTCCTCCTGCTGAACAGGCCACCTCATTGCCTTCCCTCATCCCCCACCTGGGGGAAGGCTTTGGCCAATAACTGACATGAAGTGCAAAAGGCTGGCCTGCTTGCCGCAAGGTGTAACCAGTTCTCCTCTATTTAGGTGAGCCCAGCCCATGGTCCAGCCTCCTTTGCCCAGATCTATACTAAATGACCTCACGTGCCAAATGAGTCAGGGACACAATGACTCAGCCTTTCATGTGGAAGCTTCCAAAATTCTAAAAAGGGATCTTACACACACACACACACACACACACACACACACACACAGAGAGAGAGAGAGAGAGAGAGAGAGAGAGAGAGAGAGCACTCCCAGGCCTGTATTAAGGATAAAGGTAAAATTAAAATATAGTAATTAAAGTTATACTAAAATTTAATTCTGTGCATCCTAGTGGTTACAGCAAAGAAAAGAGACACAATAGTCACATCGTTAGCATTAATAATACTTTTCAAAAGCACACAATGCCTCAGTACTTTGGTCTAAAGAATTTATCCTCTGGGGCTTCATAGAGAGCCCATGAGTGGCCATGGTGAGAACCATCCCTATGGTAAATGCCGTTGTGTGCTGTTTCTAGTCATTTCTCACAGCATATTCACTGATGGCTTTAAACCCAACTGCTGTTCCTCTCAGGGCTGGGAAAGAGAAAATCAGTGTAATCCAACAGCATGATTTTATGGGAGTCTGAATTAGTTCAAAGATAAAATCTTGATTCTCTAGACTAGAGGAAGGAATATGTCCTTTCAACTCTCCCGTGTTCCCCCCACCCAATTCTCTCAGATGTGCCTTTGATTAGAAATTGAACAGCAAGTAGTTACAGGTGTTTTTTTGTTTTGTTTTGTTTTGTTTTGTTTTTTTGCATATGCCTCTGGAACAGGTTTTCTGTGTTGCTGCTTAAGATCTGACTTAAGACCTTAAGTCAGGGAGATTCACAGTGTTTTGTGAGAATGAATTGTGGCAACAAGACTGCTATTTTAACAGAGGTCTATTCTACCTGCAAAGTGCAGTAGGCTGAAGATGTTCCTGTTTTCTCTTGTCATGTTTTAGTTTTAACCTGGCCTTCAAAAAGAATGTTCTGCAGATTATTTGCTTAGATAAACCCAGTGGCTGCACACTATGTGTTTGCTTACAAATGCTCCTTCCAGTTCAAATCACATCTAAAGAAGGATAAGTTAAATAGTAAATGAGGAGTTTACAATGCATTGTGCGCATGTCAGGGTTTTCTGGTAACATACCGAATCCATCATTACAAAGGTAAGTTAGGGGAGAGATATGAAATATCATCCTTGCTCCTGTTCCAAGTTTCTCACAAAGCCCAGGAACCATCTTCTTTCCAACACTAGAAAATGTGGCACAACAAAGCTGCAGGTCTTGAGAAAGAATGTCCCTCTCTCTTAAAAGAAATGTTCTTGAAGGGTGGCCTGGATTGTTTTCCTTGAAGATTTTCTAGAGTGAACAGATGTAACAATTTTCTATAATTTGCCTTGGTGCAGATGCTGAAAGAGAGCACTCACAATAAAATATATGCAGTATATGTAATTTCAGCTGGATGTTCTGGGGTTTTAAAGTAAAAATGTGTACCTGCAAGCTGTTTTATGGTTTCTCAGTCACAATTATCTCTGTTACACAGAAGGCTACAACTGCAACTCCTCCTTCATGTGCAAGCTTTCCAAAAATATCTTGATAATTTTGCATGTTCTGCAAGCCACAGGGTTCTTGTGTTCGATTTGGGACGTGCGTTAAAATGTTTAATTTCTCTTTGCAATAAGTTTATGATGTAATCACATCTACGGGGAGGATGGTGGATAATCTATGGAAGAAGCACTTGCAAAAGGTACAGCAACTGGAATGGATGTTGAGTAATACCTGCTGCCAAATAATTTCAGCTAAAATTATGTGCGGCATGACTGGACATAATGCTTATGTATTGCAACCCACGTTATTATATTGATAAAATGGGAGAAAGGTGGTGGAGAAGATGGTGAGGATTCTTAACAGCTGCAGCTTTGCTCCCTTCCTCTAGGGAGTTTGTGCTCATGCTTGTGGCATTCCTCAGGGGATGGATAAGGAGAGGGGCTGGGGTATCACTGTGAAGCCAAATCCCCAGACAGTTGATGAGTGATCGCTCTGCTACACATGTCCCCAGTTAGCTCAATGATTGACCCTCTCTCCAATTGTCAGCCCCATCTCCTTACTACTTCATTTGTCCCCGTTGCACAGAAATGTATTTTCCACACTAATTACAAAATGGACTGCTACTGATGCCCTTCATTACACACATACTTGTTGAGCACCTCCAATTAAGTTGTTCAATAGTTACCATTCGGATTCCACTGGTCCTCTCCACCCAACACGAACAAGAAGTTTTCCACCTCCACAACGCAGTGGTGGGCACTGTTGTATGGCATAACTGAAATTAAGAAAAAAAAAAAAGACATATGAAATTTTCCATCTCAGGATTTGCTACCTTGGCTCACTGGCTATTTGTTTCACTGAAGTGCATAAAATGTGAGACTGAGTCAGAGGAAGAAGATTGAACAGGTGGCCAAGCCACTACTCACCAATCCAGGGATCCCTATGCAGTGACTCGGTGGTGTGTTCCCAGCGGTTTCAAACCCAACCCCTTTTGACTAATTTTACATAATGTGATTCCAGAAATTAGTCAAGAACAACCTGTCATGCTGCTTTCGATTCCTAGGTTCTCCTAGCCTGCCTGATGATGTGGATAGTGATCTGAATGACTGACACTCCTAAATGGTCAGGGCTGGGGTTACTTCTTGGAAGAAGTAACCCTGAATACACTTGGAGCCATTAAGATGCTCTGCCCAACGTGGTTTGCTGGCAATCTTTCCATAAACAGACTCAGGGTGCTTGGTCGCTTTCTATTCCACAGCAATGAACAAGCTGAATTTCCATACAGTTTTAAGTTTTTAAATTAAGGTCCTGCTGATTTAATGCCTCCTCCAAATGTATACGCTTAATATCCTGTACAATGTCATTAGCAGCACAATCGCACATTCTCTATCTATCTGCTTAGGAGCTCTTCTGTAACAAAGATGAAAACTGTCAGGAACATCACAAATATCTATTCTCCTTGCCTCTCCCTTCTCTCTGCCCAAATGTGGTGGATGTGAGGAGGGGGCATTATTCAGAAACCCACTAATGCCAGCTTTCTCTGTATTTGTTCTGATTTACATTTCCTTTGGGGAGACACAAAGTACCAGAACAGGATGCTCCTGTCTCCTTTTGTGCTGTGCAGTGTTAGTGTCTGCTACAATAATATCCTATGGTAAATGTAAACGTATACAGCATTAGTTATCATATCTCCTACAGTGGTTTGGGCCCAGTAGGAAAAATGATGTCCTTGTTCAGCTCATCATATGGGCACCTTAAATCTAGGTGAGGACAAATGGGGAGGTGATGTGCATGTTCAGGCAGGGAACTTATTCCTTGACACGGATCAACAGAGCACTTAAGAAACCAGTGCAGTGGGAAATCAATATGAGTCAGGGCCAACTCTTACTTTGTGCTCCTTTGCCAATGCAGGGAGAGAGAAAGTGAGGAGACCTATCTCACGCCTGACTTATTTTGGGTGCTATATAGCTCTCATTTCATTTTGTTTTTATTATCTTTTATTTTTCTCAGAAAGCATTTACGCTGGCTAAGATATTTAAATAAAAAATAAGAAACAGGTACAGGTTTGAGACTCATAACACAGCCTCTGAAAGAGCAAATCAGATCATTTAAGCTTCTTACCAAGGGATTTTAGGAGTTTTGTTTTGTTTATTTACCTACTGACTTATTTATTTGTACTGTAAATATGCATTGTTTTTGAACTTACATCCACAAGGCGGAAGGCATTGGTGTGTAAACCTCCAATCTGGGGCATAATGTAGAAATTGGGTGGGCAGTGGTTTGCGCGGTCCATGAATTAGGTCAATTGACTTCGAGAGTCATCTCAAGAATGTCCTTTAGCCCATGAATCCTCAGTTTATCTCTGTGAAAAACGCTTTTACCTGCGTAGATGCTACAGGCTTCACTACTCAGAATTCATTGTGGCAGAGTACACGTGAGGCTCATTGAGCAACAGAGGTAGAATATGTTTGAAAGGTTTTCTTCCCTTTAATTAGTTCATCATTGTTTGGATCATAATGCTGGTTCCAAAATACCAAAAACAAAACGAAGCTTCCCTTGTCATATTACGAACAACCTGGTGCTACTCCAGTTGATGGTAATGTCCTCTGGCCAGTGGTAAACTTACTCAGCATTAATTGTCAGCTGTATGCATCAATTCACATGAGATACAGTGCAGTCATAGAGGCCATCGGCTACAACGAACTTATTCTATGACCACAGCTCTTCAAATATTTCTTTTAAACTTTTGGTCAGTTCAACATTTTGCCCAAATCTTATAAATAATGAAAAACGGTATTATCTTTTTTTAAAAAAAACAGAAGTCCAGCTTCATAATAAAGTACAGTCTCTGAAAATAAAATGACACTTGTGTTTTGTTCTTGCCATTCATTTGCTCTCATTCAGGCAAGCAGAAATTAAGTGAAGGAAATAATACATGATTTATTTTTAAGCCTCTTTTTCATTTGATTACCCCTATTGTTATGCTTTATGCAAACAAATGAAACTATTGCACTGAGCTAACTATTGAACTCTTCAAAATAAGAGAAAAGAAGGTCTTTGAAGTCCTACTTTAAAGGCTACTTGAAGGAATTCTCATCTATTTACACATTTTTACCTTTGTTTTAAAACCTGTCTGCTATATTTCTTGGGTGAGCATTTCAGTATTCTCATTCCTGAATTATTGTCTTTTCTGAATTATTACTGTGAATTGAGAGGCTATAAATATACCCAAATGCTCTTTGACATTATTCTGAATGTAAAACTCTCCCAAATTTATTTTAAAAAATCTATATTCAATCAATGTTTGAATTTTGCAAAAGACCTAATTTCTTTGACTTCTGATTAAGCCCAAAGAAAAGCAAAATAAATAGGGTAGTGAACAAGAGCAAACAATTGTTTAAAATGGCCTTGGGTACTGTACTTATTGATTTTCTTTTAAATAACCACAGATACATGCCTGCTCCTTTCCAGATTTCTCCAGAGGTGGACAAGTGCCTCGCCCTCGCAAGCAGATAGTGGGGGAGGTTTGTACTCCAGGTTCACATACAGCCCAGTGTGAGTTTTTAGCGTGTCAGTCAGTGAGTTAGAGGGAAAGGGGAAAGAGAAGCTAATCAGGATGAAATGAGATTAAAGGCTGTCTAATTTTACAGCAACTGTGATCCATCAGCCACTGTGAAAGTGACAGTGGAGATGAATGATGGAGACAGACAGGTGGGGCTGTACATTTCACTGATTTATCCTCAAATGCACTGGGCCTTATTTTATTGAGTGAACATGACCGCATTTATCATGACTGTCATCTAAACCCACTTCCCTCCATTTAAAAAGGTCACTTTACTCAGAGGGAGTAGGAGAGAGGCACTTTCAAATCAGATTTAAAATATAATAACAGGTGTTCATAAGGCCCTTTGCGAGACTTCTCAACTTTATTAAACAAACAGGTAGTGCTAGGAGAAAGAAAAAGCCAGAAAATTGGAGAAGAAAAAACTTTTCATCATCTGAAGGAGCATTTCATTTCATCTCTAAATTTCAAGCAATTTGTACCATTTTTGCCCGTTCCACTCCAAACACCCAAAATTCTATTCTAGTCTTGGGAAATGAAATAAAACATTTACATTTAATATTTTTAATTAAGAAAGTAGGAATCAGGTAATACTGTAAAATAAACTTGGAGAGGATATTGTCACAGTATTTACTCTGCAGAATGACTAATCATCACACAGGAAATAGATGTTAGCAATCGTAACAAGCTGAATCTCTGCCACAATTAACTTATGTACCTGCTAATTGTTTTCCCATAATTTTAAGGCCATACAAATCTCAGTTACACAGTCTTTTACCCCTCCTTCTACCAGAGCAATAAAATGCCCTGAGATCTTATCCACAAAGTTGGTCTTTGTGGATGGGAAAAAGGAGTCAAACTCTCCGGGAATTCCCTATTACTTTTTGCAATAATAACCAGCATTGACCAAACATTTACTATGTGCCACATATATGTACATTAAATATATAATTATATTGATCTATATTATAGCTTTGAAAATACAACAACACTTGCGTTCTTGCTGTTCATTTGTTCACATTCAGGCAAGTAGAAATTAAGTGAAGGAAATAATAAATGATAAAATATACTGATAGTATATTTACCTAAATTGGCTCACATCTTTCATTTAATACAACTAATCACAAAGGAGGCATTACTCATTCATTTTATTTTTTTAGAAACACTAAAAGGCCTTGAGAGGGTAAGTCACTTGTTGAAGGTCAGACTCAGGTACCGAACGGCAGAGATAGAATCCAAACATGGGGATATCTGGACCCCAACTCACGCTCTTATCCATTTCACTCTACTGATTTTCAATAGGTATGTTCATCCATCCAGCAAGTAATTACTGAGTTCCTGAGTGTTCAGTGATGGTGTTTCTGAAATTTGTGTATAATTTTTTATATTGAATCATATTTTAAATGTGTTTATTACTATGATATTTGAATGAATCCTTAAAGCAAGAAGACATTCCTTTAAATGATTTCCTATAAATCTGGATATTTGAATAGCTGGTTTCCTTAAAGCAGAGTACATTTGTTTTATGGAGCCAGAAAAAACACTGAGAAAATCAGCCAGTTAAGGGTGGGTAGAATCTGTTGGCAGATTTTTTTTTTTTTTTAAACAGTAAGGACATATTTCAACCTTGCAAGCAGATTCAAAATACCTTGGTTACAGAGGCTGTTTTCCTGGCCTATAAAATGTCCAGGGGTCTTGTTTGTATTCATGAAGGCCTTACTGTACTAGAGATCCACACTACTGTGTCTCCTCCCACATTTTACATCTAAGGAATGTAAACCTCTTCCAGCAGAAAGTATACGTATCCTTTGCAACCCCCAAATTTTCATGAATATCCAAACAAGAGATTGCAAAGGGCTGTGCCAAGAATATAGACTTGCTAAATAGATGGTTATTGAATGTTTATCAATTGGATGTGACATTTGTGAAGGCCTTGATATTTTTGGTCTCAAATACATAAGCTTGCAAAACTGTCAGATATAACAAAGTCCTCAATTGTTTTGAAAAAATAATTAATGCCCATGGTAAAAATACAATCTTAAAAAAAAAGGACATACAGAACAAATAAGTCTTCCTCTTACCCTCGGCCCACCCTCAGCCTTTCAGTTCTCTACCACAGAGGCAATCTCTGCTACTGTGTTCTCGGGTTTTCTTTCCAGAGACATTATATATATGGGTCATTTTTGTTAACACAAATGGCAGCAGCATACTGTAGACATACTGTTTAGTGTCTTGCTTTTTAGCACTTAATAATATATTCATTCTTTCTTTCTCCATTAATCAAGTATTTGTTTTGGTGCTACTCTATGCTAGGCAATGTTGTACCTGCTGGGGAGGTCGTGGTAAGCAGCAAACCGGGTACACACTAGTCAGGGGAAGCACACAACAAACACAGACACAAGTAAATAAGCTCTTTTGTTTCAAATGATAAGTGCAAGAAGAAAAATAAATCTGGGCTGGGGAGAGGGAGCGGCAAGGGTAGTGAGTTTTGACAGTGCTCAGGGAAGGCCTTTCTGAGTAGATGACTTGTGAGGAGAGAATTGGCTGAAGTGAGTAAGGGAGCTGTGCAGGGTGCAGGTGCAAGAATAGCAAGTGCAAAGACCTTGAGGCACAGGTTTGAAATGTGTGAAGGACAGCAAGAAGACCAGAACACAGGGATCTGAGATGAAGTTGAGGAGAGAGGCCCAGGGCAGACCAGTGCAGTGTGGAAGGACATGGTCAGAAGATAACACTGGCATTATCGTCCACTGAATTATTTTAAGTGACTGCACAGTATTCCATTTGATGGGCATTCTATAATTGATTCCATTTCCTTCTGATGGTTAATTCATTCAACAAACATTCACTAAACACTCACTAGATGCAGACACCTTTCTGGTTGCTGATAATACACAACTGAACGAGGCAGACAATATCCCTGCTCTCCTAGACCTTATATGATAGAGAGGATGAACAACACAGATAAATAAATAACAAATAGGAGCACAGCCAGGTGATGACAGATGACATAAAGAGAAATACAATGGGATGATGTGCTAGAGAGTGAGTGCCTCTCTATTACTTTAGTTGAAGCAGTTGGTGCAGAAGTGGGAATGAGTTGGTTGTGTCTGAGAAGCAGAGAGAAAGCCTGTGTGTTGTGAGCACCTTGGATGAGGGCCCAACAGGCATGGGATGAAGTCAGCAGGCAGACACAGGCTGAAATGCAGGTCTTCATGAGCCAGAATAAGCATGGTGGATTTTATGCTAAGCATGATAAAAAGGCATAGGAGGGGTTTAAGTGGCAGGATGACATAATCTGATTTATGTTTTAAAAATATCAGTCTGGCTACTATTGAGGTTGTAGGAGGGAAAGAAGGAAAAGAGGAGGATCAGGCAGAGGTTCCTTCTGTGATCTAGATGAAAGAAGATAGCAGCTTGGCTAGGAGGGGACAGTAGAGATGGACAGAAGGGCTATGCTTTGAAGGTTGCTGCTGTTACAAGCAGTGCTGTGTTGAGTGTCCTTGCAGATACATAACACATGTGGATAATTTATCTGTAGGGTTGATTCTTCTAAGTGAAATTTCTGGGCCAAAGAATAGGTACATTTTACATTTTGTTGGAACCCATTTTTACATTTGTATCTTTGCCAGTATGGTGAGTGAACAATTGATGTCTAGTTAAAATCTAAATCTTCATTTATTTGTGCTACAGGTGTAGCATGTTTTCATACATTTAAAATCCATTTGTATTTTATACATTTTTGTTGGGTTTGAGTTTTTGATATAATTTATGTTACTTATAATTACATAATTTCTGTTTTAAGGTATTCTTTTCTAGGAACGGACAAAATAAATGATATCTTGGAAGCATCATACTGCTAGAATACATATTTGTGAAATATTTACTCATTGAAGCAAATTCAAATAGCAATTACATGCTGTTGAAAACAAATAACCTGAAAGAAAGATGCTTCCCTTTAATAATATTGAATATTCCTTGCCATGGGCTCTTAGAGGTTTTTTGTTTTTTTTTTTTTTAAAAAAAAGTCTTCAATTTTATAGTAAATGCAATTGAGAAACATAAATGTTTTAAAATTTGCTAGTTAGTTTAATCCTACCATTCAGTCTTTCAGCAAAGATCTAGCAAGCTGGCTAATGCATTTCTGGAGATAGAAACAGACACACAGTAAAACATTTTACATATTTACACATTTTACACATTAGGAAGGGCTTGATAGATATTATTGAATAAATAATTTAAGATATTATTAAATAAATAAATAGGAAAAAGCTCTGCTACTTTTTTTCTGTTATATTTGGGCTCTACTATAGTTTCAAACTACAAATAAATGGAAACATTTTGTGTATTTGGGGATGATTTTATCATTACGGACAGTTAGTCTGGAAAGTTTAACTCTGTAAGAGTTTTTATGGTCAGAATCCAGTTATGAGTTGGCAAATGTTCTGAATTAACCCAAAGGTGGCCAGCACTTTCTCCCTTACCTCCTACTTGTTCTGCACATACCAAGCCAGATTTTCATAATCCCTGGAGATGAAGTTATTTAAGTGAGTTTAAGGTGTATAAATCTAAAAAAAAGTGCACATTTAGGAGGCTGTGCAAGAACGAAGAGAGCTTGTCTCTCATAGTTCAAAACTGTATCTAAGGGTCAGTTTTCTTGACTATGAGGATCGTTTCATCACTCCCTCATCTTTGCAATGATTGGACTAAATGCATACTTTTACTGTATCACTTGCCAAGTGATGAAACAGTGTATTAAAAGGCTTGTCTTTGGCTTGTCACCCCCAAAAGATCTATGAGCCCCTGAAGGCCAGATGCTATCATCTCTGTAGCTTCATGCCTAGCACAGAACTCAGCACATAGTACTGGGCCAGACTCTGGCATCCCTATAGCATTTAGGCATAACATAGTAATCAGAAATATTAATGGATCAGTAAATATTGATCAACGAATAGCACGAATGACTGAATGCTAGCTAAGAGACTATGGAATTTATTTTTTTGGAAGGTGGAAAAGATTGTGATGGATGCCAGAAGATGTGAAGGAGGGAGGAAGTTAAAGAAGGAAAAAAGAAGAAAGGGTGACTTTGGTAAGGATTCTATGGCTTCTAGGATAGATGTCACCCATGCAACACATATGTCAGTTTTAAGCAAAGGAGGTTTGTAAGCTTTTCAAAGGCTGGCCATATATTATTTCTTTCCAGAACTATGATAACACCTAATTGTGCCAAGGGCAAAGGTTTTCAATAAAACCTTGTTGATTTACAGTTTTAGTTCTGAACACTTAACTTGGGGAAGTGCTAATAAGCAGTGACATTAATGTGATTTCACATTGGACTTCTATTACCTGTTTAAGCAAAACTGACCTTCAAAGTCTTATTTTTATCTTAGTTCAAATATTTTCACTAATATATTCCTAAATTATGATCGTGTTATTTTAATATCAACGGTTTTACTTTGAATACTTCCTGGCATGCTAGTAGGAACTTAAATGTAGTTTTATTTTTACTTTTGGAGAGTAAAAAATCTTTGGGAATGAAAGCTGCCATCTCTTTCAAAGGTTAGTTTTTTTTTCCTGTTTTACAAAGTGTTGTGTATTTCAGAGACATGTCAATGAAACACTCTAGAGCTTTGATGACTGCCCTTTTCCAAGTGTCAACACAATGTCTTCCTGATCATATTTTTCTGGGAGAAAGTATCATTCTCATACTTTTTATTGTTCCACAGCCCAAAAGGCTCATGTCAAAAATAGTAAACCCTCTAAATGAATTAAAGTAGCAGAGCAACATATATTATTTAAGCATTTGATAATAAAATCTTTGACAAAGGTTAAGGGAGTCAGGGCTATTTATAAGGTGGATGATATGGCAACAGGATAGCAAAAATGATTGTTATGTAGTTTAAATTATCTTAGATGATGGCCCCATAGTTGACCCAAGTTATTGAGGGCAGAAGGAAGGAAATGGGTGTGGCCTACATAATGAGGATTTATAAGAGGAGTTTTCTGATGCAAAACCCACATACTCAAATATGGGAAAGTGAACTCTAGTTGTTCACTTGAAAACCTACAAGGTATCAGAAGGTCTAATTGAGAATCATATTTTGGGCCAGGCACAGTGGCTCACACCTGTAATCCCAGCACTTTGGGGGGCCGAGGCAGACAGATCACCAGAGGTCAGGAGTTTGAGACCAGCCTGACTAACATGGTGAAACCCTGTCTCTACTAAAAATACAAAATTAGCCGGGCATGGTGGTGTGCACCTCTAATCCCAGCTACTTGGGGGGCTGGGGCAGGACAATCGCTTGAACCCAGGAGGCAGAGGTTGCTGTGAGTCAAGATCGCGCCATTGCACTCCAGCCTGGGCAACAGAGCATGACTCTGTCTCAAAAAAAAAGAATCATATTTCAAGCAGCTAATTCATTTCATTCAAAAATATGTACTGTACTGTGTACCTATTGGTTATTATGCCAACCTCTGAGCATATGAAGATGAATTGTACACCATTCCTTCATCCCAGAGCCCACTGTGTAGACAGAGAGAGAGAGAGAACATGAGAACAGATAAATAGGATACAGAGTACTCCAGGTAGAAGAGCAATAGATGCTCCAGGGAGGAAATGACTAAAACTTCAGTGAGAAAGTGAGGCTTAAGCTTAATCATGATTCCGAAAAGAGATTTTTCCAGGCTGTTGCAGCAGTAAATGTCATTACTGGGAAAAGGCACACAGATTCCACAAACATTTACTGAGCACCTACTAAGTGCCAGGCCTTGGGCAAGGCCCTGTGATATAATTTTTAAATATTAGCTTAATTTAAAAAAATGAATTATTAGAATTAGATCAATGTCTGAAATCTTATAAGTTCTATTGTTCTATATCACTGTAGCATGACTACAGTTAACAATAACATATTACATAGCTTCAAATAGCTAGAAGGAGAATGTTGAATGTTCCCAACACAAAGAAATGATAAATGTTTGAGATGATGAATGTGCCAATTACCCTAATATGATTACTATACATTATATGTAGCAAAACATCACAGTGTACCCTATACATTATTATTTATCAATTACAAAATAAAATTTTTTAAAAGATTGTATTATGACTGGGTGTGGTGGCTCATGCCTGCAATCCCAGCACTTTGGGAGGCCTAGGCAGGTGGATCACTTGAGGCCACGAGTTTGAGACCAGCCTGGCCAACATGTTGGAATTCCATCTCTACTAAAAATACAAAAAGTAGCTGGATGTGGTGGCTCATGCCTGTAATCCCAGCTACTCGGGAGGCTGAGGCAGGAGAATCACTTGAACCTGTGAGGTGGAGGTTATAATGAGCCGAGATCACACCACAGCACTCTAGCCTGGGTGACAGAGCAAGACTGTCTCTAAATAAATAAATAAATGAATGTATGTTATATTATTACAATATCAACTTTTTAATTGAGGCCTGCGAAAATGTGTTGGGACACAATGGTGCAAATAAGAGGAACGTGCTTTTATCTACACTGTCCTTTTGGACAGCGGGCCTGCTCTACCTACTCAAGTTCCCATCTGGACCACTCTCTTCTTAGACAATCCGGTGATCGTAGCCTCTGCTCTAATTAAATCTTTCCTGACATGTGGAGCCACCTAATCATTCTGGAAGCAATTGGTAGCATTATCAGAACTGTGAGCAATAACTTTGTTCCTTTTAGATAATCCATCATTGCATTTGTTCTAGCTAACTCAGTGTGTTATTGGTGCCGTTGCACTTATTTGACTTTAAAGCCTATTTCACTGCAAAGATTCAGAAGAATCTGTCATACAGTCTTCCAATGGCCATTTCATGGTGTGTGCATGTGTATGCGTGATGTCCAGTAAGTACTAGAGCAGTTGGGCCAGGACATCAGGATTATACTGAGTCAACAGCTTGTCACACATAAGGGAAATTAAGGTGCAGTCCGTGATCTTAGGAGATGTGCCCAAGGTGGATGGTCAGGGCCATGATGAGGCCTAGAGTCATCTTTCCAGGAGGTTCTGCAATCTTGATTGCTGGGAAAAGGTGAAGAACCGAAGCAGTGCAGGTCAGAGTATGTAGAACAATATGATGAATCCCTTTACCCCTTTCTCGGCACTGTTTTTTAACTGGCAAAACTAGATATTCACTGAATACTAAGTAATATTTATTTATGAATATATTTATGAATGATATGAATATTTGCCACTTCTCCAGTGTTAGAATATAGGCTGAGACCCTGGTGCTAAGACAATCTAAAGATACATACCGGGTTATCTATGCAGGACTTGATAACTTGGTCCCTAAACTGGTTTGAACTGGTTGTCTGTGTGTACACACACATGTATTCAGTCTATATATACAAAGATGTAGAAGACAATTGGTGAGTAGGTGTTTTTTTTTAAGTCGTTATGGGAATACTGTGCATTTTCCATCAATAAGAGAAAATAATGATCCTCTCACCCTCCACCCTAAAGATGAGGCAGAGAGTGGCACAATTCTTGGATCAGATGTGTGCATGTCTCCTGGAGCTTGACAGGCACAGGGAGATGTCTGAAGGCATAAGGCTGGGGGGAAGCTGTCTGTCACAAGAGTGTGAGGGAGAGCTGGGGGAGAAGTCACCTGCACTTCTGGGTTTGGTGGGGCAATGGTACCTGGTACCTTCCTGTGGGCTAAGCTGGTGCAGTGGAGGCTTGCTTGGCCAGAGCTGTTTTGAAAGGACACCCCCTCCCACCACAAGAAGATTAATTGCCAGTTGAAGGTGACCATAATAAAAGCTATGTGGTGGGTATAGCCCATGGGGCAGTAGGATGTCTTCAGAAAGAGACTCACAACAGAACTCATAAAGACAGCTCATCACCAGAGAAACTCAGCTCTATATCAGTTGCCTCCTGAGGAGCAGGAAGCCAGGTCTTGGAAACCAGGCAAGTAAGAGCTTTTCTTCGTTTGCCCCACACCCTCCTCTAGCTGTATCCATGGTGAAACCAGAATACACAGCATGGCTGATTTCCTTCAGGGCAGGCCAGCCTGGCTCACTCTCATGTTAACACAGGTGTGCAGGAAAGAGTTTACATAGCAGGCCTAAGGCTGCTTCCTCAGAAAGGGCCGCCTGCAAAGCTAGCCTTTGGCTGGCATCTGAGAACTGAGATTTCAGGAGCATTCCCACTACCTTAGCTGATAAGGGTAGCTCTCTGTACCTAAATTGTTGGTATAAACAATGTGATTTATGCTGAATACTTCCTTTTCTTCTGGTAGCCTGGAATTTTGGTGTGTTCTAGAAGATGTGTACCTGACCAGCCCCCAATAAAACCCCTGGGCTGGAGTTTCTAACCAAGCTTCCCTGGTAGATAGCAGTTCAAGCGTGTTGTCACCATTCGATGCTGGAAATGAATGTGTCCCATGTGACTCCACAGGAGCAGCACTCTTGGAAGCTTGAGCTGGGTTTCCTTGGGACTTTGCCCTGTGTGCCTTTAACCTTTGGTGGTTTTGCTTTGTATCCTTTTGCTGTAATAAATCATAGCTGTAAGTATGGCTATTCTATAATCCTGTTAGTTCTCCTAGTGAGTCACTGAACCTGGGGGTGGTCTTGAGGATTCCTGATACAGTAGGAGATGGAGAAACTTTAAATGTATTTACTGGATGATTTAATGGTCCAAAGTGGCTGGGTCTGCTTTAGAACTTTTCAAGGTACAACCTACAGGGAGAGATAAATTATCCAACAGAGAGGGTTTGAAAATCGGTGGCTGAAAAAAATCAAGTTATTTTTGGCTGGCCTCATATGTGAAGCTCATTCAATAAACTGATTATGGATGGATGGATGTATTTCTGACAAACTGCTTCTGGGCTCCTGAGGAACACTTTTTAAGAAAGCATGGCTCCAATTTCCTCTGGTTGGGGCCAATGTGCGTATCTTTCCTGAGAATCCACTAGTGCCCAGCACCATCCCACCAGAGGTGCTAGAGGATTTGCCAGTGAAATTGGCATTATCGCCCTTTTTATTCCATAGGGACATTTGCAATGTATTTGAAACACTGATACAGATCCATGTGAGGCCATTTGAAAGGAACAGGGCAGTGGTGTAGAAGATTTGTGTCAAAAAAATCTAGAGATAGGAGAAATCACTGGAGTTTGGCTTAGTTAGGTAGCAGCGTGCCCTATTCAATCTCTCCCCAGACACTACATTCTTCTGCTGTCTTCACAGGGTGCCCTGCTATATCTTTAAAAAATAAAGAAAATGCAAACTTCTTTCATCCTGCTCTCCCTTCTAGCTGCCCCTTCTAGAGCACCCCACTACCTGACCCACCAAGCCAGGCTTGTACACACAGCAGTAGAATGTGAGTGACTGGTCTAGAGAGGGTTGCATGATCCAGCCAGGTCCTTGCGAGGGGTTTTCACACTGGAGCTGAAAGGAGAACACTTTCTTTTCTGATCACAAATCCTGGAGCTGCTTACAGCAATAGAGAAGCAGGTCTGAGCAAAGAAGGAGCTCGTGTTGTGAGAAATGAGACCTTCAGAGAAGGCATCCTGATGGGATTTTGAAATTTTGTTTCTTAGTCATTCTTAGGCCAGTACTGCCCTGCCCTCCTGGTCATGTGGCCCAGTAAACCCCCTATATTCCATAGACCTTTGCAACAGCCTCCTCACGGGTCTCCTTGTTTTCATTCTTGTCCCCTTTTGGCTTATTTTTCACAATTTACTGAGAAAGTCCTTCTAAAACCAGAGTCAGGTGATGACATTCACTTCTATTCAGTCATTTCCTTCTCTTTGGAATACATTTTCAAGTTTCCAGAATGGTCTGCAAAGATCACACGGCCTGGCCCTGGATACCTTTCCAAGCTCTTTTCCACACTCTGCCTCACTTACGGTGCTCCAACCATACCGGCTGCTTTGCTTCTGCAACACTCCAAACATGTTCCTGTGTCAGGCCTTTGCATCTGCTCTTCTCTCTGCCTCTGACATGTTTTTCCTTTGAATATTCTCATGGTTCACTCCATCATTTAAGTCAGGTGTCTGCTGGAAGAGAGACCTTTCCTGACAGTGCCATTTAGAAAGCCCTTCCCTATCATTCTCTGCTCCCTTACCCTTCTTTTGTGATAACACTTGATAATGCCTACCTTTAGAATTTTTTTTTTTTTAAAGACAGGGTCTCATTTTGTCACCCAAGCTAGAGTGCAGTGATGTGATCATATCTCACAGCAGCCTCCAACTCCTGGGCACAAGGGATCCTCCCCCCTCAGCCTTCCCAAGTTGCTAGGACTATAGGTGTGTGCCATCATATCTGGGTAATTTTTAAATATTTTGTAGGGATGGAATCTTGCTATGTTGCCCAGGCTGGTCTTGAACTCCTGGCCTCAAGTGATTTATTTCTATGCTAGTGTACTAACTGCATAGGTAAGACAAGGATTGTCTTGCTCACCACTGAAATTCTAATGTGTAGAAAAATGCTTTGCACATAGTGGATGCCCAATAAGTGTTTGTTAAATTAAAGACAAAATAGTTTAAAGTGATATAGAATTGGAGTTCTGTTATTTGCAAACAATACTTTGAAATTTTAAATAGAGAAAGTGAAACAATTTGGTTAAGGTGAAAAGGTAATTAAATAAGTATGTAGGTTTAGCTACTTGGTTCAGTATTACAGATTTATGTACAATTTGCTTTTTAAAATGGAAGACAGTATATTGTCATACAAACCAGGTTTGATATCATTTAACTGTGTCAGTTTAGGAGCCTTGGTTTTCTTCATCAGTAAAATGTTGATTATAATATCTACCTCACAGAGCTATTGTGAGAATTCAGTTGAATTGGATAACTTATGTAAAGTACAAGCCTCATTACAAACAAACTGTAAAAGGTTGTTCTTTCGTTGTCCCCTTTCTCTAGTTTCTTCACAAATATTCTCCAAGCAAAACATCTCCAAATAAACAAAGTTTCTTTGAGATGCTAATGACTTAACAAAAGTTTGCAATTGTTGAAGTATGGATTTACTACAGAACTGAATCAAAATACTATTTTGAGTTATAGGGAGGCAAGAATGTGTGGTTTCCAGAAGATGATGATATCTGGACATGTGGATAGGATGAAGTGAAACGAGTACCCATATTTTTAAGAGTTACATTGGTTTACACTTACTAGCTAACAACTGACATTTGCATGAGAAGGATAAGGGATTTCATTTAATTTTTAACTAACTTATATCAGACACCTACTATGTGCTGTATATGAAACAGAAAAGAATGTAAGCATCTCTGCCAGGAGCACATGTCCCAGAGAGGGATAATTTATATACACATGTAAATGTAACATAAAACGGACTGTAGTTAATGATGTAATAGAGGTCCAAAGTACAGAAAAAGATGAGGCATGAGAAGAGTAATTGCTTTTTTCAGTTGTCTTGGAAAATAACTACAGGTGGATTTGTGTTGGGCCACTGAAGGAAGGGTGAGAAATGGACAGATGGAGAGGGGTTCAGGGAGGTCCCATCAATGCCATCTGTGTCACAAAGGCATGGTGGCTGTTGAACTGTTAGGCACCTTTGGGTGCCTAACAGTTGGCTGGCGTGTAGTGGAGGTGTAAGGAGCAATGGGATGTAAAGTGGAAGAAAACAAGAGCCAAGATGGTGGAGGTCCCTGAATTCCACAAACTCTACTGCTCTCAGTAGAAAGGCCTGGAAGAGTTTAAGAAGGGGAGTAAAGCCTGAACTGTGTGAACAGCAAATAGGGCCCCTCCTTAGATCTTGGTAACATTTATCACCAGTGCAGAATCTGCCAAAATAAAAAAGCCATCATCTCAAAGTGTGGAAATCCAACAAAAGAAAGGTCTTTAAGGAAAAAATAGGAAGAGTATAAACCTCTTCAAGTCACAGCCCATAAAAAGTAAAGCACAGCTACATGTAAAAGCTAAGAGGCAAAGAAAATGGGGGACAGCAAAAGAAAAAGACCATTAATTGGCACGTGACAGTGGGTATATGTAGCATTTGGGGAGAAGGAGTAGGCAAGAACATTTTTATGTAATAAAAAGAGGAAGAAAAGGAGTAATTTTAATAACTGAGAAACTAGATATTATTATAAACAAGACTGTTTACAATACAACCTATTCAATACAAATCTATTCAATGGTATTGTGTTTACAGTACAAATCTATTCAAACACTACTTCTCAATAGATTTGGATTCTCATTTTCCTGGTGACAAAATGGGGAGTAACATCACTCTTACCTGCAAAACGTTGGCTGCTCTATGCAGTCACTCAACAAGTTTGAATCACAATTTATCTCTTACTCTTTAATAAAGTAGTTAATGAACTGTCCTCTTCCCTCAGGAAGAGTATCTGAGCATCAAGGGCTAGTAGCAAGGCCTAAATCCATTAAGCCTGACTCTTTTTCACTGTTCCTCATACATCATACCATCATATCTTTATTCCCTCCTGATTCAGCTTAGTTTTCATAGCTCATCTTTGCAGTAATTTCCTGGCATACACACTCAACTCTCTTGCCTCTTGCTTTATCCTTCGTAGTTGTATAGCTGAACCAAATCTTGTCTATATTCAGCCCCATGTGAAAACCCACAGAGCTGAATGTGACTAGATAAATTTACATCGCTATGTGAATAAGCCTCATTTTACATTCATGTTATTGTTGCCTGAAATTCCTATTATGTTTTCTTAGACCATTAATTATCCTATTCTCTCAGATCGAGGGGCTAATGGGCCTAAACTGGCCCACCATTTGTTTTTGTTAATAAAGTTTTATTGGAACACAGCCACTTCCAACAATTTATGTATTGTCTCTGGCTGCTTCTGTGCCACAACCACAGAGTTGAATAGTTGCAGCAGAGATCTAATGATCTGCAAAGTCTAAAATATTTACTATCTTGCCCTTACAGAAAAAGTTTGCCCACCTTTGTCCTAAATGACTATTTCACATTTGTTCTTTCTCCTCAACTCTCTAACATCTGCTCCCTGATTTACTTTTAGCTGATAACCTTGTTTTCTATTTCACTAAGAAAATATAAACATTTAGAAAAGAATTCCCACAGCTTCCCTGCCTCATACCTACCAAATTACCTGCATCAGTAGACCTGTACTGTGCCTTCCTTTTGTTAGCCTGGATGGACCTTCCATGCTCATTTCTAAAGTCAAGCTCTCTATTTGTGTACTAGGTCCTCTCAAATACTCAAGGATATTTCTTCCAGCAATTTTATTATGTCTTGCGTCATTAATTTTCCCCTCTTTATGAGATCTCTCCTATCAGCAGGGAAACATGCTGCTATATTGGTCACTTTTAAAAAAGACATCTCTTGAATCAATATCCTCTTCTTTCTACCTATCCCATGTCTCTTTTTCCCTTTATATAAACAGTCCTCAAAAAAGTTGTCTTTGCTCAAGATTTCTAGGGTTTCTGTTCCCATTTTCACTTCAACCTGTTCCAGTTAGGTTTTTAGTTTCATAATTCCATGGACACAATGTTGTTAAATTAACCTTCATGTTGCTAAATCTAATGTCACTTCTCGATGCTCATCTCATATCATGTACCTGAAACATTTGACCTAGTAGATCACGCCTTCAAATGTGTCCTTCCAGGAGATCATTTTCTCTGGATCCTCCTTTTACCTGATTGGCTGCTCCATGCTCATACTCCTTGCTGGTTGCTCTTCATCTCCTCAATCTGTAAGCCAGCATGCTCCAAGAGCTTGCTTTTAAATCTTTCTCACCTCCATCCACACTTAATACTTTGTTTTTGTTAATAAAGTTTTATTGGAACATGGCCACTCCCAACAGTTTATGCTGCTTTTGTGCCACAACTGCAGAGTTGAATAGTTGGAGCAGAGACCTAATGAGATGCAAAGCCTAAAATATCTACTGTCCTCCTCCTTACAGAAAAAGTTAATAAAGTTAACCCCAGAATATGACTTTAAAACCCTCAATCTAACCCCACTTGGGTATCATATAGGCTCTTCAACTTACCAGTGCCCCCAAACGAACCCCTGGCTTTTCTCTCCAAATATTCCCCTTCCCACCTAAGCCACTGTCAACTCTATCCTTCAACTTGCTCAGGACAAAAGCCTTGGGCTCATCCTGACTCCTCTCTTTCTATTATGCTTTGTAAAATAAATGACTTATTTCTCTTGGGATAAAAAATATCTTTTAGGCGGTCATGGTGGCTCACACCCATAATCCCAGCACTTTGGGAAGCTGAGGTGGGAGAATCCCTTGAGCCCAGGAGTTTGAGACCAGCCTGGGCAACATAGGGAGACCCCATCTGTATTATAAAGAAAATAACAACCTTTAGACATTTTTCTTTGCTCACTCACTAATATGTAAACATGAATTATGGTGTATATGCTTTTGTAATATGCTGTTTTCACCTAAATATATGGTAAGCTATTTTCATTTTAATAAATGTAGATGTTCATTAATAGTTTTTAATAGTAGTATGATATTTCTTTTGGTATGGCTAAACTAATATTTATTCAATGATTTCTAATTGTAAAACACTTAATTTTGGTTCTTTGTTTTTGCTGTTATAAACAACACTGAAATGAATATCTTGGAACATGCAAATAATTATTTTCTAAGAGTAAATTCCTAGAAGTGGGACTGCAGAAATCAACACCATTAAATTTCTTTTAAAAATCTACCTTTGATAAAATTTACATATAAATAAACATATTTTTGCATGTTCCTGCATGAGAGTGATATACTAATATTTGTTGATGAAAATTATGTAACAAGTAAATTATTGATAATTTAGTAATGCTTTTTTACTAAATTTTAGTAAATTTACAAATTTACTAAATTTACTAAAATTACAAATTGCAATTTACAAATGCAATTTACTAATTGCATTTGAACTGCAGTGGTGAACCCAGTGTATATAGAAGATATTATGCATTCAATTTATAGAGAATGTGCCTCTGATTGTGGATTCAGGAACTCCTTGTGTGTTAGCTCCATGGCTCTCTATGAGTTTATAGGCTGGCGACCACAGCTTTGGTGATTATTTAAAGAAGCAATTCATTTAGCATATGATCACAAATGGAACCCATTTCCTCTTTCATCCAAGTTGCCCACTTCCTGATAGAACAAAGTATTACAGTAGTAATATTAATTCTGGTACTAAGAAGGCAAGTAAAAAGTTCTCATTAAAGCAGAGTAATTATAGATACATAGTTGAAATAAAGTAGGATTTTAACTGTGGGCTATTTAAATTAACTTCCTAGATTGAATCTTTTTGTGTACTGTGAGAGCTTCTCTCTGGAATTCATGGCAACTACTTCAGCGTTTCTCAGCCTCTTGGAGAAATGTTGAAGGAAGAATGAAGTCTGTTAATTCCCATGGTTGCAAACACCCGTTGCTGCTTCCTGTTCAAACTCGCCTTTCGTTAACTGCAGCAATTTTGAACTGAGCCACTAGATGGTGTACACTGTTCTTTGCTCACCCTCCAGAAAAAACATCAAGAACTATGCTCAGGTACAGGACTCCAAGGCCAACAAAAACAAAGAGGAAAACTTACAACAGTAAGGCCAAAATTAAGGGCCTCTCTTTTAAAACTCTGGTGGTCCTTTTTTTTTTTTCTTTTGATGCAGATTACACTGAGTTGGAGAATGTCAATATTATTTTCTTGACTCTACTCTTCCTTAGTATACCAAATATTTGAGCTGGACCAAAATCTATTTCAACCTTTCACAGCAACCTATTTTTGAATTTCATACATGAGTCCTGAAGGCACTATAAAGTAGTTTCTCCTTTAGAAACTCATATGTACAGACACCTAGCAGGCATACCCTATGCTAATATTGTTAAAGATAGATTTTTAAAAATAGGTCAGATTTTTCAATATCTTGAAAAATCTGCAGATAAGTCCCATGGTGTTGACATAGCAGAGATGTAATGAGCTAGAATTTAGCTCTGCCCTTTAGTCTATAAGCAACTTTGATCCATGTTTCAATATAAACTTACATTTCTATATAGGGTGTATATGTGTGTGGAAAAATGATATGGTTTTCTTTGAGTTTCAGGGAATAATTTCACAGAAGAGACAAACACATTAAATTCACTTTTCCAAGTGGGTAAATTGCTTTAAGAGACAAACATTTTAGAGAAGTTAAAAGAGAAAGTCTTCCTCCTTACCTTAAAGAGGTGTCTCAGGTTTTTATAAATGCATGGGTATTTACCGACGGATGATTTTTTTTTTAGTAGCTTCAACCTATCCTTTACTTTATTGAATTCACTTTTTTATATAATAAATTGTTTTAAGTTAGGAGCAAACATTTTAATGACAACGTTGAAAAGATAAAAAGTCTTTACCTTACCTTAAAGTGCCCTCTCAGATTTTTAGGAATACACGTATATTTAAATACGGGTGATCTTTTTTGATTAAGTAGTTTCAACATTATCTTCTAATCTTTCTTGTCATCTTAACCTAGATCCTTTATGAATTATAGCTCCTCACCTCAAGTAGCAGTTGACTTTCTAATCCCTAATAGTCAAAGATGATTGTAGCAAATCTGTATAATCATCCTTTGTGGGGAAAATAGTTTTCAAATCCATCAGGGCCCTTGAGCTGAGAAGAGCTGCCCAAAGTTTATTTCTACTACACAGTAATGAGTTGAAAGAAAGGTCTATAGGTGGATCTTCAATTGGAAAATCTAAAAAGTCAGTGAAATTACTAAAAAGCCTTAATGGTGCTTCTGAAAACAGACACTAATTTTATGTTCTCATTCTTTGAATTACATTCATCTGACATTTAGAAGTCATTTTATGGGAAAAATTTTTATTAACTGAGAAACAAGATTTCTTGGATTATAATGATAAATGATGACTATATTTTTAAAATATAGTCAACTTGTGATTATTCAATGACCAGTGCTCTGGTTTATATATTATTCTAATATTATTATTTCTTCAGTTACCTCCTTTCAACCTGTCTTTTTGTTATTTAATTCTTCAGAGAGCGGGCAAAGCCAAAGGGCAGTGGTAAATACAAATTATCAATCATGTATCAGCTGTAAAAAAAACAGTGGCTTTTTTGGTGAGAGAACAGAATGATGAAAGTTAAAATTATTATAAATTGTGAAGATTTTAGCTTGCTTGACTTTTTTTTTTTGAGGTGGAATTTCGCTCTTGTCGCCCAGGCTGGAGTGCAATGGCACGATCTCGGCTCACTGCAACCTCTGCCACCCAGGTTCAAGTGATTCTCCTGCCTCAGCCTCCTGAGTAGCTGGGATTGTAGGCACACGCCACCACGCCCAGCTAATTTTTTTTGTATGTTTGAGTAGAGATGGGGTTTTGCCATGTTGGCCAGGCTGGTCTCAAACTCCTGACCTCAGGTGATCCACCCACCTCGGCCTCCCAAAGTGTTGTGATTACAGGCATGGGCCTCTGCACCCAGCCCTAGCTTGCTTCACTTTTGGCAATCAATTTTGTACCTTCATTTCATATAGTTGATATTTAAAAATTGATTATTTTCCTTTTCATTGTTTTATACCTAGTTTATATTTTTATTTTTTCAAATATGACTTTTGTAGATATAAGCCTTTTACATTATGACTCCTAAAAGCTTTAGTTTAATTTTAATTTTCTATTATTTACATATTCTTATTTGTCCCAATATCCTCATCTGCTAGACAGATGTCTAGACTGGGCCTATAAGAGAAAGGCCAACTCGGAATGAGATTGAAATATCCTCTCTCTCCAAATTGGAGGGCTTTACCAAATAATGGGCAAGATGTTGAACTAATAGCTCCAAAACCTCTGGTCAACCTGGTTGTACCATAATAAATGAGGTGAATGGAATGAATATTTTTATTCTATTTGGCCCACTTTTAGTTACGTGAGAAAACGTTATAAATTCCTGTCATTGATGTGGTATGTGAAATCTTATGGAAATAATAATCTGTTGCAAGTGCAATTTGATGATAGATTTAAGTAAATGAGTCAAACCAAAAATAAAGCATGTTGAAGTGAGAAAGACAAGGGGAAGAAATTCCTCATGGTTGCTTGAAATTTAGACTATGTCATTCACATATCCTCATGGGAGCCAGATGTTGAACTGTAGAATTAGTCTATGATTCGTACGAAATGCCTCAGAAAACACCAAGGGCTACTATGAGACTCCCAGCTGCTCTTTCTTCATCTACCCCTGAAAAGTTGGTACTCATGCATTTCTTCATTCATGTAGTCAATGAATGATTATTATTGAACCCTATTCTATGCCAAGGATTGGGCATACGTAATCCTATTTTCTTGGAGTTGGGTATTTTGTCCTCTTTCCTCTCTATCTCTTCCCCCTTCCAGATCTCAATGATGCTATTTGCTTAAATGCTGACTTCTGAATTGGTATTTCTACTCTTTTCTCGTCTGTCATATAGATCAACATTTTCTAGTTCTTTCTGTAGAACTTCCCTTGAATCTCTCCCAGTCTTTAATTCTTCCTTCCTTCATCAATACACTCACTAAATATTTATTGAACACCTATCATGTGCCAGGCACAAGTCTTGAGTATGATGAATATAGATATTTTGACTTGACATACTGAAGACTAACCACATTCCATCCTCCTCTAAACGTTCATTTTCTTGGTTTCATCTTTTGACCAAAGACATCAGATCAATTTGGCCAACCAAGCCAGGCTGTCTCTTACTTCTACAGCCCAGTAGTTACCAAGTGATGTCTAACTTTATTTATAAAATGAGTTTTGTATTTGCTAGTGTCTCATCGTTTTCATACCTATTGCCGTAAATCAGACCCTTATTATCCCTATTCTGGGTTATGCAATAAATGATTACCCTGCCTCCAATCTCTCCTTTTCCAATTCATCTTAAATTAGCTTTTTAAACACAGATTTAATTATGTTATTTCTCTGCTCAAAGATTTTTGGTGAGTCCCCACTGACTATAGAATAGTATCCAAATGCTTTTCACATAATCTTTTACACCTGATCTCAACCTACCTTTCAGGAGTTCGCCAACTCTGAGCAATTTCCTGAATTTAAAATGCAATGTCATATTCTGCCCTGTTTACATTATTCTCTTTCTCCTGGCACAATAAGAATCCATCACATTTGTATGTTGTTTTCCAGTTTACAGTGAAATTTCCCATGCACCTTCTGTGAGGTAGGCAGAGATATTTCCCCCCAGACTTAGAGCTGGAAGAGTCAAGGTTCTGAATGTGTAGGTGACATACTGAGCAAGCTAATCTTGCTTATGATTAGCAAGAGAGCCCAGATACTAAACATCAATGGGCAGTAGCACCAAGAAACAGATTAGGATGAAGTGTAGTATTTTACCACCAAAATGAATTCAGCATACAGATTTCCATTAATATTTGGTGTCATATATTGTAATTTAAGGGTTTCTTTTACACAGAAAGCAAAGCCCATTTTAAAATTCCATAAATCTTTTGATTTATGACACTAATCAGAGTTTAAAAAATAGTTTCAACATTTTATAGCTATTATGATAAACTCTACCTTCTTTTTAAACTTTGTGTATCTTTAAAGTGTATAGATATACTCACAATATTGACACAGTCTAGCTTCCATAAACATTTTGTAAAAATGGTACCGGCTATTTTCATCAAAATTTTCACTATATCATGCTATAATTTGATGGGAACATGAACTTTCTTTCTTTTTTTTTTGAGACAGAGTTTCACTCTTGTTGCCCAGACTGGAGTGCAATGGCACAATCTTGGCTCACCACAACCTCTGCCTCCCGAGTTCAAGTGATTCTCCTGCCTCAGCCTCCCGAGTAGCTGGGATTGCAGGCATGTGCCACCACACCTGGGTAATTTTGTATTTTTAGTAGAGACGGGGTTTCTCCATGTTGGTCAGGCTGGTCTCAAACTCCCGACCTCAGGTGATCCGCCCACCTTGGCCTCCCAAAGCACTGGGATTATAGGCGTAAGCCACTGCGCCCAGCTGGAAACCTGCACTTTCAACTAATGTTAAGCTAATGCCTGTTTTGTGCACCAATGGCAGGCACTTAATAAAACTGGCCATAGGAAAGAATACATTTTAAAACTTTAGAATTTTTGAACTTGAAGTATACTGTGTCTATATCTTGTAAGTTCACGAATGAGTCAAAGATGAGGATGAATTTATGAATGGATACTTCTCTCATTATTAACAACTATGAGCATTTTGAGACCTCACTATATAACATTTTATATACGTCAAACAAGTTGATGTAATGCATCTGAATTGATCCCTGTATAAATAAGATGTGAAGGTAAACTGACTTTGATGTCATCCGTTTAATGATAGCTAGGGTTGCTTAAGCTGCTCTTGTCGTTTAGGCACTATTCATTCATTTATTCAATAATTACTACATGTGCTTGACACAGTGGCTAAAAGATTTCCAAAAGGCACGATATCCTTGCTTTCAGTGTAGGCAGGCAGACATTTAAACAACTATGTCACAAAACAACAAGCTTTCTAAGGTACTTATGGGCAGGGAGCTGTGACAACACAGAGGAGATAGCAAGCATTTGTCAGAGGTGGCTCAGGAGTTACCCGGGTGCTTGGTCAGAAGGACGTGCGTAGCCAGGTGTAATGGGATGTGCTCCCTTCGCAGCCTGTACCTACTTCAATCTCAGCCAATAGTAGTATATGTAACTGACTAATTTATGTTTTCTGTAAAAATTGTGGAGACCTTAATAATGTGGGCCATGTCGTATTTGTATCCAAAATTCCTGCACAAAGCATAATTGTGTGTAGAATTAAACAGGACTGAAAAACATTCCATACCAAAGAAGAGGCATGAGCACTGGCCTGGGTGTCAGCAGGACATTTTAGAGGTCTGCATGTATTAGCAAAAACTGGAGGAAGATGTGTGGGATAGGAGAGAGAGCAGAAAGTAAATCTGAGAAGGCAGGTTTTAGGAGCCCTGCTAAAGAGTTGGATTTCATCTTGTACATTCTGAAGATTCATTGAAAGATTATATGCTAAGACTTGACAGTGAGAATGGGATGAGGAAATGGATGAGAATGGAAACAGAAGATCATAGTGACAGCGCTTATGGTCAGTTGAGGAAGGGGTTGGAGGAGAAAGAGGGGTCAGGGATGACACTTAAGATTTCAGGTTGGAGAGATGAAGATGCTATTTCTCCCAACAGAGAACAACAAAGACAGAATGGGTTCAAAGGCAAGGTAATTTTAAGGCCAAATGGAGATGTTTGGGTTTCTATTTGCAGTCAGAAATACAGTAGTCTGCCTCAAGAAAGAAGTCTGGGAAGGAAACTCAGACTAGTGGTCACCCAACAATTCTTATGGCTGCTGTCACAAGGATGAATGTTCAGGATGCGAAGGGGGCTTGGGATGACATGCGGCCAAACACTAATGCTTCAAGAGTAACTAGAATAAAAAAGGCATCCAGGAAGTTACATGAGGAAGCACAATTTTCACAAAGCTGTGCTTTCCAAGTAGATGACTTAGCCAGAGAGATGTGACTTTCACTGAGATGAAGGCCATCTCACCAGTACTACAAGTACGAAATGAATGTCTCTGGACCAGAAGTCATTGGCAAAGAAAATACTCTACCTTCTTCATGATTTCAATGCCAGGCCCATCAGGCTTCTTCACATGTTTATAATGGCCATTACTCTCCTCTTCCATAAGTCTTCCTCTTCTCCCTTGGTAGCACATGTATTTTAAGATCATCCTCTTCACGTTGGTTTCATCAAATGGAAATATGGGAGAATAATGAGATGGCAAAGTGGCATGATGAAAGCGCAATTGCCAACAAAGTGTGTTTTCTACAGAGAAGGCTGTTGACTCCCACATGGGCCAGGAGCGTGGCAGTGCTCTGAGGCTGGCCGTTTTTGAGCACTTCAGTAATCATGCCCTCAATTCCATGCCGCTGGACACTTAGATAATGATAGCAGCAGGAGACAAAAAAGGGGCAAAACCCACATTTGACATCCTACTGAGAAAAAACCCAGGCTTCTATTTGTAGTCTGCAGAGAACCCTTCACCTTTGTGCAGTGTTAGAGAGGCTGGACATGCAGCAGTTGTCTGCCACTCTGATACCCCTGTGCCACTTGTCACAAGAATGTGTAGAGCTAAGAGATAAGACATAAGCTCTTCCTAATGGGAGCTATTTCAGGGATACAAGAAAGGAAAAGAGTGACTTTCAAACTGGAATTATTTTAAGTTAATAATACTAAAAAATGATTCATTATTGATATCTACACTCACTGAGCATTTGTTCAGGCTTTATCCATATGAAATTTATATTTCTACCTATTTTCTGTTCACTCGAGAGAAGGGATCTTCTCTCCCAACCTTGATACATTATTTTTCAATGGATAATTAATCAAACTCTTCTTCCAACTCTTCTTTTTCACATGACTGGCTTTCCTCAAGTACCAATCTGAAATTCTTCATGTGGTGAAAAAGGTTATATTTAATTCTCCAGTGTAAACAAAGTTGGGAAAAATTTTACCAATCATCTCTCTTCAAATCACAACGATAGTGAACCCGCCTACCTGACTCACCCATTTAAATGCATGAATACCCACATGACCTAAAAATTGTGACCCTTCTCTAGAACTCTCCTGGCCATGGTTTTCTGATATGGTTTGGCTCAGCGTCTCCACCCAAATCTCACCTTAAATTGTAATAATCCCTCATGTCATGGGAGGGATCCGGTGGGAGGTAATTGGATCATGGGGGCAGGTCTTTCCCATGCTGTTCTTGTGATAGTGAATAAGTCTCATGAGATCTGATGGTTTTATAAAAGGGAAGTTCCCCTGCACACGCCCTCTTGCCTGCTGCCATATAAAACGTGACTTGCTCCTCCTTGCCTTCTACCATGTTGTTAGGCCTCCCAAGCAATGTGAAACTGTGAATTAATTAAACCTCTTTCCTTTATAATTACCCAGTCTTAGATATGTCTCTATTAGCAGGGTGAGAACAGACTAATACATTTTCCTTCAGCATTTTATGACCATCAGGAGGCCCCAGCTCAAACCTGTGCCATCCCTCAAATATGCAGTGACTTTACCAGAAACAGCCTCAAGCCCAATATGCTGTGAGCAACAACAACCAAAAAACGAGAGAAGCTTAACCAGAAGGAACCTGGGAAAATGGAGAGGAGCTGTCCACAGCAGAGCTGAGCTCTTCAAATAAAAACTCATGGAGCCCAGCAGGGAGCCACAGTACTGAAGACATCATGGTCTCAGTTCTCACCACGAATGCCACTTGTACATTCTGAGAAAGGTGAATCAAACCATGAATTTTCACTCCATAACCATGAATGTGTCCACAACACAACACTGTACCATGAACACTACCTTCAGCTGGCGAAGAAAATCATGGGAGAGGAAAAAAAAACAGCAATCCATCTTAAAAATCAGGCCAGGTACAGTGGTTCACACATGTAATCTCAGAACTTTTGGAGGCTGAGGCAAGATTTGCTTGAGCCTGGATTTTGAGACCAGCCTGGGCTACATAGTGAGACCCTGTCTCACAATTAAGAAATTAGCCAGGCGTGATGGCACATACCTGTAGTCTCAGCTGTTTGGGAGGCTGAGGTGGGAGGATTGCTTGAGCCTAGGAGTTGGAGGCTATAGGGAGCCATGACCACACCACTGCACTCCAGTTTAGGTGACAGGGTGACACCATGTCTTTAAAAATCAACAACAACAAAAACAAAAACCTAACAGGCGTGGTCATTTTCAGTGTAGGGAATGGGCATAGGATAACACTGGTTTGCTCCTCCTTCAATGGAGGACAGGCTTGTGCAGTGGAATCATGTCACTCCCCTTTGCTTCCACTTCAATTTGTTTGTTTGCTATTGGGTCAGTTAGACACAATAGAAAACATAAAGCAGCTAAGGTTTTAAGGAGCTTGGTTAAGCCAAACTAGATATTACATTTCCAAAGAACCAAAAATGTATTTGTATTTTGACATTTAAAATAGTTGATTTTGATCTCTAATAAAAGGTAGTATTCATAGATAGTGAATCCAAGGAAGCTGGCATCTTTTGATTTTGACCCTACAGATGTACTCTCCACCCCAGGTCCTTGCTCTGTTCTTCCACTCCAGTGGTACTGACCAAATTAGGGGCTCTCTTGCCTCTGGCTTCTGGATGGATTTGCTTTCAGAAGACTGAGGGAGGTAGGAGAGGAAGGTCAGGGTATTTACTCTTCACTTTCTTTTTCTGGGTCAGTGCAAGCTGCCTTTCTCATCTTAATGAAGGTCCTTAGTTGGCCCTTTCCACAGAGCCCTCTCTGTGTCTGGTTCTGGTAATCCTCTCTTCCCTTGTGGACATGTATTGAGGGCTTAAATTACATACTCAGAGTAACAATGTGAGGTCAATAGCATTACTATCCCCATTGTGTTGATGAGAAAACCAAGGTCAAGGATGTGTCCAAGCTACTTTGTGCTAGGGCCAAATTATGAGCCCAATTGAACAGTGCCCCTCTTACTAGCACCAGGGGTTGGAGAGGGGGGTACACTAGTTCTAAGATATTCTTGCCTTTTGCCCACATCTCTCAAAGTAGCTCTCTTACTATTAAACAGTGTCATCTGTTTCCTGTTGGAACCCTATGTTATATACCAAGCATGCTCAATTTTAATATGGCACTTTGTGGGTTCTCTTCTGTGCATTATTTGCAAACAAGGAGTTAATTATTTTTATTTCAAAGTGGCCATAGTGATTTAAAAGCTTCTGATATATAAACACTTTTCTGAATAAATCCAGTTGGAAAAAAAATATCATGTTAGAAAGAGATCAAATAATGTCAGTTACAGGTCAAAGAACTCCTAATAAGGTTTCATAGAACATGGCTTAATAGAAAAAACACTGAACTAAAGTAGGTCAGAAGCCAAGGGTTTAAGTCACAAATTCATCAATTATAGCGTGACCTTGACAGGTCACTTAACCGTTCTGATCTTAAGTTTTCTCATATGTCAAATAGTGATAATAAAAAGTGACCTGTTTATCTCCTGGGGTTATTAAGGGTGAACCAATAAATGATAGATTTGAAAGTGCTTTCCAACTGTGAAGATTACACAGGGATATTACCCAGAGTGGTGATGAGGATAACATTTATCCAATAAATAAATGTGTAAACCTCCATTACCCTAGAGAGCCCTCAATACATGTCTTTACTCTTATCTTTAAAATCATAGCAACCAGATAGAAACAGTGCAGTGTTGGGTTTCAGAGGCAGGCTCTGAAGCCAGTTGCTTGGGCTCCAGAACAAAGTGGCTTGGACACACCCTTAACCTTGGTTTTCTGACCAACACAATGGGGATAGTAATGCTATTGACCTCACATTGTTACTCTGAGTATTTAATGGGATAATTTATGTTAGGCACAGAGCACAATGTCTTGTGTATAGAAGTTCTTCGTCTATGTTAGCCTCAAGCCATTAGAGGTGCAGAGAGAGCACTTCAATGCAGAGTGTCATATGGTGGTTAAGCATCCAGATTTCAAAGTAAAAATTTCATACCTTGGATTATTAACTTATGTATTTACTAACTGTTTAAGTTTGGACAAATTATTAATCTTTCTAAGTTTTCATTTTTTTCCATCCTCATCAAGCTAGTTACGTCTGCCTTATGAACACTAAATAAAACCATGTTTGTAATGTGTTTGACACAATGCTGGACACATAAGTGCTCAATTAAAATGTTCATTACCATGTTTAGCATGGTGTTGCTAAAATAAAAATTCCCCTCCCTTCCCTTTTTTTTTTTAGAGACAGGATCTTACCCTGTTGCCCAGGCTGGAGTGCACTGGCACAATCAGAGATCAGAGCTCACTGTAGCCTCAACTTCCTGGGCTCAAGGAATCTTCCTGATGCAGCCTCCCAAGTAGGTGGGATGGGACTACAGGCATACACCAACACACCTGACTACTTATTTTTTAATTTTTTGTAGAGACAGGGTCTTGCTTTGTTGCCTAGGCTGGTCTCAAACTCCTGGGCTCAAGCAATCTTCCCACCTTGGCTTCCCAAAGTGCTGGAATTACAGGTGTAAGCCACCACACCTGGCCTTCCTTGCGTTTTTATTCCTTACTTCTTTTGCATATGGAGTAATCAAATAGGCTCATTTTATGTAACAGATATTTGCAGTTCAAAGAGAGTTTTAAGCAGAAAAATCTCATTACACACATTTAAGAGCTGGACATATCTTTGAAAGGCTGTTGTTGTCTCATTACAACCAGCAGATGCTCCACTGGAGGAACCCGTGGCTAATGAGCCAATGTCTGGTCCCCTTTGGTGCTTGCCCATGGCCCTGGCACAGCACGAGAGTTAATTCCCTGATTCAGTATTGTCCAGTGTCTGCGGAATGTGTCCTGTGAGCTAGGCATGGGGGAGCTGTCAGTCATGGAGGTAGACATAATATCTGCCCTCATGTTGCTGACAGAGAAAGTGTTTCTTTTATATTCAGAATAGCATCTGCCTCTCAAGTTAAAGATGAAGGTCACAAAATATCCCCTGAGAGTCAGTACAGCTTGTGACTTAAGGTGTGATTTCTGGAGTTAGACTATCTGAGTTTAATTCTTGGCTTTGCTTCTTAGTCATGGTGTCATACAACTTGTTTTACCTCTTTATGCCTTGGTTTCCTCCTCTATGAAATGGAAGTTCTGGCAGAACTTGCATCATACAGTTGATGTGAGGATTAAATGAATTAATACATGTAAGTGGCTCAGTCAGTCTAATAAATAAGAGTTACTACTATCAGTATTGTCTCATTACCAAGTGGTGTGATTTGTGAGTGAAGTAGTCATGACCTTAGATTATAGTGCAAGGGTTAGCAAATACGGCCTGTTGGCCAAATCCAGCCCTCTGCCTATTTTTATAAATAAAGTCATACTGGAACACAGCCATGCTTATTTACTTAGGTATAGTTTATGGCTACTTTTGTGCTATAATGGGAGAGCTGAGTAGTTGTGACAGAGACCTTACGGCCACAAAGCCCAAAATATTTACTACCTAGCCCTTCACAGAAAAAGTTTGAGGACTGACCCCTGGATAGACAACTACTATTAACATATTTTTCTTGGCCGGGTGCAGCGGCTCACACCTGTAATCCCAGCACTTTGGGAGGCAGAGGTGGGCGGATCACTTAAGGCCAGGAGTTCAAGACCAGCCTGGCCAACATGTTGAAACCCCGTCTCTACTAAAAATACAAAAATTAGCCAGGCGTGGTCGTGGGCGCCTGTAATCCCAGCTACTTGGGAGGCTGAGGTAGGAGAATCACTTGAACCCGGGAGGCAGAGGTTGCAGTGAGCCAAGATCGTGCCACTGCACTCCAGCCAGGGTGACAGAGCAAGACTGTCTCAAGATAAATAAATAAATAAATAAAAATAAAATAAAATAAAATAAAATATTTTTCTCAAAAGAAAAAATTGGCATAGCAATTATTTATTCTGGGAAATATTTTTATATTAATGCTTCTGCATTCTTTCAAGGGACATATTACACACTGCAGATAACTGCAACCGAGAAGACCTCAGATGGGGCTGCCATGTGCTCTCTTCACCCTCATCAATTCTGCTTAAAGAAGCATCATGCATGAGGATGATGCTACTAACCCACTTTCAGCAGAATAAACATCCTGTTATTTTCCAGTAGTGTTCCTGGATTTGCATTGTTCCATCCTCTCTTTCAATGGACTTCCGTTATCCACAGTCACATATGCTTGAGGGGCAAGCTGGTTGGGGTGCAGCCTTTGGAGAAAGAATTTCCCTATATGGGAAGGCAGCTGAGCTATAAAGGGGAGTGAACTCCCAACCTTAGCTTTATGCAGCCCGCAATAGAATCAGGTGTTGGCTACTATATTTGTGAATGACTAAATTTTATTTGGTAAAAGGAACAAAAGCTGCTTCTTAAAAAGGTATGTATTTTATACTTCTGGTCTTTTTTAAACAAAGTATGGGAAACTTAACAATTTTTCAATGGTCAAGAAAGGTTACTCTGCCTAGCAAAAGTACTCAGTAGTGCCTGCCTCCTGGTTTTACACTGTATCCATATCTATTCAGGCTTTTCAGTTTAGGGCTGAAATCAGATGGAGTAAGACATAGAAGATGAAGCCCCAGTGCTGAGATTAGCAAATGAACTGGGCATTAAAGATACATTTAAATTATGAGAACCATCATGGATTGTCTTTGGAATTACATCTGGAAACTTATTTACATGTATTTGTGACAAAAACAATATAGCATATTGAATCTTTGCAAATTTAATGATAGATTGAAACCAAACAACCATTACACATCCCCTTATCTGCACATATGTCCTTTCATTATTGTTGAAGTAAGGGAAATGACTTGGGTTTTGACAAGAATAAGGACAAAAAAAGGATACTTTATCATTTTTTAAAATGAAAGCTCTAAAGTGGAAGGAGTAATTTAATCCCATGAAATGTTTATGTACACACAAGAGCAGCTACTGATATTTGATAAAGTTAATGATTATGGTAATGAAAAGCTTCAAACAAATTTATGAATGAACACAAAACAAAGATCTGAGATTTACCAGTATGACATGGACAGAGGAGTACCCCCATGTCATTAGTACTCAGAGAACCAAGAGCACAAATACACAGTTTTTCTCTCTTTAGAAAGTTACGTCTTGGCACACAGCCCTTACCATTGTGATTTTTGCAAGTGAGGAAGTTATACACAGAAAGCAGCGGTAGAAGCTGCAACTCCCCTGGAAGTGATCGCCTCATTCTGAAATTTTCACCTAGAAAATAATCCAATATTATATTCTTTCTTCAATCTTCAATTAATAACAAAGAGGATGGTAGAAGGTTCAACAAATATGCATGCATATTTAGGATGCTGGTATATTCTATTTGTGCAGAGGATGTTCAATTTGATTCTGCATAAAATGCTGAAGTAGCCTGTCTCGTCTTGCTTCACCTTTGACTCCTTTTACAACATGCACTCTGTTGTTAACTACAGTAATGAGAAATAGCAAAGACTGCAGGCTCTGAAGCTTTATTCGGGTACACATTTTGGCTCTGCCATTTACCATCTGTGTGACCTTGAGCAAATTACTTAATGTCTCTGTGCCTCCATTTCTGCATCTTAAGTAGAAAAATAATAGTGCCTACCATGGTCGAGGGCTGATGTCTGAATTAAATTAACAAATGCAAGTGAAGTGCTTAGAATTTTGTTATATCTTTTTCTTATGTGTGTCATTCTCTAGGTGTAATGAGTTGAATTGTGTCTCCATGAAAAGTTATGTCAAGTCCTTACTCCCAGTACCTGTGAACATGATATTATTTGGAAAGAGTCTTTGCAGATAAAATCATTAAGATGAGGTCATACTGGATTAGGGTAGGCCCTAACACCAATGCTTTTGTCTTGTTGTAATGGTAAGGATGTATTTTTGCCTGGTCAAAAAAAGGATGCATTTTTGCCCATCATCCTTACCATTACAGCAAGACAAAAGCATTAAAGTCTTTATAAGAGAAAGGAGAGGAAGATTTAGACACAGAGATACAGAGGAGTGACACGGGGAAGAAACCCATGTGAAGACAGAGACAGAGATTGAAGTGATGAAGCTGTCATCAAGAAACACCAAGGAGGGCTGGAAGCCACGAGAAGTTAGGAAGGAGGAAGGAAGTCTTCTCCCCTAGAGTCTTTGGAGGGAGCACGGCCCTGCTGACACCTTCATTTCGGCTAGTTTGCAGAACTGTGAGAGAATGAATTTCCATTGTTTTAAGCCACCCAATATGTGGTCCTTTGTTATGGCAGCCCTGGGAAACGAATACTACAGGTAACCTAAATTAAAAAGTTGGGGTTTGTGGAAGGAGAAAATGAGAAGCCAAAAGATGAAATCTCAGTACCTAGAATGAGGCTCACACGTGGTTCATTGGGTGTCCTTTGACTTTCCTTATTTCGTGGGGGTCACCTATTTGTTTCCTTGCCTGTAGGGAGATGGGGAGGGTGAGGATGGCAGGCAGTGCCTCTGTGGGAATGTGAACTCTCTACTACCTAGAGCTGTGCTGTTCATACAGAAGCCACTTGCCACAGGGGGTTACTTAAATAAAAATAAAATTAGAAATTGAGTTTCTCAGTTATACGAGCCATATTTAACACATACAATAGTCACATGGGGCTAGTGACTTCCATGTTAGACTGCAAAGATACAGGACATTTCCATCACTGTGTACGTAAAGTGCTATTAGCCTGTGCTAGATGATATTTACATTGTAATAGGATTTGTTTAGGAGACAAGGAAAGTAAGCAGACAGGTTGGGTAGAAAATAGAAATATGTCATTGTCATAATATCATTGGTTTTAGGACCCACCCTAATCCAATATGATTCATCTTAACTTGATTTTGTCTGCAAAAAAGCCTATTTCTAAATAAGGCCACAAAATAGAAATATGTCATTGTCATAATATCATTGGTTTTAGGATCCACCCTAATCCAATATGATTCATCTTGACTTGATTTTGTCTGCAAATAAACTTTTTCTAAATAAGGTCACATTCATAGGTACTGGGAGTAGGACTTATATCTTTTCATGGGGACACAATTCAACTCACTACACCTAGAAAATGCCAATAAATAGAACTAGAAATAGAAAAATCTGTATTACAAGGTGCTATGTTCTTGTAATACAGACAAGCAACTCCATAATTCATTAAGGAAAAAGGAAGAGAGAATATGGTAGAATTGATACTTCAACAGCTGCATACGAGGCAGGTCTCACTTGTTGAATGGTCTATTGTTTTCATCTTAAAGTCATGTATATCACTGCTTTTTTGTAGTTTGAACAAAAGGTATTTACTATATTCAATTCTTTTAGACTAAAAATCAGTACAGCCAGAAACTGGCTTATATCTAATGACAGAGATCAGCATGGAGAAGTATAGCCTGCTTCACCTTGATCTGCTGGAGATAGACCTCATAGAGAAATGGTTAACGTTTTGATCCCTTAACTCTGTGAAGGAGGTAAATGCTGCAAAGCAACAAATGAGATCAAGAAATCCGTGAGCTATGATCTCTCTCCTCCTCTTCAGATCTAATCATACAGATGAATAAATTGCTATGAAAATACCAAAAATAAAACTAAAAACAATGACTGAACCATTAAAACAAAAATCTCATGTACTCTGTGTTCAGGTAGGAAGAAATTTAATTCCAGTCAGACCAGTTTCCTGTGATTTTTTCCCCTTTCATCTAAGATATTTTTAATGCTCAGAGGCATTATAATAGAAAAGCATGTATTTTTGTCTGGTTTATACCCATCATCCTTACCATTACAACAAGACAAAAGCATTAAAGTAAAATTAATCATGTCAAAAGATTTTAGCAAAAACAAGTGAGACCATGCATAAAGCATCGCTTTGTCTAGTGTGAAGTCACGCTCTGATTAAAAACATATAATGAAAGTGAAAGTGATACATCATTGCCTTAGCAGTAGGGTTTTCTGAAAGTGCTTTGCGGTTCTCAACATAAAAATGTGGGAACATTATGGTCTTCGAAACTCACAAAGGTTATTGTTCTAGCTAAATAACTAGAATTCAATCTCAATGTTTTAAAAAAATAAATTAAGACTTAATGACCAAACAAGGCAGGTCGGTAGGATTAATAATTAGAACACGCTGTGAGAAGCGGTCGTCTGCCTTGACAACCAGACACAGAGGTATGAAAGTGTCTGCTCAGCACTCCCCTTTCACAAAACCATCCTTAATCCCAGCTAAATGTGGCCAGGTCCTTAAGGTATCAGCACAGCTCCTTGCTCCATCGGAAACACTTAATGAATAGAAAGGTTTGACTGTAGAGTAATCATACACTCCCCAGCAATGGAGTCAATTTATGTATGATCCACAAAACCAAAAATTCTAAGTGGCTGGCTATTCCTAAAATGTAGGTTTAGTTAATGATGTCACCATAGAGTCATCTCATGGATTTGAAAAGAAACAGTTTACTTATTTGTACTTTGCCTTCATTACGTCTTTATTTTGATGGGGATATGTGTACATAATAATTGCTCTCCAAAATTATCTTTCTATTTGTTTTGTTGTTGTTGTCATGTTGAGAGTCATTTAGGGCTACTGTCCTTAGCATACTAATGCAGGAGCAGAAAACCAAATACTGCATGTTCTCTCTTATAAGTGGGAGCTAAATGATAAAAACTTATGAACTCAAGGAAGGAAACAACAGAGACTGGGGTCTACTTGAGGGGGAGGGTGGGAGGAGGGAGAGGAGCAGAAAAGATAGCTATTGGGTACTGAGCTTAATACCTGAGTGATGTAATAATATGTACTGTGACATGTATTTATATATGTAACAAACCTTCACATGTACCCCCAAAGCTAAAATAAGAGTTGAAAAAGAAGTCGTTTCAGCTGTTTTTTTAAATGAGGTCTCTCTAAATGTTGAAAACCATCCTGTTCTATGAGATCTACGTGTATATATCTATATAAATAATTTATATATATACATATTTGCATAACTATATTTTAGATGTATAATAGTTTACATACAATAAATACTAGAAACAAGGACAATTGTATAAACTCAGACATATTAAAAATATCTGAGGGAAATCAGACTTTTAAAAATTCACTCCAAATGCATTATAATAATATTTAGAGTGTTTTTCTAAACCTCCTTTTAATATAAATGGTTTTGGCTGAGCGCGGTGGCTTACACCTGTAATCCCAGCACTTTGGGAGGCCGAGGCGGGTGGATCACCTGAGGTCAGGAGTTCAAGACCAGCTTGGCCAACATGGCAAAACCCCAACAACGCCACTAAAAATACAAAAATTAGCCGGGCGTGGTGGCACATGCCTGTAGTCCCAGCTACTCAGGAGGCTGAGGCAGGAGAACTGCTTGAACCCGGGAGGTGGAGGTTGCAGTGAGTTGAGATTGTGCCACTGCATTCCTGCCTGAGAGACAGAGCAAGACTCCATTTCAAAAAAATAAAAAGAAAAAAGAAATGGTTTTATATCCTGGTAATGAATATCATTCCTGACAATACAGTCCTATGTAGGAAGTGATAGAAAGATACATAGAACAATTGTATTCTGACTAATAACTTCCCCTCACAGGAGAAGTGAGAATATCTTGCATGTGACAAGAAGAGTGAAACAAGTATTTGGGAACATAAGGGTGCACTGTTGTAAACATTAGGGGCTAGTAAATATTTTGATTATCCACCTTCTGAGATCTTGGGAGGATTGCACTTTTCCAGCCACTTTGAAATTAGATGTGGCTGAGCAATTTGTTTTTGCTGATACGCCATGTTATTCAGGGCAGAAATTTCAAGAGTCAGTGTGACATTTCCTCTTCTCTGCCATGAAAATGGTGACATGTCAAATAGTGGAGTCTATCAACCTGAGGACTAGAATGAGAAGATGTGGAACAGGCTCCCAGTTAACCTGCCATAGACATGTGACATGAAAAGAAATAACTATTTACTTACATAAACCACTAAGATTTGGGATTGTTGTCACCGCCTAACCCGACTGATACAGGTGCTGGTACCAAGAAGGTCCAGTGGCTGATAAGGAAACTGAGATAGAAGAGTAGAAAGACAGAAATGGATATCATGGTGAGAAAAATCACTGGGTACAACTGTTATTTGCTCTTACTTGGAAGGCTAATCAGTTATTTAATGAACTTCCACCTCCAAGGGAAGAGGTTGAAAACAGAATGCTGATTGTATGTGTTGGTTGCTGTTGGCTGGACTTGGCAAGATTTACAAAAAAGAGATGATCTCAGAAAAAGCTGGCCCATTTATGAGCAGTATTGAAAGGAAACAGAGTCCAGAAATCTAGGGTGTGTAGCCTTGGAAGACTGATGTTTTTCAATTTCATCTGGTAAGGTAAGTTAAAACTCAGCTTAGTGGAGAGAAAAAATTAAAGGTGTGACTTTCACAGTACTTTCACTGAGTTGGGATGTTTTAGAAGAAAGTTCCAATTAAGGCTGAGACAACCACCAGTAAATTCTAAAAATTCAGAGAAAAGAGTAAAAAGGAAACTTTCCCACTGAAGTCTTATAGACACAGAAATATAAAGAATATTAGATGGTGGTGGTGTGTGTGTGTGAGAGAGACAGAGAGAGAGAAAGAGAGAGAAAGGAGAGAGAGAGAGAGAGAGAGAGAAGGACACAAGAAGACAAAGGAAAAAGCAATCTGAGAAGTTTATCAGAAAAGAAATGTAGCATGGTCACCGGCCTTGGAGTAGCTGGAAACATAAGAAAACAGCAAAGTTTTCTTGAGAGTTAATTGCTGAAAGAACTGCTAGCCTTGAGTAAAAGAAGCTGTTGACAATTTTATACCTAAAACCACTATGGTCCTCTAAGTGTTTATAGACATGGAATGTACTTAGAAAACTCTTCCGCTCCCAGGAAGAGCATATTCATCAGGGTCACTTCAGACATGGCCAATGAAGATAACAGGAAAAGAAGGATCTCCCACAGGGAGAAGCAGGGGGCATGGGAAAACAAAAAAAATAATGAACAGAATTGGGCAGAACCCTAATCAAGGAACACAACCCACCTCTTGGATAGGTGCCCTTCATAATGTCTATTTGGTAGAATTGCTAAATTGCTACGGTCTTTCCAAATGAACGTGTTTACTGGGGTGATCCTGTCCCTATTCCATCACGGTGCATTATGTGTGAGGGACCAGATAATTTCTCTTTAGTTTATTCATTCCGGGTCAAGAGGAGTCTCAAATCAGCTTGATGTTGGGATGACTATTCTTCTCACCCAGAGGTCCTCCACAATGAGCTTGATGATTTTGGGTAATCTCCCCTTGGAGGAGAGGTGAGAGCGCTTTGAGCACAGCAGAAGAATACACTGAATATTTGATGTCTAGTAGTATAATTATGATAGTCACATTGTGTTGTTTGAAAATTCTCTGGTTTTCCTCCTTCTGAACTCTGGTGAGCTTGCACTTTCCTGCTTCCCTGAAATGGGGTGTGGTCCTGTGACTGAGAAGAAATGATATATGTCACTTTTAATCACCAGTGCAAGACACTGCAGCTCTTTCTTCTCCCTGCTGCATCCATGATGGAGATGCATGTCAAGATGGAGCCCCCACATGCCTGGATCCCTGAATGACTCTGTGGAGCAGATGCCCTCTATCAACCTGTGTTGGACATGTAGAATAAGCAAGAAATCATTTTCTCTTGTCAGTTTAAGCTCCTGAGACTTTTGGAGTTATTACCGCAGCATAATCTAGCTCATCCTGACTGATACACATAAACTTCATGCTAGACATAGAGATTTCATTCTGAATCAAAGTGTGTCTTCTTTCTCAAACTTTAGATGAGCAGAAGATAAGATTCAATATTTTGGTTTTCTTTATTTTGTTAAAAAATAATGCAAAGTTAGCAAAAATAGAATAAAAATGTATTGAGGAACAACTCTATTCCAGATCCTGAGCCTGGACATTTATGTGTATTATTTTATCTAATTCTCACAATAACCCTGTGAGGTGAGTACAATTATCTTTAATTTGCAGATAAGATTAAAAGATCAGAGAGTAAGCAGTTTCCCAGAGTCACACGGTCAACACACATCTTGTGTGTATTTCAATTCAGGTCTATCTGTCTCTAAAGATGTTACTCTGTGTGTGTGTGTGTGTGCGTGCACGCGCACACATGCTCTTTGATGCTATGTTGCTTCCAAGACACAGTTAAAATGTCAAAAAGTTGCATTGAATTGTGGCCTGTCCATAATCTTAAATGCAAATTTTGTCACTTACACGTCATAATTTGCAATTTAGTCCATAAACCAAGATTATATTATTGACCTCTAAGAGTAGGTTATTATTTCAATTAGCCTATTCTAGCTCTATTCTATGAACATGGTACTACCTCAAGTACATTGGATCCGTTTAGATTTTCGTGGGTGAAATGGGTCAGCACAGATTAAATTCCATTCATCTGCTTGGACTTTTTGACTAACGGCATCTTTTGGTGAGATGAATTGGTGTGGGATCTGGAGCAGCACAGTTAGATGGAACTACAGATACCAGTGTTCTATTCCTTACCCTGCCATTAAATCACTGTGTGACCCTAGGTATATAGCACCTCCTCTCTTTGCATAACTTAAAGTAAAAGCCAAAATGAAAAAATTGTGAGCCTGCCATTGAAGTTCCTGTATGGCCTGGTCTCTGCCAGTGTCTTTAGCCACATCTCCTATCTGTTTCCCCCTCACTCTTTGAGTTCAGCCACGCACCTTCTTTTTGCAGCATCTTTGCCTTTACTGTTAACTAACCTGGAGCAATCTTATCTCACATCTTCACCTGGGCACTGCCTAACTCCTTCTTATCCTTCAGTTGTCAGTGCAAATGCCATTTCTTTAGTAATATTCCCCATGACTCCTTGATTAGATCAGGACTCTCCACTGCCAGATCTTATATATTTTATACCCTTCTCTCAGAGCACTATCACATTTTCTTATTATATATTGCTACCTGGGATTATTTATTAATGCTGGTTTCCCTCTCTAAACTATTAACATGGTGATATTTGTTTTGGCTCAGCGTGGTATCCTCTGTGCTTAGCACAATCTCTGTTACATAGAAGATACCAATTATATTTGTTAAATGAATGAAATGAGTGTGTAAAATGAGAGGGTTGGGCATTGAGATCATTTATTCTTTCAGTACTTACATTCAATGATTTGCCAGACTTAGTCTGTAATTTGCCCAGGAATGACACACAGCAAATTTAAACAGCCCGCATGACTCATACCTCCTTCATTTCAGATTCAGTAGCACATACCACAGCTTATGTCTAAAGAAGGTATCAGAATTATTTGTACACATGCTGTTCTCTGGAGAAAAAACAATTGCTATATTCAAGAGAGGTATAAGCCAGAAATAAATGAGAGATGGCCAAAGAAGGTCAACCAGTTTTTCTAGGTACCCAGCTTCCTTGAAATACAGTATTTGGAGTGACCACCACACATATTTTCTTAAAAATCTATGAAAAATCCACTAATGCACTGGTGCATGAATACACAGTAGCAAATAATTCAAGATATATAGCAATGTGCAGCCATGTATCTCAAATTAGAATTGAGCTCATTGAAGGTAAAATTAGATGCTAACATATTTAAAAAGTCCAAACACAATTGTCTCTCCTTCTTTGTCCAAAGCCATGGAAACGATTGCTCCATGCTCTGAAACAAAAAATTCCAAGCTAAGAGAGATCAACTGCTATGATATTGTATATAATATTTAGATCCCTGTTTTTTTCAGTAACCCTGAAAACAAAAAATAGAGGGGTATCCCTACTTGCAATTCTTAATTCTTGAACCTGTCTTGATAATTCCTTGAAATAGTCTCCATGTGATATGGTTCTTGGTTAATTCTGCAGCCCCATTGCTTACTAGTCCAACTTCAGATTTTCCTATAGATACACAAATTTATTTCAGTTGCCAAAAGACACTATACTCCCTCTTGTCTTTTGGCATTCTCAATACTGGGTGGTCTTACTAAAATACTTTTCCATCTACCTTTTGCCTAGGTAATTCCTACCCATTTTTTCAGAGTTACAGATGGTCACTTCTAGGAAAGCTTTCCTAACCTCTCATGTTAACTTTAGGGGCTCATTTTTGTGTTCCCATAGCACCCTAGAATTTCTGTATGTATCTCTTAGCACCCTGTATTATAATTACTTCCTTAGGTTATTGAGAGGAGAGATTATCTTATGCATGTTCTATCCTACCATCCAACACAGAGTGGGTATTCAATAATTGCTTATTACATAAAGGAATGAGGTCTATAAATAAGTCTAAATTCTTCCTAGGCATTTTCAGAGTCGTTCAAAAGTACCTCATTGTTTTCTGAAGTTCTCCTGCAATGAGAAACACACTATCTATGAACCCTACCTACCTGTCTAGAAATAACATTAAATTAAATGGTTTGTGGGTTTTAGTTCTTGGTAATAAAGGTAATATGAATAAAGGAAACCCACAGGTACAAAGCCCTTAATTTAACTTACATTTTATTTTCTTCAAAACAAATAATGATAAATGATTATTAGGTTTTGACTAATTTTACTTTCCTCCCTTTATATCCTTAGGGAACAGAAATGAACTGAAATCAAGAAACAGAAGGGCCAAGGAAAGAAGTCCATTTGAATGTATCAACATGCAGGTTTATTAATTATTCCCTGAATAATCAACAACTAAACCATTCTGCATTGCTTGGCTATTGAATATGATCAAACCTATATTTATCATTTGGAACTGAAGTTCAATGTCTTATACAAGCTTTGTTTGCTCATGACTATTCCGTCACCATTTATAGAAAGTATAGTTTTTCAAAAGTGTGAAGAATCCACCAGCTTTCTGATCTTTGTGACTCCTCTTAAAGAAATAAATAACAACCAGACACAGGACCCCTCCTATCTGGATGGGATCAAGTTAAATGTCATCCGTGGGTCAGAGGAGACAACCTAGGAAACCACCACCCAACAGTTTCCTTTATTTTCCATGACTGAACACTAGAAAATTCCCAAATCCTTCCACTACAAAGAGAAAAGAGTTGTAAATCAACAGAACGGAAGAGAAACAAAAAGGCATTTCCTCTATCTTTAACAAAGGGAACTTAGAGTTATCAAGAGAAGGAACACGACTTTCTACTTAGCTCCATAATTTTCATTCTAATGTTATTAAAAAGAAGTCATCATTGGTACATGGAAGGATAAATCTATATTTTAAAGTCCCTCTTTTCTGTTGTTGGTCACAAAAGGCAACAAAGAAGCATCTAATAAATAGAATCTCTTATTTGAAACATTGGAAAAAGGATGCCAGCTCCTGGAAAATACCTTGCCCATCAGTAAAGAAATCGGTCCACAGGGAATAAAAATGGAATGGAGAGCTCTCCAATGCTGCCCTATGGGGAGAAATAAAAGGGGTCTCCACATGTGGACTTCATAAAAACTTTGATATAAAAGAAATCTATTATCAAAAGTACACGGTAACCCCAGCAAGTGTTCTGTTTAATCTTTGCACAGAGGATTTAGGGCCTGCAAAGTGCAAGAGGCATGATGCATTGGCCATTTTAGTATTCATGTCTCCTGTACTGCTTTCTAATAAGTTAAGATGAAACGGGAGACTGCGTGCAGGAGTGAGAGATGCAAGAAAAGCAGTACTGAGAAATAAAGATGAACAAAAGTGCATCTTGACTTCCCTTTTATTATTAACAGGCGAGAGAACAACAATGCCAAACTTATAATGTTATTACTTAACACTTCACATTTACAAAAAGACGTTGCAGTCATTTTTACATGTTATTTCTCAATATTTTTCTGATAGAGGCTTTTCTTATAATCAGTTTTTATGATGATATATGAAATGATTTTTCCAAAAAGGAAGATAAACATGCAGTCTGTGCCAGCATGTTACCAAAACAATCTTTTTGGTGAGAATAATTGTTTCCTTTACTGTTTGGGTAGGACAAACAACTGGTTGGCCGACTATTTGAATGTTGTTTTCTTCGTGTTATATAGACCCACTTTTTCACTCCTACTCCCCTCCACTCCATTCAACTCACTATTACTTAAGTGTACCCCTTACATCGTATTTCTGAAATATAAATAACATAATAGGATAAGATCTAAAGAAAACTAGCCTTCCTCTTAATTCTTCTGTGATATAAGGTGTGTAAATGGAGTGGCACCCATGAGTGAGTATCTGTGCACCTGCCTGTAGGCTGGCCTCTTTCTAAGAGGAGCATGTCTGTGAGGCACACTGAGAAATGTTTGCTCAACATAAGTGGGCAAAGTATGCTGAGATTCAGAAACTCCATCTACCTCATGTTTTAGGTGTCTGCTAGTTAGTTTGCATGGAGAAAGTCATTCAATAAATAAGTAGACCCCAAACCAGGGGACTGTCTCCTACCTTTAACTGTCATCCTCACCTCCATGACAAACTAGTTTGGTATTTCTTCTGGGGCAAAAGAATGGCAGTGGAAAGTTCTCCAATCCCTTAGGCTTTATTAGATTTGGGAAGAATCTGGGATTCTGATGAGAAAGATTTCTTCATTTATTATTAGATGGCCCAAAGCATAGCAATCTGTCAGTTGCCTCTTTCTGTTTTGCAGAATAAGGTATCTTAACAAAAAAAAAAAACCAAGCAGAAATTATCTAGGTAAACTTTCTACATTTCTTCAACAAATGTAAAAAATATGCCTTTACTTGGGGCCATATAGTCATAGTCTAGCAGGTAATAAACTATATATTTTTAAGTACAAGTTCCAGTGAAATGAACATTGTTAAGTAGAGTAAACATTTATTTCAAAGCCATAAGTATGTCTGAGTATTGAAAAAGGGTTCAAGATCTTTAAATATGTTCCCATTATAAGAACTTTGCACACACACACACACACACACACACACACATTTATTTCCTTCAACTTCAAATCTAATAAATAGAGTCAATAGATAGATACCCTTTTCTCTTTACTTCTTAATCTATAGATTATTAAATCTAACATGTGAAAACTATGGAGAATATGCTCCCTACTCTCGGGCAGTGGATTGAAGTGGTATGTCTGTTGCAGTGTTACTTGTCTGCATGGAGAGCTTGCATTGATTGACTGATGCCTCTAGGTGTAAAGGTACAGTCCTTATGCTAATGTTGATAGTGATGTTACAGTAATAGCAATAGTACCTGCAACTTTTTGAGTGCATTCTATGTGCTAGATGATTTATAAACACAATTTTTATTTTAAAAATACTACAGTGACTTTCACAAAATTAAGAAACCATGACTCCAAATATTTATATGATTTTCTCAAGGTCCTGGATCTGGGTTTGCAACCAAGTCTGTCTGATTCAAAGTTCATGTTTTCTTCCTACATCCCTCCAAGCAGAGCGTTAATTCAGGCAATGTGAAAACTTGAAGTAAGGTGACCATATGTTCCAGTCTATACCTGTTGTCCTGGCATAATTAATAGATTCCCCTTTCATGCTTGAAAATGCCCCAGTGTGGACAATGTTTAACAATCAACCTATCTTTGAGCAAGGTTTAAAATCCACATAAGACTTTTCTAAGGTATTGTTCACAATGCTTTAATTCATCTTTTTGTCTTTACTGAAGGGTGTCAAACAAGTAACAAATTGGACCTAGCTTTTTGTATTTGGGAAAACAAATGGATTTATGAATGAATATCATTTACTGGTTGGGTGTATTATCACTCTGTCATTTCTCTTTGAGAATCTTTTGTCCTTCCTCTTTTCTCTCTCCTCCTCCTAGTCTCCATGTTTCTTTCTATCCAGGCTTTCACTATTGGTCAAGTATTAAAAAATAAATTCCTTGGTTTTGCTTTAGCTTTTGTTTCTGACAAACCTTTAAAATTCAGCTTGGCCACTCACTCCGATGTTTAAACCACTACTAATGGTATTTTTGTCAAAAGAGAAATAAAAATCATTTTAAGACATCACTAACTTATTTTTCTTTCTTTCTTCTCCTTAATCTTGCTGCTACTATTCTACTACTTCTTTACTACAACCGTAGCGCATTGGTGTCCAGGGAGCTTTCTTGTTGCAGTTCCTGGACAATGCTACTGCAGGTTTCACTGGGGGATGCCAGCTCCAAAATGTATTATTTCAAGCACCACCACACATGTCTCTGCTCCTCTACTGCTTTTATGGGTAAACTGTTGTCCAGTTTCTATTATTTTAAAGGGCTTTCAGGAAGAGGGAAGGAAACGATTTTTGAAAAATAAACATGGTAAAATATATAACTGTTAAGACACATGCAATAAGAAAATCTAACATTCACTTTTGTTGGTTTTAAATGTATGGCTTTGATTTATGGATTAAAATTGCTCATTTATTATTTTATCTATACAGCTCTGGGCAATTTTGACAGTTAAAATTTAGTTTTATTGACCAGTGCAGCCACTGTGCCCACGAGGGGACTGGTGCACACAGCCTGCTGCACTCAAGAAACGATGATTTTTGATTCCATGAGTGAGTCCGATTGGGAATCATAACCGATATAACAATAAGTTCCAAATCTCAGTGCCCAAGGCAAGAGGTTTGCTGTAAAACACAATCGCCCTTTAGGAAGGGGAGGAGAAGAATCCTGGGTAGAAGTTTGCAAGCACAATTTCATGCAGCTGGAATAGGCCACAAATATATCTGTCCATTCAAACTATGCAGCAGTATAAGGGGACATTTCTCTAAAGACCCAGTTCCACAGACTAAATATTAATGAGCAAAAATGCCTAAAAAGCAACATGAATGTTAGTTACAGAGACAGTGAACTAAACAACCATTTTGATGTGAGAAAATTTACTAGCGAACGCCATAAACCAACCTTTTGCTTTTCAATGAACAACAACAAAAAGAACAGAAGAATTTTGGGGGGAAGATCTTTGCTCCTCCCCCACACCCTCCATTGCAGCACATACAGAAACGTAAACCAGTACAGTGATTTTAGGCTAGGCCTACTCGACTACCAAATTGGCCACCTCTGCAATGTTAATTTAGTTTTTTACTCTAAATCCCCGGTGATACATAAACAAACCTCCAAAGGGGAACAAATCAATAAAATGTCTAATTTGATTAACCATGTTTTCAAATTCATCAAGACAGCGCTAACCTGAAATAAATAGGTGAGTGAATAAATAAATAAATAATGCACTCACTTGTGAGTATTTTCCATGTCTTCTTTTCATCGTCGTAATACTGAACCAAATTGCTGGGGAGCCGGTCCGGTCCAGGAGGCAGCCCTCCAACCAATAACAGCATTTTCTTGTTAGAGCGAATTCTTCACCCAAAACAAAAGAGGAGATGAATAACCACATTACTGTAGAGTCTTTTTAGTGGCAACGAAATCATAACCATCAAAGAATGTTCCTTGCTTGCAGATATCTGTTTCATTTTTTCCTGTTTCTTCCCCCATTCATGTCTCAACAATTTTTTTGAACCAAGCAGAAAAATGATCAGAAGAGCTGCACATCCCCATACTCATAGAATAATAAGCTCCCTTTATGCAATTTGTTAGAGGTTCATTCTAGAACGACCTTTTTCTTATATTATCCCTTTAAATCATCACTCTTTACAGCTGAGTACACATGAAATGCTCTGGAGTTGTACTAAGGTTAAGCATTAAAGTTGCATGTCAAAAATCGTATTAGTCAAAATCATTATTATAAGCCATTCTCCACTCAAAGAACCTTGAAAAAATTAAGGTTATGCAGGGAGTTTGTGAGCCAACTCTTTAATCACCCAGGGAACTTCAAATACGAGTTTGGTACAATTAGTAGCACAGGGCTAACTGGGGTGGGTTAACCAGTTTGAACATGAATTTTTTTGTTTGTTTAATTTAGCTTAGACTTCTGCCTTCTTCCCCTTCCCCCACTCCCAGCTCACCCTCCCCTCTGCTCTCCCCCTGTGCACCACTGGCGATATAGCAGCACCAATTGGTAAAAATGAGACTGTGATGTTGTTGTGAGCCTCCCCAGAGTGGAGCCCTGCCAATGCTTGCCACTGATCCAGCGGCATGAACCTGCTCAACTGTGCAAAGTCACTCTAATTCCCTCCCTCTGTTTTTCTACCTTCTCCCCCAGGGGGCAACCACTGAAAGGAGTGACTACCCACCCATCAAGAGCTGGCAATTCGCTGCTATTAACCGTGACTGTGATTCCCAGTCCGCCTGGCAGTTCCTGAGAAAGGCCTGCAATGTCTCATATGCAGTAAAAGCTGTAAGATGCACCCTGGCCAGCACACTCGACCTGATGGATGTACAATCCTCAGGAACAGTAATGGATTGAGCACACTTGCGATTGAAGCAGGGAGAGGAGGCCCAGACCCCTACAAAGGGCCTGCTGATTTAACAGTCGCTTTACATGTAATTGAACTTTTCATGTACCTGAAAGGCTCAAGGTGATGGTGGAAGAAACGGAACAACAATGATTGAAGGAAAAAAGTCAATAAATACAAAAGGATTCCTCTTAGTGATGATCACAAGCCCACGGCGTGGCTCTGAATCTATGATTACATATTCAGCTCGTTCTGATTCAAGAATGCTTGGCGAAGTATGCCCTTGTGGAGAAGCATTGTTTGTTGGTTAAGAACCTAACATTCGGAGAGTTAACTTAATACAGTTAATGACATCTCCATGTGGAAGGAAGGGAACAAGAGAATTCCTTTGATGAAACTCTGGTGCCATTGAATGCATTATTATGCCTCAGTGGGAAAAATACCTTCTGGAGAATTGTCCATAGTAGACACTCATAGATAGAGGGAGCTGTACTTACAGAGGAATGAGTAATGTGATGGCAGCTTGCAGTGTTAATTTTGCCACTCTGTGGATATAGTTGAGCCAAAAGGAAAACAAACAAACCCAAACTCTGAATTTGAAGTACCTTCAAACAGTACCCATATGCTTTATAGACTAGTAGTTGGCAAATAGAATACAACAGCAAAGAGCCCCCATACTTGGAGGATTTCAGTGATTGGGGTGTTTTTGCAAGAGGGGTTAAGAAAAATCAGTGCAGTCTGTACCTTTCTTTCACTTGGAAAACATACATACATAATTCACATGCTATATAATCTCCTAGATGCATGGCCACAGAGCTGATATATGACCATTTTTTTCTTATTGTAGTTTTTAGCCCAAATAACCACTCTGTGTGTGTAAGAGAAGTCAAGATGAAAACAAATACTCTTTTTAGGTTGCTGCAAATGACCATGTGTAGACAGACCTGTTCAACTGGAAGTCACGATTCTGTGACTGTCCTAACATCACTCGTCCACATGCCGCCAGACTGCAGTTGGGGGTAGATCAGTATCAACAGGATAGACACAGAGGAAAGAACTCATGGAAGTGGCGGTTGTGACAAAAGCAACATAATTAAATATATTTTAGTATATAAACAAATTAACTGCTTAAAACATGTATTTAATGGGGCCCGGCGTGGTGGCTCATGCCTGTAATCCCAGCACTTTGGGAGGCCAAAGCAGGTGGATCACCTGAGGTCAGAAGTTCGAGACCAGCCTGACCAACATGATGAAACCCCCGTCTCTACTAAAAATACAAAAAATTAGCCAGGTATGGTGGCAGGCACCTGTAATCCCAGCTACTTGGGAGGCTGAAACAAGAGAATCTCTTGAACCCAGGAGGCAGAGGTTGCAGTGGGCTGAGATTGTGTCATTGCACTCCAGCCTGGACAAAAAGAGCGAAACTCCATGTCAAAAAAAAAAAAAAAAATTAGCTAGGTGTGGTGGCACATGCTTGTAATCCCAGCTACTTGGGAGGCTGAGGCAGGAGAATCACTTGAACTCAGGCGGCAGAGGTTGCAGTGAGCTGAGATCACGCCATTGCATTCCAGCCTGGGCAACAAGAACAAAACTCCATCTCAAAAAAAAAATGTGTTTAATGGATGGCAAAGGGAGATGAATGCATGGCTCACACATGTTTGTAAGGTCATTTCATTCATTGATAAGAGGAACTTCCCTAGACAAGTTACACTGGTGATTCTCCACCCTGATTTAGATGGACCATCTCTGCTGATAAGGAGAGGATCTAGTGTCTTTGTTCTCTTGCCCAAATTGCCAGCCATTGCCATCTGTCCTCTAAGAAGTGGACTGACTACCAATACAAAAGCCAGTGAACAGTGGGCAAACGGTAACACCCTCCACCCCTGCCAACAGTGACATGATTCAAGGGCTAGCTAGCAAAGAGCAATGAAAGATTCCACACAACTAAGGTAAATCTCTAAGCGACTCAGGCCTCTGCAGAGACTGTAATAAAGAATTATGTGGAGGAAAAGGAAATCCTACTTACCCTCAATGGCTGTGTGTTTTCTACAAAGGGGCAGTGCTTTGAAGCCATGATGTATGGCTTTCTTAGTGAATCAAGATGCCTTCCAAATCTTTTGCATTGTTGTATTTACATCATCATTCATTCAATTTGTCATGACATTTTACTTAGAGTATTTTTTCTCTAAATCTTGTGTTATTCAGTTTTCCAAGCCAGTATCAATATTATTTAATTCTAAATAAAACTTGAAGCTCTACTTTGTGAAGATGAACCAAATTGAAACCCAAAATAGGATAAAACATGTAAGAAGTTGGATCATACAGAGGAAAGAACACATCAAGTAACAAAACACATTTGAGTGGTTTTCTCACTATTTTCTCCATTGACTCTCAAAACAGCTCAACGTGGTAGGTATAACTCTCCATTTTACAGAGAGGAGAGAAAGTTCCCATAGCTGTTATAAGAAGGTACACATTTGGACATTACAGAAAACTATGAAGATTTCTGAATCCGAATAAAGAAACCTAATAGAGATTACTTTACATTTCTTATTGCTTAAGAATAATACAAATGAGAATAACCATCACATATTTTACTTTGATATAAATGCAATGTCAACTATTCAATTACTCCTAGAAAGCAATACACGTGAATAATTCCTGTGGAAAAGCTTCCATTCTTTTTACAATGTGCAATTATAATAGTGACAATGACAATAACGACAGTTAATAATGAATGCATATTGAATACTGAACTTCTGATTATCATACTATTTATTTGATGTGTGTGAACTTCAATTTGAAAACACCACAAACAAAGATACCTGTGAACTAGAAAAGTAAAATTAAGAGAAGCTGAACTAACTGTGCTGAAGGGGGTTTTAATTATTCTTTTTCAAATAATTCCAGCAGAGCTTTACAGGTTTAATTTTAGATTAGTCAAAATTTATAAATGTAGCCTCATTGCAATCTCTAGAGCTTCTTCTCATGGCAACATAGTATACTTTTTAGAAGCTCTTAACATAGGGAACCAATTTAGCCCAAATTAATATATTCTCTTCATACCTTTTATTATTTTCAAATACTCCTTTCACTCTTCATTTTACCCATTTTACCCAACCCAGACCAAAGTACGTATTGAAAGACAAGGAATAAAAGAAATGTAAACAAAAAGCTGAGTATATCGTGGTTAATAATATTTGAATGTCTTTGATCTGAGTTCCTTGATTCTTGCATAGAAAAATGTAAGGTTGCAAAGGCGATGGAATCTGAAGGTCTCCTTTGTTCCATCTCAGTAACTGCCCAACATTTACCATGTGTCACATTTGGGCGTGTGTGCGCGCCTGTATGCGTGAGTGCTGGCGTGCATACATACTTTGGTTCCCAGGATGAATGATTGAAGGATGACCTAAACCTCCTGGTGTAAACAAATTTTTCATCATACTGGTGTTCTAAGTACTGTAAAATCTCATTTATTTATATTTCAGTGATTTGGAACTTCAATAATTGGGAAACAGGCCAGATAAAGTTTTCCTTTCCATGATACATGAGAAAAGTTTTCATGAACTAGATTGCAAAAAAACTTTTAACCTATTTAGAAATCAGCTGATATGCTGGCACTTTATAATCACCAATGCACATTTAGGCAAAATTCATTTTACAGATAACAAATATTTCTCATTTATGAAAGAAGATATTCTGCAATGTTCTAAGAATCATTAACTCATAGAGTTAGAAGAAAACTTTGAGGTAATCTAGTTCCGTAATTCCCAGGCCCTAGCAAGTTACCAGGATCAACTGAAGGCATTAGAAATTTTGGATTCTTAGTATAGATTTTCAGTTCTCGACTCTCAGAGATTATGATTCAATAGGATGAGTCTTAAAAAATCAATGCTGTTTCACAGCCTTCCAGTTGATGCTAATACACAGCCAGACTTGAGGACACTGACTTGGTCTAGTCCCCTACATAATATAGAAATCCTTCTGATAGTTTTTTAAACAAGTAATTATTATTATCTATTTGGAAATTTGAAATGAATCTTAGGTTTTCAGATACACTCTGTTGTTAAAAGTTGTTGTACAGTTGTGTTAGATATATTTTTTCCTCTTAAGCTGAGCTGAAAAACCTACCTAGGTTTTCTAGAGCAGTGGTCCTCAACCTTTTTGGTACCAGGGTCCGGTTTCATGGAAGACAGTTTTTCCATGGACCAGAGGGATGGTTTCAGGATGATTCAAATGCAGTACATTTATTGTGCACTTTATTTCTATTATTATATTTCTATTATTACATTGTAATATATAATAAAACAATTATACAACTCATCATAATGTAGAATCAGTGGGAGCCCTGAGCTTGTTTTCCTGCAACTAGACAGTCCCATCTGGGGGTGATGGGAGACAGTGACACATCATCAGGTATTAGATTCTCATAAGGAGCACACAAGCTACTTCCCTCACATGTGCAATTCACGTAGGGTTTGCGCTCATATGAGAATCTGATACTGCCACTAATCTGACAGGAGGCAGAGCTCAGGTGGTAATGCAAGTGATAGAGAGCAGCTGTAAATACAAACGAAGCTTCACTCGCTTGCCCACCACTCACCTCCTGCTGTACGGCCCAGTTCCTAACAGGCCATGGACCAAAGAAAACTGAAATACTAGTTTTCTTTTAAGGCTTTCTAAAATCACAGTAGTGTTTTAGCAGTCACAGTGCAGTGCTGGGTCCCTGTTCAGCTTCTACTGATTATCAATATCAATCTTTTTTTAAAAAAACAAGTGTTTTCAAGCCAAGTTTTTCCTATCCTATATTTCTTCTAATTAAAATATTTTAAACAGCTATGCGTGACTATTTTTTAACATTTTTTGTCCTCTACTGATTTAGACACTTTGCTTCAATTCGTTTACAGTTAGCAATTGTTAACTGAGTTCCTACTATGTTCCAGGTGGTGTTCTAAGGATTGGAGATAATAATGGGAACAAGAGGAATAAATTCCTTGTTCATTGCGGTACTTAATTCCACCCTAGTGGGGACATCTATGGAAGCCATCAGAATCTTTGAGGCAGAGTAGCCTAGTTGTTAAGGGTGTAGACCTCTTAGCTAAGGTGAGATGCCTGGTTTCAGCTGTTCTAAGTGAACGTAGGCTGGCCTTTTTGTCACTCTTATTTTTATTTATTTTATTTTTTTGAGATGGAGTTTTGCTCAGTTGCCCAGGCTTCTGGAGTGCAGTGGCGTGATCTCGGCTCATTGCAACCTCTGCCTCCCGGGTTCAAGCAATTTCCGGCTAATTTTTGTATTTTGTATTTTTGTATTTTGTATTTTGTATTTTTTAATTTTTTTTTTTTGAGATGGAGTATCGCTCTGTCACCGAGGCTGGAGCGCAGTGGCGCCATCTCTGCTCACTGCAAGCTCCGCCTCCCGGGTTCACGCCATTCTCCTGCCTCAGCCTCCCGAGTAGCTGGGACTACAGGCGCCCGCCATCACGCCTGGCTAATTTTTTGTATATTTAGTAGAGACTGGGTTTCACCGTCTCCATCTCCTGGCCTGGTGATCCACCCGCCTCGGCCTCCCAAAGTGCTGGGATTACAGGCGTGAGCCACCGCACCAGGCTTTTTTTTTTTTTTTTTAGTAGAGACAGTGTTTCACCATGTTGACCACGCTGGTCTCTGCCTCCTGACCTCAAGTGATCCCCCGACCTCGGTCTCCCAAAGTGTTAGGATTACAGGCGTGAGCCACTGGGCCTGGCCTCTTTGCCTCTCTTTAACCTTATTTATAAAATAGGGATAACACTAACAAGACCTAAGGCGCAGGCATCTTTAATTTTCAGAATTAAAAGATATAATATATGTAAAGCATTTAAAACAGTGCTAAATAAATGCTAATTATCATTACCACCACCATCATCAACAACTTCATAGTTATTGACATCATCATTATCCTCATCCTCATTATCATCAATATTATCTGTTCCTTTATGTAATTTGCAGGTTTGACAAGCAGGTGGCCTATGCCCTCATCCAAGTTTTATTACTTAAAGATAATAAAGAGTTGTACTTCAATTGTTTTGATATTTTAATTATGCTAACTCATTCTTCCTGAAATGATACTAAATCATTGGGATTTTTACTTTCTCTACATAGGGTCTTTGGGAGTGTATGACCATTTTTTGAAACATGGAGATTTGATTGAAAACAACGACAATAACAACAAGCAGTTTTGAAGTAGCAAAGCGATCCAGAGTAGATAATCATTACCCCATCTTTCCGAAGCCAGGTTAATTACAAGTTAAGAGTCATCAGACCTGGATTTAAATCCTCTACCTTTTCTTATGTTTAACTCCTTGGGCTGACTCTAAGCCTCAGTTGCTTCATCTGTAAAGTGGGAATAATGGTATCCTCTTACAAGAATGTTGTAAGGGTTAAATAAAGTCATTTAGGTGTAATAGCAAAATAAATGCCTTCTACTTGTAACCAAAGCCACTCTGTAGAGCCAGTCCCTCCAGCAAATGAAAGGCCCTTTGTGCTGCTGACACCTTGAAAGATGAATGTCTCTGCATACTGAAGGGGGAAAATATTGATACTTTCAACATAATCCAGGAGGAAGGGGCTGTGGAAAATGGAAAGAAGTTTTGACTCTTTCCCATGTCCTCCCAATTTCAGTGGACTTTACTAAACTTATGATAGCTTAGTATTGCATAAAAGCAGTAAATGGGCATTTTCACATCTGGTGGTACAGCAGCAATGTATGGGAGTGATTTGGCAGGTAGAAAAGGCCAGGAAAACACAAGTTCCAGGGACTCACAGACATGAGGATGGATGTGTGAGTCAGTTCAGGCTGCGATAACAAAAATACCATAGACTGCGTGGCTTGAACAACAGAAAATTATTTCTCATAGTTTTGGAGGCTGAAAAGTGGAAGATCAGAGTGCTGGTAGATTCTGTTCCTAGTGAGGGCCCACTTCCCATTTCTGTTCTCATATGGTGAGGGGGGCAATGAGAGAGAGAGAGAGGAGAGCACACGTGTGTGCTCTCCTCTCTCTTCTTATAAAGCCGCTAATTCCATCATGAGGGTTCCACCATCATGACCTAATTACCTCCCAAAGGTCCCATATCCAAATACTATCTTACTGGTGATTAGGGTTTCAAGGTATGAATTTTTAAGGGGTGGACCCAAACATTTAGACCATAGCAAAATAGTTTTGGTTTTCCACAGGCCAGAGGATTATAGGGGTTCATAGCAATTTCTTTACCAGATCTGTTATGCCTCCAGCTGAAATCTGGGTTACATAGGAATAAAATATTTATATAGTTCAAAATTGATAAGTGATAGCGATTATTATTATGTGTAATTATTAACTTTACAAAGTACTCATTTGAAAATTCATCTTTGGAATTTTGGAGTTTTTATTGCTTAGAAGCCTTGCAGATACCATATGTTACACTGTATATAAATAGCCAGAACTTTGATTGCATAAGCAAGTTTAACAAAAATATAAAATCACTGGACTTCCTACAATGGTATTGACTCAGATCTCATTCATAAAATATAATCTACTTACTTCTCTTCGCTGCCAGCTGCCTCTGTTAGGGTAGTCACCAAATCTTACAATATTCAAGTCACCGAATTTCATGGTATCCTTGACTCTTCCATTTTCTTGCTATATTCTATAGTTTCTAGAGCTGTAATATTTCTTAAATCTTTCTCTTCATTCCAGCTGAGCGGCCATCAGCTGGATTCAGCTGGGTTGGTTCTCCCTTGTGCTGTTGTAAAGTGGTAGCCCTGCTTTCTGACCCCCATCCCCATCAACACTACATATTTTGTCAAATGAATTTTAGCAAAGCCAAACATTAATAACCAATTACATCAGTCCTCTTCTTAAAAACCATTGAATTCCCAATTACCTATCTTATTATAACCTCTCTTTCCTTTCTCTCTTTTTTTCTCCTATTAGTAAATGTCTTCCTGGAATTTCATTTGGGGGATAAAAGAGCTTGTGAGTCCAGATCTGGAAAAATGTGAAAGGGGAATTTCATATGGAAGCTGCTCAGATCGTGGGGAGGAAGTAACAGAGGTAGATCCCTCTACTCCAAGTAATTGGCCTGGCCAGAAGGAGGCTTTGAAAGGCAGCTAGCCTTCCCTAAACTTCCAGCCAGAATGGTACCCAAAACTGCCCTAAGGAGAGCTGCTACCCTTCTCTTAAAATTTTCCAGCGAAGTAAACTCCTTTGAGAGTTTGTTCCAGCTGATTTGCTGTTGTATTTAGGTGTCTTTATCATAGCTGTTCTTGGTAATTACACAGCAGCTTTCATCGGAAGAGCCTTTAAATAGACCTGATAATGCCTCTGGGAGGTAGGTAAACACAAAGTATCATTATCCCCATTTAACAGATGAAAGACTAGAGGAAAAGGGGCTTAGGCAGCTTTTCCAGTGTGCAGGATGGGTTTTATTTTCCTCCATTTCACACAAGAAACATCTCCAGGGTTTTCTCACACAACTCTTCTGTGGCTCTCAGGTGTGGCTGAAAATGCCTTACTTCCCAGAGTCTGACTTTGGGCTCCTCCTCTTCCTCACACACAGAGTCTGGCTATGTGGTGACTGAAGAACGGTCAGTCACGTGCCTATTATTTAGTTTTCCTAAGATGGAAGTAACTTTAAGATTTGTTTGATTATATCATAAAGATAATACATGCTCACTGAAAAAACTTCTGACTATACTTAAAAGCAAGAAGAACTTACTACATAGTAGGTGCTCAATAAATGTTTGTTGTATAAATGAAGATATGACGAATAAAAGAAGGAATAGAGTCCAACGTAGTGTCTCATGCCTGTAATCCCAGCCCTTTGGAAGGCCAAGGTGGGCAGATCACTTGAGGTCAGCAGCTTGAGATCAGCCTGGCCAACATGGTGAAACCCCATCTCTACTAAAAATACAAAAATTAGCTGGGGGTTGTGGCGTGTGCCTGTAATCCCAGCTACTCAGGAGGCTGAGGCGGGAGAATCACTTGAACTTGGGAGGTGGAGGTTGCTGTGAGCTGAGGACACGTCACTGCACTCCAGGCTGGGCAACAGAGTGAGACTCCATCTCAAAAAAACAAAACAAAACAAACAAACACCAACAACAAAGAAGGAATAGGTGGGCAGACTAAAAGCCCCATAAGCCCCAAGGATCAGTGGGATTACAAAATCCCACTATCTAGGAGGATGTTATAGATTCTTTATATTCTTTTTTTTCCCTTACTTGTTTCAAGGTTCAGTCAGTGGGGTGGAGGTGTCAAAAGGCAATGGGGAAAAAGGAAAAAGCGTATTTCTGAACCACAGGGTGGAAGACTCAGAGAGCCATATATTGGGAAAAGGACATTCATATCAACCAACTCCCAAATCTAAGCTGCTATTTTTACTATGTACTGCCCTAGACCCTCCACCTTTTATCCCTGTCTGAGCATGTCCAAATAATGAGTCTTTCTCTTGTTACGTTATCACGTTCATCATTTTTCTTTGGATGTCTCTGCTTATCTTTGTTCTTTAGGTCTAGTGTTGTCTTATAGAATAGGAGCCTACCATGATAAAGCACAATGTTTACCAAACTTCAGTTATCAGTACAACAGAAGACTTTCATTATTTTTGCCATAGCCACATGCTTTGAAATTATTCACTAAATATTTTATTTAAAACTGCTCACTTAAAAAAATGCTTCCTTAAAAATCCCAGGCTATTGTAGTGGTTCCCAATGTGGGAACTTTTTTTTTTTTTTTTTTTTTTTGAGACGGAGTCTCGCTCTGTCGCCCAGGCTGGAGTGCAGTGGCGGGATCTCGGCTCACTGCAAGCTCCGCCTCCAATGTGGGAACTTTTATAAGCTATCAGAACTTCTCAGGGATTCTGATTCAATGATCTGGGATGGGACCCAGCATCATATTTGTGTGTGTGTGTGTGTGTGTGTGTGTGTGTGTGTGTGTGTCTTTTAAGCTTTCTCAGTGATTCTATTAATAAGATGCAACGGGTATTGAGAACCATGGTTCTAAGCAATTATATTTACTAAATCATGGGCTTCATGGGTTAATTATTTTATCTCTAACACACGTTAAAATATAACAATACCTAACTTATTATAAATGTTAAAATGATTTCTTGTGTACCATCTGAAATTGTCTCACATTCTACCAGTGGCAGATAAATCCTACTTGGGGACGCACTATAAGAAATGGAAGAAATCAGGACTTTAATATCTGAAGCTCTGAAAACCTGTTACATTCCAACTCTGCCACTTCCTGTCTGTGTGACCATGTGAAGATCAACAACTTTGTTGGCTGTTGCTTTACACATTGCAATTTTGATTAGCCATCTTCCCACCCCTTCACTTCTCATCCCGCCCCTTCACTTCTCATCCCGCCCCTGTGGCTCACATGGGTCCTCCACAATTCTTCCAGAATGTTACTGTGTCCTCTAGCATGCAGTTACGGTAGTTGGCTTATGCTTTTGCCACATTCCTCTAGGCACCAAACTTGCAGACTGGCTGGTGATGGCAGGGGCAGATATAACAAAAAAGTCTTAAGACCTTTATCTGAATCCATGAAATGTAGCCCACCCCCACCACCCAAGGCTTAGCTCATAAGCCCCAAGGATCAGGACGAGTTTATCTTTATATTATACATAGCACTTGACACTTCATCCTTGGCCCTTTGCTTCATGAGGGACAATGGCTTCCAGCCAAGTTTATACTCACTGCATTTCCCCCTCCTTCTCCACCTCCCAGATTAAAGCTTCCTTTGGTAACTAGGAGCAGTTGAATATCTTCTTTGCTTGATTACCTGTATAATCCCTAATTCTAATACCTCCTACTTAGCACCTTTCTTCTGAAGAGCATAAATTGCAATGGAAATAGCATCTCATTAATCCTCCCCACATCCCTGTGAGGAAGTTGCGTGGCAAGCATTAGCTCTCAGACTAATCCTCCTGCCTGCAAGTGGGATGCAGGGTCCTGCTGCTCTCTAGCACAGATGCTTGCTACTGAGCAAGCTGGTGGGGACAACCAACATGTGTGTGACAGGAGAAAGCTCTTCTCTTTGTTCAAGAGAGATGTGGTTCTGTGCAGCCTGCCACAGTGGAGCCATTCAAGCTCTGTATAGCCTAGTGACGAAAGGAGATAAAGCATCACTCTCAGGCTAGTGATGGACTCGTAAGTAATGCCTGCATTTAAACTCCTAATAAAGCCCAATTATTAGACTATGCTGCCTCCTGAGAGCCAGTCTCATTACTGAGACTTCGTCCTGTCTTTTTCTTTCTCCCTCCCATCTGGCTGGCTTTTGGAAGAGATAAGAGTGACTTTTTGACCTAAGGAAACTTTGGCACCTGCTGCAGAAGAAAAAGTGCAGAAAGACACCAAGGTCACAAAATAATAATGAAAATTCAAGTTCAGAAGGATGCAACATCTTTCCACTAAAATTATATCTCTGAGAGAGTGAGACATAATGGTAGAAATGAATATTTTGACAGCAACCTGACATTCTGAAGAAAGGAGTTCAGCCATTCAAGATGATGCTGAGAGGGACAACAGCCTCCCGATCCAAAGTCCAATTTCATTCTTTACTCTAACTCCAGGGAGAGGTTCCCTGTGGGGAAACTGTGAGGCTCTTTCGGAGGAACTGGAGCCAGCCTCCTGCCAACCAGGCTGTTTCCAGTTGGAGAGTCACTGCAGGAGTGGCCATGCAGGGAGATACTGAGAAAAGTTAGTAACAGGATAGATTTCTCCAGGCTTCTCCCGGAATATTCATGGCAACAAATAAGTGTCCATTTTCAAGAAGGGAGTTTCAGTGGATTCCTTCTAAAAGGACTCAACGTTTATTTTTAGGGTAAGAAAAATGCTATGAAATCATCCTGGGGCAAAGATAAAAGAAGAAGGTTATCCTTATTTTTGTGTAGATCTGCAGCAAGGGAGGGAGGCAGGCCCTGGCGGGTGTGTGTGCTGAGGAGACAATGAGGTGTGGCTTGTGGAATCCTGCTTAGGGACACCCTGCTGCTGTGGGTGAAATGGAATCTCTTATCTTCCTCTGCTTTTCCTCTCCCTCCTTGTAGGGAGCCAGTTCTTTCTGTTCTTTGCTGTATCACCAACCCTCGAGGGACCATGGTGCCACAATGAACCCTAGGTGGAGGGCTCCGTGGTGTCTAGGAAGCCCTCCAAGGTCATCCCCCACTGGAAAGGGCATTCACAGAAGCCTCTAAGACCCACCCAATCAGCTAATCTGGAGCAATATTCTTTTCATTATCAGATCTTTGACATGCAGCAACAAATTATTCTGAAAAGTTTACCATATTCTCTGAAGCTGAATTGTGGATGCTATACTGTGTGGCTTGAATTATTCTCTAGTGCAAATTCTGTAGTGCGCTAGGGACCCGAATTTCATCTCTAGGAAATAAATCCCCTAGAATTTGGTAATTCCAGCAACTTTCCCTATGACTCATTTCCCTTTTTCTCATATCAATTAATGAAATTTCTTTTAATTTTGCAAAAATTTTTCCCCATTTTTTAAGAAATCACTATCAGTATTTTCTCCTATCTTTTATAGACATGTAGCAAATTCAAAAAACAGAAGCAATTATTTGTTTAGTTCCATGATTTTCAAAATGTGGTCCAAAATCTACTGGTAGCAGAACTACCTATGATGCTTGCTAAACATGCAGGTTCTTGGGACCTCCTTTCAGATCAATTTATTTAGAATCTCTGGGGTGGAGCTAGGGAAGATATATTTTGTTAAAAAGCTCTATGTTTGATTCTTGAAAAAGCTACTGGTCTAGGCAAGATCTTCTGGAATTGAGGAAAAAGGATCTGAATTTTTTTTTCTCTACTAGCTTTACATTACTGGAAGAGCTATTTATACACTGCTGACTTGGATAACTGTTCAGCTGCCTAGATAACTTTGCTTGTATGGATCTAGTTGAAAAGCAATATTTCAGTTAATTTCCCTGTTTTCTAATTTTGTGTCTTAAACGTGGCTTTGTTACGGACCAAACTGTGTTCCCTCCAAATTCATGTGTTGAAGCCCTAACCCCCAAAGTGACTACATTTGGAGATAGAGCTTTTAAGGAGGTAATTAAGGTTAAATGAGGTCATAAGGGTGAGGCCCTGATCCAATATGACTGATGTCCTTATAAGAAGAGGAAGAAACACCAGATCTTCCTCTGCATGTAAGCACAGAGAAAAGGCCATGTGGGCATACAGCAGGAAGGCAGCTGTCTACAAACCAGGAAGAGAGGCTCCGCAGAAATCAACCCTGCTGGCACCTTGGTCTTGAACTTCCAACCACCAGAAATTGGAGACAATAAATTTTTGTTAAGCCACTTGGAGACTTTAGGGTTTAGAGTTTCCTTCACACACACACACACACACACATGCAAATGTGAAACACTTTCAAAAAAAACCTTTCTAAGGTGAGATTATTCCTTCTCTTAATAGGTCAAAAGAATGACTGTTTTCCTGGAAGTTGGACTGTCAGTTTGATTAAACTGATGGAAGGCTTGAGGGGCTCTTTCCTGCACAAGAGGTGTCCCTTTTCCTGGGATAGATTTTTACCTAGACTACTTGCTGTTGGTTTCATTTGCTGCTCCTTAACCCTGGAAAAATCCCAAATCTTGAATTTATTTAAGTGCCTTAAGGGTGGTGTTTAAATATTTCAGTTTTGCATTGCATGTCTATTTTCTCTTTTCAATTTTGAATACAACAATGCCAATTGAAGTTTGTCAGGATTCTAGGTGTTCTGAAGTGACTGTCTAGAATTAGATACCTTCTCTACATGACTAGAAGTTCTGCCAAGGGAAGAAGATATCTTCTAAAGACAAAAACATGTGACTAATTTCTAGAGGTTTTCTGCATTCTTGGGATTTGTTGAAAATGCATTCTACAACCTGTGAAATTATCACATACTTTTGATAATACCTTGTCTCCCTGAAATATAAAGAAACCCACACTATGATCCCTACCATCTTGCACTCAGAGCTGTCATAGTGGCTCAGTCTTCTTTCTTATGTATCAAAGATGTAAATCTTTTCAGAGAAAGCAAGAATTTGATTGTTCATGAAGATACATAATCAAAATAGAAATTGTTCTACCCAGCAGCATAAACATTAAGCCCAAGAAACAATTTGTTGGCCAATCTTCCATATCCACACACTAGAAGCGACAATGAAGTAACAGTACCCAACTTACTAAGAGTAGTAAAAGTAATTTCTCTTCAAGAGCAGCAGTAGCAGCAGTTTTTGTCCTTAAGGAAAACTGCCAGGAGACTGTAGCAAAGGAAAGATGAAACTGGATAAGTTATTCTCATGATAAATTTAGCTTTTCCGTGTCGGAATCCACTTGGTGATATGTGTGGTGAAGCCCTCCATTGAATCTCAGCCATGACTGAAAATCCCGTGCTTTGCTGTTTCCTGCTGATCCCCACAAGGAACGTTTTAAACTGAGAGCTGCTGTTTTTTGTTTTGTTTTCTTTTGACATGCAGTACTTCTTCTTCTATAGTGCTTCTTATCAGTTATCATGTCTTGGAAGTCAAAACAATTTCACCTTATTTCCTAAAATAATTATTGTATTAACATTGCTTGAAAAAAATATTTCTTATGTGTCTTTAAGAAAATTTAAGTAAATAAGTCGAGTAATGAAAATATTTTCCTTGAAATGAAAGATTTGCTTATCCAAGTCCAGAATATCATTTAAGAAATATGATGCCCAAGTCAACAAAGCTAAAATGATCACATGAAAACAAACAATACCAAAATCAATCACAGATATTTTTCTCTGCCACACCAAATACCAAGATTTTTAATAATAGTCATAAGTGTCATATAAAAGCATCTAGAGAATTTTGCACTGTACATCTGCATGCATTTTCTTTTCATTTTGCAAATAGTATAACATGTTCCTGCAGAAGGTGGCCTCAGCTGTGATCTAGGTACCATAAGAAGCCCTATGATGCTTACAGGATATTTATAACTTAATCATAAACAGACACATAGCACAACTAAAAATAAAATGGCCAAAGAATTTGAATAGACATCTCTCTCTCTCTCTCTTTTGTATCTTTTTGTTGTTTTTTTTTGTTTGTTTGTTTTTAGAGATGGTGTCTCGCTCTATTGCCCAGGCTGGAGTGCAGTGGACCGATCACAGCTCACTGCAGCCTCAAACTCCTGGGTTCAAGCAGTTTTCCTGCCTCAGCCTCTGAGTATCTGGAACTATAAGCATGCACCACCAGGCCCAGAGACATTTTTCAAAATAGATATGCAAGTGGCCAATAAGCACATGAAAAGATGCTCAACATGATTAGCCATTAGGGGAATGCAAACCACCATGAGATACTACTTCACGTCTATTAAGATGGTTATAATGAAAAAGACAGATGAGTATTGGTGAAGATGTGGAGCAATTGGAACTGTCATAAACTGCTGGTGTGAATGTAAAATGGTGCAGCTGCTTTGAAAAGCCATCTGGCAGTTCCTCAAAAGGTTAAATATTTGTTTAATGTTAACTGAATTAATATATGAGGCAGCATTCCCACTCATAGGTATATGCATACCCAAGAGAAATGAAAACATATGTCCATACAAAAAACTTGTATAGGAATGCTCAGGGCAGCATTATTCATAATAGCAAAGAGTGGAAACAACCCACACGTCCATGGATAAACAACAAAATGTAGTTTATCTGTACAATGGAATATTATTCAGCCATAAAAATAAATGAATTACTATTACCTGTGACAACATAGATGAACCTTGCAAATACACTACATGAAAGAAGCCATTCAAAAAAACCCACATATTGCATGATTCTATTTATATGAAATGTCCAGAATAGGCAAATCTCCGGTGACAGAAAGTAGATTAGTGGTTACCTAGGGCTGAAAGTCGGGCGGATGATGGTGGTGGTGAGGGAATGATTGGTGATTGCTAACAGATATGGGTTTTTGGGGGAGGGAATGATTAAAATGTTCTAAAATTGTGGTGATGGCCACACAACTCTGTGAATATACTGAAAACCATTGAATTATATTCTTTAAGTGGGTGAATGGTATAGTATATTAATTACATCTCAATAAAGCTGCTCAATGTGAATCTACCATGGGTTTTCTAAATTTTCTGATGGCATGAATAGATCAAAAGGATGGAATAAAATTCCAGGATTGGCTTGGGATCTATATATCACTCAAAGGTGGATAAAATGAACATCCACTTAACATGATGGCTAAAATGGATAATGCTTCAGCAGAAGCATAATCATTATCAGAATAGTGTCAATACTCACGTTGTGGAAATCCAACTCTAAACATTTTGTATGGAAGTGGAAGTCCTAACAAGTGAACAGAAAGGCAAATATATATATAAATGGAACTATTCCTATAAAAATCCAAGCTATCAATCATTGAATATGTATAGCCAGGCACTATACTAAGTGATGATGTACACACATTATTTTAACATTTAGAATTGCCCTAATGAAGTGGGTATTATGATGTACATTTTATGGGTAAGGCGTCTGAAAATTGGTTAAGTAAATTACCCAAGGAGAAGCAGCTTGTAAGTGGTAGAGGTGAGATTTAAACTAGCATTTGTCTAACTTTCAGGTCTTAATTACTACACAATACAGCTGTTTTAAGATATCTGCATTATAACCTTCTCTCTCTCTCTCTCTCTCTCTCTCTCGTCATTTTGGAGTGAATGCTTATGAAACCTTAGGAGAGGGAGATTACAGGAATTGCCACTGACAATGGTGGTACAGTTGCTATAGTAACCAATCCACCAAATTCATCTGTGCTACTGGGCACACACTTCTGCCTCTGTAATACACCCATACTGACTGGGATCTCTCACTGTATCAGTGAACTCCTGTTAATGCATATGAAATAGAAAGTGGTGAGGGCCTAGTGTACACCTGATAGCATTAAAGTGTTTTCTTCAAAGTTTCCCTCTCTGACTCACAGGTTTACATTCCCTTTTTTAATCCCATCGCTTTGCACAGGATGCTCTGATGTGGTTGGTTTTGAGGGGTGCTCAAAATCAGAGCCAAACAGCCCTCTGTTGTTTTTGTTCTAAGAAGTATTTACAAATATGACTATTTTCTTTCTGGTGACAAATTGACCCTCCAGCCTAATAATTCCTCACTCAGCACCAGATTGTGAATTGTGGACCATCCCACCCTGACCCTGACATTCAAAATAGACTTTATCTGATAAAAAAACACATCTCAGAAATCACTCTATAGAAAATTTGAAGGTAGCACCCAACAATATGTGATTGGACTGTGTACACACAGACATACACACACACACACACACACACATATACACACACACACAAACATGCACATCCATCTTTCCATATTTTTCAACAATGCCTCTACATTTTCAAGGACTTTTCTCAGATATTGCTGCTTTCTCTCTTCTTCCTCCTCTCCATTTCACTGGCCTCGCCTGTCTTCAGAGGCACCTGAAGGCACATAAGGCAGGGAAGTGAAACCGACTGTAATTCTTCAGTTCACTTCTCTGCAGCCTCCAGTGAGCCAGTCTCCATACGGTGGCCCAGCTGAGCTCTGAGGAAGTTCAGAGTCCCCGCGCAGGTGCAATTTACCAACCCCTCACAGGCGCTCTGGGAGCAAAGAAGCCAGACATATGCATGTGAAAGGCTTTGGGAGCAGCAGAAAAGAAAGCCTCTAAGCTTAAGTTTATGAGATTAAAAAGAAGAGGAACTCTCTTCTATGAAAGGAAAAAATGAAAGACATTTATAACTCAACCGGCCATCATTTTCCTTTTGAAGAATGAAATATAAATTGCTGAGAGCTGTCGAAAATTCTAATGTTCCCACTTCCTTCTGATGCCCTTGGTTTCACCTTTGGTTCCCTCCAACTTCATTCCTCTGGTGTTAACAGTCTCTGACTATTTCTGTGCTATCAGTGATATCATGAATATGTCCTAGTGATTTTTTGATAGGCAAAAGTGCATTCAGGTAAATTTTGCTAAATATGTCTTTTAAAATTAATAATATACAAACTTAAAACAGCATTTTATGTTTAGTTTTTCTACAATCTCAGCTGATCTTTCTACAAATGCTGCTAAGTATTTAGAACTATAATTATTAACCCATTTTACTGCTGCAGGACTCGGCTAACGTGGAGCCAGGCCACTCATTTAGGTTTATGATTTCAAAGGCAGCAGTGTTTCCACAATAGTATTACTTCTTTTTTCAGTTCAACTGAAAAACATGCTGATTTTTCCATTTTAAAATGTATCTATGCAGTAAATAATCCTTAGCAGGGCCTACAACTTCCTGTATGATTTGGACAACCCCTCTTGCCACAAATGTAGCCACACATCCTTTTTTTTTTTTTTTTTTTAAGTTCCTGGAAGGTGCCAAGCTCTTTTCTGCCCAGGAGTTTTGCAGGTGGTCTTCTCTCAGCTTTGCCTCTCCAATTGCATATTTTGCCTTCTCCCCAGGCCTATTACTTAGAATGGCTCATCTTTCAAGGCTCATCTTATACCTTTGTTGCAGAGAAAGTCTTCTCCAGTCACTCGGATAAGGTTACAGCTGTCTGTTATAGGGTGTCCCAGCCCATGCCACTTTTCTCTTGTAGGTTATGTATTGCCAGTGTGATTATTTTGTGTTACTATTTACTCTTTCTCTTTTTACTGTAAATTGCATGCAGTCAGAAATGTGGCTGTCTTGTTCAACTCTGTATCTCAGAACTTAGCTCAGAGCTTGATGTACCATATACGTTCAATACAAATGTGGGGGTTATTCCATAGCACAACTTCTGATTAGTAGTAAATTGCAATGCATCACTCCAAGTTTCCACTATCAGTGTGACACAGTCATGGGCCTGCATTTAGAAAGCTGTCAGAGGTCCTGAAGTTCTCCTTGCTTCTCAGGTCTTTTGCCAGGTCAAATTACATGGGAATTAAGATGATTTTGCAATGAATGCAGTTATATGTTTATCTCCTTATATTCACAGAATGGGTTGTCCCCTTTGAACTCCGAGACTTCTGAAACTACTGCATTACCTAGCACAACAATGGATTTAAAAAAAAAACAACAAAAAATCTTATTAACTCAGATTACATATACATAGTTATTGAACCGAATGGTATTATAGGCGGTAAGGTACCATGATTGACATTTTTTTCTTGTGAAAATATTTTCTTTCTTTTGAGGACTGACTTTTTTTTTCTTTTTAATGAAATTCTGTCTATAACTCTAAATTATATAAGGTTGGGTATGCCATGATTTAAGTGTTTCTTGATTTGTTCTTATCTTGATTTGTAAATGTTGAACACCTAATTTCCAGTCTTTAGAAATTTCTTGCCCATCTTCTTTTTCTTCCTTTTTCAGATAGTTCACATTCTTAATAACTTGTTTGATACCCCTTATTTCCTTGCATTTTTCTTACTTCTTGTTTTTTCTTCTTTTTCTCATTACCCTATAATTTATTTTCTCTTTTTACGGTAGGCATTCCATAATACCTTTCTGCTTTACTTCTAGTGTTGCAAATAGTTCTAATCCTATTTGCATTAATATTATTTGTGAAGAGATAAACCTCTCTGCTATTTACAGTAAAATGAACACACTCATTGTATCATCTGTACTACAACAGATAGCCTTTCTCTGGTTAAGTGATCCTCCTACCCATATCAAAATAGTGTTTTTTTGTTTTAATTTAAAGAAATCATCATTAGTAATGCCTGTATTGTGAATTATCTTGGAAATCAATGGAAAGGACATGGAAAATGAACATGTTTTCTGAATTCTAAGTGAATGAGAGAAGACAAACATTTATGATCTAACAATTGTTAAATTGATTTTCTTGAAACAAAATATAAACAGAATAAATTTTCAGTTAGAGAGGTCTTATTTTGTTATTAAAATATACAGGTATTTTTATAATTCCAACTTCTACCTGGTTATTTAATCACCTGAAAGTATCCCCAACATGAATAGTGTTTTACTGTCACAAAAACAAATCTGACACCCCTTTAGTACTTCAGTGCACAGAAATCCAGGGAAACCAACTTTTGGTTCAAATTCAAGCTTCAAGGTTTTTTTTTTTTTTTCATAGTTAAACAGAAATTTCTTATTTTTCTTTCTTTTCTTTATTTAAAGTGCATTGGCTCATTCTATTTTTAGTAAGTCAATATTATAGTGCCAAATCTCAGCAACTTATTATTTAGCCCCTTAATTCAGAACTAATAATTAAGTGCTGTAGACCAGAAGGATAGAATTCTGGCTTTCTAATGTCTTCCCCTCGTTCTTCATTGGTTGAGTGGCCTGAAGAAGAGTTAGATGGCAGGAACTTTTAATGACTTTTGTGGTGTGATAAAACAGAAGTGGAAGGTGTAGATAAGAGTTTGTCTTTTGTAAATGCCACATCTCCAATATATACTCATAATGGCAGGGTTATTTCCCTGGTGATAAGGACCTCTGACTCAACACTATTCAGATAATTGGGTAAATTACTTATCTTCTCTGAGTCCCAGTTTTCTCATCTTTAAAAAGGCTTAAAGGGTGCTGTAAAGATTAGAAACACTGTAAGTGATAAGTCAAGCTTGTGGTAGTTGCTCAGACAGTGATAGCTACTATTATTATTGGCCAACAACAGGTTGTGTGTATGTTTGCGTGTGTGTAATCATCTTTAAAATTACCTATATTTTTATTGCACATTAGCTTTTTTGATTCACACTATACTGCACCAACCTTAAGTGTCTATCTCAATTATATTTAAGACCAATAGCAATTTACAACGAACTCACATTTTTGGATCAAGGTCAGGCACTGAGTTAAGTGCTTTGGTTACACATATTCAGAGAAGTCACCGTCTATTGGGGTCTGAGACAGACACATAAGACAAACCTACAATGGGGTAAGTATTTCTCCAGAGGTTGTTCACTTTGCAGAAGGCAGGCAGGATCTATACTCAATCCAGTTGATCCACTCATAAGTCAGGAATCCTGACATGCCCTTTGATCAAAGCAGCTGGAGATACAGATTGACACTTAGAAAAATAATTGTTCACATGTTCATTTAGTTTAGATTAGTTTGCCTAGATTAGTTTGCTGAATATGTGCCCGTTAACCTCAGAAAAATAGTGTGTTAAATATACTCGCCTATTTTGATTTCCTACTCGAAATGATTAAAATATCATATAAACAATATTTAAGCCTCTTCTGAATAATGATGACCATTCTACATTAGGAGGTTTTATATCCAGTATGCTTGAAAAAATGAGAAACTCATCCATTGTTTTAATTAATCACTATTTAGCTTCCGAGGATCACTATTCAAATCCTTAAGTCATATTCTGGATAAATTAACTTCTAACTTAGCACGGTAGAATTATTTAGACTTGAGTTCTTTCCAAATGGAAGGATGAAGACTAATGGGGATTTTTTCCACTAGAATAAGGGCAAATTGTTTTTGTCCATTTTCTTCACTGATATATCCCAAGTGCCTAGCCTAGTACATGGGTTGGCAAACCGTGGCTCACAGTATAAATCCAGTCCATGTTCTATTTTTATATTTTTGTATAGCCTGAAAACTAAGAGTGTCTTTTATGTTTGTAAGTGGTTGAAAAAATTAAAAGAATAATATTTCATGATGTGAAAATTACAGGAAATTTCAGTGCCCACAAATGCAGTTTTACTGTAACACAGCAATGCCCATTCATTTATGTACTGTCAGTTGCGTTTTTGCACTACAGGTGAAGAGTAGTGTAGTTGCAACAGAGACCTTGTGACCCCAAAGCCAAAAATAAACACTGTGTTGCTTTTTATAGAAAAAAATTGCTGACCCCTGGCCTGGAAAAACAACTCTCCTAATTTTTTTTTTAAGTCAGATACATTACTATTTAACCCTCACAAGTTTCTTTTTAAAAGAAAAGTCTTAAGTCTACATATAACTCTTCAGTCAATTAGTAGATTTCAGCCTGGCTAGCATTTGGGGAGTGATAGTAAAAAACAGCACACTGTGAATGACAACACAGACTTGCCACACTGCCTGGGTTCAGCTGTGCAATCATGGAGCAATGCTTAACTGCTCTGTGCATCAGTTTTTTATCTATATGAGGCTAATGATAGTACCCATACCTTGGGCTGTTATGAGAATTCAATTAAGTAATGTATGTGAAGTGCGTCAACATCACCTGTTACGCAGTAGCAGTTGTAAATAAGGTAACACATTTTTTACTGTTTTTTAAGTTAAGAAAATTGGGATGCTTAGAATTAGCTAAGGTAATGAGTGAACCTCATGTTCATAAAAATGGTAAAAATACAAGCATGAATTAAAACTGGAAAATGTCCACTTTTAACAGTAAGTCCTCTATTTCAATACAAGGCATTAGTATCCTTTTTAATTGCCTTCTGATTGTAGGATGTAACTATTTGACTCCCATATCGGTTGATGTAATTTTGTAATCAATGGTCCTGTTTCAGATAATAAACAAATTGTATTCTGAATGGTTGAATAATTTCTGATACAAAATTTAACTACCTAACAATTTTTAATCTGAGGGTATCAAATTGATATAAAGGGAAGTAACAATTTAGAGAATGCATGGATACAAGTTTAGTTTGCTTTGTTAAGGTTATTACTCAGTTCTTAGAAAGAGAACCAACAGAAAATATTGTCCTACATTTAATGAAACACTTTCTAAGCACCAAAACCAGGAATCAAAACTGTATATTAGGAAATGTAATGGCATTTTAATTATTGCAAGTCATTTTAGCAGATAGATAATTAGTACCCTTGATGTTTAAATAGATTTTTACATTAATTTATGAGAAATCTATAAATAGACTATGTTTTGTAGTAAATGAAATCTTAGGTAGTCTCCTGTTGTTTATAAAATATAATTTCTTTAAAACTACACTTCGATATGGAACCCTACATGGGACGTAATAGCTAGTTGTTAAATGTTTAAAAAATATGATTACTTTCATGAATGTATTTCTATTACAGGTGTTTTCTTGGAGAAGGTTCAGTAAACTTTTGTTATGTGCAATAGTAATGTAGATTAATGTATTGATGAAGTACAACATTGAGCCTTTCTTTTTTCATAATCTTAATTCATTCAACTTTTAATAAGCATTTATTCGTTATATTGTGTGAGGTGCAATGAAAATGTAAAACATTAGTTAATTTTATCCAGTTAATTAATATCTAATCCAATTTGATTTATTTGGGATAATTGCTAAATTATACATTAAAATTTCAAACTGTAAATAAAAAGAAACTATTTGGGTTACTTAAGCTAAATTTAGACTATGTCTTCTGTTATTTACATTTAATATACTAAACACTGCATATCATGTCGCTTTATGAAACTAAATTTTCATGCTTTAGATGATGTTAATATTGACTTGTAGAAAGATTAAATCAAGCTGATTTAATCTATCCATCACCTCACCTCTTTATCATTTCTTTGTGTTGAGAATGTTTCAAATCTACTATTTTGGCAATTTTGAAATATGTAATACTTTTTTACTAACTGTGGTCACGTTGCTGGTGCAATAGATCACTAAAACTTATTCTTCCCGTCTAACTGAAACTTTATATCCTTTGTCAATCCTGTCATCTTAAATTACTTATGTGTGTATTTGAATACAGAGTGACAAGTTTCTTATTTTACTTATTGTCCTTATGTTAAGTTTGGTAAAATGGAATATGAATTTAAGTGCAACTGGTATACTTAGAAAAACCAAGCAACAAGAGGGAACATTTTATATTAATTTGAGTATTTGTATAAAGATTTCATACTTGGGTTCCTTTACTTTTCTAGGCTTAATGAAAACTCAAAATTAATAATCTTTAAAATGCTTAAATTATGATTATATTAATATCTCTACTTTCTATAGATAATATACTCTTAAACAAGTAAATTCTCTTTTGAAGTTATTCTATTTGCTTATACTTTGTACTTATTCCAAAAGACTGGTCAATTTTACATTTTCATCTCCTTCTCTGAATTTAAGAAACTCTTTTATATTTAGAGTTTAAAAACTACAGGTGGATAAAAAGTAATAAATACAAGGTCCTTCTATTCAATTGTCTTCAATGAAAGTGATGTAATCTCAAAAACAATTGGTTAACACATTTATCCCCGTTAAATGACACATAAGGCTAAGGGAACATTTTTATATTACACTGATGCTATAATAAATGGGCTGATTTAATATTGTTGGTTGCAACTTACAGCATTTCTGTCTACTTTAAAGTTAGGAACTTCATGGTTATTTTGGCATTCTTCCTATGAATTACAATTAAAATAATGTAATTAGTCTGTAAAATTCAAAATGCTACCTTTACTAATAAAGGAATAAAACCTAAATTATATTACTTTGAGGTCAATGATAGGTTCGCATGAACTATTTGCTTTTCTATATCTTTCTCTTTTAAAAGAAAATACAGTTTTCTTCCTACTGCAGAAGTATCAGATTCTTGCAGCATCCATGACACTTGTAAGCATTCAGTGGTCAGACACCACTACATATCCTTCAAATGATGTGGCCCAGTGAAGCTGGAGGGTGTCGTCACGGAGCCAGGCAGCCTGGTATCTCAGCCATCCACCAGGACAGAGCCAGCAGGCACTAGCTGGTGTGCTGAATCTTGACTAAAGTGGGAAATGGATTTTGCATTTTGAAAGTCAACTCTTCTAACATTGAACCTTAGGACATACCTGTTAGATAAAAGTGCATTGAGGGCTTCAGAAATTTACTGGATCAAATTTATAAAGCTCCTCTGCCAAAATTACTCTTAGAATAAGTTAAATCTTAATTTTATTATTCCTCTGGGTTTCTGAATTTATACCGTGTTATACATATTTTTAAAAGTATGAGTAAATGTATGTTCAGAACTATAACTGTGTTGTCTGAATTATTGACTATGTGTGATATATGCTAAATGAAGTATACTTGTAGGTCATTTAAAAGTGACAAAAATTTAAATCACAGAATATTAATCACCAAGGCCCATCGCCCATCACACTGAGTTTGCCATTTGGATCTTTAGACAAACGAAAAATTCCAATAAAATAAAAATACGTTTCATGTTTTTTTCCTCATTGGCCTCTTGTGCTCACTGTTAAAAGCACACGGGGATTTGGATTCTTGTTTCTTCTATTGTCCTATTATCATCTTTTGACAACACGATTCGTTAACTCATCTCCCACAGATGTTAGAAAAATGAACTTACAGGGTTTTGTTACAAGTTCAAGATTTCTCATGCCTCCTGTTGGCCTCTCCTTAACACAAGAGCTGCCTAAAAAAGTGTAGAGAGTATCTTCCATTTCTTTAAACTTTAGTTACCTAGGTCTGGTGGAAACATAATGACACACACACACACACACACACACACACACACACACACACACCATTTAATTCTATAAGGCTGCACAAGGTGGGCCCCATTCTTTAGACATCATTCTGACTGGGAAAATGCCCTGCTAGATTTTCAAACCATGTACTTTGCTACACTTTGTAACACTTTGGTGGTTAGGCTGGAGTAGCCTGGCATCTGGAATCATGATGTTTTATCATGAGAAACTGAGAGGATACTGTTTCTCTTTTCTAAAAAGAGAAAGAAACCCTTTGCTAGGGCTCATTAAAAATGGTTTTAAAATTGGAGCCAATAAAACACGATTGTCAATTCCTACAGCCTTTTTATCTCAGCAGCATTTTTAAAAGGCATCATTTCTCTCTCCCCTGAAATCCTACTTGCAACACACACAGCCACATTTCTAACTAGCAACAACAGAGGCAGCAGCAACTCTCCAACTTCTTTGTCACTGGTGAGCAGGCACACAGACCAACTGGAGCTAGAAGCCTCTCCACTCCTCCATCCCAATTTTCAAGTGCACTCTTCTCAGAAATGGGAGTTGCTAGGCAAGATTCACCCCATCACCCTGAAATCTCTTGCTTTACTCTCCTTTAAAAGTGAAAAGGAAAGGCTTTCCACAACATAGAAAAGTTTGCCTGGGCACATGATACCAGCATTTCCAATAGTGACCCTAATAGACAAAGCATTTTGGAGTTCTGACATCGACAGGGAGCAGATCCCAGTCATGAAGAAACAACTTGAGTGTGTGACGGCAAGACCATGAAAGCCTTCCTTTGCAAGCATCGCCTGGGCTCTTCTGCTCACCCAAGGCAGAACTGAGGAGGGGTGGGGTGGGCATTCCTCACCACAGGATCCTTTTTCTTGAGCAAGCCCATCTTAAGATTTGTAGGGAGAGCTGGCTTAGAGAGACTTCCAAAGCTACACTTCTAACTGTCCTGGCCTTTGGCCCCATCTGCCTGTCAATTTCAGTCTGAGTCCACAATTCCCATGTTTACGGCTCTGGGGATATCTAGAACCTCGGCTTTGGAGCGCTCAGGGATGCTGCTAGGCCAGTTCCCTATTGACCTTTCAGGGACTCTGAAATCAACTTTCCTCACACACTCTGAATTGTTTGCGTTTGTTTTCATCCTGCCAGAGCCACCCGCCCAGGCCACCCATCTCTTCCCTCCTCCCTGCCCCCTCCCCTCCCTCCGGCCTCTCTGGCTCTACCCCCCCCTCCCCCGCCCTCCTCTTTGTTGTCTCCTACCTGCTGGCCAGGCTCTGCCTGCAGTGCTGCCTGAAGGGCATCAGGTGGTAGTTCATGGCGTCCAGCAGCAGCTTCTGGCAGACCGGGTCGGTTCGCATGAAATCCACTGACTGGACCCGCTCCACCAGCTCCGGGGCCGGGATGAGGGCGAAGCGGAGGCGCTTCATGAGGTCAGGCGCATACTGCATGCGGGTCTCGCGGTCGTGCTCCAGCCACAGCACGGACATCTGGAAGAGCGCCAGCTCCGACTCCACGGGGGGCGGCAGCGAGTCCAGCAGGGCGCGCATCTCCTCGAAGTTGAGCAGCAGCACATCCTCCACCAGGTACTTGTTGGCCAGCTTCTTGGTCTCCTCCAGGCCGTGCAGCGCGGCGATCTTGCACACCTGCTTGTAGTTCTGCACCGAGATCTGGTCGTTGAGGAACTGCACGCAGAGCTTGGTGACCTGGGGGATGTGCAGGATCTTGCTGACCGACAGCACCTCCTCCACCGTGTCCAGGGACAGGGTCACGTTGGCCGTGTAGAGGTACTCGAGCACCAGGCGCAGCCCGATGGACGAGCAGCCCTGCAGCACCAGGTTGTTGATGGCCCGGGGGCTGGTCAGCAGCTTGTCGTCGGGGGAGGAAGAAGGAGTCCCGGGCTCCTCCTGCGGCGGCGGCTGCTGCTGCTGTGACGGCTGCTGCTGCGGCGGCTGCTGCTGGTCCTTGGGGGCCCCCAGGCCGTCCTGGCCGCCGACCCCTCCCCCGAGAGGGGGGTGGCTGGAGAAGAGCGATCGGAAGTACTGCGAGCAGGAGGCCAGCACGGCCTTGTGGCAATGGAACTGCTGGCCCTGGGCCGTCAGGGTCACGTCGCAAAACAGCTGCTTCCTCCACAGCAGGTTGAGGCCGTGCAGCAGGTTGTCGCTGTGGCTGGGGTCGAAGGTGGAGGTCCTGTCCCCGGATCTGGACATGGCGAGCTGACTCGGTGCACCTGGCTTTAAACCCTCCTCCAACCTGGCAGACAGGGGTGGGGGATGGGAGGGAGGGGAGCAGGGTGGTGGAGCGGGTGGGGTGTGGTCGGGGTGGGGAAGGGTGTGGAGGGGAGGGGAGGGCGAAGAACAAGAATCAAGGCTCAGCTTGACTCCCTCCTGGCGCGCTCCGGACCCCGACCCTAGGAGGAAAGTCCGAAGACGCTGGATCCGTGAGCGCCACCAGAAGGGCCCTGTCTGGGGTCCCGGCGCCGGTTCTGCGCCCTGCGGCTCCTCTCGCCACCTCCCACACACTTCGTCCCTCACTTTCCTAAAACCAACCACCTCAGCTCGGCTGTTGGCAGCAACAGCAGTGGCAGCAGCGACGGCAAAGTGGCGGCTGAGGCCGAGGCACCTCGTGGGCTCGTGTCCATGCCGGGCCAGATGAAGGGAAAGGCCGGGAAGTGGGGAGCCGGGGGTGCCCTGAAAGCTCAGAGGCGACCGACGGCGAAGGTTCCAGGTCAACTTGTGCCCGAAGCTTTGCTTTTCGCAGTTGGCCCAGTTTGGGGGAGGGGGTAGGAACAGGGGCCCGACCAGCGTGCGGGGTGTGCGAATCTTAGCTCTCCAAAAGCTGGGACCCCCTTCGATTATCCATGCTGCCCCGAGAAACTCCTAGGCTAATAGTCTGAGGGAGGAGATAAAGCCCTTTCTTCTCCCGGGAAAGTGCAGCGGAGCGCGGTGAGGACCCGCTCAGTGGAATCGGCAGAGGCGGGAGCTGTCCTTATCAATTCGAGCTCATTTCCCTCAACCTGGCCCTGCCCGCTTCCCCGCTTCGCAAACTGTTGGCTTCCCCGTCACCACTCAGTTTGGCTAATTTTCCAGAGATGGCTTTAAACCTGGCAGGAGAATCCTTCCACCACCGCCACCCCCACCCGGTGGCCCCCTCTCCCCCGTCTCGCTCATTTCAAAGCGCGGAAGTTCAGGCATCAATCTCCCCTTCCAGCGAGGGGCGGCACCGAGGACTCAGGGGGAGGAAGTGGGGCTGCGAGGACGCGTTTGGAGAGGGAGCCGGGAGGCCTGGAGGCCGGGAGGGATTCGTGTGCACGGTTTCCCCTCCCGGGCACCAGGCGCAGTCGCTTTAACTCCAGTAACTATGAGAAGTTCAAGTTAGAAGGCAGGTGTTGGGGGAGGGGTGGGGGCTGTCGAACGAGCGGGGGGGCGGGGGAGCAGTGGGGTGCGGGGTCTCTGCGCCCCACCCAGCATCGTCGCCTGCAGCCGCAGCTCCCTTCTGACCCCCTCGGTAGAGCCCCCAGCGGCCCCCCACTCGGGCACCCCCACTTCCCCGGCCCTGGAACTACTTCTGTAAAAAGTCTGAGCCGCCCGCATCTAGGCAGAGGAGGGCAGGGTGGGGGAGGCGAGGCGAAATCGATACGCCAGGTCCTTAACCTGTAATTGCACCTTCCAGGGCTGAGCAGAAAGGGACCCTCTGCTTGCATCCCGCCCGCGCGCCGGCCCGCCGGCCCGCCGGCCCGCCCGCCCGGGGGAGAGCCGCCGCCGCCGCCCGGCTCGGAGGGATCCCGGCGGACCTGCCCCTTCCACTGCGGCTCACTCTGCCCTGCCTGGCGCCGGTCCTGGATCGCCGGCTTCCTATTTATACCGGACTGGGCTCCTTTCGACTCACTTTACCATCCCGTTCCAGGTGGACCCTACCCTCCCTCGCGCTCCCTCCGCCGGCAGCACCCCCACGCCCGCCCCCAAAGCTCTGGCTTGCCTGAAACATCTTACAGAGTCTCTCTCCCTTTAAGAGGACCCGGTCATACCTCTCTCTAGCTCTCTCCGCTTCGTTGTCTCCCCCCGCCCCATCTTTTCCTATTCCCCTTCCTTCTTGTTCTTCTCCCTTGCCTTTCCTCCTCATCTGCTTATTTCTTGCAATAGGAGTTTTTTCTTTATGAGCGTTTGCCATACAACTACCCCCCCGCCAACCCCTCTGAAAGACTCCCTCCCCGGCCCTTCCCCCTCCAACAATCCAAAAGACAGAACAAAATACACACAAGGCAGACACAAGGCCAGAAACTTACCTGTTCTCAACCAGCTGCAAAGTCAAGGCTCACTTAAGCTCCCCCCAAAAATCAATTGTCCTTCCTTTTTAAAGGTTTGCTGTCTCCTTGGGAGGGGGAAAACACCTTCTGGTTCCCAACTCCAGGCAGTCACTCTTTACAATTTATTTTGTCGTACATCATTTGATCACCATGAATTAGCAACAGCAAGAAAATGTAGGAGAGGGAGAAAAGAGAGAAAGAGAGAGGGAGAGAGAGAGGGAGCAGAGCTTTCTGCAAGAGAAGAAGAAGAAAAAATGTACGTGTGACAAATTATGCTACCAAGAAACAACACATCATTATCCTTGGGCCTGGGGCTCAGTGAGTCGTAACGAGAGTAATAGGAAATCCACGGTTGGGGAGAGAAACGGTCGTGCTTGGCCAGTAGAGAGAGACCATACAGGGGGATGGATGCTGGAGAGACTCGCAAAATTATGGCTCAAGGCTATTGTAAAAATTGTCGAGCGTAAATGACTGCGATTTCAAACATCTTTGGAAGAAAGAAGGGGAAAAAGCGAGCCCCCCCTCCCTCCCTCTCCCTCTCTCTCCCTCTCTCTTCTCTCTCTCTATAAAGAACCGTCAAGTTTTAGTGCGCATTGCTAATTAGTCAATTTCTCTCTGCCTTCACAGGCTGGCGACTTCGCTGCTGAGCTGAAACTGCTAATTTCTGTGACCAGCTTTTTTCTTAGCTGTGATCTGGATGAATGAGTAGCTGTCTCACAGAGATGACAAAAATAAACTCTAATCCCCCCCAAAATTTCCACTACATCTTTCTCATGCATAGATTTATGATCTTCAAGTGCTCTGTGCAATATGCAAACTTTTTTTGTGTCTGTATATATGCTGTTGTTTCCAGATTTCACTACATTGGTATGCTGCTTTTCCCTTCCCCCCACACCTCCCCCCCACCCCCAGCACTGTGAAATGCAGAAACAGTCTGATCTCAAAGTATGCTAAGACACTACTTTATTCTGTTTTGGTATTTGGGGTTTGGGTCTGTCCTGAAAGACACTAGCCCTTGCCTAAAAGGTGAGTGGCTGAGGATACACACCGGGGTGGGGGAGTAGAGCTGGTAGACAGAATAGAGGACAGCCCTTTGCTTTACATTTGCTTCCCACAAGGCACTGTTCAAGGTTTATGATCTTATTTGAAAACATATTTTCTCTATCATTTTGTCTGGTTAAACAACTGCCTCTGAACTTCTCTGTCAGCTCTTCAACAGATAAGGGTGCAGAAGTCACGTTTTTTTTTTTTTTTTTTTTTTACTGAAAGATTATCATATTGTTGGATTTGTATTTCAATTAGGAGTCTTTGATTTGCAGGAGCTAGAATCAAGTGCTAGGAAACCCAGCCGCAATTTCACAAATGTAACCTTTCAACTTTAGAGCTCATCTGATATATAAGGGCAACCACATAGTGCTCACATTTTTGACCCTGCTTAGCATGCAAAAGGAACCCCAGCATGTTTCTGGAATTTTAGCTGTACCAGAGATTCATGTGCATTTTGGTAGAGGACATGTTCTCCAGACTTATCTCATGATGTATTGCACCCTTATGTTTATAGCCCTGCATTTCGGTTGTCAATGGGGGTTGGAGGTGTCCAAGAAAGAAAGAAAAAAAAGAAGCAGAAAAAGGAAGGTATGCCCTTGAGTAAAATGAACACGAAGAAAGCTGGACATGAACTAAATTGAGCTTTGTTTGCTATTAACTATATGACTATGATTCATTCTAATTTATATGTGCTCTGATTAGTAAACTTATTAAAATACGTATCAGGGCACCATTGCAAGACATCTATTCAGACCCCCCATCATCCTCTTTGATTTGTGAGAGATGGAAAGACACCTGCTTAGGAAAGGGAGGAAAATTAAAAATTCTGAGGTTCAGAAATAGGGATTCCCCATTTACAATGATAACATTAACGTGCACATGGGATAGTCACACTTAAATGAATTAAGAAGGATCAAACTGAAGCATTTAACCCTCACAAAGCCCCCCCACTTTTTTTGTCAAGGTTCTAGATTATCTGAGAGTAAGACTTCTTTATTCAGATCCTGTTGAGATGCTGCATTCTCATATTTATGTTTATAGTGGAAATGCCCCAATACATGATTAAATCATAGAAAAGAATTTTGCTGTTGTTGTTGTTTAGGGCAGAGGAGAGAAAGACAACAGATTATACAATTCTCCTGGCCCTATTATTGTTTTGATTTTTGTTTAAATTTCCCTTATTTGGGTGTTGAACAGGAAGATCATGTGACTCTAAGATAGAACATTTTTGGAGTTCTGTGTCACTAGCAATTAAAGCTATCAAGTATGTGGAGTGTCACAAAACTCTCATACATGTAAAGTGCAATTTTTATATTATGATTTTGATGTTGATCTTTTATGAACTTCTCATGAAGTATTTGGAACTAAGCCCAAAGGCAATAATAGTATTGATCACTTAAATTATGGCCACCTTCCTGTTTTATCTTGAAAGAATTAAAGTATGTTTGTAGGCCTCAAAATAACTTAGTTTCAAATTTCTATTTTTTTATGGATAGGATATATTGACCACTAATTATGATTACCAGGCTCTTTATTGCTTCCAAACAATATAAAAGCCACATTTCAAAAATTTTAGCTACCTATAATTTTAATGCTTATTTAACAACTAGGGTGGAAAGGGAAGAGAGTGGGATTGGGAGCTGGCAATTCTAAAATGGCTGTTGAAGTGGATAAAAACATTTTCTTCTGCATTCTAAAGTTATCTGATAATGTTTAAATTTCAGAAAAAAATACAATTCTGGTTATTGTATAAGCAATTAAAAAAGAATATTGATAAAGGGTCCCTTCATAATCTGTGCATAAACTAGCATATATGTCATGTAAATCTCACACCTCCAGTATCTTATACTGGCTTTGACTGAAATTATTGCAGAACTCACAAATGAGACGACACTATTTACAATAAATCTCGTTATGAAAGATTCAATTTGCAGCAATCAGATGCTAGCTACTAAGCGATTTTAAGTATTTGAATTTTATCCTACTTCAGTGTTCAACATACAGAAATTGCATCTGTGTGTTTGATCTGTCCTGCTGAGCGCTATCAGCAGCTTGCATCTCTGCCACTATTGTTTTTAAAATGGCAGGAAGGACGTGACTAGTCAGGAGCACTCAGCAGGATGGATTTCACGTGGCATAAGAGGAGCCAGAATTGTCTTTTTTAAAAAAAAATTAAATATGATTGTGTAGTCATCTAATGCAAGCCATCTTCATACTTCGATAGAATTATCAAAATTATTCATTAGTGAATTTGCATTTAAACCATGTACAATGGAAAGATTCTGAAACTATGGCCACTGAGCAGTCTACTAGAGCTGCCATTAGTTTCTAGTGGTCTGGTCAGCCTTCAAGGTGGCAGAGATCCAGGCCTATCAGTGGTTCCAGTTGCTCAGGATCATCTCACTGGACTGGAGGAACTGAAGATTATCTTTAGAGCAGTTCTAGAAATGTTTTGCTGCTTAACATATAGGGGCAGCCACACTGAATCTTTATTTTCCTTATTCTTGACTTTTCTGCTTAGGATTTATGAGTTATCACCAAATTGCATAAACATCAGAGCCTGGTCTCCCCTGTGTCTTTTGGATAGTAAACACTATTTCAATGTGATCTGACCTTTAAGATTACTGTCATTGTGGAATGGATGTATAAGGGAAGAAATTATTCCATTTTACACATGGAATAAAATTGAGTAAAGAGGGATCACATAGCTCCTTCAAAGTTAGGGAGTGGCAAAACCCAGGCACAACTCAAGATTTCTAGTTTTTTTTTTTTTTTTAAATCTTGAGTAGATGGGTCAAAGATATCACAGAACCATCAGCACTGAGAAGCTTATTAAAGAACACAAAATCTGAAATAACAATAAGAAATGGTGCTATTGGCTAACATTTAGGCAAAAGCCAATGGTTTGCTATTGCTCTGCTGTCAAGCCCAACTCTGTGGCTCACATTCCGGGTTCCCAGTATTTAGCTCTAGCTCCTCTGGGCAGCCTGTTCTGGACACGCTCCACTGTTAAACTGCAGCACCTATTGTTAGGCTGTGTCTTTTTGAGAGGCCTTCATTCTCTACAAATAGAAATTCCACTTACCTCTCAAGAGTAAACTCAGATTTCTTTCCACTATAAAACTTTTCCTGGCAACCTCTAACAGAATAATAATGGCTACTACTTATTGAGTTTATTACTGCATGGTGGACACTGTTCCAAATCCTTCAGATGTTTTATTTTCTTAATCCTCTTGCTAATCCTATGGAAGACTATGGCAGATTGCAAAAATACCTCCATGTCTCCACCCTTCCTGGTATACACACTACATTATAATATGGCTTTGCTGCTCTTCTCATCAAGAGTGGAATCGACTTACCTAATCCTTGAATGTGAGCTGGCCTTGTAACTTGCTTTGACCAATGGAATGTGCCAGAAGCGACCTTGTGCCAATTCTGAGTCTAAGCTTCAAGAGGCCTTGTGTGTTTCAACTCTCCCTCTTAGAGCCCTGCCAGATACCATGTGATGAAGCCCAGGCTAGCCTGGTAGAAGATGACACATCACATGGACAAAACATTCCCCAGATTGCCCAATAGCTGAACTCAGATGCATGAATGAGCCCAGCTGAGACAGGAGAACCAACATGCTCCAAATGACAGATCCACAGAACCCTGAGCTACATCAATGGCTGCTGTTTCAAGTCATTAGCTTTTGGGGTGATTTGTTCCATAGCCAAATTAGCTGCTGAAGAAAGGTACAATTATTATCATTTTACCAATGAGCAAAATGAAATGCAGAGAAATCACGTAAATTTTTCAGAATCACACAACTTTTCAAAAGTAGTGCTTAGGTTCAAACCAACACAGCCTGACTCCAGGGATTTACCATTCTACTGTACTGGCCACAAAAGAAATGCCTGCCTCTAGGAAACATTTGTTTATTTATTCATGCATTCATTCATTCATCAAGTATATATTAAGTATCTATTGAACACCAAACACTGTGCTAAACATCAAGGAAACAATGATGAATAAAACTGCATTCTTGTCCTCAAGAGGCTTACACTCCAGTAGAAGAGACAAGCTGGTAAATTAGCTTCAGCAAGTGAATAATTATACTTGATAATTGCTCTGATACGGGTATGTATAAGGACTTACTGAAGCAGAAAGAAGCTCGCCTCTTAACTTCCTCAGAGTACATATTGTCTGTAACACTCTTTCAACATTTATTATTTACTGCTTTGTTAATTGCTTATTCAGGGAAATCTGTTATCATCTTAACTAGATTATAAGCATCCAGGGGAGAAAAAGCTCTCTGTCTGGTAAAAATCTCCCATAGTACGTAGCTTTGTGCTTTGCCCATAGTAGTTATTCAATAAATATATTGATGGACTATTAAAGGTGAATTTTCAAATGTATCAGAGAAAGAGCAGAGAGAACAAGGGAAGAATTTAACAATCAGAGACTGTCAGGTATTTGACTAAACTGGTATTAGTCAATCTCCAGATTATACTGATCTACTGTCTTAAAATTAATAAAATCTTTATTCTATTGTGAAATTACTGCTCACAGCACATAGCTAAGAGTTTGATGGGACCTTAGTAAGTGCTTCCTCCAAACATTTTACCTATAGCCACAATCACCCAGCAAAGCTCTCCAAAACTTTGAAGAGAGTAGTTGCTTTAATAGTAATTAAACTACTCAACAAAGGTAGCACAGAGCTGCAATTCTGTGCATGAATTCTGGAGGCAGATTCCCTGGAATTGAATCCTTGTTCTGCCACTTTCTATCGGTGTGACCTTGGGCAAGTAACCTCCCTGTGCCTGCTTTCTTCATTTGAGAATGGGATAATTGTAGAACCTATCTCAACGGATCTTACGGTGTTTAAATTTTTGTAAATATTTGTAAGTCCTTAAAACAGTACCAGACACATAGTGAATGCTTTGTGAACATTTGTTAAATAAAAAGTAGACAGATGTAGCTAGAGAATTCTCTTCCTAGTTTTCCTTTTTTTTCTTTTCTACAGATTATGCCTAGTGCTCAACAAATATTGGATGATGAAAAGAATACATCTACTTTTCTTAGGGTTGTAAGGATTCATGATACTACTCAAGAGGCAACTGGTCACTTTAATGAAAGTACCACTATTTTTGGCTTTGCTCTCTAGATATCGTATATCTATATATGTTGTTTACCTGTAGTTTTAAAAACCACCACCCTTTTCCCGCTGGGGACATTGGTGTTTCACACATGTCTTGAGTAATTAAGATTTTTAAAAATTAAGGATATTTCGCCTTTCTGGGAGTGTGATCTCCCTATGAGAATATGCCTCTTGTAAAGGAAATTCTTCATCCTTCTTCAAAAAAGGAGGAGAGGGAACACAAGAAGTGCCTGGTGCAGAGCTCCAGTTCCTACTTTGTGGTTGTGAAATGTTCAAGATACTGTAAAATCACCATGATCTTTAGCCATGCACCAATGGTGGTTGTGTGTGTTGGCTGCTGCACTGTCCTCTGCCAGCCTATAGGCGAAAAAGCAGGACATACAGATTTTCCTGCAGGAGGAAGCAGCACTAAAAGCATTCTGAATCAAGATGGATGGAGAACCATCCCAATAAACACAACTGGATATTAAAAACTAAGGATATTTATTACTAATGATGGTTTAATAACAGGTTGCTGAATAGATTCAGAACTCTGAAAAGTAGCTTTTTGGCACTAGGCCTTCATGACAGTGACTGAGATGAGAAAGAATGTTGTGATTGGCTTCTGTCTCTGACATTACCTGAGCCTCTAGACAAATCACTTTTCTTTTTTCAGGTCTCAGTTTTCCCATATGTGAAGAGAGAGAGCATTTCCTTCATTTAACTACTGTATAGGCTTGCATTCAGGAGAAGTGAACTGAATGTTCCCCAAAGTATAATTGGGAGCTCTCCTAGTGATTTGCGGGATAAGTTGGATGTTAAACAGGAGAATAAGGAGGAACATATTCTTCTCCCCTTGAAAACTTCCCAGAGGCTGGAGGTCAGAAGAATTTACCCAGTCATCTTTGCGGACGTCATCAGATACAAACAAGTAAAACATGTCAGTGTATTTTGAGTGCATTGGCAGAAATTATATTACTTATATTCACAAATTATTTTATATGCATCAAAAGTTTTCAAAGGATTGGAGTTGATTGGAAAGTATTTTTTATATTCTGAATGCTTATTTTAGAAGGGTATGAAACTCTCTATAAGCAAGACAATGCATCTTCATCATAAAGAGTTATCATCCAAATTCGCAAATTATTAAAATCACCTTCTCCACCTCAAATTTTTCTTTCATTTGTGGCAATAATTTTGTTCTTTCTCTTACCAGTTCTTAAAAATGAATATATGTATTGCTATGTTGGAATATTCAACAGCCCATTGAAAGTTTTATAGTTAATGGAAAGAAATGATCTAAATTTCTTAGTCAAATATCTATATGCCCAGATAGTAATCAAATATTATTGTATCTTTGCAAGGATCTATTACCTTGACTGCAGTGCTAGATTCCCTACAGGTGACCTGTTTATATCTTGAGGTATTTATTTATTATTGCTCTTTGCTTCTTTGATATTAGTGCAAATCTCTCCAACTTTCCATTTAAAAAATATTTCTCTGTTGTTTTGTTTATCCTTATCCTCCTTATTCCTCCACTCCACCCCAGTACACCCAATCCTATTTCCATTTCTATTGTTTATTTTATAATACCATATTTCATAGTATTCCAGTAAAGTTGTTCAAATTGTTCAGATTCTGAGTTAATATAGTAATTATTGAAGTATTGTCTGAAAGTTTGGATAAATTTGGGGAGTCGATTGTCTAAGGTGACAAATCAAGAATTCTGATGAGTATTTCTTTTTAGTTGTTTAGAGACAACCCAGGAACTAAAGGATATATTTTCTCAAAATCAAATAGTAACATGTAGCCACAGCTAATACGACACAATAAATCTGCATCGAAGTCTTTTCATTTTGTCTTTATGTCTTAATTGAGCTTAGAGCAAGACATGGGTCAAGATAAGGACTGACTCAAGTCCTCTGTAGGGTTTTAAATTCCAACTGCTAGAATATTTGGTCTTGTTTTATTCCTTTTGATGTGTATTAATTTTCTTGACTTTTTAACAGTAGTGTCAAAAGCAGCTAAATACTTGCAGAGAGAATTTCACTCCATGTGGAAGAGAAACACTTTAATTGTGTATGATGCAGATTTTTACAGCTCTCATCTTTGAGACATGCTTTTAATGTAACTGTCTCCATAAACCTGAAATACATATATTATTGACATAAAATTCTATAGAGTCTCTGAAATGGGTAAAAATTGTCAGTTGAATCTTATATGTATATGCTTATTTGCCCATTTAATGAAAAGTACTGTAGATGTTTGGTGGAAAACTGAAATATAATGATTTTCTTTAGGTAATATGTACAGTACTTAATTTAGAAGGTGAAATTGTGTGTTTGTGTATTTGTTGTTGTTTCCCAAAGTTAGTATTTCTCAGCATGGGTAGCTGTTAGTATGTGCTAACTTCATCTTTTGAAACTATTATTAGTAAAACAATTTATTTAGTTGTTTTCTAAGATACAGAGTACTTTTAAGATAAACATTTAAATTTTAGAACATGTTTAGATTTACAGGAAAATTAAGAAGAGAATACAGAGTTCTCATATACCCAGTGCCCAGTTTTTCTTAACATATCTCATTAGTATGATGCGTTTGTTATAACTGATGAGTAACATTGATTAATCATTATTAGCTGAATCATTATTCACTGAATGTGTAGATTATTCAGATTGCCTTAGTTTTTATGTAATGTTCTTTTTCTGTTTTTAGGATCCCATCCAGGAGACCACATGACATTTAGTTGTCATGTTTCCTTAGGTTCATTTTGGCTGTATATTTTCTCAGTCTTTTCTTGTTTTTGATGACCTTGATGATTTTGAGAAGTACCAGTCAGGTAATTTGTAGAATGATCCTCAGTTAAAAGTTGTCTGATGTTTTCCTCATGATTAGACTGGGATTATGGGTTTTTGGGAGGAGGACCACCGTGGTAAAGTCTCGTTTCATTACATAATATCAGGGATACATGCAATAAATATGACTAATCACTGCTGATGTTAAACTTATTCACCTAGCTGATTTAGTGTTTGTCATGTATCTCCATAATAAGATATTATTTTCTTTTTATCACTCTTTCCATATTGTACTTCTTGGAAAAAAGTCACTATGCACAGTCCAATCTTAAGGAGTGGAGAGCAACTTCTTCAATTCCTTCTGGGTGGAGTATTTACATAAATTACTTGGAATTCCCCTGCAAGAAAAATTTGTCTATTCCTACCCTTATTTATTTATTTATTTATTTATTTATTTATATCAATACAAACTCATGGATATTTATTTTACACTTTGAGTTATAATCCAATACTGCTTTATTTTCCTGATTAAACTATTCCAGCTTTAAAAGGACATATAGTTCCTTCTTTCCTTCCTTCCTTTTCTTCCTTCCTTCCTTTTCATTCCTTCCTTCCTTCCTTTTGTCTGTCCTCCCCACCCTCCTTTCTTCCTTTCTTCCTTCCTGCCTTCTTGCCTTTCTTCCTTTCTTCCTTCCTTCCTGCCTTCTTGCCTTTCTTTCTTTCTCTTTCTTTCCTTCTTTCTTTCTTTTCCTTCCTTCCTTCCCTCCCTCCCTCCCTTCCTTCTTTCCTTCCTTCCTTCCCTCCCTCCCTTCCTTCTTTCCTTCCTTCCTTCCTTCCCTCCCTCCCTCCCTTCCTTCTTTCCTTCCTTCCTTCCCTCCCTCCCTCCCTCCCTTCCTTCTTTCCTTCCTTCCTTCTTTCTTTCTCAGCAATATACTGCAGGCTCATCTTGTATATTTTACACCCCAATCTTAGAATCAACCATTTCTTGAAGGAACACTGCTTCCTGTTATTGGAGAATGGTATTGGAAGTAAAAATTTGGCCATTAGGTGTGCTCATTGCTGCTGAGGTGTTGTTTCTTTTAGATCCTCTGCACTGAAAGATCAAGGAAATATGTGTGTATACTAACCCTATATGTACACATATCTATACATGTTTACATATGTGTAACCATCTATATTTAAATTAAGCTAAACATGAGATTATACTCGTGTCTCCAACCCTAATACATTACAGGCCAACTTTATTTTAACTTAACAGGTTTATATGGGAAAGACATGAGAAGGAAGAACAGGCAACACAGTGTTCCTACTTTGGGGTTGATGAGTCCACAGACTACACCAAGCTCTCACAGGATGTAATGAAGGAATAAAACACATCCTGTAGTAACAACTTTCAACTTTATTATTTACTAGGGTTACACTTCAAATACTTTTAGTGTAACATGCAGAAAATAAATACTTTGCAACTGAAGTCCATTATCTTCAATAAGAGAGTTTTAAGGATCTTCTAACTTTAGAAGAAGGCCTCAAACACAGACCTACTGGGAGAAAGCTATAAGAAAAGTATCTCAGTCTATGCTCATTTTACTTTTATAGTCCATGGCTTTTGACAACCACTGGAAGTTTCTATAAGAGGGGTGATTACAGCTACAGTTCACCTAATGGATCACTGACCAGTGGGAGTGAGAGGAAAGAACATAGGACCTAGACTAGAAAGAAAATGGACTTTAGGCTCACTTTCATCATTTATTGGTAACACAAGTATCCCAGTGTGTCTAAACCTTAGTTTTTTCATAGAGTAGATAATATTAATTCCTACAAAATTTATTTTAAGTGGCAGTGTAATAATTAAGAAAACTGTGAAGTGTGAAAGTAATTTGTGAAATAATAAAACAATACAAAATAATTATTATTTATATTATCTTTAGTGGGAGGAGATCATACCCATTGGGTAATTGGAGATGCCATAGCATAGTGGGCAAGAATGTGGACCTGAACTACGCAATTTACTAATTGTGTGAAATAAGGCCAGACAGACCCTTAATTTCTCTGAGATTCACTTTTCTTATAGGTCAAATGGGGTTCATTTATCCTATAAGCTCATTGTAAGGATTTGATGGGAGAATTCCCTGTACATGGAAAATACTCAACGTTGGTTTAGTAAACTCCAAATAATTGATTCACAAGACAACTAAGTAATAAATCTATCCACAAGTTAACTTTCCTTGGATTTCAGTTTAATCATCTGTGGGGTGGGAAGGGGATTGTGTGGTTGCTAATGTCCTTTCTTTCCAGCTCTAAAGTTCATATTCTGAATCTCTCTGTTTTTTGGAAATGCTGATTGGTGCATGGGATACAGGATCCCAGCTCGTAACAGGGCCTGGGTAAATTCCCTTGAAATAAGTGGAGGGATTGGGCCTCCCAACTTAGCTATGAGGGGCCACAGAAAAACTACACCCCAGTTGAGTGATGAGAGGCAATTGTCCACTAGAAAGGCACTTCACTCTCATGGGCCCCCTCCAAGGGTCTAGGAGGGGCACTCGCAATGTGTAAAATTTACAAAAATGAGATTTTTTTTTTACTGTAATCAACTAAGAGTGCTATTTCCACTCTGACTTCCCCTCATGTCAGTTGGCTTTGGAGGAGTTGTGAATATTTTGAGACATAGCTAAAGGGAAGTTGATTTGGGAATCTGGTTTGGATTGATGTAGAAGGGTGCATTTATGTGGTTCACAATTGCTTCCATGTAGAGTTAAATTGTTGCAAGCTGACCTGATGTAGGAAGGACTACTAGGAATATTCTGAATTCCAACTGTGCTGACTTGCACAGCAACAAGACATGAAACTCTAGAGAAACTTTGAGAAGCTGAAAAAAAACTTTCTAAGCTATTAATAATTTTAAAAATTAAAATTTTTTCTTAGTTTTTTTTTTTTTTTTTTTTGAGACACAGTCTTTCTTTGTCACCCAGGCTGCAGTGTAGGACATGATCACCACTAACTGCAGGCTCGACTTCCCAGGCCTCAGAGATCTTCCCACCTCAACCTCCCAAGTAGTTGTGACCCCAGGTGCCTGACACCACACCTGAGGTTTTTGTTTTGTTTTGTTTTGGTAGAGATAGGGTCTCCCCATGTTTCTCATTCTGGTCTTGAACTCCTGGGCTCAAGTTATCTTCCTGCCTCAGCCTTAGAAAACAAATTTTGATCAATCATGTTAGAAGACAGATTAACTGATCTACTTTTTTTCCCTCTAGAAAATGGTGTTATAAAATCTTTGTCATTTTGCTACTTTAATAGTATGAAGCCAAAATTTCAGGGAAAGGAGTATCATAGAGATCTGTCACACAGTTAATTAGTTAATCTTACATTATTTTCCTGGACTTGGCAATGTTTATGGTATTGTTAGCTTTAAAAATTTGTAAGTTATGCACCATAGAATGTGTATCTGCCCCTGTATCTACCCTACGTTTGCTTCTTTGAGAATCCTGCCAACACATAGAATCTGTAACAAGTAGCTGTGGATATAGATGGATTTCTCTGATACACAAAGATGTAGGACTGTATATAGATTTTTCTTTAGATTCTTCACATTTCAGGAATCTTCTCTTGAGAAATGAGAATTGGAAGCTCCTAGAGCCATACCTTCAGTCAGTATTTTCCTTCTCCTAGGAATCCTGGGCTCTTAGGGTTTCTCCTTCTGTTTGTGCAACCTCCTCCCTTACTGGCCTAGAAGAATAGTGTGGCTCCCAAGGGCCCAATTTACTATTGGAAGCCACTTAGGAAATTAGCTTGTCACCCCTGGGAATTGGAGACTTGGACTTGCTTATTCTAGTTGTGCTGATTCATAGATGGATTCAACTATGCATTTATCATTGATTCACTGATTTGTTCAACAAAACATTTAATGTTTTTTTTTTGTTTTTTTTTTTTTTTTTTTTGAGACGGAGTCTCCCTCTGTCGCCCAGGCTGGAGTGCAGTGGCGCGAACTCGGCTCACTGCAAGCTCTGCCTCCCGGGTTCACGCCATTCTCCTGCCTCAGCCTCCTGAGTAGCTGGGACTACAGGCGCCCACCACCACGCCCGGCTAATTTTTTGTATTTTTTAGTAGAGACGGGGTTTCACCATGTTAGCCAGGATGGTCTCAATCTCCTGACCTCGTGATCCGCCCGCCTCGGCCTCCCAAAGAACATTTAATGTTATATGTAAGATGGCTTTTGTGTTTTTATGTGGATTCTTAGAACAAATATTTAGAGATTTGTACAGTGGAAGAACTGGCACTGCTAGAAAAGTTGATCATTTAAACCCTCTGTTACTCATCAATATGGTTCTGAAATCTACAGAGACCTGGGAACTCTTCCAGTATCATAACTTTAATCTGGTTTTTCTTGTAACTATGCAGATTCATGATGGCAACCTAGCTATCCCCACTCCAAACTGCTTTATTCCAATTGTCACATGTCATCAACACTCAGAATCTGAGGGTGGATCATCTTGATTGCTAAATGAATCTCCTCATAAAAAGTAAAATTGACAAAAATGATTTAAAGTTTGCCGAATTATTCTGTAAAGTGATGTATCATTGGTCAAAACACCTGAACAACAATTTAGGTGGTCAAGTTCTCTATCCTGGTGCAGACATAGTGATTTTATTTGTATGTATATGTCTATGTTTATATGTATATGTACATATACATATATAGTATGTATGTTACACAAATATATAGGTATTTACCCAATACATTTCTATGTATGTGCATATACACATATTTGTGCTATTGTAATTACTGCATATGTGCAATTCATAAAACTTAAGAATTATTTTACCCTTTCTTGGAGAGTATGTGCTGCTAAAATGTTGTTTTAGGACCTATGTGATAGCGTTAGTAGAGCAAAAATTATTGCCTGTCTCCTATGACCAGTGTGGATTTTACTATTTAAGAATGTATACACATATTTGCTCACTGTTTGTGAGTGTGCATTATTGGCACACTCAAATAATAATATTGGCATTATTTCCCAAGAGTGTGGCACCAGGTGGCAGATGCTGACATTAAGCAACTAAAAGTATTTTGTTGTGCCCTCTAAATATTTCAAAGATGACAACATCAATCTCCTGAACCCAAATTTCTGTATGTCTCTGCCCCAAAGCATCGGGTGAATGGACGGAATATGCTTTAGGCAAATGAGCTTTAGGAGTCCATCTCTGGCATCCAGGCAGCAAACAGTGGCAAATGAATCTTAGCTGCAGAGTCAGTTAGAGTGTGGTTGATAATTCCACCCTCTAACAACTGCAGATAACATCAACCTGTTACACAGTAGCCTAGTGAAATTAACTGAAGGCTGTGCCTTTATTCCAGTATCCTCTTCCCATTGGAGGTGCTGTCGTGTTCTTTCTTCTCCGTTCTCTACTGAGAAGATATGCAGTTCCACTACAAGGGCCCAAGGTAGCTTAAATAATTTCTGCAAGTTATAGCTTACAGTAAGCTTTCATGCACTTACTCTGCTGGAGAAAATGAATTTACTACATGGAATCACACTCCTCTGAAAATATCTCTGGGTCTCCGCAACCTACAGATATATAACAAGCAAAAGAGTACTTACAGACACTGATCTATTAAGCCATTTTCCTAAAATACCTACAGTCTCTTCATATGAAACAGAAAAAAAATCATTAAAGCTATGGTTTGCCAGACAATTACTTTGTCAAATCTCAAGAAATTGCATAATAAATTGTATACATGCATCAAACATGAACAGCAGAGGACTATAACAAGCTATGTATTTCCAATCCACTTGCTCTTTCATCCAAACAGTAGCTTTTGTTTTTGAGAACAGTTCTATATTCTTTTTAAAGGGTTTCATAAAATATGGCTATACATTTATCTATCAAACAAAGTAGAAATAACTGAAACACTTAATATGCACAGTAATAGGGAAATGCATGAATAACTTCAATATTAATGTCTATTGATTATTTATGTTTTCAAATAGGCAAATGTAGCTGCTAGTATTCTTATCATGTAAATCTATATGTGTATTTTGGCTTTACCTGTTTATTGGCAAATTTACAGTCCACTTTATGGGCATTTTTATTGCTTTACACACTTACTTGATATGCACATAACCAAGGTCAGTTTACAAACTGACTAGTGTTTACTCAATTTGATTACTATGTTACATTTCTGAGCTTATTTTCCCTTTGGAAAATTAACTGTGCAAAGAAGCCTAGTAAATCTTTACTTAAAAATTCCAAACTTTAGATTGATTTCAGCAGTGTGTTTGTATTGATCTCAAAAGCTTTGCGTTCCTAACTAAAAACTAATCTTTATTTCACCCTTTAGTGACTGTAGTCATAAATATGCTCACTCTTACCAGGGTAGAGTGGATTAATGGTTATTGGAGATTGGGGCTTCCACTAAGTCTGGGAAACCTTAACCTTTGGAGGACAACATGAAGGCATTTACCCCTTGTCAGCTATAATCCCTAGTTCCTTTTTTGACATTTACCTGAGTGTTAAAGAGGAGGCAGAGCAGAGGCTAAGGAATAAAGCTCCAGAGATTCTATTTGGCTATTAATCATCACTGTTAGATTGATTGTCAAGCCTGACCCTGGCTGCTTCTAGCCATCAGACTCACCACAAAGCATGACTCTGCTGCTCCACTCTGGAACCCAGGTTAACTCCTCCTGGGGAAGCTTTCTGCTGCTTGCCTTCAAGGAAGGACTTATTTCATTGCTAAAAATGCATCTGTCATTAATGTTTCAATCTTGCTGTACTGATGGAACAAACACTTGGGGAGCATGTCCAACCCATTTACAAGATCTAATTATGGAGAATAAAAGAGTTAAAAAGGGACAGAACAGAATTTGTTACCACGGATAATCAGTAACAACTCAGGTGGCAGCAGACAGTTGGCTGACAAATGGTAATAATACTGTAAGGCAGTGTTTCTCAAAGTGTGGTCCTTGGCACCTCCTGAATCACAATAACCACTAAGCCTGCTAAATTAGAATCTCGAGGGTGCCAGAATTCTGGACTTTAACAAGTATTCCAAGTAGCTCTTACATTCCCCAAAGTGTGGGACCTACAGTATCATGTAGGTGTGCTTTGAGGTGCTGCCCCTTTTACCACTTTCTATGGTGGAAAGGAAGAATGTTAATTTTCTTGGACCTGATGGCATAAGTTACTATTTATTTACCCGATATTCATATTTCCCTTTCTCTTTAGTAATGGAAACTTAATTTTTACCTGAGCTCCTTGCTGCCCAGTTCACATTTCTCAACCTCCCTGACAGCTAGATGCAAAGGGGGCTTTTGTATGGGACTTACAAAATCTCCCTCAAAGGATGGGCATGTGGCCTTTTTCTTCCTTTCCTTCAATCTTCTGCTTAGAATGTGCCTCTATCTGCTGCAGCCCCAGTAGCATAGCCTGGACCACCACGAGGACAAGGCTCATACCTAGGATTGGTGGGCCAGAGAGCTTGAAGGGCCCTGGGTCTCTGAAGATTCTGTGAACCCACCGAACTAGTTCTGGATTGCCTATGACTGGACCTCTTTTACATGAAAAGAGTGAAATTTTGCATATTTCATCCCTTGTTGGGGAGGGTACAGGATCATTGTTATTCATAGATGAATGAGATTACTAACTGGCACAGAAACCCATTTAGGGTTATAAATTCACTTCAGGCTAAATTCTCCACTTCAGATGACCCCGACTTTTCCCAAGCATTATTATTGACTGTGAGGGTGAGAGTGTTTCTGAGTACTGGTAGTGATTTTGTTAAGTTTCTGTGGGCTCAGGAGTCAGAGGCATACTCCCAGTCTTGCTTACAATTGCAGAAAGGTATGTGTGCCTTTGGCTGTGCCCACAGAACGCAGGTTTGCAGTTGCAGCTGGCCAAGGGGGTTCTAGGGAGGGCAGCAGCCCCAAGGACACCTGTACATACAAGAATCTCGATTGCCTGTTAAAGCAATTGATCATTTAGTGGTGCCCTCTATGCTCCATGAAGTTAACCTTTATCAGACTTAAGGCAAAGACTGTTACATATGGATGAAATGCAGTGTCTTAAAGACATTCAAAGCTTCCTTAAACTGTTTCTTTTACCTTAAGGATGGAAAAATTGTATTTCTTTTCTCCTATTAGTGTTTTTATTTCTTCTAATTCCAAATCTGATGCTATCAAGTCATTATCTTTGTGTAGAGATAGCCCTTCTAAACCTTACTGACTTTTAAGATAAGATGATGTGTAAATACAGCAAGCAAAGTAAGATTCTCTATTTCCTTCACTCGTTGGCCCAGTTATTAAAGTCATTTATTAGAGGCTTCTCTCTAACCCTACTTTCTTTTCTTTCACTTTCTGCTATAAATGCAGTTACAACCATTAACACAATCACCTTTACTGATACATTGACTAATGGGATGGCAACAGATCCACTTGCATAAATAATTTTTTATTAAATTTCACATTCCAACATTTAGTGTGACCCTGGTTATGACAGAACAGGGATTCACAAAGTGTGGTCCTTGGCATCAGCCTTATCTGAGAGCTTGTTAGACATGCAAATCATTGGATCCCACCCCAGACCTGAGTCAGAAACTCTGAAGGTGGGGCCCAGTAATTTTTGTTTTTAGAAGCCTTCTAGGTGATTCTGATGCCTGCTCAACTTTGAGAATCAGTGTTCTAGAATGAGTCTAGTCATATCTTCAAATCAATCCACCAAGAATGCTTACAAATTAATATTCCTTAACGTATCCACTCCAGTGAAATCCTAGAGAAACTCTCACATGTTGGCCATCAAACATTTAACTATATTATTACTTTTATCTCATCCATCTTCAGCCTACAGATAACTGGGCCAGGCAATAAGATGATTCAATTTGTACTAAAATAGCACTAATGATAATAACACCTTAAATTGTGTAGCACTTTTCAGTATTTAAAGTGCTAACACATATAAAATTTCACTTGATTATGCAATGGATTCAAATATACCATCTGAGTCAATACAATTTAATTGCAGGAAGGGAATCATAAACACAAACTGTTGCAGAGCCATGTCTTACTCTTTTTTTTTGTCTCTATTTCTCTGCTTCTTTAGCATTAGAAACTATACTTGTTAAAATACATATTTTTAAATAAATGAACACCTAAATAATTAACTGTGATTGGCTGATGAATCTATGGGAGTTTTAAGTCCATTCCATCTGCACAGAGAGGAGATCTTATTTTAAAAGTTTCCATTTTCTAACTATAAATTTAACATTTAGACATTTGACAATGGTTAATACTTAACTGACTTACAGATGCACTGCAAAGATTGACTTATTGTCTTCATTTTAATAGAAAACACAAACTCAGGATAGCTACTGAGTCACATGGATGAGACCAGTATTCTTTCTGTGTTATTCTTAAATACTATTAGATAGGAGAATATAATTTTTTGAGAACATAAATACAACATGTAGGAATTGATTTAAATATTTTTAAGTACATTTATTATACTTATAAATTGGGGTATTGTACTTATAAATTGGGGTATTATACTTCCATACTTTATTAAATATAGCTTAAATAGTATTTTTAAAAAACATATTAAAAGTAAAAATTAAAAATAGTCTTAGAAGATGGGGGAAAATAAAGAACTTCTAAAAAAAACCCTAGCACCTAGCTAAATGCTAAGTTTCTAAAATGCATTAACCAAGTACCTTTCCAGGACTGTGATCCTAACCAAATATTTCAGGGTTTGCTAATATTCTTTGTTAGCTCTGTGACTCTTAAAAAATAACATCAATTCTAAGACTCTTAATCTTTTTGTAAGCTTTCCAAAAAAAAGCAAATCCCAAACCACAGTGTTTTGAAACAAACTTCTGATAAATAATTTGGAGTATGTTCAATAAGAATAACACAAAATTAAATTTCCAAGAGTGTGTTTTAGTAGAAAAGATTTCAAGTTTTGGAGTTAGAAAACTGGGCTCAAGTTCCACCTCTGTAATTTACTAGCTATAAGGCCAAGTTATTGATTCCTCTAAACCTCCGTTTTCTCATCTAAAAATTGGGGGCAATAATAATACTTGTCTTAGAGAGTTTTTAACCTCAAACAGAACTATGCATATTAATTTTCTAGCCTAATGACTAGCAAGCAGAAAGTCCTTCATACATAATAGCTCTTATTGTTATAAAAGAAAATAAGATGGTACATGAAATAATTTATAAAAATAAACGGATGCATAAATACTGGTTGATATTGTTCAGTTGACCCTTGAACAAAGTAGGGGTCAGGTCCCCCACACAGTAAAAAATCTGCATATAACTTTTGACTCTCTAAAAACGTAACTACTAATAAACTACCATTGATGCGAAAACGTTCTGATAACATAAACAGTCGATTAATGCACATTTTGTATGTTACATATATTATATACTGTATGCCTACAGTAAAGTAAGCTAGAGAAAAGAAAATATTATTAAGAAAATAATAAGGCAGATAAAATATATTTACTATCCATTAAGTGGAAACAGATCATCATAAAGGTTTTTATGCTCATCATCTTTGAGTTTAGCAGGCTGTGAAGGAAGAAGAAGAAAAGGGATTGGTCTTGCTATCTCAGGGATGAAAGTGGTGGAGGGAGAAAGGCAGGCAAGAGAGGCAGACACACTGTGTAACTTTACAGAAATACATCATAATTTCTGTGTGAGTTTTTTGCTTTTTCATTTCTCTAAAAACGCTCCCAAACATTACCAGTTCTTCTTTCACCATTTGCTTTAGATTCAGTGCCCATATCATAGAAGGATCCATATCATAAAATAAGTCAAAAGCAGTCTTGAGTAATTAAAAAGCTTATGTCAGATTGTCTAGTGTCGGTTTGTTTTCTGGCACTGCAATTTTTATGTCTTCTATATCATCTGGCACAGGTACAGAAGCATTCATTTCCATCAAGTCGTCTTCTGTTCATTCCTCTGATGTGGTGTCTGTTAGCTCTTCAATTTCTCCAAGATCCATATCTTGAAATCCTTCACACATCCCCACCTTTTTGCCATATCTACAATTTCTTTCATGATTTCCTTGATTGGCTCTGTCATAAATCCTGTGAAGTCATGAACAACAACTGGACATAGTTTTTTTAAGCAGTAATTTATTGTCTTGGGCTTGATAGTTTTCATGGCTTTTTCTATAACAACAATGGCATCTTCAATGGTGTAATTCTTCCAGACTTTCATGATGTTCTCTCTATCAGGGTTCTCTTCCATAGAGTGTGTAATGAGCCTTAAAGGTCTTTATGATTCCTGATCTAGAGGCTGAATTAGAGATATTTTGTTTGGGGGTAGGTAAACCACTTTGACACCTTCTGTGTTGAACTCGTGGGTTTCTGGGTGGCCACGGGCATTGTCCAATGTCAAAGGAACTTTAAAATACAGGCCTGGCCAGGCATGGTGGCTCACGCCTGTAATCCCAGCACTTTGGGAGGAAGAGGCGGACGGATCACCTGACGTCGGGAGTTTGAGCAGCCTGACCAACATGGAGAAACCCCATCTCTACTAAAAATACAAAATTACCGGGCGTGGTGGCGCATGCCTGTAATCCCAGCTACTCGGGATGCTGAGGCAGGAGAATTGCTTGAACCTGGGAGGCGGAGGTTGCAGTGAGCCGAGATCGCGCCATTGCACTCTAGCCTGGGCAACAAGGGCGAAACTCAGTCACAAACAAACAAACAAAAAAACAAAAGGGCCCTTACTAGAAAAGTACTTCCTGACATCAAGGACAAAGCATCAATGGAACCAATCCAGAAAAAGAGTTCTCATTTTCCAAGGCTTCTTACTGTACAACCAAAAGATTGGCAGCTGGTGCTTATCTTTTCCTTCAAGGCTCAAGAGTTAGCAGCTTTATACATAAGGGCAGTTTTGATGATAAACTCAACTGCATTGTCACAAAATCGTAGTTAGCCTATCTTTCCTGCCTTAAATCCTAGTGCTCACTTCTCTGCCTTACTAATTAATGTCCTTTGTGTGTGTTTCCCACACCCCCCAAAATACGATACTTTCGTGTGCATTAAAAACCTGTTCAGGCAAATATCCTTTCTCCTCAATGATTTTCTTTTTTTCATTTAAAAAAAATTTTAACTTTTATTTTAGGTTAAGTGGTACATGTACAGGTTTGTTATATAGGTAAACTCGTGACTTAAGGTTTGGTGTATGGATTATTTTGTCATCCATGAACTAAGCATAGTACCCAACAGTTCGTTTTTTTTTTTTTTTTTTTTTTTTGAACCTTTCCCTCCTTCCATCCTTCACCCTCAGTGGGCCCCCATGTCTGCTGTATTCTCATTATTTAGCTCCCATTTATAAGTGACAACATGTGGTATTTGGTTTTCTGTTCCTGCAATAGTTTGCTAAGGATAATGACCTCCAGTTCCATTCATATTCTCCTCACTTTTTTAATGGCATCTGGGAAATTTGTCGGCTGTCTCTTGGTTGGCAAAAGCTGCCTCCCCTATTATCTTGACTCTTTTTTTTTTTTTTTAAGCCAAATCTCTTTCTAAAATTATCAAACCGTCCTTTGCTGGTATTGAGTTATCTAGCTTTAGATCCTTTATTTTGCTTTAAGCTATCGTATCACTTTGTTTTTTCTCAAATCATATTCCAGTCTATAGGTACACCTCTCTTATAGCAATCCTGCCCCCACACAAAAGTTGCATTTTCAATATGAGATAAAAAGGTATTTCACAAAAAAGTGCAACGTTTTCTTACCTCCTGGTGAGAGGTGACAGCGTGCTGGCAGTCCTCACAGCCCCCGCTCCCTCTCGGAGCCTCTTCTGCCTGGGCTCCCACTTTGGCGGCACTTGAGGAGCCCTTCAGTCCACCACTGCACTGTGGGAGCCCCTTTCTGGGCTGGCCAAGGCCGGAGCCCACTCCCTCAGCTTGCAGGGAGGTGTGGAGGGAGAGGCGCGAGCGGGAACCGGGGCTGCGTGCGGCGCTTGCGGGCCAGCTGGAGTTCCGGGTGGGCGTGGGCTTGGCGGGCCCCGCACTCGGAGCAGCCGGCCGGCCCTGCCGCCCCGGGCAATGAGGGACTTAGCACCCGGGCCAGCGGCTGCGGAGGGTATACTGGGTCCCCCAGCAGTGCCAGCCCACCGGCGCTGCGCTCTATTTCTCGCCGGGCCTTAGCTGCCTTCCCGCGGGGCAGGGCTTGGGATCTGCAGGCCGCCATGCCTGAGCCTCCCACCCCCTCCGTGGGCTCCTTTGCTGCCCGAGCCTCCTCGACGAGCGCCACCCCCTGCTCCACGGCGCCCAGTCCCATCGACCACCCAAGGGCTGAGGAGTGCAGGCGCATGCGCGGGACTGGCAGGCAGCTCCACCTGCAGCCCCGGTGCGGGATCCACTGGGTGAAGCCAGCTGGGCTCCTGAGTCCGGGTCCGCGGCTTCATTCTTGAAGTCAGCGAGACCAAGAACCCACCAATTCCGGACACACTGGCATAGCTGCAGCAACAATCTCATGCATTTCCTTCTCTTTTTTACAATGATCATTAGGCTAGATTCATTTATCATGAAATGATGAGTAACACAGCTGCAGACTTCAATCTATGTTACAGATCAAGCAATTCAAAATTTTCTTGTAATGTCATGTCTTTTCTCTGTTTCTTGGGGACATTTCCGACATCACTAGTGCCACTTTGTATTCAATTCAATGCTTATAGTGTTGCGATAAACACAATGAGAAATACTCAAGAGCCACAAGTGATCACTTTTTACTGCAATTTGTAATTTACTGGTCTGGTCACAGGAAGATTGTTAGTGTCATGTGGCATTTTAAGAGGATACTCCTAATGCTTGTGATCATTGCAGTAACAACGGGGGTGGCTAAAAAACTATTACAGTATGGTTAAATACCGCATCTTTACATTTGTTGGCCTTTCTCTCAACAGCAAATGGTGCCGTGACAGTCTGCAAACGTTTGTGAGTGTACATTTTGATAAATTTTAACTTTTTATAATAGATTTATATAAATTTATGGTAGTAAATAATAAAATAGACTAAGATTTACATATGTCTTATGCATTCATAACAGACCTAACAGACGTTTTTCTCAATTTTTTAAAGTAATTCTAGGCTATGTGTTTCATCCATGAGTTTTTTCCAGTTGTCACAGATCTCCAAAAAAATTTTCAATATATTTATTGAAAAAAGTGTGTGTATAAGTGAACCTGTACCGTTCAAACCGATGTTATTCATAAGAGCCTACCAACCAAAAAAGCTCAGGACCAGACAGATTCACAGCTGAATTCTACCAGAGGTACAAAGAGGAGCTGGTACCATTCCTTCCGAAATTATTCCAAGCAATAGAAAACGAGGGACTCCTCCCTAATTCATTTTATGAGGCCAGCATCATCCTGATACCAAAACCTGGCGAGACACAACAAAAAAGAAAAATTCATGCCAATTTCCCTGATGATCACTGATGCAAAAAACCTCAATAAAATACTGGCAAGCCAAATCCAGCAGCACCTCAAAAAGCTTATCCACCATGATCAAGTTAGCTTCATCCCTGGGATGCAAGACTGGTTCAACATATGCAAATCAATCAATGTAATCCATCACATAAACAGAAACAATGACAAAAACAACATGATTATCTCAATAGATGCAGAAAAGGCCTTCAATAAAATTCAACACCCCTTCATGCTAAAAAACCCTCAATAAATTAGGTATTGATGGAACATATCTCAAAATAATAAGAGCCATTTATGACAAACCCACAACCAATATCATACTGAATGGGCAAAAGCTGAAAGTATTCCCTTTGAAAACCAGCAGAAGACAAGGATGCCCTCTCTCACCACTCCTATTCAACACAGTATTGGAAGTTCTGGCCAGGGCAATCAGGCAAGAGAAAGAAATAAAGGGTATTCAAATAGGAAGAGAGGAAGTCAAGGAGAGGAAGTCAAATTGTCTCTGTTTGCAGATGACATGATTGTATATTTAGAAAACCCCATAGTCTCAGCCCAAAATCTCCTTAAGCTAATAAGCAACTTCAGCAAAGTCTCAGGATACAAAATCAATATGCAAAAATCACAAACATTCCTATTCACCAATAATAGACAAACAGAGAGCCAAATCATGAGTGAACTCCCATTCACAATTGCTACAAAAAGAATAAAATACCTAGGAATACAACTTACAAGGGATGTGAAGGACTTCTTCAAGGAGAACTACAAACCACTGCTCAAGGAAATAAGAAAGGACACAGTCAAATGGAAAAACATTCCATGTTCATGGATAGGAAGAAACAATATTGTGAAAATGGCCATACTGCCCAAAGTAATTTACAGATTCAATGCTATCCCCATCAAGCTACCATTGACTTTCTTCACAGAATTAGAAAAAACTACTTTAAATTTTATACGGAACCAAAAAAGAGCACATAGAGCCAAGACAATCCTAAGCAAAAAGAACAAATCTGGAGGCATCACACTACCTGACTTCAAATTATACTACAAGGCTACAGTAACAAAAACAGCATGGTACTGGTACCAAAACAGATATATAGACTAATGGAACAGAATGGAGGCCTCAGAAATAACACCACACATCTACAACCATCTGATCTTTGACAAACCTGACAAAAGCAATGGGGAAAGGATTCCCTATTTAATAAATGGTGTTGGGAAAACTGGCTAGCCATATGCAGAAAACCGAAACTTGACCCCTTCCTCATACCTTATACAAAAATTAACTCAAGATGGATTAAAGACTTAAACATAAGGCCTAAAGCCATAAAAACCCTAGAGGAAAACCTATGCAATACCATTCAGGACATAGGCATGGGCGAAAACTTCATGACTAAAACACCAAAAGCAATGGCAACAAAAGCCATGATGTCCACAAATGATCTTAACTTAGGTTTTTAGAAAATTTCCTCATCACCGTCTAGTTTCCTAAGGATGCAATACTATCTTGAAAGACGACTATTGGCCGGGCGCGGTGGCTCATGCCTGTTATCCCAGCACTTTGGGAGGCCGAGGTGGGTGGATCATGAGGTCAGGAGATCGAGACCTACCTGGCTAACATGGTGAAACCCCGTCTCTACTAAAAATACAAAAAATTAGCCAAGCGTGGTGCCAGGCACGTGTAGTCCCAGATACTTGGGAGGCTGAAGCAAGAGAATGGCGTGAACCCAGGAGGTGGAGCTTGCAGTGAGCCTAGATTGCGCCACTGCACTCCAGCCTGGGCGACAGAGTGAGACTCAGTCTCAAAAAAAAAAAAAAAAGAAAAAAGAAAGAAAGAAAGATGACTGTCATATTGTCCTCCTTTACTTTACTGAACCCCAACCTTTCCTGAGCTAAGTATCATGTGCTAGGATTTTGAAGATTAACAAGACACAGTTTCTGCTCTTGAACAGTTCAGCATTCAAACTCTGCAGGACATAAAAGAAGGAAGATAGCTGTAAAAACTCAAGCAACTATTGACTGCAGAACTAAAAGCAGGCAAATGAAAATAGCCAGCAGGCAAAGCACTAACTAAAACACACTCACATTAAGGGACTTTCATAGTAACACATATGCAGTATGCACATCTTGTAAATAACACCACAGGTAAACCAGAGAGAGGAGGCTTAAAGGCAAGAATTCAGAACTTCTAATAGCTATCTAATTTTTTTTGTAGCCACAGGCACAAGAAATTATTTACATAGAGCTGTGGTTCTTAACGTGGTCCATAGACCCCTGGGGGTACCTGAAATCTCTTGAGGGGATCTTTGAAGTCAAAACTGTGTTTACAATGATTCAAAGATTTTATTTGCCTTTTCTACTGTATTGACATTTGTACTTAGGGTAGAAAAGCAATGGTCGGTAAAACTGGTGTTATCTTATTAAAAATCAAAGCAGCAGCACCAAGCTGAGCTACTAGTCATTGTATTCTCGAATGCTGATCTTTCACAAAAGATGCATTTCTCATTTAAAGAAATTGTCAGTCTCACTTTAAAAAGTCTTTAATGAAGCAATAAAAGTATTGATTTTATTAACTCTTAATTTTGAATACATATTTTTTAATATTCTGTGTGACAAAATGAAGAGCTCTCCTGCATACTGAAGTATAGCATTTGCCTTGAGGAAGAACATTTATGCAATTGTTTGAGTTGCAAGCTAAACTAGCCACTTTTTCATGGAACATGATTTTACTTGAGAGAATGACTGACAGATATTCTTGGATATATGGTGAAAATATTCTTGGCAATGAAAAATGTAAAGCTGTAAATTCAACGAAAACAACTGATTGTATCACCCATGATAAAATTTGAACTTTCCAGTGAAAAATCAAATTTTGAAAAACCTGTATACACCACCATGAACTTGACTTAAACACTTTCCTAATGAGATTGGTAGTGTTACTAATGGACAATTTTTTTTATATTGTATGATGATATGTGGCCATTTAGAAGCTTTTTAAAAAATAATTCAATGTGGCAACATTTTCCAAACACTGATGCTTGGTAATAAAAAATCATACAACAGTAAAGAACTCATGGAAAATGAAATAACAATGGATTTTAATGTAACAGAGTATAAAAAGTTAATTAATATGAGTTCATATTCCATATTGCAGCTAATCTACAGGAAACTGCCACTTTCGGAGTTTTGGTGTAGTATTAAAAATGACATCCCAAATTATCTGAAATGGCTACTAAAATGGTTCTTCTTTTTCTAATTACACGTCAGTGTGAGTCTGGATTTTCTTCATATGCTTCCACCAGAGCAACATATTACAACAAACTGAATGCAGAAGCAGACATGAGAGTTTGGTTGTCATCTATTAAGCCAGATATTAAGATGATTTGCAAATATATTAATCAATGCCACTATTACTGACTTTTGTTTGTTTGGGATAATATACTTTTCATAAAATCGTAATTCATTTTAACATATAACACATTTATTATATTTAAATAAATTAATAAAGACTTAAAAATGTCTACTTTTTTATTTCTAGTAAGGTAAATATCAATAGACATAATCCCTTGTAACTAAAATCTCTTTGGAGTACTCAATATTTTATGAGTGTAAAAGTTTCCCGAAGCAAAAGGTATGAGAATCACTAGTGTGAAGTATAAGACAATGACTGTTGGTAACATTTTTATTTCTCAATCACACTCTCTTAGGAAGACTTCAACAATCTTGGCCAAATGTCATGTTTGAACATGACAGGTCAAGGTTAAAATTACTGTGATAAATATCATCAAGGATCCCTCTGGAGCAGTGGTTGGGATTGCTAATGGACTTCCTGTAGATCCACAGGAAGTGACTCTCCCTTACTAGTAAGTCCCTCTGATAAACGCCATTTATTCTCTGAAGGCCAAAATACTTCCAGCACTGGAGCATAAAGTACCTTGATTTTGTGATACCCTAGGATGCAAAAACTATCTCAAGGGATGATTATAAAAACCTAAGTGTCAAATTTAATTTGCTTTAATTTTTTAAAAGATTATAAGCATTTAACTTATGATTGGCTTTTAGATGTGTGCATGTATGTGTGTGTGTATAAATACATATATGTGTATATCTATATATCTATCTATATATATATACTATATTTGGTGTCTAAAATTTACTAGCTGAGGGGTATGGATATTAAAACATTAAAAGGCATCTCATGGCTTTAGGGAAATAGGTTATGATATGAACTAATGTAATCATTATTGAAGTTCACCTGTTACACTTTTTCTTCAATTCTAGCCACTATATTCTTTTTTTTTTTTCTCTTCCTTCCCAGCAAGTTTCTAGCTCAGTACTCTTTTTGTAATTGACTCCCCCAGGCTCTGTCCATTTTTATTAAGAGCCAAAATGTCAGCTAGTTAGCCAAAAGATGTTCCTGAACTCTGCATGGCACACTGCACATACATATTTAAAGTTATACATGCACAGAAGGGGTCTTGTGCAGAGCCAGGAGTAAGTCACAAGGAGCAGGAAAGCCTCTCTTCCCTTCATTCCCTGTAGATGCCAGAATTTCCTCTTAGAACAAAATCCCTTCAGTTTAAGGCTGAAAACTTCAGGGAAATCCAAATACCTACAAAGTGGAAATAGAACATTTGTACCTTATGTGAAGGAAGAAACCAGGATCTGCTTAGTTAGGTATCTGGAAGCAGAGGCTGCTGGAAGGCAGTGATTTCAAGGTGATTCAGAAACAGAGGCTGTCCTGTGGAGGAGGAGAGCTGGAGAATTCAAGGGCTGGAGACACCACCATTAGCTTCTCCAGAAGCCCATGTGGTGCAGCAGCAAGAGCACAAAGGTTGGTGCCAGCTAGACCTGAGTTTGAATCCCTGTTCCCCGACTCAGTTACCAGCTGGGTGACTGGAGGCAATCTACTTAATCTCATTGACCATCAATTTCCTCATGTAGTAAATGAGGACAATCATATCCACCTTCCAGGGCTGAGTGAAGATTCAATGAGAGTGAGCATGTGACATCCCTAGAACATAGTAGGTGTCCAGTAAGTGCCTATTTTCTTTTTTTATTTGAGAAGTTTGCACATACATTCTTACATTCAATACCTTTTGCGTGAGCAAATGAAACCATTTTTTCAGGAAACATCTGGGCATTTTCTAACCTTTCCCTTTGGAGTAGCTTACCTGTTTTAAAACTTTTTGTAGTATTTAACACAGACCACTATCAAAAAGCTTCCTTAACAACAACAACAACAATAACAACAACAAAACATTCAAAGAATAAGAGTGTTCATTCTATTCTTCTGGTCTCCACGGTCAGTTGTGTCTTCTAGAAATTCCAAGAAGTTAGTGAGGCTTGACCTTCCTCTTTTTTTTTTTCTTCTCTTTTTGTAAAGCATGCCAGCAATCTTTAATCATGCTGTGATTTTCTACATGCCACCCAGGTTAGCTTCTGAAATAGTCAAACAAAGATTTAACCCACAGACACATAAATATCTAATCTACACTTTCCAGAGAGTCCTCAGAAGCATGTAACTATTATTATTCTTAGTATATAGGTTGTTTTTATTTTTTTATTTTTATATTCATTACTGGAAAGAAACATTTCCTCCTATTATAGATTTTAATAAAAATTCAGGTGTTATTACAGTATTTTTTTCTGGTGCTTACTCTTTCTTGGTGTAATTCACATGCAAAGCATTTCATAACTTTTTTTTCTTTTAAAAGAAGAAAAGTAAAAAGGATAGAGTTAATCTACTAGTTGCTTCACAGGTCACCTAGTTTTCAGCTGATAAGAACTAATTTGATCAATAGAGTTTACCTCTTGAAAATGAGAAGCTTTAGAAAGAAAGATTAGTAAAGGAGAAAATATGCTAAAAGGGATTAAGACCAAGACTATCAAATGCTCTCAATATTAATAGTGATGACACTGTTCACCTATCTTACTAAATGTTGAAGATGAGCTATGCAGTCACTGTGATGGAAGATGAGGATAGTTAAGAGAGTTAGAGTCTGAGACAAATGCAAATGGACACAGCCAGGACGAAAACATTCGACAAGCAACAGCCAAAAAATCCAGAGGAAGGAATTTCACCTGCAATACAAGTAGAACTTAGAAAAGTAAAGCACACATCAGATTTTTTTTTTAATTCAGTGAACATTTGTTACCCTACCTGCTTTGATGTGGCCGTGATGATACGATACCTGGAGGGATGTTGAAGAAAGGCAAGGACACAGTTCAAAGGAACGGTCTCAGGATGATAGTATGGTAAATTGAGCTGATGAATAAATATCATAATTCCAGAGATGTACAGGAAGTAAGCAGTGGCAAAAGTATCACTTAAATAATTTTGAATTGTTTTCTATCCTTCATTGGCAAATAAATCAAGATCCTTTTACCTAACCCAATGAGATTTCCAACAGGAAGCTTCTTACTGTTAAGACCCAGAGATTGTCCGTGCGTTTGCATTACATACTCCTTCATTACTGAGCAATGGTCAGAGGAAAATGCTGGAGCTACTTTTTGGAGTGAATTGAAGCACATGATACGAGATGAGACAAAAATACCATGGTATCAATGATTATGGCATAACCAACTGGACTAGGTGCCTGATGTGGTCGGCCTTTCTGCATTTCCTTCTTCCTTAGATTTCTGCTTTACAGATTTACTTTCATTCTTTTCAGATCTCCAGTGCATGCAGTGGAAAACCTTCTTAAGCATTCCTCTCTCTGTTTTTTTTTTTTCTCTGAATAGGTTGCACGCTTCCTTCACCCTGTGAGAAATAGATCTGGCACCTTTGAGGCAGGTTACTCAAAGTATAGTGGGAATGTCTTTTGTTATTTGTTGAACTTCATACAAAGGTCCTCCTTCATCATACCCAATGTGCTGTTTGCAAAATGCACTGCAAATAACCATCCATCACTTTACATCATTGTCACATTTTACCACTTTGTTTCTTCTCCTCCAGGTAAGTGAAAATGATTATCTGGCTGAGATCATAATCATTGCTGATCGGTACTTGGCCTCCTGCAAAGTTCCGTGCAAGCACAGAGACTTTTTGTAAGATGCCACTGGGCAGATGTCAAATGGAGTGCCCTCCCCCATCACCATCTTGGTCCTGAAAAACTTAATAACTTGGTATTGTTCAGTGAGTCATTCAAGCGAGTAGTGTGGAATTCTACCTGTTCCTCAAGGCAGAGTATCTGCTAAGCTGCTGCAAAGAGTGTTAGCCATTCATGGCTCTTTCTGTGCATAAAGAGCTCATGGTTGGGAGACAAGGTGAATGCAAACCCGGAGTGAAAGCTTTGTAACTTCTGTGTTTGTCTGAAATCGTGCACAAATTAAGCCAGTATGCAAAACAGAGCTCAACAAATATATTCCTCTTTTTAGTGGTATTTTCAGTGCTAGTTTTTCACTTTTTTTTTTTTTAAAGACCAGGAAAGAGGTATCCTGGAAACAGATCAAAAACACAAGGAGATGAAAACTTTAAAGTGATCAAGCCACACAGTTTCACAAATGATAACATAAAGGTTTTTAAAAACATTGGTTGTAATTTCTACTAGGTGTCACAACTCAGTGAACCATTACGAGTGAACCAGCTCAGTGAACCAAACTGAACTGAACAGATGGAATTCCACCCTTACTACGCTTGAAAGGCTCCATGAACAATACAAGTCTTCTTTTAAGTTCCCCTTTGAGCTGCTTACCTCACTAATGCAAACATGTGGGGGCTGCAGGATAGAACATGGCCCCTTGGCTGTTTGTTCAGTTGTGTGGTGCCGTTGTTCCAGCAGAAGGAAGGCAGTCCATTTTGAAATCCTCAGGGCCATGCTCCTCATTTTCAAAGTCCCAGTGTTATTTTCCATTTGTTCTCAAATATATGTTAGAGAGTGGAGTGTTTTGTTTTCTTTTACTTTTCCCTTGAGTTGTAATTCACTTTAATCTGTCCAGAAAAACCTTGAAAGATTTTTTTTTGTAAATATGCCTGAACAACAATTGGCTGTAGCCAATTCATTAAACACTAATCAATTGCTATATTCATTAATTCAATAATATGGTGCCTAGCTAGTACCAGGCACCATACGGACATTGCGTGGAATCTAAAATGGAAAAAATTCAAGTCTTTGCTTTTAAGGAATTATAATTTAGTAGAATAGATAAGCCAGACATAGATAATTGTGTTTTTGAAAATACTTTATCATTCAAGTGGCTCCTTGATATCTGTCCCCCTTCCTGCTCACCTTCCTCTTTTGACTCATGACTGATGTTATGGTCTGTTGACAAGTAGTCAGCATACTAAATGTCTTCAGTTTGGGAGTTTGTATCTAGGCTTATTTTCGAGGGTCATGTATTACAAAGTTTCAAACTGATTTTGTATCTTTGAAAATCAGACCATTTCTTCAAAGCATATTCTAACAGGGTTTGGGAGACAATGGACCAGAGATAAAGCCAAAGAGGCCAGGACTGGGGGTTTGTTGGTTAGGCATAAAAGGTACTGGCAGGTGGATCACTGATTAATTCCAGAGAGGTCAGCTGAGGGAGAGATTAGCAAGTAAGAGGTCCAGAATCCAGGGAGACAGGCATCAGGGATCAGATACTGAGGTTAGGATTGCGGAAACTACAAGGTCAGGAGGCGAAAAAAAGTTTTTTTGAAACATGGGGTCACGAGTCCAGGTCAAAACCCTTCAACAACAAGAGATTAGAAGCTATTCAAAAGATCTGAATAACAAGCATAGGATGTAAACAGCAGACATGAGTTTGATGCTGAGTGGTCCTGAGGCTCTCAGCCCTTCACATGGCTCTGAACTAAGGCCAGAGCAGGTTGCAGGGATGCCCATGTCTGTCTGAGTCCACAAGTGGATAGTTTTTGGATTAGATGAAGGGTATTTTGTGAGAACATTAAAATATAGCATTTGCAAGCTGTCTGCAAATCTGGATTTCTGAGTTTATATATTCCCTAGGGATTAAATCTGCCACTTTATTTTTAGGCAATAAAATATAGTACTGATGCTCACTCTTTAGTATTTGTAGATTTGAGTTTGAGTCCGTGTAATGCTACTTATAAGCTGTATGAACCTGGGTAAGGCACTTAACCTCTCAAAGACATAGTTACTTCAAGTGTAAAGTGAGGATGACGATACATATCTCAGAGTGCAAAATACTCAACTTTTAAGAATAATAGATGAAAAATTATTCATTTTAGACACTACTACTATCACAATAATTATTATAAACTCGGATTTTTTATTCAGGAATTTTTATCCAAAATCCCTTTCAGAATGCAAATAATATGTTAATTTATTTAACATGTAAAGTTAACAGCTTGGCTATTTCCATTGATTTTTTTTTTTTTCCCCGAGACAAAGTCTTACTGTCTCCTAGGCTGGAGTGGTGCGATCATAGCTCACTGTAATCTCGAACTTCCAGGCTTACATAACTGTCTGGCCCTAGCCTCCCAAGTAGCTGGGACTACAGGTGTGCACCACCATGCCAGGCTGATTTTTGTATTTTTTGTAGAGATAGGGTTTCCCTATGTTGCCCGGTCTGGTGTTAAACTCCTGGCCTCGGGTTATCCTCTCTACTTGGCCTCCCAAAGTGTTGGAATTACAAGCCTGAGCCACTGCACCTGCCTCCCCACTGATTTTTTTTAAACCAAGTCACTCAATCTTTTCTTTGCTTGTTTTGTTGATTAGGCCTTATAGGCAGCAATAACACAAGCTCATGTAAAAATACACTTAAACTCCTATAGAAAATATTTCTAAGATTTCATTCAAAGGTGTCCATCTAGTAACATGGATTGAAACACCAGGAGACTGGATGTCTAGGGATGGTAAGTCTAAATCCTTCTCTATCTTATTCTAAGTATGACTTATCACCGAGCAAATATTTTACATTGTCACTACCATCAAGTCATGCAAAAATAAATTCCTATATGACTCCTTGAATTTTCTATATGTAAATCAAGTGAATAATGTTTTCTTTCAGGTATGTGGGAACAACGTAAGAGGTCAGGACTTAGACCAAGTAGATGCTCAACTGTGGAATAGACCAGAATATATTTTACCTTAATTCCTATTTTAACTACTCCCTGTGAGTTGTAATTGACAAAACTTTAACTTGGATTAGATGAATCCAATCTTCCACTTATAAGTGGAAAGTTGAGGCAGAAACTAATGGATGCCATTATAAAGAAAAAAAGTCAGTTTTCTTCCCTCTTCAAAATGTGCTTCCATTACACTTTATTTAAATGCTAAAATAACATCAAATAGAGGGAATATTGTTGCTTTCTAGCATAGACCTGAGCCTGGATCACTATAGGCTCTTGAAAAGTTTTTGAATGGATTTTTTTTTTGCCATGTATGCTTGCATTTTGATTCTTTCTACTTAGGCCATTGTCTGATCTTCAGTAGCATTCTTCACACCCGTTTCTGAACCCTAACTCATTTGTTGGGGTTGTCTATAGGTTGGTGTCACGTGGAGTGTGGGATCAACTTAAATGAAGGGGGACAAGGAGGCCATGGTCCTGAAAGCTACCATCAGTCTGTGCTGGTTCCGTGATTAGAGAAAATTACTTCATCTACAGATTAACTGAGGTTATCTCAAAATTTCATGCTTTAAGCTGGGGGATAGTGGAGCTGTAGAGACCTGCTTATGTTCCCAGGGGGTTGATGTGGAGTTGTAATTTCTCCCTGCTCCATAGGTGTTAGGAAGGCAGAGTGGTGAGGTTCTTGCAGCCACTGAAAGCCTAGGAAAGAAGGAGCCAATGTACTATGCTCAAGCCACACTCTGCTACTCGTAATTCCTTCCCCAACACATCTTACAGATTTACAGTATTTCTGCCCCACGCTGTTGCCTCTGGAATGCCTATCTCTAATCCCTCATTTCTCTCCTTCAAATTCATATGTTGCCTTCTTTGCAATACCTTCTCACACATTCATTTGCTCCAGCTCTGCACAAATTTAATTGCGCATTTCTCTGTACTTCCATAGCAGTTATTTATGAATCTTTCTCCTCCATTCATCCATGAACCTCTTCACAGGAGGTTCTATCTAATCGTATTCATCTTTGGAAGGCAGAGTAAGTTAGTAGTTAAGAATATGGACTCTGGAGTCAGAAGAGCTGGGTAAAATTTCAGCTTCCTCCACTTACTGGCTGTGTGATCTTGGGAAAGATGTTTAACCACTCTGAGAAGTAGTTTTATCATCAAACAGCAAGTCCAAGTAAAGTGGACTTGCTGTTTGTCACCCCATAGGAGTTGCTTTGAGAATAAAAAGGAAAATCCACACAAAGAACATGGCATGTAGTAAACCCTCAATGACTATGAGCTCTGATTAACTATATTGTTGTATGCCTTTTGTGCCTAGCACAGTGTCTGGCTCATAGTAGGGCCTCGACACATGTTTTGTTTCACTTAGCTGTGTCATCCTTAAATGATATGGCAAAAATATGGCTTTAAAGGGCAGCATATATGTGTGTGTGTATATATATATGTATTTCTTTCACTACAGGATGGGAAACAATGAGAATAGAGCCAATCTGTGAAAGACAGTAGTAGCAAGGAGATGGGGATTGAAGCACTAAAACCCGAATTCATATTAAACACTGCCAAACATTTTATTAAGAGAATAGAGAGTCAGAGATCCTCAGTTCTAACTTTTGGGTGGCTTTTAATTCACTATATGAATCTAAAAATATGCTTAGATTTTTTTTTAGTAGCTCAGTTTCAGCATACACAAAACAGATATTGGGGTGCTAACTTGTCGTCTCCAGGTGTGAAGGAAACAGCATGGCAACACTCAACCAATGTTGCCGTAAGTGTCCTCCTGCTTCTACCACAGGGAAACTGAGATACAAGTCTGAGGACTTGATCAAGGTCACAGTCAGTGGCAGAACCAAATTAAAATTCATGTTCCCAGAGTCCTTTCCATGCCATTGCTTCACCTACTGACCCATGTTGCTCTACCAAGAAGTACTTCTGATTAAGTGAACTTTCAGGTTTCAATAACACAAAACCTTGGCAAGGACTTTAGGTAACAATCTCATATCATATACTGCAGTTACTTTTTGGCAAGAACCACCTATCTCATATATATGTTGACTTAATTTTCATGTACAGGCTGACAAGGAAGAAATCAGTGTGTTTGCAATGCTGAACTAAGAGTACAAAAGCTCAGTAAAGTCTCTATTTGAAAAATGAGGACAAAAGAAAATGGGGACAGATGCTTTTCTTGTAGACTATACTGTCCATTATCAGGAACCGTGACTCTTTTTCACAATGTCGTGGTCTCAGGGCCTAACGCACTGCTTGCACGTGGTACATAGTCAATTAACCTTCTTAAAGGAATAAATCCATGGCAACCTCAATATTTGGGGTACAGTAGAATAGCTTTTCATGCCTCAATGCAATATTACCCGAATACTAAAGTGTTGAATGTTTTCCTTCATCCAGTGTTTGTTTTTCTTTGGGTACATGTGTATGTAATAAGGTGTTTTGATCTTATATAATAAAATGTTTAAGTTTCCAACAAGGTTTCATGATACAGCAGATTCTGCACACCAAAGTGAGGTTCTGTATCAAAATACACATTTTGAAAGGCAGGAGTTGGTTGCACAAACTTGCAGCTGGACACTAGAAGAACACTGATTAAAATGGAGGATATAAAAGAATTAAGAGAGTGGGAAGGGAGAACACTTTTGAGGACTACTTCTCTGGGAAAGCTGCACAGAGAGCGTCTTTCCCTAAGAAAGGAGAGATGGGGACTACCTGCTCTCACTCAAACACAGTAAGGGAGAGCTTCAAAGACTGCTTTAAGAGCTTGCTATGCCTCCTCTGGGTTTGTGCTCAGATTTGGCTGGGTCTAACTTCAGTCTAGGAAATCAAAGAGCAGAAGAGATGTGCTGGAGAGCTGGTTTGGCAGCTGAGCAGAGGAGAGTCGCTGCTGCATCAGAAAGTAACTGCCTCTCCCTTGCTGGCAGTTCAGAGACAAAACTCCAGGGACCAGAGAGGAATCTAATATAGGAACATAGGCCTGAAGCCATTTTATAACCTGTCAAATAAGCTTGTCTTGAGGAGGCAATGGGTCTCAAATAGAAAAACATCTGCATGGAATGGACCATCTGAGAAGAAGAGGCCAAGGCAGGGAGTGGGATGGAGTGGGACAGTCCAAGAAGTACAAGCTAGAGGTGTAGTTGGAGGGGGCCAGCAAGGACTCAACAAATAAATGTAGCCACTAATACCTACATGAGAGAAAGAGTCAGCTGAAATATTTTCCAGCCCCAGATAATATAGAGTCAGCTTATAGCAATATGAATTCATGTAGGAAGATTTCCAGCCTGCCTTTCTGATTAGTGCTCCAACCCAGGAGAGATTAGAAACTGTAGCTAATGAGCAGAGCAGAAGGAGCAGAAGAGTGAGGACAGAGAAAGAGGAAAGGTGTACTGTCCTTCAGGTAGCAGGCAGCATTCCTAAAACCTGACCATCTGGTGAATGAAAAAGGATTTAAACCCTAAGTCAAGTTCAGGATTTCACTATTACTAGAGACGGACATCTATTGATTTGAGACTGTTTTAAACTTAGACATCTTCTTATACTGAACAGCAAAATGCAGATGTAAAGGAGCCCAGTGAAGGGTGCATTTAATAGCAGGGGAAAATGTCTCCCATTGAATACATTTTAAAGGAGGAGAGATGGCTGGGAGCGGTGGCTCACACCTGTAATCCCAGTACTTTGGGAGGCCGAGGCGGGCAAGTCAGGCGGTCAGGAGATCGAGACCATCCTGGCTAACCCAGTGAAACCCTGTCTCTACTAAAAATACAAAAAGTTAGCTGGGCATGGTGGCATGCACCTGTAGTCGTAGCTACTTGGGAGGCTAAGGCAGGAGAATTGCTTGAACCTGGGAGGCAGAAGTTGCAGTGAGCCAAGATCACACCACTGCACTTCAGCCTAGGTGACAGAGCCAGACTCCATCTCAAAAAAAATAAATAAATATTAAAAAAAACAATAAAGGAGGAGAGACCAACATAAAATTACATTTTGGTTATGCCTCATAAGCTGAGCTTAGTCAAAATAGCAGATATCTGGGTTTCTCTAGATTTCATTGTATAAGCCTGGACTGATCTCTCACATTAAAATTGTACAATTATGGTAGCTTTCGAGATCTCTATGTGCCACCTCTGTGTATCTGTAGGTGCACTGCCTACTTTTTAGGGACTGCCATGTTTCACCAGGTCCCTTTCCCTGGGAGCATGTCCAATTAGCTGGAATCACAATACAATTGTTGAAAGAGACTTAGAAATCACTTGGTTTTACTTATTGTCTTTGTTTTCTGCAGCAATAACAGACTACCTCAGACTGGGTAATTTTAAAGAAAAAAAATTTATTTGGCTCATGGTTCTGGAGGCTGGGAAGTCCAAGATCAAGGGGTTGCATCTGGTGGGGGCCTTCTTCCTACATTATAACATGGCAGAAGGCATCACATGGCAGGTGAGGGAGCACCTGAGATGGAGAGAGAAAAGGAGCCAAACTCTCACAATAACTTACGCATTCCTACAATAATGGCATTAATTCATTCAAAAGGGTGGAACCCCCAAGGCCTAATCTCTTCTTAAAGGGCCATCTCTTAATACTGTTACAATGGCAATTAAATTTCAACATGAGTTTTGGAGAGGACATTCAAACCATAGCACTCATCTAATGTTTTCATTGCCTTCATTTTACACTGAAAAAAAGTCAATCCACTGTGGAACTGCCATACTACTTTTGTATTTTAGAGCTGCCCCAAACTGGATCAATGTTCACTGGCTGGTGAAAAGCACTTACTATAATGCAGTTCATTTACATGTCTTCTCTCAAGATCTCTCAAGCCTATTTCTTTACTTCCATCTCTCCCTCTGGCCCCACTGGTTGACTTGGCATTGGGGGTATTAATATTTTGGTGGAAGACAGAAGAAAATGAAAACAGAGAGGGAATGTCTGGTACACTGATGGCCATGAAAAAGAATAAGAATTAAGGGGATGGGTGTGATGTTTACCATGAACCTACCCTGTGCCACCCGCTATGCAGATATTTTTGCATGATCTATTTGACTGTGAACAATAACTCTACTAAAGTAGGCATGTCTGTACCCTTTGTGTAGAGGAGGCAATGAGAGAAGTGACTTGCTTAGCACCATGAATCTAGGTGAGTTGGTCTCCAAAATCCCTGCTCTTTCTGCAATTCCATGTGGCTTCCTTTGAAACTACGTTATAAATACATTTTTGAAGCTTGCTAGTGACTTCTTTCATTCTCTTTAATCTCAAGAATCTAATTCCATATCAAAACTGATAGTATTTTTAAATAAGGAAATTGCTCTTGATTTCGATTACTACATTTTTATGAGACTACATTGACTTCTGTTATTAGAATTGAATTTCAGGACAGTGAATGTCATCTGTTCTCTCTTAGCACTGTATACCTTTCCATTAGAGCACACAACAGTTGATTCCAATCAACTTTTTAAAAAACTCATTCCACATATCCAATATTTCTATACCTCTATTACCATTCTCAAATATTCGCAGAAGTGTGTTCCAATCTGGTGATATTATGATAACTTTCCCCTAGGGGTTTATTAGCTTCCATGTTACAGTATTCATTTTACCTGCTTTCATTTCCCTGGACTAAGTCCAGAATAGCCCCTGGTCCTGTTGATTGCTTCACAAGCTGTGTGAGGGAACATTTTTGCAGTGCACTCAGAGACACGCATCCATCTGATTTCATTCCTGTGAAATATCAGTCATTGTCAGGGGATTGAAATTGCATCACATTGACTACTTTTATTTCTTTAATGCCTTTGCTTTTTATTTTTTTCTCATTCATTGCCTAGCTTTCTCTTATGGGCAAACATACCTCCTCACATTAGTATTTGTATTTATGAACTTTTTTTTTTAGAAAGGTAGGATTTCTATGGGGCTTGCTTTTTTCTAAAATAAAAAACCAAGTGAACAAAGAAACCAACTTGAACCATGTTGCATTTACCAACATTTTGACATACCTCTGAAGGCACAATTGTCAGAAGTCATGTTACTGCCCTCTAGGATATGTAACCTTTTAGAAAACACTTCCTTCTAAGAAGGTTCATGGGGAAAAGTTAAATTTCAAATGGAAGGGGAGATTCTAATTATGGCATGGTGCTTGTCATGTGAAGGGTTCAGGAGGCTGGTTACTAGGACCTAAACCTGAGTTCTTAGGATGAGGGACATAGAAAAAGAAGACCAGGTAAAAGTAAAACAAGCATGTTCTCCATCTCTGAGGGTTAGTAATAACACAATTTAAAAGCAGCATTGATACCATGGGCCATGGTGTTGATGGCCATATGGGTGAAAGAGCAGTTGCACTGCCCTACAAGTAGCTAGAGATAGTAGCACTAGAGATAGTAGCGCTAGAGATAGTAGCGCTAGAGATAGTAGTGCTAGAGATAGTAGTGCTAGAGATAGCAGTGCTAGAGATAGCTAGTAGTGCTAGAGATAGTAGGGCTAGAGATAGTAGTGCTAGAGATAGTGCTAGAGATAGTAGGGCTAGAGATAGATAATAGTGCTAGAGATAGTAGTGCTAGAGATGATAGTAGTGCTAGAGATAGTAGCGGTAGAGATAGTAGTGCAGGTGGAGTTGGCAGTGAGGGCACTAATAATGGCACGGTGTCCATGGTATCCTTGTAGAACCCTCAAAATTGAGCATTGGGAACACTGTTGTGTATGTGGGCATCAATGATGGCAACAGCAGAGTGCCTGATGGGCAGCACTGAAGCCTGTGGAGGTAATGCCATTATATGCCTTTGAGAAAGTGAGAGGATTAGACATCTTGATAACTCAGGAGAGGAAACCTATTCCCAGAATTATTTGGGAACTTGAGGAGTGAGGTTGAAATTCTTAAGAAATAGGTTGTCGCAGAGTCAGAGAAATGCTATTTTGTAGCTTTTATGATCATCCTTAGCTCCAGGCTTGTATGGCCTGAGAAACACAATAAATGATAAGAATAAGAATAACTTCAACAACAAGTAACACCCCATGCCAGGCACTGTTTCATTCCTGAAAATAATTCTGTGAGGTGATACCATTGTTGACCCTATTTTATAGATGAAATTTAGGCACAGAGAAATCAAGCTACTTGTCCAAGGTCATATAACTAGTAAATGATGAGCTCTAATTCAAACATAGGAAGTCTGGCTCCAGAGACCATGCATTTAAGCATCAGATGACACAGTGGAACCTCATCACTTTAGTCTCGACTACATATGATTATCTGAATAATTTTTTTCAAGAGCTGGTAAAATTTTATCTTCATTCCATTAAGAAAAAACATTGATTACATTAATTCAAGACTGGAAAAAGAATATGAAGCTAACTAAAAAAGAAATATTGCTTTTAATAACTAAAATAACTTTATTATAAAATAAAACTTTCTCCTTAGATTTCTCTATTTCTTGTAACCTTCAAATTTGCATTTTTTTTTTCTATTCCAGTTGTTATTACCCCAGACCCTTCTCACTTTATGCCTGGACAATTACAATGGGACCCAGCTTGATGCCCTGGTAGTGATCTCTCACTTCTCCATTCATTTAATATACTGCATTAGACAAATGTTACTGAGACGCTGGTCACATATAACCTGCTCAAAAACATGTATTGGCTCTTAATACCAATACAATAAATTCTACACTCTTTAGCCTGGAGTTTAAAATTATTCATATATATGTACATTTATACAATGTCTTCTCCATATGTTTTCTTATTTCAAAATACTCCCCTGGCTGAACATTTTATTTTCCCACACTAGTGGTTCCCAGACATACCTTTGATACTTATCATCTGCAGAATTACAGCAAATTACACTAGTTCTCCAAGACCTTGTTCAAATCCATACCTTCCATAAAGTTCCACTCAACCAAAGTACTGTAGCACATAAGATGTCTTCTGTTATCTATAAAATGACCTCTCCTCGCTGGTCTGAAGTGGGCTTGTTTTGGGGCAGATATATTGGTGAGAGGAGCTGGGCTGGATTTCTGCTGTCCTGTCCACCCCCACTCCCACTCCCACAACTCCCCTTTGGCGTTTCATTTGGTATACAAACGTCCTTCTGCAAGTAACCACCCTGTCCCCCACTGCCTGCCAATGCAGTGCTCACCCCGCACCAAATTCCTAAAGCAATGATAGTCTCTACAATTCATTTGGCAATTAATTGCATATTGCTTGGTTGCATCTCTTCAACTGTGGTTTAAATATTATCCTACCAATATTTTAATTTGTAGTGTCTTACTGCCTTAATGCCTCAGAATGTTCCCTCTTGAAGGCAGGGTTAATATATTATTCTTATTTGTGGTTCTCAAAATACACAATGCAGTGTCTTGGATTGTAGGAACTCAAATATTTGTGGATTTTACTTGCATTGTTTTCAGGCAAATAAACAGTTAATTACAAATGAAGCATGAATTTGTTGGATATGATCAACAATTGGCTGTCCATCATTAGCAAGAAAGCATAATGTTTATGCCCAAATACACACATACACGCACACATACCACAATTGTGGTATGATTATACTTTACCTTTACTTTTATTATATGTCTTTAACAGTTTAGTATATGAACTATCCACAACTACAGGTGGGGAAAATTATTCTTGTGCTTTGATTTGCATAGAATGCTATATAGCCCTTCATTGTAGTTAGGCTTTTCAACACAGCTATTTTGCCAATAACAATTTATGAACACAAAGTATTTCAGGGGAAATAAACATGAAACATTTCAGTCTCTGCCTTCAATGAGTTTTAATTCTGAATGGGAGAGAACAATCCTTAACAAATACAATGCTAGTAAGACAGGTGTAAGTTCCATTAAAAGCATTGCAGGAGGGCGGGCGTGGTGGCTCACATCTGTAATCCCAGCATTTTGGGAAGCCGAGGCAGGTGGATCACTTGAGGTCAGGAGTTCGAGACCAGCCTGGCCAACATGGTGAAACCCGGTCTCCACTAAAAATACAAAAATTAGCCAGGCATGGTGGCTGGCATCTGTAATCCCAGTTACTCAGGAGGCTGAGGCAGGAGAATCACTTGAACCCGGGAGGTGAGAGTTGCAGTGAGCCAAGATAGCACCATAGCATTCCAGCCTGGGCAACAAGAGTGAGACTCCATCTCAAAAAAAAAAAAAAAAAAAAAAAAGTGCAGGAAACGTGAATTAGGTGTTCAGAGGATCCAGGAAGCTCTAATATTTACATTTGATCCAGACCCTGCCACAGGGGAGATAGGCTTAATCGTCATGTTGATGTGAAAGGCATATTCCAGGCAGAGGTGAGGCATGGAAAAATACAGGTTGGATAACCATTCTTGGAATCATAAGATGTTTTGTTTGGTGCAGAGTATGTTTTGTATAGATATCTTTCACAGTGCCATGTCCATACACCCTCCAGTCACTACCTATCTAATTTTATGAGGTCTGCCCAAGGTAGATTGTCATAGCATTGTGTATTTTGGTCCTCAGCAATCATACCTTTAAAATTAGAGGAATCACATGCTAGTTACATGTTTTTTGATACTCACTATAGTCTAAAAGGGAAATCTCCAGATTGAAAATGGCTATAAACTGACACTCTAGTTTCTCTTAAATTTCCTTTTAGGGTTTTCTCATTCGAAACAAATTTTTCATCACCTTAGCCACACTTGGGAATATTCTGCAATATTATTGAGAAAAACAATACTTTTGTCTTTTCCATTCACCTTAACATAGTTAAGGGAGGTTGAACTTTTCTTAAGGAATATCACTTTAGGAGCATGTGAGTAGTATTTCTGCTTCCGGTTTTGGCAGACTACCTTGTATTAGAAAAGCCCTCCCCTCAAGCCAAGAACCAGTAAAAAAAGCAGGAAAGAGCTTAAAAGTCTCTAATTGGTTGCAAAACCCTCTGATTGGAGAGTTAGGATTAGGGTTAGTTATCGAGGCTGTTAATATTTGAGGGCCCATGTGTTCAGAAAGAGGAAGTACATCAAAGTTATCTCAATTATTTTGTTCATATTTCCCCTCAATGCATCTGCCAATTCATATGTTGGGTGGATCTGAGAGCTAAGTAGCTGAACAGACTTTTATAGCAGTTTTACAATGCTGGAGAAACAAAAATTGGAGTTCAAGGCTGTGACAGGAGCCAGAGTTTGAAAAGTACACGTCCTAAAAAGAAGTGACATTTGCCTATTTGTGAGCAACACCTAAGAGATTCAGAAAGCCAAGAAAAACCTTTAGTCAATGGGATGGGAAGCCAAGTAAACTTTCAGCAATCTAGTGGTCCTGGGGAAACAAATTAAAATTCAGGGCCCACCTATAAAACATGCAGACTTTCAGCTGAAGTCTATATTCTACTGGTAAAGGTAGAAAAAAATTAGTTCTCACAAACACTGAAAATTAGCTTCAGTTCACCTCTGCCCAGCCTGGATTAGTATACATCACCCTACTCTTACGATTTGCCAGAAGCAAAAGCAAATCATCTCTGTAGGAGAATAATATTATTCAGAGCCTCAAACCACCATGCACAATGTCTGGCATTCAACAACAGCAAACTACCAGGAAGAAAAATACCAGGAAAAAATACCAAGTTGCAGAAAACTAAGAGAAAACAATTAAGAAAAGAGAAAGAGACCAACAGGTGAGTTAGATAATAGACATAAAGGTCATGGACTTTAAAGTAACTGATTATAGAACTGTGCCAATGTTAACCAAAAAAAGAAAAAAAAGCTGGAGTGGCTTTGCTAATATCAGACAATGTGGACTTCAAGGTAAAAACACTAGGGAGACTTCCTGATCAGAGAATCAATGCAACAGGAAGATAGAGCAGTTTCAAATTTCTATGCATCAGATAGGAAATCCTCGAACTATGTAAAGCCAATTTGACAGTATTAAAAGAAGAAATTGACAAATCCATAATAGTGATACATTTGAATACAATTCTTCTAATAATTGAGACAATAAGCATAAAGATATAGTAAAGATATAGGAAGCTTGAACAACACAGTTAACACTCTTAACCTAATTGACTTGTATGGAACACTGCTCAAAGCAACTGCAGAATATTCATTCTTTTAAGTGCATGTAGAACATTTACCAAAATTAAACATATGCTGGGCCATAAAGTAAACCTCCATTAAATTGAAAACTTTGAAAACATAGAGAATATACTGTTGGCCATCTCAATCTGTGCTTGCCACATGCATAGTTTCAACTAACCATGTATCAGAAATATCTAGAAAAAAATTGCATTTGTACTGAAAAGGACAGATTTTTTTCCTTCTCATTATTCCCTAAGCAATACAGTATAACAACTATTTACATAGCATTTACATTTTATTAGGTATTATAAGTAATCTAGAGATGATTTGAAGTATATGGGGGGGTATGCAGAGGTTATAAGCAAATATTATGCTACTTTGTATAAGGGACTTGAGCCTCCATAGATTTTGGCATCTGTGGGAGATCCTTGAACAATGCCCCATGAATACTGAGAAAAGATTGTATTCTCTGACTAGAGTGGATTTAAAACTAAAATCAATAACAAAAAGATAACAACATCTCCAGTTGTTTAGAAATAAAGAAATTCTCTTCCATAATCCACAGGTAAATACTCAAAATGGAAATTAGAAAATATTTTAAACTTAGTAATAATAAAAATATAGTATATTAAAATTTGTGGGTTGCAGCTAAGCTGTGAGGGAAATTTTTAGTCTTGAAAGCATGTATTAGAAAAGAAGAAAGTTTGTGAATCAATGATCTAAGCATCCGTTTCAAGGAGATAATAAGAGATTAACAAACGAAACTCAAAGAAATAGTAAGAAAAGGACAAAGGTGACAGAATAGAAAACAAAGGTACAAATAGAGAAAATCAAAGAAGCAAAATGTGGGGGGTTTGAAAGACTAATAAAATTGATAAAACCCTAGAGAGAGACAGACAGAAAACAAACTATTAATATGACAATGTAGACATTACTTTTTTCCTCAGACATGAAAAAAATAAAAATTATTTGAGAAAAAAGTTTAAACAAATGAATTTGAAGATTTAGATTAAATGAAAAAATCCTTTTGAGGTATATAACTTAGTAAACCTGATATAAGAAAAATAGAAAAGCTAAATAGTCCCATTAAAGCTATTAAATCTACAATAAATATATTTTCATGAAGACATGACAGCATAAGATGGCTTTGTCAGTAAACTGTTTCAAACATTTACAAAATAAATAAGATCAATTTTACCCCAAATCTTTAGAAAATAAAAAAGAGAAGAGCTATTCCAATTTATTTTTACTACAGTAGCAATAATTCCAGAAAGTGTTGTTCAAAATAAATATGTATTTGTAAGACAGAAATTTCTCAAAAGATTCTTTTCAGGAACAGAAGCTCCACCTGCGTTTGCCTTAACTTTTTTTGCTCTATAATTTTTTGCTGAAAAACTGGAGTCTCTGCCTGCCAGAAACAGAAGTAAATCTTGTCTAGAAAAAGATAGCAACCAGAACTTCAAACTGTCTCTATCACAGGCCAGAATAATATTGATTCCAAAACATGATAAAATCTTCATAAGAAAGAAAAATTACAAACTTACCTTTTTCATGATCACAGAAGCAAAAAATCTAAACAAATGATTAATTATTTAAATTCTATGACATGTGAAATAATAATATACCATTAGAAAATTAGTGTTCTGGCATGCAAGATTGATTTTAAATTTTTAAATCATCAATTTTATTTTTAACATTAACAAAATAAATTATACTATTATTGCCACAATGAATGCAGAAAAAATATATTAAAATTAAATATCATTTATGACAAAGACTCATCTCAAACCAAGGGTAAAAGGAAATTTCCTTATTTTGACAAAATGTACCTATAAAAGCTTACATCAAATACCATAATTAAGGACAAAATTCTTTCCCTGCTGAGATCAGAGAAAAGAAAAAGATGCACATTATCACTACTATCTGTTCAACTTTGTATTGAAATTTAGTCAATACAATAACATAAAAAATGAGTAGAAAAAAATATTGAAGGAAAGAAATAAAACTACCCTAACTACATAAGATGATGTAAGTGTGCAGAAAATGTTCAAAAATTCAAATATAAAGTGTCAGAATAAATAAATAAATTTAACTATGTAACTAGCACAAACTCAATGTAAAAAATGAGATATATTCCTATATATTAGAAGGTGTTAAAAAATTTAAAGAAAATTTATTTGTAATAGTATCTACATAGTCAAATACCTTGAAATAAATCTAAGGGAGGATGTGTAGAAAATCTACACCAAAAACCATAAAACACTGTTGAGAGAAATTAAAGAATTAATTAAAGGGGGTGGATATATTATGGTCCAGAATTAGAAGTCTCAATATTTCCAAAATGTCAATTTTACCAAGTTGATTTATAGATTTAATGTAATCCCAGTGAACATTCCAGTAGTTTTTTTTTTTTAATGGAAATTGACAAGCTCATTCTAAGATGAAAAGGCAAAGATGCAGGAATAGTAAAAGAAACTGTGGAGATCAAAATTGGAATATATGTACGGCTAGATATCAAGTCTTGATTACCATAGCTTTATAATAAAACAGTGTCATATTGACATGAGTATTGGTTTTGAAACCGATGGAATAAAGAGTCCAGAAAGAACATTTTAGTCTCTTGAACATATATGGTCTTCTGATTTGTGATACTGGTGACAAGGCAGAGCGTGGAGAATACCATTCTAGTAGTAGTGGCAAGTCAATTGAATATCACCATGGTTCCCACTTAATAGCATAAGTCAGTGGTTCTTAACAGGGACAGTTTTGGCCTTCCTGCTCCCTTGGACATCCAGCAATGACTGGAGACATCACTGATTGTCATGACTTAGGATGGGACATGCTATGGTACTTAGTGGGTACAGGCAAGCGATGCTGCTAAATGTCCTACAAGGCACAGGAGAGTCTCTACACAATGAAGACTTGGCCTGTCCAAAATGTCAATAGTGCTAAGGTTGAGAAACCACGCTGAAAACAAAAGTCAATCTTAGGAGGACTATAGGCTTATATAGGAAGATAGAACATTAAAGCTTATAAGAAAGAATGTATTCATGACCTTGGGTTGTCGAAATTTCTAAAAAGTGACACAAAAGAGCAGTAAGCATAAAGGAAGAGATTGATAAAGAAGAATACAAGTTGTTTATCAAACCACATCCCAAACACAGTAAGATGCTAAGCCATAAGAAAGATATTTGCTATATATATATATATATATATATATATATGTATATATATATGCAACAAAGTGCTTGTATTCAAAAATATATAAACAATGTCTACAAATCAGTAAGAAAAAAGCCAACTCAAATAGAAAAATAGGCAAAATAATCTCTTTTGACAGTAAGTATATGAGAAAGTGCTCAACATCATTAATCACTAAGGAAATAAAAATTTAAAACTGTGAAGTAACATTATACATTCACCAGAAAGATTAAAATGTAAAAGACTGGGAAGCTGTCTTAATCCCAGTGTGGATTAAACTGGGGAGCAACTGGAATTTTCATACACTGCTGACGGGATTGTAAACTGGAACAACTACTTTGGAAAACCATTTGTATCTACTAATACTAAAACTGGACATGTACATATCCCTGTTACTTAGCAATACCAGTCCAACAGAAATGCATACACATGTGTACCAAAAGATATATACATATATGCACCAAAAGATATATATCTTCTATCATGTACATACTTGCAGATTATATACATGATATATCATAAATAGGTACATACTCATATGTATATATACATACACACATATACCTATGTATGTATAAAAGTTTATAGCAGCATTACTCATAATAGTTAAAAACTGGTAACAACCTAGTTGTCTATCAACAGTATGGATAAGGTCTAGTATATTCACACAATGGAATTCCTCACAGCAATGAAAATGAATAAACCATTGTATATACAATAACATGAATAACTCTTACAACGTTGAATGAATGTCAGACACAAAAGGGTACAGGTACATATGATGTCATTCATTATATTAATATGAAAATTGGGTGTTACAAGTCAGGATAGTGTTATCTTTGGAGAGGAAGTTAGGGTTAGGGACTGAGAGAGGGGCAAGGGAGGGCTTCTGTGGTGTTAGTGATATTTTATTCCTTATCTGAACGGTGGTGATACAGGTGTGTTCCTTGTGTAAAAATTCGCTGAGCTTCACACTTATGATTTGTGTACTTTTTCTATCTGTGTATCAATAAAAATATTTATTTGAAAAAATGCATGAGTGGGATGGAGTGAGGAAAAAGTTGGTGCAGAAATAAAATATGCTTTTAGAGTTCAAATATCATATATCCTCACTTATAAGTGGGAGCTAAATCATGTATACATATGGATAGATAGTGTGAAATAATAGACTTCAGAGACTAGAAAAGTGGGAAGATTGGATGGGGTGAGGGATGAAAAATTACTTAATAGGTACAATTATTCAGGTGATGATTACATGGAAAAAACCAGACCTCATCACTGTGCAATATATACATGAAACAAAACTGCACTTGTATCTCTTAAATTTATACAAATTATTGTATAATAATACAAATTATTGTATAATTTGTATAATTATTGTATATATATCATATATATATTTACACACCCTTAAAAAGTATCTGCATTTGAGTTTGCAAGATAAAAATTTCTGACCATGTTTCCTATTCAAAATATTGGAGAATTATAATGCATTTTCTCAATTCCCTTATGATAAATCAAGTTGGCAAAACAATTGGTATTTGTTTCTTACCAAGTTTTCCTAGTTCTTTTTTTTAAAAATATTAGTATGAGCCTGAACTACACAAACTTTCTTTGTTCTTTCCCTTCCTCAATTTGGTTTACCTTGCCTAAGTCTAAAGACCCCTCCTGTATTTACCAATATTTTCCTCTTGAGACAGGTGTTGGTAGAGCAGGGAACACTGCTCTGAGGGTAGCATCCCTGAGTGGCAAGGAAAGGTTATGTTCCCATTTTTCAGGGTACAACATAGCATCTATCAGTTATTATAGAGTGCTTAACAATAGATGACTTCTAGTATATAGTGGTCTTTTGTTTTTGTTTTTAAAGATGAAGTTTTGCTCTTGTTGCCCGGGCTGGAGTACAATGGTGTGATCTCGGCTCCTCGCACCCTACACCTCCTGGTTCAAGCGATTCTTCGGCTTCAGCCTCCCGAGGAGCTGGGATTACAGGCACCCGCCACCATGCCCAGGTAATTTTTTGCATTTTTAGTACAGACGGGGCTTCACCATGTTGGCCAGGCTAGTCTCGAGCTCCTGACCTCAGGTGATTCACCAGCCTAGGCCTCTCGAAGTGCTGGGATTACAGGCGTGAGCCGCCGCGCCCGGCCTAGCGTTTTTGCTGACCAGTTGTGTTAATATCTTTCATCAACACACATCTATGTGACCTCCACAAAGTAAACTGGCTGTTGAATCTGTACCCTGTTAATTGATAATTATTATTGTATTTAACTTCTTTCTTTTACACGGTAGTCCCATTACTTTAAGATATGCTTATACATGTTTCAAATTCACTAAAAGAGCTTGCTGTTATATTTAAGAGAATCTATTACTTCAAAATTAACAAAACTACTAACCATTCTTTACATTACACTCAAATTAAATTCTACACATTTTCCTAAACTTCTGGACAGCAAAAGATCACGTCGAAAGAGTCTGTTTCAGATGTCCATAGGCTCAAATTTAGTTTTTAAAACTATTCTACAAATTAAAAAATGTTCACTTTAAAATTTTAGCTCTAGAATAAATGGGTCTTCTTGAGACACTATAGTATGTCAACAAAAGTGATTACAGTTGTCCCTCCATATCCATGGGGGATTGGTTCAGCAACCACACTGATACCAAAATCCGAGAATGCTTCAGTCCCTAATATAAAAAAAAAAGGCGTAGTATTAGCATATCACCTACACACATCATTCTATATATTTTAAATCATCTCTAAATTACCTATAATACTTAATACAGTGTGAGTGCTATTAAACAGTTGTTATACTATATTGTTTCTCCATTTATATTATTTTTATTGTTGTATTGTTATTTTTAATTTTTTCCTGAATATTTTTGATCTGCAGTTGGTTGAACCTGAGTGTGCAGGACCGGCAGATATGCAGGGCTGACTATATAGAGAGAAAAATGGGAAGCGAGATCATAGAGACTTTTGTACCCTAACAGAGCCTTTCCAGAAACTCCCGTCTCGCAATGACATACTGTTGTTTTAAACAAGTCCTGCTGGAATTATTGCGGCTGTGGTGCATGTGGCAGAGAAGGACTGTCCCTGAGGATGAAATAGTGCTGACATTCTGCACTGTAGATGGAGTCATGAGTGCTGTGGGGAAATGAGGATGGGCGAGGGACAGTGAAATAGGGAGAAATGATCACTTAACATTGTTATAAATTCTCTCTCACTATACTTTAATTGCAAAGGAACTCCAAAAAAGATAATATTTAATTATATGGACTTAATGCCCTGAGTACATGAAAGGAGAATGAAGTGCGTCAAAGAACTTGGAAATAAGGGAAATGAGGCCACTTTGTGAGAGTCAGGCTATCACAGTGGTATACATGGAATGAAGCATAGGTAGTCACCTGAAAGAGACCTTTTTGGCATGTGAGGGAGCGTCTCAGAGAGCTGCTTTATATGTACTCCAGCGCATGTCCAATTCTTCTGCACTGGCCTCCTCATTTGCTGCCATGATGTCACCTGTCTCTTGGCTGTCCCTTCTGGGACACTGGATCAACTAATGACTGATAACTAATGGGAGCTACACCTATCCTTCTGAGCCCGTTTTCATGAGAGGATCATTGTTTGTATCATTTTTGTACGGGTCCTGCCCCAGGTCTCCACAATGCAGCATTTATAACATCATGCTGTAAATTTAATGAGGATTTACTTAAGGTTTGGTAGAAAGGAATAGCTGTAAACTATGGGGAAGAATTGATAACGGTTCCTAAGCCCAGACTCACCCTCAAGTCAACTCCAGGTGTGGTCCCTGTTCTCTCCCAAGCTACTGCCAAATGGCTCCAGGCCACCTTCATTCTTCTGCCTTCATATCCAGACTTCTTCATACATCTGAGTCCAGGAAAAATTGTCTTTGGCTCCAGAAAGAATTTGTTATTGTTTACCCCCACCCCAATGAAGGCTGTCTCTGTAATGTGTTTGTCTTGATCCCAGCTGCATTTTTAGCACCTAGCAAAGGGCCTAAGACATGGTGGGTTACAGTTTATTCATGCAATAAATATTAGGTGAATGAAAAAAGCAAGAATGGTCATTTTCTGTTTGTTTATACCTCTCTGGAGACTTGACAAATACATTGTATTAATCAAATTAACTAGCACTCTGATCATCCTTTGGAAGAAAGCAAGGGCCCCTGAGGTTATCTGAGGATATATTTTCTGACTGATATACATTATAGGCCAGATGATGACTGCCATTTGTTCATCCTCTTTTGGTTTAGGAATTTGATAACACACATTCCTCAAAGATTTTGAAACCCCTACAAATAATTAGGTGAATTTTAATCACATGGCCCAGTGTACTGATTTTTAAGATGGTTTTATAAATTGTTCATCTCAGACAGAGCAATAGTTTTAGTCAGTTCTCTGAAACTCTATTTGAGTGTGGTCCCTACAAGAACAGGATCATCACTTGGGAGTTTGTTAGAAATTTAGACTCTCAGGCCTCATCTAGAACTTCTGAATCATAATTTGTATGTTAACAAGATACAAAAGACCAAAAGAGGATGTGTGTATGTATATTAAAGTTTGAGAAGCACTCCAAGGAGTCATGGGTCTTGGGAATCTTGTTTAAATTCCTTGTTCTCAGTGTAGTCCACATTCACAGAGGAAGAAAAGTTTCCCTTTGATTAGGGTTTTCCTTCTGTTTCTCTTCTCCTGTTAAGACATCATACCTCTCTTGATCTGAGTGAAAAGAGCAGGGTGGAATACGGTGAAACATTTGCCTCTTACCTGCCTCTATACACTGGTAAGTTTCTACACACAAGATATGCATAGGAAAAACATCTGGGTATTTTGTCTGTAGCACCAGCTAACACCGTTGAAGAGACTAGAGGTTGTCACCATCAATCCAGCCACTTCCTGGATACTCTGTGCCTAGACAGGTAATTGCTATTCAATCCACCTCTTTTTGAACCTTTCCAACCCTTTAGAAAATTCCAGCTTTTAGATAAATGTAGGTTACTGAACCTAAACAGCAAATAATTGCAGCCCATTAAACTCTCAATAAGAAGATGGCCCTAGCTACTTGGGAGGCTGAGGCGGGAAGATTGCTTGAGCCCAGGAGTTTGAGTCCAGCCTGGGCAATAAGAAATACCCTGTCTCTAAAAGTAAAACATAAAAAATAAATTATATTTACAAAAAGAAAAGATGGTTCAGCTTTTGTCTATAGAGTGACTTTAAAATTAGGGCTGCTTCTAATCCTCTATTCAGACCCTGTGCACAACATCTATTTTATTGGAATTGTCTCCCCAGTCCTCATGAAATGAGTGTTAGAGATTGTGTCTTCAAGGTAGTTTAATTTCCTGGACCATTTTTTACCTTTCAGAACATTATGAATGGGTTTTCTTCTTCGCAGTTATTTTTGTGCTTATGTCAATCTTCTGTAATAGTTGTGCATATATGTATATTTCACAGTCTATATTTTTTCCACGGGTAAATTTTTAAAAAATTTCCCATCTCCACCAATTTTCAGGGCTGTTATATGGGATTACACGCCTATATTTTCTCATCATTTAAGCTTTTGATCTCTGTGCTATCTCAGATATTTTAGATTCTTTCTTCTGGCTGATTTGAGGCTTGACTTCTTTGTTTTCCCTTTTCTGTATTAAAATAATTTAAAAACCTAGAAGGCTCTTCTTGGCATGGCAGCTGCAACTTTGACTAAAAAGTCCTGTGGGGTACCACAAGTCTACCTCTGGCTAAGATGGACTCCTCTTCATACTATCTTTTCTAACAATGTTTCCAGATCCAACACAGGTTTTGATACCATTTCTCCGACTGCTCTCTATTAAACAGTAGTTTCCAGAAATTCCTATCTCTAAAAGCAACTTTATTTCAAAGCAGATTTTCCAGAGAACACTCTCAGTTTCCAGAACCTAATGGTTTCCACAACAGGCTGAGACGTCTCCCCCACTGGCTGGCGCAGTAACTGCCCGGATCTCCAAAACTTACCCAGGCTGGACTCTAACCTACCCTGACACTCAGCATTCTGACACTCCTAGCAATGTTCCTTCCTTTACCTTTTTTCTCTGAATTTTATTTTAGAAACTCAGCATTTGAAGGACTGGGCGTAAAACAATCACCTTCCACATACCACCCTTCCCAAGTACTTCCAGGAAGACTGTGGAGTAGCATCTTCACTGCATTCTGGTGCTGTTTTCTCAAACCTGTTCACACTGGTCCTGAATATTTTCAGTCCTGTTTATTTTATTTTTGTTACTTTCAGAGGGCTTTCATTTCTGCAATATTCAAAATTTTTTCTCTTCTATTTCTTTCTTATTATCCTGCCAGCTCATTTTAATTGACAGCATTTTTTTGAGTCCTTTTAAAAAAGAGATGTAATGCTCTCCCTAATTTTGTTTAGATTATGGTATTTTATATCTTCCATTTCCTTGATTAATTTTTGTGTGTGTGTATTCTTTGCGTACCCTTTGCTTATATTGTTTCTATTGTTTCTTCTTCTTTTTTTTTTTTTTTTGCAGTTTCTTAGCATGTGTTTATACCATTGTCTCTTTTCTGATTATTAACTTGTATTTGAAATGAGTTGAATATTTGCTACACAGTACTCTAAGGAGGGAAGAGATTGGGGTTGGGATAAAGGCAGGAAGAGCAGGAAAGCATGAGGTGCAGTAATTCACAACTTCAGTCTGGACTTTTTTTTTTTTTTTAACAAATAACTATTCACCAAATCAGTTCTATCCTAAATCAGTTCTATCCTTCTCCTGGTGGCATGACTCTCATAGGATCTTCAGCATTTATGATGTGGACTCACCAAGTTTCACCTCACACTATCCTATGGGTAGGTGTCCAGATTGTAGATAATAGAAATAATTGGTAAGATAATTCCGCCTTCGGTATGACCTTCCTTTGTATCTGTATCTATGGGATGTATCCTAATTCTCCTAGATTGTATGTCTCTATTCAGATACCCACTAGATTATCACTTGACAATGTGATCATTCTTAATTAATTAATTGCTTTACATGAAACTGTATTTCGACAGAATATTTGGCAGGAACATTTTGTGTTTTGGGTTTTGACACTGTGACTATTTCCTTGTTTTGATGAAGATTCATTCCCCCTTTTTTGTTAGGTGACTTTATTCTGGCATCTTTCCCCACATTCCCAGACTATATTTTTTTTTAATGAGGGTTCATTGAAGTTTTAGAGAAAATTGAGCAGAAAATCAACATAGAGAATAGAATAGACCTCCTAAACCTAGATCAACCTTCCGTATATTGAGCTCCTCTTAGGATGAATAATGAAAGAGACATCCATTCCCTTTAGACAGCAGCCTTATTTAGACAAATAGGTTTGTGGTTTAGCTTGACAGTCCCACAAGAGAAACATAAGATAATTTGGTGTTAATACATTTCCAAATGTCTTGGTTATTCATTTGCTTCCAAGTTTTGTTATTACATAAAGAAGAAATGTGGAAAACAGAAAAAAAAAAAAGAATTTCCAGCAATGAAAGCACAGAAGCGGGACAGTTGGAAGGGCAGCTTTTGTTAGGATGCTCTAAGTCCTCTCCAGGGGATGTGTCCTCTTCAGTAAGTAGTTATTTTGTCTCCTCATTGAGTAGCTGGGGGCCACACCCTATCAGAATCAATACGTTTCAACATCTGAGTCAACATCTGAATATGACCCTTTTATTCTACTTTCATTCTGACTCTTTCACAATTTGATTTCCTGTGTAGTTTACCTATAGTGAAACATATCTGCAGGCCAATCGCAATGGCTCACGCCTGTTGTCCCAACACTTTGGGAGGTCGAGGCTGGCGAATCACATGAGGCCAGGAGTTTGAGACCAGCCTGGCCAACATGATGAAACCCCCGCCTCTACTAAAAATGCAAAAATTACCTGGGTGTGGTGGTGTGCACCTGTAGTCCCAGCGACTTGGGAGGCTGAGGCATGCAAATTGCTTGAACCCGGGAGGTGGAGGTTGCAGTAAGCCAAGATCAAGTCACTGTACTCCAGCATGAGTGACAGAGCAAGACTCTGTCTCAAAAAAAAAAAAAAAAGAATATATATACATGTATATACGTATATAAGTATATATATGCATGCATATATATACATATATACGTATATACATGTATATATATACATATATGTGTGTGTATGTGTGTGTGTGTGTGTGTGTGTGTGTTTGTATTTTATATATATATGCTTATTTAGCCTGTTAACATGAAAGTTTTCCTTGGCTGTTAACCTTCTTTTTTTTAAATTTAATTAAACATTCTGAGTTTACCATTGAGTAAGCTTTGATAGCATGGTTTAATATTCCTAACTTAGATAGTCTCCAAAACAAAGAAGAAGTGGAATTTCAGAGCATGCAAGGCTGATGGCAGCCCCAGAATGTGGTCATCACACCAAGTATATGTACCTGAAGGGAGTTAGTCTTGTAGACAAGGCATGCTTTTCTGGCATGGCTGCTTCAGCAGGATGGGGACCACTTAGATTTGAACCCCCACCACATATACATTGATTACCTACAGGAAAAACTGATGGGACATTCAAACACTGGTAGAGTTAGATGTATCTAATGAATCCATTGTCATAACTCAGCCTTCCACACAACCCCAAGAAGCTTCCAAGCCTAAAATAATTTTAACCAATGTTTTGAGTAGGCAGGTCCATGCAAACACACCCCAAAGTCAAGGAAGCTGAGAGGCCAAAGAAAGAGGCTGACAAATCCAATTGTTTGGAAAGAAACATTTAACAGGGGCTTATGAACAGAAGCCATGTCTGCATCTCAGATGGTGACAAGACAAGGTGGTAGATCCCCATGCCACTGCTCCCCAGACCTAGGAATTATACACTGTAGGGGAGGGGCACCTGTGCTTCAGAGGGAATGGATAGAAATTTGCCACCAGGGCAGGATTTACGGTCAGCACTGCTCTTACACAAGGAACAATAGAGAGAGAGGGAGATCACACCCAAGATGGAAGCTGCAGCATCTCGAAAGTACAGCCCATCCCATTGGCCACATTCTATTCATTAGAAATGTGTCACTAAGTCCAGCCCACACTTCAGGTGGAGGGAAATTAAGTTCCACCTCCTGAAAGGAGAGAGATGAAGAATTTGCAGACATATTTTTTAAACCACCAAAAATATATTGTTTTAGTCATTATTACCCTGTGAAATTTGTATACTAGGTTTCAAGACATGTATCATGTTCTTTTATATTATCATTAAAACAAATTGCATATTACACATTTTAACTTAATGAACTTCAATGTATTGGGTTTGTGTGTGTGTGTGTGTGTGTGCACGTGTGCGTGCAAGAAAGAGAGAGGCTAGGAGAGAGAGAAATAATACCTATTTAAATAGTGCAAGGGAAAGAAAACACAATACAAGCTACTTCATGGGATTCAGATTTGAATTAACCAGCTACAAGAGATATTTTAAGGAATACTACACAGAATTTGAATGTAGACTGGATATTAGGTGATCTTAAGAAGTTAGAAATTTTGTTAGGTATGAAAATGATATCGGGCCATGAAAGAAAATGTCCTCTTTGGAAAAAGGTACTGACTGACATTTTTTGGGGGTGAATATGGTATCTGTAATTTATTTTACAATTTTAACCTCCTTCCAAAAGGTGAACAAATATGCCAAAATTAGCATTTGTCAAAACTTAGTAAAGGTTATGTGGCTGTCTGGTTTACCATTTTCTACTCCTCTGTGCTTGAAATTTCATAATAACAAGTCAAAAAACAAAAACCAAGCAAACAAAAAAAAAATCAGTGCAGTGCATCTGCCTCCATTGGAGTGCACAGGCCAGGGAGTGAGGTGGAGGCGAGAGTGTGGGCTTCCTGCAGGGTCAGTGTCTTGCCATGTCGAAATAAACTCCATTACAAAATGATATTTTATATGTGTTTGTTCATTTATAGACTGTTTATTGTCTATTTGTCTATTCAAAATTGTTTATATTTGATTTCATAGGCTATTTTAGAGAATTTGAAACTATTTTGACATCATCTAAGTTTTGCCTATTATAATGCTGTTAGAACTGAAACCACAGTGACTGGGTTTTGTGTGTGTGTGTGTATGTGTGTGTGTGTGTGTATATGTGTGTTCGTTTGTTTTGAGACAGGGTCTGGCTCTGTCACTCAGGCTGGAGTGTAGTAGCACAATCTCTGCTCACTGCAACCTCCACCTCCCAGGCTCAAGTGATCCTTCTACCTCAGTCTCTCAAGTAGCTGTGACTACAGGCATGCACCACCACATCTGGCTAATTTGAAGTGACCGTTTTAATAAGGGTGTCTATAAAGGCCACCCAAAGCCAACATATTTTGGTCTATACATTCTGGAAAATGGCAATACAGGATTCTCTCTGGTTCTCAGTCTGCCCAAATGATCCAATCAAATACAGTGGGTTAGAATGTGTGAAAAAGGGCAACCTCCAAACCAGGTGAATGTATGTCATGATTCATTTTGCCCCAAGTGAGACAGCTTCGAAGGAGTGGTTTGGGCTCGCCAATGTTTGTAGCTTAAGTCTCTGATTTGCCCAGTCTCAGTGCTAGATATTGACAGCTTGGGTTCGAGAGGCTGAGAATACTGTGGAAGAGGCAAGGTCACCAGATAAGAGTGTGACCATGAGACCAAGGGGTAGAGAGAGAGATCCAACAGTGGGGAAACTGAGATAGCAGAGGGGAATGAGGGCTCGGAGGGAGCTGGGAAGGAGGGGCGATTGCAATTGAGGATGGAACCAGAGACCGTTGTTGAATTTAGGGTCAGAAAAATCTGTTGTCTAGATGAAGAATTAAATAGAGCAAAGACAATTGTTGCTCCAACTCCAGGTTTCACTCATAAAACAACGTGGGGTAGGTCTGCAGTTACCGAGTGAAGGAAACCTTGTGTCTAATTGATCCTTTTGAACATTTACCTGTAATGATAGAATTAAAACATGATCTGTGCAGCCCTCCTGCTGAAATGCTTCAAGCATGCAGTGCATGGGGGGCCGATCAGATCTCATTGCACCTCCCACTAAGGCGATGCTCAAATCTGTCATAACCATCCTCTGAATTCCATCTTGGAGGGAGCTCGTTCCATCTGTTTGTCACGAGCCCCAGTTGGAGCTGTGTGAATTTGAGCCCTTTAAAAATGGTTTTCCCTCAAAAGCTCTTTATTTGTGTGTACGTGTGTGAACTTCCCCAACAAATCTCAGATGAAGTTCACCTAGACACCATTACCACTCTGTAACTTAGTAATGGATGATATGCAAGCATAGCCTCTTCACTTCTGCTTGTAACAAAGCTGATTCCCATTCACTTGCCAGAACAGCATAAAATTCACCAGTCTCGCAGTGGCTTTGCCCACTCTGCAGTGCTCATCTCATATTTTTATCAGCGTTTGTCAGAGACTCAGGGTTCAAACTATTGGAGGTCCAGATGACATCTGGCTTCTCAGCTCCCCCAGAATACTGGCTGCAGTGCTTATCAGTGCATTATTCATCAAAACTGATGATGCAAGGTACAACATGCTGTCTGTCGTTCAGTGTATGAGTCGAAAGGAGTTGGCAGAAATGCCTGGTGTTCTGTGAGCAGCATGTGATCAATAGTCTGGGTGCTTGTTCACTTCGTGTTGATGACTATTCCCTCTGGTACATTTCTGTATATTTTTGGGTTCACTGTACTACCAGCTGTGCAATTTTTCTTCCTCTGTTCCTCATACCAGCCCTGATAGTCAGAGCAGAAGGATCAACCTTTTAGTGTGGTGAGTGTCAAATCAAATAATCTAACGACCAAAAGCAGGGCAGCAGGCACTGGCAAAAAGAGACAGTTCCAATAATTTCCGAGTGTACTCAGTAATAAAATCAAATGAGCTGCGCTGATATTCAGACTTTCTGCTATTTGACTCAAATTAAACAATGCCAATACTCCCCTTTGCTCCTTCTCAAATGACAAATCATTGGCATCCCTCTTCCCATTTTCTCCATTAAGAGTGTGTGTGTGTGTGTGTGTGTGTGTGTGTGTGTCCACTACTGTCTGTAAATCCCATTCCCTCAAATTAGAGGGGACTTAGTTCCCTTTGTTAATGACAAATGCTCAACATTGTCACTGAGTTGAAGAGTGTGAGATGATGTTGTTAGAAATTGCACAAGATGTTCTAGAATCAATACTGAAATCCACCTTGTAATATCTGAGATGAAGAAATTAATTTTCACTCACAAATTAAGCAACTGTCCATCTCCTACAGCTTTCAGAATTTTTTTTATTATTTTAAAAGGATGTTTGTCCAGACATAAGGAAATATAGACGTTCAAATGAAAAAAGCTAGTTTTTTTTTTTTTTTTTTTTTTTGAGACAGAGTCTCGCTCTTTTGCCCAGGCTGGAGTGCAGTGGCGCGATCTCTGCTCACTGCAAGCTCCGCCTCCCGGGTTCACCCCATTCTCCTGCCTCAGCCTCCCAAGTAGCTGGGATTACAGGCTCCTGCCATCACGCCCAGCTAATTTTTTGTATTTTCAGTAGAGACGGGGTTTCACCGTGTTAGCCAGGATGGTCTCGATCTCCTGACCTCGTGATCCGCCTGCCTCGGCCTCCCAAAGTGCTGGGATTACAGGCGTGAGCCACCGCGCCCGGCCGAAAAAAGCTAGTTTTAAATGGCCAAATCAGTCTCAAGTTTTAATTAACCTTTTAGCAATTATCTTAGAAAATCTTTAAGATTTTAACATTCCTTGTAATTTGGAGTTTTTAAGAGCTCATTTAGAGGCACCGCTGTCTCAGGCAGCAGTGAAATGTGTTGTTCAGCAGGTGATTTGAAGGCTGGGTGGCCAGCATGCACCCTGGTGTTGGTCCCATGTCCATGGCTTAATAGCTGTGTCCATCATTTTTGTCAGACCTGATGATTACTCCATGATCACCACAAAATGTTAACTGGTCTCCTGTGTCTCCACACCTCTTAGGCATTAAAAAAAGAAGGATTGTTTATTTTTAGAATGAATAAGTCTGGCTAGCCTGATTTCTAGTTGACAGTGATACTGTTTTGTCACAATGAATACCTCAACAGGAATTCCAAACCCTAGAACTTGCTTTGGACTCAACACATCTAACCACTCTTCAGCTGATATCCACTTGCTGACAAATGAATCTCTCTGGCCCCTGGACTGTGCCCTGAAACACAGCTTAAAACAGTTAAGTGCATAGACAATATGCCACAACATGGCACAGCTGTAGATGGGATGGGACAAAAAGAGGCAATTGTTAGAGTAGTTACTGAGGTCACAAATTCAATTTTGGTTAGTGTTATGGTTCAATCATGGGCTCTTATTCAGACTGCCCAGGTTCAAATCCTGGCTCTGCCATTTCCTAGCTCCGAGGCCACTAGTACAGTTAATTAATCTCTCTGTTGTTCAATATTATTCTATGTTAAGTGTAGGTAATAATATTAGTCAGGACATAAGTTGTTGTCAGGAATAAATCGAGGTGTATCATGTAAGGGATTAGCAAGCCCCTGGCACCTAGTAAGTGTTCAATGAAAGTTATCTATTATTGCCAGTGACTAGCAAATTGAGACTTTGTAATATTTATTTCCATTCAATTCTATTCAACTGCAACAGTATTACTGCATATCTAACATGTTAAAGCATTGTCCTACGTGTTGAGGGATAAAAGTATAACAAAAATATGGCTCTGACCTCAAAGAACTTAGCATTGATGGAGTGAAGTTATACCTGGCTAACAGCAATGAAGGTTTGAAAATACCAGAACAGAGGCACAAACCATGTTTACACACCATTTGGGTTGAAGGAGAATCTATGATTCTTACTTGAAGTGGAAAGGAAGATGGTAGAGGACAACCAGCTGATCATTTGAGCTAATCTTGGGATGATAAGTCAGAATTATTAGTAAAAAAAAGATTGGAAGTGTGAGAGGCTATTCTGATGGATTTTGGGGTGCAGGAAGATGGGAAGTTGTAGGGATTGTTCTGAGACTGACAAATGGTCTGATACACATGAAGCATGCATCTTATTTCATGGGGAGCCTGCATGACACAGAGAAAGGAGCATCAGCTTTGGAGTCGGTTTGACCTGTGACTGGATCTTTGTTCTGTCTCAATAGACATGGCCTGGCCATGATGCGGAACCTCACATCCGTTATATGTGTAACGATGATGATGATAATCACATATGTTCCATAGTGTTGTTGTGGGCATTTATGGGAATAATATAGGTAAAGCACTTGGCATTTGATAGCCACCAATGAATATTTTCTTTGTGGAGCAGAGAGTAGGAGGTTTGCTCAGCAGTTTTTCAGATAGCCCAAATGCCAGCTGGAGCTCCCCTGTGCTCTGAGGCTTAGGGAAAATAGACCCAAGCCCCCAGTGCACTTTCTATGCTGTCTCCACATTGCCAGGTCACTTCTGGTTCTGAGCTTCACCCTAACTCTCCTCGTGCCCCTTGCTTCTCTTCCAGAAGCTGTCCTTGAGCTGAGAACGGTAGGATGAAGTTTTTTTTTTTCCCTAGGCAGAATGAACAGTAATCCCAGAGATCCTGAGATGAGAAAAGGGTGTTTGACTTATTCAAAGAAGACCAAGGAAGCCCAAAGACCAGAGAAGAGTGCAGGAAAGGGGCGGCGGTCTGAGATGCAGTCAGAGCAGTGGCAAGCCCCCAGAGTCTGTGGCAAAGACTTCAGGTTTCATCCTGAAGAGGAAGACAGGTCTTTGGAGAGTTTTGATCAAGGAAGTGAGATGAAATATCTTAGGCTTACAAAGAACTACTCTGACATCTAAATGGAAAATGGACTGATGAAGCAAAAGAAGCCACAAGGAAGCCAGTTCAGAGGCTATTGAAATGCTCCAGGTGAGAGATGATGGTGGTCTGGATGAGGGATGTAAGAGTGGAAGTGGTTAGAAATGCTCTAGGGAGAAGTAAGATGACCCATTTATTGATTGGATACAAAGCGGGGAAAAAGAGGAGTCAACGGTGTGTCCAAGGTTTTTAACCAGAGCAACCAGGGTCATTACCATTTACTCCACGGGGAAGGACTGAAGGAGGAGCACATGTGGGAGGGATGAGTTCTGTTTTGTATATGCTAAATTTTAGATGACTTTTCCCATTGACCATCTGTGTTAGTCTGTTCTAACACTGCTGTAAAGAACTACCTGAGACTGGATAACTTACAAGCAAAAGAGGTTTAATTGACTCACAGTTCCACATGGCTGGGGAGGCCTCAGGAAACTTACAATCATGGTGGAAAGAGAAGGGGAAGCAAAGCACATCTTACATGGCAACAGGAGAGAGAGAGAGAGAGAGAGAGAGAGAGAGCACGCACAGGGGAAGTTGCCCCTTTTAAACCATCAGATCTCATGAAAACTCCGTCACTATCAAGGGAACAGCACGGGGGAAACCACACCCATGATCGAATCACCTCCCACCAGGTCCCTCACTCTACACATGGGGATTACAATTCGAGATGAGGTTTGGGTGGGGACACAGAGCCAAACCATATCATCATCCATCAGGTGGAAATGTTGAGCAGGTAGTTGAACACATAATTTTGGAGTTCAGGGGAGAAGTTAGGGTTCAACATTAAATTTGGAATGACACCATTCTTCACTATTGGATGAAAATATTACATCTACAGCTTAAAACTGTGGGCAATAACATGCATTTTTATTTCTGACAAGGAGGAAATAAATTTTTTCTGGGTTAGTTTGCTGTAAAGACCAAATACTCTGCAGTGCCTAGGAGGCAGGAGCCTGGGAATAAGTCCAGCTCCACATGTTGGCCTGTGTGTGTTGTCCAGTGAGGGAACTGAGAGTCCAGCACCAATGAATGTGACACACAGAGGCCCAAGTCTTGGAAGAGGAAGCAGAAATCAAAACTGCTCCAGAGCACATCTGGAAAAAACAAGCAAAGCTCATCTTCCTTTATTTTGTGTTTTGTAACACTGAGCAATTTGATTAAAACAAATCAGCAGGACAAAAAATGAAGTTGCTTTTCTGTGGGGAGACAAAATCAATGAGAAGAATCAAGGTTGAGTAAATATCTTATGGATACTCAGGGGAGATAATATTCCAATTTCCAGAATTTAAAGGAAAATTTTTAGAATTAGTTGTTTTCTAAAACATAAAGTTACTTTTATTTTGTACCTTAAATGACATTGAAAGTATGGGGCACTTGTAAGAGTAAATAGTTCACACCTAAGAAGGTCCCAAAAGTGCTTATAATATGTTTTTTACCAGATAAGATGTGGACATTTAAAATAAAATAATGTCTTTACAAAACTATTTGCATAAGTGATTTAGATAGAGTTGGCATCTAAACCAGATTTGGTGACACAGGTGAAATGATCTGATTGGCTGTCATAAATTTCAACCCAGGCAATGACACTGGAAAAGAATCAATGCCTGCAAGTGTGTCGCCATGGTGGTGCACCACTCAGAGATGCCTCCAAGGGTGAACCTGCTACAAAGAGTGCGCATGGCCAACAGCCCCTGGTTGTGCTGACTTTGGGATCTGCCTCAGCTTTTGAGCAGATATCAAGCACTTGCAAGGCAGCCTCCTGCCAATGACTGAGCAAAGCAGCAGTAGATGGGCTTGCAATTTATTTCTGGACGGTGAGATGCTCCTTTTTGGGCCCTTCTTGTGCTGGAGCTACTCGTTGTGTTAGCCGAGGCTTTCCCAGGGCTACACCATGGTCTGAGGCTCTCCTCCCTGTTCTTTCTTCCTTCCCTTGCACCTTTGCAAGGTGTCAGACCTCCATCATGGTCTAAAAGGCTTTTCCTAACTGCTCTTGTTTCTTTTCCCCTTTCTCTTTCAAGTCACTCTCCCCAGTTAATGTCTTGTGCTTCTAGCTCTGTCTTGGCATCTGCTTCTGGGAGGACTCAACTAGTTTATTGCATTATCTTTTACTTTGTCATATCAGGGAGCCCCCAGGGAAGATGTGGGAAGATAATAATTAAGCTTGCTTTTATTGTTTTTCTTTTATTTGTATTTTCCCCATTAATACCAATTTTTGCTTTTTAGGAAGATATGACAAACTCTAGGTCATTCCTTGTCTCCGATTCCTGCTTTTCAGATTTCTGCTCTGGCTAGGTTACATAGATTCTTTCTGAGAGAGAATTTAGCAGCTCTCAGGTTAACACTAACCTTTTGATTTAGTGTGAATAGTAACCGTTTGATTTTTAAAAAGTATACATCTTTAAAACGTAAATTTTACTCTGACAACTAAAAAAACTACAAATTTTTATCCACTATTTTCCAATTCTTCCTTGAAGTCCTCTGATGCAGAATTGGTTTCTACCAAACATAACAGATTTATATTCTCTAACCACAACATATTTAGAGAGGAAAGATTGTGACGGTGAATCTGAAAACAACTGAGACGAAGTTGGGGTGGGTTCACCCAAATCCAAGCTTTCCTCAGATAAGAATACCAGGGCTTTCCTGAGCACAGGGCTCATTGTCAATGAATCCCCACAATTGCCAACCTCTTAGTGTCCATGTATGATTTTTATCTGATTTTTGTTTTATAAGTCTTACAAGACCCATTATCCTTCTTTCTTATTTCTCAGCTGAACAGAATCCCGACATAAGTTTGGGATCATGAACCCATGACATCAACATAGTCAGGTTGAGTATGAAGAACACTGTGCTGTGGTGACAGGGAGCCTGGTTTTTTCCTGGTTTTGGCATTAGCTCTATGTGTGACCTCAACCAAGTCACTCAAGCTGTTACAGTCTCTCTATGTGGATGAAATGAAGGGGTTGAAATAGCTACTCACTGTAGCTCTGAATGGCTATAATTCTATGAAACTAGAAAAGAATAAAATGTGTTTATAGTCATTCTCTGACCCTATTTCTCCTTTTTTAATAAACAAAACACAATCCTAAAACACGTTTGTTTTTTCAAAGACAGTTTTTGCTTTATTCACACTCCTTCCTCTGCTTTGTGGGATGATCTCAATGAATTTCTGAGGAACTGAGAAGACCAATTTCCAAATCATCTGGAGTAATTAATTCCAGTGGTTGGAGTTAATTATGATTAGGCAATTCATAAAGTATACAGTAGAAAAAAAGCAGCAATTGATGAGACTTCATCTGCAGTGAGATTTTTTTCAAAGGCATTCTTCTGGCAATGCATTTCAAAGTTAAACATATGTGTGCTTCAATGGTGGGAAAATAGTTTACGAGGGTATCATTAGGTACGGGTTTCAATTATGTGCATATGGCCCTATGTATATTTTTACAGATATGATACATGGCTAATTGGTGTATAACATGGGAAAATTAATGACTATAGCAAAGACCTCCACTCTGTCATGTTTTTTATACTATTTACTGTAGTATATTTACCAAAAAATCCATTAGTAAAATGGCATTATATTATGAAATAATTTTAATATCTATATGAAAAATTAACAGGAATATATTGAGTATAAAAACAATAATTTGGGAAGCACTCTGTATTATAAAAATAAAGAATTTGTAATAATGCAATAACAGGCTGTATTTCTGTTTTATGATTCTGATAATAAAGCACTTAAGTTCCACTTTCATGGTTTATGCTGTTATCAGAACCCCCTAATATAATTAGATGGCCTTGTTTTAGATAATTACTTATATTTCCTTATTGCATAGCAAAAATCCCACTGGAAAAATCCTCAATATTTTAAATGTAAGAGCTATATTGCTGGAATAGGCCAAGAGAACTGGAAATCAACTTTACTCATAATACAGGGGCCAGGATTTTTGCAAGCTGGGTAAAAATGATAATACCACTCTCTTTCATTTTTACTTTTTTTATATTTCACAAATTGATTTTACTTTCATGATTTCTCTTATACTATTCTCTTACCACTCCTGTGAGTTAGTTGTCATTATCCACATTTTATAGATGGGGAAGTTCATGCTGAGGGGTTGTGGTCAGATTAAGTGGTGGAGCAGAGATTCAAACAAACACCCATCGTCTTACTCTAAAACTCCATTCTACTCACAACTTTTGAAATCACAAGAAAAACAATCTGGTTAAGAAGTATCATGAGTATGGTATGCTTTGCAATGTTGTGTTTAAAAGTTTATTATTAAAATGTATTTCTGATCCTTTCTCAGAAATGCCTATACTTCACCTTCCACCTTGGAGTTAGATGCCTGGGTTCTAAGTCAGGTTCTGTTATCAACTGACTTTGCGTCCTTAGCCAAACAACTTGTCCACTCCAAAAGGTGGTGGTGGTGGCAGGGTTTGGACAGTTTGGGAATGGGGGGATTGAACTCTTTTTCTAGATCTAAAGCATCTGATTCAAATTTTCTTAAACTAAAATTAACATACTGCTGACTGATTGACGATATCATTGTCATTTATGACACCATACTGTAATGTTATAGGATGCGATCAATCACTCAGAAAGTTTCCTTCAATAAGGACAAGCTAAAATAAGCTTGCATAAGATATTTACTTAGAAAATTATTATATCTGGAAAGTTTTTCTCTAAAATATCTTATATAAATAGGGCTAAACTTAGCCTACTCTGAAGTAAGAAAAAGAAAAGAGAAATAAACACAAAAGAAGGGATAGGAAAAAAAGGGAAGGAAAGGAAAGGAAGAGAAGAAAAATTCTCAAACATTAATTTACCTAGTCTTAATAATTTTCATATTTTTGTATTAGGTTGGTGAAATAGTAATCATGGCTTTGTCATTACTTTTAATACTAGTTTAGGATCAAAATCTATAGAAATATTTTAGTTATGGTGAGTAGGAAAACAATCTCACCAGTCATTTGACATTAACATAAGCATGCTTGCTCACATTTACTGTGCTAAATTACATAGAATTGTCTAGAAATGGTACAAATGCATTTACAATCGAAAATGCAAGTGTAGCTCAAATAATCAAATAATTGTTAAAATACTGCCCACACCTGATAGATAAATTTGGAACTAATTTCAAACTTTGTTGTAAATACAAGCATTCAACTTTTGCTCCTGAATGTCTATGACATTTCAGGTAAAAAGTTGTCAACTAAAACATTTCTATTTTATATTTCAGCCCAAGTTACATATGTTTCTTGTCTTATGCATTTACAACAAGCCCTGGTCAACTTTGTCCTAAGGAAAAAAAAAATCAATGTCTTAATGACAGCACTGTTTATTATGGACTAAGCATTTATGTATATAATTTACTTCTATCTTCTAAACAACCCTGCAACTCAGGTATTGTTGTCTCAATTTTGCTCATAAGAAAAATGAACTTAGTAGTATTTACCTGCCTCTCAAGGTCAGTTGGTTTCATTAACCACAAAACCTACTGTCCAGTTTGTTTCATTAACCACAAAACCTACTGTCCACAAAATCTTATCACTGATTTTAGTAATTTATGCATTTATATGGTAGGAAATATGCATACCAGTGTGGTGGAAATCTCTCTGTATTGGTTTTCCTGGATCATAGGGGAATTGTAGATGTGTTCATGAGTAGTTACCAGAAATAAAATTTTCCCCCAAGAGGAAAATTCCTTTATATTTGGGGATGGGTATCCATTAGTTATCTAAACTGATGCCCTTTTGTGTTCATTTATATTTTCTGTATTCCTGCCCATTCTCAAACTTTTCTGGGCTTCCTCTCACCCCCCAGCAAATGCCCAATTTTTCATGAGAGAAGGCATGACCTGGGACATTTGCCTATTTTATATATAGAACTATAAAGATAACGATACCCACCAGCAAATGAGGAAACCTGTGAGCTGTAAATGCCTGTGTCTCCAACTAATTCACAGAATTCCCTCCAAGGGAGGGACTTATTTTGCATTTGAACTCCAAAACACCTTTCAAGATTGTTAAACTTAACACCAGCCTGAAAATCCCAGTCATGCTGGAGATCAATTAACTGCTTCCAGAGCTCTACTAGCAACCCTTTAAGATGTTTGCATTTTAGAGTAATTTGGCCATTATCACATTTGCATCAAATGAAAACACATCATTATTTTGAGTGATAAGATGTTCAGTTAGAATACTCAAACCCTCTAGAAGCTTGCTTCTTTACCTACTTACCTTATCTAATGGTCAGATACCTTTTTCAGATGCCTTTTTTCCCTCTGTATCAGTGTCGAATCTCAGCTTGTCTTCTTCCGTACACTTGTTTTATTTGATTTCATTCTTTCCACTACATGATTGCTTCCCACATTCCCACATTAGGATTTATATGCTCTGAATATCCCACTCTTACATTTTTCAAGACAACTTTCTCCTGTTGCTTCAAAATTTATTACTTGACTACTTGATTACCTAATTATTTGCCATTAACTTTAACATTTTAAAATAATCTTTTATGGCAACAATTGGAGCTCATTGTAGAAGATTTATACAATTAGATAAGGAGTAAACAGAAAATAAGAATCACTGCAGTATCAGCCACCAGAAATAAACACTGTGGTGTATAATTTTCTTTATATTCAAGGATATTTTTATTGTCAAATACTACAATAATAAATTATGCTGTACAAACTGTTTTGTAACCGATGCCCACAATATAACATGAATATATTTCTATCTTTCTATTCTTTTTCAGCCTCATTTGCAATGGTTTTATAGTTTTTTCTTATATGGATATATACAGTTTATCCAAGTAATTCCCTGTTGTTAGGCTTGAGATTATTTCCATGTTTTTGGGTATCTTAAACAAGCTTATGATAAACAACCTTGATAAATAAATCTTTGGCACATCTATAATTTCCTCAGAGTAAATTTGTAGAAGAGGGATTACTGGGATATAGCTTGTACACAATTTTAAGATTACAAAAATAGATACATTTTTACAAAACTTCATCCAGCATAATTGTACAAATTTAGCCTCGCTAATGGTGCTGATGGTTTCTGCATTACTATTTTTATCATCCCCAAATATTACCAATTTTAAAGTTAATTTGCTATGTAAAAATTCATTGATTTTACTAGCATTTATTGTAATATCTGAAAAAAAGTGCACTTACAAATTTTCCTGATCTGTCTTTATATATGTGTGTATATGTATGTATGTTTATTGATTCTTCATGTTCTTTACTCACTTATTTGTTAGAGTATGAGTTCTTTCTTTCTAATTAATTCGTGAGGACATTTCCTGTATTAAAGATAGTAAAACTTTAATGTTGTGTTTGTTATAAGTATTTTTTCTAGTTTGCAAAAAGTCTATCAATGATTGCATTTGTTTCAACAGTTCAAAAACATGTGAGGTCATCTTTCCTTTAATGAGCTTTTTATTTTGATATCACAATTATCAGCATATTTTTGACCTTTATATACATTTTAAGCTATAGTACAGCTTCTAGAATGTTTGTGTTTTACTTATAAAAAATATAGATTTGCATTATTTAAAAGAGTTTGATGTAGGATTTTTCTTCTCAGTCAGGTTGCAAGCTGGGGACCTCTGGCTGGCAATGCCCAGCCTGGGCCCCACTCAGCCTTGCTGGTGTGCCCCAGCTTGCCTGTGTTATAGCCTGTACCTGCGTTCAGTGGTCCTGAGCTCTTGTACCACACCCAAGAAGAATGAGGATATGCTGGACTTTGAAGGGTGAGGAGGGCAGAGAAGAATTTTATTGAGCAATGAAACAGCTTTCAGTGGAGAGAATGTGGGGGTGGTTCCCTTACCTGGAGGTGGGAAAATTCCACCTGTGGCTGGGTCCAGGACCTCTTATGGACTCAGAATGGGGAGTGTATGCTGATTGGCTTGTGAGTATGTAAAAAGGTTAAAGCGAAGATGCCACTCAAAGGTGGGCACAACAGTGTAGGAAAGCAATTAGGAAAGGGTAGGTACATGCGAAATAAGTAAAGAGTGGGGCTCAATCAGAGGAAAGTGCACCAAACGGGAAGACAAGTTCTCAATTCAGTTGGAAGATTTAACTTGTAGCTTGGCTTTCAGGCTTTAAACTGTCTTCAGCTTGGAGGTGGGGTTTCACTGGGGAAACACCCCTATCTGCCCAGGCATATTTGGCTGCCTCCTACCTCTCTCAAGTTCAGAACAAAACAACGGATTAGAAAGGTCATAGAGAAAGAGGCAGAGGAATCTCCCCTACTACATTTCCCTTACCCACAAGATGCTTCTGGGCTGGTGGGGAAACTTTGATGCTGATGGGACATGATCTTAGAGGAGGTCAGGAATAGAGGCTCATCTTGCCCAATCATGTGGGTAGAATTGTCGTCAGCTTCTGGAACAGAAGTGACAAGGAAGCAGGGTGCAAGCCTGGCGAGCACTATTTGTTGCCTGTTCCTCTGTCAGTGGTTCAGCACATGAATGTTGCCCATCTGTAGAGGGTTGCTTTCCTTTTGGGATCATCTCCCATATCCCAGATTTCACTGAGTCCCATCCAAACTGAGTGTGAAAGACCCCACCTTTCAAAGGTACCACTCCGGAAAAGAGGAGGGTGCCACTGACACCCAGAGGAACCGAGTGGTATGGAAAGGAAAACGAGGTACAACTGTGTCATGGGAAAACCCATTTTGAATGCTTTCTGTGTCGTGTCCGTCCCGCTTAAACATCTTTTCTGGCAAGAATTGGTCTTAGTCATGATGATATCTTCAATGCCTGAAGTGTAGTAGGAACTCAGTTTCATAGAAATTCATTAAACATGGTACATGAAGGAATTGTGTTGCTTTAAAATCTGTCACCATGTTTAATTACTTTCTGATGTCTGCTAGATAACGACGATACAAATTGTGTGTTATTAAAGTAGTGTGCAATTTACTTATTTTTAAAAGATAAGAATAACATGGTAATCGGGGCTATGTATAGTTTCAGTGTATCATCTCAACCTCTTAAATTTATTTTATTTATTTATTTATTTATTTTTGAAGACAGAGTCTCATGCTGTTGCCTAGGCTGGAGTGCAGAGGTGCAATCTTGACTCATTGCAACCTCCACCTCCAAGGCTCAAGTGATCCTCCCACCTCAGCCTCCTGAGTAACTGGGACCACAGGTGTGCACCTCCATGCCCAGCTAATTTTTGTATATTTAGTAGAGATGGGGTTTTGCCATGTTGACCAGGCTGGTCTCAAACTTCTGGCCTCAAGTGATCTGCCCACTTTGGCCTCCCAAAGTGCTGGGATTACAGGCATGAACCACTAAGCCTGGCCCTCAACCTCTTAATTTTAATGAGCAAAGATGAGCATGTCATTTTAAAACAAATGAAAGAGGCCAGAGGAAAATAATAATTGTAAATAATTATTGGGTATCTGCTATGTGCCAAGCACTATTGTATATGCTTTATGATTAATATTTCATTTTTCTTCACTACTATTATTTTGGTTCACAATCAGAACTACCAGTTTATGTATAAGGAAATTAGGGCACAAAGAAGTTTAGACAAGCATTTTTAAAAAGATGAGAGGAGTGACTTAGAATTTGCATTTAAAAAGTAACAGGAGACCAACTGGATATAGAAATTGAGATGATATAATTAAAGTCAATTACATTTTGCATTCAAATATTTATTATCACCTCTGTAGCTAGAACTATGCTAAGTAGTGAGAGGGAATCACGTTATTGGGCTGCTATACAGAAGTATTTATACCACAGTTTTAAAGATAACCACTGACCTACACTAGCATTTGATAATCAAAAGATAGGATAAATGTGTATTCCAATAATCAACAAGAAAGTTAGTGTATGGAGGAGTTTCCAGTCTGTTTGTGGAGAACATGTAAAAGCACACACAAACACACACACACAAGCAAGCTGTTTTTCTTTGTAAAGAACTTCAGTTATTGTTTTATCAAAAACATAAATCATTTGAACAGTACAGGAGAATCAATAATCTGATAAGCAAGTTGTAAGCAAGTTCCAAAAGATACCATAATGACATTAAATATTCTAGGTCGTTTGGCAGGAATGAGGTCAATGTGTTGCCTTTGGTTTGGATAAGGGAGGGTTGGGCCTTTAAGGCCTTTGTGGGGTTTTGAACATTTGGAAGGCAGTAAAAGAAGAGAGACTAGACATTGGATGGGAAAATAATCTGCTATTGATGGGGGAAAATTTGAGAATCACAACTTAAATAAAGCATGATGACCCTAAATAATAATATGTTGAGTAGAATATTAATTATTGACTTCATTACCTCATACGGTAATTGTGAATATTAAATAAGGTAATACTTAGGAAATCTTAGCCATGATTCTTGATTATTATGAACATATTTACTTTAAATGAAGTAATGCCTATAAAGTGTTGGACAGAGCAAATGCTTGAGAAATATTAGCTATGATTCTTTGCTGTTATGAAAATGTTTTATTCTCTGTGACTTTTTACTTCTGCTTCATAAGTTATATGAATACAATTCTATGCAGAGGTTTTTATTTCTTATTTACATAATCGTTACAGGTTTAACCTTAAGGAAGATGGCAGTGTTTTCTAATCATGTTGCACGAAACATCATTTATGAAGAATGTTTTGGGATGCTCTAGCAGATGATAGTATTTATCTGCCTTACTGGACTGCTCTATTTTATAACAGGTTGATTCATGAAGGTTTGCTGGAGTCAAGGTTGCTATAATGAACGTCCAATATGTGTAAAACTATTTGAGAAATCTTGGTTAATGTAATCTATCTCACATTCTGGAAGACATAAAAATAATAATGAATATAAAAGAAAGCAAACTCAAAATCTGCTGTGACTTAGAATTATAGAATCATTGAATTTTGGGCTGGAAGGATTTTAGAGGAGAAACTGAGGCTCAGAGTGCGCAGAATGAATATGTGGCTTATGGAAATTCACATACAGATAACAGCATCTATTATATTTTGTCTCATGAAGTCATAACAAGTAGAACATAAAAAGCTTTTGATAGACATAGCTCCATGCTTCCTTTTTATAATGTAAATGTCATTAAAACAGTTATGTTGTAGTCTCCACTATAACAAGGAAACATAATATTTGTTAGATGAATTGAGAAAAAATAATGATTTGATACCAATAGTTAGGATATAGGGCTGATTTTCTATTTGTTTTCTCATTTCTGCCTTCCTGAGATTCTCCTCTGTACTTGTTTTTCAATGAAACTCAGAATAGAGCCTTGACCTTCTCTCGTTTCTTGGACTTATTAGCTGGAGATAAGAATACAAGAGAAAAGTAAGACTATAGAATGGTTTCCTTGTGACTTCATTTTAGAATCAATGACACTTTATAAATGGCTATGTGACATCAGCAGACAACTTTGGTTATCTGCTATCCACATAACCATTCCCAAAACACTTAGAACTTTGGTTTTGCTATCCTTAAATGCGATTAAAAGGTGTACCTACCTCACTGTGTTGCTGAGACTTAAATTAGGTAATACTTTTAAAAAGATTACAGAGTGTCTTTTTAGAGTGTGCACTCATTATTCTTCCTATCAATCTTATTATTAGTATAATAATTGGCATCTGCCTGACACATACGAGGGATTTTGTTGAGTTAAAAGGTGTCAGATATGCCACAGATGTCCTCATGTTCTGTGGTAGGGACTATTGTATGACTGTCTCATCTTTTAAAAAATCCTGTTGGCTTCTAGCAGAATATATTTCTTGAATCTAACTTTACGTGGAAATTCTCAATATGTGAGTGCTAGTATAACACAATTTAATGACTTTCAGAAAGAGCACAACCTCCTTAGGACCACCTCAGCCTGCAGATCACTGATAAAAACAGCTGGAGCTAGCATCTGTTCCTTACAAATCTTTCAAAGTCATAACAAAACTGGCCTGATTTCATAAACACAGTATGAATTTCAGTTTGTGTGTGGGAAACATGCCTAGGAAACCTAATAAGACTGGACGCATATGATGAAGTCCTTGTCCTTTAACTTGCATCGAGAAGTGCCAATGAAGAGAGACTAAAAGGAAATAAAGTGTGCATTTGACAATTTCCTAAGTAAGCATGGATTTTATCCTTCCAGGTTGATGCAATTTGGCAAATCTGTGCCCTTTTAATGCTTCTCACCACTCTCAAATTACAGTGGGGGTAGGTTTGAAATTGATCACTCTGACTTATAGTCATAAAGGTAACAGAGTGAGTGAGAAAACCTAAAACAGGACTCCCCTTCTTTTTAAACACCAGCTTTCCTAACGTGCATTTTTGTCTCCAGTTCCTTTGGCCACGCTGTAATCACTAGTGAGCTCTTCTGGCAGTTATAAGTCACATGTCATGTGACAGATTTTCCTGTATGATTTTCATTAAAATGCTTTGGAATCCTGGGACAGAAAGAAATTATGTAAATGTAAGTTTTTATTACTGTTTTGTTTTTATTACTTTTTCTCCTCTGGTGTTTTATCGCCTCATATAATACAGGTAAATATGGTGATCCCATGTTGAGATGGGGGTTTGTATTCTAATGCCTCTGGTCTCATACTTTGCATTCGATCCATGCTAATTTAATTATCCATGATTTCTTAGGCAAAGAGAGGAATGCAGACTCCATGCTGTCTGCAACTACTTCAGTCATTCCTTTACTGCCCGTGACACCATGTGAGACCTGCAGATGCTAAACAACCTCTCCCTGCACCAGCTCAAACAAAAAATGCTAACCATATGCAACTCCAACCTGTTTATCCTTAAGCAATGCAAAGCCATGCAGTGCTACAGACGGGCAGTGGGGGAGAGCACAGAGCTGCCACTTCTCACAGGGTTGCCTTGTGAGAGAGCAGAGCATGGAAGCACAGGAATTTAGGGCAGGGATGGTTGAGCTGGGTTCTTTTCTTTCAACTTTTCTTAGTGATAAAGACAAGAGCTCCTCTGAAATTTTATTAACATGTGTAGAATTGATGAACTGTTACTTAAAAGGTTAGCCCCTGGATTTGAGATTAGGAGTCTGAGGTGTTTTTGGGGACTGTGGATTCTGAATTCCTAATTACTCTGAGACATGATCTAATAGCTACTGGTAAGAATTGAGAGTTTACCCGGAAAAAATAAAGAGTTTTAATTCATTTTAGCTCATATTTAATTTGAATGATAGTTTTCTGTAGAACACTATTTTTGGCATAGATCTTTTCAAAGCATTCTTCACTTTGGCAGCTGAAATTTCTGGAAAATAATCCTAAGAAATTATTAAATATAGAAAATTTAAAGGGCACTGTAAAATGAAAATTAGAAAATAGAAAGGATAGAAAAAATAACTCAAAATGATATTAGAATGTAAAGTTATAATCTCAGTTTTTTCCTCCCAGACTTATTTATTCATATTTAATATTTCTCCCCCTTTGAACTGTAAAACAATATAGTCAAATTAAAGAGTATTTTGGAAAAGAATAAAAAAGAATGCTTTACTACTCCAATTTATTATTTCCTTTGTGCATATTCTTGTTAAAATTTTCTTCCTCTGCAACCTCCTCACCCTTGATTATTATTATTTTCTCTCATTACCTGAGAGATACAAACAGATCTGGTGAGATAAGCTTAGGGAAATCTTTCCAAACATCCGGAACAAATAACCATATAAATATTAGAGACAGTGAGGTGGAAATCATAATTCTTCAATTTAGTGAAAAAAAATTGTACATTTTCTAGTTAAATCCAGTTTGTATAGGGGACCTATTTTCAGTCATCTCTCAGGTATTTATTCCTATGGATCATGGCATGTATGTGCCAAACTGAATCTAAATTGAATGAAACTATCTCTGTCTCTGTCCAAAAAACAATCTTGTGAGTCAGCACTGCTTACTCATCTTTAGTGGTCAAAACCTTGTACTATTGGCCAAGCACAACAGACAGATGGGAAGTAAAAATATAAAGAGAAGCTATAGTTCTTACTTCAGGCAAGAGTATCCATATCTGGATAGATACTCTCAGAAAGTAGTGGTTAAGAGCTCAGGTCATGGAGCCAGACTTCTTGGCTTAGAATACCAGCACCTCCACTCACTAGTTCTATGACCACGGGCACGGTACATAACTTTGCTGAGACTCAGGTTTGTAATCTGTAAAATTAGGATACTATTAGAATCTAACTAATTGGACTGGCATGAGGAACAAGTAAGCTGATGCATGTAAAAATACCCAGCAAAGAGCCAGACATACATATTATTATTGTTGTTATACTTAATATTTGACATTGTCATCACATTTCAAATACTGTGCAGGATATTTGATCACAACTAAAATCAAACTGGTAGTCAGCAACATATAAAAAAGATTATGTGTTATGACCAAGTAGGATTTATCCCAGGAATGCAAAGCTGGTTTAGCATCTGAAAAACAATCAGTGTAATACATCATATTAGTAGAATAGAGAACAAAATCCATGTAATTATCTCAATAGATACAGGAAAGGCACTTGAAAATATCAAACACCCTTTCATAATAAAAACACTCAACTGACTAGCAATAGTAGGAAGCTTCCTCAACCTGATAAAAGGCATCTCAGAAAAACCCACAGGTAATATCATACTTACTGGTGAATTGTAGTACACTTTTCCTGTAAGATCAAGACAAAGATGTCTACCCTCACCACTTCACTTCAACATTGTGCTAGAGATCCTAGCCAGAGCAACTAGGCAAGAAAAAGAATTAAAAACCACCCAAATTTTAAGGAAAGAAGTAAAACTACCTTTGTGATCGATTATATGATCTTATGTAGAAAATCCTAAGGAATCTATGCCAAAAGAAAGAAGTAATAAACAAGTTCAGTAAGGTTGCAGGTTAAAAGATCATGATACATAAATCAATTATATTTTTATATATTAGCAATGAACAATCTGAAAGTAAAACAATTTCATTTAAAATGACATTATATGTGATAAAAATAATTTAGAAATAAATTCAACAGAAGTGCAAGGCCTGTACACTGAAAACTGCAAAATGTTGGAAGAAGTAAAAGAAGACTTGAATAAATGGAAAGATATCTCATGTTCATGGATTGCAATACTTAATATTGTTAGGATAGCAATACTACCCAAATTGATCCACAAATTCAGTGCAATCTCAGCTGCCTTTTTTGTTTTTGCAGAATTTGAAAAGTGGATCTTAAGATTTGTATGAAGATATAAGGGATCCAAAAGAGTGCAATCAATTTTGAAAAAGATGAAAAAACTTGGAGGACTCAACACTTCCCAGTTTCAAAACTTACTACAAAGCTACAGTAAACAAGACTATAAGGATAGAAATAGAGATCAACAAAATAGAATTGAGAGTTCAGAAATAAACCCTACTTATCAAAATATTTATGTAGACCTTTTCTCAAAGGAGATACATGAATGGCCATTAAGCTTATGAAAAGATGCTCAACATCACTATTCATTAGGAAAATGCAAATAAAAATCATGAGATGTTGCCTCACATCCACTAGAATAGCTAAAGCAAAAAAAAAGCAACAACATAAACCATATAGGCAATAAGAAGTGTTGGTGAGAATGTGAGAATTTGAAGCCCTCATATAATACTGATGTAGTGCAGCCATTTTGGAAAAGAGTTTGGAATTTTCTCAAAAGTTTAAACCTCATGAACTGCCTTTTTACTCTAAGGAATAAACCCCAAAGAAATGGAAATTTATCTCCACATAAAAACCTGGATATAAATGTTCATAAAAGCTTATTTCTGATAGCCAAAAAATTAAAGCAATCCAAATGTCCTTCAACTGATGAGTAAACAAAAGTGGTACAGCCATACAGTGAAATATTTGAAAACAGAAATGAGTGAATTTGTGATATATACTACAACATGGATATATATGCCTAATAAATGGACTAAAAGCACTTCCTCATAAAAAAGCTTCTATTATCTTATAGAATGAAGAGGAGATTTCTTCATATAGACAAGATAAAGTATTTCCTTGGTGCTATACTTTATCCATGAAGAGAACATTCTCCTAAGTGAAAGAAACAAGTCACAAGAGACCAGATATTGTATGGTTTCATTTATAGGAGAGACCCAGAATCGGCAAAATCCATAGAGACATAGGTAGATTAGTGGTTGCCAAAGGCCGGGGGAAGGAAAAAAGGGAAGCAACTGCTAATAACTGTGGGATTTCTTTTTGAGAGAACTTTTTTTTTCTTTTCTTTTTTTTTTTGAGACAGAGTCTCACTCTGTTACCGAGGCTGCAGTGCAGTGGCACCATCTTGGATCATTGCAATCTCCACCTCGGCTCACTGCAATCTCCACCTCCTGGGTTCGAGCTACTCTCCTGCCTCATCCTCCTGAGTAGCTGGGACAACAGGTGCCTGCTACCACTCCTGGATAATTTTTGTATTTTTAGTAGAGACAGAGTTTCACCATGTTGGCCAGGTTGGCCTTGAGCTCCTGACCTCAGGTGATCCACATGCCTCGGCCTCCCAAAGTGCTGGGAGTACAGGCATGAGTCACCATGCTGGGCCAGACATTTTCCTTTTGAGGAAAATGTCCTAAAATCAAGAGTGATGATGGCTGTACCACTAGGGGTATATTAAAAAGCCATGAATTTTACACTTTCACAGGATGAATTTTATTTTGTGCAAATTATATCTCAATAAAGGTGTTAATAAAACAAGCCAAAATCTGGTTGTACATTTCTTTTCATTATTTTGCCTTTGCCCTTGCCTTTTATTTTTTCTAGAGTTTTTGTTCAAAGTCTGTGGAGTACTGGGGAAATCTCCAGTGACTACTCCTTAAGAGTAGTGTATCATCCTTCAGTGAATTCATTCCCAAGAGTCAACAGTATTATTTGGCTTCTGAAATTTATCAAGGCAACTTGTCAGTGTTGTTGCTTATCCTGCTTAATCACACAACTAAGAAAGAACACTCTGTAATTTTCCATATTAGTTTTAAAAAAATCTGTGGTCAGTTAGAGAATAAAAACATCTGGGAGGAGATCTCAGCATGGACACTTCAGTTCTCTGAACCTCAGTGAGCACAGGCTATGCTGACCAAAAGCAGGATGTGGGTTCCATGGGGGACCTTATGTTAGCATTGTATGATCTGGAGATGACCAGTGCTGGCCTATACAGAGTCTTTCAGTCAGAAAGCTCAAAGCAGCCTCCTATCATAAGAGGATGTTTATTTAAATTATTTTAATATAGCTTTTAAGGACTAAGAAGATTTATCTTTACGAAGCTAAAATACTGACTAAAAACACTCAAAAAAGCTTTTATTTTTCTATATAATGAAGGGCAGATTTCTTCATATAGACAAGGTAAATTCATCCCTGATGTTACATTTTTGCTCTAATTTGTTAATTGGCCAGTCTATAATAGCCTACACTGTAATCATTAAATAATTATACAATACTTTCATTATGTTCACTGTCTGCAAATAAACGTTTGTGAATAACTGCCATGTTAGACATTATTCAATTTAAAACCAAATGAAAGCAACATATATTCTCAGTTTTGTTACTTGTCAGTGAGGAAGTTAGAAAAAAAATTAGAAAATTTTGCAAATCAAAACTACAGGTATAGGTTAGAAAAGGTGGTGTGACCATGCTATTTCCTCTTGCTCTGGCCCACCTCTGAAACGGATAGAAAGGGGATAAAATAGACTAAAAAGGGCAAAGATAAAATGAAAACAGATAGAAGCGGATGAGGGATTTCAATATGTTTTGGGAAACGGCCCTTGGTGGACTCACGAGCACGGAGGAAGATCTTAAGGTTTAAGATCTCGCAGTGATGAAAGTAACAAAAAGTGAGCTGATGGGCACCTCAGAATTTCTAAGGGACTCAGAACTTGGGATTAGCAGTCCAAGACAGGGCAGGGTGGAAGTATCGCACTGAAAATCAGGAATGATTAGAAGTATCTTAACAATGTCAGAGCCCAGTAAAGTCAGCTTTCTCCACTTTCCCCTTGGCCAGGTGGACTGGGAGCTATCCTCTGAATAACCTAGAAGGGGAAGCCTCAGGACTCAAGAACATTGCTCATCAATGAACAATCCTGTCTAATGGCATAGAGTATTCAATCACACTTAATCATACTTTACTAAATTATTCTTAAGTATAAATAGAAATTAGAGTAATAACAATCCAGTTTTTGATGGAAGTCTACAAGATGGAGAGAGAGAAAAAAATTAACTTGAAAGAAACAGAGATCATGCGGAGAACAGAAGAAACATTAAAAATTAACCAACCAACTAGCCAACTAACCAACCAACCACCACTACCACCAAATAACCACACAAAAACTCCAAAAGAATAAAAGAAAGCTTTTAAAGCAATATCCTCAGATTTAAAAAAAGGGGTATAGTAAGGCATTCATTAAAAAAAGCTAAAATATAACCAGAAAGTTAAAAACTAAATTATAAAAATGTGAAAATATCTTCATAAGTAGGATAAAAAGATCTAGGATGGAAAAACAAGAGAAAATATAGATACAAATATTTACATATATAAAATCAATCAAAAAAGTCTAACATCCTACCAATACATGTTCTAGGAAAAGAGAGTGAAGAAAGTAGGGTAGATGAATAGATTAATTTAAAAATACATTTTCCATCCTGGAGAACATGAGGTTTGAAATTCAAGGGGCTCAACACAATAGATAGAAATAAAATGACCATATTTGGCAAAGTATTGGGAATGGCAGGCCCCCAGAAATAGTAAGACTTCAACTTCTTGACATAAACATAATTTTCAACTCATAATTTTCTACCCAATCAAACCATCCATCAAGATTTTGAATAAGAAATAAATCATTTCCAGATGCCTCTTCCATTGTTTCTTTCTTTTTTTTTGCAAACTACCAGAGGTTAGGCTTCAGCAGAACCAAGAAATAAATGAAGAAAAGGAAAACATAGCTCTTTGGGAAAATATGTACATTTCACGAAGTTAGGAAAAGAAAATCTCAGATACTGTCTAGATAGCAGGCTTAAAGAAGCACCAGTTTAGAGTGAAGAAGGGAAACCAGTGTTTCTAGGAAGAAAATTTCCAGAAAAAAAGGTGGATCAGGGTGAAAAGAGAATTGCTAGTGTACCAGCTATGTTTGGAAATTTGAATAAAAAAGTACTAGTTTTAAATGTATGGTGGCTTCAGAGGAGCAGTTGGAAAAGTTATGAATTCGTTTCCAAAAAACTACTCAAATAACAAAAAACGGCAAAAATAAACTCTATCAACAGCAATTGTACAAGGAAGGAAATCTAATCACAGTAATTACTTGATACTATAGTACACAGTAATGTGAACACTGATTTTTGATTTAACTCTTTTTTGTTTTAATTATATTGAATTGGGGAGAAGTGGCAGATATAGAAAGTCAAAAGTGATAAAGACATTGTGGCCTAAGCAAATTATCAGAGATAAATGTTAAGAGAAGTAGTTAAAAGAGGGAATGATGGTCTTTAAAAAGGAGAACTGGGAAAGGGTAGGGCAAATTTCTGCTTGTTTTCATCATAACTCTTTAGTTATTTTAGTTATTTTACTATAACTTGCTAGCATATTATGATTCATTCATATTATTATAAAAGCCTATAAAAGATTATAAGGTAAACTTTAACTTGCAAAATGATATAAAATTATGGTAAAGAAAAAAATTACAAATTGAGTCAATTTTGTTTCAAGCTGATTATTTCCTTTTCACTCGATACATGATGAGCAGTTTTATTTTCTCAGACCATATAGGAGCCAGGGAAAAAAGACCTGTATACGCCAAAGGATGACCATGATGAAATGAATCTTTTCAAGCCATAGATCTATGATTTGCATACTCTAAGAAATGGGCAGCCAAAACAATTTTCTAAACTCAGTAACGATAGAGAGGACCATAACAAGAACTGATATATATCTGAAATAGCATAACATAATGTAACCAGCAGTATTACTTACAAGCCAATTAGATATCAACCAATTGCACTGCAGTTTAGGAATGTAGATGAGGAAATAGATGGGAGGCTATTCCACTTACCATTACAATCCTTTCTTTTGTATTCCAGAGGAACAGCGGTTTATTGAAAGGAAAGCAAATGTCCAGAAGCAAAAACAAACAAACAAAAAACAAACAAACAAACAAAAACAGAAAAAACTTCCCCAAAAGTAAAGAATCACAGCTTTATTCAGTAGCTCCTCAATTAAAATAGTCATCTTCTTAATTGTGCCATCTTCAGAAGCAGCCATATATACTGTAGTTAAGAGGCACATGGTGAGAAATTTGGGGTCCAATCAAGATGATAGGATTCATCTACATGGCAGCCCTCAAAGATTCTGGAAGAGAAAAATGGTGAAAAGGTAAATGATTCAGAGGGTTAGCGCACTCAATTGTATAAATAAAAATGGAGGATTCAAGTGCAATCAGCAAAATACATCATTTAAAAATTTTTATTGACAGATTTGTCAATCTTGTGCAAAGGAAATTTAGTAACCAACTCAATTTGCCAAATGTTTATGACTGCTTCCTATGTTTATAGAAATACAAAGCTGAAAAAGGCATATTTCACATGAGGAATTTAGGTAAGAAAAATAAGTCTGATTTATTATTATTATTATTATTTTTATTTGAGACAGTCTTGCTCTGTTGCCCAGACTGAAGTGCAGTGGTGCCATCTTGGCTCACTGCAACCTCTGCCTCCCTGGTTCAAGCAATTCTCCTGCCTCAGCCTCCTGAGTAGTTGGGATTATAGGTGTGTTCCACCATGCCCGGCTTAATTTTTGTATTTTTAGTAGAGACTGGGTTTCACCATGTTGGCCAGACTGGTCTTGAACTCCTGGCCTCAAGTGAACCACCCGCTTCAGCCTCCCAAAGTGCTGGGATTACAGGTGTGAGCCACAATGTCCAGCTAAGTCTGATTAATTATTGCTAGGAAGAATAATATAAGACCCAATTTTTTATTATTTTAAACAGTCAGTGAACCAGCTTAAGTAGATAGTCCGCAAATACTTATTGAGCACTTATTTATTTACTGCACTTGAAATCCGTACTTGAAAGATGAAGATGAGGAAGAAACTGAGTAGACTTGGAGGGAAGTGAATAAACATTGGACATTTATTATGATTCAGGTACCTGCTAGATGCATTACATAAATACTTCATTTAAACCTCACATCAATCCTATGCGATTGTTGCTGTTTCTCAGATTTTACAGAGGAGAAAACTGAAGCATAAAGGGTCAGGTATTTTGCCACAGGTCATGCAGCAAGTAAGTGGTGGAGTTAGGACTGGATCCTAATCTGTTTGATCCTATTTCCACTCTCCAAGGCCAGTCCTCACACTGGGTAAAGTCGGCTATGATTTAGAAAAACAAGGGCACAGGGCACTGTAATTAGTCTTTTTAAATATAAAATTAAATGAATTTACTTGGAGAAATATTCATTATTCTTAGGTTATGCTCTTCCTGTATGCGTGTGTGTGTTACAATGTCCAGGTGAGGATATTTTGGTAATAGAATATACTGATTTCTTTTTTTTTATTTTTTTTATTTTTTTATTTTTTTAATTATACTTTAAGTTTTAGGGTACATGTGCACATTGTGCAGGTTAGTTACATATGTATACATGTGCCATGCTGGTGCGCTGCACCCACTAACTCGTCATCTAGCATTAGGTATATCTCCCAGTGCTATCCCTCCCCCCTTCCCCCTCCCCACCACAGTCCCCAGAGTGTGATATTCCCCTTCCTGTGTCCATGTGATCTCATTGTTCAATTCCCACCTATGAGTGAGAATATGCGGTGTTTGGTTTTTTGTTCTTGCCATAGTTTACTGAGAATGATGGTTTCCAATTTCATCCATGTCCCTACAAAGGACATGAACCCATCATTTTTTATGGCTGCATAGTATTCCATGGTGTATATGTGCCACATTTTCTTAATCCAGTCTATCATTGTTGGACATTTGGGTTGGTTCCAAGTCTTTGCTATTGTGAATAATGCTGCAATAAACATACGTGTGCATGTGTCTTTATAGCAGCATGATTTATAGTCATTTGGGTATATACCCAGTAATGGGATGGCTGGGTCAAATCATATTTCTAGTTCTAGATCCCTGAGGAATCACCACACTGACTTCCACAATGGTTGAACTAGTTTACAGTCCCACCAACAGTGTAAAAGTGTTCCTATTTCTCCACATCCTTTCCAGCACCTGTTGTTTCCTGACTTTTTAATGATTGCCATTCTAACTGGTGTGAGATGATATCTCATAGTGGTTTTGATTTGCATTTCTCTGATGGCCAGTGATGATGAGCATTTTTTCATGTGTTTTTTGGCTGCATAAATGTCTTCTTTTGAGAAGTGTCTGTTCATGTCCCTCGCCCACTTTTTGATGGGGTTGTTTGTTTTTTTCTTGTAAATTTGTTTGAGTTCATTGTAGATTCTGGATATTAGCCCTTTGTCAGATGAGTAGGTTGCGAAAATTTTCTCCCATGTTGTAGGTTGCCTGTTCACTCTGATGGTAGTTTCTTTTGCTGTGCAGAAGCTCTTTAGTTTAATTAGATCCCATTTGTCAATTTTGGCTTTGGTTGCCATTGCTTTTGGTGTTTTGGACTTGAAGTCCTTGCCCACGCCTATGTCCTGAATGGTAACGCCTAGGTTTTCTTCTAGGGTTTTTATGGTTTTAGGTCTAACGTTTAAATCTTTAATCCATCCTGAATTGATTTTTGTATAAGGTGTAAGGAAGGGATCCAGTTTCAGCTTTCTACATATGGCTAGCCAGTTTTCCCAGCACCATTTATTAAATAGGGAATCCTTTCCCCATTGCTTGTTTTTCTCAGGTTTGTCAAAGATCAGATAGTTGTAGGTATGCGGCGTTATTTCTGAGGGCTCTGTTCTGTTCCATTGATCTATATCTCTGTTTTGGTACCAGTACCATGCTGTTTTGGTTACTGTAGCCTTGTAGTATAGTTTGAAGCAGGTAGTGTGATGCCTCCAGCTTTGTTCTTTTGGCTTAGGATTGACTTGGCGATGCGGGCTCTTTTTTGGTTCCATATGAACTTTAAAGTAGTTTTTCCCAATTCTGTGAAGAAAGGCATTGGTAGCTTGATGGGGATGGCATTGAATCTGTAAATTACCTTGGGCAGTATGGCCATTTTCACGATATTGATTCTTCCTACCCATGAGCATGGAATGTTCTTCCATTTGTTTGTATCCTCTTTTATTTCCTTGAGCAGTGGTTTGTAGTTCTCCTTGAAGAGGTCCTTCACATCCCTTGTAAGTTGGATTCCTAGGTATTTTATTCTCTTTGAAGCAATTGTGAATGGGAGTTCACTCATGATTTGGCTCTCTGTTTGTCTGTTGTTGGTGTATAAGAATGCTTGTGATTTTTGTACATTGATTTTGTATCCTGAGACTTTGCTGAAGTTGCTTATCAGCTTAAGGAGATTTTGGGCTGAGACGATGGGGTTTTCTAGATAAACAATCATGTCGTCTGCAAACAGGGACAATTTGACTTCCTCTTTTCCTAATTGAATACCCTTTATTTCCTTCTCCTGCCTGATTGCCCTGGCCAGAACTTCCAACACTATTTTGAATAGGAGCGGTGAGAGAGGGCATCCCTGTCTTGTACCAGTTTTCAAAGGGAATGCTTCCAGTTTTTGCCCATTCAGTATGATATTGGCTGTGGGTTTGTCATAGATAGCTCTTATTATTTTGAAATACGTCCCATCAATAGCTAATTTATTGAGAGTTTTTAGCATGAAGGGTTGTTGAATTTTGTCGAAGGCTTTTTCTGCATCTATTGAGATAATCATGTGGTTTTTGTCTTTGGCTCTGTTTATATGCTGGATTACATTTATTGATTTGCGTATATTGAACCAGCCTTGCATCCCAGGGATGAAGCCCACTTGATCATGGTGGATAAGCTTTTTGATGTGCTGCTGGATTCGGTTTGCCAGTATTTTATTGAGGATTTTTGCATCAATGTTCATCAAGGATATTGGTCTAAAATTCTCTTTTTTGGTTGTGTCTCTGCCCGGCTTTGGTATCAGAATGATGCTGGCCTCATAAAATGAGTTAGGGAGGATTCCCTCTTTTTCTATTGATTGGAATAGTTTCAGAAGGAATGGTACCAGTTCCTCCTTGTACCTCTGGTAGAATTCGGCTGTGAATCCATCTGGTCCTGGACTCTTTTTGGTTGGTAAACTATTGATTATTGCCACAATTTCAGGTCCTGTTATTGGTCTATTCAGAGATTCAACTTCTTCCTGGTTTAGTCTTGGGAGAGTGTATGTGTCGAGGAATTTATCCATTTCTTCTAGATTTTCTAGTTTATTTGCGTAGAGGTGTTTGTAGTATTCTCTGATGGTAGTTTGTATTTCTGTGGGATCGGTGGTGATATCCCCTTTATCATTTTTTATTGTGTCTATTTGATTCTTCTCTCTTTTTTTCTTTATTAGTCTTGCTAGCGGTCTATCAATTTTGTTGATCCTTTCAAAAAATCAGCTCCTGGATTCATTGATTTTTTGAAGGGTTTTTTGTGTCTCTATTTCCTTCAGTTCTGCTCTGATTTTAGTTATTTCTTGCCTTCTGCTAGCTTTTGAATGTGTTTGCTCTTGCTTTTCTAGTTCTTTTAATTGTGATGTTAGGGTGTCAATTTTGGATCTTTCCTGCTTTCTCTTGTGGGCATTTAGTGCTATAAATTTCCCTCTACACACTGCTTTGAATGCGTCCCAGAGATTCTGGTATGTTGTGTCTTTGTTCTCGTTGGTTTCAAAGAACATCTTTATTTCTGCCTTCATTTTGTTATGTACCCAGTAGTCATTCAGGAGCAGGTTGTTCAGTTTCCATGTAGTTGAGCGGCTTTGAGTGAGATTCTTAATCCTGAGTTCTAGTTTGATTGCACTGTGGTCTGAGAGATAGTTTGTTATAATTTCTGTTCTTTTACATTTGCTGAGGAGAGCTTTACTTCCAACTATGTGGTCAATTTTGGAATAGGTGTGGTGTGGTGCTGAAAAAAATGTATATTCTGTTGATTTGGGGTGGAGAGTTTGGTAGATATCTATTAGGTCCGCTTGGTGCAGAGGTGAGTTCAATTCCTGGGTATCCTTGTTGACTTTCTGTCTCGTTGATCTGTCTAATGTTGACAGTGGGGTGTTAAAGTCTCCCATTATTAACTTGTGGGAGTCTAAGTCTCTTTGTAGGTCACTCAGGACTTGCTTTATGAATCTGGGTGCTCCTGTATTGGGTGCATATATATTTAGGATAGTTAGCTCTTCTTGTTGAATTGATCCCTTTACCATTATGTAATGGCCTTCTTTGTCTCTTTTGATCTTTGTTGGTTTAAAGTCTGTTTTATCAGAGACTAGGATTGCAACCCCTGCCTTTTTTTGTTTTCCATTTGCTTGGTAGATCTTCCTCCATCCTTTTATTTTGAGCCTATGTGTGTCTCTGCACGTGAGATGGGTTTCCTGAATACAGCACACTGATGGGTCTTGACTCTTTATCCAACTTGCCAGTCTGTGTCTTTTAATTGGAGAATTTAGTCCATTTACATTTAAAGTTAATATTGTTATGTGTGAATTTGATCCTCTCATTATGATGTTAGCTGGTGATTTTGCTCGTTAGTTGATGCAGTTTCTTCCTAGTCTCGATGGTCTTTACATTTTGGCATGATTTTGCAGCGGCTGGTACCGGTTGTTCCTTTCCATGTTTAGCACTTCCTTCAGGAGCTCTTTTAGGGCAGGCCTGGTGGTGACAAAATCTCTCAGCATTTGCTTGTCTGTAAAGTATTTTATTTCTCCTTCACTTATGAAGCTTAGTTTGGCTGGATATGAAATTCTGGGTTGAAAATTCTTTTCTTTAAGAATGTTGAATATTGGCCCCCACTCTCTTCTGGCTCGTAGGGTTTCTGCTGAGAGATCCACTGTTAGTCTGATGGGCTTCCCTTTGAGGGTAACCCGACCTTTCTCTCTGGCTGCCCTTAACATTTTTTCCTTCATTTCAACTTTGGTGAATCTGACAATTATGTGTCTTGGAGTTGCTCTTCTCGAGGAGTATCTTTTTGGCGTTCTCTGTATTTCCTGAATCTGAACGTTGGCCTGCCTTGCTAGATTGGGGAAGTTCTCCTGGATAATATCCTGCAGAGTGTTTTCCAACTTGGTTCCATTCTCCGCATCACTTTCAGGTACACCAATCAGATGTAGATTTGGTCTTTTCACATAGTCCCATATTTCTTGTAGGCTTTGCCCATTTCTTTGTATTCTTTTTTCTCTAAACTTCCCTTCTCGCTTCATTTCATTCATTTCATCTTCCATTGCTGATACCCTTTCTTCCAGTTGATCGCATCGGCTCCTGAGGATTCTGCATTCTTCACGTAGTTCTCAAGCCTTGGTTTTCAGCTCCATCAGCTCCTTTAAGCACTTCTCTGTATTGGTTATTCTAGTTATACATTCTTCTAAATTTTTTTCAAAGTTTTCAACTTCTTTGCCTTTGGTTTGAATGTCCTCCCGTAGCTCAGAGTAATTTGATCGTCTGAAGCCTTCCTCTCTCAGCTCGTCAAAATCATTCTCCATCCAGCTTTGTTCCGTTGCTGGTGAGGAACTGCGTTCCTTTGGAGGAGGAGAGGTGCTCTGCATTTTAGAGTTTCCAGTTTTTCTGTTCTGTTTTTTCCCCATCTTTGTGGTTTTATCTACTTTTGGTCTTTGATGATGGTGATGTATAGATGGGTTTTCGGTGTGGATGTCCTTTCTGTTTGTTAGTTTTCCTTCTAACAGACAGGACCCTCAGCTGCAGGTCTGTTGGAATACCCTTGCTGTGTGAGGTGTCAGTCTGCCCCTGCTGGGGGGTGCCTCCCAGTTAGGCTGCTCGGGGGTCAGGGGTCAGGGACCCACTTGAGGAGGCAGTCTGCCCGTTCTCAGATTTCCAGCTGCGTGCTGGGAGAACCACTGCTCTCTTCAAAGCTGTCAGACAGGGACATTTAAGTCTGCAGAGGTTACTGCTGTCTTTTTGTTTGTCTGTGCCCTGCCCCCAGAGGTGGAGCCTACAGAGGCAGGCAGGCCTCCTTGAGCTGTGGTGGGCTCCACCCAGTTGGAGCTTCCCGGCTGCTTTGTTTACCTAAGCAAGCCTGGGCAATGGCCGGCGCCCCTCCCCCAGCCTCGCTGCCGCCTTGCAGTTTGATCTCAGACTGCTGTGCTAGCAATCAGCGAGATTCCGTGGGCGTAGGACCCTCCGAGCCAGGTGTGGGACATAGTCTCGTGGTGCGCCGTTTTTTAAGCCGGTCTGAAAAGCGCAATATTCGGGTGGGAGTGACCCGATTTTCCAGGTGCGGCCGTCACCCCTTTCTTTGACTCGGAAAGGGAACTCCCTGACCCTTTGCGCTTCCCAGGTGAGGCAATGCCTCGCCCTGCTTCGGCTCGCGCACGGTGCGCACACACACTGGCCTGCGCCCACTGTCTGGCACTCCCTAGTGAGATGAACCCGGTACCTCAGATGGAAATGCAGAAATCACCCGTCTTCTGCGTCGCTCACGCTGGGAGCTGTAGACCGGAGCTGTTCCTATTCGGCCATCTTGGCTCCTCCCCCATACTGATTTCTTTCTTTCTTTTCTTCCTTTTCTTCTTTCTTTCTTTCTCTTTCTTTCTTTCTTTCTTTCTTTCTTTCTTTCTTTCTTTCTCTCTTTCTTTTTTTCTTTCCCTTTCTTTCTTTCCTTCCTTCTCTTTCTTTCTTTCTTTCTTTCTTTCTTTCTTTCTTTCTTTCTTTCTTTCTTTCTTCTTTCTTTCATTCTTTCTTTCTTCTCTCTTTCTCTCTTTCTTTCTCTCTTTGTTTCTGACAGAGTCTCGCTCAGTCGCCCAGGCTGGAGTGCAGTGGCGTGATCTCGGCTCACTGCAACCTCTGCCTCCTGGGTTCACGCTATTCTTCTGCCTCAGCCTCCCAAGTAGCTGGGACTACAGGTGCCCGCCACCACGCCAGGCTAATTTTTTGTATTTTTAGTAGAGACGGGGTTTCACCATGTTAGCCAGGATGGTCTCCATCTCCTGACCTCGTGATCCACCCACCTCAGCCTCCCAAAATGCTGGGATTACAGGCATGAGTCACTGCACCTGGTGAAGATAGTGATTTCTTAATGCTTCTCTCTATTTATAGATCTATCTGTAGAACTACATAAATAGATCTATAGATATGTAACTTTTAATGCTTACCTCTATATATTTATAAATCCATAGGTGAATAGATATAGAAGTCCATCTATGGATATGTTTCTACACACATATATGCTTTTACATGTATAATAATGGTCTTATACATATTTTCTCATATATATTTATTTTTATATATCTTATATATATAATTAATGCTCAGATATAGGTGTATGTGTATATATATAAATGTAAAATTTTATTTTTTTAAATTGGGTATTGGACTAAGTAATATTACATAGGCAAACCCCCACTTAAAAATTTTTACTTGATATGAAATCTACAAATATAAGAATTATTCAAACACAATAAAAAGATTACTCAGTCATCTTCAGGTATTTTTGATAGCTATTCCTTGTAAGAGAAAGGGTTTGTAAATCACTAGCATTTCATGATTGCAACATACAGTGAAGGGCAAAATTTTTTTTAGATAAAATTTCAGTAGTTTTGATAAAAACCCACAAGAAAGTTACGTCAGTATACAATCACATGGTTAGGTATACTGTCATTATTTGGGACATTTTAAAACAAAACCCTCACATTTGCCAACATTTTTTGAAGAGAAATTTAATGAATAATGGTATTTCCTTATTACAGAATTATTTATTTTTCTTGAAACAGTCTGTTGCTTTCACCAAATTGTGAGAGGAACTTACATTTTATGGAGAAGAGAAAAATTCAAGATTTTGTTTTCTCTTTCCCATAAACCAAAATGCCACTGTTAGTCAGGACCTTGGCAATGAAGCTTAGTGCTTTGAGAATTTTGGGGGAGTGTGGCTAGAGGGTAAAGCACCAAATCCAAAGCACCTTTGTCATTTACCACCATAAGATTTAGTGAAGACAGTTTGGGTCTGGTATGGTTTGAATGTGTCCCCTCCAAAATTCAGATGTTGCCAATGTGATGGTATTAAGAGGTGGGGCCTTTAAGAGGTGATGAGGTCATAAGGACTCCTTCCTCATGAATGGGATTCAGTTCTTTAAAAAGAGGCTTCACCCAGCATTTGACCCTGTTGTCTGTCTGCTTTCTGCCACGTGAAGACAGAGAGTTCTCTCTCCAGAGGATGCATCCCTCACCAGATAATGGAACCTACAGGTGTCTTAATCTTGGACTTCCCAGCCTCCAGGCTGTGAGGAAATAAATTTATATTGTTTATAAATTACCCAGGCTCAGGTATTTTGTTATAGCAGCACACACATACTAAAACAGTGCCTCTGAGACTTAGTTTTCTTGCATGTAAAATATGGATGTTAACCGTGGCCCACTTGAGATAAAGCATATAAAAACCTTTTCAAACTAGAGCTCTACATGAAGATGATATGTGAAAAGGAATGGCACAAAATTTTTAGCTAAGAATTTGTATTTAGTTGATTAGTTATATGTAGTTGATAGTTGAGAGGGGAGCAGAATACTGACTCAGAAAGTGTGTGTTTTTGTGCAAACACACTAAGAGTCAGAGTCAAGTTTATCTCAAAAGACTTTGAGGGTTGCCCTCCCCAGTTTCTCCCCCTTTTTTCAAGGACCTCACTTCCAGCTACCAGCTCTCTCCCTTGCTCATTCTGCTCCAGTGGCCTCCTTGCTGATTCTTGAAAATGTCATGTATGCTATGGCCTCAGGGCCTTTGCATTTGCTCTTTCCTTCTACTGGGAATACCCTTTTCTTAGCCATTCACAAGGCTTGACACCTGACCTCCCTCAGGTCATTATCTATGTGCCATTGCTCATGACCATCTAAAATCACAAACTCTCCATCCCTTTCCACTTTATTTTCCTTTATATCACTCATTATGTCACTTCTGTTACTTATTTTTGTTTGATAATTGTCTGCATTCCTTCCACTAGAATGTGTGCTCCAAAGGGCAGGCAGTTTTTTTGTTGCATTTACTGTTGTGTCCCTAGATCAGCGTCTGTCACATAGTAGGCACTCTATATACATATTTGTTGAATGAATGCTAGTGAATGTTCCCTTTTCTTACCACAGAAGAAGCAGCAAAGTATCCAGCCAAAGTTTCTGTTTGCCATCTATTCAATTTAATACTAAGAGATTTGTGCTTGACTGTCTTTGAAGAAATTAAAGAGAAGGCTAAAGAATGTTGTATGGGTCTGTTGTAAAAGCTACCACAAAAGGGTTGCAATTAAAAATAAAATTTGACAAGTAATTAGTCTACATTTCTTTTTTTAGTCTACATTAGTTATCTTTTTTAATTTTGAGAAAGACATTACAGATTGGTTAAGATATTTCATCTCTGATTTAGCAAATGCATCCAATAGTAATTCCTGTATAAATGTTACTTTTTTCTACTCCTCTTCTCAAGATTTATTGCTGGAATATTTTGATGAATTTTGAGTCACACAAACCAAATTTTATAGTTTAGGATACACATAACATAGTGAATCTAAGGATAGCATTAAGTTTTCTAACTATAAATGTACCCATTAACATTTATTTCATATTTTATTTTTTCTTGTGGTTAAAATCTCTGATATATAACTTCTTTTACCACTTAACACGACTAGGCAAAAATATTGACACCTCTTTATGGGGGAATTAACAAATATTACATTGATGATGCTAATGTATTTTCTCTAGTATTCAATGGGCTGTACAACTTCACATTTAATAGTTCAATAGTACAACACAACAAAAAAATCGGAGTGATAATAAGGACACTTATTTTGTCTCATATCTAGATACTCAGAGAGTGAGAGCCTTCAGATTTGGGTGAGTGATGCCATTAGAACCAAGATTTCTTCCATTCTTCTGCTCTATCATTCTCAGCACAACATGCTTTTCTCATTAAGGTAATAGTTTTTAATCTAGCCCAAATATACTGCCACCTCCCTCCAACTAGTGTAAGAAATATCTGCTGTCCCATGTCGTTTACTTCTGATTAGAATTGTACCTGGAAAGGCAGCCCTTCCAGGTACTGAAAGCTGAGGATCCCTAAAGCAAAAGTCACAAGGAAGCAGCTTACATTACGTAGAGATGGAGAGTATGGGGAGTAGAGTTGGTCTGCCAGTGTTCAGATAGTGACCCTACTTCTCATTAGCCATGCTATCTTGAGTAATTACTTCATTTCTATGTGTAAATTAAGGTAGATAATAGTGCCTTCCTTAAACACATTAAAATTATTTAAAACCATGTGTGGCCTATGAAAACTGCTCAATAATCATAAGTTTTCATGATTATTTCCCAGTTATAATAGATCTCCCAAGCTCAATATCAAATTAGCTGTTATCTGGACAACACAGACAATAGTTCAGGCCCAAGCTGTTACTTCCTTAATAATCTGGAGCTTTTAGGAATCAGGCATTTCATTTGCTTAGTTTATCTGGGTAATACAATGTACCTTGTCATTGAGTTAGTGATGAGGTTAAAGTTATGGTATAAAGATGAATAGGTATCTGGGAGATAAGTGGATTGGGGTTACACCTATAAGTGATACCTAAAGAAACCATTGGGCAGGTAAGCACTATTCAACCCTATTACCAAAGCATGGCATGTGTGGATCCTATGGACAGCTTGTACTAGGAGGAAGCTTTATAATTTGATATTTCACATGATAGCCTGATTAAATTTCTTGCATGTCCACAAACATATATATGTATATTTTAATATTCATGTACATGTAGATACAGAGACAGAAAGAGACAGCTCATAAGACAAAAGGTATTATCCTTATAGGTCTTATCAGTCAAAGATCTGGAGAAAACAACAACAGACTAAAATATTTGCACAAATACCTAGAGAGCGATGAATGCTTTTGGAGCAACCCTGGTCAAAGCAGCATGTTCTTGTTCATTTTTTTTTCTTTTTAAAGTCCTCCCCTTGCTGTTCTTGTCCCATAGGTAAAGAAGTGGAGTTGATTTTACAAATGACTATTGCTCTGATGTTTTTAAAGAGCTTCAGGAAAATAAGTGAATTCCTACTGGAGTTGACACTCAAGCTTTCTTGAGAACAAACCCTCTTGCCTACCCTTCTGATGTGGCAGCTTTTCAAGCAGTTTCCCTTCCTTATGAAAGGAAAGGATTGTGTTATTATTAGAGGAATTATCAAGCCGTCTGCACTTCTTTTCTATAAGAAAAGAGAATAGGGTGTCAATCCTGTAAATGCCACATTGTTTTTTATTTTTAAAAAAGGTTCTTTCTTTTTTTAACATTGCGATGAGATCCTGATATATACAACCCTAAAATTATTCACGTGCTGCTATTGGGAAGTCCCCCGAAACCTAGGGCAGTGTGAAAATGAGAAGAAGGTAATATATTTTTTAAAAGCAGGTGGTTGAGTGTTTTAACCACCTCTGTTCTATGATCATGGAGAAAACACCCCTTCCCCCTACCCCATATCCGCAAAGGATTCTAAGGAAACAGTTTTGAGTCTGTTCTCCTAGGACCGCAGCTATTCAGGCCCTCTTCATTCTTTTAAGGTGGATATTGACAACCTAGCAGGTCACAGAAGTGTGTTTAGTTTCACTCTGGGACAAAGAAACAGGGAAAGTCAGTCACATTTTGTGTACGTGTGTTTGTGCATGTGCACACAGTGTCATGCAACCTTATGTGTGTGTGTGTTTGTATGTGTGTGTACGTATGTATAGAGATTGGATACGAATTTGCCATGGCTTTTGTTAAACAGCAAATAAGCTTTGCCCATTTGGACATGCTATCAGAATTCTGAATTTCTGGTTAAAAATCTCTCCGCTTGAACATGTCTGCTGGAAATCACTGCCGTTGCTGTTGCCAGGGGTCATTAAATGTACAGGAGAGGAGGCGAGGCAGAGATGCTCTTCCTTGTCTTAAATGAGCATGGGTTAGTGCAGAACACTGGTGGATGAGCAAGTTATATACAATCCCAGGGACTCCGGTCCCCCTCCTGGGGACTGCGAAATTCTATGCCACTGTGAAGCAGCTTAGAAATGAGCCGACAAAGAAGTCCGTTGACTTTAACGTGAATATGCTCGAATCACACAGAAGACAAGAATAAATCACCTTACAACTGCGTCTAGTGTAATTTTCCTGTCTCCTTCCAGTTCCCCCACCCCCACCCCTTTTGTTCTTTGTGGATGTTTTTGTTATCAGCAGCATCATTGAGAAGCTGCCTTTTTGGGATTTTTCTATAGGTGACTAGGGTGTGAGCTAGGTGCTGCTGCAGTATGAATCTTTTAAAAGGCGCCTAAGAAATATTTAAGACCCTGGTCTAGGAGGAACGGCTCTCCCAGGCATAATTTTTGGTGCTGGTTGCAGCAGGGAGCGTATGCTGGGAGGAAAGTATTATTTTTCTAAATGGAAGGTGTCAGATGGTCACGCAATGTGACTGCATGTTCGAGATCACTGCCTCCCATCTGCAATTTGTGACGTGTGAAAGATTCTGCCCAAATGTGCTCACCAACTGGAAATCCTCGGCACTTTTTTTCCTTATCAGGAGAGACCAAGATAACCAATGGTTTACAGATCAGGGATCCTATCAAATTAATATCACTGTAGGATAAAATCTGTTTTAAATACAACTCCTAAACTCCAGCAAAGTTAACTAGTACAAACAAGTTCATTCATCTGATTAAGAACCGCTGCTCAGGAAACAACAACAAAATGAAATCTGCTTATCACTGTCTCTCACTTCAAAATAGTCTTATGTTTATAGCTTTCACAAACAGGCTGGATCCAAAAGATGATATATTTTTCCATGCTAATTAATATAGACCAAATGACAGCATCTACCAGGACTGAAGCAAAGCATTTTCAAATCATTGTTGGTTTTTCCTTGTCTTATACTCCTCTGAGTCTTTTTCCAATTAAACACGGCAAAACTCAGAAAGAGCAGACTATTTAGCCATTGCCTAAGTAAGGGTTCTATGTTTTGAGCTGAGTTCGAAGCTTTGAGTTCTGTTTATTCTTGGCTAGGCATAATTCCCAGCTTCTCAAATAAAAGGGTCGTAAAAAGGCTCATGAGGTGCTTCAGACATCAAACAGCTCATACAAAACAATATCTTGATGAGTTAAGTGCAAATGAATCAGAAACATAATGGGCTAAAATTTCCTTGTTGTGCACAGGGGTTGACATTTCAAGGAGAGAAGTTCTTGGCTCTGCAAAGCACACCTTGAGTTTTATCACCTTCGACCCTTGGAAAGGGAGTGTCTAGGTTTGGCCTGACTGAGAGGTGGGCTTTGTTTACTTTATTCTAAGCTGCTAGAATACAAAAAAGGGAAGGTCTTGCTCCAGTTTTTAGTTTCTCATCTGTATAAAATGAGGAAGAAGGAAGGGCTAGAAGAAAGAAATCCTCAGGCGAGTGCAAAAGCTGTATTCATTCCCAAATCATTTTATATTGTATATTTTGCATCACAAAGCTCTTCACAATCAGTGACAAAATATAGAGGGATTACAAATTCAAGAGATGGATCACCATCACTGTTTTGTGAAGCGGCATGCCACTGTTGGCTGCTGAGGGTACGTAGGAAATTACAAAGGGCTGAAATCCCCTGTGCTAAGACAGTGATCTGGAGTACAAAGGCATGGGCATGACACCTCCTCCCAAAAGAAGTGCCTGAAACTGCCCTTGAGGGGCAAAGAACAACACCATCTGATTGCTTCTCACACAAACCATTGCCATATACTGAGGCCTGGCTGGTTCGCTTTAGGGGTGACCCAGGTAGGCCAAGTAAAAAGAACAGTGATGTGAAGAAGAATATGGCAAGACATCGGATTTTGTTGAAGGAAGAGAACATGCAGCTGAGAGGAGGCTGTTCCAGAATAATTTATCAGGGAATAAAGAATGAACAGAGGAAAATAGGTCTTTTACTCAATAATAGCCCTTTGCATTGATTCTTAGGGTTCCTTTAACAGTAAAGCCCTCCTCTCTCTTCTCAGCAAACCCAAATCCTGTCTAATCTTTAGAACTCAGCCAATCCATCCTTCTCTGCAAATGTTCTCACATTGTTAGGAGCCTGAAATGAGTTGTACTCATCCTTCTCTGAATTCACTCACCAAATATTGTTTCTGCAATCATTTTGGCAATTAAGTGAAAGTCAATGACTTTTTGGTTGGCTTACATATTTCATTAATTTTTGTTGGTTTCTATTGAAATTGGAGGTTTCTTGAGGCGAGGTGTTAGCCTTAATTTTATCTTAGGTTTGTACTGAAGTAGGGCAAAGATCTCAACTTTGCACCCTAAGTCACTGCACTGTACCTGTAGGTGGGTATCCCTGTGCCACCTTTAGAGGCCAGGAAATCAATTCTGAGAGGCCATGTCTCATGTCCATGTCACAGCCTAAGTTGTGGAGCCAAGCTTGGCATCCTGACTGATGAAAAAGTTTTTTCTTAGATAGAAACTAAGTAATTGCTTTCTGTGTTTATAAAAAAATCAGGGAGATGTCTCATGAGTATGTTCATTCTTTTGTTTCAGAGTGAAAGCATCCCTTACATCTCTGTTCCTTAGAAGCCCTGTCTTTGCTTACTCCAGGAGAAGAGAAGGCATAGGTGGCCATTACATGGGTTTTGATGTGAATTGCTGGCCAAGGTACTTTGGAGTCTTGCTGTGGTAGTTTGGAGTTTGCTGTTAGAAGAGTGATGTTGCAGCCAGTGTTTCCAATTGCTGTCGAAACAGAAATCAGTCTGCTCCTGATTACTCATCAGCAGTTGTACCACTCAGGATTTGTTCTTGAGATTATGAGGGGCTCTCCACCCTGGCGGCATGTTAAAATCACTTTGGAGGCATTTAAGGGGGCAAAATAATGCCTGGACCAGATTCCCAGGGATCTTGATATCCAGTTGGTTTGTAGCGGGGCACAGGCATCTGTTTTTTGTTTTTGTTTTCATTTTATAAGCTCCCTACTTGCTTCTAATGGCACTCAGGGTTAAGGAACCCCGAGAGACCATGCTGGAGACCTAGCAGGTGCAGTGAGTAAGCCGCTGGGGGAGAATTTAGTGCTGGCAAAAAGAACGCTCTTACAGCCCCTTACTTCTCTTACATGAAGCAGTCACTCTCACACACACGTTCCCACTCCGCCCAGTAATCCATGTTAATCCTGGTCTGGAGCAAGCACTTCTAAGTAGTAAAAGCCTAAAAAATGCTTTTCCACTTTCATACTGTGATGCTTTTGGGGGGCTGTTGTTGCTGGTAATGTGATGTATTATGTGCTGGGCATATAATGAAGACGTGGGGCAATCCACTAGATGTGAGTCCAAGCCATGGTCTGAATCTGAGTGCAGATTTTCCAGAGCCCCGTGAAACAATGGGAGTGACTGTGTCTTCTCACCTATTGTCCTGGAGCCATTGCCCTTGCAGGTACCTGCCACATCCCTATGCTTCCTGGGCCCAAAGACATTCCAACCCATATTCCTGAACACTATGAAACTCAACATAGAGGATGTGCTGATATGCTAAACATGCAGAGCCCACCTCTATAAAGCTTACCACCTTCTCGGGTATGGAAGCAGTCTCAGCTTTGTCTGTGGCAGGTCTGTGACAGCCCCACGCCATGAAGAGGAAGGCCCACTGTGACTCCAAGCGGTCCCACCTCCCTGCTCATGGGAACTGCCAGATGTTTTACTTGTCCCTTTCTTCTCTTTTTCTGACGGCTTTTGATGGGTTCTATAAGGGGGACAGTGTTGAGGTGAGGGGAGGAGGCAGGAAGAGAAAAGTCCTTCTCAACCCCTCATTGGCATTCACATCCTCAGCTGTTGCACGTTCATCTTCTGGACACTTATTTATTTTGTCCCCTTCTTTCTGTCTCCTTGGAGATGCCAGTTCCTCTCTCTATAGGCATGCTGGCGGTAGCATTTGTTGGGCATGATCTAGAATCAGTACTTCCTTAAAGATTAGGGAAAGGCTGAGTAGTTAATAAAGAAGAGTCAAAACTGTGGGGCAGAGAAGAGGGAAGGAAACAGGAGAGAAAGAGTGGGGGCTAGTAGGAAAGAATATGCTAGCCACATGTTCTGTCTCTTTGGAATTTTCAAAGCTTTACTAGAACTTAAAATATTGGTATTTTCTACTCAGGAGGCTGATGTGGGAGAATTGCTTGAGCCTAGGAGTTCAAGGCTGCAGTGAACTGTGATGGCACCACCGCACACCAGTCTGGGCACCAGAGTGAGACCCTGTCTCCAATAAGCAAAACAGAAAAGAAAAAAAAAGAAAAAAAAATATATATATATAATTTGTACACACACACACACACACACACACACACACACACACACACACATATTCTTCTGTCTTTAGACCTTACCTCTTCTCATTTTAGGTTCCCTTTCTGAGAGATTTTATTTACTTATCTACTTGACTGCTTCAATTATTTTGTTTTCTTCCTCTCAGGATATTTAAATATGTGTGCAATTTGGTTTGTAATTCCTTTCCTGAGCTGTAGAGCTGTGTATTCATTCACCTGTCAACTGTATAGCCCTGCCTGGATTTCTCAAGGCATCTCAAAATTCGTGTGTCAACAACTCACCTCATAACTTTCCCCTCCCTACAGCATGCTTCTCCAGCACACCCTTTCTCAGATAATGGCGCCAGCCCAACCAGTTGATCAAGTTAGAAAGCAAAAGGTTTTCTTAGCCTTCCCCCTCTCTGACCCCATATCTACAACAAGCCAATTATTAAATCCTAATTCTGCTCCTTGAATAACTCTGAAATTCACCTGCATATCCTTTTTGGTTGTATATTTCAAAGGCCTTGTGGTAGACTGACTAGTGCCCTCCCACAAATGTGTTCACATCCTAGTCCTCAGAACCTGTGACTATTTTACCTTCCATGGCAAGAGGGACTTTGCAGAAGTGATTAAGGATCCTGAGATGGAGAGATTGTTCTGGATCATCTCGAAGGGCTCAATGTAATCACAAGGATCTTTATAAGAGAGAGTCAGTAGATTCAGAAAGAGAAGAAGATGTGACGACAGAAACAGACACAGGAATGTTGGGAGGCTATGACCCACAGAATGCAGGAAGCTCCTAGAAGCTATACAAGCAAAGAAATAGGTTTTCCCACTTGAACTTCCAGAAGGAACTCAGTCCTGCTGACCCATTTTAGACTTCTGACCTCCAGAACTGTAAGAGAATAAATTTATGTTGTTTTAAGCTCCTAGGTATGTGAAAATTTGTTACAGCAGTGTCAGAAAACTAATATAGACCTCAACCATTTTCCTTCTCTCCAGTTATGCAAACTTCTAGACCCTTCCTGCCACAGCAGTCAGAGGGAGTGTTCTAAAACACAAATCTGCTCATGGCTATTCTAAATGTTGAGATGCCTTCTGCAAGAATAAATCTTTTTTTCTTATTTTTACCTCTTCCTCTTCCACTTTCTGGGATATGACATGTGCCAATAAAGCAACAGCATTGGGTGTTTTTCCTTAACCTTAAATTTCTTGACATAACACACCCAACCCCTTTGGGGCTAACCTTATACCAACAAAATAGCATTGTTACCAATGCCACTGCAAGTTGAGAAATGGAACGAGGAATTCTTAGTGCAATGTTTAGGGAGATGCTAGGCAGTCACTTGGGGCTTTATACTTTAATCAAGGCCAGACGTTTGAGGGTAGCTTTCCTTTCTTCTACTCTTTCACTTATGAAGCGGAAGTGAACACTGAAGGAACCTAAGAGGTTCCAGGAGACATGGAAGTTGGTGTCCAAGTACGTGTAGGACCAAGAAATAAATAACCTGGAAAATAATCTCTGTAGAGTTGAGAGGCTGGCGGGGAAGATAACTATTAAGAGATGACAGAAGCTAAGGAAGACTCTTTATAGATTGCCACACAAGGGTAGAGCCTAACATAAATAATTGCCCTGAACATTTTTGTGATGACCTGTATTCAATTGATAATAATAAAATCCCAGCACTTTGGGAGGCTGAAGTGGGTGGATCATCTGAGGTTAGGAGTTCGAGACCAGCCTGATCAACATGGAGAAAACTCGTCTCTACCAAAAATACAAAATTAGCCACGCATAGAGATGCATGCCTGTAATCCTAGCTACTTGGGAGGCTGAGGCAGGAGAATTGCTTGAACCCAGGACACAGAGGTTGCAGTGAGCCAAGATCATGCCACTGCACTCCAGCCCGGGCAACAAGAGCAAAACTCTGCCTCAAAAATAAATAAATAAATAAATAAATAAATGAATAAATAAAATGTTGTGGTGATGGATTGTTAAGATCTCATTTCCTCTTCCTTTAATGACGTTAAGAGAGTATTGAATTCCAGCACTTTGGGAAGCTAGGTGAAAGAGTACTTGAGCCCAGGATTTCAAAATCAGCCTGGGCAATATGGTGAGATCCATCTCTACAAAAAAAAAATAATTAACCAGGCATGGTGGCACACACCTGTAGCCCTAGTTATTTGGGAGGCTGATGTGGGAAGATCAATTGATCCCACAAGGTCAAGGTTACAGTGAGCAGTGATCTCGCTGCACTCCAGCCTGGGTGACAGAGTGAGACCCTGTCTCAAAAAAAAAAAAAAAAAAAAAAAAAAAGGAGCATTGAAAGGAATCTTTCCCTATTGCCCTCCAAAATAAAATTCAACCTTGTACACATTTACCCCTACTGAGGCATTTGCCATATTGTATTATAATCACTTTTTTATTTCCTGTCATTTCCACTAGACTTTAAACACTCCTGAGGGTAGGGATTATAGATTTTTCATTAAGTATCTAGCAAAGACCTATTGCATAAGGGATGCGCACTAAATATTTGCAGAGTGAATGCATGAATACATTAATGAATGGAGCTAGGCCAGGCTATGGAAGGCAGGGAGGTATGAGGGTAGGCTAGAGAAAGCTTTCTAATTTACTGAATAGAATGAGAGGAAAGGAGGCCAGCACTAACTGAGTTCCTAGAGTAAGACCCTCTGTGCTTTGCACAAAGGAAGAGATCTTGCCTTCAAAAGTTAAATACTTTGTTATTCTTCATTGTAATAACTGGAAGCTCACCTGCATGCCTCTGATTCATGTGTGTTCTGTTTTTCCTTTTAGTCAATCCGTGTATTTGTCTGTTCTCATGCTGCTAATAAAGACATACCCGTGACTGGGTAATTTATAAAGGAAAGAGGTCTAATTGACTCACAGTTCAGCATGGCTGGAGAGGCCTCAGGAAACTTACAATTATGGTGGAAGGGGAAGCAAATATGTTCTTCTTCGCATGGCAGCAGGAGAGAGAAGTGCAGAGTGAAGTGGGGGAAAAGCCCCTTATAAAACCATCAGATCTCATGAGAACTCACTCACTCTTATGAGAACAGCATGGAGATAATCACCCCCATGATTCAATTATCTCTCACTGGGTCCCTCCCATGATACATGGGAATTATGGGAACTACAATTCAAGATGAGATTTGTGTGGGGACACAGCCAAACCATATCAATCAGCAATTCAAGGGTAGGACTTCTTGCTTCATGCTGCCTTTGAAGGTCTACAGCAGTATCACCATAGCTTGCTCATTGGGTATGTACAATGATGGTTCATGGCTGATACATTCAAGACCCAGTAAAGATCCTTAAACCAGCTCCTGTGCTGCAGAAGATCATCAATATGCTAGTTTCCTCTTTTTAAACAATGCTTCTTTGAGACTGCCATAGAGATGACTTAAAGATGACTCTAAGGTGCAGAAACTTTTCTGCACCTTAGAGTCATCTTTAAGGTCACACATCTATGGTTTCTATTCAGTGAGTTCCTGTAGTTCTTTTCTCTTCGTTATAAAGAGCAACAAAGCATATTTCTAGTTTTTATGATTGCACATCCTTTTAAAATAAAAGTCTTTATATATTTTTTTCTGGTGCCCCAAACATTGAGATAATCAGGGAGTATTATTAACATCAGTGGTATAATATAGAGTGACTGTTGTGTTTCATACTGGTGAGTGCCTAAATGTACTGATTCCTGGTTTGGTTATATTCAACTGATATAGATTGAGGGTTCTGTCAAATTATACGAAGACTAATAATAGGAAGTTCCTGCTTCCTGGGTATTGTTTATGAGAGAAATTAGAGAAGATACAAAGATTTGGATTTCATTCTTCATCAGGTGTTATATTGTCAGGAGAGAAAGAATACTGTAGTTGGAAGAATCTTGCCCTAGAAGCACTGAGTTTTAGAACACCATATACCACCATCCAGCTGTGCAACTTTGGGATAGCTATCACTTCTTTTCTCTTGTATTCAATTTCCTCACCAATAAAATCAAAGTGCTGAGCTCTGTCTAATTCTAACATTTCATGATGAAGATAGTTATAATTGAATACCTGTAATACTTGTCCTGTATTAGAAAGAGACAGAACACTTCTGCATAAGATCCTTATGCCCAATGATGCCCTCTGAATAGGCAATCCTAGAGACTAAAAGATAAGAGACTTACAATTCTGAGGCCATCACACTCTCATGATAAAATTCGAAGCTATAATCCAAATAAATTCCTATAAATAGGAAAGGGGCATCTACTCATAGAACAAAGGAAAATCAATTTCTCAGAACTATTTCCTGCAACATTAGAACATTCTGGACTCAATTGGCTATTGAGAACAGGCCATTAAAGCTAAACAATAGATTTCTATGTGAATTAATGCACAACTTCTTACCTAACATGAACATGCCAAGGACCTCCATATACTAGTTTACCCCCAAGACTCTGACTTTTTTTTTTTTTTTTTTTTTTGAGATGGAATCTTGCTCTGTCGCCCAGACTGGAGTTCAGTGGCATGATCTCAGCTCACTGCAAGCTTTGCCTCCCAGGTCCGGGTTCACGTCATTCTCCTGCCTCAGCCTCCCAAGTAGCTGGGACTACAGGTGCCCGCCACCACACCCAGCTACTTTCTTGTATTTTTAGTAGAGATGGGTTTTCACCATGTTAGCCAGGATGGTCTCGATCTCCTGACCTTGTGATCCACCTGCCTCGGCATCCCAAAGTGCTGGGATTACAGGCGTGAGCCACCGTGCCTGGCCAAGACCCTGACTTTCTTAAACATTATTTAACAGATGCAAATTGGCAATCTTATAATAATCTTAAACATAAGTCTGCAATGAGTTTTTTTGTTTTTAATTTTTTGGCATTTGACATTGTTGTTGATCCCAAAAGAAAGACATTGTTACATTTGTAAGTCAAGGTAAAGATTCAGAGAGCCCTCCAACACACAGGGCAGATGGTGAGATGTCATGGCGAAGTCGATTCAACACCCACATGGATTAGGTCGGATAACGCTGAAACTCTATATGAGCTATCAAGAAGATAAGGGTGCTTGAAAACTGCTCAGTGAGAGAGAAAATGTCAACACATATTGAAAAGAGCATTTCCAGGTCTTCAGTGGAAATTATTTTATCAGTGGGAGTGTTTTCAACTCCATCCCACAACTCCCAATCAGTGGCAATCTCAAAATCCCTCCAACTCTTTATGAGGTGAGGAAAGCCATCAAGCAGATGAAAAACAACAAGGCATCTGGAGCTGATGGAATCCCTGCTGAAATCTTCAAATCGGCTGAGGAAAATGCACACTATGGCTCCTTGATCTCATCTTGAAGCTTGAGAATGATGAAGAAATTCCAGATGACATCCGTGATGTTGCAGTTGTGACCATTTCAAGGCAAGGACACAAAGCTAATTGGAAAAAAAAAAACCACTCACACTCTTCCTTCTCAGGAAACTTCTTGCTGAGGTGCTTCCTTCATCATGCTACTTTTTGAAAGGCAATAGAGATGCTAAAAATGTCAATTATTTAACTTCAGTAGTTTGGCAGGGGCATTTTTTTTTTCTGATTTGGTTTGAATTACATGGATAGCAAACAGTGCAAACCATTGCCGATACCCATTGCATTGTTATTACATTGTTATTACTTCCCTACACATTTGATCACTCTTGAAGATTCCAAGACAAGGCTTGCATTATTCATCTTTCTATCTCCAGAGCCTGGCACATGGTAGGTGCTCAATAGATGGTCAATAAATTAATAAGTTACTTGAACATGACTTAGTAACTTGGATGTTAATAAGAGTAAGACTAGTTGCCTGGGCATAATATTTAACAGATAAATAAGGAATAAGGTTGCCATATGGCCTCAGGGTCCTCTGGCCATGCTGTCAGAATGGGAGCATAGAAGAAGATGGGGTCAGATCTCATACCTTCATTCATGGCCACTTCCTTAATTATGCACATGAGTGAGGGCGGGTGATAGAGAAGACAGGAGAGACAGGAGAGTGTGAGGCAGGCAAAGGACAGAAAAACAGAACTAAGGAAGCGGGAACATCAACCTTTCCTTTGGTTGTTGTTGACCTAGTTTCTGATCAGAATTGCACAGTGAGCTACCTCAGGGTCATAATGAGCATAGCACTCCCATTGTGCAAATGAGTGAGCTGAGATGCAGAGGATAATTGACGGGTCATTCCCCAAACTGGAGCCAACTCTGATTTGGCTATAAAGTTTGCATCTCCCTGCCCTGCACTGAAGCCAGAAGGCCAAACAGAACTGTCCCACAGAAGCTATGTGGGGGTTGGGGCAGGGACAATGTGGGTCCTCTCTCTGCTCCATAGGCACAGAGATAATACAGTGCACTATGTTAATTAACACTTAAAGCTGATACAGACTAAAATAAACAAATGTGCACCCATTCTGGTTCCACTTCTAAGACCTCATCCCGAGACCATAACACAGTTTGTTTTACAGCTTCTCTGGTCACGTGAGAGCCAGCATAATGAAACCGCTCTAATCTCTATTTTTCTAAAGTCTGTGTAGATACAGATGGCTCTGTTTTGGTCTCTGGGTTTTATTCTTATTTTGCCACAATTTTAACCTTTTATGTATCTCTTTCTGTGAGATATTCTCACTGTTTCCTCACTGCCTAGAGGCTCTGAGAGGCCCTTCATTTTCGTTTTTCCAACCAACGTATCATATTGTTCTTCAGCATATTAGAGATTTTTAAATAACAGGACATATTGCCATTCTTACTGGAGAATTCTGATATACAGGGATGCCATTCTGTGATTCATGAGAAAGCTTATTTCAGCTTCATTTTTTAAACATCAAAAGTTGAAGAATAGATGTTTAATTTTCAAAGTATCCATAATCACGTGTGCCTGGAAGGCCATGAGCAGCAGAGAAAGGACTTGGAAAGCTATAACGTCTCATGCATATGTTTTATGCTTGTGGGAAGAAAAAGAGACTAGAAAGGAAATAAGAGAGCCACGAAATAAAGAGAGCTGGATATGACACAGGTTCTGAAAGAGAAAAAATTCAGGACTTTGTTGAGCCTCACATGCAGAGTCAAATTCAGAAAAAAATGGCAACATATAAACAGCTCACAAAGCACAATACTCAGTCTCATAAATTCGGCACAATCTGGGTACCAGCTTCCAGCTTCCAGTTGCAATAAGAGAATTGCCAAGTAGAAAAATGACCAAAGCATTCCCGACATGTTTGCATAAGTGAGGTAAGGAGCTCAAAGGAGGGATTTAAAAGAAGACTCTGCATTGTTCGTGAAGTCATTCAAGCAGAAGGAGGGTGGAATTCCATCTGTTCAGTTCAGTTTGGTTCAATGAACTGGGTCACTTTTAATGGTTCACTAAATTCTGACTATCTAAAAATTACAGTTAATGTGTTTTAAAAATCTTGAGCTGCATGACAAGAACACCTTATTACTTGTTCTTCCTTGCCCTTGGGTTTATCACCTCTGAGATTGGGTAAAGTGGGGTGCCTTTCATGAGATGGGCAAATTGGGTTGCTGTATCCAGCATCAGATGCCTACCAATAGCTCTGCATTAAAAAAGACAAAAAAAAATGCTTTTATATCCCCTACTTCCTTGATCCTCTCCCTGACTGGAGTTTTGAGGCTGGGGCAACTATTTCTCACTCATGTGAGACTGATCTGGGAACATATCTGAGGTAGAGGAAGGAGACCAGCATAGAACTAGAAAGCAGAAAAACTATTGTAGAAAAATAAGTACATAAGAGAAAAATCATAATTCATGTTTCGGGGAAAGTTTGAAAGTCTCAAAGCACAGGATGCTCCAGGGAAGTGTTTCTGGCTTTAGGCTTTTCAAGGAGGTGATTTGTACCCAATTTCATGTGATTAAACATTTCCCCAGCTTCCTAAGGATCAGGGTTACTTTCAAAGGTAAACCTAAGAAAATAAAAGAATCGTGTTCCCTGATTTTGAATAAGTGTGTTGGTTTTTCTCTGCACAGCAAAACAAGCCTTTTATCACAACATGGAGATGCTTTTTAATCATGGCATTTTTAAGGGCAAAGTGATATTGAACTATGGATGAAACACCTTTCTAGAAAAGATGAAACTGTCGGGAATCAGAATGAGAAAAAGGGAGATTTGTTCCAAAATTGAATTTAGGCAACCTTGATCTTATTTTCCATGTCATCTTTGCCTATTAAAAATATACCTATTCCTCCTGGATACTGACCAACATGGCCTCTTGTTGCAAAGTGCTGCTTGATATGCCAGTAGGACATCTCTTCGTGATAGACGAGAGAAGCAGAGTTGAAAGCAACACCTGAAGCTTTCAAATAGGAAATAACACAAGATCAGCCCAAGGACATCTGCAAGTTAAAAAACAACACCTCTTCCAAAGACAGTTTCAAAAAAATAAATAATCATACTAGAATTGGGACTATGGCTACTGAATAGTGATGAAGATGATCAACTAAATCATTAATGCTGATGGGATGTTTACTTTTCTACTCAGACCTAGCTAGCTAGCTCAGAATTATTTGTTCAAATTGAAATTCGATTTTAAGAGGGCTAGATAAATGTGAGACTAGACGAAGCCATCCTTATTTGGTTCTAATGGCACAGTGTCTTTCTGAAGCATTACAAGTTGTATTCTTTTGTTCATTTAATAAGCACAAAAGCACGTAGAGAGCTGCAGATGAGGACACTTCTCCTTCGGCTTGTATTTGCACAGGGTGGAGTCACACAATGATTTGGGGAAGGGACTGCCCCCACCTCTGGCTTTCCTTTGTACAGTTTTCACACCTGCCAGCGTGGGAGGGTAAGCCTCTGTCCCCCTACAGATGGTCTATCAACAGGGGTCACAGCAGCTCCCAGCTCTGGACTAGGACTATGAATTAGTGTAGTTTCCCTCCAGCAAATTTTCTTCCATGGGCCCCACTGGGGCCACTAGTGGTGGAGGACATGGTCTGAAGAATCTCTCTCCTTTGACCTAATTACTTCTTCTCTAGTCTCCCCAGCTCTGTCCCTGCCAGATGTAATCCATTTCCTAAACTTCTGTCATGGGAGTCTTTCCCAAACATTGATGTGATGGAATCCCTCCCTTGCTTACAGGTCTCTTGAGCTCTCCTTAAGATAAAGAATAATCTCCTTAGCAGATATGTGTATCTTTTTACCACATTATTCCAAGGGTCTTTACAAACTCATTATCAATTGTTGAGTTTTTTGCTCATCCTTCAGGGATTGGCTCTAAAGCCCCCTCTGTTGAAGACTTTAATTACTCAACCCATCCATCCTCTTCCCCACCATGGCACCTCCATTGGAGCAGTTGTTGCAGGGTATTGCAATGACGTATCCATCTTTCTTTCTATTTTCCCATCCAGGCTGTGTAGCAATCAAAAACAGGAATGTATTCATGCCTAGTGCAGTGTTGAATACTTGTTAAAAATATATTTAATTGGATGGTAATATCTGCTTTTTTATGTTTTTGTTTCAATCTGTTTTCTACTCCAGCTACCAGTTTAATATAGTTCTAGGGTGTTATTCCCATTTCTGTTACTTTCCTTCTTAATATTTATGAATATGTTTGTTTGAACATATACTTGTTTATTGGTGTTCTCTATCAGTAAAATAAAAACTCTATAAAGCCAAAGACATCATCTCATTTTGTTTACACTGTATCTCCTATTCCTATCTTTGTACCTTCTTAGTAAATATTTGCTTAATCAAAGAAGGAATTAATTAAGAAATTCTTCAGCACAAGATGTTGAGTTATAGACACCTCACTTACAATTCTTTAGGCAATGACCAAATGAATTGCTTTTCGCTTTATTTACTTTCTTCTTGATTTTAATAATTCTTTTCTACAGCTTCCCCACTATTTAAAATGAAAAAATCTTGCATCAAGGGAAGGAAAAAAAAATGAGTGGGAAATTTACAAAGAAACCCTTTTACATGTTGACTATGGAATCCTTTTATAAATGGCTGAGTTCCCTCAATTCATGCACCAGTGATTACTTCTTTCTTCTTCTTTTTCCTACTCAGAGGTCTGCCCGAATCTGCTGGCTAAGCCGCCTCCAATACAAAGGGGAATTAATATTGTAGGACAATTAGAATTTGGTGTCCCTTCCACTGTGATGTTTTAGAAAATCAAGGTAGGGTTTTATCCCTGACCATAAGTTGAAATCTTAATATATTTGAACTTAAACTCATCATGGCCTGAGCCTATTGCATGAACTATTATCTATTATCTAATGCTACTGTGAAAAGTGACACTCTATGGCAAATAGGGGACCAAAATTGTTGCCCTCCACTTTAGTCCTACATTATATTACTGAATTTAAATCATAAGAGTTAGGGGCCAATAGTGAAGGAGGTGTGTGTGTGTGTGTGAGTGAGTGTGTGTGACTGCATGTGTGTTCAGGGATGCCCTGAAGTTAGGTGAGTGGCCTAATCCATCATGGCATCTCACAGGCACTTGACTGTATGATTTGAGGAGTTCCTGGTGAGTGAACCTGCCACAAGAAGGAAGGGCAACACAGCAATCATGGCTGTCCCCAGTAATTTTGTCCCCTCTCAGTTTCAACAGTCTTCTCTTGGCTCTTCAGATAATGGGGTCTGCCACCAATACACCAACTGTCTCAAGTCAGGTGCTGAAACAACTCAAACCAGGAAATATGAAGACATAGATATATCTCATTTAATGCTGATACCTTTAACTTTTATGAGCTCAGTTCCCTCAACAAAAATAAGTGGAGAGTTGTAGTGAGTAGAGCATGGGTTGTTGAGAGGATTCAGTGATATGTAAAGTGCTCAGCACCAGCATCTGGTACATTTCAAGTAATGTGCAGTGGTTGTTATCACTATTACTACTAGTCCTGAGGTTAGAATAAACCTGCTCTATCTTTCTCTCTTCTTTACATATAGTCTCATTAAAAACAAACAAACACTAGACTCCAGCATTCAAAACCATTCACCAGTGGCTAAGAGAACAGATTCTAGAACCAGGCTACTTGGATTTGAATCCCGGCTCCTCAACTTACTGGGCCGGTAACTTTAGTTGAATTATTTAGCCTCTTTATGCCTCTGTCTTCTTACCTGTAAAACCAGGATAAAGACTGCATTTTTTCCTTGGTATATGGTCAGTATTCACTTATTTAAAGAACTTGGGAAAGTGTACATGGTTAACATGTAGTACTTGGTAGATCTTTGCAGATTGGCTCTTTTGACCTTATCTCCTGGGACAAAACCTTGAAGTCTTTTTGCTCAGTCATGGCTGGCATGGATGCTGGATCCAGCAATGTGTACTGCTCACCTCAGACGAACTCCTATGGCTGGTGGAACTCTTGGTCTTTTCAAAATTTATTTCCTAATATTTTCCTTGCCTGTGGGCCCAGGATTAGCCCTTCTGGCTCTAGACTTCATTTAACTTCTGCAGCTGGAACCTGTCCTCTTCCCCTATTCTTTCAGGGAGACCCTCTATTGTGCTGTATGCCATCAACAAATGAAGGAAATGGAAGCCAGCTAAAATGCATTGAAACCCTGGTATGCTAGATATTTATAGTAATATGTGTTAAATTTCACAGTAACCATGAAAAATAAGTTTTATTCTAGTTTGTCAGATGTGGAAACTAAGTCTCAGGAAGGCTGAGTAATTTGCCCCAAGTCATGTAGTAAGCAAGTGGTAGAGAGAGAATGTAAACTCAGGTCTGTTTAACTTTCAGAAACTGTGCTTGCTTCTTCCCTTATATCATGTTGTCCCATTATTTTGTAAAAATGATCATAAGTTTATTGTAAGTGTATTGTATGTGTATGTAAGTGTATTGTTATTGTATTAAATTTGATTATCCTATTTTAATTTTAATTTTACATGGTTTATATGTGATCCTTCTGGAGGTGAAGATTATGGATGGGATGGAAAGGAGTGATACTACCATGAATTGAAAACTTTCGTTCTCTGTTCCTCTCTTTCTCAATCTCTCTCATACACACACCACACACACATTTACTTTAATTTATCTATATGTTTGTCTATGCATCTACCTATCATCTCTATGTATACATATTCATACATGTGCATTTATTAAATACCATCAAATATTTATTGATAATTTATTTTATGTAAAGGCAATAAAACTTTCTTCTTTACATTTTTCATTGTAACAGAAACTTAGAAAGTCTATTCTTGCTTTGGAATAGTCAGTGATTAGCATCGAGCAGGGCCTGTCTTTAGGCAAAGTCTCACTTCTGCACTTGCTTTCTGGGCTATTACCCAAGCCTAGACTCACCCTGCAGTAGGGTATTTTCTCCTTGAGAGCTGTTCTACCACAGCCTGTGTTCCCACAGGGGCTGGTGGAGGGAAAGCCCCTCTCTACTCAGCATTGCAAGTTGCCTAATGAACTTCTCACTGAATTCTTGTTTCAAATTTGAGAGATGGTTCTAATCTCAACTGATTTGTGAAGCTGAGACGACCTGATGAATACCTCTGATGTTAGTTATTTCTGCCAATTTTCTCATTGGTTAAATTTCAAGCGATGTCTACTCAAGGTCTGATATGGTTTGGATCTGTGTCCCTGCCCAAATCTTATGTTGACATGTAATCCCCAATGCTGGGAGGGGGCGCCTGGTGGGAGGTGATTGGATCATGGGGGCAGTTTCTCATGAATTGTTTAGCACCGTACCCCCTAGTACTGTTCTCGTGATAGAGTTCTCACAAGATCTGGTTATTTAAAAGTGTGTAGCACCTCCCTCTCCCTGTCTCTTGCTCCTGCTCTGACCATGTAAGATGTGCCTGCTTCCCCGTTGCCTTCTGCCATGATTGAAAGTCTCCTGAGGCCTCCAAAGAAGCTAAGAGGATGCCGGCATTATGCTTCCTATACAGCCTGCAGAACCATGAGCCAATGAAACCTCTCATCTTTATAAATTACTCAATCTCAGTTATTTCTTTATGGCAATGCAGGAATGGACTGATACAAGGTCCCACTTATTCAAAGAACTCAGTCATACGTCTGCCATGATACCCTTTCCTCTATTGGGTCAGTTGCTTAAGATTCTATCTTTTCTTCTAAATATAGCTGAAAATTATTTAAACATCACATGGAAACTATGTTAATATGTTATTTGTAAGGATTGTATGTGAATGTGAAATCTCAGAGGACAGGATGAAAAAACCAGAAGATACTCTTGGTCTTTCAGGGCTGAATGGCAACCTGGAGGCCCAACTGCAGATGAAGCCTGCTATTTGAAAACTGGAAATTAGATGGGGTCACTATCACCCCTGCATCTTCTTCCATATTGTCAATTTCCCAGAATGCTAGGTTGAACACCTAACTGCCTGAAATGGGTTTTAGAATAGGGAACAAAAATGTTTGTGTGTGTGAGAGTGTGTACATGCATACATATATAATGATAATTTCAAAGTGGAATGGCTATGATTGGTTGCAGGAGCCCTTAATAAGTACACTAATTCCCCAGGCCCCACACACACTATTTTTTTTCTGGAAGGCCATTAAAATAGGAAAATCCAGTGAGGGGAGGATCACAACACACCAGCAGTAAACACAAGCAGGGCCTCTGCAGTATTTAGGCCTCTTTTCTCTGAATAGCCCCTTCTTCTTTTATCTCTTTCACTTGTAAACTGTCTAGGCTAAGTATAAAACAAATGAAGAGGGAGAGGACAAAAGAACAGTAAAGAAAAAGTTTGAGCAAGACCAGCAATTGAAAGCGGGCAAATAGTGGTGGAATGGATGGACAAGGGAGAGCGAGAGTGGGAAGCTGTAGAGAAAGTTGAGGGGAAGGGAAGGTACCCCATATTGAAATAGGATTAATCTGATAGCATCTAGTAAACGTCAACATGTTGGGAGCAGATCCACGCATGAAAAGTTTTGTTTTTTTTTTTTTTTTTTTTTTTTTTAGATGGAGTCTTGCTCTGCTACCCAGGCTGGAGTGCAATGGTGCAATCTCAGCTCAATCGCCTCCCAGGCTCCAGTGGTTTTCCTGCCTCACCCTCCTGAGTAGCTGGGATTACATGGTATGCCACCACAGCCAGCTAATTTTTGTATTTTCAGTAGAGACAGGTTTCACCATGTTAGCCAGGCTGGTCTCGAACTCCTGGCCTCAGGTGATCTTCCTGCCTCGGCCTCCCAAAGTGTTGGGATTACAGGCATGAGCCACCGCGCCCAGCCCCACATGAAGGATTTTTTAAAAACACAAATATTTTGTAAAATTGCAAGTGGAGAAGGAAGGTAATTAGAGCAAGTATCTGGCAAGGGAAATTGGAGTAGGTAAACAGGAGAACCGCAACATCTGATTTGCCCACTTCGTCTTGTAGTTTAAGGTCAACTCTTGTGTGCATTTGGTTCCATCATCTAAAGGGAAAAATGTAAATTAGTGTTATGTATATATTGTCATGTATTAGCTTTGAGATAAAAAAGCACTCATCTTTTTTTTTCTTTTCTTTTGAGATGGAGTGTCACTCTGTTGCCCAGGCTGGAGTGCAGTGGTGCAATCTCAGCTCACTGCAACCTCCGCCTCCCAGGTTCAAGTGATTCTCCTGCCTCAGCCTCCGGAGTAGCTGGAATTACAGGTGTGTGCCTCCATCCCCAGCTAATTTTTGTATTTTTTAGTAGAGACGGGGTTTTGCCATGTTGGCCAGGCTGGTCTCAAACTCCTGACCTCAGGTGATCTGTCTGCCTCAGCCTCGCAAAGTGCTGGGATTACAGGCATGAGCCACCGTGCTCAGTCAAAAAAACCACTCTTATCTATTATTATGCCAAAAGCTCTACAGAGCCCTTAACTGGGTCAGAATCCTCTATTTTTGTTTCTATGAGTAATATTTGTTAACAATAAAATCATGTCACAGAATATCTTATGTGGAAGTGGGCAGCTTCACTCTTGAATGGCAGATACCCATCTAAATACCAAGAATCATGCTACTTATTCAAGGTTATAAACAGAGGAAGGTCATCAAGAGTGGAAGTGTCATATCCTGGAGGAAGAGGCAAGCTAGTTTCCTTGTCATTGTATTTGGACTCCTCAAAGTGAAACATGGTAAGGTTTATACAGGTTTTTGTTGATTTGCTTTTCATTGATTTTACTCTTTGTCTTCAACAAAGAAAAAGAAGCTGTAGGTTTATCCCTGTCTCTGCAGCTGCAATTGTGACTTCCTTGGAAAAAAAAAAAAAAAAGCCAAAAGGACAGCTCTTTACCGATTAGGAAGTAGAAAATTTGATAGCTTCTGAAAATAAATGCCTGTATTCCATTTTCTGGCAGGCCGCTGTGGTTCGTCTTCTGCCTGGGAACTGGATAAAAACATCAGTGAATACCCCAAAGGTCAGAATTTCAGAACTGCTGCCACAACTGTATTGTCACCAAGTAGTCACCATGCTCTCACTCACTCTCTTTTTTTAAGAGGCCTGGTCATGTCCGGGGGAATGCCAGGTACATTTTTCTTAATGTATGAGCACAAGTTACATATAACAACCTAACAACACAATACTGCCTCTTTAATGCTAATCTATTCCTTGCAATCTACTAGATACATGTAGAGTCATTGGTGTGTATCAAGAGAGCAAAATCAGATTCTGAAAATATCTGAAAGGATGCACTAGAGTGTACATAATAATGTATTTTAATCTGCCAGGCCTTAAAATTAATCATGAATTCCCACAGAGATTTTAATAATTTTGAAATGATGTTTTTTTTTTCTTCATAGAGTAATATTCTTGGACAGAGTTTTCTAAATGCTGCAAGGGTAAAAAAAAAAAAATATAGGTGGGGGAGGGGGAAGCAGGGGCAGTTTCTCGTTTGCCATCTTAGAGGAGATGTGTTTACCAGGGGAACATGTTTTCTTTTGCTCCTAACTAAAAGGCAAGGTAGGTGTTTCAAAGAAAGGCTTTATCACTCCATAAAAGCTGACAAGTCTCGGGAAGTTTATTAGGGGTAATAATGTGCATTTGTTAAGCAGTGGGAATAGTCCTGAAGCAAAGAGGTCCATTCTAGCGAGGGGGTGGATACCTCAGCAGCATTACAGAACTTGGCCATCAGCAGTTTTCAGAGTGGCACAGGAGGAAAACCTTGGTGGTCAAACTGCAATAGGCTCTGGAAAGGGTGACCATATTATTTATTGTTTAAACTGGGACTTTTGAGAGGGAAAATAAAAGTAAATAATTACCCTGGGGTATATGCTTACTTTCAGTTCAAGGGCAGGTAGCAAAGGTCTGGATTTCAGGTTTCTGATTTAGCAGTGGCCCCTGCCTTTCAAAGAGGGGTGGTCATGTCTGTTTCCCTTACTGCCCTAAGATGCTAGGCCCATAAACTGTTTAGGCTCTTTGAACTTTATCCAACAAAGGTGTTATGTAAAATTATAAATACATAGCATTGTTTCATGAATAATAAACAACTAAAAATATTATGACCTAGATTGATGATTTTTCAGGGATATCCAGGGTACCAGGAAAAAAAAAATACGTTCCTAGAGGTATGCTGGACTTTCTATATCTTTTTAAGTCTCCATAAAATACCCTATTCAATGCTAAAAAAAATGTGTACACATGGACATACAGAGTAGACTGATAGAAAATGGAAGCTTAGCAGGGTGAGGAGGTGAGAGGTGGGTGGATGATGAGAAATGACTTAGTGGGTACAAGGTATGGTATTCAGGAAATGGGTACTCTAAAAACCTTGACTTGACCACTACCCAATCTATGCCTGTAACAAAATGGCACTAGTAACCCACACATTTATACAAATAAAAAGATAAAATAAAGTACCCCATTACAGTGTCTGGCTACAAGGAGAAGGGAATTTTTCTTGTGATCCACCAAGTTTTAGGTAACTATCCCTGAAATGCAGCTGTCATAACATGTCTTCGTCCCTTTTCTACCCATCCATTAAAAACAAGTGTACTTAATTGTACACTTGAGTGTGTATTTAATTTCCTCCAGTCCCCATGTCCAGATTTTTCTAAGAGTTGAAGTAGAGCATATTTGTTAGAAGTAGGCAGAAAAGATTATTTTACCTGAGTTACATTACCTTCAAATAATTTGCAGGCTGGTAGAATCAGGAATCTCACTAGTGTGTGTGCTCCTTTAAGAAACTATTTTATTGTTCTTTGGGTTGGCTAGTGGAATAAAATCGGAGATACTCATTTGGCCTAGCCTACACTTCCCTTCCAGATTTCCCATCTTCCACTATCCCATTGAATCAGTGATATTCATTGCCTTAAGAGATAGTTATTGAATGGAGTACAGGATACAAAAGATCAGAGAAAGTGAAAAAAAAACCACAAATCCCTGGCTTTGAGTTTCAAAGAAGGCCTCTGGAAATTCCCAGTAGAGGAAATGGCCTTGGGAGCAAATCTTTTCATCTTACTAGGAGCAGGCATTTTGGAATAAAAGGCTAAATCCCCAGCTCAGCAGCAGTTAATGCCTTAACTAGGAGTGCTTCCCAAACTGGAAGGGGCACAGGAATCACCCGGGAGCACTGTTAATGCACAGCTTCCTATTGGGCCTGAGTGTCTGCATTTCTAATAAGCTTGAAAATACTGCAAGCTACTGGTCCCTGGTTTACATTTTAAATAACAAAGCCTAAAATAATAGTTTGGAAAGTGAACAAGTGAAAAACCTAATTAATCAGACTAGAAACAATACTTTACTGTTTGGGAAGAGTTGCTTTGAGAGCTTAGCTTGTCCCTATGAAGACAGCTAAGAGAAGTCCCTATAAAAGGGCCTTGTGGCTGCTATGGTGTGGGGCCCACAAAGAAGCGGCTATGACAGCAACCAGGCAGGGCCTCTTTGGGAAGTCCTCTGGGGCACAGTGCAACAACAGTGGACGCAAAGAAATGGCTGCCGGGAACTGTACAAATGTCCTGAGCTGGCATCTTTCCTATGCCTGAAGCCACCCAGAGAGGTGGGAGAACATCCCTAAATTTCTGTGCTTCCTGAGATGGGTGTGGAATGCTTCCTAGCGGGCTAGTGAAAGTGGCGGACGGAGCCCTGGAGTTGCGATGTTGGGATGCAGAGTGACTAGGAGAATCTGAGCAGCAGGGGCCATGTGGATACCTGAGTTTTTCCAGGTAACAAAATCAGAGCAAAATGACCAAAGGCAAGACAAAGGAGTCACTTCTCATCAAGAGTCTCATCTCATTGCAAGGATGGAGGATGCCTATAGCCCTCCTGGAATGTTAATATCACTCCAGGGAGAAAAGGAGCATTGATAGGCCTATAAATGGACTGAGCTTGCCTGAAAGAGACTGAGACAGCCCTGAGGTGACTGAAAATAAGCCCTATGTTTATCTGAACTAAAGTGATTTCCTTTATTAGGTAAAACATGGGTGTAAAATGGGAATTAAGGTAATGCATATGTTAATCAGTTCAACTGAGCCATTCCATAATGTAGACATATTTTAAAACATCGTTGTACGTGATAAATATATATAATTTTTGTTTGTCAATGAAAAAATAAAAGATTAAAAATGGGGGTTACATGGACATTTAGAAAAGAATTTTAAAACTTCCATATTTTACATATCTGAGTATACGCTTATGAAATATCTGACCTACTCCATTGCAATTCCTATTATTTAGCATATTGCTCATTGTTTAGTAGGCACCTAGTAATTATCATTTCACTGAATAAATAAAATGAAAACAACTCAGTTTCTCAAAAACAAACAACAAACATAGCAAAACAAAACAAAAGCCTCAATAACAAGTACATGAAGTTCAAGTTTAATACTGTCCTAAAGATTTTTAAAAAAAAACCTTTTAGAAGAGTGTTGATTAACCAATGTCAAGCCTTACTAGAGACAGAAAAATAGTAAAGAAGCTTGACGCTTGGCACAAACTGAGTACATCTTAAAGATGCAGGTGCTAGTGTGGTGTGCTCAGCAAAGGAGGATGTGAGCCCAGAATTTCTGGAGATCTTTGAAAGTGGGCTAGATAAGATCTATGTAGTTCTGCTTAGAAACAGGAAAATGATGATAATTTCTTTGTTTCTTTTTCTCAAAAAATATAGTTTCAGTTCAGCAATATAGTTTTAAATCTAATCAGAGGTCAATTTCGTCTTCACTTTGGTAGTCCTGGTTATTAATACATGCATAGCAGATATTTTAGGACCAGAGCTGAAGTTCCCATTAACACATTATTTTAATTTTTGATCAATATTGTGTGTTTGATAAGAGACTTGGCATATAAAGCTAAAAATGCCACATGCCCTGTAGGGAGCCTTTTATTTCTAGTGACATATATTGGAGTTATTCTTCTTTGTTCATATGATTTACCCTCAAAAATCTATTGAATGTGCCCCCAGAGAAGCACAGATAGCTGTTTTAATAATCATATTGGTATTCGGGTGGAATGGAGTGGGTAGAACTGAAAGAACTTTCAGGGAATATTGTTCCTAGAATCTGTGGTTCCACCAGCCTGCGTATAATAGTTAAAGTGCAGTAACATAGCTAGAGTTTGCAGAATAAAGTTAGCAGTTGTACTCTTGTAAATATTGATCTTTCACCTCCTTCCCAGGTTTGAGAGCCCTTTGCTCATACCAGAAGTGGCACAATATGCTGCTAGGTCAACAGATGGCAGGGTTACACTATCTCTGTCTCTTTCCCACCACAAGCAAAAGAAATTTACCCAAAGCATTTGGCTATCTAGTGTCTAGTGTTCGCTTTAATAGAGCTGATAGTCGAGTCTTCAAGTTCTGCTTTTGACCCTAGTGATTCTGTGCTATTGGAAAGTGCTGATGAACTGAGATAGCCCTTCAGCTTGGTTCTCACTGGTAGCATCTCTACAATGGAAAGCCTATGGAAGCAATGGAAGACTTGGTTCTTTGAATATAGCATAGAATATGGAGTGGTAGAATAATAGCCCATTTTAATCTCTTGCTCATATATTTTTCTTGAAACGTCTGTATCACTCATGACTATCTGGGTCCCATATTGTACTTTCAGGCTATCTATATATGAAGTCTATTTTCATTCTTAACACAGTGACTATGAAGTGGAGATTATGCCCATTGTACAGATGAGAAAAATCATGTCTAGAAAGGTGAAATAACTTGCTCAACATCCCAGGGATAGAAAAGAGCAAGGCAGAGATTTGAAATCAGGCACGCTGATCTCAAAATTTACACTTTTTATGCATAAGAGTTGCCCAGTGTAGGAGCTGCTATATATATTTGCAAGGCCACAGAAGGGTGGTGGAGTTCAGTTGTGGTTTAATGGACCTGATAACTAACTTTTGGATGTGTATAGCATTTACAGTTTTGCTCAGTTTACTTTTGAGACCTTCCAGTCTGGTGAGTGACAGTGAGACTCTCTCCACCAAAGTACAGAATATCTCAGGATGTGTGTATTACACACAAGAGTGGGTAGAGTTAGAAAAGGGATTCTAGCCCCCAAATCTCCTTCTTACTCCACTACTTCCATTTGTAATGTTTGAAAGACAGTTCCCTTAAATTAACCTCTGTTAGCCTATGTCATTTTGTGGGAGCAATTAATTTTTCCAGGTTCTCCTCAGCATTTTGCAGCCACCTTCAATAACCAACCTCGTGATATTTTAACTGAACCACATCACTTGTGTTTCTAACATTGATATGGATTTTACACAGCTGTTTACACTAATATGTGCTAAAATGCCTAATTACTGCTGCAATCACAGGCTGGCTCGACAGTTTTGCCAGCTCTTAAATATATAGTCATATCTTAATCAAACACAAACGTCAATAAGCATCCTAAACTCCTGCAATTTGTAAACTGGATTAAGGGCAATAAATGCAACCCTTCAAACAAGAATACAGAATTTTGCATATTTCATGCTAATATGCTCATCTGTTTGTTTTGCTGTTGTTTCCCAGATTTTCAAAAATGCTTGTTGATAAAATGAAGTCAGAATGTGAGATGAGGTGAGTGTTTATTAGCATTGAGTAAAAGGCTTCAGAAGGCCTAAAGAAGGCTGTACTATAATAGTATTTTTTAAAAATGTGTGACATTTATATTTATATTAAATTGTTGGCTGATGATTCTTTAGCCAACTGGGTAAACTATTTTTGTGTGTGTGTGTGACAGAGTCTTGCTCTGATGCCAGGCTAGAGTGCAGTGGTGCGATCTTGGCTCACTGCAACCTCTCCCTCCCCGGTTCAAGCGATTCTCCTGCCTCAGCCTCCCGAATAGCTGAGACTCCAGGCACCTGCTACCACGCCCAGCTAATTTTTTGTATTTTTAGTAGAGACAGGATTTCACCATGTTGGCCAGAATGGTCTCGATCTCTTGACCTCGTGATCTGATCTCTTGACCTCGTGATCCGCCTGCCTTGGCCTCCCGAAGTGCTGGGATTAGAGGTGTGAGCCACCATGCCCAGCTGTAAACTGTTATTACTTATATATTTTTTAGCAGGAATGAAAACACCTACTAGGTATTAGGAACGATGATAAGAGCTGGTAATTGCTTTAGAATGTCATAAATAGGCTACTGTGTGTATAAGTTACTCTGGGATCCTGGAGAAGGAAACGTTTCTTTACCACTGAGAGCTCAGGGTAGACTTCATAAAAGAGACATGTTCGTATTGGAAAAATGGAGGATTTTCCAGGAGGACAAGCACAAGAGATACAGACAGGAAACAGAAAAAGAGCAGTCATCGTCACCAATGAAATGGAAGAGAGCAGGCAAGTTCTGGAAACTGCAGTACCTCTGTACGAGGATAGAGGGCTGCTTGGAGAAACCTAGGAGACGTAATGTTAGGAACATCATCGTAAGCCCTGTAGATGATGATGGAATGCCTTATGATAGTAAGACTGTGTTAGCTATAAAATAACAAGGAAAGAGAATTATAGAGCTGCCATTTGACTCATAGGAATTTTGTCTGTGGTTACGTGACCCATCTCCCAAAAAAATGTGTGCCCCCAACATCTAAGGAGCTTATACTGGAGAAGCCAATGATAGTCCATGAATATTAGTAGGAAATCATTAGGTTTGTCTCTCTTTTCATTGGCTGACTTATTGATTGAGTTATGTATTCATTCCAGCATTGATTCAGTAAATGTCTACTTAGCCTTTACAATTTTTTAATATTTGTCCCAGTCACTGAGGAAATGACAGTGATGTTCTCTCCTGTCTGAGAATAAGAGGTTATGGGATTAATAGTATCAGGGGACTTGGCAAAGAATAAAAATGATTATATCACTCTCATTTATTTTATCAAAAAGAACCTGCCACTTTCTTGACTTTATAGATTCTTTAATTTTACTTGTACTCACCACATTTAAGAGAATATTTTTTCCAATGAACTCCCATCTATCTGGAATTAAAATACATGTAAGACTAAAATAACTGGAATTTTAAAAAGTGCATCGTTGTTTTATAGGGGAAATGGTAAGAAATTAAGAATCTAGGCAACACTGACTGTAGTATACCCTGAATAAACTGCATATTTAATTTAATTTCTTATAACCTCATCATTTAAACGTTGCACAATAAAAACATGTTTAGAATGGAGACCACTACGATATATCAAGTATACTTCAAAATCAACAAAGACAGGCTGAATTATGACTAGTATAACTTTTGGACACACACGCACACTCTCTGTCTCTCTCTCTCTCCTCTTTCATAGCTTCCATAAGGGAAGAGATTACGTTAGTCTGGTTCACAGCTATATCCTTAGTGTCCTGTATGCAATGTACTTGGTAAAAATAAGTTGTGGAATGCATGATTGTTTACGATAATCACCAGTTGTAGGTTAAACTATTCTTCCCAATGTTCCACTGTCTCTATCCACACCCTTTGCAATATGCTTTTGTAGCCCTTCCACCTGAGTGATGTTGGTCTTGGCTGTGTGATTTGCTTTGGCTGATGATAAGTTGATGGAAGTGATAGTAAGACAATGCTGAGCCTCATCCTCGGAAGTATCTCTGCCTTCACCTGGCTTTGTGCACCACTGCCCTGGCTTTGAGAAGAACATGAGCCCAGTAAATTGTTAGTCCAGGAAGAATGAGAGGTGAGTGGAGCAAAACAGCCCAACTGACCTGAAGACATTTGAACATAGCATATATTCTAATTGCTGTATATCAGTAAGTTTTGAGGAGGTTGTTACACATCCATATTTTGTCTATAGCTGGCAGTCTCCCAGCTAAGCAAAATATCCCACTGTAAAAAAATCTAATTATATAGAAACATTCCAAGATCCTCCCTTTTTGTTTTTCCCTTTGACCATTTATTAACACAACTTAATAAGATGGTAATTTTTTTACATTTAGCCAAAATAGTAGCAGAATGTGTGACTTACTGATTTTTTATAATGATCAAAATTTTTTCACATTTTTAAATTTGGGTATGTTGCTTATTGGCATCAAATTGGGAATAAGGAGACATTGATTTTGGTTCCCCTGGTTCTAATATACTGTGTGATTCTATAAAAGGCACTTAAGCTTTCTGGGCTTTGGTTTCATTATCTGTTGAACATATGGCTCCTACCTCCATAACTGAAATATTGTGTGTATAAATATTAAATAATGTATGAAAAAAGTGCTTTTCAATGTTTAATAAACTATAAGTGTGTTAGATTATTACTTATTATTTATTAAAGTTGAAATACTAAAATATGGTGCCAATTTTATCATAATAATTTGCTATGTGATGATAATCAGAAGAACATCTAACTTCTGAAAACTCTGTGCCTAAAGATGGATCACGTAGTGTTTCAGCTGTTTTTGTTTTGTCATTATCACCAAATTACTAATATTTCTTTAATCTAGTATGGCTTTATATAAACCAGGTAATTAGAATTTGTCACCTTAAGTTATATTTTAAATATTGATACGGTTTGGGTGTTTTGTCCCCTCCAAATCTCATGTTGAAATACGACCTACAATGTTGGAGGTGTTTGGGCCATGGGGGTGGATACTTCGTGAATGGCTTGGTGCTGTCCTCATGATAATGAGTAAGTTCTCGCTATACAATTTCACACAAGAGCTGGTTGTTTAAAAGAGCCTGGCACCTCCCCTCTTTCTCGCTCCTCCTCTCACCATGTAATTTGTCTATTCCTCCTTCACCTTCTGCCATGACTGGAAACTCCCTGAGGCCCTCAGCAGAAACAGATGCTGGCTCCGCACTTGCTGTATAGCTTGCAGAACTGTGAGCTAATTAAATCTCTTTATAAACTACCCAGTCTTAGGTATTTCTTTATAGAAATACAAGAACAGACTAATACAGAAAGTTGGTACTGAGGAGTGGGGGCCTTCCTATAAAGATACCTGAAAATGTGGAAGCAGCTTTGAAATGGGGTAATTCACAGAGGTTGGAAGAGTTTGGAGGGCTCAGAAGAAGAGAGACAAATAAGGGAAAGTCTGGAACGTCTTAGAGACTGGTTAAATAGTTGTGACCAAAATGCTGATAAAGATATGGACAGTGAAAGCTAGAGTGATGATTCCTCAGATGGAAATGAGGAACTTATTGGGAACTGGAGCAAAGGTCATTTGTGTTATGCCTTAGCAAAGAGCTTGGCTACATTTTGCTCACATCCTGGAGATATGTGGAAGTTTGAACTTACGAGCAATGACCTGGGACATCTGGTGGAAGAAATTTCTAAGTAGCAAAGCATTCAAGTGTGGCTTGGCTGCTTCTAACAGCCTAAGATAAGATACAGGAGCAAAGGAATGACTTAAAGTTGGAACTTATATTTAAAAGGGAAGCAGAGCTTAAACATTTGGAAAATTTGATGCTGAGATGTGATAAAAAAGGAGCAAGTATTTTCAGGGGGATATGAAAGCACCCTGTGGAGCTAAAGAGATTTGCATGACTAAAATGGAGCCAAGTGCTGATATCCAAGACAATGGGGAAAAAGGCCTCAAAGGCATTTCAAAGATCTTTGAGGCAACTCCTCCTATCATAGGCTTAGAGGCCTAGGAGGAAAGAATGGTTTTCAGGGGCAAGGCCCAGGGGCCCACTATCCTGTGCAGCCTCAGGATGCTACTTCCAGAATCCTGGCAGCTCTGGCTTCAGCCTTCACTAAAAGGCAATGGATACAGCTTGGGATACTGCTCCAGAGGGTTCAAGCCTTAAGCTATGGCAACTTTCACGTAGTGTTAAGCCTGCAAGCACACAGAACGCAAGAGTGAAGGAGGCTTGACAGCTTCCCTCTAGATTTTGGAGGATATATGTAAAAGTGTGGGTGCCTAGGCAGAAGCCTGCTACAGGGGCAGAGCCCCTCCAAGAATCTGAACTAGGGTACTGCTGAGGAAAAATGTGGGGTTGGAGCCCCCACACAGAGTCACCATGAGGACACTGCTTACTGGAGCTATGAGAATGAAGCTGCCACCCTCTAGACCCAAGAGTGGTAAAGCCACCAGCAACTTGCAACCTCAGTGTGAAAAAGTCACAGGGCAGAACTGCCCAAGGCCTTGGGAGCCCACCCAGAACAGCAGTGTGCCCAGGATGTGGGACATGGAGTCAAAGGAGATTATTTTGGAGCTTTAAGCTTTAATGACTGCCCTGCTGGGTTTCAGACTTTTGTGGGACCTACAGCCCCTTTCTTTTGGTTAATTTTTCTCTTTTGGAATAGTAATGTTTACCCAACGCCTGTACCACCACTATATCTTGGGAGTAAATTACTTATTTTTGTTCTTACAGTCTTATAGGTGGAAGGAACATGCCTTAAGTCTCAATTGAGACTTTGGACTTTTGATTGAGTTGATGTTGGAATGACCGAAGACTTTGGAGGACTATTGGGATGGGATGATTGTATCTTGCAATGTGAGAAGAACATAAGATTTGAGGGGCCAGAGGTGGAATGATATGGTTCGGATGTTTTATCCCCTCCAAATCTCTTGTTGGAATGTGACCTAAATGTTGGAAGTGGGCCTAGTGGGAGGTGTTTGGGTCATGGGAGCAAATCTCTCAGGAATGGCTTGGTGCACTCCTTGTGGTAATGAGTGAGTTTTCACTGATTTCATGTCAGATCTGGTTGTTTGAAAGAGTGTGGCATCTCGGCCAGGCATGGTGGCTCATGCCTTTAACCCCAGCACTTTGGGAGGCCAAGGTTAGTGGATTACTTGAGAGTCAGGAGCTCAAGACCAGCCCCTGGTGAAACCTCGTCTCTACTAAAAATAGAAAACTTAGCTGGGTGTGGTGGTGTGTGCCTGTAGTCCTGGCTACTTGGGAGGCTGAGGTGGGAGAATCACTTGAACCCAGGAGGCAGAGGTTGTAATGAGCTGAGATCATGCCATTGCACTCCAACCTGGGCAACAGAGCGAGACTTAATCTCAAAAAAAAAAAAAAAAAAAAAAGGAGTGTGGCATCTCCTCCCCGTGTCTTGCTCCCACTCTCACCATGTGATGCACCTGCTCCCCCTTCATCTTCTCCCATGGTTGGGAGCTTCCTGAGGCTCTCGCCAGAAGTAGATCCCAGCTTCTTTCTTCCTGTACAGCCTGTAGAACTATGAGCCAATTAAAACCTCTTTTCTTTATAAACTATCGGTTGCAAGTATTCCTTTGCTGTGACACAAGAACAAACTAATAGAAATGTTATTTATAGTAAAGGTGACAAAGAGTAAGAAAGAATCATGGATTTTGGAGCTAAAGAGATTTGAATTTATACTCTGGGGTAACTATCAACTAACTGTGTTGCCTTGGGAATGTTAAATAACCTTTCTGAGCCTCAGATTTCTCCTGTTTAAAAGAAGGATAGTGGCAAATGATTTGCAATGTTGCAGTGAGGACTGAAGATGATGTTTGTAAAATGCCAAGTGTATATTGTTTAGCACAAGGTGGGTAGTCAATAAATGCTAGATAGTATTAAAATTACGTCATGAAAATATTTCTATTCTATCCTCTATACTTCTTTGGCTTCAGAAACAGAATATACATGATTCCTTGCCATCATTCTCTCATCATTGATTTTTAGGTGGTGATATGATCTAAAATTTCACTAAGGTTATTCAGGTGCATACAAAAGCCAGCTTGATCTTTTAAAATTCTCTTTTCTGATTTTTATTGTCTTCTCTCCTGTGGCCATGTTGTTATCTATTGTTCCTTTCTACACATATATGCTGTTCTCTTACATTGTATCTGGTTATTTCTATTCAGTTCAAGGGCAAAACTACCAAGGAAACCAAATTTGTATGCGATGAGTGGATCACGAAAAAATTACAGAAGCTTTACTATATGGAATTTTTTATTTAGAGTTTAACTGCTTAGAAGCTTTTAAAATTCTAATTTCAGAAGCTGAGGTTATAAGATAAAGTATTTTTTTAGAAAACTTAGATTTTAAAATAATAGAGAAATTTAAGAAAGGTGATAATGATACAAGGCAGACTTGATAGAAGAGGCTGCTAGTTTTCTTTTGAAGTTACATTAATTCAATAATATGTTAAAGATTCAAATATGGTTTGTCAAAATTAGTAACAGTCCCAAACAGTCCCAAAGTGGATTCTGCAAGCAAGATACATGATAAGTTCATAGCTTTTCTACAACTCCAAGTCTCTTTAGAAGGCAAATGATAATATCTTTCTGAGTTTGGCTGCAATTTTGGTCCTTGAAAAGTAGTATGGCTAAGTCACAACATTTAGTCGTATAATTGGCAACTTCTAACCCTCCAGCAGATGGAGCACGAGCTGCCCAATTCATCTTGTGCCTTTTTTTCTTTAGCTGCAAATGTTCAAGAGGTACATGTCATGATGCATATGGGTTTCTATTCTAGAGTGAAGATTCAATGAAATATCTTGGTCAGATTATCCTAAAGCAGAGCCCAAATCCAGGACTTGGATCGAGTTACCTTCTTGTTAGAGCAGGGAAACCATCTTGACAGAGCAGGGAAATGGAGACAAGGAAGTAGGAGGGACAACACTTTTGGAATATCAGCTGGTTTTTGCTGTGGGCAAGTAGGTCTTAATTCTACTGAGGACCCTCTAAATGTATATGTATAGAATGTGAACCTCGGAATTGTCTTTCCAGAACATGCGAAGTCCAGACATTTACCTGCTAATGCCTTTGTCTCATTAGTTGAGAGTTTCCACCACACCAGGAGTATTGTCTCCCATCCCACTCCCACGCTTTCTGACTGTGACTGTGTTGTGTGACTTTAGAGAAAGTCCTGAGGCAGAGAAGTGGAGAGAAGTTGCTGCTTGAGCTTGAGAAAGAATGGTGGCAGAGTACATGCATGGAAGTGCTACCATAGCTGCTCTGAAATCAGAGGTGGGCCAAGTGGATGGGGTGCAGGGCCCAAAAAAATTTCTGCTTTGAGATAATGTTTATGCAAAGTGCTTTGTGGTTCATTAAGTTCTAACACATGTTATTTGTTATTAATAGTGAAAAATTCAAATGTTCTTGTTTATAATAAAACATAATAAAAGTTTATCAAATAGCATGGCTCATCCTAATTAGTAATATTGGTGATACTATGGTATAGGGTTAAACCTATTTGTTTGTAAAAGGCCAGAGATTGGGTAGAGTATTCATATGTCCATTTGTTACTTCTCTGCCCTGCTTTTTACTTCCCTAGAACTGCTATCTGTCTATCCCTGCAGATAACACACACACACACACACACACACTCTCCAGTGATCTATCCACCCCCTCATTGCTCTCAGACATTATTATTCCAATGAGCATGTGACAAACCCATATGGGCGCAGATAAAATGAATTGGGAATACTCAGTTCTTCCTTCCATACCCCCATAGGTTGGGAGACAGGAGGTTATGATTTGAGAGGTTAATCAAACACATGCTTTGCAAAACTGCCCTCAAGACAATGACCAGAGTTGGAAGATTCCCAACATAAAGAAAAGATAAATGTTTGAGATGAGGGATATTCCAATTATCCTGATTTGATCTTTACACATTGTATGCATATACCAAAATATCACATATACCCCCAAAATATATACAACTATTATGTATCAATAAAGATCAACAGAATGGCCAGAAACCCAGACACTTGCTACTAACCAGTAAACATGTCCAGGCCATAATTAAGCTCTATTTCCATAGTCCATAGCCTAGGCTTATCAGACTTAAACTTGTATGTTTATATAATCATCAAGGAATATCTAATAAGTGCTCATAGTGCTTGGCCCTGGTTCTCTCATTTCAAGGAAAGTGGAATTATAAGAAGACCCCATCTGACAAGGCTCATAAAGGAGAGCAACTCTTATGGAATACATCCAAGATATATACGTCTTTGAAGAAAGACATCACTCAACTGTGAAAGATCACCATGACCCCTGCTTTAATTTCATCAAAAAACTTAGTCCATCAGCTCAGTTACCCTTTAGCCTTGCATGGGAATTGACTCAGAGCTTCTGCAAGATCAGGGTGAATATGAATTGTTTAGCTTCAGATGATCATTCCTAAAGTGAAAACTCCTGGAACTTATTGGCAAAAAAGAGAACTCTTTGCTATTTCTAATATAAATGTGTTATTAGAATTGGTCTACTGTTCTAATAAATAACAGTAATGGAAATGGATTGAAATAATGAAAGGTTATTTTTCACCCCTGTTAATTTATTGAATCTGGGGGATTAGTAGGTTGCTCCACTATGCAGTCATCCAAGGACCCAGGCAATTTTCATTATGAGACTCAGTTTTATTCAGGTTCTCAGATCTTCTTGTTCTACCTTATGGTCAGGAAAAGAAATGAGGTTCTCAGGTGGGCCTGGAAGGAGTGTATGTCACTTCTACTCATCCTTTTGGTGAGAACTTAGTCATATTGCTACACCTAACTGGAAGAGAGACTGGAAATTCTAGCCTAATTGAAAGGGAAGTAGAGAACTCAGTTATGGGCAAAACCTTACGTCTCTGCCAAATAAGTAATAGAAATGTGGGACCTAATTGAACAAAGTAATGACAATAGGAGACTTTGTTTTCTTTGTGGATCAGTTACACATTTAATATTTTCATATCCCAAGAGAGGTGAGGCTTTATGTTTCATCTATTATGTAAGATGCTCTATTCTGGACAAATATAGACAATTTCTTCCTGAGGAATGGCATCTCACATTTCTGGCGTTTTACTGTTGCTTCTGATTCTGCTTTGATATCGTAGATGGAATAGAGAGTGAAGACAACTATTTTCATATAACTATGGTTCATGATTGGCCTTTGGATAATCAGCCATTAGCTGGAATAGTCACCACTGATGCACTTTAATTTTATAATAGGCATCCAGCAGTTCGGTGATGAATGTCTAAGCCAGAGTGGAGGGGTGAGAGAGGAAGGGTGCTCATATATTAGAATTATCTGGAAACATTTTCAATTATTCATGCTGGTCTCAAAATAAATCAGCATCTGGTGTAGGGTTCTGAGAGAAGGGAAGTAAGACATAGATTTTGCAGAAGTTACCTTGTACCTGGCCATCCCTTCACCCAACTGAAAATCATCACTCTAGACTCTAAGTTCCTCTATTTGTTGTTGCCCCTCTTTGTCCTAGTGGCACATTTATGCTATTTTTTCCTTTATGAAGAGCAATTTTCCTAGTGAGTAATCACTTAAGTGAGTTCAGTGTATTGTCTGCTAGAGTTGCCAAAACAAAACGCCAAACTGGGTGATTTAAACAACAGTAACTTATTTCTTGCCATTTTGTAGGCTGGAATTCTAAGATCAAGGTGTTGGCAGGGTTGGTCTCTAGTGAGGACTCTTTTCCTTGGCTTGCAGATGGCCACCTTTTCATTATGTTATCATATGGTGTTTTCTCTGTGTACACATCCCTGGGGTCTCTTCCTCTTTTTATAAAGACGTTAGTCATATGGAGTTAGAATCCTACCCTTATGACATCATTTAATCTTAATCACTTGTCTACAGGTCACATCTTCAAATACTATCACATTAAGAATTAGTACTTTAATATATGAAGGGAGGGAGGCAAAATTCAGTCTGTAACATTGAAAATGTAAAAATGTCTCCAGTGACACATACTACCTTTTGGCTTCCAAAGATCCTACAGCTTCAAATTTTCTTGAATCTTCTGGGTCACAAAAACCACCAGGAGTAATTACAGTCCTAATTCCAGTTAGGAAAGCTGCAATGGCAAATTGAAATTCATTATATAAAATCTAGATGAATTTAATTTCAGAATATTGAGCTGTGCCTAATCCTCCTCAAAGTAACATTCAGGTTAAGAACTGGATAATTTGTATGGCAGGCAAGTTTTCCCCTGGTCTCCCAATGTCTTCCTAAATTCCATTCTTAAAACATCTCCTTCCTTCTTTTCAGTATCTTTCTCAAAAATGTGCTATGCTCTTCACACTGAGGCTGCCAGATTTCTTCACTATCGGTCTCATCAACACCTATGCATCCTCCTGTCTCAGTCTTTTAGGTTTCTGCTCTGGGGAAATGGCAACTAGCTAATGTGATAAACAATTCAGATAAATATATAGGTGGAAGATAAGTATTTTAGGCTAGAACCTCTTTTTTTTTGAGACGGAGTCTTACTCTGTCACCCAGGCTAGAGTGCAGTGGCGTGATCTTGGCTCACTTCAACCTCTGCCTCCCAGGTTCAAGGGATTCTCCTGCCTTAGCCTCCCGAGTAGCTGGGACTACAGGCACGTGCTACCATGCCTGATTAATTTTTTGTATTTTTAGTGGAGACGGGGTTTCACCATGTTGGCCAGGATGGTCTCGATCTCCTGACCACCTCAGGTGATCCGCCCACCTCGGCCTCCCAAAGTGCTGGGATTACAGGCGTGAGCCACCACACCTGGCCTAGAGCCCCTCTTATATTTCCACTAATGACATGTCTTCTGAAAACTCAGAAAGGTGCTCCAAGCACACTCTCTAGTCAGGCCCCATTCCCTGAGTGTAGATAATCAGTCTTGCATTTTTCCTCCAAAGAGCTGACCCATGTAGGTATGTTCTTAGGAATAGACCATCCATTTCAAATGAGTGCATTTTATTATGATCTACAGGGCACGGTTTTCACAAAAGCATTAAAAAAAATCTCCTGTTTTCCCCTCTCTTAACTCTTTCATGATCTGCCTATACATTATGAGGTCTGAGAGAGTAGGAAATGTATCCTATTTTCTTTTATTTCTTTAATGAATACTGTTGGTGCTCAGAAAATGTTTGGTGATTACATTTTTGTTCTAGTACAGGTTTGTGTGTGTGTGTGTGTGTGTGTGTGTGTTTGGCAAATATTACTTTTACCATTTCAGTTTTCAAAATATGCAACCCAAACAGAGATTAGAATGACTCGGATTTTGGAAGATTTTAGAAGCAGAGTTGGATTATATATTTATAAATTTTTCTAGTGCCATATCTTTTCCCAACTCCAAGTATCTAAACCAGCAGGGTTAAAATCACGCTATTTGAGTCAGCATTCCCTTTGAATGGCATTATTATTACTGTTTATCATTGCCTCAGCTTTTGCAATAGGTTCGGTGCTGTGAAACACATTAAAAAGACACAGTTCTTGCCTTGGGGCTTACACTCAGATAGGCAAACAAACAAAGTGTATTTAAGAAGAGGTAGATTGATCACGAAAATGCAATTTCCCAGGTGTTCGTATTTGTGCTTTGGGTTCCTTTGTCTTTTAACCAGCCGTGGACTAAAGCAATCTTGAAACTTTTCTTCAAACAAAGATATAAGTGACAAGAGTTCAGGGTAAAAAACATGAGCCTTAAAGGGCAGAATACAGGGCTGAGCATCCACAGGACCTGATTCTGGGGGTCTCTGTGGTCTTGAATTACTCTCTCTCCTCATGCTTCTTTCAACAATTCAGACTGCCAGTGGCTTCCTCACTGGAAACCAAATCATTCATTTAAAAATGGATCACCAAATTTTATGGCCCGTCTTCAAGCCATCAAATACTGTTTAAAAAATGGACTAGTTCTCCTTACAGACTGAGATATTTATTTGAACAAAATTTAGAAACACTTTTATCTCAAGGATTTATTACCCTCCAAAATTTTAAGTTTTGAAAATCCAGTTTGTAAGCTGAAATGAGTAAAAATGTATTTCATAATTTTTACTCCTTTGGTGAACATTTTAAAAGTTTTCTCATGCATAGAGCAAAAACAAATATTTCTATTTTGTATATTATCTTTGGTGTTTGTGGGAAATACTCGCGCATGTGTGCACGCATGTGTCTGTGTGTGTGTGTGTGTGAGTGAATGCAAAACTTGAAGTTTCACATATGAAGTACATTGGGAACACAATCTTCATGCTTGGTAAAGCTGTAGAGATGTCCACATTGCAAAGGGACTGGCAATAGCTTCACTAAAGGGCTGGCAATAGCTTCACCAAGCCGTGTTCCGCTGCGTTTGGTCACCGTAGTCTCTAGGTGCATGGAAGGGTTTCTCGCAAGGATCTTGACCTGGGTCAAGGCCATGCATATTTAGGCCTTGGTTTCCAAAGTTTCTGTTTAATTGCACTTTTTCATCACATGCAGGAGTGTGGTATGCCCTTCCAGATGGCCCATACAAATGCTTTGTTGTACTTCACTCACTCTCTGCATGCCAAGCATCTCTGGGACTACATACATCACCAATTAGCATCTTATATTCATTTGACAGGAAAGGTTCTGCAACATTTTATACAGTTTTCTTTGATAAACATGATTTGCATGTTCTTCTCTTATAAGAAACAAGTTTGTGATTGTGGAATTTTCCTTCCTACTCCTCCCTCCCACCAAATGCTTTTCCCCATGCAGCAACCAGTTGATCTGTATTTTAGGAAAAATGTCTTTTGTGTGACATTTTTAGAACCCGAGGAGACCATGTTAGTGTGTTTACCAATGTATACCGTAGGTATTTACTATGTCACATCTCTCCAGGGGGCTGTGTTCTTGCAGGTACATTCTGAATTTTTCAGATTCTAGATCATGAGACCTCATCATTGACCTATAAATCTGATACTGCCATCCCTTCAGGCCTTTGCAGAAGTCTTCCAGATAAACCTTCATTTTCTGAGCTCTGTGCTGAGCATTTGATAGTGAATTTTGTGTACTGACACTGATAGTGAGATGCAGTCTTAACATGTAACAATCACATTTAGTCAATACACCAAAGAGATGCAATGCACCAGAAGGATCAAATTGTCACCTGGCAAATGGTGACTGTTACTTTGAAGAGTTTTCCAATGTGATAAATATTGACACTCTGGATAGTGGATAAGTAGAATGCACAGAACCGTGTCGGGTAGCGCCTTCTTCATGTCTCCACTTGGATGGCTCATAGGCATTTCAAACTTTACCCATCCACTTTCAGAATTGTCAACACCGGTTTCTCTCCCATCTAATAAATGATTCATCTACTCAGTTCAGAAACCTGCAGTCACCGGGAATTCCCTTATTTCTTTCATTCTCCTCACCCGCCTCCTCCTGGAATCTGTCATTGAGTTCCTTTCCATTCAGTCTTTGCCAACTCCTGCCCCATCCTCCCTTCACACCCCAGTGCCTGGAAAGCTTCTGTAACTTCCAAACTGGCCTTCCTTTTCTAAGTCTGGTTTTGGTAGATTCCTTTCTCTACCCTACTGTTATTAAAGTTTTTTACACCATACATTGCAGGAGGTCTCCCTGTAGCTGAAAAACCGGCATAGGTTTTCAGTCCTGTTTAGAACACAACCCAAACCTCTCCCACCACAACTCCCTAACCCTGCAAAGCCCTGCATGTCCCGGCTCCTTTCTAGCCCCTTCTTCTTTTCTAGCCCCTCCTTCTTTTCTAGCACTTCCTTCTTTTCTAGCACTTCCTTCTTTTCTAGCCCCTCCTTCTTTTCTAGCCCCTCCTTCTTTTCTAGCCCCTCCTTCTCCTCACACAGGCACAGCCTCGCTAAGCTCCGGCCTCACTGGGTGTTTTGGGTTCTTGAAATTTTTCAGTTCTTTCCCACTTTGAGGATTTTGCATTTGCTTGTGTCTCCTGCCTGAGAAGTATTTCCCTGTAACTTTCACTTGCTTGGCTTCTCTTCATTCTTTGGGTATTTTCTTTAGAGAAGATTTCTGAGTTCACTCCAACTGGAGTAAATGCCCCGGTTGCTTTCTGGCCCATCGCCCCACTTATTTCCCTGAAAGCACTAACCATAGTCTGAAAATGTTTTAGTTACCTATTCACATATTTGTCTGCTGTCTATTTCCTACTGTCTAGTACATTCAAGGTCAAGATCTGTCTTGTTTAATTTATATTCCTAATTCTTAGCACAGTGCCTGGCACACAGAAGATACCTGAAACATATTTATCGAATGGGTGTCTCTAATAAATTTTGATGAGGAGAGTTGAGTGTGTACATGTGGGGTGTGTGCATGTAATGAAGAAGTTAAAGGAAGGAAGCCATATTCTACATAGGAGTAGGAGAAGAGATGGGAAAGCTTGGCATTAGCATTGCAAAAAGACAGGTCAGCTGAGGGGCTGCCAACACAGGACCGATCCCTGAAGCCTGGGTCAATGCAGAGATCAGAGGACTCCGCCTTATAACCCTGGCAGTTTGCCGGAGACCAGTCAAGTATGTACTGATTGGCGCCTAGGAAAACAGCACAATGTACTCATTCACATAGAAAAAATAAGAGAATCACAGCTCCAGGGTAAAACAGAGCATGGATCTTCAAAGCATCATATGATGCGGCTGAGGTCACATCACATTCAATAAATGGAACAAAACTTCCACTTCCACGTGTAAACAAACATGTGAATTCCTAGGATCGAATTCACCATCCCCATAATCTGCAATTTAATTTTACAAATTAAAGATAGAGCTTAAGGGACACATTTACCAGCTCCCAATAGATAGTGGGATGAAGCCCCATGGATGAGAATTTGACACAAGCCCTTGGACTGCACAGTGCTCAAATTGGGAGAAGAAAGTACATTTCTTTCTCAGTGAGTGAAAAGAAACTCACTGCCTTGGTCAAAACTTGACTGTGGCCGGATGCAGTGGCTCACGCTTGCAATCTCAGCACTTTGGGAGGCCGAGGCAGGCGGATCATGAGGTCAGGAGTTCAAGACCAGCCTGGCCAACACAGTGAAACTCCATCTCTACTAATTTTGTAAAAATACAAAAATTAGCTGGGAGCAGTGGCGGGCACCTGTAATCCCCAGCTACTCAGGAGGCTGAGGCAGGAGAATTGCTTGAACCCAGGAGGCAGAGGCTGCAGTGAGCTGAGATCGAGATCGCACCACTCACTGCACCCCAGCCTGGGCGACAGAGCTAGATTCCATCACAAAAAACAAACAAACGAACAGCCCTGACTTTAGGAGGCATGCAGGTAAAGTCGTTAAGCACATGGGCTCAATGAATAGCAATAACAGTAATGCCAGATAGCATTTCACAAGCACTTGCCATGTGCCAGATACTGCATTAGCCTACTTCCACGCACTCTCTCGCTTTAAACTCATAACACTTCTATGAGGTAGGCATGATTTTTGCTCCATTTTCATAGCAGAAAAACATGAAGTTAAGAGATGCTTATTATTATGCTTTAGATCATACAGCAAGTGTGGAAGGTGGGATTTAACTTCTTACCTATTAACATTTAGAGTTAGAACTTCATTATCCCTTTTGATTTGCAAGGAAACCTCATCACTGGGTAAAAGGACTTAGCCTCTGCCTGGGAAGTAAAAAAAAAATGTACAAGGACATTCTTGATCCTACCAATTTCTGGGAAAAATATATCCTCTGAATTTATACCACACAGCATTTAATATATGATGCTGTAATTGTTTTTTGGTTTGCCCATTAGAATGCAATCAACCTTAGGCCCTTGCAGTAGTCTCTCATCCCTAGTCCTTAACACAGTGTCTGCATCTCAGCTGAAGGCAGAGGTTAGAGCTCGTTCTGAAACACTGATCTGTGAAAGTTTTTAAAAATTTGATTATTTCAGCCTTCCATTTGTATTAACTTGTTTACCAAAACAACTTATAGCCATTTCTGAGTAAACATTTTAAAGACGATCTTGCGTTGTAGTTTCAAAGGAGGATCCATGAATAAACCTGACATGGACTGTCAGGGACTGTTTCCAGTTAAAAATGGCTGTCTTGAAAGAGTCCGAAGAAGCTATTTACAATTCTAAGAGAATAATGGTAACTTTAAACACTATTTAATTTTAAAGCATTGTCAATAAAACAACTGAGAAATTGGGGAAGAAGAAAATAAAAACAAAAGAAGAGAGAGAAATTGATTCTATCTTGGAACTGTCACGTGGGGGAAATTTCAAAACAGGATATTGAAGGTTTTAGAAAATTCATCATGCTCATTACTCCCATTTTCAGGTAAAATGCAAACTAGATGCCAGCAGGCTTTTAAAACACCATTTTATGTGTCTAATAGGCCAGAACTATTGAAGCAAATCAGATCTCTCATTTTAATATGCATTTACACATTTAAAAATTTATATTATTGACTATGTTGAATGCCGTGACTTCTGGAGAACCATTATGGCTCACAGGATAGCTTTTTATTTGGCATTGTATCAATTTAGAGCTCAGAATGTCATGATCTTAATGCAGATAGGAAGTATGCATGTGAGAAGTGGTATGGAGAGAAAGGTAAGGTGCACATGCAGTTGGCAATTTTCAAATGTCATCATTTTAGCCCTAAAAAAAAAGAAGAGAATGTTCTGCTCCCTGGTCTGTGCCAGGCACTTCCTCTTGCACGCCCTGCACTTCTCCTTTGCTTGCTGCAGTGCTGTAGAGTGTGGAGGACTATTTGCCCCACATGTAAATATCACATGGAGCTAATTTACATTGTAGACTGTGGGTCCAAGAGGGAGAAACACTTAATTTTATTAATAGAGTAGATTTTAAATCTCTCCACAGGAGGCCATAGAATACCCCAAAGGCTAATCTATGCTATGGAGAGATGGCAAATCAGAAAAGCCCCAGTGCGTTTTTTCCCACCTCAGAATCTGCTCCCACTGAAAGCTACTACTAGGCCGATTGGCTTTGAGCATCCTCTGTTTGAACACTGGAATTGTTCTACACCGGATGTACAAATACCTTAAGCCCCTGAGGTTTACAATAGGAATGCTAATGCATGGCGTAAGCCCCTCTGAAACAAACAGAGCTGGGATAATAATTTTGTAACCTCATGTTGACATAACCCACCAGCTTGCTGAAGAGCCCCTTCATGTAGAGGAAACAGAGAAACTATAATGATTTTCAGATACAGTTGACAAGAGACCATTTAGTAAACTTTTATTTTTTTTTAACTAACAGTATGCAGGGATGTTGTATTCTAGGCTGCTACTAATAATCTCATCAGAATGCAAAAGCAGCGACTGTGTTATAAAACCAATGATCTGTTATATTCTGCAAGAATTTACAAAAGCCTAATGTCATTTACTACACCATGAGAACCATACTTGGATAAAAAAAAATAAAACACAACAGAATTCAAAAACTGATTACAGCTGACGAAAAAATAAACTATGTGCGAATGTAATGCTTTAAAGGTATAACATACCACAGTTAAAGACAGGAAGGAGTGATGACTTCAGAAGGGAAGGAATTGGCATGTGGGAAGGTAGGAATGTGCTACAACACTTAGGACACTTTGGAATCAGGGCATCCATTCAAGGCCAGGAGTCACCTGGTCAGTGCTAAATATGTGTTACTGGCTCAGGCTGCAGGAAACTTGCAAGCTCAAAAGAGTTTCCTTTTTTATTCTTCACTTTTTCAGCAGCATTTTTGACAAAAGCATATCTGTAGCAGTTTTAAATACGGAGTTTAAATGTTTTAAAAAGGAAGAACTCTTTTCAGGGACATTTGCAATAAAGTCAACTGAAAAGTCAGTGGCAGGGATGTCAGGATGTCTATGTAGCTGGGACACAGACAGCCTTATCCCCGTCTCAGCTGGTACCCTGTGATAGGTTGAAGAACAGAAGCAAATTTCACGGAGCCCATCATGCTCCATGCTCTCAAAGGTTTCATGGATTCAATTCTGGCAGTCTATGGCATCTTAATTTTAAAAATTACTTTCTTTGATGCCCAAAGCAAATTTTTCTGCATTTTGTTCAGTGGTTTTAAAAAATAGCTTTCAGAAGGATATCTACCTTTTTGCCTATCTATTTATCTATCTGTCTAATCAAATCTGTCTCTATCTACCTGTCTGCCTATCTATTGAGAGTGAGAAACTTTGATGTTCTTGCAATTTCTATAATCTTTGGAAGAAATTTATTTATTCTTTCCTTTCAAACTCAGTCAGTTGGAAGCATGTTTATCTCCAGGATGGACTTGGCAGAATGTGAGAAACACAGGGTCCTTAACACTAAAAGGCATTTTTTACAGCATTGTTAACCAGCTTTCAGCAGATTCCCTGCAGCATTTGTATTCCTGGATGTCCTTGAAGGTACAATTGGTCTTGCAAACTTGCAGGGAGTCATTTGGAAGTGTTGACTTAGGCGCCTGTAAGACATCTGGTAATAATGAAGATGGAGCTTTTAATGCTTTGGGATTTTATGAATGAGTTATAGTACAGTCACTGATGAATCATTAAAGTACATCTCTACAGGAGGATATTGCCCATATTTCTTGACTGCTGGGAAGTTGCACATATTGTTAGTTGTCCAGAAAGAAAGTGAGATCTGCTAAGTCTGAATTCCCTGCAGAGCAGCTAGTTTGAGAACCAAATGAAAGTAGCATTACATTTCAGGAAAGCCTTGCTCACCAGAGAGATGTATGTTTTATAAGAGAGCTAGGTCTGTTTATTAGTGAGCCTGAATCGCACAGGGTGATGGTCAAATGTGAAGAACAGGCTCTCTGCCTCTGCTCATGCCACTGCCTTTCCTGCTGAATGACTGGAGGAGTCACTGTCTGTCTGGTGACCTTCCTCAAGAACAGCCCCAGTGCGCCCCTCTTCATAATGTTCCCTAATCTTCATAGGTAAAATTAATGAATTCTCTGTTATATGCCTGCAACATTATACATATAATTATCTTAGATCTCTTAACTGTCTTATAGTATACCCATAAATGTACTTATTTATTGGTTTATCCTAGTAGACTATTAGCGCCTCAATAATTATTATTTTCCATTCACAACATACAGATGAGGTCCTACCACATCATAGGTATCTAATAAATGTTTAGCAAATAAATAATTACAAAAGAATTTAAGTAAAAATCAAGCTTATAGGAAGAGATAAGAAAACAATATCAACAATTTAATAAGTCTGACTGACTGTGAATCACCTAAGAAGTAGGTTTACAAGATTCCTGTCCTCCATAAGGAAGAAAAAATTTAAAAATAAACATCTTTTTCTTCATTCCAAAATTCTGTTGTGTTACACCTGAGGGACAGGTCCTTTTCTCAGTCTAATAGGTAATCAACAATTTAGACATTGGAAGCAAAAAGTTTCATTTGTTTTCATTAAGATAATATCTATACACACAAGAAAATTATTGGTCTTCTTTGAAAACTGTGAGTTTGAAAAGAGCGTTGTAAATAGATTTAGTAATTTCTTTGTTTAACACATTTGCATCTGCTATGTGCCCAGCCCTATATTAGGTATTGAGGGTTCAGGGATGAACTAAGCTGATCTGGTTCCTGCTCTCTAGGCTGTAGAAGATGGCAAGTGCTGTGGACTTCAAAGAAAAGATTTCTGAAGTGTCATGTTATGACAATTGTGGTAAGTGCTACGCTTGAAACAGTTAGGTACTTTGATAGCATTCAAGATGGGATTCTGACCTGGAGAGGAGATATCTTCACTGAAGAAGTGATAATTAAACAGAAACTAGAAAGATGGTGGTGATGTGAGCACAGGGGCCTTTAGGGACAGTGTGATGAAAAGCAAGGTGATACAGGCAGACAAACAGCATATCTGCACATGAGCCTGGTCCATTTGAGGAAGGCAAGGATGGGGATAGGCAGTGAAACTCCAATACAGTGAGTGAGGGTGAGTATGACGTGAACTGAGAATAGAAATTTGGGCAGGCAGCACTTTGCAAGGCTGAGGCAGGGGAATCACTTGAGGTCAGGAGTTTGAAACCAGCCTGGCCAACATGGTGAAACCCTGTCTCTACTAAAAATACAAAAATTAGCCAGGCATGGTGGTGGGCACCTGTAATCCCAGCTACTTGGGAGGCTGAGGGACTTGAACCCAGGAGGTGTGAACCTCCACTTGAACCCAGGAGGTGGAGGTTGCAGTGAGCCGAGATTGCGCCACTGTACTCTAGCCTGGGCAACACAGCAAGACTGCAAAAAAAAAAAAAAAAAAAAAAAAAAAGAAAGTTGGGCAGGATCATTTCTTTCAAGGGATGAAAGGCCATGCTAGGGATGTGACAATGGATAAGACCATGGGCAACATGTATCCCATACAAATGCAGCTCTAAGCAAAGTCCCTAGCTACCTTCTTCCAATCAGACAGCCACTCTACTCCTGCACATCTATCCCTTTGTATATAACAAATCCAGCGCTGCAAAAGGAATTGGAAATTGTGGGATAATTTTAAGAAAGAAAATGATATTCAAATTTGAGTTTTTGGGAGATTTCTCTAACGATCATTCTGAGAACATGGCAGAGGAGAGAAAGGGTCTGAGTAGAGAGAAAGTGAAGAAGTGAGGGATGGCTCACACTGGGGTGGTTGAGAGGGAGATGAGTAGAGGGAAATTGGTCAATTAGTGGTATATTTTGAAAGAATAATCAACAAATATGGACGTCAAGGATGATTGCCAAGGTTCTGTCATGAGCATATGAGTGACTACTGAGCCAGTTATTAAAGCAGAAACACTTGAGAAAGAATAGTTCGGGATGGAAACAGTAAGTTTGGTTTTTGAAATTGTGTTGTTTGAGATACCTGTGGAACATCCAAGTAGAGGGATCAAGAGAGAAGTGGGACATAAATTGAAAGAATGAGAATAGAAATTAGCATGGAAACAGGAATTTAGGAATGATAGACTTATAGAGAAAAATACAAGAACTATTGCTAGAAATTAGAGTATTAACACAGCTTCTTCTTTGGATCATAATAGACAGTGAAGGGGAGAAAGGAGAAATATGAGATATTCTCTAAGAAGTGATAGAGGTAGTTTTACCTTGTTTTTACATGTTACTAAAAATATATTTGTTGATTTTTTTTGGTCATAACACGTTTTGGCCCTTTCCTGTCTATTGTTGGCTGCATTTTAATGATATTTACAGTGTGTTTTACATTGAACTAACACTAGCAAGTACAAGACTTCTCCCATTTTTCTGGAGATCATACAATACAAAAACCATTAGAAAAGTATAAAAGTCATTCTTAAATGGTTGGACATGGATAATCAATGAAATATCCATTTGGAAAAGTAAGAGAAGTGTCAGAGCTAGATATATATGGAAATCAAGTAACTGTATGCATGCGCGTCTCTATTGCTCTGTGGGTATATATATATGTATATACACACATATACATGCACAGAATCACTAAGTCACATGTTATCACTTTATATATTGATGATGAAGTTCAGAGAGGTTATGTGATAGCACATGGTTAGCAAGTGGCTGAAGGCAGGCTTGAAATCTCTAGACTCAGAGTTCTTTCTACTTTATTCCTTCTAAGTGAAATAGCCAACATCAGCAGGTCCTCATGCACGTTAAGCACCTTCGTCTTTATCACAGGTCTCTGAGGTTAGCAGATTTACAGTGTGGTACATAAAGTGAGGTCTTCTGACTGCTACTTGTATCCCACACTCAATGAACATTCTGAGCACATGCAGAGCTGGCCTTGGGCTTGTACTGAATCTGTGCATGGAAGTTATGGAATTGAAGAGTCAGGGAGTGCTCTTCATGAGGTGCATTCTGATAACAGTGAAAGCATAGACAGAAGGACCTGGGCCAGCATACTTACAGTGGAACACATCAAGATGATCGCCACCTTCCAAAGGCTCAGCCTTTAAATGTCACATGCCTAAGTGAAACTTCTCTCCTGGGGTTAAATTTTTAAGAACATGGGAATGAGTAGATTCACTAAGTATATGGAGCAAGATACGTAGGAGACTAGGAAGGAAAACCAGAAGAAAAGGAAACCAACACTGTTCAAGTTTAAGGAACTTTGGAAGGTGAAAGTGTAGGGCAGATGAGAGAATAATAATGATGATGTTGATAGTGATGATGACAGGAAGGAAGAGGAGGACCCAGTACATTCATACAATATATTTATGTTTTAAATCATCTGCTCACTGTTGACCTAGCATCATGCTGCTGGTAGTTAGGATGCATTTACAGTATTAGCCTTTGCTTTCTGCAGTGTACATGGCTAGCCCCATGTGACTGTGGGTGTTAGACTCACTAGGATGAGAGCAGGGCCATGGTATCCCTCATACTGTATTCCCTGAAGGAAAGCAGGTCTGGCTGTCTTCCACTGGAAAACAGATTTCTCCCAGAATGAGTTCATTTTAGCTGTCAGCAATGGAGTATCTAAGCATCTTTCTTTGTATGCAACATTGCCGGCAGGATGCCCACCCACCTCCACAGGGGATAAGAATCCCCAATGGGGGAGAAAAGGCTGCTTCCAAGTGAGTGAAGCAGCTGTTGTTTTACACAGAAATGTCAAAAGCACAAGCAAATTTCTCATCACCAATTGGTGGTGTCATGGCCAAGAAAATACTTCGTGATTGTTATGTGGTTTTGGGAGAAGCAACTGGTTTTATGAGATTTACGTTATAGGTATAAACTACATCTGAAAAGTAAACCCTTCATTACAATTTATTTTACTGCTAATGATAGAATTTGAATCTGAGATGTGGAAGGTGAGATTCAATTAGCCACGTATCTTTGAAACTTAAAAAATCATGTTACCTTTTATTTACTGTTTTTAGTAGTTGAATGAGTATAAATATGTCCAGTGATTCTGAATATTAAAAATTATGTGATCTTTTAATAATATATTTCTAGTATGTAAAATTTTGTCATTTCCCAAAATGAGTCTCAAATATCAAGCATTTAAGGCAGTTTTCCAAATGCAAAGAAATATAAGCCATATGTCATTGTGTCCTTATACTGACCTTTAATTTATTTATATGTTTATCTGCCCACCTGTCTGTAATCTGTCCATTCACCTATGCATCCATCCATCGTTTAACAGCTATTGATTAAAGACCTCTGTAGCTGATACACTGTATTAGACATTATAGGACATTGAAAGTGACATAACTCCTGTTCTGTGTCTTTTAGATGCTTCAAACTATGTTGACTATTCATTTACAGCATAAAGAAGAGTGAGCCACTTTATCACTGCAGTAATTATATTTTAAAAATAAAGAAAATAAAACAAATGGAGTTTCCCACCCAATCCATGGAGACACAGACACGAAGTCTTACTATAGATGTGTGGCCAATCCTTACATTGCTTTTATTACAAGCCTGGAAATGACAATAAAATACATGAACTTGAGAGTATATAAAGGCTGTAAGTTAGCCATAATTTAGATTATAAGAAAATTGGATAGTAGTTCAACATAAAGAAATGAAATCTAACATATGATGTTATGTTCCGCACTGTAAATATCTCTGGTGTATATCTTGATTACCTGATTATGATAAAAGTAACAAGATAACTTGTTATCACGTTATCTGATAACTAGTTAACATGTCAGTATAGTAAATGATCAAAAACTGTTTTAGAAATTGCACCTGGGGTTGAAATATTTTGAGTTGGTAGCTTCTTCAGTGGTCATAGCTCTCAGCACCCAGTTAAAAAAACAGAGGCCAGGTGGGACTGGCTGGAAGAGGACCCCCATCCAGGTCATCAGAGCTCTTTCAACACTGCCTCTTGCAAAGCTATTTTATGCAACATGTTTCACTGCCAAGAGCAAATAAGAAAACTGACCTTAGCCTAAGCTGGTGCATAAGAATCTTGTTTTAAAGCTCAACCTTCTGCATTTTTTCAAACTTCCTTTCTCCACCCCACTCTGCTTCTTATCCAAACCCTTTTCCCTTCCCATCACTCATTTCCTAAATAGGACGCCTTATACCTTCACGTCAATATGCACTGCGAGAGCTTCCTTATCTCCCATTTAACTGTGTTCAATCAACGTAGTTTTTTAACTTAAAGTAATAGTTCTGATAGGATTCATAGGTTATCTTGGGCTAAAACAACAGCTAAATTTGGCTCATGGGAGAGTAAATCTTGGGTTTTGTTTTAAATGGCTAATTATTTTACTTAGTCTGCGTAGGCCTTGAACTCTAGGCATGTGTGCCACAAATACCAATAATAGATAGAGCATGTCAGATTTTCCAGAATTCAGGGGAAATGCTTTTATTCAATTTTGTACAATGATCAAAAGTGTTGACATCTTAGTCACATAAACCCATGCTCTGGACACTGCATGCACACAAACACAGGAGCTCAAGCCCATCCACCTCTTCTCATTTTATTCTTTCCCCAGCTTAGCATGCCCATCTCACTATGGTTCCAGAGCCCACAAGAGTGCATGTCCTGTTTTCCCTCTGTTTCACCTACAGATCACATGGGTTCTACTGGAAGATATTTTCCCAAATGAATACTCATAAAGTTGCCACAAGATCTTCCCATTCGACAACCTCTGAGTGATTTTCTTTCTTAAAAAAGAAAAAGGAGGAGCTTTAATAGCTGCTTTAAGTTTACTTTCCCTGGATTCTTAATTATATTAAATACCCATATATTTCCTCCCTGAGTATTCATTTAGAAAGAAGGTTTTGTAATAGTCACATTTAATTTATCAGGGTGTAATAATTTGTGTTTCCCAATCATCTTGCCGACTTTGGTTCATTATACTATTGTTTCACATGAGTAAGTTAGCAAAGTTTGGATTGATTGACTCTAATTAACTAAAACTGGTTCCAGGCTGTGCATCTATTGTCATGGTAGCTAGCCGCAAAGCCCTAAACTGCTCAGCAATGTGATATAAGGTAATATTGATTTGAAAACTGTGTATAATATGTAACCTTGGGCTTATCACTGTTTGTGAGACAAACTTAAAAAAAGGGTGTGGGGAAGGAGAGGTATTAGGATGAATTTAAGGACACTTGGGAGTATAAATCAGAGTTTTCAGTGGGTTTCCTTTTTTTTCTGCCTGGAGAAAATAACAGATGTGTTGAACTACAAATGAATTCAAAGTTTAGCAGTAGGAAGACTAAGGATTTCATGGTTTCTGAAACTGTGAATAGGCTTGCTGACAAAAGTCTAAGATCTACTAAAAAAAAAACTATGGGGAGACTTCAATTTTGGTAGAGGAAATCTCAAGTTTTCTTATTGAAAAAAAGGAGTGGTTGGAATTTGATCTTTTCTCTATTGCTATTTTATAGTCAATCATAATCTTTACCTGAAGGGAGAAAAAAAGGTTTTTGAGAGTATGATCACCCGGAAAAATGATTGCTTTGACAGCCTGTAAACATGAACAAACACTACTCTTCCAGATCTTTCTATTTAGTGCTGGACAAAAATCAAGTTAAAAAAACTTGAATAGGATGCTGTAAGAGAGAGTCATTGATGAACTTCTAGCTTTCCTATGCCAGTGCTGCAGCTTCTGTCATGCCTGTTTTCAGGTAGTAGTTAAGATCTGATACATTTGATTGCTGTTGCACACTTTTTCAGTTCCATCTTCTTTACTTACAGAGCGTCAGCTATTTTCCATGACACTCTTATCAACTGAACTGTCTTTCCTTTCACTCTTTCGTTTCTTACCAACTTTAACAGAACAGCCTTTATGTCCTGGCAGATGGATGAAGCGGAAGTTTAACTCATGTACTACCGAGTCCTGCTTGAGAAGTGTACTGTCAGAGAAACAGAAAACTCCAGTTTATTCAGCTGCTTCCTTCGTTGGCACTGTGCTTAAGTCTTTTCAGAAACTGGGGACAGGCAAATTTTATGTCAGAGTCTTCTCCATTGGATGGTTTTTCTTTTAATGTTTTGTGACTGTTGTGGCCATGTGAGAAAGAATCAACTTCCAAATATCACAGTGAAAGAAGCTGCATTCATCAGGGTTCTCCAGAGAAACAGAACCAACAGGAAGTGTATATACATATAAAGAGAGATTTATTTTAAGGAATTGGCTCATGTGATTATGGAGGCTAACACGTCCTAAATCTCCATGGTAGGCTTGCAGGCTGGAGATCCAGGAAAGACCTGATGTTGCAGTTCAAGTCTCAGGGCCAATTGCTGGAGAATTCCCTCTTGCTCTGGGAAGGCCAGTCTTTGGTCTTTTCAGACTTTCATCTGATTGGATGAGGCCCACGTACAAAATGGAGATAAATCTGCTTTACTCAAAGGCCACTGATTTAAATGTAAGTCTTACCCAAAAACACTCTTACAGAAACACCAGATGACATTTGACCAAATATCTGAGCACCAGGGCCCAGCCAAGGTAAAACATAAAATTAGCCATCACAGAGCCCAGGACCCAGACAGAGGCAGAGACCTCTTAGTGATGACTGAGGAGCCAGAGAAGAGGAATATGGGAAAGAGAGTGGCACAACTTTATATCTGGAAAGAGAAAAAGGAAGTCATATGGCTGTTCATTATGAAGTATTTCAAATTATCACCACACAAACATGGTCCATGCAACACACACCTGTCTTTTTGGCTGAATATCTTAGCAACAAGGTGTCCTCACATCATTTTGTTCTTAGGTACAGGTAGATATCATGGTAGTTCTGAAGCAGTGGGCCACCAGGGGCAATGTGGTGAAATGAGAGACAGTAAAGGCCTGCTCAGTTTCCTTCTGCTCTTACTCCCTCTAATGGCAGGGGGTTGACACATCTACCCCCGAGAATATCTGCCCCGCCCTTCTTTCTAGAATTCAAAACAGTAGTCCAAGAGATCTCTGCCATGTTTACAGTTTCCCTGCCTCCTTAGCACCAGTTGCAACAGATTCACTCCTTACCAAATAGAAAACAGGTATAATATTATTTTTGCCGGTAAAATATTTATATTAACTTCAATAATCAAACAACAAACATTCTTTAAGTCCCTAGTAGGTACACAGCACTGAAGAGAATGCAAAAGAAAAAACATATTTCCTGTCTGTAAGAAGTTTATAATTTTTCTGGGAAGGAAGTCTAATATGTGGCAAATTAATAGAATTAATAGAATTCATCAAGTTATTAGTGGGGGCAATTTCCAATAGAAACTCTATGGGAGTTTATAGATGGTGAACATAAATATGAGATGGAACAGCTCACCTCTCTTTGTTGCTAAACTTGAATATGTGTTGCAAAAATTGAGTGATATTGTTTAAAATGGGTCAAGAATTTGCTTATACTTACTCAAACCTCTCCAGTTTCTTCCAATGATTATATGTCTTCTTGCTGTCTTTTTTTCAATTTACTTAATTAGTAGTCAAATTTATCAAAACTGTACAGAAACACCTAAGAATGGATTTTTGATAGAGAAGATTTGGAACTTTTGCCTGTAAAATAGAATACGTCTCTATGCTTGTAAACATTTAGTTACCTCAGAAGGTAAACTAAATGGAATCCCAGTTTTTCTGGAGATTGCAACTATTATTAGCAGATGAATCTCTAATATCAGTTCTATCAACATTCTCCTTTTAGCTTTTACTTAAAGAAGAAAGATAGACAGTATCTAGAAATTATCCTGGATGAACTCTGCCTTTCTAATAATTTCTGGAAACCTGAGAGTATTCTGGGTTCCCTGAGATGACAAATTCATTGCAACACCCTCTATTTGCCTAATCCCCGCACAAGACAGGATGACCCTTGTGGCAGAAAACAGTTTCAGGGAGATTGACTCTGAACTGAAGGGTAAAGATGTTTACTGAGAGACCTGAGTCCTTACAGTGGGACAATTAATAGGGCAGGTACTAAGGTCATTGCTGTAATACTCTAAGGTTGAACCTGGGAAAAAAGCACCAAATGTCACATTTGTGGGGCAAACAAAACAAAGTCAGTACTGGATAGTGAGCAGTATGCAAAGTGCTGATAGAAGACGAGATTAGGTCTGAGGGAAGCCCAAGGAGGGGAGCTATGAACTCAGACTTGGAGAGTGGACCGGACACTGGTAGAGTAGTCTTCCCTTATCCAAGGGGGATACTTGCAAAGACACCCAGCAGATGCCTGAAAGTGCAGATAGTACAGAACCCTATATATACTATGTTTTTTTTCCTATACATACATACCTATGATAAAGTTTAATTTATAAGTTAGACACAGGAAGAGATTAACATCAATAATATAACGATTACCATCTACCATCATAAAAGTTATACGATTGTGGTCTCCTCGCTCTCAAAATATTTTATTGTTCTGTACTCACTTTTCTTCTTTGATCTGTAGGTCTGTTAACCAAGACAGCTGCTAAGTGACTCATAGGTGGGTAGCCTAGAAAGCATGGATATGCTGGACAAAGGGATGATTCATGTCCTGTGTGGGATGGTGTAAGAGATTTCATCACGCTGCTCAGAATGGTGCACAATTTAAAATGAATTATTTTTAAATTTAAATATGATTTAAATACGAATTGTTTGCTTCTGGACTTTTTCATTCAACATTTTTGGACTGCAGTTGACTGCGGGTTACCGTAACAGACGAAGGTGAAACTATGGATAAGGGGCACTACTGCACATCCTTTTCCCATGGTTTGCAGTTTATATTCTGAATGTGTTTAATCTGACTGTAGTAGGAAGGTGGGATGCAGAGCTGGACTCCAAGCCAGCTGCATGCTCTATCACTTTTACTGATGGATATATGACAAGAAAATGTCTTCTAATTTTGTTTCTTTATCTGAAAGGCAAGAGAAGGCATCTGAGATGACACAGAATTCCCACTAAAATCATAGAATACTGGAGAGGCAGTGATCTGTGTCTCGCTAATCAAAGTGTGGCCCATGGAGCAGCAGAATTTGAATCACCTGAGAACTTGGCAATGCAAAATCTGAGGCTTCAGCCCAGATCTATTGCATTAGGATGTACAATTGCACAAGCTTCGGGTGATTCTTGTGCACATTAAAATCAGAGAGGCAGGCAGATCACGAGGACAGGAGATCAAGACCATCCTGGCTAACGTGGTGAAACCCCATCTCAAAAGTACAAAAAAAAAAAAAAGAAAAAGAAAAAAAAATTAGCTGAGCATGGTGGCGGGCGCCTTGTAGTCCCAGCTACTAGGAGGCTGAGGCAGAAGAATGGCGTGAACCCGGGAGGCAGAGCTTGCAGTGAGCCGAGATCTCGCCACTGCACTCCAGCCTGGGTGACAGAGCGAGACTCAGCCTCAAAAAAAAAAAAAAAAAAAAAAAAAAATCAGAGAGTGTGATTCGCAGGGAGACGGAAGTTCTCCCTTCTATAATACCACTCACAGATAGTCATCCAGTATCTGCTACAAACCCACCGGTGATAAGGAGCTCGTGATTTTTTAAAATCACAGTGTTTGCTAATAAATTCTCCTTTAACTTTGAGAACCTAGCGCAATAAATGACAAATTATAGTTGCTCAATAAATATTTATTGAATGGATGAATAAATGGATGAACAAATGTTTCATTGCCAATTGAAAGTGTTTGTCCACATGTTACTGGATCTAGCTGGATAATAAATCTACCTCCCTTATCCAGCCCTTAAATGGAATAAAAAAGACTGTGTGTTTCATATAGGCCTCTGTTTACCAGGCTATGTCTCGTCTCTTCAACTACTTCTCATATATCAAGATGTGTAAGTTTCTCACTGTCCTTGGTACCTTCTGGTCATGTGTTGGATTTTAAGTGCCTCTCATAGAATATGTGACCTAGGATTAAGCCTGTCCACAGATGTGCTCTCAGCAGCACACAGCACACACAAGGAACATAAGCTGATGACATTTCTCTGCTTCTGCTCTGGGCTTTTCTAATTTAGTAAATTGGCTGTCACATCACTAAAAATAGGAAGTTTGAACTTAGGCTCCCTTTTTTTTTCTGTCTGAGGTTATTTTGCTTACCACAAATGAAGGCCGCAGAAGCTAAATATATGTCTACTTGAATGATGACTTTATAGCAATAAAATGAGCCCACAGGGGCTAATGACTCTGTAATCAGCTTTTTTCAACCACTTTTTATATTGGGCATAATTTTCTCTCTCTCTGAGAAATTCTATATCATTTATCACCAGACTAACGTGAGCAAAAGAAAAAAGGCATGAGCTGAGAGATTAGAGGCCACGGCCTGTCTGCTATGAGATCATAATAGTAAATTTGCCCAGAGGGGACTATTCGATTTTGGATACTAGTACAGTAGATGCTCATGTTCTGTTCTTTTTTAGTTCAAAATTCTCATTTTGGCATTGACTTAAGAAGTTAGGTTTTAAGAACTTGTTTTGTTCATAGTTTCAAAATGACCAGTCAATAGTACACCAATGCAGGTCCTTTTTATAAATTCTTTTCATTGGTCAATGACACCTCCTTGTTGCCTTCAAAGGAAGGTTATCAAATCCGTCCCGTTGACCCGCTGGAAAATCAGTCTTTGGTAAACTTGAGAGTAGATACTTTTTGGGGGGGTCATACTATTAACATTTTCATGTGCTTGTGCTCCAGAAAACACCATGTGAGAAACATCTTTTTTCCTACCTATTATACCAAATTATTTAGGTTCTCCTTCTATGGCTTGAAGCTGAGCCTGCTCCTTTGGCAATTATTCCTTTTCCAGAGCTCATTGCTTTGGGACCTGGCTCATAGCTGATTGCACTGAATATTCTCTGCTTATTCCTCCAGATCTACGCTCTACCATTCTATTGCCCGCTCCCTGCCTTGGGAGCTGACCTGTACAGATTACATCAATGGACCTTCATGCTTCTTCCTCCTTCATCCTTTAGGTATAGGAGTGGCAATAGCTCTACTCCTATTGGCCCAGGATTTCTGCACTATCCCTTATGGCTCCTCTACAGCCTACTCATGACTTTGCATTCAGTGCTTTGTAAATAAACCTTCCTTGAATTATTCTAATTTGATAATTAGGTCCAATTTGTCCCCTTATCCTGGATGATTACAGCATTCATTCATTTGTTCTCTTATGTTTTTGGTTTTTTAGTTATTTACTTTAAAAAATATTTTATCTTCAATTTTATTTTTTCGCCTTCAAAAATTTATTGGCAAACATTGTTTATATTCAAGGTATACAATGTGATGATTTAAAATATGTATGAATCGTGTGATGATTATTACAATCAAATTAATTAACACATCAATCATCACCTATGCTATACGTTAGATTCCCAGAACTTGCTTATCTTATAACTGACAGTTTGTACCCTTTGACCAACATCTCCCCATTTCTCCCACCCCTCAGCCCCTGGCAACCATCATTCCACTCTCTGTTTCTATGAATTCAACTTTTTTAGATTCTACACATAAGTGAGGTCACACAGTATTTATCTTCCTGTGTCTGGCTTATTTCACTTAGCATTATGTCCTTCGGGTTTAGCCATATTGTTGCAAATGGCAGGATTATCTTCTTTCTTCTGGCTGAATAACATTCCGTTATATATCTACATCCATATCTCACATTGTCTTTATCCATTCATCCATTGATGTATACTTCAGTTGATTTCATATCTTGGCTGTTGTGAATAATGCTGCAATGAACATAGGCATGCAGATATCTCTTTGAGATACTAATTTCATTGTGTTTGGATATGTCTCCAGAAGTAGGATTGCTGGCATATGGTAGTTCTGTTTTCAATTTTTTGAGAAACCTCTATAAGTTTTTCCATGATGGCTGTTACAATTTACATTATCACCGATAGTGTACAAAGTTTCCCTTTTCTCTACATCATCACTAATACTTGTTATCTCTTGTCTTTTTAGTAATAGCCATCCTAACAGGTGTGAGGTGATAACACATTGTGGTTTTAATTTGCACTTCTCTTGTGATTAGTGATGTTGAGCACCTTTTCATACACCTGTTGGTTATTCATATGTCTTTGGAAAAAAATGTCTCATCAGGTCCTTTGACTATTTTTTAATTGGATTATTTGGTATTTTGCTATTGAACTGTGTGAGCATTTACTTAATTACCTACTCATTTATGTTGTAAATATTTATGAATTACCTACTATTTATCAATCATCCTGCTAAATTTCACAAGAACTCATTTTCTATGAAAAAGTCAATATACTTTAAATAAATCTAACCCATGAAGTCCTCATCTAAGTTGCTCCAGGTCGTATTGGGACAAAGAACGGCAGTTGGGAGACAGGTAGTATCAGTACTATCAGTCATCTCAAGGTATGTCTGATATTATTGTGACACTGATAAGAGCTTCTTTTCATATCAAGTCCTTCTTTTTTTTTATTCACTTAGGCCAAAGTACAAGTAACAAATCTTATCGTCTTGAATCAAAAGATTTATAGAAACAGAAGAGAAGAGTTCTGTTGGTGTCAATAACTGTAGTTGTCCATTCGTCTCTAGCCACACATTTTTTCATAATTCCTAGATCTCCTCTTTGGCCACTAACTTGGCTTCTTAGGCACTTGTAAAGCACCTTCCAACAAAAAGTTTTCATGGTACTCATAGATTTTTGTTTTCTTGTTTGTTTTTGCTGTAGTCACCAGCAAAGGACTAAGATGTTTTCACTCCTTAGATCTTCCCTTGTGTCTGTTTAAGAAGAGGAATCCTCACTTATTTGGGTAAGAGCAGAGTAAGGTTTACTCTCAGGGATAAAAGGACAGAGTCCTTTCATTTGGGGTTTCCTTTGGTTTTGGTTGTAACACAACATCATTGCTTTATGGCAGTAATGGTGAAGAAGCATTTAGTTTGTATTAAAGCAATCTTTGGCTGCATTAATAAAAGTTAAGTGGCAAAATTAAGGGATGTGAAGGTTCTGTTGTTCAATGCAGTGATAAGAAAATTACTAGGGTTGTCTTCTCATAATATCATTTTAATGAGGAAATAAAACATTTGTCACATCTCAAAATGAGGAGCATAATGCTAGTCAAGGTTCTGAAGGGCGTATCACATGAGAAACCTGTGTAACAAAAAGAAGATGTAAAATAGTGGTTTTAAAATATGAAGAATTGAATTTATTTTGTATAGCTCCATGAGAATTTTCTCTCTCTCTCTCTCTGTCTCTCTCTCTCTGTGTATGTGTATTTTTTCCTCCAAAGTGGAGGAATTACTTCCCAATTCATTTTATAAGGCCAGAATTAATCTGATACCACATTCTGGATGACATTTCAAGAAAAGAAAACTATAGACCAACATTCTTCATGAGCATAGACACGTTTTAGACAGTCAAATCCAGCTCTCTCTCTCTCTGGGTATATATATATCTATCTATCTCATATATATATATATGAGATAATGTATCATGACCAGATCGCATTGATCTCAGAAATGCAAAGTTGGTTTAACATTTGAAAATCCAAAAAAGAAAATCCTTATGATCTTCTCACTGGATTCAGAAAAAGCATTTGATAAAGTCCAACATCTATTCCTGACAAAGGAAAAAAAACTCCAAACAAACCAGGATTAGAAAGGAGCTTACCCATTCTGATAAAAGCATCTATGGAGAACCTGTAGCTAACATCATATTTACGGTGAAAGATTAAATGCTTTCCTCCTAAAACTAGGAAGAAGATAAGGATATTCACTCTTACCACTATGTTCAACATTACATGAAAGACTCAAGCCTGTGTAATAAATCAAAGAAAGGAGAGTCATCCAAGTTGGAAAGAAAGAAGTAAAACTCTTAATTTGCATTTCTACATGATTATGTAAATAATTATATGCAACTTATACAAAATCTAAATATTAAGTGAATTTTTCAGGGTATAAATACAAAAGTATTTATATATACTAATAATGTGCTATTGCAAATTAAAAATTTTAAATATCACATATGTTATAGTATAAAAAGCATAAAATACTTAAGGATAAATTTGACAAAATGTGTGAAAGATCTGTGCACCAAAAACTATGAAACGTTCCTGGGAAAAATTTAAGAAAATCTAACCAAATGGAAAGATGTATTGTTTTTGCAGGTCAAAAGACTTAATATTGTTTAGATATTAATCTTCCCAAAACTGATGTATAGATTCAATGCGTTCCAAATCAAAATCCTAGCAGGGATTTTTTCTCTGATAGAAATTGACAAGCTGATTTCAATATTTATATGGAAATGCAAAATTCTCAGAATAGCCAGAATAACTCTGAAAAAGATCAAAGTTGATAGGCTAACACTTTCTGATTTGAAGACTTGTAAAAGTACTACTAAGACAATATGCTATTAGCATCATACAGACAATAAAACAATGGAACAGAAGACAGAGTCTATAGACAACTGAATTTTAACAAATGTGTTAAGGCAATTCGATGAAGAAAATATATTCTTAACAATAAGTAGTGCCAAAAATTTGAATATTCATATATTAAAATAACTTTGATCCATACCTATCACCATATATAAAAATAACTCAAATGAATGATATAACTGAATGTAAAAACTTAAAATTGTAAAACTTCTAGAAGAAAATAAAAAAGAACATTTTTGTGACTTGGATTAGGTGAAGACTTCTTAGATATGACCAAAGACTCCCAAGATATGATTAAAAAAAAGTCTTCTTCGATATGACAGATTGGTTCTATAAAAGAACAAATTGAGGGCCGGGCGCGGTGGCTTATGCCTGTAATCCCAGCACTTTGGGAGGCCGAGGCGGGCAGATCACAAGGTCAGGAGATAGAGACCATCCTGGCTAACACGGTGAAACCCCGTCTCTACTAAAAATACAAAAAATTAGCCGGGCGTGGCGGCGGGCGCCTGTACTCCCAGCTGCTGGGGAGGCTGAGGCAGGAGAATGGCGTGAACCCGGGAGGCGGAGCTTGCAGCGAGCCGAGATCGCGTCATTGCACTCCAGCCTGGGCGACAGAGCGAGACTCCGTCTCAAAAAAAAAAAAAAAAAGCCCAAAGATCTGGACAGACAATTCACCAAAGAAGACATATGGATGTTATATAAACATACAAAAAGATGTTCAACAACATTATTCATTAAAGAACTGCGGGTTAAAAGTAACACAAAGTACAATTACACATCCATTTGAATGTTTAAAATTTCAAAGGCTGATCATACTTCATGTAGACAAGGATGTAAAGAGACTCGAACTCTCATACACTTCTGGGGGACATGTAAAATGGTACAGCCAATAGGAAAACAGTTTGGTGGTTTTGTAAAAAGCTAAACAAGTACCTACGATATGATACAGACATTCCACTTTTAGGTATTTACCCAAAATAAATGAAAACGTTCCAATAATTGTACAAAAATGTTCATGGCAGTCTTATTTATAATAGCCCCAAATAGAAATGACCCAAATGTTCATGAGCAGATGGATAAATAAATGCATTTTGGTATATCTATAAAATGGAATTGAAAATAATTATGTTGACAAAAGAGCTAGACAAGAATGAGTAAATACTATATGATCTCATTTATATAACATAGGAAATTCCAACTAATCTATAGTGACAGAAAACAGGTGAGTGATTTTATGGGGCAGAGTAGGGAGTAGAGGATGGAGAAGGTTGGATAAGTTTATAAAGGAACTGAGGGACATGTTGGTGTGATGGATATACTCATTGTGTTGATTGTGATGATAGTTTCACAAGTGTATATAGATGTCAAAACATCCAATTGTGCACTTTAGATATATGCTGCTTATTTTATGTTAATTATGTCATTAAAACTCTTGAGAGAGAGAGAGACAGAGGAGAGACAGAGAGAGAGAGACAGAGAGAGAGAGAATGCCCCAGAAATTTATATGATTTAGTAAGAGGCTGATAGTTTTGAGTGGCTTCCATACCTTTCCTCCCTCTCTCCCTTCCTCCCTTCCTTCTTTTCTTGCTTCTATTATGTGATTAAAAATTATATTGTATTAATATCTTAAGAATTAACAAAGAATATACTTTACAAAATAATTCTAGAAGTCCCTTGGAATGGAAGGTGATACCTTAGAAGGAGGAAAGAAAACAAAAGGAATAGATCAGCTGTGTTACATTAAAAATGAACAGAGAATAGGTGAGAAAAGCGATGACAGGGAAACATGGCAGCATTGCAGATGGATTTTTCTGCCCGGAGATGCCAAATATTCAGTGTTCACTGTTTGTGTTTGTGTTGCTGTGTGTCATAAAACTTCTCTCTGGAAAAACGATTTGGGTCAGTCTCAGAGCAGAGATAAAGGAGCAGCTGCTCAATGCCGGGCAGAGAAGAATTTGTTACAGGCAAGTATTTCCGAGAAGGTACTGCATCTAGAGGCCTCCCAGCAATGTTGGGAACACATTGGATTTTCCACCGGAAATGAAATTGACTCTCAGTTGATATCTGGAATGGCACTTTTTTCTCTATTTCTTGATCAACATGTGCCAGTAAGTATGTTCAGGATTAGGAATTCAGAGATAAATAAGATATGGCTTTGTTCTGTCACAGCACTCAGATTAAATTTTTTAAAAACAATAATATGGTGTGAAAAGTAGGATGATAGTGGTAGTACTTGAGGGTAGTGGATGTACTTGCTCCAGAATTTCTGTGTAGGATGCTCTAGTGATTGGCATGTGGCAGCAATGGATGTGGCTATATATATATATATATATATATATATAATTTTCTATAAGAACTACATAAAAGGATAATAAAATAAAATAATAGGATAAAATGTTTGGTGTCCACATCAGAAAATGCCTGCTCGTGAGCACTAATAGAAATTATTGAGGATGCTGAATTCTCCATGCAGAAACTGACCTTAGAGGATGAATGGATGTTTAGGTGGCAGACAGCTTGGAGTAGGGTTTTCTGTACTGAGTCCATGTCCACAGCAAAAAAGTATACCAGTGAAAGATTTCCTGTTTGTGGAGTGGCAAGTCCCTGCTTGGAAGATCACTGATGTCATGATAAGAACCAGGTGATCATTTGGCTTTTCTCCCTAGTGCTTATGGAACACGAAAAAAATATATGGACTTTGGACAATGATTCAAGTTTCATCTCTGCCCCCAAGTATATGAATTAGTTGGTAATTCAAATTCAATCCCCTCATCCAATTATACCTTTGCCCCATCAATATGAATTCATTAGTAATTCAACCTAAGTCTCAGTTTTTTCGTCTCTAATATGAGGAAAACAGAGTTTTCTTGGAAAAAATTATAGGATTAGACACTACACACACACACACACACACACACACACACACACGTAAATAAATACATAGTGCCTGGTACCTAGTAGGCATGTGATAATTTTTACTTAGTTTTATTGTTGTTGTTCTCGCCAGGGCTCAAATTATTACCTGAGGTGAGAGTTCAACATTTAGTGCAGGGCCAGGGAAGTTCCCAGGAAGAACTGTTATTCAATTTTTAAAAAATGAAAAACAATGGTCACATTCTCACTGAATGTGCAGCTCTTCCCCAGGCACTTGACAAGGTGCACCAAAGATTCAACACATATCTAAGGAGTCCTTGAGTTATAAGTGACCAAACTAACGTACTTAAAGGAACTAGACAAGAATATCATATAATCAATTACAGGAGTGTGCGGTATAGGCAAGAGATGTCACAGGCCCCTGATGCTATTAGCCTCCTGTTCTTAGTATATGTGCAAAATGATGTAAGCAGTTGAATGCCATGTGCAAAGTACTAAGTGGTCCCCTAGTGGCCAGAAAGAGTTAATACTACATATATCCTGAGAGGAGCACGTAAAAACATTTCCTACCCACACATTATTTACCTCCAAGGCTATTCTCATTTGAGCTGATAAGAGTTTCCCATTCTAAATCAATTTATACTTCAATGATAGGCAACTTAAACTATTTCCCCAAATATTATTAATCACACGGACCCACTCTGTTCCCCAATGTACTCTTGAACTTACCTTTCTCACGGTTTACTGATTTCTAGAGATTATGCATTTATTTGCCAGGCTTTCTATATTAAGATATGAACCTTTGAAAGGAAGTAATTGGGTTAGTGCTATCCGGGGGAATCATGAGTTCCAGGTTTTCCAGGCTAGGACAGTCCTGGTTTATGCTGATTTTCCTAGTGTAATTATTAGTATCATCCCCTTTTATAATCACAATTGTTCCAGTCTTGAGAATTAATTATATGGTCACCTTCCTGCTCCTTTTTTTCCCCTGATGAAAACTCTAAAAATACCAGTGTAACTCAGCTGGACATGAGGTCAATCTGCATGCGATCCCTGTCACTCCCGCAATCACCAGGGCTCACTTGGCTGGTCTGTCTGGATAGGCTGTTTTCTTTTGCATATTCCCCAAGTTTTCTTCCGGAAGTTGCCATCTAAATCAGAGAAGAGGATTGTGGGTGATGTATGTGCTACTCGGCTCTCTTGTTTGAGTTTTCTCACAGTCTCTCATAAGCTCTAAAAGTCACCATTAAGCCAGTTCTAATGCCATGCCATGTTGGTTGGGCAGAATCTGCAGATCTTGGGTGAAATAATTTATCCAGCAAACACCCAGTCTATATCTACATGACTATGTAACCTGTGCTGCTACAATTAATGTGTTACTGGGTGAAAGAAGATGATCTAGATACAAAAATTGAAATAGAACAAAAGGAAATTGTGAACACTTTCTAGAGACAGCACAAGCATATCCACAATGGCCCAAATGTCACCTCTTATCATAGTCAGAACAATATGGACACCTGTAAAACCCAGCCAAGTGAGACTTTCAAACTCAAATTTATGCTTGATGTGTCAGAACGACATTGGTACATTTATAGGCTAGTTGTATGAATGCAACACAGTAGAATTGTTTTGGAATACAGCAATGGACTTGTGAACGCCTTGTTAAAATGAAGTATACTTTTCTGGCTCAGAACAGATTTCTTAAGAAGTATGTCAATGTCCTTATATGACTTGTTTCAGCAACGAAGATAATATTTTAATGGGTAGTTCAATTCAAAATGCCAAAATTAAATTATTACAAATAAAGAGGCATGTACAATTACATTCATATTCAGAAACTGCTTTGTGATTTTGATGAAGAATTAGAAACAAAATATTACCCTAAATGCCTTAAACAATACATTTTTTCTTCTTTTCTCATTATCACTGACCTGTTTTCAACCTTCTTCCAAGCTTTTACTCACATCTTAACCATATGTATTTTACATGTGAATGAGATTATGAATTCATGACTCTAGGAGATAAATGCATACATATAGACTATAAATGGTATTTCATTCTTTATACCTCATAATCTTATGCTTAGGAAGAGAAAAACCTTAAAATAAAAATCTGCCCAATAGGTATTATCACATATAATAAAATACATTAAAAGTTATAACTGGAATAACAAGATTTGGGAAATTTCAGCAGCTGCTTGGTGCTGAATACCAATAGGATCATTCTGGATTCATCACATAACAATGAATACAAACAAACAAATGACCGTATTTAGTAAATCAATAAAGACAGTCTTCTGCAAAGGCCTGGATGGGATCTATGGTTAGTTATATAATCACAGATGGGTGACATTCGAAGATTTTCCATGTGACTATAGCAGTTATTTCTGCTAAAGGATTTCAAGGAGAAATTTGGAGTTTATTATTTTATTATTATCAGTCAAATTTTGACACAAGATATATATTCATTCTTCTTGCAATGAATGTTCAAACTCTTCCATTTCTGCCAGAGACAGAGTATGGCCAATATTGAGTATAGAGAGCTGAACATAAAAATTATAGTTGAATGTTAAATAAAATAAAATGTTCTACATTTCTCTACATACTTATGCCCAGGATTACTAACATAGAGTGACCAAACTATTGCAAGAGTTGTTTCTTATGTTGGCTATTAGAAAGCTCAGAGCCTAACTTGCAGTCATTACTTGCAAATATAGAAGGCTTCATGGATGTATTTTGTACCAACTTCCCTCCTTGGCTTATTTGATTCCTTATTTTCCTTCTGCCTAATTTTTAACCTCTTTTAAATAATGTTTTCTTACTGTTTTAGTTTGGATGTGTGGCCCTTAAACCTTATGTTGAAATTTGTTCCTAATGTTGGAGGTGGGGCCTAATGGGAAGTGTTTGGGTCATGAGGTTGGATTCCTCATGAATAGATTAAAGCCCTCTCTGTGGCATGTGTGAGTTCTTACACTGTTAGTTCCCATGAAAGCTGGTTAAAAAGAGCCTGGTGCTTTCCTGCTTTTCTCTTGCTCCCTCTGTTGCCATGTGATCTCTGCACATGCAAGCTCCCCTTCACCTTCCACCATGAGTGGAAGCCTGAATCTTTTACCAGAAGCTAAGCAGATGCCAGCACGATGCTTCTTCTACAGCCTGCAGAGCCATGAGTCAAATAAACCTCTTTTATTTATCAATGACCCAGCCTCAGGTATTCCTTTATAGCAGCACAAAACAGACTAAGACACTATAGAGTATTAATTTTTGTAGGTCATATGTAGAGACATAATCTTATCTAAAAATCCCTCCAAAATTATGTATGTTCTATAAATGCTGTGTCATAGCACCTACATTACTTACCTCATTTAATTTCCTCAAAAAGGACATGAAACACCAAAAATTATCTAATACTGTAACACAGAACAATGATTTTTGTAGAGTAATTCCTCCCTCCTCATTTTACATGTTGTTATCTTTCTGCCAAAATGCCAAAATGTTTTATATAATGCACACTACCAATGTAGTGTAAAGCAGGGTAAGAAAAGAGACACTTCTCTAAATTTTTGTCTGGCACAGATTTGTGCAGAAGTAAATCAGTCACAGAGATCATTTCAGCTGTAAAAATACAGTTAAAGGAGAGCTCGTCTGTTGTAGGCAGTGGCAGCCGGAAAGAACCCACAGCAATTAGTTTAAAAGCCCAAATTTAAGGAAATACCCATTTCAGTTTTGCTGTGGATCACTATTGAATAATGGTGGAATACAGACGACAGTGAGTGACTAAGAATATAGAAGCCCAAGAAGAGGCTCCAAGCAGGACCAGGCTGAGATATTGTTCAATGCTCTTGTGGTGTGGGAGAATTGCAGCTCTGAAGTCACCCTTGCCATCTATCTTTTGTTTCTCAATGCCAGTCAGTCATTCTTAAACAACTCTTTCTATTGTAATGATTAAATTATGATCCCCAGCAGGCATTTGATGTCAGAGCTCTTCCGTTCAAAGTAGGGAGGCAACTTCTTTCTATAATTATGTTTTCTACCAGTGTTATTTAAAGTTTGCTCTTCAGCTTTCTGAATTTTGTTGTGATAGCCCTGAGGGCGTGAAATAATTCGTCTCTGATGCTTCCCGACTGACTTCTTTCTCCTTTCCTTTCTCATATATCCTGACCTTTCATTGGAATGGGCCTGATTATACCTCACAAGTTTCATCCTTACAAACAGAAGTTTTCAGTGTGACTGGTCTCTTAGGTCAGGTATTGGCGCTGTTAGAAACCTGATGCCTGTAGTTGAGGTTTTTGTTATGTGGTTTGTGACATGTTGTACAGAACAATCTGTTACATATTTGCTCCATGGATAGTACACAGAATCTTCCTATATAGTTCCACCGGATTAGGAGCAAAATCAGAAAGAATACTACTAATCTCAAAGTCTTACGGGGATTAAGAGGTGGGGGTAAGATCAACATTGCCTTGAATTTTAATGTCTTATTGCATATTCAAGAACAAATTTATTAAATATTATAGGGGAGAAATCCTTCAGACCTATTTCTTTAAATTTAATCCTTAATGTATAGGGCAACTCTCTATTTGATAGGCTTTAAGAAGGCAACCCACATTGTTTCAATGTAATCTATCTATTCAGGAAATGCCCGGCCTGAAAGACGGTTGACAGGTGAGCAATGGCATCACTATCACACCTGCAGGTTCCTGCCCAGACCTCCTCTGCTCAGTTTTATTCTGTCAAGAGGGATGCTACTGAAGTGACTTCAGTAAATTGAAAGACAGATGTGGAGTCAGGCTACTAATCTACTGTCTAATTTCCTTAGTACCGGATTGGAAGTCCTAAAATAACCAATCTATTGATGTGTCTATTTTTTTTTCATCATAGAAAATATTGAAATGTCACTTTATGACAATTCTGGGTTTTATGTCTTTTTAATGACAAAGTCATCTAGTATGTATTTTCCTCGGAAGTACTCTAGATATACAGATTTCCATTTCGGCATGCAGAGTTAAAAAATTTTTAAATGTTTATAAAAAGAAATCATCCAAGAACTAAAGAAAATTTGATAAAATATAGTGCATCTTCTATCAAGAGCCATCTTATGAGAGAGCTACCACTATAATGATAGAGATTTGCAAGTCATTAATGGAAACAGATTTTTTGTCTAGATGATTTTCAGAAGGCAGCAAGGTTTAGGTTCTTTGACTTCAAATGTGATTTTAAAATAGGCAACCACAGAGACAGCTTCTACAAAGTTGACACTTTTAGAGGAAAGTAAAGCAGACCTTTCAATTTGTCCTGAGAGCTAGGAGATAACTAGTTCTTTTTTTTTTTTTTTTTTTTTTGAGACGGAGTCTTCCTCTGTCGCCCAGGTTGGAGTGCAGTGGCGCGATCTCGGCTCACTGCAAGCTCCGCCTACCGGGTTCACGCCATTCTCCTGCCTCAGCCTCCCGAGTAGCTGGGACTACAGGTGCCCGCCACCACGCCTGGCTAATTTTTTTGTATTTTCAGTAGAGACGGGGTTTCACCGTGTTAGCCAGGATGGTCTCGATCTCCTGACCTCGTGATCCGCCCGCCTCGGCCTCCCAAAGTGCTGGGATTACAGGCGTGAGCCACCGCGCCCGGCCGGAGATAACTAGTTCTTAATAAGAATGTTAATTACCACTGGGTGTGTGAATTCTATTGTGTTGCCTTATTCCAAGTCATTTAGATTAACATATCTATTAAAGGCTTTCTTGTAGAAGATTTCCATTTCTGATGCAGGCTCATGCTTTCCCTTCTGTGTCTTTTCTCATGGTTTACACCTAAATGGAACACTGTCATCTGGGTTTTTGCATATTCAAATCTTAGTCATTCTTTAAGAAGTAAAGGCTACTACCTCCATACACTTTTGTACACATCTCTCAGTTCCTAGCATGACATATTGGTTACAGAAGATTTTCAACAAATATAGTTGAAATGAAAAGAATGAATTAAGCACTGTATTTTTTTGTAAGGTATTGGAGTCCCTCTCTGGAAATCATAGTAAAATTATATCCTAGTAGAGGATATAATGTAATATATGTTCAATTCTCTTTAGAGATATAAAGATATACTGGAGGGCCCTTAGATATTTTATTCAGCACAATATTATCCTTAAATGTTGACATACCATTGGGCTATATAGTACTTTGGGAGTGAGGTCAACATAAAGTGAGGCCTTTAGCTATTGTGTTTGTAATAAGTTTATGGAGACAAAGCTTTTGCTATTGTTTTGTTCATGTATATCCATTTGAAGAAATAAATTGAGGTAAAGATCAGTAATTGTACTCATAAAATTTGGCAGTATGAGCAAAATAAAATGTTGCTGTTGTAGTTTCCTAAAAGTTATTTTAGGGTGAAAGACCCTCTTAAAAGTAGAGAAATGTTAAAAAAGTTTATTTCCAGGCCTAGGATCATTTGCTCTAAAGATAAATATATAAAATGCCAGAGATCTTTACTTTCCACATTTTTATTACGACCAGTGATTATTCTTCTATAAAATATGCAGTGTCACAGTTTGTGGCAGGTTCTGAAAACAAAAGCTTCTATGTAAATGAGTAGGAGAAAGATTTGGATCTCTAGTTAAGCAACATACTGTAAACAATTAGTTTAACTGAAACATGTTTTCCCTTTTGTAGGCATTGGGGAACAAGTGGCCAGATGTACCCATTAAACTAAACTGGGAATGGCCAGGGATTCAAAATTTCTGGAGGCCTTTCACCAGGCCATTCAAGTTGTTCTTTAAAGTGCCCCACTTTTTTCTGTTTCTCTCTCTCCCCTGCCCCATCTCTCTCTCTCTCTTTCTCTCTGTGTGTGTGTGTGTGTGTCTTCATCTCTCTCTCTCTCTCTGCGTGTGTGTGTGTGTGTGTGTGTGTCTTCATCTCTCTCTCTTCTTTTGCATAATATTTACCTCAAGCTTGCTTCAGGCTAATGTCTCAATAATTTCCCCTCCTTTCTCAGGTCCTTACCACAAAGGACTTGACTAATGATCCATGGACAAAATGAAGCATTTAAATTTATTCATTAATCATTCATCTCCAGCTCATTGAAAACTTTAAACTTCCACAAAATTAAGATAGAACATTGAGGAGTGATTGAGAGAGACAGCTCTCAGTGAGCTAAAAAAGACTGGTAAACACAAAAACAAAAGTACATTAGACAGAGTGTCTCAAAGTGTCACATGGGCATAGATATTGTTACAGTTTACACAAACTTTAAGTACTGAATGGCAAAGCCTTTATTTGGGCCAAGACGATAGGGAAATCTGGGGAAGCGAACAGTCACTGTCAACACCGCCAGTAATTATTCTCTCTTCCAATTAATGGTGACATAGATTAATTATCAGATGAGGCAAAGCCAATTGCAATCAGTCACCCAGAGCTGAAATTAGATCGTTCCTGACAGCAGCATGAAAGTCACCTGTTTCATTGTTATGGATTTGCTGTGAGTAAAAGAGTGGCAAAGCATGCTGGGAGGTGAGTGAGTTTTTCGTTCATGGAAGTGTGAAATGGCAAACAGGTGAATGTCCAATTACACTGTTATCTGAACTGTGTGACTTTTCTTGTCTTTTATTTCAGCATCCAAGATACATTGGTTGTTTGCTTAACCATCGTTTTCGCATGTGCCATCTGTCAAAGTCTGGAAGAAACCTAAGATGTGTTGCATTAAATTTGAAGATTCCTCCTGTTCAGAAGCAAGAAACAAACAAAATCAATAAGTACTCATTAATTAAGAAAACAGAGCATTATTATGAAATCATACACATGGAAAACTTATCAACAATAAAAATAACGACAAACACCATTACATTCTCCTTTATAGGAGACAAACAGTATAAACCCCAAGGAAGAGTGATTTCTCTATGATCTAGTAAGTTCTAAAAATTAAAGTCCAACTAACTTTAAGGTAGAGAGTGAATGAGACAATTAAATTATTCTACTGCTTTAGAGATTCTTTTACCCACTATCATCCTTGTCCCATTACAAAGATTTTAGGCAAATTTGTCACATAGAGAAAGTGAAATTTTGGTTATTAGATAAGAACAAATTATAATGATGGTCACTAGGCTTCTGTTCATAGTGCTTCAACAACTGGATGTTCGTATTTATTCAACAAATATATTTATTTATATAAATAGGGAAAAAGGAAAATTTCTTGCCCTCATGGAGTTTGCATTGTAATGCAAGGAAAGAAACAACACACATGCACACATATACACATACAGAAGGGTACTTAATAATTAGTAAAATGTGTGTATAAAATGTGTATAATATATATTTATAACTACATGCTGCAGTAATGTAGGATCCCCACTGTTTTCTTCTTCTAAATGTAAACAAGGGCAAAGGCAACAACACATAAAAAGTTAGTTCTTGATGACCTTTGTCTTAAGGTTTATCTATTGCAAAGTATTTTTCTCAAACTATTCTTGTAGATAGGAAAACGCAGAGTTCACTTTTGTTTTTGGATATTAAGAATATGTACTGTAACTGTGTGCTCTGATTTTCAATATTGGTTTGGTCTGCTGCCATTCTAAATGCATGTTATAACTGAGCCATAATACATATAAGCGGTTTTTTGGGTAATTATCATACGTCTCATCCCTTCAGTGCTATTTATAGTCTCTACACTAAAGACTACATTACTTTAATTACCCAAGAAGTGAAATAATCCCTTAAAAGGTCCAGCTCTGGATGTCTGGATGTCACAATACCATCATGAACATATTTTGTAGAGATATAAGGCTATATACTTAAGCAGGTATAAAATAGTCTTATGAAAACTAAGTGATTAATTCCAACTGAAATATTTGATATGTGTTAATATGTATTTCTTGATGATGGAAATACTTCTATGTTTATTTTTAAGAAAGATACTTAAATATCATTTTCTTCTAGGAATAGGAACATAACTGAAAAAAAAAAGATTTTAAATAAGAGATAAGAATGAAACATTGAAAAATCCATCTGAATAAAGCCTGAAAAAAATCATCCTACTTTTAAAGGATTTCATAATTGGATTCAGTCAAGTTATATAAGAAGTCCTATGAGAATAGTCAAACGTGGTATAAATCTTTAATTCAGAAATGAGGATATCATAGATATACAGAATACTTGCTCAATTAATGGGCTAGGAATGAATTTTCTTTTTATTGGGAAAGAGAACCATGTTTTAGTATTTGTAAGAACTTAGGTCTTGATTTGGAGATAGCACACAACAGTAATGACGGTGACTGAGCCTTGATCCTTGAAGTAAAAGACAACACACAGGAAAAATCCACCTGTATTTTATTTTGTGATCAGCACTAATAACCTGCATGACTCAGTGTGCAGATAGGAGCATGGTAGATGGATTCAGCATCCATGAGTTCCGGCTTCAGACACCTGTCAGTAATCAAACGTTATCTCTTTCATATCCGAAATGTTTGGGTCTTTATATAGAAACACACACTCCATTATAAATATATAGATAGACTAATGGAAGAACAATGAATCTAAATTTTGAATTTGTATGAAAAATTTAACTAGATGAAGCCTTGCTTTAATAAAGCTAATTACAATTGATGTGTAATTTGCATAATAAAATGCCAGTTTACATTCTCTTAATCTTAAATTAGCATTACAATTACATTCTGGATATTTAAGAGTGTTTCTAAAGTACTAAAAAAGAATCCATTTGCTTGAATTGGCAGAGTTTTTTTTCATATTATGTTTTTAGTATTTGCTTGGGAAATAAAAATCTTTTCATGGTGAAAATCAACAAAATGATTGATCCAAGGTCAAACCAAGCCCTGTATAAATTATACAGAAAAAGAAGAAGCCCCTTTTGAATTAATGAAATTTGAAAAATAAGATTTATAATTCTGTGAATGTTTGTATGAAGTCAGCATATAGTCATATATTAAAATATATCTTTCATTAACTTTTATCAACTTTTCTTTTTTTGCTTCTTGCAAACTTCGTAATGCAGATATTAGATCTCATAATATAATTTACTGATTGATACCAGAGACAAAATATTTTACTTTTTGTTCCTAGATTAGGATTCTATTTTTATATTAGTATAGTCACTATTATGAATTATTATTATTATTTTTTAACTTTATTTTAGGTTCAGGGGTACATGTGCAGGTTTGTTATATAGGTAAACTTTTTTGTTTTGTAACTCGTTTTCTCCCTTATGGGGGTTTGTTGTACAGATTATTTAGTTATCTAGGTACTAAGCCTAGTGCCCAATAGTTATTTTTCCCGCTCCTCTCCCTTCTCCCACCCTTCACCCTCAAGTAGACCCCAGTGTCTGTTGCTTCCTGCTTTGTGACCAGCAGTTATATGAGTTATTTTAAATAATAAATTAAAATGTTTATAGGACTATAAAAGAAAAAGATCCAGGTAGTCCCCCTTATGCAAAACATTGATCAGAACAAAATGAAATCAGAATCAACCTCCCTTTCTAAACTCATTGGATTTGCTTTATGTGGGAAATGATTTTCTGGGGTGTGTTAAGAACGTTCTTGAGGTGCTCTGGGGAGACATAGGAGGTAGAGCTCCTCAGCAGTGTTGAAATACAGTAGGAACTCAGTAATAGAGCTTTGAGGGTCAGGGAATGACATGTGAAAGGACAATGGGGCACATATTTTAGCAGACCTAATAGAACTCCTGCAGTTTAATGATTTTTTTTTTTTTTAATTCTGAAAGACGCTTACAAAGTTGCTTTAGACCTCACAGTACCAAGGGCAAGATGGAACTTAACTCTGCAGATCTGTAATGTGACATGCAATTAATGCTCTATGAGCCGTTTGCCGGAAAAGAGTTCAATGGTCATCAGTTAAAACACTGTGATGATAATTTCAATTACTAGCTAATTTCTAGATTTGAGAATATACTTTATTTTTTAAGTATGATTACATTCCTTTCTGAGTCCTCATATGAGCTGAGAGTGAAAATCTTTGGCACTTGTCTATTCAACAGGAGATTTCTGCTATAGGAAAACGATAAAAGTAGGGAACAATTGAACAGGAAAACATGATCTTTCAGGAGTGTTGTTTGGAAAGAGGAGCCCATTTTTAAAAGAGATATATTGGCAAGTTAGCAAACAGCTGTCCTAATAATTTATTAGAGATTTTATTACTTTTCATCAAGAAATCACTGAGGTCACTTTTTAAATGAAGCAATTAAGTTATAAAAAAGACTCTTTCAAAGAAATCTAACAAGAAGAAAGCTAAAAGACCTGCTATTTCATCTTTTAGATAAGAGTGACACTTGACTGAATGCCAACAGTATGGGCAAAGGTGCAGATGGTAAAGGTATGGAAGTTAGGTCCTGCTACTGAGCTTAGACCAAAATTCAACATGTTCCAGAACTTTTGAAGGAGGAAAGATATGAAAGCACATACTACATTATGTCTACTTGTTTCTTAATTCTATGTTCGTGTGTTGCTTTGATGTGATCACATCAAGGAATAAACTTCCAGTAGAAAGAAAACAAACTTCATAAAAGTAAGGATTGATGAACCTCTCTTCAAAAAACTACTACAATGACCTGAATATAGCCCTTCCTTAATAAGTTATTGATGACAGTGTTAATAATTCATCTACTCAAAACAGGAAGATTTCTGTTTCTGTTGCCATCCCACCCAGTTGATCACATAAAGAGAAAATGGGAGGATATATAGGATCCACTCAGTAGTTATGGTCATCTTTTCTCCTAATGTAGTAAATGAGTTTGAAGTTCACATGGTTTGTAAAGTCTTTTGCCCCAGTGTTTTGGAAGGGTAAGTGATTAGGTATATTCAGTGAGAACACAGAGAACAGAGTGACCCACCAGAACTTTCTCCTCTCACATCAATTTCATTTTGAATATCGCCATACATGTCCTGGGATTCAGTGTAGAACCAGCTAAGATGAAAAGTAGACCTGGGGCTTGAAAAACATACCACTTCCAGATCAATCTTCGCAGCTCTCTAAGTGAGGCATAATCACTGTAAATCTTCTTTTACAGTTGATTTATACTGCAATTAAGGCAGAGAAGAAGCACATACAAGGCCAAAAGTGGAAAAGTAGCACACATTTTTCATGGAAAGTTTTTTTCCCCATAAGTCAGAGCACAAGAGAGTTTTCTAAAAAAAAAATTATGAGAAACTAGTCATGCTGACTGACATGATATGGGAGAATGTTAAGTCATCTGTGTTTTCTGTTTAAATGTATATATTTCAGTTGATTAAAAAAGCACATGGTGAATTGATCTTGCAGCTTATAAAAGCTATATTTCAGCTTTGGTGTTTTTTATTCTTTTTTTTTAATCAAATTATCTCCCAAAGCATTTTGACTGAAGTTTATTAACACAGCAATGCTGCTATTAATGCTTCGCAGTGCACTCTTGCAAAGTTAAGTAAGAGACATGACTTTTCCTATGCATACTGATCATACCTTCTGAAGGTCTAAAAGAACTCAAGATTGCATAGCTGAGTGGTTTTGAAGAAAGAAAATTGTTACTTTGTCTTTTTTTTTGTGCAATGTTATTAGATTTTTGGTGGGGAAGCATTCATAAGAAACATTATATTGCCAGATTTTAACTGGTATTTCAAATATTATCAGATTTCCAAAAAAGTAAGTTAGAAATTCAGAGACCAAAGCAGCTAGCTGCAGGCCTTTGTGCTGAAGTTAGGGGATATTGGAAGGAGAATCATGAAGCTGAATGATGAGGTTGCCTTTCAGGGAACATGGTGTGAGGTTATTTAGATTAGAGAGGAAAATAATCACATCTTTGACAACATGCCAAATGATGGAGAGAAAGTGATCCTTTCATTTTATATATAACAAAGTGATAGTTTAAAAAGAGGACTACTTATCCTAAACCAATATACTCTAAGGGAGAAAAATATTTCAAGTATCCTATTCCAGCCAGTTAATAAAGAAAATTTCACACGAATTCCCTGTTGAACAAATGATCATGCTCCGTGATCTTGCTCAGTTTTGGGGGGAAACAATTAAATCTGTGGATAATAATAGGTCCTATTTTTTTTCTTTTAGGAAACTAGTGCTTCTTTTTTTTCCTAGAATTCAACATGAGTGGCAACCTTTCCTTAAATTATTCTTATAAATAAAATTGTATACTATTAATACTTCATTTTTTCTATTTCTAGACTTATTACTAAATTAATTAGCAGGAGTTTAATCCTACTTGTGTTTTGATTCTCAGAATACAATCAGCAGAGAGTAGCCCCATTGTGTTTTCTTGAGAAAGAGCAAATATTTTGTGGCAAAACATGTTGTAAACACTGAATATTCTATTCCACTTTTTCAAGAGATACAAAGCACTATGGTATGATTACAGATATTCTGAAATTTCAAAAAACAAATCCCGCTTAACATTTTAAAACTCAGCACTTCTGAAATTTATTGTCCACTTGATCTTTTATCAGGTAACACAACATATTAAGATTCAACCAGATATATTTGGGAAAATTGTAGTGATGTGCAGAAAAAGAATTTAGTTAAAATGAGATCTCGTAGTTACTTTTCAAACCTTGTATGGACATTGTAAGTCACCTTTCTCTTTCATATATTCATGCAACAAACATTTATTTGCCTCTGTTATTTCTGAGGCATTGTTCCCGGCACAGTGGAAGATATTGTGGCTTAAAGTGGAAAAGTAGCACACATTTTTTTTTTCAGGGAAGGATCCCCCTACCCCCAGTAAACCAGAGCACAAAATATGGTTTGGCCTCAAGGGATGTGGAAATAACTAGTTTATCACAACACAGGATGTGATATGGTCACAGAAAAGTGGTGGTTTTGAGGAGAGAAATACCACTTCTGGCTGGAAGTTTAGGGAAATCTAATAAAAGAGATGATGTGTAAGCTGGTCCTTGAAAGATGAGACCGGAGATGGAAAAGCACGGATCTATTTAGGGAATCATTAAATATATCAGTGTTCAGAACTCAGAGCATGGCTAAAGATATATTTGGAAAGGCAGATAGAAAATAGATGATGACAGATACTGCACACCAAGATTATCTGCTGTAAGTGATGGGGAGGCACTGATGGGCCTATTTTAAAGAATCACCATGTCTGTAGTACATATTAATTGAGATGTGGCTATAAAATTTCATTTCAGTTAGCCACAATATGTACTTACACATCCTATTTGGAAGGTTTATGGTTTTTTTCCCCAATGTGTTCTTACAGCTCTTGCGTAGGCACCATCTTCATAACCAACTTTATAGCTATGTTGGGAAGTTTCCTGCTCACAACTTGAAACAAAAATAGCGACATGGTTTGGCTGCGTCCCCACCCAAACCTCACCTTGAATTGTAGCTCCCATAATTCCCATGTGTTGTGGGAGGGACCCAGTGGGAGATAATTAATCATGGGGTGGTTTCCCCCATACTGTTCTCATGGTAGTGAATAAATCTCACTAGATCTGATGGTTTTATAAGCAGTTTCCGCTTTGGCTTGGCCCTCATTCTCTCTTGCCTGCTGCCATGTAAGATTTGCCTTTTGCCTTCTGCCGTGACTGTGAGGCCTCCCCAGCCACGTGCAACTGTGAGTTCATTAAACATTTTTTTTTCCTTATAAATTACCCAGTTTGGGGTATGTCTTTATCAGCAGCATGAAAACAGAATAATACAAATAATATTCTAGCTAGTCATTCATTTTACTCATTGTTTGTGAATTTGATTGTTTCAAAAATTGAACCCACACAAATCAGAGATTTGTCAATGCTGTATATGCTTGGAATTGTAGGCTATATGTCCTGAAGGCAGTGAAGGCAGTTCTAAAGCTGTTAGCAATATAAGGATACTTAGACCTCATTATGACTGGGAAACGACTTGCATATATAAGAATATTTAACAGTCACATTACTTAATAATCTCACGTGAGTTTTCTGAAATACACATTTGTGAATATGAACATACTCCCCAAGTTTGAAACTTTAAGTTGTCAATTATTTGTCTGATTTACTTTAGATTGCTGATTACATGAAGTTTGACTAGGAAAAGAGGCTTATACAAAACAATTTAGCATTGCATTTTAATTTTGTTACATAAACAAAATTTTGTTACATAAACATATTTGTTTACTTTTGTTACATATTTAATTTTCCTACATATTATCTTTGAATTTCAACAATTTAAAAACTAAGGTGTTTCAGCTCAATATGAGCTTTCACTTTAGTAACTGTGTAAGCACAATTTGGAGAAGGCCACATGGCTTAACATATTGAAGCACTTAAGAGGCCTAACCAAATAAATTATTTGGCAGGAAATGACCTAAATCTAAAGGTGCATGCTTTCTAAAATTCCTACAAATTTGGGTTTTTTTGGAGCAGATCTCGTATTGCTGATGTTTGTGTCTTGTTTTTACCATGTTCATGCAGAGACGACTATAACTTCTTTTATATTTTTAATGTGATATTACACAGTTTTTAATGTTGAGAGCAAAAAAGCTTAGATATTCCAGGTATTAGTTTAATTGGGCCCAATTTTAAGTGGGCTTTAAGTGTTTGCTTTAATTTTTTTTTAACTTTTACATAGTCTGTGACTGAATTATCTTTCTTTATGTTAAAAGCTTTAGGATAATTGTCTCTTGACCATAAAGTTTGCTTCATTTTGTGCCATTTATGAACTATACTTCCTTATATTACACTTGGTGTTTGGAATAGGCATCAAGAAAAATCTCGTGTTTGGGTACAGCCTTGTTCCTCACACCACTGAAATTCCCATGTAACCTACTTCTAGGGAGGCTCTGTGCTCATCAGAGGCCCTCAAATAATTTTTACTCATGAGAATAAATGTGACACTGTTGATGAGCTAACCTTGTAGATGGTTGACTCTCAGTTAGGTAAAATCTCTTAAATTTGCCCTAAAATGCAACAAAATAACTCTGCTTGTGAATTTGAATTTTACTGTTATGTCAGTATGGCTTATCCACCACTTTTCTTCAAACTCTCTTCATTCTGATTGCTTTGAAATGAGTATTAAGACAGAGAAATATCATTTGACAAATATTCATTCAAAATATTTAGACCTAAAAGTATCAAGACTATGAATGAAATATATGGTTATTACAGAGAACACAATGAATGATCACTTTGTTATTTTCTACAAAAGTTTCTATATACTGATCCTCAAATTATTCACAAATCACATGCTCCCCAAGGACAGAAATTGTATGCAATCATCTTTATATTTTAGAACCTAGTCCGGTGCATGGTCTCTTGTGGGTATTTAATATAGATTTGCTGAATTGAATTATAATAATTATTAACAAATACAGGGAGGAATAGTAACTTTGGATCGTTGTGGTTTTTTGGGTTTTTTTTTTTTTTGCTGTTTTTGTTGTTTTTTTTGTTAGTGTCTTTTTTTTCTTTTTCTTTTTCTTTTTTTTTGAGACAGAGTCTCGCTCTGTCACCCAGGCTGGAGTGCAGTGTCGCAATCTCAGCTAACTGCAAGCTCCACCTCCCGGGTTCACGCCATTCTCCTGTCTTAGCCTCCGGAGTAGCTGGGACTACCGGCACGCACCACCACGCCCGGCTAATTTTTTTGTATTTTTAGTAGAGACGGGGTTTCACCGCGTTAGCCAGGACGGTGTCGATCTCCTGACCTCGTGATCCGCCCGCCTCGGCCTCCTAAAGAGTGTCTTTCTTTTATCTGTCTATTATAATGTCTCAGGTTGGGGGAACATAAGAAAAGTGCCATTCTCCTTTGGTATAGCCGAGGGGACTTACAAAGAAGATCTTTATAGAGGTATGTACAACCAGGAACATAACAATAACAAAGCAGTCACGATCAGAAATTGCTAGGTTTGAGAAAACAACAAGATGTGTAATGGCCAGATTATAGAATATGCATTAACTCTAAGAAACTGCAAAATATTTTCTACAGTGGTTGTACCATTTTATATTCCCACAAGCAGTGTATGAGAGTTTTAGTTTCTTACCATCCTAGCCAACTTTTAATATGATCAGTATTTTAATTGTAGCCATTCAAATAGGTGTGTAGTGGTATCTCATTGTGGTTTTAATTTGCCTTTCATAAATGACCAGTGCTGTTAAGCAGCTTTGCATCTACTTATTTGCCATTTGTATATCTTCTTTGGTGAATTGTCTATTCAAATCTTTTGCCCTTTTCTTTTTGTGAGTATCTATTTACCTAATAATTGAGTTTTGAAAGTTTCTTTTTTTAACATTTATATTCTGGATACAAGTCCTTTATCAGATATATCCCCTACAAATATTTTCTTCCTATGTGTGACCAGTTTTTCATTTCCTTAACAGTGTCTTTAGAAGGTCAGAAGTTTTACATTTTGATAAAATCCAATTTATTATTTTATTCTTGTGCTTTTGGTGCTGTACATAAGACATCTTTGCCAATCCCAAGTTCATAAAGGTATTCTTCCCCTAAAATCTAGAAGTTTTATAATTTTAGATTCTATGTTTAGGATTATGATTTTGAGTTAATTTTTGCATATTGTCCAAGGTAATGGTGAAATTTTATTTATTTTCACATAGATATGCAATTTTAACAGCACCTTTTCATGAAGAAATTATTCTTTCTTCAATAATTTGTCTTTGCAACATTGTAAAAATATCAGGTTTTCATAAATGTGGGCTTATGTTTGTGTCCGCTATTTTGTTCTATTCATCTATTGATATATTTTGATCCAATGCCTCATTTTTTTGGTTACTGTAACTTTATAATGAATTTTGAAATTAGGTATTGTAAGTCATTTAACTTTGTACTTCCTTTATGATGTTGTTTTGGCTATTCTATGTCCTTTCCATTTCCTTGTGGGTTTTAAAACAAACTTTTCAATTGTTATGAAAAAGCGTCTTGGAATTTCGATTCAGATTGTGTTGAATCTTTAGATCAATTTGGGTAAAACTGGCACTTTAACAATATTGAGTCTTCTGACTGAGAAATGAGGTACATCTTGATTTATTCAGGACTTCTTTAATTTCTCTCAGAAATGTAGTTTAATTTTCTTTTGTGGCACAGAAGTATAAATTACTTCACATTTTTGATGCTATTGTATAGGCATTGTCTTCTTAGTTTCAACATCCAATCACTGTTAGCACATTGATGCTATATTATGCAAACTTACTAAGCTCACTTGTTAGCTTATGAGCTTCTTTGCAGACTTAATTACATTTTCTATATGGATAAGCATGTTACCTGCTAATAATGACCATTTTACTTCTTTGCAATCTGAATGCAAGTGATATTATATCATTTAAAAAACGGTATAAAACCAGATAATAATACATTTATTCTCTGTTGGTTTCATGCTATTGTCATACTTTTTACTTATTCATATTTTATAAACTATTCAATATATTGTCATTTGTTGCATAACCAGTCAATTGTCATTTAAAGGTGTTTTAAAAATAAGAAAATAATCACATATTCCTTCATGTCATTATCATTTGGGAGCCAATCATTCGCTTCAGGAGACCTGTATTTCTATCTAGTGTCATTTTGTCCTTCTTCCTGAAAGACTTCATTTAACGTTTCTTGTAGTGCAGGTCTGCTGGTGATGACTATTTTCAACTTTTGTATGTCTGTAAAAGTCTTCGTTTTGCCCTATTTTGAAAGATATTTTACTGTGTATAAAATGCTAGAATGACTTTCCCTCCCCATTACTTTAAATATGTTACTCCGCTCTCTTCTCATTTGCATTGTTACTTATGAGAAATCTGCTGTTAACCTTATCTTTGTTCGTCGGCACATTACATGTCTATTTTTATCTGGCTCTTCTAAAGATTTTTCTCTGTATCACTGGTTTTGAGTAATTTCATTACGATATGCCTTGGTATAGTTTCTTACATATCTTGAGGTTGGGGTTTCTTGAGATTTCTCTATTTCTTTGTTTACAGTTTAGTTTACAGATGAAAAAATTAACCATGATTTTTTAAATATTTTTCTGTTCTCTCTTTATTTTCTTCTCTTTCATAGACTCAAGTGTCACATTTATTAGGTTGACTGATGACATCTTACAGCTAACTGGTGTTCTTCATTTTTAAAACTATTTCTTTCTTTCATTTTGGACAGTTTCTATTGCTATGTCTTCAAATTCACCAGCCTTTTTTGTTAGGCAATATTAAATCTGCCACTAATCTTATTCTATGTATTTTTCATCTCAGGCATTGTAAGCTTTATTTCTAGAAGTTCAATTGGGTCCTTTTTATATCTTCAATGTCTCTACTTAATTTATAAACATATGGGATACTGTTATAACTGTTTAATGTATTTGTTTGCTAATTTTAACTTCTTTATCAGTTCTGTGTCAGTTTTAATTGATTGGTTTTTCTCTCCTAATTGGTTGTACTTTTCTGGTATTTTTTGCATTCCTGGATTTGATGTTTCCTTGGATGCCATACATTGTGCATTTTACCTTCCTTGGTGCTAGATATTTTCATATTCCTATATATATAGTTTTCAGATTTGTTGTGGCATGCAGTGAGGTTACTTGAAAATAGTTTGATCCTTTTAAGCCTTGCTTTCAAAATTTGTTAGGTGGGAATAGAATTACGTTAGCATACGGCTAATTAATCCCTACCACTGAGGCAAGACTTTTCTGAGGATTGTACCCAACTCTCCACAAATCATAAGCTTTTTCATTCTCTTAGATACAAACATGTCATATGTAACAACCAGATACTATTTCCACTAATATTTTGGATGACTCTTTTCATGAGTAGAAAACTTGGGTAGTTTTCTTAGAAGCATTTGCTGCTTAAAAGGTTATCCAAGGGAGACTTCTGTAAACCTCCAGAGAGAATCTGCAAGGCTTTCATCCCTGATACTGTGTCTTGTAAATCCTAGCTGCCTTATTCTCCTTGAACCCTTAGCTCCATTTACTCAATTCACATAATTTGCTGGACTCTGCCTCTATTCTTCCCACCTGCACCATGATTTGTAAAGTCTCTCAAGCCAGCAAGATAGGAAAATTGTAGGGTTCATCTTGTTTGTTTCATTTCTTTGTGGGATCACTCATTTCTTAACTGATGACCAATGGCTTGAAAACTATTGTTCCATATGCTTTGTTCAGTGATTGGTTATTTTAGGCAGGCAGGTAAATATGACTCTAGTTACTTCATTTTGGCTGGATGTGGATGTCTCATTCGATTTCGTTTACTTTCAGTAGTACTTTTAAAAACATTTCCTGGTTTCCAACAGTTACAGTTACCCAAGAGTTTCCAACAGTTACAGTTACAGAAACTGGTGATATGGCTGTGTGGGGCCCCAGTGTGTGAGTTCCTTACAACTTCAGCTACTTGAAGTTAGTAATAGGCCCAGTTTAACAGGTAAGATTAAACTTTAGATGAAAAAATTATTTTTAGTAATTTTAGGAAAATATTGGAGACATACTACTTCAAAGGAAGCATATTAAAAGGTAAAAAATTAATCTATAATACTTAGGCATAATTGTGATCAACACAGAGTTTTAGACTTCTATAGCTAATACCTTTTCCTATGTTACAGCTGAATACCTTCCCCATAATTTCAGTTACCACTAATATGCTGATGTCTTCTAACATATTTTTTTCTAGCCCAGGAGTATCTTCTTAGTACAAGACTCATAATCCACTATACATTTCTCTAGAATTCCAATACTACAGATGTATTTGTTTTGTCAAAAGAAAAAAAATAGTCTGCAAAATTAGACTTATTTATTTTGCCAGGAGCAATTGTTTTACAATCTATTCATTAATTTATTCTTTTTTTACTCAGTTATTACCTATGTTAACCTATGCTTGAAGGTAATATGCTGGTATGTAATCCTACTGAAATAATTCTGCCTTAAGGGATAATCTGGAGATATCACAGGAGCATCCCTTTTTATTATTATAAATTTAATAGTTTAACTTGTATTCGTTCCTTCTCATGCTGCTGTGAAGAAATACCCAAAACTGGGTAATTTATAAAGAAAAGAGGTTTAATTGACTCACAGTTCCATATAGCTGGTGGGGCCTAAGGAGACTTACAATCATGGTGGAAGGCACCTCTTCACAGGGTGGCAGGAGAGAGAATGAGTGCCAAATGAAGGGGGAAGCCCCTTATAAAATCATTAGATCTTGTGAGAACTTACTCACTATCATGAGAACAGCATGTGGGGAGCCACCCCCATGATTTAATTATCTCCACCAGGTTGGTCTCACAACACATGAAGACTATAGGACTATAAATTGAGATTTGGGTGGGGCACCAAGCCAAACCATATCATTCTGCCCCAGCTCCTCCCAAATCTCATGTCCTCACATTTCAAAACACAATAATGCCTTTCCAACAGTCCCCCAAAGTCTTAACTCATTCCAGTACTAACCCAAATGTTCAAGTCCAAAGTCTCACCTGAGACAAGGCAAGTCCTTTTGACCTATGAGCCTGTAAAATCAAAAGCAAGTTAGTTACTTCCTAGATACAATGGGGGTACAGGCATTGGGTTAACACACCCATTCCAAATGGGACAAATTGGCCAAAACAAAAGGGCTACAGGCCCCATGCAAGTCCAAAATCCAATAGGGCAGTCATTAAACCTTAAAGTTTCAAAATTATCTCCTTTTACTCCATGTCTCATATCCAGGTCATGCTGACGTAAGAGGTAGGCTCCCACAGCCTTGGGCAGCTCCGCCCCTGTGGCTTTGCAGGGTACAGCCCCCCCTCCCAGCTGCTTTCATGAACTGGCATTGAGTGCCTGTGGCTTTTCCAGGCACATGCTGCAAGCTGTCGGTGAATCTACCATTTTGGAGTTTGGAGGACAGTGGCTGTCTTCTCACAGCTCCACTAGGCAGTGCCCCAGTGGGGACTCTGAGTGTGCTGCAACTTCACATTTCCCTTCTGCACTGCCCTAGCAGAAGTTCTCCATGAGGGCTCTGCCCCTGCAGCAAACTTCTGCCTGAACATACAGGTATTTCCATATATTTGAAATCTAGGTGGAAGTTCCCAAACCTCAATTCTTGACTTCTGTGCACCCGCAGGCCCAACACCATGTGTAGGCCACCAAGGCTTTGGGTCTGCACCCTCTGAAGCAATGCCCTGAGCTGTATCTTGGCCCCTTTTAGCTACAGCTGGAGCTGAAGCAGGTGGGCAACAGGACACCATGTTCTTTCTATGTGGCCACATAGAACAGGGGGGCCCTGGGCCAAGTCCATTAATCATTTTTCCCTCCTAGGCCTCCAGGCCTGTGACGGGAGGGGCTGCTGTGAAGGTCTCTAACATGCCCTGGAGACATTTTCCCCATTGTCTTGATGATTAACATTTGGCTCTTCATTACTTAGGCAAATTTCTGTAGTAGATTTGAATTTCTCCCCAGGGAATGTGTTTTTATTTTCTACCACATTGTCAGGCTGCAAATTTTATAAACTTTTTTTTTTTTTTTTTTTGAGATGGAGTCTCGCTTTGTTGCCCAGGCTGGAGTGCAGTGGCATGATCTCGGCTCACTGCAAGCTCCGCCTCCTGGGTTCAGCCATTCTCCTGCCTCAGCCTCCCGAGTAGCTGGGACTACAGGCACCCACCACCATGCCTGGCTAATTTTTTGTATTTTTAGTAGAGATGGGGTTTCACCATGTTAGCCAGGATGGTCTAGATCTCCTGACCTCATGATCTGCCTGCCTCGGCCTCCCAAAGTGCTGGGATTACAGGTGTGATCCACCATGCCTGGCCAATTTTACGAACTTTTATGCTCTGTCACCTCTTGAACACTTTGCCACTTAGAAATTTCTTCCACCAGATACCCTAAATCATCTCTCTCAAGTTCCAAGTTCCACAGATTTTTATGCCAGAGGCAAAATGCTGCCAGTCTCTTTGCTAACGCATAACAAGAGCGACCTTTGCACTAGTTCCTAACAAGTGCAACATCTCCATCTGAGACCATCTCAGACTGGACTTCATTGTCTATATCATTATCAGCATTTTGGTCCAAGCCATTCAACAAGTCTCTAGGAATTTCCAATCTTTCCCATGTCTTCCTATCTTCTGAGCCCTCCAAGTCTCTAGGAATTTCCAAACTTTCCACATTTTTCTATCTTCTTCTGAGCCTTCCAAACTGTTCCAACCTCTTCCTGTTACCAAGTTCCAAAGTCAATTGCAAATACAGCCTGTGTGTTCCTTACCATTGGTGAACTGAAGGTTCCAATAATAATAATATAGGACAAACATTTATCCCATTCCTGAACTCATCTTTGACACTCAAAAAGTAGTTGGTTACCAAAGTTAAAAATGATGAACAGAAATGTTCTTTTAGAAATGTTACACTTAATAACAAAAGAAGGAACCCCATTTAGCTCATACACACCTAGATACTTTTTCTTCTTTTCTCTTATAAAACAATGTTGTGACACAATTTTTCACTGTTAATATCTGCAGCCTTGACATTGTTTTTCAATGGACTTCCTTATTTTGGCTTTGTTATTATATATTTACTTGTAAATAATAACATGAATAAGGGCAAAATGATAACAGAAGTTTTCTTTACATTCAGACTTCTAGAGATGTTAATGCATAAGCTTCCTTTCACATATATCTCATGACTTTTTGGATTCATACAATTTCTTGATTTTTTTTCCCTAGCCTCACAGGTAGATTGGAAGCAGAAAAATAAATACACAAGAGAGCTTTCAAATATGACTTTAAACAATACGGTGTCCCTACTTGCCTTTAAAAATGCACTGACTCTTGGGTATGTTTTATAAAAAAAGTTCTTCAAGTGTGAATAAATGAAATCTGATATTTTCCTAATGCTGCCCTGGTTCATTTTTTTCATTAATTAACTCAATACCAGATTATTTCCTGAATACTATCTCAGGTAATCCTTTGATAGAACTGTCCATTTTATTCATCAAATATTTATAGCAAACCTATTAAAACGTATGCCCTCTAAGCACTCCACAGGGTATGATGATGAATAAATCATGAACCCTTCTTACAAGGGTTTTAGAGACTTCTGAAGAAGATATGTATGTATCATATACACATGTTGTAGGTATATATCATAAAAATGCTATATGTATATATTTGGCATGTATTTCAAATAATATGCATTTTACATTGTATTTGGCTCTATTGGGAATATAAAGCTGAATATGGTATTGTTTTTAGGGTTCCAGTCTGTCTGGGGAAATAAATTCAAGCTGTTACAACTTAATACATCAATTGCCATGGTGGAAGTATGAAAAAACAATGCCTGGATATATAGAAGCAGGAAGAATATTCTCTCTTTTATGAGATAAGAGAGTTGAAGGTACGCAGAGAGAATTGGGAGGTAGTGATGGAAATGACTTCAAAGGAACAGAAAGCAGTATCAGACAGTCCCCAGGAGCAAAAGAGATATCTGTCTCCTTTCACATTTTATCTCTTTCCCCAAACTCAGTAGTGTTAACAATTTTTGTTTAATAAAAAAGGAGGGAAGAAAAGAATGAATGGTGTAAGACAGTGTTTTGTTGAATTTCCAAGCCAGGATTCATGGAAAGGTAAAAGAAATATCTATGTTAGAAACTAAATGCTACATCCACTTAAAAAAAAAAGTCTTGTCACTCATACTCCTTTGCTATCTCTCAAATACCCTTCTTTATCTCCAGTGACATTACATCATTTCAGGATGCTAGCTGTCCAAATTGAGTTCCTGCAAGAGCACCTTAATCAATTTCCTCAGTTCCAGTCATGAAACCTCTACTCCATTTCCATCCCCTTCATCTCCCCATCCAAGCTTCTACTTTCCACATATCAGTCTAAGCAATCTTTCAAAAACTCAAATGTTATCATCTCCCTCTTTTTCTTTACATCAATTTCCACTCCTCTGCTTCTTCCCCTATATCCTCAGGATGAAGTTGAAGCTTCTTTGCATGCCACACAACCATCTGCAAGATTAAGCTCCTGTTATCTCTTCACACTCACCCATAGCTAAAGCCCAATTGTACTCCTATAGAGTCATATGTAGATATTTTAATTCCAGTAATGTGTAGATTTCTTTCAGGTCTAGGTCTTAGTACTCTGTTTGTCTTTTGTATGGAAAATCTTCCCACCTCTGCCTTTTTCTTTGTCATTGCAATTATCATACTATATTGACATTGCCTCTTAGCTGATTTTTTCTATCATAGACTAGAATTTTTTCTTAGCAGGAACTGAATCTGGTTCATCTTTATATCTGTCTGTATCTTTATAAATGCCTACACAGATATTTGATAAGTATTTATTAAATTAATGAAAAGTTTCTATTACACACACACATACACACACATACACTCCCAGATCTTTGTCATGTCTCAACATATTCAGGATTTTTAGAAATAACTTGTCTGTGTATAACTTGGTAAACTCATTATATATTTCACTTAGCCCTTATAATTTGTGTCTTATGAATTTGCTGATTGGTTTCTATTCACATTTTCTTAGTGTTACATAATCTCTTTAGGTCAACTGGAATTTGTATAAGTTTTCACTATCTTAAGGTATTCCAGAACAGGTACTACTTAACTGCAAACATAGTCTCTATTCTGTTTTCTCATAAAAGGCTTATATTACTGTTTTCCTCCAAGTGTCTTTTTAAAATCCATGTGCTAGCCATCATGGTCCATTCCTGATACATATTTAAAAGGTCTTTAGAAAAATTTTGCCTATAACTAACACTACACATTTTTTCATTTTGTTTTGCCTGAAAATTGAGTTATGTACATTCTTCTATTTTTCTATTTTTAAATTTTACAAATATTTTTAAGTGAGAAAGATAAAAACAATCAGAATGTTTCTATTTAATGAAGTCAAATGTGTGGGAGAGGAATTCAATGGCTAAGATCCTGGCTATCCATATATTTATTTTCATGTCTTGTATTTCTACATGTGTATGGTAAATTTAAGTGCATTCTGGTGAATTTTCTTTGCAAATTTTAAACTAATTATTTATTTATTTTTTACGTAACTAAGAAATACAGCATAAAGTGTTTTCTCTCACAATGCTTTAAGCCTGGATAATACATCATATCGTATTATACAACCACTTAGTTTAACAGATGCCATGATTGTGACATGTTTTCCACAATAAGTTAAAAACATACGAAATGAAATCCACAAACCTCAGGTTTACTACAGAAAAATCACTTTGCCTCTTCTCCCCTCTGATAATAAATCATGTAAAATTATTGCTGTAAGTAAGTGGCCTTGGGAAATCACTTACACTATTTGAGTTAATTAATTTATCTACAAAATGGACCTAACAAAATCTTCTTTCCAGGGTTATTTGTGAGGCCCAAGTTAAAATAAGCACAAATTGAAAATATAAAGTACTGTAGAAACATGAGCCAAGGCAATGATGCTGGAACTCACCGTAGACCCCTGGCTGCTGTCTGCATTGGTGCAGCGCAGCTTCCTTTCTTCACAAAATGACTACAGAATTCTACTAACAAGTCATGTGAGATGAGTAATTCCCTGCTCATAATATTAGAAAGAACTGTTTTTTCCATCTGAACTTTTATAAGGCAAAGAAAAGATGAGGGGAGGCAGGAGAAAACATTTCTGTAGGATCATTCTTATTTAGAATCTTCCAGGATAAATATTTCTAAAGGAAGGAAGGAAAGCTAAAGAGAAAGAGATGAAATAAGAGAAAAAGAAGCCGTTTTGATACAGTAAAGATAACATTTCATAATCCAACCTCAGCCCTGGATTTTGACTTTTGAATGAATCAGCTGGCTGAGAACTTTTTGATCCAAGACAGGGAAAGATGCCAGCTGGCAACTCTAGAGGCTGAATGCTGAGATCCTCCTTGTTGTACAAAAAGGTTTTAATAAGAACATGCATTTAATTTATTACAGAAGAAGCAAGGAAGGATCTGATCATGCAGTCTTGTGGTATTTGCTAGAAATCATATGTTTAAAAGCCTAGGAGATAAAAATTTTGACATATATGAGGAATTTTGATTTCATGTTTTGCTCACTGCATTGCAGATGTTTTTATTTGTTTGTTTGCTTTTTGCATCCAAAATGGTGTGATGTTAACATAGCAGCAGAAGGTGGGATCAGTTCTGGAAAATGAAACTATCTTGCTCAAAACAGTGGGGGTAACATCTATAGGCATTTGTATCAGGGAAAGTATAGGTCAGGGGCAAACGATGAGAAATTTGAACATACTAAAGTACATGTTGTTAATATTAGGGAGCCTTACCTTCATCATTAACTAATTTTAGCCTGTTTACTTAATGCTTCAAATCAATTTTTAACAACATTAGGATATTACAATATTAGTTGTCAAATTATAGATTTTGTAAGAAATATGCCCAACAGAGTAAATCAGGATATAGAAGAATGCTGTACATTTTATAATTTTCTACTACACAGTCAAGTTTTCATCCTGATAGGTCATTTGATTCTCTGCAGGTGGCTATGCCTGCTGCCGAAGAGAGAACCCTGAGTCACAAGTACACAAATGAAATGCGATTGTCTTCGTGGGTTGCATCGTATGATTTGGAGCAAGTCTTCAGGTCTAATATAAAGATCTTTCAAATAAATCATCCAGCTAAGCTTCTGTGGCCCCAAACTCCTAATTTAAAAATGTTGATAAATGAAGTACCTCTTTAGTTAATAAATGAAGTATCTCTTTAGTTATCCTTTGTCAGCAACATTCATTTTAATGGAAAGTGAGTTTACAGGGTTACATGATTGAACTACTGAGCCAAGTCAGTGTTGGCAAATGATGGGCTAAATTATTGATGCTACACACTAATGAATTCTGATGAGAAATAAAACACAGACATTACGTTTGAAGTGGTTCATAATTATTTTTGTACTTTAAAAGCAATTTTATTCTTTTTCCAAATCATACTGGTTCTGTAAAACAAAAACATAGTTAGTGATTATACTAAAATTATTGAGTTTGTGGCAAAAAATGCTCTTGCAAGTTTTCATTTCTGTGAAGATAATGTTATTCACACTAGGTTTCTGATTTCCTTATATACTTCTGGGAAAAGATAATTAAATTAAATGTCTAAATTTTAAAACCAGTGTCTTTAAATAAGATAATCTGCTTTGTAACCATGGTTAGCATTCCAATAGATGTGTTTATAAGCTATGATATGTCTATCAACACATTTACTGGAGCTGTGTTGAAATACCATAATTAGTTCAAGTAATGTCAAGTACAGAGGGACTTCCAGCAGGTTTGTTTTGGTAAAGAGCTTATGTTTAAACGTGTAGCAGAGAATGCAATGTGTACTGTAAAGTGATAGATGTTTGACGAAGTCAGGGCCTGATGGCAATAATTGAAGCAGGTTCAAACCCTACTAAGGTACATAGAAGTCTATACATTCTGTAGTGTAATGACAATGTCCTTTGAGCTTTCCTGACTTAACTGTCCCAGCCTGAGACTTTAATTCTGCAAGCTTGCTGCCTTCCTTTTTGGTTAAGGGTTGATTTATAGTGGAGTCACTCAAACAAGGGCTCAAACTGAAGTGACCACAGGCTGATTTTTAACTAAGAGGGATTGTTCACTAAGAGGCATTAAGGGTGGAACTCACAGTTGTCAAGGTGTTAGTCCACAGATTCATCACTTTCTGGTTATGAGTCTCTGGACCCGTAACTCAGCTCTCTACAATTCAGTTACCAAATCCCCCAAATGTGGTAACAAGTTCTCCCATCCTATCTGAGAGGTTTGTTACAATTATCAAGTCAGATATTGATGAAACTGAAACCTGTTAAGTGAATGTAAGGTAAATTTATGTCTTATATTTGACTGGATTCTAGTTGGTTTTGTCAAGATCATAAGCACTCATTTGGAAAATATTCCCTTTGCCAACTGAGGGATCTGCAGGGGAAAGGAATGAGAAGAGTTTTCAAGTCAAGGTTTGGTCATGTTAGATGATTTTCTCCTATTGATAATATGTGCAGTTTCTTACATGAATGAAAATCCAAAGGTTAAGCCTCCTATGTTTAAGAACCTATGAGACTCTGTTGGATTGAGGTAGGATACATAGTGCATTGAACTTTAGTTCTCATTTGGTGTACACTTTCTATGAAACAAAAATAAAAACTGAGTCTGGTTCATTTTAACTCTATAACATGCCATTCTCACATTGTTTTACTGAGTCCCTTTCTCCATTTTCATAATTTTCTCTTTGTCTATGGTCTATGATAGACTTGGCACCATTTATGAGAACAAGGCTGCTTCAAGTTTTCATCTTTTTTGAGTTTTCTTTTAAAAATGTATCCTAATTTTTTTTCTCTTGTTATAACTGCACTGTTCATTGTTTTATGATCTTGATACTTTTGGATGAAAAATCATGTGCCTGAGTTAATCTCACATCAAAGCAGCATCATTATATAATGATGATGCTAAGTTGTATGAAAAATACCTACTGGATATGCTCCATTAGTCACTAATTTTCAAACGAAAAGTTCTGTCTTTGAAAAACTCCTCTCCCCCACACCATTGACATGGCTCTTCCACTTGAAAAATGTCCTGCTGGCATAGAGTGAATTAAAAAAAAATAAAAATGCTGGAGTCTTTTGTTGTTGTTGTTAAGTCTAAGAAAAAATCAGAATACATAAAATTTATGTCTTTCCAATAAAAGTGATCAGAAATAAGCTTATTTTATTTTAAAATCAAGGGAAGAAATACATTTTGGCTTAATATGTCATTTAACAGAATAAAAAGAGTAGATAATTTAATTCATGGAATTGAATATTGACAAATGTTTTATTAATCTCCTAAAGCTACATCATATTGACACATTGTGAAATAAATGCACTTTTATCTTAGATATCAATATATGAATTGTGTTTATCTTTTGTTTATCTTTAAAGGGAAGGAAAATAGGTGATCCAAGGCTACACTTTTTATCCACAGGCACTCATGGATATTGTCAAAATCTTCCAGATATTTTGAAGAGGTGAGAGAATCAGAAAACAGGTATCATAACCAATGAATAAAAAGCAAAGAATTAGAGAATAAATGGTTAGAAACAGAGTGAGTGGAAACAACTTTGAGGTGAAATAGGAAATTAGAGACTAGATGGGGAAGAAGGAGCTCTTAAACACACTCAAAGGGAGATTTTGACAACAGTCAATATTTGAAAAAAATAGAGTAGATTTGGTTACATCAACAGTCAAGAAAAACTTCATTTATTCATTTATTCAACTTTCTTGTCAGGATACGTCTAGGTGCTAGTCTAGGTTCTATACGCTAAATGCTAAATTAGGTGCTAATTAAGCAATAAAGATAGTCCCTAAATTGGACCCACAGAAATCTGGTCTTGATCACATCTCTGACCTCATTTTGTACTCCTCTCTACCCCAGCACTATGCTTCACCCATACAGGCCTTCTAATTCTACCCCAAAAATCGATTCAGCCTGATGCCCCTTGGATTGTCAATTTCACCACTTGGGATTAATCCTGCACGAACTTTCTAATTATGTTCAAGATATTTCCTAATTTTTCTTATAATTAATTTTTTGACCCATAATATATTTACAAGTGTGCAATTTAATTTTCAAATATTTAAGGGATTTTTCAGATATCTTTTTATTATTCATTTATAATAATTCCATGTTGTTAGAAAACTTATTCTTTACTATTTCAATCATTTTACTTTTATTAATACTTGCTTCATGACCCAGGATATGGTCTATATTTGGAAATTTTATATGTTATGTATACACTTTAAAACAATCATATGTAGCTATTTGGGATGGACTGTTTCTTAAATGTCAATTAGGGCAAGTTGGTTGATAGTGTTGTTCAACTCTTCCATATTCTTACTGGTTTTCTGTCTTTATGTTCTATTAACTCCTGAGAGACGAGTATTGAAATCTCAAACTATAATTATACATTATTTTATTTCTACTTTAAGTTTTCTCAATATTTGCTTTATATATTTTCAACTTTTATTAGATACATACATATTTAGGGTTTTTTATATGTGCTTGATGAATTCATTAATTCTTTTTATGAAATGTCTCTCTCTATTCCTGATGATATTTCTAGTTGAGAAATTTATCTGATATTAATATAGACTCACCAACCATATTGAGCTTGGTGTTGCATGGTATACTCTTCCATCTTTAAAACTTTCAAGTTACCAGTCTTTTCTTTTGTAAAGTGTGTCACTTACAGACGATTTAAATTGAGTCTTGTATGTTATCTAATGCAGTAGTTCCCAACCTTTTTGACACAAGGGGCCGGTTTCGTGGAAGACAATTTTTCCACAGACAGAGCAGGGAATAGTTTTGGGATGAAACTGTTCCACTTCATATCATCAGGCATTCGATTCTCATAAGGAGCAGGCAGCCTAGATCCCTTGCATGTGTAATAGGATTCGTGCTCCTATGATAATCTAATGCTGCCATTGATCTGACAGGAGGCGGAGCTGTGTGTAATGCTTGCTCCTGGCTGCTCACCTTCTACTGTGCAGCCCAGTTCCTAATAGGCCATGGACTTGTACCTGTCTGCAGCCTGGGGGTTGAGGACCCTTGGTCTAATGTAATATATGCTTTTTAGTGGGAGATTTTAATCACTTTGATATAATTTTTGATGTGCTTGGATTTAGATCTATTGTTATTTTTTCTCATTGTTTTCTATTTATTTTTTATTTCTGTTTTTTCTTTACTGTCTTTTTTTTTAGGGTTAATCAAACACTTTTTAGAATTCCATGTTAATCTGATCATTGGCTTTTTTGTGATATCACTTTTCATTTTTAAAAGAGAGTAACAATATACATCTCTCACTTAGTCTCCATGAGTCAATATCATAATCATTTTATATTTAAGACTTGCACCACAAAATTCTATTTATTCTCCTATCTTTTATGCTATTACTCGAATTTATTTTGCATTTATATATACTGTAAATCTTATACTACAATGTTGTAATTTTTGTATCTAAATTCAGTTGTCTTTTTAATAAATGAAGACAATAAAAAGAGAGTCTTTTACATTTGCCAGTATATTTCTCATAGCTATTCTTCTTCCTTCCTTTCTGTAGATACAGGTTTTCTTCTGGTCATTTCCTTCAAGCTGAAATACTTCTTTTAGCATTTACTGTAATTCAGATCTACTGGTCAGCAATTCTCTCCACTTTCATGTATCTAAAATATCTTTGTTTTGCCTTTAATTTTGAAAGATATTTTTTCTGGGTAGAGAATTCTGGGCTGATTGTTTTTGTATTTTATTCTTTCAGCAGTTTGAGATATTCTTTTATGTCTTCTAGTCTCCATTTTTTCTGATAAGATGTTAGAGGTAATTTTTTGTTTCTTTTCCTCTGGCTGTTTTTAAGATTACCTCTTTATTTTTGGTTTTCAGGAGTTTACTATGATTTACCTTGGTATTTTTTTATGTGTATCTCTTTTGGGGGGTTCTTTGAATTAATTGGATCTATAATTTATGTTTTTCACCAAAATGGCCATATTATTTCTATACTTTTTATGGTTTCAGTGCACTCACCATCGGCAGATAATAAATCAAGTTACATTAATACTATACAAAAAATACCTAAGAAGTGCATGCTGATATTTTAGCACTCGGTTTGGTAACTGAGTGGTCAAGAATGATTTACTAAATATTTAGTACATTTCTGAAATATCAACCCTAAATTAGCCTGATATTTCTGGACTTATTAAAGACCTTACTCTAACTCTTGTTTCACACTGTCTTCCTCCAACATAATCTAATCTCAGTAAAAAACACACAGGGAATTGCCATGGTATAGTGGTTAAGAACAGGTACCTCACAGCCAAATTGCCTAGGTTTATGTCCTGAGGATGAGCATGGAGGACGAAGTTTGACACATAGTAATGGCTAGATAAATGCTGCATTAAATAAAAAGAAACAAAACAAGAATGTCTATTCCATATCCCAGGAATCTGTTTCCTAAGTCCCTCATACTTCTCTGCTTTGAGCTGCTTCCCTTTCCCCACCTCACAGTGTTTCCATTCTTCCCTTTATATTCAGTTGCTCATTCCTGTTTTAAGTCCCACTCTTACAAAGGCATTTCCCTGAATTCAGGCTGAAGTAATTCTTCCTATTTCCTGGCCAATTGTAAAGTTTACTGTCTGTACCTGGTAATATTTAATCATGTAATTATTATTCCTGAATATTTTTATATCTCCCTCTTCATTTCATCTCTGATGCTCCCCGTGTTGCATTTTTATGCTCTACTAATATAAAATTGTTAGTAATTTTCCCTGTACACAATACTGTTTTTGTTCTCATATATCTTTGCTCCCTGTTTATATAACCCCCTGACTACCTTTTGTCGATGTACCCTCACCTTGCAAGATGTAGTTTATGAGTTCTCTCCTTCAGAGAACGGCCTTCCATTCTCAGGTTGAGCTAAGTGCTCTTCTTACTGCCCTCATTTGTATTTACACAATATATTGTGTCTACCTCCTCTATGAGATTCAAGCTCTTTAAAGACAGAGAGTATGTCTTCTACCTTTGGACCACAAGTGTCTAGCAAAATGCCTTTCATATTGTGGGAATCCCTAAAATATGCCTTGAAATTAATTGATATTTTTCAACTTAGCAGCAAACTGCTTAAGGTTAAAAACATGATGTGTATTGTATACATTATGTTGGTAATCAATAAGTACAGAATAAATTCAGTGTTTCAGAATGTTATGGTAATTTACATTTTACCCATATCAATCAAAATGGAATTGTAGAGGCATTTGACCATAGGAGAATAATAACATAATCATTCCTAAAGGTAGGGGTGTAGAACAAATTAGCTTATAAACTCAGCTTAGAATTTTCTGACTCTAACTTTTGGCAAAAGGCACTTATTCATTAGCTATAGTCAGCTTTAGATGAGGGTGGAATGCTGATTTACATTTAAAGGAAGATATTTGGTTAAATGTGGCTCATTAATTTGGATGTTTTAACTAAGCATTTGTTTTCTTTTTTTTGTTTATGTGTTTATGCATATGTTAAAGGCTGAGGCAGGAATCATTAAATTGAAGTTGTCCAAGCATTTATTTTATTACATTATATGACTAGAGGTGTTGTGTGCCTATATGTAGTTTCTTGAATTCTCAAGTTTGCAATGACATCCATGGAGTCACCAGTTCCTGAAGGGAAAATGACTGGGAAGTATGAATGTTTCCACGATTAATTAATTTTGGCAAAATGTTGAATTTTCAGAGTCGTCTTAACACAGTACCAGGAGAAAAAAGAGAAGAAAGTGAGCTAAGGTAGTCAGGGCACATTACTGTGTACAGGGCACATTGTATATACATCATCTCATCTAATTCTCACAGTGACCCTTGGATAGGTGCTGTTTATACCTGCTTCACGTCCCAGATGATACAAACCAAGTCAGCAACCAACTTGTCAACCCATCTACTCCAAAACTCAGACTCTAGCATTCAGAGCGGTTAAGTGTATATTTTCACTTCAGAAAATATCCCATAGAAAGAGAGATTTTTTAAAAAAGTTTACCCTTTGAACTGTTTATTTACACAAGCATTAATGCAAAAAACATTTCTAGAATGTATTTCAGCATCTTTCCTGTCCTTTCATATGCCCCCCTCTCTATTTTGTTTTTCTCATTAGAACAGAGCGGGACTGTATCTTTAACTTGTTTGTTTACTGTCTTTTTTCCACAACTGGAAGGTAAGTTCCATTAAGTTAACGATTTTTGTCTGTTTTGCTTGCTACTGTATACCCGGCACCTCAAACAGTGACTGGCACATAGTCTTACAGTAATTATTTACCTAACAAATGAATTGTAAAACAAAATAAAAATATATCAATACATGAGCAAAAATGAGCAAAATTTCTTTCTCATCAATCCCTTCAGCCACACAGATCACAAATCCTACTTCGTTTCCAAAAATTCTGTGTCAGTAAGTGTGCATCCTTCTAGACCTATTTCTGCAGATTTAAATATGGATAGTTACAGGTAAAATATAAACACACAACTGAAATATAGACTACTGAAATAAAGAATGCTATGCATTTATTTTTACCTAACTAAGGTCATTTGGTTAAGATGTTATTCTGTATGTTTTTCTTCTTTTTACTATTTCTTTGACATAATTTCTTGGCTTCCCAAAGTTCCTCCTGATTCTTTTAAAGTCCTGTTTAGCCTGACATATTTTAGATATATGTGTGTTTATTTATGTCTTCATATATTGATGGATATTTACATTGTCTTCAATGGGTATTTACATTGCCTTCAATTTTTCACTATCACTAGTGCTATATCATGAACAACCTTAGAACACGCTTCTTGGTACACAAGTGGGAGTGTATCTTTAGTATAAAATATGACATTGTTCTATTAAGGAATATAGGATTTTAAATTTTGAGGACAACATAGTCCTCAACAGAATATGAAAGTTTACTTTTCTTTACACTATAATCACCACTAATTAATATATTTGAAAAACATGCCAGCATGATGACGGAAAACAAATTATTTTATATTATTAATTTTTTTGTACTTCTGATATTTGGCATTTTTTCATATATCATTTATTCATATATGAAACTTGAAATATTTTCCTATTGGGTTATATTATTTCTTATTGATTTAAATAAATGCTTATTTTATATATAAAAATATATAAGATATATAATAGAATCAATTTTTAATTATATCTTTTTCCATGAAAATGTATTTATTTTTATGTAGTCAAATTTATTACCCTCAGTGTACCTTAACACTATACAACATTTTATATTTTAAAAAATAGATTTTAAAAATGTTTACTCTATAATGTATATAAATATACAAAATAGATATACAAAATAATCTATTCTGTATATTTTGGATATTTACTTTTATCTCACATAGCTGGCAAGTGAATAGTCCATCTCATCATATACAATTTGAAATCCTACTCTCACTATATTCTAAAGTCTAAGTATTTGTGGGGCTTTTCTTGGATTCTTTGTTCCAGTGAGCAGCTTCATGCCTGCTGTCTGTTTTGTAAAAGAATTTTTATTGGAACACAGCTGCATCCATTTATATACTACTGTCTATGGCTGCTCTCCTGTTACAAGGCAGAGTTGAGTGGTTGCAACAGAGACTGTATGGCCTGGAAAACTAAAAATATTTATTATATGACCCTTTAAAAAATGTTCATCAACTATTCTGTTTTACAGATCTTTCTATCCATTCTTGCATTAATGTTGTGCTGTGTTAATTAATATAACTTTTTGATATATTTTGCTACTCAGTGGCATAAGTTCCCTCACCCCAACCCAGCAACAATTTTTCCTTTTAAAAAGTGTTAGAGCTATCCTTGTGGATTTTAATCTTCCAAATACATTTAGAATCACCTTCTTGAGCTTCACACACAAATTTTGTTCGGATTTTGAGTATGATTGTATTGAATGGATTTTTATTTATGGATTTTTAAAAATTTTGGATTTAAAATTTGATATCTAGGTATATATATGTAATCTTCTCATCCATGCAAATGATATATGTTTACTTTTATTTGGGTTATGTCTTTCTGGCATTGTTTAGTAGCTTTCTCCAAAAAGATTGAGCTAAATTTTTGTTAATTATGGTTAGAAAATATACTTTAGATTGCCATTTTAAATAACTGTCTTATTAATTCTAAAGTTTTTTTTGTTGATTCTCAGTTTTGTCCATTTTCTGAGTGGTATCTCTACCTTCTTTATCAAATTATCAAGTACATTTTATGAAGTTAAATTTGTAAACTATTTTGTAACTTTTATTAGAATAAGTATATTGTTATTGTTAGCAAATGCTTCTCAGCATTGATTAAAACTATGCTGCCTTTCTCCCTTAATCTGTGTTTATATTAAATTACATTAACATATTTTCTAAAGTTGAATCTCTTTGCAATTGAATCACAACTCACAGGTTTTGATATGTGATGCTCTTTTTTTTTTTATTTCCAAAAAGTTCAAGATGTGCCAATATTTCCCATTGTGATTGTGGATTTGTCTAGTTTTCTTTGAATTTTAACCAGATCTTACTTTATATATTATAAAGTTATGTTGTCATGTGCATTACGTTCAGGATTGATGTCTTAGACTATATCTTTTATTAACATAAAAGATCCAAATTTGAGTTTTCTAATTCTTTATTTCCTTGAATTTTCTCTCTCTCATTTTAAAATTGAAATTCTTTATTCTTTTTTTTTTCCAGGATCTTCATTCAGTTTCTATTTGCTTGAAGTGCATTTCTTCTAAATAACATGAATTTTGCTTTTATGACCAATCTACAAATCTGTAACTTTAAACTGTGCAATAAAACCATTTACAGTTATTAGTATCATTAATGCATTTAGCCTTACTTTATACATTTTGTTGCTCTTCCTGTACTCCTTGCATTTTGAATTATCTAATTTTTTATGGTACTTTTTTTTCTCTAGTATTTTGAAACTGACAAATTTTTTGTTTTGTTTTTAAATTTTATTTGAATGGAATCATATAGAATGTTCTTTTTATATTGGTCTAATTTAATTGTGTTTGTAATTTTCATATATACTTTTGTTTTTTTTTTTAATTTTTTGATTGATCCATTATAATGGTACCTATTTATGGGGTACAATTTGACATTTCAATACCTGCATACACTATATAATCAGGATAGATAGCATATTCATCTCCTCATGCATTTATCATTTCTTTGTGACAGCACTCAAAAACCCCTCTTTTAGCTATTTTGAAATGTACATTATTGTTAACTGTAGTTACCCTATCGTGCAATATATTAGAACTTATTTCTCCTGTCTAATTGTAACGTTGTACCTGTTGACAAATCTCTCCCCATCCTCCTCTTCTCTAGCCTCTCCCCATTCTCTGATAATCACTGTTCTACTCTCTACTTCTATGAGACAAATATTTTAAGATTCCACATGTGAATGAGATTATGTGGTTATTTCACTTTCTGTGTCTGACTTATTTTACCTAACATGATATCCTCCAGGTTCACTTATGTTGTCTCAAATGACATGATTTAATTCCTTTTTTTATGGCTGAATGGTATTCTACTGTGTAGATATACTACATTCTCTTTATTCATTCATTTGTTGACAGGCATTTGGGTTGATTTCAAGTGTTGGCTATTGTGAATAGTGCTGCAATGAACATGGGAATGGGAATGCGGATATGTCTTTGACACAGTGGTTTCATTTCCTTTGGCTATATACCCAGTAGTGGGATTGCCAGATCATGTGGTAGTTATAGTTTTATTTTTTGAGGAATCTCCATACTGTTTCCCATATGGCTGTACTAATTTACATTAGAAAAATCCAATTTTAGATTTATCGTATATATTCTTAAATTATAGGCAACTATAATTAAATACTTTTTCTATTACCATATAGAGTGAACCAGTAATATTTAGGAGTTTAATGTTATTCCTTGAGCATAATATCTCTAAATGTATATATATTAAAAGTCCAAAATGCATGTTTTCTATAAATTCTTCTGTGTTTCAAAAGATCACACAGAATCAGAGATTTCCTTTTACATCACACTGCTAAGTGATTTTAAATTTCTGTTGTGGTTTTTTTCCTGACTTTCCTTCATTTACACAATTCTTTTCCAGAAATAGGAAACTATCCCTATATCTAGTTGTTTGTGTATGTGTGTGTGTGTTAAATGATTAAACCTATGCTATCAGAATTCCTGGCAAAGCAACCAGTGAATGCTTTTGTTTATTAAGTAACAGAACTGTAGGCACCTAGAGGTAGAAAGAACTTTTGGAGTTATCACATTTAATCTTACTAAACCAGTTCACTAACTCAACAAAATTTTTATACTTATGTTCCAAGAACTGCAGCTGGTGCCAGGGAGATGAAGATGAAGAAATAAGACATGCTTTCTGAGTTGAGAAGACTCACATACTAGTGGGTGAGAAGGCACAGACACACACACAGATACTTGCACAAAGAGGTCATAGGAACCTACTAGGGGGAGCACATCCCTGAGGAGGTGCCCTCTGGACTGACCCCCAGTCCATTTGCTTCCCCTCAATCACTGTAGTAACATCTTCCCTAATGCACCTGGCCTGTTTAATCTAACATCTGAACACCAGAAGTGCACGCTTGGACAGAAATACTTGTTATAAAATTTATTCCTGTTGACCCTAAACCCACTTTCCAACCTCTCCCATGATTTGTTCCCAGTGTTGGCTTCTAGAGCTCAACAAACTATATATACCAACCCTTACTTGCAGTCCTTCAGATATTTGTCCTTCCAAAGCCTTTGTCTTTCAGGTTTAAACATTCCAACTTTTTAAATATTTCTCCCACTCTTTAATCTTTCTTATATTGCTGCTCTCTAGTGTGTCAATATGACCCTTAAATTATGCTTCCCAAACTTGTATAAAATACCACAGATATACTCAATGTAAGAAAAAGTGCAATTTATCTTATGGGACTCACCTCCTTCCAGATAAAAATGCCTCTGCTTACTCAGTCTAAGACCACATTCATATGCTGTAGCTTCTTCACTCTCTCATTTAAATGATTTGCTAGTGCTCAGTCTTTTTTCCAAATAACATGCCAAAAAGGTAATAAATACCACAAGTTTAAGTAAAAATAAAAAATAATGGGAGGAGAAAGGAAATGATAATAGTACTTCGTAAGAGCTCTGACATGAAGTTAGGACCTCATATAAAATATGCCATACACTGTCAGAGTCAAGAAGTTGTCTGTGATTACTAGGGCTGGGACAGGCCTTTGGTTCCAAGTTTATAGTAGCTCACTTTCGCTCATATTAAAATTGTGGTCAACTGAAATCCCTAAATCTTTTTCATATAAAGGGCTTCAAAGTCAGATACACCAATTCTTTGTTCCAGTTATAACTCATCTTATTGGTTTCTGCTTGATCATGTAATTCAAAAGCTTATCTGGCCCACCTGGTTTTCTGCCAACTGTAGATCTGCCAGTCATGCCTTTGTGTGGCCCTGTAAGGAATTGTTCCAAGGCCAAGGATAAAACAAAATTTCTTTTTTTCTGTTTAACTGATTTTTGAATTGCTTTTCCTCAATATTGGTTATATACAATTTACTTTACAAAACCTTCATCAAATGATTTTTGCATTGAATAGTTCACCGAAATCTTATGGCATCATTTTAATACTACCTTGAGAATAGGAAACATTATTTAGACCCCCTGACATCGGCACTTAAAGGAATCGAGATACTAAGCCACAGGAAAATGAAAACCAATAGCATCTGGTCTGTTATGCAATTTTTAGTCATGTTGGATCATGTTGTATACATTGATACCTGCAGATTCACTCCACAAATACATTAAGTCACTCTAGCATGTTTTCCTTTAAAACAATTGGATATAAGTGAAAACAAGATAGACATAGGGTATTATCAAGCCCCCTAGTAGCCTTGCTACAATACACCCTAAAATACAACCCAGGGAGAATTGAAAGGATTTCACTGATGGTATAAAGGCCTGAAGGAGCTTAGAATCTTCCAGAAAGGAGGACAAGCTACATGTAGGAGTGGTTAGCTGCTGAAAATACAATTGTGGTTCGTGGGTATATACAGGGTACAAGTAAGGTAGAATTTAATTCATCTTGCACAGAAAGGTTGGGGAAGGACTCAGAATCATTTTGTAGAGGAAGTGATTGAATTGGGTCAGGTGGTTTTATTTATTTATATTTTATTATTTATGTATTTATTTTTATTTTACTTTAAGTTCTGGGATACATGTGCAAAATGTTCAGGTTTGTTACATAGGTATATATGTGCCATGGTGGTTTGCTCCACCTGTCAACCCATCATCTAGGTTTTAAGCCCTGCGTGCATTAGGTATTTGTCCTAATGTTCTCCCTCCCCTTACCCCCCACCCCACTACAGGCCCTGGTTTGTGTTGTTCCCCTCCCTGTGTCCATGTGTTCTCATTGTTCAACTCCCACTTATGAGTGATAACACACGGTGTTTGGTTTTCTGTTTCTGTATTAGTTTGCTGAGAATGATGGCTTCCAGCTTCATCCATGTCCCTGCAAAGGACATGATCTCATTCTTTTTTATGGCTGCATAGTATTCCATGGTGTATATGTGCCACATTTTCTTTATCCAGTCTGTCACTGATGGCCATTTGGGCTGGTTCCAAGTCTTTGCTATTGTAAATAGTGCTGCAAGAAACATACATGTGCATATGTCTTTATAGTAGAATGATTTATAATCCTTTGGGTATATACCCAGTAATGGGATTGCTGGGTCAAATGGTATTTCCAGTTCTAGATCCTTGAGGAATTGCCACACTGTCATCCACAATGGCTGAGCTAATTTACATTCCCATCAAAAATGTAAAAGCATTCCTATTTCTCCACAACCTCGCCAGTATCTATGGTTTCCTGACTTTTTAATAATCGTCATTCTGACTGGCTTGAGATGGTATCTCATTGTGGTTTGGATTTGCATTTCTCTAATGATCAGTGATGATGAGCTTTTTTAATACGTTTGTTAACCGCATAAATGTCATCATTTGAGAAGTGTCTGTTCATATCCTTTGCCGACATTTTCATCAGGTTGTTTTTTTCTTGTTAATTTGTTTAAGTTCCTTGTGGATTCTGGATATTAGACCTTTGTCTGATGGGTAGATCACAAACTTTTTTTCCCATTTTATAGGTTGCCTCTTCACTCTGATGCTAGTTTCTTTTGCTGTGCAGAAGCTCTTTAGTTTAATTAGATCCCATTTGCCAATTTTGGCTTTTTTTGAAATTGGTTTTGGTGTTTTAGTAATGAAGAATTTGCCCATCCTATGTCATGGATGGTATTGCCTAGGTTTTCTCTAAGGGGTTTTACGGCTTTGGGTTCTACATTTAAATTTTCAATCCATCTTGAGCTAATTTTTGTATAAGGTGTAAGGAAGGGGTCCAGTTTCAGTTTTCTGCATATGGCTAGCCAGTTTTCCCAGCACCATTTATTAAATAGGGAATCCTTTCCCCATTGCTTGTTTTTCTGAGGTTTGTCAAAGATCAGATGGTTGTAGATGTGTGGTTTTATTTCTGAGGTCTCTGTTCTGTTCCACTGGTCTATTTATCTGTTTTGGTACCAGTACCATGCTGCTTTGGTTATTGTAGCCTTGTAGTATAGTTTGAAGTCAAGTAGCATGATGCCTCCAGTTTTGTTCTTTTTGCTTAGGATTGTCTTGTCTCTACGGGCTATTTTTTGGTGCCATATGAAATTTAAAGCAGTTTTTTTCCAATTCTGTGAAGAAAGTCAATGGTAGCTTGATCAGGTGTTTTTAAACAGGCATGATAAAAATGAGTATTGCAGAAACAGGGAAGAGTATAAACACAAAAGAAGAAGAATGAGTTTCACAGCAAGTTTCTTAATTAGCAAGAATTTTGGAGTGGCTGAAACATACTAAAGAACTGAAGCAGAGAGAAGATGAAGCTGGGATTATTAGCACAAGCTGGGTCATGAAGATTGTTGTGTACCATGCTGAAGGTTGTAGACTTGATTTTTTTCCCCAGAGGATTGCATATTTCCACTGTTTTGTAGTAAGATTTTGAAAATTGTATTTTCACATTTTTATTAAAAGCCAAAATTGAAATATTCTAAATGGAAGCCATCTCCAATAGATAAGAAAATGAGGCACTAATTTATGCTGCTCACGTTCCCCAAATACAATCCAACCTTGCTGCTGTGTCTCTAGGTGCTGAGTAGTTGAGTTTCCCTACCTAACCTATCCCATCCCTTCATTTCCACTGTTATGTAACAGCCATACAAATAAGCAATTTAAAATCAAGTTTGGTAAACAATATGTTGGTGAAATTCTCATAAAAATTAAAACAAGGATTATTGAAAGGTATGAATTAGAGAATCACTTTACTGATATTCAAATAATTTCTAATGACATTTTTAATATTTGAAAAGACATAATAATTCACAGTGAGAATTTATCATTTGTAGATTTTTAAAAACATTTGGACAAAAATATAGATTTTTCTAAGATACTAATTAGAACATGCAGATTACTTTTAAATATTTAAAAGAGATTCACAGGTTCCAGCCACAATATAATGTGTTACATTTTAACAGACTTAAGGAAAACAAGATGCTCCTGACTTCTAAAATAATGCAATTGTAGTTTGTACTCAAGTTTGTACATAAATTTCTACTAAATCTACATGTTTTAAGCACTGCCTTTCAAAATCTTCCTTTTTCTTCTATTATTTTAAATTTTTTCTTATAACCCACTGTCAAAACAACCCATATATAAAGCACACACACACACACAATCCTCAGAAGAAAATATCAAAAAATAGACAACAGCAAAAATGAAATTTGAAATCGCTTCATAGCTATTCAAGTGCTTTGCAAAATCTTCCTTTACTTGAATTAAAAGTAATATGAAGTGCGTGTATAATAAAATGTTTAGAAAAAGATTTGGTTTAGGGTTCAGCATTCATTTCATATTACTGAAAAGTGTGATTTTATGTTTTTGTTTTTCACAGAACAGGCATTCTAGTTTTTGTTACTTAATAGAACAAGGTAGTATGTGTTTTTCTTTGGGAGGTCATGTTTTATGCAGGTAGTAACATGTGATATGGTAAAACATTAATTTTTTAAAAGTTTAAGTAATATTTAAGAATTGTCTTCACATATTTAATGTGGGTTTCTAAAATATATCATTCTTAAAATGAAACAATGTATCTGCTAAATGTTTTTATTGAAACAAGGAGTAAAATCTCACATGCATCTAGAACCACAGCTACTTTCTAGTCTCAAGTTGCTTATCTTTCAAATAAAGTCATTTCCAAATCTGCTTAGGATGAGCCTCTTGCAAAATAGAAAAGGAAAGACAACAGTTAAACTAAGTAAACATAAGAGGGTTATTTTCACTGAAGTGGATTTTGCACAAAATCAGCACAAGGTATCTTGTGTCAACATCTTTTAAACAGCTGGATGACATCTGCAAAGCCTGAAGATTTGAAAAAAAATTATTTATACTAAATGTATTTATAGAAATCAGTTCTGAGGTTTGTGAGAAATAAGTCCAATCTCCCTTTTCTCCCAAAGTATGCATGGTATATGTGCTAACTTACTGAATTCATTCTTCATGCAATTCCAGTTTATTAAAGAGGTTAAAAATTTATAAAACTCTGATGGGATATGGTTTTAATGCTTCATCACACTACCCATCATTTGCTTTTCAATCTAGATCAGAATGATCTTTCCTACTTCCCTGCAATCACCTACCTGCACAGCTAATATTTTCTGAATACTCTCCTGAGAGTCTGTCTGGAAGTTGGCCAGCCTCATCTGGCTGAAGAGGACCACCAGTTTGAAGTGCTCCTGCCACAGTGTGTGCATCCTTCTCTGCAGCTGACAGAGCTAAAGGGAAGAGGGAGGGGAGAAAACACAAGTCAGAGGAGGAGAGGAAATTAATGGCAGTGTTCAAGAAGAATGATGGAGGGAAATATAGAAAGCAGTCAATAGCCCATTCTGCACTGCACGGACCTGACAGGAATTTCACAGTCTCTTGATTTTTCAGCCCACTCATGTGCATTCATCAGAAACCAGTCACATCTGGCCGCCAGGATGGGGGGTTAATTTTCTCTAAATGCCTCAGCAGTTTTGTTCTAGCTGAGGCAAACTCTGTGACTGCAAAGCTGATGAGTAAAATATTTCTACTTCACCCAGTTTAACTCAAAACCGATAGCCTTGGGACATATTGAACCTTTCTTGAAAAAAATCATCTTTTGAAGCCGTTTTGAATGGCACATCAGGTCAAGCCAAAGTTTAAAAATGCAACTTTAAGACTTTGATGGACACCATCACTGCTTTTTTTCCTCATAAAGCTTACCATTGCTTGGCAATGTGTGCTTTAGAGCATGACAAAACTAAAGAGAATTAACTTAGCCATCAACTGCTGAGGGAGAACAATAACAAGGAAGAAATTTCCAGCTAGAACTCCCTATTAATCTACCTCCCTCTGACCATGTGACATGGAAACATCTCACTGCACTAAAGCATAGTGGATGCGGTGTTAAGAAGTGACATGTTTAATACAGGATCTGTACAGAAAAAGAAAGAATTCACCTATGACATGTGCTAGATCATTTGGAAATTTAATATAAAAACCAAAAGAAAACAGTGGACGTTTTATCAAAACAATGTACATTTGCCCTTCACCAGTTACCGTAGGCACGCCATACAGAATTATTATAATAAGGCATTTTCAAAGGGATAAACATAAAATTAACAGTAAAAACAGTTTCTTAAAAATCCCAAACATTTATAATGAATGCTTATATTATATATTTATAATGAATGTATATATCATATGTTTATACAATATAATACATTCTGTCACTGAAAACTCTTGGTTTTGGGGATGTGGATAATTGCTGATATCAGCTCATTTTTAGCATATTTTGCAGAATGAAAAAACAAAATTCACATCCAAACATATAATATCAAACACAATTTTTATATTAAATACTTCCTCATACCAGAGTAAAAACATGTGAAAAATGTGGCTATCTGATGGGTTACATATGCAGGATCCTCTGTAAAACATCAATAAAGAGTGTATGTAAAATTTGGGAATGCTTTTGTATATATATTTCAATAAAACAATTCACTTAACTAAATACTTGGTATTGCATGTAAATTGTTTACCATCATTATCCTCATTATGCATTGTTATAAATAACACATATGTATTTGTGTTTGGTTCCCAGGAAAATAAAGCCTCTATTTTTGGTTAGTTGATTAGGAAGAAGAAAAGACTTTGAAAACTATAGGTATTTCAGCTTACTAAATGCTGAATTACATTGTCCAGAACCAGTTTATGGGCATTTCAGATAATTTGGGCTATTAAATTAAAACTTAGCATTATTATTTGAAGAGAAATTTTGTCAAACTTAAAAAAAATTGTGTTTTCTTTAGTATTAGCCAAGCCTGACAGTCAATGTGGGGAGGTATGCTGTATCTTGATATACTCATTAAGACATTTGAAAAGTTTAGTTCATTGTGTATGTTCACAACTACATAAAGAGTCATATTAAGACTGTAATTATTGTTCAGGGACAGGAGAAGGGTCTGGGTATTGGGGGTTCAGGAATGATCCATAGGAGGTAGCACTAGCCCTGTATTACCTAATGTATGCATCAATGATTTAAATAATATTAATTAAATTTGCTTTAACAATAAGATGCAGAGCACATGTATATTTAAATTAGATATTACTTCAATTTGAAACAGTGGACAAGGCTAAAGAAGCTGACATTTGTGTCAAGTAAACATTAATAGCAGAAAAAAAGAACCATGACAAATATTCCTGAAAATAATTTCATAGCATATATATGTTTGAAATTTGTGTGATTTTTATACTGGTCTTTATTATTAAAATATGACCTTGCAGTTTACAGATTTTTTTAAAGGGCAAAAATGAAATGAGTGTGAAGGAAATTTTACTTGCTTAAAAAATAAAATTATCAATCAGTTTTACTAACAGGATATCTCATTTCTGAAATTACATGTGGAAATATATTTTGAAACACATATTGCAGTATAGTTCTTTATATACTACCTAAATACATTGTTTGCTGAGGTAAACATCCTGAATGAAGAGGCCATAATCTTATAGATAAATACAATTTGCTAAATGATGCTTAACTATAAATTGTCTGTTGTGGGTGGAGGCTCTGAAGAGATTAGATTTTTGCTATTTTCTTAACAAAGACAAATAATCTGTCAACTTTCTCAATTCTTGTCAATGTGACTTATTTAAACAACACAGTTCATAGGTTGATTGTATTCACAGTGGGCCTGTTGAGATAGCTTCTTTGATTAACCCCCGTTTACAGCTGAGAAATCTATATTTTAAAGAGGTTAACTTGCTTTAGGTTATTCAATTCCGTCTAACTTAAAGTTTAAGTTATTAACCATGATGCCATATCAGTTAAAGTTCAATGGCTTTTCTCTTTCTCTCTCTGATATTTTAGCAGTCACTTCTAGATTAAGGATAGTCATAAAGACTGCTAGAAACACCCAAGGGTTCCGTAGACCTTTGCCACAGAGTTTCCTGGAAAATAGGCTGTGATGCAAAATGAACATCTAGATATGCTTGTTAGACATTAGTAAGAAGTGCATGATAAAACCTTACCACATAGCATAGGTTTTCAAATTATTGTCTACCTCAGACCTTACTTTACTAGTTCGTTGTAATTTGGAATTTTTAAGACAACAACAAATGGGAGCCTACCTTGTACAAAAATTGGACAATAGACTATTAAGACAAGAAAAGTTCACAGCAATAAGCCAGAAATAAACGATTTTCAAAGAACGGCTGTAGGATGAACTCTTAGCCTTACTGAGTGGAATCAGATATCTCAGTGAAAAGTCACCTACAGCAAAATACCACTTTAATTTTCTCTAGTATTTTTCTTATTCCAAGGCTGTAGTTATTTGGAGCCAGCTTAGCTCTCAGAATACCTTATTATTTCCCCCAAGAGATCCTAGGATACTCGGAACTACACCTATGAACAAAGATTTGTTTGCCAAAGAAAATAATAAATTAATACTATTAAAGTAGCCACAAATATGATAAAAAGCAAGTAATGGAAAGATGAGCTGTAGAGGAATTCCTTAACAACAAGGTAAATTTTGCAAGTGGGAGCGCTTCAGCATGTGTAAACAAAGCAAACTGAATAGTAATGTTTTCTACAGCCACAAGTCAAATGAGGAGAAGCAGCTGTATGCAGTGTCTGTTTTTATTCAGTTGTCTGTATTCTAGCTTGAGGTAGCCATAAAGGCCTTGAATTTATCCATATTCACATGTTAACTGAAGCCTCTTAAACAGAGAAGTTTTTAAGGATCAACTAAGAAAGAGTAATATCTCAAAAAAGATTTTTTTTTTTTTTTTTTTTTTTTGCGGGGAAATCAATAGCTAATAGGCCTATGGAAAAACAAGAACCAGGAAAAGGAAGAATTAAAGACAATCTTAAAGAGAGAAGAACCAGTATCCAATAAAATAACATATGCACACAAACACATTTGCACACGAAAGACAAAAAGACTATTCAAAAGAATATTTAAGGAAAAACAACTAAGATGCTGCAAAGAATGATTGATTATATCAAATAGGTATGACAACAATTATTTTAGGAAAGTGATTATGAAAAAAACCCATTTTAAGATGTCAGCAGTGATCACTTGATAAATGTTTATTAAAATGGACCCAACTTGAACTGATAAAAGTTTACCTGATAAAAGGTATAAATCAAAAACTTCCATCAAACATTTTACTAAATAAACTTCAGAAATCTTCCTGGGGATGTCGGGCAAAATAAAGTAAGGATATCAGAAATCAATACCCCTTTTTAAAATTGTATTGCAGATTCTTGTCGAAACAATAAAAAAGCAGAAGGACAAAAGATAGCTATAAGAGTTAGAGAAAAGGCCGGGCACGGTGGCTAACGCCTGTAATCCCAGCACTTAGGGAGGTCCAGGCGGGTGGATCACCTGAGGTCAGGAGTTTGAGACCAGCCTGACTAATATGGTGAAACCCTGTCTTTACTAAAAATACAAAAATTAGCCAGGCGCGGTGGCGGTTGCCTATAGGCCCAGCTACTCAGGAGACTGAGACAGGAAAATCGCTTGAACCAGGGAGGCGGAGGTTGCAGTGAGCAGAGATCGCGCCATTCCTCTCCAGCCTGGGAGACAGAGTGAGAATCCGTCTAAAAAAAAAAAAAGAGAGAAAAAAAAAGTCTATATGAGAAATCCAAGAGGCTCTACAAAACAACAAATGGAGGTGATGAGGGTTTAGGAGCTTTCTGCCTATAATATCTGCACTGAAAAATTAATAACTTTTTTTTTTTGAGACAGAGTCTTACTTTGTCGCCCAGGCTGGAGTGCAATGGCGCGATCTCAGTTCGCTGCAACATTGCTTCCTGGGTTCAAACGATTCTCCTGTCTCAGCCTCCCGAGTAGCTGGGATTACAGGCGACCCCTGCCCCCACGCTGGGCTAATTTTTGTATTTTTAGTAGAGACAGGGTTTCGCCATGTTGGGCAGGCTGGCCTTGAACTCCTAACCTCAGGTGATCTGCCCTCCTCAGCCTCCCAAAGTGCTGGGATTACAGGCATGAGCCGCTGCGCCCGGTCCATTTTTATAAATCAATATGACCAATTTTGAATTGTAATAGAAAAATCCTATTTATTACCATAAAATAAAATGAAAGGTACTTAGGTTTATATCTATTAAAAATGGGCAAGATTTTATAAAGAAAGTTACAAAATATTTTGAAGAATAAAGACTGAATAAATCTGGAGGTATAATGTGGTCATATATGAGAAAAGAGTGTCATGGACAAATCAGTTTTCCACAAAGTAGTCTACAATCTCATCAGGTTTCATGAAAGTTGATCTAAAATTCACATGGAAGAATAAAGGACTGAGAATATGTAATGAGACAACTGTGAAACAAGAGAACAAGCCTGAAAAATTTGACATGTGATATATATAATTTATCTTAAAGCTGTAGGAATTAAGAGTAATATTAGGATCATCCAAAGAGAGCATTTGATCAGCAAAGAGAGCTGAGTAACAGACACATGCATATAAAATGTAACATATGACAGAGATATCACTACAAATCAGTGCGGAAAGGATGGCTAATAATTGGCTAGCTCCATGCAAAATAAAATAAAATGAGATCCTTAACTCACAACATAAGGAAAATAAAAGTAAAGTAGATTGAAATGAGGAAAGTTAATCTTTAACAATTTTTTAAAAAAACATGACACAACTTTATGGCTTTGAGGAAAGGAAGAATTTTTAAATAAAAATTAAAATGATAACTTCTAATGGAAAAAAAATTGACAAATCTAACCACATTTAATTTTTTTAAGTTAAATTTAAACAGAGTAACCATATAAGCTGCAGGTTTAGAGAAGATTTTAATAATACAGCAGACAAGGATTAATTTCTTTAACATATAAAAAGCCCGGCCGGGCGCGGTGGCTCACGCCTGTAATCCCAGCACTTTGGGAGGCCGAGGCGGGCGGATCACGAGGTCAGGAGATCGAGACCACGGTGAAACCCCGTCTCTACTAAAAATACAAAAAATTAGCCGGGCGCAGTGGCGGGCGCCTGTAGTCCCAGCTACTCGGGAGGCTGAAGCAGGAGAATGGCGTGAACCCGGAAGGCGGAGCTTGCAGTGAGCGGAGATCGCGCCACAGCACTCCCGCCTGGGCGACAGAACGAGACTCCGTCTCAAAAAAAAAAAAAAAAAAAAAAAGCCCCTATAAGTCAATAATAAAAATAGAAACAGTATACCAGAAAAACATGGGCAAATTATACACATAGGCAATTCACATAAAAGGAAAGCTATTTGGCCTGAAAACATTTGAAAAGTTTTTCAACTTTAATAGTAGGATATGAATAAATAAAATTCAAACTCATCATATTGTCAAATACTAACAAAATCTGTCAATATCAAATTTTGGTAAAGATGTGAAAAAAATTAAACTCATATGCTGTTCAAATTTGTGTATAATTTGATACAAAAACTTTGGAGAACAAACTACAATTTCGTATTGAAAATGAAGTTGTACTTTCCCTTTGATCCAGCAATTATACTTAAAGCTACATACTCTAGACTTGCTATAGTAAAAATTTGGAAACAATCTAATTGTCTTTGAAGTAATGAAAAATACATTATGGTATGTTCATACCCTAAACCACAGCATTTAAAATAAACACACTGGCCGTATGTGGTGGCTCATGTCTGTAATCCCAGCACTTTGGGAGGCCAAGCCAAAGAGGATTGCTCGAGCTCAAGAATTTGAAACCATCTTAAGCAACATAGTTAGACTCTGTCTCTAAAAAAATAAAATAAAATAAACACATTAAAATTGCAGGTGGTATGTATGTTAGAGAAACAAAAAAATCTTACAAATAATACTTTTTGTTTTAATTTTATCACTATGTAAAAATGGCATTAAAAAAATTGGAATGGTAAACACAAAAGGTTAATTAACCACGAGGAAGGAGGGGAATAATAATAGGAAGAGGCAGACTGAGGATTTTGAATGCATCTATACTGGTTTAAACATGCAAAACAAATATAGAAAATGTCAGGATTTACTAAGCTGGTAAGGTTACACAGAAATTTATTAGAAACTTGTTTACTTATAGTTTATATATAACTCTGTAAATTACTGCATGCTTAGTTGTTTCTTTAAAGAACAAAACCTATGTTAAGGTGACATCTCTGCAAGAAAGGCATCCTCCACATTTTGTGGCTTAGAATGATTTACTTTCAGAGAATTTATTATAATTTGTTTGTTAAGGGTATCCTATTATACGTGACCATCTGTCAAAATATAAAAATGGCTTTTTGTACAATATTTTTGTTATATACCCACTAAATGTGATCTTACCTATAATAAACAAAATATCTGAAATACTGAGTTTATATCATTAAGGAAAAAATTACTACTTTCAGCTGCCTCATAAAATTATTGGTATTTTCCTTCATCCCACTCATACAATTAACACAGTTGTTGGTTAGTGACTTCATAACTTATTTCATATGAAATTAAAGATTGCCATATGTAAAATATTTTCATGAGAATTTGAATTTGCTAGTTTCAAAAGGTAACCATAGAGCCCAGATGTTAAAAATATATTAACCTTAATAAACAGATATTTTTGTCAGCTTATACACGTGTCATATGCTAATGTGTTGAAATAATGACTAGTATGTTTTTTCCTTAAAAATTCTTTAAATTGTGTCTGTGTCTTACAGAACATAAATACCATTGAAAACACACTTTGGATAAAATTAAATCATTTTTAGAGACATATGGTACCAAAAATTAACTCCCCAAAGCACATCATTTAACTGGCTTTTGCAATTTAAGAACCCTGGAAAAAAAGAAAGGGAACGTTTCAAGGAAATGAGAAGTGTCCTTATAATGAATTTCTCCTTATAAGAATCAGACATCACAACAGTCTTTTTAATTAAAATACAAATACCATATGTATAGTTATCTGAAAATGAACTATAAATTGTTTTGCCAGGAAACAAAGACCAGTCAATACTGAAAACAAAAAGTCCTTTAGAATACAAAGATGATAGTAACTGGCAGGGTAGACAGTGCATGAACAGCACTCACAGTTCTTTGTCTATGAATAATAATTTGTTCATTCTGGATTTGTGAAAACATACAACTGCTGGATTCAAATCTGTGAAAGGGATTTTTGAAAATACCTTATTTATACTTTTTTGGATGAAAAACATCTTTATAAAAACTGGAATTTATACAGATCCAGTTTCAACTGGTAGTTGAAAAGAACATAGAATTTCTCCACATGCAACATGAAAACCCATTAGATACAGAATCCAAACAGAAAATTAACAGAATCGCTGCAATAAACAATCTTTATCAATACAACATGTAGGACAAGTATGAAAAGTGTGGAACAATTCCAAATTTTTGAAGTAAAAATTACCTCCCAGGATAAATTAGCAGAGCACACAGGGTTTTTAGGGCGGTGAAAATATTTTGTATGATACCACAATGGCAGATACATGCCATTATACGTTTGTCCAAACCCATAGAATGTACAACACCAAGAGTGAACCCTAAAGTATGAACTTGGAGTGATGATGATGTGTCAATATAGGTTCATCAGTTGTAACAAATGTACCAGCTGGCATGGGTTGTTGATAATGGAGGAGGCTATGCATGTATGTGGAAAGGGGGTATTCAGAAACTCTCTGTACCTTCCACTCCATTTTGCTGTAAGCCCCAAAACTCCTCTAAAAAATAAAATCTAAAAAAAAAAAAACCACTTCTCAGTACACTGGAGTGGGAATTGGGAGTAGGTACATGGTGGTGACAATGTGTGACACTTGTTAGAGGTTACAGTATTTCTGAAAGATGCACGTGTATGCATGGATTAATTCATCACAGGTACCTGAAAATTTGAGAGTTCATCTGATATAATTGGCAGAGAGTTTGGAAGTTTCTTAGGTAAGAAGCCTGCAACCTAAGAATAGAAATATTACAAATATTACAAATGAAGCCATTTCAGAAGTCCGTATTTCCTATCTACAAACACAGTCAAACAAATAGTACAACTGTAGAAGCAGCTCTAAGATTTATTCACATTTGACAAAGAAGAGAAAAAAATGCTGTATCCTGTAGATTTGCATTTGCACCTTAGGTAATCTAATTAAAATCATATTTAAAGCTTTGACAAAATACGATAAAGGCCATCTGGAAAAAATAATGAGCTTTTCCTATAGGAATTTATTTTAGATAGAAAGAAGGTAGATAGATAATAGCACAAATACATTCATTTATTTGCACTAGAATATTCAAATAATGGTTACAATTTCAATCTGCTTGTTGTAAGTTTTCACATACTGAAAGCACACTGCGTTTCTCAATTTCTGACAGATAGATAAAACTGATAAGTGAAGGTATGTGCATGCAATTTTAATTCAACAGAGTGATGTGAAGTGCAGCTCACAAGGCAAATAGCATAAGCCTTATCAGTTCTGTTTATTGTAATAACCCAAACAATAGCAATTATAAACTACTCCACAGATTTTTGGCAAGGCAGGAATGACAGATATAAAAAATCCAGTTAATACTGAGCTATTTATAGTACTCAGTTACAAAGCTATACATGTACAATATACAAATATCAAAAGTAATGAGATATTTCTTTATTACCAAATCCATTTCACAGACTAGTGTTAAAGATCACATAGCTCATTTCTGGAAATAGCTTTTATTAACTGCTTAGATGTACTTAAGAAAAATAAGACCCACGTGCACTCCCAATTTTGGTGCTGGCATTTAAGAAAATTAAAGAAGAATTATTTAATTACTCTAATTATATAAAAATAATATATTCGATAATTCTGCATTTGGATCTCTGCTAATATATAAAACCATGGTATGACAGAGAGAAAGCTGATCTACACAGACACTATTAATTTTTGTACTGAATAGTTAAAAATCAAGTCTATCCTTTTATATGAATATGCAAATGTATTTCTTTGTATACTTTATAATGATAATACACACTATTACATATAACAGATAATAATTCATCTTTTTTCACATTTAATAGTAGTAACAACCTGCAAAACTTAAAACCTTCTTAGTTTGATAATTTGGTTCTGAAATAAAATTACTGCATTCTGGTAGATTTTGATAAAAATGTGTAAAGACAGTAGTTTATATATTTTGCTTAAGTTGCTAAAATTCACACTGAAATCCCATGAACAGTTCAATAAGAAATAAATGAATGAACGTATATGATTAATTCTAAAATTATTGTTCCTTGTGATTGAAAAAATTGTTAAACCAATAATAAAACAAAATTATAAAATAAAATTACCCTCACAATAAAAATCTAACTTTTCTCAAATGAATAATTGTTCAAAAATGGTTGAAGATAGAATTACATGACAGCTAAATATGAAAGATTACACTGTCAAACATAGAGATGAACATATTTTTGAAGCATACACTTCCTTGCCTGCTTGTCAGTCTTTTGCCCAAAAGTAATTAAGTACCTTGATTTTAAAATGTGGCCAAATAAATGGTCTAAGTTGGCACTTTCGGTTTTCATTTATGAGCTGTGGTTGAGCAATTTTCTCTGATGATTATCCACAGTATATCTTTATAGTCTTCTGAGACCCACTTATTTTAATGCAAAAAATCAAGAAAATGCTTTAAAAATTACATTTACCTAAAATTAATTCACAATAAAAACATTATTCGAAAAAGATTAATTATAGAGCTCATTGGTTTATTTCAAAATTTCAAGAAGAAATATAGTATATTTTTACTTTTAAAACATTAAATTTCATTATAAATACCCCCAGCATTTTTATTTCTTTTACACACAAGTAAACATAAATGCTTATGAAGTTATTTGTTTTAAACAATTTGCAAAAATTCAACTGCAAATGTAAATAAAATACGCCACACAATCATGCAATGCGGGACAGCCTAAGTGTGGAAACTAGTCTACAGCTATAAAAATCATGGGTCAGAAAGTATAAGCTTCATTTAGAATGCAAAACTCTGACCCTATTATTGTCTTAGCTTCTTGTTAGTGATCTAGAATTGTTCTAGCACTAGAAGAATGGCAAGAGTAAGAAGAAAATCTGAAAAGTAGTGCAAATTGTCACAGATGCCCAAAATTTATAAACTCATTTGCTGGCTTGCACTGGTATATATAATTAAATCCAGGTTATGACAAATATTATCGAATATATTTATAATAAAACAATGCTTTTTCTACATTAGTTACTAATACCATTCTTTCAGAAAACATTGTGAACTAAATTGAAGATACTCAAAGAATCTAAAAAGAATATAAATAGCAATGATTAATATAAATGGAATACTATTGACTCATATTAAGGAAACTACAGATGTTCTACCACACTCTGGAAATTTATTATGGTAGCAGTAGAAGGAAGGATCACTGGATATTTGAAAACCTAAGCAGATCTAGGTATTACTGGGCTATGTGACTTAGTGTCATTTGAACCTTGATTGTCTCATGCAAGGAACAAGTATAGTTCTACCAATCATGCAAGGAACAAGTATAGTTCTACCAAACTGGATTCAATATAAAATACTCATTCTTAATATAGAAAGATATTTTTGTTTTTGCACTGTTTCTAACATAGAGATACAACATTTTAGACAGGGTTTTGAGTTTTTTGGCCTAGTTAATTTATTCCATGTATTTTGAGAATAGGCAAAATGTAATGAAAAATTATGAAAAAAAGAGTTCACTAGACACTCTGAAGAGTGCTTTAATTTTAAAACAAAATCAATTCTTTATACAAATATTTTTATTGCATTGATGGGTTTAGAACACATAAGAAATTCCCATGAGAGAATCTGGAGAACCATGAGTGAAACTTGAATAGTGAGTAGCCACCAATTCCAGGTAAGTGAATGATCTCTGCATGTATACTCTCTAAGCCTAGAGTAGAGCTGAGGACTCCTAAGTTTTTGTTTTCCCCTTGGCTTGCAGAAGAAACTAGTGCAAATTGTCTCTGGAAAAAAGCAATCTTAAACTGGGACACAAGTTTTATAGAGATGAAGATCTATTAACTTCTAGTCAACTGAATATATTAATACATAGTAGAAACAATGAGATTCGCAGGAACAAACAAAAACTACCAGGAAGAGTATTATTTCAGAACAAGGGTAATAAAGAGATATTTTAGATAAACTGAAACTGAGAGTTTATTTCTATTGAACCTTCTAGAAAGGATGTAATTCAGAAAAAAGGAAAATGATTTCATGGAGAGGCTCTGAGTTGCAAGAAGGAATGGTGAATAACAACAAAACAGGTAAATATGTAAAGTCAAACAAACATTCCCTGTATGAAATATTAATAGCAATGCTAATAAAATTATAATACCTAATTAAAGAGTATAAAAGAATCATGGAAACTAAAATGTTTTATAACAATATTATGTATGTCTGAAGTTCAGAAGTCTGAATTAAAATTCTCTAACTCAGTATATTGCATGATAGTTAAAATATGTGCTGTAATAAATAAAATATCAAGTATATTTTAAATTAAATATGCATGGTCTATTTAAAGTATAATAAAAATAAAATTTCAAATAAAAGGTTAGATATAGTGGTTTGGCCTTCAAGAAAAGGAGGAGAAAAAATAGAATAAGAAAAAATAAACAAAAGTCTTCAATCAACTAAAAAGGCAGGTAGAGAGAAAAAGGAAGCAGTAGAAAAAAATATAACAATTAAAAAACAAAGAGATACTAGAAAGAGGTAAAAAATATAATTGATTACAATAACCATATATGGATTACATTTTTCAGTTAGGACAGGCAGAAGATTAGATTTAGAAAATGATGCTTACATATAGTTTACATGAAACACATTAAAAACTAAAAGATAGTCAAGATAGAAACTAAATAATAAAAAAAATTATTGATTACAGGCATATACTAGCACAATGAAACATTGAGTATAGTAGGCAAAAGAGACCTTAAGACAAATAGTGTTCTTAGATAGAGATTACTCATATCCATATATATATATCTAGGTCTATAGATATCAACACATCAATTTTGGCAAATCAAAAATTAAAATAATGGTGATGATTGACAGGCTTAATAAACTTGATCTAGCATATATATGTATATATGCATATATATGTGTACATACAGATATACATGCACATGTCCCAAATTATAAATTACACCATCTTCTTAAGCATACGGAAACATTAAAACTTGTAACTTATATACATTAAAACATAAACTGTATAAAATCTTATGAGATCATAAAGCAAGCCTTTTATTACAATGAACTGACATGATATAAACCATGTTCCTGACAACAAAACAACTAAATTAGAAGTCAGAAAGCAAAACAAACAAAACAAAAATGTCTATATCTCCTTAGACATTTATGAGTAAAGTTAAAAATAATACATTTGGCTGGGTGCAGTGGCTCACGCCTGTAATCCCAGCACTTTGGGAGGCCGAGGCAGGTGGATCGCCTGAGGCCAAGAGTTTGAGACCAGCCTGGACAACATAGTGAAACCCTGTCTCTACTGCGTGGTGGCAGACGCCTGCAATCCCAGCTACTTGGGAGACTGAGGCAGGAGAATCGCTTGAACCTGGGAGGCAGAGGTTGCAGTGAGCGGAGATTGTGCCATTACACTCCAGCCTGGGCAACAAGAGTGAAAATCCGTCTCAAAATAATAATAATAATAATAATAATAATAATAATAATAATAAATTTATCAAAATTAATCATAAAAAGTTGTTGGCTGACGCGGTGGCTCACGCCTGTAATCCTAGCACTTTGGGAGACTGAGGCAGGTGGATCATCTGACTGAGGTCAGGGGTTCAAGACCAGCCTGGCCAACACGGTGAAACCCCGTCCCTGTTATAAATACAAAAATTATTCGGGCGTGGTCGCGTATGCCTGTGGTCCCAGATACTCGGGAGGCTGAGGCAGGAGAATCGCTTGAACCCAGGAGGCGGAGGTTGCAGCGAGCCGAGATCGTGCCACTGCATGCCAGCCTGGGCTACGGAGTAAGACTCCATCTCAACAATAAATAAATAAATAAATAGTTAATTCTTTAATACTGATTGCTAAATAAATAAATTTCAAACACATAGGATGCAAACAGATGATACTTAAGGGGGTTTATAGTCTTTTATGCTTATATTAGAAAAGACAAAATGTAGATTAAGAGCTTTTCATCCAAATTTAAAAAAATATATAAAGAACAGAATAAACTAATCAAAAATGTAGGAAAAGAGTAATAAAATGGAAACCATATATATATGATAGAGGAAATTCACAGAGTTCTTAGGAAAGACCAATAAACTATGCAAACTTCCACAAGGATTAACACAATGAAATAGAAATAAAGTAAAAAATTAATAATATTTGAACAAAAGAAAAATTGATAAACATAGTAGAAATTAAAATTGTTAAGATAATACTATGAGTAATTTTATGTAGTAAATTTAAAATGAAATGAAATAGACAAAGTCCTAATAAACAGAACTTAAACTGACTTGTAAAATAGAAAGCTACATATTCTTACAATTACTAAAGAAATTGTATTAGTAGTTTAAAATTGCCCTCATACAGAAAACACTTGGCTCTGAAAGTTTTATAGGATAATTTTTCCAAGTTTTAAAGACACAGTTTCTTCCAATTGTATGCCAACTCTTTCAGAAAATAGAAAAAGAGAGAATATTTCCCAAATTATTCTAGAAGTCAAGCAAAACATGAAAACTAATATCCAATAAATGCAGTAAAAAAACCAAAAAGTATAATTTAATTCTACTTATAAACTTATGTGCAAAATATATGTGGCAAGTATTTGTAAAATGAACATAGCAATGTATAAAACCATAATTAATCATGGCCAGGTGATATTTATTCTAGGAACGCAAGACTTAAAAGAAATCTAAACATACATTTTACCCACCACATTAATCCCCGAAAAGGAGAGAAACCATATGATCATCTTATTGGATGGAGAAGATGCATTTGAAAAAATTCAAGACTCATTTATGTGATAATAACAATCAGTATCTTGTTTCTGTATACACAGGTTGGCAACATTTTTTTCTGGAAAGAGCTAGATACTAAATATTTAATCTTTGTGTGCCAAACCACCTGTGGCAGCTACTCAACTTTATTGATTTAGCTTGAAAGCAGTCATAGAAGAGATGTAAACAAATGACTGGGCTGTATTACAATAAAACTTTAATTATGGAATTTGCATGTCATATATTTTCATGTGTCAAATATTTCCTTCCTTTGATATTTTCCAAACCATTTAATAATATAAAAACCATTTTTAGCTCATGAGCAGTAACAAAGCAAGTGGCAGCCCAGATTTGGCCAGTGAGCTGTAGTTATACAACATTATATGGGAGGGCCTGAGCAATGTAGTGAGATAAGGAAAAAACTCACATATAGAAAAAAATACATATATGTCAAAGTAAAGAACCTGCCATTGATTATTCATATAGATAATACAAGATAATTTACTGTTAAGTTACAAGAAATAATGAGAAACTTTTGACAAAGGCTGCATGTAAGATTGATATTTAGAAATCAATTATAATTTTATTCACTGGAAATACATTGTTCGCAGCTGTAAAAAACTTTTTTACAAAGCATCAAATTATAAGATAATTTGAAAGAACTATTGTTAAAGAGTTGAGTAGGATATATACAGAGAAAATTGGAAGACTTCTTTAAATATACTGAATGAGATCTAACTAAATATGTAAGGAACCATGGCCATGCCTATGAAGAATCAATGTCATAATGTCAATTTTTCACAAATTAATCTACAGCTAGGCAATTCTCATCAACAGTGCACTTTAGGGAACTTAGGAAAAATGATTATAAAATTAAATTTTAGGAACAAGTAGCAAAAGTTAGTCAAAACACTGTATAAGGAAATCAAGTCGGAGACATTTGCCCTGCGATATATCAAATTTGTTGCAAAGACAGTATTTAAAACAGTATGTTTTGGTATAAGAATAGACGTAGTAATCAATAGAACAAAGTAGAGAGCCCAGAAGTTCACATAAATATTAAACCTAAAGTTATAAAGAGTTGGCATTGCAAATCAATAAGGAATGGATAAACTAATTATTTTGACAATTGATTCTGAATGTGAAAAAAATTCATCAAGTCTTCACAGTATATGTAAAACTAAATTCCATATGTATTAAAAACTTAAAAGTTCAAGTCAAATTTTTAAAATCTCAGAAGAAATTAAAAGAAAATGTCTTCAAATACATACAGAAAAAGATTTTTGAATTGTATTTCATCAAAACTTTGTTCATCCAAAACACCATGAAAATGAAAAAGGGAAGCCATAACTGGGAGGAGATATTTGCTACATATATAATCAACAAAATATTAGCGTCCAGGATTTATGTATAGATCTTAGGGATGACTGATACCAATATGAAAAAGAAAAGAAAAGTCATAAAGCCCAATAGCAAAATGAGCAAAAGATTTTTTTTTCACAAGAGAAAACACAAATGGCTTACAAGTAATTAGGAAAATGAAAGTTAATAACACAGTGAGATACTCTTTTATATCAATTATATTATGAGTAGTTATCTGCTTTAAATAAAAATTATTATAATAATTTTATATTTATTATTATTTAATGAGCATTTGCTATATGCCAGGCATGGTGCAAAATATTTTACATTCAATATCTTAGTTACTTCTACATAAAATGGGGGCTATTATCATTTTACAGACTGGAAAAAAGATTCTTAGTAGCAAGAACAAATAATATACTACATAGTGGTAAAGCCGGTATTCAAATTCATGACTGTCTGACTTCATATCCTATCCTTTTAATCATTGCACTTGATAAATGTTTGCCGGGCAAATTAAACAGTTAAATTTAGGTATTGTGTACATAAATTTTTAGGGTGTCAAATGCACACTAATGAAAATAAGGGGCCAGGATAACTATGCCTAATGACATTTACAACCTGTGGGGGAAACTGGACTTCACCAGTAAGGATTCAAGCAAGTATTCAATTATGAACTGTGATTTGAGCCATGAAAGATAAAAAAGTCTGTGGAGGCGCAGACTTAACAAGAGAAAATGGTGGTAGTGTCAAGATAGGAGGAGGTGATTTCATGTAAGCTAGAAGGTAGTTTTATTTCAAAATGGTAAATAAGCAAATTTTTAACATTTGTGCTCTTTACTTTCTTTAATAAATGTTGCACCCCTCTTCCAAATGTCCCACTACAGTTGCACCAGCCCCTCATGTCTCCATGCTGTCTCGGGCTGGTCCCCAGTTTGTTCCTTCAGGCTTATGCAGAGGTGTATTCTGATACCCAGTCCCAACAAAACTTTCTCTGTTTCACCCTTTATCTTGAGTTTCCACCTCCAGGCACATCCCTGCATGAGCTAGTCTAAATAAAGAATTTCTATTTCATATTTTAATGCTCCTGAAGAATTCTGTGTTAATTACCCCAGGCATTTAAAAAGGACATCTGCCCATTGCTTTACCTAAGGGATTATATCTAATGATAGAAATTTTAGATAGTGTGTTGTGTTTGTGGTATAAAGTACAGAAATAATGGGAACTTTTAGGTCTTCCCAAATCACACCTCAAAAGTGGGTACATAAGCTGTAAGTCAACATGTAGAAACTTGGTCATAGTCCTTGGAATAAATGAAAGTGTAATAGTTGAACCAATTTTATTATATTTTCTGTCATGTTAGTATAAGCGCTGTAACAACTTGTCAAATCAAATGCATTTTTTTTATCCTTTTCATTTTCTGTAAATGAGCTTTTGGAGACCTAGTCCATTCTTTGTTCTTTTGACAGCTTGTTCTGCTCATTACATGATATGTGGGATTATCAAATCTCTAAGATTTTGCTGTTTCTAAAATACATTATAAAATGGGATAAACTTTCTGAATTTTTCTAAATACACATTTTGGATCAAATTTTAAATTGGAATATTAAATTTAAAACAAGGAGGATGATACACAAAACTATATGTGGTCAGTCATTCCTAAATTATGGCTCATGGGTGTTTAAAAGATGCTTTGAAAGTAAGTAAAAAAAAGTGACAAGGTGGCAACTGAGGGAATTTTGAAGACTTACAGAAAATGGAAGAGAAAAGGTATATAGAAACTGTAAAATAATGAGGAGACTTCTGAGGAATAAAGCAGAAATATTTACTATTGCACAGCATGGTGACCACAGTTAATGTGTTATATATTTCAAAATTGCTAAAGAAATAGATTTTAAGCATGATCACCCTACGCAAAAAAGTGATAAGTTGGTGAGGCAATGGATATGGATATTTTAATTAGCTTGACTGAATCTTTCTACAATGTACACATACATCAAAGTATTGCATTTTACCCCATAAATATATACAGTTGTTATTTGACACCTAAAAAATATAATTAAAAACGTAAATTAGATGGACCAAGATAATATTATATTTCCTTTAATTAAACTCAAGGATGTTGGGGCCAGGCACCGTTGCTCACACCTGTAATCCCAGCACTTTGGGAGGCCAAGGAGGGCACCTCACCTGAGGTCAGGAGTTCGAGACCAGCCTGGCCAACATGGTGAAGCCCCGTCTCTGCTAAAAATACAAAAATTAGCAGGGCGTGGTGGCGCAAACCTGTAATCCCAGCTACTCTCGAGGCTGAGTCAGGAGAATTGCTTGAACCCGGGAGGCAGAGGTTGCAGTGAGCTGAGATCATACCACTGCACTCCAGCCTGGGCAACAGAATGAAACTCTGTCTGAAGAAAAAAAAAATTAAGGATTTTGTTCTTCTGAGGTAGGAAGCAGTACTTGACTCTGAAGGTGGGAGCTCAGACCTCAAACATCAGACCAAATTAAGGACTGGCTAAAACAGGGACAGGGTGGAAGCAGCTTTCCATAAGACGTGCCCATCAGAGTGCCAAGGCAGTTTATTACCATCATGACAACATCCAAAAATTACCACCCTTACTATGGCAATGACCCGACAACCCAATTGTCCCTTAATCTGCATATAATTAAAAATAAGTACAAATAAGATTGCAAAACTGCCCTGAGCTGATGCCCTGGGCAAGTGCAGTACCTCTGCTGCTCCTGTACACTGCCACTTCAATAAATGTTGCTGTCTAACACCACTGGCTCACCATTAAATTCTTTCCTGGGCAAAGCCAAGAACCCTCTTGGGCCAAGCCCCAGTTTTGGGGCTCACCTGCCCAGCATCACCTTGAATGTGATCTTTTATCATGCACAGATAGGGATTAGTTTATTTCAGGTGTATTGTAGTTGGTTGTATATGTGCTTTCTCTGCTGGATCATTAAGTCCTTGAGGGCAGGGTCAATGTGATGTTCATCTTTGTGTCCCCTGCACCTGATTCAGGGTTAGGTGCATAAAAAGTCCTCAACAAATATTATTTGAATGACTTAATTAATAAATATAGGGCCTTTAATGAGTGTCAAGAAAGCTGGTTTCCTTTCACTTCAATTACAACAAATCTTACACTGTAAAATTTTATTAGCTATTATGCCTATTGAACCAACACCACAGGTTAATTCTGTACAACACAGTCCTGTGTTGCAACAGAGATTACTACTATATAGAGAAGCCTTTCCTGAGGCATCACCCCACCCCAAGCAGAAAGAAAATGCTTCCTCCTCCATGATCTTACAGAGTCCTAATATTATCTCTAAAAAAGCCTGCCTCACTCTGACCCAGGATAGCCTCAGAGTTACCCATGAATCTTTCCTTTCCTCAGCATCCCCCTCCAATTGGTTACTAAATCTCTTTTCTAACTCCTGAATGCTTGTATTCCATTCTTTTTCTCCAAACTTACTGCCATTACTTGATTTTAGTTCTTTAACTTATGTTACTGAACTATTTCAGAAACATAAGTGCATATTTCACAAGATGTAAAGTTGGTTAGAGATGTAGAAAGAAAACTGGGATAATGCAGAGACAAAAGTCAAAACACCAAAAACTTTAAAGAATAAGAATTTCATCCTGCAAATTTTCATCACCTGTAAAATAATTTTAACTCTTTTTTAATCTCCTTCTCTGGGCAAACAGTGTACAAATCTGGACCTATATTATTAAGTCTAAATTCCACTTTGCCTTTGAAATGAAGATACCCTGTTTCCAGTACCAGTTTTAAGTAATGAAATTCAAAGGGAAAATAGAAGTTGACACACAGTACTTCATTTATACAAAATTGAACAGAAAAGCCTCCAAGACTAAAATTAACCTACAATAATCACCAAGTTTATTGCTGCGGTCAATAGAAATTATGAGTTAGCAACTAGGCAAATAGGTTTTGTCTCAAGTGCCAATTTTAATTAATTAATTATGGCCATCTGGAGCATTGTGTTTAGAAGGCTGGAGGATTAGCTTGTACCAAGCAAAAGAGAATTCAATGATGATTATCCATGTCTGCCACAGGTGTGAAAGGGATAAAAATAAGAATAAGAGCAGACTTTTAGTTTTAGTGATTAGAATATCAGCAGTATTTCTAAGGTGACTAAATCATGGTTTCATACCAATAGGAAACAGTTTTCTGTTTAATGGCTCATTTGAAAATAGTATTTTGTTTGTCATTTTGATGATAGCAGCTCAGTTATGCCAAGTTGAGAGGAAAGCTGGCAATGACCCTGCACTCCTTTTCATAGGTGTTGCACTGGATCAGCCATTGTGTAATGGAATTACATGGGCTCAGTCCCTGGAAACAGTATTTTATTAATCTACATATAGTACTGCAACTCAAATAAATGCGATCGCTTATCAATGGGAGGAGGAACTTATGGCACATAATTAAAACAACTCTGCAAGTAAGAATCAGGGTTTAACAATGTAGTAGAAGTTGAATCTCTTAATGGCTTTCTTCTTTTTACAGAAAAGCAATTGTTATTTAAGTTTATGGAGTGGTTGTTTAGTCCTGGATGTGATTCCTCAAAGAGCAATTTAAAAATATAATTTTTTATTAAATCAATATAGTTTTCTTTCTAGTATTTTTTGGTAAAAAGATACTCAAGGAAATAAAATCACAACATGAAATAGTATTTCACCAACTAATTTACATCAGATTTATTAAAGCCAAGTATAATAGAGGCCTAAATGAAAACCAGATGTATACAAAATAAACAACTGTGTATTGTGGTACCCTATAAAATGGCTAAGCTGCCTCTATTTCTAACATAAAAATATTAGTTGAATTAATGAATGCTTTTTGCCATATTCCTTCTAAAGAATATAAACTGCTATTTCACTTCAAAGAAAACCAAAAAACATAAACTGAGAAGGTACTATTAGACTTGCGCCATTCTACAAAAGCATGGTACATTACATAATTGGGAATTTATAAGTCAACTATATTATCAAAGCAATAAGATTAATTGCTGACAAATTAGAAAAGCATAAAAATGTTTAAAGAAAGATGCTATAGGAGAATATATTAGAGAAAACTCTGTAATCTGGAGTCAGGATGCTTGTAAATCTTTCTGATCCTACAATTTTATCTATATCTATATCTATATCTATATCTATATCTATATCTATGTCTCTCTCTATATTTACATATATATATTAAGACACACACACACACCCCTAAGTGACTCATGAAAATAAAGTGCAAAGTCAAATATAAAAATAAAATTCAGCTACAATGTCAGATACGGAATGAATGAATTTTCAAAAAGTGAGCTTTCCTTTATGGTTTAAGTAAAAATATAATAGAAAAAAAATTCCCAGTCATAAGAACAACATGACAACCACACAATATTAGAAATATAAAATCCTGAGAACAGCATTAAAAACAACAGCAAGAAAACCCACTATAAAATCTGTAGTAATAAAGTTACAAAACTTTACTGAAATATGTATAAAGTCCCCAGTGTAATCTTCTCAACAAACCTGATTTTGGTATTATTAATATCCCTACATTATATACAAAGACTTTATAATGTACAAAAAATGCTTAATGAGAGAAATATTAAGTAACCTTAATATCATTGAGTTAGGAATAGTATGCAAGAACTTAAGCTAGGTTAAAGAAAGTCAACAAGTCAACAATGTTGAGAAAACTAGAAATTTGGAAAACTATAAATTATATCCTCAGCTTATATTATACAGTAAATAAAATTTTATTTTATAGGAAAATGCTCCATATATAATATTAAATGAATAAAGTAGAATGTAAAACTGCATCTATAATATAATTTCAAACTGTTAAAATATGATTTAAAGAGTTGAATACAAACAATTAAGCCATAGGAAACAGAAAATCCAGATGGATTTTTAATTGATTCTGGTATAGGCAAGTATTTTCTAAGCACAAAATAACAGAATAAATAATTTTTAAAAAATCTGGATGCACTTGACTGCAAGCAAAATTTAAAATGTAGTATAAAAAATTGAATGTAGAAAATATTTGAAGCAAAAAAGTGACACATGTATTATAAAGAGATCATATAAATCAATAAGAAAAAAGAATACCTCAACAGAAATAAATGAATGAATGGCAGAAATGCATTATAGATGAATTAGCACAAATGTTAAGTAAAGTTATAGAATAACCAATTCTATTAATAACAAAGAAAAATAAAATAAAAAATTAAATTACACAGCTCACCCTCCCCCTCATACCAATTTACAAAGACTTCAAATCATAATCCAAAACTTCTCTCTTTCGTTTTGAATTTAAGTTATCATCCCTGGGAATTCATGTAAAATTTTTTCAATGGATTAAATAACCCTAGTACTATTTGTACTCTGTGTGTGGGGGTAGGATGGGGCAGTGAAGACAGGTATGATAGTTAATTTTGTATGTCAACTTGGCTACACCATGGTACCCAAATATTTAGTTAAAAGGCTAATTTATTTGTTTCTGAGGAGATTGTTTATTAGATTGGGATTAACATTTAAATTAGTGAACATTGCATAAAATGGATTGTCCTCCCTAATGTGGTTGGGCCTCATCCAATCAATTGAATGCCTTAAGATGAAAAGACTGATGTTCTCCACCAACCACTATGAAAGGGAGGGAATTCTGCCAGCAGATAGCTTTCAGGGTCAAGCTGCAAGTTTTCATTGGATGTTCAGCCTGTCAGCCTACCCTGAAGATTTTGGATTTGCCAGCCTCAGAATTTTATGTGACCCAATTCCTTAAAATAAAATCTCTCTCTTGTTCTCTCTTTATAATATACATAAAGTGTATGTGTGTGTGTGTGTAAAGAGTGTAGTATATATACATACCTGTGTATGTATATATAAAGACTATATATGTATATCATACATATTATATATTATCTATCTATTCGTCTATCTATCTGTCTGACTATTTATATATCTATGTTTTTTTATTGGCTCTGCTTCTCTGGAGAATCCTGACCAAAACAGCAGGTATCTAAGGAAGGCCAATATAGTTGTCTTGTTTCATTAGCAATAATTCATTTTGATATGAGAAAAAAAAATCAACCATTTTATTCATTTTTATACTATCCAAAATAAATAGGTGGAAAGGCAGAGCAAGATGTCCTAATAGAAACCCTCACTGATTGTCCTCCCGACAGGAGCATCAAATTGAACAACTATCCACACAAAATGTACCTTCATAAGAACCACAAATCAGGTGAGCAATCACAGTACCTGGTTTTAATTTCATAGCACAGAAAAAGGCACCGAAGATAGTTGGAAAGACAGTGTTGAATCACTGACACCACCCCTCCACTATCCTCTGGCAGCAGCCATGTGGTGAAGAGAGATAATCTGTGTGCTTGGAGGAGGCAGAGTGATTGTGGGACTTTGCGTTGGAAGTCAGTGCTGCCCTATTGCAGAGGAATGCAATACTGGGAAAGAACTCAGTGGACACTCATGGAGGGAGCATTTAGACCAGCCCTAGCCAGAGGGGAATCATTTATCTCAGCAATCAGAACCCCCGAGTTCCAGCAAGCCTCGCCACTGTGGTCTAATGTGCTATGGGATCCTAAATAAACTCAAAAGGCAGTCTAGGCCATGAGGACTGTAATTCTTGAGCAACTCCTGGTGCTGTGCTCGGCTCAGAGATAATGGACCTGAGGGACATGCAATCTATAGGGACACCAGCTGGAGCAGTCAAGAGAGTGTTTACACCACCCTTCCCCCAACCCTAGGCAGCATAACTTGCAGCTCCAGGAGAGGCTCCTTCCATCTGCTTGAAGACAGAAGAGGAAGGAGTAAAGAAGACATTGTCTTGCAACTTGGATACTAGCTAATCTACAGTAGGATACAGCATCCACCAGATTCCAGAGGCTCCTATTCCAGACTAGCTCACAGATGATAATTCTAGACACAGCCTGGGCCAGAAAGGAACCGTTGCCTTGAAGGGAAGGACCTCATCCTGGCAGGATTCAGCACCTGCTGACCAAAGAGCATGTGGGCCCTGAATAATGAGCGGTCATACCCAGGCAGTGTTGGTGAGATACCCAGGCCTTGGGTGAAATTTAGAGATAAGATGACATCAGGTGTCAACATATTTCCAGCTGTGGTGGCTACGGAAAGAGGCTCCTTCTGCTTGAGAAAAGGAGAGGGAAGAGGAAAAGGGACTTTGTCTCACAGCTTAGGTAGCATCTTGGCCACAGTAGAGTAGACAAGTAAGTGGACAACTGGGGTTCCCAATTCCAGGCTGTGGCACTTGGATGGCATTTCTGGATCTTCCCTGGACCACAGGGGAGACCACAGCCCTGAAGTGAGAGCCACAGGCCTGGCAGCATTCACCACAAGCTGAACAAAGAGCCCTTGGGCCTTGAGTGAAGACTGGCAGTAGCCAGACAGTACTTGCCTTGAGCCTGGTGCAGTGGTGGCCAAAGGGAGAGAATCATCTGCTTATTAAAAGGGGAGGAAAGAGGGGGAAGGAATTTGTCTTGTGTTTTGCATGCCAGCTCAGTCACAGTAGAATAGAGCACCAGATAGATTCCTAAGGTTTCCAACTTTAGGCTCTGGCTCCTGGACAGCATCTCTGGACCCACTCAGGGCCAGGGGAACTCACTGCTCTGAAGGGAAAGACACAAGCTTGGTTAGTTTTGCCACCTGCTGATTCTAGAGCCCTATGGCTTTGAGCAAACATAGGTTGCAGCCAGGTTGTGCTTGCTCCAGGTCTTAGGCAAAACCCAGTGCTGTGCTGGCTTCAGGTCTGACCCAGTGTGGTCCCAGTGGTGGTGGCCACAGGAGTGTTTATTGTCATCCATCCTCCAGCTCCATGCAGCTCAGCACAGAGAGAGACTCCATTTGTTTGGGAGAAAGTAAGGAAAGAGAACAAGAGTCTCTGCCTAATTACTGAGAAAATTCTTTTAGATTTTATCCAAGACCATCAAGGTGGTACCTCTATGTGTCTGTAAGAGCCACATTTTACTGGGCTTGGGGTGATCCCTAATGTAGATATGGCTATAGATACCAAAACTCAGGTCACAATGTCCAAGTCCATTCAAATGCTTGGAAAACCTTCCCAAGTAGAACAGGTACAAACAAGCCCATACTGCAACTGTTGAAATAAATAATTAACTCTGCAATGTCTAGGTACCAAAGAACATCCATAAGAATGAAGGCCATCCAGGAAAATAAGACCTCACCAAATGAACTAAGGGACCATTCCTGGAGACAGAAATATGTGACCTTTCAGACAGGGAATTCAAAATAGCTGTTTTGATAAAACTCAATGAAATTCAAAATACCATCGAGAAAGAATTCAGAATCCTATCAAAAATATTTAACAAGGAGATTGAAATAATTAAAAAGAACCAAGAGAAATTCTGGAGTTGAAAATTGCAACTGATATACTAAAGAATGCATCAGAGTCTCTTAGCAGAAGGATCAAGCAGAAGAAAGAATTAGTGAGCTTGAACACAGGTTACTTGAAAATAATCAGAGGAGACAAAAGAAAAAATAATTAAAAAAAATAAAGCACACCTACAAGATCTAGAAAATAGCTTCAAAAAAGACAAAATAAGTATTGGATTTAAAGAGGAGGTAGAGAAAGAGATGGGGTAGAAAGTGGATTTAAAGGGATAATAACAGAAGACATCCCAAACCTAGAGAAAGATTTCAATATTCATGCACAAGAAGAATATAGAACACCAAACAGATTTAACCCAAATAAGACTACCTCAAGACATTTAATAATCAAACTTGAAGGCTAAAGAAAGGATCTTAAAAGCAGCAAGAGAAAGGAAACAAATAGCATACAATGGAGCTCCAATATGTTTGGCAGCAGACTTTTCAGCGGAAAACTTACAAGCCAGGTGACATATTTAAATTGCTGAAGGAAAGAAGCTTTTATCCTAGAATAGCGTATCCAGTGAAAATATCTTTAAATATGAAGGAGATATTAAAGAATTTCCTAGCTAAATAAAACTGAGAGATTTTGTCCACCAGACCTGTCCTACAAGAAATGCTAAGGAAGTACTTCAATCTGAAAGGAAAGGCATTAATAAGCAATAAGAAAACATCTGAAGTTGCAAAAGTTACTGATAATAGTAAGTATAGAGACAAACACAGAATATTATGGCACTGTAATTGTAGTGTGTAAAGTACTCATTCTTAAGTAGATAAACTAAAAGATGAACTGATCAAAAATAATAACTACGACAATTTTTCAAGACAGCATAATAAGATATAAATAGAAACAACAAAAAGTTAATAGGTGGGGTAAATAAATTAAAGTGGAATTTTTATTAGTTTTCTCTTTGCTTATTAGTTTGTTGATGCAATCTGTGTTATCATCAATTTAAAATAATGGGTTATATGATAGTATTTTCAAGCCTCATGATAACCTCAAATCGAAAAACATACAAGTACATAGAAATAAAAAGCAGAGGCCAGGCGCAGTGGCTCATGCCTGTAATCCCAGCACTTTGGGAGGCCAAGGCGAGCGGATCACAAGGTCAGGAGATTGAGACAATCCTAGCTAACACAGTGAAACCCCTACTAAAATACAAAAAATTAGCCGGATGTGGTGGTGGGTGCCTGTAGTCGCAGCTACTTGGGAGGCTGAGGCAGGAGAATGGCGTGAACCGGGGAGGCAGAGTTTGCAGTGAGCCGAGATCACGCCACTGCACTCCACCCTGGGCGACAGAGCGAGACTCTGTCTCAAAAAAAGAAAAATAAATAAATAAAAAGCAGAAAATTAAAACATACCACCAGAGAAAATCACCCTCACTAAAAGGAAGACAGGAATGAAGGAGAAAAGTGAGGAAGAGAAGACCACAAAACAACTAGAGAACAAATAAGAAAATGAGAGGACTAAGTCCTTACTTATCAATAATAACATTGAATGTAAACAGACTAACCTCTCCAGTCAAAAGACATAGATTGTATGAATGGATTAAAAAAAGAAGACCCAGCATAGAGTGTCTGTTGCCTACAAGAAACACATTTCACCTGCAAAGACACATAGAAACTAAAGGGATGGAAAAAGATACTCCATGCAAATGGAAACCAAAAAAGAACAGTAGTAGCTATATTTATATCAGACAAAATGGATTTCAGGCAAAAACTACAAAAAGAGACAAAGAAGGTCATTATATAGTGATAAACAGGTCAATTAAGCAAGAGAATATAATTGTAAATATATATGCACCAAGCACTGGATCATCCAGATATGTAAAGCAAATAGTATGAGAGCTAAATAAAGAGATAAATCTCAACATAATAACAGCTGGAGATTTCAACACCCCACTTTCAGCATTGGGCAGCTGTCTCAGACAGAAAATTAACAAGAAAATATCAGATGTAATTTCCACTATAGGACAAATGGACCTAATAGATATTTACAGAATATTTCATCTAACAGCTGCAGAATACACATTCTTATCCTCAGCACATGGATCATTCTCAAGAATAAACCAATTGTGAGGCCACAAAACAAGTCTTACAAAAATTCAAAAAAATAGATATTGTACCAAGTATCTTCTCTGACCAGACCACAATGAAAAAAAAAACTAGAAATTATTAATAAGAGGAATTTTGAAACTAAACAAACATATGGAATTAAACAATATGCTCCTAAATGACCAGTGGGTCAATGAACAAATTAAGAAGAAAATTTAAAATTTTTTTAAAACAAATAATAAAGGAAATACAACACACCAAAACCTATGGGATATGGTAAAAGCAGTACTATAAGGAAAGTTTATAGCAATAAGAACCTACATCAAACATGAGAAAAACTTCAAATAAACAACCTAACAACGCATCTTAAAGAACTAGAAAAGCAAGAGCAAACCAAATCCAAAGTTAGTAGAAGACATAATAAAGATCAGAGCAGAAATAAATGAAATTGAAATGAATCAAACATATAGAAGGTCAGTGAAAAAAAAAGTTGGTGTTTTGAAAAGATAAATAAAATTGACAAACCTTTAGCCAAACTGAGAAAAAAAAGAGAGAAGATCCAAATAAATAAAATCAGAAATGAAAAAGGAGACATTACAACTAACACCATAGAAATTCAAAGGGTCATTAGCAGCTACTGTGAGCAATCATATGCCAATAAATTGGAAAGCCTAGAAGAAATGGATAAATTCCTAGATACATACAACCTATCAAGATTGAACCACGAAGAAAGCCACAATCTGAACAGACCAAAAGCAAATAGTGAGATTGAAGCCATAATAAAAAGTCTCCCAGCAAAGAAAAGCCTGGGACCTGATGGCACCACTGCTGAATTTTACCAAACATTTAAAGAAGAGCTAATACCAATCCTACTTAAACTATTCTGAAAAATAGAGGAGTTAGAAACACTTTCAAACTCATTCTATGAGGCCAGTATTACTCTGATACCAAAACCTGACAAAGATGCACCAAAAAAAAGAAAAGAAAAACTACAAACCAATATCACTGACAAACATTAATGAAGAAAATCCTCAACAAAATATTAACAAACTGAGTTCAACAATATATTAAAAGGATCATTTATCATGACCAAGTGGGATTTATCCCAGGGATATAAGGATGGTTCAACATATGCAAATCAATCAATGTGATACATCATGTCAACAGAATAAAGGATGAAAACCACATGATCATTCCAGTTGATGCTGTAAAAACATTTGATAAAATTTAACATCCTTTCATAATAAGAACCCTCAAAAAACTGGGCATAGTAGGAACATACCTCAATATAATAAGAGCCATATGCAATAGATCCAAAGCTAGTATCATACTGATGGGGAAACACTGAGTCCTTCCTCTAAGATCTGGAACATGACAAGGATGCCCTCTTTCACCATAGTTATTCAACATAGCACTGGAAGTTCTAGCTAGAGCAATGAGACGAGAAAGAAATAAAGGGCACTCAAATTAGAAAGGAAGAAGTGAATTGTTCTCATTTGCAGATAATATAATCTTATATTTGGAAAAACCTAAAGACGCCACCAAAAACTAGTAGAACTGATGAACAAACTCAGCAAAGTTGCAGGACTCAAAATCAACATACAAAAATCTACAGCATTTCTACATGTTAATAGTGAACAATCTAGAAAAGAAATCAAGAAAGTAATCCCATTTGCAATAGATGCAAATGCAATTTAATACCTAGTAATTAACTAAAAAAGTGAAAAATCTCTACAATGAAAACTATAAAACATTGATGAAAGAAATTGAAAAGGACACAAAAAAATAGAAAAATATTTCATGTTCATGGATTGGAAGAATCAATATAACTAAAATGTTTGTACTACCCATAGCAACCTAAATATCCTATGAAATCCCTATCAACATACGAATGACATCTTCACAGAAATAGAAAAAACAATCCTAAACTTTATGTGGAAACAGAAGAGACCCAGAATAGTCAGAGCTATCATGTGCAAAAAGAACAAAACTGGAGAAATCATATTACCTAACTTCAAATTACGTTAAACAGCAGACAGGTAGACCAATAGAACAGAATAGAGAATCCAGAAACAAATTCACACACCTACAGTGAAATCACTTTTGACAAAGGTGCCAAGAACATACACCGAGGAAGACAGTCACTTCAATAAATGATGATGGGAAAATCAGTTATCTATATGCAGAAGAATGAAACAAGACCCTTATCTCTTTCCACATTCAAAATTCAAATCAGAATGGATTAAAGACTGAAATCCATGACCTCAAACTATGAAACCTGGGGAAATGCTACAGGACACTGGACTGAAGATTTCTTGAGTGATACCCCACAAGCACATAGGCAACCAAATCAAAAATGGACAAATGGGGTCGCATAAAGTTAAAAAGCTTCTGCACAGCAAAGGAAACAATCAAGTGAAGAGACAACCCATCGGATGGGTGAAAATAGTTGCAAACTATCCATCTGACAAAGGATTAATAACCAGAATATATAAGGAACTCAAACAACTCTATAGGACAAAGCTGATTATCAGATTAAAACATGAGCAAAAGATCTGAATAGGCATGTCTCAAAAGAAGGCATATGAATGGCAAACAGGTATATGAAAAGGTGCTCAACATCACTGATCATCAGAGAACTGCACATTAAAAGTACAATGAGACATCATCTCACTCCAGTTAAACTGGCTCTTATCCAAAATACAGGCAATAACAACTGCTGGCGAGGATATGGAGAAAAGGGACCCTCTGCACACTGTTGGTGGGAATGTAAATTAGTACAACCACTATGGAAAATAGTTTGGAGGTTGTTCAAAAAACTAAAAATAGAGCTCCCATATGACCCAACAATCCTACTGCTAGATATATACCCGAAAGAAAGAAAGTCAGTATATTGAAGAGATATCTGCACTCTCATGTTTACTGCAGCACTATCACAATCACCATGATTTGTAAACAACCTAAATGCCTATCAACAGATGATTGGATAAAGAAAATGTAGTACATATACATAATGGAGTACTATTTAGCCACAAAAAGAATAAGGTCCTGTTATTTGCAACATGGATGAAACTGGAGGACATCATGTTAAGTGAAATAAGCCAGGCATAAATACAAACTTTGCATGTTCTCACTTATCTGTGGGAACTAAAAAGTAAAAACAATAGAACTCATGGAAATAGAGATCAGAATGATGGTTACCAAAGGCTAGGAAGGTTATTGGGCATGGGGAATAGGAGATGGTTAATGGGTATAAAAATATAGTTAGATAAAATAAATAAGATCTAGTATTTGATAACGCAACAGAGTGACAACAGACAACAATAACTTGTACATTTTAAAATAACTAATAGAGAATAATTGGATTGTTTGTGACACAAAGAAAGGATAAATGCTTGAGGTAATGGATACCTAATTTACTCTGATTATTATGCATTGAGTGCCTTTGTTAGACTATTTCATGTAATCCATACATATATATATCCACTATGCACACACAAAAATTAAAAACTCAAAATAAGTAGATGCTTCTTTTTCTACAGTTCTAACTCTGTGTACACAAAGAAAGTAATGATCTTTTACGATACAACTCCTACCAGTAGTGAAAACCTGAAATAAGTAGAACTGAAGCATAATATCAAATGTAAACATGCCACATGCCACTTTTCTAAATGATTCTGATGCCTTTCCCTTGAATTTAAATGGAAGACTTAACTATTTTCTTTACTAGAAAGTTATGTTTAAAAAGGAGAAATAAATAAGCACATTTCTTTTTCAATATGAGATAATTTACAATTTATCAGTTATCATACATAAGGATCTGTGACATTCGTTTGGTTGACTGTATTAACATCATATTTTTAGACTAAATGATCTTTAGAATAAAATTGTTGACTCATTTAGCCTTTGTAATAGTCTAAAATAACTTATTTAAGATTGAATTTGCTTTGGTTTTATTTCACAACTCAGAATGCTTAAGAGGTACCATTTTAAGAGGGAAGAATTCCTAATGCTTCAATGCATTATGTAAGCTAATTTACCTACACAGTCACAATCAGTTGGAGAGGAATGTACAAATAAATGCCTAATAAATGTTTGATGGCAATGTATGACAACAATTTTTGATTCCCAATTTGATAATTTTTTTTCTAAATTTAAACTTAAAGTTACTATTTGCATAGTGTTTAAATTTTATATGAACAATATCAGTCATAACAGTTTACATTTAGCAAGTGCTTTTTATAAATCAAGTATTGTATGTGTAGATACATTATCTCAATAAATACTCCTTGTACCACTGAGGTAGGGAGAGTTCCAAGATGATTCCCAACAAGTCAAATCCTTGTAGAATCCCTTCTTTTTGAGTATGGGCAGAATCTCTGGCTTGCTTCTAGCCAATAGAATATGGAAAAAGTGATGGGAGGTCATTCCTGTGATTATGTTAGGTTATGTGGTTATACAAGACTCTGTCTTTGCAGATAAGAAGGGAGTCTCCTTTTAATATTGAAGTGCCATGTTATGAGAGGCCCTTTGAAAGGGATATTGCAGTGCAAAGAATTGTGAGGGTCTCTAGAAGATGAGAGTTGTCCCTTACTGACAGCCAGCAAGAAAAACTGATTTCTGCCAACAATACATGCCAATAATACATCTTGGAAGATGACCCTAAGCTCCAAAAAGGAACACAGCCTGGCTGACAACTGGATTTCAGTCTTGTGAGATGCTGAGCAGAGGACCCTGTTCAACTCTGTTTATGTATCTGATATGTGGAAATTGTGAGTTAATGAATGTATTATATGTTAAGTTGTCAAATTTGTAGTAATTTGTTACACAGCAATAGAAAACTAATTAAAACACGATTTTAAAAGCTATTATAAACTACTTCGGTATAGGAGATGCAGCATTTCCTACATAGAGGCCGTGGGAATAATCTATGTTCACAGAATTTATAAAGGATTTTTATCATTTTCTACGCAACAACAAGGCCTGTGATCATCCCATCTCAACACAGAAAGTTATAGTTGTAACAACAGGAGTTGTTGTGGGGGTTCTATGGTAAGGCTTTGCAACATATACTATAAACAATATATGCATTCAAATACACTTTCTTTCATATGATTATGTGAGTTAACATTTACTTTTTTGACTTAAAAAGCTGATTCAAGATTTCAAGAGGCAACATCTTGTTTTCAACAGGTGACATCTTGTAAATGGAAAATTCAAGCTAAGGGTCAGGTATTCATTGTTGAGTTCTGCAGCTTGTCTCACTGTCATCACTAAAACCCTCTGCCCAAGAGCACTGGGACCCAAAGTCAAGGAAACAGAATCCTGTCATTCCCCTCTAACGACTCAAATTATATTGGTCCTCATATTGCTGACAAGATAGGGGTAGTTGTAGCTACTGGGCCATTGAAAAGTTTTAAGACTGCACCTAAGTACATACAAATCAAGGCTATTGGTGGCTATTATATTCCTATTCACACATTCAGTTTACTTGATTGGTATGACATGACTGATTCAGGTCAACTGATCAGCTATAGGACTACACAGTTTTAACAAGGGCTGAATTTTTCACCAGTAACTACTTTGAAAATTTCAGTCCTTCCTAATGTATGAAAATGGAAAACAAAACATGAACATTGTGCAATAGCATCTATAATGGTAAACATTTGAATAGTGATAGTACATTTGCATGTCTGCAATTCTTTTCTCATTGATCTTCTGGGTAGTGATGTATTGGCTTCTCATTTCTTGTAATTATGTTAGCAGCTTTGATTGTAACATTATGTCAAACATTCTGATGATTGGTTACAAGTGAATCAGTGGACGAAAACAGAATTTAAGAATATTGGCATGAATGTTTTATTTCACAGTTGTGCAACTTGAGGTCCAATGACACTAAAGTGGGCAAACCAATAATTAGTAACAGGATTCAAGTTTTCAATCCCCAAGCCAATACTCCTTCCATTATAGTGCAGGTTTGCATATCTCAAACAACTTTTCCTCCACACTCATGGTCCCAACTGAACTTGCTTTCTAATTCACTGAAAAATATTGAAGTAACCAGAAAACATTGTCCACAAATTTCCAGCAATGATCTTTGTCTGTGTCAGTGTAGTTTACCCTCTCTCTTGTTACTGTGTATGTTTTAGCAAAGCCCAATCCTTCTACTTGTGCAATCGATTCCATCCCCTCTCATTTGCTCAAGGGACAGTGTCTCAGCAATTCCTCAGTTCTTCTCTAATTCTCCTTTCACACATTTCCTCCTCTCTACTCAATCATTTGTATTCGTGTACAAATATTTTGGAAAGTAAATCTTCTCATGCCCACATTTTGCTCTCTCCTGTTTCTTTGTTTTTCTGCTTATGTTTATATCAAAATTGTTGTATAAGCTGTCTCTACTCATGTCTGCACAGGTTCTCCTCTCATTTTCTGTGGAATCTACTCCAATCAGATTTTTTTCATTGATATAATTCTGTTAAAAAAATTCTCTTATCAAGGTCATCAATGATTTCTTCTCTATCCTGAGATTACCTCATTTAGTCTAATGATTGCCAACATTATCTATATGTGAAAAGCTTGCAAATTAGTATCTCCAGTAAGGATACTTTCCCTCAACTCCAGACCTGTTTATCAACAAACTACCTGACATCTTCACCTGAATGTCTTAAATCCATCTCAGATATTACATGTTCAAAACTGATTTCCTGATATTTCTCTCTAAACCTGTCTCCTCTTGTTTCTTTTGCCATTTAAGACCAACTTCATTTTAGTTGTGTGGGCAAATCATCCTGGTATCATTCTTCACTCCTCTATTTTTCTTACTCCCTTCATCTGGTCATCAGAAGATCCTATTGGTGCTATCTTTAAAATATACCCTGAATTTGACCACTTTTCACTACTGCCATGGGCACCATCTTGATCCAAGCCATCAAAATCTCTTATCTGGATTATTAAAATAGCCTCCCTTCCTCTGTCTTTGACCACTTTCAGTCTATTTCAAACCCAGTTTCCAGAGTGATCCAATTAAACCATAATTTGGATTTTGTCACTTCTCATGTCAAAGCTCTCAATGGTTTTCCAGCTCACTCTAAGGAAAAGACAATGGTCTTTAGGTCTCTAAATAATATATCCCTTCATTATTTCTCTGTTCTCACCTTCCCCTTTCTCTCTTTTACACTGGCCCGGTGTTACCTTTATTCTTATAGATATGCTTTTATCTTAGTGACTTTGTGTATTCTGCATTACTGCAATATCTTTCCCGCAAATATCCACATTGCTAGTTCCTCAATTCCTTCATATTTTTATTAAAACTACTCCTTCTCAGCTAATACTTCTCTTCCCATCCTATCTAGAATTCCATCCCTTCCCCAACACACATTCCTATATCCATTCTAGATTAATTTCTTAATACACAATATATTGTATTTATCTTGTTTGCTATGTGTCTCCCTCACTAGAACAAGAATGTCTGTTTTATTTACTATCGTAATGCAAACATCTAAAGGAGTGCTTTCCATGAAGCAGATCTGCAACATCTTTGAATAAAGGATGGTGTCTCTGATCCATCAATAGTAACATTTATGTTTTGAATGCTTATTTGAAAGGAATACAAAAAATGAGAATTGATGTATACTTTATCTCATGATCTTTTTTAGAACCATTGACAGAAATTTTGAGTAATCTCTCTGAGACTCCAGGTGAAGTGAACTCTCCCACAAAACAATTAATTCTATGACATTGGCCACACTATCATTGTCTTCTAATCATCCAAGTGAAATAATTCCTACCTCACACCGTCAAAGTTTTGTATGCTCTTGATAGTAAAAGAATATAGGGTATTGGGATTTCTAATGAGAGTACAATGGCATCCTAAAAGCTATAGTATACATTCAATATGCATATAAAATTCAGTTTTGTAGTTTTATTATATGTTTGATTTTTAGGTATTTTCTTTCTTCACTCCTTTCTCTTCCATGTGGAAGTTCCATTTCATAATGGGCTACTGATCAGACCTGTTATTCTAACGGTAGAATCCCAAAGGAAAACATGTTTCAGATGTAAAGTATTCCCCTCAGATTCCCTGGCGGTCATGGAAAGCAGGAGAAATTCTTGATGTATGAAGTCACTGTCACCATTGTCAAAGCACTGTAGTGTGGGAAATGAACCACAAATAAAATCAAAGGGTATTTCTTCCAAAGCACTGAATATTTGTGCACAAACAACAATGTTTTCATTAAGGTACAAAATATTTCAGACCAAATATTAATGTTTAAAAGTCCAGAAAACACATCTCAGTCTAGCTGCCTTAGGTGGCAAATTTTTGGCATGCTTGTAAACAGTAATATAGAAGAAATTAAAGACTCTCTGTCAAAGTGCCAAAACTTAATTTATTTTTGGAAACCTGAAATCCTCTATAGGTCCAACTTAACTTTCATACCAAAAGGACCATAAATGTAGTTCTCTGTCCTTTGCTCTAAAGAATTAATTTTAAGGTATGCATATTTTTTTCTTTAAGGGCTTAAGCCTAAATTAAATCACCAAGAGCCTCAATAAAGTAATATTAAAGTTGAACAGAAATCCACAAGAGCAAGACAATTTGGAGGTAGGTTAAAATTCCTTTCTTGCTCTTCAACCTTAAATCAGAGTGCTGTGTTAAGGTATTGTAATGATCTAAGACAGTGTGTCATCTTTCACGCCAGGCAGCATATGTTACAATTCCTGAATTAGAGAACAGCTATTCCCCCAAATTATTATTTTAACTACATAGTCATTCTCAGTTTGGATTTAGGTCAGGCACCAAAAGTTACTCTATAGTCTTGGGAATGAATATCATAACCCTCAGCTCACAGCATAATCGTCAAAGCCTCATCCAGAAATGCATTATAGAACACACAGAAAATTTAAAAAAGATTTTGATTACTGCTTAATATAGAGAAATGAATGTGTTTATCTTTATAAATAGCACTTGTATACAAGTGGCTCAAATGTGGTAAAACAGCCACAACAGTCCCAATATAAGTTGCAAAATCAAACATTCAGGCATGAGAAGTCTTTTTCTTAAGTTATTTTCAAGCTTCATCCTTTTTTCTGCAATAACTAAAGCAAAGCCACAGTAGCTGCAGCCATTTGCATCTGAGGAAGAGATGTTTTGCTTTGGTGATATAGTTAATGAGTCTAAAAATATTCAGTATAATAATTCTGTCAAAGCCCCCACAGTCTCCTCAATGAGCGGAAGCCTGCAGGATTCCAATGGGGAGCCGAGTAATGAGCTCTCAGCATTCGCTCCCACACCGTCCAGGCGAAATATACTCAGGCCTCTATGGTTCCACATCATTAGCAACATGAAACAAAGACACATGCTTGACTTTAATAAGCGACTAAAGTTGCTGGCTTACTAGTCTGTTACTGCACGTAAACTCTGTTTCAGTATTTCAAAACAGCTCCTTGCAAAGAGAAAGCAGGAAGGGTTTTGGCAAACAGGCTTAACTTAACGTGGCAAATGATTGAGCAGAATGCAAAAAAAAAAAAAAAAAAAAAAAAAAAAAAAAAAAAAAAAAGGACACAGGAAGTGATGAGTCTCCTGGGCTCATTGCAGACTACAGTTTCCCTGTTGGAGATGATGGTTACGGTGGGCTGCAGTGATCGGGCTATAGGCATATGTGACTGAGTTTTAGTTGATTTTCTTGCAAGACAGGAAGTGAACAAGCTTATTTCCCACTGGGAAAGGTTCAGACATGATTAACTTGGGCATGATCAAATAGGTCAATAATATGACAATGAATTTCTATCACAATAATTAAGTGGGGAAATTTGTGTGATTTGTTCTTCTTGTTCTTCACATACCAATAATGCATTAGCATGGATTCATTTAGTTTCTTTCATTAGATAAAGTCACATAGCTACAATTTAAGATAGTGAGGGCTCAATTTGAATACTTAAATGTTATTTCTGCAAAACATTATATTATTTTCCTGTATTTTATTTTTAGCACAGGCTTTTGCATGCCAGCATTGAAGAAGTGATCTGAAATTTGTTTCTACATGCATACTAATTATTTCAAGGGTGATATTCCCATATATCAGGCTTTATGAATATCAATCACCAGGATAAAGTAAGAATTATTGTAGAGAATGACATAGGTAGAGATAAATGCATCACTTTGGGATATTAGGATTCAGAATATTTTACATGTATATGATTTTTGCCAGCTATTAAAATATTTCAACTTTACCTTAAATAAAAAGTTCCTATATATAATCCCCAAATCTTGGCATTGGAAGAGAACTCAGAAATCATAAAAGGTGCTAATCCAGTCCATGCAGTGCCTCATTTTACAGCGCTCCCCTAAAATATTTTTCTTAACATTAATATAAAACCAGAGAATCATCTTATGGCTTTAAATAATTGAACATTGGAACTTAAATTGTAGATGGTTTCCACTGTCTTCTTTTAAATTTCATATTTTAGTTTTATGCTTATAATCAAGATAATCTTCAACCTTTTTTCGCCATATGATACAATTTCCCCATAATATTGGAAACTAGACATTTTTAAAGTATGCCTTTAGCAAATAGGAATAAAAAATGATTGAGTCCAGCAGCAGCCCAGTGGCTTATCAAGGATGACTTTAAAACCACCCATTTTCTTTGGTTATGGTTATGCAACTGTTTCTTACACAAGGATACAATGAAATATTATATTTTGCAAATATCAGCCTATGCTCTAAACAGTAGTTAGAGCAAACTTGTTTATAAGAGAATGGAGGGAAATTTGGCATAATTTACATAATTAATTTTTAGTGAATCCATATATTTCAATAACACATTTTTCCTTTTATAGGATTTCACTTATAATCTCCTAAATAAACCAATCTAGAATACTTTTATGAGGCTTAATTTTACTCCCACCAAGCTTTAGTTTCTCCTCCTTTTGAAAAATGAGACAAATTTCCTAATTTTAGTGTTTTCACATTTCTTTCACCTGCTTCACAGCTTCTCTCCAGTAACTAACTTTAGTTCCTTAATCATATAGATACATTCTTTCAGGATCCAGGACTGTTTTGCTGGGTATGGACACTATCAGTCTTAAGGGATTTGGGCCCTCTTGTTACTATTTACCTTTTCCAAGTTTATGATTAATCTCCTTGGTGAAGAAAATAAAAGTAAAATAAAAGTTCATCAGTATTTACTTCTACTTATCTTTGGCTTTGGGTACTCAAAGTGGTGAACCATTTTTTAAATGCATTCCATTTTATACTAAGAAGGCTATCTTGGCACATATAATTTTATGACATAAGGCTATGATTTATTTTTATATTTACTATATTTTAAGTTATAAGAAGTATGTAAGCCAAAATATAAATTTTTTCTTGTAACTAAAAAATGATGTCATTTGCTCTGCCTTCAGTGCGGAAATAGAGTATGAGCTTTGAAAGGGATAATTTCACTCAAGAAGTGGACATGGATGAAAGGTATTTCACTTAAGTGTCAATATTGCACTTTCCCAAGAAAAATCCAGGGAAGACTATATATATGCATACAAAGATCTTGCCAATGTTATAACCACTCCTATTTAGACAATCTTGTTCACATCAAGGTACACTGTGTAAAAGATCATGACTTATTTTAAAAATTCATGTTTGCGGAGAAGCAGTTCTAAAATGGTGGAATAAGGAGCTCCGAAAATATGCCCCTTCATGAAAGCAAAATTTGTCAAAAATCGACCTTGACTTGACAGAACTCTGAAAATTAACCAACATCCTTGCCCACAGTCTGAAAAGTATTCAAGGAAAACAGCTGAATTTCTGTAAAAATTGTAAGCTTTGTAATGCTCTAGCTTGCTCTATTCCCATTCTCCTACTTCAACTCCTCGTAAACCTGGAAAACCAACAGCCTTAATACCACAATAACTGTGAGAACCAATTTCTAGTAAACACAGGATGCAGCGGAATGAGTGTGGTGTTCTTGTCACTATTTGATCTGCCCAGAAACTCCCTGGAAAAATCCCATATGCAGGGCTTATCTTTATTTGACAAGACTCATAGTTTAATCAGTGTAAACAAGCGCATGCTTAGAGCGTTTGTTTAGTACAATCAGTAGGAACTGTTTGATACCACAGTTTCCTGAAGAAGTGACACCTATTGGGGCTAGCAAGAGGCTAACTGAAAAACTTAAAAGGAAAAACTGGAAAAAGAAATGTCTTTAAAGGGTCTTTGAAAATCTCTGACAAAGCACTAGCAATCTAAAAGGCACACCTATGTGTAGGGCAGTTTACATTCTCAGAAAAGACACGACAATGTTCCACTTTCTTACTGCTGTTTTTTCTAGAGGACCTGTATAAGCAGGAAGTAAAGGAAAAGACATAATTATAACCTACTATATTGTTTTATGTATGTATAACACACACACACAGAGTCCACTGACAACATCTGGGAGACTTATTGGCTCAGGTCATTTAAAAAATATTTGTCAAATTACTAGTCTGTTTGGGGAGAAGCTTCAGTAGCTGCTCATAATAAAGAAGACAGACTTTATAGAATTGGTCCAGGAAAATCACAAAACAAGGCACAGCAGTAGCAGCAACAACAGCAATAACAAATAACAAGAACAAAAAACCCTGGGGAGAAAAAATTCGATTTCCAGAGTTGCCAAATTATATTAATTGAAATGTCTAGTTTTGAGCAACAATAAAAAAGTATAAAACATGGAAAGAAACAGGAAAGAGGCTGGGTGTGGTGGCTCACACCTGTAATCCCAGCACTTTGGGAGGCCGAGGCGTGCAGATCACTTGAAATCAGGAGTTTGAGACCAGCCTGGCCAACATGGTGAAACCTCATCTCTACCAAAAATACAAAAATTAGCCGGGTGTAGTGGTGGGTGCCTGTAATCCCAGCTACTTGGGAGGCTGAGGCAGGAGAATCTCTTTAACTCAGGAGGCAGAGGCTGCAGTGAGCCAAGATCATGCCACTGCACTCCAGCCTGGGTGACAGAGCAAGATTCTGTTTCAAAAGAAGAAAAAAAAAAAAAAGGAAAAAAGAAAAAGAAAGTCTCACGCCTGTAATCTCAGCACTTTGGGAGGCCAAGGCGGGGCAGATCACGAGGTCAGGAGACCGAGACCATCCTGGCTAACACGGTGAAACCCCGTCTCTATTAAAAATACAAACACTTAGCCGGGCGTGGTGGCAGATGCCTGTAGTCCCACCTACTCGGGAGGCTGAGGCAGGAGAATGGCGTGAACCTGGGAGGCGGAGCTTGCAGTGAGCCGAGATCGCACCACTGCACTCTAGCCTGAGAGACAGTGCGAGACTCCGTCTCAAAAACAACAACAACAACAAACAACAACAACAAAAACAGGAAACCATGGCTAATTGGGGAAAATATGGTAAATAGAAAAAAAAAAAATCCAAAAAGCCCAGATGTTGGATTTACTAGGCAAAAATTTGAAATCAGTTATTATAAATATGTTCAAAGAACCAAAGAAATCTAACTTAAAGAACTGAAGGAATTATATGTATGGTGTACAACTAGAAACAATCAATAAGAAAATCAAAATTATAAAAAAGGACCAAATAAAAATGCTGGAGTTAAAAAGTATAATGACTAAAATAAAAGCATTCCCTGGAGGGGCTCAACAACAGACTTTTAGTGGCATAGGATAGAATCAGTAAACTTGAAATAGGTCATTTGAGATTCTTCAGTTAGAATAGAAAGAGAATGAACAAAGAAAAGTTAACAGAGCCTCTGAGAGTTGTGGGGAAAAACTTCCAAATTTGGAGGAAAAACATTAATCTACACATTCAAGAAGTTTGGTAACCTCTAAATATAATAATCTCAAATTTCCGTATATAGAAATATCATAGTCAAACTTCTGAAAGACAAAGAGAAAAAAAGTAAATCATGTACCAGAGATTCTCAAAAATATAAATAGCTGACTTACCATTAGAAATCATGAAGGCCTGAATAATGATATATATTAAGTATTGAAAAAATACTGTCAACTAAGAATTCTATATATGGTTAAACTATCTTTCAAAAATGAAGGAGAAGTTAAGACATTCCCAGATCAGCAAAAAACAAAAACAAAAACAAAACAGATTTTGTTTGTTTTGGCTAGCAGATCTGCTCTAAAGAGTGCTCCTCAGACTAAAATGAAAAAATATTAGGCAAGAAATCAAATCCACATTATGAAAAAAAAGCATCAGCAAAGGTATCTACACAGATAGATATAAATTGCCATAAAAATGTATTTTTGTTGGTAACTCTTTTCTTCTTTTCATGAATTTAAAAGACAATTGAATAAAGAAATAATTATTAATTTTGTTGCTGGGCTTATAATGTAGAAAAATGTCATTTGTATGACAGTAACAGAGAAAAAAGGGAGGGGGATCAGAGCTTTATTGGGGTCAAGTTTTTGAATACTATTAAAGTTAGTATTAATTGATATTAGATTGTTATAAGCAAAGATGTTACTTGTATTCCCCAGTGTAACCACTAACAAATTAACTCAAAACACATATAAAAGAAACAGCAAAGGAATTAAAATGGCACACTGGAAAATATATACTTAACATAGAGAATGAAGCAATAAAATAATAGAAGTACAGAAAATAAAAACATTTAGAAAAACTTAGCAAAATGACAGATGCAGAAAAAACATTTGGCAATGCTTAATGAAAAGTACTTGATGTGACAGGAATAGAAGGGAACTTCTCAATTTGGTAAGGACTATTGACAAAAATCCCTATAGCTAACATTATATTCAATAGTAAATATATATTTTCCTCTATGGTCAAGAAAAAGACAATAAATATGTGAATACAACTATTCAACATTTTACTATCAGTTTTACATGGAGAAATTAGGCTGGAAAAGAAATAAAAGTCATTCAGTTTGGAAAGGAAGAATGTAAACTATATTTACAGATGATATATGACATGCTTTTATATATAGAAAATCTTAAAAAATCAGTAAAAAAATATTAGAACCAATGAATGGGTTCTGCAAGATTGAAGGGTACAAGATCAATGAACAAAAATCAATTATGTTCTATACACTATCAACAAATAATCCCCAAATACCATCATTCCAACAAAATAGCATCAAAAGAATAAAATACTTTGAAATAAATTAAACAAAAGAAGTGTAATACTTGTGGTCTAAAAGTATGAATACTGTTGAAACTAATTAAAGAAGGCCTAGTAAATGGAAAGACATCTATATGTTCAAAGATCAGAAGACTTAATATTGTTAACATGGCAATACTTCCGAAATTCATCTACAGGTTTAAAATAATCCCAATAAAAAGTCAAGTTACATAATTTGGGAGAAATTGAGAAGTATATTCTAAAATTCATGTGGAAATACAAAGGATTCAGAAGAACCAAAACGATCTAACAAAAGAACAAAGTTGGAGGACTCACACTTCTGGATTTCAAAACTTGCTACAAAGTTACAAATAATCAAGACAGTGGTAGTGATATAAGTATAGAAACACAGAAGAATGGAATAGAATTGAAAGTCCAGAAATATGCATAGAAAATGGACTCAAATGGATCATAGACATAAATGTAAAAACTAAACTATAAAACCCTCAGATGAAAATCTTCGTAATTTTGGATTAGTCATGAACCTCTTAGACATGATACCAAAAGCACAAGCTACAGAAGAAAAAAAAAGATAGATTGAAACTCAAGATAAATTAAAAACATTTGTGCTTTAAAGGAAACCATTAAGAAAGTGAAAATATAACCAAAGGAATCAGACAAACTACTTGAAAACCTTATAGCTGATGAAGGACTTTTGTCCTTAGAATACGCAAGGAACTCTAACAAGTCAATAAAAAGGCAAATAACTCAATTTTAAAAGGAACAACATATTTGAATAGACGTTTATCCAAAGAAGATATATAAATGACTAATAAGCACAGGTAATGATGCTAAACATTATTAGTCATTTGAGAAATCAAAACCAAAATGGAATACCACTTCATACTCACTGGAATGGTTAAAAACCAATCAACCAAACAACAAAAAAGCAGAAAATAAAAACTGCTGACCAGATGTGGAGAAAGTGGAACTGTTATACATGTTGGTGGGAAAACATTCTGGCAGCTCCTCAAAATGTTAAACATATAGTTACTATATAACTCAGCAATTTTACTCTGAGGTACACATTCAAGAGAAGTGTAAAGGTATGTCCACCCAAACTTTCACAATACCCTCAAAGTAGAAACAACCCAAATGCCCATCAAGTGATGAATGAATAAACAAAATATGGTATAGTCATATGAAGAAATGTTCAACAAACAAAAAGCTGAAATACTGGTACAAGCTCAATGAACCTTTAAAGCATTATGCCTTAAAGCATTAAGAAAGAAGCCAGTGACGAAAGGCTATATCTACATACACTATGATTCCATTTATATTAAATGTGCAGAATAGGCAAATCTATAGACACAGAATAGATTAGAAGTTACAGCAACTGAAATAGGAGGGAATGTGTCTCCACTGCTATTAAGTATGGAACTTCTTTTTGGGGTGATGACATTTTCAAAGTTAGTGGTGATGGTTGTACAAATCTGTGAATATAAAAAAAATCATGGAAATGTATACTTTAAGTGGGTGAGTTTTATGATTTGTGAATTATATATCAATAAGGCTGTTACAAAAATTCCCTGTTTGCAATATAAATAACCAGAGCTGGTATAATACTACATTTCTGATTTTATGAGATACTTCTCTACCAATAAAACATCTTGTTCATATAGAGGTTCTCCAGAGAATCCTTAGGGAATTGTTAGGATAGGAATTCTCAATACTATGTCATTACTTCTTTAATTATCTACCTTCTCATATTCATATTTAAGTGTGTTGAGGGCAGAAATAGCCCATCTTGCTTCCGTAGTGCCTGGAAATCGGCACTGTAAGTATTTTTGATTTAAAAATAAATGAATGAATAAACAGAAGCTGAAAATCCAATGTTGGCAGAAGGCTGGTGGTATGCATAGAACTGAGACAAAGAAAGGTGGAGGGTACTATGATTATGTAGCAAGTGAATTGATAAAAAGAACCATTCTTAACACTTGTATATAAATGTTCCTAATGTGGTGAAGAACATCATATCAGGCTGCCATATGGAAAACCCAGTTGAAGAACAGCTTACTCTTTTCTTATCCTAGGTTGTCCAAGATATATGATTGCTAATTTAGTTTTCAGGTGGCCCTATAACTGGAGGACAATCAACCTGTACACTTGGTTCCTAGATTAAGAGATGTACTTCTTCTTCACTCTTGCATAAGGCATTTCTCCCATTGCTAATTATCTTTAAATAAAACAAAAAATCATTTATTGAGCTCTTATACCATTAGATGCTGTGAAAGGTGCCTTACTTATATAATGTAAGCATCTTAAAAACTCTATGGAGTGTTACTTCCTTCCATGTTACAGTAAGGAAACTGAGACTCAAGGTGGATTTAATATCACCAGTGATAAAATCAGGAGACATGGCTTTAACTCCTCTGTGTGACATCAAATCACGAAGACTCTTTGTAATAAAATAACTTTGGGGGTAAACATTAGTCTATTATACATCTAAATACCATAAATCAGAATCCATTGATGTGAAAACATAGATGATCATTCATTTCATGATCCTCTTAACTGAGATATTATTATTATTATTATTATTATTATTATTATTATTATTATTATTATTTGAGATAGAGTCTTACTCTCTCGCCCAGGCTTGAGTGCAGTGGTGCGATCTAAGTTCATTGCAACCTCTGCCTCCCGTGTTCAAGTGATTCTCCTGTCTCAGCCTCCCAAGTAGCTGGGATTATAGGTGCCTGCCACCACAACCGGATAATTGGTTTTTTTTTTTTTTTGTATTTTTAGTAGAGATGGGGTTTCACCATCTTGGCCAGGCTGGTCTCAAACTCCTGGCCTGCCTCAGCCTCCCAAAGTGCTGGGATTACAGGTGTGAGCTACCATGCCTGGCCGATATCTCACTATTAATATCTTATGTTTCCAACTCTATCATTCTCCCTGAAAGTTGTGTTGTTCTCCGTTAAACAAATTATAGTGATCCAAAGAAACTGAAATAATGTTGAGCTCACATTTTTTCTTAGCTGACAAACGATTTCAGAAATATAATATAGCCATAGTATAGAAATAATTGAGATTTATACATCACTGTTTTTAATTTACTAGGGTAGCACTACTTGTGAATACTAAAAATAATTGATTTCCTTTAAATAAGATAAGGTTTGTATTTATAAGTCCATGAGCCCACTTTGCTTTTGTTTTTAAAGTATAAAGTAGTTGTGAATGTATGTGGTGTGTGTTTACTTTTTTAAAAGCAATTGCTGATCACAATGGGAATGTTTTCAATTTTATAAATCAGGGAGTGTTTAATCTAAAATTACGTACTGAGTTTCTCCATGGTTATAGCACTTTTGCAGTAAAGTTGTAAAAATGTAACTTAATTCCTGCCCACAGGTGGCCTATGACAAACAACCTTTTTTTTTTCTGATTTCCTAATTAAAACATGTCTAAGTTAATTCACGTAAGTGAATTTTAGGTTGTATTTACTGACTATATTTATGAAGCCCTAGTGTGCACTACTATTATTTGAAAATGACATGTGTGTTAGTGTCAAGTGACCACAGGACACTACAGCCATCACATGAAGAAATGAGAGTTGGACATATATATTTGTGAGGCTCTACAGAAAAACAATCAGTGGGAGAGTGATTTCATATTTCTCACGTAGGATTCAGAGACTGGTGGTATCACAAAAGCTACTGCAATAAGGCCACTGCCACCTGGAGGCTTAGAAACAGCAACCAACATTACATACACTCAATTCATAGGTTCATTAATTGAAGCGACATGATAATGCAGAAATACATAACTCTGAATCAGATGACTAAAGAAAACAAGCAATGATATTGGCAGATCACTAACTGAAAACATTTTGATCTTGCATATCTTCTTGCAGATGGATCTTTTTACATGAAGCAGTTCTCAATGGCATGACTGTTTCTTTCACCTGTTCTGAATCTTTTTCTACCAGTTTTTATTTTCTCATATATTTTCATTTTCATTGTTACTGACTCTTTCAGCTCCATATACAAATACTTGAGACTGCATCTATGTTAAAAATAACAGGCCAGGCATGGTGGCTTATGCCTGTAATCTCAGCACTTTGGGAGGCCGAGGCGGTTGGATCACTTGAGGCCAGGAGTTTGAGACCAGCCTGGCCAACATGGCGAACACTGTTTCTACTAAAAATACAAACAACAAAACACACAACACACACAAAACTTTTCCCTTGACTATTGGTCTGTGACAAAAGTATCACTCCCCTGCTTTCATTCTTGATCCAAGTTTCTTGAAAGGATACCACAGTTCTGACTTGACCTTCCTATTAACCTCACCTCATGTTTATTCCTCAAACTGCTACAATTGCTCTCAGGGAAGTTCCCAGTGACTGACATTTCTCAGCATTTGAAGCTTTCAAACATCTACTCCTATTTGAACTTTTCTCTACTTCATTACAGTGCTAAATGCCACTGCTTTATATTTTTATTGCCTCTTAGTGGTGGCTTCCTTTAAGGCTGCTCAACTAGACTTTTCTCTCTCTCTCTCTGTCTCATTCTCTTTCTGTATGTGTTTATATTTTTTAAATTATTTTCCTGGTCACCAAAAATGTTCTAAAAGCAATAGGTATATAATTTCCTTTTAATTTTAAAATTGCAACATAGAAAATTCAGGAAATTTGGGAAACAAACATCTTACAAAAACACATAAATATTAATGACATACCATCCATATTACTGCCTAATGGTCTTTTGGTATGTTCTTCTAGTATTCTCATAAAGGAGGATATATGAAATGGAGATAATGTGATGGTCATTTGCCCTTTGCTCTCAAATCTTTTCCCATTCTTTTGTGTGCTGGTTTGTATTTTGGAGGGCTGTTTCCTGCAAGCCACATTAACCAGGCTTTCTCAGTTACAGAAAGGAAATGATAAAGGAAGAAAACTTAGAACGTTAGGAAGAAAAAAATGTGATAAGTAGAAATATAAGTAGACTTAACACACTTTTTCCCCCTCTTGAGTTTTCTAAATTATATTTGGTGGTTGAAGCAAAAATTATAATGTCTGATGTGGTTCTAAATGTGTTTAGAAGAAATACTTAAGACAATTATATTACACATGGAGAGTGCAGAGGAATGTCAAGGGAGGTAAGGTTTCTAACAGACACCAGTGTACTGTGACAAGTTATGTATTTAAAATGTAATACCTTCAGCAACCACTAGTAAAGCTACACAGAGATTCACTACAATACAATATAGAAAAATCCAAGTGAAATTCAAAATTATATTCCAATAACCCATAAGCAGTCAAGAAAAATAAAACTGAGAAATGAAAACAGAAAACAAATAGAAAGCAAACAAAAAATAAGATGGCAGACTTATTCTCTAACATTAATAACTACATTAAATGTAGATAGTCTAAGTATATCAATTAGAACGCAGACATTAGCAGAGCAGATTAAAAAGACATGACTCAACTATGTACTGTCAACAGGGAATTCATTCTAAATATAATGATATATAGGGGGGCTGGAAGTAAAGGATGAAAAGTGATATAAAGACATTAACCAAAAGAAAACAGGAATGACTGTGTTGATATCAAACAATCTTGACTTTATGTCAAAGAAAATAATCAGACATGGAGGGACATTATATAATAATAAAAGAATTAATCCATCAAGAAGAAGTTATAGCAATCCTAAATGTGTATGAACCTAAAAGCTGGGCTGCAAAATATGTGAAGGAGAAACAGATAGAAAGGACGAGTAGAAAAATCCACAACAATAGTTGATGATTTCAACAACCCTCTCTCAATAATTGATAGGACACCTAAACAGAAAATCATTAAGGACAGAGAAGAACTCAACAACATCATCAATCAACAGGGTTTAATTGACATTTATAGAGACATTCCATCCAACAATAGCAGAATACACATGTGTTTAAGTACCCATGGAACATATACTATGACAGACCATATCTTGGACCATAAAACAAATATTAACAAATATAAAAGAATTGAAATCATACAGAATGTTTTCTTCAACCACAGCTAGAGTTCCATATGAGAGTGTTAACAGGAAAATCCAGAAACACTTGGAAAATAACACATTTCTAAATAATTTGTGGGTCAAAGAGGAAGTCTCAAGGGGAGTTTAAAAAGTACATTGAACTGAATGAAAATGAAAAAGCAACATGTTCAAATTTGTTAGATACATCTAAGGCAGTGTGCTGAGAGAAAAATTAATAGCACTAGGTGCATATATTAGAAGAAATGAAAGCTACCAAATCAGCAATCTTAGCTTCCCAAACATCCCAAGAAACTAGAAAAATAGGAGCTAAATAAATCCAAAGCAAGTAAATGGAAAAAATATAAAAACAGAAATCAATAAAATTGAACATAGAAAAACAATAAAATCAATAAAATAAAGATCTAAATATATCTCTATCTTCAATATATATGTTCTCTGAATACATCAATAAAATTAGCAAACTTCTAGCAAGACTGTCAAAGAATAAAGAAGGGAAGAGACAAGTTACTAATATCAGAAACAAAGCAAGGGATATGGTACTACTGATCTTGTTGACATCAAAAGAATGACAAAGAAATACTATAAACAATTCTGTAAATATAACTTTGGCAACTTCGATGAAATTAACCGTTCCTCAAAAAGCATGAACTACAACAATTCACACAATATGAAACAGGTCATCTAAACAAGCATAATACTATTAGGAAGATTGAATCCATAATTTGAAAACTTGCCAAACAAGACTTAATTTCCCAACACATGGTTTCACTGGAGAATTCTACAAATGTTTAAGGAAGAATTAAAACCAGTTATATACATTCTCTGTATCAATTTGCTAGGGATACCATAACAAAACATCACAGACTGGGTAGCTTAAACAACAGAAACTATTTTTTTGTCACAGTTCTGGAGGCTACATGTCAAGGATCAAGGTGCTGGCTGGATCGTTTTTATTCTGAGGCCTCTCTAGCATTGGCTTTCAGCTGGCTGCTTTCTGTCTTTCTCCTCACATGATTTTTCCTCTGTATGCATGCATCCAAATTTGTGCCTCCAAATTTCCTCTTATAAGGACACCAGCCATACCGAATTAGGGTCCACCCATATTATCTCATTTAACCTTAACTACCTCTTTAAAGGCTCTACCTCCAAATATACTCTCATTCTGAGGTACCAGCTGTTAGAACTTCAACAATGAATTTGAACACAAAATTGACACACTTTATAACATATTTTACAGAAAATAGGAACACTTATTTATTATTATTATTATTATCATTTTTTTTTGAGATGGGGTGTTGCTCTGTCACCCAGGCTGCAGTGCAGTGGCACGATCTCGGCTCACTGCAAGCTCCACCTCCCGGGTTCACGCCATTCTCCTACCTCAGCCTCCCGAGTAGCTGGGAGTACAGGTGCCTGCTACCATGCTCAGCTATTTTTTTTTTTTTTTGTATTTTTAGTAGAGACGGGGTTTCACCGTGTTACCCAGGATGGTCTTGATCTCCTGACCTCATGATCTGCCTGCCTTGGCCTCCCCCAAAGTGCTGGGATTACAGGCATGAGCCACCGCTCTTCTCAATTTATTTTATGAAACTACTATTATCTTGATACTAAAACTTGACAAAGACAGTACAAAAGAAATAGTGTTAACTGCAGACCAATACATCCTTACGAATACAGATATAAAAATATTTAACTAGACAATGGGTAACAGAGGTCAACAACTGTATATAAAGAATTACAGAACATAACCAAGTGGACTTTGTTGTAGGGATTCAAAGCTGTTTGAATATTTGGAAATCAGTCTGTGTAATCTACCATATCAACACATTTAAGAAGAAAAGTTCCATATCAATAGATGCAGAAAAATTATTCGACAAAACTTAAAATGGATCACTTATTAAAATGTAACAAAAACTATAAAAAATTCTAGACAAAAATATCTTTGGGATCTAGAGGTAGGTAAAGGGTTCTTAGACTTAGCTCCAAAAACATAATGTATAGAAGGAAGAAATGATAAGTTGGAGCTTACTAAAATTAAAACTTTTGCTCTGTGAAAGACTCTGTTAAGAGGATGGAAAGAAGAGCTACAGAATGAGAGAAAATATTTGTAAGTCACTCACCTGAAAAAAAGACTAGGCTTTATTTAAAAATGGTCAAAACTCAAAGGTTAAAAAACCAAATGATCCTGTTAGAAAATAGACAAAAGACATGAAGAGATATTTTACCAAAGAGGATATACGTATGACAAATAAGCACATGAAGAGATGCCCAACATCATTAGCCATTAGGGGAATCAAATTAAAACCCCTACATATCTAACAAAACGGCTAAAACAAAAATAATGAGAACACCAAATGGTGGTAAGGATGTAAAGAAATTTGACTTACACATTGCTGGTAATAATTGATGGTACAATCGCTCTGAGAAACAGTTTGTCAGTTTCTTAACACACGAATCACTTAATTACCATATGACCAAACAATTGTACTCTCAGGCATTCGTCCCAGAGAAGTGACATGTTCACACAAAACCTGTGCATGGATGTTTATAGGAGCTTTATTCATAATAGCTAAAAATTGAAGACACTCCAGATATCCTCCAACAAGTGAATGGTTAAACAAACTATAGTACAGTCATACCATGGAACTGCTTAGGAAAAAAAAATGGAATAAACTATTAATACATGTGTGCATTTACCTGGATAAAATTCTATAGGAAAATAAATAATCCCCAAAGGTCACAAACTGTATGATCCCATTTATATGACATTCTTGAAATGAAAAAATTATGCAAATGAAGAACACATTAGTGGTTGCCAGGTAAAGAAACAGGTGGTTGAGGAAGGAATGTGGGTGTGGTTATAAAAGAGCAATATGAGGAATCCTGGTGTTAATCAGCATTTTGTATTTTGGGCGTATGAATATCAATATCTGGTTGTGATATTGCTCTATAGTTTTGCAAGATGTTACCATTAGGGGAAAGTGAGTAAAGAATACACAAAATCTTTCTGCATTATCTCTTACATTGGCATGTGGAACTAAAAATACCTCGGAATAAAAGTTTAACTGAAACTTTAAAAAATAATAGTGCTCAATAATTTTCCAAAGTTGGTGAAAGAGTTCACCCACAAATTTCATGAGGTTTTTAGAATAGAAAACAGTATGAATACAAAGAAAAACATCCTTAGATGTACTAATACTATTAGAAAAGCAAAGTTAAATTGAAAATCTTAAAAACAGCCAGAAGAAAAAGTATATTACGTTTAAAGCAGTAGCTATGGATTGATAACAGAAATGATAGGAAATGAATGGTAGAAGTAAATGAATGGTAGAAGTAAAGTGCCAAGAGTAAAAAATCAAACAAAAACAAAAACAAAAAATCCCTCATCATAAAACATAAGACAAATGAAGAAAAAAAGCAATCTAGCATTCTAAAGCCCATAGTAACATCCTTCTAAGGTGAGGCAAATCCAAATATTTTTAGACAAATAACTTCTGAGAGAACTCATTGGAAAGAGATCTGTATTAAAAGAAATTGCCAAAGGATTCTTCAGGCAGATGCAAACATGGAAATGCAGAAATAATGAAGCTCAAAAGAAATGGCAAACATATTTGTAAATATAAAGTAATACTAACTATACAAAAGGATAACAGAATCTTGGGGATTCAAAATAATTGCAAAATTGAAATGCATTGCAAAACTTATACAAAACGCAGAAAGAAATAATCATTTTAACTTATTCTAAACTCTAGCTTTGTTGGGGGAAGTGGTAAACATAATAATTTGATTTTGACTATAAAAAGCCAAGAATACATGTTATGATATCAAGAGTACCCATGAAAAGGTTAGTAAAAGAATAAATAACTAACAAGTTGTTAGTGAGGAGAGTGGAATAATGAAACTATCTCATTATTCCAAGAACTTAAAGAATGAAAAAGCTATACACAAAAGAGTAGCTAAATAAAATCATTGTGGTATAAGAGATAAAAACAACCATAACAGTAGTTACAATAAATGTAACTAGAAACAGCTACAGTTAGAACTAGAAACAGTCACAATTAGAAGAGTAAAAATAGTGAGACTTGATTAAAAGAAAAACTCCCTGCCACATACAAAAACAAATCTGAAGAATAAGAAAATAGAAAGTGAGATATAACATCAGAAATATATATCATAAAGCATCAACAATATAAAGTAAATATCACAAGAATATCTAATTTGAGTTCATTTTAAATTTTACTAGAGATTAACAAGATATTTTATATTGAAAAAGTACACCTGGAAGATATATCAATTCTAGTTAAGTGTGCACCTAACAACATATCATCAAAATATATTAAGCAAAAATGATCACACTGTAGGCTGTTAGGAAAGTCATAAAATTTCAAGTGATGGCAATAATTCAGATTTTGTTCTCTGATCTCAGTGGAATAAAGCTACAAATTAGTATCACAAAGATAACTACGAAAACAACCTCCAAATATTTTGATATTTGGGCAACAGATTTCCAACCAAAAAACAAATTAACAAGTGAAAAATACTAGTCAAAAAAGAAATCTCAAGATAAATTAGAAATATATTTAGAAATAAATCTTAATGAAGAATATTACATTTATACTTTTACAATGCAGTTAAAACACTGCTGAAGCAAATCTAGAACTTCAAAGTTTGAGAATCAATGTTCTAAATTTCGATTTAAAGAACTTAGTGAAAGAATTGCAAACAAATCTAAAGAATATATTAATAGAAGGAAGGAAATAATAAAGCTCTGAATAGAAATTGAACACATTTACAGTAGAGAAAGACAACAAAACCAAATGTTCATTCTTAGAATAGATTAATAAAATAAAACAAAATAGGCAACTTGTCAAGACAGAAGTGAGATAAGGCACAAACTATCAATAACAGGAAAATAAAAGTTGATATGACTACAGATCCAGTTTTAAAAGTAATAGGAATGTTGAAATACATTCATCATAATACATTTCAAAATTTAAATGAAATGAACAACTTCTTTAAGTAATTCAATTTTATCTAGACTGCATGACTTTCCAGAGTGGCTACACCATTTTACATTCCAACCAGGTTTGAATAAAGGTTCCAGTTTCTCCACATCCTTGCCAATACTTGCTATTATATGTTTTTTAAAAAGTTATAGCCAGCTAGTTGATATAAAGTTATGATGTTGTGGTTTGGTTTTTATTTTTTTGATTACTAATAATTAATGTCTTTAATTATTTTCCTGATTACTAATAATTATGTTAGTTGTGGGTTTTGTTGTTGTTGTAGATGCCTTGTATCTATCAGGTTAAAAAGTTTCATTCTATTTCTAGTTTATTATTTTTTAATTATAAAGCAGTGTTTGTTTTTGTCAAATGCCATATTTATGTCTATTAAGATGCTCCTATTTTTTGGTTTTTACTTTATTGATGTGATGTATTACATTAGTTGATATCCAGATACTGAAATAACCTTGCATACCTAGGAAAAATCTCACCTGATTATAACATATAACTCATTTTACATGGTGTTGGATTTTGTTTGTTTGTATATTATTAAGGATTTTTGTGTCTATATTCACAAGTTATTGGTCTGTAGTTTTATTTTCTTGTAATTTTTTTCTTGTTTCAGTACCAAAGTAATACTCATCCCATAGAACGAGTTGGGAAGTGTCCCTTGCTCTGCTAGCTTTTGGAAGAGTTTGTAAAGAATCTGTGTTAATTCCTCTTAAAACCTGTGGTAAAATTCACCAGTGAATCCATCTGAGCCTGGGATTTTCTTCGAAAAGTTTTGATTACTAATTCAATATAATTACTTCTTATAAGTCTACTCATATTTTTAAATTTTCTTTGGTGAGTTTTGATAGATTGTGTCTTTCTAGGAATACATGAGTCTCACCTGAATTATCTAATTTGCTGGCATTCAAATGTTCATACTCCTCACTTACATTCCTTTTCATTTTTCTAAAGTTGGTAATAATATCACATCTTTCATTCTTGATTTTCATATTGCGTCTTTCTTATTTTATTGGTTATAGTTAAAGTTTTGTCAATTTTGTTGGTCTCTTCGAAGAATCAGTTTTTTGATTTCACTGTTTTTCCTTTGTTATTTTTCTATTCTCTATCTCATTAATTTCTGCTTTGATCTTATTATTTCCTTTTTATATCCTTGCTTTAAGTTTAGTTTACAATTACTGGTGTTGTAAGACAGAAAGCTATTGATTTGAGACCTTTCTTGTTCATGTAGGCATTTACAGCTATAAATTTTGCTCTGAACACTGCTTTAACTACATCTCACAAGTTTTGGTATATGGTGTCCTTATCATTTATTTCAATGTATTTTCTAATATTCTGGTAATTTTTTCTTTCACTTGCTGTTTTTTCAGGAGTGTATTTAATTTTACTTATTTGTAATTTTCCCAAGTTTCCATCTCTTAATTTCTAATTTCATATCTTGTTTTTCAGAGACTGTACTTTGTATTATATCAAATTTTGTAAAGTTATTTGGGGCTTGTTTTAAGGTTACACTGGAGAATATTCCATATGCTCTTGAGAAGAATATATATTCTGCTGGGTTTGGATGGAGTATTCTATATATTGCTGTTAGATCTTAGGTTAAAATGTTTTTAAAGTCTTCTATCTCCTTGTTGATCTTCTTCCTAGTTATTTTACTCATTGTTGCAAGTAGAGCACTGAAATTTTTAACTCATATTGCTGAATTATCTATTTCTCTCTTCAAGTCTGTCAGTTTTGCTAAATTTATTTTAGGGCTCTGTTGTTTCCTGCATATATATTTAACATAGCTATTATCTTCCTGATGAATTAGCACTTTATAATGATAAAATGCCTCTCTTTATGCTAGAACATTTAAAAATTTAGTCGGATATTAGTACACATATTCTAGCTTTTCTTTTGTTGCTGTTGTATAATACATCATTTTTCCATTCTTTTACTTTTGACCTATTTGTATATTGAATCTAAATTATCTCTTATACGTAGGAGTATGTAGTTGAATGTTTTCTCCTCACCCAATCCAACAATTTCTGTCTTTAGATTAGATTGTTTAATCCATTCACATTTAATGTTATTATCAATATAGTTGTTTTATATCCTTTGTATTGGAGTTCTCCAGACAGAACTGATAGAAGATAGATAGATAGATAGATAGATAGATAGATAGATAGATAGATAGAGGTAGATATAGATATGAGAGAGAGAGAATTTAATGGGGAATTGGTTCACATGAGATAGATGATAGATCAATAGATAGATAGATGATAGATGATAGATAAGAAGGTAGATAGATGTAGATATAGATATGAGAGAGAGAATTTAATGGGGAATTGTCTCACATGAGATAGATGATAGATCAATAGACATAGATGATAGATGACAGATAGATAAGAAGATAGATAGATAGATGTAGATATAGATATGAGAGAGAGAATTTAATAGGGAATTGGCTCACATGATCACAGAAGCTGAGAATTCCAATAGACTGACCACAAGCTAGGGACTCTAGGAAGCTGGTAGCATGGCTCAGTCCAAGCCTGAAGGCCTCAGAACTAGGGAGGTCAATGGTGTAACTCTCAGCCTGAGGCCAAAGGCCTGAGGACCTGGGTCAGTTGGGGGCATTGGTGTTAAGTCCTGGAGTCCAAAACCTGGAAATCCTGAAATTCTGATTCAATTTTAGGATTAAAATTGACTCCTAAAATTAACTATCACATCATCCATTTGTTTCTTTCTAGATGTCTATGTCTTTTTTGTTCCTCTAGTTCTTTACTGCTTCCTTTTACTTAAGTGAATATTTTCGAGTGTGCAATTTTAACTCCTTTAATGACTTTTTTACTACATATTTTTGGAGTTTTTTTTTTTTTTAAATGGAGTCTTGCTATGTTGCTCAGGCTGTAGTGCAGTGGCTATTCACAGGCACAATTATAGCACTTCATAGCCTTAAACTCCTGGCCTCAAATAATCCTCTCACCTCAGCCACCTGAGTAGCTAGGAATACAGGTGCATACCCTCCACGCAGCTGCTAGATTTATTTTCTTAGTGGTTGCTCCAGGGCTTACTGCATACATTTTAACCTCATAGAATCTAGTTATTGTATCTTAATTCAGTGACATGTATATATATTGTTTTATATAATTTTATGTCTTTTATTAAAGTACAGAAAAACGCACAAGTATATATTTAAAGATGTTGTTATGGTAACCTTCTTATTTACTATTTCTGATTTTTTTCATTTGTTCCTATGGATTCAAGGAACCAGCTGGCTCCAGTACAGTTTTGTTTCCATCCTCTTTCTTTGTGTTAATATTGGCAAATATGTTATAATGATTCAAGTCCTAGACATATATGCAACATAAATATGTATTTTGTATCCCAGAATATATTTATAACAATGTTCATGGCAGCACTGTTCACGATAGCCCCAATCTGAATAAAAATAAAAATATCTCTCAGGCATAGATTGAGTAAATAAATTCTTATTTATTCACACAATATATAGAGCAATGAGAATAAATACTATCTAGTAATGAGAATGAACTACTACTACATAGACCAGAATGAATAAATTTCATTAATATAATGTTGAGTGGAAGAAGCCAATCATAAAAGATAACACAGTGCAATTCTAATTATATAACTTTCACAAACAGGCAAAAATAACCAATGGTAGGGCTAGTCAGGACTGTGGTAAACTTTAAGGAAAAGAATTGTTTCTACAAGGAGGCATAATGTAGGCCTCTGGGGTGCTAGTGCTCCATTTACTGACTCAGTTTGTTTTTTCATGGTTGTGTCTGCTTTATGCAAATTAATGAATTTCTTGTGTGTGTAGAACTGAGATCCTTGTTTTGTTTTGGCTAGTCCCAGAGTTTGCTCCTAGCATCTACAGGCCACCCTTAAACTTAGTCACATGGTTATCTCACAAAATCAGAGCTCCCTTTTTCAAAGTCAGCATTAGAATCTATAAAGGGTCTTACACGATATAATTTAATCAATAAAGAGTATCCCACCAAAATCACATATTCTGTTCACATTCAAAGTGAGTGAATTACACAGGATGGGTTCTCAAGAGGAGGCGAATCTTAGAGCTATCTTACAATCTGCCTAGGAAAGGGCTATAAAATTATCCTTGCATTTTCTTGTATGTTTGCATACTTACAAATTGATTTAAAATGTCAGTAAAAATGCTACTATAGGTGCTAGTATAGGTTGTTAGGGACGCTATATAGGCAGCTGAGGCTATCTGGGGTACTCATGGAAGGTTACTGAGAAGGATGGATTTTTCAAGAAGACCTTCATATGCAAAGAGCTGGACGAAAAAAGCAAGATGTCTTCAAGAATCTGGAAGTATTTTAGTTTGGGTACAGATTTGGGGTAAGAATTGACAGAGGAGAGACAAATGCAAAGGTTGGCTACATCTCTTCTCTGTTTAAAACCTTCAATTCTTTCTTATGGCTTATGGAAGGAAATCTGACACCCTTAATTAAGGCTTCCACATCCTCTTCTACCTTTCCTCAGCTTAATTTTTACTAACAACCCCTGAATTGGGTAAATTTGATCATATTGACCTTCCTATCATTTATTTTAAAATGTCATGCACCTTTCTGCCTTAAGTACTTCACAAGGCTGTTTGCTCCCTGTTACTCTTCACATACGTGAGACTCACTTTAAATGTTGCATTCTAAAGAAGTCCCATCACTGCTCTCATTTATGGTCTGTTGTATTTTCTCTCATTTCTGTTACCATAAATTATAATTATGATTACAAATAAAAGAATTGTATCACTCCTCCAACAACCTACAAAAGGAATGAATTTGGAGAGGGTCCTTGAAAAAAATTTAATTTAGTGTTGTGAGTCTTAAATTTTGGTTTTTGTAGAGTTCAGGAAGTATCTTTTAAAAGAAAAAGCCTTTGAGAAAAAATATTTCTTTTTCTCCTCATGAGTTTAGCCTATGTCGCCTCCAAGGAAAAAAGCCCTTGAATAAAATGTTCTCAATCTTTCTGCATCTTCTCACTTTAGTGTTTTCGGGATGAATCCAACATTTAACTCCTTCCCTGGCATCTGGCTTAAGGGGTGACTCTACCTATGCCTTTGTTCCCAACCTCGCCTGTCTCCTTGAGGTTCAGTCCATTAATTATTCATTCTTTCTACCCTATCCCCTTTTTAATTCACAAAATACACAAAAATATTCAAACTTTCCCAACTTAAAATAAAAGAAAGCAAAGACATAACTCCCTTCAACCTAGAATCCTTTCTAGCAGTCAACCCGACTTTCGCTAATCTTTCCCAGCCAAGCTTCCTCAAAGAGTGGGCTGCATTTTTCATCTTTTCCCTGTTTGTATTTCTCTTCTAATCCCACTTAATCTGTCTTTATGCAAGAATTACAATGTCATTTTTCAATACAACATACACTTTTCAATTCTTACCTTACTTATCCCACTATTTTTTTCAAATTATATGTTCATTCTTTCAGATTGATATCTAATCCCATGACTTATTCTGCTAATTACACATCGACAGAACCCAAGACAATATCTGTGTGTGTGTATATATATATATGTGTATATATATAAACATGTATACAAAGACTAGAAATTATTTTGTAGATGCCAACCCACACCTAAAACTCAACCAATGTCATCATCTTTCCCTACAAACCCGTTTTTCCTCTTACTAAACCTGTCTTTTAGAAAATCACCTGTGTCCCAAGCAAGAAACCTTGGAGTCATCCTAGGCTCCTTTTCCCACACTTTGCATTTCTGTCTATCTTGTGGCTTTTACCTCTGAATTATGTCTCATTTCCTTCCTTCCCATAGCATCCTTACAGACACCTTCTGCATTAGGCTCTCATTATTTCTTGTCTGGGAAACATTGCAAATCTTCCAAACAGAACTCCTTTCCTGTCTTTTTCCCTCTAATACAGTCTACACAATTGCCTCAAAGGGCTTTTCTTAAAATGAAAGCCTTATCTTGTCACTTCTCTGCTTAAAAGCTTTTTATGTAAACTAGTAAATTTTATGATAAGGTCAAACTCCTCATGGCAGCACATAAAACTTTTCCAAATTGGGTTAGTGACATTCTTGTAAGTTTCTGGAAAGTGTCATATTTTTCCTGTTTGACCTTTATATTTGCTGCTGCTTTTTGTTTCTGAGATATTTTTCTAACTTTATGTATGTGTGTAATGCTGGCTAGTCATTCAAGGCTTGGAAAAGCTCTTTTTCCAACCAGCCTATGTTGCCTTCCCAGGCTGATTGGCATGCCCCTCTGCTCTCATAGTGTCTTTGTTGTGTACACAATGATTTCACAGTATTTTAATTGTTGCAGTATGTTTCCAGATCCTAGCCTGAAATTTTGAAAATTTTTCAATTCCTTTCAAAAATCATGGTGGCTAGCATATAGTAGTAGTTCCTCAATATGTATAAATTGAATTAATTATAATTCATTTCATCTCAATGATAATTATCTTATGATATTACTATCTGTACATTACACACTCATTCAATACGTATTATTAAAATAATGCCAATATAATATAAAGTACATTTTGTTTTATGTACATTAATATAAAGATGAATAATATATTTTTATTCCTAACACTCAAGGACAGAGCAATTACTTAAAAGGCAGTGTGGAACATGAGACATGTTTATTTAAGGTCAGCTGTTTGGGAGTGTATGAGTAGAAATGAAGTAGAACTCTGTAGAGAGCCACAAATCAAACTTCTGAGACTTCTAGAGAGGAGAGATGGTTTCTCTTAGGGTAGAAGTTAGGATGTTTATAAAGGCAGAGGAAGTAGGCTTTGACCTCTGGTTTGACAAGAGGGTAGAGTCTGGATACATGGAAGTGGAGGGAAACACTATATGAGTCAGAATGAATAAGCTGAGCATAGAAAAACAGAAAAGCAGAAATTCCAGCATACAAGTGGAATGGTTTGGCCAAACAGAAGGGAGAGTAAGTAGCAACAGCGAGTAATGAAGGTTAAGAAAAATGAATGGATAAAGAAAATATCACATATATCCACACACACAATGGAATATAATCAGTCATAAAAAAGAATAAAATCCTGTCTTTTGTGACAACGTGGATGAATCTTGAAAACATTATGCTAAGTGAAATAAGCCAGATTAAAATAAACAAATATTGTAAGATCTCACTTGATGTAGAACCCAAGAAAAAATAATTGAACTCTTAGAACCAGAGAGTAGAAATGTGTTTCGCAGGGGCTGGGGATTGGGAGAAATGGGAGATGCTGGTCAGAGAATACAAACTTTCAGTTATAAGATTAACAACTTCAGGGATCTATTGTATAGCATGAATGGTGATGAAAGTGTTAATTTGATTGTGGTAATCATTACATATTGCATAAGTATTAATATATCAAATCATCACATTGTATACCTTGATTATATATAATCTTTATTTGTCAATTAAATATTCAAAAGAGTTTGGTTTGGATCACAATCTGGGAGAAAAATAAAGCCAAGTCTTTAAAAATAAGAAAGGAAAATATTCTGACTTTTTTTAGTTTGATTAAAAATAAAAATGTTCAAAGATTCACTGAAGTACATTTTATAGTAGCAGTACAGCACAATGGGGATTTCAAAAGTTTTTACATTCCACAGAGAGCTATTTCTTGAAAAAATAGTAATGTGGCATTTTATATTTATGCCCAATTCACTGAACTTTACTACAATTTGAAACAAACACAAGAATGGCAAATGTAGTAGACACAAGCCTAAACTCTTTAAGCTACTTAAAAGAATACCTATGTGATTAGTCATATTTTTCATAATCTTTATATAATTGAAATTTGTTAAAGATAGTAATATGTAGTATCTATAAATTCATGTATAAAGAAAATGATATTTTCGTTTAAAAGTACTCACAATTCCCCTTGTGCCTGAAAAAATCTATTTATTATATATTTAATTAATATACTCATCAATTATTCGTTATATGTCATTATTTGCCAGACCTTGTGATAGGTACAGAGTATTAAAAAGTGATTAAGACATGGTGCTAGCATCAAGAAAATCAATAGTTATATAATACATGGCTGTAAGAACACCAAACTCCATGGGAATATGACACAGGGAGAGAAAGCTCTAGGGAAAGCTTTTTGAGCAAAATGGTATTTGCACTGAGCCTCAAAGGATGACTAGGAGTATAGAAATCTGACTGAGGGGAGGTATCCTAGAAAGGGTATGGCACGAGCAAAAGTCCAGGGTGGGAAACAACTTGGTGTACAAAGAGAACTGCACACAACTCGGTAATGCGAGAGTCTACAGTGTAAAGATGGATGACAGTGGCTCAAAATAAGGAGGAGAGTCTGGCAGAGGCCAGATGATTGGGAAAGTTTGGATTTTGAAGAATCACTGAAGGGTTTTAAATAGCTGTGAGGAGGGAGGTTTTGATAAAGGCTAAGACAAGACACGGGGAGACAGAATAGGAAGCGGTTGGTGTAATCCAGATGAAAAATGACACCTATATAAACTAGGATAATAATTACAGCTGAGAGAGACAATAGATTCAAAACTGGTTTAGGATATAAATTATATGGACTTGAAATGGCCAACATTTCTTTTTGCGTGAAAGAAGGAGAGTCTTGAAGAAGACTAAGAGCAAGACAGACAGTGGTCAAGACAGAATCAGGAGAGAACAGTTCTTCAGGAACCAAGGCAATGTCAATATAATGATAAATAGCACCTTAATCCACACATATAAGCATCGACTACTAGAGAAAAGCCTCATAATATAATGATTGAAATGTGGCTGGTACTTAATCAAAATACTTTCTTGAAAAATTGTTTTATTTACCAAAAGCACCAAGGCATTAATAGACTGTGTTGATTTTTAAATGAGACAAATAGTCCCAGATCTAACACTAGTTATTTGAATTTCTATGTTCCTTTGATTGAGTCTCTTGAGAAACAGGTGGTGCATTACTATATTTCTTATCAATTTTTCCAGGAATTTTCTCCACAAAAACTTTAAAAGCACATTTGTAAACTCTGTCATTGATAAGCTCTAACTTATCTGTCATTGATAAGCTCTAACTAGCCTTAACTCCTTGTTTATTCATTACTGTACAATCACACAATTGGAGGTATTTTATTACTTTTCTACCGTAGTTGACTAGTAAGTACACCTTTCTTTCAAAATGTTTTCTTGACTCCTTGACAATGGAGAATTCTGAACTTCTCTCAATAGTCCAGCCCAGGAATGTAGATGCTTTTCTTCTTTCTCAAAAGTTTATGAATATATGTAAACTCTCTTGGATAAATCTCATCCTCAACTTCCTTTCCTTCTTCAAGTTAGATACCAAGAGTATGGGTATATTTTAAGCCAGTTTAGTGATACTTATAAATTTTCGACAGGAAAACTACACTAGCTCATTCATAAAACTATGAGTGACCATCAGTAAAAATGACAAGGTTTACTTATTTTTAAAGATGCAGGATCATTATTTAAAGTAGAATAGGAATGGGAGAAGGCAGCAACATTATTGCCATAATAGAAATTCTTTCTACTGCAATCAATCTATAAATACTGGGATCTATGCTATGTATGTAACAATTTGAATTTCTCTTAATTCTCTGTTACTTGGGGAGCCACTGTGGCACTTTAATTATTGCAAATTATGGAGAATTAGATTGATCAGAAAAACACACCTCCCAGTTTTTTCAATAAAAGTATGATTATTTTACATACATACAAGCATCAAAGCAAAAATGATCATATTACCAGAGCAAACTACTATAGACATTTTGTTTCTAAAAGTTTGAATTTTATGACTAAAATGCTGGAAAGTCAACATGGTTAAATTAGCTTGAGTCTGTAGCATCAGGGAGAATTAAAGACAGATTGGAAAACTATGAACAAGATATTTGGTATATCTCAAAGATGTATAAATATATCAGGGAAGCTTGGAGTTAGACTACAAAGCAGATATTATGTCATAAATATTTAAGACATTATTATATATTGAATTTTCTCATATCTTTAAATATTGGTCCCTATTTCACTTACTGATGTTTTTTACCTTTCATGTCGATAGGTCAGTGAATTAGATATACTTGTATTTTTTTAGGAAAGCATATTCAGACATGCTTCTGACTGATTGCCTTCCAAGGAATTCCAAGTGACCTCCTGTTGTAGAACAACAAAAACTTAGAATGTCATGTTCTTTGAGACATTTTCATTTCACAGAAGGTAGTGAAGACTTGAAGAATCTCTTCTACTACATTTACAGAAAAAATAGCGCAGGCTAGACCAGTAAGAACTGGATTTTTTTGCAAAGCCTGAGTCATTGGCAGTGAGGTAGAATGAGGTTGTCTAAGAAGAGATGCTGGTAGTATCACTGACATCATGAAATGGAATCTTAAGACAACTTAAATGTAGACGAAGTGACAATAGGACTCCCATTCACCTCTGGCTAATGAAAACATCCTTTTTGTAGGAAAACTCCCTTAATCCTCAACATATGCCAAAGGACTCCCATCAATTTAGTTTAAGCAATGTTCTCACAATCAAGAATTATCAAAAACACAAAAAGGCAAGTCAATCAAAACAACACACAACATATGTATATGGCCAAAAGCTCATATTTTAAACTACAATTTACAAAATACAGAAGATATGTATAAAGTATTTTAAAAGATTAAGTTCCCAACAACAAAAATGACCAGTTAAAAAAGGATGTTAAGAATGAACAAAGAGACATGAAAATAAAACAAATGAAACATCTAGAAATAAACCATATAATTCTTCAAATAAAAACATAATCAATAAAACACTTAATGGGCTGAGGTGATATTGAGAAATATTAAGGGTGAATTTAAAAGACCAAAGCATTTCTAATTGGAGTAATAGAATGAAAACAGAAGGAAGAAATGATGAGAGGACAATAAAAACCACCTTAATTTTAATCTCTCCACACATCCACATGTTAAAAGGTGAGCAAACAAATCATACATAGCTCATGCCTACAGTGAAATCAGGAGATAGAAAGACTGAAAATCACAATTTATAAGAAAGTAGAAAAATATATTTCTCAAGACCAGCAAGGCCAGGTCTAGAGCTCACATTGGAGTGAAGCATTGATCAGTGGCTACAGGGAAGCCTGCATGAGGCCCCTATGCATGGGCTAACACCAATATCATTAACAAGAGCATGCCCTCAGAGGAGAAGGCCTATTCTGAATATAAAATACTTGCAGAAAGTTTGAGATCTGATGGTTCAAATCCTAGCTTCTATATAAGTGAAACTTGAATAGCAATTATGAAAAGGCACTATTTCAAAACGAGAGAGGGGACCTTAGATGCATCTCTTGGTGAAAGAAGAGAAGGAAATGACAATACAATGACCCTTCAGAAACGAAATAGTACCCAAGGGTTAGAAGACATTAAAAATTTAGGCACTAAGTATTTAAATAAAATTCTCTTTAGCCTCAGAAAAGGAAGAAACTAGATTAAGAATCTAAGAAAGACACTTATTTGCCTTTTTCACTCTATTCATCCCACAGGATCGACTACAATTGCTGACTTAATAAGACATAACAGAAAAATTAACAACGATAACAACCACAAGAAAATCCAGGATTTATAAAAAATTACCATAAGAAAAAAAATACACTTTTGGCAGAGGAAGAAGATAAATATAGTATTTCATGATTATGAATCAGAGAAAAATTGGAAACGTTTCCATTTGACTACAATTTGATGAGTTAGTGTACACATGAAAACTCAACATAGAAAAGAATAAACAAACAGTAGGATGATGTGAAAAATACTCTGACAGAATCCAGATAAAACTATTGAGGAATAAGACCAAAATATCACAGAAATAAAATACCAACTTACAAAGTTAAATATATACATATGCATATATATAAAACTAAGGGTATACAGGACAAAAGTGAGGAGAGTCTAAAATAAAGAGGCAAAATGATCTAAAAGAAAGTGATAGCTGAAGAAGGCAGACAAAGAAGATAAAACAAATGTATAATTGGAGTCTCTGACTATTAAAAACCAAATCAATGGAAAAGAATTTAAGTGTAAAACTATCATTAAAATGTAATAGTACTTTTCCAATACAAAAGACCAGAAACTACATAATGAAAAGTTGCCCTGTATCTATTTGGGAGAATAGGTCCAGAATGGTCATCTTCTAGACTTGTCTTAGTAAAACTGCTATCCTTTATAGATAAAGAAAATAATTTTCTGGGCTAAAACTCCAAGCCATTTAGGAAGGAAAGAAAATCAGTAAACTTCTCAATATTAACACACAAAGCAAGGTAACAATAAAGCAACTTTTAAAATGAACTCAAGGAAAAAAAGTATGAGTTGAGGAGTTATCCAGCCAAATTGTTCCCCTAGTATCAAATCCCTACATGCAGGAACTCAAAAAATAGCACATGGTAAGCCTTTCCTGAGGACAATGCTGGTGAACAGGCTTCTCCTACCCAGGAAATGATAGTTTGAAAATTTTGCAAAGAGAATAGTAGTGAGCATCGAGTATATGCAATTGTAGGTCTAAGGCTAAAATGAGAATGAAAGAATAGTGTGAATATGCCTTGTGTTGGAAGAGTTAAAATAACTCAATTTTTAAAGTAGAATTCCAAGAGCAAGAGAAAGGAGAAAGTACAATAATAATTGGTAATAGGTACAAGTGAAAGGATATTATTTTAAATTGTTTAACAGAAGGCCAAGGCAGTTTTTTAGTAACTATTGTTTACCAAAAATGAACCCATCAAGACACAAAATTTAAAATTACCCATATCTATATAAACAAATTAGAAACTTTAAATAATCTTATCACCCTATAAACTGAGACATCTTATTGATGTTTTGACAGATAAATTCAAACTTCTAAATTCCAGATAATCCCAAAGCTATTTAATCTTTTAAAAGCACAGAAAATGAAAGAAAGCATGGAAATATTTATATGCATGAGTATTTTATATAAAATTTTAAATATACAAAGCAGACCACCATAGATTAATCTTCCCTATGTATATCAATGAAACATTTTATATAATGTATAATATATGTTATATTAGAAAAAATCTAATGATATATTAAAAATAATTTATCATGATCAAGTGATGTCTATTTTAGGATTTCAAAAAAGAACCAAAGTTACTAAATCCGTTAATAATATCTAATTTATTGATAAGTCTAAGAAGAAAATGGCATTATTCTTTCCATAAATTCTGGAAAATCATGCAAAAATACCCATTACTAATAAAAACATTTAATAAAATAATAATTATTTCTTAAATTGAGAAATTCATTCCTCCTCCCCAAACAGTTTTACTTAAAAATTTTAGACACATTCTTATAAAATCAAGATAAGAAAACCAACAATATCAGAGTTGAAGAATTGATTGGAAAGGTAAACATGTCAACAAAGAGGTTAAATATACTTGTAAATTATATAAGACTATATGTGAAAAACCCAAGAAGCTCAATGAAGAAAAAAGGCTATAATATTGGGGAATTCAGTAAGCATTAGGGTACAAATTTAGCATACAAAATCACTACAGTTCACACTCATTTGAGGAGGAAGAATGTTTTGTTTTTGTTTTGTTTTAAAGAAGAATGCCAGCTTATAAATATAAAGGAAGAATAGCGTTGGAAAAATCACTATTTTGATATTCATTGAAGTTATTGATTTAGGAATGGAGCATCAATGAATGTCAAAGCAATTAGTTGAAAGGATGACAGGGAACAAGACATTCACATGACACCAACTACCAACCTACAAATTGTGTACTAATTGCCAGTTGGAAGATATACCTTAATAATGGAGAAAACTGTCAGTTGCCACCTTGAAGAAATTATCAAACATGGCACAATTAATAGTGAAATTACAAGCCCTTAATGAGATGCATCATCTGTAAGGTATTCCTGCCAAAAATATTTAATCTGACTGTATTCAAACTTTTAGACATGTATTTTAATATTATAGAAAGTACAGAGGGCAAAGAAGTAAGTCAGACCACAAGAAACAATAAGATAAATTCAAAAGGTGTATACTCTATAACTGGCTTGATCTTTTAAAAAAGTCAATGTATGTACATATGTAAAATATGAGTGGAGTTTGTTCTGTATCAAATAGCCTAAAGAGACCAAAAATGCAATATATGTATCTTTATTATATGCTAGTTTAAAAAGAACAGCTGTAGAAGACATTTGGAGGACAACTGGGAATGACAATATGAATATGGACTGGGTATTAGGAAAATGGTTTTAATTTCCCTTGGTGTGCTAATTATACTGTGGTTACTAGGTGAATTTTACTATTTTTAGAAAATGCACTGAAAAATTATGACAGTTGCAACTTACTTTCAAATGGTTCAGCAAAAACTAGCTTGAGAAAAATATTACTAATTTTTGAATCAAGGTGTAGGCTGTATACTCATTGTACTTTTCTATACATTTGAGTATTAAAAAGTGAGAAGATAATGGTGGAGAATTTTCCATAAAGGATGAAAAATATGATTCGCAGATTTAAGAGTGAGCAATAATAGTCAGAAAAGTAACAGCTTATGTAGGACAACTGAGCATTGGGTTTCATTAGTGAAAGGATATATGTATATTTTATAAACAGATATAAAAATGAAAAGAAAATCGAAAGTAAAGCACTAGCACTGATTACTTAATTTTCAAAACATAAAAATTCATTTGAAGAAAATACTGAATGAATATTGCTATGTTAAATAAAAGACTACAATCAAGTTATAAATATGCATGTAGATTTTAATCTTGTTTTAAAATACGACATATAGTAAGTAACACTGAAGGTTCTATGTAAAGGAAGATCAAGTAATAGATATCTTCTATTTCAGTAAAAAAACTATCTAAAAAGGAACTAATACTGAAGAAACTGTCATATTGACATTATACAGAGACTACAGTTCTACTGAGAATTATCATAGAACAATATGTTTATTCTGACAAACAAGTGACAGCCTAGCATAATGATGAAAAGCATGCGATCTGGAACCAGAGTGCTTCAATTGGGATTTTGGCTTTACCACTGACTAGCTGTGTGGTATTGGGCAGTTACTTTACTACTTTATGCTTCTGAAAAAGGCACTTACATCACTCTGTAAGTTCTTAGAATGGTGTGTGGCGTATTTTAAGTCCTATTTAAGCATTTGTAAAATTAAACATAACATAATTGTCTCCTGTTTTGGGTGCTAATTAGCTATTTATATCTTAAAAACAAAATAATTTTGTATAAATTAAGTTTTCAGGGTATAATTCAAGTATCAAATGCTCCAAGACACTCTCATTTTACTTCCAGAAAAGGGGCCTGAGTTGTAACCATATTCATGGAATCAGATTTAAAAAGAAATTATAGTATAACACCAATGCTCAGATTTTCTAGCAATTATATGTAAATGATTTTTTAAAAGCAAATTACATACTCTAATCACATTTAGCACATTTTATCCTCTCTCAAAATTTCTCGCCGTAATAGTTTAATTCAACTTGTAGCAATCAAAATCATATGGCACTAGATACTATGCTAAAGAAGGCAAAACAAAATTATATTTAAATATATTAAAATAATAAGAGTTTGGAATTTGGACTCAGAATTTTCTAGATTGATGTGTTGTTAACAATATATATACACACACACACCAGCATATGTGTGTGTGTGTGTGTGTGTATGTGTGTGTGTGTATGTTTGTGTGTGTATGTATGTATAAAACTTGGGAAAATAAATAATTTAACCTCTCCAAGTTTAAATTTCCTTATCTGTAAAATGGCATTTATAATACATTTAAGCAAGGAGATTAAAAAGCCTCTACAGGAACTGTAAAACACTGATAAAATAAATTGTAGATGTCACAAACAAATGGAAAAACATTCTAGGCTCATGGATTGGAAGAATCAGCATCGTTAAAATGACGATACTGCCCAAAACAATCTACAGCTTCAATGCAATCTTTATCAAATTACCAATGTCACTTTTTAACAGAATTAGCAAAAACAATCCCAAGATCTAATCCTAAAAACGCTCAATCTCACTAATCATCAGAGAAATGCAAATTAAAACCACAATGAGACTCCTCCATCTTACACCAGTCAGAATGACTATTATTAAAAAAACAAACAAACAAAAAAAACAGATGTTGACGATGTGGAGAAAAGAGAACACTTATACACTCTTGGTGGGAATGTAAACTAATACAACCGTTATGAAAAGCAGTATAGAGATTTCTCAAAGAACTAAAAATAGAGCTACCATTTGATCTGGGTATATACCCAAAGGGTAAGAAACAATTATAGCAAAAAGATACCTGCACTGGTATGTTTATTGAAGCACTACTCATAATAGCAAAGATCTGGAATCAATTGAAGTCTCCATCATCAGATGACTGGATAAAGAAAATGTGGTATACTACAGTGGAATACTACTGATGGACTACTACTCAGCCATTAAAAATGAAATAATGTCTTTTGCAGCAACATGGATGGAAATGGAGGCCATTGTTCTGAGGGAAATAACTCAGAAACAGAAAGTCAAATACAGCATGTTCTCAATGGGAGCCAAACAATGGCTACATATGGACATACAGAGCAGACACTGAAGACCACAAATGGTCGGAGGATGCAAGGGGGATGAAAGTTGAAAATTTACCTATTGAGTATAATGTTCACTATTCAGGTGATGGTTTCAGTAAAAACCCAGAATTCACCATGGTGCATGTAAGAAATGCATATGTATGTAAGAAATCCACACTTGTACCCCTAAATATATAAAAATAAAATAAATTGTAAAAAGATAAAAAAGTCAATAAAAATGTATTGCATAGAGTCCCTATGAAGATTAAATCATGTATTTATAGAATTTAAACAATATTTATATAGTTCCTGATGCCTGTAGTGCTTAATATATGACCTACCGTGTTAATGTCATAGTAATTAATCAATAAATAGTTAGGCCCGAGAGCTAGATTTTATCTTGCATAGCCATACTTGTGTGTCTCTAGTTTTCAACAAAGTGCTGAGCATGTAGTGGGTGCTTAATAGATATTTGCTAACTAGCAGTTTAGAGTTATTGAACATCTACTTTGCCAGGTTCTGTGCAGAGTGTTTGGGAGAACAAATGATGTATTCAATTTTGTCTCTTACCATGAGAAACATAGTCTAATGCTCATGAAAATCTGTTCCAAAGCTTAATATCAATTGTTCTGGCCTTCATCTGTATAAATTCTGATCTTGATAAAGCAATTGTATAATAACTACATAAGTTAAAGTATTAGATTATTCTCATTTCCTCTAATGAAAATGCATGCATTACTTTCACTTACAAAGCCGAAGCATTGCAGGCGTAGCTTAGTAGTTACCAGTTTTCCAAATAAAAGTCTTACAATACTTAGGCTGGGCACGGTGACTGGTGCCTGTAATCCCAGCACTTTGGGAGGCCAAGGCGGGCAGATCACTTGAGGTCAGGAGTTCGAGACCAGCCTGGCTGAAATGGTAAAACCCTGTCTCTAAAAAAAACAAAAAAAATTAGCCAGGTGTGGTGGCACCCACCTATTATCCCAGCTACTTGGGAAGCTGAGGCAGGAGAATCATTTGAACCTGAGAGGCGGAGGTTGGAGTGAGCCAAGATCGTGCCATTGCACTCTAGCCTAGGCAACAGAGGGAGACTCCATCTCAAAATAAAAAGTCTTATAATATTTAGTAAGATAGTAGATGATGTTAGCCTTTACGAACATGAAATAAATACAAATACATTTAAGAGAAACTGAATTGGGGAGATTGGTCTTGATTTCTAGCTGATTGCCAAAAGAATGAGTGACCTGTTTTTATATTCTAGTATCTTATCCTTGCATCTAGGTCTAAAAATCTTAAGGTTTCTTCTCCTCACACTTAGAAATCTTTGATAACTTGGCCAGGGACACACAATTGCTATTTGGCATAGCTATGACTTGAACATAAATCTGATCACCCACCTTTTTTCCAACCATTTAAAAATCCAGTCTCATGGTAGCCCAAACTCATTTTTGATGGCCTAGAGAGACAACTTCTCATATACTACTGTTTTAATATAAAATAAGTACAGCATATACCTGTTAAAAATGAAAACGTTTACAAGACAAAGCTAAGTATAAGCAAAAAAATAACCACAGTAATTTCAGAATCTCAATGTTCCTACTTAACATTTAAAATGTTTTAGAGGAAAAAAATTAAACAAGCATTATCAATTTTATGATAATGCTACAAACTATAATTCAATGCAAAATGAAGCCATTCATGTTTGCTACAAGTAGCTACTTTGAGACTGAAGGAGCAGGCACCATCTTTGCTGCTCTCCAGCCTCCTTGAGTGACATCTCTAGGCAGGGGAGCGAGTCAGATGAATAGGACCTGATGTGAACCCCTAGCAAACTACAGCAGCCCTACAGAAGAGGGACCTGACTATTGAAAGAAAAATGAACAAAGGTAATTTAAACTTTTATTCTGAAGGGTAAGACTGCAGGTATGGAGATATAGAAATGCCTTATATAACTTGTATTTGACTGACTCTAACAAAATAAATGATTCCTCACTTTAACTCAGCTTTGACATTTATTATGTATGGTAAAACATTGTATTAGAAATGGAACTGTGCTATTTTTTATTCATAGATATTTTTGGCAATTGCAAGAAATACATATAATGACTTTGTGGGCGTTGCATAATGGTACACACAACTGTCTCCTGTGTTTATGCTACTTTAAAAAATTCAACTGAAAAAGCAAAGATGTCACAACTTACCCTACTTTAGTTGCTTCAGTCAGCTAAATAATCAGAACAGAACCAAAAGAAAAAAAATACAAATGGCACAATAAAGAAAAAGTGAATTCAAACCTCAGGCTTATGATGTCCCAGGGCAGATTTTAGTTGTTCTGGTTTAAGTTCATTCCTTTTCTCCCATAACGTCTGTGTCTCACAGTTTTAACCAATATGTTACAAAGTGGTAGCCTATTTTTGGCGGGTTTCATTTTTGTGATATATCTGCATTTCACTGGCTATGTTTGTCAACTATGAAACAATCAGCTTCCCAATTGAGGCCTCTAATTTTGCATATTTCAGGGCATAAAATATTCTTTATGGATGAAATTTTGTCTGCTTAATCCATCTGCCAGCAAGTTCTTTTTTTCTGGCCAAATATTGCTTAGGGTCTTCAAGTGTTTCTTCATCTGTGAAATGAAAAGTGGTACTTCCAACCTAAAATGCCCTGATCTTCATGTCCCTTTGTAAGTTCAAAAATCTTTCTACAGAGTTATACACTAAACAGCAAAGAACATGGGACTCTAAATGAACTCTTAGCTGTCTCTAAGTCTCTACAGTGAAGCCCTAATGCTAAACTGGGTTTTGCCAATTTTCAGTATTTATAATTCTTTTGGAGTGTTCTAAGTCGAGTGATTTGTCCTCAGGAAAAACACTAGCCATCAATTTGCTTTTTGTGGAAAGGTAACTTTTACCCTCTAAACATAAAAGATCAACTTGGAAGGTCAAAGTTTGTAAGAAGTATAGATTGCCTGGATAAGCAGTTTAATTCTGTCCCCTCAAAAAGATATGTTGAAGTCCTAACCCCCAGTACCTCCGACTTAGTTTAGAAATGTGATCTAGTTTAAAGATGGGTTCTTTACTAAGGTAATGAAGTTAAGGTAATCAAGTTAAAATTAGTGAAAAGACAGAGAAAGAAGACAGCCAATTACAAGCCAAGGAACACCTAAGGTTACCAGGTGCTAGGGGAAAGGCCTGAGACAGATCTCTCTCTAGCATCTTCAGAGGGAGCATGCCCCCACTACACCTAAATTTTGGACTTTTAGTCTACAGAACTGTGAAGCAATAAACTTCTGATTTTTTAAGCCGTGCCAGTTTCTGGTACATTATTACAGCAGCCCTTAACAGTATGCTTATACCATCATATAAGATACTCCCAACATTCTAACTCAGTTTCCTGGTAGTAACTTGTGATAACTATATTGTATTATGGTAGAATATCCTAGAAGTTTCTAGAAGCAGCTCTCAGATTAGAATAATTTCTTTCCATTATGAAATAGAGTCATTCTTGAATTTTTTTTACATCCTCATGAAATAAACCATGATATAAAATATTTATAAAGCAAATAGCAATTTTACAACTTACTTGCTTCATCTTTGTGTTTTTAATTTACAGGTAGTTTTAGACACAAAAGATTTCTGGAGGATTTACAGAAATATTTGTATAACAAATCTCTACAGATGTTTTCCCTGTATACTGACTGTGAGAATCGTTGCTTTTATCTGTTTGTATCTTAGGGGAAACCATCAAATAAAAGTTTAAGGATAGCTTCATTTTTATCAAGGGAGAAATGTGCAAAAATAGATAGTGAAAAAGAATGAGGCCTAAAAATAACATATTACAATTTCAGATTTGTTTTCCCAATCCTTTATATGGTCTCAAGTAAAATTCTCTCTTTAACTTTATAGGCATTTTCAAAAATACTATAAGAATTCCAAAACCTCACTTACAAAATGTCTCCCACTCCATCCCTATCACACCACAGAATGACATCCAGATAACTTGTCAATATTTTGTAATCTTTAGAGATAAAATTAAAAATTGTAGTGACACTGGGTTCTAATCAACTGATAAGCAAATGATTAAGTATACCTTACCACAAGTGTAACAGCAATTAAGTAAATAAAACTAAGACCTAAAAAGGTAGCAGAATAACTACATGTAAAGTTTATCATGGGATAAAAGAGTATTAACTTTTTTCATAGCCTCACAATAAGATTTTTCAAAAAACCCCAACATTTAGTGGTTTTTTAATTTATAAAAGAAATCCTACAAAGCCATGAAACATATTGAGAAACTATAATAACTTATAAAGATGTTAATAAATCAGCAATACCCTATAACTCAAGGATAAGTTCTATTTAAAATTTGAATTTTCTATCAAATATATACACATACCAAACACATGGACAAATACATCTGCATTTGATTTAATGTAATTTAAAACTAGTATATAATTATGTACTCCCATATATTTAACAAAATTACTATTATCTTTTTACCCTGTTTTGTTTAAATTTTTATCACTTTACATTATATCAAGATAATTTCCATGACATTTGTTAATAGTTGTTTTTATAGCTCCAGCATGTTTCAGTTAACCATCTCCCAATTGTTTGGCATTTATTCTTGAATATGCTGGAAGTTTCAGAATATTTAACAGGGTGAGTGTTTGATAAACACTGTTGAAAGACAAGCTTATTATTTTTAACTTGAAGATAGATGCATCACACTTTTTGCTAATCAACAGTAACAGAAAAATCAGAGAACTCCTTATTTCTGTTCACCCTCAACAGAATTGTTTCCTAACAATACTTTAAAATATTTTAAGAATAAGGCCAGGCACAGTGGCTCATGCCTGTAATCCCAGCACTTTGGGAGGCCGAGGGGGGTGGATACTTGAGGTAAGGAGTTCGAGACCAGCCTGGCCAACATGGTGAAACCCTGTCTCTACTAAAAATACAAAAATTAGCAGGGTGTGGTTCAGGCGCCTGTAATCCCAGCTACTCAGGAGGCTGAGGCAGGAGAATCGCTTGAACCCGGGAGGCGGAGTTTGCCGTGATCTGAGATCCTGCCACTGCACTCCAGCCTGGGTGACAGAGCAAGACTCCATCTCAAAAATAAATAAATAAATAAATAATATTTTAAGAATACAACTAAGATCACATTATTTATTTGTTTAATTTGTACTTTATCCTAAATAGCTTTTAATTGAATCAAGCCTCTGTGGGAACATTATTTTATTCATTGTAGTTTTTCAGAAACATAGATGGGTTCATTTTCTTATAATGTTATATTTTCTGAATTGTGTTTAATTTGGGAGGTCAAATGGCAAAATGCTGCTAAACATTAAATTTATGACAGAAACCGCCGAAGTTTGAAATCACAAATAATTTTTCATTAGTCTTCTGAATGTTCTTGAAAGAGTAATGGCAGACATTTTTTAAAAATATCACTGATAGCGAAATTATTAATTTAAGATTCTAAGAAGCAAGTTGAGGCACACAGTGGCTTGGGCTATATGGAAGAGTAGATTGGAACTCTAGATAATATAAAGGAATTAAGTAGAAAAGTAGAGCAAGCAACAAAAACAAACAAACAAACCCAAGCCTTATGCAATGCAGAGTTAACCTGGAAACCTAAGTAAGTCAAGATGGTTTATGTCAGATAAATTTTTAGGATATATTCTTAGCTATCCTGTGGATTAAGGAGCTAGTGCATCTTCCAAAATAACAAATCTTATTGTTAGAGAGTAATGAGGCATTGAAGAATATCTTCATTGGTGTAAGAATTCACCAGAAAGGTCATCAAGAAAGACCTAGAATTTATTTTTCTCTATGCAGACCTAGCTTAAGGCTCACCCATAAGAAATGAAATAGATTTCTAAAAGCTTCATCTATTTAGTTGCACAGATTTCAGTAGTTTGGCTTTGACTGATCATCAATTTGTTTGTTTGTTTTTTGTTTGAGATAGAGTCTCGGTCTGTCACTGAGGCTAGAGTGCAATGGCGCGATCTTGACACACTGCAACCTCCGCTTCTCAGGTTCAAGTGATTTTCCTGCCTCAACCTCTCTAGTAGCTGGGATCACAGGCGTGCACCACCTCGCCCAGCTAATTTTTGTATTTTTAGTACAGACGGGGCTTTGCCATGTTGGTCAAGCTGGTCTCGAACTCCTGACCTCAGGTGATCCTCCTGCCTCGGCTCCCAAAGTTCTGGGATTACATGCATAAGCCACTGCACCCAGCCTGATCATCAATGTTTTCACCCCTTACATTCATTATTAGAAACAAAGTTACAGTTAGTTAAAGTGTAGATAAGTATCAACACTAGATAAAAATCATCTCAAGAAAGAGATAAAAGAAAACATGCAGGATGGCAAATATCCTGATGAAGGCGAGAAACTCTTCTGATTTAGGATTACAACAATAAGTACTTCAAAGGCTCCTTCTCATAAAGACAGAAAAATAAAGCCACTTGTGAAAGTAGTCTTCTCACTTTTCTATAAATACAAGTGGACTTGAATTTATGTGATGCTCACCCTTCAAATAAATGTTTTCTAGTGACACGAAGATTCAGAAAGTGCTTCAAAAGCAATAACTGGGATGGACGCTGTGTTGTAATAATTTGGATACACTTGACTAATGTAGTTATTTGCAATGAGGTTGGCTCAGTGCCCAAAGCGGTGAGCAAACAAATATAGCTCGACAATTGTTTCATGCTTTCCAAGACAGCCAGAAAGATTTTTGCTCAGTCCAGGGGCGCCAGTGGTCACTGCTGACTCTGGTCAGCAAAACCTCCTTAGATATATTTTTAAACAGTCTTTGTTAAATTTACCAATGTATTTTATATAAAAATGCTGGTGAGGCACGAGCATTTTTAATCAAATTAGTATGCAACATAAGGCAGCTGTGTATTCAAATGGGTTTTTTAGCAATTTGGTTGTTTTCCTTATAATAACAGGAAAGAACATTTTGATTTTGAAGGTGACAGAGGCAATATTACCAGAATTAAACAATCTGAATTAGCTTTTTCATGAAATGTAATATGTTTTATGCTTTTAGATGGGATGCTCCAGTGCTTTCAGATGAGCCTTCCACTGTCACAGTCAATGACCAGGAACAGAATAAGCTCTGGAGGTAGGATTATCCTCAAATTTAATTTTTTTTTAGAAGAAGCTAATGGCAAATGTTTCTAGCAAACTTTAGGTTCATCTATGTTATAACTAGAGAACCAAGACAGGATATTAAAAGAACAGATAAGTATAAAATTAGTAAACAAAGTTTGACATTTTGCTTATTCTATGAATTTAATGCTGAAAATGAATATAATCCCTAAAATCATAAACAGCAGGCATGTCAGACAAAAGCTGCAAAATTTCATTTCTTTGTCAACTTAGGTAAATTCAGAACTCTAGTACATAATAGGGTAACAAGATTACAAATTTAACTTTAAGTTATATGATAACAATTTTTACTACTGAGAGTTTGCAGCAAGGCTGATTAAACATGCAAAGAGAGTCTCTTGTTATTTCTACACTTTGTATGGATTTGTATTCAAAAGAGCCGCATTTAGAGTCCATCCAAATCACTATAAAGAAGGAAAATTCTTGTTCATATTGATTAAGAGGAAACAAAAACCTAGAGGAAGAGAAAAACATATATGTAGTGTTTGAGGAATATTTGGAATTTTTGAAATGAATAGCTCCTATAAAATCCTTTATTATTATTTAAGGTTAGCCTGTGTGGTTTTGAAAATGACAAGGAAGTTTCTGTGCTAGCTCCTCATAAGCCCTTTATTTTACTAATCTTTTAGGAAGCAGGATTTAAAAAAATTTTTTTTAACAACTAGAACTACCTATTATTAACATGTATTTTGGTAGGGAAAGGTAATGCTGATAAGTTTGAAATTCCTGATATTGGTAAGTCATTTCTTCATCTTCAGAAAAGGAATGTCTAAATGTCCTTCCCTAGAAGATGCATATATAGAAACTTTCCACCCTAAAGCTGGACAAATAGAGATTAATGCCAATGATTGCAACATAGCCTAGGAGCCATATGATCTAGCTTCAAAAGAAATAATATCTGCCTAATAGAATAATAAGTGCATGCACTGGGGACCACATAGATGCTCTACAAATATTAGCAAGAGCAATGTGACCAAAGCAGGCTGCTAGTGTTCTGGATGAAAGGATTAAAGCCATCTGGTGTCTGGACATCAGCCTGAAAATCACAAGCTTCGATCCATAAAATAATCCATTTACACAGTCTACCTACTGAGATGGCTTTCCCTACGGATTTGTTTCATTACCCCAAATCACTCCCTGTAACCTGTGGAAAGGTCTAATGTCACCTAGATAATAATAAAGAAGAACTTATTATTTCATTTATGGAACACATTTATTACAGTGATTCAAATAGTTGAGGGCTCCATACTCAGAGGAAAAAAACGGATTGAAATGGTGGACGGACATAGGTAATACTTTGTGATGAAAACTGTATTTTCTTCTTCATGAAAAAACAAAAATGAATTAAGAATATGTTCAGTTGTCTTCCTTGTAAGAAGGGCAAGTAACTCCAAAATAAGAGTTTCCAGGGGTAAAAATAATAATTCAACATTGTAAATTCAAACAACATTTACTGATAATATATTAGATGTCAATAGAGATAAAAATAAGTTATGGGGGTTTCCACCTTCAGAGATTGAAAAGTCGAAAAAAGAAAAATATATACAAATGAAACAACCTAAGTATACAGTCAAAGCAGTGCTGAAATTAGTAAAATGATGCTCAATGTTTCAAGAACGCATTTGTATCTCAAGTTATGTAAATTTTAAAATACAATTCAGTTTTAAAATGTATCTGGGTAACACTTTATGACAACTTTTTGTTTTGAAATTGTATTTCTGTTGCTTTAGAAAAGTATTTTGAATAATATTATACAAAATAATAAGTACATAAAATCCTTATAATGTAATGGTAAAATATTATTTTATGTTAAAATATAGTTTTCATATACTATTTATGCTCTAAAACTTAAAACATCATACCAGAATGTCCAAGATCTACTCAGAGCAAGGTGTCCAGTGCTTTTCTTTGCCCTTTTTGTGTAGTTAATTCACATTCTCTATCCCCGTGAAAATACACCCTTTCCTATAATTATTAATACTTTAGTCTACTACCTACTTTAGTCTTTCCCACTGAGATGAATCCTCTTGAACTGAGTTCACTTCGCAATAAATATTTCCATGAGCTGTGTCATCAAATCAAATAAATATGACAGTCATTACACATTTTTCTTTTTTCTTCAACTTTTTATTCTAAGTTCAGGGGTGTATGTGCAGAATGTGCAGGTTTGTTACATAGGTAAATGTGTGCCATGGTGGTTTCTTGCACAGATCACCCCATCACCTAGACATTAGGCCCAGCATCCATTAGTTATTCTTCTTGATGCTCTACCTGCCCCCCATACCCCAACAGGCTGCACTGTGTGTTGTTCCCCTACATGTGTCCACGTATTCTCATCATTCAGCTCCCACTTACAACTGAGAACATGCAGTGTTTGGTTTTCTCTTCCTGCGTTAGTTTGATGAGGATAATGGCTTCCAACTCCATCCATGTCCCTGCAAAAGACATGATCTCATTCCTTTTTATGGCTGCATAGCATTCCATGGTATATATGTACCACATTTTCTTTATCCAGTTTATCATTGATTGGCATTTAGGTAGATTCTATGTCTTTGCTATTGTGAAGAGTGCTGCAGTGAACATATGCTTGCATGCATCTTTATAATAGAATGATTTATATTCCTTTGGGTACATACCCAGTAATGGGATTGCTGGATCAAACGGTATTTCTACCTGTAGGTCTTTGAGGAATTGCCACACTGTCTTCCACAATAGTTGAACAAATTTATACTCCTACCAACAGTGTGAAAGTGTTGCTTTTACTCCACTTCTCCACACCTCGCCATCATCTGTTGTTTTTTGGCTTTTAAATAGTAGCCATTCTGACTGGTGTGAGATGGTATCTCATTGTGGTTTGAATTTGCATTTCTCTAATGATCAGAGATGTCGAGCATTTTTTCATGTTTGTTGGCTGCATGTATGTCTTCTTTTGAAAAGTGTCTGTTCATGTCCTTTGCCTACTTTTTAATGCTTTTTTTTCTTGTAAATTTGCTTAACTTCTTCATAGACTCTGGATATTAGACCTTTGTCAGATGAACACACTGAAACAATTTTCTCTCATTTTGCAGGTTGTCTGTTCACTCTGATGATAGTTTATTTTGCTGTGCAGAAGCTCTTTAGTTTAATTAGATCCCATTTGGCATATTTTTCATGTGAAAAAAAATCTGATCTTATCTTTAACTTCCTATTCTTTTTCTTTTTTTTAAGACAGGGTCTCTCACTCTGTCACCCAGGCTGGAGTGCAGTGGCATGAACATGGCTCACTGTAGGCCCAATCTTCTGGGATCAACGGTTCCTCCCGCCTCAGCCTCCTGTGTAGCTGGGACAGCAGGTGCACGCCACCATGCCCCGCTAATTTTTTGCAGAGATGGATTCTTACTTTGTTGCCCAGGCTGGTTTCGAACTTCTGGGCTCAAGCAATCGTCCTGACTCAGTCTCCCAAAGTGCTGGGATTACAGGTTTGAGCCACCATGCCCAGCCACTTCTTATTCTTTATGAATGTTCTCTAACACTTAACATGAAAAGCTTTTGCCTATACAATGAAGCTATAAGTTCAATGAGGAAGTGACACAATCTTATAATTATCTTCAATTCTTTCTACCACCAACTCTTATGCAACTACTATAGGGATAGGTTTATTACAAGAACTCAATGGATAATTTTTTTTTTTTTTTGAGAAGGAGTCTTGCTCTGTCACCCAGGCCGGAGTGCAGTGGCACCATGTTGGCTCCCTGCAACCTCCACCTCTGGGTTCAAGTGATTCTCGTGCCTCAGCCTCTTGAGTAGCTAGGATTACAGTGCATGCTACCATGCATGGCTCATTTTTGTATTTTTAGCAGAGACAGGGTTTCACCATGTTGACCAGGCTGGTCTCAAACTCCTGACCTCAAGTGATCTGCACATCTTGGCCCCACAAATTGCTGTGATTACGGTGTGAGCCACTGCACCTGGCCTCAATGGAAGATTATTAAATAAATGAAAAAATAAAATTGCCTATGGGGACACACATGCTTATGCTACTTACTACATGTGATTGAAATGTCAATTCTACCATCATCTGGCTTCTGCCTTCATCTTAGTGGGGAGAGAAGGGATGAGCAGGGGTCAGTTCACAATCATCAAGCAAACATCTATTGACTATCACCTGTGTGCCAGGAAAGATGTCAAGTTAAAAGTAATTTCTGCTCTCTGTATTGTATAATACAATTTGTTTCTAAGATTGTCATCAAATATGGTTTCAAGCTTATGAACTGGAGTTGGCAAATTATCTGTATGGTTACCAATTAGCATTGGTGACAACATATTGATAAACGTGGCAGGGCCATAAAATCACCCCTATTAAAAATGATTTTTTATGGTTCCTCTCACAGTAAAGGGAAGTCTGGAAGATGGGGAAAATGGAAAGAATCAGAACAGATATAGGGATAAATAATAAAAGTGAGAAGATTGAGAAATATTGAGAGTTTTATCCATGAAGAAACTGGCATAGATTCAGAAATTCACAATATTAGAAGTTGGAAAATGTAATTCATCCTAATTTGGGGAAAGAAATGAGAGAGTCAGGCATAAGAGGTTATAAATTCAATGCTAAAGGGAGATCCATCATTGGTGGAGGGTAAACTCAGGCTAGAGTAAAAAGCAAATATACTTAATCACGTATTGTGAGTATACTTTTCCAGTTTATAGACCATTATGTGCAGGATGAGCTCAGTTTTGCCAAAAGAGGGTCTGGAATTGTAGATATCATAAAATTAGAAAAGTCATCTTTGATGTTGGAATTGCTGGTGTTTATAAGTTTTTCCTTTTTTTTTTTTTGCTTTCCACTATTTTTCCAATATTCTGTAATAAGCACATATTAACAGTATAGACAGAAAAAAAGGAAAAAAGTCAAAACTTTACAATAACTAACTAACTAAATAAGCAAGCAAGCAGAATAAAAGACATTATTTATTCAGTCATGTAGTGAAAGTCAGGAGCCAAGAACATTAAATGACTGACCTGGGGGACTATGAGAAAACTACATAAGTTTCTAAGGATCAATTGAACATAGCAAGACTTTATTTCAATAAAGCACACAACAGCATGGGCCTTAGGGGCAAAGTTGTTTCATTTATTTGATTTTGGATTTATATCTATATAAAATGGGGCTATTTATACCTGCTTCAAAGGGTGGTTATAAATACTAAGTGAAACATTGCTTATGAAGCATTTAGAACAATAATGACATATAAGGCACTGTTGGGTTGTGAAGTCTAGAAAGATCCTTAAGAATCATCCAGCCCAGTGTTTTGCAAACTGCAGGTTGCAACTCATTTAAGGTTAGGATATTAATTTAGAGAGACGTAACTGAATTTTTTTTTTAGATGGAGTTTCGCTCTTGTCACCCAGGCTGGAGTGCAATGGCGCGATCTGGGCTCACTGCAACCTCTGCCTCCTGGGTTCAAGTGGTTCTTCTGTCTCAGCCTCCTGAGTAGATGGGATTACAGGTGTCCACCACTATGCCTGGCTAATGTTTGGTATTTTTTTAGTAGAGAAAGGTTTCACCATGTTGGCCAGGCTGGTCTCAAACTCCTGACCTCAGGTGATTTGCCCACCTCGGCCTCCCAAAATGCTGAGATTACAGGTGTGAGACACCACGTCCAGCCCAACTGAAATTTTTAAAATTAATTTTGTGTAAAGAATATGAGAGAACAGAAAATGTATTTTGTATCTAGACACCAAAAACTTAAGCTCTATACAGTATTACAAATAATTGTTTGTCAATAGTCATTAGGGAAATGTAAACCACATCCACAGTGGGGTAGCACTTCTCACCCTCTAGGAGGGCTAAAATAAAAAAAGAGAGACAATAGCAATGGTGATGAGAATGTGGAGAAATTGAAACTCACTACATTGCTGATGGGATTGTAAAATGGTACTGCCACTTTGGAAAAAAATAAGAGTTCATCAAAAGGTAAAACAGAGAGCTACCATATGACCTGACTCAGGAATTTCACTCCTAGATACATACACCCTACAGAAATGAAAACATACGTCTACACAAAGACATGAATGTTGATATCAGCATTATTCAAGAGTCAAAAAATGGAAACAACATAAATGTCCATCACCTAAGGAGTGATTTAAAAAAATGTGATCTATCCATGCAATGTAGTATTACTGGGCAGTAAAAAGTAATGAAGTACGTAAAAATGATACAACATGGTAAGCCTTGAACATATTACGCTAATAAAAGAAGCTAGACAACCCCCAAATGTGGACAACTCTGCATCCTCAATGGCCATAGTCAATAAATGAGAGACCTGCAGTACAGGAGTCACCACTGAAAGCTGAAATGCTAGAGACAGAAATAGTAAACCTCCTAATTGATACATAGCCTCTTCAGAATGGAAATGGGAAAGGCACAGCCATGTAGAGATTACACAGAAAAAATTTTGTAAAACATAGTTTTATGGAAATAAGTCTCAAGGCACAGTCCCTAAAAGATGTTCCAAGTATTTGACAGCTGAAACAAAGGTGTTAATAAGGCAGGATGTCATGGGTTTTGTGAAAGGTGAATTGATGGTTTACGTACAAATTCTTTCATATTCAGGTTTTTTTAAGGTTTAACAATTTGGAAACTAATTTAAGTATACTTAAATATAGATGTTTAGAACTTAATGAAGTGTTTTACCTTGCTGTTCTTCCTTTTGTGTTCATTTTTGTAATGGATATAGTAATAATTTATATCTCACACAATTTTGAAGATGAAATGTGATGATACACATACAACACTTGGAAGATGAACTGTTGGAATTTCATCATAAATATACAATATTTATAAGTTCCAAGAAAAATAAATATTAGACAGCAGTTGCTGCCAGTAGTATCCTGGAGCACTGGGAAAGAAGGGTCAACGACCTACAGACTTAGGAAAAATCAGGAAGAATCTTATTTGTGGGGGCTAATAGCTTTGAATTTTATTCCACAGGGGGCCATTGAAACATTTTCAGTCTGACTGTGGCATGATCAAATTCATGTTTCAGAAAAATCGCCCTTGAAAGTAATATATAAATGGACCTGTAAGATTTGAACTGGAGGCAGAACATCTATTTAGGAAGTATTGACTCAAAAGCAAAATCAAACAAATCCAATTCAAGACTCCCCGATTAGTAGCTCTGCCTTCAATATTTCAGCTGTATTCTAATATGATATTGATAACTGCTTACTCTGCATCGTCACTTCCTCAAACTTAACACATCCACACAAGAACACATTCTCTTCTATCTGAAACCTGCTACTAAACTATATGACCTATCCTAGAGGTTTGCCCTGCAACTTACACAATTACCCAAGCTGAGAATATTTTTATGCTTCTGGTGACTAGCAAAAGGCCTCAAATGTAGAAAAAGGTCATACAAATATGGTGAGTGAGTGCCAGACTCATTCTTTTATCTTACTTCTCACCTCCAAATCACGAAGTCCTTTGTCTTTACCTCCTAAATAGGTTTCCAATTTGTGCCCTTCACTTTCCTTACATTGCCTTTGTGTCAGTATCAGTATAAACTGTCAGTACCTTTAACCTGAAATATTTCACTCTATCCTAAGTTGACTTTCTGCCTCCAGTCCAAATCTTGCAGGTCCATCGATATATTTCTTCAAGGGTAATTTCTCTAAAACATAAACTTGGTCATGCCATGGTCATGCTTAAAATGTTTCAATGTCTTCCCATTGTCTGTGGAATAAAATTCAAAGCTATTAGCCCTCGCATATAAGATTCTTCCTGATTTGCTTTATGTAAGTCTCCATGTCTTTGACTCTCCTTTCCAAACTCTTTGGGATGCTACCTGCAGCTACTTCTGCCTAATATTTATTTGCAGCTCTCTCATATTTTGGGTTAAACTTACATATACTTTTCTTTGAAATGTGTTTCTTTTCTACCATGTCAGCCTCTAAGACTCAGTATAGGTATCTACTTTTTTGTGAAGTCTTAAATGAGTCATAATGAGTCTCGAATTCTGTTATTTCCTAAAGTAACTTCTTAAGGTATTATTTATGAACAAAAGCCATTACAGCATCATTGGTAAAAGGAGCCAAATAACGAGTTTCTGGTTGACAAATGACATTTTATGAAAATTTAGGTTTATTGTCTCTAATAAATTTAGCCATTCTTGAATTTCCATGTAATACCCTATAGAAAATACTTGCCATAAAGCCTTTATAATATTATTTGAGGAAACTCCATTGCTAATGGTGCCACATACTCTCCTCTAAGATATAAACATTGTCTTGTCTTTAAATTTTCATTGCCAAGCAGATGCCCAGTTTTCTCAAATATGATTGTCAAATAAGTAAATAAATGATTGATGTCCTCTACTTACTCTAAACAAATTTGTACTTTTTAAAATTAAAATTACATTTTTTTTTTTAATTTTTAGTTTCTGAAGTAGCACATTCTTGCTGAGCTTTGAAAATTGGACTCGGTTGTAACTTTCCCGCTATTGGTGAATACAGTGAATCTGATGCTTAAGACAAAACACTGTTACGCTGAAGTCAACTTCAAACTTTCTCATAATATAAAGTTTGTTCATTCGAAGTCTCTTTGAGAAAAACAGTAATGCACATATGTGGGAAGTTTTAGAAAAATGGAATATTTCTCTCAGAATGAGTTTATTCTACTTTTTACATGAACTTGAACAATGCAGAAAAACAATAGCACTTAATCAAAACAAGGCACAAAAGCAAGAAAGAACAAAATATTTCCCTTATTAAACCCATAACTAAGTGATATAAAGATGACCTATTCTATTATTTACCCACATTTCCGCACACTCCTTATATTTATGCTGAAGGAAAACCTCATAATTTGTTATAATCTAAAAAATTATATATCCTAAAATCTAGAAAATTTGCACAATTATTTAGCAAGTTTTCCAATCAATTAAAACATTAAAATACATCAACTTTTGTTATCAGGCTTGTTTCAGCTTTAAAGATGTAGATATAATTTTTAACCAACAGTTTTATATCCAGTTCTATAACATTATTTCTAGTATTTTTTCACTAATTTAATTTTTAACCCTAAACAATAAGATATCAGACTGGTAATTTTTTTATTGCTAAAATAGGACATTAATATGCAAATGTATCAGTTTAATAATTGTATATTCAACTCATTTTGTAAAAATATAATCTTATCCCATTGAAGTATAAATAAAGAAAAGTAACCATACTGTTGTTTCAATTCTATGAATAAAAAATAATACATAAATTTTACTCTAAGTTCACCAATAAGCCTAAATACTCTACTTGAGTATATTTTGATGTTGACAGAATGGAGGGAATCTAAAAACCAATTTCTGGTATTTTATTAAGTGATTTGAAATGCTTCCTGATATCGTACACTTTTTATTTAACCATTCATTCTACCTCTGTAAACAAACTCTTTAAGTGGCAAATATTAACTACTAAATCTCAGCATGGATTATATGGAGACAAAGAAAAAGGGTTAGAATGAGGAATCTGAGCTCAGCTACATCTTCACACATTGGTTTCATTTTACTTAAGGCAAATTCATAGATGCATAGATGTTCAAATGAATAACCAAATAGTGATTATTTAGATGATCTATAAATGATAGATTTATCAATACTGCTGATGTGTTTTTTTTCAGCAGTGGCAAGATTTGGCATGGTAGACATCTACAGAGGGTTATATGAAGACATGCATTGGTTTAGTGAAAATCTCTGATTCAAATCAGATATCAATGGGGGATTTTACCTAGCTGTCTCATGGACAAGTAATTTAGAGACACTATCAAATGGTTTTATAATCACTTTAGAAATATATTTTTAGTGTAAAAGTAATCGGATTTATTTTACTTTGTATTTTGTTGCTATGAAATAGGTGAGGAAAAGATGGTGAATGTAAGTCTTGAAGCATGTCAATTAACAGAATCAATTCAGAGGTAAAGAAATATTTTTTTTAAAGGTCTACTAACAGGTACTTTGTGTGTGGACACTATCTATATCTTTTCATCTTATTTCTTCATCTAGCAAAACAGATGCTCTAAAATGAAGTAATTAGGATTTGGACAAAGGCCTTTGGGAATATATGCATTAGCTATGTTAAGGTACTGGCAAGAAACAAAGTATGAAATATAATCTGACCATGTATTGGAAGTCCAGAGAAAAAAATTGGTTAAACTTGACTTCACGATGGCTGAATAGAGGCTCACCACACTCACCTTCTCCACAGATAAGGACCAAACAGCGAACAGGTAACCATACTATGAATAGAGCTTGTAAGAGAGACAGACACTAAAATTCAGCATGCAAGTGACAGGGAACCTCTGAGGCACAGATGGAGAGGGAAGTAAAGCAGCCAACCTGGCTGGAATTGACTCAGAGCCAGGAGGAAGCACTATTGTGACGGACAGAAAGGTAAGCAAGAGAGCCCCAGCAGTCTATAGTTTCACCATGAATTCTGCAATTCCAGCCAAGGGAGAGCCCCTCAGCCCATGTGGACCCTGAGTTTCCTGCAGTCCATGTGATGGCATTGTTTCAGAGAGGGAGTTTGTGCTGGGTCCCACACATTCCCCAAGGTCCAAGAAGCTGAAGCATGGCACCATTTTGAGACCCTAGACCCCACCATATTACATTCTGCCCTGAGGCCACACAGTCCCTTATTTCCACATTCCACGAGCCTCACTGATATCTCCCCACATTCACCTAGATGCCGAAGTGTCACAACGCCAGGACCTAGCAGAACTCCAGCCCACAGTGTCTTATAGCCTAGGGAGCAGGCTGACCAGTGTGCTAGGAAAGCTGCCCCAGGATAAAGGGAGCTGGAGCCCGCATTCAGCAGAGCCTGATAGCCATCTGCCCTGGGCCACTGACACTGACAGAAACACAACCCCTTCCAGCGGCATGGCAGGCACATCTGCATGCACTTTCAGAGTTCCTGGAAACCAGCCCACCAGCCAGGCGCCATCCTGGGGCCTGAGGACAGGCCTGCTCCACTTTCCACCATTGCCACTGGCATTGCACAGGGTGGGGCTAGGGATTGACCTACCCTGCCTGCCATTGCCAGTGCCAACACATACCTGCACTTGAGTATGTGCCCTCTCTGCCTATCACCATGGGTGCCCAGCATGTCATCTGGGGGTTTGGAGATCAAACTGTTCTGCCTACCGCTGCTAGCACCCATGCATACCTTCCAGGGGACTGAGGACAAGCTCTCCCAGACTGCTGCCACTGCCCATAAACTCTGTTCAGGGGCCTGGGTATAAGGGAAGCTTGCCCCCACCAGTGGTGTATGCATGCACCATACAGGGGCATAAGTACAGGTCTACTCTGTCCAGTGCCAGCACCTGCATGCTTTCCTGGGAACCTGGAGACTGAACTCCTCAGCCAATCGCCATCACTGCTGGTGCCCATGTGCACCTCTCAGGGGCCCAAGGGTTGGCCTGCCACTATAACTACCACTACACACGCTGTACACAGAGCCCAAGGGACCTCCCACCTTCTTGACCCTTTGCTGCTACTGCTGGCACTCTAGGCACTCTAATATACCTGTCTAGGTAGTCATATACCAAGGACAAGAATCCCCAGGCCTGCCACCACTAGTGCCCCTGTATACCACCTGGAGTTCTGAAGACTGGCATGCCTGGCCCACCACCACCACCACTTGTGCCAGAGAACCAGCTTGCCTGGCATTCACATTTTCAGCAAACCCTAAAGCAAACTGCACTAACTGCAACCCAAGCCATTGAGGAACTCACAGATACAACTAATGCTGATTACAGCCAAATAAATCATACAGAGACTACACTATTGTGCCTACCCAGATTCAAAGCCAAAGCAACCTCTCCAGCCAACACTATAGACACAGCTGTAGGAAAAAGTCTTTCCCTATGAATACCAATCCATAAATTAAGAAATGTGAGTTACACTAAATGTGCAGATATTAATGTAAGAACACAATATACTAAATATGAGAAAGCAAAATAGGAAAAAGCAAGGAAAATGACACTTCCAAATGAACACAATAATTCTCCCATAGTAGAGCCCAAGAAAAGGAAATCTATGAAGTGCCTGGAAATGATTTTAAAACAATAATGTCAAAGAAACTCAGTGACATACAAGAGAACATAAGTAAGCAATACAAATAAATGAGACAAAAATTGTGATCTCAATGAGACATTCAGTAGGGACAGATATCGTAAAAAGAACCAAGTAGAAAATTTAGTACTGAAGAATTCAATAAATGAAATAAAACAATACCATTGAGCACTCCAACAATAGACTAGATCAAACAAAAGAAATGATTTCTGAACTTGAAGACAGATCTTTTGAAATAACCCAGTCAGACAAATCAAAATCACAGTGAGATATCCCCTCATTCCAGTTAGAATGGCTATAATAAAAAGACAAAAAATATTTTTGATGAGGATGTGTAGAAAGGAGAATGCTTACACACTGTTAGAGCAATTGTAAGTTAGGACAGCTGCTGTGAAAAACTGCATGCATGGTACTCAAGAAATTAAAATAGAACTGTTATATAATCCAGCAATCCCAATACTCCATATATATCTAAGCGAAATGGAATCAGTATGTTGAAGAGCTATCTGTACTCCCATGTTTATGGCAGCACTATTTACAATAGCCAAAATATGGAGTTATCTCAAGTGTCCAACAACGAACAATAAAAGAAAAAAAGTGTCAACAATGAATGAAAGAAGAAAAAATGTGGTGTATACATACAACAGAACACTATTCATCCATAGTAAAATATTGTCATTTGAGACGACATGGATTGAACTGGAGGACATCACATCAAGTGAATAAGCCATACACAGAAAGACAAATGCTGCATGTTCTCACTCATGTGTGGAATTGGAAAAAAAAAAAAAAAAGAGTTGACATTGTAGAAGCAAAGAGTAGAGCAGTTGCTACCAGGGACTGAGGAGGGGAGGGAAAAGAAGAGGAAGGGGAGAGGTTGGTCAATGAATAGAAAGTAGCAATTAGATAGAAGAGATAAGTTCTGGTGTTCTATTGCACAGTAGGGTGACATGGCTAACAGTAAGATATGGTGTACTACAAAATAGCTAGATGCTTTGTGTCCTCACCGCAAATATATGATAAAGGCACGAGGTGATGGTCACATTAAATATCCTGATTTTATCATTATACAACATATATATGTATTGAAACATCAAATTATACCCCATGTGTACAATTACAATGTGTCAGTTTTTATAATAATAAAAAGAAAAAGAATGAAGAAAGCCTATGTGACACATGGAACACCATAAAGTCATCCAATACTTGAATTTTGGGATTTCCAGAAGGAGACGAGATGGATAAAAGCATAAAAACACCTGTTAAATGAAAAAATAGCTGAAAACTTCCTAAGCCTTGCAAAAAAAGATATACATGTTCAGATACAGGAAGTTCAACAATTCCAATAGATTCAGCCTCGAAGGGTCTTCTCCAAGGCACATTGTTGTCCAACTGGCAACAATGAGACAAAGACAAAGAGAGAATTATAAAAGCAGCAAGAGAAAAGCAGCAAGTTACACATAATGGAATCCCCATCAGACCAACAGCAAATTTTGTAGCAGATACCTTACAGGCAAGGAGAGAATGGGATGATAGATTCAAAGTACTGAAAACAGCAACAAGAGCAACAATCTGGCAGCCAAGACTGTTATACCTAGCAAAGTTCTTTTTCTTTTTTTTTTTTTTTTTTGAGATGGAGTCTCACTTTGTCACCCAGGCTGGAGTGCAGTGGCGTGATCTTGGCTCACTGCAAGCTCTGCCTCCCGGGTTCACGCCATTCTTCTGCCTCAGCCCCCCGAGTAGCTGGGACTACAGGCGCCTGCCATCACGCCTGGCTAATTTTTTGTATTTTTAGTAGAGATGGGGTTTTACCGTGTTGGCCAGGATGGTCTCGATCTCCTGACCTCGTGATCCACCCGCCTCGGCCTCCCAAAGTGCTGGGATTACAGGCATGAGCCACCGCGCCTGGCCTGTTAGTTTTCAAAAATGAAAGAGAAATAAAATCTTTCCCAGACAAGCAAAAATTGATGAATTCACCACTAGACCAGTCCTACAAGAAATTCTAAAGGGAATCCTACATCTGAAAGTAAAAGGATGATATCTACTATCAGGAAAACAAAGGAAAGTATAAAACTCACTACCACAGTAGATATATAAGTAAGAAAGAGAAACGACTCAAATGTAATCACTACAAAACCCACAAATTGTAAAGGTAAACAATGAATGAGGAAGAAAGAAAAGATATATAACACAGTGATAATTAACTAGTATAATTAAGACAATAAAATGATAGCAATAAGTCCCCATGTATCAATAATAACTTTGAATATAAAAAATTAAATTCCTCACTTAAAAGACATAAACTGGCTAAATGGAAAAATAAATGCAGAGCCCAGCTATATGCTGCCTACCAGAAATTCACTTCATCTGAAAAGACACATGTAAATGGAAAGTGAAGGGATGGAAAAAGGTATTCCATGCAGATCAAAACCGAAGTGAAGCAGGAGTCGCTATACTTATATCACATGAAACAGACTTTAAGTAAAAGACTGTAGAAACGGACAAAGAAGGTCACTGTATAATGCTAAAAGGACTAATCCATCAAGAGGATATCACAATTCTATGTATATATGCACCCAACACTGGAGCACTCAGATATATGAAGCAAATATTACTAGATCTTAAGAGAGAGATAGACTCTAATACAGTAATATTTGGAGACTTCAACACCCCACTCTTAATATTGGAAAAATCATCGAGACAAAAAATCAACAAGGAAACATTGTATTTAAACTGCAGTTTAGACCTAATGGACTTAACAAACATATGTAGAACATTTCATTTGATAGCAGCAGAATACACATTCTTCTCACCAGTACATGGTATATTCTTTTTGATAGATCATATGTTACATCACAAAAAATGTCACAACAAATTTTAAAAGGTCAAAATCATGTCAAGTATCCTTTCAGACTACAGTGAAATAAAACTAGAAATCAACAACAAGATGAACTTTGGAAACTGTGCAAATACATAGAAATTAAACAACAAGATCTTGAACAACCATTAGCTCAATAAATAAATTAAGACAGATGTCAAAAAATCTCCTAAAACAAATGAAAATTAAAATACAACATACAAAAAGCTATGAAATCTATCAAAAGCAGTGCTAAGAGGGAAGTTTAAACCAATAAATGTCTATATCGAAAAAGTAGAAAGATTTCAAATAAACAACCTAATGATGAACCTGAAGGAAATAAAAAAGCAAAAAACAAAACAAACTAAACTCCAAATTAGTAGAAGGAAAGAAATAATAATGATTGAAGCATACCTAAACAAAATAGAGAACAAAAATCAATATAAAGAATTAACAGGCCAGGCGTGATGGCTCACTCTTGTAATCCCAGCACTTTGGGAGGCTGAAGCGGGTGGATGACCTGAAGTCGGGAGTTCGAGACCAGCCTGACCAACATGGAGAAACCCATCTCGACTAAAAATACAAAATTAGCCCGGCGTGGTGGGGCATGCCTGTAATCCCAGCTACATAGGAGGCTGAAGCTTGAACCTGGGAGGCAGAGGTTGCAGAGAGCTGAGATCCTGCCATTGCACTCCAGCCTTGGCAACAAGAGAGGAACTCTGTCTCAAAAATAAATAAATAAATAAAAAGAAAGAAAGAAAAAAAGAAGAATTAACAAAATTAAAAAGCCGGTGTTTGAAGAGACAAAGAACATCAAAAACTTCTAGAGACAAAGAAAAAAAGAGTGAAGACTCAAATTAATAACATCAGAAATCAAAAAGGAGACATTATGATACCACAGAAATACAAAGGATTATTAGAGACTTATGAACAATTACATGGTAAAAAAATGGAAAATCTAGAGAAAATGAATGAATTCCTGGACACATTCAACCTACTAGATTGAAACAGGAAGAAATAGAAAACGTGAACAGATCAATAATGAGTAACAAGGTTGAATCAGTAGTAAAAAGTCTTTCAACAAAGAAAAGCCCAGGACCAGATGGCTTTATTGCTAAATTCTATCAAACTTACTTATAAAGAAGAACTTATAAAGAAGTCTTCTCACAGTATTCAAAAAAATTAAGAGTTCATTCTTCCTAACTCATTCTATGAGCCCAGCATTACCCTGATACTGAAACCAGACAAGGACACAACAAATAAAGAAAACTACAAGCCAATATCCCTGGTGACCAGACATACAAAAATCTTCAACAAAATACTAGCAAACTCAATACAACAACACATCAAAAAGATAATATACCGTGATCAAGTGGGATTTATCCCAGGGATGCAAGGATGGTTCAACATTTAAAACTCAATAAACGTGATGGATAACATCAATAGAATGAAGGACAAAAACCATATAATCATCTCAATAGATGCAGAAAAATCATTTGGTAAAATTCAACATTGCTTTATGATAAAAACTCTCAACAAATTAGGTACAGAAGGAAATTATTTCAACATAATAAAGACCATATATGACAAACCTACATCTAACATTATACTGCATGGGGAAAAGCTGAAAGCCTTTCCTCTAAGAATGAGAGCAAGACAAGCATGCTCACTTTTACTACTCTTATTCAACATGGTACTGGATGTCCTAGCCAGAGCAATCAGGCAACATAAATAAATAAAAGGCATCCAAATTGAAAAAGAGAAAGACAAATTGTTATGCTTTGCAGATGACATGATCCTATATTTAGAAAAATTTAAAGATTCCACCAAAAACTCTAAGAACTAATAAATGAACTCAGTAAGTTGCAGAATACAAAATCAACATACAAAAATCAGGAGCATTTGTATTCACCAATAACAAATTAGCTAATAATGAAGTGACAGAAACAAATGGAAAGACATCCTATGCTCATAGATTAATATTGTTAAAATGACTATACTGCCCAAAGCAATCTACAGATTCAATGTAATCCTTATCAAAATACCAATGACAGTCATCACAGAAATCTTAAAAATCCTAAAATTTGTATGAAACAAAAAAGGCTGAATAGCCAAAGCAATCCTGAGTGAAAAGAACAAAGCTGGATGCATCACACTACCGGATTTTAAAGTATACTACAAAGCTGTAGTAATCAAACATCATGGTACTGGGATTAAAAACAGGCATATACACAATGGAGCAGAATAGAAAAACCAGGAATAAATTCACATATTTATAGCCAACTGTTCTTTCAAAGTTGCCAGTAACATATAGTGAGGAAAGGATACCCTCTTCAATAAATAGTGCTGGGAAACTAGACTTCTATAGGCAGAAGAATTAAACTATATTTCTGGCTCTCACCATAAGCAAAAATCATCTCGAGTCAATTTAAGACTTAAATGTATACCTAATCCTATAAAACTGCTAGAAGAAAGTACAGGAGAAAACCTTGAGGACATTGATCTAGGCAAAGATTTTATGGCTAACACTTCAAAAGTACAGGCAACAAAAACAAAAATAGACAAATGAAACTATATTAAACTTCTACAAATACTTCTGCAAAGCAAAGGAAACAATAAACAAAGTGAAGAGACAACTTGAAAAATGGGAGAAAATGTTTGCAAACTATCCAATAAAAGATTCATGACCAGAATATACAAGGTATTCAAACAAGTCAACAGCAAAGAAACAAATAATCCACTTAAAAAATGGGTAAAGGATCTGGAGAGACATTTCTCAAAAGGAGACACACAAATGACCAATAGGTAAATGAAAAAATGCTAAACATTACTAATTATTAGAGAAGTACAAATCAAAACTATAGTGAGATATTATCTTATCCCAGTTAAAATAGTTATTATGAAAGACAAAAAACAACAAATGCTGGAAATAATACAGAGAAAAGGGAACTCTTATACAATGTTGGTAGAAATGTAAAATTAGTATAGCCATTATGGAGAACCGTATGGAAGTTCCTCGAAAAGCTAAAAACAGAACTACCATATAATACAGCAATCCCACTACTGGGGTATTTATCCAAAGGAAAATGTGTCAATATAACAAAGGAATACCTGCACCCGCATGTTTATTGCAGCAGTATTCATAATAGCCAAGACATGGAATCAGTTTAAGTGTCCATCAGTGGATGAATGAATAAAAAATGCGGAATATCTACACAATAGAATACTATTCAGCCATAAAAAAATCTTGACACTTTCAGCCACATGAATGAAACCGGAGGTCATTATGTTAAATGAAATAAGCCAGGGATAAAATGACAAATATTGCATGTTCTTACTCATATGTGGGAGCTAAAGATATTGTTCTCATGGAGGGAAAGAGCAGAATGATGGTTACTAGAGGATGGAAAGGGTGAAGGTGTAGGGTTACAGAGGTTGCTTAATGAGTACAAACATACAGTTACCTAGAAGGACTAGGTCCTATAGTTTGATAGCATGGTAGAGTGACCACGGTGAACCAATTTATTGTATATTTAAAAATAGCTAGGAGAGAAGACTTGAAATGGTCCCAATGTAAAGAAATAACAAATGTTTGAGGTGATGGATATCTTAAATAGCTTGATTTTATCATTACACACTGTATACATGTATCAAAATATCATATGTACCCCATAAATATGTGGAATTATTATGTATCAATACAAATTGGTTAAAATCAGGAATCTATGTAACATTAAAGACAAAGAGACAGTTTTCAAATTTAAATTAATTTGATTAATAAAGACAAATGCAAAAGAAAATAGTATAAATTCATTGAGACACATTACAAAGATACAACAGGGGTTATTACCAACAGAGGTCATAAAGATGAAAATAAATCTTCAAATCAATTAAGGATAAGAATTAGAAAATAAACAGCTCTGCTAAAATACAAGAAAGAGAAAATAGTATGTGCTCCATCAATATTTGTTTAACTATAGTGAATTATTGAATGGAGAGGTTTATACAGTGAGCAGCAAACAGGCTGGAGTTAAATGAATTCTTTACCACTGCCTTTTAGGAGCGAGTAGTCATTGATCAGAGTGAGCTAGTCATGATGGAAAGGTGGACGCATAGAGGAATGAATTGGTCATGTAGAAATTTAACAGAAAAGAAGAAAGATCTGTCTATATATAAAATTGTGAAAATAGGAAAATTAGCTGTCTGCATTAAAATCAAGAAGTCTTTGAAATATTATTATAAAGGTATTTTTTAAATGAAAATAATTTGGAAAAGGCAAAATACGTATGTATTTTTAAAGAGGTTAAATAATCTGATGTCATTATTTGGTTATCTGAGAAGATACCAGAAGTAATCAATCAAATTTTCATCACCTGGAAAAGTATGGGTACTATGAAATACCAACACGGTTTTCTGAATAGCAAATCATGCCAGACCCATTAAACAGTGTTCTGTGATAGGATTACAGGTTACAGAGACAAGAAAAAATGGTAGTGAAATCCATCTTGTTTTCAGGAGGTCTTGGAATCTGCTCTTTGTCATATTCTCATTGGGAAACTTGAGGAAATATGACCTTAGCCACATTATATTTAGGTGGATGGATGCACAACGTGCTTGAATGTTCAACCAAAGGGAAATTGAAATTTCAATTTAAAGTTGCATTAATATTTTGATTTAACTCCCAAGCACTGATTCTTGGGATCATCCAGTCAACTGCTATTAGATAATTTGCAGTAAGTAATTTAGAGTGTGCTCATCAACTCTCTAGGTAATTACAAATATTAGTTGGTATAAGGAGGAGATAAAAATTGAAAGGTTGAATAATATAAATACACAAAAGAGATGCCTGGAAGAAATTTTTCTTATTATAATATTAATCAACAATGTGATGCTACTGTGAATACTGCCTATACTCCACAGGAAATTCTTAAAAAGAGTATGATATGCAAGGACTTGAAAAAAATCTTTTTGTCTTTTTCTGGTTTCAGTTAATTATCATTAAGATACTCCCTTCTAATTTTGGTTACTAATACTATACTTTTAAATGAATTCAGAGAGAAAATTTGGTCTTTTTGTGTTTTTCAGATGTTCTGCATTTAGATTATATTAATTTTTAAATTAGGCATATAAGCTATCTTTTAAAAAATGGTTAAAAGCAATCAAACACAAATAATTTAGAGAAAATATAGAGGATATTACCCTCTGAAATCTCTTAGGAATAAAATAAATCGAAGAGAGTCCCCATAAGAAAAACTTGACAAAATGAGGAGGGTTATTGAGCCTATGGTCAAAAGATATTTACAAATATATAATATGCAATAGCCACTATGTTAGGCTATCACATGCATCATCTCATATAATCTTCACAGTACCTCTATTCAGTAAAAGAGAAAAGATATGTGGAGGAAACAAGCTGACTAGGTGACTTTGCCAAGGTCTTATCAGAGCCAGGATTCAAACTTGATGTGTATTGACTTAAGATGTCCTTAATGGAAAGAAGAATAAAATGTCTTCATTATTTGTGTATTGTGTGTCATCACCATAGAAAAATAAAATAATTTTAAATTTATAAGTATATATTTTAAGGGATACTGCAGAGTTTTGCCAATTCTTTCTTTCAACATTGATTTAAATTGTTCTGCAGGTTTCACTTTTTCCTTGTATAAAGGTAGAACAATTCCTCTAAAAGGTGCTTTCACTATGTTGGCCAGGCTGGTCTCAAACTCCTGGCCTCAAGTGATCTACCCATCTTGGCCTCTCGAACTGCTGGGATTACAGGCATGAGTCACTGAGCCTGGCCAACTATACATTTTTTAAATAATCAAAGCAAATGAATTATAGTATAAAGTATTTACAGTGGGAGCTGAGGATATTTGGGATTGTGTCTGACTTGGATTTTTCTAGACTTTTTACTTGTGGGTATCCAACATTTTTTCAAAATCTCATAAAATTTATTTCTCAGTGCTCACTTCTTGTTTCAGGGCCCTTATTAATTTTTTCTTTTTTGTGACATAAAATGGCTTTACATTTTTATATCATAAAATAAATATAATAAAAATAAAATAGAGAAATAAGAGAATGAAAATCATTTGCAGCCTGAGTATTGCTGACTTTTGGAATGTAGCTTCCCAGGTAGACTGATAGATGGATAGAAATGATTATAATAAAATCTAATAATATGAGAATACAAAGTGGGAATCATATATTACATGATTATACGATGTGAAAATACCTTAATTTTCACTTAACTATGTACTGTAGCTCTTTATATCATTCATTTAAAAGGTTGCATAATACTCCATTATATACAAATTCTATCATATACTCAGACAATTCTGTATTACTGTATATTGAATTTGCTGACATTTTCCTTTTTTATAAAGAGTACTATAGTCAGCATCTATCTATCTATCTATCTATCTATCTATCTATCTATCTATCTATCTATATATATATCTTTGCAGACTTTCAGATTATTTTCCTATAAATTTCTAGATGTAGGAATGCTGTCTCAGTGGGTATGCATAAACATTTTGTTAGATACCCACTGGGAACGATCATCTAGTAATTGCAAAAATATTTGCCGGGCACTTCTCTAGGTGCTAGAATAATGGCTGTGAATTAGATAATAAGTTGCTCTCTTGTATTGAGCATACGTTTATGGCAGAAATAAACCATGAACAAATAAACATAAAATGTCAGAGTATTAAGAGCAAAGAAAATACATAGGTGGCATGATAGTGGGTGGCTAAGGGACAACTTTAGCAGCTCTGGGAAGGCTGCTCTAAGGAAGGGACTTTCAATCTAGTGATTAAATGGTTAAGAAGAAGCCATGTATGAAAATTTTTGGGAATATATACAGCTCGAAGCATCTGGAAATTCAAGGTCCCTATATTGGGAATGAGGCTAGTGGTCAAGGATCAAAAAGTAGCTGGAGCACACTGAGGTGAGTGAGAGTAATCTGAATGAGGAAGAGACTGGATTATGCAGTCGGGGAGGCCAGGGCAAGAAATGTGGGTTTTATCCTGAATATAGGGGTAAGTTACTGGGTGATTTTAAATTTTAATTTAATTATGATTTTATATATATATAATGTAATATATACTTAAAATGTGCATATATATTAAAGCATGCACATCATAAGTGTATAGCACAATGAATTATTCACAAACTGAACACAGATTAAGAAAGAAAACATTACGTCATTCTCAACCTCCCTTTATGCCCTGTTCCAATCACTGCTTCCTACCAAGGGTAACTACTCCCGCGACTTCCAACATCATAGATTAATTGCACCTGTTTATATAGACCAAAAATTGCACAGTATCAATTTCTGTGTTTGGTTTCTTTTGCTTAAAATTATGTTTTATTCATCCACATTTAGGCATCCACCTGAAGGGATGAAGGTAGATAAACAAAAGTGAAGGGATTTCACCATGGAGCCCTGGGGAATTCCAACATTTGGAAGCTGAGCAGAGTAAAAGCTGCTGACACAAGAGATATTCTGTCTAGTGTCCAGTGAGGTGGGAGGAAAATAGGAAGTCATGGTGTCATGGCTAAGGGAGAGTGCTTCAGGAAGGGGAGTGGTAAACAGTGATCAAATATGGTTGAGCTATTGAGCAAGATGAGACCAGATACACCCTATGGGGTTTGACATCATGGAGGCAATTGACAAATGGTACTTCAAAGAAGAGAATGGAAAGTGATGAAAACTGCAAATGTAGACAACTCATTCCAAAATTTGTAACAAAACATAAAGTGCTCCAGTAAACATGGACTCAAAAATGAGTTCTTGAGATGGCAGATACTACAGTATATTTGTATAATATATAATGATGAAAATAATTCAGTGGAGAGGGAAATTAAGATATGGAAGGATAGGAAAATTGTATGAGTGATGACTGTGAGAAGGTGAAAGAGGATGGAATCCAGAGCACAAATGAAAAGACATCTATATTAGGAGCAGACATACTTCAATCTTAAACAGGTAGAAAGACATTTACTGTGGAGTAGATGCAGGTACTTTGATGGATTTGATGACAGATGAGTTCTCATCTTCTATGAATGCCTCTTTTTCCTTCCACTCCCCTAGTATCACTGTGTATAACCTACTATCACTGTGTATAATCAATCTTACTGATCTTTTGAAAAGAGAATTGAAGACTTGTATCTCCATTTAATTTGAATATATATGATTTTTAGAGAGGTAGAAACATTTTGCCTATGTTTATTGGCCATCTGGATTTTTAAAGCTTGCTAATTAATCTATATTTGCTGTTTGTTCATTCAAAAATACCTTTCTGGAGTAGAATTGTATTGTTTGTACCACAAAGGTAAATGCTTGAGGGTATGAAAACTCAATTCTCTACAATGTGATTATTATGCATTATATTTCCATATCAAAACATTTTATGTATCTATAAATATATATACCTACTATGTAACTTCAAAAATTAAAAATAAAAATTTTTAAACAAGCAAAGAACAAAAATACCTTTCTGTTCCCATCAGATAAGAAATAACTTGACTAGATACAACATTCTTGCCTTAATTTTTCCTTTAAAATTATGTAGTTATTGGCCAGGCACGGTGTGGCTCATGCCTGTAATCCTAGCACTTTGGGAGGCCGAGGCAGGTGGATCACTTGAGGTCAGGAGTTCGAGACCAGCCTGGCCAACATGGTGAAACCCCATCTCTACTAAAAATACAAAAATTAGCCAGGCATGGTGGTATATGCCTGTAATCCCAGCTACTCGGGAGGCTGAGGCAGGAGAATCACTTGCTCCCAGGAGGCGGAGGTTGTAGTGAGCTGAGATTGCACCACTACACTCCACCGTGGGGTACAAAAGCAAAACTTCATCTGAAAAAAAATTATGTAGATATTTTTCTACAGTTTTCTGCCATAAAACATTGTGGAGATTAAGTCTGAAGTTATGTTCCCTTTGTAGGCACTGTATTTCTTCTAAATGCATGCTTCATGGAATTACTTCTTTATTCTTGAAATTTATAACGTAGTAAAGAATCATCAGAGAAAAGCCCTAAGACCACCTGGCTTTTCATATGGGTGGCCCCACGCCTTGCTCACACACAGGCAGGCTGTGCTGCTGGTGGTGCTCAGTCCCGACAATCACTTCAGATGGACTTCCCCAGACATCCATGAATGACACCTCCAATCCTAGCATTCTTAGGTGAGAAAGATCCCATCCACGTTAGCAGACATTGCTCTTAAGAAGATCGGTCTTCACACTTGAAAGGGGATTCAATGTGGTAGTCCTTACTTCAGCCCACATGCTTCCAATATAGGAGGATATTTGAGGAAAGGGATACCATAATTCCTCCCATTGCTTACTGCCGCATTTCAGATCTCTTTCAGAAATGAGAGTTTCTAATTATCAGCACTCCGTATCTTCATTTGTTTTTCCAAATGTGTTGCCTTTCTCCTCTTTGTGTGATATATTTGTCAGCACTCCACACTTTGTGTGATATATTTGTCAGCATTGATTATTATAATATTCTCTATAATATTCTTTCCTTAAATCTTCCAAAACTTCTCTTTGGTTACTCTAGTCAGCTCGTGGTGTGTGTGAGGGGGAGGAGGCGGTAGTGCATCTAACCCTGTCATGCTACCATATTTTCCAGAATATCAATCTCAGTATCTCTCTCATCAAATTTCCACAGCAAGCTTTGCTTTACTCTGTATTCTCTGCTACATGCTAGCAGCTGCTTGGAGCTGCTAATAGGATGTATACCCTCACCCTTCATCTTTGTGTCTGTAGCAATCTGTTTAGGATCAAGATCTTCTGGTAAACATATGTTCTGTTGTCTGAGACAATGGGAGTGGATTTTAAAGTTCTTCTAGTGGGAGAGGTACTTATCTGCCTGAACTTTCACCATGGATTAGAAACATAAATGATCTACCATTTCCTATGTAACACCATAAACTCTCTCTCAAAAAGTATTTTATTACTAAGCATTGCTTAATCATATTCATGCCCAATATCACAGGTATTACAAGATATTTATAATTGAAATACTTTTGCATTTAAAGAGAGACAGTTATACCCTGTATATGGATAATGAGTTGGGCATAGTAAAGAAAAATAATAAAAGAGGAGGAGAATAAGTCCCAGGGGACTCGGTTTGACTGCTAGCTCTGGTTCCCACTTACAAGTAGAGTAGCCTAAAATTACAACAAAGTACCTGTTATAAGCTAAATAGTATTCCCTTTTATCCCAATTGCATATGTTGAAGTCCTAACCCAAGTAGCCTGTAACATGACCCTATTTAGAGACAGGATCTTTACTGAGGTAGCTGAGCTAAAAATGAGGTGATTATAATGTTCCCTAATCCAATATGACTGATATCTTTATCAGTTGGCCTAGGAGTGAGTTTTTTGAAAAAAATAATAATATAGATAGGCCACTAGCTGGACTAATAAAGAAGAAAAGAGAGAAGATCCAAATAAACACAATTAGAAATGACAAAGAGGATATTACCACTAGCTCCACAGAAGTAAAAATAACCATCAGAAACTACTACAAATACCTCTGTGCACACAAACTAGAAAACCTAGGAGAGATGGATAAATTCCTGGACACATACACACTCCCAAGAGTGAATGAGCATGAAACTGATTCTCTGAGCAGATCAATAACAAGTTCCAAAATTGAATCAGTAATAAATAGCCTACCAATCAAAAACAGCCCAGGACCAGAAGAATTCACAGCCAAATTCTACCAGGTGTACAAGGAAGAGCTGGTATCATACCTACTGAAACTATTCCAAAAAATTGAGAAGGAGGGACTCCTCCCCAACTCATTCTATGAAGCCAGCATCATCCTGACATGAAAACCTGGCAGACACACAACAACAACAAAAAGAAAACTTCAGGGCAATAGTATTGATGAACATTAATGCAAAACTCCTTAACAAAATACTTGCAAACCAAATCCAGCAGCACATCAAAAGGCTAATCTACCATGATGAAGTAGGCTTCATCCTCGGGATGCAAGGTTGGTTCAACATACACAAATCAGTAAATGTGACTCATGCCAACAGAACTAAAGACAAACACCACATGATTATCTCTATAGATGCAGTAAAGGCTCTCAATAAAATTCAACATTGTTTCATATTAAAAACTCCCAATAAACTAGGTATTGAAGGCACACAACTCAAAATAATAAGAGCCATCAATGACAAACCCATAGCCAACATCACACTGAATGGGGAAAAGCTGGAACCATTCCCATTGAAAACCAGCACAAGACAAGAGTGCTCTCTCCTGCCACTTCTGTTCAACATAGAATTGGAAGTCCTGGCCAGAGCAATCAGGCAAGAGAAATAAATAAAGGGCATCAAACTAGGAACGGAGGAAGTCAAACTATCCCTGTTTGCAGACGACATAATTCTATATTTAGGAAACCCCGTAGTCTTGGCCCAAAGCTTCCTCAGCTGATAAACAACTTCAACAACATTTCAGGATTAAAAATAAATGTACAAAAATCAGTGGAATTCTTATATACCAACAATAGCCATGCTGAGAGCCAAATCATGAACACAATCCCATTCACAATTGCCACAAAAGGAAAAAAATGCCTAGGAATGCAGGTAACCATGGAGGTGAAATATCTCTACAATGAGAATTACAGAACACTGCTCAAAGAAATCAGATGACAAAAGCAAATTGGAAAACATTACATGCTCATGGATAGAAAGAATCAATATCATTAAAATGGTCATACTGCCCAAAGCAGTTTACAGATTCAATGCTATTCCTATGAAACTACCAATATCATTCTTCACAGAACCAGGAAAAACTATTTTAAAATTAATATGAAACAAAAAAGCCTGAATAGCCAAGGCAATCCCATGCAAAAAGAACAAAGGTGGAGGCATCACATTACTGGACTTCAAACTATATTATAGGGCTACAGTAACCAAAACAGAATGGTATTGGTACAAAAACAGACACACAGACCAATAGAACAGAACAGAGAGCCCAGAAATAAGGCTGCATATCAACAATCATCTGATCTTCAAAAAAGCTGACCAAAACATGCAATGCAGAAAGGACCCCCTATTCAATAAATGGTGCTGAGATAACTGGCTAGAAATATGCAGAAGTTTGAAACTGGACCCCTTCCTTACACCATATACAAAAATGGACTCAAGATGAATTAAAGACTTAAATGCACAATCCAAACCTATAAAAACCCTAGAAGGTAACCTAGGCAATACCATTCTGGAGATAGGAACCAGCAAACACTTCATGTTGAAGACACCAAAAACAATCATAACAAAACCAAAAGTTGACAAATGGGATCTAATTAAACCAAACAGCTTATGCACAGCAAAATAAAACTATCAACAGAGTAAACAGACAATTTACAATATGGGAGAAAATTTTTGCAAACTGCACATCTGACCAAGTTTAATATCCAGTGTCTGTAAGGAACTTAAACAAATTTACAAGCCAAAAACAAACAACCCATTAAAAAGTGGGCAAAGGACATCAACAGACAGTTTTCAAAAGAAGACATACATGCGACCAACAAGTATATTTTAAAAAGCCCAATATCACTGATCATCAGAGAAATGCAAATCAAAACTACAATGAGATACCATCTCACACCAGTCAGAATGGCTATTATTAAAAGGTCACAATATAACAGATGCTCATGAGGTTGTGGAGCAAATGAAACACTAATACACTTGGTGGGAGTGTAAGTTAGTTCAACTATTGTGGAAAGCAGTGTGGCAATTCCTCAAAGAGGTAAAAACAGAGCTAACATTTCACTCAGCAATTCCATTACTTGGTATGTACCCAGAGGAATAGAAATCATTCTACCATAAAGACATATGTAAGTGAATGCTCATTGCAGCACTCTTCACAATAGCAAAGACATGGAATCAACACAAATGCCCATCAAGGACAGATTGGATAAAGAAAATGTGGTGCATCTACACCATGGAACACTATGCAGCCATAAAAAGAATGAGATCATGTCTTTTGTGGGAATGTGGATGGAGCTGGAGGCTGGTATCCTTAACAACTAATGTAGGAACAGAAAACCAAATCTCACATGCTCTCACTTATAAGTAGGAGCCAAATGATGAGAACTCGTGGACACAAGGAAGGGAACAACAGACACTGGAGCCTATTTGAGGGTGGAGGGTGGGAGTAGGGAGAGGAACAGAAAATAGGTACTATGTTTAGTACCGGTGTGACAAAATAATCTGTACACCAAACCCCATGACACGAGTTTACCTATGTAACAAACCTGCACATGTAACCCTGAACCTAAAATAAAAGTTAAAAAAGAAAAGAAGAGGAGATCTGGACAGACGCATACAAAGGGAAGACATTGTATTGACACAGGAAAAAGATGGCCCCCTACAAGCAATGTGGGGCTGGAAACAGATCCATCCCACGAGGCCATCAGAAAGAATCAATCCTGTTGACACTTTCATCTCATATTCTGGCCTCCAAAACTCTGAGACAATAAATTTCTCTTGTTTAAACCACTCAGTCTGTGGTACTTTGTTAGGGCAGCCCTAGCAAACTAATACAGTAGTTTTGTTTTCTAAGGAAAAATGAGAATATTCTCAGTTGTTTCATGGTGTTTTTATGAATTAAATAATAATAGAACAAAAATGATAATGATATCTGTAATTGGTCAACATTTATGATATGGTTGGTGCAACTCAATGATTTACACTGGTTGTAAATGTCTAGCATGGTGACTGCCACACAGAAAAGTAAACATTCTACTTTCTCTTATTTATGGCAGTGAAGAGATGCTGAAATAAAAATATGGTGCAATAAGGAGATGCAAAAATATAGAAAGTAAAAAACTAAAGAGATAGCCCATAAAAGGAAAAAGAAACACCTTATAGGAAGTAGGGAAACTTGTCCAAGACTCCCTACAATAGAGGTAACAATCAGATATGGAAGTAGTAAGAGCACAGTCAGTAACTAGTGCCCAGGCTGAACAGAGGAGGACATATTTTACTGTGAAGTACTCTATAGGTTTCTTTAGCCAGAACTGTCACAATGTGTCTGAGGTTTTACTGACATGTGATCCCATAGTTTGCATAGTGACTATTATTAATATAATTGTTTTAACAATATTAATAGTAAAGGTTATCATGAAGTCATACACAGCATTATGTTGACTGTTTTTTATTTTCTTTTTAGCTTTCTGAGTTAGTGACACATTATTGCAGCAAAACATATGTAGGGTCAATTCATGCTGAATAGTTATTAGAAACCATGATAACAAAAGTCATTACACTGCAGTTCAGTTTTGACAGTAAAATTTCTGCAACATTATCACAAATCCTCATGCATTAGTGCAATGATCCTTACTATAGTTTCATATTAGAATCAAAAGATTGCTGTAGCTTGCTTGATTCAAAAAGTCAAGCAAGCCATATTCTTTTCTGCTTTTACAGATAACATTTTTGCTCTTTTTCTATATACATCATGCAGACAGTAGCTTTGTTTTATATACTTTTCTCAATAACCTAGGAGTACAGTGCATATATCTTTCTTTAAAATATTTTTTTCTTGAAAGACCACACAATTCTGATACCCTGTACCAAGGGAAATAACTAGAAAATGATTTTATATCTGACACAACCTCACAAAATTCTAAACACTATAGCCACTGCATTGTTACTTTTCTTTTTCTCAGATAATGTATTGCCTGTGTGTGTTTTATTTGTTAATCAGTGATTTACTATGATGGAAAAGTACAAGGTTGTAAAAAAGAACATTTGTCATTTTCAGGATTATTTTGATAGGAAATCAGTGAGAATTGCTCTTCAACTGACAAAAGGAAAGTATTTTTAATGTCTATCTGTCCACAATATTTTTCCAAAGTCACTTATTAACAAACTCTTAAAGGGTCAGACTGTACGAGTAAATTGCTTTACTTGAAGTCCATTTCAAGAAAGCAGGAAAAAATTTAACTTGTGAATTAGTGTCTAGTGAATTAGTTGAGGAACCTCCCAAAATCAATTAATTTCTTTTAATAGAATCAGGTGTACACAGGTATACACAGAATATGAATAATTAGGTCTGGCATGGTGGCTCACTTCTGTAATCCCAGCACTTTGGGAGGCCGAGGCAGGCAGATCGCTTGAGCTCAGGAGTTCGAGATCAGCCTGGGCAACATAGTGAAACTCCATCTCTACCAAAAGTACAAAAAATTAGCCGGGCATGGTGGCATTCACCTGTGGTCCCAGCTACTCAGGGGGCTGAGGTGGGAGGATCACCTGAGCCCAGGAGGCAGAGGTTGCAGTGAGCCGAGATCACGTCACTGTACTCCAACCTGGGTGACAGTGAGACCCCCATATCAAAAAGAAGAATATGAATACTTAGAGCATAGCATGCAAAATACATTCTCTGGAAATTTGGATACGGACAAAATTCCACTTAGTTTAGTATAATTGAAATGATTGTGTGGCTCACTATGTTACTAGAGCCTCTCATGATGTAAGAATCCTTTGAAAATGATGAGTTAATGGGTGCAGCACACCAATGTGGCACATGTATACATATGTAACAAACCTGCATGTTGTGCACATGTACCCTATAACTTAAAGTATAATAAAAATATATATAAATAAAATAAAATACGTATTCTAAAAAAATAAAATAAAATAATCACATCTAAGTTACTTGGTATCTGTTGTTTTAATTCACTCTTGGTTAACAGAAAGTGATGATTTTACAATGTGTTCTGATTTCATATAATCTTTCTTAATACAAGGTAATAAAAGTCATTCCTATAAGGATTCCATTGCCACGGTTGAGGTTATTTCATAATAGTATAAAAATAATGATAATAATACCTGTTTTGATTCTTATTCTCTCTTCATACATACTAAACAATCTGTGAAGTATGCTATGTAATCTCATTTAATAACAACAATAAATGTAACTGAAATACATGTAGAACTTACTACGTATCAAAGGCTGTTAGAAATCTTTACATGTATTAAATTAGTTGTCAGAAAAGCTGTATCAAGTAGATTCTGCTGTTACTCTCATTTTACAGATCAGGAACCACAGGCTCCAAGAGGTAAATGACTTGCTCAAAATCATAGCTAGGAAGCAAAAGGGCAGGATTCAAACCCAGGCAGTCTGGCCCCATGCTACACTGTTCTGCCCATTTTATAATCAAATCCTTGTTGAAAACACCATTTGTGCATATTTTGGTAATGTTCCTTAGAGATAAAGGGTATGAATACATTAAAGCTCTTGCTATATGTTGTCAATTTGTTCTTCATAGGGAGCATTTCAAAGTACAATATCACCATTGGTGAAAGTGTCAATTTCAGTGCTTCCTCCAAAAACTAGATATTATCATTGTAAGATATTATGCTAATCTGGTGGGTGCAAATGCTATCCTGTTGTTTTCCTTTCCTTTTTTGTTTTTTACTATTAAGGATACTTCTCTCCCTTTTATTTATCAACTTGCTTTGTATTTTTTAAAATATTCAACACAGACAAGACATACCAGGCAATACTTATTTAAATACTTTCTTCCTGATTCTACTAGAGAAGTTATCTTTTAAGGGACAGAGAGTAGCACTCCATGTGGTAAAAATATTAAGTTCATGTTTGACACAGATGTTGAAATATTTTCCCATAGTTTTAAACCCACAGACATTTAATTTTCATGTCAGCAAATTTATACATTTTCATTTTAAAAGATTTCTTCTTTTTCATGATGTTGATAAAAACTCTTCTCATTTCAAGATCAGATACCTATTCAACTACATTGTGTGTTTATATTTAACACTCTAACGCATTTGTGGTTTTTGGCATGGTTCAAGGTAGGATTTATTTGCAATTGCCCACAAACATACAGTAAGCCTTGCACCATTTTGTTGAAAAGACTATGCTGCATTTCTTTGCATTTTCACATTTTTATACAATAAATTGCTTGGCATATTGGGACTTTTTTTTTCTAGCCAGTCCTTGTGATGCATTGAACTTTTTGTCATTGTTACAACATGTTCTTGTAGCTTTATTGTTTGTTTCAGGACAAGTTAGAACAAATATTCCCTCATTTTCTCCATAATCCTTTAATTTGTTTTCATGTTCCAGTACAGAATGGTTTTATCAGCGTCCAAAAAATATTCTTTTAATTTGTTTGGAAGTGCTTTAAAATTATAACATGAAGATGCCAGATTAACCAAATTAAAATGTTGGGTATTGCTATGGCATGTGCTGTTTTATTGTCTTTTCCATCTGTAAAATTTTACAGGTTCTTTTATGAAGATTACAATGACATATTCCATATTAGGTATTTCTGGGAAATTTTTGGCTGTTGTAGCTATTGCAAATGAGATCTTTTCATTTATATATGTGTTCTAATTGGTGTTTGGTGGTATAAGATTCGGATTAACGGCCGAGCACAGTGGCTCACACCTGTAATCCCAGCACTTTGAGGGGCCGAGGCAGGCAGATCACGAGGTCAGGAGTTCAAGACCAGCCTGGCCAACATACTGAAACCCCGTCTCTATTAAAAATACAAAAAATTAGCTGGGCGGGGTGGTGTGCACCTGTAATCCCAGCTACTCAGGAGGCTGAGGCAGGAGAATTGCTTGAACCCAGAGGAGGAGGTTGCAGTGAGCCGAGATTGCGCCACTGCACTCCAGCCTGGGCAACAGTGCGAGGCCCCGTCTCAAAAAAAAAAAAAAGAAAGAAAGATTTGGATTAATTTCTCCAATTCATGTGTCATTGCTGAGTCTATCCCTCATGCCTGGTCTTATACATGTATACATACATGATTTTCTACCGTATCATCCTCTGTCAGTTTTACCTGGGCATTAGATGTCTTACCATGGTGCTATTCCTTCATTCCTTAGGGCCTCTGCATGTTTTTCTAATGGATTATCATAATGTCTCTACTACTTACACTTCTGTCCTCTCTACCCATAATTCATCCCATATTCTCAGGTTGCATACACTGTTTAATACCTATTATAGAGTAGAGGATCATGTTATAATCATATAATCACACTACAATTTGATACAAGAAATGAAGGACACATATTTATCTAAATAATAGAAATATTAGTAGCCATATCTTCTATATGCAAAATATAGTTTGTAAAAAACTGTTCTAGGTGCTTTATATTTAAAACGTATTTTTGGGGCCGGGTACGGTGGCTCACGCCTGTAATCCCGGCACTTTGGGAGGCCGAGGCGGGCGGATCACGAGGTCAGGGGATCGAGACCATCCTGGCTAACACGGTGAAACCCCGTTTCTACTAAAAATACAAAAAATTAGCCAGGTGTGGTGGCGGGCGCCTGTAGTCCCAGCTACTCGGGAGGCTGAGGCAGGAAAATGGCGTGAACCTGGGAGGCGGAGCTTGCAGTGAGCCGAGATCGCGCCACTGCACTCCAGCCTGGGCGACAGAGAGAGATTCCGTCTCAAAAAAATAAATAAATAAAAAATAAAACGTATTTTTATGCTTCATGGAGTTGTTCAGAGAATGAAATAAGATTACATATAAAAACTAACAAAGTGCCTAGCACATATTAGTGCTTCATAAATAGTAATTATTAGTATATTGTTTTATACAACCATCCTGCTAGGGAGATATTCATATTCCTTATTATCAGAGGTTCATGGGATTAAATAAGCTGTCTATAGGTTTTCCATTTTACCTTCAATGACGGTTAAATTTTGAAGAAAAAAGAAATGACTAAAGAAAATATTTAGCATATAAATATACATTTTCCATATTAATATTTATTTTAATAAATGATTATAAGATGTAGCTCTGTAGATTTGTGAAAAGATTAAAAATGAGTTTTTCCAAATGTTTATGTCATTGAGATGCATATGCACAGCTCAAAATGAAAAAATCATTAACAGATAATCCCACAGAATTGAAAATCAATTGCAGTTATAAGTCATGTATTAGATAATTAGAAAATATACCTATCATAAAAGGTGTATACAAAAATATTTACTTGTTTTATTGTAATTTTTTAAACATAGGTTTTAAGTGATAAAAACAATACTATTTCATTTTATTGCTCTACTACAGTATCAAAGAAAGTCAGCATTCTGGATACCTGTGGATTCCCAAAGAACATATTTATTTGAAAATATTCCAAATTATTCTATAGCTTTATAGGTAATATAAATAATACTTATTTTTTATTAAAGCTATATATCAGCAGAATATCATGAAAGTAGAGTTTGTGACATAGTTGCCTCTTATTCTCTTATGTTTTATATATATGTACATATATACATGTATGTATATATACATATATAAATATATATACACACACACACACACACACATATATATATATAGCGAGAAAGAGAGAGAGAGAGAGAATAATATTTTCCAAGGTTTAATCTACTAAACACCAAGTCAATCAGTAGTAAATAGTTTTCCTGAGAAGAAAGAATTCCAGGGACAATAGAAAATTCAGGGTTAACAGAGTTAACAGATTTCTTAATATTGAATTTCTCAGAATTTTAAATATACAAATGCAGTTTAAATCTCTAAGAAGGGGATATAGTACACAGTGTGTCATGTTATATATATGTATATACACATACGCATGCACATTACATATATATGACATGTAAATTCTGTCTCTCTGTATATCAAGGTTTATTAACCTCAGCTCTATTGACATTTGGGCTGGAGAATTTTGGTGTGTGTGAAGGGGAGAGGGACTGTCCTGTGCATTGTAGGATGATTAGCAACATCCTTATTCTTGGCTTCTGCCTTCTAGATGCCAGAGGCAACCAAAAATGTCTCCGGACACTGCAGGATATCCAGATATTCCTTTGGGAACAAAATAGCTATTGGTTGACACACACACACACACACACACACACACACACACACACACACACAACAAAATAGCCATTGGTTGACACACACACACACACACACACACGAAAATTTTATCTTAAATATTTTTGATATACTAGAGTCCATCATCACACTCAATAAATCACTCTTAAGGTGTGGCTAATATTAAAAACAAAATGTTCATTGCTATGCCACTCTACCAGAATAAAATCTCAAAACTGCATGAAAGATACATAAATTGAAAATACCCTCAAAACTGGTATTGGACTGAATAATTGGTTTGATTTAAGCCAAGTTTACTTCTTTAAAATATTGGCCAGCAATAAACTCCCAGTCTTAGTATTTTCCTCATGGAGTTTGGACAACAAAAGGTAGATTCACTGAGATAAAACAATAGTCTATCAGCTGTGTACTCCTGTCTCGGGCATCCCCAAAGCTCTTCACAGGTCTCGTGAGGAAAACTCTTCAGAGAAATGGGACAGTATAAATTTAATGCAAACTTATCAGTCTATAAAGTGTGATAATGCCTTTAGAACAAGTGTGTGTGTGTGTATGTGTGTGTGTGTTTTCTAAGAAACAGGGGCCAAAGCCATTTGTGTGTGTGTGTGTGTGTGTGTGTGTGTGTGTGTGTTTGCATGTCCACATGCCTGTGTTCTAAGAAATGGAAGCAGAGACACTGATAGGGTCTTCAAATAGCTGTTACAGGGAAAATTATTATTTTATGGTTTTGCTATGAAAGAAGTGAATTTCTATCTACATTAAACAAGCAGACAGAATTCACTATCAAAGCACAGTTATATGGTGTGCAGGACAACAAGCAATACTAAATACTTATAAAAATGAGAATCAAACAGCTTTCACATTTCTCTAGGAAAATAATTAATTGTTTATTGCTAGAACTGATATTGACTCCTAAGCACATCGATACAAAGTGAGTATTAAAGAAAACTGTGGTTGAAAGTTGATGAGAAAACTTATATAATCTATAGATGATACAATTCTTTGAGAATTTAATATAGAAATGTTGTCCAATGAGACCTAGGCAAGGTAGGTTAAATAGCAAAAATACACAATTCTTCTCTTGGTGGGGTGAAGAAAGGATGCTGGAGAGTTCTGATTCTACATTATAGTCTAGGAAAGAATCTCCTGGACTCGAGATCACAACCTTTAGCATGGAAGCAGAGATAAGGTGGCACATTTCTATGTCTTCTATAGTATCTTTGTCAGCTTTATAGTAAATCTTGAAGTTGGGTAGTGTTAATCCTCTGACTTTATTCTTCAATATTTTGCTGGTTATTTTGTGTCTTTTTATATTTCATATAAAATTTAGAATTGATTGATATTCACAAAATATGTTGGGATTTTTATTGGGATTGTATTGACTCTATATATCAAGTTGGAAATAATGGATATCTTAACAATATTGAGTCTTCCTATCCATGAATATGGAATATCTCTCCATCTATTTAGATCTTCTTTGATTTATTTCTTTCATTCATTTTGTGCTCCTCATCATATAGATCTTATACATATTTTGTTAAATTCACTTTATTTGTGTGTGTGTTAATATAAATGGCATTGTGTTTTAAATTTCACATTCCAATTGCTCATTGCTGGTATATAGAACAATTGGTGATTAATAATATATTTTGAATAATTGAATGAATGAATTACAAGTGTTCTATGAGGATCAGAAGTATTCCCTAGAGGCCAACACACTGCTGCAGAGTAGTCCTCTAATTCTTGTCTCTGTAATTCCTTCACAGGCCCAAATCATTTAAAAGAGATGCTTACATCTCAGCTATTGGTCCAGTCAAACCTACCACAAAAATCATAGCATATGCTTATCTGCAGTTTATTGGAAAGAACATTTGAACATGAGTAAAGAAAACTAAGTTCTAGGACAACATTTCTTCTACTTAATTGTGTAATGTGTTAAATCACTAAGCCACTCTGGCCTCCCTAAGATTCTTCCTCTGTAAAATTATTTTTTAAAGAGGAGGGCAATATTTCTAAAGGCACTTCTAGTTAGAAAGTTTTACAATTTAGAATTATGAAACCTACCTAAAATCCCTATGAAAATTAAATCTCCTCCAAATAAACAGGTGGCCCTTTCCCCAGAAAATTACTGAAAAAGTGGCTCCAATGAAATAAAATTACAAAAACAACTAGTGAATCAAATAATCTATTTCAGTTGAGCACTAGAGATATCATATATAATTTACATGTTTTTTTCAAAGCTTTACATAACCTGATTAGCCATGTATAGGACTGTTTAATTAATGCTATAGTAAAGTGGTAGTATTATAATTCTGAAATAGATTAGATATAAGAAAAACCTGAATTTGATTCCCATCCCAGCATCTCCCTCTACTTGAGCAATCTTGTGTGACACTCAATGTTAGTTCTATATCTTACATTGGGAGAGATGATAACAGTAATAGCAAATTCCCCAGGATTATTGAGAGACACTAAAAGATAACATTTGCAAACAATATAGCACAAATACTTTGTCCACACAAGTATTTGTTACGTGTTGGCTGACTCTGTAATAATTTTCATTCCCTTAGTTTGAAAGCACTGAGATTTGTAGTAAGGAAGGGTAAAGCTTTACAAATGGCTAATTATATAATTTAAAAAATATATTTTAACACATTTTGGAAGCCATCTTGTTTTCAACCAACAGATCACTTCAATATCTGCGTGCTTGCTTAACTTACCTTTCTGTGCAGGCACAAAGAATCTGGGGTGGCAATTAAAACAAATACATGGTGACTTCATCAAAATACCCATGGACTTTTTTTAACTTTAAAGATAAAATATTAAAAATGACATATTTTTATAAAAAGTATTTGAAAGCTTCTAACAAAAATGTCTATATTCACACGGAAGTATAATCTGTTTTTCAGAGATTTTCCTTCATGTATTTCTAGTGTTTTAATTTTGACATCTGAGAAGTCTTAGATTGGATTATTTTCTATCATTACCCATGAACAGGGCAAATAAGAATTTTGCATAATTGCTTTTGCCTCTTTCTGATTTTTAAAGGCAAGAATACCCATTGCTACAAATTTTAAAAGTACAGGAAAGTATCAAAGATAACACAAGCAAATAAAGCAGACAAAATATTAACAGTAAGAGAAATACTATAGCATTCTAACATTTGAGACGTGTATATAAGATTGTGTCAAGTAAGGGGACATTATTTTCCATTTGTTTCACTCTTTCATTAGGTTTTCTTTATTACTCTTGGCATAAGAATACAAAGAAGTATGAAAATGTATACTTTGTATAGAGAGAATAATAGTCCCTAAGAAGCACAATAATTAAAATATAATTATTTACTATGCCAAAAGGAATTCATGTTCAGAAGTAATGAAATTAGTCTAAAACAGGAAAAAGATGCACAAAATTCCTAAAAGTGAGATCCATTATATCTGTCAAGGGAATTCAACAAGGGAATCAGAGACTGAATAGTGCTTTTGTGTACCCAAACTAAACTGGCCAAAGAACTAAAACCTGCATACATGGGAAATGCTGCAATATCAAGGAAATGGACTAAAATATTAAAGAGTTTTCCATTTTTGTTGGCCAAATTCCATCCTGTAAGCAGTGCATTAGACGCTAATGACATACGATTTCTCACTGACAGATTTAACAGCATCAATAAGGCCTCTCTGTCCATTGCAGCAAATTGATCCTACATGACACTGACAAGGGCAGCCTGCACTTAATGACCTCCATCGCTGAAGGATGAAAATGAAAAATGATTGGAAGTACAAATAAATCTTGAAAGTTTCCCTGAAACAGGTGTGCTAAAAGTGATTCGTTTGAGGGATCACAAACATAAACCCAATCTCCCAGCAATCTCCACTGTCTGTTCCTACTATAGTCTCAGTCCTTGTATCTTGCATCAAGATTTGCTTTAATTCCAAAATGAGATCAAGATAATTTTGCTCTTACTATGAAAATGTGATGTTAGGGCTTTCTCTTAAAAAGCATGGGGTCTCCACTATTTATGCATGTATCGAATGTATTTGTCATTTGCCACCAAGTGATTCTTTATAAACTGATAACTGCAGATAACTGCACATATAATTTATTTTTGCTCCCCCCCGATTAGAAAAGGAAATACAGTATAGTCAATGATTATTTTCTGCTTCTCAATTATGAACAACAAATAGAACATATTTAATTTCAAATAACAATGTCAAATGCGTGAAGTGATTGGACAAATTCTTCATAGATACATACATGCCCTTTCTTTGAGTCCTGCAAAATGGTTTGAGGACACTAAGATTTTGGCAGATAGTTGTATTATCAATTCTTTCCCAAACACACTTATTTCATTCTTTTTTTTTTTTTTTTTTTTTTTTTTTTTTGAGACGGAGTCTCACTCTGTTGCCCATGCTGGAGTGCAGTGGTGCATTCTTGGCTCACTGCCATGTCCGCATCCTGGGCTCAAGTCGTTCTTTTGCCTCAGCCTCCTGAGTAACTGGGACTTCAGGGGCATGCCACCACATTCGGCTAATTTTTGTATTTTTAGTGGAGGCAGGGTTTCACCATGTTGGCCAGGCTGGTCTCAAACTCCTGACTTCAGGTGATCTTCCCACCTTAGCCTCCCAAACACTTGTACCTTGATGTATCTTCATCTTGCTATCATTTCAAGATTTTAAGAGAAAAATGCATTCTTCTCTTTCCCAATGTATTCAGAAGCTTTAACTCTCATGAGAGTAGACGGATGGCAAATAGGGAAGTACATAGGGGGATGCCAGATGAATGTAATAATTACTTACAGTCGTATAGCATCCCTTAAATTTTAAAGTAACTTATTATGAATGGCTCTTTTTTATTACTTACAAAGTACTCTGTGAGGTAAATCTTATTTTATAGATGAGAAAACTGAGGTTGGAAAAGGCAACTTGCCAAGCTCACGGAGCTAGTAGAACTTGCATTAAAATCCCACCTTTTGCCTTCCCAACATTCCATAATAGCCGTAAGTATAGCACTGCTATTCTAAACTACTGATTTATAATGCAACAATATGGGTGATACCAGTAGGAGAAAGGATCAATTTGGTTTTCATGGTTAGGTTAATTATTAAAAAATAATGACTGTATTTTCTGAAATTTGAATCCTGGGGGAAAACAAATATTTAAGGAAAATATTTTTTATTGTTACTAAGTATCTGGAGAATATAAAGGAAGTGGCTGTATTATAACACTCTAGTAATAGAACTTTTTCTTCCTTTCTGATTCATAGCATATTGTGTGCTTTACCTTTCCACTTACCATTACAGAAGATTTTATAAAATATATTTAGAATTCCCAATGATTTTCAGTAATTAGAGAAAGTCAGCTATTTTTCCAAGTTTCCAATTAATCTCCATATCTAATAAGAAAATAGTTACCAGAATTTGGAGCCTCTATACTAAAAGGACAATTTAGAGGCCTGCCATGGGAAATCACCCACTCTTAGAATTGAAATATAAAGACTATGATAATATATTTAAATCTACAGATAAAAAATTGGCATTTCTCATCATATTAATCAAAATCAAATTACTATAGAATAGTGGATTAGAAACTAAGTTTTTCATTTCTCCAATATTCTTTCAAAATTCAATTTTAAAAGGTTGATATAAATATACAACAAAACTACACAGAGAAAATAGGCCATGTTGTGGATATCATCGTCAGATCAGAGGCACCCAAACTGACTACTTTTTACTTTTGTAGTGCATATATGACATAAATCATCACCTTAAAACAATTAGAAAAACCAATACCTGTTTCTTATCTCTAATTGAAGTATCAAGTGATAGCTGTTTATCATATATATTGAAATAATTGTCCTTTTCTTTTAAGAATGTAATCTGTAGCTGTTGATACTCTTGAGCTAAACGCAGATTTTCTTCAAGTGAATCAGCTATTATTTTCTAGAAGGTAAAAAAATATAATTGAATTGTGTGTATATATATATAAACGCAATTAAAATCATTTGGATTTGTTTGAATTTTTACATCTTTTAAATTATCTAAACATGCTCTATTATGTATAGTAGAAAAATAACAAAATAACCAAAAAATGTTTCTCCTGATACCAATATCCTTTGTTGATTTAATAATATTCTTTTTTGATGCAGGTTTTTTTTTAACATTAATGTGTGATTCATCAGAGTTAGTCTGACTTTTAATTCACCTCTTTTCACTGCCTTTTTCCTGAACTTCCCTCTATCATGCCTTGAAAGGTGCCCAGTCCTGGGACCCTTTAATCAGCATCCCAGGAGCACTTTCACAGTTTCCTGTCCTCTTATACTTTTCTCTAGCCCCTGTGCTTAAATGAGTAGATGGTACCTTGTAGCTTAGAATTTCATCTCCATGAAGTTCAGAATGTTGGTACCCACAGAAAACATTAAAAACATAGATGAGGAAAGAGTAAAAGACAAAGAATAGGGAATGCAAAATTTAGAAGCACCCAGCATCATTGTTTATAATTAATATATTTTAGTTATGTTTAAATAAAAGTTAAATCTGCTAGTATGAGCAGTTGAGAACTTTATAATGTCCTCCTCCATGACTAAATAAATATATGTCAAATCTAATATAAACTCTTTAGAAAATAACTTTGCATCACTATTCATTGGCAAATTGGGGGCTATCTATAATTTTAAATTAAATGCCTGAACTGAGTTTAGTTTCTGATTTTTTTTTTTTACATTTCTTGCACAGAAAACTTACTCTGACTGCTTAAAAAATATGGTATTTATCAATAGCTCTAAATATTTTCAAACCTGTTAATCCAGTAATTTCTCTTTTGGGAATCTATCCTAAGCAAAATGCTTTATTCATTACAATGTTATTTATAATAGCAAAATAAGTTGTCAAAACATATAAATGCAGATTAATCATGATGACGATAATGATGATTCAATAACTAGATACAGAAATAACCATTGTGAAGCAATTAAAATTGTTTCTTTGTGAAAATTGCCATCACAACAAACCCTTAGTATAAGTTGTTAAAAAATATGTTGCCATGCGAGAATGTGTATAGAGGAAATGTAATTCAGCAGAAAATTGCCTGTACAAATATTTCTGTATTTACACACTTGAAGATTTATTAAAGTCAACAAACATATTTCTCATGAAAGGCTGGTATCCATATTGATCCCTAATGATAAATATTATGTCATAGCTATTCTTCAAAAAGCCAAAATGACCAACTGAGAATCATTTTAAATGCCCTTGTCTTAATTCTGTCACAATAATTTAAAACTTCAGAAATTTCTATCTATAAACTTGCCTAAAATCACATTGAATTATTTTTTGTTACGAGGACAAAGTTCTATTAATATTTTCCTTTGGTGGAGATTCTTTTCAAAAGATAGCTATACTAATTTAAGATTTTGACATTAATATTAAAATCCAATCCTGAAGTGATTAACTTGTAACATTGATAAATGTTCTACTTTAGAAAGGAATAGGCATCATTTTGAATTTTTTGTTCATTTGTTTTTTTGATTAAATCTAAGCACAACTCTGATATCTGAGACATCCTACTTCTCAGGTGCTTTTCTTTCCATTTCTAGGTGGCTACTACAAACATTTAATTTGAGAGGAGTGATACAGAGTTCCGGGATTTGCATTTTACCAATTTAATGGAACTTAATTGGGGAAATATTTTATAATATATACTTTGCTCAATGTTTAATATGCAGTTTTATTTCTAAATGCATACATGTTCAATTTCTGAATGATACCAGTTCTTCCACTTTATATATCGCAATTAGAATATATGCCAAAAAAGCAAATTGTGTAGTTATGCCAGTAAATCTTCAAAACGTTACATCAGTCACAATATTTTACATTATCATTTTCCAGTAATGAATATATGAAGGATGTATCAATTCACTACTTATTCCTGAAAGTCAGTGACCTTCAGATGTATAATGAAGTTTAAGTTTTATTAATTTTAAATAATAGTATTCATTCGACACTGAAAATGTTTAAGTTTAATTGAGAGTCCACCTCACAACTTTGACTTGTTTAACTTTAACCAATAATATTGTTAAATGTAAATGACACAAATGGGGAATGATAATTATTGGTGGAAATATGTGCAAGGGAAATAGCTCATAAAAGGATAACTGGAATGTAGAATTCTTCTTTTTTTTCACTTCTTTTATTTTCCATACTATTACATTCACTCAAAAGGCCTAAGTACATATAACACTTTCTCAAAGACAGATTTATTGTTTTTTACTCAATTCCAATTATTAATACTTATTAAGATGGTAAAACATTAGGAAGATAGCTTGCTGAAGAGAAGAGATGTAATGAATGTTTGTTAATAGTTTCCATATTGTCTAGAGTTTATTAAGGAAAATATTTTACTTGGTGATGGTTTGTTCTTTATTATCACAAATTTTTCTTTAAGCCTTGATACTTCGGGGATATTACAGCTTCTTTTCCCAATATTTTATTATAAAATAAAGATTATGCTTATAAGGACTGAACAAAATCTAGATTGTAGGTTCCATGAGGGATGAGACCATCATTTTGTTCGCCCTAAGAGATGTTGCACTGCGAAGATCTAACATAAGCAGGTGCACACGTTTTCAGTAAATGAATAAATGCATGTATGCACATAATATTAATTCAGAAATATATATATTGTGCCCTTTGGAACCACACATTTTATTTTTCAACTTCTATGAAGTAACTGATTGGCAATATAACCACCATTATAATATGGCACATTCATTATACTATTTGATACTGTACTACTTGAGAGGTGTATATATATATATACACACTTTTAAGTGTATATATACTCTTTTAAGTATATAAAGAGAAATCATACCATATGTTTTTGTATTAAAAACTATTCTAAAGATAACCATATTGTCCAGGTTTAACAAGAATTCTTTATTTTGGGTGAATCATTGACTTTCAGAAGGTATGTGAACCTCATTAAACTGTACACAGCATTTTTCTTGGGTTATTTAGTTAGCCCATGATCCCCAAAGTGTGGAAGAACCATTGCTAAGGAAAGGCTTGGCTTCCTTCTCTGTCAGCAAAAATGCTGAAAAATGGAGACAGGTTGAGTATTCAAAATACACAAATAGTAGTTCTACTCCCCACCCCCCCCACTTGACTTTTCTTGTTCTTTAAGCCATAGATTCCACTTGGACTTTTCCTCAATTTTCTCCACTTTCAGTTTATTTTTCCTTCTTCTCATCTCTCACTGGGTAAATGGGGACTAGGGACTTCCAATCAGAAAACTGGTTCTTTTTGGGAAAAAAATGTAAAAATATAAAATATAAAAATATAAAATTTTTATATTTTATATAAAAATATAAAATTTTTATATTTTATATAAAAATATAAAATTTTTATATTTTATATAAAAATATAAAAATATAAAAAATATAAAGCCTATATCATATTTCTGTTTCACTTTGTGATATACAGCAAGGAAATTAGAAATAAGGCTGAACTTGCCTGTTAAGTTATAAATTCCACATATAATAAATAACAACTGAGACTTACACAGTCACCTTCAGAAGAAAGAAAATTACCCAGGATAGTAAATCTGTATTGTAACTGAATGTAAGATATTAACAACCCTCCTCTCCCTAAAAAGAATATGCCACTTTAAAAGAAGTTGATAAGCAATGGAAGCAAAAATGAAATAAAGTCAGGGACACTAACATAGCCGGTGCCTATCAACAGGAAACATTCCTCCAGACCCAAAGCCTCAACCGTCTCAGTTCTGGAAACCATTCCACTTCCACTCTAGTATTAGTTATACTGTGTTACATTAGCTTGATGACAAAAATGAGAATTAGAAAAAGAGTAAAAGCTAATATTAGGGAGTGCTTACTATAGTCAGGAGCTGTGCTAGGAATGCAGTATTTACTGAATTTATCCTTGTAGCAATGATCTGAGACTTTATATTATTATCCGCATGTCACAGGTAAGAAAGACAAGGCCGAGAGATATCAGTTGAGGTAAACTGTATTTTCCAAAAATGGCCACAGCAATATTTTCAGTCTCGATGTTTTTTCCAGAACTTTATCACTCCCTATCCAAAGGTACAGTCTATTTCTCCTTCCTTTGAACCTGGGTAGACCTATGGCTTTTCCAGCTAATCGAGGATGCTAGAAATGATGCTAAGTGACTTCCCAGGCTGGCTTATATAATAGAAAGCATACAGCTTCTGCCTGGCCCTCTCTTTGAGGGCATTCACCCTTGGAACCTGCCACCACATTGTAAGGAATCTAGGCCAGAGGCCATGTGTAGGTGTTCCAGCAAACAGTCCTAGCTCAGTTCTCAGGCAACAGCATCAATTGTGAGTGAGTGAGTCAGCTGAAGATAAATCTAACCCCTAGCCTCCAAGTCATCCAACTGATGTCCAGAAAGGGTGAAACAGAGACATGCCATCCCCGCTCGGCCTTGTCCAAATGTCTGGCACATAGAATCATAAGCATAGTCATTTTACACCATGATGTTTTGGAGTATTTGTTATACAACCAAAGCAACTGAAATGCCAGATATCTTGTGCAAGTTTGCACAGCTATTAGGCAGTGAAGCTGGGCTTTGCATCATCAAGTCAGACTGGCTCCAGATCCTGTACCCTTAACCGTCCAATATATTCCCTTCGCAAACATGAGCCAGCACTTTTAAACACTATATGCAATGCAGTCTTCATAAAATGTAATGACATTAAATAATTAAATCAAATAACTGAATTCCATAGTTCTAAGTCCATTTCTGCCAAGAAACTGTCTTATTATAATCTGGTTAACACAGCATTTTGACATAGGTAAAACAGGCCACTTATGGAAATTAGAATGTGGTCCCAGGCTACTGTTAATTATACATAAATATGGGCATATTGGTTATATATTGTTAGTTTCTTGTGCTTTTTGATCTACATGATTCCATATCTCAGTATTTGATTAGGTCTGACGCATTCCCTGGCAAGACCAAATGCATGGACCTTCAAAGCTGGGACCTGTAGAACTGTGGACTATGGTTGAATGCAGTAGAATAATGCTACCCTTGGAGATCTGTGGAGCTTCCACCAGAGACACTTATCCTGGACAAAGTTTAAATCTATTTGAACTGTTATTTTTAAAATCAAAGGTGGACTAATGCCAAAGGAGATTACAAGAAAAAAACTTGATTCAAACATTCTAGAAAGGTGGTTATGATTAAAATATTTGCACTATACATTTAAGTACAAAAAGTGAAATAGCTGTTTACAAATACCTTATTGTTAGTACAATCATCGTGGTGTCTATGACTAAATGCATAGCAATGTGTCATATATACCCTTAATTATTCTTAATGTAGGCATTTGGATCCAGTTTACCAGGCAGAGGGGCTAGGTTTTTCTTTCAATTATGTATTGTAAGAGAGCTGTCATCTTCTGACCCAGTTCTAACTCTACTCTCCTGTCCTGATGTAACTGTCTGTTGCTGTCTTAGCTAATCTTTTCTGATGATCTGTCTGTCATCCCCTAATTCTTGGTTATTAAGAATTTACTGCAGACAGCTCCTTGCTTTCTTTCATCTCACCAGAGCTCTGCCGGCTCTTGCTACCACATCCATATTCTTGCATAGACCGCACTACATTCACTTCAGTCTCATGGATGGAAAGAATGGACTTCCCACCAGAACCATCAGAAAACAAAAAATGTATTGTTAGTATTTATTGATTGATTTTACTCCAGAGCATCCTCACATCTAGCCTTTTCTTCATTTTTTTGTTTATTTAATCATTTGTTTAGCAAACCCTTGGGAAGTTTACTTTACGGATTCAGCTCTATGGTTAGGCCAGGAATTAAAAAAAGGATAAGATATAATTCCTGTTCGCCAAGGATTACAAGCTGTAGTTGGAGGAGGCTGAAGTGTGAAGAATTCTATTCCAGTTACAGTGGAATTGATTCTATCAAGTGGGGGAACAGCATAAACAAAAAGCTTCACAGAAGAAAAAAAAATCATTGATTTGAATCAGAAGATCGAAGCTGCCCCACCACAAACGTTAGTATATATCTGAGCAAATTTGGAGGAGTCAGAGTCAACAGAAATATTTTCTTGGCCCCTTAGGAACAGTAGATTATTGTTGCCTATGGCTTGTGAATTAAACTCTCATAGATAAGGTTAAATGTTCTGCTGTCTTTTGACTTTAGCATATTACTAAGTGTAAACAATAAAATGTATCCACATATTTAGTATCCTATCAATGCATAGCATTACAAGTAATGTCAGTTCCAAGCACCACTGTTTCAATAGTATATGATCCTGTGCACATGCCCACGCATTACACCATTGATCCCATCCCAATGAATCCCCACAGGCCTCTTATATGCCCTTGGTACATTTCTGCCCTTCTCGAGCACTGGAATGATAGTTTTGCATACCGTGAGGCTTTGATGTCCTTAAAGCAGGTATTGGTGCGGAGACTGATTCATAGCATGTACAGGGGATATATTTTAGAATAAACAAGACAAGCGGGCTCCAAGTCTGTTTGTGAGTAACTTCAAAAGCATCCCCCACTTTTATTCATGGGCATTAGTGTAATTAACCCAAATGTTTAAAATACAAGCTGATCCTCTAACAATGTAGAAGACAGGGAGAAAATATCTTCTTTATTAAGGGCATCACCTACAGTGTGCATAGAAGCATTATTGCATTGCTGCTCCCTTAAAATCTATACACCAATTACTACAGAAAGCAAGAGTTCTCCCTAGTGTTTCCAAGAAGCAAGTCTGTAAGAATGATATGTGTCGATACCCTGAAGCCTCAGAGGAGCAAATAACTGTTTTAACTCTCCCAGGACCCACTTCCTTGTCTGTGCTGCCATGGAAACCATTCTCTTGTCCAAGGCGAGTTCTCTGATAATTAGTTTTAAAAGAACATTCTTGATTTGTAAATGAACAAATCAATCCTCTGCATCAAGGTTATTACATACCTTAAACTCTATGTATTATCATGTTTAACAAAATGCTCTCTATTCACTCATTTATTCAAAAGTACGTACTGAGCAAGACAGAAAAGCAGTATGGGAGGTACTGGTGGAGGCACCTTTATGACACTGTTTGATGAAAGCCTGTGACACGCAGCTGACGAATCATACCTGTCCCTGCCAGAGTCCAGGGGAATACTTCCGTTAGCTGCCCTACCCCAGCTCCCAACTATATGAGGACACAAAGGACTCCTCAGCTTACTTTCCTGACTGGGTTACAAATTTAGCTACTGCATTAATTTATGCATAAAGTTTACTAACGGACATTATGACATTGCCTCTCAGAAGAAATTCATTGAGAATTTTTGAACATCTTTTGTTAACCTTGCTTGTTCCCTATTACTATTTTTGTCTCTGTTGTATATATTTGACCAAGAATTATTGATAATAACATGAAAAAACACACAATTTCATGGCAGAAGGAGCTTGCAATCAGATAAGGGAATAGAGGCATTCACAAAGCTAACTACATCAGGATGCATTATGCATGAAGAAGGATAAAAGGCATATCCACATAACGATAGTAGTTCCATGAGAGATCAGTTCCAGCAAAAGTGATGAGCAAAGTTTCAAGGAAGCATCAGTTTGTCAACTGATTTCTGGAGATATTTCATATAAGAGCTCTGTATGTGGTCTTAGCAGGGAAAACCTGACCCAGAAATACAGATGCTTATTAATTATTAAAAAACACCTGATCAATGTGGGTGTGTGTTAAAGAAAGAAACATTTGTCTCCATACTGACTATAGTATTCCTCCTATAACTATTGAATAACTTAAAGAAAACCTTACACAAATGCCACTTATGTTAGCTATTAAATTTCCATTTGGTCAAGTTTTCTTCAAAATCATTTATGTCCCTTCAAATAATTTGATATAACTGATTACAGAAATAAATTATGTAATAAGAAAAGGAGCAAAAATCGGTTTCACCTAATCTATATCCCCAATGATGTTTTCTAAATTAAAGGACATTATTTAAATGGTTACAGTATTTAAAGTATATGACATCTTAGAATAATCCGTGGCACAATTTTTGTCCTCAGTAAGTGACAGGCACAGTAATAATTTCTCTAAATTTATTAATTGTGTATTAAATAAACTTAAAATTTTTAATCCTGAATATATTTTTGAGTTTAATATTTTTTCTGATATCAAGAGTGTTAGAAACATATTTGATGTTATGCCCTTGTTAACTATTCCTATGCATTATAATCATTTAATTATATTTTAATTTGTTGATATTTTAAAATATATTTTAAGAATATATATTCTAAAATATATATTTTAAAAGTCTGCTCCTCTTTTCACGGCATCATGTGAAAGGCTGAACAACCATTTCCTCTTCATGTGTACCTCCTGATTTGAACAGTTTAAGATGTAGAAAGGTTTCCTATTTACTCACATTTTAATGATATACATTTCTACTTCACTGGCGGAAAAGGCTGATCAGTCACAGAAAGGTCAGTTAACACTAAATAGACCCTTTCTTTATGTAATTACAAAGAATAATATCTTTGTACTGATGGCACTGCACATCGAGTGGGTGATGCAGAGAATTAATGTGCTGCCTTCTTGGCCCATGGGATACAGATTCCAATACAATAACCACAACTTATTCTAATTATGCAACTTTAAAAGGTCATCAGCAAAAACAGTTAAGGAATTATGAACTAACTTTATCATAAAGTAATAATGTACTGTATAAATGCAGAAATTGTAAGAACAGTACCTAGAAACTTCATTACAAATGAGAGAAAAACTGATCTAAGGGGTTCCAGAACACATATTATGGCATAAATTAAGTAAAAGCTTTGAATGATTAAAATATGTATATTTTGCAAGTTGCCACTGATGTAGTCAGATAACCTGATGCCACTTTACATTTGTAGAAAATGGTTAATTTTGAAAGCACTTTATATATTTAATGCCAGTTTTATTGTCGTATCTATGTTACATCAGAATTTAAATATTTCTTTTAGAAATCTGTTTGTTATGAGGTAATACATGCTGATTATATTATATACAAAATAACAGAGAGGTACATGGAGTAGAAAATTAAAACCTTTCTTCACGTGACTGTCATTTCTATACTCCAGAGATAGCATTAACAATTTGGTGCAAGTCCTTCAGAAATAAAAATTTAAAAAAATTTTTCTACATCGATAATGAGGAAATAGGGGCAACGGAAGTCAATTTCTTGCCCAAGGTCACACATGGACAGAACATTAAGGCTAGGGTCCCCCCTAATTTCAGTCTGACACCCTTTCTGGGTTTACATCCCCTCCTAATCTTGGGTATGAATTGCAGAACCCTTAAGATTCTAGTATGTAAATGCTCTAATTTCTGAATACCCTATAGAATTACATCAGCCTTTCAAAATAAATTAGATACTCATGGAGGAGAGTGCTTTGAAGTAAAAAAAAAAAAAAAAAATAGGCCTCAGTCTTTTCCTTGGAGATTCAGGGTCAGAAAACATTAGGGCTATTGCCACAGATGTGCCAACTATGAGAAGTTCAGCAAATAATTTGCAGTCTAATACAATATCCTTATGGGTTGAATTACTGGTAATGTCTTCATTCTTTTGCTGCTTTATTGGGAAGGAAGAGATTATGAGCATCTTTACTCACCTGGTACTGTTGTTCACATTAGAGCACTGTCCAAACCTTGCAACGTATCCCAAGCAGAAATATGATATAAAATATCTAAGGCAATTTTCTACAGATAACCATTTCGGGATGTATCTACTTCCCAAACTAATTTAATCTTGGTATAGGGGAAAATGATATTCTAGATCAGGGATAAGCCAACTATGGCTCTCCAGCCAAATCCAGCCCCTGCATGCTTTTGTAGATAAATTTTATTGGAACACCTCATACTCATTGGTTTACATATTGTCTTCAGTCTCTTTTGCTTTACAGTGGCAGAGTTAAGTAATTGCAATAGAGACTGAGTGGACCATAAAGCCTGAAATATTTACTGCCTGTTCCTTTATAGACAAACATTTGCTAACCCCTACTATAGAGTCTTAATTAATATATTAGTATCGTGCTGTATTAGTCCATTTACACACTGTTGATAAAGACATACCTGAGACTGGGAAGAAAAAGAGGTTTAATTGGACTTACACTTCCACATTGCTGGGGAGGCCTGAGAATCATGGTGGGAGGCAAAAGGCAGTTTTTGCATAGTGACAGCAAGAGAAAATAAGGAAGATGCAAAAGTGGAAACCCCTGATAAAACCATCAGATCTAGTGAAACTTATTCACTACCATGAGAACAGTATGGGGGAAACTGCCCTCATGATTACATTATCTCCCAACAGGTCCCTCCCACAACCCCTGGGAATTATGGGAGTACAATTCAATATGAGATTTGGTGGGGACACAGAGCCAAACCATATCACGTGCTTAATGAAGTTCCAATTTAAACCTCTCATTCAAGATCTATTTGGGCTCTACTTAGGCCTAAGCATAAAAAAACATGGTTAGAAAGCATTTTTATTTTTCCAGCAGAGGACCATAGTAAGGTGACACAGCCAATCAACAGTCACTTCAAAATTATCTCGAAGTCCTTAAAAAAAAAAAAAGAAATCTTTGTGAGCTTTGTAAGTACTCTCAAAATGGACTCAATAACTTTGTAAAGAGTAGTCAGAGCTGTTAAAATACCATAAATCTTGCCCAAATGTGTCTACCCCACGCCTTCTTTAATTAAAAGTGGTTCATAGAGGTCTTGCATTATAAGTAGATAGAGAGGTCTGCTCAGTTTTTGACTCCTGAAACTTCTGTTGGGGGGCTCAGAATTAATTTCATGTTGCTGAGCTAAGCTAAAGTTTAATTTCATGGGCAGCATAGGTGTCCATTCATTTGTAGAATGGCTAAGTAAACTGTGAAGGACTCTACAGTGATGAGAAGAAATGGACTAGACAAATATTATAGCCACACAGAATGAACTTTAAAATATGGGGCTGAGCAGGGAAGACAGAAACGGAATAATAAATTTTGCATAAATCAGCTCATAAAGGAAAGTGCCAATGGGCAATTTGATAGAAACAATATTTACAAATCAAAGGGGGAGGAAATAAATGAAGAGTTAATATTTTGAGGATATGTGAGTCTACATGGTCAGCAATGACACTGCCACTGCTCTCTCTTAAAATGATTAAGTAAATGGATATCTAGATCTTCCAGGTTTTTCCAGGGGCTTAATAGAAAACCTCTAAAGAAGGTAAACCAAATATCAAACATGTCTAGAAATCCAATTCTGTAACCATAGATCTCTCAGGATTCATAACCATGAGATTTCTTCTACCAACTAGCCTCAATCAGAAAAATAAAGGCATAAAATCTGTCATCATTAATAGTTACCGAATTCATGGTTGTTTCTCTCTATGCCTTCTTTTTATCTCATCTATGTTTTTCTTCAACTTCTATTTATTTTTCTATCTTCTCTTTTCTTCCTTTTGTTTCCCCTCATTATCTTTGTCAAGCATAAAACATTCAAAACATTCAATTATTTAAGGTCCTCTTGTCACTCCTGAAAACACCATCTTTTCGTCCCATCATTTCCTCAGCCCTCTTTCTTCCCACATTAAGGTGTGGAAATAGAAATACGTCAAAAAACTAAAAATCTCTGGGGAAATATTGAATGACCCACTTTTACGTTTTTCCCACAAAATGAAACACTTCAGGTAGTACGATGGAAGGAAGGTTAAACATAGATGGTGTAATTCATTACATGGCTGCCTTCTTTTTGATGTTGGCCATATATTAATTTGGGTAGTTATGGTAACAAATGTATGAAATTAAAAACATTTGGTTTACCTGGAAAAGTTAGTAAGAGGTATTTTATAGTTCTATATAAATATGACATTTTAGCCTGGTAGGGAAGTGTAAGTGTGCCATTGTAATAAGTTTCCATTAGTAAGCTAAATATGTGACAAATACAATTATATTCTTTTATATGCACAAATACACAAATAATTCTTTTTATATTTGTAACTTATTGACAGATACGAAGAGAAGTAGAGGCTGATAAGGAGCAAAACAAGCTGAAATCTCCTTAGGAGGAATGCAGGACTCAAAAGCAATAGAACTGGAATTTGTAATGAGGCATTTGTTATTGAAAAGTAATTCTTAATTAATTGATACTAAATATTGTGCATACATATTGGTATGTGAAGAAATGTGTAAAAATTAGCATTCTTGGAAAACTACCACTAAGTCAGGCACAGTTAGTACTTTTTACATGACACTATGCATAGCTCTGTCACTGCAATCACCATGTTTTATTATAGTTACTATCTTCATATTAATTTCCCCACTTCTGTGAATTTTTTTGTGCCATAAAAACTTTCTGCTCTTATGCTTGGTACATAGTAGTTTCTCAGTAAACATTACTGAACAATTTAGTAAATGTGTGAAACTGCATTAATACCAATACTTTCGTGGGCACAGAGGTACATTTATGAAGAAAATAGATGAACTAATTACTAATAATTTTTATATTTTAAAAGTGTCCACTTGAGTCATGTGTTCTTAAATGAGAGGACTTTTCAAAGAATTATACAGGAATGGTATTTTGTTTGTGTGTGTGTTTTTATTCAGTGGAGAAACATTTCACAATTCATTTTTACAACATAAAAACACAGAAATTTATCTATGTACATTTTCACTGAGAAAAATAATAAGGTTTCCAGTTCCTTAAATCCTAGTTTGCAAAAGCATTTTACTGTGTAATCTCTCTGTGTTGCATTCCAGTTTACTTGTAGGTTTTCCTTGGAAGGCTAACAGAAATCTAAACTACCTGCTTTGCTGCCTCCATACACTTTGCTAAGCTGTGTTCTCACAACTCAGGAGATTAAAATTTCAAAAAAAAAAGTAAGACAGTTTCACATGAAATGACTGTAGTTGATTTTCAAAAATTACAGAGGATCTTCACAGTTGCCAGTGGAAATGAATACTTTAAGAAAAGTGAAAATAGTAAATAAGAATACAAATGCAGCATTTGAATGACCTTATCCCAAATATTTTTGAACAGAGAAATGATAAATTTCTTACATATTTCAATGACTTAAATATGGAGAAGTGACACAAGTCTAAATTGAAACAATGCTTATATAATATACTGCTGTCTCTTCGGATGGGAGAAGCAATGCTCCTCAGTTTCACAGGATTCCTCCTTTCTTTGTCCTAGGTCAGAACAAGTGCCCTTTCCTACACTTATAACCCTGCCGATGTCAAACCTATTTTCCTTCCTTCCTGCAAGTTTCCTCCTTTCAATTTTCCCAAGAAAATAAAGAAAGGAAGGAAGGAAGAAAGAAAGAGCAAGTCTTCTGGAATTAAATGCTACATCCACTCCAGAAATATTCAGTATCATTAGTTTTTACCTTGCTTTGATCTCAGAGTAATGACTGACCTGAGGATAGCCTTTATACGGAAACCTGTTCACATGCAGTCAGGCACTGAAATTTTGAACATTCCGAAATTGACAGACTCCTGAACATTATTTTGAATAGGAACACTTATGGACACTATCTGCAGTTCAGGCAGGCCATTGAGTCTTCCAGGCATCTGGGATCAAGCTAACCCTTCAGAAGTTGTGTCTTTGATAGTTATCAAAGAAAGGTAATCTCTGGAATTTGGGAATATGCTATGCTACATGGCAAAGGGACTTTGCAGCTATGACTAAGGTTACAGATTTGGAGGTGAAGACATTATTTTGGATTATCTGAGTGGGACTAACTAATCTCGAGTTCTTAAAAGTGAGAATCTTTTCTACCTAAGTTCAGAGAGATGTGGAGGAAGAAGCAGGAGAAATTTAAAATATGTATGGGAATTGAGATCCGTCATCAAACCTATAACTGTCTTTGAAGATTAAAGAAGAAGGCTACAAGCCAAGGAATGCAGGCAGCTTGTAGAAGCTGGAAATGGCCCTCAACTGACAGCAAGAAAGCAGAGACGAACAATTGCAAGAAATTGAATTCTGTGAACAATCTGAGCAATTCAAATGAGCAAGGAAACAGATGCTTCCCTGAGCCCTCAGAAGGGGAATACAGCCCTGGCAACAACTTGACTTAACCCATCAAGACCCAAGTCAGACTTTTGACCTACAGAGCTATAAGATAACTTTGTGTCTTTTTAAACTTATAAATTCATGCTGGTGTGTTATGACAACAATATAAAACTAATGTGGCAACCCAGGTAACTGTGTTAGGTACTAGACATATAAAATTAATAAGATATTATAGAGAAACAAGCATTTTAACAGTGGAAAATCAGGAAACAAGTTATTAATAAATGAATTATTAATAAATAAATGTATTCCATCATTTATTCATTTATTTTGCATTTAATATTTGTTTTCTAACAGTATGTCAAGTGACTTTAGAGAGTCTGGACCATAATCCGGAAAGACACAATCCCAAATGCCATAATCCAAAATGTTGAAATCTCAAAAGATAAAAATTTCCTAAAGATAAAAATCCCAAAAGTCTAAAATCTCTAACTTCTAAAACTCTGAAAATCACAATAATAAGATGGTTGCATCATGTTAGGCCAGCTCTTATGGATTATCTTTGTGCAACTGCCCATAATCTGTCCCTGTAATACAATTTTACATGCCTAATTTTCTTTCCAGTTTTTCTTTTTCTTTTCTTAGTTATTTTTCAACACCATTTTAAATGGTCAGCATTATTTCTTATAATTTGCTATGCTATGTATTTTATGTTTGTATCATTTCCAGTACTGGAGGTATAAATTGGGTAAAGACTTTTAGAGAGTCCTAATTTGTTTTATGCATATTTTGCAAATTTGACTCCCTGAAAGTACACTATCATAAGGGTTTCTTTGTGTGTTAGCATTGTGCATGTATGGAAAAATGTTAAAGTTTCTCAATAAGAGAAGAAACGTTCTTTTTGTACCTCTGCATTTGTGAAAGATAAAATTTTTTGAGATCTTGGCTCTTTGGGCAACTGCATATGCAGTGGTGACCTTTTGAAGTTTTTTTATCCATTTTTGTCAAAAGACTTAGGATGTTTGTCATGGTATTTCAGAGGACCACAACTATAAAGCTGGGTGCACACATTTACCAACCATAGTGATAAGTGTTTATACATTTCCCTTTTTGACCTATATCTTTAAGAACATGGTTCATCTACTCATATATTATATGCATGGAACTGTCATTAGTATACCTAAGTGTTTATGCTTTCAAACATATCTATGTCATTATTGCTTATTTTACTGTGTAAAGTGGCATATGAAGTTTTCTGTCATGTTTTTATATGTTTTTCAAATCTATTAAAATTTAAATAAGTATCTTAATTTTAAAAAATTATGTTTTGCAGAATTATATTTTCAGGATTTTGATCTTACAGGATTTCAACATTTGAGGTTATGGCATTCCCGACTGTATCTTTGGGAATTATGATTGGCTTCTCTTGTAGCATGTGAATAACTGCTGAAAAATCAATTCTGATATGGTATAGAGTAGACTATGCTAAGATTTCCTAACTAGATTTGTTTGTGTCAACTATAACAGACAGACTAAACCATTATCCCTCCCTTAAAATAAATTTATTTATTCACTTGATGATTTGTTGATTATATTTTAAAGGTCTATTATTATTAAATAAGTAAGAATATTTTGACACTCTTATGTTTCTCCATCACAATTAAATATAGCTTAATTGTATTATGAACTTCCTATTCTGTTAGGTACAAAAGTCTCTCTAGCCAATAACTTTTCTATGATTAACTAATTAGCAAACTATATAAACGGTTTTTTAAAAAAAGTGTGTACTTTGATAACTTCTGTTTGAACTAGTAAGAATTCAAGCTATAATTTAAAAATAAAACTTTAGTTAGAAATGTTATCTGTGTTAGGGAAATTATAAAAAAATTCAGCAAATAAGCAAGATATCCCCTCCAGTTATCAAGGTCTTGCTTCTTCCTTCTTGTCGCTCCAGGTCTATTTCTGCATGTTTATTTTTGAGCTGTCAGTTGGTGTGTAATGGCACAGTCATATGGTTGCTCTTCATTAAAGCATAACTGGGTCCAGCCTGCCCCCTTTCCACATTCAATGCAGTGACCATAAGTAAGATTCAAGTATGACAATGAACGAAATACCTACATTACAGCTTTTTGTGGGCTAAGAAATTGTTGGGTAAATAATATTGTATTCTTTCAAGAATACTAACCCACTATTACAAATATACATATATACAGATTGCTGGGTTTCTCAGCTAATCACAACCTTATATAGATAACACAAGGAGAATAAACTTGTCAAATTGCTTAAGCATTGAAACCATAAAATGTTTAAAGAAATGTTATTGTACTCTTTCAAATCCAGAATATATCTTCAGAACTCACTTTTCTTTTACTAAAAAAGAGATGCAAAACATTTGCATTTGGTATATGTCTTTTATAAAAAGGTTGTGGTCGATGGGTTTTCTACTCATTAAAGTCTATATTAATCCCTCGATCTTTTAAAAACTTTATTCTTAAGATACAGCATATGTCGTTATAGGGATTAATACATTTTTTATAAATGAATACACCAACATAACTAGCATCTACATGAAAATATAGAAAAAATATCATCACCCCAGAAACCTCACTCATCTCCATTCCCAGTCAATAATTAACCATTCTCCCAAACACACAGGTTTTGGCTGTTTTTTATAATCATATAATTACAATATAGTACCATAGTATATATTCTCTTGAGTCGGGTATCTTTTGCTCAATCTTAATTTTGTCAGATTAATTCATACTTTTTATGTGGCAACAGTTCATTCATTATCATCACTATATACTATTCCATTTTATGAATAAACAACAATTTATGCACTCTGCTGTCCATAAATTAATTTGGGAGCTATTATGAATAAAGCTGACAGTAACACTTGGTATAAAATATTAACATATTTTGCTGCACATGTGCTCTAATTCCTGACATATGCATATGTTCAGCTCTAGTTGATAGCGCCAACATTTAAAAAAAGACTACACCTATTTACCTTCTGAGAGATGTCTGAGAGTTCCTGTTGCTTTACATTTTATCTACATTTAAAAATTTTAATCATTTAGAGAAGTGTGTAGAGATATGTCATCGTAGTTTTCATTTGCATTTATTTATCATGTTGAGCACAATTTCATATGCTTATCGGACATTTGTATAGCTCCTTTCTGAAGCGATTTTCCAGTCTTTGTCACTTTTTCTTACTTATGCTGCCTGTCTTTATTGTTTTGTTACAGTTTCTTTATTCATCATGGATGAGAGTACTTTGTTGGACATATGTATCTAAAGTATTTTCTCCTAAGATGTAACTTGTCTTTTTATTCTTCAATGGTGTCTTTTGATGAATGGAACATCTCAATTTTTAAAAGAGTACAGTTTATAAACTATGTATTTCTTTCATGGTTGGTACTTGTGTCTCATTTAAAACAACTCTGGCAATTACAAAATAAATCAGATGTTCTCACAGGTTTTTCCCTAAAAGCTTTACATAACTTTAACATTTATATCTGTAAACAGGTAGAACTGGGTTTTATGTACATTGTGAAATAGAAAGTCAAGGTATCTTTTTTAAAAAAATATTTAGATATCCAATTGATCATGTACTATTTATTGATTCAGCACCATATACTATGTAGTACATCTTTTTACACTGTATTTTGGTGGCATCTTCTTGTAAATCAAGAGACTATGTTTACATTCTAAGTGTGTTTCTAAAATCTCTATTCTGTCTGTTGTTCTCTTATCTGTCTTTGTACCAATATCACAATTTCTTATAATGTGGCCTCATAGTAAGTCTAGGTATCTGGCAGTAATTTCTCAACTTTGTCCATCTTCAAGACCCTTGGCCCTTCACATTTCCTTAGGCATTTTAGAATCAATGCATCAATTTCCAAAAATTCTGCTTGAATTTTAAGTAGGATTGCATCACACATATAAACCAACTTGGGGAGAGAATGCACATCTTCAAAATACTGAATTTCCAATATATAAATTTGGTAGATCATTTATTTAGAAATTATTTGATTTTTCTCAGAAAGGTTTGTAGTTTTCTTCAGAGAAGACTTGTACATCTTTTGTTAAATATATACCTAGTTAAATATATACCTAGATGTTTAGTTATTCTATTATAAATAGTATCTATTTTAATGTTTTATTTTCTAAATACTTGTGGCTAGTATATGGAGATACAATTGATTTTTGTTTGTTTTATATCCATTGATTCTCACAAATTCACTTATTAGTTCTTACTGTTTATCTGTAAAGTCCTTTGGGTTATCTATGTACAAATAATGTTCTCATATAATGACAGCTTTTAAAGCCATCTTTTATCATGTTAAACAAGTTATTTTCTGCTTCCAGTTTGCTGAAAATATCATAAATTGGTTTTAAATATCGCTAAGGCTTTGTAATATCAATTGAGATTATTATTTGATCCTTTTCTTCATTTTTCTGTTAATGTGATACATTATATTTACTGAAAATTTTAAAGGCTGGAAATTGCTTACTTTGATTTTGGGTAAGTCAAACATTCCCCTACCCAACATTGCAAGTTATTAATTACCTTTTCACCTGCTATTTTTCTCCATGGATAACAGAAAAATAACCATTCATTTAAACACAATTAATATGATGACAGAACTAAGATGCAATGGGAATAACAGGTTTCAAAATCATTTGTGTACTAGCTGTGTGTTACTGTTATCCTCCATTCATGAGAATAATAAAATCTGCTCCGTCTGCCTAACATGGTGATTATAAAGATAAAATAACTGGGTAGAAGTGAAAATACACGGTAAGCTATCAAGAAATATTATTAAGATAAAGTTTAAATGGTTATTTCTTAATCTATTATGTATTAAAGTTCTATTTAATAAAGAAATGTAACTTGAATCTTCTTTCCTAGTATTTTTATTTTCCTTGAACATTAAAGCAAAGTTTGGCTATTAATTTTTCCCAAAGCTATCCAAATTGCCAAAACTAACAAATGAGAAAGTTTCAAATCAATGAGACTTTAATAAACTGTTGTAATGAATACATCAATGTGTTTATTCTGCTTTCATAAACTCATGACTGATATTATAAATAAAAATTTAAGGTAAGTAATGAACATAGTCTTTCTTATTTTCAATAAGAAAAAATCATAGTTTTTTATATAGTTTTATTCTAAACAAAGCTCCGTAAGATGACCCCTCTGACCTAAGGAAGCTCATAATAGTACAACCACAGCCTCAGTCTCCTTCCAGTTCTCCTTACAGGGAAATTGGACTGTAGCAACATTCTCTGCCCAATTTTGTTAGATAAAGTAACATATTAAATTTCTTCTTTTTATTTTCAACCTTTGTGCTACTTAAGAATTAATGATATAAAATTCAAAGTAGAAGCGACATGATCATGCTCAATTTAAGCCTACTAGCCATATTTAAAAGATTTCGTCTAAAAATTAATTACAAATTATTTTTTGGTGTTGTCTTTCTCCTTTTTCTAGCTTTATCAATTTTCATTTATTAGACAGCCTGCTGATAGAATTTCAAAGATAGACTATGTTTTCCTGAAAGATAAAGTGAAGAGCTCAGCACTAGAAGAGTCTGCAACAGCAGAGTCACACCAGTTATCTACTGCAAGTTTCACTTTGTTAGCTTTCATAGCCAGTTAGCTTTAATGTCAGGTTCATCATATGAATTGGGGGAACAAGATCAGCACTTGGGCTCCAATCATCTTCCCTATTATTATCACTCCATTTGTTTTCGTGATTATTCTATACCCTACCACACGTATTTATGTCCAAGACAAACAGAAGATGATGGGGGAATTCCTGCATTTTCCACAGAGGGAAAACAGGAAAATCAAAAGAGATTCATGCTGATTAAAATGCACACCTATAAATAAAATGACTCTAAACTGTTAGCCTAACTTGGCTAATCCCTAGGATTCCTACTCATAAAAACCAAAGATATTTTTGTAAATTTGTTTTTACATAAATAAGGTCATGGTCTTTGATTGAGACTTCTCCTTATAAGAAAATTCTTTAGAAGCCAAACTCTAAGAATTTCTTTTTAATTCCCCATGGACTATCCAATGACAAAAGAAAACACATGCTCAATTAAGATTAAAAGTCTGCTGAGAGAAAAAAACACAATGAATCATAGTTTAGTTTTCTTGAATAGTAAAACTTAAAAATATTTATTTTACACTTTTGTGCACATTAAATTATTGACTGAAAATTTTCTGCTAAAAATCAATAATCCTTGATATGTTGAGAAACATTTACCTTTGAAATAAAAACATGTGTATTTCTTTTGTTGGACTTTATTTATTTTAGTTGGAAAGAGATTTGATGACTTGTGTCATAACATTCCTTAAATAATTTTAGGATAAGCTGGGGTTAAAATCTTAAATAAAAACTTTGGAATCAATAAAATAATTTCTGAGGACACTTGATATCTTAAAATGGTCACAGCTACCTACTAGATGAAATTCATTATCTTGAGATTCAACATCTTGGCAAAGTCTTCATCACTAATTAAAATAGCAATGGAAGAGCACCTGCAATTACTCTGTTTAGGATAAAATTACAAGGGTTATAAATCTCCAAGCTTCAGGGCATAAACCGATCACCAGCTGGGGTGAAAAAGAAATGTCTACCTATTGTGTAGTTTTGCAAAATTAGGTACATTATATGTTTTACTCCCTCAGAAACATCTGCCACAGACTACTATATGAGAGGCTATTGGACTGCATGCAAGGGACACTACTTTGGCTATGTTATAGAAATTACAGGGTTTATATATATAACCTAAAATCCAGGGGCTTGTTAAAAGAATGCTTCACCTTAGTGGTGGTTTAGATTCTTCCCAGGCTAGTGACCAAAGGTCATTACAGATGTCAGGTAGAACATGAGTAATTATAGAGTTCAAATTTTGGTGTTAGTCCCTTTGCCATGAAATAGCCAGCATTATTATAGATGCTATTTGGTAGTTTACACAGGAAAAAAGAAAAAACAGTAAGAATAGAATGCCCATGGACTTTGGACTATCATAGGAGATTGACAAAAAAGAGAAATGAGTGTAGCAAATAATGTTCTGAGGCAGCTCCCCTTCCACCCTCATCTTTGCTACCCAAATGAAGAGGTTGGTTTACTTTCAGGACAAACAGATGTAAACCTGCATGAGGAAAGGACTGGAGGATCCCTTTTCTTTTACTAGGTTGGGTGAGGAGAAAGAATATGGAGGAAGAGGCCAGATGTCAGAGAATGTCTGCAGCACATTCTGCATCAGCCTTGAGAATGCTGTGCAGGAGAGACCCTGGTAGCCCAAATCACCATACAGAAGTCCGAGAGAATGGGGGGTGGGGAACTTGGGGTCTGTAAGGAAGAGAACCCAGTAATTGAGAAGGGGAACACTGCAATGGGGATTGGACTTTGTGAATTCAGAATTGGTTCATAATGGTTAATAACTACTTAACAGTTATTACTCTATTACTAATTAATGGCTAATAGTCCATACTTATTAATCTGTCCCTAAGTTAAAGGAGCCCACAGAAAATCCAAAAGCAGAATATGAGGCAAATAGCTCTTTTTCACATTCAATTATCTTGTGTTAAATTCTTAAATCACAAACTTTGGCAATATGTAGATTAAATGAAACAGGGCTATAGTTACTTTTTAAAAAATGTTTAAATTTTTTAAGCTATATTCAAATATTTTATTTAAAGGAAACTCAGCAAAGGCAGAGTCAAATACACTGTTCATTCTTCTAATAGGACAGACCACCTAGGAGAAGTGAGAAGTGGAGGGATGAGAGAAAATTAATCTGTTCCATATTTCCAAAGGCCAAAGTTTTTATGTAATGAGCCAAAATAGCAAGGGAAAAAGAATGTGGCTGCCTAGTTGTCATTTGAATAATAGAGATTTACAGGTCAAAAAATAGATGAGGTTGGATTGCATGGTTCTGGGGTTGAGCCAGGTAGATTGAATAGAGGTAAATTCTTCTCTTGATTACACGATCTCATGTTGCACCAGAGAGAGGAAACTGATATACCAGCATTTCCCTCTCTAAAACAGTTGTCCATCCTGAGCTTCTTATTAATGCTATTCTTCCTTGCTTGGTTCTTTTCTTCACCAAAAATGTTTAAATTTAACTGAAGTGTTTTAGGGTATTATCTTCGCCATTTACTCATGTCCCTGATGTTCGTTACTGACTTAGGCCCAACCTTTCATACATGGGTATTGCACTCAGCCTGTAAAATCTTTAGTATAATGGTATCATGTTTCAACATAGCTCTATTTTATTTAACTTGGTTTATCAAAATGTACTATATCCAGAAATTGTTTAGAAGCCTTATTGTAAGAGAATTTTATGAAAAAGTCAATTCTCACCATCCTTTTTTCACTATTAGAAATAATAGTGATACCAAGTCTTAAAACTCCTGTTTCTCAAACTAGGATCACTATAATGTTCTGTGAAAAACTTCCAAGATAGATCTTAATTTTTTTTCAGCCATAGCGTCTACAGTCAAATACTGACTACAGTTTTAGTAATCACCGAACAAAGATTGTATTTTTCTTCATACAGCCTTAAAAATTTGTCTACTTTACCTGTATGTCTAAATCATACATTTGCATACTTCACCTCCCCCGCCGCCGCCCTGCTACGTTAGCATTCCATTGCTGATAGTCACTATAGACCATCTATAGTGACCATAGTAGTTCACTATAGACCCCAGATGTGCTCCTGCACATTCTGAGTCCTTTCAAGGAGTTAATCGTTCTGCCTCAGTCCAGGTCCATTTTTCTCTGAAAGGAATCTGCTAAAATCTATTATTTAGGATAAGTGCATTTCAAGTAGTTACAGTATACATGATGACTCTTTTATTGCAAATTAGATTATTTTAATTCTTACTAAGTTTATTTTGACTAAATTGATGTCAAATGAAATTTGACAGTTTTTCAACTTGAAACTTTTAAAATAAAAAATATTACCACAAAATATTCCTAATTTTTTCTGATAGTTACTCTTCAAGGAATTGCCACACTGAGCTTAGCCGTCAAGGTAATTATCAGGACCTGTGAATTATTAACCTAGAATCTGCTGCACAGATTTACCAACCCAGGAGAGTCTGCAAAGCTGAGCTACTACAGAGGGGGCTTTACCTTTCTAAACCTCAAGCTACCACCAGGGAAATTTGGGAGATTTGGGTCATAACTGTGGTGGCCAAATCTACTCCCACTTAATGCTTTTAAGAACATATGCTTTGGAAGGAAAACCAAGGTTCCAAAGAGTAGTTGAAAAGTCTAAGGCAAAGATGTTCTAAATTAATCTTGTAGAAATGAAACTGTGGATAGACAAGGGAGTGGCTTTGTATTAGTCTTGCATTGCTGCATAACAAATCACTACAAAGTAAGCAGCTTAAAACAACATCCAGGGATCATCTCACAGTTCTGTAGGTCAGAAATTCTGGCATGGCCCAGCTGGGTTCCCGGCTTAGTGTTTGACACACAAGGTGGCAGCTGGAGTGAGTTCTCACTCAGAAAACACCCAGAGCCGTTGCTCACTTTTCAAGTCCGTCAGATTGCTGGCAGGGTTTATTTCCTTATAGCTGTATGACTGAGGTTCCTGTTTTCCTGTTGGCTGTCAGCCAGGCATTGCTCTCAGCAACTAGAAATGCACTCAGGTGGCCCACTCCAGCTTCAAGCCAGCAGGGAAGAACCCCCTGTCAAAGCCCCTCTCACACTGAATCTCTTTTACCAGGAAAAGCCTACTCTCTTTTAAAGAAAATTTACCAGGAAAATCTCAGGCCTGGTTGATACAGGGTCCTATATTATATGCAGACATCACCTGAAAGCAGACAGCTATAGCACTACAATCACTTTCTGGGACAGCCATGAAGAACAATGGTGAAGGAGGATTCCCCCAGTGGGCAGCATTTCCTATGAGCAGTGTACCTAGTTGTTTATTTGGTCTGGATGGAGAAAAAGCCAGGGGCATGAATCTATATCAATTGATGGTCTGTGGTTAATAGTTTGGCTGGATGACCATGGACTACTAAGGGGCATGGTTAGAAAATTGATGAAAAGGAGGTCTGGGGAAGACAAATATGTATTGCCCATTCTTAATGGGCAAAAAATGAAGATATTTGTGTCTCATATTAAAATTTACCAAAAGGTCACCTCTGCAGAAGAAGATTTTAGAAATCAAGTGGGTAAGATGGTCCATTCAGTCAATTATGAATTAGCCTCTTTTCTCAACCACGCCTGGCATTGTCCAATGAGCTTCTGAACAAAATGGCCATGGTGTTTATGGCAATTAATGGGATGGAGGTTATGCATGGGCTCAGCAACATTGACTTCCACTCACCAAAGCTGACCTGGATACAGCCACTGCAGAGTCCTTAATCTGCCAGCAACGTAGACCAACTTGAGTCCCTGATATGGCAACATTCCCTGAGGTGACCAGTCAGCTACCTGGTTGCAGGTTGATTACACTAAACTGCTTCGTTTATTGGACACAGGAAGGGGAACATCACACACCGGGGCCTGTCGTGGGGTGGGGGGAGCGGGGAGAGGGATAGCATTAGGAGATATACCTAATGTAAATGATGAGTTAATGGGTGCAGCACACCAACATGGCACATGTATACATATGTAACAAACCTGCACGTTGTGCACATATACCCTAAAACTTAAAGTATAATTAAAAAAAAAAAAGAAAGAGACACTTAATCTAGATATGGACTTGCCTTCCCTGCTATAAAACACTTCATCTAGTTGTAGTTGTTTGGTAGGGTGACCCAAACCCTCATTCTTGAAGAGTGATGTCTATTCAATCCTGATCAATTGGGGTATTGTAGTTTTCCATTGACATTTATCACAAGACATGGGGGTACAAAGAGAGGCCCTGGAGGGCCTCCTTATTATTCTCATTGTGTAGTAGCAGCCCAATTTCCCCAGGGTAGTCAGGATCAATCACTGCAGCCAGCAGAGTAACCCCTGTCTGACAACCACAGACATACAGAATGCCTTATCATTTGGCACAGCATTTTTTTCTGACTAGTGAATTCACTCCATAGTAAATGAAATGTATTGATAGGCCAATGCTCATGGAAGTCACTGGTTTTATCATGTTCCCCATCATCCTGAAGCAGGCACTTGATATAATGGTGGAATGGCCTTTTGAGCACTCAGTTATGATAACAACTAGGTGGCAATGCCTCCTAGTTGGGGCATTGTCCTCTAGACAGGGGACAGAGCTGGGGCAATGTCCTCTAGGATGTGATATCTACTCTAAATCAGCCTCCAATGCATGGTGCTATTTCTCTCACAATCACCATTTACTGGTGCATAAATCAAGGGGCATAAATGGAAGTGGCTCCACTCACTATTATCCCTACTGATCCACTACCAAAAGTTTTGCTTCCCATTCTCATGATATAACTCTGCTGATCCAGAGGCCCAAGAACCAAAGAAAGAAGGACCTCTTCAAGAACTACAAACCACTGCTCAATGAAATAAAAAAGGACACAAACAAATGGAAGAACATGCCATGCTCATGGATAGGAAGAATCAATATTGTGAAAATGGCCATACTGCCCAAGATAATTTATAGATTCAATGCCATCCCCATCAAGCTACCAAGGACTTTCTTCACAGAATTGGAAAGAACTGCTTTAAAGTTCATATGGAACCAAAAAAGAGCCCGCATCACCAAGTCAATCCTAAGCCAAAAGAAAAGCTGAAGGCATCATGCTACCTGACTTCAAACTATACTACAAGGCTACAGTAACCAAAACAGCATGGTACTGGTACCAAAACAGAGATATAGACCAATGGAACAGAGCAGAGCCCTCAGAAATACCACACATCTACAACCATCTGATCTTTGACAAACCTGACAAAAACAAGAAATGGGGAAAGGATGCCCTATTTAATAAATGATGCTGGGAAAACTGGCTAGCCATATGTAGAAAGCTGAAACTGGATCCCTTCCTTACACCTTATACAAAAATTAATTAAAGATGAATTAAAGACTTAAATGTTAGACCTAAAACCATAAAAACCCTAGAAGAAAACCTAGGCAACATCATTCAGGACATAGGTATGTGCAAGGACTTCATGTCTAAAACACCAAAAGCAATGGCAACAAAAGCCAAAATTGACAAATGGGATCTAATTAAACTAAAGAGCTTCTGCACAGCAAAAGAAACTACCATCAGAGTGAACAGGCAACCCACAGAATGGGAGAAAATTTTTGCAATTTACTTATCTGACAAAGGGCTAATATCCAGAATCTACAAAGAACTTAAACAAATTTACAAGAAAAAAACAACCCCATCAAAAAGTGGGCGAAGGATATGAACAGACATTTCTCAAAAGAAGACATTTATGCAGCCAACAGACACATGAAAAAATGCTCATCATCACTGGCCATCAGAGAAATGCAAATCAAAACCACAGTGAGATACCATCTCACGTCAGTTACAATGGCGATCATTAAAAAGTCAGGAAACAACAGGTGCTGGAGAGGATGTGGAGAAATAGGAACACTTTTACACTGTTGGTGGGACTGCAAACTAGTTCAACCATTGTGGAAGACAGTGTGGCGATTCCTCAAGCATCTAGAACTAGAAATACCATTTGACCCAGCCATCCCATTACTGGGTATATACCCAAAGGATTATCAATCATGCTGCTATAAAGACACATGCACACGTATGTTTATTGCGGCACTATTCACAATAGCGAAGTCTTGGAACCAATCCACATGTCCATCAATGATAGACTGGATTAAGAAAATGTGGCACATATACACCATGGAATACTATGCAGCCATAAAAAAGGATGAATTCATGTCCTTTGTAGGGACGTGGATGAAGCTGGAAACCATCATTCTCAGCAAACTATCACAAGGACAAAAAATCAAACACCGCTTGTTCTCACTTATAGGTGGGAACTGAACAATGAGAACACATGGACACAGGAAGGGGAACATCACACACCGGGGCCTGTCGTGGGGTGGGGGGAGTGGGGAGGGATAGCATTAGGAGATATACCTAATGTAAATGATGAGTTAATGGGTGCAGCCCACCAACATGGCACATGTATACATATGTAACAAACCTGCACGTTATGCACATGTACCCTACAACTTAAAGTATAATAATAAAGAAAGAAAAAAAAAAGAAACTTCTACCAGTGGACATAACAGTTCCACTGAATTAGAAATTGAGACTTACTCCAGGCCATTTGGGCTCCTCATCTCTCCCAATCAACAAGCAAAAATGAGGGTCATTATATTATATTGACTGGGCTGATTTATTTTGACAGCCAAGGGGAAATTGGCTTGCAATTATACAAGGTGGGTAATGAGAGGTAGTTCTAAAATACAGGCAATCCTGTAGGCATCTCTTATTACTCCCATCTTCTATGATTAAAGTCAAAGAAAAACCATAAGAATGCAACTCAATTAAGGAAAGACTGTTAATGGATTGTACATTAACAATGTAATCATTGTTATGTCCACTGAAATAAAGGTTTGGGTCAACCCACCTGGAAAAGAACCATGACCAGCTGAGATGCTTGCTGAGGGTAAAAGAAATATGAAATGGATGGTGAAAAGGATAGCTATAAATAACATTTCCAATCATGTGATCAGCTACAGAAATGAAGACTACAATAGTTACATGGATTTCTTTCTTATTTTGACATGAATATGTTTATACATACAATAACCAAATATTTTTGTTTTCTTCCTTATCTTACTCTAATTATTTAACATGATATATAACTTTATTATCTCAGTATTTATTTAAGTTACAGGATATTAAACAAGAAGAATGAATACTATTCAAGGATTTTTATACTTTTCTGGGGAAAGGCATAACATGTTTTTGGTTGTATGTAGAATAGCAGTATCATGTTAGGTAATATATGACTGTTTTTATTTGGAAATTAGGTATAATTTTAAAAGCCATATATGAGTGATAAGTTGACACGAGGTGGACTGTGACTGATTTTTTGATGTGTCAACTTTGCTAGTCTTCATTCCTCAGTTAATCAAACACTTACTCTAGGTGTTGCTATGAGGGGATTTTGCAGATTTGATTAAATCCATTAATAAATTCACTTTAAGTAAAAGAAATTATCATAGATAAACTGGATGAGTCTGATTTAACCATTTGGAAGGACTTGGAAACAGGGCTGAGGCTTAACAGAAATGGGTAGCGTCAAAGGGCAAAGAGACAGATACAGACATAGACAGAGAAGAAATTCCACCTGTGCCCAATAGCTTCAGCTTGTGCCCTGAGTTCCAGGCTGCCCAAAATCTTCCCTTCCTGATTGCCTGCCTTACAAATTTCAGACTTACTTAGCTAGTCCCCATAATACTGTAAGATTTGTAATAAACAAAAGAACAAACATATATTAATACATAGGTGGATAGGTGATAGCTACAGAAATCAACATAGACACAGATATAGACATAGACATGGATCGATATTCTACTAATTCTGCTTCTTGGGCTGAACCCTCATAGAGGGGCTATCTTGGAATTCTGACCACTATAGGCTTTTGTTTTTTTGGAATGTAGCAAGATACTATAGCAATCATCAGTATCAGAACTGGAAGACCCAAGTCTGAGGCTAGATATTGCCACTAAAAGCATCGTAATCTCGTAATCTTGAGAAAATCACTTAACCTCTCTGAACTTCATTTATTTCTTCTGCATTTCAGGAACCTTCACTGCAGAGTTGTGAGCATCAGATGAGAAAAATACAGTCACATGCCATGTAATGATGTTTAGGTCAATGACACACTGTGGGTAGGTCAGTAGTCTCTTGAGACTATAATGTCATATTTTTACTGCAACTTTACTATTTTTAGGTATATTTAGAAAGACAAAAACTTGATTGCCTACAGTATTCATTACAGTAACATGCTGTACAGGTTTGTAGCCCAGAAGCAATAGGCTATACCATACACTAGGTGTGTACTAGGCTATACCATCTAGGTTTGTATCAGTATACTTACTCTACTATGTTGACACAATGAACAAATCGCCTAATGAAAGATTTCTGAGAAGGAATCCCTGTTATTAAGTGAACTATGAAATACAAAAGTGTCCTGTAGACTTTAGAATACTATATACATTTTGCAAAAAGCTAAATTTGCTAAATGGCTAAGAATGCTTGCATTATTTGTGGTAATCTCCTTGCTGGGGATGACTGAAATGGAAGTTGACTTGAATTTAGAGGAGGTTTGTAGCATGGACTTAGGGTTCTCTGAAATGCTTCATATTGATTAACTGATGCTCTGGGGCTTGGCATATCAGATCAGAAATATTGATACCTGCACTTATAGAGAGACAGAAGGTATAAAAATCCTGAAATTATTGGTGCAGAATTTTCATGATTTTTACTACATTTTATATTTATGTAGCCTTCATAGCAGGCATAATGCTGTGTTATTAAAATTAGATAATCTATATAAAGGCAAGAATATAACAGGAAAAGTCACTCATACTCCCACCACTTAGAGAAGCTAAAAAAAGATGACCCTCCATTCCCTAATTATGTGAGATCATAGTCTTCTAAGGAATTAAAAACAAACAGCCATGGACAGATGATAAATGAGCAACAATGCAACTAGCATGGAATTCTATCTCCAGACTTAATTCATTTTTAAAGTCTGTTATTGACCCAGAGAATTTGAGAGGACCCACTCTAAGTAACTGCAGCTAATGACTGGAATTTGCTTGGCTTTTTCACAAGCCTAATTAGCTATTTTAATATTGCTTTTACGTGACTTATCAACTTCTTCTGGGCAAGCCTCAGTGTTCTATGAAACAGTCCTTCAAACACTCTATCCATAGTCTTAATCAAATTTCTCATAGGTACCGGCTACAGAAATAGCTCCCATTTTATGTTAACTGGAACAAGAAGCACTAAGAACACATGATAGAGTTCAACGAAGTCAGATGCTTGGTGACCCTGAATAAGTATCACAGTCTCCAGATATTTCGCTGTCAGCATACAGGGTACCATTTTGAGTTTAAGCACTATCTTGAATATAGTACCTAAGTTTCATCTTTATCATCACATGTAGTAGAAAGCTCACTTTTGAGGAGAGTTGTGTATTAAAATATTAAAATACCACATGAATGCAAAAATAATATAAAAGTACTATGGTTTTATATATAACCAACTAATTGGCAGTAAAATTCATTCTTACAACAATCCTGTTTGCCTTGGTGTACCAAGACAAGTAATACTTTACAGAAAGGTAAGATGCTTAAGATGATTTGCATAAAATGAGAGTAATGAGGGCCTTTACTAAGTGACTGTAACACTCGGACCAGGGCATGCTTTTCAGCTTCCTTCAAATATACAAATTCAAATATGTATGTCAAATTCAAGTTTAGCATTGAACTACAGACTCTCTTACTACAAAAACCACCATGCTCTAACCACATCATTTAAATGATTGAAAAATAACAGAAAAGAAATTAAAAAGAAGCAAAACAAATGAAAGGTGAGGATTTTTTGTAAAAAATGACATAAAAGAACATTTTATCACAAATCCTTAATTGAACATGGAAAAGACCAATTTTCTTCAAATAAGGCAACAGTTTTGAATCTTATTCTTCACTCTTTTCAAATAAAAACATGTCAGCAATCGTTGTGTATAGTTATAGTCGATGTCAAATTCTATCAAATTTGAGATGAGCCTTGTTGCCAATTTGGGAGCTAAGGGAATATATTATCTCAGACCACAAAGGGTTTCATAAAAAGATTGAAGGAAATGGAAATCCAACACCAGTTAAGAAAATCAGCAAATATATTACAAAAACTGTCCATTTGCCTGTCCCTTTTAATCTTAATGTCGTATTCAAACTATTGGGCATGTAACTGAATATCTCAACTGTACCTGAAGAAATAATGGAGCGTGTCTCTGCAGTAAAACAGAACGGCACTAAACTGATGAGTTTAACCCAGCAGAAAGAGCGGCTGTAAACATGACAAATGCCTGCTATTGATTTCAGGTTTAATTACTCTGTGCAGTACTGACAAAGCCCATCAGATGTTGTTGTGAAGTGTAAATGGAACAGACTACACTTCACTGCCCATAGGAAACTGATGGTGTCTGCAGTTTGCATTGTTTACTTTATCCTCCGTAAACTTCAGCCTTGATCAAATTAACAAGTGCTACTAACCTCCAACAAACTACAATGCACTATGGTTTTACAGCAACAGCCTTGGAACAACAGTTCAGCACTTGTCTCATCGATAACAAATGTTGGTCTCATGGCTGCTGGTGAACCCTTCAGCCCAGGACCTGTGAGTCCTGATTCCGGGGCCATGGGAATCTTTCCACAGGTTTTATGTGTAAGAAAATGAAAGATGAGTTCTTTACTTGTTATTTCAGTGCCAATAAATAGCTGATACCATACAGTCTTTCCCCAAAAGCTCCTAAATTATTTATTTTCTAGTTACTAATACTAGTTTTCCCAGAACATTTGTGAGTAATGATAACTAACTTTAGTTTAATTACTTTCTAGCTTTTTCCCTTTTTAATCTCTACTTTCAGATATATAAATTGTTTGTATCTTCTTTCTCTTTCAAAACTTTTGACAGTGGTGATTTACTGAAGGATAATACTGAAGGATATTATTGAAGTAATAATTCATAATACGTGCAAAAGAACATTTTCCTTAAATGGGAGGTTACTTAATTGACCTGTTATTTGCTTTTCTCCACAAAGGCTGTGTCAGAGTATGCTATTTATTATCAAAATAGCAGTAGCGTTTATAAACTGTTTGTGTATACAAAGGCTTGTGCAAACAAGTAAAACAATGAAATAAGGATACCTGTAAGCATGTGCATTGGTTTTAGTATCTGCTAACGCTGAAAGTAGATTTCTGAGACATGGTCCCTGTGGTCCCCTTAGTTTATGCCTCAGTGTCAGCTGTGCCCTCTTACCTCCACCTGCACACATTTGCTTGATGCTAGTGTTTAGCACCTGTTGCCAGGAGATTTTTTTTTTCCTGTTTTTGGCAATGCCTAGCACAATAGTGGGTATCTATTTCCCAGTTTACACTCTCAGGCTGGCAGGCTTCAATATCTCATCCTACCTTTGTAATCTTCAGACACACTGCACTCCTCTAATTTTGTTCTGGATTTTGCATAATATAATGCACTTCAGACTAGAACAAAACCAGAAGCTAATACATTCAAGGGGTATATAAAATGATAGCACAACATTTGATAGCTACCAGGCAAAATTTTTAATAAGAACTAGATTTCCAGAAAAAAGTGTAATCTCTAGTTATTTATTTGATAAATATTAGATTTCCAGAAGAAGAGTATAATCATCACTTAACTGGTTTTAAAGAGTAGTTAAAAATAATAAGGAAATGTTGATGATAATCTTAAAAAACACCTAAATGACTTCACATATGCTTGATCATTTATCAAAAAATTAAGTGGTGCAAAATCTTTTCTTAAAAATGTCTTTTTTATGTTCTTAAAGAAAATGCAGAGTTTATTCATTTATTTGAAAATATTTATTGAGTGTCTCCTCTGGCTGTGACGTACCAGTTATCCAGAGGTTAAGAAAATAGATCTTACCTCTAGTAGAGGAAAAATAAAAATAAATTACTCAAATAATCATATAGTAAAGAGAGCAACAGGAACCTGAAAAGGAACACCTGCTTTGGGCCTAGAGGCTGGGACAGCTTTTCAGAGCATGTGACACCTGCTTCCAGGAAAGAGAGGGCCTTCTGCTGAAGTGCTCAGGTGAGAGCTTGACTCAGCTGAAATGCAGAAAGAAGCTTAATGTCCCAGAGGACGAGAACTGGATGGGTAGTGGCCTGAGATCTGGATGGAGAGGTGCACAATGCCTGCTTATACAGGCCACATTAAGAAGTTTAGATTCCAGGCTCTTGGGAGTCCAGGGAAGCCCCTGAAGTATGTTCAGCACTGAAGGTCCAGGCAGGAGATTTTTAGTTTTGTGTGTTTGTGTTTTTGGCTTAAGGCTTAGGGCTTACTGCTTTGCAAGGAATAGCTCCAGGTGGACAGGAGACAAGTGTGAATGCAGTGACCAATTAGGAGGCTAGTTCAAGCAAGTGATTATGGTAACTTGGTTTGGATGGTGTCCGTAGACATGGATGGATTTCAAATAGTGATGACAGGAAATCAGAATATTTATATATACGTATATATATAGTATGTAGAATATGTATATAATTGTAGTATTATATACAGTATGTAGTATTATTTGGTGTGTTTAGTATGTATATAATATTTTGTGTATATGTGTATATATTAAATATATTTAATTAGTATATGTATGTATGTGTTAATGCTACACATTACATATATACACATATTAAATATAAATATATATATAATACATGTAATATATGAAATATATGTATATATATACTAAACTATACTAAAGAAATTCTAGTATCTTGGTATCTTGGTATCCTCAGGGGATTGGTTCCAGGACCCCCTGCATATACTGAAATCCACTTGTACTCAAGTCTTGCAGTCAGCCCTGTGGAACTCATGTATATGAAAAGTTGGTCCTCCTGTATGCGTGGTTTTCATGTCTTGCAAGTACTGAATTTTATTTTTACTGTTTATTTTTTGTTTTTGAGACAGAGTCTCGCTGTTGCCCAGGCTGCAGTGCAGTGGCGCCATCTCAGCTCACTGCAACCTCTGCCTCCTGGGTTTAAGTGATTCTCCTGCCTCAGCCTCCCGAGTAGCTGGGATTATAGGCATGCTCACCACACTGACTAATTTTTTGTATTTTTAGTAGAGACAGGTTTTCTGCATTTGGCCAGCTTAGCCTCCAACTCCTGACCTCAGATGATCCCCACCTCAGTCTCCCAAAGTGCTAGAATTATAGGCATGAGCCACTGTGCCTGGCTGCAACTACTGTATTTTTTATCTGCATTTGGTTAAAAAAAAAAAATATATATATATATATATACACACACACACACACACACACACATGGATCTTTGCAATTCAAACCTGTGTTGTTCAAATATTTATATTTAATATGTGTATATGTGTGTATAGATATCTATGTATACTAAAGTTTTTATTTTTTAGATTTATTTGCTTTTATATGTTGAAATCTCCCTTTTCAGTTATTTAAAAATATAAACTTTCTGATATTTATTCATTTGAATGTATGGATTCTCTGTGGACTCCTAAAATATTAGTGGAGATCACTTTCATAGTAACACTACAAATGGCAGCATATCTAAGCATATCTAAGGATTCTGGTATAATGAAAAGAATGGAATCTCTTAGAGTTCAGACTACATTTCTAGATTTTACAAGATTTTATTCTTAAAGACCAAATACCCATAAATAGCTTCATATTTTAACTGATCAGTTTTTTTGTTTGTTTGTTTTTTTGAGATGGAGTCTCACTCTGCCACCCAGGCTGGAGTGCAGCAGTGCAATCTTGGCTCACTGCAACCTCTGCCGCCCTGGTTCAAGCAATTCTCCTGCCTCAGCCTCCTGAGTAGCTGGGATCACAGGTACCTGCCACCGCGCCTGGCTAATTTTTGTAATTTTAGTAGAGACGGGGTTTCACCATCTTGGCCAGGCTGGTCTTGAACTCCTGATCTCGTAATCCACCTTCCTCGGCCTCTCAAAGTGCTGGGATTACAGGTGTGAGCCACCACGCCCAGCCCTGATCAGTTGGTATTTTTAACAGTAGGGAGAATAAAGGAAATCTCTGATACTGTTTACAAATTTAGTAGTCAAGTTTGGAGAGGAATCCTCAAACAACCCTATCTGCTTCAAAGTTTATCTGAACTACCCTCCAGTCACCCACTATCTCTGGATGAAGGATTTGGAAGGGAGGAAGTGAAGCCCACAGAGATATTCTGAGGCAAAGCAGAGGAGGAAAAGGTACCGTCTGCCATCTGATATGGGTGAAACTGGGGCAGTTATGAATTTCAAGCCAATTCAGACTGATTTAGAGAAAACTTCCAGGCTTGGAATCCAGCTCTCATTAAGTCTGTTTCTAACTTAAGGCAGGAGAAATGTGGATTCAATTTCTGGCAATGAGCAGGAAGAGGTAGTTTTCTACTTCTTGTTAGAGAACCATTCTTATTAGTTTATCCCATTCCTTTCAGTTACTACACAAACAACATCTCTACACTGACATTGTCAATCCTTGGCATCTGCACTGAGTAAAAGTAAATATGATTGTTAAAATGGTAAAGTCATATGTCCCACTTGATAATTTTATAATGCTTTTAAATTAATTATTAAACAACTGTGAACTAAATTCCTCTAAGAGTTACAGACCCTTTAGAGAAAATTAAAAGAACTGAAGATCAAATTTTGGGACAATTTGTGGGAAACCTGGAAGAGTTTTATCCAACAGGTAAAAAATGTCTTAATTAAAGCATCCAATTATTCTCTCCAAAAGACTTAGTACCTACTAAGTGCAATAAAGGCCCTGAATTTCGTGAGGTCTGACTAGAACACTAGAGTAGAGGATGAATCAACCAAGAATCTGGCCCTCATGCAGCTTATTTAGAATCCTTGGCACATTAATTTAAAATTGCCTTTTTATTTAATTACTTCCCTTCAAATTACTGAGTCGAGATGTCCATGACTGTGATTGAATTGAAGGTAATAAAGTCCCTAAGGAAGCTCTGGAAGGCACAATCTCTCTACACGGAGAGAAATCAGTGACTAACATTTTACCCCGCACCAGGAACTGCATCACATAATCTGTCACTGTCCAAATACAATTTTCTTTTTTTGTAAATGAGTCAGTCTCAAACCTCTGATTGCACCATTTCAAATGCAAATAATTCTGTTCCAACTGCCTCTTTACATTAGCTAAATGAAGTCATCAGTAACCAAAATTGGAGAAAATCTTAACACAACTGCCGTAAACAACTTTTAAAGTTTTATATCCCATAAGAATGAAACCGTTATGAGATAGTTAAGATTCATTAAAGATACCCACCCCTGGTATAACTCATATTCAAAAACAATAATACTTTCCCCCATAACCAATAGTGGTCAGAGCAAATTATAATCAAAGATAGATTTCTTGGAGGGTGATGATACCATTAGATTTAAGGAATTAAAAATACATGAAACTTTTGAGTTAATGAACAGGGTCCTTAACTGCTCATTTAATTCAAACAGCTGTTTGTTAATGCCCTAAGCAGTGTCATAAACTGTGAAAATACTGTTGAGTGCAAGACACTAGTTAATGCTATAAAGCAACACATGCTCTAATATTAAAAGGATTTAATGGGATTAATAGAGAATAAAACATTAACTCCCTATTATGATGTTTTAGAACCCAAGGGCAAATTCTGGCTAAAAAGAACTCTGGTTCTAAAACCACAAAAAGTAAACTCCAGCACTGTACAGCAAATCATGGCAATTTTATGCCCTTGAAAAAAAGTGGAACCCTGATAAGATCACATCTGTTCCAATCACATACTGGATAAAATCACTGTTTACTAAAGTCCTAAATAACTAAAAATGTGGAACCCCAACAGGATCCCATCTGTTAATGCTAAAACTTGGATATGGTCCCATTAGAAAAATTCCATATAATAATGTTCCAGCAAAAAAAAAATAGTAAAGAATTTGGATTTCATTTCATCAATTTTGTCTATAGACTTATATACTGGTTTTCTGCAAATATACCATTATGTGATCTATAATGCATTTTCTTATGGGTAGTTGCTACAATTTTAACAGATCAGACAAAAGCTGATCCAAAATAACAAATTCTAGTCATTTTCTGAGATTCAGGAATTTTAAGTCAATTTTTGTCCATTGTTTTATTCTTTACTTTGCATTGGAGTCTATTTTCATAGAAAACTTACTGTTTTATATATTTCATAATATAAAAATTATAGTAATGTTCTTGTAAAATATTTTAGCTATTTGCAAGTACATCAAGAATTTTAATTCTGGATTAAATATATGTTCACAATTCACAGAGAAACAGATTCATATTTAATGCTCTTTTGGCAGTGTAATATATAACTTGATAGCATAGCTAAATTTCATTTAAGATAGACTTATGTATTCAGATAGTTGTAGACATAAGTGTAAAGTCATTACCGAAGAGCAAGGATTTCTGGATTAAAAGAAAAAGTTAAGATAGTTTTGGTGAGATTGGTGAGATTAAATAATTTAAAATATCTGTAAAAAATAGCAGATTGTAATTTTTGGAATATATCTTTTAACAACTGTAGTATTTTCATTTTCTTAGAATACTATTAAAATGTAGATTTTCAGATTTTTCTTATAAGCAAACATTTATAAAATTTTTGTCCCCATTTTATTGCAACCTTATGTGCTAGGCACTGTACTAAATTATTATGTAGTTTGACTTAACATTCACAAAAAATCCATGAGTATGTAGTATTGTTGTAACTATTTTACACATAAGGAAACAAAGCCTCAGAGAGATAAAATAAATTCCCAAGGTTATTCAGCTAGCATATGATAAACTCAGGTCTAAAAACCAAGAGTGTTAGGTTCCAAGGTCATGTTTAAACACACTGTGCAGTGCTGCCCCAGGGGGCATTCTCTTGGTAGAAATATCAAGAAATTAAGACTAATAAAAATCACTGTGTTCACTAATTACCATGGCTGAGATTAATGCAAACATTCGACCTGGTTTGTCTCTGATATGTTCTACTAGCAAGAAATACGTACTTCCTCTTATCAAGCTTAACAGGCTATCAGACAGGTAGGTGACATAGGCAGGCTAATATTTTGTCTCCTCTTCAATACGTTTTCTAGACAAACTGTGTATTTCCTTTCCTCAGACAAAAAGGAATTACACAATTTATTACAATTTTCCTTTGCCCTGGCTGTCAGCAAATTAGAGCATAAATTTAAATATTTATTTAACATTGATTTAGCTGGGATGGGGAAGGCACCAGCAATAAGGCAGGTGCTTCATTCCCACTTCACCATCCTATCTCCTTTACAAAACCAAGACAAAATTAAAATGTGCCTATTATATAAGGAGTTGAGTGTGGAGCTGTGAGCTAATGGGAGCCATATTTCCAAATTATTTCATTGATGTTTTATTGAATAGAATTTTAATGATAGAATTCATGATGATTAATTTTCTATCTGAAAATATTCAACAGAAAGTTAAAAGGTCATTTAAACTATCGATTACTGTAGGTGCTCTCAACTTTATTTCTGTATTAAATCAGTTTTCTACATGCAGCACAGCTAAATTATATCAAGATAATGTATTGTAAATATAGCTATTAACTAGAAAAAGTTCCATTTTAAAATATTTGAATACTTGTTCGTTATAAACTCATCAAAAGGAAAAATGAAAAAAATCATGCCCAAACAGAACTATGAAAGTAACAAAATTCAGAACAATAAAAGTGACAATTTCAAAATTACAGTGGTAATATTTTGTTATGGAAAAAGAAAAATTTTATTAAAAGTATCATATAGTTAATATAATTATCTTAGAATTATGAATATAATGGTTTCTGAAATAATAAAGGCATGATTCTCTGTCTTTAATATACTTACCCACCAACATTATGCCATTTCTTATAGGATTTAAACATTAAAAGAATATTTGTTGCCCTGAATGATTGTTTCAGAGAAATGAATATTAACTTGGAAGACTTTTAGCTGTATGTAAACTTCTGGCATTACTTAACCTTACTGAGCTTCAGTTTCCTTAACAGTAAATAATAATATAACATGAAACCACATTAGATTATATGACCTAGCCATGACAACCACTAAATATAATTCCAGGCCCAAGTCAGGTTATTTACAAATATTAACTTTTTATATTTCTAAATACATTTTATGCCTCCTTTTGGGGCAAAACAGAATTATAAAATACTTCACCTTTTCTTTTTTGTTACGGCTGCCCCAAAATTCAAAGTTATATTGATTGTTTGTTTGTTTCTTTGTTTTTTTTTGGTGCTACTCATGTAGCTAAGACATCTCTCTTTTTAGAACTGCTCCTAGTCTCATTTTTTAACGACTTTTAACTTCCTGACCTCATCTACACTTTCATTGTGTAAATGGTCTTTAATGGCTTTATAAAAATATTAGCAGGGTGATAGATGAGTAAAGTGAGTATATTTTTATTGAATTATTCTGTGATAAATAAGTTGTTTTCTGTGGAAATATCTCCAGGAAGACAAATGAAAAAAAGTTAAGGTGAAATTAATTCTCTGCATATCCTCTTTGAAATGTTTGAGTTACAAACGACTTTTCAAGAATGTACTAGACATGAAAGAATGTTTTCATGTAATCTAAAAGAGGTTATGCACTATTGAAAGCAAATTCATTGGTCTATTAATTAAACCGTCTTTAACTGACAAACATCTATATATTACGTTGTTTTTTCTTTTGGTTAAAGCATTTATCAAGTTTTTTCTTTAAAGACTGGGTTTCAAGTGTTTTATATAATAATATTTGCACTTATAAAATTATCCATAGTTTAAATGACTAATATTTATTAACAATCATATTTTAAAAGGTAATTTAAAAGAATCTGCCTATAAACAGCATTCATGAAAAATGAGGTGTTGGCTTTTCTTTTCATTTGAAATGGTACTTTTCTCTCAATATATAATATCTGCTTCTTCCTCTTTATTGTTAAGAACAACAAACACAATTTTTTCTAAATAGTGTTAATAATATACCATTAACAGAGTAATTCCACAAATAAATCTACAAATAGTATGTAAATAGTGGTGGCTTGCTGGAAAAATGCTTTTATAGTTTACTTTCCTATTTCTTTCATTACCAATTGTAATTTATAATGATGATGTAATAATACAGCAGAATTAAGAAAGAAAACTTTGCAACAGATTTCGATTCCCTAACCCTAAAAGTTGTTAAAGGCATTTTAATTTCCCGAGGCAAAAGAGACCATTGTATACAAGATTCTATTTTAAGTCTAACCTTATTAAAAAATAAAAACAACATTAAAGAAACCTAGTCTCTATTTGGAGCAAGTGGAATTTATGTTAGTAACTCCAATTAACTCTAATGGGAGTTACATGAATAAATCTCAAAAGCACTGAGAAGAAGGAGTTTTGCTATTATAGGGAATTCAGAGAGCTCAGATATGATTTCATTTGAAATGTTGAAATGTTATCGAAAACGTCTGTGAGAAATGCTCAATAAGCAGAAAAATATTTTATATTTGGCAAAATGACTTTGTATGTTATTATAGAGTTAAATATAAAGAATATTATTAATCTTTTAATAGAATTTTTAAAGACGTTTAATTTTTTTCTGATTCTAGTTTAAACTGAGGAATGAAGCCAGGTTTAAGAGAAAATACATAAATTTGATCATGCCTAACTAGTGTCCTCTAGGTTTTATAGAAAGAAATTAATAACTTTTCAAACTACTGTAAACATATTTATCCCTGAAGGCCTGCTGTGATATATGCGTTAACCTTTTTCTAAATTGAAACTGTCACTAAATCTTTCTTTAATCAATTTCCACAACAAGCATGTGAGGTATCTATTGTTTTACAAATTTTTTTATATTTCAACGATTAGAGAGTCTATTAATGACATGCCCAAATTGCCCAGTAAACTCCGTAGACAACTCATGAAGTCTTCTGAGCCCTAATCTCAGGCTCCAAGAAGCCACATTTCACAGGATCATTTTGCTTAGTGTATTTAAATATATGCCTATTTATGAATGGGAGTTTTCAAAGTAGTGATTGCAAGGCTGTATTCTTAGTTGTCTAAAATTTCTGGGACGTTTTCCTGTAATGATCAGAAAACATTAATTCAATTCTACTTTGGATAAAAGTAAGTAGATATCATATAATGAAATATGATGTCACTAGATTCAAGATTTTGAGATACACTTCTGGAAAAGAGTAGTTCATATGATGTCGGCAAAGAGGAAAATCATTAAGTAGGCTAAAATGATGATGATTTTGTCCCCTTAGATGCATGTTAGACTTAAGCTAATCAATTCTGCAGGCAATTACAAAAGAAAAGAAAAAAATTTAAAGAACATGTACAAAATGCTAGAAACTCATAGATCAAAGTTTGCACCTGAGCGGTAAGTTATCAACAAGAATTATATAATAATTTTAGGTCTCCAGGAATAGTAATTTTAGAACTTATAAATCTATTATTACTTTTTAATATTCTACTCACACATATGGTTATAAAAATATTCATATTATGCTTAAGGAGTACCTTTTCCATAATTTATGAATGTTCATAGTTGGGGGTTAGGATAATTGAAAACTACTTTATGAAGAGATTGTGTCCAACATCTGCTTAGATCGCAGGCTTATTTCAACATGTGACTACAAACAGCAGTTTTAAAAACAGTAATTACAAGCTTGCATCCCAAATTATCTCAAATGTTTTGAGAAATTTCATAATAATGATCAAGAAATTTATTGCAATTGAGAAAAATTAATAGTAGCTACAGAATGTTCACTATTAGCTACTGAAATATGTAATTTATTCTATCTACATATAAGGGTTACATTTTCATAGCTGAGTTTTAAGAAAATGGCCACTGCTTTCAAAACAAGATTTGTATTTTTAAATCCTGTATTAGAAATGACCAAAATGTCCCTTTGTTTCGCCCATCCCATTTTTCCTTCCTTTCTTCTTTCCTTCTAATATTTATTAAACAGCACATAAGTATCAGATTGTACAATCACTGTTTAGGATAAACACTTGTTCCTAGTTTAATGTACATATGAAAGATTGAGTTTTCACACATAAGTTTCTCTGTCATTAGCAGAGGAGAAGATACCAGCATGGTCAGATCAATTAGGACTTCTTGGTGGCAAACCAATGAGCAAGTGCTGTTTTTCACAAATGAACAAAAGATATTGCTTAATTCCTCAGTTCGTAATTTGTAGTGATCTAATTCTGTATTTCATTGGACCTAAAACTAAATTGATATTCCATTAAAATGGAATATTAAAAAAGGGAGCAGTATTTCAGAAAAAAATAAAATTAAAATGCATTTTTGTAAATATAAGATTTATCAGTTGCCCTAAATGCTGAATTGAAGTTATAATCTTTGTCTAAATATAAATTGAAGTTAAGATGAAGGTGAAAATGTTTAAAATATTTATTAATTTTGTCATTAATAATAAAAAGAGCACCTTGGATTTATTGGCACAGTGAAAGTTAAACTTGGAAAAGTCAATTTGCATAGGTAATGTTAAATTTAAAATTTTATTTCATTAAAAATATAATGGTCAAAGTTTTGGTAAATAAATATGCAAAGCTTAGTAAGATCATTTAGATGGCACACAAAAAAATAATGTATTTTACAAGGAGACATAAAAATATAAATTAAAATCTGTCTGATTTTTAAGTATCATGCAGCAACGTATCAAAAATCAATTTGATCTATCTAGCACTAGATGTAAAAAAGAAGCTATCCCAGATTTTGCTGATACAAAAGTAACTATTATCACACAATTACATAGAATTACATAGAAATATATACAGTTAAGAGAAGAAAGTAAAAGTCACAAAGTGATAACCACCTGTAACTGATCTAGTCTGTTTCTTTAATGTGATAACTTTCAGATATATGGTATCTTTTTTGCATGTAGCTATCTTTGATTGCATGAGCGGTTTCACCAATGCTATTGAATGAACTTGTTATGAACTTTGCATGACTCATTTTAAAAATCTGCCTAATTTCAACAATTTTTGGGTAGCCCACCTAGCTTGCTGATGGGAAGAATAGGGCACTGACCCTGACATTTACCCCGTGTGACAGACTGACTCTTGGTCTGCCCTGCAAGGTTTCCCATATCCTTCTTCTGGTAATAGACACAGATTCTTGTTTACAGAGCCTGTGATCCAATGTAACTGATTTTTGTTGTCTATTACAGCAAACTTGAAAGATCCCTTTAGAATTTTTATACCAGTCTGTACAAATGACTGTTTTATAAATCTAGCAAATAAGATCAGAAAACTCACCATGAGGAAGGGGAAAATCTGATCCTGGGTTGTTATTTTGCAGAGCAAGTTCAAGGCAGAGGCTGACCCAGCCTCCGTGGGACCTTGAGCAGGCAGAGGGGAAATGACTGTGTAGAGCTTAAACAAAAAGAGCTGAGAAGCCAGAGAACTGAATGTTGGCAGAGAACTGACCTACTGTAGTGTGGAACAAATGTAATGGGGCTTAATATGGTGAAATGACATGTTCCCTTTCTCCCCACGTACCTTGAAAAACTACTACAAGAATAGCAGATCATCAGACCAAGTATTGGTGACTGCCTTGATAAGTATGGAGTTAGAAGATGTCTACCTCTGACTTCAGGAATGCTTATTTTCCATAATGACACTATGAGGTAGCAGAAGCACTGGAGAGCTCTCCAGGGAATGAATCAGACTTCTAATTTCCTCTCTGCAGGGTTAGAATAACTAGAGTTGATTATTTGGCCTAAGTACAAAGCTTTTGGGAACAAGGGTCAATATTGGACTTAGCAATAGAGCAACAGGGACCCTAGGGACAGAAGAATAATATATGTGTGGCCCACAGGATGAAGACTTGGGGTCATATGATTTGACTGTTAAAAGAAGTTTGACCTCATTTTGGAAACAAGCCACACTGTTTAACTCAATTTACAAATTTCAAGTTCAGTAAAATTTAATTTTACATTTTTTATTTGGTGCTATCCTATTTTTTCTGAAAATAACTTGGTCTCAATAATCTTGAAGACCTATATTATTGAAGAACATTTTTCACTCTATTTCATATAATTTGTTGTAGAAGAGTCAAGAGGCCAGTGAAAAAATGGAAATAAATTTTAAAAATTATCTATGTGATCTATTTATTCATTAATACATAATTGTTAAGCACCTATTAGGTGCCAAGCTATCTCTTAGGGGTTGAGGCCATAGTGGTGAGCAAGTGAACAAACAGGCAATATCCCTGATCCCATATCAATGTAAATATAATTTAAGAGGCATAATTAAAGTAACATACTTTTGCTTGGGTCAATTTAAATCAGAAAGAAAGAGTTAAGAGAGTGAGAGCCAGAGAGAAGAAAGACAAAGAGATCAATCTGGAAGTTTGAAATATTCCTACTTCCACTCCAATGCAAACAAATGATGAAAGAAATCAAAATGTTAGTCTCTCATTGGAACACATTTCATTAATTTATTCAGTTCATTCACAAGCATTCATTAAGCATCTATTATGCATTGTCATTGTCATGCAAACACTTTTTAAAAAGCAAGTAATATATTGTTTTTCTATAGTTTAAACTGATTTCATAAAATATAGTCTAAGGCATAACAAATGATTGTATAAGGAATTAAGTAAAAAAGAATACCCTTAAATAGGTTAATATTAATAGTAATGTAAATTTTTATTTTAGCAATTGTGTATTTACACCATTATAAATTTCTACAACTATTAGTTCTACTCTTTGAAGAGAACCTAGTCTGAGCTGACGTTTGTTCTATGTCTGCAAAGATTCAAAGCCTTCCCAGGTTTTATCTAAGTAACTTTGTTTTATGTTCTATTTATACTTCATAAATCCATTATAAGCCCATCTAGAAAAGCAATTATTTCCAGGCATCAACTAATTTACTGGACTTCTTCTCAATGGATATGTGGTTTCTACTTTAGACAACCAATCTCCATAGCAAATCAGGTGGATTTAGTTTCTGCATCCCTGTTTATACATAAGCTAAATTAAGAGTGTTACCATCACAGACATAGCTACTGGCCAAATAGAAGGTGCAAGACTTGGAAGACACAATCACACGGGCAATTAGTGGAAGCCATATCCAGAGCATAGGTCCCCTGTATTTTGCTCCAAGGCTTTTTTCCTATGTAAGGCTACTATTGAATGGCTCTGTAATTCAATAGTGTAATGGAAAGTGGACAAGGCGAACATTTAGGATATATTCTTTAGCCATTTATTTTTTATGCAAGTCGCTTAATCTCAAGGAATTTGAAGTTGCACATCTATAATATGAAAATAATAATGCCTAACCTAGTCTCACATGAGTTCAAAAGGGGGAAATTTATGTGAAAGGTATAAAGGTATTGTCATTTACATCCACCAAACATTATTGGTAAATGTGAAGCCTTGGTGTATAAATGTTATGCTCTGTTATGCTAGCATTCTAAACTTCTGAGAAATACACAGTTGCTGAAGATCAGTTACTTAATTCTTTGCATGTCAACTACTTATTAATGTTTATGTATATCTACATGAGAAAGCACAGAAGAACTTTGTATTTGTATTGTGAGGAAAAAAGAAAAGGGCATCTCCACCTCATGAGGTACAGGTATTACTATTATAGCTTCCAGATGGTCAATCAGCCTGCACCTAGGGAGAAAATAACAAGTAGGCCTCACTTCCCAGTCTTTTCGTCAGTGCCGCCTCCATACAACAGTAGTAAGACATAGCTCCTGCTTGGAGGACTGCTTATAGCTGCCTAGGGAACTAATGAATTTAACAGAAAAGAAAAATGTGATATTCAACTAGTTACCCAATGCACAGCATAGGTAGTAACTGCTTAAGAAGATCAGCTTTAAAAAATAATCTTTATTTCTTGCAAATTGTATGTTAAGTGCTATGTCAAGGGCTTTATTTCATTTCATTCATAATTTAATATTGACCCAATTTAAAACATGAGATATCCAAGATTCACAGAAGTCAAACTTGGACAAGTTTATAAAACTAGTGCATATCATCATTTAAACCCAGTTTTGTCTGACTCCAAAGCCCTTCTTCCAATCATGGCATGATATCAGTTTCACAGGAAGGAGTAGTTAGTTGCCTTGAAGTGGTACAGTCCCCTAATCTTCAATAGGAGATACTGAAAACTTTGAATTTTCACAAACAAGACAAAGAAGGGAAGGAATTTCAGTGATATGGTTTGGCTGTGTCCCCACCCAAATCATATCGTGAATTGTAACTCCCACAATTCCCACGTGTCATAACAGGAACTCAGTGGGAGGTAATTGAATTATGGAGACAGGTCTTTCCTGTGCTGTTCTTGTAATAGTGAATGAGTCTCATGAGATCTGATGATTTTAAAAACGGGAGATTCCATGCACAAGCTCTCTCTTTGCCTGCTGCCATCCATGTAAGACATGACTTGCTCCTCCTTGCCTTCTGTCATGATTGTGAGGCCATGTGGAAATTAAATCTCTTTTGCTTCCCAGTCTCTAGTATGTCTTTGTCAGCAGCATGAAAACTAATACAGTAAATTGATACCAGTAGAGTGGGGTGTTGCTGAAAAGATACCCAAAATGTGGCAGCGACTTTGGAACTGGGTAACAGGCTGAGGTTGGAACAGTTTGGAGGGCTCAGAAGAAGACAAGAAAATATGAGAAAATTTGGAACTACCTAGAGACTTGTTGAATGGCTTTGACAAAAATGCTGATAGTGATATGAACAATAAATTCCAGGCTGAGGTGGTCTCAGGTGGAGATGAGGAACTTGTTGGGAACTGGAGCAAAGGTGACTCTTGCTATGTTTTAGCAAACAGACTGGTGGCATTTTGCCTCTGCCCTAGAGATTTGTGGAACTTTGAACTTGAGAGAGATGATTTAGGGTATCTGGCAGAAGAAATTTCTAAGCAGCAAAGCATTCAAGAGGTGACTTTGGTGCTGTTAAAGGCATTCAGTTTTATAAGGGAAGCAGAGCATAACAGTTTGGAAAAGTTGCAGCCTCACGATGCAAAAAGAAAAACCCATTTTCTGAGGAGAATTTCAAGCCTGCTGCAGAAATTTGCGTAAGTAACGAGAAGCCAAATGTTAATCCCCAAGACAATGGGGAAAATGTCTCCAGGGCATGTCTCCAGGGCCTCCCATCACAGGCCTGGAGACCTAGGAAGAAAAAATGGTTTCATGGGCCAGGCTCAGGGTTCCCACGCTGTGCACAGTCTAGGGTCTTGGTGCTCTGTGTCCCAGCTACTCCAGCTGTGACTAAAAGGGGCCAAGGTACAGCTCCGGCTGTGGCTTCAGAGGGTGCAAGCCTCAAGCCTTGGCAGCTTCCATGTGGTGTTGACCCTTTGGGTGCACAGAAGTCAAGAGTTGAGGTTTGGGAACCTCTGCCTAGATTTCAGAGGATGTATGGAAACACCTGGATGTTGAGGCAGAAGTTTGCTGCAGGGGCGTGGCTCTCGTGGAGAGCCTCTGCTAGAGCAGTGCAGAAGGGAAATGTGGGGTCAGAGCCCCCACAATGAGTCCCTACTGGGGCATCACCTAGTGGAGTTGTGAGAAGAGGGCCACCATCCTCCAGACCCCAGAATTATAGATCCACCAACAGCTTGAACTGTGTGCCCGGAAAAGACACAGACACTCAACAGCAGCCCATGAAAGCAGTTGGGAGGGAAGTTGTACCCTGCAAAGCCATAGGGACGGAGCTGCCCAAGATCATGAGAACCCACCTCTTGCATCAGTGTGACCCGGATGTGAGACACAGAGTCAAAGGAGATCATTTTGGAGCTTTAAGATTTTACTGCCCTGCTGAATTTCAGACTTGCATGGGACCTGTAGCCCCTTTGTTTTGGAAAATTTGTCCCACTAGGAAAGGCTGTATTTACCCAATGTCTGTACCCCCATTGTATCTAGGGAATAACTAGCTTTTGATTTTACAGGCTTATAGAAGGAAGGGACTTGCCTTGTCTCAGATGAGACATTGTACTGTGAATTTTGATTAATACCAAAATGAGTTAAGAATTTGGGGCACTGTTGGGAAGGCATGATTGGTTTTGAAATGTCAGGACATGAGATTTGGATGTGCCAGGAATGGAATGATATGGTTTTGCTGTGTCCCATCCAAATCTCATCTTGGATTATAACCCTCACAATTCCCAAGTGTCATGGGAGGAACCCCATAGGAGGTGATTGAGTTATGGGGGTGAGTCTTTCCTGTGCTGTTCTTGTGATAGTCAATGAGTCTCACAAGATCTGATGGTTTTTAATATGGGAGTTTCCCTGAACAAGCTCTCTCTTTGCCTGTTGCCATCTATGTAAGACATGACTTGCTCCTCCTTGCCTTCCGCCATGATTGTGAGGCCTCCCCAGCCACGTGGAACTGTAAGTCAATTAAACCTCTTTTTTATTCCTAGTCTGGGGTGTGTCTTTATCAGCAGCATGAAAACAGACTAATACATCCAGAAAGAAGAAAAGGTATGGGCGATTGAAATTCAGAAAAGCACACAGAAGGGAGACACGGAAACAAATACTTTCTTTGGGGCAGGTGATAGAGATGGGCTACTTATAGTTAGTTATTGCCTTTTTAGCTATGTTCTGGCCACCAAGATGCCAATGGACATGGTAAAAATGTATCTCTGGCCTAGCCCCCAAACATATTCTGCAAAATCCTTGACACTCCTTCTTCCTGCAGATCAGAAGCAGAAGAGCTGGCTGGGGAGACCAAGGCCTTGGAAAAGACAAAACCAAAAGCTAAACAGAAACTGAATTTCTGAAAGAACATACAGAACACTGCTCACTGCTCAAGGTTAGCCATACTGGACATTTTCAGCAAGAAATAAACATTTATTTCCTTATACTTAGTAAAATTTGGGATATTTTGTTTTAGCTTCTAGAATTATTTATCCAAAGAAACACAAAGAGGAAAGTTCCTCTGGGGAAGAAGTGAAGTTAGGGCATGTTAGACTCTATGGGTCAACTCCTCCAACATGTTTCCAATCCTCTTCTTCTTTTCCTAGATTAACTTTAGACCTACTTTCCCTTGGAATTAATGCTGATCATGCGACAACATTCTGTTCAATGAGATGCCAATGTAAGTTTCATGAGCATGTCCCTTCCCTATTTCCCCACCTCCCTTCTTCTTGTTTGCAAGAGGATGTGATACCCAAATTTTCAGCAGCCACATAGTAACTCTGAGGGAAAGGCCAAGAGAATCTCAGAGATGTTAGTCCTAACATTATTGACCCACTGTACCAACCCCAGCAAATGCTCACCTACAGACACCTATAAATATATAACAACAAACAAATAAAAGCCTATTCTTTAAACTATAGTTAAATAGGTGTTTGGGTATTTGCAGCTGAACACGACTGTAATCAAGACAAAAGTGGATGAAAAACAGTGTTTCTCAACTGGGGTAATTTTGCCCTTCCCTTACCTCTGCAAAATCCCCAGAGACTTTTTAGTGGTCACAACTAGAGGGATGTTACTGGTGTCTAACATGTCTTGCCTGCAATGCACAAGAAAGCCCTTCATGACAAAGGCTTATCCAGCCCGAGATGTCAGTTGTGCCAAGGATGAGGGATCGCCATACTGCAACATGGAAAGCCCCTCCATGGCATTAGAAAGTGCTATTACTTCTTTTTTATGTCATTCTATGCCACTGTGGAATTTTGAACAATACAGTATCATGATAGAATAAAATGAGGAAGAGAGAAGAGTAAATGGGTTTTACATAGAATGGATGACTAGAAAAGGAGTAATGGAAAGTAGCAGTCTAGAGTTCAGATGTCTAAAGCTCAGAAATCCAGTTAAGAGTTTGATTATTAGAAACTGATTGTTGGTGGATGGGGAAATAGGAAGAGAAAATTCATGATTTATTAGGAAATAATTTGATAACAGAAAGAAAGAAATAAGTAATATTAACAGAATTCAAGCAGATGTATCAAGACCAGATATTGGGCCTGTAGAATGATATTAAACATTTTTATGAAAAAAGCAGGCATTTCACCATTTATTTTAATTTTTGCAAACATATAAACATCCTAAAACAGAGAAAGAAGAATATCTAAATATTAGGCTGATGCAAAAGTAATTGCAGTTTTTGCCATTTAAAGTAATGGAAGTAATAGAAAATCTTATTTTCCCCTTATCCCCTGAGCTGCTTGGGAGTGTTAGAGGGAGTTATACAAGAAATGTCAAGGTATCCATATTTTTTTAACAAAAGCATAATATATTTATCATGTAAAATCTAATGAATAAGTTATTCTCCTTATTAAAATATCACTATATGCTTCCACGGGTTACAGAAAACATGGCACAAAGAAAAGGGCACAGTATTAAGATTAGAGAAAAGAAAGCAGAATTGTTGAAAGACTCAGAGAGGGATATAGAAAACCCTTTTCCTCATTAAGAAGCAAAGCAGGCAGCTAGCATTGTGCAGAGTTTATTGGGCAAAACAGTCATCACAAATAATATGTTTTAATCGAATTTTGGGAATGAGGATAAATACAGAGTTTGAGACCATCACACTGGAAAGTATCTTTTCAGTGAAGAAGAGCACAAGAATTTTATAGAACATACACATAGAAGCATCACAAAACCTAGAAGCAGAATATAAGTAAAAACCAAAGACTATTTTTGTGGTTACATTTGGCTACGTGTTCTCATCACATTGTGAGTTAGGAGGAACTGGAAATTTATAAATGTAGCCCCTGAATATCCTCTGCTGTATCTCTATATTTTTGTTGTAAACAGATTATGACTAAATAAGTGTTATACAAATGCATAGAGCTATCATTCATGGTGCAGCTTCAACTTTGGTAGGATTCCATTGTTTTCATGAAGTCTGTAGTGAAATAATGTTCCCTAATATTATTATATAGAGATACTTGAAGTGGGTAGACCTTGTGTGAACAACAGATAAGCGTGATGGTTATCAGTATATTACAAAACCAGATTTCAGCAAAGTAGCAGGCTTGTGGAATATTAGTGTAAAAGTTTCATTCTTTTCTGAGGATATTTGTTCATAAACCTTTATAAAACCAAAGTATTAACATGTTTATCAGAATTTCTTTCATTCCTTATATTCTCTACATAGAAAAATCTACCACATATTGTAAACCAGGGGATTCTTTTCGCCATAAGCTTAGATCTTGTATTAGGGCTTAGTAGAAAGGATATCTACTTAGAAATGCTTCTGAGCCAGTTTTACTCATTAAAATAAATATCAATGACTCCTACACAGACTCATAAACATGCCATAAATTTACTTTACTGCACCACCTTTGAGTTTTTGTTCTAATGTGTGACAAATCCCAATAGATTATATTTTGTAGATGATATTCTTCCCTATCAAAATTATACTATATTGAAGGCAGAGTTTTATTCAATAAGATAGAGGATTCAAGTTGCTCTCCAACTACCCGCAAGCATCCTGAAAGTTAAATAGCTTGTTTCTCCTCAAATGAAAGACTTAACTAAAATAAGCAGTATGAACCATCTCCAACTGTGAACTAATTAAAGACAATTCCCTTTCAAGGTTTTTTCACTAGATGTCATTTGTGATTTTACTTTGCTTTCCTTAAATTTGTCCTATTTTACATACCTGCTCCTTCTAGGATTTATTCTTCAATGGCACAATATTTTAATATTGTGACATTGAAATGTCAGCAACATTATAATGGGTCATACTTTAATATTAAGTTCTTTACAAATTATAAAACAAGTGTTAAAGATATTATAATATTATAGTGCTAGCAGAAGCAGCTCGATTCAATGAATAGGTGAGTTTCTCTTTTTTCAAGCCTATTGTCATTATGTCCGGAGAGGAAGAGAATGAAGTGACTGACCACACCCTAAACTATATGCTTGTTCCCTTCATAATCTCCGTTCCTTATGCACTACTTTCAATTATGTTGCCAAATTTCTAATGTTGAAAAGGCTGGAGGAAATAATTGTAGAAGCAATTTCAAGAAAAAATCAAATCTAAAATCATATTCGGTTTTAAAATGCCTAAATAACAGAAAAGTCAGCAGAATAAAAATAATTCCTGAAGAAATGTAATGAAAAGACTGAAGGAAGAAAATTAGAACTCAACAAACGAGCAGTATTTTTCCTAGAATAACAGTGCCATGAATCACCTGGTGGCCTATTGACCAAGATCACCATTTTCTTATCACTTCCTATGAAATTTCTTTCGAAGGCTATTAGTAAGTTATTGATAACACAAGGACTAGGCAAATATATTTAAAATAATGCATACGCATTATTTCTCTCTAACCAACATCCATAGTCTTCCTCCTAGTGTTCAAAGAATCTCCTTATTTTGATGGTCAAGATTTGCAGTTTTATATCTGATAATTATGAGCTTAATTTCCAGACATCTAACCATTCTTGATCTAAAATACTTTTTAAAAGGTTTGGACTAATTGTTTCAAGAATTAGTTTGAATTAGTCCATTTCATAGTCTCTGCCACCTGGTTCCTTTTACCAATCAAAAAATATTTATCACGATTCCATTTATAAACCTTCTTTTCAAATTGGGGTTATTCATTTTTTCTCAAACGCCTTGTATTTTTAAAACTATGTTTTAAAAAGAGTTTGAATTTTTGCTATTTTCCAGGCTCAGGACAGGAACATTCACGTTTATACAATATCTCCACTAATTTCCCAACTTGTTATAGTCCTCTTGCTAAGAATATCCTTGTCCTCTTCAATTTTAAGTATGATTTATTGGGTATAGTACACTTGAAATGTTATCTAGTTCATCATAAAGCACAATATTGACCCAGAATTTTGCAAAATTTTTAAAATTATAATAGCATTAATGGGAGACATCGGCTGCTTACCAAATATCCATAGGCTCACACACATTTCTCAGCCCCACTGCAATTAGGAAGGGCCCTGAGAATAGTTCTGCACAAATGGGTCATGAACAGAATACACATAAAAAAATTTGAGGCCAAGACACTAAATGGATGGTGTGTGACCCTTCAGCTTTCTCTTCTACTGTCAAGGAGACCATGAAGGGCATCAGTTGTGATGGTGGAACCAGAAGATGAAAATGAACCAGTGCCCTTTGTTACTTTGTGAAAGTGAACTTCCCTGGAGAGTCACAGAGAAACCAGTGGACTTCTGTGGATTAGAAATCAAAAGATATAGTCTTACATCCTGGAGATTTGGGAAATGTTACAGGAAGCACAACCTAATCTATCCTGATTAATACTATTGATTGATATAAGAAGTGGGTAACGTCTGTTAAAAAACAAACTAAAAGCCAAAAAACTAACTAAATTAAAATATATGGCATTTGATGAGTGGTCTGGTATAGGCTAGAAAGATCATGATAACTTATACTAAAGATCAACAGCAGTATCTGATACTGATATTTGATAATGCTACTGCCTGCAATAAGTTGCAGTTTCAATCATGTGAGCAATGAATTCGAAACACTGGAAACTGGAAACTTACAAGGGTGTGTTGGTTACTGCTAGCTGTGTTTCGCAAAGTATTACAAGAAAGATGATTCAGCAAAGAATACCTCAGTCTGAAAGCAGAAGTTTGGGAAAAAGTGAGAGATAAAATTGAAAAAGCCTTTGAGAGACAAATCCTGTTAAAACAGCTTGATGGCAAAGATCAGATTCAGAGTGGCTTCCTTGCATATTTTAAAACCTATCACTTGGGAGACGAGGTAGGAAGACTGCTGGAGCTCAGGAGTTTGAGACCAGCTTGGGCAACATGGGCAGACCTTGTTTCTGCAAAAAACTTTTATAAAAATTTAGCAGGATATGGTGGCATATGGGAAGCTACATGGGAGGCTGAGGCAGAGGATCACTTGAACCCAGAAGGTCGAGGCTGCAGTGAGCCATATTCATGCCACTGCACTCCAGCCTGGGTGACAGAGTGAGACCTTGTCTCAATCAGTCAATCAATAAACTATCGTTAATGAAGGTGCCCCAGGGAAAAAGTGAAACAAAAGAGACTTTCTGTCTCTGGTATGACACTTTCTGGATAGCTCTCCTTAAATATAGAGAAGCATAAGATATGAGAACAAAGAAATAAAGATTTGAGAATAGATCATACTGATGTCTGGGTATGAGTTCAGCAAATAAACTGACCAGTAACAACAGATGGAAAGTCTAATGCGTTTTTAAGACTCAGTCTGAAAAAATACCCGTAAAGTTACATGATTATTTCAGCCTTACAGTCCTTGGACTCCCAACTTTCCACTGGCAAGACCTTAATTAAGAAAACTGTGAAGCCCTGATCCTGGCATATTCCACAACAGCCTCTTCAGACATGGCTATGGAACATCCTGAAAACCAGAAGAAACTCCCAAAGCCATAAAGAACAATGAACACAACACTAATCCCAGAGAGCACATTAGGCATTATCTGGTAGCTGATTTCTTTTTTTTTTTTTTTTTTTGTAAGGAACAGAAATTTATTTCTTACAGTTCTGGAGGCTGGGAGTTTCAAATCAAAGTACCAGGAGGTTAGGGCCCAGTCTCTCTGCTTCCAAGATGGTGCCTTAAATGCTGCATCCTCTGGAGGAGAACACCATGTCCTCGGGTGGCAGAGGGGCAGAAGAGAGAGAACCTACTCCTGCAAGCTTGCCTTTTTAATTTTTTTTTTTTTTTTTTTTTTTTTAGTATTTATTGATCATTCTTGGGTGTTTCTCGGAGAGGGGGATTTGGCAGGGTCATAGGACAATAGTGGAGGGAAGGTCAGCAGATAAACATGTGAACAAGGGTCTCTGGTTTTCCTAGGCAGAGGACCCTGCGGCCTTCCACAGTGTTTGTGTCCCTGGGTACTTGAGATTAGGGAGTGGTGATGACTCCTAACGAGCATGCTGCCTTCAAGCATCTGTTTAACAAAGCACATCTTGCACCACCCTTAATCCATTTAACCCTGAGTGGACACAGCACATGTTTCAGAGAGCACGGGGTTTGGGGCAAGGTTATAGATTAACAGCATCCCAAGGCACAAGAATTTTTCTTAGTACAGAACAAAATGGAGTCTCCTACGTCTACTTCCCTCTACATAGACACAGCAACAATCTGATTTCTCTATCTTTTCCCCACATTTCCCTTTTCTATTCGACAAAACTGCCATTGTCATCATGGCCCGTTCTCAATGAGCTGTTGGGTACACCTCCCAGACGGGGTGGCTGCCGGGCAGAGGGGCTCCTCACTTCCCAGACGGGGCGGCCAGGCAGAGGCGCCCCCACCTCCCGGACGGGGCGGCGGCCGGGCAGGGGCTGCCCCCCACCTCCCTCCCGGACGGGGCGGCTGGCCGGGCAGAGGCTGCAATCTCGGCACTTTGGGAGGCCAAGGCAGGCGGCTGGGAGGTGGAGGTTGTAGCGAGCCGAGATCATGCCACTGCACTCCAGCCTGGGCAACATTGAGCACTGAGTGAGTGAGACTCCGTCTGCAATCCTGGCACCTCGGGAGGCCGAGGCTGGCAGATCACTCGCGGTTAGGAGCTGGAGACCAGCCCGGCCAACACAGCCAAACCCCGTCTCCACCAAAAAAATATGAAAACCAGTCAGGCGTGGCGGCGCGTGCCTGCAATCCCAGGCACTCGGCAGCCTGAGGCAGGAGAATCAGGCAGGGAGGTTGCAGTGAGCCTAGATGGTGGCAGTACAGTCCAGCTTCGGCTCGGCATCAGAGGGAGACCGTGGAGAGAGAGGGAGAGGGAGAGGGAGACCGTGGGGAGAGGGAGAGGGAGACCGTGGGGAGAGGGGGAGGGAGAGGGAGAGGGAGAGCTCTGGTAGCTGATTTCTACCATTCTGAAGGCTTGGGGAATCTTTGTAATGTCTACCCACCAAGATTTCAAGATCTCAGAATTCCTATGAATTCTGCTGGATATCTCCCATTCTTTCCCTTTCTGGAATGTGTTTTTGCTTTTATTGTATCCCATTTCCACAATGAAACACTAGGTGTCATGCGACTGAGGATATGCAGATACCTTGTCTTCTTATTTCATCTGTCTGAATCTAGAGATTATAGTATAATATGCAGAAACTTAGACTTTGAGCTTAAAGGAAGTGACTTGGTGAGACTTAGTTGGTTTTTGTTGGGGCATGTCACAATAAGGGAGCAAGAAAACATTTTTGTAACCAGAAGGGTCAACCGTCGCAGTGACAATTGTTTGTCAGTGAATATCCAGGTGTGGTCCCCTCACCCCAACCCCTGCATGGGCTATTCCCAGCCCCCTTGCTAGGAGCTATGTGTCTGTTTCTGGCCAATGCGCTGTAAACAGAAATGATGTGTATAACTCCTAGGCTAAAATATTTAAGAGCTAGTTTGCCATCCTTATGGTTCCTTCTCCTGTCAAACTAATTGTGTAGGCCTCCTGTTGGGATGAAGAATCACCAAGATGAAAACAACCTGGATCCCCACACATAGGAAATCTTCCCTTGGATCTATAGTGGACATTGTAATACTCTATGGGAAAAATCCACACACTGTGGAATCCAGAAAGCAAATGGTTAAATACTAACTGACTTAGGGTTTTCTGGAAGCCAGAAAGCAAATGGTTAAATACTAACTGACTTGGAATCTAACCAGTTTTAGCAGTGAGGAGATTAAGAAGAGAGTCAATTTGTACCCCAAATTCCAGAAATGCTCTAAAGGTGAAGGTATCACCCATCTCAGAATGTGGAGCTATGTGAACAAAAAACAAGAATATTAGGAATTTTCAAAAGAAACTCTGAAGATCCTTGAAGCCTTTCCGTATCCACACAGTAGGAAAGCTAGTTCTCTTCAGCAGTTTTAGAAATTTGTCATCTACCAACACTATCAGAGATACTCTGACCTTTGCCTCAGACACCAGGCAAAGTTGTCACAGTGAAAATAGAGAGCCACACTGAAAGTAGAGGAATAAGTGAAGGGCCATATGCTGTATAATGAGGTCTCCATCTCCCTTCCCTCCTCCACCCATTAATATTCCATTATACAATCTCCCCTTTCCTGCTCCCCACAAACATGTAGCAGATTGAATTATTCTAAATAATTGACTAAACCAAGAAAATTAAACACTATGTATTTGAACATTCTCACAATAACATGGCTCGCTCTCATTAAACATTCTACAGTGAAGATTAACAGTCAAAAATATACACCCATCATTCTTCACAGAACTAGAAAAAAACAATCCTAAAATTCATATGGAACCAAAACATAGCCTACATAGCCAAAGCAAAACAAAGCAAAAAGAACAAATCTGGAGATATCACATTACCTGACTTCAAATTATACTACAGGGCTATAGTACCAAAACAGCATGGTACTGGCATAAAAATAGGCATGTAGATCAATGGAAAAGTATAGAGAACCTAGAAATAAAGCCGAATACTTACAGCTAACTGATCTTTGACAAAGCATAAAAAACATATCTCGGGGATAGGACACCCTAGTCTATATGGTGCTGGGAAAACTGGGAGGCCACATGTAGAAGAATAAAACTGGATCACCATCTCCCACCTTATACAAAAATCAACTCAAGATGGATCAAAGATTTAAATCTAAGACTTAAAACCATACAAATTCTAGACAATAACACTGAAAAAACTCTTCCAGGCATTAACTTAGGCAAATAATTCATGACTAAGACTGCAAAACAAATGCAATAAGAACAAAAATAAATAATTGGGACCTAATTAAACTAAAAAGCTTCTGCACAGTAAAATACATAATCAACAGAATAAACAGACAATCTTGTGGGAGAAAATATTAGCAAACTATGCATCTGAGAAAGGACTAATATCCGGCATCTACGAGGAACACAAATCAGCAAGAAAAGAAAACTCATCAAAAAGTGGTCAAAGGACATGAATAGCCAATTATCAAAAGAAGATATGCAAACAGCCAACAAACATATGAAAAAATGTTCAACATCACGAGATGTTGGTGTGGATGTGGTGAAAAGGGAACACTTTTACACTGCTGGTGAGAATGTAAACTAGTACAACCACTATGGAAAACAGTATGGAGAAGCTTTAAGGAACTCCATTCAATTCAGCATTCAATCCAGCACTACTGGGTATCTACCCAAAGAAAAAGAAGACATATGAAAAAGACATATGCACACGGATGGTTTATAGCAGCACATTTCACAATTGTAAAGATATGGAACCAAGCTAAGTGCCTATCAACCATACACCATAGAATACTACTCGGGCATAAATAGGAATGAAATAATGTCTTTTGCAGCAACTTGGATGGAGTTGGAGGCCATTATTCTAGGTGAAATAACTCAGAAATGGAAAATCAAATGTATGTTCTCACTTATAAGTGGGAGTTAAGCTATGAGGATGCAAAGGCATAAGAATGATATAATGAACTTTGGGGACTTGGGGAGGCTGGAAGAGGGTGAGAGATAAAAGACTATGTATTGAGTACAGTGTACACTGCTTGGGTGATTTTGGAGCACCAAATCTCAGAAATCACCACCAAAGAACTTATCCATGTAACAAAATACCACCTGTACCCCATAAACTATTGAAACATAAATAGCAATAAATAAATAAATAAATTCTTGAAAAATAACAAAAAATTAGGTGGGTGTGGTGGCGAGCACCTGAAAAAAATACATATCTACAGTCTTCAAATATTATTTAAGTACTTTTTACCATCAGAGTTGTAAGTTACTTGATACTGCAAAAATACTTCTAACTCAAAAAAGAGAACTAAAACAAATGCGGAAAAGCTTAAATACAAACAAGACTTTGCAGAAAACATAAAAAAGCAAACGAAGTTATAGTTAACATTCTCAAAGAGAAAAGAGTTCTAAAAATACAACAGTTCTCTTAGAAATGTAAATGAGAATATTTTCTCAAATCAACAAAGAGGATGAAAAACAATGTTGAAGGCATCATCCAAAAAGTAAACCAAAAGTTTATAATAGAAAGTAATCAACTGAGGAAAGTTATCACCCCAAGAAAACTGTTTCTCATTTCTGTATCTGTCAAATCGGGATAATAATATTAACACCAACGACAATAATGTCCTATTAAACATGGTACAGTGAATACCCAGCTCATGTAGTTGTCATTAGGATTAACTTAGTGAAGAGAGTTAGTAAAGGGACTTAGAACCATGACTGGAATAAAGAAAACACTCAGTAAGTATCAGAATTTGGTATCAACAACAATATTATTATGGTGAAAAATACATATTCCAACAACAGGAGAAAAAGTAAAAGGGATAGAGAGCAGATTAAAAAGAAATTACGTATAAAGTATGTCTCCAAACTAAGAGTGTGTATCTCAAGATCTGAACTATCCACCCAGCATTCAACACAATTATTGAAAATAGATGCAGGCCAAAAGCAATTTCACAACACTAGGAGTAATGGGAAGATCTTAAAGTTTTCGGAGAGGAGAAGGAGGAAAGGAGTGAAGAGATAAATATATACAATGATTAGTAACTGGATGACATCTGAATTTTTAGTGGCTAGGCGACAAATGGAAACCAGAAAATAAAGGCCTACAATTTTGAGAGCAAATGCTCACTATTCTATAACTCTACACCCAGGGCATTATCAATCAAGATGAAATATAAACCAAAATCATTTTCAAATACGCAAAGTGGGAATCTTTACAAAAATGGTCATAATATTTTGCAGTTTCTCCTATCCCTTGAATCTGGGCTTAAGCATGTGACTTTCTTTGAATAATGAGACACTAGCAAGCATGACACAAGCAGAGAGGCTCAAAAAGTGGCTGTGCACTGGGGCTTGACCTCTTGTGCCACTGGAAACCCAGAGCTCGCCAGGAAGGAGCCAAGGCTAGACTCCAAGGATGAAAGATCAAAAGATCATGTAAGGGAATGGGGCCACAACCATCTCAGCCATCCAGCTGAAGTCCCAAATATGTGAATGAGGCCATCCTAGATTCTCTCATCCCAGCCAAGCTAGCCAGAGCACAAGAACCACAACAGCTGACTCCACAGAATTGAACTAACAGTTGTTTTAAGTCATTAAGTGTTGGAGTGGACTGCTACACAGCAAAAGTGGACTGCTATACCCTCATCTTTTCTCAGGAAGCCTCTGGAGAATGTACACCTCCAGGCAGAAAAAAGAAGATATAGTTGGTTCCAGGAAGCAGTTGATCCAATGCTAGGAAGTGGCAAAGAGAATGCCTTGACATACTTTGAAGTTAGACACGAGACAGTAGCTAAGCAGCAAAAATGAGCAACAAGTCAGACTGGAGCAGAAAAGAGACTATAGGAAGGCACTGTCGAAGAAAAAACACAAGCAGAAATGAAGTCATTTTAGACTTGTGAAAAAAAAAACAGGCAAAGAAACACAAAGAGGCAATTACTAACTCCAGGGAAGCAGAATTACATAAGAAATGGAAAATTTTCATGCTACATGCTTTAAATCAGTTGTGAGTGACAATTATATATATATATATATATAACATATATTATATATTATATATATTAGCTTAACACAGTAAGAAATGCCAAGAGTGTGCAGTAGAAAGCTGTTATTTGAAATACGACATTAAATATTTTACAGTAGCTGCCTTTAGGGAGGGCCAAGGAGGATTATGAAAGAGTGAGGCAGAGGGCTCCTGATCTTGGAGTAGAGTTTAATGTTTTAACTTATGTAACTACTGTATTTTGGAAAATAGAAAATTAAAATTGAAAATAGGCAAAGCATTGAAGCAACAAATACACAGGGAAAGAACCTCTTACTAAACTTTTATCTCTTATGTCTCTCATATCTTATATCTATGTTTGTATCTATGTATCTTATATATTATGTCTATACTTATTTCTTTGAAAAGCTCTGGCCAAATACTTATCAACAAATTGCAAAGATTTAAACATTTTCAACCTTGAGTTATCTCTCATAATAATTACAAAAATAAATAGAAGCATAACAGGCATTACAAAGAATTTTGTCACAGTGTTTCATAAGAACAAAACAATTTAGAAGTCACATAAAAATACAAGAATTAGAAACAAGCAATCATATATTTATACAGTAAATGTTCTTCAATAAAATAATTATACTTTTGAAGAGTAATGCCATAAGGATAGGCTAATTTAAAATATAAGTAAACAGAGAAAAATGGAAAATAATATATCCAGTATTATACAAAATTTGTAAATAATATATATATATGGTATGCATATATAAAAGTTACATGGAAAGATGATTTCATTGTTATTTTGTCTACTTTTTAGATTATCAGCAATGATTTTGTATCACTATATATAACGAGAAAAGACGTAATATTGGTTTACTATTCAACTTAAAATATTTTAAAAATTTTGTGTCTTTATGAAACTGTAATTTCATAGAAAAACCTTAAAATATAATGGAAATGAGTTCAGTTTCTGGTAATGACATAGTAGCTTCTTGTAGATTGAAATTATAATCTGTGCACACAATATGAAAACAAAATATATGAAGGCACTGGAGAGTGACCAAAAGTAGGCAGAACCTGGAGGAGGTTCTTAAAAGAAGGAGACCCCAGGGAGAGAGATTCTTGTTGACTCAGCTTTTTCTTGGAAGACACCTAGCAGTCAGAACAAAAATCAACGGACTTCAGAGAAAAATAAGAGTGTCTGGAGTCGGTATAATGTCCAAAAATATCACAAATTGTGACTCATAGACAAGATAAAATTTACTCAGTGAACACTGACTCCAAGGTGATCTGGGGTAATGAAATTTCAGAGAAGGACTTTAAAGCAGCTGTTATAAATACAGTCAAGGAATTAAGAAAGAGATGGAAATAATGAGTGAAAAAATAAGAAATTTTAGTAGAGAACAACAATATAAATATGGAATTAAAGACATAATCATGTATACATATAATAAAACATATAAATAATGCAAATGAAGTAAATACTTCAATTAAGAGTTTTACTAATTACAAAATTTACTGCATGTCACCTATATGAGATGAACTTTATATATAAAGATACAGAGAGATAAAGTAAAAGGATGCAAGGTACACCACATACCATGCAGATGTCAGTGTAAAGAATTCAATGTGTTTCTAAAATATCAGACAAAACTTGCATTAAGACATGGAATATTATCAGTGATAAAGGTCATTTTATAAAGGGTCGATTGGTTAAAAAGATATAACAGTCATAAATATGTATAAATATCTAACAAAGCTTCAATACACATGGAGCAAAAGCCAACAGAACTAAACAAATCTATAATCATAGTGGGAGATTTCAACACCTCTTGTCCAGTAATTGATAGAATACCAAAAAAATCATGAAGTTTATAGAAGTTGTAGAAAAGAACAATTATCTTAACATAATTGAGATTATAGATTTTGTGTCTAACAATTGCAGAATATACATCCTTTTCAAATGCAAAAGAACTTCACCTAAATAGACAATAAATTATAATATAAGCTCCAGTAAATTACAAAAATGAATTTGTACAACGTATGTTCTCTGACCAACATAGACTTCATTGTAAACCAATGACACTAAGATATCGAGAAAATCCTTAAATATTTGTGAATTAAAGAACACATTTCTAAATATCTCATGGGTTAAAAAAAGAAACTGAATGGGAAATTTGAACATTTACGGTAGAATGAAAATAAAAAGATAAAAATATTAAAATATGTGTGATATACCTAAAGCTATGCTTAGATAATACCTTATAACATATTTGCTTTTATTAGGAGAAACAAGGTTTAAAATCAGTTATCTAAATTTTTACTTTAAGAAGCTAGACAAAGAAACTTAACTGAAAGTAAGTAGAATTAGGAAAATCAGAGTAGAAATCAATCAAATTAAAAACAGAGAGTAATCATGAAAATCTCAGGTGCATTACTTTCTGGTGGTCTAATTTAAAATGAGAAAAAAAGAAAAAGATCAGTTGCAAATATCTAGTTTTTAAAATTAATTATCTTGAATATTAGGCATCTCAGGCAATTTTTTTGTCAAACACTTCTTCGGACCTACTTGATGGTTGACTTTTCTTATAAGAGCTTAAAGAGAGGATGATCTGTATTGTGGAAGAAAAGTAGAGAAGGAGACAGGACATAGCTCATGTTTGCATTAGGGCCAGGAACACATACTAGCAGACCCAGACATGGAAATGATACAGAAACATAAAGTCCTACATTACTGGGGGTATTTCATGGTGGTTAAATGACTGAAAAAGTTGGTGATTCATACTTAATTGTATATACAAAATGAATGTTATCAGGGGCTACCCCTACTGAAAATGAGGGAGTTTAACTTAAAAATGGTCAGAACATTTCAAGAGAAATCTTTAGTAAAAAAAAAAAAGCAGGTTACTGTAGTTATCTTTGAGGATACAGAGCATGTTGACAGATGTCTGGCCAGCTAGAAAACACTTTTTTTTTTTTTTTTTTTTTTTTGAGACGGAGTCTCGCACTGTCGCCCAGGGTGGAGTGCAATGGCGTGATCTTGGCTCACTGCAACCTCCGCCTCCCAGGTTCAAGCGATTCTCCTGCCTCAGCCACCCGAGTAGCTGGGATTAAAGGCACCTGCCACCACGCCCAGCTAATTTTTTGTATTTTTAGTGGAGTTGAGATTTCACAATGTTGGCCAGGCTGGTCTCAAACTCCTGACCTTGTGATCCGCCCGCCTCTGCCTCCCAAAGTGCTGGGATTACAGGTGTGAGCCACCGCACCCTGCTGAAAACGTTTTCTTTTAAACAATCTGAAATATATGTGGAAATATCACCCATAAAGGAAAAAAAAAACTCCCAGGTAGCAAAAATAATAGGCATTGTAAAAGGAAAGAAGTATTTCTCACTAACCTGTTTGTGATTTTAATTCTGCATGACACTTCTGGGCTGTTCCAAAGCAAACTTACAGTCAATTCTTTCTTAACAAGAGCTCTTATTTTCTCCATTTCTCCTATCATTTTTGCTTCCTAATCCTCCCTCTCAAAAAAAAAAAAAAAAAAAAGAGAAAATAAAAGCAAAAGAAGAAGTACTGAATTGTTTCAGATGCTGTAATTAAAATACAAAGATTTTGGCAAGAGCTGGAGTTGTGGGGAGAGGGATGGAAAAGATTTCCACTACGAGAGTTTCTGATCTTGCTAATAGATGTACGTACCAGAGACAGAAATAAGCTAAACAAGGTTTCCAGTTTCCCTGCTCCTATAGCAATGCCTGGTATTCAGTTGGCAAAAAAATTAGCCTTGGCTCATAAAATCTAATTCCAGGAAATATTGTTACCATTTTATCTCTACATTTATCTTAGAAAGGAGGAAGATAGGTTAAAACTTTGTATCCAACATACAATGGATTCAGAACAGTCTACATATAATTTTTTAAGTGGGTTCAATAAATCAATATGATGGCTAAGTACTTTCTTTGGTTTTAAACATGTCTGGAAATGCTCCTTTCATTATTCCCAATTTTCTGATAACTGGATGAATAAATAAAAATGTTTCAAAGAGTACCAGAATACAGTAGTATTTCTTTCCTCTCAGATACATTTTTAATATCTGTGATTGATCTTCCAAATTAAACCTAGAAATACTTCTGCCTTTGACTTTCCAGTCATACACATTGAAATGTGATTTACTGCCTCTTAGTTTCCTAGATACAAGCAATTACATTGCTTGCATTTAGGACTATTTTAAGTGAAGTGCTGATAAAACCAGTTAAGTCTTCCCAGACCTAAGCAGTTATTAGGTTCTATGCTTTCTGTAACCCTTCTTTTAAATGAACTAATATGATTTTGTTCTCATGAAATAGTTTGGAATGATATTAATACAGACCAAAATGTTAGAAAATATTAAATGTATTTTAAGTCACTTTTAATATTATAAAACATCAGCACAATTTTTCTCTTTTATAAAAAACAATCTAACAGTAATGTGGTTTTAAAAAAATACACAGACATAGTATTTTACCTCCTTGCTGTTGACCTTAACACAAAACCTTTCTGGGGGACCAGTATAACATTCCTATTCTTGAGTCATTACTCTGACTTTCAGTAGCATCCTATATTGATTTTAAGATCTCGCTTATGGCTTTTTAGGCATTTCATGGTTTAAATATTCTATACCTTTCAGATTGATTACTTCTATATTATCTGTCACTTTTTTATTGTTAGAGCAGGGGCCGCTTTCTGCTCTGTTGTCACAAATGGATTCCCATGAGGCTAACACTTGTCATGCATCTTGCCAACAGAAATTGCTACTCCTTGAAGTAAGTAATTTGGAACCTCTTACAGCTTTTTAAAACGTAGGTGTAACTTTTTCTTTTCCACTGGATTTGGAATGCTCACTTATCTGAGGGTTTGTTCTTAGACTAACTGGAATGATTTTGGAGAAGCTTTTGTAAACACTAGATACATGAGCTTCTTGATAGTAGTGTTTATCTACTTCCCCTTCCTAAAAGTGTGTCAAACAAGCATTTTCTGGAATGCAACAGCTGTTTAAATTGCTTTCTTATCACTGATCTCAAGACTTTCCTAATATTATTTCTGTGCCTTCCCTAAAGGGGATGACTGTTTCTTCAAGATGTAGTCTAATTTGCCAAAGTTCTCAGTGATCTAATTGGTATATCTTCCTTTTTCCCTAAGAAAGCTATGAAAATACTTGTAGCCCCAGAATTTCCACAGAAAACGTCTACCTTCAATCTACAGTTAGTACAAAAATCATTGTTAATTGTAAATTTGATATCTGTACTTTATTTCCATAGAATTATCTAAAAATTAAAATTTTAAATTCATGTACTCTAAAATATCAGTTTAAAATGCATCGTAATTTTGCAATTTAAAAAAACTAAAATTTTTATAAACAATATGCATTATAATTTAAAAAGGGAAAATTTTAGACCAATTTATATTTTAGTGCCAAATACTGTCATAATTCCTATAAGTTAAATATCATTACTATAAACATTCACAGAATTGCAGAATGTGGTATCTGAAGGGCCTTTCAAGATCATCTAATCCAAATTCTTTATTTCAAAGACAATGATTTGTTTAAGGTTAAATATTTAGTGAAAGGAGTAGGAATTACAATGTTATTTTTTGTATGTTATGACAAGCCAATTTTCTCTACACTAAAGTGTCTGCCTCAGAATTTTTTCCAAGTTATTGCCAGAGTGAAGATAATAAATTGGAAGAAAAATTTAAAAATAAAACTTGTATTTATGGAAGACCCAGGCTTACCTCCCATTTTAAAGGTACGTTAGTTATTAAAAATACATCATTTGAATGCAGTAGGTTTATGGGCTGACAATTTGACAGTATTTACTCTTATAATTGGATGAGGACAGCCTCGTTGTCATATAAAAATTTTTAATACTATGCATAATAGAACTCACTTTTTCATAAGAAAAATGTTCTTATGAATAAACAACAGATTCTGCAATACGGAATAATAGAGGCCATGTGATTAATTTATTATGGGTCACAGTTATACATTTTTGGGCCATTTTCTGGCATATGTAATTAACGGCAAAAGTGTAAAAACTGATTGTAACAATAAATAATTTCCCAGATGTTTGCATTTGTGGAAGATCATGTCATATAATTCCTCTTTCTAGAAAATTACTGGGAGGAAAAAAATGTAAAATCTTTATGAAAGTGGCCTAGTGCCATTTTGTTGAACATTATGGTATGATTTTGCTGATGCAGCTGTAACAACTACCACAAAGTAAGTGGCTCCAATCAATACAAATGTATTCTCTTACAGTTCCAAAGATCAGAAGTCAGAAAGAAATCTTATGGGGCTAAAATCAAGAGGTTAGCAGAGCTAGTTCCTTCTGGAGGCTCCAGGAAAAGAATTTGCTTTCTTGGCTAGTAGCCCCAAATCACGTCTCACTTTCCATTATCATGTCACCTTTTTCCTTCTGTTGTCAAATCTCTGTGCCTCTCTCTTATAAGGACATTTGTTATTACATTTTGGGCCTGCTCAAATAGATCCGGGTAATCCCCTTATTTCAAAATCCTTAATTTAATCACATCTTTAGAGTCCTTTTTTCCAAGTAAGATTACATTCACAGGTTCTGGTGATTAGGATGCAGATATCTTAGGGCACCATTATTTAGTCTACCAGAATTAATACTAATTTTAAGACATATGTTTGTTCTCATTTAAATAGTATCTATCTGGAGGTAGAAATAAACAGGTTTTTAAATACTTAAATTATCTTTTTGGGTAGTTATTTAACTCTAACCTATACAGAAAACTTCTAACAGGACAGATGACCCCTTGACTTAGTAACAATAGCATTCCTATCAATCATCAGAGTAAGAAAGTGGTTATATTACAAAAACTGCCTTTAATTATCTCTTTTCAAAGATGTAAGGATTTAGAGTTCCTCTAAGGAAGAAGACAAAGCCCAAAGAAATAATTCAAGAGAGGAAAGCATTGGAATATGGCCCTCAGGAAAGCTACTTACTTCCATGTTTCTGTACAATTGAGTTTCTGCTTCAATGACTCAAGATAGCTGGGAGGGAAACATCCATTCCAAAGATCTAATTCTGGCATATAACTTATATGAAATTAAAATTTATTATTCATCTTCTACGACAGTCTTGGTAAATGAATGGTATTGAATTATATTTTCTTGAATTGAAATATACACTTGAATTTGTGTTCACAGATGTCCTCTTTTAATTTACTTGACATATATGTCTTTTTAGCCACGTTTTTGGTAAATAATCTGTGTGATTCAATTTAAAATGCCTATACTGCAAACCACTACAAGTATTATTTATTTTATCTTGTAATTTTATATTCAAGTATTCACATGACTCTCAATCTTGCCTTAGATAAGTAGAATTTTCAAAGTGTAAACACTTGGTCAATATTCTCTAATGTTCTCCTTTAGTCATAGGACACAGGTCAATAGCAAAGGTATTTCTCTCGATACTCTGTCCATCAAGAAAGCAGGGTGCTTTGGTTCTGGGCTCGGGGTTTATTTCCTAGTTAAAGGTCAACATCATTGCTCACAGAACAAAATCCTTATTTACTACCATTCCTGGATCTGGTTCCAGTCAAAGAAGCATCTTGGTTTAAGTGTTTCTGTTTTATAGGAGTCTGAGTCTTCAGCCACTATTCATGGTCTTGGAGACTTGAATGATATTTTCCAAGCTTTGGCGAGTAACCACACTACTTCCTCCTCACATACCTTATGCTTTCTAAATACCCATCCACTTGACTCTTCATTACATTTTCCAAAAAATTACCCTGATTAATTCTACCCTTTCTAGATTGCCAAATGCCAAATAGGAAAGAGAATGGCAACAATGTCCCCAAAATATGTAACTTTGGAAAATCTATTTTATTTCACACATAAGTAAACAAATTCTCAAAATAGCATTTCTAAAATTAAAAAATAGATCAACTGTTCTAGCCTTGTACATATGATTTAAAAGAGCAGAATTTTAACCTCAAGCTACTGAGAGGTATAAAAGAATAGAGAGCAACAAGAAGAATGGAATTCCAGGAAAAAAGAATAGTGGAGTTAAATTATCTATAGACCTTGGAAAATCAAAGATCTGCTTAGGAAATGCTTCAGAACACTGAAAGCCTATTTTTAAAAGTATGCAAAGCATTTTACCCATTTCCTGTGCCCAATTTCCACTTCATATTTCCAAGGCTATCACATGAACACCGAGACTAATGAAAACTACATGTGTGGAGTAGAGAAAATGGGTGACACATTCTATCAGGATTTAGTTCTACACAATATATGAAAAGGCCATTCTCTGTCCCATAACTTTCCAACTTTTTCTTACGAGGCTAACAATCTCTCCTTTACTGACAGCCTTCCTATTCATATTTTATAGATATATATTGGATTCCCACCAGGCTTGTTTGCAATTTGAATTGCCTCAAAAATTTCCTATGGGCAAGGGTTGGCAGGAATCCTCTCTCGATCTTATTTAAAGAGCAGAGGTTTAGAATTCTCCTAAATGGATAGAGTTATCCTATCCATTCACAATTACCTTCAGGTTTTCTGGAGACTTACTATAAATAAGAATTTGTTTCCAGCTTCATCCATGTCCCTACACAGGACATGAACTCATCATTTTTTATGGCTGCGTAGTATTCCATGGTGTATATGTGCCACATTTTCTTAATCTAGTCTATCATTGTTGGACATTTGGGTTGGTTCCAAGTCTTTGCTATTGTGAATAGTGCCACAATAAACATATGTGTGCATGTGTCTTTATAGCAGCATGATTTATAATCCTTTGGGTATATACCCAGTAATGGGATTGCTGGGTCAAATGGTATTTCTAGTTCTAGATCCCTGGGGAATCGCCACACTGACTTCCACAATGGTTGAACTAGTTTACAGTCCCACCAACAGTGTAAAAGCTGGAAACCATCATTCTCAGCAAACTATCGCAAGGACAGAAAACCAAACACCGCATGTTCTCACTCATAGGTGGGAACTGAACAATGAGAACACATGGACACAGGAAAGGGAACATCACACACCGGGGCCTATTGTGGGGTGAGGGGAGAGGGGAGGGATAGCATTAGGAGATATATCTAATGTTAAATGACGAGTTAATGGGTGCAGCACACCAACACGGCACATGTATACATATGTAACTAACCTGCACGTTGTGCACATGTACCCTAAAACTTAAAGTATAATTTAAAAAAAATAATTTGTTAAAGTTCATTTGTAATAACTATCAATCTGAACTACAAATCTAGCTGAAATATTCTCAACATAATTTTATGTTTTTATTACTTTTTTAAACTATTATTTTAGGTTCAGGGTTACATGTACAGGTTTGTTATACAGGTAAACTCATGTCACAGAGGTTTGTTGTACACATTTCATCACCCAGATATTAAGCCTAGTACCTATTAGTTATTTTTTCTGATCCTCTCCCTCCTCCAAACATCCACCCTCAAGCAGGCCCTAATGTCTGTTGTTCCTCTTTTTGTGTCCATGAGTTATCACCATTTAGCTCCCATTTATAAGTGAGAACACGAGGTATTTAGTTTTCTGTTCCTGCATTAGTTTGCCAAGGATGATGGCCTCCAGCTCTGTCCATGTTCCCGCAAAAGACATGATGCCATTCTTTTTTATGGATGCATAGTATTCCATGCTGTATATGTACCGTATTTTATTTATCTAATGTATCACTGATGGGTATGCAGGTTGATTGCATGTTTTTTTCTATTGTGAATAGTGCTGCAATGAATGTTCGTGTGTATGTGTCTTTAGGGTAGACGGATTTATATTCCCTTGGATATAAACTCAGTAATGGGATTGGTAGGTCGAATGGTAGTTCTGTTTTTAGCTCTTTGAGGAATTGCCATACTGCTTTCCACAGGCTGAACTAATTTACACTCCCACCAGCGGTGTATAAACGTTCCCTTTTCTCCACAACCTCGCCAGTATCTGTTATTTTTTGACTTTTTAATAATTGCCATTCTGACTGGTATGAGATGGTATCTCACTGTCGTTTTTGATTTGCGTTTCTCCAATGATCAGTGATATTGAGCGTTTTTTTCATATGCTTTTTGGCCACATGCATATCTTCTTTTGAAAAGAACATAATTTTAAATAATACCTTTTCAATGTTAAATTTTCAGAAGTCAAGTTAAAATATATAAACATATAGTCTGCCAACACTCAATGACTAAGCCAGGGCACATGTGATTTGTACATACAGTCCCAATTCTACAACACAAGTCTCATTTAAATAGATGCTTTTTACTATTTCTAAAGCAACAATGATAATAACATAGAAAATAGAGAACCATGGCCCTAGTATAAATGATGGAATCAGAATTCATTTTTCTCATAAAATTATTATCTATATACTTATCAGCTATTACTAAAAAGTCAAGTACCTGATAAAAAGAATCAACTGCTTTAGATAAGATTTCATATGCAATAAATCAATTCTGCTCTTCAGTACCCCCTTTTTCTAAGAACTTTGACTTTACTAAATTGCTATAGCTATTCTATAATAAAATAATTTGCATTTGACATGAAAATAATATTTACTAGTCATGAAACTTTGGCAGCCAAAACTAATCACATCAATTAAAAGATACTAAACAAGCAAAATAATTCTTTGGTGTCAGAATGTTGTTTCAGTAAGTTTTAGTTAAGTCTTATACTATTTAAAAGAGTGTTACTGTGCAGCAATAATTTTTCCAATCATATTGCATAAAATCAATTGCATCTGTGGAAAGTTAAATGCGAAAATATATTTGAAATAATATAGTAACTTTATATCAGAACATGTATAACTGCAATTCAATCCATGGCTGATATTTGCCACACCCTGCTTCCACTTGGTTTATAGAAATATCTGTGAACTAAACTGAGTATCCTACATAAGTCAAATTTGCTTACATTAATCATTCTCAAACATTTTTGTTCTCAGGATCCGCTTACATTCTTTTTTTTTTTTTTTTTTTTTTAAACAGAGTTTCGCTCTTGTTGCCCAGGCTGGAGTGCAATGGTGAGATCTCGGCTCACCACAACCTCCACCTCCCAGGTTTAAACAATTCTCCTGCCTCAGCCAGCTGGGATTACAGGTGCACGCCACCATGCCAGGCTAATTTTGTATTTTTAGTAGAGACGGAGTTTCTCCTTGTTGGTCAGGCTGGTCTCGAGCTCCCAACCTCAGGTGATCCGACCTCAGGTGATCCGCCAACCTCGGCCTCCCAAAGTGCTGGGATAACAGGTATGAGACACTGCACCCTAACCAGGATCCATTAGTATTCTTAAAAATTATTAAGAAACGCAAAAGGCTTTTGATTGTATAGGTTGTATCTACTGATAATTACCATTTTGGAAATGAAAACTGAGAAATTAGAAAATATGTATTAATTCATTATAAATAGCAATAATAAATAACATATTTTTTGTGCAAAATAACTATCTTCCCTAGCAAAAAAAAAAAATGGTGGTAAGAAGGGCAGTGTTTAACATTTTTCAAATTTCTTTAATATCTGGGTTAATTAAAAAAGAGATGGATTCTCTTATCTGCTTCTAAATTGGGTATATTGCCATTTGTTATTTTGGTTATAGTATTTGGAGAAAATCCAGCCTCAGATATGTAGCCGGAAATGGGAGGGTATTTTCAGATAATTGTGGATATTTTTCTTTGATACTACACCCCAACTCAGCAAGAGGTAGTTTTTGAAATATTATTTACAGTTTGGACTCAGAAGTCATATCAATAAACCTTTTATACCTTGTTGAATTAAAATCCACTGGTAATATCATGCATTGGTCATTTTGGTGTATTAGTTTGTGGAGTTATGCAGGTCTTCCAAATACTGATAAATGCATTATGTCATTTAAAAATCCCATTTGTTAATATCATGCTTATCTTTTTAGAAAAGTCTGTACATTTTGGAAGGACGTCAAGCTCTCAATAGCACGTACAATACTTTTGATACACTTGTGGTTTGAATCTGCAGATGTGAAAGTTTCTTTATCCAAGACAATGCAAAAATAATATGAATTAAAACAAAAACAAAGACAAAAAAAAACAGCTGAGTGCAGTGCACATGCCTGTAGTCTGAGCTGCCCCAGAGTCTGAGGTGGGCAAATCACTTGGGCCCAGGAGTCCAGCCTGGACAACAGAGCATTACCCTATCTCTAAACAACAAACCCAATCTAGTATAACAACAATTTACACAGTGTTTACATTGTATTAGGTATTAGAAGTAATCTAGAGATTATTTAAGGATTCAGGAGGATGTGTGTAGACTATATGCAAATACTATGCCATTGTATGTTGGGAACTTGCATCCTCAGGTTTTGGTATCTGCAGGGGTCCTAGAACCAATCCCCCTTGGACACTGAAGGATGACTGAATAAGTTCTACAAAATTCTAATTTTCATTTGAAAGCTCAAATGTTTTATGGACAATAAATATTATAACTTGTTTTATTTGAAGTGACAGGCCCATTTTGTTCATTTTCAAGCAAATGTATGTCAAATGGTTTAGTCTGAATAATCACAGTTTGCCTGTCAATTGTTAAGTAAAAATGATGTTTTATTTAAAAAAAAGGCTAGTTCAATTCACAGCTCCAAATATCACACAAGTGCTTTTCCTAGAGACAGCTTACTTTGATGTGCAGCAGAACTGTTTTAAATGTACTTCACAATTCATCACAAAGAATATGTACTAAAGTGTTGAGATTTAATGCAATTAATATCAATTTTATTTTACTTTCAATGGAAAAAAAAGCAATTATTTTTGCACCAACCTAATATTTACAACAACAACTAAACTCTTAATTACAGTTCACCATACAAGTGCCTGGCAGTGAGAAACACAGTGAGTACTTTTGGCACCACTGCCTTGGTTTATATTAAGGTATCAGCAGTTGTATCCACCATTGTTTTTACACCATGAGCACAAATGTCAACAGAGTGAAAAAGACAGATATCTTACTACTATTTGAAAATAGTTTATAGGTCCTTCCTCTCCCCCTCTTTCTTCTGGAAAGGGTCTTATGGATCCCCAAGGGCTTATAGATCACACTTTAGGAACTGTTGGTCCAGACAACACTGAACAAATAAAGAAAACACTTGGTAACAAGTTAAAAATATTGTTTTCAAATCTTTAAAAAATTCAGTATTTTCTGAATATGTTTATATACAATAAAACGATTATTAAAAATAACTGTTTCCCTTTGTCACAAAATATTTTATTGCTTATTGAGGTTCTGGCCAAATGAATGACATAGAAACTTAGAGAAAAGGAAAAAAATCTCCCTACGGCACTAGATTCCAACTCTGATCCCAATTGGATGGCCTAGAGCTTAGAGCCCTTAAACTCGTTTTTCAGGGAATAGTTTCCCTACTAGGTGTCTATAAGGAAAGAGTTGTGGTGCTATTGGTGAATGACAAGGTTCAGTAACATTAACACCTAAAGGAGATAATACAAATCCAAATCAAATAGACATTCATTTTCACCTCTCTGTCCCCATCATCTTTCTATCAGTAATACCTATTTATTTTCATGACTATGGAAGCCAAATTAAACTAGCACATGTGTTCCACACTACGCTGGCCTGTAGCTGACTTTTACGTAAAAATTCATACTGGTCTGATTTGATTTTCTAACTTTTAGGTTCAGAGATACATGTGCAGGTTTGTTATATAGGTAAATTACTTGTCTCAGGGATTGATGAAGAGATTATTTTGTTACTCAGGTAATAAGCATAGTACCTGATAGGTAATTTTTCGATCCTCACCCTCCTGCCTCCCTCCACCCTCAAGTAGGCCTTGATGTCTGTTGTTCCTTTCTTGTGTCCATATGTACTCAATGTTTAGCTCCCACTTATAAGTGAAAGCATGCAGTATTTGGTTTTCTGTTCCTGTGTTAGTTTGCTTAGGATAATGGCCTCCAGCTCCATTCATGTTGCTGCAAAGGACGTGATCTCATTATTTTTTAATGGCTGCATAGTATTCCGTGGTGAATACATATCACATTTTCTTTATCCAGTCTGCCACTGATGGACATTTAGGTTGATTCCATCTCTTTACTATTGTTAATAGTGCTGCAATGAACATATGCATGCATGTGTCTTTATGGTAGAGTGATTTATGTATACTCAATAATGGAATTGCTGGGTTAAATGGTAATTCTATTTTAAGTTGAGAAATTGCCAAACTGCTTTCCACAATGGCTGAACTAATTTACAGTCCCACCAGCCGTGCATAAGTATTCCCTTTTCTCCACAACCTCACCAGCATGTTATTTTTCGATGTTTTAGTAACAGCCATTCTGACCAGTATGAGACAGTATTTCATTGTGGTTTTGATTTACATTTCTCTAATGACTAGTGATGTTGTGCATTTTTTTCATATGCTTGTTGGCCACATGAATGTCTTCTTTTGAAAAGTGCCTGTTCAGCTGGATGCAGTGGCTCACACCTCTAATCCTAGCACTTTGGGAGGTCGAGGCAGGTGGATCACTTGAGGTCAGGAGTTCAAAACCAGCCTGGCCAACATGGTGAAACCCTGTCTCTACTAAAAATACAAAAAAAAATACCCGGGCGTGGTGGCATGCACCTGTAATCACAGCTACTTGAGAGGCTGAGAGAGGAGAATTGCATAACCCCGGAAGGTGGAGGTTGCAGCAAGCTGAGATTGCACCACTGCACTCCAGCCTGGGTGAGAGAGTGAGACTCTGTCTCTAAATAAATAAATAAATAAATAAATAAATAAATAATAAAAGTGTCTGTTCATGTACTTTGCCAACATTTAATGGGTATTTTTTTCTTGTATTTAAGTTCCTTATAGGTTTTGGATATTAGACCTTTGTTGGATGTATAGTTTGCAAATATTTTCTCCAATCCTATAGGTTGTCTGTTTACTCTGTGGATAGTTTCTTTTGTGCAGAATATCCTTAGTTTAATGAAGTCCCATTTGTCAATATTTGTTTTTGTTGCGATTGCTTGTGGCATCTTTGTTATGACATCTTTGCCAGGTCCTATGTCCAGCATGGTATTTCCTAGGTTATCTTCCAGGGTTTTTATAGTTTTTGGTTTTAGATTTAAGTCTTTAATCCATCTTGAGTTAATTTTTGTATATGATGTAAGGAAGGGGTCCAGTTTTAATCTTCTGTATATGGCTAGCCAGTTGTCCCAGCACCATTTGTTGAATAGAGAGTCGTCTTCCTATTGCTTGTTTTTGTCTATTTTGTCGAAGATCAGATGGCTGTAGGTGTGCAGCATTATTTCTGGGCTCTCTATTCTGTTCCATTGGTTTATGTGTCTGTCTTTGTAGCAGTAGAGAAAATACTTGCAAACAAGTTAAAAAATACTTTTTCCAATCTAAAAAAATCAGTCCTTTGTTAATTTGTTTATACAAAATCAAATAAAACTGTTAATAAAAATAAATTTTTAAAATCCAAAAACATGAAGTTAAAGTAAGCAGTTTGTTATAAAACTAAGAGCATTTGAAGTATGAGTTAGGAATACAACTACCATATTGATTGAGATGTTTAGGAATGTACAGTTTTGTGTTTAACCCGAACTTACTTAGTAATATGTCCTAACGGTGTAAATGATTAGAATGCAGAGCTCTATTATTATTTACAAATAACTACTCTTAGTTTGTAAAATATTTTGAGCTGACAGAACTTAATTGGACCCAAAATAGTTTCATAATTGCAAAAGATAAAATAAGCCCAGTTAAAAAGTTTTGCTTACAATTCAGTTATTCAAATATTTAAGTAGTGTTTATCAAATTTCTCAGCCTACATCCTGTTATGGTTTTTGACAGCTATTGTTCAGTGTATTTAGAGTACATGATTATCTTACATTACAAGGGTAAATTTTTTTTTTTAACATCTGGATAGACAGGCAGTGGCCATTGCCCAATACGTTGAAGCATTTCAATTGTCACTGAATCAAAACAGACCATTTGGCCACATATCTAAAACTGCAGGTAAGTTACGGAAATTTGCAAAGAGAATACACTCTTTTTAGTTATTCAAGTTTCTTTCTCTATCAGGCATTATAACCTAAGTAAAATGTGCATTCAAATCACACCTGTTTCAGTTTCTCAAAAGTGCAATTTCAGCTAATTTAACAATTCATTCCTCTTAGGGATACATTTTACTGGGAGATTTAAGCTAGTGAAATCAGCCTGAGTAAATCATGCAGTTAACTGATTTTTGATAATAGAAAAATTTGGCTGGTTGGAAATGCTTAAAGACTGTGTAAGTACAGAATGTGGTGGGTCACTAGAAAAAAATTCTGCTTCTATAACCAGGAGGCAAAGGCTCAAGTTTCATGTCACTAACTTCAAGTGCCATTCTCTAAAAATCTATTCTTGGTCTATTACCCAAAAACAAAAATTAGAAAGTTGACAGAAATAATAAATTCAGGGTTACACTAAAATATAATACAGAGGGGTGGTTGAATATCATGAGCTTTTATATTCCTTCTGTCAGATGCCAACTCTTTACTTAAAATTCTTATAAAAATTTCTGTTTGAAAGGCTAGATACCAGTGTGCTGTTTCCTGTCTATACATGTCAGATTTTAAGCTTTAGAATAGTGAAAAAAATGCTCTGTGCTTGTAGTATAGGAACATATAATGGCTTGATTATATTAGAAAACAAAAGCCAGTATTATCATTTTCAATTCAATTATTGAATGTGACTTGGTTTCTTTGGGTGGTCACTTTAGGTACCACCTCTACGTATCATTGCACAAAGACAATATTCATCACCAGCTTACATAGCAAGCAAGACCTTCCTCAGTTTTCTCAATCTCTGCTGCCACATATACCAGCTGATCTCTCTTCCTCAAAACCAATACCAGCCATGAAATTCATTAAGTTCAAAGATGTCATGTTTTGTGGTATATCCCAGGCATTTGTGTGTGTGTGTGTGTGTGTGTATGTGTTGTGTGTGTGAAATGGCTCCTTCACTTTGTAGAAGGGTAAGAAAAGCCATGTAATGTTTCTTCAGGAAGACGTCCTTCTCTAGCTACTCTTGTAATCTAAGCAAGAAGTATATGGTTTCAGGGAGTTTAAGGCTCTGTGTAACCCAGAGCCTCTGTGTTAAGTTCCTGTTTATAAATTATTGGAATAGGCTAACAAGAAAGACTGTGAAATCTATAAGCATAAATGTTTCTGTTTTCTTGTTCTGATTTAAGAGGGGCATATTTCTTTTGAAGTTCTTTTGGATTCTTAACCAAAAGAACTTATTAAAACTAAATAACTTATTATTTAGAACTTATTAAAGGAACTTATTAAAACGAAATAATCACAAAATGAAGTAATTACTCTGGAAAGTGCAATTTAAAATATGTAACTACAGCTTTTGAAATACTTGGGTGTTATATATACAGCATAAATATAATGATATCAGCCGTGGGGTAAATCCTATCACTGTATACATATTGTGTAAAATATTGGTTAATAGAAAAATAATGACTTTAATAAATAATTACATGTTAAAATTACAAATAGTTTAAGTGATATAAATATAAATTGATAGAAATAAATAAAATAGCCATATTGTTACAAAATTAATATCAATTTTATGTCACATACAAAAACCACTTAACTAGCTCAAGTTTTTCTATCCTAAAAGCAGAGGATTTTTTTATTTCTTGGCTTGACAAGAGAACCAATTAAATAGATGTTTTCAGTTTATTAATAATCCATTGTGTTATTCTGGCCATTCTTATAACAACTTTATTCATCTTATAGTAGCACATTATTTTCTAGAAAAAAATACTGTTTCTGCTTTATGTTATGGTTTCTCTATGTATTACTTATCCATGCTATAGGTTACCTGGAGAAAGACTCCTTTTCCACTCATTTCTGGATTACAGGATTTTGCATATAGAGAATCTGTTTTTGCTTTTTTTCCCTTTCCTACTCCATCCTGAGACAGGATTGAAATTTATTTGTGAACAAACACAACTGAAAAAATATACTTAAACCAGCTGAGGAAAAATAAAAGAGCAATAGATAAGCATGGGCCATAAAATAGACCTATCTACTTCCTGAAAGCAAATAACGAGTATAAGCCTACATATCCTAGCAGACACTATTAAAAGGGAAACCTGGTCAATTCAGTGCCCCTGAGATCAAACAAACAGAAGGTGCAGAATAAATCCTATTCACTCTTCCTGATACTTACACCTGACAAAAATTTCTGGTCCTAAAGTAGGTATTGTGAATTTAATGGACAACATCCTCTTTATAGTGAACACAACAATGAGCTTCATCAGAGCCATTTCTTACAGTGACCCTCAAGGTAAGTAATTCTATAGAGAAGAGATAATACGGGATCAGAAATAGCTTTCTGCTGGTCTGATTTAATTCAAGAAGAGATTTTATATTACCTAAAAGAATGGATTACTGAATCGCAGTTTTGACCAAAGAGATCGTAGCTATAGAGAGTGTGTTTTTGACAATTCCTGCAATTGCCTGTGCTGTAAATTATAGAGGAACCAAACACCTCAGCACCTAGCTATGCTGGGGTAACAGTTGACATGCTGTTGGAGCAAATGTGTAGAGGAACAGTGTGTCTCTGCATAGAGAGGAGCTGAGGAAATACTCCTAAATTGGCTCAATATTTCTTTAGTTTCCTGTGTTCCCAATGCCAAGGTTAGTGCCTGGCAATGAATTGAATTTGCTATATTTGCGAAACTTCGGTTTTACTTTTGGTATTCAAACAACTTCTATTTACTCATGCCAAAATTCTGTTTTTTGTTTTTTGTTTTGTTTTGTTTTGAGATGGGATCTTGCTCTGTCACCCAGGCTGGAGTGCAGTGGCACGAACTCGGCTTACTGCAACCTCCACCTCCCAGGTTCAAGCAATTCTCCTGCCTCAGCCTCCTGAGTAGCTGGGATTACAGGCACAAACTGCCATGCCTGGCTAATTTTTGTATTTTAGTAGAGGCGAGGTTTCACCATGTTGATCAGGCTGGTCTCGACGATCCACCTGCCTCGGCCTCCCAAAATGCTGGGAGTACAGGTGTGAGCCACCACGCCCAGCCAATTCTTTTTAAAACAAAAGACCATTTTAAAATACAATTAATACCACTTGATATCCTTTTTCTGAATATACCTGTCCTTGACTTCAGAGCTGTTTATATTTTATGTAAGTAGTTGACAAAAATCTCCTGTCCCTGGAAAATGTATAATTCAGATAGCCTTAAAATACAATCATTATATATTTAGAGTTAAATAAATATACGTAAAATGAATTTTTAAATGTAAAATATATAATATGCAAATTAAACAAAAAATACTTAAAGATAGCTTGAATCAAAGCTATAATAATCATGAAAAAATTATGTTTATACATTTATATTTATAATTATATAGTTTTCAAATACATTAGGCATGCTATTTCCTAACCGTTAAAACCTTACTAGGGACATTCTACTATGAACAAATCTCATGGCCTTACCACTCTAGGAACATCTCATATAACCCTGGTGCTTTTAGATAGTATTTTATTTTTATTATGCTTATCTTCGTTCAACTGTATTTTGTTTATATTTTTGTTTTCTGGAAGATCTATGGCTTCTGGTGGGTGTTTTCAAAATTTGTTCTATATTGAAATCTATTTAACAAAACATGCTGCTTCCAAATTGTTCAAGTTTTTGCTGTTTTTAATGAAGGATGCATAATTCTTTCACTTATGAAGAAATGTACACATTTAGGTCTTTCTATCTTGTAAGAAAAATCCATGATTTTTAATAACTGATATATATCCTTCCTGTATCATAATTTTATGCTTCTTCAGAGGATGTCAAATTGATCTTCTAATAATGGTCATTATGTACAGCTCTGCTTGATTGCACTGTTTAAAATAAAATCCTTGCAATATTTTAGAGTTGCATTTAGTTTTTGTTTTTGTTTTTGAGACAGGGTCTTGCTCTGTTGACCAGGCTGGATTGCAGTGGCATGACCTTGGCTCACTGCAGCCTCTTCCTCCTGGGCTGAAGTAATCCTCCCACCTCAGCCTCTTGAGTAGCTGGGACTACAGGTGCAGGCTACCATGCCTGGATAATTTTTGTATTTTTAGTAGAAACGGGTTTTCACTATGTTGTCCAGGCCAGTTTCAAACTCCGGAGCTCAAGTGATCTGCCTGCCTCAGCCTCCCAAAGTGCTGGGATTACAAGCATGAGACTGTGCCTGGCTTGCATTCAGTTTTATAGAAACTTCTAATTACTTGCTATTTTCCTTCTACAAAGCATGTAGGATTTTTATGAGCAATGCTATTTTGACCTTCCTCAAAAGTTTCAAAACTACAGGTGCCACGGCTTTAAAGAGTCACTGGATAAAAAGAAAAGCTGCCATAAAAAAGAACAGATGTCCTCTCTTAGGGCTCTTGTTATGCTTTTTTCCTTAAAGTTAGAGCAACTTCTAAAGTTAATGTTTCCTGCATAAGCATTCTCATTGTTACTATGTTTTCTCCAAGTCTGGTTCTGAATTTCATGAAAAGGGCAGAAATATTCCTTGCGTCAGTCTCCTAATGTATCTTTGCCTTCTCTAGCTAAAGCTTCTGCCGTGACTGTCCTTCCTTTGTCTTGCATTGATGAGAACACTTGGTATACAGAGTTCTCTCTTCAGTGTGTCCTGGGTTCGTCTGGAACTTTCTCCTCACATCATTTAGCATTTTTCCTGTATTCTCGAGTTTTACAGTCAAATCAAAAGACTAGAGTAAAAGTGATAATCCTTGAAAAGCGCTTATCATGGCTAAGTAAGGAGATTTACAATTGGCTTTTACCAGAGAATAATATTAAGACACGGAGAAGTTGTGTTAGGCCATTCTTGCACTGCTATAAAGAAATACCTGAGACTGGGTAATTTATAAGAAAAGAGATGTAATTGGCTCACGGTTCTGCAGGCTGTACAGGAAGCACAGTGGCATCTGCTTCTGAGGAGGCCTCAGGAAGCTTCCAATCATGGTGGAAGGCAAAGGGGGAGCAGGTACGTCACACGGTGAGAATGGAGCAACAGAGAGAGAGTCGGCAGGAGGTACTTTTAAACGACCAGATCTTGTAACAAATTACTGACTGTCGCAAAGACAGCACCAAGCCATAAGGGCTCTTCTCCTATAGCCCAAATACCTCCCATCAAGCCCCACCTTCAGCACTGGGGATTACATTTCAACATAAGATTTGGGTGGGGACAAATATCCAAACCATATCAGAAGTTAAATTAATTGTCCAAGATCCACCACATTCAAAGTTAAATAACAGACACTTGAAATGAGTCCATTTGATTCCAGAGCATGGGCTCTTAAATGTTATATTTATATTATTTATAGAAGCTTCCCAAGGACTATGAATGAGGACAGAGGATGAGATTTGGAATAGTGAACAGAGAGAACTGAAAGAGGACACTGACCAAAGATAGGTCATCACATGAGACACTTCTGAAACCCCAGCATAGAAACCACCTGAGGATAAGACAAATCCTTTATTTTAAGAAGGAGGAGAGTAAATGTCAACGCCATTCCATTTTCATTTGGTTTCATAGTCTTGATTTTATCAAATTATATAAGAACAAATACTTTCTTTAAAAAAATCCTATCTTCTTCATTTTCCTATCTTTATTATATCCCAAACTACAGCAATAATAGGAGTAACCTTATCTCTCCTTCTTTTTTCTTTTCATTAACCAACAATTCCTGTTTCATATTAGTATTATTATTATTTTGAGATGGAGTCTTACTCTTATGTCCCAGGCTGGAGTGCAGTGGCGTGATCTCAGCTCACTGCAACCTCTGCCTCCCAGGTTCAAGTGATTCTCCTGCCTCAGCCTCCCAAGTAGCTGGGAGTACCGGTGCCTGCTACAACCCGGCTAATTTTTTATTTTTTTATTTTTTTATTTTTTTTGGTATTTTTAGTTGAGATGGGTTTTCACCATGTTGGCGGCTGGTCTCTAACTCCTGACCTCATGATCCGCCCGCCTCGGCCTCCCAAAGTGCTAGGATTACAGGCGTAAGCCACCGCACCTGGCCTCTGTTTCGCATTATTGTATCCTTCTTTGCTTATGTATTGATGAGAATAGAAGCATTAACACAAAATCTGTCTTCAAATTCTTTTGTCCCAACCAATACCTTAAAGTCAACCTCCACCAGAATAATCCCTTATGTTTGCTTGAGCTTCTAGTTCTCCTTTTAACATTTTTTTCTAGATAAAGTTGTTATTGCAGTTTTGTGGGGTTTTTTTTCTTTAGATGGGCTCTTGCTATGTTGCCCAGGCTGGTCTCCAACTCCTGGGCTCAAGATATCCTCCCGCCTCAGCCTCCCAGTAGTTGGGACTACAGGTGTCCCCCTCCATGCCCAACTCTCATTATTGCAGATTTTAATTCATATATCTCTGAAGCACCAAAATAATGCCTACTTTCATCTGTTTTTGAACTTCGCAGAGGCAGTGCTTTGTTGGTTTCTATCTGAAACACTAAGCAGAGGCCACTGCAATGCCTTGACTACCTACAGTGATTATTCTCTGGCCTTAAACCGCTGAAGTGAAGCTACCAAGTGGGCAGACAGCATTTTGCTTTAGAGTTTCAGGACTTTAGAAAGAAGCTTAAAGCCTGTGACTCTGGCAGTGACACCCCTGTCTCTGCTGGTCTCTACCCCATATGCTGACATTATCCCTCTATTCTCTCTTTACTGTCATTGGAATAACACACTTTGCTTCTACAACTGCCTTCCATCCAAAAATGTCTATTGCTTTTTCTGGAACCTCTGTTCTCTGATCAATTCTCCACTTTTTCATACTCTTCATAGAACATTCCTACTGATTTTTTTTTCTTTAACTGAAATCTACATCTCCACCAGGACACCTATGTAGTTAAGGGAGAGGTAGGCAGGTGTGTTCTCTTGTCTTTTATTTCCCCTTCCACACACCCCCTCCTCCAGCTTCCTATGTATTACTTCCTTTAAAGATCATGCCATCCAGGTATAACACCTGATAACCTTTCATTTTACTTTTACTTATTGTCACTCTCCTACTTTTGCTAAAGACTTCTTTACACCTTAAATAGTGAAATTATCTTGGATGATTTTAACATCCATGGAGTTGTCCAGTCTGACACTCTTAGAGTGCTTCGGCTTCCTCAAAGATTATATCCATAGCTCTGTAACCCCCTGAACTCATTGACACACCCATTTGTGCAACCCCAAAATGTCCCACTTCTGAAATTTTAAACCAATCATCCCATTTTGTAACTATAATATTTTTCTCTTACTATCATATTTTGTGATTTATTTGCTGGGCCCATCAAGAGATTTACTCTCTATATTTCACTCAGTAAATAAGAACTTTAAGGTGAGAACTGTCTTAGCTTCTCCTGTCTCCATCCACCACATTTAGGTTTTCACAGCCATTTTTCCCCCTCTTTCACTAGAAGACAAATATCTTCACTTATCTGGGTACAAGTTCTCTTATGATTTTACTCTGTATTTTCCATTTACTAGCAAATTTGCTTTTCTTTTCCTTCCTATCCTCCTTAGATACCAACTCTATCATTTCAATTACTACAGTGTACTGTCTTCAGTACACTTTTTGTTTCATATTTGTGTTTAGGTCTCAAGCAATCTACAAAATTCCAGCTCTGAATTTTTTTTAAAAAATAAGAGTTTTCTTTTAAATTTGAGCTGTTGACATAGGAGAAAATGACCTGCTGCTACTACTACACATTCAAGGTCTATAAGTGAATCTGTTTCCTCAATGCTTCGTCTATGTTTTCAGCCAGCCACATCTCACTTATACTTTTCAACAATAAACCTCTTCACTAAATCTCTGACTTTACAATATTTTCATTTTCTTATTTAAAGATTGAACTCACCTCATTTAAAAACCATCTTATTGAATGAACTCATGTCCTTTGCAGGTACATGGATAAAGCTGGAAGCCATCATTCTCAGCAAACCAACACAGGAACAGAAAACCAAACACCGCATGTTCTCACTCATAAGTGGGAGTTGAACAATGAGAACACATGGACACAGGGAGGGGAACATCACACACCGGGGGACTGTCAGGGGGTTGAGGGAAAGGGGAAGGAGAGCATTAGGACAAATACCTAGGGCATGCGTGGCTTAACAGGTTGATACGTGCAGCAAACCATCATGGCACAGGTATACATATGTAACAAACCTGCACGTTCTGCACATGTATCCCAGAACTTAAAGTAAAATAAAATAAAATAATTAAAATTAAAAATTAAATAAAAAACCATCTTATCTGCCACCTTTCTTCTCTATCCTTTCTAACCAAGGTTAGTGCTTCTGCCAGGACTCTGTGTGTTCCAATTCCATTCTGCATCCTTGGGGAGTTGGCTTTGTGAAACATCTCCTTTGCTCGTGTAAAACACATTAACATTTCTTCCTCTATTAGTTTTTTCTCCTTGGCAAATAAGCAGGCTCAAGTGCCCCCACCTTAAAAAAGTCCCTTTACTCTATTTCTGTCGACTAATTTCCCTCTTTCTAACACAATCTATGCTTTTGAAAGAATAAGCTATAATGAATTTGTCTACCTTTCTAGTTTCTTTTCAGCACATTGAAATATGGCTTCTTCCTCCACCACTTTGTCAAACTTCTTAACTATGATCTATTAATTATCTCTAGTATCTTTTACTTTTCTGCATTATTTGACATGTTTGACTACTCCTTTTCTGTAGAAACCATTTTTTTACTTTGCCTGATGGTTGGTTTTCTTCCTTTTTTCCCACAACTTCTCATATGATCTTCTGAATGTTCATGCTCATGAAATTCTTATGTTCTCATGAAATATGAGTGCTCCGCAAATTCCTCTGTACCCTTAGCAACCTGCTCTCACTTCTCTCAGTGGACTTTTTTTTGATACTTTAATAACACCATATGCAAATGCTTCCCAAAACTTCAATGCAATATTTGTCCCTAGGATCCAGAGATGTATCAACATCTTACATCTCTGCTTAGATGGGACAGACAACCCAACCCAATCTTTTCAAAACTAAACTCATAATCCCCTCTCCGTCACAGGTGCTCTTCCTCTTAGTAAAAGGCATTTGTCACTTACCCGGTTTCATAAGCTAGAAACCTGAGACTTATCCTCAACTCCTCTGTCCCACCAGTTCCCACATCCAATTAGTGACTAAGGTTTCAGCAAATCCCATTAATTTTCTCTCAAAATGTTCCTTTCTTCTCTTTATTTATCCCCATTCTCACTGCCTCTCTTGAAATATTACTTTAAGCCTGGATTACCGTAAGAATCTCCCATCTGTATTCCTGTCTCCAAACACATTCCAATCACAATTCAGTCTTCACACTGCTGACAGTCATCCTCTTTATAAAGAGTCAGAATGGGTGTATCCATTAGCACCTTAAAACCCTGGACTCACTTCTCTTTCCTTTCAGGATAATGTTCAGATTTAGTTTCCAGTGCCATTTGCAGCTCCGTACACGAAGGTCTCCCACTACATGGCCATGCTGACTTTTACTTTTGGCTGACCTGGTCTATTCAGAGATAAACCATGTTTTCAATTGCACTGTTATCTTTGTCAATAAGTGCTTTCCAAATTTCTATCATATACTGTTTCTACCTGGCTAGCTCCTACATATTCTTAAAAATTTTAAATCAAAATTTAGATCAAAGTCATCTTATTGGTGAAACCTCCATGGGCCCCTATTTTGATTTAGATGCTTCTTCTTGAACTGTTCAATGCACCCCACATTTATCACCCTGTACTTTTTCTTTTCTCATTCCATTTTTCTGTCTAGATTGTAAGCTCAATGCAGTCGGCATCATAGTGATAACAATTTTATATACAACTTTCAACAATATCTGGCATGTGTTAGTCCTTCCAGAACTGTTTAATGAATTTATTCCTTGATGGACTACTAAAGCACTCAGTAAAAAAAAAAAAAAAAAAAATATATATATATATATATATATATATATATAAACTATATATATATATATAAACTATATATATATAAACTATATATATATAAACTATATATATAGTTTTAAGGAGCATATAGTAGCATGGAAAATAATCTACTGCTAAGTGAAAAAATGTGTATAAAATTATAAGTTAATCATTACAGTTTTGTAAAAAATATAGATGTAGAGAGAAAAAGAGCATAAAAATTTATCCAAATATTGATGGTTGAATTATAGATCTGGGTTTATTGACAACTTTTCTCTTTTCAGAGTAATTTCAGTAAATACTTTTATTAACTAGTCTTAATTCAAATAATATTTTTAAAGCCATGTTTTGTCTTCTTGTTGCATTATCTGTTTGATCAAATTTTATCTGTATATCATTCTTCTTTGTCTTCTATTCTCTGCCATAACACAAAGGAAATATAACCCAAGTATAATTTTAAAAAGAAATAGCAAACTAATGTCTCTCTCTGTCATAACACAAAGGAAATATAACCCAAGTGTGATTTTAAAAAGAAATAGCAAAATAGTGTCTCTTCCCCCAAAAGTTTTCAACACAGAGGTATAGAGCAATGTTTACCAATCAAATTGTTTATGCAAATAACTGCATCTAGATTGGCTTGTAACTAAGTGCAGTGGAAACTATCATTCACCTCTGATGAGCCAAGCAGATAGCATATGCAAATCTCAGAGCTGCATAATAGCTTTTTCTGGACCTCTAACTTCAGTTTCCTTTCAGAATATTAGTTTTAACACCGCTAGTCTACAAACTTCATGGACATTAATGGGACAGATTTCTTTTTTTAAAATTTTTTTGGCTTGTTTTTTTCTGGCAGAAAGTTTTTCAGGATATAAATGATAAATATATTACGCTGCAAATATCTGTTTTTTATAACACCAAATTATGGGACTTAGACATTTGCTTGGAGGCTATTCAAATAGCTTTTATGCAAAGCACTTAAGAATATGACTTGAAAATAAACGTACATTAAATTTTTATTAAATGAGTCCATCATTTATTTAACCCTAAAACATCACAGTTTCCTACTGAGTTTTGAAAATTGGCAAAATCTTAGGCATTACTTTCTTTTGCTGATTTGGTATTAGTGGTGTAGATATCAAAACTTGATTCCATACTGTACATAGGTATCTTATTTTTTCTATTTATGTATAACTAAGTCCTTCTTTATATCCATGTATCCTTAAAGAAAAGAAGAAATCTTCCCCCAATGTTAATACTTTTTTATTAACTGGATTACCTTTATTAGTAATTTTTTTCACTATTAACTCAACAGATCAGTAATTTTGATACATTTCATTAGATCCAGTATAATATATCATAATGATTTTAAAGGTATGCTAATTATAAAATATAATCCAATGAGTCATACTAAATTTCTCAAAGACATCCTGGAAGAAATAGACTTAGAATAAAAATTACATTTTTCTGTCTATGTGTTGCTACAATTTTAAAAATGTGCTATTGTTATTGTCCAGTGTCACATATTTTAATCTCAAACATGTCACAGAATGTGACCTACTTCAATATTTCCTTATATATCAATTATATAAGCTACATTAGCAACAAACCTAAGAACATATGCCATCACAAAACAGTTGGTATATGCAATTCAGGTACAATTTACATTGCTGTACAAAGTTGCTTTGCAAATTTCCTTTAGCTATACAAAACAAGAAATAAAAACTTTAATGTATTGCTTAAATTGTGAAAGTATGGGGTAATTTCCTTCTACTCTTGGCCTATGCCACTTGTCTATGACAATAGCTTGCTATCAAATTTAAGACCCTTATTCAGGAGGTTAATGCGAGGTAGGAACTCCATTCAATGTTATTTTGGCTTAAGGGCATAATGTCACAATTTGGTGCATCCTCTAATGACTTTTTTTTTCTAAAGGCAGCTTATAGCTTAGACCTAGTTCAGCGAATTTCCTTGTAAGGTCCTTGGAAGACTGGAGGAAAAAAAGTACAATTGATTGCGTGGCCAAATTTCTGTTCATGCCTGCTTACTGATTTTTGTTGCATTTCACAAATAAACAAGGCATGAATACATCAACCCACAAACCATAAACAATAAAGAACTTCATCCTGTAAGTTTGCTATGGCCAGCAGTTTGTGGCTGAATCTGCTATTTGTCATAAGATAAATGATAAAGTGATTGCCATTTGTCACTGAATACACAAGAGGAGTGCTCAGCTGTGAACCACTCAAATGCAGACAACAGTAAATACTGCCATTCTTATACTAACTTCCTTTAAAAGGGCCCCCTAAAACTATAAAAATAAAAGGACATTTGTGTTTTGGGTAAAAATTCATAATCTTTTAACCTAAGAAGATAAATTGTCAAATAAACAATAAGCATCTGAGTACTCCCAGTTAAAAACCTTTATTTACTACAACATGAAATGCATGCAAACATGTGCCATCTTTTATAAAGAAAGGTGTTTTATAAAGTTGAGCGTTGAATTTAATTTATATGTATTGTTCCCACTTTTGTACTGTTCAGTGATTTTTAATACAAACTTTTTTATGTTTCTGAGAATCAGTGGTGCTTGACGGCTTTCAACTATATTAATAGAGGTTATAACAGTGCCCATACATTAATATAGTCTGTGTTTTATCTAAACTCTGATTGAATTTAGGGAGTGCCTAAATTCTGTGTTGCTATACTTGCTGCCAACTACATAAACTTTATTAATTTCTTTCAAAGGCTACCTAACAACAACAAAATAGGGAAGTATATGCAAATGACATATTAAGAAAAAAAGTCACTAATCATAAAATCTCTTAAGTTATAACATTTTTCCTTAGTGGCAAACACCATACCGTGTAATAAGGGAACATCATAATTACAGCACCTTATACCACAATAAAAAATCCCCAAAATGTGAAGCTTATATATAAAAGAAATTTTTACTTTGTATCATTGTGACTTGCAAGAAAAAGGTAAAAAAATGCAAAATAGCTGACACATATTGTTTGAGATTTTAAAAAATGTTTATAACTCTCAGTTTTATCATGGAATATATCACTTTTCACAAGAGAACTCAGATTAAATAATACATAACCTGAAATATCTTTACACCATTAGACACAGTTCCTTCAAGACTAAGGCTGAAATACACTGGTGGAGAAATGTAGGGAAGTATGCACTTTATAGTATCTTTAAATCCAAGCTGAATAACAAGTAGAAAAATAAGTATTTAGTGGCAGATATTTCCAGAAGCTGATCTTTTAAATTCAGATGATTGTAATTTTTCTAAAGTACTACAATAAGATTACATTTTAAAAAATCAAATTATAAGTCTGTCTTTTATACTATCTTTCAATATAACAAATTTCAAACTCTTCAAAATATACTTGTAATAACATTTTTAAAATCTCACTCTTTATATTGTGTGCTAAAGCATGTTGAGAAATCTTTCAAATCTTTGGTGCTGGGAGTTGAAATTTCCTGACATAAGCTAATACATTTTTCATCAAGTGCTAATAGATGAAAATGATTAGTTAGATCAAAGGAATGTATGCATAGTCTCTCACTATATATGTCAACATGACAAGTCAAATTAATTTTACATTTAGTTATTGCTCTATTATACATTACTGAGATATATAAAAAAGTGTAACTCTAAAATCATTTAACATTATTGTGAATTTCTATACATTAAAATGGAAAATCATTAACATTTGTCTTATATTCATATATAATCATAAATATATCCCAATGTCTCTTTAAAAAGTATATTTGCAATGTGACCGTTTGGTTTAATGATCAATTCTTAAGTAAGAGGAGCTAATACTATTGTTTTTAAAACATAAACATAGGCTATATGAATCTCAGTTTTTATTACATCACACCAATACTTGTTTCTTACCTTTTTCTCTAAAGAATTTATTTTTCTATTTATTTCTACATTATCTACCAGTTACTTTATTTTTCTATCTTGATAAATCTGGTTTTTAAATTAGGATTAGGTTATTTCACCGATATATGCATTTTATTGGCTTTACAACAGTCAAAATATTGTTTCAGGGGCTCTTTTTTTGTTGTGGTATATAAACAGAGAACAGAAAAAGGAAAGGCTGACTTTTAGGCTTTTGACAGGAGTCTTGTATAAGTGGAAGACTTTTAATTCTCAAATTGTTTCACTTCAATAACTCTTTTAAAGTTGTTGCGCCAAGATGCCTGGCGGATTAAGCTCCATTGCCTTTTCTTGTTTTGAACTAATGTATTCTTGATCACCGTTTAATGAAACTATATACCACATGGGAGATTTCACATTAGATAAGCCATGTGAAACCCTCATCAGACAAGTAGCTCTGGCTGGTGGTAATCCTTCAGATGAAAATTTCAGACTAGCAGGTTTTCCAATTTAAATGAGCCCCTTTAACTATAAAAAATTGGCACGGTATGATTGCTAAAAATTATTTTTAAATTTTTATGTTGCCAAAGTACCCTGGTGGCTGTGAAAAACAGAAATACTGCCGTAAATACAGAAAACATTAACTGGTCACTGAGGGGATCCAATTTACAACCCATAGAGACAACTCACACAGCTCACTGACACTGGCGCTATTGGGTTTGTGATAGGGCATTCAGCTCTGCTCCCCCCACACAGAAGCCAAGCTCATCTTAAATATGCAATTAAATAGATTTATTCTACAAGTTTCTCTAGTCAGTGGTTATTACTCTTACTTCATTGCACTCTGATCTATAGAATTTTCATGATGTGTTCAGGTAGCCTTTAGGAAGCAACAGAACTTGTTATGAATTTTCAATGAAAAATTATCTGGGGAGATTCACATGTGCTATTTAATATTTTATTAGAGTGATTCAGTTTATCTTAAAAGACTTATCTGTTCTCTATCTATGTTTACTCTAGCCCAGAATCACTGCCACCTATTAATATGTCTACAGCTTAAAGTATAACTAGTGGAAATAAGTTATTCTCAGCTTAAGTTTGAACTGTAGATTTGGATTTCAAACAAGAAGGAAAAAGAGGATGTTTAGATTTGTTTTTTAGTGTATATAATATTTTGTTTTAGCCTGTCACAAATGTCAATGACTTGTGCACAAGCACAGATTATGTCAAGAGACTATGCCTCTCTTGTTCATAGTATATAACATTAGTAGATATTTGTTTGAAAAAAATACTCATGATGTATTTACTTCGGAATGCCATTGTCATCTAATTTTGACATATAAGATATTGTACAGAATAAGAGGAAGTGTGCTACCCAAGAAGCAAACAAAGTAACGGCTACTTACAAGGAACCAAAGCTATGACTCAGTGTTTCAGATATGAGGAATAAGCAATGCAATCAATAGTTCTTGGCAAGCAGTGAAGGCAGGACAAAAGACTAAATAATAAGACAGTCTAATATATACATACATTACTGCCATCAACCAAACAGATATACACTAACCAGTATACACTGACCAGAAAACGAAGAACCTAGTAAGTTTAAAATAGAAAGTTGCTGCAGCCAAAGGCATTCAACTGTGCCCTTCTTCAAATATTAGTCTATTTTTGGGGGAAAACTTCATAGACTCAGAATCCTACAGGATTTTGTTTAATGAATCAATTGCTTCCAATTATATTTCCTTTAGTGATGAACTACCAGAGCACATTCTGTAATAGTGAAGTATTATATAGTTTACTAAAAAATGATGGGAAAATGTGTGCAGTTATTAACATAAGTATTACAAAATTTTAAAAAACTGACATCTTTCAAGGAGCAAAGTGGTCATTATTCAGGTTTACTTAACCTGCTCACAGTTACTTATTGAAATCAGGTCACTGTGGTATTACTGCTTCTTGTAACTAGTTGCACTGAAGTGAAGCAGAATAGAAAAGTTAATTTGCATCTATACGAGACCAAAAAGACTCAAGTAAAGATCTGTACACAGCTTTTTTTTTCTGAAAGTATGACAACAGCAATACTGTAAAGATAGCCATCTAATATCTTTCAGGTGAATGTGGGGGTGTGACTCCTTAGCCCCCTCTTCCACAGAAAGGTGCACTGCAGCTTAAAGAAATCATTTGAGAGAAGGTCGGGAAAGGGGTGTGCTCATCCTGCATCACAATTACTACGAGAAAGGGGAAACTGGAAAGTACAGAGGGAAACTTGCAAGGATGAACAAGAAGAGAAAACCCCAATTTCTTCCAGAGTATGCAGTGTGGCAGGGAAAGTCTTGTTTTAAAGAAAAAGGAAAACACCTTCCATGAAAAAATGAAGGAATGCAGAAAAGAGATATGGATGAAAGGGGTAAGAGTACATTGCGAATACTGCTTTAAATCTTTGCAAACATGCAAACACAGGGGAAAAAGCACACTAAATCATTATACTCCAGTATGTATTATTATCTTTTCTAGTATCTGGTTTATATTAGCTACAGTATGAAACCACAGTCTGCAGAGAAATTAAATAACCTCCTTTGGAACATTTTTAAAAAGAACGTTACAAAATAAAAATAAAGTCAAAAGTAGAAGGTTATTACACAAGGAGATCGCAGTAAACAAATATAGAAAAGACACATCAAAAATTTTTCTCACAAAGAGAAATTTAGATATATTTAGTAAAAGGGGAAGTTCTGATTTGGTACCACTTAATTTAAGGTAATCTTGAATACCCTTAACAAGAGCAGAGAAAACCTGGGCTTTTTGTATGAAGGTTAAAGAAGATGTTACATAGAAAGTATCATCTTAAAATGCCTATGGGTCAGTAGTTTCCAACGTTATTTTCTTGCTCTGGTGGTTCACCAGAATATCTCTAGAGTGAGAAAATGGGTATTGTTTGAAAGAAAAAAAAACCACTACACTACCACTACCAACACCACCAACACCAACTGCAACAACAAATCTCTCCAGGCTTACAGAGTTCATCTTTCATCTGCCTTAATGATTCCATATTTCATCTATTCAGTCATGCCTCTAAGAATAATTTATTATCTAATATATGTCAAGTATTGTAATATGTTCAAGTTAGATACATATGATGTAGTTGATGAGGCCTGTTTCAAGATGCTTAGTACTCACATAAATATGTACAGTACATGATAAAACTTGGAATTTGCCATTCAAAATGTTTAAAATTACATATCACTCTTTCTACTAGGAAATTATTCTGATTTTCAATCTAATAAGCTGCCTTACATGAGTAAAAGAGTGTGTATGTGTGTGTGTGTATTTTAAACTGGGTATTTTAATCTTAAATAGCAACTTAGCACTCTTAGCAGTTGTATATGGTGTCAGCCAATCCCAGACCACCTCTTCTGTCTGTAGACCAGACGCACTGACCATAGTATGTGTGTTAACAACCTGAGAAAGTATTTTCTTACATGTGTAGTGACCAAAACATAGTCAAAGATTATTTTTAAGTGACAATGTTCTAATTCTGCATAATTAATAAAAGAGAAACAAGGACGTAGTTGAGGTTAAAGTCTATGGAGCCATATGATGATTCATCAGCAGAGAAACTCTCCTCCCTGAGTTTCCTTGTTTAGTTTTATGTTGGGGTATTGAGATTGTTACTTTTTCTTTCAGCGCATCCTCGTGAATCTACCTAGCCTATAAAGGATTGCCCAGAGACCAAGATTTGGACCTTCTGCTAGACTGTGATGTTTTCATGTTGTTAACTTGGAAACTCTTTTCCAGAACCTCTTTCCCTCCACAATTCTAGATTAGAAGTGACCAATACGTTAACTGGTATCAGATTTGGAAGGTGGAAGTGAAGCACTGACTCTTACTTTTAGAAGACCTTTGCAGTCAGAGAGAGCAGTTGAAAGAGGTTGTGATGGACAGACAGACATGCTGTACTAGTCCGTTTTCACACTGCTATAAAGAACTGCCTGAGACTGGGTAATTTATAAAGGTAAGCGGTTTAATTGACTCACAGTTCTGCATGGCTGGGGAAACTTACAATCATGGAGGAAGGCAAAGGGGAGACAAGGCACATCTTACATGGCGGCAGGAGAGAGAGAGAGAGAGAGAGAGAGAGAGACTGAGAGAGAGAACTGCCAAACATTTTTAAACCATCAGATCTCATAAGAACTCACTCACTATCATGAGAACAGCATGGGGGAAACCAACCCCATGATCCATCATCTCCCATCAGGTCCCTCCCTTGACATGTGGGGATTACAATTCAAGATGAGATTTGGGTGGGGACACAGAGCCAAACCACATGATATGGCCCACCCTGTCTCCACTCCATGACTCCATATTCAGTTCATCTTCATCTGTAGCCTCTTTTTGCAATAGATGCAACCCTTTCTCTCCTGACGAAGGAAGTTACTCTCTTCTTGTATGACATTTCCTAATGTCAATCCCCTTCAGAGAAATACTGACCTCTTTAAGACACACCCTCAATACATCTCATTCCTTCTAGGCTTATAACCAGACTCAAGTTCAGGGAGGACTCAGGGATCAGATACAAAATGTGACCTTTAAGTATGCACCACATACATCAAAATAATGTCAAAATGTTAAAAATTTGTATAAACAAAAACTTGCTAGGTATGTATAGAAATTAGCCTAAAGATATTGGTTTATGGTGAAATAAGGCTGGATCAGGCCAAATTTATTCATACGATTGCACTAATGAGAGGTTCTGCATTCAAAGTATTTTCTTGAGCAGATAGAAGAATCTCCATTTGAGTGGTGAGTTATCTAAACCCAAGACCCAAAGTTGGCCAATGTAAAATGAAGTTGAAATGCTAGAACTTCCTTGGTATGTGAAAGAAGGTAGCCAGTCTCAGGGAGATCAGAATCCTGAAGTGGATTTACCATGTGAAATCTACTTAACAGTTTCTGCCTATATTTTCTGGGTAGTTCGATACTCCCTTCACCAAGGCTTTGCAAAATACAATGGGGAAGGAAATACCAACATTCTTCAAGAGCTCGGTTATTCTTTGCTGGCTAAGAGTGACCTGGGGAAATATTCCATCAAAATCAATTATCTGAATGCAAAAGGGATAAAGAAATGCTGGAGTGTAGGGAACAAATAACAGCACTAAGCCAGCAAAGACAATGTGATAAAATGGTGGACTCAGTCATGGTGCCAATTAGGTAAAATGCCATGCAGGATAGGGTAATGTTCTCCAGAATGTGGAACATGCTCTAAATCAGCAATCAGTATAGGGTCTGTGGTTTGTGGTTATGGTACTCAAAATTTTAAAGATGTCCCTCTAAGATTTCCATCTTAGGCTTATTCAAACTCTACTCTGGGCACTACTGAGAAAAGACTTAACAAATGAAATTAAGGGAATTAATCAAATGTCCTTAAAATATGGAGATTATCCTGGATTATCCAAATAAGCCCAGCATAATCACATGAGACCTTAAAAGCAGCAGCAGAAGGCAAAAGAGGAAAGCAGGAAAGATGAAACAAATGAGAAGGTCAGAGAGATTTCAAAGGTGAGAAGAATTAGATCCACCTGCTGGTTTAAGGTGTAAAGGTACACAGGTCAGGGCCAGAAAAAGGTCTCTAGGACTAAGAGTGGCCATGGGCAATAACCAGCAACTAAGTGGAGGCTTCAGTTTTAACAACCACAGGAACTGAATTCAGCCAACAACCTGAATGCATTTGGAGGCAGATTCACCCCTAGAACTTCCAGTAGGAAATGCAACTCTGCCAACACCTTGATTTCAACCAAGCTTGTCAGACTTCTACAGATAGAACTGTAAGATATTAAATGGATGTTATTTTAAGCATTTTAGTTTGTGGAAATATGTTATGGCAGCAATAGAAAATGACTACAGTGGTTCAAGTATTAAGGGATAGAAATAATAGAAAATTTTCCTGAGGGGATAATGTAATCGTCTGATTGAACTTGAAGTTGAAACTTCCATCTGGTCATTTTGGAATCCTGATGACAGTGAATCAACAGGCAAAAAATGTGATAGTCTACTAGCCTGGATGATTGATTATGACTTTCAAAGAGAAATTGAGCCACTACTACTTAATGCAAGTAAGGGAGACTAGGTTTGAAATGCAGGAGTTTCTTTGGGGTATCAGTTAGTACTCCCATGACCTGTGATGAAAGTAAATGGAAAATTATAACCAAGACAGGATGGCTAATAACAGAAACCCCATGGAAATGAAGATTTGTGTCATCTGCATAGACAAGCAACAATAACAAGATGAGGGGTTTGCTAAGGGCAAGTAGTATAAGCAGCAGAAGAATAAAGTTATAAATAAAGTTGTAAAGTTATATGTGAACGATGACCAGTTGCAGAAACAAGAACAATTGCAATTATGGCTATTTCTTCTTTGTCTTGACATGAATATATTTGTATATTATATATGTATTCATATTTATATGTTTACATATATGTAAGTTATTTTTGTCCCATCTACTTCCAGTAATATTTAACACAGATATAGTATTAATGGTTAGCCCTGTATCTTGGTATTTACATTACAGGATAGCATACAAGGAATGTTACTTAGTCAAATGTACAAAGTGATATGAACTGTGTATCCTGTTTTGGCTAAGCAATTGGCATACTTTTGTTGTATGGAGACTAGTTTGAACATGAGAATCAGAAGAAGTATTTGCAATTGACTTTATTTAGAAGCAAAACGTATTTTTTAAAGGCATGTGTGGATGTCAAGCTCAAAAGGGTAGACTGCATTGAATTATGTTATTATCAACTCGGTTTAGTTGGGAACTACATTTCTCACAAAACCTTTGACTATAAGATTCCAGTTTAGAGTATGTCAAAAGAAAAAACATGAAGAATTTGCATGCAATTTTGAAAGCATACTGAAGTGGTAGCCCTAATCTTGGGTGGTCACCATGGTCATATATGGTGACAGATAGATACGGAGATACCCAATGGATGCCAGTGTGCCCTTATTCTCTACTGTGCAACCAGATCATATGCTGACCATTGACACTGCTAAAAGAAGCCCTAGACTACCAACCAGTGCTTGGCTGTGGACAACAAAGGTAGCTGACACCTAGAAGCAGTAGCTTCCTGCAGAACTCTCCATGAGCCCCCGCTTCATGGTTCTACTTCAGTGGCTGGATGTACTTGGCTTCTTAGAATTTTAGGAAGCTTAGACTTCTCCCCTATTCTAGTGATTTGGAAGACTAATTAGTGACTCTCTAATCCTCCAGTTTCTCTTTCCAGATCTTTCATTCAAGCTTATTTCATTGTGTATTAGGTTGAATTCCTATAACACATCTCTTATTCCCATACTGCTCCTAAAAGGCTCTGTTTCTCAGACTGAGTCTTGACTGATATAAATTCCTTCACAGCTACACAGAATTTGAGGAATGAGGCCCACACTATTGAGCAGAGACTCCTCTAAGACTACAAATAGATATAAGTTTATAATTTTTATGAGTTGGTTGTTTCTTCCTTTCTATAATTTTGTTTTCTGGGTAATACTTTTCGTAATTATTTTCTCTAAGTATATGTGTTTACTGTGAAACCAGTCAATGAAAAAAGCTTATACATTCTACATATGTTACAAACTTGAGATAAGTTGCATATTTCCAAGGTAGACATTTGATGCAATGTTAGGCAGAACTGGCTCCCTAATGAACAATTCCAGAAATGAGAAAAATATTATAAAATTCCCTGATTCACTTTCATACTGGAGAAGCTAAGTGTAATAGAGGATTATCCTTCACATCTGCAGTTTGGTGTTTCCTGTAAATACCTGCTCTGAAACATCAGCCAGAATCTTGGGTGTTGCCTTACCTCTATTTTTCAATCTTTTAACTTATTCTTCGTTATTTCTCTCTCTCATTACTTTCAATGAACATCCCAATAGTGCAGCAATATACTCAGTCCTTCTATTCAAATACACTTTGCCCCTCCATCAGCAATTTGCTTCTCACTTGCTCATATTATCTCATTTTTAAGGCATGATATTCAACTATGTCAGCATGATGGTTTCAGTAATTATATGTATCAATTATACTATTAAACTTATACATTTATCTATTATTCTGTTATGTTCCACAATTCTTAGCTTTCTCAAACAACTCTAAGAAATTAGATTACCACATTCAGAATTCCTTCTTTCACTGACCTCAAGTTTGGGTTGGATGCCACCATAGTGGTACTCTACACACATATCTATTACTGGATTTGCCATATTTATTATTATTATTTTAATATAAGGTCTCTCCAATACATAGTGAGTTCACTGGAGACAAGATCTTTATTTAAGTCACATAATGCTTAATTCATGGTAAATTGTCAACAAATGTTTGTTTTAGAAAATTTTGTCCTAAAAAAACTATCCCATATATTTTATAAGAAGTCATTTATGATAACTACTTTATTTCAACTTTGAATTTATTTTCAAGGATTATAAGAATAATTTGCTGCCTATTTTCTATACTAAGAGAATTAGGTTCAGAGCAGGCTATGTAAGTATTTTCTGAGCGTTCTATTAACGTAATGCATCCTACCAGAATATATAATATTAGATCAATTTTCCTGTCTAATAACATTAGCAATTTCACTTGGCGATTGGAGTTTTCACAGATATGCATTGAAGAGGTTTCATGTGCATAGAGAGTTCAAATTTTTAATTTTTAGTCTTTTAATATTTATTGGATTTATATGCCTTGTCATCTGTACTTCTGAATAGTAATCAAATAAACTCTTTCCATGAATAATATGAGATAGAAGAAAATAAAACGAGAGACAGACAAATACAAATTCCATGGTCAGGACAAAAAATATAGTGAGATAAATATCTATATTTAAGTAAAAATTATTTTGAGTGATGATATATTATCAACTCCATCAATTTAAGTAATAAACATGATTATCTTAATTTCCAAAGGCAACTGAGAAATTAGTAATACATTAAAAATATGGTAAAGTTGCACATGTTCTGTTATATGATAGAAACTGATAATGAATAAATGTTTAAAACTATATTTAGCCATAACTGTAGCTTTCATAACCTTGTTTAAATTGAATTTAAATAAATAAATAATATACAGTAGGTACTGTGGTGACATGAAAACAGTCGCTTCCTCCATGGACCATTTGTACTTATGTACAGTTGGCCATTGTACTTATGTCACCTACAACTGTTATATTAACATGTAAGTCTCCCTCAACTTGGTTGTAATTTCCTATAGCAGAGTTTAATATAGTATGAATTCAATAAAAATACAGAAAAATACATGCAGCAGCTAGATAAGATAAAACGTTAGATATAGATCAGTTAAGCAGCTGAACAAAGGACTTCAGTTTGTCTGTGGGTAAGACACTAAACTGAATTTTCTCAGCACTTAAAGGGTATACTAACACGTTTACACTTAATAGAGACATGGAGACATGGTCAATATAAAAAATACATGATGTGGACATTAATAATTCCATTTTATATCAAAGCACTCTGATAGGCATCGGAGAAAAAGAAAAAAACACTGTCCCTGCCTGCACAATTATTACAATCTACAACAGAGGCAGGCTTTCCAACAGAAAATTGTAATAAACAGTGAAGAGTAAAATCCTCTCTATGGGCCCTGCGCGGTGGCTCACGCCTGTAATCCTAGCACTTTGCGAGGCCGAGGTGGGCGGATCACCTGAGGTCAGGAGTTTGAGATCAGCCTGGCCAACATGGCGAAACCCCGTCTCTACTAAAAATACAAAAATTAGCCGGGCATGGTGGCGGGTGCCTGTAATCCCAGCTACTTGGGAGGCTGAGGCAGGAGAATCTCTTGAACCCGGGAGGCGGAGATTGCAGTGAGCCGAGATCGTGCCACTGTACTCCAGCCTGGGTGACAAGAGCAAAACTCCGTCTCAAAAAAAAAAAAAAGAAAAAGAAGAAAAAATTCTCTCTAAGACTCAGTGGAAGCAGAGAATAAAATGACAAATCTAGGCTGGGCGCGGTGGCTCACACCTATAATCCCAGCACTTTGGGAGGCCGAGGCAGGCGGATCACGAGGTCAGGAGATTGAGACCATCTTGGCTTACACGGTGAAACCCCGTCTCTACTAAACAAAATACAAAAAAATTAGCCGGGCGTGGTGGCAGGCGCCTGTAGTCGCAGCTACCTGGGAGGCTGAGGCAGGAGAATGGCGTGAACCCGGGAGGTGGAGCTTGCAGTGAGCCGAGATCGCGCCACTGCACTGCAGCCTGGGCAACAGAGCGAGACTCCGTCTCACAAAAAAAAAAAAAAAAAAAAAAAAAAAAAGACAAATCTAATAAAGAGGTCTGAGGAAGCCTTTGAGGGGGCAGCCATTGAGCAAGGATGTGGCAGAGGAAAAAAACTAAAATTATCCAATTAATGACTTTGTTAAATATAATTCAAATAACTGAGTCGTGCATACCCATGTTTATATGGAGAGGAATTCACATAGTAGACATTTTACTGTGGAATGCTTCATTTGAAAGTCTTTAGGTTGAAATATATTTAACTTTCCTAACTCCACATTGTACAAAACATTGCAACATTTTTTATATTTTTATAGGTGATTTCTATAATGTCTTATCTCACATAGAATTCCGGATCAGTTCAAGGAAGTAGCTTTTAATTTATATCAATATATTTTTTGAAAATGTTAATGTCACTACCAAATATATCAAATACCCATAGTTTATTGAAAAACTGTTATAGTAAACTATATTTAAGTGGTTATACTACCTTTTCTTGATTTACAGAGCGGAGTATATTCATTCATTTGCATACTGCATGTCTCAGTCTGTTTTGTGCTTCTGTGACATAATACCTAAGACTGGGTAATATATAATCAACAGAAATTTATTTTCTCATGGTTCTGGACACTGAGAAGTACAAGATCAAGTCCTCCCAAGTATCTGGGATAACACTTGTGTGTCTGCATCATCACATGGAGGAAGGCAGACAGGCAGAGGCAAAAGGGGGCCAAATATGTTCCTTTTATAATGGTATTAATCCCACCCATGAAGGCAGAGCACTCATGGCCTGAACACCCTCCGAGGTCCCACCTCTTAATACTGTTACAATGGCAATTAAATTTCAACATGAGTTTTGGAGGAGACAAACATTCAAACCATAGCACTAAGTAAATATGTATTAACCTCTGTATATAGGAGCTAACGTTTATTGTGTACTTACTAGCTTACTATCTTCCAGGCAATTAAATAAATACTTTATAAATATCTCAGATAATCTTTATAACTATATGCTTGGTAGAAAATTGCCACTTAGAGTAGTTATGTAATTTGACCAAGATAATGAAATAGGTAATCCTGGAGTCAGGATTAGAACTGAGAGCTATTCAACTAGAGAGCTCAAGTGGTTAAGTACTGACATGTGGTGCCTGAGCACCAGTAATATATACATATATTTATCCCTCTGCACAATCTCTTGGGCAAGTCAATGCTTACCCTTAACTTCAATTAACTCCTGAATACTAGTGACTTCACATTCACCAACTCTAATTTCTGAACACACACCACACTCGCTTTTTCCCCCATCCAATAAAACTTTGTATTTCTATTTTGCATTTGACCTGTTGAACTTTCGTACTTTCTTCCCATCACTTTTTTTATGTCTTTTTGCTTTCTATGATGAAATCTTTACATACTTATCTAGTCAATTTCATACAACAGTTGATATGATGATGATCTTCTTGACTCATTTCTCTGGTTAACTTTTTCTGTGATATTTGGCTACATGCAAATGAAAAACACAATTTCAGGCTTGGCATGGTGGCTCATGCCTGTAATCCCAGAACTTTGAGAGACTGAGGTGGAAGAACTGCTTGAGCCCAGGAGGGTGAGACCAGCCTAGGCAATACAATGAGACTCTGTTTCTACAAAAAAAAAAAAAAAAAAAGAGAGAGAGAGAGGGAGAGAGAGAGACAGAGAGAGAGAGAGAGAGAGAAAATAGCCAGGTGCAGTGGTATGCACCTGTAAGTCCCAACTACTATTTGTGAGGCTGAGGCAGAAGGATCACCCTGGAGTTTGAGGCTGCAGTGAGCTATGATAGCACCACTGTACTCCAGCCTGAATGATAGAGCAAGGCACTGTCTCTTAAAAAAAAAAGAGAGAGAGAGAGAGAGAAGAAAAAAGAAAATTAAAAAAAGAAAAATACAATTTTAACTATCTATACTAAAGAAAAGTTTAGTAAAATATATAACTCCAGATAATTCACACATGAATCTATATGATCTACTACTGCTTGTCTACCTGATCTTTTGCCTAAATCTTTGGATCTCTGAAACCAACCTCTAGGGTTTCATGGCCTTAAGTTAAAAAGCTGTAATGCCACACTGAGAAAATTTGATAGGAGAAAGGACCAGTAGTGATACAAAAGTTACCCTGGTTACCTGAGAGAAAGAATCAGCCTTTTATATGCACCTGTCCATTAGGCCTCATTTCAAAAACAACCTACGAACCTTAAGCTCAACACACACATAACTTCATTCTGCAGCTCTTTTCTTGCCAAGCCTGCTTTTCCTCCTGTGTTTTGTAGTACAGGTAAATATGTCTCCATCAGTCTTACCATTCAGATGCATGGATATTTTTTCCTCAAGTCATCCTCATATACCTTCCCCTTCCACAGACTATTGAACAGTATCTTGAATAGTTTATCTCCTAAAAGTCAGGTATCTGCTATTATGATTGATCACAGATTAAATAACTTCTTAGGACACAAGGCTATATTTCTATATTTATTAGACAGAGTCCTATGATAATAACTTATACTACACTGATGTTTTACTTTTTTCCTTTCCCCTACTGGAAATGTACGATCTATGGAATTCTACATATTTATCTGCATCCTTTGAGGCTGGATGTGGGTAAGGACTCATGTTTCAAGCTGTTAAGTAATGTCTGGTTTCTTGAGTAATTATTTGTGTAGAGTTGAATTACCTAAAGAGCAGTCTGGCCTTTGCCCTCACCTACTGGGATGACCTCTGGGCCTCTGGAATGTCTTTACTTGTCTGGGGGCTTTGCTGCTAGACAGTCAAATAATGGAACTTATAATGGGGACTTTGGGTCACATATTAGGTTGGTGCAAAAGTTATTTTGGCAATTACTTTTATCAGTAACTGATGCAATTACAACAGCATCAGTTCCAACCTCTGGAAAAACTAACGATTATCCTGACCTCCAGGAGGGGCTGGAGAATAAAGGTCAGCCACAGGGGCAATATGTGATTCAGCTCCAATAAAAATTCTGAATACCAAAGGCTTCCCTGGTTGGCAATCCTCTGTATGTATTGTCACACTTTGTGGCAGAGAGGAGGTAACACCATCCTTGACTCCAGGGAGCAAAGGATGAACGGAAGCTCCGTATTTAGACCCTTCCTGGACTCGGTGCTATATGTTTCCCCTTGGCTAATTTTAATTTATATTCTGTTACTATGATAAAACTAATTATAGACAGCACTTTTCTGAATTTCGTGAGCTTTCTAGCAAATTATTGAACCTCAGGGTACTTGTGGGACCCCTAAATTTGTAGCCAACTGGTGTCTGAAGTGAGGGCAGTCTGGTGGGGACTGTGCTCTCTGGCTGTGCAGTTTTTTTAACTTCTGGATGTTATGGGTACAGGGCCTACCACATGCCAAGACGACAAAAGCTGAGCATACGAATATCTTTAAACTAGGGGTGCAAATTATGGTACTACATTTTATTACCTCATAACTTCTGATAATATTTCCAGCACAACATACATCACCTGCCTGTCTCCCATCATAGAGGTAATAGTTATGGTGTTGTGAGAGGAACCTGCTGAAATGGGGAGTTTTTTGTTGTTGTTCTATGTGCCTGAGTAAAGTGCCCCTTGTAAAGGTAAGCCTGATTTACTAATGAACATTTTGAGAAGGACTTGATATATTGCTTGCATTCTGTCTACCTTTTAACTTCAGAAGTCACTTGATCACAAAGTTTTGGGCCTTTATTGGGCCTTAATTCCCCTTGATTTATCTTAATTTTTTCATTTCATTTTAATTTTTTTGAGACAGGGTGTCACTCTGTTACCCAGGTTGGAGCGCAGTGGTGCTATCATAGCTGTCTGCAGTGTTGATTTCCTGGGCTCAAGCGATTCTCCTGCCTCAACCGCCTGAGTAGCTGAGATTACAGGTGTGTGCCACTATTCTTGGCTAATTTTTAAAAATTTCCATAATGCTGAGGGTTCACTATGTTGCTTCGGCTGGTCTCAAACTCCTAGACTCAAGCGATCCTCATGCCTTAGCCTCTCCAGGTGATGAGATTGCAGGTGCGAGCCACCGCATCCAGCCACTTGATCTTAGTACCCAAAGAACAATGACAAACGCAAGGGCATCTGGGCACTTGTAGGGAGTGGTAATAATATCCTACTGCTTTATTGTTTACTGAGGGCTTTCAGGATATTTGTGTGTAGTGGGGTAGTGGGGGTTAGTAGAAGGGGGACCCATTATAATTCCAGGTGTGAAACTTAAAAGCTGAGTGATTATGAGAAAGTCTTGTTTAATATCTCTAAGTTTAAGCTTTCCAACTGCAACTGTAAAATTAAAAAAATGAAACCTTTGTGGCCTACCACACTGGATTGCTTTATCAAAAAAAAAAAAAAATACTTATGCTCGAACCCTGAAAGATCAACTTAGAATTGCCAAAGCTGGGAAAAGAAGGATCCTTTATCTTAAAGTTGTTCTATTTCAGAATTCAACTCTAAACTTATGGGAAATAATGCAGAGATTTGAATCAAAAGCTAAAACTATTTCTACTAATTTTTTTTGCTTTGTACATTCATTGTCTTTTTCCATAAAGTGTGTTTCACATTATAAAAATCAACAAAGGTTATTGAAAAACATTTTCATTATTCTATATAGTACTGAAAATGAACATGACACTGTACAATAGTTTATATATTCCATTTCCTTTCTCTTTATAGCCTATTTCATTTTCTCTCAAACTGTTATTATTATCATGACACCCAAATTTGAGATATGCAGCTCCCTCAGGAAGTCAGGTATACATGTTCTCTATAAGCAAATAAATCAGACAGTGGGAGGGCTACCTGGGTAATGTTAACAATACTCCCCACAGGACACTGCAAGTCATATTTGTGATATTTGTCAGAGCATCAGGGCCACATTCAAAAATCCTAACTTTAACAGGGAACACTTGGTGCTGTTACTTCTATGGAAAACCACTGATAACTCACTAAAGACAAAGTAAGAGCTAGCTTGCCTCTCTCTGTCTCTCTCTCTCTATCTATCTCCCTATCTCTACCTCTCCTAAAAGGCTTAAACAAATAGAAATGAACTAGAAACGTATAGTAACTAAAAACAATTTCCTGGCTCTGGTGGAACACTTTAGGCTAAGATCTATGCTTATGAACATTATAATCCTGTAGCTATCTCATTTATGCAACATTAAATTCATTTTTTATGAAAGCAGGACAAGGTGACCTTCTTGAAGGTAAGAACTCTCAAGTAAAATTCATACTATTTAAAGGAAGGTGGACAGGACAACTGGAGGTCTTTTTAATTATATGAACAACCAAGATTTAAAAATATCTTATGCTATGTTTAGCAATGCTTAGCCCATTTTATGCGATTTGTAAAAATTCTTGATGATAGACACTGATATATAAATATATACTTATAATAACTTAATATTTTGTCGATGCCTTTAGTAATGGTATAGGTGAGGCAATACCTATCAAGTCTTGGTAGTCCCAGTAACTCGCTTTCTCTCCTTGAAAACTTTTCTGATAAAAGAAACGGTGGCAATGTTTAGAAGTTGCATTTTAACACTGTCCCTCTTTCTTGTTTCTGTCTGTGGTTAACAAAGCATATTAAAATGATGTTTATTATTCTGTCTCCTCTGTAAGGCTAATATGCTTCTCAGAGTTAAGGGATGTGCTTTACTGCAACAATCCTCAGTATCTAGAATAGTGTATTTAATGTAGCAGGAACTCAATATATATTCATTAATTGAACTAACAATTACCCCAGTCTAAACCCTTCCAATGTGAACTTTGGAGGTGCCATTTCTCGGTAAACAAGCTTAGCTATATTTTATCCTTATTTCAGAATACTAGATACAACTGTTTGTATTAATTAAACCTGGGTCTGAATTACAGACTGCTACTTTATTAGGGACCCATATACTAGAAGGTTTAATTGCAGTTAGTGTATACCTAGTTGTCCATTATTGCTTCCAAACCATTATTCCTCCATGCTTATGTGAAAATACTCCTGTTATGAATTTATATAGATTAAATAATAAAATACTCTGCCTTCTCTCACCTATTGCCCTGCCACTCAATGGTCTCCTGGTCATTTTCCACACTAAAGCAAAGGCTTTGGCCCATGGTACTCAGTCTTCTCTTCCTGTCTATCTCTTGTTCCACCTATCATACTCTTTTACTTCAGTATCTATTGTGATGACTTATCCAACATTTTAATCTTAGAATTTATGGGATTACTCAAATCAAGTTAACTTCAATTACACATTCCATTAACCATTCATACCCATGGACACCATTCTAACTTGTTGTCATCTGGAATGATGCCACCTCTGAAGTTTCAAACTCCTATACTTCGTTTTTTAATTACAACCTCTGAGTCTTTTGTTGCCGCTATTCTTACTCCCTTTTCCATCTCATAATCACCCAACCAGGGCTGTGTCTTGATATTTCTTCTCCAAGGTTCCTGTATTATTAAAGATTTCCTGAAGCCTCTGATGCAATGCATATGCTTATAATTTCTGCAACCGTATTCTGTTAACTGAATTTCAGATTCAGTTAACAGATTTCAACTGGGCACTGTACTCAGCTCCTCCAAAGATACTTTACATTTGATTGAATCCAGTTCCAAATCTATTCCTCAATTTATAGTTTCTGGTTTTGGATACCGACACCACAACTCTCCTGTTGTCAAAGTCAGAAACCTGATATATATATATTTGGACAATTCCTCTCACCATCAGCACCCAAAGACTCAACAAGTTCTGTCTACATTAACTCAAAAAAATCTGGAATTCACTCTTTCATCTCACTAGAACTTCATAATTTCACTTCTAAATTCTTCATTGGTATAGCTTCATCAAATATCGTTTTTCTGTCTCCAACTTATTACATGTAATCAATGACAGTGAACCATGTTTATGTCATGGAATGCATAGAAAAAGAAATTTTCACTTCATTGCACTGGGGTAATGGGACAAGGTTCTTTGATGGGAGAGGCTTCTAAGCCTAATCTCGAGCCATCCTTAGGCCATTCCCAACAACTCTAAGTGCTGACAAGATTAATGTTTCAGTCTACCAATAGCCTGTTAGTGCAACACTAATGCGAAACAGCAGTCCAGCGGAAACATCTGCGAAGTTTAGTGCGATGTTTTTCAGCTGGAAGTGTAGCTTTGTTACCCTTCTGGTCAATTATTCATAACCTAGCACACAAACTCCTTAGTATGACATTCAGAGCCTTCATGACATGGTTCTTACCTCTATGTAGGACCTTTCTCCCTGCCTCTGATCTACAAACGCTATAAACCAACTGCAGTTCCCTAAATGCATGCTGATTTTCGACACTTGTATGTCTTTCCTCCTAATGTTTTCACTACTTGAAGTATTCTTTTCTTGGCTGTCTTGTTCCCACTTTCCAAGATTTAGTTCTGCAATACTCATCTTCGCAAGTTTTTTTCAGATTTCCTGCAAGCCCCTCTTCCAGGTTCTAGAGAACTCTGTGCTTAATTCAAGAAAAGTACTTGTTACACCTTATTTTAATTGGCTTGTGCCTGTTTTTTTCACCTTTGCTTAGGGGGGCTAATTAAAAGCAGGTGTTGCCTTTGTAATACGCTCAGAATCTCACACAGATTCTGACAACACATGACTTCAAAATGAACAAATACATCGATGAATGAATGAACAAAAATCAATATAGTTTATCTTTTCCAAAGTAAACTGAAATATAAATTTTACTTTTTCACTTATTTAAGGAGTTGCGTCACTTCATTTGGACTTCCATTCAGCAAATGTTGATAATTTATTGTGTCCTAGACATTGTGACAGACCCTGGAAGGCTCACAGGAGTGAGGTATTATTCTGTACTTCAAAGCATTCACCAAGTGAAATGCAAACCAAATATTTAAGCAAATCCTGCATCACACAACATATAATACAATCTCTCCCTCAATCCTGTCTCTTTCCCTTTTGCTGAAAAATATTTATTTCCGGTATTTAAAAGTTGCAAACAAATAAATTAAAACATTTACATTCCTTGATTACTAAAGCCCTTGAAAAAGTATTTCAAAGCTTCCCCTTTCCATGTACTTGCCCCTTTCATCTTTACATTTGATCTTCTGCCTTCACCAATGGACTGATGCCACTCTTTTTATCAGTGATGCTCTCCCTAATGGCAAAGTTAAGAATATATAACTCAACACTTTGGCAATGTTTGGCACTTTTGAGCCCCTGTGGAGCTGAAACTCAAACCTCTGGACTGATGCGAATGTCTCTGGGTTAAAAGAACAGGCTCTGCCAGCCTGGAGCACAGACTTCAGAGGCGGGGCTTCAGTTGGCTGGCTCTGATGTCTTTGATGTGGGATGTGAAAAAATCAGTTCTGCAAGCGTTGCAAAAGCCGTGGGTTGTATTAAGGTGAAGCTGTGGGAAGGAACTGCTGCTCCCTAGGAAGACGCTGACAAGAGCCACAAACAGACAGGAAGCTAAAGGAAGCAAGCAGTAAGGAACAAGTTTCTTTTTTCTCCTTAAATTTTCCAGTCTCCCTCTAGTGCCCCCTATTGGCAAAGCCTAACTTAGAGCCCGGTGACAAAGGAGAAACGTTGCAGAGCCCCCAACCGGTTTACCAAACTGAATAGAAAAGAGCTGAGAAACAATAATGTATTGAGTAACATATCCAGATTCTGTCTTCAAATATTTTCTACTTTATTTCAAGGTTTTTATGTGTTCCCCTGGTTTCAACTATCAACGCAGTGGCTGACTCCCAGATCTTATACTCCATTCTTACTCCTTATCCCAAACTCTACCTCTGCAAGGTGAATTACTGGGTACATATTTCCACTTAAATAGTCTCTACTGGCCGGGCGCGGTGGTTCACGCCTGTAATCCCAGCACTTTGGGAGGCCGAGGCAGGCGATCAAGAGGTCAAGAGATCGAGACCATCCTGGTCAACATGGTGAAACCCCGTCTCTACTAAAAATACAAAAATTAGCTGGGCGTGGTGGTGCGCACCTGTAATTCCAGGTACTCGGGACGCTGAGGCAGAAGAATCGCTTGAGCCCGGTGGGGCGGGGGTTGCAGTGAGCCGAGATCGCGCCACTGCACTCCAGCCTGGCAACAGAGCAAGACTCCATCTTAAAAAAAAAAAAAAAAAAAAAAAAAAAAAAAAGGATCTACTATGTTAAAAACAGGTCATCTTTTAAGAAAATTCAGTCGTCAAAAGTTCTTTGTACTGAAAATGCCAGCAAAGCTGTTACCAGTCAACCAGGATGGCACCACCTCTTACCTTCTAATGTTTTCTTCACATGACACACGATTTGGCATTGGGCTCTGTGGGGTCTACATCCGCATTCCTATTCCATCAGTGCCTCATCACTTCTCTGACGACCAAATCACTTTTTTGTGACTTTTATCTGCAACTAGTGCCTACATTTCATTTCAGTTCATCCTGTATGATGCTCTCTAATTGATCTTGCTATACAGCTCATCTCTGAGCACATTACACTCCACAAAAAGTTTTCATGTCTCCCCCTGCAAATTAAGTGTAAACTTTTCACTGAGTCCTCACAATATATTCTTTACCTGTATTCTCAGCCTTATCTCTTATTGTGTATCACATTACTAATATAAAAGCACACTTAGATGGAAATTCCTAAATAACCATTTTTGTATAGTTTCCTAATCATTTTTATAGGACATATTTTTAATGTTGAATAGTAGTAGATCATAGCATATATTCTTTTAGGAGGTTTTGAAAACATTGCAAAATTTCCATCTGGAAGGAATGGACAAATTCACATTTCCAATGCGGCTATTGTAACTCTGGATATTAGCATAATTTCCTCTTTTCCTATATTAAGGTATATCATTGTTGTATTAATTCAAGTCCTGAGATTATCAGAAATATTTATCAATTTAATATACATATTTGCTCTTATGAACTGAATTTTCATAGTTTCTGGAATATTTTGTATTGCTTTTTCATTTATAGACACTCAATAAATTAAAGATATTAGGTGCCACATATTTTGCAACTATTTTTCTTTTTCCAATGAGTCATCTGCCTTTTAACTTTGTTTTTAAGTTTGCTTTCCTGTCACATAATTTTTCTTTTTTATTAGGCATTATCTTCATCTTAACTTATGCAGTAAATTATAACTGCATTTGCCTTTCTTGTCTCTGCTTTATTGATATGCCTAGTAACTCGTTCACAAGCCAAGATAATTTACATAGTCATTGATTATTTTAGTAATATAATGACTTCATTATCTTATTATTATTACTGTTATTATTAACTTTACAAGTAGGAAATAAAGACGTTATTATTTCCACTCTCGTTCTCTGAACCAGCAGTCTCAGTGATTCTTAACCCAGTAGCCTCAGTCAATCTTTTCAAACATAAGTCAGGACTTACCACTCCTCTGCTCAAAACCTGAAATATTTCTCCATTTCATTCTAAGTAAATGTCAAATTCCTTAAAAGGGTTCACATTATCTCTCTAGCCTCACCTATCATCCTCCTCATTGCTCCCTCTGCCCTACATTAGTTGGTGGCCTTACTGTTTCTTGAACATATAGGCATGCTGCCAACTGAATAGTTTGTCTCTGGAATGTTCTTCTCTCAAATGTCTATAAGACTAACTATGATAGCTCTTTTAAGACTCTATCCAACGTGGATTTTCAATGAGGTCTATGTAAGAGTTAGGGGAAGCTAACTTCTTGAACAAATAACCTCAAAATCCCAGTGGCTTCAGAGTTGACACTAATGTGAAGGACACAAATAGAGATCTCCCTGAGCATGACAAAGGAAAACAAAAGATTTTTAATTATATAGAAAACAGAAAACAAAATATAGTCCAGGAATAGTGGTATCAAATTTTAAAAGTCAAAGCAAATGCAATGTAAATAATAGTGAAAGACAAAAATAGAACAAAAGTTTCCCAAACTCGAACTAAAAAACCCTGAGTTCAAGATTAAATATTTCATATTTATTTGAGCAAAATGAAAAATTATTAATTTAAAATATACAAAGGCAACTTTTTGATATTGTAAATGAACAAAAATAGGAATGAAAGGTTATCTTTAAAGGCAATAAAAAAATACCTTCAGGGTTTCTCTCAACCAAACAAAATACCAATAAACGAATGAGCAAAATCTGTAGTTTTTGAAAAGAAATAATAATGACAACAATAGAACTGTTAATGTGATGTCCACTTATTTTGTACCAAAAACTGTTTTAAGTGCTCATGTTTACATGTTTAATTCTCACTAGAAGTCTCGAAGGCACATCTTGTAATTATTTTCTTTTACAGTTAAGGACTGAGATTGTGACATTAAAAAATTTATATACCACCATTTGTTGTTCATGAGTAAAGACAACTTGGAAAATGTATAAACTCAATTGCCTACTGGAAAGAAATCCCAAAATGTGTGGCTTGATCAACTAAGAGATGTATTGATATTAAAATCACTGAAGTGGGAGAGGTTATAGTTAAAAGAATTCTTAACAAATATGAAAATCCATTTACTATGTAGAATATTATAAAAATAATTATTGAAGATATGGTTACAAAATTAAATGCAAAAGACTAAACACTTTCTGAAAGTGGAAATTTACATGGTAAAAACAATAACAGCATGTTAATGATAAGAAAGCCATAATTCTTAGCACAATTAATTATGACCAGGAAACAAGGAGGGAGAAAGGATAACAGAAGAAAAGGGGCCAAATTGTTCATATTGTTGGAGTAAGGTAAAAGTTTTGATTTATGACTTTGATAATTAATACAAAATAGATTTAAGAATACCTTTAATTATTTTAAGCAAAAATATAACTAAAAGTGGAATGTCTCCATTTTCTATTAACAGCAATAAAATTAAATGACAATAGTATACATACCAAAAAATAACAATGACAAAAGCAGAAAGCTATCACAGAAACTATTAAAATGACAGAAGCAAGAACCAATAAAACTATCATACAAATGAATCACTAAATAAGAGTGGGTTGAAAAAGCAAAATCACTCTAAATATTATTATATAAAGCTTACAGAAGGCACATCTAAAAAATAAGTCAGAAGAGTCAATAATAGAATGCAAAATTAAAGTACTGTAATACACAGAAAAGCAGGAGTTAATAGTATTAACTTTAAAATATTACAAAAGAAAGCTGCCATTTTATAAAAAATTACAATCCAAAAGATCATTTAATAATTATAGCCTATTATATTCACTGAATATTAAGACCTGCAAATATATAAAGCAAAGCCCACAGAAATAAAACAAGTAGGAAATTCAACACACCATGAATAGTCTATGACAGATCAAGTAGACTGAAATATAAGAACTTTGAATATGTGGAATTTTAGTTAACAGATTAATTATTTCATTGACTTATTTGCTCAGAAATTCTCTATGGAGCAAAAGTTGGAGACCTCATACCAATTACTTATTTATTTGAGATACGTGTTCACTCTGTCACTCAGGCTGAAATGCAGTGGCACAATCACAGCTCACTGCAGCCTCAACCTCCCGGGCTCAGGTGATCCTCCCACCTCAGCTTCCCAAATAGCTGGGACTATAGGCCCATGCCACCACACCCAGGTAATTTTTGTACTTTTTGTAGTGACAGGGTTTCACTATGTTGCCAGGCTGGTCTCCAACTCCTGGGCTCAAGTGATCTGCCCACTTTGGCCTTCTAAAGTGTTGGGATTGCAGGCATGCCTCACAGTACCTGGCCCCCAGCCATGCAAATTAAAGAGACTGTTTAACATAAATTTAAACAACAGCTGACACCCTCCACTTTCAACCTGGGGAGATAAAAAAAGTTTTTTAAATAATGATTTATGTCAGCTATTTATTTATTAATTGCATCCCCCACCCCCCAAAAAGGACTCAAGGCAGCTACATTCCCTAAATTGTAACTGGGTCAATGTGCAACTAAAAACATTAAATGCGATCACTATATATTTAAATTGCCTAAATTGCATTCAGAGAATACTTGATCATTTGAAAAATTTGTTTTTAATTACTAAATGAGAAATAATGAACCAAAGTAGACAACTCAAGTTGCTTTAAAGAAAGAATAACTTATGAAAGTCAATCAAAGGAAATAATAAAGAAAAAAGCTAAAATTAATCAATTAAAAAACAAAAAAGAATATTTATAAATAAGAATTCAGAGTATGTGGAAAAACAAAATATAAAAATTTATCAAGGCTAATCAAGTAAAAAAAGAAAAGGCTAATGCACAAGAAAAGAAGTATGACTACATAAGCAGAAGAAGTAAAAAATTGTATTTCATATACCTTAATGATAATTAATCATAAATCTTGTTAAAATAATTTTTTTCTAGAAAAATATAGCTTTTCAACATTGACTCAAAAGGAATTAGTAAACACTGATCACACAAAACGGAAAAAAAAGAATATATTGTTAAATTTTTTCTTCAGAAAAGAGCCAAGCTCCAGTAATATCTGTTAGGAGCAATTCACCATGAATTCACCATACACTTCTTGTAACAGCTTCTATCTAGAACTCTCTTTTCAATGATGTTTGTATAGCAAAGGTAATGTCTTCCTCCAAGGTAAAAGTTGGGTAAGTTTGCTAGAAGCCCCCTGATAAAATTGGGAGATTCCTACATTAAGGATTTGTCAGCTGTGATAAAAACCTCTGATATATGTAGCATCCACATGGACCACTTTCATATCACCCTTTGAGTCTTGAAGCCAAAGGAAACAGTTCATGCTGCCTGTTGTGTAGTAATAAAGTCCTTTGTCTCTCAGGCTGGAGTTTCATGTCTTCTGCTAGCATCTGTGAAACTATGGCAGGCTAACCAGTTAACTTGCCAGGGTAAAATCTCAGACCCTTCACATATCTTGATAGTATCGTGAGAGAATGTATCAAACCTTTAAGGAACTGAAATGCCCCATGCAATTTAACATAGAAAAAGAACTAAATAAACCTTCCTATTTCATTTTAAAAACTGTAGTAAATCTCTGTTCCAATATCTTTAAAAAAGTACAAAATAGAATTATAGACCAATAGATATTCTAAATTAAATGTTTGTAAATTAAATCTAGTAATGTACTAAAAATTTAATAAACCATAGCCAATTAACGTATATTTAAAAATGCAATTTGATATTTGAAAACATAATTATTTTAGTTGATCAAGAGAAAAATCTACATATTTTTGCTGTTACTCCACAGTGGGGTAAGGCATTGCAAAAGTGATAATATGATTTTCTCAGGGAACATTCATTTTCCAGTGGGAATGGAAAATGAATGTTCCCTGAGAAAATCATAATATCTAAAGTATGTTCATTGGGTATTAGCACAACTATATAAGAAAAATACTAATTTTTAGAAAAATTGAACTATAGCCAAATAATTGCAATAGATGCTTCTAGGTAGTTAAAAAAATAAAAGCTAAAAATGGTAGTTGATTGTCAATGCAGAAAATAAAAAATCTATTCAAATTTCAGATAGATATTACTTTAATATAGTATTAGCAGTAATTCTGCCACATATTCACAAGGAGTGACATGATGCTAGAGAGAGATTTACAAATAAGAGAAGCTTCTTCCTTGTTTAATGGATAATGCTCTAAGGAAACACTCAAAATCTATTAAATTTATATTTAGGAATCACCCATATCCACGCCCCATCCTTCCTCTATATTCTAGTGCTACCCTCTCCTGTTAAGTACTTGTGATCATTGAAGCACCGGATCTGCGCAAAAACATGAGGTAATCTCTGATACAAAATTAGCACTCTTGCCACCATCTTCAAATTAAAATGTTCATTCCTCAAACAGAGATAGATTTTAACAAGTTACTTTTAAAAAGCAATACGATAAGCCTAATTTATATAATTGTGTGTGATTAATTGATGCTCAATCCTATCAAAAGTACTTTTAAAAGAAATATTAATTATGTAAAACATGTTCCTAACTTAAAAAAAATTCATGTTACAGTAAAATAGTCTTTGCGACAGGAAGGTTGTCATTAAGGCAAATAACTCTTGCCCAGGAAATCCATTGGTCAGCTCCCCTAAATGTTTCCAGATTTATCACATATTCATTTCCCACAATTTAGACCACAGAATATGTCATTTTTTTTACTCAAAGTAATCTCTAATTTTTTTAGAACAGTGGATAAGGCCACAATTTACTGTTTGTAATTTGGATGTGGTCATGATATTTATAATTTGAGTGTGACCGCTATATTCAAGTCTGTTTTTCAAATCTTCCATCTTCCTGCTGATGTGTCTTGAAAATGGAGTATAGGGTTTCGGTCATTCAACATTGAGTGCCTTGAATACAGTAATACTCATGAAATAGTTGTGAGAATGTAGAAATGAAGAGTGACCAATAGGAGAATAATATACAAATTGTGATAATCTTTAGAATATCTCAGAGAATAAATTTGTTTGAAATGTTTACTATTCCAGTACCTGGTGGTCAAATGAAACAGTGTATTAAGCTAAAACTTTTCCACATGAAAGTGTCAAAAATAATTTTATATCCAAATTTGGGACTGCTATAGCCAGAGGAAGAGGTATTTCCTGAGAGTAGAAAATATGGAGCAGAATAAAAAGCAATTAACTCTACAAGGAATGGGAGATTGTCTCTACTAGAACTCAATCTGGAAATTGTTCTTCCAGTGTAGTTCATTGTATTTCTCTCATAAGCTAAATTACAGAGGGGACAGCAAATCTATGGAAAGAACACACAGAGAAAGGAAATGACATAGGCGATACAGCAGGTCTTCTAAGGACAACTCATAACAAATTATATCATATATAACCTACAATTTTGTATAGATCTTTCCAAAAGCAAGGACAAACATCACTAGCTAGAGCTACAGTCCTCTGATGAATATGGTACACTGAAAATTTGATCTTAAGCAATGGCATTTGCAAATTATAGACAGTTAGTAAAAATGCCATGACATTATTAAAAAATCTACCATTTATGGATATATGATATGGAATTGCCTACTGAAGAGAGATCAAATTTAACTCCAGAACCATGCTGTCTGTATGTTATCTGAAGTTTGTGTATATTTTCTTACCTTTATTAGCTGTTGGTATTTCTAATTCTATTGTGTGTTTTCTCATATTCTCCATTAACTCTTGTGACTTTTATGAAGTATTTTATTAAACCATCCCTACAGATGATCCATAATTGTGATCAATTCTTTTGCCCAAAAGGAACACCTCAGATTAGTAACATTACATTTATAATGATGCCTTTAATGAGACTCTTTTCTTTGCAGGGATCCTTTACATTACATACACATTTACACCTTTACCACTTCCTAAACAGGGATGAGATCAGGTTTCTACGAGAAATCACATCGTCTTTTCACCATTTAACACTCAATAACTGATCATAATCATAAATAAATAGCATCATTAATGATAAGGCACATCAATCTCTAAACTCTGCATCTTCAGACTCTATGATTCTGGTCACATAAGGTGAATGCACAACAAGAGCTATCCAAGAAACTGGTAAGAGACAACTTCATATAAATTTAAGGTTATCTGACAAGCACTGTTGACATAGTTAACAGAATCCTTAAGTGCTAGAAAGCAATAGATGATTTAACCATTTTCACTAGAGTAGGAAGTATCAGGAAAAGAAAGAGAATGAGACAGACAGAGAGAGAGAGAGAAAGAGAGACACACACAGACAGAGAGAGATTGATTCAGCTTCTGCACCCAGGATGAGTTTGGTAAAGTATCAGGAGTATCAGGCTGGTGGAGTTTGAACAGTATTTCTGAAATGCTCCTGCTTCTTGCTACTAGCAGCATGTGGACAGCAAAATTATCCAAAAAGCATCTATTATCTATCTATTTATTCATTCAACACATATTTATTGCGTACTTCTGGCCAGACATAGTACTGAGATTTTAGGATACAGAAAAGGATATAAAAGAAAATTCCCTCCCCTTAGAGAAGAAATTATTCTGGCAGGAGATAGGCAGACAAAAGACAGGTATAAATGAATTACCAAAACAAGTTCAGATAGAGATCAGTGCCCAGAAAAAATCATGAGACCATATAATGCTTCCAAGTGGCTGGGGGTGGGTACAGTTGGGAGTAGAAAGGCAGGGACAGGCTTTTTGATGAAAAGAAATGCAAATCTCAATAATTTAGAGGCTGGTTATAGAGGATGTTTTATTCATCTCTCTCCTGCTGACCATCTTTTGCCATTTCACTAATTATTATTGTTCCATTATAGTGCTGGAATGCCAGTCGATAAATGATTATTGAGACCCCACTGTGTTCTCAGCACCACTGTGACTAGAAAATGTGGTTGAATTCAAATAACTAATTCTACTGCTCTAATAAAATGTGAGGTGGGGAAGAATGCTTAAATCGGTAAATAACTTAAGCCTTCTTGCTTTGAGAGGTGCATTGGAGTCTAAGCTTCCTCCAATCCATTCGTAGCTCACACATCTGAAACTCAGCCATCGGTTTCAGCAACTGCTCTAAGAAGAGGCATCACGTATTGCCACTAGATGGCACCAATTATTTTCATATTTTTAGGTCAAGAAAACCCTTTTCTAAAATGTAATGGCCACATTTAAAATAGAAGAATGTTACTTAGCATTGTTATTAACAAAGTATTATTCTCTTCTTAATAATTTTCTTATAGACAAACCAATAGAACTAAGAAGATATGTTCTTTCACCCACATACTTGTTCATGCAATGTACATTTGTTCCAAATAGTCTTTAAAAAAAAGTTCTCACACGTCTTTAGATATGTAAAAAGTAGGGAAAGTAATGGAAATATTGATATAATAATTGAATATATAAATATCATATTTGAATATATAAATATGAAGATCAAAAATAGCTCATATATTATGATACTACATATACTTTGAAAACTTTCACAGAAAAGAGTTTTAAAATACTACGGAAAATATTTTTGCTTCTTAGAAAAGATGTCCCTTTGTATCTTCCAAAAATGAGTAATATTTTTAAATGTAATTTAAATATGGTACTAATTCATTACAATTAAATGTAACAAAAACTATTGCAAAATTTAAAATGGGATAGGAATCATTTAACTGAATGCAAACATTTTATAGGTATAGCTTAATATAATTTGATTAATAAAAGTTCAGGCCTAAAAGAACTTTTAATACAATTTCCCTGTTTCAAACAAGTAAATTTATAGGTCCATTAGAATATTATGCAAAATTTTTCTACAGGAGAAGAGCGTGACATATTTTCATTCCTCAAAAAAGTGGTTGGTAAACATTCAAAGTATATTTATTCAGAAACAAATGATAACCATTCTCATTCTCACATCCTTCATTAAAAGCATAAAAGGACTCTGGAATAAATATAGCCTACATTTTTATATTAATAGACTTCAAAATAAAGTACGATAATAAATGAGAGTACACATAAAATGCATTGAAAAGTACAATATGCTCTATGAATATATCATAATTACTTAGAAGAAACAATGAAAACTTCCAGGTTTATTATGTTAACAAATTTATTTTTAAAATCTTAACACCCTTGCTACTTCAGGATAAAAATTGTCTCAAACTAGCTGCTAATTTGACTATCACTATATTCCTTTCATTTTGAAACATGCAAAAATAATACTCACTTGGGTATCTTGAAGAGTTTTTTGTCTTACAGCAAGGAGCACTCTAAATCTCTGATCTTCCTCAAAGATTCTCTCTTCACAGTCTTTTTTCTCTTGCATATAATGATCAAACACAGTTTGTGCATGTTCCCTTTTAAATCTCATAGTTATAAATTTGTTCCTGTGAAGAAAGAATTCCATGTGCCACTAATCAATTCACATTTTATTTTTCAAAATGCATTTATGAGACATTTTAAAAGGACCAAAATGAAAAATCTTGAAGACCCTTGAACTGACAGGCCTTGGAAAAATTCCCTGGTTTTTCTCAAGGTCTACTTCCATAGGGCTACATCTAAATCATCCAGGTGGAAGAAAATCTATGGAAGAACAGTGTATTCTCTTGGTTGCCTATCCAGCATGCTTTTGTTCTCTAGGCATTTCAAGAAAACCCCTCCTCCAAGAGATATATTCTGATTAGTCCAACCAGCATATGACCCATTGTCCAGGGGCGAGAAGCTATATTAAGATAGCTCGAGGAAATGAGTGAGAAGCTCTTAATTCCATGTAGAAGAGCTCATACCCACTAAATGTGACTTACACATCATGCTTTCAAGGTTGCTGCCAACAGCCATAGTGGAGAGAGAAAAAAATGAGTGCCTGGTATTGAGCTGTTGAATCAACCAACCCTGCAGCTTGCTCTGCCAATTATGTAAGATGATGCCTTTTTTATTGTTTAAGCTGGTGTTATGTAAGATGATGCATTTTTTATTGCTTTATGCTTCCTGTTACATAAGATGATAGATTTTTTTATTGTTTAAGCTGGTATGTGAATAGGTGTATGTATGCATGTGTGTGCATGTCTGTATTTTATCATTTGCAATTAAACACATCATAATGCAAAGGTAAAATAACTTTTATGGTGAACTCAGTAGTTATGTAAGGAACAATACTAGTAGAAAAATATCAAAACATGGTTAAAACAATACTGGTAACAATAACTTGCTTGCCAAAGTTGAGCAGCAACTCAGTGTCCAGATTAAGGTATCTGAAAAAGCTCAACACAGTCTTATTCTATCCACATTAGTTAACAAGTCTACCGATACAGAAAATTAAATCACTTGCACAGTTAGCTATAAAGGCAGCAAGACTAATATTTTGGGAAGGACTAAACTAATATCTCTGCTTTTAAATAATATCCCATTTAATACAACAAAAACCACTCTATGAAATAATAATGAGATAGCCACCTAGAGTTGAGGAACCTAAACTTGGATAATTAATTAGCTTGTGTAAGCTCAACTAGTTGGTAAATGACAGAACCAGAATTCAAATCTAGTCCTGCCTTTTTCTGATTCAGCAGTTCAACATTAAGTACTCATTTTTTTCTGCTCTTCGTTATAGCTGTTATCAGCAAATTTGAAAACATATCACTTTGTTTACAGTTAGTGGATGTGAGCCTCTTCTTCTACAGGAAATAAGGTTCTTCTCCTCTTTCATCTATCTTGCCCTGGTTTTTCCTCTACATCATTCATACCAAAAACATTCCAAATTATTAAGTGATGTCTGATCAGTAGCCAATGATATTGACATCTTGGAGCAGAGAGAACCAATGAAATTCACACAGGAAGGAGCTAGTGTGACCAAAACGATAAAATGTTCATAGTTGATCCCAAAAAAACATTGATATATTTTGACCACATGTACTTTGTTCTCTACACTGTTTTGATATTGAATTATATTAATTATAGCATTGTATTAATATCTACACAGACATTTATATACACTATGTACGTGTATATCTATGCAATAAAATAATGTTTCCTTTCTCACAGTGATAAAACAAGTGGACTTTGAAGTCCTATGGGTCTGGATTTTAATTTTCCACTTTCTAGTTAAGAAGCAATTATAAAAATTAAATGAGGGTCAAGGATGGCTTTGATTGCCATTATTTTTAACACCATATTTTAATTGTCTTGTTTATATAAGGTTTGTCTCTCTGCAAAGATCTTCAGACACTTGAAGATACACTTTCCCACTTGCCATTTCTTAGTCCTTATTGGGGCCTGGCAGTATGCCCACTATGAGTTCTCAATAAATAATAAGTAGCTTGTTGTGGGAACTTATTGAAAATATCAGTAGATTATTCATAAAACAGCTGATCTTCCTTTGCAATCCCACTTTAGGGGGTCAGTTGAAAGGGCACACACTTGGAACAGGTTGGAGCTAAGCTGAAGCTACCTCTACCACTACTTAAGAGTGTGATCTTAGATTCCCTGAGCCTCTGTTTCTCAGCATTCATTGGAAATGATACAATTTAACCACTTGCTATAAGAATTGGATGAGACAAGGTACACACATTGTCCAGGACGTACCTGGCACAATAGCAAGTCATTCAACGGTAGCTTTAAATATTATTTGACATTATATACCATCACTGCTAATTAATAGTTGTATAAGTAATTCCACAGTATTGGCTAATTCTTTTTCTCCTTTTCTTGTTGGAAGGCAGGGCTTTGTCAAGTTTAGAGAGAGAACTGATTCACTGGGACATGGAAACCACTCTTGTCTGAAAGGCCATATAATCCAGCTTCAGAAGAAGTTAGGATTGAAACGGGAGGAAGCCTGAAGAAAAAATTTTCATCAGCTCCTGAATTAGATCTTTATAATTTTAATGTAAGTTATATACATTTATATTTATATCTTTGAGTCCCAAGCTATTCTTACAGGTATTAAACAAGGTGGATAAATATCTTTAAAAGTAAATGATATGTTTCCCTGCTTTTTCACATAATATAGTGAATATGAGTAGTGTTTTTCAGATAAAGCTGAATTATCATGTTGAAAATAAGTTTTACTCTATGATAATAGCTAAACAAATGCTTGATGGGGGCATTGACTTGACTCCATTAGAATGCATGGCAACAGGCTGGGCATAAATTTTTTCTGACACTTTATCCCTCAAGCATTATGATTTTGCTAATGCTTGTAGTAACCTTCTTTATTTAAAGCAGACTGTTGTCCCTAAATGTGGCCAGTGCATGTTCCTCTAATACTCCTCCAAGTCCAGTTCTCAATGTTTTACAAGATAGGAAATGAGAAGCAAAATGAGTAAAGGAAGAGTAAATAAGTTTTAGGTTAGGGTCTATGGATACCCAATGAGCCTGAGAGCATGATCATTCTCTCAGGACTTACTAACCCTGAACAATTATATCCCCGACTCATGAGGTGACTGATAAGAAACTTTTGAAATGATAAATTTGAATAAATTGCACGAGGTTTCATAGAATATCTGAGTCTGAACTCTTACCTCAAAACTAATCAAAAACATTTGGGTGAAAAAACATAAATTATTAAACATGGAGTATAAATACTGATACATCTGAAAGTAATGAAGAATATTATTAATGTCATAAAGAATAAAGTTCTCCTCCTTGGAAAGGGAGAAACATTTCCAGTTATTCAAATAAGAACAAACCCGAGAAGCAATAATGAATGAAAGCAGTTTATGATTATGCTTTTATAAACTAAAATTATCAAATAACACATATATATTCCACACTACGTTATAATTAAAAATACGAACCATTTTAAGAATGCATTTTAAATATGGAAATTTGATCTTATTTATTAATATTTTTTAAAAACTTCATATTTTGATAAAGTTTAAGTACTTACTTTAATATTTCAAGTGTCTGATCAAAACTTTTCTTTTCTTCTTCTTTTGCTTTTAATTCCTCATTCAATTCATTTATTTTTGCATAAAAAATCATTGTCTTACTTTTAGTTGCTTCTAGGTCTTTAAAAATTGCTGAGCGTTTACTCTGAAAAAAAATATACACAAGTGTTTATTTTAAATACTTGGATTTTCAAATCCCTGCTATTTAGGAACACAATTACATTGGCTGTGTGAACAACTAAAAGTTAATAGTGGGCCACACCTGATGGCTCACTCCTGTAATCCCAGCACTTTGGGAAGTCAAAGCAGGAGGAGCCAGGAGTTCACTTAGAGCCAGGAGTTCAAGACCAACCTGGACAACAAAGCAAGCACCTGGTCTCTACCCAAAATTTTTTTAAATAGCCAGGTGCAGTGTTTCACACCTGTAGTCCCAGCTACTTGGGAGGCTGAGGTGGGAGGATCACTTTAGTATAGGAGGTCAAGGATGCAATGAGCCATGATTGCTCCACTGCACTCCAGCCCAGATGACAGAGTGAGACCCTGTCTCTAAAAAAACAACTGAGGTTTATATTCTCCACTGTTACATCTGATTTTCTAAAAAATAAAATTGTTTATTCTCTCTGTCCCACACAAACTTGCTCCCCTTTCCAAACACACACCTAAATGCATACTTTATAAGCATGTCATTTCAAGATGCAAACATGTCGTCACTGGTTTTCAAACATGTACAAAGTGCATTGGCAGGCGGACAAGGATATATATATTGTTCTGATATTTCCAGCAAAAGAAGCCAATATTTACTACCAGCACTTCTTTCCATGGTAGGCCTGTGCAATTCCAGAATGAACATTTGATTGTGCATCTATTTTTGTGTCATCCCTTTATGACTGTTTGTGTTCAAATGGAACTGAGTGACTCACTGATGGACTGTTATTGAATTGTTCCCCACATTCAGCATGGCTGCTAATTAGTGTTACTCTCCCAACTGATTCTACAGATCTCAATGGCTCCTTCTGCCTCCACTATCTTCTATTTTCCCCATATGCTTCCAAATACTTTCTTTACTCATAGATTTCAAGAATAACAACTAATATTTTATATTTGTTTTACTATAAAACCTTACTGTTTGTCTAAGATTTTGAACATTGGGTACTGCATTTGAATTTTCACATCCTTCCTGCTTTGTTTCCTTCCTTTTCTGGAAGTTCTGATAATTTTCTACTGATAAATAAAAGGATTTTTTCTCCTTATACTAGAATGTAGTGGAAATATAACTAACTAAGATTTGTTGATAGGTCCATTGGAGTATTAAGTTATTTGGGTGGGGGTGGAAGTAAACCCAAAGACAGAGAGCGGACAGGTGTGAGTATGGACACTCTAAGTACTCCATGCTCTCTATCCCTAAACTTGACGTTTAGATCAGATTTCATCATTCATTTCTTAGTCTTAGCTGAAGAGTCTCCTCTTCAAAGGAATCTGGTTTTGCATAGTATATCTTTTAGCACACTGTAAAATTTATTTAGCTAATATATTTATGATCTGGTCATCTATGCTCATAAGCAAGATCACCAACGGACTTGTTTCTTGCACTATTAATTTTTGGTTATGGTTGCAAGGTTTTAGTTTCATTATAGAATGATTTTAGAAGATTTCCATGCTTTCTTATGCTCTGTAAGTGGTATTTGTAGAGAGACTCATAAAGTATCTTGACTGATTCTTGGTTTTATTGGTAGAGTTTGGACAAATTAAATTTCTTCTATGATCATTGATCTATTCTTGTGTTTTATTTCTTTTGACCCAGTTTTCACCATTTTATAAAGAAATCATACATACAATTGATATAGATCTTAAAACAAATTCCTATGCAAAGTAGTATTTAATTCACTGTGTATATAATTATACCCCTTTTAATCACTCCCATGGCTGTTAATTTTCATTTTTTCTTCTTTGCCCTTAATAAATATGTTAAATATTTTTAGATTTTTTTTTAAATCAAAATCATTTATTGGTAATGTCAAAATACTATATTGGCCTATGTCATAAATTTTGCTGTATAGTTTGTCATTATTGGTCATGTATAAATAAATGGTAATTTGTATTTTAGTTATTTCTTAGCACAGAAGCAAATTAATAAAAGAAATGTGATTCTGAAATATTTCTAGTAGTGCATATACTTTTTATTTCTTTTTGCCCTGTATTTTTGTCATTGATTTCTGATTTTAATTCATTGTATGCAAACTTGGGTGACATGACCAATACAATATAATGGTTAAGAGCATCTATTTCAGTGTCAGACTGTCTGGGTTGGAATTGCAACTTTACCACTAATGAGTTATGTGAACCTGTACAAGTTAATTAAGAAACAAAGCATCAGATTTCTCAACTGTAAGATAGAGGTAATAGCACACTCTTCATAGGCTTATCATGAAAATGAAATGATGTGCTGTTATGTCTGTGCACTTAAAACAATGCCTGACACACATAAAACATGCAGCAAATATCTATTATTTTCTCTGTAATTTTTTAAATATTTCTTTTGAGGCCCATTATAAGACAAACATTTAAAAAATGATATGAGGACACCTCTCTCTCATGGCCCACATGCTTTCCACCAACAAATCCTATTGGAACCACATTTGACATACATCTAGAGGACATATTACTAGGTTAAAAACAATATTGGCTGCTTAAATGTCTTCCTTTGAGAAGTGTCTGCTCATATCCTTCACCCACTTTTTGATAGAGTCATTTGATTTTTTCTCGTAAATTTGTTTAAGTTCTTTGTAGATTCTGGATATTAGCCCTTTGTCAGATGGGTAGATTGTAAAAATTTCCTCCCATTCTGTAGGTTGCCTGTTCACTCTGATGGTAGTTTCTTTTGCTGTGCAGAAGCTCTTTAGTTTAATTAGATCCCAGTTGTCTATTTTGGCTTTTGTTGCCATTGCTTTTGGTGTTTTAGTCATGAAGTACTTGCCAATGCCTATGTCCTGAATGGTATTGCCTAGGTTTTTTTCTAGGGTTTTTATGGTTTTAGGTCTAACATTTAAGTCTTTAATCCATCTTGAATTAATTTTTGTATAAGGTATAAGGAAGGGATCCAGTTTCAGCTTTCTACCTATGGCTAGCCAGTTTTCCCAGTACCATTTACTAAATAGGGAATCCTTTCCCCATTTCTTGTTTTTGCCAGGTTTGTCAAAGATCAGATGGTTGTAGATCTGTGGAATTATTTCTGAGGGCTCTGCTCTGTTCCATTGGTCTCTATCTCTGTTTTGGTATCAATACCATGCTGTTTTGGTTACTGTGGCCTTGTAGTATAGTTTGAAGTCAGGTAGCGTGACGCCTCTAGCTTTGCTCTTTTGGCTTAGGATTGTCTTGGCAATGTGGGCTCTTTTTTGGTTCCATATGAACTTTAAAGTAGTTTTTTCCAATTCTGTGAAGAAAGTCATTGGTAGCTTGATGGGGATGGCATTGAATCTATAAATTACTTTGGGCAGTATGGCAGTTTTCACAATACTGATTATTCCTATCGATCAACATGGAATGTTCTTCCATTTATTGTGTCCTCTTTTATTTCATTGAGCAGTGGTTTGTAGTTCTCCTTGAAGAGGTCCTTCACATGAAAAAATGCTCATCATCACTGGACATCAGAGAAATGCAAATCAATATCACAATGAGATACCATCTCACACCAGTTAGAATGGCAATCATTAAAAAGTCAGGAAACAACAGGTGCTGGAGAGGATGTGGAGAAACAGGAACACTTTTACACTGTTGGTGGGACTGTAAACTAGTTCAACCATTGTGGAAGACAGTGTGGCAATTCCTCAAGGATCTAGAACTAGAAATACCATTTGACCCAGCCATCCCATTACTGGGTATATACCCAAAGGATTATAAATCATGGTGCTATAAAGACACATTCACACGTATGTTTATTGCGGCACTATTCACAATAGCAAAGACTTGGAACCAATCCAAATGTCCATCAATGATAGACTGGATTAAGAAAATGTGGCACATATACACCATGGAATACTATGCAGCCATAAAAAGGATGAGTTCATGTCCTTTGTAGGGACATGGATGAAGCTGTAAGCCATCATTCTCAGCAAACTATCACAAGGACAGAAAACCAAACACCACATGTTCTCACTCATAGGTGGGAATTGAACAATGAGAACACTTGGACACAGGGTAGGGAACATCACACACCGGAGCCTGTCATGGGGTTGGGGGTGGAGGGAGGGATAGCATTAGGAGATATACCTAATGTAAATGACGAGTTAATGGGTGCAGCATACCTACATGGCACATGTATACATAAACAAACCTGCACATTGTGCACATGTACCCTAGAACTTAAAGTATAATAATGATAATAATAATAAAGACAATATTGACTTTCTCCCCTTTCCTACAGCCAATAATTCACGAGTTAGAAATGTTAGCAATAAGAACTTTCATGGGGAAATATTTCTAATTTGGAAAAAGCCCTAAAGTCTCCAGTCACACATCCATTTGTTTATGCTGAATACATACTAACTTGGGGGTAAAATTTAGATGTCAGGTAGGAACAAATGTTTTGGTCTGTAGATTGCTCCCATCTGCAGAAACACAATACTCTCTGGTAGAGAACAAATCCCAGTCTCTACTTTGTAGAAAAGGCAATGGGGGTAAGGGAGCAATCAGTGGGTGTTACAATGCACCGATTACTGTACTATGCATTGTATTTGAACTGTGCCTTTTATGACTCACAGTAGCAATATAATCAATGTTATATCCATTTTACAATAGAAAATCCAGAATAGTCTGGATGGTACAGCTAGTTTAAGTGGTGATGACTGGTTAAACACTAGATTTCTCTGACTCCAAAGCCTTTACTATTTTCTCTATACCAAAACTGGCCCTTGCTTTTTGGTCACTGCTGCTAAAAGAAATTACATGAGATTTTACTATACATAGTAGGTATTGGCATGCATGAGTTTTGAGATTGGACAGAAGGGGATTCTTGCTACTTGGGAATTTAACCTCTATAAACCTCAGCTTTTAATTTATATAAATGCAATACTAAGTACTTCACAGGGTTGCTGTGAGAATTCAATGAAATGATCTGAGCCGTGTGTTTGCCCTTTGTCAGCACATTGAAATCAACATTAATAAATGACGTTGATAATAATTAATGAAGTTCATAAGAGGTAGCTGACCTACCTGACTTCTACTGATAACATTGGCTGAAGATAATACCCATGCTGGGAAAATGATTTTCTTTTCTGCTCTGAATTGAACCAGTCATTTTTCACTGCTGTAATAATCACAACTTCCACTTATGACTCCTAATTCCCAAATTCTAGTGTGCGAGAAGTGCCACTACCAAGGATACTCTCTTAAGTATACTTGAATGTATTTAAGCATTTGCCTATTCAGAGAAACCCACAAAGCCCTGCGTACCAGACAGGGATGGAGCTGTTTACTGTTATGAAGTCTACACCAAATATAGCCCATGAACCCTGCAATTCACTCACTTCATTTTTTCTCACAAGGGGTGAAGTCTACTCCCTGTCCACAGCCTCGCGCACTCTCAGTCATCTTCCTCAGAGAAGCTACACTCTCTTTCACCTGAAGATGTGAATATAGTGCCTAACAGACCTAGTAGGCACTGAGTTCATGCAGAAGACAACAGCATTAAACTTGCAGTGCTCTTTGACTTTTCTCTCCTTCTTTTGGCTAAAAAGTAAGCTGACTCTAACAGTCGAGTTTGGGCTCTAGTCCCACCTCTATTGAAGAAGTGAGTCTTGCCTTTGCCCAACTGCTATATTAAAATATTCTTGCTACAAAGCTCAGTAAAAGAGGGAAAGAGATAGATGGACATGAGATAAATAGGAAGGGTGACTTTTCAGAAAATTGATGAGACACTTAGTGCCTGTAGTGTGTGAGAATACTGGGCGGAAAGGCAAAGAGGTATGTATAAGGAGCGTCCCTTGGGAGTGATGAGGATACCATTACAGTTCTGGTCACAGTGTCCTTTATAAAATGCAAATAAAAGTAAATTATTTTAAAATTATTTTTTGGCTCTTGAACTATACTTCTTTTGTAAGCTGTGACTCCCATAGGGAATCACATAATTTAAAAACCTTCTGCTTTAAGCTCTCCTCATCAAAAGCAAAGCCAGTGAAGGTCTTTTCCCTGGCAAAACAGAGTATCATTTTACTATGAAAGTCAATCCTTTATTTTAACTGACAACTAAATAAAGGCTTTGTGTACAAAACCACTAGTAAGATGAATAGAAAAAGCTGACCTTAATTGGCTAAGTGAAGATGCTTTCTAAGAACAAAATCTTAGTAGTAGTTGGCTTAAAATTTAAAGAATTATGTATATGATTTTAAGTTATCTTTTGGAATATTAAAATGTATAGTCAAATTATATGATACAATATTAATATAAAAATAATTAAATTACATTAGTGATTCTAAGTTCTCTAACTGAAAAGAAAATGCTCACTAGTTTAAGCATGTTTATATTAAATGTGATATTTTATAGTTTCAGAGTGTCAGATTGATAATTTGGGGGTAAAACAGTAGACATATGTCAATAGAAGATTCTAGCCGTTTAACAAAAGTGTAATCATGCTATTTTTTATTGTTTAATTTTGACTTCTTCCTTCCTTCCTCCCTCCCTTCCTTTCTTCCTTCCTTCCCTCCCTCCCTCCTTTCCTGCCTCCTTCCTTCTTTCCTTCCTTCCTTCCTTCCTTTCCTTCCTTCCTCCCTTCTTCCCTCCCTTCCTTCCTTCATTTTCTTTCTTCCTGTCTTAGTTTGTTTAGGCTGTTACAACAAAACGCCTTAGAATGAGTACTTTATAAACCATAGAAATGTATGTCTTAAAGTTCTAGAGCTAAGCAATCCAAGAACTAGGCAACAACAGATTTGGTGTCTCATGAAGCTTCACCCTCTGCTTCAAAGATGGTGTCTTCTTCCTTCATACTCATGTGGTAGAAGGGGCCAGCAAGATTCTTGGGGCCTCTCTTATAGGGGCACTAATCCCAACGAGCTCTCATAATCTAATCACCTCTGGCCTAGCCTCTTATTGGGGATTATGTTTCAACATATGAATTTTGGGGGAACACAAACATTCAGACCATAGCAATTCCCCTTTTCCTTCCTTTTCTCCCTCTGTTCTTTCTTGTTTTCTTTCCTTTTTATTTCTTTTCTTCTTCTTCATTTTTTTTTGGTTTTTAATCTCCAAGTAAAAGGAGACAGCATGGCCATCACAGAAAGCAGTAGACTTCTGCATGAATCCAATATCTAATTTTCCTTGTATTTATCCTGATTAGGAGCTATGTCCCTGATAAACTAGACCAGTGAGGAAGATACTGCAAGAGAAAGTAAATGAAAACACAAGGACTGTGTGTGTGTGAGTGTGTGCGCTTTTATCCCTAGTCGATTTAGTGCAATCAATAAGAAATGAGACACATTCATTTAAAATTAAACTTGCTTGAATAGTTTTCACTGACATACATAAACTGTAAATTCAAAATTAGATTCTGAACTTAAATTCTTACCTCAGTTTCTATTAATGCATCAAGGGTTTTCTTCCCCTTTTTTCGTAATTTTTTCTTTACTTTTCCCACCTTTCTTCTAATAAGATCTTTCTGATCAATTATATTATTAAGCATCTAGAAGACATTCAGATATTAAGATGTGCAGCATTTGCAACCCAGTTATCCTCATTTAGGCCAAATCGTACTTAAGTGACTATTTTAATAACAACAGCATTTATTTTGGCAAATAAAGGGAAAGAACCATCACACATAAATTACAGAAATATACTGTATATCCAAAAATTTCAATATTCTATTTGCACTATGTGAGAAAGCCAAAATCTAATGAATTTTAGTTAAGTAACAAAAATAAATAAGCTTACATAGAAAGTATGAATATTTGTTATAATATTTGTTTTAATCAAAACTAAAACTCCAAATACAAATAGTAAGCAATCACTACCAAAAAGTATGTAAAAACTTATTCTTCCTTACTGTGTGCTAAATTATTAATTCTTATAATTTATTAACTATTAAAATATAATCAAACCAAAAATGATTACTGAACTACAAGAAGATGTAAAACCATGGCTGTTATAAAATAACAGGAAACAAAGATCATTAATCTTTTCTGGAATTCATTATTGTACTCAGACAACCTCACTTAGGCTTTTGATGCAATTAATAAATTTCCATCATTAATGTAAGGGGGAGCCATCATTAAAATCATTTATCCCACTAGATGTTTGTACTGGTTATACATTCTTTGCAGGAGCATGATGATAGCATTTAGAAACCCTAAATACAGTGGTACTCGGAATTTGTTGTTTCCATGCTTCATGACCTTATACACGTTGCTCAGGCTCTTTAAGCACAAGTTTTCTCAAGTCTTTGATACCAGTAAACTCCCTCTTGCCTATTTCATAGGAAGGCTTTGAAGCTCAAAATAAACTTTTAAAATAGAAACACTTTTTAAATCACAATTTTAAGAAATAAAGACATTTTGAAAATTATCAAAGACTAAAAATATAAAGTTACATTATTATTTGCAAAGGAAAAAAGTTCTGGTGCCGAAATGTCTCAAATAAATATATGTATGGCCTCCCTGCAGGGAAGGACAAGAATGTATAACTCTTGCCACACCCTCTAGTTCTCCAAAAGACTAATGACAGGATTAATACATGTTTTTCGACTAAATTTTTCTTTGGGAAGGGCTAGTGATATCAGTTACTGCCATAAACTTGTAATTTTGAAAATATTTTATCAACATTTGCTTTATTTTTCATCCTAGCTGTCTAAACATCTACATGCATCAAAAATTTACCATGAAAATGTCAAGATCTCTTACATTTTATATGCAAATGAGCACAACTTTAGGATTTCATTAAGAAGGAGTGAAGACTTTGAATCAAGTTTAACATAATGAACGTTCACACCAGATAAGTCACTACTCACGCACTTGAAACCTGCTTTTCCCAAGTACCCTCTAAGACTATGGGGTTCTAGATAATAGCATTAATGGTCTTGCTATAGAGTTTCACTGCAGATCAAGTTGCGTGGTCCTGAAATAGTTACTTAGTTTGCCCCTATGTGAAATCATAATTTCCCAAATGATAATGTAAAATCACATGCGTAACTTACTAACGTATATATTTCTGCACATTAATTTTTGGATTAATTAAATGCTTACAACAGAATGTTCTTTGTCGAGACTTCTGATTCTTTCAGCTTCATCTTCTAGTTGAAGCAGAGGTTCCTGTAGTTCTGCCAGTGACATGGCACATATTGCTCTATTTTTTATAAGCTCTTTCCGCTCAAGTGCCTGGACTTCGTAAATGGAATATAGTTTTTTCTGCCAGCAAAGATTTTAAATAAATCATTCAGTTATTAACTTAAACATTTATTGAGCCTCTTATTCAGTGACAGGCAGTAATATTTGTTTTTATTTGAAAATCAAATAATACAATAAATGTCACCATAAAAAATGGATACGAATGTAATATATATTACATATATTATATTACATATATTATAATATCCAAAAATCTCATGGATGTAATATAATATAATATATATATGCTTTTTTTAAATTTTTTGAGGCAGAGTCTTGCTCTGTCACCCAGCCTGGAGTTCAGTGGCATAATCTCTGTTCACTACAACCTCCACCTCCCGGGTATAAGCGATTCTTCTGCCTCAGCCTTCTCAGTAGCTGGAATTACAGGCCTGTACCATGCCCGGCTAATTTTTGTATTTTTAATAGATAAGGGGTTTTGCCATGTTGGCCAGGCTGGTCTCGAACTCCTGACCTCAAGCGATCCACCCGCCTTGGCCTCCCAAAGTGCTGGGATTACAGGCGTGAGCCACCACACACTGCCGAATGTAGTATATTTAAAGATAATACAGTTATTGTTAGAAGGAATGAGAGAAACACTTTAATAGACAATAAAAATCAAACATTTAAAAAAATATTTCCCAGCCCAAAATGTCAAAATCAATCATTCTTAAGTAAGGATTGGAGGACACCAAGTTAGAGAACACACTAATAACACATCGTGGAATATATGCAAGTACTGCAATATAAGACAAAACCAACTAACAGGTCTTTCCAGTTAGACACTTAGAAATAAAACATACGTATAGAAATAAATGAGGAAGTTTAGTGTTTTGAAACATATAGAAGCAAACACTGCTTCTATGTTTGAAAATGCCAAATTTCATAACAGAAAAAAATTACAAAATTTAGGTTTACTTCCAAGAGAAGCAGAGGTGTAGATCATCTCAAAAAACACTGTTAGGGCCGGGCGTGGTGGCTCACGCCTGTAATCCCAGCACTTTGGGAGGCTGAGGCAGGCGGATCACCTGAGGTCAGGAGTTCGAGACCAGCCTGACCAAAATGGAGAAACCCTGTCTCTACTAAAAATACAAAATTAGCTGGGCATGGTGGTGCATGCCTGTAATCCCAGCTACTCGGGAGGCTGAGGCAGGAGAATCACTTGAACCTGGGAGGCAGAGGTTATGGTGAGCCAAGATCGTGCCACTGCACTCCAGCCTGGCGACAGAGCAAGACTCTTTCTCAAAAAAACAAAAACAGAAACCCACCAACAAACAAAAACACTGAAACTGTTTTGACTCTTGTTTTTTTTCTTATAATAATAATACTAATTTCAAATATGTAAGTATTTCTAAAGGGGAGGCATTCTAGAAACACGGCATGGATCAAAAAACCCAATCTGGATTCCAAAGGATATGCAGGTGGTAGACAAAGATTTTAAAAATTCAAGTTGTTTTTGCCAGCTTACATGCTTTATTTTCAAAATCTCTATATGGAAGTATCAAAGCATATTTTTCTTTCAGGGTTAAATAAACAAATCCAAGTGAAAGACACTAACAGTAAAGAAAACATAACATCACCACAAAGCAAACTAAAGAGTCAGACACTTAAAAATAAGATCCCACTGCTCTTTTACTAGACTGGCAGAAATTCCCATTATGCCACAAAATGAGATATGTATATGGGAGGTCAATTTCTTTATGCATGATCAGACACTGCTGGTTGTACACAGAGGGCAACTGCCATCAGCTAAGGAGAGAAAACTGCTGGCTTGCAAACCAAGTAGTGACAAGATGCCTCATTACAGGCAAATTTAAAATGCTAAGTAAAATGCAAATTAAAGGAAGAATAAAATATTAAAACCAAATCAGTATTACCTGAAGCACCATTCCAGCAGCCACTTCACCTTGAGTGAGTTTTTTCAGGAATTCTTCTCTACCCTATATGTTAGGAAATTTTTAAAATGAGGATTTTCTTCATAAAACATCAAAAACATTTTTTAAAACAATTGCTAATATAAGACACATTTTTAATGTTTCAATATAGAGTAAAATATTAATTATAATTTATTATATGTATTTTTAAAATCCTGGTGTTTTTCGAGGTAAAGTAATTAAGTGGTACAGCACCAGGAATTAGACTACAAAATTTCAGTCTTTCCAGTTTGCATTTTATAGTCCTAAACTTAAAAAATCAAAGTAATAAGAAAGTGAAACAAGGTAGTCATCAATTTCTCCTTTTAAAAACTATCAGTTTGTTTTTAATATTACTTTCTGGAATAAACACAATCAACTTTCAAAACAAGATAGATGCAAGTCAAGTGTGAAGTGTGCAAAATAAGAGCAGACTCTCCATTTAGCTAGAACAATTCCTTTTTTTTTTTTTTAAATCATACCTTTCAAGTTTGTAGGGAAAAAATTTGGAAAAATCTTTTCTTTGCTACCTGGAAAAATTGTTGTAAATTGTTCATAGATTTGCTTTAAATTATCACGCAAAACCAGAATTGGAAGTAGTTCATAAAGTTCCTTCTGTCTTAAAATTACATCTTGGAACCCCTGATTTGAGGGAGGAGTTGGCTGGGATTTAGGATGTCCTCCAGATTCAAAAGATATATGTATGTGTGTGTGTGTGTGTGTGTGTGTATATATATATATATATATATATACACACACACACACACACATAGTTTTGCAAGGAGGAACAATAAAAATTCAGAAATGTCTCTGATACCCCTACTTCAATACTGAATCCCTCATCATATCCCAGGGTCTATAGAGACAATACAAAGAAACAAGCCAGCAGGCCTCTGCTCTAACACTTTCTCTACTCAATATAGCAAACCAGCAAAATTATGTTTACCTCAAGCAAAAGAATAATTCCAAAGAAGGAAACATGAAGGTGGTAAATAAAGCAGTAACTTTGATATATCATTTTACTTAAGGATATATCTACATCTAAAATGAATTTATGCAACAATACGTTTTGATAATTTTAAATAGATTAGCGACCTCTTCTAACATGATAGCAGATACAGCACAGTTTTTCAGTTTGTTTATTATTTAATAGAAATGGAACAAAATTCAAAATGGCTTTGTAGACTGGAGAAAAATATATCATATTCCAAAATAGCTCGATTTGACCTTTGTCTGAAACTAATTGAAAAATGTGTATGTATGGGCATGTGTGCTTTTGTTGTGTTTTATGTGTTAGAGAAAAGACTTGGTGAATGAGGTGAAGCTGAAGAAACAAACAACTCTTAGATTATGCAGAACCTTCCAGGTACATTAATAAAATTAGTGAAGAATGGTAAGCAAAGTGTGTGTTTTAGATCACTCTGGTTACAATATGGATTGATTCATTTGTGTTTCCTTAATATTCACTCATCCATTCATTCTTTGAAGTTTTTTTGTTTGTTTTTTTAATTGTCAACTAGTGAGAAAGCAAGTTATTATTGAAATGAATTCAAGTCACTTAAATTGGATAAATTAATATTGTTTGAAAAGAACTTGTGGATGTGTGGCTTGGAAAGAACTGCAGGCAGTATATGAGACATTTAAATAGATAAGAAGCCTGAAGCTGCAAGAATAAGACACTTGTATTTCTCTGAAAAGAAGAAAGATACTACATTTGAAATCTGTGTACAAAACCAACTCAGCCTGTTACCAGTGGACAAATTTGTACACTGCATGGGCAAAACATCTGGAGCTTCTGTCTAGCGTCTCAAAGAACTTTACCAAGCTCCATTTTCTACCATGCCCCCAAACCTCTGTGATCCAGACAGCCAGGTTAAATGACCAGTCACCAGGAGAGAAAGTATTTATCACTGGCTGGGCTGCCAATTGCATACTTACACAAGACCCAACACCACAGGGAGTGTTTCCAGGCAGATGCTCAAGGCCTTCCTATGAGACGGTCCTCTTTACAGAAAATGGTCTACCCAAAGCACTGGGAAAATGCCAAGAGGCTACACAGTTTCTGAGAGAACTACTGAATACTTTCAAAACACCACAGAGTACCCCAAAGACTGATACAGGGAGAGCTCTGATGGTCAAAGGTCTTAGATTACAGGTCCAACATCTGAGAGAGGGGATTTATTTGTTTTCCCATCCTATTATCACAGGCATTGTTCCCTGTAAAGCTGACTCTAGAGTTAAGTTTAGTGTATAGGATACTTATTAAGGAGCATATTTGGAATCAACTCCTGTGGACAGGAGAGGAATGAAGCAGGATTGGACAGAAACATAGGCTGAGCTGCCATAGACTCCCAACAACAACCTCGATCAACTCCACAGCAAACCATGAGCAATAATGGACCATCAGATTTGCCCCAAGTTGGACTAAGGTAGCAAGGCTATCATTCTATTTTTATTGGTCATTAAATGTGAGCTACCCCAGGAACAGGAATGACCTTAAGCAAAGTGACTGAGATGATTCCTGAAGGAGAATCTGGGCAGTTACATTCACATAACAATATAAATGCCATGTGTTCCCTCAATGATAAAACTACCATTTGTACTACTCCTAGTAATGATGGCTAAGATACATTATATGCTTTCTGGTAGAATTATCTTGTCTTAACTTCACAATGAAATCTATAAAATAGTTATGATTGTCCCTTTTGCACATAGGAAAACTGACAGAGAGATTACATAAATTGACCAAGCACACAAAGCTGGCAATTGATGGAACCAGGATACTAATTTACACAATGTGACAGAGAGCATCTCAGTGACACCCAGATATGTAGGAACCCTCAAAGTTATAGGAATATTTAATGTAGAGCCTTCTGACTCTCATGTGCCCCTTTTCTTGTAGGGCCTCCTTTAACATGAGGCTTTCCAGGCAAATGGGACACCTCTTTGAATTCTGAATCTTAGCCACCTATAGTTGAGACTGAAGAACTGAGACTTTGGGTGAAAGGGTTCCAATTAGCTAGTGATGCCATAGTTGGTTCTAAAATGGAATCTGCTAGAAACTTATGGGCTCCTGGGGAGATACTACCTTTCATTATTCAACATGAATTATGTAGCTGCTGAGAAAAAGCCAGGGTTAAATGAGTTCAAATTACCAAGAGGAAAAATGTCACAAGAACTATAGTGTGGTCTGCTTAGTGAAATACTGATTGCCTACATTGGGCAAAATCCTCTAACCTAAGGCTATTTTATAATAACATGTTGAATAGCTCACGTAATTTATCGAATGCCATACTGAGAGAGAGAAAAACAGAATGGCTGTATGAGTGCTCAAAGTATGGTCTCCACTGAATATGCATCACTTTCACACCATGGTAAAGTTGAAAAACTGTAAGTGGAACCACATTAACTCAGAGGCTGTGTGTGTGTGTGTGTGTGTGTGTGTAAGTTAATTATCATATCCATTAGTGAAATAGCTATTATCCACTTTCAAATATGATAAAACCGAGGTCTAAGGTCATGGAATTTGTCACAGGACCAGTCTTCAAACATGTATCAGCACCAGGACTGCCTGCTACTAGAGCCTGGACACATTCTACAGCTCTTCACAGTAAGCTCCCTCCTCTATCTCCTTGGCTGCTAGCACTTTGTCTGTTATATAATATTTGCCAAATGAATAATTTATTGAGCAAATGGGTTTATGATTAACAAACAAGCTTGCTTTTGATCTCTAGGTTGGGGAATTAAATTGTAAAAGTTTCAGATTCTTTCAAATTAAAAAGATGTTATTTTTTAAAAAAAATCTTTATATGAGGAGAAGCTCAGGGCCCATTACAACGTCACAATCACATTTATATATAGCATCTTTAAGATGGATGATACAACAAGGCCTTTGAGATGTTTTTCCTGAGATGTGGAGAGATGGGACAGGTGGTAGAAAAGACAGTGAGGTTGATTCTGACTTAGGATTGCATGCAATATATATTCCTAAAGTATAAATACCTGAAAAAGCACTGAAGGAAGACTGCCTTCTCCAGAAACGTGGCCTGTGGCCCAGCTTGTGCTAAACGTTCAAGTTCTTCAAATTGCCAATTCATTGTAAAGGGAACGAAAGCCCAGAAAAATTGCCACTTAGCAACTGTTCCAATAATGGATTCTACTAAGGATCACTGATAGATTCTAAATCCACTGGGTGAAATGTGTTGGGAAAAAATAGCCATGTATTCTTAAATATCACTCAATTGATTACTTATTAATTACAATGGGGAAATGAATACATTTCTTGACCATAACTTTAACCAACTGATCAAACTTAATATCACTGATAATGAGACAAACATAGACCATGTGCTTGTGGACACAATATTATATTATTGTAATTATGTTATATTCCTGCCAGATGTGTTTAACTTGTATCTAATTATGAAGAAACAAAAGGATAAATCCATATTGAGAAAAATCCTGCAAAGTAACTGGCCTAGACTCTTAAAAATGTAACGTAGTGAAAGACAACTTTTTAAAAAAAAGGTAGAGATTTTTTAAGATTAAAAGAGACTCAAAAGTTATAACAGATAAATACAATGCATGGGGCTCAATGACATATACCAACCAATTGAAATAGAGAAATTTGCATGTAGACTATGCATTTGTGCTCATTATCTAATTATTGCCTCTTAGCTCCAAATCTACTGTTTTTAACTCTGATCTGTGATAATGGAGGTGGATCCTGTGAGCAGTTTCCTTTTGCAGTTTTACTTTTGGAGTAAAGCTAGGCTTTATCAACAGAGGGCAGGGGACAGGCAGGCAGAGCTGCAGCAGCAAGGGGCGCTGTGTCCTGGTTCCTTGTTCCAGTGGACCGTTGTTATTTTCTCCATTCTCCTGCAGAACTGCCACCAGCTGGTGTGTGGGGAGGTTCTCTGCCCACAAACTCCATTCCACCTCCATCAAGTCTCTCCAGCAACACGCAGATAGCTGCTGCTGAACCCTATGTTGAGACACAACCCCACCCTCTCCAATAAAGCTTCACTCTGCTTGGGAGAGAGCAGCCTCTTCCATGCTTGTTCCTTCTTAGGGTGCTTTCTCTCAGCCCTCCAGGCACTGGCTGCTGCCTACATTTGCTATTCCTGTGTTCTTTAGAACAGAGATGGCAAACTTTTTTTGTAAAGGGCCAGATAGTAAATATTTTAAGCTTTGCGGATTAAGGTCTCTGTCACAACGACTCAATTCTGGTTTTGGAGAAAAGGAATAAAAGAGATCAAAGGATCACTTTGAAGAGCTTGGAAGAAGCCTGGAGCAAAGGAAGTGACAATATCTCAGAAGCTGGAAAGAGGGCACATTCAACAGTCACCTTTGACCTGCAGCCTGGTTTTAGCAGTCACAAACCAGAAGGTGGCAGCAGAGAGCTACACTGCTGGAATAGATTCCTGTACTAGGACAAAAGATAGCTGAAAGGAGGACAAACAGTCAATACTGAGTCCGGAAACCCACATTCAAAGAGAAAAAGGGAGCAACACTACATAAACAGATCTAACATCAGAATCAAAGAAATGGCTTCAGTTTCATTTCCAGTGACAGAGAAGCACTAAGAGCAAAGTTAGAGAATTTATGTTATGTAAGGTTTGAGATCAGGAAAGGAAGATGGATACTCTAAAGAATTACAATCTTAAAGCAAAATTTGAGATATGTTTAAGTGACTATGGGCTGGACTGAATTAGTGGGACCAGGTATCTCTGGCTATGGTTGTGCATTATTAGGAAACATTTTGGTGGCCAGGACCCTAACAGAAAGTATAGGTGGCAGCCCAACCTGATTCTATCTGAAAATAGGACATGACACTATGTTATCTTTCTTTTTGTACGAAAGTATATGTGTTTCTGGTGAAATATTTTAAATTACAAAAAGAAATAATACAAATATTCAAATCCACAGATACGCATTTTGACTTTTTGGTGTCATTTCTTTTTTAGGTCCTGAATTTAAAGTTATTATCTCTGGTAGAGTCAGTCTAACAAGATCTTTCTCATCTACTACAAAAGCAGAAGTCTCATTAATTTTTAAAAATTCTACATTGAATGAATTTATAATTTATCTTAATACTCATAGATTTAAACACTATTCTATTATTGAGAAATTTGTATATTTAAAATTTCCTATTATATGTTATTAGTATATATTCATGGTTTCCATAAATATTTATTGAGTATCTGTATAAGCACTGTTTAAGCACTGGAATGCAGCAGTGTATACAAAATAAACAATTATTGTTGACCTCATGAACCATGTTTTCAGTGGCTGTTACGTTAACTGTTAATAAACATCCTTAAACCTGCATCTCTGTTGGCTTTGTTCTTGGTTACTTTCTTAAAGTTGTATTTTTAGAAATAATGTTACTGAGTTACAGATTATGAATGTTAGGTTTTTTACATCTATTGATGAATTGCTTTCCAGAAAGCTCTAATTTACACTGAATTGGATACTTGAGCACCTATGAGTTGTTATAGCAAAATATCTTTACCAGTATCAAATATCAGTTTTTATATATGTAAAATTGGGATAACACTTTTTTTCATAAAATAAGTATGGGAGGTAAAAGAAGAAAATGTATATAAAGTAATATGCTTAAGGCATCACTCATATTAAGTACTCAACAAATAACTATCATTATGTTCAACGTGTTGTTTAGAACCCACGCATTTATCACAATTACTGGGAGACAGACTTAAGAGTAAAATATGTAGGTAAGTTGTTAAAGATTGTTTTTTTTTTATCCTGAACAACAAAGGTAGCCTCACGCTATAGGAGTATTTTTATGCTACTTATGCCTAATACCTTTAAGAATTTATTATTTGTCAGGCTCCAGGTTGAATGTTTTATACACAATATTATGTATTTATCACCCAAAGGTACCATATAGATACTGTTACATTTATTTAAGAGATGAGAAACCTAGACTAAGAAAAGTTAAGTATATTTTTAATATTCTTAGAGCCAATAATTAGCATAACCAGCCAGGATTTGAATTAAGAAACATCTGACTCTAAAGTCCATGCTTTTTCAATTGAACCACATTTCCTTTCAAACAGGAAGAAGAAAAGTAGAAACAAAGTTCAGATAATTAAATGGAAATACTGAAAAGTCAACTTGCCATCCAATTTCTGACAAGCAAAGTACTAACCCAGTAGAATGGAGAAGGAAATTATGTTCCCATATGATATTTATAGCAAGCTAAATAAAGTTTTATTATATTCTCAAATGTTTTGTACTATCAAGATCCATAAATGTTCAATGCTTTATTTCTATCACATTTTCATGTTTATTTACTTCCTCAAATGTGTCAGGAAAAATGAACTCTTCTGATGCTTGACCAAGGGGTTACTTAGCAGCCATTGTGGGACTTTAATCCTGCTGTACCTTCACACTATTTCTGTTTTCCTTGTATTCTCCTTCCCTTTTTCCCGGCAACCATTTCCCACTAATACAGATTACACATTCCCAATATTATGATTAATAGCAGATTCCTTTCCATTCAATTTTGGCAAAGTATTCTGCCTATGAATGGAGTGGAAAAGAATCTTAGTAAACGAAGACCAATGAAACAAGCAAAAAAATACCAGATCAAAGTTATAAATATGGAACAGAGAGAGATAAGGAAGTGATTATCCTAGAAACGTTCAGCATAAATAACTGAGCTTCTAAGCAGCTTAACTCAGAGAGAAATAAGAAAGTGTAGGGAACTCTTAATTATTAATTAAAAAGAAATAAATTTTATCAAGAAAAAACAACTTTTTTAGTTTGGAAATCTAAGGTCAATTACTTTTGTAGGTTTTTTTGAGCATATTGACAATATGACTAACTCCCTTATTAATTTGAAAAACCAAGAAGCAATGGTCAATCTTAGCCATTACTTTTACCAACCTTTATTAAAAGCCAAGGATGTGATAGCAATTCATAACTCAATAAAAGCTATTACATGTGGGACAAGAGTAATATGCTCCAGATTCGACATGCTATAAGGCATAAATCCTTTGGGATAAAAATTAATGAATTAATAGAATGTTCATTTTATAACTACTTAAAAATATTATCAGTCTTATCTGGAATTCTTATAGAAGTTGCATGGTGCATACATTAAGCTTTAGTTTATTAGATCTGTTTTGTTCTGTTGATTGAACTAAAGATGCTCTAAGTACTAGCAGAAATTATGCCCTCCAAGAAACTTTTGAGAAGGTTCTGACTTTTATTTTACTCAAAGGATGGGCCTATAAACCTTGTCTCAGAGGTGAACAAATAGTAGTTGAAGGGAGGTCTGAGAACATAAAGAACAGTTTGAGATTAGTTAAAATATCTGAAAAAGCACTCAAGGCAAGTCATAGACTTCTAAAGTTATGCACCAGATTACTGTGGACTGGAACTTTCTAAGGACTTGACACACTGTCTTTTTCTAGCATTGAAAACGACCCCCACCCCCAGTATGATTATTTTGAAGCTTTCAGCTTAACTGAATCTTTGTTGGTCACAATGTAAGTCTAATGTCTTACGACTCTACCAAGACTGGCATGAGATGTCCTGGTCCCTAAACTCTACACAGTCACCTAAAAGCTTACCTTGGGAAAATCCCTTTACTCCCAAAATGAATGTGTTAATAACAATTGCACAGTTTTGTGAATGTTAAATTAATTAGCATGTATAAGGGGTTTTTCATAAAATAGGCTTGAAGAAAACTCTTTATGTCTACTTTATTCCTTCCTTTTTACTAAGTTTCCACTTAGTTCTAGCACTATGATTCTAACCTGGAACCAGAGTGACCTGATGTTCTCACTTTTCCACCAGAATTCCATTATATTCAAGCAAAAAACCCTTCGAGATTATGCAGCTTGCATAGAAGATTTCAGCTGGAGTGCTAGGAAGTACTTAACAACTGGTGAAAGCTCTCAAAATTTTTGGTTGCAATGTCGCATTCTTTAGACAATTCTAGATGGTTTTCTGTTCATTCCATCAACACTATAATTGAATACATATTACTATTAAATTGACTTATTCCCTATCCCAATTGGCTAATTTTATTCTGACACTTGGCCAAACACCTCTTTTCTGAATAGGTCAGTTATTGGAATTGAAAATATGGAAAAACTGGGACAAATCATTTGTAATAGCTAAAAAATTAGAGAAAGTGCTAGACATACTTCTTGTTCAGGATTGCTTCTACTCTAAGACTGCCTAAAACTTATCTGGCATTTTACAGATGCATTAACTTGAGAGAACATAATTCATAAATTCTACCTCTAGAGTTTCAAAAGCCTATTTCTTGGAGCTACCCTAGAAGTGATATTCCTATAATTAATTTCTAGATGATGGATTAAAGATTAATTTCAGGCCAGGCTCAACAAATACAGAAAGTTACTTAAAAGGAAAACATAATTCTCAGATTTAGAGTGTTCTAAAGATTTTCATGAATCAGTCCATGAAAGATAATAGGGTCATTACACAGGCAAAAATTACAAACTTGAATTACTATAAACCTGAATTATCTAAGGAAAATCTAGAAATTTATTTTGAATTTATTTTGAACTCTGAAGCAGATATGCATGTGTATATTATAGAAGTTTTTAATGCCGTATATATTCAGGCTCAGAAATTAGCAGGAGTGATTAACCATTGGGAATGGTTTCTTAAGTGGACCAGTTTCTTTCTGTTGCTTCTTTCCAGTGATCAATCAGCTCCCATGAGGTAAGGAAACAACATGATGAATACTTTCTTTAATTTTGCATGAATAAAGAGAGAAAGGGAGAGTGACATCAACAAGATGGCTCACTAGAAGTGCCTGGAGTTCATCCGCACCCCAAAAAGAACCAAAGCAACAAATAAATAATGAAGATTTGAATGCAGTGTCAAAGAGAGAATGCTGGAGTGGAGCAGGGGAGTGGAGAGGCAACTCTGGTAATTGGAAGTCCAAGAGAGCAGCACGAAGGCACCTGGCCTCTGCAGCCCCATCTCCTGTTCCTGAATCAGATGGGCCCAAAACTAGGGGCAACTTCCCTTTGCAGGAAAAAGGTAAACAGAGGAACCTCATCAGCCCCCACTGCCACTGTAAATACCTACAGTATTTACTACAAGATAATTCCACAGTCCTCATAAGCCCTGAGCCCAGTTTGGAGAGCTGCTGAAAATTTATACTGTTGCATTGCTTCAAATTAGAGGAACAACTTATGCACTCCCCCAACTCCCACCCACCTCCTGTGAGCCAAGCTGCTGCAGCACAGCACTGTCTTGATACCAGAGCCACCTCTAGAGTGTACCCTTCTCTGGAGGCCAGTAGCCACTGCACCTCTGCAGCAATGGCGCTCCATCTTCATTCCAAGCCCAGTGGCTACACTCTACAACCCTAGCTGTGTGGAGCCTGGGTCAAGGATTGGCTGTGACTCTGGTCCTGCACATCATGGAAACCAACCCCTCCACCCCCAGCACTTCCATCTAGGAAAGGATCTGAGTCCCACCCAGGGCAAACCCACCCTTGAACCAGCCAAACTAGTGCATGTCCACCCCTGAGTAGAAAAGGTCCCCGAGCCAATAAACAGCTGGTCTGCCCCTAGGCCAGCCAAGAAACCATACAGCCATGTCAGAGGCTTGAGAAACAGCTCCATGGGTTTCCACAGAAAACATGCTGCCAGGCCAGCTGATCAGCTTTGTGCCCATGTCGACTCGATAAACAGCCTCTTGTCCCTCCCCTCCCCCTGGCTGAAATGCCCCCCATACCAACCAAGCATCTGCATGCCCATGTTCTAGGCCTGAGAAACAACACCATGGGCCACCTCTAGCAAACACAACTCCAGGCCAGCGAGGAAACCATATGGCCATGTGCTGGGCATGAGAAACGGCCCCACAGGCCACCCCTGGCAGACATGCCTCTAGGTTGGCCAAGTGGCTGTGAACCTGGTCCCAAGACTGAAAAAAACAAAAAAAAAAACATAAATAAAACATGGGTTGCCCTGAAGACACACCTGAAGGCAGTTGAGCAACTGCATGCCCATACTTCCAGACAGAGTAACAGCCCTGTGGCCTCAACCCCAGTGAGCCAGACCCTAAGTTAGCTGACCCATCATGTGTACACATGTGTCCCTGATCTGAGAAACAGCCCAGTGAGTCCACTCTTAACAAAGTCACACCACCACAGATTCTCTCAGCTTAGGCAAGTGAGACACTTGCAAATGTCACTAGCATAGATTACAGCTGAAGAAACTACATAGAGACTACATTACTGTATCCACCTGGGACTAAATACAACAAACTCTAAAAAACTGATACCCCAAGACTCATCAACATGAATAAGTTTCCCTACATAACGTACTCCATAAAATCGGAAGAGCCAACTGTCCCACCAGATGCACAGATACCAACATAAGGAAACAATAAACATGAAAAAGCAAGGAAAAATGACACCTTCAAAGGAAGACAATAATTCTCCAGTAACATACCCCAATAATAAAGAAATATATAAAATGCCAGAAAAAGAATTCAAAATAATAATCATAAGGAAACTCAGAGAGATACAAGAGAATACAGATAGTTCAATAAAATCAGGAAACAATTTATGATTTGAATGATAAATACAACAAAGATATAGATATTATTAAAAAAGAACCAAACAGAAAACTAGAGCTGAATAATATGGTAAATGAAATAAAAAAAATAGAATCAAGAGCTTCAATAATAGACTAGTACAAGAAGAAGGCAGAATTTATGAACCTGAAGACAAGTCTTTTGAAATAACAAGGCAGAGGAAAACAATGAAAAGAATGACACCATTAATGGGACAGCATAAATGAACATACATTTGTATTATGGGCATTCCAGAAGAAGAAAATAGAAAGATGTAGAAAACATGTTTAATGAAATAATAGGTGAACACTTCCAAAGTCATGAGAGAGAGATGGACATCTAGATCCAGGAAGCTCAAATAATGCCAAATAGATTCAACATAACAAGTCCTGTCATAGGCACATTGTAGTCACATTGTCCAAAGTCAAAGACAGAACAAATTTAAAAAGAGCAAGAGAAAAGCATCGTCACATATAAGAATTTGCTATAAGACTAACAGTGGATTTGCCAGGAGAAATCTTTCAAATCAGGAGATAATGGGATGGTATATTTAAAAGGCTTAAAAAAAACCCCTGCCAGCCAAGAATATTCTATCCAGCAAAGCTATCATTCAGAAATGAAAAAGAAAAGTATTCTACAGAACAGAAAACCTAAGGAAATTCATCACCACTAAATAGGCCTTAAAAGAAAGGCCCAATAGGTTTCACATCTGGTGGTGAAAAAACAATAACTATCAGGAAAACATGCAAAACTATAAGACTCACTGGCAGAGCCAATATACACAGTAGAAAGAGAAAAGAGTCAAACCTTATTACTACAGAAAACAACCCAATCACAAAAATAAACAGTAAAAGATGAAGTAAGAAACATAGGACATACAAAACAACCAGAAAACAATCACTAACATGACAGGATTAATTCCTCATTTATCAATAATAACCTTGAAAATAAACAAATTAAATTCCTCATTTAAAAGATATAGACCAACTGGATTGACTAAAAAAGACCCAACTATATGCTGCCTACAGGAAACTTACTTCATTAACCTGTAATGACACAAAGACTGAAAGTGACGTGGTTAAAAAAAAAAAAAAAGATTTCACACAAACAGAAACCAAAAGTGAGCAAGAATAGCTGTACTTATATCAGACAAATCAGACTTCAAATGAAAAACTGTAAAAAGAGACAAAGGAAAACATATACTAAAAAAGATTAATTCAGTAAGAGAAAATTTGTAAACACATACACTCACATATATACCTAATGCCAGAGCACCCAGATATATAAAGCAACTATTATTAGATCTAAAGAGAGATTGATCTAATACATTAATAGTTGTGGATGTTAACAACCCACTCTCAGCACTGGACAGACCACCTAGACAAAAACCCAACAAAGAAATATGGGATCTAAATAGCACCATTGACCAAATGGACCTAACAGATATTTAGAGAATGTTTAGAGCTATTTCAATATTTAGAGAACATTTCATTGAACAGCTGCAGAATACATTCTTTTCATCAGCACATGAAATATTCTCCAGGATCAATCATATGTTTAGACACAAAAAAATCTTAAAACATTTTTAAAATTAAAATTAAAATTATATCAAGTATCTTCTCTGACCACTTACAAGAAAACTAGAAATTGATAATAAGTAGAAGATTAAAACTATACAAATGCATGGCATTTAAACAATATGCTTCTGAAAGACCAATGGGTGAAGGAAGAAATTAAGAATAAAATTGAAAAATTCACTGAAACAAATAAAAATAAAAAAATATATCAACATTTATAGGGCACAGCAAAAGCAGTTTTAACAGCCAAGTTCATAGCACTAAATGCATACACTACTTAGAAAGATTTGAAATAAAAATGTAATGATCTCAAGGAACTAAAACAGCAAGAACAAAACAAACCCAAAGTTAGAAGGAAATAAATAATAAAGATGAAAGCAGAAATAAATGAAACTGAGACTAAAAATACAGTACAAAAATCAATGGAACAAAAAGTCGATGTTTTGAGAAAATAAACAAAATTGAGAAAAAGCTAGACTAAGAAAAAAAGAGAGAAGACATAAATGAATACAATCAGAAACAAAATGGAAACATCACAATAGATAACAACAGAAATAAAAAGGATCATTAGAAACTTCAATGAACAGTTATACACTAATAAATATGAAAACCTAGAGGAAATGGATACATACAATCTACCAAGATTGAATCAAGAAGAAAAGGAAAACGTAAGCAGGCCAATAACAAGTAACAAGATTGAATCAGTTCTAAAAAGTATTCCAACAGAGAAAAATTCAGGACTAGATGTCTTCACTGCTGAATTCTACTAACCTTTAAGGCAGAATTGAAACAATTTCTTCTGAAACTATTCCACAAAATTAAGGCAGAGAAAATTCTTCCTAGGTCATTCTATGAGGCCAGCATAACCTCAATATCAAATACACATGAGGAAAACAAAAAATTAAAACTGCAGGCCAATATGTATGAAAATAGAGGCAATAACTTAAACAAAACACTAGCAAACTGAATCCAACAGCGCATCAAAAAGATATTACACCATAATCAAGTGAAATTTATCCAGGAATGAAAATATGGTTCAACACATGTAAATTAATAAATGTGATACATACATCAGCAGAAGAAAGGACAAAAAGCACATGGTTATCTTAATAGATGCAGAAAAAGCATTTTATAAAATTCAACATCTCTTCATGATAAAACCTCATAATAAATTAGGTACAGAAGGAAAATATCTCAACACAATAAGGTCCATATATGACAAACCCACAACTAAGATCATACTGAGTGGGGAAAAGCTAAACGTCTTTCCTCTAGGAACTAAACAAGACAAGCAAGCCCACTCTTAACCAATCTCATTCAATATACCACTAGAAGTCCTAGTCAGAGCAATTGGGCAAGAAAAATAAACAAAGGCATCCAAACTGAAAAGGAGAAAATCAAATTGACCCTCTTTGCAGATTATATGATCGTGTGTGTGTGTGTGTGTGTGTGTGTGTGTGTGTGTGTGTAGAGAGAGACTCTACCAAAAAAATTGTAGAACTGATAAATTCCTTAAAGTTGCGAGATATAAAGTCAACATGAAAATTCAGTAGCATTTTTATACATGAACAATGAACTAGCTGAAAAAAATAAGATGGCCATCCTACTTACAATAGCTATAAAAAATAAAAATAAAATACTTAAGAATGAATTTAACTAACGAGGTGAAATATTTTTACAAGGAAATCTATGAAACATTGATAAAAGAAATTGAAGTGGATACAAACAAAATGGAAAAACATCCAATGCTCATGGATTGGAAAAATTAATATTGTTAAAATTAATATTGTTAAAAATTGATAAACAATTAATATTGTTAAAATAGTATGTTAACCATACTATTCAAATCAATCTACAGATTCAATGCAATTCCTATAAAAATACCAAATATGTTCTTAATAGAAAAAGAAAAAATCATCTTAAAATGTGTATGGAACCCCAAAAGACTTCAAATTACCAAAGCATTCCTAGCAAAAAGATCAAAGCTGTAGACATTATACTACCAGACTTCAAAATTCACTACAAAGCTGTGTTCAAAGATAGCATGGTACTGGCATAAAAACAGTCACATAGACCAGTTAAACAGAACAGAAAATCCAGAAATTAATTCACATATTTACAGCCAACTGATTTTTGACAAAGGCACCAAGAACCTACATTGGGAAAGGACAGTTTATTCAATAAATGGTGCTAGGAAAACTGGATATCCACCTGCAGAAGAATGAAACTAGACCCTCTATACAAAAATCAGCTCCAAATGGGTCAAAGACCTAACTGTAAGACCCCAAACTACAAAACTACTAAGAGAAAACATAGGATAAATGCTTCAGAACATTGGCCCAAGAAAAGATATTATTCCAAAGACCTCAAAAGCACAGGCAACAAAAACAAAAATAAACAAATTACATTATATTTAACTAAAAACCTTCTGCACAGCAAAGGGAACAGTCAACAGAGTGAAAATACCACCTAAAGAACAAGAGAAAATATTTATAATATTTTCATGCAACAGGGGATTAATATCCAGAATACACAAGGAACTCAAACATCTCAACAGCAAAAAAACAAAAAAAATCTGATTTAAAAATGGGCAAATGATCTAAACAGATATTTTTCAAAAAAAAATCATACAAATTGCTAACAAATACAAGAAAAAAAGTTCAACATTACTAATTACCAGATAAATGCAAATCAAAACCACAACTGTATCATCAAACTCCAGTTAGGATGGATAGTATACAAATATGAAAAAATAACAAATGCTGGTGAGATGTGGAAAAAAGAGAATTCATATACTGTTGGTGGGAATTAAAATTAGTACAGACACTATGGACAGCAGGACAGAGGTTCCTCAAAAAACTGCAAATAGGAGTACTGTATCATCCTGCAATCCCACTATTGTTTATTTATCCAAAGGAAATTCATATATTGAAGAGACATCTGTATCCCCATGTTTTTTTTGTGGCACTATTCACAATAGCCAAGATGTGGAATCAAATTAGGTGTCCAACAACAGATAAATGAATAACAGAAAGTGGTATATATACACAATGGAATACTATTGAGCCATAAGAAAGAATGAAATCCTATCATTTGCAGAAACATGGATGGAACTGGAGGACATTATGTTAAGTGAAGTCACTCAGGAATAGAAAGTTAAATACTACATAATCTCATTCATATGTGAAAACGAACCAAAATTGATCTCACAAAAGTAAAAAGTAGAACAGAGAATACTGAAAAGTGGGGTGGGTTGGAAGAAGTAGGAGACAGAGATTTTTTAAAGGATGCTAAATGATGGCTAGATAGAAGGAATAAGTTCTCGTGTTCCATACCACTGTAGGATCACTATGGTTAAGAATAATATACATTTTCAAATAGCTAGAAAGATGATATTGAATATTTTCATCACAAAGAAATGATAAATGTTTGAGATGATGGGTATGTTAATTACCCTAATCTGATCACTATATTATACATGTATGGCAATATCACTATGTACCCAATAAATATCTACAATTATTATATGTCAATTTAAAAAATAAAATTAAAAATAACAGAAAAGGGGCACTCTATTATGGGCTGGCAAAGCAATTACAGTAGAGTTACATCAAACTTGCATTGAATCTGTAAGTTCTATTTTATGGTATCAAAAAAATTTAGAAAAATAAATAATCCAGTGCAACATCTCTTTCATAAGTGAGTACCTCAGATAAATGAAGCAATATGTTCAAAGAATTAAATGTAGTTTGTGACAGCCACGGGGAAAATATGTGAAAGATGACAAAGGTTTCGAGTCAATTAGAAAAATTGAAATACACAGTTAAGTGGCCAAGTAAGTGGATGATGATATCTTCATTGATATCCTCAAAGAAAAAAAAATTAACTGACCAAAATACAGAAATATATTGATATTATTTTAAAAATTATAAACATCTACAATATTATTGTATTGCTAAACCACAGAATCATATGCCTTGTATTTTAATTTATTCTATGCATGCTTACTTTGCTTACTCACTTATCTCATAGAAGATATGATTAACCCATTCAACACCCATTAGGAGAGACATAGGTCATTTGAACAGCTGGATTCAATGTGGGAAAAACACCCCAATCTTTCAGTACAGAAACATTTACACATCCGAAATTCAGATATCACAAAGGAAAGTATTCATTGACGATAATGCTAGCAACAGATGTTGGAAATGGTGTACAGACTGTATATTTTCTAGGTATTTTTTTTTGCTCATAAGTCTTTAAGAAAATAGCAAAGACAGGAGACACGTATGTGTGTAAGATGGATGAAAGCAGCCTGTTGAAGTGGCCCTGCAGGTGCAGTAAAGTGGGGTGGACTTTGCAAGTCTGATATGGTTTGGCTTTGTGTCCATACCCAAATCACACTTTGAATTGTAATAATCCCCACATGTCAAGGGTGGGACCAGGTGGAGATAATTGAATCATGAGGCATTTCCCCCATGCTATTCTCATGATAGTGAGTAAGTTCTCATGTGATTTGATGGTTTTATAAGGGGCTTCCCCATTTGCTTGGCTCTCTTTCCTGCCACCCTGTGAAGAGGTGCCTTCTGCCATAATTGTAAGTTTACTGAGGCCTCCCCAGCCATGCAGAACTGAGTCAATTAAACCTCTTTTCTTTATAAATTACTAAGTCTCAGGTATTTCTTCATAGCAGCGTGAGAATGGACTAATACAAAGCCTCTACCACAAATGGCAGAGAGCTGCTAGCCAATACATCTCTCACTTAGGAGTGGGTTTGAAGCATGTGAGCAATTATTTCTGCAGAAATGTAGTCTACAAATTTCCAGGTACTCTAGAATTCAACAACTCATAGGCCTACTAGAGGTACTTTCTATTCTCACATTACATAAGGTAGACGAACACCTCTCAGAATCCCTTCTTCCTACTACAGGCAGACATTATTATGTGTTAGATATATAGGATAAAGATGAACTGAGCACCACACTCCTGGTGCTCCAAGTAGTTTATGGTTGATAATAGCAAAAAGTAGAAACAATTGTGGATTAGCTACATTGAGCCCTCATCCTCTTCTATTCAAGCTGAGCCTTTGGAGAGAGGTGGTTTTCTTCTCATTTATAAGAAGTGAGTTTTTGAAAAGACTGTTAATCCTTAAATTAAAATCTAATTATCAAGATGAAATCGATACAATTCAGGTAAATTACTCTTTTTTTCATCATGAGTAAGAGGAACACAAAGATACACAACCTTGAACTTTCTTCTCACTTCTGCTATTTTATCTTCCATTTCATCTGTCTTGTGTTTGGTTAGGTGGAAAAGAGTACCAATGCGATAAGCCTCCTTATAGATGTTCTTGAGATGTTTATCATTCTTTAACTTCATTATTGTCAAATATTTTATTTCAGATTCGTATTTTGATTTTTTCCGTATGCTGTAAAAGTAAAGCAAAAATTAATATTATTGAGTATATAGTGAGACAAACATATTTAATAATAGTAAAAAAGAATAAGATCATATTTTATGTTGTCAAAAATACAAAATTGCTGGATAATTAGCTAAAACTTGAAGACAGAACATGTGTCCTAGGACTCCATTTATTCTGCTGCTTCTGATGGTTACCCCTAATTGTCAGGCTGTTTCCAATTTCAGAAGCATAAGAGCATCAATAAGAAAGGCTTGGGGAATCCGGGTGCTTGGCTTTTTGAACATTCAAAATCCCTTCTATACTCCTTTCCATTTCAATTTGTGACTTCCATAAAGGTGTTTTTACGAGAGAATATGTTCAATGGAAAAGCCTAAACAAAAACCAAAGCATATACAAGAGCAAAGTTTCTCAACTTCGATATTATTAACATTTGTGGTGGCACAATTCTTTTTGTAGGTGGGATGTCCTGTGCATTGTAAGTAAGATATTTTGCAGCATCTTCCACTAGATGCCAGCAGCACTGTCTCAGTTGTAGCAGCCAAAAATGTCTCCAGCCACTGCCAAAAATCCCCTAAAGGTACAAAATTATCCCTGTTGAGAACCACTTGAATAAAGCAATGGTTCTCAACACTAACTCCACATTATAATAACCTGCAAAGCATTTAATAAAACTTTGTGCTTCTAAAAATGGATTAGTAGGCTTATAATAATATACAATAAATCTGGGGTAAAGCTCCAGCATCACTATTTTTAAGCACTCCATTTGATTCTAACATGCAACCAGAAAGCAAACTATAGATATTAACTGGAGCGGTATCTAAACCTTGTATACACATAAAAATCACAGGGAGAGCTTTGAAAGTCACAGATTCCCAGGCTTCACTCTCAGAATGTGGTTCATTAGATGCAGGATGGGTCTGAGAATAGCTCCCAGGTTGATGACACTTGGTTGCAGATCACACTTCATTCAAGTAGCACTGCTCAAGAGGTTGGGGTGAATACACATGATTAGCTTTCACTTAACAGAACACAGAGAAGATTGAATTAGTGTGGCCAAATCAGCTGATGATGAGCTGCATTGATCCTTCATTTTCACCTATTCCAAAATAGGATGAAAGAATGATGTAGAAATAAGAATAAACATACATTCAAGGCAAGCAGGAGACATAGCTAGGCTCACAAACAAGGTAGAATAGAAATGGGGTCAAAAATCAAAGCATAAGTAGAGGAGAAGAAGCATAAAACTAGCTGAAGGTGTTGCACCAGATGAGCGACCAGTGCAAGGTTCACTGACTCATGACAGGGCTTTGCATGAGCTGTGCTTGATGTGAAAGGATCATTCACTGACTGGGGCTAAAGACACATAGAGAGCAAGGAGCAAAGGCATTGAGGAGAACAGATCCTGAGACCAATAACTCAACAATGCTGCCTATTGAATCAGTAATTGCAATAATGTTATCCCCAATATCATCTTTGTATGATCACTGGGAATCAGAAAAGATGACCATAAATGGAAGAATTTAAAGATTGGTTAATTGGGACCAAGTAGGGTGAGGTAGAAGCAATGACATAATTTCAATTGGAAAGAGATAAACAAGAAGATATGTGTGTAGGAGAGAGAGGGGTGTATGTGTATATATGTAAGTGTGTTACGTGTGTGTGTGTGTGTGTGAGAGAGAGAGAGAGACAGAGTCAGAGAGACAGAGACAGAGAGAGAAAAGAGACCTGCTTATTTAGAATGGGAGGCCTCAAAAAGGACACCAAAACATATTAAGAAATATCTTGTTTCCAAAGACCTAGCAATCAGAGTGTGAACCCAAAGCACTTTAGGTGATACTGATTTTATGAAACATTCTGACAAAGAACTTAAAATAAGTATATTTAAAATGCTCAAAGATCTAAGTAAAGAAATCACTGATTTTGTAAAAGGAAAAGAAATTTTGACACACAGCAGAAATTAGACAAAAATAGATAGATGGGGAAGACAACAAATTTTAAGGAATAATGAAAAGAAATATGGACAGAAATAATTAAAATAGTTTTGAAATAGAACCAAAAAACCCCAAATTGAGAAGAGACAAAGAGAGTTTTGGATTAATAGGAAGGAATGAAGTACTAAGGTATTTACTCAAATAACACAAAAAATATGGGGTGTGTGTGCAAGCACACACAATATATATGTGTGGCACGTTTGTGTCTATACATAGTGTATGTATACTTTTGAGTCTATGGGTACTTATGTTTGTGTACACATGCATATTTGTGCTTGTGTAAACTTTTTGTGTTTACTGTGTACATATGTGTATATGTGTGTTAATCTTTGTGCATGTATGTGTATATATGTTGTGCATGTTTATACATGTATTTGTTTTGTGGAAAACACAGTCCACGCATTAAATGGAGTGGGATGAATGTGTGGTGTGTGTTTGAGTATGTGTTAAGCGACATTCCAGTTGATTTTCAGAAGGAACAATAATAAGGTATGTTGTGTAAAGACTAGAGAAATTTTCCATACTCCCTATGAAGATTAGTTTAAAAATGCGAGAAATTTCTAGACTTGAGAAAAAAATAGGACCACAGACCAGATAACAAAATCAATTGTGAGTACTGAACATTATAAAAATAAAAAATCTATAGCTAAAGATATTGTGATAAAACAGCAGAATATTAAAGATACTTATTAAGGACATACAAAGTGATGTAATAAATGCCAAAAGAAAATTATTATCTTCAAATCTAAGCAAAAATAAATGTGAAGCTATAGTTCCATACATTGCCAAATTATTATTCAACATTGATGAGCTAAACTGACGTAGCTTAAGAAAATTTACCAGAAAGCCTTTATTTTTTTTTATTTTTATTTTTTATACTTTAACTTCTAGGGTACATGTGCACAATGTGCAGGTTTGTTACATATGTATACATGTGCCATGTTGGTGTGCTGCACTCATTAACTCATCATTTACATTAGGTATAGCTCCTAATGCTATCCCTCCCCCTTCCCTCACCCAACAGGCCCCAGTGTATGACGTTCCCCTTCCTGTGTCGAGTGTTCTCATTGTTCAATTCCCACCTATGAGTGAGAACATGTGGTGTTTGGTTTTTTGTCCTTGTGATAGTTTGCTGAGAATGATGGTTTCAGCTTCATCCATGTCCCTACAAAGGACATAAACTCATCCTTTTTTATGGCTGCATAGTATTCCATGGTGTATATGTGTCACATTTTCTTAATTCAGTCCATCATTGATGGACATTTGGGTTGGTTCCAAGTCTTTGCTATTTTGAATAGTGCCGCAATAAACATACGTTTGCATGTGTCTTTATAGCAGCATGATTTATAATCCTTCAGGTATATACCCAGTAATGGGATGGCTGGGTCAAATGGTATTTCTAGTTCTAGATGCTTGAGGAATCGCCACACTGTCTTCCACAATGGTTGAACTAGTTTACAGTCCCACCAACAGTGTAAAAGTGTTCCTATTTCTCCACATCCTCCCCAGCACCTGTTGTTTCTTGACTTTTTAATGATCGCCATTCTAACTGGTGTGAGATGGTATCACATTGTGGTTTTGATTTGCATTTCTCTGATGGCCAGTGATGATGAGCATTTTTTCATGTGTGTTTTGGCTGCATAAATGTCTTCTTTTGAGAAGTGTCTGTTCATATCCTTCACCCACTTTTTGATGGGGTTCTTTGTTTTTCTCTTGTAAATTTGTTTGAGTTCATTGTAGATTCTGGATATTAGCCCTTTGTCAGATGAGTAGATTGCAAAAATTTTCTCCCATTCTGTGGGTTGCCTGTTCACTCTGATGGTAGTTTCTTTTGCTGTGCAGAAGCTCTTCAGTTTAATTAGATCCCAGTTGTCTATTTTGGCTTTTGTTGCCATTGCTTTTGGTGTTTTAGACATGAAGTCCTTGACCATGCCTATGTCCTGAATGGTATTGCCTAAGTTTTCTTCTAGGGTTTTTATGGTTTTAGGTCTAACATTTAAGTCTTTAATCCATCTTTAATAAATTTTTGTATAAGGTGTAAGGAAGGGATCCAGTTTCAGCTTTCTACCTATGGCTAGCTAGTTTTCCCAGCACCATTTACTAAATAGGGAATCCTTTCCCCATTGCTTGTTTTTGTCAGGTTTGTTGAAGATCAGATGGTTGTAGATGTGTGGTATTATTTCTGAGGGCTCTGTTCTGTTCCATTCAGCTCTATCTCTGTTTTGGTACCAGTACCATGCTGTTTTGGTTACTGTAGCCTTGTAGCATAGTTTGAAGTGAGGGAGTGTGATGCCTTCAGCTTTGTTCTTTTGGCTTAGGATTGACTTGGCAATGTGGGCTCTTTTTTGGTTCCATATGAACTTTAAAGTAGTTTTTTCCAATTCTGTGAAGAAAGTCCTTGGTAGCTTGATGGGGATGGCATTGAATCTATAAATTACCTTGGGCAGTATGGCCATTTTCATGACATTGATTCTTCCTATCCATGAGCATGGAATGTTCTTCCATTTGTTTGTGTCCTCTTTTATTTCATTGAGCAGTGGTTTGTAGTTCTCCTTGAAGAGTTCCTTCACATCCCTTGTAAGTTGGATTCCTAGGTATTTTATTCTCTTTGAAGCAATTGTGAAGGGAGTTCCCTCATGATTTGGTTCTCTCTTTATTAAAATAACTATTAAAGAATCATTTTAGCCACTGGAAAGTGAACAAAAAGGATAAACAAGATGATATAAAAACAAAAATGAATGAGAAATGTCAACAAATATATGTATTGATTGTGAAAAATTATTATTTAAAAGTGAAACTAAGGCACCAGATAACTATTTTAAAAATAGGACAAGTGTAAAGATGTTCAATAGTAATTTATTTTTTGCAAAAATATGTGTAATGCTCAGGAGGACAGTAGAAAAACTAAATAATTCCAGATTAATTTAAAATGTCTAGAATTATCTAAACATGTTTTAAAACTAGTGTCACTAATTAGGCTTATCATAATACTATGTTTAAAAAATAAGCTCCACTGCTGCCTAAAAAATAGACTGGGGACTAAACCACTCAAAAATTTGAAAATAAACATTAGTGCAGCAACAGTAATATCACAAAATATAATTTAATGAGAAAATCATGAATAAGAAACAAGGTAAAAGTAGATAATAAAAGAAAACAATTCAACAAGAAATGAAATATTTATTTAAGTCAATGTCTCTGACTATGTATTTTCAAAATATGTAATAAAATTGCAGAATTATAAGAAGCAATTCACAAATCAACTATCAGACTCCTATCGGAACATCATAGGACAGGAAATAGGATAGATAGGTAGCAGGTGTATATAGCAAAACTATACCCGAAAAATTTCAGTACCAAAACCCAACAAGGATCATCAAATTGAAAAGTCTTACTTAGTACTAAACTGAAAAAATTACACACACACACATAGCTACAAACAAAATTGTGAAATTTCAGAACTCTTAAGAAAAGAAAATTCTGAAGTTCCCAGAGAGAAAAGACAAATTATTTACAAAGAAATTATATCCAAAATGTCATCAGATGTCCTACCAAGCAAAACTGAATAAGAAAACAATAAAAAAACCTTCAAATTAAGGAGAAAAATTGACACTGGATCCAGAATATGACACGGAGATAAGCCTGGTTGAGTGGATTCAATAGAGAATTAACTGTGAGTTCACAGAAATAGACGTGTTTATTTTTTAAAGTTTTGCTACAAAAAAAATAGAAAGAGATGAGTTACAGGACTAAGGTTTATTTTGTGTTTTCATACTTTATAAAATGAGCAATATTATGCAAAGCTCATGGGCTGCTAAAGATGAATAATGATTCATGGGAAAAAGGATATACTCGTATTGTGTACCAGTAAGCTGGTAAGAGATTGAGATAATTCTCATTCATTATATCTATACTCCCTATGAAGAGGATGATTAGTTTAAATTGAGGATAATATGGTTATTAGGAGTCAAGAGAGGGAGAAGATATAAAACAGTCATCAGAAAAGTGGAATTGTCTAGAAATTTCTTGGTCGTGCTGAATATCACTCAAGATTTATGGTCACAGAATTTAAGTTCTACTCAGAAGTAAATTTATTGTGCTGCTAATGAAGCTTAAACATGAGGGCCTCTAATTGGCCCCAGTCCCTTACAAAGTCCTTCGAGTGTCTCCCTAGCAGTGTTTTCACATGGTCATATGTTTTTATAAAGTTTGTAGAAACAAGATATTTTAATCAAAATTGATGAAGATCATTCTCTCTTTCTAATACAAGGTCTCCTCTCTCAAGTGGTATTCAAGTAACTGTGGGCATTTTGTATTCATAATATTGTTTTCTTTTATCTACTGCCCCCATATACTATAACCTCTAGGGCCCACCAAACCAGGATCCACCCTGTGAGGCTACTTAGCATACTTGTGTTTTATTTTAGCCACATTCAGCTGCTAGGAAAAGTTCAATGAAGAAAGCTGCTGGTTTAGTTAGGGATAGGGCTTTTCAAGTCATAAAAACACAGTCTTGAATGTTATTTAAATATGTGCTTATTTTGATCCAATGTAACTAGGTTCTGTAAGAAGGGAAAGAAGGACAATAAGGTGGGATATAAAAATGTAGTAAGGATGATAGTTTGGTCATCATAGTGTCAAATATTTGTTAGAGTGAGGGTGCTAGTAGAGTAAGTTAGAAAAAGAGGTATTGGTTATCTGAAAGCGGATAATTAAAATTGAGACCAGGAAATAACTCAATTCTTGGAAATGACAAAAACAGAGTAAAACTATAAGAGAAGGTGGTTGGTGTAGGACGGAAGAAAAGATTGTTGAAAATGAGAAAGCTAATGGATTGAAAATCTAAGTTCTTGCATGGACTGTATCACCCAAATTCATATTTCAATGCCTCTGCAGAGGTAGAAAGTAGGAATAGAAAGTATAATTTATTTTTAGTATTCAACTCTTGGAAAAAAAAGTCTAAAATGGGCTAACTAACATGTGGGTGAGTAGTTAATTTTAGATGATGTATATATCATTTTAATGCATTATTTGTATACTTTTATCTTTTAATGTCTGAAAAAATTAAAAACCAAAAGTAAAATCATTTAAAACATTGATGCAAAAGTTTGTTGTGCAATGCTGGAAAAAGAAGAATTTGACACTTCTGTGAAGCAACTCAAATTAATAGACTGGTAAGACATAGCTAAATGGGTATGAAAAACACAGCACCCTGTGGATTCATTCTAGGTATTCCAGGCTATTTAACAACTTCAGTAATATTCGAATTGCTATCTCTACAAATAAATCACCACACTGTTACTTCTTAAAAAACAAACTTCATAAAATATGCCAATATATCTCTATATTATTCAATAGCTTTTTTGCTCATTTCCCTCAATTACCAACCCCATCTTTGGCTCACTGCAGTTACAATGGCATTGTCTTGCTTAAGATACAGTTGAACACTAGAAATAGATATTTAGAATATTTTACAGAGCTTGAATGTAAGAAAATGACTATATAGAAATTCATACCACACAGTTAATTTCAAGCAAACTAAATCTAAGTTAATCAATTTCAAATCATTTTAAACAAGCTCATTTTCCTTGACTTAGGTTTTTGAACCCTGCCTATCATGTGAATAAGCAATCAAGTAAAATTGTTTGCTCAAGTCAAATGTCCCAAATGTAAAGGGTCTATTTCTAATGGATGCTCATTGGTTTGAAAGACAAAATTACCAAATTATAAACTGCTTCTGCAAGGTAAACAATCATATCATCATCGTTGTCACAAAAAGGTCTAGTAAGTATTTGTATGTATAGGATAACTGAACAAAGTCTGTTAACAAATATGGCATCTGTGTTTTAACGTTGGCATTCTGAAGGTAAACTATATATGAACAGTATACCATATATTGCAGTAATTACGTAATTTATTTAAACAGTGTAAAAGTCTGGAAATGACATCAAATGTTGAGATAGTTTTCTAATGGAATCTTAGTGTACATAACAGTTCCAATATGAGGATGTTTCATGGGGATATTCACTAGACTTATGAAATCAGTGATTTGCTTTTTAACCATTAAATTATGTTTGGACTTAAGGAAAAAGAGAAACTGGGACTAAGGGGAAGGTGATTCAGATAAATGGTAGAGTTAAAAAAGATAAAAAATAAAGGAGAGAGTAAGAAGAACAGAGCTTTCTGAGATAAACAATGGATATAGTCAAATGTAGAGATGGAGAATTAAGTTAAACCATAAGCTTTTGATTTTTTTTGAAGTAGGTTTTGTGTCCAAAATCTTCTGCAACATGTCAGAAATAAGAATCAAGACTTACCTAACGGAAGAGAAGAGGCTGTGTTGCTAAGTGGAAAGAACATAAATGTTGGAGTTAAGTAGACCTGTATTCAAATCCTGATTGCTCCTTATGTAATTGGGGAGGATGGTTTCATACTCAATATCCTTATCTGTAAGATTAATTTAATAATACCTATCATCAAAGTTGTAATCAAGATTAAATAAATTGAGGGTAATATATACATACTGCTTACCTGCACTGAATAACATAAATGATTCAATAAAGTTTTTATTAATTAAAATAGTATATAAAGACTGCATGACTCTTTATAGTGTTCTCTGCTTTAGTGAGATGACGCACAATGAGAGGGAAAAAATATAAGAAAAATAATCATTAGTCTTGCTTTGGAACAGAAAGAGACACAAGTGGATGTGACATCAGAATACATAGCACAGAGAATAGGAGGACGGAGATACTGAAGCAAAGGAAGAACTAAGAATAAACTTTTATATTTAGCTATCATTCATTCATTATGTCATTTATTCAACATCTATTGAGAAACACACACACACACACACACACACACACACACACACACACACACACACAGATACATATAATGAAGGCAATTAAGCAGCTCAGGCCAGACAGGAAGCAACAAATAAGCAAACCGGCAGTAACTGTACATAGTGTGGAAAGTGCTAAAAGGGAAGTATGGAACCAAGGAAAGTTAGTTAAATGGATACTTATTGAGCATTGATTATATGTCAACAGCTGTGCTAGGTGACTGAGATATGAAGATAAATGGAAACAAGTTTATACTCTCATGAAGGAAACAGGAAACAAAAAACAGATTCCAGTGCAATAATAAGACAATAATGGAAGAGGCACTTTACACTGTTTTGGTTTGTAGACAAGGGAAGATAAGTTACCAATAGGACAAGCTTCTGGGAATAGCTAATGTCTGAGCTATTATACAAAGGGTGAATTAATCAGATTTAAAAACATGCTGAAGAAGAAGACGAAGAGAAGGAAGAGGAGGAGCAGATGGAAGGAGAAGGAGGAAAAAGTAAATTCCTATCAGAAGAATATTGGAGACCAAACTGAAGCTGAAAACAATATGAGTTCAGATGCATAAGCATTTTAATAGGCTAGAACATAAGGATTGCTAGGGTTTGGAGATAGTTTGTTTGTCACTGTTAAAACCCATGTTGACATCTGATCCCCAATGTGACAGTGTTACAGGGTGGGGTCTAGCAGGAAGAGTTTCAATCATGGCAGCAAATCCCTCATGAATGGCTTTGTGCTGTTCTCGCTATAGTGAGCTCTTGCTTTGGTGAGATTGGATTAGTTTTTATGGGAATTAATTAGTTCCCATGAGAGTGGGTTGTTATAAAACCAGGATGCCTCTCAAGTTTTGTGTCTTTGTACCTGTTCACTTCCCCTTTGACCTTCTCCAGCATGTTCTGATGCAGCACGAAAGCCCTAGCCAGGATGGGGTCATGCCCTTGAACTTCCAAGCCTGCAGAACCATGAACTCAATAAACCTCTTTTCTTTACAAATTACCCAGCTTCAGGTATTCTGTTATAGTAACACAAAACAGACTAAGATCATGGAAGGAATAATAAGAGATGAGTTTTAAGTTGGGCAGGTGACAGTTTACAGTGTCCAATCTATCAGTCTGGAAGCATGACTTTATCCAATAGCTGGTAGGGAGCCTATGAAATGTTTTTAAGCTGCTGAAGGAAAATAGTGTTCCCATCATGAGACAATAAGGGCCTGGTTTATTTTATTGGTAATTGAAATAGAGAAAAAGTAAAGTACCCATTGGAGAGATATTTAAAGAAGTTGGTAAGATGCTGGAGTGAGCCAGGAGAGAGGGATATAGAACAACGCCCAAAACAGGTAACTTGGTGGATAACAGTGCAGGATTTAAGTTAGGGGAGAGAGTAGATACTCCACATGATACTGTTGGTAGAGCTAGAGAATGTCAAGTGAGATTAAAGAGTCAAAAAATGTACAGTACATGTTAAAATAAGGGGACCAGGCAAAATTTCTGGGACAGGAGATGGAGCAAGGGTATAAATGGGCTGAGATTAGTACCCTAAACTAATCAAGGACAGCAGAGATATATCAGCTGCTCTAGGATTCCTGAAAAGAACAGCTTCACAGAATTAAAGGAAGAACCTGAAGAATCAAGAGAATGGCATCCTGAATCTCAAAAAGGGATAGCATCAAAGAGGGCATAGACACAAATGCTTGGGTAACATGTAGAAAGAAAGAGAGAAAAAAAAAAAAACGCCTACCACAGGACTGAAAAATGGCCTCATGTATTCAGGAAGAAAGGTCTATTTTGCACTTAAGATAAATTTTGGTAGCATGGGATTTAAGAAGCTGGACTGCTTTATGTCAAAAAATGATTAATAGTGAAAGAAATATTTCTAATAATCTAGCAAATATTGCTAACTATGTGTAATTTTTAATAACAGTAAAAGGGAACTATTGAGTGATTTGCTAAAAGTACAAATAGGATGAAAGCAAACCTTTCATTTTATATTGGAGGAGGATTAATGATGTCTATAGACTAAAAAGATAAGGAAGAAAAAAGATAGTGAATAAAGATTTCAAAAATGGAAGTGATACGAGTAAAACTATGTCTTGAACAGGGCAGAAGAGGTTGAGACCAACAGCACAGATGGACACCTTAGTCTTGAACAAAAAGTATTATTTATCCCTTGGTATCTAAAGAGGAAGGATGCAGATGCTGTCCCTATAGAATACATTTGTTTGACAAAAAGCATGCCAGGCCTTTAATTTCTCCTTCCAACTTGAGTAAACTACGGTTTAAATAAATTAAAGTTTTATTTCTGAGTTTATGTTGTGTGGGATTTATGCTGCTGTTTGAAGCTGAAAATCTATGTTCTAAAAATTATAGATCATCTGCCATTATCTTTTTGAATACTGCTTTCCCCATTCTTTCCTTTATTTCTCATTCTATTTTCCACAACTTGAATATTTCTTTCAGATTTTCTCTCTTTTTCTCTCTGTGCTGTATTCTGGGTTCTATTTTTAGGTACACTAATGAATTTCCCCCAGCTCTTTCTACTATTCAATTAATAGAATCTTCAGTAGAAATGAATCCAGTTTTAATTTTTACAAGTTTTGGTGGATTCTTTTTCAACTGCCTGCACTTTTTGGATAGTGTTCTATTAGTTTGTTTTGTTCCCATTAACTATTTAAAACTTAGATAGAATAAATCTCATAATTGTACAATCTGAGTTCTATTTATTTATTTGAAATTTTTGCTGATAAATTAAGAACCTTATCATTGTTTCTGATAACTTCAATTCATGTTGGAATTTTCCTTATGTGCTTTATAATTTTGTAAGTTCATTTTTAAAAGCCTTACTTTTTGTGTGAGAATCTTGTATGGCCTCAGTCTAGGGTTTATTCCTCCAGTGACTATTTGAGCTGAGCAGGATAACTTTTCTATGATAATTTCTTGGTTAGGGCCTTCTAAAAACACTTTGATGATGTAAATTAAAACATCAAACCATTGTGAAAAGAGGCCAGACTGGGAATGTTCTCACTTGCTTTTCTTTCACCCAGGTCCCAGAAGTAGACAGATACTTTCTTCCTTCGGCCTTTGCTCATGGGTAGATTATTTTCTATTCACTTAAGTGCCCTTACTTTATCCAACTCCTTCACTTGCACAGATCCATGGCCCATGACCTATTATTTGAAGCCACTAAAATTTAATTCCCTTGTTTACCAAGTTCAACAAGGCTATTCTTCCACCCATATTTTCAGGGAAGCCAAATATCAGTTGGGAATTCAGCCTGCAGTTGTTCAATTACTTTCAATGCATTGACCCCTGAGAATTTCCTTTACTTGCCTGTAAGCCCAGCTCTTCATTTAAAAGATGTGAGCTCTGTGTATGCCCCATTTATAAGTGTTCTGTAGCAAAAAACTTTTCATGTTCTCCATTGTCCATATTGCACAAAATGTAAATTCTCATTACTTCTCTGCCTACACTCTCTTTTTAGACATCTCAAACTGTCCCATTGTTTAATTTTATGACTCCAAATTTGTCTTTGGGATCCTCCTCATCACTGGGCTGTAAACCAATGTACCTAATTGTTACTTCTCATTACCATTTCAAGAGCTCATAAGAATCTGAAATTTAATATGGCCTAAGGAGACATATCTTCTCTCCTCAAATCCTCTTCATACCCTCTATAAGCTCTTGTTATTTCAGCAAATAGCCAACCAGTTTTTCCTTCATGTCTTATATCCCACCTACCAAAAGGTCCAGTTAGCATCCCTTCCAAAACATATCTGAATGCCCTACCATTTATACTGCAAAAGCCTTTATCTATATGTCTTAATTATTATATTTTTTTGAATTACCAAAAAAAGCCTTCCATCTTAAATGCACCAAAGTCCATCCATCACTAAGCAGCCCAAGTGATCTCTCTAAAATATAAGATTATGAAAATGCCTTAATCATAAGCCTCTATCATTAGCACACTTACAGGCTTTTAGTATATGAGCCCTGTCTGCCTTACCAACATTTGTCTCTGTGAATTACCCCTCTCATACAATTTTCTAGCAACACCGGCCTCCATTCTCTCTTCAGAGCACAAAGAATTTTTATCTGTCTCAAAGCTTCCTCTTATACTTGGAATTCTCTTCCTCAGACGTGCTTGACTGACATGTCTTCATTCCGGTCTCAATTCCAATGTTAGTTTCTCAAAGAGGTGACACCGAATATTCTTGCTAAAGCAGAGTCCTCAACCCTGCCCTGGCCTGTCATTCTCTACCACATTATTCAGTTTTATTGTCCCCACAAGAGTACCAATGACTACAATTTTAACTATATATTCATTAGTCAACATGTTTATTATTATTTTCCTATACAACAATGTAAATTTAAACATTGTCGTGAGCACCTCAAACAGTGTCAGACACAAAGCAGGTGCTCAGGACATACAAACACACTCACACACCTGCTTTTTAAGTCTGTTTTCTTTAAATATAAATATATTTAGTCCTAAGTATAAACTTACAACATTAGTTTATGAATCATAGTTATGTTATTAAATTGCTGTTTGAAAACATTTTAAATGAAGTACAAATAAAGATATATGAAGCTATTTCTCAAAGTGCTAAAAGATAAAAATTATTAATCTCTATATTATTTTATGTATTTTATACAATGTAACAAGTTACACGTAGTATACTACAAATGAATATTTTCTCCTGAAAATATTGTATAGCACATAACGTACATCAACAATGTTTCAGAAACTAGGTTAGTCCTTGAGGATCTAAAAATGGGGGAAATGATGACATAGGCCCTAGGTGCAAGCAGTTACAAGGTGTGGGTTTGTAACTGTAAAAAAAAGGCTGTGCATTTTATCTTTCTAATTTTATATGTAAAAACATCACAAGGCCATATTACTTCAAAGAGAAAAAAATTAACAAATGTAATATCTTCACAGAAAGCAGGGTAAAGGAAACCACAGAATTAAGTTTTTTTGCTTGTTTGGTTTTTAATCCCAGGTAATCATAGTCACTAATAGCTAAAATGAGCTGCAGTGCAGAAGCTCCTGCTAGCTCCTTTCTTGCATTTCTTACTGTACTTATTAGGCTACTGTATTAGTCCATTTTCACACTGCTATAAAGAACTACCTGAGACTGGGTAATATATGAAGAAATGAGGCTTCATGGACTCACAGTTCTTCAGGCTTAACAGGAAGCATGACTAGGAGGCCTCTGGAAACTTACAATCATAGCGGAAGGCAAAGGGGAGGCAAGCACATATTAGCATGGCTGAACAGGAGAGAGAGAGAGTGAAGGCGGAAATGCCACACACTTTCAAAGAATCAGATCTCCTGAGAATTCACTCACTATCACGAGAACAGCAAGGGGAAGTCTGCCCCCATGATTCAATCACCCCCCCCCACCAGTCCCTCTCCCAACATGTGGGGATTCAAGACGAGATTTGGGTGGGGACTTAGAGCCAAACCATATCAGCTACTGAAAAACATAACTTCCATAATAATTATGTATTTTCTTGGGGGCTCATTGAAGGCAGGAAGTTTTCCACATATGTATTGTAACTTTAGAACCTACCATAATGTCTGCATACAATATGAATTCAATAAATGATTAATAAGTGATTGAACACATTTTAGTTGGACTGAATTAACAATTTATGTAATTTAATATTTATTTTAAAAGTAACATTTTATTGAAGTAGAACTTTTATACAGAAGAGAGTACAAATCAGAGTATAGTTCAATGAATTTTTAATGTGAATACACCAGTACCACCCTCATTCAGAAAAAAAAATACACATATATATATATATTACACATGGCCAGCAGAATCCCAGGAGTGTGCTCTCTCAGTCACTACCACCCAATAGGAACTGCTATCCTGACTCCTATGACCATTTTGCCTGCTTCTGAACAAGATCATATAGTATATACAGCCATTTTGTCTACTTTTACTCAATATTATGTTTCTAAGATTCATTCATGTTGTTGTGTGTAGCTGAAATCTGTTTATTCTCACTGCTGCAGAGTATTCCTTTGTATGACTATGTTATATCTTACCTATTCATTCTACTCGTTCATGATTACTACACATTTGTTTATCCTCTTTTGTGAAGTGACTGTTCAGTTCTGCAGATTTCTGTTTGATTATTTGCTTTTTCTATAATTTTTAATTATTTTTGTTATTTTATATTTATCATTATATTATATATTTGTTATTTTATTATTTACTTATTTTTCTTCACCAATTTTTTTGGTTTATCAATTTATCTTCTCAGATATAGCTATAACAAATATATTTTATCAGTCTGTGGTTTACCTTTTCTCTGTCTTAATGGAATGTTTATTCATCAGTTTTTTTCTCTATGATGGTATTTATTTTCCTGTTTAAGAAAACTTTACCTGACTCATATTTATTGATATTTTTCTATGTTTTCTTAGAATTTTGTATTGTTCAAACTTTCACATTTACAACTATGTTCCAAAAAAATAGACTATTGTTTGTTAGATAGGTAGAGGTAAGACTTTTTTTTTGTTTTTTTTCATAAGGCTATTAGGCCATTTATTCTTTGCTGCACTATAGTGGCACGCTTGTCACAAATCTGGTGAATGTATACGTATAGGTCTGATTTTGGACTTTCTACTCATTTCCACTGGTCTGTCTTTTTACCCTAACATGAGTAACGAGTCATTTTACATATTGAGCTCTATTGTTAATTTTGAAAAATGGTATTATAATTTCCGAAGCCTAGTTCTAAAACATTGTTAAATATTTTCTCCTTCTTTAATTTTCCATATACATTTTAATATCAGGGTTTTTTTTTTCTGTTTGTTTGTTTGTTTGTTGAGACACAGTCTCGCTCTGTCGCCCAGGCTGGAGTGCAGTGGCACGAGCTCGGCTCACTGCGAGCTCCGCCTCCTGGGTTCACGCCATTCTCCTGCCTCAGCCTCCTAAGTAGCTGGGGCTACAGGCGCCCGCCACCACGCCCGGCTAATTTTTTGTATTTTTAGTAGAGACGGGGTTTCACCGTGTTAGCCAGGATGGTCTCGATCTCCTGACCTCGTGATCCGCCCACCTTGGCCTCCCAAAGTTCTGGGACTACAGGCTTGAGCCACCACGCCCGGCCTGCATGAGTGAGTGTTCCAGTTCATGGCCAAGGTATGCCCCCCTCTATTGATTTACATCTTCTTTAATTTGCTTCAACAATATTATGTGGTCTTCTGGGTAGTATTATCAGACACCTTCTTGCTAGATTCATTTTGTGGATTTGATGTTTCAAAATTATATTGTAAGAGATATCTTTTCAATTTTATTTCTGATTGCTGTTGCTATCTACTGATATTTCTGTTTTCTAGCTATCTCAACCTTGAACAATACCACAGAGTTTAATGGTTATATAATCTTTTTCACATTTAAATATTCCATAGGGCTATTTGTCCCCATAAATAGTCATTTTAAAATTACCTTGATTAGTTATTTTATTAAATTATAAAATAAAATTACATTAGGAGTTTAGTTACAACTGCAGTAAGACTTTTAATTTATTTGGTTAGAACTTGACATTTTCTCATAACTGGGTCATATTCAAATTTTTGACATATCTCTCTATTCATTTTTAAGTATATTTTAATCACATTTGGTACTCTCTTCATAGAAACTTCCTACTTTCTATGTATGTCTTCTTAGTTGCATTTTGGGTATAATTTTCTAATGAATGAGGTTTTCTCTTATATTTTCTAAGTAGACATTCATGATTTCATGAAAAACCAAACTATGGGTTAGTAGATAGGGTCTATAAAGGCCATTAACTATATTTATTGATTCTGCCCTATCAGATATTGGGGAAATTTTACATTATACTTATATATGGCCAATTGTTATAATTTTTCCACAAAAGTTCTATCTATAAAAATTCAAATTTTTAAGAAACAGATGAAGGAAAAAATGTGAAAATATTTGCCTGATAATTTAAAGTACTTCTGCATTTTACATCTAACATCTATCTCAATGACTATCTTTCCACAATTTCAGACTCACAAATCAAAATGATTTCCAGATACTTACATTTGTATTGTGCCATACACAATCCCAATCAAACATAGCAACATTTACCCTCCAACCTTCCTTTTTTTCATCTACACATTTTTCACTTAATGTCTGGTACCACCATCAAACTAGTTTTTCAAACCTTAACTCATCCAAATACCACTAAAATGACATATTTAAAAGGGAAGTCTGATCATATGGCTTCTTTAGTGGACATCTACAGTCCTCAACTGAGTCAAAATGCCTTAAAATGACTCATTATCTGGCATGATGGTTCCTTAGACTCAATGTTGTCACCTGATGGCCTGCCACATAAAAACACGTATTGCATGCAAACACACACATACACACCCAGACACAAGCACACAGGTCAGATCATGCACTTTCTCTAAGCTTCAGCCACATCAAAAGTGTAACTCTGTGAACCTACCACCATCTTATCTGTGCCCCAAAATATTAATAACAGCAATTTTAACATTAGATCTACTATTTGTAATTGTTATTATTTGACTGATTTATCGAGCATATTTGAACATTTACTAAATGTCAGTTAAATTTAAGTCAGATTAGACTGCAAAAAATGAGAGGAGGTTAATATTCTGAACCTGAATATAGAAAGTCAGATTTTAAACTCCAGCTGTGGGACTTTAGGAAAGCCACTTTGCACCTTAGAACTTTGAGTTCCTCATTTCTTCCTTGGAAACACACAAGAATTATTTAGAAAAAGTAGAATTCAATAGAGGTTGAACAAATATTCAACCTCCCTAGTAATCAAATAAATGGAGTTCAAAACAATATTAGGAAGATAGTTTTCATTTATCATATTGAGAGAGATTTGTTCCAACTATAACACTCAAGTTAGCACAGGTGTGTGAGAGGACAAGCTCATGTACTGCATAGCCTCATGAATGGGATAGTCTTTCCGGAAAGTACTTTTAGAGATGAAGTGGGAGTTTTAAAAGTATTATACTGAATCAAATTCTATGAAACTATTTTAAATTTTAAAAAGCCAATATGTTGATAAAGATTTCTAAACAAAATAATCCACTGCCATAATATTTACAACAAGTAGTTAAAAATGAGAGCCATCCAAATAACAGCAATTTGTACATAAATCATAGGTCATCCATATAATACACTTTTATACAGCTATTTAAATGGTGTATTTAACAGTTGTTTAATATTGTGAAAAATCTATTATATCATGCTGGGAATAAGATCAAAACTCATAATTAGTTATTTAGTAAGAAGGAAAAAATTCAGTAATATATTAATAGCTATATTTCTATGAATTGAAACAATGTTAGGGTCTCAATCTCCTTTTGTACATTCTGTATTTTCCAAATTTCTTACCACAAACGTGTTACAGACAGAGTGCTAAATAGAGAAGACGTTACTACTCTTAAGGCACTGGAACTTTTGGTTAAATGGAGCTTTGTTAAATATGGCGTAGGAAACAAAATCATAGTCTAGAGCATATCCAAGGACACAAGTTGAAAAATAGAAACTTTTTCATAAACATAAGATTGCAATGATTAACTCAACTTTATCCTAGGACTTAAAGATTTTCTACAAATAGTGTTCAGAAGCAAGTGGACTACACATGGTTAAAAAAAAAATAGCCAAGAATACAAGTGAAAAAGGCACTGAAGCATGAGCTAGAAGAATAAGAAGTAGAAGCAAATTACAAAGACTACAGACATTTAAATTATTAGGTGCAGATTATAACTATTCACACTGTTTAAGAGATAAAAGATAAGCTTTAAATATCTGTGTCAAACAAAAAAATCATAAAACAATCTAGCAGATTTGGGTGAAAAGCAAATAAAACTTTAGGAAATGAAAAATTACATTTGCATACATTTGTAATGTAATATATACTTGCTGCCTACATATAGACTTGCCAGTTTATATGTGCAAATAATCGAAATAGATAAAATTATTTGCATATATACATAAATGTGATAGATATATATAGTTACCAGTTAGAAACAAGAATATAAGAACTATTTTGATATATGAATTGGTAATTATCTCTTTGTCCTGAGTTTTAATCTTCTCTTCTTTAGGAACATGACTTAGATATATAGTAGACCTGACTCTTGCCTGCAAATCTCTTAATCTCTCTTTCACTTTATTTTACTGATTGTTTATTAATTCTCTGTTCAGCACCATGTAATCCGCTGTTAAAAATTATCCATTTAATTTTTAATTCCTGGTAAAAATTGGGGGAAATTAAATGATTAAATAATTAAGTAACATCTCAGGGTGCTTTCTGGGTAAGCAAGATATACACCATGGAAATCCTTCCCCATAAATAGAGCTGCATTCCCACTGCTTGTGATAGATGTACTTGTGTTCCCAATAATTCACTACGTCTATTCTTGAGAGAATTAGACTTGTCACCCCACTGACATCAGACTTGGCCATGTGACTTGCTTTGTTCAAAGGAATGTGAGTGGTATTAACATGTATCACCCTCCTGTGGAAGCTACAAGAGCCATTGAGTGATCTCACTAATGTACTTTTCCCTCTATTACCAGCTAAATTACTATGTGAGTGAGAAATCAACCTTTTTATTTTGAGTCACTAAGATTTGGGGGTTGTGTGTTACTGCAGAATAATCTAATAAGTGCCTGCTGTCACACACTCTCCCTTTCCTCAAGATGAGTGTCCTTATTAGATCACCGACTCTTCAGATGTTTGTTTGCTTTTGCTCCTCTGGTTCTTTTTCTTTATAAAATAAAATGATAAAATGTAGTAATATTAACAACTACAGTTTTAAGTTATTCTTTAAAAACCAACATCCTTAAAAAAGTATGTTTCACATACAAGAAAGTTTTACAAATTGTTCCATTTCATCATTTCCAAAGGTAAAATAATTCTAAGAAATTTTATCAAACTTCCAATACAATAATCAAGTATCATGGTCATTTTTTCCTGATAGCATAGTATGTGTCAGACTCTGCTATATGATGAGGATTCAATAGCAAAGGAAAAGTAGTCATGATCTGACCTCATGGATCTTCCCATTTTTGAGGAAGACAGAAATGAATCAAATATTCATACACAAAAAATTATGAATATGAGAAGAGATGTGAAAAAGAGAGGCATGTGTATCACATGTACATATGACAGAGGAATTGAATTTCACAGGATAGTCAGCTGTAATCTTAAGGATAAGTGGCAATTAGGTAGAAGGAAGTGGTAAAAACATTCTAGAAAAAGAAAGTAGCATAAAAATACCATGTATGGGCTGGAAAAAGTGATAAGTGGGAGAAACTGAAGTACTACTACTGTATTTGAACCAAGTAATAAGGGTGAACTGGGAAGAATATGAGACTGTAGAAGCAGATGTGCCTATTCAAGGGACCTTGCAGGATATGTGGTGGGGGGTCTTTGGTCCTTTCACCCCTGTTAAAATTCATGCAGATATAGAGGGGAATTGATCATACTTATGTTAAGATAAATAAGAACATGCCTATCAAAATGTAGATAATGTATTAGAGAGTGATTGCAGGTAGACCAGTTCTGCCAGTCACTGTGAGTTCATGCCAGACATGACGATAGCTTGTACTAGATTGTTGGTGGAGCAATGAAGAGAATAAACTGAAAATACATTTAGTATGTGGAATAGTTCTTGTTGATCCATTAAATATGAGAGTTGAAATAGAGGAGTCATGAAAACTCATAGGTTTCCAAACCAAGAATACTAGTATAGTAGTTGCAGGAAAAATTGAGAGTGGACTGAAGGAGATCATGAGCTTGATAAGACATACATAAGATCCTCCATATCTGCAAGTTTTGATTCCTGCAGGCTTAGTTACCTGTGGTCAACTGTAGTCTGAAAAGATTAAATGGCGAATTCCAGATATAGACAATTCATAAGTTTTAAATTGTAGGCTGTTCTAAGTAGCATAATGAAATCTCATGCTCTCTTGCCCCAGATGTGAATAATCCCTTTGTCCAGCATATCCATGCTGTGTATGCGACCTGTGTTTTAGTCACTTAGTAGCCAGCTCAGTTATCAGATTGCAAAATTGTAGTATATATAGGGTTTGGTACAATCTGTGGTTTCAGACATTCACTATGGGTCTTGGAACACATCTCCCATGGTTAAGGGGGGGCTACTGTATTTTAAGTTTAAAGTATTTTTTAGTGTAAGAGGATAGTCAAAAAGAGGTAAGATAAGGCTGTGTAAAGCTGCTTATAACTTTTACAATTATTTTGACTTTTCTTTTTTTTCTTTATTTTATTATTATTATACTTTAAGTTTTAGGGTGAACAAAGAGAACACATGGACACAGGAAGGGGAACATCACACACCGGGGACTGTTGTGGGGTAGGGGGAGGGGGGAGGGATAGCATTAGGAGATATACCTAATGCTAAATGACGAGTTAATGGGTGCAGCACACCAACATGGCACATGTATTCTGACTTTTCAAAGGGAACCCAGAGTGACTAAAGGCAACATTTTGAATAGAACTTAAATTTTAAGCTACTGATAAACAAAAACACCACCATATAACTCCAGGGACACAAACTGGAGAGGTTTATTGTATTTAACATATTGGATTATGGTATATAAGAAGAAAAGTATTTGCAAATTTACCTTTCATTGGTTTTTACTGTTATTTTGTTAATATCAATCTCAAGTTTTTTATTGTCTTCCGTCAGTTTTGTACATGCCAAAGAAATAGCTGAAAAATCTTTTGCAACATCAGAAAGCTCAATATCCCATGTTTTTTTCTTTAAGAAAAGAATAAAAGAATCATTCATACATGTCTAATTATCAAAAGGCAAAACCTATAATAATGAAATCACTTTTAGATATATGAGTTAATATTTGGAAATAGAAAATGGCGTTCTAAGTGGGAAGTAGGAAAAAATCAACTTACTGCAGCATAAAAATCATTAACTGCTTCCAGATACTGATTTTCATGACTTTTTTGCTTCCAGGTTAGTTGGTCATAAACTCTTCTCAAATCTTCCAGCTAAGAAAGAAGATATACAGAACAAAGTGAATTGTATAGCTTTTCATCCTTCCATAAGGTAAAAAATAAATTAATCATGATAAAGTAGAATTTGTTTCAGTTACATAAAAATTGAAAAACAATAGAAAATTCGGAATCATAATTCATCACATCAACAAGTTAAAGGAGAAAATAAGCATGCTAACACTTTGCAAAACAGTCATTTAATAAATTCACTCACTGTCTAGTTTTCGTATCTTAAAAAAACTAGTACAAGAAAAAAATGATTCAAATATAATATAAAGAAACAATAGCAAATACCAAAGTGAATTATAAAATACTGAATGTATCCTCATTAGACTCAAGAATAAGATCATATTATCTTTTATTACATTATTAATCATGCTTTAGGAAAGACTAGGTAAACAATTACATAATAAAATCAAATATTACTATTATAATACTGAAAATGAATAGGTAATATATCTTCAACTTTAGATAACATAATTAAATACCTAGAAAAATAGAAGAATTCTATTTAAAACAACAATAAACAATTTTGGTAAAATGGCTGGATATAAGGATTAGGAAATGAATAGCTTTTATCTATAAGAATAATAATCGGTCTTTAAAATACAGAAGAAATAATTGTAAAGTTTTCTCAAAAATATAAATTATTTGGGAAAAAATTTGACAAAAAGAAGAGGACCTATATAAAGTAAACAAAAACTCTTATTAAAAATCCTAAATCAAGTTTCACATGAAAAGGATGATTTGTTACAAAATGGTTTAATAGACTATAATGTGTGTTCTCCCAACATTACTGTAAAAATATAGCAAAATGGAGTAGTCTTTTTTGAACTGCATTAAATGAAGTTCACATGGAAAAAAGGTATCTGAGACTACCCAAAAGGTATCTGAAAAATAAAATATTGGAAATTTGCTACCAGATACTAAAACATCCTATAATACTTCTATATTAAGGCAACATTTATTTTCCTAATCATAGTAAAGATCAGAGGGAAAAATTAAAGGCCAGAAATAAATCTGAATCAATATTTTCAGAAAATGATATCTGAATTCAGTGAGAGAGAAGTTGTTTAATTAATGGTACTGAAATAATGTGAAATCTCTGTTTAAAAAAATTCAAAGTGGTCTCTATACCTCACATCTAACTCATATAATAACAAAAGTAATGTTTCAGACGAATAAAAATCTAAATGCAAACACAGAACATGTTCAAATTAGAGTAATCAATAAGATTTCACTTGCATAATCTTGGGCTAAAGGAGAGTGTCACCTTGCCGAGTAAACCAAGAGATCTGTTGATGGGTTTGACAGCACATTTTATAAAAGTATGTGTCAAAAAATACCACCATAAACAAAATGTAAATTAAATAAGACGACCATGAAAAAAATGTAAAATAAAAAGCCAACATTCCCAGATTATGTCCTTGCAGAGACATCAATGAAAATAGTGAAGCAGGAGTCTCTGAAAACTCCCTCTTATATAAATGTAATAAAAAAAACTGATAAAAAAATGTCAAATCAGCCTTGTCAACATTCGAAATTAGCCAAAGGCTTGCAACAATCTAGGGAGCACTGATTTAATAAAAACAGTCTAAACTTAGTAAGAAGAGTGCACTTTGTGGTGTTTCACCTTCTAGTCCTATCACTTCAGCTCCACAGAAGCCTCAAAGAATAATTTATTGTCAAAAGCAGCCTTCTGGCAGCCACCAGAGAGAGTAGAATCAGGCTAGAATGCATTCAAAGCCTCGTTCTCAAAAAAATTGTCTTTATTTGACCTGTCTGGTGGTTTTTATGGAAACCTCCACTTGCAAGGATGTCTGCATTTGATTTGATGCAGAGTTTACCAGCACAAAAACTCTCTCCCAGAAAAGCTTTTTCCCCAGAGCATGGTTGTCCAAAAAAATTACAGGCAATTGATAAACTCTGTGGCCACCTGAGATTGTGGCTAAAAATTGGAACAAACAGTAGATGAACTAACAAACTAAAAAGGGAAAGCTGGTGGAATTACATCCATAGTACTTTGTAAAGCTCCAACATAACTCCTGGGAATCTAGAAGGCTGCAAATATCCAGGGATGTGTGAAAGACCAGGGTATTCACATGTTCTGGAAATACCTGAGAAGCTATTTAACCTCTCACCTCCTGCTGATCTTGAGGCTCTATGAAAGCAGGAAACAACAACAATAACAAAAACTACGGCAACGTTGGCAACTGCCTGGTTGTTTATTAAAGGTGAACCTAAGAAAGCACACAGAACTTTTCTGCAAAGACAGAGATAAATTTTTTTCAGATTTTAAGGATTATTATCCAATGATTAACAGACCCTCAGCTGAGAAGAGACTTCATGGGCTGCACATGAGAAAGACAACAGACTTTACTTAATTAAGTTAGAAAGTTCTCTAAACAAAACAAAACAACAAAGATTACTACTTCAGCAAACAGCAACAGGAACAAATCCTGAGGATAAGTGAAAATATGATATCCAGTATAAATACATTGTATTTAAAATGTTCAGTTTTCAACAACTAAAAATGAGACATTCAAAGAATTAAGAAAGTATAGACTATGCAGAATAAAAAATTAGTCAATAGAAATTATCTCAGGGGAAAATTAGACATTTTATTTATTAATCCAATTGGAAATTTGAAATATGTTCAAGGATCTAAAGGACTAAAACAAAGCATTAAAATAATGTTTTAGCAAATAGAAACTATTAATAAAGTGATATAAATTATTTTAAAAACTCAAATATAAATTTGACAGTTGAAAAGTACAATAACTGAACTAAAAAATTTTTGCTATCTGCACTCAACAGCATATTTGAGTAGGCAGAAGAAAGAATCATCAAATCTGAAGACGAGTCAACTGAGATTATCTAGACTAAAGAACAGAAAAAAAAATAAAGAAAAATGAACAGAGATTCATAGTTGTGTGACATTCCATGAAGTATATACCAATATACATACAAAAGTAAAAGTAGTCAAAGAAGAAAAGAGAGGGGGGAGGCAAAAAGTATATTCAAATAAATAATGGCTGAAAACTTGCAAAATTTGGTTTAAAATACATTAATTTACACATTGAGGAAGCCCAAGAAATTCCAGTTGTAAAAACTCAAAGATATATACTCGAGATACATCACAATCAAACTGTCAAAAGTCAAAGACAAAGAGACACTCCTGGAAGCAACAAGAGAAAAGTGACACTTCACATGTCAAGGATCTTCAATATGATTAACAGACAATTTTTCAGTCAAAACAATGGGAAACAGAAGTTATATACTAGCATATACAAAATACAGAAAGAAAAGTACCAAGAATCCTATATCAAGCAAAACTATAACTTAAAAACAATAGAGATATTAGGACATTCCCAGATAATCAAATATTGGGATAAACCTGTTCTATAAAAAATACTCAAGGGAATTGATTCCTTCAAATTGAGATGAAAGAATGCTAGACAGTAACTTGAATCCACAGAAGAAATAAAGACAACCAGTAATCATAACTTTATAGGTAAATATTAAAAATGTATAAACGTATTATTTTGTAACTCTTCTTCATTGCCTAATTTAAAAGACAATTGCATAAAGCAGTAATTGTAAATTTCTGTTGATAGTCACACAATGTATAAAGATATAATTTATACAATAGCAAGACAAATAAATAAAGGAAGAAAGAAAGCTATAGAGGAGAAAGAAATGTGTATACTATTGAAATTGTTAGTATTAATCCAAAATAATTTTTTTTGTAAATTACATTGTGAATTCCACTCCTAGGGCAATTGCAGGGAAAATAGTTCAAAAATATATAGTCAAATCAATTGCAAAGTAATTAAAGTGTTACACAAAAGAAGGCAGTAATGAAGGAATAGAGAAAATATAAAGACATAAGACACAGAGAAAATAAGTAGCAGAATGGCAAATACAAATCCTACCTTATCAGTAATTACATTAAATGTAAATAAATTAAACCCTCTAATTAAAGTATAGAGATTGACGGAATGAGTTTGAAGGAAATGGTCCTATCATATACGGTTCACAAAAGACACATGGGAGATCAAAGACACAAATATGTTGAAAGTAAAGGCTGGAAAAAGAAATTCCATGCAAACAGTAACCATGTTAAAGGAAGTCCATGCAAACATTAACCATGTTAGAGCTGAAGTGGCTAGATTAATATCAGACAAAATAGACTTTAGAATAAAAATTGCTAGAACAAACAAAGAATTACATTTTATAATAACAGAAGGGTCAATTAATCAAGACATAACAATCACGAATATGAATCCACCCAACAACAAAGCTTCAAGATACATGAAACAAAAACTGACAGAACTAAAGAGAGAAATAGAAAATTTGACAAAAACAGAGACTTTGATACTGCATGACTGAAGTCATGCAAAGTGCCTTCTCCAGCCATATTGGAATGAAATTATAAATCAATAACACAAAGAAATAACAGAAGGAAATTCAAAACATATGGACATTAAACAGTATGTTCCTTGATAACCAACAAGTATAAGAAGAAATCTCAAGAATGATTAGAAAATATTTTGAGATGAATGAGAATGAATGTACAACATATTGAAACTTATTGGATGAAGTTAGAGCAGTGCTTTAAAGGAAATTTCTAGCTCTAATTGCCTACATTAAAGAAGTTCTTATGTCAGTAACCTAACTTTACATCTAAAAGAATTAGAAAAAGAGCTAACTAAACCCAAAGCAAGTAAAAGAATGAAAATTAATTTTTAAAAAACTACAGTGAGAAAAATATGAATTCTAATACATGCAAAAAGTGGAGAGAATCAACAAAACCAAAAGTTTGTTCTTTGGAAAGTTCAAGAAATTTGACAAAATACTGTATACACTAACCAAGAAAAAAGAAGATTCAAATTACTAAAATCAGAAATTCAAGAGAGAGTATTGCTATGAACCTTCAAAAAGTGATTATAAGAGAATATTATAAAACATTTTATGCCAACAAATTAGATAAACAACATGAAATGAATAAATTCCCAAAAATACACCACCTAACAAAACTTACTCAAGAAGAAACAGAAAATCTGAATAAATCTGTAACAAGCAAATAAACTGAATTAATAATCAAAAACTTCTCACAAAGATAAGCCTGAACCAAATTGCTTTACTGGTGAATACTACTAGATGTTAAAAGATGAATCGACATGGGTCTTTCACAAAATCTTCCAAAAAATAGAAAAGAAATATACACTTACCAGCTTATTCTATGAGGCAGTCTCACTGTGATAGCATATCCTGACAAGACATCACAAGAAATGAAAAGTACAGACTGATATCTCTTGTGAATTTAGACACAAAAATCCTTAACAAAATAGTTGCGGAATCCATAAACATATAGAAAGGATTATAGACCACGATGAAGTGAGATCTATCTAGAAATGCAAGGTTGGTTCTACATGTAAAAATCAGTAAATGTAATAAACACCATATTAATATGATAAAGGACCAAAGCCATTTCCATTATTTCAATGAATGTAGAAAAATCATTTGAAATATTTCTATACCCTTTTGTAATAAAAAATTCAGTAAACTAACAATAAAGGGAAATTTTCTTATCCTGATAAAAATGTACCTGTGAAAGCCAACATCATACTTGATGAAAAGTGGATCATTCCACTAACATCAGAAAGGATGGGATATTTGCTCTTATTGTCTTTTTTTTAACATTGTATTTGATGCTCTAACCAAAGTAATTAGGCAAAAAAAAAATAAAAATAAAAATAAAAAATAAACATTTCCAGATTGAGAAGAAAGAAGTAAACATCTGTATTTGCAGATAAAAGGATTTGTGTAGAGAAAGTCCTAAATAATGTATTTTCAAAAACTATAGAGCCTAATGAACAATTTTGCAACTTGCAGGATACAAAGACAACACACAAACATTGGTGGTATTTCTACACACTAGCAATGAGCAATACAAAAATGTAATTAAGACAATTTTATTTACAATAGTGTCAAAATGAATAAAAATTTAGGAATAAATTTTACTAAACAGTGCAAGATTTGTACACTGAAAATTACAACACATAGTTAAAAGGAATTAAATAGGCCTAAATGAAAATATATCTGTAACCATGGATTTAAACACTTAATATTATTAAGATGACAATGCTCTCCTCATTGATTTACAAAACTCCAGTAATCAAGACATTGTAGTACTGGCATAAGGAAAGACATATAAATCAATGGGATAAAACTGAGAATGTAGAAATTAACCCATACTACATTAATTACCAATTGATTTTAACAACAGTGTCTAGACAATTCAATGAGATAAAATAGTGTTTTCAAAGAATGCTGCTGAAAATACTGAATATCCACTTACAAACAAATGAATTTGAACTTCTACTTCATACCATACACAAAAATTAACTAAACTTGGATTAAAAAATATAAATGTAATAGTTAAAACCATACAAATCTTAGAAGAAAACATAGATATAAGTCTTTGAGACTTTGGATTAAGCAATGGTTCCTCAGATATGATACTTAAAGCATAGGCAACCAAAGATAAAATAGATAAATAAGACTCCATCAAAATTACAAACTTTTAGTTTTTAAACTTTTTAATATCTTCTGCTTCAAGAATACTAACAAGAAAGTGAAAAGACATGACATGGAGTGGGAGAAAATATTTTCAAACAATCTATCTGATGAGTGTCTAATATCTGGACTACAGAAAGAATACTTACAACTCAATAAAAAGTGAAAAAGAACGGAATATAAAATGGACAAAAGATTTGAATAGACATTTCTCCAAAGAAGATATACAAATGACAAACACAGGAAAAGCCATTTTCCATTATTAGAGACTATGGAAATGCAAATCAAAACCACAATGAGATCCCGCTATATATCCACTAAGGATGGCTTTATTTAAAAAGGGGTTTCAAAAAAAAAGGACAGATAATACTGATTGTTGCTAAGAATACGTTAGAATTGAAACCCTTATAAATCACTATGGTAATGTAAAATATTGTAGTCACTTTGGAAAATAGTTCGGCAGTTCCTCAAAATGTTAAACATAGAACTATCACATGACCTGGCAATTCCACTCCTAGATATATAACCAAGGAAAATGAAACACATTATGCAAAAATTGTAGTGAATGTTTAAGAGTGGCTTTATTCTTAAGAGTCAAAAAAAGTGGAAACAGCCAAAAATCCATCTACTAAAGAATGGATAAACAAAATGTAATGTACTTAGAAAATGGAAACTACTCAGTCATAAAAAGCAATAAAATACTGACAGACTCTACTACATAAAGGACCCTTGAAAACCAGGGTCTATTGTCTTGCCTCAGGTAGCTCAGATGCATAAAATTATTTTATATTTTACATACCAAACAATTGTCAATCTCCAGAAGTAGGTTTACAAAGTATTTTTCAATGGGAAAAAAATGAAAAAATATACATGAAAATTCAGTGCCTAAGGGTCAAAATTAATGATTTGCACCACTATGCCTTTGATAAATGCCTGTGGAAGGCTTACTAAATGAAGTTATGAGACAATCATGAGCACACCTTAAGCATTGCATGTGTAATTCTTGCAATCTGCAACTTTTGGATAAGTACGATTACTTTAGCCCTGGCCTAAGTAATAAGATCCATGGAGTCACTAGTATTATGTCCTTATTCCTTTCCTAATATAAATGATAATAAATGTACAACTTCAAAAGTATTAATCATTGGAATATCTAAAATCAAATAGTATGCCATTAACGGAAATCTTTGCATTAAAAAGGAAATTTAAGTGGCTAATAAGAAAAAAATGTATTTACTTTGCTATCAGGCAGGAACATGAAAATTAATGTAACCTTTTTTTACCCAACAATTAGGTTGGTATAATTTAAAAATACCAACCATTCTGGGAAAAATGAGAGAAATCATACATTTCTATTGCTCCTAATATATAAATATATGTGCATATGTATACATATGTTTTAGAAAATATTTCAGAAATATTTATTTTGAAAAACATACTTAGTTCTAATCCAATAATTCAACTTTTGAGAATCTATCCCATAGAAAGAACCAATTCATAACAACAACAAATATAAAGTTATTCATTTTAATATTGTTTGCAGTAGTTACTATTTTCAATCTGAATTTATTTAAAAGTTAAATAATTGAATACATTGTCATTGAGGTTCATTTTCCTTCTAATGGGCTTTCTTGGGTAGCAAAGCCTAGGAAAATAAAAAGAACAGAAAGGAAGGTAGGGATACTAAGAGGAAAGGAAGGGAAGGGGAAGGGAAGAAGGGAGGGAGGGAGGGATTTCTAGTTTTACTTGGAGGAAGGGTAGGAAAGGGGAGGGGAGGGGGGAGGGGAGGGGAGGGGAGGAGGGAGGGGAAGCGGGGAGAGAAGGGAAGCTGTAGCTTCTATGGTCAATCTGGGAAACATTTTTGCATGTCCAACCCAGAGTTTTTTCTGCCAGCTTTGCAAATTCATTGGTTTCTAAATTTTTTTCTACCTAAAACAGAGGGATTTCTGTTTCCTGCACTGTGCCCTGATTGATATTATGACATGTTCCTAGTATGTAATATTTGTTTACTGTTTAAAAGAGTGCATTAGATTCATATCTAATAACCTTGATATATATCCACAATATATTTTTAAGTAAAAGAGCAAGATTACTAAATGTAAACTGGGCAATAGAGCAAGACCCTGTTTCTAAAGTAAGTGAGTAAATAAATAAATAAATAAATAAATAAATGACAATATTAGATGGGACTGTGAATCTGAAGTTGGACTTCTCAGACATGATGTTAGGCATGGAAAAATACATAACTCTTTGGGAAAACTTTTTTGCATTGTCTACTAAAGCTGAACATGTGCATTCTTTGGCCTAGAAATTCACAAAATAAATGAATGTTTCATTTTAATAAATGAATGCATTTCAGTGCATATTTCAAATGTTGTGGCCTGAAAAGCTGGAAGGTTTGAATTGCCATAAACTGAAATAGGGGAGAATGCAGGTTATAGAGTGGTTCCACATCTGAAGTACAATTTTAGGACAGTTAAACTTGAGATACTTACTAGATATCTAAGTGGAGATTCAGAGTTGGCAGTTGGATTCAGAGTTGGCAGTTGGATATATAAGATTTGTTACAAAAGACTAAGCACTGAGGTTCTCAAATGTTTGGAGTTTGAGGAGATATAAAGAAACCAGTAGAGGGAACTGAGAACAAGAATCCAGAAAAATAGCAAAAACCATGAAGAATGTGTTCTGGAAGCCAAAAGAAAAAGGTTTCCAAGGCTAAGGGTAGAATCAACTTGGTTAAGTGGCATGTGTAAGCTAATAAAGATGAGGACAAAAGAATAATGATTAGATTTAGCAAAATGGAAATCACTGGTGACCTAAGGCTTAATGGTGATGGTAAAAAGAAAATTGGGGTGTGTTTAAGAAAGGATGAACGATATAATGGTCAAGTAAGATTTATTCCAACAATTCAAGGTTCAAATTAGAAAATCCATTAATTTAATATACTGTATTATAGATAATGAGAGAAATATTACATGAGCTTCTCCCTAGAGGCAGAAAAGATTCTTGAGAAAATTCAATACTCATTCCCAATTTAAAAAACTACTCAATACATTGAAACTGACAATACTTTACAACATGATAAAATGTATATTGAATCTTAAAGCCAGCATCATATTTAAGGGAATAAAAAAACTAGTAGCAATCCCATTAAGAGTGGGGCATAGCAAGGATGCCACTTATTTCCACTACTATTTAACACTGTATTAAAAGTATTAACCAATGTAATCAGATAAAAAATAATGATTAAAGGCATAAGAATTAATAAAAATTAGTGTCTCTAATTGCAGATGAAATAATAGCATTCCTGGAAAACCCCAGATAAACAATGATGAGTAACATAAATAATTTTAAAAATTAGTAAATTAGTGCAGTAAGAATTATCATTATTTACTTCATAAACCAAATATAACTAGTTAGAAGAATTAATAAAAGAGAAATCCTCAACTAGAAGTACAAAACAATAATTTACGAATACACTTTTCAAAATCTTGCAAATTCTATATGAGGAAACCCTTTAAAAATGCTCCTGACACAAAATGTCATTGAACAATTGGAATAGTATCATCTTATTGACTTAAAATAATGCCTATTTACTATCTCATTTTCTATAAGTCAGAATGCTGGTGAGCTAGGTCAGTACTCTGCTTAGGGTCTCACAAGCTGTAATGAAGGTTTCAGTTGGCCTGGGCTCTCCTTTAGTGGCTCTGGGGGATAAACCATTTCTAATCTCATTAAGGTTGTAATCTCATTACAGTTCCAGGCAGAATGTATTATGTTTTCACAGTTTCTATGTGGCCCCCTCCATCTTCAAGTCAGCAATGACTGGCTGAGCACTTCTCATGCTTTGGAACTCTCTGACTCTACATTTCTCTGACTTGTTCTTCTCTCAGCCAAAAGAAAGTTATGCTTTCAAAGACTCATGTAATTACCATTACAATCCAGGATAATCTCCCAATCTAACGGCACTGATTATAAACACAATTACATCTACAAAATCCTTCTGCCCATGTAACCTTGCATATTTACAAGCATGACATGAAAGGCACAAATTATGAGGATCCAGATTCTGCATACCACACTGCACTGCCTGGGCCCATGATCCACATCCTGCCCATATGCAAAATACATTCACCTCCTCTGAGGGTGCCCACAAATCTCCAACCAAAGCCCAAACTTGCATCTAAATGTTATTATCTCTAATGTCCAAAATCTCATAATCTAAATCAAGTACAGATGAAACTATATAGGTTCGATATATCCTGGGGTGAAATGTCTTCTTTTTTTTGGACCTTTGAAACTAAAGAAAGAAATCATGACTTTCCAATGATCCTAAAATACATACATATATATATATATATATATCTATATACATACACATATATATACACAAATACATATATATATATATATATATATATATATATATATTTACTTCATGAGAAAGAAGCCAAATCCATCATTTTTTAAGAGATAATCACTTCTCTATTTTTGGCTACACTGAAATAGTTGAGGAGTAACACCCTTAAATTTCCTTGATGCCCTCTTGTTTAAGGAGCCTATAGAGCCACCCTTCTAAAAGTAACTTCAATTAAAATTGATTGAATAACATTTTTATTTTATGCCTAAACATAAAACTTCAGCATTTATATATGGAATCAAATTTTAGCATTTATATACGGAATATAGGCTTTATTCTATCATATACAAAACAAACACAGCAACTAGAAAATGACTGAATTTACCAACCTTCTAGCATTTATCCTTTAGAGAATATTACTATTAGCAACAAATACTGACAGTATTTAATACACAGAAGTTACCTCTAAATGCGGACTGTGAAGTACAAGAAATCTGCTGGACAATATGGAACGATAATATATATAAAATTAAAGGGATGCAAGGCTGGTTCAATATACGCAAATCAATAAATGTAATCCAGCATATAAACAGAACCAAAGACAAAAACCACATGATTATCTCAATAGATGCAGAAAAGGCCTTTGACAAAATTCAACAACGTTCATGCTAAAAACTCTCAATAAATTAGGTATTGATGGGATGTATCTCAAAATAATAAGAGCTATCTATGACAAACCCACAGCCAATATCATACTGAATGGGCAAAAACTGGAAGCATTCCCTTTGAAAACTGGCACAAGACAGGGATGCCCTCACTCACCACTCCTATTCAACATAGTGTTGGAAGTTCTGGCCAGGGCAATGAGGCAGGAGAAGGAAATAAAGGGTATTCAATTAGGAAAAGAGGAAGTCAAATTGTCCCTGTTTGCAGACGACATAATTCTATATCTAGAAAACCCCACTGTCTCAGCCCCAAATCTCCTTAAGCTGATAAGCAACTTAAGCAAAGTCTCAGGATACAAAATCAATGTACAAAAATCACAAGCATTCTTATACACCAATAACAGACAAACAGAGAGCCAAATCATGAGTGAACTCCCATTCACAATTGCTTCAAAGAGAATAAAATACCTAGGAATCCAACTTACAAGGGACGTGAAGGACCTCTTCAAGAACTACAAACCACTGCTCAATGAAATAAAAGAGGATACAAACAAATGGAAGAACATTCCATGCTCATGGGTAGGAAGAATCAATATCGTGAAAATGACCATACTTCCCAAGGTAATTGATAGATTCAATGCCATCCCCATCAAGCTACCAATGACTTTCTTCACAGAATTGGAAAAAACTACTTTCAAGTTCATATGGAACCAAAAAAGAGCCCACATTGCCAAGTCAATCCTAAGCCAAAAGAACAAAGCTGGAGGCATCATGCTACCTGACTTCAAACTATACTACAAGCTACAGTAACCAAAACAGCATGGTACTGGTACCAAAACAGAGATATAGATCAATGGAACAGAACAGAGCCCTCAGAAATAACGCCGCTTATCTACAACTATCTGGTCTTTGACAAACCTGAGAAAAACAAGCAATGGGGAAAGGATTCCCTATTTAATAAATGGTACTGGGAAAACTGGCTAGCCATATGTAGAAAGCTGAAACTGGATCCCTTCCTTACACCTTATACAAAAATTAATTAAAGACGGATTAAAGACTTAAATATTAGACCTAAAACCATAAAAACCCTAGAAGGAAACCTAGGCATTACCATTCAGGACATAGGCATGGGCAAGGACTTCATGTCTAAAACACCAAAAGCAATGGCAACAGAAGCCAAAATTGACAAATGGGATCTAATTAAACTCAAGAGCTTCTGCACAGCAAAAGAAACTACCATCAGAGTGCACAGGCAACCTACAAAATGGGAGAAAATTTTCGCAACCTATTCATCTGACAAAGGGCTAATATCCAGAATCTACAATGAACTCAAACAAATTTACAAGAGAAAAACAAAGAACCCCATCAAAAAGTGGGTGAAGGATATGAACAGACACTTCTCAAAAGAAGACATTTATGCAGCCAAAACACACATGAAAAAATGCTCATCATCACTGGCCATCAGAGAAATGCAAATCAAAACCACTATGAGATACCATCTCACACCAGTTAGAATGGCAATCATTAAAAAGTCAGGAAACAACAGGTGCTGGAGAGGATGGGGAGAAATAGGAACACTTTTACACTGTTGGTGGGACTGTAAACTAGTTCAACCATTGTGGAAGTCAGTGTGGCGATTCCTCAGGAATCTAGAATTAGAAATACCATTTGACCCAGCCATCCCATTACTGGGTATATACCCAAAGGACTATAAATCATGCTGCTATAAAGACACATGCACACGTATGTTTATTGCGGCACTATTCACAGTAGCAAAGACTTGGAACCAAGCCAAATGTCCAACAATGATAGACTGGATTAAGAAAATGTGGCACATATACATGATGGAATACTATGCAGCCATAAAAAATGATGAGTTCATGTCCTTTGTAGGGACACGGATGAAATTGGAAATCATCATTCTCAGTAAACTATCGCAAGGACAAAAAACTAAACACCGCATGTTCTCACTCATAGATGGGAATTGAACAATGAGAACACATGGACACAGGAAGGGGAACATCACACTCTGGGGACTGTTGTGGGGTGGGGCGCGGGGGAGCGATAGCATTAGGAGATATACCTAATGCTAAATGACCAGTTAATGGGTGCAGCACACCAGCATGGCACATGGATACATATGTAACTAACCTGCACATTGTGCACATGTACCTTAAAACTTAAAGTATAATAATAATAATAATAAAGAAACACACACACAAAAAATAAATAAAATTAAAATGGATAGATTCATTTAAGAGTTAATCATACAGCATCAAACGTATACAAAATTACAGTGATTTTAAATATGTGCTATTTATTGCAATGAGAGTAAGTTTTCTTAGTTCTCCATTTCACTGAAATCAATTATAAAACTTCCAAAATCTATCTCTTTTACAATATAATAATTATTAAAGACAAAAACAATTTTTATCTTAAAAAATAAATAATTTAAATCGTAAATTATATTGAAGGAAAGACACCTCTAGATTGAAACAATATAATCACTAAGAGTTATTATGTAGTTTTGGTTATGTTTAAAGTCATGTTCAAAACTTATTTTATATTCAAGGAAACAATGCCAATACCAACATCTAAATTATACAATTAAAGGGTGAACATAGTACAAAATTGTGAACCAGTTGCCATACAAGATCCAATAGACAATGTGACAAGTCTCATAACCCCACAGAATTAATGATATGAAATTCAATTCATAAAGATGTCTTCTTAAAAGTGAATGGGAAAAGGGTAAAGTTAAGGTTTTAAGAATTTTGGAAAATGTGAAAATACTGGCAAATTATTTAAGCTTTGGCAGAATGCTAAGGTGTATCATTCTTACCTGTGCTTCTTGTACTACTGTATAATTCAACTTTCATTATTTGTTATCACAATACCATTTTGCTTAAAATGAACAGTTACGTTCAATTAAAAAGTTTTAGAGATATTTATTACAGCTTTGTTTATAATACTTAAAAATTAAAGCACACTTAATATCCAATGACAAGGGTTTAAGAAACTGTAAAGAGAGAGAGGGCAAGATGGCCAACTAGGTGCAGATAAGTGGAACAGCTCCCATGGAGGCACTGAGACTACTGGCGTGCTTTTAACAGATCTTCAGAGGGAAGGCACCAAGAGTGGACACAGAAGCTGGGTTGAAGGGGGAGAAAGCTGGGAACCCTGCAAGGGCTATCACATATGGGGGGCTCATTTTTGAACCACAACAGTTCCGGAGGAATAGGTGAGTGAAACTGGCTAGGAGCAACTTGCTCTTGCCACGGGCCTCTGAAACCCGGCAGGAAGGGACCCCTTGACCACCATGGACACTTGAGGTGGCAAGGAGAGCCTCCTCGAGAAGTGGTAAGGGCAGCAAGCCAGCTGATGTGGAGCCCAGAGGGTTTGGAGCGAGAGCATCTGTAGTGCAGCACAGCTAGGGGTTGGCCACCATACCTCTAGGCTCGACTTGCTCCTGTGAGAGACTTCAGCCCTAGGGGAACTGTCGGTCCTGATCTCTGCAAGCTGGTCCTGCACATCAGATGGGACTAGTCTGACCTATGCACTCCTTGGTCTGCTGGCCTCTCCTGGGTCCCCAGCCTGGCCATACTTGCTTATAGGGCAGTCTCGAGTGGGGCCCACACCATAGCTTCTGCATTGGTAAACCATACCTAAGAAATAGAGAGCTCCAGTAAGATGGCCCCTGTGCCCACACACCAGCCCACATGCTCTCTCTCCATACTTCAGCTTTCCCTGGGCTCATGGCAACTCACCACATCACTACCTGGCACATGTTTGCACGGGAGAGTTTTTGCTTTACTTGCCCTGCCAGCACATGGGAGTGCAACTGGACCCTCAACATCCCTGCTGATGGCCATTGCAGAGAACCTCGGAGGGCCCAGAGCCAGCAAGCCCGGCTCCCCGCTAGTGCCTCCCCCTTGTGTTAATACTGTGCAGAGAACAGGGGATCCTGCCACACCCTGAGTGATCACTCCTGCTTGCAGGGCACAGAGAAGGCACCCAGACCTGCCCAGACCAGCACTCTGGCCCCAAGCCAACACCACCTCCAAGGCAACCACACACAGAGTCTCCAGCAGGGGCCTCCTTCTCCCACCCTCCAACAAGCTGCATTGCCTCTGCCACTGTGGTGAAAGCTAGCAGGGAGGCAGACACCCCTGCATCCACTAGCACTCTGCTGCAGCTGCTGCACCTCGGCATCCCCCAGAGCAGGCCAAACCTCAAGGAGCCAAGAACAAAGTCAGGGCCCAATACAAGTCCTCCCAAGTCAGAGCATGCAGTCTAGGAGTTAGGAGCTGAACACTGGCCCCCTCAAATCTCCCACAAACGAAGTCAGTCGGCTGAATCCTCCTTATATTAAGTATAAATTAAACCCCCAAAGTCATCAACAGGATTAAAAAAAGAAAAAAAATCCGAAGGTAACCAACCTCAAAGACTGAGTGCCTTCTTTGACCAAGATGCCAAAAGCAATTGCCACAAAACTAAAAATTGACAAATAGAACCTAATTAAACAGTTTCTGCACAGCAAGAGAAAGTATCAACAGAGTAAACAGACAACCTACAGAATGGGAGAAAATTTTTGCAAATTATGCAGCTAACAAAGGTCTAATATCTAGCGTTTATAAGGAACTTAAATTTACAAGAGAAAACCAAGTAACCCCATTAAAAAGTGGGCAAAGGACAAGAGCAAACACTTTTTAAAAGCTTACATGTGTCTAAGCATATGAAAAAAAAGCTCAGCATCACTGATCATTACAAAAATGCAAACAAAACCACAATGAAATATCATCTCACACCAGAAAGAATGGCTATTACTAAAAAGCCAAAAAAATAACAGATGCTGGTGAGATTGTGGAGAAAAAGGAACGCTTATACACTGTTGGTGGGACTGTAAATTAGTTCATCGTTGTGGATTACAGTGTGGTGATTCCACAAAGACCTAAAGGCAGCAATACCATTCAATCTGGCAGTCCCATTACTGGGTACATACCCAAAGGACTATAAATCATTCTGTTAAAATACACATGTGTACGTATGTTCATTGCAGCACTATTCACAATAGCAAAGACATGGAATCAAACCTAAATGCCTATTAATGATAGACCTGGCAAAGAAAATGTGGTACATATACACCATGAAATCCCATGTAGCCATAAAAAGAACAAGATTATGTACTTTGCAGGGACATGGTGGGAGCTGGAGGCCATCAGCCTTTGCAAACTAACACAGGAACAGAAAACCAAATGCCGCATGTTCTCATTTACAAGTGGGAGCTAAATGATGAGAACACATGGATACACAGAGGGGAACAACACACATTGGGACCTATCAGAGGGTGGAGAGTGGGAGGAGGGAGAGGATCAGGAAAAATAACTAATGGGTACCTGGGTGACAAAATAACCTGTACAACAAACCCCCATGACATAAGGTTACCTATGTAACAAACCTACACACGTATCCCTGAACTTAAAAGTTAAAAAAGAAACTCTAAAGCTTTTAAAATTGATTGTAAAATATAATATTGAAATAAGTTTTTATGTCATGAAAGAAGAAACATGCCATCAATTACTGTATGCATATGATAATATCATTATTCATATATATTACAAGGCCTGTGTGTTTATATACAAAAAAAATGAACAGTGACTACATCTGGATGGTGTTATCATAGTTCAATATCTTCTATTCGCTTGAGTATATTCTAAACTTTGAGGAATCAGCATTAAGTATTTGTGCCTTTCAAAACATGCCTTAAAATAACTTTATATCATAGTTTCTATAATGAATCCCATCAGATTTTCTGAGGGTTGTAAGGAAGAAAACAGGATTCATTAATAGCAATTGAAGCAGAGTTTGTGGGGCAGATCCCGACTGGAATAATCTTATGTGAGAACGCAAGGAGAGAAATTGAAGACAGAAATGACTTTCAAAGAATTTTCCACAAAGAATATCAGGAAATGCAACTGTACTGTAGCTCTTGGGGAAAGAAAGAATGCACACACACACACACAGACACACACACACACACATTAAACATGAAAAACAGGGAAGTGAAAAGTAAAAAGTGAAAGAATAAGCCTAAAGAAAAAAGAAAGAAATTGTAACCATAAAAGTACATATTAACACATTAAAAGTTTGAAAATTCTAAAATTATTGAATCTAAAAATCGTTTCTTTTTAAATAAATTATTAAAAATTTTAAAATCTAATTTAAAAAGTGAAAATACGTATACAATTAGAAATAACATAACAGCAAAAATGGAAGCAAGCATTCCGCGTCATGCTATGGTAATATATTTGAAAATCTTACTCCATTTAGATTATTTCCTGGGCCATTAAAAAATTAAACATTAACCTCAGGAAGAAATACATAGCCTGATATGACAATTATGTTATTAAATAAAACAGTGGCCCATGAAAAAGAAAATAATAATTCAAACAATGGAAAAAAATCACCAAGGTGTTCTATCAAATTTTCAAGAGAAAGTTATTTAAATATGTATTAATTATTTAGGTAATAAGAATGGAAGAAAAGTTTCAAAATTCATTTTGTAAAGCTGGCATAATCCTGATAAGAGCATCTATCAAATATAGCACAAATTAAGAACACCGGAATACAGACTCACTTATGAATATGGATGCAAAATCTTAAATAAAATCCTTGCAAATCAAACTCAGCAGTAAATTAAAAGAACAATAAACCATAACCAAGCAGAGTTCATCTAATGAATTTAAAAATGGTTAAATATAAATATAATACATCACCTCAATAGGTCAAATGAGAAACTAAAATCATCTTCACAGCATTTTCTATAAATGAACATCTATTCCTATGTAAACTGCTTTTATAATCAGAGTATATTTTTAAAATCTTTAGCATGGTCATTAGTATATATTTGAAATCAGCATTTAGATAACATTAAGCACTTCTTTAAAATAAAAGATAGTAAAAGCCAATTTCACAGATGTCATTTAATATTTAATATATATGCCACACAAAATACACACATAAAAAGTGTTGAAATCCTATTATTTAAAAAATTAGCAATGTGTATTTTTTTTTTTTTTTTGAGATGGAGTCTCACTCTGTCACCCAGGCTGGAGTGCAGTGGTGCAATCTTGGCTCATTGCAACCTCTGCCTCCCGGTTTCAAGCAATTCTCCTGCCTGAGCCTCCTGAGCAGCTGGGACTACAGGTGTGCACCACCACACTGGGCTAATTTTTGTATATTTTAGTAGGGATGGGGGGTTTCACTATATTGGCCAGGCTGGTCTCGAACTCCTGACCTGGTGATCCATCTTCCTTAGCCTCCCAAAGTGCTGGGATTACAGGCATGAGCCACCACGCCTGGCCAGCAATGTGTATTTTTCTAAATGTTATCCTATTTTATCTACAAAACACATATATGAATACTGTGTAATGAAACACTACTGTTTTCATGGTCCAAAAATTTGGGTTGTAGTTTGGCTCTGCCACTTAATAGCTTTTTGTCTGTTAGAAAATCACTCAGCTTCTCTAGGCTGGCTTCCTATTTGATAAATTGTTAGTATTAGAAATAACTATTCTTTCTCTATTTTTGAGAAGGAATTTGCTTAATTTGAAAATTTTCGAGGCAAATGTATGAATCAAAAGGCATATTTGAATGGGTATTTTGTGGTGTTTAGATTCATACTGTATAATATATAGGCCAATATGTTAGTAATGTAAATTAGATTTCTATGAAAAACAATATTCAAAAATTATGAAAATACCAACTAATATGCCAAAGGAATCCACTTATATGCAACATTTATATGAAAACTAAGTTACTAAAAAATAATTTTGTGTGTCTATGTGATTGTCAATAAAATATAAAATTCATAAATATTTCTAAATCCCTAAAAGTTATTTTTTATTATCAACTGATAAAATCAGATATAAATGCCTTTTTTATATTACAAGAAACTAAAAATTGCACATCATAAAATTATTTTCTTAAAAAATATTCTGAACCTTGGGAGTAGACAATAAACATGGGAAAGGGATTTATAGAAAATTCTTTGTTTTACATTTAAAAAGTATTTGATCTCAACATTACTTTAATGCACTGAGCCAATTTCAAGAGGTTTTCTGGCTAACAAAGGCCATTGTTTTTAGAAATGAAAAGGAAACAATGTGTTTTCATAGATCCATGACACAAATTAGAGAAAAGTGTATGTTAATGAGGTAAAGACTCAATTGAAAGCACAAAATGCCTTGAAATTAAAAAAAAAATCATTTTAAGTTGTATGTGCAATTAGGCAGCACAAATCTTCTATTTTTCTCTTGAACTGGGAAGTTTCAATTGCATACCAAAAAATAATGCATGGCAATAATGCACATCGTTGCTTTTAATTGAATGCTTAACATGTGCTCTTTGAAAATCTAGCTTAAAGGTTTTATAATGAGCAAAATACAGAAAAAATTAATATATCTAAACTTCATTTTTCTCATCTCTTCTAGAATGTATGATAGTCTCCAAATGATTTCTATAATTAAAAAATATCACTAACCTTATAAATATATACCCAATTTCTCATCAAAAATAACATTTTGTGGCCAGGTGTGGTGGCTCACACCTGTAATCCCAGCACTTTGGGAGGTCGAGGTGGGTGGATCACCTGAGGTCAGGAGTTCAAGACCAGTCTGGCCAACAGGGCGAAACCCCATCTCTACCAAAAATACAAAAAATTAGTTGGGTATGGTGGCTCACACCTGTAATTCCAGCTACTCAGGAGGCTGTGGCAGGAGAATCACTTACCTCAGGCGGCAGAGGTTGCAGTGAGCCCAGATCATGCCACTGCATTCCAGCCTGGGCAACAGAGAGAGACACCGTCTCAAAATAAATGAATGAATAAATAAATAAATAAATAACATTTTGTTAAAACATCAAATTGAGGAGGGCCAGCGTATTCATTTTAGAGATGATCAAAGATATAAAAAACTGATTGTAGGTTTACTCAATAATTGTTCCCTTTTTGAAAATTTTATTCATGCTGACATTTTTATAGATATAGACAAATTTCAGCATGATTATTAAACCAAGGTAATAATTATTTGTCAACAGTATGTAATATTTTTAAAACTTTTATTGATTATGCTATACTTCCCTGGGGCTTTTATAGTAATCCCTGGGAAAGCTACAGGCATTCTTTTAAATTAAGGAAGATTCTGTGAATGGCTACTCTCTACACTCCAGGTCACCAAGTTCTTTACAGGCTCACAAGGTGTAGGATTTCCCCTCTTCCCATTTACCTTTACTTCCCTACCTCCCTCCTCCTCTCCTCCTCCTCCCCTCCGCTCCCCTCCTCTCCCCTTCCCTCCCCTCCTCTCCCTTCCTCTCCCCTCCTCTTCCCTCCTCTCTCCTCCCCTCCTCTCCCCTCCTCTTCCCTCCTCTCTCCTCCCCTCCTGTCCCCTCCTCTCCCTTCTGCTCTCCTCCCCTCCTCTCCCCCCCTCCCCTTCCTTCCTTCCTTTTCTTCCCTCTCTCTCCTTCCCTCCCCTTCCTTCCTTCCTTTTCTTCCCTCTCTCTCCTTCCCTTTCTTCCTTCCATTTATTCCTTGATTCACTCACTTACTCAACAAGCACTTATTGTCTAACATGGGAAAGGCATTGGATAAATTACACAGAGACAAAGAAAGAGTCACAATGCATCTCCTGCCCTTAAAAACCTTAAGAAGTAGACAACTAATCACTAATTTCAACACAGTGTTATAAGCGCCAGCATAGGGGTAAACGCAGAGTGTAGTTAGAGTTCAAAGCATAAGGAAGAAAGTTAAGAGATGGTTTCACCAAGGATTTTCTTCCTTCCAAGTTGAGATTTAAAATAAAAGATTTCAGCTACACAATGATAGGACTGAGAGAATGAACAGTGTCAAACAGACATTATATTATGAGGGAAGAGTATTTATAAAGAGTTGGAAGAATGAAAATATGTGGCACATTCTGTTGTCCTGAGGTTGTTTCAGGTGGTTAGAGTATAGAGTCAGAGGGAAAGTGGGAGCAAGAAAGAGGCTGGAGACAGAAACAAGGGCAAATGTAGAGAAACTCATACTACTATCTATTTAAGATCAGGTTCTTCCTTCTCATCAATGCCATTTCCTCCTCCTCTAGTATTTCAGCCCAGTGTTTTTGGTTTAGTGGGTTGGTTTTTTTGTTTGTTTGTTTTTGTTTTTGTTTAGTGTTTTCAGCCTTGTCTATTTCTGGATCCTTCTCTCTTGCCTATGTAGCAGTGTAAGTCATTCTCATATGAATTTAGGTTAATATTCTCCACACTGCATGAATGAGACAAAATTAAGACATTTAAAAATGAAAATAAAATTTAAAAATTTTTTGAAAATCTCAAATCTTGAATCTTATTTGCAAGAGGTAGAGTTTAAAAATAATTTAAAAAAATGGCTGGGCAGGGTGGCTCATGCGTGTAATCCCAGCGCTTTGGAAGGCTGAGGTGGGTGGATCACCTGAGGTCAGGAGTTTGAGACCACCTGGCCAACATGGTGAAACTCCATCTCTACTAAAAATACAAAAATTAGCCAGGCATGGTGGCACACACCTGTAATCCCAGCTACTGGGGAGGCTGAGGCTGGAGAATCACTTGAACCCATGAGGCAGAGGTTGCAGTGAGCCAAGATCGCATCACTGCACTCCAGCCCTGGTGACACTGTGAGACTACCATCCCAAGAAATAAAAAAAAACAAACAACAACAAAACTTTTTTAAAAAAAGATAAAAGGAATTTCATTTAGGAAAGTCTAACGAACAGATAGAGTTGTGTGCAAAATATTAACCTGGGAATAAATATAAACAAACATTTATTGTGTAAATTAATAATAAATTATCTTAAGAAAATTAGTAAATAAGATATGCATAAAATGATGGAAAATTGAATATATGTCAGGAGAGGATCACAAAATCCCTAAACTGTTCAGGAAAAAGTTAAAGATATTGAGTATGCTTAACATCTGTCAAGTGAAATATGCATTCCACAAACTTTATTAATAATTCATAACTTCAAACCTTGCAAATAAAAGCATAATAAAAAAGCTCAACTCTAATAATTCTAAACTTATGGCTTCAAAATTCATAAAGCAAAATTTAGGAAAAATGAAAAAAGTAATCTATCTCCCTGAGATATTTTAATTCATCTCTTACAGTAATTGATAGAAGTGTCAGAAAATAAACCAGAAATATAAAAGATTTAAATAACACAATTAGCACAGATGGCTAAATCAATCTACTTAGAATTGTATGCCCAAACCAGAGAAAACATTTTTGTCAAATGAAATATTTATGCAAATTGCCCATATATTAGAACATGAATTAAACCATAATAAATTTTAAACTATTTCTACCATATAGACCAATTTTATAAACATATCAGGATCACATTACAAATCAATTTTTAAAAATAACTTTAACATTAGATGAAGATGGAAGGGTTAATTTATCTCATCACTGTCTGATTTTGCAAAGACATAGTTTGCCTTTTGGAAAGTTCCAAGAATATTGATTAAGGTTCAATTTGGGAAAACAACTCAAATAAACAGAGATAGATCATGGGTATGTTTAGAAGTCCCTATCATACAGATTTGATTTCTTCCCCAATTATTCCATAAGTGGATACAGTTTCAATCATAATTCTAACAAAAAATTTTAAATAAATGAACCAGATAATCCTGAAACCTATATGGAAGGGCAAGAATCAAGAAAAGCCTAGAACTCAAAAGAAAATATAAGATCAGAGGATTCACTATAATAGATAATTAACACCCATTATGGAATTTTCGTGACGTAGCCATGGAGTGTTCAGGTGAAGATGGTCAAATAGATCAAAGTAAAAAGTGAATGGAAAAAGATCCACACAAACATAAAAGCCTAATATGGGACAGAGATAGCACTGATTATAAATATATAAAGAAAACTCATCAGTAAATTGTATTGTAACAACTTGTTTTCTATATTATAAAAAAAGTAACTGGAAACTCACTTCACATTACACCCATACATTAATTTCTTATTAATTATGCATCACATCTGGCAAGTGAAACATGCATTCCAAAAATTGTAGAAATAGCTTTTTATTTCCAAATTTGTAAATAGAAGGCAGAGCGAGAAAAACAACCCTAAATTTTGAACATTCTAAACATAGTTTCATCTAAAACTATCACATAAATATTAAAAGCAGAATTCAGAAACATTGAGAATGAAATAACAGAAAATATTTTTATAATCTCAGGGGTGGGAAAATTTCTTAAACAAGTTCACAAAAGGAAAATGCACAAAGGAATGTATTTATACCTGATACTACATTAAACTGAAACGTCTCTTCATCAGAAGTTACCATAAAGAAATGAAAAAAGGTTGGGTAAATATATTTTTAACATTTGTAACTAGAAAATATTTAGTATCCATGATATATAAATTCTTACAAATCAGTGAGATGACACTCAGTATATAGCAGGAAAATCATGAGCAGGTTTTCACAGAAAAGGAAATACAAATCACCCTGCAAAAGTCATTAAAATATGTTCAGTTCCATTAATAACTAATAACAAACCATAATGAGGTACAATTAAAAAGCCTTATTGTAGAGAAGAATGTCTTTAACTCTAGGTAGGAATGCAAATTGGCATAATAATTTATATATTATTTCCTTTTACTATACTATTATTTATTTTATCTATTATGTTCTTATACAACAGTGAATGAGATATGGCAGAAAAAGAAAGCTTCATCTTCAGGAAAGATGAGTCATAATGAAAGGTCAGATGCTTCCAAGCAGGAGCACACCACTGCTGATTTTAGAGATGAAGAGAACAAACAGCCAGGGAATGCGGCAGCCTCTGAAAACTGAGTGTGATCTCAGGCTGACAGGTGCCAAGGAAACAAAGGCTTCAGTTCTCAAACCATAAGAATTAAATCATGTCAAAACTGCACACCCCAGTTAGAATGGGTACTATCAAAAAGACAAAAAATAACAAATGCTGTTGAAGATGCAGAGAAAAGGTACTCTTAAACGTTGTTGTTGGGACTATAAATGAACACAGCCACTGTGGAGTGGAGATCACAGCAGTATGGAGATTCCTCAAAAAAAAAAAAACCACTAAGAAAAGAATTACATATGATCCAACAATCCCACTGCTGGTTATATATCCAAAGAAAAAGGAATCAGTATGTCAAAGAGATATCTACACCTTCATGTTTACTGTGGCATAATTCACAAAACCTAAGATATGAAATCAACCTGCTTCCATCAATGGATGAGTAGATAAGAAAATGTGATGCACAATGGAATACTATTCAGCAATAAAAAGGAATGAATTCCTGTTATTTGCAGCAACATGGATGGAACAGGAGGGTATTATGTCAAGTGAAATAAGCCTAGCACAGAAAAATGAATACCATATGTTCTCATTCATACATGGAAGCTAAACAGGTTGATCTCACAGAAGCAGAGAGTAGAACAGTGATAACTAGAGACTAGGAAGGGTAGGGGGTAGGGACATAGAGAGAGGTTGGATAAGAGATAAAAAATTATAGCTTAATAGAGAAGTAAGTTTTAGTGTTCTTTAGCACTGTAGAGTGACTCTAGTTAATAATAATTCATTCTGTATTTTCCACGAGGATTTTCAAAATCCTCGAAAGAGGGCGATTTTGAATGTTACCAAAACAAAGAATGCTGAATGTTACCCTAATTTGATCATTACACATTGTATACAGGTATCAAAATATTACACTAGACCCCTTATAAAAATGTACAATTATTATGTGTCAATTGAAACAGAAACCGAAGAAGTTTTTGTCTGAAGTTTTTCTTCAGTTTTTGTTTTAATTGACACACAATAATTGTACATTTTATAGGGGGTCTAGTGTGATATTTTGATACCTGTATACTAAAAATAGTGTTATCCTGGAGTCTCCAGACAGAAGTGCCAGGCTACTGACACCCTGATTTTAGTCTTGCCAGACCTGGGGCAGAGCAACCACTTGAGCCATGCTGTGCCCAGACTTCTGACTTACGAAAAGGTTGAGATAATAAATGGGTCCTGTTTCAAGCTGCTAAATTTGTGGTAATTTGTTATGCAGCAATAGAAAACTAATACAGGCAAATTGGCTAAATATAAAAAAATTGGCCAATTGCTATTTAATTATTGACAAAAAAGTTTACTATTTATAACTCAAAACAAAAATCAGTATTTTTTATTTCTAATATGAAAAACTCACCATTTTTGATAGAGAATGTAATTCATTTTTTGATGACTTTGTTTCCCTTATTGCTTCAGTCACTTCCTCTTCCTTCTCCTCAATATTAGTATTAACATTTATCACTGATGAAGAGTAATGATCAAATAGACTGTTAAGTTGATATATCTCTCTCCTAGGGATAAAAACACAGTTTATTTTATTCACATTAAAAGAAAAAATATATTTTAAATTATACTTAGGCCAGGCTTGGTGGCTCATGCCTGTAATCTCAGCACTTTGGGAGGCCAAGGTAGCAGATGGCTTGAGTCCAGGAGTTCAAGACCAGCTTGGGCAACATGGAGAGACAATGCCTTTACAAAAAAAAAAAATTGAAAATTAGCCGAGCATGGTGGCACATGCCTGTAGTCCCATCTACTTAGTAGGCGGAGATGGGAGGATTCATCGAGCCCAGGAGGTTGAGGCTGTAGTGAGCTGTGATTGATCCACTGTACTCCAGCCTGGGTGACAGAGTGAGACCCTATCTCAAAAAAATTATATAAATGAGTAAGTAAATAAATTATACTTAAATTAGCTTTAACACACCGATGAATCAATGGAAATCCATCCCAACGTAACTTGACAATTTCTAAAAAAATACTACTTAGATGTTAAGTAAATAGTGAGGAAAAAAGTCATCAATAGTATTGTTTCCAAGGGAAAACATAATTGAGAGAAAAATCAATTATAAATGCTTTCAAATAAACTGTCTTTGAATCTGATTTCAGGTAAGAGATTTATACACTTTTAATTCAGAAGCTGGGTAATACAGGGATGGAAAGGTAAGGAAAAAAAAGATGAAAAAAGAAGAGAAGAGGAGGCAGAAGTGAAAAGACCAAGCAGTTATTGCTTTCACAGGCTTAGAGGTAAAATAAAGGAAATTGTAGCTTAGGAAAACACAGGGCTTTTTAAAAAGAAGTAATAGTCAAAGAGTTATTTGTTCCTATATGACCCTCCCAAGAGGACCAATGCTAATCTGTGAACCACACAATCCTTTATCTAATCTAGCAGGTAGAAACCACTTTCCAAATAAAATATTATCTTCAGATACTGTTATGGTTGTTTAATGGAGCAAAAAAATCACAGTGAGAAAATGATAAAATTACCATTTTCATAAACTATCAGCAAATAATATAGATAATTACAACTTTTTAAAGACACCTTAAACAAAATAGTAGACTAGGAGATTTATTTGAAACCCACATAAGAGTAAAACGTTTATATGTAATAAACTCCTACAAGTCAATATGTAATAGAAAAATTGTTCAATAGAAAAAGGCACAGAGAATATGAACAATCACCAATAAATATATGGTGTGCTTATTGAATTGGCCCAGATTCTTATGCACCAACCCTGATTCCAGCAGCATAGTCAAATGAAACCGAAATCTACAATCTCACTATAGAAATGAAAATTAAAGGAACAAACAAATAGGCAAGAACAACATTCTTTACATTTCCATGTCTGCAGAGTATAGACTTACCTGTCAGAGTCCTAGAAGCCAGTTAGGCAATGAGAGTTAGATAGCCTCAACATTCAAAATGTGTAAGTTTGATTAAGTTTTCTTCTTTTGAAATTAGTTCTTCTTCTCTCAGTGTTATCTATTGCCTCCAGTCCAGAGAATACACTATGGACTTTTGCCTGAGTGATGGACAATTGCCCACTGTCATGCAATTTGGGAGTTATTATTTTAGTGGTTCACTTATTCCAATTTTTTGATGAAGTTGATGCCACTAATTCCTCAGCCTTTTGAGGGTTTCCCAGAAAAGCAGTTTATACTATGCTTGTCTCCACTGTTATTTTAAATTTCCTCATTGTTATATCAGCTAAATCAGAATAAATTTAGAAGAATAAAAGGGAAGAATCACTCTACCTGTTGTTAGGAATTACTATGCAAACTCTGCAATCAAGAAAGTGTGATATTGGCAGAGGGATAGCCAAATAGATAAATAGAATGGTCATAGACGACCCAGAAATAGAGCTACACAAGCATGTCTGATTCTTGACAAACTTACAAAATCAATTTAATGAAAGTAATTTAACATATGGTGATGGAATAATTACATATTCATTGGCAAAAAAAGGGAAGCTCAAGCTAAATCTCACATTTTATATACAATCTAACTAAAAATGGCTTATATATCTAAATATAAATTGTAAACCTATAATATTTTTAGAAAACAAATTTCTTTGTGACAGGATTAGGGCAAGATTTCTTGTGTGTGACACCAAGTACATGATGAATAAAAGAAAAAAGTGATAAGTAGAATTTTAGAAAAATTAAGAACTTCTGCATTGTAAAACACCCTCAAAGACAAAAAGACAAGACTTTACTAAAACATAGAATATATTTACATATAACATATCCGATTAAAAATCTTATATTTTCAAAATTAAAGAATTCTCTACACACAACCATAAGAAAACAAACATTACAATGGGAAAATGGCAAAACATTTGAACAGACACTGTATGAAAAAGAGAATTCAATAACAAGCACATGAAAAGATGTACATCACAATTTGCCATTAGGGAAATGCAAATTCAAATCATAGTGAGATATCACTACAAACTTACTAGTCCAGGCTGAAATTTTTTTAAAAAAATAGTGTTCTCTTGTAGAGAAACTGGATCTCTCATACATTGCTGGCATTCATATAAAATGGTACAAGCCGTTCTGGAAGACCAGTTTGGCAGTTTTTTATAAAATTAAACTTACAGTCAACGTACATCCCAAAAAATCACACTTTTTGATATTTATCCGAGAGAAATGAAAAACTTATGTTCACACAAAAACTTCTACATTGATATCCATGGCAACTTTATTCAAAGTAGCAAATAACTGAAAACAAACTAAATGTCCCTCAAAGGGCAGATAGTTTCAAGCTCTGGTATATCCATACAATGGAATCTCATTCAGTGATAAAAAAGGAATGAACTCTTAATACCTTCAACAACCCAGATTGTTCTCAAATGCATTATGCTTAATAAAAAAAAGCCCAAATCAAAAGTTAAATGTTATAGGGTTTCATTTATATAACACTCTTAAAATGGCAAGACTAGAGATAGAGAAAATAATAGTGGTTGTCAGGAGACAGAGAAAGGACAGTGGATATGAATAAAAAGGGTAGCACAAGGAATGAAACTAGTCTGTATTCTGATCGTAGTGGTAGTTACTGAATCTATACGAGATAAAATGGCATATAATAATAAACACACACACACATACATACATGAAAATATGTAAAAAATCATGAAATGATTAGGCTTATCTCAATTTCCTGGTTTTAATACTGACAACAAGTACAGTATATACAATACAAGATACTCCCATTGGAAGAAGCTGGAGGAAGGGTACACAGGACTCTATGTCTAAACTCCTATGAGTCTATAATTATTTATGAATAAAGATTTAAAAAGCAAAATATTAGATGAAACAGACCTGCATATTTATCAAGATTGAGATAAGACACATAAAAAATCCCACATACTCAAATAGGGGAAAGTGAACTTTAGTGGTTCACTTGAAAACCTACAAGGTATCAGTCTAATTAAGAATCATATTTTGGGCCAGGCGTGGTGGCTCACACCTGTAATCCTAGCACTTTGAAAGGCAAGGCAGGTGGATCACCAGAGGTCAGGAGTTTGAGACAAGCCTGGCTCATGGTGAAACTCTGCCTCTACTAAAAATACAAAATTAGCCGAGAGTGGTGTCGTACACCTGTAATCCCACCTACTCGGGAGGCTGAAACCAGAGAATTGCTTGAACCCAGGAGGCAGAGGTTGTAGTGAATCAAGATTGTGTCACTGCACTGCAGCCTAGGTGACAGAGCAAGACTCCATCTCAAATAATAAACAAATAAATAAATATATAGAAATACATTAAAATTAAATGATATATTCCTGAAAGACCAGTGAATGAAGAAAAAAATTAAAAATACAATTAAAGAATTAGTTGAAATAAATGAAAATAGAAACACAATATGCCAATTCTATGGGACACATAAAAAGAAGTATTAAGAAGCAAGTTTATAGCAGTAAATGACTATAGCAAAAACTAGAGCGATTTAAAATAACCTGCTGATGCACTGCAAGGACCTAGAAAAGCAAGAACAAACCAAAATTACAATAAGTAGAAGGAAAGAAATAAAGATCAAAAGCAGAAGTAATAAAATTGAGACTAAAAAATACAAGAAATTCACAGAACAAAAAGTTAGCTTCTTCAAAGATAAACAAACGGACAAATCATTAGGTAGATTAACAAAGAAAAAAAGGGAAGACCCAAAAACAAAATCACAAATGAAAAACGAGTTATCACAATGGGTACCACAAAAAATAAAAGTATAATTAGAGATTACTATAAACAATTTATATGCTAATAAAATAAATAACCTAGAGGAAATCGATAAATTCCTAGACACATACAACCTATTAAGATTGAACCAAGAAGAAACAGAAAGCCTAAACAGAGCAATAACAAGTAATAAGATTGACTCAGTTACAAAAAGTCTTCCCCCCAAAAAATCCAGTACCAGATGGCTTTACCACTGCATTCTATTGAACCTTTAAAGAAGAAACAACTGGCCAGGCACAGTGGCTCACGCCTGTAATCCCAGCACTTTGGGAGGCCTAAACAGGTGGACCATGAAGTCAGGAGATGGAGACCATCCTGGCTAACACGGTGAAACCCCGTCTCTACTAAAAATACAAAAAAATTCGCCAGACGTGGTGGCGGGCGCCTGTAGTCCCAGCTACTCGGGAGGCTGAGGCAGGAGAATGGCGTGAACCTGGGAGGTGGAGCTTGCAGTGAGCCGAGATTGCACACTGCACTCCAGCCTGGGCGACTGAGCGAGACTCTGTCTGAAAAAAAAAAAAAGAAGTAACTTCAATTCTTCTAAAACTATTCCAAAAAAATTGAAATGAAAGGAACTCTCCCTAACTCATTCCACAAGACCGCTGTAACCTTGATACCAAAACTAGACAGGGACACAACAAGAAAAAAACACTATAAGCCAATATATCTGATGAACATAGATAGAAACATCTTCAGCAAAATGCCAGGAAACTAATTCCAACAATATATCAAAATGATAACACACCATGATCAGGTGGGATTTATCCCAGAAAGTCAAGAATGATTCAATATGCATGAATCAATAAATGTGATACATTACATCAATGCAATAAAGGACAAAAGCCATATGATCATCTCAGTAAAGGCAAGTAAAGTATGTGATAAAATTAAACATTTCATCACAATAAAAAATACTCTTAATAAATTAGGTGTAGAAAAAAGTACCTCAACATAATACAGGGGCCATATATGACAAAACCATAGCCAATATCATACTGAAGAGGGAAAAGCTGAAAGTTTTTTCTATAAGATCTAGAACAAGACAAGGACGTCCAGTCTCAGCACTCTCATTCAACCTAATACTGGAAGTCCTAGCCAGAACAATTAGCCAAGAGAAAGAAATACAGGGCAGCATCTATTTTGGAAAGTAGGAAGTCTAATTGTCCGTCTTTGTAGATGACATAATCTTGTATACAGAAAAACCTGAAGACTCTACCAAAAAATGCTTAGAACTGATAAATGAATTCAGTAAAGTTGCAGGATTCAACATCAACATACAAAAATCAGCAGTGTTTCTATATACTAATAAAGATATAACCAAAAAATAAATTAAAAAGGCAATCTCATTTAAAATAGCTACAAAAAAAACTAGAAACATATGTAACCAAGGAGGTCAAAGACCTCTACAAGAAAAACTGCAAAACACTAATGAAAGAAATTGAAGAAGATACAAAAATGGAGATATCCTAGCTCACGGATTGAAAGAATATTGTCAAAATGACCATACTACCCAAAGCAACCTACAATTTAAATGCAATTCGTATCAGAATACCAATGACAGTATTCATAGAAATTTTTAAAAAGTTAAAAATTTTATGGAACCACAAAAACCCCAAAGAGCTAAAGCAATTTTGAGCAAAACAACAAAGCTGGAGGTACCACACTACCTGACTACAAAGCTGTTATATCCAAAACAGCATGGTGCTGACAATAAAAATGGATACATAGACCAACTAAACAACATAGAAAACCCAGATATTAATCTACATATCTACAACCAACTGATTTTTGACAAAGACAGAAAGAATACACTTTGGGGAAATGACAGTCTCTTCAATAAATGGTTCTGAAAAACCTGATATTCATATATGGAATAATAAAAATAGACCTCATCTCTTACCCTATACACAAATCAAGTCAACATGGATGAAAGACCTAAATGTAAGAACCAAAACTTTAAAACTAGTATAAACACACACACACACACACACACACACACACACTCAGAGGAAATGGTTCAACACATTGTCCTGGGAAAAGTTTTATGAATAAGACCTCAAAATTACAAGCAACAAAAGCATAAATAAACAAATGGGATAATATCAAACTAAAAAGCTTCTGCACAGCAAACAAGCAACAGTGTGCAAGTACAATGTACACAATGGGAGAAAATATTTGCAATCTATTAATCAAACTGCAGATTAATATCCAGAATATACAAGGATTTCAAACATCTCAACAGAAAAAAAAAAAACACAAAAAACAAAAAACAAAAAACCTTGGGCAAATAACCTTAACAGATATTTCTCAAAAATGCTTGATATCACTAATCATTAGGGAAATGCAAACAACAATGAGGTATCATATCAGCCAATTAGGATGGATATTATCAAAAGACAAAAAATAACAAATGCTGTTGATATAGGTTGGATATTTGTCCCCTAAATCTCATGCTGAGCCGTAATCCCCAATGTTTAAGGTGGGGCATGATGGGAGCTGTTTCGGTCATGGGGATGGATCTCTCATGAATAAATTGGTGCTGTCCTCAGGATAGTGAGTGAGTTCTCACAAGAAATGGTTGTTTAAGTGTGGCCCTTCCTCCCTCTCTCTTTCGCTCCCACTCTTGCCATGTGACATGCCTGCTTGCCTGCTCCCACTTCACTTTCCTCCATGATTGTTACCTTCCTGAGGCCCTCAATAGAAGCCAAGCAAATGTTGCTGCCATGCTTCTATAGCCTGCAGAACTGTGAGCCAATTAAGCCTTTTTATTTACAAATTACCCAGTCTCAGGTATTTCTTTATAGCAATGCAAAAATGGCTTAATAAATAAAATTGGTACCAAGGAATTGGGCATTGCTATAAAGATACTTGAAAGTGTGCAAATGACTTTGAAACTCAGTAATAGGCAGAGATTGGAGGAGTTTAGAGAGCTCAGAAGAAGACAGGAAGGTGAGAGAAGGTTTGGAACTTCTAAGATACTGGTCAAATGGTTGTGACCAAAATACTGATAGAAACGTTGACAGTGAAGGCTAGACTGATGAGGTTTCAGATGTAAATGAGGAAGCTATTGGGAACTGGAGTAAAGATTACCCATGTTACACCTGAGCAAAGAGCTTGACTGCATTGTGTTCGTGTCCTAGGGATCTGTGGAAGTTTGAACTTAAGAGTAATGACTTAGAGTATATGGCAGAAGAAATTTCTAAGCAGCAAAGTGTTCAAGATGTAGCTTGGCTGCTTCTAATGACCTATTATCATATATGGGAGCAAATGAATGACTTAAAAGTGAAATTTATATTTAAAAGGGAAGCAGAGAGTAAAAGTCTGGAAAGTTTGCAGCCTGGCCATGTGGCACAGAAAAATTCCAAGCAGGCTGCAGAACAACCACTTGCTAGAAAGATTAGTATGACTAAAAGAGAGCAAAGTGCTAATATCCAAGACAATGGGAAAAAGACTTTCAAGGCATTACAGAGATCACAGAGGCAGCTCCTCCCATTACAGGAAAATGGCCCAGGAGGAAAGAACTGTTTCAGGGGGCAGGCCTGGGATGCTGCTTCCCTGCTCAGTTTAGGGACACTGCTCCCTGCATCACAGCTGCTCCAGCTACAATTATGGCTCAAAGGACCCCAGGTATGGTTTTGGCTGCCACTCTGGAGGGTACAAGCCATAAGCCTTGGTGGCTTCCACCATGGTGTTAAGCCTGTGGGTGCATAGAATGCAAGCGTGAAGGAAGGTTGGAGGCTTTTAGCTGCATTTCAGAGGATGTAGGAGAAAGCCTGTGGGCCCAGGCAGAAGCCTGACCCAGGGGCAGGGCCCTCACAGATAACCTCTACTAGGAAAATGGCAGAGGAAAATATGGGGTTGGAGACCCCACAGAGAATCCCCACTGGGGCACAGTCCAGTGGAGCTGTGGGAAGATGGCTGCTACCCTTCAGCCCCCAGAATGGTAGCTCCACTGACAACTTGCACCCTGAACCTGGAATCCACAGTCACTCAACTCCAACTCATGAGAATAGCTGCACCTTGCAAAGCCACAAGAATGGAACTGTCAAGGTCTTAAAAACTGACCCCTTCCAGTGTGTGCTCGATGTGGGACATGGAGTAAAAGGAGATTATTTCAGAGCTTTAAGATTTAGTGACTGCCCTGTTGGATTTCAGACTTTTATGAGGCCTGTTGCCTCTTTCTTTCGACCAATTTCTCTCTTTTGGAATAGTAATGTTTACCCAGTGCCTATACTACCATTGCATCTTGGCAGTAAATAACTTGCTTTGATTTTATAGGCTCAAAGTTGGAAGGAGATGAGTCTCAGATGAGACTTAGGACTTTGGACTTGATGCTGGAATGAGTTAAGACTTTTTTTTATTTTGCCATGTGAGGTGGACATGAGATTTGAGGAACCAAGGGTGGAATGATATAGTTTAAATGTTTGTCCCCTCCAAATCTCATATTGAAATGTAATCCCCAATGTTGGAGATGGGACATGCTGGGAGGTGTTTTGGTCATGGGAGTGGATCCTTCATGAATGGCTTTGTGGTGTCCTCAGGATAGTGATTGAGTTCTCACAAGATCTGGTTGTTTAAAAGTGTGTGACACCTCCTCCCTCTCTCTCTTGCTCCCATTCTCACCATGTGACATGCCTGTTCCCACTTCTCCCACTTTGCCTTCCACTATGATTGTCAGCTTCCTGAGGCCCTTTCCAGAAACAAAGCAGATGTTTCTACCATGTTTGTACAGTGTGAAAAACCATAAATCAACTAAACTTATTTTCTTTATAAATTACTGAGCCTCAGGTATTTCTTTATTGCAATGCAAAAACTGCCTAACAAAGCTGGTGAGAATGCAAAAAAATAAATAAATAAAAATAAGGAGCTCTTCTACACTGCTGGTGGGAATGTAAACTAGTACAGCTGCTATGGATAATAGTATGAAAATTCCACAAAAGTTACAAATAGAACTACTATATGATCCAGCAATCTCACTACTGGGCATTTATCCAAAGGAAAGGAAATCAGTATTGAAGAACTCATATGCACGCCCATGTTCATCACTACACTATGCACAATAGCCAAGATATGGAATCAACCTAGGTGTCCCGGTGAATGAACAAAGAAAATGTGATATGTATACACGACGTAATACTATTCTCCACAAAAAGAATGAAATCTTGTCATTCACAGCAACATGGGTGGAACTGGTGAATATTACGTTAATGAAATAAGACAGTAACAGAAAGTTCAAAGTTGCTTGTTCTCACTCATGTATGGAAGCTAAAAAACAGTTGATCTCAAAGAAGAAGTAAAAATTGAAACAGAGGATATTAAAGGCTGGGAAATGTAGGAGAAAGGGGGGATAGACAGAGATTTTTCAAAGGATACACAATTACAGCTAGATAGAAGGAATAAGTTCTAGTGTTCTGTACCAATATAGAATGACTATAGTTAACAATAATATATAGCTTCAAATGGCTAGGAGAAGGATTTGGAATGTTCCCAACATGAGAAACAGTAAATGTTTGTGATAATAGATATGCCAGTTACCCTGATCTAATTACTGTATATATTATGTGTATTAAAACATCATTACATACCCCATGAGTATATACATATTCTATATGTCAATCTTTAAAGTTTAAAAAGAAATAACCTATCAAGCCATGGAAAGACAAGGAGAAATGTAATGCATTTTACTAAGTGAAAGAAGCCAATCTGAAAAGGCTGAATCCTATATGATGTCAACTATATCACATTCTTAAAAAGTCATAACTGTGAAGACAATAAAAAGGTCAGGGATTACCAGGAGTTAGGTGGGAGGAAGCAAGGAATAAGTAGAGCAAAAAGGATTTTTTTTAAGTAGTACAGTGCAACTATTGAATAATATTATAGTTGTGTACACATGTCTTTATACATTTTCCAAACCCATAGAATGTACATCATGAGTGAGCTCTATTGTAAACTATGATCTTTGGGTGATAATGATGTGTCAATGTAAGTTTGATGTTGTAACAAGTGTACCACTTGGATGTGGGATGTTTGGTATGGGATGCAGACAGTATGGGGGATGAGGAGAAGGGATAAAAGGGAGCTTTCTAAACTTTCCACCCAATTTTGCTGTGAGCCCAAAACTGCTCAAAAACATAAAGTCTAGTTTTTAAAAAAAAAAAAAACTATGAAAAAAATCTAAAAGAAGATAGTTTTAATGGTAAATTGTTGTGTTAATCTGCATCTTCTGAGAACCAGACATCATGAAAGCATTACAAGTTCAAGGATATTTTTAGGGGAAATGCTTGTGAGAAAGGAAATTGGGAGGAAGCAGTAGTCAGGGCACACTGCCTGTCTTGAGTGTAAGTCTGCCCCAGAGTAAATGAGAGAGGGAGGAAAGCTTGAAGCATCCTATGCAGTTCATGGAATATTTGAAGAAGCCACCGGGAATCCTCAAAGTTGGCTGTAGGGGATCCTATTTTTCCCAGAAGCATGCCTGCCTTAGTATACCTGCAACAATCAGTCATCAGCTAGGAATAGTGCATTGTATTTCCATGGCAAAAAAAAGAAGTGATGGATTTTGAAGTGTAGCAACAGGAGCCTGCATTGGCTATCCGTTGCTGCATAAAAAGTATAACCAAACTTAGTTGCTAAATTCATTACTATTTACTATCTCACCAGTTCTGTGATCCCCTAGGTTCTCCAGCTCTGGGTCTTTTACCATGACTGGCAAGGACCTGTTTTCTAACATACTACAAATACTTCTGCCATCACATTGCTGGTTGTTGGCAGCAATTCTCAAGGGTGGTTGATTCTCAAAGGTGGGTGGACTGAAACTTATGTTGTTTCCACACACTGTAGGCCTCTCCATAGAGCATCTCAATACATGGCAGCTTGATTCATCAGAGCAAGTAAACAAGATGGCAAGAAAGAGAATGCTAGCAAGATAAGTCACGAATTTTTGCAACCTAATCATAAAACGATGTTCTATTACTTTTGCTTTATTCTGTTTATTAGAAGCAACTGAGTATAGTGCACATTCAAGCGGGGATTTTACAAAAGTGTGACTGTTCCCCAACATAATGCCTACATGACATAGCTGAATTTCAACCCTTCTCTAACTCTGCTTATCTTTAAGAAACAGGATGCCTGGATAAAAAGTTCCCTTTGTAACTGGGCCAGCTGAGACTAGTTAGAACCAAGATGGTCAACTGGACTGAACAACTTCAAAAAGACCTCAAGCTTTATTATAATGTCATTTTCATGCTAAATGACCCTCTCACCAGCACCATGATAGTTCACAGTCCTCATGATAACAGCTGGAAGGCACCATAAAAGGATAAAAAGGAAGGCAGCGCTCAAGTTCAGGGAAGTTCATTTCCCATTTCCAGAAAAGACATAAACATTCCTCCTTTTGATTTTAATGTTCAACCTCTTCATTTTTGCTCCCCTTATCCCTCACTAGTGGAAAAGTTGATTTGTGAGCCTTGCTCCTTCTTATCAGTTCTGTGTTCTGCACTGCTTGACACTCACTTTTGGTTTTATGTATTAGCTTAATGAAACCAAACAAGGAAGGACCCCATCTGTTGAAGGATTAGCTTTCTCTGTAATCAAACTGGTGACCCAGCATCTGAACTAGATAGTCCACTTCCTTATTTGGGAAGCTTTTTTACATGCTCATAGACCCAGTAACTGGCATGTAAGGGTTTACAACCGCATCTGCCAGCAAAGGACATGCATTAGTCCTGACTCTGAGTGCCAGGGATCAGCTTTGGAAAAGGTAATATATCATTGTTGTGAGGTCATAAGCAGGCACGCAAAGGGTTATATAGCTGTACTGGAAAGAAAGCTCAGAGCTAAGTATGATGAGGACACTCACCCCAAATCAGGGTTGTGCACAGGGATGCCTGGCACAAGGTCGTGGTCCTGTACTCAGTAGAGGTCCCTGCTGGAGTCCTTGAGAGGGTGAAGGAGGGACCAGTGTTTTATTCTGAGTAGAGACTCCCTTAAGAGTCTCTGCAAAGGTGAGAGAGGAACCTAAGGGCTGACACTCTAGACTGCAAGATCAAGAAATGACCTGCCAGTACGTCTTTTGTGTATGAATGTGTATTCTTCTCTGTTTCTATTTACTCCTCTTAGTGATTTTACTCTTATGTCTGTGAAAACCTCTTTCATGCCAACTTTCTTGCACCAGAGGAGCTTAAATTTACCCTCTTCCCAGAAATACTTCCTCCCCCTCCTCCTTCTTCTCCTCCTTGCTGAAGCCCCACAGACAAAGTGGCCTTGGCTTCTCCCCTAACAGGAGGATGACATACAGTCTGGAAAGTTAAGGGATCATTTTTGGGGGATTGGAGGAAATCTGCATTATGAGGTTAAGACACCTAGGGGAGACTGCCTGAGACAGGGAGCCAAGGACACTCAGCTGGCCTTCAAGAAGACACCAGGGATCCCTGGGTGCAATGGCCAGTATTGGTTTTCTGCATAGTAAGAAAAATTTAGAGCTAAAATGATTAACCTGCAACTACAGAATTAACTAGAGTCTTCTAAACTTCTCTGTCTTCCTCTTTCCTTCTCTGCCTGCTTTGAATCTGCTGTTATTAAGTTGCTCGTCCTAAGACTTATTCTTTATGATCTAACTGAAATGGAAACATTAAAAACTCATTTGAAATTGATGAATAAAAGGTAAAAGAGCCTTTTCAAAAAAATGAATTATCATAAAGACCTCTTTATCTAACTTTTGGTCCACAGCCTTCCTTGGATTATCTATTGGGAAAAACAGTTTGGCCACTGGAACAGGTTCCAATTTTGTCAGAAAAATAATTTGGACCCAGCTATCTTTTATAAAATGGTGAGTTTGTGTTATTATCTCATGGCCAAAAGTCCAAGGTAACAGCTATTGGATCTTTGTGTGTGTGTGTGTGTGTGTGTGTGTGTGTGTGTGTACATATGGTTATATATATATATGGTTATATATAATATATGGTTATATATATATGGTTATATATAATATATGGTTATATATGGTTATATATAATATATGGTTATATATATATGGTTATATATAATATATGGTTATATATATGGTTATATATGGTTTTTTATATATATATGGTTATATATATATATAAGGTTATATGTTATGTCTAGCATGCTACCAAATGGCTTATAATCATAAATTAAATTCAAATACTCTTCAAATTCATGTGGACTTAGTAATTGATAAGATTTGGCTGTGTCCCCACCCAAATCTCATCTTGAATTGTAGCTCCCATAATCCCCATGTGTCCTTGGAGGGACTAGGTGAGAGGTAATTTAATCATTGGGGTGGTTTCCTTCATGATATTCTCATGATAATAAGTTATCATAAGATCTGATGATTTTATAAGGGGCTTCCTCCTTCACTCAGCTCTTATACTTCTCCTTCCTGTCACCATGTGAAGAAAGATGTGTTTGCTTCCCCTTCCACTATGATTGTAAGTTTCCTGAGGCCTCCCCAGCCCTGTGGACTGTGAGTCAGTTACATCTCTTTCCTTTATAAATTACCCAGTCTCAGGCAGTTCTTTATAGCAGCATGAGAATGGACTAATACAGTAAATTGGTACCAGTAGAGTGGGGTGCTGCTATAAGCATACCTGAAGATGTGGAAATGACTTTGGAACTGGCTAACAGGCAGAGATTGGAACAGTTTGGAGGACTCAGAAGAAGACAGGAAAATATGGGAAAGTTTGGAACTTCCTACAGGCTTGTTGAATGGGTTGGACCAAAATGCTGATAGTGATATGGACAATGAAGTCCAGGCTGAGGTGGTCTCAGATGGAAATTAGGAACATTTTGGGGATTGGAGCAAAAGTTACTCTTGCTATGCAAAGAGACTGATGGCTTTTTGGCCCTGCCATAGAGATCTGTGGAACTTTGAACTTGAGAGAGATGATTTAAGGTATCTGGCAGAAGAAATGTCTAAGTGGCAAAGCATTCAAGAAGAAGCAAAGCACAAAAGTTTAGAAAATGTGCAGCCTGATGATGTGACAGAACACAAAACCCTATTTTCTGGGGAGAAATGCAAGCTGGCTGCATACATTTGCATAAGTAACAATACATTTGGGAAAATGTCTCCAGGGCATGTCAGAGACCTTCACAGCAGCCCATCTCATTACAGGTCTGGAGGCCTAGGAGGGAAAAACGGTCTTGTAGGCAGTCTTTCCCCCTGCTCTGTGCAGCCTTGGGATGTGGTGCCCTGCATCCCAGCTGCTTCAGCTCTAGCCATGGCTAACAGGAGCCAATGTAAAGCTCAGAATGTTGCTTCAGAGGGTGCAAGCCCCAAGCCTGGGTAGCTTACACATGGTGTTGGGCCTGTGGGTGCATGGATTGAAGAACTGAGGTTTGGGAACCTTTGTCTAGATTTCAGAGGATATAGGGAAACACATGGATGTCCAGGAAGAAGTTTGCTGCAGGGGCAGAGCCCTCATGGAGAACCTCTGCTAGAGCAGTGCAGAAGAGGAATGTGGGGTCAGAGCTCCCACAGGGTTGCCACTGGGGCACTGCCTGATGGAGCTGTGAGAGGACAGCCACTGTCCTCCAGACCCCAGAATAATAGATCCATCAACAGCTTGCACTGTGTGCCTGAAAAAGCCACAGACACTCAATACCAGCCCATGAAAGCAGGCTGGATGGAGACTATAACCAGCAAAGCCACAGGTGTGGAGCTGCCCAAGGCCATGGGAGGCCACCTCTTGCAACAGCATGCCCTGCACATGAGACATGGAGCCAAAGGAGATCTATTTTGGGACTTTAAGGTTTAATGACTGCCCTATTGGATTTCAGACTTGCATGGGGCCTGTAGCCCCCTTTTTTTGGCCAATTACTCCCATTTGGAATGAGTTTATTTACCCAATGCTTGTACCCCCATTGTGTCTAGGGAGTAACTAACTTGCTTTTGATTTTACAGGTTCATGGGCAGAAGGGACTTGCCTTGTCTCAGATGAGACTGCACTTAGACTTTTGAGTTAGTGCTGGAATGAGTTAAGCATTTGGGGAACTGTTGGAAGGGTATGATTGTGTTTTGAAATGTGATTACATGAGATTTGGGAGGGGCCAGGGGTGGAATGATATGTTTTGGCTGTGTCCCTACCCAAATATCATCTTGAATTGTAGTTCTGACAATCCCCATGTGCTGTGAGAGGGACCCAGTGGGAGGTAATTGAATGATGGGGCAGTTCCCCCATACTATTCTCATGATAGCGAGTAAGCTCTCACAAGATCTAATGGTTTTATAAGAGGTTTCCCCCTTCATTCAGCTCTCATACTTCTTCCTGCCACCATGTGAAGAAGGATGTGTTTGCTTCCCTTTCCACCATAATTGTAAGTTTCCTGAGGCCTCACAAGCCTTGCAGAACTGTGAATCAATTAAACCTCTTTTCTTTATAAATTACCCAGTGTCAGGCAGTTCTTTATACTAGCATGAGAATGGATTAATACAGTAAGCTTTGATAAATAAAAATGGTTTTTAAATTATTGATAAAACAAAAATTTTAAAAAGCCTTCAAAATTGTTGGCATACATTTTTATCTTGGTTTAATAATTATTTTATATTTATATCTGCTTGATATTTTAAGATGTCAAGGTTTGGCATAAATGACATAAGGCTATGAACATAGCCAAAAATAAGCTTTGTGTTTTTTGACAAAAAAAAAAAAAATTAATATTAACTCATTCCACAAAAACTGCTAAAACTTGTGAATCAGTGGTAAAAATACCCATGTATTTAACCCATGTGTTTAAGGTTCTTACTTAGGTGAATACCTGATATTCACAGGCTAAAAAAATGGCCAATAAAAAATAATGACTGGAAATAATGACTAGCTTTGTCTAATATCCAAGTTTTCAGAAGTACTCTAGATAAACTATTAAAAATTGAAAGAATTAAATACACATAAATAGGATACATGCTTGTAGAAAAACTTTGTGTAATTCAAAATCTTAAAATTATTTTAAATTGAATAATAAATGCTTATTAAATGTCTGGGTTATTTCCAATTAAAAAGGGGTTATAACATGAAAAAACATGTTTCTAAAAATTACGAAGTGGTTTCATCTATAAAATGCCGACATCTGAAAAACAGTTCATGATTTCTTTTTTCCTAGGCTTTCACTAAAATTTAAGGTTATTGAGAATAAGAATTCTAATGAATCTATAGTTCTGTAAGTTGTGTCTTATTGAGAAAAAATAATAATTTTATGTAATTTGGAGATTAAAACTCATTTATAAAACAATATTTTAAAAACTAAGTAGGAAAGACGTAAAAGTGTTATAGACATAAAGATGTATTTTTGCATAAGAAATGTTATAAAAATAATTTTGTATGCAAACGGATCTTATATGGTAAATATTTGTCCAAAACAAAATGATTGTTTTTTTTTTCTTTTTTCTTTTCTTTTATTTATTTATTTATTTATTTATTTATTTATTTATTTATTTATTTTGAGATGGAGTCTCACTCTGTCACCAGGCTGGAGTGCAGTGGCGCCATCTTGGCTCACTCCAGCTCCTGGGTTCAAGCAATTCCCCTGCCTCAGCCTTCTGAGTAGCTGGGAGTACAGGTGCACACCACCATGCCTGGCTAATTTTTGTATTTTACTAGAGATGGGGTTTCACCATGTTGGCCAGGATGGTCTCAATCTCCTGACCTCATGATCCACCCACCTCGGCCTCCCAAAATGCTGGGATTACAGGTGTGCACCACGCCTGGACAATGACTGGTTATTCTAAAAGAGATAGTATAGGACAAATCAAAAGGTCCACACGTGTAGATGGCCTGTGTATGTCATGATAAAGTTTGTGAAAGAACATTTAAAAGATAAATTGTACATGGAATTAAGTTGGCTATAATTAAAAAGGAATTACTGGCTGGCCACTGTATATCACACCTGTAATCTCAGCACTTTGGGGGCCAAGGGTAGATTGCTTGAGCCCAGAAGTTTGAGATCAACCTGGGAAGCAAGCTGAAACCCCATCGCTACAAGAAACAAAAATTAGCCAGGCATAGTGGCACATGCCTGTAATCCCAGCTATTCAAGGGGCTAGGGAGGGAGAATTGCTTGAGCCCAGGAGGTGGAGGTTGCAGTGAGCTGAGATTGCAACACTGAATTCCAGTCTGGGTGACAGAGTGAGACCCCCTCTGAAAAAAATAATTAATTTATAATAGTTTAAGATTGGCCCCCTATGTTAAAATAATATTTTCTTAAGGTATTATTTTACTGTCAATGAAATTACAAGACATTTTTATTTTTAACTCTGTTAAGAATATTTGACATACAGTTCCCTTATTCCCAGTGGCCTCTGCAGGCAACACTTTCCCTGCCTACCAATCGCCCTTGGACTCCTCTCAGGGAGTCAACCCAGACAGTAACCCAGAGTGGGGCATCTTGCCAGTCTTCCTCTATGATGTCCTGGCATGTCTCCAATGGAAAAAAAGAGGTGGGTACTCTATATGTATGTTCTCTTCACAACTTTAGATCTTTATAACTGAAAGTCTCATTCTAAAGGACTAAGGAAAGATCCCTAGGGGTTTCAAAACCTCATTTGAAGTATTATAAGATTCATCATCCTAACTGGGAAGATGTTCAGTCCCTTTGGTACATTCTCCTCACTGGAGCAGGAAAACAAAACAAAACAAAAAACAAACAACAACAAAAAACTGTTCTCTAACAGACTTGGGAGGAAGTGGGACTGAGCCCATAAGTACAAGACAAACAATCCTATTTTATGTCTCAGAGCACATCAGACATTAGACATAAACTCTTAAAAGTAAATTTAGAGCTAGACACTCTCATCTCAAGACTAGTAGACCTGGCCAATAAGGTATTCAACAACTGGGATAGGGAGGAGGAACATAAAAAAGACAGAGAGGCCACATGGCAAGCCTACCAATGGGCTATTGTTCTCCAGTGCCAGCTGGATAACTCACAGGATACCTATCAATAGAGAACCTCAGCTCCAGTGAGTGTCCCTCAGTCCCCTAACCAGGAGAAAGGATCCTGAAGACCTAGGAGACTAGGACCACACCAATGTGTCTTCTTCAATGTGCCTTCTTCAATGTGCCGCTTCTTCAGAGAGGGTCACTGGGAAAAGGCCTGTCCCCTCCACATCTGAAGGGAAGGGACAGAGGGCTTGTGCCACCAAGGTGCTTCACACAGAAAGATGGTCCAAGTAGGAAAAAAGATTGACAGGGCCTGGGGACTCCTCAGTTGGCCCTCCAGGTATCCCCCAAGGAGCTACAACTTTTACTGGATGTAGGGTGCAAGACTGTTGATTTCTTGGTTGACATAGGAACCACCTACAAGGTTTTGAACACCCCCTGGGGCAGACTTACCCACCAAAATTGCAGGATTATAGGAGTGTGAAGGAAGACAAAAGACAGCACCTTTATTGAGCCTCTAAAATATAAACTAGCTCAACCAAGAGGCACTAAAAGGGATAGTCCTAGTAATTAATGAGTTGAGAAAACAGGGATTCTTGAGGGCCTGCCAAGCCCCATGCAATATCCCTATCATCTCTGTTAAGAAACTAAATGGAAAATATCAATTTGTACAAGATTTTAAGGCAATTAATGAGGTAACAGAAAACATGCACCCAGTGGTAACTAATTCTTATATTCTACCATGTTACTCTGTCCCTGAGTTGGATGTAGTACTCAGTCCTGGGTCTAAAAGATGCCTTTTAGATGCCTTTTTCTGCCTTCCACTGGATACAGACTCTCAGTCCCCCTTTGCTTTCAAATATCAGGATCCCCAGACAGGCAGGAAACAGGAGCTAACATGAACTGTGTTAACTCAGGGGTTAAAAAACCTCCTGCACGATATTTGGAGAAACCTTAACAAGGGACCTGGGGGATCTGACAGTTTTGAATGGATGGCAGCATGTGACCAAGCATTCCAAAACCCTAAAACCCAGCTCATGAGGCCCCAGCAGTATCCCTACCCAACATAAGCAAACTTTTCTATCTTTATGTTCATGAAAGACGAGGAATTGCCCTAGGAGTACTAACTCAAGGGTTGGGCCCACTGAGCCAGGTAGTGGTCTACTTTTCCAAGCAGCTGGACTCAGTTGCTAAAGGCTAGCCACCTTGCCTTTGATCTGTTGCAGCTGTGAAACTCTTTTTAAAAGAAACAGAAAGTTAACCTTTGTGCACCCGCTAACCATTTGGGCTTCCCATCAGACTCAGACTGTCATAAAAGAAATCTGGGTGGAATGGCTGTCGCTACACAGGGCTCTCCAGTTACAGGTAATGCTTATTGGTAATTCCCACATAATGTTGAAGATGTTTAACAGCTTGAATCTGGCCACCCTCCTTCCATCTGAAGATGGTCACTTATCTCACAACCACTTAGGGGTGACAAAGGAAGTATACTCCAGTGGGCCAGACCTTAAAAGTAAACCTATTAAAAATGGGGAAGCCTAATGGTTCACCAATGGGAGTAGCTATATGCAAGAGGAACAGAGGAGGGCAGGTTATCCTATAGTCTCTCTCACAGGTGTAAAAGCTGGTGCTCTTCCACTGGGATGCGCTTCACCAAAGGCAGAGCTTGTTGCTCTAGCCCATGCATTAGAGTTGGAGGAAGGGAAGGTCCTCAATGAATACAATAGTTCCAGGTACACCTATTCCATCTTACATGCACATAGGGCTATTTGGAAGAAAGGGGCATGTTAACCTTTGTTAATAAACAGGTAAAAAAATGGTGTTATTTTAAGGTTATTAGAGGCTGTAAGAAAACCAGCCCAGGTGGAAGCAGTTCACTGCCATGGCCACCAAAAGGGAGGGGCTGAGATAATTAAAAGAAATAAAGCTGACCTTATGTCAAAACAGACAAAGGGTCATTTCCAAATGCCACTTTTGCCTTCCTTCCAGGGTCCTACTCCTTTTATCCCAGTTTTCTCTCAAAAAATGGAATAAAAGCCTCCAAATGTAGTTATATCAAAAGTCCTGACCATCCAGGATGGCTAATAAACCCTCATAAACTTCTTTTCCCAAAAGCAGTTACATTGCAGGCCATTTTTTTAAAAAAGCCCATTCTAACACTCTGGCCAGGAAGTCCTTTATAACTGGGTTTGCAAAAGTATGACTGGGATCTTCATGGAGCTACAACTTCAGGGAGCTCTCAGGGAGCTAATCAAAGAGGTGGTTGAGACTTGCCCCACTTGCTATGTTAATAACCTTAATACCCACCCTGCATGGGAGGGCCAAAAATAGGTCACTCAGCTGGTCCAATACCAAGGCAGATGCCCAGGGGAAGATTGCCAAACTGATTTCAGAGTTAAGCTCAGCGCCTCAGGACACCATTAATGCCTAAAGCCTTTGCCACCAAAACTGAAATCGCACATGAAGTGGCAAAGGTGCTATTAAAAGAAATTGTGGGCCGGGCGCGGTGGCTCACGCCTGTAATCCCAGCACTTTGGGAGGCCGAGGCGGGCGGATCACGAGGTCAGGAGATCGAGACCATCCCGGCTAAAACGGTGAAATCCCGTCTCTACTAAAAATACAAAAAAATTAGCCGGGCGTAGTGGCGGGCGCCTGTAATCCCAGCTACTTGGGAGGCTGAGGCAGGAGAATGGCGTGAACCCGGGAGGCGGAGCTTGCAGTGAGCCGAGATCCCGCCACTGCACTCCAGCCTGGGTGACAGAGCGAGACTCCGTCTCAAAAAAAAAAAAAAAAAAAAAAAAAAAAAAAAAGAAATTGTGCCTAGATTCAGGCTGCCATGGTCAATCCAAAGTGGTAATAGACTAGCATTCAAATCCTTAATTACTAAGGCTACTTCTCGGGATCTAAAAATTCAATGGTGCCTACATACCGCCTGGAGCCCACAGTCTTCGGGTAAAGTAAAGCACACCAACCAGACAGACCCTCAAAAGGACTTTAGCCAAATTGTGCCAGAAAACTCATCGCTCATGGATTTTGTATCATCCCATGTCCTTGTTAAAAATGAGAATAGTTCCACAAAGAAAAATAAAACTGAAGCCTTGTGAGCTAAGACTGGTCCAAGTCTGGTCAGATAACCAGGAGGTCCTCAGAAATATGGAAAAAAATGAGATGCTACCCAAATTTTAAAAAGTAGTAAAAGCCCTTCAGGCCTATAGAAACTGAAAATTACCTTCACTGTCGGATCTGACCTTCCATCCCTTCCAACTGGATACTATGCTTACTTAAAACCTGCAGATGGGGGAGACCACAAGATCATTTACAACCTAAATATACGAGCCCATATCTGGTAATGCTCATAAATAACTCTGCCTTAATGTTACCAGGAGTGATGCCTTAGGTTCACCACACCTGAGTAAAAGCAGCCTCAGAACCTAAGGAAAAAAGTCCCACTAACCAAGCTGAATTGCTGTCAGATCTAAGATTCCTGCTCAAAATGATCCACAGGAAACCTTAAAATACATGACATCCTGGAGAATGAGCCCTAGGGCACCGAATCCCCAGAGAAGTCAAAATGTTTAATGGTTTCCTGTCCCCCTCTCACCTGAGGAATAAAAGGCAATTAGGCTTATTCTGGCTGGTACTGGGATAGCAGGTGGTCTCATAGCCCCTAGGGAAGGTTTGCCTACCATGAGTTTACCCTCTGCAACCTCACAACAGGTATAGAAATTCTAGCCTATAAGACTAGTGATGCCCTTACCCTCCTCAAAGTCTCCCTAGACTCACTAACTAACACTGTGCTTGATAATCGTCTGACTTTTGATTATCTCTTGGCAAAAAAAGGTGAGGTACGTGTGGTCACCAGCTCTTTCTGTTGTGCTTGGGTAAGTAATTCAAGATTAAAAACAACGAAAAGACATTAAAATCATCTACAACCAGACCAAGTGGTTGCACCAATTTAACCAAAAGGGCACAGACCCTCAAGGAATATGAAAATGATAAAACAGGCCAGCCCTGATTTCACCCGGTTTCTACCCTTCCTGAGCCCTTTAGCTACCATCCTACTTATCTTGATCTTCAGGCTCTGTCTCCTAAACTCTCTGATCTCTTTTATGTATAAGCAAATCGAGGCCATACACGGATATAAAAAGGTAGGCTTATACCCAGGAGAGAACCAGATCTACCTAAGACTAGCTAGGGAAAAAATTCACTCCTCTAACAGGCCCCATATTGTCAAAAGTGTTCGAACCAGAGTGACTCCATTTTGACTGGGGGCTAGGAAAATGAGGCTGGTCCTTGAAAGGCTGCATTCTCAGAAATTTAGGCATTCCTGGCCTCTAGATGTTTATGTTAAGGGAACAAACTAATAATGTTTACTAAACAGACCCAGATTTGGGAGTGTCCATATATCCCCATATCTGGCAAACAAAGGCATTCCTAATTTTGTGTTAAAGATAATAATACCGATTCTTGCAAAATATAGTAATTAAGAAAATTAATCCTTCATCACAAACCCTTGTAGCAGAGCACATCTCCCATATATACAAGCATTGTACCTAGAGTGGACACGTTCCTCCTCTTACTTTCAGAAACGTCCTAGTCTGTCTATGGAGTATCTGTCCTTTTGAGAGGTGACAGCGTGCTGGCAGTCCTGGCAGCCCTCGCTTGCTCTCAGCGCCTCCTCAGCCTTGGCGCCCACTCTGGCGGAGCTTGAGGAGCCCTTCAGCCCGCCGCTGCACTGTGGGAGCCCCTTTTTGGGCTGGCCAAGGCCGGAGCCAGCTCCCTCAGCTTGTGGGGAGGTGTGGAGGGAGAGGCGCCGGCGGGAACCGGGGCTGCGCGCGGTGCTTGCGGGATAGCGCGAGTTCCGTGGGTGTGAGCTGGGAGGGCCCCACACTCGAAGCGGCCGGCTGCAAGCCCAGGGCAGTAAGGGGCTTAGCACCTGGGCGGGCAGCTGCTGCGCTCGATTTCTCCCCGGGCCTTAGCTGCCTCCCCGTGAGGCAGCGCTCCGGACCTGCAGCCTGCCATGCCTGAGCCCCCCGCACCCCTCCCCCCACACGCCGTGGGCTCCTGCACTGCCCTAGCCTCCCTGACGAGCGCCGCCCCCTGCTGGATGGCGCCCGGAGAGCAGGTGCAGGGCACTCCTGGCAGCTCCACCTGCCGCCCCAGTGGGAGATCCACTGGGTGAAGCCAGCTGGGCTCCTGAGTCTAGTGGGGACTTAGAGAACCTTTATGTCTAGCTAAGGGATTGTAAATACACCAATCAGCACCCTGTATCTAGCTCAAGGCTTGTAAACACACCAATCAGCACCCTGTGTCTAGCTCAGGGTTTGTGGATGCACCAATCGGCACTCTGTATCTAGCTAATCCGGTGGTGACTTGGAGAATCTTTATGTCTAGCTCAAGGTTTGTAAATGTACCAATCAGCACTCTGTGTCTAGCTCAGGGTTTGTAAATATACCAATCGACACTCTGTATCTAGCTAATCTAGTGGGGACATGGAGAACTTTTGTGTCTAGCTCAGGGATTGTAAACGCACCAATCAGCACCCTGTCAAAACGGACCAATCAGCTCTCTGTAAAACAGAACAATTGGCTCTCTGTAAAATGGACTAATCAGCAGGATGTGGATGGGGCCAGATAAGAGAATAAAATCAGGCTGCCCAAGCCAGCAGTGGCAACCTGCTTGGGTCCCCTTCCACACTGTGGAAGCTTTGTTCTTTCGCTCTTTGCAACAAATCTTGCTACTGCTCACTCTTTGGGTCCACACTGCCTTTATGAGCTGTAACACTCCCTGCGAAGGTCTGCAGCTTCACTCCTGAAGCCAACGAGACCACGAACCCACCAGGAGGAATGAACAACTCCAGACGTGTGGCCTTAAGAGCTGTGACATTCACCGTGAAGGCCTGTGGCTTCACTCCTGAGCCAGCAAGACCACGAACCCACCAGAAGGAAGAAACTCCGAACACATCCGAACATCAGAAGGAACAAACTCTGGACACGCCGCCTTTAAGAACTGTAACACTCACCGCAAGTGTCCGCGGCTTCATTCTTGAAGTCAGTGAGACCAAGAACCCACCAATTCTGGACACATTTTCACCACTTTACCTCTCTTAATAAACTTGCTTTTGCCTTGCACTGTGGACTCACCTTGAATTCTTTCTTGCACGAGATCCAAGAACACTCTCTTGGGGTCTGGACTGGGACCCCTTTCCTGTAACAATATTAACACCCAACTTCAGATTCAGAAAGTTGTAGAAGACAGACTTTTACTCCTCAGCACCATTCAAGAATGAGGAGTGAATATACAGAAAAGGGGAGATTTGTTATCCAGTGCAATGCCTACATGACATAGCTGAATTTCTACCCTGCCTTAACTCTGCTTATCTTTAAGAAACAGAACACCTGTGATTAAAAAAAAAGTTTCCTTTGTAACCAGACCAGCTGAGACAGGTTTAAGCCAAGATAGCCAACCAAAGGACTTCAAAAGGACCTCAGGCCTCATTATAATCTCATTTCCATGCTAAATGGAATGAGCACCCAGCAGCACCGTGACCATTGCCAATCCTCATGAAACAACCGGAAGAAGGCATAGGAGGACAAAAATGAAGCAGCACTCTGGTTCTGGGAAGTTGACTACCTATTTCCGGAAAAGATAAGAATATTCCCTCCCCTTGCTTTTAATGTCCAACCTCCTCATTAAATAAATCCTATATTTTAACACCCTCACCCTTCACTAGTGGAGAAGTTGAGTTGTGAGCCATGTTACTACTTCTCAATTCCATGGTCTGCACTGCTTAACACTCACTTTTGGTTTTGTGTATTGGTATTGTGACTCCAAACAAGGAAAGATCCCATCTTCTGGGTGAGTGGCTTTGTCAGTAAAATGAATATCAGGGAGGAGAAGCTGAGATCATTGGAAGCCATGTCAGATGCTGCTAACAACAGAGTCCTTTGGTCAATTGCATTTCTCGTAGTTGGTGGTTGCCAAGGTGCAGTCATATGGTCTTCATGTTAAACTCAGGACAAAAGGAAATGATTTAAATAGATAATAAGCCAGAAGAAAGTCTTCAGAAGGCTTGAAAACAGAAAATGTGAGAAAACGATCAAGAAGTATGGAGTACACAATAAGAAAATCTAATATATGTTTAATTTGAGCACAAGACATAGAAAATGGGACCAAGGAAATTGTTTGAAAAGATTATGACTCAGAATGCTCAAGATTAATGAAAAATCCAATACATAGAAACAAGACGACTAACAAATCCCACTGGAATAAATAAAAATTAACACCTAGAATATCTTGAAAAATAAAATTAATTAAAATTCATAACAAAGAGATGGTCTTAAAAACAGGCAAAACAGCCAAAGGAAAAAATATATAGATTAGATGCATAAAACTGAAAGTCAAATGGTCAGCTTCCTTCTTAATGGCAAAAATGAAAATTAATAGATTATGAAATGTTATAATTAATATATGAAGGTCAACTAAGAATCAACAATTCTACAAGAAAAGAAAATATCTTTTGAACAAAAATTCTGAAAGTTTTTCATCAGGAAAACTTTGCTAAAGGTTATGCTAAAGGATCTACTTCAGCCAGAAAGCACTCTCTCTTTTTTTAAATATATATATTTTTTATTATACTTTAAGTTCTAGGGTACATGTGCACAACGTGTAGGTTTCTTACATATGTATACATGTGCCATGTTGGTGTGCTGCACCCATTAGCTGGTCATTTACATTAGGTATATCTCCTAATGCTATCCCTCCCCGCTCCCTCCACCTCATGACAGGCCCCAGTGTGTGATGTTCCCCTTCCTGTGTCCAGGTGTTCTCGGTGTTCAATTCCCACCGATGAGTGAGAACATGCGGTGTTTGTTTCTTTCTCCTTGCGATAGTTTGCGGAGAATGATGGTTTCCAGCTTCATCCATGTCCCTACAAAGGACATGAACTCATCATTTTTTATGGTTGCATAGTATTCCATGGTGTATATGTGCCACATTTTCTTAATCCCGTCCATCATTGATGGACATTTGGGTTGGTTCCAAGTCTTTCCTATTGTGAATCATGCCGCAATAAACATACGTGTGCATGTGTCTTTATAGCAGCATGATTTATAATCCTTTAGGTATATACCCAGTAATGGGATGGCTGGGTCAAATGGTATTTCTAGTTCTAGATCCTTGAGGAATCGCCACACTGTCTTCCACAATGGTTGAACTAGTTTACAGTCCCACCAACAGTGTAAAAGTGTTCCTATTTCTCCACATCCTGTCCAGTACCTGTTTCCTGACTTTTTAATGATTGCCATTCTAACTGGTGTGAGATGGTATCTCATTGTGGTTTTGATTTGCATTTCTCTGATGGCCAGTGATGATGAGCATTTTTTCATGTGTCTGTTGGCTGCATAAATGTCTTCTTTTGAGAAGTGTCTGTTCATATCCTTTGCCAACTTTTTGATGGGGTTGTTTTTTTCTTATAAATTTGTTTGAGTTCTTTGTAGCAAGGCTGGTTCAACATACACAAATCAATAAACGTAATCCAGCATATAAACAGAACCAATGACAAAAAATCACATGATTATCTCAATAGATGCAGAAAAGGCCTTTGACAAAATTCAACAGCCCTTCATGCTAAAAACTCTCAATAAATTAGGTATTGATGGGACATATCTCAAAATAATAAGAGCTATTTATGACAAAACCACAGCCAATATCATACTGAATGGCCAAAAACTGGACTCATTGCCTTTGAAAACTGGCACAAGACAGGGATGCCCTCTCTCACCACTCCTGTTCAACATAGTGTTGGAAGTTCTGGCCAGGGCAATCAGGCAGGAGAAAGAAAGAAAGTGTATTCAATTAGGAAAAGAGGAAGTCAAATTGTCCCTGTTTGCAGACGACATGATTGTATATTTAGAAAACCCCATCGTTTCAGCCCAAAATCTCCTTAAGCTGATAAGCAACTTCAGCAAAGTCTCAGGATACAAAATCAATGTACAAAAATCACAAGCATTCTTATACACCAATAACAGACAAACAGAGAGCCAAATCATGAGTGAACTCCCATTCACAATTGCTTCAAAGAGAATAAAATACCTAGGAATCCAACTTACAAGGGATGTGAAGGACTCTTCAAGGAGAACTACAAACCACTGCTCAATGAAATAAAAGAGGACACAAATGGAAGAACATTCCATGCTCATGGATAGGAAGAATCAATACTGTGAAAATGGCCATACTGCCCAAGGTAATTGATAGATTCAATGCCATCCCCATCAAGCTACCAATGACTTTCTTCACAGAATTGGAAAAAAACTACTTTAAAGTTCATATGGAACCAAAAAAGAGCCTGCATTGCCAAGTCAATCCTAAGCCAAAAGAACAAAGCTGGAGGCATCACACTACCTGACTTCAAACTATACTACAAGGCTATAGTAACCAAAACAGCATGGTACTGGTACCAAAACAGAGATAGGGACCAATGGAATAGAACAGAGCCCTCAGAAATAATACCACACATCTACAACCACCTGACCTTTGACAAACCTGACAAAAACAAGAAATGGGGAAAGGATTCCCTATTTAGTAAATGATGCTGGGAAAACTGGCTAGCCATATGTAGAAAGCTGAAACTGGATCCCTTCCTTACACCTTATACAAAAATTAATTCAAGATGGACTAATGACTTAAATGTTAGACCTAAAACCATAAAAATGCTAGAAGAAAACCTAGGCTTTACCATTCAGGACATAGGCATGGGCAAGGACTTCATGTCTAAAACACCAAAAGCGTGGCAACAAAAGCCAAAATTGACAAATGGGATGTAATTAAACTAAAGAGCTTCTTGCACAGCAAAAGAAACTACCATCAGAGTGAACAGGCAACCTACAGAATGGGAGAAAATTTTTGCAATCTACTCATCTGACAAAGGGCTAATATCCAGAATCTACAAAGAAAGTAATCTTAGATGAAAAGCCTAACATTTATGAAGGAAAAAATAAAAATAGTTATTTTGTGGGTAAATTTAAAAAATAACCTTGACTACTTAAAACAATAATAATGTACTTATCTGTTATACAATGAAATATTCAGCAACAGTGACAAATATTTAATTCAGAAGAAATGTAATAACTAGAGTAAAATTTTTCTTAGTTCCTTTCATTGTCAGCAGGATAACAGTATCAGATATTTTTAGAGTCTGACAACATTAAGTTTGCCTGTGGTGGTAATTAATAGGATTTCCTACTAAAAGAATAGAAACAAAATTATAATAATCAAATTCAAGAAATAAGAAAATACCAATAATCAACATGAAAAAAGGCAATAAAAAAGAAAAAAATACAACAAATGTGGCAAATAGAGTAAGTTATGTGGTAGTTTATATCCAAATATGTTAGTGATTCATGAACGCACTTAATGGTCCACCCTTGAAAATATTTTCAAACTGAAAAAAAAATGTGTCTACATGGTGTTTACAACAGATATATCTAAAATATAAAAACTTTAAATTATTGAGATTAATTAAAATTATTAATCAAAAGAAAGCTAGTACAACTGTATTCATGCCTTAATTGAGTTTAAGCAAAAATGTTCCAAGAGTCAAAAAAGGTCAATTCCTAATGATAAGGAGGTTAATTGGTATCCCAGGAGGATATTAACAACTTCAAATTTGCATGCACCTGAGAATATAGCCTCAAAATATAGGAAGCAAAAACTGATAAAAATAATTATGTAGACAGATGTATCACCATAGTGGGCAATTATAGACCTTCCTCATTACTTGACAGAAAAATTAAAAAAAAATTAATAAATGGAGCAATGCTTCTCAAACATCACCTCGGGGTATTTTAAAAGTGCAGATTCTCATTTAATAGGTCTGTATTGAGTCTGATTTTCTGAAATTTGAATGAACACCTGGATAATGTTAATGTTGTGGTATAAAGATTAACCTCCATGCTTAGTAAACTTGATCTAATGAAAGAGTAACAACAGTACACTCAACAAGTAAAGAATGAATGTTATTCTCAATTACACAAGGAGTACATGCCAAAAAATGCACTCTTAATTAAGACTGAACAATTTTCATGGTTTGAAACTATATAAATTTTTCTCACGGAAATACAATTCAACTGGAAAGCAATAATAAAAATTAATTAGAACTCAACATAGAAATTTTAAAAATACATATTTCTTAATAACCCATGGGTCAAAGAAGAAATCATGATAAAAATTAGAAAATATATCCAATTGATCAAATATAACTAATCAGATTAGTTATAAAAGAGATTTCTTTATTAACTAAATAGATAATATTTAAGTACATGTTGAAATATACATTGGATGTGAGGAAATATAAACACCTTAAGAAATGAATGTTATCTAGGTTGTGAAATTTTGTATAAATTAATTTTGCTTATATGTATATGACTGTAACTCCCATAGTGACTATAAATTCTTTTATACTAAATCATTGATCAATTTTTAATAAATAAAAATGCTATTACATCACACAGAATCATAAAGAAGTTATAGTCAACAAAAGGAACTGAAGGAATAGCAGAAAATAAATACATCAGGAACAAATGTAGAAAAGAAAAAAACTCTCAATAAATAATATGCCAAAATAATCTATATATTTAAATATTTTATTTCATTCGTAATCAAATAAATTCAAGTTGAAATATTGCATGCTAAGTTTACAACTCATTTATTGATACCTAATTAGTTTTTAATCATATCCCATGCTGGATTTTTTTAAAATAGTTACTTTTGCACACATAGTAGGGATATTTATTGTTATAACATGTCCTCAGGCAATTTTGCAATATATATGAAGAGCTTTAAGATGACACAGAAATATAGTACTTTAGGGATTTATGCACAAATAATTTTACATATATGAAATATATATCTTTTTATTTACATATAAACTTGGTGATAAGACAGGTATGAATAATTTAAAATTTTATTTTTCTCTTTATCTAAATTTTCTATATAGAAATATACATTACATTTTTACTTAACATTTAATTTCTAAATGCTATAATTAGTGTTTGCGAAAAATTCTTACTTGTAGGCCTCTATGGTTTTTTCATCCTGGTAAATATCCTTATCAATCTCTTCTTTAATTTGCTGAGCCTTCAATCTGGCATTTTCACAGGCTTCTAAAGCTTCTTCAAGTTCTTCATTAACTTTTCTGTGTAGGTCCATTACCTAGAAATGAAAATATTTTTGCTTATATTTGCACTTAATGGTTAATTAAAAATAATAACTTCAACTTAGTGTAGTATTGATTTAGATCAAAAGTTCTTTAGAAACATTTTCTTCCCACATTTAGCCTATGGTTTGGTAAGTGGAATTTCAGCCCTGACAGGCATTAATGCTGGGAATGTATAAATGTTACTGAACAAAATAATTTCAATATCCAAGTTAACATGTCCAAAATGAAATCATTATCTCTTCACTCATAAAAAATTTTTATTACTCAAATAATACTTTATTATTTAAAAAATCAGAAAACAAAGATGAAATATCGCAAACAAAGTGACCTGTACTCCTCTCCACTAAGAAAAACCATTATTCTTAGGTTGGTGCAAAAGTAATTGTGGTTTTTGCCATTAAAAGTATGCACCAACCTAATATCTTAGTGTAATACTTCAAAATATTCAGTTTTTACTCTTTTTACTAATGAACAAACATCATACTAATCTCCTCTTTTACTAATTATCAAACATCATACTAATGCTCATGTCTCCATCTCTTCCTTCTGTCTCTCTCTCTGTATATCGCTGTATCACATTACTTTTACTTAACATTCCCTTATATCACACATACTCATGATTTAACTCATTGTCAATTATATGAGCATTATGCACAGTTTGACATGCACAACGCATGTATGAGGGACATATAACATCAACAGTACTGTGATGAAGAACCATGTAAGGAAATTGCACAATCTATAGTTATACTGCAGGTTCTTGAATATTTTCTTCAAACGTACTGTTAAAACAGAATTTTCTGAGTCGTAAGGTATTAGCATATATTTTAAGAATTTTGATTAATATTGGTTGCCAAATTACTCTCCAGAATAAGTGGTAACACTTTGTATTCTCACCAGTGGAACAGAAGAAAGCCTATGTTCCAAAACTCTTTCCAGCATTTTATACTACTTTTTCCTAATAATATTATTTAAATTGACAGGCCAAAAGGTTATTGTGTACATTTTACTAGAATTTGATGGCTGTTTCTGTAACAATTTTGGAATGATTGACATTTTTACTACAATAAGCCTTCCTGTCTTAGGATATATTATGTGTCTACATTAATTGTCCCTTTATTTTCTTTAATAAGATTTCATAATTGTAGTCTTAAATGTCTATACCTTTATAAGTTTCTTCATCAATATTTAATGACTTGGTAGTAAAGGAATTTTCTGTTTATATTTTTAACTATTTATTGAAAGTATGGAAAAAAACTTTATTTGTGCTAGTAAAAGTATGCTGTATTGGATGGTTTAGTTCTGGGAATACAAACTTATTTTGAAAACAACAGTCTTCTATTTGGTGTTTTAATTATAATAATATTAAAATAATTTTATTTCACAATTTTTAAATGTATATCTTTTATTTCATTTTATTGTCCTATTACATAGCAAAATTCCCCAAAATGATGTTAAATTATAATAGGGATGTCAGGTTTACCTGATTTGTTCCTATTATTACAGTTTTAGCATTTTAATGATTAATATGGATGCTTGTGTGAAATAGTTCTTTATTTAAATTAAGGTGTTTTTCAAATTTTAATTATTATAATTGCCAGTTTTTGAATAATGAATACATTTTAAGCATCATTTGATAAAATTCTGTTTTTTAATCATGTTAATACAATAAATTATATACCTAGATTTTCTGCTGTTAAACCATTGGCACAGTGCTATAATACATTTCTTTGGAGTGATATATTTTTCTTCTCTTACACTGAAGAATTCTTTGGCAAATAATTTAAGTAATTTTTCAAATATGTATTTATTGGTAACTTATATATGTAATATTATTTTTATAGAATTTCCATAAAGTTTTGGTATTGAAATATGTCACCTTCATTTAATTTAAAAATTTCCCTCCTCTTCTTTGGACTAAATATTTAAAACAATATTGAAATTATTCATCTTTTACAGGTTAGATCATACGCAAGTGCAGTATCACCAGCTTTAGGGTTTATTATTAAGTGCAATAATTTGATATTTTATTTTTGAGTTTCCCTTTGATACTGGAATAATATCTACATACAAGATTTTTCTTGTGGTTAAGGTATTTTTGAGAGTATAATTATTTTTTCTAGTTTTATGGGGCGGTGATCTTACAACGCATCTTTTGAAATTTATCCTTCTAAATTTTCTTAAGTTTATTTGTTGAAGTACAACTTATATAGTATAGAATGAGACAAGTTAAAGTGTACAATTCAGTGGCATTCGGTGCATTCACAATGTTGTGCCAACATCACCCTTTTCTAGTTCCAAAACATTTTCATCATCCCAAAGGGAAACCCTGAACTCATTAAATGGTTACTCCCTAGTCTCCCCTTCCTATTTTAAAAGATTCTCCTAGTGGGAAGACACAACGCAGTGAAACTGGGCTAGATGAAAGGCAGAATTCTGTTACAGCTCCAAAGGAGAGATGGCTACCAGGTAGGGCTGTGTTAGGGGTTTCAGCTGGGGACAGGTTAGCAGCAAGCTGGAGCTATAGGGGACAGCTTATGGGTGGCAACCAGTGGGTGTGGGTAGCTAAATTTCAGGAGATCTCTGTGGAGTGGCTAATTTTAATCATTTCAGCAGATGCTGAAGTACAGGGGGTGTCCCTACTTGTCTGGGGCCTGTCTCTGTTGAGAATAGGATGGGTACATAGTGGTGTGGAATGTGAGGGCCCAGGAAGGGGTTGGATATGTGGGTTTAATCAGCTGCTCAAGAAAGGGAGGGCCAGCCTTTAGCCACAGCCTCAAAACTGGGTAAGACAACACAACACACTGTGTACTCTAAGGGGTAAAATATGTGCCTTGGCTACTCCATCATGCCTGGAACTCTGGAGGGGCTGAGTGTCCTTGGAAGCCTTGTTTTATGGCCTTAGCATATCTAGAGACATGTGGGACCTTAATTTATATTTTGGCTATCTATGAGGCAAGGGATTCCCAGAGTTGTTTACTCTAAAGGGGGCAACTCTTTACTTCCCACTCTGTATCTTGTTGTTTTTGGGTTTTTTTTCTTTTTCTCGTGTTTTGGGCTTCTAGTCACCATCTTTGTCTGCTAACTTATATTGCATACCTTCTCGGTGGTTACAGAAAAAGGGGATTGAGCAGCCCTCTGGCCTAACTTGAAGGCAGCCTTCTCTCTCATTCGAAGACATCAAGTCTACCTCCCAGGTATTGGGTTGTGCACTTAAAGAGGTATAGCAGACTCCCTTTGCGAAAACTCAATTAGCCCAAAGTATCAGTCCTTTGACATGTTGTAATGCAGCAGCATTTACTAAAGCCCAAGCACACTGGCTAGGGGTTTTGAATTTTGTAAGCAACTGGGTAACTTCAGCAGGCCTCTAGCCAGGGCCTTAAAACTGGGTCAAGATTGCATAATAAAAAAATAATAATTTTAAAGAGTTTTAAAACTTTATTACAAACAAAACATGACAAACAAAACTCGATATTACATTTCCCCCAGCCCTAGGTAGTCATTAATCCTTCTGTGTCTATGGATTTACCTATACTGCATCTTTTATATAAATGAATTACGCAATATGTGACCTTTTGTGTCTACCTTCTTAGCATAATGCTTTGACGTTATATTCATGTTGTAGCATGTATCAGTACCTCATTTCTTTTTACGGCTTAATAATATTTCATTCCATTGATATATTGCATTTTGTTTATCTCAGTAAACAAACATTGGGCTGTTTCTTTTGGTTATTGTGAATAGTGCTACTAATGAATATTTATGTACAAGTTTTTGCTTTTCTTTTTGTTTTTTTAGTCTCAGCTTTTGTTTCTTTTAGATGTATACCTGGGAGTACAATTGCTGAAGAATATTGTAATTCTGTGTTTAGCTATTTTAGAAATAACCAAAATGTTTTCCATAGCGGCTGCACTATTTTTGCATTCCCACCAGCAAATTACAATGGTTCCAGTGTCTCTAGGGCATCCTTGTTACTTTCCATTTTATTTTTAATCCTATCCTAATGGGTATGACTGGTATCTTATTGTGGTTTTGATTTGCATTTTTTAAAGACTAATGATGTTGAACATACATCTTTTCATGTGTTTGCTGCCCATTTGTATGTCTTTCTGAAGATATGTCTATCTGTTCATTACTATGAACAGATATATAACAGATATATGTATATCTGTTCATGGCAAGTTCTCTGTTTATTTTAAATTTAGTTGTTTGTCTTTCAGTTGTCAAATTAGAAGAGTTCCTCATATATTCTGGGAACTATATCCGTTTGAGATACATATAATTTGCAATGTTTTCTTTCATTCTATAGGTTGTCTTTTTACTTTCTTGATAGTGTCCTTTGATGCAAGAATGCTTTTAATTTTGACTAAGTCCTATTTTTCTATCAGTGTCATATCTAAGAATCCATTTCCAAATCCAAGGTCATAAAGATTTATCCCTAGATTTTTTTTTTTTTTTTTTTTTTTTTTTTTTTTTTTTTGAGACAGAGTCTTGCTCTGTTGCCAGGCTGGAGTGCAGTGGCGCGATCTCGGCTCACTGCAACCCCCGCCCCACCGGGCTCAAGCGATTCTTCTGCCTCCACCTTCTGGGTAGCTGGGACTACAGGCCCGTGCCACCACACCCAGCTAATTTTTGTATTTTTAGTAGAAACGGGGTTTCACCATGTTGGCCAGGATGGTCTCGATCTCTTGACCTCGTGATCCGCCCACCTCAGCCTCCCAAAGTGCTGGGATTACAGGCGTGAACCACTGCACCTGGCTATCCATAGGTTTTCTTTTAAGAGTTGTATAGTTTAAGCTCTTATATTTATGTCTTTGATTCATTTTGAGTTAATGTTTATATGGTGTAAGGTAGGGGTCCACTTTTATTCTTTTGAATATATATGGATAGTCAATGTCCCAGCATCATTTGTTGAAGAGGCTACACTTTCTTTCAATAAATGATTGTTCTTGCACCTTGTTAAAAATCAATTAGCCGTAGATGTATATGTTTATTTCTGAAATTTCAGTTCTACTTTATTTATCTATTTCTTTATACTTAGGCAAATATATTTTGCTTACTACAGCTTTGTAGTAAGTTTTGAAATTGGAAAATGTGACTTCTCCAATGTGGTCTTCTTTAACAAGATTATTTTTGCTATCTGGGGTTCCTTGCAATTCCATGTAAATATTAGGGTAGGCTTTTCCATTTCTGCAAAAGATCATTGAGCTTTTGTTCTGGATTGCATTGATTTCATAGATATTTTTAGGTGCTATTGACACTTTAACAATATTGAGTCTTCCAATTCATGAATACAGGATGTCTTTCAATTTATTCAATTCTTATTCAATTTATTTCAGCAAAATATTATAGTTTTTGCTATATAAATCTTTCATCTTCTTAAAATTATTAGTATTTTATTATTTTTGATGACCCGTATATGGAATTGTTTTCTTAATTTTTTTTGGATTGTTCACCACTAATGTATAAAAATATAACTGAGCTTTGTGTGTTGAGCTGAATTCTGCAAGTTTGCTAAATGTGATTTTTAGCACTAAGAGACTGTTTTGTGAATTCTTTGGTATTTTCTATATGTTAGATCATGCCCTCTGATAATAAAGAAAATTTGACTTTTTAATTTCTAATTTGTGTGCCTTTTATTTCTTTTACTTGCCTAACCACTCTGGCTTGAACTTTCTGTACAATGTCAAATAGAAGTAGTAAAACTGGGTATCCTTCTCTTATTTATGATCCTAGAGGAAAAGGTTTAAGTCTTTCACCATTATTTTCAGTATTACCTGTGGGTTTTACAAAAATGTCCTTATTCATAGTGAGCAAGTTTTCTTCTTTTTCTAGTTTGTTGAGGGTTTTTATCATGTAAGAATTTTGGACTTTGTCCATTGTTTGTTCTTCAACTGAGACAATCGTGTGAGTGTGTGTGTTTCCTTTATTTTATTCATGTGGTACATTAAACTGATTTATTTTCATATATTGTATCACATATGTATTCCTGGGATAAATGCCATTTGTTCATGATGTATAATCTTTTTAATATGCTGCTAGATTTGGGTTGCTAGGATTTTGTTGAGGATTTTTGCGTCTATATTCATAAGGTATACTGGTCTATAATTTACTTCCTTGTGATATATTTATCAGGCTTTAGTAACTAGGTAATGCTGACATAGATGAATTAGGAAGTGTTCCTTCCTCTTCCTCTTTTCCTTTTGGAAGAGTTTGAGAGTTGGAGAATTATTAGAGTGTGTGTGTGTGTGTGTGTGTGTGTGTGTGTGTGTGTGGTATAATTCACTAGTGAATCCACTTGGTCCTGGGCTTTTTTTTTTTTTTTTTTTGGTGGAGTGGGGAGGTGGTTAATCACTTATTCAATCTCTTTACTTGTTATACACCTGCTCAGATTTCCTATTTCTTCTTGATTCCATTTTATCTAGGTTATCTAATTTGTTGGCAAGAATTTTTACTATCTCAATGTATGTATTTTTATTTCTCTCTGAGGAAGTATTTGGGCCTCTCAGTGCTCATAATTCTGCTTTTCATTTTTGAGTATTGTCAGTTATGCTCATTTTATCAAAGAAAAATGTGTTTACTTTTACTAAGATATCACTTTTCTTCTACCTTATATTAGAGAGTTTTCATATTTTGGCTGCATGACATTTATAGCCTTTCTTAATAGCATCTCAGTTTCATGATGGGGAATTATTTTTTCTTGGGGAATTACTTTCCCTTGCATTGTACACCCACAGTGGATGGTTTCACAGAGTTTATGGCTCACGCTACAGAAGCCAAGAGGTCTAAACTCTCATTTTGACCCCTGGAATAGTTAGAAGGTCACCAGCTGACTTAAAAGCAGGTAAGCAGAAGCACTGATCTAGGAATTTAAGATGTGATGGAGTAGCACAATAATGATGAAATAAAAGAAGGGCAGTCATTGCATTAATGGTGACCATATTAGTCAGGCTTCTCTAGAGAAACAATCAATAGGAGCGAGGAAGATGGGGGAGAGAGAGAGACTGATTTTAAGGACAAGGCTCACACTATTTTGGAGGTACAAGTCCAAAATCTGCAGGGTAGGTTGGCAGGCTAAAGACCCAGGGAAAGGTTGCTGTCCCAGTCCAAAAGTAGTGTGCTTACAGGATTCCTTCTTGCTCAGAGGAGGTCAGTTTTTGTTCTGTTAAGACCTTCAGTTGATTGCACAAGGCCTACCCACAATATGGAGAATAATATGTTTTACTCTAAATCTACCAATTCAAATGTGAATCTCGTCCAAAAAATGTACATTTATTGAAAACATCTGGAATAATGTTTGACCAAATATCTGGGCATCATGGCCCCATAAGTTGACAATTAAATTAACTGTCATTTTGGCCCTGATAAGCTTTACACAAACATTGCTTTTTTTTTTTTTTTTTTTTTTTTTTGGTCTGCTAGCATGAATTCTTTCTTCCCATTCACAAGCCTGATCTTCCAGGTGCCTAACAACTCCACTTGCCCTGCTTATAATGTACCCAAGTTCACTATCAGTGAAAAACACAGTAAAACAAAGGGATACCAATTAAAACACATATAGACAAAATTTTAAAGAATGACAATAAAAATATTAACTAAATTGTGAGTTATACCAGTTAGGATTGAGTTTTGCTGTAAGTTATAGGAATAAACCAAATAAGTTGCTTAAACAAGGTTGCAGTTAACTTTCCTCTCACAGAAATATATCTGACTATCCTTTTGCTCTTCAGCCATCCTGAGTTGTGGCTTCCATCCCCAAGGTTGCTTCATGCTGTAAAATGGAAGTTAGAGCTGCAGCTATCATATCAAGGTTGCTGGAAGTTTAGTAAATAGCTTATTTGGCATTTTCTAAACTTCCAGCAACCTAGGTATGATAGCTAAGGCAAATGGCCAAATAGACTACCTATGTGAGGCAGTCTATTTCAAAGAGATTTCCTAGAATTTGCAGCCAATAACTCCTACCTACATCTCATTAGAAATACAATGAGAAAAGGGAAATTGAGAAATATCTTCCAACCTGACACATTGTCACCCAACTATATAGGGGTCTATTACTAAAAAAGGAGGACAGTACTTGCATTCTTGTCCACAGTGGAGAAATGAGACTTCAGTATTGCCACTACTTCAGTAATAGAAATTGTTATAGGCACTCTGAAAAATAACTTGATGTTATCTAATAAAATAGTAAATGTGTATAACCCACAATCCAGTAACTACCCAACTAGGTATATAACCCCACTAGGAAAAATTCACATGCAGATACAGAGGAAGGTATTCATGTGTGATTATTGTTTACAGTCAAATAAGCAGTTTTGTTGCCAGATATTGGAAACAACTCAGATGGCCAACAGAAGATGAAATGGTAAGTAATTACATTGTGAAATATCTATCTGATGGAACATTGTAAGTAAAATGAATGAACTAGAGCTATACATATCAACAGTAGCTTGATTAAACTAAAAAATTGTCAGATTAAAAAATAGGTTGCAGAATATTGCACCATGTATGGTACTGTTTGTGTGATTAAAAATACTATGTATTGTTTATTAACACACACGCATATATATAATTACACAAATTTGGCTTATAAACACATGAAATTCATTATAAAGATTGTCTTTGGTAAAGGAGGAACGAAAATGGAACTGTTGAGGGGAACACAGGAGACATTTAACAACTTGTTTTATTTACTTTAAAATGTTCAAAAATAAATATAATACAAATTTAAATTTGTTCATTTTGTGACAATTATCAATAAATTATTTTCATATTCCACAATAGGAGAGTTAAATATCTAATTAACCTTTAAAAATACTTTTATTTCATTTATATATTTTCATAAACAATGAAATTAATATATTTTACTTCTATTTTTGCTCAGTATGATTATGGCTTAAAAAAAAACCCCACAATTTTATTTTTCTGAAGTTCTTGTTTTGTTTTGCTTTGCTTTGAGACAGGGTCTCACTCTGTCATCCAGGCTGGATTGCAGTGGCACAGTCATGGATCACTGCAACCTCAACCTCCAGGGGTCAAGCAATCCTCACACATCAGCCTCAACCTCAAAGGGTCAAGCAAGCCTCCCACCTCAGCCTCCCAAGTAGAGGATACTACAGGCACAAGCCACCACATCTGGCTAATTTTTGTATGTTTAGTAGACATGGGGTTTCACCATGTTACTCTGGCTCATCTCTAGCTCCTGGGCTTAAGCGATGCACCCACCTCAGCTTACCACCCGAAGTGCTGGTATTACAAGCATGAGCCACCACACCCAGCCTTACCTGGCTATTTTAAATGACCAAAATTTTACCAGAAGTTTGACTAAATATGCTTAATAATCTTAAATATAATGGTAAGAAAAGAAGACATAGTTAAAATGAATACCAACAGTTGGTAATGTGTAGAGATAAAGAGCAGGTCAATTTTAAGAAAAAAAAAAAAAACCTTTAAAGCTGTGTTAATTTCTTATGGTTGAAAAGTTTTTGCATAACTAAGTAATAATTTATGAAATGCTCATGCATTCGTTTATTTACCTCCATTTTTTTTTTATAATGGTTCTTCAGATCTTGAAGTTCCTGATTCTGCTTAGAGTCCAGTAGAGGGCCATGTTCATTCATGTAGTCTATGTCTGCTTGAATCTTTGCATTTGCTTCTTCTAACTCTGTCTTTTGTTTTTCAAAATGTTGTAGTTGATTAGCTTTATCTTCAAGATGCCATTGTAATTCTATAACATCACTCAAATAGGCCTCATGTTCTAGATATAGAAGGATAAGAACAAAAGAAAATCTGATTGGAGGAAATATTTGATAATACATAAATATAAAACATTTTAATTTCAGAAATTCCTTATTTGTGAATCTTACTACTTTTTTTTTTTTTTTTTTTTTTTTCCGAGATGGAGTTTCGCTCTTGTTGCCCAGGTTGGAGTGCAATGGCACGATCTTGGCTTACTGCAACCTCTGCCTCCCAGGTTCAAGCAATTCTGCCTCAGCCTCCCAAGCAGTTGGGATTACAGGCATGTGCCACCATGTCTGGCTAATTTTGTATTTTTAGTAGAGATGGGGTTTCTCCATGTTGGTCGGGCTGGTCTCAAACTCGCGACCTCAGGTGGTCCACCTGCCTCGGCGTCCCAAAGTCCTGGGATTACAGGCATGAGCCACCGCACCCGGCCAAATCTTACTACCTCTAAAATAAAAGGTACTATAAAATATATTACTTTCTTAATTCATCATCAAAAGGATTAAAATATATGTTTCATAAGATAATAGTTATTTTAGTACAAATCCTGTTTATGTTGTATGGTCAATGTATATTCTGACCATTCTATAAAGTACTCTATGTAACTGCTTCAAAGTGAGAACTCCAAGAGTAGAGGCCTTCCAAAACCACCTAGAAGGAAAATGATGAAATAAGACTTACAAATATCAGAACGAAAAAGGCAAAAGTGATTATTATTTTCTTATAGAAAAACACATGAAATAGTGAAATGAAAATTATTACAAATAACATAGTTCATGTAAAAGTAACATAAAAAATGCTTACCTATATATAAATATGTTGAAAACAGAATATCTCACAATAGCAAAACTAAAACATAAAATAAACTACATAAATCTATTAATAAACCTAACATGAACTGGGTAAGGTCTGTAAGGGGAAAGTGACAGCATGCTATCAAACAACACAAAAGTGAATTTGAATAAATGAATAAAATTATTTTTTCTGTATAAAAATATTTGAAATTTTAAGCACAGGGATTTCCTTATATTAATGTATAAATTTAATTAAATCCCAATGAACAGAGAAGGACAATTTTAGAAAAAAACCATTGAAAGATTTTCTCATTATTTTAACTTTCTGGCATTAACTGAATCTTGCATTCTTGGAATAAAATTAGATGGGCTAGTTTATTTTCTTTTTTATCTTTTTAAAATAAATTTCTTGATGGAATTTGCTGATGTCTTTACCTGGGATTTTCTGCATTTATACTTGTAATTTTGGCCTGTATTTTTCTATAGTTGTGCTGTGATCATTTAATTTTGATTTATAATTTATGATAGCTTCTTATATAAGCTGTAGTTTCTTTTGATTTCTTTTCTCTAAGATGTTGTGGAAGTTTGAAATTGCATATTAAGCCCCACGGCCCTATGTATATATTTATTTATTTTGTGAGGAAGGATTTTTAGTTACTGGGTCAAAATCATTCCTTTAATGACTATATGAATATTTTGATTATCTATTCAGCAAGCTATTTTTCTCTGTAAATTTATTTAGTTGGTCAAAGTTTCAACAATATTCAAAGAAATTTGTTCTTAATGTCGTCATCACTATTAATCATTGCTATATCCCTATGTATTTTCATTCCTAATCTGAATCAGTTATACATTCTCACTGTGTTTTTTGTTAATTTTGCCATTGGTTTTACATTATGCTCTTTCTACTGAGCCAACTTCAGCTTTGCATCTCTTCTGCATTACGTATTTTTATTATTTTACCATTTTGTTGTTGGGTTTCTCCTTCTTTCTTTGTATTTATTTTGCTTTTTTCCCTAACTTCTAAACTCATACACTTTGATAATTAATTAAGTCCCTCTTTTTGATATAACAAAAGCTACTGATTTCTCTTTAATGACTTGGATTTTTCCCATACATGTAATGATACTTTTAATGATTTTTTAAATGAAATACTTCTAAATGTTTTTTATTTTCTGATACATGCAATGTTTGATAATATCTTTTTTTATGTTTTTTACCCTCACCAATTAGACAGTTAGATTTTTGTTCCAAAGAGTCAGACATTATCTTGTTAAGTATTGCCATTATTACTTCCATGAAGATCTTCTATTAAATATTCATGATGCCCTCTCATTCTATATGCCATGTTTTAAATATTTTATTTATATTTTTCTCTCCTTGTCTTGCTGTGATGCATTCCATGCAATTTCTTCAAGTTTTACAGTTAACTATTACTTCTCTCTGAGTCTAATAAACAATTTAACCAATTATTAAATTAATTTTATGTAATATATTTTTCATTTCTCATAGTTTTTCATTTGTATATTTTGCTTTCTTTAAAAAAGTTTCTTGTCCTTGCTTTTATTTTTAAACCTTTTCATTTCTTGAAATGTATCAAACACTTATTTTATAATCTCAGATATAATCCTATATCTGACACATTTTGAGTAAAATTATGTGGTCTGCTTCTACTGATTCATACCCATTGAACCTGTATCTTCATGTGTTTTATGATATTTAATATTGAGCTACTTCTTTTCTTGGAACATTATCTGAGATAAATTTTTCGTGCCTGGGTTGAAATTTTAGTCTTGTAGAGCAAATGTGCCTTTGATCCTGTCAGTTGCCTGACTTTACTACTAACGTACAGAACATTTAAATGACATTCTCCACTTAACAGTTTTTAAGCACACAGACAGCAGGCAGTGGGGGATCAAAAATCTATTTGAGATTAGTACATTACGAATGTTCAGGAAGCATTGTTTTCTTCCATTGTATAAGAGAAACAAACAACTTTCTTGGCTGCTCAATCTGAGCCACAGGTTGATTCATGGTTCACTCTTAGGCTGAGGATTAGTAGACCTTTGGATTCTCATTTTTATGTCCTGATCTCTAATTAGACTTGTCACTCTGGGTGAGACTTAAGCTTTATTTCCAGTATCCTGTACCCTACACATATATCAAAATGGCAACTCAAGGACATCAGGGTTTCAAGGATTCCCCCAGGGCTAAATCTAACACTGATGTCTATTTACTTCCAGAAATTTCCATTCCAAACTTAAATTTTGGCCATGCTACATTTCTTATGTTCTTGACAACTTGTCAGCATATTTTAAATGATTTGAAGAACTAAACTACATGAGCAAATCTGACAATTGAAATTATAACTTTGATATTACTGGTTTATTTTCTGAATTAATAGGTAAAATGAACACCCTATTCTCAAAACTCAATGAATAACTAGACAGAAAATTCTTAAGGAGATAAAACACTTGAACAGCACTATCAATCAAATTGACCTGATATTTATAGATAGCCTACCCAACAACAGCAGAGTATATATTAATTTGAACTAAACAGAACATTCACCCAGACAGATAAAATTTTAAATACAAATTAAACATTAAAAAAATGTTTCTATGGCCTTATAGTATAGTTTGAAGTTGGGTAATATGATGCCTCCAGATTTGTTCTTTTTGCTTAGTCTTGCTTTGGCTATGCAGACTCTTTTTTTTGGTTCCACATGAATTTTAGGATTGCTTTTTTCTAGTTCTGTGAAGAATGGTGGTAGCATTTTGATAGGAATTGCATTGAATTTGTATGTTGCTTTTGGCCATATGGTCATTTTCACAATGTTGATTCTATCCATCCATGAGCATGGGAGGTGTTTCCATTTGTTTGTGTAGTCTAAGATTTCTTTCAGCAGTGTTATGTAGTTTTCCTTGCAGAGGTCTTTCACATCCTTAGGTATATTCCTAAGCTTTTTTTTTTTTTTTGCAGCTATCATGAAAGGAGTTGAGTTCCTAATTTCTCAGTTTGGATGCTGTTGGTGTAGACCAGAGCTATTGATTTGTGTACATTAATTTTTGTACACAAAATTATTATCCTGAAACTCTGCTGAATTAATTTACCAGTTCTAGGAGCTTTTTGGATGAGTCTTTTAAGGTTTTCTATGTATACGCTCATGTCATCAGCAAACAGCAGCAGTTTGACTTCCTCTTTACCCATCTGGATACCCTTTATTTCTTTCTCTTGTCTGATTGCTCTGGCTAGGACTTCCAGTACTATGTTGAATAAAAGTGGTGAAAGTGGGCATCCTTGTCTTGCTCCAGTTCTCAGGAAGAATGCTTTCAACTTTTCTCTGTTCAGCACAATTTCAACACAACATGGTATTGGTATAAAAATGGGCACGTAGACCAATGGAACAGAATAGAGAACCCAGAAATAAGCCAAATACAGCTAACTGATCTTCAACAAAGCAAACAAAACAACATAAAGTGAGGAAAGGACACCCTATTCAACAAATGGTGCTAGGATAATTGGCAAGCCACATGTAGAAGAATGAAACTAGATCCTCATCTCTTGCCTTATACAAAAATCAACTCAAAATGGATCAAAGACTTAGATCTAATACTTGAAATCATAAAGATTCTAGAAGATAACACTAGAAAAACTCTTGTAGACAATGCCTTAGGCAAAGACTTCATGACCAGGAACCCAAAAGCAAACGCAACAAAAACAAAGATGAATAGATGGGACTTAATTAAACTAAAAAAGCTTCTGCTCAGCAAAAGAAATAATCAGAGGTAACAGGCAACCCACAGAGTGGGAGAAAATTTTGACGAACTATACGTTGAAAAAAGGACTAATCCAAAATCTACAAAGAACTCAAATCAGCCAGAAAAAATCAAATAATCCCATCAAAAAATGGGCTAAGGATATGAGTAGACAATTCTCAAAAGAAGATATGCAAATGGCCAACAAACATATGGAAAAATGTTCAACATCACTAATTATCAGGGAAATGCAAATCAAAACCACAATGTGATACCACCTAACTCCTGCAAGTATGTCCATAATAAAAAAATGAAAAACATTATAGATGTTGGCATGGATGCAGTGAAAAGGAAACACTTTTACACTGCTGGTGAGAATGTAAACTAATTCAGCTACTAGGGAAAACAGTGTGGAGATTGCTTAAAGAACTAAAAGTAGATCTCCCATTTGATCCAGCAATCCCATTACTAGGTATCTACCCAGAGGAAAAGAAGTATATGAAAAAGATACTTGCAAATGCATGTTTATAGCAACAAAACTTGCAATGCAAAAATATGGAACCAGCCCAAATGCCCATTAATCACTTAGTGAATAAAGAAAATGTGGTACATATACCATGGAATACTACTCAGACATACAAAGGAATAAAATAATGGCATTCACAGCAACCTGAGTGGAATTGCTGACTATTATTCTAAGTGAAGTAACCCAGGAATAGAAAACCAAATATCGTATGTTCTCACTCATAAGTGGGGGCTAAGATATGAGGACTCAAAGGCATAAGAATGATTTGTTGGACTTTGGGGACTTGGAGCAAGTTTTGGGGGTGGCAAGGGGTAAAAGACTACACATTGTGTACACAATGTACAGTGATAAGTGCACCAAAATCTCAGAAATCACCACTAAAGAACTTATTCATGTAACCCAACACCACCTGTTCCCCAAAAACCTAATAAAATAAATAAATAAATAAAATTTCCTAGTAAAATATAATTAAATTAGCCTTAACAGAAGTTTTTATGAAAATTTCAAAATAAATGCAAATTAACCAGCAACTTCTAAATAAATAGATTCCATAAGAAATCACAGGGATATTTGAAAAGATATTTTGAAGTAAATAATAATGAACTCATGGCATATGAGCATTTATAAAATGCAACTAATGACATTCTGAGAAGAAAATTTACAGCTTTTAACTGATAATTCTAGAAAATAAAAATGGCATCAAGTAAATAATCAAAGCATCTAATTTATAAAAAGAGAAATATAGAGGTTTAAATTATTCCCAAAGCAAATAAGATATGGGAAATCAGAGGAAAAAATTCAGTGGTATAAAAGCTGAAACATAGTAATCAATAAAGGAAGCAAAAGTGGACTTTTTAAAAAGATAAACAAAATTGACAAATCTTTTGCTTGAATGACCACGAAATAAAGACACAAGGCACAAATTACCAAAGTTAGGAATGAAAAAGATACCATCACTACTACTATTACAGAAATTAATTATAAGAGAATTTCATGAAAACATTTAGGCCAGCAAACTAGATAACTACAATAAAATGGACAAATTCTTCAGAAGATATAAATTACTGAAAATGACTCAAGCAGCAACAGAAAATGGAAGAGAGACCTTGATATGTTTTGGCTGTGTCCCCACCCAAATCTCAACTTGAATTGTATCTCCCAGAATTCCCACATGTTGTGGAAGGGACCCAGGGGGAGGTAACTGAATCGGCAGTGGCGGGGGGTGTCTTTCCCATGCTATTCTTGTGATAATGAATAAGTTTCATGAGATCTGATGGGTCTATCAGGGGTTTCTGTTATTGCTTCTTCCTCATTTTTCTCTTGCCACTGCCATGTAAGAAGTGCCTTTCACCACCGGTCATAATTCTGAGCCCTCCCCAGCCATATGGGACTGTAACTCCATTAAACCTCTCTTTCTTCCTAGTCTCGGGTATGTCTTTATCAGCAGTGTGAAAATGAACTAATACAGTAAATTGGTACCAGGAGTGGGGTGTGCTGAAAAGATACCCCAAAATGTGGAAGTGACTTTGGAACTTGGTAACAGGCAGAGGTTGGAACAGTTTGGAGGGCTCAGAAGAAGATAGGAAAATGTGGGAAAGTTTGGAACCCCCTAGAGACTTGCTGAATGGCTTTGACAAAAATGCTGATAGTGATATTAACAATAAGGTCCAGGATGAGGTGGTCTCAGACAGAGATAAGAAACTTGTTGGGAACTTGAGCAAAGGTGACTCTTGCTATGTTTTAGCAAAGAGACTGGTGGCATTTTGCCCCTGCCCCAGAGATATATGGAACTTTGAACTTGAGAGAGATGACGTAGGATATCTGGTGGAAGAAACCCTAAGCAGCGAAGCACTCAAGAGGTGACTTGGGTGCTTTTAAAAGCATTCCATTTTAAAAGGGAAACAGCATAAAAGTTCAGAAAATTTGCAGCCTGACGATTCAATAGAAAAGAAAAACCCATTTTTTGAGGATAAATTCAAGCTGGCTGCAGAAATTTGCATAAGTAGTAAGAAGCCTAATGTTAATCCCCAAGACCACGGGGAAAATGTCTCCAGCCATGTCAGACACCTTCATGGCAGACCCTCCCATCACAAGCCTGGAGGCCCAGGAAGAAAAAGTGGTTCTGTGGGCCAGGCCCAGGGTCCCCATGCTGTGTGCAGCCTAGGGAGTTGGTGCCCTATGTCACAGCCACTCCAGCTATGGCTGAAAGAGGCCAACATAGAGCTCGGGTTGTGGCTTCAGAGGGTGGAAGCCCCAAGCCTTGGCAGCTTCCACATGGTGTTGAGCCTGTGAGTGCACAGAAGTCAAGAAATGAGGTTTGAGAACCTCCGCCTAAATTTCAGATGTATGGAAATGCCTGGATGTCCAGGCAAAAGTTTGCTGTAAGGGTGGGGCCCTCATAAAGAATCTCTGCTAGGGTGCTGAGGAAGGGAAATGTGGAGTTGGAGCCCCCAACAGAGTCCCTACTGGGGCACTGCCCAGTGGAGCTGTGAGAAGAGGGCCACCATCCTCCAGAGTCCAGAATGGTAGATCCACCCACAGCTTGCACATGTGCCTAGAAAAGCCACAGACACTCAACACTAGCCCATGAAAGCAGTCATGAGGGAGGCTGTACCCTGCAAAGCCACAGGGGTGCAGCTGCCTAAGACTGTGGGAACCTACCTCTTACATCAGCATGACCTGGATGTGAGACCTGGAGTCAAAGGAGATCATTTTGGAGCCTTAAAATTTGGCTACCCCATTGGATTTTGGACTTGCATGGCCCTGTAACCCTTTTGTTTTGGCCAATCTCTCACATTTGGAACAGCTGTATTTACCCAATACCCATACCTCCATTGTACCTAGGAAGTAACTAGCTTGCTTTTGATTTTACAAGCTCATAGGCAGAAGGGACTTGCCTTGTCTCAGATGAGACTTTGAACTGTGGACTTTTGGGTTAATGCTGAAATGAGTTAAGACTTGGGGGACAGTTGGGAAGGCATGACTGGTTTTGAAATATGAGGGCATGAAATTTGGAGGGGCCAGTAGAATGATATAGTTTGGCTGTGTCTCCATTCAAGTCTCAACTTGAATTGTAACTCCCAGAATTCTGACATGTTGTGGGAGGGACCCAAGGGGAGGTAATTTAATCACATGGTCCAGTCTTTCTCATGTTATTCTCATGTTAGTGAATAAGTCTCATGAGATCTGATGGGTTTATCAGGGGTTTTTCCACTTTTACTTCTTCCTCATTTTTCTCTTGCCACCACCATGTAAGAAGTGCCTTTAGCCTCCTGCTGTGATTTTCTGAGTTCTCCCTGGCCATGTAGAACTGTGAAGCCCAATTAAACCTCTTTTTCTTCCCAGTCTCAGGTATGTCTTTATCAGCAGTATGAAAACAAACTGATACAGACCTAAAACTAGGAAACAAATTGATTTACCTATTAAAAATTTACTGACAACTTTGGGCTTAAACAGTTTGGCATGGATTAAAAAAAACTCAGTAAATGACCCTGGGTAGAAAAATAATGACTTCAAGGAAATGAAAAACTCTAACTTGAAACTTAAGAAGGTTTAGAGATCAAAATTCAGCTAAGAAATGAGTAAGATAACTGATCTAGAACCAGTGAAACTTCTAGGATTCTAGTAGAGGCAAAAAGTAATCAAGGCTTATTGGACTTCTACAGAATAAATAATTAACAATTGAAGATGAGATTACTGTGAAATATGTTGAAACCATAGAATATCAGGAATAGTTATAAGAAACAAGATATGATATATATAAGAAACAATATGATATGTTTCAAGTAATCAAGGCTTATTGGAATTCTACAGAATAAATAATTAACAATTGAAGATGAGATTACTATGAAATATGTTGAAACCATAGAATATCAGGAATAGTTATAAGAAACAAGACATGATATATATAATAAGCAAGATATGATAGATATGTTGTTCACTACCCTCTCCCTTGGGATAGAGATAATTTCTTATCATATAGATTCTTGTTTTGGATGTGATACTTATTTGGGCTGTGTCCCCACCCAATCTCAACTGGAATTGTATCTCCAAATGGATGTGAGAAGTGAAGGTATGCCAGTTCCAAGCTGACACTTTGAGCAGCATCCTACGTTTCTATTCACCCTTTTGTATTCTTGCCATTTGCCACATGAAAACCATACTCCTGGGAAGGTGCTAGCCAAAGAGGATGAGAGAGACATGAAGCTGACCTGAACCCAACATACAGCCTTGAGCCAGCGCAATTGGATCTGCGGCCTGAAGAAGAGCTTCCCTAGCCAACTCACAGAGCCATCAGCAAATAAGAAAATGCTTATTGTTGTAAGCCACTGAGTTCCAAGGTGGTTGTTACAAAGCACAATTGTAGTAATAACTGAATAACTGAATAATTAACAAAGACAAAACAATTCAAAACAAAATGGAAGATTTAACATTCCATTAATTACTGAGACCTTCTTCCATAGCAGTGGCATTCTGGTGAGCATATATATGGGACATAATTATCTTTGTAATCTGTCCTTTCTGATTACACCCTTTCTGTCTCACCCCCTGGGGTGATTAGCTTTCACCCTTCCCATCATGTGACTGGAATGCAGTAATTCTCCAAATTATGTCTACATACTATTCAAATTCATTCAGAAACCAGAGCTGTGATTTTTTTTTTCCTCTTTCATCAGATCATTATAGGAAAATACCCATGGAGCCATAGTGTAGATTATGGGAAAGACAGGTAATATATAGAAGCAGGTACGATGGGAATACCTGAGGAGCCTGAGTCACAAGTTTACTTGTGTCTTCAGATAATGTTTGGGTATAATATAATATAGGTACTCTTTTATTTTGCAAGGGAAAACTGCTATGCATATCCAACTTTTAATTTGTAGGATCATATACTACCAAATTCATGATGGTAAGCTTATTTCTAGTTATCTTTTTTGATAGGAAAAACAAAAAGCATTTGCTAGTTAATTGGCTACACGTTGGATGGCAAGGGCTGTCATTTTCAGGAGAGGCATGCAGTCAGCTTAAAGTGACCAGATGGAGAGTGGGGCAGTCAGTGCTATAAATTCCCCTGCCTCACCCATCTCCATTATCTCCCCATGGTCTCTTGCCACAGATTCCCATGGGTTGAGCCCAACAGGAAGACAGAATGCAAACAAAATCTTTGATGCAGTCCACTATGAATCAGCCTCCTGGCCCACAAAACAAAAAATCTAAGTGGGATTGGGGAGTTGAGGGGAAAGATAAATCTGGAAGACTGACCAGAAAATATCTAGAAAGAAGTGAGTTTCCTTAATTTTATTTTTGAAAAGTATCTAAATTTATAACAAATATAATACTTAACATTAAGTTTGTTAAGGAGATTACAATTTTTTCCTGTCTTACATGCTATATACTTTTGAGAATCTAAAGACTATAAAAATATATGTCTCTATACTTTGTAAACAAATTCATAAAATTTAGAGATTATATTCTACATAAATAATATAAAGGCAGAAGATTCCCGAGAACACATTACCTGAAAGGAATATGTTTCAAAGAGAAAGCTATTAACTTTAAAAAATACGGCCGGGCGCGGTGGCTCACGCCTGTAATCCCAGCACTTTGGGAGGCCGAGGCGGGTGGATCATGAGGTCAGGAGATCGAGACCATCCTGGCTAACAAGGCGAAACCCCGTCTCTACTAAAAATACAAAAAATTAGCCGGGCGCGGTGGCGGGCGCCTGTAGTCCCAGCTACTCGGGAGGCTGAGGCAGGAGAATGGCGTGAACCCGGGAAGCGGAGCTTGCAGTGAGCCGAGATTGCGCCACTGCAGTCCGCAGTCCGGCCTGGGCGACAGAGCGAGACTCCGTCTCAAAAAAAAAAAAAAAAAAAAAAAATACATAACAATAATGAATTTAAATTTCATTGCATATAGTGGCTACTTACGTAAAATAACGCAGACGAACATAAATCTGTTTTCTAAGTAGATCTTGTATTGATTAAAAGGTAACCCAACAATAAGTTGTCACCCATAACAAATATTTATTCCATAGTTCAAAACGTATTTATTAAGTACCTATAATGTGCACATATGTATCTCAATTTCTAGAACTCCTAAAACTACAATACCTAAGCACTATTACAAAGGGTATATGAGATTATATGTAAATTTATCAGCAAACAATTAAATAAAACCTTCCCTCCATATTTTTTCTACTACTACTAACAGGGAAGAACCTCCCAAACAATTAGGAAAATTGTGCATGACTCCTGTTGTTGTGAACAGAGTCTATCAAGAATCTACTGGGATCCAGAATTTCCCAGGGTGTCTTTTCTGACCCTATGGTAGCCTCATTGCCTCTAAAGCACACACACACACACACACACACACACACACACACACACACACACACACACATATATTTATAAATTATATAAATCTACTATATTAGTGGAGCATACACAGTACAAATTCTATTCAAAAAGAAAATTTCAAAAATGATAAAATTTACAAATATATATAAAAGTTCTAATCTTTTCTTGCAACTCTCTGGAATTCATACACCCTACTTTGGTAACTACAGCTTTAGAAGACATAAAATTATAACAAAAGTCTAAATATGAGTACACTATGACCTATAATTTGAATTAATGGCTGTTGGTCTGGGTAATAACTAATAATGTCCCTTTTTTCTCTGGAAGATTTCTTGGTTTAAATGATAGATCATATATGGGCACCCTAATATTAATAAAAAAGCTCTTACAAAACATGTGCATCCTGAATTAAAATTTTTATCCTATGAGAGAGTAAAAATCTTTCAGCTTCAGGCAGAATCAGGAAGTCAGGCATGTTTTCATAGGTACAGGGTTTGTAGAACAAACAAACAAACAAACAAAATCCAATACCTTTAGATTCTTTAATCCTTCACCATAGGTCCCTCACTCTGTGAGCTAAAAGAATTTCCTTTTTTACCTTTCGTTAAAGGTAAAACACTTGCTACCTGCATGACTCTTAGAAACATTTTAGGTTTTGATACCTGCTAGAAGTTCCCAAGGCAAATTTACTATTAAATTCTCAAAAGCATACGCATTTAGTGCCTAAAATATCACTTAAAACTCTTTCAATTTTCCTAGACCTAAAAATGTGGCTAATGACACCAACTGGCAATCACTTTAAATTCCTAAAGTTCTAGAAATTCAAATACTGTAGTCATTATAGGATATATGCCAAATGTTTGCATGCTCTGTGGGTACCATAAATGCTACTGGATTTCTAACAGACCCAAAGGACATCAGGTCCAGGTTTGTCCAGTGCAGTCTCACAGTTTTTATCTGTGAACCCAGCATTATCTTCAATAACATCTTTCAAAAGTGCTGGTTTATATGCAAAACAATATGGTCACTCTAAACAGGTGATATTTATTTATTTTTTGAGACAGGATCTCACTCTATCACCTGGGGCTCACTGCAGCCTCAATCTCCTGGGCTCAATCAATCCTCCCACCTCAGCCTCCCAAGTAGTTGAGACTACAGGCGAGCACCACCACGCCTGGCTAATTTTCGTATTTTTTGTAGAGACAGGTTTTCACCACGTTTCTTAGGCTGGTCTCGAACTCCTGGGCTCAAGTGATCCGCATCCCCAGCCTCCCAAAGCGTGGGATTACAGGCATGAGCCATGGCACTAAGACAATTTTTTTAAAAATATACAGACCTGTAATTAATTATCTGTGCCCCCAACAGAATAAGAAGTAATATAAAAATCCCTATTATTACCTTTCTGCACAGCCAATGGGAGTTCTTGAAGTTTCCAGACTGACCAAGAGTCAATTTTCATGTTAATCATATTCTTTCTTGATCTCTGTTGTTTTAAAGCTTCTTCAGCGTCTGCCCGGTCAGTTTCTAGACTTTTAATGAGACGAATGGCCTCTGAGAGCAATGTTTCCATTTCCTGCTTTAACTCTGGACACTTTTCATCTTAAACAGAAATAAATATTCACATTTGTTAATAAATCAGTCAATAAGCTGGATGATGGGAACATGGGCCTTAGTTGTATTATTATATTTTTCTATATATTTAATAAGAGAATGTTAGAAAAATGAATTACCTTTTAAAAAAGTTTTATTATAATACAAATATAAGATTAATTATAAACTTTGAAGACCTATTTTTAATAAACATTTTATAAAATAATTACAATAGCTAAATCTCAACCAATATTTTCAGGAATAATACCATTTTATCTGAAGGAAAAAACACATGTGCTATTTATAAGCTGTACTATAGAGGTTTATTTTAAAATCATGCTTGTGTGTCCTCCTATTCTATAAGAAAAACATATCATAATGATTATATCAGGTAAATACTGAATAATCATAATGGTTCCTAGAAACAAGACATATTCTTCAATCTCATCCAATAAGAACTTCTCTACTTAGCTTTGCCAGGAATTCATTGGAATTTTGAAACTCTATTTATTTAGTTGTAATACTAAATTAATCCTCAATTAACTCCTTTAATGAGAGATATTTGTGATTCCTGGTTCACAGTTCTGGAATGATGCGGCTTAATGTTAACAAAATTATTACCATGGGTACTCATTTGACCATTTATGAAATAAATGTGTAGAGCCCATTACGTTCCGGGAACAAGCACATGGTCTTTGCTGGAGATAAGTAAGGTAAAGAAGACAGATATGAGTCCTATCCTTGTAGGACTGATGCCTATAAACACTGACTTTTGCCAAAATGTTATATAAACACATAAATACAAAGTGTTAAGAAATAAGGCCCCGAAAGAACTGAGGCTAGAGGAAAAATAGCTAAACTGCACCAAGAAGAAAGAAAACGAATACATTTCTTTTTTATGTTGCTTTTGGACAATAAAGACAATGATTTTCTGCTAGATGGGAGTATTAAATAACGGTGATAAGCGCAAGCTCAGCAGTCATACAATCACTATTTTTTAACCCATTGGACTTGTCAAAGAAATCCAGCATGCTGCCTCAGAAGCATTCTTATAAAACCGGTTTCCCTATTTTTAATGCATAAATATGATTTTCTCTACACTGGTCCTTTATTTGGCATCTTTGAATCTATTGTTTTCTTTTGTCAAATTCTACCACATCTTGGATACTTTAAAATTAATTGTCTTTTTTAAATGAAAACATATTCACTCAACACTTGTTCTCCAGCCAATTTGTGATTCATATCAATTACAATAACAAGATTTCAGTCTGGAATATATGAATAAATTAATACCACTTATAATTAAAATACTTCTGATTGAATATATATGTGTTTTAGCAAAGGTGTTCATTATGTTTCTAGGAGCTGTCTTTTATACTATTTCAATAATAAATTCCAAAACAAATGCCGTATAGGTAACTTGAGATGCCTCAAATTCATTGTATTTAACATCTCATTTTTTTTTCTTGAGTGCCATCTCAGTTTTGCAGTTTCATATTACTGTTCTAAGCAACTACCTGCAATTTTTTAGCATAAGGCCTTGATTACAACAAATCTTCCTCATCCTGCTATTGCTGTATGTTTTAGACCTCAAATGTACATACTGATAATAAACATAATTGTAGCTAATGGAATTGTAGTTGTGATTGTTAATATATCTATTTTTTCTCAGCATTTGTTATGTGAAAACTTGATAAGTAATGATTAAGGTCCTCGTTTTCACTATAGGCACAAATAATGAAAAATAAAACAGTAGAAACAAAGCTTTGCTATGAATGAAAGCTTTGAAAAACAAAATATTCTTGCTTTTAAAAAGTCCTGAGTTTATTACTTAGTTTTCACTCAAGGATTTAGCAATTTTTTGTGGTAGGGGAAGAGGAGGTACTACATAAAATCTCAATAATATATTTAAATACACTGAAGTAGTGTTAACACAAATTTTATACCTGTATATAAAATATATATTTTATAAATTGTGATAAGAATATTTATCACAACTTAAATATATACTAGAACTGCAATTTTCAATATGGTAGTCATCATCCACATGCAACCATTTACATTTATATGCAACTTAATTCACATTAAACTTAAAAATTAAGTTCCTCAGTCTTACTAGCCACATTTCAAAGGTTCAACAGCTGTACGTGGCTAGTAGCTATTCTACTGGACAATATACACATGGAATACTGATTATCACAGAAAGTTCTATTGGGCAACACTAAACTACAAATAGCTTCTTGAGAAGTGGATAGCCATCATTATACACTCATCACCTAAACCAGTACTTGGTGTATAATATTCACTAATAAATATTTGTTGAATGAATGCTTAATCAAATGATATAGAGGACTATTTTGTCTATTAAACATTCATAATAATTATAAAATTCTTAAACATGATTATTGTGACAATCAGAAATATATTAAATGAAGTCAATGAACTTTTAAATATATACAGTTATTCAAGTAGGAGGAACAACTTTACCTCTCTTTTCTCCTGGTTTGACCTCTTTCACTGGTGTAGTTACACTCCAATCTTCTTTCAGGTCTTTTGTGGAAGAAGTTCTGCTCCTATATAATGGGAAAGAAGCAAGCAGTAAAGAAGTACTTAAAGTTAGTAAAACAAATTTTAGGTTATGCTCTTCTATTGAATTTTAAATATTTGTGGTGAAACTTACTATACAAGATAATCTTACTAGATAGGAGACTAATATAGCAAAATTCTAATAGGTAATGGGATTTACACTTAACGGTAAATTAATAAAAACTTAAAATTAGTTACAAATGACCCAAAATGTCTTGAGAAGATATTAAAACTACATTTTTTTAAAGAAATTGGTCATTCCTAGAAAGTGTTTCTGTAAGACAAAGGGTATTCTGTGAGAATAATTTGGATGAATGATTTCTGTAATTTCAGTTCAGTAGTGCCTGGGAAATCAATGTAAATTACAATGAGTAAAAATATCATTTCAGATAATAAACTTTTAGAAAAATATCTAAATTAAAATGTTGTTTCCTTCCTAGTAGCTATACTGTTGGAAAGTACAAATATAGAACATTGATTATCATAGAAAGTTCTACTGGACAACACTAAACTGTAGTGTCTTGAGAGGTGACTATAAATTAAAATGTTATTTCCTTTCTAGCTAAAATTCTGTATGTTGAATAATAAACTATTTCTCCATCTTTCTCTGGTGTGATTCTAGAATCCTAAACTAGCCTTCATTATACATTTTTTAAAAGTGTTTTTTCTCTGATCAAAGTTACAAGAAAATTGGTATCAACAACAAAGCAGAGAATTTCTTTTTGAAATTTTCATTACATTATTTTTTATTAAAGAAGTATTCTAAATTAAGAAAACTGTATACATACCAAAAATCATAAAAAATAATATAATCCATATTTATTCTTCAGAGATCAAATAGAATAGTCTAATGATATTTTAATTCTTATAAAATTAGAGTCACAATTATACATTCTGCTTTAGTTACTTGAAATTATTTTCAGTGTATTTTACTACCATTTCATATTTCTAATGGCTACAAATTATTTTTCTTGTCATTGTTCCACAACTTATCTAGGTAACTCTGTCAATTCCAAGGTCAGAGAAATATCCTTTATATTTTCTTCCTTTAGTTTTCATATTTATTTCAGAATATTTTTGTTGAAAAGTATATTTTTTCTGATTTTTCTTTTAAAAAATTGAAAAATAATTGTCCCAGCATCAACTATTAAATAGTACTTTCCCTGCTGGCTTAATACCATTTACATGATATAGTAAATTATTATACATAATTAGATCATTTTGTGTATTATCTTCTAAAGTTCGGTTAATTCTTGGACCAGTAAAATTCTATGCTAATTTTTCTATTTTTTTAATTGAGCCAAAGTCTCATAACATATTAAACATTTGAAAGTGGAAACTTTAGTGGCATTTAATACATTCACAACATCGTACAACTATCATCCCATCTCATTCCAATATATTTTCATCACTCCAAAAGAACATATGCTACTTATTAAGCAGTCTCTCCCCTTTCTTCAACCCACTATCCCATAGCAATGACTAATCTGCTGTCTTTGTGGATGAACTTTCATGAATATTTTATAGAAATGTAATCATATAAGTGACCTTTCGTGACTTTTTAACTTAGCATAATAGTTTCAAGATTTCTCCATGTTGCAGTATGTAGAAGAATTTTATTTCTTTTAATGGTGGAATAATATTCCATTGTGTATATACAACACATTTGGTTATCTATTAATCCATTGATGGATTTGGGGATTGTGTCCACCTTTTGGCTATTGTGAATATAGATGTTATACACATTTGTATATGAGTTTTTGTTTGAACATGTTTTGAATCCTTTTGGGTATATATCTTGCAGTCAAATTGCTGAGTGATAGGTAATTCTAGGTTTCACTTTTTGAGGAGCCGACAAACTGTTTCTCGGTATCTAAACTATTTTATATTCACGCCAGCAATATGCAAGGGTTCTAATGTTGAAGAAAAGTGGAAAGAGTGGGCATCCTTGTTTTGCTCCTGTTCTTAAGATAAAAACTTTCAGTCTTCACCATCAGGTATAATATAAACTAAGGGTTTCTCATAAATATCCTTTATTGTGTTTAATAAAGTTCCCTTACAATCTAGTTTTACTAAAGGTGTGGGCTTGTGTCACATGTTAACTAATTTTCGTATGCTAAACCACTCTTGCATTTCTAGGATAAATCTCACTGATCATGATGTGTGTGTGTGTGTGTGTGTGTGTGTGTGTGTGTATAGTTTTTGTTTGTTTCTTTGTTTTTTTGAGACAAAGTCTCACTGTCGCCCAGGTTGGAGTGCAGTGGAGCGATCTTGGCTCACTGCAACCTCTGCCTCCCAGGTTCAAGTGATTCTTGTGCTTCAGCCTCCCAAGTAGCTAGGATTACAGGCGCCCGCCATCACACCCAGCTAATTTTTGTATTTTTAGTAGAGACGGGGTTTCACCATATTGGCAAGGCTGGTCTCAAACTCCTGACCTCAGGTGATCCACCAGCCTTGGCCTCCCAAAGTGCTGGGATTACAGGCGTGAGCCACTGTGCCCGGCCGTATAATTATATTAATGCATTGCTGGACTCAGGTTGATAGTATTTTGTTGAGGATTTTGTCATTTTTTGTTTGTTTGTTTTGTTTTGTTGCCCAGGCTGAAGTACAGTGGCACAATCACAGTTCACTGTAAACTTGACCTCCTGGGCTCAAGCAATCCTCCAAACTCAGTCTCTGGAGTAGCTAAGACTACTGGCATGCGCCACCACACCTGGCTCATTTTTTCATTGTTGTTGTTTGTTTGTAGAGATGGGTTTTGATTATGTTGCCTAGGCTTGTCTCAAACTTCTGGGCTCAAGTGATCCTCTGCCTTGGCCTCCCAAAGTACTTGGATTACAGGTTGTGAGCTACTGTGCCCGGCCTGTCATGTATATTCAGATATATTCTATAGTTTGCTTCTGATGTCTTTGTCTGGTTTCACTATCATGTTATTGCTGGGCTCATAGGATGACTTAGAAATTATTCTCTTCTTTTCTATTTTTTGGAAGAGTTTGAGAAGGACTGATGTTAATTCTTCTTTCAATGTTTAGTAGAATTTACCAGTGGAGCCATCTGGTCCTGAGATTTTTTTTGTTGGGGAAATTTTTGATTATTGATTCAATCACTTTATTTGTCATAGTTCTGTTCAGGTTTTCTACCCCTTCCTGAGACAGTTTTAGTAGTTTATGTGTTTTTAAGAATTAGTCCCTTTCATCTTCGTTATTTAGTTTGTTGATACCCATTTGTTCCTAGTATCCTCTTTTAATCCTCTTTATTTCTGCAGAATCTGTTGTAGTGTCCCAGTTTTTATATTATTTTAGTTAATTTGTAATTGAGTCTTCTTTTTATTTTTGGTTAGTTTAGCTAAAGGTTTGTGAATTTCATTGCTCTTTTCAAAGAAAAACCTTTTGTTTTAATTGATTCTGTGTACTGTTTTTCTAGCCTCTATTTCATTTATTTCTACTTTAACCTTTATTTCCTTCCTTTTGCTAACTTTGGGTTTAGCATACTCCTGCTTCCTTAAGGTATAAAGTTAGGTTACTGGATTTGAGTTCCTCTTTTTAAATGTAAGCATTTATAGCTCTAAATTTCCCTCTGTGGACTACTTTTGCTGCATTTCGTAAGTTTAAATACATTGTGTTTTCATTTTCACTCACCTCAAGGTGTTTTCTAATTTCCCCTGTGATTACTGCTTTGACTCATTGGTTTGTAAAACATGATTTGTTTAATTTCCACATATATATGAAATTTCCAGTTTTCCATTTGTTATTGATTTCCAGTTTCATTCTATTGGGTCAGAAAAAAATACCATGTATAATTTTGATCTTTTTCGTTTCATTGAGATTTATTTTGTGGCATAATATATGATCTATCCTGAAGAATGGTCCATGTGCACATGAGAAGAATGTGTTTTCTGCTGTTGTTAAGTGGAGTATTCTGTATAAACTGGTTAGGTCTTGTTGGTTCATGTTATTCAAGTCTATTTATTTATTGATCTTCTGCTTAGTTCTTTTATCCATTATTGGAAGTGGGGGCATTAAATTCTCAAAGTCCTGTTGTAGAACAGTCTATTATTCCCTTCAATTCTGTTAGTTTATATGTCTGTTTTGAGGTTATATTGTTAGGTGTGTTATATTTATAGTTTATATATCTTCTTGGTGGAATGACACTTTTATCAGTGTATCAAGTCTTTTGTCTTCTGTAACAGGCTTTGATTTAAAGCCTATTTTGTGTGATATTGGTATAGTCACTCCAGCTCTCTTTTACTTACTATTTGCATGGAATATGGTTTTTCATCCTTCCACTTTTAAGCTACTTATGTCTTTGTATCTCAGGTGAGACTCTCATAGACAGAATAGTTGGATTATCTATTCTTATCCATTCTACCATGCTCTACCTTTCAATTGGAGAGTTTAATCCATTTATATAAGAAGTAATTACTGATAAGGAAGGGATTATTTTTGCCATTTTGCTATTCATTTTCTATATTATTTATTTCTGAACTCCTCCATAACTGCCTTATTTGTAACTAGTTGATTTTTTTCTATATATTGTTTAGTTTCCCTCTTTGTTTTCCTGTACTGTCTAAAATAGAATCTTAGTGTTTATCCTGAGGATTACAATTAATATCTTAACTCTATAAAACTTGAATTAAAATCAATGTAGCTTCAATAGTATACCTATCTATTTATATATAAAGAACTCTGTTCCTTTATGTCTCTGCTCTTTCTCTTATGGTGTCAATTTCACAAATTACATAGTTATCCATTTTGTGTTCATTTGCATAAATTTATAATTATGAATTTTATCCATTTGACCTTATAATCATATAGGGAAACAAATAAGAATTACAAAACAAAAATACACTTATACTGGATTTTATACTTACCTTTGTAGTTACCTTTATTATTGTTTATTATTTTATCATATGGCTTCCAGTTACTCTCTAGTGTCGTTTCATTTCAGCCTGAAAGACTACTTATAGGATTTCTTATAGAACTGGACTGCTAGTGATACACCCCTTTGGTTTATCTGAGAATGTCTTAATTTCTCCTTTATTTTTGAGGATACTCTTGCTAGATTCGGAATTCTTCATTGACAGTTTCTTTTTTTTCTTCTGGCATTTAAATATGTCACCCCACTGCATTCTGACTTCCACAATTCCTAATGAACAATTCACTGTTAATCGTACTGAGGGTCCCTGGTACATGAAAAGTTGCTTCTCTTGTGCTGCTTTCCAGATTCTCTTTGTCCCAGGCATTTGACAAGTTAACTAAAATGTATATGGGTGTGGATCTGTTTGACTTGATTCTATTTGGAGTTCATTGAGTTTAATGGATGCATAGATTTAAGTCTTTCATCAAATTGAAGAGTTTCTTAGCCATTGTTTCTTCAAATATTTTTTCATTCTCTAGCCCTTTCTTCTCACTTTTTGACTGCTATTATGCTTGATGGTATCCCTTAGGCTTATTAGGCACTTTTCATTTTTCTTTATTCTCTTGTCTTTCTTGTTTCTTAGACTAGATAATCTCTATTAACTTATCATCAAATTCACTGATTATTCTGACTGCTCAAAGCTGCTACTGAACCCTTCTAGTGAAGTTTTTAATTTCAGTTAGTTTATTTTTCAGTTCCAGAATTTTTTTTTTTTTTTTTTTCCAGACAGAGTCTCACTCTGTCGCCCAGGTTGGAATGCAGTGGCACGATCTTGGCTCACTGCAACCTCCACCTCCCGGGTTCAAGTGATTCTCCTGCCTCAGCCTCCTGAGTAGCTGGGACTACAAGTGCAGGCCACCATGCGCAGCTAATTTTTGTATTTGTTTTTAGTAAAGACGGGGTTTCACCATATTGGCCAGGCTGGTCTTGAATCCCTGACATGATCCACCCGCCTTGGCCTCCCAAAGTGTTGGGATTACAGGCATGAGCCACCGCACCCAGCCTAGAATTTCTATTTGGTTAATTTTTATAATTTCTCTAATTGAGATTTTATATTTGTTGAAACATCACTTTTCTGCTTTAACTTAGTTATTTGTTCATGGTTTCCTTTATCTCTTTGAAGATATTTAAGTCAATTGATTTATCTTTGTCCAGTAAGTCCAAATTTTGGGTTCCCTTGAGAACAGTTTATGTTAATTTATCCTTTTTCACTGTGAATGACCCAAGCTTTCTTTTCTTTGCATTCTTCATATTTACTTTTTGAAAATTGGACATTTTGAATATTTTAATGTGAAATAAAAACCAGATTACACTATTGGATTTGCTTTTTCTGTCTGTAGTGGGTTATTGTTTGTTTAGTGACTCTTCCAAACACTCTTTCATAATGGCTGTATTATTTGTCATGTGTAATCACTGAAATCTGTTTCCTTAGCTTACTGGTGAGCTAGTGTTTTGTGTGAGTTCACTTAAATGGCTGGCAACAAAAGAAAGGAAAAAGAAAAACAATACTCTCCAATCTTGGCAGATTTGGTCTGTGTTAGGGTAATCCTTCGAGGCTTACCCAGGCTGTTTAAACCCTGACTCTGTCTTCAATTCCTGCCCATGCAGATCCTAAAGGTCAGCCAGAAGTAAGATTAGGATCTTCTCAAGTCTTTTTTGAACATTTTTCCAGCCCTCTGTGTTCTATCAAATCTCCAGTATATTGAGAGATTTTCCTTCATGTATCTATCTCTTTTTCCAACCTATTTTTTCACAGGAATTTTCGTCTGGTTAATGCTTGTCCTAGCTGTTATCTATAGCCTCAGGCTGCTATGGCAAGTATATGCCTTTAAATGCTTTTTGCAAACACTGCCTGTAAGTAGCCCCAGCCTTGTGATTCCTCCAAGTCAAGCAAAGTCCTTATGCTAGTCTTTCTGGGAGCTATCAGATCACTCAAACACAATTCTTTGAGAATGATGTTCCTATTATTCCCTCTGGCACTAGGAATCTGCACCATAGGTGTACACTGCTCTCTTCATAGCTGCCACCAGTCTGAAGGCTGGAGAATGCTGAGCAGGCAAATTACAATGCCACAGTGCTCTCTTAATGCAATGAAGCAGCTTCCTTCTTCATTGAATTTTCCCCTAGTGGTTATTAAATTTTTACTGGATTCCAGATTTCTGTAAAAGTCGATTCTGACTGATGTTTTTGCAAATTTTATAGTTGTTTTTGTGGAGGGGTGGAGCTCTGGAGATCTCTAGTTTGCCATTATCAGTGATGTCCTCATTCTTATATTTTAAAAAATATATTGCAATATCTATTGTGAAAAATCTTGCATTCGATTTTCTATTCCTTTTGAAGTTAAACTGGATTATAGCAGATGATTGAAATTTGGACATTAAAAATAAAATAGTTTTAAAAAGCATGAAATTTTCTTACCATTCTTCAAAAGAAGTTTCAAACTGTCAAAACAAAAGATCTCAATAAAAATCAAATCTTAAACATATTAAAAAACTGAATAAATGTCACTTAAACTTGTCAATTCTCTACTTTACATATCTCTACTTCATTATATTTTTGTGTACTTATACTCTCGGTTGTATAAACCAAAAATAAAATTCTAAGCCCCCCCAACTGACTGAGTAGGTCCCCCCAACTCTTGGCCAAGGGGACCCCAAAGAAACCTAAAAAGCTAGTTAAGGACATGAATAGGAAAGGGGGTTAGACATGCCTCATTATAACCTCCTGCCTTTGTAATCTAGACACAACAGACCAGCATTAAAATTAAAACAGAAATCTTAAGATAAACAAAAAAGACTCTTTGTAGCAATAATATACCAAATTCCCACCTGATTCTGATATAGCATCACATGACAGATAACAGGCCTTGAAAGAAATCAAAGTATTTCACTCCAAAATATACTTCTTTGACATATTCAGAAACAGTCCTGCAAAACCGTCTCTTGTGGCAGAAGTTTGCATTCTGTAGAGAATCTCTTTCCCTTACTAGGTCCTTTTTAGGGAGCCTGACACTTTCAAGGTCTGATAAGAGACATTCACCACCTATTCTCTCTGAAGCCTGCTACCTGGAGGCTTCATCTACATGACAAGAACTTTGGCTTTTTTTTTTTAATGGTGAATTCAACAATTCAGGCAAGTCATATCTTTCAACCAATTACCAATCAGGAAACCTGAATTCACCTATGACCTGGAAGCCCCCATTTCTAGATGTCCCACCTTTCCAGGCCTAACCAATGTATAACTTGCATGTATTGATTTATGTCTTTCCCTGTAACTTCTGCCCCCCTAAAATGTATAAAATCAAGCTGTAACCAAACCACCTTGGGCACATGTTCCTGGGACCTCCTGAGGCTGCCATGGACCATGGTTCTTAACCTTGGCAAAATAAACCTCTAAATTGATTAAGACCTATCTCATAAACTTATTGGTTTACAGTTGTTTCCCAAGAAGTACATAAATCTCCTATCTATTCATATTGTTTTATTCTTAACCCCACCTAATTGTTCTGACCTTGTCTCTGTGATTCTAAATCTTACACATTCATCAAGGGACAGTTCAACTGCTATTTATTCCCAAAAGACTTTCCTAACAGTCAGAAGTACATGACATCTATTGAATTGTAATGTGTTACCAAAGAGTGGTGAATACAAAATTATACCTGAGTTCACATATTTAGCTTTCCATAATATTATGCCTTTTCTGGACTATAAAGTCATTGGCAGGGTTATTTTCTACAGATATATTCTAAGAGTACCTTGGGTTGTACAAGTCATAAATTATCAAAAATGCAAAACCAGAATGTTACAGGTTTCATAGATTATCTCTCATTCAAGATGTTTATTTGGCATACATGATTACTTCTCTCTAGTTCCCATATCCTACCAAAATCTGAACAAAAAAATTATATGATATATATATATATGTGTATGCATGTGTGTGTGTGTGTATACACACACACATTCACATTAATATATACATATATAGTCATGTGTCACTAATGACAGTGATACATTCTCAGAAATTCATTGCTAGGCAATTCTGTCATTGTGCGAACATCATAAGAGTATATTTATACAAACCTCAGTGGTATAGCCTACTACACACTTAGGCTATATGGTATAGTCTATTGCCCCTGGCCTACAAACCTGCACAGTGTGTTACCATACTGAATGCTGTAGGCAAGTATAGCACAATGTATTTGTGTATCTAAATATATCAAAATATAGACAAGATACAGTAAAAATACAATATTGTAATCTCATGAGACCACTGTTGTATATGTGGTACATCATTGACCAAATAATGAAAAAGACTAAATTCATGTACATAATAAAAAACTGAGGAATGCAATTATGTTTAAAATCCCAATAGATTTTTTTCATATAATATGACAAGCTTATTCTAAAATTTATATGGAAGAGCACTGCATCAAGAATACCCGAAGAACTCTAAAAAGGTAAAAAGAAGTACCATATGAGATATCAAAACATATTATGACTCATGTAAATGACTGAAAGCAGATATTGGCATAGGGAGGTAAAATTGACTAGTGGGATGGAACAGGCCAGAAATAGGTAAAATCATACATGAAACTTTGATGTATGATGGATATGGTATGGCTGATTTATAAGAAATGACTGGATTTGAAATAAAATCAATGTGGAAAAAACTAATTTTCCTTAGTAAAATTAGCTATCAATTCCATTCATATGCAAAAAAGAAATCAATTTCACATTATTGAGCAAATCTCCAAAGAAAAATTAAAATTTTAGTAGCTATAAAGTAAAACTGTTATAGCATTGTGGTATGGAAATTTTTCTTAAACAAGACACAAATCACTTAAAAGCAAAAGTAAAGTGATAAATTTAATTACATTAAAATTAATAAAGTAAAAAGACAAGTCACAAACTGAGAGAAAGTGTTTACAACATATACAACTTACTAAAGGTAACAAGTTCCTAAAAGTCAATAAGAAAATACAAGTAAACCCAAAAGAAAGTGGCAAAAGATAAATTGGCATTTTGCAGAGAAGAGAATAAAAATTCAGTGAGCATGTTAATAAGATTCTAAACTAATTAATAATCAGGAAAATGTTATTCCTTGATTTTGGAAACTGGCATTCACAGTCCTGCATAATGCAGAAATCCACATGATGTTGATTTATGTGACAGTTCTAAGAAGCCATTTGAAGTTGAAGTATCACAAGAGAGTCAGGGGAAAATTGGTTAAGAGGCACTTCAATGAATTGTGATATAATTATCCAAAACTTCTGAAGTCCTCAACAAGTTAGTAATAATTAATAGTCTCAGCTTGATCTTTATAGCTCAATAGAAAATCATTTATTTTATAAAGATAAAACATTATTACTCCAAATTTTTGAAGCAGAGTGCAATTTCATATGAAGAAACGTTTTAAGGTAATATATCAAAACATTACCTTAGCAACTTTGTTTAGAAGTAAGTAACAAAGAAATAATTAAAAAATTACTTTAGTCAGTCTTTGATCTGATGTGTGGAGGCAAAATTTCTGGTACCTAGCATTTAAATACTATTTATTCAGGATATTGAAGTGGTTAACACAGAGAAGGCCTACAATTCCAGAGAAACATTTGAAGTCTTATATTCATAACTGCCTATCTGAAAAATCTGGACAAATTTTAGAAGTTTATCAAAGTCACTTTAAATCATTATTTTAAATAAAATTCCTGATTATAATTAAGCTTAGAATTTCACTTGTCATAAACATTTGTGTTATGTAGATGCTTCGATGAAAATACCTAATATAATCAATTATATCAAACTAACTACAAGACTCCATACAATTCTCATTTCTGATTTTACCAAAATAGCAAATGAAAACAAAGGAGGAGGGAGAGCTAAAATTGCCCGATTCGATGTAGTTTAAAATATTATTACATTATGGGGGAAATGAAACACTTCATTTACTTACAGCTCTAAGCCACATTGCCCACAAACTTCTGCTTGATAAATCTAACATTTCCATTGACCTTGTTTATTTAAGTCTATATTTTTATTGGAAATTATTACCAAATATTTAAATATTTTAATGCTATTATTGAGACAAAAAGTATTCATGAAACCTTCTATTTTCCACTGTAAAAATAAGAAAATAATTAACCTTATGTTAGAAATTTTTTTTTAATGGACGATAACAAGTGCTAATAAGGATGTGAAGAAATTAGAACACATTTATATTGCTGGTGGGAATTTAAAACAGTTGGGCTATGGAAAATAATTTGATGGTTTCTCAATAAGTTATATATAGAATCATCACATGATACAGCAGTTCCACTCCTAGGTATATACTCAAAAGAACTGAAAACAGGTACTTAATCAAATCCTTATATAATATATAATTATATAATATATACTACATGCATGTTCATAGTAGCCCTCTGTACTATAGACAAAGGGGAACAACCCAAATGACTATCAACAGATGGACAGATACCAATCGTTGTATATATACACAATAGATTATTCAGCTATAAAAAGAAACAAAGTACTGAAACATGCTACAATGTGGATCGACCTCCCACATTATGTCAAGTGAAAAAAATGCAGGTCACATATTGTATGATTTTATTTATATCTAATATCCAGAATAGATATAGCTATCAAAATTGAAAATGAAAAAAGGAAAATTATCTCTATTTGCAGATGACATGATCCTATAAGCAGAAAACCTCAATGCTACACAAAAAAACCTGTTAGAACTAATAAATTCAGCAGTTGCAAGATACAAAATCAATGTACAAAAACTAGTAGCATTTTTATACATGAATAATGATCTAGCTGAAGAAGAAATTAAGAAAACAATCCCATTTATAACAGCATAAAATGCCTTGGAATAAGTCTAATCAAGTAGCTGAAAGATTTGCACACTAAAACTATAAAACATTAATGAAAGAAATTGAGCGTGATGCAAATAAATGAATAAATATGTGTTTACAAATGGGAAGAATTAATATTGCTAAAATAATCCTAGTACTCTAAGCAATATATAGATTTAATGCCATGTCGATAAAAATTCCAATGACTATTTTCACAGAAATAGAAAAAGAATATAAAATTAATATAGAGCCATAAAAAAACACCAAAAGTCCCAACAATACTGAGGAAAAAAGGTAATGTTGGAAGCATCAGACTTCCTGATTTAAACTTATATTACAAAGCAATCATAATCAAAACAGTATGGTCCTGGCATAAAAACAAAAACATAGACCAATGGAATAGAATAGAGAGTCCAGAAATAAGTTAAAACACAGACGGACAACTAATTTTTGACAAAGGCATCAAAAGGACACAATGAGGAAAGAATAGTCTCTTCAATAAATGATGCAGGGAAAACTAAATTTCTATCACCAACAGAATGAAATTGGCTCTTATCTTAAACAATACACAAAAATCAATTCAAAATGGATAAAAGACCTAAATTTAAGATCAGAAGCCATAAAACTCCTAGAAAAGAACATAGAGGAAAAGCTCCTTCACATTGGTCTTGACAACAACTTTTGGGAATCACACCAAAAATTCAGACTTCAAAGACAAAAATACAGAAATGGAACTGCATCAAACTAAAAAAAAATGAAAAGTCCAGTTACATACTAGGAAAAAAATAATTGGAAACCACATATCTGATAAGGAGTTAATATGAAAAATGTATTAAAAACTCTTAAACTCATTAGCAAAAACCAAATAACCTGATTTAAAAATGGGCAAAGGACATGACGTATCTTCAAAAAATATATAAATGGAAAACAGGTATGCAAAAAGGTGCTCAACATCACTAATCATCAAGGAAATGCAAATTAAAACCACTATGAGATATCTTCTCACACACATAAGGATGACTACTATAAAAAAGACAAGAGATAAATGTTGGTGAGGGTATGGAGAAAAGGGAGCCCTAGTACAACTGTTGGTGGGAAGGTAGAATGGTACAGCCATTAGAGAAAACAGTATGGAGGTTCCTAAAGAAATTAAAAATAGGACTACCACATGACCCAGCAATTCATCTTTTAGGTATATACCCAAAGGAGATGAAAGCACCAGCTCGTAAAGATATCTTCACACCCATATTCGCTGCAGCATTATTCACAATAGCCAAGATATGGAAACAACCTGAATGTTCATCGATGAATAAGTGAATAAAGAAAATGTAGGAGTGTGTTTGTGTCTCTGTGTATGTACACATACACGCATGTATGCATGTGTATGTGTGTCTATATGTTTATGTGTGTATGTCTGTATGTATATATATACATATATATATATATAGCTAATATTCAGCCTTATAAAAAATGGAGAGCCTGTTATTTGCCACAACATGAATGGACCTGGAAGACATTATACTAAAGGAAATAAGGCAGACACAGAAAAATGTTGCATGACCTTACTTACATGTGGAATATATTTTTTTAAGGAGTTCAAATACACAGGTAGAGAATGAAACAGTGGTTACCACAGGTGGGAGTCGGGAAGAGGAAATGCAGAGATGCAGGTCAGAGGATACAAAGCAGCAGATATGGAAAATGAACACGTCTAGAGATCTAATGTAAAACATGAGGACTAAAGTTAATAAAATTGTATTATATTAGGGATTTTTGTTAAATAAGTAGGTATTTGTTGCTCTTGTCACAAGGATGTCACTATGTGAAATATATGAGACTAACATAGATATGTTAGCCGGCTTCACTATAGTAACCATTGTACTACTATACCATCTATATGTGTCTGTCTGTATGTATCCCAAAACAGCATGTTGTAAACCTCAAATAAACGCAATAAAATTTATTTCAAAAGAAAGCAGATTGGTAGTTGCAAGACTTGGGTTAAGAAGAGAATTAGGAGTAAATTCTTAATGGATATGGGGTTTTATTCTGGAGTAGTGAACATGCTTTGGAGCTAAATATAGTGGTGATTACACATTACATAAACTAAATGTTACGGAGTTGCTCACTTAAAAATGGTTAATTTTATGCGATGTGAATTGCACCTCAACTTTTAAAATCACTTAGGAAGTCTGAGTAAATTACAAATTTTAATTATAAATGTGTCAATACTGGTTCATTAATTACAGCAAAGATACCATACTAATGAGATATTTTTAAAAACTGGATCCAGAATATACATGAACTCCCTACACTATCTTCTCAATTGTTCTGTAGGTCTAAAGTGTTCTAAAAAAATTTTATTTAAAAAAAACAAATTAGAGGAACATAAAACATAATTATCTAATTCAAGGAAAGTATGTTTTAATAAAGCAAATAAAGCAAAAGAATATGGCTGGGGCTTTTGGGGCATGGAAGTAAACCAAATCAGATTCATACGAAACTTCAAAGTTTTCATTAGAATTGTGGCATCTTGGACTAAAAACCAAGAGACAGTTGAAAATGCAAAGAAGCTTCTGAGCTCTCAACTTATAAGAAGCAGGAAGAAGTCTGAGATAGGAACTCAGATCCATTTTCTACAGAAATGAAAGTACCTCTGGAGCCAAGAGTTGAGAGTAAATCAAACAGCCAGTGAGGACCACAGACCAATAAATTATTCCCAATGAGCAGAACTGGGTTCTAATAAAAAAACATTTCTTGGTCCTAGATTTGGGGAACCTGACACCATATGCTGATAAAATTCAGAATTTTATGGATCAGTGAAAGCCCTATGTCTTCATTCTTCCCCTTTTTGAATGAGGGGTTTATTGTGATTATTCTATCCCTTCTTCACTGTGTATACTAAGTATGCAGGAGCAGTATTTGACTTTTCACTTTAGTTCATAGATCTATGGGTCAAAAGAAGTTGCACACAAGGAACTTCATCTGTATCAGATCTGTTACAGAACATGTAATTATGGATATTCATGATACCAGAAAGATATAAAACTGTTTTAAGAAAAGGTCATTGTAGTTTGCATTTGGGGAGCAGTATTAATCATGTGGCAATGGACTGATAGATTGCTACCTAAATTGTTCCCATAGAATCTTGTCTTCTGGATCCACATCTTTTCTAGTACTCTCCTGCATTAACAGTGGGATTGACTATGTGCTTTGCTTTGGTCAGCGGGACTTCAGCATACATGACACAGGCAAAGCTTTGTTAAGCACTTGTCTGTTGAGATTCATCCTCTTGAAATACGCTCTAACAGCCAACAACCATGTGAGTGAGACCATTTTAATCATTATTCCCAGTTGTGCTACCAGATGTGTGTATCCACATGATTGGTCCCAGGCAAGAACCAGCAAAACTGCCCAGCTGAGTCCAGAACAAATTGCTGAATTGTAACCACGTAAATGCTTGTGTTCTAGCCACAAAGTGTTGGAGTACATGTGTATATGTACGTATGTGCATGTATACCAATAGGTAAAAGAAAAAAAGATAAATGGTTACTTTGCTCAAAATATTTTCATTAGAATGGGGAAAAATTCTAGACTGCAAAGAATAAATGAGTGATTGGGAGGTGTGGAATTAGATACTAAATATAGACAACTTTCAGATGCTAAGTGGAATGGAGAAAGAAAGACAAGGGGAGATATTTAAAGGTCTGTATAGAATTTTAAAATGTTCTTAAAAATAGGAGATACATCAGTATCTTCAATGTGTACAGGAGCTAAGAAAAAAAGGAGATTTTTTAAAGACAGAATGCTGAGAGAAGACACAACTGACGGAGCAAGATCCTTGCAAAGGTAGAATATGCAATGCAGTGAGGGGAACAGCTCTAGGTGGGTGGGGGACAAAAAGAACAATATTTGTGTTCAGGGATGTCCATAGGTGAGATAACAACAGTTTGAAGCATTTCTGTTGTCGCTCCTTTTTTTTTTTTTTTTTTGCAAAGAAAGAAATGAGCTGTAAGGTAGAAGATTTAGAGGTTTGAACAAAAAAACATTGGAGTAGCCACCACAGACTACTAGAAAAATTTCAATTGACAAACAATAATTTCAGAGCACTATACAATGTACAACTGAGGGTGGAGACTATGGTTACATAACATCTTAAATTTTGGGTAATGTTCTCCAGTACCATTCAGCAGACCAGGGGTGGGAGTGGGGATGGCAGACCATCAGAGATATTTGGGGTTGGCATTTTGTCAGACTAGAAGGATGACAGGATAAAAAGTAAAGGACCAAATACTCCAACTGATGAATGTTTAGAGAGATTAATTGATTAGGCAAGAAACTAAAGGAAAATAGGAACCACAGAATAGGAAACCAGATATATCAGCATTTGAAGTGCTCATAAGTTTCAAGTTAAATACAATAGAACTAATAGAATGAGAGAACTCAAAGTATAAGAAACTTAGTAAAGAGTCAGGTGTTAAATGTTAGGTTTCAGAGTTAAAAAATAGATATGAAGTGGTATAAAAAGAGCCAAGTTTTCCAATGAGAATGACAAACTTTTTAACATTCATGTCTTTGGTCTTAATAGCTGACACATTGTCAAGGACACGATGTCATGGCACAGTGCTGAACCGGATGTGCTTAGAGCTCGGATACACCTGGTCTGGATGCTGGCTCTGCCACTGACATTAGATCTCGGGAGAAATCAGCCTCTGAAATCATTTTCCTCATCTGCAACTGGAAATAATGGCAGTTTCTATCTAATAAGGTTTTAATAAGAATTCAATGAAATTATGCATATTAAGTGTTTAATAAGTCTATATTTGGTAATCATTTTATAAATATTAGCTTTATTATCATAGTTGATGTTATTAATTTTGTACAATATATTGTTAACATTTTAAAGAATGTTTTTTAAATGCTTTCTCTCTGTGTTATTCTTTTAAGTTACAGTAGCATCCTAATGACTGATATTGATTAAATGAAGAGGAAAATTTTAATTCTGTAGTGCTCACTCTAAATTAAATAAAACTATTTACAGTCTAGGCAGTCTAAGAGAATAAGGTAGAGGAAAAAAATAAAACAAGAGTCTTTTATTTGTATGAGAAGATATTCAGATGATTATTTTTATCATTGTGTGATGTTTCCAGATTCTTTGCAAAAACAAAATATGGGGAAAATTCTCATAGTAACTCCACTCTGAAGAGTTTTTCAGTGGAGATTCAAATTGCACTTAAACTGGAGTGGATAGAAAAGTCCGTGGCAGATGCGTTGCTGCTAACCACAGGCGTCCAGAGTGTTCTGACTACATTGGAAATCACTGTGGACAGAAAATTGTAAAAGACTGATCTTTTACTCATTCAGTGTACGTTATACCCAGGGTAGATGTAAGCTTTATAATTACTTATAGAATTTTATCTAATGGGCCTCAGGTGGTAGCTCATGCCTGTAATCCTAACCTTTTGGGAGGCTGAGGAGGGAGGATTGTTTGAGGCCAGCAGTTCAAGACGAGCAGGGCCAGCATAGTGAGACCTCAGCAGGAGGGGTTTAAATAAACTTACACTTGGCAAATACCCCTTTCTCTTTTGCTTGTTGCTGGGCCCTTCATTGGCCAGCCTGTCCTTCCTCATCATTGCACCAAACTTTTGTAACAATTAGAGTCATAAGACATGAGATAATGGGTAATTTAGAGAGATAATTAAACCAGTTGCTTGCTTTGACCTCTAACATTAAAACCCAAAGGAATTCAGATGATCTACAACTCAAAATAAGAATTTTGTGCAATTCATGATGGAGATGTATATATACAGATATAATAATAGCTTTAGTGAGATAATTTACATAGCTTAGAGTTCACCAATGTATACAAATCCGTGGTTTTTAATGTATTTACAGAGTTGTATAACCATTATGATAATCACAGATGACTACATATTATATGTAACTGGGGTGAAGGCTCCAGCTGATCATCACCAAGCATTGTTCCTCTGCCTTGCTTTGCCCTCTGCCTAACCCCTGGAAACTGGTGAAAGGGTGGTCCTGTTGTTCTCCCAGCACCAGATACGTTATCAGACGGGCCTGGGACTGTAGGTGATGAATGAATATATATTCACATATATGTATATACAGATACATTTACAGACAGAAAAATGTTCCACTTCCTCTCAAAGTTACAGTCAGTTGACAACTTTACTGGGTAAAATGTTAAGTGGCAAAAATGTTGAGAAGAAATATCCCTTTTCTGCATTTCCCTCAGACATTCTGGAGGAAAAATGCACCCAGCGCACATTCATATTTAGTATTTTCTGCAGGTAATTATTCATTTTAAATATTTAAAAAATTTTCTCCATTTGTAATTTTTGTGGGTACATAGTAGGTGTATATATTTATGGGGAATGTGTGATGTTTTGATCCAGGCATGCAATGTGAAACAAGCAGGCACAGAAAGACAAGCATCACATGTTCTCACTTTCTTGTGGGATCTAAAAATCCAAACAATTGAACTCATGAATATAGAGAATAGATGGAGGATTGCCATTTTAAATATTTCTTACACACATAACTCATTTTATGTGACGTGAGGATTTATGCTTAGGTTAATTCTGAATTATGATCTTTATTTACTTATTTGGAAATATTAGATGCTATTAGCTTTGATTTCAAAATATCAGAAGCTATCTTTCAAAGAGTTCTTTCCAGTTGTGCCTGCTTAATTTTATTTTTGAGGAAATTTAAGTTCCTATGTCAATGTAAGGTTGTCTAATATTACCAACATTTTTTGGTAATATTATCACTTTTTCCATGTGATAATGGGAAGATTTTTTTCTTATTGTGATAGGTTAGTCAGAAAAAATTTTTTCATCTTTCAAAAGGATAGCTGACCACCAGTTCATTCTTAAAATATTAGTTCAAATACTGCATAGATTTGAACTAAATATCTAATGGAGAGTCCTCATCATTGCACCAAACATAGTACTTATGTTCTATTTACCAGTTCAACACTAGCAAATCTAACTGCACAGTCAATAATAAAACAAAATAAGATAATTTTTAAATATAGAAAATAGAAAATCTACAAAATAACCTTGAAAATTAACAGAAAGTTTGTCATTAGCATTTATTTCATAATGAATCTCCTTTCAGATAAAACTCGTATTTATTTATTCATAAACAAAGAATTATCATTATTGAAATTTTTGTCTAGAAGTGTACTTTTCTATCATTGTTATTGTGTGTTTCTTCTCAAAGTATCAACTAATATTCTCCTAAATGAGAATTAAGTTCTCTCCAAGGATATAAAACAGAGGTTGAATGGACTTTGGAGTCAGATGGAACTAAGTACAAATTCCAACTGTAGTGCTCACTACCTGTGTGATGTGTACATATAAGGTATTTGACTTCTCTATGCCCTAGAATTCTCATCTGTACAGTAGAATTTCTATAAAGGGCAAAACAATAAATATTTATTAAATGTCTAGAAAATAGGAGAGGTTAGGTACATAAATCACCATTACCATATGGAGTGGATAGGTGCCTCAGATGTATGCAGAATAGAAAGGTTCTGTTTTAGATCTTCATTTACTTTTTTATTCAACAGACAGTTATTGAGTGCCTACTATTTATCTGGCACTAATCTAGGCCCCAGAAGACAAGAGTAAAGAAGTCAGCTCTGGTGCTTCTCCTTTTTTGAGGTTTTTCAATATATTTACATGAGAATAGCTCTTTTTTTCAGTTTTTTTAAAGATAAGATATAAAATATCTTGGCTCATTTTGTAAACTATTTTATCTAAGGTAATATTTTACCTGCCCTATTATCCATAGTATCTAACAGTTTATCAACTGTTCAGAGCACCAAGTCGGATTCAGGAAAGAATATGGGCTTTGAAAACAGACAGAGGGTGTGTGAATCCCAATTCTGCCTTGTGAGCTTGAACAAGTTGCTGAATTGTTTTAAACTACTATTTCCCTATCTATCAATTAGGTATAACAATAACCATTCAATAGTTTTGTAAGGTCTAAGAGCAATGATGTAGTAAAACATAATGTCTGACTTATATTAGTTTTTTAATCAATGGTAGCTGTTATAATTATTTATTAAAATACCTGTTTTAATTATTTATTAAAATACCATTATACCATTTTAATAAGTGGTAGTTGTTATAATTATTTATTAAAATACCTATGATTTTTATCATTTTTAACAACATGGGTAATTGTTAATTAAAACTCATAGGAAGTATATAGCATATCATAGCAACAAATATTAATTTCTGCTCTTTATTTCCTTGCCATAGTCTTCAAAGCCCAGGACACCATCAGTCCTGTGACCTATAAAGCATTTCCTGAAGGGGTAATCTGATTTGGAGAAATATAGAAACAACAAAGGTAACACAATGCTGATATAGAATGATATAAATAATATAGAAGTAACAGTGACAAATATATATTGAGTGCATATCATTTGCTGGTACTTGTTCTAATATAGTATCACTATCTCTTCATTCCCATCTAAGGTCACTCTAAAGCCTGCAATCTTGAAGACTGTACTCTAATGATCTCTAACAAAAGAGGTGACATCCTAGACTGAGAATTGTAAGTGGCCCATCAGAATGTTTGCTGAGCCAGATCCAGTAACAGTGGAGAGAAAAAAAAAATAGCACAGGTCTCTGGAAAATTGATCTCCCATTTGAGCAGTCTAATTCTGCATTAGTTGTTCAGAAATATAATCTTAATAAAAGGTATGAGAAGTGGTATTTTTTGTCATTCTTAAATCATCCTTTGAAAATAATTGCCTTTCAAGATTGAACTCCCTTCAGAATAATAAAGGCAAACTTTTAACAGGTTAAAAAGACATAGAATCATTATATTCCTTTTCAATAGAACTATTAAGCATTTCTTTAGAATAAAACAACTCATTAAAAAGGGCACACTGTCCTTTTATACACCAATTTAATCATCTAATCAGTTTAGTGTCCCAAAAAGTATGTAAATACTACTTAATTTACTAGTGAAGTTGGCTTATGGAAATTACTACTTAGCATGATTGCCTCTGGATAAAGAACAAACAGGTAGGGAAAAAAACATCGATTTAATAAGGTCGTTTCACCCTTCTGGAGTGAGACTATCAAAAACATGTCTAGACTAGTAAATGATGCAACTGAGCAAAGATTCTTAAAAAGCATTCCAATTATCATTTAAAAAGTCCAGAGTTTCCTGGGTTCTTTAAATAACCAATCCTTAGAGGGTCGATAAAGCTTACCAAAATATCAGCATTTTAAATTAGTCTCTTACCCTTTTCAAATGCTCCTGTATTTTGGACTCCACATCTTGGATGTGTGAAATCATTTTGTTGACACAAGGTGCTGGAATATTTACTACGGCACAGCTGTGACGTCGACATGGGTAGCTAAAGTAAATGCCTTTATTCACCCCTAAAGAGAACAAATAGAAGTTCATTACTCATTCTATACAAAGTAGTAAATTTTGATGTTCAGAATAAGCAAAAAAATTCTGCTTTATTAGTGCTAATACTCTTAGTTTCCTTAATAGAGAGGCTGAGAAATCTGTCAGAAAATTATAGAACAAATCTTTAAAAAACGTACAAGCTAAAATAAAATAATCATTTATGATTTAATTCTGTAACAAATAAAAATGAACCCGAGAAGCCAAAATAAAACTTCAAGCAAAGTTGAAAAACATAGCATTGTGAACTAAACATAGGAAAAAATGAAGGAAAAAAAGGCAGAAAAAACAGTTGACCCATGTGTTACTAAACAGATTCTGAATCTCTTAAAAATAACTTTGAAATATATTTTAAATATTCCCTTCAAAGAGATGCTCTCTTTCAATGTAAATAATATCCAACTACTCATGCATTGAAGTTCTTCCTTAAATCCAGCATGAGTTTCTCTTGCTGAAAAAAATAAAAGCAGGTCTCCTTCATCCTCATAATAACCTCATTTTCTACCTTCCATTTCTGAAAATTGGAGTCTCATACGAAGAGTGATTAATGTTCTCACTATAGTATTCAAGCTGTACTCATCATAAAATCCACTCAGTCCGATGTGCCTCAGTGATTCTAATCCTAGCATGTCCCAAATCGACTGAAGGTTGCAGAAGCACAGCAAAGTTGTCCATGAAACTCCACCAAAGTGCTTACTTGCAGTCCTTTTGACTCTAAGGACTCTATTGGGCTGGATTATAGTTGCAATCACTGATCTTAAATGGGAGACACAAAATATGCTCAGCGCCTCAATGAGAACAGTGTGATGTCCTCATTTCAATTGACCTTGAGGGAACAGAGAAATAATCCTGTTGCGTTTTGTTTCAATGCCAACCCACAGAGATGGTAAATATTTTTGGTATCTTCATTTAAACTGCAATCTTTTAAATATCTTTTAAATGAAGCCTTATAATATCTTCCTCTAGAAACACAATCTCTTGTAAAAATGGCATGTTTCATTTATAAATAAAAGTGTTCAGTCTATTCTACAATGTTCGACTCTCTCTCATATATGTGTGTGTGTGTATATATGTGTATATATATATAAATGACCTTTTTATGAGCACTAAAAATATGTGCCAGACATAAAGCTAAGCTAAAAATTTTTGATGCCACATTTTTTTAATCCCCACAACAATCTTATAAAATGGGATTATTATCTTGATTTCATAGATGAGGAAATCAAGGCTTAAATAAATTATATAACTTGTCTAAGTCTACGGAACAGGTAGGTAGGAGAACTGAGACTTGAACTAAATCTCCCTGGTTATGGAGTATAAGCTGTGAAGGCTGTTTTTATATTTTAAAAGTATGGCAAAATAAAGAGAAACAGTACTAAAAATATATTTCAGGGCATCCTGAATGTTTTGCTTGTTTTTACATTTTGAATGCTCCTTCATAATATCAGTGCTGGTATCCTATGTCTTTTAGTTTGCTTTGACCATACTCTGAACACATATACTTGCTATAACTATTTTTTGTATGTTACAGTCCATCTTTCCTCTTTAGTTCATAAACATATATACACACACACACACACACACACACACACACACACATATGTAATAGTCAAAAGACCAAAAGAACAATCTAGTAAAAATTGCATATTGATCTCCTATCCAAATATCTTGATAAGGGCATGTTGGCCCTCCCTTTAGAAATAAGAAGGTTTTGATACACATTTAACAAACAAGCAGTCACTGTTACAGTCAAAACATTTGTTTTGCTTCATTAAATTTGGTGAAAACAAGAATAGTAATGATTCCTTTTATATTTTTCTTGACTGTGCCACTCTCAACCTATTTTGTGAATACTAATAATTTCCATAGCACTCCTATGGTTTAGGTTGAATATGTAACATATGGTAAAGTAATGGGAATCACGTACTATGAACTTAAATTTGCACTAAAATCTGTAAAAGACATGACATCCTAAGTAGCACAAGATTGAACCAAAATTCAGTGGTTCATGTTACTCTTTTTATTTCATTGCAAGCATGGCATAAGTTAAAACTTTCAGTTTTTAAGAATTCTACTCAGTTTAGGGTGACAGCATGATATAATCAAAAGACAGCTGAACTAGGTGTCTGTATTTTCTTGACTGAACTGATAACTAGCTGCACATCTTTAGCTAAAATGATTCAGTCTTTAGGTCTCAGATTTCTTATTTAATAAATTAATGTATTGGTAGGATGTTATATAAGATATTTTTCACCTAAAATTCCAAACATAAATCGAGGGAGCTCCTCCTTGTGAAGCCTGTGCACAAATGGTCAGTGTGAGTATATTAAGAATTAAGCTCGGCGAGACTTTCATCCTCTCTAAACATGCCCCTGACTCCAACTTCCTTGCCCAGAATTAATGCATAAAAGACAAGATCCTCCTGGCTCCAAGCCAGAGTTGAGGTTTGCTGAGACTCTGCAACATGAAACTTCCATTTGAGAAAAAATATCAACTAGTTGTTTGTGTGGGCAAATGAAATAGAAAGACTATGTTTATAAACTTTCAACTCTTACTGCTCAATGAATTTGATCCTTATATAATTTATTCACCCAGCTCCAATAATTCAACATTTTATCACAAGAGTCCTTCCTTTTCTTCTGCTTTGTATATGCACTTCCTTTATGTACGTTACCCCAATTATTCTATCATCCCTTTATCTCAACTCAGAACGCTTAGGAAAAACTCTGCTGAAGGCATATTTCCTTTTCACATTGTTATCCCTTTTAACATCTTGATTTTCTTTCCAAAATGTAACATAAGTCAGTGCTCTTGAGGTTAAAAATAATTTGTCCTCCATGCAAAGACTCTTTCATGATGAACATAAAGCATCTTTAATCTTTTATGGAAAACAAAGATCTCTTTAGCTTTTGTTATACATGAGAAAAATAAAAACACCTTTCACTGACATTAGAGTTATCACATTTTCATTGGACCTTAAACTGTTGGAGACACTTATCACTAAATATCTAGAATAATACACATGGACTCTCAGAGTCAGAAGTGGCTAAAAACTGCTTCTACTCTAACTTTAGTCAATGTGCAATGCCGCTGTTTGGTGTTCACTTACTGCCATTTTCTTCTCTTCAAAATCTACAACTTCAATACAATTTTTTTTTACTTGCCTTGTATGCTCACAGGTCTCCCCACTACCTTGCCTGACCACTTCCTATAGCTATTATTCTATATCAAATTTTGCTTTCACTAGCAATTTTTTGAATGAACTGTTTATACTGGCAGCTGCAATATCCTCATCTGATCTCTTCTTCAAATTACAATTTATATACAAATATTAAGATCCATCTTACAAGGTTCCTTGCCTGTGCGGAATACTCAGCTCTTTCAGACATTTGAGTGCAGCTATAGCACTTTTCATTTCTCTTTATAAGAATGGATCACATTGCACTCTGCTGTTATCACATTTATGTTTTCCTATCTATCTTCCCCATGAAGTTCTTTCCAGAGAACAATATTAAGTGCCTTAAATAATTATTGAATAAATGAATAAACAAATCCTCTATCATTTTTTAAACTTTTTACCTGGCTGTAATCTGATTTTTGTTCTCTCCATGAAAAATTCATTCTTACATCCCACTAAGCAGTATATCAACTACCATCCATGAAGGAGTAACTGATGTGGAATTAGTTCTCCAGTTATAAGCAACTCTAAATCTGGATTTTAAAATATGAGACAACTGATTTTGGACTTTGAAAAATGGGCAGTTCAAGGTTTTCATTTCTGAGAAAAGGGAAATTGATAAGGTGGAGTCCCACAATCACCAAGCTCTCTGCCAAGGGACAGTTTCCCAACTGCAATAAAGAGATCTGGGAGAAAAACAGAGCACAGTGATCCCGCTGAGTTGAAAAGTAAATATGAGTTTCGTGGACAGTGGAAACATCTGGAAGAGGGCAGGAACTCAAGAAGACAGAGCAATGCAGAGAAGAGCCTCAGAAACCCACGTGGGAGGCCCCTCTGACATATGGCATAGAATCCCTGACCAATAACTTCTACCCAGAATGTGCAGAGAAAATTCACAACTTAATATTCAGAAAATAGGCATAAGACTTGGACTCTTCACAAAAGACAATATACAAATGACTATTGCAATGTGAAAAGATGCTTAACATCATTAGTCATAGTCATCAAGAAAATGCACATTTAACTAACAGTTCAATACAACTTCACACACACACTATAATGCCTAAAATTATAAAGGTTTGCAATGCCCAGTATCAGAGAGGATATAGAACAACTAGAATTTATACATTGCTAGTGGAAATGTAAAATTGTTTAAACACTTTGGAAAACAATTTGGCAATTTCTTATAAAAGTTAAACTTACCATATTACTCAGCATTCCTCTTCTTTATATTTCCCCATGACAAATAAAAATATGTCCACAAAAAGAATTGTAGGTGAATGTTCATAATAGCTTTCTTGATGATAGTCAAAAATTGAAAAAATCTCAAATTTCCATTAAAGGCTAAATAAATTGTGCAATATTATACAAGGGAATGGTATTGATCAATAAAAATGAACAAACTACTGATATATGAAACAGCATGGATGAATATTACAGACATTTTCCTGAGTCTGAAAAAGTTGGGCACAAAGGAGTACAAGTGGCATAATTTCATTTATTTGAAATGTTACAGTGGTAAAACTAAAATCATACTGGAGTTGTGGGAGTGAGTTAAAGTAATCTTGTCTGTAGAGGGGGCACGAATGAACTTTCTGGAAAGATGGAAATTTCTATACAGTGTTTGGGGTGGTGGTTAAATGGATGTGTGTGTTTGTCAAAAGTCATTCACTTATACACTGTAAATGAGTGGATTGTATTGCATTTAAATTGTACCTCCATATATCTGTTTTATAAAAAAGACCACTAAGCATATCCTAGTGGCAGAACTCAATAACCTTGTATCGTTCTCCTACTTTAACTTTTTATACTAAAAAACATTGTAGACAGTCCTTCCTTGAAATGTTCTTTTAATAACTTTCTCTAGCTTCCTGTTCACCTATTTTTTCTCATATTCCTTAAATATGACTATTTGATAAGAAATAATCTTTTCCTCTACACTTTCTCCTTTGATCATCTCCTTTAAGTGCTTAACTCTTAACTAAACAGCTTTAGACTTAACCTTGCCCTGAGCTCCTTGCAAAAATGTACAAATTTCCCAAATCTGTCCTTCCTAGACTCCCATCCTGGCATTGAGAGTAAGGAAGGGAGGTCTGGGCCTGCAGAATCCTATGCAGAATGGGAGAAGCATGATAGATAAAACTAAAATGTACCCATTGAGAAGTTGATATACCACAAACAAGGAAATACATTCACAACAGTAAATTAAAATGCCAAAGCAGAAAGGCTACGGAAGAAAAGGGACACATTTGTATGATCAGACATAGAGCTGGAAGGGATAAAGGAGGCATCCATGGGAGCTTCAAGATGGAAGAGATCTGATACAGTACAAGCAGTGAAAATGATGCCTGGTACAGAGGATCCTCAGAAATGATTTGAAAAGTAAAAGAACTGTTATTAGTGGAAGGTATCCAAGTTACTGGTGGCAAATCTGTACTGGTCCACAGCAACTTCAATTCTTGCCTCCTCAGACAAAATAATTTGACTGAGAAGCATAAGGCAGAAGGACAGACCAAGGCAAATTTCAGAACAGGAGTGAAAGTTTTATTAAAAAGCTTTAGGACAGTAAGGAAAGGAAGGAAAGAAAAGAAGAAAAGTACAACTTGGATAACGGCCAAGCGGGTGACTTGAGAAACCAAGTGCGCAGCTTGACTTATGGACTTGGGTTTTTATACGTTGGCATACTTCCAAGATACTGCATTACTTCTCCCCACTCCTGAGATTTTATCTGGAAGCTGCTGATGAGTTTAAGGTGTTTTCTATTAGGAGACTGCCTTTCTCTGGCACTGGCTGTGAGCAGTTATTACTTTAGATAAACAGTTAACAACTGCTTGACCATCACCTGATGGTCACCCAACACTCCTGGTGTGTTGGGGGAGGGGCGGGGAGGGCGTGAGCAGGAGGGGAGAGCCCTTTTTTGCCCTGCTCATACCTGAGAGGCTACCTACTGTAACAAAATGATAAGAAAGTAAAGATGTTCCAAAATAAAACTTTTAATTAGCCTTCCCTCTGTCCCCAATCTGTTTGGATTCTTGTTTTCCTTTTTTATAATTTTGACTTTCATTTTAGATTCAGGGAATGCATATGCAGGTTTGTTACACAGGTATATGGTGTAATGCTGAGGTTTGGGGTATGATTGCTTCTGTCACCCAGGTATTGAGCATAGTACATAATGGTTAGTTTTTTAACCTTTGGCCCCCTCCCTCTCTCCTCCCTATAGTAATCCCTAGTGTCTATTGATGCCATCTTTATGTCCATGAGTACCCATTGTTTAGCTCCCACTTATAAGTGAGAACGTGAAATATTTGGTTTTCTGTTCCTGTGCTAACCTACTTAGGATAATGGCTTCCAGTTGCATCCATGTTGCTGCAGATAACTTGATTTCATTCTTTTTTATGGCAGTATAGTATTTCATGGTGTATATGCACCACATTTTCTTTATCCAATCCACCATTGATGGACACCTAGATTGATTCTATGTCTTTGCTATTGCAAATAATGCTGTGATGAACAAATGAGTGCGTTGTCTTTTTGGTAGAATGATTTATTTTCTTTTGGATATATATCCAGCAACAGGATTGCTGGGTTGAATGCTAGTTCAGCTCTTAGTTATTAGACAAATCTCAAAACTGCTTTCCATAGTGGCTAAACTAATTTACATTCCCACCAACAGTGTATAACAATTCTCTTTTCTCTGCAGAGTTGTCAGCATCTGTTGTTTTTGGCTTTTTAGTAATAGCCATTCTGACTGGTATGAGATGCTATCTCATTGTGGTTTTCATTTGCATTTCTCTAATGATTAGTGATGTTGAACATTTTTTCACATGCTTGTTGGCCATGTGTATGTTTTCTTTTGAAAAGTGTTTATGTCTTTTGCCCACTTCTTAATAGGGTTGTTTTAAGCTTGTAAATTTTTTTAAGTTCCTTAGAGATTTGGGATATTAGGCTTTTGTCAGATGCATAGTTTGTGAATATTTTCTCCCATTCTGTAGGTTGCCTGTTTACTCTGTTGATAGTTTCTTTTGCTGTCCAAAAGACTTTTAGATTAATTAAATCCCACTTGTCAATGTTTTGTTTTGTTGTAATTGCTTTTCAGGACTTAGTCACAAATTCTCTCCCAAGACTGATACCCAGAATGGTGTTTCCTAGGTTCTCTTTTAGGATTCTTATCATTTGTTTGAGGTCTTACATTTAAATCATTAGTCTATTTTAAGTTAATTTTTGTATACGGTGAAAGGGAGGGGTCCAATTTCAATCTTCTGCCTATGGCTAGCTAGCTGTCTCAGCACCATTTACTGAATAGGGAATGCTTTCCCCATTGCTTATGTTTGTTGACTTTGACAAAAATGAGATGGATGCAGGTGTGAGGTTTTACTTCTAGGTTCTCCATTCTTTTCCATTGATCTATATATCCATTTTTGTACCAGGACCATGCTGTTTTAGTTACTGTAGCCATGTAGTATAAAGACAGGTACAATGATGCCTCCAGCTTTGTTCTTTTTGGTTAGAATTGCTTAGACTGTTTCAGTTCTTCTTTGGTTCTGTATGAATTTTAAAATAGTTCTTTTTCCAGTTCTGTAAAAAATGACATTGGTAACTTTATAGAAATAGCGTTGAATATGTAGATTGCTTTGAGCCATACGGCCATTTAATCGGCATTGATTCTTTCAATCCATGAGCACGGAATATTTTTCCATTTGTCTGTGTCATCTATGATTTCTTTCAGCAGTGTTTTGTAGTTCTCCCTGTAGAGAGCTTTCACCTCCTGGTTAGAGGCATTCTTAGATACTTTATTATTTTGTGACTATTGGAAATGGAACTGCATTCTTGATTTGGCTTTCAGCGTGAACATTCTTGGTATACAGAATTGCTGCTGAATTTTGTACATTAATTTTGTACTGTGAAATTTTACTGCTTATGAGTTCTAGAAGCCTTTTGGTAGGGTCTTTAGGGTTTTCTAGGTATACAATCATATTGTCAGCAAAGGGACAATGACTTCTTTTTGACATCTTCCTGTTTGGATGCCTTTTATTTCTTTCTCTCACCTGATTGCTATGGCAAGGACTTCCAATACTATGTTGAATAGTAGTCAGAATGGGCATGCTCATCTTCTTCCAGTTCTAAAGGGGAATGCTTCCAGTTTTGCTCATTCAGTATGATGCTGGCTGTGGGTCTGTCATAGATGGCTCTCATTATTTTGAGGTATATTCATTTTATGCCCTGTTTCTTGAACATTTTTATCATGAAGTGATGTTGGATTTTATCAAAAGGTTTTTCGACATCTATTGAGATGATCATAATGTTTTTGTTTTTAATTCAACTTATGTGGTGAATTACTTTATTGATTTGTATATGTTGAACCAAACTTGCATCCCAGGAATAAAGCCTTACTTGATCATGGTGAATTAACTTTTTGATGTGCTGCTGGATTCAGTTTGCTAGTATTTTGTTGAGGATTTTAGTATTTATGTTCATCAAGGATATTGGCCTGTTGTTTTCTTTTTTCATTGTGTCTTTGCAAGGTTTTGGTATCAGGGTGATGTTGGCTTTGTAGAATTAGTTTGGGAGGAGTCTTTCCACTTTGATATTTTGTAATAGTTTCAGTAGGATTAGTTTCTTCTCATCTGGAGATGCTGGCAACTCTAAATTTTGTAAATATTTTCATGCAGGTAGGATTTTTTCTTTTTATTTCTTTGCCGTATATATATATATTTCCATATATATATAATATATATATTTCCATATATATATAATATATATATTTCCATATATATAATATATATATTTCCATATATATAATATATATATATTTCCATATATATATATATCTTTCCATTTCCCTAATCCCCTCCCTAGGAGTGTGATTGTAGAGAATGGTGTGTAGGGTCTTTTGGTTTTGGTTCTATAGCGCTATGCACCTCTGTTAGCAGGTTTTCTATTAGGCTGTGCAATTCAACCTACAAGCCAATAGATGCCACTTATGCGTGGCAGCCAGCTGTGGCCAACGTTGCTGGGTATACACTTGATTCTTGTTTACTGGGAGAAGCTCTTTTTTTGCTTTATGCAATAGGATGATTCCTGGAGTATACAGTCTGAGTTCCCTCTAGATGGGCAGGACACTCTGGCAGGTCCACCTATAGGTCCCCCAGTGGCCAGAATAAGCACTAGAACTGAGGGAGAATCCAATAGGCAGCCTCTAGGTACCCAGAGGTGTGCCTAGACAGGGAGCAGGAAACATCCTCATTCCTAAGTTCTCCGCAAGGTGATGGAGGGTGGCTTAAACTCCAACTCTAGGTGATTGGGTGTTCCAGATGTCTGAAGATCTGCCTTTGCATGGAGCAAAGTGAACCCCCAAACAACAAGATCTCTGCACAAGAAAGGTAGGGTGGATCAGGCTGCTGTTCCAGGTGAGTGGGTGCTCCAAATGCCTGGAGATCTGCCTATGTGCAGAGTAGTGAGAGCCCTACTGCACCATGATCTATGCATGGGAAGGGTAGTACAACTCAGGCTGCTAATCCAGGTGAGGGTGTATTTTGAATGCCTGGAGAACTGGCTGGGTGTGGAGCAGAGAGGGCCCCACTGTACCACAATGTATATCTATAAAGAGAAGGCCAGCTTAGGCTGCTGGTCCAGGTAAGTGGGTACTCTGAATGACTGGATTTCTATCTGGGGGTGGAGTGCAGAGGGTCCTGCTGCACCACAGTCTCAGGAGATCAGGATGGGGCACCCAGCACAGATAGATGCAACTAGTCCCAGGTTGCCAAGCTGATCGTGATTGCAAGTCTCATCACCCAGGAGAAGCTGGACTGTGGTAGCTCTGCTCCTGCCCCCGGCCTGTGATGAGGGAGAATACAATTCCAGCACCTACTAATTAAGCACTTTCCACATTTCTGGCTGTAGAGGCACATATCCTGCTCCACAGAAAGCAAAGCAGTACTCTAATTTCTGGTCTGAGACTAACGTGCCTGTGCAGACACGTTGCTGGGTCACCAAAGAATGGCTGAGTTTGTGTGCACCCAGATTAAAAATGGCCTCCTGCTCTCAGTGCTGAGTCTAAGAAAGTACCTGTAGCTTTTCCCAGTGTCTTTCCCTCACAGTGTCTCTATGCCTCTTTCCAAGTTAGCTCCAGGGCTTGGGGGAAACAAAGTGTGCTCCTTCAGCCTGGGTTGCTCAGATCCCTAGTGGAAAGGTAAATCACAGAGGGAGCCTTTCTGACTCTCCTGTGTACTGGAGTTTCACTCACTTTTAACACCCAGATGCCATCATGGAGGCTGTTAGCCTGCATTCTCTTCCCTGGGAATTGGAATGTCCTTCACATTCTGGTGGATTCTCATATTCCTTCTTGAATTAACGCTCAGAGAGTTGATCTTTATGCACTATCTTGCTTTTTCCAAGTGGCCAAGGCATGCTAAGAGCCTCTCATCTGCCATCTTGAAGAAAAAGCAACAACTTTATTTGGTTTTAAACATTCGGATTTAGTCAAGGCCAACAAGCCAGAGATAGTCTTAAAGGGACCAACTTCATTCACACATCGAGGCACGTCTACTATCTGTAAAACTAAACTCATCTTCCCTCCATTTAACCTCTTTTCTTTTTACATCTCTGTTGCAGTTATGAAAGTTTGGAACAGTTAAATCACATCTGAATCCTCCACCTTCTCATTCAAGTTCCTACATTAATATAGAGAGAATAGTCAGTCCCTGTAAGTACTAGTCAGTCACCAAATCTTAACACTTATTTTGTAATATGTCTCTAATCTCTTTCGTATTCATTGATCTTAATTAGATCAGGACCTTGTTACAATAAGCCTGAACAATAGTAATAAGAAAATCAGTTTCTAAGTGCCTGGAGAGCCAGCTGGGTATGGAGCAGAGAGGGCCCCACTCCACCACAATAGCCAGACAATTCCTGTAGCCAAATAATTCTGTGTTGCATGCTCAGACTTTGTAAGCAAAGAATTTAGTCAGTAACTTCCCTACTCTGGTTTTATATATATATAACCAGAGACCGAGAAATGAAGTTAATAGTCTTGAGCCTGAAATTCAAAATCCTTCTTAATTGCACCTCAGTCATTTCTACCTTTCTCTGAACCATCTTCACATTTCTGAATTCTCCCTATGCTATAGACAGATACATCTATGCTTCCTAAATCTTGTGTTATTTTCTCACTGTTGACACATTCTATTCTACTTTCTTAAATTTTATCCTCACCTTTTTTTTCCATATACAAATGCATTCTTTAAAATTCATTTCAAATCTCTCCTGATCCATTAACCTTTTTCTTAATGCTTGCAGACCATGCAAATTGGTCTTAGTCAAAATATTGAAGATATCTGTCATCCATGGTGTTCATTTGGCACGTACTTCCTTGTGTCATCTCCGCTGATACACTATGTAACTATTATTTTATGTTGTATTGTAAAAATTGTTGTATACATTTATATTCTATTTTTTTTTTCAATTTAGGATTATCCTTCATATATTTTATTTGGCCTACAAGATTTTACACTTTTTGTGAGGGTTGTTTCTTAAATATCTCTGTACCACAATAGCACATAGATATTCCAGTATCTTGAATTAATTGGTTCATAAGTCACTTATTTGCCGTCTTATAAATCTGTTCAAAATTCACTATGGGCAGTAAACTCTAAGTCAAGATCTTAAACTTGTATTCAAGATTTCCACTGGACATACACAGATGAAAGAATCAAAATGGTAACTTATTTCAATTTAATCTCATAAAATTGAAAAATTCCCAGAGTAGTAATTTCTCAAAATCAAGATTAAAATTTTTGATAAAGAGTTCTTCACCAGAATGACCTAAAAAGAAATAAGTATGAACCCCAATAGATATATGTATACATTTCCTCATCTCTTTCCACCACTTTCCACATTGAGTGTTAGAAACACTTTCAGAGATAATGTTTATAGATTCTCACTGTACAAGTCTTTAATTCTGGAACTAAAAAGTACGCATCCAATTGACAGGAGCCAAGATGGCTGAATAGAAACAGCCATCTTGGAATTTACAGCTCCCAGCAAGACCAACATGGAAGGTGGGTGATTTCTGCATTTCCAACTGAGGTACCCAGTTCATCTCATCGTGACTGACTAGGCAGTGGGTGTGACCCACGGACAGTGAGCAGAAGCAGGGTGGAGTGTTGCTTCACCTGGGAACTGCAGTGGGTGAGGTGACCTCCCTCCCCATGCCAAAGGAAGTGGTGAGGGAATGTGCTACCCAGCGGGGGTACTACACTTTTCCTACGGATTTTTGCAATCCACAGATGAGGAGATTCCCCCGTGAGCCTACACCACCAGGGCCCTGGGTCTCAAGCACAAAACTGGGTGACTGTTTGGGCAGGCACTGGGCTGCAGGAGTTTTTACATACTCCACCAGCACCTGGAACTCCAGTGAGACAGGAGAACCATCCACTCACATGGAAAGGGGGCTGAAGCCAGGGAGCCAGCAGTCTTGCTTGGCAGGTCCCACTTCCACGGTGCCCAGCAAGCTGAGAACCACTGGCCTGAAATTCCCACTGCCAGCACAACAGTCTGGAGTTGCCCTGGGATGACTGAGTTCCCAGGAGGCAGGGGCAGGGGGAGGGGATAGCGGGGAGGGATGACTGCCATTTCTGTGGCTTTAGTAGGCTGTTTTCCCCTAACAGTGCTAAGGAGATGAGGACAGTTGGACTGGGTGGAATTCCCCACAGTGCAGCAAAGCAGCTGTGGCCAGACTGCTTCTTTAGATCCCTCCTCACTGGGCATGGACAGGGCCTCTCTGCAGGAGGTCCAGCACCAGTCAGGGGCTTACAGACAGAACTATCATTTCCCTGGGAAAGAGCACCTTGGGGAAGGGGTGGCTGTGGTCTCAGGTTCAGTGGACTTAATATTTCCTTCCTGGCAGCTCTGAAGAGATCAGCTGATCCTGACAAGGGGGATTCCCCCAACATAATGCACCAGCTCCACTAAGGGACAGATGACCCCCTCAAGTGGTTCCTTGACCCCCATGCCTCCTGACTGGGTGAGACCTCCCAACTAGGGTTGCCAGACACCTCATACAGGAGAGTTCTCGGTGGCATCAGGTCAGTGCCCCTCTGGGACAAAGCTTCCAGAGGAAAGAGCAGGAAGCAATCTTTGCTATTCTGCATCCTCCACTGGTGCTACCCAGGCAAACAGAGTCTGGAGTGGACACCTAGCAAACTGCAGCAGACCTGCATAAGAGGGGCCTGACTATTAGATGAAAAACAACAAACAAAAAGCAAAAACAACAACATCAACAAAAAAGACCCCACAAAATCCCCACCAAAGGTTATCAGCCTCAAAGATCAATGGTAGATAAATCCATGAAGATGAAGAAAAGCCAATGCAAAAACACTGAAAATTCTCAAAGCTGGAATGCCTATTCTCCTCCAAATAATCACAACACTTCTGCAGCAAGGGCACAGAATGGGGCCGAAGCTGAGATGGATGAACTAACAGAAGTAGGCTTCACAAGGTGGGTAATAATGAATTTCGCTGAGCTAAAGGATTATGTTCTAACACAATGCAAAGAAGCTAAGAACCATGATAAAAGATTACAGGAGCTGTTAACTCGAATAACCAGTTTAGAGAGGAATATAAATGACCTGATGGAGCTGAAAAACACAGCACGGGAACTTCATGATGCAAACGTAAGTATCAATAGCTGAATCGATCAAGCAGAAGAGAGAATATCAGAGCTTGAAGACTATCTTGCAGAAATAAGGCAGACAAACAAGATTAGATAAAAAAGAATGAAATAAAACAAACAAAACCTCTGAGAACTATGGGATTATGTAAAGAGACCAAATCTATGACTGATTAGAGTACCCGAAAGAGATGGGGAGAATGGAACCAAGTTGGAAAACATACTTCAGGACACCATCCAGGAGAACTTCCCCAATCTAGCAAGACAGGCCAATTTTCAAATTCAGGAAATCCAGAGAACTCCAGCAAGATATTCTGAGAAGATTTATCCCCAAGACACATAATCATCAGATTCTCCAAGGTCAAAATCAAGGAAAAAATGTTAAGGGCAGCCAGAGAGAAAGGCAAGGTCGTCTACAAAGGGCAACCCATCAGACTAACCGCGTACCTCTCCATGGAAACCCTAAAAGCCAGAAGAGATTGGGGGCCAACATTCAACATTCTGAAAGAGAAGAAATTCCAACCCAGAATTTCATATCAGGCCAAACTAAGCTTCATAAGTGAAGGAGAAATAAAATCTTTTTTAGACAAGCAACTGCTGAGGAATTTTGTGAACAGCAGGTCTGCCTTGCAAGAGCTTCTGAAGGAAACACTAAACATAGATAGGAAAAACCATTATCATCCACTACGAAAACACACTGAAGTACACAGACCAACAACTCTATGAAGCAACTATATTAACAAGTTTGCAAAATTAACCAGCCAGCGCCATGATGACAGGATCAAATTCACACATAACAATATTAACCTTAAATATAAATAGCCTAAACGCCCCAATTAAAAAACACAGAATGGCAAGCTGGATACAAAGATGGAACCCATCAGTGTGCTGTATTCAAGAAACACATCTCACATGCAAAGATGCACATAGACTTGAAACAAAGGGAAGGAGGAAAATTTACCAAGCAAATTTGAAAGCAGAAAAATGCAGAGGTTGCAATTGTAGTTTCTGAAAAAATAGACTTTAAATCAACAAAGGTCAAAACAGACAAAGAAGGGCATTACATAATGTTAAAGGGTTCAATTCAACAAGAAGAGCTGACTATCCTAAATATATGTGTACCCAATACAGGAGCACTGAGATTCATAAAACAAGTTCTTAGAGACCTACAAAGAGACTTAGACCTCCACACAATAATAGAGGGAGACTTTAATAACTCACTGTCAGTATTAGACAGATCATTGAGACAGAAAATTAACAAAGATATCCAGGACTTGAACTCAGCTCTAGACCAAGTGGACCTGACAGATATCTACAGAACTCGCCAGACAAAACAGAATATAAATTTTTCTCAGGGTCACATGGCACTTACTCTAAAATTGATCACATAATTGGAACTAAAACACTCCTCAGCAAATGCAAAATAACTGAAATCATAACAAACACTCTCTCAGACCACAGTACAATCAAATTAGAACTCAAGATTAAAAAGCCCACTCAAAACCACACAACTACATGGAAACTGAACAACCTGCTCCTGAATGACTCCGGAGTAAATAATGAAATTAAGACAGATATCAAGAAGTTCTTTGAAACAAATGAGAACAAAGCAACAATGTATCAGAATCTCTGGGATACAGCTAAAGCAGTGTTAAGTGGCAAATTTATAGCACTAAATGCCCACATCAAAGAAAGATCTCAAATCAACACCCTAACATCACAACTAAATGAACTAGAGAACAAAGAGCAAACAAACTCCAGAGCTAGCAGAAGACTAGACATCACCAAGCTCAGAGCAGAACTGAAAGAGATAAACACATAAACATCACTTCAAAAACATGAACGAATCCAGGAGCTATTTTTTTAAAAGAATCAATAAAATAGGCTGCTAGTGAGACTAATTTTTAAAAAAGAGAAGATTCAAATAAACAATCAGAAACGATAAGGGGGATACCACCACTGACCCCACAGAAATACAAACAACCATCAGAGAATACTATAAACACCTCTATGCAAATAAACTGGAAAATCTACAAGAAATGGATACATTCCTGGACACATACACCCTCCCAGGTCGGGGGGTGAACCAGGAAGAATTTGAATCCCTAAATAGACCAATAACAAGTTCTGAAATTGAGGCAGTAATAAATGGCCTACCAACTAAAAAAAGGCCCAGATCCAGATGGATTTATAGCTGAATTCTACCAGAGGTAAAAAGAGGAGCTGGTACCATATCTTCTGAAACTATTCCAAACAATTGAAAAGGAGGGACTCCTCCCTAACTCATTTTATGAGGCCAGCATCATCCTGATACCAGAGATACAACAGAGATACAACAACAAAAACAACAACAACAACAACAAAAACTTCAGGCCAATAGCCCTAATGAACATCTATGCAAAAATCTCAATAAAATACTGTCAAACCAAATATAGCAGCACATCAAAAAGCTTACCCACCATGATCAAGTCACCTTCATCCCCAGGATGCAAGGTCAACATATGCAAATCAATAAACGTAATTTATCACATAAACAGAACTAAACACAAAAACCACATGATTATCTCAATAGATGCAGAAAAGGCCTTTGATAAAATTCAACATCCCTTCATGTAAAGAACTCAATAAATTAGGTATTGAAGGAACATACCTCAAAATAATAAGAGCCATTTATCACAAACCCACAGTCAATATCATACTAAATGGGCAAAAACAGGAAGCATTCCCCTTGAAAATAGGTATAAGACAAGGATGCCCTCACTCACCACTCTTATTCAACATAGTGTTGGAAGTTCTGGCCAGGGCAATCACGTAAGGGAAAAAATAAAGGGTATTCAAATAGGAAGAGAGGAATTCAAATTGTCTTTGTTTGAGGATGACATGATCCTTTATCTAGAAAACCCCATCGACTCAGCCCAAAAGCTTCCTAAGCTGATAAGCAACTTTAGCAAAGTCTCAGGATACAAAATCAATGTGCAGAAATCATAAGCATTCCTATATGCCAACAACAGACAAGCAGAGAGCCAAATCACAAATGAACTCCCATTTACAATTGCCACAAAATACCTGGGAAAACAACTAACAAGGGAAGTGAAGGGCCTCTTCAAGGAGTACTACAAACCACTGCTCAAGGATATCAGAGAGGATACAAGCAGATGGAAAAATGTATCATGCTCATGGATAGGAAGAATCAATATCTTGAAAATGACCATAGTTCCCAAAGCAATTTATAGATTCAATACTATTTCCATTAAACTACCATTGACATTCATCACAGAATTAGAAAAAACTATTTTAAAATTCATACAGAACCAAAAAAAAGCTCACATAGCCAAGACAATCCTAAGCAAAAAATAAAACAAACCTGGAAGTATCATGCTACCTGATTTCAAACTATACTATAAGGCTACAGTAACAAAAACAGCATGGTACTGGTACAAAAACAGGCACATAGACCAATAGAAGTGAATAAAGAACTCAGAAAGAAAACCGCACATCTACAACCATCTGATCTTCGACAAACTCGACAAAAAGAAGCAATGGGGAAACGATTACCTATTTAATAAATGATGCTGGGAGAACTGGCTAGCCATATGCAGAAAACTGAGACTGGATCCCTTCTTTACACCTTATACAAAAATTAATTCAAGATTAATTAAAGACTTAAATGTAAAACCCAAAACTATAAAAACTCTAGAAGAAAATCTAGGCAATACTATTCAGGACATAGGCATGGAGAAAGACTTTATGATGAAATTGCCAAAAGCATTTGAAACAAAAGCCAAAATTTACAAATGAGATCTAATTAAACTACAGAGCTTCTGCATAGCAAAAGAAAGTATCATCAGAGTGAACAGGCAACCTACAGAATGGGAGAAAATTTTTGCAATGTATCCATCTGACAAAGGTCTAATATCCAAAATCTACAAAGAACTTAAGCAAATTTACAAGAAATAAACAAACAACCCCATTAAAAAAATGGGAAAAGGATATGAACAGACACTTCTCAAGAAAAAGGCATACATGTGGCCAACAAATATATGAAAAAAAGCTCAACATCACTGATCATTAGAGAAATGCAAATCAAAACTACAATGAGATACCATCTCACGCCAGTCAGAATGGCAATTATTAAAAAGTCAAGAAACAACAGATGCTAGTGACGTTGCAGAGAAATAATTCTTTTACACTGTTGGTAGGAGCATAAATTAGTTCAACCACTGTGGAAGACAGTGTGGCAATTCCTCAAAGATTTAGAACCAGAAATACCATTTGACCCAGCAACTGCATTACTGGATATACATCCTAAGGAGCATAAATCATTCTATTATAAAGATACATGCATGTGTTATGTTCAGTGCAGCACTATTCACAATAGCAAAGACATGGAATCAACCCAAATGCCCATCAATGATAGACTAGATAAAGAAAATGTGGTACATATACACCACGGAATTTTTTTTTTTTTTTTTTGAGACGGAGTCTCGCTCTGTCGCCCAGGCTGGAGTGCAGTGGCGGGATCTCGGCTCACTGCAAGCTCCGCCTCCCGGGTTCACGCCATTCTCCTGCCTCAGCCTCCCAAGTAGCTGGGACTACAGGCGCCCGCCACTACGCCCGGCTAATTTTTTGTATTTTTAGTAGAGATGGGGTTTCACCGTTTTAGCCGGGATGGTCTCGATCTCCTGACCTCGTGATCCGCCCGCCTCGGCCTCCCAAAGTTACACCACAGAATATTATACAGCCATAAAAAGGAACGAGATCATGTCCTTTGCAGGGACATGGATGAAACTGGAAGCCATTATCCTCAGCAAACTAACGCAGGAACAGAAAACCAAACACTGCATGTTCTCACTTATAAGTGGGAGCTGAACAATGAGAGCACGTGGACATAGGGAGGGGAAGAGCACTTACTGGGGCCTGTAGGGGGAGGGCAGGTTAGGGGAAAGCCTTAGGGAAAAGAGCTAATGCATGTTGGGCTTAATACTTAGGTGATGGATTGATAAGTGCAGCAAACCACCATGGCATGTGTTTACCTATGTAAAAAACCAGCACATCCTGCACATGTACCCTGGAACTTAAAATAAAATAAAATAAAATAATTATTTAAAAAATGAAAAATACACCCCCAAAAACATTTGTCTTCTTTCTTTTTCTTCTAAGAAACATGTCCTCAATGAACTGGAAATGTTCTATCTAGAACAGGCCAGTCACAGCTTGGGTGATTAAGAATTTATTTCAAAATTCATACATTTCTGAAATTACATAACAATTCATAAACCCAGATTATACATTAACAATATACTATTGATACAATATACTACATTATATCTTTACTATTATATATATTTACTATGTTAACAATTAACGATATGTAGGATTTATTTCAAAATAGAAATAGTATTGACATTATAGACTAATGAGATAATATAAATATAGTTTATATAGTTTACTATATGATTTACATTCAGTCCTCACCTTCAGTATTTGTCATTTTACTTTCATGAAAACCTTCACTGTTCTCCTTAGAGGCTCCATATAGAACCAAACTTTGAGACATGGCATTGCCTTTTAAAAAGAAAAAATACATATTTTAGTGAGTAGTTAATATTATAGAAAATTTTAAAATAAGCACCACCATGTAAAAAACTACGTTAGAGAAGTGCTCTCCTTAAAAGAAAAACAACTATGATACAAATATTAATCAAAATCCACAGTAGAGTATCTTCAGATATTTTCTCTATGCTCTTCAATTGGTTTGACTCTTTCATAAGAAGGTATTCAAAATAGCATGAGGCTGTTTAAAACAAACAGATAAGTTATTATGTGTTGATATAGGATGTATCCAGGACACACTGTGAAAATTAGCAAGGCAGAGATTTGTGTGTAAGCTTTGTCATCATTTTTTAAAAAATGATATGCATGTGTATGTGTATATATATATATACTATTTTATACATATATATACTATTATATATCTTAATTATGTTAACTATTGATATGTAGGATTTATTTCTAATTATAAATCCTATATAAGTTATGTATGATTTATAATTATAAATAAATAAGATATGTAGGATTTGTAATTGCTAGATTAAGAAACTGTCATTTTTAGAAAGAGAAAATGTAGAGAGAGAGGGGAAACGTTTTATTTTACAGTCTCTGAGGAAGTGTTTCAAAATTCTAAAACATAAAAATATATTATCATTTATTTGACATTTTCTTATAAAGCTAAATATATGTACACTTAATGCAGCAACTCCAGTCCTAAGCTTTTAACAAACAGAAATCAAAGTATAGGTCCACAAAAATATTATCCCAGACCATTCATATAACTTTATTCATAACAGTGAAAACTGGAAACAACCTAAATGTCCATCAGCAGAAAAATAGATTTAAATAAATACTCTGTAGTTATGCAATAATATAATGTGGACCAGTGAAACGAATGAGCTGCAAATACATGGAGTAGCATTGCTGAATCTCAAAAACATATTGAGCAAACAAAGTCAGATAAAACATACTCGATGCATTTAATTTCATTTTTACAAGGTCCAAGAAAAAGACAAAACTAAGCTATGGTGATAAAAATCAAAATAACAGTTGCCTATAGTAGGTGAGGAACTTTCAGGGGTGATGGAAATTTTTTTCTAGCTTGAATGTCATGATAGTTACATTTATGTACACACTTATCAAAATGTATTAAATTATAAATTTAAGATGGCACTTTCTTCCATGTATGCTATAAAATAAAAAAATTGTTTTACTCTAAAACCACTAAAATATTTTTATATATTATAAATACATACACACATACATACATAAATATAAGGTTAAAATGCTTGCAGATTAACTTATGTTAATATATACTAACAGTTAAAGATAGAATATTTATATGTTAAACCTCACTAAAGCATAAAATAAGGCAAAAGTAAGTTTATAGCAAAAATATTCAATAATAGGAAATTGTTCAAAAAATATAAAAATGATAAAAGATAGTGCTAATCAAATAGCTATTATAATATATAAATGACTAAATTTACCCAAAAAGAACCAAATATAAAATAATACAGAAAAAAATTATAAATAAAATGTATACAATTATTTTCTGAAAAAGAAAACTTGATGTGACTAAATATGAACAAATCTAGACCTTAAGCTCAACAACACCGAGAGTTATTACTTTACAATTGAAGTTACAGATAATAATAAAAAATCTATATGCGTGCAATAAAACAGCATATTGTATTAGAAAAAAATCTTATTTTTTAACATAAAGAGAAATTTAGAGAAAAAATATAGGGGAAAATCTAAGTCACCGTCATTCATCTGTGGCATATGAAGTTCAGAATAACAAAATGACATACAGGATGTGATGAGTACAATAAGGTAATATTGATATACATATTATGAATTGCAAAAAGATACAGATTACATCATTTTAAAGGTAGCAAAAGTAGGTATGTTAGACAACAATTCAAAAAAGTTTAATAAGTAGAAACTAGCTGCACTATATAACTAATCTACTGTACAGTTAGAAATTTGTCACATAAAGTTAATTCAAAGGTATTTGGAAATTTAATGTATATTTCCAAATAACAAATGTGTCAAGGAAGGATTCCATGTCATAAAAAATATGTATGAAAAAGGAAACACTTTGTAAACAAATGTTAATGTATTCAAAACAGAAATACATTCAGAACTTAAATGTTTAATTGTAAATAAATACCATTTAAAATACTGGTAAAAGTGAAATATATATATATGTACTAGGACATTAAAGGGAAACATAGGAAACAAATAATTCTTTTTTTTTTTTCTGAGGTGGAGTCTTACTCTGTCACCAGGCTGGAGTGCAATGGCGTGATCTCGGTTCACTGCAACCTCTGCCTCCTGGGTTCAAGCGATTCTCCTGCCTCAGCCTCCCAAGTAGCTGGGACTACAGGAGTGCGCCACCATGCCTGGCTAATTTTTTATATTTTTAGTAGAGATGGGGTTTTGTCATGTTGGCAAGGCTGGTCTCGAACTCCTGACCTCAGGTGATCCGCCCGCCTTGGCCTCCCAAAGTGCTGGCATTGCAGGCATAAGCCACCATGCCTGGCCAGAAATAAATAATTCTAAAACTGCAAAAAAAATCTTCCTTATATATCAGCCACCCCAACCCATAGGGGCTTGTTTATAATAGAGCACTAGAGGCAAATGTCCTATTTTCCAAGCTGCTGAGCTTCTGGCATTGTAACCACAACTTCAGTCCCGGTCCCTAATCACTTCCTTCAAACTCTGTGATGACGAGATGAGGTTTTCCCATAATTAAGACCTCAGTATTATCTTTGAACTTTAGTTTTACTCTAATCTTCAAACGGATGTTCCCACAACTTGACTGAGTCTCAATGACTCCAATCCCTACATTCAGTACCCCAACCAGTGATTTGGGGGGTTTGCAATGTAGCAGTTTTGTGGTATGTCCAGAGTATTAAAAGAATAAAGTTTCTACAATCAAATTCTTGTGTAAGTCAGATACTGACACGAAAGAATCAAAATTGTAATAGAATCAAATTCTTGTGTAAGTCAGATACTGACACGAAATAATCAGAATTGTATAAACCTAATGCATTATTATTTAAAAAGAAGAATTAAAAATATAAAATTGGAAAGCCGGGCATGGTGGCACGCACCTGTAGTCCCAGTTACTCCAGAGACTGAGGCAGAATGATCACTTAAGCCCAGGAGTTCAAAGCTGCAGTGAGCCATGACTCCAACCTGGGCAACAAAGTAAAACCCTCTCTCTAAAAAATAAAATAAATAAAACTGCAAATATTAAGTGCAAATAAAACAAAAATCAACAAAATTTCATACACTATAGAACTGTGTTAAAATTAATTTGAAAGTTTAAAAGAAAATTAATGCATCAGTCACTTGAATGCCATTCTTGCCCCCATGGTAATCCAGTGGAAAGCATCATGGTCTTCCCGTGAATAATTTCTCAAAATCAATAAGGAGTACAGAGTGAAAGCAATCAAACACAAAAGAAAAGTAGACACCACAACTCCAAGACTGGTTGTCAGTAGGCAACCAATGTTACAATTTTCTTGTGTGTACTTCCAGATCCTTTATACCTATGAGAATATTTCATATGTATGCCTTATTTTATGCTTTAGTGAGCTTTAACATATATTCTATCTGTAACTGTTAGTATATATTAATGTAAGTCATTCTGCAAGCATTTAAACCTTATATTTATGTGTGTATGGTGTATTTATAATACATAAAAATGTTTTAATGGTTTTAGAGTAAAACAATTTTTTTATTTTATAGCATACATGGAAGAAAATGCCACCTTAAATTTATAATTTAATGCATTTTGATAAGTGTGTACATAAATGTAATTACCATGACATTCAAGCTAGAAAAAATTTTCATCACCCCTGAAAGTTTCTCATCTACTATAGGCAACTGTTATTTTGATTTTTATCACCATAGCTTAGTTTTGTCTTTTTCTTGGACCTTGCAATAATGAAATTAAATGCATCGAGTATGTTTTATCTGACTTTGTTTGCTCAATATATTTTTGAGATTCACCAATGCTACTCCATGTATTTGCAGCTCATTCTTTTTCACTGGTCCACATTATATTATTGCATAACTACAGAGTATTTATTTAAATCTATTTTTCTGCTGATGGACATTTAGGTTGTTTCCAGTTTTCACTGTTATGAATAAAGTTATATGAATGGTCTGGGATAATAGTTTTGTGGACCTATGCTTTCATTTCTGTTTGTTAAATGAGTGTGTATATAAGTGTGTTCAAGTGTGCATATATATAAAATATATGTAAAGAGACACGTATACATACATTTCTTTCATTCTCAGGACAGAGAGATTCCTTACCAACTTTAAACCATACTTCAAATTCAACTTTATATTTCAAGTTGTTAGAAAATTTTTTTTCACACACTAAGATCAGTCACATCAGGATTCATCTTAAAATTCAAGGTTGGTATGTGGAATAGTTTAATTGGTAGATTTTTATTTCTTAGAAGTTTATAAAATAATGGTAAATTATACAACTAGAATTATATTACATTACATAAAACATCAGTGTCATGGTATCTTGCAGTATAAATTTACCATAATTTATTGAACCAATGAGGATGAAAAAAATCTCAAAGTGAGAATGACTAATATTTATTGAACATATACATGACAGTTGACTTCAACATATTTATTATACTATGATACTTAATCTTTACAATAACACATATTAATTTTCATTTTACACATGAGTAAAATGTGGCCCAGAAAGGCAGTGAACCAAGCCAGGTTCACAAAGTTAGCAAGTGATAGAACTAAGATTTAAACTTTGTGTCTAGTTCCAGTCTTTCAACTACACTAGCACTCTTTAAATCCTGTTTACAATATATAATTCCAAGAGATTCTTGTAAGTATGGAAAGCTGCAGTTCTACACTCAAATAACATATTACTTAAGAAGGTTTTTTCATTGCAAGACTTATTAGAGCTTTCAAAGTGTTAATGCTCATCAAAAAAACTTCAAGGAAAATATAAATTATACAAAATTTCTCAGTTTTATTTTACCTCAGAATTATATTTTCCTTAAGCATATCTTGGAATATATATTAAATAGTACACTGTTTGAATAATATGTCCTAAAGCACATTATCTCCCAAATTTGAGAAGAAATATAATTCAGAAGAGGATTAAACTTGTTAAATTATATAAGCCAGAAAAATTCCTCTTATTATAAATGTATAATTCAATACAAAATAATAGTGTATATAATTCATATTTCTTGGAATGGCAGGCTAGGTTTATCAGATCTACTTTTCCACTGAAAATAACTTTAAAAGCCTGTATATGTATGTGTATATATATATATATATATATATATATATATATATATATATATATGTATACATATATGAACAAGATAGTTACAAACTACTAGGACAAAATCTAAAGGAGAGCAGAAACTATACTTCTAAGTGGAGCACAGGGTGCAAAATGACATTTGACACAAAAGTCATTGACAATTCCTAGAAAATTTGGGCTGGGTTTGATGACTTGTAAGTTTTAGAAAATAAAAAGACAACCTAGTCTCACGTTCCATAGACAAAATTTAAGTGATTCGTGAAATCGGATGGGGAAAAATTACTCTATTTTTAAAATATTTCTGTACTTCTTATAATACATTTAAAAATATAATTTTCATGCCAGAGAGTATAAGCTTCAACAAGCTTCAAAGGGCCTATAGCACAAAAAATTAGAATGCCTTAACTCCCAACTAAATTGTAAAACTCGTTTTAAATTTGGATAACAATTGGCTATAGCCTCGGAGCAAAGGTTAACCAGAAATAACCACCCCAATGACCTCTACCAGAGCTCAAGACACTGTAGAGACATTTTCTCTGAGTATACACTAAATATACAAAAATAAAAACAAAAGCAGAAAACCTCACCCCTGTGACATTAAAACTTTGGCTATTCATCACTTAAATTTGCAGATTAGGTTTTCATCATTGGACACTCTACCGAAGCCTCTATGCTTGAATTTGTTTTAAGTTTGTGCCATATCGGTACAGTGCTATGTTCCTGACAGAAGCAAAAACATGTATACTCTGGAAGAAGTCATCTGTATTTTAAGCATCATGGAATGCCCATGAATAATTTTTCAAAAGCAATAAGGAGTACAGAGTCAAAGTAATCAAACACAAAACAAAGGTAGACACCATAACTTAAATAGCACGCAAAAATCAATTCCAGGTGGATTGAAAATCTAAGTGTAAAAGTCAAAACTCCAAAATGCTTAGAAGATGAATTGGACGAATATCTGCATGACCTTGGACTAGGATTTCCTTGAATAATATGTAAAAAGCTTTGACTTGAAAAAATAATAACGTTTGTGCATCAAAAGGCAATATAAATAGATTAAAAATAAAAGGCATAAACGTAAAAAAAATTAGTTAACATATGTGACTGATTTAGAACTAGTATTCATATTACACAAGAAATTCCTAAAAATCAATGTGAAAAAAGACAAATGACTCATTAGAAAATTAGAAAAAAGATTTAGCCAATTTGCAAAAGTGGAACTCAAAATGCCAAAAAGCACATGAAAAAATTTTCAACATCAATAATAATCAGGCAAATTTAAATTAAAACCACAATAAGACATTGCTACATAGTATGGGGATTGTCAATACTTTAAAAATCTAATATTGTCAAGTGGTAGGAAAAAAATGGAGCAACTGGAACATTCCTACACTGTTATGTCACTGTAAATTCATGTAATTACTTTGGAAAATAATTTGGCATTATCAAATAATGTCAACGATAGATATACCACATACTTACCAATTCTGCTGATAGGTATGCCTTAGAGAAACTCACACAGGATATATGTACAAGGAGGTTTCTAGAAGCATTATTCAAAATAACAAAAAATGGTATTGTACAATGGTACAGCAAAATGGATGAAAGCCACAAATTACATTGAGCAAAAAAAGTAGCAAGGATAAAGATAACAAGTAATGTTGAACAAGGGCAGCAACAAACATATATTAACTCAGTTTAATTTCAATTAACAAGCATGCAAAATTAAATTACATCTTTAGGGATGCACACATATGGAACACTACAGTTAAAATTAAAAAGAAAAGGAAATTAGCACCACAAAAGCCCAGGTAGTGGATGGCATAAAGAATTGTTCAGGAGAGTACAGGGAGACCTTCTGAAATGCCGGGAACGTCTATGTGTGGAGTGAGTGAAGGTGACACAGATGCTTCCTCATAATCATTTATGAAAAAAACCCACATATTAAGTTTGTACACTCTTCTTAAGTATGCATTATTCAAAACGAAAAAGGAAACACAGGAAATGGAGTACATAACATACACTAGCAATAGATAAGTATTTTTTTAAAGAAGCGTTACGATTATTCTCATTGATAGAACATCAATTAGGAAGAACAGAAGAATGCCTGAAATTATTTTCATGCTTATAATTTTTTGAAAACAATTAATATGTGACAGAAAAAAGAGATGAAAATTATATATAATAGCTGTTGGATACCTTCATTTGTCCTTGACCATGCCTTCTCTCTGAGAGCCTTTACTTCCTGACATGTTAAACCTATAAAAGGTAAAATAAAACAAAATAAAATATCTGCTTCCTGAGTCAAATATTCTGCCCTATATTGCACTAGTAAGGATACGGGAAGAAAATCAGCATCAGAATAAAGACATATAGGCTAAATTACATAAGAAAGGGCTGAAGGGGTAAGTAGGAGAGAAAGACAAAGTTTGATGGTGTTTCTCTGCAAAAGGGCATTTGATAGAAAACACTGCGGAAGAAAATGGAAAGTCATCTTGGGTGACATTCTGGGATGATAAATAGATTCACAATTTTAATAGAAGCTTTCTGTGTAATTTCTCTGTTTAGTGTTCAAGAGAACTTAAATGAAGGTTTAATCTAATTTCCAAAGTTATATATGGATTTAAAAAATCCAACAGTATGGTAAGATTGGCCTTATGACATAGCCCAGTTTATTGAAAAAATACAATACATGAAGAAAGATAAACGCAATTATTTACGCACGTCATAACTGCATCTCTAGAAAATCCTCAGTACAAAATCAAAGTGATTAAAGAGAGTTTACATACATGTGACATAAATAATACAGCATGATTTTTATAAAAGAAAAGACAGCATTGCCAACACCAATGACCTAAAAATATACCCTAAAGACATATCATTATAGTTACAAAAGTATAACTTATGTAGGAACATATTTAATAATTATATCTAGGCTTTAAAAAACTGTGGTAGTACAAAATATTACTAGAACATAAAAAAAGTTTAAACAAACAAGAATGTAAATTATGCTTCACATTAGGAAGATAAACATTGTAAAAGTATCTTTTTCCAGTTTAATAACCTATAAAAATATGAGGCCTACTTTATTTGTGACTTAATAATTATTTTTAAATTTTAAAAATGAGCAATAATATCAAAAAATCTAAAAATTATGGCAAATATGTGCATGTGTTTGTAGTGGAGAGAGGGCCTTGTCCTTTAAATATCTGAATATGTCTAATATTCTAAGGATATATTTCAAAGACTGTTGCAAGAAATAAATGTCTAGATCAATGAAAAGAAACAGTTTCTTCTCTATACAAAAACAGACATATGAAAATAAATTATATTCCATGATAAGATATGATACCCACAAAAATTAAAAATTTTGAAAAGCTATCAGATAATTTTATAAATATTTTAGGTATCTCAAAGAAATTTTTAAAAAATTTAGATTCAAACTAGAAAATCTACAATTTACAAATATAAAATTGAGATTTGTGCTAATAAGAAATCATCATATGAAATGCAAAAACAGAATATCCCGAAGTTCAGCATTCATAATGATTTTCCTAAATTACCAAGATAAATTATGATGTCTCTCTCCTTCAACACACAAGTTTCATGAGGGCAAGGAGTATATCTATTTATAGCCTCTGTATTTTCGGCAAGTAGCAAAGAACCCCAGACATAGTAAGTGTTAATACATATTTGCTGAATGAAAAATACAGTTAACTGGAGGAATGAGGGAACACATTAGAGTGAAATAATGACCACACCAAGAATACAAGCATACCTCGGAGATATTGTAAGTTCAGTTCTAGACAACTGCAATAAAGTGAGTCATACAAAGTGTTTGGTCTCCAAAAGCATATAAAAGTTATATTTTATACTGTAGTCTATTAAGTGTGTGATAATATTATATCTAAAACAATAAAATATTTCTAAACATTGTCTAAATATTGTTTATGTCTAAACAATAAAAAGATACTTTAATTAACAATATTTCCGTTTTAAAAAGTTAATGATTGGCCAAGGTGGGTGGATCACCTGAGGTCAGGAGTTTGAGACCAGCCTGACCAACAAGGTGAATCCCTGTCTTTACTAAAAATACAAAAATTAGCTGGACGTGGTGGCAGGCGCCTGTAGTCCCAGCTACACGGGAGGCTGAGACAAGACAATTGCTTGAACCCGCAAGGCGGAGGTTGCGCTGAGCTGAGATCACGCCACTGCACTCCAGCCTGGGCAACAGAGCAAGACTGTCTTAAAAAAAAAAAAAAAAAGTTAATGGTCATGTGAGCCTTCAGCAAGTCATAATCTTTTCACTGATGGAGGGTCTTGCCTCAATGTTGATGGCTGCTGACTGATCAAGGTGGTGGTTGCTGAAGGTTGGAGTGTCTGTGGTTATTTCTCAAAGTAGGACAATGAAGTTTTCCTCATGGATTAACCCTTTTACAAAAGATTTCTTTGTAGCGTGTGATGCTGTTTAATAGCATATTATGCACAGCAGAACTTCTTTCAAAAAGGAAGCCAATCCTCTCAAACCCTGTTGTTAATTTGCCAATTATGTTTATGCAGTATTGTAAATATTTTGTTGTCATTTCAACAATGCCTACAGTATCTTCACCAGGAATAGAGTTCATCTCAGGAAACCACTTTCTTTGCTCATTCCCAAGAAGCAACTTCTCATCCATGAAACTTTTATCATGAGATTGCAGCAATTCAGTCGCATCTTCAGGCTACACTTCGAATTCCAGTTCTCTTGCTCTTTCCACCACATCTTCAGTAACTTCCTCCACTGAAGTCTTGAATCCCTCAAAGTCATCCAGGAGACTTGGAAGCAACTTCTTCCAAATTCCTGTTAATGGTATTTTGACCTTCTCTCATGAATCATGAATATTCTCAATGGTGTACACATGTACACTTTCCTCAAGGTTTTTTATTTATTTTACCCAGATCCATCAGAGGAGTCACTATCTATGGTAGCTATAGCTTTATGAAATGCATTTTTAACTAATAAAACTTGGAAGTTAAAATTACCCCTTGATCCACAGGCTGCAGGATGGATATTGTGTAGGCAGGTATGAAAACATTAATCTACTCGTACATCTCCATTTCACCTCTTGGATGTATATGTTGTCAGTGGAAGTAATATTTTAAAGAAATTTTTTTTTTTTTTTTTTTGAGCAGTAGGTCTCCATAGTGGCCTTAAAACATTCAGTAAACCACGGTACAAACAGATGTACTGTCATTTAGCCTTTGTTGGTTCATTTATAGCACACAGGCAGAGGAGATTTAACATAATTCTTAAGGGCCCTAGGATTTTTAGAATGGTAAATGAGCATTAACTTCAACATAAAGTCACCAGTTGCATTAGTTTCTGACAAAAGACTCAGCTTGTCCTTTCAAGCTTTGAAACCAGGCATTTATTTCTCCTCCCCAGCTATGAAAGTTCTTCTAAGGCTGTTTTGCCTACATTGAAAATCTGTTGTTTAGCATGTTCACCTTCATCAATTAGCTTAGCCAGATTTTCTGGATAACTTGCTGCAGCTTCTGCATCAGCACTTGCTGCTTCACTGTGCACTTTCATGCTATGGAGATGACTTTTTTCCTTAGACTTCATGAACCAACTTCTGCAAGCTTCCAACTTTCCCTCTGCAGCTTCTTCACCTCTCTTAGCCTTTATAGAACTGAATAGAGTTAGGGCCTTGCTCTTGATTAAGCTTTTGTTTAAGGGAATGTTGTGTCTGGTTTGATCTTCTATCCAGACCACTAAAACTTTCTTCGTATCAGCAATAAGGGTGTTTTGATTTATCATTCCTGTGTTCACTGGAGTAGCACGTTTAATTCCCTTCAAGAACTTTTCCTTTGCATTCACAACTTGGCTAACAGCTCAGCACAAGAGACTATGTTTTCAGTCTATCTCAGCTTTCAACATGCCTTTCTCACTAAGTTTAATCATTTCTAGCTTTTGATTTAAAGTGAGAGACACATAATTCTTCCTTTCCCTTGAACTCTTAGAGGGCATTGTAAGGTTATTAATGGCCTAAGTACAAATATTGTTATGTCTCAGGGAACAAAGAGGCTACAGGAGAGAGAAATAGATGTGGGGGACAGACAGTGGAACAGTAAGAACACATGCAACATTGATCGATTAAGTTAGCTGTCATATGTGTGTAGTTCATGTTACACCAAAACAATTACAATAGTAACAACAAATACCACTGATCACAGATCACCATAACAGATAAAAATAATGAAAAAGTTTTTGAAATATTGCAGGAAGTATTAAAATGTGACATTGATACATGAAGTTTTTCTACATGTTGTTAGAAAAATGCTGCCCATAGACTTGCTGGAAACAGAGTTGCCACAAACCTCAAATTAAAACAAAACAAAACAAAACACAGGATCTGTAAAGTGCAATAAAGTGAAGTGCAATAAAACGAGAGGTGCCTATAGTCAGTTTCTACAAAGAGTTGCACATGAAACAGACCCTGAAAAACATTGGTTCAAATAAATTCATGCTCTAATTCATGTTTCTGCCTTGGTGGATAACTGTATTGTTATACAATATTCCAGTTACAAAATTCCAATAGAATGTATTCATCAAAACCACTCTATCAGTAAACAAATTTTCTAATGTAAATTCCTAATGAACTACAGAATTTAAAATTTTTCAAAATATATTAAAATTATAAAAATTAACATGATATATAACATTTAGTCATGCGTTTAGATTTAATAATTTAACAATATATTAAAAATGATACTTTTATCTTCTTTGACTCAAGACAGAAGTTCAAAGGTAGATGGGCAATTATTTTCACTAAATATGACACAAAAAGAAATAATATATAAAGGCTTCAGGTTTTATTTATATAAGTTGAAAACGTTAACTATTAACAATCCATCATCAGAAGGTCCAAATGAGAGAAGATTAAATAATTAAATGAACACATGGAAATTATTTATATTCTTTGGTAATAAAAATGTAAAGTAGAGCAATTGTGGTCATTTTCTATTTAATAAACTAGCTATTTAATAATAATCAAATAAAATCTGGTATTAATATGTTGTGGTAATACTGATAAACAGTTGAATGTGAGGTACATTTGTGGAAAACAATATAAAATAAATATTGAAGGCCACACAAATGTTCACAGCCTATGTCCCCCAAATTTCAATTCTGAATACTTAACTTGAAACAAAAACCCACAAAAGACAAAAGTTAAAAAGAGATATCAGAGAAAATGATAAAGACCTTTGAAAAATCTACCTCTCCATAAATACAAAGATTTAAAAAGGCGAAATTGTCAAAATCAACATTTTCAGAATTCCAGAAATATAGCAAAGGCTTCCAGCAACTGTGTGAACAACTATTCAAGAAAAACAGATAAATCTTGGTAAGAACACAAACATTTGTGGCTTCTTAACTTTCCTTGGTCCCAGCCCTGACTCTGAAGGTCAACAGAGCCTTGAAAAATAAAGGTCCACATTTACGATATCGGAGGAGGAAGAAGAGAGTTGCAGTTTTTTGCAAGCCTCATTCCTAAAGAACTGTCATTTTTAGAAATACCTGGTTATTCCCTGCAAGACTTCACTTCTAAAGCTGTGAGCATGATCAGGAAAAAGTCAGGCTAATATTATCGGAAAGAAGAGATTTAAAGGAATTAGCATCTATCAAAGTCCAACTCTTCTAGAGATATCTTACATTTCTGAGATATGAGAATTTACATATTACACTTATCTATTCAGTGGTTCTTAACCAGAATAGTATCCAGATTTTGAGGACTTTGTTGTTGTTGTTACTGTTAGAGGAAGGGTCTCATTATGTCGCCCAGGCTACATTCAAACTCCCAAGCTCAATCAGTCCTCCCATCTCAGCCTCCCAAGCAGCTGGGACTACAGCTGCTGCACCGCCATGCCTGGCTTCAAGGAAATATTTGTAAACATACATGTCCACGCTTTATTAGACTTACTCTATCAAAATCTTCAGGGGAGAGCCTAGACTTGTAGATTTTTTTAAATTTTTCTGCAGGTTACTGTGATGCACAATTCTAGTTGAGAACTAGTGCAATAGACAATTACTTCAGTCTCATCTCTCACCCATATAACCAAATCCCTTTATCATTTGAGGATTTGGCACACACACAGAAAAGACCCATGAAAGCCCTAATCTCTCACCTCTGGTTGACCTTGAGACTCTGCATGTGCCAGAAGGAAAGGCTAAGGCTGAGCTGTCAAGTCCTTGGATGAGTGTTGAAGATGTATCTGAACATGCACATAAAGATGCTCAGCAAAGACAGAGATTTGATTCCAGGAATCTAGAGAAATATCTGTTCCGCCATTAATTGACCATTAAGCCAACTGGATAGAGATTTCAGTGAGTGGCCACAGAGGGCTTCAGAGAACTAATTTAGAAAAGTTGCTAAATTAACAACTACAAAAATCAGCAGGGAAAGCAAACCCTAGAGAAGAAGAACAATCTGATGACCACAGGTTCTCACGTTCTATTATTTTAAATGCCCAGTTTTCAACAAAAATGTATGACATCCAAAAAAAAAAAAAACCGGACAAATGGTTCATACAGAGGAATAAAGCAAATAGACTTTTGTCAAAATCAGTTTGGATACTACAGTTACACTTTGATACATAAAAATCTTGAAAGTCAGCATTCGGTTTCTCTTAAAAGAAAAAGCTGAACGGAAATACTCAACAATTTTTCTTAGGTCCATCAGTGAATTAAGGTTACAATGTAAACTGACACCCCAAAAACTGGAGGGTCAGGCTAATGCAGAAGTTGCTGGAGCCAAAAATGGGTAGAGAAGTGTAAGATCTAATTGATTAACTATTGGAGGCTGAGTGTGGACTAGTTTGAGAGTTAAAAACTTCTGGGGAGTCAGTATTAGAGGGCCAGGTATATTTTTACTTTTATCTCCAGCTCCACCTTGTTCTCACAGTTGAAATTTGAGGAATACTCCTTTCGACTTCTAGAAGAAGGGGAAAAGTAGTTATTTTGAATTATTGCCAGGGTAAAAATTGCCATTTTGAAATATACCCAGAAGGTTTGGTTTACCACTACCCCTCAAGGGAAACTACCTTAACAGAGACTAACCAATGGAAAGAGGGAAATATTCACTTCAGCCCCTCTAGACTTCTTGTTAAACCTAAGGTGAAAAGAAATCTGAGAAGCATGAGATAACATTATGCATTTGTCAAAACCCAGAGATCTGTACCACAAAAGAATGAGTCATGGACCTTAGTTCATAAAAATGTATCAATATTGGTTTATCAACTTTAACAAATACACAACACTAATGCAAGATGTTAATAATATTGGAAATTGTGAATGTGGGTTAGGAGATAGTGAGTATATGAGAGCTCTGTATTATGTACCAGTTTTCTATAAACCTGAAAATACTCTAAAGACAGTCTACTAATTAAAAAAAAAAATAAGTGAAATGTCACTTCACAGCCACTAGGAGGCTATAATAATAAAGTAAAAACAAACCAAGAAACTAATAACTGTTGGTAGGGATGTGGAGAAACTGGAGTCCATGTATTTTGTATTATGAAATGTAAACTATGGCTGCTTCTGTGGAAAGCAATTTGGCAATTACTAATAAAGTTAAACACTGAAATTACAAAATGACCCAGCAATTCCATTCCTAACTATACACCCAACAGGAATGAAAACATATGTTTGCATAAAAACTTGTATTCAAATATTCATAGCAGCATTATTCATAATATTCCTAAAACAGAAACAACTAAAACATCTATCTACTGATGAATGTATAAACAATAGGTGGAATATCCATAAAGAATAATAGTATTCAGTCATACAAAGGAATTAAATATGAATACATTTTACAACATGGATGAACCTTGACAGCATTATCTTGGTTGAAAAGGTGAAAGGCATGCAGAGCCAACTATTTTATAAAATCATTGATATGAAATATCTAGAGTAAACAAATCCATAGAGCAAGAAAACAGATTTGTGGTTCCAGAGGCTGGGTAGAGGAGGAATGGGGAAAGAATGCTAGTGGTACAGGGTTTCTTTCAGTGGTTATGAAAGTGTTCTAGAAATAGATAGTGGTAATGGCCACACAAACTTATACTAAAAATTCTAAATTGTAAACTTTAGAAAGGTAAATTTTATGCTATGTGAATTGTAGCTTAATTTTAAAAAGCTAAACACAGTATCACTTAGCATATATGCCAAAATAGAACAATAGTTATTTAAATTATGATAAAGAAGACTGAGAACTATTATTCAATAAAAACGTAATTATCAAGAATTACAAAAATGTATGTTATTTATATAATTTAAATTTTAAAATTATACTTATAATGCATCTGTATAAATACATCTATATCCATTAAAAGATAATGTATATGAAAGAAAACAGTAGTGTTTTACTATTAGGCATGTCATATTTTTTGTATTTCCAAAATTTTTATATTCTAGTAAAATTTTAAACAGTAAAAAACAAAAAATAAAAAATCCTTTGGAATCTACATAAGAATACTAAGTTGATTATAATTAGATGAAAATAAAATTGGTATGATTTGATGTCAAATGACAATTAGATAATACATTTAAGATACTCTCATAAACAAAAAATAAATTATATAAAAAAGTAAGCCAAATAATTTATCAAATAAAACTGTCATTCAAGTATATAGGCCAGAGATAATTGCTATGAACATTCAAGAAATGAAAGAATATATTTCCTGGGATCCCTTTCTGAATCCACTAGAAAGTAGATGTAGTACAACAAAAATGAAGGGAGAAATTTGGCATAGTACAGGCAGTGAATCTTGAATATGTTAGCTTTTTAACTAATATCGAAGGATGGGAAAAGTATAATAGGCTGGAAGGCTTATGTACTTATGCTCTGACAATGCAGATCCAGTACTGATGATGCAGATACAGTACTAGTACCAAAAATATGGTGTTGGGTGTGGAGTGGGAGTATATGCAAAATACAATAAGAATACTATATAAGTATAAGCCAGGAATAAAACAATATTCCTTAATTAAATGATAGGAAGACGGAATGCAAAGGCAAGAAAAGCTTCCTAGCTGATTTTGGTATTGCTCATAATAAAGATCCAATACACATTATCTAAGAGAGAGAGAAGTAAGATATTAGTATCATAAACTTTTCTAAGTGTTAAAAAGGACAGCAAATAATGTACAAAATACATATGTATAAATGCATTTAAATATAAAAATGTAATGAAAATGAAACTTTATGAGTCTTATTTGTAATTGTAAACGGGCTTAAATCATCAATAGTTAAGTGAACTGTAAAAATATGTTGTATACATCACACAAAGTGATTCAGAAAGTTTTAATTTAAGTGATGGGCAGAAATATACTAGGCAAATCAATAGAAAATACAGCAATTGTCATGATCTTTATATCTGACAACATAGAATTCTGATCAAAGAATATAGTGGGGCAAGTTTAAATATTTCATAATATGAAAGACTACTATATAAAATAATAGTATTACAGCTCATAACATTTATGCACCTAATTACATGGGACCAAATTTGAGGAGATGAAAAGAGAAACAGAAAAATCTACCAAAAGTAGGTAGATTAACAGATTTCTCTCAATCTAATAAAGATTGAAAGGATAAAAATTAGTAAAAACATATAGTAGATCTCAGTGACATAATCCATAAGGATGATCTTATAGATATTATACTCTTAACCAAAATATTTCATAGGTCTAAATAATATATGTCAAAAATAAATCAAAACCAATTAAATCTAAAAGTTATAGCAAGTCTATAATCCATACTTTCCCATGGGGAGTAAAGGAGAGGCCCCCAAAGAAAGGAAACAGGTAACCAGGTCAAATCTCCTAACAAACATGCTAATAACAGAAATTCTGGCAAACATACTAATTGACGTTTGTTAACTGGAGAGTTCTTATCAACAGAAAGCTTTCAGCAGGATGTTTTTGGCTGTTTGAATTATAACCATAAACAAACCTGAACCTACGTGTTTACGGGATATGGCTCCCTGAAAAACATCATGTTAACTATTAAACTACCTTAATAAAAAATGGAGCTGTTTCATGACTAGAGGGCAGTCTTCTGAATGAGTCGCATGGCTGCACATACATGCTTAAACACATAATTCTTTAATCTGGAGCAGAGTACATCCAACCAGGTGAGACAGGACCTGGAGAGCTGTTCTGATGGTCCCAGATGTCTCCCTGCTTCAACTGTACTTGAGAATTTCCTATAGCCTTAAAATCGTTAGCAAAGATACACACTTTATATGAGTCTGATTTGATTTGACTCTCCAATCCTTTTTATTATCTCTATGTTATTTCAAGGGAAACTTACAGCTTGACATAACTATATTAAAAAAGAAAAAAGCCTGAAAATTAGCGATCTAAGCAACCAAATTTAAAATATGTGGGACAGCAAACTCAAAGAAAGTAGAAGGAAGAGAAGGAAGGTAATAATATCCCAAATTCATAAAATACAAAGCAAAATAACAACAAAAACCTACAGATAATCCAAAAGTTTTGATATTAGCAATTTGAAAAGGTTAACACAAATGAATTACCTCTGGCAAGACTGTCAAGACTAAACAGAGAACCAGAAGAAACAAAAACAGTATTATGAATGTAAAGAAGAAACAACTGCATATAGAGAGATATAAAAGTAAAGACTATTATTAACACTATTGTACAACAGTATTGTAAACATTTAATATTTAACCAAATAGATTTTTAAAAGAAAAAATTATAACTTGCTAATCAATAGTGAATAGAAGATAAACAGAAAGCTTGAGTAGTACTAAGGCCAATAAATATTTTGTATCAATAATTATATCCCTCCAAATTAAGAGGTAATTTTAGCCAAATACTCCAGAAAAAAAATAATAAAAATATATTATCTTTTTTGGAGAACAGAAAATAAAGAAGCACTCTATAATTCAATCTAGAAGTAATAAAACCCTCATTACCAAAACAAGAAATGTTCAGAAAACCTAGGGGCCAATGTTACTGAATAAGAAAGATGCAAACATCCTAAACAAATGATTATGAAACAAAATCTACAAATATATTAAAATACAGTAAAATTTAAAAAGTTGTTTGTCCCAGAAATGAAGTTTATTTAAAAGTTGTAAATCCATGTATGCAAGTCATTAAATTTAAAGATTAAAGGAAAAAAAAGTCCAGAAAAATGTTAGTAGATGTAGAAAAAGTATTAATAAAATTCACAACAGGTTCACAATTTATAGAAAATTATAAAGAATGATCTTTACAAACCATAAAAAAAATTAATGGCAAAACATTAAAAGTCTCACTTTAAAAATCATGAACAGGAAGATGTGTGCACATTTTAGTCACCTTCATTCAACAGGGCACACACACAAAAAACCAGCCTAGTGATAGAGAAGAAAATGGGAAAAAATTACATTGAGAAGAAAGTAAAAATTAAAACTTACTATTTTCAAATGATTTAACAAACATTAGTGAATAGGAGAGTTAAACTTGTTAGATGAAATAAAATATATAGAACTGTATATGTATTACATTAATATTTATATGTAATATATAAAATTAAATGAGATTTGGAAGAGATGAGTGAACACCAGGTTCTATTCTTTAAGCCAAATTATAAGTGCACAAATATATAATTTTATCAATATTCTTTAAACTTTACATGTATTTTCCAGATATGTTTACACATGCAAAGTATTTTCTATTTTAAAATATCAAAACACTATTCTGTAAAAAAATTCATTCTCTGCCTGTTATACAGAAAACATGTTATGGAAAAGACACATTGGAAAAACCTTAATAAATAAACGCACTATCAGTATTTTGATACAAATAAATGTGATGCTGCCATGAAATGCAGTTTTGTATTTAGAGAAAATACTGCCTGCAAAGCCAAAAAATTATAGTTTGTTAAAAGGTCCTGTTAATTGCAATAAAAATTGTTAGCCCAAACAGAGCTAACCATTTGTAAATGTGACTCATCTGAAAATACTATTGGTCAGCTTGTTTAAGATATATGGCTGTAATTTTACAGAACAATTTGAAAAAGATTGGTAATTTGTTTTATGATTTATGTCAACTGAGAACACAGAATAATCATCCAGTTAATTATTTTTATTTTTATTGTTTGTTTTTTGAGACAGGGTCTTGCTCTTCACCCAAGCTGGAGTGCAGAGCCGCATGCGACATCTGCCTCCTTGGTTCAAGGGATCCTCCTATCTCACAGCTTCCCAGTAGCTGGGACTACAGGCATATACCATCAGGCCTGGCTAATTTTCGTATTTTTTGTAAAGACAGGGTTTCACTCTGTTTCCCAAGCTGGTCTCCAACTCCTGGTCTCAAGTGATCCACCCACCTCACCCTCCTGAAGTGTTGGGATTACAGGCATGAGCCACTGCGCCTGGCCCCATTAATTATTTTTAGAATGGTGAGAGTTTCCATATGATTGCAGTAGTTACATCATGAACGAAAGAACATCAAAAAATGATTTTATTTCGGATAATTTTAAAAGTGTTATTATGCTGAATGTACTTTCACAGAAGTTAGTAAATATGACCTCCCATGGTGTTCTTGTGATAGAATTAATGACAAACTTTTTCAAAAGTTAGTATATAATACATAATTAAAATCTTCAAAGACATAGCAATAAACACTGGCATAAACACACAGGACTGATAAATTCCTGTGGCTTAAACACAGAAATTTCAATGCTTTTCTGGATTAGCTGTATGTTGTTTATAATGGCTGGTTGTCTTACATACAGAATAGGAAATCTGATGATGGTGTGAAGCCAAAGTGACAAAAGTAAATTTTAACTGATAATCCCCATTGATGTTAGCATTTCAAATATGGCTTTTAATGTCACTTAAATACAAAAGTCCTAAACTTGCTCACCAAGCACATTTTAAAAGACAATTTATTAACTATATTCTTTTCCAAAGTGTTAGCCAAACAGACATATTTTCATTTCTTATGCATTTACAGATGTCTATATCACAGAAGACTTACATTCCATTAAATCATGTGATATGTAGTTTTATCTGCTATGTATATCTATTGCATCAAATGATGGTGGGTGGCTTAAGTCATGCTTAATATGATTGACTTTCTAGCTTTTGCTTGCAAACGAGTGTAGACTGGATCATTTTCTGTTCCAATTTAGAATAGGCTTTGTCAAGTCATTCAAAGGAAAATCACCAGCGCAGCTCTCTGAAGTCTTGGAACAAACTATTAGTCTTTTTAATTCGCATTATAATCAACCCCAAAACTTTCAGTTCTTTCAACTATTTAAATATGAGTTACACACCTGTATGATTCTCTGTTCATTCCAAATTGTGTTTTTGGGGAAATTATTTTAAATGAATAACTTGTTCCATGTTACTAATCTGAGATTGGGATCAATTTCCAGAAATAAAAACAAGCTTTTGCTTAAGCTTTACAAAACAAACTCTATAAATGAAAATGAAATAACATTTTTTTTCAATTAATGTTGATAGAAGAAATAAAGAGCTACAAACCAAGGTTTTTCAAATATTTTGAAAATATGTGGTGATGAAATAAGATTCTAACCCAAGGCTAATAATTTTAAATAAAATCCATTCTGTCATGACCTTATTCACGTTTGGAATTACTAAATGACTGCTTTCAATTATAACCCTGAAGAAAATTGTAGTAAGTTGATTGCAATAATAACCCCAATAATTTTCTCCTCCCCGTATTCACTTTCCTTTGCAGTGTGACTTTGCAGCATCTTCCATCAAGAGGTGGAGTCTAATCTCCTACCCATAGATCTGTGCCAGTTCTGTGATTTGCTTTGATCAATAAAATGTGACAGAAATGATAGGGCACCAGTTCTGCGCATTGGCCTGAAGAGGTCTTCTGTGCTTCTGTCCCTCCTCTTGAAACTGCCAAAACCCAGAGATCAAGCCCCTTAATAGTATGCTGGAATATGAGAGACAAGCAAGTGCAGAGCTGAATCAGCCTAATTTTCCCAGCCAAGACCCTAGACCTGTAAACGAGCTCAGCCAAAATAAGCAAGATCAGTAATGGTACTGAATTAACCTGTGGCTTACTCCAGATGCATGAGTGAGCTGTACTGAGCCCACCTGATATCAGCAGAACCATCCAGCCGACTCATGCACAAGTGAGCATAAAATGAATGTTCATGATGCTGTATGCACCTGCATTTTTATGGTTGGTTGTTACATAGCATCAGTGCAGCAGTGATAACTGATACAAAGACTACCTATTGTTCTCAAAGTATTCAAGGTTAAGTTCTATACCAGGGTTGGCAAATGTTTTCTGGAAAGCATCAGATAGTAAAAATTTTAGATTTTGTGGGCCAAATGCAGTCTCTGTTGCATATTCCTTATTGTCTTCTTTTTTCTTTTCTTTTCACAACTCCTTACAAATATAAAAACCATTCTTAATTTGGGGTCTGTAAATAAAAGGCTGCTGGCCAGATTTGGGCAATGGGCTATAATTTACTGACCTCTGTTTTATATCATGCAAAGATATGACATTGCTAACATGATACAGAATAAAAGATGTCAGAGCTCAAGATGCAAAAAAATAAAGTAATGCAATAAAATCATATAATTTTAAAAATAGAATTATATTAGTATTTTCATTTTTAATATTCCATGTTTAGCTTCAGTGATGTGATAGTAAAAGTTTAATATCCAGCTGTTAGTTGGTAATAAATACTAACACCATGGCCAATTTGAAGTTACCAGTGGAATGGAATCGAGAAGAGATATATACAAGAGCTGATTACAGCACACCATTGTTGTACTGCTTACCTATTTTATTACCTATAACACAGTTCATCCATAATTATAAAATAAACTGATTATAATTCAGATAATGTGTTTTTGTTACGCTGACTCACTCTTTTCTCTTAGCTCACTTTACTGGTCCCAGTAAGTTTTGGTTTTGTGACCATTATCTTGGAAAAGATTACTATCTTTGCAGTTGCCCTCCTCTGTAAGTGATGTGAATTCCATTTATCTATGAACTATTTTCAAAGAAAATCAATTTATGATAAACTTACCTATATTGGTTTGATCATCTCTAGTGGAAGAAGAGGAAACTGTCTTGTTTTCAGTCATAGTTATAAGAATATTTTAAAACCTAATTAGAAAGAAAAATATTTAAATATCATGAATCTAAATTAGTTTATATTTAATTTTACTAAAAATTGTCAATTCAAGAACTGATAGTGTAAAATGTAAGGATGTAAAATGTAAGGAAGTCCAACAATGTACTCTTTTTCTTATTAGGACTATTACGATCTCATTCAGAAATATCAAATATAAAAATCTTCATTAAAGAGGGATCTTTGATCTTCTACTTTGCTAGTGACTTAAACCAATACCTAGGCTGACTACGAGATAATTTAGCATTGGCAATTGTAGCTATGGGTTCACAGCCCTGGGGGGATTCTAGAACCTACAATGTTTTCATTTCATATAATAAAAGTTTAACTTTACTACCATCTATCTCTTCTTTACCTTCCTTCAGTTCCTTTTTAAAATATTTTAAGAGTAGAGCAAAAAGTGCAATGGATTTCTATATCTCCATCAACCAATTTCAACAATTATCAATTTGTGACCAATTCTGAATTCTATACACCTACAAACTGCCCTGTCTCACCTACTTCTGATAATGGTTAAGCAAAACACAAGTATCATATTATTGTATCTGTAAATATTTCAAAAAATTTTTAAACATAGCCATAATACCAATAATGTAATTAACACAATTAATGATGTCTTAATATCACTAAACATATTTTGTGTTCACATTTGTCTCACATTTTCTGTTTTTAAGAATTGTTTAAAGCAATAATACAAACAAGGTCCGTACATAGCATTTAAGTGAAATGTCTCTTAATTATCTTTTAGTCTATGCGTTCTCCCTGTACTTTTTTTCTCCCTGTACTTTACCTAAGTAAATATCAAATATTTTGTCCTATAGAGTTTTCCACATCGCTAACAACCTCCCTGTGCTGTATTTAACAAGTTTCTCTGTTCCCTATAATTCCTGCAAATTGGTATTAATTAGAAACTCAAAGTGCTGAACAGAAAGAAAATAATTCTATAAACACAGAAATAACAATTGTCTCATTTAATTTGCAGATCTAAATCATTATATAGTTTAGATACTGGAAATCATCTAATTTATTTTTTGTTTGTTTGTTTTACAAGTCAGAAAATCTTGACTGAAATTAGTAAATTAATGCAATGAAAAAAGACTTCTTAGACAAAAGTGCTATGAAAGAAAACCCTAAATCCAAGCCTAGTGCTCTTCCAAATAAACCACTCTACCTCATAAAGACCAACTTTTAAAGAAAAGTAAGCTATAGAAAAGAGCATAACTAAATGTTGAGAGAACATAACAGTGTTTTATGGACATTAACATTTTTTAATTCAATGAAGATTATAGTTAAAACATATAATTTTATTTCTTCTACTACACAAAATTACTGGAAAAATTAAATAATATTAATAAGAAAATGAATTCCTCCAGTAAGATAGAACTGGGTAAATTGAAAAAAAAATGCTTCTACTGCTATTAAAAAATCTGGTTGAAATATAATTTTTGAATCTTCAAAAAAGCATCTAAGAATTAACAAGGTAATAAGGAATACCTAGTTCCAGATCTAATAGAAGTCAAAAATCCAGAGAAGTGAGACTAACATTTTAGGCCACTCTTTCCCTGGGGACAACATCTGACCCAGGAGAGGCAACTGAGAGGTTGGGCAGTACTTGTGAGGGCCACACAAAACTTTGGAAACAGAAGATGGAATCCAGACTCTGCCAAATGTAGGTGCCCTGAGAAATTAACCCATTCCTAGGACTGAGACCCCAAAAGTCTGTATTTCAAGAAACAGAATGAAACAGAAATAAAATCTATGAGAAGACTGCCCATAGACTGAAGCCCAGCCTCAAATTACCCGGGTAATTCCAAATCTCAGTAAGGCCATTCTTGCCCATTTTGTGTGTTGACTCACAGGACACTCAACATACAAAATGACTATGTAACCAAAATCAACAGAAACAAAAGACAGCATAAACTAATCCAAAGACACTCTAAATAGCAAAATTACCAGATAATATATCACTAGAAAACTTTGCTTAACATCTTTATAAATCGATCATGTTTATAACATCAAATTTTAAAATGTCAAAACTAAAAATAATAAAAATTAATATTGTCGATTTGAAAAGCAGCCAGTTAGAAATCTGTGAACTGAAAACTGCCATAACTGCAATTCTAAACTCCCTGGTTTAATTTTAATGTAGCTGTGACTAGGCTGAATAAGGAATCAGTAAAGCAAATTTAGAAAAAAAAACTATCTTGAATGAAGCATGCAGTTACATAAGAACAGAACAGAGCCCTCAGAAATAACACCACACATCTACAACCATCTAATCTTTGACAAACCTGACAAAAACAAGAAATGAGGAAAGGATTCCCTATTTAATAAACAGTGCTGGGAAAACTGGCTAGCCACAGGTAGAAAGCTGAAACTGGATCCCTTCCTTACACCTTATACAAAAATTAATTCAAGATGGATCAAAGACTTAAATGTTAGACCAAAAACCATAAAAACCCTAGAAGAAAACTTAGGCATTACCATTCAGGACATAGGCATTGGCAAGGACTTCATGTCTAAAACACCAAAAGCAATGGCAACAAAAGCCGAAATTGACAAATGGGATCTAATTAAACTAAAGAGTTTCTGCACAGCAAAAGAAACTACCATCAGAGTGAACAGGCAACCTACAGAATGGGAGAAAATTTTTGCAATCTACTCATCTGACAAAGGGCTAATATCCAGAATCTACAAAGAACTCAAACAAATTTACAAGGCAAAAACAAACAACCCCATCAACAAGTGGGCTAAGGATATGAACAGACACTTCTCAAAAGAAGACATTTATGCAGCCAACAGACACATGAAAAAATGCTCATCATCACTGGCCATCAGAGAAATGCAAATCAAAACCACAATGAGATACCATCTCACACCAGTTAGAATGGCGATCATTAAAAAGTCAAGAAACAATAGATGCTGGAGAGGATGGGGAGAAATAGGAACACTTTTACACTGTTGGTGGGACTGTAAACTAGTTCAACCATTGTGGAAGATAGCGTGGTGATTCCTCAAGGATCTAGAACTGGAAATACCATTTGATCCAGCCATCCCATTACTGGGTATATACCCAAAGGATTATAAATCATGCTGCTATAAAGACACATGCAAACGTATGTTTATTGCGGCACTATTCACAATAGCAAAGACTTGGAACCAACCCAAATGTCGATCAATGATAGACCGGATTAAGAAAATGTGGCACATATACACTATGGAATACTATGCAGCCATAAAAAATGATGAGTTCATGTCATTTGTAGGGATGTGGATGAAGCTGGAACCCATCAGTCTCAGCAAACTATCGCAAGGACAAAAAAACAAACACCGCATGTTCTCACTCATAGGTGAGAATTGAACAATGAGAACACATGGACACAGGAAGGGGGACATCACACATCAGGGCCTGTCGTGGGGTGGGGGGATGGGGGATAGCATTAGGAGATATACCTAATGTAAATGACGAGTTAACGGGTGCAGCACACCAACATGGCACATGTATACATATGTAACAAACCTGCACGTTGTGCACATGTACCCTAGAACTTAAAGTATAGTTTAAAAAAAACAGAAATAAAAGAAAATTCAAAAGCAAGCATAAATTCAACACTCCTGACCTCTACTTTTGGGAAGATGGAATAGATATACACTTTTCCTTATTCCTTCCTGTAAGTACAATAAAAAAAACTCTGGGTGCATTATATGTAAAACCAACATAAGAAGACTGAAAGGTGTAGAGAAGAAGGCAGACTAGCTAGGAGACTTGTTACCAGAGAAACAAGGAGGTAGTAAATTTCTGAGATTTTCTCTATGCTTTGTATATTCCAAACTTGAAGTAGAAGAGACCAGCAACCCAGAAATGCCAATGGGTATAGACAAAATAAAGCTCCAACAAAAGCCTGCTTTCTTTAGTCAAGAGACCAGGAAAGGGGCGGCTTAGTAAGAGGGAATGCATTTAGACAGTAACATCTCTACTCCAGCTAAACACATCAGAAAAAAACTGCCCGGGCCGGGAGCGATGGCTCACGCCTGTAATCCCAGCACTTTGGGAGGCCGAGGCGGGTGGATCATGAGGCCAGGAGTTCGAAACCATCCTGACTGACACGGTGAAACCCCGTCTCTACTAAAAATACAAAAAATTAGCCGGGCGTGGTGGCGGGCGCCTATAGTCCCAGCTGCTCTGGAGGCTGAGGCAGGAGAATGGCGTGAACCCAGACGGCGGAGCTTGCGGTGAGCAGAGATCGCGCCACTGCACTCCAGCCTGGGTGACAGAGCCAGACTCTGTCTCGAAAAAAAAAAAAAGAAAAAAACTGCCCCCACAAAGACTGAATCAGAAGCCTAGACTATATCTACCCTGGATAGGCTATAATGAGGACCCCAAATTTCCTAGTGGGTAGTGGTATCAGAGTAAATAAACTGTAGGGATTCAAGACTTTCATCTTTACTGATAGGACTCAAGAACCACACCCTACTCTCCAACTCTCCCAGCACCTCATGATCATTTGGAAACTATGTGGGGAGCCTGGACTTCCACCCACTCCCACAAGTAAAGAAGTACCTTTATTCTTCCCCACTGGGTAGTGTGAGACATTACTTGCACCACAACCCAGCAGTAAAAAGGCTACACCACTCTCAAGGTGTCAGTGAAAGCCACATAGGGAGAAGTAACAAGGCATTCCTCCTACCCCTTCCAGCCAGAAAGAGCTGGAACTCCCACCCTTGCCCAGCAGTAAAAGTGCAAAGTGCAAATTAAAACCATAATGAGATATCTATCTATGAAAATGACTAAAATTAAAAAAAATAGTTGCAACATGAAATGCTGGCAAGTATGTGGAGAAACTGGGTCACTTAGGCATTGCTGGTTAGAATGCAAAATGATGTAACCACTCTGGAAAATACTTTGGCAGTTCCTTTCAAATCTAAAGATGAACTTAACAATAAGACGCAGCAATTGCACTCTTAAACATATATCCCAGATAACATTTTCATTCAGATTGTACATGAATATTCTTAGCAGTTTTGTCCACAATAGCCAAAACCTGCACGCTACCTAGATGTCTCTCAGTGGGTGAATGGCTAAACAAATTGTGGTACATCCATACAATGGAATACAATCCAGAAAAAAAGGAAGACTATTGATACATGCAACAATTTTGATGAACTCCATACTAATTATGCTGAGTGAAAAAACCTGCAATCTCAAAAGGATACATATTGCATGATTCCATTTATATTCATGACATAACATAATTACAGAGTGGGAGAACAGATTAGCAGATGCCTAGGCCTAGAGATAGGGGAGGAGTAATATCAAGGAATGCTGTGGTGGGGTAAGTCTCATGATGTTGGTGATGATATACAAAGCTACACATAAAATAAAAGTTCACAGAGCTGTATACACACACACACACACACACACACACACAAATAACTGCAAGTATTACCGCTGAAATCTGAATAAGTTCCATTGCCTGTATCAATATAAATTTTATGGTATTATTGTTATTATTGTTGTACTATAGTTATATATGATGTTAGTATAACATTGGGAACTGATAGTTGAAGGGAGCACAGGACTTTCCTGTGTATTTCTAAGCAATTTCCTATAAAACTATAATTATTTCAAAATAAAAAGCTTCTCAAGACTGAACCAGGAAGAGATTGAAACTCTGAATAGACCCATAACGAATTCCAAAATTTAATCAGTAATAAAAAGCCTACCAACCAGAAAAAGCCCAGTACCAGAGAGATTCATTGCCAAATTCTACCAGACATACAAAGAAGAGCTGGTACCATTCCTACTGAAATTATTCCAAAAAACTGAGGAGGAGGAATTCCTCCCTAGACTCATTCTATTAGGCCAGCATCATTCTGCTACCAAAATCTGGCAGAGACACAATGAAAAAGGAAAATTTCAGGCCACTCTCCTTGATGAACATAGATGCAAAAATTCTCAACGAAATACTAGCAAACCAAATTCAACAGCACATCAAAAAGCTAATCCACCACAATCAAGTCAGCTTTTTAAGTGGGATGCAAGGCTGGTTCAACATACACAAATTAATAATGTCATTTATTACACAAACAGAACTAAAAACTACATGATCATCTCAATAGATGCAGAAAAGGCTTTTGATAAGATTTAACATCCATTCATGTTAAAAACCTTCAACAAACCTGGCATCAAAGGAACATATCTCAAAATAATAAGAGCCATCTAATAAGACAAACCCACAGCCATCATCATACTGAACGGACAAAAGCTGGATTCACTTCCCTTGAGAACCAGAAAAAGACAAGGATTCCCACTGTCACCACTTCTATTCAACATAGTACTGGCAGTCCTGGCCACAGCAGTCAGGCAGAAGGAATAAATAAAACGCATCCAAATAGAGAGAGGGCTAAAGTATCCTTGTTTGCAGACAATACATTTCTATATCTAAAAAAAAAAACCGATAGTCTCTGCCCAAAAGGCTCCTAGATCTGATAAAGAATTTCAGCAAAGTTTCAGGATACAAAATCAATGGATAAAAATCAGTAGCATGTCTATACACCAACAACACCCCAGCTGAATGCCAAGTCAAGAACACAAGCCTATTCACAATAACCACACACAAAACATTACCTAGGAATACAGCTAACCAGGAGGTGAAAGATCTCTACAATGAGAATTATAAAACACTGCTGAAAGAAATCACAGATGACACAAATGGAAAATTATTCCATAGTCTTGGATTTGAAGAATCAATATTGTTAAAATGGCCACATTTCCCAAAGCAATTTACAGATTCATTGCTATTCCTACAAAACTACCAATGACATTCTTCACAGAATTAGAAAACAACTATGCTAAAAAATTCATATGGAACCAAAAAAATAAAAAAATCCCCACTTCAAACTATACTACAAGGCTACAGTAACCAAAACAGCGCGGTACTGGTACAAAAACAGAGACATAGACCAATGAAACAGAATAAAGAGCCCAGAAATAAAGCTGCACACTTTCAACCATCTGGTCTTTGACAAAGTCGACAAAAACAAGCAACGGAGAAAGGACACCCTCTTCAATAAATAGTACTGGGATAACTGGCTAGCTATATGCAAAAGATTGAAACTGGACCCCGTCCCTACACCACTATATTCAAAAATCAACTAAAGATGAATTAAGACTTAAATATAAAACTGAAAGCTATAAAAACCCTGGAAGATAACCTAGGAAATACCATTCTGGACATAGGCCCTGGCAAAGATTTCATGAAGATGCCAAAAGCAATTGCAACAAAAATTGACAAATGGGAGCTAATTGAACTAAAGAGATTCTGCATAGCAAAATAAACTATCAACAGAGTAAACAGACAACCCACAGAATGGGAGAAAATATTTTCTAACTGTGCATCTGACAAAGGTCTAATTTCCAGAATCTATAAGGAACTTGAGCAAACTAACTAATAAGTACAAACCAAAGAAACCCATTAAAAAGTGGGCAAACGACATGTAGACTTTTCAAAAAAAAGAAATACACGTGGCCAACAGGTATATCAAAAAATGCTCAACATCATTAATCACTAGAGAAATGCTAATCAAAACCACAATGCGATATCATCTCACACCAGTCAGAATGGCCATTAAAAAGTCAAAAAATAACAGATGCTGGTGAGGTTGTGAAGAAAAGGAAACGCTTATGCATTAGTTCAGCCACTGTGGAAAGCAGTTGGATGATTTTTCAAAGAACTCAAAACAGAATTACCATTCAACCCAGCAATCTTTCTTTCCTTCTTTTTTTTTTTCACCAATCTCATGATTGCATATATACCCCAAAAAAATAAAGTATTCTACCATAAAGATACATGTACACGTATGTTCATTGCAACACTATGCACAATAGCAAAAACATGGAATCATCCCGAATGCCCATCAATAGTAGACTGGATAAAGAAAACATGGAATGTTTACACCATGGAATAGTACACAGCCATAAAAAGAATGAGATCATGTCCTTTGCAGCCACATGGATGGAGCTGGAGACTGTTAAATCTTGGAAGTGAAATAACACAGGAACAGAAAAGCAAATATCACATGTTCTCACTTACATTGAGTACACATGGACACAAAGAAGGGAACAACAGACACTGGACCCTACTTGAGGGTGGGGTGAGGGAGGAAGGTGAGGATCAAAAAATTATTAGGTTGGTATAAAAATAATTGTGGATTTGCCATTATTATTATTATTTTTTTTACACCAAGTCTCACTGTCTCCAAGGCTGGAGTGCAGTGGCATGATCTTGGCTCACCACAACCTCTGCCTCCCAGGTTCAAGCGATTCTCATGCCTCAGCTTCCTGAGTAACTCGGATGACAGCCATGCACCCCAACACTCGGCTAATTTTCTGTATTTTTAGTAGAGATGGGATTTCGCCATGTTGGCTGGGCTGGTCTTGAACTCCTGACCTCAGGTGATCCATCTGCCTTGGCCTCCCAAGGTGCTGGGATTACAGGCATGAGCCACTGTGCCCAGCCTGCCATTACTTTTAATACCTATTGAGTACTACTAATATGCTTATTACCGTGATGAAATAATCTGAACACCAAACTCCCGTAACACACAATTTATATGACAAACCTGCACATGTACCACTGAAATTAAAATAACAGTTAAAAAAAGTAAAAAAAATTATAAAAAGCTTAAAATAAAGGCATAAAGGAAAAGCAAAAAGATAGCTAGAAAATCCTCATGCTTGTGGAAATTAAAAAATACACTATAAATAACCTATATAAAAGAATATATCACAATGGAACTTAGAAAATATTTTGGACAATGATTTTGAATATAAACATATCATAACATGTGGAATACAACCAGAGAAGCAATTAGAGGAGATGGTGTGGAAGTGGGAGGGAGTCTATTTTAGACAGGTTCTTCTGAGAAATTCTCTTTGATGAAGTGACATCTACCTATAATTAACTGAAGGAATGTGCCAAAGGATTTTAGGGAAGAGTTTCCAGGCATTGCTGACAAATATGCAAAGGTTCTATAGCAGAATGTGCTTAGAGTGGCCCAAATAAAGTAATGATAGGTAATTATTAATTCTAGAACCAGTTCTAGTACAAAAGTATAAACTAACAACAACAACAAAAAGATCTACTGCATTTCAGCTGATATTGCTGCAAAGGATTCCATCATGCTGGCCCCAGCTTTCCTTCCTGCAACCCTCAGGCTGTTTTCATCAATGTGGCAGTAGCTTGGCTTGTTAACTTGCCAGGGTAAAATCTTAGATCTTTCACAGTTCTTGCCAGGAAGCTGATTGTTAAAATTTTATGAATTTTGCAAGCCAGTTGTGGTTTTGTTGGTAGCTCAAAATGAACCATGGTGAATAGATTTATAACACAGAAATCAGCAAATGCTACAAATCAAGATTTGTTTTTGTTTTTGTCTTGAGAGCTAGTTGTTAAACATTTATGAGTACACCACGACCAGAGAAAGATGCACAAAAAGACAGGACAAGCGCTGTATCATTTGGCAGAACATAAGGTCACTGGAAGAGCAGATGAGAGAATTACAGATGTAATGGCTGAGCTGGGTTAGGTTATCAATGCTGGAACGGGTTACGCTCAGTCAGAAAACAATAAATAGATAATTTGGTGGTTCTAGAAACAGGGATATGAGAATGAATAGAGTCATAAAAATGGACTGGTAGAAAAGGAAAGGTACTATTTTGTCTAAAAAGTTTACACATCAATTGTTTCAAAACTTGTGTCTTCTTAAACTCTCTATTTCCCACTTCTCTCTTTTGAAAATAATCACCTCCTACTTCAGAAACGAAACAGAAGAAATCAGACTTAGATTTGAATTCACTATCCCAAAACCCACAAAGCAAAGACATCTGTGCCCTTCCTCACATGCTTTTGCTTTGGCAATGCAGGGGTCTTCCTCTACTGGTTTCTTATTCTTCTATTTGTGCTAGGGAGCTCATACATCCTCTTGAATTATTACTTCAATTACCATTTTTAAATTATTATCTTACTAGAAATCTGTTTTGTGCTCTTTTCTTAGAATAATTGTTTCTCTTGGCATGCATGAAGCCACACATTCTTTTCTTTTCTACCCCATTACAATAAATAGAAATGCTTTTTTTCCCCAATATTATGATCTAAGGAAACCATTTCATTATTGTTTACAATCTGATTGTCTTTACCCATTTTCCTTTCCTCTCTGGCCAATTATTCTATTTTCTTCTAATGACACATTAACATTACATTACACTTTTATGATCTTTTCCTTTACTTCTCTTTTTTCCATTAGAATATACAATCTGTGTTATTCACTTCTCTAATCTTAGCATCTTCAGCAGCAACATCCAATAGAACTTTCATGATGAAAATATCCTAAATCTGTACGGTTCAAAATGGAAGGCACTAGCCACAGTATCACCTGAGATCACTTCCGATCCCTTGAATATCAATATAACTTGGCTAAAGCAACCAAATAATTGACTTTTAATTGTATTTTATTTTAATTAATTTAAATAGCTACATGTGGCTATTGGCTACCATACTGGACAGCACAAATCTATGCAATGCCTGGCACATCTGGTTGAAAATGTCTGGTTGAAAATGAAAGGAAGCATGATGAAAAAACACACGAATGAATGAAATACCTGCAGTCTGTTTATAATCCTACAGATTTGCCTGGAAGTTCACTTTGCTCTCTGTCTATTAAAGTTTTCTAGCATTGGTTCTGTTATCCAGTTTTTATTAGAATATTTACTTGTTTCCACATTTCAAGAGTATATGACACATATACATCTTTTTGTTTCACCATTCTTATGCTAGCATCTCAGCAAATCACTATATTCCTCTAATTTTGTTTGCTTCTTCATAGCTAAAGCAAAAATTCTGATCTATCATTCTGGTCAGAAAATCTCACTTTACCCATTTTCTCTCACAATTGTATTGGTAATTGTCTTGCTTTATTTGTAGTGAAAAATTGCATAACAGTATAAAAATAACGTTGTACCCTATAACCCGGCCTAAAAAAATAGTTAATAATACAATTTAAATTCCTATTCAGTCCTCAGTGGTCACATTTCCTTTCTTGCCTCACCAGAAACTACAGCCATCAAAATCATAATCCAATGATTTCAGTATATTTTTACCACATGTATGTCCTCCAAACAAAATACTGTGTAGTGTTGGGTTAGCTTTAAAACTATCTGAATAATAGTATACTGTAAAAAAATTCGACATAATATTTTCCTATTTAGGGCACGTTTTTAGGTGTATTCATGTCACCACACGCAGCTATATTGTATTCTTTCACTGCTGTATAGAATTTTATTGTATTAGTATATCTATTCTCCTATTGATAAACACTTCCATTGTTTTTAAATATTTTCCCTTTTGTAACCAATTTTGTTTTAAGGATTCTTGTACACTTTTCTTTGTGTATAGCACTAGAGTATCTCTAGGGCAGGCATGTGGGGAAACACATGTTGGTGTGTGTGTGTGTTTTACCTTCAAGAGTTCTAGATAAAATACTTTGTTAATTCTTTGCATTACGAAGATCTTCTCCCACTTTATTCCATGTTTTTTCTTTGACAAAGTGTTGATTTTTTAATGGAAAAAAGCATTCGTTGGGATCATCTATTGCTCAAATCCACAAATAATTACTAGAGTTAGCAACTAGACAACTTAGAAAACTCATTCCAAACACCCATAAAAATTAAAGCCTCAAAGTCAATGATGGTAAGTGCCATCTACTCTTGTAAAACCTAATACTTATCTGTATTTATAGATTTTATCTTCAACATATTGTTTCTTTTTATCAATGTTATTTTAATAGCTTTGATATAGCTATGCAATTAATAATAAACTACTTTCCTATTCTTTCATATTCTCATGAAAATATTGTTTAGTTCATCTTAAATAATTTCATTAGCCATTTTTCCCTCCTTTATCTTTTCCAGTAAATAGTGCAAATATATTGGTATTCTTCCAGTAATTATAAAGATCATATTCACCTGTTTACTTTTACTGGTCTTTATCTATAGCTTAGCTGATTCACTTTATCCAAATATGCCCAATATTAGTTAGAAGTCTACATGTCTTTTGTAAAGAAGATAAAAACGGTTTAACAATGGAAAATACTTCCTAATCTATAGAATATTTGAAAAATAACGACTTGCTTTTTTCCAGCTTTACACCTATAATATAGCTGAAATTTTGAACTCACTTAATGTCATAGTGTAAGGTACGTGGATGTGCCTTATTCAAGGAATAGGCCAAGGCAGACATCCAGGCCTGCGTGACTCAGCTGGATTGGTGTACAGGCGCACACCTCCACTTGTTATATAACCTATTTGTGTAAGTTCATACTTGGTTCTAAGCCACTAGTGTCTGTAGAAGGTATAACTACCCTTCTGACGCTGTGCATAGGGCTTGACACAGCACTGGCACCCACAGAAAGAGACAGAGAGAGAACCACAACTGTCCATCTTGCATACAGACACAGGGGAGCCACGGCACGGCCCAGAGGGAGAAAGAGTTAAGCTGCTGACCTTAAAGGCAAGGGAGAGGCTGACGTGCAGGCATGGGGGTGGCAGGAGCCACAGAGCTAGAGCAGACAGCTCAGAATAGGACAGTGTGAGAAAGCTGCTAATGAGAGAGCTAGCGTAAGACAGCTGCTGATGAGAGAGCTGCTGAATTAAACCGCACTTCACCTGCCTACAGCCCCGAGTGTTCTTTCAGCTATCTGCCCATCCACTCACTCCCCTCGAACCTTGGCATGGGCTCGAACCTGACCCCAGGCGTGATATTTGGTGTAGTCGTGGACCTAACACATAGTTTAAAAATTGTGTCAACGGGGCTTAAAACCTAGATGACTGATTGATAGGGGCAGCCAACCACCATGGCACATATATACGTATGTAACAAACCTGTAAGTTCTGTACATGTATCCTGGAACTGAAAGTAAAAAATAAAATAGTGTCCAATATTTTATCCATACAGCTTCTAAACCCCTATGCAAGGTTAAACATAACAAATAAGACCACAGAATACACAAACAATCGAGCAAGGCAGCAAACAGGAAACAGAGACAGGATCTCAACCAAGGTCTGAAAACAGGAATTTGATTGACTGTCCTCAATTAATTTAAAAACAAAAATTTTAAAAAAACCTGTAACCTGAAACACAATATTTATGGAAAAGATATTGGGAAATTTCAGCAGTCAATCCATAAGAAAAACAGAATTACAGGGACTCACATGCTGTCAGCATTCTCCCTGCCTTGGCCTCAGATTCTCTTTTTATAGTCATTTCAATTTTCTTTCTGCAGTTTGACTTTTCCGTGTTTCAGAAATCTTAGCTGCTGACACCTCCTGAGTTTTATAATATAAAGCTTCAGCCACCAAAGAGAAGCTGACTCTTTCTTACACTTGATTCCAATTATCTCTAGAGGATTTTAATTAGCCTTACTTAGACCAGGTGTCTGTATCTGATCCAATCAATTGTTGCTGGGAAGTCAGGATACTTGAACTGTGCTGCTTGAGTCTGTTCTCTTTTCCCTGGCTACATTCATGGATGGGGTGAGGATGCTGTCTACTAACATGGCTGCCCTCATGATGATACTGGGGCTGATGGGGCCGAGGAGAGAAGAGAGGAGCAAGTCTAAGTTGACATTTCTAGAGGCTCTCTTCCAAAAATAGCAGTCAGATTAACAGGTGGTGGTTCTACAGCCAGTAGAAAAATATTTTGGCTATCATGCAGAGATGTTCCTGATATATTTTTTCTTTTTTCGTTTTTTCATCTCATCTCTGTAGACACCTGAGATGGGATGTTCCTGATAAGCAGTTTTTCAACAGAAAACAAAGCTATATTATGAGGTAGCAAAGATTATATCACTAGAAGTCATAAAAGAGAAGCTATAAAATAATTTATTAAGTATGATATAGAAGGGATTAAAGAAATGTCTAAGAGACTTAACTGAATTATTCTCGATCTCCTGACTTCGTGATCCGCCCACCTCAGGTTCCTGAAGTGCTGGGATTACAGGCGTGAGCCACTGCGCCTGGCCTAACTGAATTATTCTCTAAGACCCACTTTAATATTCTATAATGCTTGATTTATTTCATTTCAGTCACCCATTGTTTCCTTTAGTAACATTAGCTTGTAGCTTTATGTTTATGTCACTGTGACTTATTTAGGAAACAAAGATGAATAGATGAATAAGGCAATTTGCACCCTCAAGGAATCCATCAATTTGACCAGACACATCTTTTTTGGTAATAGCAAGGAATTTTTTCAAAGGGCATAGAAGTTACATGCCCATGAGACAATAAAAATATTAAATCATACATTCCTGCCATCTCTTGCCTCTGTATTTTACGTTCTGTATTCTAACCACACCAGTCATTAAGACAAGCCATCTGCTTCCATGAAGCCATTCCTTTGCAAAGTCTCTTTACTCTTCCTTTCCTTAGGTCTCTAACTAATATAAAGTTTCCTTTTACTTCTCACTACAAAACGTATTTGCTTTCTTCTTTCCTTGTACTTTCTTATCAATTCAGTATCATATTGCACTTACAGTCTCTTGAATAATTGTGTACGTGTGTTACTTTTCCTACTGAAGAGATCTGAAACAGCAAGGGCTTTGTCTGTTTTATTTTTTATAATCAAAGCCCAACAGAGTATAAAATTATTTAATTGTATTATAATAAAATGAGGATTGTCAACAATGGGAAAATTTCTGAAAAATGAGATCTTGAAAATCAAAGTTTGAGTTATTGTTAATAAAATAAAGTAAAATAATTAACATTTACATGTATTTTAAAGAGCTTCCAGACTTAATATTTGCTCTTAATGTGAAGGAGCATAATCCTGCCTTAAACATAGAAAAGATTCATATTTTATAATAAACTATATGTCAATATTCTACTCACAGATTCTAGGGAAAATATTCCAGTTTTCAAGATGCAGTCACTATGATTCATTCTTAACAATTATTTTCAAAGTTATTTCAAAGAACAATAAAGAAAAATGATTTTCAAATAAAGCAAAAACAATAAAAGCAGACAGAAATGCCAAAAATGTACTTGTCAAATATTGACTATTATTTTAACTTAAGTTCCAAAATGTAAAAATCTTATTTTAGAAAATTTATAGTAACTTAATAGGAGACAAGAATAAATCATGCCTTGAGAATTGCTTTCACAAAGAATATCTTCTTTACAATCTTTTTTATTGTACAATAATAGACTAGATTTTTTGCAACAATGCAGAAGGTATTACAAAATAGTAAAAAATCATGAAAATATCATTGTTCCACATCTTTCCTATACACAGTTACAATAATTTCTTTTATAAATCTTTAAACTCTGTAACTATGATTCCTAATCTCTCTTCTCTTTCTTTGATAAAGTTCTATTGACTTTATATTATGTCTGTATTACATCCAATAGATTAGAGTTAAGATGCTTTAAATATTACATCTCATGGTTTTGCTAAAGCCAAGCACATCTTCGGAAAGATTAAATATCATTTTTCTCATATAAATCAAATTAGAACTCACAGAGTCAGCTTCTACCCATATATCCACAAAGATATCTCATACTGTATTCAGAATTTGTCTGAGTAAAGAGATGAGCCTTTCACCTTCTGGTAATTACTTGAGACTTAAAGAGTGACAGGCAATTCAAATCAGCCTTCACGATGTTAAATTATTTCCTAGGTCAATATCATGTATCATGTGTTATTATTTCACCTCTGAGTTACATCAAACAATTTTGCAGTGAATATCCTACAAGCATTTACATTTTCTGACAAAATATAAAGTACTTACATCATTTATATTGAATAAGTACTTTTTGTCTCAAATGTAAAATAAATTTTGATAAATTTGAAGCTTCAAAATTCTTATGAAAAAACTATTTTGTGAATTAGAAAGTACTATTCTGTTTTATTATGACATAGCTTTTGTTCCTGAAGAAATTTCTTTCAATTCTATTTTTAAGAATGTCAATAACTATTTATTGAACACTTCTGCAGATGTTTGATAGACATATGGAGGTATATAAGAAAATAATGAGACAACTCCTGCCCTCCAGAAGTTTTTATTTATTTGGAGATACTACTAACACATAAAATATCTAGAAAAGTCTTAACCCAAGAAAAACAAAAATGATAGCTTACACTTAAAACATACCAGTTATTCATTTACTCCTCAGCAGCCTACTGGCCCTATTTTTGTAGAGAAGATCCTAAAGCACTGAGAGGTTAAACCATTTACCAGGTGCTATCGCTGGGCAGTGCAGAGTCGGATTTAGCCCAGGAGTGTGTCACCATGTAATCCCAGCACTTTGGGAGGCCGAGGCAGGCAGATCACGAGGTCAAGAGATCAAGACCATGCTGGCCAACATGGTGAAACCCCATCTCTACTAAAAATACCAAAATTAGCTGGGCATGGTGGTGCACGCCTGTAATCCCAGCTACTCGGGAGGCTGAAGCAGGAGAATCGCTTGAACCCAGGAGATGGAGGTTGCAGTGAGCCAAGATCGCCCACTTGCACTCCAGCCTGGCAACAGAGTGAGACTCTGTCTCAAAAAAAAAAAAAAAAAAAAAAAGAGAAAAGAAAAAAAGAATTAGGGAGTGGATGGAGTGAGGGTAATATAACAGGGTTCCTAGGGTGAAAAAAAGTAAAAAAAAAAAAAAGTTCTCAGGACCCTTTAATGTGCAATTGTGTGCAGTAATGCTTTTAAATGAGAATAACGTGTGCAGTATTTTTCAATCAAACTTTAAATTGTAAGCCTGGTTGAATGGAATTAGGAGAATTACAAAGTCTGTGCTTGAGACCATAGAATTAGTCTCAAAATCAAATAGATTAAAAGTTTAAAAGGAAAAAAAAAAACAAGAGAAATATGATTTATAAAAGATCAGACTCTCGAGCATAACACCAAAATCACAAAATATTTTAGAGCTATGACTTCATAAATATATAAAGCTTCTCCGCATTATCACTCATGTCAGGAAAAGATACTGCAAATGTGGATAACAAAGACTTTCTGGATTAATATATAAATAGTTAGAAAAATCAGTAATTAAAAATGAAATATCCAAACAGAAAAGATGAACTAACGACCTGGAACTGGCAACCCCTACACAAACTGAGAGAGAAAGAGAAGGAGAGAAGGAGACAGGGAGAGAGGGAGAAAAGCAGAGAAGGAGGGAGGGGGAGAGAGAGACAGACAGAGAGAGAGAGAGAGCAAGCAAGGGACAAAAGTCAGTCTTCGGTAACCAGTAACAAGATGAAACAAGTTTTGCAGAAGTTATAATAAAATAGAAGAATCAAATGATCACATAGCAAAATGTAGTAGAGACATGCAAACTGCAAAAGAATGGCATATAAAGCAATAACATATTTATGTTGTGAATGTGAATATTAAATCCTATAAGGGATAGAAAATAATATATGATATAAATATTACACATTCGTCTTTGAGAAAGGAAAGCATGAAATAAAAAGAACCTCTTTTAATTCAGGGAAACTTTCCTAATGAAATAACAAATGTAAAGAAAAATCACTTTTATCTAGCAAATTTAAATTCAGATAACCATGTTGTAAATCACTTATCTTCAATGGTCATTACAGCTAGAGAATAGAGAGTATTTGCAACCCTGGGAACCAAAGAAAGAAGCTATTTCTTAACAAAAGTAAGCTTAAACTTGAGATAGCATTACTGTTAAAGGTAGATGATATATGCTATTTCCAGCCGTTCTGTGTCAAAGGATAAATCCTTTCGTGTGTAAAATTATAGTCTCTTCCACCTAAAATGTAAACTTTGTTTTCAATGCAAGTTTAGTATGTATTTAGATAATAATGTGACATGATAAAAGCAAAGCTAAGAGATAATATTGGTTCAGAAACTGCATTTATATTAATCATTTCAGATATATCTGTATCTACAAAGAGTTATCTACAAAAAAAATACTTTTGTTGTTCTAAAATCAAAAAATTGCCACAAAAACTTTACTTGAGTAAAATAAAAGTAAGCCTCTGACAGCTTCTAAACCTAAATATAATAAAACTATTTGGAGCTTTATTTATTCTTAGACATTATTTTTTGTCAATGTATAACTGTTCGTTAGCAGTAAATATTATATGAAATGCACAATGAAACACTTTTGATGAAATAGTCTTTTATATCTTAACTACTCTGGATTATATTTTGGGATTGTGGTAGAAATAACAATATGTGTTCATTGCACAATTTCCTCTTTCTCAGAAATAGGAAAACAATATTTGCCGGCCTCTCTTGAAGACAGTTTCAGGACCATGTAATTGGAATTCTGGCCAATGGAATGTAGAGTAGATCTTGACCTTAAAATCATTCCTTTTGCCTCTCCAGCCCTTTTCCTTTCCATGGAACCTTAGAAGCCATGTGATCCAGATGGTAAAGCTACAGTGAAAGAAGCTGGATCCCTACGCCACTCCTTCAAGAGGACCCCATGAAGGAAAGCTGCCTTAACCACATCACTAACATCATCAAAGAAGAGATCTTTGTTTTGTTAAACCACTGTGATGTTGGACTTTTGCAAAACATAGTCTAACCTGTTCTAATAGAGGGCTGCACTATTAGGTTTATTAACTAATCAAAATATTAGGCCGGGCGCGGTGGCTCATGCCTGTAATCCCAGCACTTTGGGAGGCCGAGGTGGGCGGATCACAAGGTCAGGAGTTCGAGACCAGCCTGGCCAACATGGTGAAACCCCATCTCTACTAAAAACACACAAAAAAATTAGCCGGGCGCGGTGGTGGGCCCCTGTGGTCCCAGCTACTCGGGAGGCTGAGGCAGGAGAATGGCGTGAACCCAGGAGGCGGAGCTTGCAGTGAGCCGAGATCGCGCCACTGCACTCCAGCCTGGGCAACCGTGCGAGACTACGTCTCAAAAAAAAAAAAAAAAAAGAACATCAGCAACAATAATGGAAATGGCTCAGGTGATGATTCACTGTCCTCAAAACCAAAAGAATGAAGTCTACATAAGTGAAATACAAATGATTTAACTTTTTTTTTTTTTTTTTTTTTTACTTTTAACAGTGGAGTAGTAGAGCATGGGAAACTAACCATTTATATTATTTGGGACGTTTTCTTTGTTGAAAGCCAAGAAAACTTCCTGCATACTAAGAATCTTCACAACTTCCTTAGAATATCTGAATTAGGCATTCTCAATTATAAACATAATAACAATTTTTTAAAAATTCAATAACATGATTTTTCACAGAAACAAGGTCATACTGGCTATTCACATCTGGTTATTTGGATACCACTATCATACTTTTTGTTATTTTTGCTTACTCTTTGTAGTGTTATTTAAGTCAATTTACACCAATTCACATTAGGATTATATATTTTCTGGTAGATATGAAAATAAATACATAGCTATTATAACACAAATTTTCATATACAACTTTAAACTAATCTTGTTACTGCAGGTGATATAAATACTCCTACTAGGAGCCACTCTATAATAAAGGATGGTAGGTTCCCAGGTAATCAAACTGCACCCTCCTCCACCCCAAATAGCACCATGTTTGTTAAAACATTATTTTATCAGCTGAAGATATTGAATTATTAATTGCATCTGTTCTCTCTATTCAGTCCCGCAGCTGGTCTACTCCCATTTTTATATCATAACAAGACTTTGTAGTTTTTTGTCTAAAGGTTTTTGGCCTGGAGAAAAGCTGAAGCAGTCTGAAATCTCTTTGATCTTAATTCATGGGATATCCTGGAGAGGAATGTAGGATCAGTGAGGTGGTGATGGAAGAGGTCTGTGAGCCCAGCAAGGCTATGGTAGCAGCAAAGGAGGTGACCAGATTTTGGAGACATGACTGCTGGGTGCACTGCAGGCTGCATCACAGGCATGAGAGCTCCCAGCTGCACTCAGCTTCTTATGGGCCTGGGAGCCACATCAAGTCAGCAGTGATCTATGAGATCCATGAAAAGGCTGGTACTCTCAATGGAAGAGATGACACATGGCAGGAGGGTTTGGTTGGGTATGGGGAGGCGGATGCAAGTAGTAAGATTGTCTGAGGGTAAATTTGCTGCTAAACTAGTAGAAAGGCACCACAGAATTGGAATTTAGTTGACTTAGAGAAAAATCTTAAGTGTGGTGTTCTTTACATACTCCGTTTCTGGGCTGATCCATGCTTTCTATACCAGCAAAAGTATATTAGTAGAGCCTAAACATTTTTAGCAGAGTTTTTCTAAGCGAACTGTAAGTTTTGCTTAAAGATGGTAGTAATAGATTTCTCCAACACAATTTTTAATATAATTCTCTCATGCCTTCTCCATACACACACACACACACACACACACACACACACACACACACACTAACTGAATACTCCTTGATGCACATACCAATACCCCGTGATGCTCTTCCTTCTAATTTTATACACTCCAGGTCCCTCTCAGTAGCAAAGAAACACATCTCTTTGAGAAACACATCCAGTAACTTATCTAAAGAAAGACTGAATCTCCCAATAAGGGAAACATTATCTTCATGCCGTTTCTACCTATGGATTATTTATGATGCTCTGTAAGATAAACGTCAGAAATATTTTTTTTAATTGCACGGCTTTGTCCATTAATTTAATTACTTTTTTAAAGGTATCAAGAAACAGCTGCCTTGAACTTTTTCAAATCTACTGTCTGTTAAGGAACTAAATGTTGAGAACACAGTTACATTGATTAATGTGGTATTAAGGCATATGAAATATGATCTTTAAGAGGTTTAATTATTGCCTTTGTAAGAGAGACTGATATTATCAACTATTCTGAGGTTATGTTTGAATTACAAAGAAATTACTCAGTGTTTGTTAACATTAGTTTAGAAATTTTAACACTCACCAAGTTCTGTTTATTCTTCTAAAGCATAACACTCCATTCTATTAGTCATTTTTATAAACCTTGTAGGGTTTAAAGTTTGGATAACGTGAGGGGAGTATTGAGTTTTCCCACAGAGGATACATCTAAAATTCTACTGAAAATTGTTACCTAGGGCTGATTTTTCTGCTTCTGCAAAAGGATATCCATGCATTGGCATGGCATCTCCAGAGTATATCCAATTTTTATTCATCCAGATTCCCTAAATGATCTTCCTCAAAATGCGAACTACTGAATTAATACAAAGCATATGTTGCTAAATAAAAAAACTTCTAGTTCATATGAGCTACCAAATTAAAATTTAATAAAAATGGAGAGACTAACTCTCCCTTAATTACGACCTTGTCAAAAGGTCATGAGTTTTCTTTTCCTACTAGAGGCCTTCAAACACTAAATTGAAAACAGGTAATACACTGTTGCCCTGCCCCCAACCCATCACCACTAGTCACTCAATGTTCCTCCACTTAACAATCTTTACCAGATCCCAGTAAGCCATCTATAGGGAAGGAAAATATCAGACTAAAATGAATAAGAAAATAAAGAAGAATAGAGTGAAGTTTGAACAATGTGGTTTTATTTCCCCATAATTACAGCTTTAAGCTGTTAGTTGAGAAAATGTAATAAAACGCTAAGGTTTCCTGTTATGTTTCATTCTAAACAGTAAAGCGCCTTAATAGCTTCCCACTCCATGACTGACCAATAATTCAATAGCAGAATTTGTGTGTGTGTGTGTGTGTGTGGAAAGATATTTTCTTATACGTTTCATAAAGAAAATAAAAATGGATATCACTCTGGATTTATCATTATGCCATAGGGGAAAAAGGAAGTAATGCTTTCATTAGTAATTCTATTATTGAAATATGTTTAAGTATAAATGTTTGGACTCTTTTAAATCACTATGACTAAGCAAAGATCTCAATACAAGCAATATTTAATATTTTTCTAGAAATTTGTTAATATTCAGTAAAGAAATCAAAATTCATCCAACAGTATAGCTTTTGAGAAGCACTAAATGAAGCTGGAAAATTAAGCTTTCCACTAATTTCCTATTGTTGTTAAATTCTTCATTAAGAGAAACAGGTTTTGTTGCTGCAAAACAAACCAGAGATATAAAAAATATAAATAAATAATAACACCCACTAAGAAATCTGTGTTTAGTGAAATAACAGACAAATAAGAGTGGAAATGTGTAGCCATCTGGAGAATAAGAAAATCAAAAATAATAAGCAGCATTGGGAATTTATTACAAAGAAATTACGCCAACAGTTTCTTACAGCAGTTTTCTATGGAAATGTTCAAACTAGTGGGTAAAGAAATACATTTTATACTATATATTTGGACCCTACTGATATAATTTTATACATGATTTCATGGCATAATATTTGCTAAGTAATCTAAATTAGCTTGGCTATAAATGCTGTCATACTGATGCAAAATTTGCTATCATACCACAGTCAGTCCCCAGAAATGACACAGTTTGATGGAACTGTCTAGAGCCAGAGGTTGTGACATGGGGCTGTCTGCAACATTGTGTTTCAGAGAAATTAATAAATCTGAAAGCAACTGAGATATCAGGAAGACACAAAATAGAAGGTAGAAAGGAAAGGAGATAATGAAAACTACATAGGTCAAAGAAACAAGCAAAAGTTCATCCCCACTGCACTTCAGGAGGGGTGTATATTTCACATGGGGACGTGAAATGATTCCCATCATCATAAGATTCATTTTGACAATTCTAACTCTCATCTGCTACTTCAGAATCTAGATGTAGGAGAAGGAAGAGGGAAAAAATATTTAAAATGTTCTTTCCCAGTGTCTTCATCAATTTTCAAATTTTCCGCTAATTTTCAATATTTCAGAAATCAAATTCCATTATCAGGTGACATTTTCGGGCTACATCTTCAAATGTGGAAATTGTCATTTTGTTTATCTTTGAACCCACAGCACCTGGCAAATATTATGTGCTCAAAAATATTTCTTGAACAGAATTGTTGAACTATGAATGAGGGACCGTCTGCAGAATTTTAGTTTAAAATGGTCATAATTATTGGAGCAGAAAAAAAACAGCTTTAGTTTATTCCACTTAAGAGTTAATTATATTTTTTAAAAAGAGCAATTTTGGGGCATATTTTCTTAAAACTATGCTGTTCTCTGTCATAGCCACTAGCCATATTCAATTTAAAAATTAAAAATACAGTTCCTTGGCTACATTAACCACCTTCAACTACTCAATAGTCACATGTAGCTATAGGCTACTGCATCATAGCACAGTTCTATGATTGCAGAAAAGTCTTTTGGACAGTGTTGTTTTAGAGCATGTAAGCACCATATCCTCATTTCCCATGCATATTTTCTAAATTGTATGTTAATTTGTTCATTCAAAAAAGTATTCAATATATATTATATGCTTGGCACTGATGATGCCAGAATAAATGAGACCCTTTTCTAACTACTTCAAATCTTTTGTAGGAATATATCAGTCAACAGACAGTAACACTACAGAGAGAGAGAGGCAAGTGCTATGCCATGGAGGGCTTATTGAAGAAGACCATGATTAGAGGCAAAAAATGATCAAGAAGACTACTGAAGTGATCATAGTAAACATTATTTATAATAATAATATTTATTATTATAATACAATAATAATTAAGCTACAAGAAGTAGAAATGGAAAGGAGGAAAAAGGATCAAATGCTATTTAAGAGACAGAAACAGTGTGATTTGATGATAAATTAAATGCAGTAACAGAGAAAGAGGGATCTAGAATGACTCCCATACCTCTGGCATGAATGAATAGCCTACACTGCCACTATCTGAAATCAGATCTACGTGAGGAAAACCAGGTGAGCAGAGGAGAGAGGACCACTGAAACTTCACATATGGGTGCTTTTTAATGACGATGGTATATGTGTGTCCAATATTCATGAGAAGGTTTGATGGATACATAGTTTTGGGAATTATTATTATAGAACTATAGTTGGATCAGATCACATAACAACAGCAATAAAGAAAAGGAATTTTGACATTAAAGTCAAGAATAATTAACATTAACAATTTCTAGAGAAATTGAAGGATAAAAATGAATGGGATCATAGAAAACAAGAGAAAGGAGTTGCAACCTGGAGTCAAGTTTCCAAAAAGTACATTAAGACAAAGACTAGAAAAAATACAAACATGTCCATTTCATCTAGCAGAAGGTCATGAATGACCTTAACACAAACATTTCCCATAAATGATAGGAGCAGAGTTTAGGTAACAAGATGTCCAGGACAGCAAGAATGAGGATGATGAAAGACATGCATAGACCACTCTTTCTAGGACTTGAGCAGATATGAGCTGGAAAGAGCTAGACATGAAGTGAGATATAGATGCAAAGGAGGATGCTATTTGTTTTCTGGTTTTAATGGGGAAAAGACTTGAACATTTATTGCTGTGTCCACAATCTATGCATCTAATAGGTTCATCTTAGCCAGTTTGGATTGATTGCAGTTTATCTCCAGAGCTACTGACCCTTGGCCAATGCTGTAAAATGTATTAACTAAAGATAAATGATGTTTTGTAACCATGGGTCCATGAATTGTTTCAGAGCAAGATGTATCAGCCTGCCAGCACTGTTTAGTAATAATAATTGAATTTATAATTGCACCTAATTTCAGTGGAGCCTGGGGGAGGAAGACATTCAAAGTAAAGGCTGGTAACATAGCTAGAATATGTCTATATGAAAAGCTTATTATAAGAGATCTCCACTGTGAGCAGATTTGGGTCTCCTGCTACAGAAGTGCTTCACATGCACACCAGTAGTTGTTACAGTCTGGTACAGGCTAAGAGCATCTGCGTGACCCAGAGGTGGGAGAACAAAGAAACCTGTGCCTGGGACCTCTAGGTCCTTTTTCATGCATATTTTTCTTGTGTTGCTTCTGTGTTATGCTATATCCTTTGCCCGTTATAAAGTTGTTCTGGGAGTACAAACCGAGCAAATGGAGTTTCTTAAGCAATGGAACACTTAAGGTGATTAAAGTGTAATTACCTCTGACTAACATAATTTCTCTAGCAAAAATGCTTAGCTTTTTCAGCCTCTCAAAGAATTTGTCGCAAGTGTAATTTTTAGACTCAACAGTTACAATTTATGAGGATAGTTTTTACCTCAAGGAAAACAAATTTAAATAATAAAATCTCATTTACACAAAGAAAATTTTTAAAGAAACAAAAATAATTGTCTAGTTTGTCCATTAAACAACTTACCATCAATACAGGGATGTTCAAATAACTAATTTCCATGCAAACTATAACTTGTTGGTTGTGTTCTTTTACTGTCTGTTCAACCATATTGTTGCCCCTCCACCTTTGCTATTTTATTTAACATGCCCAGGTATCTCATCCAGTTCATTGGTTTGTGGTTAAATCCAAAGGTTTTCCAGGATCTAAGGGTAGGTTGAATCCCTTCGGTTCATATGAAAGGTCTTCTAATTACCTCTGTTCACACACACATTCAGTAAGTACCCAGAAAGGGAGGCCAGAAGGTAATGTTCATAGATATAAATTAATATAAAATAGACATATCATGATTAAAGTAGTTTAATCAAATGCCAAAGAACATAGCTTTTCAATCAGTTAGATGTAGAATTCAGTTCCTCATGGGCCCCATTACTGGCTGGCTATCTGACCTTGGGAAGGGTAGTTAATGTATTTGAGCTTCAGCCTTTTGCTGCGGAAAATGGTAAAAATAACAATACTTCGCAGTGTTATTGTGAGGGTTAAAATAAGATAATGTGTACAGAATATTTAGTCCAGTCACCAGCATATAATAACCACTTAATACATGGTAATAATTTAAATTCAGTGAACTAGGGTTCATTAACAAATTACATGTCCATAAATACAATGTGTGCAAATATCAGTTTTCTAATATAAGGATAAGTTTAAATTTACCTAACTGAATTTTTATGAACATTGACTGAAAATATAAAGGGACTATGGCCAGACCACATATGAAAATAAAACTCTAATCCACACATCTGCATCAACCAGTCCAGAAAGCCAAACCATAACTTCCACAGTGATCAGCATGGAACAGTCAGGACTTTGTTGATGACTGCCAGCTTTCCTAATTATTGCCCCTGGTTCCAACTCGAGACCAAGCAGAGAAAGCCAGATAAGATCCTCAGACCAGTCACATAAAGTATCCTGCTTCTAGTTAGCCCTCCTTCAGCATCCCCATGTCAACAACCTCCAGTCAAAACATACCTGAAGCTTTATAGCTTCCCCACTCCCCTGTCTGCATTTGAGTCTCTGTCCAATGCAAGTAATAGTAGCTCACTCCCTTCCTCTAGCAAGATCTGAATAAATAGCCTTGGCTTGTTCTAATGTGAGTGGTCTTCTTCTATTTCAGCAGCATTATAAATGAAGTTAAAAGTTCAACATCGATTTTAAAATGCCATATACGGCATACACACACACACACACACACGGCAAACACACACACACACACACACACAATTTGTGTTATTGTGCAGAAAACAGACATGAAGTTACCATGGCCATTAGAGCTCACACACATGCAACCATCTGCTTGTAGATGTACTAATTTTCCACCAGGTATATAACCCAGATGCTTATAAAATAATCAGTCCAATTCTCTCCCTATATCATTACCTCAATACAAATTCTTCGTCTACTTTAAATATTCCAGTTGCTTAATCTTTCTGCTTTTCCCTGCTCATTCACCATACATCATCTTCCTTTCCATGTTGTCTGTAATCTGCCATCTAGCATTTTAGCAGCCAATATTCTCATTAACCTCATTAATCTTCAGTCCCATAAGCCTAGATAAACTGAGTAGACAAATATGGATTTTCCCCCAGAAATTGTCTTTCCTAGAGGGCTCCTGTTTTGTGTGTAATTGTTTTCCCACTCCATCCACATAGTCTGACATTGCTGTCAATCGTAGTAACCCTATCCCCAACATAAATGCTCTTGGGACAGGCAAATTGAACCAACTGAGGTCAAGAAGAATTCATCGAGTGTTTCTAGATTTTCTTTATAGGTGCAAGTTTGGGAATTTATGAGTCCAGTGCTCTTGGAAATCATGGTTCTAGACTGGTGGAATAAGCCAGTGTGAGAATGAAGTCCATATTATAAAGATAAAAGAAAGAAGAATATATGCAATTATCCCGTTCACTGCTATGGAATATAGAACAGGAAGAAAAATTCTGAGGATGTGGTAACAAATTAGTTGAGTCTAAGGTTGTGTTGAATCTGAGGTGGGAGCAGGAGAGAGAAGTCTGGGTTGTGGATAAAAGCTCTGGCAGCAATCCCAACCCATCCAGGGATAGTGGGTAGACTAACAATCAAACTCATATTTTCGATAGTTCTGGAAATTAGACAGATATAGTTTATAATAAAACTTTATGACTGCAACAGTAAAGTAAGAAGTATTATATATTCAAGATAGAAATACACTAGTTTCTGTACGAATGTCTAAATAACAATTGAACATAAATAGCTGAAAATCCTCTGGATTCTTGGATTTGTCTTACAACTAGTCATGTCTCTGAGTTCTTAAACTTGGTAAGTGGTGTTCTAAAACCTATTACTACAGCAGGACCAAGAAACAATATTTTGAGGGTAGGAGGGAGATGTCAAGAATGCTGTATTTGGGTCAAGATGCCCAGAGCAATCAATACACAACAGATTATCCAATGATAAATAGGAGTGATAAGCTACCAAGTCAATTCACAAATATTTATTGAGCAGTGGATGAATGTCAAGAAAACAATAATAGAAAATGCTTTGAATTGGCAATCGGGAGATTCTTATATTCCTGAGTTTGAAGATTGCTGGATCTGACTTTTGTCAAATCACAAATCAGCTCTGAATATCACTTTTCTCACCTGTAAAGGGGAGGTGTTGGCGTGGATCATCTTATTTGGGGTGCTTTCGAGCAAGCAAGTATAAAATTCTCAGCCTCTCCGCCAGGAAGTTGTTCAGTATTTGACTTGATTGAGCAGACACTTAAAAAATTAAATATCAAGAAAAGAAATCAATAACAGTTCAAAGGAATAATACATGAGCCACCACAAGGCGGCCTTATAAGCAAAATAAAAGTTGAAATAATTATTTTAAAGGAATAAGACGCTAGAGACGCAGTTACAGACAAGACGAAGTTCCTCTAGGCGGCCAGCGGAGGGAGACTCTGCTTCCCTTCCCCCGGCAGTGGGGACTGGGGGACTGGGGGACTGGGGGACTGGGGGACTGGGGGACTGGGGGACTGGGGACAGGGGTTGGAGGACTGGGAAACTGGAGGACGGAGAACAGGGGGACAAAACGACTGGGGGACTGGGGAATTATGGGACTGGGGATTTGGGGAATTGTTTTCAAACGCGCGGGGCAAGGACTCCCCACCGCCTCTGGAAGGGGTGAAGAACTAGTCGACTCTAACTCCCTCAGGGTGGCCAGGGAATTGCATTTGGTTCTCCCGCGGGAGTCGCGCAGGCGGGCGGCCAGGGGGAGTGGGCGCCGCCCGGCAGCGCCCCGCGCCGAGGCACAAGCGCCCGCGCCGAGGCACAAGCGCCCCCGACTCACCGGCTCCGCGCGTTTCCCCGCGCGTCTCCCGGACCCGCGCCTGCCCACCCCTCCGGCTCTGCTGCGGTCGAGGCCCCAAGTCGGTTATCCCGTGTCCAGGCAACCGCGGGGGCGGCGGCGGCGGCGTGAGGAGCGGGCGGCTGCTGCTCCGGGGCCTCCTGGCTCGAGCCCTTAGCCCCCGACTCCCGGCGTTTCGGCGCCCGATCAGCGCTCCAGGCCGCCCCCGCTCCGCCTTCTCCCAGTGCCTTTCCCTTTCTCTTGTAACCGATTTGCCAACCCAACTCCTTTCCCTCTTTACCGGAGAGGGAAGGAGTGGAGACGAGTCAACGCCCCTTCGTACAGCAGTGAGGTTAGAACGTGAGGGGATCACAGACTTCGTCCACCTTCGGGAGGACCGCAGGACCTCTTTCTTTCTTGCCACTTGGGATGATACAACCAGGACTCCATGCGATAACCCCATGTGGTTTGGTTGTGACTTCAGTATTGAGAAACCTCAACAAACTGTTAAGGAAGAAAGAACTTTTCCTAGTGTCTGAAAGTGGGGAAAATGACTAATTCAAGACTAATTCAAGCCATTTCTCTAAGGGTCTGTTTCTTTCAAAAACAAATTTTTGAAGCATTGATCCTTCTGACAAAATACTAAGTGGCAGGCCGGGTGTGGTGGCACAACCCTGTGCCAGGCGTGTCCTGTCCCAGGACTTTGGGAGGCCGAGGCAGGAGGATTGCTTGAGCCCAGTGGTTAGAGGCTGCAGTGAACTGGGATCGTGCCACTGCACTCCAGCCTGGGCGACAGATCAATAAATACATAAATCAGTGGCACAAAATGTATTACCTACATTTTGTTTCTTCATCTGTGAATATACACTGTGAACTGAAATAGGCTTCAGAGGACAGTCGTGTCTTACACTATTGTCACCGTCTTCTTCAATGAAAACAAACACTGGACTATAAACTGAAGATGGTTAAAAAAAAAAAACAGAATCAGAATAAAGATTAGCATTCTCATCCAGAGAAATCATTTTTCCAGGCAACACTGAGAACAGGCAATTGCCTGCCAAGGTTAAATCAGCAAAGTCTATTACTTTAAGAGGCAATTTAATTAGTAATCCTTTCTAAGAGGGGAAAACCAGCAAGTCCGTACCTGGAATGTGGTCCTTTCAGCCAAAGATGAAAAAAAGGAAGCAATAACTAACAAACTGGTGGAAGGTCTTAATCTTAAATTAATATATGCAGAAGCAGAGCTCTTTTTGTAATTAAAAAATGGATTCAAGAATGCACTCCACTTTCCCATCTCCCTCCATTAATTATTAAACTTTGGCTTGTTCTCAATACAATGTTAAATTATAAACCAAATGAATCATTTGCATGCCAGTAAATATGTATTCATGAGGGTTCACAATATGTAAATGTGCATATTAAAACAATAGCTAGATTTTTTTCTCATAAAATAAAACTTTACCTACTAGAAATCTCATTATTGACAAGTTTCTCTTAATTAGAACTCACTGATAATTGCTAAACCCCTGTTGTGGCAGGCAGAATTCTAAAATGGACGCCCATGACCCTACCCCTTGGTATACACACCTGCATAATCCTTAGGACTTTAAATTTGGTGGATTTCATTTTCCTGATTAGTTTGTTACCTGACACAATTGACTTGAAAAAGGGAGATTATCCAGGATGGGTTGGCCTTTATTAGGTAAACCCTTAAAAGGGACTGACCTCTTCCTGGAGTCGGAGGTTTGAAGCATCAGAGGGATTTATCAAAGGGATATTCTCTATTGTCACCTTTGAAGATTGACAAGACCCTATGGTAAGGAAGGCAGGCAGCCTCTAGCAGCCGACAATGATCCCAGGTGACGGCGAGCAAGGCAATGGGGACCTCAGTCCTACAACTGCAAGAAACTGAATTCTACAAATAATCTGGATGTGCTTGGAAGAGAACACTGAACTCAAAATGAAAATATGTCCTGGTTGGGCACGGTGGCTCATGCCTGTAATCCCAGCACTTTGGGAGGCCAAGGCAGGCAAATAACTTGAGGCCAGGAGTTCAAGACCAGCCTGGCCAACATGGTGAATCCCCGTCCCTACCAAAAATACAAAAAAATTAGCCAGGTATGGTGGCACGCACCTGTGGTCCCAGCTACTCAGGAGGCTGAGGTGGGAGGATTGCTTGAGCTTGGGAGGCAGACATTGCAGTGAGTCAAGATTGTGCCACTGCACTCTAGCCTGAGCACAGAGCAAGATCCTATCTTAAAAAAAAAAAAAAAAAAGGAGATTATGGATTATGTCCTGCCATCACCTTGATTTCAGCCTCGTGAGACCCTGAGCAGACAACCCAGGCAAGCTCACTTGGGCTACTTACTTAGAGAACCGTGAGGCTAATAAATGGACATTGTTTTAAACTGCTAGACTTACCGTAATTTGTTACACAGCCAAAGAAAGCTAATACACATATTAACTTACTTCACATAAACAAAAGTGGGTATTTTGAAATTAAAAAATGTAGGAGTATCTCAGTAAACCCAGTGCAGGATTGTGGCTGAAACTCAAATAGAACAGAAATCAGACACTGCAAAATCAATACCAGACTTATCATCATAAACAAGAACCTAGTAGTGATGGGGTTTAGGACATGCTACCCTAAATTTTTTTAAGCTGAAGAAATTTTAGAAAATTGCAGAAGCAGGAAAGTCACTCTGACCTTCCTCTCCATCTGTCTCCCTGGAAGGTCATAAAACCTAGAAAGGATTTTCTTACCTTCCCCAGGCTCAGGTCATAAGACCCGCATGTGGGAGGTGCCCTCATATACCTGGAGGAAAGGAGCATCCTTATTCCTTATTGCTGAAGACACAGGGACACAGAGAAGAATCCAACCAAACAGGCCTTGTTAAGTTTCCCCCAGTTTATTACCATTAGCTCATACCCTTTCTGTGTGTAATATTTTCCCACGACTATTCACTTTTCATCGAACCTACTAGAAAAATCACTCAGGTTTAACTGTTTTTTTGGATATTCCTTTCCTTGTGAAGGCTCCAGGGTCATGTAAAACTTCAGTGTGTATGCTTTTCTCTTGTTCATATGTTTTTTCGTTATAGGGGCCTCAGCTATGAACCTAAATGTATAAAGGAAAGGACATTTTTCCTCCAGTACAATAGTCAAGGTGATCTTATTAGCAAATAGCAAACCAGATTTTCCACAAAAGCAGAACAAACATAAATATCCAATTTTTCTATAGCAACAATAAAAGACAGAATAAAGTGATATAATAATCATGCAGAGAGAAGACAATAATCAAATAATACATTTCCTACAAAACTATCATTCAGGAGCAGAGTTAAAAATATTTTCAAAGAAAAAAAAACAAATTTTACCATTTGCCAGCCTACACTGAACAGTGTACTTTAGGAAGAAAGAAAATAGTAAAGACATTGGACAGACGTATAGTTAAATCTAAGAAAGCTTTCAGTATATGAAACGTTCAGCCATACATTTGTCTTCCAAGTGTTCTTGGTTTTCTCTCCCTAACCATCTTTTATCCAATTAGTCCTTAGGACCTAAGCATGCTTATGTTTTAATATATTTCCTGACAATGCTAGACCATTTCATGAATTAGATTTAACGATGACTATTCTATGCTCCTTTTAAAACTTACATCAGAATTATTTTCAGCCACTTTTAGGGTAACTAAATGTATATCACACCTGTCATGGAGAATGAGCTAAGATCTCTTACTAATAGTAATGTTTTATTAAGATAGAGCATAAGGGTCCACAGTAGGTAATTGGATCTGGTATCTAATTATATCTGAAAGAGTGACATGATATCAATTTTTCTAAATTAAAAATTATTGTCTTTGGCAGCCATTCTCCAAAATTCAATTTGCTTACGTCGAATTACTTCTTACAGTAACCAATTCATTTTTATTTTGTAACTGACACTGATATACAATGAGAAAGTAAGAAGTTCCAAATGAGTATTACTGGTATTTCCCTATAATGGCCTATTTTTTTAAATATTTCAAATCAGACCATTTTGCCTTTTCATAAATGGTATAGAATGTGGAGACCATCTTAACCCCATTTATGTGCTAAAGATTACCATTACAGCTTCCTAAAGCTAATGTTAAATGATCCTAAATGTTAAACGTTCCTACAGATATCCCTGTTGTCACCCTCTGTAAGTTGTAGTCATTTATCCAGGCCAGTGTACCTCAAGTTTTGTCATAAGCTTTAATTCATCCCATCTGGTTCTCATAAAGCATGTGGATCTGCTCTCAATCTGTATGCTTTCAGAATACCTAGGCTCCAACACTTCATCAGAGAACACAGCCTCAGACTCTCTCTGGGCAGTTTTAATAAAGCTTGCCTGAAAGGATACAATTTACAGAATATACGTTGTTTTAAAGATGTAAAGTACTGTGCCTTTTGGACATGCTTTCAGCTCTTTTTCTGAATCAGATGAAACCAACGCCAGGTTATTGATTAAAACATTATTACCTTACTGCATTATAGAGTCATTTTTACTGTGTTCCATCACTCTAATTTATCAAAGAGCACTATATGAAAAAGACATATGAAACATACTACTACACTTTAAAAAGTTTCAGATGATATTGTCCACCATATCATTCAATGGTTCCATGCAAAATTCTATGTAAGAAACGAGTGTGTGTGTGTGCACACATGTGCATGGGCTAGTGTGAGGGAGGGGGTAGAGAGAGGGAAAAAACGAGAAAGGTTTAAGGAGGTTGAGTGCAAGGAAAAATCAGACAGCAGTTGTTTAACCCAGGAAAATAGTGTAAATCACATATAAATTGTGGCGCTTATGTCTTGTCTACCAGATGTTAAGCTTAATATAAGCAATTATGTTAACTCTTTGGTCCTGATTTTCTACTGATACTTATGTTATATTAGTATTTCATTATATATTTTTGTTGTATTGGCCTTAAATTTTTTGTGAGAAGTGAGTTGTAGAAAAGTAAAAATAAAAGTGAATATAAAGGGAATGCTAAATAAAGGTACAGCCTGTGAAATTCATGCCATTTAATAAGCTGTCAGTATTATTTCTGCACTGTTTGGGGAAAATTAAATTGTTATTCTCTAAGATAGCCATGATGTTACCTGATTCATAACAGTCTTAGCACATTTAGATATTGCCTATAAGATAGCATTGTCTAAAACTGAATCTAGTGTCCTAGAATTGATCATGATTTTGGAAAGTAGCAGACTCAGAAGCTGTTACAGGCATGGCTTATACATCTCTGACTCTTCATAGAAATAGATTTAAATCCTGTAGTGAAAAATTTTTCTGGTGGCTTAACCTTATTATCTATGCCAGAAATCCTATTTCAACTACCATGCACAACAGTCCTTTTAGTCAGCAAGCATCCTCCCATTTTGATAGTCTTCATTTCCTTTGACTTTTCCTTTTTTCCCCTTAATGGTAGGAACCTAGCATTCTGGTATAAAATTTTCTTTTTCTTTAACTGTCAAAACAAGTCAATAGAGAATACACTTGAACAGAGAGGCATATAGATACATGTGTATATATATATATATATATATATATAGATAGATAGATAGATAGATACATGTGTGTATATATATATATATATGCGTGCATCTATTTATCTCTCTCTCTCTCTCTCTCTCTCTATATATATATATATATATATATATATATATGCATGTGTGTCTATATATATATTCACACACATACACATATCATGACTAGGTCTCCTGAATTGTCTTTCACTAAAAAACTACTAAGAGAAAATGAAGAAACACTTGTCTTTTCTCATGGCTATTTCTATAATCAATGAGCGTAATCACTTGCTAATTTCTAAGTTTATTCATTGGTGATTTACTTTTCCTGAAAAAGTTCTGAATAATAATTACAGTAGTTTTACTACCATTTATTTATTGAACACTGTCACATGTCAGATTGTACACTTTCCTCTCCTCAAATCTATCTCTTGAAAAAATATATATTATCTTTCTTTTTCATAGCAACTGTGATTTGGAACAAGTTAAGTGACTTGTCCAGAGCCACACAGTTTGCAATGAGCAGAATTAAACTCAAACCAAACTGTGACTCAAATCAGTGCACTTCACAGTATGTTACTCAGCCTGTTTTATAGGCATACATAAAAAATCATCTTCAAATGACTAATTAAGCGTGGTTTACTCCATTTTTCTTGTGAAACATGAGCCAAACAAAATGGTCATAATAATCATGAGGGAGGTGGATGATGAATGTCATAAAGAACAATGTTTTCATTAGTTGGGATCCTGTCAAGAAATAGATGAAATGCTCAAGTGAGGTCACTGAGCAAAATCTAATAAAGACAGTGTTTACCAAATGTGACAAGGTTAAGGGAACCCTCAGGGGTGGTGTACTCTATAAGGCTACCAATAAATGAAAGCTGTCACCACTCCTGGGCCTGAGAAAGCAAGGATGGACTCGGGCACATACAGAGCTTAGAAGTCACCACTTTACCCTAAAAAAAAAAACAAGTTTCTTACATACATTGCAGAAGTGAGGTCACAGGGTAAACCATGGCCCCTCAAATTGGAGAATGATAGGCAAATACGTCTTTAAACAAAAAGTTATGAAACATACAAAAAGTTAGGAGACATACAAACAAAAGCAAAAAATTTAAAAAAATGGCAGTGTGAAAAGACAGCAAGCATCAGAACCAGACCAGGATAATGGCAGGGATGTTGGAATTATCAGACTATGAATTTAAAACAACTATGATTACTATGCTAAGGGCTTTAATTGAAGAGGTAGATAATGTGCAAGAACAGATGGTTAATATAAGCAGAGAGATGGAAATTCTTAAAAAAGAATTAAAAAGAAATGCTAGATATAAAAAACACTGTAACAAATAAAGATTGTCTTTGCTGGCTCAGTATTAGACTGAGCATGGCTGAGGAAAGAATCTCTGAGCTTGAATACATGTCTTTCAAATTTGAAAATCTGGGACAATAAAGACTAAAAAAAAAAAAAAAAAAAACAGAACCAACTATCCACAAACTGTGGGACAACTACAAAAGGTGTAATATATTCATAATGAGAATACCAGAAGAAGAAGAGAGAAGGAACAGATATTTCAAGCAATAACGAGTGAGAATTTTCATAAATAAATGTCAGACACCAAACAATAGATCCAGAAAGCTCAGAGAACACTGAGCAAGATAAATGCCCCCAAAAAGCCAAATGTAGGCACATCATATCCAAACTGCAAAGAAATGAAATTTTTTTTTAATCATAAAAGAAGCAGAGGGAAGAAAGCACCTTACTTAGAAAGGAGCAGAGTTACAGCTGACTTCTCAAAACCCGTGTAAGCAAGAAAAGAGTAGACTGAGATACATGAAGTTTTGAAAGAAAGAAACCCACCAACCTAGAATTCTGTATCCTGCAAAATTATCCTTCAGAAGTGGGAAAATAATGACTTTCTCAGACAAATTAAAATTGAGGTAATTTGTTGCCGGTTGACCTGCCTTGCAAGAATTTTTTTTTTTTTTTTTTGAAACGGAGTCTCGCTCTGTCACGCAGGCTGGAGTGCAGTGGCGCGATCTTGGCTTCACTGCAAGCTCTGCCTCCCAGGTTCATGCCATTCTCCTGCCTCAGCCTCCTGAGTAGCTGGGACTACAGGCGTCCGCCACCAGGCCCGGCTAATTTTTTTTGTATTTTTAGTAGAGGTGGGGTTGCACCATGTTAGCCAGGATGGTCTCGATCTCCTGACCTCGTGATCCACCCACCTCGGCCTCCCAGAGTGCTGGGATTACAGGCGTAAGTCATCAAGCCTGGCCAAGAAATTTTAAAAGAAGTTCTTCAGAGAGAAGTAAGATGATATATTTCAGAAGCAGATGTACATTTAAAAAATGAGCATCAGGGAATGAGTAAGTAAAGGTAAAATAAATATTTCTTTGTATTCTTAATTGGTCTAATAGATAACTGTTCAAAATTACAATAAAAGCAATGTATTGAATGATTTTACCATTTTGATAAATGAAAAAATGACAGCAATGTCATAAGTGTCAGGAGGGAAAAATTAGAAATAAATTACCTGCATTACCCATGAAGCAGTGCAGAATTTTTTGAAAGTACAGTTACATTAATTATAAAAGTATACTGCAAATTCTAGTGCAACCACTAAAAAATTAAGAAATATATCTGATACCCTGAGAGAAGACAAAATGAAATCATATAAAATGCTCTATTAAAACCAGAAAAGGCAGAAACAGAGGGGAAGATTTAAAAAGACAAGCAACCAAGAAAACGTTCAACAATAGTAAAGTGTTGTAAATATGCTAGATATTCCCGCAACTATATCAATAATCATTTCAACTATAAATGGTCTAAATCACCAATTAAAAAAGAATCTGACAGAGTGACTAAAGAGCCAGACCCAACTATTTGTTGTCTACCAGAAACACATTCTTTTTTTTTTTTTTTTTTTTTTTGAGACAGAGTCTTGCTCTGTCACCCAGGCTGCAGTGCAGTGGCAGTGGTGCTATCTTGGCTCACTGCAAGCTCCGCCTCCCAGGTTCACGCCATTCTCCTGCCTCAGCCTCCCAAGTAGCTGGGACTACAGGCACCCGCCACCATGCCCGGCTAATTTTTTGTATTTTTAGTAGAGACGGGGTTTCACCTTGTTAGCCAGGATGGTCTCGATCTCCTGACCTCATGAGCTGCACATTCTTAATATAAGGACACAGATAGAATAAAACTAAAAGTTGAAGAAAGATACACCATGCTAACACAAATTAAAAGAAAAATTGCCTGGCTTTATTAATGTCAAACAAAGCATACTCTATAATTAGGAATATTATAAGATATAAAGATAGGAATTCCATAATGATAAAGGGGTAAATCTTCCAAAAAGACATAACAATTCTGAATATGCTTGCAACTTGATGTGTATCCACATCAAAATACATAAGGCAAAAACTAATATAACTGCAAAGAGAAATAGAAAAACCACCATTATGTGGTCATGTGTCACATAAAGATTGAAATACATTCTGAGAAGCCCATCATTAGGCAATTTTGTCATAGTGCAAACGTCATCACATGTACTTACCCAAACCTAGATGGTGTAGCCAACCACACATCCAGGCTACATGGTATAGTCTATTGCTCCTAGGATGGAAACCTGTGTAGCATGTTACATTACTGAATAGTCTAGGCAATAGTAACAATGCTAAGTATTTGTGTATCTAAGTCTATCGAAATATAGAAAAGGTACAGTACAAATATGATATAAAAGATAAAAATGGTACACCTGTATAGGGAAACTTACTATGAAGGAGCTTGCAGGACTGGAAGTTGCTTTGGGTGAGTCAGTGAGTGAGTGGTGAGTGAATGTGAAGGCCCAGGCCATTACACTACTGTAGACTTTTAAGAACCATACACTTAGGCTACAATAAATTTATTTTAAAAATATTTTCCTTCTTCAATAATAAATTAACCTTAGGGTATTATAACTTTTTAACTTTATTCATTTTGTAACTTTTTAAAAACTTTTTGATTCTTTTGTAATAATAACATAAAACACAAACACATTGTCAGCTGTACAAAAATATATTCTATAATATATTTAATTTTCTATTTATTTAATTTTATTTCTATTTCATTTTATTTTTTTCTATTTAATTTTATTTTTACTCTTCAAGTTAGAAAACAAAGACACAAATACACACATTAACCTAGGCCTATACAGGTTTAGGATCATCAATATCACCTCTTCTACCTCCACATGTCATCCTACTAGAAGCTCTTCAGGGCAAAAATATGTATGGAGCTGTCATCTCCTACCATAACAATCCCTTCTTCCAAAATGGCTCCTGAAAGGCCTGCATTAAGCTGCTTCATAGTGAACTTCTTTTCTTCTTATAAGTAGAAGTATACTTTAACAATAAATAGTATAATACACACATACATCAGTGACATTTATTATCATTATCAAGTATGTACTATACATAATTGTACTTCTTGTACTTTTATAAGACTAGCAAGACAGTGGGTTTGTTTACACCAGCATCAACACTAACACGTGAGTAATGCGTCGCACTACAAGCTTATGATGGCTATGTCATCACTGGACATTTTCAGCTTCATTATACTCTTATCAGACCACCACTGTATATGTGGTCCCAGGTTGTCCAAAACATTGTTACGTGCTGTCTGAATATAGTTGGAGACCTCAACACACTTCTAACAGTAATTGAGAGATCTAGCAACCAGAAATCAGTAAGGATACAGTTGAACTAAACAGTATAATCAATCAACTGAATCTAATTGACATTTATAGAATACCTCATCTAACAACAGAAGACACATTATTGTCTAGCTTACATGGAACATTCACCAAGATAGACCACATTTCGAACCATGAAACATAGCTTAACAAGTCTAGGAAAATTAAAATCATATGAAGTATGTTCTTAGATCATAATGAAATTAGACTAGAAATCAATAACAGAAAAAATGGTCAGAAAGTACCACATTATTTGGAAATTAAACAATATACTTCTAAATAATACACGGGTCAAAAAATTGGTCTCGAGAAATTTTGAAAATATTTTGAACCAAATGAAAATGAAAACATAACTTGTCAAAATCTGTGGGATACAGTGAAAACAGTGCCTACATTGAAATTTATAGCATGCAAAGCACAGAATAGAAAAATGAAAGATATTAGATAAATAAATAAAGTTTTCCCCTTAGGAAGCTGGAGAAAGAAGAGAAATATAAATACATAAAACAAGCAGAAGAAAAATAATCATAATAATTGAAACAAATCAGTGAAATTTAAAATAAGAAAATACTGGAGACAGTCAATGAACCCTAAAGCTCGTTCTTTTAAAAGGTCAATAAATTTGACAAACCTTTAACCAGGCTAACCAAGTAAAAAGAAGAGGAGACATAAATTATGAATATCAAAAATTAAACAGAGGCCATCACTACTGATGCCATGAACATTAAAAAATTATACAGGACAACTATAAGCAACTCTATACCCACAAATTTGATAACTTAGATAAAATGAATCAATTTCTTGAAAAACACAATTTACCAAAAATAGATAACCTGAGTAGGCTTATATTTATTAAATAAATTGAATCACTAATTAATAATCTTCCAAATCAGTAAGCACCACATCAAGATGTTTTCACTGGTGAATTCTACCAAACATAAGAAAACATGATACCATTTTCTACAACCTCTTCAAGAAAACAGTAGCAGAGGCAACTCATTTTATGGGGACAGCATTACCTAGTACCCAACTGGACAAAGACATTATAAGAAAGGTAAATTATAGGCCAATATTTTTTACGAACATCAATGTAACACTCCTCCAATATATTAAGAAATTCAATCCAACAATTTTATAAAAAGAATTCCATGCTAATACCAAATGAGATTTATTCCAGGTGTGTGAGATTGGTTTAACATTTGAAAATCAATTAATTCATCACACCAGCAGGCTGAAGAACAAAGTTATATGATCCTATCATTAGATGCAGAAAAATAACATTTGACAAAATCTAACACCTATTAATGATTTTTAAACTCTCAGCAAATTAGAAATAAAGGGAAACTTCCTCATCTTGATAAAGAAAACCTACAATAACCTACATATAACATCATACTTAATTGTGAGAAGCTAGATGCTTTCCCCCCAAAATCAGGAGCAAGCCAAGAATGCCTCCTCCCACCACTACAACTTCATCCTGGAATTCCTAACTCTTGCAAAAAATGGGTATAAGAGGTATGAACATTGCGAAGCATTAAATACAATCACCTTTGTTTGCAGATACTATGATGGTCTATATAAAAAAATCCAAACAATGAATGAGAAAATTCCTGGAACTAATAAATTATTATAGCAAGGTTGCAAAAGACCAAATTAAAACACACACACACAAAATTGCTTCTCTATGTATCACCAATAAATGATTGGAATTTGAAGTAAAAAGTGCAACAACATCTACTTAAGCTTCCCCATAATTAAATACTTAGGTATAAATCTAGCAAAGTATATACAAGAACTATGTGAGGAAAACTATAAAACTTTGATGAAACAAATAAAAAAATTTAAATAAATGGAGAGATATTATATGTCTGTGGATAAGAATATTCAAAACTGTAAAGATGAAAGTTCATTATGACTTGATCCTTGTTGTAGATATCAACAAACTATTCTAATATTTATGTGGAAAAGCAAGAGACTCAGAATGGCCAACAAAATACTGAAGAAGAAATAAGCCATATGACTGACGCCACCTGACTTTAAGACTAACTACAAAGCTACAGTAATCAAGACCGTGGTATTAGTGAAAGAACAGACAAACAGAGCAATGGAACAGAAGACAGACTCCAGAGAAATATCAAAACAAATAGTCAGCAGGTCTTTGACAAAGAACCAAAGGCAATTCAACTGAGAAAGGACAGTCTCTTCAAGAAATGGTCCCAGAACAATTGGACATCTCATGCAACAACAACAAAAAAATGAATTTAGACAAAGTTAACTAAAAATGAATCATAGACTTTAATGTAAAACACAGGCTACCTCAAAATAGATTATAGACCTAAATGTAAATCACAAACCTATAAAATAGGAGAAAATCTAGGTGACCTTAGATTTGGGTATGACTTTTTAGGTATACCAAAAGCACAATCCATGAAAGAAAAAAATGATAAGTTGTACTTCATTAAAATTAAAAACCCCTATTATTCAAAAGATGGTGATAAGGAAATGGAAAGACAAGTTACAGACTATGAGAAAATATTTTCAAAACACATATGTGATAAAAGATACAAAGAACTATCAAAATATGCTTTAAAACCCAACAATAAGAAAACAAGCAACTTTATCTTAAAAAATGTCCAAAAGATCTGAACAGATACTTTATGTACATATCTGATACCTGTGAAGGGAGAGAAGCAGGATGAACCCCAGGCTGTAGTGCAGTTCTGAGAATGTCTCAGCCAACCCAATGCAAAACTCCAAAGCAAAAAATGTCTAATATACAAGTCACATGTTGGGTAGATATGGCCTGGCTCTAGTGCTTCTGCCAAGCTCAGGCATTGACTGGGAGAAGCCTAAAGAGAGCATGGACTCAGTGTGAATGCTATGAGGTACCTCTAAGATGCATCAGCTGGAGGCTGTCGACTAATTATACTACTTGTAGCATATTCCTTATTTTTTTTCCAGGGAGATCTGAGCCAGGCATGTCTATGGCTTGGAAGGTAGTATATTCGTATAGTTTGGTGTCCTAGTTAAAATGTATGCCTTTAAAGAAGCCTGGTATCAAGTTTTCTATTTAAATAACAGTTTTCAGCAGGACAGTTCTTGACCTTTGACAAACCAAATGCAATTTGGTTCCTAGTGCCATTTGCCAGACACTCTGAAAAACATCTCAACTTGTGACAGACTTCCCTAATTCTGTTGCATTTGGTAAGACAAAAGGCAAGAAGCAGAATAGTTTACCCTACACCTTCAATATGCCACACAGCAGTTTACAGCTTCAGGTGCAACTCAAAACTGACCACATTAAAGGTTACCTGGTAAACAGGTCAGAGCAACATACACAAAATTAGTATATTTATCCTTCTATATCCAAAGAGGTTCACCAAGTCTTTTGCCTCTTTGATTAGTGATATAATGCGCCATCGTTTGCATCTCTCTGTAGAAAATATATCTTGATGTACCCAAGATATATTGTACACCACTGCTAAATATGTAGTATATTTATTTACACTATATACATCCTGGATTTGGGAAAATAACCACATGATTTGTGGATGGTCATAAAGAATCCAGTGGAAGGAGAAAGGGGACCAAGAGTCCCCACATCCCCTGGGATTCCCATTGCCCTCACTCTATTATACTTTGGTGGTATTCAGGGTCTCTGAATATTAGCACTATTTCAGAGGCAGGACCTAATAATACCAGAAGTTCTGGGTACATTCCTTTATCCAATATATATGGTAATGGCTATAGGCCCTTCAAGGCAAGGTTTAGAGGGAGAGTCATAGCCTATGCCAGTGGCTACTCAGTTAAGGTATTTTGTGTCAGCCTCCTCTGGGAAGCTGAGGTCTGAAACTTGGTAAAAGTATATGAATCCCTTAAGGAGACTTGATCTAGGTTTTGTCCACCAGATCTACAGACTCAGCTTATGTCACAAAACACCTCATAGGCTGCCTAACTATTTTATTCCTAGAGACCCCCTGAGCAATTGAACATCATCACAGTTTCCCATGGAACATTTAATCTGCTGTCACTCTGTCTGTGAAGCTCATTATGATCACTATTCCAACCTTGTATGTGACAGTAAAGTGCATCACCAGCCTTCTGCAGAAAAAGGGATGACTCAGTCAACAATAGAAGTACCTTGAGATTTGGGGGTTCCAATTGCATAGCCTTGCTCATCTCTGCCCAATATTGCCCTTTTGACTACTCAGTGAGTCTCTGCGTCCCCACCCCTGCCCTAAACTTAGTATAAAAGACCCAGAAGTCTCTTCCAAGTACTGGCTCTCTGCCTCCATTAATTAATTGGTGGTGGATCCCTGCCTTCATTAGAGTCAAGCCATTGGCTTGATTCTTAATCGTATTTGTCCTGAAACTTGAGGAGATGAGGACTTCAACAAAAGCTGACATAGGAGCTTTCTCATTTTCAACTCATGTTCTGAATTAGTATTCAAGGCCTCAGTTTGTTATTTTCTCTGTATATACTATGCAGGGTCATGTGACAAAGTTAGCTGACAACTCAGCCTTTATAATCATTATTGTTGCAAAAGAGAGACTAATTTACAAACCAGCTGATTCCTAACACCTTACATTCTGTCGAATAATGATGTTATCCCTTGACTCAGACTACTGTGTAATATTTCTCTCTAGTGAGCATGTCGGCCATGTGCTTCTTAGCTATATGAGAAACCAATCTCAGAATCCCAATTTGAAGCTGTGTTTGCTGGGGCCACATATGCTACCAAATACTGCTATGAACAAAAAGAAGGCATTACAAATAGGTACTGTGGAGAGCCAAATAAAAGGATAACATACAACATATGAGCAGGATTTGGGGAAATCAAATGATTGGTTAAAAATCCTGGGAATAACAAAATGGTGAGTTTTTACCATCCACAGCCAGAGCACGTAATAGGAAATAGAGGTAACAGAACCCAGAATTATCAACTATACTCCTAGAAGAGGGTCATCTGACAGGAGTTCTAGCTATCAGTAGAGTAGTAAGAGTGAAACGGGAAAATTAATTTCCAAATATCACCCTTCTTCTGCCCTCCAATCTCTTGCTGGAAATCCCATTAGGAGATGGAAGCCAGAAAGCAAGGGTTCTCCTTTATTTATTCCAAATAATTCAACCATTTAGAGCACAGAGCAGGATGGTGAATGGTGAAGAAATAGATTCAGATGAGCAAATAAAAGTATCCAACGGGGTGTTAAATGCTTCTACAGATGTCTAGGAGGGTGCCCTAAACCCACGTGACCCAATGTGGGTCTAGCCTCAGGATAAGAGATAATAGGAAATAGTAGAAATTCAGGATAGTTTTGATAAGGATACAAAAGGTTCCTGGGTTACTTTCTGGTTGAAACCCAAGAAGATGCTGACCCTCAGAGAGCAGTCCATAAAACCAGCATGGTATAATAACAATATATTAGGAATTGTGACAGAGCAATTTCATGTAGAGGTAATCTGAGAAAGGCTCCATCATGCTCCAATCTCTCACAGTCACAGAAAAGAGAGAAAGTGAGACTGAATCTTTCCCATATTCACTGCTCTTCTTGAGAGGGCGACAGGGCATCTGAGATGGTGAGACGAATTGATGAAATCCCCTAAATAGTTATGGAACCCAAAAACCAATGCATAAAAGCTACTGTGGAACCTTAAACATGGCCTCAGATGCCAGTGGTACTAGATGCTAACAACCAAAGACTTCAGGGTAGGCTCCTTCTCAGATGCGTGGCATAAGATAGAGGACATACCACACCCATCGATGACAAGAAACTCCATAAAACATGGTGAGTAGAGGAGTCTTGAGTATACTCTGAGTTCATTAAGTGCAATTGAAACAAAATGTACTAAAATATATAAGCTCCATTGAAACCTACTAGATTCAATTATGAGCCATCAACCAAGTATTCAAAACAGAGATTATGTAATTGATAAGTAAAAAGTTACATTTGCCACCTGCATATGTGATTTGAAAATTCCTACCCAGAAAGCTGTACACACACACACACACACACACACACACATTATATCTACATAGTCTGTTGCACTAAAAATAATTTGAGCAAAATTGAGATCCGGGTGAATAGAAAAATTTTTCAATACCCATAGTTCTGTTCTGACTACCATCAGACATTTCAATTTGTAATTCCAATAAAATATATTACCCAAATGGCCTACTGTGTTAATCAGCACCATTTAGCTTAAACTCCACAAGCTTTATCTTCTACATACAATCTATAGCTCAATGTCATAAAAAAGTTATGTTTCTAAAGAAGAACATACATTTGCAGTTATTTTATTTTACTTTAATCTGTGACTACTTCTAACTGATAGTACTTAAAGCTTATAAATTTTACAAAAGGAATAACACAGTGATTATTCCTAGTGAAGCCCCTAGGGTGTGTAAGTCCAAGCAGTGATGACCACCACATGTCTTATTTAGCCTTCAAATTTTTCCTCTGACACAAGATGCTATTGCTAAATTAATTATAATGTAGAATTCCCATTATGATTATGTGTATGTGTTTCCTTGCAGTCTTTAACGTTTAACCATAAGATCAAAACAAAAATTTCCATTGTAATAAAACTCTACTTTCCATTAAATTTTAATACATTAGAAATATAAAACTAATATTTTTCTTGATTTTTAAAAGATAACAATGAACATTTGTGAATAATGAGAAGACATTTGTGCTTCAAATGAACACAGCATATGCCAGGTTTCAGCCCCAAGGTAATTTTTATGACCGAGTTACCAGATCCTAAAGTTTTTATGGTAGATATGTCACCTCTTTAAATATACATACAATAATTTCAAGTCTTTTGTCATATGAATTATTTCTGTTAATAATTTGGAAGCTCAAAAATGATTCTCCTTCTTAGTATGTCATCATGTCTGTTAAAATGTTATTTTATATCTTCTATCTTATTGAATTTTTCTGCTTCAAGCTCTATTTTTTATTGTATGATTGTATACCGAAATACAAAAACACACTAACAAAAGTAATGTTTCTAAGGCTACATGGACTAATGGTTGCATTTAGGAAAATGTTACATTTAAAAGATTAATATTCTTCTTAAATTATTATTAAATATAATGCACCTACTAACCTAGTAAGTAGCTTGCATTTAGCTATTGCTCTTAATTTTTAAATTCTTTGCTGCTAAATCTCCACTGATCTGCAAACATATTTAGGAGGAAGAAGGAAGTATAGCAAGCATTTATTATCCTTACTGGATACCTATTAAATATCAGATGCTGTTCTAAATGCTTTAAATTCATTAATTTATTTAATCATCACAAAAATTATCTGGAGTAGTTACTAATACTATGCCATTTTTATAGATGAATAAACAAATGTATGTTTGTAGAAAATATCACAGACAATAGGTGCAGAAAGCTGTCTAATCCAAGCAGCTAAATTACAGACTCATAATCTTAGCCACTTTTCTGCCTTACTGCAAATATGGGAAAACACAGGAAAATATAAACTGTTTACTCTAAAATTACAGTCTTATATTTTTAAGTAAAATTTAGGTAATCAGATTTTAATTCTATATCTGCTGAAAATGTTTTTTAGAATCAACTGAATTTAGGAGAATAGGATCAGTTAAATCATATGATTCAAGAAACAACCATAAAAAAACTTACCGTAAAAAGAAGTTTAATTTTCCTGAAAGATACATTTCTTTAATATCTCAGAGCTATGTTATGTGGCAGCCTTGATGACAGAGGAAGTTATTGCCTAACACCACAATATCCTAAAAGATAAACAACATATTAACTTGTTCGAAAACATATTTTAGGCTTCGGTGCTAAAGGGATATTTCTAAATATAGCAAATCTACCTCCGCATTATAATTAGTTCAATTTTGTTATAATGTTAACACTAGAATTTCTTTGTAATAAATACCCCATGACTACTTTACTAGTCCCTCCAGATTACAAAAAATCTTCAAAATAGCACATTATGTAGGAAATGCTTCACCTGTGAATATGTGAGGCAAATTGTTCTACATACACGAAAACCTCCTGGTTTCAGTTCCTATGTCCTCCCTCACCTATCTCTGCTTTTCACCTCCTACAAACTTGCATGCATCTCCACTCCCACCCATGCCACATAGAAGTCTTTCTAGCTCAAGGAATATGTGAAGAGGATAGTAAATGCCTGACAAGCTCTAATTCTATCTTGTAACAATCAGAACTTTTATTTCCCTGCAGGTTTTTCACCTCTGGGAAATGAGAGCCCATTATTCCACCTGACACATGAAGCATAAATAAAATAAACAGAGGGAAAAATAAAACAGGCTGTGATAACCATAACCTTGAAGGAAACAAATAGCTGAAGAGGTTAAATGTTGGTATGATCTAGTATTGATTCTTTAAATATCTCATTGGAAAATAAGAATGAAACTAAACAAATGTATTATTATATTTAGTAAGATTTATTTTTTCTAATTTAAAGATCTAGCATTCCTACTATGCCATAGAGCTTTAAATTACTCTCTTAAAATTATTAATGATAACATTAAGCATCCTAAAGCAATTCTTTTTAGTTAAGAGAAGTTTTATTTAAAACTTATTTTATTTTTATTTAAGTTTTATTTAAGAAGTTTTATTTAAAAGAGCAATTTTATTTAAGTTATTAGCAATGGTTTGTAGATAAATGGATTAACTCATGAAATTAACTCTTAGGTTTAAAATAATTTATTTGATTTAACATGTAGTTGGAAATGAGAAATTATTTTCTTAAAGTAGTCAGCATCAAAACTATTTTTGATAAAGTGTTTTTTTTAGAAAATGAAACTATCCATACATTGAGTCATTTATTCATTCACTAAACAAATGTTTACTAACCACTTAGCTATTTGCCAAAATTTTTATTGCAGTGAACAAAACAAAGGCTCTGCCCTGATAAAGTTTACATTCCACTATGGGAAACAGACAATTAATCCATACACAAATGGATATGTAATGTCAGGTGCCAAGAAGAAAAATAAGAGAAGTTAAGGAAGTAGAGTTATGAGGGTGGGTATTATTTTAGATGTATTGTTTAGGAAGATCTCTTGGAGAGGGAATCATTTAAAGAGAGATTTGAATGAAGTAAGGGAACAAGTCACAAGGCTATTTGGAGAAGTGTCACTGACTGAGGGAACTACAGATGCCAAGACCCAGAGGCAAGATAATGTAGATGTTTCTGCTATTTTTATATATTTATAGTAGTGTTAGAGGGTCAAACTGCTTTCTGAAAAGTTATGTACTGAAATTAATTGGATTTAAAGGGAATTAATATTAGGAGCATGATATGGTTTGGCTGTGTCCCCACCCAAATCTCATCTTCAATTGTAGTTCCCATTATCCCCATATATCATGGGAGGGACCCAGTGGGAGGTAATTTAATCATGCGGGCCATTACCTTTATGCTGTTCTCATGATAGTGAGTGAGTTCTCAGGAGATTTGATGGTTTTATAAGGGGCGTTTCCTCCTTTCGCTGGGCACTTCTCCTTGTTGCCACCATGTGAAGAAAGACATGTTTGCTTCCCCTTCCGCCATGATTGTAAGTTTCCTGAGGCCTCCCCAGCCATGCTGAACTGTGAATCAATTAAACCTATTTCCTTTATAAATTACCCAGTCTTGGATATGTCTTTATTAGCAATGTGAGAACAGATTAATACAGAGCAGATCACACACATTTTTTACAACTTCAAAAGCGATGACATAAACAGTTGTAGGTACCACCAACTGGGTCACCTAGGTAGGTAGTTAAGCATGACTGGGTGCTACCATAATGTGGGTCTTTAAAATGCACAAAATCAATAACTTGAAATCAGTTGGCAACTCTTAATATCAGACCTAGGCTTGCAAGAGCTGAGAGAATGAAGAAGAAAATGCAGTTGTAAGAGTTTGAGAGAGCCATTGAGTGGGCATGGGAGACAGTCCAACCCACACAGCTGAGAGTTATGCAAGGCTGGGGGGTAAGGTGTGCTGGTAAACGTGCCTTGTTTTTTCTTAGAGTGGGTTCTTAACCTCCAGTACAGCAGCTGAGCAAAGGCTTATTTCTTCCCTGTGGAAGTAGCTACAACTCTTCTCTTGCCATGTAGTTCCCTTTGCCTAGGAAAACAATCATATATAGATGTAGTACAACCTTGCATTATGCTGACATCATTACCCTCCTCACCTATCAAATAGAGGTGAACCTGCATTGCTGAAATATGTATTATAGAGAAAAATAATCTTGCTGTGTTTGTGGAAGAAAAATTAGGACAGTGTGCCTGGAGGCCAATGAGTGAACAGAACTGCTAGAAAATTACATCAAATAAGCAGGTATGTAGCGAAGACCAAATCCTGTAAAACTTAGATATGGCAGCAGGGCCAAATCATACAGTCATTAGGACTTTAGATTTTACTGTCAGTGCTATGAGAAGCAATTGGAAGGTTATGAGCAGGGGAATAAAATAACCTGTCTTACATTTTATAAGAAACACTGGCAGTTGAGCAGAGGATAGGACCTAGGAGTTGAGAAAGGGAAACTGAAGTGTTAGCTAACTATTCTGATGAGGGATTATTGCAGATTAAACATCATCTAGTCATGCTTATGGTAGTAAATGGTCAGATTGTGAATATACTGTTATAGATAGAGCAAGTAGGATTTTCTCATAGACCAGGTGTTGTTAGAAATAGAGAGAAGTCAAGTATAACTACAAGGTTTTTTCTTTTGCTCAATCCAAATGAATGTAGATATCATTTAAAATGATGGAATACACAGGAAAAGGAGTATTTTAACAGAGGTTCAGGAAGAAATCAACAGTCTCATTTTGAACATATTAAGATTGAAATACCTAATAAAAACCCAAGGCAGGATGTAGACTCCAAGATAAAAGAGAAAGGCTAGGTGAGACATATAAATCATTGCATCAGAATCTTAGGCATAGCAGTTGAAAATATGGAACTCAATGAAAGTCTCTAAGGAGTAAGTATAACTACAGAATAAGTCTGAGACTGATTGGTGGGCAACAACATTATTATTATTATTATTATTATTATTATTATTATTATTATTATTTTGAATCTAGAAACTTGACAAGGGTCCAGAGAAAGAGCCTGGGAATGAGTGAAAGACAAAGGACACTCAGAAGAGTAAGAGCATTATCAAATTGAAGCAAACCAAAGGTTTTAAGATCTAACAAGTGTGATCGAGTGTGTCAAATAATCTATATGAGGTGACGATTGACAATCAGTGAATCTCAGATGTATAGGTCTTTGGGGTTCACAACTGCATGATCTCAGTGAGGCAGTAGAGTGCAATGAGAACAGGATGGGAGAAGAAATAGAAGTATACACAACAATTGTGAGGCATGTAATATAAGACAAAATAAAAGTATGGCCTGAAGCTGCAGGAAAATGTGAGGTAAAGAAATATTTTAGTAAGCTAATAAATATTACTGCATGCTTATGTGGCAGTGAAAATGGCCCAGTATAGAGGAACACTGGATGTAATAGAGGCAAAAGATAAATGTGGGTGCAAAACAATTAAGTAAATGTGAAGAATGAGGATGAAGAAGCATGGTAAAATTACACACTGAATAAACCACTAGGCTCAAACCACAGGCTATAAAAAGAGAACATTTTAGAAGTATATAACTGGCCTCACAGACAAGTTAGATATTCCTAAGAGATGAAACAGAACAGAAATAAAAAATAGCACCAGGAGCAGAAGTTGTGAGTTTCCTGTACTCCAGAAACCAACAGAGGCACCTGGAATTTAAGTCATCCTGAATAAGAGGGACTAAAAGTGCTCTACAAGAGTCAGTGACCAGAACTCAGCTTACTTCTGGAACCCTTTTGTTTACCCTGGTCCTACTTTTGAGCAGGTTCTGGATAAAAACAAGAAAGCCCCCAACATTGGTTGGGTCTTATGGCTTACATGAAACTCTGCTGTTAGGAAAAAAGAGGGCATCGGTAAGTGCGGCCACATGTCTAGAAATGGAGCAAACTCACCTTCTGGCAAACCAACATAAGGAATATAAAAAAGAGAAGCAACAAAATCAACAATTTGGAAGTAAATTTACTTTATGTGACAAAAAATTAAATGGTTTTTGCAAAATACTCTAAATAATTATATTTAGAATCCTAGATGATAACAAATATCTACGAAATGCCAATTCAATGCTAGACATAATTTTAGGTGTTGGGAATAGCACCAAACAAACAAGACACACAAAAATCATTACCTTCATGGAATTTAAATTCCATGGATGAAATAATGAAAATAATTTCATATAAATATACAAGAAACTCTGAAATAGAACAAGATGAAATAAATCATAAGCAATCTATATGAGGTGAATCAAATTAAAATGTTGGAAATATAGTCATCATTAACATTTTTAAATGCAAAAAAAATTAATAAGCCCTAGACTGAAAACTTGAAGAGAATCAATAAATTGGAAAACCAAGAACACATATAGAAACATAACAACATTCAAAAATATGAAGAATGAATTTTAAAATGTAAACATTATTTCAACACACATCTAGTAGGAGCTCTAGATCAGGGGTTAAAGAGCCAGATAGTAAATATTTTAGGTTTTGCAAGCCAGACAATACCAGAGCATCTATAGACAATTCAAAAACAAATGGGTAATAAAAGTTTGTTAACAAAAACAGGCAATGTTCTTAGTTTGCCAATCTCTCTTCTAGAAGAAAAACAGAAACTGGTGGAAAATCAGTATTAAGAGGTAAGGGTAAACAATTTTCCAGGAATAAAGAAATTCATTAGTACTCCATTCAAAAGGACTTTCTGACAGCAAAGCAGAAGTAAAAAAAATAAATAAACACATAGATGCATTATAGTATAACTACAAAATATCAAAGACAGAAGATTTTAAAAGCCACCTGAGGACAAGAACTGCTGACTTACAAGGGAACAATAATTAAACCTGTAGCAGATTTCTTATCAGCTCAATAATGCCAAGAAAAATTGAATAATATATGAAAGTTGTCAACCTAACCCAAAATCTGATACCCTACTAATTATTCGAGAAGGTAGCCCAATTAAATTACTTTATAATAAAAAATACTACAATATGTTAACACTATCGAGCAGACACTAAAATATGTAAACCATAAACTTCAGCAAGAAGAAAATCCAACACAGAATGAAGAAATGGGGATTAAAATATACACAGCTGATTGTCATTATTCACAGTGATGTTCTATATAGGTGTTGGAAACTGAATTTTTGAATTCTGAGCCATTGCTCCTGGTAGAAATTTATAAGTGTATATCTATATCTATAGGTATACATCTATATCTAGATATATATATATATCACATATAATGTTAAATCTTAAAAATAACATCATAGTTGATTCTATTTTATTTATTTTGCAGAAAAGAAAATGAGGTTCAGAGTGTTAAGTGACTTGCCATATCAAAGTTGTGTCAGAGTTGGGAGTCAGACTCGGTCCCACTAACCCCAGACCTGGAGCTTCTTGCACTACATCGAATGCTCCTAACATCTCCACTCTCTGGTCATCTGTGCATGAGATCTGAGCAAGAAGGCAGAGCATAGTCTTGTTCCACCTCAACTGTGAATGTGTGTCTACTTCAATTTCTCACCACCTGAGTATGGATTTTAGGGTTCCAAATAAATTTCAGTGAATAGGCAAATTTACAAATATCACATCTGGGAACAATGAGGGTCAATTACATACCTATCTGTATTCATGATATCAGTATAGTTTCCTATTACATGAAAAACAAATGTGATATATTTGGTTTTGTGAAAACTTAAGCTACAAATTTCAGACAGAAAAATAAGATAGAGGGGCATCATTCGTGAAATAAGTATATAAGATTGACTTCTGTATCTCTCTGGGGAGTCATGTAGACTTATCAAATTGTGCAGAAAAGTGTTAACATGTTAATAGGCCTGATATTGCTATCCTGAGATACTCCCCTAGTTAGTGCTTGGTTGACATTTGGGAACTAACATTTCAGGAGGGTTCTTACTATTCCGTAACTGATAAAGGTGGCTCACTGGACATAAAGTATTAGTGCAAACAGTGTAGCTTGCCAAATACCTGGTTTTCTTCTGGGAGTCTGGGATTTTGGTACATGCTAGGCAAAGGGCACTCAATCTAAAATCCCTGGGCACTGAGTTTTTAATGAGCCTCCCTGGCAGACGATATCTCACTCATGTTGCCACAACACATTGTTAGAGGAATTAAGTGATCCACTAGGAGAGGACTCTTGGGAGCACGTGCCAGGTTTCTTCAAGACTTTGCTCCATGTGCCTTTTCCATGTGATGATTTTGCTTTGTATCTTCATGCTGTAATAAGTCAATATATCAAGGTCCCTAAGTATGACTATATGTTGAGTGCTGTGAGTCCTCCTAGTGAATCGCTGAAACTGCAGTTGGTTTCAGGGACCACTACTCATGAATGAATGTCTATTAATTCTTTAAAAAGGAGATCCTGCCATTTTTGACAACATGATGAACCTGGAGGACATTAGGCTAAGTGAAATTAACCAGACATAGAAAGTGAGATGCATGATCTCACTTACATTGAAATTTTAAAAAGTCAAATACAGAGAAGTAGAGAGTAGAATGGTGGTTACCAGGGTCAGGGAGTTAGGGAAAATAGGGAGATATTGGTCAAAGGGTACAAAAGTTCAGTTATGTAGAGTGAATTTGTCTAAAGAGATAATGTACAACATGATGATTGTAGTTAACAATACTGTATCATAAACTGGAAGTTTCCCAAGAGAGTAAGTTTCAGTGCTCTTATGACACTTACAAAAAATGGTAACTGTGAAGAGATGGGTATGTTAATTTGCTTGACTGTAGCAATCATTTTACCATGCATGTGCATATCAAAACATCATATTGTATACCTTAAACATATACAATTTTTACTTTAAATGTTTTAAACTCCAAAACATTTATAATTATTTGTGAAAATTTTATAGCCTTAGGAAGCATTGCTTCCAGATATAATCCTATAGCTTTTTAAGTACTTTTTTTTAACCCAGTACAATCAACTATAAATTGGACAAAATATATAAGCATCTCTTTTTTTTTGGACATTAGAAAACAGGCAAAGCAGAATTCTAATCTATGAGAGAAGGAAGAGCTGCACATGAGTTGAGCTGCACATTTGCCCAGTTCTCTGTCCAGGATATGGTCCCCTACTGTGGCACAGGGAGCTGGGGCCCAAGGGTAGTGGCAGTCTCACTGAACTGGGAAATGAGAACTAGTTAAAGGCTGCTGAAGCATTAAATTTGGGGTTCAAGGTAACAGAAAACAGGGAGCTGGATGGAGTTGGCAGAACTCTCTGTACCTCCACTGCCATTGGTAAGGATAGAAGTACTGGGAAGATCCAGAAAGAGAAGTTATTTCCCAAAGTAACAGACCATGAAGACTCAGTGCCAGGCACAAAAGTCATTATTCAGAGTTCACAGAGTTCATTCTCATGATCATTAAGCAATAAGGACTTAGCAAGGTGATATTGATTGGATCTGTGTTCCCTCCCAAATCTCATGTTCAATTGTAATCCCCAATGTTGGAGGTGGGACTTGATGGGAGGCGATTGGATCATGGAGGTGGATCCTTTATGAATGGATTAGAACCATGCCTTTTGTGCTATTTTCATGATAGAGTTCTCACAAGATCTGATTGTTTAAAAGTAGGTAATTCCTCCCCACCCCCCTTTTTCCTGCTCTGGCCATGTAAAGTGCTGGCTCCCTTTTCGCCTTCTGCTATGACTGTAAGTTTCCTGAGGCCTCCCCAGAAGCAGAAGCTGCAGAACCATGAGCCAATTAAAACTCTTTTCTTTATACATTACCCAGGGTCAGGCATTTCTTTATGGTGATGCGAGAACAGACTAATGTGCCAGGGAAGAGCTAGAAAAAGTAGAGTGTGAAAGCAAGAGAGTTAAGAATAAGCCCTGATAGACATTGGAAGTCAGTTTCCAGATAATGAAAATGCCTACTTTTAATCAAAAATTGTAACCATCATGGGAGAGATGCCAGCAGTTAATTAGTGGGAAAGCTAATACATAAAATGTCCCATTCTTGTATTAAATTTTCTACATGACGTCATGGTCTGACACTAATGTTTTTGTCTCATATTTTACAATGTTTCCTTTATGCCTATTTATTTTATTGTAAACAATCATCCAGACAACATGTTATAATTAAATGTGTTTAAAATTTACCAGTTTATGAAATTTAATGAAGCAACTATCCTATCCAATCCCTAGTCTTCTTCCTGAATGCAGATTCAAACTAATACTCAAGATTGCCACAAAATCTTAAATTGGATATAATAAAATACACAGACACACACGCGCGCGTGCACACACACACACACACACACACACACTAGCTTCTCCAAATCTTATGTTCCTTTGCCTCCTTTTGTGATTAATACAAATTAATATTCACGGTACTTATAACACAAGACTTTGGAGTCATATTTGAACACTCCTAAAAGACTCAGAGTCCAAAACACCTGGAGTCACATTTGAAGACCGTGCTGCAACATCTCCCACCCTACCCTGCTCAGCAAACAATGGGTTGCCAAATCATGAAGATCCCATTCTGCACTCCAAAATCCCGACAGAATAATGTCCTCAAAGCACAGCTTTAACCACATCATTTTCCTGCTCCCAAACCACTCTTCACCTAGTGCACATTACTTTAATTGAAGAGGAGCTATGAAAAATAAATACTCTCATATACTAAATTTATAATCTTAAATATGGTAAGGACAGCAATGTTGCAAGAACCCTGAATCATCACAGCCCTGGAGGTTAAGGAAAGCATTGTGTGTTAGTAAGCCACTAATAAAGTACAGTAGACAAATCTAGTTACAAAATAAAATGGCAGTTGCTTAAATAATGGTAGCCTGTTTAGTATGTAAATAGTAAATTTTGCCCCTGGCAGACTTTGGTTTCTATTTGTCAATTCTCAAAAACATTAAAGATATTTCTAAATTGTGTGTTTGTGCGTGTGTGTGTGTGTGTTGTACGTGTGTGTGTGTGTGGAAGAGAGAGACAAAAAGATAATTTCATTTATTTTTAGTAATCTATTCTGGTCACAGCAATGCCCACTGGCAGAAATACTTTGATTTTAGAGGACAAAGAATATATTACCAGCCAAATCCATCTGGGATAAAAGGGTTGCTCTATGTATAATAAAACATTAATTCACCAGAAATATATATTATTCATATTATAGTCATACATTATTAGTGTTCTATGCTAAATAAAAGAAGATGGACAGGAAAATGACACATAGAAAAAAAGCTACATGTTCATTTCATTTTTGGAATAATGTAAATAATTGGAAATCTGTTTAAGAGCAAATCTTATTTGGATTGATACTAATTCAAGTCATGGAGCTCATTGTTATCTAAGCACTCCATGCCACTCAGCAATTTTATTTATTCCCTTTTAGCTCCCGCTCTCATTCATACTACCACTACTCACCAAAAGTGTACTGGTAGAGCCTCTAATTCCTTAACTGCCTTACTAATTTATTGTAAAACAAAAGTGAGATTTTCACCACAAACACCCTCAAGTTACTATCACTGGTCTTTCAGAAAATTACTCACAGTTGGACCCATCCTTCTTCCTATATGATCATGTGATATTCTTCCTATTCTACATCAATTCCTCTACTTGAATTTTTTATTTTTATAAATCATTTTATTTTTATTGAAAAATAATATACATATGTCTATATAATTTTTAACACTAAGCTACAAAAATAATATCAAGGAAAAACAAATCTTCTTACACTAAATCTTCGGTGCCCCATCCCTAAGAAGTTCTTTGAAAGCTTCAAGAAATTTAAAAACTTTTCATACAAATGAGGACATACTGTTTACCCTTTATGTTCCTTTTTGATCCAATATGATCAGTTCTTTTTCCTTTCATTTTATTATTTTTTCTTCACAGCCTCCTTTACTTGACCCTTAAATTTTCTACAGGTCTTCTGTCATTGCCTTTCCTTCCAAACTATGAACTCTCACTGCACTATATATAGTATCTTGGTTTTAACTCTACTATCTATTGCTTGACATTTACAAACTTCTATCTTTAAGCAAATTAAAGCCTGCTTAAAAGTAGCAAATCCAGGTTATATGCATATTTACAATATACCTAAAGTCTTCAAACTTTTCCTGTTCAAAACTGAACTTACGGTTGGGAAATGACAACTTTTAAAAGTCACAGGCTGTTAAGCCTGGGCTGGTGATTTTTGGCAATACAGTCTTCTCAATAAATTAGCAGAGTTCCATTTTATTTGTGCCTGGTCATTTTTAAGTATCCAGAAACATGGATATAGCCTAGTCACATTCAATAAACCTAAAAAATCTTGTCCTTTGCTTGCAAACCATTATTTCAATCTATCATCTTCTTTTGCTTAGTGTTCATTAACTAAATGTTCTTTGAAAGTCTAGGATTTAGTAGGAAGATTATACCATAATCCTAATTTATGCTGCATAAGAACTCCAATCTAATATCCTGCTAAGGCCAGGACTTTGCTGCCTCTGCTAGTATCAATTTCAGCCTGGGATAGGAATGTTGGTTTTTTTCAGCACTTAAGGTTTCAATTTACAATTTCAGGAAACAAAAAAGCTGCATGTTCTGCCCTTCTTGCTTTCAGACAGGCTACCTCTAGTCTATCTACTTCTTGTAGGGCACTGATACATTTCATTAAAATGTAAGTATTACCTGCCAACATTTTAGATTTTTCCATAATTAAACTTATGAGGCATAATAATGTTCACCTAACACCAACTTCACTTGCCTTTAAAAATGATAAAGAACAGGAAAAAATAGAGCATTCACAGCAAGAGCGGAGAAGTCTCAGGACTCCCACACATACGTTCCAGTTTCTCAGTCATTACTCCTTCCAGATATGCATGGTCATGAGAGATAAGGATGAATGTGGGTGGAAAAATATAAGCTAAGAGAAGCAATCAGCTCTAGGGTACTTTTATCCTGGCCAGTCATGCAGTCCCTCAGGTTTAGGCGACTAGTCACACCACTCCCCAAAATGTTCTTGATCATTGGGTCACATAGCCTTCTCAGCTGTACTGCCTAGTCATAGTTCTCTGGGACAGCTTTATGTCATCAATACCACTGAGTTATATTTTATTAATAGCAATGAGAATGTAAAAGAAAAAAGGCTCGTTCCAATATATAAAACTTGACTGAATTCTCACATACCTTGGATCAACTCTGTGTAATCTATCAACAATTCCTTGAGTTAATGTCACAAGAAAATTTCCCAAGAGTCAAATCAGAAATGAGACTTGAGGAAAGGCTTTAGAAACTGCCATTAACTTTTCCTTGCTACCATTTTGAGCTTTGAATTCCTGTGGCTGCTCAGCGCACTTTTCTATCTCCTTCAATCGGTCAAACACATATTTTAGGGTCTATTATTTGTAGCATCCTATTTCCAAGTAATGACTCATATTAGGTAAATATTGTTTCTAACCACAAACAAGAAAATGGCCAAATAACAGATGCCAATAAAAATAGTGAATACTTTACTTACTTAACAAGAAGTCCAGAGATAAAGGTTTACTGCAATTGCTTCAGCTGCTCAATGATACCACTAACAACCCAGCTGTATTATTTTTCTACCTGACCATGCATAGCATTTGCTTTATTTCAGACCTCATGATACCACATCCATATTCAAGGCAGAAAAAACAATAAGGGGCATTTTTTCATAAAATCAAAGCATATTTCTTTTTCTACTTCGTTGATCAAAACAGTGGCTAAGAAAAGCATTATTAGCTTTAAGAGTCTATATTTTGAAGACAATAAGAGTAAAGGGTCTCTGTAAAGGTAGTGGATTAACCAGTGGATGATTTTTGCCACAGCGAGTTCTCTAAAATTAATATAATGATTAAAGAACCTACCCAAAATGTAGGACAAACTTTTGCCTCAACATTCAATCCAGCTACTCATAATTATAAGCCTCCTTCAAGAGTCTGATAAGTAAAAAATAGTGTATGTGTATAGCGTACTTCTGAAATTACATAAACCAAAACATCATCTATTAGTAGTATTATTAATTCTTTATTCTGTTTGCTTTTACTGTACTTTTTGGATTTTCTACCATGAATAAATAATACCATTGAAACATATCTCTTAAAGGAATTGTATAAAATTTTATACATTTGTGGAAATGTCAAAGTCATTATATAGAGATAGATATATAGATATAGATATATTTTTTAAAAGACTCTTTGTAAATCTATATACAGCACATACATGTATATGTATATATACAGATCATATATGTATGTACACATATATATGGGGAAATATTTTACAATTAAATATACATAAATACATATGTATAAATATATCTGTTTCCCTCAATTTTCTCAACATAATCACAACCCTTGATATGATTTTTTTTTAATTTTAGAATTCCTATCTTGCATTGAAACCAAAATCAATTCTCATTCTCCAAATTTTATTTTTATAGTTACCAGTAATTATGACCTCATAGTTATTTTTATACTCACATTAAGAATCTATTACCTTTGTTTTCCAATCTGGTTTAATATTCACTACTATTTCCTTTTGTTTTCCCTATTCCATTGAATTTATCACATGAGCTGCTCTTATTAAGTAGCTAATGGCATTTGCAACTGGCTCACAAGTATGTTTTTCTTTCAGTTTGGAATAGAAAAATGACACTGTCACTTCCTTAAGTGAGCTAAGATTTGATATGGAAAATAGAGACATATACCAGAAATTAGAATGGAGAGGAATAACGTATGATAAATGGGAGAGGTATGTACACCTAACTATAAAACTGGGTAGGTAGTGTTTTTAGGAGAGGGTCTATTACAATAAGTGGAACTTTCAATATGGTTTTATGTTAAATGGCTCTAATGTATAATATTTTAAAATTCCATTTTAGAGTGAGAGATGCTTCTTGTATAGCCCCTCTAGCTTCTGTCAACATAGGTACTGAACCTAGGTATTTAATTTAGTATAAACTAATTGGTCATAAATTAGTCATAAATTTATGACCAATATAAGTCCATAAAAAAACTTTTGAACTTTATGCTTTTGTAGTTTTGATTATGTCCAAACATGAAAATATTTCAGTCTTAGACAGATTCCTAGTTTTAGGAATGATTATCAGGTTTGTACACTGCCAGTAAGTTAATTGTGCTCTTTAATTTTACTTTGAAAGTTGATTTCTTTTATTTGGTTCCAATTACAATATCCATTTATTCAGATAGTATTTAATGAGAATATAAGAAAGAACTGGAAGTCATCTTCTCCACATCACCAGAAAAATATGTTGTTTATATAGCCAAATCACAAAGGCACTATATGAATTACCAAGAAAAATTCCTATATTTAATATAGGAGATATTTTGCAGATTACTTGTCTAATATTTAAAATTTTCTATTTATATATTAAATAAGAAATGTAGAATCTAAAATGTGTTCTTAGATGGTAGCTATAGAACAATTTAATTGTTGAAAGATTTCACTGGGGAAAATAAATGATTGGGAACCTCAGTAAGGCATTTTTACTTTGGGTTGTTGTTTTCTTTGCTTAAATTCTACAGATGATTGCAAAGGTATTGCAAATGGGCTTAGATTTGCACCAAAAGAAACTATTTTTTTACAAGTGAAAGGAAGAAAATACCCTTCACTGGCTTAAAATGTCAGAGAACTCTGGCTTTTAACCTCTGGATGATGGCTTAACTAAGTCACATGGAGAAAGAACCACAGGAAAAGCTTATCAGAAGCTATAAATCGTGTCAAGATGAATCTTTGAATGTGGCTGGCACATTTATCCATCTGTTTAAATTACTTGAAAATGCTTTTATAGGTGAGCGTAATCTTGATGAATTAGATCTTTTAAAAAATACGTTGTCAAGTTTCTTTCTCTTAATCAGTAATTTTCTTATTAACACAAGTGTAAAATATTTAAAGAGAAATGTATTATGAAATAAGGCTATATAATTCAAATAAAGTACCTAAAACTCTTTAGTTAAAAACAAACTTTGTGAAATATGCTTATTAACTCTTGAAGCATTTTTACTTTCTTTTTCAAATGGGGTTGCCAGAGTTAGGGGGAAAAATCAGGATGCTGAATAAAATTTAAATATTAGATAAAAATACATAGAATTTTAATATAAGTATGTCCCATCAAATATTTTGGAAATCATTAAATTATCACTCATTTACATGAAATTCAAATTTATATAGGTATCATTGATATTACCTAGCAACCCTATTTTCAGCGTGTGAGCAGAAAACATAAATCTCTTTTATTTTAGTAATATATGTATACTTAGAATCATAAAGATTATATTCTGATATACATTGTCTTTATTTATATTTTTACTCCTCAATTTCATTTGTCTTTATCATCAAGACTAACTAAAATTTACATGACCACAAAAAGTAAGGGATTACACATTTAAAAATTCCATTTCAACACAGTGAGATATATTCTACGGGTAATTAAACATGAATATATTGTTCACATTAATGATGGCGATGAAGTCAACAAAAGTATCATTCATTAGAATACAAACTTGTGTACTCATTCAAACACTTTTTTTTTTCTAAATAATATGCAACAACTCTAACATCAAGGCTTTTGCTGGATAACAGTGTCAACAGCTTATCAAATAAAGCATCGCCTGAAGGAAATTTTATAATACTCATCTCAAAAATCCTCACATTGGAATAAAGTCAGCTCAATGATGGCCTTAGGGATTCTGTCCCACTCAGGATGTTTTCTATTTAAAGGAGCTGGGAAGTATAGGTTCATTCTGTAGCTCATTCTGGGCCACTCTAAGGTTGGTTTAGCTCATCTGTTTTGTTTAGTAGCCTGTTGGTGAATAGGAATCAATAGCCTAGAGCAATCTTAAATCAGACCCACTGTGCTAGACCAGTCAATTCTGTGCCATTGCTAAATCTTCGATCTAGTCCAATTCATATCATCATACTCCAGTCTCCTAGCTCCTGGAGATTTTCTTCTCTGCATGGACAGAAAATGTAATGTTCTTACAGCAAAATTCACATAAAATAATGTTACAAAATATCAACAATCCTCATGTGCTTTGTAGAATAATATTAGAACAAATTAAGATTAACCAAAGAACTAATAGTTCTTTATGGCCCTACGTATAACATACAAATAATCCAGATTAGCTTGCCCATCTGCTTCATATTATAGACACTCAAAAGGAGTAAATATTAATAATGAATGACAACAGCTTGTAGCACATATAATTTGCTTCATACACAGCATAACTTTTCAACTAATTGCGCACAAATTATTTACCAGAGGGACACATTATGTTCATTATGGTAACTTTTCCAAAGCATACATGCTGGAGGTCCATTCCTTGATTTTCTGATTTGGTAGATATAGAGTTAACAGGATGCATCCAGTTAAAAATTTCTGAAGGGAGCTGATGCCCTTGTTTGGTTGAAACCATTTTTTTCCCTAGCCATGTCTAGGTGAGAAAAGAAATTCTAAATTGTTTCATGTAAGCAGGTAGGATAACCAGTGCAACATTATTGATTTATTTATTTTGTGGCTCTAAGGAAATCCATGGCAGATGATGTGGGAGCATAGTTTTATAATTTTTCTCATACTGTTTTTTGACTTTCGCATTGAATGATGAGCTATCATGAGAAGTGCTGAATGTGAATTCTGTAAATTAAAACAAAGTTACCCTAGACTCTTCATCTCGGGTAACTGAGATTCCAAAAACAAGAGTATCTGGCAATTTTTATGCTGTACATTGAAACTTTGGAGATTCAGTTTTTGCAATCAAGCCCACTTGAGAAGTAGGAAATCTTATAGATAAAAGGAAGAGACAGGGCTTTAGAGTTAGAAAGAATTGTGTTTGAATCCCCACAGCTCCAGTTTACTAGTCCACATTTAGGGCTTTGGGCAATGCTTAGTTTCTTAATCTGTAAAGGGGAATAAGTCACTATAAAGATGAAATAAAATAAAACCCAATTTTTTTCTCATTAAAGTTTAATAAAATTTATCAATCACTAGTAAGTCTGATCAACAACAAAAAAGAAAAAATACAAAGAACCAGTATGAAAACTGAAAAGGTTATATCGTTAGAGATCCTATGGACATTAATAGGATAGTAAAATTTATAAGCAACTTTCCGCTAATAAATTTGACCACATGGGTGAAATGAACAAATTACTGGGGGGAGTGGAGGAACTTACTAAAACTGACAGAAAATGTAACAGAAAATCTGAATACTGTTATACTTACTTTAAAAGTTGACTTTGTAACAAAAAGTATTCCCCCCTATAAATTCCAGACCTAGCTGATTTCACTGGCGAATCCACCAAATGTTAGAAGAGAAATAATACCAGTTCTGCACAAATACCTTTAAAAAATAGGAAAAACAGGAATATTTATTCACTCATTTTATCACAGCACTAACATGATATCAAAAGCAGCAAATAAAAATAAAGTGGTATACGAATAAATCTTCTAAAGATATAAAAACTTTAACCTAATGTAAATGACGAGTTAATAGGTGCAGCACACCAACATGGCACATGTATACATATGTAACAAACTTGCACGTTGTGCACATGTACCCTAAAACTTAAAGTATAATTAAAAAAAAACTTTAACAAATATCAGCAAGTTTAATAGAGCAACAAATAATTCTATAATAAATCATAATCAGGTAGGATTTACCTCAGGAGTGCAAAGTTCATTCAATGTTAGAAAACCAAGAATGTTGCTCATTTATTCAACAGAAAAAAAAAAGCCATCTTTCACCATTTTAAAAGATATTGACAAATCCTTTGATAAAATTAAATACCTGTTAACAACATCAACAACAACAACAAAAAAACTTTGGGGCAGGTGCAGTGTCTCACCCCTGTAATAGATTGATAAATAGATAAAGAAAATATCAAAATATCAAAATAAATTGATAGATAAATGGATAAAGAAAATATGGCATATGCATGCAATGGAATATGGTTCTACCTAAAAAAAGAAAATCATGTCACACGCCGCAATAAGCATAAAACTGTAGGACATTATGTGAGGTGAAATGTATGATTTCATTTATGTGAGCTATCTTAAGTAGTCAAACTCATAGGAACAGAAAGTAGAATGGTATTTGTCAAGAGCCAGGGAAAGGGTGAAAGGGGCAGTTGTTGCTTAAGGGCTACTGAGATTTAGTTTTGCAAGATGTAAAAGTTCTAGACATCTGCCTCATAACAATGAATATACTTAATACTACTAAACTGTACATGTAAAAAGGTATAAGATGGCAAAATTTGTGTTTTTATTGCAATTAATATTTTGTAAAATGATACTGAAAAGAAATACAGTGTTATAGCATTCCAAAACTTAAAAATAAATAAAATAAAATAAAATAAAGAAACAGCTTGTTTGTGAATAGAAAATTTCAATAGATTTAAGATTTCAATTCACTCCAAGTTAACATAGAAATTCAACACAATCCCAAAATACACTTTTTTGTAGAAATTAATAATTTTAAAATTCATATGAAAACAATCTGAAATAGTAAAAAGAAATTTAAAGAAAAAGAAAGAAGTTGGGGATCACACAGTATCAGATATCAAAATTTACTTAAAACACAGATCAGGACAATGTGATATTGAAGTAAAGATAGTCAAATAGGTCATTGCAATAGAATAGTCTAGTCATATATATGTTTAATGTATTGTCAGTAAGAGAACCAGGACAATTTAATGGGGGAAAAAGAATAGGCTTCTCAATAAATTGTGCTGAAACAAATGAATTTAATATAAAGAAAAAAATAATATTAACATTGATGCTTACATAGACAAAAAGTGAGACTTAAAAATAAAGGTAATACTCTAAAGCTTCTGAAAAAATAAAATGTCTCCATCACATTTGTTGAAATGAAGACTGATTTCTTTAAGAGGACACACAAAAAATCGATATCAGAGGCCATCAAAATTGAAATTTTCAGCTCATCAAAAGAAATTGTTAAGAAATTAAAAGGTAACTCCCACTCCCAAAAAAGAGTATTTGCAATATATATTTGATGAAGGGTTTATACCCAGGTTATAAAAGAATTCCTACAACGCAGTAGGAAGTTTCTTATAAAATTAAATATTCACCTGACTATAACAATTCCACTTATCAGCGTTTTCCACTTCTACAGATAACTCATAGTAATGTTGCTCATAAAATCCAAAAATTTGAAACAACCAAAATGCCACTGATAGCAGAATAAATTTTTAATGTATGTATTCATATGATAGAATTTCTTCAAACAAGTTAAAAAGAAAATACTGATATATGCAACAAGGTTGAATCTCAAAAACATTGTCAGTTGAAAGAAAGCAGACATAAAAATTATGCTTATGATTCTATTTAAATGAAGTTCAAAAAGTAGACATAACTAATCTAAAACTATAGAAATGAAAACAATGATTTCCTACAAATTTAAGGTTGATGATCTGAGACAAAAGAAAATTTTCCAGGGTGATCTTTTTCTTTTCTTCTTCTTCTTCTTTTTTTTTTTTTTCTCTTTTGAAACAGCATCTCACTCTGTCACTCAGGTTGGAGTATAGTAGTGCGATCTCAGCTCACTGCAGCCTTAACCTCCCGAGCTCAAGTAATCCTCCTGCCTCAGCCTCCACAGTAGCTGGCACCACAGGCACATGCCAACATGCCCAACCAATTTTTGTGTTTTTTTTTTTTTGTAGAGACAGAGTTTTGCCATGTTGCCCAGACTAGTCTCAAACTCCTGAGCTCAAGTGATCCAAAGTATTGGGATTACAGGCATAAGCCCTGTAGCCTTTCAGGTGGCTTAAATTTGACCTTAATCAAATTTGATCTTAATCAAAAGAGAAAATTTGAAAGACATATACACAAGTCATATCCTTTTTGGTTTTCCTCTTCTGCGTATCATAAAATAACATTAAAATACTAATTTGGGCCTATTTTGACCGTTTCTACCACTTCTCCTATTAAGAAGGCAAAATTGTACTCTATATTTCCTACGCTCAAGGACATTTGCAAGGATAAATCAAGAAGCCAGAGGATGACAAAACATTGATAAAATGTTGTTCATGAAAGTCTAACATCACTGAGGAGAGTTAGATGGACACCCAGAGTGGGTAGCCAGAGTGTTTGAAAGATAGAGACTAGAGAGCCTTGTGAAGGGATGAAACTTGAGGGTTGAGAAAAGGGAATCTTCTTTTTTTTGAGAGGGAGTCTTGCTCTGTCACCAGGCTGGAGTGCAGTGGCACGAACTCGGCTCACTGCAAGCTCCGCCTCCCGGGTTCAAGGGATTCTTCTGCCTCAGCCTCCCAAGTATCTGGGATTACAGGTGCCCGCCACCACGCCCAGCTATTTTTTGAATTCTTAGTAGAGACGGGGTTTCACCATGTTGGTCAGGCTGTTCTCCAACTCCTGACCTCTTGATCCGCTCGCCTCGGCCTCCCAAAGTGCTGGGAATATAGGCGTGAGCCACCGCACCTGGCCAGGAGTCTTCTTGTGTAGTCCTAGCGAAGGTGACAGAGCCTTCAGAAAGAGTGTTTCCTATTCAGGGAACCTAGGGAGGCTAGTAAATAGCCACTGAGGTGACAGACCTGAGAAAACACACCTGTGTGCATGGCAGCATCACATCAGAGCTACTGGGCTTCATAGAATAGGGGCTACCCAGAGGTAATACACAGGGAAATGTTAGTGGATAGTATACCCCCAAAATTATTCTAAGCATAAGACACCCATACACTCCCCTTGGGATCATCACACAACCCTGATAATAAACCCTAATAATTATGTATATTTAACTATCTCACCTCATATCTGTCCTTTAGAGTTGTTTTTTTGTGTGCACTTGTAAAGTTCCATTATCAGGAGTCAAGAAGGAAACTGCACTCAGAGAAATACCTGCTTACTACCGGGAATCATGACTTCACAGGCAAGGACCAAGAAGATTCCAGGGTTCCAGAGAGCTCAGAGGCAGCTGCTATGGGAGGTGTCAAGTGGGAGCTATAGAACATTCACAAGACACTATACCCTGCCTTACCTCCAACACTGACAGGCTCAGCAACACTGCCAGCCTCAGAATCACCAGGGTTAATCTCAACATGGCCCTTTACCCAGCATTTCCAGGCCTTCCACCATCTTCAAACTTCCCATTTTCTGACATCATCTCTCATCCTTCCTCACCTGTAATTGTTCCACTACCTTTCTTGGAACATAGGAAGCATGCCAAAGAAGTGACGTATATTTTAAATGCATCTGAAGATTCTAACAATGTTCAATCAATAGAATGGAATATGCACTTTATAAGGTTAACCTGGGTACCATGGATTTGAAACATAATTATTCTGCCAGGAACAATTGTGGTTATCTCTGTGGTGCAAAGATGGGAAAGTCTATAAATAATGAAGTAAGTAATCCACTTTCTATGAGCTGGGTATGTGTGGGCATATTTTCTTTTAAGGAGTATTATTTATATCCGAAGGGTTTTCTTGATTTGTTTAATCTTTGGCTGAGAGTTCTGATCTGCCCTCTTTCCTAACTCATGAAACCCTTCCACATTCCCTCTGGAAGAAACAATTCTGTATCCTCAGTCTCCTCACCATTTTCTCTGAGCGAAGTCTGGTTCTCCCTGAGGACACTGCTTCACTTGTGGCCATCTCAACTGGTGGCTGGTATCTCTTCCACACTCATAAAACCACTGGGCCTGGAGGTGGAATAAGAGTATTCTTTGCTCCTCATTTCAGTTTTTAGTTTACTCTTTTTTCCTCCTCCTTAAAATCAGCCAATTTGAATATCTTCTTATCAGACTTCACCACCTATGACTCCATCTTGTTGCAATCATCAGCCAAGCCTTCAATTGCTCTTCCTTGTCTGTGCTTCCCTCTCCCACCCTTCATTACAGTCCTGTCATAATTCTTGGGTGAATTCAGTATCCAGGCATACAGTCTTTCTAATATCTTGGTCTCTGAGCTTGTTGACCTATTCACGGTCAGTAATCTTGACATCCTATCTCTATTCTAAGACAATCTCCTTCATCACACTCTAGGGCTCAACACAAATTCGTGAAAGCCTACATACTAACAGCTCCATTCCATAATCACCGCCTTCTGTCTTTCAGGCTTACCTCTCCTTCAGCCACAAATCCAGTAATTTCTCAACAGTATAGGGATCCACAATCTATTTTCACTACCCCTCACCCCCTAATTTCCTCTTATCTAGCTTAATTCCATCATCAGTTATGGTAATCCTTCCCAACCATGTACTATCTATTCTCTTTTCTTTTGTTCTGACTTCTTTTGTCTTGACAAAACCCAGTCATTCTAAAATCCAGCTTAGTACCTATTTCCTACCTGTATACCTGCTTGAGGAAAGTTTTAAATAATGCTGTCTCACAATAAATTTATAATCATTAACTTCAAATCTGCTTTTAATGCTAACCTACAATCATTCCATATTCTTCAATTGCATTTATTCCCCCAATCTCCTATGCAATTATTTTATCTTTTCCTTTCTCCTCAAACCTCAAACATTTCCTCTCATCCTTAATCTCCTAGTGTCTTTTCTGTACTGCAGGCTCATCCAACTGCTTACTTTACATTTTCATTTAATTGTATAATTAATTTTTCAATTTTACCATGTTCAAAATTGAACTCTAATCTTCCTCTGAAATCTGCTTCTCCCAGTTTCCCCATGTTAGATAATGCCAAATCTTTCTGTCAGTTCTCAGGTGAAAATTCTTGTGGTTGTCTTTTATTCTTCTCCTTCATGTGACAAATCCAAGCCATCAATAAATCCTGAGAGATCTGCCTTAAAGAGTTCTACAGATTTTGACCAGTTATCATCACCTCTACTATTGCTACCATTCAAGCCACCATCTTCTCTCAAGTGGCTTATTGCAATAGCCTCTTCGTTGAGCCTGCTCCCTGGTTTTGTCTTTGGCCATCTTCATTTGATTCTCAATATAGCACTTTCAGTAATTTTAAATGGCAATTTAGTTCTGTCCTTTCTCTATGAAAATCACATATAATGGCCTGTTGTCCCCTATATGATCCTCCCAAGTCTTCCTGAACTCATCTGTTCACTTTGCTTCTTCCGCTGTACCCAAGTTGATATTGTTCTTCTGTTTCCCCAGTGCAACAGGGCTGCTCCCACCTCTGACCCTTTGCATTGGCTGTTCCCTCTGCGCGGAACACTCTCCCTGTAGGTATATGCATAGATCAATTTCTCTTTTTAGTTTAGTTTTTGCTCAAATGCCACCTTATTATTAAGATTTCCATGGCCACTATATTTGGAATTTCAACGATGTTATATCTCCTGATACCACCTATCCTTTTGTGTCATATCTTTCACTAGGCATCTTAAAAATGTACAGTGGTCTATCTATTTCACTTATGGATTTTTATTACTGTCTGCCTTTCCCTACTCAAGTTCCATGAAAGCAGGTATTTTTACCCTTTTCATTCACTACAGCATCTTAGCTGCTAGGACAATGTTTGTCACCTAATAAACACTCAATAAATATTTATCGAAGACATGAACAAATATGTCCAGAATGGTGGTGACATATGTTACTCAGGTCTGATATCTTTCCACTAATGGAGGAAGCAATTTCCCTGGCTCTGCCAATCACTTGTTTAGGCACATATTCATCACAGTTTCAGGGCGTGGACAATAGATAATTATTAGCAACATTCTTTCTTAAGTTTACAAATAACTAACAATGTAGAATTTTCAAAATGAAGATATCAAATGAAAACAAGGTAAATCAGAAGAAAACTACTGAACTAGAAATGTGAAGAACCTCCAAAATCCAGTGCTTAAACAATTTTGTCATTGATCATAGGTCTTAATGAATACCTTAATTAAAGTCTTAATGAATTCCCAGAACCAAAAAGTAAGGCACAATTATGACTTTTTATATATACCTGTGGATATAGACAGGCATATGCCATGAGACATAAGGGTAGACCTGGTGGCAGCTAATTAAGGAAGTTAAAATTGTAAACATTATCAGTGGAAAAGAGACTGTTCTCTTTAAATGGCCCCAGAGTCAAAGTTGAATCTATATATTAATTATAAAGATATTCATGGATTCTCTGAGCAGGGGATATAAAATGGAAGCAATAGTAATGAAATAGAGTTAAGCAGACTCAAAATCTGAGGCCTGGGGAGAGTTTAAAGCAAACCATGATTTCAGCAGAGGGAAAAGAAATATGTATCATAAAACACTTGAAGCTATTAGACCATGTAGAACAAAGCAAGATGGTTCTGGATTTCTACACTTGAATGCTCAACACCAGGTACTACACTGCTTTTAAAAATACAAAGAAAGTGGAAAATTCTAACAGCAGCAAAGGATCAAATAATAGTCAATACAGGAAAATAATTGCCTAGGAGTGCTCTGTCCATCTCCTCAACTGAGTGTGTGCTTATTTCATCCCCCCACCTCTTTTTTTTTTCCTCTTTCCACTTTTGTTTTAGGTTCAAGGGGTACTTGTGCAGGTTTGTTACATGGGCAAAGTAGTTGCTGCTGGGGTTTGGTGGACAAATAATTTCATCACCCAGGCAGTGAGCATGGTACTGGAGAGGTAGTTTTTTGACCCTTACTTACCCTCCTCCCACTCTCAAGTACTCAAGTAGTACCCAGTACTGGGGACTATTCTATTCCCCTCTTTGTGCCTATGTGTACTCAATGTACATCCTTGTCTTAGTCTGTTTTGCTGTTGTTATAATAGAATACCACAGACTGGTAATTTATTTTAAAAAGAAACTTATTTCTCACAGTTCTGGAGGCTAGGAAGTCCAATATCAAAGAACCATCATCTGGTAGGGGCCTTTGGGCTGAGTCATCCCAAGGCAGAAGGCAGAAGAGAAAGACAAGGCGAGAGTAAGAGAGGCTAAACTCGTTATTATAGCAACCCATTCTCACAATAACTACATTAATCTATTCATGAAGGTAGAGTCCTATGGCCCAACCACACCTCAATGGTCCCAACTCTCAACACTTTTACAATGAAAATAAAATTTCAACATGAGTTTTGGAGAGGATATTCAAACCACAGCAATCCCCACCCAGACTCAGATAGTAAATGCCTAGTATGTTTCTTCACCAACTTTTCCACATACACACACACACACACACACACACATTTTTTGTGCATTATTGTTGCTCATTGGTTTTTACCAGAATGGAATCATGCTATCCACCACTTGCCTTTTTTGCTTAACAATACAACAAGAACTTCCCTTCAGCCAATGAACATAAATGTATCTCACTCTTTAAAAAAATCATATATTTCATATTCTAGATAATATTTCATATTCAGTTTTTTCGAACATTTACTACTAAAAATAATGCCATAAGTGTCCTTATACAATTATTCTTCTGTATGTGTATGTGCACACGCACCTTTATTTTAATTGTGTCTGTGTGCACGCTTGCACATGCACCTTTATTTTTATAGGAAAGATTCCCAAAGTAGTTCATTTGATTCAAAGCATTTAATCAAGTTTTATGAAATTACTTTCTGAAAAGTTTCACTTTGCCATCAGCAATGTATGAGTTTATTCATTTTCTTTTATTGTTCCTTTAAATCATGGCCAGTGCGAAGGGTGAAATTGTTATTTCATTTTGCTTTTATTAAAATTTTTCTAACTAATTTTGAGGGTGAGCATCTCTCATATATTTGTGCCATTGCATTTCCCTATCTGTGAATTGCTAATTTGTAGCCTCTATTTTCCCAATAAATTGTAGGATATTTTCTTATCTTACATATAAAATCTGTTGGAATATTAGTAATATTACATACATGAGATGTAATTTTTCCCTAGTTTATTACTAGTCTTTTGGCTTTTTTATGGTAGCTTTTTCATACCTAAACTGACTGTCCTTATCTCCTCTGACAAGTTTATCTTTCTTTTAATATAGCTTCTGGATTTCCAGTTTTGCTAGGGAATGTTACCTTTAACCAAATTTATACAAATGTTTTCTTAAACTTGATTATAATTTTATTGTAAAATAAATAAGTTGTATTTATTATACAACAAATTATACATATTTATTAAATTGTCTTTATTATATAATAAATTATGTTTATTAACTTGTATTTATTAAATAATAAATTCACTGCCTTTATTAAATTAATTGTATAATAATATAATTTTTATTTGAATCCTTCACCCATCTGGAATATTTGTTTGAATACAGTGTGGGACAGAGGATTTGGAGGATTTGACTGATGTATATTCACATGGGTGGCCAATCGTGATACCACAGTTTACTGACTAAATGTTATTTTCCAGTAAATTAAAATGTCATCTTTGTCATACATTAGATTACTACTTATATATATTTATGGCTATTCTTTGGTAAAAATTATGCTATTTGCAGTGTAGTGGTTTTGTGACCAATTTTTAATTCCATTAAACCAGTCCTCCCTCCCTATTTTCTTCATTACTTTTGGCAATTCCCAAATATTTAGTTTTTTTTATGTGAAATTTGAGATTGTTTTCTCCATTCAAAAATTCCATAACTTGTAGGTTTTCTATTTAAAAATTTATTAAATTTACATATCCAATTTTTCAGGTCCTGCTTCATGCTGCTCAATTGTATTTTATGAAAAACTTAGTATATGACCTACACAACCCTTCTTAAATTTCTTCAACATATTTTATAGCTTTTACTCCAATGGTGCATGAATTACTTTTATCCTTTGCATCCCTGTGTGTTTATTGGTTGTACAGAGAAATCATATTGATCTTTATGTAACCCAGGCTGGAGTGCAGTGGCCTGATCATAGCTCACTGCAGCCTTAAACTCCTGGACTCAAGCAATTATCCTGCCTCAGCCTCCCAAAGTGCTGAGATTACAGGTGTGAGCCACCATACCCGGTCCAGCAAACTTTAAACAAAATTAATTCTAGGAGATTTTATTAATCTGTTGGTTTTTTTAGGTATAGAATTAGACTACCAACAACTGAAGATAGTTTTGTCTCCTGTCATGTGAATTTTCCTCTCTCACTGCATTAGCAAGGACCACCAAAAATATTGAGTCACAGAAGTAATAGTGAGTCTTCCTGAATATTCTGATTTTCAGAATTTAGTTTGTTAGCGATTTTTTGAATATGCTCTTTGTTAACTTAGATTTTTTTATTCCTATTTTAAGATTTTCTTAAAAGTTGTTGCAGTATTATATCAAACATCTTTTCAGTATGTCACGATATAATTAAAACACATTGTAATTATAAATGTTAATGAAAAGATTTATTGATATTGTATTCCCAGAATAAGTCCTGCTTTATCCTTATTTTTTTTAAAAGCACTGTTCTAGTTTCAATTTGCAAACACTTTATATAAGATTTTTGCAAATTTATTCAGAATGAAAAAAGTGTCTTGCTTTGTTAGGACAACTTTGGATAATTAAAATTATATCAGCTTCATTGAACAAATTAAATATATTTCCACTTTGTGTGGTCTAATGTATGTTAAATGACATAGAGATAATTTAAAATTGAAATAAATATATAAATATGAATTTAATATGTAGTATGGGTGACATTTCTCATTGGGAAAAATAAACATTATTAAATAAATAATGTGCAATAAATGGGTAGTATTCAGATAAGATAACTTCACTGCTTATATATTTCCAGTAGATCTAAGATTTAAATGTACAATAAATGCAACCATAAACACTTTAGAGATAAACAGGGAGGGTAACAATTTTTGCTACATCTTCTTTACCTGAAAGAAGGGAAAGCCTTTCAAGGTACGACAACAAAAAAGAAAAGCAGTAATTAAAATAGACAAGTTTTACCCCATTAAAACAAGTATTTCTTCATAGCAAAAACCAACTTCATGAGTCAGGATCCCAGCCAAAAACAAAAGTAAACTCAGATGGGTTTAGAAGGAAAGTCTTCAATGAATGAAACACCTGTAGCAGAAGGATTGGATTAAGGGAAAGAGAGAGGAAGTGTCGAAGCAACCAGAAATTACCAATGACAGGAAAACATTTCCACCCATTGGTTTGAAGGGGAAAGGGGGTGAAATTATGTTACTGGAACTATGGAGTAGTGGCAGCCCATCAGTAGAGATACAGCAACTGCCAGAAATGAGTCTCAAAGCAGAAAGGAAAAAGAAAAATAAAATTACCCCAACCTATCTTTCTCCTGACTCCTTGTGATAGGTATACTTCTAAGACAACCCTCAATGATCTCAACATCCTGGATTTTGTACGCTTGTGTGATATTCTCCTTTTCAGTGTAGGCTACACCTAGTAACTTGCTTCTAACCAATAGAATTCCACAACATTTTTATAATTAGTTTACGAAAGATTGTAACTTCCTTTTTGACTCTTTCTATTGCCCTCTCAGGTTACATACTTTGATGAAGCAAGCTGTCATGGTTTTGTTTTGTTTTTGTTTTTGTTTTGAAACGGAGTTTCACTCTTTTCGCCCAGGCTGGAGTGCAATGGCCCAACCTCAGCTCACTTCAACCTCCACCTCCTGGGTTCAAGTGCTTCTCCTGCCTCAGCCTCCTGAGTAGCTGGGATTACAGGCATGCACCACCATACCCAGCTAATTTTGTATTTTTAGTAGAGATGGGGTTTCTCCATGTTGGTCAGGCTGGTTTTGAACTCCTGACTTCAGGTGATCCACCAGCCTCAGCCTCCCAAAGTGCTGGGATTACATGTGTGAGCTACCACGCCCAGCCACTGTCATGTTTTAAAGACCTACATGGCAAGGAACTTAGGGAGACCCCCAGACAAACACTAGAGAAAAGCTGAGGCTCTCAGTACTAGAGCGCACAAATAACTGAATTCTACAAATGATCACTTGGGCTTGGAAGTGGATCCTTCCCCAGTAGAACCTCTAAAGGGGACTTAAATCTCAGGCCAACGCCATGATTCCAGCATTGCTAGAGGCCATGAAGCTGAGAACCTGTCTAAGGCATGCCTGGATTTCTGTATATTTTTTATAGTTGTTATGTTTTGAGGTAAATTGTTAAATGAGTATAGATAACTAATAAAGATTTGATAGCTGGAAATGGGGTGCTACATTATGCACAGATGCATAACAATGTGGGAATGGCTTTAAAACAAAGCCGAGGTGAAGACAGAATGGATTTTGCTGGTCATGATAGAGAAAGCCTAAATTGCCTTAAACCAACCATTAGAAAAAATCATGCTGCCAGTGGAGGCTCAAAGCGTGGGACAGGGCGAGTGTGGGTGTCAAGAATCTGTTATTGGAAACTGGTGTTGGAGGACCACAGCTCCAAAGAACAAATGCCTTTCAAGCCTCTGTTGTCCTTGTTTGCTAAGGACCCATTGGCCACAGCTTGTCACATGTCCAGTGCAAATCCATGGGGTGGAAAAATCAATCCCACCTATGATGGAAGATAAAGAATGTTTGGTCATTTTTTAAAATTCTACCACAATATTCCCTCTAATTGTAAATTTCATGTCTCTCCCATTTGCAAAACATTATCCTCAATCCAGGATCCCCAGTGTCTCTTCCTGTTAGGGCATCAGCCTTGAAGCTCAGAATGTCATGATCTGCATCAGATCTGAATGTGACTCCCTGGATGTTGCTCTTGGGGAGATCTATGCAGTAAAAAGATAAGTTATCTGACCATTCACATCCAAAATGCAATAATAAGATAAGGATGGGATAGCTACAAGTGTCTCCTTTCAAAAAGGGAGGAATGTACCCCCAGAAATATATACAATCCTTATGTATGAATTAAAAATTAACAAAAATAAAAATTAAAAAATGTAAGAGTCCTACCCCAAAAGGGGGTGGGGAGGGATGGGGAATCAGAGATAATAAGCAGTCCCTGGCCCATAACAATTCTGAAATCCACCAGGGAAAATGTCGCAAGTTTCTCTTACTCTGGTGATTGGAATGAGCCTTGATTAAGTCCTCGTTATGCTCCTAGGAATGGCTCCATTATCTAGTGTTCTATCTATGTCTTAGTTTGGACCCTTTACTATTTACTGTCTTCTGAGACATCCCTCCTTCCTATGGACAATTGCAGATGATTAGCTTTCATAGCCTGCCTTTTAACTGTAAAATATTGTGGGTCAGGGACACCTTTTTGAATTTGAGCAACCAAAGTCCATTTTAATCCAAGTTGGTAGCCTTCTTGCTAGTACAATCTCCTAAAAAGGTTTGTAGGCTCTCTATGTATTAGATTATTTTCACATTAAATTTCCCTCAATGAAATGAAAACCATAGCCATAATTCTTCTCAAGACAAGCTTTAAAGATATGTCTTTCAAAGGTAGATTTTAAATAGTTTCTGATGTATTAAAAGTAGTTTAATCGGATTTTATCCTTGGGTCTATTTTTGTAATCAGCTTTACTGAAGTATGATTTACACACAATAAAATGTACTTCCTATTTGCCTAATTAATGGACTGAGCATACCCTATAGCTGTAGGGAATCTTCAGGCAAATAAAAGAAAATTTGGTTTGTAGGGAAAGGAAAGAAATTTTCCTATTTGTTTTTCCTCTTCACTGGCTCCTGATCTCAGGCCAGTTACAGGAAAAACTAAGTCCCACCTCTGCCTTCCCACCTAGATCTGACAGCTTCATGTAAACTAATAGACTAAGCCAGATTCCTGAACTGGTTGTGATATTTCTCCAGAGAGTGATTAAGAAAGAGAGAATTGGATGTGGCATAGATTTATTTTTCTCTGTTCCTCTTCACTTAGTACAATGATAAACTCTGAAAATTACACAAGGCAACCATAACATAACTTTGAAAGGTGAAAAGAGGAAAACAAACTGGTTAGGAACTATTGGACTTGAAGAACAACTCAGCAGAAGGGTGCCACACGAATCCTCACTTGTTATGGACTGAATCTTTGTGCCCCCACAAATTCATATGTTGAAACTCTAATCCCCAGTGCAATGGTATTTAGAGGTTCAGCCTTGGGAGATTTTCAAGGTTAGATTAGGTCATAAGGGTAGATCCGTTATGATGGGATTAATTGTCTTATATAAAAGGAAGAAACACAAGATCAATCTCTCTCTTCCCAGTGTGAGGATATAATGAGAAGATGGTCACCTTCAAACCAGGAAAAGAGCCCCCACCAGAATTCAACAATGATGGCACTCTGAATTCAAACTTAGCCTCTATAATTGTGAGAAACAAATGTCTTTCATTTAAGCCTGACTAGACTAAGACACTACCCAACAGAAAAAGGCAACCCAATTCCAACATTTCCTGATGCTCAACCTTACAGCAAAAGATGGCCCAGAGAGGCTCATTCCTCTCCCAAATCAAGCCAACAACAACACCAGGCAAGCCCAATACCATTGGCAAAGGTGATGGATAGAGAGGTGTGATGACAATAAGCAGACAGAGATTCATGCTCTTGCCCTGAGATTACCTTCACTGACAAAGAGACACTGAATAGTCAGGCAGCACTAGCAAGGGGATCCTGCCACAACAAGCACTAGTTTTGGGACATGCTCTCCATCTCTCACAGGAAGGGGAGTCCCACAGCAGCAAGTGCCTAGCCTAGAAAGGGCTCTCTTTCCTGATTGGCCCAAGAATCCTCTCCCTAGTAAAACACACTGGGGGAGCAGGGTGGCGTAGGAGCTGGTGAAGGCAAGGAAGACTCCTCAACAAAAAGCACCCAACCCAGGAAGTGCATCTTTTGTGGGAAGGTACCAGGCAGCCTACTCTGTGGAAACTCTTTCTAAACCCTCAAGCAGCACCAGCAGAGACAATCAGAGCCTCTGCAACACCAGATAAACCAAGCAGACCAAAATAGCACTGCAAAGGCTCTGAAATTAAACTTCTTTTGAGTCTACAGCCCAATAAGTTAAGCCAGGACCTACATGCTAACCCTAAACAGTGAGTAGTTGTCAAAATAAAATACTTAAATGGGCCAGTCTGCTCACATAATAGCCAAAATGCCCAGAATACAATAAAAAATCAGCTGTCCTACCAAGAATCAGAAAAATCACAACTTGAATCAGAAATACAATTAACTCACGTCAAGTCTCAGGTGAATTAGATGTTGATGCTATCTGACAAGGCTTTTAGAATGGCCATCATAAAAAGCTTTCAACAAACAACTACAAATTATCTGGAGCAAATTTTAAAAATAGATAACTTTTACAAAAAAATTATCTAAAAAGGAAAATTGTAGAACTGGAAAATACAATAACAGCAATAAAAATCTAGCTGGGTAGGCTCAACAGTAGAATGAAAATGACAGAGAATAGAATCGGTGAATTTGAGGGTAGCACCATAGAATTTATCATATCTAAACAACACAGGCAATATCAGCAGAGCCTCAGGTACTGAGGGGCAAGAACAAGACACATAACATTTGTATCACTGGAGTCCCAGAAAAAGAGGAGAAGGTGAGAGAGGTTAAAAGAATATATTTTTGAAAATAGCTGAAAATGTCCCAAATTTGCCTGTAGGTATAAACCTACACATTTGAGAAGCTGAACAAACCCTAAATATGATGAATCAAAAGAAATCCACATGAAGACAAAGCATAACAAAATTTGCCAAAAGCTAAAAACAAAGAAAAAAATCTGGGAAGTATCCAGATAAAAATGACACCTTATCTACAAAAGAACACCCCTTCCGATGACAGTGGATTTCTCATGTGAAACGGGAAGGCCGTAAGGAAGTCACACTACATTCATCAAGCTCTGACAAAAAGGAGCTGTTAACCGTGAGTTCCATGTTTAGCAAAACTCTTCAGGAATGAAGAGGAAATAAAGACATTGTCAGACAAAGAAAGACTAAAAGAATTTGCCACTTGCAGAACTATCCTTAAATAATAGCAAAAGGATGATCTTCAAAAAGAAAGGAAAGGATAAAAGAAGAAATCTTGGAGTAACAGCAGGAACAATGGAAAGAGGGACAATACAGATCTATACAATAGGTGATCCTTCTTATGAGTTTTATAAATCATACATAATTACTGAAATGTAAACTATAACACCATCTGATATATTCAGGATAATGATATTTAAAAGTACAGAAAGTAAAGGGAACTAAATAAGAATACATTTTCCACATTTGACTCCAAGTGGTGGTAAAGTGGTGTAGGGAGAAAGTGTGTGTTGTTATAAAAAGGCAGCAAGAAGTATGCTTGTGGTGTTGGAAATGTTCTGTGTCTTGACTTTGGTGGCAGATATAGGAACTACACGTGATAAAACTGCATAGAAATAAATACATGAACACAAACACACAAACGAATACAAGTAAAACTTCGTATGTCTGAATGACGTCTGTGCATTGTATCAATGCCATTCTCCTGGTTGTGATAATATACTATAATTCTATAAGTTATTATCATTGGGGGAAACTGGGTAAAGGATATATCAGATCTTTGTATTATATCTTATAACAATATGTGAATCTATACTCATCTCAAAATCAAAAGTTAAGTTAAAAAAGTTACCCAACTATGACCCTAAAAACCCTAAAAGTAAATACCCTTCCATAGTTTCGTTCTTTTTAGATATTAATAAAATTACCAAGACAGTTTTCTCCTTGCTGCATTAACTTTAATAAACTGTTTTGCTCAATTATAAAAGAAAATAGAGGAGTCACTGATGTGTACATACATTCCAAAGTTTCCAGAATCTGCTCAGATGCCTACTAAATCATTTCCATATTTTCTGCTAGTCATCAGCCACAAGAAATAGTTGCCACAATCACCCCAGAACCTTGGCTTAATCTTAGTTTAGGTTAACTGTGGTTCTGTTTTGCCTGCTCTTCTAAAAGTGGGAGCTTTTTTGATCATCAGAGCAAAGCTCCCTTGAACCTCCTCCCATAGCAAAGTACTTGGCTCTGTATCTACACATCATCACAGGAACCACTCTTAATAATGAAGACAATATAGTGAATACAGTCAAAAAAAGAAAGCTTTAATAGTCAAGCCAACAGATAGTCCAGAATATGCACAAAATATGCCTTCTCTTCAGTTTTGCATTATTTTCCAAAATAAATGGAATCTATGAGTGGGGGAAGTATGTGGAAGGTCTGAAATTTCTCTTTTGTTCATTTCAATGTATAATCTACTTTATCAAAGTGTGAAGGTTCTTCAACCTATGCTTGTTGTCTGTACCAATAGGCTGTGTCTCTCACTAGAGTCACTTCCCTTCAAGGGAATCCCTTTCTCTTCTCTTTTCATCCTATAAGCTCTGCGTCCCTATATCATCTTTGTTCCTTTCTATTTGGAAACGTGATTTTTATAGTAGTCAATCATTATGGGGGAGGCTTTGACTTTTATGATTAGTGCATCTGTTATACAGTTAGACATTTTATCTTATGAAGATGGGCTCCTCCTTGTCTATCTTTTTTTATTATCATGCTGAATAATATCTCTAAGTCCTTCTTCGTCTTGATAATGACATGATGTTACCATTATCTTGGAATATCTCTTCCTTATATAGGAAAGAAGAAACAGAAAAAAAAGGTATCACTCTCTAAGTACCCTAAGTATATATGTGGCTTATCCATCAGATACAGTCTATGCTTGTCTGGAAAATATTTTATGATAAGATAAAACATAATATATGTCTTAGACTTACTAAAAATGTAAATCATCACAACTATGACCTTTTAAGCAAATGCATAAACTTTGGATTTGATGACAAAAACAAAGATAAATAACGATGGATTCTGTTATTTTTAACCTTGGGCTTTGGCACCAAAGATAGATATAGCCTCATGAATTTTATGTTACAAATACTGTAGAAAGGAAGCAAGACTTAACATGTTTATATTGAGCTTACATTCTTTCAACAATTTATATAGGACAGGTTAAGAAGGAAGCCTTGTGATACAGGAAATAGAACTGAGTATTGATGTGAAGTTTCACTTGTAATCATTTAAGTCCCACAGAACTGTGATCATAGCTATTTTTAATGGCAGTAGTGGTAAATGTCACACAGTCAACAAATTAAAAAGATAGAATGAACTGAGACAATACACGAATTCAAAGAAAGTTCTGTTCAACAGGTAGCAGAAAAAGAGCTCAGTTTGGAGTTAGGAAGGCCTGAATTTGGACCTGGTTTGGCCACAGGCCATGTAACCTTAACCAAGTTATAAAATCTATCAGGACCCAAGGTTCCCTAGTGTAAAATAGCATAATTATAGTAACCCCTTCCCCACTATTGCTTATAGGGTTTAAGTAATAAATGATTTAATAATGCTGAAAATTTAAACATCCCTAGCCGATAGTATTTCATAAGTGTTAGCTGTTACATTTTGTTATGACTTTTAGTTTTACTTCCCTCCCCCTATTTTATCTCTTCCTTTCCAATGCAGTTACTAACATTTTATGTATGGCTCTCCTTCTCCTTTCTACTCTCTCCATAAACCCCGACCTGCCACTTACATTACTAATCCCAGTGCAGACCTGAGTGGATGACACAATCCCAGTTGGGGCATGTGCTATGGTTTGAGTTTGTCCCCACCAAAACTCATGTTGAAATTTGATTCCCATTACGGCAGTGCTAGGAGGTGGGCTTAGTGGGAGGTGTTTGGATCACGGGGTTGGGCCCTCATGAACAGATTAATGCCATTTGCAGGCATGAGTTCTTAGTTCCCATGAGAGTGGGTTGTTATAAAGCAAGGCTGCCTCTCGTGTTTGTTCTCTTTGCACACACCTGTTTGACTGTCTGCTTCTCAGCCATGTTGTGATGCCACACATGGCCCTCATCAGGATCCAGCCAGATCTGGCCACCTGATCTTTGACTTTCAAGCCACCAAAATTGTGAGCAAAATAAACTTCCTTTATTTGTAAATTACCCAGCCTCAGGTCTTCAGTTATAGCAACACTAAACGGACTAAAACAGCATGTCACGTGGCAGCTGGAGGCTGTCATCACTAGTCAGGTCAACACAGTCCCATTAGATCACTGCTAGCCAGTCCAGGGCTTGCATGGATGGCCCCTCATGGTCCCACAGCCAGTCAACCTCACTCAGAGATGTTGCTTTCCTAACATGGGACAGAAACAGTTCACAGTATTTTGCCTTTATAATTCTACCTGGTTCTCCACTGAACTCCACCTAACAGCTGACCTAGACTCTGTGCCCAGTTGAACTTTCTGCTTGGCAGGAAATTTTTCACTCAGTGCTCAATGTTTAGTCTCTATTTAATAGTTTTGTTTTCTAAACAATATGTGTAATAATACCAGTTTCTTGATTTTCTTGATTAGACTTTTTTTTTTTTTAATATGGAGTCTTGCTCTCTTGCCCAAGCTGGAGTGCGATGATGAGATCTCGGCTCACTTCAACCTTCGCCCCTCTGCCTCCTGGGTTCAAGTGATTCTCCTGCCTCAGCCTCCCAAGTAGCTGGGGCTACAGGCACCCTCCACCACACCCAGCTAATTTTTGTATTTTTAGTAGAGATGGGGTTTCCACATGTTGGCCAGGCTAGTCTCAAACTCCTGACCTCAAGTGATTCATCTGACTTGGCCTCCCAAAGTGCTGGGATTACAAGCATGAGCCATTGAGCCTGGCCTAGACTTAGTTTTCTTTTTGAAAGTCATATGAAGTTAATACTACTCCTGTAACAAATTTGTACAACCTTAGTGGTTTAATATAACACAAATTCATTTGCGTATTGCTCTGGAGATCAGAAGTCTAAAATCCATTTCACCGGCGAAGGTGTCAGCAAAGCTGATTCCTTCTGGAGGCTCCTAGGACAGAATCCATTTCCTTGCCTTTCTCATCTTCTAGTGGTTGCCTGTGTTCCTTGGCTTGTGGCCACCTTCCTCCATCTTCAAAGCACTTCACCCCAGTCCCTGTTTCCAGCATCATACCACCTATTCCTATGACTTTGACTCCCTCTGCCTGCTTCTTATAAGGACTGTTTTGATTATAATGGGCCCATCGGTACAATCGAGGATTATCTCCCCATCTCAAGCATCTTTATTTAGTCACATCTATAAAGACCCTTTTGCCATATATGGCAACATTCACAGTTCTAGGAATTAGGAAGTAGAAATATTTAGGTGGTCATTATTGGGCATACAGCAAAAATGCTTTTAAGAGAAAATGGGGAATAAAGGAAGGAAGGAAAGATACAAGAAAGAGAGAGGAGGAAACAATAAAGAAGATTTTTGCAATACATGTATAAAAGCAAAAGCAACACAGATCTTCTTTGTTGAAGCACAGAGCAGCATATTATTAAAACCAAGTGGGCTTCACGTTCTTAAAAAGAGGTGAGATTTGCTGTAATAAAAGAAGAAAGAGGGAGAAAGGAACACAGTAATGCCGTGTCCAATTTGTTAGAACCACAATCTAGAGGCGTGTGAATTACTTAGGAAAGAATTTTAAGAGGATCCTACAGCAGAGATTCAGAATAAGAGAAAAATAACAGATCCTTGTTTTAGTGTAACTCAAGTGAAATCCTGCCAAGAAACAGCCCTTCCTGTAATCCTTTTCCTACCCATTCCTGCTCACAAAACATCCTTCTGGAATAAGCCTGATGGGTCATATTGGAGAGTTTAGTGGAGGAGAGTGCCACCACCTGCTTGATTTCAGCAATAACATCCTACTGGATGCCACAGGGGAGGATGCTCTCACACTGTGTTCCAGCTATGTCAAGGCTGGGCTGTTTTGATGACAGCCTACTTTAAGAGCTGTAAAGGGGTATAAAGGCAGTGGGCAGATTTATATTCTGGGGATAACTTTCTCATAAAAATTTCATTTCTTCCTAGATGTCCAGGCAGAAAAATAGCTTAAAGTTCAACAAAAATTGCTATAGCATAGTAATTTACTCACCATGAATCCGGGCTAGAAATTATTTTCGTTAAATTTGTATTTTTAATAGAGTAACAGTGTTAATTATTCATAATACATAGGTATTTCATTTGAGCTAGCTTGTCATGTCATTAAATTAATCATGAATATGTATTTGTGAAACATATTTTCATCATATCTCATGATTTACAAATGTTTCTGAAAATGCCTGTAATGCATTCTTTCATTAACTTTGCTGAGCTAAATGCATTTTCAAAAAAGAAGTCTTAAAAAGACCATGAGATGTAAGCAAAATAACTAAACTAAATCTTAACATGGAAATTTGTTCAATAAAGATTATGAGAAAAATATTCATGAAACACAAAATGAGAAGGTTATTATTCAAATAAAACAGAAAGAACTTCTATTTTTGTACACTGACAAATGCCAAAAAACAGAAAAAAAGAAAAGTGAAACTCCTTCAGGGTTTTCCTTTCAATATAAGCAATAAACTGCTAGACATGTAAAAGAGTTATTACCATTTAATGCAAGCAATAGTCACATTTGTTAACAGAATGAATTAAGGAATTGGATAGTTAGAATTCACACGCATACACTCCTATAAATTTCAGTTAAATCAGTACTATTTGGAAAATGGATAGAGATAAATAATTAGAATATATACTAAACTAATTCACTCTGATTTAAAGCATTCGAAAAATAACTTATTATTCAAATCAAACATATCCAACATGAAAGAGAGGACAAAACAATGACAACATTTCTCAAAGCATTTTATTTAGGAAAATCCAAACGTGTATGAGTTTTACACTCTTGTTTTCTTCATTCCTCAATCAAGTATTTATTAAAAACCCATTCTATGAATAATTCCTAGACAAGGTATTTTGTTAGGTACTGCTCAGAGTATTCATACAGTGTATCATGGGGAACCATTTTCTCTTATCATCTTTAGGCAAAACTAGGAAATGCATTAAACTAGAATGTTACATGTACCGTCTCTAACTACTAAAAGACCCACATTCACGTGCCTCTTCCTCCCTTTCCCAACTCAGGCCAGGCCACAGGTTCAGGGGTTTTTCTGATGGCCCTTCCCAAACCCAGCATTTGTATATTTGTCCCATTTTTTCAGGGTCTTCCTATGTCACTTGCTGGTTAACTGGAAAGATTAATTCCATCTGTCAGGTGGTAAAGACAGATCCCATGCTTGTTAAATCGTAGTCTGAGCTGGGAGAGCAGCCAAAGCCACAGGACAAATATGAAGTATTAGCATTACTTTTAAACTCTCTCAAATACTATCCTATACAGAATCTCAATTTTGGCCTCAGAAAGACCTCGTTAGAGACTATAGTATATCTCCTTGAAAACCTGAATTTAAATTACATTACTTTAAATGTAATACATTGATAACTGTCCTTGAAATATGTATGTATTACAAGCTGAGAACCAAAAAATTATTTCAGGAAATAAGTATTGTTTTGAATGAAATCGTTATTTAAAAACAGAAGTGATTGTGCGATGAAGTACCTATAAGCTATGAGAAAACATTTTGTTTCTTCTAAGAATAACAAGAGTAACTATTGAATTTTGTCCAATATCAAGCCAGCAATTAAGTGGCTAATTAAAATTCCAGTCAGAACACAAAAATACTTACAATAACATTCAATAAGATTGATTAATAATTGTAAAGTAGAATCATTTCTATTTCGTAAAAATATTTAGAAAAATTATTGTGCTCCAAGATGATAGATATTTTTAAATTTTGCAGAAAAAAATGAACAACAAACTTCGCCTTCCACTACATATAAGAGAAGACCTAAAATCCGAATTTGGGCAGTTTTCGGCTATTTTAATGATCCATTCAATCCCGGTACAGTTCATTAAGTAAATTGTGCCATGTTAAGATGGACTTATAAACTAAATCAACTGGAAAACAGCTGATTTGTTGGTATGGTTCAGCACAACCTTAATAAGTATTGTCATTTCCCCAGATTTTTATAGAATTATTTCATGTGATAGAACTTCACTAACGCAAATCTATGAACATTTTACTAAGATTCAGATTTTACATTATTTATGAAGACGGGATATGCCGAGCAAATTGACAGATGAAGATCCTAGGAATGTTTTATCTATTTGCAGCTGTTTTCAAATACTGTAGTAGTAACCATGTGTGCTAAAGCAATTAATGTGCTAATTACAGATGTGCCTTTATTCTAGTCCTTGGAGCAGAGTCAGCAAGGCCTCCGTTCGGCAGGGCTTTTCACTTTAGTTTGAATAACTGAATGTACTTAGAAATAAAATTGCCTTTAAAAGAAAGAAAGAAAGAAAGAAAAACTCCAACTTCATATGGCTCATGATTCCCCAGATTTGGATATCCCACTCATTGAATTCACCCTGTAAAACACAACAGCTGCCTAACATAAAGCTCTGTGGCAATGTAATTAATTTATAAAACAGGTGTTACTCCCATTTCTTCCATTCCTCAGTCGCATTGTTAAAAAAAAAAGTGGCTCATATAATTTATAATTCAAATATTATGCTAATTTGTAAAAATTTACTAATCCTTACTACACAAGGGGGAAATTGGTCCATGGAATATTTGAAAGTGCTAATTTATTGATTTTCAATGTTAAACTCAGAAGCAGCATAGGAGAAAGAAGAATCCAGGAGGGATTGTTTTTATTTTTGTTTTTATGCTGGCTACCATTCCTGTTTCCTGTTTTTTGGCAGCCTATGTGGTTTTCTTCCAGTCACATGGCATCTTATTCTAAAAGTCATATTCACTATGCCGGCTTCCCTAGGACCCAGGTGCATAGTAGTAATGGATTTAGATAAACAAGTAGCATTACGGTGATAGTGGCATAACTTTGTAGGGTTTCCCATTTGCTGCAATAGTTCTGCTGTTTCAGGGCCTATTCTCCTTTACATTTGCCCTATTATGTTAAAGGTGATGAAGGAAAATATTTAGTGAACTCATGGTAGTTAAGAAGATAAAAGGAAGGAAAGACGGTGGGAAGAGGTGGGGAAGTGAAAGGAGGGAATGGAGAGAGGGAGAAAGAAAGAAAGGGAAAGACAAAATATAGAGAAAATAGAATTTGGTATTATTGGTATTATAATGAACTCCTGAGCGACACCTTCAGAGGATCTAAATACGAAAAATTATGTTACACTGATGGAAGAGAGGGATTCAAGACTGTAAGAGAGCTCAAGGGGGCTTCTGGTAAGGTTCTGTTTCTTGATCAGCTTACTGGTTACATAGGTAGACTCAATTTGTCATAATTCATCAAACTGTACATATATGACATGCGTACTTTTTAGTGTGTATATTTCACTAAAATATTTTAAAATAAAACATGTGCTACAGGGGAACAGGCATTATCTTCCATCTGTTTTAAGTTTTCCTGGATAAAGTGACTTTGAAAGTGACTTAAAGCATCTCTCAACTTCGTAGTCAAATATGATCTTTACTTATCACAGAAAAGATAGTACTGGACTGCTAAGATTAGGTTTCAATTATGGCTCTAGCTCTTTGATAAACTGAGTGTTCTTAGATAAGTGGCTTTATCTCTCCCAAGGCTCAGTTTTCTATTTTGGAAAATGTTACAGAATCATTTAATGAGATATTAATTCCTACCTTGTTTTTCTTGTAGTAGTATGGACAGCCAGTCTGATGTTTACTTGGCTTCTCTGCTCCAGAAATAATCAATTTCTTTGGGTTTCAAGATCCATCCTAAGAAAAACCTCAAATGAGTCTTTGAAAGAACCAAAGTGCTGTTTGAAAGAAAACTGCAATTTCTGCCAAGTTGGATGAATGGAGGGCAGCTGGTGCATTTTGAGGAAGACAGAAGACATAGTTGGAGTCTTGCATCTGAAGCAGGTGGAGGAGTACTAGGATCAGCGGAGTTTTGGTCATACGCCTTAGTTCTTAGCAATCGGCACAATTTTCATGAGTCTGCAGCTGAGAGCAATTTCTCATCTTGACCCTACTGATGTATTGTGCCACATAATTCTTTTTTGTGGGAGCTGTTCTATGCGTCGTAGGATGTTTCGCAGCATCCCTGGCCTCTACCCACTAGATGCCATTAGCACCTCCTTTCTAAGCTGCAACAACCAAAATTGTCTCCATTATTGCCAAATGTCTCCAGAAGGACCAAATCCTCCATATTCCCATTGAGAACTAGTGGCATACAGCAAAGTGCTAGATACTGAATTTGTCATTGAAAGGATGAAGGGGAATAAATACCAGGAGCTGCAAAGCCACTTGGCATTGAATGGGCCTCTAAAATTGAACAATACACTTATAAAATGATTCCCATACAGACTAAGTCAAATACAACTTCCCCAGATTGTGTAAACCTAGCTTGTGTAAATCTCATATCAATCCCAAGAATTGTGGAGTGGGGGACTATTGAGAATGTCTTTTCATAAACCCTGCCAGGTGGAGGAGATTAAGACAGATCTGATTTGATTTAGACACCTAAAGAAATCTATCCATTATTTTATGTAGGTGTCATGGTGAAATCTGTACCTGTTACATGTGTTTAAAAAAAACTTAGCAATTTTTCTAACATACGGAAAACACTCAACAAATGTTAATCATGTTATTATCACCCCTACTTTATAGATGATAAAAGTCACAAAGAAGCAAAACTACATTTCTGAGAACCAGAGCTAATAAACAAAATGAGGACCAAAATAAATTACTCCTGGTGTCCCCACTCTATGTAACTCTGTTGCTTATATTAATGATAAATTTTTTATTGGAGTGCCTGGAAACTATTATTTTATCTCTTCTCAGTTCAATTTAGAAAATACAGGTATCCATCATGTGCTTTACATCCTATTCAGTCATTTCAGGATACAAGAATAATATATAACCCAATGTAATTATTGTGTTTGTGTGTGTGTGTGTGTGTATGTTTCTTTTGTGTGTTTTGTTTTATTTGTTTATTGGACAGTAAAGACACCTGAAGCAATATAAAAACCTTCCAGAATGTAGGCACTTAAGTATCAGAATGATGGATACAGATTGTACGTGCTAAAAGCATTCTGAAAAAGAAAGCTCAAAATAAATCAGGGTAGTTGAGGAAGGCATCATGGGCTTTGAACTAGCAATTTAAGAATGGGACTAAATTAAACTAGCAGTTTAAGAAGTACAGGTAGAAATGTTTGAGAAAAGTTTAATAACCAGGAAAACAACATATGCATTTCTACTGCATAAAAGCCCCACAATCCACCCCAGATTTTTATCTCCAGCCTCTGTTCTCTTTACAGCTTCTGTAGAGCCCATTCCTTCTAAATCCTCATGTTTTTTCAGTCACACTATGCTTTAACCCCCATTCAGGACTCGAGGCCTTTGTACATACTGCTCCCTTTGCCGGTATGCTTGCCTGTGGTCATTCTACTCACTCTGGCCCACTTCACTTGCAAATTCCAATTTTCCCTTCAAATTCAAAACTCAAATTTACCTCCTCATATCTCCTAAGAAGGAAATAATGAACTTCTTCTTCTTTATTAGGTGTCCCCCAATGTATCCTATATAGAATCTCTGAGAAGTTATATATATTAATTCAGTATTAATCCAGTATGATTCAAAATTGGTTTTTGCCCTTTAATAGAGTACCACTATCAAAACTCACCTACAGAAATACTTACCAGACCCTTTTAATTCATTTTTATCTGCACAACCTATACATAATGCTAATTTTCTATTACATTTTTCAAGTAAGTTACAACCAAATCTAAAATTACCTTTGGTCTCCATCCTCAATCCCAGTATTCTCTTTCATTCCCCCAAGGTAATTACTATTATGTCCTTTCTTCATATTTCCATTTTTTTACCTTTATTTAATATGTATGTGTGCTGTTATAAATTTTTTCTTGAGTGTGTTTTTATTTTGGTGGTACCACATTCTATGTAGTAAACAATATGTGATTTTTAAGTATCTGTGTTAATGCCTATGGATTGTGTATTTTAATTCACAGACAATATTTCATAAAATATACATTCCATGTTTGATTTAAACCTTTGTGAAAGACATTGTTTGTTTTTGATGTTTTGATTATCCAAATAATGCTGTAGTGAACTTTATTTTGCCCAAAAGTATGCATATCTGGAAGTAGAATTGCACGGTCATAGGCTCAAGACATTTATTTTTAATTGTATTTCCAAATTGCTGCCTAAAGTGAGCAAATCCATATACAGTATTCATAGCCTAAAGATAACTTAGAAAAAGTCTTGCTCTCCACATACTTACTGACACTCTTTATTGTCAGGTTTGTTTGTTTGTTTTTACTTCTGCTGAGTGTTAAAAAAATCACTTTTTTTTTGTTTTACAAATATTCTCCTGATTAGACTAATTTGAGAAAGACAGTTTTTTTTATAGTTGAATCAATTGCAACAATTTTTATCGGCGCATATTGATGCATGTTTCCCACTTAAGTTTTAAAAAATTATGTTGGGGTATCATTTACTTACAGGGAAATTAATCTCTTTTTGTGTATCCTTCTGCATTTGGACAAACACATACACTTGTAATACAAGTGTAAGTAAATGATACCACCACAATCAAAGCAATTCCATTGCTCCCCAAAACTTCGCTCACTCTGACTCTATGAATGTTTTTATAATATTGAATATTTTCATTTATAAATGTAGCAGGTAGTTCTGTGTATTTAGATACAAGTGTAAGTAAATACGCTTGTATCTAAATACAAGTGTAAGTAAATGATACCACCACAATCAAAGCAATTCCATTGCTCCCCAAAACTTTGCTCATTCTGACTCTATGAATGTTTATATAATATTGAATATTTTCATTTATAAATGTAGCATAGTTCTGTGTATTTAGGTCTATTTATAGCATTGCATTGAATTGTTATGTCCTTCTTTATACACATCTTGAATTTTTTAGTTTGTTGTTGTTGTTGTTCTTAACCAGGCTACTGTAAACAGGTTCTTAGTTTTTCTTTTTTACTGATGAATGATTTTAAAATTTTGATTTCTGCATGGGGAATTTTATCCAGGCAAATTGCTAAGTTCTTTGACTAGTTCCATTGTTTATGAACTTATTCTCTGAAATGTTCTAGGAAGACTATCAGATCATCTCTTCTCAATCTTTAAGTAAATTTTTCTTTTCCTAATTTAACTTAAATTGCTAACTTATTGTTCAATAATAGTAAAGTTAGTAGATATTCTGTACTTATTTCTGACATTACAGGACATGTTTCTAATATTTCATTATTAAATATGTTTGCCTAGGTTTTTATCAGGTGATTTTTAATGCATTAAGAAAGTATTTTTCTATTTCTCATTATTTAAGAGTTATTATCACAAAAGGATATTAGATTTTATAAAATTATGTGTCAGCAGCCATTGAAATAATTATATAACTTTTCTTCTTTAGTGTATTAACAAAGATAATTGTCTTGATATAATTTCTCATAATCCATTGTTGCAATACATGAATAAATTTTTTGTTCAGTGTTTTGGTTAGGAATTGCATTGAGCTACTAATAAGAGAAACAGGGCTATAGTTGATTAAACACACAAAAGCTTATACTTCTGAAATAACCAGAAGTCTAGAGTAAAGCAATTGCTGATATTGGTTCAGCAATTCAAGTATATAAAAAAGAAGACCTCTGTTTTCTCTTGGTTTTTCCTTGTAATTCCAAGATTACCACCAGAGATCTGGCCCTCACATCTTCATCAGAGGCCAGAAAAATGAAAAAGTGAATAGTAGGGAAACAATAGTCTTCCCAGAAGTTACAATCCACAATTTCTTTTTGCATTTCATTAGCCACTCAACCTCCAAAAAATTGAGAAGAATATATATATATTTTAAGTTGGCCAGACTAGTGACTGAATTAAAATCAGAGTTTTGGTTACTTGAGAAGAAGAGAAATGAGTATTTAGTAGGTATCAAATGGCCTTCAACACAGTCATAATACATTGTTCTGTTAACACATTGCTTGCTTTGAATGGCTGAAACTTTATTTGTAATTTTTCATCACCATTGGTACAATGAATAGTATTTATTCAGATTTCAACAGTTATATGTGCACTTAGTTGTGTGTGGCAGAGACGGGGCATAACTCTATGCAATTCTGTAACATCCATAGCTTTAGGTAACCACCACCACAGTCAAGATCCTTGTGCCATCACCACAAGACTCCTCCATTCTACTGCTTAATAGCCATATTAACTCCTGCTTCCATATCCTAATCACCAGCAATCATTAATTTGTCTTTCCACTCTGTAATTATGTTATTTCATAAATGTTATATGATGGAATCGTGCAGTATATATTCTTTTCAGATTGGCTTTTTCACTCAGTATAATTTCTTTTAGGTTAAAGTGAGTTAGTGCATGTTTTAATAGTTTCCTCCTTTTTATTCCTGAATAGCATTCCATAGCATGGAAGTAGTGTTTCATTAACCACAACCCATTGTATTAGTTCATTCTTGCACAGCTATAAAGAAATACCCGAAACTGGGTAACTTATTTAAAAAAAAAAAGAGGTTTAATTGTCACATGGTTCTGCAGGCTGTACAGGAAGCATGGTTGGAGAGACCTCAGGAAACTTTCAATCATGGCAGCAGGTGAAGCAGACACGTCTCACATGGCCAGAGCAAGACAAACAGAGCAAACTGGAAGGTGCTACACACTTTTAAACAACCAAATCTCATGAGAACTCACTATCATGAGAACAGTAAGGGGAAAATTCGTCCCCACGTTCCAATCACCTCCCACCAGGCCCCTCCTCCAGCTTTGGGGGTTACAATTCAACATGAGATTTGGGCAGGGACGCAAATCCAAACCATAACACCTACTGAAGGATGTTTGGATATTTTCTAGGTTTTAGCTACTATTATAAAGCTGCTAGAAACATTTATGTACAAGTTTCTGTACAAAAATAAGTTTTCATTTCTTTGCCCTATTTGCACAATAATACAATTGCTAGGTCATATGTAAAGTCCATGTTTATTCTTAAAGGAAACCACCAGACTATTTTCCAGAGTGCCCGTAACATTTTATATTCACACCAGTGACCTATAAGAGCTCTAGTTTTCCATGTTTTCACTGACCTTTGTTATTATCACTATTTTTTATTTGAGCATTCTGATAGTTGTGTGGTGATGTCCCACTGTGGTTTTAATTTTCATTTATCTAATAGCTAACAATGTTGAACATATTTGCGTGTAATTATTTTTCATCTACGTATCCTCTTTGGTAAAATATCAGTTCAAGTTTTTTGTCCACCATCTACTGGTATTGTTTGTTTTTTAATGTTGAAGTTTGAGAGTTCTGCATGTATTCTAGATACAGGTTCTTCAACAGACATGTGATGTGCAAATATCCCCCCGCCCCCCACTGCTTGACCTGTCTTGTCATTCTCTTAATAGAGTCTTCCAGCGAGAAAAGATTTAATTTTCATGAGGCCTAATTTATCTATTTTTAAATTTTATTTTATGGCTCATGCTTTTTGGTGTCAAATCTAAGAACCCTGCTGGATGTCAGCAAGAATGGCTCAGTAAAGACCTCCAACAAACCTCTCATCCATAAAAGCACTTATAATACTGGCAAAAATTTGTCAAAATCAATGTTTTCAGAGCACTGGAAATTAACCAAAGGTATTCAACAACCTGGTAGTGTCTATTCAAGAATACTGGCTGAATCCTGGTAAGAATCGAGAGGTTTGTACTATTTTAACTTTCGTAGTTCCATGACCTTTGTACTAGCCTGTTGGTAGCCTTGAAAAGCAATCACTTCCAAATCACAGTGAAAACCAACAGCCTAGGAGACTGTAAAGGGCAAAGAATAGAGTTGGATCTTCTCAAAATTCTAATTTCAAGAAAACTATCATTATTTGACCTTTCTGGAGCTTTCTGACCAATCCCACTAGCAAAGCTTGTCTTTATTTGATCTGACATTGAGCTGACCCAGTGTAAATAGCTTTTTCTCTGAAGCCGTTTGTCAAAAACAATCAGCCACAATTATTTAATATCTCATGTGGCAATAACTATTAGGACAAACAAGCAGATCCAAAACGTTCAAAGGAAAAGCTTGGGAATGAGATATACATAGGTGGCTGAAAAACTCTGATATATTCCTAGGAATCTGGAAGGACATGTGCACATGTAGGGCTGTAAGCATAGCCATAAAAGATGGAAGATGACCCTAACCTCTCACTTCTGTGTGAAATTGAAGGTCTGCACAAATAAGAAGTAAAGGTGAAGGTGGACTTTTAAACTGTCTGCCTGGACAATGAAGCAATGCCCACAAATCACACAGAGACTTTTGGCAAAATCTGTTAGACTTGTTGTTCAGTCATTTAAAGAAATTTCTGTCATACATTAGCTAACCATTAACCTAACTGAGCAGACATCTGTAGCCACAGATTTAAAAGAATACAGATTTAAAAGTATTTAACAAGAAATAGCAATAACACAAACACTAGTAGTGAACAGCAATAACAAGCCTATTTTAAATGTCCAATTTTTTAAAAAATATGAGTTACATACAGAAACAAGAAAGTATAGCTCATATTCAGGGGGAAAAAAGCAATTGACAGAAACTTCCCCTGAGCATATCCTGACATTGGATTTACTAGACAAAGACTTTAAATGAACTGTCCTAAATATGCTCAAAGAACAAAAGGAAACCACATCTGAAGAACTAAAGGAAAATATGCATCTTTGCATGTCTCATAAATTTTTGTTTTATTTCATACATCATGTACACAAGAATAATGGGTATTGATGTGCCAGACTTTGTATTTTTTTTCCCTCTTGGAGATTACAAGTCCTTTAATTATTTAAATTGGACTGAGTATTCAAATCCTTCTTTCAGTCAAGTTGAGCTGATACTATTCCTTAGCTTTAGTTGCATGAGTTTCTCCCGTTATGTTTCTGACACCCAACTTACACACCTGCCTTTTGAATGTAATCCCTTTTGTAAATGTGACACTTTTAAAGACAATCTTTTTTAATGTTGTGCCTTGAATTCTGATCATAATATCATTGTTAATAGAATTTAGTTATTTTCTTTTCGTTAGCATTTGCTAGAATCTTTTTTTTTCTGTTTCTTTATTTTTCACAATCTGGTGTCACTTTGTTCTAGGCATGGATCTAGTAACTAAAATGCAGCTTGATTTTTAACTATAAAGAGCTAAGATAATTTAACAAAAATTAATTCATTATTATTGTTTATTTATTTGAACTTAGTCCTGCCATCTAATACGGTGTTCTATATATATGATACTCTTTCTCTTTTTTTAAAAAAATTCTATCTATTATTTGTCTTTGTTCCAGTTACTTACCTATAAATATAGAAGTTTTAAAGTTTCTTTCAAGAATAATAATTTCCTTTAAACTTTTAATACTCATGCAGGATACGATTTTTAACAGCATTTAGATTTAATCTGTTCTCAGTCTCTCTCATATACTTAGCTTGCCATCTTGAAGCCAGATGTCTTTCTCAGATATGTGAGGTCATGCTTCACTGAACTTTTGGGGAGATACATTTTATTCATATGTCAGCAATCACTTATGCTTTCAAAATTTCTCTTTTCCAACTCTGGATTTCAGTTCCCAATGCTTTGCTGAATTCATACTCTGGTTTCTGACCCAGTAAAAATGACAGTGAGATACAAGGGAAATTTCCCATGAACCTAGAGGGAAAGAGACTTGGGGCCAAAACTATGGTGATTGAAAAGAAGGAAAGAAAATTAGTCACTAGTTTGTTTTGCACACAAGTTTCTGGGTTAAGATAATACTTGCTACATATTTAAAACTGAGCAGGAATATATTTCAAGGAAAATATATCTTGCCTGTAGATTGTATATGAGAATGATAGTGAAAAGTTCCGAAAATTCTAACCCCAAACTCAGAGATACAAGATATCTGAACTGAATACCTCCCTATGGTCCAGGGATTGTTGTTGTACAAAGGTGAACAAAACAGATATTACACAAAGACTTTTAAGTACACAAATAAATAAATTTGTATTAGCAGGCTACATGAGAGATGAAATGTTTAGGCTTTTTAAACTTTTTTCCATCAAAAGAGATACCAAAACCATAATAGAATCACTAAAGAAAGCCCTTCCCCTTCCTAAAGAATGAGTTTAGGGACTCTAGAAGGAATGAACTGTTCAATTCAGTTGTCTGGGAAAAGTTAAGGTAATTAGACTTTTTGTTCTAAGGGATGAAAACAAAAAGCTGTCTAACTTCAAAGAAGTGGATTCCCCAGAGAAAATGTTAAAGTACATATATAATTCTATACTCTCTACCCCCTCTCCCATAACAAATGTGTGTTTATCTGTATTACTGAGATTGTCCTTTTTCACAAGTGGAGATAATGCTTGTGCACACCGTAAGCAAAACTTACTAGGTATAAGTCCTTTGGAAATGTTTAGCCTTAAAAAACTACCAAATGAAAGGCTGAAAACAGAATTGAATATAGCATCATTTCAAAAGTATGACATTAGCAAGCCAATGCAATATGCAATGGTGACAGGTGGGCCATACCTTGCATTGATAAAAGATTTGCCTTCCGGATAGGAATATGAAAAGCAGTGAAAACAGAAATCATATGTTTGTTGACATGAACAATTGATTAAACTAGTGTAATTAACAAATAATCAAACCAAGAAAACTAAAGTCTAATTCATTAATTTTTTTTTTTTTGAGACGAAGTCTTGCTGTGTCACCTTGGCTGGAGTGCAGTGGCACAATCTCAGCTCACTGCAGACTTCGCCTCCTGAGTTCAAGCTATTCTCGTGCCTAAGCCTCCTGAGTAGCTGAGATTACAGGCCTGCACCACCATGCCTGGCTAATATTTGTATTTTTAATAGAGACAAGGTTTAACCATGTTGTCCAGGCTGGCCTCAAACTCCCGGTCTCAAGTTATCCACCCACCTCACCCTCCCAAAGTGCTGGGATTACAGACATGAGCCACTGCACCCAGCCTCATTAATAATTTTAAATTAATCATGACAATGATATTAATAACATTTTTTGCATTTGCATTGAATGAACATTTTAGAAAATAAATATGTTTGTATCAGAGCTTTTAGAGGAGTGGTTCTCAAAATGAAACATGAATCAAAATCTTCGTGGGAGAAGAGGCTTGTTAAAAATGTAAATTATTGGGCCTTACTCCTCAACCCAAATTTGAATTCCTTACTTGTGAAAAGGGTCCGGAAATCTGGATTTAATAATTCCATCCCTCTGCTCTCATATACACACAGTCATTCTGGTCATTCTGTTGCAAATTATTGAATAGATAGATAGCACTTCAAGCACATGAATCAAAAGGTAAAACATAGATAAAAACTAAGAAATTGTCATGTTATCCAGTGTGAGTTAGGATTCAGTTATTTTCATTACTTTATATTATTTTAAAATAGTGATTTTGTGTTTAGGTAATAAGATTTAGTTAGCCGTAGAAAGTAATATGAGTAAATCTACAAAGTAATGAAATTATTAGAAAATAAATTAACATAATTAAGAAGAATTCTAGATTGGTTTTCTAGTAAGATGTTAGAAAGGTATGATGGTTGTCTCCCTCCTCCAAGAGTAACAATAGAAAAACTAGATAGGGAGGAGGGGTGGAGCATCATGGCCAAATAGGAGCCTCCACTGATCATCTCCCTTTCAGGGTCACCAAATTTAACAACTACCTACATAAAAAAGCATCTTCATAGCAACCAAAAATCAGGTGAGCCCTCACAGTACCTGGTTTTAACTATATATTGCTGAAAGAGGCACTGAAGCAGGTAGGAAACACATTTCTGAATTGCCAATGCCATCCCTACCCCATCCCCAGGCAGTGGCCCCATGGCACAGAGAGAAACTGTGAACTTGGGAGAGGGAGAGTGCAGCAATTGTGAGACATTACATTGAACTCAGTGCTGCCCTGTCACAACAGAAAGCAAAACTGGGCTGAAGTCAGCTGATGCTTGCCCACAGAGGGAACATTCGGACTAGCCCTAGTCAGAGGAAAATTGCCCATCCCAATGGCCAGAACTTGAGTTTCAGCAAGGCTCGCCACCACAGACTAACATGTACAGAAGTCCTAAATAAATTTAATAGGCATTCTACGCACAAGGACTGCAACTGCTAGGGAAGTTCCTTATGCTGAACTGGGCTAAGAGACAGTGGACTTGAGAGGCATGCAACCTATTGAGATGCCAGCTGTGGTGGCTAAAGGAAGGCTGTCTCACCCCTCCCCTCATCTCAACCTGCACATTCATGGCTACAAGAAACACCTTTCCTTCATTTGAGGACAGGAGAAGAAAGAGTAAGAGTACTGTATCTTGCATCTTGGATGCCAGCTCAGTCACAGTAGGATAAGTCATTGGGCACAGTTGTGAGGCCCCTATTCCAGGCTCTAGCTCCTGGATAACATTTCTAGACACTCCCTGAACTGGAAAGGAATCCATACCTTAAAGAGAAGGACCCAGTCCTGGCAGGACCCCCACCTGCTGACTAAAGAGCGTTTGTCCCCTGAACAATCAGCAGCAAAACTCAGGTAGTATGCCATGGGCCTTGGGTGAGACTCTGAGACTTGCTGGCTTTAGGTGAGTCTCAACACATTCTCAGTTGTGGATGATATGGCAAGAAACTCCTTCTGCCTGAGAAAAGTGGAGGAAAAAGTAGAGGGAAGTTTCTCTTTCACCTTAGGTCCCTGCTCAGCCACAGAGGGATAGAGCACCAAGTAGGGTCTTTGGGTCCCCAGTTCCATGCCTTGGCTCTCGGGTGGAATTTCTGGATGTGCCCTGGGCCAAAGGGGAGCTCAGTTTTAAAGGTTGAGTCCCTGGCCAGACAGCATTTCCCACAAGCTGAATGAAGAGCCCTTATACCTTGAGTGAACATCACCAGTAGTCTGGGCCTGTGGTGGTAGTGGCTATGGAGTGAGGCTTCTCTGACTGTGGAAAGGGAAAGGAGGAGTGGGAATGACTGCATCTTGTGATTTGAGTGCCAGCTCAGCCACAATACAGTAGAATACCAGGTAGACTTCTGAGGTTCTTAACTCCAGTTTCTGGCTCCTGGACAGCACCTCACAACCTGCCCAGAACCTAGGGAAACTCACCACCCTGAAAGGAAGGACACAAGCCAGGCTGGCTTCACTGCCTGCTGATTGTAGAGCCCCAGGGCCTTGAACAAACATAGGCTATATCCGGGTAGTGGTTACAGTGGGCCATGGGTGAGACCCAGTGATGTGCAGCCTTCAGGTCTGAACTAATACACTCCCAGTGATGGTAGCCACAAGGGTATTTGTGTGTCGCTCCACCTCTAGCCCTAGGTGGCTCAGAGCAGAGACAGACAGACTCCATTTGTTTGGAAAATACTAAGGGACAAGCATAAGAGTCTCTGCCTGGTAATGCAGAGAATTCTTACCTATGACCACCAAGGTGGTACCTCTACAAGTCTGCAAGAACTACAGCATTAGTGGGCTTAGGGTTTCCCCTAAGGCCGATACAGCTTAGATCACAACACCCACATTCTTTCCAATACCTGGAAAGCCTTCCCAAGAAAGATGAGTACAAACAACCTCATACTAAGAGGATTATAATGCCTAACCCTTTAATGCACAGACACAGACAAACATCCACAAGCATCAAGACCATCCAGGAAAACATGACCTCACCAAACAAACTAAATAAGGCACCAGAGACCAATCCCAGAGTTACAAAGACATGGGACATTTCAGCCAGAGCATTCAAAGTAGCTGTTTTGAGGAAGCTCAAAAAAATTCAGGATAACACAGAGAGGGAATTCAGAGTTCTACCAGATAGATTTAACAAAGAGACTGAAATAATTAAAAAGAATTAAGCACAAAGTTCGGAGTTGAAAAATGCAATTGGCTTACTGAAGAATGTATCAGAGTATTTTAATAACAAAATTGATCAAGCAGAAGAAAGAAATAGTGAGCTTGAATATAGGCTATTTGAAAATACACAGTCAGAGGAGACAACAGAAAAAAGAATAAAAATAATGAAGCATGCCCACAGGATCTAGAAAATAGTCTCAAAAAGGCAAATCTAGGAGTTATTGGCCTTAGAGAGGAGGTAGAGATAAAGACAAGATTAGAAAGTTCATTTGAAGGAATAATAACAGAGAATTTCTCAAACCTCGAGAAATATATCAATATCCAAGTGCAGGGAGGTTACAGAACACCAAGCAGATTTAACCCAAAGAAGGCTACCTCAAGGCATTTAATAACCAAACTACTAAGGGTCAAGGATAAAGAAAGGATCCTAAAAGCATCAAGAGGAGAGAAACAAATAACATACAGTGGAGCTCCAATATGTCTGGCAGCAGACATTTCAGTGGAAACCTTATAGGCCAGGAGATAGTGGCATGACATACATATATATTTTTTTTTCTTTTTTTCTTTTTTTTTTTTTGAGATGGAGTCTCGCTCTGTCACCCAGGCTGGAGTGCAGTGGCACAATCTCAGCTCACCGCAACCTCTGCCTCTCAGGTTCAAGCGATTCTCCTAGTCTCCTGAGTAGCTGGAATTACAGGCGCCCACCACCACTCCCGGCTAATTTTTGTATTTTTAGTAGAGACAGGGTTTCACGATAGCAGTCAGGCTGGTCTCAAACTCCTGACCTCAGGTAATTCGCCTGCCTTTGCCTCCCAGAGAGCTCGGATTACAGGTGTGAGGCACCGTGCCTGGCCTGGCATGACATATTTGAAATGCTGAAGGAAAAAAAGTTTAGCCTAGAATAGTATATTAGGGAACATATTCTTCAAATATGTAGGAGAAATAAAGACCTTCCTAGACAAAAAAAAGCTGAGGGATTTCATTAACACCAGACCTCCTAAAATTATAAAATGAGAACTTCAGTCAGAAAGAAAATTAATGAGCAACAAAAAATAACCTGAAGGTACAAAACTCACTGGTAATAGTAAGTGCACAGAAAAACACAGATATTATAACACTGTAACTGTGGTGTGTAAACCATTCTTATCTTAAGTAGAAAAACTAAAAGATGAACAAATCCAAAATAATAACTACAACTTTTCAAGACATAGACAGTACAATAAGACATAAATGGAAACAGCAAGAAGTTAAAAAGCAGGGAGATGAAGTTAAGGAATAGAATTTTTATTAGTTTTCTTTTTTCTTGATTGTTTATGCAAACAGTGCTAAATTGTTATCAGCTTAAAATAATGGGGTGTAAGATAGTATTTGCAAGCCTCATGATAACCTCAAATCAAAAATACATAATGGATACACAAAAAATAAAATGCAAGAAATTAAATCATATGACCAGAGAAAATTACCTTTACTAAAAAGAAGACAAGAATGGAGTAAAGAAGGAAGAGAAGGCCAAAAGACAAACAAACAAAAAAATGGTATTCATGAGTCCTTACTTATCAAGAATAACATTGAATGTAAATGGTCTAAACTCTCCAGTCAAAAGTCACAGAATGGCTGAATGTATGAAAAACCAAGATCCAATGATCTGTTGCCTACAAGAAATACACTTCACCTATAAAGACACATATATACTGAAAATAAAAGGATGGAAAAAGATATTCCATGCCAACTAAAACCAAAAAGTGCAGGAATGGTTACATGAATATCAGACAAAATAGATTTCAAGACAAAACTATAAGAGACAAAGAAGGTCACTATATAATGATAAAGAGGGCAATTCAACCAGATCATATAAGATTTGTAAATATGAATGCACTCAACACTGGAGCACCCAGATATATAAAGCAAATTATTAGTACTAAAGAGAGATAGGCATTAATACAATAACAGCTGGAGACTTCAACATCCCACTTTCACCATTGAACAGATCTTCCAGACAGAAAATCAACAAAGAAACATCAAAATTTATCTGCACTATAGAACAAATGGACCTGATAGATATTTACAGAACATTTCATCCAGTGGCTGCAGAATACACATTCTTTTCCTCAGCACATGGATCATTCTCAAGGATAGACCATATGTTATTTCATAAAAAAAGTCTTAAAACATTAAAAAAAATCTGAAATAGTATCAAGCATTTTCTCTGACCACAATGGAATAAAACTGTAAATCAATAACAAGAGGAATTTTGGAAACTATATAAATACATGGAAATTAAACAATATGGTCCTGAATGATCAGTGAATCAATAAATAAATTAGAATAGAGACCAGCCAGGCCATCATGGTGAAACCCTGTCTCTACTAAAAAAAATACAAAAATGAGCCAGGCATGGTGACACGTGCCTGTAGTCCCAGCTACTCAGGAGGCGGAGGCAAGAGAATCACTTGAACCTGGGAGGTGGAGGTTGCAGTGAGCTGAGGTCACACCACTGCATTCCAGCCTGGGCAACAGAGCAAGACTCTGTCTCAAAAAAAAAAAAATTAGAATAAAGAAATTATGGAAAAATTTAGAAATATTTTGAAACAAATCATAAGGGAAACACAACATACCAAAACATAAGGGAAACAGCAAAATCAGTACTAAGAGCTATAGTACTATAGCTATAAATTTATTGCTATAAATGCTTACATCAAAAAATAAGAAAAACTTCGAATAAACCACCTAACAATGCATCTTAAAGAACTAGAACAGCAAAAGCAAACCAAACCCAATGATTACAGCAGATTTCTTCACAGAAATAGAAAAAAATCCTAAAACGATATGGAACCACACAAGACCCAGAAAAACCCAATCTAATGTAAGCAAAACAAAAAAAAGGAGGAATCACATTACTTGACTTTAAATTAATACTACAGAGCTATAGTAACCAAAACGGTATGATACTGGCATAAAAACAGACACACAGATCAGTGGAACAGAACAGAGAACCCAGGAATAAATCCATATATCTACAATGAACTCATTTTTGGCAAAGGTTCCAAGAATATACATTGGGGAAAGGACAATCTATTTGATAAATGGTGCTGGGAAAACTGGATATCCATATGCAAAAGGATATTTACTTAGCATGAAAAGGGGGAAATAATCTCAAAGCATAATAATATCATCAGAAATATTCAATAAAATATTATTAGGTATGCCAAGAGATGACATGACCAAAGCCAACAGGAAATAAGTAGATTTTAATAAAATAATCAAATATAATACACATATTTGAATTAGCACACAAAGACTTTAAAATTATTATAATTGATATGTTCAGAAAAATAGAGAACAATTTATTGACAATATTGAGTTTCATCAGAGAATTAAAATATACAAGAAAAAATACACAACTGAGATTCTAGAACTTAAAATACAATGTCTAAAACTAGAAAGTTACTAAGCAAATTAGAAATGGCAGGAAATTACCAGCAAATTAGAAATGGCAGGAGACAGCATGAGTAAACTAAGGTACAGATTACTGGAAACCCAAAATAATGTACAAAAAAAGACCTGTAAAATGTGTAATAAGAGTCAGTGAAAAAGAGAGAGAGAGAATGAGAGAGAGAGAGAGAGAATGGACCATAGGCAATATTTGACATGTCCGAACATCTTTAAAAATATCTAGGAATCCCTAGAAGGATAAACAAAGGTTACCCTAGGCTTGTTGTGGTAAAACTGATGAATAGCAATAAGAAAGAAAAAAATCCTAAAAGCAACAAGAGAGGAGAAAAGACTACATTACCTGCAATGGAGGAATAATGAGACTAAAGATGGAACACAATGGAATGACACAATCAAAGAAATGAAAGGAAAAGCTGCTAACCTAGAATTCTTTAACCAGTACAAGCATTTTTCACTGTACCTTGATGGAGGTAAAATAAACAGGTTTTTCAGACAGAAACTGCCAGAATGTGTTGCCTACAAACTTGCACTAAAAATATAAAGCAATTAAAATTCTAGAGCTGTGCTATATAAAAACCTTGTAAGTTATCAATGCTTAGAACAACACAAAATCTGAACATACTAAAAATCAATGACTTTCTTTATCAGATAATTGAAATCACAGGGCAAACCACCACCTTAAAATTAGGAAAGAGATGTGAATACAGAGGCGCACCTGAGATCTGCTTACCTAGAGCTGTTGGAGCCATAATCTGCTAGAAACATGTAATGGCCATTTTCATCAACTGCTGGAAGCTGAGGATAGGTAGACAAGCTTGAGAGTGAAAATGCCTGGGGGCCCCATCATTTCATGGATTTTAACTCTAGGAACTCTGCCAGGTTCTCAAAGAAAAGATCTAATAAAAATGCCCTCCTGATTCTGGCAGGGGCAATGGTGAGTATCCAGAGCATTCTTGATAAAGAAAAGACCTACTCTCCAAGGGAAAAGACTTTATCAGAGCTTATCTGACCTGTGGAAAAGACAATTAGCCAACTCTAGCACCATCTATCCTTCCTGTCTCACCCAGAGAAGGAATAAACAAAGCTGAGAAGTTTTTTTTTCTTTTTTCTTTTTTTTCTTTTTTTGAGCCTGAGTCTTGCTCTGTCACCAGGCTGAAGTGCAGTGGTGTGATCTCAGCTCACTGCAACCTATCCTTCCCAGATTCAAGGGATTCTCCTGCCTCAGCCTCCTGAGTAGCTGGAACTACAGGTACACACCACCACACCCAGCTAATTTTTGTATTATTAGTAGAAACGGGGTTTCACCATGTTGGCCAGGATGGTCTCCATCTCTTGACCTTGTGATCCGCCCTCCTCGGCCTCCCAAAGTGCTGGGATTACTGGTGTGAGCCACCACACCAGGCCGTTGAGAAGCATTTAAAAGGTCACAGCTCAGGGATGCAGGCCCACTAAAACACTGATTTTAATCAAAAGATTATCAAAGGCTTCCTCTCCCCCTCACCTTACCACAACATCAATAAGGCAAAAGTATAAGAACATTGAATTGCAACTAAAAGAGCTGCAAGACACAGAATCTGTTTTAAAAGGGATTCTTAGGGAAATTCAAAGATAATAGGAAAGGAGAAAAATAAGGATACTAGAGAAATTGAACCCTCTGGCACCCATAGCTACAGCGAACATTAAACACAGCTCATTGATATGCTAAGAAAGATAATAAATAGAATCATATAAAATATTCAATTAAAACCAGAGAATGAAGAAAATGAGAAGATAAGCAAAGAACAACTGCAATTAACATAAAATACTTGCAAACATGGTATATATTAATCCAACTATACCAATGATAACTTTAAATGTGAGTGTCCTAAATATTCTAATTAAAAGACAGAGACTGTCATAATAGTGAAGGAAAGACAAGGGCCAACTATATGTTGTCTACAAAAATCTGCCTTAATATAAAGATGTTGGGAACAGGCCCCCAAATCTGGCCATAGACAGGCCCCAAAACTGGCCATAAACAAAATCTCTACAGCACTGTGACAGGCTTGTGATGGCTATGATGCCCAGGCTGAAGGTTGCTGGTTTACCAGAATGAGGGCAAGGAACACCTGGCCCACCTAGGGCGGAAAAACCACTTAAGGTGTTCCTGAACCACAAACAACAGCATGAGCTGTGCCTTAAGGACATGTTCCTGCGGCAGATAACTAGCCTGAGCCCATCCCTTTGTTTCCCGTTTTAGTTAATCTATAATCTATAAAAACAATGCTTATCACTGGCTTGCTGTCAATAAATATGTGGGTAAAACTCTGTTCATGGCTCTCAGCTCTGAAGGCTGTCAGCCCCCTGATTCCCACTTTGCACTGCATATTTCTGTGTGTGTGTCTTTAATTTCTCTAGTGCCGCTGGGTTAGGGTCTCCATGACTGAACTGGTCTCAGCATAAAGAGGCATCTAGGTTAAAGGTAAAGTGATGGAGAAAGATATACCATGGTAACACTAATCAAAAGAATGCTAGAGGTCAGGCATGGTGGCTCATGTCTGTAATCCTAGCACTTTGGGAGGCCAAGGCGGGCAGATCACTTGAGGTCAGGAGTTCAAAACCAGCCTGGCCAACATGGTAAAACCCTGTCTCTATTAAAATACAAAAAAAAAAATTAGCTTGTCATGGTGGTGGATGCCTGTAATACCAGCTGCTTGGGATGCTGAAGCAGGAGAATCACTTGAACCCAAAAGGCAGAGGTTGCCGTGATCTGAGATCATGCCATTGCACTCCAGCCTGGGCTACAGAGTGAGAATCTGTCTCAAAAAATAATAATAATAAAAATAAAAGAATAATGGAATAGTTATATTAACTATATACAAAGCAGACTTCAGCACAAGGAAAATTATTAGGGATAATAAGGGGCACTACTTAACAACAAAACAGTCAATTCTCCAAAAGGACATAACAATTGTTAATGTATATGCAACTAACAACAAAGCATCAAAACACACAATGCAAAAATTGATAGAATTGCAAGGAGAAATAGAAAAATTCACTATTATACTTGAGGACTTCAACACTGCTCTATCAGTAATCCCAACAGTGAAAAAATATCATAAAGCATATAGCTGAATTGAACAGCACCATCAATCAACTTGATCTAATTGACATTTATAGAATATTCCATCCATCAACAATAGAATACACATTCTTCTCAAGCTCACATGAAATATTCACCAAGATACACCATTCTGAGCCACAAAACAACTTGGAAAATTAATAAATAGACATTACACAAAGCATGTTCTTAGACAACAATGGAATGAAACTAGATATGAATCACAGAAAAATAACTGGGAAATAAATAAATAAATAAATATGAGATTAAATAACACTCTTCTAAATAATATATGAGTAAAAGAGGTCTCGAGAAATTTAAAAACATTTTGAACTAAATGAAAATAAAATACCACTAATCAAAATTTGTGGGATGCAGCAAAATCAATGCTTATTGAGAAATTTATAATATTAAATCTATATACTAGAAAAGAAAAATATCTCAAATAATCTAAGTTTCCACCTTAGGGAATTAGAGAAAAGCAAGCAATTAAAGCCACAGTAAATACCTTAAGCCAAAATCAAGCCTTAAAAAAGAAAAACATCACAGCAAATAATCAATGAAATTGAAAAGATAAAATCAATAGAATTAATGAAACCAAAAGCTGGCTTTTTGAAAAGATAAAACATATATATAAACCTCTAATTAGACTATCTAAAGAAAAAGTGGTGGGAGTGGGAGGAGAAAGAGAGAGTGAGAGTGAAACCATGAACAAAATTTCTACAAAAGAAATTCTACTGGCAGAATGAAAATGATGCCAAATAGTTACTTTGAAATGGAGGAAGCAATAAAGACCAATGAGTAAATAGGCAGGTATTTATAAAATTATATTGTGCATTCTACAGTTTCAGTTGACTAGCCTGAAATAGAAAAAGTATATTGTATATGCAAAATAATAACTGTAACGTGTTGTGGAATTTAAAATCCTACAGAATTAACATGCATGACAATAGTAAGGCAAATGATGATAGAATTCATAGAATTATAATGCTCCAGGATCTGGCACTATCAAGAAAGTGATAAAGACCAATAATTTTATGAGATACATTAAATCATACATCCACTGTCTAGAAATCTCTAAGGTCACCACAAAAAGAATAGTGAAAGAATGTAAATATGTAAGAATAAAGAAAGAATGTATTATGGATAGCAAAATAAAATAATTAAAAATATTTTACTAATTCAAAGACAGACAAGAAGTTATAGAATAATGAACATAAAGAGATCTGTCACATGTAAAGCAAATTGCAAGATGGTAGCTATTGACCCAAGTATATAGATAATTAAATTTAAATTGAACAGATACTTCAATAAAATAAGAACCAGACTCATTTTTGATGATATGATAATTAGAAGAGATAAATCATACATTCTATGACACAGAATATTTCAAGGTAAAGAGATGAGAAGCATTACCAGAGTTGTTGGGTGCATTTGATAATAATAAAGGAGACAATCCATCAGATAGACATAAAAATCTTAAGTCTATGTGCACAAAATTACATATTTGAAAATATATCAAGTAAAAACTGACATAGTAAATGGTGACATAGACAAATCTACAATTATATTAAAGATTTTAATGAACTTTCACCAATAGCTGACAGAAAATAAAGTGTCATTTTTCTTAATTTGGCTTTTACCAAAAGATAAAACTTGAAACTCTAATGAGAATTTTTCCAAATGAAGAGTGATTATTTGCGATTTTCTGTCCTCTGGAGCTCTCAAATCATAATCCATGTCCATTCTCCTTCTTTGAACCCACAGGGCTCTATAAACTGAGGTCTGACCTCTCGTACACGTTGTTTTACAGAGTAGCTAATACTTCCAGGAGGAAATGTCCACAAGAATGAAATAATGAGATATTGAAGAGAACATTCATTCCCAGAGGAAAAAATGCATATTGCAAAACAGGCTTTCAGATACTGAAGCATTAGAACAAACAAATCAAAAAGTTTAAATAAATGTAATAATACAAATTTAACATATATTAAAAGAGAAACAAGATATTTTCAATGTGAATTACAATAAAAACACATTGAAAAAATGAGTTGAAAAATAAGTTGGTTGATAGAAAGGGTACAGTGGTTAATGTTGAATTGATATAACTGAAAAATGAATTCGTAATTGTAAGACCCAGTTGAATAACTACCCAAAAGGAAGAACTAAAATGTAAATAAAAAATTTTATTAAATTTAAGAGATTTGGAAAGTAGAATAAAAATATATACAAGAAATAAAACACCAATAATAACAGTTATAGAAATTGAGAGGAGGAAATATTTTAAAAAAATGAATAATCCTTTTCAGGAATTAAAAAATATCAGTACAATTTATCTTAGTCTTTTCTGGTTGCTAGAACAAAAATACTGTGTGGCTGATAAACAACATTTATTTCTCACAGTTCTATGGACCAAGGAGTCTAGGATCAAGACACCAGCAGATTCAGCCACTGGTGAAAGCTGATTCCTCACACATGGCGCCTTCCATGACTTCACATTATAGAAAAGAGATAAACAAGATCCATCAGGCTTCTTTTAAAAAGAGAAAAAAATCTATTCATGAGGGCTTCACCCTCACAACCCTAAAATCCCCTAAAGTCCCCACCTTTTAATACTATAATATTGAGGATTAGGCTTCATCATATAAATTTTGGGGGGACACAAATATTCAAACCACAGCTAAACAATTTCTAGTGCAAGAGAATTATTCAACAGGTGAGATTAGTAGAGGAACACACCTGGGTATTAAAGAATATATCAGAGACAACAGAAACTTCTAAAATCTTCAGAAGGAAGGAGCAGATCAAGGAAAATAATCAGATCAACACATTTTTCAACACCACTGGAAGCAATATAAAGAGGGAATCATATTTCGAAGGCATTGAAAAAAATCTAACATAGATGCTTAGATCTAGCCAAGATAATTCAAATATTTAGTCTTTTGAGACTATATTTTAGAAATATAGTCTCATGAATTTAAAACCTTAGGTTTTCCCCAAAAGAGATTTGCATGGAAACAGTTTTAAATACATTTTTGTAACATTTTAAATTATAACATTTTTATATTTTAATAAATCTATGCAGTGCTACAAAAGACATATGAAGAACAGATTAAATATGTCAGCAAAATTTGTTGTTTTCTTTTAAAATATAGTGAGCATCAGAGAAAACAAAGTGTGTATTGCCACAGAATTAAAATCTTGGAAACATCAAACTAGTAAGAACAAAAGGAGAGTGTAGAAGAGGGCTGAGAAAGTATAGTAAATGTATCATCTTGTTAGAAGTGAGAGATATTGATAAAAATGAAAATATACGTAAAATAAGATTTAAAACAGAAAAAAGACAGAATTACATAATAAAGTGAACTAATAGAATTAGATAAAAATATTTAAAAAATAGATGAAATGTAAATTTTCTAAACTCACTATTGAAGACACATATTAGGATTGGACTTCAAAAATAACAAAATCAAGATATATGATGTTTACAAGAGAAAGACATGAAGAATAAAGACCTATAAAGACTGAATCATTTAAAAAGTGAAAGCATTCTGCCAGGCAAATAGGAACCAAAAGAATCTGGTTTGGGTAAACTACTATTAGAAAATTGTACCAAACCATACGAATATATAGAAAACTAGGTATGTCCTATATCTTCCCAGCTTTTTGCTTGGAGATATTTCTGATCTGTGACACAGGGAAGGGGAACCAAAGCAGGGTCTTATTATGTGGACGGCACAGATACCAGAGTTCTAGGAGGCAGAGGTACTTGGAAATTTGGAAGGCGCGGTAACCAAGACAAGGGAACCACACAGAAAAAGAGGTCCAGAAATCTTCAAGTCAATTCAAAGAATGACAAAGAAAGTGTAGGCTGCATATTCTACGGAGCTCACAAAGAAATGGATATGTGTATTTCAATTAGCCAGAATAAAGAATCTGTGCAGAACACCTGCAGCCTTCAGAAGGGGCCCCTGAAGGGTCATGCATTTGTAGAGAGCTAAAGTAGCTCCAAAGGAAAATCTACTATAAGTGTACCATAAAGTCAAAAACAAACTTTAAATAACAAAATAGAAAATCTGAATAGCCCCATATCTCCTCTAAAAATTGAATTTACAAGACACCAGAAGACTACATCCAGATGAATCCAATGGTAAATTATATTCAACATTTCTTAAGAAAAAATAATATTCTTATACAAAATGTTTCAAAAAACAGAGGAAACATGTGTCAACTCAATGAGAAGGCATTACCCTGACACCAAAACCAGGAAAACAAATTGCAAAAAAAAAAAAAAAAAAGAAAAAGAAAATCACAGACGAATTTCCTTGATTAATAGTTAAAGGCTACTTACCATAAACAACATTTTATATTGGTTCTTTGTTAATAACCCAGGAGATTCGATGTTCTTAAAAGCAATGGACCATAGTAAGATTCTGGATAGCTAATGGTTTTCTGTGAAAATGGGTGGTAAGAAAGAAGAATCAACATGATTTTAGGACATGATAGATATGGAAGTTTGTAGTCAGGAAATTGGTACCATTTTAGTTCTTCTTATCCCCTATATAGTAATTTTGTATTTTTTTGTGTATGTGTTTCATTTCAATTTTACTTTTGATTATATTAATAATACATATTCATTAAAGAAAATTTGGAAAATAAATAAATGATCAATTGTTAAGACTTTAATTTTGTAATCTCAAACCGAAGCGCTAGTAACATTGCACACGTTTCTGCACTGTTGTCTGAATGGGACTTACAGATTCTTCAGAAAGGAGAGCTAGTCTTCTATGACTCTCTTCTGCTCTGTCTTATACTGAGTTTACAATTGTGTTTTATTTACCTTTCACTTAAACTAGATTGGTTTTACTTACAAACATAATAAGCACAGAGATAATTTCATTTAAAAATGTCCATTATAATTTTATCTTGGAATATTTATTTTGGTGGTTATTGTTAGTTCATTTAGGCATGAGCATTTTGTTTCCCATCTGACTAGACATTTATCTGATCATGTTAGAATATTGTAGCATCTGCCTGCAATAAAAGTTTCATGCAAAGTACTTTTATCACAACTCCTTAAGGATGGAGGAGTGAGACTTCCCTAAGTCGAAAATAATTGGTTTAGTATTTTTATGCTTGCCTGCTAATAAATATTTAATTGTGGCAGTATTTGCCTGAATATTGCTTTCATTATAACATATAACCTAGCAAAAAGTTTGTGGAGGAACTTTTTACCACTCTCACCTGTCTCAGACAGTTGCAGAATGCTCTGATTACAGATGGCCAAACTGGCTTGAGTCATCTCAGTTGAAAACAATAACTCCTTATAATAAGGAGTAAGAAATATTACTTCTGTTTCTTCTCCCTTGTCTCCCTTCTCTTGTCTCTTACCACGAATTCAGAAACTCAATGTATTTATATAAATATTATAATGTACTTAATTTCCATTAAATAGGTTTTAAATGGTTTTTCCGGCTCTAAACAACCTCATAAAAATAAATATAGCACTTTAAAAATTCATAGCTAGATCACTTCTTACTAGAATGCTAGATTGGCCTGAAGATATTTCAATATTTTAAGTAATTTAATTTAAATTTTAAAATATTTAGGTATTAGTAGATTCAATTTTTCAATGTCGATTAATTACATTGATTGTTTTCAGTACCTCATGCATAATGATTCTGCTTCTGCAAATAGAAATCAAGGTTTTTATTTTTTAGGTTAAAAACACATATCACATCTTTTTCTTCTTTGAAACTACAACTTTAGCTGCCAGCAGAAGTTCCTTGGGGGTTTTAAAAACATCAATCAGTTTCACAGCTGGAGAGAGTACTTTTTTAGAGAACAATTTTAGCTAAAAGAAAAGTAGGCTTTGTCATTTATGAAAGCACGTAACGAGTTAAATTCAAGAAATTGCAAGAAACAGCTTTTCACTCACAACTGACTTTATGTGAAGACAGAAAAAAAAATAGAGTAGGCAAAGTAACTAAACACTTACCTAAAATCTTTACATCCCAGTTATGTCTCAGGACTGCAAATAGTGATGTGTGATATGGCCACAGGGCAGGCTTGGCCTGGGGATGCTATCTGTTCAATTCTGCCAAAAAAAAAAATCCCTGATACACCAGTGTTAAGTCAAAAGCACTTTATTATTTGTGCTTCTCCCTTAATTGAAATGTCTGAGCCTCAAATCTGAACCTCAAGTCTAAATCTTCACAGAAAAGGAAAATCCAAGATCTCAAGTGAAAGCATTACTTAGCATTGACTTAGGTTAGAAATTGTATTTTATTTACCTGTCGCATGAACTAGATTATTTGTATTCACAATCATAATAACAAAAACATAATATCATAAAGAGGTCTCCATTATAATTTTATCTTGAAATATTTATTATAGTTGCTATTAGTTCATTTAGGCAGAATATTATAGTTATTAATTGTATCTTGTTGCATTTTAAAGGAAAATATGTTTTTTAAAGGGATGATTATTTGACATACGTAGTAAAGCTTGGTTAATGGGAATTTTGTTTTTACCAATATTTTAAAGGGGACAATTTCCTTCCCTATGTAATTGCCACAATATTTTGATGAGTATGCAAAGGAATCAGGTTATACTTTTAGTCAATTAAGATAAATGTAAAAATGCACTACTGAATAAAGCTCATTCTTTTGTTGTTGTTGTTTTTGTTTTTTGTTTTTTTTTGTTTTGAGACGGAGTCTCTCGCTCTTGTTGCCCAGGCTGGAGTGCAGTGGCTTGATCTCGGCTCATTGCAACCTCCCCCTCCCGGGTTCAAGCAATTCTCCTGCCTTAGCCTCCTGAGTAGCTGGGATTGCAGGTGTGCACCACCACACCTGGCTAATTTTTGTATTTTTAGTAGAGATGGGGTTTCACCATGTTGGTAAGTCTGGTCTCAAACTCCCAACCTCAGGTGATCCACCCGCCTTGGCCTCCCAAAGTGCGGGGATTATAGGCATAAGCCACCACGCAAGTCCAGCTTATTCATTTTTTATTGGTTCAGACATATGAAAGAAAACTACTGTGCTATATAAGCATAACTTATATCAAAAGCTATTACTCTTTTTTATTTTTTACTTTATTTTAATTTTTCTTGAGACAGGATCTCACTCTGTCACCCAGGCTGGAGTGAAGTGGTATGACCTCACTCAGCCTTGACCTCCAGGCTCAAGTGATTCTCCCACCTCAGCCTCCCAAGTAGCTGGAACTACAGGCATGTGCCACCATGCCAGGCTAATTTTGTTGTTGTTGTTGTTGTCGTTGTTGCTATAGAGGTGGAGTCTCACTATGTTGCCCAAGTTGGTCTTGAATTCCTAAGCTCAAGCAATCCTACCACCTTGGCCTCCCAAAATGCTGGGATTACAGGTGTGAGCCACCATGCCTAACAGCTGTTTTAATAGTTTATAAATTTGTGTGCAGAAATACATTCATCTATGACAAAAATATAACATGGCAATTTGGTAATTGACATTTAATTCCACCCAAAGAATTGTTTTAAATAATCCACAGAGATTTCCCTCAGAAAAATCCATCAAACTTAGAAGGAAGGAAGAAAGCTTTATTTCTTTTGTGATTTTAACTACCTTCTATGTTTAAAAATGGGGGAAAATTATTGACTGTGAAGATGGATTAATGTTAATAAAATCATTTGAAACCCCCATTTTGATATTTATTGTGTAAATACTAATGTATGAAACAACTCAAGTGTACTTTGAAACAACAAATTGAGACTTTCTGTTCTTGATTGAAGATATTTGCTCATATTATTTGATTTGTCTGACTGTAGTCTTTGAAATTATCCATTTTACCCAGAATTTTTATTTATTTATTTTTTTATTTCAGTAGTTTTGGGAGAACAGGTGGTGTTTGGTTATTTGGATAAGTTCTTCAGTGGTGACTTCTGAGAATTTGGTGCACCCATCACCAGGGCAGTGTACACTGTACCCAATGTGTAGTCTTTTATCCCTCACCTGTCTTGAACCCTTCCCCTCGAGGTCCCAAATTCCATTATATCATTCTTATGCCTTTGCATCCTCATAGCTCAGCTCCCACTTATAAGTGACAACATACAATATTTGCTTTTCCATTCCTGCATTATTTCACTTGGAATAATGGTCTCCAACTCCATCCAAATTGCTGCAATGCCATTATTTCATTCCTTTTTATGGCTAAGTAGTATTCCATGGTGTGTGTATACATACATATATATGTGTGTGTGTGTGTGTGTGTGTATACGTATATTATATATATATATACACGTATATATACACACACACACATACACACATTTTCTTTTTTCACTTGTTGGTTGATGGGCATTTAGGTTGGTTCTATACTTTTGCAATTGCAAATTGTGCTGCTATAAACATGCGTGTGCACGTGTCTTTCTTATATAATGACTTATTCTCCTTTGGGTAGACACCCAGTAGTGAGACTGCTGGATTGAATTGTAGTTCTACTTTTAGTTCTTTAAGGAATCTCCATTCTGTTTTTCATAGTGGCTACTAGTTTACATTCCCACCAGCAGTGTGAAAGTGTTCCCTTTTCACCACATCCACACCAACATCTATTATATGTTGATTTTTTAATTATCACAATTTTTGGAGGAGTAAGGTGGTATCTCATTGTGGCTTTAATTTGCGTTTCCCTGATAGTTAGTGATGTTGAATATTTTTTCGTATGATTCTTGGTGATTTGTGTGTCTTCTTTTGAGAATTGTCTATTTGTATCCTTTGCCCACTTTTTTAAAATTTTATTTTATTTTAAGTTCCAGGATATAAGCACAGAATGTGCAGGTTTGTTACATAGGTATACATGTGCCATGGTGGTTTGCTGCACCTATCAACCCATCACCTAGGTATTAAGCCCCACAGACATTAGCTATTTGTCCTGATGCTCTCTCTCCCCCAACCCCACCAACAGGCGTCGGTGTGTGTTGTTCCCCTCCCTGTGTCCATGTGTTCTCATTGTTCAGCTCCCACTTATGAATGAGAACATGTGGTGTTTGTTTTTCGGTTGCTGTGTTAGTTTGCTAAGAATAATGGCTTCCAGCTTCATCCATGTCCCTGCATTCCTTTTTATGACTGCATAGTATTCTATGGTGAAGATGTACCACATTTTCTTTATCCACTCTATCGTTGATGTGCATTTGGGTTGATTCCATGTCTTTACTATTGTGAATAGTGCTGCAATAAGCATATGTGTGCATGTATCTTTATAGTAGACTGATTTATATTCCTTTGGGTATATACCCAGTAATACAGTTGCTGGGTCAAATGGTATTTCTGGTTCTAGATCTTCGAGGAATCACCACAATGTCTTCCACAATGGTGGAACTAATTTGCATTCCCATGAACAGCATAAGAGTGTTCTTATTTCTCCACAGCCTCACCAGCATCTGTTGTTTCTTGACATTTTAGTAATTGCCATTTGGACTGGCGTGAGATGGTATCTGATTGTGGTTATGGTTTGAATTTCTATAATGATCAGTGATGTTGAGCTTTTTTTCATAGATTTGTTGACCACATAAATGCCTTCTTTTGAGAAGTGTCTGTTCATGTCATTTGCCCACTTTTTGATGGGGTTATTTTCTTCTTGTGAATTTAAGTTCCTTGTAAATTCTGGATATTAGACCTTTGTCAGAGAGGTAGACTGTAGAAATTTCCTCCCATTCTGTAGGTTGTCTGTTCACCCTGAAGATAGTTTCTTTTGCTGTAAAGAAACTCTTTAGTTTAATTAGATCTCATTCATCAATTTTTGTTTTTGTTGCATTTGCTTTTGGGGTCTTAGCCATGAATTCTTTGCCTGAGCCATCTAGAAGAGTTTTCCCGACGTTATCTTATAGAATTTTTATGGTGCCAGGTCTTAGATTTAAGTCTTCAATCCAACTTGAGTTGATTTCTGTATAATGTGAGAGATGAGCATCCAGTTTCATTCTTCCACATGATGCTTGCCAATTATCCCAGCACCATTTGTTGAATAGGGTGTCCCTTCCCCACTTTATGTTTTGGTATACTTTGTCAAAGATCAGTTGGCTGTAAGTATTTGGCTTTATTTCTGGGTCCTCTATTCTGATCCATTGATCTACATGCCAATTTTTATACCAGTACCATGAAGTTTTGGTAACTATAACCTTGTAGTATAGTTTGAAGTTGGGTAATGTGATGTCTCCAGATTTGTTCTTTTTGCTTAGTCTTGCTTTGGCTATGCGGGCTGCTTTTTAGTTCCATATGAATTTTAGAATTGTTTTTTCTAGTTCTGTGAAGAATTATGATGGTATTTTGATGGGAATTGCATTGAATCTAAGGATTGCTTTTGGCAGTATGGTCATTTTCACAATATTGATTCTACACATCCATGAGAATAGGATGTGTTTCCATTTGTTTGGGTCATCTATGATTTCTTTCAGCAGTGTTTTATAGTTTTCTTTCTAGAGATATTTCAATATTTCACCTCCTTGATTAGGTATATTCCTAATTTTTCTGTTTTGTTTGTTTTCTTTTGGTTTTTCTTTTTGCAGCTATTGTAAAAGGGATTGAGTTTTCGATTTGATTTTCAGCTTGATCACTGTTGATGTATAGCAGTGCTACTAATTTGTGTATATTGATTCTGTATCCTAAAACTTTACTGAATTCATTTATCAGATCTAGGAGGTTTTCAATGAATCTTTAGGGTTTTCTAGGTATACAATCATATCATCAGCAAACAGCAACAGTTTGACTTCTTCTTTTCCAATTTAGATGCCTTTTATTTCTTTCTATTGTCTTATTGCTGTGGCTAGGACTTCCAGTACTATGTTGAACAAAAGTGGTGAAACTGGGCATCATTGTCTTGTTCCAGTTCTCGAGAGGAATGTTTTCAACTTTTCCCCATTCAGTATAATACTTGCTGTGGGTTTGTCATAGATGGGTTTTATTACTTTGAGGTATGTCCCTTCTGTGCCAAAAGTGATACTGGACTTTGTTAAATGCTTTTTCTGCATCTATTGAAATGATCACATAATTTTCATTTTTAATTCTATGTGATGTATCACATTTATTGACTTGCATATGTTAAACCATCCCTGCATCCTTGGTATGAAACCCACTTGATCATGGTGTATTATCTTTTTGATATGCTGTTGGACTAGCTAGTATTTTGCTGAATATTTTTCATCTATGTCCATCATAGGTATCACACTGTAGTTTTCTTTTTTGTTATGTCCTTTCCTCGTTTTGGTAGTAGGGTGATACTGGCTTCATAGAATGATTTCGGGAGCAGTCCCTCTTTCTCTGTCTTTTGTAATAGTTTCAGTAGAATTGGTACCAATTCTTCTTTAAATGTCTGAAAGATTTCAGCTTTGAACCCATCTGGTCCTGGGCTTTATTTTGTTGTTGGCAATTTATTACTCTTTCAATCTCACTACTTTTTATTGGTCCGTACAGTTTCTATTTCTTCCTGATTTAATCTATGAGGGTTGTATGAATATATTTTCAGGAATTTATTTATCTCCTGTAGATTTTTCTGGTTTGTGTTCACAGTAGCCTTGAATAATCTTTTGTATTTTTGTGATATCATTGTAATATCTCTCATTTCATTTCCAGCTGAACTTATTTGAGTCTTCTCTCATCTTTTCTTGGCTAATGTTACTAAGAGTCTATCGATTTTGTTTATCTTTTTTGTTTTATTGGGTTTTTTTGTTTTTTGTTGGTCTTTTTAGTTTCAATTTCATTTAGTTCTGCTCTGATCTTTGTTACTTCTTTTCTTCTGCTGGGTTTGGATTTGGTTTGTTCTTGTTTCTCTAGCACCCTGAGGTGTGACCTTAGATTGTCTCTTTGTGCTCTTTCAGATTTTGTGATGTAGGCACTTAATGCCACATCACAAAGCTCTTAGCTTTCTTCCTAGCACCCCTTCTGCCATATCCCAGAGATTTTGATAAGTTGTATCACTATTATCATTCGGTTCTAATAATTTTTTAATTTCCATCTTGATTTTAGTGTTGACCCAAAGATCAATCTAAGAATAGATTATTTAATTTCCATGTATCTGTATAGTTTTGAAGGTTCCTTTTGGAGTTAATTTCCAGATTTATTCCACTGTAGTCTGATAAGATACTTGATATTATTTAGATTTTCTTAATTTTATTGAGACTTATTTTATGGCCTATCATATGGTCTACCTTGGAGAATTTCCCATGTGCTGATGAAAAGAATGAACATTCTGCAGTTGTTGCATTCTACTAAGAATTTATTTGCCAGAATTCTCTTCATAACTCAAATCTTCTAAGTTTTATATCATGTATTTAAATAATGTACTTTTCCATTAGCAACAATAACAAAAATCAACTGAATTGGAAATAAAATAGCCTAATGACGATTGGAGAAATCAGCAGGGAATGGTATAAAGAGGGAAAGTCTCAGTTGAGCACCTACATGAAATGATTCCAGGCACTTCAATTTTAAACATCACAGATACGTAACTATAATTTTTCAGGGTTTAGAAATAAGGAAACTGGGGATCAAGAAGATTAGGTAACATGCCCCAAAGTAGTTAATAAATGTAGAGCTATGGCATTCAAAGTCAGGACTCGCTGATTTCAAGCCCTCTGAGATGACTAAATAAATGTTGTAATCCTTTTGTATAGTCCTATAGTGGGGTGCCAGAACCTTCTCCATCAACAGCTGTTGTGTACCTATTGTGGGCTACTGCCCTGCCTGGAGAACTACACTTCTGAGTTGTCACATCACCAGATCCCCCACAAAGGCACCCCACAACCAGCTTTGGCTCTGGCAACCACAGGAGACCACTGGGTCCCTAGGAAGCTATGGGTTCCCTGGAGATCTATCCTTCTGAGCAGGCTTCTCCTAGAGAAGGAGGTCCCAGCCCACCAAACACTTCCTTGGGAGAAATGAAATGCAGGCATGGTGCCAATCATTGAGGGAGGTGGCATTGGCTGCTGGGAACAGACATGGAGTGGGGGTATCTTCTGCTCCCACTGCCTACTGTTGTGGATGCAGCAGAGGCTCTCCCTACCGGAGGCCAGCGTGTGTGCACACAGAGAAAGCCTTCCAGTGCTTAATGTAGTGGCTGCATTCCCGTTTTACATGAGCCTGCACCTCATGGGCTTCCATGAAGGGCAAAGCCCATCTACCCCTCCTTACACACAGTGTCACCATCAGAGGAATGGAGGGCAGACACATCGCAGTGTTGCCTGCTCTGGACTGGGGGAAGAGGCTCTGCATTAAGCCTATTCTTGTAATGTACACATATGTTGACTGCAGCACTATTCACAATAACGAAGACATGGAATCAACCTAAATGCCCATTAATGATAGACTGGATAAAGAAAACGTCATACATACACACCATGGAATACTATGAAGCCATAAAAAGGAATGAGATCATGTCTTTTGCAGGGACATGGATGGAATTGGAAGCCATTATCCTCCTCAAACTAATGCAGGAACACAAAACCAAACACAGCATGTGTTTACTTATAAGTGGGAGCTGAATGACGAGATCACACAGATACATGGGATTAAAAACAGCACACACTGGTGCCTGTCAGAGGGGGCTGGGGGAGGGAGAGCATCAGGAAGAATAGCTAAAGTATGCTGGGCTTAATGCTTAGTTTAGGGGATGATCTGTGCAGCAAACCACCATGGCACACCTTTACCTATGAAACAAACCTGCACATTCTGCACATGTACCCCTAAACTTAAAATAGAAGTTGAAAAAAAATCTGCTGTCATAAAAGCATAGTGCTAGTGTTCAAGATAAGCTTCTTGAAACCTTTGCATTCTCAGCCCTGCAGGACATAATGTGTCAGCTCATACATCCAATACATCACTACAACAAGCAGCATTTGAGAAAGCCACTGCACAAAAGCCATCTACAAGCAAAGAACACATATAGAGCCTTGGTTTCCTGAAAACATCGAGAAACGAAGCCAACCAAGCAAACATAATACACATCACAGTTGTACCATCTAGGAAAAAAAGAATAAAAATGTAAAATTCCCATCCAAATGATAGCAAAATCAAAAATAAGCAGCAGTTTCTTAGATGAGAAGGAATGAGTACGAGCTTCCCGGCAGTACAAAAAGGCAAAATATTTCTACACCTACAAAGAACTTCACTAGCTCTCTAGCAGTGGATCTGAACCAAAATAAAAATTCTGAAATGACAGATAAATAATTCAAAATATAGATTGCAAAGAAACTCAGTAATATCTAAGAGACAGTTGAAAAACAATACATACACACACACACACACAAGAAAAAAAGACTTCGGATATAAAAGATGAAATAGATATATTTTTAACAAACTGGAACTTCTGGAATTGAAAGATTGACCAAATAAATTTCAAAAAGTTGAAAGCTTTAAAAATTGACTAGACAAAGCAGAGGAAATAAGTTTAGAGCCTGAAGACCAGTCTTTCAAATTAATCCAGTTGGAAAAAAAAATACATTTAAAAATGAACAAGTCCTCTGAAAAATATGGCATTATGTAAAGTGACCAAATGCTTAACTTATAGGCATTTCTGGGAGAGAAAAAGAAAAAGATAGCAACTTGGAAAACATATTTGAGGGAATAATTCAGGAAAATTTTCCTAATTTTGCTTCTAAGGTGGAAACAAGAAATTAGAGAATATCCGTGAAATACTATAAAAGATGAACATCACCAAGGTATATATTCATCAGACTATCCAAGGTCAATGCTAAAGAAAACTATCTTAAAGACAGCTAGAGGAAAGGGCCAAATCACCTATAAAGGTAAACTCATCAGACTAATAGAAGACTTCTCAGCAGAAACATTACAAGTTAGAAGATTTAGCCTTCTTAAAGTAAAAAAAAAAAAAAAAAACCAGCCAAGAATTTTATATCCTGCCAAAATAAGTTTCATAAATGAAGGTGAAATATTGTCTTTCCCAGACAAGCAAGCACTAAGGGAAGCACCAGACCAGACCTGCAAGAAATGCTCAGAGGAGTTTTAAACACGGAAATGAAAGGTAATACTTGCTGTCATAAAAGCATGTGTACAAACTACAAAGTACAAAGTTCCAATCTATAATGCAATTACACAATTCAGACTCAAAACAACTAGCTAAGAAAAGCATGACAGGGGTGAAACCTTACATATCAATATTAACCTTGAATGTAAATGGCCTAAATTCTCCACTTAAAAGATATAGATTGGAAAATTGTTTAAAAACAAAAAGAAAACAAGACCCAACCATCTGTTCCCTCTCAGAAACCCACCTAATGAGTAATGACACCCCAGACTCAAAGTAAAGGGATAGAGAAAGACATATCACACAAATCGAAAATAGAAAATAGTAGGGCCAGCTATTCTTGTATCAGAAAAAAAAAAAAGACCTTAAATCAATCATGGTAAAAAATAAATACATTCGTACATACATACATACATACAAAGAAGGGCATTATATGACAAAGGGTTCAACAAAAAGATTTAATGATCATAAATATACATTTACCCACCACTGAAGCATCCAGATTTATAAAACTAACAATACTGAACATAAGAGATAGATAGCCATACAATAATAGTGGGCTATTTCAACATCTCATTGATAGCATTAGATAGATCATCAAGGCATAAAACAAACAAAGAAATCCGGACTTAAATTGGAGTCTTGACCAAATAGACCTAATAGACATCTACAGAACATTCCACACAACAACCACAGAGTATGCATTCTTATAAGACATGTACTGCTGGATTTGGGTTGCTAGTATTTTGTTGAGAAATTTTGTGCCTATTTTCATCAGGGATATTGACCTGTAATTTTCTTTTTTGTTGTGTCCTTGCCAGATTTTGGTATCAGGATGAAAGTAGCTGGGCCTGGTGGGTCATGTCTGTACTCCCATCACTTTCAGAGGCCAAGTTGAGAGGATGGCTTGAGCACAGGAGTTCAAGAAACACAGACTGGGCAACATTCAGACCTTGGATAGTTTCATGACTATATACCTTGGTGATGTTCATCTTTTATAATATTTCACAGGTGTTCTCTAATTTCTTGTTCTGGATGTCTACCTAGATAGCAAAATTAGGTAGATTTTCCTGAATATCCCTATCCTTCAGAAAGAAGAAGAGCTGGTACTGGCATGGGACATTCTTGAAAAGTGACCATATGTTTGGTCACAAAGCAAGTCTCAATAAATTCAAAAAAATCAAAATCATATCAAGTATACTCTTGGACCATAGTCCAAGTGGTCCAAGTATCATATCAGGTATACTCTTGGACCTTTTGCAATAAAATTAGACATTAATGTCAAGAAGAATTCTCAAAACCACACAAATACATGGAAACTAAATAACTTGCTCCTGAATGACTTTTGGGGAAACAACAGAATTAAGGCAGACATTTAAAAATTTTTGGAACAAGTGAAAATAGATACACAACACACCAAAACTTCAGCAAACAGCAAAAGCACTGTTAAGAGGAATGTTTATAGCACTAAAATCCTACATCAGAAAGATTAAAAAGATATCAAATTAACAACTTAATATCACACATCAAGAAACTAGAAAAACAAGAACAAACCAAACCAGTGTTAGCAGAAGTAAAGAAATAACAAAAATTAGAGCTAAACTAAATGAAATTGAGATCAAAAAAATTCAAACAAAGAATAAATGAAACAAAAAGTTGGTTCTTGGAAAGGATAAACAAAATTGACAGACTGCTAGATAGATTAATCAAGAGAGAAGGGAAGGCCAGGCACAGTGGCTCACGCCTGTAATCCCAGCACGTTGGGAGGCCAAAGTGGGCGGATCACTAGGTCAGGAGTTCGAGACCAGCCTGACCAACATGGTGAAACCCTCATCTCTACTAAAAATACAAAAATTAGCCAGGCATGGTGGTGCATACTGGTAATCACAGCTACTCAGGAGGCTGAGGCAGGAGAATCACTTGAACCCGGGAGGCGGAGGTTGCAGTGAGCCGAGATCGCACCACTGTACTCCAGCCTGGGTGACAGAAAGAGACTTTGTCTCAAAAAAACAAACAAACAAAAAAATAGGGAAGACAAATAAGCAGAATGAGAAATGACGAAGGTGGCATTATAACTGATACCACTGAAATACAAGAGATCCTCAGATATGACTATGAACATCTCTATGTGCAAAAACTAGAAAACCTAGAGGAAATGGATAAATTCCTGTAAACATACAACTTGTCAAGATTAAACCAGGAAGAAAGCGAAATCCTGAACAGGGCAATAATGAATTATGAAATTGAAGCAATTAAAAAAACTCCCAACCCTAAAAACAAGCCCAGCACCAGACAGATTCACAGCTGACTTCTACCAGAGGTACAAAGAGCTGGTACCAATCTTACTGAAACTATTCTAAAAAAATAGAGGGGAAGAGATATCTCCCTCATTCTATGAAAGCATTCCATTCTTTTGTATTTATTTTTATTTTTTTGCAGAGATGGAGTCTTGCTATGTGGCCCAGGATATGTTGCTTGAACTCCTGAACTCAAGCCATCCTCTCACCTTGGCCTCCAAAAGTGCTGGGATTACACGTGTGAGCTACTATGCCTGGCCACTTTAATCTCTATACCAAAATCTGGCAATGACACAACAAAAAAATAAAAACTGTAGGTTAATATCTCTGATGAACATAGACAGAAAATCCTCAACAAAATACTACCAGCAGCACATCAAAAAGATAATTCATCACAATCAAGTGGATTTTATTCCAGGGATGCAAGGATGGTTAAACATATGCAAATCAATAAATGTGATTCACCACATAAACATAATTTAAAACAAAAAACATATGATCATCTCAATAGATACAGAAAAAAGCATTTGATAAAATCCAACACCCCATATGATAAAAATCCTAAACAAACTAGGCATCAAAGGAACATAGCTAAAGTAATAAATGCTGCATGTAACAAACCCACAGCCAATATCTTACTGAAAGAGGAGAAGTTGAAAGCATTTTCCCTAAGAACTGGAACACGACTAGGATGTCCACCCCAACCACTCCTATCCAGTGTAACACTAGAAGTCTTAGCAAAAGCAATTACCTACAAGAAAGAAAGAAACGGCATTCAAAGTAGCAAAGAGGAAGTTAATTATCTCTGTTCGCTGATGACATGATCTTACAATTAGAAAACCCTAAAGATTCCTCCAAGAGGCTCTAGACCTGATAAATGACATCAGGAAATGTTTCAAGATACAAAGTTAATGCAAAAAAAAAATTCAATTGCACTCCTAAACACCAACAACAAACACTAAAGCTGAGAACCATATCAATAACTTAACCTCATTTATGAGAGCCGTAAGGAAATTCCTAAAAATACACGTATAGAAGAAGTGAATGACCTCTCCAAGGAAACTGTTAAACACTGATGAATGAAATAACAGATTACACAAACCAATGGAAAAACATTTCATATTCATGAATAGGAAGAATCAATATTGTTAAAATGACCATACTGTCCACAGCAATCTACAGAATTAATGCAAGTCCTATTAAATTAATAATGTCATATTTCATCAAATCAAAATAATTCTAAAATTTGTATGAAGCCAAAAAGTCTGAGTAACCAAAGCAAGCCTAAACAAAAAGAATGAAGCTGGAGGCATCACTTTATCCCACCTCAAACTACACTACAAGGCTGGCATAACCAAAACAGCACGGAACTGGTGCAAAAATAGACACACAGCTCAAGAGAACTGGATAGAGGGCCCAGAAATAAAGCCACATATCTACAAGCAACTGATCTTAGACAAAGATGACAAAAAATAAGCAATAGGGAAAGTACACCCTATTCAATAAGTGGTGCTGTGAATACTGGCTAGCCATATGCAGAAGAAGGAAACTGGACCCCTATCTCTTACCATATACAACAATTAACTCAAGATGGATGCAGACTGAAAGCTAAGACCCCAAGCTGTAAAAATCCTAGAAGAAAACCTAGACAAACTCTCCTGGACACTGGCCAAGGCAAATAATTTATGATTAAGACCTCAAAAGCGAATGCATTGTAAACTATAATTGACAAATAGAACCTAATTAAACTTAAGAGCTTCTGCACAGCAAAAGAAACAATCAACAGAGTAACCAGACATCCTACAGAATGTAAGAAAAATTTGTAAAGTATGCATGTGACAAAAGACTAATATCTAGAATCTGTAAGGAACTTAAGCCAAGAAGAATAAACAACCCCATTAAAATGTGGAGAAAGGACATGAGCAGACACTTCTCTAAAGAAAACATACAAGCAGTCAACAAACATATGAAAAAATGTTCAACATCACTAATAATCAGAGAAATGATAATTAAAATCCCATTGAGATACCATCTGACACCTGTCAGAATGACTATTATTAAAAAGTAAAAAGTTGAGAGATGGTAAGGATGCAGAGAAAACAAGATGCTTATACCCTGTTGATGGGAATGTAAATTAACTCAGCCACTATGGAAAACGATATGGAGATTTCTCAAAGAACTAAAAATAGAACTACTATTCAACTCAACAGTCCCACAACTGAGTATCTATCTAAAGGAAAAGAAACCATTTTATGGAAAAGCCACCTGTGCTGTTATAACAGCACTATTCACAATAGCAAAGTCATGGAATCAACGTGTCAATCAATAGTTGACTGAATAAAGGAAATGTTTTACATATACATATATATATGTGGAATACTACATAGCCATAAAAATGAATGAAATCCTGTCTTTTGCAGCAACATGGATGGAGCTGGAGGCCATTATCCCAAGTGAAAAATTCAGAAACAGAAAATAAAATACCACATGTTCTCATTTATAAGTGGGAACCAAACAAGAGGTACGTATGGACATAAAGATGGAAATAATAGACATTGGGGACTCTGAAAGAGAGGAGGGTTGGGGTGCAGGGAAGGGTTTAAATACTACTTACTGGGTTCTATGTTCACTATGGGTGAGGAGTTCACTAGAAGCCAAAATCTCAGCATTAGGCAATATATCCATGTAACAAACCTGCATATATACCCCTAAATTTAAAATTGAACTAAATTAAATTTAAATAAAATACTTTTTTCAAAAATAAAAAGGACATGAAATTAATACCAGAAGTTATCTCCCTCATGACTCTATTATCGAGTCTAATTTTGACATGAATATCTCTACACACATTTGTTATCACTAGTCTCACTCTGGGCATGCAGAAAAGCAAAAAAGAATTGACTCTGTGCAGCTGTTATTTATTTCTGAGGCTAGTACAAATTTAACAAGGTGCCAAAGGTCTTCTACTTCCAATTAGCACCAGAACTAAAGTATCTGAATACTTATTTACCTGAAGGACCTCACCAATTAAGACATATTTATGTAAAAGAAAAAAAAACAGATGTAACTAAGTTTATCCAAATGAATCTTTTATTTTGAATTCCAGAATATCATCGTACCAGTGCACAAGTTATCCTGTCTTCAGTATATATCTATACACATGTATATTTATTTATGTATTGCCTAAGGGGAATGTTATGTATCTTTCTCCACTGAATAAATGCATATTTAGCTGTGTTTATAGAAGAATAGAAGAACATTTGGGCACAAAAAAGAGGGTATTCAAGGGCAAGTGTGTCTCTCTGACCTGAGATTTACAGCCTCCCCTTGATGTGGAGACAGTTATGCATATAAATCTTTGTGCACTGAGAAGTGAATCTATTCCCTATGCTCTGTGTTAGGTGCGGGGAAAGAGAGCACAGCAAGAACAGATGTGGCCATTCGCTCAGTTACCCAGTGAAAACAAGTAATTGCCATGGCAACTAGAAAATATCATGTGGGAAACGGACCGACCTCTAAAATTCAGAGTGCTTTATGCTATAGGAATTGCATCTGTATACTCGCTTGTGAAGTAGATTTCCTTCCTATGTGAGAGTACTACAGTGTTATGACAATTATAATTTTTTTTATTATTATACTTTAAGTTTTAGGGTACATGTGCACAACGTGCAGGTTTGTTACATATGTATACATCTGCCATGTTGGTGTGCTGCACCCATTAACTTCGTCATTTAGCATTAGGTATATCTCGTAATGCTATCCCTCCCCCCACCCCACAACAGTCCCCGGTGTGTGATGTTGCCCTTCCTGTGTCTATGTGTTCTCATTGTTCAATTCCCCCCTATGAGTGAGAACATGCAGTGTTTCGTTTTTTGTCCTTGCGATAGTTTGCTGAGAATGGTAGTTTCCAGCTTCATCCATGTCCCTACAAAGGACATGAACTCATCATTTTTTATGGCTGCATAGTATTCCATGGTGTATATGTGCCACATTTTCTTAATCCAGTCTATCATTGTTGGACATTTGGCTTGGTTCCAGGTCTTTGCCATTGTGAATAGTGCCGCAATAAACATACCTGTGCATGTGTCTTTATAGCAGCATGATTTATAATCCTTTGGGTATATACCCAGTAATAGGATGGCTGGGTCAAATGGTATTTCTAGTTCTAGATCCCTGAGGAATCGCCACACTGGCTTCCACAATGGTTGAACTAGTTTACAGTCCCACCAACAGTGTAAAAGTGTTCCTATTTCTCCGCATCCTCTCCAGCACCTGTTGTTTCCTGACTTTTTAATGATCGCCATTCTAACTTGTGTGAGATGGTATCTCATTGTGGTTTTGATTTGCATGTCTCTGATGGCCAGTGATGATGAGCATTTTTTCATGTGTCTTTTGGCTGCATAAATGTCTTCTTTTGAGAAGTGTCTGTTCATATCCTTCACCCACTACAGTACTACAGTGTTATGACAATTATAATTTTTTTCTTTCTCCTTCCAATACCCTGTAGTTTTACTTGGATCACTAATCGAACAAACTAGACAGAAGGCATAGTCCTTGATGTTAGAACTAGAAAACCTACTATTAGAAGATATAAATAAATGGTGAACTGCCACAGAAAGATGAAAGGACTCCTACTTTCAAACAGCTCAGGGAATAAAAAGCTCAGGTTATGTGTGAGAGCATTTCAGCTGCCCTTCAAAATAGCTGTACACTGACCCAAAGCTGTATTCTTAGCCATATGTATTTAATCCCCATATCAACCACAGGCTCTTTCTGTAGAAAAAGTAACAAAACTGAATGAATACATGGATTGTTGTTCCTAATGGATGTGTATCTATAATATAGATATAATAAAGGAAAAAGTAAGTAATTAAGCATTTACAAATTTTAGTAATTTTCCAGCTACAGGAATTTGTTGTAAGCATATAATTCAAACAAGATAATTACGGTGTAATTATTCCATGGTTAACATTCTCCCTAATATGAAAAACATCCAAAAATTAACTTTCGTGTATGGAAACCTGGGATTTGTTCAGCCTTTACTAGAGAATTTCTCTGAATGTGGGAACAGTTTGCTAGGAGCTGAAATTGGTAGATTCATTTCCGTTTGGTTTCCCTGCCACCTGCAGAGTGGAGCCCACAGGAAAAGCAGCATGTGTGGTTAATGTGCACACTTGCCCTTCTCCTTAACTCACTGGTTTAGAGAACCTAAGTTAATTGATGTTCTTACCTTCTCCCAATCATGAAGAAAGCTGGTATTACCTAAAAATCTGAGTACTGAGTCCATTGTCACTCTCCTGGAAGGAAAGGAAATAGGCCATTTAGGAATAACACTAACTTTAAATCTGAAAAGTGAAAACATCCATTTGTTCTTAGAGATACTTAGATTGTGGCTCAATAGAAAGTGCTCTGAACTAGGAATAAATAGAGATCGATTCTAGCTGCACGTTCCCCATGATCAGTGGCCTTTAGTCCCAGCATTTCCTGGACTTTATTTCCACTGCGTGTAAAGGGAGGAAGAGGCTATCTCTAAGGGCCTTTTCTGCCCTAGGATGTAGAAACTTTGTAAAACTAGTCTTTAATCAGTAACATATAGTTCTATGTCCCTTATGAATTCAAAGCCTACTAATGTTATTTACCAAAGAAGCATAATAATAATTATAATGTATTCTCAATAAGGACATTGTTTGAAACACATTTTAGCTAAAAATTAAAATATTACTTCTCAACCTGAATGTCAAGTTGGAATTATATGGCAAGAAGAAGTGGAACAAGAATTATTATTATACTTTCATGGTCAATCAGAACAAACATTATAGTCTAAATTCATAATAATTAAAAACAAGGTGTATGTATAAAACACCATAATCAATGTTAAAAGATAAGCAACACGCTAAAAGATATTTGCAGTACAGTAAACAAAGATATTGTATCTAGAATATATAAAACAATTCTTGCAGACAAGTGAGAAAAGGACGAAAGATCCAAAAATAATGAACAAAGGATATGAATAGGAAATTCACAAAAGAGGAAGTCTGAGTATCAGAAAAAGTGCAACTAACACCGTAATGAAATCTGTCACTCATTATGTTGACAATTGTTAAATGTTTGACATTATTATGTATTGGCTAATAAGTGAACAAGCTGAAACTACTCACAACTGGTGGGAGTATACATTGGTATAACAACTTTGTTCAACACATTAATGAAATCCAGCAAAATTAAAAATATACATACCTATGATCTAACAATTTTAAAGATATCTTCCCTAATGAAAAAACACCCCCATATGGTCATAAAAAGTAATATATGCAAAGTTGTTTACTGTAAAATTGTAACAGCAAAAAACTAGCTATCAATATGGAAGTTGATTTAAGAATGTAGATTAGCAGAATAATAGTATACAGTAGAAAATTATTTTATATAAACCAGGTTTACACATTGGAAAGTACAAATTTTTTTAAGTCAGTTACAGAATGACTAAATAGTATGATATCATTTAAATAAAAATGTTAAAACACCACCTGCAAATTGTATTTTAATCATAAATGCATATATATGTGTGTGTGTGTGTGTGAAAATATACACTAGGAACTGATAGAACCTACATCAAATTCATCATAGTGAAGAATAGAAGTGATGGGTATAGTGGACAATACACATTTTTTTTGGTGTTTTGATCATAGAAGTTATAACAAATTATAACTGTACCTATAATTTTTTTATTATAATTTACAAAGCAAATAAGAGAAAATGTAAGTGCTTATAAATTTCAGTATGTACATACAGTTGTTTATACAATTTCTGTGTACTTTTCTTTTTTAATTTTTTTAAAAAATAATTTTTAGAAAATACGTGATTTAGGCCAGGCGCGGTGGCTCATGCCTGTAATCCCAGCACTTTGGGAGGCCGAGGCGGGAGGATCACCTGAAGTCAGGAGTTCGAGATCAGCCTGGTCAACATGGTGAAACCCCGTCTCTACTAAAAATACAAAAATTAGCCAGACATGGTGGCGTATGCTTGTAATCCCAGCTACTCAGGAGGCTGAGGCAGGAGAATCACTTGAACCTGGGAGGTGGAGGTTGCAGTGAGCTGAGATTGTGCCATTGCACTCCAGCCTGGGTGACAGAGCTAAATTCCATCTCAAAAAAATATATGTATATATCTGATTTATAAGTATACTTAAGTACTTACATTCTTCAAAGTAGATATAAGCACTTAGTAATCTAAACAAGTTAATCATATTGTGTATAACTAGATTGTTGTGTATTTGTTGAAACTATTATTTTCTGGTCATGCAAGTGACAGGATAAACTAAAATAAACAAACTGTCTCTTATTTCATTTAATGTGGCACAGAACTTCCTTCAACCAAATTGGTGAGAATTAAGTGTAATCTGGGGATACAAAATCTAAAGAATGCCAAGAAACTGTTTTAGAGTTCTCAGCTACACTGACATGGGAGAGGAGCTGTAGCATAATCTTCCACGTATTTGCACATTAGATGAATACCTCAGAACTGAAGGAACAAAGAATTAGTGATATGATAAATAAGTATTTCATATTTTTACAGCATTTCAAACTTAGGGACTGATAGTTTAGGACACTGGTTTGTTTAACGTAATTGGAAAACTTCAAGTTAAGAACATTTAGAAGCATTGCATATCACCAATGAGTGAGATTGCAGCTTTTACTGGCAGACTTTAATATGTATCAGCCCAGTCCTTTTTGTAATTACTCAGCCAAAGGAAGAGTGAAGTTGAATTCTGTGAACTTATTAAAGTATGGCACTAAAGAATCTCCAGGGATATGTGACATTTCCATTGTCTAAGAGAAGATAAAGAGAAATATTGTGATCTTGTTCAAGGCATTGGGGTATTAGAGCAGCACTGCAAGTTTATAGTATTTCCTAGATGCTAAGCCCTTCAAAATAATCTGAATGCTGTCTGTTAGAAAAGCAAGAGGAAAAAAACAGAGTCTGCACTTTGTAAAGAATGATAAGGAATGGGTAGGGCTCATTAGAGGATGGTTTTAAAGCTTTCTGGCTTTGAGAGCATACCTTCAAAAAGTAATAAACCATTGAGCAAGGAAAATGGGGGCAGGGGAAGCCTAGCAGATCAAGATCTTGGGCAAGATTTTTATTTTCCGGTTCATCTGAAACCACAACCAATAATCTCATTATTGTTAATACTGTTGTATCTCTGAACAGGATTAGTACATTTAACAATAAATATACTTATCTATGACAGAGCCTGTTTTCAAGTGTGAATCTTAAAAGAGTAAACATAAGGTTTCCTTAATTGAAACCAGCCGGTACATAACAAAGGAATCAGGATAAAATTAGGAGAAAGAAAAGTGGTAGAGTTAGAACAAAAGAGGGGGTGAGAAGTAAAAATTAAGCTGGGAAAGAATAGAAAGAAGTGGTTTGGGAAAGAGTCCAAGCGGGAAAAAAAGAAGCAGAAGTATAGTATCTAGGGAAATACAAAGGAGAAGAGGCCAAGTAAACCTGAATTTTGCCTGACTTTATAAGTGAGTAGGAAAACTGGGTTCTCTCTAATGGATACAGCTAATATTCAGGAGGAGCCCAATTCAGTCAATCACACATGCATCAAAGTAATTGCTTCCAAATTCATCCCTGAATAGCTGGGAGCTAGCAAGTTATACCACATACTAAAGGAGGGGAAAGAAAGGATTTCTCTGTTCATCTGAGGACCAAAAATTTAGCTTAAAGAGACTCCTCACATAAAAGTGTTAGACCAGGGACTCAAGCAGAAATTTCTGGAAGGGTTCCCTCGGGCTTTATTAGCTAAAAATTAAACACCTCTCTAACATCCTTGGAATTCATATCTACTTGCGCTGTGTTTAAAGTGGGAATTATCTGAGGGTAAAGTGGCTTGAAAGCCTTTGCACATTCGGGTAACTTTTTCTCAATGGAATGAGTTTACCCCAGAAGTACTCAATCATGGAAGTTAACAGCTAAAAGGTTGATAGCAATTAAGATTTTGATTAATACAGACGAAAAAAATGAGAAAAAATAATTCAGATAAGGAAAGAACACCAAGAAAAATGCCTATAGCGCTTTCTGAAATTTGATTCAATAAATCAATGGAGGAGAAAACAGAATAAAAGTACTTCCACTTTAATGATGATTGTTCTAAGAAGGCAATTTTTAAAAACCTGGACCTGTAACCAATGTCACCTGAAAAGCTTATTAAAATACAGAGTCCTGGGCCCCACTGCTAGATTAAGGTATCGTAGGTCACAGAGTAGGTGGGTATGAGGTTGGGTCAGAGAATCTGTTTCCATGGGCTGCTATTTGGTTCCAGGACCTCACTTTGAAAATCATTGATCTATGAGATAACACATTGTTAAGCACTGTTAATTTTGTAATGAAAATTCTAAAAGTTTTACCTAGATATTTTAACAGAATTTTGGTTCTTCCCTGTTCCCAGTCTTATACGTTTTGGTGGTGGTGGTACAAGAACTCAGGCAGACACCTAGGCAGTAAGGTCTACAACATCGGAAGAGAATAATAGTTTCTTCTCATTGAAAAATATATCCCAATATGTCAATGCAAAACAACCTGCAGAGGTTGAGGACTGCATATTCTCTTAGAGCAGATTTATTCGCCAGACCCTACAGTAGGGCCCTCACCAGAAAACTATTAGTAATTGCCAGGGCTTATCATCACTCATGACCATCCATGTACATAGCAGGAGAGTTAGATTTAAGGAGGACTTATGAATTTAAGGAGAAAAGTTCCAGCTTACAGTTAGAGTTATAATTTTAGAAATAATGTACCAGATTGCTCCAATGTTAGTTTTAGTAAAACATGTTGGAAATAGAAACTCCAGAGAAAAATCTAAATTAATCTTTATTCCAACCACATAATTTATTGCTCTATGTGGAGATAAAGGACAAGAAATATGGAACCTCAGAAATGGTTATTTAGAGTTGATTTAATGAAGTGCATTAGGAAGTTAAGTAAGTGGCTTGTTTCATTAAATGAGACACGGAAGAAAATAAACACAATAAATACTGTAAGGTGTAGGTAATTCTAATGTTTACAAAGTATTTTGAAATCCTTCAAATGAAAATGCAAACTTCTGTCATTAATCACTTTATTCTAGCTTATCTCCCTGAATATTAGATTGGTAAATTTATTTTATGTGTTGTTATTGTTGTCCAGGATGATTTTACTAATTTATTTAAACTGTATAATAATAGTATATGGATGTGGCTATGCAAACTTAATAATAGATATGTCCAAATAGTATCCTAAAGTAGAAAAAGCTGCAATGCTTGAAAGATTTCAAAATACTTTGTAAACAATAGAATTACCTACACCTTACAGTATTTATTGTGTTTACTTTCTTCCAACCTGTCTCCTTTAATGAAATAAGCCACTTACTTAACTTCCTAGTGCACTTCATTAAATCAACTCTAAAATGTCTTGTTAGAGGTAATTTAGCCAAGAAAAATAGCTCAATATTGTATTCATTAACATCCGTTTAGTGAAAGAGACTGTGGTGGATTTACCTATAGACTTATCCAGAACACACAGTAGAACTGCAAAGACAAAGCAATACATTGATTAGGGGATGAGGCAAAGAAACTTGCTTTTAAAACCTGAATTACCTAGCTAATTAGCGTAAAATCAAGTTGTGGATATGACTTTTGCAATCAAATGATTTTCAGTTCAATTTGGCAAAAGACAATTTTGCCCAAGGCCCAGTATTTTGAATTTATAGCTACACTCGAATGTAATTTAAATAAGGGAAGTGTATGTTTTCTTTAAAATTACACATGGATGATTCTTATATGAAAGACATGGTTATGATTATGACAAGGAAGTGTCAGAAATAAACTGAATAATGACTCTAATACTTCTATTCAAGACAGTCACTATGAAGCCATCTATAGTTCTTTACATATTAGGAATACTAGCCCTTTAGCTGTGCTATAAATTGTAATTTTTTTCTCCAGTTTTTCATTTGTCTTTAGATGTGCTTTGCTGTGCCTTTGCCATGCAAAAGTGTTGCATTTTTTTAATATAGTAGAATTTACCAACTTTTAAATATTACACCTGAATTTTGAGTCATCATTAAAAAGCCTTTTCAACATCCTGGTTATTGAGAAACTTACAAGTGTGTCCTTTTACTAACTGTATGTAGTTTCTAAATGCAGGTCACTAATTCATTTGGAAATTTATTTTCCTCATGTATAGTGTGAGACATGAATCTTAATCTTTTTCAAAATTGTTAACCATCTATCTCAGCACCATTTATTAAAAAGCCTATTTTAACCTAGTGATTTCTTATGACATTATTATGCACTTAATTTTTACATGTACATTGGTCTGTTTCTGAAAAACCTATTCTGTACAGGTCTTTCTATTTATGGGCCAATACTATATTGCTTTTGTTAGAGAGAGTATTGATTTATTTAATATTTTGTGAGGCTAGTCCCCTATAGTTTCTCTTTTTCATTGTTTTTCTTGCTACTCTTGCATGATTATTTTTCCACATTAAATTTTGTATCAAGTTTTCTGGCTTTATATGACTAGTTCATTGATACTTTATTGAATTGTGTAAAATTTACAAATTACTTGGAGGATAACTGACATCTTTATGATATTGACTTGTTAAAGAATGTGTACAAACCTACATTTATGACTTTTAGGACTAGACTTTTCTTCTTATAGGTTTTGCTCATTTCCTGTTAAATTGATTTCTAATGATCTCTTTTTCTGCAGCGATTGAAAACAGTTTTCTCTATCATTTTATTTTCTAATTGGCTATTTATGTAGATGAAGCTTATTGATTTTTGTATATCATTTGTATGTCCCGCTACTTGACTTATTTTTATTGGTTAGCAATATCATTGATTCTCTTAGGTTTTCTAGGTGTACTATACTAGCTTCCTCTAATAGAGAATTGTTTACTTTCTCTTTTCTAATTCATATGCTTCTAATTGATTTATTTAACTAACTTGGGCAATACCTCTAGTACAGTGTTAAAAAAATAGAGGGGGAATTGGGAATATTTGCCTTATTTCTTGTTTACAGATATATGTGTGGGTGGGCGTAAGTAGGGAGAGAGAATCAATCTTGCATTCCTGAAATAAATACCACTTAAATGTGGTTCTATAGTATATCTTTACTGATTTTTTTAATGAGTTTGCAGCTTTATTTCTTGTCCTATCTTTATTTGGTTTACTTCCTGATGTTAAAGTAACTTCAAAAGTAAAAGTTGGGGCATTTTTCGTCATTTACTCTGCTAGATACATTTTACACTATATTGTGATTATCTGTTCTTTGGAGATTTGGTAGATTTCCTCTGGGAAACTAACTGAGCCTGGTGCTTAATTGTAGAGTAGTTCCTTAATAGCTTTTTCTATTTCTTCTACAGAAATTGGTTTGGTTAAATTTCCTAACTCTAATGGGGCCAATTTTGGTAACAATCATTTTTAAATGATTTATTAATTTCATCTAGGCTTTCAAATCTATTTGCATATGGATTTGCAAAGTGGCCTTTTTCAATATTTTACAAAATAATTTGTGTCATTTATTACTTTGTATGTCTGTGTTTTCTCCATTGTCTTTATTAAATTAGCTAGACATTTGAATATTTTGCTGTTTTTCAAACAACATTTTTTATTTATTATTTAGAGCTATCAATTTTCTGGGCTTAACTCAATAATTTCTGCTTTTATATTTATTATTTCCTTCTTAATATGGTATTTTGGTTTACTTTGCTGTTGATTTTCTAGTTCATCTTTAATTGGAAATTTAATGCCCTTATTTTTAACCTTCCTTTTTTATTTTTATATGATCTGTAGCTACATTTTTACTATTTCCCATGAGGCCTGCTATGTAGTAGGTGAATTTTCACTATTTAAAAAAAATTGATAATATTTGTTTTTATTTCCCCTTTCACTCAAAAGTTGTTTAATAGAAGGTTTTTAAATTTCCAGAAGAGAAAGTTTTCTGTTTCCATCTTTTGTTTTCAAAGGTGGTTGCTCTGTTATTTGAAGCATAAATATTCATTACCAGTTATATTTATGTTATAAAATAGGACCTTTACAAGTAAAGTATTTCCTCTTTTTTCATGGCTTAATGCTTTTTAATTTAAATTCTATTTTGATATCAGAATTGCAAACTCTGCTTTTATCATGTTTTATTTGTCTAATACATTTTTGATTTATTTATAGCTTTTCTGCATCATTCTGTTTTTGGATTGTCTCTGTATACAGGAAGAGTTAGTTCTTGCTTTATGCGGTAAAAATTTCATTCACTTATTTGTAGAAACATAAATGTGATCTATTGATTGCATTGTTATGCTTAGTCACTAGCTTTGCCATTTTATCTTATAACTGCATGTATTGTGTTATATTTCCTGTTTGTTTTTATGTGATTTGATTTCTTTGCTGTTTTATTTGTTTATTTATTGAGATGGAGTTTCGCTCTTGTTGCCCAGGCTGAAGTGCAATGGTGTGATCTCGGCTCACTGAAACCCCTGCCTCTTGGGTTCAAGCGATTCTCCTGCTTCAGCCTCCCAAGTAGCTGGGATTACAAGTGCCCGCCACCATGCCCAGCTAATTTTTTTGTATTTTTAGTAGAGATGAGGTTTCACCATGTTGGCCAGGCTGGTCTCAAACTCCTGACCTCAGGTGATCCATCTGCCTCGGCCTCCCAAAGTGCTAGGATTACAGGCGAAAGCCACTGCGCCCAGCCTGCTGTTTTATTTTTAAAATTTATTATTTTTACTAAGGAAGCTTTGCTTTTTGTCCTATTGCTTGCACTTTGTCCTCTATTTTTATACAATCTTTTAGTATCTGTTCTATCAGTTGGTGATGATATCTTTTAATTCTTACATATTGTCTACGTAAAAATTAACAAGTCTTATGTTATTTCTTTCTCTCTTCCTTCTCCTATTTTTTAGTTTTCTTTTATCTGTTTTGTCAAAACATATGCCCCTTTATACATTATTCTTCTGTTCATGTCCTCACCTTTGTTTTAGTATTTATTTACAACTATCTATGTTAAATGCTCATCGTTAGACTTCTTCTCAAGTTTTTCCAGTTAACTCTTAGACAATTTTGTAAATGGTGTGAGGTTTCAATCAAGGCTCATTCTTTGGCCTCTGGGTATCCCATTGCTCCAGAACCATTTGTTGAAAAGACCTTTGCCTTTCTATGTAAATTTTGGAATAATTTGTGTATGTCTACAGTTTTTTTTTTTAATCTTTTTCATGCCTTCCTTCCTGGGGCTATGTGAACATTTTTTGTTTTGGGATTTCATTTTGATTTATCTACAGTGTTTTAAGTGTCTTTCTGCATACTTTTTTAGTGGTTGCTCTAGGCGTAAAATTATATATACATAGCTTATCACAGTCTTCTAGTGTTGAAATTTTATCAGTTTAAGAGAAGTGTAGAAACCATACTTTACGTCCCTTTACCCTCCCCTATTTATAACAAATTGTTTCAAATAATATATCTATTATCTCTGTAGATAGTAGAGCATTATTGAGAATCACCATAAACAGTGTTATAATTTTTGTTTGAGATGTAAAATAATTTAGAAAACTCGAGAGAGGGAAAGTTTATTGTATTTATCCATCTTTTTAATTACTGTATTATCTCTTCCTTCCTAATCTTTAAAAATTTCTTCTTTTATCATTTGATTTCTGTTTAGAGAACTTTCTTTAGCCATTCATTTAGGGTAAGTCTGTCTGCAACAAATTCTCTTCATTTACTTTGGCTGAGAATGTCTTTATTCTTACGGATTTTTGCCGGATATAAAATTCTGAGTTGACTGTTCTTTTCATTCAGCACTTAAAAATGTGTGTCACTTCCCTCTGTCCTCCATAGCTCTGGATGAGAAATTTGCTGTTCATTCAAATTCGTGTTCCTGTGTAAGTCATGTATCAGTTTCTTGATACTTCCAAGAGTTTTTTCTTTGTATTTTGTTTTCATAAATTTAACTATTGATGTGCTTTAACATGGATTTATTTGAGTTTGAGGTTCACACACCTTCTTCAATCTGCAGACTTTCTTTTTCTTTTGCCAATTTGGGAAGTTTTCAGTCATCATTTCTTCAAATAATTTCTCAAGTCCATTCTTTTTCTTCTGTCCTTCTGGAATGCCAACACTGAAGGTTATGGCTTTTGTTAAAGTCTTACATACCCTGAGTCCCCGTTCAGCTCTTGTTAGTCTATTTTCTCTTTCTTGTTCTGATTGTGATTTCTATTGTTCTATTTTCAAGTTCACTGTTTCTTGTCTGTTTTCTCCATTCTGCTATTGAACCTATCCATTTAATTTTTAATGTTAGTTATTGTATATTTTAGTTCTAACATTTCCTTTAGGTTCTTATTCATATCTTCTATGTCTTGCTGAGACTTCCCATTTTTTCATTTGTTCCAAGCATGTTTACAATCGATTGTTGAAGCATTTTTTGCGAGGACTGCTTTAAAATCTTTGGCAGATAATTCCAACATCTGTGCCATCTCAGTGTTGGCATCTGTTGATTACATTTTCGTATGTAAGTAAAGATGTTCTTGTTCTTGGGTATGATAACTTTTGATGAATACCCAACATTTTTATGTTATTCTATGAGACTCTGGTTCTTATTTAAATCCTGTGTTTTAGCAACACTTTGACCCACCTCTCCTGTGGGGTAAAGGTTGACTCTGCCTCCTTACTGCCAAATGAGGTGGAAGTCTAGGCATAGTCTCAGCTATAAACACAGCATAAACACTGCTTACAGTGGCTCTCAATAACTCTCTACTATATACAGAGATAATAGATATTATTTAAAACAATTTATTATAAATGGGGGAGGGTAAAGGGATGTAAAATATGGTTTCTACACTTTACTTGAACTGATAAAATTTCAACACTAGAAAACTGTGGTAAGCTATGTATATATAATGTTATGCCTAGACTCAGATTCCTATAACACCTGGGTGGATGAGAGGAGGGTACTCCTTGTTACTAATGCATGGGCTGGAAGTTCAGGCCCCCCATGTGACCTCCATCATGAGGATTTGGATATTATACCCAAGCCCTAGTAAAAGCCTAAGCTCTTCCTTAGGCCTACTCCAACACCACACCAGTAGGGAAAAGAAAGGATGCCTTGTTACCACCAGTTGAAGGTGAGGGTACAGGCTCCCCATGTGGTCTCTACTGACACTGCAGGGATAGGGGAACCTTCTCAACACCTGGCATGGATGAAAGTCTCAGGCCCCAATTAGCTTTTTCTGATACAACCCTGGCATAAGGGTTTGGGAGGCGTAGGAATAAGAGGTCTTGGGGCACCTCATCATATTCAGGTAAGAATAGACATCCAGGCCGGGTGCAGTGGCTCACGCCTGTAATCCCAGCACTCTGGGAGGCTGAGGCAGGTGGATCACAAGGTCAGGAGTTTGAGACCAGCTTGGCCAACATGGTGGAACCCCGTCTCTACTAAAGATACAAAAAATTATCTGGGTGTGGTGGCACACACCTGTAATCCCAGCTACTCCGGAGGCTGGGTCAGGAGAATCGCTTGAACCCAGGAGGCAGAAGTTGCAGTGAGCCGAGATCATGCCATTGCACTCCAGCCTGGGCAACAGGGTGAGACTCCGTCTCAAAAAAAAAAAAAAAAAATAGATGTCCAGGATGCCCACATGGTCTTTGTTGGCATGAGTAGGGACAGAGCCATGGGTTTCTTCTTGGGGTATTTGGCTGGCATAGCACAGTAAGTGTTGTGTCTTCCTTGGCTGTCCCTTTCCTGGTCCTTTGCTTAGAGACAGTAGACCTTTGCTGGTGCTTTTTTTCTGCACCTTGGCATCTCTTGGTAGTCTGCTTCTTTAATACCCTGTCTAGGATATATGAGACAAAAACCAAAATACAAAATCCAGGGAACTCATTTATGTACTGTCCCTTGGGTCCCCAAATTCTCAAGCCAATTTACTTCTTCCTTTTCACCTTTCAACATTTTTATATTTTTGTGTATATAAGATGTCCAGGATTTTTAACTGTACTTATCAGCAGGAATAGGAAAGTACATCTAACCCATTCTGTCTTCCCTGAATGCGCAGTCTCCAGAACTATCCTCTTTATTGCATGAATAAGATCAGTGTAAGCCTAGATAGTTTTCAAAATATAAACATTTGAGATTAGATATATTTGTTCTTTCATTCATAGAATACTGAGGCTTTAAAAATAATATTAATAATAGCTATCAGTTATTAAGCACTTAGTGTATGTCAAACACTGTGTTAAAAATCTTTTAAAATAATATAGTTAATCTTCAGAGGAAAGCTATGAGATACAGATTATTATCTTCACCTCACACTTAAAGAAACTGAGGGAGCTGAGTGGGGTGGCTCACACCTGTAATCCCCACACTTTGGGAGCTCAAGACAGGCAGATCACTTGAGGCCAGGAATTCGGGACCAGCCTGGCCAACATGGAAAAAACTCCATCTCTACTGAAAATACAAAAAATAGCCAGGGAGTGGTGGCACACACCTACACACCTGTAATCCCAGCTACTAGGTAGGCTGAGGCACGAGAATCACTTGAGCCCAGGAGGCAGATAGGCACATGTTGCAGTGAGCTGAGATCATATCACTGCACTCCAGCCTGGGTGACAGAGTGAGATTTTGTCAAAAAAGAAAGAAAGAAAGAAAGAAACTTTGGTTCACAATAAATAAACAACTTCCTTAGTTCACACAGATAGTGAATGGTGGAATTTTGTCTCAAATCCAGGTCATAATCTGAAGTATTTTTTATTTGGAAGCCCCTGTGACTGACTGCCTTTAGGAAATCTAGTAGATACCTAGATACTACTAAATAATCTAACAGATAAAGATCAGCATATAAGCTAACTTGACAGTTACACTGAAATATGAAGCTTAACTAAGTTGGCAGATTTCACCATACTACCTTTTATGGTTGACAAACATTTTAAATAATATCTCACAAAATGTTAATGCAATTATCTTCCATTTGTAATCAATCTCTTTCTTGGCTCTTTCTCTACATACTGCAGGAATAATTATCTTCAATTCAGAGCCAATCCAGACTGATGGAAGAAGTATGTAGCACAACCTCTATTATAACTTCCAATGGGTCTTGCAACAGAGTCATACTTGGGATCCAAAGCCAACCATGGATATTATGTTCCTTCATTCCTTTGCACTCCTCTCCCATCAGACTTCTCCACTGTGAGCTAATGCCCAATCAGATATTGCAGGCAAGCCCCACAACTACACTCTGCTCCTGCTTTTAACACTCTTGATCTCATTGCTATCATCTTAATTTCTAATCCATGAGCCTCATGGTGCAATCCTGTGAATGGCTATCCTTGCTCTTTCTTGACAGAGTAATCTTCCCACAGGATTGAATCTGTTGCATGTCTGCTCTTCCCGGGCAGATCTCCTGGAAAGATCTTCCTGAGAACTGTTGCAGGGTGAGCCTTCCTGACATAGGTGTTCTTCAAGGCATATTGTCTCTGCTATTGGAGACTGCTTGAATTACACCCAAGTTTGAAATATCTTTTGCAAATATCTTTTACATCTATGGTCGCCAACAAAAAGATGCACATATCCCAGGGAACACGTAAGATCACGTGTTGAGGAGCTGCAAATAAATATTAGATTTTTCATATTTATAGGTTTTTTAATAAAAAAGGAAAATGGAAAAAAGGATACTTCCCTATTATTTAATATGTAGAGTGATGCTGGTATATATACATGGAGACAATGTGAAGTAACCTGGGGAAGAGAAGAAAAGAAGTTATACAACATGAAAGCCCTGATAGTCCTCTAACTCATTGATTCAAGTTATTGAGTGTACTGGCTTCATGGAATATACTGTTTTAAATGGTAGAATCCTTGTAACACTTTGTAAAGATATCAGAAGTAACATTGAAAACCTTTTGTACCACACAGCAGTTTGAAGATCCAATAGTGAAGTACTTTAAAAAGTCATTGAGCTTAAAGATGAGTTATATGCTTCTTTTTTTTTTTAATAAAAATACATTTGTTTCAATTTTATAGGTCTTTTATATGGTAACACTGTCAGCAGTATGTTGTCTACAGACATTTGAAGAAATAAAAATATATGTACCTAGTTACTTATTTAACTAAATGGGATAGATACCATTTTAACAATAATTGAGAAAAATAACTTCTTTTTCAAAAGAATCTAAGAATCTCATAGTATAAAGGAACATGTTTAAAATGTTACTATTATTACGCAGTTCTGTTTTCGAAATGATAATTACTTCAACTCTGGTAAAAAGATTGCCATACATGGCCAATTAAAAAAAAGTGGAAACAGTATTTCTAACCTCTTATCTTCCAAATGAAAATTTCAGAAATGTCTTTTTAACCAATTTGCTAAAATTATTAAAATCTAACATCTTCCAGTTGGCAAGTAGTTTGCTAAAGCAACTGGTTGGCACTGGAGAAGATGGAAATATTAGCTGAACTTCTACAGAACTCTTCACATCACTGGCAAATATGGTTGAAATATGTGTATCACGATGTATCCAATGAAACCTTTCACATTAGTTGTATGTATCTTTTTGAAGTAACTTTTCAGCTCTAAAACCATTAGAAACTGGACTTGAAGTCAGTTTAATTTAGAACAAAAGTAGCTCTAGTTCTAATTTAGTTAATTAGTTAATTTAGAATTAAATGAGCTTTTAAAAAAATAAACTAATTTTAATTACAGTGCTTTCACTAAAAACTAATATTGATTATTTGATATTTTAATGAGAACAGAAATACTTGCTATTGTTAATAAGTTAACTAAAAATAAAAAATAAATGTATCTTAATCTTTTTTTTTTTTTTTTTTAGATGGAGTGTCACTGTTGCCCAGGCTGGAGTGCTGGATGGAGGGCAGTGGCGTGATCCCGGCTCACTGCAACCTCTCTCTGCCTTCCAGGTTCAAGCGATTCTCCTGCCTCAGCCTCCTGAGTAGCTGTGATTACAGGCATGCGCCACCACACCCAGCTAATTTTGTATTTTTAGTAGAGACAGGGTTTCACCATGTTAGCCAGGCTGATCTCGAACTCCTGACCTCAGGTGACCCACCCGCCTCGGCCTCCCAAAGTGCTGGGATTTCAGGCGTGAGCCAACACACCCACACCCAGAATCTTAGTTAATCTTTAGAACTTTATAATTTGTATTTTATTTATGTTTGATAATATATAAATTTGCTACTGTACTAATATAGTACACAGTTGTATAGTAGTAGCACATGTCTTGATATATCTTTTATATATCATTTTAGCTCTTTGGGTTATATGCTTAGAAAAGTAAGTTGCAAGAACACTGCCTCTGATGTTACAGCTGCCTTCTAAATCCTCTCTGAGGCTAACTACACCCTCGAACTCCATGCCACAGTGAAATGGGGACAATAAAAGAGCTCTTCACACAAACTTGCAAACTTATAGCTAAAGCTATTTACACACAAATACATAAATACATACAGAACGAGTGCTAAATTAACAATACATCACCAATAATTATTGAATCTAGGTGGAAAATATATGTGTTTATTCCTTAGCTTTTAGTTTTGTTTAAATATTTTTAGGGTGAAAAGCTTGAAGAATAAAACTCTTTATCCGTATATCTAGTATAACAACTAACTTTATTAATATATTTCCTAAATATTCTTCTATTCAAAAGTAATTATTGGGCTGCTGTTATATAAAGACGTTCATTTGAAAGGATTTTTTTGATATATGCCTTAATTTCCCATTTCTGTCTGTTCATATATATACAGTTCCTAGTTTCAATGAAAGAGAGAGTGGGATCTTCACTGAGTAAGAAGTGCCAAAGTATTTTTTTCTATAAAGCAGCTTTAATATATCAACTATTCTAACACAGGATTTATTCTTGGCAGAATGTATTCTATAGCTGCTATTTATATTCATTCTATTGTAATCTTTTCCTAGTCAATTTTTAACGAGGAGGCCAGATTAAAAAAATAAAACTCAAGAGGTTTGATTCCTTAAACAAACAAAAAAAAGGTGCTGAATATTCTTCATGGGAACCACCCAGAAGACAAAAATGTACACAGATTTCCAAAACACCCTTCCAAATCTTCAATGTCATTAAAATTGAATGTCACAGGGTTTCCCCTTTCTGTATATGTACAAACTGGGAACTAAAACTAGTTCCAGTAAGGAGGTTTCTACACATATATGAAAGGATTTTGATGACATTATAATAACCAACAGAGTGGAGCTGGAGCAGTTTGTGATGATTTTGAAATCTCAAGACATTTAATTTCTGTTATAAAATATTAATAAAACATCTGGCATGCTAACAAAATTATAAAGAAGTACATCACACAGGAGAGAGATTTGGTGGCATCGATCTGAACTCCAAACTGAGGTTTTTGAACTCAATTATGCATGTGCCTACTATTACATTTGTGTTAATTGTGTACTTAATGAAGAAAGGCAACATTTTCAGAGACAGACATAGTCATAACCTCTTCATATTCAATGTATTTCAAAAGTGTTGGGGCAGGACAGAGTCTGAGCTGGTGCTGTTTTTACATGCCTATAAGTAGAAATGACTTATTTTGTAAAATGAATGTGGATAGGTTTTTGTTGTTTTGCCATTAGGAGTTTGTGGTTCAACATTCTTTATTGCCGCAGGAATTTCAAGGCGTAGTATTTCTTATTAGGAGGAAAAGAAAGAAAAAGATGGCTGAGGATGATCATAAGTACTGTTATTCACTGAGGGGTGGATAGCATAGTAGCATAAGTTGCTGTAGTCACAAAGTTTAGGACAAGAGGCCAACTCCTAATTGTTAGGAGCCATAAGATAGCTGAAATAATATCTGATATAGCTATGCATGTATACTAGAATTGAACAATTCAAGTAAATAGATGACAGATGGTGGGAACCAAGCTTCTCATTGTTGTAGTGGGAGGTCATAAATAAGTAAGAAGAGAATGATAGAATGATCCATGTGGAAATGAATTAAGAGTTGGAGACATAAATATGAACTCATGTTTGCCTTAATATAGATATAGATTACTGCATCCAAAAATGTTTACAGAGATCTGGATATAAGTCATGTACTGCATAATAGTGTTTTGGTCAATGACAGACTGCATATATTATAATATGGGTGGTCCCATAAGATCATAATGGAGCTGAAAAATTTCCATTGCCCAGTGACATTATTGCTGTTATAACATCGAAGAGCAGTGAATTACTCATGTGTTTTGGTGCTGCTGGTATAAACAAAGCTACTACACTGCCAGTTGTATAAAAGTATATCGCACATATAATTATGTACAGTATATAATACTTGATAATACCAATAAATGACTGTGTTACTGGTTTATGTATTTACTATGTTATACTTATTACTGGTATTTTATAGTGCACTCATACTTATTTTTGAAAGTTAACTGTAAAACAGGCTCAGGCATGTCCTTCAGGGAGTATCCAGAAGAAGGCATTGCTGTCATAGGAGATGACAGATCTATGCATGTTATTGCCCCTGAAGACTCCCAGTGAAACAAGTTGTGCAGGTGGAAGACATTGATATTGATGATCCTGACCCCGTGTAGGCCTAGGCTAATGCGTGTGTTTCAGTATTAGTTTTTAATAAAAAGTTTAAAATGTAAAAAATAAAAATAAAAAATTTTAAATAGAAAAGAGCTTATAGAATAAGGATATAAATAAATATTTTTGTACAGCTGTACAACGTGTTTGTGTTTTAAGCTAAAGTTTATTACAAAATAATCAAAAAGTTTTAAAAAATTAAAAAGTTTATAAAGTAAAAACATAACAGTGAGCTAAGGTTAACTTATTGTTGAATAAAAAATATTTTTAATTAATTTAGTGTAGTCTAAGGGTACAGTGTTTATAAAGTCTACTACAGTAGTATATATACAGTAATGTCCTCAGCCTTCATATTCACTCACTTTTCACTCACTGACTCACACAGAACAATTTCCAGTCCTGCAAGCTCCATTCATGGTAAGTTCCCTACACTACTGTATCTTTTGTAGTCTTTTATATCATATTATTACTGTAACTTTTCTATGTCTGGATATGTTAAGATACATAAATGCTTACCATTGTGTTACAAATTCCTATAGGAAATAGTACAGTAACATGCTGTACAGGTTTACATACTATATAAACATACTATATAGTGTACTATATAGCATAGGTATGTAGTAGACTATACAATCTAGGTTTGTGTAAGTGCACTCTATGATGTTCACACAATGAGAAAATTGCTTAATGACACATTCCTCAGAATGTATCCCTGTCATTAAGTGACTCATGACTGTATATCAGTTAGTATACATGCATGTATTTTTTTGAACTCTCAGCTGAGAGGAGCTAAAAATAACACTTCAGTAGCAACAAGTGCACCTCGCACTGCAAGCTTGGTTTCTAACACTCTTCTCCAATAAAAGAACCAGGACTCCTCAGGAAATGAGGATCCTAGGACTAGGACAGGCAATTTACAAGATTCACTGGAGCATCTTCTAAGTGCCAGCAAATAAGGAAGTGCTCAAAAAAATAGTGATGGGTGTATGTGAAAAGGACACAGGAACCATCTGAAAGAATTCTGAATCACCAAACCTGGAACATTTTGTGCACCAAAATAAATAAAGGTGTATTAGAAAATAACTCAGACTGAGCGTGATGGCTCACGCCTGTAATCCCAGCACTTTAGGAGGCCAGGGCAGGCGGATCACCTGAGGTCAGGAGTTTGGACCAGCCTAATCAATGTGGTGAAATCCCATCTCTACTAAAAATACAAAATTAGCCAGGTGTGGTGGCGCATACCTGTAATCCCAGCTACTCAGGAGGCTGAGGTAGGAGAATCACTTGAACCCAAGAGGCAGAGGTTGCAGTGAGTCGAGGTTGTGCCATTGCACTCCAGCCTGGGCAACAAGAGCAAAACTCCATCTCAGAAAAAAAAAAAGAAAGAAAATAACTCAAACTATAAAATAAATATCAATTACCTCACTGTGATATTAGTAATAAATAAAGGATATTAATACTGAATAAATGGAAAAATAAACAAATTTCGTATGCAGAAGAATAAAAATAATTTATGTAGACACTTCACTCCTTCTTAAATGTAACCACACATAGTGACTTCCTTCCAAAATGTACAGCATGAAAAGGAAAGTGGGTACAACAACTTTACTACAGAGAATCCTGACAAACACTACTTCAGCAATGTAGCCAAGGTCAACATCAAAAGTAATAAACCATATTGATAGTATGTACCCTTGATATGCTGTGATTAAAATGACACTTAAGCTTTCTGGCCTTCCCTTAAAAACAGTAACCTCATTCTACTTACGAGAAAAACATCAGACCAATTCCAATAGAGGGGCATCCTATCACAGATCTGAAAATATACCTGACCAGTAGTCCTCAAAACTGTTAAGGTCATCAAAACCAAGAAAAGTTTGAGAAACTTTTACAGCCAAAATGAATCAAAGGAGATATAATATGATAACTATATGAATATGGTACCCTTATGGGACCCTGAAACAAAAAGAACATTAGGTAAAAAATCATGGAAGCATGAATAAAGTATGGGCTTTAGTTTATAACAATATGAAGTAGATATTGATAATATAAATTAATCAACTGTGACAAACAAACCATAATAGTATAATATGGGACTCTTGACTGATGTATAGGAAAACACTCTGTATACTTTTGTAATTTTTCTATAAATCTAAAACGGTTCTAGAATACAAAGTTTATTTCTAAAATGATTATATAAAAGTTTTTAAGGAAATCAAGTACATGTTGAGCATGCTTTACTAAATAAACATATACACATAAAAAGATAAGAAAATAAGAAATGTTCTTTACAAATATACGTGAATAAAATATGTCAATAACTGACTCAGAATCTCTTTGTGGCAAATATATTTCAACAGAATCCGAGATATAATAATATGTATCCTTGTTTTCACCTTTTAAGAAAATAAAGAAATATTTTATAGTAGAAAATTGTATTCTGTTGTGTAAAGGTGTAGTTTCTCAGAATAGGTGCAAGTAACAAACTTTGACTTGCATCACATCAAGTTTTATCTCAGCTCTGTCATTTGCAAGTTGTATGACCTTCTGCAATTTACTTATCTGCAGCTTAGCTTCCTCCTCCCTAAAACAGGAATCATAATAGTGTTGCAGAATTTTGCTCCTCAGTTCAGCTAAAACTGGGTTTTTGTCACATAATCGGAAAATTTAGGCACACAGACACATTGAAGGGTGAATGGAGCAGAATTTTACTGGGCAAAAAGGGGAAAAAAGAAAAAAACTCAGCAAAGTGAGATGGAGTACAGGTCCTCCACCTCACAGATAGATTCCAGGCCACAACACAGGAACTGAAGAGGCCAGGCTCCTCCCCAAGCCTATGGCTCCACCTTTTCCCCCAGCGTGCATGTGGCATGCTCAGACAAGTCCCTGGGCAGTTCCCTCATCTGTACAAAAGCATCTGATGTAAACACTTGTGGGGTGGGTCAGAGATTCTCCAGGAATCTCTTTTTATCTGCCTAGGCATTTGGCTGTCTCATTCTCTGCTTGAAAGATGTACATCTAACTGCCATTAGAATAAGGATAAGGATAAGGATAAGGATAAGGATAAGGATAAGGATAAGGATAAGGATAAGGATAAGGATAAGGATAAGGATAAAGACTGATCTTAACAGCTCCCTGCCAACAGGGGGTTCTGTTTTTGGAAAACGGGAGTTAGAGCTCCCTGAGAGGCCTATCTAAGGGTCCCCAGCAGAAGGGGCTATCGTCTGAGGCTCCGGTTGCATGACTGTTTGGAGTTTGATGGCCTGAATGTGACAAGAGACAAACTGGGTTATTAGAAAACAAGTATCAAAAATAAATGTGGGGTAAGTACAGCTGAAAAATCCTGATGCCTTTTTACCAGTTTGCACAGGGAAATGGAGGCCAAAAGCATAACTGGTAGAAACAAAACAAAACAAAACCATTTACCCTTTTGCTGTCATGTCAGGCTTCTGGGTTCCATTCTCCTGAGCCCAATCCTAAGCCAACCAGTGTAAGGTTTGGGAAATTAACTCTTCCCAATTTGGAGGATGCATCTGAGGGAAGTTTCCCATAGTACAGAGACACAATTACTTATTAGTGAAGAGGGGACAGAGGAATAAAAAGGAAAAAAGAAGGCATTTTTTTCAGAGGAGTCTCAGGGGTTCAGGATACATTTGAAAGTGGTACAGACTGAAGATGAATGGCTATTTATCTAGGAAGTGGGGAGCAGGCATCTCTGGTTTCTTTCTCTTCCTAGCAAATACCCAGGGTACTTGAGGGAGAGAAAACTAGGTAATCTTCTTCCTTTCCTACATCCTTGTATTCCCGAGTCCTGGCAACCACAACAGAGTGCCACCCAGGGTGTCAAAGCAGATTTCACCCATGTTAACAGGAGGTACAAGGGTGAGAATATCTGCTCTTACCCACATACACCCCACCTCCCCTGCTGTCAGTAGCCTTTGAATTCCCTAGACCTCATTTATGCCATGGATACTAGCATGATCTTTATCCATGAAACACAAAGCTTGGCTTAATCGGCAGGAATTAGTCATGCTCACCTGCTCTATGCCTTTTAACTTCCATTATCATCTGCCTCTGGATCCCTCAGATCTACTTCTCTTTCCTAGGGCTTTCACCTGAAGCTTGGAATTGAGTTTGGGCCAAAAATGTGTTTTGGGGGTGTTGTATGGACTCCTTCTCATAAGCCAAATGCTAAGGTGAAGCTGTGGAATTGAGTCCTCCCCCAACAAGGGAGAGAAAAGGATCTCTTGTGACGTGCCCAGATATCTGGTGGCTATAGTCATGTTGTTAAGATTTGCATGCGTGGAGCTTGACTTTGGTTAGCTCCCTTGGTCTTACTTTCCCAAAAAGGAAACCTCCAGGTAATGTGCACCCTATTTATATCCATAAACTGGCAAGATTTGCAGGATAGTTGCTCAGAACTAGAATATTGATCCAGATTTTTACATTAACAATCCCTCTTGTTCCTTTTGAGCTGCAGCTGCAAATTGCTGGTTGGTTTACAGGAATAAGCACAGTTGGTTTAAAATGTAGGCAAAAATTTAAAAAACAACTGAGTCTAGAATTTAATGACAAATGTATGATATGTTGTGCAACATAATTTGTCTCTCTCTAGTCCTCATTTCTGTTAAAAACAGATCATGATAGGACTGTGTTGTTTTGCAAAATATACTTTAGTCTTACACTTGGCCTTTTTATTTATACAATGTGCAGCAAGAATAATTATTTCTATGTAGGTCTTTTAGATTGACTTTGTTCTGTTCCACAAGGAATCTTAGATAAGACCTTTTAAAGCCTAGCCCAGCCATGGGTTTGTATCTGCAAATACCTGTAAGTTGTGTAAACTCCTCTCTTTTTGAGGTTCCAAGAGCATGTGGTTCCTGGGCCTGTTGAAAAGTGACAATCTTTACCCACAGCAAGTTAGGAACCCTGTACAGGGACTGTGTAAACAAGGGTAGGAGGCCAGTTTTTCCAACAGGCTCTTATCGGCTCTGAAAGTTGAGCTTGTCTCCTTAAAGGGAAATATACTCTTCCAGTCAAAGCCTTGGTAAAACAACCAGTTTCTCCAAATGTGCCCTGTTACAAAAGAGAATGCATTCTTATTACACTGAGGCAAACAACTATATTGCCATAAGTTAAAAATACTCACAGATAGTTGTCACATTCTAGAGGAACCAGGCAGAGAGAAACAAACATGCTCCAAATTTTGTTTAGACAGGAGTATAGCTTTATTAATTATTAAAGGCTGTAAATAGCCCAAAATAAGTTTCCTTGACTTACTGAAAAACAAAACAAGGATCAGCAATATTCCAAGCAAAAGTAAAAAAGATTAATTCAGTTTTCTATTAGTTCAGTCCACTCAGTTAATTTTTATTTTGCTTGATATTTGTGAACATTTCAGCTCTTCATGAGTTGAGTCCTGTACATTTTTCCTTTATTCTAGTGTTACAATCTCCAAAATTATCAGAAATCTGCATTTGAGAGCATCTGTCAAAGTTCTATAGTTGATTATAAACCATGCTTTGAAGAGGATCAAAACAAGACAATTATCTGTGAAGCACAAAATGTCCAGGATGGTTATAGTCAGAATCACAATTGGCACATAAATTTGTTTATCTCTATGGTACACAATAACATAACAACCTTGTGATTGATAGCATATACTCAGACATTAGAATTTTAGAAATGTCATTAAATTTTGGAACATATATTAGTATTATTCACCCAAATGTAACCTAAATAAGATTGAACACCATTTTGGCAATCTCATGTAACTAAACATGTCAAATACTCCTGTCTACCTCTCTTTTGGAAACTCCAGGGGTGCTCTGTAGCATCCAAAAGCCAGGCATTAGGAAAGACAATTTTGAAACTGAAGGTTGATATTGAGAAGTCTATTAAATATGTTAGAGGTTTGACACTTGATGCTATGAAATAGAATTTGAGGCCGGGCGCGGTGGCTCACGCCTGTAATCCCAGCACTTTGGGAGGCCGAGGCGGGCGGATCACGAGGTCAGGAGACCATCCTGGCTAAAACAGTGAAACCCTGTCTCTACTAAAAATACAAAAAATTAGCCGGGCGTAGTGGCGGGCGCCTGTAGTCCCAGCTACTCGGGAGGCTGAGGCAGGAGAATGGCATGAACCCGGGAGGCGGAGCTTGCAGTGAGCCGAGATCCCGCCACTGCACTCCAGCCTGGGCGACAGAGCGAGACTCCGTCTCCAAAAAAAAAAAAAAAAAAAAAAAAAAAAGAAATAGAATTTGAGATGACTCTAAATTATTTATCTTGCCAAAATGATGATTCAGAAATTTTAAAAAGCAAAAAATAAAACCCTTTACAAATTTTGCTAAAGAGCAGATTAGCACCTTAAAAGTAACTAGTTGTGTTTTCTTTCAATGCTCAATTTACAGAAAACCCATATTATACCCTTTGAATGTAGTCAATATATCCACACACAGAATTTTTGCAAGATTGATTTTTACAGTCCTTCCATCACTTGTTTAAACCTTCAGCTTTATCTTATCTAATTCAAAACAATCCTTCAACCAACTCTAGGCAAGAATTTACATCTCCCCGCCTTCTTATAACCTTTTACTAAATATACATCTTATTGTTCTTACACACTTCATATGTAAATCTATTTCCAGTACTCTCAATTACATGTTATATTGGTAACTCCTAGCAATTTTTAACTTTAATGTAAAACCTGGTAAGTTGTTTTAATTATGTATAAGGTGCAGCCAAAGTTTGACTCCTTCTAGAACAATTAAGGGCGTGGTTAATTCCATATGTCCCAGGCCTTACCAATTGTTAAGCAGGCAAGTCAAACAGTTCTCAAAAACCAAAAAAAGCAGTTTCTAACCTTAAACAATTTATCAAACCTAGTAACTGACCTACATAATTTAGTCTACCTATTTACATTTTGGTGACATCTGCATTTTACCAATAATCTTTAAGGTTGTTTTTATTTTTCAAAGATTAAAGTAACAGGAACTGAAAGGTACCACAGCTTTTATCTTCCCTTTAAAAACATTCGATCCAAGCACTTGTCTTCCTTTAGGCCAATTAACTAGAGTTCTTTTTATAGACATCACACACACAACACATATATAACTACACAAACAGGCAGGAAAAAACCGGTAGCCATAAGATTTTTCATTTGCCGATCTCCTGATTGAATTGTTGGCTTCTCATGCATGCATTAAGAGTGGCAAGACAAAATGGAGAAAAAGAATTCAGTTGACTGAGAAAAAACCCTTTTGCCAGCAAAACAAGATTCAAGAAAATAAAATATAAAGGCCTTTTAAATATACCTGTAACTTGGATATCCACTTTTAATTAGGCTGCATGCTCTTTAAGAAAATCCTTTTAAATCCCTTGTTACTTGACCTTAGCTGCACCAAGTGGACAATATTTCTGGCTTTACCAAAGGTGACCCCCAGGTGCTCGGAGAAATGAAAATACAAGGTGGTTCACGGAGGGGAAGAGAATAAACAGCAAAAGTTATGCAGATATCAAACCAGAAAGGACTCATTCCCTAAGCCAAGATTGAACTTGGCCGCCATTGTAAAACAATGGAGGCTAAACAAAACATGGCCACGTGGTTACGGGTCACATTCCCAAGAACATAAAACTAGATGGAAGCCTGCAGCAAAGTTTCCTACTGACCATACAGAAAGTCACGCAAAGCACATCAGATTGGCTACAGCTTAAGACCAACCTCACAAATCCGTTTTCATAATTAAAACTTTACAGAGGATACAAACAGTGATTCTTATCTTACCTAGCCTAGTAAAACATCTTCTAAAAAGAAAAAAAACCTCTCTCTTAAAAGTTAACTCCTGGCCAGGCGTGGTGGCTCACACCTGTAATCCTAGCACTTTGGGAGGCTGAGGTCGGAAATCATCAGGTCATGAGGTCATAATCCCACCTTTGGGATCATGAGGTCAGGAGATTGAGACCAGCCTGGCTAATGAGTGAAACCCCATCTCTACTAAAAATAGAAAAACTAGCCAGGCGTAGTGGCACGCACCTGTAATCCCAGCTACTCGGGAGGCTGAGGCAGGAGAATCATTTGAACCCAGGAGGCGGAGGTTACAGTGAGCCGAGATTGTGCCACTGCATTCCAGCCTGGCGACAGAGCAAGACTCCCTCTCAAAAGAAAAAAAAAAAAGTTAACTCCTGACCTGATGTAAGAAAAAAGAAAAGCTTAAAGTGCAGGACTGTGCTAACTTCTTTCAGGGTTAGAGGAAAGGTAGAAAAAAGTTTAAAGTGCAGTGTTGAGCCTGGGGGCAATATCTCTTATTCTTGTACAAATGGGTTCCTAACCCCAGCTGGGAGGCGGGTGGGGGAGCCGCTGGTGCCTGCAGTCATTGGGGTGGGGTGGGGTGGTGCACAGTTTCTTCTACCCTCAGAAGAAGTCAGAGGACAAAAAGGCTCAAAAGCAAAAAAGCAAAAGATATTTTGGTTCACACCTTATTCACCCTTTCTCAAGCCCCACATTGGGTGCCAAAATGTTGCAAAATTTTGCTCCTTAGTTCAGCTAAAATCAGGTTCTTGTCACATGACCAGTAAATGTAGACACATAGACACATCGAAGGGTGAGTAGAACAGGATTTTACTGGGCAAAAAAAAGCAAAAAATAATAATACCTCAGCAAAGCAAGATGGAATCCTGCTGCTAGGTCCCCCACCTCACAGATTTATTCCAGGCCACCACACAGGAACTAAAGAGGCCAGGCTCCTCTCTCAGCTTGTGGCTCCACCCCAATGGGTGCACTCCACCCCAGTGCACATGTGGGCATGCTCAGACAAGGCCCTCGGCAGGTTCCCTCATGTACACAAAAGCACCTGATGTTAACACATGCAGTGTGGGTTGGAGATTCTCTGGGGACCCCTTTTTATCTGCCAAGGCATTTGGCTGTCTCAATAGTACATAATTTATAATATTGTTGCAAGTAATAAGTAAATCAAGTACTTGTTACCATGCCAATGGTATAATAAGTGATCAATAAATGTTAGCTAGTGTTATTAATATAATTGGCACATTCCCAAGAAGCATCTATTTCTACATGTGTATTGTCCTTAACATGAACAAATATTTGACTATTTTGATACATAAAAATGTTATTAAAATTTCTCTAAGTGTAGCATTGTGAATGTGAAAGTCAGAACATTTTATATTGATCATAAGAGCATTGAAAGGAAGAGTCCAACTGAATCTCCCCTCTTCTCCTCTCCCTTTACTTCTTTTTCTCTCACTTTTTCCTTTTTCTATCATGATCCTTTTGTATACAGGAGTGACAATGACTTTAAAGAAATACAAGGATAAATGGAGAAGTCACGTTGTAGTGTCCTGGACTGAGATGGTGGGAGGTAATTTGGGAAAGACTGATAATTATATTAATCCAAACTGGTGACATATAATCACTTAATTGTGTCTAACCAAAGATAGTAATATTCAGATACACACTGCCAAAGCAAAATGAGTGAGTAAAACAAATGGTATCTTTATTGCTTGGAAATACATATATTAGTTTATTCAGATAATGGTCAACGAGTCATATGTACTAGGCCCTGGGTTAATCATGGTGTCACAGTGCTGCAATAAAGACATAATTCCTTTTCTTAGAATGTATCTAGTTACTGGGGAGGATGGTGAGGATTAACTACTAAAAAGAAAAGACATTAGAAGAAATAATGTCCAAAACATTTCCAAATTTGGTGAGAATTATAAATTCACAGACGCAAGAACCTCAATGAACTGCAAGTAAAAGAAACAGAAAGCAAACTACACCAAAGATTTTAAAATAAAATTGCTCAAAACCACTGATAAATCAAAAATCTTAAAAGCAGCCAGGGAGAAAAAAGGCTTGTTAGGAACAGAGGGCAAAGATGAGGATGACTACAGATATTTCATCATAAATAATGCAAGTGAGAAGATAGTGGAAAGATTTGATACAGATTATATACCAGCAGCTTCACTATCCCCCTTTTTGGGCAGAAATCAATTGGCAAGCTGATTCTGACATTTATGTGAAAAATCAGTGAATCCTAAAAAGCTAAAACAACTTCAAAAAGAATAACAAAGCTCAAGATCTTATACTACCTGATTTCAATATTTATAATAATATCATACTAATTGAAATAATGTGATATTGGCATGAAGTCAAATATAAGAATGTAACCCAATAAACAGTGCCAAAAAACACCCATATAATCATGGTTGATCAAGTTTTTGACAAATGTGCCAAGATAAATCAATCAAGAAAAGGATTTTCTTTTCAACAAATGATTCTGGAATAATTGGATATTCATATGTTAAAACAATAAACTGATACCTTTAGCTCACAGCACACATAAAATCCACACCCTAACTCAAAGTAAGTCATATGCATAAGTTTATGAGCTAAACCTAAAAAATCTCTAGAAGAAAACATGAGAAAAAATATATGACCTTTGGTTAGGTAAAGATTTCTTAGATATGATGCTATAAACATACTCTACACGCAAACACATACACACAAATTTGACTAATTGAGTTTCATCAAAATTGAGATCTTCTGCTTTTCAAAAGATACCATTAGGAAAATTAAAGATAAGTCATATACTGGGATAAACTAGCTATAAATCACATATATGGTAAAATACTTATATGCAATATATATAAAGAAGTCTTGAAAATCAATAACAAGTAGATGAAAGACACAATTTTAAAATGGATAAAATATTTGAATACACATTTCACCAAAAATATCGTGTCACTTTGGAAACATGTACTTAAAATAAGATGCAGCAATTTGAAAATTTCTTCATATATTTACCATAAAATACAACAATTCCATTTGTAGGCATTTACCAAGAAAAATGAAAACATGACCACAAAAAGACTTATACACAAATGTTCATAGCACTATTATTTATTATTGCCAAGAGCTGTAGACCTTCTAAATATACTTCAGTTTGTCAATCGATAAACAAAATGTTGCATATCCATAAAGTAGTGTACTATAAAAAAAGAGACAAATTACTGATAAATGCAACAAAAATGGATAAATGCAAAATAAGTGAAAGAAACCAAACATAAAAGGCTGCACATTGTGTGATTCCATGTCCTGGAAGTAGAAACTGGATTTGACTTCAAATGGGCATGAAGGCATTTTTGGGGGGATGGTCAGTTGTAAAATTAAAGTTGTGGTTGCATAAAGGTATATATTTACACAAATAAAAACCTCAAATTATACAATTACACTGGGTAAATGCAAGGTATGCAAGTTATATAAATTTATAAATTTCAATAAAATTTATGAAACTTTTTTTGTTTTTGAGATGGAGTCTCCCTCTGTCACCCAGGCTGGAGTGCAGTGGCGCGATCTCGGCTCGCTGCAAGCTCCGCCTCCAGGGTTCACGCCATTCTCCTACCTCAGCCTCCCAAGTAGCTGGGACTACAGGTGCCCGCCACCATGCCCAGCTAATTTTTTTTGTACTTTTAGTAGAGACGGGGTTTCACCATGTTAGCCAGGATGGTCTTGATTTCCTGACCTTGTGATCTGCCTGCCTCAGCCTCCCAAAGTGCTGGGATTACAGGCAAGAGCCACCATGCCTGGCCAAATTTATGAAACTTTAATAAATATAATTCGGAGAAACAAAAGAGAAAATTAATAAATAGCCTATCATACATCATAGAAATTGAATTTGCTGTAAAACCCTTTACATACATACACACACATGTTGTACGCACACAGTTATAACTTCAGTCCTATGTGGTTTCAGGAATGAATTCTACAAAACATTTAAGGAAGAAATAATACTAACCTAACAACTATTCTTTCAGCATTTTGGCATACAAAGAAGGAACAAACTTTCCAATTTATTTTATGAGTTGACCAATACTATAAGATATCTAGAAGATGTTAAAAAATCAACAATGAAGGATTAACATTCTTCATGAGCATAAAGACAGACATCATAACAAAATATTAGAAAAAAAATCCAGCAATATATAAAAGTAAACTTAAAAAGAACAAGAGTGGTATATTGTAGAAATAAAAGGTGTAACATGAGAAAATGAATCCATGTAACATACTACATCAGCAGAATAAAAATATCTTATGATCGTATCAATAAATACAGAAAAGTCTCTATAATCCCAGCACTTTGGGAGTACGAGGCTGGTGGATCATGAGGTTAGGAGATTGAGACAATCCTGGCTAACATGGTGAAACCCCATCTCTACTAAAAATGCAAAAACAAAATTAGCCGGGCGTGGTCGTCGGTGCCTGTAGTCCCAGCTACTTGGGAGGCTGAGGTTGGAGAATGGCCTGAACCCGGGAGACGGAGCTGAGATCGTGCCACTGCACTGCAGCCTGGGCAACAGAGCGAGACTCCATTTCAAAAAAAAAAAAAAATACAGAAAAGCTTTTGACAAAATTTAAGACCTACTCAGAAAAGAGGGAAGGAACTGTGAGATTTTTAGGAAAGGAAGATAATTTTCTGAATCAGATAAAGTGTATCTGCAAAAGTCATGCAGCTAATATGATACTTAAGTGAAACATGTATCTCTTTACTCCAACTTTAAGGATGTAAATAGGGTAAGCGTGTTTACTCTCACCATGCATGTTCAGAATTGTCCCATAAGTCCTAGCCAGTGCAATAAAGCCAGAAAAATAAACAAAATTTATTAAATCAAGAAATATAACTTCCCTTATTCATAGACAACATACTCTACATATACATATAAAAATACTACTTGAATCTATAACACCAAAAGTGAATTTAACATCACAGTGTACAAGATTGACATTCAAATATCAATTTTATTTCTATACATTGTTAGCTAATAATCCAAGAATCAAATTTAAATACTATTTTGAATAGCATAGAAAATATCAAAACTTGGGAATAAATGTAACAAACATATCCCAGAGTACTACATCAAACATTTTAAAACATGGCTGACACAAATTCAAGAAGTCCCTCAAAAATGAATTCAACTTTATGGATATACCAATTTTGATATTGTGAATGTCTTTCTAAATTAGTACAGAAATTCAATGTCATCCATATAAAAATGGCTGATTCTTTAAATTTATTTTATACAGAAATGCAAGAATCTAGAAAGTCCATAACAACCTTGAAAAAGAACAATAAAATTTTAGGATTTATGTATCTGATTTCAAGATCACTGTAAAGCTACTGAAATCAAAGCAGTTTGTTATTGGTATAAGTGTAACCATACAGGTTAATACGATAAAATATAAAGGCCAGAAATAGGCTCATACATATATGGTCAATTAACATTTGATCACAGTGCCAAGTCAATTCAATTAGTAAGAGTAATAATGATAAACTGTATAGAAACATCTGGATAGCCATATGAAAAACATTAGATCCCTGTCTCATTCTATACACAAAAATTAATTATAGTTAGATCATAGATGTGAATGTAAAACCTAGACCATAAAGCTTCTAGAATAAAAGAAAGGAGAATGGCTTCTTAAATTTGGAGTAGGCAAAGATTTCTCGGGTAACACTCAAAAACCCTAACCATAAAAGAAAAAAAAAATATATATATATATATATATGACTTCATCAAATACACCTGACACCATTACAAAAATAAATAGATGGAGCTACCAATAGGGGAAATTACTATTAACAGGCCAAACTTATCTATGGTGATTGAAGTCTGAGAGTGGTTGTTTCTGAAGGCATGAGGAGTGACTGGAAATGGCATAAGGAAATATTTTGGGGTGATGAAAATGCTCTGTATCTTGTTTTGGATGATAGTTACTAGGGAATATACAATTATTAAAAGTCATCAGACCAAATATTTGAGACCTATGCCTTTTATTTTATGTTAATTATGCCTCCAGTAAAAAACAATAGAAAATTTTCCAAACTTTAGAAATTTTATTAAAGTGAAACACTCCTTGACTACATAGAGAACTTAGCAATAAGCCCACAAACAGAAAGGGGAGATTAGTTTTATAAAATAGAAATTAACTAAATGATTATAGGTTAGGTAGAAAAGTGATCTAGACAATCTACTATGGAGTTAATCGCCTCTTGGCCTAAAAAAGGGAGGGTCTCCAGAGAAAAGAATTTTCTGCTAAAAAATGCGCATTGATTAAAATTCCTACCAGCAACTCAATCCAGATATTCTTAAAATGCATGATTCATTATTTTGACATCTAAATGTCATAACTATCTTTGATCCTTTTCCTTGGGGATACCTTGCCTAAATGTGATAGAGTGGTAGAAAGTCACGGAGAGTGGGTGAGCAAGAATCTCTTTTTCTGGATCTCTCTATTCCCACACAGAAGATAAACAGGCTTACCTCTGTTCTCACCCCCAGCCTCACTGGGGCTATGAAAATGCTGAACAGATTTCTGCCACTGCAGAGTCATTGTTCTCTTTTTTCTTAAATATAGTCCTACTGCTTTACTCATTAATAGGTGGGCCTCAGTGGGGTTGGCAATTCCTGTGCTCCCCCCTGCCTTTCTTTCTTTCCCCACATAAGCCAATGGACAATTGGATGACATTTCCTTGGCCACAATGGGCTCCTAAGAGATCTTCCAGTTATTTCTGCTATTTAACTAATCAATCATGTCACCCCATGGTTACTGGAAGTGTGTTGGCTAAAATGATCAGCCGTGTCCCCTGCAATAAAACTCAATGGGAAAGCAATAAGAATTCTTCAGTTACAAAAGGAGCCCTATCTCCCCATCACTTCAATCCATCCTTTTAAAACTTGCAGAATAGCTTTATATCTTCCTTTGAGCTTTTGGTGCTATGCATAGAAAGGAGAGGACATTCCAATATCAGGTTACTATCTAAGGGGTATACTTCATATGTTTTACTGTACAACTTATAATAGCAGTTAGGTACAAAATTACTGGAATAAATTACTTGTTAATGATCCCTCTGAAGTTCTTTTTTTGGGGTCTCCATCACAAAATTTACTCTTTTGGTAAACATGAAAACAGAGGGAAACATCATATCAGTAAATGACCAGGATTCCATTATGTCTGAGACAGTAACTATAATCAGAATTCTAGTCTTCTTTGTGAACTAAGAAATTCTTTCTACATAAAGATAAATTTAGCAGCATGTAATTTTCCTTCTTATCCACTAAATGTGGGATTGAATTAGAGTTTACCTAGAGAAATCTAATTTGTAGTTTTGAAAATAAGCAAAAAGCTGTTAGACTGCAATGTTGAAATTCTGATCACATTATATATGCATAAGAAGATAGTATCACGCAACGCTTTATTTACATTTGCTAAGTGTTTTTTTTTTTTCATCTTGTATAAACTAATGAGTGGTGCTGTTAGGGAATATGTGTATCCCTCTTTGTGTAATGGATTAAGTGTGAGTCCTGTTAAACGCTAGGCCATAAATCAGACTGTGTTCTCTATGGCTAATTAAGGGTTTAAAGGGGAAAAAGGTAAATTCTTGAATGAAGGGCTCTACTCAGAAGGAGAGTTTGTTATTGCACAAAGAAAGGAGAAAGATAAAGCAGAAAAGAGAGCAACTTAAGAAAGTGAAAAAGAAAACTATGGAAATATTTTTAGCTACTTTATTCTATTTTTCCTCAGATTCAAGAACACTTTAGCTGCTAAGGGTCTCGATATATGATGAAAAATTTTATGTTTCAACTAGTGCACTGAAATATACAAACAATACAAATTGGCCAGAGATTTAAAAATGAGTCTCAAAGTAGCTCTAATTTATCTTTTTAATGATATGCTTTGACAATATAAATAAAATCACCTAAAGAAAATTTTTGAAGAAAATGAAAATTTAATTGTCTTTATAGCTACACATATCTTCATAATTAAAATATGCTGAAATCTTAAAGTATTAAACTGTTATAGATTGCAAGTAAAAACAAAATGATCACAGTTATCCTACTCATGTCGTAGTGGAAGAATCGTCCCAAGTTTAGATAATCTTACTTTCGGATAATATTTTTAAGACTTCTATATGTCCTGAAGTGAAGCTAATTTGTTTATATTCATGGGAAAACTGACTTTAAATAGATATAATGAGGGACTCAAAAAGTTAAGGATATGTAGGAGTAGAATAAAAGAGACAAGGTCAGGCCGGGCACGGTGGCTCACGCCTGTAATCCCAGCACTTTGGGAGGCCGAGGCAGGCAGATCACGAGGTCAGGAGATCGAGACCATCCTGGCTAACAGAGTGAAACCCTGTCTCTACTAAAAATACAAAAAATTAGCCGGGCATGGTGGCGGGGACCTGTAGTCCCAGCTACTTGGGAGGCTGAGACGAGAGAATGGCGTGAACCCGGACCCGGAGCTTGCAATGAGCCGAGATCGCGCCACTGCCTCCAACCAGGGCAACAGAGTGAGCCTCCGTCTCAAAAAAAAATAAAAATAAAAAAATAAAAAGACAAGGTCAAAATTCATTTGCCCTTAGGAGCATCACTCAGTAATACTTGACTACACATAATGAATAATAGTGACACTTGGCTTTATTTTACTTTACTTTATATCTCCTAAATTGTTCAGTGGACTATAAATAGGACAGGAAAAAATGATACTAAGAGTAAAATGATAAAACTATAACTTGATTTGTTGGACGTTTATTGTATTAAAAACAAAAGGGATCATTTTCCTTTATTTCCAATGGTTTATTTTTTATTCAGTAAATATTTATTGCACCTTAGAGTATGACAGGGAATTTGCTTACTGCTTGAAATTTAGTGAATTGAGCAGTGGACAAAGGAGATAAGGGGCTCACCTTCATGGATTTTCCAGACCAGTCAGATTCTAAATGATCATTAACAAAAGATGTTTAGAAAAACTAAAATTATTAAATGTTATTATTTGAAAATTCAGAGATTCTAAGCTTATGCATAGTAAACAAACTTACTTCAAAAATAAAACCCATGGGGCATGGCCATCAGACCAACAAAGACCTCTTCCATCTCCCCTGCAACCCTGGCTTCCATTCTCTCCCCTCATCTTTTATTACTCCTTCCCCACTCCACCTCCTGTTCTGTGTTGTGCCCGCTGGTGGGATTTTGTTGGAGAGGAATGGAAGATGTTTTTATTTAATCCAGACTTCCTCACACAACATTCAACAGGCACGTGGATGGTAGCCATGTACACAAGGAGTCTGAATCCGAAGGAATCCCAGCCCCCTATCCCTGCCTGAAACACCTAAAGTTTCCCATATTTGGTGAACTCTTTGACCAGGATCCATGGCAAAAGCTTGTATCTCCTGAGGGACCACAGATATGAACAAACAACTTCTGTCCTCAAATCCTTAGGTGTCTCTTCTCTTGCTTTTGGAGCCTCACATTAACTTAGCCCATTTTCCAGTAAACCTCCATTTTGTACGGTAAACCATTTTCCAACACCTCTATTTTGTCATATGTAAATTAATATTTCTTCCTCTTTGGATTATATACCTATTTCTATTGATTGTTAAGCATGTTGCAATAAACATTACAGGAAATGAAAAAAATCTGCTGGAATTCTTGAGAGGAGATATGCACAAATGTTTAAGTTGTTGAATTCAGAACTATTAGTAGGAATGGAAATGAAGAAAGCAGTGGAATGCAGAGAAGCTGCTGTTACATGCCAATTGAACTCTGGAGGGATCTCCATTACTGTATAATTGGGATGGGGATTCAGAAAAGGGAGGATTTATAGGCAATTCTAACTGGAGCCTGTTCTCTGAGTTATTCCTCTCTACTCATTTAAAAAAAGAGTTCTTGAAATATATGTGATCTGATATGAATTTAATTGAATGTAAGCAGTGCTTGGTAGTTGTCATCTATCTAATTTAATATTTTCCTAGTTTTCAATTGTCCTGACTGACCTTTATTGCATTTGTGTTTGAAAAAGCTTTTCTCCATTCCTACAAGTGTGAATATTCAAATCCTACCCATTCCTCAAATCCCACCTGAAAACTTCTCTTTACTAAAGCTTTATTTAATCTCCCCAGCAGAGTTATTTCTCCCATTAATTTTCACAGAAATTTACTTGTACATTTCTTATAATGTATTTCACTTTATGTTGAAAAGCTATTCATATAATTTACCAAATTATAAAACATCTGTAATTGATTAATCTATTTCCTGCCCCCTGACACAAAGTAAATGTAGAAGAAAGAAGTCTAACAATGGTCTCTTGGAAATGGTGCTCTGTAAAATATGTTAATTTGACATAGACTATTCACCAAGTCTTTAACCAGACTTACCTGCTATGGACTATTTATATTCAAGTACCCAAAAGGTGAGGTAGAATCTAAGAGTGAGTTCATAAGATTGGTTATTTATACTTAGCTCTCTGTCAGAGAATGAATGCATAAACAATAGCTTTTTTTTTAAAACATCAATTTACATCTGCTTAAGTAGGACAATATATTTTCTCTTAATAACCAGAAATTGGCCTTCCTGTGAAATAACTGAATATGTATGTTTTCCTTTAGCTGGCTCCAAAACTCCTTATTAAGCACTATTTCACAGAAAATAACAAATTATATGTTATGTCTGATTGCTTAAAATAGGTATTTCTGAGTAGAAGAAAAAACACTAGAATGAAAATACTTTGAAAATATATCAATTACTTTAGCCATAAAGAGAATTCTGGAAAATAAAAGCAGATGTGAACGTGATTCAAATTTAATATATTTGAAATGTAAAGTAAAAATATAATACACCTGGATAGAATTATGCAAATTGCATGGATAAAATTTTCCCCTAGGGATAACTTCAGCGTGTTCTCTAAATCCATTTTAAAAAAAGAAAAAGTGCAGATAATCTTTTGATATTTTCTAAAACTGATGCATAGTCTTTTCTCAGTCTAATGAATTAATAAAACAAATATTCTAAAAGAATTATCATATGCAGCTCTTTATGATTATGAACTGTCTCTGTTTAATTTTTGGTAATCAAACATTTTTATTACTCCAATCATTTGACAGTGCTCTCAAAGGAATCACCTTACTATAATTGTTCTCATTCTGAGACATAAATCTCTTCATTAGATGTAAGTGTTCATTTTTTAGACAAGACTATTTTTAAACAGGCAGTATAGAATTGAATAAACAACATGAGATTAGGGTCAAAAGACTTGAATTATTAAAAATGATTTAGCAAGATATCTTGGATACATTGTCATGTTTTTGAGTTTCATTTCCTCATTTGTACAGTAGAGGGGAAATATATGTTTAACTGAGCTGTTTTGGGGATCAAACGATATAATGTGTATGAAAAAACACAAAGTACTATTTATATACCATTAATATCCTATTCAGGAAATAACTTCAGAAAAATAATCCAGTAGAAGTGACCTTTTTGTTTTCAGATACTCAAGACAAATACACATAATTACTGTGTGGGTCACAGCGTCATTTTTTTCTTTGCTTAAATAACTCTACTGACCCAAACAATTCACTAGAGATGTATGAAGTTGGAAAGATTACCATAAACTTTTAAGTCTTAACATATTTTTTGGTAGTTCGCTAATAAGGATAACAATCCAACACTTCATGTATCCCAGACCTGAAAATTATAATTTAAAAAATACACAAGCGTTAGCTTTTCAGTTTTTTCCATGTGCATCATGTTTTACTCTACAGAATGTTGACTACACGCTGTTTAAATATAATTAGCCCTACGGTATGGCATCGCGTGGATCCACGGTGACGGCTCTTTGGTCCTGCATTGTTTGAGATGCTGTAGGTGGTTCAACATTGTGTTAAGTTGCACGTACATTATTAGTTCTGTATCCGAAGACACTGGCTCTGTACCCTTTCAACAAGGCTCTGGGAGTTCCCCCAGCCAAGCAGAGACAGGGTTAAGGCAGTCCAACAGAGGAGAGTAGTGCGGTGTGTGTGTGAGTGAGTGTGCACGCGTGAGCGCACAGGACAGAGGCGTCGAGGTGCGGGGCGGACTCCTACACAAGTTCCAAAGGCCACCGTGTCCGCGGCTTTCGGCCTGAGCGGGACAGCGGGAAGCGGGTGGAACGGCCTGCACGGAGTGGGCAGCGCCCCAGGAATTTGGGGGCTGAGTTGGAGGGAGAGGGGTCTCGCGAGGGTTTCAGGGCGTGGCTGGAGTAGGGGGCGCGCGGCGAGTGTGCACGGGTGTGCGCGCGCGAGAGGGCGAGTGTGAGCGCGGCGAGTGTGAGCGCGGTGAGTGTGCGGCCGCGTCGCCATTCCCCGTGACGTCAGAGTGTATTGTTGTGAGCGGGGCCGAGCGGAGCATCCCCGGAGCTGTCACCGCAGCGGCCGCGGCGGTGGCGCAGCGCGAGCCCCGCACGAGCGAGCCCGGCCGGCGCCGCCCCCGCCCCTGGCCCGGGCCCCGCTGCTGCCGCCGCCCCCGCCCCCGGCCCGCCCGCCGCGCGCCGCCGCCGCCGCCGTCGCGCGCCCCCACCCACTCCACCCCACCCCCTCGCTCCATCCCTCCCACCCGCCGCCGCCGCCGCCGCCGCCGCCGCCGCCGCCGCCGCCACCGCCCGCGCGCCTCCCCCCGCGGAGCGAGTGCGGGTCACCGGGTCACTGGGTCATTGTCTCCGCGCCCGAACCCCGAGCACCCCGTGGAATCCCCCACGTCATCATCAGAACCATCAATGAGATGCAAACATGAAAGACAAGAGGAAGAAGAAGGACCGCACCTGGGCCGAGGCTGCCCGCCTGGTACGTACCGCCCCCCACACGCCGCCCGCGCCTCCCGCCGGCCCCGCCGCTCGCCCCGCGCCGGTCCGCGGCGGCGGAGACGGCCACTTCCAGCCCGAGCCGCCGCCCGCTCGCCGGGCTCCTGCTCTTTGTTATTCTGCGGGAGTGGGCTCGCCCGGGGGCCCCTGTGTGTGTGCGTGCGCGCGCGGAGGGGCGCAGCGATTATCTCCGGGAGCCCCGCGTCCGGGACCGCCCGGGACACTTCTCCCCGTACTTCGCTCTCGGGGCTCTGCTGTGCCTTCTCCACGGGTGAATTTCCGAGCGCTCGGCGCAGCTCGACTTCCCTCTCTGCCGCTCCGGAGACCTTTGTGTGGCAATTACCACTCCCTCCCGGCCCCTCCACCCCCCGGAATTTCATCAATAACTCTGTGCACAGTCTGTGTGTATGTTCGGCGTTTGTGAGTTCAAACATTTTACACGTGCATGCATGGTGTGTGTCCGACACGGACTTGTGGGGCGTGTGCATGTGGGCTAGGTGGTTGCGTGTCTGTGTGCCATGTCGTGTGCATTATGTGTGCACACTGATACGTGCATGTTTTGTGTGGCTCCAGTTCGTTTGTGTTTGTAGGTATTGTGCTCTGCTCGATGTTTGTGTGTACATTCTGTGCACGTGTGTGCAATTTGTGAGTGTGTTTCGGGTGTGTGTGTGTTTGGTGAAGTTGGGTCAGTGTCATTTGTAGTGGGAGGTTATTAAGAGTGTACAGCTAGGTGTATTTTACTGCTGGCTTCCTGGGCGGTGTTACTTGGCTGCTTTTCCTTTTCTTTAACCTTTCGGAGCTTACGTTTTAATCATCGAAAGAATGTCTCTATAGAAATGCCGGTTGGCAGAGGGGCGTCGGCGTCTTTGGTTTGATGCATGTATATGTGTGGGTTTTTCTTTTCTTTCTTTCTTTTTTCTTCCTATCTTCTTTTAAAGGACAGCTGTAAAAGGATTTTTCAAAAGGATATTTCTGTACAGTGTGTCTCGGGAATGCCAGGCATTACATTTGAAGCTAAGCCTTTCAGGGTTTTGGCTGCATAAATTAAACATTTATTCGCCAGCTTACTATCTGTTATAAATTGGCCAAAAGAAAGCAGACTGCATGCAGCGGGGGTTTTGGGAGGGGGGAGCAGGACGTGTTATTGGGTTGACTTTGTAAAGATTGTTTTACTGTAACTGTAGTCATTTTGAAAAGCATTTGAGTAACTACATTATGCTCAAGGAGAACATTTGTCAAAAGTAATTATCTGAGTTTGGTTGAAGGGCCTTGCTCTGGTATGTATCTGGATTCTAGCAAAGGGTTTTAGATAATTGGCCCTATTGCCCAGCGAAGAAGTGACAAAGTCCTTTTTAATTGCAATCTAGTTATTGGTAGCTGGAGTGCCCAGGTCCCTTTACTTAATCTCTTAATTTTGTAGTGTTGTATGTTATTTCTCCACTTATCTGTGATTGCGTTAATCGCTAAATCTCTCACTCTGTGGATGAATGGGCAGGTGATAGTGATTCTTTAATGAACTGCATCTGGAAGAGGAAACTTAAGTTGTGGGGAATATGTGAGAAGTAAGCAGTAAGTGTTAAGTAGATGCCAGATTGATGTTGTCAATGAGTTTTTGCTGGAGCATAGTACATTACTTATTGTTTGCTCGGCCATTAATTCAGAATTGTGTGGGGATGTGCAAGGCTTCTGAAAATGCATTATTCAGGTTCCGTGGAGTGGCAATCAAGTACTATTAGAGAGCTTTAGTGTATATTTTAAGCAAGTGAACAATGAGTTGATTTATAAATATTTAAAAATAATAAGTCATGAATTAGCCATATCTGCCTGCAGAGAATTATTTAATAAATAACATTACTCTGATGGAATTTAAAGCTAGCCATTTGTATTCAATCAGTATATGTTACTATTCTTGAAGGTACTGTGTTTTATTTGATCTAATAATGATATATCTGTATTGATATAATTTGAAAGAGATTTCTAAGTCACAGGTTTTTGTTAAAAGTTGGATTTTCCTCTCGAAAAGTTCGTTGATGGGAAAAGACACACTAGGAGTCATCAACACAAAAGAACGATAGACCAGATGTCTCTATTTTAACCAGACATATTGAACTAGTAGTTATGGTAATTTTTCAATTTGGTTTAAGTTATTTTTCCCCTGGTAGTTGTATAAATGTGTATGTATTCAAAATGTGCCAGTTAAAATCAAATACTGAATAAAATTGCAAGGAATCGTACTGGAAATATAATTTTCAGAAATTTATGATTTGTATAAGTGACTTATCTAATTCTTATTTTGTGAAGAAAGGAGAAATTGATCCATTTGGTTAACGGTGATAACTGGTCACCATTAACCAAATTAATATTTGGTTAATTTTCATATTTTCTTTATGATTACGTGAATACATATGGACTTGAATTCTCTTCTAAACTTGCATGATAAAATATTTTTACTTTTATAATTGATAGTATTTCTTAACTCTCAATTAAAAAAAGTTTTTAAGCATTTCTGTGATATAGATACTATCATTTCATATTACACAATGCTTCTGATGATTTTGCTGTTGTTGTTAGGGACTTTAGCCTTTTCTTCATCAAATATTAAATGAGGTGCCTGATTTTAAAAGTAAAGATTCAGGATGGATAGAAAATATATAACTCAATATGTGGTTTTTGCAATAAATGAACTAAAGAGAGAGTACTCAAATTAACGTTAAGAATGATCTTCCAATTCATGCAGAATATGTTATATATATCTTTCTTGCTGGAGTGAGTGTGTGTGTGTGTGTGTGTGTGTGTGTGATTTTCTTGAAAGATAGGACATCAGGGGAGAGGAAATGCAAAATAGATATTTTGAACCATGACCAAAAGCTTATGTATAAATGTGGCTTTGCCTTCACTTAAAGAAAAATATATGTGGAAGAAGAATCTTTCTAGTGTAACTAAGACTTTCCAGTTCACAACAGAATTTCTATTTTCTTTCTTTGTGAGAAAAAGTATATGGTCTCCAAATTTGTAAACTCTGGAGTGGCAACTTTAGGGATTTTGTTTTAGATACAGATGCAGCTATCAAGCTGTATCATTTTCCTCAAAGAAGTGTGTAATGCTTGTATGTGTTAGGCTTGCTTAGTGTATGAAAGAAGGAATGGTGGTACAATTTGCCTGTGTTTTCAGGAATGCAGTGATTATTAACAGGCTGCCATTTTAAAACAGTAATACCACATCTTTTTTTCCCCTTCTTTTTTCTTCTGCCCTGCATCAGTTGCAGAAATTTCAGGCTTTAGCCTCCTCCCCTCCCCCACAGCCTTCTGCAGTTGTAGTTGTGTTACTTTGCGCATTGCCATTTAATATGGAGTCTGCTCCCAAACCAGATGCATTTTCATCTGTTTTATCTGCTCTTCTAAGGTTGTAGAGTCTCAGAGGATCCCACAATCACATGGAAGTATCTTCTGTCTTAATATTTGTAGACCACAATAAGAATAAAAATCAAAACCATAACTCATGTCGAGCTGGGGCTTTGACTTTAATCCTTCTGACTTTTATCTCAAGTCTTCATTCTGTTACTATAAATACAGTTTAAACCATTGTGAAACGATCTTCATGCTTCTTTGTAAAAAATGGGGATTTGACAGGACTTTGTTTTACAGCACTAAGGGGTTTCTTTGTTACTGGCTTAACACAGAACATACTGTTATTTATATATTTATTCTAGGTTAATTCTTTTTTTGACATGCAAAAATATTGCTTTGAGAAGTGCTTTTTGATATCTTCATCACTTTGTTCTATAGGGAATGCTGCTTTTAAGATAATAGTTTAATGTATTAATTTGTTCCCTGAGTTTCCTTTTATTTTATTCCTTACAATCTTTGTTTAGTCTCAGTGACACCTGAAAATAAATCTTAACTATTTCAATAGCTTTGTGCTTGGTAACATGGCTGATTTATTTACTTGTAGTTTAGATACATGCACACAGATAATGAACATCAGTTTGTTGGTTGGTTTTTTTCTGTGTGTGTGTGTGTGTGTGTGTGTGTGTGTGTGTTTTCTTGGTAGTTCAAGGTGACCTTTGGGTAAAAATTTTTTAATGACAAATTCACCTCATTGTTGGAAGAAAACAGGCACATAACCTTTTACGACACAGCAGGGTTACTGAAGGTTTTAAGTAAATTAAAATTTGGTAAATCATATTGTGTTAAAAATTAATCTACACTGAACAAAAGATTCACACAGATTTCCTTAAATTAATAGAGGAAATATTATGCATTACATTCTAAATAAACTGTTAGGATTTATTTATGCAATACATTACATTCTAAATAAACTGTTAGGATTTCTATAAAATAAAGCTGAATGGTATTGTAGCTGTTAAAATTTTTAAAAAGCAATTCATAATTGTGTAATTTACTGGTTGCCTTGCCTTTTGTCTTTGTATTTGGGAAATAAATATAATTTTTTAGGAGTGATAAGCATGGTGATAGGGGAGGGCGTGTGTACTGCCTTTGACATTTTCTCACTGTGTTAATGGTACTTTGATTTCAGGTTATAATCAGGTATTCTTAAGAGTTGAAGAATTTTGACGTGTGATTTGGGTCACTCCAAAGGTACACAAGAGCATAACTGACAATGTAGTTGGATCATGAGCCTGGCTAATATAGTTTTGCAAATGTAGTTTTATTTTTAATCACTAAAATTTCAGTTGGTTTGATTCAGCTCTTTTCTGTGGTCTGCACATAGCATCATTTCTTTATATCTATATCTCATCACCTTTTCTTTCAAACATGGAACCTAAATTTCTGTTTTACAGTTTGAAAGATAAAAAAGAGTTTAATGATCTCTATGCCTATTTAGAAAGAAAATGAGTTTCAAGCTGGATAAAAATGTACTTGAAAGAATGAGTAATGTGAACTTAGACCTGGTGTTTAGGTTGTTAATTTTTTATTTCCTGCCGACATTAAGTTTTTCTATTTTTTTGACAAATTCATGAGTAACAGATGATTTCTTAGATGCCAGAAATGAACTATTTTCTTGGTGTACTGTGGCTTTTAGACTTGTAGAGTTGTACCTGGAAGGGAATTTCACCACAGAAAAGTTAACTGATAGAGGAATTGAATTCAACATTTAATAATGTAATAATTTTTAAACTTCAATGAAATGCACTGGAAAAGTGAAATATGGCCCCTAAACACTTTGTAGGCTCCTATGTATATGATTCAGATGCTGTTGAGGATACAAAGATACATCCTTAAGCAGTATAAAGTTTGGTAGAGGAACAAGAAAAAGTGGAGGATGACTGAGCTGACACCATCTGTAGGTGACACATGAGTGATCAAGCAGGTGCTCATTTACAGATTTACAGAAGGGAAAAGCTATGTGGTATGTGGTGATTGTGGAATGCTCAATGGATTAGGTGAAACTTGGTTTGGCCTTGAAATATGAGTAAGTTTAAGCAGGTGAAGAGAGAGCCTTCTAAGAAGAGAGAACGACATGGACAGAGGTGAGGTGCAGGCAAGAGGATAGGTTCAGGGGGTGATGAGTGGAGGAATCTAGAAATACCAGAAGACTTGGGGGGGCATAGGCACTGGGACAGAATTGAAAATGTAATTGCGATCAGATTGGGGAGGGATTTAAAGCCATTTTCATATTCAGTGAGTTTTACTATGGGGCTGTTGTAGTTAGGTGGTAATAGAAAGGGAATTAAAGACTCACCCCCTATTCTCCTTGCACACACAAAGAAGCACAAAACAAAATGAATATCACTTATGTCATAAGTCTTACGATATGTATTTGTACAGTGATGGGGGGTGCACCAGTGAGTGGTCTGAAGCTGTTTCTGAATGTTTTCATTACTTGATACTAAAGAATCTGAAAACAAATTAAATGATACAATTTAATTCTGTCTCATGTTCTTTACCAAATGAGGCAAAGTGAAAAAAAAATCAGTAAATTATATACATTACATTTGTATAAGACTTACATAGAGCACTCTGTTCCCTAAAATACCCTCTTGAGATTAGTCAGTAGCTAGGACTATCCCAGTAACTGTCTCTGAGAGTGGTTTAATGATACACCCAATATCATCATCCTGTCTATAAAAGCAAGGCTGGGACAATATATATGTATGTGTGTCTGTGCATGCACACACATACACATACACATTTTATATTTATATGTTGTGTATATATGTGTGTGTGTGTATGTGTGTCTGTATGTGTGTGTGTATACTTTTTTTTTTCTATGTAACTTGTCATTTTTTAAAAAAACAATATGGGTGTTTAAAGTGATGTGAATTTAATTGATCTGTTACATGGAAGCGTAGGGAGGGCCCAAGCCTATGTCATACTTATTCCCTGCCTTTTGGATTGCCTACATATGTATTCTCCTCCCTCAGTCCCTTCCTCTCACTCTGTCTTCCTCCTTCCTTCCCTCTTTTCCTTCTGACATTCTGCTTGAAATTATTATCTTCTTTTACATTTTAAACTTTTCCTTTAAAGCTCATCAGTGGCAGATCCTGGCTCCTTCCTGATAGGGCCAGGAGGAGGGGCATCTGTATACAACCACTTTCAGCTATTTGCCAGCACTGAGTGCCTTGATTGTTCTGCTTTTGTCCCTGCACAGTTGGTAGCTGCCAAAATCTAGCCCTGACGGAAACTTTCCCTGAAGAGCCCTTGGGGAACAAATAGAAACATTATATGATTAACCACGTTGTTTTCATTATTAAACAAATCTACAAAAAGGAGTAGCAATTAACAGCTTTATCAGTCTGAATTTAGACACCTACCTCTCCTCTTCCCTCAGTATTCCCACTTGAAGTAGTAACAATTAACTGTTGCTGGTTTTAATGTCAGCAACTGACAACACTAAATTGGGAATAGGCAGGTCTCCTGGTTGATTGACATATAGCCCTCTGACACATTCTTACGTAGTTTTAAGGCAAATTTATGCCCTGGGGTTAGCGCCAAAGGGCTTGTCAGAACATTGCCTTTAATATCTGAAATATATAACTTAAATGACATCCAAGGCCTTAGCTTTGGAGGAACTTTTAGAATCTGAGGAATTCTCCAAGGCGGTGCAATTTAGACTCAGTGGACAGGCTTAGGAATTGTAAGATTTTCCTAAATATATGCATGTCTAATTTATGATACAATTATTATTGCTTTATTTTGCATAGATGTAGCATAAATTAGTCCAGAGAAAACTAGATTATGATTTTTTAAAACAATTGCACAATTGGTATTTTTGGCAAGTACACGTATTCCATTATTCTTTATGCATCTGTTGATTTAAAAAAATCAAAGTCAATCATAATTATTTATGACTTATAGAAGGCAATAGGATGGACCATTCTTTATTCAGAAGGTGAATGGCATTTCTAAGATACTATTAACCATAATGTATTAGAACCTATTTTAATAAATTTCAGTAAATAGAAACTGAAATTGGATCTTTGGGTTTGTTTTCCAGCTCGGTCATAGAGAGTCATGATACAGTGAGGCTGTTGTTTATTCTCCATTTTTTTAATGTCAAAATAAATTACTACATATGTAATCTTTACATACATCAAATCCTTGTTGACATAGCCCCAGAACTAAGTCACTGTCTGGAACATCAGGACTCTTTGTGACCCTCCACCCCCACCACCACCCCAAATGTGCACACAACAAATAAACCCTTATTTTAACAAGTATATATAAGAAAATTGCCTTCCTTTTTTTTTAAAGTATTATGTCTTCAAAACCTTGCAGTTAGAAATTGTTGTAATATTTTTCTTCTTCATTTCTTGTCTCTCTCATTTGTAAATCTTAGAGATTTAATTAATTTTTAAAAATCAGATTTCTTGATAGCTTCATTTCTCTTTCCATCACTTTTAACTCTTTCCTGCTCACTTGAGTGTCCCCTTCTCTCAGTTGCCCCTTTAGTGTTGGTGTATTTCAGGATGTTTCCTCCCCCTCCTCTTTATTCTCGTCGCCCCACACCCTTGGCCAGCTTGCCTAGCCCAATGTCAAGTCTTCTCTGATGAGGATGTCAGCCCTGATCTTTCCCCTGAATTTTAGAATTTTGTTAATAATTCCTTTTGTCTGTCTTCATGTATTGTGGATATTTCAAATGAAATTTATCCAGTTCATTTAAACATTTATTGGATACTTTCAACAATTGTGTCATGCATTGGGCAAAGAAGAATGTGACAGTGTTCCTGTCTATTAGGGGATTATCTATGTGTCCCTAAGCACATGGTGTCCAGAGAAAGTGGTAGAGTCTGTCTTCCGAGTATAGCTCACATTTAACTCCTCCTCTATTCATTCACTACATCTTACTTAGTTCTGACCTTCCAAATAGTTGTGTCTCTAACCTCTTTTCCAAATCTTACTGAAGCTGTAGTTATTTTTCAAGAACAGATACAATTTTACTGAATCATTCCTGTTTAAAACGTTTGTGATTACCTTTAACCAAAAGTACCCCAGGCCGTAAGAAGCCCTTTTCAAAACTGACAACACTGTTTTAAAGTGATATATCATTGAATTTTCTAATCATATGCAGAATTTAGCATGTTTTATTTGTTATACACCACACAACCCCTGCAATCTTGTAGCAATTTCTACAGCCTTAGATTTATGTTATTTTCTTTTAAAACACATCAAACTAGTTATTTTTGACATTAGTTAATTGATTACATTTATCAGCTTATTTAATCAACTTCTCTGTTCAACTTTCTTATATCACGCTCCCTCTTTCTAAATTGCTTTTCACAGCTTTATAATTTTTATGTGAAAGTCTTTGGATAGCAAATATTCTTAGTTTTTGTATGGTGAAATGTTTTTGTTTTGCCTTCACCTTTAAAAATATGTTTTAATTAAACTTTTTAACTTTGAGATACAGACTCACATGAAGTTGTAAAAGTTAGAAAATAAAAGGATGAATAGATGGTCACATATCTTCTCCCTGTCATTCTTACTCTCTCCTGAAATCCTTACTATCCTCAAAAAATTGAATCTGAATACAGTCAAGATTGGGTACAAAAATAATTAAAAGCCACCCTTTTGAAGCAGTATCCGCTGAATTTGTAGATTACAATTAAAAAAAAAAGGAGAAACTTAGTAGGAAAAAACAAAAAGATCTCATATTACCCTCACCTTTGAATGATAATTTAGCTAGTTATAAAAGTCGGCTGATTATTTTTTATCCTTAGTACTTTGGAAATGTTCATTTGTCATGTCCATGAGTTAAATTGTTATTCTTAAAGAGGTATAATATACATTTTATATCTGATAGTTGCTACATGTTCTCTTTATTTTTGAAGTTGTACAGTTTTAATAGTCTGTCTTAATGTTTATGGGTGGATTTATCTTTATTCTACTTAGTGTGTATGTGTGTGTATATATATATATTTGCTTTAAAATGTGGATCATGCTGTGGTTTATAACCTATTGATTGCATTTTATCACTGTTAGTCTATGAATTATTTGAAGTATTTTAAGATTTCCCTTAACATCTAGCAGATCGTTATCTAGCTTATGGGTTGGGGATGATACAAGAACAATGGGGAAAGGACTCCCTTAATCCTGTACATGATGCAGTGCTGAATGTATTGGTTTTATTATTCAGAATTATGGACTGCAAGCAACAGAACACAACTCCTCCTAATTTAAGTAGAAAAGGAGCAGGTTTTTTTTTTTTTTGGAGGTCATAAAGTATTTCATATAATCAAAAAGGATCTGGAGAATGAGGCCTGATAAATAGGGATCAATAGAGGCTGGGCAGTGAAAACACATAGACAAGGTCATGCTTCAAGAATAGCCTAGTTGGAATATTGCTGTGGGCACTAATATCATCAGTAATAGTCACCACCATGACTCCATGCTTATTGCATGAGACACTGCCATTGTTCCCAGTGTGTCATGAATAGTCTCGTAATTTGCTGTCTTTGCACCCCATGTTGAAGATTAAAATACACATTCAGGAGAATCAAATTGGCAGACTCTAGGTCCCATGTCTGTACCTTAGGTGCCAGAGAGCGATGATAAAGTATATATGGCCCCTTCAACTCCTGTAGTGAAATATCTCCATTTGCATTTTCATAGCAACAATGAAGTCCACAACATTAAAGCTGAATGCCTTATCTCTTTCCCACTCCCATCAAGTCTTCTCCTCCTTTCTTTCATTTCCCAGTAAAGCCACCACCATTTCCACATTTGTTCAAGCCACAAACCCTCTTGTCAGTGTTATACATTCTTATATTTTTTTCTTATACCCAGTAAATCACTGACTTCTGCCACCTTCATCTTTTTTCTTCTACTCTTCAGATCCTTGTTTTTAAATACTATAGTTATACATCCATTTCCACTGTCATTTACCTTAATTCAGGCTGTTATATGGGTTATGGAGACAGTGTAGATTAATGATGGTCCTAAGAGTCAGGCAGATTTGAGTTTGAGTCCAAAGTCTGCCACTTACTATGTGTTTGACCTTGAGAAAGTTACATAACATCTCTCAATTTTATTTCTATTGTTTAATAAAGGAATAATAATATCTACCGTAAAGAGTGGTTGCAATATTTAAATAAGATAATGTGTGTAGCGTAGTTTTGTGTCTGACGTTATAAGATGCCAGTTAATGTTAGTATTTGGTAGCTTCCATCTTATGAAGTTCCTGCAACAACTTTGTAATTTGTTTCACTGACTCTAGACTTGCCTTCACTGAGAATGATTCTTTTTGCATTTATAATCACTTATTTAAAAGTGAAACTGGTTCATGGTACCCGCTTTGAGTCTAAGTACTGTAGGAAATAGACGGCATTACCTTGAAGGGGTGATTGAAGAAAGGGCACAGTAAAAGAAAAGAACAGGATATAGTGAGAGAAAAAAGGCTTGCTCTGACTTTCATATCAAGATAACTATTGTCTAGTACATTGATTACAACACAGATTGGAAATGTTTGCAAAGTAAATAATCTCCTTTATATGTGCTAGTAAACTATTCTTAAACTTAGTGTCATAGCCTCCTTTTAAGAGTATAGGAATTTTATATGATGGAATAACCTTAGTATATCAATCATAATAAAATTATTACTAAAGGACAGTAATACCTTTATCACTAATTAATAAAAATAGCAATAAGAACTAATAATGATTGGGTACTTATGTGCTTCATGCTGAACTAAACTTGTTATATGCATTATATTGCTTAATCCTGTGAGTAAGCTTAGGAGACATTTTATAATATTATTCACATTTGTCAAATGAAGAAATTGAGATTTAGAGTGTGTATTAGTTGAGTTTCTCCCGGTTACAAGTGAAACAAATTTAACTCAAATTAGTTTAAGGAAAAAGGCTCACATAACTGAGAAATCCAGGAATGAACTTCAGTTCTAGGTGAGGTAGGGACTTAGAGAATGTCGTCAAGGTATTTGCTTTCTATGTTTTTTTTTTTTTTTTTTTGCTTTGTTTTTTTCTTGGCTTCATGGTGTAGGCAGGATTCTATTTAGGTATTGGACAAGGTAAGATGGCCACTGGCACAACCTACGTGTGTTGTCCAACCTTAGCCACGACAGCCTAAAGACAATCTCAGTCTCTTTTCCCCTCCCCAGGCCATATCTCTCTCTTATTTTTTAAGTGCTAATGCCAAAGAAGATTTTACTTTATCCTTGCTTGGCTGATATGCCCATTCCTGCACCAACAGCAATTGCCAAGATCAGGTATCACGATTGATTGCTACACAAGGATCATGTAGAGAGGAGGAAAATTACAAAAAAGCACCAATAAAAGGCAGATGGAAAGTATGCTGGAAAAACAAATTATAAATGACATTGCCTTTGCTATATAGACGGTGAATTAACTTGCTTAGCTAGTAAGTTGTGGAGGACTGTTTCCAGTCTGGGTCTGCCTGACTTTAGACCTTAAGTGTTCTAATGTAGGTACTCTTCATTCATTACTTCTGTTATTATTTTTATAATATTTATTTTACACTAAATATATGTTAAAGCTCAGGCATCCATTACAAAGAACCTAAATATCTCTTTGGTCTGTTTCTACTGAAACCTACTTTCCTGATTTAGAAGCTAGAAGTTACCATGGATGATTTCTGTTCTATTTTCCCCCACAGACTAGTTTCTTTATGGTTATATAGGAATAGTCTATATATAATATTTATAAGATAGTTTGACACAATTTAGGATCCAAGTACTATTTAGATCTTAACACACTAAAATATACATTTCTTCGTGAAGCTTCCAGGTACCTTCTGGATGAAAGTAAATATTTTTATTCACTGTCTAAAATGCCCAAGAAGAACCTTTATTGATCATAATCCTTAGATGATATTAACTTACCGAAGAGAACAAATGTTTCTTCTCCATGGAATGAATCTTCACTCATTTTCTGAATATTGAGATTAGGTCAGCATCAGATAATGATTCCTTATTTCATGTAGGAATTTATGGACATCACAGTCTTATTGCTGCCATTTGCTGTTTATTCATTTGACAACATTTCTCCTTTCCTAGAGCCCAAATGAATCAAATATAGTGTTTCAGAAATTTTTTTTCTCTCCTTCTCCCTCTTTTTAACACATTTTACTTAGCTTTGTGGAAATTTATCTCTACTTTTTCAGCTTGGAAAGTGGATGGTTCTGAGAATTGATGTTTTTCATGCTCTGTCCTGGGCAGAGTTGCTACTATTTAAAGAGAATACACATTTAGTCTGGATCCACCAGGATCTTTAGTGAGCGAATGAGAAAAAGAAACATGCTATTGAATATAAACAAAAATATTATCTCCTATTCTCATCCTTTCTCCAATTTTTATTTCTTTGTCATTTTTTGCTAATGCTCTGTTTACAAACCAAGTTCCAGTAACTAAATAGGAATAGATGGACTGTCAGCAGGAAAAAGAAAAATGAATGCATAAATCTAGATATTGCATTTCCTTTCGATCTTCTAATGACACTACTTTTTTTTTTTTTTTCTTTTTTAAACGAAGTCTTTCTCTGTCGCCCAGGCTGGAGTGCAGTGGCGCGATCTCGGCTCACTGCAAGCTCTGCCTCCTGGGTTCACACCCTTCTGTTGCCTCAGCCTCCCAAGTAGCTGGGACTACAGGTGACCACCACCACGCCCAGCTACTTTTTTGTATTTTTAGTAGAGATGGGGTTTCACCATGTTAGCCAGGATGGTCTCGATCTCCTGACCTCGTGATCCGCCTGCCTCAGCCTCCCAAAGTGCTGGGATTACAGGCAACACTACTTATTTTTTTTTTTGGAATTCACTATTTTCTGAGCTCAACTTCATAGTAGGAAATGAACTCATGAAAGTTAAACACATTTTTCCTTTAGTTAAAAGCTTTAGTGGAGAATGAAATCCTTAATCAGGGGAGTCTACCCTCTCCTATCTTTGTATGAAATTTTATCTTTTATCTTCTTGGTGCTAGGTGCTAGTCGTAGGCAGTTCAGATGGGGAAAGCAAATCTAAGCACATGAAAGGTATCATCTAGAGAAATGGGTGATGGGGAAACAAATAATAGGACTTTAATAAAACAGTGTTTGAAGTTTTTTCATGTGTGTTTGTATGTACATGTTTATATTAAATAGAATCTACAAAGAAAAAAGTCTTTAAGTTATTTAAATAAAAATCTTTCTCTGTCTTTAATACATGAGCAAGTAGATATTACCTCATAAGCATTAGGTTGATGGACAGTTTTTTCATTTTTCCTCCTTAGGGACATGTGGTGGCATCATACTTCTTTGCTGCCTTGAATTAGGCATAACCGTTTTTGTTTTGTTACCTCTCACTTGCAGCTTTTGAGGGTCACTATTTTATTCACTTTATTTCTTTTCTGGTTGTATTGATCGCAGAAGCCGGTGACAAGATGGAATTTCAGTTAAGTTGGTTCTTGTCTGGAAATGTAGATGTTAGTGAGAAATAAGCATTTGTTTCAATCTGCTGAGATTTTGGGGTTGATTTTTACTGTTGCATATCTCTGCCTATCCTGACAGAGTCAATCTTTATAAGAAAAACAGGTGTTTTTATTCCAGGCCCACCTTTACTTTTGTTTATGAGGCACTAAAATATATAATTACATGCTTCAGAGATCTGTTAGGAAAACAAGGTTAAGTTCTTTTGTGTTTTTTTCCTTCTCCATTACATTAAATTGATTTGTAAAATCTTCCTTTCCAGTATTTATATTTTGTTATTTTAAACTTGTAAAACCAGTAAAAAATTTTTCATTACAAGGGAAATCTTTTTGTATTCCGTCTTAAGATAATCTTGTTTATATTTTTGCCTTACAAAATAACTGCCTTTTCTCCCACTTGTCTACTGAGGAGGAAAGTTTTTTAACCAGAGAGAGTAGAACAATCGTTGTAAACAAGGAATTGAATTCCAAGATTGTTGAAAAGATAGAGAAAGGGCACCTGGACATTTTAAATGAGTTCAGGTTCCCAAGTTGAGACAAATTGTGTTTCATTGAAAAGGTATGGCCAGATTTCCACACCACTGAGAAGGGGAAAGCAGACACTGTAACAATACTTCTTTCTTTCTTTATTTCTTTTCTTTTCTTTCTCCCCCTATGCCCACCTTTTTTTTTTTTTTTTTTTTTTTGGCCTAGGGCAGTGCTGGGAGAGAAGTACCCCCACCAGCAGATTATATTTCCCAGCCTGTCTGTCTCAGAGATTCCAGTCTATGTTTCCCATCCATTGAGGGCTCAGTTACCCTCGGGCTGTTTCCCACCAGTTTCCACTCTTCCTTAGATATCCCATGCAGAAACTCCTGGCAGCTCACAGATTCCCCATTGAGCCCAACCCCTTCATGTAGGAAAAGGGGGAAAAATGAAGAAAACTGGTCTTGAAAGCCCGCAGACTTTCATACCACAAGGAATGTGTTGACCACATGCATCTTAAACCAGACGAGCGACGTTTGTCCAGTCCTTCAACTTACTGATATTCAGCCATATCTGTTTCATGCTGTAAATTAAAACCTCAGAACCAGGAGGTTTTTCCCAATCCTTCTCACAAACAGGGATTAAGTTGTAAATACACAGTTGCTTACATATTAAATTGTATTTTGTTTATGGCATAATTTATCTGCAGGAGACATTGATTTTCACAGCAAATTCCTTTATCTTTAAAATTTTCAGCCTATATATGGGTATGCAGCCACTGAAATATTATTATAGGTGAGGCTACCTCTGAATTGCTAAGGTCACAAAACAAAATCTCCCATCTTTTTGTTTTAATTTCCCATAAAATAAAAGATATTTTACATTTATATCCCCTATTACTGGAACACCTACAGATTATCCAGATGTTTGTATTATTATATGTCCTCCATACCTGATGGCAGGCATAGTTATCTTTTAAACCTGAATGCAGGGGTAATTAACAACACTCTCAAAACTTTTTCTGTAGATAGCTTGCATTGAGAAGACGGATTCCTTGTGGGCTTAAATCCTACTGTCTGCAGTTGACCGAATATAAGAGAACAACATCTGGCCTAATTTATCTTTAGGCAAAATTTAATAATGCTGAATGGCAACCTCTGGGAAAAATCTAAGTAAGACTTGTTGTGAGTCCTAATTTAGGGTTGGCTAAAGGTAACTCTTACTTTGTATTTCTTTTTTCAAAGGGATGGGTATTTTGATCACATGAAAGTTAATAATTTTTCTTCGTTCTGTCATCAAAATGTGATATTACAGTATAATGAGCTCCCAACCTGGTTGTAAGCAGAACTCAGCTTGTAAAATCAGGACTAAGGAAGGCTAGGAAGCAACAGGGACTATCTGATTTCATGCAGAATCTTTTGTTGGCAAAGGCAAGTTTTAATATTCCATTGACTTCTCAAAGAGATCCAACCCCTATTTCATAGCAACAAACATTGGCTGATTGAAACCAGTCCTGCTTGCTTATAAATATACCTTAATTCCTCTAGCACATAGTTTAAGAAACAAGACCAGAAATGAGGAGTAAACTGGGGAGGGTTGGAAAACTGGGGTAATATTAAGGTAGGTAGTACATCAAGAAGCATGTAGAAATATTTGCCCTGAATTCGTTTAGCATAAATCTTAATTTATATATATATAAATGGGGTCTCACTATGTTGACCAGGCTGGTCTCTCATACTCCTGACCTCAAGTGATCCTCCCATCTTGGCCTCCCAAAGTGCTGGGATTACAGGCATGAACCACCATGCCTGGCCTATTTAGCACAAATCTTGATGCAGATATTTTAATTACATCATAATTGAGTATAGTAAATCAGGCTGGGAGTTCTTTGAGTTGGTTTGTAGTATAAACCATTATGGTAAATATTTATGCATGACTCAAATTGGAAACAGGAACACACATTTTGCTTAAGTCTACTGGTCTGTAGAAAGCCTGTGGTCTAAACTCTAAACTCTTAGGATACCTGCTTCATATTTTTAAAATGTTAGTCCTATTTTTGAAGCCTTGGAATCAGGAATTTCTTCACCTATTACTCATCAAAGTTCTAGGTAAATAACTTTTACCGCTAGAATTATTTATAACTTTGCCCGTGGACTCCCATTGTTGTAAAATGTTTATTTTTTTAGATATTACTTCTGGATGGGTCAAGTGCATATTTAACAAAGAAATACACCCTGCTTCTCAGAATTTTTGTTTATTAAGAGTTTGCATTGCCAGTGATGAGGTTTTAGAAATTGCTATCTTTCTGTTAATCTAAAGGAAGGAGATAAGTTAGCATCTGACTTAAAAGCATTTATTATATATCCTGTATCTTTTTAAAATATCCTATGAAAGGAATCAACTATAGGCTCAATAATTAGTATAATGAACACATTGGTCATGAAACTTTGGTCATCTAACCAATTTAATGAAAAGGAGAGTTTATTGGAAGACTCATAAGTTAGAAGCCATTGCAGCAAAATGGGAGGTTCTAGGTAATACTTGGAAAGTAAGAATGAAAGTAACTAGGACTCTCCCATCCTCTCTCTGCAGAGTATGCTTATTTTCTGAGCCTGGCTCACATGCCTACGAACATAGCTTCCAGCAAATCTCAGGCTCTCCTCACATAGTATCATTACCAGAAAGTAATCAAGATGTGTTTTCTTGAGTTTTAGGGTTGTACATCCTGGAGAAGATTAATGATTGGCTCTCCCTGTGTCCCCAACTCCAGCCATCCCTCCTTCCCATCCTTAATAGGAAGCTCTTCAGGAGTTGTTTCTTCCTGAAGGAATATGACAGGGATATGTCAGCTTCAGGAATGTAACAGCTTCCATTCAAATCAAAATGAGAAAGGGCATTCTTTGGAAGAAGGAAGTAGGGAATAATAAACTGAGTACATCAATTCTTTCTTGTCAATTCATTGTCTTCTTTTTTTTTTCATTAGGCAAGTATTACACACCTACATGTGCTAGTTACTGGAAATATAGCAGCAAACACATATCAAGATAACAATTCCATAGAATCTGAATTATAAAACCACCACTAGAAACAGGGTAGGCAGCGGTCATTTCTATGTAGAGTAGATTAGCATTTTGAATGAATATGAAAGAAGACATATAGCTTAGTTCCTTCCTTTCATTTTAAATCTATTTCTAAGTAAATTAAATGCTTGCCACCCTCCCTTCCCCCACTGTAGTAAGCCAGAGAGTAAATGTCTCCAGCAATGGTAATGGCAAATTTTATTGTATTTCATTTTAGTGTATGTGTGTGCTTGGTAAATATTTGTTAACTGAATGGATTATTGAGGTGGTGGTGGTGGTGTCCATCTATAGTCAGGAGAAAAGAATTACTATTAACTGTGACAAAATAAACATCATTGTTATTCAACATTTAAGTAGGCAGAATCAAATAATTTCATATAACAAAGTCATTTTATACGATTATCTAAAGATATATTTTACAACTAATTTCTTCTGGCAGATACATCTGGATGCTGTGTCATTTCAGACTAGTTTGTGGGAATAACATTGAATAATTTTTCTGACTCAGATTGAATGATGAGTAATGTTTGCTTTGGAAAAATTTCAGTCTTCCTGTATTTTATTTTCTTCACTATGATTACAGTATAAGGCATGTAACTGTTTCTGTTATTGGTTGAGTATTCATATTTGTTTTGTTTTTGAGCTGACCTTCTTTCTCTCTCTGTTTCATTCATTCATTCATTTACTCATTTTGAGACAGGGTCTGGCTCTGTTACCCAGGCTGGAGTGCAGTGGCATGATCTTGGCTCACTGCAATCTCCACCTCTCAGACTCAAAAGATCCTTCCACCTTAGCCTCCTAAGTAGCTAGGACTAGCACGTGCCACCACGCTTGGCTAATTTTTTTATCTTTTTGTAGAGACCAGGGTTTCACCATGTTGACCAGGCTGATCTCGAACTCCTGAGCTCGAGCGATCTGCCCGCCTTGGCCTCCCAGTGTGCTAGGATTACAGACGTGACCCACTGCGCCTAGCCTTGAGCTGACTTTTAAATCAGCTGTTAACAACTATATAACTTATATAATACATGCATAAGTCATATAAATTACATAATATGTAGAGTCTCCAGGATTACAATTATTAACGCTAATATTTTTATATGGCGGGGATGTGGGTGGGACTTTGTGGTGTACATGTATATGTACACCACAGACACTGGAATATATGCGTCCTCTCTATGTATTGTTCTTCAACATGTTTATTTTTACTTACCACTTTCTCATGGACATCCTCCCATGTCAGTACATATTTTCTTATTTCTTACCTTATTATTTCTATTATTTTATGGTATGTATGTACCTTCATTTATTTAACCATCTCCCTCTTAGACTACGTCTCATTATTTTGGAGTCATAATCTCATATAATGCTTCATTGTACATGCAGGATAGGCTGTGAATTTTTGTAAGAAAAATACCTAAAGGTAGATGAAGTTCAGTAAGTGAGACTGCCTACCTTTTACATTGTAATAGTACTGTTAAATTATCCTCCAAGTGAGATTTTACCATTTGATACAAGGCAGTATATTGTGATGGTGAAACACTTGGACAAGGAGGCATGGATTTGAATCCCAGTTCTGCTTCTTACCTGGGAATAACCTGGTATAAGTGAATTAAAAGTGAATTAATGTATTGGTGTCTCAGTTCTCTCATCTACAAAAAAAAAAAAACAAAAAAAACAAAAAACAAACAAAACAAATCTACCTGAGTGATTGTGAAATTAAATGTCTTAACATAAGTCAAGTTCTTAGAAAAATGCCTAGCCTATTTTGATTACGAAATGCTTTCTAGCATTATGTATTAGCTGCTCTTATTAACACTAGCATCTTATATGGATTCCCAAGATTTAAAACTTTAGGGTCTTGACTGATTGCTGCTCTTCACGTTATCCTGCAGGGAATGCTGGGTATCCCTGTTGTCTGTTTCCATAAGGACAGGTGTTTAGTATTCATATGTAGGCAAAAATATACACTAAGCACCTTAATTTTCATAATATTGTATTAATCCTACATCTGCAAATATTGTTTTCAGAGTTGTTATATATCTATCTATACTAGTAGTAGTAAAATATAAACCCCAAATTGTTAGAGTATCTAATCTTGATTTAATCATATTAGATCTTGGGAAGATTGTCTACTTTAATTATTTCATCTAATATTCTCATTTATATTTTTGTGTTATGTTTAGATTTTTATGGGAGGTTCTATAACAAAACTTATTATATGTCCCATGTTTGCTTTTACTTAGCCCTCCTTGTAAATATTGTCCATTGCCCCCCAGTGCCTCTGTATAAAAATGTCTATGTGAGACACTTCTCTTAGTTTAGAAATAAGAAAGCGTTTATCTGCTCTGACAAACTCATGTTTCTTTCATTCAGCTAATGAGAGTTAACTAATGTCTGCCTCTACATTTTAACTGCCATAAAATTGGGACAATGTTCAAGATCAAAGTCACAGCAACTTTATCATCGGGCATGATTTCTCATTTTTGAAGCATTTCACTGGATTAGTCTCTTTTAAACTAGTGCAAGTTTCTTTCAAGGAGATGTGATAAGAAAAGTTACATGAGATAAGTTATCTGGGATAAGAAATGATGACATATGAACCTCGATGACAAGACACTGTAAGAATCTGCAGGTATGACCAGGAGGTATTGTGGATAACCATGGGGATAATCATGGAGAACAGGAGAGCAGTTGTCCAAAGGCCTGGGTTCAGATCTTTGTTCTCCCACTTTCTAGCTGTGTAACACTGGGCAAATTAAATTAACTCCTTTGTATCTTCATTAATTCATCTATCATCTATAAAATGAGGGGGACAATAGGCCCTATGTGATAGGGTTGTTAAAAGTATTAAATGAACTCATATGCATGTTAGAATAATGCTTAATGCAGAGTAACTGCATTTTAAAAAAGAGAAGAGAAAAATTTTTAATTATAGATTGTTGAGCTTCATCTCAACCTTCAGTAAAATACAAGAGTGTATTGTTAAACAGATGACTGTAAGCATATAGAAGCGGAAGATCATATCCCTGGAAGGCATTATGGATTCTCTAATTCATGTCAAACTAAATTAATTTATTTTTGATAGGATTATTAGACTTATACATCAGGAAGATGCATATGTTAGAGCTAAATTTCAGCCAGTCATTTGATATAAGTCTGTTTATTGTAAAACTCATTCATAAGTGATGGACACTTATAAACTGGGTGGTAGTATAATTAAATGAATTTGTAGTGGATTGAACATGTATAGATAAAGTATATAGATTGAGTAATCAGTATCAGTCTGAAAAGAGATCCCAGTGGCAGCCACAACAGTTTGTTTTCCATTGCTTTGTTTAGCTCTGTCATGAATAACTTGGAGGAATAAGTCAAAATCATGCTTGTCAAATAGGTGGCCAATAAAATAAGGGAAACCGAGCAATTGGAAAACAATGGGGATTACAAAAGAACTTTGTAAGCTTGAGAAAATAATATGTAACTAAAAGATAAAATTTACTTGAGATCACAGTGTCCTTTTTTGCAGCAGGTTTTTTTGGGGCATGTAGAAATCCAGTGGAGGAGATTTCTGGGATGAGTTTAGCTGTTACTTTCAATAATCAGCTATTTGGCACTAATAAGATTTCAGAGCCTAAATAACTGGATTAAACAAACACTAGTGCATTAAAACAAAGATATGCTTATGCCTGGCAAGTTTGGAAAACACACCACAGAGCTGTGGGTGCAATTTCAGAAGCAGATATTGAAAGATCTGGAACTTTTAGTTGAGTGACAATGTGAGGTGGCTGCTGAAAAAAAGCACGTCATATTAGGTTAATGTAGTTACTGCAGATAGAAAAAAATGATTTTCCCATATTCTATTTGGATCAAGCTACAGTTAAAATATTTATCAATTTTTAGCTCATTTATTTTAATGAGTGTAATTCTTAAATGTATTTTAAAAGTGACACTGGAAAACTCAAGAATGTTCAGAGAAGGATGATTTGGGTGACTGTGTTTGCAAACTACTTTATATGAAGATTGATGAAGAAACTAAGGATCTATTAGTCTGGAAACAAAGGGAGACTTGGTCTGAATAGTGTTTAAAAATATGTGGCAACGTATTTTGTGTATAACTTATTGAATCCCATAATTGTAAACTTATATAACACAATTGCCTTTTGACCTTACGTGATAAAACAGTGTTTGTAATTTAACATTAAATAATTATTGTTATATTCAAAGGCAAAAACTAGGATTACTTGATAGAAATGAAAGGAAAGCATAATGTTTACTTGAAGTACTGAAAAAACTTTAATAGTTACTAAGCTCTTAAGAGAATAGACTGCCTGCAAATTTCTGTAGTAGGAAGATTTCTCTGTTTTTTGTTAAGAGAAGTTTTACTTTGTAAAACAAGTTTTACATATCATTATTTAAACAATTATTCTTTTCTTACTTTTTAGAACATTGTGTAAATTCTGAGTGTCTGCCACTTTGTTTTCTTTCTGTGTGAAAAAGGAATGCGAAGTGTTTTAAATGATTAGAAACTTACTGAGATCCAAAAAAGTTGCCAAAATCCTGCAGGAAATTAGGATTCACTTCTCAATTGCATAGAATTTCATCTGCAAATTCAGGGAATGACCACTTTGTTTGAAACTCCAAAAACCATGTCTTTCAGCTGTGCTCAGGTTTTATGACCCTGGGCAACTGAAGTATGTTGCTATAAAACAGAGTTTCCTTCTCATGAATATTCTATGATACCATATATCATAATTGCTTGAAAGTTTCAGTATATGTTGTTGGAAGTAAGTTGTTACTGTTGATATTCTATATTTTTGATTTGTAACAAGCAAAACAAGATAATTGGTCCTTTAGTATGCTCTTCTTCCTAGTCATCTGAACAGTATCTAAAAGCATGCCATGAGGAAACCAGGCACAGTATGGTGCAGGCTTTCCTGTGCCTCATTGGTGGAATACGTTTGGAATTGGTCAGGCAACGAGGGATGAGAATATGTGGCTAGTCTGATTTGTAGTAACTAGTGAAGTTTACTTAGGAAATCTCAGACCACATTTAATTCCTATGATTTTCTGGTAGCGCTCTTCTTTGTATTGAAAAAAATCTGTGTTTCTAGGCTGTGTTCAAAGGGGCCAGCTTTTTTTTTTCAGCCAATAATATTAGCTACTATTTATTAACACTCATTGCTGTAGGCAGTCATTTGGCTCATTGGAATAATAAGTGCTTTATATTCATTATCTCATTTAGTCCTCACAATATTTTTGTGAGTAAGGAAGAGAAGAAATTATGACTCAGAGATTTCTGATGTCTTATCTAACATCAGACATCTAGTGAGTAGGGATTCCTGGTTCATCTGATTCCAGAGCTCACAACCTTCATTATTATTCTATAAAAAGTTCCAAATATAGAATGACTGAAAACATTCCCCCAAATTAACTTGGTCTTTGTTTATTGGAGCCTATTTAGTAGTGCTACAATTTGGAGATATAGATGTGAATGAGGACCAAGGCCCAGGATTACATGAGGTTTACAGTGAGCAGGAAGAATATCATTAAACAAGATAACACTAATTAATGACAATTTTGACAGGTCCTATACCAAGGGAATGTATAGTTTAAACCATTATCTGAGAATTTAAGTAAATATCTGATTGTATATATATAGTTTGTTTGTTTTGAGACAGGGTGTTACACTGTCATCCAGGCTGGAGTGCCGTGTTGCAATCACTGCTCACTGCAGCCTCAATTTCCTAGGCTGAAGCAATCCTTCTGCCTCAGCCTACCAAGTAGCTGGGACTATAGGCACACACCACTATGCCTTGCTTATTGTTATTTATTTATTTTTATTTTTTTAGAGACAGGGTCTCACTGTGTTTCCCAGGTTGGTCTCGAACTCCTGGGCTCAAACGATCTGCATACCTGAGCCTTCCAAATTGTTGAGATTACAGGCATGAGCCACCACGTCTGGGCTGATTGTTCTTAAGTGTGAAATTGCTGAACTGGGGTTTGTGAGAGCGATGATACCTTGACTTATGATAATCTAACTAATGCCTAATTATCTGAGGTGGAAGTTTCATCCAGAAACTGTTCCCCCCTGCCATTCTATGGAAAAATTGTCTTCCATGAAACCAGTCCCTGGTGCCAAAAAGGTAGGGGACAGCTATACAATAGCATATAATTTTACCATAAAGTACATTTAAATAGAATAGAAAATTGTTAGTATCATCTTTAACCCTTCATCCAGCAGCCACATATGCTGGGAGTGAAGAACAACCTGATTGAGCTGTGAATACTGGGTATTTGCTGAGGTGCTGTCACTTTTGATGTAATTTATTTTCTCATCTGAAGGCTATCAGTAATCCAAGTTCATGTTTCATCAAAATGACATGGACCTTTGAGGTTTTCAAGAGTAGTAGAAATAGGGAATGTTAAACATATTAATTCTAAGTCTTTTGTAATAATGGAAAGCCCCCAGAGAGGACTTAGCACATAGGAGTTGTCTAATAAATATTAGCTGCTCTTATTATACTTAAACATTGTCATCAGTATCGTAATGCATACAGGTCCTGTTCATCTAGTCACTAGCCTAATGGCCTTGAGCCAATTCAGCTTTGTACATCTCAGAGAATGTTAATAATACTTCTCTATGCATCTCACTGAGTTGTTTTGAGGATCAAATAAAATAACATATGTTGTGTGAAGCAAATGAAATAAAATATGTTGTATAAAAGTCATCTGTAATTGTAAAGAGGTATATAATGGTTTATTGTTGTTATAACCCCAAAATCGTTTACCTTGGACATGAGGCCCTAAACATCTGAACACTTTAATGAACTGCCAGTATTGATTGAGGGAAGATGACACATTAATGTTAGAAAAAGGGAGAAAGCCTGGTCACTGATACCCACTTAGAATTCCACAAATGTAGACATCTATCATTGAAATGGTACTTAAATTGTAGGGATTATTTTTTATTTTGCCGTCAAATAAGTAAGCTCTCTCAGAAAGTTTTATTTTGGGCCAGAAGGGCAAAAATTTTAACCTTTAAATGAACACTGGTCTAATGTGTTGATCTTAGAGATACTTAGAATGAGTTTTCTCTTTGAGAGACACCAAGGAATTCTTGAGTAAGCCTTAATATGCTTGAGCCAGTGTTCCTGGGCCAGAAAGGTACTTAAGGACCAAAGTTAACACATAGAAAATTGCATTCTTAACTTGGCCCTAAATGATTTGGCAAATCATCTCTCTTTCCTTTAATTATATTGCAGGTATTACAGGTCCTTTTTTGCATTTTTTTTCTCCCCATACTAGGACGTGTAGTAGTCTAGGGGAGGAAATTTCTGGAATGAGACTATCTTGCCTCAAAACTGTATGAATGTATATGTCTTTGAGATAGGCCCTGATAGAGTTAGTTAGATAAGAAGGTGGAATGTAATGGTATGTTTGCTAGCTCTGTACATCTGTTTACCTCCTGTGAAAAATAGATCCACCACTAGGAAGGCAGCTAGTTGTGTGTTTGCTTTGTGCACCAGCCGTGGAGAGTCCCGTTTGTGGAGAGCAATGTTGAATTTGAAACCTTTCATGGAGTAGAAGTGAAGAAAAAAGAAAGTAGCTGGGAATTGAAAAGACTTCAGTCCATGAGAGATGCAAGACATCTCAGAGATTGAGTGAAGTAAGATCACAAATATAGTTTTAACACAAGAGAACAATTTGTTTTACAAAGAAAGAAAGGACATTTTATGTAAAAATTGAGCACTGTTTCAGAATCTGATTTGTGAAGAGACAGTGATATGTGGCCAGTGGTTTGTAATTACAATCTTCCTGGCAGTGCTAGTTCCAATAATTCTAGCTACAGATATTCTTAGCGAAACTCAGCAGTTTTAGGGGACTGTTTTTGAGGAAATGAATTGTAAAGTGCTCAGATTTTCAGCAAAAATTTTTTTGAAATGGACTAAGAAAGATTAATTGTTAGCCAATATAAATAATGTAGGAAAGATAAAGCATACAGCTATTATAAAGGAGAAGCAATTCACAATATTTGTAGAAAACATGATTGTATACTCTGTGCTATTAAAACTATTAACTCAATTAACTATTCATATAGATAATAATTACCCTGATTTAGTGGCTTTTATATGTATTAGCAATAGAACGTGGGACTATTACATGAAAAAAGTATATTCAAAGTTGCAACTGAAAATATAAAATAATAGAAAGCTTATTACAGGTTACAAAATAAATCTTAAGTGGAATGATGTATAAAATTCCTCGGAATTTAATTAGATGTTTCGTTGAATTCCAATCTCAATTTCATCTGGAAAAATAAAGTGAATAATTAGAAACTTAAGAAGGAGTAATGAGAGCAGTGTCCTGTTCAGAGAGTGAAGTATAATATTACAGCAATTAAAACAGTGTAGTGTTGGCTCAGCAATTGATGGAAAGATCAGTGGAACCTAGTGGGACCCCTGGACAAAGCCCCCCAAGGACAGCGTTATGCAGTTTCTTCTGGAGACTCTTAAAATTCCCAGAAGTGCCGTTAGCCATTAGAGGGAGTAAGTGTGGGGGTCCAAGCTCTCTCATCTCCAGCTCAACATGAACAGCTCTGCATTTGTGTGTTTTATATATTGGGTTCCCACATTTATATTTAGGTTTCACATTTTGAAAAGTTTTTATTGCCCTACTACTAACATATGGTAGAGGATGCCTCACTAGCCAATGTGTGGCATATGAAACAAATTATGTTGGGGAAATAAGGCTTACTGTGGGGAGGAGGGGGCAGATGTTAATATTTCACTTTAGCAAAAAATATAAATTCGAGATGAATTAAAAAATAAGTACTTGAAAGAAATACTTGTAGGTATTTGCATGCTCTCTGGATAAAAGGAATTTCTAAACATTAAAGAAGTTAATGGAAAAGCCTGATGAATAGTTGCTTGTGTAACAATAAATAAAACAGATCTCCCACCAAAACATCCAAAATGTAAGCAACAACAAGACCAGGTAGTGCCTTATGGTCAAGAGATTGTTGGGGCAATGGACAGTTAGTCTAAGGTTTGGGTCTGGTAGCTTAAGATGCCTTTGTGCTCTGACTGTGGCTTGCCCCACTCAGTGTATTAGAGTATGGCTGTCTGTGAGTCTGATTCATGTCTCTGCCATGTGTCACATTATTTTGATGGCATCAATGTTTTGTTCTGTGAAGATAATTTCTCCTTATCTTTTGTTCTATTAATGTTTACACAGCTCAATCAATAAAGCTTGTTCACACCCAGGAACCTCTCCTTCTCTCTGTTCTCTGTCTTGCAGGAATTGAGGGTGGCTTCTGGTGTTTTGTGTGGCTTCATCATTTCCTTCCTGCCTCTCATCCACTTCATGATGTAATTCTTGGCACTTTTACTTCCTTTGTAGAGTAGGATGTGATGTCATAGAGAAGGGGACAGGGCTATCCAAATTCTCTCAATTGCTGGGAGGAGCTGCCCAGGTGTGCTGAGGGGCCTGTACTCAGGAAGAGAAACAGGGAATCCTCCACAGTGAGTAACCCCAATTTCCAGTGTGCCCAAATTTCCATTTAAACATTGTCTAGTACACTAGAGTTTCTTCTTTGGCCCTTTCTAGATTTAATCAGTTTGCCTTTAGACATTCCCAGTTCAGCTCAATTTTCCTCCTTTCTCACCCTCCTCCTATCTGTCTCCTCTTTCCCCATCGTATGCCTTTCCCTCCAGTTGCCCTCTTCCTTGCTTGCTTCCTGTGTGTCTGTGTCTATTGACCTCCTGCCCATATCTTTTATGAGAGACCCGTTGCCTTTCATTTGAGGCAGTGCCCACACTATATATAGTCCATGTGAACACAGCATCTCCTTTCAGTAATTCATAATTATGTACTGTTCTACTTACAGTTCTTATTTTAAAACTTCTGTCAGCTTTTTGTTTTCATATCAGCTTCTTCCTCTTTTCCCTGTGCTCTTCTACTCTTTCCTTCTTTACAGCTCTATTATGCAGTTTCCTTATTGCCTTTTTTCCAATATATTTATACTCCTCTTCCCTAAACAACTTTGCCTATGTTTCTGTTTCCCCTTTTCGAGTGTTCAGTTCACCTCTACAGTGTCCTCTTCTGCAAGGACCATTTTCCTTCCTTCCCGTTCACATATTCGTTGCCATACCCTTGTTGTAGTGTGGCTCATATTTCTGTATTCTTTTAATAATTTATAACATGAGTAAGGAAGGGGCTGATCAGGATTGGGAAAAAGGAGGAAATTTCCTGGGAACTAGAAAGAGAGAATAGGAAAGTGTCTGAAAGGTTAGGATGGGCAGGCTGTGTGCAACACACTGAGGGACCTTGATGAACAGAGCCTTCACTTGTGAATCAGTTGAAATTTGGTTATTGACAGTATAAGAGATCACAGAGCCATTTTGAACAGATTTGGAAGCCTTTTCAAGTTTACATTTTCAGAATGACCCTGTTAATTCTTAATAATTATGATTCTTCCAATAATCATAGATTAGAACTCTAGTGTCTCTAAGTTACAAGAGGCCATGACTTGAGCATGAAGCTCTTGCATAGCATCTTTAATTAGGTGTCATCTACCCTTGGAGTAGGTCATTGTGGAGATGTGTGTAACTTGTTTCTTGTACCCAGATGTGGTCCCTGTAGTTCATGTTGGTGCACAATAGGGGCACTGCTGCTTATTGTTTCCACCACATGGGGTTAAGTCCCTGCAAAATAAAGGAACCTGTTTTCCAGGGCTGATGGTCTAAGACCTGTGGAAATAATCAGCTATGTCCTGTGTATTCCACACCCTTTGTTTAAAAGAACCCCTTTCACAAAAGATAAGTAGGGCAGAAGAGGAGAGAAAGAGAATGGGACTGAGTTCATATGACTGAGATAGGCTAAATCGGAAGAGGAAAGGGCTTACTTGAAATTAATTGGAAAAGGCAAAGGAAAGGAAACTGAGCTGAACTGGAAAACACACTGTAATGAGTTACTTGGGTTCCTGTATGCTTCTTTCAACATTTTGGCCGTGAATCCAGTGAGGCTGTTTGTGACCAGCACTCCGTTCTCTTCTATTGGTAGTATTCAGGCTCCATGTTTCCAAGGACCTGGAATCTTAGGAAACATTTTAACAGCCTGAAAACATGACTTTCACCATAAAATTTTAGCAACTTTTTAAATAAAGGAAATTATATACATTTGTTAACTTGTTTTCTTTAGGGTTCACATTCCTTTTTTGGTATGTACGCCTTTGTGACATGTTTGAAGGATGGCCCCTTTTTGTTGCAGAAATTTCCGATTTAAATGTCCAAAAAAATTACGTTCTTCCTTTGGACACCTGATCTGTATGATGGACTGCTTTTGATGTAAAAGCCCCTTCCCCTCTAATAAAATAAGCAGAGAATGCATGATTCACATACATTTTCATTTTGTATGCTGCCATGCAATAATCTAGGAATCTTATGTTTATATTTTAGGCACTAGAAAAACACCCCAACTCACCAATGACAGCAAAGCAGATATTGGAAGTCATTCAGAAAGAAGGGTTAAAAGAAACAAGGTCAGTATCCATATTTAAAACATTTTCTGTTTTCATTAAATAATAATTGCCACTCGTTGCTAAGCGATAGGTGTATCTAGATTTTGATATTGTAGTTGATTGTGAATTAACTCCCCACAAATTCTTTCTAATTAAGAAATCGTTGGATGATTTAAGATTTCCTTGGACTTGCCTGTTACCTTAATACATTACGTTAGATGGATTGATACAGGAGGTACTTTCTTAACAAAGAACAGCACTGTGTGACTTAGCCCCTCATTGAAGTTATTCCTGTTTCTTGTAAGAGGAGATTGTGTTTCTGAAACCAAATGGTGAAAGAGAAACACTTTTACAGGTTTAATAGGTAGATCCTAGGATATAAAGATGAGCTCACTTTGATAAAATTCAGTGCCAATAAATGTGGTTGAAAATCTAGTCCTCTTATATTTAAGAACTCTACTTGGTGCATCCCGTAATAGCTGTTGAGCCTAATATTTATCCTTTTAAAATGTACAGTTTAGTGGGTTATGTTATATTCACAAAGTTCTGCATCATCAACATTATCAAACTTTAGAACATTTTCATCACCCTAAAATGAAACCCTGTACCCATTAGCGGTCACTCCATATCCCAACTACTCTTGCCTGTGGCAACTGCTAGTCCACTTTCTGTCTCTATGGACTTGCTATTCTAGATATTTAATATAAGTGGAATCATCTAATATGTAGCCTTTTGTGAAAGGCTTATTTGACTTAGCATATAATATTTTCAAGGTTTTCTCATGTTGTAGCATATATCAGGAATTCATTCCTTTTGGTTGCAGGTAGTATTTCACTGATGATTCTTTATTCTTGGGTATTAATTTTATGGTTTTGGCTTTAGATAGCAGGTTAGGGCCATATAGATGATACTACTCAAGGAGAAAAAGGTTTACTATAGGATAAAACAACTATGATGTTGTCATATGTGTATGTAATCAGCCATGTTACATAGAATAGATTTGTGTACATGAATTGTCCATCTGTAAGCCATTGAGCATACAGTAGTTGCAACTTGATGAAATTAAACCTACTGAACTGCCTTTTGAATGTTTTCATTGATGTGGATATAGAAACTGCTAAGATAAATAAATATCCTTCTGAGGCTGACTTTTTGTGAAAAATAGGTTTCACCTATAACTCCTGTAACTTTAATGTGTGGGTAACATCAGCCTCTAGCTGTTTAAAATGTATTATTTAGCAAGGTAGGTCCATGGACATCACAATTTACTGGCGTACAGGACACCTATGCTCAAATTTTCATTTTTTATTTTGGAGACTTTTTTTTTTTGCCTACGCTGGAGAAATAGCCTAAGATAATATAACCACGCTGTGTTTGTGCTAGTTGTTCCCCCAGAAAGTGGAGGCAGCAGTGGATAGATTAGTTGCTAACAGTACCTAACAATTCTGTTAAAGGAGATCCTATTTTAACCCGGATGTCAGTTTAAGGAGTTAGGGAACAAAATCAGGAAAACAGGAGATTAATTTTCTTCTTGCCACCTGTCAGTAACCCTGGAAATATTTATGACATTTAGAAAGCACTGAAAATATTTGTGCCACAGTCAAAAGAAAAGAGGGGCTAAAAATCTAAGGATGTCTACTGTCTTATGTGGGCTTTGTTGCCAGAGGAATCTGCCAACTTGGACATAAAAAGCACCTCCTAAAAGCAGACGTTTGAAATTCGTTCATTAAGATATTCTTCTCCACAGGAATGACTCTGCTGTTATCAGTTGTTATGAAGCTAGAGATATAAAAATCCCTGTACCGTGGCTCACAACATTTTAATTACACTTGTTATCATTATATCATTATTTCAATTTTTTCAAAATGCTGGTCCTCCCAGAATGGTATATAAGAGGGCTTTCAGCATGCATAGTTAACAAATACAAACAAATTTTAAAAACCAACTTCTTCAAAGAGTAATTAAAGAACACTGAAATGGGAAACATAACTCCCTAGTCCTCTAAATTGAATCCCTCTCCCCACTTCACCCACTACATCACTATTTGTCCTTCTGTAAGGAAAAAGAGTCCTTTGTTACAAACACTCATGAACCAGTATAGTATTAGTGAAAGTACCTGCACACAATTACCAGTTTGAATAGGGAAGGGAAAGGCAAAGAAAGAGAACACAGTTGAAGTTTTCTTCTGTAAAATCTGCTCTGCATCAAGTGGCCTCAGACTATGCATTTTGTGCTCCCATTTGTTTTTTCATTCTATTCCTTTAAATTTCCCCCTTCTTGTCAATGGTAATCCATTACTTATGGCTCATGCATCTCTGCTCACTGTTCCCTTGCTTTCTAGTTCTAATTTGCTTATTTGAGTCACCTCTAAAATATACATACCTAGCTTTTGAGTAAGTTTAGGACTGTCCTGTATGTATGTATGTTGTTTCAAGGAGCAGATACTGACATTTATTTTGCCTACTTAATGTACTGTTTTGTTACTTTCCAAGTTTTTAAATGTTTTCCAAATATTTAAGGCAGTTGAGTAAATGAAGTGTAACTGTATGTATTTTTCTTAAGTAAAGTTTAGAAATTCCACCTTCATGAAGTCAAACATAAGCTGATTGATTTCTAGGTATTTACTAATGATGTGTTTTAAGAAATGCACATTGGTAATATGCCTGATTAAATACAGGGAAGTGCTTGTGAAGTTACTAATATGGCCATAACCCTCTGGTGGTCTCTTCTATGGATGAAAGGTAATGTTTTAATGGTCCTCCCCCAAACAGTCCTCCACTGTACCTAGCAGTTCTAGACAGTAGAAGATAAGGTCTTCAGCCATCATCATTCCAATCTGTACTCAAAGCAAGGCCATTTGTTTCAAGTGCTATCGGGGTCCTTCATTCTATGTGTGCCAGGCAGGTCTCCGAGAGCACTTACCTCGCTGTACTGTAATTTTGTCTTTGTATGTCTTCCCTGCCTGTGTGTGAGCTCCTTAAGGGCAGGGTACCTAACACTCCTGGCTCTCGGCAGATACTCAATAAACAGTTGTTTAGTCAATAATCTTCATTCTCAAGACGTTAATTTGCTGGTGCTTAGTAACAACTTCGGCTTGCATTCAGAGTTAGAAGCTTCTTTTTGACATTACATGTTATATTTTTATGATATTTAATAGTAGTTATTTTTAACATCAAAAGAAACTTAACACGTTTGTGGAAATCCCATTAAATATATGTATGCTGATAGTTTCCAGCAGGTTATCTGTGAACAACTAAAGTTATGGTGCTGTTGCTTGTTTTCAAACACTGTGAAAGCCACTGGTTTGAACTTGCAACTTATAATAGAAAAACTACATTATAATTTTGTTAAAACTAATGAGGATATTTGAATGTGTTCGTTATATATGTTACTGTTATTTGACTGAGGTGAAATTTGACATTGTATGCTATATTTTCCTCTTTACAACTGACACTTTAAATATAATTTTCATGTAGACATGATAAAGATAGGACAACTTTTTTACATCATGTTCTGTGTCTCATCTTCATATTATTGATGAAATGTGTAGAGTAGGATTGAATTCTATTTGGAAAAGCCAGAATGAAATAAGTACCTTCCATGTGGGTAAAAAAGAAATATGAATATAATAAATTGTCAGAAGGACATGTGGTTTTGTTGAAAAAAAATAATAGAATGATTTTTTAAGATCTGGTTTTCTTTCTTATGAAAATATTCTTGGTAATTTTTACTTTCCCTCTGTATAATAGGGTAGAAGATTTTATTAATGTCATTTTCTTCTGGTCCCTCTGTGTGCTTGCTTCACTGATTCTGAGTATTTTTAGGGCTTCTGCCCTTTATGTTTATTGATTGTCAACAGTTGATCAATCAAAGTTATTGGAAGGCTTTTCAGATGATTGGAATCATATAATCAAATGGCCATGCTGCTTCTATAGACGGGATTAAAATGTGAATATTCCAGTCTGCTGCTTTTGTGGATGGATATTTGATATCCCTCTTTGGACTTCTTAGATAAACATCCTCACTTCCTTAGGGAGTTAGGGTGCTGCCATGGAATATGTTCTTGTCTGCAGTAAGTGAAAGTATTCATTTAGAAGAGAGGAGTACGTCTAGTTACAGTGTTGTTTTGGGTGATTTTGGGGGACATCCCAATTCTGATTTTCTGTTTTTGATTTGCTCATTCAGAGGTTATCATTCCTTTACCAAGAGGACTATGGGGTTTTTGATGCCTGAGGATGTGTTTTTTGATGCCATGTCTTACGTAATTTTTAAAGTGGTGCTTCCAAAGAAATGTGTGCTCTGTTATAGTAACATATCCAGGGGCTGCAAGGTTATGGAGTAAGGCTTGCATGACTTACATAGTGAGAGCAAAACAACCATTCATCAGTGAGGAATAATTTTTTATGTGCTGGGCATTATCATTACAAGATACCTGTCATTAATGTAGCATGAACTGTGATTTAGTTTTTATATTATTTGGTAATAGGCAAATAGTTTATAATGAGGGTGAAGTGGTCATAAAATTAAACATATATATATATATACACAAACCACACAAAGCAATTAAGAAAACCTCTGTTGGGTTGAAAGCAAGACAATATTTATGAGGTACATTTTAACAATATTAGAGATGCCATATTTTAGATTTAAAAACTATGTTAAATTTCATCAACTGTTTAAAGAGAAGCAGACTATAAATATATATTCCAGTAGGGACATTTTAAAAAGTTTTATAAACAGTATCTATTGTGTTTAGCGTTCCTCAGAATAATGGACATATTTTAGATTTCATGATGTAGAACATGCATTGACATCCCAGATTTTGTCATTATTCTAGTATCAATGAGAATTCTTTATTCCACTGATAACTCTGGAATTTATTTTTACCTCATTTTGTTTAAGACTTTTTATGTTTTCTGTTTTGCGGTCTCTGTTATGATATGCTGAAATTAGAATCTCCACTTTGTACTGTGGTTTATTAAATATGTTGCATTTCTTTAGGGGGATAACATGTCAGAAATTCTATTACCATGTATAGTGACAAACAATAAAATTTCTTGGCATTGCTCTTGGTGAGATTTACGTTGCTAATTAGTGCTTTAGGAGATGATTCTTTCTTGCCGCTGCAATGTTTTGCCTAGAGATAAGAAATAAACGCAAGTAATTTCTACTGCAAAATCAATTCTTATCTGCAGACTCCATGTTGGTGCCCTTCCTTTAATACTGAAATGGTGGTCTAGTTTGTTTGTGTTGGGCATTTTAGAATTACAGTGTTAGCTCACAGTGTCATCCCTGCCATTTGTTAACATCTAATTCTCTCATTGTGTAAATGGTGTGCACAGTCAGCTACTTAGAGAGGGATGTATGAGACAATGGTGTTATTAAACAGAAACATAGGGCAATTTGCATATATTTGTGTGTGTACATGTGTATAAGCAAGCTTCGAGAATAATCTAGTTCTTAGTTGACATAAAATTTTACTTGTCATCATTACTCAGATTAGAAATCTCAATCAGTGCCATTCTTAACTCCCTTCTCCTATATCATCATGGCCAGATGGTTCTGGGTAGTGTTAGTTTTATCTTCCTAAACACGTCTTTCTTTCTGTGTACCATACTTTTTGCAATTCTTCAGATACTTATTCCTTACCTTACCTGGATTATTGCACTATCTTCTTATCTGGTTATCTTATCCCAAGTCTTCCTTCCCCCTTTACAAATCTATTTTTTTCCTCAAAACCGACTGCAGTTTATAGTAGCATTTCTTAATAAGGAATCCATAATCCAGGCATATGTTGAAGATATTGCAGATTTGATTCCAGACCATCCCAATAAGGAGAATATTGCAAAAAAGGGAGTCACACAAATTGTTTGGTTTCCCAGTGCATATAAAAGTCGTATTTGTATACTGTAGTCTGTTGGGTGTGCAGTAGCATTATGTATGTAAAACACTGTACATACCTTAATTTAAAAAATACTTTATGCTGGACATGGTGACTCATGCCTATAATCCCAACACTTTGGGAGGCCAAGGAAAGAGGATTACTTGAGCCCAGGAGTTTAAGACCAGCCTGGACAGTAACAGAAACAGACCCTGTTTCTATAAAAAATAAAATATTAGCCAGACTTGGTGGTACATGCCTATAGTTCCAGATATTAATTAGGGAGGCTGAAGCAGGAGGATCACTTGAGCCGATGTGGTCAAGGCTGTAGTGAGCTGAGATGGTGCCGCTCCACTCCAACTTGGGTGACTGAGTGAGACCCTGTCTGAAAACCAATGATAACAATAATCTGAACCTTCAGCAAGTCATAATCACTTTGCTGGTAGAGAGAGTCTTGTCTTGATGTTGATGGCTGCTGACTGATCAGGATAGTGGTTGCTGAAGGATGGAATGGCTGTGGCAATTGCTTAAAGTAAGACAACAATGAAGTGTTCTGTATTGATTGACACTTCCTTTGTTGAAAGATTTTTGTGGCATGCAATGCTATTTGATAACATTTTACCCATAGTAGAACTTAGTTTAACTGGAGTCAGCCCTCCCAAACCATGCTGTTGCTTTTTATCAACTAAGTTAATGTAATATTCTAAATCATTTATTTGTATTTCAACAATGTTCACAGTATCTTCACCAGAAGAGGATTTTATCTCAAGAAACTACCTTCATTACATATCTATAAGAAGCACCTCCTGACCTGTGAAAGTTTTATCATGAGATTGAAACAGTTCAGTCACAACTTTGGGTTCCACTTCGAATTCTAGTTCTCTTGCTGTTTCTACCACATCTGCAGTTAGTTCCACCACTGAAGTGTTGAAGTGGATCAGAATCCACTTCTTCCATACTCTTGTTAATGTTGCTATTGTGACCAACTCCTGTGAATCATGAATGTTCTCAACGGCATCTAGCAGGGTGAACTCTTCTCTGAAGATTTTCAATTCACTTTCCTCAGATCCATAAGAGGAATTGCTATCTATGGCTTTTACAGCCTTAGGAAATATATGTCTTAAATAAGAAGACTTGAAAATCAAAATTATTCCTTGATTTATGGACTGCAGAATAGATGTTATCTTAGCAGGTATGAAAGCAACATTAGTCTCTTTGTACATCTCCCTCATCTCTTGGGTGACTAGATGCATTGTCAGTGAACAGTAGTATTTTGAAAGGAATCTTTTTTTTTTTTCTTTTCTGAGCAGTACGTCTTAACAGCTTAAAATATTCAGTAAACCATGTTGCAAACAGATGTGGTGTCATGCATGCTTTGTTTTTCCATTTATAGAGTACAGGTGTAGCAGATGTAACATAATGTTTAAGTGCTCTGGGATTTCCGAAATGCTAAATGATCAACTTCAACTTAAAATCATCAGCTACATTAGCCCCAAACGGGAGAGTGAACCTGTTTTTTGAAGCATTGAAAGCAAACCTTGACTTCACCTCTCTACCTATGAAAGTCCTAGATGGCATTTTCTTTCAACAGAAGGCTGTTTTGTCTACATAGAAAATCTATTTCATATAGCCACCTTTGTCAATGATCTTAGCGAGATATTTTGGATAACTTGCTGGGGCTTCTACATTAGTAATTGCTGCTTCACTTTGCACTTTTATGTTATGGAGATGGCTTCTTTCCTTAAGCCTCATGAACCAAACTTTGCTAGCTTCTAACTTTTCTTCTGCGGCTTCCTTACCTCTCCTAGCCTTCATAGAATTTTGACCAAGCTTACCATTTTATATGGGCACTGTTCATGACACCCCAAACAATTACAGTAGTAACACCAGAGATAACTGATTACAGAACACCATAACAGATATGATAATAATGACAAAGTTTCAAATATTGTGAATTACCAAACTATGACACAGACAGGAAATGAGCACATGCTGTTGGAAAAATGGCACCAATAGACTTGCTTGATGCAGGGTTGCCTCAAACTTGCAATTTGTAAAAAATGCAATATCTGCGAAGCATAATAAAGTGAAACACACAAAACATGAAGTATCCCTAAATTCCAGAGACTGTATCACACATATTAATCACTTAATGTGATTAATCAAAAGCTACAGTCTTTTGTATGTTTGATGATTGTTTGATTAAATTGAATATGGTGCTTTTTCTAGTTAGATGGTATCTGGATAAATCTATTATATAATACTCTGATACTATAGGGCTTATATATGAATGATAAAGCCTACATTACACCTTACATTTAGATAAAATTTTGAATTTCTAATCTGGCCGTTTTTATATACATTTGGTTTTACCCAAAATATGTCACTTAAGATGTTTTGGGGCACTGTATGTTTTCTGTACATATTTAATTAGTTTTGAGTTAAATGGTATAACATTGATTAAATAAGTCATAGTCTGCACATGAATATCACTAATTGTTTAAAATAACTGTGTAATCTCTAATAAGTTAAGCTTCTTTTAACTTAAAACTATTTTTAAATGTAGGGACAAAATTAAGTAGTTCTTGAGGAGGATGATAAGATTAGATATTATTGTGGTAGCATTTTCTGAGTAGAAAATCATTATGTGAAATGTTACCCAGCAAGATCAGGTTTCAAGTTTTCAGCACAATCCTAATCGACTTGGGCTTGGGTAACTGTAAAGCCTTTATAGTCAAACATCTGATACTGCAGCCATAGTTGAGTATTTGTGGTTCATTGTGAAATGTCCCGTTATTTTTTTCATGATATGAAAAGTAGAAGTCGAGCCCCACAAGAAATTCAAGGACTGTTGTGTGTGCCTGTGTGTGTGTGTGTGTGTGTGTGTGTGTGTACACGTGCATGCATAGGCACTCACATTTCTGGTAGTTATCACATTGTTGATGTAAGATTGGATTGCTGAATGGGAAGGAAATACTTTTTATACAGAATGCCTCACAGTAATGCAGTAAGCATGGAAGAGGACTCTTAATTACTATTAAGTCCTCCCAGACTTAATTGTGATTGTCTTAGTCAGCTTAAGCTGCTGTAAGAAAATACCATAGAGTGGGTGGCTTAAATAACAGAAATTTTTTTCTCACAGTTCTGGAAGACAGAAAGCCCAGATTAAGGTTGGCAGTGTCCGTTTCTGGTAAGGGCTTTCTTCCTGGCTTGTAGCTGGCTGCCTTCTTGCTGTGTCATCACATTGGCCTTTCTTCCATATGTCTGCGCAGAGACACAGCAAGCTGTCTACTGTCTCTTCTTATAAGGACACCAATCCTATTGGATCAGGGCCCCATCCTTAGGACCTCATTTATCCTTAATCACTTCGCTAGAGGGCCCATCTTCAAATGCAGATACACTGAGGGTTAAGGTTTCAATGTATGAATTTTGAAAGTACAAAGACATTCAGTCCATAACCGTGATTCAGAATTTGGAAGATTTATAGAATTCATAGTATAACATAAGAATATTTCTAGAAATTTTTTGTATCTGATTCATTTTGAAAGTTATTTATAACAATATGCTTAACACAGTACCATGGTTCTATTTTTGCTTACTACTCATATGTGTTTTCATATGTTATTCCTAACATATAAACCAATAAAATTAAGAAGTTTTATATTCAAATATTGACTGGGTGCAGTGGCTCACACCTGTAATCCCAGTACTTTGGGAGGCTGGGGTGGGCGTATTGCTTAAGGTCAGGCCTTCAAGACCAGCCTGGCCAACACGGTGAAACCCATCTCTACTAAAAATACAAAAATTTGCATGAAGTGGTGGCCTGCACCCGTAATCCCAGCTACTCTGGAGGCTGAGGCAGGAGAATTGCTTGAACCTGGGAGGCGGAGGTTGCATTGAGCTGAGATGATGCCACCGCACTCCAGCCTGGACAACAGAGTGAGACTCCATCTCAAACAAAACAAAACAAATATAATGTGTATGTTCACATAACATAAACTCACTTGGATTTTATTTGAAACCTTTGGTAAAAATAGCTGTGGTGACTGCATGTATATTGATGCCTCAAGGCATCAATAACCACTAAGCTATGCAATTATAGCCACGAAATGGCCATTTCTTAATATATCTTTTTATGCTGTCAAGCTTTCTTTCTCCATTCTTCCAAATAATTGAGCAAAAAAAGGTAATTTCAGTGATTTCAGCTTTATCAAGATCTAGGTATAATTTACTCCAGAAACATTGAACACTCTATAAATATTTCAGTGCAGAAATAGGACCCAAAATGGATGTAAAATTACATTGTGTGTGAGTCTTTCCAAGTATCCTATGCAGGTGAAAATCTTTGAGGAGGAATAGGCATTTAACTGGGATGATTTTATTTAATTTTTTTTCTAAGTGGAGCTCTTCTCTTCCTCTCTTATTTCATTGCTTGTGCTCTTAATTGCCACACGCCTGAATGATTTTAGTTTTGCTTCATTGTTTTGAACTTGACAACATAATTCAAATGCAGAACAGTTGATATGCTCACATAGGGACTTCTTTTTATAGTTGATTTGTTTTCAGAAGGAATAAAAATTATATTTTTGTTGAGCCAGTTTTTCTAAAAGCAATAGCACATAATTCTTAAAAATAAGTCTTAGTTCTTTTAGGACAATTAAAAGACTATTTATCCTTTGTCTTCTTACACACCCAAGCAAAAATGAAATTGATAATTGTTTACTGGAACTCAGGTCGTTTTTCTATTGAGTTTCTTTTTTATTAAAAAGTTAAGGCCTGTGCTGGTGCAGTGCAAGATGTCTATATGATATCTGGATTCTCTGTAGTCTGCTAGTAATCATCTCCTGGGCCTGTTCTTAGTACTCAGGTATATATATGCAGGGTGGTTAGTTGTCAAATTAGAGGAACATCACAGAAATTAGAGGACCTCAGAGAAATTAAGATAAAGTTGTGGAGATGTAGATATTACTGTTAAGTTAATTAAATACCTACTAAGCGCCTACTCAGTGTTTACTGTGTAAGATCCTGATAACTTTTTGGAAGTTTTAAGGCATATGTTCATTCCATTAACATTTATTCAGCACATTCTGTGTTCTTGAGACTGTAGAAGTTGTGGGGGTTAATAGATGAATAAAATACCATTTCTGCCTTTGAGTATTTCAGACCATTTTCTGTGTTATTTAATGAGGTCTTTCAGCCTCTTCTCTGTGAAGCATATCTTAAGCCTCATACTTGATGTTATTTTTTGATTTTAAAGTTGATAATTTCTAAATTATCTCTTGAATTATTCATGTATATGATATTCCAACATGTTAAAAAGTATTGTCTTTCCAACACAAATATAAGCTCTTAAAGGAAAGGAACTCATACCTTTGTACCATTAATTTTCTTGGCATAGTGCTGAAATGCTGTGTTTTATATAGTATGTCAAGCAAATTAATAAATAGGGACATGATAATAAAAATAATACCTAACATCTATTGATCCTTTATATTAGGCTTAATGCCAAGGACTTTACATAAATTACCTTGAAACAAAAGATTTGAGATGGGTAGATACTATGTTCCCCATTTTACCAGTAAAGAATCAGAGGCAGATGAGGGTGAGTAATTTGAAAAAGTTCATCAAGCTAGAAAATGATAAACCTGGGATTTGATGTCTGACTTAGAGCCAATTGTTCTTAACCTTTTTAAACATTTGTGGCCTAAGTCTAATAAAACTGTGATTTAAAAAAGTATTGGTTATAAGATTCTATCGAGTAAACACTCCCCTACTGCTGTTGGCAGTTTTTCTGCCTGATTATTGCTATCCTATATGATTACTCACCAAAATGAAAGTCTGGTTTGTCAAAGACAGGTATGTTGAAACTCTTTCAGTTTATACCCTAGTTGTAAATAGTTTTGAAGACTGAAAAAAAAAAAAAAACATTTCCACAACCCACTTACATTTGGAGGATGCAAAACCTCACACCGTTTTGCTTGTCCAACATGAGGATGACCATTTTGGGTAAAGATTTGGGCTTATGGACAGCAGCATGACATATTTTAAATGTAACTTCGTACTGTTTGTTTTTAGAAGATGGTGCTCTGAGGGCAGGAAACGTACTGTGGGTAATGGGAGAACTAAAGACTTCATGAAACTCAATTTTTTATTGTTGATCTTGGACTTACAGATTGAAATTCTTGTTTCTTGCTAACCTACTAGTCAAATCATAATTGCTAACAAAATGTAGATAATCCAAAAGGTAATTTTAGAAGGTGTCAATTTCTACACTTGTGGAAACAATTGCATGGAAATAGTTGAGATTGTCTACCTCCACAATGTTTAGGTCCACCATGTTTAGGTGGAGGTAGAGGGAGGCTAAGTTATTAACATCGTTTTTCCTTTTGAGATACGTGTCTAGGCAAAGAAAAGGAGGCCTGAATGAATGCCCCAGTATAGTTTCAGAAGCAGCATGACTGCATCCTTTAGGAAGTGTTCTTAAGCAGAGAATAAGCAGAATCTTTATCATGACCACTTGTTCATCCACTCTCCTATCACCCATTTATTATACTCCCACTGGGAAGTATGAAAACCTCACCCTTTCCTTTTTATTTTTATAAAAGACATATGCATAATTGCCAAGCAGGGCATGTTTCAGGCCACTGTGGCTATCTTAAATTCATAATGTAGTTCTTCTCTAGCATGTCTGCAGGAAATACAATTCGTACAATGATTATTCAGTTTGTAGCTTAATTTGTGTTCATTGAAGATGACCTGATGGTAGCTAGAAATAGAAAATTGGCATTAATTAAGATTTGTTGGAACAGATTGTTGTCAGTGAGGTAGTTTAAAGAATAGCTCAGATCTTAATTTCTTAAATGTTAGGATTAGCAAGGCTCACTTTGGAAGCCTCCTCTCCCACTCTCCCACTCTCCCCCACTACGAGAAGGAAAGTACTGAACAAGAATACAGGAAGTACTAGTAGGAATTGCCAAAGTTTTTACGGCTTACTCTGTTTTTATTTAACTTTTCGAAATTTTAACTTGATTGCTAAGACGAGAATTATTTATTATTTTTCAATTCCCTTCTTTTTTATTGTATTACTAAAAGTCATCCAATTATAACTTAATTCCCAAAGTTTTATAAGTTACTTTTTATAGTACATAGAGTGGTAAAGTCTTCTCTCCTTTTCTCATAAGAAGGTGATGAGGGATTGTGAAATAGTCTCTGAAGCATTTTGAGTAACCTGGAGCAGATAATTATTTAAACTTTTGAATCCAGTCTTCCCTGTACCCAACTTCCAACCACCTAATTTCCCCAACAATTTCTAGTCTTTATTAAAAGGGTACCTTTGTGATAAGAGAGTAGGGGGATACATAATTTTTAATAGCTAAGGAGTTGTGTCCTTTGGTAAAAAGAAGGCCAGGACTAGTTTCCACATGGACCATTTACTGTTGTTTATTACTATCCCAATTTTAAACCATGCTTGTGAGAATTGATCTGAGAGGAAGCTTCCTCTTCAAAACAGATCATTCAAAACAGCCCCTACCACATTAGGATGCAAACTAAGACATGAATGAGGTTTATCTGAGAATTATATTTTGTTTCTGGTAAGGATGTTTTAGATCATATAGTTTTAGACTTTTGTTTCACAAATCAATAAACTAAGGCTTAGGAAAAGTGAGTGAGTTGTCCACAATGATAGTCAATGAATATTTGACTCATCTTTAAGCTTAGAAGAGGCTGATTATTTCAGAATTTAAGAAGAATGTACAAAAGTATATTCAAAAGTAAGTGAAGGCTGAACCCTGTGTAAAGAAAGAAGGATCAATGTTCTGTTCTTACGTACTATTGAAATGGAACTATTGAAATAGTTCTTAGGTACTATTCAGTGGGTTTGGCCATTGAAAGGAATGGCAAAAACCGCAATTACTTTTGCACCTACCTAATAGTAAATAGTTGTAAAACTGTTGGCAGGAGTTAGGGATGCAAGAGAGATTGTACTATAATTTGTACTTCAAATAGTGATCTAAAATTTTTGATTCTGGTCTCATTGGCTTCTTGTTGCCACCAGGACCTCACCCAAAGGAAGACTGAAAAGAACAAGGAAGGGACTGTGACTGGCTCAGATTCCCACCATGGGTTGGTGGAGAGAGCCATTGAGCTCAGTAAGGCATGGTGAGCCAATGACGACCTCGCAGAGAGAAATCATTGAATTGAGTATTATTTTCCAGTTTTTGTTTGGAATGCATTTAACTATGGGATATGTGAGGCAAGGGCCAATAGATTTGTCTGTAGACAATTTGATTAAGAGGGTTTGTCCAACAGCTATTCTCTTTTCAGATTTTCCCCATGGACTTAACAACCCACTCTGTTTCTTTATTTACATTATATTTTATGTTTTCTGATTGAATTTTCCTTCTGTTTCTCTATAAAAAATAAAATGGATAGCAATTAAATATTTAAATATAATCACAGTAAAATATAATGGTCTGAAAAGCCCAATCAGTAAATGAAAGCATTGTGAAGTAATGTGAAGAGACAGTAAGAATCAAGTTTTCATTTACCGATTATTTTTTCTGGCATTAGTAACATTTAAATTTTCTTCATGAATGGATCTTTAGTGTATCAAATGCAGTATATAATATATGTAATGATTATTTTACTGATTAAAAGCAGCTAAATCCAATATAATTCAGAGCTATCAAATGCTTTGTGTAATTAATTCATTATGTGTTGTCTTATTCATCACATACAAAATGGTGATATTGATCCCTGACCTTCCTATTGTCTAGGCTTGCTATGTAGACTAAAATTAAAACATGCATTTGATAGCCTGTTACAAGTGTATGCTGCTGATTTTATTAAACCCTTTGCATTTAATTTAAATATTTTCAGATTGTTTTTCTTAGTTTGGAGAATCAAGATCCAAGAAATTAGCTGTTTACTTTATAGCACAATCTATTCTGTAAGCTGATGTGTAAGTTTGCATGGGTATCATGGAGTCCCAAAATTTAAATGACATAATCAAATAGAAGTTCACTTTGCATGTTGCAGTCTGAAGGTGGGTAGTCCTATGAGTTATGAGATAGCTGTGTTACCCCAGGATATCAAGGAAGCTAGGTCCTTCTGTCTTGTTGCTTTGCTGTCTCTAGGATTTTGTTCTTATCCCAGTGGTCTCAGATAGCTTGCAGCTGGAAGAAGGGGCATGCATAGTCCCTTTAAAGACATGCTCTGAAAGTTGAATAAACAGTTCTACTCATGTCCCATTGGTTTAGACATACACTTGCACTGAGCTGAAAGGGAGGCTAGAGAATAGATCTTTATTCGAGGAGGCATGTTCCAAGATAAAAAGTGGAGGATCTTAACTGTAGGGAAGGGTCCTTCTTGGAGAACAACCACCAGCCTCTGCCAAATCTGTTTTTTCATTAAATCCCATGTGTGGGCTTGATTTATATTAAAGATGTGTTATCACTTTTTACCTTTGAAAAAAATTACCTATATAGTTTACACAGACACTCCTTATATTTTAGGTCTCTCTGACAATGCTGAGCCTCTAATGGCCTTCACCAATTTTTGCTCTCCACCCCCACCTTCAAGGCCTAATTCAAATGTCACATAGCACCTCCTTGTGAAGAATTCTTTCACTCCTTTAGCTTCAATTAATCACTTTATCTTTGCAATTTCATTTTAACGTAATATGTGTGTTCTTCTGTTGCAGTATCTAATAAACTCTCTCAATTTTTCTTGTAATAGGACTGCAGTTTGCTTAATTGGTAGAGTTCACGTCTCATTGATCTTCTCTTCCCCATGGTGTCCTTGTTAATACTGGACTTGTGATATTTTCAGATTGAATGAGTGGAAATTTGAATTCTAGCTCTGTTTCTTCTTTGAACATAATGTGTTATCTTGGATAAGTCACTTAGACTATTTTTCTTGTCTTTCCAGTAAAACAGGGGAAATCATAATTCTTGCATCAAACTATTATAAAAATAAAATAATTTGCAAAAACTTGAAAAATGTTCTGTCAGTTGTAAGATATTTAGTTTATGAGATGTCACTGTTTGCTGCCATTGTTAGAAATTTGGAGAAAGATAATCAAGATAGAATGAAATCCAATTTGCATTCTAAGATATTTTACAGCAGTATTTTGGCATACTGGTGCCAAATGTTTCATGTTTCCATAAGAAATATTAAAATATCTGATATTTATTTTTTATCTAAAATTTCATCAGTAGTTAGAAAAGGGAGTCTAGTTAGTGTTCTTTATTCAGATTCCATGACAGGATATAAAACTACTGTTACTTAATGAAGCAGAGCCTCAGTTGTTTTTAATATATATTAACGACTAATGTTGGGGCTGGGTATGCTGGCTTGTGCCTGTAATCCCAGCACATTGGGAGGCCATGGCAGGAGGATGGCTTGAGGCCAGGAGTTTAAGACTATTCTTGGAAATATAGCAAGACCCCTTATGTACAAAATAAAAAAAACCAGCCAGGTGTGATTGTGCATACCTGTGGTTCTAGCTACTTGGGAGACTAAGGTGAGAGGGTTGCTTGAGCCAAGAAGATGCAGGCTGCAGTGAGCTGTGATTGTGCCACTGCACTCCAGCCTAGGTGACAGAGTGAGGCCTTGTCTCAAAAATAAAATTAAAAAGAAAAACTAATTTTGGGACTCCAATATCAGGGATTGGGATTTTCCTGATGTACACTCTACCTATAAGTAAATTATCCTTTATTAACTGAGATGCTTTATTTGGATCTTATTTGTAACTCAGCATTTTTTTTTTTTACTGTGAAGTTAAAACTTTATGTAGCAAATTATACCTATTGATATTTCCTAATTTGCCATGTTTGGTATAATGACAGTTCATTTACAATAAATCCCAATTCACTTAACATATTAGTGCTCAGGTTTTTTTGTTGTTGTTGTATTTTGGTGGAGGCAGTGGTGATATTTCTTTAGCTATTTTCATACTTAGGTCACTTCAACCTTCTGAATGTATGATATTGATGTAGAATTTCCCTTGCTTTCCCACCGTCCATACTCATAAGTGTTAACAGTAGTATCCCGACAGTATTTCTGCCCATTATCTGATGGGTATGTTTTTGGGGAAAAGGGATGTGTCTTAAAGTCCTGTGTCTGCACCGTCATCCAAATTTTGTTTGAAATGTGATTATGAAGCTTCATATACACAAAATGGAAATTTGGAGAAGAGACTTTAGGGAGCAAAACCAATTTGCTGTCTCTTAGGAGGTGCATATGTATGTAGGAAATAATTCTTTGGAAAATCTGTGTCATTATTTGTGCGCTTCTGTCTTTGAGATCCTCAGTTTAATATTTATTGAACATTCATTATATGCTAGGATTTTTCCATTATACTGAAATAGTTTGCTGCCTGTTAAACTAAATACAGCATAGAATATATTTTAATTATGAACAGTAATCTGGTTTCCGAGATTCTTGTAAATTGCACATACATACACTAATGCTTTAGCCTCTGTTGGTTATTAGGATCACTGCCACGTTAATACTCCTTTATCATTTAAGATACAGATGGTTAGTGCTCCTGGGAAACTTCCCCCAAGAAATATGGTTTCTTCTTTTGTATTCCTTGGGGGAATTTCTAGTGTATCATTATCGTTGTTTTTTTAATAACTCTTTCTCTGAACTAAACTATGAATTCCAAGAAAGCTGGTAGCATATCTCACTCGTTTGCACGTCCTGTATGATTCCTAGATCATAGTGGCCATCACAGCAAATGTTTATTTGACTGAACATATATTACTTAGACATCTTTAGCCAATATTTGTATAAGGAATGGTTTGAGAAGATTCTTGTACTTGACTGTGATTGGAACCTCAGGTTATGCAACAGGAAGTCAGTATGTCAAACATGAGAATTTAAAATTTTAGGAAGAAAACTACTTCATATTACTAAGCAACCAAGTGAACTCTCTCTTTCAAAATAATGTTTTCTGAGTTTTATGCCTAGGTGAGTCAATTCTTTGCATTATCCTTAGTGAGAGACATGTTATTCTTTATGAGATATAGTGAAGTTAGTGAAGATGTCCAGAAAAACATAATGAATGTTATGTTTGCTATCTCAGGTCCAAATCTATCTAAAAGGTTTCTAGGTATCTGACATCAGCAGAATAATTGACATAGGAACCAAAATATATACCAAGTAGGTAGGGGAGGCAGTACACCAAGTGGATATTTCCAAGTTTTCTTTGTTTTAATATAGATAGAAAATAACTGACAAGGATGGAATGGGGTCAAGTAGAGCAAGTTAAGTGGAGATAAGAAGACAGAATTCTGTTAACCTTAAATGCAATTATATATGATGAGCATTTTTATAGATAGCAGCTTGACTCAAAAATAATTTAGGGTAAGTACATAGAAAATAATGCTGCAGTGATTTAACCCACTTAATTTTGTTTTAGATGTATTCTGGAACTAGAGGAAGTTGGTAAAATTTGGCAGTAGGACTAAAAGTTCCAGTTGTCACTATTATGGTAGTTTAGGTGAAAGGGGCAAGCGGAAAGGAAATAGTCCTCAGTCTTTTTATAATAAAGGACTCAATGAAAAAAAAACAGTGAATTCTCTGGTTCAACTTTAAATACTCTATGTAATGTCTATTACTTTGTTTCTAAAAAGCCTATTCATTAAGGAGAAGGAAAATGGAAATTCTTTTACTTGGTTTGAATTCTTTTTTGATTTTTATGTATGATAGCTATTGTAGCTCCATTGATCATTTAAAAAAAAATCTTACCATTTCAAGTTGTTGTTCCTTCTAAGGTTCCTGGCCCTGCTCCATCATAAGCAAGTGCAATCAGTCTTGAGCTCTTTGATCAGGAGGGAGTCAGATAATGCTGTCAAGGTGATGGTAGTTAGACTTATGAAAGTGGTGGGATTCAGGAGGAGTCAAGGCACATTTTATAATATCAAATAGACCTTCAGGGGTTAATCTGGCATTGCTATTCTATCTGCTGGGTCAAGGCTTTTTTTTTTTTCCTCATGCTCTTTTAAATACTGGATTCTGTCCACCCTGTTTAGAAGATTAGCCTTGGAAACCAATATTGTGTTTTCTTTCTTCCCTTCAGGACAAACTATTTTCCATTTGGGATCACCTCAACAACCTTAACAGGCAGCACCAGGTCTTCATATGCTTTTAAGTTTACCTTCTGCTATGGAAAGGATCTTTCCTTGAATGTTCATATTTTCATCTTGAGAAGGCAATATATATATAGGATTGGTTAAGCAGCTGTAAATAAATATGACAAAATAGAAGAGTGGTTTGTGGGAGTTTTACTATATATACACATATATAATATTTTCCAGTCTGGTTTCAGACCCCGGCATGGCTTGGAGACAGCGTTGGTGTGTATGAAGGATCTTCCTCCAATGAAGGATTTGGGACAACTTTCCATGATGATTATATTAGAGCCTCAGCTGCTTTCGTGTTGGTCATGAGGTGATGCTGAACCGAATGCTTGAACTAGCAGGAGTGGCTGGGATTGCATTGGAGTGGTTCCGTTCATTCCTTCCGGGTAGGTACCAGCTAGTGACGTTGGGTGAAAATGGACATTGAGGGTCTTCCCGTAAGGAACCCCATAAGAGTCACTCATTCCCCTGTCATTTAGTGGGCATGAGAGGACAAATGGACAACTGAAGGCCAGGCAGTGCGATTTGAATGACTGGGTAGAAGGTTATGAGAGTGATTCCCAGATTGGTGTCGCTCACATATGTTATTTCTGTTTTGTCAGTGTGACAGTGCAGTCTAGAATGGAAAGTGAGAAAGTGTGAATTGTTGGAAAGTGAAAATTTGAGAGGCTCTGGTGTGCTTTCTAATTTCTCTGTCTGAATTAACAGTTTGTGTAAACTGTGGCCATATTTTAACCACAAATTTATCTAAACATGAAAATCCTATGTAATATTAGATAGAAATGTTTTATTTTCCTTTCTTGTATATATCCAGAGCCTTTTTCCCTGTGAACATTGACTGCATCTCCATGATCTTTCTTGCTGAAGTTGTAGTCTCCTTGTTCACTCTTTTCCTTGGGACCCTTTTAAGCAAAGTAGCATGATGACATTAATAAATATTCTTGAGGCTGATTTTTCCCGGTGACTGTTTTATCTTCACTGAAAGCACTTCATTATTCTGATTCTGCTTTCCTAAGAATCAAATTGGGTTGTAGTTTTAAGGAATTTGCAGCATAAATACTGCCTCTACTTTGCCTTAAACTGCTCATGCATTTTAAATTTTTACAAGGAATATACTAGAGTTTCTCCAATTTTGAACATGTTGCTTAGAAATGTGGTGCTTGTTCTTGGTTATTTATTTATATAATATGATTTCAGTATTTTCCTTTAGACTAATGAAAAGCTTGCTGAGTGTTGAACATGAAAGAAGTTTATTAGGTCTAAGAGTAGAATACAGGTAAAGAACTGAAAAGAAAACACAGATGTATGTGTCTGTAAATATCATTAGAACTGTCTGTTCAATGTCATTTTGGCAAAAAGGCAGGAAACTAACATTTATGTAGTAACTGATCAGTGTCAGGCACTGAGCCAAGCAGTTTCTATTTTTTTTAGCTGATTTATTCCTGATGGTAACATTGAGAAGTGGGTGCTGTTTCTTCATTTTACAGATGAGGAAATTGGTGCTGAGAGAAGCTAGGTATCTTGCCTAACTTCACACAATGATAAGTGGAAAGATCTATTATTTGGCCTCGGTCTCGCCCATTCCAAAGCTCAGTATTTCCGTCACTGTGGGCCACAGGCAAGCGTTAGACTTGAAGTGGGGTCCCTAGAGAAAAGATTTTGAAAAGAAGAAGAAAATGATGGTTAGGAGACATGAACAAACCAAGGAGGAAATGAGAGACATAGGAATGTATTAGGATAATGTTGATTTTGAAAATTTCCAGAGTTTTCCTCACACTTAGTTTGAAAAGCCAAGTGATAAAAGGAACAATTTTAAGATTATCAAATGAACAGGTTTAGAATTTTGGATTTTCTATCTTTGTTCTGACATTTCTTCACACTCTATGCTGAAAATGAAGTAAAGATACCCCACACTGGATCCTAGAAACTTACTCTAAGGATCTGTGCATGGAAGGCAATCAGGTGGTTAGTAATTAATTATCTGAGGAAAGACAGCATTTGAAGACAAATATCAGGTGTTTACTGTTTATAAAAGCTTTTTTTGTTTTTAATGTGTCTGCAAAAATTTTTCTATGTGGAACGTTGGCTTACCACTGCTTTTAAGTATAACATGGTACATATGACAGAGATGTGGTGAATTCTTGTGTTCTACTTAAAGAGTAACTTGTCTGGATTTCAGTAAATGGTTGTTTTCATCTTTGGATGGAGTTTGAATTCATACTAGCAGTTTTCATTTTTATGTTGATGATCGCTGTCTCTCATCATTACAATAGATTTATTTCAGGTGTAGTCAGAGAGGATGTTGTTTCTGTGCTTATAAATGGACGTTGACACTAGAAAGGTTAAAGCTGTTACTGTTATCCTAACGTCATGTTGTCATTACTGATTGTTACTAGTACCTTAGAAAACAATCCCCCCACACGCCAAAAGAAGTAAAGCCCTTTAACTGTAATGATTTTCAATGTCAATGCTATATTTTATCTACTATCAACTCCTGAAGTAACATTTGTAATTGAATTCAGCACCTTAAGATTTCCTGACTTAGCTTTAGTGAGATATTGATTTCATGAAATTAGGTGGCAGGTGTATCCAGAAACTATTTCCTGAAAGCTTTAAGTGGCAATATAAAAGACCAAGAACATTAATTCAAGTTAAATGAGTTGGTTGGAGTTGTGCTTACTTAAATAAGATGCTTGCCAAATGGCCAGAAACTGTGATATCCCAAGTTGTGTTTTTAGGAAGATTGAAAAATGAAGGGAAACAGAAGAATATTTATCCTTTTGTTACGTAAACCTAGGTAGTTCTCTATAATTTTAGCCATGGTTTAATCAGTTGCCATTTAGTTAGTTGATTAAATAGGGGCCCAGGTTTAAGATAATTTTTTTCTTGAACTACTACCTTGGCTCTCCAATTCTCTTTTCTACCCCGATTACATTTACATATTCTCCTTTTTCGTTATTGGAATTGCTCTCTGGAGAGTCTCTGTGTGTCTGGTTGGAACATTGATATTGCTGTCAAATAATGCACAGGAAATCTTATTTTGTTTATAGATACATTTCTCCTCATGGGTAATCAAAACGCACGTTTTTTCCTAAGGAAGATATTTCTGTAAAACAAAAGTAATACTTACATAACTGATTAGTAGCATTGCTTGTGGAATTTATTAATATGTATGTATAATTTTATAAATTTTAAAAACTATTAGCTTGCAACATTGTTATTTATTCTCTTTAAACATTTACATTGATCCTAGTCATCTTGACCTTTATTTTACTGGTTTTAATGTACGGAAGAAGAGTATTAATATTGGCTTGTAGCAAGCATAGGCATTTCTGCGACCCCCTGCTCTGAACTTAGGTTTCTCATGAATCATATTTCCCTGAGGGTGAAATTAAAACAAGAACTAGGTGTATTGAATTTCTTTTAGGCCTACTACTGGATTCTTAAGATGTATTTTTAAGTGTCACATACTAAGTCTGGGGAGGGGAAGGGTGCTTAAATTCACTGCTCTTTCTAGTTATACTTCCTTTCTAAAGCCTCTTGTTTCCATAAGAGGACTTACTTTGAAATTCGTCCTTTTGTAAAGTTTGTTTTTACTTCATAATTCTATCTGCATTTTACATATATATATTTCACACCATCCTAAATAACTATGATGTTTGAATTTCACAAAACTTTCAGTTTACTACAGAAACCTATGGCTTTTTTTTTTCTAGAAAGCTTATGTTTTAAAAAGTATGTTTATATGGTAGCACTTCTAATCAAAATGGAAACCACCAGTGGACAAAGTACCTTGAGAATATAGGTGGATAAAGAAGGAGGAGGAGAGAGGAGAAAGAAGCTAAATTAAATTGGCACTCGTCTTGTGTTATGAATGCCAGTCTTAACACTAGTGGTTAAGTTAGTTATTTTTAGACATTTCCTTTATCAAACATTTAAAGGTAAAATTTTTCCCATAGCCAGCAAAATGCTGAGCTGAATTCTTTTGACATTCTGCTGATCAAGGAATTTCAGATGAGTAGTATCAGAATTTTCTGGAGAGAAAGGGGTAGGAGGATGAATCAAAAATTAGATAATGAACAAGGAAACTCTGCTGTTTTTCTTTCTGAACCATAGAAAACAATTACAAATGATAATTTTTTCTTCAACATGTAATATGCTTTTCTTCAACATGTAATTTTTTTACATTTTGAAAATAATTTTTTCTTCAACATGTAATATGTGTTTTATGTTGAGAAAGATACAGACACAATCAAAAATGTAAATATGAAAAGTCATACCAATAGAAAAAAATTAGAAAAAATTTAAATGTAACATTTAAATCCACCTTTGACAGGGAAATAACTTCACAGTTAGAAGCTGTGAAATAAACCACAAAGGAAAAGATGGAGATAATTGGCTACATAACATTTTATGTATCTGCATATGAAAAACAAAACATTAAGTCATAAACCATGGAGAAAATATTTTTAGTTAATATGCTAGAGGTATTATATGAAGAGATTATTAAAACAACAAGAAAAACCAATGACCCTCTAGCATCATGGTCAAAGGACAGGAACAGCAGAGGAGCTCTAACGCATAAAACTAAGGAATAAACAAATATGTGGATAAGCATTCAGTCTTACTAATAATCCTAAAAATCAGAGTTAAAGCAACCCTTGAGAATTGTTTTTTTAGTTCACCTAATAAATTAATCAGTCTTTGCATCTCATTCTTGATTCCAAGTGATGCGTCTTGCTTATATACTGCTGGTGAGAATGTAAACCAAAACAATACATTGAAAAGTCAGTTGGCATTATTCACAAAGGTCATTAAATAACCCATATCTCATGAATTAATAATGCCACTCTACAAACCTAATATAAAGTATTCTTGATTATATAAGAAAAGAATATAATATGCATTAAGATATTCATAGCAGTGCTATTTTAATTGTAATTAAAGGACAATTTAAATGTTCGCTGCTGATATCAGCGACTCTCAAACTTGGTTGCACATTTGAATCATTTGGAATGATTTAAGAAAACACTGACACCTCAGCCCCATCCAGATATTTTTACTTAATAAGTGTGAAGTTGGCCCTGACATTTGCATTTTTTAAAAATTTCCCTAAAATTCGAATATATAGCCAGGTTGAAGACCACTAACTTGAAACAAGTTTACAGAATATTTTAAACCATTTGATGTGATATTTTTGATAGTTTTGTGGTAGTATGTAAAATGATATAAATATTGTTATTCAGCATTTAAATAAATTATAAATTTAAAATGGAAAGAATTAGGCTGGAAGAAAGTTTACAAAGTGCTTAGAGTTATGTTCAGGAGTTGGTATATTGAGTGATTTTTCTCATCTTTTCTTCAATTTGCATTTAGTAATGTTCTTGTATTACAAAGAAAAAACTGTATTTAAAGAAATGGTTCCTTCTGGCCAGATCGCCTAGATAGCTTCCTACTTACAGGTTATTTCTACCTATGAGTAGAGAGATTTATTCTGGCTTATAAAACAATTATATGCTGATGCTAGGGTATATATCATATTATAATAAAATTCTTATAGGATTTTTTTCCTTTCTTTGATCTTAGTAATATTTTCTCATATAGTTTTCTGAAGTTTGGAATATAAAGAACTCACATCAGTCATTTTTCTCTTATTACTCTACAACCATGACAATCACTTGTCACCATTTTCTAAATACTGTCTGTATACTGGTAGCTGCCCCAGTGTTTATCCTGAACACCACCATTAACTCTCTGATGCATGTACATATCTGAATTTTGGATGCATACTGTTAAATCACTGAGTCCAGAACTAAATTCATCATATTGTCAAACTGATTTCTTCTGTATTGTCCATCTTAATTATACCACCATTCTTCTCTAGTTCCCAGTCCTAAACTCCTTCTTCTCCTTTATCTCACACATTTTGTCAGTGTCTTTGTCCAAAAAGCAACAAGAAAAAACCAGCCTACTGTTTTGTTTTGTTTTTTGTCTTTGCATGTATTTCTTGACTTTCTCCACATTGCTGCCTACCATTAGTTCTCTGGCGAAGCTTGCTCCATCTTCCCTGCAGGCCAGTCCCGCAGGCTTCTAACTGGTCTGTCTTCTAGGTGTATCTCAGCTGAAATCTATCTTTGTGCTAATAAATGGACAAGAGCACCTTCCTTGTTAAAGTCCTCTGGGGCTCTCTATCATCTCCTGCATGAAGTCTAAGCTCCTTGCCATGGCATTTAAACTGTGGAACTAAATGTCATGAGCCATGAAGTGGTGTGGACCTTCCCTCTGGAATCTGATTCCTATCCTATTCGCTCTTCTACTCCTCGCTCTGGAATCACGTTCCTGCACACCACATTCAGTTCTGTCCATTTGTGCTTCCCTTGTGCTGCTCCTCCCACGTGGTATGGCCTTTTCATCTCCACCCCTGGAGTGAATTAGCAAAAATTTAAAGATTGATACTATCCGTCATTAACTAGTTACTTTCATTAGAAGGTAATTTGGAAGTAGCTATTAAAATTTACAAAGCACACTTCCAACTGGAAATACAATCTTTTTATTTATTGTAGGAAGATAGTTGTACATAAACAAAGAGAACACTATATAAAACTCTTTATTGTAGCACTTTTTTCATGGATGAAATTAAATGCAAACTAAGTGTTCTGTAATAAGGAAATACTTAAACGAATTATGATACAGTACATATATTTTATAGACTCTTAAGAACATTACGTGGATATTAAAAACATTCAAAATCTTATAATTAAACTAATTTGCATTTTTGATATGTTACTTTTTGGTAATGTCAAATTACATTAATGCCTTATACATCTTATCAATTTTCCACTATTTGTAAGCAGAATATACACTTGTAAAAAATTCACGCATGGCGCGGTGGCTCATGCCTGTAATCCCAGCATTTTGGGAGGCCAAGGGGGGTGGATCATGAGGTCGGGAGATTGAGACCATCCTGGCCAACATGGCAAAACCCTGTCTCTACTAAAATACAAAAAAAAATTAGCTGAGCGTGATGGCGCGTGCCTGTAGTCCTGGCTACTCGGGAGGCTGAGGCAGGGGAATCACTTGAACCCGGGAGGCAGAGGTTGCAGTGAGCCAAGATCAGGCCACTGCATTACAGCCTGGCGGCACAGCAAGACTCCATCTCAAAAAAAAAAAAAAAAAAAAAATTCAAGTAACAATTAATAAAGTAAAATGTTAAGGCATTGAAAGAATTCTATAGAATATTAAGAGCAAAAAATGTTTTCATTTGTATTGAAAATAAATGTAAAAATCTAAACCATAAAGTTGAATATATGCATATATATGAATGTAAATACAAAAAGATCGGGAAGAAATCATGGTTGACATTTAATAGTTATTCATTCTGAGGCAGTGGATGGGATTGAGGGGAGTTGAGGAGGACTTTTAACTGGGTATAATGATGTACTTTTGCACTTTCCATGTAATTACATTTGCTTGCATGAAAACATTAATTGAATCAAGGCAAGAATCTGACAAAATTAGAGAAGAGTCACATTGTGAGGAAGAAAATAATAAACAATTTTTTTCTGCTTTGAAAATACAGCAGAGTACCCACGTTCCAACAAACAGTAGCTGGAATTAACAGTTGTGGATGTGGCATAGTTGCTTCTTTTTTTTTTTTTTAATAAAGTCTAACAAAAAGCTGAAGTTGCTTTGATTTCCTCTTCTTTCTCCTCAGAAGCAGTGTCATAGATTTGCTGGGTATTGTCATAGTTCAGAATTTATACTTTTATTATGAATCTATAGGGGAAATATATCTAAATCTATAGCTATAACCTATTGAACATTTAAGTTATTTACAATTTATTTTTCCTATAACTAATAATGTCTTTTTGTGAAAGTATGTGTTTTTCTATGGTCTGTACCAAAAAGTGGATTGCTGATCTGTAGAGCATGCACAGTTTTTTTAAAAACTGGATCTTGCCAAATGCCTTTCCAAATTGGTTATATCAGTTTATGCTCTCACTGGAGTATTTAATATTTCCCATTTCTGGATGTCCTCAGCCAACACATGGAATTGTCAGGCTTGAAATTTTGTTTTCTGTAAATGGTAAAATGTTAGCTTATCAACAAGCCCCTGAATGTGTTCCGAGCACTCAAACCTGGCAAGGCGCTATGAGGTGAACACCTAGAATCTTTATTAAAGTCAGGGTCCTCAAGGAGCTAGTTGCCATCAAGCAGTGTGGTGGTAGACTGCACAGAACTAAATGCTACAATAGTAGCATAGGCTGTAATGCCTTTGGAAGTGCAGAGAACATCATTGTGGACTGCAGAGGTGATTAGTAGCTTTTAGGAGATGAAGATGAGGGGATCTTGACAAATGAGTAGGAAGAGAGGAGAGCAGTGGGCATTGAGGAAGAGAGAAACATGCTGAGAGGCAGCCTGATTGGAATGGGCTTTAGAAAGCTAATAGTCAAACTATTACTAATTGCCCTTAAAACCTTAACCAGAAATGGATTAATAGAGCCTCAAAACACGTGTATTTTAAACTCACTATCGCTATGTAAATGAGGCCTAGAAAAATAGTCAGCTTGTACAAGTCATATAAGCTCTCTCTTTGGCATCCAAAATAAAACTAGGTAGAGACTTATTGGCTTATTTAACTTGGGCATCCATCAGGTTGATCTTCAACATGACCAGGCAATACGGGAGTTCCCATGATCTTTTCTCCCCTTTTCTTTCCATGCTTTACTCTGCTTTCCTCTGGTTAGCTTTATCCCCTGCAGGCCCTGGCCTTGTGGAGGCAGAGATAGGCACCAGCTATTCTCTTTTGTGTCTTTATAGCTAATGTTATTACTGGAAGATAATTTATACTCTTTCCTTTTATTTCTGTATCTGTTTTTGAAAAGACACTCAAAATTCCACCAGCTTACCAATTTCTATGACCAAGTAGATAGTTTAATCTGGCCAGCCTTACTGGTGATGAAATCAATCCTATTTTATCGATGCATACACTGGAATCACATTGTTATGAAAGGGAGAGTCCCTAAAAGAAAAGAATGCAGGGTATGCAAATATAAGATGGCCACTGCAGCCTTTTGGTATATAGAGTCCTTCACAGACATGATTGCAGCCATGAATTTAAAAAGAATTTTGGTGATGTTCATTGCATGTATTTTATGTCTACACATCCATGATCGTAACAGCTTTTATTTTAGTGATTAAATGTATTTCAACAAACAACTTTTGAGTACATTGGTGTTGCTTGTCAGGCAATATAAAAATAAATATGTCTATCTCCTGTGGAATTTCCAAACTTGTTGGAAGTAGTAAGGGCAGGAAAGTTAAAGGTGTAAACAATTTTCAAAGAAAATAAACCATGAGAGATATGCAAAGTATCGTGATTGTTCTAAAGGAATGGGGCTATCTTAGGTCGTAAAAGGCTTCCCCATACGGATGGTAGCCAGAGCAGACATGGGAAACCATAGAAGCTTGGTGATTTACTGAGTTGGATTGGATTATAGGAGAGTGGTCTGAGAGTTGGAGAAGATGAAGATGAGGTAGATGCCAACTGTGTTGTAGATGACCCTAATGCTGGCCTGAGGACTTTGTGCCTCCTTCGGTGGGCAGTGAAAACCACTGATTCAACAACAACAACAACAACAACAACAACAGCAACAACAACAGCCACAACAACAGCCACAACAACAGCCACAGCCACAGTGAATGGCATGGCTAAGAAGCAGTCTGAGCAGTGTTTCTGTTGTTGTTTTTAAATAAGAAAATTATCTGGCACCAGTGTGTAGGCCGAATTGGACCTGGGAGTTGAAGCAGGGAGACCAGTTAGAGATTATAGAATTGTCTTGTGAATGAGGTAAAGATTTTTTGAAATAGAATGTAATGAAGTGAAAATGTAAGGTTTCAGGTGAACGTAGTTGGGGCTTTGTGATGCATCAGTCATGGGTACTGGAGGAGGAAGATTGTGCCCACGGCTGAGTGAGGCTAGTGGGGATCAGGAGGAAGATCTGCTCTGAGGAGATGCATTTCATGTCAGATGTGGCATCTGTTGGGTAATATAATGCAGGTTGAGTTTCCCTTATTCAGAATGTTTGGGACCAGAAGTGTCTTGGATTTTGGATTTTTTTAAAAAAATTTTGAATATTTGTGTTATACCAGTTGAGCATCCCAAATCTAAAAATCTGAAATCCTAAAAGGTCCTATGAGTGTTTCCTTTGAGCATCATGTCGGTGCTCAAAAAGTTTCAAATTCTGGAGCATTTCAAATTTTCAGATTTGGGCTACTCAACCTGTATTGCAAATACATAGTATTTTTAAGTACATAGAGATACGTTTGTGAATTTTCAATGCTATTTACACTTCCTGGATGTGTTTTTCAATTTTATGAATTTATACAGGGAAAATAATCATCACACTGTATTTTTCACAGAAAAAGAGAGCTTTTGCACATTTTTCAAGTAATCTTTTAACATTTGCTTAATAAAATTAAACATTCCTGGGAGTGCTGACTGCTAGGTGTTTTATTCCTAGTTATCCTAATCATATAAATATGATATAACATTTCTCTAAGTATATTTTTTGGCATGCCATGATAGGCGTTGTTGCTAAATGTTATGGTGGAGAGGATTCTTTCATTATATATGATCAGAAAACACAGAGTTAAACAGGATTTTTCAGAGACTTCAATAATATATATTAATGTATTTGGTGAGTGTGCAAAAGGAGAATGCAACATACATTTCTCAAACACATTTGAGAATGTTTTTGAGCAACACTTGGGACAGATATCCCACAGAACAGATTCTGGAAATGGTGGAGTATTGACCATTGCTAATATGATGGGAGAGAATGAGTAGCTACAGGTTGAATATAGAAACTTACATTTTAGTATGAAACTAACTCATACCAGATATAATTACAATGTCTGTTCTTTTAATATATAAAATTTACTATTTTATTTTGTAAGATACAGTTTTTGACCTAATTGGAAATAATTTTTTTGAGCTTGCAGGGGTGGAGAAATAGGCTAAAAGTCCTGAAGAGCCACCTATGGCCATGGGTTGACTGCCTCTGCATAGGAGTCAATGACATGATATGTTTGTACATGATCACATCTCAGTCATCTTGGAATAAACTAAGGATAACATTTAAATTCCAAATGGTTTTCTCTTGTTTGCAGCATGCCTCAAGGCTGCCTTTCTGCTGAGTCCCCTGTCATTTCATATGTATTCAGAAAATTTAGTTCAGCTCAGCCTACATTTCTATTATGTGCAAAACACTGTTGGAGTACAAATTTATTTCAAGATTAGCTTGACATACATAAATAGAGTGCTCAATAAATGTTTGTTCAGTGAAAGAATTGTGTTTTTTCTTAATGATCCAGTTTAATAAAGAGGCATCTCAATTATGGATCTGAATTCTCTACCACATATATGTATATATGTGCATGTGTATAGTATATATATATATAATACACGCACATAGTGTGTGTATATATATATCTTATGTGTATATATATCTTATTTATGATATATATATATTATCAAATACACAAATATATATATTTGTAGAGATAAGGTCTCACTGTGTTGCCCAGACTAGTCTCGAATTCCTGATCTCAAGCCATTCTTTCGCCTCTGCCGCACAAAATGTTGGGATTACGGGCATCAGCCACCATGCCTGGCCTCTATCATATTTTCTTTAAGTTTCTTCTTCCTTTGTTTTCATTGGTGACATTACCAGAGGAAGATAACCAACAATGTCATCTTCTGCAGCCTAGTTCTTTATATTTGAAATCTACTCTGGAGAAGTCAGAATTGAGAATGAAGCAGGTCACCTTATTTAGCAGCATCTGGCTTTAAAAATGTATTTCCTTGAAGTGCTAAATATTTGCTTAAGTGTTCAAGTTAGATTAAATAGAGGAGGCAGTTCTATGGAGAGAGAATGTGAGATAGTGGAAAGAGCACGGGCTTTGGAATCAGATTAGAATTTAGATTTCATCTGTATCACTTAGTTGTTATCTGACTTCTGTAAGATTCCTCATCTCTGAATCTCAGTCATGTCTATAAAACTGGGAATCATGCCTACATTTTGGAGTGGCTATGAGGCATATAGATAATAGTTGTGAAAGCCCAGGCACATTATAGATGCTCAATAAATGGTAGCTATAGTAATAGATGTGTTGCCATCATTCTTCTCCCTGTCCCCTTACTACGTTATCAGTTATTTTTAATACTATCCACATGTGACAGACTATGGACGAGCTGTGTACACATGCCTGTGTCTTCACTTATTTTTGATACTGAGATGAAAATGAAATTAGAAATTAAAATCTTTTTAAAAATTAAAATATTACCTGAGCCAATTCTTTAAACAAGCTGTGAAATATTAATTTCTTTCCATTTGTCATTCTTTTTACATTTAGATGTTGGTTACTATGGTTAGCAGTAGTAGTATTAATAAAATAAGTCACAATTTTTGAACATTTACCACGTACCAGACACAGTTCTAAGTGCTTTATATGTTTTAATGCATTTAATCTTCGGATTAATTCTCTAGGACATAGTGAGTTTTATTATCCACATTTTAGAGTCAAGGGACCTGTGACCTAGAGAAGTCCAATGTGACACAGCTCCTAAATGGTCCCAACCTTGTTGAACTCAGGCTGACTGGCTCCAGAGCCCACAGTCTTCCTCGTTGTTCGCCACCGCCCTCCCCAGCATAGGGATGGTAATATAGCATGTCATGGCATGTGTAATTGTAGAGGAACAATTGTCAGTGTCTAGGTGTATGTGTGGCATGTTCTTTACTAGATGTCTATAATTAAAGATAACCACCTCACCTCCTATTTTAGTTGAGGGTCTTTGAAAATTATGATACAGATCATATATTTTGGTTTATGCTTATGTAGGGCTATTTCTTAATTTCCCTGTAGATCTTGTTTTAAAATAATACTAAGCAAACTTTTGTCCTTGTATTAATGTTTTTGAATTTTTGATTCCTAAAACAATAGGTCCATTTAGTGAGTGTGGCTGTACGAATCGCTATAGTCTATCTAATGATATCTTGGTAGTTTTTAATAGGATAAGAGTTCTAAATTCAAATGTATGTCTCTACTTGTTGTACAAACAGACATATTCATGCCAACAAGAGATACACACTGAGGTCTGGAGTTCGAAGTTCTTTCTCTAAATTTAAGAATTAAAGTGTACAACATATATTATTTGATAAATATTTTTTGTCTTAATCCTTCCTGATAAAAAGAGTGCCAATACTGCATTTTAACATTACTTTAGAGACATATTGAATATCAAAAACCACATATCCTCACATAGAAAATCACAAAATATCTTCCTTTGAAATGTGACCCGTCTCTTATTTGATGGATTATTCCCATTTATGTTTATATTTTCTAAATCTTTCTTATTCCTCTTATGTTACTGCACAATAAAAGCTTTCACTAGTGATTGTAGAGAGACCATGAAGTCTGGGACACTGTTTCTTCACTATCAAATTTGAGGCTTAGTATAGATCATTTTGTATTGGAATTATTCAGCTAACTTATATAACTATATACATATATTACAAACATATATATATATATCATTCAGATAACATATATAAAGCCCTCTAAATTTTAAGATTTTATTTTCAGTCATTTTAGAGAGTTTCTTATTGACAATAATATCTCCCAAGAGTAATAAGTTCATTTGGCCTTGGTTTTTCTAGGGTGGTTTGTAATCATCTAGGTTACTGAGTTGTCAGTTGATGTACACTGGGTTACTATGTGTGTTTAGGAGCCATCCTCATTCTTCTCCACTAGTAGAGACACGCCCATTAAATAAATAAATCTAAGTGTACATTATTAATGTTTTAACATTCAAAAATAATTTTCGTGAAGTATATACAGAGTTTAGTCCACAAATTCTAAACAATTTTCACAAAGTGAACACAGATACTGTATCAAGAATTAAAATGTTACTTGCACCTGAGACCCACCTAACTTACTCTTAAAATATATTCTTTATATTTTCTCAAAGCTAACATTTGAGATGCTTGAAAGAAGCATTATTAATTTTTTTGAAAGAATGAGCATATAATTGTTTATATTAATTTATATTAATAGCACTAAGCACAGTAACTAATTATGGTGTTTAATAACTGCTTGAATTTGTTGTTTTTATGCTTTTGTTGTACAGAATTAATTTTTTTACATTTCTATATTTAAAAAATGAGGCTAAAAGAAATGTTAGCAGGAAATAGATTACATCTGAAATTTTTATTAAGACATAACAATATAATAAAATAGTTTAATATATGTATTACTGAAATATTATAAATCATTATGTTATATATAAAGGAATAGTGGCTCTCAATTATATTTTCTTTGTCATGCCTGCAAATAGTCTTCCAATTGCATTCCCCAGGTATTCTGTCTAGTTTTTAAAATTATTTAATAGATAGGCCTTTCATTCCTTTCACTAAGTATTCACTGTCGGTAAAATTGTGTGTATTCCGTCAGCAATTTGATAATATAAAGCAATAGTTTTTCTGTATTTCACACAGCACTGGGGCTCTGTAAAGCATCTCTAGGGGTTCTTTGATGTCTAGACAGTTTAAATTATGCCTGCTCCCTTGCCTCCAGATTCCACCCCGTTCTGCTTCAGGGGTTGTGGGAAATGAAAACAAACCAGAAGGGTCCACAGCCTTACAGTACAGGGGGAAAAACAAACAAGTAGAATAAGCTGTATATCTACCCTGGCAGGTGTATAGGAAAGGGCCCAATTGTAGGGGATGGGAGAAAGAAAAGAATTGGGGACAAATAGTGTCCTGCTTATTTATTTCTAGTTATATTTATTATATAGAAATACATGGGCTTTCTGAACAAAATGAAAACATCGTAGAAGTATTAGGGGAAAAAATCGAAGCCACCTTTTAGCCCAGTGCCCCAGTTTTTTCTTCCCAGCCTCCCCATAGGCAGCCAAATTTGGCTTTGGTGGGTTTCCTGTGCATTGTCCTATTTGTTGAAATGGTAAGATGAAGAATTGTGTTTTAAGTTGGAAAACTAACTTTGTTTTCTTCCTTTCTTTTTGTTTTCCTTCTATAAATCGGGATATCGTGGTTTTTCCAATTCATCTTGTTAGAAAGTAAGTAAATTTGAAATTTCAGAGACTTTTAAATTAAAACTTGGATGTTTTATTATTTCATATACACACACATATAGTTACAGGATTTCAAACTTCTAAATTCCGACTGAGGTGATGAGCTTTTGCATTAACTGTGAAGAAAATTTTGTTGAATAAATTAAAAATAAGAACCATTACATAGAAGGCAATCAATTCTATCTAAGAGTACAGACTTTTAAAGCATGTACATCTGCCTCATTTTTTACCCACAGTTAATCATTATGTTTAAGATATATATATGTGTATATACAATATATAGTATACATGCCAATTCTATTTTTTCTGAATATAAAAATAATAAAATTACATAAGACTTATATTTATTTCTATTCAATAGCAGTTAAGATATTTCTGCAGAAAATGTTGTCTAAGTTTTCTGTAGTTTATGGAATTGATGAGGATAGCAGCAATAAGGAAATGGTATGAAATGTTTTTGAAATACATTTTCCTCTGTATATTTTACATTGGATGAATCAGTTACCTTTTAATAAGCATTTAGCTCATTTGATGCGTATTTTTCATTGTTTTTTTAAAAAAACGGACCAGAATAACTAGTTTTTCCTCCATAAAGGAATGAAACTCGTGTGCTTAAAACTAAGTGACTAATCAGTGAGTGATTTTAGTTGTAAAATTTGCATTTGACTGCAAATTATTTTCTAATGCAAATGTTGTATAGTTTTGAAATAAAACAAGTTTCTTTTGGGAAAGATTTATAGAAATTGCAATAGTTATTGAGACTTTGGAGATGTTGTGATTGTGAATTACATATTTTTAAATTTTTCCGTAGTAAATCTTGTGTTTATTGAGTTACTAAACAGTATAATTTAATAATATATTCATGCTTAATAGAGCTTATTATTTGTAGAAAACTGGGTGCTTATCACATATGTTTGCAGCAAGCACAGCATTAAATTGCTATTTAATAGCCAATTTATCTTCTACAATTATCTTTAGCTTGCTATACCTTAGAAAGGAAATGTAAATTATAGTAATGTTACATTTGTTTAGTACTTAGTCGTTGCCTTTAAATCTGTATTGTTATTTAACGTGCTGAATCTGAGTTGTTGGAATCATGTGCATTAGGGCCTTAGGAATAAAGAGAAGAAACAGCATTGTGAGGTTTCATATTAGGTGAACAATTTTATTAAGTTATATTTTTAAAATTCTACATTGTGTCATTTTTATGTATTGGATTCTATTTTACTTGTCGTGTTAACATCTTCTTGCCAAGTCCCTACGGAAAGTCTGTATTTCTGACAGTTCTACTAAATTAAAACTCCAAAAATCTGGCATAATCATTCTTAGCTTCAAATTTTCTATGCTTTTGTCTGAAGAATATAATGTAAAAATATGTATTTGCAATGTTCAGTATAACATGTATTGCATAATTTATTTGGAATTTATTCATGGAAAGACATTTCTGGGGAGATGAATATATTTTACTTTATAGGTATGCCTGGGCCCTCTCCAAATACGAGAAAAATATTTTGTGAGAGAAAATAATGAAATGAGGTCTGCAAACTTGTAGGAGCTTCATGAGGAAAGATATTACCTAAACACAACATTGTTTCCATGTGTACTTTAATGTTACAACTGCATTGTTCTGTGACCAAATTTATATTAAGATTCTTGTTTCCTGTCAAATTCAATGGAGTCATATTTATATGTTGGCACAGAGAAGCTGCTTCCTAAAATAATTGTCTTTGTAGGATGATAATACTTATAAATCCTTATGACCATGATGTATATATATGCTGCCTTGCTATTAAGTGTGTTCTGGCAATTCAGCATATTTGACTTTTCCATTTTACTGGTGAGTTTTCATTATAAGTAAGAGATTTGATAGTCTTGATCTTTAGAAAACTTTTAATTAGGAGCAAAATTATGTCTTTATCCTTGAAATTTGAAGTTAGAATTCTGAACTTACGAATTCAAAGTTTGAAAGCTTCATATCCTAAAGGCTGTATTGTCTCAGAATGTGAATTAAATACCCATAATTCCTAAGAAGCATGTGAGTGTAGTGGGGTTAGGGCTTTTAACTAAAATTGGTTTGACCAGATATTGATATTTCGGCATATTAGGAAGTAAAATGTATATGGATGTATAATTTTAAAAGGCAATAATTGTAGCTCTAAATTTTAGCTTCTAAATATTAGTTTGCAATCAAAACACAAAATTTGTTCCAAAATCTACTCCAGGAAATATATATGTACTTTATATTTTATAAACATCATTCAAGTATATGAACTCATTCTAATAATGTTTATACATATGTACTTTGATATTTTAAATGTTAGTTTAATGCTGTTTGATTTCTTTAAAAAGTGATCTGATATTCCAATCACTTGCATGTTTACTACAGAATTCTGTTAGCTGGACAGAATTTCCCAACACATATTTCTTTGACATATCTAACTGAGAAAAGGATGTCATTGTAGAGGCTGTATCAGAGATAGAAACACATATGTACATTCTTATTTTGCCATGTGAGAAATGCAGTCCTGTGAGTAACTTAAATACTTATAATTTCAAATCAGTTCTTCCCTGGTTTATTATTCTTTTGTTGCTTTTAAACGAATGGGATGGAGCTGCTCTTGAACTTGGTGGGTTTTTTTGTTTTTTTTTTTTTGATCATTCAAGTGCAACCATCAAGTTGTCTGTAATATTTAAAAGCTAAGGCTTCATGGTGTTATTTGTAAAATAACACCACATAAGTATTTGGGCTTTGGTTTCTGTAAAATATAGTATTGGTTACTCTATGAATAAAAGCATAATTTCAATTCAAGAGACTTTTGCCTGAAGCCTTATAAGACAGATGCATCTGATTAACTTTGGTGAAACTGGACTAGCCCTTTATTGTAATGTAGATGTTTTCAGGGTTGAGAGGGTATTTTTAAAAGGCATGCAAAGAGGTCTTTTTTTAATTATTTTTTTATTTTTTTTAAGAGAGAGCGAGCGAGACTCAGAGAACAGTTTTGCAATAGAAGCTGTACCTCAGACTGCTTCATTTTTGCACACTTTTATTTTCTAGTGGAACCTCTCCATTAGCCTGTCTGAATGCAATGCTTCACACTAACACTCGAATAGGGGATGGAACATTCTTCAAAATCCCTGGAAAGTCAGGCCTCTATGCTCTCAAAGTAAGTTGCATTGTTCTGCATATTGTTATTACTATTATCATGCATTTTTTCAGACATGTGAAGGTAAACAAAATTAGATTTGAAGAGTAGAAGAATGACTCCTATGCCTTTAAATGTTTACAGATGTCTTAGAAATGATTTCATATTAAGAATAAACAATGACATTTTTCTTTAAGGAAAGCATATCTGTGGTTTCACTCCGTGACATATGGTAATGCAGAATACTTGTAGCTTCCTTAAAATTCTTGATTCCTTAAAGTTTATGGGGAGGAGTGTCATGGGTCATTGGCCAGGAGTTTAAGATGAGCAGAGTTACCATGAACTCTTTGACTTAATGACCGTCAGTTGATATACAGGCTTCACACCTGTATGCCCTTGTCTTTTATAAAAATAAGACATTTATTCATTCTGCTTGAAAACATTGAATTAAATCTAGTATTCAATTTTAAAACAAATCGTGATCTCAAGGAAGTTTTACTAATGCACACTTGTATGAGAAGAAGAGAGAAATAAAAGCTTCAGATAACTGAGTCTTAATTATTTTAGTATAATTATTTTAAAGGCATTCCCATTTTTATCTAGGGGAAATGCCACCTGAAATGCAACATTCCAGAAGACAAAAGCTTATAATCTACAAATGGTTGTGTAACTTGGAATAAGTACATTCATTGTGTTATTTCTTAGAAATTAAAAAGAAGTCTCTGCTTTAATAAGTCATGGATTATATTTAAAGTTCATTAACTACATGTGAGTTTTTTTTTAATGTCAAAAGTTAGACAACAAAGCAGGGATTCTTCTTTAGCTACTAAGCATCAGGCTGTGGTCTACTGTGTGTGTTTCAGAAAATAACCCAGGTTAATCAGAAAGACTTGCAATTTTTCCATTGCTTTTTGTAGCAAGTTGGGTATTTAAGTAACTGATTAAAATTCTGAGTTGGTAAGCCATTTCTTTACATGAGGAAAACTGTAGAATTGAAAAAAGATGGAAACAACATATGTCAAAAGGAAACTTTTTTTGGGTATAGATTTTAAAAATTTATCCAAAAAAAAAATCAACAGTAGCAATGGGCTTTACCCAGTTTTTTTTTTTAATGGAAGAATGATTTTACATTAAAAAGTAAATCATTATTGAAATGTTAAGTCACAAATAACTGATCATACTGTAGGATTCTGCAAGTATTTTGAATGTTTTTAGTTGCTAATACATCTTCTCCATAAATCATCACTTTTCAAAATAATACAGAAAGAGGAGTCGTCATGCCCAGCAGATGGCACGTTGGATTTAGTCTGTGAATCTGAATTGGATGGTACAGATATGGCCGAGGCAAATGCCCATGGAGAAGAAAATGGAGGTAAGTGTGATGAATTCCAAAATATAATCCCTTGTTCTCTTAAAAGTTATATAGAATGCCAATGATTCATTAATTGAATTTCCCACCATTATCAATACAGTTTTCTTCTAAATTTTTACCGCTGAGATTTATCATCAAGGTGTTTTGATTCAAAAAGGATAAAATCTAAAAGAAGTATATAGTTCTTTGCTTTTGTTGTTTTTTAACAGTACATATTTCCCTGAATAATTTTCTTAAATACTTCTTTAAGTATCAACATATTTCTCCTGCAAAGTGAGAGGGTTACTGGGGGCATCTAGTGGTTTCATTCTTATGGGAGGACTGAGAATGCTAATGTTTTATTTCTGATTGTGCTGATTTTTCCTGTAATCACAAGTAGTTTTATAACAGCTTTGTTCCTTGGTTTGTCTTTTGCAAATGAAGCTCAGTGTTATCATTCCTCACAGTGAAAAGAGGGCCAAATAAGATATTTTCTTGTTAGACACTTTTAAGAAGTGAGTGAACCTTCCAGAATTTTAAGGGGGAGCGGGGGGGGGGGGCATTTTTCACCTCTGAATTTTATATGTGAACTTATTTTTGTCTTCCTTAAGACAATTATATTGTGATCCTTTCGGTGTATGTAATTCTGCACTGCAATTTTGGCAAATCTTTGTCCCACAATAGCTGCAGTGCTTTCTTCTACTCTACCCACTGGTTCCACAAAGGGACCCAGATCATGATTTGAGAGAAAACTGTGTAGTTAAAGTCTCTGTCAGTAGACTCATAGGAATCAGTAAATTACCTTTAAACAGACAAACCTTAAAGGATGTTTGCAGAAATATTGTATTTCAGTAATAACCCAAAGTCATTCATTTTATTAATGGCCATAGAGTCCCTTTGTTTGTCCTCTGCATGCTCACTGAATGCTCTCTTTAAACTTGTGTGCTGATAGACCCTGTAAGACTGTTACTGCTTCCGTTCCTCTCTGATCTGTAGCAAAGGTTGTGAATTTAATGTAGGAAAAACACAGTTTATTGCCCTAAGGAAATTACAAGAATGGCTGCAGACTGCTTTATGGATGTTTTACTTTTCATGTGACTTGTTGTCCCTATTCCCAGGCTTTTTGAGTATCCCCCCAATTGTTGTGGTAATGGTGGAACCCTGGCTGGTCTTTGTGATTAGAGAGGGGAAAAGGCAGAGAATCACAGTAATTTCTGGCTTTCTAAAAGGGGAGGTGAGTGGGGCATACTTTTCCCTTTCAGGAGGGTGAAGGAGAATCTTAACTGCAGTTGCTCCTAGTGTGGTACTCTTGCCTGGGTGAGCGCTCATGTGCTCTCTCAACATATATACTGAGCTTCTTTCATGTGCCAAGTACTATTCTTGACATTGCAGTTACAGCAGTGAAAAACAAAAGCAAATCTCTCATGAAGCTTATTTTCTTTGAGAGACAGAAAATAAGCAAAATAAATATCTAAAATGTATAGGTTATTCAGTGGTGACAAGTGATATGGGGCAAAATACATAAGGGAGTGGGGGAGTAGGGGAGAGGGTTACATTTAGAAAAGACCTGAGGAGCATGAGAGAACAGGCATTCAGGGGAGAGAACTCCAGGTAGAGGGAACAGCAGTTACAAAGGCATTGAGGCAGGAGAGTGCCTGGAATATTCCAGAGATAGCAAGAGGCTGGTGTGGCTGTGAGGCCAAAGTGAACAAGGGAGAGTATGTTAAGAAACAAAGCCAGGGAAGTTATGGGGGCCAGGTTATATGGTGCCTTGATGCTGGCTTCTGTTTTGAGTGAGATATTAAGCCATTGTAGAGTTTTGAGCTAGAAAGGCAATGGCCACATGTAGGTTTTAGCAGGATCACTAACTACGAAAAAGATACGAGAACAAGGAAAAAAGCAGGGAGACCCATTAGACAGCTATTGTCGTAATCTAGAGGAGAGGTGTTGTTGATTTGAAGGAAAGTACTAGCAGTGGATGGGATGAAAAGTGATTGGATTCTGGTAGATCCAGCAGAAGCTGCTGGCAGATAAATGTGAGTGTAAGATAGAGAAAGGAGTTGGGGATAACTCCAGAGTTTGAGTATGTGAGCAAGTTGAACAATAGCATTGTCCTTAGTTTAGATGGAAGAATCTTCAAGGGAACCAGTTAAGGGGAGGGGCGTTGTTGATCAGGAGCTCAGTTCTGGACATGAAATTCTTTTTCAATATCTAGGTGGACATGTTAAATAACTGATTTTATCTGTCTGAAAATTATGGGAAAGATCCTTCTTGGAGATACTGATTTGGAAGTGGCCAGTTTATAGATGGTAGTTAAAGACAGGAAACTGGATGACATTACCAAGGAACTGAAGGTAAATAGAAAAGAAAAAAGACCCAAAGACTGAGCTCAGGGGCACTTGAATTTTAAGAGCTTGGAGAGAGTATAGAAAACAGTGAGACTGAAAGTAAATGGACACGGTAAGATTTTCTGTCCTGGAAACCATATGAAGAAAGTATTTTGGAGGGTGAAGTGACTCAAATGTGTCAATGCTTTTGAAATGTGAATTCATGATGAAGATTAGGAAATTACCACTGGATTTACCTTTATGAGTGTATTGATGAATTTGGCAGTGGTAATTTTTGTGGAATGGTAAGACCATAGCTTGAATAAGGTGGGTTCAAGATAATGAGAGGAGAGGAATTAGAGACCACAAGTGTAGACAATTCTTTCAAGGAATTTTGAGGTCAGGGGAAGGAGTGGAATGGGAAAATGGCTGGAAAGGAAAGAATCAAGAGACAGTTTAAAAAAATGGGAAACAATTGTTAGCAAATTATTCACTAATGGGAACATTTCAGTTAAGGAAAATTGATAATGTGGCAGAGGTGTTCTGTTATGGTTTGGTTAGATGAGGGAGAATGGGACTATTCAGCAAATGGAGAGATTGGTCTTAGCAAGAGATGTAGACAGGTGCTCTAAAGGAGGCAGTAGGAAAAGCGAGGGTGTTTCAGTAGAAGTGAAGGTAGGCCAGTACTTGTGGAAGGGGCTCGTAGAAGTTTGCTTCTGTGTGTGTTATTTTTCTCAGCAAAATAGAAAAGTAGTCCATCAGTTAAGGGTGAGAATAGGGGAGGTAGTTTTGTAGACTTAAGGAGAAGATAGAAAATATTTGTCTGAGAGAGTCTGACAGCATTAAGGACATTCTTAAGGTTAGTCATCCTGAATTTACTAGGAGACCAACCTACATGGTTGTCCATTTTTCTCCAGTCATGTTCGGGACCACTCTACAAGTACAGAAGATGTGTATAGTGACTGAAGCTGGGGTTTTGCCAAATGTAAATGATGAAGCAAGAGAGGAAGAAAGGAGTTAAGGGTATATGAAGTGGAGTAATGAAGGCAAATGTCCATAGAATTTAAGCTGATGTGGAGGTGAGTAAAGGATAGTGTGAAGAAGGAAGTCTCATTGGTGTGAAAAGGTTATTTGATCTGGTGTTCTGAAGGAAATGAGTTGGAAGTGTAAGTGATATGAGAGTGGAATGCATGGATTGAATTTAGGATACTATTATGGGATGTATTTTCAGAGCTGATAAGAAAGAAGGGGGCTAGGTTTCAGGCTATCAAGAGTGCTTAGGCCATGTGTGCACTCAAGAGTTGCCTGGATGAGGTGGCATCAGCGGCTGAAATTCAGCACCCCTCCATTTGCCCAACCTGGTGCTGTGGGATGGGACTGGGTCCACCTGGAAAAAAGATTGCCTTTTCTTTTTTGCACAAAGATGTTTTAAAGGCTGGTGGTGGCCCTTGCATAAGATATTAGAGAATCATCAGCATGGATATTGAAACAGACAATTATAGTAGAACTAACATTGACAAGATGTCATATTAGCAGCTAACATATTCAAAAAATCAAGGAGAGTAACCAAGAGTTGGCAGATAAGTACAGTAGGTTGAATAGTTAGTAATATAGTCTGATGGCATGAGATACAATGCTGGAGGCATCATAGGAACCAGGGAGGGAGAATGGTTTGGAGGGAACAGTGAGGGGAATATAGGTCACTTATTCCATTTCCAGGCCCAGTGGTACAAGAGGTGTAGAAAAGAAAAAGGCTACCACCTGAGAGCATTCCAGAGGAACCAGTGTCCTAGCTGGGAAGACAGCCAGATTTTGTATATTAAGAAGTAAAGGGAGTTTTCAGAGAAAATATGGAGGCTGCAGGAGATTTTGATAATGACATCCTAAATTCCAGAGGAAACCTTGGGAGTTTAGTAGCTGAGAAAGGGTGACAGATAGCATGAGAGCACTCAGCCAATAGTGAAACCAAAACAGGGATAAGCAAACTTCCCTAATGTAAAATGTGAATAGGCACTTCACCAAATAACACATACCCAAACATATCCAGCTAATGTGACAAAAATTAGATTTCCTGACCTCTCCTTTGAAGTTGCATTCGGGAAATTACTTTGGGAAAGCAGTGAAAGAATAGTAAATAGCTTATTTCCTTGAGTATTCCTTGACTTGCTCACTTTTGCATCTTATTGCAAACCACAATTGCATCTCCATGTAGGCACCCTGTGCTTCTATGTATAGCTTATTAATCTAGCCTTAGGACACATTTTCAAACCTAGATATTGAAAATGTATTGAGTACTTTTTTATTTTGTTTTATTTTTACCTCTGAGGGAACAAACTTAGCTTAAATGTCCCATCCAAATTGCAAGCCCAGGTGTGACACCAAAGGCCAGACTCTCATTACTCTGATACCTTGCCTGGAACCACAGGGAACACTTAGTAGCCAGTCATCATTGGTACGGTTTGCCTTTCCAATGTTAGTTCACATCCATTATGATCCTAAACTTAAGACTTTGACAAAGAGGAACCCTTGGCTTATCCCAATAAAATAGTGGGATACCACATGATTTCTTAAAATTCAATAATAGATTTCAGGAAACTGAACTGCTTTAGGTGATTTCCTTGCTTACTCTGTGTCTAATATATATTTGAACCAAAAGTTAGAATGGATATACTTTCCACACTTCCTACAGCTGTACAAATATACTTTGAAAATGTGATCAGAGAGAGAAGGTTGGGTATATGAGTGGATGTGTGTGTGTGAGGGAGCAAGAGAGAGGGGTGTGGGAGAGAAAAGTTGGAAAGGAGGGAGAGAGGGAGTGGGAGATGAGTACACCATCTGTTTTGCTATTTTATTCATCTTTCCTTCTTATATTCATCCTTTGGGATGAAAGACTGGGGAGTATTGAGAAGAATATTAACCATCAATTTGTAACATACCCTTGATGCGTTGAAAGAATAAGCCGCTGCTACCATAGTGTTATATTGGATTGACAACTATTTATTGACATTTGCTGTACCATTTAGGGGATAAGCAGAGAAGTATTTGAGAAGAAAGTATTTTGTAAAAACTGATAAGAAATCTTAGTTTGATTCCAGTCATTAACACTTGAGTCCTTAGGCAGAGTTAAGATAATGATTATAATACTTTAGTCCTCTTCTTGGGATCAACTGGGCAGGGAAACATTCTTTTAAAATGGGAGATGTGTTGCCAAGGTACTTTGTTACAAAGTTTTGTTGAAAAATTTTACAATGTAGGAAAAGTGGTATATTTTTAATTGTGGAATTTACAAGACACAGAACTATGGTTATGTGTTTCTTTGACTTCTGAAGAGTTTCTCAAGTTAATAATAATTAGACTTGAGAATGTAAACTTCACATTTTACAAGCTAAGCTTTAGAGATCAAAGAATGATTTAGGTGAATTACTTGATATATCCGTGTTGACAACCCATGACCATTTATGCCTATGTAAGTATAAATCTGTGCCACCCAAGTAAAATATTATAAATTTTATGGTCTATTTTAGTCAGAGATTTATGGGTATGTTTGTGTCTGAGTTGTTTTCTGAGCATAATACATTGATATATCGTGAGTTTCCTAACACATATTAAGTTGACTCACAATGTGTTGTTGGTCTGCAGAACTCATACATATTTTATATGAGATGATACCATCAGTAGACAGTCTTCGCTCTCTTCATCCTCTATCTATAAATTGTTATTAACAAGAAAAATTAAGTTTCTCCTTTTGTGGCCCTAATATAGTTCAGGCTTAAAATCAACAGCAACCATCCTATATATTTCTTTTAAATGAGGAAACTAGAGATTGTACACATTTTATCCACAGAGATCAAAAAAGGTTCTGCTTGCTATTAACCCTAATGGCTTTCAGGGAGGAAGCAGCACTCTAGCAAGGGAATTAGTATTTTAAAAGTTTCTGTTGGGGCAAAAAAAAAAAAAGAACATGAATCTTATGTTTTAGACCTTAGATCCCAGGGCAAATAATGATTCCAACATTTGAAGAATTTTATGAAGTCCTTTTTCATTATTCTTTATGGCCAGTTTTATAAGTGGGTTTCTGATTGTGTGATTCTTGGCAGAGTTGTGTTAACTTAATGAAACGTTACTCAGCTCACTCTTTGTTTTCATTGGCTCAGAGGCTACAGTTTGAGGGGTCTTTTATCAAAAGTGAAAAGTGTGTTAAGGAGGCCTGAAGTGTGTGAATATAATCTCAATTGAGACATCAGTTACATGCAGATGAGAAGCTTCATGGAGAAATTGGGGCATACATTTAAAAGGTCTGGACACCCTGGGGAGTAGTCACACTGACAGCTCATGAGGCAATTTTATACAAGGCTACAAAAAAGGAAAATGAGGGTGACTGTGGAGTTGTGAAGGGAGTGTTTTGAGTAACTTTGGAAGATGTTGCCCACCTACCCAGTGTCAGTTGGTATTCTGGTCTTGTTTTGCTGGAGGTTTTACAGTAACTTGCCTGTGAATGCTCCAGTGTAGTTTTACATTGGATGTTCTGTGTCTGCATCTTTGTGTTCAGGAGGGTGGGGGTAGGAGAGTGTCAACAGGCTTCTACATGATCGTGGAGAAAGACGACACAGTGTGACCAACTACCTGGCAGCCATTCCTAAGAATCTTGCAGGGGGCAGGAAGGATATTCCTTCTATGCCTGAACCAGGTCCCCTAATTTTGGGAGACTAAGCTAATTTGTCTTTCATCCAACAGCTCTGCATTTTAGGCAACAGCTTTGTTTGCTCATGGAGACACCTGCTCTACATTGGTGGCCTAGAGAAACTTAAGTATGTGAGAATTATGTTGTTTTAGTTACACATTGAAGAAAACACAGAGGAAAGCGAATACTCTTCACAGTCAGAAATGACCATTGGCAGGATATAGAACTTCCATTGCCCACTCTTTCTCCTTCTCCTTTCTTTTATTCCAGCCCCCAGATTATACAGTTCACAAGAAGTGTGAGGAATTTCAAAAGATCATGAAGCCCTGTTTCCTCTCTCCTGCCAGTGTTTTTCTTAAACCACTCAATTGAAGTAGACAATATTCTAATAGTATATGATCCGGGGGATAGAAATCGCACAGTCCCCCTTATACTTCTCCCTGTGTTCTTGATAACTTTTATAGAGAATATTTTTTTCTTTATGTTGAAATCTTTTGTGCTTTTAATTAAGCTAATTTGCTCCTTTTTTTTTTCTGTGCTCTGATGATAAACAACAGATGGTCACCCCTTCATCTTAACTTCTCCAAATGACTTATCCCAACTCTTTCAAACATTACTTACAGACACTTTTCATTTCTTTTATCTTTTAGAGACCTCTTTTTCTTACATATTTCCTCTTGAACTGTGAACTTCATTCCTGTCTAGATGGATTTTGGTCAATTTTAACAGTCCAGAGTCATGTAGGAAAACGTTTTCTTTTTAAATGGGATGAAGTGACCCATTTAAGCATACTTTCATCTCTCTTCTTGAATTGTGAGATAAATATTTCATAATATACAGATCAAGAACAGAATATGATCTCATAAAACTAAAGATTGAGAACAGAATATGATCTCATAATAAAACAACAAACTACTTCTCAAAAACAGAATTGAAGGTATTCCCTCAATTACACATCTTAACTAGCCAATTTTCTGTTTGATTTATATAATCTGTGACTGTAGATATGAACAAAACACTCATGTTCTTTAAAAAAAGTACTTTTTCATTGATGCCAGATAATTCGTTCTCACTTTTCTTTAGTTATATTGTATAAGCATTTCTCAAACTGCCATCTGGATAGCTAACCTGATTCCCCTTTATCGGAGTTTATAGTTTATATGATAAAGTATGAAATAATTAGTAGTGATGCCCATGAATGAAACACTTAACCTTGACCTGTGCCAAACTTTTGCTGATCTCCTTCCTGTCCACTTTTTTCTGTTTCTCATTTTCTAGGCTGATTGCTTTATTTCTGTGCAGATGTTTCAGGAACCTGATGCAGTGTAGATCACAGGGGTTATACCAGTATAAAATAAATAAGCCTCTGATGTCATTTTTCCCACACAAACAGCATATAGTATTATTACTCTCCATTACCCTGTGAGCGAAATCCTTGTTGGTTCTATGGTAGGAGGAGGTTAGGTGGCTAAAGGCTGGTAACTACAATATATGCTTTTCCTACTAAATATATTTATTTTTGGTTTGAGTTTTCTCTCTTCTGTGTTTAAGGAGATATTTTTATGAATATCCAGAGATAATAGTATAACTAAATTGGCCTGGCTGATAAATTGAGTACTTGTAGGAGAGATTCTTATAGCTACGTCTTATGTATACAATGGTCTTCCTAGTTACCTTTGGAGCTTCAGTGTTCTAACCAAAATGTTTGTGAACCATTTGTAGCCATTGTAATGAGGTGATGGCATATCCATTTCTGTGGCAGGTGAACGACATTTGCATCATATGATATCAGCCACCCAAATCACTAAGGTCTCTGGCATGATGACATTTTGCAGCAGCATTTTGTCACTCATATATGGTTGGTATAATTATTATCTGATTCAACATTCCTCTTGGTTTATTTTGCATTTTTTCTGAAAATCTCTTCTGAATAAGAAGAGGCTTAATTGGGCTAATGAAGCAGGTTATAAAATATAGTAATCATTCCAGTTACATTAGGTATGTTTCATTATAGAAGATATTGTTCTAAACGTTATAAAGAGAATCAGTGCTTGTAATTTTTAGACTCCATGTCCTTTGAAAGGGTCTTAGGAAAAAATTGCTGTTTCCATTATTTTATTGCTAGTATTACTAGCAATTTATTAATCTATTTACTGACTTTTCTTGGCAACTTATATCCTTTGGATTTTCTTTTAATGTAATAAGGAAATTTGCTTAAACCCAAATACCTATACCTATCTTGAAACAGATGTTTTTAGAAAAGGCAGTTCTGCTTAGGCTGAATGCAAAAAGGATTTTAAAAATAGAGTTCAGGAATGGTTTAATTGGGGTTAGATGGTTTTCCCTGTTCAAGTCTTTTTAACAATTTGTAGCATGTATTTTCTGGCTGTATATATCCAAAATATCTGATATACACAATTTCAAATGTAAATACTATACATAAAACAAATTATAACCCAAACATAAACTGTTGTGTTTATTTGCCATTTGGGGATACTTCTGAATTGTCTGCTTGTTGATCTTTCAAAACAAATTTATTATTGTTAAGTTTTCATCGGTAGTTCTCCTCAGGTAGAATTAATGGTCTATATCTAGACCATTGTTCTTTGAAAACATTTTTTAAAAATTCTTATGGCCTCCAACTCAGGTATTCTATCTTTTTCACTGTTTTTCCCCCAGCATCTTATACAGTGATTGGCATGAGGGAAAGTACTCAATAAAAGTTGTGCAACTGAATGATTCATCAATAAACCAATAAACTTCCTCTAAGACCCCGCCCTCTATTCAGATTTTATTGACTTCTAACAATGTACCACAGTGTTATTCCTAATACACTATGTATCCTTTGAGTTAAATTTTTTATTCATATAACTTTTTAAAATTACATTAGGAGGGAATACCAACCTATAATATATGTCAAGATCATTCATACAGAAAACTGTTGTGATTTGAGCAAATCTAGTCTGATTATTCAGAAGAATGAAAGGGAGTGTTTGGAAAGAGAACTTACAGAAATGAAATTGGTAAAAGGCTGCACCCCTCCTTGTCTTTATTAGGTCTTTGAGCACCAGTTTCCTCAGATAGCTTGTTACTTATTGGGTGGCTCAGTGGGACAGAGAGCAATTAATAGTACACAATATCGGTGTTGCAGAGACTATATAATGTACAGATCCTGGTCTGTGTTGTGGTTCTGCACCCACACAGCTTCTGCCATTTTATGTAAGCATTGTGATTTCTAATTTTGACTTTTAAATTTTATTTTTATTTCCCCATGCAAAAGCACAAAACTGACTTTACTCGTTAAATAAGACAATGAGTAAAGATGGCAAAGAGAAATCTATCTATAATTAGTGGCAGGTCGTGCAACTTCCTACTGTCTTGCAAAGGAAATTCTGTCATTTGGCTTTCATATTATCCCTAATTGACTTTAGAATAATTTGAGAAAATAATTTAAGAAGGCTTCTATTTTCAAGTTTACAACAATTCATTTTATACATACTTTTTCATAAAAAATAGCTTTGCTGACCTCCACTTTCATGAATTCTTATTAAAAATCATAGTTGAAAGTTAACTTCAAAAATACTTTAAACAAAATTTTTGAATTTGATACTTTAAAATTTGATTTTTAAAAAATTCAATGAACATTAATAGATCGACTGCTCTGTGCCCATCTTCGCATGTAAGTCCCTGAGTTTCCAAGCCTGTGGCTGCTGAGGCAGATGACAGCACCAGAATTGCAGGGACTGTCATGAATTTGTACACTAAATTCCAAGAAAGCATGGCTAGGGGAGGAGCAAGTCTACCTCAGAAGCTGGGACAGTCAGAGAAGCTTTGGGGGAAGCTGTTCAGAATTTGGACTGCCAAGATGAGTTTGCCAGGCAGAGTGCTGGGAAAGGATATTTGGAGGAGGGACAATCAGACCAAGTACAACAAACACAGCAAGTAGATGTGTTCAGAAGACACTGAAGAGTCTCCAGATTGGCTGGATTATAGAGGCTGAGAATTGGGAGGCTGGCAGGATGTGAGACAAGAGAGATAGATCAAGTTTGTATTCTGATTGCTCCTTTCTGTATATCCTGGGTTGTAAGTCACAGTTACAATTGTGGATGTCCTCTTGTACACCTGTCAGTGGATTAGTAATTACATTAGGAGGGAATACCAACCATATCCCCTCCCTAGCATGCAGCTTTAAAAATAGGAACTCTAATTTACATTTTCTAGTTCCATAGTATTTTCAAGTTGAATGGTAAATTAAAAGGAGAGACAGACAACTTGGAGACACTGAAGCCCGCAGTTTTGCTGGAGCAGTCACCAGTTCTCTAGCCTTCAAGGCTGTCTCATGGTTACCTATAATCTCCCACCTCCTTTTGCTCCCTGATCTTCTAAATAGAGTATTTTGAGGGAGGGTTTGGGGAGTGCGAGTAGAGGTATTGAGAGGCAAATTTAAAATCAGCAGATTAGCTTTTAACTATGCTTTTGGCTTGCCTATTTTTGGCAGGCAAGCAAAATGTAGACAGAAATAGTATTTTTATACCTTTTAAAAAATGTGGAATGATAAAAATTCTAGGGAGAACTAGTCTCATTTTGTTTCCTCATCTTCAGTTTGAAAAGGACAGGCTGTATTGTGGGATTTCAAAGTATAAGGTCCTGGCATTAGTTTTGTGATCATGCCAGTACATAGTTAGAAAAGATAGCTCCTGTTCTGTTCTGAATGCCAAGAAGATATCACTTTCTAAGCTGCATGTCAGTCTTTGATATTTATTGGATAAAACATCTGTCCTAATTCTTCAGTTTCCTGGCTCCTGTTGTAATTTTACATGCAAGGGATTTTCCCTGATCCTTTCTTTAACATTAATTTTCCTTTGGCTTGTATTTCAGAGGCCAAAGTCAGTCTCTTAGATAAATATTCAGGCAACTGTTTAAAATGAGTCCTTCATTATTTATTTATCACATCTATTATTAAGAAAGCTGCAAGAATAAGTAAAAGTGAAAACCTTGCATTTTGTCAGAATATGAATCTGCACGAACCTGCACAGCCAACTGTACTCAGTGAATTAGTGTTTTTAGATTCAGCTATTCTCACGTCATACGCATGGAAAAAGAATGAATAAAGCAAGTCAAATGCCCATGAAAAAAGGTCTGTATTTGTCAGTAATTTAAAAATGTGTATGAGCACACTGATTGAAGCCTATGGGTGAATTGCAAATATGTCCTACCCATTTTTTCTTTCCTGATTTTTTGTTCTTAAAAATAAGTTATTTAACCCAAAGGAACAATCACATACTTTTTTTCTGTTACATTTTGCTTTTCTTTAAAGTTCTATAGTTATTGTGTCAGTAAATAATTAGGGAAATATGGTTTGATCCAGAGAAATAAAGTAAGGAACAACTTCCAGAAAGAGGGATTAGGGAGAAAATTGACTACCTAGGACAGGTATTCTTGATGTTTTTCTTGGGTCTAGAATGGAGTGTAAGATAAAGCAAATAAAGTTGGGTTAAGGAAAATGAATCATTTTTAGAACAAACTGCATGGTATTCCTTAGTGCAGTTTCAACTGTTGTCCTGCCCTCCCTCTGAAATTCTGGGCTCTAAATTGAATAGAATCTTTCTTTTGGATACAACATATATAAATAGATGTCAATCACTATCAACATAGTGCCATAATAAATTTAACTCAAAATGTACAGTGTATATGCTGATACTGAAATAGGTATCCCAATGTCTGATGGTTTCCTAGGTCAGAAATAGAGCAACTGGTGAGCTATGTAGCAGTTACCCTCAGGAAGGACAGATGATTGCATACTGCTTATTTTCTTATTCAGAAAATAGGAGGGATGCGAGGCCTCAATTACATGTACACTGGGTCAGAATTTGTTATTATTTAATCCTGCTGAAGTGGAGTTTGCCTTTGAAAGACAGAGGAATAATAGCATTTTCTAAACAAATTGGAAGTACATTTAGACGCCCAGTATGCAGAAGCATTCTCATATTTTCCCTAAGTTCCTTAATATCTATGGACTGCATTTAGTTCTCCTTTAAACGAACTAACCTGTAAGTTTCCAATTTTCTAGATGTAAATGCCATTGTAAGAATGTGAAAGTAATAAAACATATATGCTAATGCACACTTTACTTTTGGCTGGGCATACATGAGATCTGTTCATTTGGGATCATATATTTTATCTGCCGTCTCTCTGTCACCTCCTCAGTTGGTCACATTTCATAGAGACTTCAGAACATTGAAAAGGCTATCTGTATTATCAGTAAATACCATAAATTTATGTTTAGACTATAAACTGATTATTATTTCTAATATTTCTTGATAAATAAGCTTTGGCAAGGTGTTAAAAATTATTCCAGTGATTATTTAAAGGAGAGAAGCCTAGGAAGCATAGTTTATGTGATCAATGTAATAAACTGTTTCTTAGCTAGAACATTTAGACTGTCTTAAGCAAAAAAATCATATTAAGTAAAAAAAGTCATATGATCTTTAATTCAATGACTTTTCTCACTATATTCATCTGCAAATCTTTTTGCTACTTCAACCATAGTATTTCCTAGACCCATCACTTACAATTCTAAGTTTTTCCTTGTCGGGGGCTGAGTGACTTGTTTCCCCCTGCCTTTGTTAACTTCTAGTTTCAGTATCATGCAACTAAATTATGCTTCTTTAGATATGATATTTTCTGTATCAGATCTTGACTTTTGAAACCAAATATTGTAAGTGGAAAAATCATGGGTTCTGGAGCTAGACTAGGCTGGCCTTGAATCCCATCTCTGCAGTTTCATTGGCCCTATGACCATGGGCAAGTTATTTCACCTTTTTGAGCTCTAGTTTTCTTCCTCCATTATAGAAATATATACCTTATTGTGTTACAAGAAAGCTGCAAGGATTAAATCAGATCACATGTTGGAAGTGTATGGCATTAATAACTGTTATTTTATTTTCCTAAATTTGTTCATTTGTCTTTCTGATTACTTTCTGTATTAACAAAAAACTTGATTATTTTCTTCCCAGAATTGCCTCTCACGGGCCGCATAGTTATTTCTAGGCAAGGTGTGCTTGAGTCTATCAGAAGCCACTTGAGTGTTCTCAAGGTGCATATGCCTGTGCTTCCTTTGTTACTACAATAATTTTTACTTCTTCACCTTCTTTTAAAACTCAGGTCAGAACCCTCTCAAGTTACCATCACTTGGAAAGTTTTCTTGAATTAGCATTAACCCTGGTGCCCTTAAAAAGTCATGTTTTGAGTTTTTTTACAATATGTTCTCAAGTTATTTTCTTCTGACTTCCTCTTGCCTCCTGCCTTTGACATATGCCTCCATTCTGTCGCTAATCATAGTACTTCCTCGTTTTAATTTTCCAAACTCCTTCTCCCCCAGTGTATACAGAAAAGGGCCTGCATCTGTGCTCCTACTCAAACCATTTCAGTGTTAAAGTCTCTCAGTTTGAGAAGGAGTCAAATGAGGACTCAGAAGTCTGTCCGTTTGAGGAGAACTAAAGGTAGAGTTCTGGCTCAAACATAGGTTTCAGAGAGCAGACACTGCCTGTGGGCTCTACTTGGTCACCCAAGTCAGTGAGACATTGATTCTCCTAAAAAGCGGTCTTTTGGAAGAAAATGTCTTCTGTAGAATAGACAACATGCAAGCCTGACTCTGATAAAAATGAGCAGTTGTACTGTAATCTGTGAGAACACCATTTTCCTCAAAATAATTATCTTGAATTGATAACAAGCATCTCAGATTTCTTTTTTCCTTATCCATGCTTTATGACTCAGCCCATAAGAGAAAATAAACATGTCCCATAGGTCACAGATTCTATAGTAGTAAGGCTGTTAAGTAGAAGCATCATAATATCTGTGAGGCTGGGTAGATTTAAAACAATTGCATTAATTTATATTGTTTTTTTTTGTTTGTTTTTAGAATACTATGCATTGCCTAATCTCCATATTCAAATTCAAATAGTACCTACTGACTCCCAACTCCTGAGGCAGATATTGTCTATTTTTTATGTCCATACAATAGCTCAATGACATAGAAATTATCATCAATTTGCGGGTTAGGACAGGAAAGCTTAAAAAGGTTAAATGGAATTGCGGCCACACAGTTATTAAATGATTCCTTTTCTTCATATGTAGATACTATTCTTTTTACTGTGCTATTTTGCTTTATTTTAGGTATCCATTTTCAATTGCAGAAAAGCTCCAAGTGTGTAATTACAGTGGATATAAAAAAGGAATTCAAATTAGTAATATCATTATCTCTCTCTGTTTCTAGTTTGTTCGAAGCAGGTAACTGATGAAGCATCTTCCACTCGAGATTCAAGCCTTACTAACACAGCAGTGCAAAGCAAGTTAGTGTCTTCCTTCCAGCAGCACACCAAAAAGGCTCTTAAACAGGTAAGATAGCTGCCATTTATTCTTTGTCCTTCAGTTCTGCATACTTAAGGTAATGTGTGTTTTGCTGATCAAGTAAACAATAACCTAGCAATCAGAAAGCAGAATCTTCCTGAATTCAATCCCATCCATGATATTCAGTTCAATAATTTTAATCTGTGATAAAAAAAAACTAGGAGAGGCTTGACTGAGAACTTTGATGTAAAATAGAAGAAGGAATATGCACCCACTGAAAATATGTAAAAATTTGTATTAACATTTTGTGTGTCTATTTATGATTTATAGTAGTAAATCTGTTGGGTTCATAAATGCATTGCATATTTAAAAAATAACATCTATGTTTTTTGTGCTTATCTGATAGTATAAAAATAAATGATAATTTATTTCTTGTTACTGAGATACATTAAGTTACAAATAAGAAAAATAGTGTTGCTTACTTATATCTGGAATATTCATTTATGAGTGTTGTTTGGTGCTGAATGGCAGTTAAAGTTGCCATATTATTCTGCCGTCACAGAGGCAGTACGGGCCTTTGTGGCCTTGCACTGAGATGGTGCAGGGATAGACACAAGGTTGGGCTCTGGGCACGGACATGCCCTGGTTTGAATTCTTGCTACTCACCTGCTGTCTCTAGCAAGCCACTTCTCCTCTCTGAATCTTAAATTCATTATCTAGAAAATGTGGGAAATAATAGTATCTTGCTCCTGGGATTGATCCGAGAATTAGCTGAGGTAATAGGATGAAAGCACATGGTAGAGTGAGTGGCTCATAGAAATAATAGTGACTTCTGTCATACTGGCAAATGCTAAATTGTGCAGAGAAGAAAAGGAGGAGATGTTATGGTTAGATGGAGCCATCGTATGATGATAACACAAAGAGTGTCAGTAAATGGAAGGTTCACGTATTTAATTCTGAATTCATAGTTTCCCCTTGTTTAAGTGCTTTCCTCTGATACAATCATCTATTTTGATCCTTCTATAACAATTCCCCCTTCAGCCACCCATTGATGACCTTTACCAGATCCAGGATTAGAGGTATCATTCTAGCGATATATTTATCACAAGGAAAAGAAAAATTATGTTTTCTAAAATAGAGTTTTTTTAAGTTCCACCAACCACTGAAGCTTCTTAATATGCACATCCAAACTTCTAGACTTAGACATCTCTACCTATCTTCTCCTGTACCTCAGACAAGAAAACATAGGAAAGAAACTTAACATGGTTATGCTGAATTATGTTACCTTCCTATTTCATATTATTGACATTGCAGCATTTATATTGAAGGTAGTAACAGTATTTCACCCTGCATAGGTCAAGTATCCTTTGGAAAGCTTGCCACTTACTGCATTTGAAATGTTTTAGATGCCAGAGAACAAAATTGAAATTGGTGTTGAGATCCCTTTTTAATTGATGAAATAAAAAACAGCTGTAGGTAGCAAAGCCTGGGCTACTCATTCAGACAGCAAATAAGATGCAGGTAATAAAATACTAACCAGAATAGAACAAAAGATACAAAAATGGACACTTGTGGCTGTGGCATTTAAGAAACATAAATGGGATCATAAATGAAACTCATACTTCTGAGGTTCAGTGACTTGGAAAATGTGCACACCATGAAATCTTCCTGTATATGAATGGAAATATAAAGGTACAACTCTCTGTATTGTTCTATATCATTAATTTGTACTTTCATCATTTTGGTTTTGTATTATTTGAACATTTTTTACGATTACTAAAACATTACAAAATTTTAAGTGATTTTTTTGTTTTTGTGTTTTTTGTGGAGCATATATTCATGGGAACTGCCACTGCTTGCTTAGAGTCTAAGCTTTGTTTTAAGAATCATGTCCTGAAAGCTTCTTAATGTCCTGAAAGAGTTATTAATTCATTTCTTAAAACTTCTGTTTTCTAACCTATAGCAAATAAGTAACCAGGAGAATATGGCTCAATATGTAGCAAATATGCTAATATTTGATTAATAATCAAATTCAGATTGGAAATATATTTAGAAGAAAAGCTATTCTTGCAGAATTTTGCCCAGATTCCATGTAATTGCTGAATTTCTTAAGACAGCATTGCAAAAATTGACTGAACATGCAGCATTTTAAACTGTAGCAACCTCAGCAAATCTACAGCTTTCTTTTCTTTTGGATAGCTGAATGGCTATGACCATGTAGAATTTTTGTAAGTGTATTAAATACATATATATATATTTCCATATACATATGATCTGTGTTTGTGAATATATGTTTCTTGTGTATGTATACATGCACAATCATAATCATATGAACCTAGGGCCAGCAGAATGATCTTAAAAATAATTACATTAGCTGATAATTAGCTGTTATGGTTTCTAGACACTGTACTCTCCATTTTACGTGGGATATATTATTTAATTCTCATGCAAATGCTTTGAAGTATGTACTTATATCCCCATTTTTCAAAGGAAAAAACTAAGACCCAAGTCAGGTAACTTGCCCAAGATCACCCAGCAAGTAAATCTTAGAGATGATGTTTGAATCCAGAACCGTAGTTTCAGATTCTGCCCTCTTCACAAATACTGCCTTTCAGCATGTGCTATGTAATAGTATAGACGAATTTTTGATGCTATCCAAGAAAATCTACATACTTGAGTTGTTATATAGCATATGGAAAGCAATACAGCATAGTTATTAAAAATAGCATTTCTGAACACAGGCTGCTTATGTTCAGTACCAGCCCATACTGATAACACACACTCAAATATATGTCATTGTTATTTTATTAGAAATATGTTGTGATTCAGTAGGACTTTAGTAGTCTATACATTAACCAGCGTAGACTCTTAGAAATAAGTAGATTTAAAAAATTCCTAAAACCAAATAGCTTTATAATCATAAGTGGAGTAAAAAAAATAATTTACAACAAACTGTCTTACAAAATATGCCAGGCATAATTTCTCAAGTCTGAAGGCCTGTACTTTCTACCCCTGCCTAAAGCATGTTGCTACAGAGAGGGCTACATGTTTACAGGGCTCTTTGATGTCATAGCACTGTTGATTGCAGTGTAATTGTAAGCTGGACAATCTGGAAGCTATAATGTCCCTTGACGATTGACATGGAATATTTTTATTGCTCCCAAATATTTGAGTCCCTTTTACTTTCTAATCCTCAAAACGTTAGTTAACATCATATGTTGGGCATAATTGCATGAATAACATATTGTTATTTCAGTAGTTGTCTTTTTTTTCTGCATAAGCATATTCAGAAGCCTCTGGAGAGCAGCAGATTGCTGATTATTACCTTGTTCCCTGTCTTCTTTCTGCCTGGGTATTTTAGTTATGATCCTAAAAAGTGTAAAAAGATTAGATTTTGAATTTTAAAATATAATTCAGAAAGATTAAATTTTGGAAATTTTAAACCGGCACAAGATAATTAAAGGTTAAAGAAGGATGAGTTGTGTTACAGCAAGTGACATGGTAGTGAACATAACCTTTCTATGTTGTTTGTGTTGGTTTATTTGACTTCCTTCATTATTTAGGGTGGTAGAGTTTATTCATAAAGTTGCAGATGCATTTTCTTTTTGATATTGCAAAGCAGATCTATTCTTGGTATTTTGCTTTAGCTTTATATGTTTGACCAATACTGTGAAATTCCAAAGGTTATATTGCATGATAGTAGTTTCTGAACATGGGCATTGACATTTATCACACTAGCGGCAATGCAAGTTGTTGGTGCCTGAAACAGCCCGCTGTTTTCTATGTGTATTTCTAATCATTTGACTTTTAGCATTCACAGCATGTGATATTTTCAGATTTTCAGTGGAAGAGTTACTGCATTCGATGCATTCTTAAGCTACATTGCTTGTGTTTTTTTGTTGTTAAAATAAAGCAGGCATTACTTGCTTAAAATTCCAAGTTAACACAAAAGCCTCTGATTTGAAGTTTTATTTTATTTTTTCCATTAGGATAGGAATGAAACCAATCCATATTTTTAGAACTATCTAACAGGCTTTCTGTCTGAAAAATCAAATGTTTATTTAAAGGTTTTTTTTTTCTCTTTTTGGAAGAAAGTATTGCAATATGTCACTGGAGAAAAGCATGCACAGTCAGCATCTTTTGATTTCTTTCCTTGCACTTAGAGCCAGAATTGAATTGATGTGAGTGTGATATGATCTTTACTTTTCCTAGACTGCATTAGCTATGTTGTGTGTGTTTCCTTTGAAAAGTGCATTTATTTCTAGGGTTAAGCTTGTAAATTTCTTTCATATTGAATAATACCTGGAAGCATTAAAGTTGAAATCCAATTATACTCCTTCTCATAACACCATCGATATTGAAATTGTACTCTGTGTGGTTTGGACAGTGGAACATTATACATATGACCGGCTTGAAGGTACATTCCTTCATAGTAGACTGCATTTACAGTCACCATCTGCTTGTTTATTTTGATTCTGATATTGCTTCTTTCTGGATTTGAAATGACAGAATTTAAAGTTGTTCTACAAGATAGTCCATTAGCATTCCACAGTACAGCTAAGGCTTGAGACAGTTGGAGGTGTCTCATTTATATCCCCCCCTGAAATGAATCTAGACTAAAATAGACTGATTATGTAATATCTGTCAAAATAAATCACATTATAGACAAACCAACAGGGCCACCACTAGCTAATTAAGACTTTGATGTGTAATAGAAAAAGCTGCCCCTTCCAAGTTGTCACAACAAAATATAACATCCCCTCTTTTAGGGTACCCCTGTGCAGGACACAGCATCCATGACTATCTAGAGTGATCTTCTTAATCCTATTTTCTTAATCTATTCCATGAATTTATAATATCCAGGCTGTGAGATACCCAAATATAGATAATCACAAGTTAATTTGCAGATGATTTCTATTATATATGTAGCATAAAGTAAAGTAGGAATTTTCTTGTTTTCTTAGAATTTCAGCAAAAGCTCAAAGCTGCAGACAGTATGATACCAGTAACCCTGTTTGGAAGAGAGGTGTTAGACATAGCCTCACAGGACTAAGAGAAGGCCAGATGGTCGATTGAACAACCCCCAACAGATGTAAAAAAAAATAACTCAAGATTTGGGGTGTGTGTGTTCCAAACCTTGTATTTTGAAGGATTATGAGATTTGTTAAATCAGAGGGCTGACCATAATGGCTAGGCTACACGTCGTACAGTGGGACAAGGATGCTGACTGTGCTTGTGGCCTGAGCAGGTGCTGAACAGCTAGTCAAGCATGGGGAATTTGTAAAGACCTTGCCTAGGAAAGCTGCCTACTTAGGTGAGAGGAGCCCTGTATATAGAGCCTGCACTGAGGGGAAGTGCGGAGGTCAGCTAGAGAGAGCGTGGTTTATGTCAGTGTTGAATGTAGTTTCAGAGGCCTCCCAGCAAAAGCCTCTTATGTATCCACTAATGCAGGCCATAAAAATCTAGCAGTTGGCCTTCTGCCTCCCAGAAGGTTATGATGTCATGGCTATGACAACACTGGTTAAGATAACTTTGCTCTAGTCTTCTCACTCCTATTCTGAATCCTAATCCTGGGGATCTCAGAAAAAAAGAAAGAGGAAACAAAGGAATAACAAAATCAGGAAACCCTTTCCCAGTGAAATTTCTGATTTGAGACCTAGGCATGGTCTGGGGAGGCTAGAAGGGAAGCTTTATATTTGACCTCATGTTTTTAATCCTGAATATAAGTCCTCGAATCTAATTTATAAAGCCTTGGCAACCATTTTGGAGTTCTTTGCTTTCTCTGTAAACTCCCTACTCCTTTTTTCCATCTACTCCGTTCTTTTTTTGTTTTTTGTTTTTTAATTTCTGGAATAATGAAAAGTTATCCCTGCTAGTGGATGTGATACTATTTTTTTACTTATTGGAGACTCCACAATTTTCACGCAACCACTTTCTTCTTGTCATTTATGTCTCACTTCCTTTGTTGCCTCCAGAGAGGCCGTATCTGACATCCCACTCTAAATTGGTTCTCCCCGCCCAAGTTACCCTACTTCATCTTTCTGGCATAATTTTCTTAGCACTTATATGTGAGTGAAACACTTATATTATTTCATGTATTTCCTTGTCAATCCTTCACTAAAATGTGGAATAATTAAAACTACTGTCCCTATTCACCATTATAAATCAGCAGCACTTATGCTACCATAGAACTGAATAAGGTCTCAAAAATGCATTGGTTGCAGAAAGGATAAGTTATATAAATAACAAAAAATGATATTTGTTGAGTATTTACTATGTAAGGTAAACTCTGCTAACCACTGTTGTGCAGATTTTCTGTTTAAAGCATCTTGCCTGCACTACTACCTCTGTTTTGTAGGACATTGACCCAAGTCATTTACCCAGCAGCTAGTTAGTTAAATCTTTCTCTACAACTCCTTAACCACTGCATCACACTGCCAATTTTTCAGAAAATTCTGAAATTCTATAAAATTCTTCTGTAATCCAAGTACTTTGGGAGGCTGAGGCAGGGAGATCACTTGAGGTCAGGAGTTCAAGACTTGTCTGACCAACATAGTGAAACCCTGTCTCTACTAAAAACAAAAAAATATTAGCCAGGGGTGGTGGTGCACACCTGTTATCCTAGCTACTTAGGAGGATGAGGTGGGAGGATTGCTTGAACCCAGGAGGTGGAGCTTGCAGTGAGCCGAGATTGCACCACTGCACTCCAGCCTGGGCATCAGAGCGAGACTCCATCTCAAAAAAAAAAAAAAAATAGGAAAAAAAATCTTTTTATATAGTAGGCATTTAGTTTTGTTTGCCTACAGACACATAATGTGTGTCAGTGCTTTTAAAAATATTGTACTAAGAAATAGTCAGGTTGTCTGATCAGGAGACATATATTCAAAAAACATCATACAAACAGGCTCAATATTGGTCACCTTCCTTTATCCTTGCCTTGACTATACCTTGTCTTTTTAAAATTAAAAATTGCTATGGGTTTTTATTCTTATATCATTTTTATTATGGTTTTCTTCTGTCTGATTACTAATTTTTCTATAGCAGAGTCCTCTCAGCTCTAGAAATTGAGGTCAAAATTTTCGTTGCTTTAATTATTATTTACCACAAATGCTCTAAAAAGACATGCCAGCTTTGACTTTATGATTCCAGCTTCTAATTAGTTCATCTTTTTTTCCCTAAATATTTTCTAAAATAAACTCTAACCAAACACACACACACACCACACACACACAAACTATTTTTAAAATGTCTAATTTTTTTTTCCATGAGAAGTAGTTTAAATATATGCTATAAAGACTCCTAAAAATTGATCACTCTTTATGCAGGTTTAATTGTTTTGTGAAGTCTTACATAATGGGCAAAGATGGACTTAATTGTAATTTAAATTGCTATGCTATGTTGCTGTATTCTGTTTTATTATTGATTGATAGGTTAATTTCTATAAAGTACTTTGAATTCTTATACAATGCTAGACAGATTGATTCAATTATGTGCAAAATTTATGTGCAATTATGTATACATCTTGAAGAAAGAGTAAATGTCTTAAATATTTTATAACACATATGTCCTCATTAAATATATTAATAACAGCAGGCTAAAGGTGAGAAGGATGGCATCTTATTAATCTTTGTATTTTTTGCCCCTCTCCCATATATAGTACCTGGGTACTTTATGAAAACTTAATAAATGTAAGAATCAAAGAAAATATGTCTTATGTTATCATTAGCAACCATATCATTTGTAATGGATTTCCCAAGCCTTTACTTTCTCATCAGGCTTTAAATCTTATCTGAATAAGTTGTCTGCATAATTTAAATGCTTTCTCTCATTTAAATGGTATTTAATTTTCACTTCTATAATTATTTGATTGCTAAATCTTATGGTTGACAAGTTGGACATCAGCTAATACCCTTTGCAAATAAAAGGACATCGTTTTTTGATAGCAAGGGGAAATACAGTCAAGGCAGTCTTTCAGGAGATTCTGACAACTCTCAGTCGAAGAACATTAATCAAGTAACTGGGATGTTGTAAAATTGGTAGAAATTACACAGAAACTAGGAATAAAAAGGATTGAGGCAGTATGAAGCCAGCCTTTTAACCTTTTGAGGAGTTTTAGCATTCCTGTGGCTGTGAATTTAATGGCTCTTCAGTTTCGTGTGCTTAAGACCCTTTTTATTACAGGTAATTTTCTGTATAAAGTGATCAGCTAGATAAGCTGTATTTCAAAACTTTTAAATGTCTTTTATTACATTATCATCACCGTGGTCGATTCATTTATGAAACACAAAGTGCTCCCATTTGGACAGATTTATTCTTATATTCATTTTTTTCCTGGATTTGCTAGAATCTGTCATGTTCGTGTTCTGAAGGTTAATGCCCAAAGTCAAGCAGACAGAAGCCAAGTGCTGCAAGGTTTCCAAGATTAGGACTGATTCCCTTCACAGAAATAAATGATTCCTGCCATGTTGAGTGATTTTGTGCAGTGCTCCCCATGGCTGAGTGAGTGCATCAATACTGTAGTCCTTACATGCTGTACATACTGATGACACTCAGTGTTAACTTGATTGACTGAGCGGTACGCTGGAGAGGACGCACCTGCGAGAGAAGTGCAGACACATATATTTTTATCCTGGTTTCGAAACATTTATTTTACATTCATTTGACTTGGGAGTCATAGTTTCAAATTCCATGGACTCTCAAGCCACAGTGCTAAGGTAGAAGAAACCATTAAGTGCTGCTTTGTTGTTAGAATTATACCGAAAATGGTCTCGGGCTTATACCCTTTGCCAAAGCCTGATTTTATGCTTTTGAGGGAAAATGACATGAAGGTAACTATTAAGAATCCTGAGAAATTAGGGGCTCTGTGGAATTTAAGTCTCTTAAGAGGTTCTATGTAATGATGGACAAATGAGTCACTTAATTCAATTATGAGAAATTATTTTGGCTATATTTTTATGTTATATCTTTTTATTATGTTTTGTAGGCTTTGAGGCAGCAGCAGAAAAGAAGAAATGGAGTCTCAATGATGGTAAACAAGACTGTTCCTCGTGTTGTTTTGACACCATTAAAGGTGTCTGATGAGCAGTCGGATTCGCCTTCAGGTAAAGAGCTGAAATATCATATGCTTGGCCAGTTTCTTCCTGGAGGAGACTTCCTCACTGAAAGAGATGTCATGATTTTTTTTCTGAAACTGAATAATACTTCCACTTGAGGTTTGGTTTAATTTCTTTATACCTTTGACTCAGTGATTCAAAAATATAGACTATTTCCAGTTCAGAAAAGAAAAAGGTACCAGCTTGCTTGCCTCATCATCAGCAAATGTCTTCATTTGCTAATGACAGTAGGTGTAAGAAAATGTGTAGGCGAATTTTGTTGTTGTTGTTGCTTTGGCTTTTGTTTGAATGTTGAACTTTAAGGGTGGACCACATGCTGATGTATAATACCATCAAAAGCAGTTCTCTGTGAGTGTGAATTTGTTTTTCAGTCCTGTGCTGCAAAGTCAGAAATCCTTTTATTAGTTTTTGTGTTCTGGCAGCATTCTTCTCACCCCAGTGCAGCCCTGACCTTGTCTTCTAATTTACCTTGTGTCACTTTATCGGCTATGTACTATTCTATTTATTGTGGATTAACGTTTGTATTTTCTGTTCATACTTCAACATAAAGCTATTTATAAAGGTATAATCTCTCCCTCTCTTCAAGATTCCTTTCTTTTTCATCTTTCCGTGTCTGTCTTGTGTTGTCTCAGAATGGCATAGTATTGTTCAAGCTTATTCGTGTATTTTACAAAAGACCTGACTCTATTTCTTTTAAAAGCTATCAGATCAATGAACGTAGTTTTGACTCCACTATTAGGCCATCTGTTCTTGCTTTTTGTTCTGTTTGATTGATTTATTGGGCTTCTCTTTTTATATCCAGTAGGGGAATCAGATTGTGGCCAAAGGTAGTGTATTAACTCTAGAAAAGGAGATTATATCTACAGTTCCTCAAACAATTTTAGATTTTTCTTTTCAAGGACAGCTAGAGAAGATAATGACATAATAACTATTTCCTTTTTTAGGATCTGAATCTAAAAATGGTGAAGCAGACAGTTCAGATAAAGAAATGAAACATGGGCAAAAATCTCCCACTGGAAAACAAACAAGTCAGCACTTAAAACGATTAAAAAAGTCTGGTTTAGGTGAGTGTTTAATAGACTATGCCATTTCACATTTTAGAAATTTGTGTTTTCTCAAATAAATTATCTAAAATTTTCAGAACATTTTTTAATGATTAAACAAGGAAATTAAAATTTCCCTCCATTTATCAAAACCAAAAAGAATGCTAAATAAGGAAACATTCTAGTTACAACTGAATGGTCTTAAGCCTATTACTAAATTTGTGAATGATAATATTGGATGAAGCAGAGGGTAAAAATGAGACTTAAAATGATACATGTAAAATAATTATCTGCCGGGTCATGATACTATCTAATGTGCGGTGTTTTGTCTGTGCAACTAGGTTTCACTTTATTGGAATATGCTGTCTTGGAAGAAAAAAATGCAGTCTTTATAAAGGGTTCACTGAACTGGAGAGTACATTGTCAGTGGGGTCTGCTGCAGTAAAATTGCTCTTCCTTGCTTTTTGTCTATGCTTCTTAAAATATTTAGTAGTGCCTGTCTGAAAAAATGTAAAATTGCTGAGAAATGTTGGAGACACAGGCCACGGGTCTTTCAAATCAGCACCAGGTTTTCTTCAACATACTTCTTTCCTGATAACTTTTCATCAGGAACCCCCAACAGCATTCAGGGAGAAAAGAGCATGAGAATTAGAAAGACAAAAATAAACATATCCTGGTTTGAACATTAGAATTCTCAACTGCCACTGGCTTGTTGCTGCACCTAGATCCTGATGGCTTCATTTCTCTGAGTTGTTTTAGCTGTGAATAGGATCATGATAATAACCTGGATCGTTACAATATTTTGTAAAATGTTTGGCAGAAACTGCAAATTTATTGACGTGAACTTTATTACCTGTTCTGCCACTTACTTTCTTGGCAACTTGAGATAATTCTTATTTGCAGAGTGTATTTGTTTATAAAATTCAAGATTTTATCTGATTTTTTTTTAGTAAAGTTTTGTCAGTTGCTACTATATGACAGACATTTTGCTAAATCTTGGGACATACTTCTAATAAAAAGACTTTAAATAGGATTTATTTATATTTAAATAAGAGACCTTTAGGAAAGCAGAATCTCTTTTTTATTTAAAGTCTTTAAATATAGCATACTTCTTTGTTTTGCATTATTTTAAGGCCAAATAATTTTAGTTATTCTCTATCCCAAAATGTATGTTTGTGTATAACCATACTTACCTGTACATGGACATATTCTTTCCTAATACTCTGGGTGTTGTAAGTATTTTAATATAAGTTACTTCTGAAATAGAAAACTATAGTGGGAGAATGATAGATAAAGAATATACTAAAAATCCAAAACAGTACCACATTATCATACACTAAGGAATTTAAACATCTGCGGCCTTTAGTTAAAAACAGCTACCAACCTCTGTAAAGTTAGTGCCATGTAATGAGTGTACAAAAATTTAAGGCACAGGGGCATCCCCATTTATTTCCTTAGTAACTTCAGGAGCGAAAGTTACTAAGGTATACCCTTATCAGTATCCTCTCAGGGGCTGAGATCTTCAGTATTTTTTTTTTTTTTTTTTGAGACAGGGTTTCGCTCTTGTTGCCTGGGCTGGAGTACAGTGGTGCCATCTCAGCTCACTGCAACCTCTGCCCCCAGGTTCAAGTGATTCTCCTGCCTCAGCCTCCTGAGTAGCTGAGGCACTGCCACCATGCCCAGCTAATTTTTGTATTTTTAGTAGAGACAGGGTTTTACCATGTTGGCCAGGCTGGTCTCAAACTCCTGACCTCAGGTGATCCGCCTGCCTTTGCCTCCCAAAGTGCTGGGATTGCAGTGGGCCACCATGCCTGGCCCAGGATTTCTTGTATTCTGATTTTTGTACCTTGAAGTCCATGCTCAATGAATTAGAGAATCAGAATTTGTTTTAATACTGAAAGTCAACTGAAAGATATAAAGACTGATATACAAGCCTGCTTTTAGGAAATCCTGCATGCCACTAAATACCTTATGTGTTAAATATCGTGTTGCTGAAGTATTTCCGCTGACTTGTTAGCAAATTAAAAGATAATGAAAGAGCGCCCCCAATCTTTCAAACCTGCTTTGTTCTAGACTACAAAGTAATGGAGATAATGAAACTACTTTAATGGAGGAATGGAGAAGTGAAGTCACATTCACTGGCCATATATAATGGAATGGTCTAGGTATTTTGACATAAGTTATGTCTTTTAATTTTACTTCAGTTTTGTACAGTAGAATGACGTCTGTTTTACAGCTGAAGGAGCTGAGATCCTGAAGGGTTAAGGAGGTTACATGAAGATGACACAGCTAAGTGATACAAACCAAGGCATATCTAACTCCAAAGTCTAAGCCATTCATTTTGGATAGAATCTGAATGTCAAATCATCTAACCTATATTTTAGACCTGTAGGTGCCACTGAGGGAAATACAAGAAATGACATGGTGAGACTACCATAGGTGTTAAAGTGCAGGTCTAACTACACATGGAAGGAGAGCTAGCAATTGTAAGATTTCTCACCCTATCCTGTATCAAACACAAGGAGGAAGAAGGTGAGATTTAAAATAAGCCAGTTGAAGTACAATTCTGTCAAAAATAAACTGCAAGTGTTTACTGGGTAGGAACTGTGACTGGCTGACTAACCTATCAAGCAGCTGAATGGAATGGCTTATTTTGTGCAAATGAAGTCAGTAGTACTTTCAAAGTTTCCAATATATGCCCAGCAGTAGAAAATGAAAAAACATGGAATGAAAGGATGGGCCTTAAATGTAACCATCTCCAGAAAGTAACCCATGTCTTTTTTTTTTTTTGAGACGGAGTCTCGCTCTGTCGCTCCAGACTGGAGTGCAGTGGTGCGATCTCGGCCCACTGCAAGCTCTGCCTCTCGGGTTCACCCCATTCTGCTGCCTCAACCCCCCGAGTAGCTGGGACTACAGGCGCCCACCACCACACCCGGCTAATTTTTTGTATTTTTAGTAGAGACGGGGTTTCACCATGTTAGCCAGGATGGTCTCGATCTCCTGACCTCATGATCCACCTGCCTCGGCTTCCCAAAGTGCTGGGATTACAGGCGTGAGCCACCGCACCCAGCCACCCATGTCTTTTTTAGACAATGATGTTTTTAATGCCCTATTAGAATCAGACTGATATTTAATACTCTGTAAGGGTTATTTACGTACATTCTGCTCTTTGCCATTAAGTTGTTAACTCCTTGGAACAGTGGCCTTTCTGTCTACATCTGTAGTCCTTACTACAACCATCATAGCCCTTCTGTTTAGTAGGTTCTCAATGAGTTTGGAATGAATGACTGATTCTAATTAACTGAATGGCCTAGAAGTTTGGATGAATGAATGACACATCCTAGGGTGTCCATAGTGAAGCTCCTCCTATCTTCTTGAATAAAAATGATCCTGTGTTTGTGGAGAAGGTCATTCTTTGCATACCAGCATGTAGCAGAATCAGTGCAAAGGAGTGATCCCACCTCATATCCTTTAGCCAGCCAGATAGAGACAGCCTGTATTCCCTCTTCTATTTTTTCCACCTGAGTTAGACATCTAATTCATATGGTCTTGGAAATGAGGTTTTTTACTGTCCTTGCCTTCTCTAGGTAGTGGTAGGTATGTATAAGTCCTAACCTGTTGAAACCATGCTGAATTAAAACAAATGCTGTAAGTCTGTTCTAATTTAAGTTAATAACTCTGAAACAAAATCCAGTGAAAACCAGAGTTCAGGGTGTTAGTCTACAATTTTTTTCTCATTGTGATATTTTCCTAAAAGGATAGAAAATTCTTCTGATTGTCCCCTAAGTGCTTCCTCTTGATTTCTAGCAATTAGTTGCTTTATCAGATTGCAAGATATTCACCCTGTGCAAGGCCTGAGTTTCACTTGGGCCTTAGCATCTAAGGAGTGTAGCCTAAGAGACAATGGACCCCAGTATGTTCTCTCAACACTCTTCAGTACAGGAGGCACCATGGACCCCCTCAGACCCTTTCATGCTCAGCTTCCCTAGAGAGGGTTAAAGCGCACAATAAAACAACAATAAGAAGAAGAAGCTTCAAAATTCCTCAATCTCAATTTTAAATGTTAAGTTGAAAATAAAAGAAAAAAATTCCTCGGTTGGCTGGGTGCAGTGGCTCACACCTGTAATCCAGCACTTTGGGAGGCCAAGGCGGGCGGATCACGAGGTCAGGAGATCGAGACCATCCTGGCTAACACAGTGAAACCCCGTCTCTACTAAAACTACAAAAAATTAGCTGGGTATGGTGGCAGGCACCTGTAGTCCCAGCTACTCGGGAGGGTGAGGAAGGAGAATGGCGTGAACCCGGGAGGCGGAGCTTGCAGTGATCTGAGATGGCACCACTGCACTCCAGCCTGGGTGACGAGCGAGACTCCGTCTCAAAAAAAAAAAAAAAAAAAAAAAAATTATTCAGTCATTCTAATTCTGATGGTAACCTCGACGTTCTCCTGAGAAATATACCACCCAGCTTGGGAAGCTACGACTGTTGATGTAGGGTTTTTCTTTTGTTCTGTTTGTTTGCCCATGGCCAGGGTTATGTATGAAAACTATGATGATATTTCTCTGAGTAGCCCACTGATTGAATAGACTTGGTCACGGGGTGAGTGCAGTTGAAAAATACAGTGCTTCTAAAATGGTATGTATTTCTCTGATGAGGTTATAATGAAACAAAACAAAACTTTGGTGGTCCCTTTCCTATTTCTTAATCAAGTACAATAGAAAACACTGTTCTGATATGCATAAAACAAATGCTAACAATGTCTACAAGGACTCCTTTATTATAGACCTTGAAAATTATTTTAACAGTAAATGTTAGACTACCAAATAACCAGGCAGTAGAAACTTTATCTGCTGGGATGAAGTGTAGGTGCCTGCTGCAAATGCGGTTTGAAGCATGTGTTTTTCTTGCCTAATCAGTTGTTTTAATAATACCCTCTCTCCTTGTCTTAGCAAAGGATAAACCACTTAAAACCCTCCCCCATGAAGTTTTCTGAGACAACCCTAATACATTATCATCTCACTGTTTTCATGGCACTTAGAACATAGATTTGTGAATGCTTTAAAAATTCTTTAGTAATATACTCTTACCATTTGTTTTCTACATCTTGATATCTTACAATTTTCTCTAACTAAAATGTAAGTTCCTTGAATTCAAGGTCATTGACCTAAACTAGTTTTAATTATACTTCTTCCTACCCAGTCACATAGTAAGAGTTTAAAAAGTGCTTGCTAAACAAATCTAAGCTTCTAATGGATGTCTCCGAGGGGGTTTTAATAAATGTCCTTGGTGGGCTTAACTTCTGGGATTCATTCCAATGTATTTTATTTGGTTTAATGTTTTTGGAGTGAAGAATTATAGCTTTGTTGGTTTTATAAAATGGCACATACTCTTTAAATAAATCAAAGCATAAATATAAAAATAAAGTTTGAATAATAACCCCACATCTTTTCATACAAAATAATTATCTCCAGTGCATTATAAACATTATTTGACATTTCTTACTGTGTATCTATAGCCAGAGATATTAGAAAACCTGTATTATACCATTTTAATTAAAAGTACAAAATTTAATTAATTTTAGATTAAATAAAAAAGTAAAACTAAAAAACAAAATTGTTAAATATTGCCACAAGATATATTTATATCTAAAAGTTTTCTCCAGAGTTATTACAAATATAAGAAACTGAAATAAGAGTGATTACCTTTTTAACTACTCATTTCAACTTTGGACAATGTATTATAAAAAGATAGGGACATAATTACACTACAGACCTTCCTACCTGCATGTTTTCGTTACAATACTTTTTGAATATCGAAGTTGATAACATTCATGTTCTGTTTGTTTAACCATAATTCCTATAGTTCATTAACCCTGGTACTATATTTTAATGGACTCAGTGCTCCATGTAGACTTTTTACACAATTTCTTCATTTGTGAAGACTACGTGGATTCATGTTGTGTATTGATTAGATTTTGCCTTCTGATAGATATTTTTCCCATTAGACTTTATTCTTTGAAAGCCGATTTTTCTTCTCTGAGCGCCATTTAATTTAATTTCATTTTAGAGACATAGTCTCACTCTTTTGTGTAAGCTGAAGTGCAGTGATACCATCATAGCTCACTGCAGCCTCAAACTCGTGAGCTCAGGAAACCCTTCTGCCTCATCTTCCCAAGTAACTGGGACTACAGGCATGCGCCATTATGCCAATGTTAATTTTATTATTTATGTATTTATTATTTATTTATTTATTTATTTATTTATTTATTTTGGATACAGGATCTTGCTGTTTTCCAGGCTAGTCTGGATCTCCTGGCCTCAAACAATCCTCCCACCTCAGACTTTTGAGTAGCTGGGATTACAGGAATGAGCCACTACACCTAGCAGAGCTGTTTTTCAGAATCATTCCTCTCTAATTCCTTGAGATCATGAAGAACTCTTTGGTTTTGAACTCAGTGTTTGAGCAGTGCTTCTTGTCTGCCTGGTCTGCCTTTTGTGTTTGCTTCTCTATGTGAGTGTGTCTGCATCTCTGTGTGTGCACACTTCATGCATAATCCTTGTGTGGGTTCCCTTCTGGGAAATGTGAGTCCTGAAGCCAGCAGACTACCCAGTGATCAATAAGTGTTCTGGAGCCTGCAACTTTCACAAATTGTGGTCTTCAAATTCCCTGTGGCCAAGATAATAGAGAATTTCCCTGACCTTAATGGAACACATTCCCCATGATTTTTATCATGAGATCAGTCAGGTGTCTTCTTGTATAGCATAGGCTGTGGCAACGTAGCAATTGTTGGTTCTTTTCCCCTTTGCCCTACCTCAGACCCTCTAGGCTAAGTGGGAATTAAACGCTAAAATGACTACATCTTTTTTCCTTCTCTGGGTACTATAGGGAGATATGAGGTACCAACTTTAATGAGATAAGACAATCATATATAATTGGATTGTTCTTAAGCCAATTAAGAGTACACGTGTAAGGATAATTAAAATGGAATTAAACATCCTCTGTGGCAACAAATTTAGTTCATCTTCTCTGTCTTTGTTCCAAAATCATAAAACACATTTTTGCTTAGGTGGACATCTTTGAAATAGATCTTCTTTTGACTTTGTCATAAAAGACTGTGTGCCTCTCTGAAGTGTCTTTATTCTATGATATTCTTAAACATTTTGAACCATGCTAAATAATAGCAGTGTAAGTTCCTATTTCTCACATTGCTCATAACATGTTTCGGAAGTAGAAAATAAAACGTTTTACATTTTTCTCAGTTTTCTAACATTTCCTCCAATCAGAGTTACTCTCAATAAATGACCTCAACTCTGTTACATGAGAATATTTATGCCATATAATAAGAATTAAGCAAATTTTTTTCTCTCTATATATATATTTTAACATTTTTGCCTCTAGGTTTGGCCTTTGCCTCTACTTCTGAGAAAAGAAGCTTCTTCCTAATTCTGGTCTAAGATTTTTATTGTGAAATATTTCAAACATATGGAAAAATACAGATGCTAGTAGAACAGACACCTACATACCCAACATCTCAACTCAACAAATATTAGATTTTTTTAATGGAAACAACTTGTAAAATTTTATGTATTTATAAGTAAGATTGGCTAATACAGTCTCTCTCATATTGTCTTGCTGCTCTTTCTTTTGTAATAAAGATTGTATTATTTTTATAAAGTCAATTGAAGAAGTTTTTTCTTTTTTTCTGAAATATGTGTATAATGAAATAGGGAGTTCCAGAGATAGGTCAAGAAAGTAAGTCTCCCACCTCACATAAAGTTTATCTTTAGAGCCATTTACAATTTGTGCTTTGTGTGTATGTGGGAAAGAGGGCGTTGCGTACTGATTCATTTTTTAAAAAGTTTTTACACATTTATCATTCTCTTTTCAGGTTAAATTTGGAAATGTATAAAGCTTAAAATATTTGTATTCAATGACATTGCAAAGAGTCATAATATTATGCTTTTTAAAATCTACTTTTAATTACATCTGCCTTTAGATATGTACTCTGTCAAGTATTGTGTCCTTACCTTTCATTCCTCTTCACATTTGTTTATACCATCTCAGGCCAGAGATGTCCTTTAATAGCTTAATAAAAAATACTTTTTTATTGTTGATGGTTTTCATTATTCTTTTCTGTTTAACGAATGTCTGCTTTTTTCTTCTCATCTTTCCTTCTTTCTTATTATTCTTTAGTTCATTTATTAATTTCATTATTTTTACACGTAAGCCTTTAATTTTCAATTTTTTTCTACCCTCTAATATATGCAGTTTACCTTTAAAACCAATTGAGTGGCATTTCAAAAATTTCGGTATCATTAAAAATTCAAATACTTTATAATTTCCGTTACAATTTTTTTTTCTGTAACGTGTAAAGCACATGCAAGTGTGCTTTTGAACATCTAAACATATAATGGATATGTAGGGTATTAGATAATTGATACCTTTCTAATATGGTACTGTATTTAATTTGGGACAGAAAGATGAGGCTGTATATTATTCTTCAGTATCTGTTGAGACTCACTGGACAGTTGTGTTGTGTTTTGTTTTCTTGCTGCTTTTGAATCCTGGGGGAAAAACATGCTTTCTCTAATGGTTCAGTACAATGCCCTGTGTTAAAGTCTTTGGTTCAAGATTGATTATTGAGTTGTAAAAGTTCTCTGTAGCCTTAAGACAATTATTTTGATCCAATCTATCAGGTTTTGGTAATGTATGTTAAGACTTTCTGGTAACATTATGTGATGTCAATTTCTTTTTTATTACCTGAATTTGACATTTTGAGGCTGTGCTATTTAAATGAATGTAGGTTCAAGGTCACTATATATTCCCAGTAAATTATTCCTTATACACTTAAGGAATGATCTTTCTCATCCCTAATAATATATTTTTTTACCTTTGTTTATCTGGTCTGATGTTAATATTGCAGTATGACTTTTTTGTTGTTTTGAATTTCTGATTAGTAGTTTTTAGTTTATTGTTCATTTTCTAAATTTTTATTCTTTCCATATAATTTTTATTTTATGTGTATTTCTTCTAAGCAGCAAGTAAATGGATGTTGTTACTTTTAAAATCTAATGTGAAAATCCAGTTACCTTTATTGTGATTGTTTTGTGCTTAATTTTAATTTTTTTCCTCCTTTTGTGCCTTCCTTTTGATTGAGTTTTTCCATCTATCCATTTATTTGGAAATTATAATTCTTTTTTTTTTCTTCCAATAGCTACTTCCAGAGTTTTAATGAAATAAAGAACTAGTTCATATCTCTCTTGTTCCCAGAGCATACCAGAGTTTTATAGTGCTCTCATTTCAATTACATCTTACCATGTTGCATACAGTTATTGTGAATTATTTTATTTCCACTTTGTTTGATTCCTCCGTAGGTCATTAGTATTATTTTTTACAATGAATGTTTGTTTGGATTTACTCATGTCTATTATTAGTCACTTTGCTTATCATTGCCTCTGCAACCATTGCATTTCTTCTTTGATATAATTGCTTTATTTGTTAAGAACATACACTAGTGGTTATTTCAGCAAGATTCTCTAAAGGATAGAGTTTCGATTTAGGATACCAAAAACATTCTTATAATTGCTATAATTGTCATTTTTTAGAGACATAGTTACAAATGAAATTCTAAATTGACAGTTTCTCTTGCCCTTTTGAAGAGATGTCACTGTCTTTATTGATTTATTGATAATATTTCTATCCATCACACTGTAATTTCTTGGAGATAATCAATTTTTTGTTAAAAATGGTTTTAAGATACTCCTTTTATTATTGATGTTTGGAGATTTCAACACACTAGATGGAGGAATGGGTATCTTTCTTGAGATTTGGTATGTAGCTTTATTTAAGAACTTTAATCATTATTTCAGTTCTGAAAAATATTTCAGTCATTAGCTATTCAAATATTGCCTCTCTGCAATCTGTGTTTTTTTTAAAATTCAGAAACTTCTATAAATATGCATTTTGACTTATTACATTCTTTGTATTTGTTCCCTATCACATTTTGACTCATCATTTTTATACTGCCCTCTATATATTTTCCTTAAGTTTGTATCTTAATTACTCAATAATTTTTCCCCTGTTATGTCCACTGAAAAAATTTTAAATTTCTTAACTTAATTTGTATTTCTAGAAGTATTATCTGGTTCTCCTTAAAATTTGACTGTTCTTTTATCATGGTATCCTGTATTTTCATAATTAAAAAAAGTCACTCTTTTGTCTTTAGTTATTTAAAACAAGGATTGGCAAACTGTTTCTGTCAAGGGCCAGCGAGTAAATACTATAGGCTTTACAGGCCAGGTGATTTCTGTGACAACTCTTCAGCTCCACATCGTAGTGCAAAAGCAGACATACACGACATATAAACAATTGGACATGATGGTGTTCTAGTAAAACTTTATTTGCTAAAGCAGGCATTGGACCAGATATAAATCATGAGCCATAATTTTCTGACCTCTGATTTAAAACATACTCTTTATATAAAATCACATTCAAGTCATTATCGTAGCTCAAGTAACAGAATGGTAATTCTTCTGTCTGTGTTTGATGCATCAGTTGACTGTCCCTTATGGTATGTTATTTTCTTGGGTCTCATGATTTTGAGATGTGAACTCTACATACAGCCTTCTGTTGGAGGTCAGTGTGCCTTGAGTTGTGGAATCATCCTGCAGAGCATATTTGCATTTCAGACCTAGTGGCTAATTTATTTGTATTTTTTATTTTTTGAGACAGAGTTTCACTCTGTCACTGAGGCTGAGTGCAGTGGCGCAGTCATGGCTCGCTGCACCCCTACCTCCCGCGCTTAAGTGATCGTCCCACCTCAGACTCTGGGGTAGCTGGGAACACAGGTGCATGCCACCACACCTGCCTAATTAAAAAAAATTTTTGTGTGTGCAGATGTGGTCTCACCATGTTGCCCAAACGGGCCTTAAACTCCTGAGGTCAAGCAGTCCTTCTGCCTCAGCCTCCAAAAGTGATGGGATTACAAGCATGAGCCACTGTGCCGAACCTAAGGTTTTTTTAAAACAATGCTTTTTAAATTATCACCCTCAGAAATGCCCTGAATAGGAACCTTCTGAAATAATCCAGTGCTTAGTGCACTGCCTGACACATGAGGAACACACAGCTATTTTTGCTATCAGTATCTCTATTAAAATTAACAGTACTGTTGTTTCTGTTATCATTAGCCTTAGGTCTTATAGAACTTACATAAATTGTAGTTGTTACTATTCAGGCATTCAGAGTTTTTGAAAATGCTGATTAATTGGAAGCTCACAATTAAAATTTTTTTATTGGAACCTGGTGCTACTTTGAGCTAAAAGTAGAGAAGATATTGAGTGAAGTATACATTATGACAGCTAAAGATAACTGAAGACAGACAGACACATAATGGAAGAAGCTTTGGGAATTTCTTTTCTGAAATACCATTTGTAAAAGGGGTAGAAGTAAACATAAAATTGAATATACATGTTCACTAGATATATGTGGCTGTGTTTGTGTGTACGTACGTACACGTTTCCCTCTACCTGTAGTAAATTCATGCCTCTTGCTTGTTCATCACAGGGCACTTGAAATGGACCAAAGCTGAGGACATTGACATAGAAACCCCAGGATCTATTCTTGTCAACACTAACTTGAGGGCATTAATAAATAAACATACGTTTGCTTCCTTACCTCAGCATTTTCAACAATACCTCCTGCTTTTGCTCCCAGAAGTGGATAGGCAGGTAAGTAGAAGTTTTAGACATTTGATACCAGCCACTAGTTATATTATGATGAAGTGGAAGGTCTATTATCAAAGATGACTTATATATGGATATAGTAATTTCTGTAATTTATGCATTTCTATTTATTGCTGTCATTAGCTTATTTAATCCTCTAAAACAGAACCATTTTTATTCTTAATAGTGAGCCAATTCAAATTTTAAAATACGGTACATTGTGGTAGAGTGAAAACTATAAACTTACATTGGAAAGGGAAAACAAAGAAATCAAACATTCCATTATCAAATAAATCTTTAGAGTAGCTGCTCCTTTGCCCAGAGGGAATACTGAAATGCAGCAATAAAAAGCCAGGGTTTCTAAAAAATTATGTAAATGTTTTCATCCTCAACTATTTCCAAAAGGCATTTAAAATTTATGTTTGCAATTGCTCTCTGAGAGTCTATCAGTATGAATATGATTGCCTATAAATAATCACCTTTTACCATTTTTAAAATATAACTGGAAATGCTTTAAGTGTATTTTTATATTTTTGAAAAGCTTCTAAAATGAGGAAATACAAATATAGACCCATAATGGCAGCCATCAATCATCTTTTAAAGCTGTTTGCTTAGGAAAGAAAAGGAAAAAAATTTTATCACATAAACTTTTATTAAATTTCACAAAATTTATTAAGTGCTGTCTAGGAAACATTCCCTTATGATTCTTATTTCAGTGAATTCTGAAACTGTGCATCATTTTCAATTGATGGACTTAATGCATGTATATTTATGAATTTGTGTCTTGAGATGATAGGTACATCCATGAATTGAAGTGGACAAAATTCATTCAATATTTCCATATTACTTTGAATAAGTTTTCTTAGCTTTTTATTTGCTTCTGTTTTCTATTGACTTACCCATCTTCTTTCATACATATTTAAATATGATAAGCAACAGTTTGCTACAATTTATATGTATCTCTTTGGTGGTGATTATTGTTCATATTTAGAAAGAGATTATTTTGATTTTGGGTACATTTTCATTTCAATAGGAGTTTTTTCTCTTTCAATAACATTTACTTAATATTTACCCTGAATATGATATATTCTGGGTGCTTTGGAGTAATAGCAAGACAGTGAATGCTTATTGAATGAGTGATTAAATGCACTGTAGTTGGATACATAAACTGTATTTGTAAATAACCAAAATATGAGTTAGAAACAGGTAAGCTTGAGGGGAAAAGTACAAAGTATATTGTACTTTTATATGCAGAAGGGAAATATCAGAGTCAAATTTAAAATTCTTGAATTGGGCCTTGAGATATAGAGGTAGAATTTGAATAAAATGAATGGAAAAGTGCCAAGTGAGAGTCCAGGGGTACAAAATCAAAAGCTAATCTGGTGGAAGTCTGGATTGTAGGAAGAATGGTGCAAATGATTTTGGAAGGACAGATTGGAAGTTGACTTTGGAAGATTTCTTGAATATGAAGCTGAGGAGTCTGAATGGTGTTCTCCCTGTGTCTGTAATACAAAGCCATTGAGGGATTTTGAATGGAGCTGTGATGTAATAAGACCATTACTTTTTAAGGAAATTATTCTGACAGTACTGAAAGAGAATGATAGGCATGGGAAACATGAAAGTAGAAAGAATAGTTAGAAAGGAATTTTAGTTTTTCCCTAAAGGCACAATGAGGGTTTGATTTTCGAGGATTGAATTGAAATTAAAGAGGAGAAGAAAAATGCAGCCGTCATCATCCTTATCCTCATTCTCCTTCACCACCTTGTTCTCCAGTAGTCACAATTTTACATTTTGTCAAATAACACTTGAAGCAGGTATAGGGAGGAGCCACTGATGATTCTTCCGTTATAAGCTTGTGTGACTTAGAATTTAGGTGTTAGAAACGTTTAGGGGAAAGATCTGATTTATTAGCTTATACAACAATTTCTTCCACTTCAACACAGGTGTAGTTTATCTTGTTTACAAATCTGTCTCCAGCTTCAGAAATAAGGTTTGGCATCTACAACTGCATTAGTCCATTTGCATTGCTATAAAGAAATGCCTGAGGCTGGGTAATTTATGAAGAAAAGAGATTTATTTGGCTCATGGTTTTTCAGGCTATACACAAAGCATACTGTTGGCATTTGCTTCTGATGAGGGCCTCAGGAAGCTTATACTCTTGGTAGAAGGTGAAGTCATGTCACATGGCAGGGGAGGGAGCAAGAGAGAGAGGAAGGAAGTGCCAGACTCTTGTAAACAACCAGATCTGTCTTGAACTCACAGAGGGAAAACTCACTCACTGCTATGAGAACAGCACCAAGACATTCATGAGAGATCTGCCCCCATGAGCCAAACACCTCCCACTAGGCCCACCGCCAGTATTGGAGGTCACATTTCAACATGAGGTTTGGAAGGGACAAAACCCCCAAAACATATCAACAATGTACTCAATAAATACTTTTGTAATGAAGAAATAACGGATTGTCTTAGTTTTAGTCGAATATTGATGGCCAGAATCTAAGCCCAATATTTTCTTCAACCTCTAGCAGTTTGTGTTACTCAGTTTTTTGTAGTCACTGTGAGAAATATAATTGAATAAGGCACAGTGCTCATCCTTGAATAACACTTAGTCCATTGAGAAACTTTTTTTATTCAGAAATATTTACTGAGCATGTGTTGTGTACTATACGCAAGAATGGATCTTGTGGAGGATACAAGAATGAATCTTGTGGAAGAATAACAGAAGGGAGAAAAACAACTTCATACGCAAGTGTAATACTCTGTGCTCACTACTAGAAAACAAGTTTAATAAATGGATAAGTGTTTTACCAAGTTTAGTATAAAACCAGTTAGAATCACATAAATGTCATAATAGAAGTATGAAGAAAGTCTTTTGAAGATGTAGAGGATGAAGAAGTTTAATCTGAATGTAGTATTGGAGAAGATTTTTATAGTAGAGAGGATGCTTAAGTTGAACCTTAAAGGACTGGTAGGTGTTTCTTGAGTAGAGCCAAAGAAAAGTGAATTTTACAAAGGAAAGGCATGCCATTTACAAAGACATATTGCTTATATGTTCCAGAAGACTTAATATCTCTGTATGACTGGAGCCACCTAAAGGAGAAAATGGTGGGCTATTCTGCTGAGGGGGAATATAGTCTACAACCTTGATGGCCTGATTGTAGGCTAAACTCTTTGAACTTTTTCTGAAACCAGTAGGTACCATCAAAAACTTGACAGATGGGAAATGACATGCAAGAAATAGTTTAAACACATGTTTTCGTGCCTGGGCATAGAAGAAGGGAAGAGAATCCAAAGGATAAATAAAATGCAGTCCTTAATTTCTTTTTTGGGAGCAGGTATCTCTGTGAATGATGGATTGGACAGCAGAAAGATAAGACACAGAGAGGCTGGTTAGGAGACAGTTGCAGTAGTTGAGATATGAGATAAATGTTTGACCTTGGTATTGGAGTTGGAAATGGAAGGAATGAATTCCAGACATATTTTCTACCCAGGATGAATAGGAATAAATGACAGCTATGAAATGGGATTGTTAAAGGTCTAGAAGGCAACTAGAGATTTTTTCTAGAGTAACTTAAGAAAGAGAAGCTTTGTGGGCCTGTCAGCATTTTATAGCAAGAAATTTAGAGCTAGTATGCTCTCTTTCTGCTCAAGGTGGGCTCAACCCTCTTTTCTAGCAGAAAGGGACGGGTGACTTGGTGCAACAAACAAGCAAAACTGCTGCTGTTTTAGTCTAGCTTATTGCAAATGTCCAAATGAAGATGAACACCACTGTTTCATGGCCATAATGAGTGGAGATGGCATGGAAATGTGAATTTGATTACATAGATTTATTTGAGCCAGTGGAAGGTCCTACAATTATGTGAAATACCTAAAATTTCAATTACATCTTCACATATTTTACAAAATCTGAAACTCCTCTCTTTCTTGTTTTCCTCCTTTGACTACCCCAAGTTTCTGCTCTTTCTAGTATGAAGTAGTCCTAAAAGGGCCTCCTACTCTGGACCCAAATGAAACGGGTTCATTCCAGTATTACATCCTCAAAATATGGGAGCTGAGTTTCGCATTTATCTTGACAATGCCAGCTGTTAAGGCAATCTTTTTGGGTGTTTTGTTTTCCTATATTTGTACTTCTCATTCTGTTTTTTAGAGTTCTGTTTATCTTAGATTATATTTTTAATTTACCCTTAGTTGTTTCATCACATTGCTGCATCTAGTTTTATACTTAAGTTTATTCTTCACACATACTGCAAGTAAAAGAAAGTCCAACTCAAAGATTTTTAAGTCATAAAAGGACATTTATTGGCTCAGTTAATTAGAAGACAGAAGTTTGGGTGGGCTTCTTGTTCTTGGTCCTAGGTCTCAGTTATTATTGAAGGACCATTTCATTATTTAAATAAATAATTCATAAAATCTTCTGCCTTGTTGACATTTTCTAAACCCTAATCCCTTTGTGTAGGATGGCTACCCGAATCAAGATGTGAGCACTTGCCTCAGTGCATGGGGAGAATACTGGTATTTCATGCAAAAGACCTAAGATTCACACTAATAGTACCGTTTAGATCACATGAGCATTTCTTAAACAATGACTGTAGCCAAGGGAATGGAATATACAAATTGGCCTAAACCCAGTACGCCTGTCCTTGGAGCTCAGAGAGTGTGTTCATCATCTCCTGAAGTAAAATGGTGCACTTGTGGTAGAGGTCAGAGATACTGTAAAAATCTGTTTTTTAGAAGTTTTATCAGGGGATACACAGGTTGGAGTAGATGCTTCGTAGGCAATTAACAGCGCCTGTTGAAGACAAGTCGAAATTGAGTTTTATTTTTAACATATTGGATTGAAATTCTTCCATTATTTGAAATGTCCAGACAATCATTATGTGTGCAGGTTTTAAGACAGTAGAAGATGGAGTTAATGATAACATATACATAGATTACTGTGTCTGCTATGGGATTTGATGAGATTGGGAGATAGCATAGTCATCACAGAGAAGTATATGTATTTGTGGAGAGTGTGGATAAAAAAGAGGATGGGAAAGAGACAGAAAATAGATAGAAAATAACAAATCCATGAGAGATCATCAATGTGCCGATCATATATAGGCAATAGTGTCAAATGTACAATGTGCCAATCATATGTAGGCAATAGTGTCAAATGTACAATAGGAAGTCACTGGAGACTAAGTAAGGTATCTTTCATTTATCCCTTCACATCCACACTTCAGTCTTCTTTGTGCTGCTTTTCTCCAGAAGGCTAGCCTGTATGTGGACTACTGTATCAGGAGGGCCTGTGCCCTCCATCGTCTTTTGAAAAAAGTGTTGAAATAATCATAAACTTTTAGAAAATGTGAAGGCATATTTGAGAATAAGTTTGCAGCCAGATGATCCAGTGTCACTTTCTCCCCCAATATATGATGACTTGAAAGGTGTATTTTCTTTTTATCTTTTTTTTTTGATGGAGTCTTACCCTTTCACCCAGGCTGGAGTGCAGTGGCGTGATCTCCGCTCACAGCAACATCCGCCTCCCGGGTTCAAGCGATTCTCCTGCCTCAGCCTCCCGAGTAGCTAGACTATGGCTGCCTGCCACCACATCTGGCTAATTTTTTATATTTTTAGTAGAGATGGGGTTTCGCCATGTTGGCCAGACTAGTTTTGAACTCCTGACCTCAGGTGATCCACCCGCCTCGGCCTCCCAAAGTGCTGGGATTACAGGCATTAGCCACCGCGCTCAGCCAAAAGGTGTATTTTCTATAAACAAGGATGTGTTGTCTTACATAAGTACAGTGTAACCAGTGAAAATCAGGAAATTAACAGTGATGATTATCATGTAATTCTTAGATTCTATCCAAATTTAGCCAGTTGTCCCAGTAATGTCACGTTTAGCAACAGCATCCAGTACTAAATCTGTCACTGCATTGAGTTGTCATGTCTCTGTAGTCTCCTTCATTTGGATCAGTTCTTTAGTCTTTCCATGATGTTCATGACCTTGACACTTTTGAATGTTATAAACCAATTTGAGTTTTCATAATATCTCCTACTCAGATTCAGATTATGTACCTTTGGGAGAAATACAGTAAATGATGTTGCGTTCTTCTTGCATCCTGTTAGGTGGCACACAACTTTGATTTGACTCAGTACTGATGCTGTTAACTTGATCATTGTATTAAAGTGTATTTGTCAAGCTTTTCCAGTGTAAACTTGCTCCTTTCCCTTTTGTAATTAAATAGTATTTTGTGAGGAAGTTCTTTTAAACTGTGTAAATATCCTGTTCCTCTTCAGATTTTCAATGTATTAATTCATGTACAAACACACACAGACACACGTGTGTGTGCATCTATATGTATGCCTTCATTATTTCCTTCTTTTCACTAGGCTATTATGCTTAAATTGTCCCACATTTGGTCCACAAGAGCCCACTAAAGCTGGCTGCTGTGCCCTCTGACATGTCTCCATTATTATTTATTTATTTATTTATTTTTTAAGAGATAGGGTCTCACTGTGTTGCCCAGGGTGGTCTTGAACTCCTGTCCTCATGTGGTCCCCCGCCACCAACTTCACCTCCCAAAGCACTGGGATTACAGGGGTGAGCCACCATGCTCAACCTCAGTCATTCTTTGATCACTTCCTTATTTTGAAGCACGTTAAAGTGTTCTGATCTTATAGTATACTTTCTCTGCCCCAGTCCAGGAATGAACCCTTTCTTCAAGAAGCCATGGTTCCCATTAGTGGAGGATGTCATGAAATCAAGATGTCATGAAAGGTGTGCTCTTTTTTTCTTAGGATGTTGCTGTTACTAGATCTAAGAGAGATCTCAGAAAACTACACTTATGTATAGGTATGAATACCCATGTACATGCACCTGTATATGTGTGTGTGAATGCTTCCTTAACTTCTCTGTCTTGGAGACAAGGAACATCATGTAGAAGAAAGTATGTGAGCCTATTTACGTAATATATAAACATAACACAGTTTATATCTACATTTATTTCCAGATAGCTCTATCTTGTAAGCCATGAGTTCACACTGATACCTCCAATCCTAATCTACTAACCCCAATGCTAATCTAATACCCCATGGTCCATTCTAGTTTTCTGTCTTTCCATAGATGTCTCTTACTTCTCCGACAGTGAGAAACCAGCTCCTCTTACTCTTAATATATCTAGATATTTGATTATTGCCTTGTAGGTAGCCAGTCTTCCATCTTGGCCACCATACCTTTGCCATGTGGATGGTCTCCTCATCACACACAGGCTGTGACTCTTGATGACAGGCCACCCACCTTGCATTTTCCTCTTCCTGTTAGACTTCTAACACTGCACATCAGGCTACTCCTCAGTGCAGGTGCCCTCCTCACCATGGTTGGACTCTAAAACTCCTCTCCAGGCCACCTCTCTGTGCTACCTCACCCCACTTGGCTCTGTGATTCCCTCCTGGACTGTCATGATCATGGCTGTACCCCTCTCCCCTTCTCTACACGCTTACAATGCTTTAAGCCTCATACCTAGATGTTCAGAAGAGGGAAGAGAAGGCTGTCTGGATTCTGATTAGGTTCAGCTGTTGGGTAGTCACAGCAATGGATTGAATGGAGAAAGAAAAGTGAGATTGAGCATCATATCCTCCCTGCAATGACAGCACAGGCTTCATTCATTGGCCAGCTCCTATCAGGATGTCCTCTCCATACAGTCCCCTCTCTGCCCGTGGTCTGATAAGCCCTGCGTCCCTTCACACTTCAGGTCACACACTAACTCCCATTGTTAATTCTAGTTTACTTCACTGTTCTCTGTGGTGTTGCAGCCCCTAGGCCATACCTTTTTAAGTCATCACTTTACTCTCCTCAAATGATCCTAACTTGAAGGAGCTGTTGTGGCTGCTAAGACTCTTGACTGGCAGACCTTGTGAGGAAGTTGAGTAATAGAGGTGTAAGAAAATTATACTGGTTTGGGGTAGGAATGGAATGTATATTTCATTCATTTATTCAACCAAAACATATTTAATGCCTACAATTCACCAGACTCTGCTAGCTCTGATGATGTAACTGCTAATAAGTTACAGTTCCTATCCTGAAAGAGAGAATTGTTCTAGAGGAGAGAGAGAGATGTAAAAGCCTGTAATTACAGAACAGTGCTCTGATTGTAGTTTATATATCATGCTATGGGAACATAGAGGAGATAATTACATTGTCTGTAAGATTTAGAGAAGGCTTGAAAGGGGAGGTGTCATTTGGGCCGGGTCCGGAAAGATACAGGAAGGTTATCAGGTAAAGAAATGTGGAGGGCATTCCAATAGAGGAAACAATATGTGCCAGTAATAATGATTATGTATACTGCTAGGTCTTCTACATATATTATCAGCAATTCTTACCATAATGCTCTAAACGGTATTATCAACCCCACTTTCTATATGTAGAAGCTGAGGGTCAGGGAGGAAAAAGGTCTAACCCAACTTTTTCCAAGTAAAACCATGGGAGTGAGAATGGAAACACAGGTTTGTCCAACTCCAAGCTTATGCTTTTTCTCCACATGATGTTCCTTGTCCCCAAGATGCAAAGGCAGAAAAGTACATTTTGTCTGTCAACACATAATTTGAAATGGCTGGGATATAATGTGAGTAAATTGAGGCCACAAAGGTAGCTTAGAACAGCATTTTTTAAAAAGGCTTCAAATGTCAGTAAGCTATGTAGAGCATGCCAGGATTTTGCACTGGAGCAGGACATACGTATAATTATGTTTTTTTAAAAAAGAGCCGTGATGAGGGACTGAAGCATAGAACAGAGGAGGAGGAGTCCCAGACTCTCCACCTTGCTGGGAGTTAGCCATACCCTCCTTTCTGTTCCTCAAACCCAAGCCTTTTCTGTGTCTCAGCTTCTGTGCTTCCTACTATCTCTGCAGGGATGCTTTCCTGACAGGGATGCTTTTGGCAAGACCAGCTCCTTCTCATCCACCAGGGCTCAAAGTCCTCCTCACAAAAGCTTTTCTTGCCTCCCCTCCCATCTAAAACACCTTCTTTAGTTGTTTCTTGTCTTATTTTTCTGTTTATTTCCTTCCTGGCACTCACTATAGTCTCTGATTAACTTATTCATGTATTTGTTTTCCTCATTGGAATAATGGCCTCAGGACAGTCCTTTGTTTCTCCTCCTCATTTTGCCTAGCACATAGTAGGTGCTCAGTAAAGGTTTTCCGAATGAGTGATTGAGTGAATATAGACTGAGAAATGACTTAGCAAGGTAATTTAACTTGTCTAATAAATGTAAAAGCCTTAGCCACAGATATTAGAGAATGGAAAAGAACTTTGCATTAGTCTACTCATGCTGCCATTGCAAAATTCTGCAGCCCGGGTGGCTTACAACAGAAGTTTATTTTCTCACAGTTCTTGAGGCTTGAAGTTTAAGATAAAGGTGCCAGCATGGTGGGATTCTCCTGAGGCCTCTCTCCTTGGCCTGATGGTCTAGGGCCTTGCTATTATGACCTCATTTAACCTTAATTACCCCTTTAAGAGCCTTATCTCCGAAGAAAATCATGTTGGGGTTAAGGCTTCAATATGTGAATTTTGTGGAGGCGCAATTCAGTCCATATTGAACATTTTGGAAGTAGTCATCCAAAACTTGGTAGTTGGATTTAGGGGAGAAGGAGGTGCTGAATACATGTTTTTGGTATTATGTTTATTGTGCATTTGAGAATAGCAAAAGATTGGTAAGTTTTTAAAGCTAGGGTAGACTTAAACATACTTTTGGCTTAAAATTGAGGCAGTTAATTGGAGAAATTTAAGATGGAAGAGAGAGGATTTGATTTACTGACAAAAGTTTTAGAATACATAAGAAAGAATTGACTTAAATTGGAGACAAAGCTTATTTAGAAAAACGAAGAAAAAAGTATTGATTTCTGAGATCATAGGGAAGCAGGAAAGAAAGAGTAAAAAATAAGTAAATTTGAAAAATGCAGTAGAAAGTGGGAGTTTTCCCCTGGATGGTAGTGTATGTAAGTGTCTGCTAAGAGACTAGAGGATCAGGGATTTCAGGAGAGTAAAAAGGCCGTGAAAAGTGGCTTGGTGTATTTTCAGAGATTCATCCTGCAGAAAAAAGTAGTTGCTGAGAATCATTGAGGGCACATTTGAGAAGAGATGGCAGTGGACAAATAGTTGGTCTATTTATGTGTTTTTCACCCCAGCAATGCTAAATATTTATGCATTTATCTTGGTAACACATGTGCCAGAAGTTAGATTTTGCAAAAGTCAGAGATTTACAAAGGCTCAAATTTGAAGGAGTTGATGGATTTTAGGAGACTTGTAAGGTTCTTGTTGACTGATTAGATGTGGTTGATTATGAGGTTCAGGCAGCATAGGAAGGAAAGTAAGGTTGGAGGAGCTGGGCTGATTGAGCGGACAGGAAAATATAGGTTGGAAGGAAGCAAAGTATGTTGATAAATGAAGTGTTATGGGGTCCTAGAGTAACACACTTTGGATATGATCAGGTTTAGGCAAACACATGGGTCAAAGTCATCTTCTTGACCACAGCATTTTGGCTCAGAGATGAAATACAGAGAAACCAAGAAGTCAGAGCAGGATTGGTCAGTGGTAGCAGATAGGTAGAATTATAACTAGTTCTTCCCTCAATCCCCCTTATGGGAATGTTGGCTTAATAAATTCACTGCTTGGGTTTGTAGCCAGACATGCCTTTGTGCATAGCGTTCTGCAAGATGTGCTTGGAGAATTTTTAGAACCTCCTTGATTATACATAGCGGATCTCTCCTTTCTTTAAGAATTTGTACTTTATAAAATGTGTCTACGTAGAACAATTTTGTGACCTTTTAAAAATATATGGCAGCTGGTGGAATAAATGTCAACTAAAGTGGAGTCCTATTAAAGTTTTTATTACACTTTCAAATTGAACCTCACTGATGAGTAGGTTGTTGTCATTTCTGTCATCGATATCATTTTTACTTGATGTTCTTCTCTGACTCCCTCTATTTGGTGCTATCAGGGCTAACGGGGCTATCTTTGCAAATATTTATAAGACCATCCCCCAACTGCTTCTAAATAAGTTGTGCCTGCTTTTTTTTTTGTCCAAATGGTAATTGCAGCATTTTAGTCAATTTTTACTAAACTCTCAATTCTTTTGCATTTATGTCTGTGTTGTCTATGGTCTGTTAAATAACTAGTCACTGAAGAGTAGGTACTGTGTAGGCTCTTTAAAATCCTATCTGTCTTTGTGTTCCTCCGGTTCTGCACTCACTGGCAATAATGCACATAATTTTAACTGTGGAGAATGTCATTAAACTAAAATGGAACATTTACACAGTCCCTTTTGCAGAGAATTTTGGACTAGGAAAATGGATGTGTCTGTCAGACATTTTACAGCACAGGAGAATGTGATTTATTGATTTCTGATGGCTCTGTTGGCATCAGTGTATATATTTAAAGAAGTCACGCAGCCTTTATAAATGCAAATGCGAAAGGGCTTTCCGTCTTTTCCCTCCGTGGAAATAGCTCATACATTTTCGATAACTCAGGCTCCTCTTAGAGATTGCTCTATGTACTGAATATATTGATTTAAAAATTATACTGTTATTTTATTCTACAAATAGTGTATATAATGAAATGTCAATTTACTTAAAAGATTATAAAATTCAAAAGTATTAAATATATGAAAAATACTAGTATCTTAAGCCTTTAGGTAAAAGTAAGTGTGTGTTTGAAATGTAATTATTTTAATGGAACTGACACTTTGGCTTTTTCGCTGAGTCTGAAAGCGTATCTAAAAGTACTTAGAAGATCCATTATTTCTTCTTGCCTAAGTCACTTACTGGTGATAGTAAATCATACATAGCCAGAGATATTCTGGCCAATCATGCTTGGATATTTTCATTCTCACCATTTGGGCTTTATGGTGGGTATGGAGGTATATATAATTTATTTAATAAGATGGAAATTCTTTATGGAGGAAAGTAATTTTACCTATATATTATTCATTTCTTAGCTAACTGATATTTAACGTCAAATCCTGTTCATCGGTATCTGCTTCAGTGTATGTAAAATAACTATAGACTCAATTAAATTACAGATTTTCAAGTAATTGCACATAATAGGCAATCTAACTTACAGAGCTGATTCTAGTCTATGCATAAGGCAGTTAATAGAGAAACACAAAATCACTTAACCTGAATAACATACTATTCTGTGCATTAAGCCACTTTCTTTCTCTTTTGTACAGGCTACTAAGTGGCAGCTTCATAGCCTGGAAGGGTGTCTTTGTCCATGTATAATCCACTACCACTAGCATATTGGATTACTAAATACTTAGTATTGCCCTCTAATATTTACATAATTCTCTTTTTGTTCTCTTACATAATTTACTTAATAATATATGTATGTGTAATTCTTAGCTGCCAGTTTATGCAGGAATGGTAAATGACTTAACATTAGCTTTGTCCTAAATATGAAAAAGAGACAGTTTGAGGGGGAGAATCATGCATGTGGTAGATTACACATTAGTGCCTGTTCTTTTAGTAAGGAGCATTCTAAGGCCAAGGTCACCACTGACCATTATGAACAGGTGTCATACAGTGAGTCTCCCCTAAATTAGGGTCAAAGTTAGAGAGAAGAAAACTGATTTCACTTATGAAGTCATTTTTACAACTCCTAGTAGTTATTATACCCTATTAAAAAAATATAGTTGCCCAAGAAAATACTTTGATTCCAGTTGTAAAATTTGTTAAAGTTCATTGTAAAGGAATAAAGGAATCAATTCTAAGCAGGAAATCAACAGTGTAATGACGTTTGAACTTCTGGATTAAAGTGTTAGTATAAATATGCATATGTAATTCCCCTCACCACTTCTAATTCCTCATTAAAGTGACATTGGCTTTTCCCCATTAATATATTTCCTTATCAGTCATGGAACCTAGGGGAAGAACGCCATCCAGATGCCAAAAGCTGTGAGGAGTTTCTGCAGGAGATAATGAAAGTGAGATTAGATTAACCAGAGGGATAATGGGTGGGAGTGACTGCCTCAGGAGGAAACTCTGTGGGATGTGACTGGAAGAGACTGCTGATTTGTCCTGTCCAGAACTAGCTCTGAGTGAGGGGGGCTGGAGGCAAGGGTGGAGCAGTCAGGAGGAGCACATCTCAATATCATTCTTGCTTTCTCGGAGTGTTCATCAGGACTTATGCTCTATAACAGCAAGATCCGATTGCAGAAAATGTTTCCAGGCTGTGCTTGCTATGGAGTTGTCCTGTGTTCTATCCAAAGCCTAACTGACCTGCTAGCCAAAGGAAGGCTCAGCCTCAATGATGTATCACCAAACATATGGGTAAAATGTTATTTGTTAAAGAATCAATCTCTGCTCCTCACAAGTGCCAAACCTCAACTTGGACAAACATCAGCTAAAGTAAACATAAACATGTACTTTTTCCTGATTGTTTATTTGTGGATGAAATATTTGTACAGGGTCAACAGAGTTTCTGATGGAAACCATCTCAATATCTATGACTGATCTAACACCTACTGACCTCACCCTCTTAGAAGGAAAGGACAGAAATCAATAACTAGGCATAGAAAAGATTTGGCAGTTTAAATAAAGAGAACCTGTGTGACAATTCAGAGAACAAGACCCTTTATGTGTTACTGAAATAGGATGAAAATGATCTGAACAGTATCTATTAATAAAGTTGAATTGATTCAAAAGAATATACTTATTTTACAAATATCAATTGAAATTTTATGGTGGGCTATGCAAGGTTCTAGACATTGGAAATACTGTGTTGCATGAGATTGTCATGAGTCCTGCCTTCATTGAGCTTATAGTCTAGCAAGAGAAACAACATTAGAAGTAGTGAACATGCACTAAGCTCCCTGGAAATACAAATTTGAAGAACAGAAAAGAGAGCTTCTGAGCTGGCACATGAGTGAATTTGATGCAGTTGAATTTTTGGAAACGGTTTGATACTTTGGAATCTTATGATATCTTAGGCAGAACCAGATTTGTGCTCAGTTTATAGTGAAGTCTTCCCCACGACTAAGGCGTATGATTTTCCAATCTGACTAGTGAGAACAAGCACTGTTCCTGGCCCTGTATGAGCACAGGACACTGTTACCTCTATACATTTCAGGTGGTTGTTGCCCAACCTCTGGGCAATTTTCTCACACAGCTGATCAACATTCAGCTGATGGCCCAGCACAGTGACTCATGCCTGTAATCCTAGCACTTTGAGAGGCCAAGGGGAAAGGATGACTTGAGCCCCATAGTTTGAGACCAGCCTGGGCAACATAATGAGACTCTGTCTCTCAAAAAAATCATAATAATTTTAGAAAACATTCAGCTGAAGAACTCCAGAATTTTCTCTCTATGATACTCTGTCTTCTCCTGTTCTCTTCCTGTGACCTATAACTACATTGTTTTCCCTGACTCAGCTTCAGTGTATTGCTAGCCCAGTAGATGGATAGTGGTGCCATTAACTGAGATAGGTAAAGATGGAAGAATATGTACTATGGTATGAATGTAGGTATCCCTCCTGGATTTAAATGTTGGAACTTGAACTCCAAGCTGATGTTATCAAGAGATGTGGGGCCTTTTGAGAAGTGATTAAGTCAGGAGGACTTTGCCCTTGTGAATGGGATTAAACCCTTATAAAAGAGATTTCAGAGGCCTGCCTGGACTTTCTTTCTCTTATGCCAAGTGAGGACACAGCAACGTGGTGCCATTTTGGAAGCATAGAATATCCTTTACCAGATATCACCTCTACTGGTGCCTTGATCTTGGATCTCACAGCCCCTAGAACTGTGACAAAATACATTTCTGTTCTCTATAAATTACCCAGTCTTGAGTGTTTTGTTTTAGCAGCACAAATGAAAAAGACAGCATGTTTTCCATTTTGGACGTGTTGGATCTGAGGTGCATTTGAGAAATCTGTGTGGAAGCAGTGAATAACTAATTGGCTATACAGGTCTGGAGGTTAAACTTCCAAGGTGGAGTTAAAAGGAATTGGGAACCATTGATGTATGCCTGTTAATTAAAACCATGAATATAAACAAAAAGGGCTATAGAATAGATTTAGAAGAGGGCTTAAGATGAAAGTCTGAAATTTCCAAATGTTAATGGCTGAATAAAAGAGAATGAGCTTACAGAGGAGACAGAAAAGTAATCATCAGTGAAGTGGGGTAGCATAAAACCAGAATTCTATCATTGAATACACTTCCAATGATATTTAGAAAGTGAATATTTAGGAAGGAGGCCATGATTTATTTTTTCGGAGGGGAAAGGAACACTGTCTCTGGGGAAAATATGTGTTAAGTAGTTACTTCATTTCACTTAGCTATTCATAATAGTTTAAGAGAGGGATCAGGGAAAAGGGGAGTTCCAGGGTGACTGTGCTCATGGCCAAGGCTGTGCCCGTTCGTGCTATAGGGAAAGTTGCTTCACTAAAATAATACAGCCAAATCTCTAACCAAGTTAATAAAAAGACAACAATAAAACTAAGACTTGAAGAAGGCAGGGGAGGGTAACAGTATATAGAAATGCTACAAAATATAGTCTAAGATATCCACTTTTCAAAAGAGAGACACAGAGAGGGAGAGATACATATATAGGCCAAGAAATAAGAAAGAATGACTCAAGAGTCTAGAAAACCGGCAAGAAAATCTTCTATGAAATGCTCTGATGTTAGATTGAACAGAAAAAGGCTTGAAAGCAGGCATTGTAAATATCTTCAGATATCTAAAGGAAACCATGCTTACATAAATTAAGGAATGTATAATGACAGTGTCACACCAAATACACATCATCAATAAAGAAATAGTGACAATGAGAAATAATGAAATTATTAGTTGAAGAGTAGAATAAAATGAAAATTTCATTAGAGGGGCACAGTAATAAATTTGAACTGGCAAATGAAAGAATAGGCAAATTTGAAGATGGAGTGATAGAGATTATTGAGTATTACTCATGTATTGAGTAAGATGATGATTGAGAGTTTACCATGCATTTCACCGATGTGGTTCACTGGTGATCTTGACAGACACAATTTTAGTAGCATTCTTGGGGTGAAAAACTAGTTTGGAGTGGTTTCAGAAGAGACTGGAAGGAGAATATTTGCATAGAACTCTTTCATGTTCCCCTACAAAGAATATGAAAATGGAACGTGTGCAATGGAACAACAAAATGGAGCATTAGATCTTCGAATTTCTTGCTGAGTATTTTGAGGCCACTGTTCTTTTTAAAATTGCTGTAATACATGGGGTATTTTATTTCATAATATAGTTGTGTTTTGTGTATGTGAAAGCTATTTTTTTCTTAGACCATTTTACTCAATTTTTGATAATTATACATTATTTTTTATTTATATTATTGAGTTTTTCAGATAAATATATCGCTTATAAGAATGATAATTTTATCTCCTTTATAATTAGCATACTTTTTGAGAACCATTTCATTTATTTGTTCAGGAGAAATCCAGATTGGAGTTAAATAAGATGTAAGTTAGAGAAGAAAGAAGTTGAGAATGCAGACTTGTCTTTTAGTAAATTTGCCTGAAAGTGGAGCAGGCATAGGGGTAACTGGAACAGCATGTTAAGGAGAGAGATGGGGTTTTGTTTGGTTTATTTTTTCATGTGGCAGAGGATTTAATATGTTTAGAGATCAAAGTGATAGAGTTCCCTTTGAGAGGGAGCAATTAAGTAATCAAGATAAAAATAGGAATCGGTGGCTTACTGTAACGATCCCTGAAGGCAGGGGTGGAATAGGTGGTTATTGAGGCACTGGTGGAGATATTTTTTCATAGAAAGGGGACAGAGGACTGCTTCCAGAAAAACTGGAAGAGAGGAAGATGGTGGGTAAATACAATGTATTTGAAGTTTCCTAGTGGAAAATCTAGGGCATTCCTGCCTGATCACCACAGGTTCATTTTTTTTTTCCCCAGGAAAGTAGATATCAGGATCATGTACTGGTAGTGCTAGGTAGGATGAGGGTAGGGAGGAAGGTAAGAAGCTTGAGCAGAAGAGAATGAAGTTTGAAATAGCAACTGAAAGAGAATGAAGTTTGAAATAGCAACTGAAAAGTGAGAAAGTGAGTTCACTGAAAGCAGCACATCAGGCTACCTTAGAGAGCGATAAGGGCCCTGAATTTGAAGGCTTTATTAACAAACCTCTCTGCTTAAATTTTTCCAAAAGTGTTGGCTATAGAATGGAACCATCCACTATAGATTGAGCTTTAGCCATATGGGTGTATCCAAAAGACAGGAAGGGCAAGAATCTTGTTGACATGATGGACCAGAAAAGCTGAACTTCAAAACTAGGGGAATGAAGAAAGAACAATGAACTGGGTAAAAGTAAAGGGATGAGTCAACACAGTGGGTCACAAGTTCAAGAATGGTCATGGTAGGAGGAAGTTAACATGCTAGCGAGGTCAGAGAGAAGAGCACGATAGGGGTTAAAACTTACAGTAATAAAGCAGTTTGGGGCATTTTACCCAGTATTTTCCAAAAGATCTGTTGTTTTTTGTCTTTTTTTTTTAAAAGTTATTAGCTATACAAAAAATTGTGAGCTTTTTCTTTATGATTTGGGTTTTTCAGTCTAGTTAAAGAATATATTCCCTACATTAATAATATATGAATATCCTCCAAAGTATTCTAATCTTTTTATATTTAAAATTTTTTCCCTTTAGATTTTTAGAAGTGTGAGTTCTGCAATTTTGCTTTTCTTTTTCAAGATGGTTTTGTCTATTCTGGGTCCCTGAATTTCCATAAGAATTTTAAGATAAGTGTGCCAATTTCTATCAAGAAGCCAGATGGAATTTTGATAGGAATTGCTTTGAATCTATAAATCATTTTAGGGAGTGTTGTCATTGCTTAACAATACCAAGTCCTCTGATCTGTCCACAGAGGATGAATTTCCACTTATTTAGATCTTTAACTTCTTTCAACAATGCTTTTTAGTTTTCAGAGTATAAGTGTTACATTTTTATTAAATTTATTCCTTACTATTTTGTTCTTTTAGTGTTATTGTATATGGGTTTTTTTCTTCACTGATTTTTGGGTTGATGAGAAGCCAGCTGTTAATATTATTCTAGTTCTCTTGTACATGACAAGTCCTTTTTCTCTTGCTGTTTTCAGAATTTTATCCTTGGCTTTCAGCATTTTTACCAGAATGTGTCTGGGTATGAATCACTTTGCATTTATCCTACTTAACGTTTGTTGAACTTCTTCAATTTGTAGGCTGTTTTTCATCAAATATAGAAAGTTAAACATTTTTTTTATTATTTTCTTCTCCTTTTCCTCTCTCACCACTTCTACTACCCATAGTAGTACTTGTGCGCCACATATCTATGATGTCTGTTCCTTATTTAAATTATTTCCTGTCTTCTTTAGAGTGCATAATCTCTATCACTGTATCTTCAAGTTTGCTGACACCTTCATCTGCTAGTTCAAATTTACTATTGTGCCCCTCTTAATGAAATTTTCATTTTCATTATTTTACCTTTCAACCCAGAATTTCCATCTCACTTTTTTCATTGTTGCTCTCTCTTTATTGATGTTCCGTATTTGGTGAGACACTGTCATTATACCTTCCTTAATTTATGTAAACATGGTTTACTTTAGATATTTAAAGATATTTAAAATGCCTACTTCGAAAACCTTTTCTGTTAAATCCAACATCAAGCATTTCATAGAAGATTTTCTTGTCTGATTGTTTTCTAGACTGTCATTCTTTCCAGTTTCTTTGCATATCTGCATCTCTCTCTCTCTCTTACTCTTTTTTTTTGCAAGTGGATATTGTAGGTTATATCTTATAGCATCCATATATACTACTCCTCTCTTCCTTCAGGAATTGTTTTTATTGTTGTCTTTTTAGTAACTTGGTTAGAGATTTGAGTGTATTATTTTAGTGAAGCTACTTTCTCTGCAGCATGAAGGGGCACAGCCTTGGTTGGCCATGAGCACAGTCACCATGGAACTCCCCTTTTCCCTGATCCCTCTGTTAAACTATTATGAATGGCTAAGTGAAAGGTAGTAATTACTTAAAGTATATTTTCCTCAGAGACAGAGAGTATTTCTTTTAATTGTACTTTTATTTTATCATTATATACCATAATTTTTAGGAGTTTGTTTATATTTGGTTTGGGGAATGGGATAATTAATTTATGTTAGGTTTTCAGTGGTCACAGTAAAATTACATTTGCCATTCATAAATTATATTAGGTTTTCAATGGTCACAGCAAAATTACATTTGCCATTCACAGTAAAATTACATTTGCCATTGTGAACCTGTTTCTAAGTATACTATTTCCTTGATAAGCAATGGGGATAAAATTATTAGGGAGATAATAATCACTGCTCAAGATTTTATAATCTGCTTTGATATCACACCCAGACCTTAGGTCCATTAATTGCTGCCTGATTGCTTTATTGTTTTCAACAATGCGGTGGGCATAAATTGCTCCATAGTCTGATAAAATTAAATTTCAGTTCCTTTGCAGAGTATTTTTTAGGCCAGTTTTTGAGGTGGTTCAGGTCCCAAGGGAGCTCTTCTTAGTTATCTCTTTCCCTGGTTCTCTCTGGTACATTAGTTGATTTACTTTTTAGCTTGTTACATTCATAAAGCTACCAGTCTCCTCTTAATTGCTCACGACCAAAATCTCCATTGGTTTCAAGATCACTCTTAGGCACAAACTTCCCTATACCTGTACTCTATATTAAATAGTTGCTTTAGGGAGACCATAGAAATCTGTTCTTATGGTCTTCCTCTCTACCTGGACAAAATCTAGAGTCTCTGCTTCGGATGGGGACAGAAGTAACATTTTTGCTTTAGTAGCAGAGCATTGGGTGGGGGTGCTCAGCTTACCTCTTCTGGAATGAAACATCCACCCTATGAATGAGCTGGGGCAAAGGCCCTAGTATTCTTGGCCTGTCACTCATGCGGTGGAGCCACCACCCTACAGTGGCCCACTGCCCAAAAGAAAGGAGCCCTTGACCTCTTGGTTGTACTTGCCAGGTATTTAGCCTTTGGAACTCGAAGTTGGAAGGGATGAGAAATGCTGCGGACCTGCCTCTGCCTCTCCCATTGAATTACTGTGTCAACTGACTGGGAATTGAGGGAGGATAAATCACTCCCCCCCAACCCCCACCCCCATCCCTCTCCTCACTTTTTGGCCAAAATTGCCTGGAGAGGAGCTTCCCTCACATGAATCTATTGGGTGGAATGGATGGGTCAGAACTTAAGTGACACAGATTCTTGCAGTAGTTTCCAAGATTTAGCAGAATTTTTGAATAACTGTTTCTTCATTTGTTATATGCTCTTAGGGCAAATTCCAGATACTCTAACTGGGTAATTTTAAAAATATTTTTTACCATTATGATGGATTCTCCGGGGAACAGTTCCACAGAGCTTCCCACACCACCATTCTGGAAGAATAACTCTACTACCTTTAGATTTTTTATGTAACTTTTTTATATGGTAATAAATTTTGGTTTCAATTTGTTTTCCTGTGCTAGATTTCCAAGTATGCCAAAGGCATTTGTTAAATAAACTGCTCTTTTCCAAAAAGTGACATATTAGTAGTGTATGCATATTTCAATATGTGCTATAATGTAGTAGGTACTCAATAATTATTTTTTAATGAAATTCATATTAACGTCTTATTTCTATGACTAAAAACACCTCACAAAAACTCCTTTATATTCTTTCCTATTAAGTTACATTTCACATTCAAGAAAAGTTGCAGTTTGTCAAGCTTTTTGATATTACAGATGCCTCTGAAAAAAGAATTATATTAAAGTATAGATTGTCATTAACACAGGGAGGTTGACAGTTTCCATTATAAGTACCTATTTTAATAAGTAATTGTTTAAAGTACTGTGTCCTCAAAGAAGACCATTTCTTTTGATTTTTACCTTTATTTTATCATTATGTATTATGGTAGGTTTTAAGTGATCACAATAATACAAATGCATTTTGCTACTCATAAGTGTCCCATTTCTTTGACAGCCATTGGGGATTAAAATTAATGAGTAGATATAGTGCCTGTGCTCAACATTTTATAATCTAGAAGCAGTCAGATATGCAAACTTAGAAAATGGTACAGTATTTTAAAACACAAGCATTGCCATTGATAATGTGTGAAGTCAAAGATGTTAATGATATTTAGAATATGATTTTCTTGCCTAGAGTAATGTTGTGTTAAGCCTGTACAGATTCGTTTTTATTCATTAATATTTTAGTACCAAGATCCTGATTATTTAAATATTGTGTTTTATACGTTAGAAGTATCATTAAATAAATGGTGAGTATAGAAAGGTTGTTTTGATGGAAGGTTGAGGAAATGTTTTAAGTGGTTCAGTTTACCCAGTTTCTTTAATCTCCTTTTGGGATAGTTTCCAGAGTGTTACTTTCTGTCATCTGTGTTCTTAGTTAAATTTTTCTTTTAATGTTTTATCCATTCAGAAATTCTATTGACAGGAAAGGAAAGAAGCCAAGAAAAATTGGTTAAACAAGATTGAATAAGCTATTATTAATATTCAGATATTATTTGACATGTTTAATAGCTTAGGTATATTTATCATATTAATATATTTTAATACTTCAATATACAGTTGATTCTTAAGAGATTAATATTTTTGTTTTCTGGATATCTTAAAATATGCATGCATAAAATTTATAATACAGAAGATAACATAAGATAACAATGAAGCTACCATTTATTATGTTTTTAATGTCTACTACATATTTATTTCACTGGGGAAGAATCAGTATTGGGATACCATCCCACCAACTTTATATAGACCCATTTCCCAAACGAGTGTTTGGAAAATGTGTTTTTTGTTTTTTTTTTTAATTTAACTGAAAATATTTTCCTTATATCAAACGTGTGTGACAATTTACTAAATTTTAAAGCATGATCAGTTAACTGTTACAAACTTCTAATTTATATAAAATGAGCCATTTTCAGCAGCAAAATCAAGTATGAACTCTGTATATTTTTTATTTTTAATATATGCCAAACTACAGGTAATTGCAGAAAAATATAAGACCCACATTATATTCAACAAGCTCCAAATTTTCCCTGTCCGTTTCTGATATTATGAATGCCAAATGTTCCTCAACTACTGTATTTATCTTTATTGTTCTACAGATCAGTTATTCATGAAAGTGAAGAAATTATGGAAGGAAAAAATAATCATTCATTTATTTTTGTGTGAAAGTTTTATTGGAATGCAGCATGCATACAGATAAGTGCCCACCTGATAGCTGTACAGCTTAATGATTTTTTCTAAAATGGTAGCATATCCTTATAACTGGCATCCAGATTTTTTAAAAAGAGAGAACATACCCTAGCATTTTGGAAACTCCCGTTGCCGTTTTAGTTAATACCCACACAAAAGAACCTACTATCCTGACTTTTTTCACCATCAACTACTTTTGTCTGTTTTTGAACTTTATATACTGGAATCATTCAGTATGTACTCTGTTGTATTTAGATAATTTTGTTGTGTGTAGCAACAGTTCTCATTGCTGTGTAGTATTTCCATTGAGTGACATAATAATTCCTTATTCTCTTGATGCACTTTTTTTTTTTTCATTTTGGAGTACTTTTAGTAGCTGTACTTTTAGGAACATTGATACTATTATTCTAAAATTTCTGTGAAAATACAAAGGGCTTCTAAAAACCAAGGAAAAAGATCAAAGAGCTACCTCAACAAGATATCAGGCTACCAATAATCAAGATAACATGGACATTTTGGTATTTATGGTTTTGCTTCCATGGACATTTCAGTAGCTATGATTTTGGTCCACCTAAATACAAAATTTTTTGAGATATATGACTACAAGTCTAATTGTTGGGTCATAGAGTATGCATAGATTCAGCTTTTCAAGATAGTATTAAACTATCTTAAATACTTTCTCAAAATAATTACACCAGTTCATATTGCCACCAGTGATATGTGAACATTTATGGTATTCAGCATCCTTACGAGGACTGGATATTATCAAACTTTACAATTGTTCATAGTGGTTTTAGTTTGCATTTATCTGATGACTAATGAGGTTAAGCAACACTTGACACATTTTTGGATACTTGGATATCCCCATTTGTATATTACCAGTTCCAGTCTTTAGTGTATTTTTTTTATTGGGTCATCTTTTTCTTGTTGATTTGTGTCAGATCTTATAAATTCAGAGTATAAGTCCTTTGTCAAATATATTGTTGGTATCTTCTTATGTTGTGGTTTGTCTTTTGATTCTCTAAGTGTTGTCATTTGATGAAGAGAAGTTCTTAATTTTAATGTACTCCAATTTGCTTATTTGTCTTAATATATTGTCTATTCGCATCATGTAAAGAGATGTACTTATGCTACATTTAGATTTATATCTACAAACCACCTGAGTATGACATGAGATAGAGATTAATTTGTTTTAGATGCATATCCAGTTGACCAAACATATCTTATTTAAAAGGTCATTCTTCCCCCCACCCCCACAGTGTAATGTTACATTTGTCATAACAATTGACCTTATATGTGAGCATCTATTTATAGACACTGTTCCTTTGCATTGGTCTGTTTGTCTGTCCTTACACCAAAACCATGTTATCTTGATTATTCGTAGCTTGATATCTTGTAGAGGTAGCTCACTATCTTTGTTCTTTTTCTTTGATTAGAAGCCCTTTGTATTTTCATAGAAATTTTAGAATAATAATGTCAATGTTCCTAAAAGCACAGGAATTTTGGTTATGGATTGCATCTAATATATAGAACAACTTAGGGAAGAATTGAAACTTTTGCCACATTGAATCTTCCAATCCATGACCATAACTTGTCTTTCCATTTATTTAGGTCTTCCTTAATTTCTCTCAATATTTCATAGTTCCCTTAGGAAAGGTAGTACATCATTTGATCAATTTGTTCCTGTGTCTTTGCTGATTTTTGCTGGTATTATAAATTGTTGCTATTTTTGTTGATATACAAATCAATTTTTATATATTGATTTTTTTCCAGTGAATGTGCTAATTCACGTATTAATTTTAATAGTGTATGGTTTTTTATCCTCTCAGTCAATACACAGAGTTATATTGTTTATAATAATTACAGTTTTATGTATTATTTTTAAATGCTTATACCTTTCTTGCCTTATTTCACTGGATAATATCTTTGGTATAGTGTTGAAGACAAGTGGTGATAGGTGGCATCTATATCTTGTTTTTAAACTTCGGTTTAAAGATTTTATTATTTCATCTTTATGCAGGATGCTTAAAGCAGATATATTTTATAGATGCTTTCTGTCATATTAAGGAAATTTCCTTCCATTCCTTGTTTTCTCAGTTTTAATCACAAACAGTGCTTTCTGTATCTCTTAAGATGATTTCTTCTTTATTATATTAATGTGATAAATGACCAATTGTTTTAGATATTAAATGATCCTTTTATTCCTAGAATGAACTTACATACACATGCCCATGCATGCTCATGTAAATGCAGTTTGCTAATATTTTGTTGTAAATTTTTACAGTTTTGATCAAGTGGAGATTGGCCTGTAATATTCGTTTTTTAAAATGTCTTTGATGGTTTTTGGTAATACAAGTAATGATGCTTTCTTAAAATTAGCTAGTAAATATTCTATCTGATGCCAAAGTTTGTGTAAGATTTATATCTTTTCAACATGTTAGGAAAACTATACTCGTAAAGTTAGCTAGACTAGAGATCTTTTTGGGAAAACTTTTAATTACCGACTCAATTTCTTTAATAGTTGTAGAACTTTTCTATCGTCTCAGTTTTCATAAATTGTTTCTGGGAATAAAAAAATTAACAGCTCTATTGATGTAAAATAGCATGCATATTGAATGTGTACATGTTGATAAACTTTGACATATAAACACACTCAATGGAACCATTATCAAAATCAAAATAATGGACATATCTTTCACTCTGGAGAGTTTCTTTGTACACTCTGACATGTATATAATATTGAGTCTTCCAGTCCATAAGTACTATATAACACCCTCTCCCATCTTCTGATTTTGTACTGGATAATCCTCTGTGGTGGGGGATGGACTTGGGGATGGTTACCTGTCCTTATAGGATATTTACCAGCATACCTGGCCTCTACCTACTAGACATAACTAGCATCCCCTGCCTCCAGTCCCTAACAATCAAAAGTATTCTCTAGAAATTGCCAAATGGTTCCAGGAGGAAAAATTCCCCAAGGCTAAGAGATTGAAGAACCACTTACGTAGAGATCTCACACATCTTTCGTTTGAATTTATTTATTCCAAGGTATTTTTCATGTGGTTATATATAATTTTCCAAAATTTAATTTTATATTTGGTGCTAACATTTAGCAATGACATTGACTTTAATCAATCAGTTATATTATGATTGAACAATTTTGCTACAGTCACTCATTAATGCTAATAATTTCTATCAATTGGGAAAACATACATGAGGTAGCTCTTGATATAATATCTAAATGGCCGATAAACATATGAAAATTTGCTCAGCTTCATTAGTCATCAAGTAAACATAAATGAAACCACAGTGTAATACAACTGCTTGACCAGGAGGATGAAAAACAAACATACATAAATATAAAAAGCAAATATTGGCAATAACAAATGTTGGTGAAGAAGTGAAGCAAATAGAACTCTATTGGTGGGAGTGAACTGCTTCTTTGAAAAATGGTTTGACAGTATTTATTAAAGTTGACCTAGCATTTAAACTCTTCCCTAGGTTTATACCTAATGGAAATCATTGATATGTTTACCAAAAAAAAAAAAACAACAAAAACATGAGCAGAAAAGTTATAGCTATAGTGTTCACAATAGCCAAAACTTGGAAACTACCAAAATACCTATCAACAGCATAATGGATAAATAAATTGCTGTATAGTATTCCAGTGTTTGAATTTACAATGAGAATGAACAAACGACATCTACATGCAACACCATGGATGAATCTCACAAATACAATGTTGAGCATAACTGCCCAATACAAAAGTGTATGTACTGTGTAATTCCATTTTTATAAAGATCAAAAAAAGCAAAACTAATCTGTGGTGTTAGATTACTCTTAGGGATTAGTACCTGGGAGGGAGCACTTCCAAGTGCTGTTAATGTTCTGTTTCTTAATCTTGTTGCTGATAACAAAAAAGTATTCATTTTGTAAAAGTGATTCGAGCCATGCTTATGATTCATTCACTTTCTATATATGTTACACTTCAAGGAAAATATGTCACATGTGCAAAAATTAAAGAAAATGACTATTCTTCCGCCCTAACTTGTTTGGCTCTGCAATGAACAGTCTGTTCTGTCACACATGCAACTGGAGTTATGTTTCTCCCCACTCTGACCACTGCTTCCTAATCACTTCCACTCCCACCATGACCCCTAGCTCCTTGTCAGGATGTACAGTAAGTCTGACTTAAAAGCTGACTGATGGGCCGGGTGCGGTGGCTCATGCCTGTAATCCCAGCACTTTGGGAGGCTGAGGCGGGTGGATCACCTGAGGTTAGGAGTTTGAGACCAGCCTGACCAACGTGGAGAAACCCAGACTCTACTAACAATACAAAAATTAGTCAGGCGTGGTGGCACATGCCTGTAATCCCAGCTACTCAGGAGGCTGAGGCAGGAGAATCGCTTGAACCCAGGAGATGGAGGTTGCAGTGAGCCAAGATCAGATCGCACCACTGTACTCCAGCCTAGGCAACAAGAGCAAAACTCCGTCTCAAAAAAACAAAACAAAACAAAACTGACTGGTGGTCATTGATCAATGTGTTATTTTTCCCCCACTTGTACCTTGTATCTTTGGCACTTCACTAAGGCTAGCTAGGAAACTGTTATTGGCAATCGTTTTAGTGTAAGAAACTATGACAGCAGAATGTATGTGCTAGAAAGAATTGTCCATAATTAACTTCATTTTTCCATTTGAGTTTTCTCTTTCAGTGGGTCATAGTTCACGTAAAGGAATGCTTTCTGAACTTGTTCTTCTGAATGTGTGCTTCTGAATATGCTCAAAGACATAAAAATTAGACCATTTCTTTTTATCTTATTAAAGACATATTGTCTTTCTAGGCACTCTTAAATAGGATCAATTCCAACCAATATCAATTTTTTCTTGAATTTTTGTCCTTAATGATCTAATTTAGAATTTCCTACTTATTTAGATGTAGATCTATTGGTGAAGGTTAACCGTTTTCACTTTCTCTTTTACTTCTTTCAAACAAGACAGAAGTGTACATCAAGCTATCATCTTTAAACATATAGTTAAAATATATGCACTTTCATTTCACTTGATCATATTAAACTTCTAATTTTATTTCTTTACTGAATTTTTTATGGGTTTTTGTTTGGGGGGGAACAAAGCCTTTATTTTATAAAATGCTTGAAAAATGTTATGATAAAATAAATTTGCATACAAAATGCTGTTGCCTTATGAATATAATTGTACTCTTTTCTCTAAGGTTGATTTTAAAATGTTCTCACTTTTTTGTTTTGCCAGATAAATTATTTCGTTTAGATTTTCCATTTAATTTCCTATATTTTAGCCCCAGAGTCCAATTTTGTCATTTTAGAATGAATGTAGAGATCATGGTTATTCTTGCATTGATTTCTAAATAACCAAATTACATCTTCCATTGTAAACAGATGTTTGTATTTGTTTTATTGTCATAATTTCTCTCTTCCTTTTGGGGAAACAGACAATTTTTTATTTTTAATGTCCATGGAATTCACATTTGCTTTCTCTTTTTTATGCGCTTGTATGCAAATTTGATGAATATTCTTCTCATTTAATTTTGTATTTGATTTTGTGCAATATGCCTTAAAGTTGCTTTAAAAATATATGTGATCTTCTTCCAAAATTTGGCTGGACTCCTCTTGTCCAGAGTTTTACAACATATATATTAACTGCATTTTATTTCTTTTTATGAGGTAAGAATCATATTATGGAAAATCTGAATTCCCAAATGACTAATTGTTAACTTGTCAGTGTATGGTTATTATTTAATTAAATGGAAACATTTTTCAGTTATGATAATGAATTGTGTCACTGGTAACTGATTTTTAAACAGCTTGGAATTTTAAAAGCCATTCCTCCCCTTTATCATTTGAATAAATTAGATGGTTGGTTGTTTGCGCACAGATCCTGTGAGTCCTGTGGGTGAGACCATATGGTGTGATTAGATCACTCGGTGTCTGGGAGAGGCTATGGGGATCCCTTGCAGAGCCAGGGCTGTATTGTCATAGCAGTTGCCTCCCTGCTAATTTATCTCAGGGCTCACACTCTTACATTTTTGGTCTAATCACTTATATATCACTCAGCAATAAAAAACTGTGTCAAAAAGATTAAAATTTTAGACATTCCTGCAGTTGCTGGAAAAAATGGTGATAATGTCATAAAATATGCAATCTTTATTTCTTAAATGTTCATGCTATATGAAAACAGTTCCATGTACTCCTCCAATTTCTGGTTTACAGACAATATATTATATTTTAGGTGTTATTTGTTTAAGATGAGATACAGGATTAAAGGGAAACTAGATAATGTATTGGCAAAAATTTGAGAACTGTTGTTGATGCTCCAGTTGCTATTATTTTGCAAAAATTCTTTTGTATTTGTTTATAGTAGTTAATCATAAAGTATGATTTTGGCTGTTTGTTTTCCACCTGATACATTTATTTATTTATTGTAGAATATATTTGTTTTAAAATTTCAGCTTTGATTACTGACAGAGAATATGAATGATGGTATTTTAATGCTTTCTGTCATTTAAAAAAAATTGTATTACAGTTTTAGAGTCTAAGTGATTGTTGCTCCTGGCATTAACATTGACACACTTATAAATAGATTTTGACATTCATTGAGATTACTTGCTTGCAGGCCTGAAAATAAAGATGAGATATGAAAGAATTTAGGTTATTGGGGAAGGAGCCAGTCATTTAATCTCTTTTGTATTTCAGACTGCTCTCTTATTTCACCTGTAGTTTACAATACTAGCTGACGAGTGTTCTTGTGATTGTTCTGAAACAAAAGCTCCTCTGATGATTTTGAAGCTAGTTTTCCTGATACTTTTTAGCTACCCCAATTTCTATAAAATATTTAGCTCAGAATACCAAGAAAGACTTCAAGGATCCAGGATACTCCTGAAACTTTCTGCAGTATTTTGCATGTATGTATGTCTATATGTTTGTGTGTATGTGTGCATTTGTTAGTTGGTTTTCAAGGTGTGTTAGTCAAGGTAGAAGCTATGTTGCTGTAAGAAAGAGTCCCAGAAAATGGTAGCTTAGACATGATAGTGGTTTTTCTCTCTAATAACAGTCTGCAAGTAGCCAGTGCATCCGTGGGAGTTTGGCAGTTTTGCTCCTTCAAGTTGTGCAGTACTTCTGTTTCTTCTTTTTGTCCCATCTGCTGCCAGGCTATTGCACTCCTTCTCAGTGGTTGAAGCTGGCTCATCCACGTTCTAGCTAAATGACTGGCTATACACTAGGAGTGCACAAGTTACATACATCACACGTGCTCACGTTCCTTTGTTGAGAAGTTGGACACAGCCACCAGTAACCTCAAGGGAGTCTGGGAAAGATCATCTCTAGTGTGGCTCAAAATCAGGGTTTGTTACTATACAAAATCAGGGTTTGTTACAATACAAGAATGAGGGGGAGAATACAGAGAGGCAGTTAGCAATCTACCACAAGAAGGTTTTTTTTGTTTTGTTTTGTTTTTTTTTTTTTTTTTTTTTTTTTTGAGACAGGGTCTTACCGTCACCCAGGCTGGAGTGCAGTGGCACAATCTTGGCTCACTGCAACCTCCACCCCCCCCCGGGTTCAAGTGATTCTCCTGCCTCAGCCTCCTCAGTAGCTGAGATTACAGGCACCTGCCACCACGCCTGGCTAATTTTGTGTATTCTTCATGGAGATGGACCATGTTGGCCAGGCTGCTCTTGAACTCCTGACCTCAAGTGGTCCACCCCCACCTCAGCCTCCCAAAGTGTTGGGATTACAGGCGTGAGCCACCGTGCCCGGCCTGAGCTTTCATTCATTGTCTTCATCAAATATATGTCATATATTATGTAAAAGGAAATGTTTAATATTCAAACCTTATGTGTTCTAGGATGTCAGCAGTCAGGCCTGAGCATCCATGTTGACATAACGGGGCGTAGGCCATCTGGATAACTGCATGTATACATCACCTGACCATGATTGCAAGAGCTGCAGTTAGAGACTGATACACATATGGTAGAATATTGATGGAAATACCACAAGCGGTAACTTCCATAACATAATTTTCCGTGAACAACCGTTATAAAAGTTCTAACACAGCAAAGTGCAGTGTTCTCCCAAAATTCAGGTTAGGTACATTCCTAGAAAGAAAATTTTGTATGTGTTAAAACCCATGCAAAACTTCAGTGTTACATGCTGGTCTCAAGTCATCATAGTGGGTGTTTGACTTGCATGTGTGTCCATGGAGTCATTTGTATGGCATAAGAGGTGCTGGCAATTCCTGCTGGTGGGTGAGTGTGTGCACATGACAAGGCCTCTGTATCTTTCCTTTTTGCCCACAAAAGGCCAGCAATCCACCTTAATTGTGGAAACTGCCCTCCCTCTCAGACACATTTCAAGTGGTATTTCTTATTTTTATAAAGTTTTTCTCCTGGATGTCGTCACTTTTTCTTTTTCTGTAGTGAAGAAAACATTTAAACTCTGTGTTCATACTTTGTGTTGCTTTGCGTCTCAACAATGTCTCTCTGTTACATTTCAGCACAGCACGTTGCCAAGGGCTCAAATTGAATTCAATATAGGCAGGTCCCGGGATCATGGAATCACTACTCATCCAGCAGCACTTAGGTCCTTCCTAACTCCATTTCACCCTCTTTTCATTAACTGCTGCTTCTTTGAACCTAGTTATTGTCATTTTTTCCTTTGCTCTACCTATGCCATAGAACTTTAGATCTTGAAGGAACATTAAGAGATCTATTTTAATCACTTTCACATTAACAGTAACTTGCCCCAAAACACATGGTTCGTTCTAACTCTAAAACAGGCCACGGGTATTTCTTATTGCTCTCGTATTTCCCATAAGAAGCAAGCTCCCTTTTCATTCTGTCCACGTTTTCCCCAACTCAGCTTTAGACCACCACTCCTTTCTTGAGTTGATGGCATTCTCTGGACCTGTGGGGTACATGTTCCACCAGGCCCCCAACTCTTCCCCCATTCTCCTCCCCCGGTCTTTCTCTCCATCTGACACACATGAATTCATACTAGGGGAAGGACCTGTGCCTGCTCTCCTCTATTTCTTTTTGTTTAAATTGGCTTATTAGTGTTATCTTGAATCCATTTTGGGGTAGGAACCTTTTCATACCCCTTGTCCACTTTTTCTTGTGGACTGGTTTAATTCAGTTCAATTTGTAATTGGTAAAGTTACCTAACAAGGACAGCTGATTGCAAAGCTTCAAATCCCAGTGAGAGTGAACGAAGGTGTAGGGTTCTTCTAGCTGGTAGAAGGCCCTGCTCCTCCCTCAGTACACCCCCTTCAGTAACTGACTCAGGACAATGGACATGAAGGTCACGTGAGGCCTCTGCATTTTACTTTATAGTTTACTTTATTCTTGCTTCTCAAAGTGTCATTGTGTCCACACTCTGGGGCTGAATATTATGACTAGGTTGTGCATGTGTGGATGTGTTAATTTATCTTGAGTCTACTTGACCTTGTTGAAACTTCCCAAATTCCCTGTTCCTTCGAGAATCTTGTTCATTTACCTGCTTCCAAACTAGCAGGTTCTCTAAAAATTCAGCAAATTCATTCTTTACACTCTAAAGCCAATCTGGCATATACAGATCTACTATATATGTTAGCATATTAAAAAATAGTAGGCTACACATTCTGCCCCATATTATCACTTTGCTTTTCACATTAGACTTTTAAAATGTCACTTACACATTATACACATTCAGCTTAGCCTTCTGTTATCCATCAAGCCACAGTAACTGGAAGGAAGGGTGATTTTGCTGTAGAAATGGGCCCAGTGCTGATTTGTAATTATTGGAAAACTCAATGTGATTACTCTCTAAAACATCATATTTGTGTGACTAATATTTTTGTTACTAACAATAACGTTTCTAATTTTTATCTTTAGTTTTGGGAAGGATAATGTTTTAAATCAAATATCTACAGAAAACCTGAGGGTATTAAAATTTGCTTTTATTACTTATGATCTCTTTACATTTAAAAATTGAGGGGGTACATATCAAAAAATAAAATCTTTGAGACATAGGTAAAGAGACGAGTGGTAGGTAATAAAGAGAAGGGGATAGAATGTAGCCATTATGTCAGAAATGCTCTTGAGTGAGGGGCCTGGATGTGAACACACACTTATTTCAGACATTGCAGACAGCAAAGGCAAAAGACAAACACAGTAAGTCACATCGACCTCATTTTTTAGTAAAAGGAATCATTGGTTTGAGTGTCAGTCATGTCAAGCAGCATTTGAATAAAGTCTCAATGGCAATTTTGTTAAAAGGGCAAAGACCTTGTTCATAAAGGCCAATTCTTATTCTGGCCTTTAATGGTAAGTTGAGAGTTCATTAAACTGAAGTTTAGCAAGATGTGTCAATTCAGGGATAGAGTGCAAAAGTAGATTCTAGGTTTATAATTCTCCAGTGCTCTGACTTACAGATACTGTACAGCAACATTTCTTACGGTGAACACAATCTGTAGAAAAGCAGACCCGTGGAACATAGAGAGCAGTGTTCTGAGCTTTCATGTGTTTGGGAAATGCTACATTCATTTGCATAGTAAAAGTCCCAGAGCTCTGCAGTGAAGAAAACATTTAAACTTTGTATAAATAGTGTTTCCCAAACTTCATTGATCTTAAAATCCTTTATTTCCTTAGGAACTTCTCATCAGTTGCTATAATAGAATCTATTTTGGGAAACAAGGAAGTAAAAGCATGAAGGTTTGACATGTTGCTAATTGTGGCATAGGTGTTTCGAAAGTCAGATGACAGGCTTTCTCTATTACTAATGAAATAGGAGAGTTGTATGTTTTAGGATTTTTGTGTAGGTGTTTGGGATTGGTGTAATTTAGGTGGCATGTTTGGCATTTTGTTAGGAAAATTTAAAGGTTGGTTTGCAGTCTTTATGAAACCGTACCCTTATAGTGTTCTATAAAGTGAACTGTTGGCTTGTAATTACTTTGCAGTCCAACATTTTTCATGGTCTTAGGCTTTCTTTGCAAATGGAATTTCTTTCTTCAATGAACTGTATACTGTCTTCAAGGTGGAAAATGTATAATAGATTACTCAGTGTAATACTTTCTGGTTGTGTTACTTTGGCCTTGCTCAGATTGCAAGAAATGGAGATTTGCTGGTTAAAAAAAAAAAAAAAGTAATTGAGTGGGGAGGTGATGTTAAACATACATTTATATTTACCTCTGTTCTTTTGTTATATATTTCTAGGGTATCTGTTCATCTCACAGTGTCTCTTCTGGTATCCCAGATTCTCGTTCCCTATACATCAAGGAGGTGATTAATTAATTAAGTCATGTAATATGTCTCTGGTACAGCTTTGGCTCCGACACTGATCTCTAGGTCAATCAGCTATAGCCTGAGTAATAGGACTGATTTTGCTCAAGGCTAAAGAGCTGATTTCTCAGTAGAATAATAGTGACAGTAGAGGTCGGGTGACCAGCCAGCACTAGAGCAACAAAACATTAAACTCTGCAGTTGTGATACCTAGTTTCAAAGTAGAGAGTCACTTCTGATTGTTGCTTCTTAAATATCATGATATCTGTGTTCCATTTTAAGGGCATATTTGAGAATGCTATGATTTAAAGGATCACAAGCTAAGCACTTAGTATTATTATATATTAATTTTTTAAATGTTTACTCCTCATATGTTAGGTAGCATATTAGGTTATTTGCATTTATTATTTCTAGTTCATATAACAGCATTGCAAGTATGCTTACTTCCTCATTTGAATAATGAGACAAACCGCCACTCAAAGCTGTTAAGAAATTGGAGCATCTTCAGACAGCTGTGAAGATAACAGAGCTGGGCTTAGTAGACCAATTTTCTAACTTGAAATCAAGCTCTCTTTCCACTGTGACTTGTTGGGTTACTTAAGGAGACTACCATGGAATGTCTTGAATACATCAGAAGGATGCTTTGTGGGTTGGGAGAGGCTGGGCGTTGGTTTATTGTTTTTGTTTTGTTTTGGTTTGGTTTAGTTTTTTTGGCCTTAGAGGATGATAGAGGAACCAGGATATACAGAAATTAAAATAATACCAAATTAAATGGAAGGAATTTACCTCCCGTTTTCTGGTTTGTGCACAGCTAATTCATTTAATAAGAAGCCATAAATTGTCTGCACTTTGGAAGGTTGTGTAACAGTAACGTAACTGTAGTATTGATAACCCCTAAGCAAAAGCTAAAATCTATTGTCTTCTTTCTGTATCTCTTTGTTACTTCACATCAAAGATTAAAAGTAGCTCCTACTACCTATATGTTCCTTATAAAATCTGTTGTTTATACTCCCTAACAAAAGTATCACAAAACTGGTAGGGTTAAGTAGAGGCATCAAATACAACTAAATCATGGCAAAACGAGTTCCTTCAACATTAATTAAGTTCCTACTCTGTCATGCTATGCAAATCCCTGCCTTCAGGGAGATTATAGTCTGCTCTTTCTAATCCGTCATCTTTGGCATTTAGTACTGTGGGAAGTCCCTTATTATGTATCCCATAGACCCATATCCCATACACTCAAACATACCCAGCTCATGTACACATATAATTTTGTCTCTCAACTGATAAAGAAAGGAGCAGCACCCAAATGAGTTGTTCTCACCTTCCCTGTATTAGTTTTCTGTGCTGTGTAACAAATTACCACAAATCTATCAGCTTAAAGTAGCATGCAGTTATTATCTCCATCGGTTGGGAGTGAGTGAGGTTAGTTTTCATGGTCAGGAGTCTGGGCACAGCTTTGCTGATTCTTCTGCTCTGGATCTTAACATGGTGAAATCAGCGCACTGACATCTCTATTCTTAACTGCAGCATGGGGTCCTCTTCCTAGCTCATGCAAGTTGCTGGCAGAATTCATTTTCTTACAGTGGTGGGGCTGAAGACCACAGCTCTTAAAGGTTATCCCCTTAGGCAGTTTACAATCTTTTTCTTTTTCTTTTTTTTTTTCCTTCAAGGCCAGCAGGAGAATATTTCTGCCCCTTTTGGCTAAGATGACATTTTATGTAATATAAAAAAATCAAGGGAGTAATAGCCCATTACCTCCTCCATTTTCTATTGGCTATAAGCAAGTCATAGGTCCTTCCCATAATCAATGAAAGAGAATTCTACAAGTGTGTGACTCATCAGGGGCTCCTAGAGTATGTCTGCTACACCTCCTACCAAATAATAAATATTATATCTCAGCTTGTTGAGAACTTTGTGTAAGCCAGCACTATTCAAAATATTTCATATATATTTATTCATTTAATCCTCACAAAAAACTCTAGGAAGTAGTTTGTTTTTCATAGTTTAGAAATTAAACTGAACCATGGAGAGTGGATTCTTGTTAGCTAAGAATATCCATCCAAAAAATAAACAGGAGAAAACAACAGCAACAATCTTGATGCCACACAGTCCTTCAGCTACCACACTCTTGCATCATTTCCCTTCATAACAAGGTTCCTTACCTCCCTTTTCGGAGCTGTGGTTGCTTTTCCTTCTGCCCTTACTCTAGGGCTCTTTCCTGCCCTTCCTTCACATACATCTCTGCTTGGAAATAAATGCCTCGGAGAGTCCTACCTCCACACGCATGCACCTAGAATTTTCCCTTCTTGTACTTCTGTTTTCTTCAGAGGCCTTAACACCATTTATAGTTACAACTTGATAAAACGGGGACCATGCCTTTCTTTGTTCATTGTATTTCCAGCATCTAGCATATAAACTTTTTCAGTGGAAGAATGAATGCCTGCATGTTAACTAAAGAAAGTCATGTGGTATAATGGAAAAGGTATCATTTTAGGGAGTCAAATCCTACTTTGCTGCTTACCTACTGCTAGAGTCTGAAGGTTTGTGTTTCCTCATAATTTATATGTTGAAATCCTAACTCCCATAGTGATGTTACTAGAAGGTGGAGCTTTGGGAGATGATTAGATCATGAGGACAGAGTCTTCATGAATGGGATTAGTTCTCTTATAAGAAACCCCAGAAATCTAGCTAGTCCCTTCCACCATGGAGGCAACAGCAAGAAGACATCATCTGTGAACCAAGAAACAGGCCCTCCCCAGACACTGAATCTGCTGGTACCTTAATCTTGGATTTTCTGGCCTCCGGAGGAGTGAGGAATAAATTTTTGTTGTTTATAAGCTGCCCAGTCTATGGTACTTTGTTATTGCAGACCAGACAGACTAAGGCACCCATCTTCAGGGTTGTTGAAAGCACTCAGTTAGTCTATTATTATTGTTGTTAGTTATCGTTTTTATGGAAGAAGAAGTAGATCAGGGCCATTGTTAAAGGGGAGGAGAGGCTAAGACAGTTACCTTTGGGCATAGATATTACCAGGCTACAAGGGGGAATTAAAGATATGTTAGATACCCAGACTTGGGGGCTCTCCTAGCATCCTTTCCTTCTCAGGCACGCCCCATGCTATTAAAAAAGACATTTTACCCTTTACCACTCTAGGTGCAAGGCTCTTGGATCAGCAGAAGCTGTCTATCTGTTTCACAGTTCCTGGCACATAGTAGATGCTGTGAAATGTTTGTTAAAGAAAGGAATGACTAATAGATAGTCACTTAAACACAGCTGTTCAGTGTATTACAAATGGAAACAGTGATTCATTGATTCCCACTACATTATAACATAACCTTATTTTATCTATACAAGAACATGAGCTTGAGTTTCACTAAATAAAACATTAGTATTCATGGTTGGGTACATTGGAAGTTTTTTCCCCCCTTCCCCCTCTGCTACACACAGAGGGAACATTAAAGAAAATACAATTATAAAACGTTGTCTTTTAAAACATACACATTCTCATATTTGCTACAACTTGTTCCAATTTTGAAAACATCGCTTCTCATCGAGGCCCAGCAGAATGTCCCAAGATGTGGCCAAAGGTCCTCCACAAGTTTGTTTGTCATGAAGTAGATACACTGTGAACACCAAACCCTTCTCTAATTGTGGAGAAGCTGGTGAAAGTGTGATCTGTCAAAGGCTTTATTTTTGCCTTTAGATGTCTTTATTTCAGTTGTTTTTACTGATTTTGCCACAGGCTACATCTCTTCTGAGCAATTCCTGTTTTTGGAATTTGAAAATGGATTGATTCTTAGAAAAGGTGTCAGAATTTTAAACTGTAGAATAATATCATTGGAAAATAATTATTGTTTTAACTAATATTGAATGAAAGCTTAAGGGAAATCCCATGTAAGCACAATAGTTGAAACTGAATACCTGAAACCTTTCAATAATCAATATTAATATTCTCCTTGTTTCATTTGCTTTTAACATTGCATACATCCCTGAAATATGGCTTTCCTGATTATATATTCTGAAATCCTTAGCAGCAATTATAATGAAACCTGTTTCTCTTAGAATAAGAGAATTGTTTTCTTTCGTTAATTGGAGCCTAAGAAATTGCTTTCCTACAGTCTTATTCTAAGGAATAGCCTCCCCAGCATCTGATTGATTATATCCTCTGCTGATTTGGAAATTTAGACAGGTCATGTGGTGGGATCAGGAGGATAGTTCTCGTTCTCTTGATAACAGCAAAAGGTTCCATTTAAAAGGAGACCATTATTTTGGCCAAGTGGTTGGATTGGCTAAAAATTCTATTTGCAAAGGAAAAAGAAAAAATTATATGTACACACATATATATATGTATGTATGTATATAGATAATTGCATAAATGTGTATGCATGTTCCATGTATGTGTATATTAAAGTACATGTGTATATATGTTTAGATGGATATAGAGATGTACATACATACACATATCACAAAAGCAGTAAGTAGTAGAAAAAGACAGCTCAGAAGAAGAGAGGCTTTTATTATGACATCTACTTTAAAACTCCATCATAACAATAATGACAAAAAGCCTTCCACATTTCCATCTAAGTGCTGCTTTGTTCGGTAATATTTCTCTCTAAAATTTACTTTGTGTTCACTTTTGCTTGATTCCATGCATACTTTTAAAACTTATTTGGAGGAAGGATGAAAGCTATACAGGCTTACCTTGTTTTAATTTAGTTTGCTTTATTGCACTTCACAAATACTGTTTTTTTTATAAATTGAAAGTTGGAGGCAACCCTGCACTGAGCAAGTCTATGGGCATCATTCCATTTTTCCAACAGCATGTGTTCATTGTGTGTGTCTGTGTCACATTTTGGTAATTCTCATAATATTTCAAGCATTTTTATTATAATATATTTCATTATTAAAATATGATAATGTATTATTATATATGGTGATATATGACCAATGATATTTTTTACTATCGCATTTGTTTTGGGGTACCACAAACCATGCCCTCATAAGACAGTGAACTTAATCCATAAATGTGTTCCGACTGTTTACTGACCAGCTGTCTCCCATTTCTCTCCCTTTCTTCAGGCCTCCCTATTTCCTAAGACAGAGCAGTATTAAAATTAGGCCAATTAATAACCCTACAATGGCCTCTAAGAGTTAAAGTGAAAGAAAAAGTTGCATAAGTCTCACTTTTCAATCAAAAACTAGAAATGATTACATTTAGTAATGAGGAAGGCATGTTGAAAGCTGAGATAGGCCAAAAGTTAGGCCTCTTGCACCAAATAATTAGCCGAGTTGTGAATGGAAAGGAAAAGTTCTTGAGGGTAATTAAAAGTGCTACTGCACTGAACACACAAATGATGAGAAAGTGAAACACCTTTATTGTTGATATGGAGGAAGTTTTAGTGGTCTGGCTAGAAGATCAAATCAGCCACAATATTCCTTTAAGCCAGAGCCTACTATAGAGCAAGCCCCTAACTCTTTTTTATTCTCTGAAAGCTTGGAGAGGTGAAGATGTGCTAGAAGGGAACTTGGAAGCTAACAGAGATTAGCTCATGAGGCTTAAGGAAAGAAGCCATCTCTATAACCTAAAAGTGCAAGGTGAAACGGCAGTGGCTGATGTAGAAGCCACAGCAAGTTATTCAGAAGACCTAGCTAAGATTATTGATGAAGGTGGCTATGTTAAACAACAGATTTTCAATGTAGATGAAATTGGAAAAAGATGCCATTGGGCTTTTATAGCTAGAGAGGAGAAGTCAATGCCTGGCTTGAAAGGATAGGCTTACCCTTCTGTTAGGTGCTAATGCAGCTGGTGGCTTTAAGTGGAAACCAGTGCTCATTTGCCATTCCAAAAATCCTACAGCCCTTAAGAATTATGCTAAATCTATTCTGCCTTTGCTCTGTAAATGGAACAGTAAAGCCTGAGTGACAGCACATCTGTTTACAACATGGCTTACTGAATATTTTAAGTCCGCTGTTGAGACTTACTGCTCAGAAAAAATATTCTTTTCAAAATATTACTGCTCATTGACAATGCAGTGGGGTCACTGAAGAAGCTGACAGAGATGTAAAAAGAGAATAATGTTTTCATATTACTAATGCAATACCTATTCTGCAGCATATGGATCAAGGAGTAATTTTGACTTTCAAGTCTTATTATTTAAGAAATGCATTTTCTAAGGCTGTGGCTGCCATAGGTAGTGATTCCTCTGATGGTTCTGAGCAAGGTGAATTGAAAGTCTTTTGGAAAGAATTCACCATTCTGGATGCCATTAAGAACATTTGTGATTCGTGGGAGGAGGTCAAAATAGCAACATTAACAGGACTTTGAAAGAAGTTGATTCTGATACTTATAGATGACTTTGAGGAGTTCAAGACTTCAGTGGAGGAAGTCACTGCAGATGTGGTGCAAATAGCAAGAGAACTAGAATTAGAAGTAGAGCCTGAAGATGTGACTGAGTTGTTGCCATCTTAGGATGAAACTTTCACAAGTGAGGGGTTGCTTCTTATGTGCAAAGAAAGTGGTTTCTTGAGATGAAATTGACTCTGGGTTAAGATAGCTGTGAACATCGTTGAAGTAAAAACAAAGGACTTCGAATATTCCATAAGCTTAGTTGATAAAGCAGCGGCAGAGTTTAAGAGAATTGACTCCAATTTTGAAAGACGTTCTGCTATGGGCAAAATGCTATCAAACAGCATCACATGCTACAGATAAGTTTTTTGGGAAAGGAAGAGTCAACTAATGCAGCAAATTTTATTGTCAGCTTATTTTAAGCAATTATCATAGCCATTCCAGCCTTCAGCAGCCACCAGCCACCCTGATCAGTCAGCAGCCATCAACATCCATGCAAGACCCTCCGTCAGCAAAAAGATTATGACTCACTGAAAGCTCAGATTACTGTTATCATTTTAAGTAATAACGTATTTTTAATTAAGGTATGTAAATTGATTTTTAGCATAATGCTATTGTACAGTTAATAGACTACAGTATAGTGATAGCTTTTATATGTACTGGGAAACCAAAACGTTTATGTGACTTACTTTTTTGCAACATTCACTTTATTGTCGTAGTTTGGAACTGAATTTGCAATGTCTTTGTGATATGCCTGTATAACATTTTTTATTGAGTCCTCATATGACTAGATAGAGTCTTGATTACAGCATTATAATCACAATATTTAAAAAATTATTATATATATTAGGACTTTTTTGACAGTGGTTGCAAAGAATTGTTTCCTTCAGTGGCTTTGAACTTGAGGTTGTTCAAGCTTGTAGGTTAAAGTTTATTACATCATCTTTAATATTTTGTCACTATTTATTCTGAATACTTGGTTCTCACAATATTCTCAAAATTGTCCCATTTTCAGATCTTAGAAACTTATATTCATTTGTTAAAGAGGAATATAGTCTCTAGCATGGGGAAATTCATTGTCTCATGCTTATCACATGTGGCTGTTTCTGTCAGTGATACTTTTACAACTCTTAATGCATCAGTTCCCAAACTATTCTGGGGAATAGTTGTTCTATGAGATACTGATGGTTGTTCTGTGAGAGGATTATAAAGTATAAAAGTGTGGGAAATACTGTATAATTTATTCTTCAGAATTTAAAATAAATTTTAGCATATTAGATAATACAGTAAATGAAACTACTTAACCATATTTAATACAGTCAGGCTATATTTATTGTATGGAAGACTGCATTTCTTTTAGATGGATTTACCTATTAAAATACCTATTTTGCAAAACACAATTTTGGTAATATTGTCTTACTGCAATTTTGGAAATATCTTTGAAAAGTTATTTGCAAAATTGTCTTTGGCATATTGCTGATCTATCTCCTTTAGGGAATCCATCCCTTTTAACAGCCTTCTTTCATTTTTATGCCTATCTTTATGTTATTCTAAAGAATAATATTTTCCCTTGTGGATAAATCTTGAGCATGTCTATAGAGTCTCCTGGGCCATCTGAATTATACTTAGTGGTAAGGAAAAAATTAAAATTTACCTTTTAAAGAGAGTCAATACTCTGGCTTTTATTCGTACTGGGATGTAGACTACAAGGGCACTGGGTGCTTGATCATGCAGGGTATAAGTGGCTCAATGATAACAGCATATGATGGTTCATATGCTCATTGCTCTTTTGTATTGTATTAGACTCCTGATTAGTGTCTCACTGTCTGGGTTGTCTTTGCTCTAAAGATCCTATTGATTTTTGTATTGGACACAACAGCTAATGTACTATACTGCACACACTGTTTACCTTAGTAATGCTAAAAGGCTTGATAGATATTAGCACATCCACAATACAGATCACCTTCTGCAAACACATTCTTCCCTTACACCTATCAATATGATGCCACTTGCTCCGATTTTCTTCCTACCTCTTTCTACTTTTGCTTAGTCTTCCTAACAGGATCTACTTTACCTCCTCATTCCTGTTACATTAGTATTCCTCAGGACTCTGCTTTAAGCCACCTTCTCTTTTGGTAAATATTCTTCCAATGTTCTCATCTATACCCATGTTTCCAACTACACTTTATTTGCTAATCATTCCTATTTGAAAACAATATTTACCATTGAGCATCTTGCCCTATTCTCAGTTACTGACTAGACATCTTTATTTGGATGCCATCAAGATATCCTTACATCAACATATCCAAAGCCTTCATTTCTTGTTTCTAAATACTGTTTCCCTCTTGTGCCTTTTCCTGTTCTGATGTTTGGTGCCAGCATGTACTCAGTTAGCAAGCCTTATTCCTGGGAAGCATCTTCCACATCTTTTTGTCTCATCTTTCTCAGCCCCAGTGATCACTCAGTGCCATCAATTCTGGTTTGTATACTTATCTTGAATATTCTCCTTCCTCTCTGTTTCCTCTACCTGAACAATCTTAAGACTTTTCATCATTGGTTCCGCTTGCTCTTGATGCTAGTTAACAGAAATCCCTGTCTTAGTCTTGCCTTTGTCCAGGGCATCCTCTACACTGCAGTAGGAGTAACATATGGAAGACATCTACTGGGAATTATAATCAGCATCTCAACCTGATGTAGTGCTAAAACAAACCTCCTCTGCCTATAGTCTTGTCTTTTAAAAACTAATTAGCAGTTTTCTACGTTTCATTCCTAAGTCCAAAAATTCTTGATATCAGCCTTGCCTGCCCTCTTTCATACCACACATTTAATCTATCATCAAATTATGCTGGCTCAACCTTCAGGATGTAATCAGAACCTAACCATTTCACGCTGCCTCCAGTGCGGTTATCCCAGTCCAAGCTACTATCATTTTTTTCCTGGATTATTGTAAACCCTATATACTAGTGTTCCTGGTAGATCTTTATCTGCTAAAGCTATGCTGTCTAGTACAATAGCCACTAGCCACTTGAGGCTTTTGAGAACTAGAAATACGGCTCACTAGAATATGAAATGAGATGTGCTATTAAAAAGATCCACTGGATATTGAAGAATTCATATTCAAAGAGAATGTAAAATATCTCATTAACAATATTTTATATTGAATATATGTTGAAATAATATTTTCGATAGTTTGGATTAAGAAAATGCATTATTGAAATTAATTACATGTTTCTTTTATTTTTTCCAGCATGATTAGTAGAAAAATTGAAATCACATATGTGACTCACCTTTATACTATTAGACAGCAGTACTCTAAATATTTTTCTAAACACAGCAGTCAGAGCTACCCTTTGGAAATGTCAGCTCTTATCATTCTTTGGACCAACACCCTCCAAAGGCTTTCCAGCCCCCTCAAGGGAGAAGGCAGTCTGTATAGTGGGTGACAAGGCCCAGTGTGATCCTGTCCCCTCCGCTCCTCTTCCTTCCACTTTCTGCTCTCTAGCTCCAAGGGCCTCTGTGCAAGCCCCACCTGAGGGCCTTTGCATTTATATTCTCTTCGCTTGGCTGTTTCCCAGCTAGCTGTGTGGCTTGCTTTTGCATTTCTTTCTGCTCAAATGTCTCTTATTAATTCTATTAGAGAGGCTCATCCTGATACCCTATTTAGAGCCGCAATCATCTTCCCCGCACATACTCAATGTGAATATTTTCTTCATGTTTTGGCTTTACTTTGAATGACTCCTCGTTGTCTGTAGAATGAAATCTAGATTGCTTAGTATTTCTCGGTGCACCGTTATTATTTAGCCACTTTCTAACTCCAGCACTCACTGTTCTCAGCAACTCTCATACCATGCAGTTAGAATCACTTGTAAGAAACACAAAATAAGAAAAAAGTGGTTTAGAAAATAGAGGTTTAAAGGATTATTATTAAATGTAAATATATTATTGCACTGAATTAACATTCATTCTTCTTCAAACATTGTATGATATGCAAGGAGGAAAGTTTATTTAAACCTTTGAATTCCAGTTGGCACCCATTCCTTAAAATGTATGTTAATAGGATCCATACCAAAGACAAATGATATACTTACCAAGAAAGAGTATAAACCTTTATAAAAGTATCTCTATGTGAGTAAGTTTTCTTTATTAGTGTTTATTTTCCTTTGGAACAAAGATTATGATCAGAGTTTTTCTCCTCCTAATGAAATAGGAACTATAACTTATCAATAGTTAGATACTTCATTATAAGACAGGTGATTTTGGGAATGAACATTTCTATTTTGGCTAATCAGGAAAACACATTGTAACTAACTTAGGAATAAATAAATCTTTCAGAAATGTTTATTGTTCCAGTTCATTCAAATATATCTTTTGTACAGTATTTCTTAAAACCCATAAAATTAATCGTGTATTTAAAACACTTTATTGGCATTTATTTCCTAAATCAAATTCAGCACTAGTATTTAATTTTACTGTCTGTTACAGCCTGGGGATCTGGCAGTTAAAATTATTTTTCTGTTTTAAAATAAAAATATTTTCCTCCAGGGCTAGCTTTCATATTCTTGAATGTGTTTATGTCACACTGCCTTGCATTTCCATGTGCTGAGATCTCGAGAATCTGTCAGAGCTAATCTGGATCTGGTATTTATTTGTGTCTTAAAATTATGCTGAAATTTTAATTACTAACTAATCATGCCCCTGGCTTGGTAGGATATATGGAACTAAACTTCTGTATATCAGCTACTGGAGTTAAATTTTAAATCCTTCACTACTCAAAGCAAGGGCAGTACAATAAACTTTTATTTACCATCTGCAAGATGCTAAGTGTTACACCGACTATAAAAGTTTATAAGACAAAATCTAAGTCCTCAAATGCACAATAATTCTAATCCACTGTGTCTTCTATACATGTACTCCACAATGAGTAACTCTTTCTACCTCTTCAGAGAACTTGCCTTCCACCTATTAGTCCTAATTGAAATCTATCTGTACAATATGAATACCTTTTCCCTTTTAATCTTTCTAAATTGAGTTGCCATTTTCTCAAGGCTGCTGGAATCACAAGGACATATATTCAAAGTTAATATTTGTAGAAAAATTTCAGATTTCATAGAGGTATATCATTTATATGACTATCTTGTCCTCATCCTTATTGTCTTTACCAAAACTCCTTAATAACATTTCTTAAAGACTTACACTCAAGGTTGGCCATCATTTCATCCACCCCCATCTCCCAGAATCATCCTGAGCAACTTTAATGTCTCCTGAAATGTTCTCCCAATGACTTTACCTTCTTAATCCTGAAGACCTTCACCCAGTCATAAATATATCTCAGATTTGTCTTTCTTTTGTTGCCTTTTACTGAAATACTCCGATACCCTTTCTAGCAATGTCTCAGTTTCATTTTTCCTTCTCTCTTCTGTTACACAGCTACCAAAGTCATCTTTTTAAGCACATACCTTTTAGGTTTTTTCCTTGGCTTCAAAAATTTGATACGTTTCCCACTACCTAGAGTGGTGCTTCACAACTTTCCACCATCATGGCTTATATTGAAAAAGGTAATACATATGCATGAGTAAACTGAGGGGGAAACTTGGACCTGGAGGCCACTAACCTGGGGCCTATGGTACATTTACTGGGCTGCTCCCATGTAGAGCATGAAGCCCAAGCTCTTTAGGTTTGGTGTCTGTCTTAGGAACCTCCTCAGCTCTTTCCTCCCGAAACAGGGCCTGGAACAAGAACTGTAGGACAGGTCATTTTAAAGCCAAAGCCAGGGGTTAAATAGGGTGAGACAGGGAAGAGAGAAGCCCTTTGGACAACTGTCGCTCATTTATTGGAGAAAATGTGTAGAATGAGCCACAGAACTGTTCCACAGGAGGACAGCAGGAGAGTGAAGCATTTTTCTACAGTCTGTTGTCTCTCATGAACTGGGAGTTGCGCCCAGAGACAAACTCTGCATCTCCAGGCTGTACCTGCAGGGGAACTTGAAGCTCTTTTTGCTTCAGAGAAAGTCTTAGAGTGTTATAGACTTATGTTGGAACTAAGTGGATTCAACTGTTTACCCTGTTTGCTCTGTACTCATGTAGCCAAGATGATATAAAGTGGAGTATCAGAAATGTTTGGTGTAGACTTCCTCTTGTACCACTCAGATCTTGTGCTTCACGTTAAGCTCCCTCTGTCTTTAACTCTTTAAAAAGTAACTGGTCATAATATTAATGTATTGGAAAGAAGGAAAAAATGAAAATAACAAGACTTATGACCAGAAGCTTAGTGGATCAGCTATAGGCTGTGCCAGTCTCAAGCTGGTTTTAAGGATGTTGTAGCTCATCATCTCCCTCCTTCATTACTCATTTCTGATTTTCTCACTCTTAGTCGGCACTTCTACTAGAAGTGGCCCAGACCGCCATCCCTGAGGAGTTTGAGCCATTGGTTGTCTTGCCCTGTCAGGATGTCAATCACCAGGCATGAATAACACCAAGAGATGTCCCAGGGAATCCCCAGCGTTCCCAACACCCTTCTGTCCATCCCTTCCCTATTGCAGCAGTCTTATTTCCTCATGATGGTTAGGGCTGATTGATTATCCTATCTGTCTCCTTTCTTTGCCTACTGGTCCAACAGAATGAATAATACAAAGTAACCAGACAAAGCTTTGGCTACAGTGGGTCCCTTACATTGTCCACTAGTGCAGTTGTTCTCAACTAGGGATGATTTTGCCTCCACAGGACATTTGGCCATGTTTGGAGATGTTTTTTGTTGTCAAATTGATAGGGAGTTGCTCCTGGGATCTACTGGGTAGAGTTCAGGGATGGTGCCAAACATCCGACATTACACAGGACATGCCCCCACTAAAAAGAATTATCTGGCCCCAAATGACAAGAGTGCCAATCTTGAGAAACCCTGCTCTAATAGAAGTGATTCACCGCTGGGAACCTGGACTTCTAATCCCACAGAGACTAGAGCTATGGGGACAGAATGCATGCAGTCTGCAAGTGGTTGTTTGGGAATGATAGTGCAAAGGTTCTTTCATTCTGCCCCTTAGTTCCCAGATCCATGTAGCCTAGCCATTGGGAACATAGCACCAAACAGCATCCATTTGGTTGAGTGCATAAACCACACTGCAGAGGATAGTGTCCTAGAGTTATCCAGTCAAAAGATGGGGAAGCTGAGACATTCATTCATATATCAGGGCTTTGGTAAACCTATGAGGTGGGACATTGGCATGGTGATGTAACTGTACATCAGTCATGCTGAACCCAGGCGGGTGAAAAGCACGTACAAGGACCAAAAGTATTTGTTCTATGTAGAATATATTCAGAATATAAATACAGAGGATTTTTCTTTATTGCCAGTGAATTTCCAGCACCCATACAAGTGCCCTGCACATAGGTTCATATGAGTGGCTTAACAAGTATCTGTTGAATAAGATGAAATAATTGAGCATGAGTAAACAATAAATCAATTAATAAATGAAATCCTGCCTGAAAATTTTCAAATGTATTGAATATTTTAGTGTGGTTACCAGTGCCATCTTAAATGAAGACCCTCATGATCTCGAATCTGTGGCCTCCCTATAAATGTCACAGCGTCAACAATAAGCTTATCTTGCATTTGTTCTCAGTGTCTCTCTTTGCTGGCTTTGATTAGACATTATCCAGCTTAAGATAATATACTTGTTCTTTATGTTCAATATTCTCCTTTGCTCCTGAATGATGATTGAACTGAAACATGCATGAAGGCATTATTTGAGTTAAATTTTAGAAGAGTGATAGTATTTCAATAGGTGAAAATGGAGTGTAGAAAAGATCAAAAACAAACAAAAAAGTGAGGATAAGAAATCTCTAAAAGTGTGTTTTCAGGTAATTATAATTAGTGCTTAGGATATATGAATTCTATATGTGGAAGTAACAGGAAATCTTTGAAGATCTAGTTGGGGTTACAGTTTGCCAGGCCTTTTAGTACCAGGTGAAAGCATCTTCACACCTTCATAAATGCCCCAGTTACTGATAGTTCATTATGTTCTGCTTCTACAGTAATGCTCATGCTCGTTGACAGTATACCTTATGCTTTTATCTCTAACCATTCTGTCTGGATCCTCTTAGACTCTCATGCGGCTGCATCAGGTTCTTCCTACACTCTCATGTCCACATACATATATTCTCCGAGCTTTTACATTTTGAACTTCTTAATTCTCACTCACCTAATGCTTGACATTGTTTAACTTGTTATATGTTTTAAATTCACTCACCAACTACATAAGAAGCCAGCCAAGGAGAACACTAATTATTTCTGTCTCCTACACATCAGCAAGCACAATGCATACATCTAAACTCCTAGTATTCATCCCAGGAGACCAATCTTTTGTTGGGTCCCTTTCCTCTCCGCCTCCTACCCTGCACATGCTCTCGCTGGAGCTCCTGCTCTCTCTCTCCCTTCTCCTTTCTCTGTCTCCTTCCCCCTTCCTCCTCCTCACACATACACTGCCCAACACCACTCAATTTTTGCTTCTTTCCTGCATACTTTTGCTTTGACTTATTCCTGATGGAACCTTGTTTTTGTCGGCTTATTTTCCTAGATGGGAAGTGATGGAATTTTACGCCTCAGTACTTCAGCTCTAAATAATGAATTCTTTGCATATGCAGCACAAGGGTGGAAACAGCGACTGGCAGAAGGTAAATTTGTATTTTCTATTATTATGTGACATATTGGAGTACACATACCGTACTGAGCTTGTACCTTTCTCTGATTTTTCAGTCTTTTCCCCGACACAGTACACTTTAATTTAGTAAAAACTCATATCCCTTTCCAAATGAGTTCACTGATTCTTTTGTTATACTTGACATTATTGATGTCAGATATTTTTGAAGAAAGCATAATTTTATCTTGGACATCATAAAATTTTTGATGCAGCAACATTTTCTTGCGGATGGTAATTTTAATGACATTGTTTGATCCATTATGCATTCTCTTAAGCATCCTGGCACCTAAAGAAACTTCTTTTAACGCTCTCTTCCGCGGAAGTTACTGCTTCACCTTATCCTTCCTTTAATCACCAAGTTTCTTGAAAGACTACAGAATGCCCAATGCTACTGTATTTTTCCTCTTTACACACTCAAACTTTATAGTCAGGGATGGGCCCACTCTACACAACTGAAATATTCCTCCTAGAGAAGAATACTAGCCAGGCGTGGTGGCTCACTGGCCTGTTATCCCAGGACTCTGGGAGGCCTAGGCAGGCAGATCGCTTGAGCTCAGGAGTGAAGACCAGCCTAAGCAACATGGTGAAACTCCATGTCTACAAAAAATACAAAAATCAGCCAGGCATGGTGGTGCATACCTATAGTCTTCAGCAACTAGGGAGTCTAAAGTGGATGGATCACCGGGGCTCAGGAGGTCAAGGCTGCAGTGATCGACCTACTGATCATGCTACTGCACTCTAGCCAAGGCAACAGAGTGACACCCTGTCTCAAAAAAAAAAAAAAAAAAATTACTGATGGCAAATTCCAATTTTCTGTTCTCAGCCCTTACATTTCAAGTTCCTTCACCAATATCTCATTTGTTTTTTCACCCCATCCGACTTGAAACCATCTACGTTAGATTTTAAAAACAGATTATAAATTATTTTTCTTGGGCTACGTTTCTGCCAGCCCTTGCTCAGCTTTCATCAGGATCTCCTATTCTTCCATCTGATGCCTCCAGCATTTTATTTTCTAATCATAGTATTCCCTAAGCTGCCTCATTCACCACCTTGGTTTTAGCTATTGCCAGCGTGCCAAGAATTTTCAAATCTGGCTTTCACCCCCTTGCCTAATCCCCCTACTCCTTCCCCAGTGTTTTATTTTCAAATGCTTAGCAGATCTCACTAGCTAATAACAGGCACTTTTAACCAAAATGCCTAATATTAAATTCACGAGCTTCTCTTCCCTCTCAACTCCTTCTTCTGTTTCCTCTATTTCTGTAATGTCACAACTGTCCTCATAGTTCCTCAGTTTAAAACCTTACTGATGTCTTTGACCCTCTTCCTTTTCTCCACACCTATCTGGTCATGAACTGTTACTTGTACTTGACCCCTCTTCAGCATCCTGTTGCTACTGGCCCAGCTGTAATCTCCACCTTTCCTGTGTGGTATTCAGCAGTCCTATAACTGCAGTCCTCCAATTACTTCACTCTGTTGTCAGACCTGTTTTTCTACACAGCTTATTTGGCCATATTCCCTCCACACTGAATGCCACCAGAACCTCCCTCTGTCTCTCATAGAAAAATGAAGAAGTTTCTTTAGAACATCTATTGGGTAATTGGCCTCAGCTTTTATTTCCCATTTTATTTCTTGCTGTTTTACTCACAATTGGCCACTCAAAAGATCATAAACATATGGATTTGTATCTCTGTGCCTTGTGATTTAATTACTTTATAAAAGCCTGAGCAACCTTCAAAATCTAACTCAAGAATCAGCTCCTATATGTGGTCCTCCTTAATCGACCTAGGCAGAATTAAGCGCTTTACTTTCTATATTTCACTACATTTATTATTATGGCTTATACAGGGCTTCATACATTGTATTATAGTCTATTTCCAGCAGACTGATTTCCTTAAGGACAGTGAATATACGCTCTTTTATTTGTAGCCCCTAGCAGGTAATACATTTGCTAAATGCTTTAGCATTCTTCTAAAGCATTTAGCTTTAGCATTCTTCTAAAGCATTTAGCTTTAGCATTCTTCTAAAGCATTTAGCTTTAGCATTTTTATGAACATCTTGAGTGATGTTCATAAAAAGAGAAGATGTAGAAATGTTATCATTATTTGTCCTTGTACTTTTCAAGATCCATAAAAGTTTACTCAAATGAATTACATGTTTTCTTTATTAATTAGCAAAAGATGTGACCACATTTATTCAATACATTAGCATTTTCTTTTTAGGAGAGTTTACCCCAGAAATGCAGTTGCGGATAAGGCAAGAAATTGAGAAGGAAAAGAAAACAGAACCTTGGAAAGAAAAATTCTTTGAGAGGTTTTATGGAGAAAAGTAAGTACTAGAGTATTTTTTCTCATTTCTCTGAGAAAGAAATGAAAATGTAATTCTCTGCTTCACATAGCACACTCATATGCTGTAAAACTTAATAAACCTGTGATAAAAGGCAATAGTCCCTCAGTGTAAGAAATTGCAGATGAAATTATAGTGGGATATCAGCACTCAAATTTTTAAAAAATGCATTTTCAAGGGTTTATAACTTGTTCATGAAATTTTATTTTGGGCTGAAAATAGCACATGAAATCTTAAAGTAGTCACTTTTGAATTTCTTAATAGATTTGAGTAAAATTATCCTGTTTTCAAGTATGTTCATGAATTAATGCTTTATAGATAAATAATTTTAGTCATGTATTTAATTCTCACACTTTTCTAAAAATATTGACTGTGTCTAATGCATTTTAATCTTTGTTTAGTCCTTCTTTTGGGGAGAGCCTGAAATGTTATCTTTTGCTTTATCTTCCTCTTCAAATGTCATCTGTCTTTATTATCTGTATGTGTGCTGCTTTTTTTAAGTGACATGAGCGTTTACATCATAGCGTGGTAGCAAATGAACTAACCCTGAAAGCAGTTTCACCTTTGCCTCAGGTTTAACAGAGACACATTCTGCTTTGGCAATATTAGTGTCTTAGACAATCAGATCCCTAAAAAAGGAGGGGTTTAAGAACTTACTATTGACGGTCACTTCAGATCCCCCTTAGAGGAACTTATGCTCCAACTCCCACATACAAACCAATACTTGAAAGTTGTTATTTTGTGTAAAGGACACAGATGGTTGCAGGTAACAAGACCTATGTCATGTGATCTCATTTCACAAAATTACACTTGTAAATGGGGAAAAGAAAGACATGCCAGAAGGAGTCTCACGTGAGAGCTCTTCATGTAAAGAAATTAGATAATTAACAGACTGCTTGGAATAGGGTGCTCAGAGTATGCTACCCTTCATGAATTGTCCTAAATGGCAGTCCTTTTGAGTAGGAAGGCCTGTTTTTAATTGCTGTGCCAGGATATATATATTTTTAAGCAAAACCAAATAAAGATAATTAATGTCTTTTCTCAAAGATTAAAAATGTGACAAGCTAGTTGTTATATGTCTTCACATGAAGTCACCAACAATATCACTCAAGCCTGGCTGCATCAAAATCTAGGAGTTGAGCCCAGGAGTCTGTGTTTTGGAAGCTTTCCAGGTCATGCTGATGCCCAGCAGGATTAAGAACCCTGGAGGATAAGATTAAAGACCACTTAGGAGCCTTCTTCCCTCTGCTTTTGCCTATGAAAGAAAATGCGGGGAGCTCTCTTTTTAGTAATGGCAGAAGCATAACTGAGATAGTACCTCCAAAGCATTGGTTCTTAATTTTTTAGTGATAGACCCATTCTTTTATTAATTTAATGTATTTATCTAACATCTCCTCTGTGCCAGACACTCTCTTGGATGCCAGGGATGCAACTGTTTGTAGGACTACCTAAGCTCTGCTCCCAGAGAGCCTCAGTTCAAGGGACCTACATTACAGAGAGCTTTCTTTCATGCAAAAAATAATCATTGAGTATACACTGGCTCTGATGTGTTTCTAAGAGCTTTGCAAATATTTCATTTAATCCTCCCAACAATTCCATAAGATGGATACCATTATTCATAATTTTTTTAACTTAGGAAGCTGAGGGAAAGTGAAGCTAAGTAATTTCCCCAGGTTTATAACCGTGAGGTTATTAAATAACTTGCTTGGGGTCTTAATCCTGCAAATCCTTCTCAGAAAAATTCACATACATGCACAATTTTTGCATGAAACTTAGGGGCTTTCCAGATTCCCTTGGATATCAGATCTAGGGCCCCTTCCCTAGAAGATGACAGCTATGATATTATAAATAAACATGACCCCCTCATTGCCGTCACCAAGCTCTGAATACAAAGCATGCTTCTACTTAGCCCTTTTTTTTGCTGTAGTTTATCAGTAGCTTTTGTGCTCTCACATCACTGGACTTTTCTCTTGATCTTTTTTATCTTTCATCACATGTTGCATGGCAGATACATTTTGAACATTTCATTGACTGCCCTTCTTTGTTGCCCCCAGGTTACCTTTATTCCCCCACCACCAGCCAGTTTTTAGTTGACTGACACCACGTGCCTTTTCATTGCTGTACGCTTTTTCAAAAATGTGTCTAAACATTCATACTAGTGTGCAGTTAAGATCTGTCTGATTTAGTTTTCAATTTTTTTAGATATTTATTATGATTCTCACTTGCCTAATCTCTTTGTAATATATTATTGTATATTTGGTTTACATCACTTGTATAAATGCCAAGTATTACAGGGCTTGGCTTGTGAACTTGTGTCTAGATTTCTGGAGGCCAGGGTTTTCCTTTGCGTAGTATGGGGAACTGTGAACATCTTCCTCCTATGCCTTATGCAATCTTAAATCTATTTTTCCGTGAAAATAAGAAAATGTTGACATGGGTATATTTTATACAGTGCTGTTGTACATATACACTTACCTATATGTATATTTAATAATATTATTAACCAACTAGCAGAAATTTGGCTGCCAGTGGATAGATTTCTGAATGTTACATACTTATTCTAGTATCAGTGGTACCTCTGCTTGACCTAGTCCCAAGGAACCGTATTTCTTGCAGATTATTCTGCTTTAAATTTATCTGTAATGTTGTTTTTCTGATACTCTCAGTATAGTATAGTTATAAATTGTAGCTTAGTTTGAATTCATCTTAGAGAACATTGAAAGGAAAGAGAATATGTATGAAGGCAGTATTTTCTACCTTTTCAGAGATTTCTGAATTTAAATAAAGAAGGCTATGGCCAAATACCCAAAAACTGTATTCAACATTATTTCCCTTTCACATTGAGGATTTTTAAAAAGCAAAGGTTAAAGTGGTTTTCACTGAGGTATTGTTTGCATCAATGTTACCATGACTATATTTCTTCACTTAAATGTTCTTTTTCCTCTAGAAATGTTCTCTCTCCTGCTTATCTTTCTCATTGCCTTTACGCTAATTTAACTTCATTTAGAGCAGCATATTTCTCTACCATCTGATGCTGACAGTGTAAATTATATGATAGAAAACAGTGATTTACAGTACCCTTGATTGTAACTCTGATTAGATTTGCCTTAAGACCTGAACATCATGCTCAATTATTTCTTGATTTTCTGTACCTATCACGTATGGAATATCTTTACAGTAAGAGATCTGCATAAAAGAATTTAAAAGTCTTGCTTCACACAAATGTAAGCTGGTAGAATAACTTTGATAACCCCAAATATGTTCTGTTATTCTTTAATGAAATTTGCATGTTGTCTTAGGTTAGACAGTTAGATGCCAAAATAAGGTGATTGAGTAATACTTCTTAGATTAGTTTACAAAAACCAATCTTTGGAACTCATTTCAATTTCAGAATTTGATGAATTTCATTCATCTTCCGTTCATCTTAATTTCTTGGTTTTCTTACATCCTCTGAAAACTATATAATTTTCTATTATAAGAGCATCTTTCTACTTGCAGATTTAAAAAATATATATTTTATACGTTATTTTGCTTTTCTGCTCATATTTTCTAATACTTTGTTGTATGTAATTTTCTTATTCCTTTATTAACACTTGGTAAGGCTCGTATCTCCTTACTTTACAAAATAAAAATCTAGACTGTTCTTAACCAGCAGTAGAGTTTTAGTTGAGATTATAAAAGCAGCAAAGAAGCATCATCATTATAAACTGGTTTACATAAATTAAGCATGTTAGTGATTATAAATATTTTCTAATACTTTGTTGTATGTAATTTTCATATTCCTTTACTAACACTTGGTAAGGCTCCTATCTCCTTGCTTTACAAAATAAAAATCTAGACTGTTCTTAACCAAAAGCAGAGTATTAGTTGAGATTATAAAAGCAGCAAAGAAACATCATCATTGTAAACTGGTTTACATAAATTAAGCATGTTAATGATTATAAATGTAATTTGATGCATTTACTTCTATTGAATACTACATTCATGAGAGATCCCAGTTGTACCTTTTATGTTTTGTGGTTGAGCAATAATTTATTTCTAATTTCTGTACAGGCTGGGCATGTCAAGAGAGGAATCTGTGAAGCTCACTACTGGACCAAACAACGCTGGAGCTCAAAGTAGTTCTTCATGTGGGACTTCTGGCCTTCCAGTTTCTGCACAGACAGCCTTGGCAGAACAACAGCCAAAAAGCATGAAAAGCCCAGCTTCTCCAGAGCCTGGTTTCTGTGCTACTCTTTGCCCTATGGTAGAAATTCCACCTAAAGATATAATGGCAGAATTGGAGTCAGAGGATATCTTGATCCCTGAAGAATCTGTAATTCAGGAGGAAATTGCAGAAGAGGTAGAGACTAGTATCTGTGAATGCCAGGATGAAAATCATAAGACAATACCTGAATTTTCTGAGGAGGCTGAAAGTCTAACCAATTCTCATGAAGAACCCCAAATAGCACCTCCTGAAGATAACTTGGAATCCTGTGTTATGATGAATGATGTTTTAGAAACTTTGCCTCATATTGAAGTTAAGATAGAAGGGAAGTCAGAATCACCCCAGGAAGAAATGACAGTTGTTATCGATCAGTTAGAAGTCTGTGACTCTCTTATTCCTTCCACTTCATCTATGACTCATGTCAGTGACACAGAACATAAGGAGTCAGAAACTGCAGTAGAGACCAGTACCCCCAAAATAAAAACAGGGTCATCTTCTCTAGAAGGCCAGTTTCCAAATGAAGGAATTGCTATAGATATGGAGCTACAGAGTGACCCTGAAGAACAGCTTTCAGAAAATGCCTGCATCTCTGAAACGTCCTTTTCTTCTGAGAGCCCAGAGGGAGCCTGTACCAGCCTGCCTTCTCCAGGAGGGGAAACACAGTCCACATCAGAAGAATCATGTACTCCAGCCTCCCTTGAGACAACATTTTGTTCTGAGGTATCTAGCACTGAAAATACAGACAAATACAACCAGAGAAATTCCACTGATGAAAACTTTCATGCATCTTTGATGTCAGAAATATCTCCAATATCCACTTCACCTGAAATATCAGAAGCATCTCTTATGTCCAACTTACCATTAACATCTGAAGCATCACCAGTATCCAACTTACCTTTAACATCAGAAACCTCACCGATGTCTGACTTACCTTTAACATCAGAAACTTCTTCAGTGTCTTCCATGCTTCTCACCTCTGAGACCACTTTTGTATCCAGTTTGCCACTTCCTTCAGAAACATCTCCAATTTCCAACTCTTCCATAAATGAGAGAATGGCACATCAGCAAAGAAAGTCACCTTCTGTATCTGAAGAGCCACTCTCCCCGCAGAAAGATGAGTCTTCCGCCACTGCCAAACCTCTGGGAGAGAACCTTACCTCCCAGCAGAAGAATCTGTCTAATACTCCCGAACCCATCATAATGAGTTCTTCTTCCATTGCTCCTGAAGCATTTCCGTCTGAAGATTTGCACAATAAGACCCTGAGTCAGCAAACCTGTAAATCACATGTTGACACTGAGAAGCCCTACCCTGCTTCAATTCCAGAACTTGCTTCTACTGAAATGATAAAAGTTAAAAATCATAGCGTCCTGCAAAGAACAGAAAAAAAAGTGTTACCTTCACCATTGGAATTATCTGTCTTTTCTGAAGGGACAGATAATAAGGGAAATGAGCTTCCATCTGCTAAATTACAGGACAAGCAATATATCTCATCAGTGGATAAGGCTCCATTTTCAGAAGGCTCTAGAAATAAAACACATAAGCAAGGGAGTACACAGAGTCGGTTAGAAACCTCACATACTTCCAAGTCATCAGAGCCCTCCAAGTCACCTGATGGGATAAGAAATGAAAGTAGAGATTCAGAGATATCAAAGAGAAAAACTGCAGAGCAACACAGCTTTGGAATCTGTAAGGAAAAGAGAGCTAGGATAGAAGATGATCAGTCAACCCGGAACATATCATCTAGCAGCCCACCTGAGAAAGAACAGCCTCCCAGAGAGGAACCAAGGGTTCCCCCTCTCAAGGTATGGTATTAAATAAACAAAAGGCAATTCCGTAGATAGGCTTTTCCTATTTAGAAGCCTAATTTTTCAAGAGTAATTAGATTTTCTTCCTTCTAGGTTTTATGCAGCAGTTTATAATCTAATCCTCTAATAGTAAATGATCCTCTTTATGACTATGTACTGAATTCATAAAAGCAGTTTAGATACATGCATATGTTTAGACCCAGCATTAAAGGAAAAAGAATTGAGAGAGAATAGGGCCTGGAAATGTCTCCAGGCCACTGAGACACCTGGGTTTATGGGGATTTCAAGGTGTAGTACAGAGACCTATGTAAACCTGGGAAAATGTGAAAGATAATTTAGTTTTCTATAAAAGTTCTTTAGAGAACTTACACCATAAACCCAGTGTAATTTTTTCTAAGTTTCTGCTCTCTGTCACTTATACTGACTTGATGCTTTTATCTAAGTGCATTTATACTGTTGTACAGTAAAGTGGATTATTCCATCATAGCATTGGTCTAGAATTATAAACATCTCAAGCTTTTTAAATTAAAAATATTATGCTTTATATGTAGATATAAAATCTACAAAATTTTCATTTTATGTATGACTCATGTTCTCCACAGGCTGACTTTAAAATTATGGTTGTACTTACTCTTTTTAATAAAGCAGTCTCTAGTAAGCAAGATTCTAGAGGTGTAAAAGATGAGCATTAAGTTCAATTAAAAACTTACTATGCATTTTAATTTCCGAAGCAATAGAAATAATAATATAAACTTTCCATAGGAGATATTTTTAAACATGCCAGTCTGTCAAAAGCTTATTTTCAAAGTCATATGGACTTTATGTAAAGATAGATAGATAACAACATGAGGGAAATTTGTAGTCATGGAAATGTTCTGAATCTTAATTGCATCAATGTCAGTATCCTGGTTGTGATATGTTAGAATCTTGCAAGATGTTACTATCTTGCCATATTATTGAGCATATTAATTAATAAATTAAGCACTGATGTGAAAAAAAGGTAAATACTACAAGAATATTTGATGTTTGGTCTTAAGAGCTCTTGCTTAAGGATATTTAAGTTTATTTAAAATATGTTTAATTTTTTACATAGGAGAAATATTAAAAGAGCAAATTGAATCTTCTCCTCAAAACTATCTTTTCTTTTTTTGGCCTTTGGAATAGAACAGAGACTTCACAAGCAGTTTGAAAATGAGAAACAAGATAGCTCAGGAAGACAATTTCATCCATCAAAGTTCCAAAGCATAATTCTAAATTGATATGTATAATCTGGAGAAAAAGGAAACAGAATACATGGAAACACCACCAAATGGGAAGTCCAAAGGCTCTAGTCACTCACTAGTTATATAATCCCAAGGCAAACTACTTTACCTGCACAGCCTCAGTTTCCTCAACTGTGAAATGAGGGATGTCAACTAGAGTCTTTCCAGCTCTACACAGCCATGACTAAGAATGCTTTTAGTGACTAGAGCAACACAGCCTTGCTATGGAATGCTGGCTGTTAGACCTTGTGCCTCATGAATTTGGTGATGACTCTGCGAGTCTCTTAATTACCAAGAATTGGTAAACAGTATGGGTTGGGACGTTTACAAAATTCAGCAGATTGTGGATTACCAATATCAAAAGAAACTGCCCAATGCATAAATCCTTTAGAGACAGAAAATCAGAGTTTCCCTTGCTTTTATGCAAATGCAATGATAATACAATCCCTTTGGAAAACAGAACACGCTGACAAATGTAGTCTCATTCCATCTTTAAAACAGCCCTTTGAAGGAAATAGATCAGAAATAACTAGTCCCATTTTACAACTGAGTTTACAAACTTCTCTTGTGTTCTTATATGTATAAAGCAGCATGCAAGGTAGCATAGGAGTGCATAAAAATCATAGAGTTCTTGGCTCAGAGAGATTATTGGAGAAACTGAGGTACACAATGATTAGCCTAGGATCACAAAGTTCCTTTGTGTAAAGTCAAAATGAGAATTCTAGTTGTCAATATCTCAGTCAGGGCTTTTTTCTTTGGGTCAAATTAAGACAGACAAACTCAAATAGAGTTGAAGTTCCACTTTTTTATGCCACTAAAAAAGATATTTCAAAATTAAATATCTTGAAGTCTTTCTTTTTAGCCTACTACACTTCTAGAAGCATGAATTTTGTATCCATTTGTATGATGCATTAAGAAGATTCTTCATTTCCATGCCAAATGAAGTTACAATGGATGTTTTTGTAGATTAAAAAACAGATTAAAAACTTAATTTTTTCCATTCATACTACGTTTCTTATTGCTTTATGCCCTAAGGGTGCATCCAGGGATTTAGGTGTAGTTCATGGCATATTAGGAGAGAATGCAGCTAGTCTTTTCCCTTGCATTATCACATTCTACGTGCCTCCTCTGTGATCATGTATGAAGCACATTATATTTTTTTTTCTGTCCTCCTTTTAGATTCAGCTTTCCAAAATTGGGCCACCTTTTATAATCAAGAGCCAACCAGTCTCCAAACCTGAGTCTCGAGCATCCACTAGCACATCTGTCAGTGGCGGGAGGAACACAGGAGCCAGGACCCTCGCAGATATCAAGGCCCGGGCCCAACAAGCTCGGGCCCAGCGAGAGGCTGCTGCAGCTGCTGCTGTGGCTGCTGCAGCGAGCATTGTCTCTGGAGCCATGGGAAGTCCAGGAGAGGGTGGAAAGACGAGAACTCTGGCACACATCAAAGAGCAGACAAAGGCTAAGCTCTTTGCAAAGCATCAAGCTCGAGCCCATCTCTTCCAGACCTCTAAAGAGACCCGGTTGCCTCCTCCGCTCAGCTCAAAGGAAGGGCCTCCAAACTTAGAAGTCTCTTCTACCCCTGAAACAAAAATGGAAGGTTCGACTGGTGTCATTATTGTCAATCCAAACTGTAGATCTCCTAGCAACAAGTCTGCCCACCTCCGGGAGACCACCACTGTACTACAGCAGTCTCTTAACCCAAGTAAACTTCCAGAAACTGCCACTGACTTATCTGTGCATAGTTCTGATGAAAACATACCTGTGTCACATTTATCTGAGAAAATTGTTTCATCTACCTCTTCTGAAAATAGCAGTGTGCCCATGCTTTTTAATAAAAATTCTGTCCCTGTATCTGTTTGCAGCACTGCTATATCGGGAGCAATTAAAGAACATCCCTTTGTGAGTTCTGTTGATAAATCCTCTGTCCTAATGTCTGTTGACAGTGCAAACACTACAATTTCTGCTTGTAATATAAGCATGTTAAAAACCATCCAGGGAACTGACACTCCATGCATAGCCATTATACCAAAATGTATTGAAAGCACTCCCATTTCAGCCACTACAGAGGGCTCCAGCATATCAAGCTCCATGGATGATAAGCAGTTACTAATATCAAGCAGCAGTGCTAGTAACTTAGTCTCCACTCAGTACACCTCTGTGCCAACTCCCTCCATCGGAAACAATTTGCCAAACCTCTCCACTAGCTCTGTCTTGATTCCCCCAATGGGAATTAACAACAGATTTCCTTCTGAGAAGATAGCCATACCTGGGAGTGAAGAACAGGCCACTGTATCCATGGGTACCACTGTGAGAGCAGCCCTCAGCTGCAGTGATTCTGTAGCGGTCACAGACTCTCTGGTTGCACACCCGACCGTCGCAATGTTTACTGGAAACATGCTGACAATAAACTCTTATGATAGTCCTCCCAAGTTAAGTGCTGAAAGCTTGGACAAAAATTCAGGGCCTCGAAACAGGGCAGATAATTCTGGAAAACCTCAGCAACCACCAGGGGGCTTTGCACCAGCAGCCATAAACCGATCAATTCCGTGTAAAGTCATCGTTGACCACAGCACCACGCTGACCTCCAGTTTGTCTCTGACTGTCTCCGTTGAAAGCTCAGAAGCCAGCTTGGACCTGCAGGGCAGACCAGTGAGGACAGAGGCATCCGTACAGCCCGTGGCGTGTCCTCAGGTGTCTGTGATTAGCAGGCCTGAGCCAGTTGCCAACGAAGGTATAGATCACAGTTCCACTTTCATTGCTGCTTCGGCAGCAAAACAAGACAGTAAAACATTGCCGGCCACCTGCACAAGTCTCCGAGAATTACCCCTTGTTCCAGATAAATTAAATGAGCCGACTGCTCCCAGTCATAACTTTGCTGAGCAGGCACGTGGCCCAGCTCCTTTCAAAAGTGAAGCAGACACAACCTGTAGCAATCAGTATAACCCAAGTAACCGGATTTGCTGGAATGATGATGGGATGAGGAGCACAGGACAGCCTCTGGTTACTCACTCGGGTTCAAGTAAACAAAAAGAATATCTAGAGCAAAGCTGTCCAAAGGCTATCAAAACTGAACATGCCAACTACTTGAACGTGTCAGAACTTCATCCCAGGAATCTTGTAACAAATGTTGCTCTTCCTGTGAAATCTGAACTTCACGAAGCAGACAAGGGCTTTAGAATGGACACTGAAGACTTCCCTGGCCCTGAGCTGCCTCCTCCGGCTGCAGAGGGAGCCTCTAGTGTACAACAAACACAGAACATGAAAGCTTCCACCTCAAGTCCCATGGAAGAGGCTATTTCCTTGGCTACCGATGCCCTGAAGAGAGTCCCTGGTGCAGGGAGCTCAGGCTGTCGTCTGTCCTCTGTGGAGGCTAACAATCCGCTGGTGACGCAGTTACTACAGGGCAACCTGCCTTTGGAAAAAGTGTTGCCACAGCCCAGATTGGGAGCCAAGCTTGAAATCAACAGGCTTCCATTGCCTCTTCAAACTACCTCAGTGGGTAAAACAGCACCAGAGAGAAACGTTGAAATTCCGCCCAGCTCTCCAAATCCAGATGGTAAGGGCTACTTGGCAGGGACTCTGGCACCACTCCAAATGAGAAAGCGAGAAAACCACCCCAAAAAGAGAGTAGCTAGGACTGTAGGAGAACACACTCAAGTTAAATGTGAACCAGGAAAATTGTTGGTGGAGCCAGATGTTAAAGGGGTGCCTTGTGTCATCAGTTCCGGCATCAGTCAGCTAGGACACAGCCAGCCATTTAAGCAAGAATGGCTAAACAAGCACTCCATGCAGAACAGAATTGTTCACAGCCCTGAGGTCAAACAGCAAAAGCGGCTGCTCCCCTCGTGTAGCTTCCAGCAGAACCTATTTCATGTTGACAAGAATGGCGGCTTCCACACTGACGCTGGTACCTCACACAGACAGCAGTTTTACCAAATGCCTGTGGCTGCCAGGGGCCCCATTCCTACTGCAGCTCTGTTACAGGCCTCTTCCAAGACCCCAGTGGGGTGTAATGCATTTGCCTTCAACAGGCATCTTGAACAGAAGGGATTGGGAGAGGTTAGTCTTTCCTCAGCACCTCACCAGCTAAGGTTAGCCAACATGTTATCCCCCAATATGCCCATGAAAGAAGGTGATGAGGTGGGAGGCACTGCACACACAATGCCAAACAAAGCACTAGTACATCCGCCGCCGCCACCGCCTCCCCCTCCCCCTCCACCCTTGGCTTTGCCCCCGCCTCCCCCCCCACCACCTCCGCTACCTCCACCTCTCCCTAATGCAGAAGTCCCATCTGATCAAAAACAACCTCCAGTTACCATGGAAACCACTAAGAGACTTAGTTGGCCACAGTCCACGGGCATATGTAGCAATATAAAATCGGAACCTCTTTCTTTTGAGGAAGGTTTAAGCAGCAGCTGTGAACTGGGCATGAAACAAGTTTCCTATGACCAGAATGAAATGAAAGAACAGTTAAAAGCATTCGCGCTAAAAAGTGCAGATTTCTCTTCCTATTTGCTTTCTGAGCCACAAAAGCCTTTTACCCAATTAGCTGCTCAGAAAATGCAGGTGCAGCAACAACAGCAGCTCTGTGGAAATTATCCAACAATACACTTTGGTAGCACGAGTTTCAAAAGGGCAGCATCTGCAATTGAAAAGTCCATTGGGATTTTGGGAAGTGGCTCCAATCCTGCCACAGGCTTGTCTGGTCAGAACGCTCAGATGCCCGTTCAGAACTTTGCCGACAGCAGCAATGCAGATGAATTGGAACTGAAATGCTCTTGCCGGCTGAAAGCCATGATTGTGTGCAAAGGCTGTGGGGCCTTCTGCCATGACGACTGCATAGGTCCTTCAAAACTTTGTGTAGCATGCCTGGTTGTACGATAAGAGCTGAGTGAAAGATGCAGTATCCCTTTTCCACACGGAAAAGCCAAATAGCATCAGCAACAACAAATAGAATAATGCAGTGGTTTCTATCATGCTAATTTATTTTGCTTTGGAGCAGGTACCTTTCCTCTATGGCATTATTTTCTTGCATTTCTCATAAAGGGGAGGATGCATCCCAACTGAATGGCTCACTGGCATGTCTTTTATGTGTTCAGTTGCCATTCCTAGCTTTGGAAAGTTTCTATCTGTCCATGTGTATACAAGTCAATGCCCCATTTTTGTTTTTCTTTTAACCGAGGTGTAGATAGGAAAAGGACATTTTTAATTACTTAATAACCGGAAATGCAGATGTGTAAGGAGAATGAGAGGAATGAGTTAAAGTGGTTATGCATTTTTCTATAGATGAGCCATTACAGCAAGGAATTTTACAGTTGACTTCTCTGAACCTAGCTTTACCACAGTGATTAAATCCTATTTAGAAAGGGGAATCTGATTTAAATGTGTGATTCCTTGTATTTGCTCCTATCACAAAAGATATATTAAAGGAGGTATGCCATTAATGAAATCCACTGTCCTGAGTATTATCTTTCCTCCTGTTGTACTTTCTCAGAGACTATGGCAGAATATCTGGATCTTCCTTGGATTTTGTACACATATTGTAGTGAAATGTGTCCTACATCTGAAATTGCATGGGACTCATGCCCAGCAATCTGGTTCTAGGCCTTTGACACCTGATAATATGAGAGCAATTGGCCAGCCAATAGCCATAAGCCCAGAGGATTTTAGAGCTTCATGTGTGGCTTTTAAGAGCAGGTTTGAAAAAAAAAAAAAAAAGACCCTAAACTTCAAAGCAAGGAAATAAGATGCTGTATATGCACACATAAATGCATTGATAATGTAAATATCCTATTCACGCTAATGAATTACTAGATATTAAAAGTGGGGGGTGGAAATCATTGTAGCCCTTTATTGATGACACCCATTCATTCTGGCTTCAGACCTTGCAGAGGTTGGCCATATCTTTTTAAAAGTGTCATTGATGATAAAAGGGACTACCCAAGGCTAAAGCGTCAACATTTTTCAGAACAATTGCTTTTCTCATTATTTACAACCTATATAATTCAACTTTGAAATAACCCTTATTTTGAAAAAAACTGTTCTAGGTATGGCATGTTTTGTTTTTTCCCTCAGGTATATTCAATACATTCTTCATATTTGGGGGAACTGCTTTTGAAAAAGGGATACTGCATCTTAACAGTTATCTTCAGTGTGCATCCAGTAAAGTCTGCGTGTTGAGTATTTGAGCTACATTCCATATATTTTGGCCACCCTCATACCAGAGGACAGCCGTAGTTCAGGAGGCTCTGTTTTCAAAAGCAAGTTCAAAAGCACATGCACATTGAGGGAAGATGAAAGAAAACAAAAACCAACCATGCCCATTTAACTTCAGATTACAGAGCACAAAATGTGGAGTGCCATTAACCCATTGATTGATTGTGGCTGTAGAATTTAAAAAGCAAACATGGGGGGGGTGGGGAATCATCTGTATCCAGGGTAAGAATGACCAATATTTTCACATGGGATCATCCTAATCACTGTAAACTTTTTGACATTCCCGTAAAACACGTCTTAAAAGTTGACTGGAATGAGCAGAAATTACATTCCTGAAAACAAGAACACTTGTGATTTTTTTATAATAACCAACTATATAATATGTTTTTTTCTCCGTATTTATTGTGATGTTGCCAAATTTCTTTCTTTAGGTGATAGAGACATCATTTCGAATAACAAATTGCTGATAGTGAGAGGTACTTTACTTTATCTTAGAAAGAAAGAAAAGGCCTGCTGCTGTAGCCATGATTTTGGTGCTTCAGTACTGTCATTTCTGTTTTTCACAGTAAAATTGGCAAAACTAATGACTGAGAAAGTTAGTTAGCAATGCACTTAACCAGCCTTACCCGAGGAAAGCAGCATAAGTTCCAGTGGATCCTTAGTTTTCTCTTCACTGCCTGCCAGGTTGTGTTGGGGTGGCATCCTTATCAGTGGTGTCTTTGTCTGCCTGGCTCTGATATCATCCTGATTTCGAAGATCATGCTGTTAGTCTCACAGCGGGGCACCCCTATAATATAGACACTTGCATGCCAACTCCTTCCAAATTCATTCACTGCTATACCAGTGTCAGATACTGTCTACACCAGCAAATTGAAAACCATCACATCAGTAACTGACATGGTGTCGGAAGAAACTCCAGTCTACAGAACCTTTGCACTCAGTATGTGAGGTACAATTGAGGCTGATGAGATACTGAGCTCATTATCAGTTCCTTCATTGTTGAATACTGCCTGCAAGTTGCTTATTGGGAATAAGAAAAAGTGTCCTTCTGTATGTTTTGATTTTTCACATAACAGGCTTGGAGAATCAGTTGTTGATAGTGCATGGATTCTATCATCCAGGTCCGATTAGCATAATTTTTCTGCGCCCTTTTTTTTTTTTTTTTTGCTCCAGTTCAAATTCCTAGTGTTCTCATATGGTTTATATTACTGAAAAATTAATATCTTTAAGCTAAAATATAAGGGAAAGGAAGAAGAGAAATTTAGATGTAAAATGTGGGTCAGATATTTTATAGGTTTCCATTTAATATATATATACACACAAAATCCAGTATATTCTGAGTAGGTTCTTAGTTTTCTGATTTCTACATGTGTCTGCTATGTGCAAATGTAGTATATTATTTACTACATGGTTATTGTGGTGTAGTGTGCAAATGTTAGCATGTGCATTATCCTGATTACTGGACACAGTTTTATTCTTATCAGGAATAGAACTTGCACATGTACCATACAATTTTTTTTTTTTTAATCACAAAGGATGTATTTCCCTAAGTAGCACTTTTGGAGCAGGGGAAGGAAGAAAACTGCTATTCCCTAATCCTCCTCCTATAAGATATGCATATGCCTGAGGTGTATAAAGACATTTAGGTTAGTTAATGGGCATGTTAATAAGAGCATTGTGATGCAAATTCATTTTCAAAATGAAAATAATTTTTTCTTCCCCAAAATGAGAATAGTAGAAATTTTGGTGAACTGAGCACCATAGTTATATAATATTTCCCTGCGAAGGTCTAGTTTGAAGAAAAAAAAAACTTGAAAACAAACCTATGAGGTTGAGCCTGGTTGCTATAAAGACTTTGGGATGGTATGTGTTTCTGGGATGAGCTATATAGAAAGTTTAGTTGACTGCTGGACCTTGGATATTCTTACTCGGTTCAAAATACACAAAAACAAGCTGGTACATATGGTGCTTTATAATGCAGTCGAGAGTAAGAATACATGTTGCTGTAGCCCCATTTCCTTTACAAACCCCCGCACAATTTCAAAAGTGGAAGTTACCGTGGCCTCTGGTTTCCCAGTTCCTCCGTGGTGTAATGAAGTCCCAGGTTTTAGAAGCTGAAGCCAAGCCTAGGGTAGCATCGTCTGTACGGTGGTGAGGCCCAGCACAGCGGTAGCTGCCTAGTGGGAATGACCCCCTGAGCATGCAGAGCCCAGAGTCACTGTCCATCTGCGTTCCCAGAGAACAATTGTGAAGAGTCCTAGAACAGGAACTCTGAATCAGACTGTCAGGGGCCTATGTAGCCAAAATGTTACTAAATATAAAATTCCTGTCGTCTTCAGTCTTCATGCTTTGTCACTGTAAAAAGAACAAAAAGCATTTTTACTATAATTTAAAGGAGCTGCTTTTTTATAGCACATACTATTTCGCTTTGTACTATATTTGATAGTTGCAGAATAATTTAGACTGTAGAAAAACTTTGTTGTATTTGTACTGTTCTTGAATGTTTCAAAGAAAGTGCTTTACTTGGTTGCCATAATTTTCTTGTACTGCTGTATTCCCCTCCTTCCCCTGCTTCATGGAAACCTGATATGATACATATTTTCAGTAGTTTTTTTTTTTTAATGTGTGTTCGTTTGTACAATTTTTTTTTTTTGGTCAGTATTCTGAATGTTTACATCTGTTTGACATTAGCCATTTAATGCCTTTTTTAAAGGCGGTATTACTCCTACAGTGTAACAGCAAAATGTGAAATCAACCCAAACATAACATGCATGACAAACACAGATTGGGGGCGAAGGCCCTGAACCTACATAGACATTTTATATCAGCATACAGAAAAGTAAAATCCTCCTTCAGTCCTCTACCAAAGAATATATTATTCCCACAGGAAAAACTCAGAAAAGGTGTGTAAAATCCTCAGAAGGGGGAGCAGTTGATTCAGTAAGACTGCGACAATTTAATACTGTTACGCTTGCTTTGATACCTGACTAAATGTGACTGAGTGCAACAAGCATTTAAGAAAATTTTTAGACAGTGTTTTGTTTAGAATTCAGGGATCATGCATTCTTTAATGGTGCTGTTTGTTTTTTATTTCTTTTCTACAAAGAAAACAAGTGTTGCCTACAAAAGTGACTGCTCACAATACCATAAGTTAAATGAAATGAAATGTTTGTCTCTTCATGTTTCTCTGTCTTTCCCTTTCTCAAAGTAACAACTTGGGTTTCAATATTAAGATATTCTGGAGAAAATAAAGAAATTAAACATGAAATAATTGTCATTTTTAATTTTTTAATGAAATGAAGTAATTTATATATGTTAAATGTACTAATAATTGGAAATTCTATTTAAAATTTATAGGGACAACTTAAACCATATACTCTTAAATTACCCACGCTTCTTTTTGGTAATGGTGACTTGTCAACATATGGTTATAACTATGGTTAAAACAGGAAAAGCTAAAACTGAAACTTCAGAAATTGTAGCTGTTACTCTTATCATTTAAGACTATATTTGGACTTTCTGTTTTCATTAAGATCTTAATTTTTTATACCAAAAAGCATTCAGGTAAACAAATTGTTACTATCACATGTATTTTTAACTTTCAAAATGAATAATTCAGAAAATGATCCCTTAGAAGAATTGCTTTGGTTAATTTTTTAAAATCCTACATGAAATATTGTAACTAGAGTTACTTGAATGAAATGCTGTGAGCCATTAAAACAAAATTGCTTCAGTTATATTTACATAGGTTAAAGAAATACGCATATCTTTTCAGTAAGATGGATCAAAGCATTAAACACAGTTGGCTGTTAAATCTCCTGTTTTTCATCTACACAGAAGATGTTGTGTTTAGCCACCAGATGGCGAAAGAGGATATTTACTTTTGTAGGAAAAAAGAAAATACTTTTTCCTCCTACAAAAACCAAATTTAATAATATTAAAAGTCAAATTTATTCAGGTAAGCCAGTAGAGGATGGATATTTCTACATTAATTACATTATTTTCACGACAATGATGATGCTTTTTTGTTCCACTGTTTTTTCTACTAACATATTTACAAAATGCTTTCTTAATTTTATTTAGAATTGCAGTTTGTTTTAAAAATTTTTTCTCATTGCATTACCCCACAGGCATTATCTAGTCCAAAACCTATTAGGATAAAACTGAACAGCTCAGCATTCTCTAAGCTGTCGCTTAGTGAAACTTATCTGAATGCTTGTGTGTTTTTATTTTCATAAAAGTACAATGACACAATTCTTGTATAAATGTGCCATTATTTTTAATACAATAATGTAGCCTAATTTGAATTATAATTTATGTTAGGATCTAAAGTATTTATTTGTATCCATCATAGCACTTATCAAAGAACAAGTGATTTATCCAGTATTTATTCACATAAATACTTCATTGTAATCAAACATAATTATGTTATTTACAAGGAACCCAGCTAGCAGTGTAGTTGATAGAACAGTTTTGGGCTTCTTGCTAGAGAAGAGAATTGAACAGAAATCCTAGAAAGTGTTTCACATCCCATAAAATTATTTGAAGTCTTTCTTTAACTGTAGATCGCCTAGACTGAATATTTCAAGTGAAGATCACACACAGTGCTTCACAGTGATCTGCAAAAATGAAAAGTTGAAATAATCAAATGTCACAACTAATTTAGAAGTCTAAATTGAGTGATGAACCCAGTACTCATCCCTATAGAAACTTTTAACCAAGTTGCCAATGTAACTACCATAGACTCACTACTTAGAGGAAAATCACCTGAGTTAACAAAACAAAGGTTGAAGTTTTGACCATTTTATTTAACCAGTTTTAAGTTCTGCAACTATAGTAAATATCCCATTGTGCTACCTGAATATAAGTAAAGCATGTATTAAAAATATTTAGCAATCTTGTAAGGGTCAACCAACCAATCTAAACACATGCTACACAAAAGAAGTGGCCCTATAAAAACAAATCAGTGAAGAATGGCTGAATGTCAGTTCTGTGAATGAAGGAGCCCCCTGAGTCTGCTTTTATCGGTAGTTTGGATTTTTACGTAGTACCTTCATTGCATTTATGGGAAAGTCTGTTTCGGAGGTACTTTCTTTTTTAAGCTAAAATTACCAGCTAAAGTCTCATTTAAAAATTTTTATTCATTGTAATTCACAAATTATAGTTGTACATATTTATGGGGTAAAAAGTGATGTTACAATTTATGAATACAATATGGAGTAGTTAAATCAAGCTAGTGAACGTATTCATCTCAAATACTTGTTTTTGTGGTGAGAATATTTGAAATGTACTGAGCAGTTTTGAAGTGTACAGGTCCTTATTTACTATACTCACCATGCTGTGCAAATGGACACTCCTCATAAGTAACAACTTGGCCCGAGAGTGGGGGCACCAGCTACTTTAAAACAAGGTCTCGGACACTTGAAGTTATACACATTCCATCTCATTTTCTATAGGGTCATCACAAAGTCTTTATTTGTCAAAAGTTCGTAAATGGAAAATAGATTTCACTTTTGATTCAACCTGTATCTGTAGTTTCATATTGTGATTTTATTTCAGGAAAACACTGTGCCCAGAATCTTCATTCTTCAATGAAGAAGGAACACAGAGGGACCTCAAAGGAGTGCAGAACTATGGTTCTGTTTTCTTTGATTGATTTCAATGTACAATTCTGGGATGTTACAGCGTCGCCTAGATATAGCAAAGTGTGACTGACCTCAGTAACTGTAGAAAATGTGAGCTTTTCCTGGGTTTTTCTCTCCTCCAATAGGTGACAACATTTATGTGTGTCCATTTATATAGAAATGAAACATTTCCTACTGTAATATAAACATCATTTGCAAATCAGTTTGTCTTAAATTGAGGATTTGAAAGGGTTGGCGTAGGAGTAGGGACAGTGTTCTATAATGGCTTCTAAGTGGAAGCCACTAACACATTTTATACCCCTTCTTCCCTTAACCTGTAAGCTCAGTGTAGATTTCGTTTTTTCTTTCAGTGCATATTTTTGATAAAATCTTTACATCTCCAGGAAGAAAAGTAAAAGCAATGAAAAATTAGCTGGTAGCTTAGAAAACCTCAACAAATTTTAAAGCTTTTAAAAACTATATTCAGAGTAGGACTCTATGGATAATCTGTTACCTCTCCTCGATAAATACTCACTGAACGTCCTCACCTTTTGTCCATCAGAAAGACTGTGAGATCGGTAACAGCCAGTTTCTTTCTTCTTCTTCATATGTTGATACTGGAAAGGTCTTTGGTAGAAACTTTCCTGTCCAAAAAGATTTGCTTGGCAACAACTGGGAATAATCAAAGCTACCAGTCCTTACAATTCCAGTTTTATAATTGTGACTTTCAGTAATATTATTACCTTAAAAAATAAATCTAAAGAAGACGTCACGATCTGAATATGGAGATTTTACAAGTTCCCTTCATATCGATAAACTTTGAAGAGTTTTAAGTGTATACTACAGCGATTTTCCAGAGCTGTTCCAAAAAGGCTTTATTAAAAAATACTCATTTAGAAATAATTGATAACATTAAAAATAATTTATTAAATTATTTAAAATAACAGTTAACATTATTTTAAAATGGGTATTAAAAAAGATTAAAAAGTAATAGTTGATAACATTGAAGGTATTAACAAATAATTTTAAAATAATTGATAATATTAGTGAAATGCAGTGTAACAAGTGCCGCAAAGCATTTTACAGGTATTATCACATTTATTCTTAAAAAAAAACTATAAAGGAAGCACCATTATTATATCTATGTAATAAATAAGGAATCTGAGGCTTAGAGAGCTTAAAGTTAAGAACACTCAGCTAAGATTTGGGGTATAAAGATTTATCAGAAACAAAAGCCCATCCTCTTACCTGCTAGAAGATGCAATGGCTGCTGCACAGATTTTGCTAACTCCTGGGGATTCCAAGAAAAATCAGAGGGTCTCAGACCTTGAAAAAAATATAGGTTAGTGGGAAAAACAATAAAATAATGTGACAAAAATATAACCAAGACGTGCAAGGTTCAATAAGGAAGGAAGCAACCAAGTGGGTGAAACTAGGGTTGCCAGTGGCTGAGAATGAGACCTCTAGAAGGGCACATGTTTCCCCTCATCTGCCATGGTTTAAGGGCAGTACCACGGGGCAGGAGAGCAAGTTCTTCCCCATCAGTATACCAGTTACTTTCCTGGAACAGGGTTCATCAATAATGAGACTCTTTTTTTCTGATAATGATCTTTTTGAGTTTTATGACCGTCCACTAGAGAAAAAAAAATCAAGCTTGTAAAGAATTAAAGTTAGTTTTATTCAGAAGTCTTACTGGGGACTGTAGACTGAGGACTATAGCCCTGGAGAGATCTTTCAGAGAGGTTCCATCAGACTATTCCAAAACTGTTTTGGCTCATTGCTTATATACAGGCAGTGAAGGTTCAGTACGTGCAAAATCATATCAAATTTTGGGTGCAAGAGTACATCTGGTTATAGACAGTAGAGGCATAATCACTGACCCTGTCAGACATTATCTTATTATAGGAAAAGGCAAGGTCTAGGGTCATTTATCCTTTAAGGAATATGGTGACTTCATTCAAGAGATGTGGGAACCGTGTGCTCTATCCAGTTTTGTCCTCAAAGCATTCTTCCAGAGAACTGCATCTTGTCACAGAGTCAGGGGCTTTGTGAAATTATGCTGGCAGGCAGAAGTGAGCAAACATGGCTTTCTATATTTACTACTTTGTCTCACAGATCTTTTACATAGTTCAGAGCTCTGTCCCCAAAGCCTTCTTTCATGAATCTAGGAATTTGTTCAGATGTTGGTAATGTTAATAATTGACGTTTTAAAAGTTAACATATTGAAACAATATTTACGGTGCCTGATGTCCTTGGTGGTCATTGACTCTTTAATACTTTTTAAAAAATATAAAACATATTCCTGTATGTAAAAGTTAACTAGTGTTACAGAGACTGTTACCGAAACCAATGCCAAAAAATGGAGTATCTTGATATAAATTGCAATGTGAGCAATTAATTTTTTTAAAAGAGAAGAAATTGCTTCTGACTATTCATATTAATAGGTTTCAAATAAGAAAACAAAGAGTTACACATGCAAGCTGCAAGTTTGGATTGAAGTCAGGGAACTTATAAATGTGTCATGCAGTACTTTTGAGAAATAAAAGCTCCCCACTCTGCTGGTGATCACAGAAGGAAAATATTTTGATCATTGCAGAAAATGAAAAAGCATACAAGAGTCATCCAGCTGATAACACCAAGATATATATAGTGCCAGAGATTAGCTTCACCTGTATCAGTATTTTTCCAAGAAATGCTCGCCTGTTTAAGTGAATCCTACCACTCTCTTAATTCCACACTGGTGACTGAGGACATAAGCGATGACTGTCACTCCATAGAGAAGCCTCGTCTGTAGCACCAAGTGGTCCACGCTGCATTGTCATCCTGCCCCAGCTGTGAGAGCATGACGTTGGGTGATTCACATTCCTGCTCCGTGTCTGACTCATCATCTTGCCCACAGGCCAAACCCATCTTTTATCACCTCTTGCTTGCAAATATTTATCTTAAAGCCATCTGGCAACCTAATGTTTTAAGTATCTTGATAAGTATTTATTTGAAGATATTGTGAAACTAAGAAATTTTAAGTTTAGATTTAGTGAGAAATTGCATTTTCCTATTTTCAAAAAGAGATATTTTAACTTCCCTTTCTACTTAAGTAAAACATGTCATCTCACTGAATATAAAAAGACCTCACTCCTTGACCTTTAATACTTGTCAAGGGATTCTAAAGATGAAGGCACTTTCAGTGCCAAAATTCATCCAACGTTCAAAAGCAAAAATTTTTTTCATCACCATCTCTATGCTAGGCCCTGAATTACAGGGAATACATGGTTTTTCTCATGACTTGATTTTTCAAGAAAATTTGAACCATAAAACATTATCATAAGGTGGAAGAAATTTATCAGAAATGCCATTCAAATGTACCTTTCTGGGCCATCCTATTTTCCAGAACAGCTTGCATATGGATGGAGAGAATAATTGAGGAATGCAAGTTCTGAAAAGATGTCTCTTTTGAAGTTATATTTAATTTCCAGACTGCTTTATCCAGGCTCAGAGTCAAAATATTTAGCAATATAGTAGAAGATGCAAAATAGTTTTCTGCATCTTCTATTGGGGAAACTATACTTTCTAATATAAAATGGAGAGAAAGAAAGAAAAACTCCTATATATGGAGAATGGTTTGTCATCAAATTTGGCTCATCTGGAGAAAACAGCACAGATGGTCTAGCTTGCTTCAGGACTGCAGTTTCGTGCCATGCATGATTCACCAGAGAAGGTAAATCAGCATCTGCTCATTTCATTTTGTGTTCACTGTTGTAGTAATAGGTAGTAATGTGCATTAACATTCTTTTGTTGCTAGACCTTAGCAAGCAAATGAGTGTTATTTTCTAGCTAAATTAGAGACTATTTTTTCTATAGTTTTACATTCAGATTAATGAAGCAATGCTGAAAAAAATAAAACCACCTTTGCCCGCTTACTAAGATTTGGGACCTCTTCACTTGGAACACCCTTTGGTCAAGACCTAAAAGTAATTTCCTTCTTTTTTTTTTTTTTTTTTTTTTTTTAAGAAAAAGACTATCAAAGTAATTTCTCAGAAAGGAAAAACTGGGCTCTGTAATCAGTTATTCTAACACATGGTTGTTTATTAAAATATGGTCATGGGACATTTCTGTTTGTGACTGTGAAGGTGGATTTTAAAACATCCTTCCACACACGGATTTGACCTGTTTTTATGTTTCATAGTTGGCTCATATAAATATTACAAAAAATGAATGTTAACTTTAATAATGGAAAAATATGATTTCCTGACTCATAGTTTAGCAAATAGATTTATGCAAATCTGATGAAGTTAGTTTCTGTGTGGAAAGCAAATGTCTTTCTGGACTGTGCACGATACAGATCCCTATATTCCTTTTTGGTCATTCCCTGAGTTATATCTTATGGTTACAGGGAGCTACAATTCATTTATGGTGAGCCTTATCTATCTCTGGACTAAAAGTTACTGAAGAGAAGTTGTAGTATCTCTTCTACTTTGGTATCTGTAGTAGCTTCCATCGTGCGTAACATAGGGATAGTTCATTAATACACACAAGAAATGTTTGTATCATAGATTCCTCTTTGCTAGGGCATGACAGAGATACTGTGGGTACCACAGTGAACAAATTGTCATCATTCTTGAGCTTTTATTCCAGTGGATGGAGACAGGTAACAAAGAGAGAAATACAAAACATGTATAGTATATTTGAAAGTGATAAGTGCTATAAAGGAAAACAAAGCATTGTAAGTACATAAAAAAAAATCAAAGTATGGAGGTTGTAATGTATAAAGGGTTCCCAGAGAAGGCCTGGCTGAAAAGGTGCTATGAACTGAAATGTGGCCCCCCTACCAAATTCATAAGCTGAACCTCTATACCCAATGTAACTGTATGTGGATATAAGACCTATAATGAGGTAATTAAACTTAAATAAGGTCATAATGGTGGGGCTGTAATCCAAGAAAATTGGTGTCCTTATAAGAAGAGTGAGACACCAGATATCTCTCTGTCCATGTGAGCATGGAGGAAAGACCATGTGAGGACACAGAAAGAAGGCTGCCATCTGCAAGCCAGAAAGAGAGACCTCTCCAGAAACCAACCCTGCTGGCACTTTGATTTTGGACTTCCAGCATCCAGAACTGTGAGAAAATAAATTTCTATTGTTGAAGCCACCAGTCCATGGTATTCTGTTGTGCAGCCCAAGATAATTGAGAGGGAAAGAATATTTGCGTAGAGAATGGAAGAAAGTGTGAAGGTGTGGGACCATGTCAAGTGGACAACAAGTGGAGAGACTTCCCATGCAGAGGCAGAAACAAATGTAAGGCTCTGGATCCCAGTGTACTATGGTAGGTAATTAAAATAAAATTACTCTCAGAATCTCCTACTAAGAAGAGGAGGCTCCTATAGAAGGTAAGATAATGAACTTGTAAGGCTGTCTGTTTATCAAGGTTCTTGCATGAGTGATGAGATCAGCTATTTTCGAAGACCTAACTTGACAAAAAGTATAACTTTTTCAGTAAATGATTTAAATTATTTATTTTTCCTTTGCCCATGTCATTAGACTTCTAAGGAAAAGTTGGATTATTTATTCACCAAGCAAGATAATAAAGGGCCTTATGTATTAATCATTTTATCTCAGGCTTTGCTAGATCTAAAGCCACCTCTGAGAACTAAGAAGTTGGTTTTCTCATTTTCAGATAAAGTAAGAGTCAAAGATACTAAGTCAACTGAAGGAATCCACTTTCTCCAAAGGTCCTGCCCTTTATAAACCATGAGTTTTAGGTAAATGTCAGCGTGCGTGGACTGCTCCAGTCTTCTTTGTTGTGAGTAGCTGTACTTTTTTCTTTTCTTTAGAGGCAGGTCCCCACTCTGTCACTCAGGCTGGAATGCAGTAGTGTATCATGGCTCACTGTAACCTCAAACTCCAGGGCTCAATTGATCCTCTCACCTCAGCTTCCAGAGTAGCTGTGATTATAGGCATGAGCCACTGCACCTGGCTAGCTGTAAATTTTAAGAAAACTGTCAGTAGAGATATGTTTTTGTTTAGTGGAGTATTTCGTTATATTTTTTTCAAAACTTCTGAACACTGTATACACCACTTGACCTGTACTTGACAATTAGAGCCTGTAAAATGCAAAGTCTTAAAAAATCCAAAAAACATAAATTCAAGGTTTGCCTTTCAATAAAGTCTATAAAAGCATCTGCTCTGAATACTCCCTTGCCATATTTAAGTACCATGGAGAAGAAAGAAACTAGTAAGCATACAATAACTCTATACTGAACCAGGAAGAAACTTCGTCTGGCTGGCTATACCTCTACCTTTCTGCATATTGCCTGACAGAATACTAGAGTTGAAAGAACACACACCATAGGACCAGAAAGTCTTGTTTGAATTCAGATTTTGACATTTACAAACAATGTAACCTGGGTTACTTAACCCAACTGACCATCCAAGCTTACCTATAAGATGGAATTATGGTAACCTGGCAAGATTGTTGTGAGGGGTAGAATACATATATACTGCTTAGCATAATGTTTGTTGTATGTTATGATCACAATATGTGATCTCTAGTATTCAAAGAGTCATACTCTTCCTAACAGAGTCTTCAAAGCCTGCATTTTGAAGTTGGAAATGAACTCTTGATAAACACCATTGTTCCCTTAATATTACCCTAATGTTAGGATATATCATCATTTCCACTTAATAAAGGAAGAAATTGAGACAAATGAAAGCTAAATGTTCTTCCAAGTTTGTGCATTTTCTATTAATGTTATTGTTGAGGTCATCTGCCTATATAATTTTATTCAGATTGCCAGTGGTTCTGAAACTTTAAAGTGCATTGAAATAGATGCAGAATTCTGGCCCTCACCCTTGAGGTTTTGATGTAGGATGACTCTTAAGTGATTCTAATCAGAAAGTTCTAATCAGAAAGCAACAAATTCATTGTACCAGAATCTTTCTCTATATAAACTATTTATATACTACTTAACATTGGAAGGCTGAAAATCATTGGCTACCTAGCCTTCAAAACTAACAACAGTTATCTGTAAAAGTAAATATTAGAAAAATTGGCAAATATTTAACAAAAGAGAACTGATTATATAAATTGGTCTAGCCATGTGGGAATATTATGCAATCACCATATAGAATATTGAGAAAAATAACCAATGACATGTAACTTGTACTATGTTGAGTGAAAAATGAGTGAACACTTAAAAATGTTATGTAAAAATGACCTCTTTATTTATTTATTCTCTTTTTTGAGATGGACTCTCGCTCTGTCACCCAGGATAGAGTGCAGTGGTGAGATCCTGGCTCACTGCAACCTCCACCTCCCGGGTTCAAGCAATTCTCATGCTTCAGCCACCCGAGTAGCTGGGATTACAGGTGCCCACCACCATGCCTGGCTAATTTTTGTATTTTTAGTAGAGACAGGGTTTCACATGTTGGCCAGGCTGGTCTCGAATTCCTGACCCCAGGTGATCCTCCCACCTCAGCCTCCCAAAAGTGTGGGATTGCAGGCATGAGCCATGGCACCCAGCCAATTGGTATTGCTGAAAAAACAACTCTACATCAAAAAAGAGAATATATATAATCGCAAGTGACTATTAATGTTTAATTCTAGGTGTGAAGATTGTGAGTAAATTTATTTGTCTTTTCTAAATTCTTCATTTCTTCTCTCAATATGTGTGACTTCTGTTAGCAGGTTTCTATGGCTATTAAAAGTAATAGCAACTTTTAAGTATGGGGAAAGCAACTATGCAAATTCACAAAGCCATTCTAGGTAATATTAAAAATTATATTCATAGAATATTAGGTAGTTAAGTTTGTTTTAAATGTTTATTTTTCTCATAGTTGAATATGCTAGTTTATATTACAGAGATTAATTAGATGAATATTATCTATCATATGATATTTTATTGAAAATAATAGTCTTTTAGCATGCTACATGATAAATGATAGGATTAAACAATAAGATAGTACATTGGTACAGGGTATTTATTACATTTCTGCTGCCACCCAGTGGCTGCTCCATCTGTTTTATATATATTGCTCATCTAGCTAATTGTCCAGTAAAGTTGCTCACAAAGAGCACTCTTGTAGGTAGAATCAACTTGCTCTGAAGCAGCAGTGATTTTCTAGGTCTAGGAATAACCAATTAAAGCATATCAAGTCAGAGAGAAATCTTTCCACAGAACAACAGTAAGATGTTTTGAGTCCACATGGCTAATCTGCCAACAGACATTATTTGTGCTGCAAATTATAGAATCTTTTTCTTGCTATAACAGAGTCCTTCTTAAGCTAATTTTTCATAAGTCTTGTGCAAAGGACAGTTGCCCCACAGTAGCAGTCGCTAACACCTGCTTGCCGAATTAGATCCAATCACCTTTAACTCAGAGAAGACAAAAGCTGTGGATGAAGTCAAATTAGAGTTGGACATCCCTCAGGACCAGCAAGAGAAGACAGCCGGCTGCAGTTCATCAGGAGCACAGCTACACAAAGTCTTTCAGGTCTTCTAATAGCTGAGGCAAGGCCCCCAGAGTTTGATTTAAATGAAAATATATAAAACCATGAAGGAAAAATAAGAAAATATATATCTGAACAAGTTCCAATTCTAAGAAATTCTCCAACTTACTAAGACATTTTAGAAAACAAACCACATCTAGAAAACCAAATGAGAAATACAAAAATTAACTACGTAAGTCAGTGTTTGCATAGATTTGCAAAAGCCTTGACATAAGAATGAAGAAATACACACCCAAATATCATCAGTGGTGGTGGGATATGTGTGGGACAGACAGGAAAACTACCTTCCTGCGCCTCTCTAGTTTTTGAATTGTTACAGAGCGTACACAACAATAAATATAATGTTTAAAGCCTATGAAATATGTATTGTGAGATAGAAGGAAAAGATAATTAAGCACTGGGCTAGTGGCTTCTTCTTGCATTCCTTTGGGTAGAAGGTAAAAAACCAACAACCTGGAATAGTCTTGGGCAGGCCTCTATAGGGGTCAATTTTCCAAAAGAAGACATTAATTTCAGAAGGGGTGAAGATTGAGATTCCTCAACACAAAACAAGGCAATTCGAGGCCCAAAGAGCAACCAGGTCAGACAAATGTAAAACAGAGACATCTTTTGATTGAAAAGACAACTCATAAAGTTGAAGCCAATCCTAAATCAAAATTTTGGAAAGCCACTGTCAAAAAGTAATTTTGGAGCTGAAGAAAATGAATGCAAAAGCACTAGTATAAAACAATAGCAAATTTCAAATTCTGATTAAGCCATGGTGATCTACTATGGTTGTTCTGAATACAGAAGACTGGAAAACCCTTCAGTAATTGTGAAAATCACACTCATGAATGTTGCCTTACAGGTTATTAATTCTAAACTAGGGAAGCAGATTTTGGAGGATTTGAAGGTAGGGCAAAGAAAGGTCAGTTAAACAGACTTGAATCTCAGGGTCTTTCATTTTTGCAGAGATCTTTCTTTGGGACCAGCCTGTCATTTTAAGCTTAGAGGGATAGGCATGATTTTCACTTTTTTGTTGTTTGTTTGTTTTTGCTTTGGTTACAGGGATCTTACCTTTATGTCACCCTTTTGGTATGGCTTGCTGTGTCAGATTTTGACTTTGGAAGATTGTTACCTGAATGGCAAATTGAGATCTGTCATTTATTTCTCCCTTCTTGGAGAATTAGTGCCTTATAAACCTGAAAGGAATAAATTCTTGATTGTACTCTATTGACTAATTTAGAAACATAGTGATTTATATTTTGTTAAATTAATAATGTGTGAAATGACTCGGTACATGTTTGTTCTAATTATGCTTCTGAACTCTTATTAAAATCAATCAAAATTCATCTCCGTAGTTTCAGAACAATAACAGTTGATATACATTTATATTACTGATGAAACTGTAAATATTGAGTAAAGAAGACAGGAAATACATTAAGACCCATTAAAGTATTTGTTTCTATAAGATTAAGTGCTTGCTGACCACTGGTATACAGTAGGCTTCCCCATTCACTTCTCTCTCTTCCACTTTTCCTGCTTCATTTTTCTCTGTAAAATTATAACTGTTAAATACAAAGCTTGAAGGATGACTTGGATAAATATTAAAACACAGTAATCATTTAAACAGCATAGATATGATACTTTTATATTTTTCAAATCTCAAAGTCAGCATAGTAATAAGTGATTGTTTCACTTTTTCTTAAGAAAGAAAAGAAGGAAAGAAGTGTTATTTTCCAACACAAATTATCTTCAAACAGTACTGAAATCCATTTGTGATGTATCCATATTACTATTATTTAATTTGTATTGTGATATTCTTAAAAATATTCTTATTTAACTTTATAAACAAATTCAAGTGTTAGCTCATTAAACTTTTATATCTTATGTTTCCATTTTCAGTTCCTATTCAGTAATTATGTATCTTATACTGTAATCAATTTTATTAGTCTGGAGCAAAGATTCTCAAGTATTAGTGTGCCAAGAATTCATGTGGATACTTGTCAAAAATGTAGATTCTGGGTCTCTGCCATCAGAATTGGTACATCAGGAATGGGAACCAAGAATCTACATATGTAATAGGCAACTCAGGTGATTCTGATATACATAGTCTAGAGATTAAAATATGTGATTGTCATCTATCATTACAGTATCCTTACATGTAGTGTAACTATAATAATCCCTTAAGAACTTAATATTTCCTGGAGAAGAGTGGACAGTGAAATTCATATTATGAATACCTCTGGAGAGGTGACCTTACATTGAGAAGAATAATTTATTCATTTTGTGGGAAAAAGATATGAGCTGGGACTTGGTAAACACATAAAATGAGCTCAGTGTCCAGTATAGCACAAAAGCAAACGATATTTCTCCTTTCCCTTGCCTTTTTAATTTAGTGTCAGCTCCAGGGTTTCTGTTTCTTCCATTTTACCTTTTAAATTTATTTGACTGTTTTCCACACAGGCTATTTGAGTAGGGTGATAAAAGCAAGTTTTTGATGAATTAAAATCCACTCTATGAATTTTAATGTACTTAATAATTATATTCTATTAGCCTTTTCACTAAAGAGCATTTCACTTGAAAAGAAAATGTGTCCTGCTGGTTAAAATGAAAGCTTTTTGCTTTAATTTATTTTCTAACCTGTTATCAGCCCTTATGCTGAATCAACTAGAGTTATGTAATTATTTATTTCTTCTTGCAAAAACCAGAAGGGTACACTTCTTGAAGGAAATTTCCGTCACTGAAGAAGTATATGTTATTCTAAATATCTTGTAGCATACTTGTTATATATATGTGAAATCATATATTACAAATTTAATATGGAGTTAACTTTATTGCATTTCATTCATAGGATTAATCTATTTATATTCCTAATGTTCTTAAAGTAACCTTTGAATTTTCACACAGTTGATCACTAAAGACTTTGGCTAATTGTGTAACACTTGCCTTCATGAATATTTTGCTAATATACAATTTTACAATATTAAGTTTCTCTTCTGTATTTTTCCTAATCATGGTGTGGAAATAAGTACTTATGGTTAGAATTTTAAGAGAGGATACTTCAGATATTGGATAAATAACTACTGCAGTGTTAAAATGTGACTGTTGTAAAGTGAAGTACTTACATTTTTTACCCTCTAGATTATCAAATAGTAATAAACCATAAACAATTAGATGACAGGTGAGGCCTTTAAGCTTTTGATCCACATCAACCAGAAGACCTTGGACAAAGCTCATAAAAGACACAGCAATATTTTCTTAATGTGGATAATTGAGTTTACTGTGTTCTCTTTCATTTCCTAAGTATGGATCTTTCAATCATTACAGAAGGGAATTTGACTCATTTTCTCCACTATGCATCTAACATATTCTACGTCCATAATATGGTTCTGTCTGTACCATCCTGCCTGGGTTTCTCAGATCACCTGAAATTTACTATTTAACATATTTAAATGGATCTGTGATAAGTATAATGTAGCTTGTTTGAAAGAAAGACTTTTATTTTTGGTTAACCTCCTGTGGTGCTTTGCACAGGTAAAGTTTAAATAATCTGGACTTTACAGTCTGGGATCTGAGGTTCAAGTAAGAGCTCTACCATTAGTAGCTTTGTGATTCTTAAGTCTCTGATTCTTAATTTCCTTGGCTAATTTGCACATACGCCATCTAAAAGTGCAAATAAAATGCTTCCTTATGTTCTAGCTAAAGATCACTAGCATGAGGGAAATTCAAAAATTAAATTTAGCCAAGTCTGGTAACCTCAGTCTGATCAAATAACTTAAAGTTACCTTTAAAGTAACACCCCTATATATATATATATAATTATATATATAACATATTTTTATATATTATATATAATATATATATATTTATATATAAACTATATATTATATATAATATATAAAAATTATATTTTATATATAAAAATAATATAAACTGTTCTATATATAATATAATCTATAATATAATAATATAAACTGTTCTTATATATTATATTCTAATATATATTAGAACAGTTTATATTATATATATATCTAATATATATTAGATATATATATATTAGAACAGCTTTAGATTTAAGTAAAATTGAAGAGATAATACAAAGAACTTCCATATACCCTGATGCAGTTTTCCCTGTCATTAACAAATTGCATTAGTATGGTATATTTAGTATAATTAATGAAACAGTATTGATGCATTATTTTTAATTAAAGTCTCTATTTTATTCAGATTTACTTAGTGTTACCTAATGTCTTTTTCTGTTCCAGGATCCCATCTGGGGTATTATATTATCTTAGTAATCATGTCTTCATAGGCTCCTGTTGGCTGTGGAGTTTCCAAGACTTTCTAGTTATTGATGACTATAAGTTTTGAGGAGTACTTTTGAGGTACCTTCACAGATGCATCTTTATTGGAATTTATCTGATGTCTTTTTCATGATTAGAATGCAGATATGGGGCTTTGGAAGGAAGAAGGGAGATAAAGTGAAATCCTCATCACATCAACATGATTTGTCACTGCTGATACTGACATGGATTACCTGACTGAAGTGGTATTTATTAACAACAGGTTTTTCTACTGCAAAGTACTCCATTTTCCCCCTTCCATCCTGTACTCTTTGAAAGGAGTATCACTAGGCACACTCCGCATTAAAGGAGTGGGAATGTGCACTCCCTCTCCATAACAGTTTCTTAGGGCCACTGTAACAAATTTCCACAAACTTTATGGTTTAAAATGACAGAAATGTATTTTCTCACAGCTCTGTAGGCCAGAAGTCTGGAATTAAGGGGTCAGTAGAATCACGCTCTCTCAGAAAGTTCTAGGGAGAATCCTTTCTTGTGTCTTCCAGCTTCTGGTAGCTTCAGGCATTCCTTGGCTTGTGACTGCATAACTCTCTCTGCTGCTGTTTTCAAAAGGCCCCTGTCAGTCTTTCCCTCTTCTTTTTTTTTTTATTTTTATTATACTTTAAGTTTTAGGGTACATGTGCACAATGTGCAGTTTAGTTATATATGTATCCATGTGCCATGCTGGTGTGCTGCACCCATTAACTCGTCATTTAGCATTAGGTATATCTCCTAATGCTATCCCTCCCCTCTCCCCACACCCCACAACAGTCCCCAGAGTGTGATGTTCCCCTTCCTGTGTCCATGTGTTCTTGTTGTTCAATTCCCATCTATGAGTGAGAACATGTGGTGTTTGGTTTTTTGTCCTTGTGATAGTTTACTGAGAATGATGAGTTCTAATTTCATCCATGTCCCTACAAAGGACATGAACTCATCATTTTTTATGGCTGCATAGTATTCCATGGTGTATATGTGCCACATTTTCTTAATCCAGTCTATCATTGTTGGATGTTTGGGTTGGTTCCAAGTCTTTGCTATTGTGAATAGCAGTGGGGAAAGGATTCCCTATTTAATAAATGGTGCTGGGAAAACTGGCTAGCCATATGTAGAAAGCTGAAACTGGATCCCTTCCTTACACCTTATACAAAAATTAATTCAAGATGGATTAAAGACTTAAATGTTAGACCTAAAACCATAAAAACCCTAGAAGAAAACCTAGGCATTACCATTCAGGACATAGGCATGGGCAAGGACTTCATGTCTAAAACACCAAAAGCAATGGCAACAAAAGCCAAAGTTGACAAATGGGATCTAATTAAACTAAAGAGCTTCTGCACAGCAAAAGAAACTACCATCAGAGTGAACAGGCAGCCTACAAAATGGGAGAAAATTTTCACAACCTACTCATCTGACAAAGGGCTAATATCCAGAATCTACAATGAACTCAAACAAATTTACATGAAAAAAACAAACAACCCCATCAAAAAGTGGGCAAAGTATATGAACAGACACTTCTCAAAAGAAGACATTTATGCAGCCAAAAGACATATGAAAAAATGATCATCATCACTGGCCATCAGAGAAATGCAAATCAAAACCACAATGAGATACCACCTCACACCAGTTAGAATGGCGATCATTAAAAAGTCAGGAAACAACAGGTGCTGGAGAGGATGTGGAGAAAACAGGAACACTTTTACACTGTTGGTGGGACTGTAAAGTAGTTCAACCATTGTGGAAGTCAGTGTGGCGATTCCTCAGGGATCTAGAACTAGAAATACCATTTGACCCAGCCATCCCATTACTGGGTATATACCCAAAGGACTATAAATCATGCTGCTATAAAGACACATGCACACGTATGTTTATTGCGGCACTATTCACAATAGCAAAGACATGGAACCAACCCAAATGTCTTTCCCTCTTCCTATAAGAACACTTGCTACTGGATTTGGGCCCACTTGGATAATCCAGAATGATTGCATATTAAGATCCTTAACATCACTGCATCTGCAAAGACCCTTTTTCAAAATAAAGTCAAATGAACAGGTTCCAGGTAGACGTATCTTTTAGAGAGCCACATTTCAATTCACTATATGTTCCTTGAGAACAGGGTATCTACATAAATTATTTCAAGACAGATTTTTTCTCTTCTCCCTCATTTATTTATATATTTATTCAATAATTCATTTATACCAGTATGGACTCGTGGATATTTATCTTTATTTTAAATTTATAATCCAATACTTCATTTTCTTGCTCAAATTGTTCTGCTTTTGGCCATTGGGATCTCCCTTCAGTTAGCTCTTGTGTTTCTTTGGAATATCTATATCAATGTAGAGTGTTTTGGCGGTTTTAAAATATTTTTGGTCTTTTAAAAATTTTTTGAGCACTTTCTTAACTTTCTATAATAACAACACAGGATACTCGAGTTTCATAGTGTATAATTCCAAGACTTTCTAGTTATTGATGAGTATAAGTTTTGAGGAGTACTTTTGAGGTATTTTCAGAGATGCATCTTGTTCATCTTGTATAATTTCTGCCCTGGTTTTAAAATCAGCTATTTCTCCAAGATATTTTTAATTGGAAAATGGTATTCGAAACCAATGGCATTAGAAATCAACATCTGGGTACTAGATGGGTTTCTTGTTACTGGGTTCTCATTGCTTCTTGGCCTTTTCAGTTGAGAGAATAAGGCAGTATATGTGGGCCTACTTACTCATGTTTTCACGGCTATTTATATAAGTAAACATCTATGTCTCTAGGAAGCTAAACATGAATCCATAATGATGTCTTCAACTCTGATCCATTACTATATACAACTCATCCAACTGTCCATCCCTTACTTATCTCCAAATTCCCACTCCATAGTGAGAAGCTTGCTTCCACCATCCATTTATTTAAGTGTTCAATTTCAATATAAATGTGTAGCAATATCAGAATTTCAACCTATACCACAATGGGAAATAATTTGTATCAACTAGGGTACAGTACTAATGTAGAGTTCCTCTTGCTTTCAGTTTAATGAATTTCAGCCACTCCCAAAGTTACTTAAGTCAGCAGATATTCCCACAACTCCCATCATTGAGATTATTTATAAATTTGTATACAAGTAGATTCTCGATACGTCTGCATTCCACCCTGCAATCTCCTGGCCTCCGAAACAATTGTTTTTAAATTTGCCTACATTAATGTTACCCTCTGTGCTGGAAAGTTCTTTGGGTTTTGACAAATACATAATGTCATGTAACTACCATTATGGTATCATACAGAATAATTTCACTGTTCTAAATATGTCCTGTACTTTACCTATTCAACCCTTCCTTCTCTCCCCAAACTCCTGGCAACTACTAATGTTTTTACTGTCTCCAGAGTCTTGCCTTTTTCCAGATGTTGTATAATTGAAATAACAGAGTATGTAGACTTTCCAGAATGGCTTCTTTCACTTAGCTAGATACAGGGTCATCCATGTCTTCACTTAGCTTTATAGCTCATTTATTTTTATCATTCAATAATATTCCATTGTTTGGAAGTATTACAATTTATCAGTTTATCTATTGAAGATCATCTTGGGTGATTCAGGTTTTGGCAATCATGAATAAAGCTGCTATAAACATTCATGTTCAGGTTTTTGTGAGGCCTAAACTTTAAAATCAATTAGGTAAATACCTTGGGGCCTGATTATTGGGTTGTATGGTAAGACCGTGTTTACCTTTATAAAAACTGCCAAACTGTATTCCAAGATGATTGTGACATTTTGCATTCCCACTTGCATGAATGAGGATTCTTGTTGCTCTCCATCCTCACCAGCATTTAATATAAAGTTTAGCCATTCTAATACATTTGTAGTGGCATCTTATTGTTCTTTAAATTTGTAATTCTCTTATGACATTTTCTGTTTAGCATATTTTCCTATGTTTCTTTGCCATTTGTATGTTTATTGGCAAGTCCTTTATTCAGATCTTTGGCCTATTTTTTAATTGAGTTGTTTTTTTTTATTGTTGAGGTTTGAAAGTTGTTTGTATATTTTGTAAAAGGTGAAAGATTTATCTGAAGATAAACAAGGGTTGTTCGTATATTTTGGATATATATACTTTATCAAATTTGTGTTTTGCAAATATTTTCTCCAAGACCATCACCTGTATTTTAATTATCTTATAGTGAGTTTTTACAAAGGTGGAAATTTTTGATTTTAGTAAAGTTTAACATTTTTTTCCTTCATGGACTATGCTCCTGATGCTGTATCTGAAAACTTACCTGCAAACCAAAGGTCACATAAATTTTCTTCCAGATTTTTTCTGGAAGTTTTATAGTTTTACATTTTACATTTAGGCTTTGATTAATTTTGAGTTAATTTTTGTGAAAGAAATGAAGTCTATATTTAGTTTATTCTTGTACATGAACATCCAGTTGTTACAGTACCACTTGTTGAGAAGTCTGTCCTTTCTCTGTTGACTTTCCTTTGTTCCTTTGTTGAAGATCATTGAAGATATTTGTGTCGGTAAATTTCTGGGCCCTTTATTTTGTTCCATTGATCAATATGTCTCTTATTTTGCCAATACCATGCTGCCTTGATTGCTGCAATTTTACAGACAGTCTTAAAGTCAGGTCATATCAATCCTGTAATTTTGTTCTTCTACCTCGGTATTGTATTGTTTCTTCAGTTTTTTTTTTGTTTTTTTTGTTTTGTTTTGTCTTCCCATATAAACTTTAGTATTAGTTTGTCAATAGCTACAAAATAGTATGCTAGAATATTGACTGGGCTTGCATTGACTGTATAAATCGAGTTAAGAATTGATAACACTATTGAAACTTCTAATCCATGAACATGGAATAGCTCCATTTATGTAGTTTTTTTATTTTTGAAAAGTCAGAGTTGTACAGGTATCTGCATATAGATAATGCTCATATTTTGTTAGACTTATACTTAAGTATTTCATTTTTTGTTCCTATTGTGAATGATTTTTGTGTTTTTAATTCTACATTTCAGTTGCTCATCGATGGTATATAAGAAAGCAGCCGGCTTTGTATGGTCACCTTGTATGCTAACTATGATATAGTTGTAGGTTTTTTGTAGAATTTTCTTTTTAATAAAATTGAGGAAGTTCCCCTTTATTCCTAGTTTTTTGAGTGTTTATATTGTGAATGTGTACTGGATTTTGTTAAGTGCTTTTTATGTATTAATGTGATTGTATGCTTTTTTCCTTTAGCCTACTGATACAGTGGATTATATTAATTAATTTTTAAATGTTGAACCAGACTTGTGTACCTGGAATAAATGCCACTTGATCTCTATGTAAAGTTCTTTTCACATACTGTTGGATTAAATTTGCCATCATTTTCTTAAGGAACTTTCCATTTATGTTCATGAGAGATATTTGTCTATAGTTTTCTTTCTAATAATGTATTTATCTGATTTTGGTATTAGAATAACTCTGGACTCTTGAAATGAGAAAGTGTTTCCTCTGCTTTCACTTTCTGAAAGATATTGCAGGGAATGGGAATTACTTCTTTAAGTGATTGGTAGAATTTATCAGTAAAATCATCTAGGGCCTCGTAATTTCTCTTTTAGACTCAAGTTCTACTGATTCAATTTCAGCTAATAGGAAGTGAGATAGAAAGGACTTTAAACTGAGATTTTATGTTAGTCTGGCTAGGCATTGGGTTGAGTTTAATGTTTTCTAGAGTTGTGGTGACTAGATGCTTAACATTTCCCTAAACTACAGTCCTTCTTTTCTTTTTTCTCATGGTCTTTGGTTTTCCCTAAGAACTTTTAAAACACAGTCTGTTTTGGTACCAGTACCATGCTGTTTTGGTTACTGTAGCCTTGTAGCATAGTTTGAAACCAGGTAGCATGATGCTTCCAGCTTTGTTATTTTGGCTTATGATTGACTTGGCAATGCAGGCTCTTTTTTGGTTCCATATGAACTTTAAAGTAGTTTTTTCCAATTCTGTGAAGAAAGTCATTGGTAGGTTGATGGGGTTGGCATTGAATCTATAAATTACCTTGGGCAGTATGGCCATTTTCATGATATTGATTCTTCCTATCCATGAGCATGGAATGTTCTTCCATTTCTTTGTATCCTCTTTTATTTCATTGAGCAGTGGTTTGTAGTTCTCCTTGAAGAGGTCCTTCACTTCCCTTGTAAGTTGGATTCCTAGGTATTTTATTCTCTTTAAAGCAATTGTGAATGGGAGTTCACTCATGATTTGGCTCTCTGTTTGTCTGTTATTGGTGTATAAGAATGCTTATGATTTTTGCACATTGATTTTGTATCCTGAGACTTTGCTGAAGTTGCCTATCAGCTTAAGGAGATTTTGGGCTGAGACGATGGGGTTTTCTAGATATACAATCATGTCATCTGCAAACAGGGACAATTTGACTTCCTCTTTCCTAATTGAATACCCTTAATTTCCTTCTCCTGCCTGATTGTCCTGGCCAGAACTTCCAACACTATGTTGAAAAGGAGTGGTGAGAGAGGGCATCCCTGTCTTGTGCCAGTTTTCAAAGGGAATGCTTCCGGTTTTTGTCCATTCAGTATGATATTGGCTGTGGGTTTGTCATAGATAGCTCTTATTATTTTGAGATATGTCCCATCAATATCTAATTTATTGAGAGTTTTTAGCATGAAGGGTTGAATTTTGTCAAAGGCCTTTTCTGCATCTATTGAGATAATCATATGGTTTTTGTTATTGTTTCTGTTTATATGCTGGATTACATTTATTGATTTGCATATGTTGAACCAGCCTTGCATCCCAGGGATGAAGCCCACTTGATCATGGTGGATAGATAAGCTTTTTGATATGCTGCTGGATTCGGTTTGCCAGTATTTTATTGAGGATTTTTGCATTGATGTTCATCAGGGATATTGGTCTAAAGTTCTCTTTTTTTGTTGTGTCTCTGCCAGGCTTTGGTATCAGGATGATGCTGGCCTCATAAAATGAGTTAGGGAGGATTCCCTCTTTTTCTATTGATTAGAATAGTTTCAGAAGGAATGGTACCAGCTCCTGTTTGTACCTCTGGTAGAATTCGGCTGTGAATCCATCTGGTCCTGGACTTTTTTTGGTTGGTAAGCTATTAATTATTGCTTCAATTTCACAGCCTGTTATTGGTATATTCAGAGATTCAACTTCTTTCTGGTTTAGTCTTAGGAGGGTGTATGTGTCGAGGAATTTATCAATTTCTTCTAGATTTTCTAGTTTATTTGCATAGAGGTGTTTATAGTATTCTCTGATGGTAGTTTGTATTTCTGTGGGATCGGTGGTGATATCCCCTTTATCATTTTTTATTGTGTCTATTTGATTCTTCTCTCTTTTCTTCTTTATTAGTCTTGCTAGCAGTCTATCAATTTTGTTGATCTTTTCAAAAAACCAGCTCCTGGGTTCATTGATTTTTTGAAGGGTTTTTTTGTGTCTCTATTTCCTTCAGTTCTGCTCTGATCTTAGTTATTTCTTGCCTTCTGCTAGCTTTTGAATGTGTTTGCTCTTGCTTCTCTATGGAACAGAAGAGAGCCCTCAGAAATAATGCCACATACCTACAACCATCTGATCTTTGGCAAACCTGACAAAAACAAGAAATGGGGAAACGATTCCCTATTTAATAAATGGTGCTGGGAAAACTGGCTAGCCATATGTAGAAAGCTGAAACTGGATCCCTTCCTTACACCTTATACAAAAATTAATTCAAGATGGATTAAAGACTTAAACGTTAGACCTAAAACCATAAAACCCTAGAAGAAAACCTAGGCATTACCATTCAGGACATAGGCATGGGCAAGGACTTCATGTCTAAAACACCAAAGGCAATGGCAACAAAAGCCAAAATTGACAAATGGGATCTAATTAAACTAAAGAGCTTCTGCACAGCAAAAGAAACTACCATCAGAGTGAACAGGCAGCCTACAGAATGGGAGAAAATTTTCACAACCTACTCATCTGACTAAGGGCTAATATCCAGAATCTACAATGAACTCAAACAAATTTACAAGAAAAAACAAACAACCCCATCTAAAAGTGGGTGAAGGATATGAACAGACACTTCTCAAAAGAAGACATTTATGCAGCCAAAAGACACATGAAAAAATGCTCATCATCACTGGCCATCAGAGAAATGCCAATCAAAACCACAATGAGATACCATGTCACACCAGTTAGAATGGCGATCGTTAAAAAGTCAGGAAACAACAGGTGCTGGAGAGGATGTGGAGAAATAGGAACACTTTTACACTGTTGGTGGGACTGTAAAGTAGTTCAACCATTGTGGAAGTCAGTGTGGCGATTCCTCAGGGATCTAGAACTAGAAATACCATTTGACCCAGCCATCCCATTACTGGGTATATACCCAAATGACTATAAATCATGCTGCTATAAGACACATGCACACATATGTTCATTGCGGCACTATTCACAATAGCAAAGACTTGGAACCAAGCCAAATGTCCAACAATGATAGACTGGACTAAGAAAATGTGGCACATATACACCATGGAATACTATGCAGCCATAAAAAATGATGAGTTCATGTCCTTTGTAGGGACATGGATGAAGCTGGAAACCATCATTCTCAGCAAACTATCGCAAGGACAAACAGCCAAACACTACATGTTCTCACTCATAGATGGGAATTGAACAATGAGAACACATGGACACAGGAAGGAGAACATCACACACCAGGGCCTGTTGTGGGGCTGGGGGAGGGGGGAGGGATAGCATTAGGATATATACCTAATGTTAAATGATGAGTTAATGGGTGCAGCACACCAACATGGCACATGTATGCGTATGTAACTAACTTGCACGTTGTGCACATGTACCCTAAAACTTAAAGTATAATAGTAAAAAAAAAAAAAAAAAAACACAGTCTGTGCTTCAATTCTAAACCGCTGTTTTTGTACTACAGCCTTGTTTATATGGTGGTAAGAAGTCATGGAGAGGAAATATTCTATAATGTTATAATTAAATATCATTTTTTCTTGGTCCTGAGTCCCTGGACTATAACTTTTTAAGTATTTCTTAGATTTTTTTTTTTCTTCCCCACTACTTAGGTGAGACAGGAATTAGGTGGGTAGCATTGTTTAATTGTCCTCCTGCTTCCTAGGTGAGATAAGGCTCTGGTAAAGTCTTTTCTCCAGGAAATTAAGCATTTATTATGGATAATTTACTGAGAATATTTCAAAATAACTACTTTTCTCTTTTCCCACTAGATACCTGAAGTGTTTTGTTTGTTTGTTTTTGTTTGTTTTGGCTGTTTTCAGTCATAATCTGGTCCCTCTTTGTAAAATTCATGAAACTCTCGGTGCCCCGAAGACTCTCGACCCCAGGAGTTTCTCACTTGCAAGCTAACCCACCTCAGTTTCCAGCAGCATTTAAAAATTACCATTTAAGTATTCCTGTCAGCTTCTGGCTCCAGTAACTTGTGCTTCACATAAGTAGACCTTGACTATGTTTTCCTGTGATGTCAGTCCTCTCATGGATCCAAGAAAATTCATTGATTTTTCGTTTGTTCAGCTTTGTTGCTGTTGTTGTTGTAGGACAGTAATCATGACTTCCCAGTTCTTTAGATGTGGGAGCTAAATCCAAAAATGCAGTTACATCCTCTTTTAAGTAACTGTCCCCATCTTGTATTTCCCTTCTCCGTCTCCTGTTCTTCTCTAAGATGACATCTGAGAATCTGAGAGAAAGGGTATATGTGATCTTATAGTGGAGGTGTAGAAGGGATCCCTTCCATATGTCCTCAGGTTCCTGTACTGCTCTGTGTCTTATTGGGTCTTCCCAGAGGTGTTGCTGGTTAACACTTGCTCAGCAAGTGTCCGCAGCTGAGTCCTTGAACTTTTTTCTCCTGGCTCTGATAGTTCCCTCTGCTTATCCAGCCTCACTTTGACCTTGCTAAAACTGCAGTCCCCCACAGTTACAGCAATGCATCCTATTTAATTTACCTCTGATCATCCTTTATGTACCTCCTCACCAGGGCAGGGGCCATTCTGAGAGACAGGTCTCTCTCAGAGTCCCAACTAGTCAATAGTACAAAAGCCCCTTTACTTCTAACTCTGTTCTCAACAAATGTTTTCCTTTGGAATTTTAGCTCCAAAGGAAGGGAGGCCATGACAACCTTGTGTCTCCACCAGCCTTTGAACTTAATTTCCTTCTTCATCTCAGTAACCACTCAAGGCCAAGAAGGAAGGACTCCTTGCTCATCCTCATTTGCCACGGCTCCACTCAGCATCATGGCCTCTTCTTTCCCAGTGGGTCATTCATCCCCTTCCTTTTTCAGAGGCTACAATGGCAAAAATAGTGTGCAGAAACATGACTACATGCAGGGAATAAAATGCATTGATTTAATATTCTCAATGGATTCTCATCTTTACATATACAATATAAAATTGGTATATTAATACTTATCATAAGGGCTTTTCTAAAGATTGGGATAATATATATGTAAACCATTCGGAAAACTGTATTCATTGTACAAATGTGAGATTTTAATATTTGATACTGCTAATCACTGTCATGTAAGCTAACACTAATACTTTAATTCAGAGGGATATACTATGTAGATTTGAATAATAAACTTTTGGCAAGGAAGCAGCTGCCATCTTGAACTATGAAGATTCTTGGCTAATTTAATGATCAAGGAAAAAAAAAGTAGTAAATATGAGAAAATAATTTCAAAAAAAATTAGCCTATTACTCATCATAAAGTTATTTGTTTTCCCTTAAAACATTAATAATGGATGAATATCTATGGTTGTTTTATTTCTTTCTTGGAGAAGTATGTAGCGGGCATCACTGGGGGCATCTCAAAATAATCCTAAGACAAGAAACAAGAGATCCCAAATAGGAAACCCATAGCAATTTATTCATGATTTGTTTAATTATTCCAAAAGTAATCAAAGGAACAGTATGTTGTTTTGGGAATATTGTGAATTGCCCATCTGGTTCAGCTAAACTACAGAACTAGACTCATTTTTAACACAAACACACAGAACATATTCCTCAAGACCAAATCTGTAATGGATATTTCAGCAAAAATTTACTGTGTCTGTCTGACACAGGCCTTGTGGTAGGTTTTGCAGATAAACAATTAATTAACAATGGTTGCTGTGCTTTAATATCCTTTAGTTTCAATGGGAAGATGACCTCTAAATAGAAATTTCAAAATAATGTGACAAATGTTACGATGTAGGTAGCTGTGAAAGCACACAGAAGCATCACTTAGTTCAGATTAGGGATTGAAAGAAGGCTTTTAGAAGAGCCATGCTGAATCTATACCTTGAATATTCATTGAGTAGGACTTATCCAGGCAAAATAAATAGTGATAAATATTTTAAGTGGAGGGAGAGTAGAAGATATATGAGTATAGCATAGAAAGGAAATTTTAAGCAATGTATTGTTGCTGGAGCACAGAGTGTGAGTAGGGCATCGTGGTAGGGAGACACTGGAGGGGGTATATAGGGGCAGGTTATAGAGGGCCTCCTGTCCCACAAAAAGTGTTTGGGCTTCATCCCATTGGTGATAGTGAGCCACTGAGGAATTTTTAGCAGGGCTGATATAAGGTTAGTTTTACATTTTGTATAAACAACCCTAATGCCACTGTAGAGAACAAGGAGAACAAGGAAAGCCAGACAGACAGAGGTATTTGTGAGGAGACTATTGCAGTAGGTCAAGAAAGAGATGTTGAGAATCTGATCCATAAGGGCAGGGATGATAGAAGATGGATTTTGGAGATGTATAAGAGCAAGAATAAACAGGATTTGGGAATCCCCTTAAGGTGTGTGTAGCAGGGAGGGAATAGATAAATGACGGGGGTAAAATTAGGATAACCCTAGTTTTCAATGTTGGGTGTATAACAATACCAATATCTAAGTTAGCAAGCAAAGAAAGAGAATACCATTAGTAAAACTCTGTAAAACTCAATTTGTGATATATTGACTTTGATATGCTAGTGAGACATCAAAATTGTAATTGTAGTAGGAAATTAAATAAATGATTCTGAAGCTTTGGGAAAAGATGTGAGCCAAAGATAAATATTAGAGTGTTATAAGCTTACACATGCTAGTTCAACGATTGGAATTAAGGAGAGTGTTCAAGGATAGTGTGGAGAGAGAAGGAAACAATGGACAGAGGACAGAACTCCAGGATAACCCTATATGATGTCACAAGATGCAAAAGCGAGTTCAAATGTGACTAAGAAACAATAGTTGAGAGAGAAAAGGAGTAAGAGGAAATACCATGGAAGGCGAGTGTCAACAGTATCATGTGCAGCTAAAAGTGCTTGTAAAATTCAGGACCTAAGGGATCCTGTGTATTTGAAATCATGGACTTCAGAACTTCCAAGGCATTTTGTGATGCTTAATAAATATGTTAAATAACTAAATGAGTAGAAAAATTAAGTACTGCCGTAATTCAGGTTCTTTGAGGGGCCAGAGACCACCACACATGCAGTTATAAAGAGAATTAGACTGGGCACGATGGCTAACACCTGTAATCCCAGCACTTTGGGAGGCTGAGGCAGGTGGATCACGAGGTCAGGAGTTCAAGACCAGTCTGGCCAAGATGGTGAAACTCCATCTCTACTACAAATACAAAAATTAGGCAGGTGCAGTGGCACGCATCTGTAATCCCAGCTACTCGGGAGGTTGAGGCAGGAGAATTGCTTGAACCCGGGAGGCGGAGACTGCAGTGGGCCGCCAAGATCATGCCACTGCTCTCCAGCCTGGGCGACACAGCAAGACTCCATCTAACAACAATAACAAAAAAGAATTAAAACTGAGAAATTGGACACAATAAATACAGACAAAACTCAGAACACTAAGAAAGGTGGGGAGACAAAAGCAATAAAGGGTGACGCAGAGTTAGGTTGTGTTTTGTTTCTGTTTTGCTGTTTTTTATTTTAGAATAAAACAGACTTTCACATATGTGTGAATTGAATTTTCTTCAACCAAGATAGACATTAAAAATATAGGAAAGTGCAGAAAATACTGGAGGAGCAAAGAACTGGAGAAAGTGGTGTAAAATTGCACTGAGAACACTGGACTTTGAAGGGACTAGATTTGAGAAAAAGAAGTTGGGATGACTGTAAATACGGACAGAATGTTGGCCACAGTTAAATCAATCACTTCACCCATGGTAGGAAAACATGATTTACTGAAAGTGAGGGGGTTGGCCATTTAGTGTCTATGTACATTTTTCATAAATCTTGCTATTAAACCATTTAATTAGAAGTGCTACTGAATCAATGCTTCAGAGCTCTGAGACTTTGTGTTCTCAAAGATATCCAAAATTAAAGCCTTTTATATGAATTGTCAGGCAGAAATATAAAAACAAGCAGTCACAATATTGACTTTCCTTCTGATTAAGAGCCCATAACATTAGAGGGAGGAAGAAAAATAGAATTATTTGGGGGAGCTCTTTGTCCATTGCTCCCTGGGCTGTATTGTATCATCTGTTTACTTTTCCTGGCTCTCCTACTATAGACAGTGTGCTATAGTGGGAAGAACCTGTGCTTTGGAGCCATAGAGACTGGGTTGCTTTTTACTTTTTCCATTTAGTAGCTGAATGCCCTTGGGTAAATTATTTTATATCTCTGAGCCTCAATATCCTCATTTATGAAATATAGCTCATGAACCTACCGTATAGGCTTGGTGCAAGACACAAATGGGGTAACTCTGAACCTAGTGCTTGGAATTCGGCTACCAGTTCCCTCCCTAGGCTGTGAACTTCTAAAAGGCAGGAAAAATCTTAGTCCCTGGATCCCCAGTTCTTTGCACAGTCCTGGACATGCACACACAAACACACACCCCACATTTAGTAAAGGTTGGTTGATTATTCAAATAAATAAACGAGAAAGTTCTACAACACATAGTAATTTATAATTAAAAAGAAGATCTTGATGAGAACACAATATATGCTAATATATGCTGATTCACTTGTGAAGCCATTTAGCAGTAGCTTTTCAGGCTCCTGACTTCCTCCCATGCTTAGTATGGGAAATTTATGCCAAAGGGCCTTTGGCACCTGCCAAAAAATAACTGGTCATTTCCTTCTTTTATAATTTTTGTATATTCTCTGGTAGAGTAGTTAATGAGCAGTAAAATGCAAGGAAGAAAAGCAAAACAGGTAAAGTATATATCTCTAAATAACAGTTGACTACTGTATTATGTCATTCTTGCATTGGTAGAAATCCCTGAGACTGGGTAATTTATAAAGAAAAGATATTTAATTGGCTCATAGTTCTGCAGGCTTTACAGGAAGCACAGTGCTGGCACTTGCCAACTTCTGGTGAAGGCTCAGGGAGCTTTCGATCATGGTGGAAGGTGAAGTGGGAGCAAGCACCATCACATAGGGAAAGCAGGAGCAAGCAAGAGTGGGGGGTAGCGAAGGTGCCACACACTTTTAAATGACCAGCTCTCATGAGAACTCACTATTGGCAAGACAGCACCAGGCCATGAGGGACCGCCCCTGTGATCCAAACACCTCCCATCAGGCCCCAGCTCTAGCATTGGCAATTACAATTCAACAGGAGATTTGGGTGGGGCCAAATATCTAAACTATTTAAACTATACATATGTTTGTCTCTTTTTCTGTGTAATTTTTTTCATCATGAATTTTCCTCCCTAGCCTACAAGATGATGCACAGTTCTGTGCTTTGTTTTAAAAGTTTCTCAAACCACCGTAAGTTAGGGCTTCCAAAATAAGCTGATTAAAATCTAGCTGTGTTAAAAGCTCCTGTTCCTGGATTATCAGAAAACAGATGGGGTAGGAGGCCTTTCACATACAGAGGGATCCCTTTTCATAGCAATATAAAGCACCAACCCTTGGAGAGAACAAACAGATTTTAAGTATTGGCTTCTTTTTCCATAATCACAGCTGATTTATTTATCCGTTATGCACGGAGAAATTCGGTAGCTGTATGGTCAGCTTCTGAATGGTTGTTAACTGTGTTTTCCATGCACAGAATGAGGCTAAATGGGAGAGACTATGGCATTAACTTGTAATGATCATGTCTGGATCTGCTTTCCAATGTTTGGACACAAGAGAAACCTGATAAAAACTGAAGCTTGGGTTCTGATACCCTTTTTCTGCTCCCACTAAAGGAAGCTGGGTGGATTTGGCACCTACATCTAATTTTCCATAGCCTCTGCTCAGTCTGTAGCCTCAGTTTGTAGTTAATTAACCTGTTCATGAAATGTAAATAGTAATGGACATTCTGTGTGCCACATAGCTGCTGGTGGAAGGGAGCTGTCAGTCTGTAACACTTGCTCAGGGAGCTTCTCTCCTTTCAGTCTTGGCAGGAACATTTGAGCAACATGAGCTTCAGTGGGAAGGAGTGGCCAGCTGAAAATGTAAGGTGTTTTTCCCACCTAATAGGGGATTACTAGTAGGTTATTTAGGATTCCTCCAACCACTCTATCTTGTATGGGATCCAAGGGAGCATTACCACATGGCCTTATTTTAGGAAATTTTCTTTCACTAGTCATTATGACTCTGTTCTGTACAGGGAGAAAGTTGCTGCATCACGGTTCAAAGAGTTAGGATTTTGTAAGAAAATTTCTTTGAATCTTTTTAAAGATAATACTATGTTAGAAAAAGAGCACAAACGGTAATTGGTTTGTTTGGTTTTATTTTCTGTAGCTTAATTAACCAGTATGGTATGAAACAGGTATGCTGTTTTTTGGTATTTGGAGAACAAAATGACCTCTGTACATAAGAACATCATTTATTTTAAGATATCTCACTGTTTTGCCAGTCATCCCCCTTTTCTGCCTATGAGACAAAAGCCTTAATGATCCTCTTTGGAGTGCCCTTATCCCCAAAACTCCTTTTCTTTACATAAAAAGTTTTATTTATTTTAAATGTTCCTCTCCATCAACAAAAATTGATTATGTAATATTTCAATTTAATTTATTTGGTATTGATGTTGACCACTTCAGAAATGTAAAACTGGCATTTCATTCTCCTAGAGTTCTTTTCTTTTTACCTATGATTGCTCCGATTTTTATCTGTAAACATTATTTTAGTTGTTAATGACTAATTTTTGTTAATTTGATTTTTTCCTAGTCCCTATTTTCTTTTCTTTGTCGTCAATATTTCCAGAATGACAATGATAGTAGCTAGGAACTGCTATGTATATACCTACTGTCTAAATGCCTAAATTCTCATTTAATCCTCACAACAACTATAAAGCACAGAATTGCTGCTGTGCTCACTTCACACCCTGAAAGATGTTACACACGGCCACTACACGGCAGAGCTGGGCTTCACGGCTGCACATGGCTAACAAAACCCCTGTCCTTCCCTCTGTATTTTACTGAAGCATTTCGAGTGTTTATGATTCTGCATTAAATATTTTAAAAACCAAACACTTTGGCCAAAAATAAAGATTAATTGCAGGCATATCTACCAGGACAAGTGCATTTATATAAATAGCTACTAGGTAGAAAACACAAAAGCTAAACCATGAAATCAAATATAATAGCTTTACTTTTTTCTTGAATGTTAAAAGTTGTCTTTTGTCTACTAAAATCTATATTTTATTTCTTAGGAAACATTATTTTAGGAATGTATAAAGATATAACTTGAAGAATATTGTCTGTACAAAATATTGAAGAAACCTAAGTGGCTATCAGTAGAGGACTGTTGCTATTAATACTGGCTTGGCAGTGCAAGAGTATTCTCTGTAGCAATTAAAAAGAACAAGAACTTATGTATTTTGATTTGGAAAGATGACTGTGAGCCAAATGTATTATAGGGCAATAAGTGTTGTATTAACCAATTTTTTGAATAAAAATATATATGTAATTATATGTATATAGGGCTATGCCTCTATAAGTATAGCAAAATATCCAGTGAGGAATTGTATTAAATTGTATTCAACAAAATGTTAATAAGTAACTCTGGAGTCAAATCAGAGAGGCATAGTGGTAATTTTGATTTTTAATATAAATAATTAAAAAGGAACAATGAGATTAATGGATTTTTTTATATTTTTGTTTTAAAAATTAATTTTTATTAATTTTATTATCTGACTCTTTTCTTAAGGTATTTCTCTGTGCTTAGAAATGGATATTCTCTGTCTGTGGGCCATATATAATCTTCACATATACACCTTATTTCCACTGAAGAACAAATCACCAGGTTAAAAAAAATTATACTTTTCTACAAAGCAAATGAAGGGCTGTGGATATTTAAAAATCTAAAAGAACTAAACTTCAGAGGGATGAGTCTTTCTGAGAAACAGCTCAGGGACAGCTGATGTTTTCATACTTGGAACCAATTTTTGTGGGTGGCAGCAGGGCTGGTAGAGAATAGAATCCAAACAGTATTGGCTTGGACAGAGGCAAACCTGGCACCTTTTAACAAGCCCATGGATTGGAATGCTGCAGGACCCTCAAAAACAAAGACAATTCTTTCTGTGAAGTAATTCCCTTACATAGGAATTTTGGTGAGTAACAGAACCTGGGTGTAGGGTGGGAAAGCAGAAAGAAAACTCAGATTCTCCAAGTCAATGTCTGCAGCCTTGTTATCTGTATTCCTATAGTCTTGAAATCTCATAGTCCCACAGTCTCAGGCTTTCACAGATGGGAAGTTCTGAGGTCCAGCAGTCTTGTGATTTGATCCCAGGGTCCCAGTATAGGGAGAAGGTAACTTCAAACCATTCAAAGCCAGACATGAGTTGAGTCTTACCAAAGTCATAACTGAACTCCCACCCAATTCAACTTCTGATGAGATCAAATATATCAATACTGAGCTGGTATACAAAGGTGGGGCTAAAGAGCAAGGACAGATTTATGAAACTCCCTGTATTCTAATTCTAAAGCCTTCCTAGAGGAATCAAAACCACAGTGTCTCTCTAAATCAGCTCAATCATTGATTGAATCAAACTGAACAGCCTCTCACCCTAATTCAGCCCAGTGACCTAACACTGACAGAGGAAAGTAGTATTCCTTATTTTTAGAAAGAAATAAATAATACACACATATTTTAGACACGGTATCCAGTATACAATAGAAAATAATAAAAAGGGCAAAAAAGGAGGATGACTCATGGTTAAAAAGAAAATCATGCATTAGATACAAATGCACAGATGATGAAGATATAGGAATTATTAAACAAGATCTTTAAAATAGCTATAATAACACAAATAATAATAAATATGTTAAAGAATCTACAGAAAAGCATGATATAATGAGTGGAAAGATGGAGAGTTTCAGGAAATAATTTGAAGCCCCAGAAAGGACCAAATGGAAGCCAAGAACTGAAACTGATTAATATGGTTTTTGCAATAACAACATTTAATTGGGGTGGGGGGTAACATCGGGCTGGACAGAGGAAGGATCATTAAAATTGAAAACAGGTAGAAATTATGCAAATGGAAGCAAAGAGAGACAAAGATTGAAAATATGAGAACATAGCCACGGTAGGATAACAGCAAACAGTTTAATATTCATATAATTGGAATACCAGGCAAAAGGAAGAGAAAGAATGAAAAATAAAGTAATATTTTAAAAAATGGATAAAATTTAAATTGATTTAAAAAGAAAGCAGCAAATCATGTATTCAGAATAAATAAAAAAAAATCTAGGCACATCCTAATGATACTGCTGAAAAACCAACAATATAGAGAGAAATCTTAAAAGGGGCCAGAGGAAAATTACCACAATACACACAAGAGAACAACAAGAAGAAGACATAATTTCTTACTAGAAACAATGAATGTTAGAAGATGATATAATGGCATTTTTAAGTGCCCAAATTAAAACAGGGGAAAAAAAGCAAAACAAAACAACAAACAAATCTTGCCAATCTAAAAGTTCTATACATCAGAAAACCTATTTCTGCTTGGGATGCAGAAAGCCAGAAAGGGGAATTTGAACACACTTGTGAACTCTTCATGGGCTTCACTGAGTCCCCACAAGAACAATTGGCAAGAGTCTTGAGAACGTGTCCCTCCTGGTACAGACCAGGATGAGGGGAACAGGCGCTGCTACAAGAAACTCACAACATGCAGTTCAGATCCTTCTCTCCACTCTCCCCTTTTAAACCAAGACTTTAAAATAGGCCAGGGCAAACTGAATCCAGCAGCACATCAAAAAGCTTATCCAGCATGATCAAGGGGGCTTCATCCCTGGGATGCAAGGCTGGTTCAACATATGCAAATCAATAAAAGTAATCCAGCATATAAACAGAACCAAAGACAAAAACCATGTGATTATCACAATAGATGCAGAAAAGGCCTCTCACAAAATTCAACAACCTTCATGCTAAAAACTCTCAATAAATTAGGTATTGATGGGACATATCTCAAAATAATAAGAGCTATCTATGACAAACCCACAGCCAATATCATACTGAATGGGCAAAAACCGGAAGCATTCCCTTTGAAAACTGGCACAAGACAGGGATGCCCTCTCTCACCACTCCTATTCAACATAGTGTTGGAAGTTCTGGCCAGGGCAATCAGGCAGGAGAAGGAAATTAAGGGTATTCAGTTAGGAAAAGAGGAAGTCAAACTGTCCCTGTTTGCAGATGACATGATTGTATATCTAGAAAACCCCATTGTCTCAGCCCAAAATCTCCTTAAGCTGATAGGCAACTTCAGCAAAGTCTCAGGATACAAAATCAATGTGCAAAAATCATGAGCATTCTTATACACCAATAACAGACAAACAGAGAGCCAAATCATGAGTGAACTCCCATTCACAATTGCATCAAAGAGAATAAAATACCTAGGAATCCAACTTACAAGGGACGTGAAGGACCTCTTCAAGGAGAACTACAAACCACTGCTCAGCAAAATAAAAGAGGATACAAAGAAATGGAAGAACATTCCATGCTCATGGGAAAGAAGAATTAATATCATGAAAATGGCCATACTGCCCAAGGTAATTTATAGATTCAATGCCATCCCCATCAAGCTACCAATGACTTTCTCCACAGAATTGGAAAAAACTACCTTAAAGTTCATATGGAACCAAAAAAGAGCCCGCATTGCCAAGTCAATCCTAAGCCAAAAGAACAAAGTTGGAGGCATCACGCTACCTGACTTCGAACTACACTACAAGGCTACAGTAACCAAAACAGCATGGTCTGGTGCCAAAACAGAGATACAGACCAATGGAACAGAGCAAAGCCCTCAGAAATAATGCCACACATCTACAACCATCTGATCTTTGACAAACCTCACAAAAACAAGAAATGGGGAAACGATTCTCTATTTAATAAATGGTGCTGGGAAAAATGGCTAGCAATATGTAGAAAGCTGAAACTGGATCTCTTCCTTACACCTTATACAAAAATTAATTCAAGATGGATTAAAGACTTAAATGTTAGACCTAAAACCATAAAAACCCTAGAAGAAAACCTAGGCAATACCTTTCAGGACATAGGCATGGGCAAGTACTTCATGTCTAAAACACCAAAAGCAATGGCAACAAAAGCCAAAATTGACAAATGCGATCTAATTAAACTAAAGAGCTTCTGCACAGCAAAAGAAACTACCATCAGAGGGGAGGGGAGCCAAGATGGCAGAATAGGAACAGTTCTAGTCTACAGCTCCCAGTGTAAGCGACAGAGAAGATGGGTGATTTCTGCATTTCCATCTGAGGTACTGGGTTCATCTCACTAGGGAGTGCCAGACAGTGGATGCAGGACAGTGGGTGCAGTGCACCGTTCATGAGCCGAAGCAGGGCAATGCATTGCCTCACTCGGGAAGCTCAAAGGATCAGGGAGTTCCCTCTCCTAGTCAAAGAAAGGGGTGACAGATGGCACCTAGAAAATCGGGTCACTCCCACCCTAATACCGCGCTTTTCCAACGGGCTTAAAAAATGGCGCACCAGGAGATTATATCCCGCACATGGCTCGAAGGGTCCTACGCCCACGGAGTCTGGCTGATTGCTAGCACAGCAGTCTGAGATCAAACTGCAAGGTGGCAGTGAGGCTGGGGGAGGGGTGCCCGCCATTGCCAAGGCTTGCTTAGGTAAACAAAGCAGCCAGGAAGCTCAAACTGGGTGGAGCCCACCACAACTCAAGGAGGCCTGCCTGCCTCTGTAGGCTCCATCTCTGGGGGCAGGGCACAGACAAACAAAAAGACAGCAGTAACCTCTGCAGACTTAAATGTCCCTGTCTGACAGCTTTGAAGAGAGCAGTGGTTCTCCCAGCACGCAGCTGGAGATTTGAGAACGGGCAGACTGCCTCCTCAAGTGGGTCCCTGACCCCTGAGCCCCGAGCAGCCTAACTGGGAGGCACCCCCTAGTAGTGGCAGACTGACACTTCACACGGCCGGGTACTCCTCTGAGACAAAACTTCCAGAGGAACGATCAGACAGCAGCATTCGTGGTTCATGAAAATCTGCTGTTCTGCAACCACCGCTGCGGATACCCAGGCAAACAGGGTCTGGAGTGGACCTCTAGCAAACTCCAACAGACCTGCAGCTGAGGGTCCTGTCTGTTAGAAGGAAAACTAACAAACAGAAAGGACATCCACACCAAAAACCCATCTGTACATCACCATCATCAAAGACCAAAAGTAGATAAAACCACAAAGATGGGGAAAAAACAGAGCAGAAAAACTGGAAACTCTAAAAAGTAGAGTGCCTCTCCTCCTCCAAAGGAATGCAGTTCCTCACCAGCAACGGAACAAAGCTGGACGGAGAATGACTTTGACGAGTTGAGAGAAGAAGGCTTCAGACGATCAAACTACCCCGAGCTACAGGAGGAAATTCAAACCAAAGGCAAAGAAGTCAAAAACTTTGAAAAAAATTTAGATGAATGTATAACTAGAATAATCAATACAGAGAAGTGCTTAAAGGAGCTGATGGAGCTGAAAGCCAAGGCTCGAGAACTACATGAAGAATGCAGAAGCCTCAGGAGCTGATGCAATCAACTGGAAGAAAGGGTATCAGTGATGGAAGATGAAATGAATGAAATGAAGCGAGAAGGGAAGTTTAGAGAAAAAATAATAAAAAGAAACGAACAAAGCCTCCAAGAAATATGGGACTATGTGAAAAGACCAAATCTGCGTCTGATTGGTGTACCTGAAAGTGATGGGGAGAATGGAACCAAGTTGGAAAACACTCTGCAAGATATTATCCAGGAGAACTTCCCCAATCTAGCAAAGCAGGCAAATATTCAGATTCAGGAAATACAGAGAACGCCACAAAGATACTCCTCGAGAAGAGCAACTCCAAGACACATAATTGTCAGATTCACCAAAGTTGAAATGAAGGAAAAAATGTTAAGGGCAGCCAGAGAGAAAGGTCATGTTACCCACAAAGGGAAGCCCATCAGACTAACAGCGGATCTCTCGGCAGAAACTCTACAAGCCAGAAGAGAGTGGGGGCCAATATTCAACATTCTTAAAGAAAAGAATTTTCAACCAGAATTTCATATCCAGCCAAACTAAGCTTCATAAGTGAAGGAGAAATAAAATACTTTACAGACAAGCAAATGCTGAGAGATTTTGTCACCACCAGGCCTGCCCTAAAAGAGCTCCTGAAGGAAGCACTAAACATGGAAAGGAACAACTGGTACCAGCCACTGCAAAATCATGCCAAATCATAAAGACCATCCAGGCTAGGAAGAAACTGCATCAACTAACGAGCAAAATAACCAGCTAACATCATAATGACAGGATCAAATTCACACATAACAATATTACCTTTAAATGTAAATGGACTAAATGCTCCAATTAAAAGACACAGACTGGCAAATTGGATAAAGAGTCAAGACCCATCAGTGTGCTGTATTCAGTAAACCCATCTCACGTGCAGAGACACACATAGGCTCAAAATAAAAGGATGGAGGAAGATCTACCAAGCAAATGGAAAACAAAAAAAGGCAGGGGTTGCAATCCTAGTCTCTGATAAAACAGACTTTAAACCAACAAAGGTCAAAAGAGACAAAGAAGGCCATTACGTAATGGTAAAGGGATCAATTCAACAAGAAGAGCTAACTATCCTAAATATATATGCACCCAATACGGGAGCACCCAGATTCATAAAGCAAGTCCTGAGTGACCTACAAAGAGACTTAGACTCCCACACAATAATAATGGGAGACTTTAACACCCCACTGTCAACATTAGACAGATCAACGAGACAGAAAGTTAACAAGGATACCCAGGAATTGAACTCAGCTCTGCACCAAGCAGACCTAATAGATATCTACAGAACTCTCCACCCCAAATCAATAGAATATACATTTTTTTCAGCACCACACCACACCTATTCCAAAATTGACAACATAATTGGAAGTAAAGCTCTCCTCAGCAAATGTAAAAGAACAGAAATTATAACAAACTATCTCTCAGACCACAGTGCAATCAAACCACAACTCAGGATTAAGAAACTCACTCAAAACCGCTCATCTACATGGAAACTGAACAACCTGCTCCTGAATGACTACTCAGTATGTAACAAAATGAAGGCAGAAATAAAGATGTTCTTTGAAACCAACGAGAACAAAGACACAACATACCAGAATCTCTGGGACACATTCAAAGCAGTGTGTAGAGGGAAATTTGTAGCACTAAATGCTGACAAGAGAAAGCAGGAAAGATCCAAAATTGACACCCTAACATCACAATTGAAAGAACTAGAAAAGCAAGAGCAAACACATTCAAAAACTAGCAGAAGGCAAGAAATAACTAAAATCAGAGCAGAATGGAAAGAAATAGAGACACAAAAAACCCTTCAAAAAATTAATGAATCCAGGAGCTGGTTTTTTGAAAGGATCAACAAAATTGATAGATGGCTAGCAAGACTAATAAAGAAGAAAAGAGAGAAGAATCAAATAGACGCAATAAAAAATGATAAAGGGGATATCACCACCGATCCCTCAGAAATACAAACTACCATCAGGGAATACTACAAACACCCCTGCGCAAATAAACTAGAAAATCTAGAAGAAATGGATAAATTCCTGGACACATACACCCTCCCAAGACTAAACCAGGAAGAAGTTGAATCTCTGAATGGACCAATAACAGGATGTGAAATTGTGGCAATAATCAATAGCTTACCAACCAAAAAGAGTCCAGGACCAGATGGATTCACAGCCGTATTCTACCAGAGATGCAAGGAGGAACTGGTACCATTCCTTCTGAAACTATTCCAATCAATAGAAAAAGAGGGAATCCTCCCTAACTCATTTTATGAGGCCAGCATCATCCTGACACCAAAGCCAGGCAGAGACACAACCAAAAAAGAGAATTATAGACCAATATCCTTGATGAACATTGATGCAAAAATCCTCAATAAAATACTGGCAAACTGAATCCAGCAGCACATCAAAAAGCTTATCCACCATGATCAAGGGGGCTTCATCCCTGGGATGCAAGGCTGGTTCAATATATGCAAATCAATAAATGTAATCCAGCATATAAACAGAACCAAAGACAAAACCACCTGATTATCTCAATAGATGCAGAAAAGGCCTCTCACAAAATTCAACAACCCTTCATGCTAAAAACTCTCAATAAATTAGGTATTGATGGGATGTATTTCAAAATAATAAGAGCTATCTATGACAAACCCACAGCCAATATCATACTGAATGGGCAAAAACCGGAAGCATTCCCTTTGAAAACTGGCACAAGACAGGGATGCCCTCTCTCACCACTCCTATTCAACATAGTGTTGGAAGTTCTGGCCAGGGCAATCAGGCAGGAGAAGGAAATTAAGGGTATTCAGTTAGGAAAAGAGGAAGTCAAATTGTCCCTGTTTGCAGATGACATGATTGTATATCTAGAAAACCCCATTGTCTCAGCCCAAAATCTCCTTAAGCTGATAGGCAACTTCAGCAAAGTCTCAGGATACAAAATCAATGTGCAAAAATCATGAGCATTCTTATATACCAATAACAGACAAACAGAGAGCCAAATCATGAGTGAACTCCCATTCACAATTGCATCAAAGAGAATAAAATGCCTAGGAATCCAACTTACAAGGGACGTGAAGGACCTCTTCAATGAGAACTACAAACCACTGCTCAGTGAAATAAAAGAGGATACAAACAAATGGAAGAACATTCCATGCTCATGGGTAGGAAGAATCAATATCGTGAAAATGGCCATATTGCCCAAGGTAATTTATAGATTCAATGCCATCCCCATCAAGGTACCAATGACTTTCTTCACAGAATTGGAAAAAACTACCTTAAAGTTCATATGGAACCAAAAAAGAGCCTGCATTGCCATGTCAATCCTAAGCCAAAAGAACAAAGCTGGAGGCATCATGCTACCTGACTTCAAACTATACTACAAGGCTACAGTAACCAAAACAGCATGGTACTGGTACCAAAACAGAGATATAGATCAATGGAACAGAACAGAGCCCTCAGAAATAAAGCCGCATATCTACAACTATCTGATCTTTGACAAACCTGAGGAAAACAAGCTATGGGGAAAGGATTCCCTATTTAATAAATGGTGCTGGGGAAAACTCGCTAGCCATATGTAGAAAGCTGAAACTGGATCCCTTCCTTACACCTTATACAAAAATTAATTCAAGATGGATTAAAGACTTAAACGTTAGACCTAAAACCATAGAAGAAAACCTAGGCATTACCATTCAGGACATAGGCATGGGCAAGGACTTCATGTCTAAAACACCAAAGGCAATGGCAACAAAAGCCAAAATTGACAAATGGGATCTAATTAAACTAAAGAGCATCTGCACAGCAAAAGAAACTACCATCAGAGTGAACAGGCAACCTACAAAATGGGAGAAAATTTTCACAACCTACTCATCTGACTAAGGGCTAATATCCAGAATCTACAATGAACTCAAACAAATTTACAAGAAAAAAACAAACAACCCCATCGAAAAGTGGGCGAAGGACATGAACAGACACTTCTCAAAAGAAGACATTTATGCAGCCAAAAGACACATGAAAAAATGCTCATCATCACTGGCCATCAGAGAAATGCAAATCAAAACCACAATGAGATACCATGTCACACCAGTTAGAATGGCGATCATTAAAAAGTCAGGAAACAACAGGTGCTGGAGAGGATGTGGAGAAATAGGAACACTTTTACACTGTTGGTGGGACTGTAAAGTAGTTCAACCATTGTGGAAGTCAGTGTGGCGATTCCTCAGGGATCTAGAAATAGAAATACCATTTGACCCAGCCATCCCATTACTGGGTATATACCCAGAGGACTATAAATCATGCTGCTATAAAGACACATGCCACACATATGTTTATTGCGGCTCTATTCACAATAGCAAAGACTTGGAACCAAGCCAATTGTCCAACAATGATAGACTGGATTAAGAAAATGTGGCACATATACACCATGGAATACTATGCAGCCATAAAAAATGATGAGTTCATGTCCTTTGTAGGGACATGGATGAAATTGGAAATCATCATTCTCAGTAAACTATCCCAAGAACAAAAAACCAAACACCGCATATTCTCACTCATAGGTGGGAGTTGAACAATGAGAACACATGGACACAGGAAGGGGAACATCACACTCTGGGGACTGTTGTGGGGTGGGGGGAGGGGAGAGGGATAGCATTAGGAGATATACCTAATGTTAAATGATGAGTTAATGGGTGCAGCACACCAGCATGGCACATGTATACATATGTAACTAACCTGCACATTGTGCACATGTACCCTAAAAGTTAAAGTATAATAATAATAAAATAAAATAAAATAAACTACCATCAGAGTGAACAGGCAACCTACAGAACGGGAGAAAATTTTTGCAATCTACTCATCTGACAAAGGGCTAATATCCAGAATCTACAATGAACTCAAACAAATTTACAAGAAAAAAACAACCCCATCAAAAAGTGGGTGAAGGATACAAACAAACACTTCTGAAAAGAAATTTATGCAGCCAAAAGACACATGAAAAAATATTCATCATCACTGGCCATCAGAGAAATGCAAATCAAAACCACAGTCAGATACCATGTCACACCAGTTAGAATGGCGATCATTAAAAAGTCAGGAAACAACAGGTGCTGGAGAGGATGTGGAGAAATAGGAACAATTTTACACTGTTGGTGGGACTGTAAACTAGTTCAACCATTGCGGAAGTCAAGTGTGGCAATTCCTCAGGGATCTAGAACTAGAAATACCATTTGACCCAGCAATCCCATTACTGGTTATATACCCAAAGGATTATAAATCATGCTGCTATAAGGACACATGCACACGTATGTTTATTGCGGCACTATTCACAATAGCAAAGACTTGGAACCAAGCCAAATGTCCAACCATGATAGACTGGATTAAGAAAATGTGGCACATATACACCATGGAATACTATGCAGCCATAAAAATTGATGAGTTCATGTCTTTTGTAGGGACATGGATGAAGCTGGAAACCATCATTCTCAGCAAACTATCGCAAGGACAAAAAACCAAACACTGCATGTTCTCACTCATAGATGGGAATTGAACAATGAGAATGCATGGACACAGGAAGGGGAACATCACACACCGGTGCCTGTTGTGGGGTTGGGGGAGGTGGGAGGGATAGCATTAGGAGATATACCTAATGTTAAATGATGAGTTAATGGGTGCAGCACACCAACATGGAATATGTATACTAATCTGCACGTTGTGCACATGTACCCTAAAACTTAAAGTAGAAATAATAATAATAATAATAAAATATTTTTTATAATTGTCTACTTGATTGCAAGCTATAAAAAGCAATTAAAATAAAAAAAAATAAAATAGGCCAGGGGTGCGTGGGGGTGGCAGCTACCGCCTGTAGTGTTGAAAACCTTTTTTAGTTGAGAGAAGGAAAACAAATTACCTCTACCCTTAGCAGATGGACAGTACTGGGCCCAGAATTCAGCTGAAGGAGAGACAGCAACCCTGAGAGGCACCCACAGCTGCATGACACCTGGGGACACAGTGCCTGCCTAATGTAGTTTTGATATTCGTCCCTTCCAAACCTCATGTTGAAATTTGATCCCCAGTGTTGGGGTGGGGGCCTAGTGGGAGGTTTTTGGGTCACGGGAGCTGATCCTTCTTGAAAAGCTTGGTCTTGGTGCTGTCCTGGCAGTAATGAATGAGTTCTTCCTCTATTAATTCCTGCAACCATAACTGATTTTTGAAAAGAGTGTGGCACCTCCTCTTTTTTTTTTCTGAGACGGAGTTTCGCTCTTGTTGCCCAGGCTGGAGTGCAATGGCGCGATCTCAGGCTGGAGTGCAATGGCATGATCTCGGCTCACCGCAACCTCCGCTTCCTGGGTTCAAACAATTCTCCTGCCTCGGCCTCCCAAGTAGATTACAGGCATGTGCCACCATGCTTGGCTAATTTATTGTATTTTTAGTAGAGATGGGGTTTCTCCATGTTGGTCAGGCTGGTCTCAAACTCCTGACCTCAGGTGATCCACCCGCCTCGGCCTCCCAAAGTGCTGGGATTATAGGTGTGAGCTACCGCACCTGGCCTCCTCCCCTCTTTATCTTTTGCTTCTCTCCTTTTGCCATGTGATTCCTGCTCCTCTTCACCTTCTGCCATGAGTAGAAGCAGCCTGAAGCCCTCACCAGAAGCAGATGCTGGTGCCATGCTTCTTGTACAACCTGCAGAACTGTGAGTCAAATAAACCTATTTTTCTTTATAAATTACCCAGCCTCGAGTATTCTTTTATAGAAACACGAACAGACTAAGACACTGCCTAAGACCCAGGCATAATGAAAACAATAACAAAAAAAGCCCCGAACCCCTGGTCCAACCATCAGACTTCTTGTCTTGGTTACTCTAGTTCCTTTGGTTTTCTATGTCAATTTTAGAATCAGTTTATTACTATCTATAAAAGAGCCATCTGGGATTTTTGAATGGGCTTGTATTGACTCCATAGATCAATTACGTGAGAATTGACATAGGAACAAAATAATCATGGTATATCTCTCCACTTGTCTTCCTTCATTTATATTATCAGTGTTTTGTAGTTTACTACATATAGATTCTGTACATGTATTATTAGATGTGTAACTATTTCACTTTTTGAAGCCATTGTAATTGCACTATTTTTTAAAATTCAGAATTCCAATTATTTATTGCCAGAATATAGTAATAAAATTGATTTTTAATATTGATCTTGTATCCTACAACCTTGCTGAACTCATTAGTTATAAAGATGTTCTGTAGATTCCACTGGGAAGCTAGTCATGTGGAAGTACGTGGCTGGTGGCACTCTGCTATGCAACCCTCTTTGGGGAGTCAGGAGATGCAAAAGTATATTCTGTGATTATGTAAAACAGAATTCCATTGTCTCCCAACTTGTACCATGACTGAGTTTTCAATAAGCTATTTCACCTTTCATTTAGCCTAACCCCTTTTGAGTGATCAGGTATGTGGAAAGATCAGTTAATTTTACAGGTCTGAGCCTATTTCTGTACTTTCTTTGTTGTAAAAAGAGTTCCTCAATTAGAAGCAAAGCTATGGGAAGTGTCACACAGATAATGTATTCTATGAGTCCACAGATGGTGGAACTAAAAGCATTACAGAGAGAGAAAAAAAATGCATATCTAGAATGTGTGTCTATTCCAGTGAGGAAGACTCTCTGCCCCATCCATGGTGCAAGAGGTCCAATGTAAATGAACTGCCATAATGTGGCTAAGCAGGTTCCCTAGGGAATGGGGCTTAGTGTTGGTCTCTTTTGCTGATGGAGTAGGCTCTTAGCTGTAATGTTGGTTATGTCAGCCTTGGAAGAAAAAGTCATGTCGTTAAGCCCTTGTGTAGCCCCCATCCCTGCACCCATGTCATTTTTGTTTATGTAGCCACTGAGCTGATAAAGGGAACTGACATCCAAAGAGGTGTAATTTGAACCTTCTCTAAGGATGCACTTTGGTGGGCATTTACATGGGTAACAAATATCTTCAGTCTTTGCTCATTTTGTAAAGCCCATTCAAATACTTCTTCCCCGGATTTTCTTGTCACAAATTTTCTAATACTATTATTTCTATGTCCCTGACAATTCAGCCGCATTATTAGCAACTTCCCAAGAATCCTGTAAATCTATACTTTTGGCCCTAGCTCTGGACTGAATGGACAACTAGATGTACTGCTCAAGGCTCTGCCCACTGAGAAGACTTTCTTTCACTGTCATCATTCAGGTCACCCAGTGGGACTGTAGTGGTACATTCATTTGCTTTCTATTAGTGCTATCATATTGTGAAGACCCATTTGGAATCCAGGCTTGAGTGTTTTTCTTCTTCAGATAACTGGTCATAATAAGTATCCCAGGAGGCCCTGCATATGGCTTGAAAGAAGAGACAATGCAACATTAGCTGATATTAAAGGAGCTGGTGCTACCTGCTCATGCAGCTTCCTCATAACCTTCCAGACCTGACCAAGCTTGGTCTTTTATACACTGTTTTCATCTCATGATAGGTTGCTGTGGCCGTGTGGGTCAGACAACCCAATTTATGACAGAATGCTTGGATCATGTGGCCACTTGATGTCCTATTGTTGGGTGTTCAGTTCCTACCAAGGCTCAATACAAAACAAGAAGCCATTTCTCAAAAGGAGAATAGTTATCTGCAGATTTTATGTGTGTGAATGCATGTGCATGCATGCACACGCACCCTCCTACATATCTGTGGATGATATATATATATATATTATATATTATATATATTATATATATATATATAATATATATATATTCTAGTATCTTAGAGATCACACTGTAATTTTCCTATCAGTGCTTGTCAGGGTCTGCATGCAATATCTTTGTTTTCTGCAGACACTGAATATCATCAAATCTACTGAATCCTAAGGCCTAAGTGACAGATCAGCTTGTACTACAGAATGAACTTGCTTCACAGTTTTTTTTACTCTAGTCTCTACTAAGAACTGCCCACCTTGTGGATGATTCTGAAAATGGCCTGAAATAATACTCTCAAATGGGGGATAGGTTGTTTACAAAATTTAAAACATTATACCAGGCACTGGGCATCTTTCTATATGATGGTTGATGTGAGGTGAAGCAATTTGTTTTTCACCTTGAAGGGAATATCTCCACATTAATTCTCCATAAATTTCACTGAAGCGAATCCCTAAATTTTGGTTTACTTGGAACCTCTTGTTCATATATGTCTTACTAAGGCACCTAAAATGTTTGTAACTTTCAGCTGACTGTATCTAATAAGCACAGCTTCATCAATACAGTAGACCAGTGTATGCTTTTCTAAGTGTCATAAAGACAAAGACCTCTGCAGACTCTACTTGGCAGGGAGCAGGTAGGTATCTGCAGGTATACTGCTGCCTTAGCCATGTCAAGAGTGGCATTCCAAATGAAAGGGCCTGTGTTGTTCCAGTGAACATATTACATGTGGGACAATAGCCACAGTTGAAGTCACCAACTTATTAAGCTTACAGTAGTCCATGATCATTCTCTAATATCTACCTGATTTCTCCACAGGTTAAACTGTTGAGTTATATAAGGATAGCTAGATTTCACCGCTGTTGCTGCTTTCAAATTTTTGATTATGGCGTTTACATAAAAAATTCCCCCAGTGATACTGCATTGCTTCTGGTATGTTATCTTAGGATTGAGGAGGAAGTTCCAGGGGCTTTCACTTAGCCCTTTCTATAATAATGGTCCATATCTATGAATCAGTCAATATGGGGTTTCTGACTGTTGCCGAGTGTCTCTGTTGCAATCATACATTCGGGAACCAGGGACCTAAACACAAGATGGGGCTGTGGACTAACTTGTCACACTTTAAGTTGGACTTGAGCTAATATTCTGTCCATCACCTGACTGCATTGGCATTTTGGGTCACCAGGAATTAGGTTCCATTCAGAGCCAAATGTCCAGTAATCATCTAAAGGTTTGGGTTTTTGTCTTTTTGCTAATGCACAGTGACTCTAGTAAATGGCCACACATTTCTTTTTGGGTGCCTTCAGTGAAGATTTTCGGTATGTGGCTATGGCTGTAGTGGAGGATCCTCCTTTTTGGTGTCCAGAATTTCTCTTCAATTAAGAGGCGGTGGGCCAGTGAATTAACTCAGCTTTAGAAACTGGATAAGAAGCCATGACTTTCCACTGCAGTAAACAATGTCATATTTTTGGCTGCTACACCTAGAATTTTTTTCTGGTGCTAATTCTATCTCAGTAAGAGTTAAAGCAGAAGAGAGAAATCATGCAGTAATTTTAATAGGGAAAGTTTCATATTCATAATTATTATATTTAACAGAGGACCAGAGAAATGAAGGTTGGACTAGGGAAATACAAAAAATTATTTTTCCCACTCTTATCTCACTACACCTAGGGCAGAGAGAGTGGTCAAAAGAGAGACACCCATTCCCAAAGCCCAGCCCCAAACCTTTGTGGATGTGGCCAACTGTGGCTCATTGAATGGTAGAGAGGTCACTGAGGTGCTGAACTAGTGGGACTTGATGGAAATATATCCTCTGTGGTTTTGGGGTATGCTGTCCACAGACAAGTACTTACTATTGAATGTACTGCAAAGCCTCCTATTATGTGCCAGGGAAAACTGCTGACTGCTGGACACTGGAAAAGCCACATCATGCAGGCATGTAGAGAGAGGAGCACTGTCTCTTCAGTACTTTCTACTGCCTAAACTTAACGTTGTGTGTGTCAGCTGTAATAAGAAAAATATTAACAGATCCAGCTATGCTATCACAGAGCAGTCAAAGAAGGGTGAGTTTGGAACCAAGATAAATTGATCAGTGGCACAGGAGAAAATTGAAGTAAATTCTCATTTTGTATACAAAGTAGGGTATTCCATGACAGTGGACTGTGACAATTTCCTCCTCTGGTGCCTTCCTCTGCTTGAAAACCCTTTGGTAACTTTAACTGGAGCAAATGGTTTGGAAATGTAAATGCCGGCTCATGCACAAAACCAAACAAGTAAATAAACCAACCAGAGAAGAGATAAAATGGAATCATAATAGTGCTGAATTAACTCAAAAATAAGCAGGAAAACAAGAAATAGGGGATATTATGAATATTATATATAACATCATGCCAAAAAACTTGACATCTTAAATGTGAATGTAGTTCACAAATATTTGCATTTAAATGTTTCTAGCATCTTATTCACAGTAGCCAAACAATTGGTTACAACCTAAATGTCTTTGAACAGATGAGTAAATGAACAACTTATGGTACATAACGCAGTGAAATACTAGTCAGCAATAACAATGAATGAAGTACTGATACACAAAATCACATGGATGACTCTCACAAACATTCTTGGACAAAACAGCCTGAAAAAAGTATATATGCTGTATGCTTCCATTTCTATGAATTTCTATAACAGATGAAATTAAATATAGCTTCTGAATTTAGATCAGTGGTTGCTTGCTGGAAAAGAAAGGGGAAGTGAGGATTATTGGCATGAGAGAACTTTCTTGGGGAATGGAAATATTCCATATCTTAAGATGGTAGTTATATAAGTATATACATTGGTTGAAATGCATTCAACTGTATGTTTAAAACCCATGTGTTTTATCATAGGTAAATTATACCTAATTGAACCTGACTAAATTTTTAATGCAATAATTATGTAGGCTCTGTTAGGTATAAGGCAAAAAGCCTTAACACGACATCATTTCATGGAACTTACAAAAGTTCTTTCTTTTCCACGTAGATGTTGGCCTTCCCTATCAGTTATCTTTAAAAACATTTTGAAACTGGTTTTGATTTAAGGAAGAGTAATATTTTCACAGAGTTTTGTTCTTTTGTTGGTTTTGAAAATACACAGCCACAACTATGTTTAAGAGAATTGGCACGTGCAGAGGTGGACAATAAGCCTCAAGCATTCACTCTCGTCCTTCTCAGATATTTGACACAGTAGTCTCTTGAATGTCAATTTGTTATTTTCTTTGTACAGATGAAAACTTTGAAGCTCAGAAGGCCATATGTTCTCAGACTCACATACAAAGACACAAAAACTCTGGGATTCAGGTGTAGTAATGCCCCCCTTTCATTTTTATGAATAATTAGTTTTCCTTGTATGATTCTATTTATGTACCTCAAGTACTTGTCCATATATTTCAGGAACAAAGAGTGTATTCCTGCCCTACTCCTTCAGAAAAAGCCCTAGAGTTAGGGATGTTTTAAATCCTAGTTTATTGCTGATTATAGACAGATTTAGAGGATAGCAAGAAGCTCTTCAGTTTTTAATATACATAAGATTTTAAAAAACGATATCAGCGGCAATAAATTGAAAGACACCTCAATTTTCTAATTGTACACAAAACTATTTTAGCCTATTTGTTCTTTATTTTAAAAGGTATACTTCCATAGGATAAAATAAAAGGGACATTACATAACACAAATAAAATATTTTAATGTTTATAAACTCCAAAGACTCCTGAATCTTGGTATAATCCAGATCATGATACTGGCCTTTTGTTTCTACCTTAAATATATGTTTTTCTTGTGATATTGCTGCAGATATTAAAAGAGAGGATAGAGGAAGAGGAAAAGTTGGAATGATTTTTGCTATTTTCTTAACATGTCATTTATATAATCTATAGATCTTGGCTAAAAGCATCTAATTGTTCTTTGGAAATTTGACAGCCTGGATTCAATGAGCCACTAGAGGTTTCCCCCATCAATTTCTTAGTACATTTATCTCAGTGTGTATATTTCGGTCTTTTAGTGGTTAGTATGACTCAAGAGATGGTCTAAAATGGAAAATTTACATTTTTGTCATTATTCTTCAATTATTATGTATGAGGCACATAACATATGTTACTTTATTTAAAACATGAATATATAAGCTTGATGTAGCGAATTGATCAGCTGCATCAAGAATGTTATAAAATATAGTTATTAGGTTTAGTAACAACTTTGGAGAGTTGTTACATAATTCTTAGAAATGTTAAAGTGGAAAAAGAAATATACTTTGATTTTGCAGAAACACTCTAGCAAATCAATAGTAATAAATAATTAACTTACTTCATTGGAAAAATTCCTCAACCTCAGACTAACTCACAATTGCATTATTCTTTTTGATCAAATGGTATAAACAAGCCATAGGCAAAACGTTCTGTTGGCTTTAGGATTTGAAACAGATTTTTGATCATTTGCCTGCAGGCCTATCCAATCTTTGTTCTACTGGGTTAAGAATTCAGTGTGCTTATGATGAGAATTAAAGAACCTAAAACATATTCGAGTACATTTTCACTCATGGTTCACAATATTCCATTTATCTCTCTCCATCTCAAGGCTCAGTTTATATTGTTTGTATGTTTTTCTTTGTTGAAAATATATTTTCTCTCTGATAAGCCAAACCCTCTGTTGTATCATTTTTAGAAACCAGCCAAATCACAAGAAGACTTGTTCTGGGGATTAAACAACACACAAATAAATGCATGCTAAAACCCAGTTGTATTAGCCCATTCTCACCCTGCTAATAAAGACATACCAAAAACTGGGTAATTTATAAAGCAAAGGAGGTTTAAAGGATTCACAATTCCATGTTGCTGGGGAGGCCTCACAATCATGGCAGAAGGTGAAGGAGGAGCAAAGGCACGTCTTTCATGGTGGCAGGCAAGACAGCATGTGTAGGGGAACTGCCCTACATCAGATTTTTATCTGATCATCAGATTTCATGAGACTTATTCACTATCAGGAGAACAGCATGGGAAAACCCACCCCCATGATTCAATTACCTCCCACTGGGGCCCTCCCACAACACATAGAGATTATGGGAGCTACAATTCAAGATGAGATTTGGGTGGGGACACAGCCAAACTGTATCACCAGTTAATTGTCATCTGATGTCGTTGAGACTATTACTTGATTTGCTCTTTAAAATCACCTTATGGAGTTTGTCTTTCCCCACCTAGAAGTTGTGATGTGCATGTGTATGTTCCAGTCAAATCCAATGCTTTATCCACTAGGAGGGACTTCTACAGTTTGTAGAAGTTGTGAACAAGGGGGAGAATGGTCATGAACGCTTTCGGGCTGTATTTCTCCATTGCCCCTTGCTTCTCCATTTTTCTGGACTATATTCCCTAAAGCCTAAACTGTGTTTCTTACTGTGCCTAGGAACTGATCCTGCTAAATAAGAACAGTGTATGTATGTATGTGGAGGCTGAGAAGGACTTTCCAGTGAGAGTCAGAGTTAAATTTGACTTCACTTTCGCTTGGCTGCTACAGCTGAGTTTCCTCGTCTCACTACACGGTGAGAAGATACCCATCCAAGGCCATAAAACACTGAAAATTGTATTTTTGAAAAGCCCAGCTGTTACATTGTATATAAAAATATTTTGTTTTATCGTCTCATTTTTTTCTGTTCACAGAGGCTAAAAGGTTGGGTCTTTGGTCAGTGGTAGAAAGTTTATTTGCTCTAGTCCCATTCTTCATTGTAGACTTCTAAAGAGGAATCACTGATAACACAGAATATGGGAAATTAGAGCCAAGTCATCTTTTCTCATTAGCATTCTCAAAAGAAGACAGAGGAGGGAAAGAGAAAGAACTAGAAGGAACTGCCCATAAGAAAAATTTAACTCTTCAAATTTTCATATAAAGGGGCTGAATTCGATGCCCTCAAAAGGCAACTAAGGGGCAGATATTACATATCTGGGGGAAGGATCAATACTGAGGGACTGCTGCTCATCTCCTAGGCCACTTGCATTAGGACAAGCTGTCTAAGTTACATGGGGGTCACCTGACTGGCCAATGTTAAGGTCAGGATTTTGTTCCAGCAGGTGCAAAACCTGTTGTTTACTTAACAATGTTGGCAGCAGCAGCTGCTGCTGCTTGTGCTGTTTCAAAGCAATTAAAGAGTGTGCTGTTTTTGAGGAGGTTGCCAGGTGCTGGCTGCCCCGTGTGCTGTGACAGGCGGGGTGAAATTTCATGGAAACACCTGCCAGCCTCCAAGACAGACCTGTACTAACTGGCTATTATGTACATAGCATTTAATCTTGTGTGGGTTTAGCTGACAGAGCAGGAAGTATGGCTATACCATCCTCCACCAAGGGCTGAAGTGATATGATATGTAAGCACTTTCTTACTTGCCATTGTTGACAAGCATATTTTGAGTAATAAGAGAATTTTATGACTTTACATTTATCAGCTATGTTTGGAGAACATAGAAACACCTCAAATAGAAAAATAGTGTTATTTAAAGACATAACATTTTAGTTATTAATTATCATTTACCAAACTGATTTATAAAACAATAGTGCTATCAAACAATTTTCTCCCAATGCTGAGAAGCTTCTCACTATCTTTCGCTTTATTAACAACTTTCTTCTTAGAATAGCTGACTTGGGAAAAATACCTTAATTCTCATACTAGAAATAAAATAAATAAAAAGAATCACCACAGCTTTTGAATTTATTTGTTTTGGGAAATATATATGTAACTTGGGGCCTTTAGTTTCCTTTTCACAAGCAATAGAAAATTCCTTGTGGAAGAAATAGAAACTTAAAAATTTTCTGAAGGTTAGATCACAACTTTCTTTTTGGTGAAGTAATCCCAGATGAACTCAGGAGACACATACAGACGTCCTTTTAAAACAAACTTGCCAAGCCTTAGCCATCTACCATGAAAACGTTTTTCCATCAATTTTAGAATTGTAGAAACTCAATGAATTCAAAAAGGAGGTCCAGCGATGCTATCTTAAAGCTGTCTCCTATTTTTTTTTAAGTTTTCCATTGAAAATGTGCCTCATATTCTGTTCATAGACAAGGGAGCCATACAGAGCTAACAGTTTGAAGTATCTGAAATGTATCTTCAACCTACCTACCCTGTATATACCCCTCTCTCCCATTTACTTTCCTCTATTAAAACTGCCCCCCCCAGAAGGAAATATAACTTATGCTTACTAAAGCATCAATGATAGCTATAGAATATTCTGTTACATCTCCCTAAAACATTTGCATTTTAGGGAAAAATAATATATATTAACTCAAAGGTAAATATTTTTTAAAAAACAAACATAATTCTGAAATGCTAACAAGAGTGCAGAGAAAGGAGGAATTTGGGAAGCAAAGGTATTTGTGGTTTGCATGCACATTATTCATAACTGTCCCGTTTGTTTCAATCTCCTTGATGAAGTCGATATGTCTTGCCTTGGGAGAGACTGTGTGTTGCACAGAGGAGCAGTAACTTGAGTCTCAGTTTGGCCAGTTGCCAACTGAGTCAAGCTCCTTAAGCCTCTGTTCCTTCATCTGTAAAGATGGAGGTAACAATATCAACACCTTCAACAGAAGGCTGTTGAGGGAATTTCAGTTAAATGACAGTATATGAAAACATCCCGGATAGTACCTCTCACAAGTTAAGGCACTAGAAAAAAATGTGATTTTTTTTCCTTTGGTTAAATTCAAATATTTTTGAGCAGACCAAGTTCATTCTAGGAGCACCTTTGTTGGTTCATATTCATTGAGGTGGAAAATGGCCACATCTTGGCATTTATAGTTGTAAGTGACCACTCAGAATATGATGTATTACTTTATGTGGAAAAGCCTTTTGTGTGAAATGTCTTTCATGCCCTCCTCCCCATCGTTCAAGGAAATAGTTCATAACCATCTGATTTAATGCTCGTGAAACTCCAAGTTAGTTTTACTAACTATATCAAGCTTCATGTAACCTTCAACTTCCCGTTTCATCAGGCACAAACCTTCATTATTGTTCACCATTGTAATTAGGTAGCATTTTAAGACTGTCACAAAATAATTCAGAGGTTATTATACTGGAGGAAAAAAATGTGCTACTATTTCCAAGTTTCTGCCAGGATTCTACATTGCCTCTATCAAAAAATTTTTAAACCATGTTGAGAAGCTGATTTTTTTTAATCAGGAAAAGTACCAGGTGGCAAATATACATTTTATGTAAAATAGAATTGACCTTTTGCATTGCTGAACACAGAAACAGAAGGATAAAAGGATATGGAGTTGAAGCAGATAGAATGCACACAGGAAAAGATAATTCTCTCCTCTGGCAGTCTAATGATATACCCCCTTAGGGATACTATAAGGATTTAATGTTATCAATATGGGATAGTTGATGTATGGAAAAAGCAGAACGGTGTTTTTATAAGAAATAACATAGCCAAATAAAAGTCATTTTCTTTGTAGGGGGTCAGAAGGAAAAAGAATAATGAACTAACTACATGGTGAGTAAAAATATTGTAAAGAAAATATAGAACATATATGTAGAGAAAAATATTTAAAAATGCATTTAGAAGACTCCTGCATTATATTCACCAATACTGGGAACAATGGAGAAGTTGTTCCTTGTTTATTTTAGGTTTTAGAAAAACTCAAGGATGTGGGTTTGGCACATGTCTGTTTTTGATGCTCATTACAATTTGAGGGTATTGCTTTGTCGTTTCATTGGTGTCAGCTGCAGGTAAACAAGTATACTGGATGTGAACTGGATAATACAGTATACTTGATGGAAATAGGATATTGGATGGTTTAATGGTAAGATTAAAAGGGCCGACTTGAGCCAAACAGTCTGGCTTTGATTTATTTCAATTCCAGCTGTGTGCTCTGAGTGAGTTACTTACTTTTTCTCTTTATCGGTTTTGTCCTTACTGAAACGATATGAAATTTTATACCTCCCAGCATTACTGAAAAGATTAAATAGATAATTCAGATAAACTACCTAAAGCCTGGCTCTCAGTAAATAAACTCTAATTACTGTCTATTGCTGATAGCTATTAAGATTAGATTATTACTCATTTATTTTCTTTTAGTGAGTAATTTTCTTTAAAGAAATGATTTCTTTAAAAATCTACAACAGTTATTTTCTTTTCTTTTTTCCCCAAGACGGAGTTTTGCTCTGTCACCCAGGTTGAAGTGCAGTGGCGTGATCTCGGCTCACTGCAACCTCCGCCTTCCGCTTCAAGCGATTCTCCTGCCTCAGCTCCCAAGGAACTGGGATTACAGGTGCCCACCACTGCGCCCAGCTAATTTTTGTATTTTTAGTAATGATGGGATTTCACCATGTTGGCCAGGCTGATCTCAAACTCCTGACCGCATGATCTGCCCGCCTCAGCCTCCTAAAGTGCTGGGATTACAGGAGTGAGCCACCGCGCCCGGCCTTTCTTTCTTGCTTACTCTCTGAACTCCAAAATCCTGTATTTTTAGATATAAATGTGAAAACTTCATATTGCAAATGTATAATAGTTGTATCATTGTTGTTTTCGCTTCATGTACTAACTAATGAAGATGAAACCTAAATTTATATTCGAATATTAATATCTTAATACTTATGAACTTTCCATGTCAGGTAGTCAATAATCAAATCAATGTTGAGAAAACTGATTATAATAGTTAAAAGACTGATAGCAGTAATGATTAAGAACACGTGTGCATGAGTGAAAAAGAACAGCTAATTAGACTAGATATAGTAAGTCTTATAAGGAAATTACCATCCAAGTTAGCTTAACTATTTTTGATTTACAGAAGAAAAAATTCAAAATTGTGCCAAAAAAACACACAGAGTGTGATTTTGTATATGACAGTGAATGGATTGTGGTCTGCTAGAGGCAGTATTATATTTTGCTTGTCATATATAGACCCAGGGGTCCGAGTGCTTTTCTAACAGAGTAGCCCACATAATTTATCTGTTGATACATAAGGCTAGTCAGTTTATTTTCAGTTTAAATGAAAATTTTCCATTTCCTCTAACAAGTATATACTGTATACTAAATTAAAAATACAGTGTTTGCATGCCTTATGAAGTTTGAGTGTCCTCTTCCCAGGAGATGAATAAGAACTATTTAATGTGTCAAGAAAAACAAACACAAAACTAACTTGCAATTCCCACTGAGTATCTCCTGAAGATTAGTGTTCTGTTTGTAGTATTATAACTAAGACATAGCAAGAGACAGAGCCTTCATAAATTTAAATAGGACCTTTATCCTTTCCATCTTGCGTCTTAGCATGTACATTGCTTACTCTGTGATCACTGAATATAATATAAATATTATAACCTTGCAATCATAAAAATTTGAAATGCCAAGGAATTGGAAAATAATATTCTTTCCTTCCAAGCTAATAAAATATTTTTGTGACTTATAGTTTAATTTTAACAACACTGGATCAAAATTTTAAGACTGTAATTTTATTCTGCAAGATGTGAATATTAAACCCTTGTAAAACTTTTAATGTTATGCAATCACTCAAGTGCTTAACCAACCATCTAAGAAAATCTCTCTCCTTCTTTTAGAGAAATCAAAAATATGGAATCAAAGCCAAGAGTTTACAACTTTGGATCACAAGGGAACAATTAGGAAGCTCCTCTTTAGGATTTATTAACTAACTCCAAAACAAGCCAACATTTTCCAGATATCAGGTTCCCTCCTTGGTGAATCTTTTTGAATGAGGTTTATTGGGTGATATTTATGATTATACTGTATAAATATACATAGAAAAGAAAATCATGAGACTTTAAAAAGGGTGTTATAATGCTATTCCAGGAATTACTTTTTCTAAGAGTTCAGGTTCTTGGGTAGCTGAACCATCATTTTGTCCACCTCTTCTATTTACTGCCCACAGATTCTTTAGTCCTGTCTACTTCAACAAGTCAATCAAAATGAATTATAAAGGGGAAGAAGGTATTCCTCACCTTACTTCAGTGTTGCAATTTTGGAGAATTGAGTTTTTGTTTCCCTGCTTAGTCCTCTCACTTTCTCCTTTTATCCTCTTCCTAATTAGCTCCCTCTCCCCAGTTATATACTATTAACATATATACAGTATAAGCATTTTAGGAGAAAGGAACAATGCCATTTAGTTTTGTTGCATAAATAGTAAATACTTTTTGTAAAAGAATCAAACAATACAAAAATAGGCAAAGTAGAACACAATTTAAAAAATTTTTTTCTCCCCTAAACTGTAACTGTCATCCTAAGAGGTAACCATCACTAAAAATAAAGTTTGCTATGGAAACTTGCTATTCTTTATGTGTATTATATCCACTTATACACGAACATGCTCGTACCATTCACATGATTGCATGACTTGTTTTTTTTTAAATGATACTTTAGAGATTTTTCCAAGTCTATATATATTATTCTACTTTCTTCATTTTGCTAGCTCAATACTATTACAAGGTATAGATATACATTTATTTGACAGTATTTAAGGTAAAAGGTACAAAGAATAATGGTTATAAAATCACTGTCCAGTTTAAGAAATAGTGTATTACCAACATTTTGGGAACTGGGTAACCCTCCCTGATTCCATCACACTCCCTCCCCATCCTCTTCCCTCCTCTATTAACGCCAACCCTGAATATGTGATGTATTATTACTTTGCATTTCTTTATATTTTCTTTATACTTTTATTACATATTTATGCATCCTTAAACACAACATAATATTGATCTGACAGTTTCTAACCTTTATATAAGTAGTATCAAAATCAGTTTGCTTTTTCCCTCAGAAAAATATTTATTATATTTATCATTATTGAGATTGAAAGTTCTAGTTCATTAATTTTTAAATTTACTAATGTAAAATAATTTATTATATAACACAGATGTATTTATTCACATTGCTGGTAATGAACATTCATGGATTTTCAGCTTTTAGAACTAAAGATAACATGCTGAGAACTTCCAGTTCTGGTCCAGCATGTGAAATGTTTGGAAGCTGTCATTCTCATCTTCACAAAAGAACAAATTGAAGACCCACAACTCTTCTTAGATTCATCAAAGAGTTGAGGCCACAAAATGAATCACTGCCACCAAAATTGGAGAGATAGGTAAATATGGAATATCAGAGCCCATTGGAGCAGAAACTCTGGTGCTGAAACATCCTCAGAAACAAGTATCAGGGTAGGAAAATTAAACTGTAATTGTTGAATTGCTGGAGATTCGGTATAGACATATTTGAAAGTTAGAAACTCAAGAGGGAGCCAGGCTTAGTGGGGGGTCCTACGCTTTTGTGACTTTTACCTCCAGAAGCCCTACCAGATTCTCAAAGTAAAGATTAAAAGAATACTCGTTTGTTTACAGCAGGAGAAGGAGAAAAGTGGCCATATTAAAATATGCCCAAAGCATTCTGTTCTTAACAAAATCTTCCCTTGAAAGAAATTATTTTACCAAAGGCAAACTAACAGGACTTACCAGAGTCTAACTGACCAAGGGTAGGATAAATTCCCAACTCCAGCCCCCTCTAGACTTTCTGTCTCGTATAAGGGGGCACAAAATTGAAAGCACTGGTTAAGGTTACAGAGTAGGGGCACAAGTTCATTAAAAGATTGAGACTTAATTTTAAGACTGTAGAATACTTCTGTGCTCCCTATGCCTTTCCACCACATCAATAGCACTTCTGTATATGACAGAAACGACAAGGAAGAACTGTATGTCTCAAACTTTATTTAAGACGTCTCTAGGGAAAAACCAAAGGCAATAGTGGAGACAGAAACAGGAACACCCATAAGAAATGTTAGCCTTTGACATTCACAACTGCAGCTAACAGTAAATATAGCCTGTTAGTCAGATAAACATAAAACCTAATGCTGAAGACCTATTTACCTGAGTTCATTTTACTCAATACATTATGTTTGGCTATCAATAAGAAAGCAATGTCAACAGGAATTTCAAAAACTGAAATGCAGGGATAAAAAAGAACAAAATAGAACAGAATATCCAAAAACCATGGGACAATTACAAAAAGTGTAAATATGTACAATGAGACTAACAGAAGGAGAAAAAAGAGAGGAAGAAATATTTGAAGCAATTTCTGAAATTTAAAAAAGTGAGACACCAAACCACAATCCAGATAGCTCGGAACACAGCAGGATAAATGCAAAACAAACAAACAAAACCACCTAAGAATATCACATTCAAACGGCAGAAAAACAATTAAGCCAGGCTCAGTGGAGGCTGAGGCGGACGGATCACTTGAGGCCGGGAGTTTGAGACCAGTCTGGGCCAACACAGCAGAACCCTGTCTCCACACAAAACAAACACACAAACAGAAAATATTAACTGGGTGTGGTGGCATGTTTCTGTAGTCCCAGCTACTAGGAAGGCTGAGATGGGAACACTACCTCAGCCCAGGGAGGTTGAGGCTGTGGTGACCCATCATCCCACCATTGCACTCCACCCCGGGGGACAAAGTGAGACACTGCCTCAAAAAAAAAAAAAAGGACTGAAATATTTAAAGTGATGAAATTAAAAAAAAAAAAAAAACACCAACTTATAGGTTATCCCTCAAAACTGAAGAAAGAAGAAACAAAGGATTTTTCAGACAAAAATTTGCCAGGGACTTTATTGCCAGTAAACCTGCCTTGCAAGAAACATTTACAGAATTTCTTTAGAAAAATAGTAAATTATATATATATATGTATATATGTATATGTATGTATATATACATATATATGTCAAAATCTCAAATCTGCATAAAGATGGAAAGAGTTTTAGAGAAGAAATAGATAAATAAAATATTTTTCTGATTCTTAGTTGATTTTAAAGCCAATATTTTGCTCAAAATAATAGCAGTGATGTATAGCTTATGGATAAGTGAGATTAATATCAATGATGTTATAAGATAAAGGAAAGGAGACTGGGATATTACTGTTTGAAGGAGGAGTTGGATTCATTGCAAGTGTATATTGCACACTCAAAGGCAATGACTAAAAAATTTTTTTGAATAAGTTAGTTGGTATGCTAAGATGGGGAAAAATAGAATTATATAAAATATCAGTTAACATCAGAAAGGGCAGAAAAAAAGTAAAAGGCAAGAACAACAACAACAAAAAACCCACAAGGAACAAAGACAACAAATAGAAAACAGTAAAAGCATGATAGATAAAAAACCAACTGTATCCATAATCACTTTAAATATCAATGGTCTAAATACACCAATGAAAAGACAGAGACTGCCACAGTGAATAAAGAAAGTGGTTTTCTACACGAAAACCACTTTAAATATAAAGACACAGGTAGATTAAAAGTAAAGCGGGTAGAGAAAGTTATATAATGCTAACACTGAAAGACAGCTAGAGTAACTATATTAATTTCAGATAAAGCAGACATCAGAATAAGGAAATTTTCAGGGATAAAGAGAGGCATTACATAATGATAAAGTGGTCAGTCCTTTAAAAGGCATAATGAGTTCATGTCCTTTGTAGGGACATGGATAAAACTGGAAACCATCATTCTCAGCAAACTGTTGCAAGGACAAAAAACCAAACACCGCATGTTCTCACTCATAGGTGGGAATTGAACAATGAGAACACATGGACACAGGAAGGGGAACATCACACACCACGGGGGACTGTTGTGGGGTAGGGGGAGGGGGGAGGGATAGCATTAGGAGATATATCTAATGCTAAATGACGAGTTAATGGGTGCAGCACACCAACATGGCACATGTATATATATGTAACACACCTGCACGTTGTGCATATGTACCCTAAAACTTAAAGTATAATAATAATAAAATTTAAAAAAATCAAAATAAAAGGCATAACAGTTTTTAATATGTATGTACCTAACAGTACGGTGTCAAAATACATGGGGCAAAACATGATACAAGTGCAAGGAGAAATAGATCAATCCATTACTATATTTGGAGACATTAACACCCCTCTATCAGAAATGGACACAACAATCAGGCAGAAAATCAGCAAGGACATAGTTTAACTGAACAATATTATTTAAGTGGATCTTATTGACATCTATAAAATATTTCATCCAACAACAGAAAAATACCCATTCTTCTCAAGCTCACACATAACATTCACCAAGATAGACCATATTCTGGTCCATAAAACACACCTTAACATATTTAAAATATATATACTATATAAAGTATACACTCAGACCATTTGTTAGTCCATTTTTGTCTTGCTACAACATAATATCTGAGGCTGGGTAATTTATAGAGAAAGGAGGTTTATTTAGCTAATGATTCTGGCCACTGACAAGTCCAAGAGGATGACACCAGCATGTGCACAGCTTCAGGTGAGTGCCTTGTGCTGTATCACAATATAGCAGAGAAGCAGAAAGGTGAACAGGTATGTGCAAAGAGCCAGGGAACAAGGAGGCGGACCTGCCTTACAACTACCTGTTCTTGTGGGTAGGTCATAAAGTCATAAAACAAGTCCATTCCTGTGAGAACTAATCCAGCCTCAGGAGAGCAAAAACTGACTCACCACCTGGAGCATGGCATCAATTTATTCATGCGGGACCTAAACACCTCTCACTAGGCTCCACCAGCCAACATGGAAAGCTCCATGGCATTCTATCTCTAGGGTGACCAAGAAAAAAAAGAGAAGGTACAAATCCACAAATTTCTAATATTCAAAATAAAGTGGGGGCATCACTACTAATCCCATGGACACTAAAATACTATGAACCACTCTAAGCCCACAAATTTAATAACCTAGATGAAATAGACCAATTCCTGGAAATACACAATCTACCAAAAGTCACACAAGAAATATATAATCTGAATAAGTCTGTATACATTAAATAAATCAAATACATTCTTAATAACCTTCCAAAACAGAAAGCAACCAGGACCAAATGGATACCCTGGTGAATTCTGTCAAACACTTGGAGAACAAAGAATACCAATTTTCTACATTCCTTTCCAGATAAAAGCAGAGGGAGTACTTCCTAACACATTCTATGAGTCCAGCATTACCCTAATACCAAAACCAGAAAAAAAATTACAAAAGGGAAAACTACAAACCAATATCTTTCATGAACATAGACGCAAAAATCCTCAGCAAAGTAGTAGCAAATCAAATCTAATAATGTATAAAAATATTTATACACCATGACCAGGTGGAATTTACTCCAGATAGAGAGGGCTAGTCTAATATTTTAAAAAATCGGTTAATGTAATCTACCACATCAATATGCTAAAGAAAAAATTATATAATCATATCAATAGATGCAAAAAATGGACATCTAATATCCATTAATGATAAAAATTCTGAGCTTATAAAACTGGAAGTAAACACCCTCATTTGACAATAAATACCTACAAAAACCTAAACATCAGCTGTTTTTGGATGATGGGGTTCGTGGTAAGGCAAGTGAAATTTGAGGTGATTGCATTGCCAAACATCTTTTGCCATTAAAATGTCCAAAGGATAAAGCTGATGTAACAGTTTGGGATGTCATAGCAAAAATATCATGAATTGCATAACTTATGAACAACAGAAATTTATTTCTCACAGTTCTGAGAACTGGGACATCCAGATCAAGGCTCCTGCAGATTTTGTGTCTAGTAAGGGCTCATTCCTTATAGACAGTGCCTTTCAGCTGGGTCCTCATAAAGTGGAAGTAGTGAAGAAGCTTTCTAGGCCTGTTATATAAGGGCATTAATCCCATTTATAAGGGCTCCACCTTCATGATCTAATCACCCCTCAAAGACCCCACCTCATAACACCATCACCTTGGGGTCTAGGATTTCATCATGTGAATTTGGAAGAAAAGGGGACAAAGAATCAGACCGTAACAGATGATGTTGTGTAGGACACCATGGCAATAAATAATGCATTTAGTCACTTTAAGTGCAAAGGTCTGGCAAGAGCATATTGGAAAGGGGAGGCAAATTCACGTCTAGAATATATATTTATTCTCATGAGAATTGCAACCACTGCCAAAAGTGTTGCAAGGCAGGGGAAAATACCCTGATCTCTCTCTCCTTGCAACTCTCTATTTCTTCCTGTGACTGACACTAGCCAAACCCACATGGAAGTCAGAAAGTAGGGCTGCCAGTCTGCACAGAGCAATGCAGAGAAGGGTTCAGGAGGGGCGGAAAACAGAATAACTAAACATGTTCACATTCCTATAGTCTTCTACTTGCATAAATAATGTATGTTGCATTCTGAATCTGTTGATTCAGTCTCTAGTACTATATTAGGAAAAGTAAAACATTATTTCAAAGAGGAAAAGGGATCAGGCTTCCTGGGTATAAATTGTATGTCAGGCAAACCAAATCATGTCTTTCCTGATTGTTGTAGTAAACTGTCAACAAGCATGTTGCCAACTGGAGCTGGCCATAATAAATATAAATAGATCTTTCATGTAAAGAAGTAGCTATCATGGACCCAGTATGGTTATTGATACTTGTTGCCTCTTTCAGAATAACCAAGTGCTGGAAGTCAAGTGATTGCTGTGAATGGAAACGTATTTTATTCACAATCAAATGAAGTGTGGTAGGCCCAAAGCCAGAGAGTATTCTTTGATTGGACTCACTTAATTGCCCTAAATTTAGCTAGTTGAATTTTGTTAAGTATCATCATTTTCAATTTCTGAAATGGAGGCTTTGACATTTATCATAAAATCTCAGTTTTATTGCAGAGATATCATAAGGCTCATAAATATTTTCACCAAAAGCATTCTTTTTTGATTCAATACACTTAGCATATTGTGGATTCCCAGAGTATGTTATTATCAACAAGTTTCCCTGGCTGACATGCATATTTGGAACCTTGAGAGGAAGTGGGAAAAGCAGTCACAAGTTGCCAGCAGTTCTTCTCCAGACAGAGGCTTCAACTCCCATTTTGGGTAGACTTTTATTTCTTGTTAAGAAATACTAGGAATGATCCTTTTAGTTAAAGAAATATAAAACATACATCTATATACTATGAGGCAGAATGTCATTTCTGGCACAAACATAATACAGTTATACATTTATCTTGGCAATATATCATTTAGATAGCGTTGAAACGACACTGAGGAATAAAATGTTTTTGTGTTTATTAGTCAAGCTCCTATTTTCCATAACTCCTACAATCTTCTAAAGTGATTAAAAGCACCAAGAGCTTTATATTTTGAACCAATTTTAGACTTAGATAAAAGTTGCAAAATAGTACAGAGTTCCTGTATATCCTTCTACCAGTTTTCTCTAATGTTAGTATCTTGTGTAATTGTAGCACAGGTATCAAAATCAAGAAATGAGCACCGGTATAATAATGATTAAACTACAATTTCATTTGGACCTGGATTTACCAATTTCCTTATGAACATCCTTTTTCTTTTCCACTATCCAATCCAGAATCCAACATTGCATTTTGTTGTTATGCCTACTTAGTTTTCTCCAATCTGACATTTTTCTGAGTCTTTTCTCAAAATGTTTGAAGAATATTGGTCTGTTTTTTAATAGAATGTACCTCGATTTGAGTTTGATGTGTTCTGATTATCAGATTGAGGTTATACATTTTTAGGAAGAGTATCACAGAAGTAATGTGACTTTCTCAGTGCCTCATCACATCACAAGTCATATAAGGTTGATATGCATTATAAATGGTGAAGTTAACCTTGGTCACTAGATGAAGGTTGTGTCTGTCACGTTTCCCACTTCCTAGTTTACCACGATATCCTTTCTTCTCAAACTTTCACCCTATTGTGGGATCTTGCTTATAATAATTAATATTGCAGTGTTATGTTAGTGATTTTCTATTTCTCTTATACTTTTTACATTTATCAATTGGCCTGCTAATGAGCATTAATAGAGACTGAATGCTTAGCCATAGGCCATCAAGCTACCATGTGACCTGAGCTGCCCACATGAACTGGGTATCATATGGTTACCAACCCATGAAACTGGGCGCACATGGCAGCATTCTATCATCAAATGAAAATGGTACATATGTAACCAGGCCAAAGCAGGCCCTGAAGGCACATGTACATTAAAGAGTGGCACAAATGCCCATGGTCCTCACCTCTGCAACATGGCATTCTCTCTCCCATCCTGCCCCTATGGCCTCATAGGCATTCGCTATGATCAGTTGACAGGTGGAGAGAAGACTTGGGCCTCCTTTGTGCATGATGGTTCTGCATAATATGCAGGCATCACCTGAAACTGGACAGCTGCAGCACTACAGCCCCTTTTGGGAACATCCCTGCAGGACAGTGGTGAAGGGAAATCCTCCTCATGAGCAGAAATTTGATCAGTGTCCCTGGTTATTCACTTCGTTTGGAAAGAGAAATGGCCAGACATGTGATTAAATACTGATTAATGGGCTGTGATCAATGGCATGCCTGGATGGTCAGGGACTTGGAAGAAATGTGGTTAAAAAGTTAGTAACAAATAACTCTGGGGGAGGGTTGTGTGAATTGACCTCTCTGAATGGGCAAAAAACATGAAGATATTTATGTGCCATGTGCAAGCTCACCAAAGGGTGACCTCAGCAAAGGATAATTTTAATAATCAAGTTGATGAAATAACCTATTGAGTGGATATTAGGCTTTTTTCCTCAGTAACTTTGCTATGAACCAAGGGGCTCATGAACAAAATAGCCATGATGGCAGGGATGGAGATTATGCATGGGCTCAGCAATACGGACTTCTACTCAACCAGGCTGACCCAGCTATGGCCACTGCTGAGTGCCCAATCTACCAGCAGCACAGACCAACACTGAGTCCCCAATATGACACCATTCCCCAGCCAGCTACATATTGACAGGTTGATTTCACTGGACTTCTACCACCATGGAAAGGGCAGTGTTTTATCCTTACTGAGATAGATACTTAGTCTGGATTTAGGTTTGCCTTTCCTGCATAGTGTTTCTGCCCAAACCACCATCCACAGGACTTACAGAATGCCTTGTCCACCATCATGTTATTCCACACAGCATTGCTTCTATCAAGGAACTCACTCCACAGCAAAGGAAGTGTGGCAATGAACCCATGCTCGTGAAATTCACCAATCTTACTGTGTTCCCCACCATCCTGAAGCAGCTAACTTGATAGAGGGCTATAATCACCTTTTAAAGACTGAGTTACAGTGTCAGTTTGGTGGCAATACCCTGCAGGGCTGGTGCAAGGTTCTTCAGAAGGCTGTAGATGCTCTGAATCAGCTTCTAATATATCAGCTTTCTCAGATAGCCAGGCTTCATGGATCCAGGAATTAAGGGGTGGAAATGACAATGGTACGACTCAGTATTACCCCTAGTGACCCACTAGTTAAATTTTTGCTTCCTGTTTCCAGAACTTTATGTCCTGCTGGGCTAAATGCCAGAGGCAAGAATGCCTTCACCAGAAGACACAACAGTGATTCCATTCAGCTGGAAGTTGAGACTGCCACCTGGCCACTTTGGAATCCTCATGCCTTTGAATCAACAGCCAAAGAAGGGAGTTAGTGTGCTGGTTGGGATGACTGATCCTGACTACCAAGGAAAAATTGGACTGCTACTCCACAACTGAGATAATAAAGAGAATGTTTGGAATACAGTGATCCCTTAGGACATCTCTTATTATTACCAGGCCCTGGGTCGATGGAAAACTACAAAAATCTAATCAGCACTAATAATGGCCCAGACCCTTCAGATATAAAGGTTTGGATCGCCCCACCAAGTAAAAAACCACAACCAGCTGAGGTACTTGCTGAAGGTAAAGGGAGTAAATAATGGGTAGTAGAAGAAGGTAGTCATAAATACAAGCTCTGATCATGTGACCAGTTACAGAATTGAAGAGAGTAACCATCATGAGTATTTCCTACATATTTTGCTACAAATGTATATTTGTATGTATATATTTATATGTACAAAGAGATACCTCTATCTAGTTATAGAGCAAAATCTATATATAGACATATATATATATATAGATAGATATGGATGTAGAACAAAATATTTTGTTTCCTTATTATGTAACATATGATGTATTAACTTTATAATATTTAAATATTGTCAATTTTACATAATAATATTTAAGTTACAGTATATCAAGGATAAGAAAGAGTAAACCACTCAAGGACATTGCTTCCTGTTTTGGGTAGGGTATAAGCGGGTTTTATGTTTTAAGTAGGATAGTCATACAATGTTAGGATAAATTAGGACCTTGTTTGTGTCTTCATTTGAGGCTTAAGTATGGTTTAAGTAGATGTGTATGGGTGCCAAATTGACAAGGGGTAGACTTGGGATGGTTACATTAATGTGTTAACTTGACTGGACCATGGGTGGCCAGGTATCTGATCAACATTATTTCTGGATGTGACTGTGAGAGTGTTTCTGGATGAGATTGATATTTGAGTCCATAGACTGAGTGAAGCTGATTGCCCTCCCCATATGGTGGGCATTAGCCAACCTGTTGAAGGCCTGAGTTGAACAACAAGTAGCGTAAGGGATAATTTACTCTGAGTCTGTTTACAAGCTGAGACATTGCTCTTGTGCACTTAGACTGGAACCTACACAATTGGCTCTCCTGGTTCTCAGCCCTTGGGACCACAAATGACTGGTACTCCTGGGTGTCCAGCTTGCAGAGGGTAGATGATGCAACTCTTCAGCCTCCAGAATCATGTAAGCCTATAGCCTATGGAGTTAATGACAGCCTAGGCTCAGTGCCTGAAGTCAGAAATAGAAAAGCTGAGGAATCAGAGGCCTCTATGATTTCTGCTTCCCAACTTGAGCTCACAGGGAACAGTCTTGAATCTTGAGTCTTAGATACGGTGAAATTTTTTTAAGTAAAAATTTTAAAAAATAAACCAAAAACAGAAAACAAGAAAAGAACTTATGGGACTGTTTCCACCAAGGACATTTGGCATAAATTTTGCTACTTCAGATTCCAGTAGACAACAGTGCAGCTGGAGTTGATGAGAAGCCCAAACTCTCCCACTGTGCATAGAATGTAATGTGGCTCTGGGACAATAAAGAGTGAAAGAAAGGCAATGCCACACCAGAAACTCTACATTTTTGGGTCAGCAAGCCAGGCACCAAGCATGGACATGGTGAGAACGAGAATGAGCACCTCTCTCATGGACTTTGAAGGCAGCCAGCATAATGTGACTTGAAGTGGACAACGGGGACCTCTCCACTTCATTAGCACATAGGAAACATCCTCAGAATCCCCTGCGTGTTGTCAGTGAGGTCGTGTAGTGAGGGAAGCATCAGCTTAGTGTCATCCTCATATGACCTCCCTCTCATACCCAGCAGCTGAGGAATCTGGTGAAACTGTGTCCAGAATTGGTGGGTTCTTGGTCTCGCTGACTTCAAGAATGAAGCCACTGACCCTTACTGTGAATGTTACAGTTCTTAAAGATGGCGTGTCCAGAGTTTGTTCCTCCAGATGTTCAGACGTGTCCGGAATTTCTTCCTTCTGGTGGGTTCATGGTCTCGCTAACTTCAGGAGTGAAGCTTCAGACTTTTGCGGTGACTGTCACAGCTCATAAAGGCTGCGCAGGACCCAAAGAGTGAGCAGCATTAAGAGTTATTGCAAAAAGTGAAAGAACAAAGACTCCAGAACATAGAAAGTGACCTGAGCTGGTTGCGCTGCTGGCTCCAGTGGCCTGCTTTTATTCCCTTATCTGGCCCCACCCACATCCTACTCATTGGTCCATTTTACAGAGAGCTGATTGGTCCACTTTACAGAGAGCTGATTGGTCCATTTTACAGAGAGCTGATTGGTCCATTTTACAGAGAGCTGATTGGTCCGTTTTGACAGAGTGCTGATTGGTGCATTTACAAATCTTTAGCTAGACACAGAGCACTGATTGGTGCATTTACAATCCTTTAGCTAGAGGCAAAATTTCTCCAAGTCACTACCTGATTAGCTAGACACACAGCGTTGATTGGCACATTTACAAACCTTTAGCTAGACACAGAGTGCTGATTGGTGCATTTTCAAACCTTTAGCTAGACATAGAGCACTGATTGGTGCATTTACAATCCTTTAGCTAGACACAAAAGTTCTCCAAGTCACTACCTGATTAGCTAGACACAGAGCACTGATTGGTGCATTTACAAACCTTTAGCTAGACACAGAGTGCTGATTGGTGCGTTTACAAACCTTTAGCTAGACAGAAAAGTTCTCCAGGTCCCCCACCCAACCCAAAAGCCCAGCCAGCTTCACCTCTCAATGGCACTCTCCACAGGAGTTTGCAGCACCTAGCCCAGGCACTCCGGCAGCCCAGAGGGAGCTCGTCCCCCATCAGGCCCAGGAGGCGCTGGCCTGCCGCGCCGAGTACGGGGCCCACCCAGCCGGCGCCCACCCGGAACCCGCGCCGGGCCGGCGCCCACCCGGAACCCGCGCCGGGCCGGCGCCCACCCGGAACCCGCGCCGGGCCGGCGCCCACCCGGAACCCGCGCCGGGCCGGCGCCCACCCGGAACCCGCGCCGGGCCGGCGCCCACCCGGAACCCGCGCCGGGCCGGCGCCCACCCGGAACCCGCGCCGGGCCGGCGCCCACCCGGAACCCGCGCCGGGCCGGCGCCCACCCGGAACCCGCGCCGGGCCGGCGCCCACCCGGAACCCGCGCCGGGCCGGCGCCCACCCGGAACCCGCGCCGGGCCGGCGCCCACCCGGAACCCGCGCCGGCCCGGGAGCGCCGCGCAGCCCGGGCTCCCGCCCGTGCCTCCGCCTCCACACCTCCCCGCGAGCAGAGGGAGCCGGCTCCGGCCTCGGCCAGCCCCAGAGAGGGGGTCCCCACAGCGCAGCGGCGGGCTAAAGGGCTCCTCCAGCGCGGCCAGAGCGGACGCCTAGGCCGAGGAGATGCCGAGAGGGAGCGAGGGCTGCTAGAACGTTGTCACCTCTCAAAACCTGGGTTAAACCTGGGTAACCTGGGTTACTCTCTACTGGTAGAGACATTGGCTTCTCACTGCAGACCTTGATAGAAATGTGTAATGATTAATTTTATTTTGACTTAACAACGAATTAATTTTATCTTAAATTAACAACTTGACTGAGTGTGTTTGTATGTTTCCCGAACAGAGTAGCATTTGAATCAATAGGCTGTGTAAAGAAGATCTGCACTCACCAATGTAGGCCAGCATCATCCAATCCACTGAAGGCCTGTATAGAACAAAAACTTACCCTCTCTTTCAGAGCTAGGCCATTTATCTTCTCCCCTTCTCAGAAATCAGCACACCTGGTTCTCAAACATTTGACTTGACCTGGGACTTACTTCAGTCTCTCCCCATCTCCCTCCCCCATCTCACCTTTGGAGTTGACTGAATTACACCACTGTTTTTCCTGGTTCTCCAGCTTGCAGATGGCAAATCATGGGATTTCTCCACCTCTATAATTCCCATAATAAATTATAACATGAGTCAATTTCCATAGTAAATTTCTACACACACAAACACGTAGATGTATGTCCTATTGGTTTTGTTTTTCTGAGAAATACTGCCTAATAAAAAACGTGTGCGTGTGTGTGTGTTTAAATAAATTGTAAAGGCCAGGCTCAAGAATTAATTGAAGAACATTTCAAAAGTTTCTGCTTTGTATATATAAAAAAATTAAAAACACTCAACTTCCCAATTTATTTACATAAGCCATATCTCAGTGACCTTCCATTTTCCATGGTAGATATGTTTCCATACCTCAGATCCTTACACATAAAGCTTTGTGCTCTTTCTATAACAGCAAAATCTTTCTCTCCAGGATATTAAAGTTGTTATGAAGGTCATGTGACCTCACACAATTTGCATAGGCCAAGACTAAATATGGCCAAATGTCTTCATTGCAATGAGTCAGAAAGTAAAGCTTTCATTAGTCATGTCTTGTGTAATTACAGGGAACAGAGAAATGATTGGCAACATAAATATGAGGCATGAGTGTTTTGTTTTTACTTTTTCAATCTGAACTTATTCCAATAAGAAAAGTTATAACAAAAGCCCAAGATTCAAATATTCATGCGTCAGAAAGAAAAACCCCCTTTCCTGCTGCTTTCCTAATAATACATATCAGCAGCAAGTGATTGCAGTTTAGCCTCAGCCTAATCTCAGGTGGTTTCTTTCATAAGCTGATGCTCTGAGTTGACAAGAATCAGCTGCCGGGATCTTTCCCCTTTCCCCTACCAATAGTCAAAGCAAAGAAGTGCAAGTTCCTTACCTGGCTGGATAAACTGAAGGCTGTTAAGTTTCACTGGGGAGTACGCTACTGGGGAGGGATACATTGCTCTACTTTAAAAAGTTGGTTCATTATAAAAGCCCATTTCAAATGTGTCACACTGGTTCTCACGGATGCCTGTGTCACTAAGGAATATAATTAATTTCAACCAGACAGGATGAAACAGAGTAGCAATGATGGTTTCCATTCTTTGACTTCCTTTCTGTTATAAAATAACAACATGGTTCAAGGAGCTATGTCTGGGACATTAACAAAGCCAAAATCTTGATTAGCAAGATGTAATGTTGAAAGTACTGGTTCCAAGCTTCCTGAAATAATGGAGAGATGATAAAATAGAAAGTTTAATAGAAAAGTATAATTAATGGTAAGAATAGCAGTTTACATTTCTTGATTATTAATCAATGCCAAGGATGTATATTCAGTCTAGAATTTACAGCCCTCAATATCTTAAACTCACCCTACCTTTCACCCTACCTCACCCTATCCTACCTCACCCTACCTTATGTCTCAACAGATTCCCCTCCCCATAGCTAAACCTTCCACGCGCAGGGTTCTGGCCAGCCTTGACTATTCATCTTTCCCACACTATTCAATATTTTCTGGATTTCATATATCAATTATGCCTCCTCCTTGCTTTCTTTTTCTATTTTGTTAAAATTCTTTTTATATATTAAGGACCATTTTTTATGATAGTGAAATCTTTTCCATGCCAGTCAGAATTACTTTCTTTCCTGTGTTTGTCTGTTACAGTTTATACTTCTGGTTTATCATTCTTTTCTTCATATTAGTATTTCTTATTGTGATAGAAAATGCTTCCCAGTATCCATTCTTACATTCATCCTCAGTGTTACAATTTCTAAAGTTTTAGGTGTCCATTTTCTGATTATTGTTGCAGCTAGGAATAGCTTTGTGGCTAAGTTTTGTCAAAGGGAAAGAAGTAGAATTGGTGTGTGAAAGATCCAGAAAATGTGTGCCTTTTTCTTAAAAAGGAAGGAAGTGTGCCCTCCTCCCCACACTCCCATTTTATTTTATTTTTGCTGCCATTCAGGCTGACACAGGAGTAAACATGCCAGGCTATGAGAAGGGAGCCTGTGATCTTAATTATTACAGAACTCCCATACTTGTGTTAAACTTCGTATACTTATGAGAAGGTAATACATTTCAATCTTATTTGATCCTCTGTTCTTTTGGGCTTTGTCATTTGCACTAAAATCTAATCCTAACAAATAAACACTTGTAATATCTTTCCCGCTAAACTATGAGACCTGTATGGTAGGTTTTATGCCTTCTTTTGCACTTCCTGGTAACTAGCACAGTGCATGGCATACATCAGTTGCCAAAAAATGCTTTAAAATAATATAGAATTTAATCAATAAAGAAAATGTACTTCCTGATATTTTTTCCTTACAAGGCAAGAAATGACAATGTGATGTACAATCAAAAGCTACATGAAAGCAGTTACTATTCAGAACTGGATTTACATGAAGAATGTGCTAAAGAAAGGGACTTACAGTCCACACATATTGTACTGTATCCATATTGTACCAAAGAGAGTTCAGTTGTAAGCACAGCTCTTGGCACTGCATTAGGAGCATTTAATTTTTTTTTTTTTTAAACAGAGTCTCTCTCTTGTCTCCCAGGCTATAGTGCAATGGCGTGATCTCAGCTCACTGCAACCTCTGCCTCCCGGGTTCAAGCGAATCTCCTGCATCAGCCTCCTGAGTAGCTAGGATTACAGGCACGTGCCACTACGCATAACAATTTTTTTTTTATTTTTAGTAGAGATGGGGTTTTACCGTGTTGGCCAGGCTAGTCTCAAACTCCTGACCTCTGGTGATCCACCTGCCTCGGCCTCCCAAAGTGCTGGGATTACATGTGTGAGCCACTGTGCCCTGCCTTAAAGTCATTTTTTAAGAGATGTAATATGTTTATTGAGGTATATGTGTTAGTTTATTTTATCAGTATATATTTATTATTGTGGGGTGCTATAACAGAGAGAGGGATAGATTAGTAAAGAAACAGGTATGGCTGTGCCCTCATGTAGAATGTAGTCTAGTGGGTGAGATTTTTATTAATTTAAAGTTCTTGCAGAAAAATTATAAATTATTTCTATAATAAGTGCAGTGAAGGTCAAGTATGTGCATTCTACTGGAGTGCTGGAGATAGCATTGGAAGGCTTTGAAATCTATCTTGGGAATGAGACCCAACAGAGCTTGGTGTTGGACTGGATGAAGAGATAAGGAAATGAAAAATACCTAACATGGCATCTAGTTGCCAAGGTTGTGTAACTGTAATAACGGTGGTACTGTTCACTAGAAAATAAAAATGCTGAAGCTTGAGAAACAAAATTTTGAGTTACCTCTATATGATGGTAATGGACACTGTGGGGATGAATGAAACAAGAAGGAATTTAGGACCTGGTAGTGAATGATTTCATTAAAAGCAAGGTCAAAAATGATTACTCTATAAAGGAGAAATAAAGGGAAAGAAATGGCCAGGGGAATAAGAAGATACGACTTCCTAGAGGCCAAATAAAGCAAGGGTCAAAAATCAAGGAGGAAATAGTCACAAGTGCCTAACCATTCAGCTGTCAAACAAGATGAAGACTTAAAAACAGTCTATTGGAATTTATATCATAGAAGACATTTTTATCTTCAGCAACAGCCATTTTGGTGAAGATAAGAGAGTGGAAGCCATATTAGAGTAAGTTAATAGTTGAACAGAAAACAAGAAAATTGAGCAGAAAAAGAGAAAATGGTGCCTATAAATATAGATAATTTTTAAAAGAGCTTTGCTATACAAAGAGTGAGAGAAATAATAAAATCATGAAAGTGCTGTGGAAATCGATAAAGGTTTTTTTCCTTTTTCTCTTTATTTTACACAAGATGGCTTCAGCATGATGCAAGGAAGGATTGCATATACAAAAATGGAATGATACAGATAATACAATTTTTCCAAGATGACAGGAGTAGGTGAGATCCAAACCATAAGATAGAGGCTTAGATCTTAGTAGAAAAGAGGTAATTTTTCCACAGGACAAATGATGTTAGGATGTGTGTGGATACATTTGTTATTAGTTGAATCCAGCTACTAATATCAAAGTGTGGAGATAATTGTGGCATAAATCAGATTAAAATTTATTTTTTTGTTGTGTAAAATATGTTTGAAGGTAGGCTCACCCTTCTTAGCTCATTGCTACCATTCTCCATGTCACCTCAAGGGCCTAGATAGCTGCTGACCCTGCAGCCATCAATTCTATGTTCCAGGCACAAAGAAAGAGGAGGAAAGTGAAGGAAAGAAGGAACAATTATCCAAAATTAGTCAGCAACCTTTCAAAAAATGTATAGGCAGTCTTGCCCAATGGCTGCTACCTACATCTCACTGGGCAACCCTAACTCCAGAAAGAGTCTGAGAATTTGCTTCTGTGAATAGAATCGTAGCTTTGCTATGACAGATTAAGGACAAATCAAATGGATACGGGGTAGGCAATTCTGTAACAGTAGTTGCAGATAAGTTGTAGATGATTTAGTTGAGAAATATTTAAGAATATCATACATCTGTGGTATACAAACATCTTGAGACAGGGTGAGGCAATATATGAATGGGGGGAGCTTGTTTTTTTTTAATTATGAGAAGGTTTAAAAATAGTCATTGTGGAGAATAAGAGAGTGAACTGATGACAGAAATATCCTTCCTTGAAGTTTTTTGAGTCCCATTTGAGGCCACCAGGAATTTGTTGTGGGGCCAGTCTTCGACTGCATGTAACTGTCCACACCAAATCTTGGCTTCACTGATCCAACCAGAAAGAAATCATATAGATATATTCACCTAGGGTTGGGGCTTTGCCCAATAGCTAAGACAAAAATTACAGATGGATCAGTAAATTAGATTATTAACTTATTGGCAATAATTATTTAAATTATCACTGAAGGAGTTTCAGCTATATAAGCTAAAAAGGAAGAGTATGGAGGTTTGGGGAAATGAAAATGTCAAAGAACTAGAAATCGTTATGAGTTAAAATAATGGCTACAATTTGAACAGCTGTACAAGAAAGCAATATCAGGTGACTAGAGTAAATAAACCGTTAAACATTGAGTGAGGGGGATTGAGTGAAGGAGTAGGACACTTGAACTTATGATTTTAGTGGTAAAGCACTGAGAGATGATGTCAACAGCCAGGCTGTGACCATGGATTTGGGAAGCTTCGGTGGAGAAGAGACAGTTATTGGGCATGAGAGTTTCAAGGACCAGAGTGTCCTGAGCACCAAGAACATTGGGCAGTCATGGTAACGTGAGTGTCACTGAAGATGATAGAATGTGAGGGTGTAGAGGAAGATGCAAAACCAGGTGCCTTAGTCTAAAATAAATATGAAAACTGACCAAAACCTTGTGATCAGAGGTGTACGAAAGATCAGAGTGGAGTACTAGAGATCAGAGTGGGAAATTGTGTATGCGTGTATGTGTTTAATTCTAACCCTAAAGTTCTAAATGTTCTAGAATAAGCAATTAGAAATGTCATGTCTAAAAATTTTGTTTTTATTTCTAAGTAAGTTTATGTGAAATAACTGTCATAGATAAAAACAAAAAGCAAAGATATTTCTTGGAAATTATTGTTTTTAAATTATGATGATAATGAGAAGCATTGATTATAATTCCCCTCAGGGTAAGGAGTTGAAAATGAATTACGAAACTGAAGTTCAAATTTCCACTTTTCTCAGGTAGTCCTGTTTAGTCTCAATTGGTTTGTGAATACAAGTACTGTAGTTCTGCTAATGAAAATTTCTGTTGTAGTCTTTATAGTACAATATAAGACTTTAGGACAGAAAAAGATTTGAAGATATTAACACTTTACATCATATTTGTTGCACATATTGTTCATTTATCATTTTTCAATATTTTTTATACTTTTTTGGCAAAGAGAAGTTTATAATTTTTACTAAGCCCATCTTTTTTCTTTTTTTTTCTGTATCTTCTCCCATAGAGGGGGCACATTTCAAAGTGCTTGTTCTGCCTATGTACATTTCTCAGAGACCCTGTTCCAGCCCAAAGTCTGGTTAGCAGCAGCATGAATTCCCTTGTCATATGTGACCACAACTGTGTTGGTAGGGATGAGCACCAGACTAGCAGACAACTGAACTTTGGCTGGCTCATGACAGGCTAGGGGAAACATTAGCCCCTTTTTGCTTGGGATAGCCCCAATCACAAACTGAGCATGCTTTTGCTCTCAAAATGGTCCTGGTTTACATGAGAAAATATGTCACCCTCTGGATAAGTGTTACTGGCCTCAAAAAAATATGAGCTAAGTCATATGACCCCCTTTCTAGAAATTCAAAACAGATGTTTTGCAGGTCACCTGTAAGAACTTGAGCTCTTAGGTATGTTATGTATAGAGGAAGCTCACTAAAGTTATTTGGGATTAGAGCTGCAAGGAAGCTGGTGCAGAGTAAGAGAAAAACAGCCGATGCACAGCAAGCACTAGGTGAGAATTTGTGTAACTGTTAGAGGGAGAGAGGTAGGACACAAGATTTGATTTTGGAATTCTCAAGTATGAGAGGACAAATTATATTTCATTTCCTTTTCATGTATATATGTGATAATTTCCACAGTATACTGGAGCTTGCTGCTGCTTCTATATATAGGCTAATTAAATTTTTCCTCTGTGTAAAAGTCTTAAGTAGAGAAGGATCCATCCCAGTGGCAAATATTTTCTCCTAAAAATTGTATGCTTTTATTCCTCTTTAAGTACCTTTCTTAAACTCTGCAGAATTTATTTGTTTCATCACGTGAGGAAAGAGTCTGCTTTATTTTTTGTATATATATTTAACCAATTTTCTCAACCTCATCTATTAAATTATTTCTTAATTTATTTGTGATGAATCTTTTGTTATTTGTGCCTATTACATATATTACTATTTCAGAGATTCATATATTTTATCTCATTAATCTATGTGTTGACTTTTTGCCATTACCACATTATAATTAAAGATTGTGATCTGTATTGATATTTGATAGTGAAAATGTTTATTCAATTTTTCCCCAAAATTTATTTGTTCCTCTTACTTGTTTATTCAGCTGTGGTGACTTCAAAATACTTTTTCCAGGTGACAAAAAAAACTCAGAAAAATTTTTAATCTTAATTGCATTAATACTATAAATTGATTTGGAAGGATTTAACATTTTATAATATTGTCTTCCTCTGCAGTAATGTGGCATATTCTTCCTTTTGTTCAAGCATTAAAAAAATCTCTTAGCAAAGCTGCACAGCCTTCTTCATAAGGGTTCTCTATATTTTCCTCTGAGGTGTTCTAAATGAATTAATGTTTTCTATTGATACCCCATAAATAAATATTTTCACTTTGTAGTCTTTAGTTCTTTATTGCTTGTATGCACAGAAGTTATTAATAGTTGAGCCTTTTCCTTGTGCCTGTAGAGTTCACTGAGCTCTCTTCTTAATTCTTAGAGTTTTGGAATTTATTGTCATGGCTTCTCTGACTACAATAATTTATCACCTTTCCAATAATTATGCTTCTTATGGTTATTTTCTTGTTCTTAGTTCATTGATTAAAACTTAAAACAATAGTAAGTAGTAATACTGAGATGTGAATGGGCATTATTCTCTTGCTGCTGATTTTGAGTTTAGTGCAACATTGCCCAATATATGTTTTATGGAAGAACAGTCCCACAAGATAATCTGTGAAAATGAAATAATAAATCTGTTAAACACTCTTCACTGTATTGACTCTCCTTGAAATCAGCTGTTTGCCTCCTCTGTCTCCTCAAAAATCTTCATTAAAATATATTTTACTAGAAAGTGATTTTATACTTGAATTCAGAGGGTTTAAACAATTTTTGTGGGGGAGATAGAAAAATGAGCTGATACTGTACTCAAAGGAAGAGAGGATGAGCTCACAGGGGCAAACCAGGAGGCCCCCATCACTTAGAGATGATACAACTGATGGTTTTTTTAAATAGACACCCAAGTTTGAATGAGATGCCATTTTTAAGGAACCTTCAGTCTTTATTAGTGATTCTTTTACCCAGTTCCTCTTACATGGTTTGTGGCAGAGGGCACATGCAAAGAATGCAGGCATCACCGTACATTCCCATAGGTCAACACATTAGGACTAAGATTTGTCTCTCTTTGCAAACCCGACTTTATTTGTTAATATAGCCTAGTGGAAATTGAGGGGGATCTGGAATGATGGCTTAAGAATGTATACAATGCATATATAGTGGTACTGTACCAGCGCCTTTTCAGGTTGCCTGTTAATTACCGAGAGATCTGAGCCTTATCTGACTTCAATTTTTATAGCTTTTTACAACTTTACTTGTCCTTGCCCTCGACTAAGACTTTTAATAACCATCTCCTAGAAATAAAAAAAGTTTGCAGATCATGTTATTAAATGCTTTTTGAGGAAGAATGAAGTGTTTGCTGTGGATAAGGAAAGATTTTTCTTTGTAAATTAAAATATTTGATATTCAGTCCATGTTTATTGGAAGAATAAAGCAAACAGATCCTTCAACAGCACTAGGAGAACCTGCAGGGGTTTTGTAATTGGGGACCTTTGCAAATAATCATCAGTTGATGGCAAGGACTGGAACAAATGCTCCTTTGAAATAGATTCCAACTCTAGGATTATGTGTGACTGTGAAATGACGAGTGTAAACCACATCACAATAATAATCCTTGTTATTTTGCTGGCAATTAATTGATGCTTTTCAGAGTGACAAGTACTATAATGACTATGTGACATAAGAAACGGTATCAAAGAATGACAAAGCCATAGTGACATTATTGCTCTTTCAGTGTGGTTCATAGACAATGAGGCAGCTATAAAAATAACTTCATTAGTGATTAAAAGGATAAATGCCATTTGGTTTACTGTAAGTGATTAGTATAATTTTTTCTACAAATATTCCTCTAGAGTACACTTGGAACTATACTGATTCATTTATTTGTGTTACTTTATCTTATTTTAAAAAGGTTTTAAAGTAGTTCACAGAGATCCATAGAGTATAGCATGATAAAAATAAATGGAAAAAGAAATCAAAGAAACAATGAGGCAAGGGGAAACTAAGTTTAAATAAAATGAATTCAGGATAGTGTGGTTTAGTGCCCAAAGGCATGACATAAAGTGCTTTCTGGGGAACAATAAAAAAGAAAGAGAAATCATTAGGTACACAATTAATATGATCCATAATTTATATTAAAAATCAGTTCCTATGGGATGCAAAATTATATCTGGTACTGTAAGCTGATGCCCATACATGCTGATAGAGAAGGCGCTTTTTATTGTAAAGACCAAAGTACTAGAATGATATCATTAGAGTAAACATAGTAAAAAAATTCATAGGACTATCCTATTTTTAACTAACCTAAGTCCACATTCAAATAATAATCTCTTTTTGTGCAGTGCAGTTACCTTGTAACAGCATATTTCTGGTTCTCTTCTCTAAATCTTATAACACTCTTAGTATTCATTTCATTTATCCATATGTTGTGATCAATCACCTCATGCATTATTACTGTTATTATTTTAAACAGTTATCTTTTGATCAACTAAAAAATTAAAATATTTGACTTTCATGTTCTCTTCTCCAATGCTCATCCTTTATTTAACTAGATCCAAGTTTCTGACCTATGCCATCTTCCTCCTTGTTGAGGAATTCCTTTTAACATTTCTTAAAGGGACAGTCAGCTGGCAATGATTTCTCTCAGTTTTTGTTTTTGTTTTTCTATCTAAAACAGTCTTCATTTATCCTTCGATTTTGAAAGATAGTTTTGCTATACATAGAATTATATGTTGAGATATTTTTTCTTTAAAATCTTTAAATATTTTACTTCCCCTCTTCTTGCTTACATTGTTCTGACAAGAATTTATTATTCTTGTTCCCCTATAGATAAGGTTGTATTTTCCTCCTCTGGCTTATTTCAAGAATTTGTCTTTATCTTTGTTTTTTCTTTTTACATTTTTAATATATATACCGACCTGTAGCTTTAAAAAAAAAAATATTTAGGCCAGGCGTGGTGGCTCATGCCTGTAATCCCAGCACTTTGGCAGGCCGAGGTGGGTGGATCACAAGGTCAGGAGATTGAGACCATCCTGGCTAACATGGTGAAACCCCATCTCTACTAAAAACACAAAAAATTAGCTGGGCATGGTGGCAGGTACCTGTAGTCCCAGCTACTCGGGAGGCTGAGGCAGGAGAATGGCATGAACCTGGGAGGCAGAGCTTGCAGTGAACTACTGAGACCACACCACTGCACTGCAGCTTGGGTGACAGAGCGAGACTCCGTCTCAAAAAATAAATAAATAAAAATATTTACCTCTTTGATAAATCTGTGTTTTTTTATATGCTTGTATCAAGCTACATGTATCTATGGTTCAGTTTCTGTCATAAATTTTGGAAAGTCTCAAGTCATTATTAATAAAAATACTTTTTCTGCTTCATGTTATTTTTCCTCTCATTCTGATTCTCCAATTATATGTATGTTATACCTTTTAAAACTGGTCCACATTTCCTAGACTTTTTAAAAAATATTGTTTTTTCTCCTTGTATGTCAGTTTTGGAAAATTATCTTGTCTGTCCAATCTTCAAGCTCACTGTTTCTTTCCTCATCTGTGTCCAGTCGACTGATAAGCCTATCAAAGACTTTTCCATTTTTCTTACAGTTTTTTGACATCTGGCATTAATTTTTATGCTTTTATAGAGTTTCTACATCTCTGTTTACCTTATGCATTTAATCTTTCATATTGTTTTCTTTATCCACTAGAGCTGTTAACATATTGATCACAGTTATTTTAAACTCCCTGTCTGGGCCAGGCACGGTGGCTCCCACCTGCAATCCCAGCACCTTGGGAGGCTGAGGCGGGCAGATCACTTGAGGTCAGAAGTTCAAGACCATCCTGGCCAACATGGCGAAACCCCATCTCTACTAAAAATAGAAAAATTAGCTGGACGCAGTGACATATGCCTGTAGTCCCAGCTAGTTGAGAGGCTGAGGCTGGAGAATCACTTGAAACCAGGGGGCGGAGGTTGCAGTGAGCCGAGATCACGCCACTGCACTCCAGCCTGGGTGACAGAGTGAGACTCCATCTCAAAACAAACAAACAAAAAACAAAACACACACACACACACACACACACAAAATCCCTGTCTGATAGTTTGAACTATCAGACTATCTGATTTGTTCTCTGAGTTTTGTTCTGATGCTTGTTTTGTCTCTTCAGATTGTGTTTTTTCTTAGTGTTTTCCATGCCTTGTAGTTTTTTGTTGAAAGCCAGACATGTTTTGTTGGGTAGTAAGAACTGCCTTAGTACATTTGGATTGCTATAACAAAAATGACATAGACTGGGTGGCTTAAAAAACAAAAGTTTAATTCTTACATTTCTGAAGGTTGGGAAGGAAGAGATCAAAGTGCCAGCTGATTTGATTCCTGGTGATGGCCCTCTTCTTGATTTGCAGACAGGAACCTTCTTGCCATATCCTCACATGTTGGAGTGTGAGATTATCTCACTTGTGTCTCTTTTTATAAGGGTGCTAATCTTATTTATGAGCACTGCATCCTCAAGACCTAATTACCTCCCAAATGCGCCACCTCCAAATACCATCACATTGAGGTTTAGGGCTTCAACATATTAACTCTGGAGGGATACAAACATTCAGTCCATAGCATGAACTCAAGTGAATAGGCTTTTAGTGTGAGGATTTATTATTTGTCTAGAAGTTGGGCTGCATTTAATGTTTGTTGTAGCTGTGGATATCAGAAGCTTAAAACTCCTCTAGTATCTTTGCCTTTTTTTTTTTTTTCCTTGATTTGGGGTTTCTTAAGTTCTCCTCCTTTGAATAACAAGTCTATCTGTTGTTTGTTTAGCTGCACTCTACTGTTGTACTGAAACCCTATTGGTATAAAAGTTAGGTGGGAGGGGGGAACATTCTTTAATGTTAAGATTAAATCTTAGTCTTTTAGTGGCCCTTTGTCTCTGGGCTTTAATCTTCACAAAGCTGTATAGTGCCCTCTCAACTCTTCTCTAGCTGTATAGAGCCCCCTCAACTCTTTCATTGAGAGAGGAAGGATGGGGGTGTGAAATGGCAAGAATGTCCTTTCCCCAGTTGAGATAAGTCTCTGGTAAAGATTTTTCTCCTGAGGAGGAAACTGTTGTTATGAAGAACTCCCTGTTTATTTCACAATGGTTAACTTCCTTTTCTTCCTGCCTGAGACATCTGGGGATCTTGCATGGATCTTCACCATGATAGCTGAATGGGGCTACTGGAGAGAAAATACCTGAAGGTGGGCCCTCTCCTGAGTGTAAGCCCTAGGATTTCTCACTGGTTCAGTCGTCCACATTTAGCTGTCAGAAAATTGTCAAAATTCCCATTTAAGCATTTCTACCAGTTTATGTGAATGGTTCTGCTCCAGATAAGCAAGAGTCTTAGTGATGGCTTGTGTTTACCTCTCTCTTCAGGTTACTGGGTAGAAGTTAGCCTTGAGTTCTTTGATGTGTTCAAGGAAAGTCACTGAGTTTCAGTTTGTCCAGCTTTTTCTTATTATACGTATGGAAGAGTGACTTCTAAGCTCTTTATATATTGGGGCTGAAACTGGAAGTCCCCGTCTTGAATTTTATTTGTTTGGGTTTTTTTTATTATTTTAAAACATTTTAACTGACGAAAGTTGTATATATTCAAGGTGTACAACATGATGAGTTGATACATGTATACACTGTGTAATGATTACTACAATCAAATTAACACATTCATTACCACCCATAGTTACCACTGTGTGAGTATGGGTGTGTGTATCTGTGTAGGTATGTGGTGAGGTCACTTAAAATCTGCTCTCTTATTACATTTCAAGTGAACAACACAGTATTATTAACTTTTTTCCTACAAGTTTCACTTTTTAAATTAATTCTTGCTTCACCTCACTGGCCTTAAGGGGGCACTCCTTCTCTTTGATCACAGAGTCCAGGTATGGAAATAAGACAACTGGTATCCTCCCTTAATGGAGACTACTGGAACTTTGAAACAAGAATTTTCAGAAGACTTGAGCATAACACAGGGAAACGGTTATCACAGAAAGATTATGTGGTTTACAGGATACACATTATTTCATTAGAGCTTGGGGTTACCCAAGATGACCTCTTTGCCTAGCTTCCAATGTGCTTCTCTGTGGTCCATGTTATATTTCCCTCCAACCTCCTGGATCTCAGGAGGTCGTTAAATGTGTGTGTGTGTGTTTGTGTGTCTGTGTGTGAGAGAGAGAGAGAGAGACAGATATTGAGTCTTTTCACGCGATGGTTTCCCTCAATGAGCAATTCATCCTCTTACCTTGTCTTTTCCACAAGATCTTAAGAGGTTGGACCTCCCCAAAAGGTAACAGTCCATCTTAAAGGAGCAGAAAATCAGAAGGAATACATTTTTATGCTTGTTGGGTAGTAGACACCCAGTAAGGATTTGCTTAATCAATGAATAAATGACTCTAAGTCTAGGAATTTTAAGCTGAGGAAAATAGATTCAAAGCAAGAAATGGATTGGCTTTGAATGGTTTCTGATAATATCATTCTTTTAGAATACACAAGAAAAATCTGGAGAAAAAAAGAAAAGAAAAGCCTAAGGAAATGGTGGAATGGTTGTTACCATCACTTGCCTTTCCTGAAAAAAGGAATGCAGATACTTTTGGATATTTAGAATTGAGGATTAAATTAAAGCTGTTGTTTTAACAATCATAGTGGCCTAACTAATATGTTTGCATCCAGCACCACCACCCTACACATACTTTTTGACCTCCTCCAATTTGTCCTCCATTGATCACTTTGGGTGAATTTTCCAAAATATAAATTTGATTATCTAATTTTTGTGCTGAAAATCTCTAAATTCCTGCTACTTAAAATTGACCACATCTATTTATTTGGCATTAAAATCCAATTTATTATTTTGCCTCAAATTTTTGTTGTTGTTTGTTTGTTGTTTTGGTATATCATTGACCATTCTTCCTCAAATAATCTGTCCTTCAATAAAACTTCTTACCATTGTTAACCTAAACAATGCATTTCCTGTAGTGACAGTGTCTGTTTTCCTTGTTGAACTCCTTACATCTGTGAAAACTCAGCTTACTTTCCATGAAAATACTTTCTTGAAGAGTCCCACACTTTCGAAGTTTCAGTTGTACTGTGCCATAACTATTTTATTACTTAACATTTTGTAGTATAAAAATCAATTTATAAATTTTTGGCCAGGCACGGTGGCTCACACCTGTAATCTCAACACTTTGGGAGGCCGAGGCGGGTTCAAGTGATTATCCTGCCTCAACCTCCCGAGGAGCTGGGAGTACAGGTGCATGCCACCATACCAGGCTAATTTTTTGTATTTTTAGTATTTGAGCCAAGATTGTGCCATTGTACTCCTGCCTGGGCCACAGAGTGAGACTCCGTCTCAAAAAACAAATACATAAATAAATAAAAATAAACAAATAAATAAATATGAATTTATAAATTTTTATTGCTTCCAATGCTTTCCTCAATTACGCAATATAAATAAAACCTAACCTATTGAGTGTTTGTGAGGATTAAGTGAATCAATCTTTAGACAAGTATTGGATACAAAAGTACACACAGTAATGTTTGCTATGGTCATGACCATGAGGATCATCACGGTGATGATGATGATGTAGCGACGCAGACTTGAGGGTATTGTTCGATCCATAAATAGTAGAGACACTTGAGGTTTGAGAGGGAAATCCAGGAGAGAGGAGACAAAATTTAGTGAAGTTAGGAAGATTAAAACCACACTGTTGATAGTATAGGGAAAGAGGAATGAAAAAAAAACAGGCATATCTGGTTAAAACTTTTAAGTATTTTGTCGGTAATTCTGTGATCTAACTTCCCCTTGTTCCCATATTCCAAATGAGACTGTAAAATATGATTACAATTAAAATTTTGGTTTTAGAGATTTCCTCCTGGGTTGTGAGAAGAGGTACTGAGTCCTGCTTCAGTGTGGTGTGGGGCACAAATAACATTTACAAGTGGGGATTGCTGACTTTACATCGCAGACTGCCTCTTCTTCTAACAAATGAGTCCTGTGAGGCATATCTTTTTTACCCCTCTTTATAGCACTTACCATTCCAGCTTTCACCACTGAAGAGGGAAAAATAACAAGGATGATAAATAAAAATAAAATTATCAGCCCCAGGACCAACTATACAGACCCCCCGCCCCCAACGACCAACCTTTGGCCGAAGGGACACAAGAAAAACCTTAAAACCGAGTTCATGGCCATGACAGAATGGGAAGTCCCACACACCTTGTTATCTCCCCTCACTCCCTAGTTGACATGAGGTTTTCTTCCCTAAAAGCTAAGCAGAAACCAGCCCTTTTCAAGAGATTCCACTGTGGATATCAACCAACCGCTTGGCTACTGCCCCTCCTTTTGCAGTTTTGGCACACTAACCAACCAGCCTTTCTTCTTGATAAGAGACCACCAAGGAAGCAGTAGTTCTGACCAGTCTTCAGAGGATGCACAGCAAAAACTTTCCTCTCTTCCGCTTCACTTTTCGACATCAGAGGGCCAAATACTCTACCCTTGGTAGAGACATGAAGCCCAGTTGTACATTCACATGTTTCTCCATTCATAAATATTCATGACTCCTTCTATAGACGATTGAATATGTATATTTGCCCACCTCATTCAGCATAAATCCCTGTTCTAGTTGGCTGAGCCCCAGTGTATCTGTTTCTGGCTTCTGGCCAGAGGCTACACTTCCCCGACTGTCAGAATGGCTACCCTGGGGGCTGCAACACTTTATGAGAATTAAAGCTCTCCTTTCCAAATGTATGAACCTCATCATTTTTGAGTTGACAAAGAATATTAGAGTTTGTCTCTGAACTACCAAAAGTGAAGCCACTGGCATCCCAAGACTTGATTTTTCTTTTCTTTCCACTCTTAAAACACATTTCTTACCCTGTGGGTATTCCTGACTGGTATTCTGAGCCACATTCAGTTTGCTGATAGTCAACAGGGATAATGTATGCTTTTTTGCTTTCTTTCTCTATTACTAATCCCATTGCCATCCCCACTCAATATCTCCAATAAAACAGCCTTGTTGCCTCAATTTCTGATGCCTCTTTTATTACAACTCTTTATCAACTTACTATGTCTGTCTCAGGTACTTTCCCTTTGAAACTTGGGACACTTTCTTAAGGCTGATCTGAGAAAATAAAAGTAATGCTTTTTGTTATGCAGCCCAAATGTTCCCTCTCCAGCAATTAAGTACTCAGGGCAGAGGCTTTGATGAGTTACCTGCATTTATTTGGAGAAGGCACTCTCCAGGAGGTAAAGCTGGTCTTTGTTCATCATTTGTGTTTGAGAGCTTAAGTCCTGGAGTTATCTATCTATTTCAACAACTTTTATCCCCATTTCTCCCAGGAGGCTTCTAAGAGTCTCCAGCAAACCAGATCAACCTGTTCTGATGAACTTGCACTCTGTACTGATTTCCCTCTTGCACCTTTTAACTAGAATTGGGCTTTGCAGAAGAGAAGCTTGATTTCAAATTATTCCCAGCACAGTGCCAGTAGAGTATAGCTGCTCTTTGCTCCATTCCTTATCCATGTGAGTCTTAATGAGCATGGAAACCTATCAACATATTTGACATGTTAAGAGGTACCTCTTTATATGCATGTATTAAACCGTTAACACCTATATGTCATCCAAGAAGTCTCATATGAAGACAAGATTTTTTTTTAAATTCTGGATTTTCTTGCACATGGAAGATGTCATATTCTAAGACGTGCTTTCTGAAATTGATGTGACCTAATTTAGGAGTATTTTATAAAGCAGAAAATTAAGTAATCTGGACTGAAATAATTGACCAAAGAGGCCAAGTTCAGTTTAGTCCACCTAATAAATAATTTCATTCTTGTTCATTTCCTTAAAATAGTTCATCAGCTTATATTAATAAAAATGATATGAAACAGAGCAATTATAATAAATAAGTAAATTGAGGAAGAGAGAGAAAGAAGAAGCAGGTGTCTGGAATCAGTTACAGCGAAAGAATTGACATGTAGCTCTGAGCCTTCTGTCAACAGGGTAGGATGCAGAAACAAATTTGGGTTGCAGCTGACATCTCTCAAAGGCTGTGTGCCAAGTCTGGTTCCAAGGGACTTTTTAACATATGAACTTCTTTTACTTTCACAATTGCCCTATGAGGCAGGTACTATTGACACCCACATTTTACAGATGAGGAAACTAAGACAAAGGAAGTTAACATAACTAGCTCAAGGTAACATGGTACAAGAGAGAGTTGGAATCTGAATTTAGGCAATGTGACTCTATGGTTTATGCTATTAACCATAATGGTTCTTCTTGCTATCTACTAAGAGTTCACCAATAGATAAAAGCTTTTCCTTGCCCTGATTCTAAGATAACCTTACTTGGTAGAGCCGTGGACTTGGTAATGTAATGGAAACATGGAAATCAAAAATATGATGCTGGTTTTCCCAAAGAAATGATACATTCTTTACAAGCAAATTCTTTTGTTACTCCTTTAGAGAGAGAGCATTAACCTACAGTTCGGAGACATAGACACTTTGTTTTGTGGTGTTGGAACTTAGCACAGGGTCAGAATTTAAAGGTACTGGAAGATATCTCAGTTAACCTGTCTTGCTCATATTAGATGTTTTAAGCGAGATTTTGGAAGCACCTGCTTCAAATCAGTGTATAGTTGGCTTATTTAGCTAATGCTTTAAAAGATGTAGGGCATATTGTTGATTAAAGAAAAAAATTATATACTGGTAGAGGTCAGTATGCTGGTTTATAGGATGGTGTTCTTATCTAAGTAAGCGCAGGGTAATGGGGTAGGGATAGCTTGCTTTATCTTGACATACACGTGAGGTTTGGTAGGGTGAGTTGTGAAACTGGAAGGGACACATGAGGCCAGAAGAAAACATTAAGGTCAGGTGTAACTAATCAGTCTTCTCTATAAAAGAAACTTAGTATCTTATACAATATGCATTTTTAAAATCAGGGACTTTATATATTTTATTATTATATTTATTATATCAGACATGACATTTACTCTATGAATTAAAAGTTAAAGATATTGCACTAAATATGAGTTAATACAAGTAAATATGAATATATGCTATCTCTAATTTTCAGAAGTTTAATTTTTAGAAGTTTAACTTAGATAGCCTTTCCAATTATATTCTTCAACAGAGTGTCAGATGATAAGAACTGAGGTGCAGAGTTAATTATTAAACAAATCACACTTTAAAAATACTTCTACAGAAATAAAAGATTAATTTTGTTTTCAAAACGTGTCCTATATATAGGTTTGCTTTTCTCTTTATTTTACTGGTAGCCATCTTGTACTCCACTTGCTTTGCTATTTATTTACTCTGGAAGTAGAAAGGAATGTGGGGCAGGGAAGAGCAGTTGTAACATGTAATTTACTCCAGCAAAAAGAAAAATTGTGTTTCTTGGTAAAAAAAAAAAAGCTTCAGTGCTCTTTTGCTAGTCCCTGTTTGTCATTACTCTCTCTTCCAGTAGAGGGCAGGATGTAGCAATCTGTGAACTCACACTTCTAAGGGGTTAAATGAGGAGGAGTATCATGCTCATTTCGAGTTGCTGTTTAAGTAATTAAAAAGCTGGGTTTTTTTTTCGTGGTGTATATGATCCTGGTTTCTTCCACTGAATCCCCTAAAGAGATATTGTGATAATTTTCAAAATACCGCATTGCAATAAATCAACACCTACCCCAGTTCTCCTCTAGAATGCTTCCAAGGATTTCAAAAAAGAATTTTCCACCGTTGGCAAATAAGCAAGACAAATTTTGCTATGCATTACAGTCTATATTCAGATGTTGTATTTTAGGACAAGAAAACAATATAAACGTTTATTATTAACTAAGAGGAGCCACACAGCAAATGCTTGCTGAACAGTGACACTTGTGCCTGGCATGCTCCCAGCTCTTGGGCTACAGATGCAAATGGAAGAGAAACTCTGCCGGCAAGGATCCTGCATTCCACTGAGAGGAGAAAAACAATCCAAACAGAAATGGCCAAATAAATAAAATAATTTCAAGCACTTATAATTACTGGAATAAAAATGAAATAGGGTACACAATGTTGGGGTAGCCAGATTATCAGGAAAGACTCTTTGGGGACTGAGAGTCAGTTCCCCAAATTGCATATGGACTGCTTTCCCATAGCACATTTTTTTAGGGTCATGTTTTGGCACTAAGAACAACTTTTCCCATTAAAAGTGTAACATGGTGATTATATCCCTAGCACAGCTCATAAAAGACTCGCAGTCAGAAAACATAAACAAAGTACTGTTTGAATTCCGGATGTCTGCTTTAAACAGATCCCTTGACCTGTCTAACACTCTTCCCCTGCAATATCATGATCATAACAACTGGGAAGGTTATTGAGAACATTAAAGATAATGCACAAGGGAGCCAAGTAAAGTACCTGGCATACAGTAGTGGTGGAGAGCTATAATCTATAATATAATCCTCTAGACAAACATTTTCTATAAAGGACCAGATAATAAATATTTTTGGTTTTGTGGGCCATATCATCTTTCTTGTATCTACTCACTCAATTCTACTGTTATTGCGTGAAAACAACTATAAGCAGCATGTAATAAATGAGCATGGTTGTGTTCCAATAAAACTTTATTTACAATAATGGGAGGCAGGCTAAATTTGGTCCACTGGCCTTAATTTTATGACCCTTGTTCGGAATATATGCATAGTTATGACTATATTGATAAAAGTATAAGTAATTGGAGTACATTATAATGCAATTTAACTCCCAAATATAGCAATAATTGTGTGATAAGAAGCATTTACTGATCTTTTTCAGTGTGCCAAAAATATGTCTCTACTCAGTCCAAGAGATAGGAACACTCCCAACTACCCAGTGTTTTCTGTTATAAACCAGAAGAGATTTACTGCCTGGGCCATCCTTTCCTCACAGGAGAGCTGCTAAGGGATAGAGTGGGGTCTCTAGGGAGAGAGCTGGGTGCTTTATTTGTGAAAAAGTAGGAGCCATGGATCTAAGAGCTTCTCCACAAAATAACTTTCTAGGAACATGTCTCAATTCTGGGCTCTCAGGCCATCACTTAATTTTTCCTCAAACATGTCCACTTATTGGCCCATCTCTTCCCTTTCTCTGGTCCAGGTTAGAACTTCTAAAGCAATCAAGTTGCCTCAGCATCACCTGGGAGAGCTTAGCTTACTAGATGAGAGCTTGCTGTGACCTAACTACACTATCATGCCCATCCCCCACCCCACCTACCCCCCTCTCTGATTTCAGATACAGCTGTGATGGCCCTCAGGCGTCTAAATTTTAACACATATCACCCTAGGTCCTCCAGCTGATACTGAGAAATACTACTCCAGGGTAAAGAATTGTTTGGCATCAGGGGATGTGGATTAGCACAAAGTGAGGAAGTGAGGGCTGCTTTGGGAAGCAGAGGTTGCACTGAGCCGAGATGGCACCACTGTGTTCCAGCCTGGGTGACAAAGCAAGACTCCGTCTCAAAAGAAAAAAAAAAAAAAGAAAGTGAGGGCTCCTTCTTCTGAAGGAGAAGCAAGAATCACCTGCCTTCACACGGTAATTCTGCCACCACAGACACTTCTCATTGCCTGAAATATTCAGCTGAGTACCCAGAGAAGCACACTGGGGAAGTGAGAGAGATAAGAGAGGATGAGGAGAGAGAGAAGTAGAAGCCCACAGAAAAAGCCTGTGGACTGCTGGGCTGTCTTACCTTAATTTGTTCTTGAGGCTTGACCCAGCCCACAGTGTCTGGCACAGTGCTAGGCGCTATCTATTCATTGTGGCTGAAGAGCGGGGGTGTTTTATGCTAGTCATGAGAGAAAGCTTAACTGTTTTCACAATTAAGATGTGCTTATATCGCACACTTCTTCTCTCGCCTTCCCCACACAAAAAGGAAATAAATTAAAATATTAGTCAAAATTAATACAGCTGACACTTTGTGAGAAATACTGCTTTAGGATAAAGAATTGTTTAGGATCAGAGAGATACAGAATGGCGTTAAAATGGTATAATTTTACAATTAGAGAATAAACGAGATTTGGCATGTTTATTTGTGTTCATGTTGAACTTGTTTTGTTTTCTAATCATAAGTTGAAGCTGTATGTAAATTTTAGGATTTTTCACTGATATGCAATAAATTGTTAGAGGAAGGAGAGCCTGGAAGCTAAGTTTCTGCTACTTTTTAGTTGAATGATATTGGAAAAGCTAATTTTGTCTTCCTGTGCTTTAGATTTCTCATCTGTAATATGAAAATAATGCTACCTCCCTAATAAACATGATAAAGGTGTAAGAAGTTCTACTCGCTAAGAGTAGACACATAGCGCACAAGGAATGCTAGCTATTGTAAACCAGTAAGCGTCTGAGACAGGTCTCAATCAATTTAGAGGTTTCTTTTGCCAAGATTGAGGATACACCTGGGAAAAAGAGATGCAAGTTATAGTAGGATCTGTGGCCTGTGATCCAAAGAGGGTTTTGAGGACTTCAGTATTTAAAGGGGAAAAAGCAGGCACGAGGAGAAAGAGAAACAGTCAATTATGCATCTATCACTAGCTCAGTAAATCTGCATTTTACATATGATAAAGTAAACATAGAGCAGAGGAAAAAGTCAAATATGCATCTGTCTTGGAGTGGGCTGAGGGATGATTTCTAGTCTTGTCTTTTCCCTATACTTGTGAAAATAAGGTGTGCATTTACATTGCCAGGATGAGGGAGGCTACCTGAGGTAATATATGGCCTTCTGTCTTGCAGCTATCTGTGTAGGAACAAAAGGAGGGCAGAGTTTTGCATGGCTCCCTTTTGCAGCTTAACTTTTCCCTTTTGCAGCTTAACTTTTCCCTTTTGCATGGCGAGTTTAGGGTCCCAAGATATTGGTGTGTGTGTGTGTGTGTGTGTGTGTGTGTATAGATACATATAGAGTACATATATCTAGTGACAGTGTATCTATATATATAGATACACTCTCTATATATCTATATATATATACTCTATATGTATCTGTATATATATACTCTATATGTATCTATATATACTCTATATGTATCTATATATGTATATATACAGTATATATATAGATATATATATGGATACATATAGAGTATATATATATATATATATAGATATATAGAGAGTGTATCTATATATATATATACACTCTGTCACTAGGTTGGAGTGCAGTGGTGCGATCTCAGTTCACTGCAACCTCCACCTCCCGGGTCCAAGTGATTCTCCTGCCTCAGCCTCCAGAGTAGCTGGGATTACAGGCCCATGTCACCACGCCCAGCTAATTTTTGTATTTTTTAGTACAGACAGGGTTTCACCATGTTGGCCAGGATGGTCTCAATCTCTTGACCTCATGATCCGCCCGCCTCGGTCTCCCAAAGTGCTGGGATTACAGGCATGAGCCACCGCTCCCGGCCCTGAGATTTTATTTACCTTTCATGCTATTATGGACCAGGGCATCAGACTGTTACCTGGCACTCCTCTCTGGTAATGCAGAAAATGTAGTAAATCCTGCATTATCTCTATTTTTTCAGTTAAAACAGTGAAAAGAGGTAAGTTTTTATTGTCTTTGGTGGGAGCTCCTTATAGAAATATGGAATGCACTGGACGTGTATTTGAAGAGTAACCAAATCATGGCCTCTATATCTGGACGGCAAGAGCTAAAATCACATCTCCACTGCTTACTAGCGTGCCACACTGGACAAGTGGTTAAGCTGTAGGTGCCTCAGTTTTCTCATGGACAAAAATAATGAGAAAAAACCCACATGGGATTTAAATGTGAATGAAAATTTTATTATTAGAGTTTATTTTTTTTTCAAATGTTCCTTTCTCCCATTGCTAAATGACCATGTCCAAAATAGAGTGAGCAGATTGAAAATTAGATCTAGTGCAAATTTTAAAATAAACCTATAGCTTTGTTGTTTTTAGTGTACCTGGAGTCCCAACAGGGACCTCGTGTAAGCAACTTTTGGAGCATTTATGAATGTCCTATGATGCCTAGGAGTGCAAAGTAGGGCTCAAATGCATGTTCCCATCAAATACAGGAATAAGCTCGTATGTCTTTTGCCTTCATTTGGTTATACTGGCCAGTGGAGATAATTGTTCTTATTTTCTAAAATTAAACAATGTAGCTGAGAGCTTCAAGTGGAAATGTAAAAAGAAATAGCACTCTGGGAATCTATTTATTCAGTATATACAGCAAAACCTTCTGCTTTTATATTTACTGCTTTTATATTTGAGAAAGAGCTTACTCTCATTTTACACATGGACGAACAGATCTAGTTCAGTGGCTGTTGGCACAGGGCCTGGTGCCGAAATACTCACTGGTGACTTACAGATCCTTCATAAACGCAGATTTCTTTTCTATCTAATCTCCCAACTCTGACTCCAGAGAAGCATGGGGTTCTGCAGGTTAGAGGCATTTAATACATCCTGGTTGAATGACTTTCTTAATGAATTTTTATTATGAAAAAGACAAAAAAAATCACAAACACAAAAACAAAACAAAAAACCGACAGGTGAAGGAGGAGAGAAAACCAAAATTACCTAGGTTTAAAAATCTCCAACATTATAAGTGTGTCAAAAAATGAGTATCAGAAATTAGAAAAACACAGATAGTATATGTTTGTGACATATAAAATAAATAACTCTTAGAAATGCAATGTGAAATAATGAGGCCCAGATGGAGAAAATACAGTACCTCCCTGTCCTCACAACAGGTCTCCCTAAGTAGCAAATTCATCAGGACTTGCCATTTTGTGTGTTCTCTGGCAAGAAAAGAAGGGCTAAAGACTAAAGGCAGGAAGATGGTGGTACCCAGGGCAAATTTTCTATAAAAATAAACAGATCTCAGCTGGGGCGACCCCCTTCCTGTCTCTTCCTCTTTTTTTCTCCTCGACTGTGACCCACCTCCCCACCACTCATCAACACAGGGGCCAGAATTCATGAGTTCGGCTTCTCTTATTGTATTTTCCTTCTGACAAGCAGGACAACAGGCGAAGCTACTGAGGGGAAGGGTTAAAGGATTAGGAGAAATACATATTTGGGTCTTATTGCCTCTACCAAAAGCAAAGCTTCTACGGGTCTACCCAGAGACTGGGGAATTTGGGAATCTGAAGGCTAATTCCTCATCCCCAAATACAGATCACACGTAGTCCTGCCCAAGTGGAGTGAGTTCTGGACTAACAGTGAAATGGCAGAAGAATATGAGAGACTACTGCCCCAAGCTCAGTGCCAGAAACACCTCCCATGCCTCTGCTCTCTGTGCATGGAACTCAAATACCCAACACTTCAGCTGCTGAACTGAAAAGCAAAGGTGTACATTTCAGACATGGGAAAGAGATGTCAGGGAGAGTTTAATCATACCACATTAGGACAAATAGTAAATTAAAAAGAGCATGCCCCTTAAATATAAACAAAAGTTAAAGAAACAACATGACACTTTATAGGAAGAAAGGAAGGCAGACAGGGGAGAAGAGTTCACAAAAATTAAAAAAAAAGAAACTATATTTAAAGTATCTTCCAATAAAACATTTTTTCTTCAATAAATGCTGTGCTTGCTAAAATAAACCATAAGAGCAGGGAAACACGTTTTCACCTCATTTGACAACCCTAAATTATAATGATGTCACCTTATGGCAAATCTTTAATTATAAGGATTCTTTCTCAAAGGGTTCCTAAAAACAGAGCAGTCTATTGTTGCACACATTTTCTATCCACTACAGCAATGCAGGGTGGGTGCCTTAGACATTATGCCAGCCCAACAGAATGTGGGGCCCCTCGGAAGACTGGAAGAAAAAGACTGTATCAGAGTTTCCTTAGTGGTATAGGAGAAGGACTAGTTTGGCAATGAAGCTGCAACCTCATGATATGGTATTCATGTTGGGTTTTAGTTTAGTTTAGTTTGGTTTTACTAGTGAAATGACAATTCCTCATGGGTAGTGTTTTCTTTGGAAGATGGGACAAGGTGACCCATTGCATCACTCATACTGTATGCATCCCACGCAGACAGCAAAGTAGTGCTGGACCTTAGATCAGCAGGAATTCTACGGCATGACTCTGCCACTCCTAAAGCAATTATTCTCCTTTTTTTTTCATTAGTATTCAGCCTAGCTGCAGATATTGCCAACGCCAAAGGTCAAATTCAAATTTCTATATATAATCTTAGAATTCAATAGGAAGTTGTACTCCTGACTGGTGCCTCCAATGTCATGTTGGTACAGGATTTCTCACAGAAATTTTCCCCTGCCAGACTTAATTGGTGTATCCTTCTTTCCAAAACCACTTACAGGCTGAGAATATTTTCTCTCTATATATATACTTAGGAGCAGACTGGATTGGGTTTGCTTTTGTTGAGCCCTTATGTGGCATTTTCTGACTTTTTCTGGCTCCCACCTTACAATGCTTATAGCAAAAAGACCCTTCCTTCCTTCCTTGTGAGTATGCTGCTCATGCAATCATTTTTGTTTTTTGTTTTCCCTTTTGGTATTTTCACTTTGGTGATGGAAGGAAGGTTCTATGATGCAGTATTACTTCATCTTACTCCAGAAGCTTCTGCTCAGAGCCATCATGCAATATTCAACAAAAGGACCAACCCACATTTACCACCCCACTATTTAAAATATGTCAGTGCCTCTTCATCCTCTACACGACCCATCTGGCCCCTTTATTCTTCTCCAGGAATCACTTATCCTCAAACTCTACCCTCCAGCAACACTAAACTTCTTGAGTGACTGTGCACTTGTTATCCCTTGCCTCCTCTGTACCTCCCATTTTGTTGCCCCTGCAGTTGAAACATCCTTCATTTGACACGTTTCTCTTTTCCCCTATTCTCTCAAAAGATGCTCAACATTTGGCCAGGTATTCCCTAATGATCCAGTCTTTATAATGAGCTACACCCTCCCTTCATTCTTCTGCCCCCACGATGGGGTCTGTGCCCTCCCCTGACCTTTCTGGTACAGTCCTATCGTTGCATGTTGTATTGTTACACTTTATCCTTTTGTATTATACCAACTGTACTTCAGTCCCTCTCTTCCATTAGACGTTGACTCTTTGAAGCACGAATTGTAATTTTTCTGTATCAGAGCACAATGCTCAGCACATAGTAGGGAAAGAATGCACAATGATTAAATGAATGACAATTAAAATGAGCTAAGAGGTTTACTTACTCTATGGGTTTGGCTCATATCAGACCTTTGAATCCTTCCGCCAGCAAAGGAAATAAGAATAAATAATCTATTGTGGAATCTCTGGCCACCATATTATCACCGTGATGGAGTGCCTTAAATAAATAGAAGACATTTCTCATGGGCAGCCCTATCTAATCCACTCCCCAATAAACAGAGAATATTAGAAGTTAAAACTTTCAAGGGAAAAAACTGGTGCCAATCCCACACTTTTAGTAATAGCATTTGGTCTGTGTGGTCTATGCTTTACTGTATTTTTTCTCTCATAGTATTAAAAGTAGTCCTGAAAATTATCTTTAATTTTCTCTTCTTTCAGCCTTGAATGGGGAAAAAAAAACATAGTAAATGAGATGAAATACAATTTTTAATATGGAAATAAAAAAGGTTTTAGCAAAGAAATTAAGGGAGAGCTTTAATTTTTAAACTCAGTTGATCATTCTACATTCAATAGATATGTTATTGCCAAACACTCTCTTTTAAAAGAAATGTCATCTAATTACATCTAACATTAAATATATCTTTTAATTGTTCAGAGTAAATAAAATGCCACTGGTAATTACAATGAGAAGTTTTATGAATGTGGTTGGATTGCTTTCCGAATTTAATTAAGCTTTGGATTCTCATGTACTCTTTTCTCCTAATGAGTTGGAGCCTTCTCAACCATATTTCAGGGAATCTCTTGGGCAGAAACACCTTCTAAGAAATCAATGTGGAGGAAAAGGTCCAGAGGTATTTGTTTTATTTCCCTTGAAAGACTTAGCTGCACTTTTATCATATTTGTTTATTACATTTAATTTGAATGAGAGACATTCAAGAAAAATACCATTAAAATAATTTCCAAAGATCACAACCTTTATGCAAAAGAAGAATTATAGGTGCAGCAGCTAACAATTATTCATAAATGTTTGTGCTGCTGACTTAAGATATTTTCTACAAGTGAATGGAAAAATGCAACTGGGTACAGAGTGGTTTTTAAAAGAAAAAACAAGAAATTAAATTAAGTACAGCAGTAAGCAGAATAATGGCTCCCCAGAGATAGTCACGTCCTGATTATAGAACCCGTGAATATGTTTTGTTACATGTCAAATTATGGAATTAAGTTTGCAGATGGATTAAGGTTGCTAATTAACGAACCTTAGTATAAGGAGAGTATGCTGTATTACTCAGGTGGGCCCAGTATACTTACAAGGAACCTTAAATGTTTTTGAAGAGGAAGAAAAGGGCAGAGTTATAGAGAGATTTGAACATGTTATGTTCCTGGCTTTGAAGATGGGGGAAGGAGCCCCCAGTCAAGTAATATAGACAGCTTCCAGAAATTGGAGTAGGTAAGGAAATGGATTCTCCCCTAGAGCCTTCACAGAGGAGCAGAGGCCTGCCAACACATTGATTTTAGACCAGTGAAACACCTAACCTATGGTTGGTGTATGTAATACATTCATTGTTTGGGGTTTTGAAGCAGCAATGGAAAACTATTACTAGTACACTCCCATAATGTCACACTACACAATCATTAAAGTAATTTAAGAAGAATGCCTGATGATTTGGAAAATATTTATGGTATATAATTAGGTTATGATAAAAGACCACATATGGTAAAAAACAGAAAAAAATACGTATATACACTTCAGATAAAATCTGAAAGATACACTATAAAATGTTTCTCATGGTTCTCTATAGATGCTGACATTTAATTCTTTCTTTGTTTTTATTTCTTATCTTTTTTCTTCCACTTCCCAAGTTTCTTTTGTAATCAGAAAAAATTAAATGTTGAACATGACTGATGTTAAAACTGGAGAGAGGTTACTTTATTAATAGCATTGTATGTCCTTTCAGAAACTTTCTTAAGAAAGAAGACAGCTATAACTAATATAGTAATTTTCTGTAGATTAGCTTGTGTTCAATTTACTTTACTGAATATCAGCATCCCAAACACACTTCAAAAGATATGATAATGTCTACCTACATTATTTTTGAATTTTTTTTCTACAAAACATCTTAAAACGTGGGCCACATGAAATTAGAAAATATTTTTGCCATAGAAAGTTTAATCTTTGAATGATTGTGTTCATGCTGTCAGGGTTAATGACAATAGCAGGATAGCACCTGTATAGTGTCTGGGGCAAAAACCTCAAGTGAATGAATTTTTCTTTATGAGTTCAACTGGATAATCCCTTTTACTTTTCCTTACAGAATTCAATACAAGCCCCCATTGATAAAAAGTCACTGCCTTTCCCTTTCATGCTTTGTGTACTTGATTTTCATTAGTGGTGGGTTTTATGGTGGGTTTTAATATTTGTAAAGAACATATCGTAAAGGAAATTAAATCTTGTATAGCAGAATAAAACTGTGTTTAGTCAAATAATTGGATAAGTTATGTGCATTTTTAATAAATAACTGTGATTTATTTGTACATATAACATTTCTAAAATTTAGTGTAAAAGCTTGGTTCTAAGATACAGTGCAGAATTTAATTATTTAGTACTCGTGAAGGAGCAGATGTCAGTGAGCAACAGGGTGGGCTCTGGCATCCGGTGTGCCTGGGTTCAAAGGACGGCTTCAACTCTCACTGTCTTTGTGCTCTTGATTACTAATTTCCTCTTTTGGAGACGACTTTGTAGAATGGAGAGTGACTATGCTCATCTCAGGTTATTATAAGAAGTAAAGGAAGCAAAATGCATTTCCTTGGTAAATAATCATTAAATAGTGGCTGAGATATCTTAAAGCCCTTTTCACTGAGTATTGTTATTTGTACTACACAATTTAAGATTCAGTGACTTTGTGCTTGCATGTGCTATGGTTATTTCAAGGCACTTTTTATCAGCATGATAAAATAATACATATGTGACAAGAAACTGGTGTTGTATGATAAGCTACCTGGCAGAAGTGACAGAAGCTTCTGTTTGATCTCTGTGTTAATGATAGTTTCCTATTTTTTAATCGCCTCATTTGAATGAGAGTATGAACCTTCACTCGGTTTCTCCAAAATGCTTTATAAAGAAATGTGATCTCTTTATTCTGCTGTGACAGAGGGTAAAAAAAAGGACCAGGCTGTTTTTCAGGTACAAGTAAAGAAAAAAATGGACTTCATTTTGGCCTTTGTACTCTCCCAGGAATGATGGGAGTCCCAAGATACTCATTCTTTTGAACAAATGTGCCAAACACAGACGATTTTGGGTATTTTGTCCTTGGTGAGTGGATGTGGGAGTTATAATTGAAGATGAAAATGAAATAGAAACAAGTGCATCTTGTTGGAATTTACCTTCTTTACTCCCTTTGCTTCTTAACCATCAAGAATTTTTGACATATACCCTAAATTCAAGCCTGAGTGTTAATTTGCAAAATAGAAACCCTGTCCAAGCCTTTAAATACTATTACAGCAAAAGGCAAAGTATAAAACATGCACTTAAAACAGGCATGTGTTTCATCCAAGATGTTAAATCGGGAAGAACTAAAAAATAACAGGTTACTCCTGAAAAAAAAAAGTAATAAAATATACAAAAATATTCTCTATTCATATTTGAATAATCAAATGAAGTAGTCTTGGCTTCCTAATTTCCTTACCCATTCTTGGAATAAATTCTTTATTAGAATGAATGTTGAGACCCTGGGGGATCTTAGGATATTCTTGAGAAATAAATTTGAAGTGCCAATTTTGTGCTAAACGTAGGTAGAAAATGGCGTTTTAGATTTTAAAAGTAAATGGCTAAAAATTAAGCATTATACCCTTCAGAAAGTTTATAAGGTTTGACAATCATTCTTTTAACACAGAAATCTGTTTATTAAACCAAACAAAACAGAGAAAATTATACCAGCCCTCAATTTTTGAATTTTCATTTAAATAAGCAAACTCTAAATCCACATCTTAAAAGATGTTTGTGCAGCTATGTATTTCCAAAATACTCATATTTCAATAAGATTTTTCACATTATATTCACCAACAGTATCACAAAAGTTTTTTTTTTGTTTTTTGTTTACATAATTGTAAGGAACAGTAATTCTAGAAACACTAGAAGAAAAAAGCATAGCAATGTCCACAGTTACAAGAAAAAGTGCACATTACTCGGTCACAATCACAGTCATTACTTGAAAAACTATATGTAACAAGTAGATAAGAAATATCACTGATGCCTCAAACTCATTGTCAAAAACTGAATGACATAAATTTTACATGAAATAAGGCAAATTCAGGAATGCACAAAGAATTTGTAATCCAACCAAAGCTAAACAACAGAAAAAAGTTGTATAAGAAGCATGAACTAAAGTACTTCTCCCTAAATATTTAAAAAATAGGCTTGTCTCAGTGCACAAAGAAAACATCACTCATGTGTATCCCACACTATAAAATAAGAAAGAAGGGTAAAGTATGGGGGATAGGAGGGCACAGTTCATTGTAAGTTGCAGCTGCATCCGCTGAGAGTTCCTTACATTATTTTTAGCTAGAACTGAAAATTATACAAATCATATCAGGAGATGTAATGGTCTTTTTGGAAACTATTTCTGAAAGAAATGAAAAGAAAACTACACACAAGAGTGCAAATTTTCAGATTGTCACTTGCAACCTCTTAACATTCAGTCATCTACATCCAGGTGCTGCTAGAGGGATGCCTGGAGACAGCAGCGGCAATCAGGAACGAGCAGCTCTAAGAAACCAAGGTGTGATTTTTTTTCAACAACATGTCTTGTCATTATTAAAAAAAAAATTCTGGGATGAAAACTGCTATGATAAAGTTGCAGTGTTGAGTGGGGTTTTTGAGATCAGCATGAGAGCAGAAATGCAGGCTTCTCTTGGAAGTAGTTCCTGATGTGACGATTGAAAGAACGTAGGCAAGGGTTTTTCCAGCATCAAGTGTTATTTTTGTAGAAAGAATTTGGAAAGAGGAGAAGGCAAAGGGATGTGGAAAAGGTACTTACAGTAGTTTCTCAAAACAGTTTTCTTTTAGGACCTATGAAAAAGTTACCAAAGTAAAAATGACAAGTTTGAATGAAAAACAAGTTTTCTTTTTATAAAAATTACATATTTTTTTAAAATACGAGATCCTTTTCATTGTTGTTATATCCTGTAGCAACAAGAAATTTGGCTTTTTTTTTTCTTTTTTTTTTTTTTGCCAGGTACTTCAGCTTTCAGTCCAATGAGTCAGTAGCAAATTCCACTAATATTTCAGCTGGATCTTGAACTATTGTTTTATACCACAAGCTTCTTCTGTTTTATCCTTGAATTAAGAATAGATAGCCTTTTATGCCCCTGATATTTATGGTGACACACTAAAACAAAAAGCAATAGGCTGGACATACTAAAGTAGCTCAAGTACTTCAGAGGTCAGAGTTCCTTTGAAGCACCTTAACACATCACTTACGGATCAAGGACAATGTGGCATAATGGAAGTATTTCTCTTAAAAGACTGTGCAGTAAGACCAGAAGTATCTCTGTTGGGAAATCAAAATGTCATTAGTGGAAACTGCAAATTTAGACCTCAGTGAATATGGTGGTCGTCTGTCTCAGTTCTGTTGTAAAATGAGATTTTCCAGTTCATCTGCAGATCGCAATAAAAATGCAGCTGATTCTCGATATCCTGCAACAAGCTGTCTCACGGCATTGATTTCAGTTGGACTCAGCTGGGGTCTGGAGTTTGAGCTGCTGGAGGATCCTGAGCTAGTCGCCAATTGTCTCTTCATGCTGAGATCAGTGGGTCCTAGAAAGAAAATCATCACAAAATTAGACATAAATATTATTTGTTCCAGCATCTTGGATGTGAGCATTCAATAAATTATAGTTGAATGAATTAATGAATTCTTCCACAAGAAGCTAGTGATCTCTTTAATCAAATACATCTACTCTCAGAAAGATTAATGAGCAATGTAATGGTAACCGAGTGGCTTCTCTTCGGTCTTCTCTCAGATGCCGAAATCAGCCTCTGGAAATCACCTCTTGCTGTAGAGAGATGGTGAAAACTTTCTTGGAACATGTGTTTTTTGAAAAATTCAATTTTAAATCTGTCTTCCATATGTTGTAGACGCTTCTCATAGTAGCATAACATGATGGGAATTACAAACATTTTTCATTTGTTACATTCATTAACAGATATCTTAGACCGCATCAATTTGCAATTTAAAAAAACTGTGATGCTAATGACTTTAGAGTACAAACTAGTCAACTTAGCAAAAAGGAAACTAAGGACTAAAGGACTTCAGGAATATGTTTAGAGTTTGACAACGTTTAAGTGGCACAACCAGGACTTGACTTAAGTATTTTATTATTATTATTTTTCATTTCAGGCAGATGTTGTTTACCATGTTGATTAGTATTAAAAGTGTTGACATATTACATTGGAATTTGCTTTAGAAGTGCAATAAGTGATTACTGCAAACAATACCACAGAGAACCTAGACATTTGGAATACTGACTTACGTGTTTAGGAATTTAATGTCATCTCTGTATTTATTTGCACAAAACACATTCATGTGCCGAAACCTTTTTTTCTTACATATTTAAGCCATCTGGTGGGTATGCTTTTTGACAACATTTTGTAAATTTTTACTTAAAAAGTATTTATAAAGTTATTTAAAATCTTTTATTCAGTCATTTGTGTTGAGAAGATACTTCTTTCAATTATTCTTTAAGTGTTCACTTTTATACTTCTTAGCTGACATTAAGCATTTACTGTAGTTATTAAATTTGCAGTATTAAATTTAAATCCTTGAATAAAACAGTACTAAGCACATAACTAAACATGTGTTCCAAAACTGTAATGATTCTATAACTTGAAAATGTTTTAACAGACTTTTCCTAAACATGCGTAAATTTTCAGATAATGGTATTCGTTTCATGAACTAAAACAAGAGATGTTATTTTATCCTTTTGGTTCTCCTTGAAGCATGATGGAGATAGGTCAAGACCCAACCCCCTCCACCCTCTACCTCCACAGAGGAGACAGATGTCCCATGAGAGGGAAATAGCTTCACTTGAATTTAATTAGAGCAGAGACAAGACTAGCACACAAGAACTCTGACATCTGAGAGAAATGTATTTCCACTTCTGTAGTGGCCTTTCAAAGCTTTGATTTTTCTAGCAGGACTTAGGTTCCATTTGTTCTGCTATTTACAAAATCATGAGACTGACACGACAAGCTGGAAGAGAGATGTGCGATGTCACATTTGCAAACAGAAGTTACTGAACCTGTGTTGAGGCAAATCATTAACATCATTGAGTTTATTTGGAAAATTCTGAGTGGATTAAAAAGGCATTATAACAGGAGTAGTGGTCTCCAGATGAACCCACTTTAAGTTTTGTTTTTCTTTATATTTAAGAAGCCCAGTACAAGGACAGATATTTATAACAGATATTGAAAGGGTTTTCCTCTCAGCTATGTAGTTATCTAGTATCTGGTTGGCTGACTGTCATTATTTCATTACAAGGTGTAACATTTTGATGGTTTTTGCTGTCAATCCAAGTTGATTGGCATCCTTAAGTAAAATTGAGAAAGGGTTGAGGCTAGGGCTCCAGTTCTTTCTAAAGTGAGGGAGATTGATTTTATTCTAATCGGCAGTTTTTGAATTACACCCTACCGCTGGCTCAGTGTTCTAAGCTTCCAAACCAAGACCTAGCTTTCACTTTCCTTCAGACCTTTGTTAGCACAGGCATAGTCTAGAGAAAGCTCTGCCATTTAGAGGCTATTCACATCTCCCAAGTTATTATTATTCTTTGTCTGAAAGAAAGTTGACATCATTATCTTGGCTTTTTTCAGATCTGCAGGATCAGGATAGAGTGCATAAACCAAAACCATAAGGAGTCCTTTAGCTGAGTGTTTGTTATCCATGTCTTCACTACTATGGGGTTGAGCAAGGAATCAAGCTAAAATAAAAATATTTGCAAATAAACAAGATATTTCACTAGGGACCAAATGGCCCTCACTGATGGTTGCTACCATTCATTTCTGCCTCATTGAGTGAATCCCATACTTGACTGGTTTGGCTTCATTATCCCCAACAATATGATCTGATTAGAATGCATATCAATTACAAGTAAAAATTCAAATGTTATAAAGATGCTACATTTAATTAAGTCTAGGAAAGTATTCTTGGAGACCTGCTAAAATCTCACACAAGGCTACTGAGAAGCACGGCTCTGGAAAAGCTGGACCAGTTAACAAGGAAATGACCAAGGAGAGTGACACAAAAGATACTTCAAGAGAAAGGATTTTGATATCCAAGGTTAAAGGCACATACCAAGGCAACTTGCTAGGCCCACACTTATCCAAGTGCCCACATTTTTACCAAAGTGATGCGAACCTGCTTTATGATCATTCTGAAAATATAAGAGACAAAAGATATTTCATGCTAACATACAATGCTGTTTGAAAAATTAAGCTCCACACACCAAAACGAATTATTGATTCATTTTTTGAGGTTTGAGGGATATTTAAGTTATAAATAAATTTCAGTTAAATGAAAATGTATATTTTCATTTTACTTCTTCATTTTCTTTTTCTTCATTTTCTTTTTCAAATTAAGTTATCAGTTGAATACTTCTCCCGTTTATGGTGCATTTTTGGTTGTTGTTTTAAATAGACTTATTTTTATGGTCATATTTTAGTGTCATTTATCCTTAGGTAGTAGGGCCCCTTAGGACAAAGTTTTGTTTTTGCAGTGTAAATTCTCTTTGAAAGACTATGGCATACATTTTTATTTATCAAAAATTAGACTGAAGGTAAGAATGCAAGGCCCATAAACGCAGGCACGCTTTGTGTCTCATTTACCGTATCATTCTGTGGAGATGTGTTGGTGCCTGGCACAAAGGAAGCCTCAATAATAATCAGTGACTGATGGATGTTTGTATTTGTAGAATCAATAAATGAGAAGTGCCAGATTCTTTCTATAGCCAATAATTAAGAAATAGGAAATAAGTGATGTTATTAATAGCACTAGTTATGGTTAAAACAAAACTAGTTAGACAAAAACCACGATGGTTTAATGTGACTTATTCAAGTAAAGTAACCTCTAATATATGGAAATATTATTATTGCCATAAAAGTCATATAAAATTATAAAAATGTAATTGCTTGAGTACAGTGATTTCCACATGAACCATTGCTGATAGAGAAAAATAAGTTATTGTCCATTTCCTAAATAATCATGTTTGCTTTACCACTAAATATTACCATGAGTCCTGAGTTGAATATAAAATAATTCCTAGCTTCATACAGCCTTCTCCTACATTCTCTTCTTCAGCTAGGACCTCCACTCCCAAGCAATAGACTATGAAATGTCTGGATAACTGGCAATTAATTCAACAATTTAAATAAGTGAAGAACATTTTAAATTAATTCTTTACTACAGGGGTTGGTGAAATTTTTAAACAAAGAACAAGGTAGTAAATATTTTAGTCATCTTAAGCCATGAGGCAGAATTGCAGATATTAATAATATGCAGGTACTTATACAAAAAGAGAGAAAGCAGATTACAACATTCTCATGGACAAAATTCAAACTATAACAATTGAGTCTTTGTTTTTAAATAAAGGTCTACTACTGAGGAGAGTAAAAAGCTTTTTTCTTAATTGAGCTTCACCGTTAGTGTTCCTTTTCATCAAAATCAACTGCAAATGTTCATCTATTAATGAAGATTTGTAGTGATATTTTAAGTGTTTCATCTTTGAAAATGTCTTTTTATAAATTTTTTTCAAATACTTTTATCAAGTCACAACCATATTATTTTAATTGAGCATATTCATCACTTAAAAGTCATTATAGAATTCTATTAGATCCTTCTCCTGATAGTTACCTTTTATTAGGTCAATACACTGCAGATTAATTACTTCCTATTAAAGTTTAAACTGGAAGCTCCTCAACTGAACAGTGAAAAGGAATGTGAAATATAAGAATTTACTTTGCGTTTGCATCAATGTACTAAAATATTGCTGAGTCTGTGGTATGTGCTCAGAAAATATATCCACGCAAATCTGCTTGGGAATGGAGATTTTACTTCTTCTTTTAACTTCTGATAGGACAAGAAGCTTATAAGCAGTTTTCTATTACTGTGATTCAAACAGTATTGGCCATCATCAAAATAACTTTACCACAGCATAAGCTTTGCATATAAGTATTGTTTTATCTTGTAATTTCAGATCGAATTCAACAAGAAACATTGCCAATTCTGCAGCAAAAATTAATTTCCAAAACCATTGAGTGTTTACTGATAGTGTCTGAGGGCAGTTCTTATTCAGAAAAAATTTAATATTAGCCCTGATCTGGAAAAAAAATTGTAATAAAACTTTACCAGGAAGCCATCCAACTGCTGTGTGGTAGGACAACTCAGTATATTCAGATTCTATTCTGACAAAATTTCACAGTAATGAACATGGTTAATTGATGAGAACAAATGAAGTTTAAAGGTGATAGCACTGTTTTAACCATGAATGAAATACTGAAGTGTTTTCCACAATACAACTGCTAATGGCTCTTTCAAGGAATAACCATATGCTTTATGTTTTAACAAACTTTGTAAATATGTCCAAATAACCCTCTTTGTGCTTCACACCTCTTAGTTCCACTTCGGATTGTATTGAATTAGTTTTTTTGCAACTTTGAAAATATTCTCACCTATAGGTGTTCCACACTTACTATTCATAGAGGCTAATTATTCATCACTTCAAACTTATCATTGACTCCTCCAATAAGCAACAACAGAGTAGTATTAGTACCATCTCAACTCAAGAGGCAAGGAAAACTACTTCAAACTAGAGTTACCTTGTTTGTTAATTGACTATTCATATTAGCAATATTTCAATTTCCTCAAGCTTTCAAGCACTGTTCTTGCCATAATGCTAAAAGTCTTAAGAAGGCTTATTTTTCTGGACACAATTATTTAGCTTTTGCAGTAAAATGTGATTTAATAAACTTGCTATCAGTAAATGAAGTGATTTTCCCTGGTTGGCTAACAAATTCGCCCCTTGAAAACTTTGTTTGTAGGCCATTTCATTTCTTATTTTTGTGATCAGATGTTTAATCAAGGTATTCATGATGATATTGTAGTTCTTTTGCCAAAGAGTAAAAAAAAAATCAACTATAAAACCTCAGGATTTTAGCTAAGTTAGCTAATATAGATAAAGTATCCATCCAGCACAATGCCTGGTTATACTAGATATTCTATAAGTGGTAATTTCCTTCTCCAGATGACTAAATATTTATCAATGGGCTAAAGATATCTAAAATATCACACTAAATATACATTGCTAGATTCAACATGCTAATGAATTTCATTTATATTCACAAGTCTGATTACACTATAATTTGCCTTTCTAATACTCTTTTTGATGATAGAATTTTAGTAGCATCATAAAATGAGCTGGAGTACTTTCTCCTCTTTTATCCATTTTTCCTTCTTTTAGAATTGTTTGTCTAAAGTGAAGATTATCTAGCCTTTGAAGCCTTGGTAAAAATTTGTAAAACCATCAGAGTCTGATATTTTTTAATGGGCAGATTTTTATAATACTGATTCAGTTTGTGTAATGGTTACAAGTTCATTTGGAATATCCATTTTTGAATTAATATTGGCCAATTATGCTTTTGTAAAACATGGTCTAATATCTCTAAACTTTCAAGTATAATGGTATAAAAATATTAATTTTATACTGTTTAAACTTTTATTTTTTAAAATTTCTATTATGTTTCATCTGTCTTTATTCATCTTGTCATATTTTTAAAAAAGCCCTTTCAAGAATGCTGCTTTTGCCTTTGTTAGTCTTCCCTATTGCTTCTTTGATTTGTATTTAATCAATTTTTTCACTTATTCTATTGTCTTTGGGTTTTCTCTGTTTTGACTTCTCAGGTTAAATCATTGGTTCATTAACTTTATATTTTTTTCTAATGTGTATGCCAAAATACTAAATTAGTTATATTCCATAAATCTAGTTATGTAGCATTTTCATCTTTGATAATTATAAATAGTTATCAACACAATGCGATCTGTATGTTAATGATTATTTGGATGTTTCCATTTGCTTAGGTGGTCAATATATGTGAAAGAATATGTATTGTTAGACAGTTGGGGGTCAGATTCTAGATATAGCTATTAGATTAAATTTTAATTATTTGTTTCAAATGCAAATGTTTTTCTGGTGTAACTTTTTTTGTTTGTTTTTTGTTTTTCTGAGAGACTTGTGTCAAAACTCTATGGCTATCATTATGACTTTCAATTTCTCCTTGCTATTTTGTTACTTTTTAATTTAATTTTGAGGCTTTATTATTGGGGTACATAGTTGTATCAGTCCATTCTTATACTGCTATAAATACCAGAGGCCAGGCATAGTGGCTTACGCCTATAATCCTAGCACTTTGGGAGGCCGAGGTGGGTGGATCACTTGTGGTCAGGTGTACAAGACCAGCCTGACCAACATGGTGAAACCTAGTCTTTACTAAAAATACAAAAATTAGCCCGGCATGGTGGTGGGCACCTGTAATCCCAGCTAATTGGGAGGCTAAGCAGGAGAATGGCTTGAGCTCAGGAGGCAGAGGTTTCAGTGGGCCAAGATCATGCCGCTACACTCCAGCCTGGGGGACAGAGTGAGAATCTGTCTCAAAAATAAATAAATAAAATGAAAATAAATACCCAAGACTGGGTTATTTTAAAAAGGAAAGAGGTTTAATTGACTCACAGTTATGCATGGCTGGGGAGGCCTCAGGAAACTTACAGTCATGGCAGAGGGAAAGCAGGCATATCTTACAAGGTGGCAGGCGAGAGAGCACATGTGAAGGTGGAACTGTCAAACACTTATAAAACTATCAGATCTTGTGAAAACTCACTATCATGAGAAAAGCATGGGGGAAACCACCCCCATGGTCCAATAACTTCCCACCAGGTCCCTCCCAAAACACATGGGGATAATGGGAATTACAATTTGAGAGGAGATTTGGGTGAAGACGCAGAGCCAAACCATATTCTGCCCCTACCTCCCCCCAAATCTCACATCCTTTTTACATTTCAAAACCAATCATGCCTCCCTGACAGTCTCCCAAAACCTTAACTCATTCCAGCATTAACCCAAAAGTCCAAGTCCTAAGTCTCATCTGAGACAAGGCAATGCCCTTCTGTCTAGGAGTTTGTGCAAGTTAGTGATTGTTACTTTTGCACAAATGTAATAGTTACTTCCTGAGACTTTGCTGAAGTTGCTTATCAGCTTAAGGAGATTTTGGGCTGAAACAATGGAGTTTTCTAGATATAGAATCATGTTGTCTGCAAACAGGGACAATTTGACTTCCTCTTTTCCTAATTGAATACCCTTTATTTCCTTCTCCTGCCTAATTGCCCTGGCCAGAACTTCCAACACTATGTTGAATAGGAGTGGTGAGAGAGGGCATCCCTGTCTTGTGCCAGTTTTCAAAGGGAATGCTTCCAGTTTTTGCCCATTCAGTATGATATTGGCTGTGGGTTTGTCACAGATAGCTCTTATTATTTTGAGATACGTCCCATCAATACCTAATTTATTGAGAGTTTTTAGCATGAAGAGTTGTTGAATTTTGTCAAAGGCCTTTTCTGCATCTATTGAGATAATCATGTGGTTTTTGTCTTTGGTTCTGTTTATATGCTGGATTACATTTATTGATTTGCCTATATTGAACCAGACTTGCATCCGAGGGATGAAGCTCACTTGATCATAGTGGATAAGCTTTTTGATGTGCTGCTGGATTCGGTTTGCCAGTATTTTATTGAGGATTTTTGCATCAATGTTCATCAAGGATATTGGTCTAAAATTCTCTTTTTTGGTTGTGTCTCTGCCCGGCTTTGGTATCAGGATGATGGTGGCCTCATAAAATGAGTTAGGGAGGATTCCTTCTTTTTCTATTGATTGGAATAGTTTCAGAAGGAATGGTACCAGTTCCTCCTTGTACCTCTGGTAGAATTTGGCTGTGAATCCATCTGGTCCTGGACTCTTTTTGGTTGGTAAGCTATGGATTATTGCCACAATTTCAACTCCTGTTATTGGTCTATTCAGAGATTCAACTTCTTCCTGGTTTAGTCTTGGGAGAGTGTATGCGTCAAGGAATTTATCCATTTCTTCTGGATTTTCAAGTTTATTTGTGTAGAGGTGTTTGTAGTATTCTCTGATGGTAGTTTGTATTTCTGTGGGATTGGTGGTGATATCCCCTTTATCATTTTTTATTGTGTCTATTTGATTCTTCTCTCTTTTTTTCTTTATTAGTCTTGCTAGCAGTGTATCAACATCAGCAAAGTCTCAGGATACAAAATCAATGTACAAAAATCAAAAGCATTCTTATACATCAATAACAGACAAACAGAGAGCCAAATCATGAGTGAACTCCCATTCACAATTGCTTCAAAGAGAATAAAATACCTAGAAATCCACCTTATAAGGGACATGAAGGACCTCTTCAAGGAGAACTACAAACCACTGCTCAATTAAATAAAAGAGGATACAAACAAATGGAAGAACATTCCATGCTCATGGGTAGGAAGAATCAATATCATGAAAATGGCCATACTGCCCAAGGTAATTTATAGATTCAATGCCATCCCCATCAAGCTACCAATGACTTTCTTCACAGAATTGGAAAAAACTACTTTCAAGTTCATATGGAACCAAAAAAGAGCCCACATCGCCAAGTCAAACCTAAACCAAAAGAACAAAGCTGGAGGCATCATGCTACCTGACTTCAAACTATACTACAAGGCTACAGTAACCAAAACAGCATGGTACTGGTACCAAAACAGAGATATAGATCAATGGAACAGAACAGAGCCCTCAGAAATAAAGCCACATATCTACAACTATCTGATCTTTGACAAACCTGAGAAAAACAAGCAATGGGGAAAGGATTCCCTATTTAATAAATGGTGCTGGGAAAACTGGCTAGCCATATGTAGAAAGCTGAAACTGGATCCCTTCCTTACACCTTATACAAAAATTAATTCAAGATGGATTAAAGACTTAAACGTTAGACCTAAAACCATAAAAACCCTAGAAGAAAACACAGGCATTACCATTCAGGACATAGGCACGGGCAAGGATTTCATGTCTAAAACACCAAAAGCAATGGCAACAGAAGCCAAAATTGACAAATGGGATCTAATTAAACTCAAGAGCTTCTGCACAGCAAAAGAAACTACCATCAGAGTGAACCGGCAACGCACAAAATGGGAGAAAATTTTCGCAACCTACTCATCTGACAAAGGGCTAATATCCAGAATCTACAATGAACTTAAACAAATTTACAAGAAAAAAACAAAGAGCCCCATCAAAAAGTGGACAAAGGACACGAACAGAAACTTCTCAAAAGAAGACATTTATGCAGCCAAAAAACACATGAAAAAATGCTCACCATCACTGGCCATCAGAGAAATGCAAATCTAAACCACAATGAGATATCATCTCACACCAGTTAGAATGGCAATCATTAAAAAGTCAGGAAACAACAGCTACTGGAGAGGATGTGGAGAAATAGGAACACTTTTACACTGTTGGTGGGACTGTAAACTAGTTCAACCATTGTGGAAGTCAGTGTGGTGATTCCTCAGGGATCTAGAACTAGAAATACCATTTGACCCAGCCATCCCATTACTGGGAATATACCCAAAGGACGATAAATCATGCTGCTATAAAGACACATGCACACGTATGTTTATTGCGGCACTGTTCACAATAGCAAAGACTTGGAACCAAGCCAAATGTCCAACCATGATAGACTGGATTAAGAAAATGTGGCACATATACACCATGGAATACTATGCAGCCATAAAAAATGATGAGTTCATGTCCTTTGTAGGGACATGGATGAAATTGGAAATCATCATTCTCAGTAAACTATCGCAAGAACAAAAAACCAAACACCACATATTCTCACTTATAGGTGGGAATTGAACAATGAGAACACATGGACACAGGTACGGTAACATCACACTCTGGGGACTGTTGTGGGGTAGGGGAAGGGGGGAGGGATAGCATTGGGAGATATACCTAATGCTAGATGATGAGTTAATGGGTGCAGCACACCAGCATGTCACATGTATACATATGTAACTAACCTGCACATTGTGCATATGTACCCTAAACTTAAAGTATAATAATAATAAAAAAAAGTTACTTCCAAGATACAGTGGGGATACAGGCATTGCATAAATGCTTTCATTCCAAATGGGAGAAACTGGCCAAAACAACAAGGCTACAGGCCCCATACAAGTCTGAAACCCAGTTGGGCAGTCATGAAATCTTAAAGCTCTGAAATGATCTTCTTTGACTCATGTCTCACATCCAGGGCATGCTGATGCACAGGGTGGTCTCTCACAGCCTTGGGCAGCTCCCTCATGGGCTGGCATTGAGTGACTGAGGCTTTTTCAAGCACATGGTGCAAGTTGTCAGTGGATCTACTATTCTGGGGTCTGGAGGATGGTGGCCCTCTTCTAGGCAGTGCTCCAGTGGGGACTCCATGTGAGGACTCCAATCCCAAATTTCCCTTCCACACAGCCCTAATGGAGGTTCTCCATGAGGGCTCCATCCCTGCAGCAGACTTCTGCCTGGATATCCAGGTGTTCCCATACAGCCTCCAAAATCTAGGCAGAGGTTCCGAAGCCTCAAATCTTGACTTCTGTACACCAGCAGGTCAATCACCATGTGGAAGCCACAAAGGCTTGGGGACTGCATCCCCTGAAGCAATGGCTGAACCTTTACCTTGGCCCCTTTTAGCCACAACTGGAGCTGGAGTGGCTGGGATGCAGGGCACCAAGTCCCAAGGCTGCACACAGCAGCAAGTCCTGGGCTTGGCCCAGGAAACCATTTGTTCCTCCTAGACCTCCAGGCCTATGATGGGAGTTACTGCTGCCAAGATCTCTGACATGCCCTGGAGACATTTTCCCCTTTGTCTTGGTATTGACATTCTGCTCCTCACTACTTATGCAAATTTCTGTAGCTGGCTTGAATTTCTCCCCAGAAATGGGTTTTTCTTTTCTATCTCATTGTGAGACTGCAAAATTTTCTAACTTTTATGCCCTGTTTCTGTTTGAAACATAAGTTCTAATTTCAGATCATCCCTCTCAAGTTCAAAGTTCCACAGATCTAGGGCAGTGGCAAATTGCCACCAGCATAGCAAGAGTGACCTTTGCTCCAGTTCCCAAGAAGTTTCTCATCTCCACCTGAGACCACTTCAACCTGGACTTCATTATCCACATCGTTATCAGCATTTTGGTCAAAACCATTCAACAAGTCTCTAGGAAGTTCCAAACTGTCCCACATCTTCCTGTTTTCCTCTGAGCCCTCCAAACTGTTCCAACTGCTGCCCCTTACCCAGTTCGAAAGTTGCTTCCACATTTTCAGGTTATCTTTATAGCAGTTTCCCCCTGTCTATGGTACCAATTTCCTATATTAGTCTATTCTCACACTGCTATAAGGAAATACCTGAGACTGGATAATTTATAAAGGAAAGAGGTTTAACTGAGCCATAATTCTGCATGCCTGGGGAGGCCCCAGGAAACTTACAATCATGGCAGAAGCAGAAGTTAACACATCTTATATGGTGGCAGGTGAGAGAGTATGTGAAGGAGGAACTGTCAAACACTAACAAAACCATCGGATCTCATGAGAACTCACTTACCTTCATGAGAACAGCATGAGGGAAACCTCTCCCATGATTTAATCACCTCCCATCATGTCCCTCCCTCAACAAGTAGTGATTATGGGGATTACAATTTGAAATGAGATTTGGGTGGGGAAACAGAGCCAAATCATATCAATAGTACCTAGACAATTGTAACCTTCTGGTGAACAGTTACTCTCATTATTAGTTAATAAATATTTAATTCCCCTAAGCTTTCATATTAAAGCCAGTTACAGTGGTTCCTCAGTATCCTTAGGGACTTGGGTCCAGGATACCAAAATCCAGGATACTCAAGTCCTTTATATTAAATGGCACAGTATTTAGATATAACCCATGTGCATCCTCTGATATGTTTAAAATCATCTCTCGATTACTTATAATACTGAATATAACGTAAATGCTATATAAATATTTGTTATACTGTATGTTTTCATTTGTATTATTTTTGTTGTATTGTTACTTTCGATTTTTTTCCAGTATTTTTGATCTGCCGTTGGTTCAGTCTGGAGATATGGAGCCCACTGACACAGAGGGACAGCTGTAATGTCATACACCCTCACATAAAAATTCTTTCAATACTTCTGCAAGATTGTATTTTATCTGGGTCACTGCTATAAAAAAAAAACTACATTTTATTTATGCATCCACCTGAGAATTTGTCCTTTAACAAATGGTGGATAACAACAGGACCAAATATGAGAGGTAAGTATAAGGTCTTGGAACCCTCCATCTTCAGATAACTTACCCTTTGATTAGAGAAAAGATTGATACTACAGTTTGGTGGTAACTATTTGTCTCTTCTGCAGTCTATGTCAAACCAAAGCCATTTTCAAACCAGTTAGGTCTAACTGTAACCCTAATATGATTGTGCTTTCAAACACTTAACTCCTCCTGATGTCATTAAGTTTACACTTCTCTATTTAGTTAACATTGATTAATCAATATTAGGTTACCAATAAATAGTATCATTTTCTACAACGTAACAAGTTGCTAAGATACATATTGTACACATACTTAAGAAAATACAAAAAGCAAGAAATGTATCACTGTCAAGGCCAAGTAACTGTTTAAGGCATTATGCAAGGGAGAAAAGAGAACCTTATAGACTGTACTCCCCCACCAAAGTTGTAAGACTTCTTTCTAGCAAAGCTAAGGATCAAACATTGACAGCATTTGCAGGTTAAATTAGATCTCCTTCATAATATATTCCTGGACTGATTTGAGGGCAATTTTGAATGTTTACTTAAAAGATTAATTTTAGTTTAAGACTGTAAATATCAATCTCCCACACGTTTGAAAAATTAAGTACTGCAAAACTCAAATCTCCTGGACTTGCTTTTTTTAAATTCTAAATTTTTACACCAATTAAAACATTTTAAAATCTTCTTTTCCCACTGTCTTTATCCATTTGTGTTTTATTTCATTTTTCTGATCTAAATTCACCTTGTTTAAAAAAAGACAGAAAAATTGCTGTTGAACATCTCAGCATTTTGCTTTTTATCTAAGGGGGTTTTCTACACATTAATTTTAAAGAGAAGCAGTTATTTGCCACATTGGCCTTTCTAATCTTTCCTCTACTTGCATTTGCTAATTCTCAGTACTCAGCTATGTAAACTGACTGAGTTTATTCAGTAAATGACCTTTCTACCCAAGCTTCAAATTCAGTATTTTGTGGAGACCTAACTAATCCTTTGATAAATCACAGGATAACCTAAAGTGAGAATCAGTGTCCCAGCAGTTTTAGAAATTTGTAAAGCGAAAGACTCCTAGCATGCTTCTGTTTCCAGGCAATTTTTGGCTTCTGGGAAAAGATACAAATACTGCAGGAGAGAGAAGAGTTACTTTTTAACTTAAGCTGAACAAACATACTACATAATGGCATAATGATTTACTGTATTATTTGTTTATGTATATATTTACATACATGTATACATTTTCAAATAACAGGAAGCAATCCCTAAAACCAGAAAGAATAAAGCATGAATTTATTATTCTTCAGAGAGCCTATGAGGTCAAAAATATCACAATTGCTTAGACCATTGGGTTCTCTGGCCACTGTTAAAGAAAAGAGAATCTTATGATTTGTACTCCCCTACCATTCATAATTCAACTTCATTTCTCCTGTTTCAACAAGCTGACAAATAAACAAGGAAAATAGTACTATTTATAGTTTACTTGTAAATACCGTAGGGGGTTAATTGTTTGCCTAAATTCACATAGCTTGGAAGTTTCTACATTAAGATTTGAACCTGGGTTTTCCACTTGCTAATTTTACTATCTTATAGCTGTGTGCTGCATAATTTTTGTCTGTATATTAAATGAGATTTCATCATTTGGAGATTAAACTTGTGTTCAAGTTCAAACTCATTAGTAAATTTTTACTATTTTCTTGAGTTATCAGTGCTCTAACAAAGCTAGAACATTTAATTTACATCTTTAAAGAGTCTTCAAATATTTCTGGAAATAGATTGAATAAACACAAATGTACAGATAAATTTTACAACTGACAGTAAAAAATTGCGGCCTATTGATTTTCTGTTCCCTTAAAAGTGAAATAAAATAAATTTGTAAAAGAATAAAACTGTCTGGTATTTCCTCAGGGCATTTTGGAGGTTTTCGTCTTATCACGCCCCTTGCTTACCACAATTCATACTAATCCCTGGAAATCCCTGGAAAGTTAAGACTCTAATGTGTGTGTATGTAAACACACACACACACACACACACACACACACAATTCCATATATATATAGAATTGGCTCATGCAATTATATAGATTGAAAAGTCCCAAGATCTGTAGTCAGCAAGCTAGAGATCCAGAAGGGCCAGTTGTGTAGTTCCAGTCTGAGTGTGAAGACCTGAGATTCAAGAGAGCTGACTCTTAGTCCAAGATCCAGGAGGCTCAAGGCCCAAGAAGAACTAATATTTCAGCTTGACTCCAAAAGTAAAAAAAGACCAATGTCTTGGCTCAAGAAGTCATGCAGGAGAATTCCCTCTTATTAAACCTTTTTTGTCCTTCTCAAGTCTTCAATTGATGGGATGATGTCCACCTACATTAGGGAGGGCAATATGCTTTACTCGGTCTACTGATTCTTTATCTTTTTTTTTTTTTTGAGAGAGTCTTGCTCTGTTGCCCATTCTCAGGTGGAGTGACATGATCATGACTCATTGCAGCCTTGACCTCTAGAGCTCGAGTGATCCTCCCACCTCAGCCTCCAGAGTATCTGGGGCTACAGGCCATGCTACTACACCTGGGCACCTGGGTAATTTTTTTTTTTTTTCAGAGATGGGGATTTGCTATGTTGCCCAGGCTGGTCTCGAACATCTGGGCTCAAGCAAACCACCTGCTTCAGCTAGGATTATAGGTGTGAGCCACTGAGCCCACCCTGATTCAAATGTTAATCTCATACAGAAACACCTCACAGACATATATAGAAAAATGGTTGGTCATATGTTGGGCATCTTATAGCCCAGTCAAGTTGACACATACAATTAACCATCACATTTATATACTCTATTCAGGAGAATTCCCTTACAATATCCCAAAGGGAAGGTATTCTAAATCACATTCAATATTTTGAGATAATTACTAAGACATGTTCACTATAACATAGATGCCTGTTACAACAATACAAGATTTAATAGGAGTTGCTTTTTGTTCTGTATGTTTAATGGTCATATGAAATATTTTAAATTCCTGTATTTCACACACACACACACACACACACACACACACACACACACACACGTTTATCCCAGAGTGATTAAATTTGGTAGTTTATTCCACTCCTTTAAAAACTTGGGACAATGAAAATCTATAACAGAAACACTGATGCCTCATAAGGTAAGACACATGAATTAGTGAAGAATTAGCTCCTCTGGAATTGAGATTACTAGTAATTAACAATGAAATTGATAGCTGTTAAGGATACTATAATATGTTAGTATTATAAAAATCCAATACAACCCTCAGTTTAGTCATTATTATATTGGAAAATATTATTACAAATTTCTTAAGGTGCTGTGAAATAATTTGTCTCACTGTTTTAAAGTACAACATTAAAAAAATGGTCCTCTTTTTGGCAATTTGCTGCTTCCTATCACTATCAATAACCTAACAAATATGTAGGTACCTATGATATGTCATCTGTATTCACATATTTTAAGTCCCTCAAATTTTACTGTAAGTAGATAATAATTATAAAATAATATTACAGCACATAAGATATTTATATAGAATACTATAAATATAAGTTCATATTTATAAGGTATATATTTATAGGACAAAGTACACATGAGATGGTTTAAGTTTGATCCATTTGTTTTTAAACTTCTAAGAGACTTCTTTTTTACTTTTTGTCAAATGAGAATCAGCAAATTTTAATCAACTTACGTATTAAGAAGATGTGTAAGTGTTTTATAGACAAGCTAATTTTAATATTTGTTGCTTTGGGAGTAGGGATGAAATTGGGGTGGGTAGATCCTGCTACCTCTAGAGTATCCTTTTTGCTCTTAGAGTCTAATAATTTAAGGTAAGGAAGAGAAAACCAGGCTCTAAGTTTGTAAATGAATAAATGATGGAAGTCTAGCAAATAGTAGACTATAATTAAGTTGAATCACTAAACTAAACCAAAGGTCAGCAAGCATGGATATTCTGCATATTTAAGAAATCACAGTTAATCTACAATCATCCAACCATAAACATAAGATATTTTTTATGTTATGAAACTGTAACTCATATGAAATATAGAGTATTTACACTGAAATACCTACTTCTTTTATACTATTAGTCAATAAGCCATGAAGGCAAAATTACAATTTTAAGGAATAGAAAATTTAAAGAATCTGTACTTAGATGTAGAACACATGTGTCTGACTTCTCTTAGTGATTTCTTATCAAATATTTACATTGCTTCATCAAACATCCAGAGGTTTAAAAATAAAGCACAATCATTTTCGTGAACCTAGACAGCATAATTTCTTGTATATGAAGAAAGGCAGGGTGGATGGATTCCCATTAATGTTAATGCCTGTCTCCTCATTTCTCACCTTTGTTATTAAGTTGCTTAGAAAGCAAATTAGTATTTTATTCAAATTTATTTTTTAAATGGCATAAATTGTATGTATTTATCATGAACAACATGAGGTTTTGAAGTACACATACATCATGGAATGGTTAAATCTAGCTAATTAACAAAAGCATTACCTCACCTAGTTATTTTGTAGTGAGAACATTTTACTTCTACTCACTTAGCAGTTTTCAAGAAGGGCATTATATGAAGTGAAATAAACCAGGAACAAAAAGACAGATGCTGCATGATCTCACTCATATGTGGAATCCAAAGAATTTGTTCACATAGTAGAGAGTGGAATGGTGGTTGCCAGAGGCTGGGGTGAATAGGGAGTAGGGAATATTGTGGAGATGTTGGCAAAAGAGTGCAAGTTTACAGTTAGATTAGAGGAGTAAGTTCAAGAAATCTACTGTATGGCATAGTTAATGCTGATATATTATATTCCTGAAAAAAACCAATTAATATTTTACAAGAAACAGAAGAAATCATGGGAGCAGACCACAGATGGACAGAGTGGTGCATGAAGAATGGCTTTTAAAGGATGTAAACATGGAGAGCTGAGTATATTATAAATGTACGAAAGATATGTCTGATTTGAAAAAACACAATGAAAATAAACATAGTATGACCTCCTTCACAATTATGGATAAACTGTGCTCATAAATATGCTTTCAGGAATAAAATGTAAAAAAAAAATTCTTGTAATATTGTCCCAAATAACACAAAAGACATAATAACCTATATCACCTGAAATAGGCACCAACAAAAAAAATCCTAAATTCAGAAGACTGTACAAGCTACTTTTAGATCCATTCAGAACACACAAGAGGATTATATTTCCTAATGGATTTAAATTATAAGAAATAATTTGTTTCCCTCCGTGGCCATTTAGATATTGGCCAGAATGTTCGTCAATCACACATTTAATTTTGTAATCAGTTTTAATTCTGAATTTTAGTGAGTGGACCAAGCAACAACTCAGGAGGCAAAACTTGCACTGTGTGGACTCACATTCAAATGTATCTACTTCCACTAGTTCTAGCAATTGTTCGTGGATGAAAAAAGGGTTTACAGAAAAAACATTTTTAAGTGAGTTAAGAGCCAAATGACATTTAAAAATTAACTTGTGCCTTGAAATCACAAAAGAAGATGTTAGCATAATAATTGTCATCATGCTCAAAGGTTGAAAAGTTTATGAAGAGGGAAAAACGAAGACACATTTAGCATGACTACACTCTTGGAATGATTCAAGTAGACAGACCCAAGCTCTTTGGTGGAGGTAGGCAAATGCAAACAAGCTTGGTTCCTATTTCTGGAAATTCCATCAGTACCCGAGCCCAGGAAAGGGTAATGTGGACAATGGCTGGCTCAATGTCCATATAAAGAGTGAGATTTCTGACTTCCTGAAAAAGCAGGACATTCTGAGATCCCCAGGAGAACCCCTTCCTAAGTGGCAGAGGGCTGGTGAGACCAGTGATATTTAACTGGTTTGTTCAGATAGCTCCCCAGAGGATGTGTCAAAGTTCAAAGGAGGCTGTTTAAAGAAAACAACCCAAGCCAACCGTAATGAGCCCATGTCACCTGGAAAGACCCTAAACAGTTTACTAGCAGACTCAAGAAGGAAGGTCCCAGGATACTTTTCATTCCTTCCCTTCAGTGAGTAGGCACACCACAAAATTCCCAAGAGGCTCTTAAGAGTATATAAATATCCATTTTACTGTACAGTTAGAGAACAGGCTTTTAGGAAGCTGCTGCCAGAAAAGCCTGATCAATGTTGAACTATAAAACCAATTACAAGTGCTGGATAGTTCAGGGAACACACAGGGTCACTCACCTCCCTTTTCAGGGCCTTTCTTGGAGGCTTTCTGCCCTGCAGTAAACCAGTGAAAGATTTGAGGGCTCAGCCAGATAAACTGAAAGCTGCTTAATTATATTCGCAGATAATTTTTCACACAATTTTACTTTCAATTTTTCAGCAAATGATTAACATAATTGTAAATCATCAAAATTTACAAATAAGAATCATCTCTCTGAATCTATGTATCTCAATATATATCTTTATAAATAATTCACAATATCAATTAAATTATAGGTCATTATCATACTATTTGTGGGAAATCTGGAAACAAAGAATAAGCTCAGTGTCAAAAATGTGGTCACATTTCAAATACCTTGAGTTTAAGCTTGCTTTCCTTAAACATTACACAGTTTCAAATTCTGTCACAATTAAATTCTTTTAAAATTTGTTTTGTTTCTAGTTTTTAAGTAATCCTAGCCTATGCCAAAGTGGTTTTCAATGCCTACATTATAACTCACACTGGGATTAGTTCTTCTCAGAACCTTAACATGACCGGATGTTATTTAAAAGCCAGGCAGTTTGAACTAAAAACATTACTATTTAAGAATCAGCATTAAGTTTCTATAAGGTTGTTCATTGACCCCATTTATCTCATTGAGGAGTGAATGATATATGATAAATGATTAAATACAAAGAACCTGATGGAATAGACATAGAAAAGGTATTCTGCAATGACAAAATGACCCAAAGGCCAGTGCAATAATGTGAATAAGGTGAGAAGAGTTGAGTTTGGAATCAGTACTGTCCAACTGAAACTTCTGTGATGATGGGAATGTTTCTTTGTGTTGTTAAATCAGTAGGCTCTCACTATTTTGCCTATTGAAAACTTGAAATAGATCCCGGTGGAGGAACTAAATTATGAATTTTGTTTAATTTCAATAGCCACATATGGATAGTGGCTATAATGTTAGATGGCACAGGCCTACATAAAATTATATTTGAAAGAAAGAGAAAACTATCAAAATATGGATACAAATTAGTATTTAAAATAGGAAAATACTTTAAGTCAGGTCATCAAGGAAACAGATGGGAGAGCTTCAGCAAGCTGCACACTGGCAGAAAAAATTCCTAAATATAACACATTGTTTCTTTTATAACCAAAGTTTCACTGTGTGCTGCAGAATGTGCTTTGACAACTCACTCAGGTTTCATTGGACCTCCTTGGATATATAATAACTGCATAATTCCAGTTACGTTTACTTCAATTAGATCACACAGTCACTTTTCTTCACATAATATGTTACTACCACGCAGATCTTCCAATTGTGTAAAGGTCATACAAATTCACCGTGGGGGATTGCTTAGCTTCTGTGAATTACTTTTAGGCTATACTCTATAAAATTATCTACAAAGTTTTACATAATAGACTTTATGTGTTTTTCACACAAAAGAAACATCCAGCTGGTCTCCTGGAGCAGGATGACAATGGTTCCCTCCCCACACATCTGCACTACATCTTTGCATATGGTTAGTGAGCCAGAACAAGCTATTAAGAGTGTAAGCTAAAGAAGAAAAGCACATTTTCCTATGACCCTGGTTAATTATGGTAAACATGTCTTTCCTGAACTAGGGGTTTAAGCTTAATAGATTTCAAAGCAGAATTTATGTATTTCAAGATATTTCTCTAAAACGTTTGATATGAAACATTTCCCTTCTTCCAATGTTGTGCTCTTCAGGATATTAAGAGAAAAAGAGAACAAACTTTAAGAAGACATCCTTAACTTCAAGTGATTATCTCCATGGTCAACTGGATTTAGTCAAGATCCCTTAAGAGGCATAATATTTTATTGAAGCAATTTCTTTCACTCAGTCATTCATCTATCCATTTAATATTTATTGAACACTCATATAAGGTAGTTACCTACTAACACTTGGTAGTAAGACAGTTTTAAAAATGTCACCTTGCCTGCCCTTGTGCATAGTCTATAGAAAGCAGCACATAATGGACAGGTAAAATAATAAGAAATACGCTTAGAATATCATGGGAACATATTGGAAGAAAATTTAGCCAGAAAATTAGTGAGGTAAACAGAAACGGTATCTTAGGGAACATAATAGCTGATATGAGTCAGATGCAAGGGAGGGTATCTCTGCATGAGATAACCCCAGAGACAGGTAATAGTATGCACGGGGATGAAGAATTCATTTTGTTAAATCAAATATTAGATTTCTCTGGATGTCTAGATCATGGTAGAGAACTGGATACAAAATCTGAAACTTAGGGGAAAGATTGGGGTTGTTATGCACATTTGGGAGTATTTTCTAGTTGAAATTGTAAGAGCTATGAGTTCTATCTTGGTCATTATGCAGAACACAAGGATTAAAGGGAAAAGTGTGGGATGTTGAGAGAATCCAAGCATGAAGGGGCATGAGTACAAAAGAAATTCTAGAAAGGCAGCAAAAGAAAAATTATCTGAGAAGCACAAGGTACCATGAAATTGTATTTCAAGAATTTATGTATTTCAAGATATTTCTCTAAAATGTTTGATATGAAACATTCTTCTTCTTCCAATATTGTGCTCCTTAGGGTATTAAGAGAAAAAGAGAACATACTTTAAGAAGACATCCTTAACTCCAACTGATTATTCCCATACTCATTTGGATACAGTGAAGATCCCCTAAGAGGCTAATAAGCATAGTTGCCAACAGGGTGGACATTTCAACATTCTAATCATCAAGATTCAAATATGCTTAAGAAATCTAGTCAAGTAAAGAGCAAAAATCCATCTTTTGTTTGGCAATAAGTAGAGTCACTATAAACTTAGCCAGGCCAGTTTCAGCAAAATGGTGGGGAGAAGCTGGTTATCGTGGAATGAAAAGTAAAAGGGAGGTAAGAAGTGAAGGCAGTGAATGAATAAAAATGCTCCTTTGAACATTTCAGATGAAAAATATGTTTCAGAATGCTGGTTTCTGGCACTATCAACACACACAGCCAGTCACACCACTGTAAACCAGTTCTAGTGTGATGGTGAATCTTATGGCCAAGTTTCCTTAGGCTCATAACTAAAGGACCTGAGCTGAGGAATCATTAAAGACAAAACCCCAAATATTAATGAAGAGCAAGGAAGCTAATGAATGTTAAGAGTTGGGAAAACTAGAAATTGCCATACAAATGTTAGTGATTATGGTCATTATTACTACAATTTGGTCTTGATAGATTTTGGTCTGTATATCAGCCCAGTTTATAACAGAGTTGAAAAACAAATTGAAAAGTCTCCCCCCACGGAGTTTGTAGAGCAGAAACATCAGTAGTTAACTTATGCATTATGCATATAATTTAGACTCAAGAGATCCAATGAATAACTGCAGTGAACTACAATTGCCCTCTTTAGACAGCTCAATGTGAACTTCCTGATAGAAAGAAAGCAGTCCAAAGTCCTATGTAAATGGTGTGATAATAACAGGAGGATTGGCTGCTTGCTTGCTCCTCATTTCAGTTGGATAATTTGAATAAATTCTTTATACAGATTGTAACTGCTGTCATTTTGATAATTCTCCAACTTGAAAATTTGGATTGTTGGGTGCAGCCCCTTGCCAGCTCCAAACAAATGGAGGTTGGCTAATGATGGATTTGAAGGGCATCCTGGCATCATTGGTAGACAGAATATTTCCTTGCTATGAAGTCTCCAATCGGGCAAGATTTTCTATTGCTATTAAACAGGAGTTTATAAAACTCTAAAACTACTGTAGACCCATAAACTGATGAATGAACTGGAGCCTTCCTCTTTCACCCACAGAATCCCCAAGTTCAGTTTAATCATTCTCCTTGCCTCCAATTGCTTTGATTTATCTAAGATTAACCCTTCCCTCCTGCCATCCAAGGTACATAATTATCTCTGTAGCCTTTTTCCTTTTGATATCATTCTATTTTTTCTAAATATTCACTTATTAAGCAAATATTATTGAGCACTTGCTATATGTCTGACCTTACTTAGAGGGATATAACAGTGAACAAGATGAAGTTTCTGCTTTCAAGGAATGCATATGTATAATGGGAAATTTTCTTGAAAATGTATCTCTCAATTCAATAAGATAGGTATTAGAATAAAGACACATGCAGGGGAGTGATCAATCTTCCAAAGAGTGGAAGGATGATGAGGTAGAATAACGGAGTATTTAATCAGAGTCCTAAAGGATTTTGACATATAGACAAGAAGAGGAAGAATATATCTCTTTTTGTTTACTTGATGTCATTGATTCTGCCTTATCCAACTTCGCTTCTCTTAAAGTTACAAAGATTTGAACATGAGAACTCCAAAATATTTAAATCAAATTCAAATGCTGCTAAGGTATGCTCTTTTATTCTTCTGCCTATAGATTTGTCTTGAACATGATATAATCTGCATGGATAGTGTTATTTTAATGACATTTGTTTTAAAGGTTCTGGAAACATCATTTTCCCTTCAATCTTTGCACTCCTAATTCTATTGCCAACCTGCATCATACTTCACAATTTCTCCAGAGAGTGGCTTGAATTCTGATTGTTTTCACCTATTTTATAAATTAAATCATATGTAAGGTTAGTTCTACTTGATCTCTTAGAAGTTACTACTCCCTTCCACACATTTCAGATCTCTACAAATCCTAAACTCAAGAATTCTCAAACTGAGATTAACTGGAGTTGTCATCCATCAGCTATGAGGCTGGCATCTAATATAATGCTAATCTTCTGTTATGTCCTTTTTAGCTCTCAAGATTTATGCATATGTATGTAGTTTCTTTCTCCAGAGCTCCAAAACTGTTACAGGGAATGACTATTTTGATGTCTTAAAGATGAAGAAATGATAGATATGATAATGCCATTTTAAAAAGTCAGAACATTTGGAATTCCCAGAATTTATGAAGAAAGTACACAAATAAAGGACATTGTGGGCCCAATCAATCTAGCTGCCTTTCTGTGATTAAAACAAGCAAAAACTAAACAAACAAAAGTAAAAGAGCAGGAGACAATATCATTGTTACAGGTAGTATACATTTTTTGGGTGAAGAAAACGAAACTGGTATTTAGAGTTGATACGTAACAAGGGAAACATCACTTCCCTTGCTACCACTACATTGCTAGAATCCTTTCTCAAATATACACTAGACAAATTCTCTTTGGTTTGAGACTAAAGCTTTTGTTTGCCAAGATTAGTGTTTTGATCTTTGTTGTTGTTATTGCTGTTTTTTATTTAAATTCAGCTACACTCAGCCCAAAGTCATTGCTCAAAGAAATTCACATCATTTTTAATTTTCTGCATGCCATACTGATTAATCTGTTACTTTTGTTTCATTTGAAGTGTACACAGACAGCCTGAAGTGTTTGATGTTATTGGTTGCTGTGTCCTTGAGATATCATCATCTCATCATATAAGAACCAAAGCAGGAAGACTGCATGAGCCCAGGAGTTCAAGACCAGCTTGGGCAACATAGTGATATCCTGTCTCAAAAAATAATTAAAAAAATCAAATTAAAAATTAGCCAGGTGTGGCAGTGAGCACTTATAGTCCCAGCTACTCAGACGACTGAGGTGGAAGCATTGCAGTTGCACCCCAGCCTAGGTAACACAGGGAGACCTTGCCTTAAAAAAAAAAAAAAAAAAAAAAGAGCCAAGGCATGAATTAACTAAACAACTCCAAAATCATTATACATGACCTTGAGCAAGTCACATAAATTTCCAGCCCTGTTTCTTTCTTTGTGGTCTTTACACAATGAAGTGGTTGCTATCAAATGATTTCTCATGTCCCTTTAGCCTCTGTCATTTTATGATAGGAAAGTTTTTGGGGAGAAACATACAGAAAAAATAGACCTCAACATAGTACTACAGCATGTATATCCAAACTGTGCATTTATAAAACATGCTTTCTAAACACTTATATGCCTGCATACCTGGGATTTATACCAAATTTCCTATGTGGCTTTTGGGCACCACTGAAAAATATAATTGAGGAATAGGTACCAATGTTGTGTGATTGTGTGTGTGTGTGTGTGTGTGTGTGCGCTATCATACATGCTTCAGAGGTTAAATTGAGGATACTATGAGAGTGTATATCTATACTTCATCTAGACTTGGAGTTCTGGATTTAAAAAAGGGTGTTCAATGAATGAGGAGAGAGTGGGGGAGAAGCAGGTGAAAGAAAACTTCAGGTGAGTAGACCTTGAAGCTGGAAGAGCTGGCTCACATCCTTTCCCTAAGAACAATGAAAGCCCATAGAAGGTTTTAGATGGTGAAGTGACGTGATCAGATTTGCCTTTTCTTAAAAATTATTTTGGTTCCTCTATGGAGAATTGGTTGAAAGTCAGGAAGGACTTTGGGAGCCCTGTTCATTAACAATGCATAACAAAACTTTCTTTTGGATTTGTTATCAATTTTTACCCAGGATTGGTAGCTGCCCCAGAGTGCTCTCTTTTCTTCTCAAAATACTCTTTCAAAGTGTTCTCACTTGTGTATTATTCTTTTCCTTATTTGTATACGTTATCTTTCTTACCACTGGTAGCTCTCTGCCTTTAATGAAAAAGCAATGCTTTCCTCTGGCTTACTAAGTAAATTAAAAGGGCAAAGTGGGTCATGAAGTGTTTGTAGTCCCACAGTACCATGTGCTTAGAAAAGTTCCATGCTTAGGTTAATTCTCTACAGTCAATGCCTTAAATTTTTAAGTTTTAAACAAGAGGCTTGATGTTTTCATTTTGCATTGAGCCCCCAAAACTATCTAGCTATATATGAAACATACTTCCAGCACTGTAAACTAAGTGATTTCCTAGAGTATAAACTCAGACTAATAATGTAATTTCTCCCAAAATATAAGCTCACCCAGCCTAATTCAAAATTTTAAATTCAAGTTGGCCATGGTTTCCAAGCATTTCCGGGAAAAGGAGATATATTTTGTGTTTTTTAAAAAACAAAAAAATACATCGGAAGTTCCTACTGGTACTACCAATTCAAATACAAGACTACGGAGTTTTTGTTTAAATGTACTGATTTTACATCTGTGTCTACTTTGACCCGTGCTGAAAATGCTAGCTTTCACTGACACCCACATAATTGGCAATTTGCTTTTAACCACAATATATAGACAACAGTCCCCAAATAATAATATGATTACTGAAAATACTTTAAGGTTTAATCACTGGCTTCAAACTTATGGAGTCAAATTATGATTTTTGGAATCACTTGGACGAGTTCCTCTCTATGTGAGGCTATGCCAACAACTCGTTAAACAATTGAAGTTTATTTGCATCACTTTTCTTTTAATTTGAAGAATTTAAAAAAACAGTTTAATAGTTACATAAATATATATAGTTCCAAAGTTAAATATATGAAACAGTGTAAAAACCAAACACATTAGGAATATTCTCGCTTTTATTCCTGCCCCTTATACTGTTTTCTCCCCACTGCCACATCTACATAAACTTTTTTTAAAAAGTTATAGTTTATGCATCCAATAGTATAAATCCTTATTCCATGAATGTTGGCATTCTATAAGTACTTTTCACTACCTGGAGATCACTATATAATATTATATAAAGGTATTTCCTGGCTGGGCATGGTGGCTTACACCTGTAAACCCAGAAGTTTGGGAGACGAAGGTGGGCACATCACTTGAGATCAGGAGTTCAAGACCAGCCTGGGCAACATGGTAAAAACTTTGTCTCTGCTAAAAATAAAAATAAAAATAAATTAGCCCAGCATGGAGGCATGCACCTGTAGTACCAACTACTCTGGAGGCTGAGATGGGAGGATCACTTGAGCCTGGGAGGCAGAGGTAGCAGTGAGCCAAGGGCACACCACTACACTCCAGCCTGGGCAACAGAGTGAAACCCTGTCCTAAAAATAAAAAAGATAGTTCCTATTACTATTTATACTCTTTTGTTTGGATGAGCTATAATTTAATCAGTCAGCCATGTATTGCTGGGCACTTTTATTGGCAACTTTTTTTTTTTGCATTTATAAATGACAGTGCACTAAATAGCCTTGAGCATATCTCTTTCTGTAACTTTGTCAGTGGGTCTTTGAAATAGGTTCCTAAGAGAGAGATTGCTGGGTCAAATGGTAAATGTACATTCATTTTTTCTATTAATATATACTGTCAAATTCCACTCTAACTTTTTGCATTGAGCTAGTCATGATAGTACCTTTTTAACCACAGTCTTGTTAAAAAAATTCTGTTAAGCATTTGGATTTTTACTAAACCGATGGGTAGAAATTGCATCTCTCTTATCAGGAGTGACTGAGGTTGAACAACTTTATAAATATTTAAAGAACATTTGCACTGTCTTTCTGTGAATTATGTGTTTCTTTTCTAGTATTTTTATCATATGATTTTGGGTATAGTTTTTCTTTATAGAAGACCTTTATATATTGACCTGCTAATTCTTTGTGGTAGAGTTAGCTAATACATTTTCCAGTTATCTTTTTACTTTTTTATGGTGTTTTTGTCATGCAAAAGGGGTCTGTGTGTGTGTGTGTGTGTGTGTGTGTGTGTGTGTAATGAAACTTTTCTCCTGGATTTAAAGTATAGTTAGGAAAGTTTTTCTTACCACCCAATTATAAGAACACTATCCATGTATTTTTTCCTCATACATGCATAGCTTTATATTATACAGTTAAATTTCTGACTTTAGACTCCTTTAGACTTCAACCTGGTATATAAGTTCAGAAAATTCCTAAAAATTTACCAACCAAGAGTCAGTACAGGCTTGATCCAGTACAACACTGCTGACCGAGCATGCCATTGACATTGACAAACTATCTTCTGGAGACCCATGCGTCCTTTCCATGTGTTGTTTCATTTTGTATGTTCTTAGTTATGACTGTGTATGTTTCATGAAGTTGGAGAAATTCCTGGCCCCTCAAATTTTCCAAATCAAAAGCCTCTTTGAACACGGAAATAATGTGCATTACAGCATTGGTGGCAGAATGGATCACTATTTAGAAGAAAAGCATTTGCTATTTCTCTAGTTGAGTTTTTTTTTTTTAGTATAAACAGCAATCATTCAGTTATATAATAGTGCTGCCACTTTCAGAGACAGCAACAAAAGCGGGAGACACCCATGTAGAGAGACAATCATTATGTATTAAATGGCCTTGTTTTTATTAATAGCAGATTCTCACGGACTATTCTCATCACAGTCTATCCATTTTCTTCTCTCAAGTTTAAAAAATTTACCACCACCTCCCCTCACCAAAAGAAAACAAAACAAAACAAAGCAAAAAAACACAATCTCACATCCCTTGTAAGTTGGATTCCTAGGTATTTTATTCTCTTTGAAGCAATTGTGAATGGGAGTTCACTCATGATTTGGCTCTCTGTTTGTCTGTTGCTGGTGTATAAGAATGCTTGTGATTTTTGTACATTGATTTTGTATCCTGAGACTTTGCTGAAGTTGCTTATCAGCTTAAGGAGATTTTGGGCTGAGACAATGGGGTTTTCTAGATATACAATCATGTCGTCTGCAAACAGGGACAATTTGACTTCCTCTTTTCCTAATTGAATACCCTTTATTTCCTTCTCCTGCCTAATTGCCCTGGCCAGAACTTCCAACACTATGTTGAATAGGAGTGGTGAGAGAGGGCATCCCTGTCTTGTGCCAGTTTTCAAAGGGAATGCTTCCAGTTTTTGCCCATTCAGTATGATATTGGCTGTGGATGTGAAGGACCTCTTCAAGGAGAACTACAAACCACTGCTCAAGGAAATAAAAGAGGATACAAACAAATGGAAGAACATTCCATGCTCATGGGTAGGAAGAATCAATATCGTGAAAATGGCCATACTGCCCAAGGTAATTTACAGATTCAATGCCATCCCCATCAAGCTACCAATGCCTTTCTTCACAGAATTGGAACAAACTACTTTAAAGTTCATATGGAACCAAAAACGAGCCCGCATTGCCAGGTCAATCCTAAGCCAAAAGAACAAAGCTGGAGGCATCATGCTACCTGACTTCAAACTATACTACAAGGCTACAGTAACCAAAACAGCATGGTACTGGTACCAAAACAGAGATATAGATCAATGGAACAGAACAGAGCCCTCAGAAATAAAGCCGCATATCTACAACTATCTGATCTTTGACAAACCTGAGAAAAACAAGCAATGGGGAAAGGATTCCCTATTTAATAAATGTTGCTGGGAAAACTGGCTAGCCATATGTAGAAAGCTGAAACTGGATCTCTTCCTTACACCTTACACAAAAATAAATTCAAGATGGATTAAAGACTTAAACGTTAGACCTAAAACCATAAAAACCCTAGAAGAAAACCTAGGCATTACCATTCAGGACATAGGCATGGACAAGGACTTCATGTCTAAAACACCAAAAGCAATGGCAACAAAAGCCAAAGTTGACAAATGGGATCTAATTAAACTAAAGAGCTTCTGCACAGCAAAAGAAACTACCATCAGAGTGAACAGGCAGCCTACAAAATGGGAGAAAATTTTTGCAACCTACTCATCTGACAAAGGGCTAATATCCAGAATCTACAATGAACTCAAACAAATTTACAAGAAAAAAACAAACAACCCCACCAAAAAGTGGGTGAAGGACATGAACAGACACTTCTCAAAAGAAGACATTTATGCAGCCAAAAAACACATGAAAAAATGCTCATCATCACTGGCCATCAGAGAAATGCAAATCACAACCACAATGAGATACCATCTCACACCAGTTAGAATGGCAATCATTAAAAAGTCAGGAAACAACAGGTGCTGGAGAGGATGTGGAGAAATAGGAACACTTTTACACTGTTGGTGGGACTGTAAACTAGTTCAACCATTGTGGAAGTCAGTGTGGCGATTCCTCAGGGATCTAGAACTGGAAATACCATTTGACCCAGCAATCCCATTACTGGGTATATACCCAAAGGACTATAAATCATGCTGCTATAAAGACACATGCACACGTATGTTTATTGCGGCACTGTTCACAATAGCAAAGAATTGGAACCAACCCAAATGTCCAACAATGATAGACTGGATTAAGAAAATGTGGCACATATACACCATGGAATACTATGCAGCCATAAAAAATGATGAGTTCATGTCCTTTGTAGGGACATGGATGAAATTGGAAAACATCATTCTCAGTAAACTATCGCAAGAACAAAAAACCAAACACCGCATATTCTCATTCATAGGTGGGAATTGAACAATGAGAACACATGGACACAGGAAGGGGAATATCACACTCTGGGGACTGTTGTGGGGTGGAGGGAGGGGGGAGCGATAGCATTGGGAGATATCCCTAATGCTAGATGATGAGTTAGTGGGTGCAGCGCACCAGCATGGCACATGTATACATATGTAACTAACCTGCGCAATGTGCACATGTACCCTAAAACTTAAAGTATAATAATTAAAAAAAAAACACAATCTATGATAAATACTCACCACTGCTGGAAGCATCATTCAGATTTAGCAGACCCCCTCCTAGCCCTCTGTAACTATGGTAACTATAGGTCCCATTTCCATTGATGTACAGCACGTCCTGTGAGCCTGGAACAGCTGATGTTGAGTAAGTGGCCTGGGTCGCCTCTGGTTTACACTGTTTGTCAGCTGGAGCAGACTCATCCTGCAAGGACAGACAGCATTCCATTATTTATCACCTCACAGTGCTATTTCACCTTGAACAGGACTACCTTATTGTTATCTAAATACCTGCATTGAATAAGAAAAAATATATAGTGAATGTTAAGTAAGCACAGATGCACATTTTCAACATCTTTGCTAAAAACTAAAATTAGGAAATCAAAATAACAATGTGGGCAGATTGGAGATGGAACAATTGACAGTTTTCAATTGAATATAAAATGACATGAAGAAAGTTACTCACAATAACCAAGTGGTGGAAGAAGCCTAAACATCTCTTGACAGATAAATGAATAAAGAAAATATGGTACATACATAAAATAGAATACTATACAGCTTCAAAATGAAAGAAACCCTGTCATACTACAGCATGGATGAACTTAAGGACATTGTGCAAAGTGATATAAGCCAACCACAAAAAAACAAATATTGTGTGATGCCACTTATAAGGTATCAAAAGTAATCAAAGACAAAGAAACATAAAGTAGAATGAGGGTTTTCAGCACTTGGGGAGGAGCTACTGGGGAGTCTTCTAAAGGTATAGGGTTTCCGTCATGAAAGGGTGGAGGTGGGTTGGTTCTGAGCACTACTGCACAACCATGTGGATGTGGCTGACAATATTGTACTGCACACTTGGAAAATGTTGGAAGGGTAATTTTTATGTTAGAATTGCTTAAAATAACTTGCTAGGCTTTAAAAATTAAATGAAGAGATATTACAATGGAAAATAAATATTTAATAAAAGTTGGGTTCTTGAAATCCATTTTGCATCCTTTTATCTTCCTTTCTCTCCTTCTCTGTTGTCTCTCTCTTCCTCTGTGTATGTGTGTGTGTGTCTTTCTCTTTTTATTATTTTGTTTATAACAAAATTTGAGTGCCGACTCCAAGCTGATTCCATTACATGCGTTATAACAGACTGACAAGGATGTGAATACATCCAAACCTTTCAGTTTTTTATTTGTTTGCTCATTTTTAAGCTACGCTAGTGTTTAAAAAATTTTCTTCAATCATTCTAATCATGTCAAACTGTGAGGAAATAAAACGTTTAAATTGCAATAAACTGTATATATTTTCAATAGCAATACAGATTGAATTCCCCTTCAGCTGTGAATTTATAAGACTTAAAATATATACATATATGAATTCACTTTCCTTCTGCATTCTTCATCTTTTTTTTTTTTTACTTTTTGTTAATAGGAAAGAATTATAAAGAGATTTCTAGGGAATTCTTAGGAGAGTTTTTTGTCACAATCAGAAGTATTTTGCAGCTTTTAAATGTTGAGTATGTGGTTAATGGAACAAGTAAATTTCAAATACATTTTTTGTGGCCCCAAAGGGGTGAAAACGAGGAAATATGAAATTAGTTTGCTCTATTGAAACAGTAGTACTGTTGTATTGAGAATACTATGACCATCTATATTGTGAAATTATTGCCGTGACTATCAGCATAACACAGTTATGGCTTTGCTCTTGTTCATCAAACTGAATCAAATCTAACTGACCCATTCAACTCTGACCATTATACTCAGCTGTACACATGAGACACATAATTTATAGGCTTTCAAATATTTTCATTTATAGTAAGACTATAAAATAAACAGCAAAATATCTCAAAGCAAATTGAAGTAAAAATAAGAAAAAAATTGAAAGGAAAACATGGGACAATATTTTAAAAACTTGAATGTTGATATAAATTTATTTTCCAAGCATTACTTTTTTTAAAAAAAATCATTCCTCTGAGATATATTTAATGCAAACATTAATTGACTGAAATTGGTGTATGAACTAGAATGTCTAATTGTAATTTAAACTCTCGCTATTTAAATCATAGAAATCCCAATACCCCACAAGCACAGGCAACGAAGGCAAAAATGGACAAACAGGATCACATCAAGTGAAAACCTTCTGCACAGCAAAGGATACAATCAACAAAGTGAAGAGACAACCCACAGAATGGGAGAAAATGTCTGCAAACTACCCATCTGACCAGGGTTTAATAACCAGAATATATAAAGAGCTCAAACAACTAGGGAAGAAATCTAATAATCTAATTAAAAAATGAGCAAAAGAGTTGAATAGACATTTCTGAAAAGACAACATACAGATGGAAAACAGGCTTATGAAAAGGTGCTCAACATCATTGATGATCAGAGAACTATAAATCAAAACTACAGTGAGGTATCATCTCGCCCCAGTTAAAATGACTTATATCAAAAAGACAGGAAATAATCAATGCTGGTGAGGGTGTGGGGAAAAGGGAACCCTTGTACACTGTTGGTGGGAATGTAAATTAGTACAACCAATATGGAGAACAGTTTGGAGGTTCCTCAAAAATCTAAAAATTGCACTACCATCTGATCCAGCAATCCGACTGTGGGTTATCTATCCAAAAGAAAGAAAATCAATTTATCAAAGATGTAGCTGCATTCCTATGTTTGTTGCAACACTGTTTACAATAGCTAAGATTTGGAAGCAACCTCTGTCCATCAAAGGATGAATGAATACAGAAAATGTGGTACATATACACAATGGAGTGCTATTTGGCCATAAAAAAGAATGAGATTCAGTCATTTGCAACAACATGGATGAAACTGGAGATAATTATCTTAAGTCATAAACCAGGCCAAGTAAGACAAACATTGCATATTCTCACTTATTTGTGGAACCTAAAAATCAAAACAGTTGAACTTATGGACATAGAGAGTAGAAGGATGATTACCAGAGGCTAGGAAGGGGAGTGAGGGGATGGTGAAGTGGGAGGTGTGGATGGTTAATGGGTAAAAACAAAAATTGAAAGAATAAATGGCTGAGTGCAGTGGCTCATGCCTGTAATCCTGGCACTTTGGGAGGCTGAGCCGGGTGGATCACCTGAGGTCAGGAGTTCGAGACCATCCTGGCCAACATGGGAAAACCCCGTCTCTACTAAAAATACAAAAATTAGCTGGGCGTGGTGGTGGGCCCCTGTAATCCCAGCTACTCAGGAGGCTGAGGCAGGAGAATCACTTGAACCTAGGAGGCAGAGGTTGCAGTGAGCCAAGATCATGCCACTGCACTCCAGCCTGGGCAACAGAGTGAGACTCCATCTCAAAAAAAAAAAAAAGAAAAAAGAAATAATGAACTATTAACTATTATTTGATAGTGCAACAGGGTGACTATAGTCAATAATAACTTAGTTTCACATATTAAAATAACTCAGAGAGTGTAACTGAATTGTTTGTGACTCAAAGGATAAATGCTTGAGGTGATGGCTAGCCCATTCTCCATGATATGCTCATTGCACATTGTATGCCTGTATCAAAACATCTCATGTACCTCATATATAGATATATCTATATATATATATCTATAGATATATCTATATACGTATATAGATATATCTATATACATATATATCTATATATCTAGATATATCTACATATATCTATATACATATATATCTATATATCTAGATATATTATATCTAGATATATCTATATACATATATATCTATATATCTATATATCTAGATATATTATATCTAGATATATCTATATACATATATATCTATATATCTAGATATATCTATATACATATATATCTATATATCTAGATATATTATATCTAGATCTAATATATATCTATATATAATATATATATCTATATATATTAGATATAGATATATATATCTCTGTATCTATATATATTATATCTAGATATATCTATATCTAGATATATGTGTATATATATATAGATGTATCTATTATATACCCACAAAAATTAGAAATAAAAAAGATTTAAAAAATAAATCACAGAAATCCCTGGAAAAGTAAACTACTTTAGAATAGCATAATCCTAAATGAAAATGTCTTAAGGAAGGAACCCTGAATCACATTTTGTTGGTATTACTTTAGATTTGGTAGTCAGCAAATTGCAGATTATTATTATATTTTAATTCTGAAAGTTATTCTTTGCTGTTAGAAAGTACCAAAGAAGGTGAGTTTTTTTTTTTTTTAATTATACTTTAAGTTCTAGGGTACATGTGCACAATGTGCAGGTTTGTTCCATAGGAATACATGGGCCATGTTGGTTTGCTGCACCTATCAACTCCTCATTTACATTAGGTATTTCTCCTAATGCTATCCCTCCCCCAGCCCCCACCCCCTGACAGGCGCCAGTGTGTGATGTTCCCTGCCTTGTGTCCATGTATTCTCATTGTTCAGCTCCTACCTATGAGTGAGAACATGCGGTATTTGGTTTTCTGTCCTTGTGATAGTTTGCTGAGAATGATGGTTTCCAGCTTCATCCATGTCCCTACAAAGGACATGAACTCATCATTTTTTATGGCTGCATAGTATTCCATGGTGTATATGTGCCACATTTTCTTAATCCAGTCTATCATTGATGGACATTTGGGTTGGTTCCAATTCTTTGCTATTGTGAATAGTGCCGCAATAAACATACGTGTGCATGTGTCTTTATAGCAGCATGATTTATCATCCTTTGGGTATATCCCCAGTAATGGGATGGCTGGGTCAAATGGTATTTCTAGTTCTAGATCCCTGAGGAATCGCCACACTGTCTTCCACAATGGTTGAACTAGTTTACAGTCCCACGAACAGCTTAAAAGTGTTCCTATTTCTCCACATCCTCTCCAGCACCTTTTGTTTCCTGACTTTTTAATGATCACCATTCTAACTGGTGTGAGATGGTATCTCATTGTGGTTTTGATTTGCATTTCTCTGATGACCAGTGATGGATGATGAGCATTTTTTCATGTTTGTTGGCTGCATGAATGTCTTCTTTTGAGAAGTGTCTGTTCATATCCTTCACCCACTTTTTGATGGGGTTGCTTTTTTCTTGTAAATTTGTTGGAGTTCATTGTAGATTCTGGATAATAGCCCTTTGTCAGATGGGTAGATTGCAAAGATTTTCTCCCATTCTGTAGGTTGCCTGTTCACTCTGATTATAGTTTCTTTTGCTGTGCAGAAGCTCTTTAGTTTAATTAGATCCCATTTGTCAATTTTGTCTTTTGTTGCCATTGCTTTTGGTATTTTAGACATGAAGTCCTTGCCCATGCCTATGTCCTGAGTGGTAGTGCCTAGGTTTTCTTCTAGGGTTTTTACAGTGTTAGGTCTTACATTTAAGTCTTTAATTTTCCTTGAGTTAATTATTGTATACTGTGTAAGGAAGGGATCCAGTTTCAGCTTTCTACAGGTGGCTAGACAGTTTTCCCAGCACCATTTATTAAATAGGGAATTCCTTCCCTATTGCTTGTTTTTGTCAGGTTTATCAAAGATCAGATGGTTGTAGATGTGTGGTGTTATTTCTGAGGCCTCTGCTCTGTTTCCTTTGTCCATATATCTGTTTTGGTACTAATACCATGCTGTTTCGGTTGCTGTAGCCTTGTAGTATAATGTGAAGTCAGGTAGCATTTTGCCTCCAGCTTTGTTCTTTTTGCTTGGGATTGTCTTTGCTAAATGCCCACAAGACAAAGTAGGAAAGATCTAAAATCGACATCCTAACATCACTATTAAAAGAACTAGAGAAGCAAGAGCAAACAAATCAAAAGCTAGCAGAAGGCAAGAAATAACTAAGATCAGAGCAGAAATGAAGGAGATAGAGACACAAAGAATCCTTCAAAAAAATCAATCAAACCAGCAGCTGGTTTTTTGAAAAGATCAACAAAATTGATAGACTGCTAGCAAGACTAATAAAGAAGAAAAGAGGGAAGAATCAAATAGATGCAACAGAAAATGATAAAGGGGATATCACCACTGATCCCACAGAAATAGAAACTATCATCAGAGAATACTATACACATCTCTATGCAAATAAACTTGAAAATCTAGAAGAAATGGATAAATTCCAGGACACATACAGCCTCCCAAGACTAAACCAGGAAGAAGTTGAATCTCTGAATACAGCAATAACAGGTTCTGAAATTGAGGCAATAATTAATAGCCTACCAACCAAAAAAAGTCCTGGACCAGACAGATTCCAGGACCAGACGGATTCTGGTAGGAATTCTACCAGAGGTACAAAGAGGAGCTGCTACCATTTCTTCTGAAACTATTTCAATCAATAGAAAAAGAGGGAAACCTCCCTAACTCATTTTATGAGGCTAGCATCATCCTAATACCAAAGCCTGGTAGAGACACATCAAAAAAAGAGAATTTTAGGCCAATATCCCTAATGAACATCGATGTGAAAATCCTCAATAAAATACTGGCAAACCGAATCCAACAGCACATCAAAAAGTTTATCCACCACAATCAAGTTGGCTTCATCCCTGGGATGCAAGGCTGGTTCAACATACACAAATCAATAAACGTAATACATCACATAAACAAATCCAATGACATAAATCACATGATTATATCAATAGATGCAGAAAAGGCCTTTGACAAAATTCAACAGTCCTTCATGCTAAAAACTCTCAATAAACTAGGTATTGATGGAACATATCTCAAAATAATAAGAGATATTTATGATGACCCACAGCCAATATCATACTGAATGGGCAAAAACTGAAAGCATTCCCTTTGAAAACCGGCACAAGACAAGGATGCCCTCTCTCACCACTCCTATTCAACATAGTTTTGGAAGTTCTGGCTAGGGCAGTCAGGCAAGAGAAAGAAATAAAGCATATTCAGTTAGGAAAATAGGAAGTCAAATTGTCTCTGTTTGCAGATGACATGATTGTATATTTAGAAAACCCCATCGTCTCAGCCCAAAATCTCCTTAAGCTGATAAGCAACTTCAGCAAAGTCTCAGATACAAAACCAATGTGCAAAAATCACAAGCATTCCTATACACCAGTAATAGCCAAATCATGAGTGAACTCTCATTCACAATTACTACAAAGAGAATAAAATACCTAGGAATCCAACTTACAAGGGATGTGAAGGACCTCTTCAAGGAGAACTGCAAACCACTACTCAACGAAATAAAAGAGGACACAAACAAATGGAATAACATTCCATGCTCATGGATACGAAGAATCAATATCGTGAAAATGGCCATACTGCCCGAGGTAATTTATAGATTCAATGTTATCCCCATCAAGCTACCAATGACTTTCTTCACAGAATTGGAAAAAACTTTAAAATTCATATGGAACCAAAAACAGGGTGAGTTTTATACTGTGGTTCTCTATAAAAAATGATATTGGGCCAGCATCAAATTTACAGCTGATAATGAGAACTTTTTAAAATACATATTTCTATTTGATATGTAGGCAAACAATATATGTTTCCTTTTGTACTTATGATGAACTTTTATATTATAGATAGTAAGGGAGTTTAACTTATTAGACATTAAAAATGATATTTCAACAAATCTGTTGTTTCTGGAAGTGTGTGTGCTAATACGCAGGTCAGAGGTAAATAATCACATTATTATAGTGCTACTGCAAACAAGAATTATCAATAAAGAAATAGTGGTAGAGAAATATAGGTATCATTAGGGTCTGGAACCAGATGGCATGTTACAATGACAGAGTGGGTGGCTGGAAAGTGGTCAAACCAAAAATTACGACACCTCACACACTATCCATCAAACTTTCATAAAGGTACAGTGAAAAATCTCCCATCTTGGAGAGCAAACCTTTCTGTCTGGAGAAAGAAATTTATATAATATAATATATATATTATATGATTACACATATATTCTTCCATACTATAATAGGCATGTCATATTCAGGTTAAGCTTATTAAATGAGTAAATCTTGCCAAAAGATTAAGAGATGAACCTGTGATGCTCACATGGATTAATTTTTCTCATGCATACAACAATTTCCTGTAAGTAGTTGATTTCAAGCTGATGTCCATAGACCTGTAAGGCTTCTGGGGGAAATGGCTCAGTGTCTTCCTGAGTTTATGGGTGAAGGCATATAAATATGCTTTCATGTCCTCTTTAACCAGACTAGCAGCTCTGCTTTCTTCTATTTTACACTTATAAAATCACCACAAATAAAGCATTATGAAAACTACCAAGGTGCAAAGTATTCTTTCTGCAAATACTTGTAGCTATGGAAACTCTGAAAGAAGACACAATGTTCTATACTTCAAGGCAATTTTGGGGTCCTTGGGAAAAGGTAGCCTCAAACAGTCCCAACATTCCTGTAGCAGAAATAACTTGGGCAACATAAAACTTGAGTTTCTGGTTTTGGAAAAATGGTGGCTCTTCTGAAAAATACAAGTCTACTTCTTCGTATTTGGAAAATAACAATGAAATGCGCTTGCAGAAGAGTTTCTTATTGATGAGAAAAAGGAAAAAGGGAGAAGGCATTGTTGCCACAGTATTTTCTCTTTGATCTCTTGTATGGTAGAATCAATTCAAACTATGAGATACATTTTTTAAAAATTCCCTTCTTTCATTATTAACTGGTATTCCAAACCACAGTAACTGCACTAAGTAGCCAGATAATTTATTCCATTAATAATCAACACTGGCCTTGTAGGGATTCATTTGTATTCAGACATGGATTTGCATTATTAATGTTTTTGGCAGTCCACAATATGTTGAGAAATACAATAAATGAAACTTCCAATAAAATCTGGTCCATAGTGACTTTTGGGCAAAAGTTTAATATAAAGTTAATTCATGTTTTCATCTTGAATGATTATTATTACTGTTTTTAAAGAAAGGTTTTTAATGACATAAAAATTAAATATCCCTGGAGCCATATTTTCCACTGGAAGCAAATTTTAACAATCATTAGTTCCAGGGCCAGTTGCAGTCGCTCATGCCTGTAATCCCAATGCTTGGGAGGCTGAGGTGGAAGATCACTTGAAGTCAGGAGTTTGAAACCACCCTGGGCAACAAAGCAAGACCCTGTCTCTACAAAAAAATTTAAAAAGCTGGCTGGTAATGGTGGAATGTGCCTGTAGTCCTAGCTACTCAGGAGGCTGAGATGGGAGGATCACTTGGGTCCAAGAGTCTGAGACTATAGTGAGCTGTGATTGTGCTACTGCATTCTAGCTTGGGTGACAGAGTGAGACCATCTCTCTAAATGTAAATAAATAATAAATAAATAAATAAATGAAATAATCATCATTATGAGTTCCCAAAGTTCTCACAGCTGACAGCTTGCCTCCTGGGTTACCATGAAGATTGTTTTCACAAGAAGATAATATTAAAATGCTACAAGGCTTCACATCATTACAAGGCAATGAAATACATTTTATTCACCATGAAGTAATTTTCTTTTCTTCTTCTTCTCCTTCTCCTTCTTCTTCTTTTTTTCTTTCCTTTGAGATGGGGTCTTGCTCTGTCACCCAGGCTGGAGTGCAGTGGCACCACCATAGCTCTCTGCAGTCTCAAACTCCCAGGCTCAAGTGATCCTCTTGCCTCAGCCTTGTGAGTAGCTGGGACCACAGGTGCACACTGCCTTCCTGGCTAATTTTTTTCTTTTTTTAGTTTTTGTAGAGACTGTCTCACTATGTTGCCCCGGTTGGTCTCGAACTCTTGACCTCAAGCTATCTTCCCACCTCAGCCTCCCAAAGTGCTGGAATTATAGGAATGAGCCACTGCACCCATCCAGAAAATAATTTTATATCCTAGCTTTCATTAGACATATTTCAAATTTTTTATAATATCATGAAAATAAAATTGAATCAGTGAATGACCACATACAATACACTAGATAATGCACGGAGTTGTTTTGATTAGATTTATTTGATTAAAAATCTATAAGAGATTAAAGAAACACTTATGCTGACTTACATAACAAGGCTCTGGGCTTATCAATAAATATATTCTTGATATGTATCAATATGCATTTCATATATCCAAAAAAAGGGATTTATAAGAGGATGGGTGATATTTACAGATTAAGGGCAAGATTGAGAGTGGTTTAGAAGAGTACAGATGGCCTGCCATTGGCACACTGTTTGAGAAAACAGGTTTGTACTCCTTTGTACTCTTGTCCTTAGAAACTGGACACATACAAAATTTGAGTTTGTTAAACTGATTTGGACCCTGAGCCAACACACTGAATTCCTAACTTACTCTAGATGCCTAAGAAATGCTTTACCTTTATTGCAGTACCTTTGATAGACATGTTATTTATAAAATGAAGTTTCATTGATTCGATTCAACTTTTTGACAATAGGTTTTAATAAAAATTGCATATAAAATGTTTCATTAACTTTTCTAAATCTTCCAAGAATTCCACTGTTTAGACTTTATATTCTCTACCATCGAATGAATGTTTTTATGTTTTCAGTAACTTTCTCTGCCTTTAAAGATCAGAAAACTTCAATAAAATTACTGCTATATTCAGTAATACATATACCTTGTTTCTGTTTGCATTTTACCTGATATTTTTATAGCACTTTGAAGTGTACAAGGCATTTTTGCATTAGGATTGAATTACATTTTGAGAATATCATGTGATGTGGTCAGGGCAGGGTATTAGTGATCCACTGTTTTAAGGTAAAGAGCCTTAAACTGAACTTCTAAGAATATTACCACTGTAAAATAGTAAACAAGTGGATAATGAAGGCCTCAGTTTGCCTTTGCTACCTCTAAGATTTTCTACTGGACTTCTCCTGCCCTTACATGCTCTTTGTAATCTATATGAAAAAGTATTTTTGTTGAAGTTACTGCTCTAAATGTCTCCTTTGCTCCATTAGTACAGATGGGGCAAGGGAGTGCAATTTGTTTCATATATAAACTACTGGAAAACAGCTCTACCTTCTAAAAGCTTCTCTTCTTGCATTTGATAGCAAGTGTTCCAGAACTAAGTAAATTGCTGAGTTTCCAGGAAAATTCATAGAAATTCTGCGAGATCCAGTGCTCCTATTTAAAATGCTTTTCTGCTAAGAAAAACTGTCTGCAGTTAAAGGGAATGTGATTATTATTTAGGATGTTGAGAAGTGATTTTTGATGGCATCAACAAAACACACTCAGATACAGATACGCATACCCTCACATATACAACAACACACAGGAAATAATTTCTTTCATGTAGTTAGGAGCATTCTGTATAATGTGCTGTCCTTGCTGGCCATACAAATGATTAAGTACCCAACACAGAACTTTGTTCTTTACAAAGATGCTCCCAAACCCACTAAGACAGATAATAAGTAAATTCATGTTTTGACTAAATCCAGACAACCAATGACAAGCTTTGAAATGACAAGGAAACCAGATTAAATTTGTTTCTGACTTGAGAAGCCAAAGTCACCGCAGGATACCTGTTACCAGAATTTTATCAAACTCTTCAAATAACAGGTTATTATTTTAACAAATTCTCTTTGTAGCAATATTTACATGCACATACACACACTACATGATTTTATTAACAATAAAGGTTTGATCTCACTTATATGTGGAGTATACTAAAGTTGAAATCAGAGAAGTAGAGAGTAGAATTATGGTTACCCAGCCTCTGAGCCAGTGTGGGGAGACATGGAATGGAGGGTTGTTGATCAAAGGGTGCAAAGTTTCAGACAGACACGAAGAACAGGTTTTGTGCTCTATTGCACAGCAGGATGACTGTAGTCAATAATGATATATACTTCGTAATAACTCAGAGAGTGAATTTCAAATGTCTCACCATAAAAAATGATAGGTAAATGAAGTGATAGATATGTCAATTAGCTTGATTTAATCATTCTACACTGTGTACATATATCAAAACATCACATTGTACCCTATACATTTTAAAATTATGGTACAATATGTCAATCAAGATAATATGAATAAATTCCTTAAAAATGCATTACTGTGAAAAATACAAATTTGAGAATGATAGGCTTAAAGAAAAATACAAAATAAATACAGTAGTGATAATCCTCAACTAATTTTATATGTATACATGACTAGCAAGAAGTAACTAGATGCAATGCAAAGTCATCTACTCTTAAAACTTCCCCGATCAACATAAAGCTTAGTTATTAAAAGTAAAAATGGAGACTCAACATTTTTTAAATTACAGGTTTAAATGTAACACTTTCCATTTAGTTATTAACCAAAAAACTCCATATTTAAAAAGTAAATGTATTTTTTATAGGTTGGTAACATTTAATTTGGAGTTTGTTATTATCACCAAATCAAAATTTTTAAAGAAATATTTTCTGGAGGTTCAAAAATGTGATTACAGATATAAGTTATTTGGCCATTGGTTTTATATGTGTATCATAGTATTTTTCACCTCAGAAACATCTTTTAATTTTAACAAAGAAAAAAATGGTGTCTTTAACATTAAATCATATTACATTTTTGGAATAAGAAAAAAAATAGCCATCTATGGTAAACCCACAGCCAATATTATACTAAATGGGAAAACGCTGGAAGCATTTCTTTTGAAAACCAGTATAAGACAAGAATGGCCTCTGTTACCACTTCTATTCAACATAGTATTGGAAGTCTTAACCAGAACAATTAGGCAAGAGAAAAAAATAAAGCACATCCGATTATGAAGAGAGATTCAAACTAACTCTGTTTGCAGATAACATAATTCTATATCTAGAAAACCTCATAGTCTCAGCCCTAAAGCTCCTACAGCTGATAAACAACTTAGCAAAGTTTCAGGATACAGAATCAATGTACAAAACACTAGCATTCTTATACACCACCAATAGCCAAACCAAGAACCAAATCAGAAAGGCAATTCCATTTACAATGGACTCAAAAAGAATAAAATACCTAGGAATACAGCTAACGAGGGAGGTGAAAAATCTCTACAATGAGAATTACAAAACACTTCTCACAGAAATCAGAGAAGGCACAAACAAATGGAAAAACTTCTCATGCTCATGAATAGGAAGAATCAATATCATTAAAATGGCTCTACTGCCCAAAGCAATTTACAGATTCAATGCTATTCCTATCTAATTACCAATGACATTCTTCACATAACTAGAAAAGAAATTATTTAAAAATTCATATGAAACCAAGGCAGTCCTAAGAAAAAAGAACAAAGCTGGAGGCATCAGATTACTCAACTTCAAACTATACTACAAGGCTACAGTAACCAAATCATGATACAGGTACAAAAACAGGCACATAGACCATTGGAGCAAAATAGAGGGCCCCAAAATAAGGCAGCACATCTATGACCATCTGATCTTCAACAAAGCTGACAAAAACAAGCAATGAGGAAAAGATTTCCTATTCAATAAATGATGCTGGGATAATTGGCTAGTCATATGCAGAAGATTGAAGCTGGATCATTTCCACAAAAATCAACTCAAGATGGATTGAAGATTTAAATGTAAAACCCAAAATTATCCAAGCCTTGGAAGACAACTTAGGCAATATAATCCTGGACATATGAATAGACAAAGATTTCATGACAAAGACACCAAAAGCAATCACAACAAAAGCAAAAATTGACATATGGGATCTAATTAAACTTAAGAGCTTCTCCACTGCAAAAGAAACTATCAACAGAGTAAACAGACAACCTACAGAATGGGAGAAAATATTTGCCAACCATGCATCTGACAAAAGTCTAATATCCAGCATCTATAAGGAACTTAAAATTTACAACAGCAAAACAACCCCATTAAAAAGTGGGCAAAAGACATGCACAGACACTTCTCAAAAGAAGACATACATGCGGCCAGTAAGCATACGAAAAAAAAGCTCAGTATCACTGATCATTAGAGAAATGCAAATCAAAACCACAGTGAGATACCACCTCACACCAGTCAGAATGGCTATTACTAAAAAGTCAAAAAGTAACAGATGCTGGTGAGGTTATGGAGAAAAGGGAACACTTACACCTTGTTGGTGGGGGTGTAAATCAGTTCAACCATTGTGGAAAGCAGTATGGTGATTCCTCAAAGAGCTAAAAGCAGAACTACCATTTGACCCAGCAATCCCATTACTGGGTATATACCAAGAGGAATAGCAATCATCTACCATAAAGATCATGCATGTGAATGTTCATTGCAACACTATTCATGATAGCAAAGACATGGAATCAACTTAAATGCCCATCAATGGCAGGTTGGATTAAGAAAATGTGGTATATATACACTATGGAATATTATGTAGCCATAAAAATAGAATGAGATCATGTCTTTTGTGGGACATGGAGGCAGCTGGAGACTATTATCTTTAGCAAACTAGCACAAGAACAGAAAGCCAAATACCACATGTTCTCACTTATAAGCAGGAATTAAATGTTAAGAACTTAGGAACACAAAGAAGGAAACAGACACTGGGTTCTACTTGAGGAAGGTGGGAGGAGGAAGAGGAGCAGAAAAGATAACTATTGGGTACTGGGCTTAATATCTGAGTGACAAAATAATACGTACAACAAACTCCCATGACACATGTTTGACTACGTAACAAACCTTCACATGTACCTCCAAACCTAAAATAAAAGTTAAAAAATAATTTCTTCTAATAATATCATCATTGTATGTTTCTTTTTCTTTTCTTTCATTAAAAAAAACTACATTTAGGACAACTCTAACCATTTTTGAAACCATTCCATTGTTTATAATTGGGCTCCATTTATTTTAAAAAATCTCCTTTTTAAAATAACTTTTTGAGACAGGATCTCACTCCATCATTCAGCCTGGAGTGCAGTGGTGTCATCACAACTCACTGCAGCCTTGACTTCCTGGGCAATCCTCGCACCTCAGCCTCCTGAATAGATGGGATCACAGGTGGGCATCACCATACCCAGACAATATATATTTTTTAATTTTTGTAGAGACAAGGCCTCCCTATGTTGGCCAGGCTGGTCTCAAACTCCTGAGCTCAAGCAATCCTTCTGCCTTGGCCTCCCAAAGTGCTAGGATTATAGATGTGAGCCACTGTGCCCAACCAAAAATATTTCCTAAATTATTTTTTTCTTAACCCCTTTTGACACAACATTCTCTTTTGGTAAAATAGTTGCATTGCTTTAGCTGGTGATCACATGGCAGATATGGTTTCAGTTACTACCTATATGTAATAGTCACTCTCAAATTCTTACCCCTAGTCTCAGTTTTCCCCTCTGAGGCCTATGCCCAAATTGTCTATTTTTCAGTTTAAATTTTGGTATTAAATTTATTTCCTCTTCCTTCCACATAGCCCTTGAAAAATTTTTAATTATGAAGAAACAACACCCGTTATATCACCAGTGTTCCTTGTTCTAGTTAATGCACCATGCCATTTTTTCTTCTCTTAGTACCACTTCCTTCAGTCAAATAATTTCCAAGTCCTGTCAGTGACATGTTGAAAATGACAATTCTTGTCATCTGAGAAGCACTTATTGTCAATGCGTAACTTCAAAGCTCATCATCTCTCATTTGAATTATTGTGATAACATACCAATCCTGTTTCTTTTTTCATATTCACATCTTCTTAAGTTAATTTTTATTCACTTATGTTGATTGATCTTTAAAAACTTTTGAGACTTCTTTTTTTCCTGGAGAACAAAACCCAAAGTTCCTTGCATGCAGAGCTCTTCAGAGTTTGAAAACAATCTTGCCAGCCACATTTTCTGTCACCTGCCCTTATGGCACTCTACACTCTAGTCAGACTATGACAGTGAAAAGCAGGCCTAACATTATTAACTCAATTTTGCCTGTAACCTCACAACACCCATCCCCACTCCACTGGGGTGCTATCTTTTAGGTTAAATACTTTTGCTTATCTGTGAATTTAGGCCAAGCTAACTAGGGGAAGAATTTCATTTATTGTTTGAAAAAAAGATGATAATACTCCCTTCCTAAAACTAACCCCTGAGGAGATAAAGAGGGTGAATACACAAGTAACAATGTTGTGTTGAGAATTTGTGGGGGTATTGTGATCTGACCAAAAATGGAGACGTTTCATGGCCTCCTAAGCCCCTCACTGGTGCCCACATGTCTGCAGTCATTGGTCACCTCTTAATCCCAACTCCTTTCTTTTCACCCTGATCTTAACATAATAGGAGCCTGAAATTTGTACTGACTTAAGATGGTTTTTTAGGATGTTAGTCCCCCATCTTTTCTGTTTGCTGGCTCCCTGAAATAAAGTTGTCTACCTTCCTCCAACTCTTTGTCTCTCAATGCATTGGCTGTCATGCAGCAAGCAGAAATAGTTTGGACTCACAATTTGGGGAAGCCTGCAGCCAGGAGAAGTTGCTCCTGGCCAGCTGGCCCCAGCTAAGGAATTCCTGGCTATGTCCCTATCAGCTGCTGGAGACTTTTTCCTCCAGGGACCCCTGCTAGTTCCCTTGGCAGTACTGGCTGTCTCTATGCATACTGCTGAAACAAGGTATTGAAAAATCTCTATGAGTGAATGGACTCGATTCAGAAGCAGGACAAGTTGCTCTGGTGTTTACAGCCGGGAACTCCCTTTTCCCTCTGTTTGGGTTCATTCCTTGAACCAGCCATTTTGTTTTACCCTGGGGTATCCTGTTGGAGAGGGGGAATAGTGTTGGACTTGTATCTGATTTGAGAAGCAGTTCATTTGCATTTGTCTTTGTTTTTGTGGGCCCTGGGCTATATGTTTTAAAATATGAGAAAGTTCAAATGCATGCTAGGTTTTCTGGGATTACAGCTGTTACATATTATGGCCCATTTCTGTGTACATTTTAAACTGATAGGCAAATTATAGCAAGAAAAATCAGAGATCAAATTGTTAACCTGCAACTACAGAGTTAAGTAGTGTCTTCTAAAACTCTTTATTAGTCCATTTTGCACTGCTATAAAGAAATGCCTAAGTCTGGGTAATTTATAAAGAAAAGAGGTTTATTTGGCTAATGGTTTTGCATGGTGCTGGCTTCTGGAAAGCTTCTGGTGAGGTCTCAGAAAGCTTTCATTCATCGAGGAAGAAGAGGAAGCAGGTGTGTCACATGGTGAGAGAGACAGGAGGAGGTACAAGGCTCTTAAACAACCAGCTCTTGGGTGAACTAATAGACTGAGAATCACTCATTACTGTGAGGACAGCACTAAGCAATTCATGAGGGGTCCGCCCCCATGACCCAAACACCTCCCACTAGGCCCCAGCTCCAACACTGGGGATGACAATTCAACATGAGATATGGAGTGGACAAATATCCAAACCATATCACTTTCTATTGCTCTCTTTCCTTTCTGCCTGCTTTGAATTTCCCATTATTAAGCTACTGGCGTTGAGATAAAACTCACTTTTTATATAGCACCAACTAATCTGAAGTTACTTGGAAATTCTGTTTCCTTATAGAGTTCAGCAAGTTCTAGCTAAAATGTAAACATTGAAAATTCATTTGAAACGGAAGGAAAAAAAGATAAAACAGGTTTTTAAAAAAATTAAACTGCCATGAAAACTGTTTTACCCATAATTTTGGTCTACATCCTTCACCAGATTATCTACTGGGGAAAATAAAGTTTTGGCATATGTTTTCAGACATAATTTGGATCCAGCTATCTTTTAGAGGCCAGCGAAAGTACCAAATGTTAGCCAGTAGACCACAGGGGTGGCATTTACAGGCCAGTGAGTTTGTGATGCCATCTTATGGCTAGAATTTTAAGGTAAAAACAATTGGATCTTGGCTTGTGTGTGTATATATCTGTTTAGATGTGTTTATGTGTATGTAGATGCATTATTTGTTATGTCTAGCATGCTACAAATTGGTTTATAAGTAAATGAGTACTTGTACATTAAATAAGCTCAAATGCTTTGCAAGTTCATGTGAATTTAGGTATCTTTGGTAAATAAAAATGGTTTCAAAATTATTACTAAAATACAATAGAAATGTCTTTGGAATTTTCACCACACATTTTTGGGTTTACTGATTATTTTATATTTGCCTTTGATAGATATTTTAAGATATCAGGGTTTGGCATCAGATCATAAGACTATAAACCCAACCAAAAACACAATAGTCTTTGTTTATGTGATTTTTTTGACAAATAAGACGAATACAAGATCGTTTGTTCAATGAAAACAGCTGAATCATCTGAGTTATTGGCAAAATGCTCATGAGTTAACTTTAAGGTTCTTACTTAGATGAACCCTGATGTTCACAGGCTTTAAAAATGGTTAACAGGGAAATAAATTTAAATGATGACTGGCTTTGTTTAATACCTGAGTTAAGATGTAATTTAGGTAAAGTGTCATAAGTGAAAGAATTGAGTACATGTAAATAGAATAAATGATTCTATTTACTTTGTGTAATTTAAAATCTTAAAATTAGTTTCAATTGATAAATAGGTGCTGATTGGATATCTGAGTCATTTTCAATTAAGAAAGGATTTTGATATGGGGAAACACGTTTATAAAAATTTTGGAGTGTTTTCATCCATAACATATTAATATCTGATAGATTATTCAGGATTTCTTGCCTCCTAGGTTTTCACTAAAATTTAAGGTTACTAAAAGTAAGAATTCTAGTTGACATAATAATTCTCTATATAAAGTGTCAAGGTAAGATGTGGGCTTTGATGAGAGAATAAATTATAAGACATGTAAAGCTGTGTTACTATTGAGAAAAAATAAATTTAGGTGATATGGAGATTATTTAAAAGTTGTTTCTGAAATAAGGTAGAAAGGAACCAGTAAGTAGAAGACAGAAGTATGAAGAAGGCTATGAATATGAAGATGTATTTTTAGTAGGAAAGCTTAAAAAGAGAATAATTGTGTGTAAGAAAGGATCTTATATGGTAAATTTTGGTCCTAAAGTAAAATGGCTAGTTATTGAGAAAAGAGGGAAGTACAGAACAAATCAGAAAGTCCAAGTATGCTGTAGATGGTTTTGAAAGTTGTAATAAGGTTTGTGAAAGAGAATTTATAAAAACAATTTTGATGTGATTCAGTTAGTTTTTTTTTTAAAAGGGAATTATTTATAATAGTTCTTCTATGATTGGTCCTCTATGTTAAATGAGGTTTTCTTAAGGCATTGGTTTGCTCCTAATAAAATTACTAGAATTTTGATTTTTAATTCTATAACCTGTTTCTTTTTGAAAACTTTTCAGATTCATATCTCAGAAGTTCAACTTTTGTTGTATCTCACTGCTTTCAGCTTTTTCTTCTGTTGAGAAGGCCTAAGATGATAATGCTCTCCTTCAACTTCTTCATCCAATTCCATAACTTTTTTCCTCCAGTTTTAACTGTTGTTGTAGACTGATGCGGAAATGTTTTATATAGAAAAGCAATGTTTTCCTTGAATACAACTTGATATTGTACTCAGCTTTTCTTGATATGTCTGAATTTTTCCATGTAACCCAAGAACTTCCCATGCAGTCACTAAGAGTCATGCATTTCCATGACATACTAATAACCTGGGACACACTTTTCCTGTGTTTGATGGAATGTGAGTTCTTTTTTCATCAAGTTTGACTTTGAGTCCTTTTTTCATCAAGTTTGACTTCCAGGTTATCTAAATGAGTTTCCCATAAGGAGAAGCAATCACATTGCAGGTTTTTCTTTGCCTTTTTCGTAACTGGCCTAAAAAACAAAGTTTTTACATTTTATCAAAATAATCCCTATGTTATATTTATAGGTTTTTAATTACTTGGGCAAACTGAAATTTAAAAGGCTTAAAATTTCTACATGTATGTAATTTTCTGTATTGCTTTTAAAGTTTTTGATTATCACATTTGGTTAAATGAATAACTATTATTCTGTTTTGTTCAAATATTTTGAGCCCTTTAACATCTTTGATAAACATCCTCAAAATAAAATTTTAAAACTAAGTCTCAGATTACTGGAGACTTGTCAAAGCTATAAAGTTAATCACTTAAAGGTTTCAGAATCTTTTTATAACTTCCAGCCAGGTGATAAACAAAAGAGAGTTAATTGACTCACAATTCTGTATGGCTGGGGAGGCCTCAGGAAACTTACAATCATGGTGAAAGGCAAATGGAAAGCAAGGCACGTCTTACATGGTAGCAGAAGAGAGTGCACAGGGGGAAACTTCCACTTTTTAAACCATCCGATCTTGTAAGAACTCCTTCACTATGATGAGAACAGCATGGGGGAAACTGCATCCATAATCCAATCACCTCCCACCAGGTCCTTCCCTTGACATATGGGGATTACAATTCAAGATGAAATTTGAGTGGGGACAGAGAACCAAACCATATCAATACTTATCAGGTACTATTAAGCAATCCTTGTGCTGTTAAGTTACAGGGTTTTGACTCCTGGGTACACATATCTCATCTAAAGAAGGCACTCACTCCTGCCATTATCTGACACCAAACTCAAGTTAACCAAAGCCTCATCTTTAGATCTGGGAAAAGATGACAATCAAAGTAAACTGCTTTCATGAGACACAGGGATAGGCCACTATTCAAAGAGATTTGGATTCATTTTATAATTGTGCCTCTATCTATATCCTTGATGCTAGATAGTTTGAATGTTTAGCTACCTGTGAGCTTCCTTTTTCAGTCATTCCCATAACTAGACAAGGCTTATGACCTTTTTGCTTGAAACCTTGCTAATACTTTATGTCTTGTTTCTCTTCAGAATTTAAAAACAATTCAATCCCACTAGGCCAATCCATTTTGCACTGCAAACATACTGCTGTTAAAGTTATACAAAATCAACCACCCTCCCTCTATGCCCAGGGACTATTGCAGAAGAGATGGGCACATGAAATTTTAAAGGGTCTGTTTCGAGAGCTAAAACTAGTTCAAACTCTCCAAATCAAAGATGGATTCACAGATGCCTAAATGGCTGATGGTTCAACACATAAAACTTATAGATAAATTGATTTTATAATCTTGCTTTTTGGCTTTTGGTTTTTGGCTCTTATGTTACTTGAAAAAGTTATAATGGTTAATGAGTATCTGCCCAACTCCATTCCCACAGATGCCTAGAATTATTAACTAGCTTTAAGTCATTTGGGTCTAACTCTCTTTGCCATAGGGGTCCCATCGAGGGATAGTATGGACCTAGGGCAGGTAGCCACACTACCCCAGCAATGATATGGAAAAAAATAAAAGCTTGGTCATTGATGCTGTCTCTGGCATATTTTGACCAAAAAGAGGGTATATAAACGAAAAAAGTAGAATCCTATGTCCCTCACTAATTAAATGGACCTCCCTTGGCCAAGGGAGCCCCAGAAAAAAACCTTAAAAACTTAGTTCCCAGCCATGAACTAAGGGATGGGAGGTCAGATATGTCATGTTATCCCTCCTCCCTTTTATGGTTTAGAGAAAATAACTCAGCAGACTTAATGACCATTAGACTAACAGAACAAACTCTTTGTGGCAATAAGATACCAAATCATAAACAGGACATAAGGCCATGACAGGCAAGTGTTAAGTCTTCACCTGAAGGTAACCATATGTTACCTGTATGTTTTGTAAATATGCCTGTGTTAGGACTGCCTTTATAAATACTCATAGATTCTCCTATAACCTGTTAAATATGTATGTTTAGCCAACCTGATATCATATCCCCATAGGAGTCCCAGTACAATTGATAGTGGGGAAGAAACTTACTGACTTTCTTATTGATGCAGGGGCCACAGATTCTGTAGTTAACACCCATCTATCCCTGATTTGAAGAAGACTATGATGGTTACATGAATGTCAAGGGAAGCTGTAACTCATTCCTTCCTGAAACCTTTGAATTGTCAGCTTGGAGACGATAACTGACAGAAAAATTGAAAAGATAAACCACAGTCTAAAAAGAAGCATCAAAATTTTCAAAGAACTAATTTAACTTGGAATAAGGCATTGCCAGTTGCCCTGCCATAGATTAGAGTAGCTCCCTCAAGTATGCTCAAATTGAATCTCTTTGAAACATTATATGATAGGTCATTGCAAGTTTCAGCTGGAGAACGAACTGATATTTTAAGAGATTTAGCAATTGCCAAATATGTTAACTGTAGGCACTGTACTAACTTCTGTTCATGACTTTTCTTCTAGCAGGATCACTCATCCCACAGATGTGGTCTCACATCCTTTTTGACCAGGAGGGGTCTTCTTAAAGACTTGGAAAGAAAAAGGACCTGAACACCAATTTGTTGCCAAGTGAATGGGACTGTTAGAGGTGCTGCTGAATACCCATTCATCAGTTAAACTTGATGGATTAAAGCCATGGGTATATCATACTTGGGTCAGGTCACCCCACCATTCCAGAAACCAGGAAAACAGTGGGCATATGAGCTCTTGAAGGACCTAAAGTTACTCATTCACAAAAGGATAAATGAAATAAAAATGAAAACCCTATGTGTCTTGCTTGTCTTTTGGAGATTTTCATATGTTTGGCAACCCAAGTAGTTAGGATTTCTCAGTCTATTGCCACTTCCACTAACCTATCCCCCACTGCTGAATTTGCCATCCTACACCTTGTTCAGTACATGACAACTCTGATCATATAGTTGTTGCTGTATATAGGGTATATAGAGTACAACTATATGCTGTATATCAGGAAGCATGCACCCAGAAGTTCCATGCTTCTTTCTTACTCAACTTCTTCTCATTAGACACTACATGCAAAGTGATAGTGGGAACCCACAAGCCTACAAGGGGAATATTTCCTTAGCCAGGTCAAATGGTTTTATTCCACAGTCATCCCTCATCAACCCCATCCAACCAGTAGTACCCAGATGGGAGACAACATCCCATTGTCCTCAATTCCACAAGATTTTGGAATGAACCTTTGAGAGTGGGGAAATTGTAGCAGTGAAAAGGAGGCCTAGCATGACTAACTCCATTTTGCTCCTAAACTCATCACTCCTTTTGTGGTGATATCTTTTAGGGTAACTGCTTTTGCTTATTTCTGCATGTAGGCCAAGCTAACTACGAGAGGAATTTGGTGTATAGTTGAAAGCAAATAACAGTTCCTTATGAAAACTAACCCAGAAGATAAAAATAGTGTACCCACACGTAACAATGTAGTGTTGAGTATTTGTCGGAGAGTCATGACCCGACCAAGGATGGAGGCATTTCATGGCCTCCTCAGACCAGACCCATGCTGGCACCCAGATATCTGTGGTCATGAGTCACCTCTGGACTCCAACCCTTTCTTTTTTCCCCTTCCCTTAACATAAAACCAACCTGAAATGTTTACTGACTTAAGATGGTTAAGACATTAGTCCACCATGTTCTTAGTTTGCTAGCTCTCTAAATAAGGTCACTGACCTTGTTCCAAATCCTTGTCTCTCAACTTACTGGCTGTTGTGCGGTGAGCTGAAAGAGTTTGGAATCAGATACAAGACTTTAAAACCAAACAATTCCTACTAGTGTCATAACTAGGCCATGTAAAATGACCAATATATAGGAAGTTTCTCATAATTAATGGGTGTTGTATCTTCGGATAATTTGTCATTTAATTTTTAATGTAATTTGCAAATCTTTAATATATGTATCTGTTGAATAACAAATTAATTTTTTTCTTTGTAGTATTTTAGAACTTTTAAAACATTGTTGTGTGAAATTGAAAAGTGTTATGTAGATAAAGCAGGCTTAGATATGGCTTTCATCAAAAGTAAAGGAGAAAAAAGATGATATTTTCCTTTTCCACACCCTTAGTGTTCCAAATGAACAGAATATACTGTTCTTTTTAATTCTCTAATCTATCCCCCAGACACTTTCACACACAAAAAGCAGGGTCTGTTCTGTTATATAATTATCTTTATGAAAAATGCAATAACAGCAAATAGTAAAATATATTTTAAGAGAAAATAAAGACTTTCATTGTATATAAATTAGTTACTTAGTTTTCAGATTGCTACAAAAGACCTTGAAAGAGGCAAGGCACGGTGGCTCACGCCTGTAATCCCAGCACTTTGGGAGGCCGAGGCAGGTGGATCATGAGGTCAGGAGATCGAGACCATCCTGGCTAACACGGTGAAACCCCGTCTCTACTAAAAATACAAAAAATTAGCTAGACGTGGTGGTTGGCACCTGTAGTCCCAGCTGCTCAGGAGGGTGAGGCAGGAGAATGGCATGAACCTGGGAGGTGGAGCTTGCAGTGAGCTGAGATCGCCTCCACTGCACTCCAGCCTGGGCGACAGAGCGAGACTCCATTTCAAAAAAAAAAAAAAAAAAAAGACCTTGAAAGAAATAATAATAAACATTAAAGAAGATAATCTTTACCAATGTTTATCTTCCCTTGAAGATAAACAAAATCTAAAAAGATCATCAACACAGTTGTGTTTTAACAATAAGCATTTTCTCCCAAAGCAATAATCTAAGGATAATATTTATGTTACAGTCTATTATCTATAAAAATATTACAGCTGTAATAAAAATTCAGAACAAATACCTTTGTTGTTAAACTTTTAGAAGCACAATGGAGGTACATTTTTTTATAGGAGTTAACCGTTAGCTACTACACAATCCTATTAATGTGGTGATGTTGGAAGATCAAGGCTAGCATCTGCATAATAGCTGTCTAGAGCATGATGTTGGGCAGGGTGAAGAGCTGCATTATTTTATCTGCAATTTAATCAAATTTGTGACACATAAAGGAGCTTTATAAAGGGATTTAATTCATGTCTGGTACTTAACAATTCTCTTTTGGTAATAAGGCTACATATTTATTTTGTCTATATATAATAATATGTATACATTATTGGTCAAGGCTAAAATAAACTCATAGGTGTTAATGCTGTTTTGACTGTAACATTTTATTTCAAATCAAATAAAAACAATATATGCCACTTTAAAAGACAAATTAAGGAAACAACTTGACTTTCTTTTCATTTGTTATCAACTTTCCCAGAGTATAAGACAGGACCTACAATTTATGTTAAAATTATGGTTAGATTGATTGTCACAAATGGTTCTACGGGCATGTCAAGAAAATTCAGGCCTGATACTTCAAAAGTGCCCTCTCAGATACTATGCATTTTTCACAGGAGTCAGTTACCCAACATTGGTGTTCTCACTACTGACTTAAGAAAATTAGGCTCAACTAAGAAACAAAACTTTGAAAAATACAATTAATGTCTTACAGAAAACTAGCCATCACAGTAAATTTTCATCTTTTCATATTTCTTTTCGAGCAAGTAGAAAAACTTGGACTGATGATGTGATTTCAACACTGACATTAGGATATAATCATAGATGGTTTTGAAATTAGAAACGGGTGTGCCAACATGGTTGGCTGAGCAGAATGAAGAACTATCCCTTCCTAATATCACTACATAATGGATTTCTTTGTAGCAACTTTTGATGAGCATTATGTTCAATCATATAGTAAACATAATTCCATCTGGATTATATATCTTGAAGGAGTCATAAAATTGTGATCTTAATTCCTATGTGTTGAGATTAAAGTTTATAGGTTATTATAATTTAATTTAAACTTAGTGTAAAGATTGCCCATCTGTTTTGGTATTTCAAGCATATCAATTATGAAATAGTCAAACTAAGGTAATTAGATAAGCCATCAATATGGTGATGCCTGAGTGATAATGCTTTTATATTAATGTGAAGTTAAATTTTAAGAGGAACACGCATAGATAACATGAAATTATCTAAAGACAAAAATAATCTAGTGATGGATTTAAAACAAGTTGCATAAGCCAGAATATGTGTGGGTGTTATATGGTGTATACATGAGGAAAATACTATGCTCTTTGTTAATATTCCCTTGTTTAATAGTACTGCTTACATTACTTTCAGTTTAGCCCTATAAAGTGTTCTGATTTATCATATTGACTATGGGTGTAGCGCATACAATAGGAAGACAAATATCACTGTTGGCATATTTCTTCAGACATTAAATATAAAATTTATAATTTTATTTCCATTAAGAACAACTTGTTATTTAAGTTGTTAATTTTTAGGTGTTCTCTACTGTAACTTCTCAAAAATATGCACATATGCACCTATCAATGTTATTTAACACTACTTGGATTTGGAAAGTAGTGGTTTTATCTTCCTTAAGATATTGAAATATATTACTCCACCTCATGTTAAGTTTTGGTAGAAAAGTATATCTAAGCTTCTATTTTCCTTCCATTTTTATTCTCTAGGAGTCTTTTACTTTATCTGCATAATTTCCCTGCAAGATCTCATCTGTTGTTTATGACTTTATCTACCACTTCTTTACCAATGACTTCTAAATCTAAAATTGCAATTAAAACCTTTTCCTAAGTCCACATTTCCAAGTGGCTACTGGACATAACAACCTACATATCCCACGATTACTTCCTAGGCATTATATCCGAAACTGTGCACTTTAACTTCCCATGCAATCACTTCTCCAGCCATAATTTGCTGTTTCCTGAAATCCTGATCTTAATTAATGATGCTTTCATTTATCCAGTTTCCTGAGTTAGAGACTCAGGAGAATCATAATCAACCGTCCCCTTTTTATTATCTCATGTCTATAACCCAGGACCAAGTCTTATACAGTCTAATTTTGTTTATGAATAAAAACTTAATAATCTGTTGGATGCCTTCTATCTACTAGGCTAGACGGTCATCTGGGTGCTGGGAATATATCAACAGAAAAAATAAACATGATCCCTGCCCTCATGGGATTTCCAGGGCTGCGAAGGAAGGATAGGCAAGAGGAAGGATAAAATATATAAAAAAAAAAATTATTTCATGCAGTGATAACCATTAATAATGAAAAAAATGGGTGATGTAAACTAATGATTGGGGATGGGTGTTCAAGAGGGAAGGTCTTTCTGAGAAAAACATGTAAACCGATAAGCCATCAAAAGAATGATTTTAAAAAGGCAGTCATGTGAAGACATAGGCTAAGTGCATGTGTGCGTGTACATATGTGTGTGTCCACACTACACAGAAATACATCCTACATTTGCTATAAAACTTTCTTTGTATCCAAAGATTTCTGACTATGCTCTTGAGGATTTTGTTTAATTGTGCCACGTAGTATTCACATAGTTTAGAACTTCTTTTAACAACATGAAATTACAACACTATTTTTTTCTGGCACAATGAACATTCTTAATTTATGGCCCCAAATGCACTCTCTAACACTGTTTCCTGGGGGTATACCCACTGTGAACTTAAGTAAGCTGGGCTTACTTGCTCTCTGGACTCTAGGGTTTCAAATCAGTGAAACACACCGACAAGAGTCTAGTGTTTGAAAGATAACAGTGCGTGGCCTATTTATTTCCCGGTATCCTTTCCTGCCATGTCATGGTTGGGCAGATGCTGTGTTTCCCCATGGCAGAACCTGGATCCTGACAGACATTCCCTCTCCCAGGGCCTCAGTTCCCTCCCATTGCTCCTCCTAGCTCTCAGTGGTGAGGGTTCCTCTCTCTTGCTAGTCCTTCACCATCTCATCTTGATTTCCCTAACCCACCCCACGCCTATGTAAATAGCCCATTTATTAGATACTCTTCAATTATTTATTTTGAATATATTATTAATATCTCTCTCCTGCTGAGACCCAGGATGACGGTGTTGTTCACTATTGAGCCAACTGGTGAGCAATGAGTATACCTCTCCAAATGTTTGTTCCTTCAGTATTAAAACTCATTTTGGGGGTTTTGGTGTGGTTTGGCTAGTATTCTGAGCCATTACTACTAGTTCTTCCCAAATTCTCTAACAAAAGTATACAACCCTCTTGGAATATTTTCCATGTTGTCAAATATATTAGGTGTTGCATCACTTAATATTTCCCGGTACACCTATCTCCTGGAGACTTCTTATTCCAATCTGGAAAGACTGTTCTCCAGGCCTGCCACACAGCATCATTCTTTAACCTCCTTTCCCTTCAGTCTCTCTCTTCTCGGCTATAATTTGGGTGAGCAGGAATTTTATTCAGAATTTTACAGGCTTTGCACCCATGATTTTTAGTGTTTGGGACAGTTTTTGTTGGTTGACATATTTGGCTTTCCGATTCTTTATATGTGCTCCTCCCCCCCACCCCACCCTCTGGAATGTTTAAGATTTTGCCTTTATTTCATGTGTTCCAGAACTTTCATGATAATATGACTGCCATGGTCTTTTCTTTTGCATTTACTATCCTGGTAATTTTATGTGCTCTTTCAGTCTGGTAATGCATATCCTTCATTTCTGAGAAATGTTCTCTCTCTCTTTTTGTTTGGATAATTTCTTTCCCTCTGCTTTTTCTCTTTCTCTAACTCTCATTAGCCAGATGCTCACCCTCCTAAATTGACCCTCTACAATATATTTTTTACCTTTCTACTTTATTTTCTATTTTTTGTCTATTTAAAAAGAAAACTCTGAGTGATTTAACAAATGATCTTCCACTTATTTAAAAAAGTTCTATCATACACAGTATATGTTTTTGTATCCCAGGAGTTCTTTTTTGCTTGCTGTTCTTTTTCATGCATTTGCTATTTACTTCAAGGATGAAATATGATTTTGCTTTATCTTTCTGAGGATATAAATTATATTTTGCTTTAAAATTTCCTTCTATACTATGTCTTGCTTCTGATATTTAAGTGCCAGGACTATAATTTCCCCCCTCTGGCTTCTTCGTTTCTGGGGAACAATTCTAGTCTTTTCAGTGGAGGATATAATCAGACTGTCTCCATACTTGTGGCTAAAAACTGAAAAAAGGCCTGCAGCAGAGATGTATAGCTTTCAGCTTGAATAATTTAATTTATTCTGCCCATTTTTAGCATATTTTTCCACTATTATTGTTTCTGGTATCCTGAGTTTAGACCTTTTTGCCTTTATTTCACTACATAATGAACCCTCCATTTCCTACTTGGGTAGGAAAATAATGTCTCCTGGCAATACAGAATTGGGGATGGGACCTGGGTCTAACAACTTGTTAGATACACTTTAGTCAATTCTCTTATTTTCATATTTGTATAAGTCAATTCTCTATAATATGTAGTGTCTTCAGTTCTTAGACTTTCCAGAGTCGACAGAGACTGAGTGGCTTCTAATTGATGTCACCCTATAGTCAGTTAGGGGGCAGATTTTCATTTTCCAAAATTGAGTTGAAATGTCTCATCCTTTCCTGAGTCCTTCCTCATTCTCAATCTTTTTGTAAATCTAAACTTTATATATTCACTTATAGTCATTATAGTAGCATTTTGGAAGGAAGTACAAATAAAATGCAAGGATTCAATTTTCCATATCAAAAGGCATGCACACTTTAAAACCTTAATATATGTATGAAATTATAGATAGGACAAATTTTCTAATATAATATAGTTAGAATCAGGATAGGTACATTAAGTTTTTATTTGTATCTTTTAATTTCAGCTTCTTGACATTTGAAAGGCTTTAAAATGTGAGATGGTAAACTCCATCTGAAAACTTTGATAGAAAAAGATAATCTAAAATATGCAAACAGAAAGACTGCATTTTTTCTACCATAATGGCAACATAAGCCTTTTGTTCCTTTGTTCTTCAATCTGTGAAATCAGAGTTTAATAATGTCTGATTCATAGGGATGTTGTGTGGATTAAGGTAATATGACAATCAGCATAGTTTCTGACACAGAGCAAATGCTCAATAAATATTACTCTCTTCTACTAGGTATAATATACTTTTATTCATGTGACCTAAGATGACATTATAAATATTTTGCCTAATTCATCTATGCATTAGGTCCCCATTGTATGCAACCATAACTCTTTTGTTAGACTAAAATCAATTATAATTAATTGCAAAAGTGTTACCTGTTTTCCCTGCTAACATGAAAGCTCACTGGAAGCAGATATTCTTTCTCTACTATTCACCAAAACTACAGTGTCTTGATCAGTATATGTGTTCAGTAAGTATTTAATAAACGTTTTATCTCATTATATCTCTATTTTTTACGGGTGCCAAAGTTAGGACATTTATTCTTCACTTTGTATGTATAGGTAAACTTGTATACTTAAGTGTTAGGCTATATTTTTAGGCCTATTAAATTCATCTTGTGAAATACCAGCCTGTAATGAAATTGTTCAAATTATCTTTCCATCAACATTGCATGAAATTGTTCAAATTATCTTTCCATTAACATTGCATGTTGTTTAGTCTTCCCCTTCCCTCTTCATATCCCTGTTTCTTCTTATCACACAATTGTTCAGTACCCTACCAATACATTATCTGTCTCATTAATTTAAATATTGAGTAACAAAGGGGATAGGGCTTAGGCCCATGACATGCAATGCAAAACCTTTTTTCTAGTTAGATTAATCCAATCATCAGTGTTTGGATGTCGTCATTCCATTAGATGTGAACCATCCTAACGATACTATATTTCAGTACACACTACTTTATTTTGTCAAATGATTTGTTCTACTTCTAGAAAACCACAATGGTCCACCTTTTTAATAGTTCCATCACAAAGAAAATGAGGTGAGTTTAGTATGTGTTGTTTCTCAACACTTTTAACCCATTTTAAAAGGTTTAACGACTTATGTTGCCATTATGGTAGAAAAAATGCAGTCTTTCTGTTTGCATATTTTAGACATATCCAGGGTCACACAACTATAAGCACAGAAACTGAAATCTAAACCTGTGAACTTCCACTCCAGAGTTGGAAGAATTCACTACTCTGCCATACTGAGCAAGTCAAAGGCTCCTTGGGTGCCACACTATGAGACACACAATAAACTAAACCTATGTGTGTGAAAAAAGCAGGTTCCTGGAAGATCTCAAAACTTAAAAATGAACCCACATGAATAGGAGGTTTTTAATTAGTGCAGAGAAGACAAAGGGTAATAGTCACTCATTTATTCTACATATATTTATGTAATGCCCACTGTGTGCTTGGTAATGACCCAGTGTAGAGAATAAACATAGCACGAAGTGCCTTCTCTCAGAGGTTTGTCTTCTAATGCAGAAATGAACAAACATTTATTTACAAAGTAAATATTTAAAATATGCATTTTATAGGACAGTAAATAGCACCAAAAAGAAATAAAAAGCATGAAAGGAGGATATAAAATTTGAGGGATAATGCTTTGGAATTTTAAATGGGATGGCCAGGAAAGACCACACTGAAAAGGTGGTTTTTGAGTAAAGAAGGAAGCAAAGGAGCAAGCCACGTGAATGCTGGGGTGGGGATAGCATTCTAAGTAGAAGGAATAAGTGCAAAGACCCTGAGACAGGATCATAGCCACTGTGTCAAAACACTACAAGGAAGTCTGTGTGGTAGGAAATTATAGGAGAGGAGGTGAGAGAAGGGACACAAAGTCTAAGTGCAGCCTTTTAGAGCCTAGTAAAGACTTTGGTGCTCTCTCTTAATAAGATGGAAAGCCACTGGAAGTTTTCAGTCAAATAATAATGACATAAACTGAAATTTTTTAACAAGATTACTCTGGCAACATATAAACAACAGACTAAATGAGGGATAAGAGCAAGAGGAAGAGGATGACTGGCTAGGAAGTCATTGTAATAATTCAGATGAGTCATGATGGTGAGTTGGAAAAGGACAAAAGGTAAGAACAGTGTGGGCAGATTGACTTTTGGACATATTTTGAAGGTAGTGCCAAAGGATTGATGTGTAATGTGAAAAGAAGGGGGAACTCAATGGTAACCCCAAGGATTCTGGTCAGGCCAACTGTAAGAATGAAGGACATTAACTGGGTTGGGGTTGATATTGTGAGGTCTGTTTTGTACACATTATGTTTACTCCATTTAACATCCATCCAAGAGTACATGCTGAGGAAGTGGTTGGATATATGGATCTGGAGTTCAGGGAGGAGTCCTGGCTGGGCATATCAATTTGTGAGTCATCACATTACAGATGGTATTGAAAGTGGTGGGACTACAGGAGAAAAGAGAAGAGGTCTAAAGCCAGGAGCACTCTAAATTTTAGAATTAGAGGACAAGGAGAAACCAGCATAGGCAAGTGAGATGGAACTGCAAGGAAGCAGGAAAAGAATTCGTATGTTGTTTTAAAAGTAAATTGCAGCACAAATTCTCAAGGAAAACAAAGTAATCAACCGTGACAAATGCCCCTGATAGTGCAAGTAAGACGAGAACTAAGAAATAGACCATTGGCTCTAGAAATGTGGAAGTCATCAGTGGACTTTTAAGGGAATAACTTTGGTGACGGGGTGGTAGCAAAAACCTGACTTGGTTCAGGATGAAATCAAAGGAGAGAATTTGGCAATAGTCATTTAAGACAACATTTTTAAGGACTACTGTTGTAAAGGGAAAGAGAAATGTGGAAACTGAGGGAAGGTGTAGATAATATTTTATTTTTTTTGCTTTTCGGTTTGTTTGCTTTCTTTTGGTTGTGGTAGGAGAATAGTATTTACACATGCTGATGGGAAGAATCCAGTGTAAAGGGGAAAGTGATCCTGGAGGAGAGAGAGCAGGGAGAATTGCTGGAATAGGCGAGAGGCGATGGGATGCAGTAAATAAGGAGACGGACTGCTCTGCTAGAGGCATGAAATGCTCATCCTAAATAAGAGTGGAGAAGGCGAGATATATGGCTTCTAATAATTTATTTAAATATATGAAGAACTGTCTTATGAAAGAGGAGATACTTATTTTGTGTCATGAAATAGCGTAGAATATAGCAAAAGGGTGAATATTACAGAACAACAGAAATAAAGAAATTTCAATAAATGATATTTGGAACTAGTAGGGCTCTCCTTGAAAAGTAGTAAGGTCTCTCTCCTGGGAACCAGGTAACAAAGTCAATTCCTCTTTGGTGCTTACTCTGAGTCACGCACTAGGTTGTATGCAATGTATACATGATTTCATTTAGTTTTCACACTTCTACAAGATAAAATTTATTCCCAAATTGCAAAGGAGGAATCAAAGTCACATGGATTGAGTTCCAACATTATCGAGTACAGAGTAGCACAGCAGTGGGGGAGGTGTCTAAGTGACTCCCAAAGCTATGGTCTAACAACACTAAGTGACTGAAGGTTAAGGATGCAGTAGAGCAAGTTTAACTATTTTCAGGGAGAGTGTAAGAGTGATAGAGTAAACATTTTTCAATTTTTTGGAGTGCTATGCTTCTATTTTCTGATTGGGGAAAGTTAGTCTCAGTTTCCCATCTTATTCCAAGCTCTAGAATGACTCTCTATGTTTCATGAGTTCTAAATAAATGATTAAATTCATCTTGCATATTCCAGATAATGGCCTGTGTATAGGAAGCACTTAATATTTATTAAATTGAATTGAAGATGACAAGCAGGTAACTCTTCAGCCTCTCGGGCTGCAATTCTGGCCTTTCTCCATTAGGGACCGGCGGCTCATCAGAGAACAATCTTTATCAGGCGTACTCTGTCAAAGTCATCTGGGAACTCTTTTATAGGTGGCTAGGATAGGTTGAAGGAAAATGGTATCCAAAGCAACTCTTACCCACTCAGTGAACCACAAGTATAAATTAATTTTGTTAGGCAATTAAGAAAGCAAATGGCAAAAATAAAAAGAGAAGTCTGATTACATAGTTTTAATATCCAATGCTTATTTACTTTAATGTAAAATCTGTGCCAATATTCAAATTAAAAATGTACTATTTTCATATCTGTTTTGCTAGTAAACAAAACGTTGTATAATAATTGCTAAATATAAATATTATTTAGACATGCCTAGTACTAAATGTATCTATGTTTAGGTATAACTTCAGATGTTTATAGGCAAACATTCAAACTTGTTTTTTAATCTTCTAAACTTAGCTATTTGTCCTAAAGTATAGCTTCAAGTAAAACATTCAATTAGAAAGGATAGGGTGTTTTTATTCTAAAATAGTCATTAAAATAAAAGCAATCAAAGTGAAAAACAATGGAACTACATAGACTATTTCTCCATGAATTCAGCATTATCTTTACTTGAAAACCTCTCTTTGATGGGATTTGTTCTGTTTGTTTCAACCCAGGCACTATGCAGAAGGCTGGATTTGCTGATAAGCAGCTTTTTTTTCATTTTATTACAACTATCAGCAAGGTAATTAATAATTTTTAATTACCAGGAGCCTAGATTATGCAAATGAACTATAACTTTCTTTCCTCCTCCTTTGCCTTTTGTGAGGTCTTGCAAAAGAAATGACGGGCACAGTTGTGTGTGTAGATCTGTGAACTGTGGGCAAGTATGCTGAACTACTGTTCAGCAGCTTGTCCAGAGTTTCAGTAAAATTTTGAGCCCAGTACTACCCCCTCCTTTTATCCTGCTGTGTTTGGATGGATGAAGGGGTACAGTTCTGTCTGATCTCAGGAATCCACATAAATTAGGTAATATTAATTTCTATAAAGCTTTTTGAGTAGTGTAAAATGCTATACAGATAGGGTATATAAAACAAAATCCAACATGATCGTCTTAAACTCTATAGAAGGCTAATTTTAATTAATTAATTAATGTTTTTACAACAGGGTCTCACTGTTGCCCTTGTTGGAGTGCAGTGGTGTAATCATAGCTCACTGCAAGCTCGAATTCCTGGGCTTACTAATCCTCCCTCCTCAGCCTCCCCAGTAGCTGGGACTACAGGTGGGTGCTACTACACCTAGTTAATTTTTTTTTTATTTTAATGCTTAGTAGAGATGAGGTCTCGCTATTTTGCCCAGGCTGGCCTCAAACTCCTAGGTTTCTGCAATCCTTCCTCCTCAGCCTCACAAGGTGCCAGGATTATAGGTGTGAGCCACTGCATCCAGCCAGAAGGCTAATTTTTAAATAAGAACCTTGTTCTGAAATATACACCTTTTGGGGATTGCTAATTGAAGCTGTCTTTTCCTTACTGGGTTTTCTCACTCCTGCCTCAACTGCTTTAAACACATTTTATGAACTGTGGGTTTTCAGAACACTTAATCCCAGGCATTCTTCATTTTAAATGATTTTATTTTATTGTTGTCATTGTACAAACATCTTATTCTAGTTTAGGGACTCTGGCCTCATTTTAAAATTAAACGTATCTTTGCTATGGCCAAACATGAATAACGTGTTTACCTATTAATATTTTGGGACCCAAAGGCTTATTTCCCCTCAGGACTTGTCAGGAATGACAGACAGCTCAGTTCAAAATGAGTACTGATAGATTCATGCCAAGAGGGGGAAAAATCTGCTCAATTGTTCCCCTTTCATGTTCTGCACTGAGCAAGGCTGCTGGTTTCAAAGCAGCTCACAGGAATCACACAAAATGTTGAAATTTTAAAAAGGAAGTACCTTAATTCAGTGGTTGGTTAAAGATGAGGTTCATAATTCAGCATGAGTTGAACTTACATTCATACACTCACTGATGTGTATTCATATATTTATTCGTATGTTATTAATATATTCTTACTGATATATATGTTATTTATAATATAGCAAGTATCCTCTCAAGGGCAAAACCACATCTTCACCCATGCTAAGATCTAGAAAAGGGAAGTATCAAATTTAAACAGCATTCTTATTCCTATTCTTTTAACATAATTTTCTGTCTACTAAAGAAACGTGTAAAGGAGGCAGTGTCTGTGCATTTGTGCCATTTGGAAGAAGTAAAACATCTAAAGACTAAACTTACTTTTCATTCAAATTATTTTTTGAAGAATCAGCAAGGCTTTAATTTTTAATGCAAAAATTTTGGCATATATGTTTGGGTGATAAGACACTTGCCAAAAACTAGGTGAATCAAAAATCCTGTCAAACTCAACTTCCTCTAGGGACCAAGCGAAACTAAAGAGGTCTGACTATTGAACAATAGGAAGTTATGAAGACAGTGCTAAATTCAAGAGCATTCAAATGTAACATTTTGCAACAACGTTCAGGCCAAATAAAACACTTTTGCCACTTACTACCCTATAGATAGATAGGTTAATAATATAGATAGATTAGTATCTATTAGTAATCTATATATAGAGATTACTAATAAATAAATGATTAAATAAAATACCTTTTATTTTTATGTATTTTATGTATTTTATTTTTGCAGAATACTGGAGCAGTGTTTTTTAGGACTTGTTGAAGTAAATCATTTGTCTCAAATCAAGGGTAGATTGAATTATTTCTGGAAATACTTGTAAGACCTAATGAGCGTGTCATCTTTGGGTTGGACCCTGTTGCCATTGCTATAGCACAGCTCCCGGCACTCTTAAGTTGATCTAAAAGCATCCACAGCATTTTTTACACATCTGAGCTTCTAAGAACAAGGGACCCTGATGTGTCACAAAAACAAGGAGGCATGCCCTTTCCTCCTTGTGAGTGGAGAGCTCAGGTAAAAATTGAGGGAAGGAATTTGAACCCAGGCAGCCCTGGTGTTTACCCCCTGAGCCTTGAACAGGGCTAGACCTGGGCTGCTGTTGGGCTTGCATTGATGCTAACTTGCATATAACTTTTCAGAAACGCTGCCTTCAGTGGTCACTTCCATAATGCATAAGTCACTGCTGAATATTTTAAGAGCTTTCATATTTAGAGGAAAACAATGGGGCACATAAACAAAAGACATGTATAGATTATTTTTAGTTTGACTTTAGAACGGAAGATATAATTTAAGGCTTGTTTAGCCCTTTACAGCTATGAATGACAGTACTTTTCAAGAAGCAGCTCCTTAGTAACTGGCTTCTTCATCATCATTAAGAAGTGCTTATTTGCAGTGTAATTACAGTGGGCTCCAATTAGAGGATGTGTACAGGGTATGCATATGTGAATCACTGGGTAACAGCTTTGTCTCTAGACAATGCCCTTTTAAATCTATATTGAATTTGCATCTTAAACTGAATAACTATGATTACAACTAAGCAAAACATTTAGGAAAAATGATTAAGAGCATTTAAAAATAGATGGGGGGCTGTGTGTGTATGTGTGAAACATTTTACCTTTTTAACAATAACAACATAATAGACTACGTATATTTTCTACATTCATGAAAGAGCAATCATGTACCTATTGGTTCATGTTTCACCTTATTCTTTTTAAATGACAACTCCAATACTTATGCTCTGCATATCTATCATTGATTTTAGATTACTGTAATTTCTTCATATTTTGATACAAAATTTCATATTGTATAAGAGTTTTTATATAGTATGTATGAGGGACATAGAGAGAGGGAAGGAGAGAGGGAAGATGAGAGAGAGACGAGACAGAAGGAGAGAGAGGTCTATTACAGTCTCCTGATGTTAAAATTTGTGCAACTTAAAAATACAAAAAAAATGAATATATTGGTTGTACCCCAAATCTTTAAATAAATAAAACTCTAAAATAATGTGTAAGTAGTTTTCCCTCACTTAAAGAGAGTTGGTGGTAGTTATATATTTTGCATCTGTAAATACACTTTAAATTATGTGCCTTCAATATTTCTGCTGGTAAATTCTTATTAGGTATAGCTAATGAGCATAAAGCCATACATGCATTCTTCAAAAAGTGCAATGTAAAAACTGGAGTTAGCTTATGTTATGGATTGAATTTGCCTACATGAAGAACCAGCACTTGATGATTTGGAAAATGTTTCAGATAGCATGCTCTGAAAACAGGTGTGGCTGGACAACTATACACTAAAGAGATTAGGTATGTGATTTATGGGTCCAATCAACCATTTTAGTAGACTCCAGGAAGAGAGATGAGATTATTCAGGAAGAATGTGTAAAGAATACTCATGTCTAATAGTGTGGATTACCTTGACATGCACAGGAGACTGACAAAGTTTTTGAAAATTTTATACCAGCAGAAAAACTGTCAGCCCAGACTGAAAAGGGACAGAGATGGGATTGAATGAAACAAGAATGATTCCAAGGGCAAAGCAATGAGCCCAGAGGTTGAGGCCAGCCAGCTGGACATCATTGGCGAAGAGGTCGCGGCCACTGCCCAGGCTGGCCAAGAGGAAGGTGCAGTCGGCCAGGTGGGACAGGAAGACAGAGCATGGGGCTACAGATGATTATTCTCAGTCCTAGTAAACTAATGGAATTGACCCTGCTGACTTTTAAACTTGCTTGGGAACTCTGATCCATTTTTTCCCTTTGGGATGGAAATGTCCATCCTATGTCTGTCCCACCATTGTCTTTTAGAAGCAGGTAACATGTTTTCTAGGTTTCACAGGTCTATAGATGGAGTGAAATTTTGCCCCAGGATGGACCATATCCAGAGTCTTACTCACACTGGATTGAGATGATTTAAAGACAATATTTGGGACTTCTTGAGTTGAATATTTTTAGAGGAGATTGGACTTAGAGTTGATGCTGGATGAATTAAGATTTCTGGGGATGTTGGGATAGGTGGATAGATTTTTCAAGTTAGAAGGACATGAATTGTGGAGGGTGCAAAGAATATATTGCTATGGGTTGAATTGTGTCCCCACAAAAAGTATGTTGAAGTCCTAATCCCTGATACCTATCAATGTGATCTGAATTGAAAAAAGGGACTTTGCAAGTAAATCTAGTTAAGATGAGGCAATACTGAATTAGGGTGGACCCTACTTCAAAATAACTTGTATTCTTTTAGGAAGAGGAGAAGAGACACAGACAGAAACAGGGATTGGAATTTTGCTGCCAAAAACCAAGGAATGTCTGGGCTACTAGAAGCAGCAAAGAAGGATCCTCCCCTAGAGGTTTTTGAGGGAGCAGGGCCCTTCTAATACTTTGATTTTGGACTTTTAACCTCCAGAATTGTGAGAGAATAAAATTCTGCTATTTTAAATCACTGAGTTTGTGGTACTTTGTGTTGGCAGCCCTAGAAAGCCAGTAATGTCCACTGTAGTGAACACTGTTTTTCATCGGCTTTCCAGCATTCATCCCCCTTCCCCTTTTAGTAACTGTATCTGATCCTCCTACCCTACTCTTGTTTCATGTGTTTTACAGAATTTACTCCACCAATGGCTCCAAAACTAAATATGTGGCCTATACACTTTCCATTTCTCTGGCCTCAGCAATTGCTTCAGGGATAAATATGTAACCCAATCATATGGGGAAGATGGAAGGCTGGAGCTGCTGCAGCTATGTTGCTACTATGAGAGGATAACCTGTCTGAGAATAGAAATAACAAAAATGGAGCAGGACCAAGAGATCTCTGAGAGAAGACCCATAATTATGAGACACTCAATCAACCATATGTAAACTTAGCCCTACTGTTACAATTTTGAGTCACCCAAGATAATAAATTCCCTTCTGCTTACACCATTTTTGACTAAATTTTGTAACAGTTTCAAGAGATTCATATGTGTTAAATCTGCCAGTTCTTAACATTGCCCTCCTTCAGTTGCTTTCAGCCATCACTGATACCAGATTGTTTTCTCCTGGTTTACTTCTAGACTTAAAAATAAAGTGAAGCCTTTGTTCAGGTGTTTCACTGATAACTTCATCAATGAAATAATTTGATTATTATCTACATAAAGTTATTTTTTAGGAAAAATGTTAACCAGATTTCCCATTTCTAAATGTGTACTTCATAGCTGCTTTCATTTCTAGCACTTAGTCTTGCAGTCTGCAGGCTGTATTACAGAGACCTTTAGTCAGTTGCATCTCAATGGCCTGAAAGAGCAGACAAATTGTCTTTAATTTTTTCCTGGGGGAAAAATATACAAGAGCATCTCTTCATATTACATATGGATTTAGATTAGATTGAATATACCCTCAATTTTGTGCTACTGAAACTAATATAGTTTATGTTTTGAAATACATTCTTAAAGTTTAGTTTATATATTAACAAGCTAATTTTTTAATGTTTACACATTCCTGCATCAAAACTGTGCTTCCAAATCTTTTAGAAAATTTTCCTAATTTCTGATTTGATTCATAACATAAACCAAATGTACTTTTGATTCTAAATATCGAATTTAATTTATTATGTATCCAGTGCAATTTATCATATATACATCCTTTTGTAATTATTGAAATTCTGTTTAAAAACTATAGAGTCAACATATTCATTTTCCACAAGCTTTAGGCATAAAAGCCATACTATTCATACTGTATATATATTTTACCTGTCAGCTGCACAATTTTCATACATTCAAACAACTGAATGACAAAATACAATTTTAAAATTTCTCCTATAGGTGGAAGTATATATTGATTGAGAAAGAAAGAATAAAACAAAGAATACCCTCATGGATTTGGATATACCAATTTTTTGTCTTCCTTTCTTGATGTCTATTTCATAATGTCATAAGGTCATGATTTAGAAACTGATTTAGAAATTCTATAAAGTCATTACTTTGAATACATAGATTCTCTGTTGATCATACATATTATTAAAACTTTTATCCTTTTTGTGTTTTAAGCAGAATTATCATAGATTATCACACACCTTAGTCATCATTGAAATAGAATTTTTTTTGCTATTTTATACATATTAACAGTTTATCTGAGTGTTTAGATATTATGTATTATTAAGAATTGTAACTCATTATAAAAGATTATTTCATAATGATATATATCTTAATGTTGTCATTAAAACTTCAGTTTTGACAAAGCACTTCCACATTTATGCTAAGTTTAGGCTACTAAAATAGAGGTAATATTTAAAAACATCAAATAATTACCTCAACAATGTACCCAAAGTATTATTTACCATATTGACAAATACCGTCTTCCTTATGTGTACATAATGTATTGTATATGTTTACATCTTTTTATACATCACTTCAAATCGTTATCTTTTGTGTATAAGATGTATAGAGGTATATGCATATAAGCAAAAAGTAAATAAGAACAAAAATTATTTACTAAGTATAGACAAAGTACATATAGTTTTTTAAAAAGCAACAACCAGTTTACAGCATCTAAACCTTTCTTTTGTCAGCTATACTGTTTAAAATATCTTCTCCCCCTGCAGCATTACCCTAGATACATAGTATCTACTCTGGTGGATGGTGCCACTAGTACTTAAGGGGCACATCATTATTGTTACCTTTAAGCAGGGATTTCCTAAGAAATGAGTACTTAAAAATTAGATAAGAATCCAATAAAGGAGAAAGATGGCCACTACTAAGAAATCATACACACACTTGTATATTAATGTTCAAACGTGTTGCATTTAGGGCAGAACTTCCTCCAGTGTCTGCAGTAGCACTTGTATCAAGCTGCTCTATTCAGCCTGCTGCTATGACAACTATCGGGGGCAAATATCAGGTCAGCTCCCTGCAGCTGCGTCTTGGTATAATTGCTTTGTCAAAACTAATAGCTGCCTTCTTTTTCTCAGAACAGTGAAAGGCAACAGTAGCCAAAGAACTAAATGCTGGGACATTCTTTATCTGCTCCACTGCCTACACCCTTGGTTCTGACCATATTGTACTTGTGATTTTCCCTATTTGGTGCTAAAACTGTGTTTAATATGCTGTTGGACAATATTTTAAACTACGGCATTAATCCCAGTGAGTACCTCTCTATTGGGCCATCTATTACCATTCTCAGGCACCAGCATTCCTATCGTGTGGTGGGCTTCTCACTCAAAGCCTCTTCCCCTCCCTAAAAGTAAACTTTTTGTGATGCTATGCAAGAAGTTACATATGGATATTTATTACGTACCTACCCTCATCCCAGTATGTAAATACACATATTTAGGGCTCACTGTGATAAAAAGGCAATGCTGTTTTATTCCTACAAAGTGATATAAAATTGTCGAGTCAAACAATTGTTGAGTGCAAAAGACATCTGGAGGCCATTACAATGTTAGCGGGGAATATAATTAATTACTAAAATATGTAGTGCTGATAGTTGTTGCTACATAGAGAACTAGAAAAGGGACTTAATTTTGTGGACTAATATTTGATCTAGGGTGTTGTTCTTAAAGCAGGTGCACTTTGAGATGGGTCTACAAATAAACATAGGAGTGAAATTGAACTGAGAAACTGCCTGGATAAAGACACCCTGGTGGAAAGAGCTAGGACAGCTGTGCCACTCTCAAATATATCTCAATCCCCCAAGTATCATTTATGCAGAAAGAAAACAGGAGCAACAAGGAGGAAACACATTTCTTACTTGTGTAAATTTCAGTCATAAATAATAATAGTGATAATGTATACCTGAGTTTTTGAAAAAAATAAATGAGAAAATATGTTAATACAAATTTAAAATATACAATAACACAAATATTAGTACGATTATGTATGATGTGCTCTGCATACATGTCCTGACTTATTTTACAAATGTAGTCAAAATGATACTTTGATAACTGAATAGTGAAGAACTTGGAATTGAAACCTGGATCTGGTTTTTGAAATAGTTTCAACAAATTTTGTAGCTAGAATATAAATTATCAAATAAATGATAGTTGACAAATTAATTTAATGTAAAGACCTATAGAAAGCATCTTGTATTTTAAAAAAACTAGCTCAAATGCAGGATTCTGTAAAAAGATTTAAAGAAACCCATTGTTAATTGGACAGTTCCCTAGAAAGAAATTTTCCTCACACATACAGAGACTCAAAAAATCCTGACAGATTCATTGGACTTCTCAAATTTGCTTGATAGGCAATAATTAATGATATAAAAATGCAATTAAATTAAACTAATGTGACTTTCTGAGTTCTGCAACCAACGTAGTATTCAAATTCTTGCATGCTATGAATGTATGATGACATTAACAGTTGAAATTTATGAAGCATTCTGATTTTCATTTTTCAGAACATTACCCTGAAATCCAAAGGGAGCTAAATATTTTGTGCTGTGTTGGTCTTTTTTCTCCTTTTTAAAGGGAAATTCTGTTTCCAGTGGCATATGTAAAATGCTTTGAAAAAAGGAAGGAAGGAAGGAAACAAGAAAGGAAGGAAAATCTATGCTGAAAGGAGAATTAACTTTTCCAGGCCCATTTGTTTTATAAAATAAATTTGTTGAGCTAAGTGGCCTGTAAAGTTCCCTGTAGCTATAACTTTTTTAATGAGTCTAATATGTCGTGTAATAAATAATTTTATAATTTGAATAATTTGAAAATAAAGGATCCTCTTTTGAAAAGTTGTATACTATCAATTCTCAAGTATAGCAACTTTGTGTACATGCCTACATATGGATTTAAGACATCTTAGGCCCGGTGTGGTGGCTTATGCCTGTAATCCCAGCACTCTGGGAGCCCGAGGTGGGCAGATCACAAGGTCAAGAGATCGAGACCATCCTGGCCAACATGGTGAAACCCTGTCTCTACTAAAAATACAAAAATTAGCTGGGTGCGGTGACACGCACCTGTAGTCCCAGCTACTTGGGAGGCTGAGGCAGGAGAATCGCTTGAACCTGGGAGGCAGAGGTTGTAGTGAGCCGAGATCATGCCACTGCCCTCCAAAATGGCGACAGAGGAAGACTCCATCTCAAAAAAAAAAAAAAAAAAAAAAAAAAAGACATCTCACTACTTTCAATTCTCTACTGTATTTGTTATTTAAAGTCCTAAATCAAGGCTACCTTTTTCCTCTGCCTTCTTAGATGTCTTCTGAAAACAATCTCTTCCATGCTACATATGTAGCAAAGATAAAGAAATAACCAACAAGAAAGACATTGGTAGAGTAAAAGGCTTTGCTTTAGTTGCTGGGTTTTTAGATGGAAATAAGATTTTTGTTTGTTTGTTTGTTTGTTTGAGACGGAGTCTCGCTCTGTCACCAGGCTGGAGGCCAGTGGTGTGATCTCGGCTCACTGCAACCTCTCACTCCCAGGTTCAAGCAATTCTCCTGCCTCAGCTTCCCGAGTAGCTGGGATTAGAGGCGCCCACCACCACGCCCAGCTAATTTTTGTATTTTAGTAGAGACGGGGTTTCACCATGTTGGCCAGGATGGTCTCAATCTCTTGACCTCGTGGTCCGCCCTCCTTGGCCTCCCAAAGTGCTGGGATTACAGGTGTGAGCCACCGGGCCTGGCCAAGAATTTTTTCCTCTAGAAACTTTTCATTCACATTGAACTATAGTATTTTATTAATTAAGTTTATAGTTACAGCTATAATCTTTTTATGTACTTTGGCTCTCTGTCCTTTTTCCAGAAGTTAGAACCATGAGTTTTATTAAATGTCACTTACATTTTCATAGAGGAGTTGGGAACAAGAGACTAACCAGAAACATGATGAAAAACGTGATTGATCCTGCCATGTTCTGGGAGTTTCCTGAGTGCCAGAGTGTACTACTCTGTTTTCTTAAGTAATAAAACCAAGAAAATCTACAATAAGCACCTGGAATGTAACTGGAGAAGTGGTTTGATCTTATTGTAGGACTTTCAATTAAACTGTATCATGTAAAATGCTATTTTGATGGTGTATTAAAGGCAAAACATTAAAAGGAACTTAAAAATAAATGTAACTTGGGTTTTGGTCCATATTCCTATCATTTTTCTCCTGATGAAGCTATAGGTAAGGGCTCATAGAAAATAGCTTTGGAAAACTCCTAAAGCAATGAGAGGGTGTCCTCTTTCCTCACTGTATCTCCTTAACAGGGTGTAAATAGGAACAAGTACAGCCTGTCCTGCAGTCATCTAAGAGTCAGTGTGTGGACTGTTGACACTCTCCCAGGTTTAAAAATACATTATTGACAAAGGAAGACGACACTGATAACACAGCAAAGATTGGGGTTCTTCCTGAGGGTGGAAATTTGAAAAATGTATAAGGATTTATCCATTTCAGGAAAGTTGATCTTTTGTCATGAAATGAAGATACATTGATTATATTTTGGAAAGATTTTAACTAAAAATACAAGTAAAAAAAAGTAAAATAAATTTAAATCAGTAATCTCCAGCTCTTTAGAAATCCCAGTTATGTAGAAACACTAATGCCCCAAAGTGCTAAATAACTGAGGTAACAAGTATGTGTTCCTCGAGGCCACAAGTCTCACCATATGGACCACACGAGACATGTCACACATGACACACCGCTTCCTTTAGGAAGCATAGCCCAATTTCCCCAGCTATTATATTATCTAACTCCATAATGAATTTGTGACTCTAGTTCAGTTTCTCTAATACACATATATTGTTGTTTCACAGTAACTAATGGGTTTTAAAGTGGACAGATTGAGGAGAAAGGACAGGGCAAGGAATGAACAAATTATGAGAAATAAATTATAAAAATGAATCCACGTGGCATAAACCAAATATGTCAGGTCTTCGTTTATCCACTAAGCCTAAAAATAATTGGTTTAAAAATAACATTAACAAAGATGTTGTCTTCATGGAGATCCCAGTAAACCATATGTTTCCCTGTCTTTGGCACCAAAAGTGTATCAACATCGTAGGTTAAATATTTCTGTCGTAATTTAAACCACCTACTTGTATCCTGCTGATTATTTCCTTGAAATTAACAACAGCCTAAACCAAAGATGTATCTCAAAAATTTAAAACATCAAATTTTCCATATAAATGTGGGAGAATGCTTAATGAAACCAGAAAACCAAACAGTAAAGTAGAATGAGTAATGGAAAGAAAAACATCAGAAATTGTGGCTCATTTCCAACTTCTTGAAAAAAACCAGAGGTCACTCAGAAGAAATAAAGTTTCTCAGCTTCAGATTCTCCATCCATGACGAGGGAAGCCATCTACATGTCTCACAGTACTACTGAGGGACCAATACAATGACATTTATACTTCACCACTCAGATATATATTGATATATCATTACATAAATATGTGCACTAAGGAAGAAATTTAAACAGAAGTACTCTTATTCTAAAGTTTTTTTTAAAAAATGCATTGTTTGATGAAAACAATAATGTCTGTTTAAGGAGGCACCACTAAAAAGCAGTCTTTAAGATAGGAAGAATAGAAATCTTGGTATGTACTTACATAAGCTAAAATTATAGTTCGTTAAACTTGAATTCTTAATTAGCTGAGCTAATGTGGCATGGAAGAATAGACATTCCCAAATCACTCATGTTTAGTTCAGAAATACCCTGTAACCATAAGATTATTTTGTAGCAGTTAATATTCATTATTGCTTTTTGGCATATGCTCAGATTTAAATATCATTGCATTTAAATAGAAAACCTGAAATGAGAGGTGAATGGGAAAGTGATTCCCACAGTATCGGGATCTCACTTTTCCCATAGTCTCATCTACACCCCATTGTCTGTTTGCTTCTGAAACTTCCTACAAATTGGGCATAGTCTTCTTTACCACTCCTCTCTAGCATGTACTTACAGTCTACGTAACTTCACAGGACATAAGGACATAGAAGACCCCTGCACCTCTATGCCCAGTCATCTCTTCTTTGATTTCTTCACAACAATCTCAAGTTTCCTCCATAAGAAACTGCTGTTTTTGATAGTCAAGAGCCTCTCTCATTTGGAAACACCTCATTTGTATGGAATACCCTCCTCTAGCTTTTCTGTCAATATCTTCATTAATCAAAAGGTCTGCCTTAACAGTTCCTCCTCTAGGAAGCCCTCCTGGATTCCTCAGGCAGTTAGCAATGCTCCCCTGGCTCTCACAGCAATCTGATTACAGACTTATAATTTCATTTACCATGCTAATTTCACTTATCTTTAACAGAATGTGAGTTGATTGAGGAAAGCCATTATGTCTTATTCATATTCATCTGCAGTATACAAACACCTGCTCAGTGGTGATATTGTCAGAATTAAGAATATGATACTATAAAGTGCTAAGTACATACAAGTAAATCTGGCACTTAGTAAAAATTCTCAGTAAAAGTTATTCTTCCTCACTTGTTTTGTAGCTTCTTTACTGAGTAAAATATCTGCCATATGATGACTGCTTAATATATATTTGCTAAATAAACAAGCTATTTTAGGACCTATTTAGAAGTATTTTTATCCTACTAATCATATTCCTTGTTGATACAGATATATTAAATACTTAAGAAAATAACTAGAACAGTTCAAAAACCATGGAAAATTTAGAAGTTTATAACTTCTGTCATTAAAAACTTATCTTTCAAGAACTCAAATTAGAATTCATTCATATTTAAAATCCAGCCACACTGGTAAGCTAGTACTGAAAGAATACAAGTTAGTAAGGCAATTATTTTGCTTACATGTACCAACAGAATTCAGGTCTAATATTCTTTCATGTACAGCAAGTACAAAATTCCAGCAAAATTATTTTAACCATGTTACTAAATATGATATTATGTGCACAATGAATTCAAGTTTTTAAATTAGAATGGTAAAAGTCCATTGTAGATATTTACTGGTGATATCTATCTGTAAAACATTTTAATTTAATATGTATATATTTGTGTTTCCTTCATTTTTATGTTTATAAAATTTCTATGTTTATAAAAATATAATGGAACATCTATTATTTCAATAGCTAATTGTTTATAAATGTTATTATAACCATTCCCAGAATCTGTTCTGGACTAATAAAGGTAAGATGGTAAGTTTTCAGAAGTGATAATTTTTGTAATCACATTTCTCTGTATTGATTTTCTAATTTGTTCACCACTTTGCGATCATGAATTTAAGGTTATATTTTGATATCCACTTGTGCTAGCTATTTCCTACATAGGGAAAAAGTCATGTTGTTTTGGAAGATTACACCTTACTACACAGTACCAGGAACTTTAGAGACCATGTGAGTAGATAGATGGTTGAGTGTAAATCCATCACTGAAACCAAAGAGCAAGTAAGTACACATTCTCCAATGCTGAGTAAACAAAAAGTATATTTATAGGTTATTAAAACTGATAAAAGCACACATTTTTTAGGACTCTCTAGCCTGACATTTTTGTGCATTCTGTTTGCAGCAAAATATTGGATTTTGTGGTATCTGTGTTGTGAATATCAAACAGAAATTTAATTTATGATAGCTTTTGAAATTAAAAAGAATATAAATGTATATCAGGAGACAACTTAAAATAGTTGAATGAAAAATAAAAAATGGAATTGTCCTTCAAGAATAAAACTGGAATTAGAAATCATATGTGACTCAGTTTTTTAGTGGGGCATGATGATATTGCCATTGATACTTAATTGCCTTATCCTTGCTAATAATTCCCTTAAACCAAAAGTACTACATTAAGTAATTTTTATCTTATGCCACATCATTGTTACTTCTAGGCTCTGGCAAATTAAAAAAACACAGGAAAGGAAGAAAGGAAGGATGGAGGAAAAATTTATTTGACATAACAAATGCAAAGCCTACTGAAAATGTGAGGACTTTGAGCCTCAAGTTCAGTCTCTTAAAAGTGGAAATAACAGAGGCATAAGGATTCACTATCAAAGAATTAATCTGACAATTTAGGATTCTTAGTCCTCTTTTCAAATCTTAGACTATTCGGTCCATAGCAGTGCTTTTCAAAGTCAGTGATACTACCCTCTTGGGAACATTGGGGAACTCTATAGCAGGTGCTACTGACATTAAGTAGGTGGGGTGATGGGGAAAAGTTTACTACAAGCCCCGACATTTTCCAGGCAGTCTCATGTGACCAAGAATTGTATCTGTTCCCCTGGGAATTTTTTAAAGTAGTGTCTGAGCACAGTGGCTCATGCCTGTCATCCTAGTACTTTGGGAGGCCGAAGTTGGAGAATCACTTGAGCCCAGGAGTTTGAGACCAACCTGGGCAACACAGCAAGATCCTGTCTCTAAATTTTTTTGTTTTTTAATTAGCCAGGTGTGATGACATGTGTTTGTAGTCCCAGTTACTTGGGCGGCTGATTCAGGAGGATTGCTTGTGCCCAAGAGTATGAGGCTACAGTGAGCTCTGATCATGCCACTGTACTCCAGCCTGGGTGACAGAGCAAGAATCTGTTTCTTAATAAAATTAAAAAGAAAATTAATAAAAATGAAAGTTTTGCAGATATCAGTTAAAAGCCTTTTTAGAATTTTCTGAGCCTAAAACATAATCTTAGTTTGGTATAAATGCAAAGTTTTTATGTTTTTAAATATATATATTTAAAACTGCTTTTAAATATATAATGAATTATTTAAGGAATACCACTATCATGCAAATCAAGAAAATATTGTACTATGCTTTGTTTAGAAGTTTACCAGCAGTTTCTTACCATCTGGAAAGTTCATGTCACTGATCACTGTGAGTTGTCACAACATATACATGTCAGAGGACACTTTAGCTCTTGCATTCATGTTGATTTGTGGTATAGGTGCAAATAGTACCTGATGATTTCATTATCTCTTTTAGTGCCATAGTATCCCCACATTTCCACATTGAAATACATATTATTTTATTACATATTACTTTCTTTAATGTATTATTTACATTAATATCAGGACATTTTATATATATTTTTTAATTGCAGCCATATATAACATTAATTATAAATTGCACTTCAGGTCTTAAGGTAGGGCATTTCAAGGTAATTCTTGTAAAAAATAATGCCATGTTTTTTAGGATTAGGAATTACTGGCTTTGCGTCAAAGATTTCTTAAAGTTAAGACAAGCTTTTAATAGGCATATACCTATAAAATAAACTAAAATTCATCTTTTATAGGAATAAAATAGAAAATAAGAACACACTACCTGTTTATTAAAACCTTTAAAAACCTTGCTGCTGTGTGACCCAGTAATTCTACTTCTCATAATTTATCCTAAAAAATAGCAAGGCATCATTTTCATATGCAAATTATGATAGAAAAAAAGTAAAATTAGCACTTAATATTTAAAAAATGAGGTGGTGGAATTACTAGTAAAATTTCTTATTTATGTATTTCATTATTTCCTAATTATAAAAAATCCTATGTGATTGAGAAGAGTATTAAAAATGAAAATATTTTTAAAGTATGATTCTAAAGTCATGAGGATTGGATCAAAATGGGGCCCCATCCTGAGCAATTCTGTGACCTGGAGAAATTTTTTCAACTTTTCTGAGCCCCAATTTCTATACTCTTATAAAAAGTATGGCAATTATAAAAGAAAGGCTTGCAAAACACTTCACATAGTCCCACATTCATATATGTTTCTGCTGTGCTGTTATTGACATTATTATTAAAGAGGATGTCAAGACCCATTAGAATGAAATGACTTGCAAAATACGTTCTATCCCAGATAAAGTATACATGTTACATAGGAGATAGAACATAGTCCAAGAACTACCCCGATGGTCCAGACATACCTCAGAGATACTGAAAGTTCCGTTCTAGACCACTGCAATAAAACAAATATTGCATTTAAGCAAGTAACATGAACTTTTTGTTTTTCTACTGCATATAAAATTTATGTTTACCCTATATTGTAGTCTATTAAGTGTGCAATATCATTTGTCTAAAACAAAACCAATGCGCTTACCTTAAACAACAACATAAAACCGTTATTGCTTAAAAATGTTAACAATCATCTGAGTCTTCTTGAGTCAAAATCTTTTTGCTGATGGAGAGTCTTGACTCGATATTGATGGCTGTTGAATGATTAAGGTGATGGTTGTTGAAGGCTAGTGTGGTTGTGACAATTTCTTAAATAAAGACAAGAATGAGGCTTGCCACACTGACAGATGCTCTTTATCATGAAATATTTCTCTAAAGTATACAAAACTGTTTGATAGTATTTTGCCCATAGTAGAGCTTCTTTCAAAATGGGAGTCAATTCCTGACACTGTTTAATCACCTTAGTTTATATAATGTTTTTAAAGCTTTGTTTTTATTCAACAGAATTCACAGCATTTTGACCAGCAGTGGATTCTATCTCAAGAAACCACTTTTACGCTCAGCTATAAAAAGCAACTTTTCATCCACTGAAGATTTATCGTGAGATTGCAGCAATTCAGTCACATCTTCAGGCTTTATTTAATTCTACTTCTCTTGCTATCCACCACATCTAAAGTTACCTCCACTAGTAAAGTCTTGAACCCCTCAAAGTCACCCACGAGGGTCGGAATCAACTTCTTCCAAACTCCTGTTAGGTTTGCTATTTTGACCTCCTCCCATGAATCGTGAATATTCTTAATGGCATCTAGAATGGTGAATCCTTTTCAAAAGGTTTTCAATTTCCTTTTCCTAATCCATCAGAGGAATCACTAGCGATGGCAGCCATAGCCTTGGGAAATGTATTTCTGAAATATAAGACCTGAAAGTATGATTACTCCTTCATCCATAGGTTGCAGAATGGGTGTTGGTTAGCAGGCATAAAAACAACATTAATCTCCTTGCACATCTCCATCAGAGCTCTTGGGTGACTAAGTGCATTGTCAATGAGCAGCAATATTTTGAAAGGAATCTTTTTTTTTTATTTCCTGAGCAGTAGGCCTCAACAGTGGGCTTAAAATATTCAGTTAACCATGCTCTAAACAGATGTGCAATCATCCAGGCCTTGTTGTTTCATTTATGGAACACAGGCAGAGTAGATTTTCATGAAATTCTTAAGGGCCCTAGGATCTTCAGAATGGTAAATGAAAACTGACTTTAACTTAAAGTCATCAGCTGCATTAGCCCCTAACAGTAGAGCAGCCTGTCCTTTGAACTGTGAAGCCAGGCATTAATTTCTTCTCTCTAGCTATAAAATACTAGGTGGCACCTTTTCCCAATGATTCACTACGATGATGTAGTGATTTCATCTACATTATAAATCTTTATTGTTTTAGTGTACCCACTTTCTTCAATTATCTTAGCTGGATCTTCTGGACAACTTGCTGCATTTTCTACCTCAGCACTTGCTGCCTCCCTTTCCATGTTTATGTTCTGGCAATGGCCACTTTCCTTAAATCTCATGAACTAATCTCTGCTGTAATAGCTTCTGACTTTTCTCCTGCAGCTTCCTCACCTCTCTTACTCTTCATAGAATTGAAGAGAGTTAGGATCTTGCTCTGGATTAGGATTTGGTGTAAGGGAATGTGGCTGGTTTGATCTTCTATAAGACCATGAAAACTTTCTCCATAACAGTAATAAGGCCGTTTTGCTTTTTTATCATTCTTGTGTTCACTGGAGTAGCACGTTTTTTTTTTTTTTTTTTTTGATACAGGGTCTCACTCTGTTGCCTGGAGGCGGTGGCACAATCATGGCTCACTGCAGCCTCAACCTCCTGGGCTAAAGCAATCCTCTCACCTCAGCCTCCCAAGTAGCTAGAACTACAGATGCACTGCGCCATGCCTTGCTAATCTTTTAAAAAACATTTTTGTAGAGATGGGGGTCTCACTATGTTCGCCAGGCTGGTCTGGAACTTCTGGGCTCAAGCAGTCCTTCCACCTTGGCTTCCCAAACTGCTGGGATTACATGTGTGAGCCATCACAGCCAGCTGAGTAGCATTCTAATATTCTCCAAGAATATTAAATCTCCTTCACACTTACAACTTGGCTGTTTGGTGCAAGAGGCAGAGCTTTAGGCCCATCTCGGCTTTTCAACATGTGTTCCTCACTAAGTTTAATCATTCTAGCTTTTGATTTAAAGTCAGATACATGAGACTCTTCCTTTCACTTGAATACTTAGAAGCCATCATAGCATTATCAATTGGCCTAATTTCAATATTACTGTGTTTCAGGGAATCAGAAAGGCTGAAGAAAGAGAGAGACAGGGTGATGGCTGGTGGGTGGGGTGGTCAAAATACACACATTTATTAAGTTCTTTGTCTTAATTTGGCATGGTTCACGGTGTCCCAAAATAAGTACTATAGCAACACCAAAGATTACTGATCACAGATCACTATAGCAGATATAATCATGATGAAAAATTTGAAATATTGTGGAGAGTTACCAATATGTGACATAGAGACACACAGTGACCACATGCTGTTGGAAAAATGGTGCTGACAGACTTGCTCACAAGATTGTCACAAACCTTCAATTTGTAAAAACTGCAATATCTGTGAAGCACAACAAAGTGAAGTTCAATAAAATGAGGAATGCTTGTGCTTCATTTTTCCTATATAGTATATTTTCTTCTGTGAATGAAAGTGTCATGTTGAAGCACATTGAGAAACTCAAAGATACAGGGTTTTCCCCCTAACATATGTATGTAAGAGAGAAAAATGCCAGGAGTAAAGTAAAAAGCTGAGGATGACTGAGAATAAGTGTGGACTGGCAGGCCATAGAAATAAGTTTCAAGCCATATCTTGTTAATATCACAATGTCTAAATTTAAGAATAAAACCCTATTGAATGGTGTTGCTTTCAGTTAGGTATTTGTTAAAGTTTATAAATGTTATAAAAAGGACACAAAACTGCAGAATTAAATGTGAAAGAAAAGCTGCCTCTCATAAACCATGTCTTAATCATGGTATGTTAGATAGTTTTAAAAAAAAGTCATATTAAAATTGCCCCCACGCTTACGTGGCTACATTTTCAACCTTTGCACCTGCAATTACATTTCTTTAATAATATTCCAACTTATTAGTATCCTAATAAAACAAAGAAAAATCATGAAGAGACACAGATGACAGTGAATTCACCACTACTAAGGGAAAAAACAGTTGCAAGGAATTATACAGTTACTAAATATTTTTAGGTCCTGGGCCATTGGGTTCATGCTGGTTAATTAGCAGTGAGTTTTTTTTTTTTTTTTTTGGTAACTTAGTGATGTATAAGTTTTCAGTACTTTATTTTTCTTCTTCCTGACTTTTTATTACACCACAGGTAAGTAACGTGCCATTTCCCCTTCCCTCCACTGTGTTCTTTTCAATAGAGTCAATGGTGTCACATCACAGTCAACCATTGGTTTCCCGTGTGTCTTAGCTACTGCAAAATCTGTCACCCAGCATTCCCGCTTTGTCCTTCTAGGGCAGTAACTGCTGGGCTCCTGCTGGGGAAGCCCTTAACTGGTGGTTTTATATGATCTTGTCTACAGAACTACGAACTAATTTAACTGAAAGCACTAAGAGCAGAAAACATAACAAGGAAACCCTCACATTCTCCAGAAACTTTCTACCTTAATCAGTCATCAAGCCTGTTAATAAAATGTATGTCATCCCTCAAAACCAGCAAAAATAATACACTGATAGGAGATAAATCACCAACAAGTAACTGGTTCTAATCCCTCTTACTTTTTGCCTCTTTGTCTTCAAATGAAATGTAACCAATAACTATAAGATCTTTTTGGTTTAAGGAAAAAGAAATAATTACTAAATAATAAATATATAGAGAAAAGAACCCACAAATTTTGAGCTATGTCATAGAACTCTAAATGCGAAATCTGGCTGCCCCTTTTGAATTGTCAAAGTGAAGAAGAATTTCCTAGATAACGTAAAAAATACAAATTTTATGTTAAATCTAGAAAAATGCTATATATATTCCAAACTGCATTGCGAATGGACTTCTGTGAAATCTGATTCCTGATGAAGGAGCAGTAGGCTCCTGTCCTTGCCACTGGCTTGCTTCAGGGCTGAGGCTGCATAATAACAAGCTTCCTCTGGATTTTGGTACAAAATGGACATATGGAATAAAGTATTTAACACATCCATACCACCTCTCATGTTCATAGCTCAAAGAGCTTTATAAAATCCAATTAATTCATCAAGCTTCATAAACTCTGAAAGACATACATAATTACATCTCTACATGTGGCTAACCACTGGCAGCAAGCAGTCAGATGAGTGGCTTAACAGAAAGCCAATTTTGAGTGTTCATGTTTTGAACTTTTGTGTGCCTACAGAAAATTGGGGGCATAATGAAGAATCTCTTAGTCACTGGAAAATTCTAAAAATTTTGAGTCAGGTTAAGAATGCACACAGGAAGAGTGATCTTCTTGCTAACATGCAAAAGAACTCTGGCTCTCTCTAGTTGGGCAAAGAGGGGTTTGATTCAACTAATAGAGGGATCCCTGCCAATTACATGCTTTGGTAGGAAGTAGAATCACTTGGTAGAAGTTTCTGTGTGACACAGCTAAGGAAATCTATAGAATTTACAGCAAGAAAAAAGTAGTTTATACACTTTTAAGATACTAATTATAAACAGTAAACTAGTGTTTACAGTGCATAAACAGCTCTCCAGATGAAGTGAAGCACTTTGGGAAGTTTGTAGCCTTTTTTAGGCTGATATCCAGGCAAACTCTAGATTGCTAGTTATAGTAAAGTACAAAATTTTTGTAAATAAAGTAAATCATTTTCCACAAGAAAACTGCACTGCCAAAACCTTGTAAGCAGAGGCACAAATGATACAAGTCCTAAATGTTTGTTCTAGGCTATGGGTTTCCCTCCATGAACATAATACATGAAAATACATTATAGGATTGTGAAAAGATGTCAGGCATTAGTTTTATCTAATATAAACTCATATTCTGGCTTTCTCGTGCAGCTGGTGGCCTTGCACAAATCATTCCACCTCTCTGGGCCGCAGTTTTCTTACATGTAAATGAGAATAATAATATCCTTTCTCATGGGGTTGTTGAGAATGGTAAATGAAACTGTATCTAGAAATTGCCCAACAAGTTTTTAGTAAATCTTAAAAGAGTTTAATTTAAAAAAATTATTTCTTCATTATTCCCCACAATTCCAAAGCTTTTTGAACCCTTCTGGGTTTGAAAATAATATTTTTCCCACCAACCGTGTAAAAGCATTGCTATTTCTCCACATCCTCTCCAGCATCTGTTGTTTCCTGACTTTTTAATGATCGCCATTCTAACAGGTGTGAGATGGTATCTCATTGTGGTTTTGATTTGCATTTCTCTAATGAGCAGTGACAATGAGCTCTTTTCATATGTTTCTTGGCCGCATAAATGTCTTCTTTTGAGAAGCGTCTGTTCATATCCTTTGCCCACTTTTTGATGAGGTTGTTTTTTCTCGTAAATTTGTTTAAGTTCCTTGTAGATTCTGGATATTAGCCCTTTGTCAGATGGATAGATTGCAAAAATGTTCTCTCATTCTGTAGGTTGCTTGTTCACTCTGATGATAGTTTCTTTGGCTGTGCAGAAGCTCTTTAGTTTAATTAGATGCCATTTGTCAATTTTGGCTCTTGTTGCCATTGCTTTTGGTGTTTTAGTCATGAAGTCTTTGTCCATGCCTATGTCCCAAATGGTATTTCCTAGATTTTCTTCTAGGGTTTTTATGGTTTTAGGTCTTACGTTTAAGTCTCTAGTCCATCTTGAGCTAATTTTTGTATAAGGTGTAAGGAAAAGGTCCAGTTTCAGCTTTCTGAGTATGGCTATCCAGTTTTCCCAACACCGTTTATTAAATAGGGAATCCTTTCCTCATTGCTTGTTTTTGTCAGGTTTATCAAAGATGAGATGGTTGTAGATGTGTGGTGTTATTTCTGAGGCCTCTGCTCTGTTCCAATGGTCTATACATCTGTTTTGGTATCAGTACCATGCTCTTTTGGTTACTGTAGCCTTGTAGTATAGTTTGAAGTCAGGTAGTGTGATGCCTCTAGCTTTGTCCTTTTTGCTTAGGATTGTCTTAGCTATATGGGCTCTTTTTTGGTTCCATATGAAATTTAACATAGCTTTCTCTAATTCTGTGAAGAAAGTCAATGGTAGCTTGATGGGGATAACAATGAATCTATAAATTACTTTGGGCAGTATGGCCATTTTCATATTGATTCTTTCGATCCATGAGCAAGGAATGTTTTTCCATTTTTTTGTGTCCTCTCCTATTTCCTTGAGCAGTGGTTTATAGTTCTCCTTGAAGAGGTCCTTCACATCCCTTGTAAGTTGTATTCCTAGGTATTTTATTGTCTTTATAGCAATTGTGAATGGGAGTTCACTCATGATTTGGATATGTTTGTCTGTTATTGGTGTATAGGAATGCTTGTGATTTTTTGCACATTGATTTTATATCCTGAGACTTTGCTGAAGTTGCTTATCAGCTTAAGGAGATTTTGGGCTGAGACAATGGGATTTTCTAAATATACAATAATGTCATCTGCAAAGAGACAATTTGACTTCCTCTCTTCCTATTTAAATACCCTTTCTTTCTTTCTCTTGCCTGATTGCCCTTGCCAGAACTTCCAATACTGTGTTGAATAGGAGTGGTAAGAGAGGGCATCCTTGTCTTGTGCTGGTTTTCAAAAGGAATGCTTCCAGTTTTTGCCCATTCAGAAGGATATGAACAGACACTTCTCAGAAGAAGACATTCATGCAGCCAACAAACATATGAAAAAAAGCTCATCATCACTGATCATTAGATAAATGCAAATCAAAACCACAATGAGATATCATCTCACGCCAGTTAGAATGGTGATCATTAAGCAGTCAGGAAACAACGGATGCTGGAGAGGATGTGGAGGAATAGGAACGCTTTCACACTGTTGGTGGAAGTGTAAATTAGTTCAACCATTGTGGAAGACAATGTGGCGATTCTTCAAGGATCTAGAACCAGAAATACCATTTGACCCAGCAATCCCATTATTGGGTATATACCCAAAGGATTATAAATCATTCTGCTATAAAGACACATGCACATGTATATTTATTGCAGCACTATTCACAATAGCAAAGACTTGGAGCCAACAAATGCCCATCAATTATAGACTGGATAAAGAAAATGTGGCACATATACACCATGGAATACTATGCAGCCATATAAAAGGATGAGTTCATGTCCTTTGCAGGGACATGGATGAAACTGGAAACCATCATTCTCAGCCAACTAACACAAGAACAGCAAACCAAACACGCATGTTCTCACTCATAAGTGGGAGTTGAACAATGATAACACATGGACACAGGGAGGGAACATCACACACCGGGGCCTGTCGGGGAGTAGGAGGCTAGGGGAGGGATAGCATCAGGAGAAATACCTAATGTAGATGATGGGTTGATGGGTGAAGCAAACCACCATGGCACATGTATACCTATGTAACCTGCACGTTCTGCACATGTATCCCAGAACTTAAAGTACAAAAAACAAAACAAAACAAAACAAAACAAAAACGGGGGAAAAAAAGAAAACAGTATTTTTTTGTGTGGAGATATTATTGGATATCCTCCATTCCTAGAAACAGAGCCTTGCAATAAATATATGAGGACATATAAAAAGGAGAGAATATGGAGAGTAGGGCCAAGGACCACTGGTCCTCATTCATTCTAGTCCCTACTCCTGGTGCAGGAGTAAGAAGTCCCATTTTTAATTATTTTTAGAAGTTTTTCTTCAGTGGGTAGAAAGTCTATGAAGTAAATTTGAGCTCAATGTAAAGACCTTCAAAAACAATGATAAATCTCTGACAGTAGGAAAGTGTGTCAGTAAATAGCAGATCTTTAGTACCAGTGTGAGATTTGAGATATTAAAGCAAATAACAAATATATCTTTAACAACATATAAACGTATGAAATACATAATGCTTTTATATGAATTGACTTATAAAATCCTCACAACAGCTCTATGAATCTGATATCTGTATGTCCCATTTTACAGATTAGGCCAACAGTATTTAAGTGACTGGATCAAATATCAGCTGATGACCAGCTTTGGGGAATATTGTAGAGTGATATTATAGGTAGTATATAATATGAATAAGTCATTTAATTTTTATAACAACTCCACATGATTAAAACTATATAGGGATATTCTAGAATGTACATTAGGTGGGATGTATAGCTAGACAACAACCAGGAGAGCCCTTTTAATCCCAGAATTCTACAATCTCAATTTCTAGAACTAGCATCTGTTCTCAAATGGACTTTGCCTTTGAAACTTCAGTATCTGAGGTAGTGTTATTAATGCCTGCTTCTAGTTAACTGATATCAATACAATGACAAAACAGCTAGCATCAGTCTTTTCTAGACTGAATTTATTGATGCTTACTATGCACCAGGCAAAATGCTAAGTACATAACATGAATCTGTCATTTAAAGTTCTCATAACGACTCCACAGGATGAGTACTGTTACTATTGCTGTCTTTCATATGGAGTAATCAAAGCACACAGAACTGGAATAGCTTGGTGAAGTTTGCACAATTAGAAAAGGTAGAGATGAGATTCAAAACCAGGTCTATTTAGTTCCAGAATGTGCTCCCCTAATCACTATGCCAGATGGTATTATACATAGTGTTATAACTCATTGTATAGATACATTTTATAGATATAACAATGATAAAACTCCTAACAGAGGGCACATATATGTGAATCAACACTGGTGGCACGATTAGCACATTCTAAATTGACATTTTCACATGGTTTTTATCTGAGACTAATACTGTATTTTTCATTTAACTGAAGGCTTCATCTTTTGTGGCATTTAGAATTATTAGCACATGACATTTTAATAATAAACACATCAAATCAATGCTGATGTAATTCTGAAACATGTTAAAGTATTCTAAGCCTGAAATGAAAAAACGTTTTTGCTTTTTTCCTCGAAGTCCATTGGCTCACTGTAGAATCAAAATTGAACTAACTTACTTTAGTCTTGACTCATCTCATCCTCAATTAGCAATATAAAGCATATAATCCATTTGTTGTAAAAATACTTTACAAGTGAAAATGTGGCAAAGTTTTATGCAGAATATTTAGTATATCATGTGATAATTTAGATTTTTACTATGGATACTTGAGAAAGGGGGTACATACAACAAAGAGAAAGACATTTCTGGGATGAGAAGGAGAAACAGAAATATACAGATAACCCAAGGGAAAGACTGAGGGAAACACCAGTGAGCAAAGTACAAAAAAAAGAAACATCGCCAATACACAGATGCCTTAGAAAAAAGATATTGAAACATGACATGCAATTGGCATACAATAAATGATTAATTAATGAGAGATTAAGTCTAAGACATGAATTTTCATTATGTATATCCTCATTTTGTGACTTTCTAGTCTTTCAAAGTTGTGTTGTACTGTCACCACCCTCAGCATCATGTATTGGCATGCGGTAGTAGGCCAGAGGAAATTAAGGAGAGGTTGGTTCATTTCATTCGAAATGAACATGATCAGGTCACTCTCATAAGTCATGAGGTAAATTTACAAAGCTGTTGGAAATGATCAGCTAGAACCTCTTAATAAGTAATTGACCTTTAAATTGGATACTAAACAGAATCATAACTCGTTAGTTTTGCTACTGTTCATTTTCGCCACAGAAACATTTTGTTCTTTGACCTTCATTGATCACATGAACACACATTTTCAAGTTTAAATTCATATCATAAGGACACAAAAACTATATCTCTGTGTACTTTAAATCCATTCAAGAGCTTTTACTCTTCAACATAAATCAAATTAAATGAACTACATTTGCTATAGCTGGTGTTCACCAGACTTCAAGATGCCTCAGTACCTGCTGTCTCTCCAGACGCATCCTCTTGGCGGCATTTCTACTCTCACTCTCACAAGCTGAAGCCAAGATACTCTCTGCAACTGCTGAAGTAAGGTGGGAAGGAATAGGTCGAGACTAAAAAAAAAAAGAGAAAAGTATGAAAAAAATTATTAACAGTATCATTAACAGGCCAATGCTATTCTCAGAAGAGCTCTCAGGATCATCAACATGTGCAGGAATATCCATTTATTTCAACTGAACTTGTTTCAATAGAAAGAGGAAATGGAAATTGTAAAGATGAAAAATGAAAGCTAGTTAGAGGTTAAAGCTATCGTTGCTACACAGATCCATCATTCATTCCCATAGATCCATTGTCACAAGTATCTAGCCTGGGTCATGAAGCTGGAGTTTGAACAGGCAGTGGCAAAACTGCTGACTGGATTTTGCAAATAAAACAAGGTCTTTAATTCTACTACAACATATGACATGCACAAAAAAAACCAAAACAAAAACAAGTGACAGGGCTAAAATAGAGTTTAAAAAACCTAATAGACACTCAGACCATGTCAAACAGTCTTAATATGAAATATTATGAATATTTACACTCTAAATTATGACCCAATTGATGTGATTACAATGGTTTTAAATATAAATAATTAAAAACTAAAAAGTCAGTCCTACAATGATTTTTATATATTAAAGGTTTAGTGCTTTAGATGTGAGATATGTTTGCCTATGTGTACATGCCTGTTTTGTTTTACTTATAAAATATGAGCTGATATTTTATAGGGACGTGTTGAAATCCATCTTCTATGTAGCCCACATAGAAAGAATTAATTCTCCAACTAAGCTCATGATTAACTGTAAATTGTTTGCAGCTCTCAATATCATTCATGATAACCATAACAAAAATTATGATTTTCATTCTTTTTTCCATAATTACATGCAAAGTCATCCAACTGAAAGATGAAATACTTAATAATATAGAAGTTTTTTTTAAATTAAGATAAGCAAATGATAGATGAGAAATAACAAAATTAAACCAAATGAGGTAGTAAAATAATGTGAAATTATGAAATAAATGTATCTTTTGGGAATATAGCATATACAGTATATGCCACCTTAGGGTTTTCAAAGCCTCAAACGAAAATATGTGTGAATGCTATTTATTAGAAGCCTGAACTAATTGAGACCTTTTGAATTTTTTTCTAAAGGAATTGAAACAAACCTTTTTTATACATGACTCATTTTACCAACTCTGGCATGTAGAGTGTGTCTCAGCAAATTGAACACAGGGCTTACATCTCAAATAATATTCTAGAACAGCTAAATTCAGACCACACCGTTTTAACAGACACTCCATAGTTAAATTTGTACAGTGTAGACAGAGACCAGGCTCTGACCTTGGGTGAACTAGGAAGCAATTTCTGCAGCTGCCTTAGCAGACTTCCTCACTACTCCCCCTCCAAAGTAGCCTCTGGAGGCAAAAGGTAGGAAAGGTATAGGGTACATACTCTTCTGCTAACCCCATGGGACATCTCAAATGATGGTTACACTACTTTGACAATAAAGCAGTTGGATATTTGGAATGTCATTTTTGCAAAAAAGAAGAAAAGAGGTCCATGGGTGGCAGGAAAAAAATGCAATATAAGCATTTTGAGAAGGAAATTAGAAAGCCAGGACTGGGTATTTGTAATAGAAAAGAGGGTCAAATGAGGCAAATCTAAAATAAATTGCCATAAAGATGTAAGCATAATTTCAAAACTCATATTGCTTCTTCATTTCATTCTCTACTTCACTAAGTATAAAGAAAATATTGTAGTCCAAAGCCAAATAAATTAAGCTATAAAATCAGTCTCATTAACCGATGATCACTGCCTGGCTCAAAAATGTAGTCCAACTACATGGGAATTAGATACTCATTGATATCTTTCTTGATTGAGCTAATTTTTGAGGCAAAGATGTTATAGGAAAAATGGGAATAAGAACATTACATTATCAAAAAATAAAACAAATTATTTGATTGTAGTTAGCATTATTCAAATAGGAGTGAGAGTTTATATCTTTATAAAGTACATTATTAGATCTTTTGTTTCCAGGGATGAAATTAAGAGAATCTAAATAAAATATCAGCAACCATCCTTTTCTTAATCCAATTATTGAGAGCCACATGGGATTCAGAGAGACATATTCAGTTCTTCGTTACCTCGATTTTTCTCTCTTTTTTTCAGCTATCACCATTAAAAATTAGGAATATATAAAGCTATAGAATTTTACTAAATGATTACATTGTATCAATAGGCACACAAGTAACTTAAATACATAAAAGTTCGTTTAACATGGAGAACGTAAGTAAAATACCCCTTCAATTAATATTATTTCATGGCATTTTCTTTCAAATTCTTATTAATTTTTAAAAACAACTTTTACTACTCAACTTCTACTAAAGCAGTAAAAGTTGTTATGCATAATAATTTATGTAATTTCCTTTTCAGAAAAGATGAAAGGGAGAGTTGGATCTTTCCTAGATGTGTGAAATTAGTCTTCTCATAAACTAGAGTAATGTCCTGGCTAATTAGAACTAGATATATTTTAAGGTCATGTGATAACCTAATATTTAAAAATTAACTTCAAGATAAAGCAACCATGCACACTATCCTATTGAGTGGAAAAAATAAGTAGAATCAAAGATGCATGATTCAATACTTCCCGTAGATAAACAGTATAATTTTGAAAATAGATTTGTACTGAGTTTATTGTAGGATCATAAGTTGACAACTCTCAATGGCCATAGAAGTCATCCAGTACAAGTTTCTTCTCTCAACTTTGAAGAACTGAAACCTAGGTAGATTAAGTAATTGCAAAAGGACAAATTGAACTAGATCCAGAACTCAGGTTTCGTGTCTCCCAATTTTCAACTCTCACTTTCCTAAATTCTGTTGTATATTTAGTACTTTTACATACTTTGTCATTAATAAAACAAAAAATTCTTTAAAAAATCTGTATATACAAACCATTGTTTTCAACTAAAAAAATAAGCAGAACAAAGGTAGACATGTACATGAATGTGTTATAATCATCATTAACTCAAGCTCATTGGAGAAAAAGGCAGAATAAATCATAAAATCTGTGTTACAATCAAAAAATTATATTTTAAATGTATTTTTGCAGAGAATGTACTATATCTCAATAATGTGTACCTCCAAATAGAAATCCAGTACCATCCTAATTTAATTTTTAGATAAATGTTAATAATATCTAACTCTTATTGAGTGCTTAGGACATTCAGGTATTAATACCAAAAGCTTAGATTTATTATCAAATTTAATCTCCTTAACAATCTTTGAGAAAAGTACTTATATTACTCATATTTTAGATAACCTACATTCAAGTTCTGAGAGATTATGCAACTTGCTCACAATTATGCAGCGATGTATGTGGAAATACCTGAATTCAAATTCAAGTCTGATGATGAATTGGGAGTTATAATCCCTAGTGAACTATTATTCACATTTTACAACAAAGTCCCCACTGAGTTTAAATAAATCTAGAATTCTTAAATACTACACATTCCTGTGAGGAAATTCAATCACAGCTAACCACACATTGCATTTAGCAAAGAATATATCAAGATCTCCCTAGCATCCTTCAGTTAAATGGTTGAAGTCCTTTAATATATTTTCCTATAAATTCTATAAATTATGAAATTTATGATCTTCATTAAAAGCACAAAGACAAAAATGTAACTTAGCTAAGTTATGCCACAAATTCTTAACTGATGTAATCTGAATTCATAAGATTTTAAAGTTTATACAGCCAGAAGTGTCAATAAATTACTATACACGAACCATAATAAAGCTTAATTTCATGCCCAAAATGAGAATACAGGAGCCAGGCAGAAAAGTTCTTTCCCTCCTGTGAGGCAATCATGCTAAAAATCTCTTTGCTTCTAATATTAATGAGCCAATAATAAATGCCAATACTCTCCAATACACACAGGGCTCAAGTGTGCAGCATTTGGTTATAAGATAGCAAAGACAAAAGTTTAAAAAAATTTCTCTATAATTTGGCTTCTATCACTTAACAACTCAAAAGTACTAATATCGAGAGAGTGAGAAGGAAATTAATAAATTTTTCTCATTATAAAAGTAATATTACAGAGAAATTTAAAACTAGTGTTTAGTACGTGCTCTGAGAATCATCTCCTTCTGAACTCTCCTTTTCATCATTACATTTGACAGTTGAGGGCTTATTCTAATGTCACCACAGTATGGTCTTTCTAAAACATAATTAGCAGAGTGTGTTAGGGAATATGGTCATAGATTTCACCAGGAATGAGGCTGAAAATTCCCTCTTACATTTGTAAGAGTGGCCATAAAACACAAAGCTTCCATGTAATAATTGGAGATAGGAATATTTTGATGCAAAAACCAAATGCAATAAATTCAATAGATAACTTATGAAAATAACACCTCCTGTGGCTGAAGATAACTCAGTAAATACATATACTATTTGATATCTATCTCTCTCTTTCTCTATCTATATCTTAGAATATTTAAAATATTAGTTTACAATGGATTTAATTATACACTTCAAATGATCTACACCTGGATTGGGAATATTTATTACATATTTATTTCTCTGTATATAAGATAATGGTACCTACCCTCATTAATTATCTCTTCATAATTAACTGACATTCTAACTGGGATCTGAGTTGATCTTTCTCCAGCACTGTTCTTATTGTAATAATTATCACTGCTCAAATCAGTGGCAGTTGTGTCATTAAACAGATGGCTAAACCATCACATGGAGCTTTTGGAGTTTAAAAAGTCACATTTTAATTGGGGACTTAAGATGTAATTGCTGTTGGCATGATGTAAATGTGTCTCTTCTTATATATGTTGATAAAATGTACCGTCACACCAACAAACTTCCATTTTTGTGGGTCTAAAACTATACATGAAATAACTTTAGAGTCCTCTGAACTTCAGCTGTACATTTAGGATGCCACAGGATTTTTGCAATTACAAAAAAGTACAAAGAAATTTAAGAATGTCAGGTTATGGTCATGGGTTAATGTGGTGATGCTCTTCAGACTCCACAGTTAATGTGAAGCTTAATCAAGTATTAGTTAAGGCCAGATTGGGAGCAACTGTGACATCCACCCAAGGTTGTAAGTAGAATGAGCACTTTGAAGATAATAATTCAGTAGTCAAGAGTTTAGGTAGTGTGATGAATTAAGATTATTCCTCCTAAACTTGTTACTTTATAAAACACATTATTAAGAATTCTGTAATTTGGATGGTACGCACACACTATCTCCCCCAAGTGGCATATCTATACCTAAAGGCATAATTGTCCAGGTTATATACATATATAAAGTTTCATGTTCTAAGAGATTCCTTCTATTAAGCAGGTGGTTTCATTCTTATACAGCAGTGGAATAGAGATAGTCTGCAACTAAGTCATACTGAACTGAATATTATTCTATAACCAGCTACTTGCCATGTGACCATTTTTGCAACTTAATCTGAGTCTCAGTCATCCTGCTAGGTATCACTATTTTTATTCTTAAAAATGACAAAACTGAGGTTCAGTCAGAAAATTATAAATAAGGAAAATAATCTCCACATTATGGAGTAGTTTTTAGAAGTCCATGAGAAATGTGCATAAAGTCACTAGCATATTTTATAAGCACTTTTATATATGATAGGAACTGTGCCAAGTTTAGAGATTTGAAGATACCAATATGGTCTCTGCCATCATAGAGTTTACTTGACAAGTTGGTACAATGCCTAGCACATAGGTTATAACTTTATAATATACACGGAAGTGCATTATTAAGAGTGTGTTTAGTAGACTCACAACCTTTTGTAATCAATTCTGAAGCTCTAATATTGTATAAACCTAAAAGATTTTTCAGAAACTTGGGATAAACTCAGCTGGCAGAAAAAAACTGATAAATGAATACCTAAGGTTTTACTTTTTCCTAATTTCTGTGAATATGCATATGTTTTGCTGCAGAAATACTGATATATTTTTATTTGTGATGTTTTTCTAGGCCCCACTATGGGTGTTATGCAACAAACCTAGTATGCACTCTATCATGTCCCAAAACTGAAAAGTTCTAAATTCCAAACCATAGATAAGCCAAGATTTCAGACAAACTGGTGAATGCAAACTAAAATAGTAGTTCAACTGTCCTTATTTCATTCCACATGGTTTTGATGGAAGTCATAAAGAAAGTTCCTTCCTCAATTAACCCTGGCCACCTGAGTTCGTCCTGGGCAATCATGGGAACTCAATACTTTGTTTCCAATGACTGATCCAAGAAGGTGGACATATAATCCAAATAGGGCCAAGCAAAGTTCTTTCCTGGGAACTGAGACCTGGAGTTGGAGGATTGATCTTGGGTTGTGAGTTTTAAGAATGGAGGCCTGGAACTGCTGGTGGCAACATTTCCAAACAGGTAGCAAGAAGTTGTCTAAGATGTAAATCAATACACAAGAGAAGCATAATTAAGAAAAAGGAGAGCAGCAAACCCCTGAAATTGGAGCCCGTGGATCTACTATGTGTGAATTCTTGAACTTTCTAGTTGTTTTGAGAAAATTCTCTTGACTAAAAGGAGTTTGAAAGTGTGTTTTAACAGAAGTGGAATATAAGCCAGTTAACCTTTGTCTAGGCTTTGATTAGAAATATTTCATTTATGAATTAATGATCTATGTCTTGGCCTTATTTTTAGAATATTATTGGTCATTAATAATGATCTTTTATGACTACATGGGGAATTAATAAGTCTTCTAGTTGAAGATTTAGAAACACAGTTTAGTTAATAACAGCTGACAACGCCTCTGATCAAGACACAGGATCAACTAAATTAACAACTGAAATAACATGCTTTAATTTTAACTACATGATCCTTTATGTTAAATATATAAAATATATTTTGTATATACTATATACACTGTATATATTCTGAAAGTTGAGTGTTATATAAACTTACAATTATTGTACATTATGATGTAGATTTCCTAATTATTTATTTGTGAAAATAAAAGTGTATACCAATTCCATTCATATAATTAATATCACTACCTATTCCCACTAATTGTTAAATAGATTTAAATTTTTTTAATGTATCAATTCTTGGCCTTTTGGTTAAGATCAAGTGTAATTTTTTTTTAACACTTTAATAGTTTAAAAAGAGTTAAAATTAAATGTTATATAACTGTTTTCTTTTGTGAAAAAAAAACTCGCTAAACATTTAAAATATATTAGGCTATATTTTCAGTTAGTAGTAGCTTTTAAAATTAAAATACCAGTTGCAAGATGCTATGAAACTCATGTCACACAATAAAAATTATCTTATCTCTCAACTAATTTCTACCACAAAGAAGCACATTAGTAAATATCCATCCAGTCACTCAATCTTTCATTCAGCAATTTTAATTCAGTTGAATTCAACATGAATTGAGCAACTTTCATGAGCAGCTACTTGTATTATATAAGACATTGTGGGTGATACAGAGATGAACAAGTTAAGAAGCATAGTACTCAAGGAACATAATTTCTTCTTGAAGAGCTAAGGCCCATATATGGATAACAGCAATATAAGACAGGATAAAATAAAACTACAAAAGATGTACCACAAAGTACAATTTGCACACAGAAGAAAGAGAGATTTGAGGCTGCTGTTAGCTAGCAGTGAGGATTAAATAGACAAAGACCTAGTTGACTTAGTCCTTCAAGTAGCTCAACAGATTGACAGTGCAGGTTTCCCAGGAAAGGGAACTGTGAAATTCAATTTCAGATTAAATTGCATTTTATCACATTTCTCACACACACCAGGTACCATACTAGGTGTACCAGGTACTGTCCTAGGAGTTTTTACATTTGTTATTTCAAGTGCTTTTGGTTTTCATTTTTAGGATAAGAGCTATTATTTCCATTTTTCTTTTCCAGGGTGAGACCAAAGCTCAGAGATAGAAAATCAACAAGTAGCAACTGGAAAAGCACAGACAAGAACCAAGGCTCACTGACTATCAAATCCAGGTGCTTTTCTTCAGATGCTCACCAATGCTGCTAATTTTTTATTATTTCCTTTTGGATTCAGTTTCCTTCTTCTTAGATTATAGAAGCATTCCTCTGGAATCAGTCAGGCTGTATGAGTAGTAGCCTCAGAAATTATCTGAAGTATTTCTTTCCCCCTCACTCTGAAAGTAGAGCTGAGCTGGGCATTGATTTGTGAATTAAAAGTAGTTTCTCTTGAAGACTTTTTTTCTTAGTACTTTGAAGAAATTGTTCAGGCTGGTTTTCGGTTGTAGATAATGTGTTATTTCTTTCTGGTACATTTAAGAATTTATTTGCTCTTCTGTGGTTTTACTATAATATCCCTAGGTATGAGTTTTTTTAAAAAAAATGTATACTGTTTAGGACTAATCTACTTATCTGTTATTAGGATTGAGGTCCAATCAATTCTGAAAAATTCTTCATCATTATCTTTTTCAATTTGCCTTTTTATTGTAATTTCTCCTCTGGAATGCCTGTTAAATCTATCTTTATCATTCTCTTATCCATCTTCATTTCTTTTTCATATTTAACTTCTCTTTTCTTCCTGTGGGTAACTTACATACTTCTGTGTTCCAGTTTACTTTCTCCTTGCCTGAATATTATATTCTACTTAACCCATTTAGTAAGGTTTTAATTTCAATGCTTATAATGTCTGTCATTTTTATTCCTGAAAGTCGTATTAGGTTATTTCTTAATTCCACTTTCATAGAGAGGAAAATAGAGAATGAGCCTTTCTTGGGCCCAGCTTTATATACATTTCTCAGTTTATATGCCTATCTAGTTACAAACTAAAATGCATGTATCCTGAACTTGGGTGGACATTCATACCCCAGCCCTAATCTGTCTGGTTCTACATTTACTTTTTCTATCTTTCTAAGTTGTTACCCAATCCAAAGGGCTTACAATTTTGGCTAAGAGTTTCCTACTCATTTCAGGTACCTGGAAATTTCCTTTTCTTTCTTTTGAGCTTAGCTGAATATTTTTTAAATTGTTATATTATATTCAGGATTTGTATGTGTTTGTGGTGGGAAGCTGGGTGGGGTGTGTGAATGTGAAGAGAACATACCCCATGAGGCTCAGGTCAACACCTTGCTTAAAGTAAAAGATGCAGTGATAAGTAGCTCTGAAAAATATATTGGCTATATTCTTTACAACTTAGTTATTCTTCAATTTTAATGCATTTAGTAAACAATGAGCAAAGGTACCCATAATTCCTGTGTCATAAAAAATTAGTGAACCAAGAGACAACCCATTGAAAGAAGGAGCAGCAGTCTCATATGATGAACTAAGGTTTGAAAGAATATAATTTGAACATACCAGAAGAAGGGATAGAAAGGTACCATATTATATGCTATACATATACATACATGATCACATATAGTACCCCAATAGCCCTATCCTTTAGAAGAGACTCAGAAACACCACACTTGTACAGGAATTGAACTAAGCAAGGCATTGAAGCTAGGTCTCTCAGTTTCAAAAGGTCATACGCTAAAACATTATAGAAAGAAATATGAAATTTGTTCTGCCAGGTGTGGTGGCTCACGCCTGTAATCCCAGCACTTTGGGAGGCCAAGGCGGGTGGATCACCTGAGATCGGGAGTTCAAGACCAGCCTGACCAACATGGAGAAACCCCATCTCTACTAAAAATACAAAAGTAGCCAGGTGTTTTGGTGCATGCCTGTTATCCCAGCTACTCAGGAGGCTGAGGCAGGAGAATGGCTTGAAACCGGGAGGTGGAGGTTGCGGTGAGCTGAGGTCATGCCATTGCACTCCAGCCTGGGCAACAAGAGTGAAACTCCGTCTCAAAAAAACAAAATGTTCTAACATGACAGAGTTTCACATTATCAAAGCCAAAATTGAGGAAGACTACTCTAGGAGCAAAGGCAGATTTATCATAAAGTCAATAAAAGTGAGGCATAGGATGCCTCAATTGGATGAGCCTCTTAAGTGCTGGAGTTCCTGGATGTTGTAAGCATTCTAGGTAGGAAGGGAAAGCCACTTTAAAATCTGGAAGCATTTATATGTAAGTGTGTCTGAAAATTGTCTAACGAGATGTTAGAAGAAAAGCGTTTTAATCTTCAAGATTTCAGTGGTTTCTAAATTTCTTTTGTGTAGGATATTTTTAAACTGCAAATACACATTCATTTTTTCTACCTAATTTTTTGCTCATAATTGTGTATTACTTTTCTTTTCAAAAAGATCTCAAGTCATATAATCTTCAGGTTTTACAAACCCTATTTCTGCCTCTGCCTAGGCATAATGTGTGTGAAGAGGGTAAGAGGAAAGTAGGGAGTTGAGTTAGGATTATGCAAGAGTACAGGTATGAGGTATGAAAGACTAGAACTAAAATAAGAACACATAAAATTGGAAACTGTAAGATTTATTTGGGAAACAGAATAAAGGAGGAATAAGCAGAATTCATTAAGTGGTAGGATACAAGACACAAAAATAGTCAAATCTCATTCTACATTTTTGAGCAATGGTAAAAATGACAATATGGTGCTATTAACAGCAGGCAAGTCAAGAGGAACTTACTGGTGTCTTGATAAATGAAGTGGAATATCAGTGGAGAAAATAGGTGCTGGAGAATATAGAGTTCAGTGTGATATAATTATTGCCCTAGTGTCCGACTGACATTTGGAATTAAATACCAAAGATTTGTATATTTTTGGTATTGTACTTTGAGAATAGGACACTGTACACAAGGACAGACATTTGTAATTGTGGTTAGGGTGATATACAGTACGTGGCTAAACACGGAACTGTAGTAACTGCCCAAAAGCAGGTAAGAGTAAATGAGGAGGAACAGAAACAACAAGTTTCAAGAAAAAGAGCATATACTTTAGTTGAATATGCAGTCTTTGAGTTTTGTGCAAAGGTGGTCATGTGATCTTTATAAGAACTAATTCAGTAGAGTCATCCTTTGGTATCTGTGTGGGATTGGCTCTAGCACCTCTGAGGATGCTCAAGTCCATTACACAAAATGGCATAGTATTTGCCTATTACCTAGGCACACTGTCTCATATACTTTAAATCATCTCTAGCTTACTTATAAATCTTAATACAATGTAAATGACATGTAAATAGCTGTTATACTGTGTTGTCTAGGGAATAACGACAAGTAAAAAATGTCTATACGTGTTCAATACAGGCACAATCCCCTTATTTTTTCCCCATATATTTTTCAATTAGTTGATTGAATCCATAGATGCAGACCTTGCAGATCTATACGGCTGACTACACAGTGGTGAGAACCATAGTCTGGATAATCTGAATGTAAGGGACTACTGCAGGATTTGGTGGTAATAGGTATAATCTGTGAGTATAAAATGCTCTTTCGAGAAACCTGAGAAAGAAAGATGAACTCAGATTGTAGAAGAAGAAGAAGAGATGTAACTTTTTTTGATATCTGAGAACTTTTTTTTTTAGGAAAAAGGGATTAAATGTTCCTCTCATTGAAAAGGGAAAACTGAATATATAAAACAGTAGGGGTGGTTGATGGAGCAATGCTCTGAAGAAGGTAGAATTATATGGGGGCAGAGATGTGAGGTTTATTTATCCAGGGCAAATAAGAACAAGACTTTTCCTCTGTAAAGTCACCAGAGAATACTTGAGAACATTTAGAAAACTTTGAAATTTTTAATATTGCTTGTTCAGGCTCTTGGAGTGATGACTAAGACCAAGGTGTATTCATGCTAATAAAGACTGAGGTGAAAGAGAGATCCAGATCCCTGAAGTGGAAAAGGTAAAAGAAATGTGAAATCAGCTTAGATATCAAAATTAATAAGGAGGATACTATGGGATGCAATTAAAAATAAAGATTATAAATAAAGATCTTAGAGAATGTGAATGTAACCTGGGGGATGGTAAATGACAACTATAAGACAGAGGGCAAGAGTTAGTACAAATAGCAAGTGGAAAATTCAAACAAAATGTGTTTGCTAATTAGCATCAATTAAGTTAATTGGTGACAAAGAGAAACACATAGTTATACTCATGTTGCGTGAAGAATATTAATAGCTACATAGGTATTATAAAGTTTTTATCAAGATCTTATATGAAAGGCTAGGTATATTTTTGATATAATTTTCAGTTTAAAGAATCGCTTAATTCATTTTTATAATACTTCTATTTGTTAAAAAGTTAATAGCAAGTGTCACTGTAGCTATTCCCATGCTTATGATATCAGGGAAACTATGTATTGAAAACAAGGTCTGATCCCTCTACTGTGAGCTGTGTTTGACAAATAGAAGCAAATGATCGAAAAGTTAAATCCTCTAAAAAAACATATAATTTCCTAAACATGAAAGGCTTGCTTTCTGGTGCTTTCATAATTAGACTATTTATTTATTTGTTTCTAAATTTATATCTCCTCTTTTCCATTAAAATTTATCAAATCCACCAAGGAAAGTTGTCTCCACCAAGATAAATTAAACAGAAAGACAATGGAGAGTTTGGCTCTGAACTCCCTGGCAGTAAGGCACAAAAGTGAACATATTAAGGTTCACAGTCCCGGTGTTGAGAACAGGTAAAAGCATTCCATTTCCTCAGGAAAACAATTATTTTTCTTGCATTAAATTCTAGAAGAAACTTCTGAAATCAGATTTTCTGTCATGGACATTTAGCAGCCTAGTAAACAATGACCTTGACAATACAAAAACTTGCATGAGATTTATTTCTACAAGGGAAAAGAGTCAATTGCATAACATTAAAAGCAACTATCTAGGTAATTTTTCAATAGATTGAGATTATTAAATTTAAATATCTAGGCTATTTGGTTTAACTAGGTACAGTGGCAAAACTTGGGATACAAGAGGAGCAATGGACTAAAAGTCTCCTATATATTCCCTAAATATTGTCATTTGGGTTTTACAGAAATACATGTATGCACCTTGGTGAAAGAGTCTCATAATGCAAATTCAGGAAACAAAAAACAGAAATCATGTCACCTATTGGAGATGCCCTACCTTGTTCATAAAGCTGTGCTTTTTATGGACTTTTCTATTACTATGAATTTAAGATCAGGACACCTTCTGGAACAATAAATATTCTTCAGAGAAATTGCTGAATTTGAGCATCAAAGCCACACAACAGACTCAATAACAATTTGATATATTTGTCTACAGATTAATTTAATGGTTACTTAACTCATTGGGTTTCTAAAATCTAATGAAAATGAAGACAGTATTGATCAAACATTAGATTTATTAGATTTATCTTTCATAAAGCATGGCCTTTTATATCCAACTCTGGAGATTTTATGATTTGAGATAATTGGTACAGACATACTCTGAAACCTCTCTTATGTACACCAATTCCTACCCAATCACACCTAACTAATTAGATTCACAGATCACAAACACTAACAGCCTAGGCTTTTATGGCGCCTTCTCAAATAAGACAAGAAAAAAATGGTTTCACAAAATTTCGAAACTGCTCACATACATAGGAAATAAGAAAATGGGAAAGGCATACATTGTAAATGTGTGCGTTATTTCTAGATGTAACAATTAGAGCAAGGTGAAATAGAATAAAGTTTAAAAATCATTGATTTCTAATCTCCACCCTATCAGTAATCTAATGTCAACATAATCTCATCTGTCTATAACATCCACCTGAATATGAAAGCTCTTGGTACCATCCACCAGCACACAAATAAACATATCCAGTACAACAAATCCTTATATTTCACCTAAGCATTTTCATTCTCTGATCTTTACTTTCAAGGACTGCAATTTGTTAACCATTGATATGAAAATGGTATTCCTAGGTAGATCCATCTGTTTCCTTTTGATTTAGAGAATGCCATTGTTACATGCCATCTCAAGCAGTGACTGGTGCTTCAGTTCACAACTTAAATAACCTCATGCCCACTTTAGTAGCGACAGAAAGAAAACAAATATGAACGAGATGCTGGTTCTCACTGGTGTTTACTCATATCACCTTTATTTTCTGTGACATGGTACCACGTGGTTCTGTGAGCACTGGACTCACAAGATATTCCTTATTAAATAAACAAAGAGAATAAATACTTCAGGAAGATGAAAAGGAGAAGGGGAAAAAACAAACGAGCAAACAAAACCCCCTTTGACCTGACATTATGGAAAAAAATAAAAAAAGACACTAAGATGGAAAAAAAATAGTGTCATGGTTTACATGTGGGATTTTGATGGAGTCTAGGGCTGTGTTTTAATTCAAAACTCACCATCTCAAAACCACTTCTTTTCATCCGCCTGCAGGACTTGAGGTAAGTACGTATACGTTTTCTGGCACGCTCTTGATACTCAGGGAATTGTCGCCTGCATGAGTCAATGATAGCCTGGATCTTTTCTTTGGGCTGCTTAGAGATTGGGACCATTCGGTCCAAGTTTTCATCTACAAACAGCCTGACAAACATCTGTTGGCAAGAGGGAGACAGAGGAGAAGGGTTTGGAGGGCTGCTCTCTTCTGTTCCTAGCTTCCTGTCTTGATTACCGATAGGAAAATACTGTTTTCTGGTTTATGCACTGGAGAACTTTGCAATGGAAAGCCAGAAATTTTAAGCAAACACTCTTTAAAGACTTTCTAAATGGTTGGATTAAAAAATAGAGAGAAAAAGAGAGAAAGGCAGACAGACAGACAAACATACAGAAAAGAATAGACTATCGTGTAGAAAAAAATCAGGAAATAACAGAGACTGTGACAATTGAGCACCCCTTTACAATCTCTATTAATGATGAATACGACTGTTACATTGCTACACTGCACAGTGGACTAATCTCTGAAATCAAACAACTGACTCTTTTGTCATGCATAATTAGATAAGCTAGGAAAGCAAAAGAAATAACAGATGACGGGCGTACTCTTCCGAGGACTAAGCTGAGGCCCCCTCCATCCACTAGGTAAACATGCATACTCACACAACACAACTCCAGTTTTCAGCTCACATTTGGCTTTAAAATTCTAAACAAAACACAGCAATTCTGGTGTCTGGTTGGCAAAGAGTGTTTCATGTACTTTTTAAATCCTTCTGTAAATTAAACAAACATGTCTCTAAAATATCCACATTTACCAACAAGCAACAACATGAAAGTGAAGTGGTAAAAATTAAACCACACTTGGAGTGTGGCAGGACTCACATTAAAAGCTTTCAGCCGCTCGGCTTCAACGCCGTCTGTCTCATTAACTTTCTCCGAATCGTCATGGTCCTCGTGGTCATCTTCGTCCTCATCTCCCCTGTTTAGTGAGAGGTCCTCAGCTCCTCGGTCTACACTCTCATTTTTGCCAGAGTCATAGCTGGAGTAACTATGTGCAGGAGACTGAAAAGAGAAGGTGAAATAACTGCTTTTAAATTCATTGCACAAGCTTATAAGTTTTATGTTTCATCTTTAATTTCAACTGTTTCTCAAAAATCTTGTTTATGAGTTGATAACTCTAGAGCTGTGGTGATTTTAGTTTAAATAAAAATTAATTCAAATTAAATTAAAATTTCATTTCCTTGGTCACGTCACACTAGTTACATTGCAAGTACTTGTTAGCTGCATGGAACGTTTCCTTCACTGCAGAAAGTTTTATTGAACTTAGCTATGCAAGAGCAATTAGTGTTTCCTCTCAATACTCATATTCCAAATAAAAAAGCAATCTGTAATCGATTTTGCAAGGGAATCATTGAGTCACATATTCTTAGAACTTAATATGACCTCAGAGCATTGTCAATATTAGTACTAGTATTACACTTTATATAATATTGTATTATATCATATCAGTATTATGCTAACTTTATTAGTATTCTTTAAACAGTTATGGAAACTGAGGGATGTTCAATTAACTTACCCAGCAAGAGCTATACAAAATATTATTGACTATTAGTTATTAGTTAACATGCTTTAAAATAAATGTATTAATTGTCTATGAGTCTTAAGAGGTCATCTGATTTGGGTTTAGAAAATGGGAACCGGGTTTCTTCCTAATCCTCTGTTAAGTTTAATGTTTCTGGATTCTAACACCATTCAAAAGACACAACAAATTTAAAGCAAGAACAATTAAATAATAGTGACACATATTTCCATGTAAAAATAATTAAACATCTGAAAAATTGAAAATGTTTAACAGTTCATTTTCACATGAAACAGCTGATAGATAGCCTTCGTAGAGCCTCCGTTGTCAGAATACAATGCATAAGTATATCTACATGTTAATGGGGCTGTTTAAAATAAATAAACTGGCTTTGATCACTTTTCATTTTGGGATTACACTTATTCCAAATATTTTCTCTTGGGACCCTCTAGGATTATTCCAGAGTAAGTTTGGAAGAGTGACCTGGAAATACAGAAAATCCAAGTATATGGTGTGATAAGGAGCTTGAATCAGCCATGTACAGCATAACCACAAACTATTTTATATACTCTTTGAGACCATAACATTGATCAATCTTCTTAGCATATTCTAGGTAGTTTTGATAAGATACTAAACTAAGATGTAATCAAATTTAAAAATGAGTATTCTCTATTTATTTCTGTTTCATGATATAAAAGATATTTTTTGAGACATCACATACAATAAAGCAAATAATGAAGCAAGTGAGAGGTAAAGAGAAGAAATTAGTACTTAGAACAACTGCATACCTAGTCAATTGGTTCCCTTAAGCTTCATAGCAACCTGGTGAGAAAGGATTATCCTCCAGATTCTACAGATAAGGAAACAGCTTTAGAACATCTAAACAACCTCTTCTTATCTAAAGAATGAGATTATATAACTACTGTGTGAACCTAGGTCTGCCTAAGAGCTAAGAGTGATCACATAAGGTTTTCTCCTCGATATGAAGTTTTTCTTTCTAAGTGTGTGTGTGTGTGTGTGTGCGTGTATGCACATGTGTGTATAATTGAAAGAACATAAAATATGCATTGGTTTATGTACATGTTAATCTTTAAACAAAATATTTTATAAGTGATTTCCCCTAAAACTGCTATTCCACCTAAATAAATTGGATACATTATTTACATTTTCTTATAGAACAGTAAGCTGCAATTTATAAATCTTGAGTAAGAAGAATTATCACTTGCTATAAAATTTCCACATATAATAGAATCTATTTAAATAATTTATTAGTGCTTCATACACAGTTTTGCTTATTTGTTTTGCTGGATAAAGTAGAATAAAGATACACTATTGTAATCAAATGCAGATAATTACAGTTTCTTAAATACAAAACATCTATAGAAGGAAATAGTGACAAGCTTTCTTTTTTCAACTTAGGACTAAACATATTCTGGAATATATTTATTTTAGGAAAAATATATATTTAAGAGAATAAACTCTTAATAAACAGCAATAACATACAACTTTTAAGACCAACATGGTTAGTAGTAATTTCTAAAATCTCCTGCTCCAACTCCAAGTATCTATCTCAAAGTCAATCATTTCTTCCCTCAGCAAACCTTTACATTAAGTATCACTACACATTTGGTTTTGTGCCAAGATACTCTGCCACAGAGCAATTTTCATTCAACAAAGTATTTATGGGCAGCTATTATGCATCAGGCACTATTCTAAGCCTTTTAAATATATGACTCATTTACAATGAACTGGTTAAGTGATTTTCCCAATGTCACATAGCTAGCAAGTGAAAAAGGATCTGAACCCATGCAGTTTGGCTCTGAGTTTATCATCTTAACACTATTCTATGCTGTCTCTATAGCATGACTACTTATGAGGTTATTGTTATAATATCAGTAGAAATCAATTCCTAAGGCACTGTATTTCTTGACACCAACTTTTAAAATAGAAGTACCTCTGTGACAAGACATATTAAACCCATTTCATTATTTAACATCTAACTATGAATTTCCCCTGAGCCAATCTAATAGAATATATGTATTTTATATGGGCTGGAGCCTATTTAATAATGTTTTGTATTAATGAAGCATCTTAAAATTTACATGGAGCTTTAACCTTGACATAATAACTTCACAGAAGAACTAGTATTAATATATTAATATATTACATTATAAATGGTTTCAAATATATACATAATAATAATAAATGATATTAATATATCTGACAGTTAGTTTTATGTGTCAACTTGACAGGATGACACGGTGTCCAGGTATTTGGCTATCCATTATTTCCAGGTGTGTCTGTGAGGATACTTCTGGATGAGATTGGCAGTGGAAGTGGTGGATTCACTAAAACGGATTGTTCTTCACAGTGTGTGTGTAGGGTGGGTGAGGGGAGGGCCTAAGGGCATAATCCAGTGTCTTGAGGGCCTGAATAGAATACAAAGCAGAGGGAAGGAAAATTTGCCTATTCTGCCTGACTGCTGAGCTAAGAGACTTACTGAGAATTCTGAGTCCCCTGGTTCTTAGGGCTTCAAACTTGAACTGAACTCCACCACTGGCTTTCCTGGATATTCAGCTTGCAGATAGCAGATCATGGCACTTCTCAGTCTCCATAATCTCATGAGCCAATACTTTATTCTATATATTATATATCTTATTGATTCTGTTTCTCTGGAGAACCCTGAGTAGTAATTATATTATTCACATTATCAATGACTTCATTAAGGCTCAGTTAATTTAACTTGATGAGATAACCTCCGACACTGAGAAGAGTGGTAGAGAAGTTAAGTAGAGGCCATCCATTCATCACTGGGCTGGTAACACTACACAGGATTTCAGCATTGGAGGATCATGGGAGTTAGCAAAAGAAATGAAAATGTTGAGTTTTGGAATCTCAGTGGATTGCCAAAGTAGAAGGAGAAAGGCAAGTGTGTAAAGGAAGATGAATGCCAATCCAGACAATTTTCATTAACTTCTATAATTGTGTCCAAGACCAACCACGGGGCCTGTTATGGTATCTCCTACTTGTTTGCTGGCCCAGCACCTTTTTCTTTCAGAAATGGCCCCTCGCTCTACCAGGTAAAATTGCCAATCCCTTGGGTACCAACCTTCTCTATGCTAAGCATGCATCTTTGCCTCTACGTGAGATGGCTGGCCTGAGTCAAATCAAGCTGAATCCAGCAGAGCTAAGGAGCATAGAGTCGTGATAGCATCATTTGTGCATCTAGATCTCACTATTACTGAAATTAAGCCCTGGACCCTTAAGTTGTATAATACCATACATCCTCCACCCACCCACATGCTTTTAAATTTTGCTTAAATTTGAGTTTCAGTCACCTGAGATTGAATCTGGAGTGGCACAGCCACCAATCATTAGAAGCCAGATTAACAATATAGATTTCACACATGATCATTCAAATATATAGATGGCCCCAGCCAAATGAATAATACTATCTTTGTAAGCAGCAGGAGATATTCTCGAATCTACCAACAAAGTAAAATGATAGTGAATAACCTTTATGAAGGGAAAATTTAAATTGACAGTGTTCAAAACTGCCTCCATGCAATGATAACATATGTGTAGCATGCTTTAAGGATCATACTAACATATCATAACTATATAGTCAGTGGAGGAATAATAAAACTAGAACAGATCTCTGACATTAACAGTAAAGTTAAATTTTAAAAATCAGCATAATATCTTTACAGTTCACATCATTAACAAGGTGGAATTAGCTAATAAAATATATTAAGGAAAATATTCCATAGGTTTGAAAAGTCTATCTTTTTAAATCTAAAATGTAATAAGCATAATATATTTTGAATGGCAATGTGAAATATTTAAAAATGTTACAATATGGTTATTTGAATGCAAATATTCTGGGCTAATTCATTCAATGCAGCTGTTTGATGGACACAGAACCAGTTGGAACAGTAAAAAATGTATAGCCCTGTTTACTCAAGTTTTAAAGAACGTGCAATCTTGCAGATCTGAAAATATTCAGGATCTAAATCTCAAGGATGATTGATGTTATTTTGCTCTACAAAACAAACTGAAATTTTTATAACTGAATTCTGCTTTTCAGCTGGATTATCATTTCTTGCCTCTCTTACCATTTAGGACCTATCATTTAAGGCCGAATTAAGTTCACTTTCCACAAAGATTCCAGCTTCTACCCTAGTCTACTTCAATCTTTCCCTAAACTGTGAAGCCAAGTTACTTAATTTGACACAGATTTAAACACTATAATTGTTCTCTACTTTCCATATTAATTTGCATTTTTCTTCAAACTAGTCTGAGATAAGAACCAACACATATCCCTCACAGAATCCAAGACATGAGCTTTACAGATTGCAATTCAAGACTGACTATAATTTCTCTTTTTTCTATAAAACTATTTGGTTTTCATAAATGGGGGAATGTGAGTATTGGAATGGTATCATAGGCTCAGGGAATACAAGTTACTATAGGTCTCCAAATAACCCATATAATATATGGCAGCCATTTGCCCCATAAGCCTGCCTTGCCTTAATAAGAACTTTGGATGACTATAGCCTAGGAAACCTTCATTTCAGGTGCAATTGTTTTCTTACTTCAAGTATAAACCTAAAAAAATCCAAACCAGAACTAAAATAAAGATCCAAAGTTATTAAAGAACCACAATTTAGGCTCTATGGAAGATGGATACATGCTTATCCTCAAAACACAGGTGTTGGCTTATGGGGATAAGGGTAGATTTTTGCCTTAGCTATATACTTTGCTTATTCCTCCCATGATAAAACGTGGCTTTCCTCAGCAAAGAGGCTTCTGAGAATACATTTGACCTTTCCTTTTCTCAAATTTTCCCATCCCAATAGAACTGCCAGCATTAGGCCTTGAAAATTCCCACTTGAAGGAAACGTGACCTGTTTGCTTATCTGTAGTCAGAGCCTAGGATGGCTCAGATAGCAACACCACAGTGCTTGGTGTTAGACACAGCTGCGGTTGGGAGCTGTGTCTGATATTTGCAGCCAGTGGAAAAAAGGCGAACCTGTGTTTCCTCATTATGTCCTAAATGAGGGAAGAACACATGAATTCAGTGCCAGGTGTCTATGCTTTCACGTGCTTTGCATATCTATGTCACAGCAGTGATCGTAAGGTATCATGCAAACGAGTTTATATGTTCATATTCCATGCAGTCTGAGAGTTACTTGAGGGGAGAGTCACATAGGCACCTTTCATCTTTATAACATTGCACAATGCCAAACACATAGAAGGAATAAAGTAAACGTTTTCTGAGTGAGTGACTGATTACACTTTTGAGTTACACTGAAGATGATTTAATTTTTTAAATTGCAATTTTAAAAACTATCTTATATTTCCTTTAAAAAATATCAGTTATTCATCAGTGAGTTTACAAGCAATGTCAGTATCATTATAAGTGTAATGATCTAGCACTGTGTGTCTTCTGATATTATATGAAGCACATGGCACTACTCAAGAAGTAAACTCACCATCAAGAAAGAAAGAAAGAAAGAGAGAAAGGAAAACAAAGAAAAGAAAGAAAAGAAAGGACAGAAAAGAAAGAAAAGAAAGGAAGGAAGGAAGGAAGATAGGAAGGAAGGAAGAGAAAGAGTGAGAAGTTGAACCCAAACTTTAATCTAGAAACAGTGGTTCTCAAAATGTGCTGGTTGCACTAGCAGGATCAGCATCTCCTGGAAACCTCCTAGAAATGCAAAGGCTCAGCTCCCTCCCAAGATCAACTTTGGATGTAGGCCCAGCAATCTGTGTTTTAACATGACCTCCATGAGATTCTGAGGCACAGTCAAGCTTGAGAACCACTTGTCTGGAGCTAAATTCCATTTGTAAGAAAAATGGCAGAGAGAGAAGTTAAATCACACCAGAGAAAGCACACAGGTAAATCCAAAATATGAGACATTGGGCAGGGCAATTGACCTTGGTTTTGCAACAATTTACTGATAGAGAAATAAGATATATTAAAGGAGATTTAAGAGATATAATCAAATAAAATGTGTAACCCTTGCTTGTATTATGATTCAAAGAAACCCAAAGCAAGAGACATTTTTTGAGAAAAGTAAAAATATTCTATTATAGATGAGGAAAATATATAGTAACATGGAATTATTAATTTTTGTTAGATGTAATACCTTAACATTTGGTTAAGTAAATATGTAACAAAATATCCACACTTGTTAGAGATACAAGTTAAGATATGGAGATGATACGACAAGAATGCCTGAGATATGCTTTAAAATACTATAGAAGGTCAGGTTATGTCTATAATCCCAGAACATTGGGAAGTCAAAGCAGGAGGATTGCTTGAGGCTAGGAGTTTAAGACAAGCCTGGGCAACATAGTGAGACCTCCATCCCTAAAAAACAAACAAACCAACCAAAAACCAAAAACAATTATACAAGCATGGTGGCATGCATCCCTAGAAGTGTACTGGGGAGGGTGAGGCAGTAGTATTGCTTGAGCCCACGAATCCCAGGCTGCTGTGAGCTATGATCCTGCCACTGAACTCCAGCCTGGGCAACAGAGCAATACCTTGTGATACGGTTTGGCTGTGTCCCTACCCAAATTTCATCTTGAATTGCAGTTCCCACAATCTGCATGTATCATGGGAGAGACCCAGTGGGAGGTAGTTTAACCATGGGGGAGGTTTTCCTCATGCTGTTCTTGTGATAGTGAGTTTTCATGAAATCTGATGGTTTTATAAGAGGCTTTTCCCCTTCTGCTCAGCACTTCTCCTTACTGCTGCCATGTGAAGAAGGATGTGTTTTCTTCCATTTCCACCAGGATTGTAAGTTTCCTGAAGCCTCCCCAGCCATGCTGAATTGTGAGTCAATTAAACTTCTTTCCTTTATGAATTACCCAGTCTTGGGTACGTCTTTATTAGCAGCATAAGAATGGACTAATACTCCCTGTCTCTTAAGAGAAATTAAAATACTACAGAAAAAAAGTTAAAAAGTTAAAAAATGTGGGAAAGTCTTAAACACTGTTCAGTTTAGGTGATGAGTACTACTGGTTCATTGTAGTCTCTATTTTAAAATATATTTTATATTTTCAAAATAAAATTTAAGTTTATAAATGTTGTGATTGATTTTATATCCCCTCTGTTTTGACTATTTCTATATTAACTTATTCAACAACATTTAAGAAGCACTACTTCATGTTTAGAGCATTGTTTTAGGTTCACATGATTGGATGAATCCACATTTTGTAAAGCCTGAAAGTTATAAAATTTAGAGAGGGGGCTGTTTTGAAACATTAGATTAAAAAGTTACTATTTATTTAAGATGAGGAGAATAACCACAAATTACAAAATTTTTGAAAGCTTCTAAATATATAAAATACCTCAAAATATTAACAGCCATCTATGACAGGCCCACAGCAAAAATCATACTGACTAGGCAAAAGCTGGAAGCATTTCCATTAAGAACTGGAACAAGATAAGGTTGCTCACTCTCATCACTCCAGTTCCACATAGTACTGGAAGTCCTAGCCAGAGCAATCAGACAAAAGAAAGAAATAAAAGCCATCAAAATAGAAAAGGCAGTCAAATCATCTCTCTTTGCAGATGATATTATTCTATATTTTGAAAACCTTAAAGTCTCCAGCAAAGGGACCCTAGAACTGATAAACCACTTCAGTGAAGTTTTAGGATACAAAATCAACATATAAAAATCAGTAGCATTTTTACACACCAAGAATGTTCAAGCTGAGAACCAAATCAACAATGCAAACACCAATAATGTTCAAGCTGAGAGCCAAATCAAGAATGCAATCTCATTTAAAATAGCCACACACAAAAATGAAATACTCTAGAATATATACAACCAATGAGGTAAAAGACCTCTACAAAGAGAGTACTACTTAAAGAAATCAGAGATGACATAAGCAAATGGAAAAATATCCCATGCTCATGGATTGGAAGAATCAATCTCATTAAAATGACCATAATTCCCCAAACAAACTACAGAGTCAACGCTATTCCTATCAAATTTCCAATGACATTTTTCACAGAATTAGATAAATCTATTCTAAAATTCATATAGAATTTTAAAAAGCTCAAATAGCCAAAGCAATTCTAAGCAAAAAACAAAGCCAGAGGCATCACACTACCTGATTTCAAACTACACTACAAGGATACGATAACGAAAACAGGATGAAACTGGTACAGAAACAGATACATGGACCAATGGAACAGAATAGAGAGCCTAGAAATAAAGCCACACACCTACAACCATCCAATCTTCAACAAAATTGACAAACACAAGCAATAGGGAAAAGACATCCTATTCAATAAATGGTGCTGGGATAACTGGCTACCCATATGCAGGAGAATGAAACTGGACCACTACCTATCACCACATACACAAATTAACTCAAAGTGGATTAAATGTAAGATCTCAAACTATAAAAATTCTAGAAGACAACCTAGGAGATACTCTTGTGGACATCATCTTTGGCAAGTAATTTATCACTGAGTCCTCAAAAGCAACTGCAACAAAAACAAAAATTGACAAGTGGGACCCAAATAAACTAAAGAGCTTCTGCACGGCAAAACAAATTAGCAGAGTAAACAGACAGCCTACAGAATAGGAGAAAATGTTCATAAACTATTCATCCAACAAAGTTCTAACATCCAGAGTCTATAAGTAACTTAACCAATTCAACCAACAAAAAACAACCCCACTAAAAAGTGGGCAAAGGACATTAATAGACATTTCTCTAAAGAAGACTTACAAGTGGCTAACATGAAAAAATCTTCATCATAATTAATTATTAGCAAAATGCAAATCAAAACCACAATAAGATACCATCTCACTCCAGTCAGAATGGCTATTATTAAAAAGTCAAAAAATAATCTGGGCACGGTGGCTCATGCCTGTAATCCCAGCACTTGGGGGGCCGAGGCAGGCGGATCACAAGATTAGGAATTTGAGACCAGCCTGGCCAATATGGTGAAACCCTGTCTCTACTAAAAACACAAAAATTAGCCAGGCGTGGTGGCGGGCACCTCTAGTCCCAGCTACTTGGGGGGCTGAGGCAGAAGAATGGCTTGAACCCGGAAGGCTGAGGTTGCAGTGAGCCGAGATCGTGCCACTGCACTCCATCCTGGGTGACAGAGTGAGACTCCATCTCAAATAAATAAATAAATAAATAAATAAAAATTAAAATAAAAAAATAGCGGATTCTGACGAGACAGTAGAGAAAAAAGAATGCTTACACACTGTTGATAGGAATGTAAATGAGTTCAGCCACTGTGGAAAGCAGTTTGGTGATTTCTCAAAGAGCTTAAAACAGAACTACTATTTGACCCAGTAATCCCATTACTGCATACAAGCCCAAGGGAAATCAAATCATTTTACCAAAAAGACACATGCAATTATATGTTCATCACAGGACCATTCACAATAGCAAAGACATGGAATCAATTTAGGTGCCCATCAGTGGTGGACTGGATAAAGAAAACATGGTACATATACATCATGGACTACTACATAACCATAAAATAATGAAATCATGCTGCAACATGGATGCAGCTGTAGGTCATTATCCTAAGGGAATTAACACAGAAAGAGAAAACCAAATAGCACATGTCAACACTTATAAGGGAATATAAACATTGGGTACAAATGAATATAAAGATTTGAACAACAAACTTTGAAGACTACTAGAGAGAGGAGGAAGGAGGGTAGTGGGGAAAGGGTTTAAAAACTACCTATTGGGTACTATGCTCACTACCTGTGTGAGGGGATCAATCATACCCCAAACTTTAGCATCATGCAATATGCCCATGTAACAAACCTGCACATGTACCCCGGGAATCTAATTTTTTAAAAAAATCTTCTAAGTGCCACAAGCAACACAAATGCAAAAATAAATGACATTTTCCCATTTTTCTTGGCTGCATGCTCTTTGACTGCTTCTTCATACGACAACAGTTATGTAGTAATATATTCTATTGAAAGAATAGAAAAATAATTCAGTCTTTATTCTGTCTAATGAAAATGTCTTTTATTCTTGACAGTTTATGTTTTTTACTGTTCAAATTAATTATTGCTAATATCATGCAAACTGTTAGATTATGTTTAGTTTGGGGAAACCTTTAATCAAGTTCCTTTCATGTCTGAACCATGAGATTTCAGGACATTTTAAGTTTCCCTGCGCAGTGATTGATGCCTTCATTAAAGCAGCGTTTATGAGTCTTATGTTTTCTTCATTGATATCAATATTTTTTGTCAAATCCAACATGCAACTTAAATCTTCTCGCAATATGATAATATAATTCATTCCTCTTCATTAATTCTATTATTTCTTCCTCCTAAAGAAATATTACCTTCGATATGGACTGAAGTTTATTGCAACTCACTTCTCATTATCAGAGAAATATTCTTTATATTTCACTTTTCATCTTTATTTTTTTCATATTACATTAGCACTTTATCTGAATGTGCTCTCAATCTTGTATTAAATAAATAGACAACAAAATGATGTAGGCTTCTTCATATATTTCCAAATTAGGAGTCTGTAATTTCTCAGCTTTTTCCAAAAGGTCAAAATTGAAATTGCAGTTTAAATGTCACATTCCACTGTGTGAAGGGCACACAAGATATCTTTTTATTATTACTTAACAACTGCATGTGAATCTGCAATTATTCATTTGTATAACCATAGATGGTATATGGTATCTGGTTTACTCATTTACCATTTTGTATATGCTTTCCCATTATTTACATTAATTCTTCTTAATCAATTTTGGACAAATAAGTCACATTTGACATTGCATTTTGACATTTTTCCAGTGCTTGTCCAAAAAAAAAAAAAAAGATCAAATTTAACAATTACTTTGAAGATTCCCATGAAATTGTCATTTAAAAATAAATCCTTTTATCATAACCTGCCAATGAAAATCTCTTCCGCTTAATAATTTTTAAACCTCAGCTACATTTTTTAGGCACTTCAAAATGATAGAGAACATTATTTTAAGCCTTGTTTTTCAAGATATTGTCTGGCTAGAGCAGTGTTATTTTCATTTTGTCATGCGTTGAAATCGCCCAAAGGACTTGGTAAAACAAGTTACTGGACCCATTCAGTAGGTCTACAGTGGGGTCCAAGAATTTTGATTTCTAGCGAGAGCCCAAGTGATGCAGCTCCTGAAAGTCTGAGGAACACACTTTGAGTTCTTAGTGTTTTTGTTTGATTTACATGTAATTCAAATAAGTATAGCCATTATGAGCTCCATGGAATCTTCATGATATTTGAGAGTTCTTAATATATTTATCCATTCTAAAAACCCAGATATGTAATATTTGTCTTGTTGAAAATATTGTAGTTTACAACAAAACAGTATATATGACCTTTGGTTTTTAAATAAACTGGTCAGTATCTCATCAGTTTGACACTTTATTTTTATCTTTCCCATAAAATATGGTTGAAAAAATTGTTTATTAATGTTTTGTTGAATCTTTGACATACTGACATTTTTAAGCTTATGCCAGTCTTTCATTATTTTGGCTTCATGTGACATACTTACTTTCTTTTATGTATGAATTGTAGAATGACCAATGATTCTGAAGAAATACACAAAATTATTATAAAATTAAGGCCTATAATTCAAATAATAAGGCCTATACTTTAAAAATTAAAAGTTTTAAACTGTAGGATCACATTATTCTCATAACTTATACAGATCACATTATCCTCATAACTTATACAGAATGTTAGATAAATCTATATATAGAACTTTCGTTACTGGAAAACTTACTTCTTCAAGCTATTTGTGTGTGTGTGTGTGTGTGTGTGTGTATGTGTATGTGTGTGTCAGTGGCAACTTTGTATGTTATTTCTCTCGGAGTTTCCAGGCCTCATCTGGACAATTATATGTTTGATACAATATGCTGAGAGAAATTCGATAGGTGAGATCCATACAATGTGTGAAAAGAGTGTTAGGTGTTCTCGGGCCTGCTATGAGTTTATGTCATGCAAACACAAGAATTCAGATAAAGTCTTTTGTGTGGGATTCCAATAAAAGAAGGAAAAGGTGGTGTGCTTATTCAATATTTCTTCAAAGGACAGACCTTTTCATTTTGACTAGGTGTCGGTGAGATACAAATCCTACATTTTGTATTTTACATGTATAATAATTGGAAGAACGTGAAAGAATGTTTTTCATTCTAAACTATGGCTGAAAACAGTTCAGTTTTTGTTTCTCCTGTTTCCATTTCCCTTATACTTTCATACCAGGAATAATAGCACATGTTCATATCAGAATCTGTAATCCCAAACACCTGTGTGGCATAATGCAGTTACGTTTGTTGGTTGAAATATTTCTGGAAGTTATTCCTATATTGGGATGATTAGCAGCAACTCAAATGCATACAGAAGTGACAGTGAACATTCTCTTTTCCTCCATTGTTTTGTAGAAAGTGTTCTGTGTATGAGAATTTTGCAGTTGGATCTGTCCTTTACAAGATAGGAAAATGATCAAATGAGAAGAAAAAAAGGACATTATTCAGAGATCCTAGACTTGAAACTGTTTACAATAACAATGAAATTTTGAGGTGATGTATTTTTGTAGAGGGGTCATATTTTCAGTTTACTCTTGTGAACTGCATTTTACAAAGGAAGTATTTCTAATTTTTAGAACTGTAAGTGATGTTGGGAGACCTAAGAGAAAATGTACAGTTCTAGGGGTAATTACTAGTGCTCAGTCTTAAAGTACTTTCATCAGGTAACTTCTGCAAAGTAAACCGGGGCACTGTTCCTGCCTGCAAAGGTTCCAAGCCTGATTCTCCACCCCTTCCAGAGATTACTTTATATAAATATTTTTTTTTCTGCTGTAATAAGCCTGTTGTCTACAGCTAAAATTTATGAATCCTACAAACATCAGACTCTTTGATGTGTAAATTAACATTTGAACCAAAAATACTTTTTTAAGGCTGATCACAGTGGCTCATACCTGTAATCCCAGCACTTTGGGAGGCCAAGGCAGGTGGATCATCTGAGGTCAGAAGTTCAAAACCAGCCTGGCCAACATGGTGAAGCCCCATCTCAACTAAAAAGTACAAAAATTAGCTGGGCGTGGTGGGCATCTGCAATCCCAGCTACTCGGGAGGTTGAGGCAGGAGAATGGCTTGAACCCGGGAGGTGGAGGTTGCAGTGAGCTGAGATCATGCCACTGCACTTCAGCATGGGAGATAGAGTGAGACTCTGTCTCAAAAAAAAAAAAAAATTTAAACAAAAATTTAGTCCAAAGATTAAATCATTTATGGTATGCTGCAATTTTTTAAAGCTAAAAGTAAATGTATAAAAATGCCTGCAACTCAACAATAAAAAAAAACAAATAACCTGATTAAAAAATGAGCAAAGTATTTAAATCAACATTTCTCTAAAGATGACCAAGAAACATATGACAAGATGCTTAGCCTTACTAATTATCCGAAAAATGCACACCAAAACTATAAAAAGCTACCACCTCTCACCCATTAGGATGGCAACTATATATATATTTTTAAAAAAGTGTTGAGGATGTTGTGGAAAAGTTGGAACCCTTGCGCACTATTGGTGGGATTGTAAAATCGTGCAACTAACATAGAAAACAGTATAGCACTTCCTCAAAAAATTAAAGATAGGACTACCATATTTTCCAGCAATCTCACTTCTGGGTATATACAGGCATACATTGGAGATATTGCAGGTTGGGTTTTCAACCACTGCAATAAAGTGAATACCATAATAAAGTGACTTACACAAATATTTTTGTTTCCCAGTGCATACAAAAGCTATGTTTACAGTATACTGTAGTCTATTAAGTGTGCAATAGCACTAGTTCTAAATAAAGCAATGCACATATCTTAATTTAAAAATACTCTATTTCTAAAAAATGCCAAAAATCATTGGACCCTTCAGTAAGTCATAATCTTTTTGCTGGAAGAAGGTCTTGCCCCCATGTTGATGGTTGCTGACCGATCAGCATGGTGATTGCTGAAGCATAGGGTGGCTGTGACAGTTTCTTGAAATAACACAACAATGAAGTTGGCCACATTCATTGACTGTTCCTTTCATTCAAGATTTCTCTGTAACATGTGAGGTTGTTTGATAGCATTTTACCCAGAGTAGAATTTCTTTCAAAATAAGAGTCAATCCTCTCAAACTCTGCTGCTGTTTAATCAATTAAGCTTAAGCTTATGTAATATTCTAAATCTTTTTGTTTGTTTATTTGTTTGTTTCAACAATGCTCACAGGATCTTTACCAGGAGTAGATGCTATCTTAAGAAACTACTTTCTTTGATTATCCATAAGAAGCAACTCCTCATCTGTTCAAGTTTTATCATAAGATTGCAGCAATTCAGTCACATCTTCAGGCTCCAGTTCTGATTCTACTTCTCTTGCTATTTCCACACGTCTACAATGACTTCCTCTACTGAAGGCTTGAATCTCAAAGTCATTCATGAGGGTTGGAATCAACTTCTTCCAAACTCCTGTTAATTTTGCTATTTTGATCTTCTCCCATGAATCACAAATGTTTATAACGGTATATGGAATACTGTATTCTTTCCGGAAGGTTTTCAATTTACCTTTTTCTGATCAAGCAGAACAATTAGTAGCTATGGCAGCCACAGCCTTGGGAAATGTATTCCTGAAATATAAGACTTGAAAGTCAAAATTACTCCTTGATCTGTCAGCTGCAAAATGGATGTTGGTTAGCAGGCCTGAAAACATCATTAATCTTCTTGTGTATCTCCATCAGAGCTCTTGGGTGACCAAGCGCACTGTGCGGGAGCAGTAATATTTTGAAACGAATCTTTTATTCTGACCAGTAAGTCTCAATAGTGGGCTCAAAATATTAAGTAAACCATGCTGTACACAGATGGGCTGTCATCTAGGCTCTGTTCCATTTATAGAGCACAGGCAGTGTAGATTTAGCAAATTCTTAAGGGCCGTAGGATTTTCATAATGATAAATGAGCATTGGGTTCCACTTAAAGCCGCCAGCTACATTAGCCCCTAACAAGATAGTTAGCTTGTCCTTTGAAGCTTTGAAGCCAGGCATTAACTTTTCTGACTATAAAAGTCCTAGATGGCTTCTTCTTCTAATAAAAGGCTATCTTGTCTACATTGAAAATCTGTTGTTTAGCATAGCCACCATCATCAATAATACTAACTCGATCTTCTGGATAACTTGCTGCAATTTCTACATCAGCATTCGTTGCTTTACCTTGCATGTTTATGTTCTGGTGAAGGCCTCTTTCCTTAAACCTTCTGAACCAACCTCTACTAGCTTCCAACTTTTCTCTTGAAGCTTTCTCACCTCTCCCAGCATTCACAGAATTCAAGAAATTTAGGGACTTGCTCTGGAATAGGCTTTGGCTTAAGGGAATATTGTGGCTGGTTTGATGTTCTATCCAGACTATTAAAACCTTCTCCATATCAGCAATAAAGCTGTTTTGCTTTCTTATTATTCATGTGCTCATGAATAATGGAGGAGGACTTTTAATTTTCTTCAGAAGGCTCAAGGAGAGGGAGAGAGATGGGGGAACAGCCAGTCATTGGAGTAGTCAGAATACACACGACATTTATTTATTTCATCATCTTATATGGGAGAAGTTTGTGGTGATCAAAAACAATTACAATATTAACACTGAAGATCACTGATCATAGATCACAGTAACAGATACAATAATAATGAAAAAGTTTATTACATTGCAAGAATCGCCAAAATGCAACACAGAGACACAAAGGGAGCACATGCTATTAGAAGAATGGTGCCAATAGACTTGCTTGACACAGTTTCCTCTAAACTTAAATTTGCAAAAAAAAAATTCACTATCTGTGAAGTACAATAACTCAAAGCACAATGAAACAAGGTGTGCCTGTATCCAAAAGAATGGAAAGCAGGATCTCAAAAGATATTTGCATACCCATATCCATGGCTTTACTGTTCACAGTATCCAAGAGGTGAAAGCAATTCAACTGTCCATGGCTGGATGAATGAATAAATAAAATGTGGTATATACATACAATGGGATACTATGCAGCCTTAAAAAGTAAGGAAATCCTATCACACACTGCAACATGGATGAATCTTGAGTTCATTACACTATGTTAAATAAGACCCTCACAAAAAAGCAAATACTGATAATTTCACTTACGTGAGGTATCTAGACCAGTCAAACTCATAGATATAAAAAGTAGAATGATAGTTACCAGTGGCTGGGAGAAGGAAGCAAAGGGGAATTCTTGTTTAATGGGTATAGTGTTTCCATTCTGCAAGATGAAAAGGTTCTGGAGATCTGTCGCACAACATTGTGAATGTAGTTAACTGTACACTTAAAAATAGTTAAGATGCTAAAATTATGAGACTTTTTTATACCACCATAAAAACAGAAATAAAATATTTTCATTAAAAATTACCATTTGTACAAAGAAGAAATCTAATTATAAGGTAAGGAATATCTTCTTCTTTTCCTTTACTCTGATCTACTCTCATGTATTTGTTTTCACAAGACTGAGCTCACTATTCACAATACAATGGGGTTGTTAAAAGGCCGGGTGCAGTGGCTCATGCCTGTAATCCCAGCACTTTGGGAGGCCAAGGCGGGCAGATCACGAGGTCAGGAGTTTGAGACCAGACTTGGCCAACATAGTGAAACCCTGTCTCTACTAAAAATACAAAAAAATTAGCCAGGCATGGTGGCGGGTACCTGTAATCCCAGCTACTCAGGAGGCTGAGGCAGGAGAATTGCTTGAACCTAGGAGGCAGAGGTTGCAGTCAGCCGAGTTGGCGCCACTGCACTCCAGCCCAGATGTAAAAAAAGTAAATAAATTAATTTTAAAAAGGCAATTGGTGAAGAAATTAATACACATGGAAATAAAATGCCCTCATGTCAAGCATCTCTCCCTTTTCTCTCAGTTAATGGTGGTCCTTTGCAGAAGGCACTGTTGGACACAACTTCTGAATAGTAAGGAAGACATTGAGAACACAGCTGTCATGGATTTTTGCTGAACACAAAACTTTTTATTCTGATGAATGTAATTTGATTTATTAATGACAGGAAATCATCTTATGAGAAAGAGTTTTTTGAGGATGGAGGGCCTTAGAGACAGGCAGTACAATCACACAGAGAAATTAAACACTGAACAGATAACAATCTTAGACACTAAACACATTTCAAGGCAGAAGAGAAGAGAAATACAGGTCAGGGGCTGGGGAGGGGCTAAGCTGTCTTTATAAAATGGGTTTAGAACAACTGATCCTTGTGACCGTCTCACAGCACACAAGCCTGGTGTGCTATATGGTTATTGAAGGTTTTCTGTCAGAGAAAAATTGCTCCACCATTCTGCAGATTTCATTTAGGAATACAAGGCATATGTCAAAAGCAATGCATTTTATTTGAAGCTATTACATACTTCCTTGTAAAAGAATTTCTTGAGAGAGTTTACATATATTTTAACCAATTTAAGTTTAAAATGTCAATCCTAGATTTAACTCCTTTCCAAGTTACAAACACAATTATTAAAGTTATTACCTATCATTCTGAAGTAGAAGTCCCAAAATGGCAAACTTCATCTTTTGATACCTCAGTTTAGTTTCCACAATTGAAATAGTAGAAGGTAAAAATATCAGATCTCAGGATGCCTATTGTGAATATCATTTAGATTTTGGGAAAGTACTTTGATGTTTGATGATGAAAAAAAGTTATGCATACTGTTAATGAATTTCTGTAAGTCTGATTTTACTATACTGTTATCTCATATTTATAGAACTACATTTTTCTCCTTTTAGAGTTAAGTTTGAGTTAGAGGTGAGCCTTGAAGGTGATTTGAACTCCCAGTAATTAATTTCATCACCACCAATTCAAATAATTATAATATTGTATTGATTTGAGGGCACTATTAATATTTTTATTCAAAAGGAAGTAGTTTTATATAAATATTTATTTCACTGGCCTAGGCTTTAGACATTAAAAGACAATTGCTGCTTAACAATGGAATTGCCCAGCCTGGCATCTATTTTTGCACTACTCTTAGGTTGCATATAGAATAGTTTTGTTTCATTTGTCTTATTTTAAAAATAACTCTAATAGTAAATGATAGCAACATCATCATCCTCATTAATAATAATAATATATACAGTAATGATAATTTGGTCTTATAGTGTGCTTATTATATTCCAGAACAGTACTTAGTACTTTACACATATCAGAGTTCATTCTCACAAAGATCCCATGAGGTAGATACTATTACATTCACTTTAGCAGTGAGAAAAATGAGAGTGAATAGTGGAGTTGCAATTTAAACTCTATAGCCTAGTGATATTTGGCTGTGTCCCCACCCAAATCTCATCTTGAATTGTAGCAACCATAATCCCCACGTGTCATGGAGGGACCCAATGGGAGGCAACTGAATCATGGGGGAGAGTTTTTCCCAAGGTTTTCTAATGATAGTGAATAAGTCTCATGAGATCTGATGGTTTTATACAGGACAGTTCCCCTGCATATGTTCTCTTGACTATGCCATGTAAGATGTGACTTTGTTCCTCTTTCGCCTTCCACCATGATTGTGAGGCCTTCCCAGCCATGTGGAACTGTAAGTACATTAAACCACATTTTCTTTATAAATTACCTAGTCTAGGGTATTTCTTCACAGCAGTATGAAAATGAACTCATACATCTAGCTTCAATGCCTACCCATCCATACCTACTATGTTATCGAATACAAGGTTTAACTGAGATAATATCTGGTTTGATATTTATTATGTTGACGTCATGTGACATATAAATATATTCTTAAATTAAATTATATGTTCATATATGTATTGGTCAGTATAATGCTAGCTGCAGTTACAGACAAAATCCCCCCAATCTCAGTGACTAAATACAGTCTGGTTATCATTCTCATGAAGTTTAACATGTTTTCCCTGACTGGAAAAAGACTTCACATGTGGTTTCCTAGGCTCCTTCCCACTGTGGAAGTCTAGGCCTTGGAGACCTTTGTATCCAGCCAGTAGAGAAGGAAAGAAGAATCATGCATGGAAAGTTGCTATGGGCTGGTGCTGGAACTGCATTTTTCTCTCCATGCATTTTCCATTGCCCAGAACTCAGTCACATGGGCAAGGAAAATTTGGAAATGCTGTTTAACTGTGTGCTCAGGAGGAAGAGAATATTGGGTTGGTGACCAGTTGGCCGCTATCTGCCAAACTGGTCTTTACCTATCTATCTGTTGAATATTCTCTTTATATTTTCTTATTCCAAAATTAATATTTATTGAAAGATATATGTCTACCTTTTCTAGAAATTTCATATGCATATATCAAAGTGACTGATACCAGTATATACCAGTACAGACAAAGAGTCTTGCGAAGGTAGAGTAGGATAGGAAAAATGGCCAAATTCTGGCCAAAGGAGAGACTTGGGTGTCAAGAGAAAGAGCTAGTGAGTGTAGTATTCCATTAGTCAGGTCTCTACTGATGATACTTTTTCTCTTCCATAAGAAGGATTTATCTTCTAAATTACTATTTTCTTATCTGTCCTAGTTACAAGAAATTAAGCTTCCTTGAGAACTTATGAAATTCCTTGAGGAATTATAACTGCATGAGTTATTGATACAAAGCAAGCACCCAAGATATTCTGGGTTTGTTTATTAAGTATTAATTTAGATGTATAATGTCATCCCTCAGTACCAGGGGAGACTGGTTCCAGGACCCCTGCTGATACCAAAGTCTGTGAATACTCAAGTCCCTTATATAAATGGCATAGTATTTGCATACTACCTATGTACATCTTCCTCTGGACTTTAAATCATCTCTAGTACTTATAATATCTAATATAATATAAATGCTATTTAAATAATTATTATATTTTTGTTTCTATCATTTTTATTGTTATATTGTTAATTTTAAGTTTTTTAAAAAAATATTTTTCATTTGAGGTTAATTGAATCCATTGATGTAGAACATGTAAATAGGGAGGTTCAACTACAGGGATAGAGCAAGTGCTTAATAAATCCTGGTGTATAATTGTTTGGGCAATATTGATGTTTAACTGTGGAGTGAAAAAGAGGATCTGAACTATAAATTTAAATTAAATAAAGGCTAATAGAAACACAGACTATTTTACTTTGACATTTACTCTTGAAGGTAGGTATGTGAGAAATGGTTGATTGTAGAGCTTTGGTTTTTAATATATAAAACAGATGAATGTTTAGATTATAGAGGTAAAACCTTAGAAGGAAGACTCAAATAGACACTATCACATGCTTGTTCATAAGGACCAGGACAAAACATAAACAAAGTCACCCCCCATTCCCCTTTAGAGGTAGTAACAGAAGGATGAGAGGGCAAAAAGAAGACAATGATAACTAAAATATGACAATATTCTTTACAGTTATTTTATTGAAATTTGAGATTTATTTATGCTTAAGCAACATGCCAGATACAATATTATCCTTTAAAATTGTAAATTAAATTTTCTGACTATTTTTTAACCTATTTATAAAATGTCTTAACCATATTATCTTATTCTACCTCTAGTTAAGTGCAAAATAATGTACTACTTGGTAAAGACACATCTTAAATTATGACATTAAAAATACTATAACAGGTCCACAATCCTTTATTTAGAGCTCTTGGTACCATAAATGTTGAGGAACTTAGAATTTTTTTTTTGTATTTAGAAATAGCATGTGGAGTATAAATATGTACTTTGAAATACTCCAAAAGCATCCTATAAAATATATTGATATTTCTCCAGAAAATTATGTGAGTATTTACACTAAAATGGATAAAGACCATAAAAAACTTTCATTCTGGTTAGCTTTTGCCAAAAAATTAGTTTGCCACAAACTTATGCAAAAGCTTTAATTTCTCAGAGCCATTTGAATTTTAGAATTATGGAAAGGGAACTGTCGGCTCATAACACCATAAATTATTCAGTGTTTAAATTAGATATTGCTTCTGACCTGCCTCATAAGAAAGCAATTTTAATGAATTACAAGTATTTAAATGCCACAAAATTTTCAAACAATTATTATATAGTGTATTCAAAACCAATGTTTTTGGTGGTTTCCACTCCAACATATAAGGAGCTTAGTTGTTGCCACTCCATCCTAACAACTAAAAAGCTAAACAGTTGAAAAATAAACAATTTTTGGATTTGTCACAGAAGTGAGGTTCTAGGTCAGATTGCTATTCAAAAAATCAGACAGACAAACAGGTAGATAGAGAGAATCACAACTCACTAAAGCAGAAACCCACATCCATGGGAACCACTATTGGAGAAGGAAAACCTAAATTGTAATTGACAAATTTCTGGAAGCTCAGTGTGATGGACAAGCCTGAAAAGGAAAAACTCCAAGGAAACTTAGAACTTAGTCATAGAGCTGTCCTCACAAGTTGTGAGCTTTTACCTCCAAGAATTTCTACCAAGTTTTTAACAGTGAATATCAGATAAAAATACCCTTAGGCTTATAGCAAAAGGAGGGGAAAAGTAACCATTTTGAAACATGCCAGAGCATTCTGTTCTTTCCGGTTATTAAGAGAAATTATTTTACCAGAGCCTAAATTGCTGTGGTTTTATTAGAGTCCAGTTGAGTTGGAGGAAGAAAATTACCCAACTCTAGCCTGCTCTAGGCATCCTGTACCACCAAGAAGAGTGGAAAGACAATAAAAGAGAAAAACTGAGAAGCATTTGTGAAAGTCACAGTCTAGTGTCCAGGTTTACTAAAGACTAAGACCTAATCAAAGGGCTATAGGATGCTTCCCCTCCCATGAAACATCTTACAAATATATTACTAAAGACCTGTTTATCTCATTTCCTTTTACCAAGAACATCATGTATTCCTTCTAACAAAAATTTACAAAGCACACTAAAAGGCCAAAAGCATAACATGAAGAGACAGAACAAGCATCAGAACCAGACGCAGGTATGGCAGGCATGTTGAAATTATCATGCAATAAATTTAAAATAATCATGATTAATATTCTGGGGAATCTAATAGAAAAACTAGACAACATACAATAACTGATGGATAATGTAAGCATAGAGATAGAAATTCTGGGATAGAAATTTTGAGAAAATTAAAAAAATGCTAGAGATAAAAATATTGTAACAGATACTAAGAATGCCATTGATAGGCTCATTAGTAGACTGGACATGGCTGTGGAAAGAATCTCTGAGCATGAGGATATGTCAATAGAAACTTTCAAAACTGAAAAGCAAAGAGAAAAATTCTGAATAAACAGAACAGAATATGTAAGAACTGTGGGATAACCACAAAAGGTATGAAATATACATAATTAAGATAGGAAAAAAAGAGAAAAAACAGAATCTTTGAAGCAATGACTGAAATTAAAAAAAAAAATGTCAAACACCACACCACAGATCCAAGAAATTCAGAAAACACCAAACAAGAAAAATGTGGGAAAAACTACACCTAGCCTTATTATAGTCAAACTACAGAAAATTAATGATAAAGAAAAATCTTGAAAGAAGCCAGAAAATACAACAACTTAGCTAGAGAGGAGCAAAGATAAAAATTACATCTGACTTCTCAGAAACGAGGCAAACAAAAAGATTGGAGTGAAATACTTAGTGATGATTAAAAAAGCCCCAGCTAACTAGAATTCTGTATCTTGAAAAATAATCACTCAAAATGAAGGAGGAATACTTTCTGAGACTAAAAAACAGAAAATAATAAGAGAATGTGTTACCAGGAGACCTGGCTTGCAGGAGATGTTAAAAGAAGCTCTTTAGATTGAAGGAAATAATATAGGTTAATGACTTGGACTTATTTTTTCAAAGAGCATTAGAGGAAGCATAAGTGGAGGTCAAATAAAAATATTTTTTCTCATTCTTAATTATCTAACAGATAAAACTGTGTTTTAATAATACTAGCAACAATCGTACAATAACCATAGTTTATCTATAAATGAAATGTGTGATAACAAGAACATAAGAGAAGTGAGGGAAGAATTAGGAGTATTTCGTTATAGGGTACTTGTACTACTCATGAATCTATATAGTCTTATTTGAAGGTGGTCTTGAGTTCATTGTGAATGTCTATTGCAAACTCTAGAGCAAGCACTAGAAACAGTAAAAATAAAAATATAATTGATACGATAAGAAAGGAGAGAACATGGAACCACATAAAATGCTCAAATAAAATTGCATACGGCAGGAAAAGAGGGCAAGACAAAAACAGGAACAAAGAACAAAGGCAATGAATAGAAAACAGTAACAAACATAGTAGACATTACTCAAACTATATTAATAATCCCTCCGAATGTCAATGGTCTAAATATACCAATGAAAGAACAGAGATAGTCAGAGTGGATCAAAAATCAAGATCCAACCACATGCTGTCCACAAGAAGCCCAATTCAAATATAAATACTCATGTAATTTAAAAATAAAGGAATGAATAAAGATACACCATGCTAATACTAATCAAGAATGCTGGAGTAGCTATACTAATTTCAGATGGAGCAGACTTCAAAGCCAGAAGATTTATCAGGGATAAATAAGGATATTACTTAATGATAAATGGGTCAATTCTCCAAGAAGACAGAACAATCTGTATTGTGTATGCTCCTAACAACAGAGCATCAAAATATATGAGGCAAACACCAACAGTACCACAGGGAGAAATAGATTAGTCTGTTATTATAGTTTGAGACTTCAACAAATGTTAGAAATGGACATATCCAACAGGCAGAAAATCAGTAAGGACACAATTTAACCCAAGATATCCTTCAGCAGGTGGATGTGTAAATAAACTGTGGTATATCCAGACAATGGGATTTTTTTTTTTTTTTTTTTTTTTTTTAGACAGAGTTTCACTCTTGTTCCCCAGGCTGGAGTGTAATGGTGCGTTCTCGGCTCACTGCAACCTCTGCTTCCCGGGTTCAAGTTATTCTCCTGCCTTAGCCTCCCACGTAGCTGGGATTGCAGGCATGTACCACCACACGTGGCTAATATTTTATATTTAGTAGAGATGGGGTTTCACCATGTTGGTCAGGTTGGTCTCGAACTCCTGACCTCAGGTGATCCACCTGCCTCTGTCTCCCAAAGTGCTGGGATTATAGGTGTGTGCCACTGTGCCCAGCCCAAGAATCTTAAATGCATATTACTAAGTGAAATAACACAATCTTAAAAGCTACATACTATATGATTCCAATTAAATGACATTCTGAAAAAAGGCAAAACCATGGAGACAGTAAAAAGATCAGTGGTTGCCAGGGGTTAGGGGGAGGAAGGGATAAATGGGCAGAGCACAAAGGATTTTAAGATACTGAAACTATTTTATATGATACTATAATATAAGTATACACTTGTCAACAGCCATAGAATGTACACTACTGAGCATGAACCCTAATGTGAACTATGGACTTTAAGTGATGATAACGTGTCATTGTAGGTTCACTGATTATAACAAATGTACCATTCTGGTGAGGGATGTTGATAGTAGAAGAGTTGGTATGTGCATGTGGAAATAGGAGGTAGATGAGAGGTATACATAGGTGGTATAAACACACGCACACACATGCACACACACAGATACACACACATATATATGTATACACATATTTATGAAACCAAATATAAATATTAGGTATATGTATGTGTATGTATAAATATATATAAATAGGAGGTGCATACACACATATATGCACACATATACACATATATGCACACATATGTATATACACATATACACATATATGTAAACATGCATAATATATATTTACATATATATTTAAACATTGTTGCTTTCAAACCACTCACTGAATCTTTGGCTTTCTTTTTCACTCTTCCCTCACTTTTTAAAAATATTCTTTAACATGAAGTTAAACCAAAAGCTTAGTTGCCCTTTTGCATTCATGTTAGATTGAATCATACAGACTTGTTATATGAGTCAAAAAAAAGTCAAATATTGACAATTTTAAGTAGTACTAATTAAAAATTAACAATAGAAAAAATAGTAAAAATCTAATGCCTAATTTACAAAGTAATGTATTAAAGATGATGTATTTCTTTGCTTGCACATAATTTGAGACAGACTAAAGAAATCATTTGGGTTTCAACCAAGATATAGCCTGTGAAAAAATATTTTCCAGGATCATAGGAAATCGAGTCCTCATACCTTACATGTGAGAGGGTCAAAAAAAATGTTTTCTTGATTAGGGCAATATCTAGTCAACAACAAAGAAACTAAGGAGACATTATTTCTTTACCAACAAACGAAATCTCAATACATTCATAGTACACAACAAATTATGAAGAAATAGAATGCAGAATGAGTATTGATCTAATTTTCACTCATATCTTACCCTAGGGTCAAATATACAGTGAAATATACCTCAGGATAGACACCATATATATCAGACTTACATAGAAATATCCCTCTAGGTTGGTGCATGAGAATTTGCAAGCTTCCCAATGCTATAATAGTTGATAGGTTTTGGATCTGTGTCCCCACCCAAATCTCATGTTCAATAATAATCCCCAGTGTTGGAGGTGGGGCCTGGTGGGAGGTGACTGGATCATGGGGGTGGTTTCTCATGGTTTAACACCATTCCCCCTTGGTGCTATCATCACCATAGTGAGTTCTCATGAACTCTGGTTGTTTGGAAGTGTGTGGTACCTCCCCTCCTCTCTCTCTTGCTCCTGCTCTGGCCATGTAAGACGTCTGCTCCCTCTTTGCCTTTCAGCCATGAGTAAAAGCTCCCTAAGGCTCTCCAGAAGCAGATGCTGTCCAGCCTGAGGAAGTGTGAGTCAATTAAAGCTCTTTCCTTAGATTAACCCAGTCTCAGGTAATTCCTTATAGCAGTACAAGAATAGACTAATACACTGGTCAATTTTATCATTTGAAGTAAAACAATACAAAACAACAATAACACAAAACCTAGTGAATTCTACATTTTTTCGACTCTGGAAAAGGGTGATATGGCCTCAAGATTTTACAAAGTGTTAGCATTTGTACAAGGACTATCTTTAACTTAAGCAATCACATTCCCCTTCCCCCTTTTGTTATTTGTGTGACCTTGGACGATTTATTTTACCTAAGTCTGAGATCCTTCATTAAAAACAGAATAATAACAGTACCTACCTCACAGGATTATAATGAGGAATAAATGAGATAGTGTTTCAGAACAAAAACTGATCAAAAATTATTTCCCAAAGAAAAAAGATGATATAATGCATCAAATGAGTAACATTAACTATTTTAACAATTAGCTTTAAAACTTTCTTAAAAATTTAAAGAAGCAACTCTAAATGTTTACCACAGTTGTAAAATCTCACACGAGGTTATTTTTGAGGGTAATGTTTTCGACACCTGAGGAATTCAGGAATCTAAAAGTATTTGGTGAGGCAGCACATATCCTCTGACCAATGGGGAAATAAAACCTTGATAGGCACATAATTGTGAGTTTCTAAATATCTTAATTTCCAGTATTTTGATTACATAAAATGTTATCAAGTATTTCACATTTTGTTTGTGTTTTTCAATCCTATACAAATTATTTTATGTCATCTATTGAGAGGATGAAACTTTCAGGACCATCACTTTTGCTTACCAATGATTTATTATCACGGTTAGACCTGATCCTCAAAAATCGCCTTTTAGTCACTCCAATTTGTTTTTCCTCTAGGCTAATAAGAAAAGACCCTCATGTCTTGTCTTCCTCAATATTTTCTATTATAGCAAAACCCACTAACTGTCACAATAGGGGTGAAATAAAGTGCTATCAAAATTTTTAGTTTTGTAGCAAATGCTGTACATTCAGCAGATTAGTGGGTAAAGTTTTATCCATAATCTATCTTTGTTGTATGTTGGGAAAGGCATGAAATACAGAAGTAGATTTAAAATGAATGCAAAGTTCTGACTTCCTTAATCTCTCTAAATCTATTGCCTCATCATAGACTTGAGCCGAGAGTAATCAAAGAGCCAATGGTTATCACCTACTTACATTTTACAGATGAAGAAATTGGGATATAGATATGTAGATGAATAAATAATCACTAGAAATGGTCATAAACTTTTCATCAAATAAACCTCTTGGCTTTATAGAATATGCCATTTATGAAAATAAAATGATTTGGCTTTATTCTTTAGCCAAAGTAAAATAAAATAAATCAAGGAAGAAAAGCAAGTGTGCCTGATACGAACTTTCTAATTATGTAAATCAACAAGTACTTTATGAGGCAAACCATGTTATATTCTCTTATATTTATGAATTTGAAAGTAATATTTGTTAAAAACTGTAATTGTGGCTATTCAATATATTGGTTTGAAATCCAGTATTGATCTATTACTTTTTGGACAAAAGCAAATAATATTGTTTTATTTTACAACTCAGAGGAACTGTAAACCAAAGTATAATGTAAAGGTGTCAATTTACATGAAACAGAATAGTCCAAACAGCTAAATAAATAACTAAATATGCCCTTGAACTTTTTATAAAAACACAAATGGGCAGAAGGCATGTATAGTGTGGATACACTGGACAAAGGGAGGATTCACAACTCAGGCAGGACTGAGAGGATCAGCACAAAATTTCACCACACTACTGAGGACAAAGAATGGTTTAAAACTCATGAATTGTTTATTTCTGAAATTTTGCATTCAATATTTTTGGACCATGGTTAACCCCAGATAACTGAAACCATGGAAAGCCAAACCAAAGATCGGGGGACTACTGTAGAGTCACTGGAAAGAATTACCTGCCAGAATGCAAAATGATATAGCCACTTTGACAATCAGTTGGGCATTTTTAAAAAATGTAACATATGTTTATAGAATCAAAAAAAATCTCACACTTATTTACCCAAAATAAATGAAAACATAAGTTCACACAAAAACCTGTTTGTAAATGTTTACAGCCACTTTATTTATAATTGCAAAAAAACTGGAGAAAGCACAAATGTGCTTCAGTTGGTAAATAAATTGTGGTAGATCCATATATTGCGATACTAATCAGTAGGTACTGTGTGAGTCAACTGATCTGACATTCTGAAAAAGGCAGAAATATAGAGACAAAAAACAGGTTAGTGATTGTCAGTGGGTAGGGATTGGGGCAGGCATGTACTCCAGAATGGAAAGTGGGAATTTGGGGGGATATTTTTTGGGATTTTATAGTGAATCTTCTCTATATCTTAATTTGTTGGTAGTTATACAACTATATATGGTTGTTAAAACTCATAGTACTTTACACTAAAAATGGTGAATTTTGTTGTATATAAAGTATACCATAAAAGCTAGACTGAAAAATAACACTAGGGCCTATTTGCTTTGGGGGATAGGGGCTGAAATGACCGTGATCATGATCGGAGCTTGGAAAGTACATCATACAGCAGTTGGAAAGTGACCCTGAAAGCTTCACAGAAGCATGCCATAGATGAATGACACTTGATCACGAGAATGACTGGAAAGCATTCACTAAAGCTTCTAGGAATGACATGGGGAGGAGAACAGCAGGGGAAAACAATTCACTCCCTGACTAAGTAGGAGCTCAGAACTGTTATGGTTTGCACAATAATGAGGCAAAGCCTGTTTTTGTGGTCTTAAGCTGGAAAAGAATATAATTATCCCATATTTGATCCTTTGCAGCACACAATGTGTGTTTGGATTTAGAATCTGTGATAATCCTCATTCCAAAAGCAACGATAACTGCAGGAAAGTATCAGTGTTCTCATTTTTATAAATGAATTATATGAGACAAAGAAAGATTAAATAATTAACCCAAAGTGACAAAGGTATTAGAGCCAGGATTTATTCCTAGGTCTCCTGAATCTAAACACTGTTCTTTTCCCAGTATACGGTTGATCTCCTATGGACTAGCAGCCACCTAGAAGGAAGGGCATAGCAGTAGGTAGGCACCAGTGGGCAGGCTGAATTGAGGAGACTTGGAGCCACCCTGATGTCCCAATGCATACTGAAGCCAGATGATTTCTGCTTTTATCAGCGGAGCTTGGTGAAGTGAAAGCACCCTCCCCACTCCACATACACTACCCTACTACTTTCCTAACCAAAGAAGAAAATCAAGAACCAAGAAGAAACTCGTCATTTCCTGCCATTTTCCTGGAGGAGGTCAAACACAGGGGGAAGGGCTCACTTAGCATATGAAGTCTTGGGTTTCCAGGTTAGAAAACAAGGTCCAAATGTTTTTAATGAAATATGAAATTCTTATGCAGGCCATAAGGTTGTTTTTGAAAAAGAAAAACACTGTCATAGGGCAAGGTGTAATTGACTCTACACTTCGGAGGAAATTAAACCCTTAGCCAGAGAAGTAAAATGCCTACTGTCAATATTATTCCTCCACTCTTCCCCACCCCAAGAGGCTATCACTAGACCTCCCTACTTCTATACATGGGAGTGGCCATAAAACCAGACAAAGGTGGAGATTTCAGTTTCAGAGGATGCTAGAAGTGTGAAATGTTCAAACATAAAAAGATACTTGAGACCTGATCATTTCTTTTGGGAAAGATTACTCAACCCAGGAAATGGTCCAAACTATGAAACCCTGTTCATGTAAGAAGATGCAGGAGAGGTGGGGGCAGCTCCTCTTTCATAGTTACTCTCCTCATGGGCATGAGATTCTTTGTGGACTCTTGAAACACAAAAAGCATTCCCCCACTGATTACTATAGATTTGGAGGCAGTGAGGCTCAACCCAGTATAGATGATGTAGATTGACACAGCTGAAGAGTGAGTAAAATTGATTACCTGGATGCAGACACTTGTTTCCCGCCCCCACCCAAGATAGCCAGATATGCATCCTCTGGGGAAGGAAAAGAAGACATCTACACCACATGGTATATACACTGTATATATTGGAATTCTGTCAAAGACAAAAAAAGGCCTTGAAAGCCTCTATATTTTACCTTCTTCCTTTTCTGCGGGCAATGGAACCAAGTACAATTTGGAAATTTTTATCAAGTTATTTAAAATAGAGGTTTAAAATTATTGGCAAGACTGGGCACAGTGGCTCATGCCTATAATCACAGCATTTTGGGAAGCCAACTGGAAGACTGCTTGAACCCAGGACTTTGAGACTGGTATGGGCAAGATAAAAAAGCCCATTTCTACAAAAAATTAGCCAGGTATAGTGGTGCACACCTGTAGTCTCAGATATTTGGGAGGCTGAGGTGGGGAGGATCAACTGAGCCCAGGAGGTCGAGGCTGCAGTGAGCCATGATCACTCCATTGCACTCCAGCCTAGGTGACAGAGTGAGACCCCATCTCTACAAAAAAAAAAAAAAAAAAAAAAAAAAAAATCATTGGCAAGTCATTCTGAATGAAGGCCTAAAATATAGGCTGGTTAGTGATATTAAAGGGATACGCTGCCATTCACCATTGCATCCTAGTAAGTTGAATGGTGGCATTTGTTAATAATTATGAACCAGCTGAGTAAAAAAATACGAAAAATTTATAGCATACATGTATTTACACAAGACAATGAAAATAGCTTGCTAGAAACCAAGCCAAGAGATAACTTTTAATACAGCATCTATTGAATGGTTATTGTGTGGCATTAGAAAAAGAAAGATTCAATTTTGTAAAGAGTAGCCCAAATGAAGATCTACTAAGGATATTTGCTTAATCTTTTTATAATATTTATTTTCTGTAGAGACAGAGGGAAGATGACATTCTCATGCTCAGCATATTTCAAAGATTGAAGCCAAATATTTATAGAGCACGAAGCAGGTTTTTAAGGAATTACTAGGGAAGTATAACAATTCATCATTCATAATAAAAGAGTTGATGTTAGTAAAGCTATTAGAATAGTTCCTGGCATATTAAAGCACTGTGTAAATGTCTGACAAAATAAAAGGTATTACCATACCTGTGTTACAATTTCCTTACTGTTACTTCATTATAGCTGTGACATGATCATTATGCCCTATATAGCACGTGCAATGTTCATTAAACAACGTATAACTCCTTTAGTCTTATCTCCCACTCATGATCACATATCAGAATATAAATGAGTTGATTATTTTGTTTACCAAATATTTATTGAGCACCTGTTATGTACCAGGCTCTGTTCTAGAGGCTGAGGTGTAGTAGCAGACTAAAACACAAGATCCTGTTCTCATGGGAAACTATCTTGTACTAGGGAGGGAAGATAATCAAAAACAAGTAAGCAAGATAATTTTAGACTTTGAAGTGTATGATGAAAAATCAAATAAGGTATTGTAATTGTGACAGGAAGATAAAGAAGTTGTCAGTTTTAGTGACAGCAAAACAACTTTACAAAATAACCTCTCTTAGAAAATAGAAGTGAGCTATTTTTTTGTATCTCACATCAGATCATAACTGGTCACTACCCAAAATGTACACACTTCACTCATTCTCTGAAACATCCTATTATGCTGTATATCTTTCACATAGGTTACCTCCTCTGACTCCCAGATCTTCCAGCTGTACCCTCTGAAACCACCCCCTTCCATAGCAGACACATCTCTTTGTCCCCTTAATTTTTGTAGAACAGAACATGCTTCCTGTTTCTCCTTGCCATATGTTGAACCTGGCCTTCCCTGAGTCCCTGCCTTATTTGTGCAGTTTGTCGATTTATACTGCATGGTTGTCCAAATCCTACAAATTGCCAAGGTCTAGACATTGGGCTGCTATACTCCTAGACCTACACTGCCCCTTACAGCCATTTATTCTTCTACAGTTACGTGAAAATAACTCTTCCTTTGAAATCTGTGTTATCCAATTAAACAGTCCCTGCTCCTGCCTCTTTATCATTTACCTATTGTCCACTTCCCAGAATTTAAAGAAGTACTTATCACCTAGCCCACAGTCTTCCTTTCCATCCTAAATGGCATCCCTGTCCTGAGTGAATTCCATGTCCTTAAACAAATATCTGGTCTAGTAATTCCACATACTCCTCAATTCAAATGACATTCATTTTCATGCCATTTCAGCCAGACAGGCTTAAGCTCATATCCTAGATCTTGTTATCATAATGAATGCTTTTTTAAAAATACAAAATCTGAATTTTCAATTATCTAATTAAAACTTACTCTATTTACAAACTTTCAATATCTTATACCCGCTATGCCTGTTACCTGCCTTCATAAAGGTGTCCAATTCTTTGGGTCAAATTTCTCCCAATCTACCAGTCTCTGCTCACTTTCATTTTCTTCTCATTCAACTTAAATATTTAATTATATCCTTAAGCATCCTCTCACCGATATCCACAACTAGCTTACCCCTCCACCTCTAGCTGACTCCAATATGGAAAACATCTGTTCTCTATCAGTCTGACTCTACCACCCATTGAACCTGCCACAGAGTTTGGGAAACTTACCTATTATATTGCTCAACATTTCTTGGATCTCTCATGTAAAAATCCACCCAACTGAAACTTTATTTATAAGTGAATGTATATTTTTATTTTAAATTGCACATTGCTTCAAAATATAATGGTAGAAATAATAAAAATAAACTAAATGTTTTTATTTCTACTGTTTAACATCTACTCTGTTGACAGCCATTAAATTATCTTGTATACTTGGTTTCTCTGGGATACAACAATTAATCCTATCTTATTATTTTTACAGTGAAATGATTACACTGCATTTTTTTTACAATTGTGGTGTTGGTGAGTGCTATTCTATGTGTGCTGACAGAGGTGAGATAGGGAGGGGAATTATAAATGGATCAATGCATCAGAATTACCATTAGCTAATTACTCTAGCCCTGTGGCTCCCATATAATAGCAGCTAGCCACATGTACCAATTTAAATTTAAATCAGGTAAAATTAAGTAAAATTAAAAATTTTGTTCTTGAGTCATACTAACCATATTTCCCATGCTCAATAGCCACACATAGCCAGTGGTGGCCATACTAGACAGAGCAGAGCATTTCTGTCATTTGCAAACCTTTCTATCGAACAGTGTTGCTCCAGCTAAACTGAATTCTATACTGTACATGGATAGGTTATCAATAGGAGGCATAAAATGAGACAAAATGAAGTCCTAGGTTTTTGTACTTTTGATATATCTGCAAATAAAATTAATAAAGTTACAGATTCAGAGGTTAATTCCCCCATAAGCATGTGCATAGATCTTCTTTAAATGTTAACAGGAGAATGTTAATGATAGATACTCCAGTACAACATGAGAATGGTTTTTATACTTTGGAAATCTATTTTCTCTCCATTCTGATCTACTTAACCTGAAATTTTGCTTGGCATTTGCATAACTAAGTTGTGATTTATAAAATTAAATAAATTCACATTCTAACGTTTCAACCCTAAATCTATTTTTCTTTTGTAGTCTAAATTCAAAATGGTGTAAGATATACTGATACATTTCCCTAAAAATGTATTGAACAGTTAACAATTATGGATGTCTTTTTAAATTACTTAATTTCACTTCTCAAGAGTTAACAGGCCAGATCAACACTGTTATGACAGCATGAAGAGCTCTGTAGACCCATACCTCAGCAAAATTGGTGAAAATTATAAAACATACAACGAACAAAAAGTCTCTGGAAGTCATCCTAAGGACATACAGTAAATGAGGAAACATCTATTCAAAAATAACAGCTAAGATTTAGTAATAACAGTGAGAGTCTGTGGTATTTGAACCAAGATCACTCTCACAACAACCCCCTTCCAGTTGAGACAGAAACTTCACTCTACACTGATGTAGCAAAAATTCAAAGCTACCAGTAAGAGGGCTATCTACCCAGGAGGGGCAAGATCTCAGCATTTCTCATCTGGCATTCAGCTCCTTATTGCTAAAGCCAAGTTCTAGGTAAATGTAGTCAAAGTGGGAGCACATCTCTTTCAATCAGGCTTCACTCATAGAATGAAAGCTTCACCTACACTAGAGCTCAGTTCCTAAGGTAGAGGTGTCAGTTGGAGAGAAGTACGTCATTGTCCTCACTCCCAGCTCCGGAGACTTTGCCTGGGAGGAGAAGGAGACCATAATGTAGCACTTAATCTCTTACTAAAGGAACTAAATTAATTTGCAACAGAGCAAAGAGAAGTTTTAGGCTAAGGGAACTTCCAAAAACTAAATAGAGGTTTTAGTGGACGGCAACTGGAAGGAGATTGGCAGATTAATTGAAAATATAGACTAAACTGTAGGGCAGTTAAGTTTGCAGGAGAGAACAAGGAAAGAGACAATTAGGAGGTGCCTTCCTGGGGACAGAACAAATCTCAAACACTGACATTGGTAACCATTCCTTCAAAGGCACCTGAGTTTTATTGCCTTAGTCTGTACAGCATTAGTCTGAACAGCAAATTATACTCCAGTGCATTGTTGAAAATAATAGAAATATCAGCCAGTAATTAGTGGCAACTAATAGCTGGGTGTGATTAGAGAAATAAATAGTCTAAGAGAGCTTAACAAAACCACTGTCATCCAGGGTGAGTGTGGGCATACCCAAAGCTCCACTTCCCTGAGAAGCAACATCAGACCCTTAACATGATGTAGTAGAAAGGGAAAAATAGACTTCACTGAAATAATCAAGAAAGTCACTAACCAAATAAACAAGCAAATAACAATAACAAACCCTGTGTTGGGGGTTAGGAGGTGGGAAATACCTGTAGTATTTAAAATGGGAAGTTTCCCACAACAACAACAACAAAACCCTAATATATGCAAAGGAACAGGAAAGTATGGCCCGTATACTGGAAATAAATAGGCAACAGAAACTGTATGAGTGAGCAGATGTTAGGTTTAACAGAATAAGATGTCAAAGTAGCCATTATAAATATGTTGGAAAAACAAAAAGAAGCGATGATTAAAGATGTAAAGGAAGATATGATGAGAATTTCACATCAATAAATAGAAATAATAAAAAGAATCAAATGGAAATTCTGGAGTTGAAAAGTATAGTGATTGTAATAAAAAAATCTACTAGAAGGGATTAACAGTAGATTTGACCTGATAGAAGAAAGAGGAAAAAAAAGAAAACACAAAATACAACTTTTTTAAAAGTGAAACACTTAGATTCAAAGATACAAATATACTGAAAGTAAAAGAATGGAAAAAGATATATAATGAATATAGAAACCATAAAAGGTTGAGTGGCTACATTAATATAAGACAAAATAGACTTTAAAACAAAAAACTGCTACTAGAGATAAAACGAGACATCTTACAATGACAAAATCTATCAGGAAGATATGACAATTATAAACTATATGAACCTAATAATACAGTATTATACCAATAAACAGGAAAAAATAACATCAATGAAAGATGACTAGACAATTAAATAATAATAGATAATAGTTGAAGATTTCAACACTCCACTTCCTGGAATAGATAGAATAACTAGGCAGAGGAACAACAACAAAAACCAGAAGACCTAAAAACAACATTATACTCCAGCTAGACCTAATGGACATTGATAGAACATTCTACCCAACAACAGCAATATATATGTATTCTTTTCAAGTGCATGTGGATCATTCTGCAGGTTAGACAATATTCTAGGACATAAAGCCAATCTTCATGAATGCAAATTTATTGAAATAGTATAAAATGTGTTCTGACTTCAACAAAAATTAAATTAGAAATCACAAACTCACAAATATGTAGAAATTAAGCAATACATGCACAAATAACCAACTGGTCAATAAAGAAATCAAAAGTTAAGTTAGAAAATACTTTTAAGTAAATGAAAATGATGACACAACATACCCAATCTTGTGAGATGCAACTAAAGCAGTGCTTAGTGGAAAATTTCTAGCTGTAGGCACTTATATTAAAAAAGAATAAAGATCTCAAATCAAAAACTGAAAATTCCACCTTAACACACAGGAAAACAAAGGACAAACAAAACGTAGTACAAGCAAAAGAAAGAAAATAATGAAGATTTGAGTGGAAATTAATGAAATAGAGAATAGAGAAACAATAGGCAAAAACGAATAAAATCAAAAGCTGGTTCTTTGAAAAGGTCAACAAAAAGACAAAACTTTAGTAGATCAACAATGAAAAGAAAGAAAAACTAATGTTCCAAATATAAGTGAAACAGGGAACTAACAGAAATAAAAAAGACTATAAAGAATACTATGAACAATTAAATGCCAATAAATTAGTACCTTAGATGACATGGAAAAACTCCTAGAAATACACAAACTACTGAAACTGACTTAAGCATAAGCAATCATGGTAGACATATAAGTGTAGGCACTGAGTTAGTAGTCAAAAACTATTATAAAGAAAAGCCAAGTCCCAAATTGCTTCACTTTTGAATTCTACCAAACGTTTAAAAACAGATGACTATCAATTATTCACTCTTCTAAGAAATAGAAGAAAAGGGAACAGTTGCCAACTTTATGTATGAATTGAATATTACTCTGATACCAAAACCAGCTACAGACATCACAAAGAAAGAAAACTAAAGACTACTATTTTTTATAAATATGGATACAAACATCCTCAACAAAATATTAGCAAACCAAGTCCAGAAGCACATGAATATAATTGTACCTATTATATGATCTACTAAGATTTATTCAGGACTATATTGAATTAATATCTAAAAAACTGTCAATCATATCAACAGAATAAAAATATTGTCTCAATAGACACACAAAAAGCATTTGACAAAATCCAACATCATTTCATGAGAAAAACTTAACAAACTAGAAATCAAAGGGAACTTAATGAATCTCAGAGAAACGTCTACCAAAACCCTTTCTTTCCTTTCTTCTATTGGGTCACATCAAAGTATTTTCTAACTTACCTTTTGATTTCTTCATTGACTGAATGGTTATTTATGAATGTATTGTTTAATTTCTACATATTTTTGAGTTTGCAAATGTCATTTTTTATTGATTTCTAATTTAATTTTTATTGGAGTCAGAACACATTTTGTACTATTTCAATAAATTTGTATTCATGAAGATTGGCTTTACGTCCTAGAATATGGCCTAATTTGGAGAATGATCCATAGCAATTGAAAAGAATACATGTATGTTGCTGTTGTTGGGTGGAGTAGTCTATCCTATTAGGTCTAGCTGGAGTATAATGTTGTTTAAGTCTTCTTTTTGTTGTTGTTATTCTTCTGCCTAGTTATTCTAACCATTCCAGGAAGTAGGGTATTGAAGTCTTGAAATAGTATCTACTTCAGCTAATATCATACTTAATGTTGAAAGACTGGATGAATTAACCAAAGATCAGAATAAAGACAAGGATGCATGCTCTCACTATTTCTATTCAAAATTGTCCTGGAGATTCTAGCTAGTGAAGTTAGATAAGAAGGAGATAGGGCCATTTAGAACGGAAAAAAAAGAAAGAAAACCAACTTTATTCACAGATGACATAATCTCATACGGAGAAATTCCTAAGCAGTCTCCTAAAACTCTATTAGAAATAATTATAGAAAGTTGAAAATGGAAGGATACAAGATTCATATACAAAAATCAATAGTATTTCTGTACATTTGTAATGAACAATGCAAAAATGAATTTTGTATCTATTTATTTTAATTTAAGTCCAAGATTTTTTTTCAAATTTATTTTATAATCAGGGATTACATATGCAGGTTTGTTACAAAGGCATATTGCATGATGCTAAGGTTTGAAGTATGAATGAATCCATCACCAAGGTAGTGAGCATAGTATCCAATAGGTAGCACTTCAACACTTTCCCTCTTCCATCTGGTATTTCCCAGGATCTGTTGCTCTCATCTTTATTTCCATGTGTACCTAATGCTTAGGGCCCACTTATAAGTGAGAACATATGGTCTTCTGTTTTTGTATTAATTTGCTTAGAATAATGGCTTCCAGCTGCAGTTATCTTGCTAGAAAGAAAATGATTTCATTCTTCTTTTACGGCTGCATAGTATTCCATGGCATGTATGTACAATATTTTCTTTATCAAGTCCACTGTTGATGGGAACCTGGCTTGATTCCATGTCTTTGCTATTGCGAATAGCACTGTGATTAACATACAGGTACATATGTCTTTTTGGTAAAATAATTTATTTTCCTATGGGTGTATATATACCCAGTAATGGGATTACTGGGTCAAATGGTAGTTCAACTCTTAGTTTAAGTTCCTTACGCATTCTGGATGTTGAACTTTTGTCAGATGCATAATTCGCAAATATATTTTTTCCAATTCTGTATGTTTTCTGTTGATAATTTATTTTGCTGTGCATAAGCTCTTTAGTTTAACTAGGTTCCACTTGTCAATTTTTGTTGCATTTATTTTTGAGTACTTACTAATTAATTTTTTGCCAAAGCGGATGTCCAGAAGGGTATTTCCTAGGTTTTCTTGGAGAATTTTAATAGTTTGAGGTTTTTAATCCATCTTGGATTAGTTTTTCTGATATGGTGAAAGATAGGTTTCTGGTTTTATTCTTTTGCATATCAACAGCCAATTATCCCAGCAGCATTTGTTGAATGGGGTGTCTGTTCCCTATTGCTTATTTGCATTCACATTGTCAAAGATGGTTGTAGGTGTGTGGCTTTATTTCTGGGGTCTCTATTGTTTTTGATTGTTTTATATATCTGTTTTTGTACCAATACCATGCTGTTTTGGTTAGTGTGGCTCTGAAGTATAGTTTGAGGTGGGGTAATGTGATCGTCTGGCTTTGTTCTTTTTGCATAGGATTGCTTTGACTTTTCTGGTTATAAAAGAACAAAGCCACAAGCATCACATTACCTCACATCAAACTATACTTCAAAGTATACACTTCGCATATATACTTTATATATAAATAAGTATATATACTTTACATAAATATATACACATATACTTTATATATAAATATATACACATATATTTATAGGTAAGTATATATACTCTATATACTTTATATATATACTCCATATATGTAGAAATACCACAAAATGAAAACATATATTCACATAAAAATTTGCACATGAATTTCATAGCAGCATTATTCATAATAGCCAAAAAGTAAAAACAACCCAAATGTCCATCAATTGATAAATAGATAAGCAAAATTTGGTATTGTATAGCTGTACAATGACATATTATTGTCCATTGGGCTGAATAATGAAGGAATGAAATATGGACCCATACTACAAAATGGACAGATCTTAAAAAATAATATTCTATGTTAAAGAAAGCAGTCATAAAGATGACATCATATATGATTCCCTATGTGAAATGTCTAGAATAGAAAAATCTACAGAGCCAGAGGTAGTTTAATGGTTGCTTAGAGATGAGTAAGATGGGAAGAAAGAGAGTCATAGTTAAGGGGTATAATGTTTCTTTGTGAGGTGATGGAAATCAAAAATTAACCATAGTGATGGTTGCATATATCTGCAAGTATACTAAGAACCACTGAAATGTACACTTTAAATTGGTGAATTGCATGGTATATGAATCTTTACAAATAATGCTACTAAAAAAGAAAGAGTTGATGGAATGGGTTAGCCAATTCCCTTTCAATATAAACCATAGATTTGCTTACCTCTTTTTTATCTATATGAAATCACTCTTTTTCTCCATGAATGCTCCCCAGTATTATATACCTTTTGAGGTCAGGAATAACAGATGAAGGAGAAAATGTGATTAACTGCCAGAAGAATATACTGGTGGGCAGAAAAAGAAAGGCCCAGCCTTTTCTTATATTTATGCTATCTATTACATGATTTGTAGAGAAAAAGCTTGCAAAATTATGAATAAACTGACTTGAAAAAGAGAAAATATATGGGGAAACAAAGATATGTGCCCATAGATGGTATATTTTTGGACAACACTTTTTAAATATATGAAAATTAAAAGTTAGTGTTTCAGTAATGAGGCACAGGTTCAGTATGTCCACGTGACAAGTGTTCAATCAATGTTTGCTTGCTTGTCAATTAAATTAATGAATGACCAGGAGATGTGCTACAGAGGATCTGCAGGGAAAACACTTCCATGAGTTTAGTACATAGATGGCCCTTGAAATGTATTTATTTTCCTCCTCACTCTTCTTCCCCTTCCACATGCTTCACTTACATTTTTCATCACCATATACTTATAGTTGCTGAGTAGAATGTAAAAAACAATGTGGAGAGAGAAGACAATGACAGTTTTCTTAAACTGCTTGCTAACAGTCCTTCAGAAAACTTAAAGTAGATTTTGTACAGTGGATTTTTGAGCTGAAGAGACCACCTAGTGCAACTCCCTCATTTTTATGATGTCTAAATTCAGAGAAGTAGGTGTATTGTCCCTCAACACTTTTTTTTGATACAGATAATGCTGAGTTTTTTTTTTTTTTTTTTAGACAGTCTGCTCCATTGCCCATGCTGGAGTGCAGTGGCACAATCATAGTTTATTGGCTGTGTGCTCTAACTCCTGGGCTGGCTTAATCAATCCTCCCACCTCTGCCTCTTGAGTAGCTGGGACTGTAGGTGTGTTCCATCACACCTGGCTAGATAATGCTAATTTTTTTATTTTCTTTTATAATATCTATATACTCACAATAATGGTTACATTGTTATTATGAATATAACACACTAAGAAATATTATAAAAATATAATGTTATTTTCTAAGGCAATTATGAATGTACATATAATATGTTTATTGACTAGTATCTTTATGAGCTTATTTTTATAGGTCAATGTTTATTGGTAATTTCCTTTACAGGGTTGGGAGTGGAGTACCTGTGTGAGCTGGGACCAGATGTTTCAGAGGAAGATGATGCTGATAATTTTGAGCTGTACAGCGTTATCTCAGGAATGGCAAAGGTGTTCCCCTATGCCATGCTCATGAGACACCTTTCCTTTTTCCCTGAGAGAGTCTTGCTCTGTTACCAGGCTGGAGTGCAGTGGTGCAATCTCGGCTCACTGCAACCTCTGCCTCAAAGGTTCAAGCAATTCTCCTGTCTCAGCCTCCCGAGTAGCTGGAACTACAGGCATGTACCACTATGCCCAGCTAATTGTTGTATTTTTTTAGTAGAGATGGGGTTTCACCATGTTGGCCTGGTTGGTATCGAAGCCCTGACCTCGTAATCCACCTGCCTCGGCCTCCCAAAGTGCTGGGATTACAGGTGTGAGCCACCATGCCCAGCCTGACAACTTTTAATTGATAATTTTTCCTTCTGAGCCAGAACATAATATATCAGCAGGATAGGAAGCCACTAGCAAGTATTTGCAACTAAGACAAAAGATGAAAACTATTTGTCATTTCTAAAATGGAGGATATTCAATTGTCATTCTGACTGGGAACATATCTCATCCAAGAAATCCAGGTTAGGTAGATAACAAATAGTCTTGTAGACTTGTCCAATCATTCGGCATTTATCCTGACTGTCCATGAGGAGTCTAATTTCTAAGAGATAATGTGGTCCGTACAGTCAACCTGCTCAGGAGCTGGCCAGTTGCTCAGAGTGGGAAGCCAGTCAAAAGGCCTATAAAACACAACCTTCTCTTTGCAAGTATTGTAGATTGTCAATGTCAGAATTTCCTTGAATGTTATACTATACCACGATTCAACACTCTGTTGGGTATTTAGGATTCAACTATGAATAAAAACATTGTGTTTGCCCTCAATTTATTTCATTCTAACTATCATAGAGTAAGGAAATTTAAACCTATGTATGTTTTTATACCAGTCTTTTCCTCCCATAGTTCTTTATTTTCCATTAAACTGGCAAAATTCTTGCGGAACATATCAGTCAGTTTCAGTCTTGATAAGAAAGACTAGGAAGAGATTTGCAACTGTAATTGGATCAAGATCTCAATGTCCACATCATATTCTTGAGACCTGGTGATATTCTCCCAAATTAAATCAAAGAATCCCAAAAGGTTAAAACTCTGGACAGTGTAAGCACTTGATAATGTCTCTTCCATCTCAAGGGAACAAAAATATCCATATTATTAATTATGGGCAAAGGTTATCTAAAATACCTCAGTGCCTGGAAACTTCTCTGCAGACAACATAAAATGCTAATTTCTATTTTTTCTACTCAGAAGTACTGAATAATGCTGTTATAACAAAGAAGTTATTAACATTCAAAAACATGACTTAGAGAGAGATGGTGATTTCATACTGAATTATTTTCTAAAGGAATTATAAACATGAATATAGAAAATGTAACAAAAATAAAATGTAAACAGTTTAAACTCTGAAATGGTAGGTCCTCACAGAAAAACAAGAAAGTAAATCTTAAGGAATATGTTCCTATATTTTAGAAATTAGGACAATATATCTTAATGTACATCAACAGTCTCAGTGTAAGAGTGATTGTAATTCAGTTATTCCTAGTAACTATATGATAGATGGTTCAGAAAGCATAATCATTTTTAGTATAGTAGGGTACAATTCAATACAACTTCTCTTTACGTGAATTCTTCCTAAATAGACTGAGATTAGCATGCATTCCAAAGCACTAATTTTTTAGCGCTGCAAATAATGCGAACTACATTTCCTAATCACGGACTGTAGGTTTGTTCTACTACGCAATTCCAAACTACATAATTGTCCTTACCTTTTATTCTTCCCATACCTATAGCATTAGCTAAGAACAATATTCCCTTTGTTACCTTTCAGCTAGTCTGATTTAGTAAACATCTGCTAGAAATTGTGCTAAATATTAATGTCTTAAAGACTTCATAGCCCTGACACAGTCTAAGTAATGGATAGAAGCACACCACGTCAACATGACATGTGCAGGTGCGTGTGTGTCTGTGTTTGTGTGATGGCAAGGGCAGGGTAGAGGGGTGGGGCAGGATAAGGAAAGCAGACACAATGAACTTTCTACATAGAAGAAAAACCTGTTCGATGATGACATTTCTTTTTTTATTATTATTTTTATTTTTAGGCCTGTCAAGTGAAGCAATGGGAATGGACAAGGAATAAAGAAATCTGTAACTGTGTGTGATCAATTAATTGTAAACACCACTGCACTCAGACCAGACAAAGACAATATTTCATAAAGACTGGAACTCAGGTTTCACCATAGAGAGCGTTAAGTGCTAATACTGAAATTAATCATAATACTACATTTAGGTACTGAAGTGGGAAGAATAGAGGGTGCTGTGAAAGCATGGACTAGGAGAGGCAATTATCTTCAAACTGGGTGTCACAGCAGCTTGAGGCCAGTGCCATCCACACAGAAACCTACCTTAGTGACTTGTAGTACCACTCACCCAGGTCCCCATGCCAGAAACAAAGTCAACAAAATACCTTGCTTAGATTATTTCAAAGGCATTTTAAATTGTCTCCTTGACTCCACCTTGGCTCATCCAGTTCTCAACAGTTTTAAAACTAAAATCTTATCCTCACTACTCATAGTAGTGACAATAGTCAAATTTATAAGTATAATTTATAAGGACTTTTGAAATGTGGCCCTCTTTACTTTTTCAGACTCATTTTTTTCCAGTAGCCCCCCCATTCTCCAAGCTCTTGCTGCACTGATGTTCTTTCAGTTCCTCAAACATGCCATGCTTAGGCTTGTCTCCAAGTTTTGTTTCCACCTGGGGCTAGACCTTTAGCTTAGAATGCAAAGCTTCTTTCTTGTCTAGCTCCTACGCATTCTTTAGTTTCCTAATGAGATATTATACCTTCTGGAGAAGAAGTCCTGACTCCCAAGACCCAAACCAGTGTCTTTTCCTGCACTTTGACCATACCATGTCTTCTTGTTCCACCTCCAACGTCTTGCTAATGAACAGCGTGACCCAACCAGATGAGAACCTCTGAGAAAAAGGAACCACCTCCATCTTCTTCACTCTGGTATTTCTAGGTAGCAACACAGTACTTGGCTCACAGGAGAGGCTTAATAAATACTCATTAAATGATAAATAAAATGTAAACACTTTGCATCAAAATGTACTATTAAATAAAAATCTCCAATCTAAATGTTAAATAAGAATTTGCAATACTCATACCAATTAAGTCCCCATTTACTTTCTTATTTATGAAAAAAGGCACTACATGATGACTCAGAATCATTGTGGATTCATGAAAGTTCCATTAAGGGCTCACATTTTACTCTACTGTAATTGAAGTCTGAAGTGACCATGATTTACATTTAAGATAAAAACCTGGGATCATGATGTAGGCATTCTTTAATTCTTTATATGAAACTTGTATGAGTAAACATTATCCCCATTTTTCAAAAAGAGGAGTGCCAGGAAAACCCACTCAAAATCATTCTCTGTGTCCTTGCATAATAATTGTTTTTCTGGAGGTGCAGACATAATTTTACATGTTATTTTTGTTACTTACGTGAGCATTTAGTTCAAAAATCTACCCTTTCTGTGAACTTCTTAAGAACAAGCATTAAAGTACATGATTATCTTCTGGATTTTATTGATATTTCCCAGGGTTCTGAAATTTTCTTCATGTAAGTATGCTGCCTAGTGAGTATCTTTATTATTGTATGTGTTTTATTATAATTATCTATGTAGCTGTCTCACTCAATAGATTGAGCTTTTATAGGGTAGCAACTGCATTTTGTTGATTTTTGCATCCTCAGTGGCTGGCATGATATGTGGCATATCGTACACCCTGAATAAATATTTGTTTAAAAAGTGAAATAAAGTTTACCCTACCACTTTTGCAAATCTAACACTTTGATTATATTAAAAACCTTAAGGATTTAGAAGAGCATATCATTTAGCTTTCTAAAAATGTATATGCAACCACATATTTCCTGCTGCTGGAAATCTTTTTCTTATTAATTTTCCCTGTAAGATAAAGTATAAGCCCTTCAGTATGCATATGATACCTTCTTGTTCTGGCCCCTGCCTTATCTCCTCTCATTACTGCCTCACCTCTGGTATAAGGATGCCCTAGTGCCCATCATTCTCATACACACTTCACACTCTCCTGTTCTTCAGCAAGACTGTTTGGTTATCATTTGCTTCACTTACTGCCTTGTAAACTAAAAATAAAATTCTAAGGCCCTCAACTAACTAACAGATCCTCCCCCTGGCCAAGGGCATTCCAAAGTTAACCTGAAACCTAGTTCAGGGCATGATGGGAAGTGGGGGGTCAGACGTGCCTCATTATACCCTCCTCCCTTTGGAATTCAGGCACAGCTGACCAGCATTAACATCAAAATACAGACCTTAAGACAGATTCTTTAAGTCTGATAAGAGACATTTATAATCTAGTCTCTTTGAAGCCTGCTACCTGGAGGCTTCATCTGCATAATAAAATACTTCCTCTCTACAATCCCTTATCTTAACTCAGACACTACTTTTTATTGATTCCAGGTCTTTAGATAACTCTTTCAATCAACTGCCCATCAGAAAATCTTTGAATCCACCTATGACCAGGAAACCACTCCTCTCCCTTCCAGTTATCCCACATTTACAGACCAAACCAGTGTCCATGTTACATGTATTGATTGATGTCTTATGGCTTCCTAAAAACGTATAAAACTAAGCTGCAGCCTGACCACTTTGGGCACAAGTTCTCAAGCTCGCCCAAGGCTGTGCCATGGGCCACTGGTCACTCATATATGGCTCAAAATAAATCTCTTCAAATATTTTGCAGAGTTTGATTCTTTTTGTCAACAGCATCATTTCATTCATTTATAGTTATAACACATGTAATGACAGCACCTTTTAATTTTGTCTTGGAACAACAGTAAACATTTTAAAGATATTTTTTGTTTTGTTTTCATTTGATTTTCATCACAGTTCCCATATCCTTAACATTTTACTCAGGGCTTAGCATATAATAAAAAGCAAACCTATGTTGATGATTATATAAATAATTTTTTGCAATAAAGATCATTCTCTCATGTTATGGTTAAGTAAACTGAGTTAAAGAGAGATTAACTATCTAAACCCACACACCCTAGTCAAATTAAAATTGCTTCTATTCATTTTTCTGGCTGGAAACTATTTTTCTTTTAAAACCCAGGTAAGGTGACATTTTCAGGAAAATCTTCCCAGACCACCTCAAACTGACATCCCTATTCCTCCTCTCAATAAAATGAATCTTCCTCTTATATTCATGACTTACTTTCAATATTACTTTATTGCACTTATCAGACTGTCATGTTGTAGCAAGTTTAATGTCTCCTTGCTTTTCTTGATGCCTTGGGAGTGCAAACCTATGCTTTTTCCATTTCTGCACTTTCAGGGCTTATTTCCTATTTGGTGCTCAAACTGCTAAATTCAACTGAAAAGTAAATGTTGAGATACCGTGTTAAAATACCAACTTTATCTTATATTTTATTGTTTTAATCATACAGATATTATAACCAAAAGTAATTTAAAAACTAATATAAATGCAATGAATCCTTTTACTACATGTTTTTTCTTTTTCTGAAGAAATCATATATTGGTTCATGCCTCAGTGCTTTGAGATTTGTCCTCCAGGGACATGCAATTCAATGGCCCATTTTGCTTTTCCATCTACTCCATCTCTCTCTGCATCCTTCAAAATGATCCATTGCCATCTTTTCGTGTACTTTGGGACTGGCTATGCTGGATTCTTCCTGTTTTCTGGCTCTCTGCTTCATCTTGATCCTTCATCACTGTTTTCTCTTCTTTCATACATTAGTGAAAGGCTCAGATCTTCTGACTGGCAACTTCCCTTATGGCAACCTGGTGACACTCTTCAGGCCTCTATTTCTTTTCTTTCTGGGCCTCATCCTCACTATTGACCTCACATTGCCAGCTATCAGCCAAAATTAATGGTCCTCTAGCACTTGAAACTCCATAATCTCAAAACTGAGGCTGGCAATGCTCCTGCCCTGGCAATGGCTCTTACGCCTGTCCTCTGGAGAATGATCTCCACCTTCTGTCTCTTGCATCCTCAAACCATTCAACGTAGTGCTGAGATGTCCTCCTGGCCAAGGCTCACACTCATTGCATCACTGTAATGCTTACATACTTCGATGATTCCCCATACTCAGGGAAAAAAATCAAATAGCCTGCCAGGCCTAACCCTCTGGAAAGTGCCTCTCCTGACTTGCCTTCATGCACCCCTCAGTCCTTCTGAACTCCATGGTTATTTTCTCCCAGATAACCTTGCTGCCTGCTGCTTTTGTGACTATTCTCTTCTTTCTTTTCACCTTCTCAAATTTCTCTCATGAAAGTGATGCTTATAATTTGGGCTCATACAACATGCCTTCTTCCTTGAAGCCTTCTTCAATTTCCTACTTTGTGTTTTCACAGAACATTTTTTGCATATAAAAACTGACTTTTTTTTACATTTTATTTTAGTTAATTCAGTAACTGGTATTTCTCTTTCAGAAACAATTTTATAGCTCTCAGTCTTTAATAGGGCACCATACTTATATAGAAACTGATGAATATTTGATAACTTGTACAGTTCTGATCCAAAGATTGTTCCAAATAATACTAAATTTATTAAATTATTTCAGCATTCTAAGACATCTCTAAGGAGAAAATGTAATGGTTAATTTTATGTGTCAACTTGATTAGGCTAAGGGGTGCCCAGATAGCTGGTAAAACATTACTTCTGAGAGTGCCTGCAAGGGTGTTTCTGGAAGAGATCAGCATTTCAATTGGTAAACAGAGTAAAAAAGCTCACCCTCACCAGTGTGGCTGGGCATTAACCAATTTGCTGAGTACCCAATCTACTAGCAGCAGACACCAATACTGAGCCCTAGATGTAGAGTCATCCCCTGGGGTAACCAGCCAGCTATCTGGTGACAGACTGATTCAACTGGACTGCTTCCATCATGGAAGGAACAGACACTCTAGATATGAATTTTCCCTTCTTGTACACAACACTTCTGCCAAAGCTACCATCCATGAACCTACAGAATGCATTATCTACCTGGGATTTCATATAGCATTGCTTCTAATCAAGGGACTCAATTTACAGCAAAATAAGTGTGGCAATAGGCCTATCCTGATAGAATTCATTGGTCTTACTATGTTCCCTACCATCCTGAAACAGCTGATTAATAGAATGGTGGGATGATCTTTGGAAGACTCAGTTACAGTGCCAGCTAGGTGTGAATACCTCGAAGGGCTGGGGCAAGGTTCTTCAAAGGCTACATGTGCTTCAAATCAGCAATTAATGTATGATGCTGTGTCTTTGATAGCAGGATTTATGAGCCCAGGAATCAAGGAGTGAAAATGGGAGTGGTATCACTCATTATTACCACTAGAGACAGACTAGAAAAAGTTTTGCTTCCTGTTCCCATGACTTTATGCTCTGCTGGCCTACAGGTCTTAGTTCCAGGGAGATAAATGCTTCCACCAGGAGACACAACAATGATTCTGTTCAGCTGGAAGTCAAAACTGCCACCCAGCCTCTTTGAGCCTCTCATGCCTCTGAATCAATAGGATAAGAAGGGAGTTGCTGTGCTGGCTGGGGTAATTGCTCCAGGCTACCACAAAGAAATTTGAGTAATACTCCACAGTGGGGATGAGGAAGAGTATGTTTGGAATACAGGAGATCCATTAGGGCATTGCTTAGTGTTACCAGGCCCTGTGATATAAGGTCAATTAAAAATCACAATAACCCAATCCAAACAAGGCTACTAATAACCCATACTCTTCAAAAAGAAAGATTGGGTTTAATCTGAAGTTAAGAACCATGACTAGCTGAGGTGCTTGTTGAAGGAAAATGGAATACAGAATGGGTAATAGAAGAAGGTATAAATACCAGCTATCAAGACAAGACTAGATACTGAATATAGGAAAATAATTGCCAGGAGTGTTTCCTCCCTATTTTGTTATGAACATGCTTATATGTATATATTCATATATTAAGCAAATATCTTTGTTTTCTTTCCTGTCTTATTTCCTTCACAAATAACAAAAGATGTACTGACGCTATATTAGGGTATTTAATTATTGTTCATTTTACATCATCATATTTAAGCAACTGCATATCAGAAGAATAAACATCATTCATGGATTTTACCTCCTCTTCTGGGTAAGGCATTAGTTTGTTTTCTGTTACGTGTAGTATAGTTGTATCATGTCAGGCAGAATTATCTCCTTGTTATTTTTTTTTATTTGGAGATTCAGTATGGTTTAAGAAGTTGCATATGGGTGCCGAGTTAATAAGTGGGGGACTTGTGATGGCTAATTTTCTGAGTCAACTAGACTGCGCTATAGGGTGTTGAGATAGCTTGTAAATATTATTTCTGGGTGTGTCTTTGAAGATGTTTCTGGAAGAGATTAGCATTTGAATTGGTAAACTGGTCAAAGAAGAATATCACCTTCACCAATGTGAGTGGGCATCATCCAATCTGTTGAGGGCCCAAATAAAAGAAAGAGGTGGAGAAAGGGCAAGTCCACTCCATTTTTGAGCTGCAACATTCATCTTCTCTTGCCCTCAGATGTTGGCACTCTTGGGTTTATGGTCTTCTAATTCAGACTGGGACTTACACCATTGGCTCCCTTGGTTATCAGGCCTTCAGGCTTACACTGGACCTATACCAGGGCTTTCCTGAGCCTCCAGCTGGCTGACAGCAGATCATTGAATTTCTTAGCCTCCACAGTTGTGTGAGCCAGTCCTTCATAACATATCACTTTCTATCTGTCTGTCTATCTATCTATCTATCTATCTATCTATCTATCTATCTATCCTATGGGTTCCATTTGTCTGGAGAATCCTGAATAATACAGAGGACTAACACCAGTGATAATATCTTAGTTAATGAAAAATGTAAAAATAAATATTACAGGTTAATTTTTACTTTAAAATATTTGTCTCATACGTGAAAATGTAATTGATAAAAAATACTTAATTATTTTACGTGAAGTTTGCACATTGTGATTTGAGAATCGCAATGCAAAGCTCATAAGGCCCCAAATATCTCCTTTACCAGCCCGCCATGATGCAATCCTCCTTAATCACCATAATGGAAATTTATTTCATTTGATTCACTGTTTTTGGTGAAATATTCAAAAGGGAATATATGCATCAGAGAGGTAAAATTGCCTACACCTTGCCTGAAAGAGAAAAGACTCTATTCCAAATTAAGGCTAAAGTCAGCTGCATAGCTGGGAGTTCAGGGAAGCCAAATGGCAATGAGAAGAAATTACCAGAATGAAAAAGTGTATGGGATAAGATCAATGCAACATATTCCCATGTCACTGCATTTTATTTAACAAACATTTGACAGGAAGCAAGCTTCACGCATGTAAATCACTTTAGTGTGCTACCTTACAACCCAACACCCTGCCATCTTGCCCTCATTCCTCATGGATCTTCCCCTCCAGAAGTTCAGAAAAGATTTTTTTTTTTTTCTAGCTGAGGTAGTGATCAGGAGAGGTGGTATGAAGGAAGTAACAGTTTAATTGGATAGATTCCAATGGGGTCAGGAAAGATATTAAGGAGCAGAGATAAGACATCCTAGAATCTATTTTATGAGTGCATGTTACTCACAGAAATGGGATCAAGAATGCCTATAAAATGCCTCTGGGAATGTGTATATTCCAGATTCCTGGATAATAAGTGTAACTAAAAGGAAATAAGGAAGAAGGGACAAAAGAAGAAAAGAAAACTAGTATTTGCTAGCTTAAATAAATCAATGTTCTTCTTCAAGTTGCCAATCTCAGTAAGAATTTTTTAGGCTATTAAAAACAGGTATTAAACTTCCAAATGAATATTAACGAATGGAAGACATTTTTGCAAGATTCAGCTAAACCCTAAATTCTGGAGCCAATAACAACCACTGCAGCAACTTCATTTATTGTAAAACATGCACACCATCTTATTTAATCTTGATAATTGCCTATAGGTTAAGAATTATTATCATCATTTTATTGATGAACTGTCCAAGCTCAAAAGATAGAGACTTGTTCAAAGTCACAGAGCTGATAAGTGTGCTTCCTGATCGGGAAATAATTATGAACCCCAAACTAGTAGCTGGGGGTCTCAGCATCAGGTCAAGTTTGCAGCTACTCATTCTCAAGGCCTACACCATGATCGTTTAACATTATAGTGGTTAAAAGGTGGGTTAAATTATTTGTAGTTTAAATACAAATTTTAGAAATTCTTAGTATAATCATATATACAATTTCTTTGAATCTTGGTTTTCCAATCTGTAAAAATGAGAAAACTAACAGAGCCTAATTCCATTGGATCACAGTGAGAATTACATAAGTTAGTTATTAGAATAATCCTGGCACATAGTATACAAGTACTCAATATACACTTTCATTTTTCCTTGGGACTGAGTTTATGACTTGGCTATTTTTTTTAACCTTGTCATCTGAGTTATCCTCTTGACCCCAGCTAACCCTAAGATCGCCATTTTAAAAGTATTAAAAAGCATACCATATTTTTGTACCTATTAACCATCTACACTTCCCCCCTCTCCCCATTACTCTTCTCACCCTCTGGTAACCATCATTCTACACTATATCTCCATGATTTCAAATGTTTTAATTTTTGGCTTCCACGTATGAGTAAACACAGGCAAAATTTGTCTTTATGTGCTTGTCTTATTTCACTTAACATGTCCTTCAGTTCCATCCGTGTTGTTACAAATGACAGAATTTCGTTATTTTTACGGCTGAATAGTATTCCATTGTGTATATGTAATACATTTTTAATCCATTAATCCACTGATAGACACTTCGGTTGATTCCAAATCTTAGCAACTGTGAATAGTGCTGCAATAAACATGGATGTACAGCTAGCTCTTTGATATACCAATTTCCTTTAGAAATATATCTATAACATACAATTTATAAAAATACGATTTATAACTAACCAGATTATTTACAAATGCATGGCAGTGGGGTTGCTGAAATATATGCTAGTTCTATTTTTAGATTTTTGAGCAATGTCCATACTGTTCTCCATAGTGGTTGTTTTAATTTACTTTCCCACCAATAGTATATGAGGGTTCTCTTTTCTCCATATCCTTGCCAGTATTCATTATTGCCTGTCTGTTGAAGAAAAGCCATTTTAACCGGGTGAGATCACATCTCATAGTAGTTTTGATTTGCATTTCTTTGATGATCAATGAGGTTGAGCATTTTTTCATATACCTGTTAGCCATTTGTATGTCTTCATTTGGGAGATGTCTATTCAGACCTTTTGCCTATTGTTTAAATTGTATTATCATATTTTTTTCTATCAAATTCTTTGAGTTTCTTGTATATTTTGGTTATTAATCTCTTGTCAGATGGGTTGTTTGCAAAAAATATAGTTAGAAGAATGAAAAAGATCTAGTACCTTATAGCACAACAGGGTGGCTACAGTTAATAATAATTTATTACATATTTTAAAATAACTAAAATAGTGAAATTGGAATGTTACTGATACAAATAAATGATAAATGTTTGAGGTGATGGAAACTCCAATTACACTGATGTGATTATTACACATCATATGCATGTATGAGACCATCACATATACCTTATGAATATGTATGCCTATTATGTAGCCATAATAATTAAAAGTTTTAAATAAAAATAAAATAAATAGTAATAAGAAGGCTACAGATAATTGCTTTATGGTGCATAATGTAAGGCTCATCTAATAATGAAAATGTAAACTAGCATATTGAAACAAATTAGAATTTATAACTCTATGAGTCTAGTATTAATTTTTCTTCTTTTATTCTTTCTCCAAATTTGGGTCAATATTGAATATTTTAAGGAGTCCTGGTAATAGCAATTATCTTGAGACATATATAAATCACTTCTGAGTATTTAAAATATAGTTCTTTCTCTTAGAGATTCTCCACTATTCTCAAGGCATCTACAGACTGGAATGATATTTTTAAGCATTTGACCTTATTCTTAACGATAGAACTCAAGTGGAAAAAGACAAGCACACACACACACTTAAGCAAAAAATAAAAAACAAAAAACAGAAAGCCCATAAACAAATAAACAAAAATTAAATACAAAAATAAACAAAATAGACAACTTCTTTTTGAGGTATTGATGAACCCTCAAATAAAGATAAGGATAATGACGGGTCAATTTTCTTTGTTTTGTATTTTGGTCAAAAATACAATCTATAACTAACCAGATTATTTATGAATACATGGCATCAGAAGCTGGAGGGCTAGTTAAGATTTTGTACTAACTCATATGAACTATTATATGTCTAAAAAGGAACTCAAAATGCACATTTCACCGAATGTGCAGAATTAAAATCAACTTCACCTTGCACTTTTCAAGGCATAAATTATAGAAGCCCCTCACCTTCTTCATTTTCCTGAGATATAAAATGTGAAATGAACCAACATGGACTGGAACATGCATAGTAGGCATAGGCACTTGTAATTAATGGCCCTGTCCTTCATCTTCCTGCAATAACATATAGAGAATATGAGCATATGCAATGGCAAACATGGTAGCATAATGATTCAAAAGGACACTGATTTGGGTGTTAGGTCATTTGGGTGGGTCTCAATTTCCTCGTCTGTAAAATGAAGTGGTTCCTGATTTTAAAGTTGTATTATTCTATATAATATAGTTGATTTTACAATCCCTAGTAATGTGGGTATTTATTCATAAAAGCATTGTATACATTTAAATTTAGATTGCAATATGACATATACTATAAAGCTATTAACTTTATTATATCTTTCTTATGTATCATTTTATTTTTAAAAAATCTACTAAGAACATAATAAAAAAATGTATCCAGTAATGAGCAGAACTGAAGAATATGTGATCTTTAAGTATGGAATATACTATTTATATGTGTGTGTGTTTATATGCAAAATACATATGTTTATATATGTATATAATATGAAGATGCTGTTTTAAATTGGTATTTAATAAAATATAAGCTCAAAATTTACCCTAGAGCTGTTAAAAGAACCACTCTCATTCAATTACGCATTCATTTACATTTATGAACCAAAGCAATAAAAGGATACTTTGAAGAAATGCTTAGTTTTATGATAGAGGCATCTGTTACATTCTTTTCATGGTATAAAGTAACTAAAACATCAAAAGCAAAACTAATATTTCAAATAAGAAAATAAGAAATGCCATTGCAAGTATTTGCTATTTATCAAGAAGCTATCCACTGATTGTATTAGATACTATTCCTTTCTGTATAGCTTGCCTGTCATAGTCACCACATGATCCAGAGAGATGATTGGTCTCACACAGCATCAGCAGGTGTGGGTGTAGCGAAAATTACATGGGCTGCAGAGGCAGGTGACCTGGGTTAAATACCAGGCTTTATCACTTATCTGATTGTATTAATAATGTCGCTGGAATGTCTTAAATGGCACTAGAGTTTATTTCCTTTTGTTTAAATAAAGCTAATAACTGTATTTGCTCTTCTTACATTGGGTTGCTTTGAGTTATGAATAAGAAAGCATTACACAATATTCATCATTACTACAGTTGATATAGTATCCCAATATCAAAACTGATATATCCTTTATCCTGTGGCTAAAGTTTCTTTTATACTCTCCACCACCTATCTAATCAAACACCCAATTCTGTCCATTTAATTTTCTATATATTTCTTAAATTTATGCCCTCCTCTCCATCCCAACTACCACCTTACTAAGGCAAGTCTTATTCTCTGTTAGCAGACTTCTCCCTTCTTATGCCACCTAAAGTCATCTTGTAAAACACACGCCAGAATTTTTCCTACCCCAAAACACAATCTGACCACACTATTTTCCATCCTATACCCTTAAGTGATTCCTTGTCAACTAAAGAGTAAAATCCAAGCTTCAAAAGGATATTCAAAACCTTCCCTAGTCTGACACTCTAGTCTCCAGACTTAAATCATCATCTTCCATCTTCAGCATTTCTAGTCCTTACCTCAGTGCTCTGTTCATCAATGTTCCTCTGTTTGGAATTCTCTATTCCCTATTGCTAAGTGGCCATCTCCTATTTAACCAATGAGAATTAACTCAGGAACCTTCCAAGGCATAAGTAAGCCTAGAGGAGACTCACACACAAATCAATTTCTGTATTATAATACACTCATTTATATGTCTGCTTTTTCTAGCCAAAATGTGAATTCTTAATGATAGAGACTCTTTTTTTTTAACTTTGTCCGTCTAGCACTCAGGAGAGTGTCTCACACATATTAAGCACATTTACTATTGTTGTTTCTACCCTGAATAAGAATACATGTTGTTGCTTCTACCCTAAACAACACCTGGGCCAAATAAATGTATAACACCTAAAAGCCAGACATTAAAAATCATTAAATTGAACCAATAATGAGCAGGAATATCCATATAACAAAGACAAAGATAATATTACAGAAGTCAATCCATCGCTCTTAGTTTGTAAAAGACAATTTCTTTTTTTAAAGAGATATTTTGAAACTTGTGCTGCTTCCATTAATCATATTTAAATGAAATTAAATATAGCAAATATTAATGTTAGTTACCATTAATATTTTATAAACTAACTGGTAGTATCAGTTTTGGTAAAAAATTAAAGATTAATTGAAAAAAGTTACATGAAACACAGTGGACAAAATAAAATACTACTAAATAAAGTGAAGATTTAGGGGTCTTGGGAACTGAGACCCAAATATGCAGTAACCACAGTTGCACATAAACTGTTCAACAATAATCACGTGCCCACCGCAGTCCTTATTGGAAACATTATTCTTCTGGGAAATTGCTTCAGAATATTTAACCATATAAAGTAAAATGCAGCTGGGTTACAAATACTAAAAGATAAATAGAAAACAAAAATTAAAAAGTCAATAATACAGTGTTTTTAAGTATTCACTGCCATTAGAATTCTTTCTATTCTCATTGATTAATAATTTAAAACATCTATACCTAGATTGGTGTTTGATTGGCCTTTCATTTTCTATATAGCTAATCCCTTAACACTTCCTCATGGGTCTCATTTTCCAAGCTCTTTATCATCATTTCAGCCCTCTTTGGAGCTCTAATGTTATTAGTTGTCCTTTTAAAATGCGGCCATCAGCAAGTAGAAAATAAATATCACCTAACTTCATTCAGTGCAATACATTTAGTCCTTAGATTAGTTAATGTGATTCCCTGCTAGTCTAGTGAGTTAATTTGCATAATAATAAGTAATCAGTAAATGACATAGTCCAACTCAACTATTCGTTTTAAGCACTTCTATTCACTGTTCAATTTTTCAATGCTTTATAATCATTTTTGTTTGATTTTATTCACAATAAAATTGTGAAACAGGTCAATATTAAACTCACTGGAATCTAAGCTTTTCACATATTCTATATAATTAAGCTTTTATAGCCCTCCAAGGAAGAAGAAATGTAGTGTCACTTCAAAAGGTCACACAGAAGTGATGGAACAATCCTGAGGACTACAAAAGATTGCACAGATTGAACAGAACTTTACTATGAAGTTCACTTCATAGCCTTGGGGTAAAGCAAGTATTGATCCAGATGCGGGAATCCTAGAGCACTCTACATTTGGATTAAGATTGCAGGAAGAATCTCTAAAGTGAAATTCCAGACACAGTCTCCTTCGCAATTAAAATGATTCTGCTTTCCTATCTCAGCCTCTATAACTGTCTTCAATCAAATTTCCCACTAATTCTGTTAGTGTTTCTTCTGCCATGTGATTTGAATCCACCTCTGAGCACTAACTCTCCTAACCAATGTTCAGGTTCAGGCCAATGTCACTTCATCTAAGGATCGCTTAGTTTAACAATTTATATCAATATTGAAATGCTCCACATTTTGGCTTCTAAAATATCCCCTTCTTATCTAGTTACTTTCATTTTCTCCTTGGGTATATGTTTCTCCACAAATTCCTTTTATATCACTTGTTCCTAATGGATTGATATTCTGCGAGGTGACATATTTCAACTCTCTCCTCATTCTATGCTCTCCCAAGGTGATCTTATCAACCACCACAGCTTCAAGCAGCACTTTTGCTCTGAAATCTTTAAAATGTCTCTCTCTCTCCATCCTGTACCTTTCTTCAGAGCTGACACATGTCCCCCGAATGCCTATTAAATATGTCCAATGGACACTGCATGTGCACCGTAAACTACACGTCAAAACCTGCTTCTTCAAATGTTTCTCATTCTGAATCTTAGTAAACGGATTCGTCATCCACTTAGGCAACAAAGCCAAAAATCTTGGAGTCATTCTAGAATGTTCCTCTATGCTTTGCTTTCCATATTCAATAAACCTTTGTATATTTCCTCAAAGTATTGAGAAACATCTATGGACGAGATAGTAAGCCAGGTGTAAGGCATACTGCAGTGGACAAGGTAAACATCATTCTTATATTCACAGAATGTTCACATTAATGGGATATAGAAAGGTAAATATGCTATTCATATTGTAGGCTATGTGAATGGCACTCCCAGGAGTTTGGCAATATATTAATACAACCTATGGAGGTTAGATAGGTAGTCCTGCAAATACAATGTCAAAAGAACAAAAATAACATGTTCAGTAATTTTTTGTACTATATCTCTGCTTTTCTTTCTCATTGTCAGTTATTTGATTCCAACTGTCAATATTTTCCTCCTGGATTGCCACAATAGCTCTCTAACCGGCATTCTCTCATTACTTTTTTCTAGTGCCTATCCTATTCATTCACCAAAACGTTGCCAGAATAATTTTTATAAAATTCCAAGCTGACCACAGGCTTTCTAAAATTCTAAGCTGACCACTAAGCTCTTTCTATTAGACAATCCGAAGTCCTTAAAATGACCTACATTTACTGGTGGAGCCGCTTTATACTTCATCCCTTCACACTTGTTCTCTGCTGCAGCCATGCTAAGCTCCTTGCAAATACCCATGCCAGGTACGCTCTCTCATGGCTCTGTGCCTTAAAACATGCTTACCCCTCTCCCATACATAATCAGAATAACTCCTACTTGCCATTCCACACTCACCTCTGGCATCAATCTCTCTTTAGAGTTTTCCTGAAGAATCATTACAGTCCCTCAGCACCCTTCCTCTGTTCTTTCATTTCACCCTCCTGACCATATGTCCCTCATATCACTTACAGAATCAGACTGTAACCACAAGTTTGTCCCCACTGTTAGACCATGAGCTTTTAAAGGGCAGGAATCTTGCTCTTCTCATTTACATATTTTTGCTTCCTACAACAGTGACTTGCATGTAGGAATCCTTTAGTAAATATTTGGAGAATAAATTAATTGGTGGCAACTAGTTTATCCTGCAAAAGGATGTCATGTTCTTCCTCAATGCCATGAGGAAGTGATAAAATCATACTGAGGTCAGAATGGACAATGATTCCCTAGCCTGAGACCAAGTCATCTTCCCTATCTGCATTCCAGGCCCTTCATAGTGTCTAGCAAGAGACCCCTTCTGAAAGAAATAAAATGGTAATCTTATATTTCCTTCAAAGTTCAAGCCTCAGTTCCTCTAGGAAACCTATTTTGACTCTTACTTCAAATAGCATTTTCTTACTTAAACTCTTACTGTTTTAATACGAGAATAAGTATTGTCTGTACTTGTTCTAAGAAACTTTTCTATGTATGTGTATCCTCTTTCTCAAAATTAAGTATCAAGAGCCTTGTGAATAAAGACTGTTATTTCTGAGTTGTCTCTGCTACCTACTCCATTGCTGCAAGTATGCCAAGTATTTTTAATTGCATAAATTTAAGATGTACAACATGATGTTTTGTATACCTATCCATAGTGAAATGATTACTCCAGGTAAGCAACTTAACAGAGCCATCACTTCCATGTGGTAAGAACATCTAAAATTTACTTTTAGCAAATTTTCAATAGATGATATGATATTATTAGCTCTAGTACTCCTGCCGTTTATATCTCTAGATGTATTTGTCCTTCATAGGTGCTAAGTATTTACTATGTTCTTTTTGAAGACAATAATAAAAATAATATCTCTTGATTCTTTTCCCAATGTGCTATCAAAACTTCTCTCACAAATTTAACTATTTTCTATCTTCATCTTATTTGATTTCTCAACATTGTCCATTGGAGCTGCCTACACTCTCCTTCAAAGGTGGACTTTGCTTAGCTTTCATACATTACACCCTTCTGATTTTTCTTCTGCGTCTTTGGCTATTCCTCAGTTGGCTGTGGGAAGCATTCTTCATTTACTAAGCCATAAATTATTAAGTGCATCAGGGGTATCTTCTTCTCTTCTAGGCTCATTTATCATCTTAACCCTCACAAGCAGCCCAAACCATCTGTGCTTCTCAACTCCATTGTAACAGAGGTAGAAAAGTCACTTCATTCTGTCTAATATGTGCAAGAATATGTTTTAATAAGCATCGTTCCCAGAGTAATACTGAATAAGGGAATAAAAAAAAGAAGAGCAAACTATCGAATAATTTTAGAAAAAAATTTAATAGACACATAGCATAGAAAGAGCATTTCACGATTATTTAAACTTCATAAAGACAGGTTTACGTGGAGGGCAGGGAAACTTAGGAGTTATTTTGTTCTGTAAAATGTAACACAGTGCACAGTGAATCAGATCATGTCATCAAATATAAAATCATTTGTGTTTATGTAATTTGGCTTTAAACCACTGAGGAGGATATTTGAACATTTGCCACAGCAAAAGTTGTAGCAGCCTCCCTCAGGCAGGAGTGCTTAGGTGTCGGCTAATGTCCAGTGACTTGCTTAAAAGAGGATAAAACAACACACCCCCAGGCAAGCCAGAAGATTTAAATAGAGCCAATTTAGGAAGCATAATGCCTTAGCAAATTCAGAAATTAATCCAGATTAAGACATTTTGCTTTAAGGATCTATGTCAAAAAACAAGTTCTACAACTCTGACTTAGAGGTAAGGGCTGGGGAAGGCACTCAAAAGGTATATTCCATAAAAACCCTCATATGTTCCAAAGTACACCTTCAAAAATCATAGAGCAAAGTCACCAGCATGTGTTATCTCAAACTAGCAGAAGTTTAAGCTTAATTAAAAAAAAGTCAGCTGGGAATGGGAGAGGGTTGTACTTTATTCTAATATTAATATAAAGAATCTAAACATTTAGATATGTCTGAAATATGTTTTTGTCTTTTGTATGATATAATTTATGATAAATCATTTCTTAAAATAATTAATCCACAAACTTCATCCAGGACCCTCACACTTAACAGTTATTTAGTGTCCACAAAGAAAATTACTGATCAAAGTCCCCAGGTCTCCAAAGCAAACTGAAGAATTTAATTGAAACTTTATCTTTACTTACACCTATCCATCTAGGAGAAACTAGATAGTGATCCTTTTATAGTAGAAAATTGTGTACCGAGACTGAAACTGTCACATCTGAGCTCAACAAATTCCCAGAGAGATTCATACAAATAGATTATATACATGAGAAACATTAACTCAAGTGATTCTCCGGATCTAAAAACACCCACAGCTTTGAGACACGATTCATTTTGCTATTATTCCTGAAATCATATGTTATAAACACACAATATGCTTGGTGATAAGTTTCTTGGTATCCTCTTATTGGATTTGTTTATAATATTTTTATTAACAATAATGTTTATCTGCTATATGCATAGGTATTTTTTGTGACCTTCATGACCAACTCAAAAATTCTGGAAATTGTAATGTGATCATACCTTGCTTCCATTTTCTCTCGCCTCTCGTTCCATCTTGAGGTCAGAAATTAGAAGATTCTTATACTTGTTTTTCCCATTACTGTTGTGATCATCTATTCTGTATTCCGAAGTTAGCTGCGCAGAGAGGGGACTGTCACTCAGGTTCAGTGGCTGTTCATCTTGCTCCAGCCCAGTTTTGCCATCACTGTTGGAGTCTCCCATCTCCCTGCTGTGTGTTCCCCCTGAAGCAATTGAACTGTGCCCCAGAGTCTCATTGCCATTAAAGCTCTCTGCAGCAGAATCATCTGTTGGAAAGGAAAAGTTATATTTTGATTTTAATTAATATGCTATTCAGAGTCTACTTCAACTAGCATTTATTGAGCTCCCATTATATGAATGGCATTTTACATACAATATGTAATTCATCCTCAGCAATAAGCTTGTAAAGCAGTTATTGTTATTTTTAATCTAGTAGGCACATGATAAGGTTTGAATGTTTTGTCCTCACTAAATCTCACATTAAAATGTGACCTCCAATGTCCATAGTGGGGTCTAGTGGCAGGTGTTTGGGTCATGAGGGTGGATTTTTCATGAATGGCTTGGTGCCATCCCCATGGTAATGAGTGAGTTCTTGCTCTGGGAGTTCATAGGAGAGCTAGTTGTTTAAAAAGAGCCTGGCACCTCTTCTCTCTCTCTCTTGCTCCCTCTCTCACCATGAGACAAACTGGCTCCCCTACATCTTCCACCATGATTATAAGCTTCCAGAAGCCCTCACCAGGAGTAGATGCTGGCACTATGCTTCATGTACAGTCTGCAGGGCTGTAACCCAAATAATCCTTTTTTCTTTATAAATTACCCAGTCTCAGGTATTCCTTTATAGCAACGCAAATGGGCTAACACAGCACATTTAGGCACAATAAGTGAAATAAAACAGGAAGAAGAAAACAGAATTGAGAGAACAGTTCAATCTCAAATGCAATCTCAAAGAAAAAAAAACAAAGAGAATTAAATAACTACCAATTATTTTGCAAATTGTTTTTGTTTTTCCAGTGAGAATATCTAGATTTGGTAAAAATTCTCTGATAAAAAGCATCATTTATCCTGCTGGTGGAATGTGCATCAGTATTAGCTGAATGACTGTTTAAGATGCATCTAAAGCATTAAAAGTCCTCATAAACTTTGTTCCAGTCATTACACTTCTGGGAGTTTAATACCTAAGAAGTTTAATCATTGTGTGTATCTCTTTGTAGGTAAACATTTATACCAGTGTTGTTCATAATAGCAAAAAATTAGAAATGACCTAAATTACCACAAATAGATTATTTAAATAAATGTTGAAATTGTTAGATTATTATGTAGTTATTCAATATTGCATTTTAAGATATGGGGATGTGAGTCATGAAGTACTAAACACAAAAATCTAGCTACAAAAGAGTGTGGTTGGTATGATCCCAATTTTGTTAAAAAAAAACACATAGACAAAGATTACATGAAATAACATTCTATTTTTCTTAATTTTATCTTATATGATAAAAATTTGCTACTGATTTTTAAAAATTATGATGGAAAAGGTATTAAATTGTTTCATTTAGTTAAAAGCTAGTAGTGAAATCATATAAATATGGCTGAGCAAAAGAAATATTATTCAATACTTGTGATTTTTAATTTTCTGAATGTTATCAAGTATGTTTTTTTGAGGGATGTAATGAAATAGTTAATGTTTTCTAATCAATTACATTCATGGGAATTATATTCAAATTCTGAAAGAGTGATATAACTCACATGTTCCTTCATTTATTCACTAACATTTGTTAAGTGCTTACTCTGACCAATATGGGGTTAAGTATTTGGCCTGTAAAGACTCTGTCTTCAACAAGGTCACAGATAATTAAGAGAGACAGAAAAACAAACATGCTATTAAAATGCAGAGCAAGAAGGCTGTGATCTAATACAAGGGATAAAGACATCATAGAAGGCTTCCTAAAGAAGGTGATATGAGTTGAATTCTCAAAGGTGAGTGAGCCTTAACCAGGTGGAGAAGTTGGGGAAGAGCATTCTCTATAGAGGGATCAGCACGTGCAAAGTCACAGAGGTCAGCATATGCAGGGCAAGTGAGAAGTAAGAGTAGTCTGGAGTGCAAGAAAAGAGAATGGGAAAAGATAAACAGAAGAAAAAAAGAGAATACCAAGAAAAGCATTTTGTTTATCAAAGAACTTGGATTTTATTCTGGGAGCAAATAACAGTTTTAATTTATTGTGGGAAGTGACATGGAAAAAGTTATATTTCAAATAGACTATTCTGACTCTGATGAGGAGAATGGTATGAAGGGGCAAAATGGAAGTTGGGGAGACCAGTTAAGAGATTTAGAAGTCATCTAATTTGGCATATTTAAAAGCTCAAACTTCTGAAGCAGTGGCAATGCAGAAAAAGAGGAGACAATTAGAAAAATCGTGAGAATAGAACTGGTACGACTAGTAGTAATGGAATAGGCAAGAGTCTAAGATGAAGCCAGATCTGTAGTAAAAAATTAAAAAACAGGCTGGGCGCGGTGGCTCATGCACTTTGGGAGGCCGAGGTGGGTGGATCACCTGAGGTCAGGAGTTTGAGACCAGCCTGGCCAACATGGTGAAACCCCCGTCTCTACTTAAAATACAAAAATTCGCCGGGCATGGTGGCATGTGCCTGTAATCTCAGCTACTCGGGAGGCTGAGGCAGGAGAATCGCTTGAACCTGGGAGGCAGAGGTTGCAGTGAGCTGAAATCGCGCCATTGCACTCCAGCCTGGGCAACAAGAGCGAAACTGCATCTCAAAAAAAATAAATAAATAAATAAAATAAAATAAAAAATATAAAAACAAAGCACATTAGGTTTAAGTTTAATTTGTAATGAAATAATATTATTTCACGCCTGGCCTGAAATAATATTTTTAAACAGTTTTCTAAGACTACCCTGTGAAAAATGTTAAAATATGTTCAAATGGCAAAATTCTAGTAAATTACTTTTTATGTACCCATCAAAGAAAGAATTGATGTGGAAAGAAAAAATACATAGGAAAATTTAGGAAACTGGCCATAAATAATATGACATTTTTTATTACATGGTACTTTCCATAGGTATTAATCCAGGGATTCAAAATATTATTTTAACATGAAATGTCTAGGGTTTCTGAAATGCAGAATTAAGGGGATGACTTATATAAGTAATTTAGATAAATGTGTGCATGTTCTTTTTATGCCAATTCAAATTCTTACGCTAAATTATGAAGATGATTTTTATTACTTTATTATTTCCCACAAAAGTCCAAAGAAGAGCACAATGAAAATATTCAACTCCAATTTTTAATTCATGAAAAAAAGTGATTTAACATTTGTGTTCTAGAATCCTTTAAAAAATATAGTAACATTTAATGTATGAAAGCTTTGTCAATATGTTATTAGGTTAAATAACCCTAAGTATATATTATATTTTAAAATAAAATCTACGTTAGCATAAGACAAATCCAATATCTATCTTGGTTAAAAACTAAACATCCTACATCTGTTTCTTCAATCTGAAATCATTATGTATATCTAATAAATGGTATATCATTCATTTATTTTTCAGGTAAGGTAAACATTATTATTTGTCAGGAAAGGCTTTAATAAGTGCCTTGTTTTTATATCAATAAAAAGTATAAACAATAAGGTAGAAAATATTTTTAGATGGAGTAGTTCACTCCAGATGTTACCAAGGTAACTAAATTCAACAGCGTTACATATTTCATTCCTGAGTAAATCAGTATGTTTTAAGAAAAACAAATACATGATTTACTCATTTGTATCAAATATACATACTCACATATTTTGCAATTTAAATGGTAAAAAACAATAATGTCTCACAACACTGTCCTATAAATCCAAATTTAAAACAAAGTTTTTGATGTCTTTATTTTAAAAATACCATATAGAACAGTAAGCAGATATTAAACTGAGGACAAATTAAGAATTTTCTATTGCTGAGTTTCATGTAATCATGTTAACCATTTTTATTCTCTTTCCCTCTCTCCCTAAAAGATACTTTTTAAGAATTTAAAATCGCGGATCTCAGACTCCTGTAACCAATTCATATCAGGTCATCACTTTAAAGGGGTAATCTGCTTCCTTACCCAACATAGTTTGGTCCATCCTGAGTAGCTGCTACACAGAAGGTGCAGTATTTAGGTCTGTGGGTATGGCCTTCAGGTTCACTGGGCCAAGGCGGTGGTTCTTCTCTCAAGGTTTCAGCCTGGGTACCATAGCATTTGAACCAAAGACTCTGTATATGAGTCCCAAGGAAAACAGCACCTGGAGCTTTGGAAAATAAGAGTGCCCAGGGTACCTAGCAACAGAGGAGAATGTGGAATGTGATGACAAGGAAGTGTGGAATCTAGTGACATCAGGAGGGCAGTTGGACGTCGGGAGTTAACTTGTTCTGTGGCTACTTTTGATGGGATGGATTTAGTGTTGGAGAATTATTGTGCTATCTCTGCGAGCACAGATGAGACTCCTTCTTGTCTAGAAGGTCTAGTAACACAGTAAATGGCAGATTATTCATTTTATTGTTTCTCTTTTGCTACTCCCCATTCCCTCCATGAATTAGTAGAGACCCTAGAAATACTGTTAAGTTATCCCACCAGCATTTTGTAGAAAAGTGGTTTCATCAGCATCATATTCAACAATTAGCTCTCTCTGTATGAAGAGAATTGGCCTAAAATATTATGTTAATGTATATGTGTACCTGTGTGTGTATTTAAGTGTGTGTGTGTATATGTAATCTCCCAAAGTACCTGACCTACTTTCTTATTCAGTTACTTTCAGTAGCTCAGCATCATGTCCTTTAGGCCAAGTGCCTTAGGCAAAATAAACAGGAAAAAAAAAAAAAATATATATATATATATATATAAAATCCTCATTTTAACATTAGTACTTGGAAATTTAGTCCCAAAATTCAGGTCAGATGCTCACAGGGTCCACAAAGATTTTATTGTTTTCCCCAAATTCACCACAATTTTCCTCCTCTAGTCCTTTGATGCCCCCCTTAGAAAACTTCTCTTTCATATCTTACCGTAAAACTAAGTATTAGGTCCAAAATATAGATGTAAATAGCCTTGCTGAAAAGATTAGTACCTTCATATCCAAAAAAGAAAAAAAATTAAAAATTCCTTTGAAATCTAATTGCAAAATAGTTTAAGTGCAACTCTCCTTTACCCCTTGTGGTCTCTGCTCTGTCTTTTCCCAGGCTCAAAACAAAACAAACAACAACAACAACAACAAAGGAAGCTTATCTATCACTAGGCCATACCTTAAATCTTACACCATAACTGCCTTTACTCTGCAACACAAAGCAGGTAATGTAGGCTGAATGAATCCTTGGTAGCACTTTCCAGCACAGTATACTGGAATACTATACTGGAATAATATACATAGTATATTTCGAATAATAGATGTGTATTAGTAGTTCTCAAACTTTAATTGCTTTGGAATTTCCTGGGGGAGATGATTAAAAATATGTATCTGTAGGATCCATGTGGGCACTAAAACCTCTAACACAATAAAGGCTAGAAATCTTGGTTTAATTTATTTTGGTTGAGGTCAGGGAATCTAGAAGCATTTCTCATATAAGTGCTTAGGAGCCATATGTGAGAAATTAATGTAGATGATATCCAACAACTACCCAGTAGAATACGCAATTAAAGGAGGCAACTGTGGATAGCAACAGAACTAAAGATGACTAACAGCCCTCAATTCTGGGTTCAGTAAGGCTGAATCTGAGGATATTTTAATCTCATTTTATAAAAATCTGGAAAAATTTCAGAAAAAGAAGCCAAAAGCCAAATATTCTTTCCCTTTATCAAAACTAATAAACAAAAATACTTACTGCCAGAATGGTCCCATTTTTTAAAAAGACTCATGAAAGGATATGATCTTGCCCAAAGAATTAAAGGTAAATGTGTAACTAAGGAGCTATAAACCTTATCTGGGGGAAAAGGATAAACTTAATTACCTTGGTTAACAAACCCCTGGAAGAAAAGGCCTTTACCTGGGTCAAGTGTATGTTTGGAAAATCAAGAATCTTTACTCCCCTTCTAAAGTAGAGCTGCCTATCATATAAGCATTCACATGTGCTGAAGTCACTATCAGTTTTGCTCACATAGCAGGTAAAGAGTATCACCCTGGGAAGAATTGTCAAAACCATCAAAGTGTGTCCTCTGGGTCCTGCATGTTCTCTTTCCCCTCTTGATCACTAATTCTCCAGCTATTTGTGTGCACACTGGCTCTATGTATGTCATTTTACTGAGTAATGGATTGACAGATTGATTGATTGATTATCCTTTATCTGAAATTCCCTCACAGAAAAATGTTACTTCAACTAGGCAGTTGTAATTTAAACCTTTTATCTCTAATTGCAGAATGAAAGGCTTTTTCTCTTGGTATTTTCAGCCATTAGCAAGCAGGTGAAGTGTATTGTGTTTTGGGAGTTTGTGCGGAGAGAGAAACCCTGTGATCATACTAGACCTGTTAAGTACCCATGTTTTTAAAGTAACTTAGAGGTGAATGATTAGAATGTATACTCCTTTAGGTATTCTCCTAAACTCTCCTACCCCTGCCCTTCAACAGTTCTTCTCCCTATGGTAATGGGTGAGCCAGGACTACTCATTGATGTAGCTGAATTTCTTATTGCCAATATTCTGAGACAGCAAGAAGCCTGAGCTATGAACCTCTTCCTGGATTTACAGAACAAATACATCCTAAAATAATTATTCTGTAAGGATCCACAATACCTGCTCCTTTATCTAACACAATGGTCATTGGCTGTTTTGTTCTCAAATCTGTTCTCCTTCTATTGCAAATTTTATTTCCTAGGTTTTCTTGCCTAGTGCCTTATGACTGGGTTTAGACAATGAGAGACACTGGAAGAGATGGATAATTGGACAAAGAGAGAATGCCTGGTTATGCCCTCCTCCCTCCCCATGCACACACCCTCTCTGGTTCAGGCAGTCTCTCCATCTCCAGCATGGGGAGTATATCCTCTATGCCCTAGTTCCTGCTAAGAAGCCTCTTTTGTGAATCTGATTCCCATGTAGGAGCTCTGGGCTTGAGCTCTAGTAATATCAGCTATTCCCTGGCCCTTCCACTGCTAGCTATGGGAGCCGCCTCTTTCTGTTATCAATTCCAGAGTTGCTTCACTAACCCCTGCTTGGCTTTTTAGCTCTTCAAACACCACTGTAAATAGTGCCTAGTGTTAAATTTTCCTAATGGATGTCATGGAATGGGCTCCATTTTCCAGATGGATCCCAATCCCAACTGATATAATTTCTTTTCCTTTAGCCTCAAGACTTTTGTCTAAAAACTTTGATATTATTATAAACGATATTTTGTAATTTTTTAAATAATATAAATTCATTATTTGATATACAAGATAATTTCACCCAGTTCCCTTTACTGTTTCTCTCTCTTGCATTGAAATTAATTACCGTCAGTAACAGTGGTATTAAGGGAGTTTATCGACATCTTAAAGAATGAAAAATCAATAAAAGTTTTGTTGACAAACATAGTATTAGAAACTGGTTTCCTAATTCCAAAATAAACTTCCATCTAAATTCTACTAGTATATCTCAGCAGGAAACACATGTTTGGGTATTCTGAGGAGAGGAGCCTGAAAAAGACAGATGCTATGTTATGTAGGGGAAGAAAATGAATTAATTTTAGATTTATGAGGAATTAATGGCAACACTAGCACTTAATGACATGTGTCGCATTCTACATTCTTTTCTCTATGTTATATTGTCTCTCAGTGAAGGCAGGCTTTAGAAAGAGTTGGATTATAGAAATAGTAGAATATAAAGAAAGTAAACTCAGCAGCAAAGAACAGAGAGGAGGATAGAGAGGAGAAAGATGATGAGAGAAAGGTGATGATGACGGTGGTTTGGAACAAGCTCAGTAGTAGGGAGCTCTCATGTGGGTTGGAGAATAGGTATTTGGTAAAGGGTGTTGGGGTCAGGAATCATGGGATTAGCAATAAATATCCTGGGAATTATCAAAAATTAAGTGATAATTGTTGGGGGTTAATGTCTGGAGGTACTGAAGTAGGAGAAACAACCCTCCAAGGAGAACACCTCTTCCTCTGAGGAGCAAATCAACTAAATTACAAATAGGTGGAGGACAGGGGCTAGGCTTTTCTTCACTGCTGTATGCCTTGAAGCCAGCATTATGCTTTGTGTATAGTAGATATTCAGCAAATGCATAAAGCTATAAATTAATGACTCTAAACCACCTTTATTCTATTTTCTAAACTCATGATTTTCATAGCCCAAAACTTTTATATTGTATTATACACTAATTTTTTCATGGATGTAAGTCATATTTTCCCAAATGGTCATAGGTAGTGAGGACCTTACTTTAACAGTTCTTTGTGTAAAGCAGTACATACAGCAAATCGCCAAATGAAAATATAATTTTAAAAAATCAACAGAAGAAGAGAAAACATTTTGTTTTTGTGGATATTTTATTTTTGTCATAGTAAGAGGATAGCCAAGAAGTAATGTCAGACTGATTTGAGGAAAAAAACACAACTAAGAATAGAAAGGATTCCCAGATAATGAGTATCCTTTTTATAGTAGTGGTATATATATTCATTTTCATTTAAACTGTTTCTGTCAGAATAAAACATTGAGTTCTCATCAAATCAAAATTTAAAAATCTGTCTTGGATGACCATTAGGAAAAACTAATCTAAGTTACTGTACTAACTGTATCAATTTAAACTCTTTGAATAATGCCAAATTAAGAGCTCTCACAATGTGATTACTACTAATTAATCAAGAGCTGGTCATAGTACCCCCCCAACCCCATTCCATGTTTTATGCTGCTACACCAATGTCACATAAGCATGGCCATCTATAAAATCTTTCCTTGGATAAAGCGCAGTAGATTCTATTTTGAAAATCCTTGTTTCTTTACTTAAGCCAAACAGGGAACATTTACTGAGCTTTGCAGCACCTGATTCAGAGTGTTCACTGCTGATGGCACATTTCCAGGATCCTTATTTAGTGGTTATCCATGCAACTAAACTAAACAGAACAATGAATTACATTGAATATATCATTTGGTTGTACACATCTCATTTCTATGCTCCCTTCTAGTACAAATCAACATGCCAACAGCCTACTGCATTGATAGCCACACAACTAGCCCAGGCTGAAACTGCCAAGGCAGGCGCCTGACCAAAGGGCAATGAAACCACAAGTCAAACCCACAGCCAATGCAGCCAGACCGGAAAAATGAATTAGGCCAAAGGATTTCATCTCTTGGAATTTGAACTAACACTTTCTTCTTAAGGGCCAATGACCACATCAAAACCACCAGTGAATTTAGAAATACAGAATCAGAGACTTTATCCCAGACCTACTAAATCAGAATCTGCATTTTAACCAGACTCCCAGAAGATTCATTTGCATGGTAAAATTTGAAAAGTTGAAACCACTAACTTCGTTAGTAGCTGCAGCAGAAGTAAAAGTGGTAGGGGAGCATTGAGCTGGAGAAGTTACAGGGGTCCATGATGAATACAAAACTATTTCAATATTCCAATTTTTGAAGAGTATTATATTCTCTCTTTGATTACCAAAGAGTATATGTCTATATCCCTTTTTCCTTTGTCCCTTCCTCCTTTCCTTCCTTTTTCCATCCTTCTATTGAGCAATTTACTTAGAATCTCTTGAGCCAAATTCATCAGAGAAAGCCAAGTAGGGAGACACGTAGAAACAGAAAAGATAAGGGAACTGTGTAGGGTCTACCTCACACAGTCTTGGTGTACAGTTATTCTCTCAGTACAATTACTAATCATGCCCCCCTTTGGATCTCAAATATATCCTGGTTTAGACAATAAACTATATGATATCTCAGTATGAAACTCAGTGAGGTTTATTTATGGCCTAGCTGTTCTGCACATTCTAGTCTTGGGTCCCTTAAATCACTGTCTCCCTTATTGGGACACATCATTCTTAAAAAAATTGACACCCTTGTGCCCTGATTTTTTGAAGTAGCCCACACACATAAAAATTTTACTATTTAATTAGTAGATACTAGGTGCCACTAAAGAGTAATTAAAAATGATACTGGGGTACTAATTTATCAATCCTCAAAGCAAGCCCAGGTTACCTAATGTCACAGGGGCATATCCTTGGCTCCTGATTGAATGGCTTTCTCCAGATGATCTATGTGCCAAAGCCCACTTAACACTCAGGAGCAGCTGACTCCATAATCTGTGGCCTTTTCTCTCCACCATGTACCTTTCCAGGCTATGAGCTTATGTCTCCCAATTCTCTGGTGATACTGCGAACACCTGCCATGCGAGGAAACCATGCCATACATGAACATCTCTGAGGGCACAGAAACTTTCTGTTTATTGGATACTATGCTCTGTATCTCTAGTTTTCTGATAAAATGTTTAGACGCTTTGTAGTGTGGATTGAGCATTATTTTCTAGATAATACAAAGCCAAGAGGTGAGATTTTAAAAATTCTATTCAAATAATTTTTCTTTAAAGTACTATTTTATACAACCAACACAACATAATAACCAATTTTCAATAATAAATATAGTGACAAAAATCTAAAATAAAGTAGTAAATTAAACCAGGAAAAAGTTCCACAAATTTTCACATACAAATCACTTCAGCTATTACTTACAAATGTTATTAAGTAGTGGGAAATGTACTATAATTCAGTGATTCTGTGCTTCAGAAAATAAACTGTTTCTTCATTTATATAATGAGTCCTATCTCAAAGTCAAAGTAAAGTAATGATCTAAATAAAATTCCACTTTGATTATATTTTTGGGCTTCTAGAAAAAGGAGCAATGCCTATTATATTTGATATTCTTAATAATTTTCAAAAGCCATAAATGTTAATCTCTACTCATTTTTAAAGGATACATGCAAAGAAACTGCATCCTAAGACAGAGCATAACTAGGTTAAATATTCAAAGAATCCTGAATTCAAATTCTTATTTCTTTTGCTTATTTTTTCTTCTGGGGGTATGGAGAGGAAACAGGGTCATGCATATAGTGGGACAAAAGGCCTAATCTTCACCACATAGCAAGGGCTCAAGAGATTCTAAGTAAATTCCTCAATAGAAGGATGGAAGAAAGGAAGGAAAGGAGGAAGGGACAAAGGAAAAGGGATATAGGCATATACTCTTTGGTAATCAAAGTGAGAATATAATAATCTTCAAAAATTGGAATATTGAAATTGTTTTGTATTTGTTGATAGGAGAGACATGTGTTAATGGATACAAAATTACAGCTAGATAGGAGAAATAAGTTCCAGTTTTCTGTACCACTTTGGATTACTGTAGTTAATAATAATATATAGTTTCAAATAATAGCTAGAAGGAGCATATTGAATGTTCTCAACACCAAGAAATAATAAATGCTTTAGGTAATGGATATACTAATTACTCTGATCTACTCTACATATACTATATATGTAAAAACATCACTGTGTACCCCGTAAATAAGTGCAATTATTATTTGTCAATTAAAAATAAAATTTAAAAAGATGATTATTTACTCTATTGCTTAAATTGATAAAGTTTTTCAGATATAAAAATCAAAATATGTAAAAAAATAGAAGATTAAGGTTGACAATAGGGAGAACAAGTCATGGTGGGGAGAGGGAGGGAGAGGAGAGATGAATGGGTAAAGAGGTGGCAGGATAGGGAATCACAAGGGGGCTGAATGGATGAGAAAATAAAAGGGAAGGGATGGAGAGAGGAGAAGAGTAGTTCAGGAAGGGCACTTATCTCAGTTTGAATAACAAAATCACTGGAGAATTGTTATTTGATTAATATCCGGGTGTCTCCCAGGACTCAAGCTCTGAGAGAACAGGCTATGTCCGTCTTTGTTCTCTGTTGTATCTAGCGCAGTGCTAGTCCCCTACTGCAGTGCTTCTCAAACTCTCAGCGATGAAGACTCCAGTCCTGTGTTTCTAATTTATCATGGACAACCAATTTGTAAAGCAAAACAAAACAAAAGCAACAACTTTAAACATGAAATGTAAAGAAAAGACATGTAAAATCCAAGCCCATTTATTATTAGATTCAACAGATATATCATTGCTTGTTTCCAAGTCCTGTACATATCTTGTCACTGATATGTACCAGCAGTTGTCACCAGCAATAATCCACTAACTTCTTATTGATTTGATAGACCCTCATTAAAAATTTGTAGAGGAGCTTCAAGATGGTTGCCTAGAGGCATTTCATATATGCCTCCTTCACTAAGAAGAAACAAAATAGTGAGTAGATATTTTATACTTTCAAAAGATGATTATCCAAGAGAAAACACTAAAATTCAATATGAAAGTGACAGGAACTACCTAAAGTAGAAGGAAGAGAGGCATCTGCTCACCTGAAATCAACTGGGTGTCAGATGCCAAGAGAGACTCCTCAATACAAGGAAAGAGTAAGTGAGAAACCCTCAACAGTCCACATTTCCAACATGGAGTGTGGCAATCCAAGCCACAGGAAAGCCTCTTCACCCTTCATAGGTCCTGAAACCAACAAAGGGAGCTGCTGGGAGACCTTGCAATGGCACTGCCCCAGAGAGAGGGCTCACAGTGGGTCCCAAAAAACACCTGGAGATCTAAGCAGCTACAACAAGCTGCCATTTTCGAGTGCCAGTGGCAACACACTGCACTCTTCCGGGGACTAGTGGTGCTGCAGCTGAGGTGCTAGACAAGCCCTGGCTCTTGCCTCTGGGGCTTAGATGTGAGCAACCACCAAATATTACTGCGTCTAAGGTGAAAGCACAAAGAAAGTGCAAGCAAGAAGCCAGCTACCACAGCAGGTCTTAGGTATGAATTCTACTAAAGCTTGGGTGCAAGTGGTGTGCACATTCCCCAGCCACCAGGCTAGGCTGCTGCCACGGAAGGTAGCACCACCCTATCCAGTAGCAGGGCTGCAGCATAACCACTGCTGCCCACAACCTGAGCATTCTGATGGTGGCCTGGGGATCACCCCACCCCTGCCTACCATGCTGACACCCACACACACCATCAGGAGGCCTGAAGATGAGCTCACCTGGCCCAGTGTTGCCCAACTTCTCCCATCCCAGAGCACAGACTCTGGAGGCAAAAAGATTGCTTAGCCCAGTCCACCACCACTGCACATGAACACTCCTCCTGGGGCCTGAGGTTGGGACTACCCACCCAGCTACCACCACAGCTGGCATCTATCTGCACATAGCACCTGTGAGCATTGAGACTGGCCCACTCGGCTCATCACAGTCCCACTGCCAATATAAGCACTCACCACGTGGGATCCAGATAGTTGTCCTGTTACCTTCACCCATGCCATTCTAGCTGTCCAGGGACCTGAGAACCCACCCACCTGGCCCACTGCTGCCTACCAGAATTGGAGTAAGCCACCTGGAGGCTCAAGAATAGGTTTACCTGAACCAACAAACACCAGGGTACACCACTCTGGGACCCAAGGACAGGCATCCCAGCCCATTGCTGCCATCACTGGGGCCTAAAGACTGGCCTTCCTGACATCCTAGCCCACAGAAAAACTTCATCACAGCCTCCAATAACAATTGCACCCTAAGCCACTGGGAAAATCACAGATACTACTGATGATGTTTACAGTCAAAGAAGTTTTACAAAGACTACACTACCGCACACATCTAAAATCAAAGCCAAAGTGCCCTGCTCAACCAACACCATAGGTACATATTCAGGAAAAAGTCCTCCCTGATGAAAGCAAATTCAGAAATTTGGAAAAAATAACTATATACCAGATGCAGAGATATCAATGTAAAGGCACAGGAAACATGAAAAAGCAAAAACGTATGACACCTTTAAAGGGCCATAATTTTCCAGCAATAGATCCCAATCAAAAAGAAATTCATGAAATCCCAGAATAAGAAACTAAATTATTGATTCTTAAGAAACTCAGTGAGTTACAATAGAAATCTGAAAAACAATTTAAAGAAATCAGAAAAAACAATTCAGGACATGAATGAAAATTTAACAGATAGATATTATTTTAAAATACCAGAGTTTTAGAACTGAATAATTATTTGAATAAAGTTAAAAATACATTTGAAAGCTTCAGCAATAAACTAGATCAAGCAGAAGAAAAAAATCTCAGAACTTGAAGACAGGTCTTTCAAAATAACCTTGTCAGAAAAAAATAAAGAGAATAAAAAGAATGAGCAAAGTTTTTGTGACATATGATAAACCCATAAAGCAATCAAATATTAAAATTATGGGAGTCCCATAAAGCAAAGAGAAAATTGAAGCATTCTATAACTTATTAAATAGATAATAAATGAAAACTCCCCAATTTAGGAAGAAATTTAGACATTCAGATATAGGAGGTTCTGAGATCCCCAAACAGATAAAATGCAACAAGATCTTCATGGCACATTATAGTCAAACCAGCTTAAGTCAAAGATAAATAGGGAATTCTAAAAAGAGCAAGAGAAAAGCATGTAGTCACCTATAAAGGAACACTCCATTAGACTAATAGAATTCTCAGCAGAAATCTTATGGGCCAGTAGAGAATAGGATGACATATTCAAAGTGCTAAAAAGAAAAAAAAAATCACGAAGGATACTATACCCAGCAAAATTAACCCTCATAAATGAAGGAGAAATAAAATTTTTCCCAGACAATTGAAAGCAAAGGAAATTCATTAGCACTAGACTCTCCCTACGAGAAATGCTCAAGGCAGTCTTCAACCCAAAAGCGAAAGGACAGCATTTACCATCATGAAAACACGTTGTAACTAATACTCACTGGTAAAGCAAACAGACAAATGAGGAAGAGAAAGGACTCAATGATAACACTACAGAAAACCACCAAACCAAAATGACAGACAATAAGGAAAAAATAAAGGAACAAAGAATATACTAAACCAGAAAATAACAGCATGACAGGAACAAAATCTCACACATCAGTAACAAGCTTGAATGTAAATGAATTAGATTCTCCTCCTAAAAGATATCGACTTGCTGAGTGAATTTTTAAAATAATCCAACTACAAACTGCTCACAAAAAATAAACTTTACCTCTAAAGACTCATTATAGAATGAAAGTGCAGAGATGGAGAAAGATATTCCACACAAGAAAACCAAAAGGGAAGCCAGACACGGTGGCTCATGCCTGTCATCCCAGCACTTTGGGAGGCCAAGTCGGGTGGATCACTTGAGGCCAGGAGTTCGAGACCAGCCTGGCCAACACAGCAAAACCCTGTCTCCACTAAAAATACAAAAATCAGCTGGGCATAGTGGTGCACACCGATAGTCCCAGCTACTCAGGAGGCTGGGGCATGAGAATCACTTGAACTTCGGGAGGTGGAGGTCACAGTGAGTGGAGATTGCGCCACTGTACTCCAGCCTGTGCCACAGAGTAAGACCCTGCCCCACCCCACCCCCCAAAAAAGCAACAATAAACAATCCCAAAGTGAGCAGGAATAGCTATATTTACATCAGATAAAATGTACTTCAAGTCAAAAACACTAAAATGGAAAAAAAAAGGACAAAGAAGGTCATTATGTAATGATAAAACAATAAAACAGCTAGAGGATATAAACATTCTAAATATATAGGCACCCAACACTGGAGCACCCAGATTCATAAAGCAAATATTACTAGATCTAAAGATGTCTAAAGATGGCAATAGACTCTAAAACAAGAATAGTGGGAGACTTCAACACCCTACTCTAAGCATTACACCGATCATCTAGACAGAAGATCTACAAGGAAACATTAAACTACACATTAGACCAAATAAACCTAACAGACATTTAAAAAAACATTACATTTTATTTAACAACTGCAGAATACACTGTGTTCTCATCAACACATAGAATATTCTCCAGGACCTACTATATGTTAGGCCACAAAGCAAGTCTAAAAATATTTGAAAGATTAAAAATTATATCAAGTATTTCTCAGACCATAATGGAATAAAACTAAAAATCAACGCCAAGTTAAACTTTGGAAACTTATAAATAGTTGGAAATTAAACAATATACTCCTGAACAACCACTGGGTTATGAAGAAATTAAGCTGGAAATTTAAAAATTTTTTGAAACAAATGAAAATAGGAATATAATATATCAAAACTCATGGTACATAGCAAAAACAGTACTAAGAGGGAATATTATAGCAATAAATGCCTACATTTAAAAAGTAGAAAGATTTCAAATAATCTTTCAAATAATGTAGATTTCAAATAATCTAATGATGATCCTCAAGGAACTGGAAAAGCAAGAATAAACTAAGCCCAAAAACAGCAAAAGGAAAAAAAAATAATGATTAAAGCAGAACTAAATGAAATAGAGACTAACAATACAAAAAACAATAAAACCAAAAGGTAGTTCTTAAAAAATAAACAAAACTAATAATTATTAGACTAACCAAGAAGAGAAGATAGAAGACTCAAATTAAAAAAAATCAGAAATGAAAATGGAGACATTTCAACTGATAAAACAGAGATACAAAAGATCATCAGAGACTATTATGAACAACTATATGCTAACAAACCAGAAACCTTATAGGAAATGGATAATTTTCTGGAAACATATATCCTACTAAAATTGAATCAGAAACAAATAGAAAACCTGAACAGACCAGTAATGAGTAGTGAGATTGAATCAGTAATGAAAATCTTCCAACAAAGCAAAGACCAGGACCAGATAAATTCACTAATGAATTCCACCAAAGATATAAAGAAGAAATAATAATAATCCTCAAGCTATTTCAAAAAAATCAAAGAGAAGGAAATTTTCCCTAACTCATTCTATAAGGCCAATATTACCCTGATACCAAAACCAGACAAGGATTTGACAAATAGTGAAACTACAGGCCAATATTCATGATGAACAGAGATACAAAAATCCCCAGCAAAATACTAATCAACAGAAAGCAACAGCATATCAAAAAGATAATAAACCATGATCAGATGAGATTTATACCAGGGATGCAAGGGTGGTTTCATGTACCCAAATCAGTAAAAAGGAAATGCATCATATCAATAAAATGAAGGGAAAAAACAACAGATGCCGAAAAAGCATTTGATAAAACTCAACATCACTTCATGTAAAAGCTTCAACCAATTAGGCATAGAAGGACCATACCTCAACACAATAAAAGCTGTATACAACAAACCCTCAGTTAACATCATACTGAATGGGAAAGGTTGAAAGCTTTTTCCTTAAGATATGAAACAAGACAAGGATGCTCACTTTCATCATTCCTATTCAACATATTTCTGGAAGTTCTAGCCAAGGCAATGAGGCAATAGCAATAAATAAATGGCATCAGCCCAGCACAGTGTCTCATGCCTGTAATCCCAGCACTTTGGGAGGCTGAGGTGGGTGAATCACTTGAGGTCAGGAGTTCAAGACTAGCCTGGCTAATATGGTGAATCCCCGTCTCTACTAAAAATAGAAAAATTAGATGGGTGTGGTGGCAAACACCTGTAATCCCAGCTACTCAGGATTACAGGAGGCTGAGGCAGGAGAATCGCTTGAACCCGAGAGGTGGAGATTGCAGTTAGCCAAGATTGTGCCACTGCACTCCTGCCTGGGCAATAGAGTGAGACTCCATCTTAAAAAAATAAATAAATAAATAGCATCACAGTTGCAAAAACAAAGAAGGTAAAATTGTCCCTCTTTGCAGATGACATAATCCTATATCTAGCAAAACCAAAGATTCCACCAAAAAACTCTTATATCTGATAACCAAATTTAGTAGAATTGCAGAATACAAAATGAACATAGAAAAAATCAGTACCATTTCTGTACACCATAGTGAAATAGCTGAAAGTGAAATCAAGAAGGCAATTCCACTTACAATAGCTACAAAAAATCCCAAGAAATAAACTTAACCAAGGAAGTGAAAGGTCTCTACAAGGAAAACTGCAAAACACTGATTAAAATAACACAGGAGGACACAAACAAATAGAAAGATATCCCATGCTCATGAAAAGGAAGAATTAATGTTGTTAAATGACCATACTACCCAAAGCAATATACAAATTCAACACAATCCCTATCAAAATAACAATGTCATTTTTCACAGAAATAAAAAAATCTTAAAGTTCATATAGAACCAAAAATGAGAAGAATAGCCAAAGTAATCCTGAGTAAAAAGAACAAAGCTGGAGGTATCATACTACCTGACTTCAAATTATATTACAAGGCAATAGTAACCAATACAGCATGGTATTGTTATTAAAATAAACACATAGACTAATGGAACAGAATAGGGAACCCCAAAATAAATCTTTATATTTACACCCAGCTAATTTGACAAAGATACAAAGAATATATACTAGGGAAAGGACACCCTCTTCGATACACATACAGGGAAATTTAAATACTCATATGCCAAAAAATGAAACTGGATCCATATTTCTCACCGTATATAAAAATCAACTCAAGATGGATTAAAGACTTACACTTACCCAAAATTATAAAACCACTGTAAGGAAAACATTTCAAGACTGGTCTAGGCAAAGGTTTCACAGCTAAGACTTCAATAGCATAGAAACTAAAACAAAAAGACAAATAAGATTATACTAAACTAAAAAGCTCTACACAGTAAAGGAAACAAACTACAAAGTGAAGAAACAATCAGTTGAATAGGAGAGAATATGTGCAAACTGTTCATCCAGTGGGGACTAATACCCAAAATACTCAAAGAACTCAAACAACTCAACAATAAAAAAACAAATAATGTCTTAAAAATTCGGCAAAGGACATAAACAGACAATTCCCACAAGAAGACATACAAATGGTTAATAGGTATATGAAAAAATGCTCAACATCAGTAATCATCAGGGAAATGCAAATCAAAACCACAATGAGAGATCATCTTATCCCAGTCAGAATGGCTATTATAAAAAATAAAATGTAAGAAATGTTGGCAAGGATGTGGAGAAAAGCAAACACTTACATATTGTTGGTGGGAATGTAAATTAGTACAAGCACTATGAAAAACAGCATAGAGATTTCTCAAAAAACTAAAAATAGAACTACCATATGATCCAGCAATCCTACTACTGGATATCCATCCAAAGGAAATCAGTATATCAAGAGGATACCTACACTAGCATGTTTATTGTAGCACTATTCAAAATAGCAAAAATATGGAATCAGCTTAAGTGTCCATCAGTAAACAAATGGGCAAAGAAAATGTGGTACATATACATAGTAGAATATGATTTGGCCATAACAAAGATTGAAATCATGTCATTTGCAGCAACATGGGTGGAACTGGAGGTCATTATGTTAAGTCAAAGAACCCAGGTATAATAAGATAAATACCGCATGTTCTCACTCATATGTAGGAGCTAAAAAACTTAGTATCATGGTGACAGAGAACAGAATGATAGATACCAGAGGTGGGTAAGTGTGTTAGAATGAGTAGGGGAAATGAAAAGAGGTGGATGAGTGGGTATAAACTTACAGTTTAGATAGAAAAACAAGTTCTAATGTTTGATAACAGCCTAAAGTGACTATGATCAGCAACAGTATACTGTATATTTCAAAATAGCTAGAAGAGAGAACTTGAAATGTTACCCTTTTCAAGGTGATGAAATGATAAATACTCAAGGTGATGGGTGCCCCCAAATAAGCAGGTTTGATCATTATACATTCTATGCATGTAAAAAATACAAATATCACATAAGTATGTGAAGTATTATGTATCAATAAAAGAAACAAAATGTAAAATATATAAACAATATAGACATCAGAACATTAAAATCTCAGCTATATATTATAGTTATATCATATCTTATTCTGGAATTTGAACAATTTTGGATATTCTTTTCCCTCGTCTTATTGTCACACAATAACAAAGTAGAGAATATGTCACCTAATTTTAAGTGGTTACATTGGGGAAAAAAGACAGGTTTATTACTAAGGGTTCCATATTGAGTAGCATAATAGCATAATAGAATGAGACACAATTCTTTTGACAACCAGATCACTACTTTTGCTCATAGGTCTGGGTGGCTTTTTTTTTCCCCTGCAAATTCCACAGGCAGCATTAATTAGCAAGCTGAAAGCACTTTCATTTTCACTTTTGGCTAGCAGACTTCAATGAATCTCTAATTTACACATTTCAGCTCTGCAGACATTTGCAGACCAATATTTTAAGAGCAAGTCTTTATTTGGCTTAGCCTCCATTTCTGTATAAAGTTAAGATGTGCATTTACTTGTCATTTCAGCAAAACCCTTGCCACAATTAATGAATGGTTCCAAAAAAATAAGTGTGTGGTCAATCCCATTCCACTTTTCTTTAGCCTGTAAATTGTTAGTTCTTTTGTAGTAACAGCTAGTTTAAACACAATGAAAACATCAGCAAAACATTGGCAAAATGTTCTTTCCAACAACTGATTCAAAATCATGATATAAAGGAAAAACATATACAGACGGTTCCTGACTTACAATGGTTCAACTTAGCAATTTTTTGACTTTATGATGGTGTGAAAGCAAGACACATTCAGTTGAAAGAGCATTTTGAGCACCCATACAACCATTCTGTTTTTCACTTTCAGCTCAGCATTCAATAAATTGCATGAGATACTCAACATTTTATTATAAACAGGCTTTGTGTTAGATAACTCCATCTAACTGTAGGCTAATGTAAGTATTCTGAGCATCTTTAAAGTAGGCTAGGCTAAGATATGGTGTTAAGTACCTTGGGCATATCAAACCCATTTTGATTTAGAATATTTTCAATTTACAATAGGTCTGTTGGGATGCAATCACATTGTAAGTTGAGAAGCATCTGTATTCAAAATTTTGGTGACTATATTTTTAATAAAAACGATCGATTGATCTATTTATCTCTCGTTTGGAAAGGTACATACCGAACTGTTAATGGAGATTATTGTTGGGGGCACAGTAGATTGGGAGTGAAGAATAGGGGACCCTTCCTTTCTCTTTATACATTTTGGTACTTTTTGGAATTTTTTCATGACTATATACTTCACATGAATATGTAATATTTTATTAATCTTACATTGCTGATAGAAGCTATTTTGAGGATTAAGCTATTTTGAGGTGATTGAAGCTATTTTCAAAATAGAAACTATTTTGAAGTGATTGAAGCTATTTTCCTGAGGAAAAATGCTTCAATCATGAATATGTATTTTTAAAACAAATCTATATTTTATTAATATACTTTATTAATCAATTGAACTTTGAAATAAAACAACATGCGAGGTGGAGGTTCTTAGCCCATTAGTACATGGGTGCACAAACCATTGTGGAAATGTGAGTCTGAGATACGAACAGAGATAGTGTGTTAAGCCATAGTCTGTGTACTTTCCACTGCCTTATGCTGCAGGGATAAGAAAAATGAGTCAATTGTATCATTTAATGGAATCTCCTTGTGTTTCTAACTTAGGTATCACGGAGGATAAACAACGAAAAGAACCATGTGTGATATGCTCTGGTGACATTGATACAGCCCAGAATTCAGGGCAATCCCATGAGAAAATTGTTCATATAAATTTGGTCAGAAATATATTTTATATTCACGTCCTTTAATTGTAAAATTAGTAAAAGAAGTGTTTATTCTTCAAAATATTAGAAATGGGTGCAGAGAACATTTAAGTTGGCAAGGAACACTCCAGATAATTTTGTCTGATAATCAAAAATATTCTAGGATGAAAAAACGTAATGAAAAAATTTGCCAGATTATAAATTGAGTTTTCTATTGCAGGTCCAATAACACATATTTTGCTTTCAATTACTATTTCCTCTGAACCCAAATATTTAAAATAAGAGAGTTACTAATAATGTTAGTCCCAGCATTGTTACTTTTCTTGAGATGATAAAAACTATGATATAAATTTGAAGACAGGATGAGCCACTAAGAAAATCAAGTCTTGAGGTCAACAAGAAGCAAGGCTAAAGTAAAAGGTTAAAATTCTCAGCTTAAGAGAAGAACTTGGGAACAATGCCTTGAGCAATTGTAACAAAAACTGAGTGAAAAAAATCACATTCTTGGGCCTTTACCCCCAATCCCTACTGTGAAGAATGGCAAACAGAGGAAAGAACTAAAGGCAAAGAAAATCCTTAATATCCTCCTCTATGTGGCAGGTGTTAAGGGAAGCACATGTCTCTTTCCTGATATGGGAAATAGTTATCCATGGGGACCTTATTAGCTAAAATGAAAAAAAAAAGCCACTTCGTTATCACCCTTAAATTTCTTACATGCTTAAAGCAATTTCTAGGAAGTGAATTCACATTTGCTGCATTCTTTAACAAAGCCCTGGCTTCTGGGATTTTCTAAATTTCTAAACTTCTTTCAAAGCATTAGAAAAGCATTATAGATTTTCTTTTTTTTCTTCCTTTTTAAATTTTAACCTTTTAGTAGTTGGGGTGACCGATATTAAACAAAGTTGGAAGTTACAGACAGTATCAATCAAAGTTAATTTCTTATTCTACCTTTAAAATACACCTTGGGTTTGTTCTACAAGTCATATTTAGCCATATTGTAATGTTGATTATTGTTCTTAATATTTATTATACAGGGCTACAGTTTATAATTGCTATAGATAGATTTTACTAAAAGGTATGGGATATAATTTATTCTATCACAAAATAATAATCTTTAAACAGTTTTCTGTTGCATGAAGTTATGCATGTGATTTACAAAAATATAGGTTCAGGCAGCAATATAAAATTATACATAGGCATGAAGTCAGGAGCAAAAAATGAAGACTTTTTTCTATAAATACAAAGTTCTGAATATACTTTAGTAAATTCTGATGTTTGGGCTCAGATATTGACCTCATTGACTCTTTTAAGAGCTGACTATACACTTTGCCTTTTCCTTACTCTAATTTTCATACACTTCTCTGCAACCCATTCAATCAAATATTTGAATAAGGCTACATACACAAAGAGGCAAGCTCCCTAGCCAGTAATGATGGCTCATTTTCCCAGATGAAAAACTCTGAAGACATCCCTCCCACCAAACCCCTTTCTATCTGCAAGTAAAGAATAAAACTGTGCCAGAAAACATGATGGTATTTTCTAAAGTTGAGAGGAATATGTCCATGATTCCTATCCCAATTACAAATCCCAGTGGATTCACATGAATGATCAAATGTTGACAAGTTGTCTGTTGATCTTTAATCATATTCCAAAAGTTTAAGTAAAGTGTAGGAGAGGTAGCATGTATATTAATAGACTAAATGCTTCTGAAACACCAATCAAAGAAGGAAGAAAGGCAAGAAAAAGAAATGTGACCAGTAATTGAAACTGAAATTGGTAGATAAGTGATAATGAGTGGATGCTTTCAGTTATTAAGCATCCGGTGCAGCAAGTTCCTTTATATTAGTTATTTCCTTTAATTCCCCAAACAATTCCATGAACTAGTTATCTCCATATTACAAATAAGAGAAATCTCATGTGCTAAAGCCTTCCCAGACGATCACTACCAACTTGTCCTCACATTCTCCTTTCTGTCAGTACTACATCTTGCACTAATCTTCATCATGACATTTTTCACACTTGGGAAATAGGTCGAATCACATTGAGGTTAAGACCATGAGCTTGGCAGTCAGAAAAACATATAATCAGAACTTAGTCCTGTCATTCACAACCTGTGTGGTTTGGACGTAATCTCTCTGAGCCTTAGTTTCCTTATAAGGAGAACAGGGGTAGCTGTAGGATTTACATTACAGTACATGTGTTACAAATAAATGAGTTCATGTTTGCAGAGTAGCTAGCCCAGTACCTGGTCCACATCAAGGAAGGTAGTATTTGAAGGGAGAGAAAGCCTCTGATTTTCTTCATGTACTTACAGTGTGCATGATTTTCTTCATGTACATACAGTGTGCTTTGGCAAAAGCAGATCCATAGTGGGGGTTTATTAAATGCTCATTGAATGAATGACAAATAAATGAATTAATGTATGTATGCAAATATGTATGTATGCATGTATAGATGGATGAATGGATAATCTTTTGCATCCTAAGACAGTAGTTTTCCTATTAAAGCTCCAATCATCTTTACAATTTTCCTCTTCCTAGAGTAGGATGAATTTTTGTGAGATAACCGACTATGACCAATAATCTGCTTATTTTTACAGAGATCAAAGTTATACATAGGTACCCAAGAAAAAACAATAAAAATAATTTTTTCTTCACCTATTCTTGTAGGATACAAGAATGACTCTCTACAATGCATCATAAGAAATGACAATGTGAGGTGCAGAATGAGCTGGAATCAGCCTCTCTTTATTAGTTATATCGCTTTAAAAATATTCCTTGATCTTTCTTAGCATCAGTTTCCTCACTCATAAATCTGGGACATAATAGTAATTATATGTGTCTTACAGTGTTGTGATAGTCCAATGAGATAATGTAAATTAAAGGGTGCACAGTGTAAGGGTTAAGGGATAAGTTTTCTTTGAATCAGGGAGGCAGTTGCCTCTTCATCATAATACCCTCTTCAGTGTGTTTTCCTCTTTAGGGTGCCATCTCGAAAACATATAGGCCTGAATAAAAGGCCCAACCTTTTGACTTTCTAATTCAAGATTAGGGACTTCTGACCATTAAAACTGTAAATGTATACCTCCAGAATTAGCTTAGGGGTCTCTCTCATGGGATAAATAAAAAGAGTTCCATCCATATCTATCAAGAAGATAGAGAAATTGTAACTGCTCATTCTTCTCACTTTACTGTGTATGTGTATGAAATTCTGTTCAGACTTCATAGTCACGTTTATGTCACTTAACTCTATAAAAAATTGTGTTATTTCTCTTTCTTTTAAATAGGTACAGAGGGATCTTTTGTTAGAATTGTTTTATTTCTCCATCAATTAAAAACTATAAAGTACCAAACAACTGTTAATTGTTGATGCTGTTATTGTAATTATTATAATTATGATCATTTCAGGACCACAATGATATAAAATTATAGCAATTATCCATATGAAAAGAAAATAAAATACTTTTATCTTTAACTAATTGGATAATTACTACAAAATGCTTTTCCCAAAACTCAGCTGAATATTTACTTTTTTCCTTTGCCTCAAATTTATTTTTATCATATATTAATGCCAAGATCAAAAGTATAAAACTTCCCAAATTAAAAGTTATTAAATTTTAGAACTGTCAGACTCCAGTAATAAAAGACAATTTTTTGTTATACTAAGAAGCTGTATACTTTAAATGAAAAATACATGACAAGTTTTCATATACTCTAAATGCTATATACCAATATTAAAGAGGAAACAACATATAGAGTAGTCCAATGAATGCTAAAGATGCTTTGAAATTTTATGCAATAATATAACTTAAAACAGACATTTGTCAATGATCTACATTATGAGTAAGTTAGTTATTATAATTAAATGCAATATATGCTTTTAAAGACTTAAAGATCAAACTTAAGATGTCTAAAATCAAATTCGTTCCTGCCTCCCATTACCGCCACTACTCTCTTCAAAAACTCCCTCTTTCTATTGACTTTCCTATGTCTATAATGGCACCCATGCACTTTCAGTCTTGAAGGTTCTTTCTTTAATGCTGCCCAGTCATGGGCCAAGACTATAGTCTGTGCTTACTTTATCACACTGCCCACTACAAAATAATACAATTTTCCATTGGTCATGCTCACCAGACTGAGTGTTTTTATGAAATCTTGAACATTAGTATTTTTCTCTGTCCTTCTTATCATCTATCTTTTCATCTGTTATTTGGATGAAGCCAAATTAATCATCTTTTATTTTATATTAATTTTTTTTGAGACAGAGGCTCACTCTGTTGACCAGGCTGGTCTTGAACTCCTGGCCTCAAGTGATCCTTCTGCAACAGGTTCCCAAAGTGCTGGGCTAACAGGCATGAGCCACTGCCTGCCGTGAGCCTGGGCTGTCAAATAAATCTTGGTTGAATAAATTAATAAATGAAATTCCATAGATTATAGGCCTATGATTTCTTTCCCATTTATTTTCTATTCTTAATTTCTAGTGTTTCTATACTAGTTTAGGCTCTTAGTCCTAATTGCCTTCCCCAGTTATTACCCCTACCATTTATTCATCTTACTCAACATTTGAAGAATAAATATATCTTAACAGAGCACTGCTTCTACTTCTCATTCCTGGTTCACAAATGCCCATTGACCCCTATCTGCCCTCAAAAGTATATGTCATCGAAAGAACATATTCCAGTCTGACATTCTTTTCTTTCTACAGTCTAATTTCAACAACTGCTCTGGCTATCCCCACACACCATGTTATCAATTTGCTTACATGCAACTTTAAGAAAACAAATAAATTTAGCATCTGACATAATTTTCCTGAGACATATGAAGTCAAACTTATAGCATATAGATAAAAAATTTTCATGGCAGCATAAATCCCAAAATTTAAGAAAGAAAATAGAAATTGTTGCTATTTAACAGTCCTCTAAAGTGGCCCTTCTAGCTTAACAATGTATCATAGTATTGAATCAAATATGCTCAAATCAAACATTAATCTGATTTTTAAAAGCAAATACAAAACGTGTTCATATTATAGTATTATCTCTTGTGCTGAATAACATTTTTATTTTCAATATATTTTAAAATACACACATCAACCATCAATCACAATGGGCAGTTTTAGAAACTCTCCTTAGTTTATGTAACAGACCATTATACCATTATGCAAATATATATTAATGTTTCATGTGTTTGTTTGTTGAGTGTTCCCTAGCAGAGGTTTCTGTTGTAAATTTCCTGTCTATTCCTTCCTCTTGCCCTTTTCTGTACTCTGGTTTCCCATGCAAAAATTCAGACCATTTCCATATCACCTAATAATCCCAGAGCTTTCAGAAGACCTTGGCGACCTGAAGATTTTTACTCTTAAAATGACTCCTGGACTTTCCAAATGCCATTCCAAACTCTGAGACCAGTTCAGAATAGATCAACTTCTTTCCTAGATTCCTGAAGCATTGCCTTTCGAGAGAGAATCTGACGATGGAGGATGACCTGGTCCTCACCAAGCAATACCTTAGAAGAGCAGACGGGGCCAAACCAAAACTTGCCTAAGATAGATTACAAATCCCTGCCAGTCTTCAGTTGACAGCCAGCATTTGTGTCTAGGTCAGCCACCACTATATTTTCAAAAGACATAAGCACAGAAGACAGGGAATGGAGAATTCTAAGAAATATAAAATTTTATTTTAACTGGTTAGGAATACCTATTGAAAAACTTTGGTTAAGGTAGTAAATTGGCTAAGTCCCTGACCATTTTTAAAATTTACTATTTACTTATACATATATATATATATATATATATATATATATGTATATGTACTTTACTCTGCTATCTCAATAAATGGTGCCTATTTTTTTCTTAGCTATTCTTTTTCTTTCCTAGTCCTATTTTGTTAATTCTGCTCACTGCCTTCTGCAGTGACCCTCTAAGTTTCACTCTTTCTGAAATAAAGTCATTGGTTTGTCTCCTTGCTATCCAAAATCTATGAAGGGAGATAAGCTACTTTAATTTGTTCTCTGGGGAGGACAAAAGGAACACAATTACCTCTTTCCTTTTGTAATTTTTAAGGGTCCTATCCCGAACTACTAATAGAAATCACCAAAAAGGTTGTTGGAATAATTTATGATCATTCATTGAGAGGGACTCCCTGACTTCCTGCTTTGTCTCCATTTTCTTAAGAGTACCAGGTTCTGCATAGTTACAACCCAAATGCTATTAAGCAAAGTATAACCCTTCTAGTTTTGTGTGTACTTCCTAACATATGAAGATAATAATTTTATCCAACATTTTAATATACCTGTTCAACTCTAGGACCAATGGTCTCTTCTAGCATTAAGTTTCAGGGAAAAGAAGTGCATGTGTGATCTGTGCTCTGTTTTTGCAGCAACACCCAAGTCTGTCTATTCTGAGAAATTAAAACAGCACACTTCAATTGGCAATTAAATGTTTTTATGATAATAGCTATATTTAGCGTAGACTGTAATGTTATTTGTAGTGTGTAGTACATTACTAGCAGGATTTTACACAGGGGAAACAATCCCAGTTTCTAAATATATGTTATAAATATATAAACATGATGGAAACAATTAAAAAACATCATGTATCACGGATGTAGCCTGATACAATTTTCATCATGAATATTTTAAATACTAAATAAATACATTCAGGGGAATACCCATTGATAGTCATAAACACAAGGGTTATATATTAATATAATATGTAAAATCTACATAGTTTTGAAAAATTCTTTTCAATTTTGTATGTGGATTAAAGTGTCTTTTGAGGTAATTAAGTTTTTGAAAGACTAGATATCTTCACAATAGACACTAATATCAAATATTTAAAATTCATACAAGGTTTCTAGCTTCTAAGCTAAAAATCATATGCTTCATAAGAATTGGGGAAGGAACTGTGTAAGCACAAACCAAAGAGGAAAAGAAAATGAACAAACCCACATAGACGTAGACATCCCCCCAGAACAAAATCCATCTGAGGCGATCAACAAAAAATCCTGAAAGGTATACACATTGCACATGCCTTATGCTGAAAAGTTGAAGTACCAGCACCAAACAGAATAGCTATATTAATTGCTCTTCACTCAAAAATGCCTTTTCATCATATTATAATGACCTAAAAAACCACACCACTTGCATACTTCTAAATGGATTTTTAAAATATGTATGCATAATTAGAAAAGGACATTTACAAACCTAAAATGAAATTTCATCACTTTTGGTGTTGAAGAAACACAACTTGCTTACACATGCAGATTTGTCCATGAATATTTTTTCTCTCTCTTGATGGAATTTTAGGTTTAAATGCACAACAATCTAGGGTAAATAAATTAAATGCCAAAAGCATATAATATATTCTTTTTGCTTATCTAATTTTACCATGCTCCTGAGATTTTAGATGGATATTTAAAAAGTACCTAAAATTTTTCCTCAAGTTTCTAATCTGGTCAGACCTTTAAATAACAACTGAACTAGGAAAACATTGGCATTTATCAGAGTCTACTCCTGTCATTCTACTGCTTCATGGGACAGTCTTCAACAAGACTTAGACAAACCTCATTCATCAATATTCTACTCTGGAGGAGCTGACACTTACTGTGAATTCTGCTCTTCAACTTAAATACCAATGTCTGTGGCAGGCCAATTCTATCATTGCAGATCCAGCATCCCTCAGGCGAGGTCCAACCTTTCTCTCGAAGTGCACCCAGGGATTAGTCTGACTTCCCCTAAATTCTCTCCTCTGCACAGTAAGAGCTAATCTTTCCTGTATGAAGCAGGAGATGGTGTTGCTATGACAACGGAGCACATTCTAGCAGTGGGACTACTGAGATGAGCCTTCAAAGACTCAGGGAAACATGCACTCAGTCTTCCTCCAGGGCTATGGGCTCCTTCCTTGAGGATTTAATCTCCCAACAAGTTTACTGTCAGACTGGGTTGTTGATTATCTGTACATTTTGCTACAGGGAGATCACTGGTTAAGAACATGGCTGGAAGATCACAGAGTTATTTAATAAAAGTGCCATTTTCAGTTTTAATAATTTTCCAGTTTAAATACTCTGTGTAGCTTGTTAAAACACTACCCCCTTTAAATTAAAAGCATTTTGCTTACTTTTAGATTTTTTAAAATGATTACAATGAGTTGAGAATGGCACTATCAAGGAGAAGCTTTACCTTTTTTTTGTTTGTATATCATCACCATTGTATCAACTTGAAGGTTAGATACAGGCGCGCGCACACACACACACACACACACACACACACACACACACACACACACATCCATTTTCTCTCTCCAGCATCAACGTCTGGAGCCTTGAGGTTTCAGGGTGGGGGAGGGGTATGCTAACAAAAGCAAATCCTGCAGCCACATTTTGCATACATATATTATCCAGAGAATAATCACAATAACTGCTAATCATTTAGAAAAATAATTATAACCGGAATTTAAGTGCCTGTGCCACAGCAGAAGAGATCTAGTATCAAGCCACATTGTAGGAGGGCAGATTTCATACGTTATTTTCAAACATGGCAGTTAAATTTTCTGGAAAATAATGAACACGTATATTAATATATATTTTAAACAGTTGATAGTATACTGTAATAGTTCTGACTATTTTGAACATTGAACATTCATTTTTCTTCAGAAACATTACTGCGATTCAAATGAGTACATCCTTTTCAATTGGAAGGAAAGATACAGGGCAGGAAAAGTTTTCCCCTCCCAGCAGCAGAGGTTCAGTTTACTCAATCACTCTGATTCAGGTTCTCACCCAGGGAGTCATCTGACCTGTCCTCTTTACTCCTTAATTTCCCCGTAATCTTTTCTATTTCTCAACCTTTTATGTTAGGAGCATCTATTCCTGCATACCACCCTTCCCCCACTGTCTGTAATTATTCTCCTTTGTGGCTGAAGCAATGGAATCTATATCATCTACATCTATTCTTTCAAGTGCTGAGAGCGAACAGGACTTTATGGATGTCGCTGTCACTCAGAGGTGTGAGAATCTATATGTTAGTCAGATTCAATGCCACATTGGCCTTCTAGAAAATCATAGGGCTATCTTTAGTTACTTCTTGCTTGTCACCCTAATGCGTTTGAAAAGCTTTATGATGTTAACTAGAATCTCATTATTGCACATAATGCATGTATTTACATTTAGTAGTTCATTTAAAAGAGACAGCATATTTTAAAACTCATTTTGATTTGTATTTGTTATTTCCATCATAGTAAAAAATGCTGTTAAATTTTTGCTAATGTGTGCCTTGGAATATATCTCCAGGATACATATGTACCCACTTCACAATATATGCAGATAATTTTCCCTTCATGATCCTCTTTTCAGAGCTTGCTCTGAAGATGCATTCTCATAATTCAAAAAGTTATAGCACCTGTTTTCATTATGTTCATTATTATCTAATTAGTAAAGGGCTTTCATTTTTTGGAAAAAAAAAATTCACTCTCATATTCAGGGAAACTGGATAAATGCCAACACATGTAAACAACATATGGTTTACTTTCAAAATCAATCAACCAGAATTATTTCTAAATCATTTCTTAGTTAAAAATGTGTTGAAATAATTTACTGCTATAATAGATAATGTTACTATCTGCTGTTCCTTTAGGACTGACTACCTGGACATCGATCATATTATATATTGTCTAGCTTCCCCAAGAAGACAATATTGTTTGTAGAAAAAATTATTTAAGTAGTTATGGTGAGTGTGCCACAACTTAGATTTGGATGTTAAAAGTGAGTTATAAACAACTAAGGTTATATGAATGCCAGAAATCACTACTGCAAGAAATTCTATAGTTTTTAAATTTTTCCTCATGTATTATTTTTATGAGCCCTAATTTTTCAACATAATATTCAGCAGATCTGGTAAATTAAAACAATATGTTTGTCTTATGGGAAATAGGGAAAATGAGAGTAGGAAAAACAGCACTTTTCACAAAACAAGTTTTAAATATAAACCCCAAGGCAGTTCTGAGTAAAAAGACTGAAATATTGGAGCCTACATAGTAAGGGGAACAAATGCGGAGTTGAGAACAATTTTTTTCTAAAAAGCCGCCTTTCATGGAAAGGCTTGGATACAGCCTCTAGACTTTGGCTAGACACTGAACACAGACTCTAATGACAAACTGCATTACTAATCTCTCTCTGCTTCAGTTTTCTCACCATCAGAATGGACATAATAAGAGTATCTTTATGAGAATTCAAGGAGTAAATATGTATAAATTTCTCATAATAATGCCTGACATATTGAAAATACTATGTAAATGTTAGGTGTCATTTAGGACCTTGAAGACAGGGACTAAATATTATTCAGCTTTGTCTCCCCTGTTCTTAATACAAAGTCTGCTATCAGGTATATACTTAATAAATGAAAATAAATATTTTTAATAAAATCTATATGACTGTAATATTTAATAAAGCAAAGTGAATAGACAATACTTTAGAATTCTAAATGTGTCAGAAGAAAAATGTAAATCTGTCTACATAATTATTATTGGTTTATAAAATTCAATAAATAAATATGTATTCAAGTAATCAATGAACTAAATTTTAAATATTTCTTGTTCTTTTATACTTTTTATAGTTTAAGAATTATTTGCTAAACAATAAGTAAACAACATAAGTAGGATTATCTTTGACTGTGAATAACAATAACATCTCCTTTAGTTTTATAAGAGAATGAGTTATCACTTATTAGAAAATTGATTTAGCATCTGCTTTATTAGATATTGTAGTAGGTGCTGGGATACAAAGGCTTAGACCACTGTGCCTGTCTTCAGTGAGTTCACAATTTAATGCAGGAAGCATACAGTCACTCAGCATAGTCTATGTGCCAGACACTGCTCTAGGTGCTGGGGGTATGATAGTGAACCAAACAGAAAGAAATGTCTACTATAAGGAAGTTTCTCCCTGCTAGTGTGTGAGAGAGTGTGTGTGTGTGTTTTCCGGCAGGGGAAATGAATGTATTTTAAGTATTAGTGCTTCAGAGGAAAATAAATTCAAATTTTGGAATAAGAAAGGCAGTAGAAATAGGGATAAAATTTTAATTTTAAAAAGATACATTTAATGCAAATTGATAAGGGCCATAAAAGAGCCACAAAGAAAGCACCATGCAACTAGGAAAAAGAGTGGCCAACTCTCTCCTAAGGAATATGGGAAGGCTTCACAGAGGGAGTAGTAAAAATCTAATGAGGATTAAATATGTAAAAAGGTTCTTATCTGCATATTAACTAGCATTTACTCACATCATCTATATAATTTAATATCTAATAAAACAAAGTGAATAAATACTATCTAAGGATACTAAAGTATCAGGACAGAAATAGAAATTTGTCTAATAACTAATCCATTATAGGTTTACAATGCTCAAAAATATTCCTTTAGTTAAAAAGCATGTTATTCTAGCAAGTGGAGTAATACATGGTTGATCTATAAAAGTAAAAGTAAATTGCCCTTACTTTGACACCATTGTCTTTTTTTTTCTAAGATAAAAAACAACTAAAGAAGGATAATTATAACTCACTTTATTTGTACAGCAAAATAAATTCCAGATGGCTTAAACATTTAACTCTTTTTTAAAAAGCTGTACAAGTACTGAAAGAAGTTAAGGAAAATGTGTTAAACACAAACATAGAGGAAAACAAACTTTGGAGTATCTGTCAGGTAAATAATTGGCTGTTTGGTCCAGAAATCTACAAATCTATTCCCACACTTTTAAATTATTTATTAAACAATCATTTATTCAGCAGCAATCATGTGCAATGTATTAGGAATAGACAGAAAAATAAGATAGTATTTAATTTCTAGAAGCTCATGGTCTAGTATTATAGTACAGATGGACAAAAACATAGGACTTTATGATTCAAAGTGCTAATTATTTTTATAAAATTATACACAGAATGCTACGAGAGAATCTAGGAGAGAACTTTTTCCTGGTACAGGGAGGTAGGCTTATGAAATCATATAACAAGCATGTAGATACAGTCATAATGGAATAGATTGGAGCAGTCCAATGTTCCCAATGAGAATAACCAGAAAAGCTAATTTTGAAATATAGATGATTAAAATATATTTAAAGGCATCAGACAGCTAAGAGAGAACTAGGACTTGAGAGCCCAAGATCCCTGAGGGAAGGACATCAGAGAAATGTGAACCAACATTCTGTAAGCAGCTTTTTCCCTCAGGGAAAACACCAATTTTGGTGTGAAAAGAGAGACGAAGAATATGAACATACATTGCTAATAGGTAGAGAACTTTTGGAACTCTTAAAATACTGAAGAAAAAATGGATTTCAGATTGAAGATGGTAGCAATGATGTAAGTAGTCAAGATTACAGAGAGAAGGTAGTAGCAGAGAAGTAAGACCACCATTCTATGGATTTGCCTTTAAGGCTTTGCATACTCTTAAATTGCCAAGAGCAAAAGACAAATGAGACAAACAGAAAACTGTTGAAAAAAAAATACAGTAGTGTTTGCTGTACTCTCAGTTCTAAACTAAAAAGCCAAGGACCATTAGGGAGGAAGAGCTTTTATGAGGAGTCCTGGATCTCAGCTGGGACAACCAGTAGGTTAGACCCTATGAGTGGAAGGAAACATATGGAGAAAAAAGCTTATTATAAGAACTAAAACCCAGCATCAAGCCAGTTCAATACTTAATTTAATTCAAATGATCTGTGCCCCCTTATCTGCTGGAAGATGGAAAATTGTCTCTGAGCCAGATAACATTCCTAAGACCCTCTCTATTATCACTCTACTATTTTTCATACATAATGTCCAGACTTAAGAAACATACTTAAGAAAATAATGTTAGGAACATATAGGAAACAGATAAATGGTAATATCAGTTCTATGCTGATAAATGTTTAATAACCAGTTTCCAAAAAAGGGGGAGCAATATTATAATTATACTGATATAAAAGATTTTTAACACAGTTTTTGAATTATAAAATATTCAATACTCTATTATAAATTTAATATATCCAATTGATTCTTTCAGAATACTCACATTGATTTTTACCAAACTATTATATTTGTAGGCAGTGACAATCAAGATGACTGCAACTGACAATCAAGTATACTTCAACATGGATATGGTTTCATTTTTTTATTTACTCATGTTTATGAGTAAGATGAAAGTGAATGTTAAAGATGAATACTGGAAATTCACATACTTGTAAGTGATGCAAGCAAATTCTCACATAATTATTTTTAAATGCTAGATAGTTGGTATAATTTCAATCATTTTAAATATGTTAAGACTTGTTTTGTACCCTAACATGAGGTCTATTCTGAAGAATGTTCCATGTGCACTTGAGAAGAATGACTGGAGTGTTCTTTATATGTATGTTAGGTCCAATTAGCTTATAGAATTGCTCTAGTCCTCTATTTCCTTATTCATCTTTTGTTTGGTTGTTGTTCTATCCATTATTAAAAGTGGGGTATTGAAGTCTCCTACTATTATTGTGCTGCTGTATGTTCCTTCCTTCAATTCTGCCAATGTTTGCTTCATCTATTGGGAACTCTGATATTGGGTGCACGAATATTTATAAAATATTATATATTTTCTTGGCAAATTGGCCCTTTTATAATTATGTGATATTATTATTTGTCTCTTCTAACCATTTTTATTTTAAAGTCTCCTTTTTTAATGTTAGTATAGCACCTCTGCTCTTTTTTAGTTATCACTTGCATAGAATATGTTTTTAATCTTTGTGACTCTCAGCCTATGTGTATCCTTAACATCTAATGTTAGTCTAGTAGACAGCATATAGTTTGATCTTGATTTTTTAAATCCATTCAGCAAATTATATCTTTTGATCAGGGAGTTTAATCCATTTACATTTAAAGTCATTACTGATTTAGGGAAGGAGATACTATTGCCATTTTGTTAATTGTTTTCTGTGTGTCTTGTAGCTCTATTACTTCTCCTTTCCTCTCTTACTGCTTTTCTTTGTCTTTTGTTGACTTTTGGTAATGGCATGCTTTGACTTTCTTTTCATTTCCTTTCATATACATTGTTACTGTTGCAATTAGACAAAACATTAAAGTTGTAACATAACATTCTATATAATGTTATATATTAATATATTCTATATTGCATATTTCCATATTATATATATTTTATATATAACATATTAAACAAATTATAACATTTTATTTTAAACTACTAACAACTTACTCTACTCCTTATTGTCCCTACTTTTATGTTATTGATGTCCCAAAGTACATCTTTATGTATTTTATATCCATTAACATATATTTATATTTGTTTTTATGTTTTTGTCATTTAAATTTTATATAAGAATTAAAAGTAAATTTGTGCACCAAAATTATAATAATACTAGTTCCTATATGTGGCCATGTATTTTTCTTTACTGAAGTTTGTATTTTCATCTAGCATTCTTTGAAGGACTCACTTATAGCATTTCTTGTACAGTAGATCTAGTAGAATGAACTTCCTCAGATTTGTCTGATAAAATCTTAAATTCCTCTCCATTTTTGAATTATTTTGTTGGCTGTAGTATTCTTGGTTGACAGCATTTTTTTCTCTAAACACTTTGAATAATATTATCACACTTCCTTTGGCCTATAAGGTTTTTGCTGAGAAATTATCTGATAATCTTATAGAGGCTATAATGTACATGATGAGTCTTTTTTCCCTTGCTGCTTTCACAACTCTCTTTGACTTTCAACAGTTTGATTGTAATGGGTCCTGGTGGAGTCTCTATGGATTCGTCCTGGTTGCAGTTGGTTGAGTTTCTTGAACATGTATATCCGTTTCTTTCCTCAAATTTGGGAAGTTTTTTGTCATTATTTCTTCAAATAAACTCTGCCCCTTTATCTCTCTCTCTGTCTCTCTTTACTCCTTGAATTTCCATAATTTGTATATTGGTCTGATTGATGGTACCCCATAAGTCCCTTAAGTTTTGTTTACTTTTCTTCATTCCTTTTTTTTTCTCCGCTATCTCAATGATTTCAAATGTCCTGTCTTAAAGTTCACTGATTTTTTCATCTGCCTGATCAAGTTTGCTATTAAGTCTCTCTAAATAATTTTTCAATTCAGCAATTCAGTTATTATATTTTTCAGCTCCAGAATTTCTATATGATTCTTTCCTATAGTTTCTACCTTTTCACTGATACTCTCAATTTGTTCATACATTGTTTTCTGGATTTTGTTTAGTCATCTCTCTATGTTCTTTTTTGAGCTTACTGACCATATTTAAAATAGTTGTTTTTAATTATTTGTCAGAAAGTTCAGTGATTTGCCTTTCTTTAGGTTCTATATCCAAGGTTTTGTTTTGTACATTTCATCAAGCCACATTTCTTTGTTTCTCTGCATGCCTTGTGATATTTCTTGATATTTGAGATTTGGGCATTTGAGAACACATTCACCTGCCCAAGCCATTATGCACTGGATTTGTGCAGAGAACGGCCTTCATCAATGAGCCTAGCTATATGTTTGGGAGACTCTCAAAACGTTTCTGAGGATGTTTCTCCTCTGGGCTCGTGTATGTCTTTACTTCTCTCAAATTCCCTAAGCAGCCTGCCCATTTTTTTCTCAGGAGCTCATAATCTCCTGCTCCTTCTAGCATCTGCCTGTAGAACTACAGAATCTCTGCAGCTCTGAGGACCCACCATGCCAAACCGCTTGCCTCTTTTTTCAGTGGTTTCCAAACTCTGCTACTGTTCCCATCAGTGCTATGATATAGAAACCAATACTTCAGGAAGCCCCTAGACAAACCAGAATATCTGACTCACAATCCACTCTCTTGTTGCTATTGTAAAAGAAGAGCCCTTGTATGGAATGTTTCCTCCAGTGTGCACTATGCTACACTGACTCAAGAAAAGGACATGGGCATGCAAAATTCTCTGAACTTTACTAGGATCTTTTTTTTGGTTTTGCATTGGTCTGGGTGCCGCTACTTCTTAACTGGTCAACAGAGTTCTTAAAAAGGGATTCTGGTCCATATATTGTTAACTCAGTGTCTTCAAGGGGGGAATTAGGGCCTCGGGCCTCTTGGTTTGCCATCTTGCCAACATCACTTTCTGTTAGTTTAGTTTTAACTGAAATGCTGAGAAATACTTAAAGATGATAGTTGGTTACTGAAAAGTAACATTGAACAAGGCTTTAGTAGAATGCAATACAACCCTTGACTTAGGAAGATTTGTTTCTTCTCTAGCTTCAGGCATAGGAGGAAGTCCTGGAGTGCTTAATGAACCCTGACATGTCCCTCTTAAAGGCTTAGAAACAGGGCAATTCTAATATTAATCATCACCTTAAAGCAGGAATTTCAGTTAAGCATCACCTTAAGGCAGGGATTTTACACTGTTTGGAGTTCTTGAGAATCTAAAGAAATCTACCCCTCCCCACCACCATGTACTTATATTTACATATATCCTCTCTTCCTCCAAAATTCACACATGTGCATATGTACACTCACGAGCACACATAATTTGGCACATGATTTATTCACCTGGTGCTCAGATAAAGAATACTGCTATATTGAAAAACTATGCGGTTTCTGTTTACATTGGGCTCCTAAGGTTAAGCCCAGGTAAAACTAAAATGTTCTTTGCCTTGTATACGTGCCATTGTCCTGACCTGGTCAACATCTCAATCAAATCTGTTTTCTAGAATGAGAGTAGAACTGAATTTCAGGAGTGTGGGTAAATGGCCTATCAGTGGCATCTGCTGTTGCCCTGAAAGATCTGTGATCTATCTTTATTAATAATAATAGTAATAAGTAACAGTATCTATTGACAATATTACTTGCTAGGCAATTTGTTAAATACAAATTAGAATATGATTACATGCACTGGATGGTCAAGGAATATTTCCTGAAGGAAGTTGCACTTGAAAGATTTTGAGGGTAAGAATCATGCCTTATACATCTCAGCTCTAGTTGCACATTGCTATGGAAATAGCAAGTTAATATAAAATACTGCTCATAAAAATTAATATTAATTATTACACAGTGTAAGTTACTAACACATTTGCCTACTTTATCTTTAAGCTTCTATGATTATTCTGCACTTCATGGATTTAAAAAATGCAGAGCATGATTTCAGGAATTGTAAATGACTTTTTTGCTTATTGATTTCAGCTGTTGATAATTTTCCAGTTATTTTTTCTCATAAATGTCATTTCTCCCATTCTCTTCATTGTATACTAAGTTCTGGCCATAATGATGCTATGCTATATCCAGCTCCTCACTTTAACAGGCCTGCTCACATCTCCAGGTCTATATTGTGCTCTTCCTCTGCTGGCCTGTTGTTCCTTATTTCTTTTTTTTGAGACAAAATCTCACTCTGTCACCCAGGCTGGAGTGCAATGGCACGATCTCGGCTCACTGCAAGCTCCGCCTCCCGGGTTCACGCCATTCTCCTGCCTCAGCCTCCCGAGTAGCTGGGACTACAGGCACCCGCCACCACGCCCGGCTAATTTTTTGTTATTTTTAGTAGAGACGGGGTTTCACCATGTTAGCTAGGATGGTCTCGATCTCCTGACCTCGTGATCTGCCCGCCTTGGCCTCCCAAAATGCTGGGATTACAGGCATGAGCCACTGCGCCCGGCCTCCTTATTTCTAACTCTTTGTTTTTGCCCCTGCTTTGTCCTGCTAGGTGAGGCCTTTATCTTTCTAAAATTTTCTCCTGCTGGCTTTCATGTCTTGAGTAAACTTTACTGGAAAAACCCTCACAGACATTTACCATCTGGGTGTAATGAGACTCCTATGTGCCTACGTCTAGCAAGCACCTGTCATATTCCATCGTAATTATCATTAATATTGCAATCTTCATAACAAATCTGTGAACTTCATGAATGTAAAGCTGTATCTCACAACTAGAAACTGTATCCACAGTTTTTAACCCAGTGCCTGCACTGTGAGAGACCTTAAAAAATATGAATATACATATTGCAATAATGAATGAATTATTAAATGGATCTACCATGTTAGGAAAAAAGGAAACTAAAACAAGTTGTGTATTTAACTTACAATTTCTAGTTTTTTCTCAAATCCTTTTCCACAGCCTCTGCCTTCTGTATGTCTTTTCTGTTGACCTAGAAAGCCATCAAATTGATTATTCTTTCTTCAGCATCTATCTTTCTCATAAATTCTCTGGACTCTGCACAAAGGGGTCATTGTAAAATGCAAATCTTATTCTTTATTGGCTTCCTATCCACTTCTGGTTGAAATTCAAACCCTTTATCATGACAAAAAATGTTAAAAATCACACATATATATAGAGAGATAGATAGATATACATATATATATATATATATATATATATATATATATACACATGCTTAGTTTATATGTGCCAGATACTTGACATAATTTAGTCCTCAGACCAACTCTCTGTGAGAGTACTGTCTTCATTTTATAAAATACCCCCGATTCAAAGTTTTGTCTTATGCAGCCTTCTTTCTCAGCATTTACTGAAAGGATTTATACCTCACTCTCATATTAAATAACTGGAAGTTCTCTGGACACACCACACTCTCTTCTGATGCCATGTCCTGTATATGTCTCATGCTGTTTCTCTTCCTGGCATATCCTGTTCCTCACTGACTGGTTAATTCTGATTTTTTTTCTTAATGTCTAGCTCAGCATCCTTTTGCTCTTGGAAGCCTCACCTGAATGCACCCAGATTGATAGATTATCTTCTTCAGGGTTTCCACAGTACCTTGTGTATATTGTAAACACTGTCGCTTGGGATCACTAGCTTCCAAAAATGGCTTCAAATAATCTGTGAAACCCATAACTTTCTCCTTGTGAAATAACCTCCCTAAATCTGGAGTGGTCTGGTCTGGGACTCCCTTTAACCAGTAGAATATAGAGGAAATGACCCTGTGTAAGTTCTGGAACTAACTCTTGGGAAGGTCTGTCAAGTTCTTTAGCACTTTTTGTACCACTGAGCCACCAAGTAAATGTCTCACTATCTGCTGGAGAAACCATGTGCAGAGACCATGTAGGGAGAGGTCGCATGAAGAGGAAGAGGCTCTGACACCCGGAGAGAAACAGACCCAAATGGTCTAGTATCCCAAATTCATTACCGAGATGAGCCTTCCAGCCTTCCCCCACCAGAGCATCGGTCATTGAGTGAGCCACCTCTGACAGTCCGGGCAAGTCAAGTCCTCGGAGGACTACAGCTCCCACCAACACTGGGAGAAGCAGAAGCATCACCAGCTAAGCTGTGTCAACTCACAGAATCACAAGAGATACTAAAGTGGTTATTGTTTTAAAGGGCTATGCTTTTGGATGGTTATTTTTAATTAGCAATAAGTAATTATAATATCCTGTCCCCCAGTCTCTGAACAGCTTGAGAGTGAATCTACACTATATCCACCCCCATACTCACAGTCCCTGGAACAGCACTTTCTACCAAGTGGTCATTAATGAATGTCTACTGATTGAATTAATAAATTTAATTATTCTCCATTTGAATATGTAAACACAGGATTGTGTTTACTCTTTCAATTTTGAACTAGTTTTTAATGATATTGCTTTATATGGTTGGGAACTTAAATCATTTCTGAATCAACTGGCTTAACTTATTTACATATCCCAACCACATGGCCTAACTTCCTCATAATTACTTTATTTTTCCATTGCATTTATTTCTTATTAAAATACTGTATGTTATTAATGGGTGGTGTTTATTTTCTGTCTTCCCCACACCCTTCTTCCCATTATTGAAATATAAGTTTCAGGAGGACAAAGAAAGGGTTGCTTTGCTTGATCTTGTTTTGTTTTTTATCCTGTTTTGTTCATTGATTTCTCCCAACTACCTAGAACAGTGTCTAGTAACAGTGGATGCTCAATACTTGTTGTTTGAATTAATTCATTCATTTTAGGAGGAAATGGACAAATCTGTGAGACAACACTGTAAAGAAAACCAGGACTTAGAGAAAGTTCACATGTGGTGCCTAAGAAGGACTACATAACCTGAGGCAATAAATTTCATTCCTCTATGTTTTGGCAACTACTGCAGAAGGAAAATCTGGGTGAAAAAGATCATCCATATGAAATTCCCTGACCTCTTAAAAATAAAAGTGCTATGTAAATGCACAAAGACATCATTCCTGCCTTGCTGCTTGATGTAGTGCAAGTCACAAAGGTATTTCTCAGACATTCAGCATTTTTTCTTCAGAAGATAGAACTTCAAAATTACTTAGAGAAATGTCTGACGCTGACACGCCCTAAGAGTGTGAGTTTTATAGAAAAAGAAACCCCAAGGTTTATATAAAACAAAAACAGCCTTATATTATCATGTAGCACTCACTTAAATGTTATAAGATATAAAAATGTAAGAGAGAACATAGTTAAAATCTAGGTTTATATACATGTATTTGGCTTAGTTATCAGTTCATCATAGATATATGAAAGATATTTGCTGAATTAGTGTTGAAGGAATACATTATTCTTAATGATACTCTTCCACATACAGTGGGTAAGAAAAATATAATGAGGTGTTATTGACAATATGCAAATCCTGTAGACCTAATTATATGGGGAAAGAAGATCACTGTTAATCTGTTAATCTATTATAATACTCATTACTGTGATTATAAGTTGAGACAGTTTCAGAGCCCTTCAGAAAAATATCATGTACACAAAATGAGCTTATGGGATGGTGGCCAGGGCTTTAAAATATTACCTAAAAGGTCAACCAATAGTCAAGCTAAACACATTCTTTCAAGGCACATATACAACATAGCTTGAATGACACTACTGTGTTGATTATAAAGTTGGCTCAGGAAGGACGACCTTGTTGTTTTCATTAATTCCACACTGGTGGAGTAATAACTCCTAAATGGTGGAGTAATAACTCCTAAGAACCACGAATAAATGAAAGACAATAAAATATAGTCAGTTTATTATAATATTTACTGTTTATTTTTATATTGGGCAATATTTTTATTCATAATATTATAAACTAATTGAGATAAAGGGATCACGTCTTAAATATCTATTGTATTTCTTTTAATATCCAGAATGATTGAACAGTCAGTAGGCAGTTAACAATATTTATCATAGTTGCTACACTCCTCTAGTCATGTTATCAGGAACTACCTCTTTCTTCAATTACCAAAGGAAATAACTGTGTATTATTCAGAATGACATATACTGAGAGAGACGTTAAGCCTACCAAGATAGGAAAAAATATATAGCAGGAGCACAGATAAAAGTGAGGTAAAGATAAGACTTGGCAAGCTAAGGGAAATGGTCAAAGGAAGCAATTGAAGACTCAAAATAAGAAATGCCCAATGAGAACATGCCGTATTTGGTATTCTGTTCACCGACGTAACAAACCTGCACATTCTGCAAGTGTACCACTGAACTTTAAAAAAAAAGTTTTTTTTTAAAAGATGCCAAATATCAAAGTTTGTGCTGTTAATAATTAACAGAAAGACTCAAAGGAACAAAAGAAGAAAAGGGGCTGTAAAAATTTGGTAGAAGAGACATAATAAGAGATATTAGTTATATACTTCAGATAACCAGAAATGTAACACTGAATAATGCTAGATCTCATTTAGTACTGAATAATTAGATCTCAAATATCTGAGCTTCACCTAAGGGACAAGGAGGGGAAGTTGCCGAACCTCTTCTGGAATTTATAAATTAGCTAAAGAAGTACAGTATGACCCTTTCTTCATAAGTGTATAACATGCAGCAGCAATAATGCCTGCCATTTCCATTCCATTCCCCATTTGAAATTTTCAAAATTTCTAAGAAATAAATTTAATCTGGTTTGAATGCAGAATGTGTTAAAGAAGGGGTTATATGACTTTTAAAAATAGAATAACATATTCAATTTTACTCAAATGTCCAACTTTTTTGTATATCAAAATAAAAATAGGCAGGTAGATGGAAAATATGTCTATAGCTATTGTCATAGAAGAAAGCCACTTGGACTTTTATACTAGCAGATAGAAAGCCATAGTGCATATTCATATAAGAAACTATCTATATCCAGAATAAAATGTCTTGAATATTTGAAGTAAATGAAAATCCCAAACCAAAAACGTTGCTAATATACAGAACTGGTTGGACATTTTCAAATTTGTCAAATATAATGCCATTAATCATTCAATCAACTTTATATCATAGAATTACGGGAGAATTTACTTATGGATGCTATATTGTCTTTTCTATTAGCATTGAACCCTTGCTTCTGAAAAGGTAGAGAAGAGTGATTTACCTTTGATATTTTTTACATCTCACTCATTCCTCAATCACTCATTGCTGGGTGAGGTATGGATGAAAGATGAAAAACTGAACCCAAATGAAGTAAATGGAGAAGAGAAACCACAGCTATCTCTTGACTTGATCCAACAGGAGTGATCAGACTATGGGAAATAAAGCCAAATGGACAGCAGCCCTGAAATCAGCAGCAGCAATGTAGAACCACTGAGCCAAAGGTCTCAACACAAGTACTCCCTTATAGGAATATGTGTTGGGCAAATATTTTGCTTTTCCAAAATAAATTAAGTGGAATTTTCAGTCCTTATCATCCCATTACTTAATATCCACTAATTATCTTATTTTCCCCTTCCATTTGCACTCCATCTTACCCCTAAAATATATGTTTTAGGGACTATAATTAATCAAAATTATTTAATAAAAATTTTACAATCTCTGACAACAGAAATTGCAATGTAGAAGAATAAATATTCAGTATTAAAATGAAGTACGTGAGGTTTTCGCTCTTGCACTTAAAATGTGTTATTGGACACAAGTCAGCACTTCAAATCTGAGCTTTCCTATCTGTTAAGTGAACATAACCAACCCTCTGTTGATCTTAAAGAATTTTTGTTAGGACCAAATAAAATAATGTCTGTACATTCTCTTTATAAATCATGATGTGAAACAAAAATATAAACAAACATTATTGTTTCCAGATATTATGTGTTGCTTTGTTATATGATAATAATTAATAAATATATAAACTATATCAGTAGTATATCACTGAATATTACATTAAAGATAGATTATTTTCTCTCAAGGTGATATTATATTGCTTAAAAGAACACATCCTAGGAGTTCTACAAAAGTGCTTTTATTATGATTACACCACTCTAGAGAAAACAATTAACTCTATTTATGAAGTTGGAAGCTGACATTTATTTTTCCTTGCCACACACTGACTGGTATAATTGAGTGGTTCTTGTGTTTAGAAATAATTAACAATTATGAGACTACAAAGACCATCATATGAAATCAAATATAACCTACAGAATACAATTGGCATATTGTCACTTATGAAACACAAAGCATTCTGACTCGTTTATTGGTGCAAGGTGAGCATTATTGAAAGATAGAATGAGTCCAAGGAAAGTGAAGCAGGGACCACAGGACTAAACAATCTATCCTTAGCCAAGTTTTCTTATTTGCTGAAATTTAATGAAGCAGGTCAAGGAATAAAGAAAAATGAAAGCTACAACAAAGGATTGCCATCAATACCCTATGCAAATAATACTGCAGTTGTACTCGTTGTATTGTCTGAGATTGTATGCAGCCTCAGAGCACATGTCCTTTTCCTCCTCCACATTTACTACAACATTATAAAAACCTTGGGCCCTGTACCCTCCATTCAGAAGTTCGTCTGAAATAGTATCAGAGAAATTGCAGAATCTACATCTAATCATTAAAAAGGGGAACTGTTCTTTAAGGATCATATACTATGGTACAGTTTATCCTGATAGATTAGCATGCATTCCAAGTTATGAAATACCAATTTATGCTCATAGATTATTATTATTATGAAAACTACCCTTTGAAATTCTAAAATGATAAATAAATATGCAGTAGTTAATAGTAGTACTCTCTATGACACATAATTCAGTTGTATTATAGCAATGTAAGTCAATCATTACACAAAGTTCTGTGGTTTGTCTTTATGTATGATTAGTATCCCCAAAATTGATACAGTTGACTTAAGTCTTGCAAATCTTACAAGTATGTTCTATATTTTCTATCTAAAGGAGCTTACTATAATTACTGTAATGCATAAAAATTTCAAAAACCATGAGTTTTATTCCCTATGGTATTTTTTAACACACACACACACACACACACACACACACACACATCATATGTGTCTTGTTTTTATGCCAAAAAAGAAAAATATACAATAGTTACTTGCATAATCTATAGAAACAATCTATAGAAATGTTTTGGATTTATTAAAGCAATTCAATAAAAACAGGCAGTCAACTTGAATAAAAAGGGTTAGATAATGATATCACTACGTCCTTTAGCAGAGAAAGGAGCTTAGTCTTGTTTAGAAACTAGCATAGAAATCCAGCCTAGAAGAGATAGCAAATGCTTGAAAGAGAATACACACATATAATTTAGTTTATTCTCTCAAGGATCCCCAATCATCTCATAAATTCATTTGATTGTGTAGCCCCTTTGACACTTAATATTTATTAATTTTCTCTGGAGGTTAAAATGTTAAAGAAACTAAGAACCAGTAAGAGCTTATTAACCCTCACATAAACTGGTTTCCATTACCCTTTCGGTTAAATGCATCCTCCCTACCTGCCTATTGAAGTTAAAATGATGTCACAGTGCATTCTACAATTTAGAGACTAAAAGAGAGAAAGATGAAGTATTGTAAAAGTAACTACCCAATAATTTCATGTAAAGCAATGCTTCATTTTTTAAGGCTAAAATGCAGAATGTTTTAAATCAATTGTGCTACTAGTAAGGATTCTGGCATGCAAATGAGCCCCACCCCACACAAAACATTTTTAAATGGATTTCTCTGTCATTACATTACAAAATGCACAGAAATTGTAGTGAAGCTTCATTTTATTTTTTTATTATAAATCATGCAAATCTATGTCTACTCACTAGTACATAGTATAATAACTTTTAAAACTTTGAATAATCTATTAACTACATAGTCTCATTACAGGTACATAAAAACTTTTGATAAGAGATTAAATGCTAAGTAATTGATTTCTAAGAATTTTCAAAACACCTGTTTCTTTGGTTTAGTTGAGGACTTCGGCTGAATATTAGAGGAGATTTTTGTCTATTATAAAAAGGAAGTCGAAATTTCAAATCTTTGCCAATAAATGGCATATAGTTATTATACTTTGAGAGGTTTTAAATATCTGTATAGCTTTTCAAAATATAACCCTTACGAATTTGACTTGGGGATTGTTAATCTCAAAAATTATAAGCAGGTTCACAGGATTGATTTGAAGTATATATTCTAACAACAAAAATAAAAATTTAAATTTGTTTTGGGAATTTATATGCAGTGATTCAATGTAATTTCTGTGTAAGTTTTAAAAAATAATAGGTATAAATAATTTAATTTAGAAGGCAAACTTGAAATATCATTTTCTTTTCTGCAAAGTTATATGGTAAAACAGTCATTCTTTATTACAGATGATTCATTCACTTGAGAATTATCAAACAACTCTCAAGAGATGCTATCATTTTATTACATTAAAATAGAAAGTTTCTTATGTCCATTCTTAAATTGTGAGCAGCTACTCTTAATTTTTCTGTGTCCAATTATTTAAGAGTCTTCACAGCTGCTTAAAATATTACTACAATATAGCCTTAAATTTGCTATGAAGAGAAAATATTCTGGAGATCTGTTACAAACAATATTGAACTATTTACATAGAACTTGAATGTTCAAATATGTTTACACTGTACACCCCAACCTTTCAAAGCAGCATGTAGTGGCTAGTAGAAAGCTTGCATGTCAAATCAGTACTAAAGTATTCCAAAACTGTCTATGAAACAAAATATTTTAATTTATTATATTTGAAAAGTTTCTTATTTCCAAAGCTTTTCTTCTAAAAAAAAAAAAAACAACACTGAAGTATAAGTGTATGTTCCTTTCCTAAGATAACATTTAACCTTTGTTCAAGAAAATTGTGTTGGCTTTTTCTATTCTATCTCTAACAATAATTCCAAAACTCTATATATAATTAATGTAAAAGAATAATCAGAAAGAAGTCAGGAATTACTATAAAACAAAGAAGGCTCTTCATCTTTAGACTCGTTGGTAATACAACTCAATAGCTGACTAATAAAGAATCAGCCACTAATGTATTAACACATTTAAAAATACCTTTATACGTCAGGCATTATTCTATGGATAAAGCATACAGAAAATAGAAAATATATTTTTTCATCCTACTTATATTCCAATGGGTGAAAAAAGAAAATAAACAAAATACTAAAGTAAGTTATATAGATAGAAGAAAAGATGTGTTATAGAGAACATAAAATGGAGGTGGTGTACAGGATTTGCGATTTAAAGAAAGCAATCATAGAAGATTTCACTTGGAATATTATATTTGAGCAAACTCTTGAAAAAGGCAATGGGGCAAGAAATGTAGTAGATAAAAGAATTTTAGGCAAAAGTACCAATGATCAAAAAGAACTCTGAAGTCAGTGTATTCCTGGCATGTTTGAGGAGCAGCAGGGAGGCTGTTGTAGCTATGCCATTTACAGGACTTTAAATTTTACACTAAGAGATGAGAAACCCTGAAAGGGCTTTGAGTAAAAAAAGCCATGTGATCTGACTCCAGTCTTAAAAGAATCATCGGGCTTAGAATCTACTGTAGGATAGGAAAAAATACAAGAGTAGAAGCAAGGAGATCAGGTATGAGGCTACTTTAATAAACCAGGCAAATGATGAGATGGTTTGGACTAGGGTAGAGACTCGAAAGTGGAGAAAAGTGTTCAGATTTTAGGTACATTATGAAGGCAGAAGGAACAAACATAAGAGTCTTCTGATGCACAGAATGATATGTATTCAAGAAAAATGGGAGTTATAAATCCAAGTCTTTTGGTCGGAGCATCTGGGAGGATGGAGTTGCCTTTGAGAAGGAAAGGACTGCAGGTGGAGTAGGTTTTATTTTATTTATTTATTTAGTGAAAGAGATAAGCTCAGTTTGGGATGTGTTTATTTTTTTTAATTTTGTGCCTGAATGGTACTGTCAAATATCCTGTTGGGTATATAAGCCTGGTTTGGGGGGTGGGTCTGGTTTGGAGATATAAACATGAGTCATCAGTGCATAGGCAGTAGTTAAAGATGTGTCTAGACAATATCATCAAGAGAGTGATTGTATATAAAACAACAAAAACCATCCAAAGATGAAGCCACAAGGCACTGCAAAGTAAAGAGATGGGAGAAATGAGAAAAAATTAAGAAAGAAAATGAGAAAGAAAAGCCAGTGAGGTGGGAGGAAAATTAGGAGGTGAGCAAAGACCCTCTTAGGCTTCCATACATGAAGTGGGCATTAATGTGCATGAATAATGGAGAAGCAGACCTGCTACAGAGGGAGAGGCTTTGCAGGGCTGGGGAAATCAGCCAAGACTAGGTGACAGTTCACTGTGGCAAAATGGTTAAAAAATGGAAAATAGCCCCAAATATAAAGACAAATATCTTAGTGTGTCAACTAATTCTTCCTCCCTAAATTGTAACATGAAAACAGCAGCAGTGAAGGAGGAACAATGCTAAGAGAATTGCTTATTTCTTTTTTTAAAATTTTTTAATTTTTTAATTTTTTATTTTTTTGAGACAGAGTCTCACTCCGTCGCCAGGCTGGAGTGCAGTGGCGCGAGCTTGGCTCACTGCAACCTCCAACTCCCTGGTTCTAGCAATTCTCCTGCTTCAGCCTCCTGAGTGGCTGGGATTACAGGCTCGTGCCACCACGCCCAGCTAATTTTCGTATGTTTAGTAGAGACAGGGTTTCACCATCTTGGCCAGGATGTTCTCGATCTGCTGACCTCATGTCCACCCACCTCGGCCTCCCAAAGTGCTGGGATTACAGGCATAAGCCACCGCGCCTGGCAGAGAATTGCTTATTTCTGAGCATCCTCACAGTAATTGTATTCCAAAAGCTTTTCCAATTTAAACTAAATAGTGAATAACCATATCTGGAATTGCAATACAACATCCTCTCAGTTCAAGTACTGACTAGATTTAAAAAGCTATGTCTGGGAGATTAGAGGTTTGGCAACTCAAAGATGAACTCAATATTATTAAAACTATGGTGAAAGAAAAGGGATTTATTATCTGGGAAATAAACAAAAACAATAAAATATTATTATTTAATCATTCTTTTATAGCAATACTCAGAATACAATAAAACTCTAAAAGATACATGAAGGAAAAAATTATCCATAATAAAGGTAAAGCAAAATAAAAAGAATAAGACCCATGTATAACTCAGTTATTGAAATTAACATGTCTGGGCTTTAAAATAACCATTATTGATGTGTGAAACAATTGACAACAAAATATGGATATAGTGGATTAAATAATGGGATATTTAGTTGGAAAATTAGAAACTCTAAGAAAACACCAAATGGAAATTATGGAGTTGTAGAAAAAAGTGTCTGAAATTAAAATTCATTGGATCCCTTTTACAAAAGATTGGACATGGGTAAAGAATGAATAAGTGGATTTAAAATCAAGTGAAAAGGAATTATCTAAACTAAAACATGAGAAAAAAGATTGTAAAATCAAGTGGAAAACAGATGGTCAGTGACCTGTGGCATAAACTTCAAAAATACACATACAATTATGTAATTAGAATCTCAAAAGAGGAGAAGAGAGAAAATAAGACGGATAATTTCTAGAAAGAAAACTGAAAAATTAACAAAACTGATGAAAAATATCAACCCATAGATCTAAGAAGCTCAACAAACACTAAGCAGAATTTTTTTTAATGCATTTAGGCATATCATAGGCAAACTGATGAAAACCAAAGAGAAAATAAAATTTTAAAAGAAGAGAGACAAAATGAACATGACTGAGAGACTAAATACACAAACCCACAATCGCAGCAACCAGTCCAGAAAACCAACCCATTATCCACAGTAACCCGCTCAGGAAGCCAGCTTACTTTCCATGTCAGACTTGTATGAAGTCAGACCACTATCTCTAGCAACCATTTCACAAAATCAAACAAAAACATCTGAAATAATTGGTCCCAAATGGCTAAGACTTGATTAATAACAGACAGATCTCCTAATTTTAGTCCTGCCTCCAACTTAGGACCAACCAGAGAAAGTCCTATGCATCCCTCACTAATCATATAAGATACCCCAGTTCTAGGTAGCCCACCTCCAGCTTCGCTATGCCAACAGTCTTCAATTAGAGCATACCTGTAGCCTTGCCTTGTTTTGTTTTGTTTTGTTTTTGAGACGGAGTCTCGCTCAGTCGCCCAGGCTGGAGTGCATTGGCGCAATCCCGGCTCACTGAAAGCTCCGCCTTCCGGGTTCACGCCATTCTCCTGCCTCAGCCTCCCCAGTAGCTGGGACTACAGGTGCCTGCCACTGCGCCCAGCTAATTTTTTGTATTTTTAGTAGAGACGGGGTTTCACCATGGTCTCGATATCCTGACCTCGTGATCCGCCCGCCTCGGCCTCCCAAAGTGCTGGGATTACAGGCGTGAGCCACCGCGCCCGGCCCGCCTTGCCTTTTTTACACTATAAAGTTTCACCACATCTCTACTTGCCTTTCAGTCTCTGACAAATGAAAACGTGATGGTGGCTGACTCCCTTGTTATACCAAGCCCTGAATAAATAGACTTTGCCTCTTCTCATTTGTTGATTTTCATTTATTTCCACATAATATAGAGAGGAACAACCATAAGAATGATGTCTGACTGCACATAAACAACTTAAGCCAGAACATAAAGGAACACAATCTTTAAAGTACTCGGAAAACATGTTCACAGTGTAGAGTTATACAGTCAGTGAAAACATCCTCCTTTAAAAGTGAGTGTAAAATAAAGACACAGCCCATAAACAATGGCTGAGAGAATCTGTCACTAGTAGAAGCTGCACTATAAGACATGATAAGGTAAATTTTTCAGTATAAAGAAAAATTATTTCAGAAAGAAACATAGCTTAAAAGAAAGTTGAAAGAAATAATAAATACATAGGTATATATAAAGATTCTTTATGCTTCTTACTCTTTGTAAAAGGCTATTATAAGCAAAAATAACAATATAAACATGAATCTTATAATTTATGAACAAGTGTAATATATAAAATCAATAACACAAAGAACAAAGGAAACAATTGGAAATATATAATTTTAAAATTCTTACATTAAAATAAAATGGTGTGGTCAATGGGTACAAAGTTACAGTTAGGAGAAATAAGTTCTGGTGTTCTATAGCATAGCAGGGGTGACAATAGTAAACAACAGTGTATATTTCAAGGTAACTAAAAGAGAAGATTCTGAGTGTTCTCACCACAAAGAAATGATAGATGTTTTAGGTGGTGGATATACCAAAAAACATGATTTGATCATTACACAATGTATACATGTATCAAAATTTATATTGTACCCACTAAATACGTACAAAGATTGTGTTAATTTAAAACAAAATAGTGAACAAAGCTCTTTTAGTAAACAAAAAGTAAAATAATATGGTGAAGTATGAATTCAAAACTTGCTATAATATAGATACATATTGAAATTCCCAGACAACCACTAAAAAAATAGAGTTTAAAATACTCCCGTTAAAAGGCAGAGATTGTCAGGCTGAAGATATACACAAATAGACAGACAGACAGACAGACACACACACACACACACACACACACACACAGATGATCCCTGACTTAACGATGGTTCAGTTTATAATGTTTTGACTTTGCAGAGGTATGAAAGTGATGCAGATTCAGCAGAAACCATACTTTGAGTATCTATACGACCATTCTGTTTTTAACTTTCAGTAGATTATTCAATAAACTACATGAGATACTCAACACTTTATTATAAAATAGGCCATGTATTAGATGATTTTGACCAGCTGTGGGCTAATATAAGTGAATGTAAGTGTTCTGAGCACTTTTAAGCTAGACTAAGCTAAACTATGATGTTCATTAGGTTAGGTGTATTAAATGCATTTTTCACTTACAATATTTTCAATTTATAATGGGTTTATTGAGATGTAACACATCGTAAGACAAGGAGCATCAGTATATGTATATTACGCACATAATGAGGGGGGAATGTACCTAACTATATGATAACCTACAGAGCTATATCTTAAATATTACAAAACAGTTTAAAGATAAAATGAAAGGGGCCAGGCGCAGTAGCTCACGCCTGTAATTCCAGCACTTTGGGAGGCTGAGGCCTGCAGATCATGAGGTCAGGAGTTCGAGACCAGCCTGACCAAGATGGTGAAACCACATCTCTATTAAAAATACAAAAATTAGCCGGGCGTGGTGGTGGGCACCTGTAATCCCAGCTACTCAGGAGGCTAAGGCAGGAGAATCGCCCGGGAGGCAGAGGTTGCAGTGAGCTGAGATCACAGCATTGCACTCCAGCCTAGGTGACAGAGCGAGACTCCATCTCAAAAAACAAACAAACAAAAAAAGATAAAATGACAGACAAAGGCACACTATTCAAACCCTAATCATAAGAAAACTGTTGTGGCTATATTAGCATCAGACAAAGCAGATTTCAAGACAAAATGCACCAGAGATATTCAGGGACATCCCATAAAGACCAATGGGTCAATTTAATAGGAAGACATCATTTTAAATGTGTATATTATTAATAACAACTTCAGTATACATGAAGCAAAAATGGAGAGAATTAAAGAGAAGTAGATAAATGCACAATCGTAGTTTGAGATTTTAACATGTCTTTATGGCAAATTAATAGAACAAGTAGATGAAAAAAAGAAAAAGACTATATATTTGAATGACACTATCAATCAAGTTGACTTAGTTTGCATAAACAGAATACCACACAAAACAACTGTGTAATACCTCTTATTTTCATGTGCGCACGAACATTTACCAAGTCAGGTCATGTGCTGGACCATACAGCAAGTTACAAAAAATTTTAAACTACTTAAATGCCTTTGTCCGTCATTTCATTTTTAAGCTGTTTTTTATATATAGAAGACAATATAAAATCTAAAAAATAAAACCAAATATTTGGAAATTGAACACCAACTTCTAAATAATCTATTGGTTAAGTAAGAAATCACAAAACATTGTAAAATATTTTTGCTTAAATTAATATGAAAACAAAATGTATCAAAACATGTGTAAGGAAGCTAAAGTTGTGCTTAGAAAGAAATATATAGTTTTATATGCTAGTATTAGCTATGAGGAGTTTAAAACTAAATAGCCAGGGACAAAACAAATTAAATGCAAACTAACAGAATGAAGTAAATCCTAAGTTAATAAGTGTGACATCAATTAAATACAAAACATACAAAATACAGAGAAAGCACAATATAGCTAGATGCTCATTTGTGATAATATTAATAAAATTGATAACCCCTTGAAATAACCAATCAGGAAAATAATAAAAAGAAAAATACATCAATTACCAATATCAGGAATGAAAGGTGATATGACTACACGCTCTACAGAAATTCACAGGACAATAAAGTGTTATTCTGAACACTTTAAGCCAATAAATTAGGCAAATTAGATAAAATAGAGAGGTGATAGTCGTCCTTTGGTCTCTGTGGGGGAACTGGTACTCCCATGGATATCCCAAAATCCATAGATGTTCAATCTCTTATAAAAAATGATGTAGTATTTGCATATAACCTATGCACATACTCCAGTATACTTTAAATCATCTCTAGCTTACTTAAACTGCCTAATACAATGCAAATGCTTTGTGAATACTTGTTATATTATATTGTTTAGGGAATAATGACACAGAAAATGAGTCTGTACATGTTCAGTACAGAGACAACCATTTCTTTCTTAATAAATATTTTCCATCTGCAGTTGGTTGAATCCATGGAATGTGGAACCCATGGATGAAGAGGGCTGAATACTTTTAAAACACACTTGTGACAAAAGGGAACAGTAAATGTAAATAGCCTTGTATATATTAAGTAGTGAAGCTACAAAATAATAGGGATATAGTAATGCAATCAAATAAAAAACTAGGCATTTGTTTCTTCCAGAAAAGAAAAAAACAATAGAAAAACTTTTATAGGAAAGAAGGCATAGTCATCTATGGACAACACTTACATAGCCAAAGCAATGTACAATTAAATAATGTCTAACCAAAAAATGTGGTATGACTAAATTGGGAGGATAGGGGAGAAAGAATGGGTGAATGCTATAAAAAGCCAATATATAATGTCTAACTAAGGAAAAAATCAAGAAATAGCAAAAACAAGAAGTTACTTATAAATACATTAGAAAATAAGAGGAAACAGCTAAAATATTTGAAGTAATTACTTTTGTAGAATAAGAAAAAAGGAGAATAGTCAAAGAATTGTATTTTTTAAATATTCATATTTTTGGAATATTTTGGTAATATTTAACATTGTAAATCTCAAATAATTGGATTTTTCAATATTCATATTTTTTAATATTACATATTAATATCTGAGATTGTAAATTATTTATATGCATTATTTCATTAAAACTTAAATTAACAATGATATAAGCTCATTATAGAATTTTTGAAAAATACAAAAAGTCTAAAGAAAAGAAAAATCATATTTAATGTATTTTAGAGATAACACTCTTCATATTGTTGTGGTATTATATATAACCTTGTGTAATAAACACAAACAAAAAATACATACACTAAGAAATTTGCAAGTTTTTATATTGTTTTACTTAACTGATAACACTTTGAATTGTCAGTTTTTATAGTATCCATTTTTTATGCTTATCTAAATTTATAAGCAATATATCACAAATCATGAAACTAATGCAAGCATAAAGAATAATAAAAATGTGTTTTATAATGGGGAAGAGGAATAAGTTTCATAGCCCAAGGAAGATGATATTTCACGAGTACCAAGAATTAAGGGAATATTAGGGCACAGTGTAATAAACAGATAGATACTTTTTTGGACTTTTCTCTTCTGGTTATCAAACAATTTTAATAAAAATGGTTCTTAAGAGAATAAAGTAGTATTTCTGTTATTGTTCCAATACAAAATGGTTTTACTTTTCTATACTTCCTCTCATATGTAGGGTTTAATGTTTTAGCTTATATTATGTAATTGGCTTACTCATTAAGTCATTAAGACTTCAGTTAACAAAGTATCTTTTGTCTGACTTGCTTATTGCAATAGCCCTGGTAATAAACAAATGTCTGGCTCATAGTAAGTACTTAATAATTAAGAAATGGATGGATTATTTTAAAACTCAGTATATTAACAATTGTCTCCTCAATCATATTTATGAAATTTTTGAAGTGCTTCCAAGAGTGAAAAAATTCTTCGTACATTATACAGGTTGAGTATCCCTTATTTGAAATGCTTGGGACAACAATTGTTTCAACTTTCAGGTTTTTCTTCAGATTTTGGAATATTTGCAAATATATAATGAATCATCTTGGGGATGGAACCAAAGTCCAAACATGAAATTCACTTATGTTTCATATACACCTTGTATACAGAGCCTGAAGTTAACTTTACCCAACATTCTAAATCATTTTTTGCATTCAATTTTATGTACATTGAACAATTTTATTAACCTTTGTGGGTGTGTGTGAGAGAATCTAGGAGTGTGCAGAAAATATATATTGCCACTGAATAGAGCCAAGGGTCTTTTTTCCCTCTGAGAATACTGAAGAAATTGTGTTGGGTGCATGCATTTTGACTGTGATTTGTCACATGAGGTCAGGTTTGGAATTTTCCACTTGTGGCATCATGTTGGCACTCAAAAATTTCAGACTTTTGAGCATTTTGGGTTTCATATTTTTGGATTAGGAATGTTCAACCTATGTCATGTTTATCACAGTTGAACAAAAGTGGGGAAGAGGCTACACTCCATGTAAATCTTACTGCAAGTCATGACATTAGAGACACGGTCAAGGTGAGACAAAATTATGAAAAGTCAAAACACATTCTCTTATGTTCCTCTTCCTCCAATTTGAAAAGTTTTCACATGGATAACTGTTACAGCTGGAAGACGAGTACATTCATATATTCTAGTACTTTCTTTGAGTGCATTTGAATTTTTGTATATGAGTTGTATGTGAAATATATATATATTTCCATAAAAGCAGAAAACAACCTCTAAGTTCCTGCAGAGCCTTCCCAGTTACTAATTGGTCATTTCATTTTAGGTGTTCATTTATAATTGCTAAGGCTTTATTTTTTTGTGGGGGGAGTATAAATTTTTTATAAGAAAGAAAATATAAGAAGTTTCAGATCCCCAAGTTATGATGGTAAAAATTTAAATACTATCATAGGTGAATGAGAGACACTTTAATAGAGGACAGTCAATAGCATAGAGTATATCTGTGAGTAAATTACAGAAGGGCTGCCTATTTACGAAAGGTGCTTCCTCTGGTCAGATGAATTATGAAAAGGTTCCCTCTCCCCTACGCAAATGCAGCTTCCCACTAGCAAAGTTGGCTTGGCAAAGCAGAACATGACCTAGAATGGGCCTCTACTTTCTCCATGGTTAGCAGCTTTGTAGTGCGCACAAACTTTTTCACTTTATTATACCCATACGGAGCGGCCAGGAGGAACCATTTCTGACATCCACCAAATCCCTCACATTGGCAGTGGCCTATTCTACTTACTCCAAAGGTCATCCTGAATAGTGTAAATGATTATCTAACAATGTGACAAAAAATACTGCCCATTAACTGGACTGAGCAAAAGTTACCCTTAGACTTGAAAGAACGATGAAAATGATATTCCTACTAAGCTTTGAAAGCTGGGACTGTTCAAAGTACTGCAGTTGCAGGAGACCCTCAGACTGGAGGGTGTTTCTTAGTGATTCAAATGTCACCTGAGTCCCACTCCAGGAACAGAAGTCACTTGAACAATTTGTACTGAGCTCCTCCTATGCGTCCGAGTTCAAAGATGGGCTCCTTAATTCCTTCACACAGATTCGAGTTACTACCTTCTTTTATGTAAAAGAATGCAAAATGGTAAATCATATTGAATAGCAAAGTAACCCTTAATACTTCCAGAATTCTTAGACACAAATTTTCTACAAAATCGTTGCTAGTAACATTTATAATAAAGTAGAAAATGTCTCTTTTTAGCAACATGACTGATAAACATGAGTCTTTAAATGATGAACTCTCTGCTTATATTTGATCTGCACACACATCTACAAATTCCCAGGGGTGCATTCACAAGTTAGCATGAAAATATCTAACACCAGGCAGGAAATTCTTGCCTTAGAAAGAAATGGGGCTAGGCACAGTGGTTCACACCTATAATCCCAGCACTTTCGAAGGCTGAGGTGGGTGGATCACTTGAGTCCAGGAGTTTGAGACTAGCCTGGGCAACATGGTGAAACCCGGTCTCTACAAAAAATACAAAACAAATAGCTGGGCATGATGGCACACCCCTGTGGGCCCAGCTACCTGGGAGGCTGAGGTGGAAGGATCATCTGAACCCCAGTGGTTGAGGCTGCAGTGAGCTGTGATCATGCTACTGCACTCCAGCCTGGGTGACAGAGTGAGACTGTCTCAAAAAACAAAACAAAACAATACAAAACAAATCAAATGGAACTCATATTGTCTACTGAATTAAAAATCAAGACAAATATTTCTCTTTTACTAATGCTTTCATATATCTACATATATATAGATATATACACATATATACACACACACAATCACACACACATATAAAAATGTGTATATATCCACACATATGCATGTATATATATGTATACATATTTAAAGTACTTAATTCCCACAAAGCACCTAACGATTAACTTTAAATATAAGTCATAATATAGTATTTAAACACAACATGCAAGGACAACAAAACAAACTAAAACCTACCAAAGATCCTAATTTTAAGTGGAATTAAAGTCTACAGAATAAAAAATACATAAAACAAAGAAGAGAAAATTCACTTTCATTCATATGAAATAATTAATTTAAAATATTTGTAGAAAGGAAATATATTGACAGAAATTTGATATCAGTAGACCTCTAGTGGTTATTAGAGTAACTGATAATTTTACTACTCTCCATTACTGCTTTCTGTGACCTAAAACAGTTTTCAAATGTGCCAAAATGTTATTTCCCATGGCAATACTACAAATAGTAACCTACTCATGTAGGTTGGAAAACAAAGCAAAACAATTAAACTAACTTAATAAGTTAACCACAAACTAACAAATAAAATAATTTTTACACCTAAGAAAAGTCCTTATACATGCTTAATTTTAGAAATTCACTTTTCTCATCATAAAATTTCCATGAACTGAAAGAGAAACCCATTGCATATCTGTATGTTACTTTCTCTCATTTTTAGATAATTACAATATGTTGGCATTTTCTTGATGTCAAGATGTTTTAATCAAAATTTAAATATGTGAGCTATAAATAAATACTTGTATTTATCTTTACCTTAGAATGAAATGAATGTTAGCTTCAGAGGATGGTGGTCGTAACCCTATCAACATTGGTCACATCACAGAAATTTGTTTTAGGGAGACATAAATTGTGTCTGAAGTGAAGTTAATTCCCTTCTTTTAAATTTAAGTAATTGTTATTGAAGGATGACTTTTCACCTTTATTAGTAAAGACAATTGTCAAAATGTAAAGGATGTCTTTAAGCAACGCCATTTCTGATGTGAAACTAGATGTCATGGACATAAAAATTACCTCCATAGGACAATGATGGACAACCTCAATGCCATCACTTCAACAGATCAATTACTTCCCACAAGTAACAATACATTTCATTCCTACAAATCATCAAATCATTTCAAAAGGGGAAGTGTAGGAGAAGATAAAACATTTAATAATTCATGTTCAAGATAACTTATTGGTGTATCTATAATGGCAAGCCAATATGAAAACAATAATTCAATAATTACTTACATGGGAACAAAATACTATATCCAGCAAACACAGTTTTAAAATGTTTTGCTCTAGAGAAGGAATTCTAAAATGCCTCGTGATCACTTATAAAAGAACATAGGTATATAATAAACATAATATCCAATTTACTACAAGGTATTAAAAAAGGAGAGACATTTATCAGGATGATAAATTTAAGGTAGCTGTGAAGCTCTAGATATGGTAATTTCTGGCCTCTGCCCCAAACCTAAGGTTAGCGGTTGTTACTAACACTTGCACTTCAGGTAGGACTGGCATAAATTCACATGGTCATCAACTCAACTGTACAAAAATAGAAGACATTTTTTCTTTTTAATTGAATCTAGTTTATTTGCCCCACTTCTGGTCAGGGAAGGAAACCGGGGCCAAATGAAGCTCGCTTAGCCAACTAAAACTCAGTTTAGCCCGCTAAAACTCAGTAACTTTTGTCAGGATTCTACCACCACTCCTTTCTCTCTAGGAACCTAAATAACCATATTTTGTGAGGCTTTGGAAGTGTGGGTTGGCAGAAAAAGGAGGCAAGTGTATTCTCCCCTAATTATCCCCAACGAAGAGTAACTTTCGCATCATATGTCTATCATTGTTAAATCTGCTGATGATGACCATGAACTTGTCAAGGCTTCCAGGTGACAGATTCAGGACTTCTGTGTCCTGAATCTCCAGTTAAGGAGATTCTCCCAGTTCACCAAACCTCCCAGCTGCTTCTCCTTGCCACCCCATCCTAGGCTGGAGTGTGTATCTGTGAGATTTTCCTTTAGTGTAAGTACCTAAATACCCCATGCCATTGTTGCTGAACCCTTCAGGTGCCATGTTGGACAAATGAGGCTAGCAGTTTTCCTGACTACACCTTGAGTAATGAGACACACACTTGCTCCGATCTTGTACCTTCAACCATATACCAACTACCCTGCCACAGGGACAATATCCAGTATGCTTTTCCCAGTGAGCATCACATCTTATTTCTCCAAATTGCTCTTTCCCACACACATATGATTGAACGATTAACTTCTTTTGGAAGAAAAAAAAAGTTCTTATGTAATTATGCATTCTTGTCTCTTCTATAATTTATTCATTCAGACTTTTAGGTTTTTGCTCCTATTTAAAGCCAAGTTTTTAGAATTCTGTTCTTTGCCTGCATCTTGCAAGTCAAAGTCATGGTTTTAAAGATATATAACTATGCTATTAATTTTAAAATATCTACTTAAACACTCAAAAGCCAAGCAATTGATTGTTGTTTCTTTCTATACCAGACTTAGCCTAAGGGCTGTTCATTGGGAAAATCCTGAATTCTGCTTAAAGGAGATGTGGTAAGCAGAAGTAAAAGGCATTGAAAAACAAAGCATACCTAATACCAAAATATTGCCCCATTTGTACCACAACAATTTAGAAGGCACGAGGCCTTGACACATCCTATTGCTTCTGCCTTACATGTTCTTGTGCCTTTTGTCACCTGTGATGTGTCATTCATCCTCTGGATCTCTGTCCCTTACATTGAGAAGCATTTGCAGCTCCTCCATCCTCAGGTCAAACTGTAGCCACTGCTAGACTCTCTCATAAGACTCCTCTTCCAGTTTGTAGTTATACATATATTCCTATAGTTATCTAATGGCCTCACCCCTGCAACCAGATTACATATCATCTGCAAGATTGTGGGCCTCTTCTATTTTGCACACTGCTGAATCTCCAGCCCTGCATATAGTTCTGGCACATAGTAGGTGGTCAATAACATTCTGTTGTAAATGACTTTATTATCTAATAAGTTCCTATAGACTCCGATGTTAATAAGGCATATATTACCCCTAATTGAAATGAAGGGCTCATAGGCTAACATAAAAAGCGGCATGCACCAGGGCACACAGGTTATATCACAGAACTGGGATCTAAACTTTGATACTGTGAAGGCTGGGCCACTGCTACGTCCATTGTACCACATCCTTGTCCATCATATTCATCCTTTTTTAAGAGATGGGCTCTTGCTACACTGCCCAGGCTGGCCACAAACATCATCATCTTTAATAACAGTTAGGATGTGCTTTATAAAGAAGTCTTAGAAAACACATGTTTAACTGGGTAAAGCATCATTGTTAATGGCAAAAAGAAGCACAGTTTAATGGAAAGAAAATAAAATGTAAGGTTTAGCTTTGAAATGGGAATAATGTGTGACATAAGATACTAATTTGATTGTTAAACTACATGATAGTCATTATTGTAATAGTACCTCAATGGGTAAAAAAACAGTTTTCAAAGGAAAAAGCCAAAGTATCTAGTCTATCTGGAACTTATTTATAAAATTTTCATACCCAGAATAACATTCTGCAGTCTTCTTTTTAAGAAATTAGAAGATGGCCCTTTATCTACTGATGCAAATGCAGAAGCTGGCCTATTTACAGATTCACAATTGTTAGACAGAAAATATGCCTAAGTGGTAACTGATTCTATTATTAACTTCTCAATTTACTAAACATAAGTTCTCAGGACCACAATATCTTTTAAGTACTTTTAATGAATGTTATTGGTCTAGTTTCTTTATTTCCACAAATGCAAGTAACTTCAATTAATAATATTAAAACTTCTTTTGAAGTTTGGCATTTTATTTTGAAAAGTTTGCTCACATTTGTGTAGGACTGAACATATTTGATAAGTCTACTTAACTATAATCTGGATAATTTCCACATTATACACATTTTAATATTCTTTTAAAATATTTTATTAGATTGAAATGACTATCACTATTATATAATGTATGTTATTTTAAGACATGTGACTTGTATAATTGATAGCTGAAAATAGCCTATTTTTCTGAATGCTTTATGTAGGAAAATGGCACTCTTCATCAATAACATATATATTTTATTGTATGTCACACAAAGCAAGGCTGAATAGTTATAAAATAAGCTTATAAGATAAGGTACATCACTATTGACATGAGTGGATGGTCATGAATGAAGAGTGTTTTTCTTTTCCTTCCATCATAGCTTGGTCTTATTATTTAGAATAAAGCACAGTAAAATGAAATGAGAAGATACAAAATAATAAATGCAGCCAAAGAGGGCAGCCACATTTTCCTATTGTCCTTTCCAGACAAAGGAGAATTGGAAGGAATGAAAGAAACTGTCAAAAGTCAATTACATATTTAACAGATATAAGAAAATATGAATTTTAAACACAGGGCAATTATTGTCAAGAGAGATTACTGAACAAACAGAATTTAGGTTTCCTACTCCTGTTTTAGAGAGCTAGACAGAACCAATACATTTCAATGGCTACAAATAATATTTTAATTTCTTTATAACAATGCAGAAACAAAGAGGATACATGCATGATAATAGGAAGTTACAGGAAAACATCTACAAGTGGTTATTATAGACAGATTATAAAAGCACAAGCTATATAAAAATATTAGCTATATTATTAATTTTCTGTTTAGAAAATAAGAACATAATGGAATGGTTGAGCCTGCAAAGCATAAAACAATAGGTGTGAGCAAGCATAAACTATAGGATATAATAAATGCGGTGGTTACACAGCTGGGCTTGTGGCAACTTAGAAACTCATGCTTAAAGCCATGGGCATCAGAACCAGAAGGCTGTGTTCCAATCCTGTTTCTACTACTTAGTAGTTGTGGTGATGATAGGCTAGTAAATTAGCCTCCGTGTCCTCTTGTATACCAGAAAAAGAAAAAAAAAAAGTGTCCACCTCAAATGGCTCTAGTAAAAACTTTAAAAAGCTTATTCCTCAAACAGCGCCTAGCGTTCAGTAAACAGTCAAGAAATTTTAGTTCTCGTCATCATCTGTCCTTTGAGTTAGAAATGCCTTTTAAAAATAATTTGATTTTATATGGTTGAATTGAATGAGAGTTTATATGGTTTTTATTGACTCTAAAATAGAATCATGCACACAATATTTTAGATAAACAAACTACTGGTTCTGCTGGCATGCTTTAAGAGAGTAGGCATGTCCTCACAGAGACCACTTTAGAACCCCACATCACCATTCAGTGCACTAAACTCCACTGTCCCTATGCTGATAACCTGATTTCTCTTGTTTGTTTCATCACAGATTTGAATAAAGACAGGGCTAAGCAGTGATGAGTTGCACGTTTTATTCTGTATGGCACCAGGAATGATTCTCCCTAACATTGTTACACCATAACAATAATGACATGTTAGTGAATTAACCTCATAGGGAGAGATGGGCTGACTGATGATATGTGACTGCCAGAAACCCTCAAAATTTCTAAAATGTATATGAACATTTAAGGTTGCCAAAGACATAACAATGCAGTGGTTGAAGGAAATCCCAAGAAATACTCCAGTACCTCAAAACCTCAGGAAATATTTTATGAAAAGTGATTGAGTGGAAATTAAAAATTATTGTTGAAACAGCTAAATTTTGCTCTCTCTCTCTGTCTTTATATATACACATACCCATACATATATACACATGTACGTTCAAGATGGATTAGGGATAAGGGTTCTTATGAATGAGATTCTTCATAGAGGAAAAAGAAGGAAGTGATGATTTCACAATATTTTGGCAATATTTGTGAGCTTTCATGTTGACTATAGTTTCTTGAAAATGGAGTGGCAGATTGGGAGGAAAAAGGAGGAAACAACTCTGAATGACTCTCGCAGCCAGGATGGGAGGGAGAAACTAGAAGAGTGGAAAGTCTGTTCTTTCAGGAATCACCTTGGTTTTCTAAGGAAGGGCCAGCTGGGAGAAAAATGGGGGTGTCTCCATTGCTTTTAATTCCTTTCTCTAGTTTAAGAAAGCACTAAACCAGTTTAGAGATGTACAGAAAATGAGACAAGATAAAATGTTAGGAACAAGAAAGAGAACCCTAACAGGGTGAACACACAGATGGTTCTGGAACTATAATAAAGTTTAGAGAGAGATTATCTAAAGCTTCTCATTTACAAATATAGAAAAGGTTGTCCAAAGTTGTCAATAATACTTAAATAATGTTGCAGAACTAGTTACTGGCCGAGCTAGTGTCAATATTTATGGCTGAGAGGTCTTTTATGCTGTCTTCTTAATGAATTCACTTTAACATACCAAAGCTACTAATTATTTTATTGCTTCATAGTAGATTGTGGTTGTAGAAAAGGAAGAATTCACAGGCCTCAGGAACCCCAAAGTAAGATATAAAAAAGACAGAATATTCATCCATGGACGTTGTTGTTGTTTCTTTCTGTGTGGTTTTCTTTTAGCAGTCAGGCCCTTCTTCCTTAGGGCTACTGCGGTTTGTTGGGGGTTCACTCTGGACTCTATTCACCTGGGTCCCTCTTGCCCCTGGAGGTATCACCAGTGGAGGCTGCAGAGCAGCAAAGATGGCAGCCTGCTTCTTCCTCTGGAAGTTTTTTCCCAGAGGGGCACTGACCTGATGCCGGCTGGAACGCTCCCATATGAGGTGTCTGGAGAGTCCTGTTGGGAGGTCTCACACAGTCATGAGGAGCCAGATCAGAGACCCACTTAAATAGGCAGTCTGGCTGCCCCTTGGTGGAGCGGGTGTGCTGGGCTGGGTGGAATCCCCCTCCTCTGGGCTGCCCTGACTCTCCAGAGCTAGCAGACAGGAAAGACTAGGGCTGCTGATCCAAGATACTGCGGTCGCCCTTCCTCCTAGGGGCTCTTCTCAGGGATACCAGAGTTCTGTCCATAAACCCCTGGCTAGGGATGCTGAAATTGTAACAGGGAGGCCCCGCCCGTCGAGGATAAGGAAAGCAACTGCCTATATAATATTTGGCAAGAATAACTGAGTCTAAGGGTTGAGTGCATTTCACTATAAAAGTAAGCAGATGGGGAAGAAATTTCAAAATACTATTTCAATTTAAAAAGTATTTATATTTTATTGTATTTCAAATACTGTGTGTGGCTCCAAAGAGAATATGCAAGGATACATAAGATATACTTTGTTTTTTGTCCCCAAAGCACTCCCAGTCAAGTGGAGAAATGAGACTGGTAAGAAAATAATTACACTGTAAATTTATAATAATTATAATGAAATATCCTTTCAACCCCTTTCTTCAATACTTTCCAACTGTTCTTTCTTTATATCACCCACAATCTAACTAGGATCTCTATAAACCTAGTAAATAAAGATTTTCATGGCCAATTTACCCCTACGTTGTAGTTGATTTATCTGTCTGCACAGCTGGCATGCAACACCAGCTTCAAAGCCCTACTAAACACTGAAATTGCTTTGCCTAAAGGCTAAAGCTGTTTTTAAAAGAAGTAGTAGCTAGCTGACCCAAATTAGTACAAGAAAGTTATAAAGGAACACAGCATGGTGTTCAGTTTACGGTAAGAGTTTATAAAGGCTAGCCAGGTGATAGTAAAAACAAAAACAAAAATAGACAAAAAAGACAGTTGTTCAAGACTTTCAAGTTGGAAATGCAGGTGGTCTGATTCTATAATATAGCTGGATATATAAATCAATAGGTTCAAAATTTATTTGAATAAATTCAGAAAGGATATGTATTGTCTAACATCTCTCCAGTTGTTATGAGGCTTCTTAATTTTATTTATGCCTTAACAGACAGACAGAAATCCATATTTAAGGATTAAACGGTCTAGCATCTGCTATTTGGTCCTAACAGAAATTTGGCATCTCCTGGAGGTGCTGAAACTGATTGAACTTTGGATCCACATAAACATTCATGGACTGGCAAACACTGTCAAGAAGATAGTGACAAAACCAAAAGAGCAATATCTCAAAACAAAGAACTAACCCAGCAGTAAAATTTCAAATTAATCTGACGTCCTTCACTGATCAGATTAGACTCTCCAAAGCAAGCATGTAACCAAGCCGATTTCCCCTAGTTTCCCAGAGGATCAGAACCTAGCTAAGATGGGACTGGTCTCTAGGGTGTGGCAAGTTTGAGCCTGAAATCAATGAGCTAATTCTCTAAACAAGCACTCGTTTATATGAAAACACACTTATGTAATATGAGTAAAGTATTGAAAGGCAGAATTGTCACTAAAAAAGGTAGAGCAAACTCCCAAATAAGTGATCTTAAATGTAAAAAGTAAATAACATTCCCTAGATATGCATTTTAAATAAATATACAACTAAACATCATTTTTCATACCTATCCTTTATATGTAAGTCAAATTGCCTTTTCTTCTGCTTTTGGAAACAGAGAATTACTGCTTAAAAGCAATTTCAAATGATTAAATACTTACACATGAACACACATATACACACAAATAACAATATTATGAATGGATTTAATAATCAAAATCTCCTCCAATTCATAGTAACATTCCTTCAAATTACTTGTTTTCTTTATATTACTTATAAAGGTAGTTTATACTTCTGTAAATTATTATACAATTATTTATAGAGCAACTGCCATAAAGAGAGTTTTCTAAAAGCTTCATCGAATTAACTAACTCAATTCAGAATATTTAAACAAATTCATCATGTGAATTAGGTTTAATAATGCATTAAAACAACTTGAATTAAGAAAAAAGAGCAGCATTGTATCATTTTTAGGTATTTTAAGTCCAGAAGTGTATGCAAATTAAAAAGTGAGAGTAAAAACACTATTAGGAACGAATTCAATTTTGAAGTCAAATATTTTATTACATTTGTATAAAAGAATCAACATCCTTTTAACAATTTTTGCTCTATCCCAAGTTTCCTAAGAAATTGTAAACACTGAAAGAAAACAAACTTGCACAAGAAAGAAAATGACTTACACAAGACAACATAATCTCTCCAGGGAATCTGGTGTTCAGCCTGAAAAACATTTTAATAGCTTTTCTGATTAAAATTCACCATCACAAAAAAGTTAACCACTGAATTTAATTTCCTATTCAGTATACTGTTTTACATCACTTTTATTAAAAACATGTTTTATTAGATTTTCCAATGAAATTAAATGGTGAACAGCACATAGTTCTTGCTTTTACTGCTGGTTTATACACTTTAATAATTACATAAAACTATCTTATTCAACCAAATTAAATTCAATTTTAGCCACAAGCATATTTTTACTAAAATTTTATTCACATATAAACTGGGCAGTAAAAACAGCATTTCAAAGGAGTATTTCATGTGTGTTTGTGTGCGTGTTCTAAAGTCCAGTGTGTGCAGTGTTCATATACATAAGACTGAAAACAGACTGTAAAATTTCTTAGAGTAGAATAGGAGCATTTTCAAAATTTACAAAAGAACTGTCATATGTGGCAATTGTCATAACTAAGAAAACAGAGCTAATTGAAACACATACAAACACATACATATACTAGGAATGAACTTACATGCTATTCCTCATTCAAAAAGTAACTCAGAAGTTACTGGTCACAACATTTGAGCATGAAGTGCACCAATGTGACTTAATCCCCTTTAGACCTATTGCCATTTTGGCACTCCAGAACAGCTAGGTAGAATAGTAAAGAATATCTTCACAAGCATAGTGTGGAGCACTGGTTCCCATACTTACATCCCACACAATTGTCTTAGTCATCCCATCTGAGATGGGTCCCATGAATCTGTATTTTTAAAATAAATTCCCAATGTAGGAGTTTCAGGAGGCCAGTTTAGCACATAATCTGAATTAGGATATAAGAAAAAGTGAAACTCCAACAGTTATATCTGTTAATGTACTTATTTATCTCACAATCAGATTGCTATTTTTTGTTAACTTACTCCCCTCTATGTTTCCACTGAAAAGAGGATTGTGATAATTTTCGAGTGTACAAGTCAAGAGATACACAATGTACATATGTGAGCATCATTGCTATCTGAAACAGAAATGCATCTCAATTTCAAAAACACTTTGTTTCCATATCTTTCATATTCTAGTTTAAGCTATTTTAAAGCTTGAACCATCAGTTCAAATCAAGGAAGTATGGCAATTTCATATGGTTTAATCTAATATGCAATGTTCATGCTTGTAAATCCATTGTCCAACTTATGCTAGAATTTAATATGTATTAGTTGAGTGAATAATGAAATATTGGACCTCACATCATTTACCCTTGTCCTAAGTATACCCAAGGATCCAAGTGAGTTACCTTTTAGAATTATATCTCTGAATGGTACATTTGCCTTTTTTTTTGACTACCTAGCCTCTGAATATGCTTCCTATTTTTGGTGAATTCTATTAATATATCATATGTGTCTTAGTGGGAGGCAAAGATTTTTACTATGGAGGCCAAAAGGCTCAAAGGACCATGGGAAAATATTTAATATAGAAATATTTTAAATGGATTTCTTAATAGCTTTTATAGCTGATTAAGCTGACATACAGAGAATTTAAGGGTATGCCTCAACATTCCTTTTATTCCTATTATCTTTTTTTAAAATGCAAATATATATATATAAATTGTTGCAATTGAAAAATACATAAATATATTGGTAATATCTAATAATCTTTCTAATTATTTGTGCTTAAAAAAGCACAAATACTCCCTTACAAAATATCAATAGTTTACATTAAAGTGTTAACTCAGAAAAGTGATTAAAATGGTTCTTAGAAAAGTATCCTTCTATAAAATGAAGTAAAATGCTTATTTTGAACTGAAACTTTAAGTCTGTTTCTAAATCTGACACTTTTCTTTTGCCAGATATTTTTTAAAAATAACCCCAGACAAGGAATGAACATCAGCTGTTTTAGAAGGTACAAATTCATAATAAAGTAAGTAATTGATTTAGGAAAGGGAATACATTTTTGAGCTAATCCATGCTTCCATAAATGACTAGGATCTGAGATTCAAACACAGAAGCTCAAGTGACAAAATTTCTGTTTCTAATCCATTTAAATGGCTGGCAGAACAAGAAGAATGCTTACAAACTGCTGAATATTTGAAGGATGCCTTTAGCTGTTAGTCCTCGAGATGCTTTTTGAAATTCTGTGAACCGCAGCCATTGCATAGCAAAACTTCCTTCATAATAAGTCCCTTATATTCCACAACACCTTCAAGGTGTTTTGCTTTTACTCATGCTTTCATGAGTAAAGCAGACGTATATATAACCTTTAAATGATTTTAACTTAAAAACATTCTTTTAAGTCTGTAAAAAAAAATTTAAATAGCTCAACTTAGTTTCCTCAAAACCAAAAATGAGGGTAAAATACTTTTTATGCGAAGATTCAGTTTCTAAGCATTTTTTGCCTTTATGTTTTTATTGAGTTAGGGAAATATTATAAACCTAAAAAAGGCAAAAGAAGCAGAATACTATACATTAATCCTGAAGCATTCTTCTTATTACAAATTCTTCATTCAGGTTTGTGTCTTTTTGACCTTTATCTAATTATCTAGCCTGGGGAAAAATATTTTTCTTCTTTTTCACCTTTTCTGAGTGTATACATATCTATATATCCAGATATGTATTTCCAACACAACGCACATTTGATAGTCTTCTTTTCCCTTGGTTTTTAATGAATACTTTTCAAATTTTCTATAACCATAGTGAAATAAAAATTGTAAAAAAAGTTATTTTACTCTTCATTTTATATGGTACCCAATAAGGACATTTTTATACCTACCTGTTATAATTATTAGGAAGGATTTATAAAAATCATAATGTCCTACTTCAATTTCTCTAAATAAAATCTTAATCACTTAATGTTAAAAAAAAATTTTAATTTAACTTAAAATAATTTGTATTGTTTAGATTTTCAAAATATTAAACAGGGATTTCAGTCAACTGTTAAAATAGGAATTTCTTCTATAGTTTTTCCAGACTTCAGACACATTCAACCAATGGCTGCAGAGAACAGAGTTTAACTGCCAGTCAAAATAAAATAATGATCTATATCTACACTGTCTGACACAGTAGCCACCGGTCACATGTAGCTATTTAAATTTGAATTAAAATTAAATTAGAATAGTTTCTCAGTAACACTAGCCATATTTCAAGTACTCAATAGCCACAATGTGGAGAGCGACTATCAAGTTGGACAGTGTAACTAAAGAACTATTCTGAGATTGCAGAAAGACAACTGGGCACTGATTCCTAGGCTTTTCTTTTGTTTTCAACTTAGGGTAATTTTGTCCCACAAGGGACATTTGCAACATCTGAAGATATTTTTATTTGTCACAGTTGGGAGAAGGGGAGCTAAGAACATGCAGCAGGTAGAGGCCAGGAAGCTGCTAAACATTATGCAATGCAGAGGACATCCCTCTCCAACAAAGAGTTGTGTGTCAATAGTGGCAACACTGAGTTTGATATACATTCCTTAAAATTGTGTGTTATATGAGGTAGGTCCCATGCCTTTTTTTTTCTTACTGTGATACACACACACACACGCACAAACACACACACCCCTAATATAGGAAGCTCTAAAAGAAAGGTAATGTTAGACAAATAAATCAAGATACAGAAGAGCATAAATGACATAATTCTAGGTTTTTGATGACAAAATTTTCTGAGTATGTATATGGGTGTGTATTTGTAAACAGGAAAAAAAGAAATTTTACAGAAGGTTGTCAATATGGATTACCTAGGAGAGTACCATTGTCAGAAGGAAGGACAGAAGAAAAGAAGATAAATATGTAAAACTTGTGTTACAAAATATAATTATGGTAAAAAGTTATATTTTAATCATTTAAATGATGGAGAATGTAAGAACTAACTCAAATGAAGCCAATGAAAGGAAAACTTTAAGCATGTGAAAACTCATTAATTAATATGGTATTTTCATTCTAGAAGAGAAACAGCTAATAATTGAGAAAAATAATGCAGTTTCATACAGTGATAAGTCCTCTGAAGAATGTTAACAATTAGGAAATAGGTAAGGGGAGATAGTCCTGAGCTCAGGAAAGATGTCAGGGCTTGGAGAAATAAATTTGGGATTCATCTAGATAGAGATGTTATGGAAAGCAACATGGTTAGATGTAGTGTACTAGGGAGTGAGAAAAAGGAAGAGGGAGTTGAAGCCTGCACTCTGGCATCTATAGAATAGAACATAGAAAAGGAGCCCACAGAGATGAATGAGACAGAAATGGCACCAGAAAAAAAAAGGGGGGGAGGCATTGTCCTTAAACATTAGCGTTGAAGGAGATGAGGACTAAGGGTTGACCAATGAATTAAGCAATAAGAAGCCTGCTGGTGATGTTCACAAGAACAAGTGAAGTTGGTGGCAAGGATGAAAGCCTACTTGAGATGAGCCAAAAAGGATAGAGTGGAAATAACGGGAAAACTCTTTCAGAGTTTCACTATAAAGTCTTTTGCAGGGGTGGTGCAGAGAAATAGGGTGATGAATGAAGAGGTGCAATGGGATATGACATGGTTGAATGTTTCTGTCCCATCCAAAATTGATATTGAAACTTAATCTCCAGCATAGCAGTATTAAGAGGTATGGCCTTTAGGATGTGTCAGTCTCATCTGATGAATAGGATTAGGTGCCCTTATAAAAGGGCTTGATAGGCCAGCCACAGTGACTCATGCCTGTAATCCCAGCACTTTGGGAGGCTGAGACGGGCAGATAACTTGAGGTCAGGAGTTCAAAACCAGCCTGGCCAACATGGTGAAACCCCATCTCTACTAAAAATACAAAAAAAAAAAAAAAAAATTAGCTGGGTGTGGTGGTGTGTGCCTGTAGCCCCAGCTACTCAGGAGGCTGAGGCAGGAGAATTGCTTGAACCCGGGAGGCAGAGGTTGCAATGAGCCAAGATCACTCCACTACACTCCAGCCTGGGCAACAGAGCAAGACTCCATCTTAAAAATAAAATAATAAAACAAAATAAAACAAAAGGGCTTGACAGAAGGAGTTTGCCCCTCTTTGGATCCTGCCACCATGAGAGGATATGGTGTTCCTTCCCTCGGGAGGATTCAGCAATAATGCACTATCGTGGGAGAACAAGCTCTTCCAGACACTGAACCTACTGGCACCTAGATCTTGGACTCCCAGATCTTGGACTCCAGAACTGTGAGAGATAAATTTCTGTTCTTTATAAATGACTCAGTCTCAGGTATTTTGCTGTAGCAGCAGAAACGGAAAAAGACATAATCAATCGAGGCATTTTAAAGAAGATATTTATCAAATTATGTTTGTATGTAGATTCTAATAATCCAGTAGAGTGGGGAAAACCTCTGATGCAGGAGAAAGAGGACGGATCACTGCAAGAGAAAACTCAGCAAGAAATGTAAGAAAAAAGTATCTTACATGTAAGGCAAGGAAGGGTTAGGCCTAGGTTAGAATATCATCAATATATCATGAGAAAGTGCTTTTCCCTAAGAGTATATAATATTTGGAGTTATTCTACTGCATTTGATTAAAATCAATATAGATTTATATCACAGCAGTTGTGCCATAGCCAAAGACCTGCAGCTTGCAACTTCAGTCAAGTAAACAATGAATTTGCATGATGAGAGACATCCTCTACATTCTCTATACACCCTCTACATTATCTATATTCCCTAAAATTATATATAGACTAAGACGGCAAGGAGATACCTAAGTTAAATGCATAAGCAAATTAATGGAGTGATATACATTACTAAGAATATTTCAGTTACTCTATGATCTTGGTACTATACAATGGCCATTAAAAAAATACAAAATCTGAGGAATGCCTACTCATGTTTTAGAAGAAAAGAGAAAATTTATATCTAAATCAGAAAAACTTCATTCTTATAATATTTCCAAATAAATTGCTTTTCTACTACAATAGCTATTATAGCACGTAGCAATTAAGATACTATCTTAAAGTCACTGATAATCAATGCATTCCTCATTTTCTTATAACTCATGCTAACAAGGACACCAGCATCTTTTAAGATTAATCTGAAGTGAGAAAAAGAAAAGCCCCTCTGTTCTTGGACGTTTTTTATGCTTAAAACTAGGGATTTCTTAAGCCTTGCCAACACAAACAGAACACAAATAGCAGCTAGAAATACAGCAATCTTTTGCAACCAGTTTGTAATAGCAACTGTCAGAGAAAGCAAAGATTTTTTCAGTATCTATAAATGTAAGTACAAAACTCTTCAATCAAAAAGTTCATATGAACTTGTTAAATACAGAAATAATACACAAATTTTGAATATAACTGGCCAATTTCCTTCTATTTAAAACCCTTTTTGTCAGCAATTACCAAAATAAGTCACATTGACTTGTATACATAATTGTATATTTACAAAGACAAAAATCTACAAAGGTAGTGTTCAAAGATCTCCAAAAATATTAGGCCTACAATGTTAGTATGACATCTACTTTCTCTACATATCTAGCTTTCTTCCTATCAAGAATAGGCTGATTCAGAAATCTTTCATGAACCCAGGAATAAGAGATCATGAACTTTCTTTCCTTAACAGCTGGATAAAGTAGCTCAAAAATCACAGCAAATATTGTCTTACTCAGCACTATTGCTCTGGTAAAATTTCCTTTAATATCTAGTGATTCTTAGTTGAAACTTGTCTTTTACATAAAAGATAAACATCCAAATTAATCTTTTGATCATATTTAAATGCTTAATTTAGTCGGAAGAATGACAGCCCAAGAAATCAAAGCTAGAAAATATCACAGAAACCAAACTGTATTGATATAACACATATTTTAAGTTCAGGGAGCAAAACATGAATTAACTTGAATTTTATAACCAATATCTGCTTATAAATCAGTCTAACACCTTGGTTTTGAACAGTTTTGAATTAAAAAATAGTGAAGTGGATGATATAACCTAAATACATAGAGAAAAGTTCCCATAGAAATGGGTAGATTTTTAAAAATTGACACAAGAATTAAGAGGTAGTTGTTGTTTCCATGCATTCTGACTCATTTTTTTGCTGTTGTTTTGCTTATTTAGTCAAACTGAAAGGCTTACCATCTTGCTGGCCATGAAGATTCTGGGGACTTTGCATTCTTTCTTCAAGATTGGAGCTAAGATCAGAGTTCACAGCTGACATCCGTGTTGAATCACTCATGTCAAATTCATCACTTTCTATTGAACTTTCATCCTGAAAATAGTTTTAAAATATCATCAAGCATTTTAACGTATAATACGTTTAAATAATAACCATTTTATCTACACAGTCAATTGAAGTTTAACCAGTAAATTTTTACAGAATTCAGAAAAATATGTTACAAACTAATAGATGTTTAAAATAGCAAACAATGGGCCGGGCGTGGTGGCTCAGGTCTGTAATCCCAGCACTTTCAGAGGCTGAGGAGGGCAGATCACGAGGTCAGGAGATCGAGACCATCCTGGCTAACACGGTGAAACCCCGTCTCTACTAAAAATACAGAAAGAAATTAGCCAGGTGTGGCGGTGAGTGCCTGTAGTCCCAGCTACTTGGGAGGCTGAGGCAGGAGAATGGCTTGAACCCAGGAGGCAGAGCTTGCAGTGAGCTGAGATCAAGCCACTGCACTCCAGCCTGGGCAACAGAGCGAGACTCGTCTCAAAAAAACAAACAAACAAACAAACAAAAAAACAATGGAATAATTTCTCCCTTCAAGGAATTTCAAGACTTGTGAAATAATATAAAGAATGATTTTATAGTAAATACTTTCTAAAAGAGTTAATCATAAAATGTAACATAAAGAGAAATACAAGTTTTGATTTAAAACTAAATGACCAAAAAATGTTGTAAGCAGAAATCTTAGAATGCAGAAAGGGCTTTATAAAAAAATTTTCATTGGCAAACAGGATAGATTCTAATATAGCCAACTTATATATTAGGTTCAAAGTCCACATGTAATGGAGAGCAAGCTAATCTTAGTACACCCTTTCTTTCTTTACAAGCAAATATAAATTGCACGGCAACCACAAAGAGGAGTTCTAGGTAAAATTGTGCATGAAACATTTACTAAAAGTCAGTTCATAAAATGGAATTACCAAAAGGCCAGTTTGCTGAATGGCCAATTTATCAAAACTTTCCAAATGTTAAACCAAATCTAGGATATATTATTGCAGTCATTTTTCTGAAGCAAACTTCGTTTGGAGAACTGATTTTTGGACAAATGGTATACTTATACAGGCTGGAAGGCCCGGGAAACCTGTGCAAAATGTAAATGTTTAATCAAAATCTCTAGCTTTGACTTTAATTTGTAAATGTTTGATCTGAACGTTTAACACGAATATAATAATCAGCAGTAGTAGTGCTGCTATTTATGTTGCACACGTTGTTCTTTATATTTTATCACAACTATGAATTAGCTATAAATTTGCAAACAATTTATAGATGAAGAAATTGAGGCACAGAGAAGTTAAATCATTTTCCCTGCTATTATATACTAGAACCGGTAGTCATATGAAGTCATCCAGACTCGAGGAAACAATATATTTGAATAGGAAGAATTACCCTGGTTTCATAAATGACATCTTGGCATCAGCAAAGGAGTTTCTATTATTAACGAACAAGACTATCCTGGTAGACTAATAAATTGGCATTCTGATTCTTATATCAGGCTTGGTGGTTTTGGCTGTGGTGTCTTTCCTTTATCAAAGACTGGGTCATGCTTGGGCACACTGAGTAGCACTAGCTCTTCATTAAGTCAGTAAGGAAATGCCACTGTGTCAGATCCATGGACAATCAGCCACATAGACTTCTCTTAGTTGCATGCCCTCTCTCAATACATTATGTTTACTCCAATTCTAAATTCTAATGTGTATGTGTGTGTGTGTGTGTGTGTGTGTGTGTGTGTATGCAAAAATAAGAGACTTCAATGTGGACTGACATTATCAGTGATAACAATGTGGACTTGTTACTAGTGTTGATCATATACAAATACATACATATATATATACACACGTTGATAGATGATACAGATATCTATTAGATACACTATATTTACTTTCTGTGATGTCATAGTATTTTAGAGGATATTCTCAGAAGCCAGACTTCCTAGATTCAGGTCCATATTCTGCCAGTTATTAGATATGCTACCTTAAGCAAGTTACCTCAACTTACTGTGCCTCAGTTTCTTTATCTATACAATGGAAATAAAAATTGTGCTGCTCTCACAGAGTCACATGTGGAGTGAGGGCGTGTACTATATTTAAAGTATCTAGAACAATGTCAGGTACATGATAAGCACAATAAAATGGTTTAATATTACTATATGGAATATACAATACATTCTACAGTATATAAAATTATGCACATTTATTACAGTATATGAACATATACAACAAAATATAACACATTTCAATATAATGGTAAAGGCAAACAAAATGTGTTACTAAAGTAGCTGTGTGTTTACATAAACATATAAACAGTCTTTATAAGTATTTGTTATAAAGGTCACAAAAAGCTAACTATAAGTAATCTAGTAAAATATCATTTATATGGCATATAAATATGTAAAATGTATATGTATATGAGGATATGTATGTGTGTGTGTATTTATGTTTAAAGAAGAGCTAAATATAAATATTCAAGTCACAGCCTCTGTTCTATGAAATGGTTGTAAAAACAGCCACAGCATATTATGGAAAATCAATATATTTTTTATCACCACTAAAATGTATGCTGACACTCTTGCCAGCATACATTTTAATAAATTCAGATGAGAGATTAAAATGTTTATGTAACCAAATGTATACTTATGTATTTTTGTAATTAAAAAAACCATGTTAAATTATTTACCATCATAAGTGGCTTAATGATTGAGAATATTTTAAATATTTTCCTCCACTACTACATATGAAATATAATTCATTTTCACAATTACATTCCTTATTAGAATTCAATTGTTATACTTTTGTTAAGAGCTTTAATGAGACTAAGTGCATGTATTCATTCTGTATATTCTAGTTTAGTTAATAATTGATTAAATTATTGTTTTTAATAAAAGTTAGCAGAGGTATATGAAATATAAGCTTGTGCTTTTTTACCAACATAGATAAAATACTAATTACACTAGGAAGAAACTACTGAAGGCTTCTAAGAATAAAGAATCAGAAAACTTGACTGATCTGATATTAAGTATTTTATTCATGATTATCTCTAGACCATTCATCTAATTCCTTTCCTCTATGAAAATCTATTTTGTTTGACAACCAGAAAAAAACTCTCCACATCATACTGTGTGAGCTTATTTCTTACATGACTAAAATCTCATGATAATGAAAGTCATGGCCAGAGACCATAGTAATTCTGCCTCCTTGAAACTTAATGTTTTAATATTAGAACAATTTAACTGTAACAAATAATTTTCTTTTCAGTCTTTTCCCTTTTAAACACGGCACTTATTTATTTCTCAAAACCTTTGTTATTGAGCTTTTATTTCTATCTTCAGAAGTTGCTTGAAATGGAGACCCCTAATCTGCTCCATATTTCATTTTAGTTTTCAAGTTCCAGATATTATCTATAAAGGGTCTCTACCATGTACCTCCTGATTTCGCCTGCTATTGTCCTGCCTGATTAGTTCAAAATTGCATTTTGCCATTTCCTAAACTATGTAGTAATAGTCTCCCAGTTAACTTATCCACATCCAATTTCTCTACACCAGTCCTGCCTATTAACAATTGCCAAATTAATCTTCCCATTTCTGAACATGTCACTTCTCTGCTTATAAATTTGCAGCCCTATCCATTGTTTATCAAATAATGTGTATGCTATTCAATCAAATATTTACGGTTTCCCATAAGACTGCTTAAAAACCACTCCCACCAATCTTCTCTTCTGTTGATTTTTTAAAACTTATCATCTGCTCAAATCAAATCAAAGCTTACATTATCAGCATCTCTATGAAATTCATCATCTCAAATCTCAGTGTGCATGAGTGTAGATCCTGTTAAAAATTCATATCCCCAGGTCCCACATATCAGACCTAGAATTAGAATCTTTGGGGTGGTGTCCTGCAACATGTAGCTCAATGAGCTATTTAATGCTGGCTATCTGCCCAGTCCAGTGCTGTTCAAGAAAACATTGTGCAATGATGGAATTGCTCTATAATATTCTCTATTCAATAAGGTAAATACTAGTCGTATGTGGCTGTTGAACATTTGAAATGTGGTTAGTGTGACTTAAGACCTGAATTTTTAGTTTTAATTAATTTTAATTAATGTTCAGTTAAACTTATACATTCACATGTGACTAATGACTACCATCTTAGGCAGTGCATAACTGACAATCCTTTGTTGTGAAATCTTGAAAATATACTCAGTCATTCACTACTAGCAATACAGTAAACATCTTAATAGATAAATTGTTGTTTCATATATCACATTCCTTAGGATAAATTTCTAGTCAAGTAATATAAATATATTTGAAAAGTTTTTAATAATTATCATCAAATCATCCCCCAGAAAGTTTGTTCGAGTTTAAACCCTCACCAACAGTTTATAAGAAGGTCAAATGATCTCATATTGGATACAGTATTTTGTAAAATCTTTCTCAATGCAGTAAGCCTCAAATAACAAGTTAATTCATTAAAATTTTATTTTGGTTAATAAAGGAGGTTGGGGTTTTTTTTATGGATATTGACCATGTAGTGGATAATTTCCAAAGATGGCTACCATGGATCCCTTCCCCTCCCCACTGCCCCTTACATGCATGCTGCTCCTTAGATCAAGGAACAGTATTTCTCTCTCCTCCCCTTGAAACTAGGCTGGTTTTGTTATTTGCTTTGGTCAATAGAAATATGGCAGAAGTGATGCTGTGTCAGTCCCAGAACAACAGGGAGCTTCCACTTCCTGTCTCTTGGAAGCCAGCTGCCATACAATAAAGCTGTCAGTTAAGAAGTCTTACTACCCTGAGACCAGCACACTGTGAGGAAGCATAAGCCAGCCACATGGAGAGTGAGAGGTCACGTAAAGGAGCATAAAGGAGCATCAAGGAACCGGGTACTTAAGTGAGGTTTTCTTGGACTATCCAGCCAGGTCCAGCTACCAATTGAATGTCACTGAGTAAATGATCCTAGCCTATGCCAGAAGTAACAAAATAAATCACCCAGAGGTTCTTGGCTAACTGCTTAACCCATAGAATAATGAGTATTAATAAATCATTTTTGTATTAAGACACTAAGTTTTAGGGGTGGTACATAGCAAAAGAAAACTGAAAAACATCTAATTTCTCCCCTTTGAGCTACACCATAGCATTCTATTTACATTGATTTGTTGCTTAAAAAAACAAATAGTTAATACTAATTTTAAGTGGATGTGTTGCACAGTAGGAAGATTTTGGGCTCCAAAGTTATTTAAACCTAGGTTCAAATATCCAATCTTCTCTCTACCAGTTTAATCATTAGGGCAAGTTTTATCAGCTAAAAACCTTGGTGCCCCATCTGCAAAATGGAGGTAGAGCAGCATGTCAGTGGTTCTAAGTAGTAAATTATTTACGGCCAGTTTCCTAAATTTTCCTGTGTGTTTTTTCTCTCCACATCAATTCTTTCTTTGATGTGTACATAAAAAGAGTAATTTAATAGAATTTTGATATTTGAACATGTTTTGACATTTTTCACAAGACAGTCTTAGCAAACTGTTTAAAAATATTATTTCAGGCCAGGCACCCTCACACCTGTAATCCCAGCACTTTGGGAGGCTGAGGCAGGTGGATCACCTGAGGTCAGGAGTTTGAGACCAGCCTGGCCAACACGGTGAAACCCCATCTCTACTAAAAATACAAAAATTAGCCTGGCATAGTGGCGGGCACCTGTAATCCTAGCTACTCGGGAGGCTGAGGCAGGAGAATTGCTTGAACCCTTGAGGCGGAGGTTGCAGTGAGCCGAGATCGCGCCACTGCACTCCAGCCTAGGCAACAGAGTGAGACTTTGTCTCAAAAAAAAAAAAAAAGACAACTACGCATGCTTCGGTCCCTGATTACTTCAGTGTCTCTGGAAACATCCTGACCTGTCACTTTCATGAACTCTTCCCTAATGATCTGGTCTTCTGCCTTTCTTCAACCATTTTGCTCTCATAATCATGTTCTATGCATTTCATTACCAGCAACTGCACATCCTCCAAAACCTTGATTTTAAGCATCTCACTCTCTACACAACAGCTCAAATTTCCCAGCTCACTTGCTCTAGTATTGCATGTATTCTAGTATTCCGATGAAATTTCTATCCCACTGATATTTATCACCCCTTGATTCTAACCCTCTAACCCTTTTGCATTGACCTCCCCTGCTCTCGCCCCACCTCTCTCATGATCTCACTTATATTCTTATGTGGCTAGAATTCCATGGCTTGTCATTTTAATCATACCCTTATATAACACTTCTATTCTTTTGACAAGACCCAAAATGTGAGTAATTCTCTTTTTCCCTTACTGTCTTCTACCCATGCCCCTATATAGCTGGACATAGAGATGAGCAATTATTTAAATGACTTTACTTGAAACTCAAAAGAGGTCCATTTTCCTGGTCAATTCACTCCTCACTGTCTAGATTTCTACTTCTCACATCCTCTCCTCTTCTCAAACTTTCACCACCTTCTCAAACATCCTTAGTCTTGCTTTTTTTTTTTTTTTAACTGATGAATTAGGAGCAAACAGCAGAACAATTCCATAATCTCCACCACTATTTCCATTCGCCTACCTCTATCTGATCCCTCCTGTCTGTGCTCCATTCTAAGGCCAACTTTTCCAATTTTGTACAAGAAATCCTACCTATTAATGCCAAGGATATTGCTTCATCAATTCTCCTTCCTCTTTTCTAAATCATTATTTTCCTCTGCTACATGAATCTCATCAACATGTAAATATGCTATAATTTCTCTGATTTTAGAAAAAAATATATAATAAAAAACTCCTGTTCCCATGCTCCCTCCATCTCCTACCTCTTTCCCCTGCTCCCCTTCATAGCAAACTCTTCAATGGCCTTGCTGCTGTCATCCTGAGCACCCCATAAAAACTGCTCTTGTAAAGAACACCATTGACTTCCACCAGGCTAAACACAAATTTAATTTTCAGACTTCAGTATAATTGACTTATCACTTGATTTGACATAATACATTACTGTAGACATATTGAAAAACCTTTTTCCAGTTTTATTCTAGTTCACAAACTCTCCTGCCTCTCCTAATACCCTGGGTGCTCTTTCTCAGTATCCTCTGTTGGTTCCTCCCTATCTGCCAGATGTTATAACATTGGAATTTCCCAAATCAAAGTTATTGGGCTTTGTTTGTTCAGTCTACACTCACTACCTTGGTAGTATCTTCAGTCTCATGGCTTCACACACTATCTGCCGATGATGCTTGGCCTTATGTCTAGCTTAGTTCTTTGCTCTTAATTACACATGCCAACTGTCTAATTGACAAATCTACTTGAATCTCTAATAAACCTCTTAAATATACTTGAATTTCTAATGAAGAGCTCACATGAACTTCTAGTATCATTCCTCAAATGTTTTCTACCCACAGTTTTTCTTACACTAGTTAATACCAATTCTACCCTACTTGTTCAGATTAAAGACCTTGGAGCCATTACTACCTCTTGACTTTCATGCTTCACATCGAATCTGTCAGCAAAACTTAAAATCTATTCATAATTTCACCTCTTTTCACTACCTAAACCACTGTCTTTGATCCAAGCCACTATTATCTTCTTTCCTGAAACATCCATCAGAAGCTTTTGTTAAATCCAACTAAAATGTATACTCATAAGAGGACCATTGAAAACCCTTGGCATTAGCTTCTTCTAGAAACATGTAGCAAAGGAAACTCTTGCCAGTAGGGCAGCATCAGGTGTTTCTCTTCCATGGAAGCCCTTGCAGGGGCCATGTAGAAATTCACATAGTTAATTAGACATATTTTCTTTAGCTCTTCCTGTGATATAGCTCAGGTACAAGAAAGCAGTAATCATACTGGGTAGGTTGGAAACTTAGCAGAGAAGCCCCATGCCCCAAAAGAGACAAAAATCTCTTATCACACCACAGTTAATAACTTAAGGTCCTCACAAAGGACATGCCAATTGCAAAAATCATCCAACTCAAGGAAATCTGAAGATTCTAACCAGATATTTCTAGTCTTCTGATACAGTTTATCAATTGGAATCATTTTTGCCATAGGAACATTGCCTAGTAACAGAGTTATCATTTCAATGTTAGCAGTTTTGTGGAGCGCAAACTCCAAAAGTTATTCAAAGGCCAATTTCTCATGCAGGAAGGAATAGAGCTTTGTTAACTCCTTACCCACACTGATTTCTGTAATAACCTTCTACTGGTGTCCCTGCATCCAGTTTTTTTTTCCTCTTCAATCTATTCTCAGCCCCCATCATTATGTTAAAATATAAATCAGATCACATGACTTCTCTGCTCAAAACCTTCTAATGGCTCCCCATATTACTCAGAGTAAAATTTAAAAGTTCTTAAAATGTAAGACTCTATATAACTTGGCTTTCCACTATCTCCTTAAACTCCTCTCCTATTTTCCTCTTCCTTGAACATTCTGTTCCAACCATGTTGACTGTCTTGCTGTTCCTGCAGCTACTAGATATATACCTGCCTCAGGAAGTTTTCACTATATCCCTCTGCTACATGCACACATTTCCTTCACTTCTATTCAAATGATACATTTTAATAAAGCCTTTTAAACTTGTGATTCCCTAGTTCTAAAGGGAGTCCCATGTCTGGCCTTCTTTATTTCTCTTAATAGCCTTTAGCATATTCTTATATACCTATGGCCATTATTTTCTTTATTATATGTTTACCCCCACAAAAGACAAAGATTTTTCTCAATTTATTCACTGTTTTTCTTCAGGAGGACCAGATACATGTAAGTACTGAATAAATATTGGTTGAACTTATTGGATTAATGCTTATTCAAATTTAAATATAATTTGTTAGACAGGAATATTTCACTTACATTCCATTTTAATGTGACTTCCTTTACTTAACCTCTTTTTCATCTTTCAATAAACACAATTTTCTAAAAATTTTGCAAATAATCTAACTAGTCATTTATCTAAATATTTTAAGGAAGCGTGACATCCAATTTAGTATTTTCAAAATGTAAGGATAAGAGTTATTTTTCTAATCTAGTTATAAATTTTAAAGGATCTATTTCTTTTGTGTAAAATACTTATGATTTTTTAGAAGCCAGAAGGGATCAGCATATGTGGGCGCATTGTTGGCACAAAGTGGATCTTCTTACATTTTGGCCTAGTAATAAACATATCAACATCTAAATGAGCTTCCTACAAATAATCTGACAGCTCTAACTAGTTAATGAGACATTTAAAAATTTTTTTCAACTATATAATGAATCATGAAGATAGTTTTTTTTTATCATTCTCAGGGATGGAAGGACATTAGTATTTTCTTAATTGTCATTGATATCTTTAACCCAATGATTTTATTACTATTTATTCAATTATTTATATGTAGCCATATGGCAATATAAAATCCAATATTGCCACTGCACTAATATGAATTTTTGTATGGAGTATACCCTGAATAACATCTATTGAGATCAAACAATTTTATAAATATAGCTTGGAGGTTAAAACTGCTTAAATACAGAGGAAAACTAAAAACTTGATTTGAGTTTTATGAATAAAGTAAGTTCAACAAAGTAATTTTAAAAGAATGCAATCATAGCTTAGCAAATAATTCTGTATTTGAAAAACAAACATTTAACCTCATTTCCTGTTTTAGAGAAATTTCAAGAAGATAATTTATTAGCCTGAGGACCTGAACCTGTTTCTAATATAAATAACCTGAATGCATCTATTGAGTATTAACTAGTCAACAAGGATGTACTAAGCACCTATTGTATATCTGCTATTGTTATTTATTTTGGAGAATATAAACCATACATATATAACTTAGTCCCTGCTTTGACATAGCTTCAACCAAAATGGCTAGCTAACTAGAATCCTACAGAGTATTTAAGAAATATGTTTTTAGTGTCTATACATGCAGCATGTTGCTAAATTTTCACTATACAAATTAAATAGGATAACTTAAAACATCAAAACACTTCTAATTAAGAATGACCACAGATTGTCTCTAGGAAATGCACAGAAGTAAATAAATAATATATAGAATAGCAGTTAATTAAAAAATAACTTTAAAATTTACATAAGGTTTGAATGATGGAGAAATGATAATACTTGAAATACCCATTAACTCTACTTTTCTGATTGCCATGCAAAATAGCCTTAGTACTTAAATTTCCTTAGAATCTCAATTATTTCGGATACTTTACTGTGAACTTACCCCCTCTGAACTTTGTAGCACTTTACCAAGGCCAGCTCAGTGATGGTCTACTAAGGAAAATGTAGCTTTCTTGGGAACAAACAAATTCCCACATAACACTAAGACAGAGGTGTTAAGCAGGGGCTCTGTATTGTGGACTAGGAGTTTCTGCTCACTTTTCCCATCTGTGCAACTGTGGTGAGATTCATTCATTAAAAAATAAATTACTGTCTTCAAAATGCCATCATGCTTAATATGATAGTCATGGTTATCAAGCTTCGTTCCAATTTGTAAGTAATACAAATGTAGATGTTTTTATTTTACCTCATCTTGCTGTGAGTTTAGCAGCTGCAGCTTCATGTGTTTCATGTAGGCCATGGTAATTGGCATGTTGTAGTCAATCATGCTGGTCACCAAAGTGGGAGGTTTTCCATTATCTGTAATAAAACATTTTTAATGGGTAATGAAAGTAATACTGCATTCTACCTGTAATTTTAAAATGATCTATTTCTCCAAATTGAAACAGGATTTTAGATATCAAGTGTCTTAAAGCATGGTAGCATTATAGTTGGACGGTAGAAAAAACAACTAGTAAGGTTCTACAAAGGTGTATTGACACTGTTTAACAGTACTAATAAATTATTTATAAATGCAGGGGAACTTTTAAACATCCTGAATAACAATAAATAAACCTAATGTGGTTACTAACACAATTATTTGTATTTTTCTTCTTTGCTTTACTTTCTATATGTATTTTTTGAATGCCGAAGGAAATCTGCTCAATTTTTTGCTTTTGGCCATTCGATTTAACCTTCGAGACACAGGAATGAGCCAGCAAAAAATGTATCTCTGAGACTGATATAATCTCTGAGAGGAAGTCATATTTAGCTAAATAATTTTCAATAATTTTAATGAGAGCTAAATCCAAATCATAATTTTAATGTAAAATTTTTTAGTAAAGAAACTCCACATTATTCATAATTTTTAGAAATAAGGAATTGGTAGATTTAAAAAGACATTGATAGAAACCAATTTCCTTGCTGAATATATCTAAAATAGCATGAAATACATATAATAAATGAAAATTAAAACATGATTACAGGGAAAAATGTTATTTGCCACAGCTGAAACTGTCTTTCTTCTAAGAATGGGCACTGAATTACTTTGTAAGTGGATATTCAAAATTCACTGCCTCCTACTTGAATAAATGAGATGATCTGACTTGTTGAACTGTTTCAGTCTACCACGTTTTTATAAAAATGTGAGATACAAATGGCCATTATGAATAAAATTACTTTAAATCTCACTATTTGACACTGCAGCTACCTTTATGATCTGTTCCATCTGGGTTTAAATGCATTCTTTTCTGGCACTCTGAGCAGCTCATTAGAAATCGTGTCACCGCTTCTCTTGGTAGGAAGGCATAGCTCTCTGAAATCTGAAATGATTCACAAAATACAGGTGTTATTATATAAGCTCACTGAGCATGATTTAACAGAAATGATCATTGTATTTCCAAATAAGACACGTTATTCCATAATGGCAGGAAGCACAATGAAAGCATGCATTGCATACCATGCATCATTTCAAGAAATATCTATCAAACTTGATTAGATGTCTTTTAATAAAAGCCAATAATGCCATGTGGAGACAAAAATCAACCACATCTCGATGGGCATCTGTTTATATTTTGCATTTCTTTTAGGTAAAATAATCACAGTGTACAGATGTCCTAGTGAATTTTCCTTATTATTAAACATTGCCAACATTGTTTTTAAACTTACTGCTAGCACAATCAAATTTGTATCCAATTTTAAATACTCTTTTTTGTAATTTAGCCCCAAGTAGGAGCAATAAACTCTGGATTTTGCACAATGAACATTTCTTCATTGTTGCTTTTCAAAATATTTTAAGTGAGAATAAAAAATAAATTCAAACAGAACTTATGTATATATTTACTGCAGTGAATCATCCCTTCCACAGAAAATGACACATCTGGAAATGCATTTAGGCCACCTATTTCATTCATTTTATGTCAATTTTTTATAATGTATGTCCATAATAGCTCACACTGACTGTCAGAGCAAGCCTTTTCTGTGGCCTATATAGAGCTTTGTTTTCAGAACCATAATCTAGAATCAAGTTAGAAATCCATACTACCATTACAGTAATTTTATAAATATTAATTTTCTAAAACCAAGTTCTCTCATCAAAGCAAATAATTCCTTATGTGAAACTGATAGATAGTTGAATATCTTTAAATAAAAGCTGACAGTGACTCAGACAGTGCTACTAAGAAGTCTGATGCCGGGCTTCAGTTTTCCACCATAGCACTAACATTTTACATGAAATATAAGATAAGCAATAGGAATAAATGAGTTGCAAATAAGACATAAATGCCACAGATGATTTCTTAGGTGCATCTATAGCCCTTACAAACACTGATGTATTTTAAATTAGTAAAAATGAGGGGAAATGTGCAACAAATGTATAATTGAGTGCAAATGGGTGCTAGTTCTCTTAGTGGTGATGGAGTCAACTTTGCTTAGCCAGGCTACAGAAGCCTAGCCTTGAGAAAACCCCATATACTAAGATCCAAAATTGTAAAGCTCATTTTTCTCTTAATTTAATATTAAAATCAGTTTATACCACATAGCCTATCCTATTGACTTTAAGGGAAAAGAAGCCATAAGAATACTGAAGAGGAGAAACAGGCTTACAATTAAAATCTGCCATTGATAATCCATATTCAGGTCATTAAAATTCAACACTCTTAGGGGTTGAAATATAGAACTCTTATTTTTAAATATTATATTGACAGAGTAAGATATCCAGATTTCAAAAAATACTGCTTCAGACTATGCAGTTATTGTGTGAGGAAAATGATCAGAACAATTCTAAACTATTTTGTGAAAAATTTTATATTATTTAATAAGAAAATATATATATAATTTAGGTTCTCATTCATTTTCTCTCTCTTTCCCTATAAACACACACAGCATATATGAATTTGAATCCTATTTTTCTGTTTTTACAGAGGGAATAAACACTTCTAACTGACTTATTTCATTAGAGATCATTATTTTCTTACTCTCTGAAGAAATATTTTATACTAATTCAGAAGAAAAAGTCTATAATGCATGCTTCATCCTTATATTTTATATTTCAAAGCATATCGAGTTATAGTCCATTAGAACTAATGCGTCTGACCAGTAAATTTATTATCAAGTAGGATTTTAGGTAAAGGCTCCATTGGTTTTTCTAGATTTCTATTAAATTTTTTATCTACTTTATAAAAGAGAAATATTTCATTGAAAGATAGGTAAGTGCTGGAGTTGGAGAGACACTCCATTGGCTTCCACGGTCCTGATACTTTCTGAAATCTTCTCTTTTCCCCATGCTAATGAAGCACTTGTGTAGAAAACCCTTCAGGATAGATTTATCATTGACCTGAATCAATCCTATGACTTGTCTAGCAGCATTTAGCCCCAAATCAATTTTTCTTGAAATTATTAATAATCATATCACATTAGTTTTATAGCTTTACTCTGAAAAATACTACATGTAATGGTCAAAAATGTTTGTGTTCATGTATACATGTGTGCATGAAATAATACAAAGCCCACTTTGTATCTTAGAAAATATTTTTAAGCAAATATTTTATCATATTATTCTTTCCGGTATGGCTCTAACATAGTACTTGCCATGTCACTATCTATTACATAAGATAAAAGCGCTTATTTGGGAATAGTTTTCTTGGTGTTTAGAATTCATGTTATAGGGACACCTGCCATGGCATTCCACTCCCCTTGAATCTTTTCTTCCCCACCTCATATTCACTGGGGCCCACAGACCACAGAGTCCTCCTATGCACAGGGAAGAAAGATCCTCCAAGCAGGCTTTTCACATCTCATACTCATTTCTGAAAAAAAATATTTCTCCTGCAACGCACGTAAAGAAAAAAAAAAAAAAACTTTTTTCCCTATTCAGAATCTTTTCTCCCAGGCCTATTCGAAATTAAGAGTCCTGGAATTTTCAGGAGTCACCAAGATGGTGAAATAGGAGTTTCCAGCATTTGTCCCCTCACAGAAACATGAACTTGAATAACCATCCATGCACAAAAATACCTTCACAACAACTAAGGAATCCAAGTAAGTGATTACAGCACCTGAGTAGAGCATAGAAATAAGAAAAGACTCAATGAATAAGGTAGAAAAGACGGTTTCACATTATATATGTCAACTCTCCCTCAAACCCATGCAGCACAACTTGGAGAAAGAAGTTCTCCACATGGTTGAAGGAGAGTGAAGTGAGCACTCAACTTCAGCTTCACTTTGGACCCTAGCAACAGGCCCTCCATTACACTCGAGGCACCAAGTATTGAAGCCATTGAAGTTAAGTTGTTATCAGCTTAAAATAGTTTGTTATAAGTTATTTTATGTAAGTGCTATGGTAACCACAAAGAAAAATTCTGTAAGTAGATATGCAAAAGATGAAGAAAAAGTAATCAAAACATACAACTACACAAACATCATCAAATCACAAAGGAAGAGACCAAGAAAGGAAGAAAAGAAAAATAGTCATAAAACAGTTAGTAAAATGGCAGTAGTAAGTCCTTATCTATCAATAATTACATTAAATATAAATGGATCAAATTCTCCAATCAAAAGTCAGAGTGGCTAAATGAATTTAAAAAAAAAAGAACTAACTATATGCTGTCTACAAAAGTATCACATTAGCTATAAGTGGACACATAGGCTGAAAGTGAAAGGATAGAAAAATATATCCCATGCAAATGGTAACCAAAAGGGATCAGGGCTGGCTATATTCACATCAAACATAATAGGGTGCTTGTTAAAAATTGTCACAAGAGGCAATGAAGGTCGTTAAATAATGATAAAGTCAATTCATCAAGAAGATATAACAATGGTAAATATATATGTACCTCAAATCAGAGCACCTAAATATATAAAGCCAATGTTAATAGAACTGAGGGATAAACAAACAGCAACACGTTAACAGCAGAGAACTTCAATATATCCCTTTCAATAGTAAATAGATAGTTCAGATAGAAAATGAATAAGGAAACAGCAGACTTGAACAACACTAGAAACTGAATGAACCTAATGGACATATACAAAACTTATCACCCAACAGCAGCAGAATACACATACTACTCACGTGAACAGGGAAGAATCTTCAGGATAGATCATATGTTAGGCCACAAAACAAGTCCTAACAAATTTTAAAAAACTGAAAACATATGAAAAATCTTTAGAGCACACTGGTATGAAACTAGAAATCAATAATAGAAGAAAAATTGAAAAATTTACAAATATGTGAAAATAAAAAACACACTCCTGAGCAAAGAAGAAATCAAACAGGAAATCCAGAAATATCTTGAGTGCAACAAACTGGGAACACAACATATCAAAACTTATGAAATACGGCAAAAGCAGTTCAAACAGGGAAGTGTATAGCAATAAATGCCACATTAAAAAAAAAGAGCCAGAAGTGGTGGCTCATGCCTGTAATCCCAGCTACTTGGGTAGCTGAAAAGGAAGGATCATTTGAGGCTAGGAGTTTGAAACAAGCCTGGGTAATATAGTGAGATTCTGTCTCTAAAAAAGATTATAAAAAGTAAAAATTCGTCGGGCATGGTGGCATGCACCTGTAGTCCCAGCTACTCAGGAGGCTGAGGTGGGAGGATAGCTGGAACCCAGGAGTTCAAGACTGCGGTGAGCTATGATCATGCCACTGCATTCCAGCATGAGTGACAGAGGGAGAGCCTGTTTCCTGTTTCTAAAAACAATAATAATATTAATGAATTAATTTTTAAAAGAAGAAAAAAAGATCTCAAATAACCTAGCTTTATATCTCAAAGAAGTAGAAAAAGAAGAACAAATTATGGCCAAAGTTAACAGAAGGAAATAATAAGGATCAGAATAGAAATAAAAAAGGTAGAGACCAGAAAAACAATAAAAAAGATCAATGAAACTTGAGTTATTTATTTTTTGAAAAGATATACAAAATTGACAAAACTTTACCTAGACCAAGAAACAGAGAAGAATCAAATAAATAAAATTATAATTAAATGAAGAGATATTATAAATATCAGAGAAATACAAAGAATCACAAGAATCATGAACAATTATATATGCCAACAAATCGGATAACACAAAAGAAATGCATAAATTCCTAGAAATGTGCAGCATACCAAGACTGAATCATAAAAAGCAGGACATATGCACAGATCGATAGTGAGTAAGGGATCAAATCAGTAATCAAAAACCTCCCAATAAAGAAAGTCCCAGGACCTGACGGCTTCACTGGTAAATTCTACCAAACATTCCAAGAAGAATTAACAATAATCCTTCTCAAACTCCTTCCATCCCCGCCCTCCCACAAAAAAAAAAAAAAAAAAAAAAAAAAAAAAAAAAATACTGGGTAGGAGGGAACACTTCCAAGTTCATGTCAGCATTACCTTGATACCAAAGCCAGACAAGGACGCTACAAAAAAAGTTTACAGCCAATTTCTCTGATGAACATAGATGAAAAACTCAACAAAAACTAGCAAACAAAATTTAAAAGCACATTAAAAGGATTATACCCTATAGTCAAGTGGGTTTTATCACTAGGATGCAAGGATGTTTCAACATACACAAATCAATAAATGAGATTCACCACATTAGCAGAATGAAGGATAAAAGTAATATAATCATCTCAACAGATTCAGAAAAAGCATTTGACAAAATTCAACATCTATTCATGATTAAAACTCTTAACAAATATGTATAGAAGAAATGTACCTCAATATAATAAAAGCCATATGTAACAAGCCCACAGCTAATGTCATATTCAGTGGTGAGAAAATGAAAACTTTTCTTCTAAAATCAAGAATAAGACAAGGATGCCCACTTTTGTCACTTGTATTCAATATGGTACTAGAAGTCCTAGTCAGAGTAATAAAAAGTTAGAAAAAGATAAGCCATCTAAACTTGAAAGAAAGAAATAAAATTTTCTTTGCTTACAAGTGAAATTATCTTATAGACAGAAAATCCTAAAGACCCCACCAAAACAATGTTAGAACTTATAAACAAATCCAGTAAAGTTGCAGGACAAAAAAATCAGGATACAAAATCAGCTGAATGTTTATAGATAACAATGAACTATACAAAAAAGAATAAGAAGACAATGTCATTTAAAATAGCATCAAAAATAAAATAAACTAGAAAAACAATTCAATCAAGACGATAAAAGAGATATACAATGAAAACTATAAAAAAGAAAGAATAATCTCTGACAAATATACCAAGAACACACAAAGAGAAGGGATAATCTCTTTAATAAATGGTATTTGGAAACTGGATAACCAAATGTGGAAGAAATAAATTGGCCCTTGTATCACACCTTATACAAAAATAAACTTAAAATGGATTAAAGACTTAAATGTGTGCATATGTGTGTGTGCACACATAGAATGTGACAACCCATAGAATGGAGGGAATTATTTGCAAACCATACATAATAAAGGGTTAATTTCAAAAACATATAAAGAACTCAAAAAATTTCATAGCAATAAAACAACCTGTTTTAAAAATAGGCTGCTATGTTTTGAATGTCCGTGTCTTCTTAAACTTTTTCTTTGAAACTTAATCCCCAGTCTAGTAGTGTTAGGCTGTGAGGCCTTTTGGAGGCTCTACTCTCATAAATGGGATTAGTGCCCTTATAGAAGATGTCTAAGGGGGCTTGCTTGTCTCTTCTGCCCTTCCACCAAGAAAGAAAGCATCATCTACGTGGAATGATTCCTTGTCAGACACTAAATATGCTGGTAGCTTGCTCTTGGGCTTCCTAGGTTCCATAACTATGGGTAATAAATTTATATTACTTTTAAATTATCCAGTCTAGATTATTTCATTATAGCAGCCCAAACAGACTAAGACATAGGCAAAAGACATGAATCGGCATTTCCCTAAAGAAAACATACAAATGGCTAACAGGTATATGAAAAAATGTCGAACATCACTAATCATCAGAGAAATAAAAATGAAAACCACAATGAGATATCACCTCACACCTGTTAGGATCGCTATTATAAAAAAGTCAAAGACAAAAAGTATTGGCAATGATGTGAAGAAAAGGGAAGCCTTGTACACTACTGGTGAAAATGTAAATCAACCCAGCCATTATAGAAAACAATATGGTGGTTCCCCTAGAAATTGAAAATAGAACTGCCAAGTGATCCAGCAATTCCATTTCTGGGAATATATCCAAAGGAAATGGAAATCATTATCTCAAAGAGATATCTGCACTCCTATGTTCATTGCAACCTTATTCACAATAGCCAGGATATGGGGACAACTAGGCCAGGTACGGTGGCCCACACCTGCAATCCCAGCACTTTGGGAGGCTGAGGCAGGTGAATCACCAGAGGTCAGGAGTTCGAGACCAGCCTGGCCAACATGATGAAACCTTATCTCTACTAAAATTATGAAAATTGGCCAGGTGTGATGGCAGGTACCTGTAATCCCTGCTACTTGGGAAGATGAGACAGGAGAATCACTTGAACCCGGGAGGCAGAGTTTGAAGTGAGCCAAGATTGTGCCACTGCACTCTAGCCTGGGTGACAGAGTGAGACTGTCCCCCCCCAAAAAAAAAAGATATGGGGACAATATAAGTGTCTACTGATGAATGGATAAAGAAAACATGATATAAAATATATATCAATATTTAATTTTATATGTGTATATATACATATATATTTCATGTCACTACACATACATAATGAAATATTATTCATCCCCAAAAAAGAAGGAAATCCTGTCATTTGCAACAACATGTATGAACCTGGAGATTATTATGGTAAGTGAAATAAGCCTGACACAGAAAGACAAGCATAATCTCACCTGTAAGTGGAAATTGAAAAAGTCAAACTCATAGAAGCTGAGAGTAGAATACAATGGTGGTTCCAGTGGCTGGAGGGTGAGGAAAATGAGGAGATATTGGTCAAAGGGTACAAAGTTTCCATCATGTAGTATGAGTAAGTTCTAGAGATCAAATGTATAGCATAGTAACCGTAGATAATTCTGTAATGTATGCTTAAAATTCATTAATAGAGTAAATCTCAAGTGTTACCACATGTACCCACAAATGGTTACTATATGAGGTGATGGACATGCTAATTAGCTTGATTGCGGTAATAATTTCACAATGTATATGTGTATGAAAACACGTTGTACACCTAACATATATAAAATCTGTTTCTCAAGACAGGGTCACAGGGTCTCTTTCTATTGCCCAGGCTGCAATCACAGCTCACTGTAGACTCAAAGTCCTGGGCTCAAGTGATCGATCCTCCTGCCTCAGCCTCCCAATTAGCTAGGACTACAGGTGCGGACCACTAAGCCCAACTTTTTTTGTTTTGTTTTGTTTTGTTTGGTGAAGATGGGGTCTCATCATGTTGCCCAGTCTGGTCTTGAACTCCTAGCCTCCAGCAATCCTCCCATCTTGGTGTCCCAGAGCTCTGGGATTACAGGCATGAGCAACTGCACCTGGCTACAATTTTCATTTACCAAGTATGCCTCAATAAAGCTAGCAAAAAAGGAAAATATCCTAGACAAGCTTCATTACTGAAGTTCTTAGCATGGTGGCTCACACCTGTAATCCCAACAATTTGACAGGCTGAGGCTAGAGGATCACTTGAGACTAGGAGTTCGTGACAACCCAGCCAACATAGATCCTATCTCTATATAAAATTTTAAAAATTAGTTGTGCATGGTAGTGTGTGCCTGTAGTCTCAGCTGGTCAAGGAGGCTGAAGCAGGAGGCTCACTTGAGCCCATGACTTTGATGTTGCAGGGAGCTATTATTATGCTACTGCACTCCAGCCTGGGTAGCAGGGTGAGACAGTGCCTCTTAAAAAAAAAAAATTAAAACAGTGTCCTGTCTTTGGAAAATTCTTAAATTATGGTATATTTGAATAATTACATTTCATAATTAAACTTTTATGATGAAATACTGCCATTTGATTCTGTGGGCATCTTTATTTAACCTAATTCAGAGACAGCATTGAAAGCCTATGTGCCAATCCTCTTCCAACTTGAGGCCTATGTTAAGTACCTCTATGACTCTTACCCTAATGAAAGGCCTGTTCTCATTTGCTGGGAATTAATGTTTGAAATGTTAAATCAATTTTAAATAGATGTTCATAAATGGTGATAAAACTCAGGGACATGTCCCTCAAGGTAGCCCATTTATCAAAGTCCTAATATCTTTCTCGCAATATGTAATAGCAGTTGCAAATAAAACCTAGAAGGAACAGAAATTTAAAAAGATTTTGATTCAGATACTAAAAATACTATTCTACTAATATTACAATTAACTATGTAAAATACTATAATCATTCATAAATGTCATAAATGTCTTGGACCCAGTTTTCCAATGTGAATATTCTGCTTCTAGATGGAAATTGGATTTTGAATATACAGTACAGAACATTTTCTAGAATATTGGTGAGAACATGTTTCACTTGAAAATGTATTCTTAAAAATATTTTTATATTTCAGAAAGATAGAGTATTTCCTTAGAATTTGTTTATGAACACAGAAACACTGTCCCTTGATAGTGATAAGACACAAAATAGAATGGATGTTAGTCTTGATCTCTCTTAACTAAGCACTAAAAAAATCACAACTTCCATGTGACAAACCACATATTAAATATATTGCTCACAACAGAAACAAACATGTTAAGGATGAACTGGAACACGGCCACATTGAACCTTAAAACTAATGACCTAACATTATTTATCAAGTAAATAATTATGGGAAATTTATTTCTTACAAATGTTGTTTTCTAGGAATCTAGATTTGTTTTCTTATGCTTATATAATGTTATACTTTTCACTGTGGTTTTACTACCATTATTTTAGCAAATGGTTAAAACAGATTTTCCAGTAACTTTTTGATAAATTGGTTGACTGCTGTAAAGAGATGAAATGAATTGTCGTTGTTACACAGCAGAGGGCAAAGTAAAATGCTGGAAGTCAAACAAGGATTTCCCAAATACTGGTCTATTTCTGTAAATTTAATGGACCATGGGTGGCTTATCCAACAGACAAGACAAATGCTAAGGGCCCAGGGAAAGCAGACAAAAAAAAAAAATTTCAAGAAACCCAAAGTATCAAAATGTCATCACAGAAAAATTCAGTGTTTGTTAAACTATCTTCAACTTGAGTCATGGGAAAGATTTGTTATTGTTATTATTTTTTAACCTTGAATTGAGAGAGAAGGAAGGAAGAAACTAGCTAGGAAAATAGGGCAAAGAGTCCTCGGCAGAATTTCTGCTCTAACAAAGAGCAGCCTGGAAGATCAGGCTGCAGACATAGATAAGGAAGCAAGTTCGAGCACAAAGATGGAGTCTCCTGTGTAATTAGCAAGTTTCACATGCATACAGTGGGTCCCAGTAAGCACTGTGGGCCCTAGTGAGCACATTCCTTTCCTTTTTTGGACATACACCAGTAAGGAAGCTGGAAGCTTGCATGAAGGTGGTGCATGCAGCTGCACCAATCGAAAGAACTACCTTGGGCCAGTCACATCCACCATGGCCAGGCACGTCACCCAAGCTGGAGTGGAGTAGCATAATAATAGCTCCCTGCAACCTCAAAGTCATGGGCTCAAGCAAGCCTCCTGCCTCAGCCTCCTTGACTAGCTGGACTACAGACACAATCTACCATGCACAACTAATTTTTAAATTTTTGCCCACCCCCCTCCCCCTTAGCACATGCACAGTGGGGAAAAGATAAGCAACATGGAATAACTTAGGCTAAAGACCTGCCTGGGCAATAAAAGGTTGGGGTGGGGACTGCCAGAGTGTCACACCCTATGCAAATGACACACCTAGTCCTAATAGGTTTTTTACGCCCTATGTAGATGAAATACTCCCTCCCCAGTAACTTGCTTATAAAAACCCTTGCATTTCCCTGAAGAACGGTAACCCTTTTTCGGGGACTTCTCTCTGCAGCAGAGAGCTGTTCTCTTTACTTTGCTTATTAAATTTCTGCTCTAATCTCACCCTTGGTGTGTCCACGTTCTTGATTTCCTTGGCAGTGAGACAAAGAATTTCAGTGTCACCCCAGACAATGAGGCCATTTCAGAATTATCTACGGTTGTGGAGTGGGGGAATTTGGCACAAGGTACATTTTTCATAACTTACCACTTGTAAAGGCCTTAATTCATTTGAGTATTGGGAAACATGGATAGTGTTTTCAGTGTAAATATTACAGTCTAAGTCCTTTAGGACTGGAATTCATCAGTAAAACAGAAAATAATAGATTAAATTATTTCCATAAATTAGAAGTAGAAATGACCTCTACCATCCAAAAAGTATAGCAATACTTCCATATAAAAGTAATTTAACCACAGCCTCTTTTGATGGACTGAACAATAAAATCAGCCTCTGGAGCAATAACAGCACAACATTAGTGATCCAGTGACAAACTTATCCACCTGCAGAAAGCTCAATGATCAAGTTCTATAAAGGGCATGGTTTCCTATCTTCCATCTGTGGGTTATAAAAAAAAACAAGCAAACTCTTGGGAATACCTTACTGAAAATCCCACGGACAAATATACTTGTCTACTTGCCAATGTTCTGCTTTTCGGAAGAAAAAAATGGTACTTTAAGAAGCCCTACAACTATAAAGCCAAATACTGGCCATTCCTGAGTATTACTAGCCTTCGCCTTTAACACAATGCAGTTAAGGTAAACTTATAAGTTATCCAAAAATCTGAAATTTTAAAAGCAATCACAAGCAATCTAATTTGCAAAACTCATCTTGTAAATTCAATAATATATAATACTAAAGTTTTTTCACATTTTCTTTTTTAGTATCAGAGTCTTCAGAAATAAATGACCTTTCCAACTTGGATCTGAAGTAACATAAAGTTAGAAAAATTGAAGAAGTTAATTAATCAAAAAAATTTAATAACAAATTGTTGTTTTGCTCTATTTTTTCAGACTGTGTATCATAAGTATGTAACGTAAGTTTATCTCCTTAACTCAAGCCATAAAATAGTGCAAATTAAGAGAAAAAAATAACGGAAAATAATTTTAAAACATGGAGAATTTGACCATGTCTTCTTTTCTCAGTCCCAAGTATCCTTCCTCTCTAATTGCAACAATGTTTCATTTCTAAGTTATTCAATAAAAAGGGTTTCTAACTATTCAGTTTGTATTATATATAAACCTGCAAACCTCTGGTTCCTGAAATGGTAGAGAATTTGCAATCCTCAAAATTAAGATTCTCGTTAATTACATGACAATTACTAGTTTTGGCTGCATTACATGGACGAAAATGTCACCAAGCAATCTATGTCTGATTGTTTTCCATTAATTGAGTACTTAGTAAATGGATTATGCTGAATCAGAACTTTACATGAGTTTCATCATTTAATCCTCACAACAGTCCCACGAATAGATTACCATGATCACTATCATGATCTCTGTGTAACAGATGAGGGAGCTAAGCTTCAGAGAGGTTGTGTATTTTGCCAATTATGTACAAGAGACAGGACTCACCTGCTATTGTGGTTTCAAAGCCTATCACTTTAACCACTGTTTTACAGCCACTCCTAGTTATCAGTATTGAAAAAAGATAGAGACTGTTTCATCCATAAAGAGCTGGGATATTAACCTCACAGCATAGGTTAATTATTCTAAAATGTTTATAATGCTCCCTGGTGTGAAGTTCTTTATAAGTGTAAAATGCTCTAACTAGTTTGGGGTGACCTTTCTGAATACAAGGGTCAGTCAAGCACTCTGTACCTTGTCTCAGGTTACAAAGTTTCTCAAGAACAAGTCAGACTATGGAGTAACAACACAGAGCTCCGCCTGGAAAAAATTAACAGGCCATCTGTTCCATTCCAGCAAAACTGAGGACTAAAATGATGGCTTTGTGACAATGCTGTAATATTTTAGCAGCCAGTCAGTAAATGCGTTGGACTTCCATTTTTAATAGAATTTAGGAGAGGAATGTAAATAACTGCCTCTTCCTAAAGGAACAAGACATCTAATTGTAAGAAATTCGCCAGCAGAGAAGCCATTCTTGGTCTAAGATTTGAAGCTAATGTGCGAGCTGAAATAAAGCCATCACATAACGTTGGCAAATCATGAGTAGTAACAATCACTTTATAAAGCAAGCAAACAAAAATAAGCTAATCAAAAGATTTATCAACCAAAATTATACAATTTTAACCTAAATTCACTAGTGTAATAAAAAAATGATGAGTGTTCCTAAATATCAGTAGTTTGAAAATGTAACTTGGTGCTTTGGTATATTGTGCTCCTTTTCAGATACTGAACTTTAGAGCAAACAATAATTAATATAATCACACAAATTTTTAAAATCACCTTTCTCCACCTTTTGTTTTTAAAATGAATTTAGAGAATAGCAATAATGGCTTTATTTAACTAGAATAATTATATGGACACCATAGTTTTTGGCAAATATCAAACTGTATGTACCTAAAAGAATTTGCCCTTAAGGCCAAACTTCTGACATTTTCTCTTATCAATATCCTGCAGATCATGGATAAAGAATAAATTAGAAATAATCTCCTAGTGAAATTTTTTTATCTTACTAGATTTGAGAAAATTTGTATCACAAACCCTCTGCAATATATGTAACTAAATTAAGATATAGAAAATTTATTTGTAAAACATAAAATTGAAATTAAATTGAACAGAGCCTATAAATCCAAATGTTATTAAAAGCCTGTGTGTCCTGATTCATAAACATATAGAACACCAAACTCCAGAGCGGCCTCTATCTGAGGAAAATAAATCTAGGCTCTATGCATATCTTCAATTCAAGGAACATCTGTCTTTTTCTGTTTTATATATTGAATATCTTTGCATTTAGGACTTTACAAGGTATGCAATCACTGTCACATTTGAGCCCAAGTGGAATATAATGTGATAACTTACATTAGCTATGACTTTGATAGTTTTCTAGATGTGTTATAAAATTGAAATGCTCAGACAATAATTTTCTTTTCTATTAAAATATATTTTAACCCATTTGTCCATGAAAAAGGATTAGCAGTGTACATCATTGTACTACTGCAGAGGAAATAATTAATTTGCAGAGATGTGTAAGGAAACAGTCTTGCAAAGATAAAGACATTTTCAACTACATATTTATTTATTCAGCAAATATCTATTGAATGCATAGGCACCATAATTACCCCTGAATACTACTCAATATGGTTCTACAGCATTAATGTGCCTGGATATATCAAATTATTGGAATTATCTATTGGTAGTTATTTGATTAGTTTCAAAGCAACTCTGAAAAAGGCTTTAATCAGGACTCAAAAAGAAAACTCTCAGATAAAAAGTTCTTGTCTAGCAACAATCAGTTAGACAAAAGACAGACATACTGGCCTGCCTAAACAAATTTGTAATCACTGTATCTCTCAAAAATTTTTGCTTCGGAATCCTAACTACTTATCTATCTATAGATAGAGTATCTATCTGACCTTTGAATGCCTGTTAAAGACCAGAAGAATTCCTGTGCCTAAATGATGTTTCCAATAGCAAAACCAGGAAACTGCCAGATTTGCACAATCACCCCCAAATCCCCATACTCCCTGGTGGAGGATTCTTATGTTTTCTTTGAGTTCCTATCAATCCTGCAGTACTGCTTGTTTTGCCATGACTCAGGCAATATTAGCATTACTCCAATGCACCATTTGTAGAAAAGCACTGCCCACATTTTCTTTTTCTCCCTTCTTCTCTGATCATGTTCTCCCTCAGTCTTCCCACCCGTTCATCTACCCTTCCCTTTTTTACCTAGTTGAGATGGGTGATCTAGCCCAGTCAGGAGTATCTGGGTTATTTTTTTTATTTTTATTTTTTTGAAAAGGAGTCTCGCTCTGTCGCCCACGCTGGAGTGCAGTGGCGCGATCTCGGCTCACTGCCAGCTCCACTTCCTGGGTTCACGCCATTCTCCTGCCTCAGCCTCCCCAGTAGCTAGGACTACAGGCGCCCGCCACCACGCCTGGCTAATTTTTTTGTACTTTTAGTAGAGACGGGGTTTCACAGTGTTAGCCAGGATGGTCTGGATCTCCTGACCTCGTGATCCACCCGCCTCGGCCTCCCAAAGTGCTGGGATTACAGGCTTAAGCCACCGCGCCCGGCCTGATTTTTAAATAGGATTAAGTTTGCTAGATAAAATATAAGACACCTAGTTCAGTTTGAATTCTAGATAAACATACAATATTGGAGCCAAACGTATTACAAACTATTGTTTATCTGAAATTCAAATATAACTGGTTATCCTGTGTGTGTTAAATCTAGCAGCCTTAAAGACTATATTTATCTAATATGAATGAAAATATTGGCTTGAGTCTGAAGGTAATTTTAACTTTGGAAAAAATTGTTATGTCAGGAAAATCTAAGGATATACCAAAAGCAGAAGTGATAGGGTAGGTGGAAGCAATTATTGGAGAGTCTGCAGGCAGCTTGAAATCATAGTGCCTATTTAAAGCAAGGCTTTCCAACATTCTATATCGACAGCACAGGTATACATACATTTTACATCATAAGCTAGCACATATACACACTCATAAAATCAAACTGATCATTTCTATTCTCTTCTCTATTTCATTTTTAAAAGTGATCACAGCCCACTAAATTAACTTGATGAGTCATAAATGGATTATGACATCTAATAAAAAAACACTGTTCTAAAGCAGAGGAATGCACTCTGTCCATCCAAAGTTATTTTGTGGTGCTGAGAATTTGATGAGTATGTGGTCAAATTTACAATAAAAGTAGGCAAATCTGAAGAAGGTATAAAGCAGGCAGGAGTATTTTTAGATAGTTCAAGTCAGTTTTTCAGACGGATAAAAACAATTTGGAGATTTGAGGCAAATGCATTCAACACAGAGTAAAAGAAATGAAAAGTGAATGTGCTACAGAGGTAGGAAGTCAGTATTCTCCAAAGATAGGGAAATGGTACAAGTGCTAGACCAGAGGCAAAAACAGCTTAAAAGAAGGCAAAGCATTTCACCATATGATATAAAGAAACTAGAGGAGGAAAACATATACAGGTAGCAGCATTCTAGGGCACCATCAGATGAATTTGGTACTATATCAGTATACATTAGTAGACTGAAGTTAATCAAGCAGAAAATAGAAAGTGGTTTATGTTAAATTATAATTAATTTTCAAAGCACTGAGATCACAGGCATGTGCCACCACATTCAGCTGTTATTTCTTATGATTGAATATTTGGCTGCTAAGGAAAAGATTGTCATAACAGAGAATTCTTATATTAGATGAAAAAATAAGTAGATGGGCAATGAAAAAGATCTTTTTCATACATGTTCACTATTCATAAAATAAAGAGAATTCCTAAATATTGCATTAAATAAGATAACTCAGCAAAGTCATTGTTTATAGAATTACTTGTGACATGAAGAATTACATTAAAAGACACAAGTACTTACATGGGAGTGTGGAAAACCTCTTCCTGTCTTGATTTTTCCTGAAGAGTATGTGTAATATGATACATTTATATTTCCCTTGGGCCCTAGGGGAGAACCACAAAGAATGCCACTTTTCTGGTCTAGAGTTCATTGGCATGTTCAAAACCTCCTAGACTTCTGTTGCAACTCCCCTTGTTAAAGTTTACCTTTCTTACACACTGCTGGTCTGTGGGGAGCAAGCATTTCTTTTTGAACACATATCCAAGAATACAGTTGCTGTAGCCACTCAAAGCAGGCAATAATTAGCCATCTTAGGGAGACAGAGAAAGACGGCGAAGATTTCACTTCATTCTGTTAGGGACTCCAGTAATTTGCATATCGTTCATGTATTTATGCAAGAGGCAAAGTGCAGAGTCTGTGAGATGACGACAGTGCACTATGGTTGCAGAATCAGTTGTCTGAATTATTGAATTGCTAAACAACTGGCAAATAAGAAACACATTTTTCAAAGGTACCAAGGAGAGAACTGGCTATGTGGTTTCCTTTATAAAATGTCTCTCAACTGGGAGTGTTTACTGTTCTCACTAGGTGACTTTTGCAAATAGAGAACAAGAAGGCATTTTGGTTATTACAGTATCTGGGGTTTGGTGGTGCTGAAAGTTAACATATTATGGGATATCAAAAGGCCTGGAGTACTTGGGACAATGCCACCTGTCTGCCCCTAAGGCCTATATAGCCCAATTGAGAGATAACACTTTAGACTATGTAAATAATTAGACACTAATGAATATATCTGACCAAATATATCACGTCTATGTATTATCTATTGATAAGAAAAAGCACAGAAAGATAGAAATTTCCTGTTCCAAATTCCAAATTCTCAGAAGAGCAACTAGGTTACTGACTCAGTTTCTTTCAGAATTCACCCGTAACCAAAGAACTAAATTCAGCTGAGGAAAGTGTTCACTCTGAGAGGACATTCCCAGGAAAATGAGGGTGGAGGGGGAAATGGGGAGCAGAAGAGATAGATGGATAAAAATAGGTAAAAGCTGGTTCTTTACTTATCATAAGACAACTAAGTCTGCTGCTCATAAAGCTAGTTAATAATATTCTCAAATTTATGAGAAAATCATAAATGAAGACATGGGTGGGTGTTATCCATAGGTCACTAAGGAGAATAGTAGACACAAAAAAAGAAGTAAGCTTTTCATTACCTGATTAAGAGGGGGAAAAAAGCAATTTAGAACATCTGTTACCCCAAAAACAACTCCATATTAAAAGAAAAAAACCATCTTTCTAGTCACATTATTATAATATCTATAGTGTTTGAAGCAATTATTATGTTAAAACTTTACCTATATTATTTATGGCCCTAAAAACAACCCTACAAAATAATAACATGCCAACATCACACATGTAGAACTTACACTATCAAGATTTAAACTCAAGTCTAGTTGGCATCAAAGCTGGACCATTCTGTCTCCACAATCTCATGCCAGTCTCCCATGTCTTACATCTCCTTGCTATTATACTCATTGCAAATTCATTACCTATATAGTTATTTATACAGGTGCATACATGCAGGCACTTTAAGAAATTTGGTCATTTTATTTTTTTTTACACTATCAGAGTAGCAAGGAAAACAAACCTCTCGATCTGAGTGAGAATCACCCACTAGGAGGCATTAACCAGCTACTTTTTAAAGCCGCATTGGCTCCTTTTCACCACTAGGGAGCACTAAAGTAGTAATTTACTAGGCTGTCATAAACAACTAATGAAGTTTCTCCAAAAGGTAAATTATATTTCAAAGAATATTCACTGGGATATTATAATTTAATATAAAAATTATTGATGATGTGGTGTGTGACACTAGCTGATGATAAACTTCTTTGGATAAGCTCTTACGTCTTTTTTTTTTTTTTGTCTCCACTACCAAGAAGACAGCTTCTGAATCTTAACAGATTTGCAGTATTACTCTGGCCACTGCGGTGAGCAACTACACCTATATGAGATATATAATTCAATTTTAATGAATGGCAGTAAGCTATTCTTTTGTTTTAGGATTGCTAGTTAATAAATTTAATTATCATGCTGAATTATTTTTAACTGTTTCCTTCTGAGATGTTGTACACATCTGACAATAATCTGAATAATATTCAGTAGCTGTAGCTAATATTTAGAAATCACTTGTGTAAAACCTATATATGTTTGTGTGGATATGGGGTGTGTGTGTATGTGTGTAACTGATAAATAAACCAATGTGAAAAGTAATGTGTTTATATTCTACCTCAAATGAGATATCATTATATATGTGATAACCATATATATATATATATATATATATATATGGTTCTCTATATATATATGAGAATATATATAGAGAGATAGATCTACATCTTTCTATATTTATATCTATATAGATACAGAGAGATATACCTACATATGTATATATAGATATGTATCTATATATCTAATAGATATATATGTATATATAGAGAGATAGATGGATACATATATGTCTATATAGATATAGAAAGACATAGATCTATTTATCTATAGATAGCTATAGATATATCTAGATATTTTATATTTATATAGAGAGACATAAAGCAAAATAACCTAACAAAATTATCTGTAAAATATCTACATTTGAGTGCTATTTTATACTGATAAACTCTCTAAGGTAAACTAGCTATAAAATACAATTCTAGATCACAAATTTATTGTGTAACAGTGTAAATTATTAATGAGTTCAATACTGGACAAAGTTTACCAAAAATTTGAACTTGGAATAGTTCATTTAAAGTTTTTCTATCTCTGTTAGACATCCAGAACAGCAGCTTATTTAAGGTACTCTAGTTTGTAATAATAAAATGGGGAAAAAACAATGCATCTGTATTAAAAAGGCAGGAACCTATATTTGTCTGTTGTGTTATTTTGCCTTAATTTTCTTTCTACATTAAAGCATTTGGCTACAGAAATGAAATTAAGTTCTAAGCCTGATAGAGATTTTCTTAGCCCCTCTGCTTCAAAGACAATCTATACTTGCACTAAGATCCGTGGCAAGAAAGGGAAAAATTCATAATAGTAAAAAGAAGTGAAAGAGACTCAAACACACAGTATTTTTATATTCTATGAGTGAATTGTGCCTAGAGAGTATTTTTTTCTAAGAAATGTATGTAATTCTCAGTTTTTCATTTAATGATATTCATTTATTTCAAAATATACTCCAACATTTTTAAATATTTTGAATAGACATAGTTCCCCTTTTTTTGAAAATAAAGATTTTTCTGTGGAGTTTGCTGAGACTTCTTCCTCATCTTGATGACATGCTTCTTAACTTCTAACTGTCAAACACATACCAAACGCTATTAGGTGTGATGCCACATTAGGACTCATATAAGAATCAAGGCTTGATGCGATGGCTCATGCTTGTAATCCCAGCACTTTGGGAGGCCAAGGCAGGCGGATCACCTGACGTCAGGAGTTTGAGACCAGCCTGACCAACATGGTGAAACCCCATCTCTACTTAAAATACAAAAAAATTAACCAGCCATAGTGGTGAATGCCTGTAATTCCAGCAATTTGGGAGGCTGAGGCAGGAGAATCACTTGAACTCGGGAGGTGGAGGTTGCAGTGAGCTGAGATCATGCCATTTCACTCCAGTGTGGGCAATAAGAGCAAAACTGTCTCAAAAAAAAAAAAAAATCAGACAGGTCCTATGCTAACTGGGAGGTCAATAGATTGCTCTATGCCAATAACTCACATTTTCTTTCTATCTCACTCCTGACTTAAGTTAAATTTAGCTAGAGATGAGAGACAGAAACAAGTATGTTAAATGATCATATAAGGTATCAATGACTGCTGGCAGCTTAATTGATTCTCCACCTTCTCTTGCCTAATGATATTTGAATTTTATATAAAAATACAGGGGTCAATGGTTTAACCCAAATAGATTGAGTTCTAATTGTAAAACTTGAGGCACTATGACACAGAAGGAAAATGTGCTTGAGACCAAAGACTTCCTGGCATGAATCAAAAAGGTATGTAGATAAACCCCTATTTCAATACTGTTAAGATCTGCAAACTCTACAAACTCTGTCTTAGACTACAGAATTATATCATATATGTGAGTGAATTGTGGCCTATGCACAAAGAGGCTACATGAATTGTTCAGAATTCTTGAGTTTGACTTTAGTGCTACTTTTCCACACCATATGGCTGCAAATTTGGTTAATTAGTCCCATTATAAGTTGACAAAAATTCTGGGAATTTTTACATGACAAACTAGCAGAAACTGGTGCAAGTTAGAATATTCTATTTAGCAATAGAGACAGTGAACCAATAGATATTTATAAAAAGAACTAGGCAAAAAATAATGCTAACTAGGGTTTTAAGGTTAAGTGTCCTAGATATGATAGTATAAATATTTTCTTTATTAATGTTCGGAGTAAGGCTGTAGAGATTCTACATGAATATGTTACTATTCTACAGCATATCTCTGGAAAGGAATATTCCATTCATATTAAAAGCATTTTTTTAAAAAAAGAGACAATTTTATTTTTTTCCAGAAAATTAATTTGAAATTAGTTTAACAGATTTAATCTTTGGGAAAAGCAAATGAAATAACTGAAACTCTCACGAGTTTCATTTGGCAGGAGAGCTCCTAAACACAAGAACTCTGGCCTTTCCTCATGCTTTCTTATAAACCCAAACCGTGGACTTCCAGGGATAGTGACATCTACAGGATGCACCAAAAAAAAAAAAATGCCTGCATGAGAAGTTATTACTATTCCTGTCTACCAACACAGAGGCATTAGAGCGGGCCTAGGAAATTAGATCCATAATTGTAACTAGGGTAAATGATAGAGCTATGCTAATTTTGCTGCCTGTCCTTCTACGTGAAACATGAGTAGTGATTGGACAAAGAAGGAGAGAAGTAACACCAATCACAAGTTTACTATATGCCGAGCACTTTGCACATAGTAACTCATTCATTTTAGCACACAATGTATATCATTATCCACCATATAAAGAAAAAGAGTAAATAATTTGCCAAAAGTGGCACAGATACGAAATGAGTGTTAGATTTGAAATTTGAAACTGCGTTAGTCTGGCTTCCAGCCTATTTCCTTTTAGCTATAGCATATGTTCTCCACTCCTGACTTGAATGTAATTATTGGCAGTTATATATATGAGTAATACATATAAGTTTACAATATCACACTATGAGTTGTATGTGTGTATGTGTTTATACATAGATATATGCAGACTGTTTTCTCTATTGATAACACTGACTTTCCCTCTTAGTTCCTGGATTTCTACCAGTTAGTCTTATTTTACATGTAGCAAGAAAGAGCTTTGAAACTTAACCCTTTGATTAGTCCCTAATTTAAGAAATGTGTCTGAACTCGCTTACCCTGTGATATAATACAATTGATAAAAGAAAACCAGAAAACAGTGATGTATTCACAGAAAGTGAAGTTTTGGCAGAATTTGAGAAAAGTTAAACACTGGAAGACAAAACAGGGTCCCAAGTTATTTTTATAATGCCACATCATTAATTTTGAAGTGACTTTCCAAATTGCTAACCACATCTGCATTCAGATTATATTTTTTAGTAAAAGGATATATTTTAAGTTCAAACATGAGTGATATTGAGATGTCTACACCTCTTCTCCGTTTTGTTCATGTAGATAACCAAGAGTAGACTACAGACAAATATACTGAAACACATTCAATGTACCAGTAACAGTTAATATATACACAGATACAAATGCAATAAAGAGACCTAAGAGTCACTATAATTCAATAATGATTGAAAAAAAAATTATGATTGCCTTTACATATTCCTAAAATGTGTCATTTTGTGTGGGATTTTCAAGAGCTCATAAGAAATAATATATATACCCTCCAATTTTATCTAAAGTCAAATCAGATTACAATAAAGTTTAAGCTTTATAAATGCCTAGATATTTCAAGGAATGATATACTGCAGATAGAAAAAACAAATGCATTCAAAAGTTAATCCAACATTAAAGGACCACCATTTCCTGCAGAGTGAAAACATAGAAAGATTTGCAAAAAGGCAAAGTAAATAAAATGACCACTAGATCTATTGATAATATTGTTAAGACAGTATGATACACTTTAATGATTAGTTATATAAGTATGGTTTCTTGGCCATGTAGGAAAAAGGAGAAAAAGAAGGTCAATAAACATAATCATCATGCATGCTCTATAAGCTAATGTTTAAGAATTAGAAGAAATCTTAAACTTAATGGGAACCATTATAATTGCAATAGTTATCTAGCTAATCCTACCTATGACTAGCCAAATTCAGCATTAGTATTAAGAATTAAAGTCTGGCCCAACAGTCTATGGCCTTAATAGCACTAAACCGTTCTATTTCAAATCACATTTTAGTTTTATGCCTCATTAATTGAACACTTACATCAAATTTTAACATTAGACTTAAATTCATTGTAGAGTCACATGCACAGTTTCACTGGCATTGCAAGCAGTTCTATATTTTGTTTCTTTCCTATAATGAATTATTACTGCATAAAAAGGAAATGTTTCCCAATTAGAATTCAACTGAGAGAGATCAGAGGGAAAAAGTTTAGGCCAAAAAGAACCTTCATGGTATCAGGAAAAGGTGACAACACTTTAGATGTGCAAAGAAAAAACTTGGGAAAAGAGAGAATATTCAAATAGGACATTCTCAAGAGGGATTAGATAAGGTTTCAGATTCTGGACATACTTTCAAAGGTTATATCTCTACCCCAAAATGCAGAAAATGTCTTCCTAATGTTAATTCAAAATTGTGTACACTGGAAACATGTTTATCAATTTATTACAAGTGTTTAGCATGCATAATGGCAATGGATCAGATTCTCTACATTTCATTTAAGAAAACACAGGGCAAGAGATTTGGATTTAAATCATTGACTCATTTTGCATTTTGATTAAAGGTCTATAATAAATGCATTTCAAAGATTAAATTATTTTAAATTGCTTTTGGCACCTAAACAGATTTGGCTGCCACACTACTATTGACAACGAAACCACTTGATTTTTGCTTGTTATTTTGGTTTTTGTTTTTATTCATTTAATACAATTGAAATTATGCATCCCTAGCAAAGTCCTTTTACAAAGTCCTGTCGAGTTCAGGTAGCTATTTCATGAAAATGTATTATTATAAGATTACACAGTTAGTGATATTAGTAGATCAATATACATTTATTTTTTCCTATTACTGTCCAGAGGAATAGCCCTGGCTTAGGAGACAGGCAAAATGAGTATGTTCAGTAATGTTAGTCTATATAAAAATATCCCAAGAAGCTAGGCCATTATCATTAGTCATGAAAAGAATGTCTCCTGGAATGTGTAAGTCAAAAGAAAGTTTATGTGGCAGATTTATGTAAGGAAACTTACAATAGTGCCTGCCCACAAACCATGCAATTTGGAAACAGCCAAGAAACAAAACCATAGAGGAGGAGGGATAAATACAACATGTATTAGGGGTTATTATGCAACTACAAAGATTCAATATGACCCTGGAAATATAGCAAAAAATAGTTATGAAAAAGAAGCTATTTCTTATGCTCAGTAGCTAATTTTCAAACATAGGTACCTGTATTTGAAACTTTGAGCATTTCACACATTTTTCTGTATCTGAAAAAAAAATGGATCCAGACTGATATTGTATATCAATATAGCTGAAAACAGTTAATATAAAGGTAGCCAAAAGCAAAATTCAATAAGAATTCTCAAAAAGGATATTATTCTCATTGCTGACAAAGTAATTCGGATGCACATTTTGCTCATATAGGAGAAGAATAATTTACTGTTCAATTTTCCTAGACAGGATGAAATATCTATAGTAATATGATTTTATAAAGGTTTTAATTAAATAAAAAGCTAGATTAAAGTGTCTAGATCAAACTGTAGGTATAATTAGAAACTTTAGATTAATATATTACTCCATTTTGACACTATATATTTCGATATCTAGCAGTTAATTAAATCTGCTTTTTACAAAATTTATGACAAAAACATCATATACTTCCATTTTTAAACTTTCAAGGGCATTAGATCTATTACAATAACACATATCTTTTAATATTCTATCCTGGAAAATTAAGAAATACATACCCTTCAGGATAAATACATTGAATATAAGGAGACATAAGAAAAGTACATAAAATATTCCTCATGACTTTATTATTACTATGAACTAGAAAATACCTAAACATATTAATATGATTTGATGGAAAATAATTGTTGACAGTAGTGGTAGTATAAAAGTTCTTATGTTCCAGTCCATAATTCATATGCTATGACTCATTGAATATATAATATTCATAATATAATATATAATATATGTCCCCATTTGTGGACATTTGATTGGGACTACCACATATTATACATTTTTAAAGGCAACAATATGAAAATTCTAGAGACAGTTTTAAATTATATGAATAGACTAGTGAACATACAACCAAAATAATTATAGTTTAAATGTTGGGCATGACCATCATATGGCCTAATTTATGTTGAAGATAGAATATTTATAATTATCGAACCCATTTAAACAAGGATACATAATATCAAGTCTCGAAATGCATGCTCTTTTTTTTTTCTTTTTTAACTTACTGCTTTGTAAGTTCTCTTTTGTCCAGCGTGTTTCCGAATTTGTTCTCCATTTGGCCCCGTTTCCACATGCATCGAATAAATAATGTCAAAGAAATCTTCAACCACAGCTACCCGTCGTAAAGATAGCTTCTCATCTACCCCTACGCCATCCTGGAAACAAAACAACAACAACAAAAACCCATAAGATTAATAAACTAATTTGCATTTAATACACAAATTGTTTAAAACAAAATGTTTTTATAACCTCAACAAAATCATCTATATAGGAAACGTCAAAAATTCATGAATGAATATTTCAATATTTTATGCATTACTTACATACAGAACTTGGAAAAACATGAGAGAAGACATTTGGCATAGTTAATATTGAATAAATCATGCTTACCCATCAATTCCATCTTTTAAGTTTTTATAATGACTTATTTGTTGCCATCAGTACGATTTTCTTAAATTATTTTAAAATATATTTTGAGGCCCAGTAATTTTTTATTGTAATAATTAAATTCTAGATATTTATTAATTCATCCAAACAATATTGAGTTGCTGGGCCCTGGAAACTGTAATTCGAGAAATGAAAAAAATGATACAGAGTTATCCTAGGTTATTGCATAACCTAGGAAAGAAAACACATTTATTATTCTATCAGTATTGGTCTAAAGAACAATATGTGGTAAAGGTTAAAAACATGAGCTCTAGAAATTATCTATGTGAAATTTAGATCTTCTACTTGGAAGCAGCATATTTTGTGCAAATCACTTAAACTTCTCTAAATTTCAGTTTTTCTCTCCTATAAAATAAAGAGCCCACTACACAAAACTGTTGTAAGAATTAAATGAAATGACATATTTAAAGGATGTAATCCAATGTTTACCACATAATGAACCCTCAGTAAATGGTGGCTCTTGTCATTTTCAGGACCATGATAAAAATATGCAAAGTACTATAAGAATTAAGAGAAAATATCACCTTCTGTTGAAGTAGATTCCAGGAAGAAATATAATTTAACACAGGTTGGAGTTGGAGCCAGGCAAAAGCCATTTTGCTGGGAAGTACAGCAAAGAACAAAGAGTTTTCATGGATAATAGAGAGGAGTAAGAAATAAGTTTGGAATGAGATAATAAAGTTAATCTTACATGACTGCAACATGAAAGGGCTTCCTGCTTGCAAACACACACATACACATACACACACACACATACACCGACACACACACACACACACACACACACACACTTCTTATTTGGACCCTGTGATATAATTTGAAGTAACATAACATAGCCATTAACCCCAGCATACAGCACAAGAGAGTGATTAATCTGAGCAAAATCATTATGCAGTGAGATGGCAAGAGTTTATTTGAACAGTAACCCCAGCAGACTGAGCTCACTGCAAAAACAAAAGTAAGTCACCTGGTGCTTTCTGTTAGTTTTTTGTTATTTATTCATTTATTTTTCTGACATGGTAAGCCTTGTGAGTAGTGGTGGCTGAAGCAACATATTCAGACAACTATATATAGGAAATCACATGTTAGGTCAAAGAGCTAAAAACACAATTTCATATGCCTCCTCCTGACCTATCCCCTATACCTGAGAGAATAACCACCTTTCCTAGGCTGAAAACTCAAATTCTAACTGTACCCACTAGTAAAACCACCCATAAAACTTTGTCTTCTTTGTTCCCAGCCATGAAATTTGTACAGTCTCCAGCAAAGGAACTGAGAGGGTTCCTTTGCTGGAAAAACAAAAAATATGATAATCTTTTACACTTAGTCTGTATTTATTGTTTATGGGAATAAATATATATTTGTCCTTTAATTCATTCACATGTTCACTCATTTATCTAGCTAAATACTCAACTGTGAGTGATGTGGGGATCACAGCCTATTTACTCATTTTATCAATAAGTATTCAACAAGGCCCAGATACTACTAAACCCTCTGCTAGTAGCTGGAGTTAGCAAGATGTGTAAGACAGATAATTGAGGCATTTGTGAAGCTTACAGTTTAATGCAGAAAATAGGTATTAAAGAAATGGTTGCTAGGGTAGTATATTAATTTCTTATGGATTCTCTAACAACTTACTACAAAATGAGTGGTTTTCAAAAAGAGTACTTTATTTTCTCATAATCCTGGAGGCCAGAAGTCCAAAATCAAAATGTCCACAGAGCTATACTCTTTCTGGAAGCTCTAGGAGAGAACCCATTCTTTGCCTCTTCCAGCTTCTGGTGCTTTACAGCATTTCACAGCTTGAGGCTGCATTATATTACCATTGTCTCTTCTGTGCATCTCTCCTCTGCGTTTTTCTCTCTGGTGAGGACCCTTATGATGAGATTTAGAGCCTAATCAGATAATCCAAAGTAATCTTCTCAAGATGCTTAATAATATCTACAAAGGTCCTTATACCAAACAAGATAATGTTTACAAGTTTCAAGAATTAGGACTTGGTATCTTAGGGTGGCCATTATTCAACCAACTACCAATGGGTATGAGTTAGAGCACAGGAGATACAAATTGTGCCATAGGAGCATACATTTGAAAAGTTTCACAAGCATTTCTTAACAGTCAACATTGTCTCAAGAAATTGGAAGTTCAGTGTTTGTCAGGATAATATTAAAATCACATATTTGTGGAGGAAAATTGTCTATTATCTTCTTGTTATGTGGACCTGTTTACTCTCAACTATGATTTAAGCACAATACACCTGTACTCTATAAGTAAAAATCAAAAATGCCTTCAGAGGTTAGGTCTACCATATAAATCAGCCAAATATCATGAGTTAGACAGTAAGGTATAATTAAGTCATTCAGAAACTGGAAGAAATATATTTAATGAGCTTAGAGCTCAACAAACCCAAAGTTTCAAAAACGCAAAAAAAAAAAAAAAGTAAATAGACACAGTACAGTAGAAATTAAAACCAAAGGCAAAGACAAAAGTCTTGAAAGCACCAGGAGATAAAAGACACATCACATATAAGTTAACCCCAATTACAATTAACTTCGCAAAAGAAACAAAGGAGGTCAGAATGCAATGGGATGAAATATTCAAATTGCTAAATGTAAAAAACTGTCAACAAGGAATCTTATAGCCAGAGAAACCTATCTTTCAAAAATTAAGGTGAAGGCCAGATGCAGTGACTCACACCTGTAATCTCAGCAATTTGGGAGGAGGCAGAGGGGGGTGGATCACCTGAGGTCAGGAGTTCGAGACCAGCCTGACCAACATAGAGAAACTCCATCTCTACTAAAAATACAAAATTAGCTGGGTGTGGTGGTGCGTGCCTGTAATCCCAGCTACTTGGGAGGCTGAGGCAGGAGAATAGCTTGAACCTGGGAGGTGGAGGTTGCAGTGAGCCAAGATCACACCATTGCACTCCAGCTTGGGCAACAAGAGCAAAACTCCGTCTCAAAAAAAAAAAAAAAAAAAGTGAAATACACTATCCCAGATGAACAAAACTGAGAGAATTCAATGCTAGTAGACATAACATATGATAATAATGCTAAAGGAAGTTATTTGGGCTGAAGGTAAATGACATCAGACAGTAATTCAAATTCACATGAAAATATCCAGAACACCAGTAAAGGTAAAAATAATATAATATAATACAAATTAATATAATGTAATGTAATATATTAATGTTAAAGACAGTATAATTGCATATTTGTTCTTGAATGACTTCAAAGGCAACTGGATAAAACAATAGGTAATTGATTTATTGGAATAATAACATAGAGAAATGTAACACACTTGACAATAACAGAGAAAAGGGGCAGAAACAAAGGTGTATTGGAGTTTGGAGTAAGGAAATGATACCTTATGGTGATGCAGATCCACACATAGAAAGAAAGAGAACCAAAAAGGTCAAATAAGAAAGTTGGCCGGGCTCAGTGGCTCAGGCCTGTAATTCGAGCTCTTTGGGAGGCTAAGGAAGGCAGATCATGAGGTCAGGAGTTCAAGACCCGCCTGGCCAATATGGTGAAACCCCTTCTCTACTAAAAAATACAAAAGTTAGCTGGGCGTGGTGGCATGCACCTGTAGTCCCAGCTACTCAGGAGGCTGAGGCAGGAGAATCGCTTGAACCTGGGAGGTGTAGGTTGCAATGAGCTGAGATCACGCCACTGCACTCCAGCCCGAGCCACAGAGTGAGACTTCGCCTCAAAATATATATATACTTTTCTACTTTCTTCCCTCAGCTTCTTTAAAACACATAAGATTATAAACAGCAATAGTTATAACAATATATTGTTGTATTTTAACATATATAGATGTTTTACATGTGTGTGTCAGTTTTATGACTTATCAGCCATAGAACAAAATATATATCAGTCACAGAACAAAAAAGTGGGAAAAATATAGCTATATAAAATTAAAATTTCTTTACTTGGTTGTAACCAACATACTATATATCTGAAGTAGATTCTGATAATTTTGAATGTATATTGTATGCTCAAGAGCAACCACTAAAATATAATTTAAAAATATAATTAAAAAAGAGACTCATTTCATAGTAATAAAAAGTTCAACTCACCAGACAGACAAAACAACGATCAACATATATGGACCCAATAAGAGACTCCAAGTGACACACACACACACACACACACACACACACACACACACACACACACACATTGATGAAGCAAAAACAGAATTAAAGGGAGAAATAGACAATTCAACAATAATAGCTGGAAACGTAAAAGCTCACCTTCCAAAGTAGAACAATTAGGCAGAAGATATATAAAGAAATACAAGACTTGAACAATACTTAAAATTTAAAAAAAAACTAATAGACATACATAGAACACTCTACAAAACAGTAACACATTTTTCATGAGAGACCTCATGCTATCATAAAACAAGCCTCAATAAATTTAAGGGATTGAAAATATATTTTACATGTTTTATGACCAAAATGGAATTAAATTAGAAATTAATGACACAAGGATATTTGGGAAAACTACAAATATAAAGAAATTAACATACTTCTGAAAACTAATTGGTCAGACGAATCCAAAGGAAAACTAGAAATACTTTGAGATGAATGAAAACAAAGACACAACATGCCCAAACCAGTGCTAAATGCCTGTATTAAAAAATAAGAAAAATTTCAAATCAGACTTATCTTTTCACCTTAGTAACCAGAAAAAGAGTAAACTAAAATCGAGCAGAAGGGAGAGAATATGTAAAAACTTGATGTGAAACAAATGAAATGGAGAGTAGAAAACAATGGACAAAATCAGCAAAACTAAAAGGCAATATGTGAAAACAACTTTTTAAATGACAAAGTTTAAGCTCTACTTATATAAAAATGTAAAAAGAGGAGGGAAGACTCAAATTACTAAAATTAGGAATAAAAGAAGGATCATTATTGACCTTACAAAAATAAAAGAATCACAAAAACCCATAAACAAGTGTATGTCAACAAATTAGAATTAATAATATAAAATTAACAATTCCTAGAAAGACTTAAATTATTGATAATGGCTGACAAAAAATTTATAGGCCTATCACAAGTATAAAGACAAAATTAGTAATTAAAAAAGCTATTCACAGCGGGGTGCGGTGGCTCGTGCCTGTAATCCCTGCTCTTTGGAGGCTGAGACGGGTGGATCACGAGGTCAGAAGATCGAGATCATCCTCGCTAATACAGTGAAACCCTGTCTCTACTAAAAATACAAAAAATTAGCCAGGTGTGGCGGTGGGCGCCTGTAGTGCCCGCTACTTGGGAGGCTGAGGCAGGAGAATGGCATGAACCTGGGAGGCCAGAGCTTGCAGTGAGCCAAGATCACACCACTGCACTCCAGCCTGGGCGACAGAGTGAGACTCCATCTCAAAAAAAAAAAAAAGCTTTTCACACACAGAAGCAGCCCAGGCCCAGACAGCCTCACTGAACCAAACATTCAAAGAATCAATGGAATTCATCACAAACTCTTTTAAAGCAATAGGTGACAAAACACTTCCCAAATTATCCAATGAGGCCAGCATTATCTTGATACAAAAATCAAATATATCACAGGATAAAAAAGATATACAAAACAATATATTTTATGAATATAGATACAAAAATCCTCAATAAAGTACTAGCAAACCAAATCCAACCACATTTACAAGTTATTATATACCACAGTCAAGTAGGATTATCCCAGGAATGCAAGGTTAGTTTAATACAATGAAATGAATTAATTTAATATATCATATTAATACAATAAAGGACACAAGCATATTATTATTTCCATAGATCCAGGAAAAAACTCATTTGACAAAAGCCAACATACTTCCCTGACAAAAATTCTAAGTAAATTAGGAATAGAAAGGAATTTCCTCAACTTCATGAGGGACATCTACAAAAACCTCCCACAACTAACATCTTATTTAATTGTGAGAGACTGAATGCTTTCCTCCTAAAAATAAAAGCCAAACAAGAATGTGTGCTCTAGCCACATCTATTTAACATCATACTGGTGAATCTAGCCAGGAAAATTAATCAGGGAAAAGACAGAAAATACACCAAATTGGAAAGGAAGAAGTAAAAATATCTTTGTAGATGCTTTGTGTGTCACGAATGACATGATCTCATATATAGAAAATTCTAAGGAATCCATTAAAAAACTGTTAGAACTAATAAATGAGTTCCAGTCAATATTAAAAATCAATTGTAGTTTTTATTAGCAATGAACAATCTGAAAATGAAGGGGGAAAAATAATTTCTTTTATAAGGGTTTCAAAACACTAAAATACTTAGGAATAATTTAGATATAATGTTAAAAAAGGTGTAAGACTTATACACTGAACATTATAAAACATTGCTGAAAATATTTAATATGAGCTAAATAAACTGAAATACACCTTACGTTTATAGACTAGAAGACAATATAAACCTTATTTTGCAGGATCATTGAAATCACTACCAAAATTCCAAATAGCTTTTCATGAAAATTGACAAGTTGGCCTTAAAATTTATATGTAAATTCAAGGAAACGAGATTAGCCAAAATAGCCTTTAAAAAAAAGAAATTCGGAGTTCATACACTTCTTAATTTCAAAGCTTACTACACTAAAGTCTTTATTAGATAGTGTGGTATTGGCATGTGAATTGACATATAGATCAGTGGAATAAAATTGAGACTTCAGAAATAAAGCCTTCCATTTATTCAGTTCATCTTCAAAAGACATGTCAAAACAATGCAGTAGGAAAAGAATTTAACAAATAATGCCAGGACAACTATATACCCAAATGAAAAGGAATAGTCAGGTCCCTACCTCAACCCATACATAAAAATTAAATTAAATGATCAATGTAAATGTAAGAGCTAAAACTCAAAATTTGTACAAGGTTACACAGAAGTAAATGTTTGTAACCTTGGGTAACGCAAAGTCCTCATAACTGTCAAAATTAAAAGCAACAAAAGGAAAAATTATAAATTGAACTACAAAAATATTTAAAATGTTTATGATGCAAATAATACCACCAGAAAGTGAAATGACATCTCATACAAATGGGAGAAAATATTTGGAAATCATATACCTAATAAAGGACTTACATCCATAATATATGAAAACACAACTCAGTAATAGAAAGTCAAATAACCCAATTTAAAAACTGTTAAAGAATTTGAACAGACATTTCTCCAAAAAGATGTTTAAATGACAAACAAGCACAAGAAAAAATGCTTAATATAATTCGTGATTAGATAAATGCAAATCAAAATAACAATGAAACACTACTTCACATGCACTAGGATTGCTATATTAAATAACAAGTATTGGCAAGGATCTGGAAAAACTGGAATCCTCATACATTGCTGGTGGGAATGCAAAATAATGCAGTTGCTTTGAAAACAGACTGGCAGTAACAAAAAGTTAAACATAGACTTACCAGACGACTTGGTAAGCCAAAATCATGTATATACGAAATACACACACACACACACACACACACACACACGCACGCACACATACACACATTCAAAAGGAATAAGTTCACCCAAAATATATTATACATGAATATTAATAGTAGCATATGTGTAATATCCAAAAAGTGGGAACTCAAATGTCCATGAACTGAAAAATGTATAAGCAAAATGTGGCATAACCATACAAAGGAATATCTTTCTACCATAAAGAGAAATAAGTACTGATTCATCCATGGATAAACCTTGAAGACATTAAGTTTCATGAAAGAGGCCAGACATAAAAGACCACATATTGTATGATTCAATTCATATGAAATGTAGAAAATAGGCAAATGTATATAGATAGAAATAGGGCCAGATGTGGTGGCTCATGCCTGTAATCCCAGTGCTTTGGGAGGCTGCAGAAGGTGGATCTCTTGAGCCCAAGAGTTTTAGACATAGTGAGACCCTCATCACTATAAAAAATATAAATAAATTGGCTGGGCATGGTGACACATGCCTGTAGTCCCAGATGCTCAGGAGGCTGAGGTTGTAGGATCACTTGAGCCCATAAGGTTGAAGCTGCAGTGAGTCGTGATTGTGTCCCTGCATTTCAGCCTTAGCAACAGGGTGAGAAACTACCTCAAAAAAATAAAAATAAAAATAATGACAGTAGTTTATTGCTTATTTAGAACTGGGGAGGAGAAAAAAATAAGGACTGGCTGTTAATAGCCACAAAGTATCTTTTAGGAGGGACAAAATGTTCCAAAATTAGAGGATGGTGGTTCTACAACGTTCTGAACACACTAAAAATATTGAATTATACACTTTATATGATTACTTTTATAATATGTGAGTTCTGCAAACAGGGACAATTTGACTTCCTCTTTTCCTAATTGAATACCCTTTATTTCTTTCTCCTGCCTGATTGCCCTGGCCAGAACTTCCAAGACTATGTTGAATAGGAGTGGTGAGAGAGGGCATCCCTGTCTTGTGCCAGTTTTCAAAGGGAATACTTCCAGTTTTTGCCCATTCAGTATCATATTGGCTGTGGGTTTGTCATAAATAGCTCTTATTATTTTGAGATATGTCCCATCAATACCTAATTTATTGAGAGTTTTTAGCATGAAGGGCTGTTGAATTTTATCAAAGGCCTTTTCTGCATCTATTGAGATAAACATGTGGCTTTTGTCTTTGGTTCTGTTTATATGCTGGATTACATTTATTGATTTGCATATGTTGAAGCAGCCTTGCATCCCAGGGATGAAGCCCACTTGATTATGGTGGATAAGCTTTTTGATGTGCTGCTGGATTTGAATTGCCAGTATTTTATTGAGGATTTTTGCATCGATGTTTATCAGGGATATTGGTCTAAAATTCTCCTTTTTTGTTGTGTCTCTGCCAGGCTTTGGTATCAGGATGATGCTGGTCTCATAAAATGAGTTAGGGAGGATTCCCTCTTTTTCTATTGATTGGAATAGTTCCAGAAGGAATGGTACCAGCTCCTCCTTGTACCTCTAGTAGAATTCGGCTGTGAATCTGTCTGGTCCTGGACTTTTTTTGGTTGGTAAGCTATTAATTATTGCATCAATTTCAGAGCCTGTTCTTGGTCTATTCAGAGATTCAACTTCTTCCTGGTTTAGTCTTGGGAGGGTGTATGTGTCCAGGAATTTATCTATTTCTTCTAGATTTTCTAGTTTATTTGCATAGAGGTGTTTATAGTATTCTCTGATGGTAGTTTGTATTTCTGTGGGATCAGTGGTGATCTCCCCTTTATCATTTTTTATTGCGTCTATTTGATTCTTCTCTCTTTTCTTCTTTATTAGTCTTGCTAGCGCTCTATCAATTTTGTTCATCTTTTTAAAAAACCAGCTCCTGGATTCATTGATTTTTTGGAGGGTTTTTTTGTGTCTCTATATCCTTCAGTTCCGCTCTGATCTTAGTTATTTGTTGCCTTCTGCTAGCTTTTGAATGTGTTTGCTCTTGCTTCTCTAGTTCTTTTAATTGTGATGTTAGGGTGTCAATTTTAGATCTTTCCTGCTTTCTCTTGTGGGCATTTAGTGCTATAAACTTCCCTCTACACACTGCTTTAAATGTGTCCCAGAGATTCTGGTATATTGTGTCTTTGTTCTCATTGGTTTCCAAGAACATCTTTATTTCTGCCTTCATTTTGTTATGTACCCAGTAGTCATTCAGGAGCAGGTTGTTCGGTTTCCATGTAGTTGAGCAGTTTTAAGTGAGTTTCTTAATCCTGAGTTCTAGTTTGATTGCACTGTGGTCTGAGAGACAGTTTGCTATAATTTCTGTTCTTTTACATTTGCTGAGGAGTGCTTTACTTCCAACTATGTGGTCAATTTTGGAATAAGTGTGATGTGGTGCTGAGAAGAATGTATATTCTGTTGATTTGGGGCAGAGAGTTCTGTAGATGTCTATTAGGTCTGCTTGGTGCAGAGCTGAGTTCGATTCCTGGATATCCTTGTTAACATTCTGTCCCGTTGATCTGTCTAATGTTGACAGTGGGGTGTTAAATTCTCCAACTATTATTGTGTGGGAGTCTCAGTCTCTTTGTATGTCTCTAAGGACTTGCTTTATGAATCTGGGTGCTCCTGTATTGGGTGCATATATATTTAGGATAGTTAGCCCTTCTTGTTGAATTGATCCCTTTACCATTATGTAATGGCCTTCTTTGTCTCTTTTGATCTTTGTTGGTTTAAGGTCTGTTTTATCAGAGACTAGGATTGCAACCCCTGCCTTTTTTTGTTTTCCATTTGCTTGGTAGATCTTCCTCCATCCCTTTATTTTGAGCCTATGTGTGTCTCTGCACATGAGATGGGTCTCCTGAATAGAGCACACTGATGGGTCTTGACTCTGTATCCAATTTGCCAGTCTGTGTCTTTTAATTGGAGCATTTAGCCCATTTACATTTAATGTTAATCTTGTTATGTGTGAATTTGATCCTGTCATTATGATGTTAGCTGGGTATATTGGTCGCTAGTTGATGCAGTTTCTTCCTAGCATCAGTGGTCTTTACAATTTGGCATGTTTTTGCAGTGGCTGATACTGGTTGTTCCTTTCCATGTTTAGCGCTTCCTTCAGGAGCTCTTGTAGGGCAGGCCTCATGGTGACAAAATCTCTCAGCATTTGCTTGTCTAACAATGACTGTATATCTAGAAAACCCCATTGTCTCAGCCCAAAATCTCCTTAAGCGCATAAGCAACTTCAGCAAAATCTCAGGATACAAAATCAATGTGCAAAAATCACAAGCATTCTTATACACCAATAATAGACAAACAGAGAGCCAAATCATGAATGAACTCCCATTCACAACTGCTTCAAAGAGAATAAAATACCTAGGAATCCAACTTACAAGGGAAGTGAAGGACCTCTTCAAGGAGAACTACAAACCACTGCTTAACGAAATAAAAGAGGACACAAACAAATGGAAGAACATTCCATGCTCATGGATAGGAAGAATCAATATCATGAAAATGGCCATACTGCCCAAGGTAATTTATAGATTCAATGCCATCCCCATCAAGCTACCAATGACTTTCTTCACAGAATTGGAAAAAACTACTTTAAAGTTCATATGGAACCAAAAAAGAGCCCGCATCACCAAGTCAATCCTAAGCCAAAAGAACAAAGCTGGAGGCATCACACTACCTGACTTCAAACTATACTATAAGGCTACAGTAACCAAAACAGCATGGTACTGGTACCAAAACAGAGATATAGACCAATGGAACAGAACAGAGCCCTCATAAATAATACCACACATCTACAACCATCTGATCTTTGACAAACCTGACAAAAACAAGAAATGGGGAAAGGTTCCCTATTTAATAAATGGTGCTGGGAAAACTGGCTAGCTATATGTAGAAAGCTGAAAGTGGATGCCTTCCTTACACCTTATACAAAAATTAATTCAAGATGGATTAAAGACTTAAATGTTAGACCTAAAACCATGAAAACCTTAGAAGAAAACCTAGGCAATACCATTCAGGACATAGGCATGGGCAAGGACTTCATGTCTAAAACACCAAAAGCAATGGCAACAAAAGCCAGAATTGACAAATGGGATCTAATTAAACTAAAGAGCTTCTGCACAGCAAAAGAAACTACCATCAGAGTGTACAGGCAACCTACAGAATGGGAAAATTTTTTGCAATCTACTCATCTGACAAAGGGCTAATATCCAGAATCTACAAAGAACTCAAACAAATTTACAAAAAAAACAAACAACCCCAACAAAAAGTGGGCAAAGGACATGAACAGACACTTCTCAAAAGAAGACATTTTTGCAGCCAACAGACACATGAAAAAATGCTCATCATCACTGGCCATCAGAGAAATGCAAATCAAAACCACAATGAGATACCATCTCAGACCAGTTAGAATGGTGATCATTAAAAAGTCAGGAAACAACAGGTGCTGGAGAGGATGTGGAGAAATAGGAACACTTCTAAGCTGTTGGCGGGACTGTAAACTAGTTCAACCACTGTGGAAGTCAGTGTGGCGATTCCTCAAGGATCTAGAACTAGAAATACCATTTGACCCAGCCATCCCATTACTGGGGATATACCCAAAGGATTATAAATCATGCTGCTATAAAGACATATGCACATGTATGTTTATTGTGGCACTATTCACAATAGCAAAGAATTGGAACCAACCCAAATGTCCATCAATGATAGACTGGATTAAGAAAATGTGGCACATATACACCATGGAATACTATGCAGCCATAAAAAATGATGAGTTCATGTCCTTTGTAGGGACATGGATGAAGCTGGAAACCATCATTCTCAGCAAACTATCGCAAGGACAAAAAACCAAACATCGCATGTTCTCACTCATAGATGGGAATTGAACAATGAGAACACTTGGACACAGGAAGGGGAACATCACACACTGGGGCCTGTTGTGGGGTGGGGGGAGGATGGAGGGATAGCTTTAGGAGATAAATCTAATGTAAATGACGAGTTAATGGGTGCAGCACACCAACATGGCACATGTATACATATGTAACAAACCTGCACGTTGTGCACATGTACCCTAGTACTTAAAGTCTAAATAAATAAATAAATAAGAAATATGCAATACAGTCGGCCCTTGGTATCTATGAATTCCACATCCACAGATTCAACTAACTGATAATCAAAAATATTCAGGAAAAATAACAGTACAATAAAAATATTACAAACCTTTAAAAAATGTGAGTTCTAGCTCAATAAAGCTGTTAAAATAAATAGTTGCTAATGGTTTTGGATTTTGAGTTCAAGGATGTAAAAATTAATAAAACGAGGAGGGAGGGGAAGGGAGGGGAGGGAAGGGAAGGGAAGCGAAGGGAAGGGAAGAAACCAAGTGGAGGAGCTCATGCAATCCAAATTCAAACAATCCACAATGTAGAGTAGAGTGCGGAGTGAAAACAGAAGTGGCTCAACCAATACTACAGTGGTGATTATGAGAGTGTGCTGGTAACTATTTAAGACTGTCTCTTGAAAACATACATAATACATAAGGTTATAAACAGTACTGATATAAAAGATGTGTAACATATAATTTATAAATAATAAAATATGTAATAACTCTTACTATAAACTTCATATAAGTGACCAATTCTCACAGAATACTTTCATTGATTTTTGCTGAACCCTTGTATATCTAGCCAACCTATGGTTTTGATTGAACTATGATATGGCAAATAAAACTCCATACAACTTTTGAATACTTTTCTCAATATTTTTTTGTAATTGATTTGGTATGTGATTTACTGTTAAATTATTTCTCACTCTTATACAAATTTTATTCATTAAACTGAAACTTCTGGCCTGGAGAGTTGGCTCAAGCCTGTAATCCTAGCACTTTGGGAGGCCGAGGCGGGTGGATCACTTGAGGTCAGCAGTTCGAGACCAGCCTGGCCAACATGGAAAGGCTGTTTCTGCTAAAGATACAAAAATTAGCCAGGTGTGGTGGCACGCACCTGTAATCCCAGCTACTCAGGAGGCTGAAGCAGGAGAATTGCTTGAACCTAGGGAGTGGAGGTTGCAGTGAGCCAAGATTGCACCACTTCACTCCAGCCTGGGCAAAAGAGCAAAACTCCATCTCAAAAAAAAAAAAAAAAAAAAAACCTGAAACTTCTTTCAGCTCTACTAAGACAATGGACAAAATCATAAATCTGTCCTGACTTATGTCATTTGCTAATTTCTATGTTGTATAAATACTTCTATCATTGCTTCTTTCAAGCTACCAGTGGGAAATCACTGAACGTGAAGTTGAAAAGAGAATCACAATAATCCTCCATTATATGGTATTTTCACCATAATGATACTATAAACCAGATGAACCACCTCAAGAGTATAGACAATACTACACTATATAAAAATAATTATTCATGACGAGTTTTGAGCACATATTCCCTTTTAATATTAATTACTTAATAAGTTTATATCATTCAACCTTTGGTAATTGCTGTGTTTCATAAATGGATTGCAAAATTTCCAAAAAGTTACCTGTTAGCTCTCATGAGTTAGTACAATCCAGCTCCAGGATATCAACATTTTTATGTCATTCAAGATGAGTAAATGACAGATTCACTGAATTCAGTGACGATTTTATAGACTAGTTCCTGTGGTCAACTATTGACATAAAAAGCTTCAAAGAACAAGAACTCAAAAAACTAACTCATCTAATGTGACACCTCAGGGTGCTATGAAAAACATAGCTACTACTGAAAAAACTTTACATTAAAGCTAATTTGATAGAAAAACTAACCAAATTTGTAAATCGAGTTAGTGATAGCAAGTCTGTGCTCAACAAAATGATGGGTTTATTTAAAGTTTTGTTGTATTATATTAACACACTGAAATGATTGAAGGAAAGAAAAGTTAGGCTAAAAACGAGTTACCCCTTATTTAACTTTACGTTTTCTCACTAATTGCCAATTGGTAAGATAATATACATGCATATAAAAATTTAATGCAATTGTATGAAGTTGTCAAATGAGAGACACTATGCTTAGAGATACTTTTTTATTACGATAAAATCAAAGTGCCCTTTACGTTAAAAGGCTGACATGCAGTTCTCCATGACTCTTCTCCTTATAGGATCTACTTGGAATATGCTTTTTCTGAGTTTCAAATTCAACTTCTTTTTAAATTCTGGACTTTCACCAGTATGAGGAAAACAGACAGGAAGAAATGATGCAGAAATAACCATTATGGAGTAGATCACTGTCCTGAACTTCTTCCTAACTCCTATTCTCCACAGGCCACTGTATCTGCTTTGGAGGTAATTTGGCAAGATATTGACAGACAAGAACACTGTTATATTGCTCAATTATACTAGTCAGATTGAAACAGGATAGTTTGCATGCATTTTCCAATTAATTAAAAATAATATTTGAAAGTCAAAATTTTGATATATCAAACATATACTGAAAGGTTTTTATGGAAATTGTAATAGAGAATTCAAACTAAGGTCAATATAGCAATTTTACCTTCTAGGACTCAATGAATGAAAATAGTTATTACCTTTTCTAGTCTTAAGTATTATCAATCAGATATTCTAATGGGCAAAATCATCATTATAAAGTAGCTCATGTAATTGATAGCAATTTTAGTAAAACATTTACAAATAAAAGCAGTATGATTTAAACTTCCTAATTTATAAACAACAAATAAAAGAATGACATAATATAAAAGAGGAGATAATAAAATAAATATAAATTTCTAGCATTCAATTTTCAAGAGTCCTAAACTCAAGAATTTATAGAGATCATCTGTAAATAATCTAATTTTCACAAATAGTATGTTTATAACTCTAAGAATTTTTAATATGCAGCATTCCTTGACATCTTCTCATGTATTTGAGTTACTATTTTTAAAAAGGAAAAGAAAAACATAAGAATTTTAAATGAACATTATCTCGGGGAAAAGAAACAACAGTACTAAGTAACAGTAGCATAAAAGAAAAACTAACTCAATTTTTAACTTGAAATACTTCAAAAAATTTGTTTCTGTGAAAAGCAAACATATACAAAAATTATTAATTTTATACCAGCAATTCATTTGCAAAAGCAGATAAAATTTACATCTACTCTTTCCAAAATTAATGATTTACCCAAGAAAACAACACTGAATTCCAAGTTTTTGTTTCTTCAGTGAGACTACATATATATTTATATAAAATACTCACAGTTATTTACATAGAATATTCATCTTCTTTCTAGCACAAAAAGTCCATGTTACTAGTTGGCCAATCCCCATGCGAAAAGAAGACTAGAAAAACACTGCTTGGCCATATGTGCAGATGCTGGCTAAGTGAGCTTTACTTGTTGGATATTGTCTTCCAAGGGACTTTCCATTGCATCCCTTACACTTGCTGTTGCTTCCCTTAAAATGCAAGTAATTTTCAAATTTGAGGTACTGACTAGCCATTTATTCAGGCTGCATGTTTCTCTGCTTTGTCATTATTTCACTGCTCTAGTGCCTATTAAACAGTTTATATAGTAGCTTTTGGTGTTTTAGTCATGAAGTCTTTGCCTATGCCTATGTCCTGAATGGTATTGCCTAGGTTTTCTTCTAGGGTTTTCATGGTTTTAAGTCTTACATCTAAGTCTTTAATCCATCTTGAGTTAATTTTTGTATAAGGTGTAAGGAAGTGGTTCAGTTTCAGTTTTCTGCAATGGCTAGCCAGTTTTCCCAACATCATTTATTAAATAGGGAATCCTTTCCCCATTGCTTGTTTTTGTCAGCTTTGTCAAAGATCAGATGGTTGTAGATGCGTGGCGTTATTTCTGAGGCCTCTGTTCTGTTCCAGTGGTCTATATATCTCTTTTGGTAGCAGTACCACGCTGCTTTGGTTACTGTAGCCTTGTAGTATAGTCTGAAGTCAGGTAGTGTGATGCCTCCAGCTTTGTTCTTTTTGTTTATGATTGTCTTGGCTATATTGTTCCTTATGAAATTTAAAGTAGTTTTTTTTTTTCTAATTCTGTGAAGAAAGTCATTGGTAGCTTGACGGGGATAGCATTGAATCTATAAATTACTTTCGGCAGTATGGCCACTTTCATGACATTGATTCTTCCTAACCATGAACATGGAATGTTTTTCCATTTGTTTGTGTCCTCTCTTATTTCCTTGAGCAGTGGTTTGTAGTTCTCCTTGAAGAGGTCCTTCACATCCCTTGTAAGTTGGATTCCTAGGTATTTTATTCTCTTTGTAGCAATTGTGATGGGAGTTCACTCATGATTTGGCTCTCTGTTTGTCTGTTATTGGTGTATAGGAATGCTTGTGATTTTTGCACATTGATTTTGTATCCTGAGACTTTGCTGAAGTTGCTTATGCGCTTAAGGAGATTTTGGGCTGAGACGATGGGGTTTTCTAAATATACAATCATGTCATCTGCAAACATAGACGATTTGACTTTCTCTCTTCCTATTTGAATACCCTTTATTTATTTCTCTTGCCTGATTGCCTGGCCAGAACTTCCAACACTATGTTGAATAGGAGTGGTGAGAGAGGGCATCCTTGTCTTGTGTCAGTTTTCAAAGGGAATGCTTCCACTTTTTGCCCATTCAGTATGATATTGGTTACAGGTTTGTCATAAACAGCTTATTATTTTGAGATACATTCCATCAATACCTAGTTTATTGAGAGTTTTTAGCATGAAAGGGTGTTAAATTTTATCAAAGGCCTTTTCTCCATCTATTGAGATAATCATGTGGTTTTTGTCATTGGTTCTGTTTATGTGATGGATTACGTTTATTGATTTGCGTATGTTGAACCAGCCTTGCATCCCAGGTGTGAAGGCAACTTGATAGTGATGGATTAGCTTTTTGATGTGCTGCTAGATTTGGTTTGCCAGTATTTTATTGAGGATTTTGGCATCAATGTTTATAATGGATATTGGCCTGAAATTTTCTTTTTTTGTTGTGTCTCTGCCAGGCTTTGGTATCAGGATGATGCTGGCCTCATAAAATGAGTTAGGGAAGATTTCCTCTTTTTCTATTGTTTGGAATAGTTTCAGAAGGAATGGTACCAGCTCCTCTTTGTACCTCTGGAAGAATTTGGCTGTGAATCCATCTGATCCTGGGTCTTTTTGGTTGGTAGGCTATTAATTACTGCCTCAATTTCAGAACTTGTTATTGGTCTACTCAGGGATTCAACTTCTTCCCGGTTTAGTTTTGGGAGGGTGTATGTATCCAGGAATTTATCCATTTCTTCTAGATTTTCTAGCTTATTTACATAGAGGTGTTTATAGTATTCTCCAATGGGAGTTTGTATTTCTGTGGGATCAGTGGTGATATCTGCTTTATTATTTTTTATTGTGTCTGTTTGATTCTTCTCTATTTTCTTGTTTGTCTGGCTAGCGATCTGTCTATTTTGTTGATCTTTTCAAAGAAAACTAGCTCCTAGATTCATTTATTTTTTGAAGGGGTTTCCTTGTCTCTATCTCCTTCAGTTCTGCTCTGATCTTTGTTATCTCTTGTCTTCTGCTAGCTTTTGAATTTGTTTGCTCTTCCTTCTCTAGCTCTTTTAATTGTGATGTTAGGGTGTCAATTTTAGCTCTTTACAGCTTTCTGCTGTGGGCATTTAGTGCTATAAATTTTCCTGTAAACACTGCCTTAGCTGTGTCCCAGAGATTCTGGGACATTGTGTTTCTGTTCTCTTTGATTTCAAAGAACTTACTTATTTCTGCCTTAATTTCGTTATTTACCCAGTTGTCATTCAGTAGCAGGTTGTTCAGTTTCCATGTACTTGTACAGTTTTGAGTGAGTTTCTTAATCCTGAGTTCTAATTTGATTGCACTGTGGTCTGAGAGACTGTTTGTTATTATTTCCATTCTTTTGCATTTGCTGATGAGTGTTTTACTTCCAATTATGTGGTCAGTTTTAGAATAAGTGAGACGTGGTGCTTAGAAGAATATATTCTGTTGATTTTAGGTGGAGAGTTCTGTAGATGTCTATTAGGTCTGCTTGGTCTAGAGCTGAGTCCAATCCTGAATATCCTTGTTAATTGTATGTCTTGTTGATCTGTCTAATATTGACAGGGGGGTATTAAAGTCTCCAACTATTATTGTGTGGGAGTCTAAGTCTCTTTGTAAGTCTCTAAGGACTTGCTTTATAAATCTGGGTGTTCCTGTATTGGGTGCATATATATTTAGGATAGTTAGCTCTTCTTGCAAAAATATATACAAACTATTTTTTCCTTGAGAAATGAATTATTTAATATAAATATAGGGTTCCTCTGAAGATTTAATCATTTGAGCTATCTTTTTTAGTTATTGTGGCTAATTCAGTGTTTGACTGCAATTGAGAAGTACAATTACATCTTCCTGCATTTTCCCTTAATTATTAGGCATAATCATTGTGTGATAGAGCAGTAAATTCCTTTTCATAGCTTTGGGGATAGGATGCAGAGCAAAGAAAATAAAAATTAGGTTGAGACATGCTAATATTCATAGTGATTTTAATGATTAAAAATAGGTCAAAATATTTCTGGTGTCCATAGCCAACAATCTGTAATACATGAGTATATTGGAAAGAAATGCCAAAAGAATAAAAATCTTTAAAGCCTTCAGAGATAAGGGTCAATCTTGTGAATAATAATCCCAGAAAATAAAAGGACTTTTATTTTGGGAAAATTCTGGGACTAGTAACTTTGTTAGGGTGCACGTGGCCACAAAGTAAGAATTTTTAACCTAAATACAAGGGAAAGGATTTGAAGCCTAGAAAGAAAGATTATTCTTTCACTACTAAATTAATCAGAATAGCTATGATAGTGTTTTAATAGGAAGTAAACATGAAGATTTAGCAAGTAAGATCTGTGAGAGAGATATCAAAACTTTGTTATCATCATACCCTATGTTTTTATTGATGAATAATATCCCATTGCATGATGAAGCCATAATTTGTCTTTCTATTCTCCAGTTGATGACCATCTAGGTTGATTCCAGTGTGGCACCCTTTGGAGAAAGCTACTATTTTATTTTAACTTGTCTGTTCACTATATGACACTCTACACAATGAACTCATTAAGAGAAAATGCTTAGTGATCATTATTTTGAAAATGGAATACCTAGAATTGTCCCTGGTATATAGTACGTAATCAGCAAATATTCAATTGAAGTAGAATTTATACCTCTATAACCTGGTTTATTTGAAGAATTTCCTTGCTGAAAGTTAGTTAATGCTGTAGGTACTGGGAGGTGATACCACATTATGTCCCTTTGAGGCAGACTATCGTATTCCTCTATTTACTACCTAAGTTGCCTTGGGGAATTTTCTTACATTTCCCTGGGCCTTGGTTTTCTCATCTAAAATATGATGATAATTATATAATATATCTGTTTAATTTATGATTAATTGAATTTTGCCCAGAATTTAATAAGTACTCAACAAATGTTAGTTATCTGTAAGTGTTAGTTACCCTTCAAATATATGACTAAGCCTATTACATGAAGAAAATGTTGAGAATAGTGCCCTCAAAAAATGTGGAAGGAAATTTAAAGGCACCAAGTATAGCCAACACAATATTAAAGGAGAAGAATAAAGTCATAGGACTAACACTACTCAATTTCAAGGCTTACTATAAAGCTGTGGTAATCAAGACAGTATGTATTGGCAACAGAACAAACGAGTATCAGTAGGATAGAATAGAGAGCCCAAAAATAGACCTACATAAATATAGTCAACTGATCTTTGACAAAGGAGCAACAGCAATACAATGAAGAAAAGATAGTTTTAACAAACATTGCAGAACAGCTGGATATGCACGTGTGGAAAAAAGGAGTCTAGACACAGAACTTACATTGTTCAAAAAGAAAACTGAAAATGAATCCTAGACTAAATGTTAAATACAAAAAATATATACAACTTTTGTCCTAGAAGATAAAATAAGAGAAAATCTACATGACTTGGGCATGGATATGACTACTTTTTAGATACAACACCAAAGTCATGATCCATGAATGAAAGAATTGATAAGCTAGACTTCATTATAATTCAAAACTTCTGATCATGAAAGACATAGTCAAGAGAGGGAGAAGACAAGCAACAGACTGGAAGAAGACAAGCCACAGACTGGAAGAAAATCTGATAAAGGACTGTTATCTGAAATATACAAATAACTCATAAAATTCAACAATAGGAAAACAAACAAACTGATTTTAAAATGTACAAAAGATCTGAACAGACACCTCACCAAAGAAGATGCTCGACATCACATGCCACTCAGAAAATGCAAATTAAAAGAATGAGATACCACTACATAACTATTAGAAAGGCCAAAATTCAAAACACTAACACCACCAAAAGCTGGTGAGGATATGGAGCAAAAAGAACGTTAATTGTGCATAGGATTGCAAAACTTTATAGCACTTTGGAAGAAAGTTTGGCACTTTCTGATAAAACTAAACATACTCTTGTCATATGATCCACCAAACATCTACCTTTGTATTTACCCAAAGAGGTTGAAAACTTAAGTCTACAAGAACACCTACACACAGATGTTTATAGCAGCTTTATTTATAATTGCCAAAATTTGGAAGCAAACAAGATGTCCTTCAGTAGGTGAGTGAATAAACTGGTGCACCCAGACAATGAAATATTTCTTAGCACTAAAAAATGAACTATCAAGCCATGAAAATACATGAAAGAATCTTAAATGCATATTATCGAGTGATAGAAGCCAATCTGAAAGGTCTAAATACTATATGGTTCCAAATATCTGACCTTCTGGAAGAAGGCAAAACTAAGGAGACAGTAAAAAGATCAGTGGTTGCCAGGGCTTATGGGAAGGGGGGGATTAATAGACAAAGCACAACATATATTTAGGGCAGTGAAACTATTCTGTATGACACTATATGGGTAGATACATGTCATTATACATCTTTTTCCAAACTCATGGAATGTACAAAACCAAGATTAACCCTAATGTAAACTTTGGATTTTAATGATATGCCAATGTAGTTTCATTGATTGTAACCAATGTACCACTTTGGTGCAGGATGTTGATAGCAGGGGTGCTTATGAGCTTGTGAGGGCAGGGGATACCTGGAAACTCTGTACTTTTGCTCAGTATTGCTGTAAACCTGAAGTCTATTTAAAATGAGAGGGGGAAAAGGATATACTCTTTGGAGGAGTGAAAGCCTTGCTGTCCTGTGCGGCAACAGAGGAAAGTTATTCTAGTGGACCGACAACCAGCTCAAGGAATTTTTTGTAAACTATGCTTGATCAATTTGAAAAAATGAAAAATTCACATTAAATTAAAATATAATAACGAAATCTTTGTATCCCTTTTTAGTGCATGTATCATTAACTTTTTTTTCAAAACAATTCATATTGAAAAATAAAAATCTGCCAAGGATAGGAAATGAAACATTAACTTATTTTAATGTTATTTTTAAAAAGAAAGAAATCTTCCATTATAAAACAACTAGAAAGAATGACTAATAAGCATAGTTTAAAATGCAGAGTTGATAAAGTCAGGTAAATTTCTAGGGTCATGTGAGCAATGGGCCACAAGACTTGAAACAGAAATGTTCATGTAAAAATAGGACTCTTAAAAAAATGTCCACATGCAGTGAATGAATGAACTACTTGTAAATAGACATGACCAGGTGATGTGTCTTAGGTTTATTTGGCTCTTGGTTTGAAAACAAAATAGTCTAATCTTTTGGGAAAACAATGGAGGAAAATTAATAGAGCTATGAGACCTCAGATTTAAGAAACACAGTGAATCCTACACAGGATAATTTTGTTTGCAAAAATTCACTCTTGCATACATTACTATGTATAAAACTGCAGATAACCACAAACTGATTATATTAAAAGAAAAAACAGCCAGAAAGATGAGACAGATCACCCTTATGGAACAAGAGTTTGTCCGACAGCAAACCTCTCAATAGTCACCAAGTGAGAAGGCAATACAATAATAGCTTCACGACTCTGAGGGCAAATGCTGAAAAATATAGATTTATATAATCAGAAAAATTATCGTGCAAGAAAGAGGGTTTTCTTCTGGCAAACACACCAAAAACATTTACCACCCTAATGAAGGGACTTAAAGGAAGTACTTAGACAAAAGAAAATTGCTAGAAGATAATTGAAAGGGAATACTAAAAATAGAAGTGCAATTTATTTTTAATAACTTAGAGACTTTTAGCAATTTTTCCCCAAATCACATTGTAATAGATAAGTCATATTCTTAAGTAATCAATAGTCAGGAACTATTATTACCAATTTTTAAGAAGAAAGAGAAGCATGGGACAGTTAAAATAAATTTGCCAAAATTAAGAGTTAGTTTTGCTCTTATGTGTAGGAAACAACGGGGTTGTTTCCAGTTGTTTCTATTAAAGGTAATGCTGCTATAAATATTTTCGTTATATTTTTCATATACCCATGTACTCATTTCTTTTCGATACATCACTAGGAGCAGAATTACTTGGTCATAAGGTATATTTATATTAACATTACACTATTTCCAATATTTATAAAATAATAACAAATCTCTAGAAGGCTCGAATCATGAAATGATTGTCTCTTAAATGTCCTTAATTCATATCCTCTTCCAATGTACATTGAGTTTCTTTGTTGTGCTATTGCTCAGTTCCATATCAATTATTTACATTAAAACTATTAGGTGAAAATAATATTTGTTGAGTGCTTAATATGTACTCCAGACTGCTAAACACTTTACAAGTATTAACTCCTTTAGTGTTCATAATAATTATCTATTATTCCCATTTCACAGGTAACGAAGCTGAGACTCAAATAAATGAATACATTCCCCATGGTCAGATATCTAAGAAATGGAAAGCACTGCAAGATATAAATCAGTGAATATGGCACTTCTTGGAGATCATTTCAGTAGGTCAGGTCATCTCTGGAAAGAGTGATTAGCCAAATCAATGCACAGAGACACATATGAATTGCAATATTTATAACAAACTGTGTTAAGACAGAGACTATATTGTAATAAAGGAACCTCAAAATATTATAGCTTAAATAAGACAGAAATTAATTTCTCTTTCATCTAACAGTCCAGTGATCCACAGCCAGCATGGTAGCTCTGCCATCTAGAACATGTGGTTGCCAAGGTTTCCCAGACATTGCTATTTCCCAGCAGGAAGTAAAAGTGAAAGTAACATACAGGAAGTAAATCGGACCCATTACTTCTGCTATGAATAACTGGCCCAAACTTAATCACACAGCCATATGTAGAGCTGAGGCAGGCTAGAAAATGTAGTCAGAAGATTGGCCAAAAGGAGTCAGACATGTGTCCAGCTAACATTCAGAGGATTCCATTACTAAAAGGATGAAAACAATGAATATGAAGAAAAATTCATTTACTAGTCAAATCTGTTGAAAACGTAAGACACATGCAAAGATGTAAGAGGAAACAGCCAGAAAACAGGTTAAAATCCAACAGGCAGAGGCTGAAGACAGTGACTTAATACAGTAGTTAATGACAAGTCTTTAAAAAAATAATTGAAATATAACTAAGACAAAATGCACAAAATATAAGTATAAAGTTTAATGAATGTACACATTAAACACTTCCACATACGGATCACCAAGTTCCAGAAATAGAAGAGTAGCAGCACCCCTACAAGCTCCCTTTGACTGTTTTTTAATCACTAATCTTGCTTATCTCCCCAGAGATAGCTACTACCTTAGCTTCTCAACATAGACTCGTGTTGCCTATTTTGTTATGTCATTATGTTTGTGGGATTCATACATGCTGTAGTGTGTAGAAGTACTTTTTTTATTGTTGCATAGTATTGCATAGTAAAATATGCAATAAGTTATTTAACAATTTTTTTCAGGAAAAACATTAGAGTCATTTATGTTTTTTAACTATTAGAAATAATACTGCTATAACGGTTTCATTCGTGTTTTTTTTGTGCACCCATCACTCATGTCATATACTATTGCTATATATATATATATCTTTGTAAAATGTGCTAAATAGTTTTTCCCAAGTGGGTGTGTTAACTAAATGTCTCTCTAGCAGTATACTAACATTCTGATTGCTCAACATTCTCACAAACTCTTTGGAATGGCATTCTCTTTCATTGTTGTCATTCTGATACATGTGTGGATAGTGGTTTTAATTTTAATTTCTCTGATGACTACTGAGGTTGTGGATCCTTTCTTACATTTATTAGTTATTTAGACGCCCTCTTTTGTTGAATATCTCTCTTAGTCACTTGCCCAATATTTTATTGGCTGGTCTCCCTTTTTCTTATAGTTCTCTATAAAGTCTGAATACGAATCTTTTGCCAATTTGTAACTTTCTTCTTAGTAAAGAGTTTTTGAATTTTTGAATGAAAGGATGACAAGAGTAGCTCCATACTTCGAAAAAATAAATCTGCCACAAATACGTGAAAGTTGGTCAGAGAGATGTTAAAAATGTAACATATATATATATATTTGAAAAATATGAGAATCTAATTTAGACAGAGGAAAACAACAATGAAAAGAAAGAAAAATGTTGAAAGGTATATTTTATAAAGAATCACTGATTTATTCAATAAATCAGAGAAACCTTGATAACTGAGTTGGAAAATTATGAGATACAGACCATTCATGAAGGATACTAATAACTTGATAAAACAAGGCAGTCAATATTGGCTTAGTTGTGAATGCAGGAAAACTGAAGTTTGGAATTACAGTCATGCATTGCTTAATGAGGGGGATATATTCTGAGAAATGCACTGTTAGGTGATTTCCTTATCATGCAAACATCATAGAGTGTTCTTGCACAAACATAGATGGCATAGACTACTACACACCTAGGCTGCATGGTATATTGCTTCTAGGTTACAAACCTATACAGCATGTTACGGTACTGAATATTGTAGGTAATTTTAATACAGTGGGTATTTATATATTTAAATATAGAAAAGGTATGTAAAATATAGTATTATCATCTTATGAGACCATCATCATATACACTACTCATCCTTGACCAAAACATTATTATGCAGGACAAGATTGTACTAAGGAGTGTTTCCTATTGAATTAGCAAGACATAAAGAAAATCACCAAGTAGTAGCAAGTCTCAACTTTTTCCAGCTTAAAGGTATTCTATTATTCTTGTCATGATTAAAAACTTCATATCCATTTTCTTTCTAATCACTGTAACAAGAAAAACAAAATGATTTAATGCAGGCTCAAAGAAAGCAAGATTAAGAAATCAGAAAGGAACAGAAAATGCTTTCCTATAGAAGGGTTTCCCCAAGAAGGGAGATTTGATGAGCAACTATTTTGGATGCCTGTTTGTCAGAATATTTCCCATTTCCTTCCATGCCAGACATGATGCCTTTCCTCTTCTGATTCTTAGTCTTACTAACAAGTTACAAGGAAAGGCTGCAGAACTTCCCGTGCATTATATTAAAATGTTTACCAGAGTAAGATCTTACATCCTCTATCATTTTCCATCAGCAGCAACATCATAATCTAAAATTTACTGAGACTTGCCATATACTGTGTGTTATATGCATTATTTAATCCCCATAATATCCTGTAAATAATTATTATTACTGTTATTCCTATTTTGTAGCTGGAGAAAATGAAACAGAAAGGTTAAACAATTTGCCCAAGTGACACTGCTAGTAAGTCATTGGAGCATGGCTATGAACCAAGGCAGCTTAACTCTGGAGCCTACTTTCTTAACTATTGTTCTCTACCTTCTCCTTGTCAGGTAACATGTAACTATCATTCAGTTAAGGTTCTAAAAGTATAAGAACCATAAAAATAGGATTTATCGGTAAGGACTTGGGATGTGGAAAGCTCCATATGGCATGGAGTGCTCTAAGGACAGAAATGAGACTGACACACAATAGTGAGTGATAAAGACAAAAGATCACTGAAAATACCTCACGTCTGTTCACTCGTCTCCCTCTCTACTTCCATACCACTGTCATCGCTGATCCGGAACACTTCCATTGTCATTAATATCCTCTCCACTTCCAAACTGTCACCATTCCAATTCATTCTCCACCCTACAGCCTAATGATCATCTATAAGTATGAAACAGTTCAGCCACTCTTAATAAAAACATTCAATGGCTTCCTGCTGCACATAGTATAAAATCCAAATTCCTCATCATGGCCCACAGAGTCATACAAAATCTGTCCCCTGCCTCCTTCCCACACTCACTACACCCCACTGTCCCCTTCTCATCACGTATATTGGCTTTTACGTCATTTTCTTGAATACAGGAGGCCCTCCCCCACTGCAGGATCTTTGTGACTGCTATTATCTCTGCCTGACATGTTTTTTTTCTCCAGCAACTTACATGTTTGGCTTCTTCTCATTCTTCATTTTGGTTTAACACATAAAACTTTTTTGGACCATCCTGTGTAGAGTACTCTTCTCAGCTCTTCTTTATCATATAACACCTGGCTTATTTCTGTAGTAGAATTTACCAAAAGCTGGAATTATATTACTTGGTCATAAATACATTAATCTTTCTTTTCTACTAGAATTAAGCTTCATGACACTGTCTGGCATATGGTAGATGCCAGTAAGAAAATTTCATTAGATAAATATATACCTCAATAAATGGCCCTCATGCTTCTGATCTTGTGTAAGTAGGGGCATAGGGTCATTAACTGAGATAGAAAATACAATAAGAAAATCAAATTTTGGATAGGAAAATAGTTCAGTGAGTCACAGGTTGAATTTGAGATGCCTGCAGGTAAGATATATAGAATTGTCCATGAAGTAGCTCAGAAAAAAGGTCTAGAGCTCAGAGAAAAGTTTGCACAAGATAACACAGATTTAGAAGACAAGAAAATAAGATGGCAGATAAAACAATTGATGTGGATGAAAAGGCCCAGGAAAATATGCAGAATGAAAAAAAAAAGCAGATCAAAATACAGTATCAAAAAAGGAAAAGAGAAAAGTAAAAAGACTGAGAAGGGACCTTCAAATAGGTCAGAGAGCACAAGAAGATGGGAAGAGATTATCAAGGAAAATGAGAAGTTAGATCAAGAGCGTCAAATTCTTATAAGAGGTTAAGTAGGATGACAAATGAAAGGGACCATTCGATTTGGTATTTAGGAATCCAGGTGACCTTTGGGAGAGGTAGGAACAGGGTAGATAGGACATTGAAGATAAACATGTTTCGAATTCATAGCTTTACCTAGGGCTTGCACTATATCAAAATCTCTTTTAGTGGCTTTGAAAACACCATGACACAGAAAGTGTGACAAAATGAAATTATTAAGTATCCCACCTATCAGCTTTAAAAAAAAGAAATAGTTATCTTGCATTGTTGGGATTTTCTAAAGAGGTAGTATCAAAGTCAGCTGAAAAGGCTTGTCTATTCAAACTTGCAGAACTATGTAAGGAAACTCATGATTATCAGTAGCAAAAGCTACCGGGGTGCTTTCAGAGAATGAAAGCTTTACCATATATACACTCAACAGAAAAGAAATTTGAGAGCAAGGGGTTGTGACCAACAGTAGTTCACAGAGCCTGCCAGGGTATGGCTGGCAATTCAAGATCACAGATGCCTCCATTTGCTCTAATCAGGGAGAGTCTTTTTTACTAAGTGCATTTACGTCGGTAGTCAGTAGAGATGCATCTATGCACTAAATCTTGCACCTGAGCTGAGTGTAAGTAGTCGAATATTTAATTTACCCCCCACCCTCGAGTTCAAAAACAGAGCCATGTGGAAATAAATCCCCTTGCAAAGTCAAAAACTGACCTCAAACACAGATGGATTAGAGCCCAGAAAAGAGATTTTAGCACTGGCATATAGAACTGGAAATGAGATGGGAAAAGAAGGGGTTTCTAAACAGCTCGTTTTTACGTACTATGTATCCCAGATATCCTGACACAGAATTGTTCTACTCATTTGTCAAAAAGTGTTTATTTCAGGGGTGCTTAGCAGCAAGAGAACATTCCTATAAATAGCTATATATCCTTCTAATGAAAACTAGGGATTCTACATATCTGCTGTAATACAAGAAACACGCTACTTTTAAAATATATTTCTTCTGATAATTAAATAGGGCCCAGGACAGTGTTTTGTAGAATTAAACCAGCTGTCTGCTAATAGAAGAGGCGTGGCAGACGGTATAAAAGGAAGCGTTTTCCATCCTCTAGACCATTTACTCTGGAAGATGCTGAGATACAAAATGTAGAATGGAAAGCCAAATAAAGGCAGGCATGGTAATGGAACAAGGACAAATGTTGGACGTCTGCCCTCTCACTTCCTGTTTGTGGGAGACAAGCGGTGGCAGCTGCTGGGTTAGAGTCCCTGGAAGAGATGCTGGGGCAAAAGAGAGCTCGGGTTGCTGTTTCTACTTCAGCGGCGGCGGCTGGAGCAGCGGGTACAGGTGAGGTTGCCCTGGCGGTGTCCATAGCAACGCTGGAGGGGGTGGCAGGGAGAAAGGCGCCCTCCACCCTGTCAGCCTCCTCCTCGCCTCCCCCGACCTGCAGGCGCGCTAAGCGCTCCGGGCGCCGCGCTCCGCGAGGGGGAGCAGTGCTCCCAACCCGCGACCCTCCGCCTCAGACATCACAGTTGCCGCGGCAACGGCCGGAGGAGGAAGGCCAAGGCTTTTCTCCCGCTGACGTCCCCCGCCACCAGTACCCAGAGTGCTGGGGCCTGGATGAGATCTGCGTCCGCTTCACCCGAGCATGAGCTTGGGTCTCTCGGAGGAGCAGGAGACGCGGGCTCGAAGCCGCGGGCCTGACCCTGATCCGTGGATGCCGCCGCCGCCTTCTCCTCCCCTGGGTGGTGGGGGACAGGGCCTGGGAGGCACGGTCACGCCGAGTTTGAGCACGTGACCTTCCAAGAGCTTGAGAGTCCCCTAGAGAGCAGGCCCCACCCCAATCCATCCCGCCTCGCCGGAGGGGTCCCTCTGGCTTTAGTCCTTCTCTTCTAATTCCCTGTATGTCCCGACCCGACCAACGGCAGCACACTCTCCCAGTCCCTTCACTCCCACCTAGAATTATCTTCGAGGACTATAACGCCGGATCCTTTCTCCCTTTTTTCTGCCCTTCCCGGGTGTCTGGGGAGCAAAGGAAGGGTCAGAGGCCTTCAGAAAAGGTTGCCCGCTCAGACAAGACCAGAGAGCACCCAGGACCCGACCCCGCTCGCTGTAGGCCTCTCAGCGGGAGAGGGATGCGGGGAGGGGAGTGGGGTGGGGTGGAGTTGTCAGCTGGCCATATCCAGTCATCCCTGGCCAGGTAAACTAAGTGCTCAGTAGGGGCACCCGTAATGGACTTCAAAATTGCATACAGGAACAGATTTTGCTCAGAGCCCAACTGAATCCTGTTTTTATTTACTGGAGCAAAACAAACCCAGGCGGAGAAGGGTGTCTTTTCTGGCAGCTAAGTCAACGGGGACTCTTGCCTCGCTTTCCAATATATCAAAAGGAGGAAAATTTTGCAAGAAACTCTATTGTTCAGCTGTAGACAAAGAAAAAGGCAAAGAAACAACTTTTCAATTCTATATGGATTGAAAAAATGAAAATTTTTGAGGGCAGTTTTTCTAAAGTATACAAAATGGACCTATCCTCCTCTTGAATAATGTTTAATATTTTATTGCTGTAACTAGGGCTTTTCATGAAAAAAGATTTTATTGTGATATTTCAATGTAATTCTCAAAATTTTTAAATTAAAAAATATTGTAAGTAATAAATGTGTTTCTGATTATATATATTATATACTTGATTTTCCAGAGATTAATGGAGATGCTTGTGAATCTATGTATCATTGAATGATTGTTAGCTAACTAGCACCTATGGCAAAGATAACCTTTAACTAGAGAAAATGCATAAGGAAATGAAAAGCATTTGCCAAATGGAATTAGTGTAATATTTTGTTGAAGAAAGTTTTAAATGAATTCTTATATATGTGGTCACTTTAAATACTAAAACAAATGATCTTTTAATTAGAGTTTTAAAAAATTTTAATTGGCACAATAATTGTAGATATTTATGGGGTTCGGTGTGATATTTTATATATGTGTACAATGTGTAATGATCAAATTGGGGTAATGAGCAAATTCATCACCTCAAACATTTGTTATTTCTTTGTTCTGGGAACAATCAAGATCCTCTCTTCTAGCTATTTATAAATATACAATATATTGTTGCTAACTATAGTCACCCTGCAGTACGATAAAACATTAGAAGTTATTCCTCTTATATAGGCATAATTTTGTGTCCATTAACCAGCTTCTCCCTATTTTCTCTCCCCTTCACCCTTTCATCCTGTAGTTACCACTCTTCTATTCTCTACTTCTATGAGATCAACTTTCTTAGCTTCCACATGAGTGAGAATACGTGGTATTTATCTTTTTGTGCGTGGCTTATTTCACTTAACACAATGTCCTTCGGGCTCAGCAATGTTGCTGTGAATGACAGGACTTCATTCTTTTTTATGGCTGACTAGCATTCCATTGGGTATATATACCATATTTTCTTTATCCATCTGTTGATCGACACTTAGGATGATATCATATCTTGGCTATTGTGCATAGTGCTCCAATAAACATGGGAGTGCAGATGTCTCCTTGACATTCTGATTTTCTTTCCTTTGATAGATACCCAGTAGTGGGATTGCCATTCTATTTCTAGTTTTATGAGGAGCCTCCACACTATTTTCCATAATGGCTATACTAATTTACATTCCCACCAACCTTGTATAATACATCAAAAGGAGGACAATTTTGCAAGAAATAAACACTATTATGTTTATTCCTTCTTCTCCACGACCTCTCCAGCATTTCTTGTTGTCTTTTTGATAATAGCCATTCTAACTGGGGTAAGATGTTATCTCCTGTAGGTTCTGATTTGTATTTCCTTGACGATTAATGATGTTGAGATTTTTTTTTCATATACTTGTTGGCCATTTGTACATCTTCTCTTAAGTGATGTCTATTCAGATCATTTGCCCATTTTTAAATCAGATTATTTCTTTTTATGCTGTTGAGTTGAGTTCCTTGTATATTTGGAATATTAATTCCTTGACAAATGTGAATTAGAGATTTGAGATTAGATATATGCCTTAAAATACCAACTAAAGTGTTACCTGATTGTTAATTTAGATATGTTCTGGTGTCTTTGCACTGAAATATTCAACTTTATAAGGTAGTCATTTCCATAGATTATTTTTCTAAGGAATTTCCCTTTAAATGTGATTCAGTAAATAGGAGATTAGTAAAGGTAATATTTATTTAATTTTTAATTTAATTATCCTCCTAACTTCTAAACTATCTGCCAAACTATTTCTATGCCGGCAGAAATCTACTATCTCCCCAAATATATTATCCATACCCTCAAGTGCCAAATTTGCTCATTTCTGCCCACGCTAAATGCAAATGTATATTTCAACTGTGAGACAGGTCTGTGTATAAATTAAAGACTGTGTATAAACCTAACATCACAATTAAAAGAACTAGAAAAGCAAGAGCAAACACATTCAAAAGCTAGCAGAAGGCAAGAAATAACTAAAATCAGAGCAGAACTGAAGGAAATAGAGACACAAAAAACCCTTCAAAAAATTAATGAATCGAGGAGATGGTTTTTTGAAAGGATCAACAAAATTGATAGACCGCTAGCAAGACTAATAAAGAAGAAAAGAGAGAAGAATCAAATAGACGCAATAAAAAATGATAAAGGGGATATCACTACCAATCCCACAGAAATACAAACTACCATCAGAGAATACTACAAACACCTCTACGCAAATAAACTAGAAAATCTAGAAGAAATGGATAAATTCCTGGACACATACGCCCTCCCAAGACTAAACCAGGAAGAAGTTGAATCTCTGAATAGACCAATAACAGGCTCTGAAATTGTGGCAATAATCAATAGCTTACCAACCAAAAAGAGTCCAGGACCAGATGGATTCACAGCTGAATTCTACCAGAGGAGGTACAAGGAGGAACTGGTACTATTCCTTCTGAAACTATTCCAATCAACAGAAAAAGAGGGACTCCTCCCTAACTCATTTTATGAGGCCAGCATCATCCTGATACCAAAGCCCGGCAGAGACACAACCAAAAAAGAGAATTTTAGACCAATATCCTGATGAACATTGATGCAAAAATCCTCAGTGAAATACTGGCAAACGGAATCTAGCAGCACATCAAAAAGCTTATCCACCATGATCAAGTGGGCTTCATCCCTGGGATGCAAGGCTGCTTCAACATACGCAAATCAATAAATGTAATCCAGCATATAAACAGAACCTAAGACTAAAATCACGTGATTATCTCAATAGATGCACAAAAGGCCTTTGACAAAATTCAACAACCCTTCATGCTAAAAACTCTCAATAAATTAGGTATTGATGGGACATATCTCAAAATAATAAGAGCTATCTATGACAAACCCACAGCCAATATCATACTGAATAGGCAAAAGCTGGAAGCATTCCCTTTGAAAACTGGCACAAGACAGGGATGCCCTCTCTCACCACTCCTATTCAACATAGTGTTGGAAGTTCTGGCCAGGGCAATTAGGCAGGCGAAGGAAATAAAGGGTATTCAATTAGGAAAAGAGGAAGTCAAATTGTCCCTGTTTGCAGATGACATGATTGTATATCTAGAAAACCCCACTGTCTCAGCCCAAAATCTCCTTAAGCTGATAGGCAATTTCAGCAAAGTCTCAGGATACAAAATCAATGTACAAAAATCACAAGCATTCTTATACACCAACAACAGACAAACAGAGAGCCAAATCATGAGTGAACTCCCATTCACAACTGCTTCAAAGAGAATAAAATACCTAGGAATCCAACTTACAAGGGATGTGAAGGACTCTTCAAGGAGAACTACAAACCACTGCTCAGTGAAATAAAAGAGGATACAAACAAATGGAAGAACATTCCATGCTCATGGGTAGGAAGAATCAATACCGTGAAAATGGCTATACTGCCCAAGGTAATTTATAGATTCAATGCCAACCCCATCAAGCTACCAGTGACTTTCTTCACAGAACTGGAAAAAACTACTTTAAAGTTCATATGGAACCAAAAAAGAGCCCGCATCGCCAAGTCAATCCTAAGCCAAAAGAACAAAGCTGGAGGTATCACACTACCTGACTTCAAACTATACTACAAGCCTACAGTAACCCAAACAGCATGGTACTGGTACCAAAACAGAGATATAGATCAATGGAACGGAACAGAGCCCTCAGAAATAATGCCGCTTATCTACAACTATCTGATCTTTGACAAACCTGAGAAAAACAAGCAATGGGGAAAGGATTCCCTATTTAATAAATGGTGCTGGGAAAACTGGCTAGCCATACATAGAAAGCTGAAACTGGATCCCTTCCTTACACCTTATACAAAAATTAATCCAAGATGGATTAAAGACTTAGACGTTAGACCTAAAACCATAAAAACCCTAGAAGAAAACCTAGGCATTACCATTTAGGACATAGGCATGGGCAAGGACTTCATGTCTAAAACACCAAAAGCAATGGCAACAAAAGCCAGAATTGACAAATGGGATCTAATTAAACACAAGAGCTTCTGCACAGCAAAAGAAACTACCATCAGAGTGAACAGGCAACCTATAAAATGGGAGAAAATTTTCACAACCTACTCATCTGACAAAGGGCTAATATCCAGAATCTATAATGAACTCAAACAAATTTACAAGAAAAAAAACAAACAATCCCATCAAAAAGTGGGTGAAGGACATGAACAGACACTTCTCAAAAGAAGACATTTATGCAGCCAAAAAACACATGAAAAAATGCTCACCATCACTGGCCATCAGAGAGATGCAAATCAAAACCACAATGATACCATCTCACACCATTTAGAATGGCAATCATTAAAAAGTCAGGAAACAACAGGTGCTGGAGAGGATGTGGAGAAATAGGAACACTTTTACACTGTTGGTGGGACTGTAAACTAGTTCAACCATTGTGGAAGTCAGTGTGGCGATTCCTCAGGGATCTTGAACTAGAAATACCATTTGACCCAGCCATCCCATTACTGGGTATATACCCAAAGGACTATAAATCATGCTGCTATAAAGACACATGCACACGTATGTTTATTGCGGCACTATTCACAATAGCAAAGACTTGGAACCAACCCAAATGTCCAACAATGATAGAGTGGATTAAGAAAATGTGGCACATATACACCATGGAATACTATGCAGCCATAAAAAATGATGAGCTCATGTCCTTTGTAGGGACATGGATGAAACTGGAAGTCATCATTCTCAGTAAACTATCGCAAGGACAAAAAACCAAACACCGCATATTCTCACTCATAGGTGGGAATTGAACAATGAGAACACATGGACACAGGAAGGGGAACATCACACTCTGGGGACTGTTGTGGGGTGGGGGAAGGGGGGAGGGATAGCATTAGGAGATATACCTAATGCTAAATGACGAGTTAATGGGTGCAGCACAACAGCTAGCACATGTATACATATGTAACTAACCTGCACATTGTGCACATGTACCCTAAAACTTAAAGTATAATAATAATAAAATAAAATAAAATAAAGACTGTGTATAGACTAGTGTTTAAAACCTCAGTTTACATCCTTAGTATCTCACAGCAGATGGGAAATGATCAGAACACCCATGTTCCAGTGTGTAGATGTTTAATTGAATGGGAAAGTAAGTAGAAAAGCTTTTAGTCTTCTGGACTGGTTCTTCTGCCATTTGAAAAGGTTAGCCTAGCACACCACCCTTTGTGTATTTCACATAGCATTAGAAGCCTCAGTGGGTATTGCATGCTTTCCAGCTGGGTCTCAATGTTTGCATATTGAAGTGCTGCTTTATTTCTGTCAATGCACAATATATAGTAGGACATTAAATTACAGAGAGTAACAAATATCTTCTTATGAAAGCTTTCACAATGAATAATTATCTTATTTGACATTAGTGTACACTAGAATTAAGGAGACTAGAAAAAGTTAAGAGGTGATCTTAAAGAATCTAGAATCAGATATCATACCCCAAATACGTAATTTTTATTAATAGTAGACATCTCTAGATAATCAAACCAGAGGTGATTCTTTTTTTCTTCTGCTTTTTTTAACTTTTAAATATATAATAAGCAGATATAATTGAATAATAACAATACTATATTTTTAAAATTGGTAAATAGGCTTTTTAAAGTATGTCATACATTTCTTTATTTTAATCTATTATTACTAACAACACTTTCTTTCAATATTTTAGAATGTTTAAGCTGTAACTGTGTACTAGAAAAAAGCCAATAGAATAAAAATTTACAAAATATGTCTTTCCAAAAGTTGGGAAATTTTCACCGATTCTTAAAAACAATTACAGGGCCAGATAAACTTTAGTCTCTAGCTTAGTTAATAAACAATATGATATTACAAGAAACTGTAATATTTTAAATATTCATTAATATTTGTATAAGCTTTTCAAATTTTAAAAGCACATGATGAAATGCTGACAGTTTTTATCTACTGATGTTTCAGAATATAACATTATAGTTTATCTGAGCCAGTGGATACCAAGGAATTTATAAGTTGGAGTCAAAGTATTTGATGAAAAGGCATTAATAAAACAATAAAAGAACAACATAAAAATAGCCAACTTGTAATTCCCTCTCAACAAGGTATGCCACTTTAAACAATGGATCTTGTATCTGGAACTGAAGTAAGTAAACAGACTTTGTCTAGAAGAGGGAAAAGGAGAACTGAAAGGTATTTGTTTTTTACAGAAAGTAGATAATGTGAAAATTTGTCTATCTCCATTTTCCCAAAGTCCCATTATCAAAGATCTATCATTTGAACTGGAGCCAATGGTAAATGTCCATAAATGCAATCATGTCACTAACACAATAGAAAAATATTAACTAAAGCTCATAAATTTATAACAATCATGCTGTAACTTTAACAAATATGGAATAATTTACATACAGTTGACCTTTTGGGTCTGCAAGTTCTGCATCTGCCAATTCAACCAACCATGGATGAATAATATTTGGGAAAAAATAAAAATATAATAGTAAAAAAAAGGCCGGGCGCGGTGGCTCACGCCTGTAATCCCAGCACTTTGGGAGGCCGAGGCGGGTGGATCATGAGGTCAGGAGATCGAGACCATCCTGGCTAACAAGGTGAAACCCCGTCTCTACTAAAAAATACAAAAAATTAGCCGGGCGCGGTGGCAGGCGCCTGTAGTCCCAGCTACTGGGGAGGCTGAGGCAGGAGAATGGCGTGAACCCGGGAAGCGGAGCTTGCAGTGAGCCGAGATTGTGCCACTGCAGTCCGCAGTCCGGCCTGGGCGACAGAGCGAGACTCCGTCTCAAAAAAAAAAAAAAAAAAAAAAAAAAAAAAAAAAAATAGTAAAAAAAAATATATAGTATAACAACTATTTACAAAGTCTTTATATCATATTAGGTATTATAAGTAACCTAGGGATGATTTAAAGTATACAAAGGGATGTGCATAGGTTATATGCAAATACTAGACCATTTTCTATCAGGGAATTGAGCATCACAGGAAGTTCCTGGACCCAATCCCTAATGGATACCAAGGGAATACCGTATAACGTTCAGTTCACCTTTAAAATAAGTCATCTTTGATTTCTTACACCTCCTACATATCCAGTTACTAAGTGTTAATTGTTAAACACTTCTCTAATCTGTCGATACTTGCTTGTATCTCTGGCTTGGATTACTTATTCAATTTACTACTTCTTCTACCTGTTTCATATTTTGGCCCCTTCATTCTTCTCTTAGGTGCCTAAAGTATCTTTCTAAAATGAAAAATCTGAGACTGTTTCCTCAAATAATTAGATAGATAGATAGATAGATAGATAGATAGACAGACAGACAGATAGATAGAGGTTTGTATGGGGAGAAGAAACAACCACATTTTAAATGTATTGTTAAGCTCACACATATGTATGTGAAATCTTCAAGGACCCCAAAATTAAAATTTAAATAAATGCTAAAATGAAACCAGATTAGTGAGCTATAACAGAAAACTAGAGCAGAGGCCTATCTGAGAGCAATTTCCTATACCAGGAACCATAACATCTGAGGACTGGAGGGAGTAGGGAGAAGCAGTGAAGTCTTGGATTCTAGTAAATTTGGGTAAATGTAGCTGTTTTATAAGTGCAAGGAATTGGAGGGAAAGGAATAATATAAAAATGACTACATTTTCGACAATATCTTCACATCCATTTTTCAGTGCACTAAATCTCTTTTTAATGTTATCTAAGCTTCTATTGAAACAATTGAGTTCCTGCATTTTACATTTTTTTCTGTTTTATTTTATAAATCTGTCTAGTCACTTTAATATCTTTTTTTCTTGATTCAAGGAGATAATGAAAGAATTTTCTATAAGTGACAAAATCATGAATTCAGAAATTTAGGAAAAATGTCATATATCAAGTAGGATAATTATTTTAAAATCTACACCTAGAACATTGCAATGAACCTGTAGAATACCCAAAAAAAGATAAAAATTTTAAGACTGTCAAGCAAGAGACTGATCCTCTACTACAAAAAGACAATAAAACTGCACATTTCTCAATAGGAAGTAAAATGGAATACAGAAAATAAAATTATGTGTGTAAATATTTAAATGTTTAAAAAGTTAAAATAAGAGATATAAATAAATTTTTTTTAGCCAGAAAATTAAGAAATTTTACCATTCACAGACTTTAACTAAAGGAACTTCTAAAGCAATAGTTTCAGGGGGGAAAAAAGGTCTGCAGAGTAAAAGCCCCACAGATAGGAAAAGAAAGTAGGGGGAAGAAAAACGAAAAAAACTAGTAAATTGGAAGATGAGTCTGAAAACAAGTGGATCTAGTAAGGATAATTGATATTTATGTTATTTATAATATATATTTTAAAAGAAATGTAAAAGAAGAAGAAGAAGGCTATTGTCCATGTTCTGGAGTTCAAAAGAAAAAAATTAAACCCTTGATAACAAAAGATTTTAATTCACTACAATATGGTAGGAGTCAAAGGATTAGCAGAAATATTAAGATGTAGAATTTAATATGTTTGCATTTTCAAATTTAAACGGAAACTTCTAAGATAATTCTAATTTATAAATTCCAAACCAATCAAGAGGGAAGGTGAATAAAAAATAATTTTACAGTTAAAAGTAGTGGATAAGGAAACATTAAAAAATAAACAAGATAGATATGACAAGAATACAAAGAATGCGATATTAAAAATAGAAATATACAAATACTTACAATATCTTATAAAAAATTAATGCAAACCAAAACACATTTTCAGACATACAAAGCTAAAATAATTCACTACTACCAGATCTGTTTATAATAAATATCAATATCCTTTAGGCAGAAATGTCTTTCAAGCAGAATAAAATGATGTCAGTTGGAAATACAGATCTATAAAAAGGGAAGAAGAGCACCAGAAATAGTAACCACATGAATATATGATTTTTATTGTTATTTTCTATAAATCACTTTAAATATAATTGATATCTGAACAAAATAACAGTGTATATTGGGATTTATCACATATGTATAGGAGAAATATATAACAACAATAGCATAAACCAAGAAGGAAATAGAAGTATTCTAAGCTCCTTACATCATGTAAGTGGCATAATAATTCTTGAAGGTAGACTTAAATAAGGTAAATAAGTATACTGTAAACCCTAAAGTAACCATTGGTATTTAACTAATTTTTAATGTGCAGGAAAAAGAAGGTGAAAAAAACAAATAACAGATTGGGCAAACAGGAAAAAAAAAAAAAACAGCAAGATGATGATGGAAACCTAACCACATTAAATGTATATGTTCTAATGAACATCCAATTGAAAGTCAGACATCAGATTAAAAGGCAAGCTCCAAATATATGCCACTTACAAAAAATGTACTTCACATTTAAAGTCACAAATAGTTAACCAATAAAGGGATAGAAGAATATGCACCATGCCAATACTACAAGGGCTAGGTTATCAATGGAATACAAGGTTGGTTTAACATTTAGAAAATCAATTGTCATCCATTGTATTAACAAACTAAAAAGAAAAATGTTCATCTCAATAACACAAAAAAACACATTTGACAAAATCCCACATCCATTTCTAATAAAAACTCTCAGGAAAGTAGGAATAAGGAACTTCCTTATCAGAATTAAGGACAAAATTTTACTATATTTTATACATAATATGCACTAATATACAATTATTTTTCTATTTTTAATCAATTCTCTCTCTTGCTTTTTAGACTTTGTATATGCTGTTCTGTTTCTTCCATTTAACTGCCATCTCTGACATTCTACAGATCCTTTTTGGAAACTCTACTGGCAATCATAAGCATATTTTTAGTTAAATATCTCAAGGATAAAGGTAGAAACTTGCACTTTCCAACCAGTAGTCAGTAGCAACATGTGGGTATTGAGCCCTTGAAATGTGAATAGTCTGAATTGAGATGGGCTGTTTAAGAACTATTTTTTTTTTTTTTTTGAGACGAAGTCTCATTCTCGTTGCCCAGGCTGAAGTACAATGGCATGATCTCAACTCATGGCAACCTCTGCCTCCTGGGTTGAAGCGATTCTCCTGCCTCAGCCTCCCGAGTAGCTGGGATTACAGGCACGTGCCACACTGCCTGGCTAATTTTTGTATTTTATTTTATTTTTTTTAGTAGAGAGATGGGTTTCACCATGTTGGCCAGGCTGGTCTCAAACTCCTGACCTCAGGTGATCCACCCACCTCAGCCTCCCAAAGTGCTGGGATTGCAGGTGTGAGCCACCACGCCCGGATGATAATTCTCTAAAACATAAAAAGTAAAATACCTCCCTTCATAATTGTTTTGAACTGATAACATGTTGAAATGGTAAAATGTTGAATATATTGGGTTAAATGAAATATGTTGTTAAAATTATTTTTATCTGTTTTTACTTTAAAATGACTACTAGAAAGTTCAAAAATTACATCTATGGCTTACATTATATTTCTATTGGATAGTGCTGGTGTAGCCATTTTTAATAGACTGAAAATTCTCATTAGGAAATTCTAATCATACCTAAAAATGATCCTCAAATCTTGCAAATGGTCTTTAAAAAGAGGATATCAATATACATACTATGGCTAAGAACTATGCTTCAAGCTTATTACAATTTCCCCTATAATAGACCAAGATGTTGAGCAGCCTAAATGAACACTAAATATATAATGAGTGTATATTTATGCACAGTTCTACCAGTAAACATCCAGTTTGCTATAAATAAAATACAGTTTTCTATAATTAAGCTAACATTGATCAGCATTTTTAGCAGATAGAACATGACTTTGAGGGAATAAATATTTGAGGCTTTCTTTTAATTCATAGAATAAATGGTTAGTTAGCCTCTCATTTTCTTGTCCACATAAGAAAAACTGCATTATAACTGTAGTTTACCAGATGTTACATTTACTGTTATTAGTTCAATTCAGGTTTATTGGTTCTTCAGGTAATCATACAACACATTTTCTTGGTTTATGTTATGAAATGTGATGTAGATTTAGGTTTTCTCAGCCTTCTACCACTCTAAGATCTCAATCCCCCTTTTGTTGTTGTTTTTTGTTTTGTTGTTTTCATCAAAGGCTACCATTAAGTAAAGAAGGTAGTACACTTTGTATAACCATTTGATAGGCTTGGCTAGTTCAAGAAATAATACAAAAGGAAAAGTTTCATCATAGAATAGAGAATAAATTTGTAATTAATTTGCTCTTATGAGCCACCATATCACCTATGTCATTCATCTCCCTAAAATTTAAAGTAGCAATCGAAGATATTGTAGAGTTTCCAGAATATTCACTTTGTACCCTCCTTCAAGAAGAAATAGTCAAATACCTGAATGACCATAGTCTTACTTGTTAAAAGTCCAATTAGGTTAACAGAGAAAACCAAAGCAGAGGAAAATTGGGCCTAGTGTGAAGGGAAAGTCAACATTCTTCTAGTAATGCTTGCTCTTACTTCATTTCTTCCTCTTCTACAAATAAAGAGATGATAATTGGATAGATATTTGAATGTAGTCACTCAGGAAAGTCAGAAACTTTGAGTCTGAGCCACATATTCTGACCATGACTTTTATCAAGTAGTATTCTAAGTCACTATTTTTATCAAGCAGCATTAAATTAAGACTCTTAGAACTACATTCTAGCCTTAATCAGAATTATACTCTCTATCCCAAATGGTAATCAAGTTCTTAAACATTACTAACTGGTGAACCATTTGGTGCAAAACTCCAATACAATACCCAGCAATGAAGCCTTGCCTGTACAAAAGAATGAGAGCTTTTGTACAAAAGCAAACACCTCAAAATGAGAACTTGACTTAACTTGTAGTTCTGGAGGCACAGAACAGAAGAAAGCTATGAAGAACAGAAGTCCTGGTTTTATGATATTTAATAAGGTATTCTAACATAAACGTAAAAGCTTTAAGATCAGGAACTAAAAGATTAATAATTATTTTTTCTATATCACTTGCAGCATTATTTAAAGCAAATGAACTAAATATTTTTGGATAACTACATCAAAGTATTTATTGAAATTAATCTTTTGACTAATATAACTGAATCACCCAGCTTTAAATGCTGATTAAAGTAAAAAATCAACTTATACTTCCAAGTAAATTAAAATTGTATTATTTTTTATTCCATTGTGCATATGCATGTGTGTATATACATATACTATTTTCTTTATTCATTCATGTGCCAATAGACACTTAGGTTTGTTTTCCATATCTTGGCTATTGTCAATAATGTTGCAATGAACATGCGAGTGCAGATATCTCTTCAAGATACTGATTTCATTCTTTTGAATTTATACCCAGAAGTAGAATTGCTGCACTATATGGTAGTTCTGTTTTTAATTTTTTGAGGAAACTATACTGTTTTCCATAATGACTATACAAATTCACTTTCTCACCAACAGTACACCAAGGTTCCCTTTTCTCCATATCAACACTTGTTTTTCTTGCCATTTTGATAGCCATCTTAACAGGTATGAGGTGATATCTCATTGTGGTCCTAATCAGCATTTCCCCAATGATTAGTGATGCTGATGAACTTTTCATATACCTGTTGGCCATATTTACGTCTTATTTGGAAAAGTATCTGTTCTGGTTTTTGCACATTTTAAATTGTGTTGTTTAGACTTTTTGCTGTTGAGTATCTTGCATTTTTTATATTAACCCCTTGTAAGGTATATGATATGAAAATATTTTCTCTCATTCCATAGGCTGTCTTTCAATGTTGTTGAATTTTTTTCTTTGCTCTGCAAACAGCTATTCAGTTTGATGTAGCCTGCCTTGCCTTGTTTTTGCTTTTTTTGCCTGTGTTTTTATTATTCAACAATAAAAAGAAGGAAATTCTGCCATTTGCAACAACATGGATGAGCCTAGAGGACATTACGCTAAACAAAACAAGCCAGATGCAGAAAGACAAATACTGAATGATTTTACTAATATATGGAATGTTTTAAAGATCAAGCTCATAGAAGCAGAGTAGAACAGTCATTTCCAGAGGCTGGAGGATGGGATAAAGAGATTTTGGTCAAAAACATAATCTTTCAGTAATAAAATAAAGAAGTTCTATAGATCTAATGTACAGCAAGGTGATTATAGTTAACAATACTGTATTATTTGATATTTGATGAGAGGGCAGGTTTTAAATGTCCCTACCATATGCACACATACATAAAAATGTTATCTATGAATATGGTGGATATGTTAACTTGACTATACACTTGTGCCATTACACAATGTATATGTGTATATCAGATCGTCATGTTGTATACCTTGGATATATAAAATGTTTATTTGTTAATTAATTAAAATAAAATAATAAAATAGTGTTTTAAAGTTATTTGATATGAAAATAAATAAGTAAGGAAAAAATCAATTTCCCTCTGTATCCACCAAATAAATGCTGAAAGAATATTTTTAAAGTATCTGTTTAAGTGGTGCCAAGTTACCAACCTGCTGTGGGGCTCCACATATCTTGATCTGTCTCAGCCTATGACAGAGTGTTATATGAATTATTGAAAGGCAAATCTTTGCCATGTTCACAGATATTACAGATGTATGAATTTTAAATCTTGGCAGTGCCATGTGTTGTATGAATGCATTTTTACTAAGGAAAAGGATCCTCTGAACATGAGTGATATGTTCACCTTTTCTAATGTGAATGATATAATATCTATTTTAACTTCAAACGTAATCATTATTAACTACTTTCTCATTTAGGAGCCTCCAATTAATGCCGATTCATGATTCTGATTAATTATTTCAATTGAACTTTAAAAATCTCTTATGAAACATGACCTAATGGAGTGAATCAGAGCCAGAGCAGCTGAACAGTACAATACCATGTAACAATAAGTGAAGTGGATAATGACTGGCAAACTGTCTTACATCATTCAATGAGTAGTGTCCTACCAATTTGCTTGCTCCTTTAGGGGACCCGAAACTAAAGTGTCAGGCTAAAATTGTACTGTTCAAAGAAGGAAACTTAATCTGTACTATTTAAATCCAGGGCACAGAAGTAAAATCAGTGAAAATGGCAGAGAAAGAACCTCTGAAAATTTGCTCTTCATAAAAAATTTTAAAACTGGCAAACACTGTCAAAATCAACTTTTCAAAAACTCTTAATTTATCAAAGTTTCACAACAATCCAATATGTATTTGTTAAAAAGAAATAAAAAAGCTAAGTCTTGGTGAAAAAACCTAAAAATTTGGGGTGTTTTAGCTTGCTCTAGATTCATCTTCTGCTCTGTATGTTTCAGTAGCCTTGAAAAATAATGGTCCACATTTTTTTTCCTTTTTTTATTGTGTTTTAAGTTCTAGGGTACATGTGCAGAACATGCAGTTTTATATTACATAGATAGATAGATGCCATGGTGGTTTGCTGCACCCATCAGCCCGTCACCTACATTAGGTACTTCTCCTAATGCTATCCCTCTGCTAGCCCCCCACCTCCCGACAGGCCCCGGTGTGTGATGTTCCCCTCCCTGTGTCCATGTGTTCTCATTGTTCAACTACCACTTATGAGTGAGAACATGCGGTGTTTGATTTTCTGTTCTTATGTGAGTTTGCTGAGAATGATGGTTTCCAGCTTCATCCATGTCCATGCAAAGGACATGAATTCATCCTTTTTTATGGCTGCATAGTATTCCATGGTGTCTATGTGCCACATTTTCTTTATCCAGTCTATCACTGATGGACATTTGGGTTGGTTCAAAGTCTTTGCTATTGTGAATCATTGTGGCAACTCCTCAAGGATCTAGAACTAGAAATACCATTTGACCCAGCAATCCCATTACTGGGTATATACCCAAAGGATTATAAATCATTCTACTGTAAAGAACACATGCACTTTACATGTTTTTTACATATGTTTATTGCGGCACTATTCACAATGGCCCACATTCCTATACAGCCTGGTAGCCACCAGAGAAAGGAGAATGGAACTGGGGCTTTTTCAACGCCTCAATCCTAAAGAATTATCACATTATTTTACATGTCTAGTGCTTCCATGGAAGACCCCACTTAACAGGCTGCCTCTTGTCGACCTGACTTGGATTTCACCCAGTGTGAAAAACCTTCTCCTCAGCACCCATGTAAAAAACAATTACAGGAAAATGTTTTATCTTTGCAGCTGCCTAAAGCTGTGGATAACAGTTGAATCAAATAGTAAACTAAACAAAAAGCTTAAAGGAAAAACTAGCGAATGAAAAAATCCATAGATTCTTGAAACTCTGCAGCATATTCCCTAGGAATCCAGATGACCACACATGTACAGATATATGTGCATGCTCAGAAAAAATCTAAGACTGGGCTAAGCTTTCACCTCTGACTGAACTTAAGGCACTGTACAAGCAAGAGGTAAAGGTTAGGAAAGAGCTCTCAACTTTAGGTGAATGTCAAATATTTGTGCTAATGTAGACTACAGACCCCATTGGCAGAGGCTGGAGAATTTATTGGTTCCAAGCATTAAAGGAAATCACTGTTCTATTATTAGATCACTATGCTGAGAAATGACTTCAGTTGCTACACATGACAAAGAATATAGACTTTAAAAATTAAATTTAGAAAATTTACTAAACAATTAACAACTATAAATACAATAAGCAGCAACAGCAAATCTTGGGGAGAGACAAGAATCTCATTCTAGAGATCCCATATAATATTATTTAAAATATCAATTTTCATTAAAAAATGAATGGCACAAAGGAACAAGAAAGTATGTTCCACAAGCAGGAATAAAAACAATCAATAGGAAATGTCTTGGAGGAAACTAGTTTATTGGATTTACTGGACAAAGACTTTAAATCAGCCAATTTAAATATGTTCAAAGAGCTAAAGAAGAGTATAAGAACATTGTCACACTAGCTGGAGAATATTAATAAGAACACGGAAATTATTTAAAAAAATAAAGGACCAAGTGGAAATCCTGGATTTGAAAAGGAGAATCAATGAAATTAAAAATTTACTAGAGTATCTTAGTAGCATATTTGAACACGAAGAAGGAAGTATCAATGAGCATGAAGTCAAGTGATATTATTATCTGAGGAACAAAAACAAGAATAACAAAGAAAAGTGAACAGAACCTTAGAGGCCTGCAAGATATCATCAATCAGTCCTAGGAAACAAAAGAGAAATGAGGAGAAAGAATATGTGAAATAATAACAGAAGAAAAACTTCCCAAATTTGATGAACATTAATTTACACATCCAGAAAACACACTGAACTCCCCATAGGTCAAACTCAAAGAGGTCCACACACAGTGCTATGGACTGAATTGTGTTCCCCTCAATGTTCATATGTTGAAGCCCTAACCAAATATAATGGTATTTGGAAATGGGGCTTTGGGAGGCAATTAGGGCTAAATGAGATCATAAGAATGGGCTCTCATAATAGGACTGGTGCCCTTATATGTAGAAATATTGAGAGCATGAGCGCTCTCTCTCTCTACCATGAAAGTATGCAGAGAGAAAGTGTTCATCTACAAGCCAGGAAGAGAGCTCTCTCTAGGAGCTGACAATACCGTCACCTTGATCTTAGACTTGCGTTTCCAGAACTATGAGAAAATTAATTTCTGTTTGTTAAGCCACCAAGTGTATGGTATTTTGTTATGGCAGCCAAAAATGCTAAGCTACCTATATACATCACAAACTGTCAGTAGCCAAAGACAAATAAAAATTACTGAAAGCAATAAGAGAGAAGTAACTCATCACATAGAAGGGATCCTTTATAAGATAGAGTTGATATCTTTTTTTTTAAATACAGGAATGGTCATAGTTATTTAAAATAGCCCCAAACTGGAAACAATCCAAATGTGCAGCAACAGACAAATAGGCGAATGATATGTCAAACCTACTGGCATACTAGTAGGCAATAAAAAGGTATAACTTATTGATGCATGTAACATGGATGAGTGAAAATAAGCAAGTCAAAAAAAGAGTGCATTGATTATTCCATTTACATAAAATTCTAGAAATTGCAAACTACTATATAGCATAGTGACATAAAGCAGAGTAGTGCTTGCCTAAAGATAGGGATAGATGGGTCATGGAGAGGCAGGAGGAATGGATTACAAAGAGGCATTAGGAAATTTTGGGGAGTAATGGATATGTTCATTATCCTGACTGCTTTACATGTGCATTCATATGTCAAAATGTATCAAGTTGTACATATGAAATATGTACAATTTATTGTACGTCAATCATACCTAAATAAATTTGTTAAAACTTCAAATAATAAACTTAAACAAATCTAGCTGATATGGTTTAGCATGAAAACTGAGACAGGCTGAGTGTGAGTCCCCTTTTTGCTGAATATCAGAACTAGAAAATACACATTTAATTAGCACAGGTGTGTTCAGGCTAGGCTGCTATTAGGTTTTTCGCGGGATGTTTTCAAGAAGATAGAGTTAATTTCTAATAAGAAATTAGGAAGGCCAAAGCAATGGCCAGACGTCATGGAAGCCAGAATGTACATAGTCAAAGCACTAAAGAAAATAATCCTGTCAACTAGAATTCTATATCCAGAAAATCTATTCTTCAAAAATAAGGATAAATTAGTTCCCAGATAAACAAAAATTCAAAGAATTTGTCACTAGCATACTTGAACTAAAAGAAATGATGAAGGAATTTTTCAGCTTGAAATGAAGAAAACTAGAAAGTAATTTGAATCCACAAGAAGAAATAAAGACCTCTACTAATGGGTAACCACACAGATAAGTATATGAAGGGAGAGTTAAATATAAATGATGTATTTTTTGTTTGTACCTCTTTTTTCCTACCTAGCTTAAAAGACAACTGCATAATTCAATCATTATAACCTTGTGTTGATGGACAAACAATGTATAGAGATATAATCTGTGGCAGCATAAGGACTAGTTGAGACTATTTAGGAGCACAAGTTTTATATACTATTGATATTATGTTGGTATAAATGTTAACTAGATTGTTATAGATTAAGATATTAATGGTAATCCCCACAACAACCACTAAGAAAATAACTCAAAAACATATTGTTAAAAAAACAAGATGTGTATTAAAATGGTAAACAAAAAAATAACTACTCAATACAAAGGAAGACAGTAAAGAAGGAATTGCGGGGAAGAAAAACAGACACAGACATAGAAAACAAATAGCAAAATAGAAGCAGGTTATTTTGTATCAGTAATGATATTAATTTTAATGGACTAAATTAATGGATAAAAATTATCCAAAAATATGCATACAATGGACATATATGATATTCTGACACAAAAATGTTGAAAGTAAAAGGATGAAAACACATACGCTGCAAAGGGAAACCAAAAGAGAAGTGGAGAGGTTATAAAAATATCAGATCAAATATACTTTAAGGCAAAAGTTGTACTATAGAGAAAAAAGGACAGTTTTTCATGATAAAGTTGTCAAGCCATCAAGAATATATGACAATTTTCAATATGTGTACTTAACAACAGAGCCACAAGATACAAGAAATAAAAACTGACAGAATGGAGGGGTGAAATAGTTCAGAAATAATAGTTGGAGACTTAACCCAATTTCAAAAATGGATAGAATAACTAGACAGAAGACCAGAAAAGAAATAGAGAACTTGACAATGTGATAAACCAACCTGTTTGGACAGCTACAGAATACTTCATCCAACAATAGCTAAAATACATAGTTTTCTCTATTGTACATGTAGCATTCTCTAGGATAAGTGATATTTTAGACTATAGAACAAGTCTCAAAATAATAAAAATGACTTAAATCATACAAGGTATGTTTTATGACCACAATATAATGAAATTAGACATCAACAACATAAATCAATTTGGAAAATTCACTAATGTGGAAATTAAACAACGTGCTCTCAAAACTAATGAGTCAAAGAAGAAGTCATAAAGGTAATTAGAAAATACTCTGAGATGAATGAAAATAAAAACACAACGTATCAAAACTTATAGGATGCAGCAAAATAACTTCTTTGAGCAAAACCTGACTGTAAATGCCTGCATTTAAAAAAGAAAGATCTCAAAAACAAACAAAAATAACAAAACAAACAAAAAACAGCCTTCCACCTTAATAAACTAGAAAGAAAAATCACACTAAACTCAAGACAAGCAGAAATAAGGAAATAATAGTGATTATAGTAGAAATAAATGAAATAGATACTAGAAAAAACAGAGAATAATCAATAAGACCGTAAGTTGGTTGGTTTGTGGTAAAGATCAGCAAAACAGATACATCTTTAGCTAGAATAAATTATTTTTAAAGAAAGAAAATACTCAAATTACTAAAAGAATGAAAAAAAAGTATATTACTACCAACTTACATTTTTAAAAAAGATTATAAGGTGATACTACAAACAGCTGTTTACCAAAAAAATAGATTAATATGTTTAATAATGAACAAATTCATAGAAAGACCCCAACTAACAAAACTAATTGCTATGGCCTAAATACTTGTGTTCCCCAAAATTCATATATTGAAACCGAATCACCATTGTGAAGGTATTAGGATGGGGGATATCTTTTGCCATGTGAGCACACAGCAAGAAGATACTCTCTGTGCACCAGAAAGCAGGCCCCTATCAGAAATTAAATCTTCCAGTGATTTGATCTAGGATTTCCCAGACTTCAGAACTGTAAGATATAAATTTCTTTTGTTTATAAACTACTCAGTTTATGGTATTTTGTTTTAGCACCCCAAATGGAGTAAGACAATCAGTCTAGAAAAAGTAGAAAAAAGGATAAACCTGTGATGATTAAACAGATTGAAAAAAAAAATACTTTCTACAAAGAAAGCCAAAGACCACATGGCTTCACTGGTGATTTTATCAAATATTTTAAAAAGAATTAACATCTTCTCTTTACATAGTCTTCCAAAAATTAGAAGAGGGAGAGGAAACACTTACCAATGCATTCTATAAGGCAAGTATTAGCCTTATCCCAAAATCATGCAATGATTTCACAGGAAAACAAAATTACAGAACAATATCCTTTATTAATATAGACACAAACATCTTCAAAAAATATTAGCATACCAAATTCGGCAACATATACAAAAGCATATGCTATCACCATATGGAATTTATCTCATATGGATAAATGCAAAGCTGATGGAATAGATAAAAATTAGCAATGTAATATCTCATAAAATAAAGTAAAAACACATGATTATCTAAAGAGATGCAGGAAAAGTATTTGAGAAAAATCCAACATGCTTCCATGACAAAAAAGCTCAACAAACTGGGGACTTAAAGAAACATCCTCCACCTGATTAAGGGGATCTACAAAAAACCAACAAGTAACATTAAGCATAATATCCCCCCAAGATCAGGAAGGAGACAAGAGTGTATGCTTCTGTCACTTCTATTCAACACTATAGTGGAGATTCTAGCTAAGACAATTAGGCAAGAAAAATAAAAGCATCCATGATGAAAAAAGAGGAAGTATATAACTATATTTGCAGATGACATGATCTTGTATAGAGAAAATCCTAAGGAATCCCCTGAAACACTGATAGAATTAATAAATGATGTCAATATTTTTAAAATGTTTCATTTTATATACTAGCAATGAAAAATCTAAACTGAGACTAAGAAAGCAATCTATTTTATACCATTAAAAAGAATAAAATAGGCAAAAATAAATTTAACAAAATAAATGACTTGTACACTGTAAACTTTCAAAACATTATTGAAATAAATTAAGATTAAAATAATGAAAATATACTCCAAGATTATAGGTTGTAAGACAATATTTTTATGATGGCAATACTCTATAAATTATCTACAGATTCAACAAAATCCCTATCAAAATTCCAAATGTCTTTTTTTGGAAGGAGGCCAAAAATTGGCAGGCTAATTCTAAATTTCATATGGAAATGCAATGAATCCAGAAAAGCTCAATCTGAAAAAGAATAAAGTTGGAGAACTCATGCTACCAAATTTCAAAATTTATTGCAAAGATACAATAATCAAAGCAGCATGGTATTAGAACGAAGATAGACATGTAGATCAATGGAATGTAATTGAGCATCCAAAAGTAAACACATATAGTTATGTAAAATAATTTTTGACAAGGGTGCCAAGACAATTCACTCTGGTAAATAATAATCTTTTCCACAAATGGTGCTGTGACTACTAGATATGCACACGTTAAAAATGAATTTGAATACCTATGTCATATCATATCCAAAAATCAACTCAACATGGATCAACCACCTAAATGCAAGTGCTAAAGCTATAACAATCTTAGAAGAAAACAGAAGTACACATCATTATGACCTTGCTTTAAGTAACAGTTTTTAAAATATGACATATACAGTATAAGCAGCCAAAGAAAAAATAGAGAAGTTAGACTTCATCAAAATTAAAAACTTTTGCATATAAATAACACTATCAAAGAAGTCACAAGCCAACCCAAAGAGTGGAAAATATTTGCTCATTATATATTTGAGAAGGGTCTAATTCTAGATTACATAAAGAACTCTTGCAGCTTAACACTGAAAAAAAAATTGAAGTGGGCTAAGTGTTTGAATAAACATTTCTCCAAAGACATACAAACATCCAATAAACACATTAAATTATGCATAACATCATTAGTCATTAGGGAAATGCAAATCAAAACCACAATGAGATGCTACTTCACATCCATTAGGATGGCTGTGATGAAAAGACAAAAAGAAAATAACAAATGTTAGCATGTTAGGATGTGGAGAAATGGGAACCTCATAACGTTGCTCTGGGGATCTAAATGGTACAACTACCTTGAAAAGAGTCTGGCAGTTCTCCAAAAAGTTAAGCACAAACTGACCATATGACCCAACAATTCCATTCCTGGGTTTATATCCAAGAAAACAAAAAAATATATATCAGCACAAAAACTTATACACAAATGTTCATAGCAGCATTATTTGTAATAGCTGAAAAATGGAAACAACTCAAACTTCTATCAACTAATAAATGGATTAACAAAATATGGCATATCGGTATAATGGAATATTCATCCATAAAAAGAATGATATGCTGAGGCACACTATAACATGCCTGAAACTTGAGAACATGCTAAATGAAAGAAAACAGATAGGAAGTTCCCATACTGTATCAATACATTTATATAAAATGTTTAGAATAAGCAAATCCCATTAAGATAGAAAGTTGAATAGTTGTTAGGGGCTGGAAGGACAGGAAAATAAGCACTGAATGCTAGCAGGTGTGAATGATTTTTTTCTGGAATGAAGAAAATATTCTACAACTATATAGTGGTGATGGTTGCACAGCCTTGTGAATATATTTAAAACCAATAAAATATACACTTTAAAACAGTGAATTTTAAGCTAGGTAAATTACATTAATAAAAATCAATACACTGATACATTTGTGAATAGTTTCATATCTTCACTAATTTATTATCAACTGAGTGCAGGAGGAATAAAGCCTGAAAAGATATGCTCCAGAATGTTTATAGTGAATATCTTTGGGTAGTGAGAATAAGGATTTTTTTTAAAAAAATTAAACTTCTTCTTTCATTTTTAAAAAATAATTGCATTAACTTTATAATCCAAAAATAGTTAAGTGAATTAAGTTGATAAATTAAAAATGGATAAAATTAAAATGGCCAATAGAAATTATTAGACATTCGTTTACCAAAAAGTACATGAAATTTGACCATTCTTCACACTTTGTTAACTCAAAATGAACTATAGAGTAAATTTAAAACATAAAACTACAGAATATTTTAGTATTAAACATAGAATAATATCTGTTTACCCATGGTTTAAGCAAAGCATCCTTCAGTGTGACACAAAAATATCATTTGTGAAAGAAAAATTGATAAATTGGATATTAACAAAGAAGAAACTTCTGCTCTGTGAAACACACAATTTTAAAAATGTCAAAATAAGTTACAGAGTAGGAGGAAATATTTGCAAATCACATTTCTGACAAAGGATTTGTATTTAGAACATAAAAATAATTCTCAAAATTCAATAATAAGCAATCCAATTTAATAAGTAGGCAAAGATCTGAACAAACACTTCACCAAATAAAATATGTGGATGCAAATAAGCATAGGAAAAGGTGTTCAATAGCCCTATTCATGAGAAAATGCAAATTAAAACTTCAAGATATCACTATACACTATTATAATGGAGGATTAAAAACTCTGACAATGTCAAATGCCAGTGAAGAGTAGAGCAACTGACACACTATACGTTGCTAGTGTGAATGTAAACTGGGTACCGTCACTTTTGAAAACAGTTTGGCAACTTGTTATAAAGTTAAACAAGAAAATGAAAACTTACATTCACATAAAAACTTGTATGCAATTGTAGCAGCTCTATTCATAATTGCCAAAAATGGAAATCATTCAGATGTCCTTCAACAAGTAAATGGGTAAATTGTGGTATATCCCTACAAAGAAATAGTATTTAGCAATTAAAATGAACAAACTATTGATTCACATACCACCTCCACTGCCTTTGGCTAAATGAAAGAAGCCAGACTCAAAAGTCTATATGTTCCACAGTTCCACTCATATAACTTTCTGGAAAAGGCAAAATAGAGACAAGAGAACCCACCAGTGGTTAGAGGAGCTGTCTACAAAAAGGAAGAATGAGAGAATTTCAGAGACAATGGAACTGTTCAATGTTATGGTTGTGGTGGTAGATGTATAGCTCTAAGCATTTGTCAAAACCCATAGAACTGTATATAACAAAGAGAATTTTACTGTATGTAAATAAATATGTAAATAAAAATATAAATAAAAATGAATATAAAATGTATTCAAGATAAAAAAATGCAACTGATAGGATATGAAAAGAATGAAATAAAGTTAACTATGCAAATGAACCCCATCCCAAAGCATATAATGACACATACACTTACACACACACACTCAGAGCTTAAAATGTATTTTTATCTAAACATTGAACAAAATGGCCCTGCAAAGTAATTTCAAAGCTTCAGCCGAATTGAAACTGCAAACAGGCTCAGTGCTAATTCTGAGTATGTACTGGATTTACCTAAATAAGATAATTATTTATATCATTGTTATTACTACCATAATAACTGCATATTATGTCATGTAATATAATATTTTATATATAATAACATGATACAATTATGTTTCTAAGAAGCATGAATCAATTTCAAATTTAGTAATATAATGGAATATGGAAAAGCAGCATGAAAAAGAGTCAAAGAGCATTTAGAAGGGATAACTAATAAGTTGTTGCCACTACTTTGACATTCTTCCACAACATTAGGAAGACCCAAAACAAAGAAAAAGAACATAGAGTTGGAAAGTGGGAGTGGTTATGATGGAAAAGGAGTCAAGGAAGGGACTGAGTTCTGTGTTGATACTAGTTTGATGGCAAAGGAAGATCCACAAGCGACAGAGTGAACAGCAAGAATTCTGAGAAGGTGGGGGTTCAGTTCCAAAGGTGATATGGAAATAAAAGCTCCTTATGAATTCACAAAACATTAGGGGATAGCATTTGACTTTTCAAATTTCAGAATGGAGGCTAAACCAATCCCATTTAGATGTGACAGGAAGGGCACTTCCAGCTGACATGTGGGAGCAATCAAACTGTCTACTCTCAAACAACTTATGAAAATAAACCACTTAAAAATAGGGTTTGTATAAAGTAAGTGGTGAAGAAGACATACAAGTAACTAATGGGTGAAACTGAAATTTGGGTAACCAGAAGTTGGAATTCAGAAGCGGTGAGCAGAAACCTGTGGAGGCTAAATAGGACCTCAGATTAGGGACTCAAAATTTTCTTACCTGTCATCTCATCCTCTAACAACACTCAATCTCTATCTTGTCCCTAGTTAAGGCTTTCAGTTACTTCCTCCTGTCTCATGGTTCCATTTATCAGTACTCTTTTCAGCTTCACTTGCCTCCTTACACTAGATTCCCATGGTCAACCACTAAAGCAATGTTGATGTTCTAATCTGAAAACTGTCAATTGTGAAGGAGCTGAGATTGTGCCCTACTTGCAAGCTAATAATTTAGCCTGCTACAATTTCACGGATTCTGGCAGAACATACAAGACTTCTAATCAGAAATAAAAGACCATGGATTACTTCTAGGAATAGCAATAGCCAAAGGATCGGGATTTTTCATAGTTCTCCACACCCCACTTCTCACAAAGCAACAGGAAGAAGGCCAGATGACATCTGTGCACATCATGAGGTGTGCTGCAGGAAAGAAACTCTGAGCTCAGAGAAACTGAATTTTTTACAATGGGCAGATAATTTGCAAAGAGGCTTATTTTTTTTTCAAGGTAAAATTCAGAGAGAAAAATTGAACAATTATTCAAAGGGAAGAATTTCCAAGCCACTGTACAATTTCACAAAGGGGAAGAAAGACAAGCTTTTCAGCTCTTGTCAGACCCAACTCTACTCTTTTCAATTGTGTTCCATGAGAATCTCTTGTTTCTCATTAAGTTCTATTCAGGCCCCAAGTTATTCTGCACTTTCTTTCACTTTATAGAGTGCATGAGCTTTGTACCTCTCATTTCAAGAATAAGGCTTGAATACAATTTCACTTCCAAAGAACATTATCAATCTACCCAAATCATGACGTATCTCCTACTTCACCAAAGAGATAAGAATAATTGTCATGAGGTCCTTTTGCTCTACCTCAAAAGACTTGTAATAACTAGAACATACATGCAACAGCAATTTTTCTTCATGCTGTGTGCCTAATATGACAGCTAACAGTCCTGTGATGCAGGAATATTTTTCTTACTTCATTTTAGTGATTAGGTTTAAAACTAGGCTTTATAACTTCAGGAGAAGTCATCAAGCTTGTTGTGGTAATGATATCTTTAGTTCTGAAATACATCATTTTGCTTTTGGAATCTTTTTGCTGTTTGCTGACAAAAATGATCCATTTTATTATAAAATGTATTATTTAGCTCAAGTCTGCATTATCCAAATATGAATGTTCTCCATGTTTGGGTATCTCCATTTTCTCCATAATCTATTCTGCTCACTTCTACCATATTGATTCGAAGATGATGTTCTATTTTGCTACTGTCCAAAATAAGAAAGCACAACAAACAAACAAACAACAACAACAACAAAACTGATGGCCAATTAAAGTTTAAACTTCTTATTTTAAAGTTCTAGGACCCTGTGTAATTACTAAAGTATAATGTAATACAATTTAGAACTAGGGATTAGGTGACAAATATTCATAACTAATTGTGTTATCCTACCTGTAAGCCTCCTTCCTTATATGTATAAAATGAGGAGTGAACACATCAAACATTCTAGCTGTAAAATTACACAAGTCTGCTTTCTAAATCTTAGCTTCCATTACTCTACCAATTGCTCTCTGCTTTTCGGTCCAATGAAACTATGTGCCATTCCACAGAAAAGCATTTTGAGAGTGCTATACCTGCTAAAATTTTTGCTACTGCCATTTCTCTCATATACAATATTTAACTCTTACCTGTAATAAAATATTAACCTTATATCATGGTTACATCTTTCATAAAATTTTTCTTAACCAGAACCAATAAACTGCCTTTTATAAATTCCCAAACACATGGATTTTGTTTTTGTTGGCACTCTGCAAAATTTATTCACATTGAAGCTTTTTTAAAAAAACAACAACAACAACTTTATTTTTAGTGAAGTTGTAAGTTCACAGCCAAACTGGATAGAAGGTTCACCGCAAAACTGGACAGAAAGTAAAGAGATTTCCCATATATGCTGTATCCTATCATATATATAGCCTCCCCTGCTATCAACATCCTGCACCAGAGTGGTACTTCCATCACAGTTGATGAATCTACCTTGGCAATCATTATCACCCAGAGTGGACTTATAGTTTACATTAGGGTTTACTCTTGGTGTTCTCAATTTTATGGGTTGTGACAAATAACATGTATCCACCATTGTAATATAATACAGAATAGTTTTATTGCCCTAAAATTCCCTTGTGCTCTGCCTATTCATCCCTCCCTCCTCCTTAACCCCATAACAACCACTGATACTTTTTCTGTTTCTATATTTTGCTTTTTCCAGAGTGTCAGATAATTGGAATCATACATCATGTAACCTTTTCAGATTGGATTTTTTCACTTAGTAATTTGCATTTAAGGTTCTTCTATGTCTTTTCATGGTTTAATAGTCCACTTCTTTTTTTTTTTTTTTTTTTTTTTTTGAGACAGAGTCTTGTTCTGTCGCCCAGGCTGGAGTGCAGTGGCGCATCTCCACTCACCGCAAGCTCCGCCTCCCGGGTTTACGCCATTCTCCTGCCTCAGCCTCCCGCGTAGCTGGGACTACAGGCGCCTAGAGGCGCCCGCCACCACACTCGGCTACTTTTTTGTATTTTTTAGTAGAGACGGGGTTTCACCGTGTTAGCCAGGATGGTCTCGATTTCTTGACCTCGTGATACGCCCGCCTCGGACTCCCAAAGTGCTGGATTACAGGCGTGAGCCACCGCGCCCGGCCAGTCCACTTCTTTTTAATGCTAAAATATTTCATTGTCTGGCTATACCAGTTTATTTAGCCAATCACCTGCTGAAGAACTTGTTACTTTTAGGTTTTAAAAATTTATTTAAAAAAATTTTGCAGGTTTTATGTAGACCTATGTTTTTCAACTCACTTGTGTAAATACCAAGGAGTCTGATTGCAGGATTCTGTTTTATTTAAAAAACCATGAAACTGTCTTCCAAAGTGCCTGTACTATTTTGCGTTTCCACCACCATGAATGAGAGTTGTATTGCTCCACATCCTCACGAACATTGGTACTGTCAGTGCTTTGGATTTTCACCATTCTAATAGGTAGGTAGTGGAATCTCACTGTGCTTTAATTTGCATGCAATGTCCTAATTACACATGATGTCAAGTACTGTAGTTATTTTTGTAGACACTGTGTATCCATGTTAATTACAGGCGTTTTAAGAGTATCAAAAGTCATTCATCTTTTTGTCATTAACTGAATACAGTATAATGCCTCATATATACTTGCCACTAAAATAATTGTTGAATATATGCTAGGACTGTAGTAAAAAAAAATGAAAGAATTCAAGGAGATATGCCTCAGTTCATTAGCAGGGCAAATTCAGTCTCAGGGGTGTCTAAGATACAATGCCAGAGTTAGCTATTGCTTAAATTTTTAGTAATTTCACATTTTGATAAATGTATATATTGCAGATATTCCTCAACATATAGTGGGGCTATGTCCCAATAAACCCATTGTAAGTTGAAAATATTATAGCAGACAATACAGTATTTAATACAGTACACCTAACCTACTGAACATCATAGCTTGGCCTAGCCTATGTTAAATCTGCTCAGAACACTTATATTAGCCTACAGTTGGGCAAAATTGTCTGATACAATCCTATTTTATAATAAAATGTGAATACCTAATGTATTGAATACTCTACCAATAGTGAAAACTAGAATGGCTCTCTGTCACTGCCTACCACCCAAAGAGTGTATTATATCACGTATCACTAAACCAGGAAAAGATCAATTCAAAATCTGAAGTACAGTTTCTACTGAAAGTGTATCATTTTCCCAACATTGTACAGTTCAAAAACCATAGTCAAACCATCATAAGTCCATCATAATTTGAGGACTATCTGTATTTAGACCCAAATGAATATTCTCACCTATACAAAATTAACATATGAACCCAAGGTACATGACCTCAATGTTTTATACTAATATTGGTACTTTTTTTAAAAATAGACTCAGGAAGATTAAAGGTAAAATGAGCTATATTTCCAATATATTAACTCCTATCAAAGACTTCCAAGAACCTTGAATAATGGCAATGTCTTAGTCTGTTCTCTGTTTCTGTAATAGAATACCTGAGACCAGGTAATTTATAAAGCAAAGAGGTTTATTTGGCTCGTGGTTGTGGAAGCTGGAAAGTCCAAGATCAGGTGGCTGCATCTGGCCAGCGTTGGATTAGGGCCTTGTGCTGCATCATAACATGGCACAAAAGTGGAAGTGCAAGTGAGTGTATGCAAAAGAGGCAAAACATGAGGAGCAGTCTCAGTTTATATTAATAACCACCTGATCTCATAGAAACTCTTCCAGTCCAGCAAGAGTGATACTCGCTCACTCCCTAAGAATTCACCAGTTCCACAAGAGCAGCATTAATACCTCTTAATGACCCAATCCAACTTAAAGGCCCCACCTCTGAACACTGCCGTGCTGGGGACCAAATTTCCAACACATGAATTCTCATGAATACACTCAAAACGTAGCAAGCAGTTTGACTTTCAAAGTTAATTTATTCAGCAAAAATTCATTGGGTGTTTACTATATAAGAGGCCCTATTCTAGAACAAGAAATGTATTAGTGAGCAAAATCAAAGAATCCCTATTAATGAAAAAGTTAATTTTACCAAGTTACACATGTAAGCTTATTCCATTATATGTAATAATACATTTTAAGACTATATTCCACCTGGTATATTTTAAATTAATGTATTCTATTTAGAAATAATTCAATCTGAAAAAATAATACTAAGCCATTTTAAACTGAGTTCAAAATATGTACTTTATTTTGAGTCCTCATTTGCAAAATAAATACATATTTTTTAATTCCCATAAGGCTGAGTTATTTGAATCCAAAAGAGTCATATTGGCAGTGCTCTATGGACTTGGAGATTCATTTTAAACATCTATTTTGCAGGTTGCTATGACATCATGAGGTTTCCATCTAAACTTCATACTGGACAATTGCTCTTTTTTAGAGTTACAATTCCAATAGTAGAGAAAGTTAGATATATGCATATATATATATACACACATATATAGCTTGTTATATATATAACATATTATTTTATATATATTACTTATTTTATATCTACATATACATACACACACACACACGCATATATATGTATTAGATCTTTTGCATATAGATAGTATCCAAACGAATTTCAACATCTCTGTTTTGGCAGGAATTCAGATTTATAAACAGCAAGCTTCCATCTGGAATTATGGTCTATATAAAGTGGCAAAACAGATTGATTGATATTCATTTACCATAATTACAAGAGCTGAGAATGCTTAGCTCTTGGTAAGTATGGCTAGAGGCCATCTGTAACAGATCGCATGCAAATAAAAGCTTGGAATATAAATTAAAATGGTCTCTTAAAATGTAATGCAACTGGACAAATGGTGTATATGATTGTATGTATCTCCCAAATACTATTATATAAATAACTGTCAAATAATAACAATATATTAACATTGTATTATGTTTATATATTCAAAATTTATATGAATAAATGTGCTGTCCTTTATATATGAAGGTAGAATCCCAGTCACCAAAAATAAAATGTGTGCTTTGAATTATCAGTAACGTTTATCTGTTTACAGTGAGTCCTAGTCTCTTTTTTATCCTTGTAATTTATATTCATAAATTGAGTAGAACAGGTCAAAGGAAGAGTACAAAGACATTTTTAATATATAAAAACAGCAAATGAAATGTTAGGTTTTGATTATTTATAATTTAATTAATATTTAAATATACACATAAATATATTTTACCAATAATTTAAATTATGCATTTTATTACAATTGTATATTTATTTCACACTCCAAAAAAGTACATTAATGTTATTCAGATCAGAACATGATAGAAATAATTTTATATTCCAAAACATATCAACAGCATTTTATACATAGGTTTCTGGCTTAACTATGCAAAACTATTTCACATATTACAAAAATATTCTGACACAGCCAAAGAATCTCATCAGGCAAAGAATTATAAGTATCCCATGTTACTTAAAAATATAAAGATATTGCTTAAAAATCACTGAATAAGCAAATAAACTTTAGTTTGAAATTGTAGAACAGAAAGTAGAAAGACCCTATGTTTTACTGTGTTTTCTTAAAAATACGACTACATGATTACACAATTTCAGGTCGTGGACATGTGATAAAACAAGAAAATTCCACAAGTACTTGGTTGTATCCCCACCCAATTCTGCTAACTTCCTAATTTTAGAATATATTATCGGTTGAAAATACTATTAAGTCTCACTCTCTTCATTTCCATTGTTCTAAATGTTTCAGAAATTGATTTACACTATACTATATAAAATACATACATATATAACATAATATTGTACTACATAACACAATAATTGACCACTTGTCAGTTAATATGATTTTACTATAATTAACATAATATCCAACTTTAAAATTCTTACACATTTAATATTTCATATACAAAAAGTTCCAGAGGCAGTGCTTTTCCATTTGGTTCTGAGTCAAGAAGGTATCATCATGACCCATGTAAGTAATTCCCAATTTTATCCTTTGTCATCCACGTCATGATAATTCTATCTCTCTGTTGTTTGCAATATGACTTCAGAAGTCTCCGGCTTCATGTTTGCTTGCCGTGTCAAGCAAAGACTGTTTTATTCTTTTAATCTCTTTATTTATGGAGAAATAACTTTCCTGAAAGCCTTACAAAAGACTTTCCCTTAGCTCTTGTTTTATAGGTGGGGTTTATAGTCCAAATATCTAGCTTCCAGGGAAGCTGGAAAAGCAAGTGTGTAGCACATTCAAACTTTACAAAAGGAAGCCGACTACGCCAGCAGAGAAAGGCCAATAGAGGAATACAGGTTGGTGATATTAGCTACAAGTCTGTCATATCTGTATATTTGTCTAATTTACCCTACATGGTTAAAAATTCCTCTACCTACCAACCTATTCTCCCCCTACACACACACATACTGACTCACATATGCACATGTGCATGCTCCTCCTGCAATTACTAGCTTAGGTAAAGGAGATACTGTTTGTTGTGATGTGCTAAGCTATCAGATGTACATCTCTCCACTATGTCAGGATTGTATATTAAAGCTCTGAAATTTTGGCAAGATTTTCAGCTAAAAGGATTAAGAATCCTTTATTGGTATCTGCAAAATCAAAGAGCTGTCACAAGTTTATAGCTCTTTGAGATTTACTGCTTCTTTAGTAAAACAAATCATTGATGAAAGACATCATTGATGACACAAATAAATGAAATCCTATGTTCATGATTTGAGAGAATATTGTTAAAACATCCATAGTACCCAAAGCAATCTACAGATTCAACATAATCCTTAATAAAATTCCAATGACACTTTCACATAAACAGAAAAAATTTCCTAAAATTTGTATAATACCACAAAAGATGCAAAATAGCCAAAGCAATCTTGAGCAAAACCAAATCTGGAGTCCTCACACTACCTGACTTCGAAATACACTACAAAGCTGTAGTAATAAAAACAGTATGGTACTGGTAATAAAAACAGACACACAGACCAACAGAGCAGAATAGATAACCCAAAAGTAAATTCACACATTTAAAGCCAATTGATTTTTAATAAAGGTGCCAAGAACTCATAATGGAGAAAGGACATTTTCTTCAATAAATGGTATTGGGACAACTTGATATCCTCATGGAGAAGAATAAAAGTAGGCCCATATCTCACACTGCTATTGCTTAAATGTGTCTTCCAAAGCTCACATGTTAGAAACTTAATCCCCAATGCAACAGTGTTGAGAGGTGGGGCTTTTCAGAGGTAACCAGGTCATGAGGGCTGTGCCCTCATGAGTGGATTAACGGCATTATCATGGGAGTGGGTTGCTTATCACATAGTGGATTGTTATAAGAAGCAAGTTAGGCCCCCTCTTGCTCTATTGCTTTTTCATGCGCTCTTGCACTTCCACCTTTCACCATGAAATGATGCAGCAAGAAGGCCCTCACCAGATGCAGGCTCCTCGACCTTAGATTTTCTAACCTCCAGAACTGTAAGAAATAAATTTCTAGTCTTTATAAACTACCCAGTCTTTGGTATTCTGTTACAGAAACACAAAATGGACTAAGGCACATACCATATACAAAAATTAACACAAAATTATTAAAGACTTACACACAAGACCTAATACTGTAAAACTGCAAGAGAAAAACATAAGGAAAAAATTTTATGACATTAGTCTGGACAATGATTTTTTGATATATACCCAAAACACAGCAAAAAAAGCAGAAATAGACAGATGGAATAACATCTAACTGAAAAGATCCTGCACAGCCAAGGAAACAATTGACAGAGTGAAGAAAGAATTTATGGAATGAGAGAAAATATTTGCAAACCATGCATATATTAAAGGGGTTAATATCCAAAATATATAAGGAACTCAACTCAATAGCAGAAAAATAATGAGCAAAGGATTTGAACAGACATTTCTCAAAGCAGACATACAAACAGCCAATATGAATATCAGGATAACGCTCAAAATCACTAATCATCAGATAAATGCAATTTTAAACCACAATGATATATCATCCCATACGCACTATAATGGCTATTCTTTTTAAAATATAAAAGTCTTTTGAGAAGATGTGGAGGAAAAAAAAACCTTTGCACACTGTTGATAGGAATGTAAATTCATACAGCTATTATAAAAAATATGGAGGATCCTCAAAAAATCAAAAATAGAACTACCATATGATCCAGCCATCCTACTACTGGGTATATATTCCAAGGAAATGAAATCATAATGTTGAAAAAATATCTATACTCTCATGTTCATTGCAATCTTATTCACACTAGCCAAGATATAGAATCAACCAGTGTCCATCAACAGATGAATGGATAAAGAAAATGTGGTATGCATACACAAGCAAATACATGCAGCATTAATAAGAAGGAAATTGTGTCACTTGCAACAACATGGATGAAGCTGGAGGACATAAGTGAAATAAGCCAGGCACAGAAAGATAAATTCTTCATGATCTCATTTATATGTGAACTTTATAAAACTTGAATAAACAGAAGAAGAGAATAGAATGGTGGTTACCAGGGGCTAGGGTGGGGGATAGGGGTTGGGGAAATGTTGGCTAAAGGATACAAAATTTCACTTAGGAGGAATAATTTCAAAATATAGAATGTATGATTTGGTGACTACAGTTAAAAAATGTATTATATTCTTGAAAATTGCTAAGAAAGTACATTTTTAGTATTCTCATCACAAAAAAGTATGTGAAGCAATGCGTATGTTAATTAGCTCAATTTAGTCATCCCACAATCTATACATATTTCAAAACATGTTTTACAAGATAAATATATACAATTTTTATTTGCCAATTGTTAAATAAATATTTTAAAAGCAACTAAGAAAAGAAGAAAAGAAAGATTAGGAAAAAGGTAGGGAAGGAGGGAGGGAGGGAAGGAAGGAAGGAAGGAAGGAAGGAAGGAAGGCAGGCAGGCAGGCAGGCAGGCAGGCAGGCGAGAAAAGAATGAAGAAAAGCAGCAAATTTTTATTGGATTTATTAAATTACCTCGTAAGTAAGCTGGGAAAAAAAATGTACCATTACCAGCATTTCAAAGTGTCTTTGCTCAAAATTTAAATATGTTTACACATTGTTTCATCTTACTCATTTTTCAAGAGCTATTATGTTAGCTCTGTCATCCTCAGTAGTTTTTGGATAATAAAGTTATAAATAATTTTTGCATGTAATTAATATAAAAACTACCTACCTAGGCTGGGTGCGGTGGCTCACGCATGTAATCCCTGCACTTTGGGAGGCCGAGGTGGGTGGATCACCTGAGGTCGGGAATTTGAGACCAGTCTGACCAACATGGATAAACTTCATCTCTACTAAAAATACAAAATTAGCCGGGCGTGGTAGTACACGCCTGTAATCCTAGCTACTCGTGAGGCTAGGGCAGGAGAATCTCTGGAACCTGAGAGGCAGAGGTTGGGGTGAGCCGAGATCACGCCATTGCACTCCAGCCTGGGCAACAAACAAGAGCGAAACTCCGTCTCAAAAAAAAAAAAGAAAGAAAAGAAAAAGAAAAACTATCTACCTAAATGTGAATATGTGAATATCTTTTTAAGAGCTATTTAACATACAGATATTTTACTTACTCCAACCCACTTAATTCAAATTAATGAAAAGTTTACAGTAAAAAAGGATTTTCAAATGAATTACCCAAATCTTCTAATTACAGCCTTGTTAAATCAATTACAAATAAAATTTTAAAAGATACTTTATCAGAAATTACTGATACAGTTTTCAAGAAATGCTAAGGCATCACTGCAACATTTTTCTTAAATCTTCACTTTATGGATATTACTATTGACAATTGGCATCATCTGTTTCTAAATTCTTTCTCAACATTAAAATTAATAAAAATAATCTAAGGATGACTCTCAAATAACAAAATATTTATCAATGTAGAAATTGATGTAGGGAAGAAAAAACAAAATTTGCAAATTTGATGATTTTATTAGTACGAAATACTGAAGAGGCCAAACCCAGTTTGTTTATATTTTATGTATGTTTGATAGATTGTTACCTTTTCAAATAATACTGCCATGTTTTCCTTTAAGTTTCAAGGTTTGTAATGCAAATGTTACTTTTCAAAAAAAAAAAAAAGCTATTTAAATTTAACAAAGCTTTGTACCGGTGTGTGCCAAATAAGCTTCTTGTGGCCACTGCATTATGGCCAATTATGCCAATTTTACAACTAGTTGTATGCATTTTATTTTCCATTGCAATGATGAAGATACCTGAAAGTTTAAAAAATGTCACCTTGCCTGGGATTCTTCACTAGCATTGCTTCAGTAAGTTAAAATATCATGACATTAGCATTAATGTATAGATGGAACAATCTTTTATTTTTAAGAAATCTCTCCCAGTAGATAAAGAATTCATTTTTCTGTTCTTCAGGGTAACCTTTCTCTAACTTTCTTACTTTAACAATTTAGATAACTGTAGAAGGTCACACAGGAAATAGCTGTACTCATGAATAACCAATAAACTAATAAATCTCATTTTCTGACCAAAAAAAAAGATGATTATGTATACCTGCTTTTTATTCTTATGTTTGAACAAAATGTGTTAACTGCAAAATATCAGATTCTCTTCAGGAATGTCTATGCTGAAAACATTGTTTCCCTCATATTTCTCTAGGACACAGATAAACATTTCTACCATTGTGTCAAGTTCAAGAAGAGGAGCTGTCTGCTTTAATGTGTGCATATACTTACCCTCATAGAAATACTAAGGACAGTCAACTAGCTTACAAAGATTCTATCATCTTGTTTTACTCAAACTAAGGAAGGTAACTGCTGACAACATTATATGACATCTTAGAAAATTGCTGATCAGAGCCACTTGAGACTGATCACCACACACATTCACAGTCTTCTCAACTGTGCAGAGTCAGAATCACAAAGTGGTTTAGATCACAACATAATTCAGTAAATAATAAAGTAAATGGCCTGTCCTCTAAGTGAAGTTGACATTACTGAGCTATTGTCAGTAGAACATGAATTTTGATTAGATGTTCACAGCAGGGATTTGGGGGCCCTCAAGCAAATATTTCTGAGAGGGTTTATTCACACTTTGTTAACTGCAAAACATGTATTTGCAGCAAACTTCCATGCAATGGAAAGATTACTTGGCATTTACAGAAAACAGCAGAAAGGGACTTTTCCCTTACAATAGTTTAACTTATTTTCCATTAACTTTTGTCTTTCTCCATGTTATAATTCCTTCATCTACACTTAAAGGTTCAAGAAACTAAATAATATTAAACAAATAATTGAGTTTAGTTTTATTATATATGGTATACAAACTATTTTATAACTCCTTATATACTTCTGATAACAGTCTTCGAGAAGGCTTGGTAAATTAATGAGCAGATACTTTAGAACTTTTTGAAATACATTCCTGTTGATTTTGCCATCTCTTTGATATCAAACAATAGGTATAGTGAAGGTTTTGAGTTCTTCTGTTTTCTTTTAGGAGTAGAAAATATAATGATGAATTTATGAAGATCCATTACTCTCATTTATAGAAAATTATTTGTGCATGAGAAAAACTACAAAAGGGTGCTAAACTTATATAGAAATTGCAATATATAACATGGGAATTAAGCAGGTTTTAGTGATAGTCAATATTCTATTCCATTTCATTATGATTTTACAATTAAGAAAACAGAAAACTGAAAGCTATGATCTTTATCCTTTTTCTATTAAAAGCATCCTTTTAAACCAATAATAGATTTTTTAAAAAATGGCATTTCAGTGTTGAATAGATCTATAGGTAAAATCTAATCCAATTTCTTAATTTTATAGTTCAGCAAGGAGAGGTCAAAAAGAAAAGCAAATGAGTATTTGACTTGTCTACGGTAAACACAGATGTATAGGCTGATAATACCATGAAAGAACAAAGCTATATGTTTTATACTCAACATTTATTATATGCTTGTTTTGTGCCAGAAGCTAACGAATAGTGGCAGAAAATTTAAACTCTGCCTGTTCCAGTGGAGTTTATCTCATGGGAATTACAGGATTTAATCAAATAATCACACTAGCACATGTATTATCATAAAGGGACATAAACACTAAGAAGAAATACTAAGGAGACATGCTGTAAAAAGTGTCACTTGAGATGAGACCTGAAGGATGTATAGAAGTTAATTCGGTGGAGAGGGTGGTGGAAGGTGGTTTGAATTCCTGGCAGAGGGAACAACATAGGAAAAGGCCTTTGTAGGGAGGAAGCATCATTAATTTAAGGACATGAACAAAGACAGATCAATAGATCTATCAATTACCTGATGTGAAAAGAGAGGAAATGGGTTGATAAAAATGAAAAGAGCTTCAGAGATTTATGGGACAATATCCAAATTTTTATCATGTGGGTTGTTAAAGGCCCAGAAGGAAGGGAGGTAGAAAAATATTCTAAGAAGTAATGGGCAAAAACTCACATTTAGTGAAAGACATAAATTTAAACAAAATTTACAAGAGTCAAGACACCAAATCACAAGGAGAATACAGTGAAACCTAGTCATGTCACAGTGAAACTGTTGAACATCAAAGAAAATGTCAATCTTCAAAGCAACTAGAGAATAAAAATACATTGCATACAGAATAAAAACAACTTGAATTTTTGTGGATTTCTCATCAGAAAGTATACAAACCCACAGTCTTGAAAGGGTATATTAGTTTCTACTTTTTTTATTAAACACTTATTTTAGATTGTCTTTATTTTTTACTTTTCTGACTTCTTAAATTATACGGGATATCTCATTGATTTCCAATCCTCCTCACCCTCCATAAAGAGAAACACTAAAAGTGACAAACGCCAATTTGTCTGCCTCATAAAATTTCTGACATAAATATATGTTACTTCCTTCAAAATATTTTCTAATTTCCATTTTGATTTTTCTTTGATAGATGAATTATTTTTCAGTGTGCTTTTAAAAATTCCCATTATATTTTCAAATAAAAATTCACTTCTAATTTTTAATTTAAATTAAGAATTCAAATTAAATGTATGAATCCATCTTAGAAATGTATTGATGCCTGTTTTATAGCATAATGCATATGCAACTTTAAAAAAAATTGCATATTCTTGGGAACAATGTGGATGCTGTCATTGCTAGGTACAGGTAAAATACCTGTACATTTGACCAAGCTTCTTTACTGTTAGATTAAATCTTGTACTTTTTTAGTAAAGGGCAGTCAAACCAAACAAGAATTGAATGAAAATATGTGACAAGCTTTCCACTATTATAGTGTCTTTGCCAATTTTTCATTGTAATTCTGTCAAATGTTGCTTTATATATGACAAAATTCATACTACTTGCAGCATACAAGCTCAAGTTCAAGTTCAGTTGTGATTTCTCTGTTGGAATCCTAGGGGCCTGTGTTAAGTGTATCATTCCAAAGATATTTTGTAAAAGCTTCTGTCAGTCACCCTCAGATGCTACCACCTATTATTCACTAATGTTAATCTCTTAACTTTGAATCTTCATGATTGCATTGCTATTGCATATTGGAACAACAAATCAACATAAGTGAGGGACTTATGGTTATGAATTCTCAGAGGAAATGTTCCTTCTTTTTCAGAGCAAAGCCTGGGACAGAGAAGTTTTTTTTTTTTTTTTTGTATGTTTTGTTTTGTTATACCCTAGTCCAACCTCTACTGAGAACAAAATCCTTAGATGGCTTCAGCTCTATGAAGGGATTTAGTTCAAACTTCATACCTTATGTGGTACCAGGGCCACATCTGCTGGCCTATGGACAGCTGTTAAAGTGCTAGCCTCCAACCTAATCAGCATTTTAAGTAGATGAAATCTGGCTAAAATGAGACAGTAGCTTCAAATAAAAAGAGGAGCAAAAATGATCTAAAAATGCTTTAAAGGGTAACATAAGCAGGTTTATCTGTCCCCCCACACACAAATACACACAAATAAGTAAACAAACAATTAAAGTGCTCCTTAAGGGAAAGAATCCCAACTTAACTCTGAATCCACAGCATCAAATGTAGTTTTTAACTTCACTGTATCCCAGCCCAAACCATAAAAGCCAAGTAAAACTTATGCATAACACCAGAAGATGAACACGTCAGTGTTCTGTAAACCTATTATTCTATCATGACACAAGCCTAGAAATCAGTGGCATAGCTCATTGTTGGAGTTAGAGAACTAAAGATTTGAATATCCTGGAACATTTTTTGTTATGGCATAAGGTTAGAAAAAACAGTGATATCAGTGAATTCTAGGAGGTAGGAAGAGGGATTTCTACAATCAGAAAGCACCAATTATTTAATTGTTCATTTAAAAATATTGTTTCACATCAAACTCTACAGTTCAGAGAGGGAAGGAGAGGCTTGCTGAATAAGCACACGGTAAGTAATAGCTGCTGTCAACCCTAGTCCTATAACTGGATACCAACAAGAGCAGCAGCATCTTAAGCTGGGATATATACATAATTCCTTTTATACAATGACTACTTTGTTCTTCAGTTTTCATTTTAGTAATTGTTGTGTTGTTTTTCAGACCCTGGCACCATCTACAGAGTGTCATCACAGAAGTAAGCAAACTAAGAGTTGACAGAGAAATAAACATGTTACTTTTTATTGGAGAAGAAAACTACTACTATGAGGAAAAGCTCATTAGAAACTTCATTTTCAGCCATCGCTTTTAGCAGTTTATAAACTGGACCACAAGCCCTGTTGACCTGGTAGCACTTCATTGGCTGTTCTTCCTGTAATTAATATATCCTGATAAACCAAACAAAACGTGCCTCATAAAGAGATGAAATTGTCTCAGTACCGGTGCCAGATCGTAATGTAGTCCTATTTGAGAAGAAATAATTTTTAAAATAAAGTGAATTTTTTATTAAGTTAAACTTATTCAATTTAAAAATCTTGACTCTAAATCTTTCCTAGTTGTTGTTGTTAGGTTGACTTATTCTTTGATACAATGTTGGTATGATAGATGACAGTTTATTCTTTAATGCTCTTATATCTTCATATGGCAAAACAAAAACTTGGCAAATTGGTTTTGGTCTCCTGCTTAACTTTTACGAATCTTTTACTAGTCCATAAAACTAAAAAGTCCCAATGAGCCACTCTGAAAAAATAATATATTCATATATTACATACAATATCTCTCAATCAATGCAGGGCATACACTTAGGCATGTCACTGCGGTACCAAAAGTCAGCTGCCAATATAAAAAAGTTGATCTGTTCAGATGAAAAAAATAAGAAATGTATTGTTGAAATGAACTAACTGGCTAATTCAGTAAAAACATTCAATGGAAGAGTTCCATGTGGCAAGAAGAGTTCCATAAGAAAGACAATTTTTTTTTCCCAGAATGTTTCTAACCAATAAGACAGTTCCTTAGAGTGGATAAGAAATTTCAAACTGAGGATCAGCTTCTGACTTAAAAAAGAGGCTCATTTTTGTCTTAAATTGAACAAATTAATATAATACTATACTCCTATGCTGCTCTATATAGGGTTGATGTTTGCATAAGATAGAGAGACTGTGAGAGACACACAAAGAAAAAGAGAGGGAGAAAGAAGAGAAGGCAGCAGAAAGAGAGAGCAAGAGAGGGGGACAGAGGAAGAGAAAGGGGAAAATGATATTCTGTTGGTTTTTTACATTATCATTTCCAAAAACACATTTATTCTTACTTGGAAATTACTTCTATAGCATTTACTATATACTGGGCATTTTCTAAGTATTTTAAGATATTAACTCATTTAATCTTCATAAAAATCCCATGAAGTAAGTACCATCTTCTGTATGTAGATAATCTGAGGCACAGAGACATTAAGTAACTTGCCACAAGTCCCACAGCCAACACATGACAGAGCTGGAAATAAAACTAAGGCAGTTGCATGCCTTTAGAGTTCATGTTCTTAACCGCTACTCTTACTGTCAATGGAAATTAATGGTAGGAATTATATATCCCAAGAGACAGAAAAGTAACACACTCACTGTAAGGATTACACAAAGATAGTTATATAAATACTGCAAATAACTCCTAATTATTTGATACTTTTCATCTGCATCCTTTCTCCATTAACATAAAATATTGAGGTTTTTTTCATGGTTTCTTTCACAATTTTACTTCTAGGCCCACCTGAACAAATATTAGGCCACATTCAATACATTCCTAAGTTCCACAGATTTCACATGATAGTTCTCAGTTCCATAACAACCACCTGAAATCTTTCAAAATATTCTAGGGTCAGAATTATATTTTTAAAATATCTGTAAATTTTCTATTTCAACCTATAATTTAAATATATCAGTTTCATTAATATAAATTTTATATTCGGTGCTATGAAAATACCAATATTCTGTTACTAATGGTCTAGTCAAGAAATAAACTATCTCTTCTTTCATATACATCTAGATCTATGTTTATTCTATATGGGAAATTTTCTACTTACCTAGATTTGTGTAAATATTTTTTATTATCAGCAAATATATTTGATTATTTTATTTTGGAACATTAAAAATGTTAAACAATCTCATTAAATTGTATTTGTCCTGGATCTGGTAACCAGTTAGAGTTTTAGTAACAACAAAGTTTATTTCAATTTGTATTGACCTAAAAGAAAGTCAGTCCAAATCCCACTTTTACTCTAATTTAATTATTATATTAAGTGTTTATTAAGCACTTGCTCTGAGTTAGATACCATGCAGGGTTCTAAGGATACTAAGATGATTAAGGTAAGTATTGCTGCTGTTAAGGGCTTATGTTTGAAAGACAAATTTTAGCATATCCCTGTTAGTCCATTAGACTGAAATTGTTAAGTAATAAATTGCACATCTACATGATTTACTGTAATCTATCATTTTCACATCAATACTTTAATCTTAGAGTTAAAAACTGAATCCTTTCTTTCACTGTTTATAAACATTAATATTGAAAATATTCATTTCTACAGCTTCTATTTTATGAAGATACCCACCTGGTTGGACGATTTAGACCTGTCAATTTTCCCAACTTTGGCTAAAATGGAAAGCACTAGTAAGAAACTTATCAAAGAAAGTGACACACAATCTATAAGGTGAACGTATTGATGGTGGAGATGACTAAACTCAGTAAACATCCATAAATGTTCTAACATGAAAATTGAGAAAATATTAAAATGATACCTCTATGGTCATATTTGTGTTAGTGACAGTTATCTTCAAATCCACTGAATAATTGCTCATAAAGAGAAAGTGTGACTTTCATGATGTTGTTATTGGTATAAATTGTTATTACCATTACATTTAAAAAATGGCTAGGATAGGGAAACTGTACCACACATATATAGCTGGTAGGAAAGTAAAATGGTACAGACACTCTGGTAAACAATTTAACAAACTAAACATACAATTAACCCACACCACAGCAATTGCACTCTTGGGCATTTAATTGAGAGAAATGAAAAGGTGTGCTCACACAAAATCCTGTACACAAATATTTATAATGGCCTTATGTGTAACAGCCCAAAGCTGAAATCAGACCAGCTATCCTTCAACAGATTAATGATGATGAAATAGTGATACACACATACTATGAAATACTGCTCAGTAACAAAAAGAAACAAACTATTGAAACAAATGAAAACTTCAATAAATCTCCAGGGAATTATACTAAGTGAAAAAAACAAGCCAGTCCCCAAAGGTTATGTGCTATATAGGTCCATTTTGAAATCAGAGATTTTAGAAATGTAGTACAGATCAGTGGTTAGGAACAGGGGTCATGGCAGGATGAAGGAACAGGAAAGAGGTGGATGTGATTATAAAAGAGCAGACTGAGGGTTCCTTGTGGTATTAGAACTGTTCCATATATTGAGTGTGGTGGTGGATACACAAACCCATAAACAATGAAATTGTATAGAAATTAATATGCAGACACACCACACACACACACATACACACAAGTAAAGCTGGGAAAATGTCAAAAAAGACTGGTAGATTATATCAATACAATTATTTTGGATGTGATAATATTATATTATAGCTTTGAAAATTGTTACCATTGGTGGGAAGTCGAGTAAGTGTAATATTTCTTACAATTGCATGTGAATCTACAATTATTTCAATAAAAAATTCAGTTCAAAAAAGTGGGATTAGAGAGCTGGAACAGCCCCCTGATCTCTTTCTCTCTCTCTCCCTCTCTCTCTCTCTCTCTCTCTCTCTCTCTCTCACACACACACACACACACACACACACACACACACGGCCCTTTCTGCCTAGAAAGCAGCATATTTATCAGCACTAGATCAACCCCAGCAAGTGGCCTTGAGAATGAAAGCTATACATTAAAGATGGCAAGCAGAAAAATAGAAGTCTTGGTCCCATATGACCCAGGGACTCCACTACATCATCCGTACCCTAACTACTTTTGACTTTATTTTGAATGAGAAAAAAATATACCCCTTTATTTCTATTTAAAAAATTAATAGGATGTGACAAGTGCTGATAAGACAGTGTAGACAGTGTATACCTCTCCTCATTATTTCCTGGCCTCACCTGAAGCCACCCTGTAGAGTGCTGACTCATTAAAAATTCAATTTGTTCCAAAAATGGTGCTCAACAAACTTTAGTATGTGCATATAAAATACACATATATAACACCTTATTATTCTGCAATAACATACATGCTATTTCTCCCATGATCTGATTATTATGTGTAGTCTCTGCAATTGGAGGAAAGTCCGTGCTCTTTGACAGTGAGTTCTAAACCCCTTATCACAAATAATCTCAGGTGATGATTAGTTCTTGTAGTCTGCAATATGTATTGTTTAATTCACTAGTCCCCAAAGCAATCTTTCCAGTAATACTATCATATTTGTCTTATTTCATTCCTTTTTATTTTAATATTCTGAGGTTTAATATTCTGAGGTTCTCTTATCCTTCTCTTATCCTTTTATAATTTTGAATATGCTGCATTTTAAGGCTAGGGTAACAAAGCATTCCATTTATATGAAAAGACTTTTACAAATGTGCTTTGGTCAAAATGTATTCTAAATAGTGAGTAGGAAAAAAGAATGAGTGAAGAAAATTAAATCCCTACTGTGCCTTTAGCCAGCTGGGTTCTAATTCAGTGCCATGGGCACAAGCCTCCCTTCAAGCATATTATTTTTCTGAATTGTTTCATAGATAAATGAATAAACCCTAAGACATCTTTCCATTATCTTTAGTCAGAGGTGGTACTTCAGAACCCATAAGTTTATACCAATTATATAAGAAAAAGGTGACAATACTAAGTAAAAAAGGAAGAGGTGAGAATAATGGAGAAAAAAAGGAAGAAGAATTAAATTTAGTTGTCAGAAACTGGCACATGCATCACATCACATGTATTGTTAAATGTACTCATTTAATCATCACAATAACCATGTGAAGTAGATATCATTTACTGTCCCCATTTCACATATATTGAGAAAAATGTTGAAGTGTGAACCAATTTCTGTCATTTGCATTTCTATGTGTATCCTAGTCCTTTCTCTAAACCAGATTGTTAAGGCATTCCATCCTTACTGCCCTGGATTAAGGTTGTTATGGAAACAGGTTTTTTGAAAAATGTTTAAGTCCTGGATTTTAAATTTCAAAAGTTTACTTGGATTTACAGAATCCTAAGCTTTCAAGCTTCAGAAACTTAAAGTCTGGAAAACTCATCATAATATTATTTATGCCATGAACAATAGACCTGAAGGAATGTTGATGAAGTAATAGACAGTTTTCACACTTTAAATGATATAACAATTCTCTCAGTAGATAAAGAGACATGAAAAGAAAATGTAGCCTAGATATTCATGAGTTCCCGAGAAGTAGCTCTGCTTTCTACGCCTCCCCAGTGTGTAAGAATTCTAGGAAACGAAACCCAAATAGTTTTGGAAAATTATGAAATTCCAAATGTATCAGCGGGTGGCATGTATTTTACACTTTTCTCCACCCAAAGCGGTTTCTGAGCAGTAGAATAGAGATAATTGAATGCCGGTGCATGTTAGTATAAGACAGCCTCACCTGGGAAATTAGGTGAGTTCATCCCATGAACTCTTGGGATGTCGCAGCAAGAAAGAGACGAAAATATTTAAGAGGGTCCTAATCTTGCATATTCCCTGTGTTCAGAAGCAAGTGAATCACATTGACAACCTACATGTCAGAAGCAAATTGTATGGGAAAATGTGTATATAAGCAGTTGCCAAGGTGATTAGCAGATAACCAAGACCCTATCCCCTCCTCACTCTGGGAATATGACCCTATATGGACCATCCTTGAATGTTAAAACCCCAGGCAAAGGGATACCTCAAAGTTACCAAGGAATTAACAAAATTAATTCACCAGGAATTAACTAAAATTAAGCTTCTGCTTTCACTGAGTTCCATTTATTCTTCTTTTTCTCATTTCTTAGGCAGAAGCTTAAATTATTAAGACATTTTATCTTTAATATTAGCATGTATTGCCATAAATTTTCCTCAAAGCCTTGCTTAAGGTGCATCCCACACATTTTGATATGCTACATTATCATTTTATTCACGTCAAAATACTGTCTAATTTATCTTTGAATTTCTTCTTTCACCCATGGATTATTTGGATGAATGTTATTTAATCTTTAAGTACTTAGGGAATTTCCAGACAACTTTCTCTTACAGATTTGTAGTTTAAACCCTTTCTGGTCAGGGAACATCCTTTGTATGTTGCATAGAGCCATACATATCACAATATCACATCTACACAGAGATTTAAAGCCCTACCATACAATGCTGTATTTTTTCATCAGTCATACATATTTTAAATAATGTATAGAATAAGAGTAATCTACTTATAATTTCTTTTGGTCTTTTTACATTACTGAAGCTCCAGATATCCTTGTAATATCATATCTATTCATACTGAAGAACTTCCTTCAGCATTTATTTTAGAATAGGCCTGCTGGAAATTAATTCATGGTTTTTCTTCATCTGAGAAAATCTTATATCACCTGTTTTCTAAAAAAATGTTTCACTAGAGATACAATTATTTTCTTTCAGCATTTTAGAAATTTTTGTCTTGTGGGCTTCATGGTTTCTGACTAAGTCTGCAGTAATTTCAATTACTGTTTGCCTACAAATAACGTGTAATTTTCCCCTGGCTTCTTTCAAGATGGTTTTCTTTCATTAGTTTCAATTATGATGTGTTTGGGAATCATTTTTCTTTGAGTTTATCTTGTTTCAGTTCCACCAAGCATTTTGAATTGCCCTGCGAACAAATTTGGAAAACATTCAGCCATTATTTTTCTATTTTTTTTATCTACCAATTCCTTTGTTTTCTCCTTCTATGATTCCACTGGCACAAATATTAGATCTTTTGATACTGCACTACAGATTCCTGAGTCTGTTTTTTTAAATATTTTTTCTACTCTGTTTTTCAGCAACGATAATTTCTATTGAGTCCATGAATTTTAAATTCATGGACTCTTTCATCTGCCATCTCCATTCTACTTTTGAGCCCACCTAGTGAATTTTTATCATGTATTTTTTAATTCAAATATTGACATTTGATTCTTTTGATAGTTTGTGTGCTGAAAAGGTCTATCTTTTCATTTACTTCAAGAGTGTTTGCATTTTCAATATAGAGCATGATTATGTTAGCTGCCTTTAAATCCTTTATAATTCCAACATCTGGTCCAACTCAGGGTTGACATCTTCTGATTTTTTTCTTTTTTAAGATTTGTTCCCTTTTCATTGTTTTTATATGCCAAATAATTTCAGATGTAACCTGAACATTTTGAATACTATGTTGTGGAACTCTTAGTCTTGTTAAAATCCTCCAGAAAAAAAATATTATATTTGGATAGCATGCAGTAAATCCCATTAGACTGACACCAAAAATTCTGTCTTGTCTTCACAGTTAATGATTCCAATGTCAGTTCAGTTTTTAAATTTTGATATGTTTCTTTGGTTCTACCTTGCATACATGCAACTCAGAGGTCAGTCTTAGTTTGTGCAGTGGTTTATATCATATTTCAGTTCTCAAAGACTTTGCCATGGTGCTTTGCATATATTCTGCACATTCTTAGCTTGACAATGAACACAGTTAATACAAGATTTAGGGGATCTTCTCTTTGGAATTTCCCTCACACTCTCTAATTCCCAACAGATTACTTTTTTTCTGATGTTTCTTGCCTGAAAACTTTCTTACTTCTTAGAGTTTTAGTTATGTGCACTGTTACACAATTCCATGGGATTGAGGCCATCTCCAGGAACATGTAGCCCTGAAAAAGAGAATCTCACACACACTCTTTTGCCACAGGGACCAAGGGAACTTCTGTTTTCTGTTCCTCTGGCCAGAGACAGGTTTTTCCACTGAGGTTTTTAGGCCCCTCTCTGCTGGCACTGCCACCATCACATCAGCAGTGCAGCTCCATGAGCAGGGCTGCCCTCATGCTAGGCTATTAGTGAAAATGGGAGGAAAAAAATAGACATGGTGATCCCTCCACATTCTGCAGGTGTCAAGGAACCCTATTCCTGGTCCTCTGGACAGAAAGAGCTTTTCTTCAAAATTTGTACTGTCTGCTTTCATTGTGCAGTTTCATGACTGAGGCTGCCCTTAGATTAAATCCAGTAGATGAAGGGGGCAGGGCAAAGGAAACTCACCCCTTGTGCTGTGTACTTGCAGTTGACATCCATCCTCATTTACCCTGCTATTGTTTGTTTCTCAGAGTTCTCAGGGAGTTATGTTGTATATTCCTTCCAGAGTTTTTAGTATAATCAGTGGAAGGGATTGTTCATAGTGAGCTTAACCAGCACTGGAACCCTATGGTAGTTTTCTAGAAACAAAGACTCATGAGCCCTACCCTGACCCAGAATGTCCATTTTAGCAAGATCCTCAGGTGACTGGTAAGCATGGTAATAGATGAGATGTCCTCAGCTAGATGACAAGAAAAAGATTAAAAAAAAAAAAACTCTCAGAATCTTACTAACAAGATTCATATAAAGTCCTCCAAGGTTCAAAATGTCAGTTGTAATATACAAACAGACACATATACATTTTTAAATGAAAACTGTAATTATTGGCTGAGCGTAGTGGCTCACACCTGTAATCCTAGCACAGGATTAATCCTTGGGAGGCCAAGGTGGATCACCTAAGGTCAGGAGTTCTAGACCAGCCTGGCTAAAAGGTCAAACCCCGTCTCTACTAAAATCACCAAAAAAAAAATGATCCGGGCATGGTGGCGCATGCCTGTAGCCTGAAATGCTTGGGAGGCTGAGGCAGGAGAATCACTTGAACCTAGGAGGCGGAGGTTGCAGTAAGCCGAGATTGCGCCACTGCACTCCAGCCTGGGCAACAGAGCAAGACTCCATCTCGAAAAAATGAAAAGAAAACTGTAATTATCATAATTCATTGGGAAAGGGGATTTAAAGCAAGAAATAGGCCAGGTGCGATGGCTCATACCTGTAATCCTAGCACTTTGGGAGGCAGAGTCAGACGGATCACCTGAGGTCAGGAGTTCGAGACCAGCTTTGCCAACATGGTGAAACCCCTGTCTCTATTAAATATACAAAAATTAGCTGGGCGTGATGGTGGGTGCCTGTAATCCCAGCTATTCTGGAGGCTGAGGCAGGAGAACTGCTTGAACCTGGGATCTGAGATCACACCACTGCACTCCAGCCTGGGCGGCAGAGTGAGACTCTGTCTCCAAAAAAAAAAAAAAAAAAAAGAAATAAGTAAAATCACATGTTATATAGAAATGGTAAATAAAATTACACTACATATACTTGATTATTTGTAAAGGCTTATTATGTAGCAACATTGAGAAATGTTGATGGTAATAATTTTGATAAAAAACAGCAGAATTGAAAGTTATATTTTAAACCATAACTCTAAAAAATATGCTAGGTATTATATTTTTTAAAATAATCCATTCATTAGGCATGATGAATGGCAAGAGAACTAGAATGGATGAACAGGATGGCAAGAGAACTGAAATCCAAGAAAAAATGGTTATAGAAAAGGGAAAATTCTAAGCGAGTCAGGTTATAGTGGACTCCCTAACATCCATTTGCCCTCCTCTTCTCAACAGCCACCCAGTGATTATATTTTTGGAGGTCTCATTTGTGTATATAGACTGGTTAAAATATAGACTCTGAACTCAATCAAAACTCACAAGAAATTGAAGTAGTATAAAACCTAAGATTACTTAATTTATACTGAGAAATAGAACTGCTAAATAGTGCCATCATTGGCAACAGTTCAACCCGTGAATTCTCTCTGGTCAAGGCAGTTAGAAACGCAAATAATTAAAAGGGGTTAAATATTGATTTAAAGGGGTTAAAATAATGGCAAGTATTTAAGGGTTCTCAGGCTCTTATGGATATAAATATTTTCCTCAATAATAGGGATAACCCTTCAGGAAACACTAAGTTCCTCAGTTATCAAGACAATAGATTATTCTATGGGCACATCCAATATTTATATCTTTAATTCATAGTTCTATGGCTGACCAAAAACTTATTAACACTTCCTATGTTAATTTAAAAAGCTCTTGTTATCAATTGTGAAGCTGTTCAGTCACAAGAAGTTAAAGTTGGAAGGCATAAAACATCATATATTTCTTAATATTAAATTTCCATTTAACATATACTAATGTATAATTATTTGCTAAACTTTTGTGATAGGACAAAGATCTTTAAGTATGAGTCATTAAGCATGTTGAGCATTGCAAGTGTATAACCCTTCCAAGAAACATTGTCTGTAATTTCCAGTTTCAATTACTTTAAAGTAGAATGGGAAGTTAGTAATTACTTGTAAAGCAATCTAAGTAGTTCAGAATTCGAAGTTCTCTTTTTTTCCCATAGGTCTTTTTAGTAACTCACCCTTATTTTGAGTCTTTGTAATGCACTGAATTTAAATTTTGCACTCATTTTCTCAGTTTATGATATATTTAAATCACATAATTATAAGTGAAACTAGCAAAAAATAGTATGGGAAAAACATAACCAATGCTATGCCTGCAACTCTACTGTATGTGCACAAAGTGCAAATAACTACAGAGCAGATCACTATGAGTGAGCCTGTCCATGCCCTGGGTATCAGTCATTATGTTATACAGAAGAAAGAGAAAGTTAGTGTTAGTTCACTAGTGAAGCTCTATTAAAAGAGCTTTTAGTAAGTTTTCAAGCAAGTTACAGTCTGGTCATACAGTGTTATAGCCATTCTGTCACTTTAAAGTGACTTTGGATATCACTGTATTAACTATGTTGATTAAGTTTTAATTTTAGAGAGTGACCTTTTTTATTTGAAAATACTAGGCATTTACAACAAAGTAATGCAAATTAGCTAAAGGGTACTTATAACACCTAATTTTTACATTAGAGCACCATTTATAGTGGAATAGATATATAATTTGTTTATATAAGGACAGAGAAAGTTTAAGAAAAAGTTTTTTCTTGTAGTAGAAAAGCATGCCCCCTCTGCTATCTTATCATGAATTTGTAGAAAAATCCTCCTTTACGGTGGAGGTTGCAGTGAGCCGAGATCGCAGCACTGCACTCCAGCCTGAGTGACAGAGTAAGACTCTCAAATAAAAGAAAGGAGGGAAGGAAGAAGGAAGGAAAGAAGGAAGGAAGGAAGGAAGGAAGGAAGGAAAAGAAAAATCCTCCTTTAATAGGTAGTTCAAGGTAAATGTCATCTTACCCCTGTTCAAATTACTGCTAATTATGAATTACATATTCTAAATTAGTAAGAACAAACAAATAAACTAATTGATTGTGATGGTAGCTTTTACAGAGGAAAAATGAGCAACAACATAGCAAAAATTCTTTCTTGGCCTCAGGTAAACAACAATGACCATGTAAACAGAGTGCTTAGAGAACAATGACCCACATCTGATATTCAAACAAACCTTTGATATTAGATTTGAAAAATCTCATCTAATTAGGTCAATTGGGTAGAGCATGGCGCTAGTATGACCAGGCTAGGCCTTAGATCCCCATATGTGCCTCTTAGCTTTACCCCATGGCCCTAGATTAAACCCCTAAAACCCTTCAGCCATCTGGCAACTGTAGTTACATCCAGTGAGAACCAATAAGGTTGTTCCTTATTCTCAAAATTAGTCTTTCAACTTCTTAAATTTATTCTCTGAGTTTTTCTCAACCTTCCAATTTTCTAACAGCTCCAAAACACTTCAAAAACTCGTAACTGTGAGAATAACTATCACAAATGAATATTTGATTAAAATTAGAAAGAGTGGAACATAAGAGGCTATTGAATAAACCTCAGATAGAAAGGAAGAAAATCAAAATAAAATCAACGTAGAGAGGAGAGACTAATTTACAATTTCCTCCAGTATCTTGACAAAAGAAAAAGACTTGCCAATTACTGCTATTTTTTATATTCTATTCCCCAAATGTTAGGTAGATCTTCTTCAAAATGTGTAATATTTAAATAAGTTAAAAAAATAAAATTATAGAATGGTTATTTCTAATAAATGAGAACAAATATTATATTGTTATATTTTCTTGTAAGTTTTCAAAAATCCTTTAATGTAAATTAATTATAATTATGAGAATAACAATTTCCTTTGATATGTGTACTTGTCTTTCTCCATCCTACTGCTAAAACAGTAAGCTACCTTGTATTCTACTCAAGAGATGAATGGAATATCATGAAGTAAATAATGATCAAAAATAAAAACATTTAGAGAAAAATCAAAGTAACTTTTATATACATACATATTCCTAATGACAGTCATTAGTCACTAAATATGTCAAATAATCTGTGAGAGCTTACATCTTTTACTAAATTATAGACCATCTCATCAAAAACCATAGAAATGGCAATACATAAGGTATTAGAGAAAAAGAACATTTAAGCTATTTTCAGCTGTATCCTAAACCACAAATAATCTTGGTCAAATACGCTTGTTAAAAATTGACCTGTTAATTACACACATGTTTTTGGTAAATTTTACATTAAAGAACTATGTATCAGTTCCATTTTATGGTGTAACAAATTACCACAAATTGAATGGCTTACAACTTCTCAAACATTATCTCATTTTCTGTGGGTCAGAAGACTGGCATGTTTTAACTGGGTCCTCTGCTCAGGTTCTCATAAAGCTGAAATCAAGGTGTCAGCCAACTGCATTCTCATTTGGAAACTCCACTAGGGAAAATCCACCTCCAAGTTCCCTCAGGCTGTTGGCAGAATTCATTCCCTTGTGGTTGTAGAACTACAGTCCCCATTATTGTGCTCGTTGTCAGCCAAGAGTGGTCTCAGCATCCAGAGACTGCTCTCAGCTCTTAACCACATGCCCCCATTCCATTTCAGCAAGAGAGAACTTCTGCAGCAAGTACATTTTAGGTTTCAAACCACCCTGACTTCCCCTTCTTGGACTAGCCAGGAAAATACTCCCTGCTTTTAAAAGGCTAATGTGATTAAATCAGATCCCCATGAAAGGCCCCCCTTTCTTAAAGTCAGCCTTACCATATAAGATAATAACTATGAGAGTTATGGGGCTCGTCATGTTCACAGATGCTGCCCACACTCAAAGGAGAAGGGATTATACAAGGGTGGGGGCCATCTGAGACTCATCCTAGGATTCTGACCACCACAATGTACAAAACACTGAAGAACCCTTCATGGTAGATAGAGGCATATGGTTATTGCCAGGGTTTGAATGTGTTCCCCGAAGTTCCTGTGTTGGAAACTTAATCTCCAATGCAACAGTGTTGAGAAGTGGAACCTTCAAGAGGTGATTAGGTCCTGAGGGCTCTGTTCTTATTTACTTATTTATTTTTATTTTTTCTTTTGAGATGGAGTCTCACTCTGTCACCCAGGCTGGAGTGCAGTGGTGCAATCTTGGCTCACTGCAACCTCCGCCTCCCGGCTTCAAGCGATTCTCCTACCCCAGCTTCCTGAGTAGCTGGGACTACAGGCACACGCCGCCACCCCCAGCTAATTTTTGTATTTTTAGTAGAGCCGGGGTTTCACCACGTTGGGCAGGATGATCTCGATCTCTTGACCTTGTGATCTACCCGCCTCAGCCTCCCAAAGTGCTGGGATTACAGGCATGAGCCACTGCGCATGGCCTCTGTTCTTATGAATGAATTAATGTCATGATCTCTGGAGTGAGTTCCTAATAAAATAATGCGTTTAGACCCCTTCCCTTCTCTCTCACAAAAGGGCTCCCTTCTATTTTCTGACATGGGATGAGGCAGCAAGAAGGCTTCTTGGACTTCCCAACCCTCAGAACTGTAAGAAATAAATCCTCATTCTTTATAAATTAACCATTCTGTTATAACAACACAAAATGGACTAAGACAGGTATAAAATCAAAGAAGTATAATTAAGAAAAAATGGGGTAAAATTTAGAATATTGCATTCAAGCATGAACCTAATGTTTTGAGAAGCATTTGAAACATTCATTTTACTTTTAAAAGGTCCATATTTAAATAAGTACTCCATATAGAATTCTCCACTTGAGTTTTTAGTAGGATTTCTCCAATGGGAAATCTTTGTAGTTGTGAATGTACTAATAACTAAGAGGTCAACAATTATTCCTCCTTAGTTTCCCTCTACATATAAAAATATTTTATTACAAGATGACAGAAAGTATTTTAGCTGAGTGTAAAGTCTTAAATTCAATGTTCTCTGAGAGGCAATATGGTGTTATAAATTAGAATAAGGTATTCAAATTGGTATGTGTACACTCAGGCAGTGCATAAGATAACCTATTGAGGTGAAGAAGGAAATGTTAAAACTTGGATTTATATATATTTTAATCTCAGCCCAATATATTTGTACTTTTAAATATAGTTTATAATGGGTTAAGTATTGGTAGAGTGTTATATAGATGTAGTTTATAAAAGTGTATATACTGGGGGAATCTTTTTTAGCAAATGAGTTACGTTATCATTAGAATTTGGAAACCAGTGATTTAAAGCAAGGGCCTTAGAATCCAAATGGTTTCTTGTCCCAAGCTGTGTGATTTTTAGAAATTCACCTTAATGTAAACCATAATCTTCACATAAGTATAATAAAAAGTGTTAATACCATAGGACTATTGTGAAGATTAAAGGGACTTTTTGTTTCAAATTATTATTATTAGTAGGGAGATCCTCAAAAAATTAGAACTACCATATGATCCAGCAAACCTGCTTCTGTGTACATATCCAGAAAAATTGAAAGTAGGGTTTTGAGGAGATATCTGCCCACTCGTGTTCATTGCAGCACTACTCACAATAAAAGAAGTACAAGCAATCCAAATGGCCATCAACTAATGAATGGACAAACAAAATGGCATATACCTACAATGGAATATTATTCAGCCTTTAAAAGGAGGAAAATCTTGTCACATATAATTATAACATGGATGAATCTTAAAGACATTATGCTAGTAAAATGAGTCAGTTATAAAAAGACAAATTCTGTATGATTCCACTTATATGAGGCATCTAAAGTAGTTCAATTCATATAATCAGAAACTAAAATGGCACTTCACCAAGTGATGGAGAGAAAGGAAAAAGGGGAACTGTTGTATAATATAGTTTCTGTTATGCAAGATGAAAAAGCTCTGGAGATCTGTTGCAAGACAATGTGAATATACTTAACACTACTTAAGTCTACAATGTAAAATGATTAATATGGTAACTTTTATGTTGTGTGTTTTTTTTATCACAATTAAAACACATAGTTGGATGGATGGACAGTTGGACAGATAGATATAGATGTAGATAAAACTAAAAAGCTCTTGTGTGGTGGTAAATAAGAAGCTGTTGTATAATGTCCCATTATGTCATGTCAGATTGGGAAGTGATTTTTATTTATTCCATTAATACTGAACATCAAAATGCATCACCCATTATGCCAGGTACTGGAGATTAAATCTTTCTTCAAAATAGTTTTGTGGAAATTTAACAAATTATTAAGCAATAGGCATATTTTATTATATGGTGAGAATCTGATGGCTTCAAGAAATATTAGTTTAGTAGAATCAACCAACAGTTGAACATTGACTATAAGAGGGAGAAATCAAGGCTGCCATACAAATTTCACCTTGTACAGGTAAGTAAAGTTGTGCTGCTATCCATGGAGAGAGGGAATAAGAAAAAGATGTGTCAGCTCGGAGGACCTCGGATGGGAAAATGGAAGGAAGAAAAATGTGTTTCTAGACATACTTAATTTGAGATATTTTGGGATATCTTGGTGAAAACACCCAATAGAAAATCGAAAATACAGCTGACCCTTGAACAACCTGGGGTTAGGTGTACTGACACCCTCTGCCCCTGAAAACCTGCATATAATTTTGCTCCCCCAAAACTTAACTACTAATAGTCTACTGTTGACTGCAAGCCTTAGCAAAAAGATAGTCTATTAAGCCATAAATAGACTAGTGCCTGCATAGATTTTAAGCATTCATGGCATATATTTTTCTTAGATTTTTTATATTTCTAGATTATGCAGTTTATCTGAGAGTTTTTTCAAATTGTTATATATTTCCAAAAATTTTCCAAATACTTATTGAAAAAAATCCACATACAAGTGGACCCAGGCAATCCTGACCTGTGTTGTTCAAGGATCAACTGTACAGATTTAGACTTCAGAAGATATACATTATGTCACCAGAACACAGGCCTAACTGAAGTCATAAACAGGGGCACAGTTACGCAGGACAAAATATAGAGTTAGACAAGAAATTCAAATATATCTTAGCAAAATAATTTAATTTCAAGGATAAAGAAGTAAACAATTCATGAAATTTGGGAAAATCAATTTGCCTTAGAATTTTACAGAGCACACACAATATCTATAATGTTCTGAGAGAAAAAGTAAAATACAGAATCTGCATCTGGTTAGTTGTCCTTCAAGGATAAAGGTAAAAGACAAATACTCTCAATTGTATATAAAATTCAAAGAATAGAGTGCATGGACCTACTTTAGGAAAAAAATGATAAACTGTAATTAGAGTCAATCAAATCAAGGAATTCAGAGGTAAAGGAAACCAGATAACAAAACAGATAATAAACATTTAAATAGGAAAATAATGTTTAAAATGAAATTACATAATTTAACATTAATATCAACAACCCTGACAACACAAACATAATTATAATATAATGAATATAATAAATTATAATATATAATAAGTATAATATAATAAGTGAAATGAAATGTAAACCAGGATCTAAGAAACAAGGAGGTGGGAAGAAGTGAAAATATGCTTCTCATTTATCATTAGAGAAAGTCAATAATACTTATAAAACGGAAATTTGTAATTGGTAAAATAAGTGTAATTCAACATCTTAAAGTTTTTCTTAATCTTTTCCATTAACTTCAGGAATAAATATCTTTGAGAAGAAACATTTATCTATTAGCAATTCATTAAATTTTATGTATTTCTTCTTTTGTCGCATTGACAATCTTATATTTTCTTATTCTTACTTAAATTAGCATATCATCATCATCCTAGTTTTAGAAAATTATTTCTGCCTGTCCATATGCAACTATCAGTCATTTTATCGACTCTTCTTTTGGCATATATTTCTAGAGAGGAATCTAGAATGATGTTCATAATTAGCTTACGGTGATTATATTTTGATGGGACATTTGGTATGACTTTTTCTTTATTTCTTTCCTTTTCATTTAACTTTTTTAAAAAACTGAGACAGTATCACTTTTACAATAACAGTCATTTTTTCTTCCAAAAATGGAGTAGGTAGAATAAATCTTAATAATACATATGTACATAAATACATACAAGTATACCTTGTATTTCTTTCTTTTTTTTTATTTATTTATTTTTTTTGAGATGGAGTCTCACTCTGTTGCCCAGGCTGGAGTGCAATGGTGCGATCTCGGCTCACTGCAACCTCCGCCTCCCGGGTTCAAGCAATTCTCCTGCCTCAGCCTCCCGAGTAGCTGGGACTACAAGGGCACATGGCCACACCCAGCTAATTTTTTTTGTATTTTAGTAGAGATGGGGTTTCACTGTGTTGCCCAGGCTGGTCTCAAACTCCTGAGCTCAGGCAATCCGCCTGCCTCAGCCTCCCAGAATGCTAGGATTACAGGCATGAGCCACCGCGCTTGACCTTGTATTTTAGCTCCGTGTTGCAATGTGATTTTGAGTTCATAAAATATACCTAATTATAATTACATCGTGATTTTCATGTTCTATGAATCATATTTTAAGCAACTTTTTTTTTTAGCATTTACTATGTCCCCGGCATATGCTACATATACCACATGCTTGTGTGTATGTGTGTGTATATGTATGTGTATATATGTGTGCATATGCATATATAGTATATGTTAGTATATATTATATACACTACTAACTATGCAAAACTAGTAAGACTAGTATTAATACTAACATTTTACAAGAGGAAACTGCATCTTTAGTTAAACTTTAGCCGACCCAGAACTCCAGTAAACGTCAGAGCCAGGATTTAAATTGTGCTGTAAAATCAACACTCTACTCACTATGCCATGTTTCTTGCCATCTATGCTATCCATGAAGTTTGTTTTATCTTGTTATATAAAGATTGTAAAAATGAATATAACCTAAAACATAGTAGATTCACATTCATCTTTCCCAGTTAGACCAAAAAAAAAAAAACAAAAAACAAAGAGTGAAAGTCTTAGCAAACACAACAGCTATTAGGAAAAGGTCTTTATAGACTTGACACAAAATTAAAGTCCTTGAAAGTTCTCCTGCCATATGCCTGTATTTTCTACTTCATCATTCCTCCGTCTTATGCAGTGAGTCTAGAGAGTAAACCCGTAGGGAGCAGGATCCCAGCAAACTAAGGAAGATTACAGAAGAAATATATACGAGTGCCAAATCTTGCCCCATCTCCCTATTGTGGCTACTAATAGGACAAGGAAGAACCAACGGAAAAATAAAAAACTGGTATCTCAAGAAATAAGTGTGGGATAGTCTTCATACACGAACAGGGTCATATTTCCTCTTTATATTCAGAGGAAATCTCCTGCCCCTTAATACTCAAGCCAGAATGGCCTTTACTACTGGTCCCCACTGTTCCCTGCGAGCTGACCTATGCTGGGGACTTGTCATAGATGATTTATTCTTCACAACTCCACAAAGAATCACTAAGTCAGCTAATAAGCCACATTGCTGATATTCATTCTCGGGATCTATTTGACCCCCAAATCCTATGCTACAGGATCTCCCAAAGTACTTTAATGAAAAGAAAAATGCATGGGCTATCAACAGCAATGTCCACTATAGAAGCAAAAATGTGCTTCCATCTCAGTGACCACTATGATGATTTGTCTTTGTGTCATAGATACAAAGTATCATGATAAATAACTGGGTCTGTAGCAGATTCCAGATCAAGGCCTAATATAGGTGCCTTAGGCATAAAGTTAGGCCAGGTGGAAAGGTATACAGGACTCCTCATGGGGTATTATTTCTTTCACTCTGATGTAGCATAAAGGATTTATGACCAAAACCACAGTCAGAAAAATAACAAAAACAGTTACTGTTTATGAGTCAGTCCATGAATATTCATTATAATCACTGTACAGTAATCAATTAGTAGTATGCACAGCAAGAACAATATGAAATCTGAGGCTACAGATTGCAGAACTGAATAAATCATCATTTGTAAATAGCACAACTAAAGATAATGCATTTTCCTTTCTGGATGGAAATTCATTTAAGACCTGTATTGGAATAAATATAAGAAAGAAATATATATAAGAAAGGCATAATTTAGACCTTTGTGTCTGTTCCTACAAATATAGGTTAAGAAAAGTATTACATCTTTTGATTATACAGTTTCAATATTCATATTCATTACTTTCTTTGCTTGATACTGAAAGACAAAAACATGAGCTTACCAAATTCCTAATGTTTTATACAATGCAGAGGACTTTTTAAAAAGAGCGTTTAATAAATTTTCTCCTTTTCTAAGTTTACCATTCACAATATCAAATGGTATAATGTGTTCTGGTAGTTTAAACTGCAAGTGTGATGTTTCCACTAATTGTTGCCAGAAAACGTTAATCAGGATCAAAAGCTTCTAAAAACAAACTACACTGGAACTACCAAATGTGTAAAACAGAGTTACCATAGTTAAGTGAATTTAAAACTATCGCTGCTTAAAAGTTGGATGTAATCAATGTCAACCATTTGCTATATCGTTTTCGGAACTGTTTTAAGTCATTCATCATTTCATTCTTCTAAATTTCTGACACTTTTAATGAAAGAATGTATAAAAATAACAGTGGTACTATCTAAAAAGCAGATGGGTTGCTCAACAAACTGCATATGCGCGTGCGCGTGAGTGTGCAGTGCAGGCGGGCTCGCAAAAGCACAGGTCCCACACCAGACCTAAAATGGCTGAGTTGCCGGATGTTGTTGCTTGGTGACCAAACAGTATCTACTCCATCAAAAAGCAGTCTAAACATCAGTGGCAGATATGTCCCCTCAGGTTTAGACATGACCAGGACAAATATTAAAGGACATATTTATCCTTTCCAGTAGTCAATATTTTTATTTTAAGTCAGTTGTAACTTGCTCGATTTTATCATCAGTTAAGTTTAGGCTTTAGGGGGAAGAGTAGTTGGAAAGCTATATTTCTTTTGGGAAAATAAGAGTAGAACCAAGCTTCTTTAACTATGAGACTTAAAGATAGTCTTGTTTCAATTAAGTCTATGTGGTGTGTCTACTCTGTTCTAGTATAACCTCCCAGGTGCCATCAGTCTCTCTTTCTTTCATTAAACTAAAGTAGATAATTAGCCTCAGCCTGTCCTCTCCCCTTTTCTCTTTCCCTTTTCGCAGTAGTAATGATGTCTAATTATCAGCAGCAGTGGATTACTGCAACATCAGGAGCAAAGCATCTCTTACTGACAGCAAAGCCAGCCGTGAACCCTCAAACCTCAAGCAGCTAAGAATGATTCTTAGTCTGCACGAAAATACCATTCAAATACAGTATTTTATTTTGATCAATATATGCCTTGGAATTAAGAGAAAATATATTTTTGTCTTCTTGGTGACTGTACTCCTACCATCGGAAAGAAAAATCAATGTATCATTAAGGAAGGAATAATTTGAAATGTAGGGAAACACATGATAAAAGGGGATCCTTTATTTTTTAACTCATTGAAATGATGATTGGCTGTCTCTCAGAGAAGGAGGAGCCTATAATTCTATGTCGGGAGCAGTATAAAAATTTTATAAAGAGCAATAGACGAGTTCATAAATTAAAAACCTCTTCAATATTTCAAAACAGGCTTGAATGAAAAGCAGAGCTCTTAAATACTACATGAGAACCATTATCTAACAATCACCTGATGAATTATATTCTCTCCCATAAATATATGGAATCTTTACTGAATAAACACGTGTTACTTTAATATTATCCCTGAAGTTGTCACTCTATACTAGATGTCTTAGCAGTAATTCTTTAGCTATTCTGCATAAATTTTTGACTGAAAATAGTGGTATATGAATGCGTGAATGCTAGTTTGAATAACTGACATTTATGATGATCTTAGTATCTCTAAAATTGTTCAGAATTTATGTTATTTAAAATAGTCAATCCTTTAAAAGGACACATATGTTAACACATATAGTGGGTGTAGTCAAATCCATATGAGTATAAACTCATTGTACCAATATCCACGTGAAGCTATCTGACAGTTAGAGGGACCTAAGTTTAACATAAAAGGAATGAAAAATAAACTTCCCAACTAACAGTGTTTCTTTAAAACATACATGATATTATGAAATAATACCTTAAGTAAAGATATCTTAAATGATTTTATCCATTCAGTTAGCTCAGTTTTGTCCAAAGGAAAATGCATGTTTATGTTTTGAATTCTAACAATAAATTATTTTTCTACATCATTTCTTGATATTATTCCCAATACAAATTAATCAAAGCACTTCATTCTGTATATCAGATTTCTGGCTCATCCAGATGTAAATAAACCTCAGTTCTAAATCATGCCAATCTAGTCCTCATTATTTAGGAAAGCCAGACAATAATCTCACCATTGTCTTTAGTAGTGCCACATGCTAAAGGAGAAGACACCTTTATAGGTCCAACTCTTAGAAATCTCCCAACAATAGTACATTGTTAAAAAAAAAAAAAAAACCACCACAGAACTTTTATATGTGTTTCCATTTCACTTTTACTTTTGGTTCCCAATTTCTATATAAATTCTAAAATAAATATACATCCTTCAAACAACTATTTCTAATTAATCTCAGGAAACCATAAACTGATTTCCAAACCTAAAAGACCCTTCCAAATAATGCTTTAAAAAAAACTTTTCATGCACATATTTTCAATTCAATATAATATACCTCCATTAGAGATAGAATAGCTTTCAAAGCGTCTCCTTTCTAGCATCCTCCAGGAATACTGCACCGGGAAACAGTTGCCAGTACAGGAGGGGGGAAAGGAAGAAATGCTCAAGAAACCCCAAAGCGAGGCAAAAATACAAAGGATGCCAGATAGCCTCCCCCATCCCTACTCCAGGCGAGTACCCACCGTGGCATGATGCAGAAAGGTCTCCTGCATCAGATCTGCCATCCTACTTGTAGCCCACAGTTCCCATCTTCTTGTGAAGAAAATCGACGCTGCTGCGGCTCCCCAGCCCCACTGGCTTCTGCAGCGTGAGGCTGAGATGCATTGGGCTCTCAATGCCAGTGCCTCGCGGCGCCTGGGCTAGAGCTTTGTGGCCATGAGACTAGAGCCACCCCAGAAAAAGGAACAAATACACACACCATTCGATAGCGCCTAAACCCATCTTTCTTTGTTGTTCATCTTCTAGCTGCGGCTTTATTTGTGGAAGAGGGAAGTGAGGAAGGGAATGGGGGGGCGGGGAGGAGGAATCTCCAGGACCTTATCTACAATCTCAACAGTCGCGGCAACGATCTCTGGGAGTGATCGAGGCATTCGGGCTGCCCCGTGCCTCCCGGGCAGCGATCTAACGATAAAACCTGACAGTGTCCTGGGGAAAACCCCACATCCACCGCTAGCGCTACATTCGGGCTTTATGCCAATAAGGAGACACTGTAGACTATCGATCAGACTCGTCTGCTCTCAGAGCGTGCGGCCGGGCTTCCAGCCTGGCCTTTAGGCGCGGTGGCGGCGGTGGGACACGCGCCAGGCGCCCAGAGAAGGACATGGGACAATGGCCCAGCCCGAGGACGCCAGACGCCGCCGCCCGACCCGGGGAAGGAAGCTCCTGCAGCCGGTCCGGGAACCCGAGGCGGGGAGGGAGGCCAGCTCTGGAGGTGCGCTGCCGCTTTAAAATAAAGGACCACAAAGACTGTACAGTGGGGAAAACGCGCCTGGCTAATGCGAGTGGGGACGACTTGGGGAGGGGGTTGAGGAAGGTAGGGGGCACACGAGCCAACGGCGGCTCACGGCTCCCCCTCTCTCCCGCCTCTCTCCTTCCTCCCTCCCCGCCGGGCTGCTCCGGCAGACAAATAACAGAGGAAGGCGAGTCACTCACCGTGGTCTTGACAGGCACGTAGAGCACTTGCTTGGCGCCGCCGCCTCCCCCGCGGACCTCGTCCGGCTGGCCCAGCTGGAAGCCCTTCGATTTGACCCAGAATTTAAATTTGGCGTTGTCCGTGGAGCTCGACTCGGAGCCATTGAGGAGCTGGACGATCCGTTCGTATTTTTTACGGGTCACCGTCTTGGTCTTGCCTGAGTCCCCGTAAGTCCTGAGGCACCAGTCCTGGAACTGGCGGTACATGTCGCGCTCGCTCTCCATGTTCCCCGCGCTCGGCCGCTGGCCGGATGCTCCCAGCGCACTTCGCACCTGTTCACCCTAGGCTCATGAAAAATGCAGCCCCGGCCACGTTGCAGGGATGCGAGGTCCCGGCCGCAGCGGGAGCCTGCTTTGGGTGGGGGAAGGGATGGGAAGAGGGGAGGAGGGTCCGGTTGGGCACCAGCAATCAATGCCCCGTGCTACCAAGTCTGGTCCATTCGTAATTGCAACGGCTGTCTCGGACGTTTTTCCTGTTCCCTTAGCGGTCGGTCTCTTTAATATTTTGTGACCAGGACCATCCCAACACCATTCTGGCCCAGAGGAGCTGGGTTTTCAATAATTAAAATCCCATTCCTTGGTTTATTAAAAATCCCAATATTGAATTGGGGTGGTCCCTAGACGCCTCGCCCCCGGGCTGCGTCCGGGGCTGGGCAGGTGGAGCGCAGCGCCGCCTCCCCGCGCGCGCCCCAGAAGCTTCCCCAGCCACTGGCCCCGTGGTCCAGGAGTGAGGGCTGCGCCTCTCCCGAAAGCAGCCGCCCGCCCAGCGCCTTTGAGCCCCGAAGGGCACACGGGTCCCGGATCTCTCCTTCCTCCTGGGTCCTGCTTTGACCTTCCCCACGACGGGTGTTAAGGGACTAGAAAGAGAAAGTTCTTACCTGTCATGTTTTTAAACCTATCAAATTCTGTTTTACAGAATTTTTTATCAAGATATTTTTTAAAACGGTTTAAAATGTCATTTCTTCAGATGCATTTTGAATAAATTCCAGCCCTGTATGTAGATTCTACGAGTTAAGTCCCAGAAATTAGCAAAGCATTGATGGAGATTTGGCCATAGTTCTACAGGATAGATTGTAGTGCCCCAAACAGATATCCGTTCCAGGGGGATGTGGGTAACCGAAGGCAGGCCGCTGGCGGCGGGTATCCCGAATAATGATGGGACCCCCAGACAGGACTCCTCTGGTTTCTGCTGAACAAGACATAGAAGTAAGTTTAGGATACAGATGCTTGAAAACCTTTGCACGAAATTAAAATATATACAGAAAGATCATTTTCCCCTTGCTTGGTCACAGTTTGCAGTTCACACGGGAGGTTTCAGTTGTCTATTTTCCCCCTGCCACGTCATGGACACCCCCTCCACTGCTCTGAGTAGCCAAATATGAGTTCCTCTGGACTATTTTTCCAAGCAGATGAAGTCAGCAGTTGCTCCATTCAGGACTTCCATCCATTTGTTTCCAGAGCTGGAAATAGGGGAGTTCCCATCCTCCTCGCGCGGCGGCTGCGGCCGCTCCTCTTTATTCTACTCTCACCCGAGGCCCGCGCCCGTCCCGGGGAGCGGCTCTGCCAGGAAAACGGCCCGACCAGTGCCCGGCGCCTGGGCTGCGTCCGAGCCCACCTTCTTCCCTCGTCGTCGTCTCCCAGACTAAATCCCGGAAAGGGAAAGCGGGATGTTTGCGCCCACCGCGCTGTAGCTGGTCCTGACACTTGCAAAATGGTCAGTGGCTCCTGCTCGGCCAGGCTGAGTGTGTGCGTGTGTGTGAGCAAGGGAGCGAGGGTGTGCGGTGTGCAGGGGGTGCGCTGTGTGTGCGCGCGTCTCCGGGAAGGTCTCGCGGCGGCTGGAGCCGGGACTGACAGCCCGGGCGGAGCGCAGGCAGCTCCACACGCTAAACCTCTCGCCTCTCCCCTCACCCCCACCCCTCCCACTCCCCTCTCCTTCCCCCACCCTCCCCGGCCCCTTCCAAGCTCTCTGATTGGCCAATGGGACAAAAGTTTCTGTGGAGACGGCTGGGCGCTGACGTCACGGGCAGAATTGTCCCATTTAGGGATCCCGGGGGCAGTGCGCATGCTGCAGGCTGCAGGTTAGAGGCAGAAGGAGGTAGCAGCGGGCCCGGCGGCAGCCAGGTGGCAGAAAGGAGCACGCAGCATCCAGGTGGGGGGACGACTCCAGCAGGGTTTCCATGGAGATTCCTCTGGGTCTAGCCTAAAAACAGCAGATCAGCTGACACCATTAGCTCAGGACCTAATTACTGCTTATTGGAGCAACAAATGAGGGAAAGGGCCAGCTGCAAAGGAAGAGTTTTTATCCCCCCACCCCATTCCCCCATCTCCTTTCTCCCCCTCTCTCCATCCCTCTTGAGTCCCGGGTGAATTCTCATTAACTTGCAAGATTCCTGCAACAACAGCTCCCCTTCTCCAGAGGCCACCCCGACTGCTTTTATTCTTTTATTTCCTTCTTTTGTATTAAAAAGAAATGCTAAAATAAATCAGTTGTTGAGTCCTTGAATTTTTGTTCAATACGTATTAGACCATAGAGCTCAGAGAAGACACTGTCCAATGAAGTCACAAGTGAATCTAATACAAGGGACTCAGGGGAAAAATATCACTTTCAATTTATTGAGGTGAATCTTTAGATATTTCACATTAAAAAAATCTTAATATCTTAAATACATAAATATTTGAAACACGCAATTGGACAGAAGATATCCTGAACCACCCTTCTAGTGGGGTATACTTCACAGGAGCAACTCTGTTAAGTTTCCCTTTGTGGCATCAGAGCTCAATTTAGTTAGATATTGGTCATGTGTTTCCTGGAAGTTTCTGGAAAGATAATTGGTCCTGGGGTAGTCATTCAAGAATAAGCTGGTTCTATAGAATTCACTTTCTCATATGGTTATAGTTCACAATTATAGAACTATTTTATGCAGCTTTTCATCTAAAAAGGCATCCCATCCCCTCTAAGCTTTATTTATGTACTTTCAGCCTCCAAAAACCTTCCTTAATCATTCAACTTAATATTAACTTTCTTCTATAATCATCTGTATTGTGTCTTTCAAACATTTTTTAGCCCTGTCTTGTAGTAAGCCATACACTTTACATTGACATGTAGTGCATACATACATTTGTTCTGCAAAAATTTTATGAAAACATCTATTTTATTACCTGCAATATACACTGATATTTGCCTTTTTCTCTCCTGTTGATTTTGTTATTATTATTTGGTAAAGTATAGTCCCAACCAAAAAAATTTATTTTATGACCCAGCAAAGAATGACTGGCAACCTACAATTTGAAAAATATTGTTTTAGATCATAATGACTACACTGCTCCTTTTACCTTATTTATATTTTCATATGAGTATGTTTTGTTGGTCAAATAAAATCTTAATTGGAAAACCCTTGAAAGTTTATGTCTTTTTTCTTGTTTTGTGCAATGAACAATGTGCACAGTAAGTGCTTAATAAATTGAGTTAATAAATTAATGAAAGAAGGAGAACAAGAGTAAGGGAAGGAAGGAAGAAGGTAGGCATAATCTTTGTCCATTCTTGTTGGCTTTTGCTGGGTAGTGTTTGGTTGAAGTTGGTCCCCCGTCTTAAGGAAATGACAGGGCTTTACCACACACACATGTGTTCATTGTATTTATAACTATACTTGACACCCTAATGCATAGCAACTAGAACACCCTAGACATACAGAACTCCCAGAAGATAAATATGTCATCAACCCCCACTTGTATTCACTAGATTTGATATACAAGCACAAAAACCCCACAAAATGAAATAGATTATATGAAATACATTCTTTTTAAGAAGAAAAGGTAAATGATTAACTACTGAAAGACTGTTTGCATTGGAGGAAAGGAATACAGGGTTCAAAGATTTCAAGGGTCCTAAGTCTCAGAGCCCTGCAGATTCTCTTGTTTTCAGTGGAACCCAAAGTGTAATATGCTCTGTACTTGCACCCATTATTAGTTGTGCTGGCTGAGCCAACACCTTCAACCATATCTTGTCCACCTAGGAAGGTAGGCACCTAACAAAAATCTAAAATCTGCTTCAGCAACTTACTCTGGACTAATTTTCCTTCTTTGAACTTCTCTAGAGTCAGGTCTGACCAGCCCCATCTCAGGGTCATCCTGAGCTGCTTCCTCAGCTATATGGTTCATGTGAACAGGCTGCCTGGGATTTAACCTGGTATGTTCCCAGGACACTTTCCTCAGAATTGCCTGGCTACAAAGCATATCTCTCCGAAATGTTTTTCTTCACCCCTTCTGAATGCCAATCCCCAATCTGGGCCCAGGGGTCCTGTCTGCCTGGCAGGCAGAGGAAGAAAAGAGAGGAAGAGGAAGGCAAAAAGGTATGTGAAACTTATATTTTAATTTAAAATAATCCAAAACGTGGGCTATCATCAATATGATTTTTGTTATAGAAGTAAAATTTCTTCCAACTTCATGGTCAGTTTGTAAATGACATTTTAAAAATCCAGAAAATCTTGCACTTTATTATCAATCACAAATATTTACACAACACTATGTGTTCATCAGCAAAATGTTAGAGTACAAACAACATAGAATCTGTAATCAGAAAATCCATGTTCAAAGAATAAACAAGCTTTCATTCCTTCAAATAATTGTGGTTTTTATTAAACAAATATTAACCAAGCTTCAGTTACTCTCACAGGTTCTAGGGTTAACGTCCTCAGCAAGACAGATGTATATGCATGGTTCCCATCTCATGGAACATAAATTCTTCTAAGGACAGCAGACAACAAAGCAAGAAATAAATAATTAGAGCTTTATGTAAGTGCTGGGAGGGGGAAAAATAGCAGCATAAGAGAAAACAGTGACAAGGTAGAGAGACTTGATGAGCTTAGGGAAGATCTTTCTGAGTAGGTAACATTTATCATGAGACCTGAAGATTCAAAGGAGTCAATTATGTGAAGCCAGGAAGGTGAACTATAGGCAAAGCGCAAAGGTCCTAACGTAAAAGAACTCTTGGCATGTTTGAGGAATAGAAAGAAGGCCAAGGCAACTGGAGCTTGAAAGAGAAAGGTAGAACGTGAGATCTGAGTAGACTTCTGCAGCCAGATCTTGTAGGGCATTGCTTACATTTTATTGATAAGTGCTTATATTTTATTGGTCCAGTGGAAAACCAGTAAGATATCTCAGGCAGGAGAATTATATGATATGATATGCATTTTTATTAGTGTCACTGGCCACTTTGAGGAGAAAGGATTGGAAAGGGACAAGCATGAAAGCAGGAAGACCAGCTAGAAAAAATGGTGATAGTTGAAGTAGTAGCTTAGATGAACTATTACGGCGATAGATTAGAGTATTAACAGAGGAGGTAGAGGGAGAGAAGTGATGGGTTGAAGATACAGTTTAAAGAAAGAATAGAGCTTCCTGAATGTGTATCTCCTCCACCCCCCTGCCCCCACCCCACAATCCATATGTTGAAATCCTAACCCCCAAGGTGATGGTATTAGGAAGTGGCACCTTTGGGAGCTGATTAGGTAATGAAAGGAGAGCTGGTCATGAATGGAATTGGTGCCTTCATGAAAGAGGCCTCACAGAGCTCCTCTGCCACTTCCTCCATGTGAGGACGCTGAAAAGATGGCCATCTATGAAGAGGAGTCTCACTAGACATCACATCTGCCAGCATCTTAATCTTGGACTTTCCAGCCTCCAGACCTGTGAGAAATAAATTCCTGTTGTTTATAAGCCACCCAGCCTATGGTAGTTTGTTATAGCAGCCCTAGTGAACTAATACACTGATGGACTGCATGTATCAGATGAGAGAAACGATTGAATCAAAGACGACTACATGGTTTCTGGCTTTAGTAGTGAGGCTAGTGAAGCCATTGACTTACAGAGAAATGTTTGGGGGAGGAACAGATTGGGAGTTGGAGGCTGAGGGAGGAGCAGAAGCAAGTTGGGGTGGAGAGGCAGGAAGAAAGAATTTAATTTCAGAGAAGTTAAATTTGAAATACCAGGAGAGTTGTTCATGTAGGAATTGAATATAGAAGCTTGAACTACAGAGAAAAGTCTGGATTGGAGATATAAATACAGGGAATTTAAAGCCATAGGAATGAATGACATCACCTTTGTCCACATTTCCTACAAAAAGGGAAAGCCCCCATCTTTTGATATTGAGTTTGTATATACTAATACCTTATGACTAAAATAGAATGTCATGTACTGAGCAGCAGAAGTTGGCTTCTATTGATATAATACTGGTATTGGGAAAAACCTGAGAAAAATAGCAAAGCAGTTTGGATGAATCCTTGACTAGACCTAAACTGTTAGTAATTTCCAAATTTACATGGACTTAAAATCATTTAAAACTTAAAAGTGAAGCTGTGAAAGCTTTGGTTAGACCTATTCTGGATTAGATCAGGACCTGGAGGCACGCTAAAATAGGAATCAAATTTTAGGATGTCCTATGATCACATTTCCCATTGAAGGGGTTGACTAGAGACTTGTCTACTGAGTTAAGTTCATAAAAGAATTTGAGCCTTTTAGCTAGATTAGAGATTATGGAGCATGGTACTTGCTACTTTGAAAGCTGAGGTTCTGAACGTTATTATGCATTCAGAGGGTTAAAAGTCTATTAATAATCCCGTCAAGGAAAAGAAAGTTGTAAAGGAAGCAAATGACCAACTCAATCAGCAACTTGATTATGACATAATTTATTAACTTTTCAAAATGACACAAAATAAACAAAGCAGAAATGCCCTGTTTATGCAGGTAGAGAAATTTGGAACTTTGTAGAAATTGTCACAAATCTGATTTTATTAGTTGACTTCCAATGTATTGACTCTTCTACCAAATAATTTTGAAAAGAGCCTGTCTTTAGTATGCAATAGCTATCCTTTAATTAAGAAAAGAAACACTTTTGAGAGAGTTTAAATATTTTTCTGATCTTTATGGCGGTGATTACTAAGACACAGAAAAACACATATTTTAATTTGTGAACTGTAATATCAGTATCTTTATTCCACTTTCTAACCCAAAAGAAAAGATTAAAAATTTGATGTTTTTTGTTTTGCCCAAATTTACTGATATTTACGTTTTGTAAGAATTTCATTACATATTATGCGTTAACCAAAATTTAATTTCCATAAATACTTAAGTGTGCAAATTAAGAACACATTAGATTTGATAGTCTAGTTGATTTTCTAAATTTCTCTTTAATTTCTACTTTTAACATGATCCTATGAGCAAGTCCATGGTACAGCCAGTTCCTGCATTTTGACAGTGGCATATGGATTTATTCAACATTCATCCATCCGACATTTTCATCTAGCTGCAATAGCTATGATAAAGTCCAAAGTTAACAGTCTGGTGTTCGTGTCCCTTGTAACAGAGAAGAAAATACATTTTTTTCTGGACCCAAATATTGCTTTATTTCCCACTAGCCATATGGCTTATCTTTTCTTCCAAAATATGTCTTAAAACAGTAATCCACATATTCGTCCTCAACTCAGTGGACAGTACTATTATAGAATTTTTAGATTATTTTTAGAAGTTATTTTGTCATAGAAAATAAAAACTATTTGGGGATGAAGGAGCAACACACCTATGCTCAATTCCCACTATATTTTCGATACTTCCAGTTTTTATTCTGATTTCTGCTGAGTGAACCAATTCATATCTTACCATCATCATCTAGCCCTTATATCTTATTTAAAGTGCATGATTAATCATTTTAGGACATTTGTTTAACTTGCAGTATAAAAGTGACAAGAATGGCACACAAAGATTTCTTGGCTAAAACCACAGACTCCAGAAATAGTTTTTACAGGGGAACCATCTGAGCTTAAACACCAGAATCTGTAAAATAGTGGTAACAATGCTAACTTTGAAATAAGGGAAGCTGAAGGAATAACCACCCCCAGTTTTCCTGGGATCATACTAATAGGATTTAAGAGCAAGGTAAGAAAAAAAAGTTTTAGATTTCCCTTTTATTTTTTGTCTTCTAAAATGAACATCCCCCAAGTCTTTAAGAAAGTCTTTAACTAATCTTCTTGATCAAAAAACAGAAAATATTTAGATGTTCCAAAAAAAGTGCTTATAGTAGTTTATGTGGAGTTTTGGAAATGAAAGCTAACTTAAAAAAATTAAGTGTTCATGTTAAATGCAAAAATACATCTTAGGCAATTCAACTTCAACTGTCTCCTTTCCTGATTTTGCTAACCTGGTAAAGAAGAGCACCAACATGAGGGTGATACACTTGCATTTATCTTAATGAATGTTATTTTTGGATTGAATCAATCTTCAAGGCACAGTCTTACACATTTGTGCATGAGATAGAATTTGTCTAACATATTGTACAGCATAATTTATTAATAACCTCACTAGGTACAATGAAGCTATGAATCAATTGAACATTGAAGAGTCATGTTAGCCAGTAATGTATAATTTGGTGTGATGATTGGAGCAAACACCTACACAGAAAGGGAAGATGGAACAGCTCCTCGAGGGTCAATGGTAGAGAATGGGTTATGAAGAAAGCTGTTTGAGAGAATATTTATGGGTGTATGTGTACATGTAGGAAAACAAATATAAATGAACTTTGAAATATGGGTGACCCTTGAAAGTGCAAGATTTATTTCAAGAACACATAACAGTTTTTAATGTTTATGCACGCAACAACAGTACATCAAAAAATGTCAGGCAAAAATTGATAGAATTGCAAAGATAAATAAACAAAGCCACTACTATGGTTGAGAATTCAACATTCCCCTGCCAGTAATTGATAGACAATGCAGGCAAAAAGTCAGTGAGGCTATAGGCAACCTGAACAGTACTATCAATCAACTTGATTGAAGTGATATGTTTAGAGTATTCCTTCCAACAACAGCAGAATGCACATTCTTCTCAAGCTCACATGGACATATACCAAGGTATAACACATTTTGGATGAAACAACAAAACTCACAAACTTAAAAGAACAGAAGTGATACAACATATGTCCTCAGACCACAAGAAATTAAATTAGAAATCAATAACAGAAAGAGAGCTGAAAAAAATCCCCCAAATTTGGAGATCAAGCAAAACACTTATGAATAGCAATTGGGTCAAATAAGCTTTGACAGAAAATTTTTAAATATTTTATACCAAATTATAATAAAAATGCATCTTACTAAACTTTGTGATATGTAACAAAAACAGTCCTTAGGGGGAAATTTATAGTTTTAAAAGCATATCTTAGAAAAGAAGATGTAAAAGCGATAACCTAACATTCCACCACAGGAAACTAAGAAAGATCAAATTAAGCCAAAATCAAGAAGAAGAAAGGACATAATACAAAATTAGAGCAGAAATTATTGAAATTGTAAATAGGAAAGCAGTAGAGAAAATCTGCAAAACCAAAATCTTATTCTTTGAAAAGACCAATATAATTTTTAAAAAACTTATAGCCAGACTAACCAAGAAAAAAGAGAGAAGACACAAAGTACCTAATGCAGAAATAAAAGAGAAAATAATATCCCATAGACATTAGAAGGATGGTAAAGGAATAGTATGAACAATTCTATGCTCATAAATTTGATAACTTAGTTAAAATGGACCAATTTCTTGAAAGACAGAAACTACCAAACTTAAAACAAGGATAGATCAACAAGTTTAATAGATTTATATCTATTTATAAATTTGATTAATCAATTAGTGATCTTTCCAAAACGAAGGAACCTGACCCAGATGATTTTATTGGTGACTTTTTTTCTGAATTCTACCACTTAAGGAAAAAATAATTTCAATTCTCCATAATATCTTCTAGAAAATAGATTAAAGGGGATACTTCCTAGCTCATTCTGTGAGGCCATCATCACCTTAATACCAAAACCAGATAAAGACAACTGAAGAAAGAAAACATACAGACCAGTATCTCTCATGAATATAGATGCAAACATGCTAAAAAAAAACCTAGCAAATTATGTACAATATATGTTTAGAAATACATCATGACTAAATGAGATTTATTCCGGATATTGAAGGCTAATTCAATATTTGAAAACTAATCATTGTTATCCACCAATATAGAGGTTAAAGAAGAAAATTCATATGACTATATCAATTGACATCAGTAAAGCATTTGACAAAATCCAACACACATTCGTGATAAAACTGTCATCTAATTAGGAATAGATGAAAACTTTCTCAGCTTGATTTTTAAAGATCTACAAAACTTCTAAAACTAACATCATACTTAGTAGTGATACTGGACGCTTTCCAAGTAGGAGACAAGGCAAGAATATCCTGTCTCTCCACTTCTGTTTAATATTGTATTAGAAGTCCTTTCCAGGCCGGGCGCTGCGGCTCACGCCTGTAATCCCAGCACTTTGGGAGGCTGAGGAGGGTGGATCACGAGGTCAGGAGATCGAGACCATCCTGGCTAACACAGTGAAACTCCGTCTCTACTAAAAATACAAAAAATTAGCCAGGCGTAGTGGCAGCGCCTGTAGTCCCAGCTGAGGCAGGAGAATGGCCTGAACCCGGAAGGCAGAGCTTGCAGTGAGCCGAGATCTCGCCACTGCACTCCAGCCTGGGCAACAGAGCGAGACTGTGTCTCAAAAAAAAAAAAAAAAAAAAAAAAAAAATCCTTTCTAATACAATAAAGCTGTAAAAATATATATACACACTGGAAAGACAGAAAACTATTATTCCCAGGGAACATGATTGTCTATGTATAAAATCATAAATAATCTACAAACCAAAATTCCTGGAGCAAATAAGTGAGTATATAGCAAGGCTGTGAGAGGTGACAGCATGCTGGCAGCCCTAGCAGCCCTCGCTCGCTCTCAGCGCCTCCTTGGCCTTGGCGCCACTCTGGCCACGCTTGAGGAGCCCTTCAGCCCGCCGCTGCACTGTGGGAGCCCCTTTCTCGGCTGGCCAAGGCTGGGAGCCGGCTCCCTCAGCTTGCGGGGAGGCGTGGAGGGAGAGGCGCGGGCGGGAACCCGGGCTGCGCGAAGCGCTTGCAGACCAGCGCCAGTTCCAGGTGGGCGTGGGCTTGGCGGGCCCCCACTCAGCGCAGCCGGCCCGCCCCGCTGGTCCTGGGCAGTGAGGGGCTTAGCACCTGGGCCAGCAGCTGCTGTGCTCGATTTCTCGCCTGACCTGCAGTCGGCCATGCCTGAGCCTCCCCGACGAGCGCCGCCCCCTGCTCCATGGCTCCCAGTCCCATCCACCGCCCAAAGGCTGAGGAGTGCGGGCCCACGGCGCGGGACTGGCAGGCAGCTCCACCTGCGGCCCCTGTGCTGGATCCACTGCGTGAGGCTAGCTGGGCTCCTGAGTCTGGTGGGGACTTGGAGAATCTTTATGTCTAGCTAAGGGATTGTAAATACACCAATCAGCACTCTGTATCTAGCTCAAGGTTTGTAAACACACCAATCAGCACCCTGTGTCTAGCTCAGAGTTTGTGAATGCACCAACTGGCACTCTGTATCTAGTTAATCTGGTGGAGACTTGGAGAATACTTGTCTAGCTAAGGGATTGTGAATGCACCAATCAGCACTCTGTATCTAGCTCAAGGTTTGTAAATGCACCAATCAGCACTCTGTGTCTAGCTCAGGGTTTGTAAATACACCAATCGACCCTCTGTATCTAGCTAATATAATGGGGACATGGAGAACTTTTGTGTCTAGCTCAGGGATTGTAAAGGCACCAATCAGCACCCTGTCAAAACAGACCAATCAGCTCTCTGTAAAACAGACCAATCGGCTCTCTGTAAAATGGACCAATCAGCAGGATGTGGGTGGGGCCAGATAAGAGAATAAAAGCAGGCCGCCCCAGCCCATGGTGGCAATCCACTGGGGTCTCCTTCCATACTGTGGAAGGTTTGTTCTTTTGCTCTTTGCAATAAATCTTGCTACTGTTCACTCTTTGGGTCCAGACTGCATTTATGAGCTGTAACGCTCACCGTGCAGATCTGCAGCTTCACTCCTGAAGCCGGCGAGACTGTGAACCCAGCAGAAGGAAGAAACTCCGAACACATCTGAACCTCAGAAGGAACAAACTCGAGACAGGCCACCTTTAAGAATTGTAACACTCACCGCGAGGGTCCGCGGCTTCATTCTTGAAGTCAGTGAGACCAAGAACCCACCAATTTTGGACACAGTTGTAGGATACAAATTCAAGATACAAAAATCAACTACTTTCGTATGTACAAGTAAGAACAATTAGAATTTGAAATTTGAAATTACTATTTACAATACACCAAAATAAAAATACTTCTGTATAAATCTTAAGAAAATGTATAAACTCTACGTGTAGAAAACTACAAAACTCTAAGTAATCAAAAAAGATCTAAATAAATGTAGTGATGTCCCATGTTTATGAATTGGAGAACTTAGTATTTTAACAATGTCAGTTCTTTCCAAATTGTTTATAGATTCTATGAAATTCCAATCAAAATCCCAGAAGCTATTTGTAGATATCAACCAGCTGATTCTAAAATTTATACAGGGAGTTGAACTAGAATAATCAACATACTATTAAAGAAGAATAAAGTTGGAGAACTTAACCTATCAGATTTCAACTTGTTATAAAGCTACAACAATCAAGACAGCATGCTATTAGTGAAACACCAGACACATAGATCAATGGAACAGAGAGCCCAGAATTAGAATCAAACAAAATATAACATTTTTGCGAAAGTGCAAAGACATTTCAATGGAGAAAGGTGGTCTTTTCAAGCCATAGAGCTGTAACAATGGGATGTCTATATGCTTAAATATGAACCTAGACATAGCTCTTACACAATTTACCAAATGAAACTCAAATAGGTAATAGACTTAAATGTAAAATACAAAACTGTAAAATTCCTAGACGAAAACATCAGAGAAAAATTGCTGGAACCTTGAATATGGTGAGGAGTTTTGAGACAAACACTGTAGGTACCAATCCATGAAATAGAAAAAATAGGTAAGTTGGTGTTTCAGATTAAAATGTTTTAGTTTTTAATTTATTTTTGTTTTTTCAAATTTAGTATTTTTAATTGACAAAATTATATACATATTTTCTTGCACAATGTAATAATTTGAAGTACATATACATTGTGGAATGATTAAATCTAGCCAATTAACATATGCATTACCTCACATAGTTACCATTTTTGTGGTGAGAGCACTTCACATCCACTCTCTAGCATTTTTGAAGAATACAACATTAGCTTTAGTAGTACTTCTTTCCAAGTAATCTCCTATGCAAAGAATAAATACCACTAAAGACGAAAACTATGGATGTAATATCCTTATTTGGAAAAAAATTCAGTGTTGTTTACCCTGTGAATTTGTGTATAGAAGACTCTTAATACTCAGACTGGAGATTATTCAAATTCAAGAAATTGCTTCTACTCCTGGTTCCAGGGCAAGTCATTTAGAAGACCAAATTGTTTATGTAAATTATCCATCTACTGATTGGTCTTTAGATAGAATTTAAGGGTGCGTTTGTTTGCTGAAGAGTAGCGAAAAGAATGTTTTTCTTAGTTATGTCCAGTTTTTTTTTTTTTGCAGGGCTTTGCTTTTTCACTTTTACATGTCTATGATCATCTCACATCTTTGTTGGTTCTGGGATTCTTATGGTGTCCAAAGACAATATAAACAGCACTTGTTTTTAAATGACTGTATTGTAATGATGGTGAGCACTGGAAAGACAGCTACATTCTGTCCTTAGGAGAGCTGCACTTTACTGACTGGTGGAGTGATGGACGTAATTTAGAAGACATCTATGATGAATTTCTTCACTCACAAAGCACAAAGCACTTTACTTCACAAAGCACATTAATGCTTGCTCAAATTTTCCAGGTTTGGCCACTGGGAGCTGTTGTAATTGGCTCCTGTGTTCCTTTGACATAACTTATCATGGTTCCTTATTTTGCTTTATGATTTTGTTTTGTTTTGTTGCTTCTTACATTCTGGCATTACAAGATCTCCAGGATCAACTTTAATGTTAATTTCCTGCGTCAGTCCAATAATCAGCCATTTCTCTAAGGAGCCCTGGTTCCTTCTATTTTACAAGATCTCAGTGTTAACTATGCCCATTGCTACAGAGGTGTTATTCTAGACCCTCTCAGATCATAGAGCAAGGAAACATACATGTGTATATACTACCTTATGTATTACATACCTGAAAACACTTCCATACGCAGCTGCCTGTGTCTGTATTAAGTTAAAACTTGAGTTAACACTGATGTCTCCAACTCTAATCCATGAACACATAGGTCATTCTAACTCCCTCCACTTGCTTATCTGTAAATTTCCATCCCAACAGTGGGAAATCTGTCTCCTACCACCTGACATCCGTTTACTTAATTGTTCAATTCATGTATACATGTATATAAGCATCAGAATTGTTAACTCTTACCCTCATGGAAAATAAATTTATTAACTGGATACTTTCTTTTGCTTTTAGTTTCGTAGACTCCTTATTTGCAAGACTACTTAGGTTTTCACCTCTTTCCACTTCAATGAGATTGTAATCATACATTTGTAATATAGTTGATTTTTTTTCTGTCATGTTCTGCATTCCATCTTGGGATTCCCTGACCTCTGAAATGTTTTTCTTTTTTAAATTTGCATACATTCAGGTTCACTCTGTAGTAAAGGTCTATGGTTTTTGATAAATGTATAGTGTCTTATATCCACCATTACCGTATTTTCCTTTAAAAACTCCCGTTCCTCACTTATTCAAATCGTTCCCATCCTAATCACCTGGGAACCACTGATTGTTTGCTATTTCTATGGTTTTTCTGTTTCAGAATGCCATATAATTAGAAAGAGATGGTATGTAATTGTTTTAGACTGTCACCTGGCAATATAAGATTTAGCAGTGTCTTTTTATGGTTTGATATTTCATTTGCTTTTGTTTCTGAACAAGATTCCCTTGGATAGATGTAGCACAGTTTGTTTACCCTATTACCTACTAAAGGACTCTTGGTCATTTACAGTTTTTGATGATAAAGCTGGTATAAACTTTCACAAGCAATTTTTTGTATGGACATAAATTTTCAAATCATTTGGGTTGAAAGCTAGGCATGCAATTGCTAGACTGTATGACAAAACTATGTTTAGCTTTGTAAGAAACTGCCAAACTCTTCCAAAGCAACTGGACCATTTTGCAAGCCCATCAGCAATGAATGAGAGTTCCTGTTGCTCCACAACTCCCAGAAATTGGTATTGTCAGATTTTTTTTTTAATTTTAGCCATTCTAATAAGTATATCATGGTATTTCAATTTTGTTTTAATTTGAAATTCCCTAATGTAATATATATTGAGCCTATTTTCATAGACTTGTTTGCCATCTGTATAATTTCTTTCTTTGGTGAGGTATGTGTTCAGATCTTTAGCTATATTTTAATTAAGTCATTTGTTTTCTTATTAAGTTTTAAAAGTTGTTTGTATATTTTAAATATAAGTACATTATCTTGTATATGTTTTGCAATATTATCTCCCAATCTGTAGCTAGTTTTTCATTCTCTTAATTGTGTTTTTCATAGGGAGATGTTTTTATTTTTAACAAGATCCAAATCTCCTTTTTTCTCAAATTATGCTTTTATTATTGTATATAAAACTCATTTCCAAACTGAAGTTCACATAGACTTTTTTTCTAAGTTTTATAGTTTTAGGTTTTACATTTAGGTCTATGATATTTTTGAGTTAGTTTTTATGGAAAATATAAGGTCTATGTTAGCCTTTTCTTTTATTTTGCATATGACTGTCCAGTTGTTCCAGCATCATTTCTTGAAAAAATATCTTGTTTTGCATTGAATTGCCTTTGCTCCCTTGTCAGTATATTTGTGTTCATTTCTGGATCTCTGTTCCATTGACATGTGTCTATTCTTTAGCCAAGAAAATGGTATCTTGAGTACTGTGAATTTATAGTAAAATTTGAAATTGGGTCTTGTGTGTCCTACATTTTTGTTCTCCTTCTTCAGTATAGTGTTGGCTCTGCAAGTTTTTTTTTTAATACTTTCTACATAAATTTTAGAATCAACGTGTTAATTTCTACAAAATAACTTGAGTTTGGTAGTTTTCTACATATAGATTTTCTACATCATTTGTTAGATTTATACCTAAGTATGTCATAGTTTTCTGATGCCATTGTAAATGGTATTTTAAAATTTCAAATTACAAGTATTCATTGCTGCTTTATGGAAAAGCAAATTGACTTTTGTAATATTGATCTTGTAGCTTGCAATCTTGCTTTAATCACTTGTTTGTTCAATAAAATTTGGTTTAAAGATTATGTAGGGTTTTCTCCATAGACAATCATGTCATCTGCAAACAAAGGTAGATTTATTTCTTCCCTCCAAATGTACCTTTTATTCTCTCTGTCTGTCTTTCTCTCTCTCTCTCTTTTTTTTTTTTAATCTTATTTCACTAGCTAGGACTTCTAGTATGATGTTAACTAGGATTCCTAAGACAGGACATTCTTGCCTTGTCCCTGATCTTAAGAGGAAAGTGTCAATTTCTCACCATTTAAGTACGTTAGCTGCAGTTGGCATTTTGTTTTTCAAATGTTAATCATTGAGTTACAAAAGTTCTTCTCTACTCCTAGCTTGCTGAAAGATCTTGTAATGAATTGGTGTTGGATTTTTGTCAAATGTTTTATCTATGTCAATTGATATGATCATATTACTTTTCTTCTGTAATCTGTTGAAGTGACAGAAAACCAAAATTGATTTTCAAATGTTGAACCAGCCTAGTATACTTGGAATAAATCCAAGCTGGCTGTGGTGTATAATTGCTTTTCTATGTCATCGTATATAATTTGCTAATATTGTGTTGAGGATATTTACATCTATGTTCAAGAGAGATACTGGTCTGTAGATTTCTTTTTTTGGATTTCTTTATGGTATTTATAATACCTCACTTCAGTATTAAAGTGATGATGCCCTCATAGAATGAGTTAGGAAGTGCTCACACTGTCTCCACTTTCTAGACGAGATTATGGAGAATTGAAATCATTTATTTCTTAAATGGTATACTTCCATAAAATTCACTAATGAAACAATCTGTATCTGGTAACTTCTCTTTTGAAAGGTCGCTAATTGTTGATTCAAATTCTTATTATTTTCTTCATTGTTTTAAACTTTTATTTTAGATTCAGGGGTACATGTCCAGGTTTGTTATTTAGGTAAAGTTGTGTCACAAGTTTCATCACCCATGTATTAAGCCTTGTACTCAATAGTTATTTTTTCTGCCCTATTCCTCTCCCTCCCGCCCTCAAGTAGACTCCAATGACTGCTGTTCCCCTCTTTGTGTCCATGTGTTCTCATCATTTAGCTCCCACTTATAAGTAAGAACATGCAATATTTGGCTTTCTGTTCCTGCGATAGTTTGCTAAGGATAATGGCCTCCAGATCCATCTATGTCCCTGCAAAAGACATGATTTTGTTCTTTCTTAGGGATGCATAAATTCTCATGGTGTATATGTACCACATTTCTAAAAAATTCCAGTATACCATTAATGGGCATTTATGTTAATTCCATGTCTTTTCTCTTGTGAATCGTGCTGCAATGAACATACACATGTGTGTGTTTATGATAGAACAATTTGTATTCCTTTTGGTATATATACCCAGTAATGGGACTGCTAGGTTGAATGGTAGTTCTGTTTTTAGCTCTTTCAGGAATTACCACACTGCTTTCCAATATGGTTGAACTAAGTTATACTCCTACCAACAGTGTATAAGCATTCACTTTGTTCTGCAATTTTGCTAGCATCTGTTGTATTTTGACTTTTTAGTAATAGCCATTGTGACTGGTGTGAGATGGTATCTCATTGTGGTTTTGATTTGCATTTCTCTGATGATCAGTGATATTGAGCTTTTTAAAATATGCTTGTTGGCTGCATCTATGTCTTTTTTTGAAAAGTGTCTGTTTATGTCCTTTGCCCACTTTTTAATGCACTTGTTAGTTTTTTTCTTGTAAATTTGATTAAGTTCCTCATAGATGCTAGATATTAGACCTTTCTCAAATATTTTCTCCCATTCTGTAGGTTGTCTGTTTACACCGTTGATAATTTATTTTCCTATTCAGAAGCTCTTTAATTAAATCCCATTTTTCAATTTTTGCTTTTGTTGCAATTGCTTTTGGCATTTTTAACATGAAATCTTTGCCAATTCTTAAGGCCAGAATGGTATTGCCTAGGTTATCTTCCAGGGATTTTATAGTTTAGGGTTTTACATTTAAGTCGGGAATCCATCTTGAGTTGATTTTTGTGTCTGATGTAAGGAAGCTATCTCGTTTCAATCTTCTTCAATCTTCTTCATATGACTAGACAGTTATCCCAGTACCCTTTATTGAATAGAGTTCTTTCCCAAGTGCTTGTTTTTGTCACCTCTGTCAAATAACAGATGGCTGTAGGTGTGTGGCCTTATTTCTGGGCTGTCAATCCATTCTATTGTTCTATGTGTGTGTTTTTGTACTAGTACTATGCTGTTTTGGTTATTGTAGCCATGTAATATAGTTTAAAGTTGGGTAAAGTGATGCCTCCTTTTTTTGAAGCAGCTACGTTGACTGCAGTTTATACACTGGGGTTTGTTGTCACTTGCCAGGAAAAGTTAGGACACGAACACACATGAGGAGTTTCAGAGCAGAGTTTAGGTAGAGGAGAAGAGAAAGAGAAACAGCTTCCTCTATAGAGGAAAGGGTCTCTGAGCAGAAAGGACCAGCTTTGTGAATGCCCCAAATTTTATATTCTAGTTTGAAGAGGCAGTGTCTGATTTACATAGGGCTTATAGACTGGTTTGATCAGGTATGACATTTACACACTGCACAGGGAAGGCTTGTTGCCCCACCCTAATCTTATTATGCAAATGGGCTTTCCAGTTGATCCCTGCGATCTTGTCTACTTACACTACACGTGGCTGGCAGAGAAGGGAAGATGGAGTCTCCGTCTTGAACATTTCTAATCCTTGGTTCCTGCCGGCGTTCACCCATGGAAGCTCCCAGCTTGCTTGTCTATGTCTGGGGCTCAACTTTACAGGCTGCTCTTTGTTAGAAAATGATTTGGGGATGCTTTTCATTAAAAAGAAAAGTCTGGGCCAGAAACAGTGGCTCACACCTGTAATCCCAGCACTTTGGGAGGCCAAGGCGGGTGGATCACCTGAGGTCAGGAGTTCGAAACCAGTCCCGTCAACACCATGAAACCCGTCTCTACTAAAAATACAAAAAATTAGCCAGGCATAGTGGCGAATGCCTGTAATCCCAGCTACTCGGGAGGCTGAGACAGGAGAATTGCTTGAACCTGGGAGGTGGAGGTTGCAGTGAGCCGAGATTGCACCATTGCACTCCAGCCTGGGAAAAAAGAGTGAAACTCTGTCAAAAAAAAAAAAAAAAAAAAAAAAAAAGAAAGGAAAGAAAAGCCTTACTGAGGACTCCCATAGTCTTGCTATCTGCTTAAATAATTCCATCTTAACTCCTATATCACTTTGTTCTTTTTGCTTAGGATTGCCTTGGCTATTCAGGCTGTTTTTTGATTCCACAGGAATTTTAAAACAGGTTTTCTAGTTCTGTGAAGAATATTATTGGTAGTTTGATAGGAATAGCACTGAATCTATAAATTGCTTTGGGCAGTATGGCCATTTTAATAATATGTATTCTTTCAAACCATGAGCATGGAATGTTTTTCCATTTGTTTATGTTATTTTTGATTTCTTTCAACAGTGTTTTATAATTCTCATTATAGAGATCTTTCACCTCCCTGGTTAGCTGTATTCCTAAGTATTTTATTCTTTTTGTGGCAGTTGTGAGTGTGATTGCATTCCTGATTTGACTCTTGGTTTCGTTGTTGGTGAACAGGAATGACAGTGATTTTTCTATGTTGATTTTATAGCCTGAGACTTAGCTGAAGTTGTTTATCAGCTGAAGGAGCCTCTGAGAGAAGACTATGGGGTTTTCTAGATATAGAATTACGTCATCTGAAAACAGGGATAGTTTGACTTCCTCTCTTTCTATTTGGATGCCTTTTATAACTTTCTCTTGTCTGATTGCTCTGTCCAGGACTTCCAATATTATGTTGAATAGGAGTGGTGAGAGACCAGATCATTATCTTGTGCTGGTTTTCCTTTTTTTTTTTTTGAAACAAAGTCTCACTCTGTCACTCTGTTGCCCAGGCTGGAGTGCAGTGCTATGATCTTGGCTCACTGCAGCCTCCACCTCCTGGGTTCAAGCAATTCTTGTGCCTCAGCCTCCTGAGCTGAGAATACAGGAACCTGCTGATTTTTGTATTTTTAGTGAAGATGGGGGTTCACTATGTCGGCCAGGGTGGTCTCAAACTCCTGGCCTCAATATGATCTGCCTTTCTTGGCCTCATAAAGTGCTGGGATTGTAGGCATGAGCTACCTTGCCTGGCCTTTTGCTGGTTTTGAAGGGGAATGCTTCCAGCTTTTGCCCACTCAGTATGACATTGGCTGTGGGTTTGTCATAGATGGCTCTTATGATTTTGAGGTATGTTCCTTCAATACTTAGTTTGTTGACAGTTTTTAACATGAAAGGATTGAATTTTATCAAAAGTATTTTCTGCATCTATTGAGATGATCATGTGGGTATTGTCTTTAGTTATGTTTATATAATGAATCACATTTATTCATATTTGTATGTTGAACCAACCTTGCATTTCAGGGGAAAAAGCCTACTTGATCATGGTGGATTAGTTTTTTGACGTGTTGCTGAATCAGTTTGCTAGTATATTGTTGAGGATTTTTGCATCAGTGTTCACCAAAAATATTGGCCTGAAGTTTTCTTTTTATGTTGTGTCTCTGCCAGGTTTTCATGTCAGGATGATGCCGGTCTCATAGAATGAGGTGGCGAGGAGTCCCTTCTCAGTTTTTTGCAATAGTTTTTGTCAGAGTGGTACCAGCCCTTCTTTGTAAATCTAGTAGAATTTGGCTGTGAATCTGTCTGTACCTGGGCTTTTTTTTTTTTGATTGATAGGCTATTTATTACAGATTTAATTTCAGAGCTTGTTATTGATCTGTTCAGGAATTCAGTTTTTTACTAGTTCAGTCTTGGGAGGGTGTATGTGTCCAGAAATTTATTGATTTCTTCTACATTTTCTCATTTGTTTGCATAGAGGTATTCATAGTAGTCTCTGATGGTTATTTGTATTTCTGTGGGGTCAGTGGTAGTGTCCTTTTTGTTGTTCCTAATTGTGTTTATGTGGATATTCTTTTTTCTTGTTCATTAATCTAGCTAGTGGTTTATCTTAATTAAAAAAAACAAGCTCCTGGATTCGTTGATTTTTTGAATGGTTTTGCATGTCTCTATGTCCTTCTGTTAAGCTCTGATTTTGGTTATTTCTTGTCTTCTGCTAGCTTTGGGGTTGGTTATATCTTGCTTCTCTGGTTCTTTTAGTTGTGATGTTAGGTTGTTAACTTGAGAGCTTTCTAATTTTTTGATGAGGTGTTTAGTGCTATAAATTTCCCTCTTAACACTACCTCAGCTGTATCCCAGAGATTCTGATATGTTGTATCTTTGTTCTGTTTAGTTTCAAAGAACTTCTTAATTTCTGACTTAATTTTATTACTTTCCCAAAAGTCATTCTGGAGCAGATGTTTAAATTTTTATGTAACTGTATGGTTTTGAGCAATTTTCTTAGTCTTAAATTTCATTTTTATTGTGATGTGGTTCTAGAGTGGTTGGTATGATTTCAGTTCTTTTGTATTTGCTAAGGATTATTTTATGTTCAATTGTTAGGTCAATTTTAGTGTATATGCCATGTGGCAATGAGAAGAATGTATATTGTGTTGTTTTTGCATAGAGAGTTCTGTAGATATTGATCAAGTCCATTTGATCTAGTGTTGAGTTCAGGTTCTGAATACCTTTGTTAATTTTTTGCCTTGATGATCTGTCTAGTACTGTCACTAGGGTGTTGAAGTCTCCCACTATTATTGTGTGGGAGTCTAAGTCCCTTTGTACATCTCTAAGAACTTGCTTTATGAATCTGGGTGCTTCTGAGTTGGGTGCCTACATATTCAAGATAATTAGATCTTCTTATTGATTAACCCTTTATCATTATGTAATGCCCGTTTTTTGTCTTTTCTGATCTTCGTTGGTTTAAAGTCTGTTTTGTCTGAAATTAGGATTACAACTCCTGCTTTTTTCTCTTTTCTATTTGCTTGATGTTTTTTTCTCCCACCTTTTATTTTGAGCTTATGGGTGTCATTGCATGTGAGATGGGACTCTTGAAGAAGAATACTGATGGGTCTTGGTTCTTTATCCAGCTTGCCACTCTGTGCCTTTTAATTGGAGCATTTAGCCTGACTACATTCAATGTTAGTATTGATATGACTGGATTTGATACTGTCATCATATTGTTAGCTGTTTATTATGCTGACTTGTTCGGTTGTTTTATAGTGTCACTGGTCTATGTACTTAAATGCGTTTTTATATTGCCTGGTAACGGTCATTCCTTTCCATATTGAGTCCTTCTCACAGGAGCTCTTGTAAGGCAGGTCTGGTGGTAACAAATTTCTTGAGCATTTGCTTGTCTGAAAAGGATCTTATTTCTCCTTCACTTCTGAAGCTTAGTTTGAAGGGATATAAAATTCTTCATTGGAATTTATTTTAAGAATGTTATATATAAGTCTCCAATCTCTTCTGGCTTGTAGGGCTTTTGTTGAGTGGTCTGCTGCTAGTCTGATGAGCTTCCCTTTGTATGTGGCCTATATTTTCTCTCTAGCTTCCTTTTGTTTCATTTCGACCTTGGAGAGTCTGATGATTATGTGTCCTGGGGATAAATTTCTTGTAGAATATCTTACTGGGGTTCTCTGCATTTCCTGAACTTGAATTTTGTCCTGTTTAGCTATGTTGGGGAAGTACTCATAGATAATATCTTAAAATATGTTTTCCAAGTTGTTGCCATTTTTCCCATCTCTTTCAGGGATGCCAATAAGTGGTAGATTCAGTGTCTTTCCATAATCCCATATTTTGTGGAGATTTTGTTTGTTCCTTTTTGTTGTTTTCTGTTTATACTTGTCTGTCTTATTTCAGAAAATCAGTATGCAAGCTCTGAGTTTCTTTTCCCAGCATGGTGTATTCTGTTATTAATACTTGAAATTGCATTGTGAAATTTTTGTAGTGTGTTCTTCAGCTCTATCAGGTCGCTTACATTCTTTTCTATACTGTCTATTTTATGTCCAATATTATTTTATTATAATTCTTACCTTTCTTAGGTTGGGTTTCAATGTTCTCCTAAATCTTGCTTATCTTTGTTCTTATTGATGTAATTAATTTTATTTCTGTAATTTCAGCTGTCTCAGCGCAGTTAATAACTCTTGCTTGAGACTTAGTGTGGTCGTTTGGAGGAAAAACACACTCTAGCTTGTTGAGTTGTCAGAGTTCTTGCACTGTTTTTTTCCAATATTTGTGAGCTGATGCTCCTTCAATCTTTGAAGTTGCTGTTCTTTGGCTGTGTTTTTTTTTATTTTATCATATTTGATGACCTTGTGGTTTTGATTGTGGCATAAGGTGGGTTCAGTTAACTGGCTTCATTTCTGGAACATTTTAGGGGGCCACAGCTCATCTCAGGGTCCTAGACTACATGTTTAAACTCTGGGAAATTGGTGTTGGGCCCCATCTTTTTTCTTTGGCTCCTCAAGTTTGGGAACATTCTGCAATGGAGGGGTCAAAGTGCTCCTGGACTGCTGTTCACAACACTCTGTTGAGTGGTCCCAGCCAAAGCATGCCATAGGGTGGGAGAAGCAGGATTTATCCTCGTTCACACCTGCCAGCAGCAGCAACAGTATGGGGAGGGTGCACACTTGTCAGCCATGGCAGGGTGGTAGTGAGTGCCAGGGTGCCAGCCTCCATGTGGGTGTTTGCAGCAATGACAATGGCAGCATGACTTAGAGGTCCAAGGGGCCTTCACCAATGACTGTGCATACATTTGTGCCAGTGGTGGTGTTAGTATGGAGGCAGGACACTGATTGATGCAGGACTATATGCGCTCTCTATGCACATTCACATTGGTGGCAGTGACCACTCAGAGCAGGAGGTAGTCCACTGTTCACTGTGCTTCAATTAAAATTATTTAATAGATACAGGTCTATTCAACTTGTTGATCTTTCCTGTTTTAGGCTTGGTAGTTTTTGTCTTTCAAGGAACTGGTTGATTTTAACTACGTTATCAACTGTGTGAGCATATAATTGTTCATATTATTCCATTATCGTCTTTCTAATGTCCATACTATTCCATTATCATCTTTCTAATGTCCATGGAATAAATAATAATGAACTTTCATTTCTGCATTAAGTACTTTGTGTCTTCTCTTTTTCTATGGTTAGTGTATCTACAGGTTTTTTTCTTTTATTGTTCTTTTCAAATAACCAGCTTTTGGTTTTGCTGATTTTTCTCTACTGTTAGTCCTATTTACAATTTCATCAATTTCTGCTCTAATTTTGTACTATGTCCTTTCTTCTTGTTTTAAGTTTAATTTGATCTTCTTTCTGAGTTTCATGTGGTGGAAGATCAGGTTACTGCTTTTAAATCCCCTTTTCTAATACATGCATTTAATGCTACTAATTGCCCTCTAAGGACTGTTTTTACAGCATCTCATAATGTTTGGTAAGGTGTATTTCCATTATCATTTAGCTTAAAATATCGTCAAATTTCTGTGAAGACTTCTTTTACCAAGTGTTATTTAGAAGTTTTTTCTTTGAATCTCCAAAATTTGGAGATTATTTTTAGCTCTCTTTCTGTTGTTGATTTCTAACTTAATTTCATGTGATCTGAGGACATAATTTGTATAATTTCTTTACTTTTAAGTTTGGAAAGTCTATTTTATGTTCCACAATGTAATGTGTCATGGTAAATGTCCCTTGTAAGCTTGAGATGACTGTCTATATTGGTATCTTCATATATAGTGTCCTATAAATGTCAGTGAGATCCTGATGATTGATAGTGTTTTGCAGATCATCTACAACCTTGATGATTTCTTCCTGCTCTATCAATTACTGAGGAGGGATGTTGATGTATGCAACAATAATGGTGGAATTGTCTATTTTCCTTTCAACCATTTCCGTTTTAGTTTCTTGTATTTGAAGATTATCATCAATTACATATACATTAGAGATTGTTATATTTTTGGGGGAAATTAACACATTTATCATTATGTAATTATGCTCTTTACCCATTATAATTTTTTGTTATGAAGTCTGCCTTGGCTAAAATTAATATTGATATTTCAGCTTTCTTATTATTAGTGTCAATATGGTATATCTTTCATCACTGTTTTACTGTTAACCTGAGCTTTTACATTTAAAGTGGGTTTATTGCAGATGCCATTAAGTTTGGTCTTCTTTCATTATTCACTTTGATAATTTCTACCTTTTGTTTGGCATTTTTGTAGATTTACATTAAAATTGATTAATAATTTGTTTGATTAATATCTACAATTTTTTTACTATTCATTGCAATTGGTTTCTGTTACTTTCTCCTTTTTTCTACCTTCTTTAGTTTAATTGAGTGTATACGATTTCATTTTATCTCCTCTTTTAATCTACCAATTATAATCCTTAAAAAAATTTAAGTGACCCCAGTGTTTACATGATACAGTTTCTACTATTCTAAGTTTACCATCACATAAGTCACAACCATGTCATGTGTAGTACAGAAATCTATGTATCTTATAATAGAATATCCAATTCTTCTGTCTCATCATTTGTGACACAATGTAAATGGGCCCACGTTTGCCTGCTTACCAATCAAAACTCAGATGCAAGAGACAAGGATTGACAGTAGGAAAAGCATGTTTAATTGGACAGTGAGCAATTCAAGAAGATGGCAAACCAGATTTCTGAAGTATCATCTTAAATTATAAAATTTACCATAGGGTTTGTATTAGTCCGTTCTCATGCTGCTAATAAAGACATACCCAAGATTGCGTAATTTATAAAGGAAAGAGTTTTAATGGACTCACAGTTCCAACTGGCTGGGGAAACCTCACAATCATGGCAGAAGGCAAAGGAGAAGCAAAGTCACATCTTACTTGGTGGCAGTCAAGAGAGCTTGTGCAGGGGAACTCCCGTTTATAAAACCATCAGATCTTGTGAGACTTATTCACTACCAGGAGAACAGGATGGGGGAAACCACTCCCATGATTCAATTGTCTCCAACTGCCCCCACCCTTGACACATGAGTATTATTACCGTTCAAGGTGATATTTGAGTGGGAACACAGCCAAACCATATCATTCTGCCCTGGTCCCTCCCAAATTTCATGTCCTTGCATTTCAAAACCAATCATGCCTTCCTGACAGTCCCTCAAAGTCTTAATTCATTTCAGCATTAACTCAAAACTCCACAGTCCAAAGTTTCATCTGAGACAAGGCAAGTCCCTTCTGCTTATAAGCCTGTAAAATTAAAAACAAGTTAGGTACTTCCTAAATATAATGATGGTACAGGCATTGGGTAAATATACCCATTCCAACTGGGAGAAATTGGCCAAAATGAAGGGGCTACAGGCCCCATGCAAGTCTGAAATCAAGCAGGGCAGTCATTAAATATTAAAGCTCCAAAATGATTTCCTTTGACTCCATGTCTCACATCCAGGTCATGCTGATGCAAAAGGTGGGTTCCCATGGCCTTGGACAGCTCCACCCCTGTGGCTTTGCAAGGTACCTCCCCACTCCCAGCTGCTTTCATAGGCTGGTGTTGAGTGTCTGTGGCTTTTCCAGGTATATAGTGCAAGCTGTTGGTGGATCTGTCATTCTGGGATCTGGAGGATGGTTTCCCTCTTCTCACAGTTTGACTAGGCAGTGCCCCATTGGGGACTCTGTGTGGGGGCTCCAACCCTGCATTTTCCCTCTGCACTGCTGTAGTACAGCTTTTTCCATGAGGGCTCTGCTCCTATAGCAGACTTCTGCCTGGATATCCAGGCATTTCCATACATCCTCTGAAATCTAGGTAGAGGCTCCCAAGAGTGCACCCACAGGTTTAACACCACATGAAATCTACCAAGGCTTTGGTTTACATTCTCTGGAGCAGAGGACCAAGATGTATTTGGGTCCCTTTTAGCCATGGCTGGAGTGGCTGGGACACAGGGAGCAGTGCCGCCCTGAGATTATGCAGGGGAGCAGGGACCTGGGTCTAGCCCACAAAACAGTGATTTTCCTCCTAGGCCTCAAAACCTGTGATTGGAGGGGCTAGTGTGAAGGTCTCTCAATTGCCTTTAAGGCATTTTCCCCATTGTCTTGGCTATTAACATTAAGCTCCTCTACTTATGTAAATTTCTGCAGCCAACTTGAATTCCTCCCCAGAAAATGGTGTATGTGTTTTTGTCTTTTTGTAGGAAAAAACAAAACAAAACATTTTCTGGGGAGGAATTCAAGCCTGCTACAGAAATTTGCATAAGTAAATTTAATCAGGCTGCAAACTTTCTAATTTTTTCTCCTCTGCTTCTCACTGAAATGTAAGTTCCAGTTTCAGATCATCTCTTTGTTCAGGCATATGACCATATACTGTTAGGAGCAGCCATGTCACATCTTGAACACTTTGCTGCTTGGAAATTTCTTCTGCCGGATACCCTAAATAATCATTCTCAAGTTCAGAGTTCCACAGATCCCTAGAAGAAGGGCATAATGCTTCCAGTCTCCTTACTAAAGCAGAGCAAGTGTGACCTCTACTCCATTTCCTAGTAAGTTCCTCATCTCTGAGACCACCTCAGCCTGGACTTTATTGTCCATATCACTATCAGCATTTTGGTCACAACAATTTAACAAGTCTCTAGGAAGTCCCAAACTTTCCCTTATCTTCCTGTCTTCTTCTGAGCTCTCCAAACTGTTCCAACTTCTGCCCATTACCCAGTTCCAAATTCACTTCCACGATTTCAGATAACTTTATAGCAATGCCCTACTCCTTGGTACCAATTTTCTGTATTAGTCTGTTGTCGCACTGCTATGAAGAACTAGCTGAGACTGGGTAATTTATAAAGAAAAGAGGTTTAATTGTGGTTCCACAGGCTGTACAGGAAGCATGGCTTGCAAGGCTTCAGGAAATCACAATCATGCCAGAAGTTGAAAAGAAAGGAGGCATATCTTACATGGCCAAAGCAGGAAGAAGAGAGAGAATAGGGAAGTGCTACACACTTTTAAGCAACCAGATCTCAAGAGAACTCACTCCCTATCATGAGAACAGCATGGGGGAAATCCACCTCCATGATCCAATCACCTTCCACCAGGACCCTGCTCCAACATCAAGGATTACAATTCATCATGAGATTTGGTTGGGGAAACATATCTAAACCATATCTGGAACATGTGGAGTTGAAAATATTCATGAGTCTCTGGGCTTACAGAAGAGATCTGCTGGAGCATCATGATATGAGGGGTCAGAAGCTTTTGGGAAAGCTGGTCTTGCCTTCCCATACATAGTATGTAACATCAATACAGTTTACAGCAAAACTTATTCTTATAATCATAGCTAAAATCATGAGTAACTTTTTCCACCAAGAGGGGACGGATAAGAACCATGAAGAGAGCCATTGATTTAAAGACCTTGTGGGATCAGCCATAGCATTAATTTGCTTGTGCATGACTTGTAGGGCTAAATATATGTTTCCAGAGTTATCCAGAATGTACATACAGCATTCAGTCTTAATTACAGCACATATTCCCCACTGTCAATTATACCCAGAGCTCCTGTGTGTATATGATGACAGATTGGCTAAACATACATATTTCGCAGGTTACAGGAGAAACTTTGAATATTTAGGAAGGTAGTCCTGACACATGTATATTGAAAAAAATATGCATGTAACATATGACCCATGTTCATTCTGGGGTGGACACTTAACATTTAAATGTCTTTATACATCAAAGGGGTTTTTACTAGGACACAAGGCACACAAGTATGCAAGTTAGCAACTGGCCAGAACCAGTTCACAGTCAGTAGTCTTTTTAGCAGGAAAAAGTAACTGAAATCAGCCTCTTGTTTAATTAAAGCTATAGTTATGGCTGGTGGAACAGGGGCTGAGGGTCAGTCAGCATTTGGTGGAGCTGTAAATTGTTTCAATATTGCTTATCTTGAAGCCAGTGCTTATTTGACTGCTTGGGAAAAATAAAATCGTTGTGGCAGTTAGAACATGGTTCACCTTTTAAGTGTAGGAGTGTCCGACTTAACCTTTGCCTGTCATAGTCTTAGGTCTGGTTTATGATTTGGTATCTTATTATTACAGAGAGTCTGTTTTGCCAGTTTTATGATCTCTATTTTAATGTTAATGTTGGTCAGTTGTACCTGAATTCCAATGGGGGGGGAGGATAAAATGAGTCATGTCCAACCCCCTTCCTGTCATAGCCTGAAACTAGCTTTTAGGTTTCTTTGAGATCCCCTTAGCTATAAGGAGGAGAGTCCATTCAGAGAGTGGACTTGGGTTTTTGTTTGTTTGTTTGTTTGTTTGTTTGTTTGTTTTTTAGTTTATATTCCTCCTTTTTTGGTCAATATATGCCAGGGGCGGTATCAATGGCCAAGTGTTTATTTTGTTCCATATCAATGCTGAGGTGCTGTGGCTACCTGCATCAGATCTGTCATGTCTCTCAGTGGAACTCCTATGGCAAAAGGACTTAGAGTCAAAAGACTTACAGATAGCCAATTAAATGTTCTAGGCCAGATGGGAATGAAAGTAGGCTGGCACTTATTAACCCTTTGAGCGATATGAGAGCCAAAAACTAAAAGCCAAACTCCTTTAAGCAATATAAGAGCCCAAAACCAAAAACCAAAAAACAAGGTTATAAAATTGATTTGTCTATACGTTCTATATATTGAGCTAGGGGTCCTGAACCCCCAGGCCATGGATTGGTACTGCTCCCTGGCCTGTTAAGAACCAGGCTACACAGCAGTAGGTGAGTGGTAAGTGAGCAAACATTATCATCTGAGCTCTCCCTCATGTCAGATCAGCAGGGACATTAGATTCTCATAGGAGCATGAACCCTATTGTTAACTTCACATGCAAAAGCTCTAGGTTGTGCACTTTTTTATTTTTTTGAGATGGAGTCTCGCTCTGTCTCCCAGGCTGGAACACAGTGGCGTGATCTCTGTTCACTACAACGTCTGCCTCCTGGGTTCCAGCAATTCTCTGTCTTAGCCTCCCAAGTAGTTGGGATTGCAGGCACCTGCTACCATGCCCGGCTAATTTTTTTTTTTTTTTGTATTTTTAGTAGAGACAGGGTTTCACCATCTTGGCTATGCTAGTCTTGAACTCCTGACCTCGTGATCCACCCCCCTCAGCCTCTCAAAGTGCTGGATTACAGGCATGAGCCACTACGCCCTGCCGGTTGTGCACTACTTATGAGAATCTAATGCCTGATGATCTATCACTGTCTCCCATCACCCCTAGATGGGACTGTCTAGTTGCAGGAAAACAAGCTCAGGGCTCCCATTGTTTCTACATTATGGTGAGTTTGTAATAACAATAGAAATAAAGTGTACAATAAATGTAATGCACTTAAATCATCTTGAAACCATTCCCCTCTCCCATCTGTGGAAGAAATGTCTTCCACAAAAGTGGTCCCTGGAGCCAAAAAGTTGAGGACTGCTGTGTTGAGCATCTGTATACCTGTCTTTGATTTGGGGGTCTGAACTAATTTTATCCCTCAAAACTGGCCCTTAAAATCTCATGCACCCACCTCTTCCACAATAGGTCCTGGGCCTGGAGGGATTAAATAGTTTCAAATTCTGGAGGTAAAACAAGACATAAAGAATTAGCAGTGTGGGCCAAATGCAGTGGCTCATGCCTGTAATCCCAGTACTTTGGGAGGCTGAGGCAGGCAACATGATGAAACCCTGTTTCTACCAAAAATACAAAAATTAGCCAGGTGTAGTGGTGTGTGTCTGTGGTCCCAGCTACTCTGGAACCTGAGGTAGGAGGATCGCTTGAGCTTGGGAGATCGAGAATGCAGTGAGCCAAGATCATTCCATTGCACTGCAGCCTGGGTGCCACAGTGAGACCCTGTCTCAAACAAACAAATTAGCAATGTTTTAAACAGAAAGGTCATAAGCCCTGCCTAATTCTGAGAATGACAGGAAAAGGAAGCTCACATGTAGCTAAACATTTAAATTATTTAGTATCAAGGTATAGAATACATTTTATTAATTCAGATAGATGCAAAATTATTAAATGAATCTTAATGTTTTTGAATACAGGCCTGTCTCTGTGTCTCATGAAAGCAGTTTACTTTGATTGTCACCTTTACTAGGATCTAACAATGAGGCATTGGTTAATTTGAGTTTGGTGTCAGAGAGTGGCAGGAGTTGATGCCTTCTTTAGATATGTTTACTCAAGACTCAAAGCCCTGTAACTTAACAGCACAGGATTAGTTAATAGCATATGATAAGGACATTTTCAGGGGGCTGGAGGTGGTGATACTGACTCTCTTTATGGTTTTTATCAGTCCCCTCCTGGTGGAAAAAGTTACTCATAATTTTAGCTATGATTATAGGGATAGGTTTTGCTGTAAATTGTATTGCTGTTACACACTATGTATGGGAATGCAAGACCAGCTTTCCCAAAAGCTTCTGACCCCTCGTATCATGATGCTTCAGCAGATCTCGTCTGTAAGCCCAGAGACTTTCTGCATTCCCTTTGAGTTATTTTAATTATTACTCGGTTAAGTGAATGATTATTATTTTACAATAACCTGTGATTCTGTTTTGATAAAATGCTTTGAGCTTTTTAACATCTTTGACAAATTATTTCAAAATCAAATCCTAAATTAAGTCTCTGATTTATTGCTGGGGCTTATCACAGCTATAAAAATTAGGGGCTGGGCGCGGTGGCTCACGCCTGTAATCCCAGCACTTTGGGAGGCCAAGGTGGGTGGATCACGCGGTCAGGAGATCGAGACCTTCCTGGCTAACACCGTGAAACCCAGTCTCTACTAAAAATACAAAAAATTAGCCAGGCGTGGTGGCAGAGCCTGTAGTCCCAGCTATTCGGGAGGCTGAGGCAGGAGAATTGCTTGAACCGGAGAGGCGGAGGTTGCAGTGAGCTGAGATTGCGCCACTGCACTCCAGCCTGGGGGCGACAGAGCAAGACTCCATCTCAAAAAAAAAAAAAGCTATAAAAATTAATCACTGCAAGGTTGTAAGATCTTTTACGGCTTCCAGTTAGTTGATGGACTGACAAAACTGGAACCTGTCCACGTGGCTAAACTTTGTTTTCCCCCAGTAGATACTCCAATGAAGGCTGTGGATCAAGATCTTGGGTAGTTTCCATAGCAGTTTACTTTTTGAAAAACCTCTTTTACCCCCTTTTTAAATTCAGTTTCAAGTGAATTTCCAATGTTTATATTTTAGCTAGAACGGGCATAACTGTATAAGAAAAATAAAATATCTTTGGTATCTGACACTAAACTCAAATTCATCCTTGAATTAGTGAGTTTTATCTCAACAGCAGTAGCTTAATAACCTCCGGTTCAAAGTAGGTAGAAAAGATAAATTGATATACAGCTTTAGAAGAGCCTACTTAACAAAAAAGTTGCAGGGTAACCATTTGAGCTCTGACTTTTTCTTGCTGTAATTTGCCTATTAGTTTAAGATATGTACAAAAACTGCCCATAACGTGTTATTAGCTGGAGCCCCAGAAAACTTAGCATGCCTTTGTATTTTCCATGTTATTAAACATGTAAGCCCAGGGTCCACAAACAGACAAATGCAAAGGAACTAGTTCTCAAATTGATAGAAGTCCAACAACTATTCCTGTCTCCAAAAGGGTACCCCAACCAAAAAAAAAAAAAGTGGTTTATTCCAAGGAAAAGCCCAAATGGGAAGGTAGTTCCTGGTTGAACACACCATAGTGACTTACCAACCTTTCAGCCTGTTAACTCCTCAGACACCACTTTTCCTTGCTTCAACAAAGCATTTCAGGCAGCTGATGCCAGAAAGGAGAAAGATGAGAGAATTCCCAAGACAAAAGCGTTCTTGGCAGCTGCAGGGACATCTCTGGAGTCGAAGCCATGAAGTCACCTAACCATGAGTAGCTGGCACTCATGAGCATCTGTTGCTCTGCCTGGTAGCATAAATGGGTAAGCCCTGGCACACTGCTGTAGTAAATTGCTCCATCCTTTGGAAACCAAGCAGGCTAGACCACCCAAACTGCAGCCCCACATTTGGGCACTGAATTTCTAACTGAACTTAGGTTGGGCTGCTCACTGCTTGACAACAAGACATGAGAAGTGAGGGTTGGAGCAAGGAAGAGCAAGTTTAATCAGAGAGCCAGTAAACCAAGATGATGAACTAGCATTCTCAAATAACATCTTAAATTTCAAAATTTTCCATAGGGTTTGTAAAGGCAAATTTGGTACAGGAGGCATGGGAGTGGTGCAGGTTGCAGGGTCTGTGTGTCTTCGTTCTGATGGCTGTCTTTGGTAATTGCCCATCTAGAAGTCTGGTTGGTGTTATCTTTGGTTCAGCCTGGCAATTCCCCTTAGCAGGAAGCTTCTGCAATTGGGGCTCCATGCCTGGTTTGTTCCAAGATTAGCCACTGAAATTTCTAAAACAAAAATTTAATTAGGTAAGCATGGATTGCCAGAAGGGAGTATCTAGACAGGGAAGAAATAAAAGGGTAAGAGGGAAGGGAAGAAAGAAAAAGAAAGTGGATGATTAAAATATATTTTAAAAACTGAGGTCGTTTGTTGCAATAACCATTATTCATTTAATGTATCCATATGCTATAATACCTCAATACATTAATAATGCTTTAAACAATGATTATATTTTAGATCAGCTAAGAATCAGCCAGCCAATGGTTATCTTTTAGATCAGCAAAGAATAAGTCAAAGAAAATATTATTTTACCTTATTTTATTCCTTATCTAACATTCTTTCTTTCTTTATATAGACCTGAGTTTTTGACTTATGTCATTTTCTTTCCCTATAAAAAATTTATTTTAATATTTCTTGAAAGGAAGGTCTAGTGGTATTGAATGACCTGAGTTTTTGTTCATCTGAGAAAGTATTTCTCTTTTGCTTTAATTGACAGTTTTTTTGGATATAGAATTCTAAGTGTGTAGATTTTTTTCTTTCAAGATTTAAACACTTTTCTTTCACATTATTCTTACTCGCTTGATTTCTGACAAGATGTTTGTTATGATTTCTATCCCTGTTAATGTATAAATAGATATGTTTTCACCCTCTGGCTTTTTTCAAGATGTTGTCTTTGTCTTTGTTTTTCTACAGTTTGAATATGATACGGATAGATATATGGGGGTTGTTTTTGTTTGTTTCTTGTGTTTATCCTGCTAGTGTTCCTTGAGCTTCCTGCTACTTGAATTGTTTGTCTCTCATTAGTTTGAACATTTCTTGGCCTTGTTACTTCAAATATTTCTTTTGATACATTATCTTTTTCTTCTCTTTCTGGTATTCTAACAATGGGTATGTTTAATCGTTGCAATATTGTCCTACAGTCCTTGGATGTTCTGTTATGTTTTTATCATTGCTTCTTTTTTCCTTTTTTCTTCTCTTTTCTGTTTTTTTTTCCTTTTTGCATTTCAGTTTGGGAAGATTTTACTGACATATTTTCAAGTTTACTTATTCTTTTCTCAATATGTTCATTCTACTGATAATCCATCGAAAACCTTCTTTATTTTTGGTACATTGTTTTTTACTTCTAACACTTCTCTTTGCTTCATAGAGTTTCTATCTCCCTGCTTACATCTGTCTTTTTGCATGTTTTCTATTTTTTTGCATTAGAGCACTTAACATAATCATGATAATTATATTACATTTTATGTCTGACAATTACAACATTTTGATCATATCTAAGCCTATTCTAATAATTGCTTTGACTCTTCATACTGCATTTTTTATTGCCTTTTAGCATGCCTTGCAATTTTTTGTTGAAAACTAGACATGTGTCAGGCAATAGGAACTAACATAAATAAACTTTAATGTGAGTAAGGAGTTATGCTCATCTGGGTAGAAGTGAGGCTATATTTAATGTTTACTGTAGTTACAAATGGCAGAGACTTCATAATCCTTTAGTGTCCTTGTTTTTGTCTCACCTCTTAATTTTGGTCTTCTTTAAGTACTACATCTCAGAGATAGTCTGTGTTTTCAGCTTTCTCAGCTATAATTACTGATATTATATTGGACCCCTATTGGTATTATACAAGGAAGTGGGTGAGGGGCCTTTCTATAATTTTTAAATAAAATCTCATTTTTTTCTCAGCATGTGTTTTCAAGCTGTGACCATCAAAAGTGCTTTCCAGTGGTATAGCTTTTTATTTCCTCCTGCTACACACTGCCTTCCCTGAAACTCTGACCCCCTACTAATTATTCCCCAATCCTGCCCCTTAGGTTAGACAGAGAAGCTAGAGGGAGATGAAATCAGGCAGCGACCCCTCCCCCAGGGAGCCTGCGATAAGGCTCTGGCAAGTTCTTTTACTCCAGAGGTAAGCCTTTGTTTTGAGGAAGGCTTCGGCCGTAGTACACAATGATTGCTGTTTCCCAGCCCCTGCTAGATCTTTGAGGATATCTTTCTTGGATCTTCATCTTGAGAACTTAGTGAGATTCTTAGAGGAAACAACCAGGAGAGTAAGGGGAACCACCTCGCTCTGCACCCTCATGAATTTCTCTCTCAAACTAGTCCACATTCAGTCTCCATGAATACATCAAAATTAATATTTAAGTGTTTTGATCAGTTTAGGATTCCAGTGACTTCTGTTCCAGTTAGCACATACTAGCTGCACCTGGCTGGATATGTCTTTCTCTCCAGATTTCAGAAAAGTGATTTGCCCTGCAACTTCAATTCTCTGATTAGTCCAAAAATAAGTCATTGATTTTTTTTTTCTCCGTTTTTCTTGATGTAATTAGAAGAGTGGTGATTCCCAAGTGTTTTACATATCAGATTTAAAATCAAAAGTCACAAAAAAGTTTTAGATTTTGGGGACCTGGGTCAATAAAAGATGCTTCAACATTATAATGAAAATTGTTTGATGTTTTGAAATATTTATATTCTGGATTAGTAATTGGGTCAAAATGGAGTTAGAATGAGTCTTTTTATTCATCTATATATTTAACTGTATACACTGGAAGCAATAGAGATGTGACACATTGATCTTACAATTTCAAATTAATATTTAGGCCAATGATTGTCAATTTGTAGTCCCCAGGACTAGCCCTGTCAGCCTCACCTAGAAAATTTTTACAAGTGCAAATTCTTAGGCCCCACCCCAGACCTACTGAATTAAGAACTCAGAAGTTTGGCACCAAGGAGTCTTCATTTTTAACCAACCCTCCAAGAGGTTCTGATGCCCTCTTGAGTTTAAAAACCACTGATCAGCAGTAATGTTTAACCGTAATTATCTAGTCCAGTTATAATTTGACAATTAAATTGTCTGTTAGCTTTGTACCTGTTGTAAAAAAAAAAGACATTACTCAATTAGTCATTTTTAATGATTTTATTACTCTAGAGATTCTCTCCAAGAGTCACAAAATGAGCTCCTAAAATCATACAAAAATTTGAATGGGTGAATATAGAATGAAAGATTTACAAGTTTTGAGTCTTATTGGATTGGAAGGAAAAGCTTCATTTCAATTGATAAAATGTTTTTAAATTGAGATACTTTATATTAAATATTAATTTTTAACCTCTTTATTTTGAAATGATTTTATATTTGTAATAATAGCACAAAGAATTCCAACATAGCCATGACTTAGCTTAGACCCCAAATTAATATTTACAATAGCCATAGGGTAATTATCATAACTGGAAAGTTGAAAATGCTATTAAACTATAGATATTTAAATTTCACCAATTATCCCATAAATGTCCTTTTTCTAACCCAAGATGTAAACCAGGATTGCACACTGTATTTAGTTGTCATGTCTTCTTCTTTTTTTTTAAACTTGCTTAAGGTTTTCTCCTTTTTTTAAAAAAAAATTATACTTTAAATTCTGGGGTACATGTGCAGAACATGCAGGTTTGTTACATAGGTATACACGTGCCATGGTGGTTTTCTGCACCCATCAACCCATCACCTACATTAGGTATTTCTCCTCTTGCTGTCCCTCCCCTAGCCCCCCACCCCACAACAGGCCCCGGTGTGTTATGTTCCCCGCCCTGTGTCCATGTGTTCTCATTGTTCAGCTCCCACTTACAAGAGATAACGTGGTGTTTGGTTTTCTGTTCCTGTGTTAGTTTGATGAAAATGATGGTTTCCAGCTTCATCTATGTCCCTGCAAAGGACATGAATTCATCCTTTTTTATGGCTGCATAGTATTCTGTGGTGTGCCATTCCATATATGTGCCACATTTTCTTTATCCAGCCTATCATTGATGGGCATTTTGGTTGGTTCCAAGTCTTTGCTATTGTGAATAGTGCCATAATAAACATACATGTGCATGTGTCTTTATAGTAGAATGACTTATAATCCTTTGGATATATATCCTGTAATGGGATTGCCGGGTCAAATGGTATTTCTAGTTCTAGATCCTTGAGGAATTGCCACCCTGTCTTCCACAATGGTTGAACTAATTTACAGTCCCACCAACAGTGTAAAAGTGTTCCTGTTTTTTCACATCTTCTCCAGCATCTGTTGTTTCCTGATTTTTTAATGATCGCCATTCTAAGTGGCGTGAGATGGTATCTTAGTCTCCTGTCATTTTGGATAGTTCTTTGTCTCTTTGATTTTCATGGTCTTGACTTTTTTGAAGAATGCCAGCCAGCCAGTTACTTTGTAATATGTCCTTCAACTTAGGTTTGTCTAATGTTTTCTTATGGTTAAATTCAACTTATGCATTTTGGGGAAGAATAACATTGAAATGATACATGCCCTTCTGAGGATCATATCAATGTGCTATTATGGGTGCTGTTAGCTTTGATTACTTGGTTCAGATAATGTCTGCCAGATTTCTCCATTGTAAGGTTACTATTTTCCCCTTTATAAATAATAAGTATCTCATGGGAGAAATGCTTTGAAATTACAGAGATTCTCTTTCTCATGATACTTTTCCCATTAATTTAAAAAAATTCATTGACAATTCTTGTCTACAACAAGTATCACTGTAATGGTGATTACAACAAATGGTGATTTAAAAATATATGTATCATTTCTTCTGCACTTGTTAAATGGAATTCTACAGTAATTAAGAGATATTCTTTCTTCCCCTTTAAGATTTCATTCAATTATAATAACTATACTAGTATAAACTCGCAGAAAATTATTTTATTCTACTGGCTATACTCCATCACTGTCACTTATTTTATTGCTCAAATTGAACCAGATACAGCCACTGGGTACCTCAAATTGGCTACAGTGTCCTTTCAAAATACTTTCATCATTTTCTGAGCATGTCTTTACTTTCTGGCCCAAAAAAGTATTCAAGGCTCATTTTTTACTTTCTTTGTCCCAATTTTGGAAACAGCCATTTCTTCAAAACACAGGTTTGTTTTACTAAAGAATGATATTTAGAACCCAAGATCTGGGCAGTAAAAGTAATTGTGCTTATGCTACTAAATTGTCCTTTCTTCCAGACACTGTCAATGGAGAAAGCTCATAAATATATGTATACAAACTTACCTGCATCCATGTTTATTTTAAATTTTAACCCTTTCCTTATTGGTAACTACTTTCCATAAAAATATCTGGCTCTCATTTTCCACTGTGTGTGTGTGTGTGTGTGTGTGTGTGTGTGTGTGTGTGTGTGTATAATATATATATATTTGTTCATTGCTAAAATAGACAGTTTCAGAATTGCTAACCCATACCTCTTTGAAAAATAAATTACAGTCTAAAGTACTGTAAAGTCCTTATTGTTTTTCATTTGGACAGTTGTATATTTCCAGAATTTTGGATCTTTAATTTTGCTATTTAACTCATAGTTGAACATAGTCAACCCAAAGAGCTTCCATCCAGGTATAAAATTTTCCACTATTGCCACCTAATTTGTTGCAATTATGTAAAATTGTGTGTCTTACATTTCTCATAATCAAGCTTTCTTTATTTTTCTGGGTTTTTTCCCTCTCATTTTTATTTTAGAAGAGAACAAAGTGTAATAACATGTAAGCTCCACAAGGGCAAGAGTTTTGTTTATTTGTGTTTAATCTTGTTTTCTTTTTTGTTGAAGCCCTTGTGCCTGAAATAGAACTGAGCCTACACGTGCAATTCAATAAAAATCAGTTCACTAGATTATTGAAATAATTAGACAAACACTTGTATAACAATGACAATTCTGGCAAAATTAAGTTGTTGGTGGATATGCAATCACCACTGGTTGACAGCACTATAAAACATTCATACATTAGCTAATGTACAACTGTCTAAATTTGTCCTAAGTAAGGAAAGTTAATCATGTCGCTATGTAGTGCACAGAGCTTGACTTAGGGAAATCTCGGTATATCTATATAAGAAAACCATTAAATAGAATGTACAAGCCTAGTAAGTGCTCATCTATGATAACAAGATTAACATTTTGGGAATTGCAGTTCTGTTTAAAATAAAAAGTTGGGTTGGACCTCAGAGAACTTTGTCTTTAGAAAAAAGTGAATAGGATTGGAGTAATAGTGAAAGCAGAGAATGAAGTAGAGGCTGCTTCTACTTTCCCTGAGTGAAAGCCTCAGGGACAGTAGTAAGGTAAACATTAACCAAGAATAACTTGAGTGCTTTAGTGTTGAATGAAATCCTAAGTCATTGCCAAGTTAAGTAGTAAAGCAACATGTAGGAAATGTTGGTAATATTTTGTCTCTTTTTAAAGAAATGAGAACATTGAGATGAGTGCATTCTTAATGTCAAATAGCTATTCTGACTCTGGAATCCAGGCTTTTTCCCATTACTTAAAACATCCTCTTGCTTCTAAACTCTTGGTAATATTAATTATTAGATTGGAAATAGTGTCTAAAATTGCTCCCATGTTGGACTTTCAAAAACTCTAAGAAAACTACACTAGTAGCTGATTAAGGTTTTGTTTTGCTTTAAACTTATGTGTAAAGATTTTTGCTTAAGAATGTTGACTGTTTCAAAAGTATGTGAATTAAAATATGTAAATTTCATTCTTTTTCATAAATAGGAGTTTTTATAATGTGTCACAGTTTTAATGAGAAATTAAAAAGTGAGGGTGAAACTAAAATATTCACCAAAAATTGTTTCTTCTCTGGGGAAAAGGGAACCTATTTGAATAAAGTATGTTAACCCAGAATTCTGCTTTCCAGATATTCCTAGAGAGGAGAGATGACTTTACTGCTAATTGGGATGTTTTTCCTTTGAAGGTTTTAAGTGCCTCAGTTGAATTATAAAGAGAATAAGCATAAAAAAACGTGAAATATATTGTTTAAATTTATTGTGTTCCATTAGTCTCTCCTAGAGTATAATTGATTGTTTTAAGATAGTTAATCTCTCTCTCTCTCTTTTTTTTTTTTTTTTTTTTTTTTTTTTTTTTTTTTTTTTTGAGGTAGGAGTCTCACTCTGTCGCCCAGGCTAGAGTGCAGTGGAACCATCTTGGCTCACTGCAACCTCTGCCTCCAAGGTTCAAGCGATTCTCCTGCCTCAGCCTCCTGAGTGGCTGGGACTACAGGCACGTGCCATCATGCCCAGCTAATTTTTTGTAATTTTTAGTAGAGACGGGGTTTCGCCATGTTAGCCAGGATGGTCTCTATCTCCTGACCTTGTGATCTGCCTGCCTCAGTCTCCCAAAGTGCTGGGATTACAGGCACGAGCCACTGCACCTGGCCAAGATAGTTAATCTCTTGCAAACCAAAATATAGTTTTAATAAAATATGTCGAAGAATAAAAGACCAATTGACAGCATAGATTTGAAGTAGAAAATAACAAGAAATGTATTATTTCGGTCCTTCATTACTAAATCTTAATGTGTTTGTCTTAACTAAGACTTGGATATCATTTAGGTCATTTACGTATGTCTAAAATGATTAATCGGAATTTAAAAGTAATTGAATTTTGTACTTTTAGCAGAGAAGTTAGTATTTCCACATAATGATAGCTATAAACATGCAACAGGGTAATATCTAGAGACAAAAATTATTATTCTTCAGGAAAATTTTTAATGTTAACTTTTATTGATTTTTCTCATTGTTTCATTAATTGCCAGATTTTTAATGTTATATTCCCCCATTAGTAGAAAAGTAAGAAAAAAAGATGACAAAGATGCTCATGTGAAAAGATCCAAAGTGGAATAAACATCATTTATTTATAATAAAAAGAGTTAAATTCCTGGATACATAAATACAATAAATATTCAAAATATTATGTAATTTTGCTACTTTTAAACAATGCATAAAAGTAACTAACTCCTATATATACTAACAAATGAAATATGATTAATGAAAACAGTTATTGAAAGATTGATAACATTAATATAATCACAAGCACATGCTTTGAACATGTATTATAATGTAGTTACAAATTATTCTAATAAACTAGAGTCTAAATTATGAAAACATTAACTTCATACTTTGTGAAAAAGATAAGTTCACACTGGGTTTTGGCAATTTATTTTCCAAAAGAAATAGCAAATTGCCAAAAATAATTAGATGAATTATAATCCTCAACCATTTATGAATAATAGTTAAAAATAAAATTAATATTGCCTATTATGTACTCTAGGTATATCTTAAAGTACACATACAAAAACAAACACGAAAACAAAAATCCCTTCAAAGGACCAAATAAAAAGTTTAGATTAAAAAAAGATTCTTAAGCTATAACTTGCTATACCTAGTGCTCAGAATAAACAATTGCTGAAATTTTACTATGTGTGTGCGTGTTTATATGAAGGTATATATATTACATATACGTGTGTGTGTATATTCTCAATCATTTTGAAGTGAGCTATTGGTATCATGATACTTTATCATTAAGTAGTTCTGCAGGCATCTGCTAAGAATAATAACAACTGGACTGGGCCACAGTGCCTGGTTATTTGGTTAAACTTTATTCTTGGTGTCTGTGAGTGTATTTTTGGATAAGATTTACATTTGAATCAGTGAAACTTCAGTAAAGCAAATTGCCCTTCATAATATGGATGGGTCTCATTCAATCAGTTAAAGGTCTGAGTAATACAAAGGCTGACCTCCCCCAAGCAAGAGGAAATACTGCCAGCACACAGTCTTTGACTTGAACTTCAACATTGACTCCTTCTGGTTTACCAGCAGACTGCAGTTGAATTTGACCTCTGATATTTTTCCTTAGTCTCCTTCCTGCCAGCTTCCTTCATCAGATTTTGGACTGAACAAGCTTCCATAATTGATTTGTTTTGGCTCTGTATCCCCACCCAAGTCTCATCTTGAATTGTGCTCCCATAATTCCCATGTGTTATGGGAGGGACCCAGTGGGAGATAATTGAATCATGGGGGTGGTTTCCCCCATACTGTTCTCATGGTAGTGAATAAGTCTTACAAGATCCGATGGGTTTATCAGGGGTGTCTGCTTTTGCATCTTTCTCATTCTCTCTTGCTGCTGCCATGTAAGAAGTGCCTTTCATCCTCTGCCATGATTGTGAGACCTTCCCAGCCACGTAGGACTGAGTCGAATTAAACCTCTTTCTTTTGAAAATTCCCCAGTCTTGAGTATGTCTTTATCAGCAGCATGAAAACAGACTAATACAGTAAATTGGTACTAGTAGAGTGGGGTGTTGCTGAAAAGATACCCAAAAATGTGGAATTGACTTTGGAACTGGGTAACAGGCAGAGGTTGAAACAGTTTGGAGGGCTCAGAAGAAGACAGGAAAATGTGGGAAAGTTTGAAACCTCCTAGTGATTTGTTGAATGGCTTTGACAAAAATGCTGATAGTGGTATGAACAATAAGGTCCAGGCTAAGGTGGTCTCAGACGGAGATGAGGAACTTTTTGGGAACAGGAGCAAAGGTGACTCTTGTTATGTTTTAGCAAAGAGACTGACAGTATTTTGCCCCTGCCCTAGAGATTTGTGCAACTTTGAACTAGAGAGAGATGATTTAGGATATCTGGTGGAATAAATTTCTAAGCAGAAAAACATGCAAGAGGTGACTTGGGTACTGTTAAAAGCATTCCATTTTAAAAGGGAAACAGAGCATAAAAGTTCAGAAAATTTGCAGCCTGATGATGCAGAAGAAAAATAAAAGCATTTTTTGAGAAGAAATTCAAGCTGGCTGCAGAAATTTGCATAAGTAGCAAGGAGTCTAATGTTAATCCCCAAGATCCTGGGAAAAATGTCTCCAGGCCATGTCAGAGACCTTCATGACAGCCTCTCTCATCACAGGCCTGGAGGCCCAGGAGGAAAAAATGGTTTCATGGGCTGGGACCAGGGTCCTCATGCTGTGTGCAGCCTAGGGACTTGGTGCCCAGTATCCCAGCTGCTCCAGCCGTGGCTGAAAGAAGCCAATACACAGCTCGGGCCATGGCTTCAGAGAGTGGAAGCCCCAAGCCTTGGCAGCTTCCATGTGGTGTTGAGCCTGTGGGTGCACAGAAATCAAGAATTTAGGTTTGGGAACCTCCACCTAGATTTCAGAAGATGTACGGAAACGCCTTGATGCCCAGGCAGAAGTTTAATGCAGGGGCGGGGTGCTCATGAAGAACCTCTGCTAGGGCAGTGCAGAAGGGAAATGTGGGGTTGGAGCCCCCACACACAGAGCATCACCTACTGTGGCATCACCTAGCGGAGCTGTGAGAAGAGGGCCACCATCCTCCAGACCCCAGAATGGTAGATCCACTGACAGCTTGCACTGTTCACCTGGAAAAGCCACAGACACCCAATGCCAGCCCATAAAAGCAGCTGAGAGAGAGGCTGTACCCTGCAAAGCCACAGGGGCAGAGCTGCCCAAGACCATGGAAACCCACTTTTTGCATCAGCATGACCTAGATGTGAGACCTGGAGTCAAAGGAGAATATTTTTGAGCTTTAAAATTTGACTACCCAGCTAGCTGGATTTTGGATTTGCATGGGCCCTGTAACCCCTTTGTTTTGGACAATTTCTCCCATTTGGAACAGCTGTATTTACCTAATACCTGTACCAACATTGTATCTAGGAAGTAACTAGCTTGTTTTTGATTTTATAGGCTCATAAGTGGAAGGGACTTGCCTTGTCTCAGATGAGACTTTGGACTGTGGACTTTTGAGTTAATGCTGAAATGAGTTAAGACTTTGGGGGACTGTTGGGAAGGCATGATTGATTTTGAACTGTTGAGGACATGAGATTTGGAGGGGCCAGTGGCAGAATGATATGGTTTGGCTGTGCCCCCACCCAAATCTCATCTTTAATTGTACTCTCATAATTCCCATGTGTTGTGGGAGGGGCCCAGTGGGAAATAATTTGAATCATGGGGGCAGTTTCCCCCATACTGTTCTTGTGGTAGTGAATAAGTCTCACGAGATCTGGTGGGTTTATCAGGGGTTTTCACTTTTGCATCTTCCTTATTCTGTCTTGCTGCCACCATGTAAGAAGTGCCTTTTACCTTCCGCGATGATTGTGAGATCTTCCCCAGCCACATGAGTCAAATTAAACCTCTTCCTTTTGTAAATTGCTGAGTCTCTGGTATGTCTTTATCAGCAGTATGAAACGGACTAATATAATAATCATAAAAGCCAAGTCCCAACAATAAATCTCTGTGTGTGTACATGTATATGTATACATATATATACATCTATTTATAGATACACATAGAGATATATCTGTATAGATATGTATCTATCTATCTACACATCCTCTTCATTATGTTTCTCTGGAAAACTCTGACTAATGCAAACATCATCATATATTTAAAATTACCATATAGATTAAGCATCCCTAATCTAAAATCTGAAATCTGAAGTGCTCCAAAATCCAAAACTCCTTGAATACTGACATGACACCAAAAGTGGAAAATTTTACACCTGACTTTATGTGATGAGTCACAAAATATAGATGCACAACACAGTTTGTTTAGTGCCTCCAAGGGATAAAAGACCGTCTCAGCTTCCTTTAGCTGTGAGATTCCCCCAGGGAACACATGCACAAACGGTAACAAAACAGCATGTTTGCAGGCTGGTCATACCAACAGCAGGTTCCCCAATGCCCCACATAGGACCAAGACCTAATGTATTACTCACTGTTTTGTGTGTGTTGTGTTGTTTTTTGTTTTGTGTTGTGTTGTGTTTTGTGTTGTTTTGTTTTGTTGTTTATTCTCTATTCTGTAGTATAAGAGTATTGTTGAGATGTTAAAAAGGCCTGCAGATACTACTGTGATAACAAAAAGAGGCGGCATTTATGTTTATCTATAGCACAGAAAGTCAAGCTGTTGGAGAATCTGGACAGTGGCATAAGTGTGAAACATCTCAGAAGAGTATGGTGTTGGAATGACCACCATGTGTGACATGAAGAAACAGAAGAATAAACTGCTAAAGTTCTATGCTGAAATTGATGAAGAGAAGTTAATGAAAAAACAATTTTTTAAACCACATAAACCTAAAAATGAAGATCTCAATTGTGTATTCAAAGAGTGGATCCATCAGCATCACAGTTAATACATGTACCTTAATCGTATGCTAGACATGAAGCAACAAAAATCTATCACCATGAACTGAAGACTGAAGGGAATTGTAAATATCCAACAGGCTGCATGAAGAAATTTTAAAAAAGACATAACATTAATTTTTTCAAAGATTTTTGGTGACAGAGCATCTGCTGATCATGAAACTGTGGAGAAATTCATTGATGAGTTAGCTAAGGTCATTGCTGATGAAAATAAAACACCAGAACAAATCGATAATTCTGATGAAATATGACTATTTTGGCATTGTTGCCCTAGAAAGACATTGAGTAGAGCTGATGAGACAGCTCCTACAAGAATGAAGGATGTCGAGGACAGAATAACCATGCTGGGATGTGCTAATATGGCAGACACACTTAAGTGAAAATTTGCTGTGATAGACATAACCTTGCATCCTCACTGCTTTCAAGAAATGAATTTCTTGCCAGTCCATTATTATGCTAAGAAAAATGTATGGATCACTAGGGAAATCTTTTATGATGGGTTTCACAAACGTTGTGTACCAGTGGCTCATGCTAACTGCAGGGAATCTGGACTGGATGATTACTGCAAGATATTGTTACTCCTTGAAAACTGTTCTGTTCATCCTTCAGCTGAAATTCTCATCACAAATGATGGTTATGTTGTGCTCTTCCACAAAATGTAACTTTATTAATTCAGTGATGTAACCAGAATATCCTTAGATCAATGAAGAGTAAATGTAAAAACATTTTCATGAACAGCATGCCTAGCAGCAGTGAACAGAGGCATGGGCGTAGGTTTCCAAAAGGAGTTTAGGATGAAGGATGCTATATATATATTGTTGCCAATGCTTGGAACACAGTGACTAGAGACACAGTTCTGGATGCCTGACACAACCTCTGGCCTGCAACTATGTTCAGTTATCATGATGAACAAGGTGGTGACTTTGAAGGATATTGTATGTCATATGAGAAAAAATGATGCCTGAAATCCTTATATTTTCAAAAATATGACTTTAATCAGTGAGCTAGAAAAAGTAGATATTGAAGTTTTTAACATCAGTAATGAGGCTTCAGTTGTTCATTCCTTGACTGATGGTGAGATAGCCAAAATAATTCTGAACCAAGGTGATTTTGATCAATAGTGACAATGAAGCTGGCATTGTTAACACTGTAGAAAAAAGTGCCTATAGATGACATGGTGAAAATATATAATGGGCTTATTGAAGGACTAGAACAGCATGCATTCATAACAAGAAATTGTGTCAGCTTATACAATCAACAAATCAAAGAGAGACTTCTAAGGCGACAACTGTTGTTAATGAGGCACATGACTCTAGGAAACATTTTTTAACAGCCATCCAGAAGAATGCCTTTTCATCAGTAGAGAACCCACTTCTCAGTCTCTCAACTGCTTCTGATGTTTCTTCTCACCTGAGAAAATAAAATAGAGTGTATAGTAACCTTTTAGCCAAAACACAGCATTGTAAGTGGAGACAGAAAGCCTGGCATTGTTCATTGTTGTTGTTGTTTAGCAGCTGAAACAGGTATTTTAGTAATGCCATTGGGCTGCTTAGTTACCCTGGACACATTATTTTTTCACTGTATTAATTGTATGTCATACATTTAATTGTTAAGTACTTATGTGAGAATAAGTGTGAGAAAATTATTGCTTATAGCATACAAATCGAGTCAGGAGAGGCAGTGTTGCCAACCAACCACAGATTGTCAACATGCGTGGCTGAGATAGTGACACCTTTGCTTCCTGATGGTTCTATGTACAAAAGCTTTATTTAATGCACAATATTATATAAAATATTGTATAAAATTACCTTCAGGGTATGTGTATAATAAAAGGTGTAATGAAAGATAAATGAAACTTGTGTTTAGACTTGGGTCCTACCCCTAAGTTGTCTCATTATGTATATGCAAATATTCTAAAATCTGGAAAAAAAATTCTCAACTCTGAAACACGTCTGATCCGAAGCATTTTGGATAAGAAATACTCAATCTGTAATTCTACAATATTATTTAAGAGCCAGTCCATTCTCAAATTTTCTCAATTTTCTCCAAAATATACTTTTAGCCTTTTTTTTAGAACTTTGACTCAATCAAAATTCACACTGCCCACTTCTCTTTTTCTTGTGCATTTGACATTTTGAAGAGACTCAGGCAGTGTAATTGTACAAGGTTCCACAGTCTAGATGTGTTCTTTCCCTCATGGTGTCATTTTTCTAACCCTGTGTATGTCCTACAACACAGGAAGTTAAAGAGAGAGGCTTGATCTTATCCAGGTGTAGCACACTGGGCAAGAATAAGTTTCACGCCCTGCCCCATTTCATCAGGAAACATGATGTCAAGCAGTCCACTGTTAGAGAGACTGCTTTTCATCCCATGGTCAAGATGGTGACTGCCAAATCTTTACAATTTAAAGGTGAATATTTTCCCCCTTTATGCAAGTAGCAAGTGATTTTGTTGTGATGCTTTGCTTTTAGTAAATATCCTGTTTCTCCAAAACATTTTCTTTAATGACTTTAGCCTCTAAGTCCTTTTCTGAACTATTTTACTCAGTGTTAAAAAATAATCATTTTCTAATTCCCTCATTCCCTCTCTTCTCTAAACCGGCATTAGTAAACTTCTGGTATTTGTTTGTTTGATTGTTTTTAAAGAGCTTTATCTCATACCATCGTCTGAAATGTACTTCCTGCAAGCGTGATAACAAACGATTAACTTTTCCGCTAATTACTAATTTTAAAAATAAAGAGTTAGTATAATAATCTCCTCATTGCAGCAGGTATCTTACTGTCTGACACCATGGTGGTGTCATAGATTTTTATGTATTTAATGGTTATAGTCAGTTCTGTTCATTATCCTTTTTGATGCTCAAATTATTCCAAAACTGGTTCTCGGTTTGTGTGCATGTCTCCATTCATACAGAGTTTGCTTGTTTTCTGGCATAACAGGATGTATCAGGTTCACTGTGTACTCTCCATGAGCCAGTCCTACAGCAGCCATTTCTCAAAAATAGTATTTAGAAACCACAATCTGGACATTAGGTGTGCTCATTAGATAAAATATTTTTAAAATAATTTTTAAATTCATGGTTGAGTTGGCAGGAAAATAGAAGCTTTTGGAGGCATCTAAAGAGGTAAGAAAACACTTATGGTGGTGTAGCATTTTGGCCTTTAATGAGCCACAGACATGGAGAACAATCAAAATTACTGTTTATGGAGCACTCAAAAAAGAAAGATAAAAACAGAAACCACCACACAGAACCTGAGATCCTGAAAGGCAATGCACTGTGTGGTTGAATTAGGAAGATTAAAAAAAGAAAAAGAAAGAAAAAAGCAGAAGGACATGGTAGAATATTTGCCTAGTTTGGCCATGAATCTATGTAGAACTAGAAAGAAAAAGAAAATTTTCCCCTGAAATTTTCCAAACATGAGTGTGCCTTTACTTGAGATTGAGAAATAAATTAAGTAGTACTACCTTTCTGGCCAACAAATTCTGTAAGTCAAACACTAAGTAATCCTACCGCACACTCAACTATAGAAAACAGAAAAATTCTTCTCTGAAGAAATGGGTTTTATATCTCAACTTCATAACATTTTCACATTAGCAAAATAACTACCATCAGAGAAAGATAGAAAAACTGAATTAGCAGGAGGAAATATTTTAAAACCTACAGAATACTACCCCAAAGATACAAATATTGGTATTATCAAGTCAGGAATATTAAAACAAAAGGCTTAAAGAAAAAAAAATACAGGTAAATATGTAATACAGAACAAGAGATTATCAAAAATAACCAGAGAGATGTTTCAAAATTTCTAAATAGAATTTTTACAATCATTAAAATGAGTAGCTCAATAGATGGGTTAAAAAGCAAACTCTAGGGGCCGGGCATGTGGCTCAGCCTGTAATCGCAGCACTGTGGGAGGCCAAGGCGGGCAGATACTTGAGGTCAGGAATTTGAGACCAGCCTGGCCAACATGGCAAAACCTTGTCTCTACTAAAAATATAAAAATTAGCTGGGCATGGTGGCGGAAATCCCAGCTACTTGGGAGGCTGAGGCAGGAGAATCGCTTGAACCCAGGAGGAAGAGGCTGCAGTGAGCTGAGATCGCGCCACTGCACCCCAGCCTGGGCAACAGAGTGAAACTCTGTCTCAAAAACAAGAACAAAAACAAAAAGCAAACTCTTGGCCACTGGGTAAAGAGAGAATTTATGTAAGAGAATATTGAGCTTAAAAAGTCACCCAAAATGTAGCCCAAAGTCGTAAAGAAATGAAAATATGAAATAGAAGTTAAGAGATATTGAGGATAAAGTTAAAAAGTCACTATATGTCTATTCATAGTTCCTGAGAGGGGAATAGGGAGAATGGATAAAAGGCAATATTCAAAATGATAATGGCTGAGAATTTTCCAGAAATGATAAAGACACCAATTCTGAGGCTCAGAAAGTCCAATAGATTTTCAGCAGGATTACTAAAGAGAAACATACGCGTAGATGTACTATAGGAACTACAGTGGCACTGAAGATCAATAAAGAGAAAGTGAAGACTTTAAAAGCAGTCTGAGAGAAAAGACATTTTTTATGAAGGAACAACAAAACAGCTGAATTCTCAAAAGCAAAAATAGAAGCCAGAAGACAGCTGAATGTATATCTTCAAAGAAGAGAAAATAGATGCCAACCAGAATGTTATGTCTTCCCAAAACTATCATTCAGGAATGAGAGGGATATACAGACGTTTTTAGCAAACAACAACGAAAATGAAGATGAAATAGAGATTACATCGCCACAAAAACAAACACAAAATCTTATAAGAGAACAGTGAGTGAATATACTTTAGAAATACAAGAGATGGTTTCAGAAGGAAGGCCCGAGATGCAAGAGGACACAGCTATCAAAGGTGCCAAATTTAAATAAAAAATTGCCCTCAAGGTTCAAGGAAAAATTAAAATTAAATTCTAGATAAAAAAACTGCATCACAATTAGGCTACATTATTTGAATTAAAGTATCAGAAAAGCTGTGTATATTGATAAAAGGCCCAATTCACTAGTAATATGTAAAATTCTAAACTTCATCCAATAATGTATCTTTTGAATATCTAAAGCAAAAGGACAAAACTATATGGCAAAATTGACAAATTCACTATTATAGCAGATTTTAATATAACTTCCTCTGTAATTGATATAGATAAATCAGACCAAAAAATTTGAGGATGTATAAGATTCAAATATCACAATTCACAAGCATGTTCTATAGAAAAAATACACTCCCAAAATTGAAAGTATATGTACTTTTCAAGTACTCAGAGCAAAATTTACTCATTTAATGAACCATAAAACTAGCATCTGTAAATTCTAAAACCTCATTACCATAACAGCTAGATATATCTTTTCTGACTACATTTAAGCTAGAAATCAATTATGAAAACTAACTTTAATCACTCACACATTTGAAAATTTTAAAATATGCTATTAAATAATTCAGATCATAAAAGAAATCTTAAAAAAATAGAAAATACATTGAAACAGTGATCATAAAATTACTATGTACCAAAAAGTATGAAATGCAATAAAGCATTACTTAGAGAAATGCTAATGGATTTAACATTCTTATACTTGAAGAAAAGCTGGAACTTAACGAGGTAATATTCCAATTTAAGAGTGTAGAAAAAAGAAAAACAGAATAAATCCAGAGTAAAGCTAAAGACACAAGAAATGAGGAAATAAAGACAGCTCTGAAGTTAATGGAAAACAAAAATAGTAATACTTTCTTCTGAATAGTAGTTCTTGGAAAAGGCCAATAATCTGACTGTCCTCTGGTAAAACTAATCAAGAAAAAGAGCACGTGCTATAAATGTGAAATATGTAAGAAATTTTTGTTTTTTTGTTATTCTAACAAATATGTTTTACTATACTTAGTTTCCTGTATAATCTTGTGTGTTTATTTTTTGCATATTTAAACATATTATTTTGCGAAAGGGTCCGTAGGTTTCTCTGGACTACCATGGGGTCCACAGCACAGAAAAGTAATAAACCCTGTTGTAACTTGAATATTGGGTTAAAGAGTTTTAGAGCCATTATCTTTTTCTTTACCTGGAAGGCTAAAAAAGTTGGATACTTTTTATTGTTTTCTTTAAAACTCATTGCATAGATACAGGAAAAGCAGCATGAATAAAGCAATAAGGAGACAAATATGTGGATGAATAGTCAAACAGATGTACATATCTACAAAATATTGGCCTATCTACAGCAAACATATTGACAGTGTATATTAGCTCTGCAATTACCAGTATGTCCCACGTTTGTTTATATTAATGATTCTAAATTTTTCATTTAAATGATTATACTATATTATGTATCTTAACTACTGTTTTCTCTTAGCAGTATCTTGCCTTATTCTAGGTAACAATCTTACTGAATCTACTCATTAATATACTTCAACATATTGATATCTATATGCCTTTTTCCTTTTAATTAGTGAAAACCTATCATATGCTCATCAGGGCTTTCAGTGTAAAAGTTGTCAAATTTAATGCAAACAATTATCTCCATTTCTTTTTCAGGTCCACTGAAATGTTTTTTAATGAAAATTAGAATATGTGGGGGAAAAGTGAGCCAGCAGTATACTAGAAAGCTTTAGAGAATATTGCAAATAATTTTGATAAATTGGGAATAAATAATTAAATTGGAATCAATTATATATGAGATCAATTATAGCAATAATTGGGAATAAATAATTGGGAATATAGCGAATAATTGGGAAGAGAAAACATGATGGAGAAAGCCTCAGCTTTAAACACTAAATGAAAGATCTTTCTTTCTCAAAATAACCAAGGATTAGCTCAGAATTTCAGCAACCAAACTGTTCTATTGTTTCATGCTCAGTAACCTACAGAGCCATACATTACTGACACATACTCTCCATATGAACAAAGCCCCTCACCCATAAAAAAATCACAACTCTCATAATTGAAGGTCTGTGAGAAAAACAATACAATACCTCTATTAATCATCCTAATCTTTCATTCAGTAAATATAAACTGATATCTAAATATCACCACATATTGGAGGAAAACCAATAGCATCCATAGCAAGAATCAAAATAAATAAACCAAAAAATTAGCCCCATAGGAAACAAATAATTTAGGAACCAAAATGAAGGCTAAAAATATTCCAATTAGTTCCCTCAGAGAAGGTGAAGATGATATTGCATCCATAAAACAAGAATGACCTATTAAAAAAAAAGAAACACCAGAGAATAAGTTTGTAGAAAATAAATTTTAATTGTGATTACAAAAGAAAGAAATCAATGCATTTAATAAGAAAATAATCAAGCAAGACCAAACTTAGTATTGGAAAGTTTACGTTTTAAAAAATCCAATGTTATTTATTTCCAATATTTAATTCCAATATTTATTTATTTATAAAGTTACAATATGCAGGTACAATTCCTGAGTGCCAGTGTTAATCTAATAAGCATTTCAGGAATGGTTAATGGAGGAAAGAAAGTAATCAAGGAAATAATAGAAATAATAGAAAAAAATGTATATTGAAAGGCCCTATCAGGTGCTGAGCTGGTTATATAGCAGAAAGTCACATATGAATAACACTGGTAAAATTTCAGGGCTTTAAAGATAAAGAAGAAATCAATAAATTTTTCAGAAAAATATAATAATAAGAAATGTACAACAAAAGAAACCAAATTGATTTCAGAAAAACTGGATGCTCAAAAACAGAGGAAAATATTACAAAGTTTGAGTGGGAAAATGATTCTAAATAAGAATGTGATGTATAATTAATCTATTAATGAAACTTGTATAAAATAAATACATTTTTAACAACCAAAGATAAAAAAGTTGTACAAATCCTTCTTACCCACTATGAGAAATAACACCAGGAAATTACAAAATAAGAAAAAGAAATGCAAGGGAAAGAGTGCCATAAGAAACGAACAGCCTGAGTATGAAGTAGAAGAATGGTCCTCAACTTTGCACAAACATTAGGATCACATCTGGAGCTTTTAAGAGTATTCATGTCCAGTGAGAAGGAGCATCCGGAATTCTGGTAATATTTATTGCTTTGCCAAGGATTATAGGTATGCCGATGTATTCACCTTGTAATGTTTAATCACAACAAATATATATGCATAATTTTCACTCCAGACATCAATCAGAACTTCTAGGGGTTGGGTCTAAGAGGGGGCATTGTTTAAAAGCTCCTTGGGTCACTACGATTTGCATTCAGTATTGAACCACTGCCCCCAAAGAAGCTAAAATGCAAACAAATTAGTACTTTTTGAACCCCTGGTGCAGAAGGTTAAGTTAATCACACCCCTTAAATCGTAGCATGTTATAATCCCTTTTGTTTTAGTCATTCATTTATTGATTTTTTAAATTGTCATCTCTCACTCCCATTCTCCATTCCTTCCCTGACAGTCATTGTATTGTGTTTAGTGTAAAACTTTTTGTTTATATGTTTTCAAGAAATATGAATTGTTATGTATGCTTGTAATTTTATTTATTTTTTAAAATTTGTGTGGGTACATAGGCATATATATTTATGGGGTACATGAGATGTTTTGATACACGCATGCGATGTGAAATAAGCACATCATGGAGAATAGGTTATCTCATTTGCTTATAATTTTTTAAATGTATTGTGTTTGATATCTCATTCTGTTACTTCAGACAGCTACTGCCTGAAATGATAAATTAAGAATATTTAGATAAATATAAAAATATAATGAGTATGGTGGTTAACAACACAATGAGCTATAAAACAAAGTATTTCAAAATACTTAATTTCAGACACTAGAGCTGAGCAAGGGAGTAAAGTACTTTCATTTTATTAGACACTAATTTTCAAGATGACTTCTCAGAATAATCAATTGCTTTTACTTTTAGGGGCATGTAGTGCCATTACAGCATAGTTTTTGTAATACATGTTTAATTATTATTCCTCTGGTAAAGTTTTAATTTGCATATGACCTTTTTGCCTTATTAACATCATGTTTTGGACTAATTTTTATATTCATGTTTATGCTAGCATAGAATAATTTCAAAGTCCATGGAATGGTCATAGACCTCTATCTTGAATGTGGGAAACATTCTTAACAAGTGACATTTTTCTTTCATTGCATTACTTTGCTGAAAATATTTAGCTTTCCCACTGACAAATTTGTGATTTCTTGAAAACAGCAGATTAAAAAGTGGATCTGTCACTGGATAAGTATAACAGTTTATTCTAAAAACAGGCACATATCTATGTGTTGTACATATTCTAATACATACACACTGGAGAGCATTTAATTGGACATAGCTAAATAGTAATGTATATGTTTTAAAAAGGCAAAAGAATAACATATACAGAAATATATGATTTTTTTTGTTATCTATAATATCCTGATCTCTTAGGAACATATGTGGAATGATTAGATAAACTCTCATTCCATGGATGCTGGGAGAAGAACAGCTTCCATCTTCCATTGAGTGAGACAGCTACTTACCCAGGGCTGCCTTAGGAGTCAGTCAAGATGGTCACAGACAATGAACACCAAGCCAAACCCCCAACAAAAGGAAAAGCATTGTATATGTTCATTCTAATGAGAGTTTTCCATTGAAATACTATATAATTGAAGTTGGAATTGTCAAGACCACATCGTGATATGATATAAAAGATTAAGTACAGAAAAATTTTCACAATGTAGAACAAAAATGTACACAAGTGTATTTGTTTCCAAACATAGGACTTTAAATCAATGAAAATTAGATCTTAATCTCATTTGTTGATTACTGAGTAAGTTTGAACAGTTACTGTTGATGAAGAGATGAAGAAGTTGTGCATTTTTGGAAGATGTATTACTTTTTCAATGAAAAAGTGAATTAACCTAATCTATATTCAAAAGGTCAGTTACAAGCCAATAAATAGACACATAAGGCAGGATGCATTTAAAAGAGAAATTTGGAGGAAGGTTGAATCTGATGATCCTATTACAAACTGTTAGTGTGTGTGTGTGTGTGTGTGTGTGTGTGTGTGTATATATATGTGTATATATATATATATATATATATATATATGGCATGTAGTGCCATTATGGCATAGTTTATGTAATACATGTTTAATTATTATTCCTCTGGTAAAGTTTTAATTTGCATATGACTTTTTTGCCTTATTAACATCATGTTTTGGATACAGGCATGTGATGTGAAATAAGCACATTACATATATATATATCTGTAATGATATATATATCTCTGTAATGATATATATATCTCATTACACAGAATGAAAGAACAAACAGTATAGACACACACACACAAATGTATGTATGTATACACATACTGATTTAATCTATTTAATAAACTTGAAAGATAAATAGCACTAGAGTTATTATTTCCATGTGGCAGTTGAAAAAATTAAGAGGAGTAGAAGAAATCAAATGACTTGCCCAAGGTGCTAGAGCTAGAAGCAGTACTGGGCATACAGCCAGGTCATCAAATTTAATGTTATTCTGCTTTATATTTTATCTTGTGACTTCAAACAACCACAAGTAGCTGCTGTTTCATGTTCATTTTTGAAGTAGTTTCTAGTTCTCTTTTTAGCAACATCATCATGCTTGATGCCTTGATTACAATACCCGCACTGCAGAATAATAGCCCCAAGAATGTCCACATTTTAATCCCTAGAACTTGTGAATATGTTAAGGCTGCATGACAAAGAGAAATTAAGATTGCTAATCAATTGACCTTGAAATAGATGGTCCTGAATTAACTGGATGAGCCCAATGAAATCATGAGGGTCCTTGAAATTAGAAAAGGAAGGCAGAAAAAGACATTCAGTAGAAGACGTAAGTGTGGAATAATGGTCAGAGAGATGCTATATTGCTAGCTTTGAAGATGATGGAAGGGATCCACGATCCAAGGAATGTGGGCAGTCTCTAAAAGCCAGAAAAGGCAAGGAAACAGATTTTCTCTAGCGTCTGCAAAAGAGAACATAGCCCTGCCAATATCTTGATTTTAGCCCAGTAAAACTTGTGTCAGACTTTAGTCCAAAAGAACTAAAGAGAATGAATTGGTGTTGATAAAGTTGCTAAGTTTACGGCAATTAGTTACAGCACCAATAGAAAATTAATACATTTTCCTTATCATCTCATAATACATACACCTTATCAGTTCACAATGGCAAATGCATATTTCTTGCTTAAATCACCTGAGGTCTGCAAGTCAGCTGTGGCTTTAACAGGTTCTGCTCAGTTCTGTGCTCTGAGTTTTCTTTCTGGAAAGCACTTTGAAGAAATAACTACTGTCTGGGTCATGCTGTTCTCGATTAAGGGAAGCCACCAAAGATCCAAAGCCAAGCTAATGCTAAGATTTTGCTCAGATGTATTTGTCAAATTGAACAGAGCCTTTTGAAGAATTGTAAATAATTCTTAGTTGATCCTTCCTTCAATCCCCTCCCTACTATGCTACGTACCCATTTATACCCATTACTAGATCATGGGCTCCTACAGGTCCAAACCTATCCAACTAAAAATGCAAACGTGTTTCCTGGGAAGAATGCTACTTAACTCCACAAACAAATCCACCAATTTGACACTTGTTAAGCTTACGTTCTACTCAAAGCAATGTGCAGGTAGCAGGGGATACAAAGCAGAAAAAGATGCAGTTTCTGTTTCTAGGCAGCTCACATTCTTAGAATGGAGATATCTACATAAACAAACATGAAGTGAAGCACTAAGTGCTTTGTGCTGGTTCCAAGCTGGTCCACCTTCAGATTCATGCCTCCTCCTAGCTCTGTTCAACCCTGGAACACAGGAAGCCAAACCCTGAAGGCAGTGTTTCTCAGGATACTCTGTCAGCTGGCTTCCTGCTAGATTCAGCCAAAGGAGATGCTAGCTAAAGATTGGAGGACATAAAATAAAGGTGAATAAATTAGTACCTATTTTGTTCTTATCCTCACTTTTCCTCTTAATCTTGAGAGGTTATTTTCAGAGTGAATGGCCATAGAAAAGAGTATCTGGAGCAATGCAGTTCTGATGGATTAGCATGAAATTAAAAATAGGAAAGAAAGGAAAAATGGATGTACGTAGGTATCTACATAAAACATAGCCATGGGAGGTGCATGCATCTGTACTTATTTGAGGGTCACTTAATTAACTGAAAGAAAACCATTAGAAACACTGCAAAATTCTACATATGCACAATTCTGTAAATATACTAATAGGCGAAGGATATCAGAAATGTACCAAATATGAAATCCTTGTTGTGCACTATATATTATTTGAGGGAAGAGAGTTGATTTGGTACAAAATGAGCTTAAGCCTTATGCTTAACCTCCTGGCTGGGCTCTTAAACAGAGCAGACCAAACTCTGAAGAAGCTCTTTTCTGCCTCACCCAGAGGTTGTTCCCATAGAGACCACTGGAAGGCAACGGAGTGAGCTGACACAGATGGTTGTGCGCCTATCCTGTCTGGTTAAATCCCTAGCTTCACCAAGTAGTAAAAATGACTCCAGAAAAATCTTACATTCATCCATTGTTTTTTAACATCTACAATGTGCCAAATACTGTGCCAGGGATCGGGGTTATAAGGATGAACAAGTTAGGCATGGTCCCAACTTACAGTTCAGTGAAGTAACTGAAGAGTGGGGAAATTTTGGTTTATGACATTGCCAAAAGTCACACAGCTGGTAACGGGGTAGCCAAGGTTCATGCCCGCATTTGACTGCCCTTGAAAGTCCTTTCCCTCAACCCCTACCCTATGCTTCCTTCTTTTCCTTTTTCCCTCTGAAATTTTTTCTCCTGTAAACTTCAGGGCAACAATTTTTATGTTGCAGTTTGTCCCACTGCCTAATGAATGCTTCTTAAAATATAAATGTGAAGGTCCTTGGAATGGTATTAGGTTGCAATTTTGTCTTACCTGATAAGCAGCGCAGGGCAGGGTCTGCCAAGCCCTGCCTTGACTGAATTAATCAGCCCAAGGCTGTCCCAGGGAAGCCAGCAATTCTGCAGTGACTTTCCCCATACAGATGGCCCCTTAGTCAGCTCTGAAAATGCAGAGGGAAGTCTGGCATGGCGTTACAGCAGCAGACTGGGTGGACAAAGGCCTGGGTGGACACAGATGCCCAAGCAATTGTATTGCATCTATTTCCTGTCATTTAAACCCAGTGTTATTTATTATTCAACTCTGAGTGTATTTTGGAGATTCAATTTGTAGGGTGTATGACACACAGAGTAAATTGGTATGTTATCTCAACTCATTTGCTGGAGGACAGGTGTTCACATCACAAGAACCAACAGCCCCATCCACAGTAATTGGTGCCTTGGCTGGCAGTCTGAGCCTAGAGGGCAAGGACCAAAAGTGCATGAAGAATGAACCAATAATAATTTCCACACGTGGCATAGTGTGTTTTACTTGCGGCTCTCAAAGCACATTTTAGGCATTCATTCTCTCTCACTACAATACTGCCCAGGCTTGCTATTACTCTCATGCTACAGCCAGGAAAACAAAAGCAGAGAGTGGCTGACTCAAGAGCACAGAGGGACACAATGGCAGAACGGGGAATAAAAATTCAGGAGGCCTGATCTCTCATTCTGTCTCCTTGGAATCTCCCCACATCCATTCTCCTCTCATTTATTATTTAATGTCTTAGGCAGGATATTATTAAGGAACCTGGACTGGTGAATTCAATTTTGTTCAGGTTAATTAATTTCAAAATGCTTGCAAGTCTGCATAGTGCACAATATCACACTCAACACAAATAATAGACCAAAAAAAAAAAAAACAAATATAGTTGCCATATGTTTCAAATGTAAGTAGCATACAAACAATAATCCACACAATTTCAAATGTATGTAGCATACAAACAATAATCACCACAAGCTACTGAAAACACTTTCAGTAACATGCAGATTGTGTATGAATAAGTATTTCTATGTGCACGGAGGGTAGTCAATCCAAGTAGGATATAAAGATTTGTATGAAGCGAAGAAACTCCAGAGCCAACATATTGTCTTAACTACATAGCTAATGTCATTTCAGAAAATTCTGCATGCAAAATTCACTTAAAATATGAAATTAAAAAACCCTGTACTTGTGGGGTTTATTAATAGTGAGCAGGGAAAAAAATGGAACTTTTGCCCTGGAGCTCAGGTGAAAAGACATAATTAAAAATACTGCACTGAAAAAAGTGATTTCTACTTCCCAGATGGCATTTGGTTTCCTCATACTTACAAATAGCCATATAGAGCAAAACCAACATATTCCATTAAGCTCCTTCCACTTATAACAAACGCAGGTTTCTTTATCACTGATTCAGAAATTCCAACAAATAATAAATACATACATGAAAAAAGAGATTGACTGCCATCTTCTCTTTTCGGGTTAAGGTATGCAAACATGAAATAATTTAAGAGATTTCTCACCACCAGAAAATTAAATTTTACCTATAACATGACAAGTGTATACAGGGTCACTACCCACAGCCATATAGGCAGTACACAGCATAACCCCAGGGAACCCTAACATAACCCAGGCTGAGAATGGAGACCTTGGGGTTGAACAGGTAGTACTTATGCATTCTATTAGGAAAAGATAAAATTCCTTTTCTATTACATCCAATCTACCTGTTAACTGACCAAGCCTAGGCATATATGCAGAGTACAAAGTTATCTAAACCTCTTCATAGAGGGGCATCAGCTTTTGTTTTACACAAATACCAAGATGTCATGAGTAATCTCTACCATAACAATATTTTCAATGTAATTTTCATTTTCATCTAAAATGAAAATAGAAAGGAAAAGGAGATAGGGAGGTCTTCACAATAGCACTACAAGGCTCAGGAAGTTAAAGTAATGGGTCCACAATAGTAATCAGAGGATCTAGAAAGATGTGAGTCTATGTAAGAATCATGATTTTCCAATTCCCCTCTAAGTTGTTGGATTTCATACTATTAAGGGGATATAACCACTTTATGTAATGAGTTTCTTTAAAAGCTGGTTTCCACAGCTGAGTAGAGTGAAGCTTTATTTGTAGGTTAAGGCTCACCTGTAGCTCTAGGACCTGATTTTCAAGAGGAACAAAAAATGAATCTAGCCAGGAACTTGGTATCTCTCTAGCCTAACACTCTGCATTAATAATTAAACCCTTACTTTGTTCTGGAGACATATTTGCCGTCTGTATCCCATCTACACTGCAACCTCCTGAACTTTTTGATGTCTCAGTTCCTCCCATGAAAGCCTGATTGCCTGTATTTGTCATTGCCTTGCCACACCCCTGCCAGGACCTGCCTGGTTCCTGGACCAAGGCCTCTACTTGGTCACCAGGGTGGTCACCATGCTTTTAGCTTTAACCAGTCTGTCTGTATCTGCATTTGTCATGAGAGAAGCCAGTTCCCCAATACAAAATAGAAGAGCAATAGAGAATATCAGAGCAAGGAACAGGAAGGAAGGTGTTCATAGCTACTATAATTTTATTGATATCAATAATAATCTCCCATATGGTCTTTGTCTTCATCCCACATTTTGGCCCTATAACAAAGACGAATGTTGAATTCATTTCCTGACTACATGTGGCTTTCCATTGGTCCTTTCTTCTTCTCCATCAGTAGACACATTTATCTTCTGCTCATTAATTCAGCTGGCATGGGTTTGCAAGCATATGTTCACTGGAAGAAATTTAAATGATAGTGACCTCAGCCTCAAGAGAAAAATCTCTAGTCATTTAAAGAATTTTAACATAGTTAATATACTAAATGCCTGATAGATCATCTGAAGATCAGACATATCTTTATTCACTCAAAAACTAAGAAATGTCAAACGAATATTGATGGCTTCTGTTTCCATTAAGAACAGAAAATTGCTTGGTAAATGCCTGTCGCATCTAGAACAGTGCCTGGCAGGTAAAGGGCCCTCAATAAATACTTGCTGAATGAATAACTTAGGTAAATGAGAATTATTTATTGGCAGATTTTTTCTCTTCTCAATATTTTTCTTTCCTTCTTTTGCATTCCTCATAATATAAACTGGAGTTTTTCACAAAAAGGTGATGAATGCCCAGTGAATGGATTGGTGAATGAGAGACCCAGGAATACCAGCTATAAACTCTTTCTGTATTATGACCTCAAATATGTCTAAACACCTGTATGTAGGCATAGAAAAACATTGTAGAAGGGAATGCAGCAAAATCTGAACAGTGGTTGTCCCTGTGTTGTGTGATTTTTTTTTCCTGTTTCAATTTTTCTATGATGAATATGGATAACTTTAACATATATTATAAAAACCATCACACAGGATAAACAGAACTCAAATGATATCAAAGCTGTTTAAATAGAAATTCTGTTTTCATTTCAAACCCTGCTGCCCAGAGATAAATATTATTAGTACTTAGATGTAAATATACACACACACATGCACATGCACACATTTTGTACATAAATGTAAAATGGCTCAGTCACACTGTATGTACCATATTTGAACCGACTTTTTTGACTCAGTGACAAGGGGTGTGTTTGTGTATATTTATATATTTATATATATTTATTTGAACAGTTGCCAATTATTTCATTGAATTGATGAGCCATTATTTAATTATTATTTAAAATTTGTAAACAATTATTTTTTAACAAGTAATTATTTCCAATTTTTTGACTTAATAAATATACCATTTTACACTTGACTGATTATTTTCTTATATGAAATTCCTATGAACATATTTATTATTCAAATAACAGGAACATAGTTAAAGATTTTAATGAATTTTTTCAGATAGTTCTCCAGAAATGTTGTATCAATGCACACTTACGTGTAAAATAAGTGTGATTTGTTTCCCTGTGACATTTACTAAAATCAGACATTAGGAGACATTGTAAACTTTGTTCATTTGATAATGTTAACATATCCTATTGCTGTTTTTTGTTGTTGTTTTGTTTTGTTTTGTTTTGAGACAGAGTCTCACTCTGTCACCCAGGCTGTAGTTCAGTGGCATTATCTTGGCTCACTGCAACCCCAGCCTCCAGGGTTCAAGCAATTCTCCTGCCTCAGCCTCCCAAATAGCTGGGATTACAGGCATGCACCACCATGCCTGGCTAATTTTTGTATTTTTAGTAGAGATGGGGTTTTGCCATGTTGACCAGGCTTGTCTTGAACTCCTAACCTCAGGTGATCCACCCACCTTGGCCTCCCAAAGTGTTGTGATTACAGGCATGAGCCACCCTACCTGGCCTGATGTTTTAATTTATAAATCTTTGGCTCTTATTAACATAATGTATCTTTTCATTTTTATGGGATGTTTATTCAATTGTGAATTGCAGTGGATGCCCTTTGCCCATTGCTTTTCAGGGGTCTTTGGGTTTTATGTTTTGTTAGAAAGCATTTTCTACCTCAAGAATGTTAAAGTAGTCTACATTTTCTAACAGTGTTACGTGTTACATCTTTTATATTTATATTTTAAGTCCATCTAGAATTGAGCATGTGTATATAAGAGATGCAGATATTTGAATTAACATTTTGTTGTTAAGTGGAGAGCTAATTTTTGCCAATGCAATTTATTCAACAATCTATTTTCCTTGCGTATGTATGGAATATCACTGTTATTCATTGTATGCACCCATATATTCATAGATATCTTAGCACTACATTCTTTTAATTAATTTAACTTTTTAGTACATTTATAGATTCATAAGAAAATATATTAATTTTGAAATCTAAAAAACATATAGCATAGAAAAAAGAAAAGCATAAAATTAACAAAAACTAATGAAAAAAAGCATGAAATGGCATGAGGTCTGTCTGCTATTATACATCCTCATAATTCCTAGTAATTTTCCATCTATAACCTCAGTACATTTATAATTTCTCATTCTATTTCCTCTAATAAACTGTAAGTACTCAAAGGCAGAGCCCATACCTTTGTTATTAATCTTGAAACCCTAGACTGCAGATTTCCCAACATATAGCAGGTATTCCTGTTATTCACATGTTTAATGAATAAAGTGTTCCTGATCTTACAGAATTAGCCAAGAGAGATATTTCTGATGCCAGAAAATGTAAGGTAAAATTCCAGAATGAGTAGCATAGACAATAAAGTGCCAAAATATTTCAGAAGACAATTCAGCTTCGTGGTTTTGAGCTGATCTGGTGTTGGAGTGTTACGGAAGATGTCCTGAAGTATTTGACTGGGTTCTAAAGTGTGGATTGGAATTGTTTGGTTAAATGGAGGAGAGAGGAGTCCAACAAGTTAATCTTTGGCATTTTAATTTGCTTGGGAGACAGATTATATCAAAGAAAATTGAAGAAACCAATTGGATGAGTCATGTGGATTGTGTTAAAGAGAATATGAAATGCATTTAATTATATAGTGTGTTAGACCATTCTTGCATTGTTATAAAGAAATACCTGAGGCTAGATAATTTATAAAGAGAAGAGGCTTAATTGACTCATGGTTTTGCAGTACAGGAAGCATGACGTCTGCTCAACTTCTGGTGAAGGCCTCTGGAAGCTTACAATCATGGTGGAAGGTGAAGCAGGAGCCCTTATATAACATGGTGAGAGCAGGAGCAAGGTGTAGGGGAAAGATGCTACACACTTTTAAACTAGATTTTCCAAGAACTCACTCACTACCATGAAGACAACAAGCCATGAGGATTCTGCCCCCATGACCCAAATACCTTCTACAAGGCCCCACCTCCAATGTTGGGGATCACATTTCAATATGAGATTTGAGTAGGGATGAATATCCAAACTACTATATCATTCTGCCCTTGCTCCTGCCCCCCCACATTTCATGTCCTTCTTACATTGCAAAATATCATGTCTTCCCAATATTCCCCCAACGTCTTAACTGATTCCGCCATTATTTCAAAAGTCCCAAGTCCAAGTCCAGTCTCTCATCTGGAGATGAATTCATTCACCTATAATCCTGTAAAATCAAAACAAGTTATTTACTTCCAAGAAACAATGGGAGTACAATCATTGGGTAAACAGTCCCATTCCAATGAAAGAGAAATCACCCAAACGAAAGGGCTACAGGCCCTGTGTAAGTTTGAAACCCAGCAGGGCAGTTATTAAACCTTAAAGATCCAAAGTAGTCTCCTTTGACTCTGTGTTCCAAATCCAGGGCACACACTGGTATGAGGGGTGGGATTCCAAGGCCTTGAGCAGCTCTATCACTGTGGCTTTTCCATACTGAGGTTGCAAGCTTCTGGTGATTCTACCATTCTGGGGTCTGGAGCACAGCAGCCCCCTTCCCACAGCATTGCTAGGCAGTACCCCAGTGGGGGCTCTGTGTGGGGCTCCAATTCTACATTTTCCCTTACCACTCCCCTAGTAGAGGTTCTCTGTGAGAGCTCCACTCCTTCAGTAGACTTCTGCCTAGGCACCCAGGCTTTCTCATACATCCTCTGAAATCTAGGCAGAAGCTTCCAAGCCTCCTTTACTTTTGCACTCTGTGCATACACAGGCTTGACACCACATGGAACCCATCAAGGCTTACAGCCTGTGCCCTCCAGAGTGGTGGCCCCAGCTGTACCTGGGGCCCTTTGATCCATGACTGGAACTGGAGTGGCCAGGATGTAAGGAGCAGTGTCCCAAAGCTGCAGGGCCCCAGACCTGGCCCCCAGAACCATTCTTTCCTCCTAGACCTCTGGATCTGTGATGGGAGGGGCTGCCCTGAAGATCTCTGAAAAGCTTTCAAGGCCTTTTTCCCATTGTCTTGGCTATCAGCACCTGGCTTACTTTCAGTCATACAAATCTTCCTAGGAAGTGGTTGCTGTGCAGCCTATTTGAATTCTTCTCCTGATAATGCTTTTTATTTATGTGCTACATAACCAGGCTGCACGTTTTCAAAACTTTTTTTGCTCTGCTTCTCTTTTAAATATAAATTTCAACTTTAAGTCATTTGTTTACTCTTACATCTAAGAATAGCCTGTTAGAAGCAGCCACACCATTCTTGAGTGCTTTGCTGCTTATAAATTTCTTCTGCCAGATATCCTATATTATCCCTCTTAAGTTCAAATGTGAACTTCCGCTATATCTTATATCATCACTCTAAAGTTCAAATTTCCATAGATCTCTAGGGCATGAACAGAATTCAGTCAAGCTCCTTGCTAAGACAGAACACAAGTGACCTTTGATCCACTTCCCAATAAGTTCCTCATTTCTATCTGAGATCTCATCAGCGTGGACTCCACTGTCCATATCACTATATCATCATATTGGTATAACCATTTAACCAGTCTCTATGAAGTTCCAAACTTTTCCTCATCTTTCTGTCTTCTTGTGAGACCTCCAATCTCTTCCAACTCCTGCCTATTACCCAGCTGCAAAGTTGACTCCACCTTTTCAGGTATCATTACAGCAGCATGCCACTCTTGGCACCAGTTTTCAGTGTTAGGCCATTCTTTTGTTGCTATAAAGAAATATCTGAGGTTGGGTAATTGATAAGGAAAAGAAGTTTAATTGGCTTATGATTCTGCAGGCTCTATAGGAAGCATGGCACTAGCATGTGCTCAGCTCCTGGTGAAGATCTCAGGAAGCTTACAATCATGGCGTACGATGAAGCAGGAGATTGTGTAGCACATGGTGAGAGCAGGAACAAGAGAAAGGTGGGGAGTTGCCACAGACTTTTAAACAATGAGATATTGTAACAACCCATGCACTACTGTGAGGATAGCCCCAAGCCATGAGGGATCTGCCTCCATAACTCAAACCTCTCCCACCAGGCCTCACTTCCAACATCAGAACTTACGTTTCAACATGAGATTTGGGTGGAAACAAATATCCAAACTATATCATATAGGTTAGGCCCAGATTATGAAGGACCTTAAAAGCTAAACTGAGGAGTTAATACTGTGTTTTGTGGGCATTCATCACTTCATGTTTTCAGTGAGGAAGTGACTTAATATTATGTTTAGGTAGATTAAACAAGAGCTAGTGCAGAGTATGCATTGAAGAGTATAGCTAAGATTTGAATATGTCAGCTGCAGTTCATTCATGAGTTCCCCAAACATGTAGAAGATAGAGCCTTCTCCCTGTGTCCTAACATGGTGGAAAGGGCAAACCATCTCCCTAGGGCCTCTTTCATAAAGGCATTATTACCATTCATGAGGGTTCTATCTTCATGATCTAATCATCCCCCAAAGGTCCATACCTGTTAATTTAGACATTATATAGTTATTCAAAACCAAAACAATAAATATTTATGTACCAAAAATTCTCTATCCATAGGCTAAAATACAAAAGTCAACTGAAAATGGATCATAAACCCAAGACCATAAAATTCTAGAAAATAAATACAGAGCAGATACTTTTCGGTCACCTTTGGCGATGTAAAAATACAAAAACAGAAATCATAAAAAGAACCATAAAAGACTGATAAATAGAATTTTTCAAATGTAAAACTTCTGCTTTTGTAAATATACTTAAAAAATGAAAAGATAACTCAGTCTGTGAATAACTATTTGCAAAACATATATCTGATACAGATTTTTTATTAATAATATGCAAAGAACTTTTCACAACTCAATAAAAGTAGGAAAAATATTTGAAGATAGGTTATCAAAGGTGAGTTACAGATAGCAAATATACACATTAAAATATATTCAATTTTACTGATCAAGAGAATGCAAAATAAAACTGTATATTTATTACACACTTATAAAAATAAGATTTAAAAACTGACAATATTAAATGCTGGCAAGTGTAAACAGCAACTGATCCCTCACGTATTTCTAATGTAATGCAATAAGGCACAGACACTCTGGAAAGCAGTTTTTGGCAATTTTTATAACAATAAATATACATTTTACATGTCTAAATAATTTTACTTCTAGGTATTTACCAAGAAAAATGAAACATATATTCACATAAAAATCTGTGCCAATTATTTATGGTAGTTTTATTCATTATTGCCCCAAACTGGAAACAACCCAAATTTCCATTTACTGGTGAGCAGATAAACAAATTATGATGCACACATGCAACAAAATAGATGGATCTCAAAATAATTATGACAAGTAACAAGCCAGACATAAAAGGTTATATTATGTATGCTTCCATTTATATAACATTCTGGAAAAGGCATATTTATAGGGACAGAAATTAGTGGTTGCCAAGGGCTAGGAGTTGGGAAAGGGAACTGATTTCAAAGGGACACAAAAGATTATTTGAAATAAAGTAAAATATTCTATATTTGATTATTGGTGGTTATATGACAGTTTACATTTACTAAATGTCATCAACAATAAATTTTACTGTATTTATATTAGACCTTAATAAACCAAGATTTAAAAATCAAACAAGGAAAACACTTTCTAAAATAAAAACAAAACAAGGGCATTCTGAGAAAGTAAAGTTTACGCTAAAACCTGAAGAATGAGTAGAAATGAGCAAACTAAAGGATTGGGACAAAAATGTTTGAGGCAAAGGGAATAATTTGGGCAAAACCCCCAAGGAAGGAAGAATCTGGACATTAGAGGAAGTAACCTGAGGCCAATGTAGCAAAGGCACTGTAAAGAATGTGAGTTTGACAAGAAATGTGGGAAGAGAAAGAAATGAGCATCAGATTACACAGAGTCTTGTACCAATTATGAGGAACTTTAGATTTTATTCTAAATACAATGGGAAATATCTTAGTCTGTTCAGGCTGCTAATAACAAAATACCATAGACTAGATGGCTTATAAACAACCACCATTTATATGTTCCTGAATAACCAGTGGGTCGATGAAGAAATTAAGAAGGAAATTGGAAAATTTCTTGAAGCAAATGAAAATGGAAACACAACCTACCAAAACCTATGGGATACAATTCTGGAGGCTGGGACGTCCAAGAATAATGTACCTGCAGATTCAGTGTCTAGTGAGGGCTGGTGCCTCATACAGCCTTCTCCCTGTGTCCTCACATGGTAGAAAGGACAAACTATCTCCCTAGGGCCTCATTTATAAGGGCATTAATACCATTCATGAGGGCTCTGTCTTCATGATCTAATCACCTCCTAAAGGCCCACACCTGTTACTACTATCATTTTGGCAATTAGGTTTCAACATACCAATTTTGAAGGGACACTTTCAGACCATAGAGGAAGCCTCTGAAAGATTTAAATTAGAGGAATGATGTGATATGATATGAATTTTTGAAAGATCACTCTAGATTCTTCAGTAAGAAGGATCAATGAGGGCAAAAGTGGGTGCAGGGGGACAGATTAGGAGAGCATTACAAAGAGAGACAATGGGAGCTTGGGCCATGGTGGTAGTTATAGATACAGAGAGAAGGGTCCACATTTGGGATATATTTGGATCCTCATCCATCAATTATAAAAATGGAGTTAAAACATATCTATGTCATGGGGCTGTTGTGAGGACAAAATGTGTATAATTAGTTTGTATTTTTTCTCAATATATTTTAAATGCTTAAAACATATTTACTATTATTTTAAAAGATGAAAATGAATTAAACACTGCTTCCCTTGTTTTTGCTCTCATCTTCTTCCAAGTTGCCACCCTCACATAGTGTGTTCACTCCCTGGGATGCCCTCAGTACCTGCATATCTCCTTATTTAAGCATGCATTTATCATATATTTATGTGAACCCAGCCCTGCTCTTCTTTAGTAATAATCCTAATGCTGATCGGTCTTCACCCAAGGGTATGTAATAATACATGGTCAAAACCATGAAAAACCAGACCTTCACTTCTGGTAAAAGCTTATGAACCCCAGGTATATCTAGGTTGTATTAAATTGACCTTGTTTTGTTTGTTTGCCTGTTTGTTTGTTTGTTTTTCTCTATCCTTGAGCATTTGAGTATTCTTTTATGGAAGGGTGACATAGTGACAATCATTTTTCTTTAGTTATATGTGCTTACTTTTATAGTAACATTAAACCTATTATTTTTATTTTATTTGCCCCACAAGGCTATTAAAATCATACAAATAGAAATGATATGGGCCTAGGCAAGAAAAGTAAAAATGTGAGTGGAAAGAGGAAGATTAATATGAATTTGGAGTGAAGGCTCAGAGAGACTTTGTGAACAATAGAATACAGAAGGTCATGAATACAGAAAAGTCAAAGACAACTCTAGTTTCCATTCCTGTTGGCCTGGGTGAAATCTGTCACCACTGACAAATAGAAAAGTCACTAGAGGAATCTTCTTAGGGATCAACAACAACAACAAAGAATAATGGATTCTCTTTAGAAACGTTGACTTTGAGACAACAATAGATTTTCCAAACAGTGGCAGTGGCATTTGTCAGTTATCAGATGGGGCATTAGTCCTCTTGAACACTCTAAATGAGACAGCTAGATGCTAAGACTAGAGAGAACCTCCAGAGGAAAATGAAAGAACCAAAAATCATTCAGCAACAGGTGATAGGAGGAAGATAAGTTGAGCATCAAGCATGTCAGAGATTGCATAATACCTAACAGTTCAGACAGGCAGTTTGGCACGAGAAGACAAAAGTGGTAAAAATTCTGCCCCTATGGATTGCTGTTTAGGGCCATAGTCCCATTTTTTAGGATAACTTGGAATGACTGTTTCCACAATGAAACAAGGACTCATGTGTAGAGATACAGGATATGGACCAGGAACATCTAAATTAGTATCCTATTCAGACAAACACAGTGAAATTTGCTCTCTAAACATGGCTTTTAGTATCTCCTTGAAAGTGATGAGCTCTAAAAAAAATGCTTAAAAATAGCTTAGGATAATGCTTAAAAATCTTAGAAAAAATCATCATTAACCTCAAAGATTGTATTTATGTTTTTAGATGCTTATTTAGTTTTCTGCCTTGGAAACTCAGAAAATGGGAACAGTTGAGTTTGAAATCTTCACTTTTACTGATACATCTTCTTTCAGTATATTTAATGGCAGTTTTTGTTTATAAATGTCTTTACATCTACAATTACTTCTTGCTTTTCAGTGGTGCTTGTGGCATTTCCTAATGTATAATCCTCTGCAAGTTTTGTTACAAGCTGTCTACTCCTACAATTAATAGAGATGTTAGGTAGCCTATAAAACTCACATCACTCTCTACCACCATTAACTTCGTACATTGCCATATATTAACATCTTTTTGTTTTGTTTTGTTTTTGTTTTTGTTTTGTTGTTGTTGTTATTGCTGCTGTTGTTTTCTTTCAGATGGAGTTTTGCTCTTGTTGCCCAGGCTGGAGTACAATGGTGTGATCTCGGCTCACTGCAACCTCTGCCTCTGGGTTCAAGCAACTCTCCTGCCTCAGTCTCCAGAGTAGCTGGGATTACAGGTGCCTGACACCATGCCCAGCTAATTTTTGTATTGTTAGTAGAGATGGGGTTTCACCATGTTTGCCAGGCTGGCCTCAAACTCCTGACTTCAGGTGATCCACCCACCTCAGCCTCCCAAAGTGCTGGGATTACAGGCGTCAGTCACCACATCTGGCCAACATCTTTGTTTTCATTCTTCATCCAGATTTCAACCCCTGAGAAGGTGCTTGAACTTTATCCAATATCAATTGATACAGCAGATTTCATGAGAAACATGGTCCTGAATGTTACTCAAATATTGGTTTAGTATACATTGAATAGTATACTCTTTCTATGATATCAGAAAGGCAATTACTTTTTATATGTATGGTTTGTCTTTAAACACAGTGGCACTTGAAATTTTTAAACAATAATTGCCAAGATTAATCATTAGTATTTCATGATATACATTGTTTTATCATGTTTAATTGTTTTATATTTATATATTTTACCTATTGAACAAAAAGCCATGAATTTGTGGGCTCTTTGATTTACCCATTTATCAATATGTATTAAATACCTAGTACCTTGAGATTCTATCTCCTTTTCCTTTTATTTATGGATATTTGATTTCAAAGTAGTAACAAAGATTTTATTGCACAAAAATCCTCTATAAACATTAATGTAAACACATGAGGAATTAAAGATACTACTTTCTTTAGAAAGTGATCTTCATTTTTATTAGCATTCTAAATTGTTTTGATAAACCAGTCTTATTTTTTAATACTAGTAAATTTTTTACTATCAAGGAATATGTTAAGCACATCTTAAATCTAACTAATTTTTTTCTGAGTTTAAATTTTAAAAACCAAGCATAATCTAGCACACTCTAGCACAAAACTATATAAAGTATTTAGAATATTTTGTGCCAAGAGCCAATATGTGCTGCATGAAAACTGGAAAGACGTTCGTTAATATTATTAAGATATATATATAAACTGAAACTTGATGGTAAGAGCATGAAAACATACATGTTAAAGTAAAAAATAAATACCATGGAAGATATATATTCCATGGAATAATAAAAATAATAATAACTTATTGAACTTACAATATGTGCCAGGCACTCTGCTAAGTACTTCACATAAATTATCCCACTCAATATGCACATATTATTTTATAATACAGGAAACTGAGAGTCTGAGGCATTAAATAATCTAAGAATACCTAGCTTATAATAATTGGAACTCAGCATTGATTCTAAAGCCTGGGTTCTTAACCACTCTGTGATACTACTTTTATTATGAAAAAGGTGGCATGCGTAATTCTATGGAGAAAGAATAAGAAAGAGAGCCTGTAATTCTTTTTTCTTTCTTTTTTTTTTTAAATTGAGTCAGGGTCTCGCTATGTTGCCTGGACTGGTCTAGAATTCCTGACTCCTGGTGATATGGTTTGGTTGTGTCCCCACCCAAATCTCATCTTGAATTGTAGCTGCCATAATTCCCACATGTTGCAGGAGGGACCTAGTGGGAGGTAATTGAATCATGAGGGTGGGTTCCCCCATACTGTTCTTGTGGTAGTGAATAAGCCTCATGAGTTCTGATGGTTTTATAAGGGGTTGCCCCTTTCACTTGGCTCTCATTCTCTCTTGCCTGCCACCATGTAAGATGTGCCTTTTGCCTTCCGCCATGATTGTGAGGCCTCCCCAGTCTTGTGGAACTGTGAATCCATTAAACCTCTTTTTCTTTATAAATTACCCAGTCTCGGGTATGTCTCAGTATATCTTTATAAATTACCCATGTCTCGGGTATGTCTCGGGTATATCAGCAGTGTGAAAATGGACTAATACACCTGGCCTCAAGTGATCCTTCTGCCTCAGCCTCCCAAACTGCTGGGGTTACAGGTACGAGTCACCATGCCCAGCCTATAATTATTAATATGCCCAAAATTATTTATGTAACTCAGAAGGTTCAATTTACAATTGAGCAGAAAATGTGTCCTCTCCTCTTTATGTCCTTTGTCTAGCATTCACATATGTCCAAAAAAAATCCCTCAGGAGTCTTACTTGTATTCAAAAGTCCAACTCAATTTGTTTTCACTTTATCCCTGGAAATGAAACTCAAATGCAACCCTTCAGCCTGGTGAACTCCTGAACCATTGCCAGGTCTGGTTACCCTAGAATGTGCTCCCACTGACTGTCTTTCTCTGCCACCAAAGATGGAGGTCTGTGTCATAGCTGAATACATACAATGCATAAACACTAGGGTTTTGCTGCTGCTTTCATGTTGGAATATCATGATTGCTGTTTTTTCTCAGACACTGGGACTTCTGCTCTGGTAGCCTCCATTACTGGTGGTGCAGACTTCTGCACAGCTGAGTGTTTTCTTTGAGGTGATATTAAGGATGATTCCCACTTCTGTAGTATGCTCATTCAGTCATGCAGTACTCACTATAAAATTGGCTCTGGCACCCAGTAGTATAGTTCCTTAGATTCACCAGATGAATCTTCCCCAGGGCATAAGCCTCCTACCATGTAAGGACACCCTATAAGAACAGGCTTGGTTTAGGGCTTCACACAGCTAGATCTACCCTTTGATCTCTTTATCTTTATCCATGCTGCAAATAATTGAATCCAATTAGAGTGAATTGGCTGATAATGGGGAAGTGAAATAATTACTGGAGAAAAATTACAATATCACACTGGAGTTCGTGATGATATAGAGAAACAATGCTGCTTATCAGTCTGTTTAAATAAAAGTTTTAGGAAAAGAGAGTCCCAAATCAAAGGAAAAAAAAATTATATATGTGGTCTTATGGGCAAAGAGAAAGAAATTAAAACAGAAGAGTGATTATACTCTCTAAAATAAAATTCTGACATGAAGAATTAGTTCCAATATAAGGGAAACAAGCGTGCATGTCTAAGGAAACCAGAGATATTGCATTTGGAGCATTAAGATGAACTCATATTAAATAGATAGAAACAACGATGAAAATGTTGCAAAAACGTCAAAGTAAAATAAAAAGTTTTGGTGAACTTATAGGAAGAATTTCAACAAGACTGAACCTCTAAATGACGTGAAGCTTAGGGGAGAAAAGGACAAGAAAAATATACACAGCTTTAAAAAAATCATTGAGACATATTTTACATATGGTACAGTGTACAAGATTTAAGTGTGCAGCTTGAATTGTACATACATCTATATGCATGTAAACAAACCCAAATGGAGACATAAAACTTTTTAAACACCCAAGTGACTCTCTCATACTTGCTCTATAAGTCAGCAGTCCTCCAAAGGAAATTGTTATTCTGACTTTCATCACTGTATGTTAGTTTGGCTTGTTTTTTGAAATTTTAGGTAAATGAAATTATATAGCATGTATTCTTTGGAATTTTGTTTGACCTAACAATATTATAAGAGTTACCCATTTTGTTGAGTTTTAGCAATGGTTATTTTCCATTGCTGTGAAGTTTTTTTTTTTTTAATGAATATACCTCAACTTATTCATCCATTCTGCTTAAGCTGAAGACCTATTAACTAAAAGGACAAGCCATCTGCCCTATTCTTCCTATTCTCCTCTGACACCCAACAAACAGTACAGGGTGATCATAGTTAATGCTCTTATATGGAAGAGGGGGGAATGGGAGGCATATAGCAGTCTTTGGGTCAGAATAATTCTGAAATCTTGAGGTACACATGTTGTAGGAGCCCTCTATTCTCAGGGTGAAAATTGTTCCTTGATTAGACCTTAGTTTTTGTTTTGGAGAGTAGCTTCCTGGTCCATTGTTTTGTATAACACTTCATTCTGCCCTCTGGGAGGTCCTTCCTTTCCCCTCTTGGCCACATCTGAATAGGCCACAGCTATGAGTAATAAGCAGCTTTCTCAGCTTGTTTTGTTCCCAGAGAAGACTGGGGACCTGAGGTTAGTTTAAGGCTCAAACAATTACTGTCAATTTTTATCCAAGATGGTATTCCTTTGGCAGTAACACTCTTTGAAAACAATAACTTTTAATTTATTTGAATTTGTTCCATGTGCCAATACCCACACCAACAGTTCTTTTCAAGAGATGGCTCTTTCTAGACTTAATTATAAGCTTAGTAGTCCATTGGAGAGTCAATTCTTTAGTCTCTTTGTTCTGAGACATTTTCTTCAACTAAAAACATTAGCTGGGTGCTATCTGAATCAATATAAAGTTTTTAACAAAAGGCCTGGCAGCCACACCCAAACTTGCTAGACATCAGAAAAAGTCGAATCTTCTAACATGCAAAGTTCTAGAATTTGTGGCCTGTTCATGTTTTCTTTCATCCTCATATTCAATGTGGCAAATTCTTTCTAAAGGTCATCTTTTTCTTGTAGAGTATTTCAAATGATTATTTCAAATGACCAAAGCACACAACCAGTATTATTTCCCCTACCCATTCTTAAAGCACAGGTTCTTTCACTACATTATCTGCTTCCTAAGTTATGCCAGTGGATTGTTTTACCAAAGGTATTTTCTCTGCATACTGTGAGTTGACGTATTTCCAGCCTCTAAACACAGTTTTCTTGCCACCTACTGCCAGATCTTGCAACCAAAGTCACGAAATTTAAACTTCTTCTTATGGAAGCACCCCACTCCTAGGTACCAATTTTCATATCAAAAATAATAGGCAATGCTGTGTTATAGTAATCTGTAAGTTTAAATCTCAGTGGCTTACAAAAATGAAATTACAAGTTTCACTCATAGTATATATCCACTGTAAATTAGTCTGCTCCATGTGTTCTTCATCCTGGTACCCAGGCCAGCCAAGAAGCTTCTATCTGAGACATTGATAATCTTGTAAGGAGAAAATGTTTAAAGGCAGACTTGAATTTTGACACTTCAAGCTATTCTCTGAAAGTGGCACATGGCACATTCGTTCATACTTTACTGGCCGAAGCAACTCATATGGTAACACTTGATATTAAATGGGTGAAGATAAATACTCCTTTCATGGGGAAGAATAATGAATACTTTGAACAAAAAAAGTACAATCTACTGTAATAAGGTGCAACTTTCTGGCAGCTAGAGATGAATAGCAGTATAGTGAGCAATAAAAATATCTCAATAGAAGCTGGAAAATCTTCACTATTATAATAAATATAGCTACTATTCATTAAATATGTAATAAGATTCTAGATTCCTGCCTTCATTTAATCCTCATAAAACATAAACAATGATGGGAACGTTGTTTAAAAAAGGCACTTTACTCAAGATAAGTGGCAAAGCTGGAATTAATAGCCAGGTCTGAACTGAAAGATTATATGCTTTCCCCGCTTTCCCCATTGCAAAACAAAATGGTAGCTACAAAATTGTTTAACATAGTGAATGAAGCATTGGATTGATATCCTCTATCATTGGCTTCACTACTGAAATTTTTTATTGTGGACTTTTTAAATAAAAATTGTGATTAACCATTTATTGGGTTAGGATTTAGCAAATGTATATTTGGAAAGCAATATCAATTGTTAAATACTTAGATACTTCTGGCTAGCTAAATAACATTGTGCAAAACCCCCCAGTATCAATTTCAGACATGGTTGTGGTCCCCCAGCACCACATTTTGATTCAGCAATTAATGGTTTATTTCTGTCCCATTAGGGTTTACTCAGGATCCTGCTCAAATGTAAGCTTTCGGTAATTGGTCAATTCTTGCCCCTTACTGGCTGTTAAATATTATGAATGTCAAACTACTCAATAACTCTCATTGTTGAGTAATTAATAGGTTAAGTAGAGATTATGAATTTTCTGAAAGGAAAAATTAGTCATTTGGGACTGGAACTGTTCTTTAAAAAATTAAGATTGTTAACTATTACATGTGAAATATAAAAGGGTCATATTTTTAAAAGGCTTAATTGTAAAAATGCATAATTTAAATTCTTTGGTTGCAATTAATCAGATTAATAACTAAATACATACTTCAAAAATTGAAGATAAAATGAGAACTCTGTTAAACCAGTTCATGTTAATCTTTTTCACAGGCTATTTCATGTGATCATTGATATTAAATAAGGTGAACTTTAAATATTATGTCACTAATTGGTATTAAATAGGACTCAGTATCATTAACTCAAAATATATTCATGTTGGATACAGAAGGCCAGAGAAAGATGGTAGAATAGAATCTTTCACTGATCATCCCCACCATGGGAACACCAAATTCAACAACTGTCTATACAAAAAAGCACCTTCATGAGAACCAAAAATCAGGTGACCTATTACAGTACCTGACTTTAACATCATATCACTGAAAGAGGCACTGAAGAGGGTAGGAAAGACAGTTTTGTATCACTGACAAAATCCCCCATCCCCTGGCAGCAGCTGCATGTCACAGAGAATCTATGCATTTGTTAGAGAGAGAGAGAACTGCAATTATAGCACGCTGCTTTGAACTTAGCGCTGTCCTGTCACAGCAGAAAGTAAAACTGCTGAACTCAGCCAATGCCTGCCCACGGAGGGAACAATTGGAACAGCCCTAGCCAGAGGGGAATAGCCCATCCCAGCAGGTGGAACTTGAGTTTTGGGGAGCCTTGGCCACCACAGGCTAAACTGCTCTGGAGCTGCATATAAACTTGAAAAGCAGTCTAGGCCACAAGAACTACAATTCATAGGCAACTTCTAGCACTGAGCTGAGCTCAGAGCCAGTGGACAAGGGGACATGAGACCTACAGAGACACCAGTGAGGGCAGCCAAGGGAGTGGTTGCACCCTTCCACAAGCCCAGGCAGCATTCCTTCATTTTGCTTGAGAAGAGGAGAGGAAATAGTAAAGAAGATTTTTTCTTGCATCTTGGATACCAATTTAGCTACAGTAGAAGAGGCATAAGGCAGAGTTACGAGGTCCCTATTCCAGGTCCTAGCTCCTAGACAACATATCTAGACACATCCTGGTCCAGAAGGAAACCTACTTCCTTGAAATGAAAAACCCAGGCCTGGCAGGATTCATCACCTGCTGATTAAGAGCCCTTGGGCCCTAAATAACAAACAGTGATACTCAGGCCCTTGGGCCCTAAATAACAAACAGCAATACCCAGGTAGTACACTGTAGACCTTGGATGAGACTCTGAAATGGACCAGCTTCAGATGAGTCCCAGCATATTCACAGCTGTGGGGTCTGCGAGGAGAGACTCCTTCTGCTTGAGAAAAGCAAAAGGAAAAGTAAAGGGGTCTTTGTCTAGCATCTTGGATACCAGCTCAGCCACAGTAGGATAGGGTGCCAGACAGACTTATAAGGCCCAGATTCCAGGGCTTAGTTCATGCATAACATATCTAGACATACCATGGGCTAGAAGGGAACCTACTGCCTTAAAGGAAGGGTGCAATCCTGGCAAGATTCATCACCTGCTGACTGAAGAGCTCTTGTACCCTGAAGAGCAAGCAGCAATACTTGCAGATAGTAAGCCATGGGCTTTCAGTGAGATTTTGAGACATGCTGGCTTCAGGTATGAGCTCAGCCATAGTGGAATAGAGCACCGTATGAGCTCTTAGGGTCTTTAATTTTAGGCCTTGGCTCTTAGATGACATTTATGGACCTGCCCTGGGCCAGAGGGGAGCCCACTGCCATGAACGGTGAATCCAAGGCCTGGAAGCATTCACCACAAACTGAGTGAAGAATCTTTGGGCATTAAGTGAACATTGGCAGTAGCCTGGCAGTACCCCCTAACCATGATCTGTGATAGTGGTGGCCATGGGTAAAGTCTCCTCTGACTGTGAAAAGGGGAGGGAAAAGCAGGAAGGACTTTGTATTGTGGTTTGCGTGCCAGCTTAGCTACAATAGAATAGAGTACCAGGTAGAGTCCTAAGGTGTTAGACTCCAGTCCCTGGCTCCCAAATAGCATCTCTGTGCACATGTGGGGCCTGGGGGAACTTGTCACTCTGAAAGAGAGGACATAAGACTGGCTGGTTTTGCCACTTGCTGATTGTAGAGTCCTAGATCTTTGAGCAAACATAGGCAGTAGCCAGATAGTGGTTACAGGGGGCCTTGGGCCATATTCAGTTCTGTACTAGCTTTAAGACTGATCTAGCATAGTCCAAGTGGTGCTGGCTACAGGGGTGCATGTGTCCAACCACCCCAAGTTCGAGGTGGCTCAGCACAGAGTTTGGGAGAAAGTCAGGGAAGAGAACAATAATCTCTGGTAATAATCTGGTAATCCGTATAATTTTTCCAGATATTATCTAAGGCCACCATGGCAGTACCTCCATGTGTCTGGAAAAAAATCACAGCATTACTGGGCTTGCAGTGCCCCTAATGCATATACAACTTATACCACAATGCCCAAGACCCTTTGAATACTTGGAAAGCCTTTCCAAGAAGGACGGGTATAAGCAAGCCCAGACTGGGAAGACTACAATAAATACCTAACACTTCAATGCTCAGACTCTGATCAACATCCACAAGCATCAAGACCGCTTAGAAAACAAGACCTTACCAAATGAACTAAATAAGGAACCAGAGGCTGATCGTGGAGAAGCAGAGATATGTGACCTTTCAGATAAAGAATTCAAAATAGCTGTTTCAAGGAAACTCAAAGAAATTTCAGATAATACAGAGGAGGAATTCAAAATTCTATCAGATAAATTTAACAAAGAGATTGAAATAATTAAAGAGAATCAAGCAGAAATTCTGAACCTGAAGAATGAATCAGAGTCTCCCATCAGCAGAATTGATCAAGCAGAAGGTAGTATTAGTGAGCTTGAAGACAGGCTGCTTGAAAATACACAGTCACAAGAGACAAAAGATAAAGAATAAAACATACCTACAAGATCTAGAAAATAACTTCAAAAGGGAAAATCTAAGTTATTGACCTTAAAAAGGAAATAGAGAAAGAGATAGTGGTAGGAAATTTACTCAAAGGGATAACAGATAACTTCCCAATCCTAAAGAAAGATATAAATATTTAAGTACAAGTAGTTTATGGAACAACAAGCAGGTTTAACCCAAAGAATACTTAAAGGCTTTTAATAACCAAACTCTTAAAGGTCAAGAATAAAGAAAGGAAAAGCAGCAAGAGAAAGGAAGCAAGTGCCATACAATGGAGCTCCAATATATCTGGCAGCACACTTTTCAGAGCAAACCTTAAAGGCCATGAGAGAGTGGTATGACAACTTAAAGTGCTGGAGGAAAAAAAAAATTTACCCTAGAATAATATATCCAGTGAAAATATCCTTCAAACATGAGGGAATGTTTGAATTCCCTTGTTTGGGAGCTGATGGATTTCATCAACAAGAGCTGATGGATTTCATCAACACTAGCTGCATCTTATAAGAAATGCTAAAGGGAGTTATTCAATCGGAAGGAAAGGAATGTTAACGAGCAATAAGAAATCATCTCAGGGTACAAAACTCACTGGTAATAGTAAGTACGTGGAAAGACATAGACTATTACAACACTGTAATTGTGGTGGGTAAACTACTCTTAAGTAGAATGACTAAATGATGAATCAACCAAAAATAATAACTAAAACAACTTTATAAGGCAGAGACAGTACAATAAGATATAAACAGAATAAAAGGTAAAAAGGAGGATGAAGTGAGAAGAGTTTTTATTAGTTTTCTTTTTACTTGTTTGTTTGTTTACACAATCTGTGTTCAGTTGTCATCAATTTAAAATCATGGGTTATAATGTAGTATTTACAAGCCTCATGGTAATCACCAACCAAAAAACATACAATGGATGCATAAAAAATAAAAAGCAAGAAATTAAATTCTATATCACCAGAGAAAATCACCTCCACTAAAAGGAAGATAGGATTGAAGGAAAGGAGGAAGACAAACCACAAAACAACCAGAAAACAAGTAATAATATGGCAGGAGGAAAAGTCCTTACTTATTAATAATAACTAAATGTAAATGGACTAAATCTCCAATCAAAAGACATAGAGTGGCTGAATGAATACAAGAACAAGACCCAATAATCTGTTGCCTACAAGGAATACACATCACCTATAAAGACACACAAACTGAAAATAAAGGGATTAAAGAAGATATTTCATGCCAATGGAAATTTCAAAACAGCAGAAGTAGCTACGCTTATATCAGACAAAATATATTTCAAAGCAAAAACTATAAGAAGAGACAAAAAAGACACTACATAATGATAAAGAGGTCAATTCAGGAAAAGAATATAACAATTATAAATATATATGCACTCAGCACTGGAGCACCCATAGACATAAAGAAAATATTATTAGAGCTAAAGACAGAGATGGACCCCAATACAATAATAGTTGGAGAATTTAACACTCCACTTTCAACACTGGACAGAACTTCCTAACAAAAAATCAACAAAGCAACAATGAACTCTATCTGCACTATAGACCAAATAGATCTAACAGATATTTACAGAACATTTCATCCAATAGCTGTAGAATACACATATTTCTTCTCAGTTCTTGGGACATTCTCAAGAATAGACCATATGCTCAGTCATGAAACAAGTCTTAAAACAGTCTTTAAAATATTGAAATAATATCAGATTTCTTCTCTGACGACAATGGAATATAACTAAAAATCAATAATAAGATGAATTTTGGAAACTATACAAACACATGGAAATTAAACTGTAAGTTTATGAATAACCAGTGGGTCAATGAAGCAATTAAGAAGGAAATTGGAAAAAAAATTTAAACAAATGATAATGAAAACACAACATTCCAAAAACTATGAGATGCAACAAAAGCAGTACTAAAAGGGAAGTTAATAGATACAAGTGCCCACATCGTAAGAGAAAAAAAACTTCAAATAACCTAATGATGCATCTTAAATAACTAGAAAAGCAAGAGCAAACCAAACCCAAATTTAGGAGAAGAAAAGAAAGAATAAATATCAAAGCAGAAATAAATTAAATTGAAACAAAGAAAACAATCCAAAACATCAATGAAATGAAAAGTTGGTGTGTTGAAAAGAAAAAAAATTGGCAAACCTGTACCTACACTAAGAAAAAAAGAGAGAAGACCCAAATAAATAAAATAAGAAATGAAAAGGGGGACATTATAATAGCTAGCACAGAAATTCAAAGGATCATTAATGGCTACTAAGAACAAACATATGCCAATAAATTAGAAAACCTAGAAGAAATGGATAATTCCTAGACACATACAACCTACCAAGATTGAAACATGAAGCAACCCAAACTCTGAACAGACCAACAACAAATAACAAGATTGAAGTTGCAATAAAAGGTCTTCCAGCATAAAAAACCCCAAGACCCAATGGCTTCACGCTGAATTTTACCAAACATTTAAAGAACTAACACCAATCCTACTGAAAATATTTCAAAAAATAGAAGAGGAAGGAGTACTTAAAAACTCACTCTACAAGGCCAAATATTACCCTGATGCCCAAACTAGACAAAGACATAAAAAAAAAAAAAAAAAAAAAAAGGGAAAAAAGAAAAGAAAAAAAAGAAAGAAAGAAACGGAAAAGAAAACTGCAGGCCAGTATCTGTGATGAATATTGTGGCAAAAGTTCTCAAAAAAATACTAGCAAACTGAATTCAACAACACATTAAAAAGGCATTCATCATAACTAAGGGGGATTTATCCCAGGGATGCAAGGATGATTCAACATACACAAATTAATCAATGAGATACATCATATCAACACAATGAAAGACAAAAAACATATGATCATTTCAATTGATGCTGTAAAAGCATTTGACAAAATGCGAAATCACTTCATGAAAAAACCCTAAAAAAACTGGGTATAAAAGGAATATACCTCAACATAATACAAGCCATATATGACAGACCCACAGCTAGTATCATCCTGAATTGGGAAAAACTGAAACCCTTTTTACTAATATCTGGGACATGACAAGGATGACCACTGTCACCACTGTTATTCAACATAGTACTGGAAATCCTAGCTATAAAACTCAGAGGAGAGAAGAAATAAAGGACATCCAAACTGGAATGGAAGAAGTCAAATTATCTTTGTTTGTAGATGACATAATCTTGTATTTGGAAAAACCTAAGGACTCCACCAAAAACTCTTAGAACTAATAAACAAATTCAGTAACGTTGTGGGATACAAAATCAGCATACAAAAATTAGTCACATTTCAATATGCAAGTGGCAAACAATCTGAACAAGAAATCAAGAAAGTAATCCCATTTAAAATATCTGCAAATAAAATACCTGTAAATTAACCAAAGAAGTGAAAGATCTCTTCAATAAAAACTATAAAACACTGATAAAATAAATTGAAGAAATAAAGGGCAAAGTATAAAACACTGATGAAACACTGATAAAAGAAATTGAAGAGAACACCAAAAATGGAAAGATATTCCATGTTCATGGATTGGAAGAAACAATATTGTTAAAATGCCTATAGTAAGCAAAGCAATCTACATATTTAATGCAATCCCTATCAAAATACCAATAACATTCTTCACGTAAATAGAAAAACCTATCCTAGAATTTATATGACACCACAAAAGACCCAGAATAGCCAAACCTATGTTGAGCAAAAAGAACAAAACTGTGGGAATCATATTACCAGACTTCAAATCATACTATAGAGTTGTAATAAGCAAAACAGCATGGTACTGGCATAGAAACAGACACATAAACCACTGGAATGGAATAGAGAACCCAGAAACAATTCTGTACACCTACACCTACGGCAAACTCATTTTTGACAAAGGTGACAAGAATATACACTGGGGAAAAGACAATCTCTTCAATAAATGGTACTGGAAAAACTGTATATTCATATGCAGAAGAATGAAACTAGATCCCTATCTCTTTCCATGTACAACAATAAAATCAAAATGAAATAAAGACTTAAATATAAGGCTTCAAACTATAAAATTACTAAGTACAAACAATGGGGAAAGTCTCCAGGACATTGGAGTGAGCAAAGATTTCTTGAGTAATACCCCACAAGCAAAGGCAACCAAAGCAAAAATGAACAAATAGGATCACTTCAATTTAAAAAGGCTTCTGCACAAAAAAGTAATCAATCAACAAAGTGAAGAGACAACCCACGGAATAGGAGAAAATATTTGCAAAGGCCCTATCTGACAAGGGGTTAATAACAAGAATGTTTAAGGAGCCCAAACGACTCTATAGGAAAAAATCTAATAATCAGATTAATAAATGAGCAAAAGGTCTGAATAGACATTTCTCAAAATAAGACAATACAAATGGCAAACAGGTTTATAAAAAGGTGTTCAAAATCAGTGATTATCAGAGTAATGCAAATCAAAACTGTAATGAGATATCATCTCACCTCACTTAAGGTAATTTTTATTCTAAAATGGGTAATAATAAATGCTGGTGAGATGTGGAGAAAAGGGAACCCTCATACTCTGTTGGTGGGAATGTTAGTACAATCACTATGGAGAAATTTGGAGGTTCCACAAAACACTAAAAATAGAGCTACCATATGATCCAGCAATCCCGCTGCTAGGTATATGCCCACCCTCTCCCCCACAAAAAAGAAAATAGTATATTGAAGAGATGTCTACATTCCCATGTTTATTGCAATACCACTTACAGCCAAGATTTGGAAGTACCCTAAGTGTTTATCAACAGATGAATGAACAAAATGGGGTTCATATATACAATGGTACTATTCAGCCGTAAAAAAGAATGAGATTCCATCATTTGCAACCACATGGTTAGAATGTGAGATCATTATGATAAGTGAAATAAGCCAGGCACAGAAGGAAAAACTTCTCATCTTCTCACTTATTTGTGGGAACTAAATATTAGGACAATTAAACTCATAGAGACAGAATGTAGAAGGATGGTTACCAGAGGCTGGGAAGGGCAGTGGGTTTGGGGTGTTGGGGAAACAGTTAATGGGTCTAAAAAATAGTTAGAAAGAATGAATAAGATCTAGTATGTTCTAGCATAACAGGGTGACTATAGTCAACAATAGTTTAATTGTACATTTAAAAATAACTAAGAGTATAATTTTGTTTTTAACTCAAAGGATAAATGCTTGAGGTGATGGATACCCCATGTACCCAGATGTGATTACTACACATTGCATGCCTGTATCAAATATCCCATGTACCCCATAAATATATACACCTACTATGTACCTACAAAAATTAAAAAATAAAAAATTTAAAGTAAAAAATGAAAAATATATATTAAAGTTGGAGACTTAACACAGGAAATAGAGAAAACACTTAAATGTCGCCATGTCAGTAGTTCTCAACCTTGGCTACACATTAGATTCACCTGGGGAACTTGTAGAGCCCACATCCCAGAACAATTACATCAAGATTTCTGGTGTTAGGACACAGGTACTAGTAGTTTTTAAAGCTCCCCAGGTGATGTCAATGCACAGCCAAGGTTGAGAACCACAACCCTACATCATCTAAAATACTATCAAGTCCTTTCTTTTGGTTATGCTCCTTAGGTTTTATCAACAGCATTGCCCTACTTCTCAGGTTTCTGATGCACATCTGCAAATAGCTCCTGGAAAAAAGAAAGAAAATATACTAGGAGCTAGTGTGAGCAACCATCCTGATTTGCCCAAGACCGAAAGCTTCCCAGAATATGGCTTTCAATACTAAAACCTTAACTGGCATAATCTCCTCTGCCCTTTCTCTGGGGTCAGCTCATTCTTGTTCACTCTTGGTCTGGGATCAGAAATAAAGTCAAGAATATTATTATTGGTATGGCCTGGCTTTTTGTCCCCACCCAAAGCTTATCTCAAATTGTGATCCCCAGGTGTTGAGAGAGGGACCTGGTGGGAGGTGATTGAATCATGCGGGCAGTTTCCCCCATGCTGTTCTCATAATAGTGAGTTCTCACAAGATCTAATGGTTTTATAAGAAGCTCTTCCCCCTTCGCTTCCTCTCTCACCTGCCACCATGTAAGACGTGGTTGCTTCCCCTTCACCTTCCACCATGATTGTAAGTTTTCTGAGGCCTACTAGCCATGCTTCCTGTTAAGCCTGCAGAACTGTGAGTCAATTAAACAAACCTCTTTCCTTTATAATTACCCAGTCTCAGGTAGTTTTCTTTATAGCAGTGTGAAAACAAATAAATACATTGTGAAGGAAATTGAACAAATTCTCTGTTCCTTTATGAAACAGCTTACACTCTAGAAGTAATATAGAAATTGTGACACCTATGAAAACTCTAGACAGTGGAATTTTTCCATCATTAGGAGTTTGATTTTGTAGAAGCCTGAAATATTTGCACATATGATAGCAGTTTGGCTTTTTTTATTCTTCTTATACCCTCAGGCACTTGATCCACTGGCTGGGCTAGAATTTAGAAAGCTTTGCCAAAATAGGCCAACATCATCAACATTTAAAAAAAAAAAACTATTTATGGGACTAGGCAGTTTTCAAAAGGGGAAAGCGGTAAAATTGTTTTGTAACTTCATGGCGTTCTGTTTTTTGTTTTTTGTTTGTTTGTTTAAAAAAAAAAACAGTTACACCTAGCCTTCTAATATTGTGTCTCACACAGCTCAGTCAAGAGCGTTTGCATGCAAAATCCTTTGGTTCTTCAATTTGCACTGAGTACAAAGAGAGATGTTTGCTGGCAATGGGGAAGTTTTGAATCATGGTGTAGGACAGTTTATATGCATCACCTGATAACTGTCTACTGCAGCACTGACATCAGCACTCTACCCTATTAAAGTGAACTCTTATCTAACAATAGTGAATGGGCCACAGACAGCTGTTGGGTTGCCTTAAGCATGACACTACTTGAATATTGATGTGCTTTGAGACAATAAAAATGAGTGAAATTTAGCTTGCCTTCTCTCTAAATGCTTTCTATAGACATATATGAAACCATTTGCATACCTACAGTCTTGTTGTTGTTTTTTTCCGCCTGAGTTCCTACAGTCTTAACTGTGGCACAGTGATGCCCTTGGGAAAAACAAAGGTGAGTACCATACTGCCATTACAATTTGCCTTCCTTTTTTTTTTTTTTTTTCATTTCCTTTACTGCCACCATCTTGCTGCTATTGCTGCTGCTCCTTGCTGATCTGTTCCCTTTGTTGTGTTCACTTATTTTTTTTCTCTTTATTTCTTCCATTTCTTCCATCACCTTGGCTTGCACACCAGCAACTTGGCTTTAAAATCAAACTTGTTTTTTTCTGGTCAGTGAACTAGCCAGTGGCTTTATGTCAGACACAGTCTCGGAAGCTTCTTCAACAACGTTTTCCAGAAGCTGTCCATCCTACCAGTGTCTGTTTTTCTGGCTCAGGCTTTCTACATGCTTTTAAGTTACATGAAGATTGGCTTCTAGGTTCATGAGGCATTATTATGTTTCTGTGTATACAAGCATTATGGATTCATGTTATTCAAACAATGAATTGCCTGTCTGAGCCAAGGAAGAAGTCTCATATTTTGGAAGAAGTGTCCAAAAATAAATAATTTCCCTCAAAATGGAAATAATGGTGGACACGGAGAGGATAATTTGTAGATTATTACACCTATGTGTTCTTTTTTATTTCTTTTTTTTTTTTTTGAGATGGAGTTTCGCTCTTGTTGCCCAGGCTGGAGTGCAATGGCATGATCTCAGCTCATGGAAACCTCCGCCTCCTTGGTTCAAGCAATTCCCCTGCCTCAGCCTCGTAAGTAGCTGGGATTACAGGTGCCTGCCACCACGCCCAGCTAATTTTTGTATTTTTAGTAGAGACAGCATCTGGCCGTGTTGGCCAGGCTGGTCTTGAAATTCTGACCTCAGGTTATCCTCCTGCCTCAGCCTCTGAAAGTACTGGGATTACAGGTGTGACACCTATGTATTCTTTTATTCCACATTCAGTCATTAAACACTGCTCTACATTAGGCATTAGGTTGGGTGTTGGAAACATAAAGATGTTAGAGTTTGGGTTCTCAGTAAAACCTTAAGCTTGCCTTGGAGATAGACTCATAAACCATGAATATTTCATTTTCTCTTAAAGTTTCTATTTACTCATTTATGAAAGTCATATTTAAACAGCTTTTGATTTTAATACCTTTTATTAAGTATTTTTCTCACATTGTAAGAATGATACTTCAAAAATAATCTATCAGAATTAAAACCATGCTTTTCACATGTGGGCATTTATGTAGATATCTTTTGAGGGTTGCTTGGTATTTGAAGAATAGAGGATATTGGTCATTACTGTCATTCAAAAAAAATTAAAGAAAAATACATTTGACACTTCAGAATGTTTTAATCTCTTGACAATGTTACTAAGTCAAAAGATGTGTTAAATTTCATGAAAATATTCAAATTCTTTTTATTGATTTTAATACTGTTTATAAAAATGTTACTATGTCTATAGGTCTAAGTCAAGAAAAATAGTAATCTAATAATTGTGTGAATATGAAACTGGGCAGTCATCCCTTGGTATCTGTGGATGACTGGTTCCAAGACCTCCATGCATACCAAAGCCTGGGATGCTCAAGACCCTAATATAAAATGGCATAGTATTTGCATATGACCTACCAACAACCTCCTGTGTAGTTGAAATCATCTGTAGATTAGGTATAATACCTAATGCAATGTAAATAGTTGTTAGAATGTATTTTTATTTGTATTATTTTTATCGTTGTATGGTTATTTAAATTTTTTCCATTTATTTTTGATCTGCAGTTGTTTGAATCTGTGGATGTGGCACCTGTGCAGACAGAGGGCCAACTATAATTGCTACTCATAAAATACTGTGTGAGTGCTTGTGTGTGTGTTTGTGTTTATGAGACAGATAAGAAGAAACAGATTTCTCAAATACCTGAACTAAAATTAAATTTAACAATCAAGTAAAAACAGAGCTCATAAATCTTAGGACTGAACTATATTATGATTCTTTATGGAAAATAGACTAACATATAGAAAATATCTCTAAGGAGCACTGCTTTTGATATCTTACAAAAATGTTAGGATGTTAAATTGTTTTAATAAATTGCCTTTTATATTTTAAAATTCACATACTGACATAGAAAAAGTGAGTCTTCTTCAAGTTTTCTATTACATGACATATCTTGAAGTCCACTGATACTGGATGCATCTTTGATTCCATTAGCTTAAAACATTTCTGAGATAGGATCTTTCCACTCACTTTCCTCTTGGAGCTCTCTCTATGAGGCTCATTCTGTGATACATTTTTCAATTTTATACCTCACATCTGATCTTGAGTTACTTTATTTGACTTACATTCTTGTAGAATTTTTTAGCATTAATTTTATCAGCCGTTTGCAACACCCTCTGGAATTCATCACTTGAAAGACACTATTGAAGGGGAGCTTAATTGGATGAGATTGATTTCCCCACACACATCATTACACATGCTATATATGTGTGCAAATGCTGCTAAAGGAGAAATGGGGAAAATATGTTATTCTTTCTCTGACATACTATGTAAATAATACTATTAACTTGTTAATGAGTACCAGGAGCTACGTGGAATGTATAGCTTTGGTCTTCTGAATTCTGATTGACACTGAAAATCAAGTGATAGCTCTTTTGAATTGCTACTCACTGATTTAGAATGAATGCACATCCATCTAGAATAAAATCAAATCTTTCTGAATAATCAATTTATAGAGAAGTATACTGTGTCTATAAAACTTTAGTAATCATACTGAAGCATGGGTAAGCTGGTTATACTAATACACAAATTAGGAGTGTCACAGAGTCTTTATGATTACTCAAATATTGTACATTAATAAATTCTAAAACACTCGGAATATACCACTTTTTTTCTTTTCAAATAGCTACACAGTTTCTTATTAACTTCTGGGGTGGAAGATGAAGAAAGAAAGCATACAAATGTCATCTCATTTGCCTTCAAAAATGGTTCCACTTTTTACACAGATATTAGAGCCCAGCATTTGGGGAAATCATAAGAGTACATAGTGGAGGTTTCCTGGGAAGAAAAATAAATCTAGGATAGGGGAGAATAAAAGACCACACAAGGCAAAGCAAAAGCTAGAGGACTAGAGCACAGCCAGTGTGGGATAATCTGAACATGGTAATGACAAGAATATATAAGCATGCAAATATTTTACTACCTTTTCAGAATCTTCCTTGAGTTTGAATTGCTTGGCTGATGGAGAAAGTCAGACTTTTATTTTCAGAGTCTCAGAACCCTTAGTAGTTTTATCTGTTAGGGTATCGTTTTTGACACTGCCAATTTACTTTTATCACTATGTATGGAAGCACCAAGATACACTCCAGGGAATTCCCTGGGTTGCAGAAGAGCTCCTAGTAGCAATTTCCTATTAGTAATCTTGGCTCTGATAGTAATCAGTTCCAATTACTTCTGCCTATATCGTACCTCCTTTCTTTGTGTGCAGACGCACTAGCAGAAAGAGCCCAAAGTGGTCAAGTGATAGTTAGGTTAAGTGGAATCTTTACTGTGTCCCTTAATGGAAGTATCTCCCACACCCAAAGAACTAAGAGTTTTATTCAGTAGGGACTAAAATTGCTAAGACAGAAAGCACAGATTTCATAGGTGGGTAGCAGGGAATATAGTGAGAGAGGCCAATCTTTCTTTTACTCCTTGCTTCTCAGATCTGTGCATTCAAGCTGTTGGGAATATGGTGTCTTAACGTCAGCTATTGGCTCAGTATGAATACCACATCCTGGAGGTAGCATTCCTGCCCTACAGGGCATTGTCCCCAAATTGACACCTGTATGGTATCTTTTATAAACCATTCTATCATTCAGTGAGGTTGTCCACTTTCAGGCCATATAGTGTATGTCAGAACTAGTAGATCTTATGTTCATGCAGTCATTGTTATCCTTATTAATTATAAAATGTGTCCCTTTGTCTCATGTAATAATTTGTTGCCACTGAACAAGTACTCCTGTCTCCCTAGTTGTTGATTGTCTCCTCTACCACAGATGCTCTCTGGTGAGCAATATCATATGCCATAGAGATCCTTATGTTTGTGTGAACTCTTATACGTCCATCCCGAGGGGTAATAGTATTGTGGCAGTCCACTTTCACCTAGAAGCAACATACACAACCATCCATTTGTGAACCATGCCTGGGCTTTTATTTCTGCTAGGTGGTGATAGAGAATATCCATTTCCCACTACAAGACCATACGTGTGAGCTGAGAGAGAAGAGCGTGCAACAGAATTAAGGGGTATGGGAATCTAAACCACTTGTTCATGTTACTTAATAATGTCCTCTAGACATCACTGAGCCTGAACTCATATGTGCTATTTCCATCTTATGGGCAGATTGCTATTATACTGTTCATGTTTCTTACTTGGTGAGCATGATAACACCCAGTTTAGGGTGGGAAGCTTTGGTCACACAATAACTTGATATTCCATCATCAGGCACTTGTCCTCTACTAGTGCCCAGGAGAATGGCAGAGACTGCTTTTACGAATGGCAAGTAGTTCTCTAACTCACAAGGTACAGACTACAGGATGTTGCTTAAAGATTCCAGGCATCTCCCTGTGCAAAGGCTCTTCTTGTACTAGAAAGAGACTATACACAGCCTTTGACGTGTTGGTCACATGGATTGACTGCAGAGTTCTCTCTTACTCTGGGCCCCATCTAAAAGCCTCAGCATTCCAAGGTGCCCATTATGTTGGTTACAGCAGTAATCCTAAGCACACTACATGTAGCCTCCAAGATTCAAAAAATCTCACCAAGAGGCGTGTCTCTTTGTGGGTAGGAGTACATGGGCGACAATTCTTTGCCTTAAAGGGAATGCTACTCTGCCCCAGATCATTAGACTCCTAACATCCTTACTGATACCACAGGTTCCCAAATCTCCACAGTGTTATTCTCCCACTTTCCCTTAGTAGGGAATACAAAGTACTTGCCACTTCTTGATCACCAAGTCCAATTAGCATATTTCATCAATATAGTAGACTGATGCAATATTATTCAAAATATGAAATTAATCAGGATCCATGATAATTATATCATGACAATGATCAGGAGAGTTAATGGAGCCCTGGGGCTACAGCCTTCATAGTCTCCCAACATAATATAACTGCTTTGGATCATCTTTATGAATAGGATTGGAAAACAATGCCAGTTCAATGCGGAACCCTCATCAACGGTATTAGTGCCCTTACAAAAGAGAGCTGAGAGAGCTCCTTTGCCTTGTTTGCCAGGTGAGGACATGGGACAAGGTGCCATCTATGAGGAAACAGCCCTCACCAGATACTGAACCTGCTGGCGCCTTAATCTTGGACTTTGCAGCCTCCAGAACTGTGAGAAATAAATGTTTGCTGTTTATAAACTGTCCCATTTCTGGTATTCTATTATAGCAGACCAAGCAGACTAAGAATGCTCTAATCTCTGCAGTTTTACCGGGGGTGTGATTTTCTGTTTTGGCTGGGCTGGGATCTGGGCGAGAGGTAAGATAGTTTCCGGGACGTCTACTTAGCCTTTCCTACAATAATGGTTATTACTCCACAGGTCAGTGAACCAATGTGAGGGCTCTGCTATCTGCTTAGTACATTCACATCAACCATATACTCAGGAAATGAGTAAATAACCTTAGAGTGGGTTCATGAACCCATCATCAGAGACTTGAGCCAGAACTTTGTATATTTCCTGATCTCTAATTACTCTAACCCTTGAATCATGTTGAACTGTTGGATTTTTGAGTGTCAGTTCAGATCTATTGTCTAACAACACTCAAATTGTTAAGTATTTTCTCTTCTCCAGGTAAATGGCTGAAGATTCCTTTGGGGGAAGATTGGGTAAAATGATTATTGTATATATTTGCAGTAGCATTGCAGGATTCTTCTTCAAGGGGACTTGGCTTCCACCTCAATTGATCAGTTTGGATCTGAGTGTTATATCTGTAAACCAGTGAAATTATACCCTGGCTTGAAGCAGATCAGAGTTACCAAGATTTTCATAGATGGTGGATTGGACTGAGTGCAATGGAAGATGAAGTGTTGGCTTTTCTAATAGCTGAGGTGCTTCAACAGTACAAGGACAATGGTAATAAGGGCTGTGAAGTCGACTGGCTTGTATAACACAAGTGCTTTTAGAGGCTTTGAAAAGAGAAAATAGGCTTTGAAAAGTGCTCAGGTTAAACAGCCAAACAAGGAGAGACACATAAAAAAAGACTATAAATGACACCTTTCTGATGCAATTGGAATCTTAGTTATTTGGATCTAAGCTTTCTAGCTGGCCTCCCATTCATGCTTAGGCTTGTTACTATGTGGTGAGTGCATGAATAAAGATACTGTAGCAGAAACAATTGATCAGCTTTCATAGCATTTATCACCATTTGTTACTGACATGCACTTGTGGCTTTATAGGAGTGACTCCCCGCTGAACTGCAAGCTCTAGTCAGGGATGGGAATTGTGTCTCTGCAGTTTACTGTGGCACATGGCTTAGCACATGGAAGCAGCTCAGATTTTCTCAAATGAATAAAGAATAAATGAACTCGTTGGTGAAAAGTCATGGTTTTATATCTCAAAGTAAAATTTAAGTAAATAGGTTTGGAGATTGGATGAGTCTATTCTTACGGGAGCACCTGCTGGATGAAGTTTAATTCAACTGACTGCTTTTTCGCATATTGTGTGAAACCACAGTGTGGGTGGATTCATTCTCAGGGTCAAAATGCTACCTCCCAGTTTTGGATGATGTGACACATGGGAGCTGCTAACTAAAAGAAAAGGAAGCGGAGAGGGGTGGACTTGAGTATTTGAGTATTTTCTGTGTTTAGAATTTAGATAAACGTGTGAAAGGTTTTTTAAAAGAATCAATCTCATTGATCACTAAAAGAGACATTGTCTTTGTCTCAAAGGAATAGGAAAAACTTAAAATGAGAGACAAAGAGACCAGAACAATCTCCAGGAGACCCATTATCCCACCAGCTCTGCCACTACCTGGTTGAGTAGATTTTAGCCAGGTCTTTTCATCTTGTTGATCATGTTTCCACATCTATGATTTAAGAGGGTTTAATGAGATGATTCTTAAAGTTTCCTCCAGCTCTAACATTCAAGGACACCATGACTTCCTACCCCAGTGTCCACATATCTTCATATTATATAGGTCCACTGGAAATATAGTTCTATAGCTTAACCAGTGGGACTTAAGGACCCCACCAGTTCCTTCAAATGGGAAGGGAGTGGTTATCCTGATGGGGTATTAGAGGAAAAACCTGAGTCCTATCTCCCATTTGAAAGCTTCTCTTTAGCTAACACTGACCGGAACATTGTCTTATTTCCATTTCCCTGAATATGCTATTCCCTCCCATGACCCTGTGTATAATTCACCCACAATCATAAATCTATAGTTTCTTAGGATATATTTCATCCAGCTGGAATTTCATAAACTGTCCACGATTTTGTTGATGGTCAATAATTTTAAATGACTCATTCTCCCCTTGCCTTTGTGATAGCTTCCTTACTGTGGAAGTCACCCACCTTTTTGTGTTTTAAATACTTCTTTGAAGTTTAATTTGCTCTCCTCTTCATAATTGCTTATGCGGAAGCTCCACCATGCACCATTTTGCTTTAAAAGCAGAGTCTTCTGACCTCCTGTCTTCCCCTGCCTACTCCCTAGCCCTCTGTCAGGTAGTCCTCAATTGGCTTCTAATGTCCTATTCATTAGAGCCCCTTGTCTGCAGGCACATGCTGTCACTTGCCAGGACATTTTTCATCCTGCACACTGAGTTACTTTAATACCAATATATTTCAGAATTTGCAAGGGACACAGTGTGCTTAGTACTCAGAGATGCCAAGATATTTAGCATCTCCTCCTTTCCTCAATATATTGATTTTAACAGAAGTATTAGACTAAGTGCTACATGATGTAAAGCTACTTCAACACTGTCCATTGTAAAGGCAAAGTGAATGTGGGAGGTGTTCTAGTGCTCTTTCTAATCAGTGGATTCTTCAAGCTACTGATTAGGGAGCTAAAAGAGGCACTTTTTACCCAGGAAAAGCTGGATTACTCTATGGCAGCAGCCACCGCTGCCCTGACCTGTAGTTCAGTTGCTCTAGGGCTTTGCAAAGGCCTATCCCAGCTGTATACAAAGATGGCCTTTTGAGAGCCAGAGACTATTTTAAAAATTAGATGTCCAAAGCTTGGTAATTTCTGACTTTAGATTTATATTTAGTTTTTGCTTTTATAAATAATTATATACAAAAGAAGAGATTTATTGCTTTCTTTTTAATACAGCATCACATTCATATGCACAGATGAAAATAACCTATAAAAAAAAACAAGTATCTGGCATTCTAGGTATGGAATGTCATTATTATCAAACAAGTACCTGAAATTCAATATTTTTGTTTTGGATGACAGAAAAAGAACTACGGTCAGTTTCAGAAATAAACATGAAAGCTGAGTTTTAGCAGAAGCCCACTTGAACAGATATCATATGCTAGAGAGAAGGACAACAGATCCTACAGTTCTATGTGTATAAGAAACACAAATAGACATCATTATCTCTGCCCCAGGGACTTAACCCCTTGGGGAAAAGACCAGTCTTCCAGGCTCCTTATCAAACTAAAATAATTTTGAAACACATTTTTCATTTCCTCCAGCACTGGTTTAAAAATGTTTGCAGATAGATACTGTTTGTTGTTGTTGTTTTTTTCTCCCTTCATTTTGTTTTCAGTGTTCATAAGGACAATTAAAACCCAGGCTGTAATAAGGCATCTGTTGTAAACAAGTTCAGACAAAGGAAGCAATTTCTGTGGCAAGTATGGGGCATAAGGAGACGTAAAGGGCTGCATTATAGAAAGCATAGATAATAACAGAAAATAAACCCTTTTCACCTCCAACCCACTCCACATACCGTGTGGATCTCATTGGCTAAAATTACAGCTTTGTAAGTTGTTTTTGGAATCATTAAATAGCAAAAATAGCAAATATATTGTTAATCTTTAAAATTTACATTAGAGATTCTGGCCACAACCTGTATTTCTCCATTCTAAATTAAGAGCTGATAGGATTTTCCTGTATTTCTCCAGTCTAAATTAAGAGCAAATAGGTATCTACTTACAGCATCAACAAGAATACACCCTGCTAGAGTCCCTTCCTTAGTGTGTGTGTGCACAATCACACACACATACACAGACATGCACACGAGACACACTGCGCTGAGTGCACAGACTTGTGCAAGGAGACACACATGCACACATGTGCACAGGTATGCACAAGTGCACACTCACATACATGCACAGAAATGTACCCACAGAGACACGCTTACGCACAGGCACATGCACCCACAAACACACACAATTCCCTGGCCAGTCACGGAGAGGAGGTATCTGTCTTTCCATGCTCCGTTTTAGGCTGCTGGGCTTCTGAGTTTGTGCTCATTTTCATTGCTGAAAATAATCATTTTCAGCCTAACTCGCCTCAGTGCCTCAGGGACAGTTCATTCCTATTGCTTCCTCTATATCCTTTTCCCACATTAGGCCCCAAAGCCAAATCTTTCCATTTCAAAGAAAAATCGCTGTTCACCAAACTGGACAGCATCTATATTTGCCCAGTTAGAAGATGCTGCTTTTCACATCTTTCACTGAAATACAGGACAGTGACACAGAGTTCTTAGAGTGTTCCTTTTCAGGAGACAGCTTAAGTGGTAACTTTCTGCCTCCCCGCTCCTACTGGAAAGCCAGTGGTGTGGTTATCAAAAAACTAAGTCTATTCCCTCACTACCCCTGGGCAGGGATTGTGTCTTATTCATCTTGCATCTACAGTGCCTAGCAAAGCGCCTGTCACGGAACAGAATCCAGTAAAGATCTCTTCAATAAATGCAATTTCAGCATTAGATCCTTCTCCCTCAATTTCTCAAATTTGTGCATGCATACTCACAGGGGTATGCCCTTGTGTGCCACGGAGCATGAGCAGTCACAAGATAAACACAGTATCTCTCCAGCTTCTTGGAAAATCCATTTATTTTCTAAGTCATGTTTAAAAGATTATTTTTCTATTAAAGCAAACATTGGATAAGGAGAATCTAATAAATGTCATGTTGGTAGTTGTGGTAAAGATCATGAGCTTTGAAGATAATTTTAAATTCTGTACCTACCACTGTTTAGTGATATGACCTCAAGTACCTTCTAAAAATTCTTCCAAGCATTTTTATTCTCAGTTGTAAAATGAAGACAATCATAACTGTTTTATAGAGACTTGGGGATTCAAATAAGAGAATATACACAATTGTAGTTAAGAGTGATACTGGAGACAGTCACCGTGGCACTAAATGTGATTGCAGCAGCATACTAATATTGGTAGTAGCCACAATAATGTTGAGATTAGCAGGGGCAATTGTAACAGCCACAGAAATAAATAGCAAAAGGAGTGAGTAAATAAGCAATTCAATGCACAAATAAATATGAAAAGTTAACCTAAAAGTAAGGGCACTAGCCTTTTAAGTCAGTAGACACCAAAGAGAATCGTTTAATCCTACTACTCGGTTTTACAGGTACAGACAAGGAAACTGAGGCTCAGAAAACTTAACAAAGTTACTCACCCAAGTTCATCATACTTACTGACAAAATCAAGACTAGAACCACTCCATTCCAGGTATAGGGGGTGTAGGCTACAGTATGATCTGTCATCTCTGAATATAATTATTATCCTTATGCAGCGGTAAAGATATATGCCCAGGCTCAAAAGTGGAGAATGGATGGTCATGCACACTGTAGCAAAATGAACCTGGACTATAGAGCCTGAGATTGAAAATCATCTCTGCCAGTTCCAAGATTTCTGACTGTGGCCAAGTTATTTAATCTCTCTGAAAATTGTTATCTATATGTGGGGTAAAGACGATACCATCTGCCTTGCAGGTTGATGAGAGAATTAGAGAAACTGTATCAAAGTGCCTTGTGACACGTAGTGGCAGACACTAAATGATAGCTTTTCTATATTTATCCATTTTCTTCATTGTCACTCATTTTTAATGTCTTTTCAAATACAGTTACCAATCCCATAGGAAAAATAATTATCATGCACAGGGTATATTCCAAACATGACAGGAGCTAGAGTTATAAAATACATTAGAAATTCATGGGGTTTATGGCCTCATCCTGATAGTCACTAGAGTTTCAATGATAATACTTGACTTTTCTAAGTGGTAAATTTCTTCACCACTACAGGAATTAATACAGGGGTGGGGTGAGGGTATAAAATAAATTGAAAATTTTAAAGACAGGGAATTTTCTTAAGAACAATAATAACTAGAAAGCAGACTAAACACTTGATATAGTTGTCTCATACTATTTTTATTTTGAATGTGGGTTTCTTTTTTCCTGTTTTAAAGGAATTCTCTCACATTCTGAAGAACATGATGTCATATTTGTCAACCAAGTTCTGACCTGGAAATAAAAAAAAATTATAGCTAAAAAGTGAATTACGGAATAACTGCACAGATCAGTTCTCTGTGCTCTATCTAGCTCATTCCTCACCATCACCAAAAAAAAAAAAAAAGGGAAAGGAGGCAGTATGATCACATAATAAAGGAAGATTATTTAAATCAAGAATAATGTTATTGAAAACTTACTAAATTATTGTTATTTTATTCATGTTCCCTGGGCCTGGTGACAAGCCCATTTGGAGCAGCACTGGCTGCTTGGAAGAGGCTAGCAGGGGAAAGTAGAAGGCGTTGGCCACAGCAATCAACCTCTGTGTGACCCTGAGCTGTTTCTGAACTCCTCACAGTCTCAGATACATTGAACCCATCTCTAAAGTCTGTTCCAGCTCTAACTTTATATCCTCTGACTCAGACCAATAGAGTGCCTAAGAACTAAAACCATAACCCTTCCTCAGGCAGAGTAAACCGGGGACCTCTCCTTAGCTTTGCTGTATGCTGGTATCAGAACAGGGGTAAGGGAATGAAGTTATGAGAAAGCCACTATTTTGAGATAGTATGCTGACCCCTGGGGTATCCACACCTACTCCCAGTCATTCAATCAAATGCAAATCTGGATTCGCTGTGAAGGGGTCTTGCAGTTCCACTGAAGGACCCATGCCAGTTAATTTTAAGAAACGGAGGGATTATCTGGGTGGGCCTGACCTAATCAGTCTCATTAGCCCTTTAAAAGCAGAGAGATTTTTTATTTTTCTCAAGCAGGCCACAGAGGAAGAAGTCAGAAACACATGTTCTTCTGGGCCTGGAAAGAAGCAACGCTATGCTGTGAATTTCCAATAGGAGCCACATGGCAAGAAATTGTGAGTGGCTTCTAGGAGCTGAAAGTGGCCCCTAGCTGACAGCAGGAAAATGTGGACCTCAGTCATAGGACCACAAGGAAATGAATCCTGGCAAAAACATTGAGCTTGAAAGCATCTTGATGTCAACGCTGTGATAATCTGAGCACAGAATTCCACCATGCCATTCCCAGACTTCTGATCTACGGAACTGTGAACTCATAAAAGGATATTTTTAAGCCATTAAGGTTATGGAAATTTGTAACATAACAGTAGAAATCTAATATACCTCTATGATTAGAGAAAATAGTAGATAATTTAATAGTTGTTTCTTATATTGAAAAATACTTCTTAGGCATTCTACTTATAATTTCCTCTTCATGTAGCTCAGCTGAAATGTCATTCTCATCCACAGTTTGAGATAGTACACTGGCCCCCGGTGTACACGTACCTTCTGTTAATTATGTACTATAAATCACCAGGTCAGCCTTTCTCCAGGTAGGCAGAACTGGACCTTTCTCTACCTTAAGGCAATTTCCCTCAAGGGAAAAACAGAGGATCCCAGGAGGCAAAACACAAAACAAGACGCTGCTATTTCAGAGCATTCTCTACCCCAGGACTGTTTGCTTTGTGGAGATTGGGAGTCTAAATTTAAATGGCCTCATACAAGAACTCTACCCATTAAACTTTGTTTTTCTTTATCGCAGTAGTACATTTTATTTCAAGATGGCTACAGCAAGTGAGCAAGCTGTTGGTCAGGAAGCTGGGGTGTGCTGAAAATTCCCCGGTGATTCATTTATAGAGAGAATGACAAGAGTTCTGAATGGACAAGAGGGGAACGGTGGCCACAAGAAAGCTCTGGGAGTATCATTAAACCAGTTTCCTTATTGTTCAGAACCGGACAGGTTCCACCTGGTCTTCACTCTTGGGTCCAGGTGGCTCCAACTGCATGAACCAAAATAAAGGGCATCTGCAGGTTTTCCAGAGGGAGAATGACGCAGAGAGGAGGTAGAGAAAACATTAAAAAGAATATTTATTTTCTAGGACCATGGAAAGCTGAGTAGTGAATTTTATTTTTAACTTCATTTTTTGATCAACCCTTTTCTTGAAAAGAAAACGCTAGCGATTTCACTTAAGGCACAACCAGAGCGCCACCATGTGGTGCAGTCTTTATGGACGCACGCGGGCTTAGAGTGGGTTTGCAGACTGAGAAAGTATTGCAAGAAAAAAATTGTACATCGTGACAAAAGCCAGAAAACTTAATAATAAAGATCATGCGTGTTTTCGAAAGTTTGGTGATAGCCTTGTTTTTTTTATCATCGTATTTCTAGAAGGTATGACAATGACTCTCACATTTAAAACTGTGTAAGGTTATCACTGGTGTCATTTTTAAAGTGAAGTTATTTTGTTTAATTGCCTTATTTAAAAAAACAGAACCGAGCTAACACTAGCACACAGGAACAGAAAAGTATATGCTCTGCTTCATGAATACTCACATTTTTTTGCAAATTCCTCATAGAGATCAGCTGGTATTAGTGGATTTCTAGATTATTTGTTTGGTTGTGAGGTTGCTGTTTGTGAGCAGATAGAAAAAAGGTGATCTCATTCATCAATTCGAATAATGAGTTCAATCATGTTGTGTCCTTGTAACACTCTGCTTTAGGTTAAAATTCTGGAAGAGAGTGCGTGATTAGCTTTTCTTGATCTTCTGACCAACCTTTGTCCAGGGGCCCTGACTTACAGTCTGGCCAAGACTACATGCAATGAAGGGTAGTTCACAAAATCAAAAGTAGGCTTAGAATAGCAAGGAGGTAGGCAAAAGCCAGCATATGACAAGTGTGCTTTGTGTCATTTCAGGGACTAGTTTATCCCTAGATATCACTAGGCACCAAACGTATGGCACACATACATGTCCTAACTCCCAGTGTCTGCTTACTGAATGATGCAGAGCATCCTGAGCTGCCTGAGATCTTCTGGTCCATGGACATTCTGCCACTATGGGCTCCTGATCAAAGTTTAATCTCAGAGTCACTGAGGTCACCTGCCACTATATTATAAGCTTCCCAGAAGCTCACACAGTATCTGCTTTCACTGTATCTTAGGTCCATTTCTGGCCCGAAGATATTTGTGTTTTGTTTTTATGCTGCATATTCAGGTATTTCAATGGGAAACTACCTAAAAAGGACCTGAAACCTTCTGGACACCTTGGTGAAATGATTTTTCTCTTCTGCAAGGAGATTAAGTCATCATTAATGCTGTCACTGTTGCTTTTGTGCAGTGTGCTGTCTTTGTGTCCTTGCTAAGAAAGAGCTTGCTTGTGATGAAAAAGACCCATATCGTGTCTGAAGATTCCTTACTCTTTCAAATTTTGCTTTAGAAATTACAATGTGTTTAAATATTCTTTGCCAAAATATGTCCCTTTCTTCGAGGACTTATGACTGCTTTTTTTTTCAGTTATTTTACAGTATATATATATATGAGGCAGAAGTTTTGATCAGTGCCCCAAATCAATGAAAAAAAAAGTTGTTATAAAATGTCACCTTGGCCTCTTAATTTGTCACCTGTATGAAAATTATAAAGGAGGTCAGAACATTTCTTCCCCACATTTTTCTGCCTTCCCAGCAATTACCCAGTTGTACCCCTCAAGAAACTTCTTATTTACAGGCCTGCAGTAATCCCTACTGCAGGTGCCTTCATGGCTGTTTCTTGATATTGCATGATTGCTAGTTCATTGTAATAAAAGAATATCTTCTGGCCTGAGAGAGAGAGAGAGAGAGAAAGAGAAAGCCAGACTTGCCAGGAGAACTGGAAGTCTTCTGACTCAGGCCATGGCTTTTCTCATAGATGACTTTGTTTCTCCACAATTGTGATCTTTTCTCTCACTGATGTCTAAATGACATTACTCTTATGTTAGAAAATACTGAAAAAGAGATTATTAAAATATCTAATCAGCTCGTTATAATAATACATCTATGCTATTCGGTAGCTTTAAAACCTCTTTACAAACAGTTGGTGGTAGGTTCAGACAATTTCTGAGCAGAAGAAGCTTCTATTCTCTTAGTATCACATGCTTAATAGTTGATGTTGAAACATTCTTTGTCTTGGAGGATTATTTTTTAAACTGTCTTAGTGATGAAATATCAAATTATAAAATATACTGAGCTACAGGGTGATTTTTCATTTTTGTACTTGACTTATTTTAGCATTTCACCTAAGTGCTGCTTTTTCCAGCAGCTTTTTTCCCCAATTTCTATAGAAATGTCATTAGAAGGAGTAATTTTCCCAAATGCCCTATTATTTCTAGGTGAGCAACAAAAGTAAATTGTCTGCTGAAGACAAAGTAGGCTGAGAGGATATATCACTGATACATGTGCATGCTGCCTTTGTCAGGTTCTTGGTACTTGCTGTGTGGAAAAAAGAGTACACAAAAAAAGTTATAATGTGTTTTTAACAATGTAGCCACAGCCTGGTGGCTCACACCTGTAATCCCAGCACTTTTGGAGGCCAAGGCAGGAGGATCACTTAAGGTCAGGAGTTCGAGACCAGCCTGGCCAACATAGCAAAACCCTGTCTCTACTAAAAATACAAAAATTAACTGGGATTGGTGGTGCGTGCCTGTAATCCCAGCTAGTCGGGAGGCTGAGGCAGGAGAATCCCTTGAACCCAGGAGGCGGAGGTTGCAGTGAGCCGAGATCACGCCACCGCACTCCAGCCTGGGAGACAGGGCAAGACTCTGTCTTAAAAAAAAAAAAAAAAAAAAAAAAAAAAAAAAAAAAAAAGAAAGGAAAAAAGAAAAGAAAATGTAGCCACTGCTAGCCATTAAAAACGCTGAAATAAGAATCTTTATTCACTTTGTGTTTTTTTCTTCTAACAGACTTTCTTCTACCACTGACTTTGGAAGATGAACACGTTGATTTATACAGATTTTAGAGGACAGAAGCTCATTTTGTAACTCCCTGCAGGGTAAAAACCTACTTCTTACTTTGGCATATGAGACTTTACCAAATGTAGCCTTAATCATTTATGTGCAGCTCATTTGCAGCATTCCTTATTCTGGCTATATTCAGTTGCTATTATCCAGGGATACAGACACTCTCTTGCTAGTGAACTTTTATCATACTGTCCCTTGTGCCTGAAATACATTGATCTTACTCATCCTTCCTGATCAAGATTAGGGGTCAGCAAACTGTGACCATGGATCACATCTGACCTGCCACTCTACCTCTTTTTGCAAATAAAGATTTATTAGAACACAGCCATGCTCATTTATTCCTATATTGTCTATTACAGCTTTTGCACTATGACTGCAGAGTTGAATACGTACAGCAGAGACTAGCCACAGAGCCTAAAATATTTCCTATCTGACACTTCACAAAAAAAGTTTGCTGATATCTGGTCTATATCAACATTATTTTTCTGGTGAAGTAGTCACTCCATCCAAGTCTCCTAGTCAACTTATCATTTCTATAATCCTAGAGCATTCTTCACAAGCCACTAAAGAGTAACTAGCATTGTTAGAAAATGTGTTTATTCTATACTATAAGGCAATAGTAACCAAAACAGCATGGTACTGGTACAAAAACAGACACATAGATCAATGGAATAGGTTAGAGAATCCAGAAATAAAGCTACACACCTACGACCATCTGATCTTTGATAATGTCAACAATAACAAGCAATGAGGAAAGAACTCCCTATTCAATAAATGGTGCTGGGATAACTGGCTAGCCAGATGCAAAAGAATGAAACTAGACCACTACCTTTCACAATATGCAAAAATTAACTCAAGATTGATTAATGACTTAAACATAAAATCTAAAACTATAAAAACCCTAGAAGAAAATCTAGGAAATATTATTCAGCACATAGGCTTTGGCAAAGATGTTATGATGAGGATTACCAAAGCGATTGCAACAAAACAAAAATTGATAAATGGGACCGACCTGATTAAACCAAAGAGCCTCTGCACAGCAAAATAAACCATCAACAGAGTAAAGAGACAGCCTACAAAATGCAAGAAAATTTTCACAAACTATGCATCTGAAAAAGGCCCAATATCCAGCATCTATAAGGAACTTAAATAATTGAACAAGTGAAAAACAAATAACCCCATTAAAAATGGGCAAAAGACATGAACAGACACTTCTAAAAAGAAGACATACAAGTAGCCAACAAATATATGAAAAAATGTTCATCATCACTAATCATCAGAGAAATGTAAATGAAAACCACAATGAGATATCAACAGTAAAATAACAACATATATTGGCAAGGCTGCAGAGAAAAAGGAATGCTAATACACTGTTGGTCGGAATGCAAATTAATTCAGCTACTGTGAAAAGCAGATTGGAGATTTCTCACAGATCTTAAAACAGAACTACCATTCAACCCAGGAATCCCAATACTTGGTATATACCCAAAAGAATATAAATAATTATACCATGAAGACACATGCACATGTACGTTCATTATAGCACTTTTCACAATACCAAAGACATGGAATCAACCTACCTGCTCATCAGTGGTAGACAAGGTAAAGAAAATGTGATACATACATACTGTGGAACACTACACAGTGATAAAAAAGAATGAAATCATGTCCTTTGCAGCAACACAAATGCAGCCGGAGGCCATTATCCCAAGTAAATTAACACTGGAACAGAAAACCAAATGCTGCACGTTCTTACTTTTAAATGGGTGCTAAGCATTGAGTACCCAGGGAAACAAAGAAGGGAACAATAGATATGAGAACTTACCTGAGAGTGGAGGGTGGGAGGAGAATAAAGACCAAAAAACTACCTATTGGGTACTATGTTCATTACCTGGGTGACAAAATCATTTGTACACTGAACTCCAGCAACACACAATTTACTGATGTAATAAGCCTGCACAGATACCCTCTGAGTCTAAAGTAATAATTAGAAAAAAAAAAAGAAAATTTGTTTATGAGCCTATCCATCCCAAAGCAACTTTTCATTTCCTGTAGATCAGGACTATTTTATTTTATTTGTTGCTACATGACCAGTTCCAAGAACAATGACAGAATAGAGAAAGTGCTCAGGCAATGTTTGTGGAATAGTGAATAAAGTATTTGAGAAACCAACTAAAACCCAAACAGGAGGAAATGACAAGTAAAATAAAATATTTTCCACATTTTTTTTCACTGGATATGTTACTTATTATAGTTTTATAAGAATTAGATATTTCTTTGGGGATAAATTGTCTTCTGGTTTAGATAACTTCCATAAAGTAAAATCAAATGGTGCTATAGTCCCATTTGACTAGATATGTCAAGATGACTATTTCTAGGCAGTTCAGTGTATAAGGGTAGCTATAAAATATTGGTGCTGATATTTTAAAGTGGCATCAAACACATGAACGGGAAAATTTTTTCCAGTCTTTGGCACATGCATTTATGTCTCCGATGGTGGTAAATCTTCAGTCTTGGGGTAAGGGATGAATGGATTTAGTTTTTTAAAAGTTCCGTAGTCATCTGGTGACACATGTTATGAATAAGGTAGGTGATAAAGTTGAGAAATTTTTTTAATCTAACAAGGAATATTCTTATGAAGCAACAAGAATGATGTTTTGTGTATATCTGAAATTGGCTCATTCAACAAACAACAATTGAGTTCTTATTGTATAAGAAGTGTTCAGAAGGCAATTCCAAATGAGGCCTTCCCCAAATGTTTGAAGAACATAAGAGTATATGTAAGGCCCAGCACACATGTGATGAGTAATTACAAATGAAGATGAGCCAGACAGACTCAGATATGAGTGGAGGACTGATGAAAACTCCTACTTAGATCTTCATACCAAAATTGGGCAAGAGAGCATTGGCCCTTATCACTTGAGAAGGAGCAGTGTCTTCCTCCTTTGTTGGGTCAGTCAAAAGAGCACAGGTGGACAATGCTAGGCTGGTATGTGGGAGTCAGAAATAGAACACATAGGACGAAGGGGCAAAATCGAGGCTAACAGCAGATTTGAGGGTCAAGTTGGAAAAGTTGAAGTAGAATTCGATCTCAGAGGCAAGTGTTAGGCAGGAAAGCCAGAGGTCAAGAGCTGAGTGAATACAAATGAAGCAGGACAGGGGACAAGAATGAGATGAAGGGTCGGGCATGGTGGCTTATGCCTGTAATCCCAGCACTTTGGGAGGCCAAGGAAGGCAGATCACAAGGTCAAGAGATCGAGACCATCCTGGCCAACATGGTGAAACCCCGTCTCTACTGAAAACATAGAAATTAGCTGGGCGTAGTGGCACCCACCTGTAGTCCCAGCTACTCGGGAAGCTGAGGCAGGAGACTGTCTTGAACCCGGGAGGCGGAGTTTGCAGTAAGCCGAGATCGCACCACTGCACTGTAGCCTGGTGACGACAGAGCAAGACACCGTCTCAAAATAAAAGAAAAGAATGAGATGAAGGAACAGGGTCCAAAACTTTGATTATGAGCATCACCTGGGCTCCTAGAGTCCCCTTGTATTGGATGTTGACAAAGTAGAGGGTATGGGGTCCACATGGGCTAAAGGCACAAGGTCAAAGCAAACATAAAGAAACTCTGTGAAACTCTGTGTTCAGATTGGAGGAAACAACTAAAGGAAAATGTCAAGATAATCACTCTTTTTTTTTTTTTTTTTGAGACGGAGTCTCGCTCTGTTGCCCAGACTGGAGTGCAGTGGCACGATCTCGGCTCACTGCAAGCTCCGCCTCCCGGGTTCACGCCATTCTCCTGCCTCAGCCTCCCCAGTAGCTGGGACTACAGGCGCCCGCCACCGCGCCCAGCTAATTTTTTAAATGTATTTTTAGTAGAGACGGGGTTTCACCGTGTTAGCCAGGATGGTCTCGATCTCCTGACCAATAGCAACCTGCTACTTCTATTTTTTCATGTTGAAAAATTATTTACAAATATATGTTTAGTCTACTTCCTAGGACACAGTCTTTAAAAATTAGTAAATACAAAATGCTTCCACAGGAAACTTCTTCCCTGACATTTCCTCATCTGTCGTCTTTCTTTCTTCCAACCCTCAGAAAAATCCTATCAGATACAGATGAGAAGCCTCTGTCAGGAGGCACTCCCTTTATGACCCGAATATTTATAGTCTCAGACCCTGTAAGACACATAACTCCTCTACTAACCCACAGAAGGTGAGGTCTCCCTTAAAAATTAAAAAATGCCTCAGAGGCACAAACCACTGTTTCATTTTTTTATTTTGTCGTACTGGAGGTTATATTCACCTGCAAATGAGGTACAAAGAGCCAAAATCTTTAATCAGAATCAAAGATCTGTGCTTACTAGTTACCTTTGTACTGACAAGGAGTTTCACACAAATAGAACTGCAATAATGTTTATTTTCCTGGCAGCCAAAACCATAATGCTCTTACAGATATTCAACTGTCTGTAACATTCTTGAAGAGTAAGAAAGGACAAAAATGACTAGGCAGCCAACAAGGTGAGCAAAGCATTCAGGATTTTATATGTGGAAATATCTAATTTTTAAACACCATGGGTCATCTTAAGCCCCAGATGGCTTGTAAGGTAGGCAGGAATATGCCTAGTCTGATTTTTTAAAAGGCCTACTTTACAAACTGGAAACTTTTTATACCACCCCCTTCCTGACCTGGCCTGAGGAAGAACTAGACTTCAGCACTATCCTGAACGAATTAATCTCTAAAACAATAATTGCTAGGACAGGAACTTGAGCAGACATCTGGAGATAGGTTTCCAAGCTGGGCGAATTATCACATTCCCCTGGGAGCTATCAAAGAGTACAGAAATAAAGGGAGCAAATCTGCAGGCTCCATCCCTAGAGAATGATTCATAAACCTGGGGTGTGGCTAAGACTTTTCATATTAAAGGACTCCCCAGGTGACAGTGAAGATCAGCCAGGTTTAGGAACCACTGGTTGATTGTATTTTCCTTGCACCAGGAAAGGGCACCCCTAAATCACCCTCCACGAAAAAAATTAAAAAAACAAAAACAAAAACTTTTTCTTTAAAGACAAAATTTCCTAATTTCTTCATGTAAAATATAATCAAACTGTAAAGCCCATTTGGAAATAATCGACACATCTAGAGTCTATTTAAATAGCTACATTTAGATTAAGATTTCCCTTTACAAAGTAATTCGTTTGTGAAATTACACACATGTTCTCTCTTTTACTGTTATTGTACTGCATTTTGGAAGGCATAAATAAAATATAGCCAAGTACAAAGATAAAAATCTACTGGCCCAAAACAGAATATACTGGCTTATTTTTATATTTGCATCAGGTCTTTTTTGTTATTGTCAGTTTGCTTTAGAAAATAAAACTGGAGTAAAAATTAAACCCATCCATTTCTTTCACCACTTCTACCTACCATCTCTCCTTCTCTCCAGTTCAATAAACACTATCCGGAGGAGCCAAGATGGCCGAATAGGAACAGCTCTGGTCTACAGCTCCCAGCGTGAGCGACGCAGAAGACGGGTGATTTCTGCATTTTCATCTGAGGTACCGGGTTCATCTCACTAGGGAGTGCCAGACAGTGGGTGCAGGTCAGTGGGTGCGCGCACCGTGTGCGAGCCGAAGCAGGGCAAGGCACTGCCTCACTTGGGAAGCGCAAGGGGTCAGGGAGTTCCCTTTCTGAGTCAAAGAAAGGGGTGACAGACAGCACCTGGAAAATCGGGTCACTCCCACCCAAATACTGCGCTTTTCCGACGGGCTTAAAAAACGGCGCACCACGAGATTATATTCTGCACCTGGCTCGGAGGGTCCTACGCCCACGGAGTCTCGCTGATTGCTAGCACAGCAGTCTGAGATCAAACTGCAAGGCGGCAGGGAGGAGCGCCCGCCACTGCCCAGGCTTGATTAGGTAAACAAAGCAGCCGGGAAGCTAGAACTGGGTGGAGCCCACCACAGCTCAAGGAGGCCTGCCTGCCTCTATAGGCTCCACCTCTGGGGGCAGGGCACAGACAAACAAAAAGACAGCAGTAACTTTTGCAGACTTAAATGTCCCTGTCTGACAGCTTTGAAGAGAGCAGTGGTTCTCCCAGCAAGCAGCTGGAGATCTGAGAACGGGCAGACTGTCTCCTCAAATGGGTCCCTGACCCCTGAGCCCCGAGCAGCCTAACTGGGAGGCACCCCCAGCAGGGGCACACTGACACCTCACACCAGCAGGGTATTCCAACAGACCTGCAGCTGAGGGTCCTGTCTGTTAGAAGGAAAACTAACAAACAGAAAGGACATCCACACCAAAAACCCATCTGTACATCACCATCATCAAAGACCAAAAGTAGATAAAACCACAAAGATGGGGAAAAAACAGAACAGAAAAACGGGAAACTCTAAAAAGCAGAGCACCTCTCCTCCTCCAAAGGAACGCAGTTCCTCACCAGCAACGGAACAAAGCTGGATGGAGAATGACTTTGACGAGCTGAGAGAAGAAGGCTTCAGACGATCAAATTACTCTGAGCTACGGGAGGACATTCAAACCAAAGGCAAAGAAGTTGAAAACTTTGAAAAAAATTTAGAAGAATGTATAACTAGAATAACCAATACAGAGAAGTGCTTAAAGGAGCTGATGGAGCTGAAAACCAAGGCTCGAGAACTACGTGAAGAAAGCAGAAGCCTCAGGAGCCGATGCGATCAAATGGAAGAAAGGGTATCAGCAATGGAAGATGAAATGAATGAAATGAAGCGAGAAGGGAAGTTGAGAGAAAAAAGAATAAAAAGAAATGAGCAAAGCCTCCAAGAAATATGGGACTATGTGAAAAGACCAAATCTACGTCTGATTGGTGTACCTGAAAGTGATGGGGAGAATGGAACCAAGTTGGAAAATACGCTGCAGTATATTATCCAGGAGAACTTCCCCAATCTAGCAAGGCAGGCCAACGTTCAGATTCAGGAAATACAGAGAATGCCACAAAGATACTCCTCGAGAAGAGCAACTCCAAGACACATAATTGTCAGATTCACCAAAGTTGAAATGAAGGAAAAAATGTTAAGGGCAGCCAGAGAGAAAGGTCGGGTTACCCTCAAAGGGAAGCCCATCAGACTAACAGCGGATCTCTTGGCAGAAACCCTACAAGCCAGAAGAGAGTGGGGGCCAATATTCAACATTCTTAAAGAAAAGAATTTTCAACCCAGAATTTCATATCCAGCCAAACTAAGCTTCATAAGCAAAGGAGAAATAAAATACTTTACAGACAAGCAAATGCTGACAGATTTTGTCACCACCCAGCCTGCCCTAAAAGAGCTCCTGAAGGAAGCGCTAAATATGGAAAGGAACAACCGGTACCAGCCACTGCAAAATCATGCCAAAATGTAAAGACCATCGAAACTAGGAAGAAACTGCATCAACTAACGAGCAAAATAACCAGCTAACATCATAATGACAGGATCAAATTCACACATAGCAATATTAACTTTAAATGTAAATGGACTAAATTCTCCAATTAAAAGACACAGACTGACAAATTGGATAAAGAGTCAAGACCCATCAGTGTGCTGTATTCAGGAAACCCATCTCACGTGCAGAGACACATATAGGCTCAAAATAAAAGGATGGAGGAAGATCTACCAAGCAAATGGAAAACAAAAAAAGGCAGGGGTTGCAATCCTAGTCTCGGATAAAACAGACTTTAAACCAACAAAGATCAAAAGAGACAAGGAAGGCCATTACATAATGGTAAAGGGATCAATTCAACAAAAAGAGCTAACTATCCTAAATATATATGCACCCAATACAGGAGCACCAAGATTCATAAAGCAAGTCCTGAGTGACCTACAAAGAGACTTAGACTCCCACACATTAATAATGGGAGACTTTAACACCCCACTGTCAACATTAGACAGATCAACGAGACAGAAAGTCAACAAGGATACCCAGGAATTGAACTCAGCTCTGCACCAAGTGGACCTAATAGACATCTACAGAACTCTCCACCCCAAATCAATAGAATATACATTTTTTTCAGCACCACACCACACCTATTCCAAAATTGACCACATACTTGGAAGTAAAGCTCTCCTCAGCAAATGTAAAAGAACAGAGATAATAACAAACTATCTCTCAGACCACAGTGGAATCAAACTAGAATTCAGGATTAAGAATCTCACTCAAAACCGCTCAACTACCTGGAAACTGAACAACCTGCTCCTGAATGACTACTGGGTACATAACAAAATGAAGGCAGAAATAAAGATGTTCTTTGAAACCAACGAGAACAAAGACACAACATGCCAGAATCTCTGGGACACATTCAAAGCAGTGTGTAGAGGGAAATTTATAGCACTAAATGCCCACAAGAGAAAGCAGGAAAGATCCAAAATTGACACCCTAACATCACAATTAAAAGAACTAGAAAAGCAAGAGCAAACACATTCAAAAGCTAGCAGAAGGCAAGAAATAACTAAAATCAGAGCAGAACTGAAGGAAATAGAGACACAAAAAACCCTTCAAAAAATTAATGAATCCAGGAGCTGGTTTTTTGAAAGGATCAACAAAATTGATAGACCGCTAGCAAGACTAATAAAGACAAAAAGAGAGAAGAATCAAATAGATGCAATAAAAAATGATAAAGGGGATATCACCACCGATCCCACAGAAATACAAACTACCATCAGAGAATACTACAAACACCTCTACGCAAATAAACTAGAAAATCTAGAAGAAATGGATAAATTCCTCGACACATACACTTTCCCAAGACTAAACCAGGAAGAAGTTGAATCTCTGAATAGACCAATAACAGGAGCTGAAATTGTGGCAATAATCAATAGCTTACCAACCAAAAAGAGTCCAGGACCAGATGGATTCACAGCCGAATTCTACCAGAGGTACAAGGAGGAACTGGTACCATTCCTTCGGAAACTATTCCAATCAATAGAGAAAGAGGGACTCCTCCCTAACTCATTTTATGAGGCCAGCATCATTCTGATACCAAAGCCAGGCAGAGACACAACAAAAAAAGAGAATTTTAGACCAATATCCTTGATGAACATTGATGCAAAAATCCTCAATAAAATACTGGCAAAACGAATCCAGCAGCACATCCAAAAGCTTATCCACCATGATCAACTGGGCCTCATCCCTGGGATGCAAGGCTGGTTCAATATACGCAAATCAATAAATGTAATCCAGCATATAAACAGAGCCAAAGACAAAAACCACATGATTATCTCAATAGATGCAGAAAAGGCCTTTGACAAAATTCAACAATCATTCATGCTAAAAACTCTCAATAAATTAGGTATTGATGGGACGTATTTCAAAATAATAAGAGCTATGTATGACAAACCCACAGCCAATATCATACTGAATGGGCAAAAACTGGAAGCATTCCCTTTGAAAACTGGCACAAGACAGGGATGCCCTTTCTCACCACTCCTATTCAACATAGTGTTGGAAGTTCTGGCCAGGGCAATTAGGCAGGAGAAGGAAATAAAGGGTATTCAATTAGGAAAAGAGGAAGTCAAATTGTCCCTGTTTGCAGATGACATGACTGTAAATCTAGAAAACCCCATTGTCTCAGCCCAAAATCTCCTTAAGCTGATAAGCAACTTCAGCAAAGTCTCAGGATACAAAATCAATGTACAAAAATCACAAGCATTCTTATACACCAACAATAGACAAACAGAGAGCCAAATCATGAGTGAACTCCCATTCACAATTGCTTCAAAGAGAATAAAATACTTAGAAATCCAACTTACAAGGGATGTGAAGGACCTCTTCAAGGAGAACTACAAACCACTGCTCAATGAAATAAAAGAGGATACAAACAAATGGAAGAACATTCCATGCTCATGGGTAGGAAGAATCAATATCGTGAAAATGGCCATACTGCCCAAAGTAATTTACAGATTCAATGCCATCCCCATCAAGCTACCAATGCCTTTCTTCACAGAACTGGAAAAAACTACTTTAAAGTTCATATGGAACCAAAAAAGAGCCCGCATCGCCAAGTCAATCCTAAGCCAAAAGAACAAAGCTGGAGGCGTCACACTACCTGACTTCAAACTATACTACAAGGCTACAGTAACCAAAACAGCATGGTACTGGTACCAAAACAGAGATATAGATCAATGGAACAGAACACAGCCCTCAGAAGTAACACCGCATATCTACAACTATCTGATCTTTCACAAACCTGAGAAAAACAAGCAATGGGGAAAGGAGTCCCTATTTAATAAATGGTGCTGGGAAAACTGGCTAGCCATATGGAGAAAGCTGAAACTGGATCCCTTCCTTATACCTTATACAAAAATCAATTCAAGATGGATTAAAGACTTAAATGTTAGACCTAAAACCATAAAAACCCTAGAAGAAAACCTAGGCATTACCATTCAGGACATAGGCATGGGCAAGGACTTCATGTCCAAAACACCAAAAGCAATGGCAACAAAAGACAAAATTGACAAATGGGATCTAATTAAACTAAAGAGCTTCTGCACAGCAAAAGAAACTACCATCAGAGTGAACAGGCAACCTACAAAATGGGAGAAAATTTTCACAACCTACTCATCTGACAAAGGGCTAATATCCAGAATCTACAATGAACTCAAACAAATTTACAAGAAAAAAAACAAACAACCCCATCAAAAAGTGGGCAAAGGACATGAACAGACACTTCTCAAAAGAAGACATTTATGCAGCCAAAAAACACATGAAAAAATGCTCATCATCACTGGCCATCAGAGAAATGCAAATCAAAACCACAATGAGATACCATCTCACACCAGTTAGAATGGCAATCATTAAAAAGTCAGGAAACAACAGGTGCTGGAGAAGATGTGGAGCAATAGGAACACTTTTACACCGTTGGTGGGACTGTAAACTAGTTCAACCATTGTGGAAGTCAGTGTGGCGATTCCTCAGGGATCTAGAACTAGAAATACCATTTGACCCAGCCATCCCATTACTGGGTATATACCCAAAGGACTATAAATCATGCTGCTACAAAGACACATGCACACGTATGTTTATTGTGGCATTATTCACAATAGCAAAGACTTGGAACCAACCCAAATGTCCAACAATGATAGACTGGATTAAGAAAATGTGGCACATATACACCATGGAATACTATGCAGCCATAAAAAATTATGAGTTCATGTCCTTTGTAGGGACATGGATGAAATTGGAAATCATCATTCTCCGTAAACTATCACAAGAACAAAAAACCAAACACCGCATATTCTCACTCGCAGGTGGGAATTGAACAATGAGATCACATGTACACAGGAAGGGGAATATCACACTCTGGGGACTGTTGTGGGGTGGGGGGAGGGGGGAGGGATAGCATTGGGAGATATACCTAATGCTAGATGACGAGTTAGTGGGTGCAGCGCACCAGCATGGCACATGTATACATATGTAACTAACCTGCACAATGTGCACATGTACCCTAAAACTTAAAAGTATAGTAATAAAAAAAAAGAAAAAAAAAAGAAAAAGAAAAATATTACTAAGTTAAAAAAAAACACTATCATAGATTTTCTCTGTAGTTTAAATGTTTATTTTCTACCACACACGTGTATCCATTAACCATATGCACATATTAATTATTTTTTAACTTATGCAAATGGCATTATATTGTATTTAACACTTTGAAACTTCATTTTTTCTTTCAACATTGCATTTTCAACATCTATCCATGTTGAAAAATATACTACATTAAATTATTTTAAGTGCTGTATGAACATTCCATCATATAAATACAGCACCACAATATAGCAAACCATTCCATTAATGGTAGATATTTGAACTTTTCAAAAACATTTACCTTCAGAAAAAATGTTGCTAGAGTGTCCATATATTTCCTTATTAATGCACATACACAAGAATTTCTGTAGGTATTTTAGTTCAACTGCAAAGTTATAAGATATGTACATTTTCAAATTTACTTGAAAATATCTAATTTCTTCCAAAGTACTTATGAAAATTTTAATCAGCAGTGTATGACCGGTGTTTAGTTTCCCAGTTTTGCTAACATTGGCATTTGCAATTGTGTCAATATGATGGTGTCTTAGTGTCGTTTTAATGACATCTCCTCAAATGCTTATGACATTGGATGCATTTTTATGAAATTATGTATTCAACATTCCTTAATACATTTATTTTCTGAACAAAAGTTTTTCCCTCAGAGGAATGTCTTGATCTGCTTGTCTTCCTCATTTTTAGTACCTATTCACTTGATTGTTTATATATATTATCAACAACAATGGACTCATACAGTAAAAAATTCTATCAGGATGAGAGGATTCTGAAAACAATTAAATGAAAATACCAAAAGCACCTTAAAATCTTCTGTAAATATTTATTGAACACTTACTAAATGGCAGTAGAATATTATGATAAAGTGTGCAGTCTTTGAAGCTGAACCACATGGTTTTAAATTCCACCCCCACCATTTTGTAGCTGGGTGAACAAGGAAAAGTCCTTAACCTCTCTGTGCCACAATTGCCACATATATAAAATGGACATCATAATGGTACTTTTCAGTTGAATGTTATATTAGATAATACACATAAAACATTTAGCAAAGCATACAGTACATCATAAATATTCATGTTTTAGTTTTTATTATAGTCATGAAGATGTCACTATTTGTGGGAAGAGGGTAGTGGTGACTGTCATGAGCTATGTTCCTGAGAAAGTAGAATCTAGATAGAAATTAGCATGCAGAAGATTTTTTAGGATGTGCTCTTGGGATTACCACATTGAATGAAAGGAGAGACAACAGGACTGGGCAGACAAATGAGATCGGCTATGTTGCATGTTTTGCAGTGATTCAATACCTATATTTGCAGCCTATCAGAAATATAAAAAATATTGCCATTGAATCATAAAAATTATGAGAAGAAGAAAGAGGAGACAGAAACAGAAGGGAAGAACAAAAGGAAGAAGAATAAAAGAATAGTCCCTGGCACTATTCTAAACATTTTACATATTAACTTATGTAATCCTCACAATATTTATAAGGATAATCCTGGTTTAACAGATGACAGAAGTGAGGTAATTTAAATAACTAGTCCATGGTCCTACAACTAGGATGTCATATAGCTAGATTTTGAACCCAGGCAATATAGCTTCAGAAATCATGTTCTCAACCACTATCCAGTACAGCCAGAATGAATGTCAATACCACTAACAAACCTTATCCGTTTGTTATTGTGATTTCTATTATTGTTCTCTACCAGACGTTTTTCTAGGGTTTTACTTACATTATCTCACTTAACTGAATTCTTATAACTCATGAAGGGTTATCCTCATTTGTAGACGAGGAGAGTAGATGATGTTTAGTTACTTTCCCGCAGACAAGTTATTAGTTGAGCAAGGATTTTACCCTGTGCTTGTTTGGCTTTAAATCCCTTGTTCCTTCCCACTATAATACAGTTTCTCTTTAATAGGTGACTTTATTTTCCAGCAAATTGATGACTATATCATACGTCTTATGTCATGTTTCCCTCAAATAAATAATATCAATTTGTTAACTTCTTCATTGTCTACATTGTCTTAGATTGGCATCCTATGAATATTCCTTGTGTACATTGCCTCATTAAATTACAAATTCAGAATTGAGCATGTAGAGGTTTTGACAGTTTTGAGTACCTAATGGGAAAGTTGCCAAGCACTTCCCACACTCTGAATTCTCATTTAGCATGCCAATGCCATAATTACTTCTTTAATAACAGAATCGCTGAGCTGACTCATATTTAATATGCTTTCTGAAGTGACCAATGGACTTCTTTCTGTGGTGCTCTTATTTCAGATTTCCTACATGCTCTGTCTGTATAATTTGCTTTATAAGTATCCTGAGAATTTTTACCACTTATCAAGTTTGTGCAGCTATTATCCAGTCCTAATCATTTTATTTTCAAATTAAATTATTTTATAAATATGCAATTTTTTAAAAATTTGAAGGCTTTCCTACTAGTTTTATCTGAGAAAGTTTTAATATAGATATGGTATAAAAGAAGGAATATATTATATAAATTCTAAATATTATTTCTTTATCACTAGCCATAGGTGCAGCTTAAAAACTCTTAATTCTAAAGATGCACCTCAATCTACTTCTTAGAAATATTTGTGTGTGTTTGTATATGTGTACTTATTCACAGATGTATAAGTTGATATACTAGGACTCTTAAAAGTAGAAACAGTCTAGTCTTGACAACTTACAAACTTCAGCCCTCTAAGAATATCTTAAATATATCCATGAGAAAAACTGTCTTATTATATTATAAAACCACCACCATGGGCCTTTTTGTTTTGCACAAATAAATCAATTGCAACACCTTTTTCCTGAAAAATATCTTAAACGCAGTGTAACTTAAATGCAGTTGTTTCAGTCAGAGACAATAACTATTCTGGATAGTCATATAAATTATGTCTCCACAGATATTGATGCTTTGGTGGAAAAATGTTCTTTTTCTCCATATGAATTTAGTGATTTGTACTTGTGCTTAGATATTTTTATTGAAACAGTTAGCATTACAAAAACTGTAAGTAGAGACACTGGGGACTCTATGTGGACATGCAGGTATATTCCTGGTCTTATACTGGAGGAGGAGCTGGAAGTGTCTGAGAATGGATGGATCTCAGCTTGATGCAGCTTCATGCTGACAAATCTGTTGGTAACCCACCATTCCTACAGAACTGCAGGACTGCGGAAAAAATTCTGAAGTTAGATTAGTTTATTCTGAGGGGTTTTGAGGGCTCTAGAGCAAGGCCTCTTGCCTCTGGATGGGGATGTAGTTTACTCTTAAGGGGATGGATTTACCTACTGAATTGTCAACCATCCCTTTTAAATCTATATTTATTCCAGTCTCATGGTTTTAAATAAAACATATGCTGAAAACTTCTAAATTTTTAACTTCAGTCAAAATCCCTTCCTTAAACCCCATATTCATGTATCCAATTGCCTTGTCAAAATATCCACTTGGATGTTTAATACATTTCAAACTCAACATGTATTTAAAACTGAGCTCCTCATCTTCCCCAACAAACTTACTCGTCCTTCAGTTTTCTTCTTTCAGTTCCAGACAATTCTACTCCTTCATTTGTAAATAAACCCTTAGATTCCTTTCAATGTCTCATACCCCATATCTGACACATCTCTCAACTCTATATTCAAAATATCTCTTTAACCTGATCAACGCTTAGCCACCCTGACTGCCACCACCAGTCTAATACACCAAAATCTCTCCCCTGGATTATTGCAATAGCCTCTTACCTGATTGCTCTTCTCTGCCCTGACTCCCCTCCAGGCTATTGTCAACAAGGCAACCTGGTAACTCTCAATCCAATGGTGTTACTTCTCTGCTTGGTGCAATCCATTCTTCCTCAGAGCACCTGACAATGGTCTACAAGGTCCCTTACAGTCTGATTCCCCTCATATCCACTATGCCCACCCCCAACCCCATCTACCCACAACTCTGACTTCATCTCCTGATATGGCCCCATTTTTCATGTCACTATAGACACATTGGCTTCTTTACTGTTCCTTACACATGTGAGAAATCCTCCCAACTCAGGGCCTTTGTATCTGTTGGTCCTTGTGCCAAGAATGCTTTTCCTCCATGCAATGGACTGAATATTTGTATGCTCTCAAAATTCACATGTTGATATCATGACCCTCAACACGATGGAGATGAGGCCTTTGAGAAATAATGAGGTCATGAGAGTGGAGTCCTCCATGCATGTGTTCTAACCAAAGAATGCACTAAAAACCATAACACAGAGCTGTTCGATATAGTTCAGAAACTTTAGTTTTAGTTGAAACAAACTACTATGGGCACATTTTACTTGGGAAACACAAACATTAAAGAGATCCAAGGATCCCCCATTTTTTTCCGTCAGTGAAATATATTCAGAAGGTTATAGGGAGGCAACACCACTTTAGGATGAAATTTGAATCCACATTTTTGATTTAGGAGACTGGTTTTACTGAAAGAGTGCCTCAAGCCCCTGAGGATGAATCCCCAGTAAACAAGATCCAATCCATGGGGCCTGATCAGACACCATGTTTTCCATCTTGCTGCCAGTGTGGGACCCTGGTTATAATCCAAAAAGATGGAGCCATGTGAGTACTTTAACCTCGTAACTACTAGGCCTTATCAGAATAGAATTGCTCTTGGGGGTGGGGGAGGGGTTAAAATAAAAATACATATATATATAGTGTGCATGTATCTATATGTACACACAGTATATACATTCTATTTGTGAAGATAAATGGTTTAGATATACTTTTATGGTTATGCAGGGCATAAGAATTGTATAGCCAAGGTGGATTTTTAAGGGAAGTGAGTGATACAGCAACCTATACAACTATATAAATTTACAAAAAAGTTGATGGCCACTGCCAAGAGAAAGAGTATGGGATATCTGGGACTCAGAATTGAGGTCATTAGGTAACCAGAGAACTGCCTGGCTTTATCTCCAAGTTTGGGGCATGTCCCTGGCTCTGTATGTAGAGATATCTTGCATCATCTTCCTCTGGGACTCCATTCACCATCCAGATCACCCTTAAACCTAAATGCAGGTGCTTTTGAACCTTGCTTAGTGCTTTGTGAGAAGAGATTCTGAGAAAACTGGTGAAGGGACTGGGCTTTGTGGCTGAGTGCAGAGCAAAAGGTAATAGTGTAAGCAGATGCAGCGTCCACCATCAGTGATGACCATGACTGAATAAATTACTTATATTTCACGAGGCAACAAAGTTCCATTGACTTCAGGGCTTTCGAGTGAGAATGTGGGAGAGATAAAGAAAGAGAGAAACAAGTTCCATTGATTTCAAGGGCTTTAGAGGCGGAATTTGGGAGAGAGAAAGAAAGAAGCAGGAAGGAAATAAAGGTCAGTATATACTTCTGACCTTTTATCCCAAGCATTTCCTCACAGCATTAGCTGCCTTCTTCTCTTGCTGTCCACACAATATCCACTGTGGGAGTAATGAAACTCTTCCAGGAAGCTATGTAGAGACCACTAAAATGCGTGAGCAGCTCAAAGCCCCATCCTACCTCAAGAGAGCAGTTAATCCCATGCCTCTTGTCCCCATCACAGCCTCAAATGCCAGTCCCTTTGTCATCTCCATCTTTCTAGACTCATTCCCTAATGTTTGATTTTTCCTTCCACCTCACTCATTTTTGACCTAAGCAACATTTTACCTAACCTTCCCATTATTCTGAACTTTTACAATATATGGTTGACAGGGCCTCAGCTGAGAGATTAGACACCGTTGGTTTTAGGAAGCACTCAGACATGGGTGACTTTTTAAAGCCCCAGGAGGTGATTCTAATGTGCAGTGCAATAAGAATCTTAACCCTCCATGCTCCCCAGATTCTAGTCCTATCTTCAACTTAGTTTTCCTCTCCAAATCCTGCCCTTCCTCCAAGTTCTTTCAAGTTTGGACTGTTTCTCAGAAAGCCCAGATGCCTCCGGCCAGGAGGTGTGACTCACCATCTGGCTCCTAAATGCTGTATGAAATTCCTGAAATAACTCATCCTCCTTGGAGTTCTGCCTTTCCTGACCCCCACATCATTTTCCCACCTGCTGTTCATTTTCCAAGCCAACTTCTACCATCATTCTGGGGACTTCTATGAATGTGTAAATCACCCATTTTTTACCCTGGCTTCATGGTTCTTTGACCTTCACAATTAATTCCAGTCATCTCCTTATTTCCTTCTCTTCAGCATGAACACAATTGGAGCTTTGTCATTACCCACAACTGTCGCACCTCAGAAAGTGTATTCACCAACACTAACCTGCTAAGCATAATCTCCTGTCCTTCCAGCTCATACCTGCAATAACTTCAGTCTACCCCTAGTGTAGACCATTTGATCTGGTCTCTGCACTTCTCCAATTTCTCCTGTCTTCCCCCTGTTCAGGGCTTCACTTGATTCAACCTATTCCTCTAGGCACATTATATTAATCATTTCCTCACCATCTCTCTCAATCCCCTCTTGTTGGAATGCCCCTGTCCTGCTATTCCATTCCCACCCTCTGTGATATACATATTTATGGTATCTGATCTTGGTTTTGTGATCACAAAGAGAATAAATGTATTCTAACACTTGCCAGTAGAATGTTCCATTAGCCACAAAAGTGAACATAACGTTATTGTCACATCAACCTTAAGAGGCAGTTGCAATTATTATTGCCATTTTACAGATGAGGAAAATGAAGCTTAGAAAGGTAAATAACTTACCCACAGCCACACAGGTGGTGAACACTGGAGCCTACATTTAAACCATTGTCCATTTAACTCTTGAGATTGAGTTCTTGAGCTGCGATGCTACAATGCCTCTATATATACCATTACAACCGTTTTCAAAGGGGTCTAAATGATGAGGTTGCTATTTAAGTTTTGTTTCTCTATTCAATCAATTATGTTACAAAAATATGATTTGGTTACGTGTTATATTGCAAAATTACTTGTAAAGTAAAATAATCAGTAATTTCTGTTTAAATCAAGTGTAGAATGTTATTAAATTTCATAGACAATCTCTGCTAGTCTCACATCTTTTCCTATATCACTGATCTCTGTGGGTAGAACTTACTCCATCACTTGAAAATCACCTACTTGAATGCTTGCTTTCTTTGGAACTGGGAGGCGTTTTTGTAGATTCAAAAGACACCCACCTCTCATGTCAAAATCACACAAGGAGTAAATTCAGGTACAACCAAGGAACTGAGAATCACTTACATATTTTAGAAACTAGCTTAGTGACCGCTACTTTAGTTTTTTTTTTTTTTTTTTTTTCAAAATAAAAGGAATGTGTTTCTGGAACTAACTATGCATTGGAGTGGACAACCCCAGCCCCTCACCTCTTCAGGCTCCATCTATTTCTCAGCAAGACTCCCCACCATCTCTCACTACTCTTATGCCCACAGTCACTCTGTTCACCTTCTGAAATGGCAGATGTGCCAGTAATCACTCAAGTTGTGAGAACCTGAGAAACAATCAAACTAAGGTATTAAAGAAAATAATTCCGCCCCCTCCCACTGCCATGGGTATTAATGTGACTAGGAATCAAATAAATGGATGTGAATGGAAGAAACCTGGATTCTAGGTCCATCCTATCACTTACGCAAATGATCGGGTTGCCATTTAGCTCTCTGAAGTTCAGTAGTCTCTCATCTTTAAAATGGGCATTGAAGTTTTTGTACCTATAGAACTTAGGCTAGATTTCCTTTAAGAGATAAGATTAGGCATAAATAGCAGAATACCACTCATAACTTAAGAATGAAGTCAATAAAATATCTCTTTCTCATCCACAAAATAAATGAATAGCCTTATTTCCTTATAACCCAATTACTACCTAATCCAAGTCGATACAAATTTTCTAAAAATTGAATTGAATTCACATTTTCCAACTCATCTTCATCATATGCATTTAATTCTTCCTACTTTTGCAATATCTTAAAATATTTTTAAGATAATGAAAGGTAGATGGTGGTAACTACTTTGGAGGTTAAATAACTGGTAAGAAAAGTGTCCAGGGACATAAGACAAAACCTCAGACCTTCAAATAAAGTGTTCTTAATAATTATGCAAGTGTGGTTGTGCAGAATTATTCCATAGATTTTACATATTGCCAGTGCCAGCAACATATAGGTAGTGGATGATTTCTGCCCACACTTTGTGAGCAGCCTCCTCATAAATCCCAAAAGTTAATAATGACAAAAAGCAGTCTTGTCTATTCCCTTTAAAAGCCTGAAGCAATTTGTTCAGCAACCACACTGCTAAGGTAGAGATAAAGAAAAGGAGCATTGAGGGCAGAAAAAAAGGATAAAAAATGTAGAAGAATGTGTATGGAATTAAAACAACCATGGTAAAGAGAAACTGCTCTGGACCATTTCACCTTATTACTCTGGAAATATATTGCTAGTTATAAAGGAGAATTAGGAATTGAAATTTTAGGAGAATAAATTGTGACTCATTCCTCTGTGCTGAGTAACTTCTGACTCCAAATTCCATTCATTACATTATTTATTCAATAATTGCAAAATAAATGAATATAAGTTCCACACAGCAAATTTTACATGTAATACATGATAAACCAAAACAAAACAAGAAAAAAAAAAGAAAGAAAAACACACAGGCATCATTTCTGTATTCCAGACATACCACTCCTTATCCTAACTGTATAGTAGCAACCAATTTCCTATTGATAGGAAAATATAACCCACCCAGTACAGTCTTGTCCTTGTTTGTTTCATGAGTCAATGGCATGAGACACACAACTTAATCAGGTGGCCATCTCAGCTTCCAATTCAATGGCATTATATCCCCTAGTAGAAGACTTCCTCCTGTTGTAATTAAATGCTAACAAGCAGAGCCTAAAGTTATGGGAATAGGAAGCAAACATTTTGCTAGTGGACTTACAGGATTAATGTTGAAAAGAGCCACTTTAATTTCTATCCCATGATTTCTGGACCTATGAATCCTGGTTATTGGAGAAAGAGCACCAAATACTAGATTCTGATTTAGCACATACGCCATATCCTGGAAGACACTGCCAACTCCAAGTTGTTGTACCTGAGCTGGTGCCATAATCAAATTCTTAAAAGCCCATTCCAGCATCCTAACAAGTCAGCTCTTTCAGGACAATGGTATCACATGATACGTCAGTGAATTCCATGAGCATAGGCTTATTGCTCCAATTCATTTGCCGCAAAGTGATTTCCTTGGTTATCAGCAATGCTGTGTTAATGTCATAGTGATGGATAAGACATTCTGTAAATCCATAGATGGTAGTTTTGGCAGAAATACTGCCGACAAGGAAAGCAACTTGGGAGCAGTTTGGGTACTAAGCCATAGCTATAGCCAGACTGGCCTTAGTGATTTAAAAGTTGTGTTGCTGAGCCCATGTTTACCCTCCCTTCTTGCCACCGTGGACTCTTTTTTCCTAAACTCAATGGGCAGCAACAGCAATGGCTGAGGATGGAGGCTCACTGACATATACAAAATAAGTCATTTTTCTACCTGATTATTAAAATCTCCTTCTGCTGAGATCATTCTTGGGTGAGCATTCACAAGGGACACAAACATCTTTACACCAAGGGCCCATTCACGGAGGACTAGTCACATACGTCTCCCCTAGACTTCTCTGTAACCAATTTTCCAATTATGTTCTTTCCAAGTTCCAGACTATCCAGCCAACACTTTAGCTGCAGTCCAGAAATAGGTATAGAACCATAACTCCAGCCATCTCTTCCTTTAGGAAAAATAAACAGCTCGAATTTCTGTCCACTGGATGGCTTCCCTTTATCACTGCTTTTCAGGGCCATCCTGGAGTGGAGCTACAGTGCTACAGCCATTCACCTTTGGGATGTGCCTGTATATTTTGCAGAACCATTTGTTAAACTAGGCCCTGTTTCTTTCTTCTGTAATCAGTTCATCATAGGGTGAGATTATAGGTTAAGAAGTTTGAAAGAAATAAGACAATGTAATAGGAGAAGAGACCATGGGCATCTGAATCTTCCTCATGCAACTTAATTGTGCCTTTGGGACCCATCTGAGCCTAATCTAGTATGTTTCCCCTTTCATTTGATAATGGATTTCTGTTGTGCATGCTAAAATTTATGGCTTAATGGGTCAAATAATACCAGTTTATGATGGCAGCACAGATTGCATGGTAACTTGGTAGCCTGTGGTCAAATGTTCAGTCTCCACTAAAGCCCTGAAGCAAACCAAAAATGTTTCTCAATTGGAAGGTTGTAATTCATAGAGGATGGCAAAGCTTTCCTCCAAAATTGCAATAATCTGCTCTGTCATTTGCCTATAGGACCCTGGAAAACACTCCATACAACATTCCTATTCACCACTGCCTTTTCAAGTAGCATCCAGTATGCTGGAGGACCTGTTGATCTGGAGGATTCCCTTTCAAGATGGTATACTCATATGGCTATTGGCAGAACTCAGCTCAGTTCATTCTTAATTGAGCCTCTACACAGGGCTTCTTGAATGTCTTCCCCCAGAACAAATAAACCAAGAGTGAGATTGCAAGGATTAAACAGTGACGCATTTTACAGTCTAGTCATGCAACATCATTTCCACAGTATTCTGCTTACAAGAAAAAGGCAACTAAGCACAGACCTCAATCAAGGAGAGGTGAATTTGGCTTCACCTTATGGAGGGAGGAGCTAAAATATTTGTGGACATATTTTAAATTACCACCATATCTTATGTATAATATTGAAAAATTAAAACATCCTTATGCAAAAATCTTTCTCTCATTAATACATAATAATGTATACATATGTGGTACATATGATATTTTGATACATTCTTATGATGTGTAATGATCAAATCAGGATATTTAGAATATCCCTTACCTCAAATATTTATCATTTCTTTATGTTGAGAACATTTCAAATATTACCTTCCAGTTATTTTGAAATATGCAATAAATTCTCCTTAACTATATTTACCCTATGGTGCTATCAAGTATTAGAATTCATTCCTTCTGTATAACTGTGTGTTTGCACCATTAACCAACCTCTCTTCATGCCCCTTCTCACTAGAGAGTAGTACTTTCCTACTCTCTACCTCCATGAGATCAAACTTTTTTAGCTCCTACATATGAGTGATTGTATGCAATATTTGTCTTTCCGTGCCTGGATTATTTCACTTAACGTAATGACACACATTATGAAACAGAGAGAAAATATAACACATAATACAAAATAACTCAAAAAAACAAATAAAAAACTCTAAATAACAAAATGCAACACATAATCTAGGATAAACAAACCAGCATTGACATATACATTAGAAACATATTTGAGTATGTGTGTCTATGCTTGCATAGGGAAAGAAAGCAGAAATCCTTTAACTCAGGGTTAACTGCACAAATAAAACTATTTCAGGGTTTTGGTGCTAATTTCTCTAGCCTATTTTCATTACTCTGAGAGAGTTCCATAGAACTTCCTAAACAAAAAGATTGCTAAGGGCAGAGAAATCCTGACCCTGGAATAAAAGTTCAGGCTGAATCTCTCAGAAGGCTTTCATTACATTAAGGCATAATTCTACATTTCCAATTACTTTTATTAATGGAACCAAATCTTAAATTGAGTATACTCACATGGGATTTATATCTGGTATTTGTCCAAGGAAGCATGTGAGGAATCTAGGAAATTTGCCACTCTCTGCAATATGGTATCACATACATGTTCTTTATCATAAAGTTCTAAGAGACACTACTTGAAAATATGCAGCATAACAAAGATTGCCTTACCAAAATTCACACTTTATCAATATTGTCTAAGGATGTTAGTATGCACATTCCTAGATTGATCCTCAGAGATTCTGATTCACTAGGTTAGGGAGAGGACCTGATTATCATTCTGGTGATTCTAGTGCAAGGAGCCTGCAAAATATACTTGAAAAACACTGGTTTACATTGACGAAAGTGGGAATGTTCTTAACCCTGACCTAAGCTATTTTTTTGTGTACACTAAGGAGCAAAATGAAATAAATCTAAAATAAAATTGAGGTAGGAAATCAGAAATGATAAGGGGGCTATCACCACTGACCCCACAGAAATCCAAACAACCATGTGAGAATACTGTAAACACCTCTATGCACATGAACTAGAAAATCTAGAAAAACTGAACAAATTCCTGGATACATACACCCTCCAAATACTGAACTAGGAAGAAATTGAATCCTTGAATAGACCAATATGAGTTCTGAAATTCAGGCAGTAGTAAATAGCCTACTAACCAAAAAGAATAAAATAAAAGCCCCCGACCAGACAGATTTATAGCTACATCCTACCAGAGGTAAAAAGAAGAGCTGATACCAGTTCTACTGAAACTACTACAAAAATTTGAAAAAAAGGGACTCCTCCCCAACTTATTGTATGAGGCCAGCATCATCCTGATACCAAAACCTGGCAGAAATAAAACAAAAAATAAACTCCAGGCAAATATCCTTGATGAACATTAGTGCAAAAGTCCTCAATAAAATACTGGCAAACCAAATCCAGCTTCACTGAAAAGATTATATATCACAATAAAGTTGGCTTCATCCTTGGGATGCAAGATTGGTTCAACATATGCAAATCAATAAATACAATTCATCACATAAACAGAACTAAAGACAAAAAACACATGATGATCTCAATGCACGCAGAAAAGGCTTTTGATAAAATTCAATATCCCTTCATGTTAAAAACTCTCAATAAACTAGGTATTGAAGGAACATATCTCAAAATAATAAGAGCCATCTATGAAAACAACAGTCAATATCATCCATGTGGACAAAAGCTGGAAGCATTCCCCCTAAAAACCGGCACAAGACAAGGATGCCATCTCTCACCATTCCTATTCAACATAGTATTGGACGTTCAGGGCAATCAGGCAAGAGAAAGAAATCAAGCGTATTCAAATAGGAAGAGAGGAGGTCAAACTATCCTTGTTTGCAGATGACAATATCCTCTATCTAGAAAACCCCATAGTCTTAGCCCAAAAGCAACTTCAGCAAAGTCTAAGTATACAAAATCAAGGTGCAAAAATCACTAACATTTTTGCATACACCAACAACAGGCAAGCAGAGAACCAAATCATGAATGAATTCCCATTCGCAATTGCCACAGAAATAATAAAATACTTAGTAATACACCTAACGAGGGAAGTGAAGGACCCCTTCCAGAACTACAAACCACTGCTAAAATAAATCAGAGAGAACACAAACAAATGGAGAAACATTTCATGCTAATGGATAGGAAGAATCAATGTCGTGAAAATGGCCACACGGCCCAAAGTAATTTATAGATTCAGTGCTATTCCCATTATATTGACATTCATCACAGAATTAGAAAAAAACTATTTTAAAATTCATATGGAACCAAAAAAGAGCCCGAATAGCCAAGACCTGGGCACCCCTGTGCTCTTGGGAATTGGGAGTAGGCAGGAGACCTGCCCTCCTGGGCAGGGCTGCAGCTGTCCAAATTGTGGCTGTGGATCTGGGCCTCCCATCCCACAGAGCGGACAGAAGCTCTGCCCCCCAGGGTGCAGTTGCAGCCACCCAAACCAGGGCTGCCCACCCAGGCAGCCCTGTACTCTTGGGGGGCCTGGGAAGGCCCCCTTTGCCACACAGGCTCGAAGATCCCTGTTCTCACTGCCTGGCCTCTCCCAGCTCCTGGAACCTGCTCCAATCTTGGGGGTTGGGACCACATCCGGGCACTGTCACAGCCCAGCTGGGTGTGCACATGCTCAGGGCAGTACTGACATGCCAGCCCCCTGCTGCCTCTGCCCCTCCTGACTTTGGGCTCCCCTCTGGAAGGGGAAGCTAATGGGAGGTTGAGGGTGGCTGGGCACTGGCCTGCAAGTGCTCCTTGGTGCCAGCAGCCTGGGTACCATGGATGGCCACAGGAGGCAGACAGGATCCTGTGTGGAAGGGGGCAGGTCTCCAGTGAAACCCCATCTCCACGCCAGGGCAGGCCTGAAGCCTAGGAGGTGGGCTGGCAGTCCTGCACACTGGAAGGGGAGCTCATGATGCTTTATCCTGGGCCTGCTCATGGCTTCCCATGGACCAATGAGCATACACTTCCCTGCTCTGAGGCCCATAAAAGCCTTGGGTTCAACCAGAGCAGGGCAGAGGATGGGAGGACCAGCTTCAGAGAGGGGCTACCCTCTCTGCTGATAGCTGCAGAGGCTCTAGAATAACCTGCAGGCAGAGAGCAGCCACATTCTTCAGGGCCTCCTCTCTGCTGAGAGCTGCAGACATGGAGAAGACAAGTTGCAGAGACGAGCTACCCTCTCAAGGACCTTCTCTCTGCTGAGAGCTGAACACTTGATGGGATTATGATCTGCCTACAGAGAAGAGATACCCACTGCAGGTCTCCTCTGAGCTATTGTAACACTCAATAAAGCTCCTATCTATCTTGTTCACCTTCCACTTTTCTGCATATCTCATTCTTCCTGGATGTGGGACAAGAACTCGGCCAAAGGCACCTCTGGCCACAGATGTTTCTGGCCCCAAAGATCTCATAACACCAGTGCCATCTCAGTTTACTATTGCCATGGCAACACCTGGAAGCTACTGCCCCTTTCCATGGCAAAGACCCAGAAGTTACCACCCCTTCTCTAGAACTTTTGGAATAACTAACCCCTTAATTTACATGTAATTAAAGTGGTTATAAATATGAGTGAAGAATGGGTACACTGCCTATGGGGTAGCCCTGCTTCACAAAGAACAATATCTCTGCTGCTGCTGTACACTGCCGCTTTAATAAAAGTTGCTGTTGAACATCACTGATTTGCCCTTGAATTCTTTCCTGGGGTAAGTCCCAATTTTGGGGCTCTCCTGTCCTGCATCAAAACTACTCTATTCTATTTGGAAATCAATTAAAATCCTGGTGGGCCAGAGAAGATAACAACAGTCACTGGCTGCTGTTGAAATCTGGCATCCCTCTCTGATCCACTTCCACTCTACCTCACTTTTCCAGCTCCAGAACCATTCTGACACGGGTGAGATGCAGCCAAAATCAGGTTATCTCCCACTTGACTTCTTCATCAAATATTCCCCACAAACATGTCAGTTAAAAAACTCCCAAGCAATTAAAAAAATCTCCATAGTGTCACCATTAATGTAGTTCATTGCTTCTTTTACTCTTAGAAACAGCAAGTGGAGACAAAATATCAATACTTTATATTTTATTTCGCCCTCATTTTGTGAATTATCTACAGGACTTCTTCATTCTCATGTGGAGGGTTCTCAGAATCAGAGCATGATTTTGTAAATGCTCTAACAGAAATTTAACATAAGCAAAGTGATGGAAGGGATGATGTTTATACTCCTCTCCACCAGCTCAATGTTTTTCCTCTTCCACTCTAGCAGGTGTGCACAATTGATGCTTGTAGTTGCAAGGTGCTCATTATCCTGGACCTTTGAGAATGTACATAGATGTCAACTTCACTGTATTTAGCTTTGTGATTGATAGGTTGAGTTCCTGACAATGCACCTAGAAGAGTGACTGTAGCATTTGTCTCTGATTGCTTATTTATAACATTTATCTGCTTTTAACATTTCATTTAATGTTAACTGTTTCCACTTACAGAGAAATTGAGGCCAGGAACTCAGACAAGCTTGTTCTGCTTCAGCAACCTTCTAATTCAAACAAATTTCATCCAGTGCTAATATTTGTTCATCAAACAACAAACACTGAAAGAGTATTTTATCTTCTGTAGAGAAAAACAGGGCTGCCTCTATCCTGTTTTCATATTTCTTAGGGCAGCTCACAACATTCAGTAAATAAAATGTCTGCCAGGGGGCAGCAGAATGTAATGCTTTCATTCCCAAGGGATTCTAAAGGGTTTTATGAAACCTACTAGCATATTATGATAATTAACTTGAAATTAAGGCCTCTTGATAACCACGTTACACTGCATTTAGAAGAAAAGGTTTGTCTGAGGGTCTTTTATTAAATCATATTAAAGGCTTTCATAAACTGAAGCTACATTTTCAGACATAAAAATCAGAGGGAAATTCTATTAAGTTGGTGTTGCTTAAATCATTTGCTCCCTAATTCTGTCCTTCATAACTCCCCGCAAGTTTCCTTGCTCTTTTGAACCATCTGTGGACAGCCATATTGCTTTCTATAAGCAAAATAAGATATTTTTAAAATTTAAGAATACTTGGCTATGGTCTCAAAAAACGTGACTCATCTTGAAAGAAGTTGGGAATTGTTATTTTTGTTGCTTATGACAGAAAAAAACACTTCCATAATAAGCTGTCATCTGGCAAATTATTTTTGCAAAGGACTTCAAGTATATGTGAATTACAGAACTGCACTGTAGCAGGACAGTTCCTGGGGAAGAGAGAGGCATTGAGAGAAAGAGGATCCATATTGCATCCTTTTGAAATCTTATAAGTCTGAGCAATATTTATACAGAATCCCTGGCAAGAGTGTTTTTTAAGAACATCCTTTGCCTGCCTGTGTATTGTTTTTTGTAATATGCAGTTAAAGAGGGAGCCCCAGGCTAGTTCTTTAGGGAACTTTGGTGGTTGGAACTGAAGTCTCAAATTTTATTAAGTGGGCCTTCAGACTTACCTATTTGTAAGTAATTAGTTTTAATCTATTTGAAATCACTATTTATTTTGTTTACAATGTTCTATTCTGAGTAAGTTCCTTTAAGAAAATGGTTTCTAGAGATGTCTGGTTAAAGATACAAAATAAATTAATCCCTTAAAAACTATAAAACCACTAAGACAAAATTAACAACAGAGGAATTAACTGAAACAGAATTCTGGAAGCTGGCAAGCAGATGGGTTGGAATAACTGCTCAGAAAACTTGAGATGAATTCTGAGCTTCATTGGTAGCAGTCGTGCAGCAATAGAATTTAACTACAGAACATCCAAACCATTCAGAAGCTGATGGCTTCGGAGGTAACAATATGGCTGAAAAGCAGGGGATTGTTTAAATGCCATTTTAAGGAGCAGTTGGACCCTTAGGCCCCCATTCTTGCTCTGCAAGCTAGGAGACTGCCCCAACAAAAAATTGGAGGTTTATTCTTTGGAAAGGAAAGAAACAAAGATCTTGTGGACCAGAGATGTTTATCTAATCTATTGCCATGTAACAAATCACTCTCCCAAACATAGGTATAACCATCTACCATTATACCTCATGGTTCTATGAGCCGACTGAGCTCAATTGAGCATATCTCACTGGGTCTCTCTAACACAGTTCCAGTCAGATGTCTCCTGTCTGGCCTGGAATCTCTGAAGACTTAAATGATTTGGATGTCCAAAATGAGTTCTTTGCTCCCGTGCCTGGAACCTCAGCTGGGATGGCTGGAACAGCTAGAGACTGACCAGGTGCTACTCTCTTCACACTGACTCTCCATATGGCTGGTTTGGCCCATCATAACTTGGCAGTCTCGGAGAAATTGAAACTCTTCCAGGGAGGCTGGCTTTTTCTAAAGCAAGCATTCCAAGAGATCCAGGTGGAAGTCACAGAGAGTCTATGACATAGAGTTGGAAGTCATGCACCATCACTTCTACCACATTATATTGGTCAGAAGACGCTCACAAGGCCAGCACAGATTTAAGATGAGTGGAGCACAGAAAAATGTGACCACCAGGAGATGTGGGTTCATTATGGGACAGGGCCATTTTTGGAAACTCATTACCGAAAGGAAACACCAGGTACAGATGAGGACTGAAGAATTTAATTTTATTTTTTTTCAAGTGAAAGTAAGTTTATTAAGAAAGTAGAAGAATGGCTACTCCATAGACAGAACAGCCCCACGGGTTGCTGGTTGCCCATTTATATGGTTATTTCTTGATTATATGCTAAGCAAGGGATGGATTATTCATGCCTCTGCATTTTAGACCACATAGGGTAACTTCCTGACATTGCCATGACATCTGTAAACTGTCATGGCGCTGGTGGGAGTGTAGAGTTGAGGACAACAAGAGGTCACTCTCATCGTCATTTTGGTTTTGGTGGGTTTTGGCCGGCTTCTTTACTGCAACCCGTTTTATCAGCAAGGTCTTTATGACCTGTATTATGTGCTGACTTCCTATCTCATCCTGTGATTTAGAGTGCCTTAACCGTCTGGGACTAAAGGATTTAAAACTGAGAAAATAAATAAAATATTAAACCTTCTCTTCCTTTCTTCATTGGATGCCCAGAATTCAGGCCTCTAGACCTTTGCCTTCGACATAAGAAATCTGAAGAATTTGCTGCAGAGCATAAATACACAGTCCTTGGAGGTTCGTGGGAAAAAATGGTCCCAATGCACCCATCCAAACCATCCAAGATTAAAGTGCACTAATTGGCAAGCCCTAAATGCACACAAAGTGCATCAGTTCAGCTAGTTATGCTCCACTTCTCAGTTACAAAAACAGATCCCCAACAGACAAAGAAACAAAAAGGAAGTGAGTAAACAAACAATGGCAGGTGAAGAAAACATCAAACATCATTAATGCCATTAGATGGAAAAGGCAATATAGTATGATCTCAAAACAAAAGCACAATGGTATAAAAAGTAACATAGTAAGAGAATATAGTAGAGCCCTTAGATATACACATAGACCTAGATGGTGGGTGGGGTATTGTGGGTTTGTATATGATAGGAAATATAAAACATTGAATTAAAATATTGAAAGGTAATGTTTTAAGAGAAAGAGATGAAAAGTAAGAAATAAGTTTAATACACTTAAAAGTTCACTTCACAAGTTCTATGATCAAAATAGCAAGTGTTCCAGAGAGAACAGAATAAACAAAAAACAGGAAAATTTTCATAGAGTCAATTCAAAGAAATTCTCAGTATTAAATAATTAAATTTCTAATTCAAAGGTGCTGTTATGTGTTAAAGTGCATGAAGTCCTAACTCCCAGTACTTCAAAATGTAATCTTGTTTGGTACTATCATCTTTGTAGATATAATCAACTAAATATGAGGTCACTAATCCTCACCAGTCCAAAATGACTGGTGGTGTCATTACAAAAGGAGAAATTTGAACACAGCCCTAGAGGCACACAGTGAGAAGGCCATATGGAGATGCAGGCAGAGACGGGGTGAGGCATCGACATGCCAAGGAATGAATGCCCAACATTGCCAGTAAACCTCCAGAAGTTAGGTGAGAGGCATGGAATAGATTCTCCCTCACAGTTCTCAGAAGCAGCTGTCAAATGTAATCTCAGTCTTACAGCCTCCAGGGCTCAAAGACAATAAATTTCTGTTCTTTAAGCCACTCAGTTTGTGGTACTTTTTTACAGCAGACCTAGGTAATTAATACTGGGTCCACCAAGTATCCAATAATATAGATGAAAATAGATCCACAGCAAAGCACATGACAGTGCAATTACAGGATCTGAGTGAGTGTAAAGAGAAGATTCTAAAAACTGGGGAAGGGAGTAGAAGAGAGCTGGTTTTGAAGGATCAATGGTTATGAAGGATCAATAATAAAAATCTATCAGATTTCTCAACAATAATGGAAGTAAGAAGACAGTAGGGAAATGTCTTCAAACTTTTGAGGGAAAAATAGTAATTTCTAACCTAAAATTCTTAATCAGCTAAAACACCAATAAAATGTTAGGGTAAAACAAGGACATGAGATTGCAAACACTCATTTCTCAAGCATCTATAGAATGACATGGTCCACCATAAAGGATGGCATAAGCAGAGAAAAGGAAGACATGGGATTCAAGAAATGAATCCAATGTAAGAGAGAATGGTAGAGTGGCACAAGGCAATTGTTGAGGATTCTGCAGGATGGAAGCTGTGGAAGAGGCCCGGGGAGCACCCAGCTCCTTTTGGAACATGTCAGATGACAAACAAGAAAGAGGAGGAGGACAAGGAAAAAAAAAGGGACAAGGAAGAGGAGGAGAAGAAGTTGTTAATTAATTAATATGATAACTGATTTGTTTGAGAAATTTTATACTTATGACAGGGGATAGTAGATTAATGAATAGTCATTCATTAAGAAAGAAAACTTAAGGGGTTAAAAAATAAAGTAAAAGAAAAAATGAAATCTCTACTTAACTACAGTTTTAAATAGGATTTTTCATAGTCATATCAATGTAAACACTGAATATGGATTTAAACAAAAATTATAAATGAAATTAAGACAGATAAGGGAGAATTTTGATTATATGGGGTGGGAAGTAGAGGTGAAAGAGTGCTAAATACTCATCTTTTATAGTGAAAACTTAGTAGAAATATGCTCAATATTAAAAACAGTAATGATAGAAATACAAAAATAGTATATATGAGTACAAAGTAAGTACCCCACCAAAGATTGCCTTTGCAGAGCCAGAATGGGGGAACAGGTGGGATACTGTCATTTTTCATCACAAGCCTGTAAAGCTATTCTACCACTTACATAACATTTATACATAACTTTGAAGGAACTAAAAGTTATTAAGAGATGACTTCTTCTGAATAATTCTGTATTTGAAGTGTAGAGGTAAATCTTTGGTCATTTACTCTAGGCCAGTATAATGTAACCAGGAATCACCTGGTATTTGGTTGAAAATGCAGGGCTAGAGTAGGACCTGATATCGTACATTTATCTTAAGCTCCCAGGGAGTGTCAATCCCATTGGTCCATGAACTGCATTTTGATAGCAAGGCTCTAGAACAGCATTTTTCAACTCATTTTCAACTATTTCAGTCACATGAGGACCTTTGTAAAAAGTGTAGATGTCTGAGAACTATTACATTCTTTAATGGCTCCTATATTGCTTGTAGCCTGGAGTTCAGACTCTCAGAATGGCACACAAGGCTCCTCCACACAGAATCCTGTCCTGCTCTGCTGCCATTACCCCATTTCTTCTAGTAACTCCAACTGGTGATCTCCCCCAAGCCCACCATGCTTCTTGTAGAGATGACTCAAAGATGACCTTGGTGTGTTGGCCTCTAAATTGTTTACTTCTTCACAGCAGGTGGAGTTCTGTTAGCTTAAAGCCCAGTCCATACCAAACTCAAATTTTTGTACAGTCATTTCCTCGTATCCGCCATTTTGCTTTCTGTGGTTTCAGTTACCCTTAGTTAACAAAAGTCTGAAAATATTAAATGAAAAACTCCAGAAGTAAATAAATCACAAGTGTTAAATTACTCACTATTCTGAGTAGCATGATGAAATCTAGCTCCATGCTGCGTCTTGCCCAGGACATGAGCCATCCCTGTGTCCATCAGATCCACACTGTGTATGCTCCCTGCCCGTGAATCACTTAGTAGCCGTCTGGGTTATCAGATTGACCCTAGTGGTATCACAGTGCTTGTGTTCAAGTAGCTCTTATTTTATTTAATAATGGCCCCAGAGAGAAAGAGTAGTGATGCTGGTAAATCAGATATGCCAAAGAGAAACCATAAAGTGCTTCCTTTAAGTGAAAAGGTGAAAGTTCACAACTTAATAAGGAAAGGAAAAAGATTGTATGCTGAGACTGCTAAGATCTACAGTAAGAACAAATCTTCTCTCCGTGAAATTGTGAAGATGGAAAAAGAAATCCGTGTTCATTTTGCTGTCACACTTTAAACCGAAAAGTTACGGCCACAGTGTGTGATAAGTCCTATATTAAACATTGTAGGTATGTACACATAGTGAAAACACAGTATATATGAGGTTTGGCACTACCCAGTTTCAGGCATCCACTGGAGGTCTTGAACTGTTCCTCCCAGGATAAAGGGGAACTACTCTGTAGGAAGGCACTCAGAGAAGATTGTATGTCCAATTATTTTTTTAAATAGCTCGAACAATCACATTTTTTAGCCCCTGTGAGCCTAGCTGACCCTTACCCACCCCAAACCTCACCCCACATCTGCTGGAGATAAACAAGAGAAGGCCTGAGCCATGAGGATCCCTACCTGCTGCTGCCCTTCAGAGATCTCTGACCCAAAAAATTCCTCGCTGTGCTGCTGAGCTGACTTCACCTAGACACGTAAATCTCCTTTCACACTCTCTCCTCTGACTGTCTCCTGGGAGTTTCCCTGCCCTTCTCTTGTAAGTAGCAACCTCTATGCCTTTGCCTGAGAACACACTCCTGCTGGAAGGGACTTCCCCTGCATTCAAACCTGTCAAAGTGTCACCCACAAAGCTTGTGTGTGCTACTGCCACATCATGGTCATATTTTTTCCATGATTGGCCTCCACATCTCAATCTCTCCATAAGGCTTTAAACACCCTGAAATTCACTCCACTTTAATTGGCTAACTTCTTTTTATCTTTTAAGACTATTTTTAGGTGGCAAGTGCTACAAGACACTTCCTTGGCCTATAACACGGAGAATTAATTAGTGTCCTGCCTTGTAGCATCTCTGCATAGAACATAATCACAAATCAGAAGTTTCAAGGCTTAATTTGACCTTTGCTGATCTAAAAGTACTTTGGGGAAAACCTCCCTTTTCTTATAGACAAATGATTTTCTTTCAGTCAAATGAATAAAATGTTTATTGAGCAGCGTGTATGCAAAAATATATACATATGTGTGTGTATATATATATATATATACACACACAAATATAGCCTCTGGATTGGATTTTCAATGGTAAGAAATAAAATATTGGAGATTCTATTCCCGTGGAGTTTATAGTTTACTGAAGTAGGCAGGCATTAGTCATACAAATAAGTATAAGTGCAATTGAGATAACTTCTCTGGAGGAAGTCACTCAGAGGAGATTGTAGACCAAAATTTATGCCAGCAGTGCAGAGTACCACATAGACAAACATTTTTAATTTCATCCTGTCTTGAAGCTAGTAGTCTTCAGACTGTTCTCTTTCTGGACTATGCCCTTGGGTGATCAAGCTAAAATCATTATGCCTGTGCATCACAATGAAGAACCCTGGGCCTTTGAGTTTATTTATTAATTGGGCTGAACCCAGATGGACTTTCAAAGAGAACTCTTGGCACAGCTGTGGGTGCTCTCTTGGCCAAACCCAGCATGAAAATGGAGTTGCCATATATCAGGCACATATTCCAATGAAGATGTTCTTTATTTCAACCATCTTCTGATTATATATGTCATACATCATAGAAAACTTTGAAAATACAATTCAGTTTTAAGAAGGAAATAAAAGTCACCTATAATCACCACCTAAATATGAGCATGGTTGACATGTTGCTGTATTTCCTCTCCTTTGTTTCTATGCCTCTGTAACAGAAGAGGTATATTAGTTGCTGTCTCCACCCAAATTCTCCTCCAGCCATCATCTCCTCACTGGACATCTAATTTCCCTACCCGTTTCCAGAACCATCAGTTAGTGAATTGTCTGTGGGAACCAGTCGGATGGAGGCAGATGATTTGGGGCACTAAGCCGGTAGTTGGTAAAACTCTCTGACCAGCAACAAGAAGACTCTTCACATTGTGTCACGGTCTACACTTCCCTGGTACTTGCAAAGGAAGGTTCTGTTTTCTTCCCCAAGGATTGAGGTATCTCAGTTCCTTCCTCCCATCTGCTTGTTCTCTCAGCCTTCTTCTCTCTCTTCCACAGTTACACATCTTTCAGGGAGTAGAAAAAGCTGCTCCTCAGGCAAGCCTGTGAGTATTTTTATGCAGCACATCAGTAGCTTGCAACTTCTGTCTTTGAGACTTATAGTCGTTAGAACTGTTTCTGAAGTGGGTGATCCATGCCTACAGTGTGAAATAGGCTTGGGAAAAGGCTCCTTGGAGTAGGAATAAGAGAATTCTATGATCTAGGTAGAAAAGAAAAATGGAAAAGAATTGCAGTCTAATAAAGATTAATAATCCCACCACACATGTATGTACCTGTATTTTACAAAATCACAAGCACACATAGCCAGTTTTATGTCTTGATATATTTTTATTCATTATTGTCTTATATTTTGTCAAAGTCTTAAAATTTTGTTTGAGAATTGAATTTTAATGTTTGTAGAATGTTCCATCCTCTGATCTGCAGCTGCTTACCTGGTTGCCAGTCAGTAATTTCATGTAGTGGTCAAGAACACAGGATCTAGATTCAGATGACCTAGACTGGAATCACAGGACTCTCATTCGCCACTTTCCTGTGACCTTGGAAAAGGTACTTAACTCCTCAGTTGCCTTCTCTGTAGACAGAAATATTAATATTACCTGTCTCATAAAAATAATAGAAAATTTAATATGCATAAATAGCTAGATTGACAGTAAACAGTCAATATGTGTAGTTGTTGCTATACTAATTTTAGTTTTGTGTTGTTTCTAATTATTATTTTTTATAAATAGCTTGATTATGTATGTATTTAACATTTTATCTTTTTCTTTTTTACCTTTTTAGATAGAATTCTAGAACAGACCAAGGGCTATGAATTTTTAAAGGCTCTGGATACATTTTGCCAAATCATTTATCAGAATGATTACATAATTTTACACCCACACAGCAGTTAAATGTTCTCCCTTCAATGAATTTTCCATCAGCAAGAAGAGTAATCTTTAAAAAAAAAAAAAACAAAACCCAGACTGGATCGAGTGCCTCCTTAAATCTTTGGTATGGCTTTGCTGGACCTGAGTATGCTGTCCCCTGCCCACTCATCTTGCCCTCTCCTCTTGCACTTCTTTCCTATTGGCTCACTGTCCTCCAGCCATGCAGGTGTCCTTTCCATTCCTGAACAAGCACACTTTCATCCAGCCTTTGGACTACATAATCTGTAACCATACTATTCCCTCTGCCTGGGATACCTCCCCTTCCACATGTCACCTCCACTCCTTAACTTTGCTTAGTTAATTCTTAGTCACACACACACACACACACACACACACACACACACACACCTGTGCATCAGAACACATTATTCTCCCTTTTTGTATCCTCTCACACACTGTCTTTTACTCCAAAGCACTTAGTGCAAGTGTAATTCATTAATTAATTATGTAATGATTTCTTTAATGTTCTTTGCTTAGCTTGTTTCTAAGCACCATGACAACAGGAACTGTGATTATCTTCTTGATGACCATAGTATTTGTATTGTCTATTGCAGATGCAAAGTAAATACTAAATAAATACTTGTTGGGTGAATAAAAGAGGAAATGAAACAAGATACACTTGACTTGATCTTGCTTTTCTGTAGGATAAATTTGTCTTTCAAATGTCCATTCACCAATTGGGGTATACCTTTTATACCTTTCTCTTCTATGTAGATACCCCATTAGAAAAATCAGGACCGCACCCGTAACTTCAAGCCATATAGTACGCCATCCCACTCCCAACCCAGAATTTAGGCTAAAGACAGAGCCCTTCTTTTTGGACAGGAAAGGCTGCACTGAGAGATTCTGGACATAGACCCAGAGACAGGACTGAAGTGAGACAAGGCGCGATCATGAAACAGGGAGTTTAATCGAGCTCTCTCCCCAGCTCCTTTCCCCATTCAGCTCATTGATCACTGATATGGGCTTATAACTCAACAGAGGTTGAAGTATTTCTGTCTTATCAAATTGGCTCACCCAGGATCCTGACCTTTGAGGATCCCCACAGAAGGGCTACATTCACACCTGGTGATCCATCTAACTATAGAGCTGCCAGTTAACAAATCCTACCCAAGTGTGCAGAGCTTCCAATCAAATTCTAAGTACCTCACTCTTAAATCTGAATAGAGAACAAAGGACCACCAGATATTTGAAGGAGGCATCTAATGTGAAAAAAAAACCACACACACAAACATAAAATGGAACTTGGAAGAAACAGGAACAATACAGGTAAAAAAATAAAACTATGAAAATAAATTTGCCATGGTACAAGAGATAAGATAATTAAAAAGAATAAAATCTTTTGAAGAATATTTGAAAAACAGGAAAGAGCTATTGGAAATTAAACATGGAATACCAGAAATTAAAGATTCAACTGAAGGTTTGAAAGATATATTTGAGAAAATCATTACAAATAGAGAAAATAAAGACAAAGAAAAAAATATGGGAAAAAAGATAAGAAAAAAGAAAAAAAGAGAATCAACGTAGGATGGGCAGTATCTAAATGACAAATGTTTCTGAAAAAAATAAATAAAATTTCTTATATGGAGAATACAGATGAGGAAACTATCAAAACAATAATATCGATTATGAAGCTAGATTAAAACATTTTTTAGAAATTCAAGATCTCAATGATGAGCTTTCCCAAAAGAGAAAATAAAAGAAGGAGACATGAGATCCTGGAAATAGAGAATTCAAGACAGGAGAGAGAGAAGGCAGTTCCAGGAATAATGGCGGATGGAAGTTTTCTAACAGCTGAGCAGTAGATGTGGGGAACAGCCAGACTAAACCGCAACAGTGTCATAGAAATACCTCGATAGGATATGACATGCCTGGAGATACTGAAATGACTTCTACACTCTTTCAGAGACTTTTAAAATAAAAGCGTATTTTATCAAATACAGCGTATTTTATCAAATCTAAGCTATCAGATTCTAAAATTTAACCTCATATTATGTACTACTAAGAAAAAAGATGGTTTACCAATTAAACATGACTAATGTTTTATTTTATAATTATTGAAATTTAGACTTTTGTAGACATAGATTTATATCACACTGGCTGTATATAAAGAGGATATAGAAACAAAATAAATTGATCAAGGCATTTCTAAACTCTTACTTTTGGAGTTAAGATTTCAGATATGTTAACATGAAAAAAAATGACGAAGAGAGCATGGCTGAGAATCCATAAATTATAGTAGGAGAAAAAAAAACAAAGCAAATAAAAAACAATTAAATATAAGATGTTTAAGATAGGAAATGTAATAATGGAAGAACATCATGTGGCTGCTCTGGTGGAGTAATATTTAGTCATGACAATGACATGTACAATGGCATTGTGACATGAGAAGTATACAAAATAAAACTGGATGCTATTCATATCTGTAGCTGTCTGGATCCTACCAAACTTGAAAAATATTAAAAGAATTCAGAATTTGATTAATGAAATAATCAAATCAAATGATGAAATAACCTGACCGTTGGATTATAGAGATGGAGGGATTCAGACTCAAATCAAACTTGAAAATTAAGTAATGAGTAATAACTTTTTTTAAAGGCTTTACCTATAAAAAATATAATTCTACACTTTGGCCTGGGCCAGCACCATCTACTGATGTGAGAATCCCAATTATTTTAGAAAAAGGTAATTATTTCCTTAGTGCAGCGGTCTTTAAAGTATGAAATAATAGATAACATATAAAATAATACATTAAATATATCCCATAATGAATTCTTGAATATCTTCGTTGTAATCAGATATTTAAGAATTTGGCATGCTAACTCATTAGTGAATTCAACAGATTAGTCCTAACATTCTGGAGTATTTGGTTTTGCCTTGTTGGAAACTATGAGAGAATTTTTGAAAGTATATCAACCATGTTGGGATGTTTAAGGTAAATGGAGAATCACCATAGTTACAAGTTTACTTTGCTGAATTTATTATGACTGTTGGCTTAGTATATTAGTCAGCAAAATAAAATACTTTAAAAATATTAAATAGAAAACAAAGTTTAAAGTTAATTACAGAATTTTAATGAACTAAGTTTGTAAATGACACCAAACATTAATATAAGGACCCTTTATACATACTATCAATACCAATAGATTATGGACAGAAAAATAAAATTTGTAAGCTGAAGTTAAAAACTTACAGTAAAACATTTAAAACTTGTTAACACTAAGAAGTTGAATCATGTTTGAAATCCAAAGTAAACACAAATATTGTAAGTGTATGCAAATGACTATCTTGAACAAACACATAAAATGCCCTCTCAGAGTCCCAATAATGTAAATAACTGCAATATTGACTTAACCCCAAATTGCAGAACAACTGTATTTGGGAGGTGGAAAAGAACAAAGTTGTATGGAAACGGAGGGTGTGGTGATAAGGGGATTAATTACTCCTCTTTCAGAGTAAGAGTCAATAAAATATGTCTGAGATTAAAAAATAGAGACATAACAATATAAGTATATTATTTAGAAATATGGGAGAAAATAAAAGAAACGGTTTAAAGAGTTGACAGTGATTGCCTCCAGAGAGTCAGAATCAGGAGGGAGGAGGGTCAAGGCAAATTGCTGTTTTTCTAAATGTGCTTATTGAAACTAAAAAACAAAACAAAAAAAACATGAGTATGTATTACTTTGATTTAAAATAGACATTAAATTTAAAAAAGAAATATTGAGAAAATAACTCGGTTTTGAATTATACATACATTGAAATTTTAATATATTTTTGTTATCCTCTTAAACCTCAAATTACAATTTTCTTGATGTTTTCATGCCCTTTTTCTATTCTCTTGCCCAGGATTTTTTCTACCTTCTCTCCTTCTGCCAACTCTAACCATACCACCAAAGCACATGCAAGCATTTATCATCAGGGGTTAAATACAAAAAAGTTCTTTGTTAAGAAAGAGTTAAACATTTGATGCATCTGGAAGTGGATACTTCCGCCCATGGGGTTTCAGGATGAGATGTGCAGCCATTTGTGCAATGGAGCCTTAAAACAATCAGACCTACACCCTTCCAGCTAAAGCTAGATTTTGACAAATTAATAGCAAATTGATTCTCATTTGTACTCAAATCAATACACCCTCAGAGATCAGCATGCTTTATACCTTCTGCTTGGGCTACTTTCTCAAAAACCTATCCACCTGTTAATTCAAACAGAAGTTTTTGATTTTTTTTAAAAGAGTTCTATTTATATCCCCATATGAACATTTTTCTAATATAATACCTAACCCATTCATTACAGTTAGTCTTTTTCCTTACCATCCTCTAAAAATATTTTATACTCTGCCAAACCAAAGGGATTTAATTCATTACAGTCTATTATTTTTAAAGTCACTGTTAGCAAAATGAGCAGAATCATGATGTATTTACTCTCACTTATACCTGTGCCTAGAATTTTCTTCTGCTCTCTGCCTACCTGGTAAATCTGTCATTAATTTTCACAATGCAACACAAAGGTAACCTGTAAGTTTTTCTTGATCCCACCAGGGAGAATTGGCCACTGTTTCCCATGTGTTCCTACTGCCTCACCTATTCTTCTACCATTCAGACTTTTATCCTAGGACCTGAGTGTCTGGTGAGCTTTATCAGACTCTGGGTCCCTTGAAGGTAAAGACTATACCTTAGTCATCTCCATATCCCAAACACATAGCACAGCGCATGGTACAGAGCAAATACTCAAAAAAAAATTGGTGATTGAGTGAATGACAGTAACTACAATAAATTACAAGGCAGAAGACAGAGAGTCTAATGCTAGTTTTTCAGCATATTAGCTATGGAACTCTCTAAACTTCAGTTACTACTTTTATAATGTGGAAAACTAATACCATTTATTTTACAGTTACAGAGGTATCATGATCAAATGAAGGAATGAATATAAAAATACCTTACCAGCTGTAAAGAAGTACACAAAGTATTGTTTCCTCACTTTTGTCATTCATTCAACAAGCACTTACTGAACACCTGTTTCGTGCTAGGCATTATTTTAGGCACTGCGATAGATCGGTGAATAAAAGATAAAATATCCCTGTCCTTGAGAAACTCAATTTTGGGATGGTTGGGGAAGGAAGAACAAACGATAATCAAATCAGTAAAATATATAGTATGTTAGATGGCGATAACTGCTATCAATAAAAATAAAGTAGAAAGGGGGGATGGAAAGTATAGGTAAAAAAATTGAAGCTGCAGGAGAGCAGGGAGAATTGCTGGAAAGACTGAGCATGAAGAATCATGAGAGAGCGGGATCTAGTAGAGGAGTAAGGACAGCTCATCCTTGGCAGCAGGAGAGAAGGCTGACTGTGTAAGTCTAAACACAGGAAGGTGGTTGGGGTGGTAGTATGGCATTGTATAAGTTTTCTTCTCAGTAAAATCAGAACAAGAATCTCAGTTGAAAGTGAGGGGAGGGACGGCAGTGTTCAATGTTCAAATATAAAGGAAAAATAGTCTTAGAAGAGTATGGGCAAACGGAGGAGACAACTATGGGTTTTTTCCTGCTGAGATGTTTATTTTACATAATTTTTAATGATTTGATTATTATACGATGTATTCATGTATCAAAACATCACATTGTACCCCATACATGTGTACAATTATTATGTATCAATAAAGAAACAAGCAAACAATAAAAAGAACTATGGTTTAATTGCCAGGCAGTATTAAGGAATCACTTAGCGATTATAGATTTAAGGTATTACCAGTTACCATGGTTGTGTTTTTCTTCACCATTGATCAACTCTGCAGGTGAAGTTATGGTAGAGGCAAAAGTTTGGATTTAACTGGATTTTGACTTAGATAAGGGAGTAGAATCCAGTGGGAAGCAAGAGGTTTGAGGCCATGTGCAAGGGACAGTGGCTTGTCATAGGCTAGACATCGTTTTTCATCTTGTATCTATGTAAATAATATGTTTTGTTCAATGTAATAAATACAGAATTTCAGAAAGAATAAAATATTTTCAAATCATTTTTGCAACCAAATTCCTTAGTCCTGTTCTATCGTTTGAGATATGAAATTGCTTCTAATAAAAAAATGAAATGAAAGACAAATACAGTGAGACTAAGATTGCATTCATTAATTCCACAAATGCTTATGAATTATCTACTGTTATGTGACAGGCACCATGGTAAGTCTGCTGGTACATTGTGGAGCAAATAGTTGGCACAGATTTTTTCTTTAATGAATGGTACGACCAGTGAAGATATACAACTTAATCAAATAATTATATAAATTAATTACAAACTGAAATAAGGGCTACCAAAGAAAAGAGTACCTTTTATTACCTCAGTTAAAACAAAAATGTAATTTAAGACTGAGGACAGGAAAGGACACAAAAGTCTCCTAAAGAAGTGATTCTTTTTCCAAGATCTACATTAGAAGGAGTTAATCAATAAAGAGGTGGGAAGAGAAAGGAGGAGAACATTTCATGCAAAGTTTTCTAGATGAATGTAACATCTCCTTCAATGATCTTATAAGGTGTCATTCTACCCCCCTCTTCCACATTGGTAGCAATGTCTCATAGGCTGCATTATGCAAAGCAGTAAGTGTCACTAAAAACCTGGCACATTGTCATCTTTATGAGGATGGTGGGATTTTTTTTATTTTTTTTTTTAAGTTCTTAAAAGCAACTTTGTTTTGTGGTTAAGAGTATAGCCAAAGCTAGACTACCTGGATTCAAATCTCTGGTATTTATTTGTAATAAAGAGATCTTATCAATAAATCATTGCTAATGACTTAATAGAAATGTGGGATCTTGGGAACACCAATTAGCCTTATGTGCCTTAATTTCTTCATTTGTAAAATGATTATAAACATAGGGAACCCATTTCATTGGGCAGATTAAGTCAGTTAAAGTACACAAAGGCACTTAAAATAGTGCTAGTTATATCAGAGATACAGTAAGCACAGTAGGAATATTAGCTATTTTAGGAATAGTTTTCCTTCTGCTAAGAATTTAATCTGATTTTACTTTATACATGCTATGAATTATGAATTGTGTTACAGATCAGATGTAAACTAATATATGTATCTCTCTTTGGATTTGATGATAGAGAGCTTGGAACCAGTTTGTTCTGACCCATTGGTATAACTGTGTGCAACCATATTTTGACTAATATTTAAATTTTGTTTGTTTGTTTCAGTTGAGTATACCTACCGTCACAGAAATGTTTACCAACTGGAATGTTATACTGAACAAATTGTTCAATAGAGTATAAAGTGGGGTTCATCTTGCTGCAACAAGGTAAGAGAGTCCTAAAGAAAAATTAAGCTGGTACTAAAAGGAAGGTTTTTAAAGAGCATGCAAGACCTTTGTCCCATTATTTATAGAATAAGGCCTAAGCAATAAACATTTCTATTTAAGCAATGGCTGTGCTTAAGGACAATCAAGTGTTCTAACCATGATTGCTTTAATAAAAATGGAAGATAGAGTTATAATGGGGCAGTGATTGTGATATAATTATTGGTTACATAATTAGTCTTCTTTTGATTCTTTTAATCCCCTCAGAAATGCCACCAAAAATTATAGCATTTGAAAGTAAGATTTAGACCCAGAGTTTACGGATGTGGAATTCAAAGGAGGTGTACAGGACCTCATTCATGTGCATTTTTGAGTTGGTTAAATTTCCACATCCATTTTATATCTCTATCAACTTTTTCTTTGTCATATCCTTTTCACTTAGTTTCAGTTTGTGTCATTTTGCTGTTTTTTTATTTTTAAATAAATCATCTTGTAGTAGGCATAATAATGGTCCCCAGAGATGTTTACCTCCTAAACCCTGGAATCTGTGAATATGTTATATGGAAAGGAAGAATTAAAGTTGTAGACAGAATTAAGGTTGCTAATTAGCTGGCCTAGAGCTGGAGAGAATACCCTGGATTACCGAGGTAGACCCAGGGTAATTACAAGGGACCTTGTAACTGAAAGATGGAGGCAGGAGAGTCAGAGTCAGACTGATGGATCGATTGATGTGAAAACCCAACTCATCATTGCTGGCTTTGAAGATGGAAGAAGGGGACTGTGAATTAAAGGAATCTTGGCAACCTCCAGAAACTAGAAAAGGAAATGGATTCACCTCTACAGCCTCCAGAGGAACATATTCCTGCTGACACTTTAATTTTAGTCCAGTGAAATTCATTTTGGACTTCTAAACTCCAGAGCTATAAAATAATAAATTTATGTTTTTTAAGCCATGAAATTTTTGGTAATTTGTTACAGAAGCAATAGGAGACTAATGAAACCTTAGAACTTTTTTGAAACATAGTGATTCTAAAATTAAAAAAGTTTTATTAAAATATGGTCACCATGGTGTATATGTGCCACAGTTTCTGAATCCAGTCTGTCATTGATGGGCATTTGGGTTGGTTCCAAGTCTTTGCTATTGTGAATAGTACCACAATAAACATATGTGTGTGTGTCTTTATAGCAGCATGATTTATAATCAATGAGAACACTCTGACACAGGAAGGGGAACATCACACACCAGGGCCTGTTGTGGGGTGGGGGGAGGTGGGAGGGATAGCATTAGGAAATATACCTAATGTAAATGACCAGTTAATGGGTGCAGCACACCAACATGGCACATGTATACATATATAACAAACCTACACGTTGTACACATGTACCCTAGAACTTAAAGTATAATACAAAAAAAGCCTTTTTTATAGTCAAAAAAATATGGTCACCAACTTAAAAAAATACTAATGAAATATGCCCACGTTCGAACATTAACTCAGAGTAGGAAATTTAAAAAAATACACAACACTTTAAAAATTCTTAGTTGCTATAAAGCTGAAGTTTTAGCCATTCAATTACTTATTTTGGGGACAACTGATTATCCTGCAGATATGCTTATTGCCCCATCCAGCTATTCAGATTTTCACTTTCTATTATTCAAACTAGCAATGATCTCTGACTTGGAACACAAAAAAGCATATTTTGCTTTCATTGCTTTGGCAAATTACTCTGTGTCTGAGTGCCTGAAGAACTCATTGTTGTTTCCTTCACTATTAACAGACACTTGCTCACTGCCTTTAACACATTCTGTCATCTGCACGCTTGTCATTCATTGTTTTAAGAAAAAAAAGAAAGAAGGGAAAACTAATTATGAAAATAGTCAGCCTGGGAGAGTTTTTCTTAGGTTTTCTTCTAGAATTTTTATGGTTACAGGTCTTAGATTTAAGTCTTTATTCCATCTTGAGTTAATTTTTGCACATGGTGAGAGACAGAAATCCAGTTTCATTTTTCTGCCTGTGGCTATCTAACTTTCCCAGCACCATTTATCACATACGGTGTCATTTCCCCATTTTATGTCTTTGTTTACTTTGTTGAAGATCAGTTGGTTGTAAATGTTTGGCTTTATTTCTGGATTGTCTATTCTGTTCCATTGGTCTGTGTTTCTACTTTTATACCAGTACTATGCTGTTTTGGTTACTATAGCCTGTGGTATAATGTGAAGCTGGGTAATGTGATGCCTCCAAATTTGTTTTATTTGCTTAGAACTGCTTTGGCTTTTCAGGCTCTTTTGTGGTTCCACATGAAATTTAGAATTGTTTCTTTCCTAATTCAATGAAAAATGACATTGGTATGTTGATAAGAATTTTACAGAACCTGTAAATTGCCTTGGGTGATATAGTCATTTTCTCAATATTTATGAGTAAGACATCAAAAGCGAATGCAACAAAAAGCAAAAGTAAATAAATGGGATCTAATTAAACTGTTACTAAAAAGCTTCTGCACGGCAAAAGAAATAAGCATCCATGTAACCAAAAAGCACTTATACCCATAATGCTATTGAAATAAACAAATAAAAAAATAAAAAGTGAAAAAGGAAATAAGCAGTAAAAGATAAATCAGGAGATTTGACCTTCAAATTGATACACTTTCAAAAATGTTTTTATTCGGGGAAGGTAAAGGCTGTGCATAGACATTTGCTTGGAGCCTATATTCTGGCACAGTTCTCAAATGTGGGTAGTGTTGGCGCTTGTGTGCCAAACTTATTCTCTAGGAAACAGAGATCCTCTGATTTGAGAAGCCCTGAGCTGGCATATTTCATTGGCTTTAAATTCAGCACAAAAGCTCAGAAAGAAAATTGTTAAAAGGCCACCTCTATGGAAAACACTGGGACCAAACTCATGGGATAGAACAGTGTGTTTGAGCTGAGTCACTGGTAAGATACATATCCCCCGGATCTCTCAAAAACTTACAGGCCTTTGGGAGGCCGAGGTGGGTGGATCACGAGGTCAGGAGATCGAGACCATCCTGGCTAATACAATGAAACCCCATCTCTACTGAAAACACAAAAAATTAGCTGGGCGTGGTGGCAGGCGCCTGTAGTCCCAGCTACTCGGGGGGCTGAGGCAGGAGAATGGCCTGAACCCGGGAGGCGGATCTTGCAGCGAGCTGAGATCGCGCACTGCACTCCAGCCTGGGCGACAGAGCGAGACTGTATCTCAAAAAAAAAAAAAACAAAAAAAACTTTCAGGCATCAGGTAAGAGAGACAAGGTTTGCCATCAAGTATAAGGTCTGCTTAATATTATTTGCCATATTGAAGACAGATATTGGAGACACTTCTTTCTAATTTCAAGGATATTTTAAAAAGGAAAGAAAAGAAAAACACAGTAGGGCATTGTTCTTTGCATACCCTCACATGCACAAATTAATGCTGATCACATGCCTACACCTACAAAGGAATCGGGCCAAAAACAAAATTGGACAGATTGCAAAAATACAGAGAAAATCACAATCTCTTCAATCAGGATTTCAGAAACCAGTGATATGATGAACATTTTTCACGTAACTCCTTTCATGAGCCCTCATGTTTAGATAAACATGTAACCATTCTTCAGAGTTTGTTCATGTGTGGTGTACTGGCAGATATTTATAGGCACCCAATACACACAGCCTCCATAATGAACACTGAGACTACAAAGTCACAAGTATGTGGTACTGGATATTGTGGGCCTAACCAAGGGACAAGTGAGAAAAATATTATATCATGAAGATATGTCTTTTTAAAGAAATATGCATGGAAATCTGCTATTGAAGCAGAGAAACAGATACTTATATCATGAGGAGGGGCAGACATGTGACATTCTTTTCAGCTGCTCAGCATCTGTCTGAGTTGCCCCAAAAGCTGACACTGAGAAAAATATTCCAATGCAAGGTAATTATTTGAGAAGTAAAGGAAACATTGCCAGGAGAGGGGAATTGGCTTAGGGAAGGGACGGCAGCCAATTAAGAGTGGTTATCAAGCCAGCTGCCACAGTGAGAGATTAGAATTTAACCTCACTTGAGAATGGTGGGAAAGGGTCTAAAACACATATCTCATAGTTATCCCACCCAAGGAGAGAGGGAAGAGAGGGAGCTCCCATCAGTCATTGGCTGGGGACTTCTTCTGGGACTTAGTTCTCTCAGTGCGTCTGGCCAGCCCTGTGACTGAGCCGAGTCTCTTCACTGACTTTTGAAATCGCCTTCAAGCAAAGTCTCTGAAAGTTGGATGTCATAGTCACCCAGAGCCTGCCAAAGTGGTAAGGTTCAAATGAGAGCAAGCCACCAACAGTTTCACCTTCAGCCTCTGAACTACTTCTTAGGCTTAGACAATTTCTAATTGTATAACCCTTGGTAGAAAAAAGCGATACCTAACACTATAGAAACAAAATGTGAGATGTATGCTTTCTCAGCCTCCCTTGCAGCTAGGGCACAGGCATATGAACTAGGTTCCACCAATCAGACACACCTGATTGATTTAAGCAGGAGGCTCAGAAAAGCTTTCTCCTTCCATCAGAGGTGATAGCTAATTTGTCTATCAAATATTTATTTATCTTTAGCTATCAACATTCAGTACATCAACAGATGGCTTTTTCCAGCTTTCTTCTGTCTCTAGCTTTTGTCTTTCTGCTCCTTTCTGAAACCATGTAAAATGTGCTTCACTCTTTCCCATAAATATACACACACATGGCCAGCTACAAAACTTGCAGAGCCTAGTGAAAATAAAAATGCAGTGCCTTTGTTTAAAAAAAAAAAAAAAGGAAGTGACCATAAAAGTACATGTACAGCATTTTTCCTGTCTTCCACAATCTCCCTCTCTCCATTTGTCACTCTGGGTTTTTTCTATTTAATGTAATTCTAAGTACTGCATAGTAAAGTTAAAATGTTAAATTTCTAGCGTTTAAGTTTTGCCATTCACGTTTATGTTGTGCAATGCCAGTCATAAATGCAAATATCAGCACATTTAATTTTTATGTATCGTCACCAAAATTATAAAAGTCATATTTTGTAGATCATCCCCAGAGAGTGCCTTAAGCTATTCAAGATAGACAAATACAAGCCAGAATCGGGGAAGTTGAAAAAAAGAGCAGATCCCTCCAGTCACAGCCTGAGAGACTGTGAGTAAAGACACTGACAGGCACCCAGGGAGCTGCTGCACCATGTGGGGCATTTGCACTGGCTAGTGCCTTATGACTGCCAGGATCCCCTTCGCACCAGCCCCACCAATGCACCACAGGGGTGGGGGCTGGGAAATGTAGTCAGGCATCGTCTCCTTTTTCCACGGGCTTATCATTCCTGGGTGAAACCTAAGGATCTTTAAACCTCCATGCCAGGAAGAAGTAAATACCTGCACAGTGGTGAGTCAAAGATGAGCTATCATATGGCTTCTGTCTAGCCACTCACCAAACACTCTGTGATACTGCCAGCTAGCATGGGGACATCTGTCACCATTCCCAGCCCTAAGATGCAGCAGGACTTCTACACCCAACCCTGACCCTTCTCATGCCTCATCCAGGTTCCTTCCATGGGCAGAGGCTATAGCAGCTGCAGATGGGGAGCAGAGAGGTGAAGGCCAGGTGGACCTGAAGGGCCAGAGGATTGGGGAGAGGATAGCAGAAAGCCTGTCCCATGGAGGTGGGAGGTAGCAGGTTGAGGGATAGCTCCAGTACATGTTTCATTGTCTGATCAGACATCACAAAACATAAATTAAATATGGAGTTGTTAAGAATCTCAAGATAGCATTGAAAGGGCATTAAACCCCAAGTGTGAGGCCCCTCCTAGCATAAAGCACCATGTGACTGTCCTGGACACACACCCCTAAAGTGGGCTTAGTATATACTTACACAACCCCCTTGACCACAGGCAAGCTTCCTTTTCAAAATTGATACATAATAGTTGTACATACTTATGGGGTACATGTGCTATTTTGGTACATGCGCACAATGTGATATGGGCAAATCAGAGTAATTGGGAAATGCATCACCTCAAGCACTCATCATTTCTTTGTGCTAGGAATATTCAAGAAGAGCCCATGCTGACCATCTGTTGTTTCCTAGCCCATTCACATCTCAACTCCTATCGAGCTTCCATCACCAAAATCAGGAGCGACTTAGGCTTCATGGGACCTAAAGCTTACAGTTTTGAGGCCTGCTTAAAGAAATGAATTACAAATTAGGAATCTGAAGGGGAATGTGCATTCGAGTGATCCTGATGCTTAAACTCCATTACCTTCACAGTAAACCCTCCTCTGCCCACAACTTGTCTCCAACTGCTCCCCTACTTTCCCTCCATATATGTGAGAGATATGCAGAATTGCCAATTCTAATAGACAAATTTCAGTCTGAATCTGACTTGATTTCTCTCCTGTAATTTATATGGATAATATTGACCATTCCCTCCTTGAAATCATCTATGTTGCCTTCTAAGACATCATCTATTTTGATTCATTCATGTCAGCATCTTTCATTTGTTTTCTTCTCTTTTCTATCCCTTCTACCTGTGGTACCTGGATAATTTTTAGTATTCAGATTTAATTTTAGGGAAGATGTTGGTTAAAACCGTGATGATATAATATGTAGGGAAGTACATCATAAATTGTAGAACACCATATAAATATGAAATATTATTATTACAAGGTGATTGATTCTATAATTTGTTCAGCAAAGACTTTATCTTGATTTTCCAAATGATCTTTTTATGTCCTAAAAGAAATATGTATGTAAGGGATTCATGCAAGCTGTATAAATGACTATGATTTATACAGTCTTTTTATGTGTTTTACATATTTTGTATTACCCATTACAAAATAAATAACACTGAAAAATTAAGGGAATGACATTTATTGTGTGTATATCTCTGTTTCTCCAGTTATATGAGAGAAATTTTTATTTTTATGGAAATTAGTTGCATGAAACTCACGCAAATGTGCCTAAATGTGACAGATATATTTCCTAAACCAAAAGTTAATCTTTCCAAAAAAAAAAGTAACCAAAAGACAACATTTCTTCCTCATTATCTGAGTTTGTTCATTTATTTCCCTCAAAATAATGATTTCTTTTGGCTATAAATAATTTTTCTGCTGAATTTCTTGGAGTAGTTTTGTCTCTGCATTGATCAGGATCAATTTCCCTGAAAGCAGAGAAAACTTACAAATTGTTATTATCTCCTTGCCTCAAAGTTAATCACAGTTTCAAAGGCTATCTTCAGCATAAAAAATAAAATCTATTTTGGTTTATGAATTACTTCATATGAGGCAAAATACTCATAAAATAATGAATATATGCCTTACAGCTAAAATATTAATTACCAAAAGGAAAATAATAGATTCCTATTTACAGTGGTGATTTACTTTTTCTCTGAAGAGTAGAATCAGCATCTATGATCTTATTATTTGGAAATATATTATTTTAATTGAGAAAGCCAGTTTTTGTGGCAAAACATTCTTTTTAAAATTACTGTTAACCTTCTGAAGAGTGGAAAAGAAAGTTTTGTGGCAGAATATTTGTTTAATTGCCATTAAACTCATTGCTGTCTTCATTACAAGTTTTGTTCAGATTTTGGTGTTTTTTTCTTTTTTAACCTCAAGGGGAAAAAATCTATTGTTTTCCTGTAACGGTAAGTTTTACAGATATATACGGCTTCAATGCTGATCTCGTTCATCGTTTTCCCACAAAATGATAAATCATCTTTCCTATGGTTACTTCCTTAATAAACTCAATGGGTTTGGAAACTATCACAGAATTACAACAACTAATAGAAACAAAATGTGAGATGTATGCTTTCTCAGCCTACAGAATTTAACAACATTGGTAGCTATTGATTTTTTGTCTTAGTCAGTTTGGGATGCTATAATACCATAGAATGTCTGGTTATAAACAACAGAATGTATTTCTCATAGTTTTGAAGTCTGGAAATGTGAGATCAGGGTGCCATCATGGCCAATTGGGTTGAGGGACCTTTTCTAAGTTTCCAACTACCATCTTCAAATTGTCTCCTCACGTGGTGGAAACAGCCCCCAGAGAGCTCTCTGAATTACCTTTCATAAAGGCACTAATCCCATCCATGAGGGCTCCACTCTTATGACCTAATTACATCTTGAAGTTTCCATTTCTAATGCCATCACAATGTGGGGTAGGATTTCAACATATTCATTTTGGGAGGGCCCAAACTTTCAGTCCATAACAGATTTTATATTTTGTTTCTGGACTTCTTTGACAAGCCTATTTTGGGTAAAGGCACCATGGCAACTATATTGTACTGGATTCTGACAAAATTCAGATTTTCAGGCACTATTAATTCAACAAGTGTAAATTGGTACTGTTCGATGGGCATAGACATCTTAGAAAACCTGCCTAGACATTCCTTTTTTTCTCATAAGGCAGAGATAATCTACGGATTTTGACCAGAATAATTATGTACATTTGTGGATCTTCCACTGTAAAGCTAACAGCAGAAATGAGATCGGACGTAACTGTAGCTGTTACTAAGAATCATAGCTCAAGAGGACTGTATGCAGTCCCTACCTTTCATGAGTTGCAGAATAATATCTGACATCTAACAAACTCTTCTAAAACTATACACACCTTTAAAATAATTTTTATTTTTATTTCTGGGGTACAAGTGCAGGATGATGCACACATATTTTTACAAACAAACTTTTATGTGACAATCTTCCTGACAGGCTACAAAATTCCACACATAATTACATGTATTATACTCTAAATTATATGTTGAGAAACAAACATCTTCATTAAAAAGTTACACGGAGGCTAGGTGTGGTGGTTTATGCCTATAATCCCAGCTACTAGGGAGGCTGAGGCAGGAGGATCACTTAAGTACAGGAGTTCAAGATCAGCCTGGGCAACATAGTGAAACCCCATCTCTAAAAATATTTAAAAAGTAGCTGGGTGCGGTATTGCATGCCTGTAGTCCCAGCTACTGAGGAGTCTGAGTCTGGAAGATTGCTTGAGCCCAGGAGTTTGAGATTACAGTGGGCTATGATTGTGCCACTGCACTGCACCCTACGTGACAGAGTAAGACCTTATCTGTAAAAATAAATAAATAAATAAAAGTTACACAAAAATTCTCTAGACCTTTGTCTCCCCCATCAACTTCACAATGTAATTAACTCAATACATTATATAGGAAATGACTTTTCCACCGTGGCGCTATGAAAATTTAACTCTAGATCCAAGCAATTAAATTTATTGTTTTATTTCTGTTACCTATTTGTTTCAAGCTTAAAACTGTAAGTTTGTGTTGTTTTTGTTGCTGTTTGTTGGTTTTGCTTGCATTTTTCTGCACATTTTAATGTTATTGCAATAATGACCAACCTCCCATCTCTAGTCTTCACATTAATCTTCACATGTTAAAATTTTTGTTCCATTTGGAATGGTGGATATTATTTCTTCCTTTCTTGTTTCAACTTCCCAATCTGTTAATAGTAAGCTTTCCCATAAAGGAGAAGCCCTACTTCCTGTAAAATGTATATTAAATGTGGGCAAGTTTGCCCCTGGTAGCATAGAGAGAGAGATGGATGGATGGATAGCTAGATAGATAGATAGATAGATAGATAGATAGATAGATAGATAGACAGACAGATAGATAGAGATAGATAGACAGACAGACAGACAGACAGATAGACAGACAACATATATATGTATGCTCCTGACTTACATTGTCAAGTGATGTTTAAAATGAGGTGGTCCTAATCTTTTCTGTGGTTTATCCTTGCTTCTAACTCTTACTATCCAAAATTAGGGGATGGTAGTAAATTTGTTACAGATCCTTTGCTATTTTCTCTGTTTCTATACTTCTTTATTAAAAACAAAATTTGTGATCTTGCTTTTTGCGTAAAACTATTTCTCTCTACAGTATATGTAAAGAAGGCTTCTCAGAATCTATAAAGTTTGGAAGGCATCATGCTCTGGGTTCAGTGCTGATGTAATTTTTCATGATTTATATTTTTATTCCTTCATTTACTATAATTAGTTTTAGGATAACATAATTGATAGAAGTCCTTCTATAATACTTTAATATTATGTTTACAAAAGAGAAGATGGAATATTACTCACAATTAAGTTTTTCATGAAATATAAATTGCAAGAAAAGGTAAGACATAAGAGTTATACATTGTTTAATTTGCAGAATTGAACTTTTGCTTTTAACTTCCAAATAAATCTTTTCTTGTAATTTAAAAGAAATGTGTATTTTAATGTACATTGTAGTACATTTTATTTTAGATACCGATCATCCAGTCACTAATTGTATTTCTCATTTGGATTATTTTTTATTACTATCCAGAATGCCTCTTTTACACTCACAAATAAGATATAATAAATGAGAACTCACATGATTCTGTCCAGCTCTGTAGTGTTAATGGAGCAAAAATATTTTAGTTTAGATATTTTAAAATATAACTTTTGTTAATAATTGGATTAATCCATAAAAACTGTATGATTCTTCAATGAGATATACAATATACGGTGCTACACAAATATTAGTTACATTACACTTTTTGCATTCATTTTCTATATTCATAATAAATAGACTTGTTCTATCATCTTTTCCAATAATTTAACTATATTAGGCATTAGATAATTTTATTTTAGAACTAGCAATAATAATTAACAGAAATAAGTGTTGATTAAAGTCCTACCAAGTAGTTCTATACTATTCTGTACTTGTAGTCAGCTTTGAAACTGATTTGTTATATTGGTTATTGGCAAAAATCACTACTGATATGTTTAAGAATTGTTTAACTCAATGCCAGATTCTAAGTGAATTAGTTCTTCTAATTTTCCCATTACTATAATAATCAAATAGACTAGTTTTACAAAATCTGATCTTCCAAAGAGGCAAATATCAGCCCAGTGATTGTCCATCTTCTCATACTTTGTTCTTCTCTATCATGGCCTACCCGCTCAAGGCTTTTCACATTGCCGTGGTGGGTAGAGGGTCTTTCTGCCCTGGACAGACTAAACAGACTCTGGTGACAGTCTTACTATTAAATACAGGCCACTTCTTAGGCCCAGATCCAATCTTTATACTTTTTTACTCTCCCTGTTAAAAGGTCCCAGATACTCATTTAGTTTAATTTCTCTCTACAGTTGGTTCAGACACACAATATTGCCCAACTCCAGTGGGCACCATTCACAGTTTTAGTTTGCAACTCAGAAACCCATAAAGTTGCCACCACCCACTCTACATCTTGAAATTTTTTTTGCTCCTGAGATGACTATCTACAAAGTAGAACTTAGTCTTCCCAGCTGTACTTTTCCTTGGTGACTCTGTAAAACAAAAATGTTCCGTGGTTTTAGGTATCAAGGAGCCAGAAATTCAAAAATAGATCAGACATAATCCATACCCCAAATGAATGGTGGAGACACATAAATAAACAAACAGTGGCAAGATAGCATGAAAATTATTATGGTAGAAGTATCTACAAGAAAATTTGAAAACATACAAGAAGATGCGATAAACTTCTCCTCAGTTTAAGTGAAATAATCAGGGAACACCCCAGGAGATGACACTAATTCTCAACATCTCTTTAAGCCCCACTTAGGGAGGAGCTCTCCAGTCTAAACAACAGGGCCATATCAGACAAAGAAAACATGTGCCTGAAAGCTCATGTCATGTTCAGAGGTCTTAGAATGGTTTAGAGCAAAGGTCAGCAAAGTATAACCCACAAAGCAAATCTAGCTCTCCACCTGTTTTTATACAGCTTATGAACTAAGAATGCTTTTTATATTTAATGGTTGAAGGAAAAATGAAAAGAAGAAGAATATTTCATGGCACATGAACATTTTATGAAATTCAAATTTTAATGTTCATAAAGATTTATTGGAATACAGCTATGCTCATTATTTTCTGTATTGTCTAAGGCTGCTTTTTTGCTACAATGGCAAACGTCTTTGTGGCAAAGACTTTGTGGCCACAAAACTTAAAATATTTATTATCTGGTCCTTTACAAAACGTGTTCCAAGTCTTGGTTTAGCAAGACCAGAAGAGAGAGCCTTGGGCGGGGGGATGACGAGACATAAAGCAAACAAAGAAGAAATAACAAGGGACTTCCTTTCTTTATTTTTTTCTTTTATTATTATACTTTAAGTTTTAGGGTACATGTGCACATTGTGCAGGTTAGTTACATATGTATACATGTGCCATGCTGGTGCGCTGCACCCACTAACTGGTCATCTAGCATTAGGTATATCTCCCAATGCTATCCCTCCCCGCTCCCCACACCCCACAACAGTCCTGGAAGTCAGTGTGGCGATTCCTCAGGGATCTAGAACTAGAAATACCATTTGACCCAGCCATCCCATTACTGGGTATATACCCAAAGGACTATAAATCATGCTGCTATAGGGACTTCCTTTCTTAATGCCAGATATGTAGGCTGTAGGTGAGGGAGCTATTGAAGTAGGAAAGTTCTAAATAGTGTAGCAACATATTGGGTTTAAAGTTTTGGTAGCTTGAAGGAGCAAAACTAGAAAGAAAGAGAATTGTTTAATGATTAGTGCTATGTTTCCAGTAAATAATGGTGAAGGTCTGAACTGGAACAATAACAATGGAACTGAAGGGGGAATGGTAGGAAGATAGAACTAATAAAACTTCATGATGAAAAAAAGGGAAGACAGTAGATTCTGATTTGATGTCAGTATTACTGGTGGTGCCATTAGCCAAGACAAGTGATAATGCTATCATTTAGAATGGATGAAGAGAGAGAGAAAGAGACAGATGCAGAAAGAGAGAGAGAGACAGACAGAGAGAGACAGAGAGAGAGAGAGACAGAGACACACAGAGAGAGAGAGAGACAGAGAGAGAGACAGAGAGAGAGAAGATATATCCCAGACTTCATCCCAGGGGATGGAATAAATTATATAGAAAACAAATACCACCCTGGGTGTTCTTCATTAAATTATAAGATCCTTCTTGGATCTTATAGTTTCTATTCCTCTGCAAGATCCCAGAGGGATCTTATAATTTAATGAACAATACAGACAAACAGAATTGCAATTAATTGATAAAAATTAAAATGAAGGCATATAGAATGCCAAAAAAAGATGTATGAGAGATATCAAATGAGGCTGGGGGTGAGAGATTGCAGAGCTTCTTTCTAAGTGTGAGAAAGGTATGGCCAGGGGAATACTTCAGGTAATTTAAATAGCATGTGCAGAAAGCCAAGGTATTCTACAAATGAAAGATATTCAATATACTTGGAGCTTATAGTTTGAGATGATAAATAGTGAGGTAAAGATGGAAAGTCTATTGGAATCCTATCACACAGACCTGTATACCAAGCTAAAGAGTTGTTTATGAGGAAAGGACCTCATGAAGGACATAAAGACACCACCCAATGACTGAAGGGAAGTATGATGCCACAGTGTGGCATGGCAGTCTCTCTAGGGACTTTTTGTTATCACCTTCCCACTGGAATTTCAACAAGCTCAGAATCTCACATTAAACAAAATCTCCCTTCACAATAACAGCTGACATGAATAGAGTATGAACTTGGGGTCAACTCACGTAATCCTCACAACTCCATGAGACAGATTGTATTACTACACACACACACACACACACACACACACACACACACATTCCCTTTTGGTTTTTTAATTTTTTTATTAATACATAATAATTTCACATATTTATAAAATACCCTTTTTAAATAAGCAGAAACTGAGCCATAGAAAGGCTGAGAAACATGCTTTAGACCATGCAGCTAGTAACACTCAGAACCCAGGCTGTGTTACTGCAGAGTTTGTACTTTCTGACAACTACACTGACCTGCCTCAGCTTCATGTCCCTCTCTGGCTTGTTCCCTGTTTTTCTCTCCCCCTTCATAGCCAAAGGTGGTATTACTACTAAATCCAGGGAAAAATTTCCATTTGTGTCTTCATTATTCTTTCCTCTGCTTCAGAAATGATTTTTGTTTTTTTTGCTCTGCATCCTTTTCCTTCCCACCTTATATTTTTTCTGTCACACTCCAGGCAAAACATACACACAGTCTCAGTGGGTGATCACAACCACTGACAAGGTTTTAATCATCATTTACAGACATAATTACAAAGTTCTATCTCTATTCTAGAATACTCACTTTAGCTCCTATAAAGGTTTCTCTTTTTACACACCACAAGGACCTCAAAAAGCAACATTTCAAAATCCAGTCTCATCAGAGTCTCTTCCGTTTCCTGGGTTCCAATGAAAGGCGTAATTATCAAGCAGTTGCCCAAGCATGACACCAGAGATACACCTTTGAAAATATGTCAGGAGAGGTATGAAGTATCACTGAACCCTCTTGATTCCTGATTTACACTCTGAAATCCTCTTGCCTGCCTCCATCAATCTCTTCTGATTAAGCAATATTCTCCTGTGACAGCAGGGTTTTCTAGTGTCAACTCTCCCCAATATATTCTCCATACTACATTTAAACTGATCATGCCTTTAAAACAAACCTTATTATTATATATTTCTGCCTAAATCTATGAAAAGTTCCTCACTAAACAACTACTAAACTCTTTAACATGGGATAAATGTCTTCCCCAGTTGACGTCTCCAGCCACATCTGGCCATTCCCTCCATCTATCTGTACTTCAATTCGCTTCCCTCACCAAACTCTCAAACTCTTTGCTTCATTGTCACAGAACAAGTTGCAGTTCTGTGAACAAACCTTCCTTGGAATTATGTCCATGGTGCTTATATCTGCAGGTGTAAAGTTTCTAATCACATGCTTGGAAAAATGTGTAAACTAAATGTAAAATCCTAAGCCCTCCACCAAGTGAATGGACTTGCTCTTGGCAAATGAGACCCCAGAAAAAAGCTTAAAACTGGAGTTCCCAACCATAACAAGACAGGAGTTCACACACACTTCATTATGCCCCTTTCTTTTTGCAATTTAGACACAACACTTGGCCAGCATTAATGTTAAAATAGAGATCTCAAGACTGACAGAATGGACTCTTTGTGTCAATAAGATACCAAATTATAAACAAGGCCTAAGTTCATGCCAGGCAAGGATTAACCCATGCACTCCTACACTTAGAGAATAAATGATGTTCTTCTCTGTAGACTTTACGGAGAATTTTACTATAGACTTTACAAACACTGTCATAAGGTTTTTCTTTTTCTCTCTTAGCTAAACAAGCACTGGTCATAAAATAAGCAATGTAAAAACAGTTGCAACTCATCCAGCTCACAGACACCAAGTAACCAAACACCTGCTCCACCAGCCTTAACTACAGCTTTGGTTGAACAAGAGACTGATTTCAGTAACTTTTTACTGATAAGAAAACCACCAACCATGGACTGGTTCTAGCCAGTTTACAGAAGCTGAGCACTTGAATGCCTTTGTATCCTGAAAAGACATTTTGACACAGAGGACCTAATTGTAATACATGTAAATGTTAAGTCTCCACCCCAAGGTGAATGTGGGTCATATGTTACATGCATGTTTGTTAATATGTATGTGTCAGCACAACCTTTATGAATATGCATAGCTCCTTCTGTAACCTGCTGAAAAATGTACATTTAGCCATTCCATTCAGCATAAAGCCCTTACCTCTTCTTCAAAATGCCTGTCACTGGTCTATGCTGGAGCTTTCCAGCCTACAGAATGGCCACTGTGCAGGCTGCAGCCTTGTCTAAGAAATCAAGTTTCCTTTTCCAAATTCATAAATCTTGTGATTTTTAAGGTAACAAATGCAATGTTTGTAATTTCTCTCCAACTGAAATTAAGTTGGTTCATGAGTTTTGACACATCTCCGTTAACAGAAAACATAATCTTGCCAATTCAAAAAACATGTTTAAGAACAATTTCTATAATCTCAGCTATGGCCTTCCTCTTTCTCTTGCCACTAGAGAGATATATGTCTTCCTCACATTTGGAAAGGGATGTCTAGCCCTTTCCAAATGCGATCCTCTGTTGCTGGGCTCTGCTGATAGATTTGTCCCTCCTTGCCATGGTGTTGCCCTTGGCTTTCTCTACTGATAACTGTTCTAAGTACTTCTCCATTTTCTCTGCATGGACAAAGTATGGTGGTCACTGGGGCAAGGCCAGCATGAGTGGTCTATCCTGCTGATTCATCCCCTATCTCATCTCTCATTACCAACCCTCTGTATGGAGAAGGGAGTCTCCCAAGAAGCACGCTGTTCTTCCCAGATCTCTTCTGCACCCTGCTTTGGCACACTGGAACTTTTTGATCTACATTATGTCACACAGAGGCTGAAAGACTTGGGATGCCACATCATCTCTTACCTTCTCTACATTGCCCCTCTCCTCTGCTGGCATTCAGGCGGGCTGCAATATTGTCTCTCCTCAGAGTTCAGATCTCCAAACCCATACAGGATTTCCATTGCCCCTCCTTTTTCAAGGTTCTCACTCTGAAGAAGAGGCCAGAGGACAACTGCAGAACTCTACACTGACCTAAATGTTCTTTTTGCCCTTATCAATGTTCTTCAGGCTCCACCTCAATTAAGAAGGATCTTAAGTTTTCTCACTGTGTAACAGAAAAAACTATTTTTTGTCATTATACCTCTTTTCTGTTCCCTGTGGTTTAAGAGGTGGAATTCAATGCCCTGATTCAACCAGGCTTTACACTTGACATGTAAAGAACAGTCCCTAGCATTCCAAAGCATTTTTCTCTCTCTCAAGTGTCTGCCTCTTGCAATTCAGAATTACTTTCAAGATACTGCCTGCTATGAACTTAGCAAAAAGTACATAATGAAACTCAAAGTGAAGAAAATAATTGAGTCCATTCTTCTTGGGTTATTTTCTTCCCTTTCCCAAGCAATAAATCCAGTTTTTTTCTAAAGAATACATTTATTTACATTAATTCAAAATGTCTAAATCACAATATGCTAGAGTCCATTAACATATAATTTTAAGATTTACATATACACAAGTATACGAACAAATGTTACTTTGCTGGAACATAGGTTTTATAAATTATTCAGACATGTTGGCTTTCACATCCACATACTTATGGCAACAAACCATTATGATTTTAGACTTTCAATAAGGACTTCAGTGCAATTCCAGGAAATGTACAGAATGAAAAGAAAACCATAAAACAAATGTAACTTTCTTACACAATGACACCATGAAAGGTATGGTATTACAAGAGGAAATTTTATCAATATAGTCTGTTCAGCCTGGTCTGAAATGATGAAATTAGCTGTATAATTCCCAAACATTACTTTACTTTGTGCTTATAAATGAAAGTTGCTTTATTCTTTTTTCTACATCTCTAAGAAATAAAATAGAACACTAATTCTTCCCTTTAAAATAATTCAACTTTGGTTCTAATAAGTTAGCAAAGTCCATTTTTAAGAACATTAATACATGAAGATTTCTTCCTATTTTATTTTTATTTTTTGAAGTCTGATTTTAAGGTTGGAAAGGCTTCAGGGAAAAAGGAGTCACAGAGAAAGAAACACAATTTTCAAAGTAATAATATTAATATTTCAATTTATTAAACTTCTGTACTCTTTCATATTGAAAATCTTATTTCTTTCATGCCTAACCTGGTTTATTTGAACTATTCCTTCAGCACTCAACCAAGGAAAAACTTTCTGAGGATACATATTTGTACCTTCCCACAGCTGTACTGATGGCAACAAGAGGCAGCCAAATACCTACGCAGATAGGAGTGGGTCCCTGGTGAAACCCACCTCCAAGCCAAAGGCAGTTTAAAGCCTGAAAGCCAAGCTGCAAGTTAAATCCTCCCCCAGGATTGAGAACTTGGCTTCCTGTCTGGCACACTTTCCTCTGATTTGTTCCTATCCTCCACCTATTTTACATACACTGACCGTTTCCTAATTGGTTTTCTACACTGTCATGCCCACCTTTGAGTGGTGTCTTTAATTTAACCTTTTTTGCGTACTCACAAACCAATCAGCCTGCACTCCCCATTCTGAGCCCATGAAAGGCCCTGGACCCAGCCACAGGGGGAAACTTTTTTGCCTTTGAGTACCAACCCCATGTACCCTCTCTGTCTAAAGCTGTTTTCATCATTCAATAAAATTATTCTCCACCCTCCTCACTGTTCAATGTCCAGTGTATCCTCATTCTTCTTGGGCATGGTACAAGAGCTTGGGAATCGCCGATCGTGGGCACAGGCTGTAACACAGGTGAGCTGGGGCATGCCAGAATGTTCGAGCCAGGCCCAGGCAGGGCATTGCTGGCTGGGGGTCCCCAGCTTGCAAAGTAAGCAAGAAGGAAAATCCTACGTCAGTACTAGGTGATTTGCCATGCCTACTTGTATCTATGGCACCTAGCACCTACCCTCGTATGACATGTATCATACTACATTGTAATTACTTGTTTAGCATTCTCTGTCTTCCCATCTAGAGGGCAATCTCCTTGAGATAGGAAGGCTCTTATTTGTCTTCCTCTCTCCCATACCAGCATATTTACCAGCATAGTAGAAACTGAATAAATAGTTGCTAAATAAGTAAAATAGTGGATGTTGGTACCACTTTATAGAAAAAGGAACTGATAGCAAAGAGATAAATTGTCTTACCTAACATGCCAGCTACAAATCCAAAATCAGAACAATAACTATAGACTATCTGCATAATTTTACAGAAATATTGAAACACTAGAGTGGAAGCAAAAATTCACTTTTTCTTTAATTAAACATTCAGCAATAACTATACCCCAAATCAGAAGCTCACTTATTGACTTTAAACTATATAGTTAATTTAGACTTACAACAAATTTATTTAGTCATATAGTTAAAAATTGTACTTCGGCAGAAATGTAGATTCAAATTCTAGCTGTTTGACTTATATGATTTAGTAGAATTCTCTGAGCCACAATTTCTTTACCTGTGAAATAGAGTCAATAAAACTTGCCTCCTGCCAAAAAAAAAGAAAATTGTGAGGATTAAATTTGACCCTTATAAAATAAAATTAAAATGTAAAGCAATCCTTACAAATAAAAAATAAAATGAAATAAATGAAACTAAATCTGTATCTAACCGGTGGTATAACCACACATAAAAAAACTGCTATAAGTGACCTTAAAGCACAGTAATTTCACTGCCTGGTGGGGTATAATTTAAGGACAAAAATAACTGTAAAAACAAAAACAAAACCTTACTCTTTTTTTCACTTATTATATTATTGGCAGTAGTGTTGGTAGTGGCATGTTGGTATTGTTATTATGAAACAGTTACTTGTGAGTTGTGGAATAAAGAAATTGAGTAATTATGTGATATTCTAGTTCTATAATTCCCAGTGTGGTCTTAAATCATGTTTCTTGACTTTTGGTGTAGAAGGATGAAGAAGTTGCATTATAGTAAATACACAGGCCACTAACATAGTCATTTATTATCATTATCAAGTATTACGTAGTGTACTTAATTGAATGTGCTAGACTTTTACATGGCTGGCAGTGAGGTTAGTTTGTTTACACCAGCATCACTACAAACACATGAGTAATGCATTGCACTAGGACATTAGGACAGGTATGGTACCACTGAGGTATAGAAATTTTTCAGCTCCATTTTACTCTTATGAGACCACCACTGTATATGCAATGCATTCTTAACTGATATATTATTATGCTGCACAAGAATGTAATAGGTAAAGAGAACAAAAAATCTTAATAAAAGTATCCCAAATAATAAATGACCAGAAAAAAATGATAGTTAATAATATCGTCTTTATGTAACACCCAAGAACTACTGGATTCAAATGAGTAACTACCAATGGTTGCTGACATCACCAAATGAGAAATAGACAGACATTGAACACCTCCTGATGGAAGAATTTACTATCTTGCCAAGGCAATCATACCTGAATCTGATCAAGCCTCTGCAACTAATTTTGATTGACAGAAAATACCTAACACACAGCAACATGATGAACAATTTCACAAGGATATAATCTGCACAATCCAAACTGTGGGAAAGTCTAGAGAAGAATTATCAATCAATCAGAAAATATGACTTACTAAATCTTGATTCAAACAATTGGAGAAAAAATATATAAGCTGTTATGAGGGCTTAAAAAAAGAAAAAATACATGAGCTATTATGATGGCTATGAATAATTAATGGGTTAAGTCAAAGAGTCAAAAATGTTGAAAATTTTGTTTTCTTCTGTTACAAAATATATGCCTAAGGAAAACATAATTTTGATGAGACTAGTAATTAGCATGGTCAGTATGAAACATGTGACCATAGAAGTACTTTTTTCTCTTATATGGCCTATGGAAGCTTTTATTAGTTATGATAATTTGTGTTTTTAATCTCTTCAGTTAATATACCCAGAGGCAATGGAATTGGAGCAGCCAAGAAGGCAGAAATAAATACAATATCCTGCATGAATTCAAAAGCATTAAAAAGCAAATCTATTCTTTGAATTTTGAAATTAAATAGGTCAAAGTGCTTAAAGAAAACTACAAAACTTTTATTTTCCTTTTTGATCACTAACCTTTCTTATCACACATACAAATTACAAATTTTAGTGAGTAAATCTATTGTCTGTAAAAATAGGAATATCAAAACTCAGATTTACAGCATTCATTTAAAATGAAAACACTATTCCAGACTGCTAATTGTCTTCTTGGAAGTACTGTTCTATTTGCTTATGTTTCTGGGAAATCATTTTTCTGATTATGGCACCCTCCCAAATCTCAGTGCTTTGAAATTTAAGAGTAGTTATACTTTTGTAATAATGTATTTAATTGTAAAAATTTTATTATTATGAACCACAGTCACCATACTGTGCAATAGATCCACCAGAACCTATCTTCCCTATCTAACTGAAATTTATACCCTTTGACCAATATTTTCCTTTCCTGGCCCACACCTTCCCCAAGACTCTGGTAATCACCATTTTGCTGCCTACTTTTACGAGTTCTACTTTTTTAGATTCCACATGAAAGTGAGATCATGCAGTATTTATCTTTCCATGTCTGGCTTATTACACTTAGCATAATGTCTTCTAGATTCATCCATGTGTCACAAATGACAGAATTTTCTTCTGGTTTAAGGTTGATGGGATTTTAAATGTTCTCATCACAAGAAAATGGTAAATATGTGAGGTGATGCATATGTTAATTAGCCTGATTTGATCATTCCACAGTATATACAGGTATGTGAATATCACATTATACCCCATAAATATATACAAGTGTTGTCAACTTAAAACTATTTTTTAGATTTAAAAAAATTAAATATTGCACACAATGCATGACTTACTGTTTTCTTTGTCTGTAATAGGGAACGCCATTAGATATCTCCCCTAGTTTTAAGCTCAGATGCCTCCAGCTTCACCAGATTAGTTTCTGCTCTAATGCTGGTGTTAGATCTTCGAAGCTTCCAATTCTGAGTTCTGAATATTTCAGGTAAAGGCAGTTCTCTTTGATTCTGAGTTATCAAGCCAATTTTCACTTCTTGACTCTAAAGCTGACTTTTCTCACTGGGAGAAAAAAAATACCCATTATTTTCCTACCAGGACGCCCTTGATGGAAAAAATAAATGTATTCATCAGAAAGATACTGGTCTTCTTTTTATTTTTTCTACAAGGAAATAACAGTTCATAGTCATACTCAGGCACTGTCTTCTCCTTCTGATTTGAAGTCATCTTTAAGTCTTTTTGTATCATCTCAAATACTTTCACACTAAGGGCATGGTACACTATAATCTTTACTGGTAAGTTAAGTAATATAAACATTTCTCCAAATACTAAGCTAACTAACTCTTCTGAAGTCCATTGCAGTAATACACATAAATCACCATTTTTCATATTTCAAAGAATATACTTAAAACCAAAATAATTTATTTGACTCTTAGACAATGCTATTGTTGTTCCCTTTTAGAAACTAGAATTGAATAATTGCTCAAGGAGACCATTTTCTCCCTTATAGAGAAATAAGGAGATATTTTCTCCTTATAAGGAGATAAAATTTATCTTAATGAAAGATATCATGCATCTTTTAAACTCACTATCACTTATTTACTAAGACTTCACCATTTCTGTGAATTCTAAATTATTTTTGAAGCTATTCATAAAAAGAGTGAAGAGGTTTAACAGAGAAGAGTAACAAATATTTAAAAACCATACAACTTCTAAGCACAGAAGTCATAATTCATTAATGTTATGTGCCCACAACAGTATCTGGCTCATAGTATAGCCTCAAACAATATATTCTGATTGAAAATGTGAATAAATGTTACAGCAATTTCAACACAATAAAATATAATGACTTTTTAAAATATATGTACATTTAGCCAACCACATTGTAAACTCCTGGAAGACAAGAAAAGTGCTTCATTGCTTGAACAAAATATAGAACATAGGAGATGAAAAGTAAATACTAATGGAACAAAAGACATGATGAAGCCTAACTTCAGAGAAAATTACATATTAATGTTAGACACACTTTTATAGTCATTGCTATCTTTGACTTTAAAATTAGCTTTTACATGATAAACTGCAATTATTATTTTGCACAAACCATTAAATTATTTATCATAAATATACTGTAGTTGTTACATTACTTTGGCTGTTTTTAAACTTAGTGCTAATATTTACTACCATTAGATTGAGATATAAGGAAAATCATATAGTTCTACACAGAACTTCCTTTTCAGATGATACATTATTAGTGTATGCAAATGCAATACATTTTTATGTTTTTTTATCCTGAAACTTTACCGAATCTGATTATTAGTTCTAATACTTTTTTATAAAGTCTCTAGGGATTTCTACATATAGGATCATGTCATCTGCAAACAGAAGTAAATTTACTTCTTCTGTTTCTGATTTGGATTATTTGTATTTCTTTTTTCTTGCCTAATTGTTCTGGATAGAACTTCCACTACTATATTAAGTAGAAGTAGTGAGAGTGAACAAACTTGTCTTCTTCTTGATCTTACAGAACAAGCCTTCAGTAGTCTCTGTATTCCCCAGGAGGATGCAGTTATAGATTTATTTAAAATTTCAGTAGTGCCATCCAACTGACCAGATTCCTCAAGGCCATGATAACTGGAGCTACCCCGGGTGTAACAGAGCCTATCCTTCAGAAAATAGCAAGGCAGAATGCCATTTCAAGTAAGCCTTTATCACAGGCCTGTTAATAGGCAATGAATGCATATATTTTTAGTTAAGTAAATGAGCAATATGATAGCATAGAAAGTTATCTGTGACGAGCAAAGCAAAAGACAAGATATTCTAAAGCATAGAATTATTGGTTTGAAAATGTGTGTGTATGCGTCCAAGAAGCAAAGACAGAAGTTATGCTACAGGAATGCAAGTATAAAACCTCACACTTTGAGGAGCTACTTGAGTATGAGATGGAGAAAGACACACTGGAGGTGATGACGTTAGAGAGGCAGGAAGTCAATTCATGTAAGTCAACGTACAACACATGTGACAAAATGTCAGGAACTGGGAACACAGGACCAATAAATAATGGTCTAAATGATCAACTGGTTTGTGGTCTAGAAGCCACATTTTGAAACATATAAATAAAAAAACTCCATATGTTACAGGTGCTACGATAGATTTATAAATGGGGCAGAGGATAGGACAGAAAGTAGGGAGTGTGAATTATTCCTAGGTTGGGGGGAGATTGAGAGGAAAGCCTTGCTACCAAAAAACCCAGTGGAATAAACAAATAAGTAAATAATTAAGACACAATGTACCTGACAAGATTAGGTTATAAATCATGATGTTCGGATGCAACTGTTAAAGACCATGAATATTTCATAGCCTAAACATTTTAAAATTAAATTTCACCTTTTCAAAATTATCAAACAGTGTATAAAACAGGCTCCTTTACAGTGTTTTTGGACTTCATTCCTTGTATAAATGTTGTCCCATTCCTGAGCCCGGATCTGAGCTATGGAAATATGAGAATGGATTGAGGGCAGGGATTGAGTGAGTGACTGATATAGATGAGATACAATGCTTTGGCTTTTAGGATATAGCTGGAATGCTAAAATGTCTACAAAATCCAAATGTCAGGTACTGCACAAAAAAGACTTTCAGTAGACATAAGCTGGGTTCTGAAGGATGACTGAGAGCTGGCCAGGTGAAGAGATCAGGGGAAATAGAAGAAAGCTATCACAGGCAGAAGGACAGGGTAGCTAGTGATGGAGAAATGTTAGAGAATGTGGCTTCTCTTACTTTGGATGGCTGGAGGTTGGGAAGCTAGGGCGGGAACCTACAAGAGATGAACCAAAACAATAATCAGCGTTAGAGCAGGGTTAGAAATGAGACCAAAATAATAACTAGCGCTTTGTGTTGTGTTTTCAGTAAAGTATGATTATCATTTTGAACACTCCTGGGAAATTGTAAGAAAGACAGTGGAATGACTACATTTTTGTTTTATAAATATTAATACAAGATCAAAAATCCCTCCCTTCTTTGTCAAATCTTTATTGTACACAATTACTGCACTTCATTAGCTACTGTTATCACAGGTTTCTCAAAGTGTGTTATACAGTTACTTAGTGGTCCCTAAAACCCTTTGAGAGGGCCCTCAAAGTCAAAACTATTTTCAAAATATTACTAAAATCACAGGTTTCCAAAATTTTGCAGAGGAAGCACTGCAAATGGAAACGCTCTGTTGTCATTTGAGGTCCCTGAAAGATTTTGCAGATATCTCTAAGAAAACCAACATTTCTAACCTTGCCAGTATCAGAAATTTGCTGGTCTAGCTTATAACAGATGCTGTGCTCTCTCCGTATAGAACTTGGTTCGCAAGTAAAAGGATGGATATACTCTTCTCTTGTTTTGGCTTTGGCCCCAGGAAAGCAAATCTGTATCAGACCCTCTTTGGTTCAGGGATCTTGCTAAATACACTTGAATATGCCTAGCTTTTGCAGTTGATGTTTTGGAATGCATACATACCTAACTTAGTCTGACAAACTACCAGATATTCGAGATGGGAAGATCCCTGAGATTAGGAGTTACCAAATCCTTACAACCCTTATGAGCTTCTGTAATATCATGCTGCCAGGTTACCACAAGGGAGGATATTTACCTAAGAGAATACCTTTACACAGCAGTTCTCTAAGTATGATGCATAGATACTTGGGTGTCCCTGAAACCCTTTCAGAAACACTAAAATGTTGTTTGCCTTTTGCACTGTGTTGACATTTTCACCAATGATACAGAAGCAATGTTTTGTAAAACTACTGGTGAATTTGAACAAATCAAGGCAGTGGCAAGAAAATTGTACCAGTAGTTGTAACTTTACCACCGTTCATTTTTTTCATTTCCAGTGCAAAAGAAAAAAAAGCCAAGTTCAATTAAGGATATTTTTGATTTTGTAGTAAAAAAATTACAATATTATTAAACTCAACCTGTGAGTGCATGGCTTTTGAATATTCTGTATGACTAAATGGGAAATACACATAAACAACTTTTGCTACATCCCAAAGTATGAGAGTTGTTGCAAGCAAAAGCTCTAGAGCTCAGCTGAGCTGAGAGTTGAGACTTCATGTGACAAAGTAGCTAATTTAAGCAACAAGCCAAAAATGAATAAGTAAGGGTTGTAATCAGTTACTGTGATGATATAAGCAAGAAGCTAAAATAAGGAAAATGCCAATTCCCCTTTTCCATTTTCCCCCGCCAGAATGGCACACCAGTGGAGGATCAGGTAGATTAGCAGGGACATGGGGGTTGGCTCACCATTGAGGGAGCCCCAAGCAGAAAGCTCTGACAATTTTATGGACCCCGAGTTGAGGTAGGAGAGGGTGAAGGGAAGGGTTGGGAGTGGAAAAGTACTGGGTACTGAGTCAGATTGAGGAAAAGTGTCTTCAAATTTTCTGTCACCTCCCTGCATAAAGTGGCTAGTGAAGAAGACCTCTACCAAAGCCTTAGATAAAGGGACCTAGAAATGAAAGTCCTAGAGCTAGGACTGTAAATACGGGAAGAGCAAGACAAACCAGGCGTCTGAGTCCATGACCGCAACTGCTTTCAGAGACTGCAAATATGAGGATCACGCACCAACCATGGTGTGGAAAACGCAGCTCTCCCCAGTGAGGTGTGCCAGGCAAAGTTTTCATAGCTGCCTGTAGTCAGGCTTGAAAAATCACACATAAATTTTTAACCAAGAGACCGACTCCTCATTCACAATGTCACAGGGAAAAGTCACTGAGTTGCAAGCTGAACTAGCGCCCTTTTAATATAGCGCCATTTTTATTTGAAAAAACCACTGACAGAAAAACTAGCTACTGAAACTTAGGTATTTGGCAAGCATTTTCTTAAAAATAAAGTGAGTCTGTTGCTTCAAGGAAAATAATTGATAGTATTTATTGCCAATGATAAATTGCAAGCTGTCAAGCAAAAATTAAAATTTTGTGAAACTTGTACCCATCGCTGTGATCTTGATCTCTTCATAATAATTAAAGACTTCTTTGAAAGAGTTCAGTGGTGATATTAATGATTACAGTTCCCATGGGTTGAATTTTGCTCCTTCCAAAAAGATATGTTGATGTTGATGTTCCAATGCCCCTACCTCAGAATGTGACCTTATTTGGAAATAGGGTCTTTACAGAGATAATCATGTTAAAATGAGATCGTTAATGAGATTATTAGAGTTGAATGATCTAGGCTCTAATACAATACAACAGATGTTATTTTTAAGGGAAAATTTGGACACAGAACAGACTTAAACAGAGGGAAGATTAAGTGAAGACACACAGGTGGGAAACACACAGGACACCATGTAAACACTAAGAATTGGAGTGATGCATCTGCAAGACAAACAACATTAAAAATTGCTAGCAAACCACCAGAAGATAGGAAGAGGCAAGGAAGGATTCCTCTACAGGTTTCAAAGGGGAACATGGCCCATTGACATCTTGATTTCTACCTTCTAGCCTCCATACCTGTAAGACAGTACACTCAGTTTGTGATATTTTATGGTAGCTATAAGAAACTAATACAGCATTTCTTTTTCATATTGTTAAATGAAACTGTGTCAACTTTTGGAAGATCTCTATGTTAAAGTGAACTAGTATTTTCCAAATAATGATGTGTGAAGTTATAAGATTATACGTGGATAACAGACCCATTCAAGGTTGTAATGGGTTTTAACGTACCAGTGCAAAAAGTTCATTAAAATGGTTTGTCACAATATATTACAATTAAGTTTTTAAAAACTAACACTTGTTAGCTTTTGGTGCAGCATAAAAGAAGAAAATCTACAATTATCTGAAAAATCTATTAAAATATTTCTTTTTGAACTATATGTCCATATGAGGCTATGCTTTTTATATACTTCAAATAAAATAACACATTTCAACAGATCAACTGCAAAAGGATATATAAGAATTGTCTTACATTAAGCCAGACATTAAATATACTTATAAAAGCATAAAATAATATCTCTTCTCATAATTTATCTTATTTGGATAAAAGTAATTTTTCAAATAAAAATATGCTAATTATGTTAACTTGTAATTTTTAAAAATCAATTAATCTTTTAAACTTGCCCAATTTTAATTTCTAATTCAGTAAAAACTGAAAAACTGAACATAAACAAAAGATACTCAGTAATTTTTAACAGTGTAAAGGGGGGCTGAGATTTTAAACAAATTTGAAAATCATTGCTATAGCAAATGTCCATTTTTATCACTAGCTGAAGTTTGGGTTCCTAAACTCTGTTCTATCTCCAACCCCTATGAACTGAGCTAGACCAGGTGTGAGCCCTTCCTTTCTCTTTCTTAGGCCTAGTTGTGTTTTCTGGTTCCTCTGCTAAACAGTGAAGATGGAGACATCTGAATTCATTAACTGCATGTGTCACATGGGATATGCCTCTTAAGATGGAAAGCCAAGCCTACATGGAAACAGCATGGTGCTTGTCCCACAAAAATCCTACTCCCAGCCCCTTGACATAGTAGGCTCCCAGTTGGTTTCTGAGCTCCTCTTGGCAGAAGAGGGAGGGAAGGATTCTAGGAGCCTTTCCATCATCATCACTAGCAATAGTGGATCTTATAAAGGTTCCCGGGACCCAACCTCAAAGAGTCTGCAGATATGGAATAAACTCCAGCATCAACATTTGTAACGAGCAGTCTAAATTATTCTGAAGCAGATAGTGCCTGGACCACTATCTGTGTATCTTGTGGAATACACTGTATTATGGGTGAGAGTGCACCTCTGACCAAGGTAAAATATGAGATAAAGGTGTTGTAGCTCAGAGCTAAACGTTAAGTGATTATCAGGATTAACTGTTCAATTACATCCAGAAAAAACGCCTTGCCTCCTGATTTTACATAGATCAAGGGAGACGTGTGCTGACTGCCAGCAGGACATGAAGACTGATCTGGTTAAATCTGAGAGGAATTAAAAATGGATTTGCCAGTCTGGGATCCTAGCTGGAAGAGTGAGCCCTTGAAATAGATTCACTCTGAAAATAAAACGTATGCAAAATAAATGTCAATTACCATGTTCCAGTGGGCCTGTCCATATTTGCTTAGTTTTTGAAGTGTCATTTGTTATGTTTCACTTCTGTAAAGCATCCATGATGGTAATATCTGAGTGCCCTTTAGACTCTTGAGAAATGTACAATTCATTTAACTATTGAGTGAAACACAACCTTTGCTTCTCTTCACACAGAGGCAGAATGACAGTGCAATAGTAGGTAGAGTTGGAAAATCATTAATACTATATTGTATCCCCATATAATTTGTGTGAATAATGATTTTTAGAAAGGGTAGAGGATATCAGTATCACGTATAGTAGATGCCCATATTGTAGAGACCTTATCACAAATAAGTAAATTAACATTTTGCCTTGGGAATCAGCTTTGGAACTATGTTATTGTCCCAGACTTTCAGAGTTCAGCTTTGGGATTTACCCGGAACCCCCAGCTCTCACTCTACTCTGTTTATCAAACATATCTAAGATCAAAGTCTATGTCAGTTTACTCTGCTGACTGTTCATTTTGCCATGCAAAAGCTCTTTAGTTTAATTAAGTTCCACCTATGTATCTTTGTTTTTATTGCATTTACTTTTAAGTTCTTGGTCATGAAATCCTTGCCTAAGCCAATACCTAGAAGGGATTTTCTGATGTTATCTTATAGAATTTTTATAGTTTCAGATCTTAGATTTAAATCCTTGATCCATCCCATCTTGAGTTGATTTTTGTATAAGGTGAGTGATGAGGATCCAGTTTCATTCTCCTACATGAGGCTTGCAAATTATCCCAGCATCATTTATGTAATAGGATGTCCTTTCCCTGCTTTATATTTTTGTTTACTTTGTTGAAGATCAGTTGACTGTAAGTATTTGGGTTTATTTCTGGGTTCCCTATTCTGTTCTATTGGTCTATGTGCCTATTTTTATACCAGTACCAAGCTGTTTTGGTGACTGTGGCCTTATAGTATAGTTTGAAATCAGGTAGTGTGATGCCTCCAGAATGGTTCTTTTTGCTTAGTCTTCCTCTGGCTATGGAGGGTCTCTTTTGGTTCCATAAGAATTTTAGGATTGTTTTTCTCTAGTTCTGCAAAGGATGATGGTGGTATATTAATGGGAATTGCATTGAATTTGCAGATTGCTTTTGGCAGGATGGTCATTTTCACAATGTCAATTCTACCCATCCATGGGCATGGGACATGTTTCCATTTGTTTGTGTCATCTATGATTTCTTTCAGCAGTGTTTTGTAGTTTTCATTGTAGAGGTAAACACACTACCTACAGAGTGGCAGAAAATCTTCACAATCTATACATCTGACAAAGGACTAATATTTAGAATCTACAGTGAACTCAAACAAATTAACAAGAAAATAAAAACAATTCCATCAAAGGGTAGGCTAAGGACATAAACAGACAATTCTCAAAAGAAGATATACAAATGGCCAACAAACATATGAAAAAATGCTCAACATCACTAATGATGAGGGAAATGCAAATCAAAACTACAGTGCAATAGCACCTAATTCCTGCAAGAATGGCCATAATCAAAAAATCAAAAAATAATAGATGTTGGCTGGATGCAGTGGAAAGGGAACATTTCTACAATGCTGGTGGGAATGTAAACTAGTACAACCACTATGGAAAACAGTGTGAAGATTCCTTGAAGAACTAAAAGTAGAACTACCATTTGATTTAGCAATCCCACTACTGGGTATCTACCCAGAGGAAAAGAAGTCATTATATGAAAAAGATACTTGCACTCAAATGTTTATAGCGGCACAATTTCCAATTGCAAAAATGTAGAACCAACCCAAATGCCCATCAACCAACCAGTGGATAAAGAAACTGTGGTATATATGTGTGTGTGTATATATATATATATATAAAACTCCTCAGCCATAAAAAGGAAAGAATTAACGGCATTCACAGCAACCTGGATGGAATCAGAGACTATTATTCTAAGTGATATAACTCAGGAATGGAAACCAAACATCGTATGTTCTCATTTATAAGTGGGAGCTAAGCTATGAGGATGCAAAGGCATAAGAATGACACAATGGACTTTGGGGACTCAGGGGAAAGGGTGGGAAAGGAGTGAGGGATAAAAGACTACAAATTGGGTTCAGTGTGTACTGCTCAGGTGATGGGTACACAAATCTCACAAATCACCAATAAAGAACTTATAATCAGATACCACCTGTTCCCCAAAAACCTATGGAAATAAAAAATATATATATATAAATAAAAAGTCAAAATAGGGTTTAAAAAAGTCTAGTCAGGTCTTTTTATATTGTGCCAATGCTACCACACTGCTCTCCTTTTTTGATTACCTTCTATGTGTTAGGAATTCAGTCAGGTGGTTTGCACCTATGATTACTTTTCTTCACCACAGATCCATAGGGTTAGTCTTATTCTCCCCATTTTGCACTTGTAGAAGATGAGGCTCAAAGAGTTTAAGCAAATTCATCTAGGCCAATAAGATATTTGCTACCTTAGCGAGAAACTTTGCCCAGTTGGAAGCATCTGGTTTCTAAGCCCATATGTTATCACTTCCATTAGCTTGAATGTGCTTAGGTAAATTGACACTATGAGATTTCTGAGGAAAAAAACAAACAAACAAAAAATAAAACCCGAGATCAGTTTCCTTGGCTTATAACTCCTGAAGCCCACAGTTGGCTTCACCTATTTTCCATAGTAGTAAAATGAAATTCTAGTGGAAAACAAAGTACATAGCAGGTTAGTTAATTTGGCTTCACTAAAGCCCCATCAAACCACGGAGTGGAGTCAGAAATCTTCTTGCGCTGCCAAAGATAGTTTTGTGGCAAGCTATTCAATCACACAGCAGCACAATAAAAATAAGAATGACTAATACTTTTGGGTCTCTGTTACATACTCTGCCAATTAGCAAAAAATAGAAAGATGTTCCCCAAATATCACATTAGAAAGAGTTCAGGAATAGTTCCCACACTGTATGTGTAAATATTACTGCAGCCTGGGGACCACTGCTGATACACAGATGTGCTTGGTAATCCTGCTGTTTTTTTTTTTTTTTTAATATTTTAGGTTCTAGACCTTTTTCAGTAATCCAATGTGCTATCTTTTTCAAGTGAGCCCAAGCATCAAGCTTGAGAAATTAAAATTATTCAAAGAAAAGAAAATAGTTTTTCAATGTTATGGTTTCTAATGCTGTAATATATATATATATATATATTTTTTTTTTTTTTTTTTTTTGAGACGGAGTCTCGCTCTGTCACCCAGGCTGGAGTGCAGTGGCGGGATCTCGGCTCACTGCAAGCTCCGCCTCCCGGGTTCACGCCATTCTCCTGCCTCAGCCTCCCAAGTAGCTGGGACTACAGGCGCCCGCCACTACGCCCGGCTAATTTTTTGTATTTTTAGTAGAGACGGGGTTTCACCGTTTTAGCCGGGATGGTCTCGATCTCCTGACCTCGTGATCCGCCCGCCTCGGCCTCCCAAAGTGCTGGGATTACAGGCGTGAGCCACCGCGCCCGGCTGTATTATATTTTTAAAAAATAAATTGGAAATGCTGGTACTTGCTATTGTACTTGCTTCTATTTCTGAAAAAGCAAACAAGCAACAAAACAGAACATACATATCCTTTATATGTGAACTAACAGAGTAACTCAAATCCCTCTGAAGTTGTCTTAAGGTATCATTTTTCAAGTTGGGACACTCAAGACTAATTAGTCTCTTTATATCTATTACCTAATCAATGAGAAATAAAGCTTCTCGTTCTAACAAATTGCCATTTCAGCAAAAAAAAAAAGATTTATTTTTCTTGGCCTGTACTTTCTCATTAGTAATGTAAATGCAAGAAAGTCTGATTTATCTGGATTTTTTCCCCACTGAACAAAAAATAATTTGGCTAACCTAGAGTTTTATTTTTCATTGTATTGTATTTGTATTGTATTTTTTTAATTAAAACTGGCCAATGGAAACTCTGTATCCCCAAACCACTGCATGTATTAAATTTCAAGGAATCCTTAAACAACCCAAGAGACTTTCATTTTTTGCAAACTGCAAGGCACTAAGATCAATAAATGATCTGAAGATGCAATTAATATGCTAGAGGACTTTAATGGAAAAAGAGAAGATTTAGTGTTAACAGCCATTACTTCTCCCAGTTAAAGAAATTTCTAAGCCTGTGCTTTACTAAGTGAACTATGTAATCAGGATCATTGAATAAGTAGTTGTATTTTCATGATAGTTAATATTAATTAGCATGTTCATTCTTGATATGATTACTGTTAATTTACAGATTTGGATGCAGTTCCCTGTACAGTTTCTGTATGTAATTCTTAAGCAAGAATACATCCACTGGCACGGTGAGGAACTCCAGGAAAGCATTTAATTCATGATATTATTCAGTAGCTGACACAGAGTAAGTTTAACCAGGATCTCTCTGGATCAGATTCCCCTGCAGTCACCTCCATTAACTCCTACATTGCTTTTCTGTAAAGATGATAAAAAATAGTGACACTTAAACATGTTTTGACATGTGTTTTGTCTTTTAAAGCTATTAAATTATTTTAGTAATTACAAATCAAAATATAACAGGCTTAAGGCAACACATGAAACTGCAAAGCTGGTAGTGGGTGCTGAGAAGACTTTAACTTGAACTCTGGCATGAGGAGTTTACAGACTAGTAGAGGTGATACATTTTCTGCCCACGTGCTGAGATGTCATAGTTATTCCTGGTTGAAACTGTATATCCTTTGGAATGGAGCAGGCCTGAATTGATGTCCCAAGTTGGAAACTCCGGGTTACAGGAACTTAGGCAAATCACTCTCTCTATTTTCCAGTTCACAGTCTATGAAATAGAAATACTGTCTGACATGCAACATTGTTTTGACAATTAATTGGGCTGATGTACATTAAAAATCTAGGTGTAGTACCTTATATATAATAGGTGTTGGGAGTGAACCTACTTTTCACCTCCTTCATACTACTTTCATCTCGTTCCAAACTTCAAACATGTGCTATTAGAGAACACATTTTCAGGTCAGTTCCTTCATCCTCAAAGGAGGTCCGTGAACTTGGACAACAATGAAAATACATTGTGTTTTCATTAATTTCATCTGGAGAACTGAAATTTAGCATGTCTTTTAATGATAACTGTAGGCAACAGACAACAATGGGATTTGCGGTACCTATAACTTTGTTACTAATATAAATGATGCATATTTTTATACCACATTACCCTGTTTGCCAAGATATAAAAATACCATTTATATTTGGCTCAATGTTAGATCTTTTTATTTAATGCATTAATAAAGAAACACATACATAACTATGATACAAATTTTAAGATTGTTTGATAACTGTTTTTAATATTATTGGTTCCCTTTATATTTAAAAGCATTATTCTTATAAAATGCAATCAGGCTACACCAGACTTCACAAAAGGGTGATGGAAAAATAGTTAAGAATCCCCAACCCCACCGCCACCACAGAGACAGCCTATATCTAGATGCTACTAAGAACTATTTTGGTAGAATCCCTGATAGAGAAGCCACAGTGTAAGTAATTGGGAAACAACTCTTCAAATATAGGAAGAGATATATCAAGTGACTGTAAAATCTTTGGGCAGATCTGAAGGATAAACCAGGGAGATAGTGCTTTAAATACTTAACAGCATTCTTGGGTGAGTTTTCGGTGATACTCCAATTTGTAGGTGGCAACTCCCTTCTTCCAGTAGCTCAGGTTAACATAAATAAATAAATAATCGTTGTTACCATTCCCTTTCTCTCCACAACACCTAACCAATCTAAAATCAAATCCTGGCTGTTCTATCTTTAAAATGCACCCAGGTTCTGATCATTTCACCCTCTCCCAACACTGCTACCTGGATCCAAGTTACCATTTTCTGACACTTGGATAATTAATTGACTCCTAACTGCTCTTGCTATTCCAGGCAAGGCCTGAAACATTTATATGGTTTGGGGATCACATGTTGGAGGCAAAGGATTAACAATGCCTCTTGCAAAAGTGTAGAGAGGAGGTTCTCTCATAATATATCCCTGGGGTTCAGAGGAGAAATGGAAATTAAAGGGATCTGAATATGATGAATTAAAAATACAACTCAAAATAAAAAGTAAATGTCTGCCTGTGGTTGCTGCCAGCATTGCACATTTTAAAAATTGCAAGAAGTCAGTCAAATCTCACCATGAGAGAAGGTAAATTAAAAAAAGCTAAGTAGTGTTTGTTCCCCAGATATGATAATGAATCTCTCATGCAGGGAGAGTTCTCCCAACTGTTTATTTGCAGGTCATGGACTCAAGACAACTGGCTTAGATTGACTGGGATTCTGGAGAAGCAGATATCAAGGTTTTCCCTGTCTGGTCCTTCTTCCCTCAAGAGTCACTACGTCTCTATCATGCCAACATTAAGTAATGGGTTCTGGCAACATATATTTTCCTTAGAATACTTCATTAAGCATTGGCAATGTGTGCTTCATTTTTAAACGTCGTGAGTGAAAGGCTATGTGACCTGTAAATGCTTTAACAGTGAAGCAAGTCAGAGCCTAAAAGAAACTGTACCCATTCCAGTGAATTTTAGCCCCAGATGTGGAACTGAAGAGTCTAACTCTACAGGAGGCAAAATTCCTGGACATAATTTGGGGTGGTAATAGAAAAGGGAGGGAAGTTTTAGTCTTGAATATAGAGTGGCCCTGGAATCTTTTAAAATAGCTCTCCATGCATATTCCTGAGTCTTCTGCTACAAAATATTGACCCCTACAGGAAATCCACAAAGGTGTGAGGTTTGAGAAGCAGCGCCAGGGAAGGTAGAAGCAGGACTTTCCAATAGGTAGCTGATCACCTCCCCAGAGGAAAATAGATACACCTGTGCACACCTCTGAGCGACCAGGGCTCAGTGATTAAGTCCAATCAGTTAAGAGACCAAAAAAAGCTAAGTAGTGTTGTTGGGGTATGTTTGGGTTTTCATGAGGAAAGACTATCACTAAATACTATTGCCTTCTTCTCAAGTCTTTCCCACAAATGTGAAATAAATTACCTGACAGTGAGTTTGAGAGAGGAACTGGGTATTCAAAGTCAAGTTCCTTTCTTCCTTTTCCACTTGGGAGTCAGTTGTATACAAAGTGCCGAATGGAGTCTCTTTTTGTACACCACAAATTGTACAAAGCTAGCATTGCTGATGACAAGGTAAGTAGTGCTAGAAATCACGTTTTCGCTTTATTAGTAATTAAGGAGCTATTTGATTCATCTGTTAGACTCTTATTTGTCACTTGGTTCAAAACGCAGGGAGAAAAGAGATAGCTGTGTGTACTGGGCCCCTTTGAATCTGATGTATTAGCTGTTTGATACACAGTTCCTTAAAATAGCCAATGATTAGAAGTAATGAGTGTCACAAGAAAAATCCACATGGCTACAGAGCTGTGACAGCTGAGAGAGAAATAGATTTTCCTGGTTGACTGGTGGAAGGAAAGTTTCTTGTGAGAGTAAACCATGAGGTGGTCCTAGAAAAGGGGAAGAATTTACACATGAGAAATCAAGAAAACAATCCTAAGCAGTTTGACCCAAGCATATGAACAAAAGCATGAATGCATGAGAACATGGAGCAAACCATAAATATGGACCAGAGAACAGTCCAGTTTTGTTAACACACAGCATGGCCTTGAAAACCAGCTCTTCCCAAGGACGTTGAATTGTACGCCGTGAAAAATAAGAAACCTCTGAGGTCACACAAAGATCCTAAACGTTGCAATCAAAATTAATCTTCAGATGTCTGTGAAACATTAAAGAATATCCTTATGAGAGTGCATTTATGGGACATACATAGTAAAATTGGAACAATAGGAAGAAAAGTAACATGGCTCCTTTATGAAAAATTCTATTGGTTTAATGTAATATAATCCATTTTATACACTTGAATATTATGCAGTCATTAAAATGATACTTTTGAAAAGTACTTGCCAGGCGCAGTGGCTCACACCTGTAATCCCAGCATTTTGGGAAGCCGACGCGGGCAGATCACCTGTCAGGAGTTCGAGACCAGCCTGACCAGCATGGAAAAACCCCATATCTACTAAAAATACAAAATTAGCCGGGTGTGGTGACACATGCCTGTAATCCCAGCTACTCAGGAGGCTAAGGCAGGAGAATCGCTTGAACCCAGGAGGTGGAGTTTGCAGTGAGCTGAGCCATTGCGCTCTAGCCTGGGCAACAAGAGCGAAACTCCGTCTCAAAAAAAAAGTTCCTAAGAACATAAGAAAATGCTAAAGATATGTTAAATATTTAAAAGGCAACTCAAAGCATTATAGTAGAATTCCAATTTTCTGAAAGAAAGAAAAAGAAAGAAAGAAAGAGAAAGAAAGAAAGAAAGAAAGAAAGAAAGAAAGAAAGAAAGAAAGAAAGAAAGAAAGAAAGAAAGAAAGAAAAGAAAGAAAGAAAGAAAGAAAGAAATGTGTTTGGGTATGTAAAATACAATAATTGAATATGTGAAAATATAAAATGCAGTATGTGGAGTGTTAACATTAAGTTTATTTTTCAGAAATTCCTTATAAGTTTGTAACTCTGTAAAACTCTGTGTAATATCCTTCAAAGTACAGAGACATCTGCCTTATGAACCATTCACATATATCTAATTTTGGATGCCAATTAATACAATACTTACTACTATATATTTCCAGAAACTTCTTTAGTGATAGTAGTAGAAAAATAATGTAGTACATTTATTTATGTAGTGCTTTATAATTAACATACCTTTTCAGATGGCTCCTGGGCCACTATGTATAGTTGGCACCATACTAATAAGTAGTAAGTAACTCTGTGCTTGAAGAAAGTGTATTCCAGAGAAAAATCTATGTTTCATACAGAATCCTCCTCCTAAATAACTGTGAAACTTAGACTTTCACAGATATCATGGCCAATTATTTAATTAGTTGTATCAATATAAGTTAAGAATCTTGTTAAAATTAGATTATCTCTGAGTTCCAGAATGTAATCTATCTGCTGGTATTGATGAATATAGTAAGTAGAGAAAAGATTTTGGTACAGTGTATGATTTGAATACTTGTCCTCTCTAAAATTCATGTTGAAATGTAATCTCCAATGTCGCAGTTTTGAGGGGTGGAGCCTTTAGGACATGATTGAGTCATGAGGGTTCTGCCCTTATGAATGGATTAATCCGTTCATGGATTAGTGGATTACTGGGTTAATGAATTAATGGGTTATCCAGGAATGAGAATGGTAGATTTATAAGAAAAGAAAGAGAGACCTGACCCAGTACATTATCCCCCTTGCCATGTGATGCACTGTGCTGCCTTGGGACTCTGCAGAGAGTCCCCAACAGCAAGAAGGCTCTCAGCATATGCCACCCCTGGACCTTGGACTTCTCAGCCTCCGTAACTGTAAGAAGTAAATTCATTTTCTTTATAAATTACCCAGTTCCAGCTATTGTTATAAACAACAGAAAAGGAATTAAGACATAGAGACATAACGGTTAAATATGAATCTATGTATTTCTAAATTTTGATGTCTATGACTTTGGACAGCTGTTCTAAGCTTTATTTATCTCATCTATAAAATATGGAGAATAATTCCTACTTTATAGGATTTATGTGAAGACTGAATTAACTAATGTTAGCCAGTAATTAGCACAATTTGCAAGGAGATCAAAAAAGCCAATTTCATTCCTTTGTTCTGCTGGATAGGTTAACGCCCTAATGTCTGTAAATGTTCTTGCCCATAGCCCCACTATTTCCCCATCTTATAGGCTAGGCATTCAGACTGTATCTGTTTCAATGAGTCCTATAAATAGTCATATTCTGCTCCAGAAGAACATCTTTTCTTGGCCACTGCAAATTGAAATGAAATTATTACTTTACCCAAGAAAGAATAATCTACAGATTCTACAGTGGCTTGTAAGGTGGCTTGTATAAGAATTTTTCCCACCAATGGTTATGTTGATTAAATCAATAACAATAATGTACAAAATTCTATCTTAGAAGTTTGATAATGGAATAGATATTGAGAACACACTATAAGAAAGAGTGCACATATACTATACATCTGTAAAAAGCAACAGTAAGTAAAAGCCATGCAACTCAGAAGAGAGTATTAGAAAAATTAGTTGATATGGCTGAAGCAACAGAAAAAAAAACTAGTCCCCTCTGTGATTTTTCTGTCATGTAGAATGTAATACTCCTCAAATTATAGATGAGATAAACAGTATTCTCCAATTACATAGTCTTTTGACAAAAAAAAAGCTGACTTTGTTATATGTTTCATGAGACTGTTTTTGTTGTTGCTGTTTTGTTGTTGTTGCTGTTTTGTTGTTGTTGCTGTTTTTTTGTTCTGTTTTTGTTTTTTTGTTTGTTTGTGTTTTTGAGATGGAGTCTCGCTCTGTCGCCCGGGTTGCAGCGCAGTGGCGCAATCTCGGCCCACTGCAACCTCCGCCTCCCAGGTTCAAGCGATTGTCCTGCCTCTGCCTCCCAAGTAGCTGGGACTACAGGCATGAGCCACTACGCCCAGCTTATGTTTGTATTTTTAGTACAGATGGGGTTTCACCATGTTGGTTGGCCAGGATGGTCTTGATCTCTTGATCTCATGATCCGCCCGCCTCGGTCTCCCAAAGTGCTGGGATTACAGGTATGAGCCACTGCACCTGGCCATTGTTCTTGTTTTTATTGTAGTTTAAGTTCTGGGATACATGTGCAGAACGTGCAGGATTTGTTACATAGGTATACACATGCCATGGTGGTTTGCTGCACCCATCAACTCATCATCTACATTAGGTATGTATCTTAATGCTATCCCTCCCCTAGTCCCCTACCCCCCAACAGGCCCTGGTGTATGATGTTTCCCTCCCTGTGTCCATGTGTTTTCCTTGTTCAACTCCCACTTACGAGTGAGAACGTGCGGTGTTTGGTTTTCTGTTCCTGTGTTAGATTGCTGAGAATGATGGTTTCCAGCTTCATCCATGTCCCTGCAAAGGACATGAACTCATCCTTTTTAATGGCTGCATAGTATTCCATGGTGTATATGTGCCACATTTTCTTTATCCAGTCTATCATTGATGAGCATTTGGGTTGGTTCCAAGTCTTTGCTATTGTGAATAGTGCTGCAATAAACATACATGTGCATATGTCTTCATAATAGAATGATTTATAATCCTTTGGGTTGTTGTTTGTTTTTTGTTTTTAACTTTCCCACAAAACTGGGAAACGTTATTTAGTGCTTAGAGTTAGGGGTCTTTTTCTCCCCTCATGGTGAAAGTTTAAATAAACTTTGTATAGAAGCATATTCCTGGATATTATTAAGGATGGTTACTAGACGAGCTTTTCCTGCATTATCAGTTTTCAGAGCAAAAGAAAATTTACAACAAAGTAGATAAAGGTTTTCTTCCAGTGTTGTATGTGTCTCCCCTCTGGTTAATTGAATGCAAAAGCCATTGTTCGATGTGTTTCTTTGTTTGTGGTTTGTAATAATTTAAACCATTGGTTCTCAGGTTTTTGTACTTTCATAGGTATTTCACCTAATGCTTTATAATCTAATTTCATTATGTGAACTAACTTTCTTACTTTCCCTAAGAAGGCAGTCTTTCCATTTTACTTCCAAAGTAAACATTGGGAGCCTGAGAGTAACCAAATTTGTCTAAACCAAATGTGTTATATTAATACATTTCATTTAAGAGATTTTGGTGTTTCTTAAAAAATTATGGCTTGTCTACTGGCCATTTTGTTTTCATTTGAGAAAAATAGTAATTAATAAAATAAAAATACAATTATTTTATTAATAGGCAATTAATAAAAAATAAAATACTAATGCATTCAGAAGATGTGACTATGAATACAACTTAAATTTAAATTGAAAATGTCTAAACCTAAATATTATTTATTTCTTCTCCCTCACCCTCAACATCTTGTCACAGCCCCAATAGTTCCATTTTCAAATTCTTCCATTCTTTTCTCTGGCCCCAACATTTTCTGAGGAATGAGGAATGAGTATGGGAGAGTCATTATGGCGGTAAAAGCTTCAGGGTTACACCATGGACTCTTAACTGACCACCTGGATTCATGTTCTCTCTCCACTAAGGCACTGTGTGACCTATTCATGTTCCTTAGCCACTCTCTGTATCAGTTTCCACACCTGTAAGATATGAATAACAACAGAAGTCTGTTTTCAGTCAAATGTTGCTACTTTATAGGTAATATTATTTTTTATCCCTATTTTAAAATTTTCCCTTTATTGGTTATCTCCTCTAGTTTTTACTATTACGTGCTGAGGTATAGATTTCTTTTCATTTATTTCTTTTTGCATTTACTGGACTTTTTTCTGGTTGGTGTGATATTTCTGTCTTTCTGTCTTTCTAGAAATTTTCCCATTTCATACAAGTTATCTAATACTTTGGCATACAGTTGATCATAATATTTGTTGTAATCCTTTTTATTTCTATAAATTTGGTAGCAATGCCCCATCTCTCATTCCTTATGTTAGTAATTTGAGTCTTCTTTCTTTTTTTTTCCTACTAATTCAAGCTAAAGACTTGTCAATTTTGTTGGTATTCTCACAGAGCCAATTTCTGATTTTACTGATTTTCTCAATTGTTTCTCTAGTCTCTATTTCATTTTTATCTGCTGTAATATTTTTTCTTTCTTTCTCTCTCCTTGCCTAAGCTTTTAGAAAACTAATCTAACTTTAGATTTAGTTTTCTCTTCTTTCTCGAGTTTCTTGAGGTGAAAACTTAAGTTGTTGACTTGAAATCTTTTTTAATATTGTTTTCCGCAACTATGAATTTCCCTCTAATATTACTTTAACTGAATCTCCAAGTTTTCATATGTGATGTTACGTTTTTTATTCACTTCAAGATGCTTCTTCTCTTGTGATTTCTTCAACATTTTGGTTATCTTATGAGTTTATTGTTTAACTTTCACTTCTTTTTGAATTTCTCAAATTTCCATCTGTCATTTGCTAGTAATTTCATTTTATTGTGATTAGAAAACATACTTCACATATTTTATATTATTCAATTATTAAAATTTTATTAAGGCTTATTATGGCCCAGCATATAGTCTATTTTGGAGAATGTCCCATTTGTGCTTGGGAAGAATATGTATTCTGCTTCTATTGAGCAGCCTGTTCTGTAGACGTTTCTTATGTTTAACTCTATATGTAGTTATACATACACTTGTATAGTGTTGCTAAAGTCTTCCATTTCCTCATCAATCTTCATTCTAGTTATTTTATTATTCATTATTGAAAGTGGATTATTGAAGTCTTCAACTATTATTGAATTTTCTATTTCTTCCTTCAATTTTGTCAGTTTTTGCTTCATGTGTCTTGGGATTCTGTAATTGAGTACATATGCATTCATAATTGTTATACCTTTCTTTAATTCACTATGAAATGTTGCTATTTTTCTCTGGTAACCTTTTTATTTGTTTATTTTAAGTTATATTTTGAATAATAATATAGACATCCCATTTCTCTGGTGTTTGCTATTTATATGATAGGTCTTTTCCCAGTACTTTCAAAATACTTGTATTTTTGAATGTAGAGAGTCCTACAGACAACATACAGACGAATCTTTTTAAAATTCAGTTTTATAATCTCTGCCTTTTGATTGTATTATTTAATCCATTCACATTTAATTAATGTTATTATTGATATGGTTAGAATAAGTCTTCCATTTTGCTTTTTGTTTTGAACGTATCTTAATCTCTTTTCCTTTCTCTATTCCTCATTTTACTACATTTTTTAAATTGAGTAGATGTTTTCTAGTGTAACATTTTAATTTCTTTAATAAATTTTAAATTGTATTTAAAAATTATTTTATTAGTGGTTGGTTTTGTCTTATACCTTTTAACTTATCAAATATCTAGTTCAAATGTTAACTAATTTAATTCCAGGAAAATATAGAAACATGATTCCTGTATAGTTCTATTCCTTTTTTCTCCTTCTGTAGCTGTTATTACACATATTGCATTTGTATGTGTAACAAAATCAATAATACATTGTTATAATTATAACTTTATACAATTTTATGTTTCTTAAAAGAAGTTGAAAGATGAGAGCATAGGTTTGTCATATTAATCTTTATGTTTACCATTTCTGATTCTCTTCATTTCTTTCTATGGAATTGAGTTACTCTATGGTGTTATTTTCTTACTTGAATACAGCTTTGTTTCTACCTGCCTCCTCCGTGCTGGTATTGTTTAATGAATTTCACTTGTATACGTTATTAACCCAACTATACAATTACATATACACATAGTTATATACCTATGTACACACATATATGTACACACACACACATATATATATAATTTTATAGTTTGGCTAATAACATATACAACATATGTGTGTGTGTGCATACGTATAAAGAGTCTTATAGACAACATACAGATGAATCTTTTTAAAATTCAGTTTCATTGTCTCTGCCTTTTGATTGTATATAGATAATTGATTTTTAAATAAGTCAGGAAAACAAATGAGAGTAAGTACAAAATTACATTATTGTTAATAGTAATCTACAAATTCCTCTATTAATGCTTTTTGGGTTTTTGTGTAGATTCAAATTACTGTCTGGTGTCACTTGCTTTCAACCTAAAAATTTTTCTTTATTTTTCCTTGTAAGAAAAGTTTACTAATAATTAATTTTATCCCCTTTTGTTTATCAGGAAAGATCTTTATTTTGTCCTCATTTTTGCCTTCATTATTATGCATATTAGATTCTTGGTTCACATATGTAGTTTGACTTTCAGTACTTTAACTATAGAATCCAATTTTCTTCTGGCTTTTATTGTTACTGATAAGAAATCAGCTCTTGATGTTATCACATGGTGTGCAGCCTCTGAGGTTTCTCCTTACATTTTGTTTTTCTTTGCTTTTATCTTTTAGTCTGTCTACTTTTACATCACCCTGGGTCAGCATAGGTCACTTACTGGTTAAAGGCTATATCTAAGCCCTCTTGGCTAGTTAGACTTTTATGTTTTATCGTTGGATTTGTATGTGATTTGGAGGCTGCAATCACAGTTTAAGGAGTTTATGTTTGTTTTTATTTTCTGAGATACTAGAGATAATGTTAATTAGCAGCATCAATGAGTAAAATACTATGGTGCTGTCAATTTTTGTTGTTTTGTTTTCCTTTTTTATGAGTTACAATGCGCATGCCATAATCGACTCATTCAAATTGTATATTTCAGTAGTTTGTGGTACCTTCTCAAGATTGTACAACCAACCCCACAATTTAATTCCAGAACATTTCTTATCAACCCATAGTTGTGAGCAGTAACATTCTACTCTGTCTTCCCCCCCAGCTCCTGGGAACCACTAATTTTTTTTTCTTTCTCTCTCTCTATGGCTTTGCCTATTTTGGACATTTCATATACGTGAAATTACATAATGTGCTGCTTTTTTAATATCTAGAATTGTGTTTCTACTACATGGGGCTGGAGGGGCTGTGGTGATAAGAAAGATCTGTGGCCTGCCCCTCCCATAGCCCTAGATTTAGAGCTGGTGGGAGAGAGAGCACTATCTTCTTGACTTCACTCTCCCATAGTAGTGGCCCAGAGAAAAGATTACATAGATGGGGATGGGACAGAAGAGTAAGTGGTGGCTCAAGTGCTACAGACTCTTGCTGTTCTTGCAGTGACTTAATTGATTTTCCTAGATGATGGTTTCACTATTTTCTTGATGCTCTTATGATGATGACCATTTCCAGCAACTTTAAATAAGTGATTTCTTTTTAATCATTTTATCCAGTTAAATAATTACTTTCTGGGTTGGTGGGGAGTCTGCCAAGCTCATCACTCTTTCTGAAAATCCTGCCTTCTATGATATGGTCTTTTACTTGCAAAGCAAAAACAAACACACAAACAAAAAACCCATAAACTATAACATATCATGTGGCTAATTTTGCATGAAGTGTTTTTTCGTATTATGATGCATAATCTCATTAGGCTTTGCTTGATTTTAGGCCATGTTAATAACTCCCATTCTTGGAATTTTTTCCTTCAAAGTATATCCAAAATCTATCATTCCATTGGCATCACTTTTCTTTTTCTTTCATCAGGATTATAATCTCTATGCCTCCTGAGGTGCCTACTGACAACCTGTTTCTAATAGATTCATTAGTTAAGCCTTCCTCAAAGAGTTTTAGAGCAGAGCTTAGTTACACTTCTGGTCTCCAAAACTCAACTTCACTGCATAAAAATGGTGTGGCCTTTGCAAGTCACTTAGCTTCTCTAAAATAAAATTTTAAAAAAATCACTTTATCTGAAAAATGTGGATGATATTAGTAACAATCTATAAGAATTATTGTCAGGATTAAATGAGGTAAAATGTTTAGACCAATCAATATCTTGCACATAGTAACTGCCAATAAGTGTAGCCCTCTGTAGGTCAGGCTTAAATAACCTAGTGGGCAAGAACAGGATACACCATTCATTCTTTGAGGTTTTATTTTCTATAAAAATGAAGGATTGAATTGCAAAAGCACATATACTTAAATTATACCAATTTCTACCCATAATTATATATGATGAAAAAGACATAAAACTAAAAAAACTGATTTAAATAGTCATAATGGTAAAATGAGTGAGTGGTTTTTAGACTTATATACATAAAATGTTGCTTTTTTTCAAATTCTCTCACCTTGAAATATCTTGGGATTATACATTAGTTTGTTCCCCATCTGTTATCAGCCTATTCTCAGCTGGTGTTAATTAAGCAAACTTGTCTGTTCTTCTCAGCATATATCAAAAGAAGAAACTACTTCTGATTTCTTCAAGCATATATATATATGAAGGAGGAAGAACAAAACAATGAATGATACTCAGAGCCCACCAAATTGTCCATTGCACAGACCATTGTCCTCCATGCATAAGAAGGTTAGCCCCAAATTAGTTTTCCTAAACAGACTTCTGACTCTTTACTCCATTTCCCCAACTTTCCCTAATAGAATACTGATGCCTGTAAGAAGGTACACATAACCCAAGCAAGCATCATTCCTCCTCTTCCCTAATAAATGATAACAGTTTTGACCGCCTAGAAAATACTTTCATTTCTTCCACAATAACTGAGTGAGAATATCCCTGCTACACACACAGGCCTCCAGCCCCTGATTCATGGTCTCTGCCCCTGTGATCAAGGCTGCAGAAGCACAAACACACTGAGAACTTGAGGGTTTGGGCAGACAGCCTGATTCTCTAGCATTGCTGGGTGTTGTGTGGTCTTCATTTAGAAAACTTCTGAGGAGATCATGTGCTGTTCTGTGGCAGTCAATTTTAATCCACTCCCTCAGATTAAACTGGGCAGGATCCTAAACAGAAAAGCACACTCTAGGAGTGGTCACGTGGCACAGAAAAGCTGCTGTCCAGGAGCCCCACTAACCAGGAAGGAGTCACAGATACATCAACTCTTTATCCCCAGTTAACACCATTTCCTCCTTCCTCCTTCATATATGCTTGAAGAAATCAGAAGTAGTTTTATATATACATATATATACACATATATACATATATATATATAAACTTTACTGCCGTCTTTCCAATGTCATTCTACAATATAATCATTGGCTCTACAATGCACGTGAAGTACTCATACATTTGCCTATGGAATGTTTTTAGTCAATCTGGGTAGACAATGATTTCAAATAAATGTCAGGTTCCCATTTCCATCTATATGCTTAAGTTCCAGTTCTTATAATTAATGACATCTGCCTCTCCCTTAGGTATCCATTAAAATTTGTAAATTGTGACTTTTGTCTCTTATTCTTACGTATAGTAAAATCTTGAAGCCTGTCCCCAGCAATTAGTTGGAAAACATATATATTTGAAATATTATTGTGAAAAACCTCTGTCTAGAAATTACACTTCTTTTTTTTGATGTTTTTGTAAAAGAATAGACAAGAATATGACTTAAGATCCAATAAATTTTATCCTTCCACTTTTCCTCCCAAATTCTGAACCAATTATGCGATAAGAAAAGTTAAAAAGCAGGTGGGAAAATAGAAGTATGATTTTTAGTTTTGGTAGAGCTGTATTGAGAATGTGACATACTTGTGAACGAGGCAGATATGACACATGTGGTCCTTCAAATATCAAATCTGAGTATTGGACTGACAAAGTCAGTGTAGGCCTGAAAGCAGAAAGCTTCCTCACAGAGGAACCTACTCAGTAAAACTCATGGAGGAGCCGATCACAAACAAGTCCTGTTGTAGAAAATGGTGTTATGCCTGATTGTCTCTGAGTTCCTAAAACAAGCTCGGGTTCCTGTGAGTGAGACTTCTATATCCACATTTGCTGAAGTTACCCCGGTGACCAATGCAGAGTGATTGACTTTAGTACCCCACTGGGTCACAGCCACCTATTTCCCTTACGATCAAAGATCCTTTACTTCATTAATCTTTGAAGTAAAGATCAAAAAAGTGATAACATTTTTTTGTTGTTGTCACTCTCTGTATCTTTTTTTTTTTTTTTTTTTTTTTTTTTGAGATGGAGTTTCACTGTGTCACCCAGGCTGGAGTGCAGTGGTGTGACCTTGGCTCACTGCACCCTCCGCCTCCCAGATTCAAGTAATTCTACTGCCTCATTCTCCCAAGTAGCTAGGACTACAGGCAGTGCCACCACACCTGGCTACCTGGCTAATTTTTGTATTTTTTAGTATAGATGGGGTTTTGCCGTGTTGGACAGGCTGCTCTCAAACTCCTGACCTAAAGTGATCCGCCCACCTTGGCCTCCCAACATTCTGGGATTACAGGTGTGAGTCACTGCACCCAGACTGTATCCTTCTTGAAGACATTAGTTTTTATTTTAATGAATATTATAGACCATATTTAAACAAATAGATAACAATAGCAAACACTTTTATATTGTTTACTATGTGCCAGACACTTTTCCAAGCATGTTACATATATTAATATATTTTATCCCCAGAAAAAGAAATATTGGCCATAGGTACCAATATTATTTCCATTCTACAGATGAGGAAAAGGCTTATATGAATAAATAACTTCTACCAGGTTATACAGGTTGTAAATGTGGGTCTCGGATTCAAATCACATGCTCCAGAGTTTATATTCTGAACCATCATCCACTATCACCTCTCAACGGAAAAACTGATAGGCAGAAATAAATAGCTAATAGATGCCAGATGTAAAAATACCAGTTTCTCCATAGCAACAAATCACAATACATATGTTTTTGTCATTTTAATCATTATTAATATATCATTGCATTGGTAAAAATTCCAAAATAAATTGTGAAATACAGAGACATAGATGATTAAAATGGTAGGGAAGAGGACACATTACTTGACTGTTTTGAGAGTGAAATTTTCCGGGAAAAGGCACTCATCTTTTCTGTGATTTTATTTTCTGACCTTGTAGACTATTTCTGATTTTTACATTACTACAAAATAAAACCAGGATTTATGTTTATTATTTACATAGCTGCTTTATGTAGTTTTGATAGTTATCTTTTTGTTGTTGTTGTTAGCCTATGGGAAGGAAGAGTTTGGAAGGCCCGGAGGAATTCTTGTGGGTGCTAAGTGACTCTTCTGTTTATATATGTTCTCATTCTATGATTTTGCTTGAAAACCTAATGTCTTGGAACTTACATATAAATTTTAATAACATAGTTAGACAAGAGCTTAATAGTATTTACACAGCAGTCTGCTTCATTTTTTAAATCTAAAATTATAATGCAATTCAGCAGAAAAAAATGTCTATTTGAAGTCAGGAATAAATTCCTTGACTACTCAGTGTAACAAATGTTAAAAAAAAAAGTCACATTTGTCCTTAAGTCCTTCAACTTTATCCTGTGAGATTTTTATTTAAATCATCAGTAATCTTCATCACATTTACTTTTCCAACTTTTATATTGTTAAAGAGGTTAGGTAGGCTTTTATCTCTTCGTTTTAAATGAATCTTGAAAAATGCAACCATAAATAGCTTTGTAAAGTTCATATAGTTTTAGAACACCTATTAGAAACTAATAATAAACATATTTATTAGATATTTTTTAAGTTACTATAGCTAATTACTCTAAATTGAGTCTAAAATTTCTGAATGGTGTATTATAGGAACTGATGAACTTAATTGGCTCTAAAAAGCTCCCACAGGTAGTACATGACTTTTATGAAGAAGAAATAAAACTCACAGAACTAATAATTTATCAGCTCTCTGTTTAGAAAAATAAGAGCATGAAAAGTCTTTTCTCTCTAATGCATGAGAAGTTTTAACAAGAATATTATGTTAATAGGAAGCAGTTAAGTTTTTTATTAGCTCATATCCAATTCAGTTTTTCAGATTTTCCCCACATATTGATCATTCCACTTAGATCTTTCTTTACCAATGCAGTGATAGCACACTTGTAACTAAATGAAATTAGCCCTTAGAAATGATTATACCTTTTCAGTCAGCAAATATGGAATTTCATACTTATCTACCTGCTTTAAAGTCAAAAAAGAAATACAAATTCTAGATCCATACAAACTTTGGATAAATGAAGACAGATAAAATATGGCAAGTTGCCCTAGCCATTTGTGAAAAAGGTGTTCTTACTTGATCTGTAAACAAATAGAAATTCATTACTATATAGCTTGAAAAAGACAAATTACCCAGAATTTACGGGAGAGTAATTTATTTCCTTTAAGTCATGATAATGAATCTCCATTATCCACCATTTTTACTTTACCCTCAGACCTCAGAAATTGCAACAATGATTATAGGCTTTAGTGAAAAATGTTTCCCATTTTCTTTCTTTGATTCTCTTACACATTAGGAAATGGGATTCTCTTTGAGCTTATCTTTGTTGAGTAGAGGATTTTAGAGATGAATGTGCCATATGTTAACATTATTTCTAAAAGTTATTCTGTTATTATATTATTACTAAATTCTGGAGGAAGAGGTAAAAAAGGTTAACAATTCTCAATTTAAAAGCACATTACATTTCATTACATTGTCTTTTGATTTCATTTTCTTTAAAATTTGAAATATATTTCCTTGTAGAAGGGATATTACAAATAGTTTATTATAGTAACTTGCTGCCCAGTTAAAACCAGAAAGGCTCACTCCATAATGTAGCCAACCTATAAATATATAGATTTATATTATCAATAACAGAGTAAATTCATCCTCTTATATTACTTTTCTTTTTTTTCTTTTTTTTTTTCTTCTGAGATGGAGTCTCGCTCTGTTGCCAGGGTGGAGTGCAGTGACACGATCTCGGCTCACTGCCAGCTCCGCCTCCCGGCTTCACGCCATTCTCCTGCCTCAGCCTCCCGAGTAGCTGGGACTACGGGTGCCCGCCACAAGGCCCGGCTAATTTTTTGTATTTGTAGTAGAGACAGGGTTTCACCGTGTTATCCAGGATGGTCTGGATCTCCTGACCTCGTGATCCGCCCGCCTCGGCCTCCCAAAGTGCTGGGATTACAGGAGTGAGCCACCGCTCCCGGCCTCTTTCTTTTTTTTAACCAACCGGCATAGCCCAGTACCTCTTTTAAATAAATGCCTATAAAGAAACTCTCATGTCTATACATGCTGAGATATGTCTATGGGTGTTAAATCCAGCAGTGTCGTGGTGCCAAAATCTTGGAAACTACCCAAGGGTCTATTAATAGGTGAAAGGAACTAGATCAATGTTACATATATATTTATTTATACATACAAAGTTGAATATTTATATAATGGAGTATTGTACGGCCTTTAAAATAAATAAAGTGTATCTACATGTACCAACATGTATATTAGGGCATATTGGAGAGAGGAATAAAACAGTTTGCATAAAAATATGTATAACATAATAAAATATAATATATAAATATAATTTAGGTAATGTTTGAAACCACCTAAAGTGGTACGTATTGTGGATCAATATGTATACATGCTGAAAAAGTTTATATGCACTATGGTAAGAATGCACACTCACTTAGGATAGTGTTCCTCTCTAGAAAGGAAGAGGGACAAAAGGAAGAGGGACAAATAAGTTTTAGATTGGAGGAGATAGGGTTTTAAATATCTCTGCATTCTTCACTTTTTAAAAATCTCACCCTTTGAGGTAGTTTATGAGGTCAAAATGAAAAAATGTTAGTCTTTTTTATTGGGTTGACATTTGCACAGATGGTACAAAAACAAGGTAAGACTGCTGGCACCTTAGCATGATTCAAGGCAGTGACACCCAGCTGTACCAGTAATCACACATATGCATCCACAGTAAAAAGTGCCAGATTCACTTCAAAATGCCATTTAAGCAGAATTAAAAAGTTCATTATATTACATGGCAAATCTCGAGTGCATATGCTTTTAATATTATGTGCAACAAAATGGGAAGTTTGCATAAAGTATTCTGCTGTACTGTGGAATAGGACATCTGTCTTGAGAAGAAGCACTTTTATGACTGAGTTGCAAGTTGAACGAACTTTACATTTTTTTGAACACTTTTTTTACTTGTAAGAACAATTTGCAGACACACTATGATTATTCAGACTAGAGTATTATCAGACATCTTTTTTAACATAAAGGTGAGCTTCTCATTATTTAGAAAAGCAAACATATATCAAGATGTTGCTTTTCTTAAAATTGTTGTCAAGGACAAAATTTTGCTTTTAAGAGAAAATTTAAATTTTGGAAACCTTGTATCTGCCACAATGACATTTTCAGTTTTTCAATTCTTAGCACATTTTGTGATGAATAAGTGATGATAGAAACAGGATTTTAAAAATATATTATAATGAAATGTGTCAACGTTTAGGTCTCCATGTTATATAGATGTTATAAAATCCTGATGGAGAAAAACATCCATTCAAAAGGCAAAACTGATCAATGAACTTTAATGTAATCAAGCACATAACAAATTAAGCAAAGTTATTTGATATTATTTCAGATAACACATCACAACGAACCTTTAAGAAATTATTAATTGTCAAGTTTTGGTGTAGTATCAAAGAATATTCACAACTATCTAAAAAAAAGCTATTAAAATACTGCTGCTCCCTTTTCCAAGTGCTTGTCAATCATACCCCAATCGAAACGATAAATTGCAGTAAATTGAACACAGATATGAGAATCTATTAAGCTAAATGTTAAAGAGATTTGCAAACCAATGGTACTCTTCTAAAGCATTATTTTTTTATTTGGATAAACTACAGAAAATAAAGACTATTAAAAATTTTTTAATATGAAAAAAGAGTAAGAGAAAAGATAGGAAAAGAAAGGAAAGAGTGTCCAGGATCCCTTCCCATTTATAACCACAGACAACATCTTGATATATTTCATTTTAGACACTATGTTTCTTAGCTTGGACTTAAAAATGTTTGTTCTCCTTCCTCCTGAAGGTGTCTCCAGTAGCTGCCATCAATTGATTAGGGGAACAGACAGGGAATGATCCCGTTTTTCAAGCAAGCATGCCCACACGTGTTATAACCTCAGGTTAGAGTGATAGATGATAACTATGCATAGACCTGAGAAGCATGAATGTTGAGTATGGCAAACTCAATTTAACTAATTTGTGTTCGAGCACATTAAATGAATTTAAAGCTTTACTCTGCAAACTTGCTACATATTTTTGCCACTACTCTCTTGCTATATATACTCTCAACTTGCACAGAGTGTCCGGAGAGTATCCCACACGACTCCCTTCTGTCTTTTCATGCATTTTTCCATCTCTATAGCACATTGACTCTTCTTACTATCTCCTCCCCCGCCCTGCCTCACATATTCCTCACTTACACTTTCCACACACACACTTTCTTTGTAGTCAGGGAAATCTTCATAGACTCCTTTTCTTTCATTCCTTCTAGGCTTCCAGAGGCTCATTACGGGTGGGGGAAGAGGATTGGTGTTTTCCTTTGTTTCATACCCAAAAGGGGAAGGTAGGTAGAAAAGGAATCCACGAGGGAGGGAGGGAGAGAGGGAGAAGGGAAGGGAGGAAAAGAGGAAAGGAAGGAGAGAAAGAAGAAGGCAAAGAATTTTAAAAATCACAATTTAAAAAGGACAAAAATTCCTTTATTGATTCCTGAATGGGGAGGAGTAAGAATGGATGTTCAATCCTTTCACACACTTTGTTGAGTGGGACACTTTGCCACCTAGCAGAGGAGAGTAGAAGTTTTTTCCCTATTATCTCTTAGGTGAAGAGGAACTAGAAACTCCAATTTGATATTGCATCCTGTGCACCAAGCAGTGTGAACTTAGCAGGAAGGTACCTTTCTCAAACATTTCCAATCTATCATTACTATCTAGATCCTAGTGAAGGGGAGATTTCTGGAGGGGGTTGACCACAGCTATTCTACTTCTGAAATAGTTCTTTCTTCCTCCATGGTCTAATGCATCATACAGCAAGCTTTTCCTTTTCCTCCACTCTATCTGGTTTTTTTTTTTTTCACCTCTATAGTACCTTGATTTCTTCATTACTGTCCTTGCATTGAAGTCTGCCAAGGAAAGCATGCCAAGTTCCCCACCATTTTCATGGGTTGATGGGTGGGCAGCCTCAGGAGGCTCATGGCACCCCTCCTCTTCACTGTCGTTTTCTTTCTCACCCTGTGTTTCTAGCATAATGGGAGCCTCTTTATAGATCCATTTGGAAGGCTATTTGTTGACACTGTTTGACGGTTAATATAAGGATTCTTGACGTAACAATTTATGAAGTAAATCATTTATTTTTACTCTTGCTCCTATGGCATTATGTTGTGTATTCTTTGTCTTGCAATTAAATATTCTTAAAAGCAATAAACCATGTCTTCTTACCAAAACTCCACGAGGGTACAAATTCAACTATAGCCTCCTTAGTAATAGGTAGTAATTTTCTTTTTAATCTTTCCTTATTTGATATATACAAATACTATCTAGTTATTTAGTTATTTTCATTTTCATATTCTACTTGCAATTGGGGCTTACTATTTGTTCATATATTTATTAGTCATTGGATTTCTTTATCTACACATGATCTTTTCATAGCATTTGTCCATTTTCTTTGGGAAGTTCATGAATTCTTCATGTATAAAAAGTATTATCAACTTTTTGTCATATTTATGATAAATATTTTATCTCAAGTCAGTTGTGTCTCAAAAACCATTTTGAAAGACTGAATAAATATCATGTATATGGGCCAGGTGCAGTGGCTCACGCCTGTAATCCCAGCACTTTGGGAGGCCAAGGTGGGCGGACCACCTGAGGTCAGGAGTTCGAGACCAGCCTGACCAACATGGTGAAACCCAGTCTCTACTAAAAATACAAAAAATTAGCTGGGCATGGTGGCAGATGCCTGTAATCCCAGCTAGTCAGGAGGCTGAGGCAGGAGAATCGCTTGAACTGGGAAGCGGAGGTTGCAGTGAGTCGAGATTGTGCCATTGCACTGCAGCCTGGGTGACAGAGTAATTTTCCGTCTCAAAAAAATATATATCATGTATGTGATTGTTGAGTGTTGAGTATATAAATGGTCCTGAGACTTTGGTATGTCATCCCAAAGCTTTGAGGTTTGCAGCAAGCAGGTCAATTTACGAATGATTTACTTTCAAGCTACTTTTACTCACTTCTAAGCTAATTAAAGTTCATCTACATTATATTGTTCTCTCCTGTTCAGGTTCCAATAAACTTTTCTGATGGAAAGAAAAAGAACTGAGTTAGTAGCCTTGATGATAATTGAACCTAACCTTGAATATTGCCAAACAGGCAGTATCTCACTGGAAATATCATCTATTTGGGGGTCTGTGGCAGAAAAGTAATTGAGAGTTACTGCTTGAACTAATGGAACTAACGGATAGAAGTTCTATGTGATATATGATGAGCCCTTATTATTCATTATGGTAATTGGTTTTATAAGTGTCTTTCTTCCCTACTAGATTGTAAACTCTATGAGGACAAACTTGGATGTCTTGTTCATCATGATATCCTGGTACATAATTGTTGAATACATGGATGAATGTACAGCAAAAATAAAACAGTGGTGTAGTATATTTCAAAATGTGCTATTTTAATAGTTAAAATCAGAGCAGTAGAACTGGCATTTCAGTTTTCCTGCAAGTGATTTGGCTGTGTAGCCTTGGCTGTTTGCGTGAATTAAATGTTGCAGAAAAAAATCTTCCAAACCCTTAAAAATAATGTACTTATTTATTATCTATTTATTTATTTTTGCTTTTTTTTTCCATCTAAGTTGGAATACATATTAAGAAGAAATTAAAAACGTCTGAGAAACCTTACTAAAAATGGTGAGCTGTTTTCCTCCTTGAAATGTAAATAAATGTTAATTTCTGAGAAATTAACACAAAACCTTGAGTTTAGACTAAAAGTGAATTGCAATAAACAACAGGTCCTTGAATGACATTTTGTTGTAACGTTGATGAGAAAAATAATCAATTTCTTCTGGGGCCACTGTCTGTTTGGAGTTTGCACATTCTCCTCATGTCTGCATGGGTTTTCTTCAGATCATCTGGTTTGCTCCCATATCCCGAAGCCATGCACATTTGGTGAATTGGCATGTGTATATTGTGTCATTGGCATGAGGGTGTGTGTGTGTGTGAGTGTGCCCTGCAATGGAACAGCATCATCCTGTCCAGGGCTGGATCCTGCATTGCACCCTGAAGTGACCCTGAACTGGAAAAAGTGGGTTGGAAAATCAATGAATGAATACAGATGATTGTAAAATAATAATTCATAAAGTATAAGATAATCATACAAATGCAGCAATAAATGATACAGGAGAAAAGAGCTCAGAGAGCCCACCATTTTTTTTTATTATACTTTAAGTTCTGGGGTACATGTGCAGAATGTGCAGTTTTGTTACAAAGGTATACACGTGCTGTGGTGGTTTGCTGCACTCATCAACCCACCACCTACGTTAGGTATTTCTCCTAAGGCTATCCCTCCCCTAGCCCCCCAACCCCCAACAGGCCTCAAGAATGTGGTGTTCCCCTCCCTGTGTCCATTTGTTCTCCTTGTTCAACTCTCACTTATGAGTGAGAACATGTAGTGTTTGGTTTTCTATTCTTGTGACAGTTTGCTGAGAATGATGGTTTCCAGCTTCATCCATGTCCCTGCAAAGGACATTAATTCGTCCTTTTTATGGCTGCATAGTATTCCATGGTGTATATGTGCCACATTTTCTTTATCCAGTCTATCATTGATGGATATTTGGGTTGGTTCCAAGTCTTTGCTATTGTGAATAGTGCCACAATAAACATCGGTGTGTGCATGTGTCTTTATAGTAGAATGGTTTATAATCCTTCGGGTATATATCCAGTAATGGGATTGCTGGGTCAAATGGTATTTCTAGTTCTAGATCCTTGAGGAATCGCCACACTGTCTTCCACAATGGTTGAACTAACTTACACTCCCACTAGCAGTGTAAAAGCATTCCTATTTCTCCACATCCTCTCTAGCATCTGTGGTTTCCTGACTTTTTAATGATTGCCATTCTAACTGGTGTGAGATGGTATCTCATTGTGGTTTTGATTTGCATTTAGCTAATGACCAGTGATGATGAGCATTTTTTCATATGTTTTTTGACTGCATAAAGGTCTTCTTTTGAGAAGCATTTGTTCATATCCTTTGCCCGCTTTTTGATGGGGTTGTTTGTTTTTTTCTTGTAAATTTGTTTAAGTTCTTTGTAGATTATGGATATTAGCCCTTTGCCAGATGGATAGATTGTTAAAATTATCTCCCATTATGTAGGGTGCCTGTTCACTCTGCTGATAGTTTCTCTTGCTGTGCAGAAGCTCTTGAGTTTAATTTGATACCAGTTGTCAATCCTGGCTTTTGTTGCCATTGGTTTTGGTTTTTAGACATGAAGCCTTTGCCCATGCCTATGTCCTGAATGGTATTGCCCAGGTTTTCTTCTAGGATTTTTATGGTTTTAGGTCTTACATTTAAGTCTTTAATCCATCTTGAGTTGATTTTTGTATAAGGTATAAGAAAGGGGTCCAGTTTCAGTTTTCTGCATATGGCTAGCCAGTTTTCCCAACACCATTTATTAAATAAGGAATCTTTTCCCCATTGCTTGCTTTTGTCAGGTTTGTCAAAGATCAGATGGTTGTAGATGTGTGGTGTTATTTCTGAGGCCTCTGTTGTGTTCCATTGGTCTATATATCTGTTTTGGTACCAGTAACATAATGTTTTGGTTACTGTAGCCTTGTAGTATAGTTTAAAGTCAGGTAGCATGATGCCTCCAGCTTTGTTCTTTTTGCTTAGTATATTGTCTTGGCTATGTGGGCTCTTTTTTGGTTCCATATGAAGTTTAAAGTAGTTTCTTCCAATTCTGTGAAGAAAGTCAGTGGTAGCTTGATGTGGATAGCATTGAATCTATAAATTACTTCGGGCAGTATGGGCATTTTCACAATATTGATTCTTCCTATCCATGAGCATGGAATATTTTTCCATTTGTTTGTGTCCTCTCTTATCTCCTTGAACAGTGATTTGTAGTTCTCCTCGAAGAGGTCTTTCACATCCCTTGTAAGTTGTATTCCTAGGTATTTTATTCTCTTTGTAGCGATTGTGAATGGGAGTTCACTCATGATTTGGCTTTCTGTCTATTATTGGTTTATAGGAATGCTTGTGATTTTTGCACATTAATTTTGTATCCTGAGACTTTGCTGAAGTTGCTTATCAGCTTAAAGAGATTTTGGGCTGAGACTATGGGGTTTTCTAAATATACAATCATGTCATCTGCAAACAGAGACAATTTGACTGCCTCTCTTTCTATTTGAATACCGTGTATTTATTTCTCTTGCCTGATTGCCCTGGCCAGAACTTCCAATATTATGTTGAATAGGAGTGGTGAGAGAGGGCATCCTTGTCTTGTGCTGGTTTTCAAAGGAAATGCTTCCAGTTTTTGGTCATTCAGTATGATATTGGCTGTGGGTTTGTCATAAATAGCTCTTATTATTTTGAGACATGTTCCATTGATACCTAGTTTATTGAGAGTTTTTAGCATGAAGGAGTGTTGAATTTTGTTGAAGGCCTTTTCTGTATCTATTGAGATAATCACGTGGTTTTTGTCATTAGTTCTGTTTATGTGATGGATTATGCTTATTGATTTGTGTGTTTTGCGTATGTCCAGCCTTGCATCCCAGGTATGAAGCCAACTTGATTGTGGTGGATAAATTTTTGATGTACTGCTGCACTCAGTTTGCCAGTATTTTGTTGAGGATTTTCACATTGATGTTCATCAGGGATATTGGCCTGAAATTTTCCTTTTTTGTTGTGTCTCTGTCAGGTTTTGGTATCAGGATGATGCTAGCCTCATAAAATGAGTTAGGGAGGATTCCCTCTTTTTCTGTTGTTTGGAATACTTTCAGAAGGAATGGTACCAGCTCCTCTTTGTGCTTCTGGTAGAATTTGGCTGTGAATCCATCTGGTCCTGGACTTTTTTTAGTTGGTAGGCTATTAATTACTGCCTCAATTTCATAACTTGTTTTTGGTCTATTCAGGGATTCGACTTCTTCCTGGTTTAGATTTGGGAGGATGTATGTGTCCAGGAATTTATCCGTTTCTTCTAGGTTTTCTAGTTTATTTGTGTAGAGGTGTTTATAGCATTCTCTGATGGTAGTTTGTATTTCTGTTGTATTAGTGGTGATATCCCCTATATCATTTTTTACTGCGTCTATTTGATTCTTCTCTCTTTTCTTTATTAGTCTGGCTAGTGGTCTATCTATTTTGTTGATCTTTTCAAAAAAACCGCTCCTGGATTCATTGATCTTTTGAAGGGTTTTTCGTGTCTCTATCTCCTTCAGTTCTGCTCTGATCTTAGTTATTTCTTGTCTTCTGCTAGCTTTTGAATTTGTTCGCTGTTGCTTCTCTACTTCTTTTAATTGTAATGTTAGGGTGTCCATTTTAGATCTTTCCTGCTGTCTCTTGTGGGCATTTAGTGCTATAAATTTCCCTCTACACACTGCTTTAAATGTATCCCAGAGATACTGGTACATTGTGTCTTCGTTTTCATTGGTTTCAAAGAACATCTTATTTCTGCCTTCATTTCGTTATTTGCCCAGAAGTCATTCAGGAGCAGGTTGTTCAGTTTCCATGTAGTTGTGTGGTTTTGAGTGAGTTTCTTAATCCTGAGTTCTAATTTGATTGCACTGTGGTCTGAGAGACTGTTTGTTATGATTTTAGTTCTTTTGCATTTGCTGAGGAGTGTTTTACTTCCAATTATGTGGGCAATTTTAGAATAAGTGCTATGTGGTGCTGAGAAGAATGTATATTCTGTTGATGTGAGGTGGAGAGTTCTGTAGATGTCTATTAGGTCCACTTGGTACAGTGCTGAGTTCAAGTCCTGAATATCCTTGTGAATTTTCTCTCTCGTTGATCTGTCTAATATTGACAGTGGGTGTTAAAGTCTCCCACTATTATTGTGTGGGAGTCTAAGTCTCTTTGTGGGTCTCTAAGAACTTGCTTTATGAATCTGGGTGTTCCTGTATTGGGGGCACGTATATTTAAAATAGTTTGCTCTTCTTGCTGCATTGATCCCATTACCATTATGTAATGCCCTTCTTTGTCTCTTTTGATCCTTGTTGGTTTAAAGTCTGTTTTATCAGAGATTAGGATTGGAATCCCTGCTTTTTTGTTTTGTTTTGTTTTTTTGTTTTTTGCTTTCCATTTGCTTGGTAGATGTTCCTCCATCCCTTTATTTTGAGCCTATGTGTGTCTTTGCATGTGAGGTGGGTCTCCTGAAGTCAGCACACTGATGGGTCTTGACTCTTTATCCAGTTTGCCAGTCTGTGTCTTTTAATTGGGGCATTTAGCTCATTTACATTTAAGGTTAATATTGTTATGTGTGAATTTGGTCCTGTCATTATTATGTTAGCTAGTTGTTTTGCCCTTTAGTTGATGCAGTTTCCTCATAATGTCAATATTCTTTACAATTTGATATGTTTTTGCAGTGGCTGGTACTGGTTATTCCTTTCCATGTTTAGTACTTTCTTCAGGAGCTCTTGTAAGGCAGGCCTGGTGGTGACAAAGTCTCTCAGCATTTGCTTGTCTGTAAAGGATTTTATTTCTCCTTCGGTTATGAAGCTTAGTTTGGCTGGATATGGAATTCTGGGTTTTTCTTTAAGAATGTTGAATATTGGTCCCACTCTCTTCTGGCTTGTAGGGTTTCTGCTGAGAGATCCACTGTTAGTCTGATGGGCTTCCCTTTATGGGTATTAGTCTGATGGGCTTCCCTTTATGGGTAACCCAACCTTTCTCTCTGGCTACTCTTAACATTTTTTCCTTCATTTCAACCTTGGTGAATCTGACAATTATGTGTCTTGGGGTTGCTCTTCTCGAGGAGTATCTTTGAGGTGTTCTCTGTATTTCCTGAATTTTAATGTTTGCCTGTCTTGTTAGATTGGGGGAGTTCTCCTGGATAATACCCTGAAGAGTGTTTTCCAATTTGGTTCCATTCTCCTCATCACGTTCAGGTACACCAATCAAACATAGGTTTGTTCTTGTCTCATAGTCCCATATTTCTTGGAGGCTTTGTTCATTCCTTTTTATTCTTTTTTCTCTAATCTTGCCTTCTCTCTTTATTTCATTAAGTTGATCTTCAATCACTGAATCCTTTCTTCCACTTGATCGATTTGGTTATTGATACTTGTGTATTCTTCGTGAAGTTCTCATGCTGTGTTTTTCAGCTCCATCAGTTCATTTATGTTCTTCTCTACACTGGTTATTCTAGTTAGCAATTCATCTGACCTTTTTTCAAGGTTCTTAGCTTCCTTGCATTGGGTTAGAACATGCTCCTTTAGATTGGAGAGTTTGTTATTACCCATCTTCTGAAGCCTACATCTGTCAGTTCATCAAACTCATTCTCTGTCCAGTTTTGTTCCCTTGCTGGTGAGGAGTTGTGATCCTTTGGAGGAGAAGAGGCATTCTGGTTTTGGAATTTTCAGCCTTTTTGCTCTGGTTTTTCCCCATCTTTGTGGATTTATCTACCTTTGGTCTTTGATGTTGTTGACCTTCAGATGGGGTCTTTGAGTGAATGTGCTATTTCTTTCTGTTTGTTAGTTTTCCGTCTAACAGTCAGGCCCCTCTGCTGAAGGTCTGCTGGAGTTTGTTGGAGGTCCACTCTCAACCCTGTTTGGCTGGGTATCACCAGCAGAGGCTGCAGAACAGCAAAGATTGCTGCCTGTTCTTTCCTCTGCAAGCTTTGTCCCAGAGGGGCACCTGCCAGATGCCAGCCAGAGCTCTTCCGTATGAGGTGTCTGTCAGCCCCTCCTGGGAGGTGTCTGCCAGTCAGCATACACGGGGATCAGGGACCCATAGCAGAGCTCGAACACTGTGCTGGGAGGTCCGCTGCTCTCTTCAGAACTCAAACACTGTGCTGGGAGGTCCACTGCTCTCTTCAGAGCCATCAGGCAGGGACGTTTAAATCTGCTGAAGCTGTGCACGCAGCCACCCCTTCCCCCAGGTGCTATGTCCCAGGGATATGGAGGTTTTATCTGTAAGTCCCTGGCTTGGAGCCCACCATTTTTATGATTGTTTTTGAACTGCGTGGTGGTAAGGGGATGCTCTGACAATTTTGCTTGGCAGACATTTATTCCTTGACTTAATCCATCACCACTACAACTTCCTTCATTCCTGATTCACCAAAAATTAGGTAAATAATTATGTTACTTGTTTTGATAAATCTTTCTTAAATGTATGTATAGCTCACATTTATTTCAATGTTTAGTATGATAAGTGCTTGGAATCTTTATTTAGAAGTGTAGTGATGTTTCCTGTGACCAGAAATATGCAGTAGAAACTTAACTCTTGTTTATGTCAATTAGCCTATGGTAAAATTGGTTTCATTAAACATCATTTTGCTTCAAGTTGCAGTTTCCAAGCACTTATGGACAATAGTAAGTGAGGATTTACTATACATGTTTTCAGGTAAGACCCATTAAAGTTAATTCCCTCATAGATATGCTATAGTTACTCTGCTTTATTTATCTAGCTCTAGTGGAGTTTCTTGACTGGGAATCCTGAACACTTTTTGTTTAAGCTTATTTATAAAGTGTTATGTCCACTTTCATTTTCTTTATAAAATGACAATTATACTTCTTCTGTTGCACTTCCTTGCATTAATTATCCCAATACATGCAACTGAAGAAGGAAGCAGGGGATGATTAGGGGCCGCAGAGTGAAGCGGCCACCATGGTACCATGTTTGGTTCCACGTGGACTGCTCCAAGAGTTCAGTTTCATCAATTCTCCCTGAACTGATAAGACAAATTTGTCAAGCCCACAAGACACTGTTTAAAAACAAGAATGCCAGTTTATTAATTTAAATTAGAGTGTACATCAATAGCTCGGCCCATTAGCCAGGGCAAACCTTTTCCAATAAATCAGACATTCAGGAAGTGAATCAGAAAAATCTATTTAGTGAGCATAAAATAATAGATCATTGGATGTTCTTGAAAAATATTTCACTCGGATTGTAGGAAAGTCTATCAATTCCCCATTATAGAGAAACTCTCTTCAGAGACAGAGTACTTAAGCCTGCTAAATTAATATTCCTTTCTTTCTCCCCCTAGAAGAATGTTGCATATGCATATACATTCTGCCTGTCCACTTCTTTTTAAAAGACAGGAAGAAAGTGATTCCACATAATAAAGCATAAATTGATGCACATTTCTGAGTAGATTGCAACACTATATGTATCATTGTCATTCAAGCTGAATTTGTATTTTGTATATATCTGTAAGTAGTCACCAAATGTTATCTACTATTATTATAGTTTTGTATATCAGTGCCTATCATGGGCCTAAGATAACTGTCTACTATAATCTTTGTATAAATCAAAATTTTCCCAGGTTCACATCTGGGTCAAATAATCTATTTTGTAGACTAACTTTCCTACTAAAGTATCATTATTAAGCAATGCATTGTCATGTACATAAAGAAAATGTAGATTATGCTTTATTTCTCGGGTTTATTAACATTTTCTACATCGCTTTAATGTCCATAATATTTGTAAATTTAATTTAAATGATGGAATTATGTTTATGAGTCATCTGAAGAATGTGTACTAAATTTGAGTCTGAATTCTCTTATGACTATAATCATGATTTATCTTCTGCTAGGTTCATGATTTTATTCTAAGCAGGCTAAGAGAGGTGAGTAAATATTAGGAATAAAAATTACATCATTCTACTCTTTATACATATGTAAAATGTAATAAGAATGACAGTTTAAATTAATTCAATTGGAATCCTAAAACCACGTCTAGAAAACGGACTTGGCATTCATTCATTCAAATGTGTTCGTACATTTTAAAACTAAGTCATCTAGTTTACTCTATTGCACAAGATTACTCATGAATAAGCCAAATATTTTCAACCTGAGGATATTTTATTGTAACCAACGTAGATATTCGTTGGTTATCACCTCAGGATCCACTCTTATTTCTCACCAACATTACTCAGATTTTCCATAAGGAGTTTACTCCATCCAAGTCCTCAGCCATGTAGTTGGGGGTAAGGTGAATCCCATCTCCAGCCTTTGAACTAAGCCCTGTGATTTGTTCATGAATGCAGACTTGTCCAATTTTGGACCAATAAAGAGAAAAATTCTATGATGTGGATAGCTATGATCATTGATCTTTGTCCTTTTAGATAAAATTTAAATGTGTGAGGCTTGGGAATGCCTTAGGTATAGGGGTAGAATGTGATGTTTTGATATATGTCTATAATGCGGAATGGTTAAATCAAGGTAACTAAAAGAGCCACCAGCTCACCTATCTTTTTTTATGGTGATACATTTGAAATTTACTCTTGGTTATTTTGAAATATACAATACATTGTTATTGACTGTAGTCACCCTGCTATGCAACAGATCTCAAAACCTATCCCTCCTATCTATCTGAAACATTGTACCCTTTCATCAGCAACTCTCATTCCCTTTCTTCCCACCACACTTCTCTACCCCAGCCTCCAGTAACCACCAGTCTACTCTATTTCTATGGTGTAACTTCATTAGATTTCACATATAAATGAGATCATGTGGTATTTGTCTTTTTGTGACTGGCTTATTTTCCTTAATACAGTGTCCTCCAGATTTACCCATATTTTCACAAATGACAGGACTTCCCCCTTTTTAAGGCTAAGTAGTATTCCATTGGGTATGTGCGTGTGTGTGTGTGTGTGTGTGTGCGCGTGTGTATGTGTAGTATAGTATATAGTACATATAGAATAGTATTCCATTTTTTTTGCGTGTGTATATATATAGCTTAGTGTGTATATATAGTATATATATATAATATTCCGTTGTGAGATATATATATATATATATATATATATATATATATATATATATCGCATTTTCTTTATCCATTCATCTGTTGATGGGCACTTGCATTGATTTCATATCTTGGCTATTGTGAATAATGCTGCAATGAACATGGGAGTGCAGATATCCCCCTGACATAATTTATTTCAGTTCCTTTGGATACATACCCAAAAGTGGAATTGCTGGATCATATGGTAGTACTGTTTTTAGTTTTTTCAAGAACCTCCATACCATTTTCCATCATGGCTATACTAATTCACATTCCCACCAACACTGTGCAAGAGTCCCTTTTTCTCCACATCCTCTCTAACACTTATCTCAGTGATATCTCATTGTGGTTTTATTTTGCATTTCCCTAATGATTAGTAATGCTGAGCATTTTTTCATGTACTTCTTCACCATTTGTATGCCTTCTTTTGAGGAATATCTGTTCGAGCTTTGCTCATTTTTTAATTGAGTGGTTTTCTTGCTATTGAGTTTTTCAAGTTGTTTCTTTTATATTTTGGATATTAACCCCTTATCATATGTACGGTTTGAAAATATGTTCTCCCATGCTGTGGGCTGTTTCTTCATTTTGTTAATTGTTTCCTTCACTGTGCAGAAGATTTTTAGTTTGATATCATCCAATTCATCTATTTTTGTTTTTGTTACCTGTCCTTTTGGGATCATATCTCAAAAATGATTGTTCAAGTCAATGTTGCGGAGCTTTTCCTCTACGTTTTCTTCTGGTAGTTTTACAATCTGAGGTCTTATACTTGAGTCTTTAACCCATATTGAGTTGACTTTCATATATAAGGGTCTAATTTTTTTTTGCATGTCAATATTCAGTTTTCCCAACACCATTTATTGAAGAAGCTCTCTTTTTCCATTGTGTTTCCTTGTGCTATTGTGAAAAATCAATAGACTAAGAATGCAGGGGTTTGTTTTTGGGTTTTCTTCCTGTTGCTTCAGTTGATGTGTCTGTTTTTATACAAATACCATGGTTTTTAAATAACAATTGCGTTATAATATGTTTTAATGTCAGAAAATGTGATACCTCCGGTTTTGGGGTTTTCTGTTCAAGACTTTCTTGCCTATTTGAGGTCTTTTGTGGTTCCATGTGAACTTAAGAATATTTTTCTATTTCTTTGAAAAATAATATCGAAATTTGTATAGGGATTACATTTAACCTCTGGATTGCTTTGAATAGTACCGACATTTTCACATTGTGAATTCTTCCCATTCATGAACAATGGTTATCTTTCGGTTTATATGTGTTTTCTTCAGTTTCTTTTGCCAGTGTTTTATAGTTTTCAGTGTACAGGTCTTTTACATTCTTGGTCAAATTTATATCTAAATATTTAAATTTTTGTTACTATTGTAGGTGGCTTTGCTTTCTTAATATCTTTTTCAGATAGTTAATTATTTAAATATAGAAATGCTATTGATTTTTGTTTGTTGATATTGTATTCTGCAACTTTACTGAATTTATTTATCACTTCTAACAGCTTTTTGGTAAAGACTTAGTTGTTTTTTGACCAGCAGGGGAATCACCATGTAGTTCCTAAGGATAAAGCTGGCATAAGTGAAGGCAGAGCAGAGAGAGATAATCCAGATGTTAGTGATATTGTTTAAACAGCTGAGTAAAGCTTCATCCAGAGCTAGTTGTACCACTGGATTTTTAAGATGTAAAGCCAATGTACATTTAGTTCATTTGTTTATTTTAGCTTTTTTATTTTGTTTTCTATTCCATGCAACCAAAAGATTTCTTACTGACACAGGAACTGACAGACTTGATTTCAGTATTACATGGAGTTATTATCTATACGTATTTAAGAAGAAACAGAGTAGAAATTCATTTCTGCATTTAACAAATGTTTATTGAGTACCTATTTATTCCAGGGAATGTAGTAGTACTGAGGATACAGGGAGTAAACAAAACCTGTCACAGAATATTCTTCTTACATTCTAGCAAGCAAGAAGATTTTTAAAACTAATTACACATTAATTCATTCATCTTAATTTTGAAAGGGCTGTAAGGAAGAGGAACAAAATCTCATGGAGGTTTATAAAGGTGAAATAGATCTATTCTGGGGTAAATTAACTTCCTAGGGCTGCCATAACAAACATCCACACACTGAAAACAGCAGAAATTTATTCTCTCACAGTTCTGGAAACTGAAAGTCTGAAATCCAGGTGTTGGCAGGACCATACTCTCCGTGAAGGCTCTAAGGAAAAGTCCTTTTCTGCCTCTTTCTAGCTTCTGGTGGTTGCCAACAAACCTTGACATTCCTTGGCTTGTAGCTCCATCACTCTGATCTCTTCCTGCATTATCATATGGCCTTCCTCCTTGTGTGTCATTATGTCTCCAAATCTCTTTCATGATGGGGTTAGGACTTCAACATATCTTTTTGGGGAGACACAATTTAATCCACAACAGGGGTTTAGGGAAGACTTCTCTGAGGAGATCATCTTGAGCTGACATCTAAGGATGAACCTGAATTTCTAAGGCAGGAACAATGAGAATGTGTATTCCAGCTATATATTGCTTTTGTTGCTTTTCCATTATTCTGCCTTCATCCATCATTACTCCTGTATTATCTTTTAGTCTTCCATCTGGAAGCCCAACATTTTAATGAGAAGAAATTGTGGAAGGGCATCTCCTAATGATGGTCATGATGGCATCTCTTGGGCAGTTACAGAGCCAAATGATAAATGAAGCCTGTATGTGTTTGTATTCGCTAAGAATATTTTTCTAAAGCTTTTGTTTAGAATGAGATAGGATTAGATTATGTTTTTTTATGTAACTATGCACTGTAAGTGGCAGAGGAATTTGGAATATCTCTTTTTTCCTCAAGCATAAAACTGTATTTAATTGTTATTTTAATTTTGGAAGAAATACACATATAATCTATTTTCTACCTTGATTTTCACTGATAATGTTAAAGTATTAGCACATAAAATTTATTAATTGCAGGAAATAATTTAAAATTTTCTCTACTAAATGTTCTCAAAACAAAATTTCAATGCACTGCTATTAACATTTCCAAAGGAACCCTGAGTTTAGCCACTTAAATCAGTGAGTTCTTTTACTGACTAAGAGCTTTTATTCAGAACACAATCTTTCCACATAACCTTGCGTCCTTCTCCCTCACACCCTAGGAGCTGAATTCAATTTTTTCTTCCACAGATTACTTGTGCATTGGGTTTATTCAACACTTTACTACTTACTGACCATGAAAAAAATAAACTAACATCAACTTTTAGAAAAAAAATTGTGAGTTATTATTTTTCATTTGTAATAAAGACAATAGATGGAATCTTTTTCGATTATTTGAATAAATTTTACTATGAATACAAAAACATTTTTTAGGCCATGAAACAGAAATATTTAAAAGATTGCATGTGTATGGAATCTCACTATTATTTATTAAATCAGGTATTTTATCACACATTTCGCTGTCTAATTTTTACAACTTTACTTCATTGGTGGAAAGCTGAGGCCCAAGGTTGCATAGCAAGTAGATATGCTGAAGTAGAGAATAAAAATTTAGGTTTGACTATGAAACCTGCTCAATTTTCCCATAGAACTGATGTTTATGGTTCCTTCTGAATAAACATAAAAAGTGTCCCTCCTAGTCTTCAAACTTGAGAAATTTACAATTGTTTTATCTGAGTTCCTTTCTCTGGAAACTAATCATCAGGTTACCCAGATAGTATCAAGGAGCTGAAACTTACCAGACCACTGCATCTAAAAAATAAAGAGCCAAACCTCTTACCCATCGTGATTGCTAATTCAATCACTTGCTTCCTCTTGACCAATTCCTCTTCCTTACCACTCCTTAATTCCTCTTTTTCTGCATCTAGTTACATTTTTGCTACAAAACCCCCTAATTTTAGTCAAACAGGGAGATGGGAGTTGAGACTGATCTCTCATCTCCTTGGCTGTGGCACCCAAATGGGTCTTCTTCTCTGGCAGTACTGGTTGTTTCAGTGATTAGCTTTCTGTGCACTGAATAGCAGGACCTACACTGAACTCCTGGTATTTTGGTAACAACCATCTTTAATGAAAACTTAATTTTTCATTAATGCCATTTAAATTTTTCCCAGTGTTTTATACAGAGAAACTAGCTGTTAAATACTTAAACTTTGTTTCTTTCTTTTTTTTTTTTTTTTTTTTTTTTGTGTCAAGCTACCCCTCTGTTGCACAGGCTGAATTGCACTGCAGCCTCAAACTCCTGGGCTCAAGCAATCCTCCTACCTCAGCCTCTTGAGTAGCTAGGATTACAGGCATGCACCTCCATGCCCAGCTAATATATATATTTTTTTTCTAGAGACAGAGTCTCACTATATTGCCCAGGCTGATTTCAACCCTCAGGCCTCAAACAATCCTCCTGCCTCAGCCTCCCCAAGTGTTGGGATTCAAAGTGTAAACTACCATGCCCAGCCTACTTAAATGTTTTTAAAAGTATATGTTATCTCCTCTTTAACTTGATATTCCATAGCTCTTAGGGGATTACTTTAAGTTATTTGCTCCCATAAAACTAATGTTCCAGGAACACATCTTCCTTCTCATTGGTAATGAGCATATTTAGCCCCTACTATGTATAAAACACTGGACTAAATGTTGATATCATTGAAAGCACAGAACACTGAATTTTGCCATCAAGGGATTTATAATCTATAAAGGAAGTCAAGACACATAAGGTTATTATCTAACTTAAAATTCTTAATTTACTTACTATTGTCCCTAGGATCAGGTCTAAACTCCCTAAAAGACTGCATGATCTAGTCTCACTTCAGCCATTCAGCTTTACTCTTTTCCATCAGTGACCCCTTTTCCTTACCCCAAATTCTAATATATAGCCATAATGAAATTCAGGCTCCTGCACCTCTATTGCTACCCTCTGCAATGTCTTTGGGACCTCTAGCAATCATTTGGTCAGGTTTGCTCCTACCATCCTTGACTAAATTATGAGCTACATGGGTGTAGGTATCATGTCTTCTTTGTCCACTTTGGTAGTACTTGGAACATAAAATATGTTCAACTGTTTATAGACCAAAAAAGATCTAAAAAATCTGGTTGGTTGCTTGGTTAGCCAGTCAGTTTTCCAAATAAATTCATCCTTTGAGAAATATATTTTATATAAGTAAGTATAGTGTTTCTATAATCATGTCTACATTAGGGAAAAAATTTGTAATGTCTTTTTGTGTCAAAGAAGACTTTTTAACATCGTTATAGATAATTTTTTAAACTAATTTTATGTAATAAAAGAGAGTTACTTTCTGTCATTAAAAGTTTTATGGACTGATCATACAACTTCAGACTCTGAATTAATTAAAGTCATATTTATCTGTTTCTTCTAATTCTTCATCCCATGTAACATTCATTTAGAAACACTAAGGTATTTAATTGATCTGTGAATTATACTCTCTCATAACTGTAAGTATACTAGTTAATATTGATGTGACAGCGCAATACAGTATAATTCCAGCTTCAGAATTTTTTGGTGAAACCAAATTGTAAAGTTTTAAACTACTCTTTAATGCTTTTTATATTTTCTAGAGGTTAGCATTGTGTTTCTTTTAAATAAAGAACTATTATATGCCCGGGCATGAGGCGACCAACTTTCAGCTGCAATATTCAATATCTCCAACAAATGTTTAAATGAGATTACTCTGCCTTACGCTGAGATCTCAAAGTCTAAGAACAACACAATTGACACCAAATATTTTTAGATCTTAGAGTGAGAGATTAAATGCAAAACATGCTACTCAATTGTGAAACTGGCTTTGCCAACTTTAGATCACTCACTCTTTGTTTAAGAGGAAAGAAGAGACCACCTTTGGAGAAAGTCCCTGAAATGCTAAAATCTTTCCTCTCATTACAAGCTAAAGTAAGAAGATCCTGGAAAATAAGGAGTCCAAGAGAAAGTGAGTTTGGGAATAGTTGTTGGTGGGCTGCATGTATCTTCCACCCTCAACCATTCCCTTCAGGGATATCATAAACATAAACTGCCAGAGGGGCTTCTCAGAGATCACTCTGAGAGCCTGGTGAGTGTCCCATGGAATTTTGGCCTGAAGTCAGCAAGGAAAACAAAAAAGTAGAAGGAAACAGTGCCTTAACAAAAAATGGGGCAAGAAAGCATCACTTTTCTCTTGGGCCAAGATAATCTTTGGGAAAACACAAACCTGAGTCCATTGTAAATAAAAGGAACTCTGCTCAAGAATGTTACTTTTCTAGAGAACAAAGGAATCCCAATAGGGATCATCTGTGTGGACTGGAAAGCCAGAACGACGGCAGGTGTAGGGAGAGCAAAAAATGGCCCTTATAAGAGAAACATTCCCCTGGACCAGGGACACCACTGAAAGATCTCCAGAAAATAAAAAGTTTTAAAAAATGCACTCATAAGAAAAAAGAGTCAGCAACTGTGCATCAGACCCCAAAGAAACAGCCAAGGGCCATGCAATATGGTGCTTTCTCCCCTAATGCTTCTTTCCTTGAGCTCAATCCTAGTGGGATCAAAAATGCTGCCTAGTAGACAGAGGACATCTATGAAACTAGGATCAAAGAGGGAAAAAAAAGAAACAAGAAGAAACTCCTGTTCTCTGCCATCACTACAGGCCCCAAGGCCTGAGCAGGGAAAGAGGTGAAACTTCAAGTTGAGTGACTTTAATGTTTTGCTTATTATACTGGAACACACATTTAAATTGCTGAGATGAGATTTGTTCTTGTGACTAAAAATGATAAGGAAAACTATGGGGCATGTCAGAGATCTTATGTAGGAAAGATAAAAAACGAATGTATGTGGGCTAGTGTAATAGGCAAGTGGCAAAATAAAAAAAATTATACTACCAATAATTATTAAGTAAAACAATTACATATTTATCAATCATTTAGTATGTACCAAATAGTGCTAGGTAACATAGTTCTATGGATATCAATAGCTATATCTGACTATCTTCCCTTCAAACCCCTTGGAAGATGACATTATTACATGCTTTTACAAACACAGAAATAGAGGAGTTGACTTGTACAAGTTATTCAGATATTACCATGCAGAGGTAAAATTCCCACACATGCTGCCTCTATGAGGCAGAGTTCAGAGTGGTATGAAGTGATGATGTAGATATTTGTCATTCCATTTCCAGCTCTGAAATGCCCTCCTACAGTACATATGATCTAATAATAACGGCACCTACATTAAGCATATGCACTAAGTACGTTATATATTAACTCTAATACCCAAAACTCCACAAAAGGACATTGATTTTATTTTGTAGATTTACTTGACAAGTTTGAGTAACCTGCTTGAGATTTCACAGCTAGTAAGAGTTCACAGTTCTTAGAACTGTGCTGTTTCTACTACTCTATCTGTATTGTTAAGATAAATTTCCTGACATAGGATATAGAAGCTACAGATGTTGTCAAACTACAGGTGTTGTCAATCAAGTTTAAATGACAAATTGCCCATTTAATGATATGTTTAAATAAATTAAATTATTTTCACATCCTTAACACCTGAGCTATATGGGGTAACTATCATTGTTTACAGTCTACTGATAACTGAGGCCCCCTGCAGACTGAAATATTCATAGACACAAAGTGAGTTAATGACAGAGATGAAACTAGAAAATATCCTGATTTTCCTGTCTTGTTTATTTCATAATATTATGCATAATAATGGAGATTACTGGATAAACATGGATAGGTACCCAGGCAGTGGTTGTCGCAACTAAAATGGTGAGAAAAAGAGAACTTTAGTTAAATGTCCTTCTTCAAAATAGTAGGAAAGAACTGTGTAGTTGTAGTTAACTCACTCTCTTGAACACGGGCAGTGAAAGTCTGAATATGAAAAATTATAGTAGGCTGGGCACGGTGGCTCACACCTGTAATCCCAGCACTTTGGGAGGCCGAGGTGGTTGGATCACTTGAGGTCAGGAGTTTGAGACCAGCCTGGCCAACATGGTAAAACCCTGTCTCTACTAAAAATACAAGAATTAGCCGGGCATGGTGGCATGTGCCTGTAATCCCAGCTACTAGGGAGGCTGAGGCATGAGAATCGCTTGAACCCGGAGGTGGGGGTTGCAGTGAGCCGAGATCATGCCACTGCACTCCAGCCTGGGATGACAGAGAGCTAGACTCCATCAAAAAAAAAAGAGAGAGAGTGAGAGAGAGAGGAAAATTATAGTAAAAAACTGCAGGCTATTTGCTAGTTGTAAGGTAAGGATTAGGACAAAATTTCTTTACAATGCTTAGGATATAAAATATTTTCACAGGAATTTTACTTACCACTTTGTTAAGACAGCATTTTTCTGGACCTTTCATAATAAAGTTCCCAGAAAGAAAATACTTGGTGTCAAAATACATAATTTTGCATTCAGGATTACAACAGCTGCCTTATTTCTATTATGATTTTGTAGAACAGAACTTATAAACCAGTTATTATAAAGCCAATCTGAGAACTGAAGCTTCAAAAGCCAGAAATTACCTCTGTGGTTTAAAAGTCATTATCTATATTTTCCCAGTATTTCACTGTAGTTTTACACAATCTACATTTAAAAGCTGAATTATGAACCAAACAGTCATGGCTACGTTTATATTGCCTTTTTTTATTTACAAAAATAAAATTTAAGAAATATGGCAGTTACATTCTATTTCCGAGATTAAAAGGAAAAAAAAACTTATCTACCAAAACTAATGTTTAAATCATGTAGATAACTCTGAGGGAAGAAAATAGTACTACACTGGTTTATTTCATATTTTTATATGTAATTTCCTCCATGCTTAGTGATCAGCCTATTTTTCAAATTAATTGTAGTATTTTCATGACTGTTTGACTTTGCTGGATAATATGTGTTTTTATTTTCCATAAAACTCACCTCCTGCACAAAGGGTAATAATATGTTTTATATGTGCAGATAGCTTGATGTTGTCTGGTTTGAAAAGAATTCACATTTGTATTATTATCTTCAGTGAAATTAATTGTATCTGCACTGCAGTTTGTCTTTAAAAATAGCCATTTCAAACTACCCGTTGACAGAAAACAAGATAGAGGCAGCAAAAATTTGGCATAGCTCAATTTTACCCACCACCCCCAAATTGTATTGGCATTTTAGGTTATAAAAATCAGAACGTCACTGAAAACAAAGACAGTTTTTACTGTCAAAGACAGTTTTTACTTCTTCCTTTGCAATTATTTCCCTCATGTATTTTTCTTGCTTTATTACACTGGCTAGAACCTCAGTACAATGGTGAAAATAAGTGATGAGAATAGACAGCTATACTGTGTTCTTAATCTTTAAAAGAGACCATTCAGTCTTTCACCATTAAGAATGTTACTAGATATAGATTTTCCATAGATACCCTTTATCAGGTTGAGTAAGTTCCCTTATATTCCTAGTTTTCCAAGAGTGTTCATCAGGAACGGATGTTGAATTTTGTCAAATATGTTTTATTTACCTATTGAGATGATCATGTGGTCTGTTGATATCGTGAATTATGGTTGATTTTTGAATATTAAACCAATCTTACGTTCCTAGGGAAAATCTCACTTGCTCATAATGTATTATCCTTGTTATATATTGCTGGATTCAATTAGCTAGATACACTTGTGTTAAGGAATTTTGTTTGCATCTATTCTCATGAAGGATAATGGTATGGAGTTTTCTCCTTCTACAATGTCTTTTTTCTAATTTTGTATCAGGGCAATGCTGTCCTCATAAAATTAAGTAAAAATAGTTCCCAGGTATTTTATTTTCTGAGGAAATCTGTATCAATTTGTATTATTTTTTCCTAAATGTTTGGTAGAATTCACAAGCAAAGGCATCTGGGCCATAAGGTTTTTTGTAGGAATATTTTGAATAAGTAAGTTTCTTTACTAAATATGCAGTTATTCAGATTAAAATTTGTTTAAGAGTGAGCTTTAGTAGTTTGTGTATTTCAGTAATTGTTCCATCACATCTAATTTATTGATTTTATTACCATGTATTGCTAAGATTATTTCCTTGTTATATTTAAGTGTTTTGTAGGATCTGCATTGATATTTCTTCTTTCTTTCCATATGTTGGTAATTGTGTCCTTTTTTTTTCCTGACTAGCAGCTTATCAATTTTATTGATTTTTTTTTCAAAGTTTTTGGTTTCTCTGATTTTCTTATATTGTTTTGTATGTTTCCCATTTTATTAATTTTTGGAGTTTTTATTATTTCTTTCCTTCCTCTTACTTTGGTAAGTCTGCTTTTTTCTAGTTTCTTAAGGTAGAAGTTTAAATAATTGATTTTAGACCACTTTTTATGACATAGGTGTATAATGCTGTGAGTTTTCCTCTAAGAATGGCTTTATCTGCATACCACAAATTTTGATAAGTTGTGTTATCTCAGGTTCTCCAAAAGCAGTTTTAAAAATAAGGTTACATGTTCAAGAAATTTATTGAGGGGCAGATATGTTTCGGAGGAAACATAAGACCTAGCAAAACTTCAGACTAAAATGCATGTGTGGCACCTGTGAAAGGAGAAAAGGAAGGAAGATAAATTGGTTAGAAAGAACATAAAACTGCAGTAGAGTTCTGTAGCAATCTCAGCAAGGCCACTGAAGAGCCTCAGTGAAAATATTGCCTATTAGAGGAGCTTTCATTAAGCAAAATGGCCTAACTTTATATCCCCACCATATTCGGTAATAGCCAAGAAACAGCACGAAAGCAAAGCCTTCAAAATTAGTGCTGCCAGAGATTCCAAAGATGTTACCTAATCACACTCCTCAGCAAGTTTTCTCTTATGGGAGAATCTAACCAGCAAACTCCCATGGCCGCCACAGTCCATCTTTTCTACCACAATGATCCATTTCTTCATTTATTTTCAGCAAACAACTTCTCCACAATTTCTATGGCTCTTTCCCTCTGAGAGGAAACTTAAGAAAGGGAAAGTGAGACAAATTGCAGTCCCCATCACTCCATTTGGTCTCCAGATCACAAGAGGTTCACTGTCTTTCTCCACTATCTATTCATTCAAAGTTCCCTCACCCTTAGCTATCACTTCTGAAGATCTTAGTAGCTTATCCACCCCAACTTCTACAGATCTTTATAGCTTACTTACCAGGGCACTCCATCTACCTAACAGTAGCTTACCCTAACCCTCACTCCTGAGGGGTCTAATTTACAAGATAACAATCAGCTTCTTAGGATGGAGTCACTGTATGTGTTTACTCACATTTACAACTGGGCAAAGAGTACCAAAAGGGACCTAAATGGATCACCTTGGTTCCACATGTGTTTGCCCTTGTTCCCCACTGTAAAAGCAGCTTTACTCCTTCTGCTAATCAGGGTCAATTACCCCTGTCAATATGCTGACTTCTTGACATTTGGTTTCTGGAAACAAGGAGACAAAAGTGGCAAGGCAGTGTCTGTGGCTTATAGTTCAGACATATCCATGCTATGTCCCCTATCAAGAGGATATCCTCTTTGCAGACCAGGACCTTTAACCAAGCAGATCCTAGAGTTGTGTCTATGTAAGATACAAAGCTTTCCAAACGGGTCATTGGAAGTGGTAAGTAAAGCTAATCTTGCTTCAATCCCTTGGTTTCTAGACCCATAAATTCTTCCTATTGGAAACACAGAGCCATAGGAGTCTCTGATGTAGTGCATGTATTGTGAAGTAAAGGATGGCACCGCATCATTGCAGAGTATTGCCTTGGAGCTTGTGCCTCATTCATGACTCCACAGACCATTTTAATGCTCCATTGAACAAACTTATTCTGGATTGTGTTGCATGTTATATTTTTAAAATTAATCTGAATCTTACACCTCCTTCACTATGAAATGAGTCATCTATTTACATGTTACAATATGTAGGATTCCTTACCTATGGATCAGGCATTCCTACAAGCTCCCAGTTAGTGATGCTGGCTGAGGACATTTTCCATGGTCACCACCACTAAATTCTTAAGAATGAAGGCATCACCTCTCGTTGGAGATTATTTGTGCACCACATTGCAGCTAGAGAGTGGGTGATCCAATCGCAAAACTCAATCTTATTGCATATTTTCTCAGACCTTTACCCGTATTTGCTGTCAGTTTAGATTCCCTAAGAAGCAGATGTCATCACAGAATTCGGCACCCAAGAACTTTCTTGGGAAAAACACCTGTAAGCGATAAAAAGGAGAGGGAACAGGAACAGGTGTGGAGAACCTTCAGAATATGATGGAGAAAAGTGAAAAGAGTGAGGGAAAAAAGAAGGATTGGATGGAAAAAGCCTCAGACTGAACGAAAATTCTGAGAGTATCATAGCAAAGCTGATACTGAGTCCCAGAGTAAACATTACTCATCAAAGTAATTAGAAGAGTTTCATATTGGGTAAGAATGATCCAGTCTATGTTCAGCAATTATTGATACACTCATGGGACTTGGGAACAAGGGGAACTGATGTAAATACGCTGATTCTCATGCTGTTTGCTAAGCCATGGGTAATAAAGTACTGTGTCTCTAATCTAGCATTTAAGAAACTGTGTTAGGTTTCTTAAATTTAATGCAACTTGTTAATTAACAACTTATTTAACTAACTTGTTAAGTTGAAAGCAAGGTAAAAGTCAGATTCTTCGCAGTTCTCAATAGTGTTCTCTTAAAAGCTGTTCCAAGAGGCACATTCCCATGGCTACCTACCACAGTAACACTTTCAATTTCAATCACTTCAAAATATCCTTTCCCCTGTGATTTCTTCTTTGATTTATTGATTCAGAAGTATGTTGTTTAATTTCCCAATATTGGAGGATTTGATGGACATCCTTTATGTTGTTGATTTTTTTATCTAATCCCATTGTCATCAAAGAACATATTTTGTTTTAAATCCTTTTAAATTTGTTCAGATTTGTTTTATGACCCAAACTATGGTCTATCATGTAGACCATATGGTATTCCATATGCATTTGAAATGAATGTGTATTCTGCTGCTATTGAGTAAAGTGTTCCGTAAATATCAATTTGGTCCAGCTGTTTGAGTCGTTTAATAATTGTAGGGATTTTCTGTTTATTTAAGCTATAACTTACAAAGGAATGTTGAAGTCTTTACTTATTACTATGGAATTTTCTATTTCTTGCTCAATTCAATGTACAAGATTTTTCTGTATGAATTTTGAAGATCTGTTAGTGGGAGCATACACAGTTAAGCTTTTTATGTCTTATTGGTAAATTGAGGTCTTTATATAATATCTCTTTTTATCCCTCATTTTGATTCCTTTCTCCAAAGTCTAGTTTGTCTAATATCAATATAAATATTTCAGCTTTCCTTTGATCAATATTGTTGTGGTAAATCTTTTGTATCTTTTTACTATTAACCTATGAATCTTTATATTTAAAATGGTGCTCTTATATACAGTTTATAGTTGGGACTTGCTTTTTTTTTCAACCCCTTCCTCTCTGCCTTTTAATTAGAATTTTTATACCTTTACATGTAATGTAATATACTTATGCAATTAAAGCCTAATATCTTATGTGTTTTCTATTTGTTCTATTTGTTTTTTTTCCTTTTTCCTATGTTTTTTGCATTGAGAATTTTTAAATTCCATTTATCTCCATTAATGTCTTATGAGGCATGACTTTTTGTTGTGCTTGTGTAGTTATTGATCTAGTCTTTAAACTATGCTTGAGAGGTAATATGATTTACCTTTGGCTACTTTTTAAAATGTTTACAATTTTTCTCTATCACTGGGTCCAAGCAGTTTGATTATTATATATCATTGATTGCAGTGTGGTTCTCTCCAGTTTATTACCTAGAATTATCCTGATCTGTCTCTCCGTGCAGCTTCATCTTGGGGTGTTCTCGCACAGCAACCTTTGCCTCCCTAAACACCTATCTTTGTTTCCTCAGTTCAGTAAGTCTGCTGAACTCAGTTCAGGTTCCCAATTTTTAAACTGTGGTGTCAAAACTCTACCAGTAAGCCAGGGCCAAGTGATAGGCATAACCTCCTTTGTTTCCCTTTGTTAAATAATCAGTCATTTGCTTTTTCTTTTCCAATGTTTAAAAAACATTGTGTCAGCATTCCACCTATTTCTCTTGTTTCTGGGAGGGCAAATCCTATACCCATTAACTCTTTGTGGCTGGAAGCATAGATTATGCCTACTCTAATGTATTCAGTAACACAGAAATGCACAAAATAAAAAGTAGAAATATTCATCCTCCTTATCTGTGCTTAGGTGCATATTTAGAATATATTACTTGAAAATTTGCTCCTATGCAAAAACAACTTTATGTGTATAGTTACCTTTTGTTTTTATAAAAATGGGACTATACCTGGTTTTCTTTTGAAATTTGTTTATTTTTCTTAACAAGAAACATGGATAAAATTCTATTTCAGTATATATAGCTCTACTGTCAAATTTTAGATGGTTGAGTCATATTTTGTTTTATCTTTCCCTCAATTTACATATCTAATTCTTTAATGAATTGCATTTTGATATTTTTCATTTTTTTCTCTATTACATATTATGGTACAGTGTACATTCTTGGCTTACTATTTACCTTTAGTCACATACACCTGAATTTTTATAAGAGAATGTTTTAGATGTGCTGCATCAAAGACTATGTAAATTTATATTTTTAATGAATATTGCCACCCTCACACCTCTTCCAAATGTATTGTCATAATACTTCATCTGAATGGAACAATGGGTTTCTAGAATTTTTAAAGCACTTTTGTTGCTGTTTATGTGCTTAGTTTAATTAAAACCAAATCAATTTAAATATTGTGATATAGCCACTAATTCTCTATCATCATATAGTCATAACCCATGTTTCAAAAATATACATGCCTAGGTTTAAATGCATCTAGGATCACTGATTCTCAACATGACTTTAGAAAGTCACTCCATTTGTGCTATTCAAAATCACAATTCAAAATAATTGTGAGTAAAAAAAGACTCAAGCATGTGATAGAGAAATTGATTCACATTCTTGAAAGTCTTGTTTCTATAATTGTATGTAACTGCTTTATATTTAGGTATGTGCTTCTTAATATATTCCATTCCTTTTGCAGAATGTATTATTTTACCAGAACAGCATATCTTAATATATTCCTTTCATTCTAATAGTACCTTGTACTATAAGTTCAGTTTTTATTTTATCCTAGAACACTATATATAAATTTGATCTTTCACCCTCCATGCATAACTAATTCCTTCATTAGGCCAACTAGAGTTCAAGTCTAACCGACTGAGCTGAATAAATGCCATGCTAAATCACTTCTTACTAGTGTCCTGGTGGTAGGCAGAGAGAGAGAGAGAGAAAGAGAAAGAGAGAGACAGAAAGCATGCCAACTTCTCTTGGATTTTCAAGGTCTAGAAGAATGATCAAAGAAGATAAAACATGACACCAATATTTTATGAAAGCTACTGTGAATTGTTTCCTTGTCAGCTAGGGTTATCTCTGCTTCATACTCAAGGTGACAAAAGGGGGAGCATAAATAGAAACCACTACCACACAAAGAATTGATTAAGATATAGTAAATTACAAGAATAGATGAGTTTAATTCATATCCCCTTAGATATCAGAACTTCATTTCTTCATTTCAAAGGTTTTCCAAAATACCTTCAAATTTTATGGCAAAAATTTATATTTAGCCATCTGAGACATTCACTCATTCAAGAAATATTTATTAAGCAGCTATTATAGTTCAGACACTATTCTAAGCACCACTGAAACACATCACTGAACAAAACATAAAAATCTCAGGTCTCATTAAGCTTTTATTCTAATGAAGGGAGACTGACACCAAACAAAAATAAACAAGGGAATTGTATGGTATTTGTGTTAGAAAGAATTTTAAGATGTCACCTAGACCCTTGCCCTTGTGTGATCCTCTGCCCTTGAGTTGGGATAGAACCTGTGAATGTGATGAAATATATCACTCCTGTGATTATTTTACCATATCTGGGAAAATATTTTTTAAGGTAATTAAGGTCCTAAATGAGTTAAACTTAAGACAAGGAGATTATCTGGGTGGACCTGACCTAATCACATGAACCCTTTAAATCTGGATCTTATAGTTGGAAACAGAGAATCAGGGATTCAAAGCGTGACAAAAATTCAATGTGAGGAATATTCTCTGACTCTGAAGATGGAGAAGGACCACATGGCAAGAACCTCAAGGATCCTCTAGGAGCGAAAAACAGCCCCAGGTTGACAGCCAGAAAGAAAATGGGGATATCACTTCTGCAACTGCAAGAAACTGAATTTGCCAACAACTCAAGCCCCAAAACAGGTTTTCCCTAGAGCCTCTAGTCAAAAATTTAGCCCTGCCAATCCCTTGATTTTAGCTCTGTGAGACACTAAGCAAAACATTCAACCACACTATGCTGAACTTCAGAGCTTCAGAATGTATGCTAATAAATGGGTATTATTTTAACTTGCTAAATGTGTGACAAATTGCTATGCAGCAATAGAAAATGAATACAGTATTTTAGGGGCTAATCAGTGCTATGTAAGAAAGAGAAGAAAGATGACAGGGCATGCTAGGAATGGGAGTGGAATGGGTAGCAATTCAAGTCTAAAAGTAGGCAAAATTTGAGTAAAATGTAGAAAAAGTTGAAGGATATCCTTGGATGTATAGCCTTGTGGATATCTGAAAGGAGAAGTTTCCAGCATTGAGAACATCTGCAAAGGCCTTAAGGCTGGAGTATGCCAGGGGTGTCATAAATCAATTAGCAGAGTCTATGAGTTAATTTGATGAAGTTCCTTTGAGGCATAGATCCTGTCTACTGTAAAGGGTTCACAGTTTAGATGGAAATGGGTAATCTCTTCTTTCCCACCTACTTTTCCCTTCTTCCACCCTGTTTTCTTTCCTTCCTTCTTTCCTTTCTTTCATCCTTTTTTCAATAAGTGCTTATTGTATGTCTATTTTGTGCCTGGAATTGTGCTAGACAATAGAAGTATAATGAGATGGACATAGCCATTGCTCTCGAGTTTACTCTCTGGAGACAGTAAACAGGCAATCAAGAGCAGTATGGTTGTATGTCATATAATCATATGTTGCATGACAAAGAAAATACACTATGTTATAGAAAAGCAAAGGAAGAATGGCTAGCTCAGAGTTGGTGACCTTGGGAAGGTGTCTGTGAGTGAGTGATGTCTAGGCTGAGACCTGAGAAAAGAGTGTTATCCAAGACAAGGGAGCCAGAAGGGAGAAGACGTTTCCTGGCAGAGAGAAGACTAACAGACTCAAAGATCCTGAGGAGGGATAGAGCATGCTCAAAAGAAGAGCTTCAAGGAGATCAGGGTGACTGAAGCATGAAGTACAAGGTACATGGGATGAAGAGAGTGGGGAAATCTTAAAATAAGCCTGGGAACAGAATGTACAGGTCTTGTCAGCCATATTAATGAGTTTGGATTTTGCCCTAAGAGCAATAGAAAGCCATTGATGGATTTAAATGGGGGAATTTGCCTTTTAGAAAGATTGCTTAGGTTGTTTTATGGGGTATAGATGCATATGAGTCAAGACTTGGGAAAGGAGGTCTAGTTAGAAGGGAAGTCCAGCTGACAACAAGAGAAATGTAGACTGCTTTGGTAGAAATAGTGCTAATAGGGAGAAACTGATGGATTCAGTAGAGAGGTGGGGAAAAATTGGAAAAAATTATGTGGAGGGATTGAAGATTCCAGAATTACTTCCAGGTTTCTGATTTAGCTCACTTGGTGAATGTCAATAACTGAATTATGTTCAATATCTATTAATTTGCTACATAATCAAGTACATTATCAAGGTAAGTGGCATTGTGTAAAAACTGTGAGAGTTGAGGGAAAAAAAGAGGATTTTGGACATGGGCAATGTTAGAGAAGGCTTCTGAAGAATATGAAAACAACTGAACACAAATGAAAATACGATTTATGGCACAATCACACAGACAGGCACAATTCCCAGTGGCTTCAAAGCATAATAATTTGGCTCGGATATAGCCTAATACAAAAAGAAGTGCAGTAATAATACTCATAATTCAGCTATTTTGAGTAAACATTGCTGGTGGTAGTGCTACTACAGGTACTCTTTTTTTTTTTTTGGACGGAGTCTTTCTCTGTCACCCAGACTGGAGTGCAGTGGCACGATCTTGGCTTACCACAACCTCCACCTCCCAGGTTCAAGCAATTCTCCTGTCTCAGCCTCCCAGGTAGCTGGGATTACAGGCATGAGTCGCCATGCCAGGCTCATTTTTTTCATTTTTAGTAGAGACAGTGTTTTACCATGTTGACCAGACTGGTCTCAAACTCCTGATCTCAAGTGATTCGCTCGTCTCGACCTCCCAAAGTGCTGGGATTACAGGCATGAGCCACCGCACCCAGCCTACTACTGGTATTCTTAAATTGTTATATACAGGTATACCTCAGCAATATTGTGTGGTCTACTCCAGCACTGCAATAAAGCAAGTCATGCAAATGTTTTGATTTCCCAGAGCATACAAAAGTTATAATTATATCATATTATATTGTGTGTTATAACATTATGTCTTAAAAATGTACATACCTTAATTTTAAAAGACTTCATTGCTAAAAAGATACCGACAATTATTTCAGCATTCAGCAAGTGATCATCTTTTTGCTGCTTTGGAGTCTTGCCTCCATGTTGATAGTTACTTACTGATCAAAGTGGTGATTGCTGAAGGTTAGGTGGCTGTGGCAATTTCTTTGTTTTTTTTAGACATGGTCTTGCTCTGTCTCTCAGGCTGGAGTACAGTGACATGATCATATCTCACTGCAGCCTTGGGCTCCTGGGCTCAGGTGATCCTCCTGCCTCAGCCTCCCAGGTAGCTAGGACTACAGGCATGTGCCATGATGACTAGCTAATTTTTTATATTATTTTTTGTAGAGACCAAGTCTCATTGTTTTTTCCAGGCCAGTCTCAAACTCCTGGCCTCAAGCAATCCTCATGCCTTGGCATATGTGTGTTCACTGGAGTAGCACTTTTAAGTACAGGCATGAGCCACCACACCTGGCTGTATGGCAATTTCTTAAAATAAGACAACAATGAAGTCAGCCACATCAATTGGCTTTCCTTTTCACAAAAGATTTCTCTGTAGCATGTGATGCTGTTTGATAGCATTTTACTCACAGTAGAACTTCTTTCAAAATTCAGTCCTCTAAAACCTTGTCACTGCTTTATCAACTAAATTTATTTAATAATCTTAATCCTTTGCTGTCATTTCAATAATATTCACAGCATTTTCACTAGGAGTAGATACCATCTCAAGAAACCACTTTCTTTGTTCATCCACAAGAAACAATAGCATGAATTAACTTCTCATCAATTAAAGTTTTATCATGAAATTTCAGTAATTCAGTCATATCATCAGGCTCCACATCCAATTCTACTTCTTTTGCTATGTGTACTACATCTGCAGTTACTTCCTCCTCTGAGGAAGTACATCAATTTACTTAGCCCAGATTTCTCAAATAAATCCTTATATATGACAGCTAGATACTTACAAAATGTATTTCTTAAATAATAATATTTTAAAGTCAAAATTACTATCTGATCCAAGGACTACAGGATAGATATCGTGTTGTCAGGCATGAAAACAACATTAATCTCTTTGTACATCTCCATCAGAGCTCTTTGGTGACTAACTGCATTGTCAATGAACAGTAATATTTTGAAAGAAATCTTTTGTATTCTGAGCAGGAGATCTCAACAGTGGGCTTAAAATATTCAATAAACCATTCTATAAAGAAATGTGCTGTCATCCAGGCTTTGTTGTTTCATTTACAAAGCACAGAGTCAATTTGGCATAATTCTTAAAAGCCCTAGGACTTTCAGAATGGTAAATGAGTACTGGCTTCAACTTAGTGTCACCTGATGCATTATCTCCTAACAAGAGAGTCAACCTGTCTTTTGAAGCTTTCAAGCCAGGAGTTGACTTCTCCTCCCTAAGTTAGTCCTACATGGCATCTTCTTTAATAGCAGACTGTTTTGTCTATATTGAAAATCTGTTATTTAGTGAAGCCATCTTTCTCATTATCTTAGCAAGATCATCTGGATAACTTGCTGCAGCTTGTACATCAGCACTTGCTACTTCACCTTTCATGTTCATATTACGGAGACAGCTTCTTTCCTTAAACCTCATGAACTAACCTCCAGTAGTTTCAGACTTTGCTTCTGTAACTTCCTCAACTCCCTTGGCCTTCATAGATTGGAGAAAGTTAGGGTCTTGGTCTAGATTAAGCTTTGGATTAAGAGAATGTTGTGGCTGGTTTGATCTATCCAGAACACTAAAACTTTCTTCACAACAGCAACGAGGCTGTTTTACTTTCTTATCATATGTGTGTTCACTGGATTAGCACTTTTAATCTCCTTTGACAAATTTTTCTTGCATTAACAACTTGGCTAACTGATGCAAGAGACCTACCTTTTGGATTATCTCGGCTTTTGACATACCTTCCCCCTAAGCTTAACCATTTCCAGCTTTTGATTTGAAGTGAGAGATGCGCAACTCTTTCTTTCACTTGAAGACTTAGAACTCATTGTAGGGTTATTACTTGGCCTAATTTCAATATTATTGTGTCCTAGTGAGTAGAGAGGCCTGAAGAGAGGGAGAGAGATGGGGAAATGGCAGAATGGCTGCAATTAAAAAGACAAAAAATAACAGATGATGGCGAGGCTGCAGAGAAAAAGGAAAACTTATACACTGCTGGTGGGAATGTAAATTACTTCAGCTACTTTGGAGAACAGTTTGGAAATTTCTCCAAGAACTTAAAACAGAACTACCATTTGGCCCAGCAATCCCATTATTGGGAATATACCCAAAGAAATATAAATTGTTCTACCATAAAGACATATGAACGCATATGTTCATTGCAGCACTATTCACAACAGCAAAGACATGGAATGAACTTAGATGCTCCATAATGGTAGACTGGATAAAGTAAATGTGATACATACACATCATGGAATACTGTGCAACTATAAAATAGAATGAGATCATGTGCTTGCTTTTGGTTTTCTGACCTCATGGATTGAGCTGCAGGGGATTATCCTAAGCGAACTAAGGCAGGAACAGAAAATCAAATATTGCATGTTCTCATTTATAAGTGGGAGATAAACATTGAGTACACATGGACACAAGAAAGGCACAATAGACACTGGGGCCTACTTGAGAGTGGAGAGTGGGAGGAGGTTGAGGATTGAAAAACTACCTATAGGGTACTACAATTTTTACCTGGGTGATGAAACAATGTATACACCAAACCCCTGCAACATGCAATTTATTTATAGAACAAACCTCCACTTGTTTCACTGAAACTAAAATAAAGTTAAAAAAAAAAATTTCCATGTTATATGAGTGCAGTTCTTTGCATCTCAAAACAATTACAGTAGTAACATCAAAGATCACTGATCTCAGATCACCATGATCTATAAAATAATAATGAAAAGTTTGAATTATAGTGAGAATTATCAAAATGGACACAGAGACACAAAGTGAGCACATGATGTTGGGAAAATGGCACTGACAAACTTGCTAGACACAGGGTTGCCGCGAACCTTCGATTTGTAAAAAACAGTATCAGTGAAGCACAATAAAGCAAAGTGCAATATAATGTTGTACGTCTATACACATTTTTGGACTATAAAACAAATAAAATTACATGATGCTCTAGTTCTTATTCCCAGTTAACTTGAGACTTGCATTCAGTTCAGGAGAAAAGTAACTCAAAGGTTGACTTTGAGTTTGCATTTACAAATGCAATGAATTTGCATTGCATTGAATAAATTTGCATTATTTGCATGTGCATATAAAAACTCATAATGTATTTTATATCTTATTTTTCCCCTGAATTCTACTAATTGAAGGGCCTAGAAACACTGAGCAAAACAATGTTAATACCTCTAATGTCCAGATTCTGATCCTAAAAAACCATTTTTCAATTAGATAAATAAATAAATAAATAAAATAGGGATCCTTGGAGAAGGAACTGATTTCCAATCAGGGCCAGGAATGTATAAGATGAGTTTAGAACATCCAATAGTGAGAAAGTTGTTAAAGGCTATTAGAATTATGTCAATCAGACATGTAACCAACTTGAAGAAACTCCCACTAGCCAAAGTTAAAGCAATTTAACTGTCAATAAGAATAACTGAAGAACATCAATATGTTTAAATACATGAATTCATAATAATATTAAAATACATTCATTACTCACTGCTGGAGGATATAGTAAGCCAACTGAATATTTTGAAAATAGTAATTGGGGCCAGGCATGGTGGCTCGCGCTTGTAATCCCAGCACTTTGGGAGTTTGAGGCAGGTGGATCACAAGGTCAAGAGATCGAGGCCATCCTGGCCAACATGGTAAAACCCCATCGCTACTAAAAATACAAAAACTAGCTGGGCATGGTGGCATGTGCCTGTAGTCCCAGCTACATGGGAGGCCGAGGCAGGAGGATCGCTTGAACCTGGGAGGTGGAGGTTGCAATGAGCCAAGATAAGGCCACTGCACTCCAACCTGGTGACAGAATGAGACTCCGTCTCAAAAAAAAAAAAAAGTAATTAAAAACTTGAGCTTTTTTCTTGCTTTTCCAACATGTACTGTACCCCTGGACAACCAAATAGTAGATGAAAAGTTTTGCTTCTGGGTTTGTTTTCATTTTTTAACAGAAGTATTCCAGCCAATAAATGAAGTAGAAATAATAGAATATAGCTCTTACCGTTTCGCAACAACATATGGAACCACGCTTTGAGAATCAAAGGCTACTAACACCACTTAAAGAGAGGCAACTAGAGATTAGGTGTTTCCTGCTCAAAGAATAAACCACCACCACCTTGTAAATTTGTTTGAGTTTTTTGTAGATTCTGGATATTAGCCTTTTGTCAGATAAGTAGATTGCAAAAATGTTCTCCCATTCTGTAGGTTGCCTGTTCACTCTGATGGTAGTTTCTTTTGCTGTGCCGAAGCTCTTTAGTTTAATTAGATCCCATTTGTCAATTTTGGCTTTTGTTGCCATTGCTTCTGGTGTTTTAGACATGAAGTCCTTGCCCATGCCTATGTCCTGAATGGTATTGCCTAGGTTTTCTTCTAGGGTTTTTATGGTTTTAGGTCTATCATTAGAACAGATACTTCTCAAAAGAAGACATTTATGCAGCCAACAGACACATGAAAAAATGCTCATCATCACTGGCCATCAGAGAAATGCAAATCAAAACCACAGTGAGATATTATCTCACACCAGATAGAATGGGGATCACTAAAAAGTCAGGAAACAACAGGTGCTGGAGAGGATGTGGAGAAATAGGAATGCTTTTACACTGTTGGTGGGACTGTAAACTAGTTCAACCATTGTGGAAGACAGTGTGGTGATTCCTCAGGGATCTAGAACTAGAAATACCATTTGACCCAGCCATCCCATTACTGGGCATATACCCAAAGGATTATAAATCATGCTGCTATAAAGACACATGCACACATATGTTTACTGCAGCACTACTCACAATAGCAAAGACTTGGAACCAACCCAAATGTCCATCAATGATAGACTGGATTAAGAAAATATGGCACATATACACCATGGATAACTATGCAGCCATAAAAAATGATGAGCTCATGTCCTTTGTAGGACATGGATGAAGCTGGAAACCATCATTCTCAGCAAACTATCACGAGGACAAAAAAAAGAAACACTGCATGTTCTCACTCATAGGTGGGAATTGAACAATGAGAACAATTGGACATGAGAAGGGGAACATCACACACCGGGGCCTGTTGTGGGGTGAGGGGATGGGGGAGGGATAGCATTAGGAGATATACCTAATGTAAATGATGAGTTAATGGGTGCAGCCCACCAACATGGCACATGTATACATATGTAACAAACCTGCACATTGTGCACATGTACCCTAAAGCTTAAAGTATAATTAAAAAAATATATATATATAAATAAATAAACCACCACCACCTGTGAAATGGTCGTTAGAAAAAAACAAGCAAAAACTAGCCTGAATCTGATCAGTCTTACCACCTTCTAACTACCAGTTTAACAAGAAATACAGTTTAGAGAGACATATTGCCTAACACTATGGAGATGCAAACAGCAAATTTCAAATGGTGAGAAATTTTTCAAACAAATAAGTTGCAAGAGAAAAAAGAGAAATGAATGAGAAAACTATTAGTGAAAACAGGATTAAGACATGATAATCAATTGAAATATGAGAACCTTATTAAAATCTTGATTCAAACTATTAAAAATATAAGACAATTGAAATTTTGAACACTATACATTTTGATGACATTAAGGAATCATTACTATTTTTATTTGTAACAATGGTGAATGCTAGATATTTTTAAAAGATTCCTGACCTTTTAGAAATACCTGACAAAATATATAAAATTTCCTCAAAACAGTATGTAAGGCACAAGTGGATGGAGGTGTATATAAAATGAGATTGGCCATGTGTTGATAATTATTAAAACTGACTTATAGGTATATGTGGGTTCATTATATTTTTCTATGTACTTTTGTATATGTTCAAAATTTTCCAAAATAAAAAATAAATATATTATTTGGGACATCAGCTTAAACTACACAAAACAATTGGTGAAATCATCTAAACATCAGCTTGAACTTCAAATTTTACTCTCACTAGAAAGAATCACAGCTATAAGATGTGCAAGTGCTCAGTACAGTGCTGACTGGTATGAATCTGCTTGATGCAGAATAAATAAGTAGATTATGTGCAATCTAATTTTCTAAAGAAGAGGATTTGGATCAAAATCAGGAAAGGCATTTTCCTAGCTACTCTTCTTTTTTTTTTTTTTTGAGACGGAGTCTCGCTCTGTCGCCCAGGCTGGAGTGCAGTGGCGGGATCTCGGCTCACTGCAAGCTCCGCCTCCCGGGTTCACGCCATTCTCCTGCCTCAGCCTCCCAAGTAGCTGGGACTACAGGCGCCCGCCACTATGCCCGGCTAATTTTTTGTATTTTTAGTAGAGACGGGGTTTCACCGTTTTAGCCGGGATGGTCTCGATCTCCTGACCTCGTGATCCGCCCGCCTCGGCCTCCCAAAGTGCTGGGATTACAGGCGTGAGCCACCGCGCCCGGCCTAGCTACTCTTACATTAGGATGTCATTAGTACTCTAATTAGAAGGTAGACCAGGCAGTGTCGAGGCAGGAAACAGTTAAGATACCCCAAATCATTTAACTAAGGAGATTTCAATGAAAAGACTACTTGCAGAAGAGTGGGCAGAGTGATGGGACCAATAAGGGTTAGGAAACATTCAGGAGGTGGGACAGTGGGAAGCTGAATCCGGTAAGAGCTGTCGCCCTGCAAGAGATCTGCCCTACAGGAGCTGTGGCTATGAAATAGGTAACCACTGCCAGAACCACAGTGAGACAACAGTGGAAAAAAGACATAAATACCAAGCTTGTCTCTCCCACCGCCCTCCGATCTCCTGCAGTTTTTTCCATTGACAAAGACAACTAGAAGCCAAAGGGCAAAGCAGCCAGTGTGATACAGTCCATAGAGGTCGTTCTCTCAAGGCAGGACACAGAAAGATAGACAATGGACCCAGAGGGGACAAGCTGACAATAACCAGAACAAAATGCATTGTTCATCAGCACCAAGTCTGCACTGTACATTTCAAATCATTTGTTTGTATTACATGTGTGCACACATTAACTGTATGTTTCATGTATTTTGTATATATTAACTTTATGCATATAGAAACACATGTCAACTCCTTAGTGTGTGTGTGTGTGTGTGTGTGTGTGTGTAGTGAAAGATAGATCCAGAGTATGGATTCAGTTCACCTTTACCTCTAATCTTCCATTTTATGATGTTAAAAATGATTCACAGCAAAAGGAAATACAAATGTCTGATAAACTATAAAACTATGTTCAACATTGCCAGAAATCTGTGAAATTGCAAATTAAAATAAAAAGACACTTTCTTGTTCATCGAATTGGCAAGTATTTAAACATTTTATAATATCAATTGGTATTGGTAAAGGTGTGGGGTAATGGGAACTCACATACAGTGCTAATGATGCAGGAAAGTCTCAAAATTGGGGCTCAGCCAGACAGGGTTCTTGGCTTCAGGCATGAAGAAATTCAAGAGTGAGCCAACAGAGTGAAGCAAAAGCAAAGCAAGTTTATTAGAGCAACAGAGTACAGGAAAACGGCTGCCCCAAGAGCAGGGCTATCTCATAGGCAGAGTAGCACTCATGGATTGCTGGCTAGCTATATTTATAACAACTCCTTAACAATATGCTAAATAAGGAGTGGGTTATTCGCAAATTTTCTAGAAAAGGGATGAGGAGTTCCTGGAACTGAGGGTTCCTCCCCTTTTAGACCATATAAGGTAACTTCTGGGTATTGTCATGGGATTTGTAAACTGTCGTGTCACTGGTGGGAGTGTCTTTTAGCATGCTAATGTATAATAATTAGCATGTAATGAGCAGTGAGGGCAACCAGAGCTTGCTTTCATCACCATCTTGGTTTTAGCTGGCTTTGCTTGGTTTCTTTAATGCATCCTATTTTGATTGGTGGAGTTGTGACCAATACTCAGAAAACAAGTCCTGCTGATTGCCTCCCTCACCTGGAAGGGTCCAAATCTGCTCAGGTAATTGTTCAGTTTGGTAGTATCTATTATAGAGACAGCATAGCAACATGGTGAAGCATGCAGACATACATTGGGTTCAAATCCTTGTTCTACTACTTAATCTCCATGTAATCTTCAGCAGATTCCTTAATCTGTCTTGCCTCGGTTTCCATATTTTTATTAAAAATACTTAACCTCCCTATGTCAGACAGTTTCCCTGTCTGTAAAATGGAGAAATAACAGCCTACCTCACATTCATAAGACAGCTAAGTACATACGTAAGTGCTACATAAACACAAAAAATGCAAATACAAGGAGAGTTTACAATTACAATTTTACTACTATGTTTGTACAAAGAAGCTAACACAAGGATATTTATTTTGCTACTATTTTACTGATTCTTATAGCATATGAATGAAAACAAACTTTCATGTTCATTGCTAGCTATGGAAAAATTCTTGACACAGTGTTGAGTGAACAAAATGTCAATGAAAAATATGTTTTCCATGGAACTCTATTTGTATATACTAACAACTATAATATATTTATAGGGTGTATCTATATAAAAGTTTAGAAAAATTCTGGGGTAATATATCTAACTTGACAATGGTTATTTCTGTAAAGTGACTGGGATTGGAGGTGGGGAAAGATTTAGATTTCAATTCATCTATTGTATTTGAATTCTTATCACGAAAATGTATTCAAAAGGCACTTGTGTGATTAAAAATTAATACAGTTTTGAAAAATAGTTCAGGTACATCTCACTCCAAAACTAATGCATGCCATCATTACACATCAGAAAAACATTTTTACTAACCAGGAAAGCTTTTTCTCTATGGTTGTTTCTTCATTCAATCCATAAAAATTGAAGCCATGTTTAAAATTGTTTTCACATGCTGGATTGCTGAAGTTTTGATGTTAATCATTTATTTCCTGCTAAATGTGAGTCATATCAAGATGTATGAATAGTAGCAATGATTTGTATCACTTCCATTAGTCCATATTACTTCCACCTTTAGTTTAAAACATTATTTTTTCTTGAAAAAATAAAAAAATTACAATAATACTAGTATACACTTATAGTTTATAGTTACCCAACATTTTCACATAAATAATAGGAATATTAGAAAAGTGACAATAATTTTTCCCTAAAGAGTTATAAATAAGATTTAAAATGTGAGCTATGGAATTAAAAATTAGACATGGAGACTGAATAATTTTGATTAATTCAAAGTTCAGAGTGAGTGAGATGAAATCTGAAATAAAAAAGATGGGAAGCAGATAAAGTTTGGCGAGGGAAAAAACCCAATCATAGTCAGAAGTTTGAATTTGCTTTACAAGTTGCTGAGTAATATGATGTTTAAGATACATACGCAAGCATTAGAAAGTAAACAGGGACAGTTATTCTTTATTTTAATAAAAATATTTTATGTCACTAAAAGCAGAAAATGACTCAATTGTGTGTTTATCATCTTTTTCCCTTTGGGATTTTTAATTCAAGGAAAGCATACTTTTTGTAAACAACTATAAGCTACTTTCTAAGGTTCATCTGGGAGCAACTACCCTGATATGGTTTGACTGTGTCCCCACCCAAATCTCAACTTGAATTGTAGCTCCCATAATCACCGCATTTCATGGGAGGGACCCAGTGGTAGGTAATTCAGTCATGAGGGCGGGTTTTTCCCATGCTATTCTCGTGATAGTGAATGTCTCATGAGATCTGATGGTTTTATAAAGGGTGGGTCCCCTGCACAAGCTCTCTTGTCTGCTGCCATGTAAGACATGACTTTGCTCCTCCTTTGCCTTCTGCCATGATTGTGAGACCTCCCAGCCATGTGGAACTGTGAGTCCATTAAACCTCTTTTCTTTTACAAATTACCCAGTCTCAAGTATTTCTTATAGCAGTGTGAGAATGGACTAATACATACCCAAAATAGGGTCTTAAGGTTTGCAAGGAAATTGCCTCATACACAATCAAGGAGGCCAAATGATAAACCCATAAATCAGCTGCCACCAAAATTTCAGTCAGTTCAATTACTATCTTGGATGTTGACATTTTCCTTGACTATTATTAACATAACCATTTGAAAACTATATACTATATTATTTATTATTTGTTATCTGACATCAATTTTACCTTATTCTTAATAATACAGTAACACCTTTGTATTACAGAATTAATGATGTAGAGGAAAAATTTAAACTCTATATTTTAAATATTTTATTTTTTTATTCATTATAGTCATTTTACATTTGTCAACATCAATACCATAAAAATTAGAGTTCTCCTTTGGGTTGTACTCCACCCTCAGATAATCTTTCCCTGTTTTAAAAAGTACTAATTTGAGGACTAAAAAATTCAAATTGACTTTACTTTTAAAATATGGTGGCATTATTTAATATTTTCAAAATGTAATTAATGAATTTTAGCAATTCATAATCACCATATTGCGCAACAACTGGTTATATTAGGGGTGAAATATATTAAAAATAGATATTATCTATTTTTACATGTGTTTAATCTGTTGAAAGACATGGAACAAATTCCAAAGAGCTGATTTAAGCAGATTTCAAAATAATTGATTTCACTTTGCTTTAAAACTTAAAAACCCGGTAAGTAGATTATGCGGTACTTTACTGGATAGATGCCAATGAGTATCATTTTAGACTAATTGATCATCTTGTCATCTTTCTTTCTTCTACTCTCACCACTGGGATATAGCATTTTTTCATTGCTGCTGCAACCTCAGGGGCCCCACATTCTCAAATTCCTCATATGTCAGGCAATATTAGTAAAGAGAAATTTTTAAGGAGGGAAAGGCAGCCTTCCCTTGGAACCTAATTATAACTTCCAAATATTTCTGGGAGGGTTCTTTTTTTCTGAATTCACTCTCATTTTCAGTGTCTCTTGCCAACCATTCTTCCTCCCTGTGTAAGCCCCAGATACCGTTTAATATCATTGAATATTAGCAGCAGATGGTATTAAAAGCACAGACAAATTATTGAGAATAGCCAGACTGTTTGATTTTGTTTTTTAAAATTTGATTTAGATTTATTTCATTTTCAAATATGCAACATTAAAAAGATACCAAAAGAAGTTAAAAATCTGCTTTGCCTCACTGCCTACAGGCATTTACAATTAACATTTTGTCCAGATCTTTCCAGAGAGTTTCCTGTATATATGGCTATCTACATATTTACTTTTTCTAATAAACACAGAAGTCTTTTTTGTATAAACTACTTAATAACAATATATTGCAATTTTCTTTGCATATAACTATTGATTTACAAAAATTATTTTAATAGCCTTATACCATTAGATTATTGTATTACTCCATTCTTACACTGCTGTGAAGAAATGCCTGAGACCGGGTAATATATAAAGAACAGAGATTTAATTGACTCACAGTTCCACCTGGCTGGGGAGGCCTCAGGAAATTTACAGTCATGGCAGAAGGTAAAGGAGAAGCAGGCACCTTCTTCATAGGGTGGCAAGACAGAGTAGTGCAAACAAGAGAAATGCCAGATGCTTATAAACCCATCAGATATCATGAGATTCACTCACTTTAAGGAGAATAGCATGTGAGAAACCACCCCCATGATTCCATTATCTCCACCTGTTCTGCCTTCAACGCGTGGGTGTTATGGGAGCTACAATTCAAGATGAGATTTGGGTGTGGACATAAAGCCCAACCATATCATTCTGCCCCAGCCCTTCCCAAATCTCATGTTCTCATATTTCAAAATACAATCATGCATTCCTGACAGTCCCCCAAAGTCTTAACTCATTTCAGCATTAACTCAAAAGTCCACAGTCCAAACTCTTACCTGAGACAAAAGCAAGTCCCTTCTGCCCATGAGTCTGTAAAATCAAAAGCAAGTTAGTTACTTCTAGATATAATGGGGGTACAGGCAGTGTGTAGATACATCCTTTCCAAATGGGAAAAATTGGCCAAAACAAAAGGGCTACAGGCCCCATGCAAGTTCAAAATCCAACAGTGTAGTCATTATACCTTAAAGTTCCAAAACGATCTCCTTTGACTCCATGTCTCACATCCAGGTCATGCTGATGCAAGGGGTGGGCTCTCACAGCCTTGGGCAGCTCTGCTTCTCTGGCTTTGCAGGGAACAGCCCCACTCCTGGCTGGTTTCATGGGCTAGCATTGAGTGACTGTGGCTTTTCCAGGTGCATGGTGCAAGCTGTTGATGGAACTACCATTTGGGGTCCAGAAGACCCCAACTCCACAGGCAGTTCCCCACAACTCCATTAGGCAGCTCACAACTCCATTAGGCAGTTCCCCAGTGAGGACATTGTGTGGGCCTCTGATCCCACATTTTCCTTCTGCACTGCCCTAGTAGAAGTTCTCCATGAGGGCACTGCCCCTGCAGTTAACTTCTGCCTGGACATCCAGACATTTTCATACAGCCTCTGAAATCTAGGCAGGGATTCACAAACCTCAGTTCTTGCTTTTTGCATATCTGCAGGACAAACACCACATGGAAGCTGCCAACACTCGGGGCTTGTACCCTCTGAAGCAATGGCCTAAGCTGTACCTTCACTCCTTTTAGCCATGGCTGGAGTGGCTGGGATGCAAGGCACCAAGTTCTAAGGCTGCACACAGAAGGGGGTCCTGGACCTAGCCCACAAAAGCATTTTTCTCTCCTAGGCCTCTAGGCTTGTGGTGAGAGGAGCTACTGTGAAGTCCTCTGACATGCCCTGGAGACACTTTCCCCATTGTGTTGACAATGAACATTTGGCTCCTCATTACTTATGGAAATTTATGCAGTGGGCTTGAATTTATCCCCCTCAAAATTAGTTTTTCTTTTCTACTGCATTGTCAGGCTACAAATTTTCCAAACTTTTGTGCTCTGTCACCTCTTGAACACTTTGCTGCTTAGAAATTTCTTCCACCAGATACTTTAAATTATCTCTCTCAAGTTCAAAGTTCCACAGATTTCTAGGGCAGGGGCAAAATGCTACCAGTCTCTTTGTGAGAGCATAGCAGGAATCACCTTATTCCTGTTCCCAATAAGTTCCTCATATCCATCAAAGACCATCTCAGTCTGGACTTCATTGTCCATATCACTATCAGAATTGTGGTCAAAGCCATTCAACAATTCTCTAGGAAGTTCCAAACTTTCCCACATCTTTCTGTCTTCTTCTGAGCCCTCCGCAAAATGTTCCAATTTCTGCCAGTTACCCAGGTCCAAAGTTGCTTCCACATTTTGGGGTATCCTTATAGCAGTGCCCCACTCCTGTTACCAATTTACTGTATTAGTTTGTTGTCACACTGCTATGAAGAAATACCTAAGACTGGGAAATTTATATTAAAAAAAGGTTTAATTGACTCCATTCTGCATGGCCAGGGAGGCCTCAGGAAACTTACCATTATGGCAGAAGGCACCTCTTCACAGGGTGGCAGGAGAGAGAATGAGTGCCAGCAGAGGAAATTCAAGAAGCTTATAAAACCATCAGATCTCATGAGAACTCACTATCCCGAGAACAGCACGGGGGAAACTGCTCCCATGACCCAATGACTTCCTACCAGGTCCCTCCCAGGACACATGGGGATCACGGGATTACAATTTAAGATGAGATTTGGGTGGGGACACAAAGCCAAACCATGTCAATTGTATAATATGTAACATGTTATATAATACATAATATGCAGTTTGTAATCTATAAATATAAAATTTTGATGAAAGTAAATAAATTTTAAAACCTATAAGTAAAACTTTAATTTAAATAAATGTTTCCCAACTTCAATATTAACTATTAGAGGACTGTTTAAATTTTACTTGGTTTCTCAGTTACCCAGATCTGCAAATCAGCTCTTCAGATAATTATGTAATCTCTGGGAATAGTTACCTTCTCTTTCTGCTTCATCTGTTGTTGGGGAACATTACTTGCTTTGGATTCTGTACCTGCCCATTTATCCTCATTATTAAGAATATTTAGTGTTTTCCCCTTTGTTCCTTCATTTAGCAAATATTTATTGATCCCCTAAAGTACTATAACATTGCCATTACATTTGTTTTTGAAAATTGATGAGGCTTTTTAATTTGCAAATTACACTGGAGAATCTTCTGTTTCCCCCCTCCTGTTGGCATTATATTTTACCTACTTTCTCCAGTTATCCTAGGAATACCCTAGTAAGCAAAGAAGCATATAAATGATGATGGTTTAGAGAGAGGGTTAAAAAGGAACAGTGATAATGACAAACAGGCTAAACACGGTGAAAATAAAAATCAAGTAACTGGAAAAGATAAACTAATTAAAAGGAGGTAAAGCAATACCCATTTACATGAATAGTCATTTTTTCACCCAACAATCTTCTTTGACTATCTGATATGTGCTGCACTGTGTGATGCATCAAAAAGAGAAACATCAAAAAAGAGATTTAAATTATCAAAAAGAGTCAAGTGTAAATTATAGAGTTGAAAAGTCCAATAACTGAAATAACAAATTCACTAGTGGGACCCAACAGTAGATTTAACTGGGCAGAAGAATTAATGAAGTTGAACCAACAATACCTAAAGGCAATATAGAACACTCCACTCATAGCAACAGAATATACATTCTTCTCAAGAGCACATAAAATATTCTCCAGGATAGACCACATGCTAGGTCATAAAAGAAACCTCAATACATTTCAAAGGACAAACACAATACAAAGTATTTTCTCTAAATACAATGGAATAAATTTATAAATCAAAAGCATAAAAATTGAGAACTCACAAATATGTATAAATTAAACAACACACACCTACATAATCAATGCATCAAAGGAGAAATGAAAAAGCAAAATCAGAAAATCCTTTGAAATGAATGAAAACCAAGATACAACATACAAAAATTTATGGAATGCACTAACACAGTGTTTAGAGGAAAATTTATAGCTGCAAATGCCTATGTTGTATTAAGGAAGAAGATCTCAAAAAATAAAAAGTCATCCAGATTGGAAAGAAAAAAGTAAAACTATTCTATTTGCCTATGACATGTGCCACATAAAGAAAATCCTAAAAAATCCACTGAAAAAGTATTAGAACAAATTAGCAAGCCCACCAAGTTAGCATGGTGTAAGATCAGCGTATGAATATTAATTGTATTTCTAGACCCTTGCAAAGAACAATCTGAAAATGAAATTTGAAAGACAATCCCACTTCCAACAGCATCAAAAAGCATAAAATATTTAGGAATAAATTTAACAAAGGAAATGTAAAATGAATACTCAAAAAAACTACAGAACATTGTTGAAAGAAATTAAGGAACATCAGAATAATTGGGAAAATGTCCTGTATTCATGGATCAGAAGACTATTTTAAGATGGTAATACTCCCTAAACTGATCTACAGATTCAGTGTAATCACCATCAGAATACCAGATGACTTCTTTGTAGAAATTGACAAACTGATTCTAAAACTCATATGGAATTGCAAAGGACTGAGAATAGCTGACAGAATTTTGAAAAAAAAAAAGTAGAAAGATTCACAATTTTTTAAATTTCAAAACTTACTAGAAAGCCACAGTAATCAAGACTGTTGTAGCTGCATGAGGCTAGACATATAGTTCAATGGAATAAAATTGAAAGTCCAGAAATAAACCCAAACATCTATGGTCAACTGATTTTTGGCAAGATGCTAAGACCATCCAATGGTTTCTTTTCAACAATTGGTGCTGGGATAACTGGATCGCCACATACAAATGAATTAATTGGCACCCTTACCTCAAACCATATACAAAAATTAACTCAAAATGGATCAAAGAATGACATAAGAACTAAACTGTAAAATTCTTAGAAGAAACCATAGCAGTAAATCTTGATGACCATGTATTCAGCAAAGGATTTCTGGATATAACACAAAAACCAAAAGCAACAAAAGAAAAAAATAACTTGGACTTTATCAAAATTAAAAATTTTGTGCTTCAAAGGACACAATTTAAAAAGTACAAAGACAGCCCACAAAATGGGAGAAAATATTTGGAAATCATGTACCTGAAAAGGGACTAGTACCCAAAATTTATCAAGAAATCTTATATCTCAATAATAAAAAGACAACTCAATTTCAAAATGGTCAAAAGACATACTAGACATTTCCTCTAAAAAAGATATACAAGTGGCCCATAAGCACATGAAAAGATGGTTCATATCATCAGTCATTAGCAAAATGCAAATCAAAACCACAGTGAGATATGACTCATACCTACTAGGATGGCTAGACTCCAAAAGTCGCATAACAACAAATGGTGGTGAGGATGTAGAGAAATCAATAACTTTTTCACTGCTGGTGGTAATATAAATGGTACAGCCACTTTGGAAAGCAGTCTGGTAGTTCCTCAGATGACTAAACATAGAGTTAACATATAATCCAGCAACTCCACTCCTAGGTATATACCCTAGAAAAATGAAAACATATGTCCATGCAAAAAACTTGTACACAAATGTTTATAGTAGCATTATTCTTAATAGCCAAAAGGTTAAAACAATCCAAATGTCCATCAACCAACAAAATGTGATATAGACTTTAAATATAATATTGTTTGGCCATAAAAATGAAAGAAGTATTATACATGCTACAACTTGGATGGACCTTGAAAACACTGTGCTATGTTAAAGAAGCCAGTCGCAAAAGACAACATACTATATGATTCCATTCATATAAAGTGTCCAGAACAGAGAAATCTACAAAGACAGAAATTAATTTAGTAGTTACTTAAGGCTGGAGAGAGCAGGATAATTAGGTAATTAGAGGGATAATAGTTAAAGGCCAGGAGGTTTCTTTTTGAGTTTATGAAAATGTTCTAAAATTGACTGTGGGAGTGATCACACATCATTGAATACTTAATGAGTGAATTATAAGGCATTTAAGTTAGATTTCAATAGAGCCATTTTAAAATATATATATACATCATCTGAATTATGGAAAATAGCCCTTCTTTTCAGAACAAGCAAAGTTTTTAAATTCTGTGATTTCTTTATTTCTATTTTTAATATTTTTGCTGAGGGAAAAATTGACTGCATTAGTGTATAGTTTGATACATGCTTATTAATGTAATATTCATGTGTCTGCCACCCAGATAAGAAACAGATCAGTTCCATTACCCTAGCATGCACATTTTTCCTCCTTTCCAGATATACTCCCTTCCAAAGGTAACCCCTATTTTGACTGTAATTCGAGATCAGTTTTGCCACCTTTTAAGTTTCACATATATGTTCTCTCTTTTATCTGGCTTCTTTTGCTCAACATTAGTTCCCTAAGACTTGTTCATGTGTAACAGTCATTTATTCTTCTTTGTTTTTATTGCCTAAAGCCCATACTTTACTCAGATTTTCTTAATTTTTACCTAATGTCTTTTTTCAGTTCTAGGATCCCATAAAGGACACCACACTATGCTCATTATACCTCTCTAGGCTTGTCTGTGGCTGTGTCAGCTTTCTAAACTTCCCTTGTTTTTAATGACCTTAACAGTTTTAAGGAGTACTGGTCAGGCATTTTGTAGGATGCCTTTCTACTGAAATTTATCTGATGTTTTTCTCATAATTAGATAGTAATTATGAGGTTTCAGAAGGAAAGCCATGATGGTCAGGTGCAATTTTCATCTGATCTTATCAAGAGTAAATATAATCACATAATTTGTCACTCTTGATACTAACCTTGAGCAGCTAGCTGAAGTAGTCTTTGTCAAATTTCTCCATTGTAAAGTTACTTTCCCCCCATTTCCATACTCTACTTTTTGTCAGGGAATGACTATATGCCCATACTGAAAGAATGGGAAGTTATGCTCTGCCTCCTTGACGATGGGCTAGCTATATAAATTACTTGGATTCTTCTCTACAGGAGCTGTCTGTTTCCCCTAATTTATCTACTTACTTATTTAATCATTTATATCAGCACAGAGTCTGTATATTTACTTTATACTCTGGACTTCAATCCAGTATTTTTTTTGCTCAAATTGTTTCAACTCCTGTGTCTCTTTGACATTCTCCCATGAATTTTTATTTTGCTTTTTTCTTTTCTTTTTGAGCATTTCTTTTTTTTTAAATTTCAACTTTTATTTTAGGTACGGGGGTAAATGTGCAGGTTTGTTACGTTGCACCCAGGTACTGAGCATTGTGCCCAATAGGTAGTCTTTCAATCCATGTCCCTTTTCTCTATCCCCCCATAGTAGGGTCCCCAGTGTCTATTGTTCTCATTTTACTGTCCATATATGCTCAATGTTTAGCTCCCACTTACAAGTGTGAACATTTATTATTTGGTTTTCTGTTACTGAGTTAATTTGCTTAGGATTATTGGCCTCCAGTTCCATCCATTATGCTGCAAAGGACACGATTTCATTTGTTTATGACTGTGTAGTATTTCATGGTGTACATATACTACATTTTCTTTATCCAATCCATCATTGATGGGTACCTAGGTTGATTCCATGTTGTGATGGTTAATATTGAGTGTCAACTTGATTGGATTGAAGGATGCAGAGTATTATTCCTGTATGTGTCTGTGAGGGTGCTGCCAAAGGAGATTAACATTTGAGTTAGTGGACTGGGAGAGGCAGATCCACCCTCAATCTGAGTAGGCATCATCTAATGAGCTGCCAGTGTGGCTAGAATAAAGCAGGCAGAAGAAAGTGGAATGAGAAGACTTGCTGAGTCTTCCAGCCTTCATCTTTCTCCCTTGCTGGATGCTTCCTGCCCTCAAACATCAGACTCCAAGTTCTTCAGCTTTTGAACTCTTAGACTTGCACCAGTGAGTTGCCAGGGGCCCTCAGGCCTTCGGCCACAGACTGAAGGCTACACTGTCAGCTTCCCAACTTTTGAGGTCTGGGGACTTGGACTGGCTACCTTGCTCCTCAGCTTGCAGACAGCCTATTGTGGGACTTCACCTTGTGATACTGTGAGTCAATTCTCCTAATTCTCCTAATTTGTGTTGTCTCTGATTTCTTTCCTAATAAACTCCCCCTCATATATACGTACATCCTATTAGTTCTGTCCCTTTAGAGAACCTTGACTAACACACATGTGTTCATTATTTGAATAGCATGGCAATGAACACATGACTGCATGTGTCTTTTTGGTATAATTATCTATTTTCCTTTGGGTATATACCCAGTAATGGGATTGCTGGGTCAAGTTGTAGCTCTGTTTTAAGTTCTTTGAGAAATCTCCAACCTGCTTTCCACAGTAGCCGAACTAATTTACATTCCCACCTTTTCTCTGCAGCCTAATCAGCATCTGTTGTTTTTTGACTTTTTAATAATAGCCATTCTGACTGGTGTGAGATGGTATCTCATTGTGGTTTTGATTTGCATTTCTGTAATGATTAGTGATGATGAGCATCTTTTCATGTTTGTTGGCCACTTTTATATTTTATTTTGAGAAGTGCCTGTTCATGTCTTTTGCCCACTTTTTAATTGGTTATTTGGTTTTTGCTCGTTGATTTGTTTAAAGTCCTTACAGATTCTGGATATTAAACATTTTCAGATACCTAGTTTGCAAATATTATATCCCATTCTGTAGGTTGTCTGTTTACTCTGTTGACAGTTTCTTTGCTGGGCAGAAGCTCTTTAGTTTAATTAGGTCACACTTGTCAATTTTTGTTTTCATTGCAATTACTTTTGGGGACTTAGCCAAAAATTATTTGGCAAGACTGATGTTGAGAAGAATATTTCTTAGGTTTTTTTCTGGGCTTTTTATTCTTTCAGGTCTTACATTTAAATCTTTAATCCATCTTGAGCTAATTTTTGTACATGCTGAAAGGTAAGGGTCCAGTTTCATTCTCCATATGGCTAGCCATTATGCCAGAACCATTTATTTTATAAGCAGTCCTTTCCCCATTGCTTGTATTTGTCGGCCTTGTTGAAGATCAAATAGTTGTAGGTGTGTGGCTTCATTTCTAAATTTTCTATTCTGTTCCATTGGTCTATGTGTCTGTTTTTGTACCAGTACCATGCTGTTTTGGTTACTGTAGCCTGTAGTATAGTTTGAAGTAGGATAGTGTGATATCTTTGACTTTATTCTTTTTGCTTGGGATTGCTTTGGCTATTTAGGCTATTTTTTGGTTTCATATGAATTTTTGAACAGTTTTTTTTTCTAATTCTGTCAAGAATGACATTGGTAGTTTAAAAGGTATAGCATTAAATCAGTAAAGTGCTTTAAGTAGTATGACCATTTTAATTATATTGATTCTTCCAAACCATGAGCATGGAATGTTTTTTCCATTTATTTCTGTTGTCTCTGATTTCTTTCAGCAATATTTTGTAGTTCTCCTTTAGAGATCTTTTACCACCTTGGTTAGCTGTATTCCTGGATATTTCATTTTCTTTGTGGCTATTGTAAATGGGGTTGTGTTCTTGATTTGACTCAGCCTAGATGTTATTGGTGTATAGAAATGTTACTGATTTGTTTACATAGATTTTGTATCCTGAAAAATTGCTAAAATCATTAATCAGTTCTAGTAGCCTTTTGGTAGAGTCTTTAGGGTTTTGTAAACATAGAATCATATTGTCAGTGAAGAGACATAGTTTGACTTCTTTACTTTCTAGCACAATAAGAAGTTCCAGGCTCATCTCATGTATTTCCACCTCCAGTCCTAGAATCAGCCATTTCTCCAAGGATTCCTGGATCCTTTTATTGGAGAATGGTATTAAAAATGAAGATCTGAGTGCTAGATATGTTCATTGTAACTCGGGTGCCATTAATTCTAGTCCCCGTCAGCTGACAGAGCAGGGAAATACATGGTTGTATACTAACCCATGTATACATACATATCTATAAATATTTATATATGTAAGCATCTGTATTAGTTTCTTGTTGCTTCTGTAACACACTGCCAAAAATCTAAATGCCAAAAATGTATTATCTTTCTAGTTCTGGAGGCTCGAATTCTAAAATGAGTTAGCTTGGCTGTCATCCTTCCATATGCTCTAGGGCAGAATTGTTTCCTTGACATTTTATGTTATAGAGGCTGTAAGTTCCTTGGCACATGTTCTTGGCTCATGGCTCCACATTGCGCTTACCTCTGATTCCATTGTCACACCTCTTTCTCTGGCTCTGACTCTCCTGTATCCCTCTTATAAGAACTCATGTGATTACATTGGGTTTGCCTGAATAATCTGGGATAATGTTCTCAACTCAAAATTCTTAATCACATTTGCAAAATCCCTTTTTCACATAAAATAATGTATTCACAGTCTATTAGGATTAGGATGTGGATTTCTTTGAAATACCATTATTAAGCCTACAGTGGGCTAAATTATGCCCCTGCAAAACTCACATGCCTACGCCCTAACCCCCGATACCTCAGCATTTGACTATATTTGGAGATAGGGCCTTAAATGAGGTCAATTAGGGTGGTCCCTAATACAATCTGATTAGTGTCCTTATAAGAGGAAGAGATACTAAAGGTTCATGCACACAGAGAGAAAGACCATGTGAGGACATAGCAAGAAGGCAGCCACCTGCAAGCCAAGGAATGGGGCCTCAGAAGACACCAAACGGGCAGAAACTGTGATCTTGAACTCTAGCCTCCAGAACCATTAGAAAATTAATTTCTAATATTTAAGCCACTCAGTCTGTGGCATCTTATTATGGCAGCCCTAGCAAATGAATACACCTACAATACCATATGTATCTATATTAAGCTAAGCATCAGTTCATACTGATTTCTCACACTCTAATCTGTTACCCCTGTCTCATTCTAGCCTCCTCTGCTTACTCATCTACCATCTCACGTTCCAAAAGTGGGACATGTGGCTCCCAACATCCACCATCCATTTACATAACTGTTTAATTCCAATATATATGTGTGGTGGTATCAGAATTATTAACCCATACCTCTGTGGGAACAATTTTATCCACTAGAATACAATGTTTAGTACAGTTTTGCCAATAATCTTACAGACTCCACACATTTTCAAAGCTACTTATCTCAGCACATTTTGCCCTTACCTCCTACAATTAGATTGAGATTGTTTTGTCACATTCTGTATTCCATCCCTTAACTTTTTAAATTACTTTTTAATGTACATACATTAAGCATTACTTTATAGCTGTAAGGCCCTATAGATTTTGACAAATGCACAGTGTCATATACTTATTATTTCAATATTATACAGAATAGATTCAGCACCCTGAAAAATTCCCTGTGCTTTACCTTTTCAACATTCCCTCCCCACCTCAAAAAAAATCCTAGCAAATATTGATCTTTGTATGGTTTCCATTGTTTTGCTTTATTTCATGTCACATAATAAAATCATACATTATGTGGACTTTTTATGCTGATGTTTTTCGCTTAGTAATATGCATTTAAGATTTATTCATGTCTTTTCATGGCTTCATAGCTCATTTCTTTTTATTACTAAATAATATTACATTGTATGGATGTACATCGTTTATCCATTGGCTTATTGAATGACATCTTGGCTTTTTACAATTTGGAGTAATTATGTTTCTTTAAGCATTCAAATGCAGGTTTTTACATGGACATAAATTTCAACTAGTTTTATTATTGTTGTAATGCTAGCTTCACAGAATAAATTAGGAAGTGTTCCCTCTAGTTCTATTTTCTGAAAGATACTGTAAAGAATTGGTATTATTTCCTCTTTAAATGTTCAGTAAAACTCACCCATAACACCATCTGAGCCTGGTGCTTTCTTTTTCTGAAAAGTTACTAATTATTGATTTAATTTCTTCAGGAAATATAGGCCTATTTAGATTATCTAATTTTCTTTGCATGAGTTTTTATAGTTTGTATCTTCAATGAATTGGTCCATTTTATTTTAGTTATTAAAGTTTTAGGTATATGTCTCTGTGCTGTGACCATAAGTGCATCTCTAATATCATAACATTTTTTCACCCTTAGGTAAGATGCCAAGGCTCAAGAGAGCTGAAGTAAGAGCAGTGTGCTTACCCCAGCTGAGATAACGCTCTGCTATAAGATATAGTCTTCCTTGGAGAGTAGACCTTTGTTATGGAGAATGCTCTGGGCTTTTTGCACAATGATTACCCTACTCCTCCTCCTTCCAGAGCCATAAGGAGATGTTTCTTAGCTCTTCATCATGAAAATTTGGAGGAGTTCCTGAAAGTAATACCCACAAAAGTTTGGGGCCCCCCAAAATGCATCCCCAAGAATTTCTTACCCTCATACTAGTCCACATTCAGCTTCCAACAATTCATCAAAATTATCATTTAAATCTTCCCATAACCTCAGTTTTTTCAACTTTTGTTTCATTTTTAATTGACAAATAATAATTGTATATATTCATGGGTACAGTGTGATGTTTTGGTATATGTTTACATTGTGGAATGATTAAGTAAAGCTAATTAACATATTCATCACTTCACATGCTTATCAATTTTTTGTGGGAATATTTAAAATCTAGTCTTTAAGCAATTTTGAAATCTAAAGTACATTATTATTAACTACGGTCACCATTCTGTGCAATAAATCACTAAAGCTTATTCCTCCTGTCTAGCTAAAATTTTGTACCCTTTTACCATTGTCTTCCTTTTCCCTATCCATCTGCCTCCCATAGCACCATTCTACTCTTTCCTTCTATGAGTTCTACTTTTTGGATTCCACATATAAGTGAGATCACATGTTATTCATCTTTCTGTGTCTGGCTTATTTCGCCTAGCATAATGTCCATGTTGTCCCAAATGACAGAATTTCCTTCCTTTTAAAAAGTGATAGTATTCCATTGTCTATATGCCACATTTTCTTTATCCATTCATCCGCTTATGGACACTTAGCTCCAACCTCAGTTTTTTGATGGATCCAAAGAAAGTCATTAATGTTCAATGTATTCAGCAAGAATAAACAGGAATAGTGAGTTCCAAGCTCTTTACATGTTGGTTCTAAAACAGGAATAATAAGCAAGAAGTTTATTCTTTTTTATTGCTGAGTAGCATTCCATTATGTAAATATACCAATTTTTTTATTCATTATCCTTCTGATGGATTTTTGGATTGCTTCAAGTTTTTGGCCATTATGCATAAAGCTGCTGTGAACCTTCTTTTAACTGGCTTTTCGTGGACATAAACAATCATTAATTTTATAATTCCAGACTCAGACTAAACCACAGATCACAACAAGTTACCTGTATATAGTAAAATATCTTTACAGCAAAAGAATCACACACAACATAACCAGCTTTATAACTCACTAGGCACTGGGGTACTGGATATTCTCTGCAGAAAACAGATTTGAATAGAACATCTAACTTACTGTTGATAGACTTCTTTCCGAGAATCATCAATTATTATGGCACAGTCGATGTACTCAGGTACACATAGAAGTAACTTCCTTTATTTTCCTAAAAAATATATTTTTGTTGAGCCAACAATTGACTTGGTGACAGCATATGCAAGCTTAATCTTTTCTAAGTAAACCCAATTGATTGAGGATTTCACTCAGCCAATAAAAATTTCATATTCTTACTTGTTCTCTTCCCCTTCCTCTTCCCTCTCCCTGTGATTTCTCTCCCTGATTCTAAGCTCTGGGGTATAGAGAGTGCCATTATGTTGGAGAAGAGGTGACATCTTGATCTTCCCTGTCTGGAACTTGCTGAAAAAAAATTCTCTAGAGGACTCTTTATCTCATAGGTGTTCACTCTTTTTTGAGAATTTGTATACTATTTTATTATATTGATACTTTGTCAACTGAAAATATTATTTTCATAAGTTATAACAAGTTATCAAATATCTGCAATTATTTTGTGTGTAAAACTTAAACTGCAGTACAAATGTTGTCTGCAAATCATATCCTTTTTAACCTTAGGTTATATCAAATAATCAGGAATATCTGCAGCTGAATCACTTTACGGTAGTGCCACCTGACTAAGAAAATATTCTATAAACAATACAATCATCTGTAGTAGGTTATTTCAAGGTGAACATAGCATATGTTTTAATTCTTACTTTTAAGAATGTTAATCTATAATGGGTACAAAAATACACTTAGAAGGAATAAGTTCTAGTGTTCAATAGCACAGTAGGGTAACTGTAGATAGCAATAATTATTTTTTTTAAATAGCTGGAAGAGAAGAATTGTAATGTCCCCAACACAAAGAAAAGGTAAATGTTTGAAATGATAAATAACCCAATTACCCTGATGTATCATTACACATTGTATGCATGTATCAAAATATCACATGTACCCCATAAAGATGTACAATTATTATGTATCTATAAAAACATACATTTTTCAATAATAAATGTTTAATGGGTCCCCAGAATGAAGAAGAATATCAACTTGTATGTGGCAAGTTCTATTTATCCTTAGTATAAAGGAGAATAATTCTCCTCTATCACTATCATTTCTTATAAAAAGCTATTTTTACCAAATTTTAGTTGACCTACTTTTTACAGTCATCTAATTTGTCCGCAACCCCCTCAACACACACACACACACACACACACACACACACACACACACACACAAATAAGGCTTGAGAGATTTTAACATGATACTTAAAGCCCAGCTTCTGAACTTTTACTGGAACTGATCATGATATCAGCAAGACAAAGTGAACATTTCTTTATTGGAACCAGGAAAATCTTAAGAGTCAATGAAGTCAGTTCAGAACTTGTTGCTAGCCAGTCCATAGAACATCTAGGAAATTGAGCTTCATTTGGATTTTCTTGAGATAGATTATGATAGTCAAATTGAGCAGATTTTTGGTCTTTAGAAAATTTTAACTTGATGTAAACTTATATAATATGGTAGATGTGAAATGAATCACATAATTTTTTAAATAACTGAGTTTTGTAATTATTAGTGTAATTCTCATTAGATATTAGTAAATATAAACCTACATTTTTCTGATTTTTAGTTTCTTCAATGTTAAAATGGTACAAGAGGTAAGAAGTTGAACTAAATTAACTCTAAAGATTCTTCCCAGTCAAAAATTTTGTACTTTTCACTTTCCACTTAAATTTACTTCTACCAGAACACAGGAGAAGGGAATGCCTATAAGGCTAAGAAAATGGCAAAAGATATAAGGGACACAGAGTACATTACATGTTTGGGAGATAGAATCAAGCAATTGGATTACAGCAGAGGGTTTATGTTGAGATTAGTACAAAGTACAGCTTGAAAGGTAGTTTGGAGCAGAATTATAAATAGCCTTGAACAGTAGGCTAAAAATTTTGTGTATCATTCTACAGATAATGGAAAACTGTTTCAGGAGTTCAAGTTAAAGTGAGCACAATAATGGTTTAAAAGGAATGATCTAGTGTTAACAATTACAAATGAATTAAAAGTGAGATAGGCTGGAAGAAGAAAAATCAATAGAGGGGATGTTTGTAAAATAGGTGTGAGCTAATCATAGCTTCAGCAAGGTGATGTCATAGAATAGCAAGAATTCATAGACTAACAAAATCTGGAAAAAAGAATCAGTGAAACTGGCTGATATATCAAGCTAATGAGAAGAAAGTCAGACAATTCCAATTTTATGTTGGGAGAATTACATTTTTACTTTGTTCAACATGGAAAGCTCTTAGAGAAAATAGAAAATATGAGTTCAGTTTTAGAGGCTTTCAATTTGAAGCATAAATAGACATAAGAAAGGAAATATGCTGTTTGCAGCGAAAAATGCAAGCCTAGGTGAGAGGTCAGAGTTGTATCCATTTTAATTTTAAGTAAAACTTCACTTAAAAAAACAGACAGATAAAATAGTAAGGTTTCAATTTGAACATCGCATTGAAAAACTGAAGAGATCTAGTCATTTATATTACTTACCATGTTTTTAATTTATCCTCAGACATATTAGTTATCTTCTCAATTTAATCATGTCTCTTTTATTCATGTGCTTTGCTGGAATATTGCAAGCAATATCTTCTGATTTGGCAGAGCTTAGCTCTGTAAACTGAATGTTTATTATCAAAGAATAATTTTTACCATTTAATTAAGTGTTCCCAATTAATACCTTGAACAGAAATGAGTAGTGCTAGTTTTCTTAGCAAAAGAGGTCTCTGAATATATTGTGCCTACTAATGCTAACGTAACGGGTTCAAAGCAGTGGGAAAATAATTCTGTTTTATGGAACTGATTGATTAAGTCCCAATCAAAGCAGTTAATTTAATATATTTGGGGTAGCACCACAGTATGATCTTCTTCCAAATCAATATAATTTCTTTTTGCATGTTAAAGAGCCTCAGAACATGTAAGTGGTCAAGTCCTGTAATTAAACTAGCCCCAGTCTCCTTATTTGAGCAATGAGAAATTGGAATGACAGCTAAGTTCCCTTTCAGTGAGCACATTTTATTATATATAAACACTACATCATTGAAAAAAACAAAAAGATCTTATTATTGAATATTTCAGGTGTACTAAAAATGTGTCAAAATTAAAAATTCCAAGAAATTCTAAAATCATGGAGTGTCCTCACTAATATCACCTGGAATTTATTTTATTAAGTTGGTACCAAAGTAATTGCAGTTTTTGCCATTGAAAGTAATGGTAAAAACCACAAAAACTTTTGTGCCAACCTAATACACAAAGTTTTCTACCTAGCAAATGTAAAGATTTCCAGGTTTGCATTAACTACCTTTTCAAAAGGGAGGAAATAACAGCAAATATCCTAAGCCCCATCTCAGTTGACATAGCAAACAAGTCTGTAGTATAATCTAGCAAGCTGAAGTGTGGTCTTCAGATCAGCAGTACAGGCATCACCTGGGATCTTGTTAGAAATGCAGACCCAGATTCTATTCCAAACTTGCTGAATCGGAATCTGCATTTTAACCAGATTTCCAGGTGATTCTTATGCACATTAAAGTTTGAGAGACAGTGATATATAATCCCACTAAATCTACATCCCGAAAATAGGGAAATTCATACCATCTATCTGTAGCAATCCCATCTGCCTTATTTGACTTCAGTTAATTAAATTTTATGATACCACCCACTCTAATGTCACACACTTAGTGAATGAAAATATGTAAATCTGAAGAGGTCCTTCATGAAGGAAATAGCTTGAATTAGACTTCGCTTAAGAATGATGCAGACCATTTATGAAGACCTGCTCTACTCTAGCCAAGAAATTAGCGCCTGGAGAAATTTAGCTTAAAATCTTAATCGAGGTCCTTTATTATTTGTACCTTCATTCACCAGGGCAAAAGCAAAGCGAATCCAGAAAACTAAACAGAAGATCCATATGTTCTTATTCATTTTACAATAAATGTTCCACTCTTATCTGCTCTACAGTTTGCTTTAAGTAATATACAAATGACAATTTCCACCTAAGCTTCATTAAGCTTTATTAACATAGAGGGTTACATCTATACTTGAAAACTAGCAAACTGAGCTGTTTGGAAAGGGTACTTGTTTGATTTGTTATGAATAGTAGAAGGATGAGGTGATAAAGACATAAACTAACATTTCTTGAGCATCTACCCTATGCTAAGTGCTACAGTAGCCGTCTGATATAAAGAGAGTCTCTAAACTGTTAAATTTGAGATCTGCTCTCTAATCATATAAATATGGCATTATTGTGATCTGTTAAAACTGTACAAACACTGATTCTTAATCATTTGATGACACAAAAATCTGTGTTTAAAACTTTGCTTTATTATTGAATAGTAACATGTCAAGCCCTTCCCATCTCCCCAGTTAGGCATTATTCAGAAATATCTAAAAGTAGGACTGAAGTGGTCTTGTTATTATAATTTCCAAATAAAATGTCTATTTTAGCTCTTAAACAACCATAGAGATCTTATGTGGACCCCTGTGATGATACTGTTTACCTGATTGCAGTCCCTGGAAGTATCTTTTGGGACTGTAATTAAAACCATTTTGCTACCTGTTTTACCATAATGGAAGACATCATTTAGTCATGCAATGTTTCACCCTTTCATTCCATGCATATCTATTGATTGCTTCCTATTTGTCACAAAATTTTAACAAAACAGTCTGAAAATAAGTACACAGACATAGTTAGAACTATAAATAGTTATAAATTTGTGAAAAGTGCTATGAAGTAAAAAAGCATGAGACCATTATAAAAAATGATCAGGAGAAAGAGTTCCTCTTCTGATGTGGACAAGAAAGATCCAGCAAGAATAATCCTTCTGAAGACAACTATAGACTCTGGACAAAAATATAGGCAGTCCGCATGTTACCTAAAACCATGTTAAAAGTCGTGCATATGAGAACTATGTCATTGCTTTATATAGTTCTATAGTATCAGCTAATGTGCAAAGAGAAGATGCAGTTACAAAATTCACAGGTTTCCATTGATGCAGTACTGTGCATAGCAAGGACTGTGCGTAGCAAGGACTGCCTTTATAACAAAACAATCATCTGAAAGCACCATAGAGTGAACAAAAGCGAATGGATATCAGGGGTGGTCAACACTTTAAAATGGAATAACACAGAGTATTTTACCTTTTTTATAGCTCTTAAGCTAAAAGAATGCTGCAGAAGGCACCATGCAGAGTGGATACAATTCCTATAGAAAATCCGCAGATTTTCTGACTCAAAGAAACAAAGGATAGAGTTCAAAGATACCACAGCTTGTGAAAAGTAAAGGAATAATCCCAGAAAGGAGAGACAAAGAAAAGAAACCCCAAGTTTTCTTTACAAGCTCTGCGGAACCCTAAACCACACACCCATGAGGCAGACCACAGAAGCTAATTAAGAATGAAATAACTATACTGAGATTTGAGCTGCTGCAAAACAGATTGTTTGCAGTTTGACTGCAACCAAGTTTATTACCTGCTAATACAATCAAATGAAAAAATCAACACTCTTTGGAAGAATTTAAAATAGGTTATTTCCAAAATTATATACACAGTGTTCAGGTAAAATCCCAAATTACTCAAAAAAACAAAAACAAAAAAAATGTGACCCATCCTCAAGAAAAAAAAACGCAGAAACCAACTCCAAGACAATCAAGGCATTGGCATGAGCAGACAAAAATTCTGAAAAAGCTATTGTAATTATGCTCAATGACATCAGGAGGCTGAGGCAGGAGAATCGCTTGAGCCTGGGAGGCGGAGGTTGAGGTTGCAGTGAGCCGAGATCGCACCACTGCACTACAGCCTTGGCGACAGAGTGACACTCCATCTCAAAAAAAAAAAAAAAAAAAAAAAAAAAAATGCTCAATGACATAAAAGAAAATATTCTCAGAGTAAAAAATGGAAATCTCAAAAAAGAAGTAAAAAATACCAAAAATAACTAAAATTAAATACTAGTATTTAAAAATAAAATATATGAAATAAAAAATCACAGCACAGGCTCAAAAGCAGAATGGAGATGACAATCAAATGAGACAGTAAACTTGAAGATAGATAACTATAAAGAATGCAGTCTGCATCTGGCATGGTGGCTCAAACCTATAATCCCAATGCTTTGGGAGGCCAAGAGGGGTGGATGGCTTGAGTCGATCAGCCTGTGAAAAATGGTGAAATCCCATTTCTACAAAAAAAAAAACTACAAAAATTAACTGGGCATAGTGGTGCATGACTGTATTCCCAGATACTCTGGAAGCTGAGGTGGGAGAAGCACTTAAGCCCAGGAGGTCAAGGCTGCATTGAGCTGTGATCATGTCACTGCACTTCAGCCTCTACAACAGAGCAAAACCCTGTCTCAGGAAAAAAAAAAAAATAATAATAATAATCTGAGAATAGATTGAAAAAATTAACAGGGCCTCAGGTTCCTATGGAACAATACCAAATGGTTTAATATATTGTAATTAAAGTTTATTATGACAAGAGTAAGAAAATGGGGCAGAAATAATATTCTAATACATAGTGGATGACTATATCCGAAATTTGGTAAAACATATATTTACCAAATTGTAGGTTATAGAATTTCATCAGGATAAAAGGAAATGATACTAGACAAAAGCTCAGATATTTAAAAAGAGATAAGAGCATTAGAAATAGCAAACATCATTGTGGGGTTCCATGGTGTAATGGTAAGCACTCTGGACTCTGAATTCAGAAATAGCAAACATCTGGGTAAATATAAAACACTATTGATCCGTCTTAATTTTTTTAAAATGCATATTACTGTTTAAAAAAAAAATTACAACATTATGGGATGCTATTGTTTGCATGTGTTTTGTCCATGCCAAAACTCATGTTGAAATTTGGTCCCCAATATGGCAGTGTTGGGAGGTGGTGCCTAGTGGGAGGTGTTTGGGTCATGGGGTGGATTCTTCATGAATCGCTTGGTGCTGTTCTCCAGGTAGCAAGTATGTTCTCACTCTTGAGAGACTGGATTAATTCTCACAGGAATGAATTAGTTCCCCTGAGAATGGATTTGTATAAAGGGAGGTTCCTACTAATGTTTGGTCCCTCTTTATAGGAGTCTGTTTTTCTATGACCTTCCACCATATTTTGACACAGTGTAAAAGCCCTCACCAGAAGCTAAGTAGAAGCCAGTGCCATGTCCTTGAACTTCCCAGCCTGCAGAATCATGAGCTAAAGAAACCACTTTTCTTTATAAATTACCCAGCCTCAGGTATTCCATTATAACAACAAAAATTGGACTAAAGCATGGGGCCTATACCATAAATAGAAAAAATATATACAAAAGTTTTATCATCAAGGTTAAGGTGGGGGGATACATTGACCTATATGTTTGAAAGATTTATATACTTTACACAAAGTGGTACAATAGAAACTCTAAATAGATTGTAAAAAGGTAAGAATGTATGTTGTAATTCCTATAGCAACCATTAAACAATAATTCAAAGAGCTATGCTAAAAGCCAATATATTTAAGATTCTAAAAATATCCTATGACTCACAACAAAGACAGAAAAGGAGGACAAAGGAGACAAGTTGAAATTAAATAACAATATAGGAAACCTAAATCCAACCATATTAAGAATTACATTAACTGTTAATTAACTTAACATCCCATTTAAAGTATAGTGATTTTCAGAAGACATTAAAAAGCAAGATCCAAATATATGCCAAAAGTTGTTTGTTTCTTTGACAGTATCAACAAAATGGATTAACCTCAAGCAAGACTGTTCAAGACAAATAAGACACACACAGAGAGAGAGAGAGAGAGAGAGAAAATCAGGAGAGAACACAGAAAAGATTAAGGCCATTTGATAGTGAAAAGGGAGTCCATTTTATAAGAGATTGTAAGAATCCTACATGTTTATGCACCTAATAAAAAGCTTCAAAATGCATTAAGTAAAAACCGATAGAAATAAGAAGAGACTGCCACAAATCCACTATTGTAATAGGCAGCTTCTGACATGGCTCCCAATGATTCCATCTCCTAGTGTTCATGCACTTGTGTTTGTGCTGAATCTCATGACTTGCTTCTAATCAATGGAATATCGTAAAAGTGATAGGATGTGACATTTGCGATTAGGATACAAGGTCTTGCTAGAACTCCCTATCTCCCTGGAACTCTCACTTCTTCTTTCAGTTCCTCACATTTTTGAAACCATTGCCAGATTGTGAGATGCTCATGTGAAAAGAACCAACTGTGCAACAGCTCTTAAAACCTGAGGCCTCGGCCCAACAACCCAAGAGAAACTGAGTCCTGCCAAGAAGCACATGTATGAACCAGGAAGTGAGTCCTTCCCATCAAGCCTTGAGAAGACTGAAGACTTGTGAGAGATCCAGAGCCAGAGAACCCAGCTAAGCACATCCAGAATCTTGACCTGCAGAAATTCTGAAATAATAAATAGGTGCTTTATGTCACTACATTTTGTGGTAATCTGCTAGGTAGCAATAGATAACTACCATAGCCATTACAGGTTAAAAGTTCCAACACCCCTTTTTCAATAATTGATAGAATAAATAGATAGAAAATTCAGGATGTATTACAGAAGACTCTAAAAATATTACCACCAACTTTCCCTAAATGTAATTTATACACTTCATTCAATAACAAAAGAAAATATTTTCTTTTCAAGTGAACACAGATTATTCATTAGAATAGATCATATTCTGGCCCATAAAATAGTCCTCAATAAATTAAACAGGATTGAAATCATTCAGAGTAGGTTCTCTGTCCACAATGGAAAGGGAAATCAATAGGCGAATAATGTCTGGAAACAACCACCCAATATACAGAAATTTAAATCACATTTCTAAATAAAATTGATCAAAAAAAGGTCACTGGAAAAATCAGGAAAAAATAAACTGAATATAAGTGAGAAACAGCAAATCAAAATATGAGGGACGCAGCTAAAGCAGTGCTTAGAGAGAAAATTATCACATTAAACTCTAATATTAGAAAAGAGGAAAGCACTCAAATCAATTATCTAAATTTCCATCATAAGAAACAAGTAAAAGGAGAGTAAATTAAACCTCAAGTAAGCAGAAGGTAGGCATAAAGAGTGAAACCAATAAAAAAAAGAAAACAGATAAACAAAAAAGACAGTCAAGAAAAACCAAAAGCTGAGTTTTTGAATAGGTAAATGAAATTAATAACCTCTATAAGACTTACCAAGTATTTACCAAAGAAAGGTAAAAATATAGATCCAAAAAGATAAAACTGATCATGTATTTACCCGAGATAAAAATAGAAACTCTCAAAAATACTCACACAAAAATATTTGTAGCAGTTTTACTCATAAGTGTCAAATCCTGTAAACAACTCAAATGTCTATCAACATGGGAATGTTTGATCCAATTGTGATATATTTACACAATGGATTAAAATTAAGCAAAGAAAAATAAAAGAAACCAACTATTGATACACACAATGACATTGATGAATCTCACAGACATGATGCTGTGCTAAGACAGACGCAAAAGCATACAATATTGTATAATTTCTTTTACACAAAATTCTAGAACAGTCCAATCAAATCTATAATGGCAGATATCGAACAGTCATTACCTCTGGGTGGAGGAGGTAAGCAAGGATTTACCAGGAAAGGGCACGGGGAATTTTCTTGGTGATATCAGTGTCTGCATATTGATCGGTATTGGTTACATTTCTCAAAAAGTCAAACTGTGCACTGAAGATCAGAAAGAGCTAGGGAGGAAGGGAAAGGGAGGCAGAAAGTGAGGAAAGTGGGAGGGAAACAGGAGAAATAGAGAGAAACAGAGAGCGAGCGAGCGAGAGAGAGACTATAAAAGGACAAAAAAAAAAGAAAAACAAAAAACTGTCCAGGTCTTAGGGGAAAAATTTAACCTGGATCAGGGATAAAAGCATAGAAGAATAATAAAACATCAACTTTGAGAAAAATTCAGAAGTAAACACTAAGATAAAAAGAAACAGCCTTTAGAGAATGGATAGGAGCTTCCAGGAATGAGCAATCTAAGTTATTTACTGTATTTCTAAGCACGTGTAATTGTGTTTGTGTAATGTCCACTTTGTAAAGTATCACACTGGCTTTAAGGATGTACGTATGCTGCAGTCGAAGCCAAGTTAAGATTTTTAAAACCTCTATGCACAGATAATACAGTATTCTGACTTACTTAGGCACATAATGTAATTTTAAATTAAAATTGTAATAATGATATACTATAATATGGATGGATTTATCTTCTTTCTAGAATATGCTTCAAAATAATATGGATAGAGGGATGAATGGGTATGTGGAAAGTTCGGCCATGCATTAGTAATTGCTGCACCTCAATAATGGGTACTGTTATATATGTTTTAATTCTCAGTAACGGAAAGCTAAAAAGAAAAGGCCAGGCTTGGTGACTCCTGCCTGTAATCCTAGCACTTCGGGAGGCTGAGGTGGGTGGATCACCTGAGGTCAGGAGTTCGAGACCAGCCTGGTCAACATGGTGAAACTCCGCCCCTACTAAAAGTACAAAAATTAGCCAGGCATGGTGGCAGGCGCCTGTAATCCCAGCTACTCGGGAGGCTGAGGCAGGAGAATAGCTTGAACCCCAGAGGAGGAGGTTGCAGTGAACCGATATTGCGCCGTTGCACTCCATCCTGGGCGACAAGCATGAAACTCCATCTCAAAAAAAAAAAAAAAAAAAAAGCAAGCTTAAAAAAAATGTAGTGACCATAAAATCAGTGTGCTAATTCCAGAGAAGTTTTCATTTACTTTTCATAAATGACTTTGAAGTTTAAAAAGAATCTTTTAAGTATTTTAGTGCCCCTGTCGCTAATGTTAAAAGCCCATGCATAGTCCACCTACTGGATTATCCTGTTCTGGTTAGACTGAGGATTGCTGGTTTTGCTTGTTTTGTATCAGGAAAATTTCATAGGTTAAAGGTGCCCCAGGGGGGCAGTAAAAATAAAAGTGAAGGATGAGCCAAATCCTTCATCACTGCCCAGTAAGGATCATCCCGACTAACAGGAAAGTGACTGGAAAGGTGTTCATGTCAGATGGGGTGGAGGTAGCAGTGGAGCAGGTCCTAGCGTATTTTTTTTTTCTATCCAGGATGTGAAAAATACTATAATTTGGATTTTTATTTTAGAAACAAAAACTCAGGTGGTAAATTTGAATTTCCTGAAGACTAGATATTGTAGATAGCAACTCTTTGATATGACCTATTGTTAAACAAATGTGCTTATTATATATTGGGCATTCAATAAATATTTTTGGTTTTTGAAATATTTGTTCATTTTCTTTGAACAAATATAAACCATTTTGTAGTATGATTGACAAATAATTGAAAAAGTAAATCAGCTTAAAATTTTAAATTATCAAAATTTTGTAAGAACGAAGAAAAAATGGCAAAGAGAGAAAATCCTTTGCATTTAATTAACTCCAGATGCATTTGTAGAAGTTTCTTAATATAAGAAATAAAATTACATTACCCAGAATGAATGGTAACTACAGTAATCCTGTCTGGTTAAGGTAGGAACTTAAAAGAACACACGTACAAATAAACAACTAATTGATTTTGGTTTAATTTTTATTTATTCACTTATGTATAAATACAGATACAAAACTTGTTATCAATTTTATGACATTATTATAAACAACTTTAATGCTGTACTAGGAATATATTTAAATATTTGGAAACTCATAGAGATTAATAATAAATAGAGAAGAAATTACTCTTTCCAATTTTGGGGCAGTGTCATGTCAAAATAGCAGTCTATTTTCAGTTAATCAACAAAGCTATCAGCAAGTATTTGTAGAATAACTGCAAGATGCTGTGAAATGTACAGTTGATATATTGGATTAGAAGTTTACAATCTTGATGTCTAATACACATGAAATGGTTAGACAACAATACGGCACATTATATGAATAGGTTTTAAGATAGTGTTTCCATGAGTAAGTCTTTGATACGAGCTCAAAGAAAATGAATAACACCAGGCTGAAGGATGCACTTTGAATGATGGTAAGAAAATGAGAGGGAATATTTATTATGGAATACTTTATGTACCATAATCCTTAAAGTATTCACTCCACTTCTACTATAAAATAAGTAAATTGTTTTTATTTTCTTTGAAATAAAAAACAAAAGATCGTAAACTATCCACTATTTCTTTTATATATATCCTAGCATAGGTTCTTGCTCTGTCACCCAGACTGGAGTGCAGTGGTGCGATCATAGCTCACTGTAACTTTGAACTCCTGAGTTCAAGTGATCCCTGGCCTCGGCTTCCCAGGCAGCCAATACTACAGGCATGCAACACCATGACTGGCTATATAAAATATTTTTTAAATGCTCACAGTCTTTTACCGTAATCGTTTAAGACACAGATATAAATGAGGGAAGTTACAATTCTTTTCCTTCATTAAATTACTGTCATTACAGTATGAAGTAGACGGCTGTGGTATTGATCACACAATTTAAATGAAAACCTTTCCATATACATAATTCTGCCATCCAAAATTTTTTTGATGTGTTTTAAACATACAAACCAAAAGGTACCCCAATGGCAAAAGCAAACCAAACAAGGTATCCAGTTCATCTTGTTCATATAAAACATAAAAACATGATCTGTCAAAGGAATTCACAAGCTCAAAAAATTATTTCCATATGCTGTGTAATGCCAGAAGTAATTTTTAAAAATATTTCTATCATCCTAATCTTATAAACATTTTCCAAGAACCTTCTACATGATATAAACATGCTTGATTCTCTAGGGAAGAAAAAAGTAATAGAATGTTTTTCATTATAAGCACTGTCCTTGAGAATCTTAAAATGCTTCTTGAGATATGTGCAAATGAAAATAGCAACAATTTCAATATCAGGAAATGTTCAGATATGTCTACTGAGCAGCAAAGACAATGCTGACCACAGACTAAGAACTGGGTACAAATTAAAGCTTTTGGTTTTTGGTTATGATAAAACATGTAAAATCCCTGCTATCCCTGTTTCTTTCAGACTACCTGATTGACATAAAAAAGGGGGAAGTTAAAGCAATATGTAAATGAGAAAGCACTGAAACAAGGTGGAATGTTCAAGCTGATCTGGTGATGCAGGTCAGGGACAAAAAGGAGGAAAGATCAAGATAATCTTGTGTGATATTTGTGGCACATATAAAATACAAGCATCTTGATTAACAAAGAAAATTTGCATATTATTAGAAAAATCATTACACATATAAATACACTTTGAACTATCTCAAAATGTATCCCCTAAAGGCTAAAATATTCTATTTCCCAACAATAAGTTTTAATTATGGATCTACCCACATATTTACTACACAATTTTAAAGATGACAAATTGGTTAGTTTAGCTTCATCCTCCCTCCTTTATTTTTCATTTAGTTTTTCATAACACATAAGGCTTCTCAACATCAAATAAATTATATGGTATTTGCTGTAGCAATTAACTTTCAAATTAAAATGTGTGCTTGTTAACATAGTTCCTGATGGTCTACAAGAGATTTGGGCTGTATCTACCTGATATGTAAAGAATCATTTCAGCAGGAAAAAATTAAATCAGTCAAGCTGATTTTTCATAAATAAAATTGTTTTGACTAAGCTTTTCACTTTGTAACAGTTTCTTTGGTATTTTTTAAAAACATTAGGTTTTCTTCAGAAAACATCAAAGAAAATTTTGACATTTTCCTGAAATAAGTAGACAGCTATTCAGATAATTAATGTGCAATAAGTAGTAGGGGTTTTCTGGTCTTTAATTATTTGGATAAGTCATCTATGTTGAACAGATTTATTTGCCAGTATTTGCCATTGATATTTCTGATTTATTCAGTACAATCCATGGTTACATGTATCAAGATATTCTGTATTCTTGGGCAGACACACACACACACACACACACACACACACACACACACACATTCAGCCAAAAAGCAATTTAAAGTAGAGTTAAAAACAGTTTTAGCAGTAAAGTGAGTAGATTATAAGCACCTTCTCAAAAGCTATTCTCCAGGTGGCTTTTTCCTGCTGTGGCTTCACCGTGACAGTGCATTAAAGTTTCATCTAAAACATTTGTATTTTGTTTATGGTCCATTGAGAAAATAAATTCTCCCAGGAGTAAAGGGCATGCTGGTATGATGCCATTGAGAGATGTGAATCACCATAATATGTATTTAATGAATTGCCATTATAAGGTGGACTTACAGCCATTTAGAATGTCAACAGATTTGTTCATTCTAACACTAAGAAACAAAATACACTTGACCGCTTACACCAGTTCTGAAGCTAGGTTCTCTCCTTCAGTTTGAGAAGACCGTGGAGAATGGAAACAACATTTCTTCTGAGGTTGTCAGCCAGACAGGAAGATCGACAAAGGAGACATCACAACAGAGCACCATAATAGGCACTGCCAGGGACTGCCGAGCTCGGAGGCCCTGCTCATATGCAGGGGGCTTCAGTCTAGCTAAGGAGACAGAGCATAGGTGGGATGAAAGGAAGACTACCTCGGCTCTCTTAGACTTAGCAATTACCCCCTAACAGCTGACAGGGCCATGTCTTAATGCTGAGTTTCATAGGCGAATACATATTAAACTTATATAAATATACATCTTGAAGTGATGCAGAAGGAGACTGAATAGACAGACACCCTTGGTGTTTTTTAATATGAACACATACTCACATCCCCTCAGGTTTCATGAATACTTAGGACACCATTTACACATTTCAGGGGAGGTCAGAACATGATATCTGTTTTACACTGCTGATGAGTTCCACAATGCGGGTATTCGGAAAAGCGAGAGAACAGCAAGGGGTTGCTGACTATCCCTGGGAGCCCAAAGGCAGTCAGGGCTTCTGCAGGAAGAAGGAGACATTGGGGGAAAAATGGAGGGAGACAAAATTCATCTACTTCATAATTCTGCCTAGGGCCCACCTTAGCCTCAAAATTTGGTAGTGCTCATAAGAAAAAAACTAACCATGAATTCCCCACGCCACAGCTCAGTTGATCTATTTTCTTGACCCGTGTGGGACTGCTAACATACTTCTCATTCTTGAAAGCTAACCAGTCGGTTGGGGAAGCAAAATTTATGTATATTTTGTGTTTTTCAAGACCCCATTCTTCCCTGAAACAGTCTACATCCAAGGGGTAAGAGCTTCTAATTGATAAAATAGCAGTGTCTTTATTTTTTCAACTCTTTTGAATCATTTAAATACTCCAAAATTGTTAATTCCTCATGCCCCCAAACTATTATCAGTTTATAGATAATAGTAACCATCCCCATTTGACCCAAAGCACATGTATACTCTATATATCATTACATATTAAACCATAGGTACACACATAGAGTTTTACTATTAACATAATATAGTGAACATTCTGATTTTACCCATGGCCATTCTCATATCAATTATAATTTTAAAAAGCAAGAAATTGTAAGAGCAAAACAATAAACATCAGGAATGTATTTTCGTTGATAATGATAGCTTAAATTAGTACAAACCATAAATGTTTGTGCATAACCACATTAAAAATATTTTTCCCCAAATGAAGGAATTCTGACACAAACTGCTAGTAATTGTTGAGCCACCGAAGTTGTAATGCACTTCTGAAACACATGTAATAATCATCAAACCTAAATATATCTCTAATTAAAACAAATCCTGCTATGAGTATGCTGATCAAAAGGAAAGTGCTCTTGATATATTGCTGTTCAATTTAGCCCTCCACCTCTTTTGCAGAAATCTCCCAGGAATGCTGCAAAGCCATTAGAGTCTGCTGCATACTAAAGCTTCTAGTTTAACTCCAAAAGCATGTGTAAAATCCTGGATTATAAATCACTGTTACAATCTACGCCCAGAAATCCATCTAGACTTATTGTTTAGGAGAAGTATTGGAAGACGATATACTAAGTAACATTTAGAGTTGACTGATCAGAAAATATAATAGTTTCAAAACAATGAATGAAAATTTTGAGTACTTCTCCATTCAACATGTATTACAAAAAATTAGGGACAATTATCACTCTTTAAAAATGAAGTCCATAAAGGGGACTACTTCTGATTATTATTAGACTCCATAAAAATGTATGAAAAGATCTGGAAAAATCTGAAAGTGCTTTAAAATATATTATTAATATTATTTTGCTTTAAATATTGCAAACTTATCTCTTCATTGCCTACTTTATTATACCAGTGCCTTTGCTTTCCCATCTATCTCCCTTAATTTCAGTGTTAATTTCTTCTTAAAAATTTATATACCATGGCTATTTGATCCCATTGTCATTTTTATTATTACACTATACTAATAGGTCTACATATTTCTTTTAGCGGATCCTATACTTTTTAAAAACTTGAGATCTTTCAGCACATCCTCTGCAGAACCAACACCTGGTGTCATTGCCACCAAATTCCTGTAAGTTTGTTTAGGAAAAAAAAATTCAATAAGAAAGTCTACAATTTCCTGAATTTGTTTTCCATGCACCAAAATTTGGAAAATTTTAGCTTTCACACGAAAGTTGATCCTCTTTTTCTTCTCCTTTTGTTTCCTTCTCTTCTTTCTTATCTTGTAACTTAATTCCCCCTCCTTTTCCCCCCTCTTGACTGCTTTCTCTTCTGCCTTTTCTCTGACCATTCTCTCTTTCATACTATTTGTTTTCTTTTTGGGTTATTAGAAGGCTAGTTAGCTGCTGGAGTTCCTTATCTACACTGAACAGAAGCTACCCAAGAGTGTTCCTTCTGGGAAATTTTACGACATAAAACAATCCCCATTTACTGTTTATGTGAGTATGGTGCCAGTGTAAGAGAAGGGCAAGGTTAGACATAATTACCTTGGCCATTTAGAAGGTAGGAGGGTTAATGACAGATTGAAATATAGGGCACATAGGCAAATGAGATGATTTGAACATGGAACAGAAATTAAGTAAAAAGAAAATAAGTGTATTTTGTACTTTCTTTGTGATAACTCACACCACCAAAATAATAAAGGTTTTTATCTGCAGTCATTCAGTATATGTATCTTGTTTCAACAACTAGATGTAAACTAAAGACAGATACTTATATTAAACTTCTTTCTATCCTTCAAAATGTAGCGTAGCTCTTCACATACACCAGGTGAAAGGGGTTTGAATGACATATACAAATTATGAAATTGGTGACTACTTCAGAAACATTGGCTAAAATTGCTTGAAATTACTATCTAAGGATTTAAACAATGCAATTGGATATAAATGTATGCATATACATGCCACATTCCTCCAAAAAGAAAGAAAATTATATGAAAACGTGAAATTGGAAATATAATACAAGAGAAAATTATATGAAAACATACATATAGTAAGATAAAATAATTTTCAATCTTGGTAACTTAAAAATAATCAACAATGTTTTCATTATTTTCAGTAAACTAAGTATCTGGGAATTGATCATAGTGAAAAAGCAACCTGTGAGTAGCTATGCAATTAATATTTATAGTGAGATACTGACTTATTATGTGTACTTGGATAGGTCATGTTATCTTACTTATGCTTCTGTGTCTCTGAAGTGACAATACTATTTGCCTTTTCATCCACCTCCTCTGCAAAGATGCTCTGCAAATAAATGAGGTAATGTTTGGGGAATGTTTGCAGCTTGGGAAAGAAACCCACTGCATACATCTAAGAATATTCCATATTCAAGCCTTGTATATTTTGCCTCTGTTTTAAATTGAAATTGTACTGTTTAAGTTCTTGGGTTCTGACCAAAATCTGGGTCAACATAAGAGAATAATTATTTTTAATTTTAAACCTGATTCTCTGTTCCAATCTCCTGCACGTGTGAGGGAAAACTGTAGGAAATAAACAAAGCACATAAATCAAGCTTTGGAAGAGAAAAATCTCTATCTGAAGGATTTTTTTTTTTTTCAATGACGAGCGTGCCCACTATTTCCCTAGAGGAATATTTCGGTCCAGGAAGGAAGATAGTGCATTCAGCATGAGTGTGTGTGTGAGTGTGTGTGTGTGTGCTGTGCGTGCGCGCCCGCGGAGAGAGGGGCGGGGGAGGCGGATGAGGAGGATGAGATCATAGTTTCAGGATCCTCAGGAAACCCTGGTACTGGCAGCAGCCAGCCTCTGCTGTGCCCACATGACCCACAACTCTGGCAGCGGACCCGGCACTTCCAACATTATTAAATAATAAGAAAGCGGCTCCTACTCCAGGCTCAAACCTCCCTGCAGACCAATGGACACCTTCTAAGAGTTTGGCGAGTCAGTGACTGAAGCGCCCGTCCATTCCAAGGTGTGTGCACGGCGTTTTCTTCTTTGACAGCTCCGGAGTGGGGGAGGGCGCGGGGGTGGAGGGGGTCCGTGTGCCGGGCGAGGAGTGGGCGCGAGGCCGGGCTGCCGCGCTGCCCCCGGCCGCCCGGTGCAGAGGAGCCCGCCGCGGGGCGGGAGGTGCACATGACGCGCAGCCCCGGCTGCGCAGGGACCGCAGCCGCCCACGGCGCCGGGGCGCGGACACAGGCGGCTCGGCGCTGGAGCAAGGGCAGGCGCCGCGCACCGAGCAAAGTCAAGAGTGGAAGCGGGCGGAGAGCGCCGGCGGGGGCAGGGATTCGCCTCAACGCCCACTCACGGGGTTCCCACCTGTGCGCCGGCGCCGGCCGCGGCTAGCGCGAAGCATGTGCCGGGCGCCGCAGCCAGGACTGCGGCGCGGCGCCTCCCCGGGCGGCGGGCGGCGCCTCAGGCCCGCGGGGCGGCGGTAGCGGCTGCTGCAGGATGTCCGGCCCGGGGGCGCGGGGCCGCGCAGGTAAATCTCCCCCGCCCTCGAAGGCCTTCGCAGCGCCGCAGCCCCTGCTGCTGCCGCGGCGCCGCTCGGGGGGTGGCTATGGCAGCCGGCTCCTTCGCGTCGCGGGTTGAGTTGTTTTCGTTGTGGTCGCTGCCCTCTTGGTCATCCTCTCGGGCTGAGCTGGTGGGAGGTGGAGTGTCTACCTCCATTAGGGATGATACTCACGTCGGGGAACAGTCTGAGGGGTACTGACTGGGACATCCGCGTTGGGTTCCTTTGCAGCCAGCGGCGTCCTTTCGTGTTGCAGTGCACTGCGGTGCCCGGGCCGATGCCTGGGTGGGAGTGGGCTCCGGGCCCCGGGGACGGGGGGCGGCGGGGGCGGGTGGGCACGGGGGTGAGTGTCTTCGGCTTTTATAGCCTGTTGCCCACTTCGAAGTTTTCTGCTGGACAGAGGGCAGGCGGGAGGTTCGTTCTGGTATCCGGAGTGGGAGTTGAAGAGAGGTGTCTGTCAAAAGACCAAAGCCAAAGAGAGAAGAGGGGTGGCGACGGCGAGGCTGGGACTCAGTGGTACCACTCCTGGGACTTGAAGGTAAAACTTTGCTGTTTAGTAGGCTTGGGGTATGGCTTTGGAAAGATAACTGTAGAACTTGGCCGTGAGGGGCGCAGGGGGAGGGGGCAGGGGAGGCGCAAATATTGGATGTGCCTTGCAGTGAAGCTTACCATGCTTTACATTTATTCTTATTCTAAAAAAATTGTCTTTTGAGTTGATGCTTATGTTTTCCTGTTATATGTCATCACTTGGCATTTAATGTGTTTGTATTTCCTTTTGAACCTCAGAGATACTTGTATTGTTGAAGTGTACAGTTACTGATTTCTTTAAAAAATAATGGTTTTTTTTTTCTTTTGCTTATTCCAAAGGTGGAAACTTTAGGAAAAAAGTGTTCCACATGTTCCACGGTTCTATATGGCTTAGATTTATTCACTGTCTTAATTCTTAGACCACCAAGGGAGTAGGTAATGTTATTAAACAACTTTTGCAGGTGAGAAAATCCGGGCACAGAGAGATAAAATAACTTACCCAAGGTCATACATTTATTAAGTGTTAGGAGTCTAGTTGGGCTTTTCATGCGCCCCTAATCAACTCATTATACCTAAAGTCTTCTATACTGACCACATCTTTCTATGAAGATGAACCTTAATAGGTATGTGCTGCATGTTCAGAACAATTAACTCTTTTTCTACTTTTTCTTCTTCTAACTTTCAATACTAAAATTATGGCAAATAACGTTTGAGTAGTTTCCTTTCAGCACAATTAACCAAGTGTCCTACAGTAATTAAAGTTGCATGTCCTACAATGATTAAAGTTGCATTTCACCATAAAGTTGAGATTTTCAGCCGTTAAGATGTATCAGCAAAGTAAATTATTATAAAGCAAATGGCTAAAGCTATATGTTTGTTTGCACTTAATTTTAAATTTCATAGGTTATTAGTCTGTTCTTTGTTCAGATCATGACCATCGTTTTCTTCAGAACACCATCTTCCAGATTTTTGAGGAAGTTTAGTTATATTTAACCCACTCACTCTGGCGAGAGTTGGGCGGTTTTAAAAGAAGAATTGTGCAATTCTCTTTCAACTATCAGTGATTAAAAGCAAGCTGTATTTTAAGGGCATTCGAGTCTGTCATGTCATTTAGCCAATTGTATGTACTTTATACAGAATTGTGTAGCGGTGAAGACTGAAATCAAATTTTCTCATTAGTTCTAAGTTGAAATACTTTTAAAATCTCCACTTGTTTTAAATGAACCGTGATGTGAAGAAAGGTCTCAATGGGGTGAGCTCCAACTTACTTAGAGAATTACTCTCACATATTTAGAGAATTACTCTTCATTTGAGCTTATCATAGAGCTTTCACAATATTCATTTTATTGGGCAGATGTCTCTTAATTCTTCATCTGTTATTTTTTTCAAGTAAATTTTAATTGCTTCTTCACATAACGAGTTTCAAAATTATTTTGACATTCATAGATTTCCTTTAATTCTCATCTTTCACTTTAATTAAATTCAATATGTATAATTTCAAACTCACACTTACTCAACATTATAAGTAAAAAGAGAGTGGAATCCAACTAAACGGCACGGAAACATGATCTGTGGATATGAGAAAAAATATTTGGCTCTTCAGTGGTTAACCATCCCCTCCCTGCAACACACACACACACACACACACACACACACACACACACACCAGAATTATGGCTACATCTTTATTTTGGGATGCTACAGTGCAGTCCTGTGGTCAGAGTGGTTGTATGCTATCAGTCACAAATGTTTTTGATATTGAACTTGAATTTGATTTTTCCAAGTCCATTTATATATAGTGTTGATTGTTATCAAGACATAAATCCTGTGATACATACATATATCCTTTCTTAACTCAGTGTTCCAGTTTTCTAGCGTCTGTTACTTATTTTAGAGACAGCTTGCTACTTTTATCTCACTTGGTAGTTTTGACATGACCTTTTCCTTTCAAGTCCCACACCTCTAGTTTGAAAGAATTGTACTGCTTCTGCTTCTACAGAGCCTCTTTTTTCCAGGTGTGGGGTGCAGGAGTGGGGCTCAATAGTGAGCAGAAAGATCTGTGAGCCCTGACTGCACAGGGGGACAAGTTTTAATAAAATAATTATACCAATAAATGATTACTTGTAAGTTGAGCTAAGTTTCCTGAATGAAAGAAGTTCTATGAGAATATCTATTAAAGGATTCTGGACTAGACATGGAGGTCAGAACAAGATGCCTGAAAAGCCACATATTTGTGCAGGAATGACACGTGAGAAGGTGTGTACTAATTCCAGTAATCTTTTCCTAAATGCTTGCATGTTAATTTTCTGAATTATGTTCTGAATCAGAGATGTGTGTCACTCTAGTTACTTCTGTATTCACCAGGAGACATACTATTTCACCTCATTATCCATCCATGGACATGGGGAGGTTTACAAAACTATCAGTACTTTTTTTTAAAGCACATGGAACATGTGCTACCTTTATGTGGTTACTTGCCTATTTGCAAAGAGTTATTTAGGTTTAATGTAATATAGTCATTTTCTTTCTTTTCCTTGGCAACTACTTTCAAACTGAAAGAAGTAGTTCTGTGTGGTTTGGGAGGTTTTTTTGTTGTTGTTGTTTTTGATAAAGTGCCAGGATGTCTCAAAATAGAACTTTAATTGATTTATCACACAGTCCCTGAGATTGTCTCAACTACCCAAAAGAAGAGAAGAGGCTTCATAGTGATGGAGATGATATTGAGTGCTGAAGATGCTGGGGAAATTCATATTAATGAGTTCAAGCAAACATAGGAGTGACTAAATTTATTGAACATGTACTGTATACTGAGCGTCATTCTGTGGTCTCTATATAAATTAAATGACGTACTCTTCACAAAAGCCATGTGAGGCTTGCATATCATTATCTCCATTTTATAGAAGGGAAAAATGAAACACAACGGGGAGAGTAACCTTAACCACTGTCACATAGTTTGAGATGGTGTTTAAGACAAAGGATTCTGATTCTGTATTTCATACTATTAAATATTGATGTATAATACCTGGCTCAGAATCTTACTGCTGAATTAAATTTCCATTGCTGTTGAAAATCATAACACCCCCTAATCTGATATTTCCATTGTTTAAAAAAAAAAAAGTGGAAAAAATAGAACTTCCTTTATATGAATACTTTTTGCCCCATATTTTATACGTGAAAAATATACAAAACATGAAGATATGTGAGTGCTAGACAAAAACAGATGACTAATAGATTATGAGAAATGTTTCATTATATTATGTATTTTTTAATTCAAAAATGGTAAATTGAGCACCATTTGAAACTATTAAAATTTTTAAAATCAAAAGTACAAGAGTATCTATATTAGCATTTCAAATGATCAGGAAAATATCTTTAACAGCTAAAGGTTCTGTGATCATTAATTAATGTAAGAATTTTAAGGCTGGGCACGGTGGCTCAAGCCTGTAACCCCAGCACTTTGGGAGGCCAAGGTGGATGGATCACCTGAGGTCAGGAGTTCGAGACCAGCCTGGCCAATATTGTGAAACCCCGTTTCTACTAAAAATTCAAAAATTGGCTGGGCGCAGTGGCTCATGCCTGTAATCCCAGCACTTTGGGAGGCTTAAGCGGGCAGATCACAAGGTCAGGAGATCGAGACCATCCTGGCTAACACGGTGAAACTCCGTCTCTACTAAAAATACGAAAACAAAAGATTAGCTGGGGGTGGTGGCAAGACCTACAGGCGGGACCTGTAGTCCCAACTACTTGGGAGGCTGAGGCAGGAGAATGGTGTGAACCCGGGAGGCAGAGCTTGCAGTGAGCCGAGATCGCGCCACTGTGCTCCAGCCTGGGCAACAGAACGAGACTCCATCTCAGAAAATAATATAATAATAATAATAATAATAATAATAATAATAATAATAATTTAATCACCTAAAAATGATTTATTCCTCAATTTAAAAGTAGACTTATCAATAACTGATGCTCTCACTCTTTTCCAGTGAGAGTTGTATTTAGTCAAGGAATAATAAAAGCAATGATTTATTTTTGAGTGAATGCATGTGGTAGCCTATTTGACAGCAAGTGAAAGTCTAGAACAGTGCCAATACCTGCCCACAGCAACCAAATTGGGTTTTCTGAACAGATTTGATAGTATCAACATGGTACAGAAATCAGAACAGCTATGTGCGTATCTTTTCTTGTCACATACCCCAAAATAGACAAAAGTATAATTTCTGCTATCACACATTGCTATAAAAAGTATGCAAACATATAAATCATACTATACATTTATTTTGCATTGCCAAACATAATCTGCATAATTAGAATATATTCAATCAATACTTTTAATTAAACATTTTATTTTGAGATAATTTGAGGTTCATATGCAGTTGTAAGGAGTAATACAGAGATCCCATGGTCCCTTTACCCAGGTTTCCCCAGTGGTAAATTCTTGCAAAATGATAGTACAATATCACAACCAGGATGTTGACGTTGATACAGTGATGAACAAATTCCAGCACCAGAAGGATAATTCCTATTGCTCTTCTATGGCAACACCAACTTGGCTGTAACTACCACCCACCTCCAACCCCTTAATCCCTTGCAATCATTAATATGTTCTCTATTTCTATAATTTTGTCATTGCAAGAATGTTATATAAGTGGAATTATACATAATGGGAACTTTTGGGATTGGTTTTTCCACTCAGCGTAGTTTTCTGGAGATTTATCTAGGTTGTTGAATGTCCCAATAGCTTACTGCATTTTATTGCTGAATAGTATTTTGTGGCATACATGAGCTATAGCTTGTTTAACCATTCACCTATTGAAAGACATCTGGGTTATTTTTTTCCAATTTTTTGGCTACTACAACTAAAACTACGATAGACGTTCATGTAAATATTTTTGTATTAATGTATAATATGTATTAATTTCTTTGGGATAAATTCCCAGAAGTTACACGTTTACTTTTATAAGAAATTACCAAACTTTTCCAGAGTGGATGTGCCATTTTACATCCCCATCAACAATATATGAGAAATAAGTTTCTCTGTATCTTCGCTAGCATTTGGCATTTGGTGTTATTGCTGTGCTGTATTTTAGCCATTCTGATAGGTGTGTAGCAATATTTCATTGTGATTTCAATTTGCATTTCCTTAAGACTAATGATGGTGAACATCTTTTCATGTGCCTATTTGTCATTTAAATATCTTCCTTAGTGAAATGTCTCTTCATTTTCTATTTGGATTGTTTGGGAGTTTTTTATGCTATGTTTTGAGAATTCTTTATATATTCTCAATAATTGTTCTTTCTAAGATATGTGGTTTGCATTGGGAATATTTGTTTGGATTTATTTTGGGGTTACTTATTCTTTGGAAACATATTACATAGTTTTACATGTAAATAACTATTGAACTCATAATAGATTGATTCCTCCCACTTTGTTTTTCTTTTTCAAAATTGTTTTAGCTATTCTAATTCCTTTGCCTTTTCATATAAATTTTAGAATTACCTTTAGAATTATCTTGTCTATATTAACAAAAAAGTCTTAATGGGATTTTGATAGGAATTATGTTAAAACTGCTTAGCAGTTTAAGGATAATTGATATTTAATCCATACATGTGGCATGTTTCTCCATTTATGTAGAATGTCTTTGGTATCTTTTACCAGTGATCTGTAGGTTTTGGGATTAAGTCTGGTACATATATTACTAGACTTACATATGAATAATTTTTAAGCAATTTAAAATAATAATGTATTTTTAATTTCAGTGTTGAGGTATTCAGTGCAAATATATTGAAATTTAATTGATTTTTATGTTTATCTAGTATCCTGGGAACTCCTGAACTCACTTATTAATTCTATGTGTGTGTGTGTATGTGTGTGTGTATATAGTTGTTGTTGTTTGTTTGTTTGTTTTGAGACTGAGTCTCATTCTGTCGCCCAGGCTGGAGCGCAATAGCACGATCTATGCCCACTGCAACCTCCGCCTCCCCGATTCAAGCAGTTCTCCTGCCTCAGCCTCCTGAGTAGCTGGGATTACAGGCACCCACCCCCACGCCCAGCTAATTTTTGTATTTTTGGTAGAGAGGGGGTTTCAACATGTTGGCCAGGCTGGTCACGAACTCCTGACCTCAGGTGATCCACCTGTATCGGCCTCCCAAACTGCTGGGATTACAGGCATGAGCCACCACGCCCGGCCAGTTCTATATTTTTTTGACGAATCATAGTTGAGTATGTTAATGAGGTACAATGTGATGTTTCTATATATGTATTCAATGTGACATGTTAAATCATGCTAACTAACAGATTAGCTATGTAGACCACCATCATGTAATCTGAAAACAGAAACAATTTTATTTATTTATAATCTATATGCCTTTTGTTTCCTTTTCTTGTCCTATTGCACTGGCTAGAACTTCTGGTACTATATAGAATAAAAGTAGAGAGTGCAAGCATCTTTGCCTTTTGCTAATCTTCAGTGGAAAGCATTCACTCTTTCTGCATTAAGTATAATGTTATCTGTAAGTTTTATGTAAGTGTTCTTTATCAAATTGAAGAATTTCACTTTGATTTCCATTTTTTCCTGAGTTTTAAAAAAAATCACAAATAAGTATTGATTTTTGTCAAATGCTTTTCTTCACCAAATGATGTGATCATATGATTTTTCTTCTTTAGCTTCTTTATATGATGGAGTACATTGATCAATTTTTAACTATTGGACCAGCCTTGCATCCTTGCAATAAACTCCATTTATTCATTATGTATGATTAATTCTTTGTATGAATTACTGAATTGATTTGCCAATATTTTGTTAAAGATTTTTACATCTATATTCATGAGGAATATTGACTTGTAGTTTTCTTTTTTTGGTACTGTTTTTGGTATTAGTATCAGGATAATACTAGCTTTATAAAATGAATAGGGATGTGTTCCCTCTTCTATTTTCTGAAAGAGATTACATAGGATTCATGTTATTTTTTTCTTTAAACTTTTGGTAGAATTCTCCAGTGAAATCACCTGGGCTGGGAGATTTCTTCTTTAGGGCTTTTTTGTTTTTAGTTACGGGACTCGATTTCTTTAATATCTATATTAGTGTGCTAGGGCTGACATAAAATACCACAGACTGGGTGGCTTAAACAACAGAAATGTATTTCCTCACAGTTCTGGAGGTTACAAGTCCAAGGTCATGGAGTTGGCATATTTGGTTTCTTCTGAGGCCTCTCTCTTTGGCTTGCGGATAGCTGAGTTCTCACTATGTTTTCACGTGGTCTTTTCCTCAGTGCTCAAGCATCCCTGGTGTCTCTCTGTGTGTCCAAATTTCCTCTTTTTGTAAGAACACCAGTCAGATTGGATTAGGCCCTAAACACACCCTAACAGCTACATTTTAATTTAAACTCTTTTTTATCTTAATCACTTTCTTTAAAAGTCCTATCTCTAATAGAGTCACGTTTTGAGTTCCTGGGGGCTAGGACTTCAACATATGAATTTGTGGGACGACACAGTAATGATCTGTTTCATATTGTGTGAGTTACTGTAGTTTAAGTTGATTCAGGAATTGTTCCATTTCATTTAAGTTGTCAAATTTATTTGTGTAGAATTACTCCTAATATTTCAAATTATTCTTTGGATGTCTGCATGGTCTTTAGTGCTATCCCATGTTTCATTCCTGATGTTACTAATTTATGTCTTCTCTCTTTTCTGTCAGTTTTGCTAGAGGATTTCAATTTTATTCACTTTTAAAAGAACACATTGTTTCATTAATTTTTCTCTATTATTTTTCTGTTTTCCATTTCATTGATTTCTGCTCTTATAATTGTTATTTTCTCCTACTTTTCTTGGAGAAAGATAATAATATCTTTTTCTATATTCTTGACAGGGAGCTAAGATTATTGGTTTGAGATTTTTCCTCTTTTCTAATGTATGCATTTAGTGCTATAGATTTCCCTCTCAGTTCTGCTGTCACTGTATCCCATACATTTTTGTATATTGTATTTTCATTTTTATTTAGTTGAATGTATTTTTAAATTTCCTTGAGATTTCCTCTTTGACCCATTGGATATTTAGAATTAGAGTGTTCAATTTTTAAATGTTTGAAGATTTTTCCTGCTTTCTTTCCGTTATTGACTTTTAGTTTGATTCTGTTGTATTCAGAGAACACATGCTGTATGATTTCAATTCTTTTAATTTGTTGAGGTTTATTTTATGTCCCAAAATGTGCTATGCCTTGGTATATGTTCCAAGGGCACTAGAAAAGAATGTATATTTGGCTGTTTCGGGGTAGAGTGTTCTATAAATGCTGATTAAGTCATGTTGGTTGATGTTGCTGTCAAGTTCTTATATGTCTTTGCTGATTTTCTGTCTAGTTTTCCTATTAATGAAAAAGTATATGCCGTCTCCAGTTATAATTGTGAGTTTGTCTATTTCTCGCTTCACTTCTGCCACTTTGGCTTTACATATTTTATAGCTCTGTTATTTGGTGCATATGTATTTAGAATTGTTATGTCTTCTGTTATATTGACTTTATTATTAAATAATGCCCCTCTCTGTATCTGGTAGTTTTATTTGCTCTGAAGACTACTTTGTCTGATATTAATATAGACACTCATTTTTCTTTTAATGGGTGTTTGCATATCTCTTTTTCCATCCTTGTACTTTCCACTGGCCCATATTTTATATTTTATTTGAGTTCCTTGTAGATAAAATATAATTGGCTCATTTTTTTTTTTTTTTTTTTTTTTTTTGAGACAGAGTCTCACTCTGTTGCCCAGGCTGGAGTGCAGTGGTGCAATCTCGGCTCACTGCAAGCTCTGCCTCCCAGGTTCATGCCATTCTCCAGCCTCAGCCTCCCGAGTAGCTGGGACTACAGGTGCCCACCATCACACCTGGCTAATTTTTTGTATTTTTAGTAGAGACAGGGTTCCACCTTAGCCAGGATGGTCTCGATCTCCCGACCTCGTGATCTGCCCACCTCAGCCTCCCAAAGCGCTGGGATTATAGGCGTGAGCCACCACGCCTGGCCTAGTTGGCTCATATTTTTAATGCACTCTGCTAATATCTGTCTTTTAATTGGTATATTTAAACCATTTACATTTACTGTAAATATTAATACAATACTTTAGTGCTTAAATCTGCCATTTTTTGTTTGTTATCTCTATTTTGGATTTCACTGTTTTTTTTTTCCTACCATCCTGTTATTTACTTGAGCATTTACAGAATTCCACTTCTATATGTATAGTGTTTTTAAGTGTATCACTGTACAGAGTTTGTTTGTTTGTTTTTTGAGACAGAGTCTCGCTGTGTTGCCCAGGCTGGCCAGGCTGGAGTGCAGTGGTGCAATCTCAGCTCACTGCAAGCTCCGTCTCCCGGGTTCACATCATTCTCCTGCTTCAGCCTTCTGAGTAGCTGGGACTACAGGCACCCGCCACCACACTGGCTAATTTTATTTTTTTTCTTTCTTTTTTTTTTGTATTTTTAGTAGAGATGGGGTTTCACTGTGTTAGCCAGGATGGTCTCGATCTCCTGACCTCGTGATCTGCCCACCTCGGCCTCCCAAAGTGCTGGGATTACAGGTGTGAGCCACCGTGTCCGGCCAGGTATTTTTTTGTTTTGTTTTGTTTTTTTAATCATCACTCTAAGTATTACATCATATACACATAATTTATCACTGGCTACTCCCATTGTCATTTTATCAATTTGAATGAAGTATAGAAACCGTACCTCCCTTTACAGCCTCCATTTATAATATGATTGTCTTAAATATTTCCTGTACATACATTTGGAACCACATCAGACAGTGTTATAATTTTTGCTTCAACAAGCAAAGAAGGAAGGTCTGTTGCATTTATTCATATTTTTTGCTTACCATGTTCTTTTTTCTTGATGTTCTAACCTTTCTTCTTTTATTGTTTCCTTTTTGTTTTAAGAACTTTCTCTAGCCACCCTTTGTGAGCAGGTCAGATCTGCTGGTGACAAAATATTTTGTTTTCCTCTAGCTGAGAATGTCTTGATTTTTTCTTTCTTCCTGAAGGATTTTCACTGGACATAAGATTCTAGGTTGAGAGGCCTTTTCTTAAAGCAATTGAAATATGTTGTGTTACTTCCTTTGGACTCTATGTATTCTGATGAAAATCCATTGTCATTCTAATGGATTTTCTTCTTTGGTAAAGTAGCATTTCTCTCTTGCTGTTTATAAAACTTTTTTGTCTTTAATTTTCATAAATGTGACTATGATGTGTCTTGACATGGATATCCTTGGAAGGTTTTTTAGCATTCAGATTTACTCAGGTGTTTAAATCTGTAGGTCTATGACTTCTGTCAAATTTGGGAAGTTTTCAGCCATTTTTTAGCAATTTTTCAGCCTCGCCCAATTTTTCCTTTCCTTCAGGTCTCCAAGACATGAATTTTAGACCTTTTGTTATTGTCACACATTGTATTGATTTCCTATGGCTGCTGTAACAAATTACCATACAGTGCATGCCTTACAGAAGTGCACATGTACTTTCTTACAGTTCTGAAGGCCAGAACTCAAAAATCAGTTTCACAGGGCTAACGTCAAGGTGTTAGCAAGGCTGCTTCCTTCTGGAGGTTCTAAGGAATAATCTATTACTTTGCTTTCTTTAGCTTCTAGAGGCACCTGTATTCTTTGACTACAATCCCTTCCTTGGATCACTCCAATTTCTTTCCTCTGTCATCGTATCTCCTACTTACTTTTCTGCGGCCAGATTTATCTCTGCTCTTTGCCTCCCTCCTTTAAGGACACTGTGATTACATTTAGGAGCCACCTGGATAGTGCAGGCCATTCTCCTTATCTGAAGAGTTGTAGAATAATCACATCTACCAAATCTCTTTTTTCCATTCACAGCTTCCAGGGATTGGAGCCATTCTGCTGAATATCTTTGGGAGCCATTATTCAGCTTACCACACACAGGTTTCTGAGGCTTTCTTTCTCTCTCTTTTTATTCTCTAATCTGTTTTCTCTGTTATTCAAATTGAGTGATTTCTATTTTTCTATCTTGTAGCTCCCATGTTCTTTTCTGTCACTCACATTCTGCTCTTGAGCCCACCCACTGATTTTTATATTTTGGGTATTTTTTTCAATTCTAAAATTTCTACTTAGTTTTTCCTTATGTGTTCTATTTCTTGGCCAAAGTTTTATATTTTTTTATTTATTTGAAGCATGTTTATAATCATTCAATTGAAATGTTTTTCTTATGACTGCTTTAAAAACTTTGTCAAATAATTCTAACATCTCTGGGATCTTGCTTTTAGCATCTGTTGATTGTCGTCTTTCATTCAGTTTGAAATCTTCCCGGTTCTTGGTATGATGAATGATTTTCAATGGAAACTTGGCCATTTTCTTATATGTTAAGAGACTCTGAATCTTATTTAAACTTTCTGATTTAGCCGAGTTCCACTAACATCACCTCAGTGAGCATCAGTGCCAGGTGGGGGGTAGAAATTAGGTTCCTCACTCAGTCTCCCTTGACACCTGAGGGGACTTCACATTACTGTAGGGCAAAGTGGGTCTTCACTGATACTTCCAGCTATGAAGGGTAGAAGTGCCTCCTTTATGTTCCCCATGTGGTCTCTCCACTGACACACTAGGGGGACAGAAGAGGGGGCCTAATGACTGCTGGGTCTTAGTGACAGTTCTGACTCTCCATTAAGCCACCTGTGACACCATCCCAGGAGAGAAGGAGAAGGGAGACTCAGTACTGCAAGGCAGGGGTAGAACTCCAGGATCCTCCCACCATTACTATTGACAACATAGTGGGGGTGAGGAATAGGGGGGGTCTTTATTACCACTGGTGAAAATGAAAGTCCCAGCTTTTTACTTGGCCTTCTATGACATCATCACGGTGGGGATGGGAGAAGTTGGGGTGTCTTGTTACAGCTTGGCAAGGATGGAAGTGTAGGTTTCCCACACAGCTTGTGTTGGCATAGGTGTGGTGGAACCACAATTATTTCTTTCTTCTGTGGCTACAATAGAGCAGTTATTGCCTAAATTTGTTTTTTTATCTAGCTATGATGCTCCTTTCCTGTTCCTTAGGCCAGAGAGAGTATGGTTTTGTTGGCACCCTTTTAAAAGTTGTGCCTGATGGCATTTCTGGGTTTCCAGTTTCTTTAGCCCCAAGAATTGGATATGTGAGGCAACACACGATTCCAGGGAACTCACCATCATGTCATTCCTTGAGCTCTGAGGTCCCCTAGCTGATTTGTCTTCTCTTCTCCAGCTTTCAGTGTCTTTGTATGTTTATTTAATATATAAAATACAGGGGTTTCAGTTGTACTTAGTAAGAAGAGTAGGGGAAAGTGCTTTTTCTCCTTCTTCACAGAAGCAAAAGCCCAATCTATATGTTTTATGCAAGCATAAACTGAAAAAATATCACTCCCGTTGATTCTCAGAGGATAAACCTCAGAGGGTTACTGCTTATCTGTTTCTGAATAATCAACAGTTGACAGGTAAGTGGGATGAGTGAATCCTCAAGTGGTGTTGCAGATAGATGGGTTCACAATGCAGTCCATCATTGTAGGATTCATGGACCACAGGCAGGTACCCTTACTCCCCCAAATCAATTCTCTCTCCCCTCCTGGAAAGCCATTACTGTAGGCTGTGGCATAGTTGGAGATTTCCCCCACTCTCAGAGATGTCTTTTCTGGTGGGATGCTGGAACCACACCATCCCAGCTCTTGCTCTACTCTCACTAAATGCTCTTTGTTTCCAGGAATATCATCCACCTGAAATGTAGTTTTGGACCAGTACGTGCATGGGAAAATGTTTGTAAACTAAGAAATAGTGAATGCAGAATCTATATTTAAATCTAACTGAGGAGCACCTCCTAGAAATTATTATTATTAATTTCTTTTGATGTAAAAATTATGCATTAAAAATAAATGTTCTGATTTGTCAAGTTGTTTGATCACTACTTGGTAGGTTAAGTACAAAAGATGGAGCTAAGAATTCTCTGCTTGAAACCAATATGCTGAGGGATTACAGTTGACATGGAGGAGATCACAAAGGACAACAGTCTAGGGAAATTCATGAAAAAGACAAATCAAGTTATTGACATTGTAGCCAACCTTGAAATTCTCACTCTACTAGAGCAATGGTTCTCAAAGTGTTGGCCTCAGCAGCATCAGCACAACTTTGAAACTCTTTGTTAATGCAAATTCTAAGTGTCTATCTTGGACCCACTGAATCACAAACTATGGGGATTGATCCCACAATCTGTCTTATAGCCAGCTATACAGGGGATTGTGCTACACGCTAACGTTGAGAACCACTGCACTAGAGTAATCCCTCCAACCATTGAAAAATATGCTAAATTTATGCTTTCAGTGATCCTTGACTGGGTTTTTGGAAAATGTATTTATTATATTTAACATTTTATGTGCTCATATTATAAATGTTTTTCAAGTAAATATAGTAAGGAAATTAAAAATGCATTACCTAAAACTATCTCCTTGGTTGATACATATTAATGATTATGCAATTATTTTCTATCCTTAACCCAGATCTACTCCATGTCTGATTTTGTGGTTGACATCAAAAAAATGAGCCAGGCCTACACTTCCCTCCATTTGTTTCTCATAGTTGCCAAGTCATACATTAATGGATTTTGTAGCTGTTTTTATGTTCTTTTCTAGAGATGACACCCATCATTAGGTATTTGGAGGTGAGAGTGGGGGTGTCTCTGCATTATTTGAAGAAGATGCTTTTTAGGAGATCTTGTCACATAGTATTGTTAGAGACAGATGCGTATGTGGATGTCCAAATTAATCATTGTCATTACTACATCAGCTCTACCATGGGGGATTTACTGTTTACTGTATGCTGGCATTTTTCTCTGGGGTCATGTGAGATTAAAGGACATCTTGGCTAAAAGCCTGTCCTGAGGAAAGAAAAGCTGCATTTCTATATAGATATTTTATAACTGAGATAGAATTCCAAACCCCAGGATAGGGTAAGACAAAATCAACAAGAAGTAAAAGGTTAAAAGGTTTTAAAATGTTTTATGATGGTGCTGAAATATAGACAGATGCAGATTTGAGAAGTAGTCTGTGGCTTCCAGCCCTGAATATGATTCAGTTTCATTGTATTTTAAGGACAGTATTTTATATAATTTTACACTTTCAACTAGCAATTTGCTAAACTGAGAGGGCATAATCGGTATTCACATAGTATCCACCTCTTCTGATGAATAATATTTTAGCTTTTGGATTAGGCATCACATTTTACTGTGTATAATTTTTTAAGCTGAATTTTTTAGTTTCTGTAAATCGTATGTTTCAATTACATATACCCTTTATACACTTTTTTGAAAATGTCTTTTTCTGTGTGAGCTGAGGAAATCTGCTTTTCATTTAAGATGACACATATTCTTGGTTTAGAAAAATATTACTTTCTATCCTTTCACTGTTCCTCACCACCAGTTGTCTTAGGCTCTTTTTATTCCTTCTGTTTCATTTGTGCATTCAATTTGATACTATTTATCATTTACTCATTTTGCTTGGGCGTTTAAATGGTTGTGCCTCTGCAGTGTTTTGGGGATAAGACTTTTCCAAACCTTCATTATACAATGTTTGCTCAATAATACCATTTGGGCAGGTTGGAGGAACCACTCCTTTAGGAACAGATTTTTAAATGGTATAGCAGATGTTTCCTCTTACATAGAGTCATCCTTTCTAAAATAAAGGCCCCCAGCCATGGCAATACTAATCAGATGTCTTCTTTCTTATAATCATTACTTGGTTGACATTTTTTAAATGTGGTAATTAAATCAGCACCAAAATGCTTTGATAGGAAGTACACACTGTGTCTTCTGTGGGTAGTGGTCCAGATTTTCCCCTACTGTGTTCGGTGCTATTTATAAACACAAAATGTGTCAGGTGATTTTTTTTCCACATGCAGATAAATTCTGCCTCCTCCTTTTAACCCAAACACTGTAAAAATAATGTTTATCATAAGAGTGTATACAAAATAATGATTTTTGCTAATGATGCTAAATACCCTTTAGGAAGTGATATATGAGTCAGATTGATTTTGAAAATTTGATCAAAATATGAATCATTTTCAAAACAGGAAAACATTTCAAATCATCTAGCTGTTCTTTTATTGTTTGCCTCAGTGTCAACATAGTGCTTAAACCTTTTTTTGTTTCTGCTTTTTGTTTGCTTGTTTTGGATTTAAGTTTTTGTTTCTGTTTGATGCCTTCCTTACTTTCCAAACATATGATGTAACAGCTAAAAATAAAAGTTCTCTAAATACCTTTAATATTTCAGATTGAGCTTAGATATGAGATTGAGAGTTGTCCCATGGTTATACAATTTGAATCCTTGTATAGACAAGGAGGAAAAACAACTGAAGTGAACCCAAAGGAAATGGTATTCTATTACCAGTCTGCCATGGAGTGGTTATAAAAGCAAAATAATCTAACTTCACTCACCCAATAGTAGTTTAAGGGATAAAAATAGTCCTGTGGTTTCATGTGAGTGAGTGTAATTTTGTGTGTGTGTGTGTGTGTGTGTGGTTTTTTTGGTTGTTGTTGTTTTTTTTTTTTTAAGTCTGAGCTTGGTCACAGGTGGGAGAAGGTGACAGATATCAGCGTTTCACTTCTTTCTTAGCTTTGACTGCTCCTGCCCATTTATGAACAGTGCTAATCTATGCCAATTAGATTTTTTTTCCTACAAATTTATCTGTTCTCTCCATCTATTTTGTTTTTGTGTGTGTTCTCTGTTTTTCTCTGAGTTTTCATCCCTCAGTACCCCGACTAGCATCTAGCATCTAGTTGGATGGTCATGAAAGGAGATGTGCTCCTAGCATAGTGAAATTGAAAACATTTTGGTTCCTTGCGTGTGCTTCTCGAAGCTTTCACCAAGGCCGTGACAAGACTGCATATTTCAGCTTTCCCTCCTCCCTGTTCCATCAGTCATTCCATATTATTTACTAGGAGTCAGTATTTTATAATCAGTGGCAGAGCTAGTCTTCGGCATAGGTTATCCTTGCCACGCCTTTTATGAGCCCCTGTGGCTCAATGTGACTAGGACACTGGCCATTCTTTTTTTTTTTTTTTTTTTTTTGGTGCTTCTCAAATATATTTCAAGGACCACCTGCATCAGAATCATCTGGGGGGTTTGTTAAAAGTACAGGTATCTAAAACCCATTCTAGAGCCACACATTGAATCAGAATCTATCTTTATGAGTTTAGAATTTTAAGGCTAATAGTAATGATAGGGGCTAGTCCAGATCTGCATGTCACAATCCAGGGCAACTTTTAAAAAATCAGAATGCATGGATCTCATCCCCTAGTTTCCCACTTAAATGGCCTTGTGTGTTTAAATCATGCAGCTGACGGTAACAACCAGAAATGTGCTGTAGAAGTTGAAATGTAAGAATGGAGATTGGTATTGACAGAAAAGCATTACTTTCAGTGAATTCATGAAAGTCCATGGATTTATCCTCATTTATAAATTCAGAACCCAGATCCTTCTCTGAAAGACAAAGCCACATTAAGCTTATAGAGACTGAGCTATAAATAAGAATTTGCTTAATCACAATTAGAATTGTCATTGTTACTAGGATCAGCATGAGTAAGGCATTCTTACCCTACTGGCTGATCCCCACGGAAAGAAAAATTATTATAAGTTTTCTCTTGAACCTGGAGTCAGACTAAAGAAAGTTATTTGAATAAAAATGGTGAATATATACTTAAGACCCATCTGTTATGAACAATTTTAAACATTTCATCTGTATTATCTCAATCCTACTCAGTAACCCTTTGTGCTAGTATTATTAGCTCTAATTTCTAGATGAGAAAAAGATAGGAAAAGTGATCCTATGTAACTTGTTGAATATGACAGAGCCACCAAAAGGTAGAGCTGAAATTCCTGGGCTCTATGACTTAGTTATTAGTAAAAAAAGAAGATAACTTGAGAGTTGGCTGGGCCTTAGCATCTAAGTAAGCAATCAAATGGGGCCAGCATAGCTCCTAGTTGGTGAAGAAGAAAGAAATGTGCAAACTGCCATTCATATGGATAGGATGCTTTCAAGTCATGTGTAACTAGAATGAATAGCCCCTGGGTGGATCAAGGGTGATATCATGGTCAGAACCTTGTGGTTTGTCTAACTTAACCTCTCCAGAACTGTGATTAAGTGAAAGATATACAGAATCAGAGTCTGCTCTCAAAGTCACATTTGGAAAAATGAATCACAGTTTATAGAAATAGCTAGTGTAAATATTAATATATAATAATAGATGCATATTTAAATATATTAGGTGAGTATGCGTGTATCAGTTTCTTGAATGTCCCCAAGTCCTTAGGTCACTTTGACTCAGAAAATTTGAGTGAAATTGGCTTGAGCTTCCACTAGCTCCAACTCAAGCATATTTTCTGTTATTTGGGGGGATTTTTATGGAGCTTGCATTTCTCCTGTGACTCTGTTCTGAGTCTCTGCATCTGTTGAATGCCCAATCATTACTCTGAGTTTTATTTCCTAAGCACAGTGCCAACTTAGGTCACCCTGCTGGTTATATGCCCTTGATTCTTTTAATCCCAGAAGTCCCACTGGCTCTAGGCTGTGTGTTTAGGAGACTTTGTTATAGGTTTAGGCAATGGAGTTGTGTTATGGGACAGCAATGTTAGATATCCCTAGTATTGAAACTCCCTCAACCATTTTTTTTTCTAAAAAAATTTATATAGTTTGCCTTTTTAACTTAAGCTTCAGTACCTTACTGTGTGAGAAATGGGGTTATTTATAAATGTACAAATTCATCTCAGAACAGCAGGTACACACTAGTAAATCATATTTCTGGCTGTTTTCCTCAGTCTGCTAGGAACTATCAGATTGTTAACTACTACTGAAATGTAACCCTTACTCTCTCAGAAAGGAAAAGTGAATGGCCCTCTCATCTATGAAATAAATGTCTGCCACTAGCAGTCCCTGAAAACTCCTCAGCATAAACATTAACCTTCCATCTTTTATGGTGGTGAATCCAGCAGATGGATGGCGCAGTGGCAGTGTGTGATATTGCAGTTGATACTATGGGATTCTTTTAAGTAGGAGTGCAACCGTAACTCCACAATGGTGGTGGTGTTACTGTTCTCTGAAAGGTATATGTGAGAATTACATAAATTGCTGAGCATAGAAAACTTTAGGGCCCTAGTCATAAAAACATGGTATATCCTTGCATTGATATCTTTCAGAAAACAACCCTTTCCAATGCTTACATAAGCATTGTTTGCATCTTGCAGGTTATAGTTTACCAGATTTTGCATATTTGGTCAAAAAATAAAAATAAAATTTTTCCACTGTGATGAAAAGTAACCATTGCATTGTGGAATACAAATTAGCAAACCAGTATAGAAGAATACTGGTTTCACATAAGATGTGACCACTGCTATAATCAAGATGACAACAGTGAATGAAGTTTGGTTGCATGAATCTAATAATCCATGGAAAACTTTAATAGTTGCCTAGGATTGATGGTAAACCTAACAGCAGCACTGTTTTAGATTGTCATGTGTTTTCAAAGACATAGCTTTTAGAGCTCCGTTTATTTTCCCAAAGCCTTTTGCCTCATATCCATTAAAACTGCCAAGGTGCACATTACTGTGAGCTGGATTTGTTATGCTAATTTCCATGTCCATGAATCCAGAAAACACTGGTTGAGATTGATAGAAATCTATAACACAAGCAGAAAGCTTAATTAACAACACCTATATGCTAATAGTAAACTTGACATAGAATAGTTGCAAAACTAAATAGTTATGGTCATAACATGTGCCAGTCTTTACCTAGCGATAGGCTAAGAGGAAAATATGGCAAATTTCAAATACAAAAGTAATGTTTTATTGGTAACATCATTTTCTTTAGCAATACCTAAAATGTTTCTCTGGCTCTGCCAGATACAAAGCTGATAATTGAATGATTTGCTCTAAATTCTCATTAGAGAATCCATCGGTCTGCTGCAAGGTGACATCTCAGCTGTCTAGGTGACCCAATGTGAGACTGGAGGAAGATGAAGGCATCTGCTCATCAGTGTCTATGTACAGTTGGATCACACTGAGCAGCTGGAGACACCACTCCCTTGTCCTCAGGGAGCTTACATTCTACTTGGGAGGTGCAATTAAGAAACAATGAAACAACATGAGATGAAGAAAGAAAAAATTGTATGAAACATGAGAAAATATCTAAACATTCTGAGAAGCAAGAAGGCTATGAGGAGATATGTGACAACATTTTAGTGGCTTTCTTGAATCAACAACTGCATGAACAAGTAGATTTTACCATTAACTACTACCTGCACCCTACTTCAAATCTCTTCAATAGAAACCTAAACAGAACTTGAGTCCTACTTGGATGCTTCCACATTGTAAGTTCTTTGCCTATGCAGGTAACGACTCTGACAAGATAGATTTCCCTACCTGTAGGAAACTGGGAGAATGGACCAGAAAAAATAAAATCTCATTTAAATTGTGCACAGAGGTTCTAGTGGTCAGAATTCACTCCACAGTGGCTATTTAAGGACTCTAAAGATTGCTCTTAGTTATCTGTTATTTTATTAGGCTGAAGGATCAATTTCCATCTTTAAGGAAATCTATGATTTTATTATCTTTGTCCTAATTCCACATCAGCTCTTTGTGTGCATGTGTTTGTGTATGTGTGTTTGTGTGTGTGTATAAATGTATGTATAAAACAGTAGTTCAAGCTTTTAGCATGCCTAAGAATTACCTGGTTGTTGGGGGGAGTGAAAACACAGCTTGCTGGGCTTCACTGCCAGAATTTCTGATTAATCAGTCTGGACTGGGAACCAATATTTGCATTTCTAACAGGTTGCCAGACAATGCTGACACTGCTGACCCAGGGACCAAACTTTAAGAGTCATCGATATGACACATAAGGCTCATGGTGAATCACAGTGACTTTATTAAAAAGTGAATCATTTAAATGCAATATCTAAGGCAGTATTAAAGAAGAAATGGGGTACTGAAGTGTGGCCAAATGAGTGTGTCTTAGTCTGTTCAGACTATAGCAAAATATCATAAGCTGGTGGCTAAGGAAGAACAGGAATTTATTTCTCACAGTTCTAGAGGCTGGAAAGTCCAAGATTAAGGCAGTTTTGGTGCCTGTTGAGGTCCTGTTTACTGGCTCATATATGGCAACCCTTGCTGTGTCCTCACATGGTGGAAAGGGCAAGGAGTCTCTCTTGGGACTTTTTTCATAAGGGAATTAATACCATTGATGAAGGTTTTGTCCTCATGACCTAATTACCTCCCAAAGGCCTCACTCCTAACACCATCAACTTGGGTGTTAGGATTTCCACATGTGAGTTTCAGGGGGACACAGACATTCAGACCATAGCAAGATGTGTGTTTTAATATGAAACTCACCCTGTGCTGGCCTTGAAATTTTGCAGTGTGGGTGTTGGGAGGGTAGACTGAGTTTTTGGGTTGATAAAGCTTTGGGGGTTTGTTTAGTTCAGCTATTAGGGTAGACTCCCCTTGCTTGATGCCTTTTAAAATTCTTGCTCAGAATATTGCAAAACAGCTGGCTCAACTCATTCCACCTGACTTTCTCTACCCTAACGTCAGCTCTGACCCATTCCAAACAGGATTTTTCACTTCTCTTAGTAAGCTCACTGGTTTTGTTTGGCTTGTTAGATGGCAAACTCCCTTGAGTTTTCTTCCCTTGAAGAAAAAACTCCCTTAATTTTTGTTTGGACTGTTGGTCAGCTAATCCTTACAGTTTTAATTGTTGCTCAGGAAATCTGGGTCCTTGTGCATCTCCAGTTTTAACTTCCTACACAGACCTTTCCTTGAAAAATACTATTACAATGCAAAAGGGTGTTAGTACCTTGGTCAATTATTTCGAAAATACTTGCACACACATACACACAAACACAACAAAACCATTCTTAAAAACATCTTACTATTCCATAGTCATAGTTGTATTTGTGAAATAAGCCTTGTATTCGATTGTATTGTGGGGCATCCTGATCGCTGTAATAAATGAAATATGTTACTGTTGTTCTCTACTACTTGTGTTTTAATAGGATGGTGCTGTGTTACGTTTCCAGTTTTGCTAAGAAAGTGTTCTTAAGCACTGTTCATTGCTTAATGTATCCTGTTTCCAGAGATTAGATTTTCTCGTAACCAACAAATGCTGTCCCAAAACCACCTTGGCGACCTTACCAAAAGGAAAGATTCTGCCATTTTCTTCTAACCAGGTCCCAGTGATATTTTTCATATTCTTCTGTCAAACTCAGCTCTTATCCTCTACTTTTGTCTTAGGATCATGACGTGCTTGTGGAACATTAAAACTGAAAGAAGCAGAGGTATCATTTAGCCCCACCCTTTCATTTAAGAGAGAAGCTAAACAAACTGCTCAATGTCACACACTAAATTAGTCACACAGAAAATGACTAAGGGTCAAGACCTTTTAGCCAATCTTTTTCTATAACCATGCTTGAAATTTTAACTAATACAGTGAATCTCAGCTATTGGGGGAACCACCCCCAATAATTCAACGTAGGTTCTTTTCTATTTTCCCTAAGTGTTGGCCGGTCTGAGAAATAAAGGGAAAGAGTACAAGAGAGAAATTTTAAAGCTGGGTGTCCGGGGAAGGCATCACATATCGGCAGGTTCCATGATGCCCCTCAAACTGCAAAACTAGCAAGTTTTTATTAGTGATTTTAAAAGGGGAGGAATGTATGAATAGGTTGTGCATCACAGAGATCACATGCTTCGAGGGCAATAAAATATCACAAGGCAAATGAAGCCAGAGCAAGATCACAGGACCAGGGCGAAATTGGAATTGCTGATGAAGTTTCATGTCCCACTGGGCACGCGTTATCATTGATAACATCTTATCAGGAGACAGGGTTTGAGAGCAGACAACTGGTCTGACTAAAATTTACTAGGCAGGAATTTCCTAATCCTAGTAAGCCTGGGGACTCTACAGGAGACCCGGGCTTATTTCATACCTTATCTACAACCATATAAGACAGACACTCCCAGAGCGGCCATTTCAGAGACCTCCCCCTAGGAACGCATTCTCTTTCTCAGGGCTGTTCCTTGCTGAGAAAAAGAATTCAGCGATATTTCTCCTATTCGCTTTTGTAAGAAGAGAAATATGACTCTGTTCTGTTCGGCCCCTTAGGCAGTCAGGCCCAATAGTTATCTCCCTTGTTCCCTGAAAATCGCAGCCATCCTTTTCCTTTTGGATGCCCGGATTCCATATTGTTCAAACACACATGCTCTACAAACAATTTGTGCAGATAACGCAATCATCACAGGATCCTGAGGTGACATACATCCTCAGTATATGAAGATGATGGGATTAAGAGATTAAAGTAAAGACAGGCGTAGGAAATTATAAGAGTATTGATTGGGGAAGTGATAAATGTCCACGAAATCTTCACAATTTATGTTCAGAGACTGCAGTAAAGACAGGCATAAGAAATTATAAAAGTATTAATTTGGGGAACTAATAAATGTCCATGAAATCTTCACAATTTATGTTCTTCTGCCATGGCTTCAGCTGGTCCCTCTGTTCGGGGTCCCTGACTTCCCACAACACTCAGCCATCCACATAACTGTTGCATAAGATTAACCAAAGCAGCTGCTACTGCTCAAAAACTTGTTGGAACGTCTTACACTGAAGCTGCCCTAAATTTCTTTAATACTCTTAAATGCCTTCTGTGTTTAAAAACTTTATTTTCAGATAATTACAGATTCACATGCAGTTGCAGTAAATAATACAGAGGTCCCATGAACTTGTCACCCAATTTACCCAATGGTAACAGCTTGCAAAACTGTAATAAAATATCATAATGAGAAAATTGACATGGGCACAATTCACAGACCTTATTCAGATTTAATAAGTTTTATATACACGTGTGTGTGTGTGTGTGTGTGTGTGTGTATTTAGGTACATGCAATGTTATCTCATATGTAGCTTTGTATAAATATCACTAAAATCAAGATAGAGAACAGTTCCATAGTGCTGCTCTTTTATATCCATGCTCATTTCTCTTCCCCTCTCCATCCCTCCATCCCTAACCTCTGACAACCTGTAATCTCTTCATCTCTATAATTTTATCATTGCAAAAATGTTATATAAATGGAATTTTGCTGTATGTAAAACCCTTTGAGATTTTTAAAAATTCAACATAATTTCATTGAGTTCTAGCCACCTTACCCCCTGTGTCCATAGTTCATTCCTTTTAATTTCTGAGTAGTAGTCCAAGGTATGGATATACCACATTTTGTATAACCATTCACCTGTTAAAGGACATCTCAGTTTTTTCCAGTTTTTGAATATTATAAGTAAATATGCTATGAACATCTGTGAATAGGTTTGTGTGAAAGTAAACTTTCATTTCTCTGGGATAAATGCCCAACAGTGCAATTGCTGGATGTTTAGTTTTGTAAGAAACTGCAAGCTATATTTCAGAATGGATGTGCCAGTTTACATTCCCATAAACAATGTGTGAGGGATTAAACTTCTCTGCCTTTGCCAGCATTTAATGTTAACACTATGTTTTATGTTAGACATTCTGATACATGTGTAGTAATATCTCATTGTGGTTTTACTAAGCGTTTCCTTAATGACTAACGATGTTGAACATCTTTTCATGTGCTTATCTGCCATCCGTGTAACCCCTTTTTTGAAATGTCTCTTCATATCTTTTGCCCATTTTCTAATTGGATTGTTTGTCTTTTTACTGGTAGGTTTTGAGAGTCCATTTTATATTCTATATGTTGGATTTGTGGTTTGCAAATAGTTTCTTTCAGTGTGTATCTTGTCTTTTTTTCTTGTTATCTAAGTCTTTCACAGAGCAAATAGTTTTGATTTTGATGAGGACCATTTGATAATAATCCATTTTTATTTTAATGGTTTGCAGTTTTGGTATCAAGTTTTAAGAATTCTTTACCTAAATCTCTATCCTGAAGATTTTCTTTTTTTTTCCTAAAAGTTTCATTATTTTACATTTAAGTCTATGATCTATTTGGAGTTAATTTTTGTATAAGGTCTGAGATTTAGGTTGAGGCTTATTGTTTTGCCTATGAATGTCCAGTTGCTCCAACAAAAATGTCTTCAATTTTGACTTACCGTTTTTTTTTTTAATTTGGCAAACGTGTGTGTGTGTGTGTGTGTGTGTGTGTGTGTGTGTGTGTGAAGCTACTATGTGTGAGACACTATTAGGTAGTAAAGACGGGAACATTAATAGAATGCAGCACCTGAAATATCTCCTGGTATAGTGGGGGAGGTACATATAGCAATATTTTCAAAATTGTAGGTTAAATTAAAATATAGAATAATGCACAGAGGAAAAGGACTTGAACAATACAAGTGGATGCAGGCAGAGTAGGTGTAAGCCATTGCAATAGCTTAATGAGAGATAATTAAAGCAGGAGCTTACAGACAGAAAGGAGTGAATAGATCTGAGGAGTATTTATCAGAGCCTTGCAGAGAATGGTTTAGTGAGAAGGAAGAGTCAAAGGTAAACAAAGTGGATGGTGATGTTATCCAAAAGGATAAAACAAGGAACAGGTTTGGATTGAAGATAATGATTTTGTTTTAAACTTCTTGAGTTTGAGAAAGCCATTAAACATCCAGGAGGAACTGTCCTAGTAATTGTTTTCCGATATGAAGCTAAAGCTTGTGGGAGAATTTCATGGCAGACAATTTTTGAAAATCACCAGAAATCACTTACAGCTAAGGAAAGATGTTATAAATTTAGGTTGTACTGTTTTAAGTCAAAAACAGAAATCATAAAACTCTAGAAGGAAACATTAAGGATTAATGTAGAGGTTGTGAGCTTTGGTGCACTTCAGGTATGAATCTGAAATAGAGTGATTCTGATTACAAACTTCATTAAATAAATAAATAAATAACTCTTCTGAGCCACAATTTCATCATCTGTGAAATGGGTGTATTCATGGCCCTAGAGCTTTTGGGACTGCATTGAGGACCAAATGAGATGACAAGCCTAAAATTCTTGTCCTGTAATGAAGGTTTAGCACATGTTAGTTCCTTTATTCCTACAAGATACTTTTGAGATTATTTACTATAATGTTTTTCAAGCTACTTTTTTTAAAGGAAGGGAACTCTTTTTTCAAATGAAGTCTCATACAGAACTGGAAAACAGTTAAAAGCAAAGCAGTCTCCTCTTTACCCAAGTTTTCAATTGAAGCAACAATGTGGCAACATAAGACTCTTGTAAATCACGAAGATAATAAGATCATCCATTTAAAGTTAAGAACACTGTGATCTAAGAAGGTAAAGAAAGTTTTCTCAAGTCACATGATTTGCTGGAGGCACACCCGGGTTTAAGCCCCTAGGTTCTCGTCCCTTTTTCATATTCTTTCTGAAATACCATAGTACCTATAACTCACATTGTAATGTTTACTTGCATAGGTGACTGTAGGTACAGTTCTAGAAGAAGCTGATGTCTTAAATGTTCTTTGAGGTACAGTGGCATTTCTGTGATTTGTGGCCTCCAATGCATCCTTCTGAAAAAGCCTCTTTTTGATAGGTACCTTCTGATAAGAAATGAGCTTTGTGGGCCCACTTGATATAAAAGACAATCATGATATTCTTTCTGTCCTGCTCTCTTAACAGCCAGTGTTGACAAACATTTCCCATTTTGGTTTAGAAGACTGTGTCCTTGGGTGTTGGTTTCAAACATGCAGTTATCCAAAGAACACTTTTAAATAATAGATTCTGGGATGGATCCTTGAAGATTGAGTCACTTGACCCAAAGTGGATCTTTACTATCTCATTTAAAAAATCTTCCCAGGGCCAGATGCGGTGGCTCATGCCTATAATCCCAGCGCTTTGAGAGGCCGAGGTGGGTGGATCACCTGAGGTCAGGAGTTCGAGACCAGCCTGGCTAAGATGGTGAAACCCTGTCTCTACCAAAAATACAAAAAAATTATCTGGGCATGGTGGCACATGCCTGTAATTCCAGCTACTAGGGAGACTGAGACAGAAGAGTTGCTTGAACGCTGGAGGCAAAGGTTGCAGTGAGCCGAGATCTTGCCATTGCACTCCAGCCTGGGCAACAAGAGCAAAAACCCCGTCTCAAAAAAAAATAATAATAATAAAAAATAAAGTTCTTTCCAGGTGAGGCTGAAACATCTGAGAACCCTTTCTCTATTGTTTATCTCAGGCCTCTTGAAGTTTTCATTGCTGTTCTCCTGCCATTTCCTTCCTAGGTAACTACTGCTTTTGAACACTTTATAGTTGTCCTCAGATTTTCTCTCTAGTTCAGAACTAGAACATGTGCTGATAGATGTTTTAAACAATTCCTACCCTATCTGAGTCCCCCGGCTCCCATATATCAAACTCCTTCCTAAAGTAACATCTTAGAGGCAAAAGATGGTGTCAGTTTGGTAGTAACAATAACAACCACAACATAAAAGCCATCACTTATTGAGCATTCACTAGGTGACAGATGTGTCTTTAGTATTTGGACTGTATTTTCTGATGAAAGAAGTCTCAACTATAGACTTTTATTTACAGCTGCTTACTCAATATTTCAAACAACTCTTGATTACTCCTTTTCCTGATACATGCTCCTCCTCCAGGCTTCCCTCATCCCAGTATGTTTCCAGCAGTCATCAAATGCTGAGTAGGTGTTATTCTTGTCTCCCATTTCCCCTGACACTTCATAACCAGTCCATCAGTAAGTTCTGTCAGCTGTGCCCTCAAAATATGTCCCAGTCTAACCCCTTCTTACTCCACCACGAGCCATTCAATCCAAATCACTATTATATTATTTTGGTAGCTGGATGACTGTATCCCCTGCTCCTCCTTCGGCTTCCATGGCTAGTCCTTCAGAATGAACCAAGAATAATCATGCAAAAGTATAAATCAGAGGTAATATAATTCATTGACTTAAAGCCTTCAGTCATGTCCCATCACACTTAGGTTAAAAATCAGTTCCCTTGCAAAGCATGACCTGTAAGTCCTAGGTGACCTTGCTTGGACCTCCCTCTCTAGCTTCATCTCATATTACTCTATTCCTTGACTTCCGTCCCTCTGCTTCACTGCTGTTCTCTGAATAAGCCAAGCTTTTGCCCAGCTCAGGACCATTGCACTTGCTCTGACCCCTACCTGGAGCACTTACTCCACATCTCCGCGGCTTACTCTCTCGCTTCACACAGGTCTCTGTTCACATATCCTCAGTGACGACTTCTCTACCATTCTGCCTAGTAGAGCACCCTGTCCCTCTTTATCCACTTTTCTTGCTTTACTTTTCCTCATAGCCTTCTTTACTACCTGACACTGAAGCATACATATATTGGGCTGTTCATTGTCTCTCTCCCCCACTACAATGTAAGCTGCACAAGGGAAGGGATTTTTATCTGTTTCTTGTTCACCTTTATATCCCTAGCACCTGGCACAGAGCTGAGGTTCATTAAGTATTTGTTGAATGAATGAATTAGTAACTATAGCAGTTGTCACTCTCCTGGGTTCTTCTGCAGCAGTGCCTTTGATGCTTATACATGAAATTCCTAAAAATTTAGATGACATGTCTTGATCTCTGTCAGTCACTTTATTCATGACCTTGTTTGCCTTTTGTAACTGCACTTTAATATTTATAAAGAACGGAGCCATGCCTAGATCAGTTTAGTCCTTAAAATATTTCACTGTTATCCCTTTATTATAAAGTCCTGGGCTTTGCATCCTGTTCTTGGCTTTGGGGCTTTCAGATTTAGGTTGAAAGAGGGCTATAAAGAGGGCATGCTATATTGGGTCAACAGTGATCCCAAAGACAGGGAAATACTCTGAGTACACGTATTGTCTCTTCTAGACTTTTATAGAACCGTATGAGATAGGGAAATGTACTTTTATGTGGGATGACAAAATGCTCACACTGGGACTTTCAAGCTAACATTGCTTCTTACCTCTCACACTAATAATAGATAAATGGATCATTTTCCTCCTCCTTTTGTCCATGGCCTCCTTGACCACTCTGAGCCATTTCCTACAGGAAGTTTTGCATGTGTTCTATGTTAACTGATGCCTGATATATTAGTGCAGCTCTGCCCTCTTTTTATTCATGCTAGGAGCATTTGTTTTATGACATATGAGAGCCAACAAGTGTGGTCAAGTGCAAATAGACCCATATGTATGTTGGGTGGAAGGGCTCCTTGCAGAAAGCTAGCTCTCACCACAGTATACCCACACACAGACCCCTAAGAAGGCTGGCCGCTCTGCTGAAGTAAGATGGACCAGCTTGCCAATGGGCACTTTGCCATCAGAGCAGATGGGCCCAAGCAGGGGCAGGCAGCAGAGCACGCATGTCTGTTCTGGACACATGCATATTTATCATTTGTGTCTTTCATTTACAGGAGACAAATTCTTGAACAGAAAGGCTGAGTTATAAACTAAGCGTCAGGAAAGATGAGCTTTCAGCCCTTAATTAAAACATTCAAGCAAAGAAATCAATGTTTCAGTCCCACTTTAGAAAGCTTATGAAGTAACTTGTTAGAGACCCTCTTTACTCCCAAGTCACTCTTCACTAAAGGGGATGCTGTGTCTTGCTCAAGCAGTGTTTTCACTTGTACATCATGAGGTAACCTAATATTTTCCAAAAAAAGACCAGAGATGTAGGAGAATCACCAATATACTCCTTTTTTGAAAATATTATTAGAATTTTTCCAAAACTATTCTTCTCTTTTCAATTTTCTTGTTTTAATAAAATGAGAACTAAATTTAATTTCTTTTCCTGCTAACTGCTGAAGGTGACTATATATGGAGATAGGACTCAGCCTGTAGCACAGGCAAAAACATTTACACCTTGAAAATCTACTTTAATATCACCTGTGTAGTGTTCCATTTGCCCAAGTGGAAAACCTGAAAAAGATTAGAATAATAATAATTATTAAAAAGTGTGCAGATTACCTTAGATAATTTATAAGCATCATGTCCATCTAAATTATAAAAGAAAACCTCTCACAAACCCTACATAAGATTCATGGGCATTTTCTAATAATATTTCACATTTATATTTCACCTTGCACTTCCCACAATTTTCATATATATTATCTCCTTTGAACCTCTCCATAACCTTGTGAGGTAAGTAAGGCAGGCCTGTTGGTCTCTCTTCAGTTGAGGGAAATAAAAATTGTGCAGGTAAAGTGACTAGAGCTCAAACTTCAAGATCATTTGTCTTTTATCATATTAATTTTAATTCGAAGGCTATTTTATAATGAGACAATATCTAGTGATGGCTTTTAATATCAAATGATCATAGTCTTTTACAATCTTGCTTTCTATTTTTGATTTTGCTAATTAAATCTGGCAATGGAGACTTAAGGGAAACTCTTATGTTTCAAGTGTCTTGGACATTGATGGAAATTCAGCATCCAAGGGCTGCTGGTTGACTTCTGTTTATGGTTTTGACAACGGTAAAGTCCTCTAGGGATTTGAGTAGGTCACTGTGTTGCCTAGTGTGTGTTAAATTATTGAGTAAACATGAAGATGGTTGTTCCTGATCTTTGGTTTGCTGTATTCTTTATAGTTTCTCTTAGAGATATTAAAACAATATTACTGCTCTTCAAAAACTATGAGTTGGACCATATTACACATAAACACAAATAGTGACTTTTGTGTATTAATAAAATAACAGCAATAAATAGAACTCCATAGTAAATTGCTGTGCTCTGTGCACCTCTGTATGAAAATATAATTGTAAAAATATAAAAGTATTTTGTACTACTTCGCATGTGATTATTTTCCAACTGGAAATGCTATGTTCTTATTTTGACATGTGACAAACAATGTGTGATAATTGCTATTTATATTTACCGTTAAAAATGACAGATTTTTGCTTTTGGACATAAGGCTGATAATGAAATTTTCCAGTCTTGAGAACCAATCAAAAAATCTTTTGGAAGTCAGCTCACTTAAAGAAACCCAGAAAACCACTCTCCTCATGAAACTTGGTAGGATATCATCTGACTTCTATTATAAATAGCCTGTTTGAAGAGATAAGAGTGAGTTAAATTACAAACTGTTTTCCAAGTAATTGATATCCATTACTGGATTTGGACAGAGCAAAATTATTTTTTCTGGTGCTGGTGCTCTGGTATGCAAACATAGTATGTCTTTTCTGTTGTCACACGCTTGCAGAGAAATTATAATTTTTAAAACTTTTTAGAGACACAAGAGGATTTTTTTTTAAAAAAAAGGTTTATGTGTTTCTGAATATCTAAAAGAAAAATATTCCTGGAAGCTGTGACAACCCAAACATTTGTGTCCAACCGATAGAGGACTAAATTTAATAACTTGTGCAGAAAACCAAGCACTTGAAAGCAAGTGAGTTTGGGGCATACTGGAGCTGTATATAAAAGGTGAATTATTTAGCATGGATTGGATGAAAACTGAATTTCTAAAACCCACTAATTCCTTAATTCTGCTTTGAGATTATAAATGGAGAACAATATTCAAAACAAATTTGAAAGAAATCAGACAAATTTTTGAAAGAAATCAGAACTATGTATGTTCTTTACAGTACATATAGAAGTGATCATTCATCTGGGGACTGAGATGAAGTTCTTTGTTGTTCAACCTTGGAAAGTCTCCGTGACTCCCAAAGAATAATGAGCAAAGTGGGAGTGAATAAGTACTCCACTCTCTAGGACATCAGGGGCCCCAGAGGTTCAGGGAGATCCATAGTAATTGCTTCTGGCCTCCAAAATCAGGGGAAAATATGCTGAACAACCAGGGCAGAGGTGCCATTCCTCTGCTACCATTCGTTTCTCCACTGCCCTTCAGACTCTTCCATCTCTCACTGTACTTTCTCGCACACTGTCTTTCCTCCAGCTTTAATTCTTCCTTTGCCCTCTGCTGCCCTTTCAGCTCCTTCTGTCTGAGCCCCACAGTTCATCAGTACTTGTCTTATACTATTGTGAGTGTGATCTCTCCCTGCTGGAGGAAATGTTTAGATCTTTGGTTCATAAGTTTTGAAAATGCATTGTAAGACCAGAGGCTTTTCTTTGTCCATCAGGTTTTTCTCTTAAAGGAGAGTATATTCCACAATAGATTGTTTTATAGTGGGAGGTTCCACAATTCAAGTAAAACTACTCCTCTGACGCTGAGTGGTAGAACTAGAAATAAATAATTCCTCAATTATTTTATTGATCCAGAAAAAGCCAAACATTTTCCAGGAATCCAAAGAGAATGTGACCTATTTGGACATAATGAAAACAAAACAGAAATTGATTGTCTACTCAAGATGTCTTCTAGGAATTTTAAATTATCCACAAATCTGTCTTCTCATTCATGTATTTACCCTGGCTGTGAATAGATTGGTATCATTTCCACATCACAAAACTGAAACGGGGCTCAAGTCCCCTGTTGCCTAGCTCAGTGCTCTTTCTTGTAGTTTACTTAGTGTCCTAGAATTGTAAGGGCAGGTACATCCCTGAACTCACCACTCTTTCGGAACACGAAGCTATGGTCTTTAGCAGAATATTTGACAGTAGAAAGGAGTGGCTGGTGTTACATGATAAAACAGCACGGCTACGTGTGTTCTGGTTAGAAATCAAAGATCCATTATTCACTTGGGCTTTTGCTGTTAGGCTCTTGAAAGATTAGCAAAATTTCATAAAATGTTGTTTCACTCAAATGAAGTGGGAGACTTAAAGAGGAATCGTTGTGATTTAATGACCTTTGTCTTCTGCAGTATGCTGTCCTTACAATTTTTAGGCTAAGATTAATTAATTTAAAAATAAAACACTCTTAGGAGTCAGTATCATCATTAGGAGTAGGGATTCTAGACCCACATTGACTGATCTCAGATATTAGTCTCAATTGCGTGCTTTTGGGCAATTAGGTTCAAACATTATTATGTCTGAAAATAGGGATAATGATGGTACCTCTATCAAGGGTTTTGGTGAGTATGTGTATACTAAATATAAAATACTGATAACAGTTCCTAGCACATATTACACTAAGTATTACCTATTACTGTTATTAGAATTAATGAATAACAGAAAACGGCCGTGTCCCTATACTTACATAATCAAATAAATACTTATTCTAACAGGAATATGTAAAATTATGATTTGGTGGACCTATACTTCATAGAGGGAGTCAGTCTTATGCAAATAATGTCTGACTATCCTCAGCATAAGAAGTTGACCCTTCTATTGTTTAAGAATGCATGATTTGTGTTTTTTGCTCATTCTTAAAATTTTGATGTTTTCTCAATGAGCAAGAGATGAGAAGCCATTTTTATGGAGGCTATTACTTTTTTTCAGTTTACGTTTTCATTTAAAGCTGAAACACATCATTTTGCAAGTGTATTTGGTTTTCATCTGTTAAGAGGTGCAGGCAAGAATTTTCAATGCTGTGATGATTTGTGGGTTCCACTACTAAGGAACAGACACTGAAATCTTAGGCAGATCCTCATGAAAACTCTCTTTGCTTTTCAGGCTATTTTTCTCAGGTTTGATATTTTTTAAGCATTCGACAATCATTTTCTTCCCACTCTGTTCTCTCTCTCTACAATTGTCCTTTCTGTAACACCTTAAACCTCCTTTACCTCATGTGCAAACACACAGGTATATGTGTGTATGGAAATGTGCAGTATGTGTGTTTCCATACTTGGATCTAGTAGGTAATATCTCTCTGCTAAAAGAGTGCAACAGTAAAACAGATTAGACTAGAGCTCAAAAGGTAATTTAGTCAAATCCTTTTATCTCAAGTCATACTTCCCACAAACCAAAGAGAATCGCCTGCTCGTCAAGAAATAGATTTCCTATCTTCCCTTTGTCCCATACAAAAGCATATTTTAGTGGTGCACCAGATGCTGCCAAAAGTTAATAAAGAATGACATTTTAATAGTAGACATTCCAGATATAGACAGAAACTTCAGCAAAATGAGACAATGTTTCATTTTATTTTTATTCAAGTCCCTGTGCCTCCTACAGAGAAGGTGAAATTGTTTAAGTGGCAAAACAAATCTGTATTTAGAGTTCCAAAATATGTTGAGATATCACTGAAGACATTGTTACTTGTTTAATGTTTTCAGTTTTGTTACTTGTATATTTGATCTACGATTTTTTAGAGTTATTTGTATTCTATAGAACAAAAATAAAAGCCAGAGAAGCAATTCTGTGGAGGCAAGTGCCTAGTTCCAGGTCAGAGAAAATCATTGGTAAGACCAATTTTCAGTTATTAAACTGTTACTTAAACCACTAAGTCATGATAAATGAGTCCAGATACTGCAGTTAGGTAAAATCCTAAGCTTTGCTTGAACCCGTATCAAGCTCAATAAAGTCACCTATTTGGGGAAATTCTCTATGAATTCCTTCTTAAAGTGAAATTACTTACACCTCTATTGTCCATTGAAAGTGCTTTTATGCCCAGCCTTTAGTAAAGGACTGCAACATCAGTTGTTTTCTCTTTTTGGAGTACACAGGAATGTTAATATACCTGCTACTGTGGTTGATTTTTTATTTAATTCTATTTTTATATCTTATTTTAATGAGTTAGAGTCTCCATGCTTCTGTTTTTAAAACTCCATCTGTTTCTAATACATGGCTTCTGTGAAGGCATGCCGTTGAAACCTGGATTTCCTGTACAACTATTATGCATTGTGCAGGACCTTGAAATTAGACAATTGACTGGACTCAAGGAACTTCTGCCAAATCTGTTAGAATTAATTGTTAAAGTTACTTGGAACTGAAGAAGAGAATAACTTCATGGCTTGGAGCTTGTTCCATTAAAAATTCTAGAATTGTCACCTCAGCTGGTAGTGCCTCCTACAGACAATCATGGGTTATTCCTATTAGCTCATGCAAGAGGGTGTGGCTACAAAACAAAACATGGGAATTTCAGTAAAAAGAAGCCATAGAGGTAGTGACCTATTATTTTCACCTTCAGCAATGCATATATATATACACACACATATATTTTTTTCCGACTTAAATAAGGCTAAGCAAATGAGGATATACTCCGGATAACTGCGAGTGTGTTAGGTTGAAATGCTTTCTAAAGAGGAAAAAAAAGAAAGAACTACCCAGAACTAATGCATTAGTGTCATGTTTCACAGTTGGCTCAAGCTTCTGGGGTACAGGGCCTGCTAAGTTGTCTGGAAGAAAATGCCTTTCCTTCATTTTTTTTTACCCCTAAATCAAATCACTAATTGTGTAAATGCTTCTGTTTTTTAAACATGAGCCTGCTTTTCCTAGAAAATAGATAATTTGACTTGAACTTAAACTTACAGTTGAAAATTTGCCATATTTACATAGTTGATACCAGTAGCATAATTTATGTTTTCACACCCAATACCTAATTCCAACCCTACTCACTCACCTGACCCTGCTCTATAGGTTGTAAATGTTACAGATTATTTTTTCTGATCTCCCTTATAAGTATGGGTGACAGTGCAACTCAGGCATAGCCATTGATATGTAGGTGGCTGTCCACTGGCACTGCCTCTGCCCCTATTCCTTTCATTTTGCTCTAATAAACAGCAAAATTAGTGGAGCTGCATAGCCATTATGTCAACATGAGGAAAAGACGTAAAGGATATAAGAGACATTAAATCCAACTTGTTTGAGCAACGGAACCCATTCTAGTGACTGCTTATTTTTAGAATTCTTGTTATATTAGAACTCTATATATTTATATAGGCTGACATATGCTCTGCCTTTTATCCTAGTAAATATCATGGTATAACTTATTTATTATTAGAATAATTGATTCATTCATTATGTTACAGTATGTGATTGAAGTCAGCGTATAATATGGCAAGGTAAACTAAAATTTTAATAAAAAGAAATATAAGTTGAAGACAGTATAATGGTAGAAGAGTAAAATAAAGCCAAAAGAACACAAAAATATATCTAAAAGATTTATATATATTCTTCAAGATCAAACAAAGATTTGCCTCAAGATTTCCAGCACCCAGTGCAAAGGGGAACACAAGATGAATTACACAATTCACAGTGTCCATAAGAGAATAACAAACAAATCAGTTGCTTAGCAGAAGGCCGACTGCTACTGACTAGGAAATGATAGAGACGTTTTCCCCATGGAGAGTCACAAAGTGGTTATTGTGGATTGTAATGAACAAAATCTATGTAACCGTTGTCATACAGTTATATTTTTATAGTTTTTTAATGTACTGTCTCTTAATATAAGCTGATATTACAGTGTCAAATTGCATGTTAGTAAAAACAACTTGATAACTCACCAGTATGATGCAGTATAAATTCATGATTCTCTGGAAGTCTGGTTTAATCCAGGGTAGAGCAAAGAGTATTTAGAAAAATGGAATGTGAGAATATGCTTCAGAAGTACCTCAGTTCTCTTAACCAAAGTTTTAGTAGTTAAGAAACACTGTCATAAAATATTTTTTAATAAATGCAACTACCAGGGGCTTTCCTAGCTTCTTTGAATACATAGATATGATAGTGTGTACCTTTCATTCTATGAGATTATATACAAAGGCCAGAGCTGCGTAGTCCACTGTAAGCCACTTTATCCTTGAGAAAACACTTGGTGGTGATGGCATTTTGTACTCCTGCTCATAGCTGATACAGATGAGCTGGTCAGGCAGCCCACTGTCTGCCCGGGCAGAGCAACTCCCACAGTGGTCAGTCAAGGCTGATTCCCAAACTGAGGATTTAAACGTCTTCATCAAGTTTAACTTATCCTAACTGGGGACTGTAATGAATGGTGACACTGTAATAAAAATGGTAAATCTTTTAAAGGGTCCTTTTACTCTTAGTCCTCTCTGTTCATGCTCCATCATTCTAGATCCCCCTGAAATTTACTCTAGTTCTTTTTTCTTCTCCTTTGAGGAAAATAAAATCATTCTGAAATCATGAGCTTATGGTGTGTTCATTCCTTTGAAATCAGTCTCCAAATCACTTTTAGTCTCTTCTCACAAATACTTGTCTTTTTCTTTAGTTACTTATCTCCATCCCCACCCAAACCCTCGTTTCTCCTTTCTATCATATTATACATGGAAAAGCAAAATTAATAATTCTATACTACCACTAATAATAATAGCTAAATTAGTGGGGAATTATCAAGTGCCAAAATCTGTGCTGAGTACTTTTGCATATATTATTTAACCCCTCCAACAGTGCTTTGAGGAAGATAACTATTTTTATCCCAATTTGCTCGTAGGGAAGATTGCTTGAAGTCACACTAAATAGTAGAGCCAGAATTCAAACCAAAGCTATCTGATCCAGTTCCTACCATTCTTAACCATTCTGCTAATTTCCAGAAGTCCAGCTGATAAAGTGTAAAACAAAAGTTGTTTGTTGCTGTTACCAAGAAAATATCAGGGAATGCTTTCTACTAATACATCAGCAGCCTCTCTTCTTCTTCCCCTCTCTCCTCCTCTCTCCACCCAGTTACAAGCTACAGGTGCTTCAAGCATCAAATTGGACATTTCTGTGCAGTCATAGAATAGCTGGAACTTAAGATATTTATTTTTCTGGAAAACCACTGATGTGAGGTAGAGGTGATTACACAGTCACTTAGGTCAAGAGATTTGTCTGAATGGGAACACAATATTAAAAGTGAAAATGGACACATGAGAAACATAGTTTTCCTGGAAATCTCTTGCTTTAGCATATACATTCTGTGTTTTAACCCTGAATATAATTCATGACGCTTTGTTGGAGGCATCATGACCTAACACTGTTGAGATAGGTAGAGGACTGATGTTCAGGAGATGTGGTTTCGAATCTCTCTTTCACTAGCTGGCTGTGTGACTTTAAGCCAGTCATTGTTTCCTTATCTCTCTCATAGATACGTTCATAACTCTGATAGGGCCTCCTGGTGCATTAGTATTTTGAGGACATGATTACATAAGCTATTTTTTTCCTTTGAAAATTTAAAACTATCTCATAAGTAAATGAAAGCAAAAGTATTTTACTCTTCTTTTGTCTTGCATTTGCTCATCCATTATCCAGTTTATAACTTTCTGTTATCTTTTTGTTTATTAACTATCACTTCATTCATTGGGCTACATTCTATGTAAATTATTTAACTCTGCAAAGTGGGAACACAAAATATTTAATAAGACTCTGTAGACAGAAAGCACAAGGCAGTGTGAACACCACAGTTAGTTTCTGTCCAGTTTTTTGAAGTCATCTTAAATTCATTTATTATTCTCTGTCCACTCAGGCAGGAATTTTAAACCCTTTCTGACTTTTGGTTTCAAAACAATTTTTAAAGCATCTGAAAAGCCCTGAAACAAAGAATGATAATACTTTATTTGCACATAATTTTTAAGTGGCCAAACAGAGGTTTTTGGCTTTTAGTTCTGTTAAAAAGTCCTCCCTCAGAGTTGAAAAAAGAACATGAACATCTTCTGCCAAAAGGTTAAATCCTTTGAATAGAAGGCCTTTCAGGGAAGTGCCCAAAGATCATGAAGAATGAAAATGCTTTTTCAATCATTTTAATTTAATTTAATTCAAACAGCATTCACAGAGTACCTCCTAGGTGAGGTGCTGCCCATTATTGTAAAAGCCCCTTTGGGAACTACAAAGATGAATGAGACATGACATCCGCCTCCTCTTAGTGCACAAGGCAATGGGAGAGAAAGATGTATGCATAGATTAGTTTAAAACAGGGCACACTGGTCAAGGGAGGAAAGATGACATAAGTTAATTCTGATGAGGGCATTTTAGCAGACTTCCCTGTAGAGGTGGGAGCATTTAACCTGTTTTTTGAAAAATAATAATGGGGAAGAAGGCCACTCTAGGCTGAGAGAAGTAAATGAGCAAATAAGTTGGAAAAAATGTGCTGGTGCTTGGGCTCTTTTGTGGAACTGTAAAAAGACAAGTCAGGTGGATTATAGAGTGTGGAAAACTGCTCTAAGTTAGCTCAGTTGAGATCATTCTATGGAGGGTTGGAATGCCAGATTGCAACTGCAGAATTTGGTATCCACCACTTGCTGTAAGAAGCAATTGAAGTTTGTTGTTTTGGTTTTTTTTTAGCACTTAACACCCGGAAGGAAGTCTTTGTTCTTATACTCTTGTCCCTAGTCCGTGCTACTGCCTCTTCTCTAATCTCATACAATTTTATGCATGTCAACAAAAACAGCATGTATCGCACTGTGTTAAAATCACCAGCTCACTTGGCTACCTCCCTAGTGGGCTGTAAGACCTCTGAGAATGAGAACTGTATATGTATATTTAAAACATATATATATATATATGTGTGTGTGTGTATGCATAGAACGAATAGATTTTAAAAATTAGAAGCCATGTGGTCAGGGTTGTGTTTTAGGAAGAGAAACCTGGTGACTGTATATAGGGTGGAATTGAAGGTGGAAAGGTGAGGAATGGTTGGATACAGGGAAAGTTTTTGTAGCTCTCTTGGGAGGAAGGAAGAAGGAAGAAGCTTGGCTCTTTACAATACCATTAGTGCCATAATGCGAGAATGCAGGACACTTATGTTGGCGAAATAATTTAGAAGACTTTGGGAGATGTCAAAAGTAGACTCACTATTTCATTATCAAAATGCAGAGAGTGGGGCTGGATGCAGTGGCTCATTCCTGTAATCTCAGCACTTTGGGAGGCTGAGGCGGGTGGATCACCTGAGGTCAGAAGTTCACGACCAGCCTGACCAACATGGTAAAACCCTGTCTCTACTAAAAATAAAAAAAATTAGCTGGGCATGGTGGCAGGCACCTGTAATCCCAGCTACTTGGGAGGCTGAGGCAGGAGAAACACTTGAACCCGGGAGGCGAGGTTACAGTGAGCCAAGATCATGCCATTGCATTCCATCCTGGGAGACAAGAGTGAAACTCCATCTCAAAAAAAAAAAAAAAAAGTACAGAGTGGGACATGAAGATGCTTGCCAAGTTTAATGGCCCCAGTGTCTGATGTCTTCTACACTGGTTCAGTATCAGCAAGTAACCACTGCTAAGTCTAGTTGGTAGCTCTCAAATATGTGTAACTGGAACTAGAGGCAACCATATGGCAAAAACGACATTTTAGTATGCCTCCGTAGATAATCAAAGATTTGAGTTGAAGTGTTGTAATTGAGTAACTTATTTGCAGCGCATGTTTTCTGAAAATTTAGTCTTTTTTCTCAATAAAAAAATACATACACAGAAATCATTATGCCGAAGAAGAAAAAAATCTGAAAATGCATATAGTGTGTATATAAACCATACAAGAAACAAAATATATGTTCTGTATGTAAATATCTTATCCTGTTCTGGACACTATTTCAAAATATCTTGATTGAAGCATTCTATGGTACAGATGGAAATCTTATGACAATCGTTCTAAAAATAAACAAGAGCTTTAGCTTTTCTGTGTTGCTTAAATTTGGTGAGACGTTTTTGTTTGGATCCTGTAGGAGCAATTTGAATGGCTTTGAGAAATGAATGAATTTTTAAGAGAATAAGGATTTGCTGGTTATTAGTCTTCTAAGCCCTTAACTATGTTGAACCTCACTTTTATCAGAGTTGGAACAGAAGGGACTTCAAAAATACATTCTTGGCTGGGCATGGTGGCTCACACCTGTAATCCCAGCACTTTGGGAGTCCAAGGCGGGCAGATAACTGAGGTCAGGAGTTTGAGACCAGCCTGGCCAACGTGGTGAAACTCCATCTCTAATTTAAAAAATACAAAAATTAGCCGGGCATGGTGGTGCACTCCTGTAATCCCAGCTGATTGGGAGGCTGAGGCAGGAGAACCTGTGTTTTCAACTACTGTTCTTATATTATTGAGGCTTATGTGCCAGTCACTTAAAATAGTATTTTTTAATAATATTTTTACTGAGTAAATTCATTTTGCTATTAAAATACTTTGAAAGGTTTAAAATAATGTGTCTGAGAGCATGAAAAGTCAGGACAGCTCTTAGTTGTGAGACATTATCCCATGCAGACAGACAGGGCATCAAGCATCAAGCATTTTATTTTTTTTTAACTTTAAGTTCTGGAATACATGCACAGAACATGCAGGTTTGTTAGATAGGTATACGTGTTCCATGGTGGTTTGCTGCACCTATCAACCCATCATCTAGGTTTTAAGCCCCATATGCATTTGGTATTTGTCCTAATGCTCTCCCTCCTCTTCCCTCCAACCCCCCTACAGGCTCTGGTGCGTGATGTTCCCCTCCCTGTGTCCATGTGTTCTCGTTGTTCACCTCCCACTAATGAGTGAGAATATGAGTGTTTGGTTTACTGTTCCTGTGTTAGTTTGCTGAGAATGATGGTTTCCAGCTTCATCCATATCCCTGCAAAGGACATGAACTTATTCTTTTTAATGGCTGCATAGTATTCCATGGTATATATGTGCCACATTTTCTTTATCCAGTCTATCATTGATGGGCATTTAGGTTGGTCCCTAGTCTTTGCTATTGTAAATAGTGCTGCAGTAAACATATGTGTGCATGTGTCTTTATAGTAGAATGATTTATAATCCTTTGGGTATATACCCAGTAATGGGATTGTTGGGTCAAATGGTATTTCTGGTTCTAGATCCTTGAGGAATCGCCACAGTGTGTTCCACAATGGTTGAACTAATTTACACTCCCACCAACAGTGTAAAAGCGTTCCTATTTCTCCACAGCCTCACCAGCATCTATTGTTTCCTGACTTTTTAATAATTGTCATTCTAACTGGTGTGAGATGGTATCTCATTGTGGTTTTCATTTGCATTTCTCTAATGACCAGTGATGATGAGCTTTTTTTCACGTTTCTTGGCCAGATAAATGTCTTCTTTTGCAAAGTGTCTGTTCATATTGTTTGCCCACTTTTTGATGGGATTGTTTTTTCTTGTAAATTTGTTTAAGTTTCTTGTAGATTCTGGATTAATATCCAGAATGGATGCCAGATGGATAGATTGCAAAAATTTTCTCCCATTCTGTAGGCTGCTTGTACCCTCTGATGATAGTTTATTTTGCTGTGCAGTAGCTCTTTAGTTTAATTAGATCCCATTTGTCAAATATGGCTTTTGTTGCAATTGCTTTTGGTGTTTTAGTTATTAAGTCTTTGCCCATGCCTATGTCCTGAGTGATATTGCCTAGGTTTTCTTCTAGGGTTTGTATGGTTTTAGGATTTATGTTTAAGTCTTTAATTCATCTTGAATTAATTTTTGTGTAAGATGTAAGGAAGGGGTCCAGTTTCAGTTTTCTGCATATGGCTAGCCAGTTTTCCCAGCACCATTTATTAAATAGGGAATCCTTTCCCCATTGCTTGTTTTTGTCATGTTTGTCACAGATCAGATGGTTGTGGAGACATCAGGCATTTTTTACCTCTGCCCCTTAAATACCAGAATTCAGTATTTTAATTTGACAAGTAGCACATGAATGTGTTCTCATGATAAAGATTTAAAATACAGAAGTTTAGAGAGTAAAACTGTCTTCTTTTATTCTTCTAATAATTTCTCTCTCTTCCTGAAAAATAAGTTTACCTCTGCTTCTGAAACTTTATGCTTCTTTTCCTAAGAATTTATAAATACACACACATACATAATTTTCTGACATAAAATAAGGTGTAAAATACATTTTTCCATTTCTTTCTTTAATTTATTCTGACAATGTTTTTATACTTCAATTATAAGGACCTTTCTCATTTTAAGTGGTTACCTAATAAATTATAAATAGATGCTTGTAATTTGTAAAATAATTCCCCTATTGATTGGTATGTCATTTGATTCTAATTATTTAAGCAAACTAAATGTAAATTTGTCTTTTTTGAGGCAAACATCTTCCTGCTCACTGCCAAGTTTTTTTTTCTTGTGGATTCCTAGAAGTGGAATTTATCTGATACTATGAGCCTTTCTGCGAAATGGTTTTTCAAGTAAACTTTTATTAGATGATGAGCGTTCTAGGTTCTTATTCCCGGACCATCAAAACATGTTATTGATTCTTTTAAATACTTTCCCAGTCTGATCTGGGAAAAGTGATAGCTCATTGTTTTAAATTGTGTTTACTACTGACATTTAGCATGTTTTTATATTGGCCATTTGTATTTCCTTTCATAAATCTCCTTTTTGTCCTATTGAGTTATTTTTCTGTCAGTTTGATATTAGTTTTACTATAATGTAAAGACATCCTCTATATTTTCTTATATCTAGGAAACAGTTCACTTTTCTATCATAGTGAAGTGTAGCTATTATCTAATTTGCATCTAATTTGGCTTTCTTTTTAAGTTGCACATGAGAAATATGTGCTACCCATGTGTTAAATTAAATAAATAAAAACCCATATACCAAATTACCCTCTTTTATGTGCTATAACAATAATATTCCTAGTGCTTATGAAAAAGTGGCCAAATATATCAGAGCAAAAATATTCTCCTTTGTTGAATAGCAAATAATATGGGAGGAGAAGGAAGAAACAGGATACAGGTATCTTTGTTGAGGTTCAGGCACAGAGATAATGTAAGTCAGCCAGCTGCTTTTATACTAGCAGCATGACATGGAAAAATGAAAATAAAAATTCAGGGACAATAAAAGATATTTTCTCCTTTGCTCTCTTGAAGTCAAACTGTGTTCTGTGAAGTATCAGTACAACTTGCTATTACTAGCTATACCTGTCTAAATCTCCATGACTATTAGGGCAAAACTGTGTCCTTTTTAATTTTTTAAATGCTGGTTGTTAAACTCCTTCAGCTAATGGGGGCTTAGATAAATTTTTACATCCTACTAAAGTTACTGTTAACTCAAAACATGACTACCTAATCTATTCTTAAGGCAACAGAGTCTATTTGTAATTTTCTATCAACTGTCTTACTCTTTCTTGCTGATATAGCAAACGTAACAATCTACAGAGAGAAAATTTGCAGTGCTGAAAATAATATGAATATCACAAGAAAAGTCACAGAAGCATGACTCAATAGCATTTTTAAAAAGGAAAATAATTAAGGAAATTGTATTGTATTAAGGAAATTGTAGTGCATTAAAATACAATGCTGATTAAAAATATAAATAACATGTTTTAAAAAGCAAAAAAAAAAGCACATTTACAATCCCATATTCTCTACAAAGAAAGTTGTAATTATCAGAAATTCACCTCAATGCATTTAAATTCTGAAATTTTAGGCATCTCAAATGTGATAAATGCAGCAAAATATGAAGGAATGGCAATAGTACAAAACACAGAAGATAGGTCTGCAGTAAAATTAACAATAACCTGGAACTATAATTTCAGATGACTTTAGCACGTAGTTGGGATCTAGTAAAGAGGAATAAGATGGGGAAATGGAGGAAATGTGTAGTAATGCTTTTATAGGAAGGAGGAGACAGAGGTAGATTAGACTTTGATGAAATGTTATACACTTGAAAAAATATGTTATAAATGTATGAGTATTTATTAGAAGATTACAAATAAGATGCATAACTTTAAAATCATTAGAGGGAAAATAACAAAGTTTTCAAAATGATAGATAGGGAAAGGCAACGTGAAGCAACATGAAAGTACAATATATTTTAAAAATAAGTGTAAGAAATAAATTCATTCACTATACACTTGAACACATCAAATGATCTGAATTTCTCAGTCTGATTAAGTAGCTCTATGCTGTTTAATAAGAGCTACGCTCCGCAAAATGGTAAATAAAAGTTGAAAACAAAGGAATAGACAAAGTTATACCAGGCAAGTGCTAACAAAAAGAGAGCAGTTTTGCTAACCTAACTATCAAATTGTTGACGCAGATTCTCAGGCCACAACCCAGACCTACTGAAACAGACACTGTGGGGTTGGGGCCCAGCAATCCAGTTTGGAAACCACTGTTTTATATATGTCCTGAGTCCCAAATTCATTTCTCTAAATTGCTTGGGATTAGAACAAAGACCATGCAATCACAGATTTCTTAAAAATGGAAATTGATCCTTTATCCTAGTAAAATACTGTGAGAACTAAGAGCAACTTTTACCTAGTGAGTCCTTAAATATTCACAGTGGAGTGGATTCTGACCAGTAGAATCTCTACGCAGTGAGCTTGCTTGAGTTCAAATCATAGTTTTCTCATGGAGCGTTATGACCTTAAGGAAGTTAATAACCTGTTTGTTTTAGTTTCCTCATATGAAGATAGCAAGAAAATAAAAAAATCTTGTATAAATGTTGGGAGGGTTAAATTTGGTAATCCGTTAAAAATAAGTAGCCCAATGCCTGATATATGGTAAATACCCCATACATGTTCTTTGGTATTGTTTAAACAATATTTACCTCATGCAAAAATGAATTCTACATGGTCTAAAGACCTAAACATAAATCAATTTAAGCATCATAAAATAATATATAATTGTATGTGTACAGTCTTTGGGTAGGAATGATCTTCCTAAGAACAAAGAGCAAAAGCAGAATCCACACAGGAAAATTTTGTCCAATTTGCTTATTTATAAATTAAAATTTTCTCAACACAAGAGACACTAATGAATAGTAAAACAAATACCACACTCAGAGAAAAATAGTTCAACAGAACAAAAGGGAAATTTTATTAAAAGAATATACAAATGACCAATAATGAAAATATGTTAAATGTCACAAGTAAATGCCATGTAAAATAATGAGTTATCACTGTTCACAGATCAGATTGGCAAAATATTTAAAATGATCAAGAATATGCATTGATGGTCCAGGAGTAAGACAGCACACTGATCTCTTAATGCAGGTTTTCTTGGGAAAACTGTTTTAGAGGAAAGGTTCGTAGAATCAGTGAAATTTTACTTCTAGGATTCCATTCAAAAAAAAAAAGTTGGCAATGAATATGAAGATGTTTGTCCAAGGAAGACAAATTTGCATTTTGAATTTAAAATTTGAATTCTAAATTTGATTGTAGATTCTAGTTTCTTAAAGTTAAACTGAAAACAAAAAAGTACTCTCAGATGTCCACTGGAAATTTTATGAGCTATAAGGGTAATGGTGGTTGGCTGACTTGCTAATTTAGAAAATTAGGGGCAATCTAAATTTCCAAGTTTCTTTCAAGTAATCTAATAAAGTGTCAGGAATCAGAGGTTCCAGGCAGGCTAGTTTAGTGTGATTACTAAGGTCATTATGCTTGGGATTCCATCTCTGTTAACCTACCTACTGTTCTTTTGGCTTGTGGAGGCAGTTATATTGTTTTCTGCATTGATCTTGACTTCTAAGTTACCAGCAGTTAATTGTATCATTGTCTATGTGAACATATCTTTTCCTTTTAGGGTAGGGTGTTTAAAGATATAAACCTTGGACTAAAGTGATTTAGGAATTCTGTTAAAGAAAGAAGTCCATGAATTGGAATCTGTTGTCTTTATGTTTTTTTCAGTTGCAATATATAAGCACTAGAAAATGTTCCTTCTATTTTATATATTCTTCAAAAAGATTTTTTCTACTTAAATTTAAGTAGACATTTTGACTGGTAAAATTAATTTATGCTATATGCTTTTAAGGCCACTTATCAATATAGTCACTATAATTAACCAAAAATATATAAGTAATTAAACACAATACTAAACCAAGTGACAAATCTGGACAACATTAATCTGATTTTTGAATAATTCATTTTTATGAACTCTCAGATATTAATATTAAATCTCTTTAAGCTTTTTATTTAATAAATCACCTTCATTGAAAATAATATTACATAAAATTGAGGATGTCCAAAAAATGTGGAATATCTAATGCCTATATTTTCACTTACTTAATTTCTCCCTTTATTACAAAAATAATTTGGCAGAGATCATATAAGAAAAGGGATTTTTAAAAATTCAAGAACCAAAAATATTAAAGTTGTGGAAAGGAAAGAATAGAACACAAGCATGCAAGCCATAAGATTTTATGTAGCTCCTAATAGTGGATATTAGCATTTATTTCTGGGCTTCCTGTTGTCCACAATAACAAAGAAACATATCATTTATATGATTTTCATTGTATGAAGCATAGAAAATATACTGAACCTCCATGCAAAGAAAAGTTTATCTCGGAACATCACCTTACTGGGGACTTTCTATAACAGACACTCATACAGTGGATGGACAGTGACTTTATTAACATCTCTTCAACGTACACATTATCATAGTCCTTAAAATAATATCTAGTATAATCTTCAACAATATTTAAGGTGTGACACCAAAGCATACAACTAAATAGAAGAAGATCTGTGGGAAGTAAAGAACATATGGCCCAAGGTTACCCTTTATGACAGTCTACTTTAATCCACAGGGAAAATCTAGATTATTTAGGCAAAACATAAACTATCCAGAATAAAAAATAGACTTGATATCATTAAAACTGTGCCCTATAAAAACTGCTTCTCTAAACCAGACATGATGTGCTGGACAACCAAGAATTTGAGATTTTATTGTAGTCATTGTGCATGTTTAACACACTAAACATTTCCAATATCCAGATTGTTCCTTGAAGGTAGGGTTTTCATCTTGCACATATTCTGATTCTCTTCTGCATTTATAATTGACCTAAGGACCTGTTAAGCCAATTTAGGAATCCTTGCTGGATTCAATGAAATTAACATTTTTATGGGTTGTAAAAATTGGGCTATGCAGTAAGACATAATATTCTTCAGCGGTGAGAACACAATGGGACTTTAAAGGCACTGTAAAATGTTAATCCTTTTTCTATCTCAAAACACCATAAAATTACCTCTATAAAAAGTTTAGTTTTGAAAACAAAATTCTACGTATGATAAACACAACACCATTTTACAAGTTGGGTAATGATACAAATGATACAAATTGCATAGTTACAGGAGTCTAGGCCCACAGTTGAGATACATGTTGTCAAAAGAGAACCATTTCAGCTAGAGCAAGAATGTGATGGGAACTGATATGATTTGGCTGTGTCCTCACCCAAATCTCACCTTTAATTGTGATAATCCCCACGTGTCATGGGCGGGGCCAGGTGGAGATAATTGAATCATGGGGGTGAGTTTTTCTCATGCTGTTCTCTTGATTGTGAATAAGTCTCATGAGGTGTGATGGTTTAATAAAGGGGAGTTCCCCAACAAGCTCTCTTGCCTGCCACCATGTAAGATGCTCCTCATTTGCCTGCAACCATGATTGTGAGGCCTCCCCAGCCATGTGTAACTGTGAGTCAATTAAACCACTTTCCTTTATAAATTACCCAGTCTCCAGTATGTCTTTATTAGCAGTGTGAGAACAGACTAATACAGGAACATTCAGGAAATAGGTTAGAAAATAAAGGATTTTTCTGATGACAGACACAGAGGAACAGTCTAGGACGTATTAAATAGTGGGAGATAAAGTGAGATTAGAAGATATCCAGAGAAATGTGAAGAGAGTTGTCCTTGAGAAAAGGGATGGCATAGGAGCTGTGGACTTCTGATTGTGACCAGAGTAAAAAAGCTGCAAGGTGTGATGGGTCTAGACCTGGTGATTGATTAGAAGTGAAGGTCAACAACCCTAATTAATGCCTCCTTCTTGGGAATAAGCAAATCATAGAAAGTTTGTGCATGGGGAACAGGGAGACTCCAGGGGCAGTGGAGAGGCAGAGAAGAGTGGTATCATGGGAGCACACAGAAATCTCTGGGCATCCCCTCAGTCTAGCTGTGGACAGTGCCCTCGTTGGGCTGGGAAAGGTTGGGGGAGAGAGAGCTCACCAGGAACATGTACTAAGTTGTTCCATTTTTACTGATGCTGATTTCTATTCATTCTTTTGCCTTATATTGTAGTAAGTGTCTACTAAATTTAGATTTAGTGAATAGTCTAAATCTAAAACTCTATAAATTCACTTTTATCATTGTAATTTGCCACTGAGAACCCACCATTCAGAACAACAGTCCAACTTCAAATTGCTTCAGTGATTATATTGTTAATATTTCCTAGCTTCCAGAATTGAATCTCATGAAATTCATGGAATTTGGATCAATGTGTGTGGGTACTGTGGTGATCCATTCCCTCCTGTGGACTATTTCTCCTTTCTGAACTGAATGCTTCTTTGGTTTTATGTCTACTCATTAATGACTACATAGTAACCCACTTCTGACAAAGGCCAGTCTACACTGCCAAAGTGTTTCACTTAGCATGCCTCCCAGTGGAAGCAGAGGTGGAATCCAAAGTTTTCAGTTCATGTTGCTGATTCATTCAAGTTACTGAAGAAATGTCCAGAGACTAGAGACTGTGGAAGTTGTTTCTGTTCTGTGAAAAAAAAAAAAGTGAAAAATTAAGAATTAAGAGTGGAGATGTCACTTGGTGTTGCCAGGCTTTGGGGTTTTATATACCTGTATAATTTTTAAAAATAGAAAAGGCACAGAATCAACAACCATTTAAACAACCACCACCACAACTAATATCTGCTTACACCAGCATTTTATTAAAGAATTGCTATTTTCACACTTTAAAAAGCAACTACATTTCACATTTTGAAAAATGTATGTCCTCATTTTTTTTTCTTATTTCTACATCATACTAATGAAAAGTCCAGCATGGATCTCCAAGAAGCTGCAGACCTGAGTTAGAGAACCTGAACTAGCTGACCTCTGAGCCTTTACAAATGTGATATTCTGTAACAATCTTATTTAGTAGTATAATGCATAATTATGTATTTGGTTCTGTACTATTCAGTCTGCTTTATTAATCTCACTTGTAGCTTTAATAAAATTTCCAGAAATAATATTAGAAGTTACATCTAGATGTTTCTCTATGTATTTACTTTGCTGCGGTGTTGTCAGTCATTGCACAAGACCTGATACTGCTGTTCAGACTGTTCAATAAATATATAAAATAATGAAATGTATTTATTAAATATAATAATTTAATTATTTTAAACCATCATGTGGGCAATACATAATTTCTCCAAAAAAATTCTAACAAAAGGAATCTCTGAAAAAGCTGTCTTTCAGCACACAATAGATCAAAATGTGTAAAATAGCATGAAGTTCTAAACACAGCTGAAAGTTCATACAGCATTGTTAACACAGTGCGTTTGTTCTTGGATAGGAAAGCTGTGCTGATGAAAGTACTCTATTTGCCTTATAGATTAATACACCTGCACCTGTTACAATTCTCATGGATGTTAAACAGCATGTCATCCAAAAGGAAAACTGAGAATACTGCCTGTTGCCCCATGCTGTAGCTACCTGCTAACCACAGTAGAATAAAGTATATGAAAGGTCCTTCCACAATTTCTGGAATATAGCAAGCCCAAATAAGCATTTATTAATTCAGTCAGTGTACTGGGTTTAAAAATTGTGGACAGTAGATGACAACAGAAAAATCCCACCAAATGGAAACATCATACAAATACTGCATACACACATACAAAGAAACAATTGGAATTTAATATTCGATTCACTGAAAGTGCTTTTCAACTTTGTAGCAGGGCCAGTAGACATCTGGGAACCCATAAAAATGAGAAAAATAAGCCTGAGCTACAGCAATCAGGATAGAAAGGTGTGAAGGAAGGGGGCTGTTTTTGCACGAAATTTTAGAGCCAGCTGTTAACTTCAAGAGGCAGTTGCAAAGAGTGACAGCTGTGAAAGCAATAGATTCTCTTACATAAAAAGCCAGTTAGTAGGTGTTAGTACAGGAAAATATTGATTATGCAAAGTGGAAGTGAGAGTACTTCCTTAGTGAGAAGATTGTGCAGATTAGTATTTTCTAGCCACTGACCTCATGGAAGCCATCATCTGTGGCATCATTAATAAGTACAAGGACTAGCAGAGGTTGGGCAAGCCTGGGGTTTTTCATGTAAATAACACTACTCTCCAGTATGTCTTAATTTAAAAATGCCTAATGTATCACACTATAGTGTTATATATTTCTTTCCTAAGTCTATGATTAAATAAATATGTTTTTTTAAAAAAAATAATAGAAACTCTTGCTATAGCTGAAGCCTACTGACATATTTACATGTCTTGTTTCAAAGGGCACTATCCCCTGAAAAAGAAAATAATGCAATGCTCAACAAACTCAAGAGAACCATACTTGGGAACTCCCCTTCAATCTTAAAAGGAGAACTAGAAAGGAAAATCAAGGAATTCAGTCTCAATGGAATTTTCCATATAATTGTGGACCTTCTATGGAACGTTCTAAACTTTAGTTGACATAACAATTTTAAATTAGAGTACATATATTTATAATTACATCTGCATTGAAGTTTTATTTAGGAAATTATCTTTTTGAAAAAGCTATTTTTCATAACATCTTTAGAATCTAGTGCCTAAAGTTTTAGGTATCTGTCTAGGCATTCATGAGGAAGCAACTCGCAGTGTGTGTTTGGCTATGGTAATTACTCAAGGTCAGGTAATTACTGGGCAGAAAAGAGTGCTGGTTTCTCGGTGTTGAGGAGGAAGCCTGGAGACTTGCAATGGGTAAAACTGACTGGGCAATATGTGTCCATTACCAAAAGGGGCCCTTAGGATACTGTCAGAAGCAGTTGGTATTGACTGAGTTATCAACATTTGCAGTTGTGGCCTCAAGAAAAGATGATGTTGTTTAATACTGTGATTCCAACAAGTGGCAGATAAAGTTCAAAGGTAGCTATCCTTGTCCAGCAAGATTCCCTACAAAGTGAATGTGGAAAGCACAAGTGCAGAATCCTATCACCGGAGAGAGACTGATGTAAGTCCTTGGCAAGCTACCAAATTTCAATTTAGAGCTTGTGGGGGCTAATGGGAAGGGGACATAGGGAAGTATGAGTCCAGGCAGCGCTTGGAACAAGGGATCTGATAAGTAGCAGAGGTGATGGTAGTGACGTGAGATGCCCTGCAGTCTGGCTAGCCAATGGACACTGGATCTGGAAGTCCCAATTAATCTTGAATCCCTTTGCAGTAAAAGGGAGGAACCTCTGCTGGGTGTTGCAGTCAGTGGGGGACAAGGATATGATGTAAATCCAAGTTTATATTCCTACTAGGATATGTACTCCATGGAAAATTATTACAGTTTTAAAATTTCTCAGTTATGTTTTTGTTATATATTTTCTAATGTGTGATTAACTTAACCAGGCACCATAGTAGTTAGCAACAACAAAGAAGTATAAGTTGATTTTTAATTATAGAATGCATAACTTAAAAAATAGATCTAGCAATTTATTTTCATGGTAGCATGTAAAACATTGAAATGGTTAGTAGTGTATCTTTATTTCAACCTCCTTGTTTAAGGAATATGAGTAACAAAATGTCAGATATGCAAGTTTGGATTTCAGAGCTTCCCACTACCTTCAATTCAATCTTCTGCCCAACTCTAAGATTTTATAAATTATATTTAATTTCTTAAATATTTTTATTATAAATGGCAATAGGTAGAATTTAATGCAGTTTGTTCAGTTGTGTCCATTTCTTTTTCTTTTTCAGGTAAGAGAAAATTATTTTATTTGTTTCTCCGCAGGCTGTAGGAAACATTAATAATTCATGGAGTCAGTTTCTTCTGTGTCAACACTTTCTGAGCACACCACCAGGTCCCAAGCTTACCTGGCTTTCTCAAAGCACAGTGTGCAGCACGTTTGTTCAGAGATCATTCATTAAGGATCTATGGGAGGCTCGGCTCTGTAGTACTCATATAATCATACTGTGGGAAGAATGTTTAAAATACAATTTCCTGTAAATTGGTACAAGAGCATAAGAAATGGCCAAGTGCTTTGAAAAATGAACTAATTGGTACAAGAGCCTAGGAAATAGCCAAGTGCTTTGAAAAAATGAACTTACTGACACACGATAAAAAACATGGGTCTCCCCTTCCCCCAGCAATGAGAATATATTTCTTCTCATATTGTCATACTCCCTCCTTCTGGCCTCTGTCTAACCAAAGGCATACATGTCAGCTCATCCTAACTGAACACCTTATGTTCATTCTGCAACTCTGGGTCAGTAAAGCTGGCTAATTTACATGGAGATCTGCCCTATCAAGTGAGCCCAATCAGTATAGTACTGAAACTCTGAATTAATCATGCCTCTTTAATCAATGAGAAGGAAGAGTCTCAAAGATTAATTCAGATCAACGAAAGGATCTAGAATCATGCATGATTTCCTGCTTGACTGACTCTATGCTAGTAAATATGCCTCTGACAAATTAGTCACATAGGTTCAATATCCCAAGGAAACTAAAAAATGAAGACATAATCAATGCATCCAACATTATCTCACAAACACCAAGTCATCAACCAAACCTTTAAACAAAGTTGAAGTGACATTTTGTGGCTAAAATGTGAGTAATTTGAGTAAGGGCCATGGGGGAGGGGAAGCCACCCAGTAATTACCTGCCCTTATTTTTTTGTAATTTTCTTTCTTTCTTTCTTTCTTTTTTTTTTATCTCAGCTCACTGCAACTTCTGCTTCCCAGGTTCAAGCAATTCCCGTGCCTCAGCCTCCCAAGTAGCTGAGATTACATGTGTGTGCCACCACGCCTGGCTAATTTTTGTACTTTTTATTAGAGACGGGGTTTTGCTGTGTTGGCCAGACTGGTCTGGAACTCCCAACCTCAATCCACCCACCTCGGCCTCCCAAAATGCTGGCATTACAGATGTGAGCCACTACACCCCACCCTGTTGTAATTTTCATGATTATAAATCTGCTGTTATGATATTATCTAAAATGATATAGAAAGAATAAGTGTAATATAAGTTACCATATACTGGTGATTTACTGCAAATATAAATAATTTTTGAAAGATTGGAAATTTGTATAATAATTTTTTGAAAGAAATTATTTTCTGCTTTTTATAAGTTTGATCAGGCCCTCTTGCTCACCAACAAAAGCAAAATATATACATATTTCAACATCATAGAGAGCTATTGTTATATTATAATGATACTTTTTAAAATTATTAAATTTCTAACTCTTTATGCCAGGGAGCCTCAGTCAACCTGTCAGCTTCGTGCCTTCATTTCCCCCAACGTTCATCATAAAGAAAGCTATAAGTAGCAAGAATTGATCTTTCTACGGATTTGCTCTGAGCTGCAACCAGCCAAGGAATTACTCTATTGTATGTGTCACTGTGAGACGTCTTGGGAGAAGTCTTACAGGGTGGGAATTACTCTGTGCTCTGACCTGTGTGCATAAGGCCTAACTCAATGAAAATTACACATTGCCCTTATACTGGACAAGTTTATGAAAGACATCCATTATTATTTTTTAAACTATATTGGGTTCCTGGAGATATACCTTACTGTTATCCTTGAGTGAATTGGCTTCACTTTTTCTTTGTCACAGAACAAACCTGTTTACATAAACTGCATCTTCATGTATAGATATACAAGGACAAATTCAACATTTGAAAATCACTTCTAAAAAGACATACGACTGAGCTTAAATGACAAAAGTTGGAATAGATTGTTTAGGAGAAGACTATTGGATATTAAGCCTTTGCTTTATGAATTTGAATTTCAATATATCCTGGGTGCAATCTGTCTCTGCATATTTCAGCTAAATTGTAATCACAGCAACCAACTAAGTGTTAACCCAGCCAGAATCTTTCTTGGATGCTTTTGAGATAAATCTAAAATAAATAAGACAAAACAAGGATTAATGGAAGATTAAAAGATTCACATAAACATAGCTAAATGTTAACGATTGAAGACAATATTTTTGGAAGCTGGGGAAACCTTTTACCTTCTGTTTCTTGAGGCTTAGGAGATTTATTCTTGGGTAGTTAGAGACTTTGATTTTCCTCTTTTAATGAATGACTTCCTCCTCTTCCATGCTGCCTTACATGTATTTTTGTGCTATAAATTTTGTAATAGCACATTTAATTGAAAAATTTTAGGCCTACCCTGTCTCAAAAGACAGGACTGTAGTCTTGCCTGAAGGTGTCCCTATACTCTGGTAATTCACACAGGTTAGAGGTGTGTCCCAGACCAGAAAGCAAAGCTGTAAGGGTAAAGGTCAATAGAAAGGTAAAGGTCAATAGAGAGCCTAAAGATTGACAGCTCTATCTCTTTTAGGCTGAATTCTTTTCAATATTTTTCTTTCTCAGTAGAAACAATCTCATTTGAGGAAAACTTGATGATAATTAACATTTTATAAGGCATTTTACAATCGAAGCATTTCTTTCAGCATTTAGAGTATTGAAAGGAAAATATTAAGTGATTAAAAAGGCATGTGCTTTGATTTAAGGGCATTGAAAGAAATATCTATCATTTGGTCATATCTGTGCACACCCTCCTTCCCTGACACTAAGATTCCTAGTAGACTTTGATTAGCCTCCTAACCATCCCAAGCCAGGAGTCAAAATTCCTAAATATCTGCCTCTACCTCTTGGTTCTTTAAGGACTTTCACTGACCCCTGAACAAAAATACCTTAAGACCTTAACAGAAGTATGTTAATATCGGGTAACTGCATAATGGCATTATAATCAAACCTTTTGTCTTTTTAATGCTTGACCAATTCAATACTTTACCCTTGGAGGAGATAATGCCACTGGCCAGGAAACAGGAAGCAAGTCTGTGAAAGTGTTCTAGCCCACTTAGATTCAAATCAAGTCTCTAGAATGATTGTGGCTAATACTGATTCTTTAGCAATCTTCACACAATGGAATTTCTTTCCCTTATTCCCACCTTAATAAGTGGTACCACCTTTTAACAAGTCCCTCTCAATCCCCAAAGAAATGTCATCTAGAGCTCCTGCCTCCTGGTGTTTTCTTCACCCTCTTTCCCTTTCTCTCTCTCTGCTCCCACTAACATGGTCAGCAGAGCATTGTCATTTCTCTCTAAGAAGTGCTAATATCTAACTGGTTTCTGACCCCTCTATGATCTGTCCACACTAGAGCCATCAGAATCTCTCGAGAACATAAATCGGCATCTTCTTTAAATCCCATCATACAAGGATTCCCTGTAGGTTACAAGGAATTTACATTATATAAAGCATTTTATAATCGAAGCATTTCTTTCAGCGTTTAGAGTATTGAAAGGAAAATATCAAGTGATTAAAAAGAAAATCAAAGCCTGTGCTTTGATTTAAAGGCATTGAAAGAAATATCCATCCTTTTTAATGTTAATTAAAAAGCTTCCCTCTCATTCACAAAGTTCCTGGACTGCATCCTAACTCTCTCACTTTTCTGACTCTCCTTTTAATCTAGTTTACAGGAGTGCCCAGATTACCATTGCTGTTTATGTTGCTTTGTTCCATAGTTACATCCTACTTGTAATTCAGACTCAACTCAGTCCTGACAAAAGACTTCTGTTTTAGCTTTCCTATCTTATTTCACAATTGCAAGCTTTAATTGTTTTATTTCCTTTCCTTTTGCTGATTTTTTCTACTTTGTTTCTCTGAGCATTATTTTAGAGCCATATTAGATGAGATTTTTTATTATTTGTAACAACTATTGCCTTTTATTACTAATGATAATGACTGTAGTACTTTAAAAGTTAGTCTTTAAATGGGCCTCATAAAGGGTAACTTTGAAACTGATCTGGTGATTTGTACATTTGGCAAATGAATCAAAATTTGAAATTGAATGAATTTGTCTTGATGAATTCTGGCCATTAAAAAAAGATTTAGAGTAACTATTATCTGAATTTAGATATCAGTTTTTGTTCCTTAAGTTCCTTATTAAAGAAATGTTTGAAATCATACTCTCTGCCTTAAAAATCCCAAAGTGTTCTCTGGGAACATAGGTAAACAACTCTAGAAAGCTTCTAACAGTGATATTTTATCCTTTTTCTTTTATCCTAGTGTACAACCTCAGTTGGATTAGGCCAATTCCCTAAAATTTCATAGAAAGGAATTTGTTTTCATTGTTATAAACTAGAGGGTTTTAGGAATTGGCAGGATGAGAGTGGGATTTTCTCCGCGATCCTTCTGTCAACATTTTTCATACACTATTTTCTAAGGGACTAGTGAGCAGAGTACTCCTGAGTCCACTAGAAGGTGCATGGAGTGGTTGATTGATTTATTGATTTTCGGCTAGGGGATCTATATGCAGTGCTAAACTGGACCTTCTTGCTCACCCAAAGCAAGTAGAAACAGTTACTGGATTATCAGAAAAATATCCAGATTTTAACTTAACAGCTGTGTCACATCAGGGTGGTGAGCAGGTGAATCGACACATTTTTTAATACATTTTCCAAAATTGCCTAGTTAAATTCTTAGATGCCTTTTGAGTCTGAGAATTGTCATTTTGGGCCTGTCTACATTTTAATAAATAAACCAAATTAAATGCATTGTCAAAAGAACAATAAAATTAATCTAGTTTTGTTCTAGTGTTCTTACCTAAAATGAATTAAAACATCAAGTGATTTCAACTCTTCATGTATATTGCATTGTTATTCAGGGATCTTCAACTTTTTTCTATTACTTCTAAGAGACAGTAGAACTCCAAATAGTCTGGATGTTATATTTCTAATCAAAAATGTCTTTAAAAGATTATCTCTTTAAAGGAAAAAAATTTCATTTTCCTATTATATTTTGCTTTGTCCTCACTTTTTCTGATCACTATATTTATTCCTATAACTATTCAGTTAATTGTACAGCTTTCATTGATGACATTGCATTCTGCATTGTTCAATAGAGCCCCTTCTTAGGCACTGCTTTTAGTCTCATATTAACTCCAATTTCTTTAATCCAGATTGCCCTTATTTACTTTGATATGAAACATAAGGCCATCTGTTGAGCCTGAGCTTTTACTATTTTTGTCATCACTATGAATAGACTGGCCTCCATTCATGCTCTCCTGATGGATCTGTCTTGTCAACCATAAAGAGAAAAGAGTTTTGTTTTAGCTCGCCTATCTTATTCCACAGAGATTGATAATTTCCCACTCAAACTCTTACAGTTTGTGTCTCATTCATATGAAGGCCTTTCTCTTCACCCTACCCATGTGTAGGCAAAAAACAAGTCAAGTGGTTCTGCCTCCAAACTATATCCCACAGGTGTTCGCCTCACCACAGCCATCACTCAAACCAAGTTCCCAAAATCGCTTACCTAGGCTATTGCAGCATCTTCTCCACGGGTTCTACCACTCAGCTAATGCACTCTCCATTCAGCAGCCAGAAAGGCTTTTTGTTTTACTTTTTATTGGATATTTTTTTTTGTCAATGCTTGTTGGCATTTCCAAAGTAGTTGCTTCTCCAGTGCCCAATCTGGGATGTATAAGGTGAAAAGAAAACCCAGGGAACTCATTGCTGCATTGTTCCTCAGAGGCTGAGGTCCCTAGCAGCCTGTCTTCATCTCTCCAGCTTTCAGAGGATACTTGTGTTTGCTTTATGTATAATATCTAGAGTTTTAGGCTGAACATAGCAGGAGGGCTAGGAAAAAGTATATCTTTTGGTCTAGATCTGAAAGTCCTGAATGCCATTTAAAAATATATATCACATTGCATCCCTGTACCAAGCTTAAAACCTTTCAGTGACTTTCTCTTGCTCTTAATATACAATGAAAATTTACCTCTGTGACGCATAAGACCCAAATAATGTGATCTTGGCCTGTCTCTGCAATATTTATGTGTCAGTGGCTCTCATTCTATTCAACTGGCCTTATATTTCCTTGAATAAACTAAGACTCTTTTCCCACTCAGAATCTTTCCCCATGTTGTTCCCTTTGTCTCAGCCATTTGTCATCAATGCTGTCACTGCTTGGCTCCATTTCAGCCTCTGGTTTAAATGCTCCCTCCTTTATAATGTCCTTCCCAAGCCACCTTATCTCATATTCTTCTCTTACTTTCCTATGTTTAAATTTTCTTCAGAAATTAATATAACTCATATTTTTCCATCGTTACTTTTCATAGTCTATATGAACAGGTTCCCAACTTTGCCTTTTAATCTTTTGAAAGGTGCATTTAATGAACACCTCGATGGAAGATGGTAGTATGTTGTAATCAACCATTTCATAAAGAAATACAAAAAAAGCCCCTGAGTTATAGATCACTATGTCATCACGGGCCCAGTTGCTAGTTTTGGTTTGCTTATTTTTTTTTAACTATTTTTTTTTTAAATTATACTTTAAGTTTTAGGGTACATGTGCACAATGTGCAGGTTAGTTACATATGTATACATGTGCCATGCTGGTGCGCTGCACCCACTAACTCGTCATCTAGCATTAGGTATATCTCCCAATGCTATCCCTCCCCCCTCCCCCCACCCCACCACAGTCCCCAGAGTGTGATATTCCCCTTCCTGTGTCCATGTGATCTCATTGTTCAATTCCCACCTATGGTGAGAATATGCAGTGTTTGGTTTTTTGTTCTTGCGATAGTTTACTGAGAATGATGATTTCCAATTTCATCCATGTCCCTACAAAGGACATGAACTCATCATTTTTTATGGTTGCATAGTATTCCATGGTGTATATGTGCCACATTTCCTTAATCCAGTCTATCATTGTTGGACATTTGGGTTGGTTCCAAGTCTTTGCTATGGTGAATAATGCCACAATAAACATACGTGTGCATGTGTCTTTATAGCAGCATGATTTATAGTCCTTTGGGTATATACCCAGTAATGGGATGGCTGGGTCAAATGGTATTTCTAGTTCTAGATCCCTGAGGAATCGCCACACTGACTTCCACAATGGTTGAACTAGTTTACAGTCCCACCAACAGTGTAAAAGTGTTCCTATTTCTCCACATCCTCCCCAGCACCTGTTGTTTCCTGACTTTTTAATGATTGCCATTCTAACTGGTGTGAGATGGTATCTCATTGTGGTTTTGATTTGCATTTCTCTGATGGCCAGTGATGATGAGCATTTTTTCATGTGTTTTTTGGCTGCATAAATGTCTTCTTTTGAGAAGTGTCTGTTCATGTCTTTTGCCCACTTTTTGATGGGGTTGTTTGTTTTTTTTCTTGTAAATTTGTTTGAGTTCATTCTAGATTCTGGATATTAGCCCTTTGTCAGATGAGTAGGTTGCGAAAATTTTCTCCCATTTTGTAGGTTGCCCGTTCACTCTGATGGTAGTTTCTTTTGCTGTGCAGAAGCTCTTTAGTTTAATTAGATCCCATTTGTCAATTTTGTCTTTTGTTGCCATTGCTTTTGGTGTTTTGGACATGAAGTCCTTGCCCATGCCTATGTCCTGAATGGTAATGCCTAGGTTTTCTTCTAGGGTTTTTATGGTTTTAGGTCTAACGATTAAGTCTTTAATCCATCTTGAATTGATTTTTGTATAAGGTGTAAGGAAGGGATCCAGTTTCAGCTTTCTCCATATGGCTAGCCAGTTTTCCCAGCACCATTTATTAAATAGGGAATCCTTTCCCTATTGCTTGTTTTTCTCAGGTTTGTCAAAGATCAGATAGTTGTAGATATGCGGCGTTATTTCTGAGGGCTCTGTTCTGTTCCATTGATCTATATCTCTGTTTTGGTACCAGTACCATGCTGTTTTGGTTACTGTAGCCTTGTATAGTTTGAAGTCAGATAGTGTGATGCCTCCAGCTTTGTTCTTTTGGCTTAGGATTGCCTTGGTGATGCGGGCTCTTTTTTTGGTTCCATATGAACTTTAAAGTAGTTTTTTCCAATTCTGTGAAGAAAGTCATTGGTAGCTTGATGGGGATGGCATTGAATCTGTAAATTACCTTGGGCAGTATGGCCATTTTCACGATACTGATTCTTCCTACCCATGAGCATGGAATGTTCTTCCATTTGTTTGTATCCTCTTTTATTTCCTTGAGCAGTGGTTTGTAGTTCTCCTTGAAGAGGTCCTTCACATCCCTTGTAAGTTGGATTCCTAGGTATTTTATTCTCTTTGAAGCAATTGTGAATGGGAGTTCACTCATGATTTGGCTCTCTGTCTGTTGTTGGTGTATAAGAATGCTTGTGATTTTTGTACATTGATTTTGTATCCTGAGACTTTGCTGAAGTTGCTTATCAGCTTAAGGAGATTTTGGGCTGAGACAATGGGGTTTTCTAGATATACAATCATGTCATCTGCAAACAGGGACAATTTGACTTCCTCTTTTCCTAATTGAATGCCCTTTATTTCCTTCTCCTGCCTAATTGCCCTGGCCAGAACTTCCAACACTATGTTGAAAAGGAGTGGTGAGAGAGGGCATCCCTGTCTTGTGCCAGTTTTCAAAGGGAATGCTTCCAGTTTTTGCCCATTTAGTATGATATTGGCTGTGGGTTTGTCATAGATAGCTCTTATTATTTTGAAATATGTCCCATCAATACCTAATTTATTGAGAGTTTTTAGCATGAAGGGTTGTTGAATTTTGTCAAAGGCCTTCTCTGCATCTATTGAGATAATCATGTGGTTTTTGTCTTTGGCTCTGTTTATATGCTGGATTACATTTATTGATTTGCGTATATTGAACCAGCCTTGCATCCCAGGGATGAAGCCCACTTGATCATGGTGGATAAGCTTTTTGATGTGCTGCTGGATTTGTTTTGCCAGTATTTTATTGAGGATTTTTGCATCAATGTTCATCAAGGATATTGGTCTAAAATTCTCTTTTTTGATTGTGTCTCTGCCCGGCTTTGGTATCAGAATGATGCTGGCCTCATAAAATGAGTTAGGGAGGATTCCCCCTTTTTCTATTGATTGGAATAGTTTCAGAAGGAATGGTACCAGTTCCTCCTTGTACCTCTGGTAGAATTCGGCTGTGAATCCATCTGGTCCTGGACTCTTTTTGGTTGGTAAACTATTGATTATTGCCACAATTTCAGCTCCTGTTATTGGTCTATTCAGAGATTCAACTTCTTCCTGGTTTAGTCTTGGGAGAGTGTATGTGTCGAGGAATTTATCCATTTCTTCTAGATTTTCTAGTTTATTTGCGTAGAGGTGTTTGTAGTATTCTCTGATGGTAGTTTGTATTTCTGTGGGATCGGTGGTGATATCCCCTTTATCATTTTTTATTGTGTCTATTTGATTCTTCTCTCTTTTTTTCTTTATTAGTCTTGCTAGCGGTCTATCAGTTTTGTTGATCATTTCAAAAAACCAGCTCCTGGATTCATTAATTTTTTGAAAGGTTTTTTGTGTCTCTATTTCCTTCAGTTCTGCTCTGATTTTAGTTATTTCTTGCCTTCTACTAGCTTTTGAATGTGTTTGCTCTTGCTTTTCTAGTTCTTTTAATTGTGATGTTAGGGTGTCAATTTTGGATCTTTCCTGCTTTCTCTTGTGGACATTTAGTGCTATAAATTTCCCTCTACATGCTGCTTTGAATGCGTCCCAGAGATTCTAGTGTGTTGTGTCTTTGTTCTCGTTGGTTTCAAAGAACATCTTTATTTCTGCCTTCATTTCGTTATGTATCCAGTAGTCGTTCAGGAGCAGGTTGTTCAGTTTCCATGTAGTTGAGCGGTTTTGAGTGAGATTCTTAATTCTGAGTTCTAGTTTGATTGCACTGTGGTCTGAGAGATAGTTTGTTATTATCTCTGTTCTTTTACATTTGCTGAGGAGAGCTTTACTTCCAAGTATGTGGTCAATTTTGGAATAGGTGTGGTGCTGAAAAAAATGTATATTCTGTTGATTTGGAGTGGAGAGTTCTTAGATGTCTATTAGGTCCGCTTGGTGCAGAGCTGAGTTCAATTCCTGGGTATCCTTGTTGACTTTCTGTCTCGTTGATCTGTCTAATGTTGACAGTGGGGTGTTAAAGTCTCCCATTATTAATGTGTGGGAGTCTAAGTCTCTTTGTAGGTCACTCAGGACTTGCTTTATGAATCTGGGTGCTCCTGTATTGGGTGCATATATATTTAGGATAGTTAGCTCTTCTTGTTGAATTGATCCCTTTACCATTATGTAATGGCCTTCTTTGTCTCTTTTGATCTTTGTTGGTTTAAGGTCTGTTTTATCAGAGACTAGGATTGCAACCCCTGCCTTTTTTTGTTTTCCATTTGCTTGGTAGATCTTCCTCCATCCTTTTATTTTGAGCGTATGTGTGTCTCTGCACGTGAGATGGGTTTCCTGAATACAGCACACTGATGGGTCTTGACTCTTTCTCCAATTTGCCAGTCTGTGTCTTTTAATTGGCACATTTAGTCCATTTACATTTAAAGTTAATATTGTTATGTGTGAATTTGATCCTGTCATTATGATGTTAGCTGGTGATTTTGCTCGTTAGTTGATGCAGTTTCTTCCTAGTCTCGATGGTCTTTACATTTTGGCATGATTTTGCAGCGGCTGGTACCGGTTGTTCCTTTCCATGTTTAGTGCTTCCTTCAGGAGCGCTTTTAGGGCAGGCCTGGTGGTGACAAAATCTGTCAGCATTTGCTTGTCTATAAAGTATTTTATTTCTCCTTCACTTATGAAGCTTAGTTTGGCTGGATATGAAATTCTGGGTTGAAAATTCTTTTCTTTAAGAATGTTGAATATCGGCCCCCACTCTCTTCTGGCTTGTAGGGTTTCTGCCGAGAGATCCACTGTTAGTCTGATGGGCTTCCCTTTGAGGGTAACCCAACCTTTCTCTCTGGCTGCCCTTAACATTTTTTCCTTCATTTCAACTTTGGTGAATCTGACAATTATGTGTCTTGGAGTTGCTCTTCTCGAGGAGTATCTTTGTGGCATTTTCTGTATTTCCTGAATCTGAACATTGGCCTGCCTTGCTAGATTGGGGAAGTTCTCCTGGATGATATCCTGCAGAGTGTTTTCCAACTTGGTTCCATTCTCCCCATCACTTTCAGGTACACCAATCAGACGTAGATTTGGTCTTTTCACATAGTCCCATATTTCTTGGAGGCTTTGCTCATTTCTTATTCTTTTTTCTCTAAACTTCCCTTCTCGCTTCATTTCATTCATTTCATCTTCCATTGCTGATACCCTTTCTTCCAGTTGATCGCATTGGCTCCTGAGGCTTCTGCATTCTTCACGTAGTTCTCGAGCCTTGGTTTTCAGCTCCATCAGCTCCTTTAAGCACTTCTCTGTATTGGTTATTCTAGTTATACATTCTTCTAAATTTTTTTCAAAGTTTTCAACTTCTTTGCCTTTGGTTTGAATGTCCTCCTGTAGCTCAGAGTAATTTGATCGTCTGAAGCCTTCTTCTCTCAGCTCGTCAAAGTCATTCTCCATCCAGCTTTGTTCCATTGCTGGTGAGGAACTGCGTTCCTTTGGAGGAGGAGAGGCGCTCTGCGTTTCAGAGTTTCCCGTTTTTCTGTTCTGTTTTTTCCCCATCTTTGTGGTTTTATCTACTTTTGGTCTTTGATGATGGTGATGTACAGATGGGTTTTTGGTGTGGATGTCCTTTCTGTTTGTTAGTTTTCCTTCTAACAGACAGGACCCTCAGCTGCAGGTCTGTTGGAATACCCTGCCGTGTGAGGTGTCAGTGTGCCCCTGCTGGGGGGGTGCCTCCCAGTTAGGCTGCTCGGGGGTCAGGGGTCAGGGACCCACTTGAGGAGGCAGTCTGCCTGTTCTCAGATTTCCAGCTACGTGCTGGGAGAACCACTGCCCTCTTCAAAGCTGTCAGACAGGGACATTTAAGTCTGCAGAGGTTACTGCTGCCTTTTTGTTTGTCTGTGCCCTGCCCCCAGAGGTGGAGCCTACAGAGGCAGGCAGGCCTCCTTGAGCTGTGGTGGGCTCCACCCAGTTCTAGCTTCCCGGCTGCTTTGTTTACCTAATCAAGCCTGGGCAATGGCGGGCGCCCCTCCCCCAGCCTCGCTGCCGCCTTGCAGTTTGATCTCAGACTGCTGTGCTAGCAATCAGCGAGACTCCGTGGGCGTAGGACCCTCCGAGCCAGGTGCGGGATATAATCTCATGGTGTGCCGTTTTTAAAGCTGGTCCGAGAAGCGCAATATTCTGGTGGGAGTGACCCGATTTTCCAGGTGAGTCTGTCACCCCTTTCTTTGACTCGGAAAGGGAACTCCCTGACCCCTTGCGCTTCCCAAGTGAGGCAATGCCTTGCCTTGCTTCGGCTCACGCACGGTGTGCGCACCCACTGACTTGCGCCCACTGTCTGGCACTCCCTAGTGAGATGAACCTGGTACCTCAGATGGAAATGCAGAAATCACCCGTCTTCTGCGTCGCTCACCCTGGGAGCTGTAGACTGGAGCTGTTCCTATTCGGCCATCTTGGCTCTTCCCCCCTAGTTTGCTTATTTTTAATTCATTGATTAATTCAACTATTATTTACCAAGTGCCTGTTGTGTGTCAGACACTATTCTAGTTGTCAGTAATACAGCCATAAACAAAAATACGTTACTGCCCTTATGGAGTGTACATTCTACTGGAGGGAAAATAATACACAAATATGAAATGAATGCATAATATATTATGTGATGCAAATAAAAAATAAAGCCGTTGAAGAGAAGAGAAAGTGATTGGAGTAGGCTGGGAATAGGAAAGTGAAGAATTTTTTACATTCAATGGTCCAGAAAGGTCTCTTTGTCATACAGTGGTATTTGAGCAGGGATCTTAATGAAATTGAGAGCCAGCCCAAGCAGATATCTAGGGGAAGCAAAGGGAAGACTAAGGACAAATATTCTGAGACTGAAATGTATGTGCTGTTATTGAGGAACAACAGGAGACTGATGTGGCTGGAGCTTAGGGAAGGAGGAAGCAATGCTAAGAGATGAGGCCAGTACTAAGATAGCCAGAATGAGACTATTGATGGAGATGGTTGACAGACTTTGCCTGTGACAAACTGCATATGCTTGTTACACATGGCCACTCTTAATGTTGGTTGATTAAGAGTACTGTCCATTGGAACATGGCAACAGTTTCACCAGTAGAAGCAAGCTGTGTGGTGAGATTTAACTCAAAACATTATTTGATAACTAAGTTCTAGTAACAATAATACATACATGATACCCATAATGCCTGATTTCCCTACTTGACTCTAGGAAGGTAGATAGGATGAAGAGAAAGTAAAGATAATTAGGGCATATTATAAAAAAGTAATTAGAAATAGTTCTAAAAGGAAATAAACTAATTGTTTCAAAGTTATTTAAAATTCAAAACTCACAGTTGTTTAATTGCTTTCTTACATTGCAATTTCGCCAGGGTGAGCAACTGAATCAAGTTCTGTGGATAAGTGGGGGGAAAAATGAATAGAGAATTAAAGTATTCCAAAAATACTGAATGGGCGTTTAAATGTGTGCAACCTTTTTTATTTCTTAATTGAAATATGAAAGCTGTGCTTAGTGCACAAATGAGTGTTATATCCTCATTTTGTAGATGTGGGATAAGGATTAAATGTTATGTCTAATACTACGAAGAGAACACGCTGCTGTTCTGGACAGGAAATTCAAAAGGAAATAAGTGCCTGGTTTCACTCTTTGGTATAATTATCAATTTCCTTCATTCACCAAGGCTCATATAATGAAGAGCTTTAAATCTACTGTTGGCCATGTTCAACTGAAACAGAAGTAAAGGTTGCATCCTCTCTTTCCCTTACTGTAGTTCCTCCTGAAATCAGAACTAAGGAAAGCCAGTTTCCAGAGGTCTTTAGTAAACACAGTCTCAGAACTAGACTTCCTTTTACTCTTATGCCATCCATTTCTTTACTAGTAAGCTGGAATTAATGTTGCATCTCCTCTGTCATCCTATACATTGTACCACAAAATATGTATAGGAAAACACAAATTATGAAGTGCTTGAAATATATTACTTCCTGTTTTAGAATTATTATGATTGTAAACTAGGTTGTGCTGACCTTAATAAACCACTAGAGATTCTGTAATTTCACCTTGTTCTTTTTCATACATACCCTTTCCCATATAGACTTTTCCCTTTATTTGAAATGCCTTCCTTTCCCATACTACCATGCTTGGCCTGACAAACTCCTATTTATCTTTCTGGGCTGAGGTTTTAAGTGATCTCACCCTGTAAACTTTCCCTAATCATCCTCTCTGGGTTAGATACCTTTTTGCACCTCAGCTGTGTTGATTTTCATTTTAGATATGTCTTCTGTAGCAGACCACAAACTCCTTGAGAGCAGGAACTGTATTTTCATTTTCCTTATATTCACAATATGTACCATAATGCCAGGAACATAGCTGGGTGCTACAAATATTTGTTGAATAATTGAATGACACAATTTCAAAACAAATATATTATTTAACCAAATAAGTAAGTAATGAGAAAGTTACAAATTCTAAGGTCATAAAGATACTTGTAACTTAGAATGCCTTTTAAAGTAATGTACTCCAGTGTTATCATAAGTAATTGAAATAAGCCTACACATAGTTTACTCAATTATTTTGATGTTCATTGAGATGAGTTTTGTTTCCAGTAAATATTCTGAACATATGATGCATCTTAGTTTTTCATGGTAGTTATAGAGAATCTATAGCAATTTAAAATTTGAATAAGAGGTTGGGCGCTATGGCTCACTCCTGTAATCCCAGCACTTTGGGAGGCTGAGGAGGATGGATAGCTTGAGCTCAGGAATTGGAGACCAGCCTGGGCAACATACTGAAACCCTATCTCTACAAAAAATACACACACGCACACACACGCAATTAGCCAGGCATAGTGGCGTGTGCCTATTAGTCCCAGCTACTTGAGAGGCTGAGGCATGAAAATCGCTTCAGCCCAAGATATGGAGGTTGCAGTGAGCCGAGATCATGCCACTGCACTCCAGCCTGGGTGACAGAGGGAGACCCTGTCTCAAAAAATAAAATTTGAATAACGTTTCTTGATTTCTTTCCATTAAATATTGACATTGAATCAAAAGAATCTGAAATTATTTGGTTTAACATATTAAGTTCTATATTTTCATTTTTGATCTATTTAAATTGAATGTTAATTATAATCTGCACAATAAATGTGATCATTATGAGATGGCATTTGATAGTGAAGAGGATAGCTTTACCAGAAAAGAAAAAAGTCCTATTTTTTTCAAGATGTGGCAACAACTTTACAACTATATACTACAACAAACATGACTGTGACAACGGATTTTAGCATCACTTTCTTTCAAAGATAAAATAGGTTCCCCTAAAAATACTCCATCTTCCTAACATTTTAAAGAAGGATCGAGATGAAATTTATAATACTATCATTGGGAGCCTTAAGAATTTTACAGAACTTCTCAGTACTGAAATCACTACTCTCTCAGGATATTTTTTCATGTGTTTTAAAACACGTGCTGTAGTGAAAGATTATACTGTTAGACTTTTGAAGTACTGGTGAAATAACTTGTTTAACTCTTCTAAGTTATATATTTGATATTTGCTGCCTTCTCAACATCACAGTTGAGTTGAAAAAAAGTAGTGGCTTTCTTACAATGCTATTGAAATAGCATTATTTCAATAATAATGAATAACAGGTTGGGCATGGTGGCTCATTATTATTTCAATAATAGTGAAATAATGCTATTTAATGGCCTTATTTGCTTGTCTTCTTTACAAATCAGTGATTGAACAGTATAGGGAATAATCAATTTTTATCGTACCTCATAATTTATAGAAAAAGTATTAACATTTTGCTGCATGTGCTTACTACGTTAGAGAAAAAGGTTATAAATGGATGCTATAGCAACATCCTGGCATAATCCTTCATTTATTGACAGTTTTATTGAATATTGTGATTTTTATTGATTTAGTAATAAATTTCATTTTTGAAACTACTTTTATCTACTTATACTTGTGCCGACGGAAAGTGAGAATGTTGTACCATGGCAATTATTAGAGAATACATTTTAATCCAGTTAAGTGATTGCATTTTTTTCTTTCCACTCTCCAAGTTATCTTTGTTTGTATTTAAGAGTATTAAACTCATTTCCTTTTTTTCCACATACTAGAGACTGTGGTAAAGTTATGTGGTGTTTTCTGTAAAATAAGTTTGGAGCCATTAACTGTTGCTTTACTGTCAAAGGACATTTATGTATTCCAAACTGTTTCTTATAATAAAACCGTACAACAACAATCAAGTTAACTAAAAATCTCCTTTAAAAGAATACATACACATAAATACACACACATACATCTTTAAATAAATTTTAAAAAACGAACCCTGCCCCTAGTTTCACATTTATTACTCTCCATTGAAGTTGCTTTAAATCCACCAAAATTTAGAGACACACAAAATATGGGGGATAAAGAACTTCCCGTTATTTGAGTATGAACTATAGTTCTGCGCAACCTTAAACTAAGAAAAGGTTGGTGTAATCATTCCACTTTGTTCTATTCTTAGACTTCGTCCTCAGTCAGAAGTTAATAATAGAGATATGATGCCACCGGAAGTGGCATCTCCTTCCTTTTTTTTCTTTACCATGCAGCATTCTACTTTTCTCTGCCATTCATAACATTGGCAGAAGGGAACTTGATAATGAGAGAAAAGATTTTTCTCCCTGCAAGTAATAGGGACTCTTACCTGATGATCACTTAGGGCAGTACTCAAAGTGTGATCCCCTGGGCATCCACATCAGCATCACCAGGGGCTTGTTAGATACACAAATATCTAACTCTGAGGGTGAGGCCCAGCAAATCTGTATTTTAACAAGCCTCCTGGTGATTGTGAAGAACACTAAAGTTAGAGGACTACTGATTTAGGGAATAGTTATCATGACAATCACGTTAATCACCCATTAGAGAGTGCACAGATAATTCTATGCTATCCTTAAAGATCTTCTCCAAATTTATTGTTTAAATGCAGGGAAAAACGATGTAATGAGGTACTGTACCTTTGGACAAATTGCAAATTAGGAAAAGTTGTCCCTGAAAACTTTTGACTGTGGAGAATTTACCTAATGAGTTACGGCGTGAATTTGAGAACTTCAAAGACTGAGAGCTTGTACTGGATTGACTAGCTTCCTCCAAAATGTTCCCAGTGGCAGTTTCACGTGGAACTACCCAATGTGACCTTAGCTAGAAAGAGGGTTTTTGCAGGTATAACAGTTAGGATGAGGTCATACTGGATTAGAGTGGGCCCTAAATTCAATCCCTGGTTCCCTACTGGGAAGGTCATTTAGAGAGGCATACATGGAAGAAGGTTGTGTGAAGATGAAGGCAGACATTGGAGTTAGGCTGCCACAAGCCAAGGAATGTCAAGGATTGCTGCCATCCACCTTGGCTAGGAGAGAGACATGAACAGTTTCTCTTCCAGGGCTTTCAGAAGGAACCAACCCTGCTGACATCTTGATTTTGGATTTCTGACCTCCTAAACTATTATGGAATAAATTTCTGTTGTTTAAAGCCAACCAGTTTTTGCTTAATTGTTATGGAAGCCTGGGGAAACTAACAGAGGGCTTTGTAGGGTTTATGTTTTAAGAGTATTCTTTGCCTTGCTCTTAGTCTATAAAGACCTTCTCATTAAAATGTGCTTTGTAAAGAAATATGCTCTCATCCTTCCCACCTCATCAGTTCCTCCTTCCTCTTCTGCTATATCCACCCCACACATTTGTTTGTTGGTTTTAAGTTTCATTGAGTTATAACTGACAAATTAAAATTGTATTATTCAAGGTGTACAAAGTGATATTACTCTCCACTGAAGTTGCCTTAAATCCACCAAAATTTAGAGACACTAAACTACATTCAGAAAATGTGGGGCGGGGGAGAAATTCCCCTGTTTTTCAAATATAAATTATGGTTATGTTTCTGCAAGAACCCCCAACTAAGAAAAGGTTGTTGTAATAATTCCAGTTCATTCTATCCTTACACTTCCTCATCAGTTTAAGGATATTCATATCCATCACCTCACACAGTTGCTTTCGTATGTGTGTGTGTGTGTAGTGAGGATGGTTGAGATCTACTCTCTTAGCAAGTTTCAAGTATACACTACATTATTATTAACTACAGTCACTATGCTGTACATTAGGTCTCCAGAAGGCAGAAGGCGGAAGGCTTTTATCGTATAATTGCAAGTTTGTGCCCTTCGACCAACATGTCCGTACTTCCTTTTTTTTTTTGAGATGGAGTCTCCCTCTATCACCTAGGCTGGAGTGCAGTGGCTCAATCTTGGCTCACTGAAACTTTCACCTTCTGGGTTAAAGTGATTCTCCTGCCTCAGCCTCCCCAGTAGCTGGGATTACAGGCACGCGCCACTACGTCCAGCTACTTTTTTGTATTTTTAGTAGAGACAGGGTTTCACCATCTTGGCCAGGCTGGTCTCGAATTCCTGACCTCAAGTGATCCGCCCGCCTCTGCCTCCCAAAGTGCTGGGATTACAGGCGTGAGCCACAGCACCTGGCCCCCACACTTTTGAAGGATCTTTGAAGAGTCTAAGTTCAACTGGGAAAGTCATAGTCTTATTTATTGTTGGGGAAAAAGAAACTCTACTGGGAGCATATTAAATACAAAGCCCTTTTCATTGTGGAGAAATAAAGCATTTGTGTATTTTTAGTTAGAAATTATGCATATTATCTCCCATTCGTCTGTCTTTCAATAAAATTTTAAGTTGAGGTGTATTGTGTTTCTTAAGCTGCTTTATACTCATTTGTTCAAATACATACCAAGCCTTTAATTAGACCATTTGGCTATTTTATTTGCAAATAAGTAATACTATTAAGTGTATCTGTGCCTCCTTCTGTTGCTGTTTCAATTGTGTCATGAATGCACTGACCCTCCATAGACAGGGTTAATTGGAGTGTGGGCGTGAGTGCATGCATGTGTGTGGCTGCCTGCTGTAGACTTAAGATAAAGAATGGAGATTTACCAAGCAAAGCTTTTATGTCTTAAAAATAAAACATATGTAATTATGAGTGATATATTTAGGAATCCTGCCTTAATAAAATTAATTTGCATGCACTCTACCTTATAGTAATAGTTCTGAGTGACTTTGCTATTTTTTCCCAAACAGCTTAGCAAAGCATCTATATTGTAATATGTAAGTAGGCATTTTTAAAAGTCATACAAATGAAAAGAAACATTTAATAAGAATACAACTGTGCTAAAATAATTTAAATGACTTGAGAGATCTGCCTTTATTATATGTAGATTTATGCTATTTCTCTAGCCAGTAAAACAAACATACAAACAAATCCCTATTTCATTCTTTCAGCACTTCTACTATGTGCCAAGTATCAGTTATTAAAAATAGAGAAGAAATTCAGAGTCTTGCTTTCAAAGAGTGATAGTTTTAACAGGGAAGAGGAATAATAGACAGTTAAGAATCTGCTTAAGGAGAAAACTGGGCCCTTGGGCAGGGGGAAATTTAGAAAGGGTACTGTATTGGCTTCCTAGGGCTGTTGTAACAAATTAACAGAAACTTGATGGCTTGAAAAAACAGACATTTATTTTGCCACGGTCAGGAGGCTAGAAGTCCAAAATCAAAGCCCCAGCAAGGCCACACCTTCCTCTGCAGGCTAAGTGGGTGGTTCCTCCCTTGCCTCTTCTAGCTTCTGATGGCCCAGAGCATTCTTTGGCTTGTGGCAAAATAATTCCAATCTCTGCCTTCCTCTACATGACTTTCTTTGTGTCTCTCTGTCTTCTCTTCTGTCTCTCTTATTAAGAACCTGTATCCTTGGATTTAGAGCCCACCTTAATGCAGGATGATTTCATCCCAAGATCTAACTTAATTATGTCTATAAAGACTCTTTTCCCAAATACTGTAATATCCACAGGTATTGGATGGACTTATCTTTTGGAGACCAGCATTCAACCTGCTACAGCCACCTAGAGTAGGTGACACCTCCATTGCAGATCGGGTTTGAGGAGAGAGGGAAAACACATAGTGAGGTATCTTAGGCATAGACAATGTGAGATGTGCAAGTCTTTCCCATTGACACCAAAATGCCTGGCAAATAGCAAGCACTCAGTGACTGTGGGAATATTAATGAAATACACTCAATGAAAATGGCCACTAGCAGGTGGACATAAGTCTAGTAATCAGGAGAAAGTCCTGGGTTGGACAGAAGAATGGACAAGATTGCCAATGCAAGCTGTGTGAGAAGCGAAAAGAGTAAAGCAATGACCAAGTAATGTCCATCCTTGAGAAATTCTGAAGATGAGGCTGAGAAGGAGTTTGTGGAAAAACAATAGGGAAACCAGCAGAGAAGGGTGGCATAGGAGAGAAGAGAGAAATTAATCTTTAAAAAAAAAAAAAGGAAGGTGTCAGATTAGGTTAAGCTGATTAAGTAGTATGAAACCTGCATTTGGGAACTTTGATATACACAGTTTCAGAAGTTAAAAGTCCAATTTTTCATGGATTAAAAATGGTAGAAAGTTTGACAAACATCTAGAATTTTTTTACCTAATGGACAAAGAAATTAAACCAATACATGGCCTTCCCTTCATAACACCCAATGCACATGTTTCAGAGAAAGTTCTTCAAAAATTCTGTGTGAGGACACATGTCTGTGACCTGTCTTCTTTGAAATATGAGACAGACTGTGCAAGTTGCCACAGATTGTTAGAGCCGCTGTGCTGGAGTCGTCTACTTGTAACCTCTCTTCTCGTTGCAGGACATCTTATTATATTCACAGTGGGAGAATCCAGTTTCCAAACTGTAATTCTAACTCTGATCTTCCATGTAAAAGCATGTTCTCCAGGGATCCTACTGAATCCACTATGAAACATCAGTCAGGCCTACATAAAGTAGATCAGAGACCTTCCTGATCAGTAGTGTGAAAGATCTTGAGAATAAAAGGAGCCTTAATGTTTATACACCATAGAGATTTAAAACTGCATTATACTTTGAAGCCATCATCACCTTTTTTCTCTGCAATGACATCTGTTGTTAAGTGCATTTAGGTTTTTTAAGGTTAATAACTGAAATACCCGGATCGCTGTAATCTCAACTGTTGGAAAGACACTGAATAAATCATTCCATGGTATGTCGTCAATATACCATCAATTTTGCCTTTTCAATTCCATGTTAAGGAGTGGTTGAACCCTGAGGTTTCTTTTGACCACTTGATATTCCCCCACAAAATTTTTGAATTAGTCACAATGGTAACTATGTTCAAGCGTGCTTGCGTCAACTAACATTTTTTTAATTTAAGGATGGTAAATTTGGGCATTTTAGATGTCTTTATTTTAATTGTTAACAATCAATAAGCTTTTAATCCTTTTCTTAGCTTTATGAACTGAGATTATGGTAAGTATGTTTATTTTAAAAACTTAAAGTGGATTTACTATTCGTTACCTTAAAAAGTTGAGCTTTAAAATTAGGTGAAATAAATGATGTTATTTAAAAATCAACTTTTTGGCTGTTATGATATTTTTAGATTGGGAATTTAAGAATTTAAATGAGATTATGAAGGAAGTCATTTAAAATTTTGTTTTATAAATACTTTGTGTTAGACTTAATAAATCAGAATTTAAAAGTATACAGATTGATAAGAAATTTTTAAGTTGAAGCATATACAAAATCTGATTATATAATTTTATGTCACTTATAATAACTGATAACCTATAAACTTAGAACTAACATCAATCAACAGGTCAACAGCTTTTGTCTTAGGGTTAAACCATGCAATGTTATAGATCTTAAAAAAAAATTTTACCTAACTGCTATTTTGACATCAAATTCAATTAAGAAATAACTCCAAGACTTCAGCACATCTTAGAAAAATTCAATAGTGTATATTTTCTACTCTTTTATATTCACAAAACACATATATGTAACTAATTAGAATTTAATAAGCCTTTCACCCGAGAGAAAATTTTGGTCTCTGTAAAGCTTTTATCCTTGCCCTACTTTTAATGTCACTATCAAGTATGTTATTCTGCCGGGTTTTTAAAAATACAATTTTATGTTATTTTCCTGCATGTTGCAATTATGCGGTTTTCTTACATGAATATTGCTTTATGGAGAGAATGCTCTTTGAAATTTTAGAAAAAAAATGAATATTGTTTCTATAGAAATAGGAATACTCTGAGCAATAGATTGGGAAATGAGACATATTCAGTATGAATCTGAGTCTTTGTTGTTCACACTAGATGAAGGGTAATTTTATAAAAATAAGGCCAAGAAAAAAATGAAATATGGGATTTCATAGTTTATCTATGATAAGTCAAGCCATTTTATTCTGCCAATAACTCAGCACAATGTAGCCTCAAACCACTCTACACCACTGTGTATATGTGTGTGTTTGTGCAGTGATATGATTTGTCAAGGCATTCTGGCGTTAAAAATTTGAGAGAGATTTTTACTGGCTTTTGGTTGTAAATCATGTTATTTCATAAAGAAAAAGATAAGATCTTAGGTAACGTGAGTTCCTGGCACTTCTGTTCAGGGTTTATCTCATTCCCTACAATTTCCCATCTGCCACTCATCTTCATTTTATCTCCATATTTTCTATCCTCTATCCTCCTTCTCTGTTGTCTTTTTACTTTCCTACAGTTTCCTCATGCATAATCATAAAAGTCTCAATTTATTATTACTCCTTTTGAAAATTTATCCCTAAAGCATTTATAATTTTTTTATTTTCATTTATTTAATTTTTTTGAGGCAGAGTTTCTCTCTGTCACCCAAGCCGGAGTGCAGTGGCACGATCTTGGCTCATTGCAACCTCTGCCTCCCAGGTTCAAGTGATTCTCCTGACTCAGCCTCCTGAATAGCTGGGAGTACAGGCACGTACCACCATGCCTGGCTAATTTTTGTATTTATAGTAGAGATGGGGTTTCACTATGTTGGCCAGGCTGGTCTCAACCTCAGGTGATCCGCCTGCCTTGGTCTCCCAAAGTGCTGGGATTACAGACATGAGCCGCCACACCTGGCCCATTTCTCATTTATTAAGTGATAATTAACTAATCAAATATATTCATGACTGTCAATCAAGACTCTTGAACATCTGAGGAAACCCATGTTACTATGCTGAATCCATGGTATTTCCAGCACAAAACTTTGACCCTTAACAGGAGGCCAGAAATGCAAAGTCAAGTAAATTGTGCCCCTACCTTCTGTGAAATGGCCTGGCTGGATCTGAGCTCATTGGATTCAGCCCATCTAGAGACTCAGTCATGTTCATGAATGTACACACCCAGACATTTTTGTGTGTAGAAATGTGTGTACAGGAGAAGGCTTGAGTGAATCGTAAGGGAAAGGAAAGGAGGAGAGGTTGCAGATGTGAGAGAGGAGATCATTATTAGACCAAACTCGCAACAGATTGTCTGAGAAGGACCTGAAGCACAGGTGGAAGATTAGCCTTAGGAAGGAAAGGGAGTACTTTTCCTCTTAAACAGAAAAGGAGGAGTGAACCAATAAAGATAAGGGGAACTTTTGAGGTAAATGGAAACAGAGTTGAAAGTGATCATGTTGGATGACATCTATTTCTTGGTGATAGTGAGAAAAAAAAAGCAAGGGGTGGGACTGAGTCTTGAGAAGAACCAGAAAGGATTCATCTAACTCAAATGCATACTGCATTAGTCAGGATTCTACAGAGAAACAGAGCCAATAGGATGTGCATATATAGAACTATTTATTTTAGGGAATTGGCTCATGTGACTATGGAGGTTGACAAGTCAAAAATCTACAGAGTGGGACAGCAGTCTGGAGACTCAGAAAAAGTTGATATTGCAGTGCACATCTGAAGGCTGTCTCCTGCTGAATTCCTTCTTGGTTGGGGGAAGTCAATCTTTGTTCTATTAAGGCCTTTAGCTGATGGGATGAGGCCCACTCACATTATGGAGACCAGTCTGCTTTACACAAAGGCTACTGATTTAAATGTTAATTTCATACACATACACACATACACACACACACACACACACACAAAATAATAATAATAATATCACAGAAACATTCAGACTAATGTTTGACCCATGGCCCAGCCAAGTTGATACATAAAATTAACCATATGACACATACGTTCCATTAGCTGCCAGGCTAACTCCTTGTTCTTCAAAAATCAGTTGTCCTGTCTTCTCTCAAGGAGACCTTCCTGTAAACCTTTCCCTAGGTGGGAGTTTGCCTTTTTGAACTAAATTGCCAAACTACCCTGTGTTTACTTCTGTCATAAAAACATCTTTCTTTAATTCCCCCCACCAAAATCTAAGCCACTGAGTATAGTCATTTAGGGAGTTTTTTCGTTCACATCTGTATCTCCAACACCTAAAATGTCCCCAGGTGCATTGTAGGCACTCAATAAAAGTGATGGATAAATGAGGTAATAAGTTGCATTTATTTTCTATCAGTTTTACTACTCTCTGAAAGCAGCGACAGAGTCTTAATTACTTTTTTATACCTATGAGGTAATAAGTTGCATTTATTTTCTATCAGTTTTACTACATTGTGAACTCTTTGAAAGCAGGGACAGAGTCTTAATTACTTTTTTATACCTAACATCTAGCACAAATTAAGAGCTCAGTAAATGCTTACTACAGAAATAATGGAAGTGTGACTTACCAAATGTTTACTCTGTATTTTTCCTTGTCCCTGAATACTTCACTTTTATTCCAAAGATTTTTTTAAAAACCACATTCTGAAGAATTTGCACAGATTTGCATTGCTGTATCTGGAGAAATTATACTAGCAACAAGGGTTATAAATCACAAAATACTGGTGGTAGGATCAGACATCAGCAGTTTTTAAAGACCTGCGGGTAATTCCAGAGGTCACAAATCCTTGCACTAGATGCAGTTAAAGTGGGGAAGTTGTTGAGGAAGTTTAAAAATTTTGGGTACCTCTATGTAAGGCAGAGCTACATGGGGATACCAGGTTGGAAGCTTTGAGTGGGCTCCAGGGGAGGAGTGAAGGATACCTAAAGAGGAGAAAGAAGTACTGAAAAGAAAGCTATGAGGTACTTTGTAAGCACCTCTGAGTATTTACCATGTATCAGGCACAGTACTAAGTGCTTTGCATTCATTGCCACTTGTCTCCATAATAGCCTTTGTAAGGTATATAGTGTTACATTCTTTTCACAGATAAGGACACTGAGGTTCGGTTAAGTTCCTCACATCAAGCCAACAGAACAGCAAAAAATTCAAGCCTATATTGACTGGCTACAAAGTTTATGTTCTTTCTGATACATCAGCAGTTCTCAACTCTAACTACAGAGCAAAAGCACCCAAGTCTGTACCCCACTTATGATCAGTTATATGAAAAGTTCTGAGTAAGAGGCACAGTCCTCCATATTTAACTTTAAGTCTCATCAGTATTTCTAAAATGTTTCCAGGGCTGAAAACCACTATCAGAAACACTGTAGATACTCTTCCATTTTGCCAACTCTCATACTGTGTGCTTACAGGTGTTCTCACCCAGGAAAAGAGACTTGACTCAGTTTATGAATGGCGCACCCTAAACTCAGATGAAATATTCTGAACAGACTGAGTGTGGTGGCTCACCCCTGTAATCCCATCACTTTGGGAGGCTGAAGCAGGAGGATGGCTTGAGAGTCCAGGAGTTTGAGACCAGCCCGAGCAACATAGAGAGACTCCATCTTGACAAACAAACAAAAAAAAAGAAAATCTTGAATAGTCATGCACTGGCCCTGTGATTTGAGGTGCTCTTAATTGGTGGCTGCTTTGATGTTAGCAAGAGTTTTATCCTGTTTAATTTAAATTAATGAAATGGATTACATCATGCCTAGTCTCTAACTCTCTGCAAAGGGTCCTGCTCAGGGCCGTTCTGCCATTGTAAGCTTTCTAGCACAGCTGATGCTTTTTCAACATACCCCATTCCAAAAAGTAGGTACTACCTGGGCCACACACACATTCACCATAAAAATTAAATTGAATAGGTATCAAGAAACAATTAAGTTTCATATCAGATTTTCTTCCATTAATTTTGGCAACACAGCGTTCATTTTTCTTTGTATTATAAAAACTTGTTGCTAATGTCCAGGGTCACCAACCTCATGTGAAATAAAATGCATTTGTGCAAGGCCCTGACATCATATCAAAATTCAGTCAGTTATCTTAATGCATAATATATATGTAAAAAATCAAGAGAGACTGGGGAAGAAAAACACAAAAATGTGAGTAGAATGGTAAAAGTTGTCTACCCTGGCTGCACATTAGAATCTGGGATAAACAGATTTAGATAAACAGATGCTCAGAACCCAGCCCTAGAGATTCTGATTCAGGCCCAGTCTGACTGGGCCAATCGTTGTTATCCCTAAGTGATTCAAATCTGCTGTTTTTCTTACCTTTCTCAGACTTTCCACTGTTGTAGAAAATGTGTATTAAATGAGAATACTCTGATTCATATATTTTCTGTCAACCATGATAATGATGATAGTTACTCTAATTGAGCTTGCTATGTGCTAACCAATTTTCCTAAGTGTTTTACATATAGCAGCTCATTTAGTATTCACCACAGCTACTGGGTGAGGCCAATATTATTATCATCTTTTTGCAAATTAAAAAAATACATTTATAGAGATTAAGTAACTCACTGTAAGGCACAGCAGAGGCGGAATGTGAGTTCAGGGCTTCTAGCACCCCGTACTCTTAGAAACTTAAGTGAGTTTATGAAATAAACCATATTATGTCTCCCCAGCCTTCCCATCAGGTTCCCGTTTCCTCTTGACTTTTGCAGAGTCTAATCTAGGTATAGGCTCACCAGTTCTACTATTAGGTGCCTAGGAGGTTCTCCCCCACTTCCATCTAACTCCCACACCTGCTGTATTTACCTTGCAGTGGAACAGAACCAAGTCTTTGAGATTCAAGGAAATACAGCTAGGTGGTTCATCTGCTTTGGGAAAGTGGCCTCTTTATTCCTGAAAACAGTAGAAAGAATGTAAAGCTTAAGAATCACACAGATATAAGATCAAATTTATGTACTTTCACTTATTAATCCTGAGCCCAGGGCAAGTCACTTAATCTCTCTGACATCCCATTTCTTAATCCATAAAATAGAAATAATGATTTCTAAATCACATGATTTAAAAGGATGAAGTAGAATAACATATAGAAGGTTCCTTTGCACACAGTAGGTGCTCAGTAAACATGGGTTCCTTCCCTTTTGCTCTGCTCCCATGTCACATATACAATTAACTTTGCACCTGGCAACTCCTGTTTAGCTTCTATATTTCTGCTTTCCTTTATTCCTTTATTCCTCTGTGTTTAAAAGTCTGTGCTAAGTAGCCAAAGTTTTGTATGAGAAAGGTCTGCTGGGCAAAGCAGAAAGCTACACACATAACACAACTTTAGGGCCCTAAATAAATATTAGGAACAAAAATGCCTCTCAAAACTTTATAGCCTCTCCTGCTTCCCTCCTCTCCTGCCACTGCTACCACCAATATATCCAAATGCCTAAAATCCCGTTTTAAGATCTCTCCTAAGGAACTTATGAAGAACATGCATTAGTCTCAATAGGCACCTGTTACCTCATTTTGTTTACACATGGCTACATGTTGTCATACTCTATATGCTATAACCATTAATTGACATGAGACTGGGTAAAGGACTGGATAAAGGGTAGGCTCTTTTTTATTCTTCTAATTGAAAAATTAAAATTGTATACATTTATCATGTACAACATGATGCGTTGCAGTATGTATATATTGTGGAATGGCTCAATCGAGGTAATTAACCTATGCATTACCTCATGTAGGTATCATTTTTTGTGGTGAGAACACTTAAAATCTATTTTTGTGATTTTCAAAATATCATACATTGTTACTAACTACAGCCACCATGTTGTACACTGGATCTTTTGAACTTATTCCTCCTGCCTAGCTAAAATTGCGTATCCTTTGACCAATCCCTACCCATCCAGCCCCTAATAACTAACCACCATTCCAGTCTGTAGTCTCGAGTTCCACTCTTTTAGATTCTACATATAAGGGAAGGTTCTTCGCTCATTTGTGTGTGTGTGGCACTGAAATGTATTAGAATGTGCTTTCACACAAGCACTGGGGCTTGCCCATGGTGCTCTTCATGTTTAAAGTATGGACATTCTGCCAGTTCTTCTAGAGCAGCGACACCAGGAAGCTGACAGTGAAGTGGATGTTACATACAAGCTCATCATCTGCCATCTTTAGGGGGCCAATGGCCATGGCCAGACATAGCCCCCTTTTCATCTGGAGCTTGATTGTGGGCTCCCACCTCATCAACTTTGGCCAACATATTCCCGTTGTGTGTCAGCAGGGAAGGGAACTTGCCAGCCTTATTTAGGCCTGGGCCAAGGATCCATGGGATCTGCTTGATCTGAGACTCCAAGGCCAAATGGTACCATACCTCTTGGCCAGCCTCTTGTTCTTGTCGAGTTTCTCCAGTGCCTCCAGGTCCATACGGGGGACTCCACAACCTTGGCCTTGTCACAGTGCTGCTGGCCCCCAGGATACACACAGAGGAGTGGAAGTGGGTTGTGGACTTCAGCCCAATGATGCCCCAGAAGTGTTTGTCCTTCTTAGAGTCACAGTGAGCAATGGTCTGGGCCACACCCTGCAGGAGGCATCGCTGGGGCCGTCCAGGAACTTCACACACTCACATGTTTTTGGAAAGGTAGAGCTGCAGAACAGCTTGAAGCCAACAGAAATACCTGTTTTTATTGTTATTATTATTATTATTATTTTAACAGTCTCTGTCTTCCAGGCTGGAATGCAGTAATGATGTGATCATAGCTCAAGGCATCTTCTAACTCTTGGGCTCAAGTGATCCTCCCACCTCTACCTCCCAAGTAGCTGGGACTACAGGCACAAGCCACTATGCTCAGCTGATTTTTATTTTTATTACTATTTTTGTAGACATGGGTTCTTGCTGTTTTGCCCAGATCTTTCTATTTCCTGGCCTCAATTGATCCTCCTGCCTAAGCCTAGAAATACCTCTTCAAGTTTCAATTATCTCTAGTTACTTTATTGTTCATGAGAAATGCCTGTTTTTCTTAATGTATGGTAGTCTGGTTGAACAAGTCATAATATAATGCTTTTACTAAAATAGTACAACAACGTAGAAATAATTCTTTTCTATAGGTGTCCGGCTCCTCAGAGGCATAGCTGATATTGTATCTGCTGTGAAACATTTCTTCTCTCTTTCTAGAGTCTCTTTCCTGTAAGGTGAACTTCTTTTGAAGTTTCATTTTGATAAAATTCCATCACTCGTTTCTTGTCAAGCTTTTGAACTTCATCTTCTATCTTTGCATTTTCTGATACACTCTTGCTTTGGAATATTTTAATATAATGCATAAGCTTCTTTTAGTGAATTTACTGTATATTTGATTATTTTTTCAAGAGTTTGTAAGGAAGATTTTACTTGATGTTATACGTGATTCTTCAAAACTCTTCATCTAAGTTGTCTCTTATTTCTGACTCTCTTACTATATCCAACACCTAGTGACCACTGTCCATTTCATCTCTAAGGACAGCAAACAAATCTGTCATCTTCAACAAACATTCAGTCAAATGCTAGATCTGATGTTCCTTCTCATGTAGAATTTTTTCCAAACATGGTCTTGAAATTTCAACCTCCTTTTTTTCTATGTAAATTAAGACCACTCAGTCTTCCTTTACCTTTGTATAAAAGTAATTTTCCATTTCCCTAAAGTTTGGATTTTTCATCGAAATTTTTCTTTAATACTATCTATAGCTGTGTTTTACTTTTCTGACATAAATTTCAAGATTATTCTGGTTTAGCTACTTGGGATTGGATGGATTCTGATTTATCCTTCAAATGACTGTATTATAGCCTTTGTGTAACATCAACCATCATGCCATCTTCTTCTGGATAGTTAGATTTTTCTTCCCCATTTTCCCCTAGAAAGTCTATTTTAACCACAATAAAGAGTAGGACTAATCAGTTCTTAAATATCTGTCTCCAGACAGCATTTCAAACAACTTTATTTCAAGTCTGGCCTTCAACCAAGACATTTCCAGTGCTTAATGACCTCTCTTAAAATGCCAGAGCCTGTCAGAAATTTTAAGTTTTTCTTCATCTGGAGCAGAAAACATGCCATGATGTTCTTTCTCCCTACATTTATAAAGCAAGCTTTAGTTCTGTGAAACCCAATGAGAGCTGTCCATAGAACCATCTTTTGGGGAAAATCCTAGAGTCCTGATCCTGGGCTCAAACCTGCAGGCATAATGCTCACAGAGCTGCATGGAGCCTTCAGGATAAGCCAGTGGTAAAGCTGTGTGACTATTGCATGTCCTGTGTCACACAAGTGACTGCCACAGAACTGCCTCTGATTGAGAATGTCCTATTGGTCACTGTAGTCTTCCAGGAACCCAGAATATCCCACTCAGATCCCAAGTCAGCAATTGACAATCAAGACAAACTTGCAGGGAGGGAATCAAGGGTATGAACACATTTTTCCTCATCTTTGTTTCATCATGGAACACAAATAAATTGGTTTGTGATATATTTTTGTTTTTGCTTTGTTTTGTTTGTTTATTTATTTATTTATTTTGAGATGGAATCTCACTCTGTCACCCAGGCTGGAGTGCAGTGGTGTGATCACTCCAACCTCCTCCTCCCTGGTTCAAGTGATTCTCCTGGCTTAGCCTTCCAATTAGCTGAGATTACAGGCACATGCCGCCATGCCCGGCTAATTTTTATATTTGTAGTAAAGATGGGGTTTCACTATGTTGCCCAGGCTGGTCTCGAATTCCCAACCTCAGGTGATCTGCCTGCCTCAGCCTCCCGAAGTGCTGGAATTGCAGGCATGAGCAACCATGCCCAGCCGTAAATTGGTGATATTTGTATGATAGTCGGGGAAAATGAATGAGGTTGTTTATGACTCACTCCACCTAGAGGCTGCAAGGGACAAACAGCCCATGTCTTGTCATGCGTGTGAACATTCTAACTTTGCTGGCGGTCAGCAAACTGTGCTCTGAGTCTCCCACATTTTGTATCAGACTTCTAGGCTACAGCCTTAGAGATACAACTTGCCTTGAAAGGTCCCAAAAACTTCTCTCCCAAAACACACCCCACCCCAGTTTATTGTGGGTCAGTAATAAATAGTATTTGTGTAAGAGTGTTGAAATAAAGGGCCTCAAAAGGGTTTCTGCTTGCCTTTAAACAATGATTATGCGTTTGTCTATTCTCACTTTAATTTTGTTCATTTTAGCTGTATGTATTTGGAAGCCCTATTTTTAGTTGTATATCTTCCTGATGAAGTGACCCTTTGTCACCATGAAATGTCTCTCTTTATCTCTGATAACATATTAATACTTTGTCTTGAAGTTTAACATATCTAATGTGTCTTACATAGGCACACAAATATTTTTATGGTATATCTTTTACCATTTTTAAACTTTCAATCAATATGTGTTTTTATATTTAAAGCATTTTTTATATAAACAGCATGTAGTTTGGTCTTGGTTTTTTATTCAGTCTGATAATGGAATATTGAGTCCATTTACAAAATTTATTTTTAATTTTTTATTTCCATAGGTTTTTGGGGAACAGGTGGTATTCTGTTACATGAGTAAGTTCTTTAGTAGTGATTTGTGAGATTTTGGTGCACCCATCACCTGAACCCCATTTGTAGTCTTTTATCCCTCACCCTCTTTCCACCCTTCCCTGGTGAGTCCCCAAAGTCCATCGTGTCATTCTTATGCCTTTGCATCCTCATAGCTTAGGTCTTACTTATGAGTGAGAACATATGATGTTTGGTTTTCTATTCCTGAGTTACTTGACTTAGAATAGTAGTCTCTCATCCCATCCAGGTTACTGCGAATGCCATTAATTCATTCCTTTTTAAGGCTGAGTAGTATTCCATTGTGTGTATATGTATAATATATGTGTGTGTGACATACCACAGTTTCTTTATCCACTCGTTGATTGATGGGCATTTGGATTGGTTCCACATTTTTGCAATTGTAAATTGTGCTGCTATAAACATACATGTGCAAGTTTTTTTTTTTTTTTTGGTATAATGGCTTTTTTTCCTCTGGGTAGATACCCAGTAGTGGGATTGCTGGATCAAATGGTAGCTGTACTTTTAGTTCTTTAAGGAATGTCCACACTGTTTTCCATAGTGGTTGTACTAGTTTACATTCCCACCAGCAGTGTAGAAGTGTTCCCTCTTCACTGCATCCACACCATAATCTACTATGTGTTTTTTTTTTATTTTTTTATTATGGCCATTCTTGCAGGAGTAAGGTGGTATCGCATTTTGGTTTTGATTTGCATTTCCCTAATCATCAGTAATGTTGAGCATTTTTACATATGTTTGTTGGCCATTTGTATATCTTCTTTTGATAATTGTCTATTCATGTCCTTAGCCTACTTTTTGATGAGATTGTTTGTTTTTTTCTTGTTGATTTGTCTGAGTTCATTGTAGATTCTGGATATTAGACCTTTGTCAGATGTATACATTGTGAATTTTTTTTTTCCCACTCTGTGGGCTGCCTGCTTACTGTTCCTTTTGCCATGCAAAAGCTCTTTAGTTTAATTAAGTCCCACCTACTTATCTTTGTTTTTATTGCATTTGCTTTTGGGTCCTTGGTCGTGAAATTCTTGCCTAAGACAATGTCTGGAAGGGTTTTTTTGATGTTATCTTCTAGCATTTGCATAGTTTAAGATCTTACTTAAGGCCTTGATCCATCTTGAGTTGATTTTTATACGTGGTGAGAGATGAGGATCTAGTTTCACTCTTCTACATGTGGCTTGCCAATTATCCCAGCACCATTTGTTAAATAGGGTGTCTTTTTCCCACTTTATGTTTTTGTTTGCTTTGTCAACGATCAGTTGGCTATAAGTATTTGGGTTTATTTCTGGGTTCTCTATTCTGTTCCATTGGTCTATGTGCCTATTTTTATACCACTACCATGCTGTTTTGGTGACCATGGCCTTTACATTTAATGTAATGTTTACCGTCATTAGATTTAAGTCTACCATCTTAGTATTTGTATTCTATTTGTCACATCTGTTTTTTGTTCCTGTGTTCCTTATTTGTTTGCTTTCCTTTGAGCTAATTAAAAATTTTATTATTTCTTTTTATCTCTTCCATTGATGTTTTCTACTACACCTCAATGGAGTGTTTTTATTTTTCGTTGTTGTGTCTTAAGATTGCACACATGCATCTTTATTATTGTTTACCTTTAAATAATATTACAAAAATAACCATGTAAGAACCTTTAAAAAGTATAATTCTATTTACTTGCTGTCCTTTGCTTTCTTCTGGTCATGTATTTTATTTACTTATAGGTAACGACACAAAATGTGTTACTATTTTTGCTTTAAACAGTCACAAGTTTTTAAAATATGAATAGATAGGTAGGTAGATGATGATAGATATGTAGGTAGGTAGACAGATGGTAATTTTTTAAAAGGTCTTTTATACTTATCCAGATATTTAGTCATTTATCCACTCTAATAATTTTCAGTTCTCCTTGTAGATTCAGGCTTTCAGCAAGAATTCACCTTGAAAACTTTCCTTGTCTCTTATAGTATGTATTTGCTAAAAATAAACACTCTCAACCTTTCTCATCTTATTTCACCCTCATGTTGAAAGATATATTTGTTGAACATAGAATTCTAGATTAAGAGTTGCTTTCCTTCAATACTTTGCAGATATTGCATCGTCTTAAGGCAGTCAATATTTTAGTTGAAAACTCAGACATCATACCTAAGGTTGTTGCCTGTGTGAAATGTCTTTTTCCTCTGGCTGCTTTTAAGATTTACCCTTTATCCTTGTTTTTCAATAGTTTAATCACAAAATGCCTCAACGTGTTGTTGGTGGTGGTGGAGTTTGTTTTGTTTGTTTAGTTGTTTGTTTTTGAATTTTCTTGCTTGGGTTTTACTTAACTTTCTTCATACATGGGTTGATATCTTTTACCAGTTTTGGAAATTGTTCACCTATCATCTTTTCAGGTATTTCTTCTCCTTGATTTTCTCCCCGCTACTTTTCTGAGGCTCCAATTACAAATATCTTAGATCATTAGATATTTTGTTACAGTCACAGGATATCTGTCCCATTTTCTTCACTCTTTTTTTTTCTCTAGTGTTTCAGTTTGGATGATTTTATTGACATGTCTCAAATATTACCCACCCTTTCTTCTGCTGGGTTCAGTCTGCTGTTCAACTCCCTGAATGAATCCTTCATTTATTATACATAATTTTTATTTTTATCATTTCTGTTTTGCTCTTTTTGATAATGCCCATATATCTATTGAAATTTCCCAATGTTAATGCATGCTTCTCACTTTTTCATTATATCTTTTTAACATATCTATCATAATTTTTAAACAAATCTCTGCCTGCTATATCCAACATTTGAGCCATCTGTGGGTCTGCTTCTAATGTTTATTTTTTATTTCATAGTCACATTTTTCAGCTTCTTCATGTGTTTTATAATTGTTTATTGTATGTCAGTGGGTAAAAGCACAGAAATAAATAATATTTACTCCCATAAAATGGCTCATCCTTTTCTCTATTTGGCTGTGTGTGGGGTCGGGGGGATGCAGGGAGACTGGATTAATCTAATATGATTAGATATGAATGTAAGCTTTGCTATAGCTTTAGTGTGATTTGTCCTTGGCTTTAGATGTATTTGGGGAAGAAATAGAAATTTATCTTTAGGAAGACTGAGAATAGCATTGCCTCAGAGATGTCTGCGTACTTAAAGCCATCCTGCCAATGTTTCTGGACCACGGAGGATCTCTTTCTTCTTTACACTCCAGCACCAAGCTTTCCAGGTATATGGATATCTCTCTTCACTTCTGGAGAACTGCTACTGTGCACTGAATGAAGACCTCTGCACCTTGAGGGGATCTCCATCAACTCTCTTGCCCTGCCCCAGCCTGTATCAACTACCCCCAAATATTCAGTGATGATCTGTGGAAAGGAGTTAACAGGCAGGCATGGATTCTCTCTGTGGTTGTGGGGCCTCAGTATTCTAATCTGTGGTACCTGTCCACTTGCAACTGTTGAAAGTGTGTTAAGGCTGGGCGCGGTGGCTCACGCCTGTAATCCCAGCACTTTGGGAGGCCAAGGCAGGCGGATCACGAGGTCAGGAAATTGAGACCATCCTGGCTAACACGGTGAAACCCTGTCTCTACTAAAAATACAAAAAAAAAATTAGCCGGGTGTGGTGGCGTGCGCCTGTATCCCAGCTGCTGGGGAGACTGAGGCAGGAGAATGGCGTGAACCCGGGAGGTGGAGCTTGCAGTGAGCTGAGATCGCACCACTGCACTCCAGCCTGGGTGACAGAGCGAGATTGGGTCTCAAAACAAAACAAAACAAAACAAAACAAAAAAACAAAACAAAAAAGAAACTGTGTTAATACCTGGGCTGGTTGTCCTTATCCAACTCTGTGGCAAAGGTGCTCCACCTGTTGCTGTGTCCTCAGGAGTGACAACAGCTGTAGAATTCTTCTATCCAAGAAAAGGTTAACCTCATTTTGAAAATTAATTTCTTTGGATTTCTTTGTGTCTTCAGCTCTCTGATGTGTTTTTTTAAAATATGATTTTGAGACTTTTTGTTGTTAAGGACAGATAAATTTGATAGAGAAGAGAAAGTGTGGAAAGGCACACAGTTACTTTTAGAACACTGCACTGTAAATATGGGGGCAATATGGCAGTCAGGCATGCCCCTAGTTAGTTTTTTTTTTTTTTTTTTGTGACGGAGTCTTGCTCTGTCACCAGGCTGGCGTGCAGTGGCATGATCTCGGCTCACTGCACCCTCCACCTCCTGGCTTCAAGCGATGATTCTCCTGCCTCAGCCACCCAAGTAGCTGGGACTACAGGTGCACACCACCATGCCCCGCTAATTTTTGTAATTTTAATAGAGACAGGGTTTCACCATGTTGGCCAGGATGGTCTTGATTTCTTGACCTCGTGATCCGCCCACCTCGGCCTCCCAAAGTGCTGGGATTATAGGCATGAGCCACCATGCCCGGCCCTGCCCCTATTATTTTGTAGGATCTGAGGCACAAATACAAAGAGGGACATACAAACAATATGTCTAAATATTTAAAAGCTATAACGCAAACTTATAAATTATTAAACCAAATATGTTTTCCTACCTTAATATGTGTATCTTCATAATGATTTTTAAGGCCAAGTTCAAATTGAAATTCTCCTAAATGTGGCTGCTCAGAGAGAGAGAGCACCCACACACTCTGCCTTCTCTTCCCATCCCTAGTTCTGTCCTGTATCTGAAAGGGCCTTGCACTAAGGTGTGTGTGAACACCTTAGCTCATTCTTCCAAGATTGACTGCTACCCCCTACATCACATCCCCACAAACAACCACTCTTCAACTACCCTTAAGTCTTTAAGGTGTGTATACTAGAGGCAGGTTCACCTTGGGAAGACAGACCTGGATGCAGTCTCAACGCCTTTTGAGCGGGAAACTCCAGAGTCTCACATGCTCAGAGCTTGGTTAGAAGAGGGACACTGGTATTTCTTCTAACTCATAGCTTTTTGGGGATGACATAGAAAACAGAGGAAGACTACAGCAGCAAGGCCCTCTAACGAGTGAGGCCCAGGGCAGCCCGTCCCCACAACCTCCCAACCCCCTTGACTGTGTCTTAGGGCAGTACTGATGGCAACAGAATATTTTGGAGCTAGGTGAGCAGACCACATAGAGAGGGTAAATGTGGCAAGAAAGTAAAGGATGCCAAGAATAACCTGTGTTTCTCTCCTCAGGGCCAACTCTTACAGTTGGATAAATAATTGAATGTATATATCTCTCTAAGTGTAAAAGGTAGCTTCAATGTTGATGGGATACTCTTGAAGAAATAGGGTACAATATTTCTAGAAGACTGATTTCTCCAGACTCACATATTATAAGGAGCCAAAACTAGTATGTAAAATGATTCAAGAGAAACCTTACCTCAAATAACAAAATATACAAATGTGGTCCATATACGAATCATCATGACAACTTGAAAGGGAAATTAGTTCACTATTAGATTTTACATTGTCTTCTAACAAAAAGCAAATATAAAATGACTGCTAAGTAATTTTACTTGTCTTGACTAGGTTATGACTTAATTAATAGTTTAGGCAGAAGTTCAATTACAAAAGAATTGTATTTTCACTTTTTAAGAGAGATAGTTTTGCCTAGGAAGGAATTATTTATAATTATATATGTTCAGATATTTAATTCCACAGATAAATGATGGAAGTCTTAATATAGGGAACAACATGTAATGTCAGAATAAAAGGATCTCCTTAGTCTAATTGAATGTTGTACTTCACTATGTCTGTCTGATAGAAATAATTACATACCTTGCTGGGATTTAGCTTTCATTTTAGCATTGGGTGTACTTGTGGAGAAAAATGAAATATCATGTTGCCCCCGTTGGCCCCCACCCCCAAACACACAACTGCTGAATTTGGTGGGATCATTTTGGAGAGATGTTTGAGAATTTGTTCCCTTTATAAGGCAGTGCTAAAGAGTGAAGGCAGAGAATTACAATTAAAATGGTGGATGGGATACTTGCTTAAGTCTACCCTCTCCCTCCTAAAGGAACTGCTATAATGACAACTAAAAAAAGAATGAAAAAGAAACTCACTTTCTAAAGAAAACAGGAGAGAACACAACAGCAGAGAGCTATTGACTTTTTTTTTTTTTAATGGAAATGGAATGAATGAGTGGTATGTGTTTTTAGCTAAACAGAGATGTAGAAACCCAGGTGTCTGCAGAGGAGATGCCAAAAAGAAACAAATGGGAACTCCATTGAGAACCCTCAAAAGACTCAAAGACTGGAGGCAAAAAGGATTGCTGACGCTAAGGGACAGACTTGAGGCTGAAAACAGGACTGTTTGAAATTCTTAACAAGAACACCTGGACTCCCAAATTCCCTCCTCAACTTTTTGCAGCCTGACAGCTACCCCTCTCTCACCCTGTAAGAGAGATGGCGGGGTATTATTCTCTGGAGTAACTTAACTATAGAGGCTACAAGCTTAGCATTATTGGGGACAGTGGCAGATGAGGATGAGATACGATATAGAAATCTGGGAGACTTAAGTAGAAATCTGCGTGCCGAATAGTAACAAACTCTACTTTCCCTTCAAGCCTTCTTAGGTGGCTCAGCTCCCAGGACACTGGCAACCAGGCTGTACTTCCCAGGCAGAACATTGGAGGGGGCACCTTCCTAGAGGGTCTGACTACCCAAGGGGGAAGAAATCTTGCTAATCTTGAGGGCATTTCGGTGAAACAACTCAGCTTTGTCTAATGGTTTTATGGTAATGTCCTGGAGCCCATAATACATTGCTTGAGCAGACAGCTAAAGAATACCACATATGGAGGAAAGTCTCCAACAAAGAGACCAAAGCAAACTAACCAACAAGAAATGGAAGGAAACAAAGACTCTGGAGAGAACAGAAAGCTGTTACATGTAGCTTTAAAAAGCTGAAATGTGTATTATAGATAGTAAAAAAGAAATTGTGTTCATGAAACTAAACATGGTGCTATGAAAAAGGAGAAATTAGAGAAAATTTAATTCTTAAAAATTAAAAATGTTAGGCGAAATAATATAATCAACAGAACAAAGATGAGAGACTCTTCTAGAGGTAGATGACAAAAAGAAGATAAATAGAAAAGATAATAACGTTAGAGTTTGAGTCTCAAGGTTAGTTTCAGAATAAAAGAACAGAAGAAATAGAGGTCAGAAATTGCTAAAAGTACATAACAAAATTTCCTGGAACTGAATAAATGAGTAAAAGTCCCTGAATTTCAAATATAATCAACTGGGGGAACTCATGCATATCGCACCAAATGTGCTGTTATGAGACAATAGAACACCAGGGATAAAGAAGAAATCATAAGTGTTTTCAGAGAGAAGAAGGAGGGAGGGAAGAGGAGAAGGAAGAAATGAACAAGCAAGGAAAGGAACAAAGAAAGATAGAAAGTCAAATAAAATGAATCGGGAAACAAAATAACTTCTTAATAACACTGGAAGCTAAAAGACAGTAAAGAAATCCCTTGAAATTTCTGAGGAAAAGGTATTTCTAAACAATGAATTCTGTGTAAAGTAAAAGTAACAATTAATGTAATAAGAGAATAAAGAAATATTTTCAAACATTTAAGTTCTCCAAAAATGAGTTTGTCCCAAACATCTTTCTCAGGAAGCTACTGCATGCTCGCCCACCCACCCATGAGGGAGTCCATCGAGAAAGAAAAACAAAGAATTCAGGGAACGGGACCCAAACTACAGAGAGGCAAAGAGCAGTCCTAGGATGACAGCTCAGTAGCAAGATTGCCACAAAAAGCATGAGGGTACTAAAAAACAACAACAACAACACAACTAACATATTTGACTGTATTAAGAGGAATGTTGCATTTCTATTGGAGAGTTTGAGGAAATATAAGATGGGCAGATGAAAAATTAAGAAAACAAAAATATGATGCAACTAATATCAGGAAAAAGAAGAAAAAAATGTGTAAAAGAAATGTAATCATACATTCCCATGTGGCTTACATGTGGATAATATATACAAGTTAAAATAATGTAAACCCTAATTAGTAGTTTATCTAAGATTGTTGTGTAGTTAAATTGGGAAGATTAAGCTAAGGGAAGCATGTGTGTGCTCATGTGTGTGGTAGGGAGGTAGGTGACAGGGAGGCAGGAAAGAAGAAAGAGAGAGAGATAGGGAGAGAGGACACACATGCTGGAGGAAGTATTATATATAATATCCTACATAGAATCCTTATCTCCCATAGTAGGAGGCCAAAAGGTAATATCAACATTTGAAAATCAAAAAGTAGGTATCTGAGTATCATGTGGGAATATGGAATCATCATCATAATGAACAGTTAGATGAAGATGGTTGCCTCTGGGCTTCAAAGGTATAGAGAGGTGGGTGGGACATTCTTTTAAGCTCTACAGTTTTGTGTAGTTTTTAAGAATATGTGCATGAATTTTTATTAATATGAAAAAGCTAATTGTTTGTAAAGAACATGAATGCCATGAATACTAGAGCTTTGTGGTTTTCAAGCAGTGCTTCCCAGGTTCATGGAGGGCTCCTGGAGTCCCCACAGGGACTGCCTCATGGAGGAGGGGGCTGAAGAAATGGGGCCACAGGCTTTACACCTGTTACTGCTAAAGGAGCTATGCTTTGTCATTGTTATGTTTCAGTGAACTATTTCCTTTGAAGAAAAGGTTCCATAGAAAACAACAGCAAGTTTGAAAAACACTGATAGTAGTTTGCTTATTTGGAGAAAAACTGTTCCCAAATTGCTTTGGTTCAAATATGATTTGTCCCCACCAAAACTCATGTTGAGGCTTGGTTCCCAATGTGGTGGTGTTGGGACGTGGTGCCTCCAAGGGTAGATTATTAGGTCATTAAGAGGGAGTAATGCCTTTTTTATGGGAGTGAAGTCCTAGTTACTTTGAGGTTGTTACAAAGTAAAACTGCCTGTCTTGTCGGGTTTTTTTTGTTTTTGTTTTTTTTTGCATGGGCCAGGCTCCCCTCTCACCTTCCCACCCTGTTATGAAGCAGCATGAGTTCCTCACCAGATGCAGCCACCCGTCTTGGACTTCCCAGCCTCCATAACACAAATGAATATGCTGACTCTAACTATCAGACTCCATCCAGTTTGGCTATCACCTGTCATTTTCTGTTATTACACAAAACAGAATTGTCGTATTTCTAACCCTGGATAGATCTTTAAAAGAACTTGAATTAGAACCAGTTTTCACATGGATTTCAAATATGGATTAGATATTTGATTATGAAAATTTGTATATTTTCATTTTGCTCCAAAACCAAATTTTACCCTCACTTCTTAAGCAGTATCACATACAGTATATGCTGGCAGAGTTCAAATAAGTAATCCAATAGAGGTGGTCCTCTGTCCCTGGGATGAAGTTGGACATTCTGGTTTCACTGAGTGATGGACATATTTATGATTGTGCTCCAATTCGAGTTGACTTTGGTTCCACAAAGGAAAAATACCCCCACCCCAGGGTATAGAAAAAATACAACAAAATCTTTAGTTTTTTTTTTTTGGAGACAAGGTCTTTCTCTGTCACCCAGGCCTGGAGTGCAGTGGTGTGATCACAGCTCACTGCAGTTTCAAAGTCCTGGGCTCAAGCAATCCTTCCATCTCAGCCCCCCTACTTGGGAGGGTCCGAGCTACTTGCTGGGACCACAGGTAAATGCCACCATGCCTGGCTAATTTTTTTTTTTTGTAGAGATGGGGTCTCACTATATTGCACTGGCTAAAAATCTTTATTTCTTTTATACTGGAGATAACCCATATGTTTTGCAAGCATGTTATATTGGTTGTTACTGGGGCTTTATAACCACTTAAAGACAAAACATCCCTAACTTGGTGAGTTTAATTTAGGAGAAAATCAAATGCTAAAACAGACACTCCTGAAAAAATATGTTTCCTTAGTCAGTCTCTCTCTTTCATTTTCTTTGTTCTCCTCTGCACTCCACATAGTGTGAAATGCTGTGCCTGTTCTTTGTGCTTCCATTATTTCTCAATATAAAATAATTAAAATCTGCTTTGAAAAATAACTATGTTATCTAATACAAATTTATATAAAATATATTTGATATAAAGTATATATTTACACATTTTATGTGTTCTGAACTTAAATGCATATCTCATTTGAAGTTGACAACAACTCTTTGAAGTATTATTATTCTCATTGTAGGGATGAAGAAATAGTGGCCCTTGGTGGTGGACCTCTCCCAGGTTGTGTAGCTAACAAGGGATAAAGACCAAATGAAATCTTTATTTTCAGAGTTTTGGTCTACTTGGGCCAAACACTTTCTAATTATTAAAAAGGCTAATCTTTATCACAAGCATACATATAACTTTAAAACTTCCAGATCACATATATAGGATGACCAACTCTGGTTTGTCTGAGACTTTCCTAGTTTCAGCGCTGAAAATCCTGTATCCCAGGAAATCCCTCGGGCCTAGACAAAACAGAATGGCTGGCCACTTTACATTCAGCAGTCAGTCCAAGAGACTGTAATAGATACCCATCATGGGAACTGAGAGAGACACAGGGAAGGAAATGCAAGTAGAAGAAAATGATCCAGAAAGTTTGTATAGACGAGTAAAACTGATTTCTTACCCTATCAAAGTAAACCAGTTGTAACAACCACCACAACCCAACAATTGGCACCAACTTTTCAAAAATGTTTATGTAACCAAATATATCTATAGACTTAAGATTCATGACTATATCATGAAGTGTCCCAAAGACCCACAAACTTGGTACTACCATATCTTGAAAAGTAAAACCTCTCTTAAGTGTTTTATGAGAAGAAATCACAAAACACTCAGACAGATATCCTAGGGCCAAATACCCTAAACCTCTTTTTGAGATCCTGATCTCCTCAACGTCTGCCTCATTGAAGTAGCTGCTCCCCAACCCAGCTTACAGTCTGCCCCCAACCCCCTACCTATAGTGTGCCAGATTCTGTTTCCCGCCTGCTCTTCTCTCGTTCTCACCATCTTAAGAGTGTTCTTTTTCTTGGATATTTCCCTCCTTGCCCTTTCTTAAAACCAACATAAGTCCCATTAATCTTCTTCTATGTCTCTTTAGACATTAAAGAGCATCTTCATCCCCTTATGCTCCTCTCCCCTATAAGCTCCTGCAACAAAGATCCAGAGAACTAGAGATGCCTCTTCAAAGATGAGGAGGAGGGTGAGGAATGAGGAAATGCTGCAATTATTCCTACTTGAATATTATAGTGTGTGTGTGTGTGTGTGTGTAGATTATGAAGGTAAAATAATGTCATTACAGAAAATTTACAAAAAGTGAATTAAGATTTTTCATAAAGGATCCACAATCATTTTGGTAGGAATTTTTTAGCCTTTATCTTCCTCTCTGGTGTTCTAATATAGTTGAAATCATGGTGCACATACACATGCAAGCTGATTTTTAACCTAACTAAGCATTAGCCTATGCCATTCTGTTTTTTATAAAAACTATCATTGTTCCCCATTATTTGCTATCAAATATACGAATTATATTTTATATTAATACTATACTAATTATATTTATAATACTATACTAATTATATGTATAATACTAAGTATATTTTGTAATTAGTATATTTGTACATACAGCCCTTTGCATGATTACAGTTATTTTCATGTGACAGGCATATATAACAGGTGTCCATTTCAACCAATTTTTAAGTTTATTGGCATTTAATAGGATTATATGTAGCATGCTGCTGTGGTTTTCTTTGTTTTTAAAATGTATGTTTGTAAGGTATACATGATGTTTTGATATACTTATTTTGATATATATAGTGAGGTGATTACTACAGTTAAACAAATTAATATTCCGTTGTTTCCTATAGTTACTTTCATGTGTGTGTATGAGCACGTTTGTGTGTGTTAAGAGTACCTAATAATCCACTTCAGGAGGCCGAGGCGGGTGGATCATGAGGTCAGGGGATCGAGACCATCCTGGCTAACATAATAAAACCCCGTCTCTACTAAAAAATACAAAAAATTAGCTGGGCGTGGTGGTGGGCACCTGTAGTCCCAGCTACTTGGGAGGCTGAGGCAGGAGAATGGCATGAACCCACAAGGCAGAGCTTGCAGTGAGCCGAGATTGTGCCACTGTACTCCAGCCTGAGCAACAGATCCAGACTCTGTCTCAAAACAAAACAAAACGAAAAAAAAGTACCTCATAATCTACCCCCTTGGCAAATTACCGGTATACAATACAATATTATTAACTGTAGTCTTTGTTCTATATGCTAAATCTCTACGCTTAACTATATAACTCTCTTTTTGTACCTTTTGATCTATATCTTCCCATTTCTGCCTGCTCCTGGTAACTATTGCTTTACTCTATTTCTATATATTTGATTTTTTAAAAGATTCCACATATAAGTGAGATCATGCAGGATTTGTCTTTCTGTGCCTGGCTTATTTCACTTGGCATAATGTCCTCTAAGTTTATCCATGTTATGGCAAATGGCAGGATCTCTTTTTTGGGGGCTGGATAAGATTCTGCATATGTATATCACAATTTCTGTATTCATTCCTCTGTCATTGAACACTTTGGTTGTTCCCACATCTTGGTTATTGTGAATAATGCTGCAATGAGCATGGAAGTACAGATACCTTTAGGAGTTGATGTATTTCCTTTGGGTATATACCCATAAAAGAGATTGCTGGGTATATTTTTAAGTTGATTGGCATTTAATAAGATAATAAATAGCATGCTGCTGCTTTGAATCTTCCATATTTGTCTGTAGAGCCCCTGTTTTCTAATGCAGTTTATGTAAAGTTTTTCTACTTTTTCTTGGGCAGTATCTATTTTAATTACTTTTAAATGACTTGGATGTATTAATGTTTTCTCTTTTAACAAAAATCACAATTATACCCCAAATTATTTTTGCATAAAAAGTATATGCTTTTAAAAATAAATGATATGACAAAAATATTAGCTATAAAACTATCACCATGAGAATACTGCCTGTCCTAATCCCTTAAGGATATTTATTAGGGAGGAAAAAAATAACAGAGGTCGTTTGCTTTTCAGTGACCAGGTTCTTCATACACATGGATGTCTCACAGATCAGCTAAGGCCTGTGTTTGAACACCTTGGTCACCCCTGCAAGGAGCCATGCTCCAGCATTTGCCATCCACAGAACGGTGCTAATAGAGTCTATTTCTGGAGAATGGAGGAGAGATTAACTTCTTGTTCATGATAAATCAAGGGTATCTGATTTGCCTGTTACATGCCCAGTTTTCTTTGGAAGCAAGCCCTAGAAGCTGTTTTTCTGATCTAATCCTAATTCTCACATTAGTGCTTATGAAAGAGGAAAACAACATTTACTCACGATAAAGACTGAGTTCTAGCCATTATAAATCTTATCAATTGCCTTGTGAAGGTTAGGGGGAAAAAGAAGGAAAAAAATGATTGTACTCACTCACACTTGCATCTGGACTAATGTTCCTATTCCCGTTGTTGAGTGTTCTGAGATTTCTAAGACTGGCACAAATGGAAATAGCAGCAGAGATAAAGTTGGGAACCTTAGGAGATATCTGACTGATGAATGTTGCACTATAAAGAGTGGCCAGTAACAGTTCGATAAGGAAAATTATTATAGTTTACTCATTACTGGGAAATATTAGCAAACCTAAACATTTCATTTTTTTTTCTATTTTTCTTATAAGCCACCAAGATTGGTAGAAGTGCTCTTAACAAATATTTGCCACGTTAATATTTAGAATCACACACATGCATACATACATACATAAGATGTATAATGATTTTTTGGCTTCAGTAAAGGTACTTGGTACATAATATACATTCTATATAATATTTTGGTTAATTGCCTGAAAAGAAGCGTATTTTTCCCAAGACAAATACAAAACATATTTATCTAAGATGTAGGCCAACAAATAACCATTTTCCATAGGTTAAGATATACACTTGCACATGAGCAGTTCTTCAGTTTCAACAACCATTTTTTGAGTATCAGTTATGTGCTAGTGCTCACTCTGAGATACAACAGAGGTGAACAGAGCAGCTGAATGTGAACCATTGATGGCCGCACGTCTGTCCACCCTTCTTAGTTCATTTGTGTTTTGGCACCATCCATTAGCCTTGGGAAGGCGTGTTTTTGACAGAGGGATAAAGAAACACAGTGACAGAAATGTGTACTTTCTGGACTATTGCTTTATTTCTTCCCATTTATTTGTGAAGTCATTAGAATGCCCGTCTATCAGCATTACATAGAGCCTGCAGTTTCCCTAAGAAACTGTCAACTTTGGGGACAAAAATAAGGAAAGTTTCTTACTCCTCTGTTTCTATCTTTTGATCTTTTTAAAAGACATCTAGTAACAAAGTTAGGCTAAAAGGCTAAAAGCTGGTAAGCCACCAATCTATATGGGGCATCAAAATATCACTAAAATAGGCTAGTAATATGATGCCAATTAATCAAGTTTTCCCTCATGGTTTCTTAAGATGGTATTGCCCTAGATATGATAAAATATAACCCAAAATAGAAGATTCAAAACCATCAACAAACAAAAACAGAAAGCTTGCTTTCTGGCATCTACGTTTTGCCGTTGAATATTTTTGAGATGTCCACATAAGTTCCAAGGAGCAGCTGCAGCCACACCACCACCCTGAGCCCAGCCAGCTGACAGTTGCCTAGAGTTGGCAGCCACAGCTAGCTGAAATTTGGAAACCCCCAAATGCTTAGGGTTGAGATGTGTCCAATTACCAAAATTATAAAGCCTTCATTAGGCTTTTGAAGAAGTTGTGTGGTCTGTAGAATTGCATGTTTTGAACATAAAGAGGTTAGTTATTTTCAGAGGCAGGAGATCTTTTGGCCCCAGTGACCACTAAATATTAATAAATATTAAACACAAGTTAATTAATGGTGATTTAAAGGGACCCCATGTTGTTAATTCATGTCAGTCTCTATTTGATGAAATGTATCTTTTTCTTTGTTTCCATTCACTCAATTTCTCTTCTTTTAGATATACACTTGTATAACACACACACACACACACACACACACACACACACACACATTTTGTTTTCCAGTCCGCACTCAAGTTTTGCAAGACAGTCCTGAAAAAGAAGTTTCAGTGGGGAGATAGAAGTGTTTTTTGCACTCTCTCCTGTTTGGTTGAAATCAGTTTTTCCACAATTCTTACAACAAGTTTTTCTCTAACAGAAAATGCACAGATTGAACAGTTGCCCTCCAAAACACTGGCAAGCAGGCGGCATGATGATTTCCTCTTCTAACGGATCCCAACTCATTTACTAAGACTCATTCAACTTTTAACAAAAAATTTGTCATTTCTCTTTCTTACTACAGCCATTGCCATCCTCTGTAAAATTACATGTGGACATTAAAACTTAAATGCTGTCCTACAATGAAAATATTTTTAATGCCCTCCTCAAAGTTAAGAAAAAAAATTTACTATTTGTATTTTGTGTACCTGGGAAGTTATTCATGCTGAGTAACAGTACAAAACTTGAGCTGCCTTGCTTTCTGCTTCCAGGAATGCCAATCAGAGAACATTCTTTTTCAGGCAGCCAAGTTTGGAAGTCAGTTGGTTTCTGGCAGTGAGTAGGGGGAGGGGATGGCAGGGGAAGCATAGTGAGTCCTCGGGCTGATGTTCAGCTTCCAAGTGTTTCCGTAATATCCGTCAATGAAAGCATCTCCTTTTACCCACGTAGAGACAGGTAAAAAGACAGCTGAGTAAATCAGCATTAGATGTAACAGCGGAAGCTCAGTCAGAGGGAGCGGGGAGGGAGGGCGCATGAAAGCCTGCCATTGGCGAGCTTACCAAAGGCATCTGCCAGTGGGACTTCAATGGAATGTGAAACCAAATCATTTTCAAGTTAAAGATAGACACAGTACACACCAGGATCTAGAGGCTGGATTTCATACTCATAGCTCTCCCTAGAATTTCAGAGAGTTCTGTTATGATCTCTGTTGTAATTACCAATTTGGTTCAAGTTTGTTCTTTAAATGAATATGCTTAGAATTCACATATGTTCTGGATGTACTGGAATTAAAAGGATTTAAGAGATCATGGTGTGCATGTTCTAGGGTAAGTGAAAAGATTGGTTTTTAAAGTGCATCGCTTTTCTGGGATGCTTAATATTGAATTTTTCTTTTTATCTGTGTGAATGAAAAGGTCAAGATTTTTCAGTGTTGTAGCTTGCTTACCTTTCTTAAGATACTTGGTATTTTACATTTTGTGCAGCAGAAAGAGGATTTTTGCTTAGTTTTGAAATTTACATTGCAAGTCTGTAACTTCAGTTTTGACTTTATCCTTATTTGTTTTTCCCTCTATTCTTCTCTTAAGCACTATGAGTTTACTGAGTTACAATCTCAATAGTTTTATGTCACAACACAGACTGAATGCTACTGTGTCTATTATGCCATTGGATGAAACTATATTATTGTGAGATGGAGTTCAGTTTCCCCTGCATGTTACTAAGTCACTTCCCAATTTGAGAAACAAAAAAAGGAAAAAGGAGAGGAAAGGTGCTCTAAAGGTGGCTTAAACTGCGTAAGGAGCCTTTAGAAGATATTCTACTTTTTAAAAAGCAACTGAGAAAAAAAATAGGCACTTTTCAGGAAGAGAAGAATTAATAGAAGTTATTTTTTAGTGTTATCTCATTAATTCCAAGCAGGTTCCCCTCCTTCAGGAAAAAAAAAAAAGCTGAAATTTGCTAAGTGGATGGAGGCGTTCTGATTTTACAGAGCTTGAGAGAAGACAAGGGAGAGGAAGAGTTGTCTGATTTTGCTATTGTCGCACTGTTTTAGGACTTCAAACTTCTTCTTGAAAAGAATGACAAACTTTAGTTCTCTTCATGTTTTGCCCATGTATAGGTTTTGTTTCTTGTTTTGTCAAATGACCTCTCCCTCTGCTCTTAGAGACAGCTCTTCCAAACTTGCACAGCATTCCTTCTGAATAAATACTGTCCATAATAGTCACAGAGTACATGGTGTGAATTGGAAATTCTACTTTATATGGGGAAAATAAATCTGCTGACGCTGTTATTACAGAGTGCACAGATGAACAGTTGTTAAATGTAACTGGCCAGTTTTTTGTCTTGTCAAATAGACCAGATTCTAATGAACTAAGTTGGCTAAACTAGGTACAAACAATGAAGGGCTTCTTATGGATTTTTCATTCAACTTTGATGAGAATAAGTAATACACTGTGTCACTCTTCTAAAATGAAAAATGGGCATTATATTGATAAAGTCATTTGATTTTACAACTACTGAGTAATCTAGTGAGGCCAAGCAAATGTGAAGTTGGCAGAGCTCAGTTCTGATGCCCCTTTCCTCCTTTCTCTGTCCAATTTTCCCTCCCTCTCAGTCCTCCTTATCCCTCCAGACCCCTGATGAATATGACTACTCAGCGCCCCCGTTTTCTTGTCAAGCAAGACCTATACTCAAGAAAGAATCTGACTTAAGAGAGTTTTAAAGTCAATGTACTAAGTCCCCCAGTAATATTTGCTTTTCAGTGTAAATATCTGACCTTGTGACAGTTTAGACAATTTGTTAAATGATAGTTAACCTTGGGTAATACTTATAATTAACCCCTTTAGGTTGCAAGCAATTGCAATTAATTTTCATTTCCCCATAATCATGTGTTAACTTTGTAAATTTTCTGTGGTCATACTGGGTGCCTTGTGACATTGTATTACCAGTTGTGTACTGAATGGTTGACAATAAGAATGAACCTGGCAGAAATCACAGGTGCTTCCAAGAAGTTTGTGAATGCATGCACCTGGGTGCTCACCATACACTCAGGTACACACAGTAACACATGTAGGCATACCTTTTATGTAACTAATATGTTTTTTATTGAATTATAAAATAAATGAAAATATGTTAGGCTTACCAGTGTGGGATTTGGGTTTTTTTTCAGTGTGTCAAAAAAAAACACAAAAAAGAACACAAAATGTAAAATTCTAAAATGAAGAATGTTAAACTATGTGGCCAAATAGTGTTGACAGAAAAAGAGACAAATATTTCTCTGCTACTATTATATCACTTTTATAGTTTCTAATTCTTGTATAAAATTGTCAATCTTAGCTTTTATTCTTTTGAACATCCTAAGTGTAGTTTTATAATCTATTTCTGATAATTATAGTATCTCAAGTGTTACTGGATTTGTTTCTATTATTACTCTTCCTGCTAGTTCTCATTCATGGTGTCTTAATTTCTTGGTTGCTTGGATATCTTTGACTCTATGCTGGAAATGTATTTTTAAAATTACATTATAATTAAAGATCGTAAGAGTAAGTTGAGATCTAAGTGATAATGTTTTCCTCCAGAGAAGACTTTGGTTTGCTTCTGCCAGGCACCTGGGGGCGATATCAGACCAGAATCATCTTAGACAAAGTACAACTCCTGATGTTCCCTGAATCACCTCTGTGACAAGAAGGCTGCAAATCAGTGAGAGGAATGGTAGGTTCACTCCTCCCCTAAAGGAGAGTATGACCTTTCATGACACCAGCATAAAGCTGGGTTAGTTAATTAAAGCCCCACCTGAGGGCCAAGGACTTTGACTTTTCTATGAAGCACAGAAAGCTACTTGAAGTGTAAAGCTAGATTCTCAGATCTTTTTTCCTGATAGTCATATGCCCAAGGGCTTTTAAAAGTGACCTCACCTCTCTGATTTCTGATCTTCTCCTAAGTTTTCATATGCCAAATCTTCACCATCTTACTAAAGGCTCTTTGCTGTTTTTTGTTTGGTTGGTTGGTTTTTTGTTTTGTTTTGTTTTGTTTTATTCTGTTGCCCAGGCTAGAGTGCAGTGACATGACGCGATTGATCTCCACTCACTGCAACCTCTGCCTCTTGGGTTCAAGTGATTCTCGTACCTTGGCCTCCCAAGTAGCTGGGATTACAGGCACATGCCACCATGCTTGGTTAATTTTTGTATTTTTAGTAGAGTCGGGTTTTCAACATGTTGGCCAGGCTCATCTCGAACTCCTGGCCTCAAGTGATCCACCTGCCTCAGCTTCCCAAAGTGCTGGGATTACAGGCATGAGCTACCATGCCCAGCCTCTTTACTGTTTTTATATCTCAAATATCTTTATTACATCAGGTAATACATACAAATATCTTATTACATCGGGTATATCAGTCCAGATTCTCTCATTACTGTTACCAGAAATGGAAATTCATCCTACTGCTATTATAGTTGTTTCTTTTTACACTCTTCGTTCTAGAGAACATATCAAAGTTTGCTGATATCATTAATGATTTCAGATAACTTTTCTGATTTTATTTTTTAGTTGTGACCTGATATATTCAAACTTTTTGGAGAAAATTGCATATGCATGCTGATTGAAAGATTCATGTTTTCTGACTTTATTTGAGCTGTCAACACCACCTAACAGTTCTTTTTTTTAATTATACGCAAGTTGTGGGATACATGTGCAGAACGTGCAGGTTTGTTACATAGGGATACATGTGCCATGGTGGTTTGCTGCACCCGTCAACCCGTCATCTACATCACGTATTTCTCCTAATGCTATCCCTCCCCTAGCCCCCAATTCCCTGACAGGCCCCAGTGTGTGATGTTCCCCTCCCTGTGCCCATATATTCTCATTGTTCAACTCCCACTTATGAATGAGAACGTGTGGTGTTCGGTTTTCTGTTCCTGTGTTAGTTTGCTGGGAATGATGGTTTCCAGCTTCATCCATGTCCCTGCAAAGGACATGAACACATTCTTTTTTATGGCTGTGCAGTATTATTTGTCCCTAGCTGGCCCCTTTCCTTGGCAATTTCTTTAACCTCTAATCCATCCCACAAGCATCCTTCACTCTCAGAAGTTGATTTTGACTCTTTCTGGTTTCTCTTGGCCTATATCCAGTACTAAGACATTTAAAAAATCTTCTTAAATCCCGTGCTTTCCATTCTCTCTGCAGTTGCTCTACTTCAGGTCTTCATCATTTAACTTGGCTATTATATGGTCTTCCAGTTGTTCTCCTGTCTCTAAGCTCCATCCACACCCTCACCCTGCCACTACATACACACTTGCTGAAACCAACATACCCATCTTCTAAAAACTATAGACTTCAATTAATTGCTCCCCTACTTAAAAATCTTTAGTGATTCATGACTCCCTTCAAAATAAAGCTTAGTGTCCTTAGTATGTCTTAAAAGGTCCATCACAAAGCCTCGATCTGTTTCTCAAACATTGACTCCACTGCTTCACTGGTTATCACCAACACTTCAATCACATACAATGGCTGCCTCCACAATATGCCGTATACTATTTTAGCTCTGTGCTAGTCTACCTTTCCCCACCGCCCCCCGCCCCCCCAGAATGCCTATTGCTTCTCTCCTTTGTGGGAAAACCCCACTTTTCCTTTAGGGTTGACCTCATAAGTCACCTTCACTGTACTTTCTGTACTTTCTTTTTAAGTGTATAGCTCACCCACTGTTCTGGGAGTCCCTAATGCTGTGGCTTGTGTCTTACTCGCTTTTTTATTCTCAGTCACTGACACACAGGAACCACTCAAAAAAATGTTTAAGAAATGAACAGATGACTATTCAGAAGAAGTTTGTTTCTGAGGAATTTGTTTTGTTAATATATTCTTTTCCATTCTAAACATCATTTTTTCTTTTGACCTTAGACTCTTTGTCTAGAATAATGATCATTAGTAATCCTGTATGTCAAGTGGAGTCAGTAAAAACATGTTTATTTGGCTGTTGTCACTGTCTTGGGGAAAGGGAATTCTCTATTTTCTTTCTTTCTTTTTTTTTTTTTTACCAAATGTGATGTATAACTTGATTGTGACAACAAGAGAGTAGAAATTTAAGTATGGTGAGTCAGCTGTTTATTATCAGAGAGATTCATAATCAAAAGAGTCATAGAGTGGGAAAACTGACATATTTCAACAAATCTAGTCCAGAATGTTAAATAGCACAATGGGAAAATGTCAATGAGGCACAACTAAATGAAAATTATCTCATTGCATACAACCTCAATTTCAACCATTAGAAAACACTGGGTTGTTTTCAAATCACAGTGTGGTGCTACAAAGAAAGCAGTTGAGTGTTTATGTAATACAATATTGTGAAAGCTTGTGGAAAACTTTTCTTAAAATTTTTAAGGCCTTGGCCAGGCGCATTGGTTCACGCCTGTAATTGAGCACTTTGGGAGGCCGAGACGGGTGGATCACGAGGTCAGGAGATTGAGACCATCCTGGCTAACACGGTGAAACCCCATCTCTACTAAAAATACAAAAAAAAATTAGCCAGGTGTGGTGGTGGGCACCTGTAGTCCCAGCTACTTGGGAGGCTGAGGCAGGAGAATGGCATGAACCTGGGAGGTGGAGCTTGCAGTGAGCCGAGATCGCGCCACTGCACTCCAGTCTGGGTGACAGAGCGAGACTCCATCTCAAAAAAAAAATTTAAGGCCTTGAAGTGCAATTTGAATATCATCTTTCTAAAAGCCTATGCTAAGCAAAGAAAAACTGTATTTGTTTATTAAACATTGAATATAGTTGATGGGAACCAGAGGAAGAGGAAATATAACTTATTAATTCCAAGGATGTTTAATTAATTTTATACTCTTTGGACCACTTATAAACTTTTTACACATTTATTGTGAGGCTTTGATACGCCAACTTCTGAGATTTAGATAAATAAGAAACTTGGCTTATATTATTTCTCATACAGGACACTCCTACCTTCACAAAGAGAAAAGCCCCAGTATGGGTGGGGCTTCAGAATGTATCTTCAGAAAATGTATCTTCAGAAAACATCTTTGAATTTAATGAAATGTTCAAACTCAGTGTTTGAGATCCCAGAATTCTTCATCGCAAAATATGAAAATATGATATTGGCCTTTCTTTTTTGCCTCATCTATAAAAGAACTCTAAACTAGCTCTTGAATAATGGCTGATTTCTAATCATAACTTCCAAACAGCTGAACTCATTTTTCTCATTAATTCAATAATTTGAACTCCTACCTTTTGTTCTAACTGTGTAGACAATGAAATTACTTATTCACCCCCTTCACCGGACACTGGTACTGAAGGATATCATGTTAAAACAATGAATTTAATTAACAATTTTTTTCTTTTTTGTTGTTGAAAAGGGAAAACAAAACCCTCAAACCTGAAAAATTCCATATCCCTTCATTTTACTTTTTCTTATTACAGAAGCAATGTAGGAAAATCATGACTTTACCTGTTTTTGGTTGTCGTTGTTTTGTTTTCTTGTTGTTTCTTTTTTGAGACAAAGTCTTGCTCTGTCGCCCAGGCTAGAGTACAGCTGTCAGCTCACTGCAGCCTCTACCTCCTGGGTTCAAGCAATTCTCCTGCCGCAGCCTCCCAAGTAGCTGGGATTACAGGCACCCGCCACCACGCCTAGCTAATTTTTTGTATTTTTAGTAGAGACAGGCTTTCATCATGTTGGCCAGGCTGATTCGAACTCCTGACCTCAAGCGATCTGCTTGCCTCAGCCTTCCAAAGTGCTGGGATTACAGGTGTGAGCCACCGTGTCCAGCCAACAAATTTCTTTATGTATCTTTCATTGATATTTTAAATGTATTTGTCTTAATCTCCACACATATTTAAAAAGTCATTTTGCCTTTCTCAACAACTAGTATTTTCTTCTCAGAAAGCTAAGTTAGAGGATAGTCTTGAGATTCTTAAAAAATCTCTTGTTTAGGAGATACTTATGTAACAGAAGAGCTTAAAGAGAGCTGAATAAATTCTGAAAAAAAGTTAAGTCAAATGTGTATTTTTTATTACATATTTAATTAAATCTTAATATAAAATAGAAACACATTTATTTGCATAAATAAAACTGGACTTGGCATTTTTGCAAAATAAAAATGATGTAAAGATGACTCAGACACTCTGAATCATGAAAGTTTTGTAAACCTCTAAGTATTTTAAAAAGAGCAATAGAGTTACTTTAATTATTTTTCTTTTTAAGTCTCAGTTTATTTTTTGTACTCATTCCTATATAGTGTGATAGTTCACACATTTATAGATGCTGAAACAATGAATTCACTGAATTAATCACAGTTCAGGAATACAGATGCCTTAATTAGTTTTTTACAAGATATAATTTTGAATGAAATTTATCTTCCAATGCATATGAACTTCCAGGTCTTAGATTGTTCATTTCTACATATTTGAAGAATCATGTTTACTAACCAAAAGATATTTAACACCTCAGATAAATGTAGCAATTCTTCCCAGATGCATCCAATGTTTGAAGTTATTTTGTAGGTAAGAGACATTTATTTTACATATGATAAAACTAAGATGTAGACATATGAAGTGTTCCAGATATACTATGGGTGGTTTCCTCAGGTAACAAACAACTCTCAATTTCAGTGACATATAGAAACCAGGTTTCCTTCTCACTTATACAATTTAGCCACCACAGATTAGCTGAAGGTTCTTCTCTACACAGCTGTTTTCACCTGGAAATGACCCATTTTCCTTATACTCACATTCCCTTAGCCAAAGCATGCCATGTGGCCACACCTAACTTCAGTTGGATGGGAAGTATAATATGATCCTACCATTGGCCTAGAACAGGTGAGCCCCAGTACTGGGGCTTAGCCCAGGAGGGTTTTTGGCTTTGCCTAGGGCAGGAAAGAATTCAAGGGCAAGCCAGTGGTGTTAGACAGCAACTTTTACTGAAGTGGCAGTGTACAGCAGCAGCAGAGGTACTGCTCCTTGCAGAGCAGGGCTACCCCATAGAGTGTCCAGAGTAGCAGCTGAGAGGCAGTTTTGTGGTCATATTTATATCTTTAATTATAAGCAAATTAAGGGGTGATTTATGCAGAAATTTTTAGGAGAAAGGTAACTTCTAGGTCACTGGTCATTGCTATGGAAAGGGGTTGTAACTTTTGGGTGTTGCCATAGCAATGGGGAACTGACATGGCATACTGCTAAGCATGTCTTATGGAAAGCTGTTTCCATACTGGCCCTGTTTTAGCTAGTCCTCAACTCCTTCCAGTGTCTGAGCCCAGCGTCTGGAGTCAAGTCCCTCCTCCTACCTCACCATGTGCTTAGAAAGAGAAAGGACTGGAATATTTATGTAGAGCTCTGAGGAATTTCTACACTATTGGATAATAGGCAGCCTAAAACTCCCTTAGTAACACAGATTTAGACTTAAAGTCATATATATCTGTGAACAGGTCCATACTTGGTAAATGTACGCCACCTGCGATCTGATACTAATGTCTATTGCCTGTTTACATCTTTTGGCTCTTATCTCCACTGAGACTTTTCAGCTGTCTAAATCTTTACCATTTCCATGTCTGTGACCTTTTCTGTCCAGCTTCTCCACCACTATGGAATTCTAGGATTTTACCTATCCTTACACTTACCACTCAGGGAGTCCTGCCCATAAACAGTTTTGGGAAGTGTAAGGAGACTCCGTTGGGGCAATTCCTACAGAATGCAGAAAGTAAATGTGAAATCTTAATGCTTTCTCCTCTCTAGGAACTGCTCATATGTAGTACAGAAATGGAGAAAAAGGAAATTGAATACAATTCTAATCCTCAGCCCCCACTTTAATCAGTAGACAGAGTAAAAGGCCTAGGCTCAGGGAATATGGCACAGAGGAATGGTGATGTATATTATATATTAGAAATACATAGTCTCGAATAGCATTTATATTATTGGTACTCTACCCTTTGCTTAGCATTTAGTTTTAAGCACTAACTATAATCGATAAAACTCAGGAATTCAAAGATTGAGACACTTAAGAGTTGAAAATTTTTAAGCCAATATTTTAAGGTCCTTTGAATTGTCATTTAAATCAGCAAATCCAATTTGTGTCCTTGGAAGCCAATAATTTTAGGAAATATTATGTGTGTATTGTGGGGAGGGCTGGGATAAGAATCTTGGATCAAATGAATTTGGAACATGCTGTATACCGTATCCCTTTCTTGGAGATTTAGGTAAACATTTGCATTAAGAATGCATAAAAGTTCTACACTAAAGGGATATGTTTGACTTTCTTTAACCCAGTGTTTTCCAGTGTAATTTGACTATGGAACTTTATAATTATAGATAGATACATAGATAGATAGAGATATATCACATTTCAACACCACAAAACACACTTTGGTAATTCTGGTTGCAAGAACCTCTAAGGCTGAGTGGTGCGGTGGCTCATGTCTGTAATCCCAGCACATGGGAGGATCATCAGGCCAGGAGTTCAAGACCAGCCTGGGAAATGTAGTGAGAGCCTGTCTCTACAAAAAAAAACAAACAAACAAACAAAAAAAGAGGCCCGGCGTGGTGGCTCATACCTGTAATCCCAGCACTTTGGGAGGCCGCCGGATCAGGAGACCAGGAGTTCGAGAACAGCCTGGCCACATAGTGAAACCCCGTCTCTACTAAAAATAAAAAAATCAGCCGGGCGTGGTGGCAGGCACCTGTAATGCTAGCTACTGAGGAGACTGAGGCAGGAGAATCGCCTGAACCGGTGAGGCAGAGGTTGCAGTGAACCGAGATCACGCCATTGTACTCCAGCCCGGGCGACAGTGTGAGACTCCCTCTCAAAAAAAAAATACAAAATAAAAAATAAATTTAATTTAATTTAATTTTAAAAAAGAAAGAAAGAAAGAAATTTAGCTGAGCGTGGTGGTGTGTGCCTGTAGTTCCAATCAGGAGACTGAGGAAGAAGGAACACCTGAGCCCAGGAGTTTGAGGCAGTAGTGTTTGTGCCACTGCTCCCCAGCCTGGGCAGCAGAGTGAGACCCTGTCTCTAAAAGAAAAGGAAAGGAAAGGAAAAAAAAATCCCATTTAAAAAATAAAAATAAAATAAATACCTCTAGTACATTGTATTAATAATTAAAAGTGCAATAATATTGCAGCTCATGTAATACTTTTATATAAAGCTAAGAATTTTAAAGGACTTTTATAAGTATCCTTAGTATTTGGCACTTTATTTTCATTCTCTTTTTTTTTAGCAGTTTTTATTCACTTAAAATCTACATGTAAAATTTACCATCTTTACCATTTTTAAGTGTAGAGTTCAATGGTAATAAATACATTTGTATTCTTTTTTTTCACCTTTTTCGGTTTTCATTGTCTTGTTAAATGGCATTGATTTTCAACACCAACAGAAATCAAACTTTAAATTGACAGAGCTTGCAATAATATTTGTTTAATACTGTTGAGGAATATTATCTTTGATACACCACAGGTAAGGAGATTGGTTGTGTTCTTCAGAATGCAGAACTCTAAAGTGATTTGCTCCATTTTACCTATTTCATTCAAAAATCTAAAACTGTTATTTCATTTTAGAATATGATCACACATCGTTAAATTTATTAGACTTATTATTTCTTTATGAAGACCTTGTGAAGAGAAAGGTCATCTTCAACTTCAACATCTTCAACTTCTTTTTCTTGGTAGTTTTTCTTGGTAGTTTCCTTTAAGTTCAGAAGTTTTAAAGCTTAAAAAGAAAAAAATTATTGAGTTTCAAAAAAAAGCTCTACGCTCTACTAAAGTTATCATGTATGGGAATTTTTCTGTGCAAGAAGAAAAGCAGTAGACTAACAAAAACAAAATGTCCACGTTCCTAAATATGTGTTATAGTTGTGAGGTGTTATGACCATTTAAAATGAAGCAATTGTTCCGTGAACTGTTATACTACCAGCAACTCCATTCAAAGAAAATCCTAGATATAAGGTTCACCCATAAATATTAAGGTGGCTTAGGCGTGACCGGGTGTGTGTCCTTTCATCACTTGTCCACTCTGAGAAGATAATCCTGCTTTTCATTCATTAGCAATTTCAGTTCCTCTCCCATCATTTCAAAATAAGCGATAAATCAATACTTTAAAAAAAATTTGGGAAATATAACTTCTTTCTGTACCATAGAAAGAGAAATTATTCAGTCAAAACTGTGGGTAGCATAAATTCTTAGCACACATTTTTTTTCCTTTAATTAATTTTGGCTTATATTTATTCATAGGGCCATAACAAGATTCAGAGGCTATAATGATGTCAGCAACTCCTCTAAAATTTTATAGCAAGAGGATCTGAAGATCTCTGTTCAGCATTGCAGGGCTGCTCCTCTGTAACTCTTTGACTAGCCCCACAGCAGAACTCCATTTCTTGTTTGTCAAATTATGAAGTTAATTGTATTCATATTCTGAAACTGCCTAGCACCTAGAACATTTGGAATGCTGAAAAATATCTTATGTAGCTGTTTGCCAGACACCAGAACATAAATCTAACTTACTTAGATTTACAGTACTACCGTTTCTCCTTTAAAAAGGACATGAGGGAAATGTTTAACTTAATGAGGCAGAGGATCCTGGTGTGCAAGTTACATTACATTTTTCATTGCACAAGAGTAAATTATTGCTCCAGTTTCCTATATGGTACCCCAGTGGCCTCAAAGACACAATGTAGCTTCCCGAAATGCCAACTTTTGTCTTAGGCCATAACTTATTCTCAGAGAGTATGCTTTCTGAGAATTACCCATAACATTTCTTACAATAGGCTGAATTTCTTGAAGGTCATTCATATATACCAACTTAACTGGATTTGTCTTTTGTTTTTTTTAACTTAGAAACATCCAAGTGATAAGTCTGCATACATTATTTTACAAAATGGAAAAACAATGGGCATTTTCTTTGTCTCAAACATTTAGAAAACCAGCAAAAAAAAAAAAATCTGGGTAAGAAATTAAATTATAGGGCATACAATTTTTTCTTGGAATTTTCCCACTGTTACTGCAAACTTTTTAAAATAAATAATCATGGGTCTTTTGGAGGTGGTCTTTGAGGGTTTAGAACTATAATAATTAAATATATTGTTCTATATTTGTAAAAAAACAAAAACTTATTTTGAATACCAAATGTATGGACCCACATGTCCAAATGTGTGTTTGAGCTTTTTAAACAAGCTTTGCTTTCTAATAAGGTAATATAAGAATGTAATTAAAACAAAACAAAGTCCCTCCACCAATCAGTGTTGCAACATTTGGGTAAATTTTAGAGCTTGACAATTTTCAAAGCAGAGACATTACTCCAGGCTTTCTGCCAAACCATTACTGGTAATCTGATGACAAGGGATGAAGCAAATGAAAGTGCTGCTGCCTGGCTTAGTTAGATATGCATTTTCTAGAAGAGAAGCCAACAGATTTCTTATGCAAACCATCAAAATTGCAACTCAGGCACACACACACACACACACACACACACACACACACACACAGTGCTTTTACAAGTCTAGGAATATACACATTAAAACACAACTCCATGCTTAAGGGCAATGCAGAAGTAGCAGACACAGCTAGGGTTGACTGGATCCTTTCTTTACCTTGAGTGGTTTTAATAAATAGCAACATTTCTCTCAATGGCTGCAGTACAAATAATTAAATTACTTATATCTGGACAGGATTTAGCATTGCCTTCACATGGTTAAATTCCAACTACTACCCAAAATCTCTCATTGATAAGTGGGTGATTTGGGCTGCTATTGTCTGTGGTTTATTTAAATGATTTAAATAAACATCTATTCTCCTATAGTGTTAAAAAACAATTTATGTACTATTAATGAAAAAAATCCACTTCAGTTAGTAACTATGAATGACCTTCAAGATAGGGATATAAGAAAGTAATCAAATCAGGGATGTTTTATAAAAGGAAGACTTTGGAGTTTAATAAGTTCTGTGGAGGGGAAAAATACTGAGTAAATAACTGGGTATTTGCATGCATTATTTTGACAACGGGAGGGCTCTATTTTTTTTACCTATTTCTTTAGAAATCTACTTGATATAGCTGCAACTTCAGTATAGCAAATTTATATCTTGCCATTATAAAGTCTATGTTGTCTCTTAGCTCATATGATGGTATATATTTTCAAAATACAAATAAAAGAAAACATTTAATGTACTATGTTCTTTGACTATTTCACAACAAAAATATTTCACAACAAAAAATGAGAAACTAGCAATGTGTCTATTTTTTATAATCATTTCACAACCAAGACTCGTATCAAAATGACACTATCAATAACATGCATATTGGAGTAAGACATTCCTGAATCTCAGCATTATACTCCATATTTGAAGTCTTAAACAACCTACACAGTGCCAAGTCCCTGCCTTTGAGGAATGCAGTGCCCAGTGGGAAGACACATACATATGGTGATAGTTTAGTTAAATTGTAGTAAGTTATAGACAGTATAAAGGTGCCCAGAGAAGACATCCAGAAGAAGGTGATGCTTATATTGGATCTTAATAGATGAGTAAGAGTTATTTAGATAAGGAAAGATGGGAAGGGCTTTCAGGATTGAAGGACTAGCATGAGCAAGGATATGAAAGGGCATGGTGTGCAGAGGAGATACCCAACAGTTTGGTGTTATAATAGGGTGAACTCTGAGGCTAAAATGAAAGGCGATGAATTTGGAGGGGTAAATAGATATCCAGACATGGAAGGGTTTTCATGTCATTGTAAGGGGTTTGGTCTCTATTCCTTGGAGGTTTAGTGCTTCGAAATCCAAACCCCTCCCACAAAGTAAACAAAGCAAAAATAAAATGAATACATTCCCACGAAAGGGACTGAAGCCATAGCTCAAAATGGCCTCCCATCTGTATCCAGTTCTTTGAATTCTCAAGTATTTGCATTTTACTTCATAATGAATCTTTGTTTCATTCACCATAAAAGTATTTTTCTCCACATTTCTAGTAAGATGCACCATTTTTATCCAATAGCTCTCATCCCTTGAAATACTGTTTGTGTCCTTAGAATTCTCTATGATTACAAATCTTTTTTGACTGAGAAGTGCAGCTGTAGGTAGCAAAGATTATTTAAACTAAGAGTTTCAAGAAATGTATTTCACATAAATTGATCACTCTGGATGGTGATTTTAAAGAAGGCAAGAATACAGACTGAGGAGAAAGAGAATATTGCAATAGTCTGCTCATAAAATGTTAGATGTAACAGATTTCATGATGCCTAGTTAGATGGAATAATATTTTGACCACTGAGGGGAGCTCCCCTATTTTTTCTACTTTGATTCTGTAGAAATCTAATTGATATAGCTGAATACTTTCCAAACTTGTTCCAAAGCAGACATTCTAAATAAATATATAAAAAATGGACTACATTTTATGATTTTCTCATAGTTTCAGCCCTTCCCCAATACTACAAATACATACTAGGAGACATGGGAGAAAATGTTTGTTACTGTTACCAGCACTTATAACACAGAGAGAGGTGTTTGTCCTGAAGGGTTCCTGATTTCTTCTCATGACCTCTTGACATCTTGTGACAGTCTTCCACAAACACTCAAAGTTCTGGGTTTTGCTGGAAATTGGGGTACTTTGTTTCCCATGCATTCACACAATCCACTTTATCCAGGGTCAATAGATCAGAAGATACAGAATTGCATACAACAACTAAGAAAAAGGCCAAAGAGGTAGCATTTCGATACTCAGTGAGGAAGGCTTTCTACTGATGGCTCTGTTTAATAGATACAGTAGTGAAATGCAAGACAGAGGATTATAACAGTGCTTGATCTAGAAGTGGCAAGGATTCCAAATCCCTATGATTTGAATCTTAAATTGCTATGATGGATGCCAATTAAGGGAAGCCCAGAAGGTCTCTCCAATCCCTGATGAGGCTACCCTACTCTTTTGACAGACTCAATTATAATTTTCAATCTTACGAAAAGAACTGTGCCATGTCCTCCTCATTTTATATATCTAAGTAACTGGGTTGGTATTTATATGAATTGGAAGCATGCTTATGTGCCCAAGCCTACATAAAGATAGGCAGCCTGACCTATGATGACATGGTTTTGCTATCACGGTCAGGAGTAGTCTTAATAAGTAGCTGTCTGTTACTAACTGCTGCCAGGAAGAAAGATTTTAAATTAGCAGTGCTAAAAATAAAAGACATATCCTTTATTCAAATAAACAATACTAAATAATCCTATTAGGTCAATTTGTTCATCTACTTGAAATATTTAATACCCTGGAGCACCCATCAGTATGTCTTTCTACTCAAATATTCAGAAATTTGACAAAAGGGACAAAAGTATTCGTTAGGTTTTTTTTTTTTTTATGGATTCAGGCAGTGCAATGGTGAGAACTATTCATAAAAATTTCTAGGCCCAAATTGCTTCAATCATGCCTCATGGGACTTATGAAATCACAAGAGCAGATTCAGAATTCTTTCTTTTTTCCTTTTTGAGAAAAAAAAAGTTTATCCATCTCTATGTATTAGGGTGACCCATCTCTTTGTGAGAATAAAAGTCAGGCAGTTTTCCCATCAGAATGTCAACTCTGCTGCCTTCTCACCTGCTGTTTAAACATATAGATCTTTCTTCAATCAACCATGCAGAATATCAGCACTTCTAACAGCTGTCAACAAATTTAACCTTGGATTGGCTGTGCTATAGCCAAGATACCTTCTCTAAGTGCTATTGTATATTGGATCTCAGACCTAGAGCACGTTGGCTTAACACTTTCTCTGCCCCCTCATACACATGTAATGTCATTACTGAGTAACTATTTAATTTTGTGGTCTTGATTACTGCTCAAGTTTACCATAAAGCATGGCACTTTGGGAAAATAAAGAATGACTTTGAACAACTGCAGTAACATTTGTGCTAAATGCTACTTGCTATCTTCAGAATAAGGAGCTAAGCCCACACAATTCTCATAGGGATTATGCCAGGAAAAAGTTTATCACTCAAGACAAGCTTGTAAGCTTTCTTTATTGTACAAGATAAACTATATAATCTATCAGTTTCCCTTTTTGTTTTGACTGCTTTAATTCTTTTTTTTTTTTTTTTTGAGACGGAGTCTTGCTCTGTCACCCAGGCTGGAGTGCAGTGGCGCAATCTCGGCTCACTGCTAGCTCCGCCTCCCGGGTTCAAGCGATTCTCCTGCCTCAGCCTCCCGAGCGGCTGGGACTACAGGTACCCGCCACCCCACCCGGCTAATTTTTTGTATTTTTAGTAGAGACGGAGTTTCACCGTGTTAGCCAGGATGGTCTCGATCTCCTCATCTCGTGATCCGCCTGTCTCGGCCTCCCAAAGTGCTGGGATTACAGGCGTGAGCCACCGCGCCTGGCCACTGCTTCAATTCTTAAAGCTAAATTTGAATGCTCAGTTGTATTAATGATCCAGTTTTGGGTGCCTGATATAGCTACTGTCTTCAAAATTTGTTTTGACTCATACCTTTGCAGAGTCCCCTTTATTTTCTCTTTTATAACCCTTATCTCATGAAGGTGGAATTCCTTCCTTGTCTACTTGCCTGTGATTTTGGACTCACGTGATAACTGTCTAGTGTTCTACTGTTTCTCATCATCAAGCAAATAATGTTTAGTGAATTAACATTACTTTGCACTGTCTTGTATGTTTTAACAATGAAATATGCCATTTTGAAAATAGGAAGTAAAATTCTAAACCATCAAGAATGATTAACAAACCAATTAATTAGCTGAGAATAATAAATAAAAACAATAACAATTCTTAGGGACACTTTGAGACCAATTTTCTCCAAAGAGCTTAGCGATATCCTCTTATCCTCCCTCCATTTTTGCCGAGATCTATATATATATATATTATTTTCAGTCAGGTCACATTTTACTGTATTGAGTTTTATTTTCAGCAAGTTTTAATTTTGTTGGAGTTTGCATCAGAGGAATCTAGACAGAATAGTTAAACAATAAGGTCATGCCTGATTACAATGTGTTTATGTCATCAGTTTGTCCTATTCTTACAACCAAGGCCACTAGTCAAGTACGTGAGGAGACTTCTATAGGCTAAGGAAGATTTCACCTGTGAGGCTGTGTTTATGAGAACTGGGATAAGTCAAACCAACCAAGAGCTGGTGTTTCTCTCATGGAAATCTTTTGACATCTAAGGAGACTGAGGCAGGAGAGATTAAGTAATTATCCAGGACCAGAACAAATCAGTCTTAATGGAAGTATAAATCACAAATTTTCTGGTTTAAAGTCCAGAAACTTTATGACTTTATGACTTCCGTATGACTGAGCATACGGAACATGATTTTGAAGTGTGGTATATTGTCAACTTATCTTTTGTGCCAATAGCATGTACAGTTTGTTTTCAGGTACATTTAAAAAATGTATAGATCCAAAGGGATCTGGGAAAGGGTGCAGAGAACTACATAAGTAACAGTGCACACTTGAAAATGAAATACTTAAGAAAACTGTGATAAATCCACTCAGTAAAATAATATGTGGCCTTTTATGCATTTAGGCTGTTGTCCATTTCTTTAATGATCTAGAACAAAAGCCTTCCTGTAAACTGTATGACTTCAGCATAGCTTATTTAACTTTTTATTCTCATCTCTTAAATTGGAACAATAATAGAGCTACTGCCTAGGATTGTTAAAAAGATTCGATGAGATAATCCATGTAAAGAATTGATGAGCTCAGATTATTACATGTAGTAAAATAATGTCTATGAAAAGTGTTAATTACATAGGGAAAGGCTGATGTCACAATGTAACAATACCATAACCAGGACACAAATTATGCAATTAATTAGAATTATGTGGATATCTTGATAGAAAAGGCTAAGACAGAAACATTAATTGCAATTACTTTGGATTTTGAGAAAGAGGAGATTATTTTATTTCTTGTATTCACCTGTATTGTGCAAATTTTCTATAAAATGCATACAACATATGCTCAGAAAAAATATAAAATTCATAAATATAGATCTAAACTCCCACAAAAAAAAATTCTCTTGGATCTTAACAATTCTTGGATTTTTTGGAGGTAGCTGGTGTGGTTTATTTGCTTACAACCTTTATCTGTGAGTGTACATCTCTAATACACCAAGGAAACAGTACCATTCAACTCTAGTGCAAATCCCTTTTAGCTTTTTAGACAGGTTCATTCACCTGTAATGAAAATTTAACAGGTAGAGAGTGATTAAATCCTGGTCTCAGAAGTTTCCTCCAGTCTCAGGTGCTGAGCCCTATAAATCTTTATTCATATGAACTCATTTCTTTCTTTAGAACTTGTGTTACTCTTAAGCAAGGAACAAGTTCAGAAGAATCATGTATTCTTGAAGGACATGGGGGTGTGTAACTGTGAAAAGTGGCACCCGAGACTCCAGGCATACTCTGTAGCACCTCTTTGCTAAAGAAATAAAAAGCACCAGGGGTAAAACTCAGAGCAGAATCAATCTTAGAAGGGGCACAGGGGGAAAACAAAACTAAACTAAACCATGTGGGCTCAGGAGTCAGGAATCAGAGTTTCTTGGTTTGGGGACCTGGTTCTCCCCTTAGCTGTGTGTGGCCATGGAGGAGCTACTTCACCTCACTGAAAAATAAGTGAGATGGCAGATATAGCAGGTGTGGAGATGCTGGTCACTCATCTCAAGAGCAGTTTCCAGAAGACTCCGCTGGCAGAGGGGTCTCGGGCATCTCGCTGGGCAGGCGTGCAGCACATCACATGCTACCTGGGCAGTCACAGAGCTGGGCTGGTGGCACTGGGCCTGTGTTTCACGGGGCTCATTGATGGCTGTCCACCTGCCCAGCCCAGGCTGACCATCTGGCCTCCTATGAGTGCATTCTGTGGGCGGCACCCTTCCTCACCCACTTGCTGCTCAACTGCAGCCAGCTGACACGGGCCACCGCGCGTGAGCTCACCGGCTGGCAAGGACATCACAACATTCCCTGTGCTGGCCTGGGAGGACCTGGGCAACAACGGGGACCTGGCCTCCCTGGCTCAACCCCTGTTGGTTGGCCTGCACACCTCACTCCCCACCATCTACGCGTGCCTGGACCTTGAGCCTAGGACCTCTGGGATCCTGCAGCTGCTGGCTGGGACCTGAGGCCCAGACCTGCCATGCCAGGTGACCCACATACCACCTAACTCACTGCTACTGACTTGTGATGCTCTCATGCACATAGGACAGTGGGCGATGGTGGCCAAGGAGGTCTCCCAGGCCCCCAGGGATCCTGTACAAATGCTCAACCTGAGATTAAGGGGACAGAAGGAGAATGAACTCATAGGAGGCCATATGGTCAGCCCGGGCTAGAGTCTCAGCCTACCCTCAGCGGAAGGGGCCCTGGCACCCACAGTGTGGACCCTGTAATAAAGGGTAATGTCCACTTCCATCTTTCTGGAAAAAAAGAAAAAGAAAAAAACAGGGAGAGTATTTTCTGCCTATGCTGTGATTAGCTATATTGAAAAGCAATAAACAAAGAAAGATTGTTGTCATTGATTTTGCAGCACTTGCACTCATCAGTAAACATTATTACACGTTGACATTTTCATGGTGCTCAGCTTGCCTGTAAACATTTCCCCACCAATGTGCCTTGTTCTTGCCTTATACTTATGAAACACTATACATATTAATCTAAATGAAGATACTATACTCATTAGAATTAATCATGACTAGGAGAGTTTTCAGTGCATAAGCCAATCATAATGAGTCCACCTTCATGCTATACCTTATTACTTTTAAAAACATATACAGTCATATTTCATTTTATTGCAGGTCACTTTATTTCCATTCACAGATACTGTAATTTTTTTACAAATTGAAGGTTTGTGGCAACCCTGCCTCAAGCAAGTCTATCTGCCATTTTTCCAACAACATGTGCTCACTTCATGTCTCTGTGTCACATTTTGATAATTCCCACAATATTTCAAACTCATTATTATCCTATTGATTATGGTGATCTACAACTAGTAGTCTTTGATGTGGCTATTATAATTGTTTTGGGGTGCCATGAACTACACTCATATAAGACAGATATTTTAATCAATGTTGTCTGCATTCTGACTGCTCCACTGACCAGCCATTCCTCCATTTCTCTCCCTATCCTCCAACCTCCCTATTCTCTGAGACACAGTAATGTTGAAATTAGGCCAAGTAATAACCCTACAATGGCTTCTAAGTGTTTAAGTGAAAGGAAGGATCCTGTGTCTCTCACTTTAAATAATAATTAGAAATGATTAAGTTAAGAAACACATGTTGAAAGCCAAGACAGGCTGAAAGCTAGGCCTCTTGCACCAAACAGTCAGCCAAATTGTAAATGCAAAGTAAAAGGGAAAGTTCTTGAAGGAAATTAAAAGTGCTACCCCAGTAAACCATATGAATGATAAGAAAGTGAAACAGCCTTATTGCTGATATAAAGAAAATTTTACCCATCTGGGAGGAAGATCAAATTAGCCACAACATTCCCTTAAGCCAGAGCCTAATCCAGCTCAAGGCCCTAACTCTTCAATTCTGTGAAGGCTGACAGAGGTGAGGAAGCTACAGAAGAAGAGTTGGAAGCTAGGAGAGGTTGGTTCATGAGGTTGAAAGAAAGAAGCTGTCTCCATAACTAACGTAACAGAACAAGGTGAAGTACCAAGTACTGATGTAGAAGCTGAAGCAAGTTATCCATAAGATCTAGCTAAGAAGACTGAGGAAGATAACTCCACTAAGCAACAGATTTTCAATTTAGACAAAACAGCTTTCTATAGGAAGAAGATGCCTTCTAGGATTATCATAGCTAGAGATGCAAAGCCAATGCCTGCCTTCAAAGCTTCAAAGGATAAGGTGCCTCTTGTTAGGGTCTAATGAAACTGATAACTTTAAATTGAAGCCAATGCTTATTTGTCATTCAAAGACCCTAGGTCCCATCAGAATAATGCTAAATTTACTCTGCCTGTTCTCTATAAATGGAATAACAAAGCTTGGATGATAATGCATCTGTTTATAGCATGGTTTCCTGAATTTTTAAAAATATTTTAAGCCCACTATTGAGACTTACTGCTAAAAAGAAAAAGATAATGTTCAAAATATTACTTCTCATTGACAATGCACCTGGAGCATCCAGGAGCTCTGATGGAGATGTACAATGAGATTCATGTCGTTTTCATGCTTCCCAAGACAACGTCCATTCTGTAGACCATAGATCAAGAGTAATTTCAACTTCCAAGTCTCATTATTTCAGAAATACATCTCCCAAGGCTGTAGCTGCAATAGACAATGATTCCTCTGATGGATCTGGACAAAGTAAATCAAAAAGCTTCTGGAAAGGATTCTCCATCCTAGATGCTATTAAGGATATTTGTGGTTCATGGCAGGAGGTCAAAATATCATTAACAGGAGTTTAGAAGAAGTTGATTTCAACCCTCATGAATGACTTTGAGGGGTCCAAAACTTCAGTGGAAGAAGTAACAGCAAATGTAGTGCAGATAGCAAAAGAAATAGAATTAGAAGTAGAGCCTGAAGATGTGACTGAACTGCTGCGATCTTTTGATAGAACTTGAAAACAAGAGGAGCTGGTTCTTACAGATGAGCAAAGGAAGTGGTTTCATGAGATAGAACCTATTCCTGGTCAAGACTCTGTCAACATTGTTGAAATGACAAAAAGTAATGTACAGTATTTCAAAAACTTAGTTGATAAGGCAGTGACAGGGTTTGAGAGGATTCGCTCCAATTTTGAAAGAAGTTCTACTTTGGGTAAAATGCTATAAAACAGCATTTCACAGTACAGAGAAGTCTTTCATGAAAGGAAGAGCCAATTAATGCAGCAAACATCATTGTTTCCTTATGTATTACGTCATTCTTGCATTGCTATAAAGAAATACCTAAAGCTGGGTAATTTATAAGAAAAGAGGTTTAATTGACTTATGGTTCTACAGGCTGTGCAAGCATGGTGCTGACACCTGCTTAGCTTCTGGGGAGGCCTCAGGGAGCTTTGACTTACAGAAGAAGGCAAAGCAGGAGCAGGCACAACACATAGTGAAAGCAGAAGCAAGAGAAAGAGTGGAGGGGAAGGTGCCACACTCTTTTAAACAACCAAATCTCACAAGAACCCACTATTGCAAGGACAGCACCAAGCCATGAGGAATGCGCCCCCATGACCCAAACACCTCCAACCAGGCCCCACCTCTCACTTTGGGGATTACATTTCAATGTGAGATTATGGGGGACAAACATGCAAACTATATCATCTTATTTTTTAAAATTGCCATAGCCACCCTAACCTTCAGCAACTATTACCCTGATCAGTCAGCAGATATCAGCAACAAGGCAAGACTCTCCATGGGCAAAAAGAGTATGACTCAGGAAAGGCTTAGATGATTGTCGGCATTTTTTGGAGGTAAAGATTTTTTTAACTTTTATTTTAGTTTCAGAAGTAGATGTACAAGTTGGTTTTATAGATACATTGCATGTCACGGGGGTTTGTTGTACAGATTATTTCATCTGTAATAAGCATAGTAATAAGCATAGTACTCAAGTAATAAGCAGAGTACTCAGTAGGCAACTTTACAGACCTCACACTCCTCCCACCCTCCACTCTGAAGTAGGCCCTGGTATCTATTGTTCCCTTTTTTGTGTCTATGTACTCAATGTTTAGCTCCCACTTGTAAGTGAGAACATGAAATGTTTGGTTCTCTTCTTGCATTAGTTCACTTAGGATAATGGCCTCCAGCTCCATCCATGTTGCTGCTGAAGGCATTGTCTCATTCTTTTTTATGACTGCATAGTATTCCATAGAGTATATGTTCCACATTTTTTTTGTTCAATCCACCATTAATGGAGACCTAGGTTGATTTCATGTCTTTGCTATTGTGAATAGTGCTACAGTTAACATACATGTGCATGTATCTTTGTAGTAGAACAATTTATATTCCTTTGGGTGTATACCCAATAATGGGATTGCTGGATCAAATGGTACTTCTCTTTTAAGTTATCTGAGAAGTTGCCAAACTGTTTTCCACATGGCTGAATTAATTTACATTTCCACTAGCAACGTATAAGTGCTCCCTTTCCTCCACAGCCTAGCTAAAACTATTAAAAACCCTTGAGGAAAACCTAGGAAATACCATTTTAGAGGTAGGCCCCGGCAAATATTTTATGATGAAATGGAAAAACAGTTGCAACAAAAACAAAAATTGACAAATGGGATGTAGTTAAACCAAAGAGCTTCTGCAGAGCAAAAGAAACTATCAGCAGAGCAAGCAGACAACCCACAGAATGGTATACAATATTTGCAAACTATGCATATGACAAAGATCTACTATCCAGCGTCTACTATCCACATCTGTACCAGTACCATGCTGTTTTGGTTACTGCAGCCTAGTAGTATGGTTTAAAGTTGGGTAATGTGATGCCTCCAGCTTTGTTCTTTTTGCTTAGGATTGCTTTCACTATTCAGGCTCTTTCTGGTTCCATATGAATTTTAGATTTTTTTCAGTTATGTGAACAATGTCATTAATAGTTTGATAGGAATAGCATTGAATCTGTAAATTGCTTTGAGCAATATGGTCATATTAACAATATTGATCCTTCCTATCAATGAGCATGGAATGTTTTTCCAATCGTTTGTGTCATCTGTGATTTCTTTGAGCAGTGTTTTGTAATTCTTATTGTAGAGATCTTTCACCTCCCTGGCTAGCTGTATTCTTAGGTATTTTATCTTTTGGGGGCTATTGTGAATGGGATTGAGTTCTTGATTTGTCACTCAGCTTGAATGCTATTGGAATGAAGAAATGCTACTGATTTTTTTCATTGATTTTGTGCCCAGAAAGTTTGATGATGTTGTTTATCATATCTAATATCTTTTGGGAAGAGTCTGTGGGTTTTTCTAAGTATAGGATCATATCTGCAAGCAGGGATAGTTTGACTTCCTCTCTTTCTGTTTGGATGCATTCAATGTCATTCTCTTGCCTGATTGCTTTGGCTGGGATTTCCAGTACTATGCTGAATATGTGTGGTAAGAGTGGGCATCCGTGTCTTCTTCTGGTTCTCAAGGGGAATGCTCCCAGCTTTTGCCCATTCAGTATGATGTTGCCTGTGGGTTTGTTATAGATGGCTCTTACTATTTTAAGGCATGTTCCTTCAAAGCCCAGCTTGTTGAGGGTTTTAAACATGAAATGATGGTTTAAATTTTTATCAAAAGCCTTTTCTGCATCTATTGAGATGATCTTGTGGGCTTTGTTTTTAATTCTTTCTATGTGATTAATCACATTTATTGATCTGGGTATGTTGAACCAATCTTGCATCTCAGAGATAAAACCTACTTGATTGTGGTGGACTCGCTTTTTGATGTGCTGCTGGATTCAGTTCGCTAGTATTTCCTTGAGGATTTTTGCATCTATTTTCATCAAGGATATTGGCATGACATTTTCTTTTTTGTTGCGTCTTTGCCAGGTTTTGGTATCACGATGATGCTGGTCTCACAGAATGAATTAGGGAAGAGTTCCCCCTCCTCAATGTTCTGGAATAGTTTCAGTAATAATGGTACTGGCTCTTCTTTACATGTCTGGTAGAAGTCAGCTGTGACAATAAAGTATTTTTAATTAAGGTATCTACATTATTTTTTAGACATAATGCTATTGCACACTTAAAAGACTACAGCATAATGTAAACATAACTTTTGTGTGCACTGGGAAGCCAGAAACTTTGTGTGATCCTTTCATTGTGATATTTGCTTTATTATAGTGGTCTGACACTTAACCCATGATATCTCTGAGGTATACCTGTATGCACATTTTTAGAGAACTAATTTATCTGCACATTTCCTTCATCTTTTTGATAATATAATTTTCCAATATTATACTGAATACAGAGAAGCTAATCTCTGGGCTGGGTCACCAAATGTTAGAGCTGGGAGCAGGTTTAGACATCATCTAGTGAGTAGTTCAGATTGTTAATTTTCCGGAAGAGGAAACCACAGTCTAGAGAGATTAACTTTGTCCAAGAGTACAAGGGTCAAGAGTCGAACTCAATCCAGTTCTGTTGTGTTAGATCTTTTTACCTTTAAAATATTCATGTCAACCATTTTTGACATATATGATAATGATTTGCCAGCCTAAAGTATCTCATTTTATGGGGTTCATTCTCCTTCAATATTTGTAGACAATAGTATGAAATCATTTTGATGATGAAAATCCAGAGACAGAAGGATTAATCATTGTCAGCAAATCATTTTAAATCAGTGCTGACTATAAATTACTGTTTCATTCAAACATGGTATCAGATAGTTCTCTATACACAGATCAAGCAAATGGAAGCATGTCCTTCACAGGCTGGAGTAGATAGGTCATAATTCTGTGACTCACTTTACAATTCTCTCAGTCTCTCAATCATGTGTTATTGTTCCTTTCTGCCTATGTCATTTTTGGGGGATTATGCCAAACTGTTCACTTTTAGGATGTAGAATTTTTGGTGTTTTTAAGGGCTTTGTGTTGCAGATGAAGAAAGAACTTCAAAACAATGTCATGTTGTGATAAAAGAAAACAATTACTTGCAATATTGCCTAAGCATTTTTCATTTTCGTAAAAATATTGCTCAAGTAACTGACCCTCAATAATGAGGAAAACCTGTATTTTTAAAATATCTTTTCATTCATTTATCATCTACTTTGATCATCAGCCATGTACCAATTAATTTATTAAGTCTGTGGATGCAATCTCTGCCCCAGGGAGCTCAAAGAGTGTAGGGGAAAGACACATACAAGTAAATTGTTAATATTTCATATGACAGATACAATAGAAGCCCCAAAAGGCATTATAGAGGAAGCAGAGAATTAATTCAGGGAAAGATAAATGCGATGAAGGTTGGAAGATGACTACAAGTGTGTCAGGCAGATTTGCGTTTGTGTGTGCATGCAATATGAGTGCAAAATAATATTCTGGAAAAAGTAAATATCATTTAAAAGGTATTGGAGGGGCAAGAGTATGATATCTTTAGTTAAATGCAAATGGTTTAGCATTGCTAAAGCCTAAGATGTGTTGTAATGAGTGGTACAGAATAAGACTGGGCACATTGGGGGAAGCATCATAAAAGGTCTTTAACACTGTGTTAAACAGGTTAACATTTATACTGGGTCAGTGGAAAACCATTTAAGAATTATGAACAGGCAATGGCATAACCAATCTCAGTGTTAGAAAAACCACTGTTGCCACAGTCTGAAAGAAAGAATGGATGGCAGAGAACCTCAAACCAGGAAGAATAGCAAAGAAGCAATATACCACAAATTCCAAGCAAGGAAAAATTAGAGCCTAATGTTCTAAGGAAATCACAGTGATAATGTCAATGAGATAGGAAAGGGAGGAGAAATTTAAGAGATACTTCATAAATAGAATCAACATGATTTAAAGATTGGATGGGAGGTCAGGAGGAAAAGACATATCAAGGATGGTTCCCAGGGCTCTGACAACAGAATGGATGGTAATGTCATCCACTGTGATAGAGGATGTGGGAAAAGGTTCATGTATGGAAAGGATGAACACAATGGCTTTGGACATTTTGAGTTGGAGGTTTTAGTGGGATATCCAAACTAAAATATCCAGTAGTCATTAGGATAAATGGGATGACATATCTGGTGTAGAGATACTGATTTAAAAGTCATTTGTATATAAGTATTTAAAGCTATGAGCAGTATGAGTTATCCCAAGAAGGATGTGTATCAGAAAGAAAAGAAGCATGGGGAAGAACCCTAGAGAACACTTATGATTTTGGTTGAGAAAAAGTTAATTGTATCATCATGAGACACTGAGAATAATTAGCCAAAGAGATGGAGGGGTGAAAATAAGGACAGAATGGTTTTACCAAAACCAAGGGAAGAACTTTTTTCAGGGAGTACTGCAAGTGGTATTATACGAAACAAACAAGATTGGTAAAGACAGAAGTTCCTGTTGGCTTCCCCAATTCAGAGGTCAGAGACAGTCTTACTGGGAACAGGTTCAGTGTAGTGGTGGGAAAATGAGCTAGTTTGCACTGGGGTAAAAGGTGAAAGGGAGATGGAGAAGTTTAGACAGTCAACATAAGATTGCTATTTGGGAAATTTGATGGTGTAGAAAGGAAAATGAGAGGTAGCTAAATGGGGAACCCAAATTGAAGAACGTTTTTTAAATGTCAATTTTAAATAAGTTTGAAGATATTTGAATGCTCATATCAAAAAAGTTCATGGAAATGGATAATTTGAATACACAGAAAATAGAAGATGATTAAGTTACAGAGAATGAAGAGAAGAATCTCTAGAACAGGTATTTGTGCGAAATACAGCTTACTCATCGTATTAGTTTATTCTCACATTGCTATAAATAAATACCTGAGATTGGGTAATGTATAAAGGAAATATCTTTAATTGGCTCACAGTTCTGCAGGCTATACAGGAAGCTTAGTGGCTTCTGCTTCTGGGGAGGCCTCAGGAAACTTACTATTATGTTAGAAGGCGATGAGGAAGCAGGCACATCTCACATGCCCTGAGAAGGAAGAAGAGAGAGAGCAGGGAGGTGCCCTACACTTTTGAACAACCAGATCTCATGAGAACAGCACAACGGGGATGCTGCTAAACCATTCATGAGAAACTGCCCCTATGATCCAATCACCTCCCACCAGGCCTCACCTCCAGCATTGGAGATTACATTTCAACATGAGATTTGGGTGGGGACACATATCCAAAACATACCACTTATTACAAACCAAAATGCACATTGCATAGTTGAAATTTTTTCTAATAAAAAATGTATTTGGAGTAACTGAATTGCTTTGGGAGCAATTGCATAAAATACCATTTTAAAAAAACCCAGCTATTTATTGCAAATTTCAAGTGCTATTTTTTGTTATCAAGGGAAAATTGGTAGATAGAATGTGAACCGTTGATCCAGAAAAATCTCCTTCTCTCAGTTCTACAAATGATTACCTAGTATTTGAAACATGATTTCTTAAGGATCATCATATATTACAAATATATATTACAAATAAATATATATTATATATAATATGTGTATATGTAATATATGTACATATTGTATATTACATATATATGATATATATATATCCTGTGAATAATGATTGTGTGTGTATATATATACACACACATCAATATATCCTGCAGAAGACATTTTAGAAAGAACTAAATTCTGTGGGAACTGGTAATGCTTTCTTAATAAATAGAGCTGGTCCACTCCCACGTTCACTGTAGCATTCATTATTCACAAAAGTCAAGATATGGAATCAACCTAAGTGTCTGTCAATGGATGGATGAATGGATAAATGTGGTAGATATCTGCAATCTCTACTGTATAGCTTAAAAGAGAAGAAAATTCTGTCATATGTAACAACGTGGATGAACTTGAAGGACATCATGTTAAGTGAAATAAGCCAGGCACAGAAAGGCAAACACTGCCTGATCTCACTTACATATGGAATCTAAAAAAGTTGAATTCATAGAAATTGATAATAGAATGGTGGTTACAAAGGGCTGGGGAAGAGACTGGGGAGATGTTAGTCAAAGGATACATTTCACTTAGAAAGGAGGAATAAGTTCAAGAACTCTATTGTACAACATAGTGACTATAGTTAAAAACAATGTATTTTATTCTTGAAAATTGCTAAGAGAGTAGATATTAGGTGTTCATTATAAAAAATAAGTATATGAAGTGATGCATATGTTAATGAGCCAAATTTAACTATTCCACAATGTATACATATTTCAAAACAACACATTGTACATAGTATACGATTTATATTTGTCAAATAATAAAGACAAAGTTGAACTCATAGAAGCAGAGAGTAGGAGAGTGGTTGCAAAGGGTGGGCAGAGGGGAGGAATTGGGAGATATTGTCCAAAGGATACAAAATTTCAGTTAGGAAGAGTAAGTTTTGGAGATCTATTGGTGACTATAGCTAGTAATAATGTATACTTGAAAATTGCTAAGAGAGTAAATCTTAAATGTTCTCATCACAAAACCATAAGTATGTGAGGCAATGGATGTTAATTAGCTTGACTTAATCATAGCACAATGTATACATATATCAAAACATCATATTGTACACTATAAATATATGCAATGTTTATTTGTCAGTTAAACCCTAGTAAAGTAGGGAGGTGGAGAGATCAGAAGCCCCCTATACGTATAACTCCGGTTTTAAACTAGTGTGATTTACCATCAAAAGAACAACTTGAATTGTTATCCATAGACCACACTGGTTTAGTAAAAAGTGCTACGGTTTGGTGTACATGACAGTGAGGTGGTTAATTTGAGGTGTCAACTTGACCGGATTAAGGAATACATGGAAACTTGATAAAGCATTATTTTGGGGTGTGCCTGTGAAGGTGTTTCCGGAGAAGATTAACATGTGAGCCTGAGTGGACTGGGTGGGGAAGATCTGCCCTCAATGCGGGCAGGTTCCGTGCAATCTGCTGGCAGCCCAGAGAGAACCAAAACAGAGACAAGGTGAATATGTTATGTATCTGCTGGAGCTGGGTTACACTCTTCCTTTCCTGTCCTTGGACAACAACTCCAGGCTCCCTAGCTTTTAGACTTACGTTATTCCTCGTGCCCCTCTCCACCCGTCTTCTCAGGCCTTTGGCCACAGACAAGAGTTATACCATCGGCTCCCATGTTTCTGAGGCCCTCGGATTGGGCTGAGCCATGTTACCAGCATCCCAAAGTCTCCAGCTTGCAGATGGCATGTCTTGGAACTTCTCAGCCTCCATAATAATGCCGGTTTGTTTAATAAATCCTCTCCCATATATCTGTTTACATCCATATCTTTATATACCCTATTGGTTCTCTCTGAAGAACCTTGACTAATACAGATGGGTAACATCAGACTCTCTTAAAAATAGGAAATATTTTTCTTCTAAGAAATACCCTGGGATAACAAACATGCTGTGTGTTAAGGCACATGAGACCCCCATGGGGCAGATCTCCCAGGGCACCATTCACATGGAATACATTGGAGCTGCATAACCTCATAACCTTGCCAGTATAGGGTCAAGGGCCAAAAAATGCAGGCTTCACCTAAAAAAGGAACAAAAATCTGATTCAGGAAGCAATATCTGAGCCTTGAGCAAGAAAAGACAGACTTTAGAAGACTTTTATTTTGGTTACTGAGAGGCTGTAATAAACCTCAGAAGCAAATCAAGGGAAACTTCATTCATACTGTAGATTTTTGGTGTTGGAGTTTTATAGAATTTTCTAGCAGATAGAAGTACCTTTTCTAATAAAATGTATAGTACAAAAATTTTCTTTTCTTGTTTGTACAAAGTCACTTTATCTTTCTGGAACCTTTGCTTCTCTATTTAGTTTTCACCAATTAGTTTCAGGAGCTCAAGGGCATTTTTATATTCAGAGAACATTCTAGGCTAGAATCAGTAACTACAGTTAGAACACATAGAAGAAATAAATGAAGACAGGGCTTTTATATCCTTAAACTCACTCATTCACTCATCCATTCAATCAATAAGTACTTTTAAGCAACTGTTATGTGGCAGGCGGTGTGCTATGTCCTGGCCATAAGCCTAGTGAGGAAACTAAGAGTAGGCTAATGGTTCAAGGAATTAAACACATGCTGAGAGAGAAGGCATCATGTATAGCAAGAAATGCAGTCACACCATTGAATGAGGCATCAGTGTTGTTCTCTGAAAGCTGCATTTTAAAAACTATAATTTGGAAGATCCAAATGTGTTGAAAATTGTCCTTAGAAGCTATTTTAACTTTACACAGATGTGGCGCTTTCATAACAGGAAAATGCTCATATTTTCAGCTCAAGTTCTTAAGTGGGGAAAACATGGCAGATGCTTCTGATAAGCATAAGAGATTGACTTGAAATGAATTTTTAATTAAAATTACCCAAAGGCCTAGTGAAATGATTTCCCATGACTGTCCAAGTCTATGAAAAGTTCTGCCCACCTCTGAAGAAAGAAATAGTGTCATATTTACATCAAAAAAGCAAAAAAAATACAAGGTAGTCGGTTATGGATGGATTGTGTCATGAAGTTTTCTTGAATGATACAATGAAAATTCAATTTCAATTCACTTTTGCCAGTTGCAGATCAATTAATCTCAAAATCTTCAGTGTCTCATAAAGACACTGAAGTAAATAACAATAATGTAAAATCTTATGCTGAGAACTGAGTAACACATTGATATATTAACATTTCTATAGAAAGTACCTACTATGTTGAAATATCTGTTATTGCATTTTTGATATAGCAACTGCCCCTTAAGTAAAGATCTGACAGCACAACTCACTAACTTACATTTAAATCTAGACTTTAACATTATTTTTGAGTAAACAAATTAGGAAAGCATCAAACATTTTCTTCTCACATGCCAAATGCCAATATAATTTCAAGTATAATCAATGTTAACTGTGGAAATGTTTGTTCTTCCAAAAGATGGCTACTGAGAAGGCTGATATGTTAAATAAAGTTGAAATTTAATAGAAACTTAATTAGCAAGTGCTGTTAAATTCTTTTTATAAACAATGCTATCTTAGGTGCTTTGAGAGATAAAAAGATGAATTAGACGGGACCGTGACTCATCCAGAGCTCACAATACACAGTGGGAAACAGCTGTGATAAGTGCTTTAATAGTTGAATAAACAACATCAAGTCTGAAAGTATTGCAGGGAATAGGGTAATTAATTCCAGTTGGGGACACTTTTTTTCATTTGTTTTGTTTTTTGAGACAGAGTCTCACTCTTTCACCGAGGCTTGAGTGGAATGCAGTGGACTGATCTTGGCTCACTGCAACCTCTGCCTCCTGGGTTCAAGCGATTCTCCTGCCTCAGCCTCCTGAGTAGCTGAGACTACAGGCAGATGCCACCACAGCCAGTTAATTTTTTTTTTTTTTTTTGAGACAGAGTCCCACTCTGTCACCCAGGCTGGAGTGCAGTGGCACGATCTCGGCTCACTGCAATCTCCACCACCCTGGTTCAAGCAGTTCCCCTGCCTCAGCCTCCTGAGTAGCTGGGATTATACCACCACGTCCGGCTAATTTTTTTGTATTTATAGTAGAGACATGGTTTCACCATGTTGGCCAGACTGGTCTCAAACTCCTGACCTCAGGCAGTCCACCTGCCTCGGCCTCCCAAAGTGCTGGGATTACAGGTGTGAGCCACCACGCCTGGCCCACCCAGTTAATTTTTGTATTTTTAGTAGAGACGGGGTTTCACCATGTTGCCCAGGCTGGTCTGGAACTCCTGGTGTCAGATAATCTGCCTGCCTCAGCTTCCCAAAGTGCTGGGATTATAGGCGTGAGCCACTGCGCCCGGCCAGGGACACCTTTTAAGTGATATACATCAGGTGAAGCATTAGGTGCCACAAAGGACAATAATACAAACATATGATATGACCCTTTCCTTTGGGAAACTTATCTTCTTGGAAACATAAGACATACATAAAATATATGTCTACATTTATACACTTATATATACACAAAATATTATCAAATACACAATTGTATGCAAAAGAATAAAAAGTCTTTGACCAGAATGTAGAGGCTCTGAGAGTTCAGTAGAAGGAGAAGTTGGTATCAACGTGAGAAATGAAATAACATCTTGGAGAAGGTGGACCATGATATGGGAGAGGAAGTGCTGGAAGTACTTGCAGAAGCAGCAGAAGGTAAGACTTGAAATGATGAAAACAATGAATGAAGGCAGAATTGACTACATCCTGTTCCATGAACCTCAGAGACTGACCTGGCCAAAGCATGAGGTCTTCTTTGGGGAACCTTGGAAGAACTAATTGGTTGCATTAAGTGTAGGATGGGGGTGCTTTGTGAATGCCAAGACAAGGAATCCGGATTTGATCTGATAGGAACAGGAAATTCTCGTAGACTGTCAAGCAGCCTAGTGACACGTGAAAGCAACTAGAAAGATTAGGCTTGTGATTATTGCTTTTTTCAGGAAATGTTTTATATAAAGTTCCTCTAAACAGTTTATAAAGCTTTAGACAGATGTACAATGAATGTTATTATTACATCAGACACATACAGAGAACTAATGAGTGTGTATACAACCCTAACACTCGTGAAAGTGTTCTGTAAAATCTTATAAGTAAGACTCAGAAGAAATCATTTAGTTGGCCTGCTCTACCATAAAGGAGTAGATGAAAAACAGAGATAATGGATTAACATTTGTTAAAACAATGTCAGAGAAACCAAAGTGGAAATGCTCCATGAAAAGAAAGATTTATGTCCAAAAAGGGCCTATCACAGATATTTTAAGAACCTTCAGAAAGTGTCCTGAAGTTAAAAAAAAAAAATGAAATTTCCTTCTGTAAGGCTGTTTTCTGTTTGTTGGTTTGTTTTAAGAGGGAAATATCTTTGAGAGTTACAAACTGGTCATTACACCTTTAATACCTGAGAAGAGGCAGACGCAACAGGTTGCCAGCAACCAGCAAACCATTTAATGTAGGTAGCAATCTGCATGACCTTATGAGGGGAAAATCAGGGAAGATCAGTTCAATTTCCACCCAAAACACAGTAATAGATATTAGTGATAAGGAGGCCATAATGTGGCTGAATTTTTGTAAGGCTTTAGGGTCTGCTCCAGTTGGCATTCTTCTTAAGAAGCTACACAGATGCAGCCTGGGGCTGTCACATGTGGACATAGATGATGAGGGTTTATATCCAGATATTATTTATTGTTTAAGGGTGTCTCACCATTAATTTGGAAACATTTGTCTGTAGCTGATAAGCTCACTGACCAAAGGTGTGTGCTAATGGCATCAAAGTAATGGAAATCCCCTCCATGTGGACTCACATGCTCCTGGAGTCACATTACCAGCTGGGCTCACTCCTTCCCACTGACTCACAATGCATGTTTTTATAGCTAGAAGAACCTGACAAAAATGATAGAACAAAATAAATTTGTCATCACCACTAGAAGAAAAGAAAATCCATAAATTCTGCTTAAGCAAAAGTCTATATCTACGGATGAGTCTGAGAGTCAAAAAAAAAAAAAATCGATTCATTCAAAGTATCTACCACTTCAAGAAAGCTGATGATTTAAGTGACTTGATCTTTTTTGTGTTCACTTGGTTGGTCAAAACAAACAAACAAATTTACCCTTGAAGCCAAGAATATCTGTGTGAGAATGTGTGACAGCTGGGGAACCAACGTTCATTCCAAGCAGTACCTGTGTAAAGTGTGTTCACTTTCCCTTACTCTTCTACTGAAGTCTCCACTGCTCCCTTTAGCCAAGAAGGACAAATTCTTCCCCAGACCCCATGGTTCCTTCCCAGTCCACTCTTCTCAGGGCCCTATCAGTTCCCATAGCATCCTCCCAGCCAATGCCCACATATCCATTCAAGATATTAAGTTTAGGTTCACCAATATCAATAAGCCTTAGAGATCATAGAGGGCCATGCTATCTGAAAAGTCCCTTTCAATATCTGCAAATGAAATTATTCTCAGATCTCTGGCCCCATCATCTTTATAATGCTCAGTCCAGTGTTCTTTGTCCTTTGCCTCTCTTGGAACATGGTGATCAACCTTGAGTTCCTGAGTCAGGGAAGGATGATGCACATGATTGTGCCAGTGCAGCTGTGCTTATTGAGAATTCCACCCACAGCCCAGCCTCTCTTTTGAATGTGTGCTAAGTCTGGGCAAAATATGAAAGATTTTCTTTAAAAATCTTCATTCAATTTTTGACTTCCCAGTGCTGCTTATATTTCTTCTAACATTAGTTACTTGTAGGAATTCCATGGTACACCCTTCTGTCTGACTGTATGCTAATTTTTTTTGTTTGTTTATTGTTGTTGTTGTTGGGGGGTAGAGATGGGATCTCACTGTGTTGCCTAGGCTGGTCTCCATCTGCTGGCCTCAAGTGATACTTCTGCCTCAGCCTCCCAAAGTGCTGGGATTACAGGCATGAGCCACTGCGCCTGGCACAAATTTGTTAAAATATGAATTCTAATCCTTAAGAAGACTCAAGTTATCTACAATAGCTATGAAACACTCAGAGGCTTCTTTAACAACTCATTTCTCTAGCTTTCATGAAGACCACTTAAAATCCTTCTTATGCATTCCCTCTCTGCTAACCAACGTCTATAACTCATCTTATTTTTAATACAGTAAGAAGTTAGAAGATATAACATAGCTGTGTGCTAAATCAGTTCTACTGAAAGGTTTTCAAATTATTTGGTAAAGGATTCACATATTCATGTGACACAGTGATTTCTTTTGATCCTGTTTTGCCATAAGGATCTTTAGACATGACATGCAATTTTATAAAGAAAGCTAGCCATCAGGTTAGAGATCCATTTGTGAAGAAAGACTCATATCCCTTGGCCTGTACTTACACAATGTTCAAATTGCATTATGTTTATTGAGATTTTTTTCATTGATCCAGATAAATCTTGCTTGATGCCTTTTCAAAGAATTGCTTATCAGAGAACTTCTAGTAACCTTCTGGCATTTCAAAATTGCATATTCCCTGCATAACAACTTTATTTGTTGTAATTGTCAAGTTTCAATGTTTCTAAAGATATAGCTAAAGCAGAAAGATGTATGTGTGAAGTATTATTGGATGCCTGGATTTCTTACAAACTCTGTACATTCTTTTTTTCTTACTTGAACTTGTTTGTCACACTTTATAAGCTTATATTTTCAAACTGGTTGACACACCTTATACCTACCATACTCATAGTTTAAATCATTTAAAATGCATGCTATTCACAGTACAATGTTTCTTAACTGAAATAATGTTAATAATTTTATCTAGAAAATGGGGCCAACTTCACAAAGCGCCTCCTCCCCATAAATGATATTATCTCAATCTAACACTGTACCCACATTAACCGTTCTTCTTAGTAGCATAAATAATTTCATGAGTTTAATAATCAAATATTTTATTAAATTATGAAATGGCATATCATATAAATATTTTAACAATTAGAAGAATTCTCTGCTATGTTTACACAAGCTCTTTTATTTTCTTTATTAATAAAGAACAATCCTCACTACAGCTCAACTTCAGCTTCAATTAAAACACAAAAAAGCTTACTACATTATTTATATTAAGAATTAACCCAGGTTTTTCCCAGTGCTTGAAAATTTTTCTTATTGTAAATTGGCTTAAAAGGTCTTTCAACTACAGCAATACTTACCAAAGTGTTCTCTGTTAGTCTGCCCTGACGGAGTTTCCATAAGTAACTGTACAAAGAGCCAGTAAGTGTGGTTGAGACTTGGGAAAACTGGTTTTATTTTTTATCCTTTTATCTTACTTTCTTTTTATTTTATTGCCATTGTTGTCCAGATTCCTAATGAATATGGTACTTTCAGCCCTAGCTCGGAAGATATCTAGAAGTGGTCCCAGGAATTCACTCAACATGCTATCTGTTCTCCTGGGATAGGATTTCATCAGAAAAACCAGTGAATTCAAGTCGTAGTGAGATATTTTCAGGCAATCCTAAGATGCCCATTCTTCTGGGCTTCCAGGACAAGTGCTGTTTAAAACCTGCAACCTCTTTAGTCCTCCAGGCCACCTATGCCTGTTACCTGTGGTCAACTACAACCCAGCATATAAGCCTCCCCAGTCCTTCATTTTCTCATGGGCTTCTACCACCAGACACAATGTCCTGAACCACCTTCCTCCTAACTTAGTCCATTTTGAACTGACTGCTGGTCCCGCAATCCTCCATACTGTCACTCTCTTCACTGAGCATCTCTCCTCTCCTGGGCTTGATACATGCCTGCTGGGCCTCTGATTCCATGCTTCCTCAGCAGCCCAGTCCAGAGAAAGCTGCTTATTCTATCTCATGCTCTGTGTCGTAGGGTTAAATGATGTCGTTGGCATTTTTCTCCTTCCCCAAAGTGGTTTCCAGGCCATATTCTACCATCACTTGATGAATATCTCTTTTTGGGATATATGGTGTCCACCTTCACTTCTCTCTACCTCAGTTATCACCACTGTAAACCTACTTGTTGAAGAGTTCAGAAGCCAGTACATTTTTTTTTAATCACAACCCTAGCAACTGCCATCATCTTAAGTGACTTCACGTCTGGGCGGGTGATTTATGAAAAGGAGAGCTTATAGGGCCTTGGCTTCCCTGACTTCTCTATTCATCTTCTCTATTCCACTTCAGGCAGCCCACCGCCCAGCCACATCATAATATTGAATAACCCAATTCTCCTGAATTCATAAAATCATAAATGAAATAACTGATACTAACTCTAAGCCTTAGCTGCTAATCACATGCAGTGTATGATCATTTTACTCTGTAATAATCATACATTATGTTACAGGGTTACTGTGAGGGTTAGTCAGCGATAAGAAAATGAAGAGTTGGGAATAGTGATGGAAAGGATTTGAAAGGGGAGACTAGTAGCAAAGAGATCAGTGGAAAGTTCATTTTATTTGGAGCGAAGAGGTTCCTGGAAGCCTGGATAGAGGCAGTAGCACAGGAGGTAAAGAGTGTCAGTTTCCTGAGACATGAGTGAGATAAAATCGGGAAGATGTAATAACCTCTTGGATTTAGAGAGGAGCAAGAAGTAGAGGCTGACTCCAAAGTGGCTAGCTTGGGAGAATAATTGGATTGTAGCTCTGTTCATGCAGCTGGAAGGTGGAGCAGATAAATGATAAATTTCAGGTATTATTAAGCCAAACTGTCAAAAAAAAAAGGTAGATATATGTGTTTGGAATTCAGAAGAATAGCCAGAGTAAAAGATAAAGCTGTGAAATCATCAGCATATAAATGTTATTGAAGTTAAGAGAGTAGATGAAACTACCCAGGGAGAGTGTGTAGAATTAGGAAAAGAAAGGATAAATGACTGAAGGACCTCAACATCATAGGCATGGCTAGGAGACACAGAGTCAATCACAGGGCCAGAGAAGGAAGTAATGGTTACAAATGAAAATGATTTAAACAATAATACTAGCTAACATATATTGAGTGCTTATTATTACCAAGTAGTTTTGCTATGCATTTTATATGCATTATAGTAGAGGGGTTTAAAGCACACGTAGCGCTTGGGTTCAGATTATAATTCTACCACTTAGTAGCTATAGCCATTACCAAATTACTTAAGCACTCTGTGCTGCTATGGCTTGAGGATAATAAAAGTGCCAAATTTATAGAGTTGGCATGAAGCCTAAAATGGTTAATGGATCATTTAAGGCAATGTCTGACTCATAGAAAGCCCTATATAAGGATTAACAGTTATTTTTATTATTCCAATTTTAATTTCACAATAACTCAATGAGGAGACATGATTTTTATCACTATTTTTAAATTGAGAAAACTGAGATTCTAAAAGGTTACTTATAGCAAGTGTCACTGTTGATATTTGAAAGAGATCTACCTGAGAGTCCAAGTATTTAATGAGCAGGAAAGGATGTTGCAGAAAACAAAAAAGCAAATAGTTTTAAGAAGCAAAGTGATTAAAAGATCTAAATACAATGACGTAGTCATGAAAATAATCCATAAAGCACATTCTTTTAATTCATCTGCTAATTCATCTAATAGTAGCAATAGAGATTTGATGAAGATAACATGATTTCAGAGTTGGTCAATAACAAGGAACTGTTACCACATGGAAATTGAGCTACAAAGAGTCTGTTTACACTCCTACCCTGAACTGTGTACCAAGGACTCCCATGTGCAAACTTGTTCATCACCCAAGAGTCACTGTGCACAGAAGAGCTTATAGATATGATCTGCAATTATGTCAATACAATGAAACCACTGGGTTCTCCTCAAATTTAGTGAGCTATACTTCTATCGGGAGTTTCACAATTCTCCATTTGGCAGATAAGTTTTTTGCATACTACTTTGCACCATTCTCATGGACTTCATTTTAAAAAATTATTATCTTGGTGTCTCATAACATTTTCAATTTAATATGCTTTTAGTTAAAGAAAATATAATTTATTTCTGTTTTTCTTTAATCCATTTAAATTAATCCATTTAAATTAAATTAATAGAATTTAATCCATTTGTAATGTAAACTTCACAAAATGGATTTATAAATCCCTTGGCACCAGAAGCAGATTACAGGACATCATGCTTTTCCTTCTCCTTGTATGGTGCCACAGACATAAATGGCTCATACGTATGGGACATTTTGTGTCAACTTTTCCTCACCAGTACATGAAGCTTATGTTCCCCTATGTTAATGGTGATTTAAGGGGAGGATCATTTAGCAAGCAAGTCAAGTGGTTCCCATTGCATTTCAGCTCTTTCAAATGTGGTGGCTGCAAATGATGCTGCTGTGCTTTGTTGTAGGTTTCTATATAACGCTGGGCATGGTGCCTTATTTAACAGTTCCCTAGTGCTATTTTGGAAAAGCCCTCTGCAGAAAATGCCAGAACACAGCTTGAACTCTTGTCCCCTGTCAGGGAGAATCTTTCTATCAGCGGGATTTCTCAGCTGTTTCAGAAATCATTCAGCCCTTTACCGGTAAATTTTGTTCCTGTAAAATATGCCAACTGTAGCTTATCCTAATTGTTCATCCTAAGAGCTTTAGAAGCAAAGATTTTTATCTGGGAACTTCAGCATTTGCTACAAACTTTTATACAGAAATCTTAATTTTAATTCACTAAAGATTTTCTCTTGTTTTTCAACTCACTTTTAAAAATATATTAATCCTTATTTTCATTTTCATCAATAAAATGAGATTTTCTTTTTCTGTTAAGCTAGTCCACCTGCAATTAACAACAATAATTTGCTAAATTAAGAGTTAGTATATCCTTTGTTATGTTATATACCAGATTATCATTCATTTTTATTCTTTGTGGTGCTATTATTATCCCTATTTTACAGCTAACAAAACTGAGACATAGAGAGGATTAAAAAAATTCTGAAAGTTAGTAAATGGTAAAACCAGTATTTGAATCCAGGTAGTCTCATTCCAGAGCCATATTTGATGAACAAGGAAGATCTAGAACATTAAGTTAATGTATCTTCCTTGTGATGAATCAATGGTAACTATTCTGATATCTGGATTAAGACAATTCTTTACAGCCTTTGGTGAGTTTCAAAAGTCCAGTGTGAGTTAATTATTTGGAACTCAGAATACAATGCTAGAGAGGTCTGGTGCTCTGCCCAGCCCACAAAATCTCATTTGAAATCTAAAGTCGGTGAAATACAGCATATTTATAGTAATTAATGTCAAAGCTATGATGTTGCAATATCAGACATCAAGGAAAACATAAAACAGTAAGAAACTTTAAAAAATTTTTAATAGTATTGCTTGAATAAATGTTAGGTTTAATTATACAATGAAGGGAAATATAAAGATCTATTATAGTAAGAAAGCCATAAGAAAAGAACTGAATAAGGGATGTTACAAGACATGCTAATTTTCAATGAAGTGGAAAAATTGCAAGCAGAGAAACAGAAAAGCAGGCAGGTCGGGATGGCAGAGGGCCAGGTGGTATGCAGAAAACTGAATACACACAGTACTAACAGGTCATACACTCAAAGGGTTCCTCTCACTTTTAAGTATGGTATGTTTTGTGGAACACACACACACTCACACACATGCCACATTTCTACTACCCTGTCTGACCACCTAACATTAATTGCTAAGAATGGGGCCAGCCCAAGGATATCCATGCCTGAAGGACTGTAGAGTAGTGAACAGTCTCCTGAGTTTCCAGCCTAAGGAAAAAGAGTAAATGGGAAAACAGAACATACCTTTCTTAAAACTTCAATCAACTGTTTGGGCATCATCAAAATTGGTTTCTGTGGGCTTAAGTAGGAATAATATCAATTTAATGGATTGAGATAACATGGGAAATCTACAGTACGTTTTGCAGCACATAGTAGATAACCAATAGCTGGTAGTTAATAGTATTACAGGAGAAAACAGATGTGCTTCCTCAAGCCCCCAGCCCAAAAAGGAAAGAAAACATAGTGCATATCTATCTGGTGTATTTTAAGTCACTTTTTGGATTTGAGGTTGAGATTTGGAAGATAAAACCTCTAGAGATGTTTGTCTTTCATTCACTGTGGTTGCATTTTTCATCACGTTTTCTCGAAAGCATTTACTCCTTTGCCCAAAATGCATTTCTGTACGTTAGCTATTCTCAAACTTTTTAGTCTCCAAGGCCTTCAAGCTTGTAAAAATTATTCAAAGGACTTCGTTTGTACAGGTTACATCTGTTGATATTTATCAACTTAGAAATTAAAATTAAGAAATTTAAAATTTTTTTACTTACCTATTAAGTCAAAAATAACAAACCATTTACATATTACCATACTTTATTAAAAATAAACTATAATTTATAAACAAAAATTTAGTAAGAAAGACAGCATGTTTTCACATTTTTGCAAATCTCTTTAACGTCTGGCTTAATAAAGAACTGTTGAATTCTCGTAATTGCTTCTGCATTTGATCTGTTACAATATGTTGTTTTGGTTGAAGTATGTGAAGAAAATCCAGTCTCACACATATATGTAGTCAGAAAAGGCAAGAGCATTTTCATAGCCTTTTCAGAAAATTGTGGATATTCTTTTATATAGCACCTAAACTCAAAAAGTGGTTGTTTCTTTTAAAAAAAATTTAATTAACAAATATAAATTGTATACTATATACAAAATGTTGTTTTGAAATATGTAGACATTGTGGAATGGCTAAATTGAGCTAACATATGCACTACCTCCTTTTTTGTAGTGAAAACACTTAAAATCTATTATCTTAGCAATTTTCGAGAATACAATACATTGTTATTAACTATAGTCACTGCGTTGTGCTGAAAATTTTACTCACCATTATTCTTGCATCATCAGTGCAAATGGTAACACAGTGAATAAATCTGGTAACATGTTAGCATTATGATTTATTCCTCCTAACTGAAATGTATCCTTCAACCAATATCCCCCCACTCCCCACCCTAACCTCTGCTAACCACCATTCTATTCTACATTTCTGTGAATTAAACTTTTTTAGATTCCACATTTGAGATCATGTGGTATTTGTCTCTCTGGGCCTGGCTTATTTCACTTAGTATAATGTCCCTCAGGTTCATCCATGTTGTTGCAAATGACAAGATTTCCTTCTTTTTAAAGGCTGAATAGTATTCTATTGTGTATATATGACACACTTTTAATCCCCTTATCTGTGGATGTGCACTTAGGTTAATTCCCCATCTTAACTGTTTTAAATAATGCTGCAATTAATATGGGAATGCAGATATTTCTTTGACCTACAGATTTCATTTCCTTTGAATAAATACCCACTAGTGGGATTGCTGGATCATATGGCAGTTCTATATTTAATAGGAACCTCCACACTGTTTTTCATAACAGCTGTACTAGCTTACATTGAACATGTGATTGTTTCTTAAAGGTGAGTTGCAGTGTAGAATCTTAAATCATATTAATAAACTTTGCATAATTTATTACATTAAAATCCATTATCTGTCTCATACTTCATATATATCCTTAACTTAGGTATGATTTTATAACATCATGCATTGATCATTTGGAGGATATTGGTTTACAGATCTTACGTAGGCCTTCCAAATATTGACCCATTTTACTTAACGATAACAAAAACACGAATTTTGTTAATATAACCATTGATCTCACCAATCTTTTATCTCAATCAAAAGTCTTTTAGGTACTGGGAAGCTGTCATGCTCATGGAGACAAAGGCAAGTTTTCCAAAATTCTAATTTTTGCTAGAAAGCTCCAATTTTATCACTGGCAACAAATACTGTCATTTGTTTTACTTGAAGTGACAGCTTAATTCTTTTTTTTCAATTAAAAAAAAAAACCTGTGAAATATCCAAGATTGAATAACCATAGTTTGTCTGTCAGTCTTCTTTCACTTAAAATGATGTTCCACAAAAACACATGTAGCCTAGCTCACAATCAGTTGCACAGATGTTTCACGTGTGTGCACACAATATATTCTTCAGTGTGCAGCAAGTCTTTATGTATACTTTCCATTTCATCACACAAAATGTTAAAAAGACATATATTTGAGGGTGATATTTAAGAAAATTAATTTTTTTTGAGACAAAGTCTCACTCTGTCACCCAGGCTGGAGTGCAGCGGCATGATCTCAGCTCACTGCAGCCTCCACCTGCGGGGTTCAAGCAATTCTCCTGCCTCAGCCACCATGCCCAGTTAATTTTTGTATTTTTAGTAGAGACAGGGTTTCACCACATTGATCAGGCTGGTCTCGAACTCCTGACCTCAAGTGATCCTCCTGCCTCGGCCTCCCAAAGTGCTAGGATTACAGGCATAAACTGTAATCCCACAGTGCTGGGCTGAAAATTAGTAATTTTTAATGTTTCATCAAGGACACCCTGAAGTAAAACAAACTTTTAAAAAACCTGTAGTTAAAAATTACTAGTGAAGTCTGAGAGAACTCTCTCAATTCTTGTGGAGGTGCTGAAAGTTTTACTCATCATTGTTCTTGCACCATCAGTGCAAATGGTAACACAGTGAATAAAGCTGGTAACATGTTAGCATTATGATGAAGAGTGTATTGATTTTATGGATACCCTGAAAGAGTCTCAGGGTCTCCCAGGAGCCCATGGATCACCCTTTGAGGAACAGAACCATACAGAATGCTTCTTTCTAAGTTTGCCTTGTTTTGTCTTATTTTAAAGCATCTCCCTTCTGACCTACAGCTTTTAGGTCATTGAGTTACAGAATCCAAAATTGTGACTATGCCGTAAGAATATTCAGAATAAAATTCAGATAATAGGTGTTGGTTAAAATGAATTTAGTAATCTGTTTGCTGACAGTTTTGAAATGCTGTAGGAGATATTGATGCTCAATGGATGCTTAATAGGAGACTCTGTCATTGATTGGAACTTCCAGGGTATTTCTTCTGAAAGGACCCCAGAGAAGAGAGAATAAAATTGTTGGCACCTGCCAGTTGCTTAATACCCTCCAAAAAGGCTGAGTTTCTAAATAAATAAATGCTGTACTTATATAATACCTTGCTTGCGTAATTGCTGATATTTGCTCCCTAATTGTTCCAAGAGAAAGGAAATGGATGGAATTATGTCCTAATGTTGTGCCAAGAGCAAAGAAACTAGGTATATCTTCAGCCCTACATATAATTTGTTTCAGGGCCAGTCTGTTGCTGTCAGTGGCATACTCTGCTATTTACTTTTAGCAACCAGGATTTAATTAAGTGCAGTTCATTGCCCCCTTCACAGTTCTTATCAGATCCTTCAGAAGTGTAAAGCCACTGTTGCTGCCTGAAACATGCTGCCCAAATGGGAAAATTATGGGAAAAATATATCTATTTCTTCCCCAGAACTGGATGGGAAAGTACCCAAAAGGAGAATATATATAAATGAGTGAATTTCTTACATGTGTAAATATGGCAAGTTAGTTAATTAAAGCCTATTCCGTTTGGCTCTCAGATACTATTAGGCTAAAAATTTGCTTAGCTCTTAGTCCCCACTCCACAAAGCACTGTCACCCTCACCACCACAGTCTGGCATCTAGCAGCATTTCCTCTGAGCGTTAGAGTGCAGGACCTGGACCTATTGATTTGGGGCAGAGACAGACACAGTTCTTTCTCAGAGGTACATTTGTATTATCCCAGCTTATGAAACCCCAAAGCAGTTTATTAAATTCTGTAGTGATAAATGTAAGTGTTACAAGGATACTCTCCATAGAAAGGGAAATAGAACCAGGGAGTTTCTTAAGATTCAGTCAGAATAAGGCCAATTAGCTGGGTCACTCAAATATTTGAGAGCACTGAGCTAAGCATATATTTCAATAGCAAAGGTAAATTTGTCATTACAGTCTTTTCCATGTGAACTTGTCATTGTCATTTTTGCCTGGGCATCTCCTCTTCACATTGGAAAGAGTGAGGCTTGTCCATTGTCAGATAGGTCCCAGGCATCTCAGCATTACTTCTTATCGTTGTCTGTCCTTTGATTACTACGTAGCCTCCTTTAGCTAGAAATTAAATGAAGTAATGGATACGGATCACATAATAAAATGCTTGGCATAAGTTAGGAGAGCAAGTATTAATCCCCTTTCTGATGCTTGCCTTTTCTATGCTTCTGATGAACACTTTATTCTCTTAGGTATCCAAATACCCTAAGTGGAATTATTGTTAAGTCTTGTCACTAATGGTTAATATTTACTGAGTGCTCACTGTGCACTAGGCATTACATTTAATAAATTTTTAAAATACATTATTTCCTTTACTCCTCACAGCAATCTGTGACAAGTGCTATAATTATTTCCGTGTTATAGAAGAGGAAACTGAGATACGATATTTAACTAATTTACCTGTCTGGAAAAGGGCAGAGCTGAGATTGGAATCTAGGCAGTCTAACTCCACCAACCATGTTTCTGGTTGGTACCCTACACTGACACTCAAGTGTGACCTGCCTAGGCATCATTCTTTATCTTCCTAAAGGGACTTTGCATACTCTAGCTCACTTCATTATGTGTTGATTTACAGTTTAATTCTCAGAGGACATCTTGGTTCCTATATTTCTATATTCTATATGGGAACATGCTACCATCACCTTAATTCATAAGCATTTCTGATTGCTGAATTCATAAATTAGAAAAATATGATACTCATGCCCACAATGAAAGCAATATTCCACTATTCAGGAAAATAGGTTCGAGTAATTATCCTAGCATACATTCACATTTTACATCAGTATTTATTGATCACTTACTGTTTTCCAGGCATTGTTTTTGTTTGTTTGTTTTGTTTTTTGAAGTGGAGTTTCGCTCTTGCTGCCCAGGCTGGAGTGTAATGGCATCATCTTGGCTCACTGCAACCTTCACCTCCCGGGTTCAAGTGATTCCCCAGCCTCAGCCTCCCGAGTAGCTGGGATTACAGCCATGTGCCACCATGTCCGGCTAATTTTGTATTTTTAGTAGAGATGGGGTTTCTTCCTGTTGGTCAGGCTGGTCTCGAACTCCTGACCTCAGGTGATCCACCTGCCTCGGCCTCCCAGAGTGTTGGGATTATAGGCGTGAGCCACTGCTCCTGGCCCCAGGCATTATTTTAGGTACTACTGATACACCTTAGACCAGAGATTGTCAGCCTCTTCACATTGACATTTCAGGCAAATCATCCTTTGTTGTGGGCAGCTGTCCTGTGCTTTGTGGCATGCTTAGCAGCATCCTTGCCTTCCTCCCACAAGATGCCAAATAGCATCACCCTGTCTCCAGTTGTGACAACCAAAACTGTCCCCAGACATTGCCAAGTGTCCTCTGGAGAGAAACAGCAAAATTGCTCCTGGTTGAGACCCTCTTGCCTGGGCCCTGCTTTCATGAAGCTTCTATATGAATGGACTGAAAAAAGAAGACAAGGATAAATAATAGAATTGCAGGTAATATTGATAGAGCAGGAGGGAGGGGCCTATTTAAGTATGATAGTCAGATACCTCACCTCCAAGCCTTCTTCACACCCCAAAGCACTGCTCAAACTAAACTTCTCTGAATTGATTAAGTGGCATAGTACTGCAAAATCTCCTTCAGCAAAAGGCTTTTATGGGCCTACTTCGATTATAGCTCATGTTCAAGCTATAAACACAGCTCTTCCTGACCTACTCCAGGACTCAGAAGGAAAGAAATACAAGTTAAATTAAACTCAGAATTGGTGGCAGTGTTTTTGTTTGTTTATTTCTTTATTTTCCTTATTCTTATTCTGCTCCCATGGAGTCTTAGTGCTTCTCTCTATTTAGAAATGAAGAGGGACTGCAAGCTCAGCTGCCAGCCTGGCAGATAACAACAGCAGAAGTTGCAACATCACCTTCTGTTCTGTTTTTATTTGGACACATTTCCCTGAGATTTACTGAGATGGGATTAGGATAATAGTTCAGAGATTATTTTCGCCTAGCCCAGTGAATACTTGAAAAACAAACTATCTTTTCAGGTATAAAAGATTGCACTTCAAAAGTTCCAATAAAAGCCTTTGATGCAAATTTCTCCTGATCTAAGTTTCAAACTCTGCCAGAAATGACTGTTAATCTACAGTTGGACAATCAGAGATGATAATGCTTTTTATATTTTCATATGATTATCACCATTTTGTCAGCAGCTTCCTATTTGCACCTTGCAGACCATTTCATTACCTCTCTCAGCAACAGCTATGGGATGGTGTGACTGACTCCCTGCCTGCCTGTCCCTCCTCTGAGTTCTGTCTCCTTTTCCTCAACACTCTCAGGCTGAAAGACAGGCATCCATAGATTAACAATTCTCCCTCATTGGTCTGTAGACAATTGTCCTTCTGGCTTTACTCTGTATTGATGCTCCAGGTCCAATAGCTGACCCTTGTTGTCCTTCCTACCCTCTTTCTCTATTCTTATAGGAACTGCATTGTCAGCAAAAATACCTAATGCCCATGGCAAGGACCTCCAGTGCCAATCACAGACATTCATTCGTTCACTTATTTGTTCATTCATCCTATAGACATTTATGGAATGCAACTGTAATTCAGACCACATGCTAGGTACAGATACCCCTTGATAGTCCTACCAATCTTTCTAGGCCTCTTGCTATTGGGTGCTATGCTTTAACCAACTGCCTAGAATGTCTCCCATGATTTGAACCTAAGCCCAGCTAAATTGTTTGCTTCATCTTTAAAAACCAATTTGAAGTTTATATTCCTTCCAGCCTTGATCTAGCCTACCCCAGAACTGGCTAGTTCCCTATTTTCATGTTAAAGTTTAAAAGTTTATTCTAAAAGCAAAGGTTTGTTTTTTTCTTATGGCCTTCTAGCTGCTTTTCATTGCATAGAAAGGACTAATTGGCAGTGGCGGATGTTGTTGTTGGGTTGGTTTGTTGTTGTTTGCTTTTTTGGGAGGGGAAGGCATTTGAATTTTACCAGGTATCATCAATTTACATATCTATAAACTTGGGGTAAAGACTTTATTATTAATCAAATAACGGATGTGCTATTTTATAATAAATGTTGCTACTAGTAAAAATAAATATTAAAATAAAAATCTATCTAGAATATTTCTAGAACAGAGTAGATAATATATGAATATAAGGGTAAGACAGATAATAATCTTAACTATCTATTGAATCATAGAATCTCAAAGATCTACAAGAACTTATTAGTGACTTACCAAATCCCATGCCTAAAAATAATTATAACTATTAATAATGTGATAACTAGCATTTAATGAATAATGTCTATGTACTGTGTTATCAGTGAAGCATATGATTGATTTAGTTTAATACTGGAAATTTCTCCTCTCCAGCACTGGGAACTGGCCACTGATCACAGCAGCCCCAGATGTTTCACAGCAACTCTGAATATTACAGACTTATTCCGTTTACCCAGGCTAAACCTTCCCCCTCTGGAACCTGGCCGATCAGGCCTAGTCTCTCTTCCTATGACAGCCCCTTAAATATTTGACAACAATCATACTTTTCTTGAATCTTCTTTTATCCAGGTGGAACAATATCAATAATTCATTTAATCAATCTATCCACTTATAGTATGAGATTCTTTTCTGGAGGAGTTCCTCCAATCCCTGGATTCAACCTATCCCTCCTATTGAATATCATTGCGTCTCAAATTGAGGCCCAGATAACCAAACATTGTGTTTCAGGCATAAACAGAGCTGGGGAATTCTCCATTTGGTTCTTTATTTTATTTTAATGTAAATAAGTTGATATAAGGACTTCAGCTTGGAGTTGAGTGGTGGAGAGAGATAGAGAGCAAGGATAGAAAGCATTGTTTGCCAGAGAGCTGAGTTTCATAAATTAAGTTACATGCGTGCTGACTTTCATGTATGCCAAGAGTTTAAAAGTAATCCCTGAAAAACAGTCACATAGAACAGTTATGGCACAGCATAACCCACCAAATAGGCATTAATATCCTTCCCAGCACCATTATTATATAAGGATTGTACTATATTCAGAACTTGTTTAACTACTTTATAGCTGCCTTTCAATTAATATACATTGATTATTCACTGGATATGAGGTACTGCTACAGTAGGCAGAAGCTTGCTAATGAGGACTCACCACATTCTTCCCAAAGCAGCAGAGAGTCTGTGAGAAGCCACTGAGGCATTCTGGGAACCCTCTAGGGCATCCTAGAGCCAAATTGAATGTGGCATCAGGATGACAAGAATTAAGGCACTTGGGAGCTGCACTGGGGTCCCCCCTTAAAGGTTGCCCAACTGGAAGCTGGGTGTCTCTGAGAAACTCCCACCCTTCATGTTGGGATTATCTGGGCTTTAGAAGGAGCCCACTGATTTGAGGAAGAGTACTTTTCTTTACTACTTAAGGCTCTTGAATGCCATCTTACTACCCAATCTTACTACCTTGGTAGAGGAGAACAACTTTCACATTCCACTTTACTTCAGGCTGGGTTGCTTTCCTTCCTTCCTTCCTTCCTTTCTTTCTTTCCTTCTTTCCTTCTTTCTTTCCTTCCTTCCTTCTTTCTTTCTTTCTTTTCTTTCTTTTCTTTCAACGGAGTCTCGCTCTGTTGCCAGGCTGGAATGCAGTGGCGCGATCTCGGCTCACTGCGACCTCCGACTCCCTGGTTCAAGCAACTCTTCTGCCTTAGCCTCCCGAGTAGCTGGGATTATGGTCACGCACCACCACGCCCAGCTAATTTTTGTATTTTTAGTAGAGATGGGTTTTCACCATGTTGGCTAGGGGGGTCTCGATCTCTTGACCTCATGATCTGTCCACCTCGACCTCCCAAAGTGCTGGGATTACAGGCGTGAGCCACCGCACCTGGCCCAGACTGGCTTTCTCAGGGAATCATGCTGCCTTGGCTCCAGTGTGAAATCTCTCTGCTTACAGAAATTCAGACCCTCCCAGAAATGTCACAGCAGCACTGCCCTGTCCCAAACTAACACTACCTGGAATTCATGTGAGTAACTAGCATGCCATAACTTAGCAGCAGGCTACTGCAAACATCTCTGAGTATTAGGTATAACTGGAAACAAACAAAAAAAAGGAATTTGACGACTATTTCTGGTAACATTCTGGAGACATGGCCAGTCTTTAGTGGGTACAGTGACTTTGTACCTAAGAGTGGCAAGATGTGTCATGGCTCTTGGTTCCTCAGGGCCTCTCCTGTGTTAACCATTGCTGCTTTTAATTATAATTAGAGCCCATGGGTTCTTAGCCATGGTGGTAAAGCACATACCCAAATATTTTGAAATCTTAATAAAAGAAGAATGCATGATGTTAGTTTAACTTTCAAAATTAACACTCATTAAAAAGTATGTGATTTGCATTAGCACATTCTTATTTTGTGATAAGAGTCTACAAGAATCACTCTTAAATTATGGCAGCAGCCTATCCCCAGTTCCTGGGCTTAAACACAATATGACAAAAGAATCATAAGCAATGTGTTAATTAGCCTGTTTCTGATTTTACCTTCAATTCCACATATTTCATGATTTTCAGGAAATCTGTTTATTCTTTATTATTCTCTGCAGGTGTTTTGAGAATATATTCATTGGGTAAACCAGAAATGTTGGCAACAAAATCCCAAGATCCAGTTTCCTTGTCTAGGCTCTTGGTCAGAAGCATCTGACCAGTATCCCAATTTTAACCTTAAACATATTTCAGATTATATGATAGAAACTGCCTTTTTTAAAAGCTGAGATTATGTTTTCTGCTCCACATTTTGAGGGTAGATGCCAACATGAAATCTTAATAAAATTATCATTATGTAATTCACAGCAATCAGATTGTATATTCCTTAATTACATGATTTGTTAAATATCCATACATTATTAAGCATCATCTTTTATACCTATAAAATTATAAGCTCCTGCTATATAATATAATCTAGATCTACCCGGCTAGAACAAAACTGTATAATTCATCAAAAATTACATTTTTCTTCAGCTGTATATTATGTTGTTCTCTCTAAATTATCTATCACTCTTATCATGGCCAATGTAATTGTGAGGGATAATAGAAAATGGGAATAACATTGATATTTTAAATAAAAAAAATAAGCTAAATCTCTTTTGAGTAAGTAGTTTCAAGCTTCCCTCACCAGATCGTGGCCCACTTATATCCTTTTATTGTCCTATTCACCCTCTAGTGGAATTCTTAGTAAGTAGTGGAAGTACATATAGAGAGAGTGAAACTGCAGAAATAAAGGAGATAGCCAAAAAGCCACAAAACTGAATAATTCATGGAACATGTAGGAGTCGACTGTATTATCATCAAGAGGATGTTTTTGTGAATGTTAATTATTTATGACTACTTGTAATGTTTATGTTTATTAGTTGAGGTACATAGAGAATAAAATTGCATAGCAGCTAGTAAAATAACTTTTAAAAGATTCCAGTTTAAACACACTCATTAGTTTAAAAGGCTTTCTGGGATTACAGACATTAAAACATTTAAATCTTACTAGGGAGTCAAAAGGCTCTCCAAGGATTTGTAGTCACTTAAACATCTCTATTTTTGAGTTACAAGTTTGGGTTAGTCACTGTTGATTTGTATATTTTTAATCATCAAGAATATCTGAGAAATATACAATTTGGCACCTCACTTTATAATCTGAAAAGAACAGCACTGAGGCTTAAAAAATTTTTTGAGCAAAAGAAGAACATATTTTTTAGTTCATTTCAACCAGTCTTTTTCCTTCAGCCTAATATGGATATAAAATGTAACTGGCATTAGCGTTTCCTAGTATTGCTGCAGCCTGCCAGAATGTTGAGACCTTTGCACAATGAATCCATTATTACAATAAATATGAAAAGACGACATAATATTCTAAACAGCTCATCACATTCTTTCTAATGTTCCCTGTACTGAAGAAAATATTTTAATGTATACTAAGTATTTGAATTTATTTTCAAAATAGTGAATTCATGCTTTCAATTGTTGCCCTTTAGGAGTCCTTAGTGCACATTTGTAAGGTAACGACAAACTGAATCTTTAATAATGATCGTAATGATCACTTTAACACTGGAAGAAAACTCAATGTTTTCCTAAGTTTCTCAAGGTCATTTTTTCACTCCATAGCTTTTCAACATAATGTAGTTGTTGTCATCTTAGGAATAAGGATTTTCACAAAGTCAGGCTCCAGCCTGTCTATTCTGATTCTGGAAAACCTTTGGCAATTTTCATGCTAGGTGGAGGACTTTGTTAAATAAATAGTGTGATTTTAAAGGTGCTCATTATCCTCAATATTAAACACTTATAGTGAAACCTGCATATACCCACTAGGGCAGTGTTACTTATTATTAATAAGATTTTTGTATGGGTTTTTGAGCCTGTTCATGAAGTTGGCAAAAGCTGAGAATGTTATTCGTCCCACCTTGTAATGTGGGCAGGTAATGGAGAATTACTATTGACTAAGGGAAGAGGAAAATTTAGGCTTTGTTGAAGGAATATTAACTTTAGTAGTATTCCTTTCCATTCTAGATATCTCGATTCATAGAAAAACCTACAGATATGTATAAATCCATATAGAAGATAGAGAATAAATCTCAAGAAGGGCTCTGGTAATACAGATGGTGTGTATACACTACACTCACAGGTGGATGAAATGGAGAGGGGTTCCTTGATCAGAATTTTGAACAAGCACACCCTATGAATATTATTGAAGTAAATAGGGAGTCTCTTCAGTTTCCTGCAACGTCTTTTCTAGAACTCTGTAAGAGAAGAAAAAAAGTAAGTCAGATGCTTTCTCAGCTGTATTGACTTTAGAAGCTGGCTTACATATTTTCCACTCTTTAACTCGTTTTCTAGTTTTTTAACCATTTTTTGAAAAAATTGGGTCTTGCTTATTAATATTTTCCTCTTGGTACATCTCCATCACCTATTCTCCTAATCTAATCTAGAAATCAAGAAACAGAGGTAAAGACATACATCCTGGTCCCCTCCTATTTATCCTTCTAACTGCATGGGATGTGATCATCTGAACTGCACTGACTGCATATGTACTCTCTTAGCTGGTATTCTTTTTATGGTTCAGTATTTTAAGAAATGTCTGATTGTGCTTCCTGCCTTTTCAGTAAGCTATACCCTTTAAATCAATATTTTAAAAGGTCATCTTGACAGTTACTTCAGAATAAACAAATGACAATACAACATCTCTCATTAGATGATGAAAATCACAGTGAAAAACTGGACACATTACTTAAATTCCTGTCTTTTGTTTATAATAAACTAAAAAAAAATTCATGTTAAGAAATGGCAATAAACTTATTTTCTAGATGTAAGCATTTTAACTTGGTAGTTTTAAAATTAGGACGATACAGCTCATACAAACAATAAGAAACCATATCTGTTATATTTTACATTTTATTGTGAAAAAGGGCATATTTTACATCCAGTGCTGATTATATTTAATGTCTAAAAGTCATTTTGAGCTATTAAGTAAATGATGTGAATTTACCAGAGTAATAATCACCACTTTTAACTTTACTTGATTTGCCACAAGTCAATGCCTCATATAAACTGTACATTACAGATTATTTTAGAAGCAATATGACATCGGAAGTACCAAATACAGTGCTACAAATTTTTTAAAGCACAGACCACGTATTCAAATGATTTATTCTTCTTTACAAATCTCCATCTGAAGCTACTAGTTTTATTATTCTTATTACTTTATTTATTTATTTATTTTTTGAGATGGAGTCTTGCCCTGTCACCAGACTGGAGTGCAGTGGCGCGATCTTGGCTCACTGCGACCCTGCAACCTCCGCCTCCCGGATTCAAGCAATTCTCCTGCCTCAGCCTCCTGAGTCACTGGGATTACAGGCATGCGCCACCATGCCCAGCTAATTTTTGTATTTTTCGTAGAGACGGGGTTTCTCCATGTTGGCTAAGATGGTCTCGATCTCTTGACCTCGTGATCCACCCACCTCGGCCTCCCAAAGTGCTGGGATTACAGGTGTGAGCCACCGCGCCTGGCCAGTTTTGTTATTCTTAAGAGGCTCACAGCCTTCTGAGAGGAAGTGAGATAGACCCATGTTTTCATTTGAGTGAATGTGAGTACCAGGGTACCTGTCCAATGGTTCCTCTTTAGGAAGCACTCTCAGGATTCAAAATGAGAATAACACACGGGTAGCCACTTTGGCTAAGATCCTTAAATTTTTACATTATTAGAAAAGCCACATGTATAATAAATTAGGTGATATGACAAATCCTGAAATGTCTCCACCTACCAGTCCAGGATGGGTGGTCCTGATCAGCAGGTGGCTTTCCTCTATGTGATGATTCACAGAACCAGGCCCATTTCATCTCAAAGCTCAGCCAACCTCTTGGACCACAGAATTCCTCAGATTCTAGCCACCAGTAGGGGGAAAAATGGCATAGAAAAAGGGCAGCTTTACAGGAGCAGGCGCCTAGAAGTACCTCGTATCACCTTTGTTCACAGCCCATTGGCTACAACTTAACCACATGACTTCACTGCAAAGGAGTCTGGGAAATGTAGTAGAGCTGCGTGCCAGGAAGAGGAGAACAGTCAGTGGTCTTTGCCACACCTACCGTTCCATATGTTCCTAAAAATGAGGAAGGCACTCAGCTATTTTGGACTGGCTTCTAGGGCTACCTCTGTCACTAAGGAATTATGAAAAATTTAGCAAGTTCTGACCTCTGCCTTTTGTATGATTTGGTCTCATAAAGCTGACAGTCTTAAAGAAAAGACATTAAGTCAACACACAAATAAATATATCATTACAATTTTCAGCTAATATAGGCTCTAAAAGAGCTTGGAACATGCCTCTCTGGCACTTACAACAGTGCTTAGTGCACAGTAGGTGCTCAGCAATAGTTGTTGAATTAATGCATGCCTACCTCCATGGATGAATGAATGAAAATATATGAGGGGGAAAAATAGTTGCTGTAAAAGAAAGCAGTAGGGGAATCTAAATTAGTTTGGCAATCAGGGAAGGTCTTTCTGAGGAAATAATATTGACATTAAAACATAAAGGCTGACTAGGAGTTAGCAAAAAGAAGAGTTGTGTGGTGGACAACATTTTTCAGGAAGAGGGAACAGCATATTAAAGCATCTGAGTTGGGAAGAGATTAATACATTTGAGGAGCTGGAAAACGGCCAGAGTTATAAGACCCCAGAGGGTCTGAGTGGTAATGGCAGAAGTGAGGCTAAAAAAATAGGCAAGGGCTGTATCAGGCAAGGTTTATAACGTATGTCTAGCCTTTTGGTCTTTCCACAGTCACGATGAAAAGTATAAGGAAGGAAAGGGGGTGATGTGATTATATTTTCATTTTAAAAGATCATGCTGGCTTTCTGTGAAGAGTAGGTTGAGGTGGGGTAAGAGTAGAAGCAGTAAGTTTGACTAGTTGGGAGACTATTGGAAATCATCCAAATAGGATACCTAAATCAGTGCAGTGGTTTAAAACAAGGTGGAAGCACAGCAGATAGACGGATTTGAAATACATTTTGTAGATAAAGGGAAATTGGAGTAGATGGGTAAATACAGCAATAAAGTCCTCTGGCTCTGTTTGTCATTATTCTCTTTAGAGATGCCATTAAAATGACTGCTGCCACTAAAAGTAGACCTTTCAAGACAGTTAGTGTTGCTTTATTCAGATTCTTTTAGAAGCTTTGTTCCGACTCTCAAGATTTTTCAAAAATCAGTCAAATAGCAAGCATTTAAACTTAGGCTAGATTACTGGGATTCTTCAAAACTTGTTCCAAGTTATATTGTATTTCTGTTTCCCTTTGTCTTCAAGAAATAGATTAGGTAAGTTGCATAATCACAGTGAAGAATTTTGTATGTGTGCATGTGTATGTGCAAATGTATTTTTAAGTGCCCACACACATTAACTTTAAAATATTTTTGTTAAAAGGTAAATTTTGGACAATCTTTAATATTTTTCTAATGTGGTACTGTTGGTTCTCATTTTTCAATTTAATGTTTTAGGAAGTAATTCAAATATTCTAATAGTGTTAATTGAAGCCAGTGTTCTGCTCTTTCGGAGACCATTCTAATGATTCAGGTGTTTATTAGAATGTTTTTTTGGAGATAAGAACACTGTGTACAGAAGGCTGGAAATTTGATGTTTTTGCATTCCATTCTGCTCTCCTCTCTCTCCCCATTCATTCTTGGGTTACAAACTTATCTCTGTCTGTATTTATCATCTTGAAATGGACATTATAGTGATTTCCCAGAGGTATTGAGAGAGCTATTTCAATGTTTATAAGTCAGCTTTTAAGATGACGTGCACAAAAGAAGATTATGATCTTGGGATTGATATATCTGCAAAACGGCTGCTATTGCACAAGTAAGAATGCTGTGAGGGACTGGTGAATTTCCTGTGGGGACGTTATACCCACGATCAGTGAAATACTTCTGGTAGGTTCCCTCCCTCAACCTAAAGATAGAGCCTCATTTCTGTGACTCTTCTGGCAATAGCATTTACATGTGTTAAATGTTATTGCAATTTTAAATAATTTATTTGAATAATTTTCATCCAAAAGGCACTATTTTGAGCTACAAGTTGTTGGATTAAATTAAATGCTTATTTGCATTCTGGAGAAAAAAATTGAGGGAATTATGATTTCTACAGAAAAAACTTTTGGTTGTTTCTGCCAAACACATTAATGTTTATAACCTCATTTTTTCATTTCATGTCTATTGGGATATCCTTCACTTTCTTTTTGATATCTACTCCAGATTAACTTTTACCTACATTCTGTTTTAAGATTTTTTCAAAGATCTTTTAAAATTATTTCTTTATTTTCCATTGCTTTTTCCTGTCACATAGCCACCTCACTTCAAGATTATGCTATACGTGATCCAAAGCATAGGAAATTGAGGGAAACTTGTAAATTCACTTTGTTGCTCTGACTTCAGTTTGTATGTGGTTGTAGGATAATAATATAAAAATGACATGTGTTTGCCTTCAAATTCCAAGCTGTGAATTGTAATTCCTGGCAGGTATTTCACTTATTCCAAAAGTGGTAGTTCACAACCTAGCAAAAGAAAAAAAAAAACTGAAGTCTTGGATAAAGTCCTTTGCACAGGAGAACTTGAGAGTCAAAAGACTTAAATTTGTTTCAAGTTTCTCCGTTGCACGGATCAGCCAAGCAGATCTCTGATTACACTGCTTTCTGGCACCTGGCACCTGAAAATCTTCACTTCCTGAAAGCCAAGTGTTTGAAGACAAAACGTTGACCTTCCAAGCATCTGGATTTACTGCCAAAACACTAAATAAGAACTACAAGCAGAAAGACCATGAGTCAGATGAACTCTTCATTTTATTTCAAGGATGAAGTTCCAGATACATGAATCAACTGTAAATAGTGAAAGAAATATGTGAGTGTGAGTGTGTGTGTGCATGTGCATGTTTGTGTGTTTTTCCTACTTGTAAACATCTGCTTTGTTCCTACTTCTCCTTTTGAGACACAGTCTTTTTATAGTAATGGTGGAAATTAGATCCTTTCCTTTTTCGACACTGTTAATCATCGTTTGAATTTGAAGCCAGTATCTCTACCTCAAAATAGAATGAAAATTCAGTTTCTTAGCCTGTGGCACCTTCAGGCACTCTGTTAGCATTCAATAAACATTTATTGAGCTTAGAGACAGACACTATACTAGGCCCAGAAGGCAAAGCTGCTGCAATTGGATGTTCTGTCCTAATATTAGTAAATAACATAAAATTAGTGCACTGAATCAGACCCTTTGTCCTGCTAAAACCACACTTTTTCTATTATAGTAGTACTAGGATATGTGTTAATACAGAATATAGTTATTCTTTTTACTGTCAGATTAAGAATTTACCTCTAATTCTTCATGTACATTAGTAATTTATTATAGTTCTACTACCCTGAATCATTTGAATGTTTAAAAATTATTTTCTATTTTCAACCCAATCCTACTAATATTAGTAGTACACCCTTTTATTGATCTTACACTTACCTCTTGAAACAACAATAGATTTCTAGTGGATAAGCTCATTGTCATCTTTTCCAGACCATTCAAAGCTTTCTAGACTTTACGTCTTCTTTTCGCAAACAGAATGCCCCATATTTTTGTAGTCTGTCTTTATACAGCTACCTCCCTATTCTCCTTAGACACTTCATATATATCTTGTGAGCTGTGGCAACTAGAATTACAAGTGGTATTTAAGATGTAGACACAATGTTTTTGTAAAAATGGCCACATTTTGTTAATGTATAATTGCATTTATGATATCATTTACTTATTAGCAATACCTTCCTAGTAAGATTACTATGAGGATAAAACAAGGTAATACTTGAAAAGTATTAGCACAGTGCTTGACATGGTAAACACTCAATAAATGCTAATAGTCATTACTATTTGATTTTGATTTTATAATATTTTAATGGCCATACCCCATATGCTAGCCACTTTTATTTTTTAAATCCTAGGCTTTCCTCATTCAATAATAGAGGATATGCTTGAGTCAGATCAACATTGCTAAGACTCATTTCTGATCTTGTTTGTTTCATTCACTTAACAAATTAACTTAATTAATATTCCAGGCATTGAGCTATGTACTGGAAATACAGCTGCCAGAAGGGCAAGGTCTCTGCATTTATAGGGCCTACCATAAAATGGAAAACTAATAATAAAATTTCATTACGATGCAATGAGAAGTGCAGAATCAATGGGAGAACACAGAAGGGGAAGCTAACCTAATACAGGGACCACTGTGGTTTCCTGGAAGAAGTGATGTTAAAACTCAGACCTGGGCCGAGCATGGTGACTCATACCTATAATCCCAGCACTTTGGGAGGCCGAGGTGGGAAGATTGCTTGAGCCCAGAAATTTGAGACCAGCCTGAGGAACACAGAGAGACCCTGTCTCTGCAAAAAATACAAAAATTAGCTGGGCATGGTAGCCCACACATATATAGTCCCAGGCACTCAGGAGGCTGAGGTGACAGGATCACTTGAGCCAGGGGGGTCAAGGCTGCAGTGAGGCATGATCATGCCACTGCACTACAGTGTGGGTGACAGATTGCGACCCTGTCTCAAAAGAAAGAAAAGAAAAAAGGAAGGAAGGAAGGAAGGTAGGAAGGAAGGAGAGAAGAAAAGAAAAAAGAAACCACAAAACAGCAACAACGAAAACTGAGACCTGAAGGTGAGTAGGAGTTAGCCAGACAGAGGGCGGGGGAGGGAGGACAAAAGTGGAAAGATCACCAGAAGGAATAGCATGTGTAACACTTGGAGGTGAAAGAAAATACTCTTTATTGAGGAACTGAAAGAAATTCAGCATGAGCTCAGAACTCATCAATGAGTTCTCTTCATCCATCCAATAGCATTCAGCCTTCTTAGCTGGATTTTGTGAAATTTGGCCCTATCCACCCTTCCCATTACTTTCCTCACATACCCCACCCACTGTTCCTACATGCCCAGGTGTTTGCTTATTTCCTTGACTGGAATGTTCTTCCTCAAATTTTAGAATTCAGGGAGCATTTACTGAGTAACTGGTACATGCCAGACATTGTGAGCTATCACCCTTCCAATGTCTTTTCATTCATTCTTTTGATGAAAATTTATTAAGCACCAACATATAGAGGGTGCCATGCTACTTTTCCAGCACTAGTTTAAATGACACTTCTGTGAAGGTCCCCAGATGCTTCAACTGACATAATCTCTTCTAGTTTTCTTCATTCTCTGAAGTCCTAATATCCTAAACGTGCCTCTCTTCTGTCTGCTGCCACTTTTTGTACTGCATGACAGCTAAGCAGTTAACGTGAATCCGAAATCTCCATGAGACTTCTGTTCTAGGTGGCCAAGTCCAGGGATCCAATCTATCATCGGGTAATGCCCATCACCCTGCATTAACCTAGGAGCTGCAAAGTTCATAGTAAATATCCAAAGGGGTGGATACATATTCTGAACCTGGATAATGGTGACGTTATTTTGGTACTTCCTAATGATCCACATTGCCAGAACAATGACTTTGTTTCAAAGTGATCATATCTGAATCTAGTATAATTTCTCTTAAATGTCACTATTTCCTGCAGGATTCCAAGATTTACATAAAAACCTGATGGGTGAATAGTATGTTTTTACAGATTACACATCTAAAATACTTGAAACTGTATCACCACTGCTATCAGCTCCGTACTATGCATTTACTCATGCTTTTTATTTATTCTTATAATCATGGTAAATCAAAAAAGGGAAAAAAACGAATAGGCTTCTACCTGTTGATTGCTAAAAATAAAATTCAGCCTCACCTTTAGCATTTCAATTTTATAGTCCTCTACCTGGATTTATAGCTAATATTTTTAGTGATTGCTTATGCATTTCCTAGGCACACCAATCTAATTTGTAGCAGGTTCTGTGATTCATAGTGACTACTAGAATTGAATTCTGCTTGTCTCTATAGTGAATACTATAGTTAAGGCTTGATTCTTTCCAATGTATCATTTATGTGATTGAAAGAACAAGAAAAAAAAAACACTTAACACTAAAGAGTTTTTTAAAAATACCACTGAGGGTCAGGTGCAGTGGCTTATGCCTGTAATCTCAGCAGTTTGGGAGGCTGAGGTGGGCGGATCACTTGAGGTCAGGAGTTTGAGACCAGCCTGGTCAACGTGGTGAAACCCCATTTCTACTAAAAATGTAAAAATTAGCTGGGTGTGGTGGCACACACTTGTAGTCCCAGCTACTTGGAGGCTGAGGCATGAGAATCGCTTGAACCCAGGAGGCAGAGGTTGCAGTGAGCCAAGACTGCGCCACTGCACTCCAGCTTGGGTGACAGAATGAGACTCCATCTCAAAATAAATAAACAATAAAAACAAAAAATACCACTGAGGAATCCATGCTAAAATATCAATATCAAACAGCTTTGAATTGGAGACTCACAATACAGTATATGTCTTCAGATACATTGTCTCACTTCAGCCTCCTTATATCTATCCAAAGGGTTTTGATGAGTTTTTCTTGTCAGCCATTTCAGATAATTTACTAAAGCCAACATTCAGAGTGTTCCTATGAGAGGAAGGCTTGGGACAGGGATGACTCCTCAAGGAACTGTGGATTTATTTATAGGACTTGGGTGGTCTCAGTAATTCACCTGGTGAGCTTGCTCAATTTTTTCTCCTGTTATTGGCCAACCATCTTCCAGCTGGATTAGTGACATTCTCAAATAGCTGATGTGATAGAGCTGTTGCAAATTGGCAGGAAGACTTTCACCTTGGAAACAGCACTTTGCAAATGTCCCTGTGACCCCATTTCAATGTAGTTACTTCCCATGCCTTACCTTAGTTAATAATCCTCGAGCAGTTACCAGTTACTGAGTGACAGTCGTGTACTAGGTACAATACATTCATTATCTAAATCAAAACTCAAGATTTCTCTAAGTAAGCTCTATTATTACCTTTATATTAAAGATGAGGAAACGCTTTTAGAGAAAATAAGTCACAGATGTAAGTCCATGCTGTTGGTCACTATGCTGTACTTGCCAGTGTATACTCAGAACACACGCAGTACCTTTAATACTAACTGCAACAAAGTTAAATATGAAAGTTAATCTCTTGGGAACATTCTAAAAACATACCTCATATGGGTACATTCTAAAAAAATACCTCTGAATCCAAATGCAGATTTTATAACTTATCTTCCATGTGGGATAATCTATGTTCCACTATGTATGTGTTTAGAAAGTGGACTGTAAAATCTGTAAATAATTTTTTTTTTTTGAGACAGAGTTTGCTCTGTCACCCAGGCTGGAGTGCAGTGGTGCAATCTTGGCTCACTGCAACCTCCGCCTCCTGGGTTCAAGCGATTCTCCTGCCTCAGCCTCCCAAGTAGCTGGGATTACAGGTGTGTGCCACCACACCCAGCTTATTTTTGTATTTTTCGTAGAGACGGGATTTCACCATGTTGGCCAAGCTGGTCCTGAATGCCTGACCTCAGGTGATCCACCTGCCTCGGCCTCCCAAAGTGTTGGGATTACAGGCATGAACCACCGTGCCCGGCCTAATTTTTTTAATAGGGATAATAATATTAAGAAATTCTTTTACTAACACATGTAGTTTTTCAGAACTCCATAATATGCAGGCAATATATGATATTCGATTATTAAATCCAGCAAAAATGTAAACCCCCGTTTAAGTAGACAGGTAAGTAAACTGCTAGGTTCAAGAGGTGACCTTCCCACACTCTGCCTACCTACTCAAGCCCTTCTCTGAATCGGTTATTGGACATATTCACTGCCTCCTTCTCTCTTACATAATTGGTGTTACTTTAGAGTAAGGGGAAGATTAGCATCACCCAAACATAACTCAGACCATTCCAGCCCACCAAGGCCTCCTCCCCCACCTCCCACCTCCACTTGCCTGCTCAAAGATGCTAAGAATCCTACTTGCTTAACTTTATCTGGTAAAGGAAATGGTGGCTAAAGGCAAAACTAAGCAGGTATTTCTGAGTATTATGTTCACCTGTATTAGCTATTATTAAATGAAAAAGAAAAGTTCTCAGATAAGCAGACTATTGTGCATTTTACCCTTGTATCTTTCAATTTACTCATGTGTCTTCACTTTTTATCACAGAAATTATATGGATATTAATTTCTAAAAATATCCAAAGGGTAACTTCTCATGTTAAATTGTGTCCTCTTTTCTATAAGTGTTTAGGTTTACTATTAATAATTAATAAGACAGTAATATTCCTGGGAGCTGGATTGCCCAAGTATTGTTTTAACCAAATAACTCACTGTATTTGAGCACAATAAAACTCTTACTTTGTTAGAGTGTGAATGGGCCAGTCCTGCCAGGAGACTCATAACGTTGCTATGGAATAGACAGACTTTGAGGAAGAAGTTAATTGTTCATATATACAAAGAAATTAAGTCTTCATTTTACCTATTCTCTAACTCGTCAACTTTCACATTCTACCCTTTTAAATGAGCACAAAAGGGAGGCTTTACACACATAAACACATGTTTACACACACGTGTGCACACTGAGTGATATTTTATTGTCAACTGCTTCTCTTGCTGCAGATGAATGAATCAAATTATGTGAATATATTTTATGTTCTTGATAGTAATTCTGTGGTTTGCATTACAGGATGGTTTATATGATTATCAAATGTTAGCAGTTTATAGAACCCTTTTATAAAGTTATAGTTATAAGTTGCTTTTATCTCTTGAATTAGACATGTATCAGTTATGAATTTTATTTCCAATTTTAGTGTTGCTAAACCATAAGCACAGATGTCAATCCTAGAAGAGGTGAAGTAAGCCACTCATGAAAGTGATTCGTCTTGGTTAAGTCAGTGAAGACTGGCTATACAGTTTGGATTTTATTTTCTGCACGTCTTGCTAGGAATTAGAAGAATAGAAGGGTTCTTCTTACGGTAAATGTCTGACAATTGTGTCGTTTTCCTTCTCCTCTTTAGGGGAACAGGGTGCTAAAAAGACTTGAAATGAGCTGCCAGTCACCATTAACCCCTTCCCTTCTGAACTTCCAGGTCACGGAGCAGTCCCCAAATGCTTTTTACTTTCATATTGAAGTTCTCCTAGCCCTGCCAGGTTTCCTAAACCACATTTCACAGATGTCACAAGTTTCAATGGTGTGTTTTTTCTTTTGTAGGTTTCTCCAAAAGAGTTTTATTAACAACACATAAACTTTTAGAATATACAGGATTCGTTATTTAAAATTTCTTCATTATAAAAACTGAAACAAAGAGAAGAGAAAATTATAGTTGTTAGATGTTGAAATGCTTTTTTAAAACATAGTAATGCCGTTATCTAAAAATTTAGTGAAATGATGTTAATAGTCCAATAGTCTATTTTACGTAATCTTTTTATATTTGCATAGCCTTTTTTTGTTTGTTTGTTTTTTTGAGACAGCATCTTGTTCTGTCACCCAGGATGCAGTTCAGTGGCATGATCTCGGCTCACTGCAACCTCCACCTCCCAGGCTCAAGCAATTCTCATGCCTCAGCCTTCCGAGTACCTGGGACTACAGGTGTGCACCACTATGCATGGCTAATTTTTTATATTTTCAGTAGAGACAAGGTTTCATCATGTTGCCCAGGATGGTCTCAAAATCCTGAGCTCAGACAATCCACCCACCTCAGACTCCCAAAGTGCTAGGACTAGGCATGAGCCACTGCACCTGGTCCTATTTGTAAAGTCTTAATCAACATCTTTTTAACCCCTACCATTTCTCCTGTCCATTGGAATCAGATAATGTAAGGTTGTCATTCTAAAAATACTGAAAGCCTGTCATAGCTTGCTTTAACTTTTCTTGCTTTTGTGTATTTCCCAAATATGGTACTTTTTTGGTATTGCTCAGCAACACTTGTCAAGAATTTGAATTTTTAAAAAAACTTGTCAAAAAACAAAATGTGTTATAAATCAGTCAGTTTGCTTTCATTGTCCAAACTGAAAGAGTTAAGAAACAATTTCCTTTGAGTGGTAAAAGTAATCTATTTTTATTTATCATGTAAATGTTTATATTGTAACACAATGTCTTTTTTAATGAGAAAGCAAAAATATACTTAAAAATCATTAGAATACCAACCATTTAATTTTTCTTTAAAATATTTTTATAACTTTAAATGGATACACTAAATTTTTCATACATCACTCTCCATTTAGACAAGGAAGACTACTAAACAGAGATTTTAGGGGAACACCATGAGCCATTCTCCAATAGAAGTCTATCCAAATTTCAGTTTCTGAATTTGAGGGATGAAATTAGGTTATGCATTTGGGAAGGAGGGGAGACATCACATAGCTCTGAATGAAAAAGAATCTGAAGAATTTCACACTTTCTTCCAACTAGCTCAGGAGCCACACACACTGCCATCTTTGTATTGCTAGAATACACCTTTGGACAATCATTCAGGAAGTCCTGGCCACTATTAATGAAACCTCTGCTCAGCTACTTGCTTTCCAGCTTTGCTCATAAAAATTAAAGTCAGTAGTTAAAATGGATGAAAGAGAAATTTCAGGAGAATTGGCTGACTTCAGAGTCTCAAACTGGCATCTGTTTGACTCCAAAACTCCAAAGTCTTCTAAGTAGATATTGGCTAAGAAAAAGATGAAAGAAGCTGACTGATGAAACTGATTCAAGCACTGAAACTAAAAAGGAGAGAGTATGCAGCAGGATATAGGAGAAAGGCTACTAGGAATCCCTCAACACTAGCCAGAATTTAGGGGGATAATTTACTAGCAGTGACAAATCAGACTCAAAGCACAAAAACAGTCAGGCAAATCTAGAAATTACAATCTTTCAGTAGCTGTTTAAACAGCCAAATTAGTATCCAAATTTTGCTTTTATAAAAATTCTTTTGTTTCTTTGTTTGTCTTTTGAGACAAGGTCTGGCTCTATCACCCAGGCTGGAGCGCAGTGGCGTGATCTTGGCTCACTGTAATCTCTGCCCCCCGGGTTCAAGTGACTCTCATACCTCAGCCTCCCGAGTTGCTGAGACAACAGGAGTGTGCCACCATATCTGGCTAATTTTTTTGTATTTTTGTAGAGATGGGGTTTTGTCATGTTGCCCAAGCTGGTCTCAAACTCCTGATCTCAAACAGTCTACCTCCCTTGGTTTACAAAGTGCTGGGATTACAGGCTTGAGCCACTGAATGTGGCCTTTATCAAAATCCTTATTAAGTCAAAGTTTAAGCCCAATATGTTATAATACTGTCTTGATTACCACCACCAAAGCAGTGTTAAGAGCATTCAAGTCTAAAACAGAACAGAAAAGTCCAGAGAACAACACTAATTTATTTCTACAGTGCTCATTTTGTTCTTTTATGAGAGTGTCATTTCTCAGCATCTTGGACAGTGCCCTTTCTTTCTTAATAAAATGGCCAGAATTAAATAAATATGGCTAACACTCTTTCTCCACTGTAACCACGGCTGAGGCCTAATGACAATTCAGGGTAGAATATCTTTCAGTGCTATGGAGTATGTTGCACTGTTCTTTAGCTTAGAGAACTGGGATTTTCAAATCAGCACCTTAAGTGGAATTTTGCAGCCTGCATTTTTAAAACACCTACTGCCTTCCTATCCATTTACTGTACGTGTGTGTGTGTGTGCACGCATGTGTGTGTTATGACTGGAAGGAGATGATAGCAAATATCTTCCTTTAAAATAGTACTATCCAATAGAAACAGGATGCAAGCCACATATGTAATTATAAATTTTCTAGTAGCCACATTAAAAAAGGAAAAAGAAACAGGTGAAATTAATCTAAATATATTTTACTTAGTCCAATATATCAAAACTATTATCATTTCAACATGTAACTAATATAAAAAGTTATTAATGAGGTCTTTTATTCCTTTTTTGTACTGTATGCTTGAAATCCTGTGTAGATTTTACACTTCCAACACATCTTGATTTGGGCTAGCCGCATTTCAACTGCTCAATAGCCACATGTAGCCAATGACTACTGGACTGTACAGCCCAGGTATAAGGCAGGCACTTCTTTGTACAACAGTATCTCATTTGAAATGCCTAGCTTCTGATATTTCAGCTCTCAGTTTGAACATGTTTTTCCTTACACAAGAAATCCATATATATTTCATTCTAGATTCTAACACGTACACATACACACAGACACACACAGACACACACACACACACACACACACTCATTTAACATCTGGGTTTTAACAACCTATTCTGATCTTCTTCTAAATAAACTTGAAAAATAAAATACTTCCTCTCACCAGCCCTTTCTGAAGGAGCATGTGAGCCTGTTATCTTGCGCATTAACCGGTGACCGTATTTAGTGCTGTCAGAGCTGCTGACTCATTGCCTATGAATGGCCCCGCTGCCAGTGGTGATTGTTTGACAGAATGCCAGTAATGGCTGCCTACGGCTGCTGAAAAGCTGACCTTGTAACAACATCCACATTCTTTTGGTTGCTTTTGCTGACATACTCTCAACTCAAAAACTGTTTTCAAAACAAAAGTATAATGAAGTATTGAGCTTTTAAAAGCAATTGTATTTCAGTTCTTTAAATTATCTGAGTGTACCAAGGAGGGCAGAAGGCAAAGAAATGAGTATACAAGAGAGGGAACCATCCTTGAAAGTTGACATTTGAGCTACAGGCATATAATACTTGGGGACAGTGTTCTAAGACACCATGGGCATCCAAATGAAGCAAAGCTGTGTAAACTGAAAATAAAATTCTAAGCCCCCCAACCATCGGAATGGACCCCTCCTCTCAGCCAAGAGCATTCCAGTTAACCTGGAAAACTAGTTCAGGCCGTGAGAGGAAGTGGGGGGTCAGACATCCTCCCTTTGGAATTCAGGCACAACTGAGCAGCATTAACATTAAAACAGAGATCTTAAGACTTTTTGTAGCAATAGGTCACCAAATTCCAGCCTGATCTAGTATAGCATCACCTGACAGACAGCAGGCCCTGAAAGATATCAAAGTATTTTACTCTAAATTATATTTCTTTGACATATTTTGAAATAGCCCTGCAAAGCTATTGCTTGTGGGGAAAATCTGCATTCTGTAGAGAATCCCCTTCCCTTTCCAGGTCTTTTTCCTGATCCAGGAGAGAATCGACTAAGAGTCTGGCACCTTTTTAAGTCTAATAAGAAACATTTACAATCTAATCTCTCTGAAGCCTGTTACTTGGAGACTTCATCTGCATAATAAGAACCTTGGTCTCCAAAACCCCTTATCTTAGCCCAGACATTCCCTTCTGTTGATTCCAGGTCTTTAGACAATAACTTAAGTCTTCCAACCAATTGCCAATTAGAAATTGTTTGAATCTACCTATGACCTTGAAGCTCCCCACCCCCGCTTTGAGTTGTGCCACCTTTCCTGACCCAACCAGTGTACATCTTACATGTATTGATTGATGTCTTTTGTCTCCCTAAAATGTATAAAACTAAGCTGAAGCCTGACTACTTTGGGCACATGTTCTCAGGAGACAGGGCTGTGTCACTGACCATTGCCCACTCATATTTGGCTCAAAATTTATCTTTTCAAATATTTTTCAGAGTTTGACTCTTTTGTCAACAACTATTATGATATCTATTTTTTATCTTTCTCAGTATCATTTATTAGCTCTGTATTACTAACCTATTTGAAATTCTGTTTATTTGCAAAATGTATTCCATTCTCCACCCTGAAAACATTTTCCCCAAGTGGAGCTTCTAAACAAAGAATATGAGATGCTCTCCATTAATTAATAAGAGCTAAGGTACTATTAAATACTTAAAACAGGGATCAAATTAGCAGTACTTACTAGACACTGCTCTAGCTAGTGGATACGTTGATCATTCACACTATACTCAACTTTGCCCATAAAACTTAGTGTATGCCTTCCAGCTGCAGTATGTATTGATGGCCCTGCCTTCTGTTAGAGTACAAGTTTTTAGATTCTTCTCTTTTCCTGGTGATGAGGTCTGAAACTCTTGAATCTTCTAAATTCCTACTTGGGCTGATATCCCTGCTCCCTCTTTCTGGCTTCTTTTACCCCAGAGTCTAATCTGCACTGGTAGTAAAATTTCCTTTCAGTTCACATCTCACACATAACAGCCAGAGTCTGTTTTGCTAATTTTAATCAGACAAAGGATGAGTTTCGCATAGATGAGTTTTCAATAAACAGGATGAATGAACATTCAGCTAGTTGTTTTGGCATATTTTCACCACTAGAGGGAGATAAAGGCGCCTCTCCATCCACTGTTCCCACCCTCTTTGCCCCAAGATAGGAGAGGTGACAGAGTTAAGTGCAGAGGATAATGGTCAGTGAGATCATGGAGGGAAATTAAGTTATATATTTGGAGAAATCAAAAATGTGGCAGCTTTCAAACCCTGCCAACATGTTTTATGTGGCCTACCCAGTTTGGGGCAACATTTATAAATTGGAAAATTTCACATAAATATCTGGATTTCCACCCTGAGCTTGAAAATAGAAAGATGTGGCCACACTGTATGTCTGCGCCTCTGTGTGGCAGTCAGAGGGAGCTTCTCTCTATAAACAAGGCACAAACTCTTCATTTCAACTCCATCACTATCACTCTCTATTTTTCTAACACCGAGATTAAATGTAAGCTGTTACTTATTATCAAGCTTGCATCATTTTGTTGTTAAGAACCGGTTGTTGTTTTTTTTTTTTTTGTACTCAGGTCAAAGATGGTAAAAAGAATAACATAGCAAGCAAGCCTCTTGTAATTTCAAGGAAAATGAGAGAGAACATATTTCTTGGAGGCAGTAAAAAATATTCATAAGAGTAAAATATGCAGGCACAATGTGACTGGTCTCCTTGACTTACACTTACCTATTTCCATCATTTACATCAGCTAGATGTCCCTATGAGCTTTGCATAACCCTTTGGAAATACCTGCTTCCCAAACATGATATGGCAGGAAGAAGATAAGGGACTGGGCGATCCTGGGACCCAGTCAAATACCTTCTCTCAGTTGTCCCCACTAACTAATGACTGAGAAATGTCTCTCATGACTGATTACCCAAGGATTTACAAAATTGACATGTGAGGGACAAAAATCTCAGTCTCACTTAAAATAGCAGGAAAAACATATCTGCATGTAACTTATACTCACAGAAGAATTGCAGAACTAAAATTTGGATTTAGGTAGGATAAATTCCAACACACAGCTGATATTCTGATTTACTCATATCATTGCTTCTTGATCTGAAAAAGAAATGATAATATAAATATTAGTAATCATAGCTAACATCTGTTGAGTTGACAGTTGTGTCAGGCACTGTGCTAAGTGATCTCCTTTAACCCTGAGGAACAACTGTGTTATTCAACCTCAGAGATTTGTCTCAACAACCTTAATATATGCCCTTCCTTTTAGGACAACGGTTCTCAAAATGAAGACACTTTCATGAGATTCTTGAGGTTAAAACTATTTTAATAACAACTCTATCATATTATTTGCCTTTTTCACTATGGGACAGTCACACAGATGTGCAAAAGTAATGGTAAGTAAAACTGCTGGAATCTATTACTAGGGGTTGAAGGCAGTGGCACCAAGCTCTACTGGTAGTAATATTTCTTCACTCCCATGTACTTCCAGTGAAAAACAAAGCAAGCAACAGCAAAAGCATGTTATTAAGTCTTGGGAGTGTAAATGACGTTATTTTATTTATTTATTTTTACTTTTTATTTTTTTGAGATAGGGTCTCACTCTGTCATCCAAGCTGGAGTTCATTGGCATGATCGTGGCTCACTGCAGCCTTGACCCCGTGGGCTCAAGTGATCCTCCTACCTCAGTCTCCTAAGTTTCTGGGACTACATACAGGTGCATGCCACCACGCCTGGCTAATTTTTTCTTTTTTTGTAGAGACAAGGTCTTGATATGTCTTGCTATGCCCAGACTTGTCTTGAACTCCCAGGCTCAAGCGATTCTCCTGCCTTGGCCTCCCAAAGTGTTGGGATTAGAGGCATGAGCCACCGTGCCTAGCCACATCCTTTTAATAGTGCAAGGAAATGGGAAGTACACATAAAGCACTTTTGAAATATGTTGAGGTGCGGTAGTTGTCTCCAAGTATTATTGTTCAAGGTACAAGTGGTACTAGTCATTTCTTTCATAGAACATTTTTTTTTTGAAAGAACAATGGGCAGACAAACTATGATTATTTCAGCAGGGGTATTTGGCAAATGTTTTTTGAAATTGAATGAAATAAGCTTGTCACCAGAAAAAACAACTGACAGGAATTTCTGACAATGATAAAATTCAAACTTTCAAGTAGAAATTAGAATTTTGAAAAGCCTACATCTGCCACTATAAACTTGACAGCTTCTCAATACCTTTCTTGATGAGACTCGTGGTGACATTAACAAAAGTAATTTTTTGTTATCAAAAATAATACGTAAACATTTGGAAGATCTGCTTTACTAAGTGAGCTAGACTATTTTGTCATAAAATCATATATAGATTTTTTTAAAAACTATACCAAGTATGAGACAAATAATTGAGTTTACTGTAATAGATTATATGAAGTTCATTGATATGTTTCAGATTCCACATTCCATTTTTAAGGAACAATCACTTGTTGAATTTCACTGTTGTATCAAAGAAAACTGTCCATAATAATCTGAAAGGCTATGAAAAGACTCTACTATTTCAAACTACAAGTCTATGTGAGCCTGGAGTTTCTTCATATTTGTCAACCAAAACATATTCCAATAGATTAAATGCAGAAGCAGATAGGTAAATCTGGCTATCTTCCATTAAGCCAGATATTAGGGGATTTCCAAAAAATGTAAAACCATGCTTATCACCAAAATTTTGTTTTGGAAAATATTTCTATTTTATTAAAAATATATTATTTTATTTATGTCACATGTAATGGGTTTATCATTGTCACATAAATGAATTTATAGACCAATTCTTTTAAGATGCTCCAATCACGTGCTTTATTAAGTCAATTTTAAACGTATAATGAGAATCAAGGGAGGAAAGGTGGGGTAGGTTAATGCACTTAGAATAGTATGCAAGTGGAATAAAAGGAACTCCACCACCTGAATGCTGGGTTATACAATGTCCATATGTCTTGTTTCTGCTACACCAGCCTTCCAAACTGGTGGTGTGGTTGTGGAGTGAGAATAGGGTTTGAGGAAGGGGCCTAAACAGACAGGTGGAAGGTGTCTGGGGTACAAACTTGCTCTATCACAGAGACACAAGGACAAGTACACCTATCAATAGCTTTAGCTTTCCATTAGCTTGCCAAGTAGCTTTGGGTTTTATCTCCAGTGAATTTATAAATAAATATTTTTAAAGTTTATAAGTTTTCATTTCTAATAGGGTAAATATTGATAGGTATAATAAACATAAACAAAAGCTCTTGGAGGTCTTCAGAACAAAAAGTTTAAAAACCTCTGATGTAGGATATGGGATCCCTTTTTTTAACCCCAAAGTAGCATGGCAATTTATTGAAACCAAATTAAATGATTTATCTTCTATCTTCTATCTTCTTCTTCTTCTTTTTTTTTTTTTAAAGGTACTCATCTCCCCAGAGTCAGATGAAAATGCTAAGTCAAGCTCTCAGTAACCCTCAGGTGGCTCCTAAGGCATATGTCATATGCAAGGCCACCAGTTAAGGTAGAAATGCACCACTAAAGGGCAAGACCTGAGCATTCTTTCCCAGAATTAGATGCTTCTGTCTTTTTATGATTTCCAGTAAAAGTATCTCTTTGTCTAACAAAGCAACCACCCATATTTTGCACACAAATATTTTTTTCCTTAGGGAAACAAGATATACATTACAAACAACAACAACAAAATATTAAGAATCTGATTTTCATGCTAAGAATTTGTCAATGAAATTGTGTCCAAATAACTGCTACATTTGTATACAAATTTTTTATGAAAACAAGATTTATGATTGGGGTTTAATGCATATTAGAGAAGAATTATTTATATATATATTTTTTATTACACTTTAAGTTCTAGGGTACATGTGCACAATGTGCAGGTTTGTTACATATGTATACATGTGCCATATTGGTGTGCTGCACCCATTAACTCTTCATTTAACATTAGGTATATCTCCTAATGCTATCCCTCCCCACTCCCTCCACCCCACAACAGGCCCCAGTGTGTGATGTTCCCCTTCCTGTGTCCATGTGTTCTCATTGTTCAATTCCCACCTATGAGTGAGAACATGCAGTGTTTGGTTTTTTGTCCTTGCGATAGTTTGCTGAGAATGATGGTTTCTAGCTTCATCCATGTCCCTACAAAGAACATGAACTCATCATTTTTATGGCTGCATAGTATTCCATGGTGTATATGTGCCATATTTTCTTAATCCAGTCTATCACTGTTGGACATTTGGGTTGGTTCCAAGTCTTTGCTATTGTGAGTAGTGCTGCAATAAACATACGTGTGCATGTGTCTTTATAGCAGCATGATTTACAGTCCTTTGGGTATATACCCAGTAATAGGATGGCTGGGTCAAATGGTATTTCTAGCTCTAGATCCCTGAGGAATCGCCACACTGTCTTCCACAATGGTTAAACTAGTTTACAGTCCCACCAACAGTGTAAAAACATTCCTATTTCTCCACATCCTCTCCAGCATCTGTTGTTTCCTGACTTTTAATGATTGCTATTCTAACTGGTGTGAGATGATATCTCATTGTGGTTTTGATTTGCATTTCCCTGATGGCCAGTGATGATGAGCATTTTTTCATGTGTCTGTTGGCTGCATAAATGTCTTCTTTTGAGAAGTGTCCTTTCATATCCTTCACCCACTTTTTGATGGGGTTGTTTTTTTTTTCTTGTAAATTTGTTTGAGTTCTTTATAGATTCTGGATATTAGCCCTTTGTCAGATGAGTAGATTGCAAAAATTTTCTCCCATTCTGTAGGTTGCCTGTTCACTCTGATGGTAGTTTCTTTTGCTGTGCAGAAGCTCTTTAGTTTAATTAGATCCCATTTGTCAATTTTGGCTTTTGTTGCCATTGCTTTTGGTGTTTTAGACATGAAGTCCTTGCCCATGCCTATGTCCTGAATGGTATTGCCTAGGTTTTCTTCTAGGGTTTTTATGGTTTTAGGTCTAACGTTTAAGTCTTTAATTCATCTTGAATTAATTTTTGTACAAGGTATAAGGAAGGGATCCAGTTTCAGCTTTCTACCTATGGCTAGCCAGTTTTCCTAGCACCATTTGTTAAATAGGGAATCCTTTCCCCATTTCTTGTTTTTGTCAGGTTTGTCAAAGATCAGATGGTTGTAGATGTGTGGTATTATTTCTGAGGCCTCTGTTCTGTTCCATTGGTCTACATCTCTGTTTTGGTACCAGTACCATGCTGTTTTGGTTACTGTAGCCTTGTGGTATAGTGTGAAGTCAGGTAGTGTGATGCCTCCAGCTTTGTTCTTTTGGCTTAGGATTGACTTGGCGATGCGGGCTCTTTTTTGGTTCCATATGAACTTTAAAGTAGTTTTTTTCCAATTCTGTGAAGAAAGTCATTGGTAGCTTGATGGGGATGGCATTGAATCTATAAATTACTTTGGGCAGTATGGCCATTTTCACGATATTGATTCTTCCTATCCATGAGCATGGAATGTTCTTCCATTTGTTTGTGTCCTCTTTTATTTCATTGAGCAGTGATTTGTAGTTCTCCTTGAAGAGGTCCTTCACATCCCTTGTAAGATGGATTCCTAGGTATTTTATTCTCTTTGAAGCAATTGTGAATGGGAGTTCACTCATGATTTGGCTCTCTGTTTGTCTGTTATTGATGTATAAGAATGCTTGTGATTTTTGCACAATGATTTTGTATCCTGAGACTTTGCTGAAGTTGCTTATCAGCTTAATGAGATTTGGGGCTGAGACGATGGGGTTTTCTAGATATACAATCATGTCATCCGCAAACAGCGACAATTTGACTTCCTCTTTTCCTAATTGAATACCCTTTATTTCCTTCTCCTGCCTAATTGCCCTGGCCAGAACTTCCAACACTATGTTGAAAAGGAGTGGTGAGAGAGGGCATCCCTGTCTTGTGCCAGTTTTCAAAGGGAATGCTTCCAGTTTTTGCCCATTCAGTATGATATTGGCTGTGGGTTTGTCATAAATAGCTCTTATTATTTTTAGATATGTCCCATCAATACCTAATTTATTGAGAGTTTTTAGCATGAAGGGCTGTTGAATTTTGTCAAAGGCCTTTTCTGCATCTATTTAGATAATCATGTGGTTTTTGTCTTTGGTTCTGTTTATATGCTGGATTATGTTTATTGATTTGCGTATGTTGAACCAGCCTTGCATCCCAGGGATGAAGCCAATTTGATCATGGTGGATAAGCTTTTTGATGTGCTGCTGGATTTGGTTTGCCAGTATTTTATTGAGGATTTTTGCATCGATGTTCATCAGGGATATTGGTCTAAAATTCTCTTTTTTTTGTTGTGTCTCTGCCAGGCTTTGGCATCAGGATGATGCTGGCCTCATAAAATGAGTTAGGGAGGATTCCCTCTTTTTCTATTGATTGGAATAGTTTCAGAAGGAATGGTACCAGCTCCTCCTTGTACCTCTGGTAGTATTCAGCTGTGAATCCATCCGGTCCTGGACTTTTTTTGGTTGGTAAGCTATTAATTATTGCCTCAATTTCAGAGCCTGTTACTGGTCTATTCAGAGATTCAGCTTCTTCCTGGTTTAGTCTTGGGAGGGTGTATGTGTTGAGGAATTTATCCATTTCTTCTAGATTTTCTAGTTTATTTGCATAGAGATGTTTATAGTATTCTCTGATGGTAATTTGTATTTCTGTGGGATTGGTGGTTATAACCCCTTTATCATTTTTTATTGCGTCTATTTGATTCTTCTCTCTTTTCTTCTTTATTAGTCTTGCTAGCGGTCTATCAATTTTGTTGATCTTTTCAAAAAACCAGATCCTGGATTCGTTGATTTTTTGAAGGGTTTTTTGTGTCTCTGTCTCCTTCAGTTCTGCTCTGATCTTAGTTATTTCTTGCCTTCTGCTAGCTTTTGAATGTGTTTGCTCTTGTTTCTCTAGTTCTTTTAATTGTGATGTTAGGGTGTCAATTTTAGATCTTTCCTGCTTTCTCTTGTGGGCATTTAGTGCTATAAATTTCCCTCTACACACTGCTTTATATGTGTTCCAGAGATTCTGGTATGTTTTGTCTTTGTTCTCGTTGGTTTCAAAAAACATCTTTATTTCTACCTTCTTTTCTTTATGTACCCAGTAGTCATTCAGGAGCAGGTTGTTCAGTTTCCATGTAGTTGAGCGGTTTTGAGTGAGTTTCTTAATCCTGAGTTCTAGTTTGATTGCACTGTGGTCTGAGAGACAGTTTGTTATAATTTCTGTTCTTTTACATTTGCTGAGGAGTGCTTTACTTCCAACTATGTGGTCAATTTTGGAATAGGTGTGGTGTGGTGCTGAGAAGAAGGTATATTCTGTTGATTTGGGGTGGAGAGTTCTGTAGATGTCTATTAGGTCCACTTGTTGCAGAGCTGAATTCAATTCCTGGATATCCTTGTTAACTTTCTGTCTCATTGATCTGTCTAATGTTGACAGTGGGGTATGAAAGTCTCCCATTATTATTGTGTGGGAGTCTAAGTCTCTTTGTAGGTCTCTAAGGGCTTGCTTTATGTATCTGGGGGCTCCTGTATTGGGTGCATATATATTTAGGATAGTTAGCACTTCTTGTTAAATCGATACCTTTACCATTATGTAATGGCCTTCTTTGTCTCTTTTGATCTTTGTTGGTTTAAAGTCTGTTTTATCAGAGACTAGGATTGCAACCCCTGCCTTTTTTTGTTTTCCATTTGCTTGGTAGATCTTCCTCCGTCCCTTTATTTTGAGCCTATGTGTGTCTCTGCACGTGAGATGGGTTTCCTGAATACAGTACACTGGTGGGTCTTGACTCTTTATCCAATTTGCCAGTCTGTGTCTTTTAATTGGAGTATTTAGCCCATTTACATTTAAGGTTAATACTGTTATGTGTGAATTTGATCCTGTCATTGTGATGTTAGCTGGTTATTTTGTTCGTTAGTTGATGCTGTTTCTTCCTAGCATCAATGGTCTTTACAATTTGTCATGTTTTTGCAATGGCTGGTAACAGTTGTCCCTTTCCATGTTTAGTGCTTCCTTCAGGAGCTCTTGTAGGGCAGGCCTGGTGGTGACAAAATCTGTCAGCATTAGCTTGTCTGTAAAGGATTTTATTTCCCCTTCACTTATGAAGCTTAGTTTGGCTGGATATGAAATTCTGGGTCGAAAATTCTTTTCTTTAAGAATGTTGAATATTGGCCCCCACTCTCTTCTGGCTTGTAGAGTTTCTGCAGAGAGATCCGCTGTTAGTCTGATGGGCTTCCCTTTGTGGGTAACCTGACCTTTCTCTCTGGCTGCCCTTAATATTTTTTCCTTCATTTCAACTTTGGTGAATCTGACAATTATGTATCTTGGAGTTGCTCTTCTTGAGGAGTATCTTTGTGGCATTCTCTGTATTTCCTGAATTTGAATGTTGGCCTGCCTTGCTAGGTTGGGGAAGTTCTCCTGGATAATATCCTGAAGAGTGTTTTCCAACTTGGTTCCATTCTCCCCATCACTTTCAGGTATACCAACCAGATGTAGATTTGGTCTTTTCACATAGTCCCATATTTCTTGGAGGCTTTGTTCATTTCTTTTTATGCTTTTTTCTCTAAACTTCTTGCTTCATTTCATTCATTTGGTCTTCCATCACTGATACCCTTTCTTCCAGTTGATCGAATTGGCTACTGAAGCTTGTGCATTCGTCACGTAGTTCTCGTGCCATGGTTTTCAGCTCCATCAGGTCCTTTAAGGACTTCTCTGCATTGGTTATTCTAGTTAGCCATTCATCTAATCTTTTTTCAAGGTTTTTAACTTCTTTACAATGGGTTTGAACTTCCTCCTTTAGCTCGGAGAAGTTTGATCGTCTGAAGCCTTCTTCTCTCAACTTGTCAAAGTCATTCTCCGTCCAGCTTTGTTCCATTGCTGGTGAGGAGCTGCGTTCCTTTGGAGGAGGAGAGGTTCTCTGATTTTTAGAATTTTCCGTTTTTCTGTTCTGTTTTTTCCCCATCTTTGTGGTTTTATCTACCTTTGGTCTTTGATGATGGTGACATACAGATGGGGTTTTGGTGTGGATGTCCTTTCTGTTTGTTAGTTATCGTTTTAACAGTCAGGACCCTCAGCTGCAGGTCTGTTGGAGTTTGCTGGAGGTCCACTCCAGACCCTTTTGGCCTGGGTATCAGCATTGGAGGCTGCAGAACAGCGGATATTGCTGAATAGCAGATGTTGCTGTCTGATGGTTCCTCTGGAGGTTTTGTCTCAGAGGGGTACTCAGCCGTGTGAGGTGTCAGTCTGCCCCTACTGGGGGATGCCTCCCAGATAGGCTACTCGGGGGTCAGGGACCCACTTGAGGAGGCAGTCTGACCGTTCTCAGATCTCAAACTCTGTACTGGGAGAACCACTAGTCTCTTCAAAGCTGTCAGACAGGGACATTCAAGTCTGCAGAGGTTTCTGCTGCCTTTTGTTCGGCTATGCCCTTCCCCCAGAGGTGGAGTCTACAGAGGCAGGCAGGCCTCCTTGAGCTGTGGTGGGCTCCACCCAGTTCAAGCTTCCCAGCTGCAGCTTTGTTTACCTACTCAAGCCTCAGCAATGGCGGGCACCCCTCCCCCAGTCTCGCTGCCACCTTATAGTTGGATCTCAGACTGCTGTGCTAGCAATGAGTGAGGCTCCGTGGGTGGGGCGTGAGACCCTCCGAGCCATGCGCAGGATATAATCTCCTGGTGTGCCATTTGCTAAGACCATTGGAAAAGTGCAGTATTAGGATGGGAGTGAACCGATTTTCCAGGTGCTGTCTGTCACAGATTTGCTTGGCTGGGAAGGGGAATTCACTGACCCCTTGTGCTTCCCAGGTGAGGCAATGCCTCGCCCTGCTTTGGCTCACAACAAGCCCCAGTGAGATGAACCCGGTACCTCATTTGGAAATTCAGACATCACCTGTCTTCTGCATTGCTCACGCTGGGAGCTGTAGACTGGAGCTGTTCCTATTTGGCCATCTTCAAGAATGATGTTTAAAAATGTGGAATTGCATGTGCTCAGTACAAATTTAATTCAGAATATTTGTCAGAAGTACGGTACTCTGCATGCAAACGTTTTCTCTCCTCTCCATTCACCCTGCTTTTCATGTTACTAATGTAACTGATAGAGTTCCTACAAAATCTTTTTTTATTTTGCCTTTTTGTTCTATATCTAGTTTTATAAGGTTTTATCCTTTCTTCCTTTATTTCTTCATTCCTTCCTTCTTTTCTAATTGAACTTTACATCATAGTATCAACAGACACAGTTATACCAGATCACACTGTATCAGTCTCTTAGAAGTGTGCAGTGGGCTTCTCTAACAAATGAATGCATGGAAATTATGAGCAAAATCATGATCACATAGTATCAGAGAGATTTCAATACACTCTATGGTATACCTGCTTGTAGGTAACTACAAATATGGCTTTTTAAAAGCTAGTTAGACTAACCTTTGACACATTTTTACTTAACCTGCAAAATTCAATTTAATTCTTTTTTTGGCCAATTTGGTGGGTATAATGAGATGCAGGAGACAAAAGACTGCACTTGGGTAAACATTGTTTTCTTGTCCTGATCAGCAAAAATACGTGAATCTTTCTGCCTTACTTGGAATTAATTTCAACATGGAGAACATAAAGCTTTAATGAGATTCATCACTGTGGGGTGGCATTTATCTATACTTAGTTTTAGTTTCATATTGCCCTACTTATATTCATAAAAGGAGATTTTCATCTAAGAAAACCTGAGATACTTAGGTTTAGTGATTATTTGTGTAGGTAAATACACAATGAGACTCACTGGTTTCTCAACTGTATTTTTTAAAAAGATACAAAATGAGATAATCACTCCCTTTAAAAGTGTATTCTAAGAAAGTGACTCCTATTTTTCTGATATTTTGGGATACCTGAATTTTGTACAGTAGCGATTTCTATAACAAAATAAACCTTAATATAAAAATAAAATAGTGACTTACTGCTTTACCTTGAAATGCAGCTGACATGTGTTCTGTGTGAATGTGTGTATAAAGTACGTGAATAAAGGAGCGTTCAGCCACTACTGATGTCTCATATCTTCATATGTATCATATCCCTTAGTGAGCAAGTTGAATAAAAATAATTTCATAGCCATAAACAGAGGAAGTATTCATGCTGAATATGTATAGATTGCTAATAATAGGACAAAAAAGTTTCAAATATTAAAACAAAATTATATATAGTTTACAGTTCTTCAACTACTTCCTTAAAAATTATATGGTATGTATATATATGCACAAACATATGTCTGTGTGTGTGTATAACTGGAAGTAAATGTATAAAATCTTCATAGGGATTTCCTGTGGGGTGGAATGTGGGTGATACTAATTTTCTTCACAATTTATTATATTTTCCACATTTCCTAAAAGGAGAGTTACTTTGATCAAAACACACACACACACATACCCGCAGTTTAAAAACTCCATGTTTCTTCTTGTCTCTTGATCTATTTTTAATAAAACTTGATTTTTAATAAGTATTACCATGTAAGCCAATTATTTTTACATTTTATTTGTTTGTTTTTTGAGAGAGGATCTCACTCTGTCACTCAGGCTGAAATGCAGTGGCACAATCTTGGCTCACTGTAACCTCCGCCTGCTGGGCTCAGGTGATCTCCCACCTCAGCCTCCCAAGCAGCAGGGACCACAGGTACACACCACCACGCCCAGCTATTTTTTGTATTATTAGTATTATTATTATTATTTTTTCTCTATACAATTTCTGAGATACTTACGTAAACTTAATCACTGGGGTTTTGTCATGTTGCCCAGGCTGGTCCCGAACTCCTGGGTTCAAGGGATCTGCTTGCCTTGGCCTCCGAAAGTGCTGGGATTACAGGCATGAGCCACCTTACCTTTTAAAAATGCAAGTATCATCTCGATAAGCAACTGTCTTAACCTTACAATAAAATGCAACAGAAAGATACGCAGAGCCAGTCCTTCAGAAAAAAAAAAAAAATGCTGTGCAAGAAACAGCTGATAAATCCTTTTTAAACCACCTTCATTTTTCTCAGCACCTTTAAAACAGTTGACTGGATACCCAACTGAACTGATATTGACAGGCAGGCCATCATATTATTTCTTAAGTGTTCCTGAATGTCAGCAGGTCTTCGGCTTTGTGGCGTGAAAAATTCTACATTCATTGCTGAAGGTATATATTTTTTTCCTGTTGACAGCTATTTTGTCCAAATATTGTTCTCTCTGCTTTATCTTACTTTAACCTAAGTGATAAGGTACAACTTTTTATCCACTTCTATTGACGAAATATCAAGAATAAAACCGAATTCTCTGCTACTATCTTATACTTCTCAAATATCTTCTTGCTGTCTTGTTAAATTTTATCAGAGATAAGTATTAAAGTAGGCAACTGAAAAGTGAGGCACAGCAGTGGCCTATATGGATACCCAGAATTGTGAAGTACACACATGTTTCTGCAATCACTGGGCTGTGATTTGATGGAAATGAATTATAGATGCACAACCCCTTCTGAGATTAGATTAATTTCCCTGATTATTAGTCCAAAGATTTAAAAACTTCACAGAAATGAGGTTGCCGCCCAGCTTAGGAGCTGATGCAGCCAGTCTCAAAGGCACTTTCCTTGGGGCCCAGAATCCCTAATGGGAGAGGCCTGCCTGACTGTGTGATCTTGCCCTTCCGCAAAGGTGCCACACTGGATGTGAACAACTAAACTGTCACAGCCACAGCCCCTTTATCCTAGGGGCTTGAAGAAATAAGCTATGCCCTTAATAGGAAGTAAAGACATCCAAGACCTTCCTGCCTCTCATACTGTGCTGTGTGTCAACAAAAATAAGTCCTTAAAATAGAGAGGATGCCTAAGCATCCAATAGCACTAATTCTGTTTCCAGCTTTTAAGTGTCCAAAAAGGCCCATTTGCCAGCCATCCTCTCCCTGACTCTGACTTAATTAATATGCTTGTGTCTGGGGTGATTCTGGGTTTAGTCCAAGGGCCATGATTCCAAATCCATTTTACTACAACTTTCTAAGCCACTTTGACGTTCTTAGGCTGATAACTAATAATCTGGTGAAATTATTTGAATAAGTTTATACTGCCACTCTGTACAGGAACCAGATGTGAAAACATGAGCTTTGTGTTTGCTAACTGTTCCACTATCAATCATTTATTCAAACAAGCATTTAGTGATGATTGCTATTCATCATTAAAGATTATGTACTAGAGATGATGAAGAAACAAGCAATAAGTCCCTGCCCAGAGTTGCACGTATTCTTATAAAGGGATAAGAAAATTCATGGTAATTTTAAATGATAACAGGTGCTGCAATGAAAGACCTCCAAGAGTGGTGTGGCAGCACTAAGGACTGGAATACAGAGAGGGTCTAAGAGCACAGCTGGGAGGGGCAGGAAGGAATTCACGTGGTATATAGAGTTGGAGGAAGCTTCAAAAGGGAAGTTAGACTTACCTTGTTCAACTTCAGAGGTCTGGATGGGACCTGTGGTAAAATTACATAATAGAATTAGGACTCAAAGGAACTCGGACCACCTACCAGGGTTCCTCAACCTGGGTACTATCAACATTTTGGACTATTCATTATTTGGCTGGGGGTTGGGGGGCAGTAGTCCTATGAATTTTCAGATGTTCAGCAGTATCCTGACCTGTACCTACTAGATGCCAGTTGCACGTACCCACCCTGCACAACCAAAAATGTCTCCAAACATTGTCATATGTCCCCTGGGGGCAAAATCACCCTGATTGAGAACCACTGGACAAAAGTCATACCCTCAAAAGAAGTCCTGGAGAGCACCTTTTTATTCCTCCTTTTAATATTTAGGCTACCCGTTCTTGAATAATAATGAAAGTAGCTAAAATTTCTGCTTGGATTCCTTATATTTTTAGGGTGAATAAAATAATCATGAATTCTTCAGATTGTGATGATGAAATTATTTTTAATATGGTGCAAGTTCACAAGGGTAAGAGAAAGGAAATTGAACCAAATATTTATAAGAAAAAGAAGACAAATTTTAAAATAAGAAAATGTAATAGGATTTTTCTTTTACTACATTCTTGCTAGTTAATCTTGTATTTCACCCTACCTTGTTTATTCTAAGGTATGTATAAATAAAATCATCATCTAGAAGCTTTAATCTGACTTGCAAATATTTGTGTGAAAGAAAAATCCAAACTTCTTAGATTTAAATTTGATGGCAACCAAAAATATACATTCATTCATACATCTGTTTGTTCGTGCAATAAATATTACTGCAGGCATACTATGTGCCAGCCACCATTCTAAGCATCAGGTGCACAACAATGAAAAAAGTTCCTGCCTTTGTGGAGCTATATTCTGGTGTGAAGAGACAATGAATAAATAATACATCAGGTAGTGGCAGTACAGGGGAATATATCAAAATAAACAATAGAGAGTGAGTACAGAGTGCTATTTATGGTAGAAACATCAGTCCGAGCATAAATAGGAATAATAACACGAATGTTAACTCTTCTCCAGTCTAATATTTGTCTAGGTCCCACAGAATCTGGGCTGAGAGGACCACATATCCCAATTTGTAATAAACGTGTATGCTTTACCAAATCCTACCACTACAAATGATTATTGAGCCTCTGTTTAAATTGATATCATTGGTATGAAGGTCACTACCTTTTTAGGTGGCCCATTCTGTTTTTGTGTCCTCCAATTTGAGGGGGTCCTCTTATTAAGCAAAAATGTGACTCCTGCAACTTCCATCTAACCTACATGCCTAAAATGCAGCACCCAAAATGAATGAAATACTTCTTTCTTTTATGGTACTCTGTGGTAAGACACTGGTTCCTAGCTCCAATCCAGACCCTGGATGAAAGCTTTTCTGGGAGCTTAGTAAAGAATACAGTATTTTTATTTTATACCATGACACTAAATTTTAATTTCTAGTCACAAGTTAGCCAACCTAGAATTTACGTTAGCTGACCTGTAATTTAAGTAAGAACTTAAAGAGAGAAGGGGCCAGGCACGGTGGTTCAATGCCTGTAATCCCAGCATGTTGGGAGGCTGAGGCAGGCGGATTGTTTGAGCTCAGATGTTCGAGACCAGCCTGGGCAACATAGCAAAATCTCATCTCTACAAAACATACAAAAATTAGCTGAGCGTGGTGCTGAGCACCTGTAGTCCCAGCTACTCAGGAGGTTGAGATGGGAAGATTGCTTGAGCCTGGGGAGCTTGAGGCTGCAGTGAGCCACGATCATGCCACTGCACTCAGTATGGGTGAGAGAGCAAGACCTTGTCTCAAAGAGAGAGGGAGAGAATGGAGAAAGGTATAATTTGTATTCCCACCCAATGTTCATGTGACAATTTTGCTTTCCAAGTGTCCAGTAGGCTGCAGGAAGAGTATAGTAGGATTGATGCCTTTAATTCACTAGCAGCTTGGGAAGCTGCCACCCTCAGGTGAAAGAAAGAGTAGAAAGAATTGAGGGTATTCAGCTCTGCATACTCTGGAGTTGCCATGCAGGATAGAAGCCAAGAATGGTAGGGATGGATCTGCCTCCAGATTAGACAACTAACTTCTTTTAATCACTATCTGTGATATATGGGGTGAAGTGGGGCCACTTCTTAGTAGAAAAGGAACAGCAGAATTTAAAGCTGCCTTGTGATCCGTAGACCACCCAAGGTGTAAATTTTATTAGTCATAGATCCTGGTCAAGATGTCAACCTGGACCACCCATGGGGTTCTTTAACACAGTGTCTCCATCTGAGCATTGTTTAGGCTCCCTCCAAATCTATTGCAGTCTGGAGTAACCCATTGGATCTGGACAAAAAAAAAGAAATATGCAAGTCATCCTTCCCAAAATTGTCAGGTACAGGAACAACAACCAGCAGCCAAATCCTAAGAGGTCCCTAGGACAATACCAAGTGATTTCTCGAGTGATTCTACATTGCCAGATAGAGCTGGATATAAGTTTATCTCACTTTATTATATACATAGATATAGCCTAAGGTGAAAATATAATACTTTAGATTATATGCGATTTTCATTTATTTCCAGGTGCTGTGGCTTAGAGAGCTGTGTTCATGAGGAGAAATATTTTAATATATAATTTATTCTCAGATACATAGGTCTAATCTACTCCGACTCCAATTTTTTTTTAAAAAAGCATGTACTTTAAGAAACAAAAAATATCTGAAAGTACTACTGTTGTAATAATACATTTAATTCAAAGAATGTCAAACAGAAGATGTATATGCCTAGAATCATAGCACAGGGAAAGACTGTTGGGTCTGAATGTCACAGAACAGTGGTTAATTGTGTAGTGAAAGTCTCTTTATATCCTATTAAATTGTATTAGGTCATTCTCACTCTACTATAAAGAACTGCCCATGACTGGGTAATTTATAAAGGAAAGAAGTATAATTGACTCAGTTCCAGATGGCTGGTGAGGCCTCAGGAAACTTACAGTCGTGGTGAAAGTGGAAGCAAACACATCCTTCTTCATGTAGCAGCAGGAGAGAGAAGTGCCGAGCAAAGGGGGAAAAGCCCCTATACTATCACAAGAACAGCATGGGGATAACAGCCCCCATGAGTCAATTATCTCCTATTGGGCCCCTCCTGTGATATGTGGGGATTATGAGAACTACAAGTCAAGGCGGGGACACAGCAAACCCGTATCATAAATAAACCTCACGTAATGAACATGTCTGAGAACTTAGATAAGAGGAAGGGGAAGATTTTGTTATAGAATTTTCTTTAGTACCTCAAATCATAGGAAGCCTGAACCCAGTCATGAAAGCTGAAATAATTATTGTGTTCATTTTAGATAACCTGGGTTGGGAGAGGAAAGCATGGGGTGGGAGTCAGAAGCAGAAGGCACCCATCACCCAGCAAAGGTGCAGAGCTGGGTTCCTTCCATCCCTTCCCTTTCCACCCCCACTGCCACCAGATGCCTTGTCCCTTTTACTTTACTGTGTCCCTCCTCCCCACACTTTTCCTTCATCTTAACATGAGATTTCCTAAGCTTCAAATTTTTGCTGCTTCAAGCCATCTGGCACCTGGGATAGTAACACGCAGCCTGTGTGTTCACAGGGAGAAGCAAGGAAGAAAGGGTGAGGAGGAAGAGAACACTGGGGAGGACTGGCTGAGGGGAGATGATGAGTGGAGTGCCTGGGTCACTCCCAGCCATAGGGTCAGGGATCTTGGGCATTGGGGCGGGCAGTCTAGAGCTTGTCTCTTTCAGTTCTCATTTAGAAATTTTCTCAGAAGGCAAAAGCTTATAAAACCATTCAGCTTAGTTAAGAAAAATTAACAGCCAATCTTATGAAATATTTACAATTTATGTTATTACTACACAACATAATTATATGGATTATTAAGTAACATTAGGTTGCCTTTGTAGTCCACCTTGTTGTAGTCCACTCTTACAGGGTATCTACTAATGACTGCTCAAGCTCAATCCATCAGAGGAAATGTTAGTCTGAGGACTCTGATCTTAGCAATACTTTACTTGGCTTCAGTAAAAATTATGTCAATAAAATATCCCAGAAAACTATCTACTTGGAAAACAAAGAAGATTCCATGTTTTTCCATTTCTGGTTTTTCAGTCAACTAAATCCATAGAGCTATATCAGGAACCCAATGTTCCAGGCAACTATCATTAACCAGCTTTTAAATCTTGGATGATCACTTAATCCCTCTGGAACTCACTGTCCTCATCTGTGAAATGACTTCTACCATAAATGTCTGTTATTATAAATATTTCTTATACTAAATGAAAAGCAAGGTTCTAAATTGCATACGTTATTAATAGAGGATAAGGGGATTTATAAAATAACGTATGTTCTAGATCTGCCAATTCTGGCTTCCTGTTTGTGTAATAAATACAGAAGTGTGAATTGCTTAGCTAAATAAAAGTCTACTTTCTCGTTGCAGATAAATAGGATTTACCAATCCTTGGATGAAGTGCTTGGGAAGTCTTTAAGTGCCATAATCAACTGCCATTTCAAAGAATATAGATGGTTTTGAAAAGTTCATGCTGTCCCTTCATTGAATTTTAGGTGAGTGTGTTTAAGACAAAGAACTTAAGATGAATATTGAACTGTTTCTCTTTAGAGTGCTCCTCTCATTTGCCTGAAAAGAAAATGGGTTTAAATATTATCAATGCTGAGGTGGAGCAAGATGGCTAAATAAATATTATCAATGCCTTTCAGTTTCGTACCTTTAGTGAGGTTCCAGACAATGAAAGACTTACCGTCTTTTTGTTTATTTATTGTTATTATTATTATTATCAGAAACCATCTGAACTGTGAGCTATATAACATAAAGATTGTCTTGACCGTCACTTCCCAGTTTCTATTAAGCAAATGCCATAATACTTCATTCTATTCTAAAGGTTATATAATTTGTAAAATATAAAATGTATTTAATATCAGTGTAATAAACCAGAATGAGACAAAATTTTTGATGGCATAAACTGAAGGAAAATTTGATGGTGATAATAGTGGCTTAATCACTAATGAATCTGTGTTTGAGATCGGGATAACGTTTTAGATGCGCTTATTGGGAGGTTTTGCTTAGAATTAAAAGTAGGGCATGGTTAAGGGCAGGTGTGCTAAATTTTTAAAGTGCTATGTACAGTTAAACACAACACACACACACACTCACATTAAGCTTTGTTTTGTCTGGCCATGAAATGAATGAATAAATATATTTTACATCATCATATGTCATCACCCTTCCATGTCAGAAAAGAGAAGAGCCTAAAATTGGTGGTTTAATATTAGTCTGATATATGCCATTGCCATTTTTCAGCAGAATAGAGGGGAATGGAGAAAGTGAGTGGTGGTCATATTGAGGATATTGTGTGGCTTTCCACCTCCTCCTAAGTCTAGTTTTCAAAGTGTGGCTTTATTATGTACTTTGAAGAAAGGTGATCTTCAGAACACCAGCATATACCTATGTTTACAATTCCAATAAAATAATGCAGCTGACAGAGCATTGGCCACTGTCTAAATCTAATCTGAAAGGCAGAGATGCTTCCTTAATACTTTTGATTAACTTCAAAATGATGGCAAATAATGCTTTCATAAACTTACAGGTGTATAAATTTGGTTTATAGAGATTGGATTTAGAACTAAAATGGTAATTCTATTTATTTACAAGATGTGTGTTGAATGCAGTTCCCAGAAGCTAAACTTGGTGCCCATCAAAAATACCAGTAAATCAATTTGCCTAGTGTAACAGTTACTCTAGAAGAAAAAAATGAAAATGAAAAACTTATTTTCTGAATCCTTTATTTTCCACTTGTGCCCATCTGTGCCTGTTACCTTCAGGGCCATTCCTTGCCCTGCCCTGCCTCTCTTTATTCCACAGGGACTGACCCTATGGGCTGTATTTTCCAGCCAGAGCCTCTCCTCCCCTCCTACATGTTACCTCCAGCTTCTTCCAGTGACCTGAACCCTGAACCTCATTAACACTACCTCTTCCCTTTTGTCCCTTGAGAATCATGAGTGATAGTGCCTTTGGCTTCCTGAGGCTGCTGATCTTCAATTTGATCCACCATTCCCAATTTAGCTTCTCAATTCTTTCATCTTTGTAACCATTTCCTTGTATTAAAGTTCATCATTTTAAATACTTAGAATGTTTTCTTTTATCTTGATTGAATCGTAACTAATCTATCAATACTTCATTAATTTCTTCCAAAATTATTGGAAGAAAATGAACATGGATTACTTGCTTCTTAAGAAAACAAGTGATTCCTAAGAAATTAAATTTAAATGTAAAGTTGGGCAGGGTGTTTTTTACTTTTAAAATACTTTATACTAAGACATTGAGATATAATATACATACAAAGAGGTCACAAGTAAGTGTATATCTCAATGAATTTTCACAAAGTGTATACTTCCCATCAGATCAAGAAGTAGATTACCAATGCCCCCAGAAGTCCTGCTCACGTGAGCTTCCAGTCATTCCTCCCACAGAGGAAACCATCATCATGGCTTATGTGACAATTAACTAATTTTGCCTATTCTAGAACTTTATCTAATGGAATCATGCAGTGTGTCATTTATTTATTAATTTAGTAAAATTTATTTGAGAGCAATTTAGGTCACCCAAAAATTGAGTAGAAAGTACAGTTTTTATATATCCCCCTATACACAACACACACACACACACACACACACACACACACACACCCCACACACACACACCCTATGGACATCCTCCACCAGAATGGTATATTTGTGACTATCAATGAACCTACATTAACCCATCATCACCTGAAGTCCACAGTTTACATTAGGGTACATTCTTGGTGTTGTGCATTCTATGGGCTTTGACAAATGCATAAATGACATGTATCCACCACTGTGGTGTCATACAGAATAGTTTCACTGCCCTAACAATCCTCTGTGCTCTTGCCTATTCATCCCTCCCCTGCACCTCACCCCTCATCTTTTTACTGGCTCCATAGCTTTACCTTTTCTGAGATGTCATATAGTTGAAATCATACAGTGTGTAGCCTTTTCAGGTTGGCCTCTTTCACTCAGTAATATGCATTTAAGTCTCCTTCATGGCTTTTCATGGCTTGATAGTTCATTTTGTTTTAGTGTTGAATAATATTCCACTGCCTGGATGTACCACATTTAATTTATCTATTAACCTATTGGAGGACATTTTTGTTGCTTCCATGTTTTGGAAATTATGAATAAAGCTGCTATAAACATCATATGTAGGTTTTTGTGTGGACACAAATTTTCAACTCATTTAGGTAAATATTTTAGGTTGGTGCAAAAGTAATTGCGGTTTTGCCATTACTTTTTGATTTAATTACTTTTGCACCAACCTAATACCAAGGAGTGTAATTGCTGAATCATAGGATAAAAATATGTTTAGTTTTGTAAGAAACTGCCAAACTGTCTTCCAAGTTAATTGTATCATTTTGCATTTCCACCAGCAACAAATAAGTGTCCTGTTGCTCCATATCCTCTCCAGCATTTGATGTCAGTGTTTTAGAATTTGGTCATTCTAATAGGTGTATACTTCTGATTTTAATGAGCAGTTCCCTAATGATGTTGAACATCTTTTCATATGGTTACTTTCTAACTTTGTATCTTCTTTGGTGAGGTGTCTGTTCCGATCTTTGGCCCATTTTTTAATTGGGTTGTTTTCTTATTGTTGAGTGTTAAAAGTTCTTTGTATATTATGGCTAATAATCCTTTATCACATGTGTCTTTTGAAAATAATTTCTCTTATTTCTGTCTTCGCTTGTCATTCTCTTCAAGGTTTGTTTTTTTAAAAACTGAAAAAAAATTAAACTTAATATATTTAAAGCCATATCCTCAGCTATACAATATTGTAACATTAATTTGTTGCTGTTAACACAATCATTGTCAAGTTTCCCATTTTGCATATCAAATTAATGGGAAGATTTTTAAATTTTCAGGTATATCCCAAGTATTATTTTTATTTTTAAAATATCCACATTTCACAAACTTTACTATGTACAGTATAAGAACTTCTTAGTCTCATTCCAATTTAAATCAGTCTCATTCCAACATTCACATTTAAATCTAAAGCTTCTGATTTACTTTATTTTGGTTCTTTTCACCTGCAGTTGAGAGATCTGACCTCTCTCTTTTAGTAATGGTTGTTTGCTACTTGAAGATGCCTTATGATCTGAACATTTCAAATGTCCTGTAATAAATACTGGTTGTATTGGAAAGCAATGTGATCAGGATCCCAGTGTCTGTCTTTCTTGATAACTAATCAATTCACTCTGTCTCAACAATTCCATTCATTCTAAAGAGATTCCTTGGTATTAAAGTCGCTTTTCACTTAATCATTTTGGTACTTCACTTAGTTATTTTAAATGGAAGGGCCTTGCTATTTTCATTTCCTTCTCATTTATTTATGTAGTCATGTTCCTTTTCAATCTTTTCTCAGAGGTCATCTCAACTGCTCATCTGTCCATTTTAATGTACTGTGGTTGGACTCTGAAGGACATGATGTTCCTTCTACCAACAATTTTCATCTATTCAACCAATGTCAATGTTGAACCTGCAATGCCTAATTTAGAATCCTTTCAGACAATGCGCAAATGCCATCATGAACAGAATTTCTAAAACTCCTTCATCATCCTAAAGCTGGGAGACACAGGTATGAGGAGCTTTATGATACAGTTTAAGACAATGAATAACTTATGTTGCCAGTACAAGTCTTCCCCTTATTTGATACAGCTCTAAAAATTCTAATCATTAACATTTTTCTCCAGCTTTTGGAAATAGGATTTTATAAAATTATAATTTAAAAAAATACCCTTGGGAAGAAAAATGCACCCATTAATTATATATACTACATAATATGTAAATCTAATGAATTAGCAAGGAAGAGACCCCTGAAACAATGGTACAAACATTCAGCATTGGAAGTTGGGGTACACATATGTGGGAAATGATCTCACCAACTTTATGATGTTGCCTGTAGGGTCAAGGGAAACACCTGACATCAAAGATAACTCAGGCTGAACAGATCTTAATGTCACGTTGGGAGAGAGGGATGGGAAGAGTGGAGGTATTAGTCATTACAATAATGAACAACATTGTGATGGGAGATTTTTATGTATATATATACTTTAGGTTCTGGGATACATATGCAGAACGTGCAAGTTTGCTACACAGGCATACAGGTACCATGGTGCTTTGCTGCACCCATCAACCCGTCATCTACATTAGGTATTTCTCCTAATGCTATCCCTCCCCTTGCCCCCCATCCCGCAACAAGCCCTGGTGTGTGATGTTCCCCTCCCTGTGCCCATATGTTCTCATTGTTCAACTCTCACTTATGAGTGAGAACATGTGGTCTTTGGTTTTCTGTTCCTGTGTTAGTTTCCTGAGAATGATGGTTTCCAGCTTCATCCATATTCCTGTAAAGGACATGAACTCGTTCTTTTTTTGGCTACATATTATTCCATGGTGTATTTGTGTCACATTTTCTTTATCCAGTCTAACATTTATGGGCATTTGGGTTGGTTCCAAGTCTTTGCTTTTGTGAATAGTGCTGCAATAAACATACATGTGCATGTGTCTTTATAGTAGAATGACTTATAATCCTTTGGGTATATACCCAGTAATACGATTGCTAGGTCAAATGGTATTTCTGGTTCTAGCTCCTTGAGGAATCACCACACTGTCTTCCACAATGGTTGAACTAATTTACACTCCCACCAATAGTGTAAAAGCATTCCTATTTCTCCACATCCTCTCCAGCATCGGTTGTTTCCTGACTTTTCAATGATCGCCGTTCTAACTGGCATGAGATGGTATCTCATTGTGGTTTTGATTTGCATTTCTCTAATGACCAGTGATGATGAGCTTCTTTTCATATGTTTTTTGGCCGCATAAATGTCTTCTTTTGAAAAATGTCTGTTCATATCACTTGCCCACTTTTTGATGGGGTTGCTTTTTTCTTGTAAATTTGTTTAAGTTCCTTGTAGATTCTGGATATTAGCCCTTTGTCAGATGGATAGATTGCAAAAATTTTCTCCCATTCTGTAGGTTGCCTGTTCACTCTGCTGATAGTTTCTTTTACTGTGCAGAAGCTCTTTAATTAGATCCCATTTGTGAATTTTGGCTTTTGTTGCCATTGCTTTTGGTGTTTTAGTCATGAAGTCTTTGCCCATGCCTATGTCCTAAATGGTTTTGCCTGATTTTCTTCTTGGGTTTTTATGATTTTAGGTCTTACATTTAAGTCTTTAATCCATCTTGAGTTAATTTTTGTATGAGGTGTAAGGAAAGGGTCCAGTTTCAGCTTTCTGCATATGGCTAGCCAGTTTTCCCAACACCATTTATTAAATAGGGAATGTTTTCCCCATTGCTTGTTTGTGTCAGGTTTGTCAAAGATCAGATGGTTGTAGATGTGTGGCGTTATTTCTGAGGGCTCTGTTCTGTTCCATTGGTCTATATATCTGTGTTGGTACCAGTACCATGCTGTCTTGGTTACTGTAGCCTTGTAGTATAGTTTAAGTTAGGTACTGTGATACCTCCAGCTTTGTTCTTTTGGCTTAGGATTGTCTTGGCTATACAGGCTCTTTTTTGTTTCCATATGAAACTGAAAGTAGTTTTTTCTAATTCTGTGAAGAAAATCAATGGTAGCTTGATGGGAATGGCATTGAATCTGTAAATTACTTTGGGCAGTATGGCCATTTTCACAATATTGATTCTTCCTATCCATGAGCATGGAATGTTTTTCCATTTGTTTGTGTCACCTCTTCTTTCCTTGAGCAGTGGTTTGTAGTTCTCCTTGAAGAGGTCTTTCACATCCCTTGTAAGTTGTATTCTTAGGTATTTTATTCTCTTTGTAGCAATTGTGAATGGGAGTTTGCTCATGATTTGGCTCTCTGTTTGTCTATTACTGGTGTATAGGAATGCTTGTGAATTTTGCACATTGGTTTTGTATCCTGACACTTTGCTGAATTTGCTTATCAGCTTAATGAAGTTTTGGGCTGAGATGATGGGGTTTCCTAAATATACAATCATGTCATCTGCAAACAAAGATAATTTGACTTCCTGTCTTCCTATTTGAATACCCTTCATTTCTTTCTCTTGCCTGATTGCCCTGGCCAGGACTTCCAATACTGTGTTGAATAGGAGTGGTGAGAGAGGGCATCCTTGTCTTGTGCTGGTTTTCAAAGGGAATGCTTCTGGCTTTTGCCCATTCAGTATGATTTTGGCTGTGGATTTGTCATAAATAGCTCTTATTATTTTGAGATATGTTCCATCAATACCTAGTTTATTGAGTGTTTTTAGCATGAAGGGGTGTTGAATTTTATTGAAGGCCTTTTCTGCATCTATTGAGATAATCATGTGGTTTTTGTCATTGGTTCTGTTTATGTGATGGACTACGTTTATTGATTTGTGTATGTTGAACCAGCCTTGCATCCCAGGATGAAGCCGACTTGATTGTGGTGGATAATCTTTTTGATATGCTGCTGGATTCAGTTTGCCAGTACGTTATTGAAGATTTTTGCATCAATGTTCATCAGGAATATTGGCCTGAAATTTTCTTTTTTTGTTGTGTCCCTGCCAGGTTTTGGTATCAGGATGATGCTGGCCTCATGAAATGAGTTAGGGTGGAGTCCCTCTTTTTCTTTTGTTTGGAATTGTTTCAGAAGGAATGGTACCAGCTCCTCTTTTTACCTCTGGTAGAATTTGGCTATGAATCCGTCTAGTCCTGGGTTTCTGTTGGTGGTGGTGGTGGTAGACTATTAATTACTGCCTCAAATTCAGAATTTGTTATTGGTCTGTTCAGGGATTCAACTTCTTGGTTTAGTCTCGGGAGGGTGTATGTGTCCAAGAATTTATCCATTTCTCCTAGATTTTCTAGTTTATTTGTGTAGAGGTGTTTATAGTATTCTCTGATTGTAGTTTGCATTTCTGTGGGATCAGTGGTGATCTCCCCTTTATCATTTTTATTGTGTCTATTTGATTCTTCTCTCTTTTCCTCTTTATTAGTCTGGTAGCCATCTATCTATTTTGTTAATCTTTTCAAAAAACCACCTCCTGGATTCGTTGATTTTTTGAAGGGTTTTTCATGTCTCTATCTCCTTCAGTTCTGTTCTGATCTTAGTTATTTCTTGTCTTCTGCTAACTTTTGAATTTGTTTGCTCTTGCTTCTCTAGTTCTTTTAATTGTGATGTTAAGGTGTCAATTTTAGCTCTTTCCTGCTTTCTCCTGTGGGCATTTAGTGCTATAAATTTCCCTCTAAACACTGTATAGCTGTGTCCCAGAGATTCTGGTACATTCTGTCTTTCTTCTCATTGGTTTCAAAGAACATCTTTATTTCTGTCTTAATTTTGTTATTTACCCAGTAGTCATTCAGGAGCAGGTTGTTCAGTTTCCATGTAGTTGTGCAGTTTTGAGTGAGTTTCTTAATCCTGAGTTCTAATTTGATTGCACTGTGGTCTGAGAGACTGTTTGTTATGATTTCCATTCTTTTGCATTTGTTGAGGAGTGTTTTGCTTCCAATTATGTGGTCAATTTTAGAATAAGTGCTATGTGGTGCTGAGAAGAATGTATATTCTGTTGATTTGGGGTGGAGAGTTCTGCAGATGTCTGTTAGATCTGCCTGGTCCAGAGCTGAGTTCAAGTTCTGAATATCCTTGTTAATCTTCTGTCTCATTGATCTAATATTGATAGTAGGGTGTTAAAGTCTCCCACTATTATTGTGTGGGAATATAGGTCTCTTTGTAAGTCTCTAAGAACTTTCTTTATGAATCTGGATGCTCCTGTATTGGGTGCATATATATTTAGGATACTTAGCTCTTCTTGTTGCATTGATCCCTTTAACATTATGTAATGCCCTTCTTTGTCTTTATTGATCTTTGTTGGTTTAAAGTCTGTTTTATCAGAGACGAGGATTGCAACTTCTGCTTTTTTTTTTCTTCTTTCTGTTTGCTTGATAAGTCTTCCTCCATCCCTTTATTTTGAGCTTATGTGTATCTTTGCACATGAGATGGGTCTCCTGAATATAGCACACTGATGGATCTTGACTCTTTATCCGATTTGCCAGTCTGTGCCTTTTCATTGGAGCATTTAGCCCATTTACATTTAAGGTTAATATTGTTATGTGTGAATTTGATCCTGTCATCATGATGCTAGCTGGTTATTTTGCCTATTAGTTGATGCAGTTTCTTCATAGTGTGGATGGTCTTTACAATTTGGTTTATTTTTGCAGTAGCTGGTACTGGTTTTTCCCTTGCATATTTAGTGCTTCCTTCAGGAGCTCTTGTAAGGCAGGCCTGATGGTGACAAAATCCCTTAGTATTTGCTTGTCTGTAAGGGATTTTATTTCTCCTTCACTTATGAAGCTTAGTTTGGCTAGATATGAAATTCTGGGTTGAAAATTCTTTTCTTTAAGAATGTCGAATATTGGCCCCCACTCTCTTCTGGCTTGTAGCGTTTCTGCTGAGAGATCCACTGTTAGTCTGATGGGCTTCCCTTTGTGGGTAACGCGACCTTTCTCTCTGGCTGCCCTTAACATTTTTTCCTTCATTTCAACCTTGGTGGATCTGACAATTATGTGTCTTGGGGTTGCTGTTCTTGAGGAGTATCTTTGTGGTGTTTTCTGTGTTTCCTGAATTTAAATGTTGGCCTGTCTTGCTAGGTTGAGGAAGTTCTCCTGAATAATATCCTGAAGTGTGTTTTCTAACTTAGTTCCATTCTCCCCATCACTTTCAGGTACACCAATCAAACGTAGATTTTGTCTTTTCACCTAGTACCATATTTCTTGGAGGCTTTGTTTGTTCCTTTTCATTCTTTTTTCTCTAATCTTGTCTTCATGCTTTATTTCATTAAGTTGATCTTCAGTCTCTGATATCCTTTATTCTGCTTGATCGATTCAGCTATTGATATTTGTATATGCTTCACAAAGTTCTGGTGCTGTGTTTTTCACCTCCATCAGGTCATTTATGTTCTTCTCTAAACTGGTTATTCTAGTTAGCAATTCCTCTAACCTTTTTTCAAGGTTCTTAGCTTCCTTGCATTGGGTTAGAACATGTTCCTTTACCTCAGAGGAGTTTGTTATTACCCACCTTCTGAAGCCTACTTCTGCCAATTCGTCAAACTCATTCTCCATCCAGTTTTGTTCCCTTGCTGGCGAGGAATTGTGATCCTTTGGAGAAGAGGCGTTCTGCTTTTTGGAATTTTCAGCCTTTTTGCACTGGTTTTTCTTCATCTTCATGGATTTATCTATTTTTGGTCTTTGTTGTTGGTGACCTTCAGATGGAGTTTTGGGTGGTCATTTTTTTGTTGTTGTTGATGTTGATGCTATTGCTTTCTGATTGTTTTCCTTCTAATAGTCAGGCCCCTCTGCTGCAGGTCTGCTGGAGTTTGCTGGAGGTCCACTCCAGACCCTGTTTTCCTGGGTATCACCAGTGAAGGCTGCAGAACAGCAGAGATTGCTGCCTGCTCCTTCCTCTGGAAGCTTCGTCCCAGAAGGGCACCTGCCAGATGCCAGCCAGAGCTATTCTGTATGAGGTATCTATCGAACCCTGCTGGGAGGTGTCTCCCCATCAGGAGGCATGGGTGTCAGGGACCCACTTGAGGAGGCAATCTGTCCCTTAGCAGAGCTCGAGTGCTGTGCTGGGAGATCCACTGCTCTCTGCAGAGCTGGCAGGCAGAAATGTTTAAGTTTGCTGAAGCTGCGCCCACAGCTGCCCCCTCCCCCAGGTGCTCTGTTCCAGGGAGATGGGAGTTTTATCTATAAGCCCCTGGCTGGGGCTACTGCCTTTCTTTCAGAGATGCCCTGCCCAGAGAGGATGAATCTAGAGAGGCAGTCTGGCTACAGTGGCTTTGAGGTGTTGTGGTGGGCCCCACCCAGTCTGAACTCCCAGTGGCTTTGTTTACACTGTGAGAGGAAAACCACCTACTCAAGCCTCAGTAATGGTGGAAGCCCCTCCCTCCACCAAACTTGAGAGTCACAGATCGACTTCAGACTGCTGTGCTGACAGCGAGAATTTCAAGCCAGTGGATCTTAGTTTGCTGGGTTTCTTTGGGGTGGGATCCGCTGAGCAAGACCACTTGGCTCTCTGGCTTCAGCCCCCTTCCCAGGGGAGTGAACGGCTCTGTCTCACTGGCTTTCCAGGCACCACTGGGGTACAAAAAGAAAACTCCTGCAGCTAGCTTGGTGTCTTCCCAAATGGCCGCCTCATTTTGTGCTTGAAACCCAGGGCCCTTGTGGCACAGGCACTCAAGAGCATCTCCTTGCAAAGACCATGGGAAAAGGGTAGTAACTTGGCAAGATAGCACCCTCCCTCATGGCAAGTTCCTCATGGCTTCCCTTGGCTAGGGGAGGGAGTTCCCTAACCTCTTGCGCTTCCCGGGTGAGGCAATGCCCCACCCTGCTTCGGCTGGCCCTCTGTGGGCTATACCCACTGTCTAACCAGTCCCATTGAGATGAACTGGGTACCTCAGTTGGAAATGCAGAAATCACCCACCTGTTGCGTTGGTCTCACTGGGAGCTGCAGACTGGAGCTGTTCCTATTCAGCCATCTTGCCACAATGGGAGATTTTAAATAACTTGTTCTCAAGTAATTCAGATAGGTGATTTTAATCATGATGTAATCTCAAGTACTTCTGTTGAACCACAGAGTATGTGAGAAAACCCAAATGTGTTTAAATGCAGAAATCATCTTTTATCCATCTTTGTATTCCTGGAAACTAACACAGTGCTTGGCACACTATTAATACTTTCTAAATAAATGGCTGGTGATTAAGGGCAAAGGCACAAAGCAATGCTGGCTAATGCTTACTGAGTTCTTATTTTATGCAAGAAATTGTTCTATATTCTCCCTTTCATGCCTAAACAACCCTATAACATAGGCACTATTTTTATCTCCTTTTTTAAGGATTAGGAAACTCGGGTTCACAGAAGTTAAATAACCTGCCCGAGGTTAAGTAGGTTGAAGGTGAAAATTCAAGTCCAGATAGTCTGGCTTCAGGGCCTGAGCTCCTAATTGTGATGCTCCACTGCCTCTTAGGTAAAATAATCACCAAGTAATTTTAAAACACAGGAGCAACATTTTGTATTACTTAAAAACATTCTGTCACGTCATATAGCACACCTATATTAACAGACCTGCCCAAATCATGAACACTCACTTTGAACAGAAATTACTTCTTTTCTGTATTCTTCCTCTCCTTTCCTTTTAAAACATGACCGACTAAACTAACTTTCTAACTTATGTTCAGATCTCATCATTTTCATTCTTCAGTGATTTGTTCTATCTCAAATATGCCATTGCTCCTTTTACAAGATTGCTTACGGATGTGTAATTTTGAGCAAGTTACTTAACCTCTCTGAGCGTCAGTTGACCAAGCTGAAAAGATAAGTCTATTTTACTTCAAGGACTAGGAAACAATACCTATAAAACAAAGCACAGTGGAGTTCCTGATGCATTGCATGTGTGAAACAAGCAGTTGAAAATATCATCCAAGTACTCTCATCCACTTTGGTTTCAAAGCCAGCATTGACTGCCCCATCAGAAGAAAATCTGTGTTCTGTATTCCTTAGCATGTCATAATACTGGTACAATGGACCTCTTGGGTCTCACTGCCTACCTTTGCTTCCCATCAGCTGATCTTTGCTAATATAGGGATATTTTGTCTTTCCTAAGCCATGCTCTTTGTTCCTTTACTTTTGCACATGCTGATTCTTCTGCCTAGACACTCCTCCCATCCACACCCCTCCCTAAATCCCCTTCATCTGCATGCACTCATGTACTCTTACATAACTTGCAATATGCTAGTCATCTTTCAATATCCAGCACAGCTGCTGCTGTTACCATTTCACTAAAGTCACTGATGAACTTCTCATGGATCATAGTTATGTGTCCTATCTTTGAATGCACATAGACTTTTGGGTTATTTGTAGGGTATCAGCACCTAATGTAGACAACAGAAAGAAAATCAACCTTCATTATCAATCACAGCACCATATCTTAGCTTCTCATGTTATTTCTCTTTTTCTTCTGAATTTTTCATCAGAGACAAATGCCAAGTCTCCTCCTCTTTGAAGTTCCTATACCAAGTTCAGAAGTAGTCTTCCTTTCTGGTTTTGAATGAACTAGGGAGGGTCATATTTTGAGATAAATTTGAGTTCCTTCAGTGTAGTTAAGATCCTAACACTTTATCCAGCCATTAGAAGTAAAAGAAGAGCTCCGTTCTGGGGAAGGAAACCTCACAGAGGGGGTCCGTGGCACTCTGTGCCAAGCACCAAAGCAGACGTTCCATGAACATTATCTTATTTAATCTTCATAATAACCCCACAAATTAGCTATTATTATCCCTGTTATTCCGAGAAAAAAAACTAGGGTTCCAATAGCTTAGCTAACTTGCCAATGTTGTATTTCTGGTAAGTGGCAGAATGAGAATGTTAGATCTTTCCACTGCAGCAAACTGCCACTCTAAAAGAGCTTTCCAATTTAATCCTATAAGAAGAATATGTTTGTTAGATAGTGTTAAAATTTTCCATTTAAAACATTTCCCGAGGAGTAAGCTATTTATAACTGCACAGATCTTTACTCATTGGCAAATAAGTTTATGTTTAGGTTGATGCTAAAATTAGCATTATTTCTGTTCAACAAGAGTTTAAAAGATGTAGCACCTTGTGGTTCTGCAAACTATTTATACAAAATCTTCTTCGTTGATGTGCACATAAGCCTGGAAATGATGGTATCTAAAGCTGTAGACTGATAGAATTTTAGTGCTAAATGTTATCTGGGATTACCACTGGAGGTGGAGTCTCTTTAAGGCAAGAGTTTCTGTCTCTCTTTCTTTTTTCTCCTTAAGAATATTTATGAAATAAATATCTATGACTAATTATAAACGAATTTCTTTAGAATGCAAAAAAATTTCCTAGACATAGTGATACTATTAGCACTTCTTAAAGAAGTACATAAACACATTCTGAAATTTTTATAACACTATTCAAGGGCCATGCATAAGAATAATAATGTATATTAATAACTCAAAATTAAATTTAATTGCAAAAATCAGCATCCGTAGAGAAGGGTTCCTTTGTGAAAAATCATAAGATGCATAGGCAGCATTTATACTTATAATGATCATTCATTCATTCATTCATTTTTTAAACATATATTGCACATCTTCTATGTTCCCTGGCTCTATGTTAGGCACCTGGGAGCCTGAGATAAATAAAGTTTAATTATTTCAAGTAATATCCTAATTATATTTGCCATAGATTATATCATAGAGTCATAGAATATCATAGAATTGAAGCATCAGAAAGGATATTTCAGATCATGCAGCCCAGACCTCCTAATTTTTAGTTTGAGGAAATTGAAGACTAGAGAGCTTAAGTACTACCCAAATAATTAGCAGCAAAGCCACAACTCAGACATGTCTGAGTCTCCTACTACCCAGCTCTTCTCTACTATACAATAAACTAGCTAACATTTCTATATTCTTGAGTTTATTTTCCCCCAAGAGGAGATTCCTGGTCTAAGAAGAGAAGACTGAGAAAATAAAGTTGATTTTTCTTTTAAATATAATAAATAGAAGTAGATTTATGATTCATCAAGTATTAATTGAGAATTAACCAAATATCAGGAACTTTCCTACGAGCTGGTCATATGTGTGAGAAAAACAGAAATGTCTTTCTGGACCACATCCTGCTTGTCATCTTGTGTGCACTGTGTGTGTGTGTGTGTGTGTGTGTGTGTGTGTGTGTGTAAAACCCTAGCCTAAAGGCACTAAACTGCCCTTTAATGGGAATATTAAAATAGCCCAGGCAATGGCAGATATAATGTAATGCTAAAAAAGGCAACTAAAGTGATTAGAACATATTTATATTTACTTTTTTTAAAAAACGTAAAACAGTGCAATCCTTAAACACCTTATGTATTACACTGAAAAGATACAGGTATATGTCTTTGGTCTACTACTGTTATATGAATAACTTGTTTTATGACTGTTTCCTGTTAAACATTTCAGAAGTGGAAAATAATTTTTTAAAATCTCAGTACATATCTACACTGCTATATCTCTTTGAGTAAGATAAATATACAGTATTTTAGAAAAAAAAATGAGAAATCTGTTCACATTCCCATGTTATGTTCCTGATTAGTTATCTTTTGTTTGCTAATTGCCCCTTTACTTCCCTAGAAGAGCTTTGCAGAATACTATTTACCTTTTCATAAGTATGATTTTTAAAACTATGTTATCACAAGAATGGATGGAGCAATGTTTTTCCATCAAAAACTAGAATTCTGATGGGTTTACAAAAGTTAGTAATAATGTGCTTTAATGTTAGTGCATTCTTAGTAATGACAATTTACTGTTTGAGCTTGTATTTTAGCCATCAACTGATTTTTGTCACTTTCAAAAAGCAAATGTTAAGTCTGTACAGAGTTTATTTTAGTGAAATCTTAAACTGTAAATTTGATAGTTTCAAATTAGCAAAGCAGATAAATAATGTAGCTCTCAATTTTGTCTATTTCTAACCATTCTCTAACAGTAGGCTAGAAATTTTACTGCACTTTTGTCTGTGTATAATATGCCTTCACACTCAGATAAAAACTTGCAGTATTTTTACTTCCAATCCTAGTTGGATAAGTAAGGTGGCTGTCTTTTTTTTTATGAACGGGTTTTTATTATATCATGTCTCCCTAATGTATGTAAACAGCTCTAGTGTCACATGATTTCCCTTCTGAAGTTGAATTTCTTCCCAGGGTAGTAGCATCCACAAAGCATATATTTGGCAGCAAAACAGCACTAGTACATTATAGATAAGGTTACATTCTTCCCATTCAGCCACAGCAAATGAGCCTCTCATCCCCTCAGTTAAACAGGTTCTGGTTTTATACTGAAGCAGATTTAGCCTCCCTCAGTTCCTATTCCTCGTGTGTGGTCAAGGGTGCTACCATGAGTAGGACGGAGCATGCCACCACCTGAATCCCTGGCATATTCCCACGGCACTTTGAATTCTCCTTTGGCAAAGAACATTTGCAGACATTAAGTACAATGGTAAAATTACTGTACTATAACAACCTTCCCATTCTCTCCTGGATTCTCCCTCCGTACAGTGCTAGAAGTGAAAGGACCTATGTAGCAGGACTTGTAAATGCCCCCTAAATTCAGTTATTAATAGGAATTCTTCCATCTGATAATTACACCTTTGAGATTTCCCATATCGTCTAACCCTGGGGCTGTTGTGTGTAAAGTTGTAACTGCAAGCATGAAGGTTTTTCACTAAAATATTATTAATCCACCTCCTGAATCCACCTTCTCCCGATTTTGTCTTACCTAATAACAAAGGTAATAATCTAGCTCAGCTCATGATTGCCTTCTCATTAAAATATTCAGATCCTTTTCATACTCATACCTGGGGCTCGTGTGTAACATACACAGCCTTAATAAGCTGTGGTTGCCTGGTAACCAGTGGAGGCGCTAACCAGTGGAGACGGGTCAGAGAGTCTGAAGAACATAAATAACTGAAGCATTGACATTAGTTTCAGCTGGGTCACCCAAGCCTTAATTCTGCACTAGCCATCCCAGACATTTCTAATGGGCTGGTGAAACAGTAGCTTTCTCAGAAGTAGCTCCTTAAATCATAAAAACAAGAATTAGCGTTTAACATAATGTCCTTCTCTATGGTCTGATAGGAGTTTGGGGAATGACCATGGAAACAACAGGACCAGATCCTAATGCCTTTGAAATACTTTTTACAGAATACAGAATAAAGTGTTTGCAAGGACTCAACACTCTCAAACAGCTTTTTCCACGTGTTCCTGATTCTGTTTTCTCAGTTTCATTAGGAAAATTTTTTTTTAGCATTTACCCATTCTCTAATATTATCTTTTACACATTGAGTGGTTAAGGATTCTGAAACATTTTCCCTTTTCAAAGGCTCTTGCTTTAAAAAGCAATGTAGAAACAAAGAGAAAAATAGTTAGAATAAGCAGACTGATAGCAGGATGGTAAAATTAACCCATAACATAAATAATACCTGATAACTTCTGAAGAAAGCACACACAGCTTGAAGCATACCCAGTGCTGTTCCTTATACTGGGACATTTGGCCATATGCTGGGACTTTCAAAGCCCCAGGATAAGATACCCCTGTCTTAAAGTGTGTTACATTTTAAAGGGAAAAGAGAACATTACATTTTTATGAAAACAATAAGAAATACACTATTGACTTGAAAGCAAAATTAGCGTGAGTTTTTAAGGGGAAAAAAAGATAGGCCGGGCATGGTGGCTCATGCCTGTAATCCCAGCACTTTGAGAGGCCGAGGCGGGCGGAACACAAGGTCAAGAGATCAAGACCACCCTGGCCAACATAGTGGAACCCCCGTCTCTACTAAAAATACAAAAATTAGCTGGGCCTGGTGGCACATGCCTGTAGTCCCAGCTACTCGGGGAGCTGAGGCAAGAGAATCACTTGAACCCGGGAGGTGGAGGTTGCAGTGAGCCAAGATTGAGCCACTGCACTCCAGCCTGGCGACAGAGTGAGACTCCATCTCAAAAAATAAAAAAATAAAAATAAGGTAAAGGAATGGCAGCATTGGAAAGTAATTCTGTCACCAGACCCACCTCATGCACTGCCATTGCCTCACCTTCCCAGCCCACTGAGTGGGAAATTTGAAGAAGTACAGCTGTACGAGATAGACATTTCACTGTTTGGAAAGAAAGATGATTTTTTTTTAATTTAAATGAGAAAAAATGTCACTACTCATAACCAAATGATTTGTTTGGACTCTGCCCTACATATGGGCAGGACAGAAAATTATTAACCACTATTTATTGAGAGCTGTTCAGAGGCCTGCCCACTTTACTCTAAAGCAGTGGTTCTCAACCAGGAGCAGCTTAGCTGTCCAGGGAACATTTAGCAATATCTGTAGGCATTTTTGATTGATGCCTGGGAGTGGAAGTGATACTAGCATCTAGTGGGTATAGTCCAGGGATGCTACTAACAATCTACGATGCTCAGGGCAGTCCCTAAAAGTAAAGAATGATCTAGCCCAACGTATCAATAGTGCCAATGCTGAGAAATTCTTCTAAAAAGTACAAAGGCTAAAGTAACTCTGTACCAGGTTCAATATGTGGTATTTTTTTGTTACCATTGAATCTCCACCACCATTCCTTTAGGTGGGTATTACTGTTACCTCCATTTTCAGATGATGAAGTGGAGGCTCAGAAGGTTAACTTGCTCAAGGCCGTGCAGTAAACAAGTAGTGGACCCTGAATTCAAAAGCAGATTAGTTTCCTCAAGCCAACTCCTGTGAGGTCACTGTGCTTCTTTCTTCAAAAATACCTACATAACTGCCTTCTGTGTTTTCTGAAACTCTTTGTCTCCACAGGGCCCCTATTAAAATGCATGTGTGTCATTTGAGCTGGCTGACAGGATAGTTAATCATGGCCTATGATTCCATTTCCTGAGTAAATTTACTGGGTTCTAGGGACCTGGACTGGAGAAGAGATGACATTGTTAGAAGGGGAGAAAAAAGGTTCCTGAAAAGGGAAATTTCATTTTTAAAAGAACCTCTTTGATGGAGAAGATGGGATTCCAGGACAAGGCTTAGAGTGCAGAAAAGGCCTAATTGTGCACCGGGGATTTGATTGTATGAAATAGAGCGAGGCTGTGGTAGCAAGTATTGCAGGAGGAGGTGACAACTTCCTTGTTCTAAAGGAGAGGATAGGCCGATTCTTCCTGCTAGAGGAACCCATTGTCTCGCTTGTGGCCTGCCCTTGAGGGAATCTGAACTACTGGAAGAGCAAAGAAGGCAGTCAGGCATGGGCACAGAAGAAGCCCAGGAAGTGTTGGTGATCACAAAACAGGAAGGTGACAATCCACTTTAGCCAACACTTGCTGCAAAAGAACCTCATCATCCTCAGCATGTGAAAAGAAAACAGTAACGTTATTTTCAGAGAATGGTTCTGTTCCTTGATTCATCATTCCCTTGACACACTCCTTCACACAATGCGTCATCTGCTTTTCAATGCTCCTGCTGATGGCCAGCTGCACTCTGTTACCTTTTCAGGCTCTTGTTGGGTCTTGCCTCTCCACTCGTCCTGTGCCCAGTCATACAGAACCATTTGTCATCCCCCTGATGTGTCAACATTGTCTTCTCACCCTGTAGAGTCCCTTTTGTGAGTGAAGAGACTTTTCCCAGAAACTACCTGCATTAGTTTCCTAGAGTTGCTGTCACAAATTACCACAAAGCTTAGTGGCTTCAAACAATAGAAATTTTTTCTGTCATAGCTTTGTAGGCAAAAAGTCTGAAATTGAGGTGCTGGCAGGGCCATTCTCCCTATGAAGGTTCTGCGGAAGAATCCCCCCTTGCCTCTTCCTAGCTTCTGTGGGTTCCAGTAGTCCTGGCATTCCTTGGCTTGCAGCTGCATCACTGCAATCCCTGCTTCAGTCTTCACATGGCTTCCCCCGTTTGTATGTCTCTTTTTACATTCTCTCCTCTTCTTATACAGATACTAGTTGTCTTATGGTTCTCCAAAGATACACAACTAATAGGATAGATGTACATATAAAGGAGAGTTTATTAAGGAGTATTGACTCACACGATCACAAGGTAAGGTCCCACAATAGGCTGTCTGCAAGCTGAGGAACAAGGAACAAAGCTGAAGAACTTGGAGTCCGATGTTTGAGGTCAGGAAGCATCTAGCATGGGAGAAAGATGTAGGCCAGAAGACTAAAACAGTCTAATCTTTCCACGTTCTTTTGCCTGCTTTTATTCTGGCCATGCTGGCAGCTGATTAGATTGTGCACACCCAGATTGAGGGTAGGTCTGCCATTCCCAGTCCACTGGCTCAAATGTTAATCTCCTTTGGCAACACACTCACCCAGGAACAATACTTTGCATCCTTCAATCCAATCACATTGACACTCAATACTAATCATCACAACAGTCATTGGATTTAGGGCTCACCATAATCTAGTATGATCTCATTGTGATCCTTAACTGATTATATCTGAAAAGACTTTATTTCTAAAGGAGATAATAATATGCATTTGAGATATGAATTTTTGAGGGACACTCCTTGTATTAGTCAGGGTTGTCCAGAGAAACAGAACCAATATGTACTCACATGTGCACACACACACACACACACATCTATAAAACCATGTATTATAAGGAATGGGTTCATGTGATTATGGAGGCTGAGAAGTCTCCAGGTATGCAGTTCAAAGGCCTGGAAACCAGGAATGCTGATGTCCTAAGTTCCAGGCTGAATCCAAAAGCAAGAGAAGACCAGTGCCCCAGCTCAAAGACCATAATGCAGAAAAAGCACACACTCTCTTGCTCAGCCTTTTGTTTTATTCAGACACTGTAATTTTAACAGATTGGATTAGGCCCACTCACACTGGGGATGGCAATCTGTTTTACTCAGTCTACCAATTCAAATATTAATCTCATCCAGAAATACCCTTGCAAATACACCCAGAATAATGTTTGACCAAATATCTGTGCACCTGGTGACCCAGTCAGGTTGACACATAAAATTCACTGTCACACAACTCAAATACACAATGCCCCGCAGACTTTCCCTTGCTGACAAGCCTGGCAAGGGAACTGCATTCGCAGTGATTGACTTAAACCCTTCCCTGAGACTTTGGTGGAGGCACAGACAACAAATAATTCAGCATTTTACCAGCAAAGAAAAGGGGGAGAATGGTTATTAGGTAAGTAACTAATAAATCTGTTGCATTTCTATATATTTCTTTTTGGTGAAACAGACCCATCCATATTAGTCTATGCTTTGTATTTTCAAGCAACAAAAAGCAAAGCAAAACAAAACAAAAAAAAACTTGGCTAGCTTAACAAAAAAGAGACAGTTGCACTTTAGACAAGGACAGATCCAAAAGTTCAAAGGTTATACTCAGGACCCTGTCTCTTTCCGCCTTTCTCAGCACCATTTCTCTCTGGCGTTCAATTAATAGTTAAGGAGATTCTATCTATGCAGTGATGAAGAAAATCAGCAGACCTCCAAGCATAAACAATCTACCCAACTATAGATCACAGAGAAAAGAGCTTAACTTTGACCACCATAGAACTCTAATTGGCTTTCCTTAGGTCACATAAACATTCCTACTCCAACTCTTATTTTCAATCTTGATTGCTGCAGGATACCTATGATATGGATGACCCAATCAATACCCTCATCATATCCAGAAAAATATTCCTCCATTTGACCTCAGCCATCCACTTGCTTGACCACTAGAGCTGGTTACCTTCAGGAAATTAACCACTTCCACAATCAAAATAAGATACTTCTGTCTCCAAATACCACATGCTCCACTTCCAGCTCTTTTGCTCTGATATCTCACATTTGTGATTCTTTGTGTTCATTAAAGGGTCTTTTGGGCCTCATTCTTTCTCACTATCAGACTCCTCCTGTCTTTATTTTCTTCCTTACTTGCTTCTATTACATAGTTTATCCCTTGTACAAGCTTTCCTTTTATATACCTTCAAGTCCCTACCTCCTGTCCTGCCATCACATTCACCAGGCATTAGTGAACTCACTCACCTGATTTACTATTACTTGTGTCTATGTAGCTGAGCTTTGTTGCAGAAAACCACACAGCAGACCATGCTGAAATCCTACTAGGCTCATAATAAGCACTTCAGGTGTGCTTGCAGCACTCCATGTCTATCCTACTATTTCTATAGTCAGCTCACACTCCTCCTCTGCATGGTGACTGGTTCATCACTTTCCCATTTGCATCATGCTTCTTCTCCCACTCCGTGTCTGAGCTACCAACCTTGCTTCTTACTTCATTGAAAACATAAAAGCCATTAGATAGACTCCCTCTTCCTTAGGTTTCCAAACATGCAAGTATACCATCATCTGCAGCCTTCAACTCCTTTTTCCCTAGTGTCGCAGGAAAGGCAGTTTCTTGCCACATACACTCTGTATCCTATCTCCTTTCACCCTCTTAAGGACTGAGTGCATTCAACCAGCCATTTTCTCTCTCACATGCTCCGTCTCTCTGCCTGTAGTGGACCACTCAGCAGGTAAATATTTTTAAGAGTCTCCTATATTTAGAAATCTTTCCCTGACTTCATATTTCCTTTCAATTGCTGCCCTACATTTGCTCTCGTACAAATTAAAGTTTCTAAAAACACAAAAAGTTGTCTACACAGGCTGACTCCACTTCCTTGACCTCTATCCTTCTCCTGTTCCTCAACATTCCCCCAAAAAAGGTTCTTGTTAAGTCACTGTAATCTCCATATTCCAAAGCCAGTGGATGTTTTTCCCATTCTCATCTTACTCAACTTCTCAGTAGCTTTCAACTCAAGAATCACCTGTTTCTTCCTGAAAAATTCCCTTGTTTTCAAGTCCATAGAAGCACGCTCACATGGTGTTTCTCCTGCTTCCTAGGTCTCCCTGAGCTGGGGCAGCATCCTAGGCATGATCTCGATGTGTGCAGTCTCTTCTCTTCCCAGGACTTAAAAAAAAATTCCTCTCTACCTACAACTTCCACATGTGTATCTGCATCCAAGCCCTATTTTCAGAGCTTCAGGTTAATACAGACACAGCCTATGTGACATCTCAAATTCAAAACTGTTCCTGGCACACACCTCTCCCCTCATTACATTCCCTCAGCGCATTCCTGCACCAAGCCAGCTTCTGCATTAAAGTAAATGGCATCTCCATTTATCTCAGAATGCTGGGAGGTTGTTTAAATACTTTATTCTCACTCGTTTTCCCACATTCAATCTGTGACTGATCCCTGTCCATTCTACCTTCAAAATATGTTTCAAATGTGTCGCTTGTCATTGTCCCCATTGTCAGCATCCAGTCCAGCATCATCAGTCAGCCTCCAAACTCGTTTCACTATCCACCCTTTCCTCTGTCCCATCCACTCTTCACACCATAGACAGAGTGTTATTTTAAAAACAAAAGTTGTGTTTTATCACTATTATCATTGAAATTCTTCAGAAGCTTTGTGCTGCCCTGAGAATAAATTTCAGAATCCCTAACATGGGCTTCAAAGTCCTGGTCCCTGTGTGACCCTGTCCCCATCTGCACAGTGCTCCAGCCACACTGCTGTTCCTGCATTCCTCCATCACACCAGGCTTCCTCCTACTCACGGACTCGGGTCTCCCTTTGCCTGAAATCCCTCGCCTCCTTTTTCACAGGTGTCATCTCAAATGTCACTTTCTCAGAAAGGTCAGAGATACCACCAAATCACCTCAGATGTGACATTCTATCCTCATAGCCCATTCCAAGCATGGACACAGACTAAATTATCACGTGAAGCTGCGGCCAGCTCCCGAAGCTTTCCTAAAATCTTCACAATAACAGAGACGATACAAGTCAGAAATCATTAAAATTAGTCTTCAGCATAAGTATTAAACTGTAAGTCTTGCCCTTCATAAGACAACTGCTAGATTGGCCTTTCTTATTCATCCTAATAATAGAATCCATTGGCGTTTCTTCTTGGGCCACCGTTTTTAGAACTTGCTTCCCCCACAGGAAGGCGTTTGCTTTGACCTGGACCTTATCCCCACGTCCAGAACCTCAGCACCTATTCTCTCCCTTGATCTAGCCCCTAGTCCCTTCCCCATTCCAATTAATAACTTGTAATTTTCCACCTATATCACCCATAATAAACACAGCATTTTTTTCTCTTTTACATAAAGTGGCTTAATTTCTTTTTCCTCCACCTCTGTCTTCCAGACTAAGCTATATATAAGCAATACACCTATTAAAATTTATTCCAAAAAAAAGAGCAATCATAAAGCCATGAACTCTGTAGCCTTCCTTAGAATCTTGGAAAATAGACAGTTTTAAAGGTAACAATTCATTTTACCCAACCTGCATATTTACATAGAGACAGATAGGAAATGGTAACTATAAAGATGTTGACTGTGGTTGTTGGGATTATAAAGGATTAGAAAATATTTTTGCTAACTTTTATTGTTTAATTGGTCTGCAGTGTGTACTGAGGATGTCATAAAGTCTGAAACAGATAAAATAGTCTTTATGTTCATTCTTTACATATGGTTGCTACAGGTATAACAGTATGGTTAGGAAAGCTCAACCGCAGGATTGAATGTGGATTGTCGGGTTTCTCTATGCTCTGTATGTATGTATAGAAGAATTTAAATACAAAACTGGTCATCACTGGGATGTAGAGCGTTCCTACATGTACTACAAATATAAGTGGCTAATATCCTTTGAAAATTCGTCCTTGATGAATAATATAGAATGTTAATGTCTTCCTAACTTGTATACTTATAAGCCAGAATTTTGGTGCTGTATTAGGAGGTTCTTCCTAATGTCTCGCCTGGCAAAAACGTACTATGGTAGCTTCAGTAAAAAACGAAGAACATCTATTCACCATTATTTTCACTGGGATATACTTGCAAATGGTCAAGTGCCTCCCTCACAGGCTTCTCTTCCACTTTCCTTCCTGTTTATTGTTCACCATCTTACCTTTTCCAGTTTCTCCCTTTCACATGTCACTATGAGGCTCCAAACAGAATGCAGTGGCCTGATGGAGAACTGACCAGTGTGGAACAAGGAGCATGCCTCCCAGATTGACTCCAGGGATCTCTGAAATATCAGATGTACAGTCCTTGCTGGCAGAGTATTTGCCACCACAGACACCCAGAAGTGTTCAAAGTGCCTGTTATCTTTATATTTTGGGTCAATTTATATGAAATTTGTTCAATTACTAGATGGACCTTTTTTATTCATTCCAATAATGGAATTCATTTAAGTGTATAGAATGAAATTCCAAATATTCGTTTGTTGCTTGTCTCAGTTTAGTCAAACAATTTCCACAATAGTGTGCATTTCTTCAGTATTTCCTTCTTTTCTATTCTCCCCTTCTTGGGAATTTTGCTATGTGTTTTCTTGAACCACATATGCTTCTCTTTTTCTTTCCCCCAAATCACCTTATATCCTTTTCAAACTGTTTCTTAATCTTTGTTTTACCATAATAATTTATTCTACAGTCTTCCCTTAATTTTTTCTAACTTGCTTTATTTTCTCATATTCTTTTTTTATCATAATGTCATCAATAATTAACTTTGTGTGTCTACAGGGTACATGACATCGCATTTGCTTCCCAGTTCTCTCCATCCCATTATCTATGATGCATACACACATATTACTTGATATGTAGTTATAGTTCACCCTCCCCTTGCCCACTGACTACATAATTACTTGTCCTTTCCCCAGGGAGCCTTACAAAGGAAGGAAGGGAGAAAGTGGAGTCACTCTGTCACTCCTACATCTCATCTTGGTCACTGAATATGCTTTTAGAGTACATCAGGCATTTCTCCATAGAGCTTTAGAATGTGTACTGTGCTGATGTATTCCAAGTCCCTGAATACAAAGTAAAAGAATCTGGGAAAATACACCTAATATCCCCCAAACAAATGCTTTCTAAACTCAGGGGACACTGACTGGGTGATTTTTCCCCTCCTTAACATTCTGCCTAAACTGACCTAATTAAATTCTCTGTCTACTCTCAAATCAGTTGGTCATATTCCTTCTCATATATTGTTATAGCTACAGTTAGTATTTCCTTTTTCCATGTTCTTATCTCCCCATCTAGATTGTAGGCCATTTATATTTCTTTGACTACACCTAGTTCATTAACTGTTTTTAGAAAGCACTTAATTCAAAGGTACTGAATCAGTACATCTCATTTCAGAATAAGCCACACAGAAGAAACTAAGAAACAATAATCTCTAAATCTTTGTATCCAGACTAAGAAAATGAATTCTTTTAAAAGTGAGATCTCAGGAATTTGCCTGTTTTCTTGACTTCACAGGTAGACTTAATTTTCAGAAATGTCCTTCCCTTTTCCCTTTAGCTGAGAGAGAATATATCCATCAAATAGAGATGTCATGGCTGTGCAAACACACCTGGGTTTACAGGATATGGGAATGTCACAGAGAGCGACCAGACAGGTACTTATTGAGTTACCTGACAGTCTTCCACTCAAAGCACATGGATTTTCTTCTACCCCAACGTACTAAAAGGCCATAAAAGAACTCAGAGGCCATAAAAGAGCCATAATAATTTTATATCAATCTCAGCTCACTAACTTGATGAGCACCCTGACCCTTCAGCTCTTTTGGAATTTTTCCATTTTGTTTCCCACAGAACAGATTTTGATCTGGGAGAATATTTACTCCTCAGTATCAATTCTGTCTTGCCACCAATAGAAGGTGCCTTTAGATATACTGCCGTGTGGGTTGTCCCTGATAAAAAAAAAATAAAAAGCAAACAAACAAAACAGCATCACCCACCTCAAAGTAACTACCATTCCTGACTTGGACTCCAGAACACATTCATGGGGTTTCACAGATGACATCAAACTGGAACTGAGAGGGAAGCCCTCAGAGATGAGTTGCCATTTAGAATCAGCATGGTAAAATTACAAAAAGCAAAGTGGACTCACAAAGAACTCTGTTTCCTTTCTAGCACTAGAGTAATTTCATGCTGGAACTTTAAGCAAGTTATTTCACCTCTTTAAGCCTCAGATTCCTCATAAATAAAAATCAATAAAATGAGGTATAATACTAAATTATGAGTATTGATTCTGCCAATTCTTAAATTTTGTTCTTAGACTTTCTAACTCAAACTCAGTAATCTCCCTCCACTTCCAGGAATCTATTCTAAGGAAATAACCCAAGGTATAACCAAAAATTTATATACAAAGATATATTGCTTATAATTAGAAACCTGGAAAAGACTAAACATATATTAGCAGTAAGGGATAGTTAAATAAATTCTGATATATACGAATGTTAAAATTTTATGCCACTATTAAAAGGTATTTTCAAAGAATGTATAATACCATAGTGTGCTTATTTTACATGTCTGTCTTTCAGTGAAAAGGCAATATTCAAAATTATTCTGAATTTTTTTTTCGAGATGGAGTTTTGCTCTTGTTTCCCAGGCTAGAGTGTAGTGGCGTGATCTCAGCTCACCGCAACCTCCGCCTCCCAGGTACAAGCGATTCTCCTGCCTCAGCCTTCCAAGTAGCTGGGATTACAGGCAATACGCCACCATGCCCAGCTAATTTTGTATTTTTAGCAGAGACGGGGTTCTTCCATGTTGGTCAGGCTGGTCTTGAACTCCCGACCTCAGGTGATCCACTCGCCTCGGCCTCCCAAAGTGCTGGGATTACAGGCATGAGCCACCGCTCCCAGCCATGAATTTTTAATGTATGAAGAAATACATCAAAATGTTGATACTTGTTATTTCTGATAGTTGAATTATAAGTGCTTTTAATATTATTTCACAAATGTTTTCTGTATTTTTCAACTTCTCTACAATGGACATGTAACATTATCTTTTCATGAGAACATGGAAAGTTACAAGTTTTTATTATTAAGTTTAAAAACCAACGTATTTTTCACTAAGAATACATTCAGAATATAAGTATATAATTATAATTTTTAAACACATGAAAAAATACAAAAACAGAGGCTTGAGGATAAATTTCCAAAAATGATATGGCAAAATGATTCAGAGTTCACAATAGGTTATCTGTAAGATATGGAGCCATCAATTTCATAGTGTTATTTAAAAACGGATATTTTCTGTGATGTACTCACAGAAGAAAAACATAAAGAAATCCTTATTATTTATAGCCCCATTGTTACAATTCAAAGGAAAAGTGCATGTTTGAAATATCTTAAGGGTAAAATAGAATATCTTGATATTAAATTGTATAAATTGAGATGGCTTGCAACAGACTTGTTCTTTCATAAGAAATTTTTATGAGCAGAATAGATACTAATCCGATTAATATTTTTTAGGTCAGCTGCTCAAAGTGGCCCAAGAAACAATGTGCTTGCAAAAATTGTTCAGTAGATCACAATCTTTTTTTGTTGCTGTCAACACACTTTCTTTTTTAATTTAAACCAGTGCCCTAACAATAAAGCACTTTGTGGTATGAAAAAATAAATAATAATTTTTAACTATGATGTGAAAATTGCATTTTCAGAGGTTCAAATTGTTTTGCTTGTTTTAATTTCATTAACATTGGCCATCAACGTTTTTTGCAGCCATGTTGCTTAATTTAAGCGCGTGACTTCTGAGCCCATGTTGTTACCTTGAGTTTGTAGGAAATTAGGTGCTCTCACATCTGAAGAGAGGGCAGTGAAGCATATAACTTTGAAGCTCCCTCCTGCTTCTATGGGACTAGGATTTGGCAAATTGACTTCCTGGGGTACCTTCTGAAGCATCATTACCTATGTCTCAAAAACTTTTTCTAAGTGATTGAATTCTTCATATGAAATTAAGTGGGTCACAAGAGCACAGATTATGTTGCATATTTTGTTCACATGAGGGGGAAGTTTAATTTTAACATTTGCAAAAGGGGATTTAAAACTTTGTGAAACCAAATATACTGGCGTCGTATTCCCTAGGGGTTAAAGAATCAACAGTCACTTTAACATCTGACAAAGGATGCACCTTCTGTTTGGCAATCAATCATATTAAATGCTCTAGTAACAGTGTACCTTAACTAGATAAATGATAAGCTCTTACATTTACAAAATGAAAAACAATTAGATACGTGTAATGGCCACATAACCAATCTCCAGGGGAAAAAAATGTACAAGGTAAACACTCCTGATGAAATGAATGCAGTCAGTGAGAGTCTCTATTCAGCCAGCCACACATGAGAATAGGTATGAATTATTCAAATTGGGGTTCAAATTATTCAAATAGTCTCTCCTTCATCAACTGTTTTGAAGAGGATTAGGGAGTGCTAATTTTCCGGTGTAGCTGCTCCTTGCCTTTTTGCCTGGTCGGCCTCACACATTTTTTTGGATTGGATCATCATGAGTCACCGCGCTGAAGGATTTTTCAAGGTTGGAGCAGTGCCAAAGCTATTTTAATCATCCCAACTGATTTGTTGTGGGGCTTTTCTTTCTTACTTACTTTTTAATGATAGAGAAATCTTGCAATGTGCAACATTCACTTTATTCTTTCTGGTAACTTCCTGCAATGAAAAATAAAATTGTTTTTTTCTACCACAGGCTTTTTTAACCCCTGGCTGCTTCTTTGTACCATATTCTTCAAAGGGATTTTAATGCTAATTTTCCTATACCATTGGCTTTGGTGTCAGGTAATTTCCTGAATTTGATTACGATGGAGAGAAGCAGCTAAAAGTCTACACTGGTGAGCAGTTTACAGTACTTGTTAGAGATCAAGGTGACCTTGTAAAGGCTTCTATTGACACAATATTGGTTAATTACTAGAAATGTAATCTATGTATATAATTTATATTTTAAAGCCCTTTATGATGAAGATTCTTTACAGTTCATCTTAATTTGAGAAAGTATCATTAACAAATAACATATAGACCATTTTTTAAGAATCCAAAATGAATACCACAATGAACTGCTGTACTTGTGTTTTTCTTCCATATTTAAAGATGAAAAAAATTAACTACCATGTTTAACATTCTTCCCACAGTCCATTTCATACTAGAAATATGCTTAACCTTCTGACTGATCAGTTGCTCCTAGCTGGTTTGTAGGTTGGAGCAAGCAGCCCTTGCTCTTTGCCTAAAAAGGTCTCTATATTTATGCTGTGTTGTTATGTAAACCTATGTTAGGAAACATAGGATTGTTAATGCACATCTTGTTGAAAATGACAGTTTATTCAGCAAAGGGAAGTCACGTGCCAGTCAGCTTTCTCATGGTCCCTCTTGTTCAAAAATCACATATTGACTAAATAATACTAGCCAGAATTTATTGAGCATTTAGTATGCTTCAAGCTTGGTGCTTCCCTTGGACTATCTCATTTAATCCATTTCCATTCCTTGTTAAAGTAGGAATTTTACAGAAGAGTAAACTGAGGGTTAGAGAGGTTAAGTAACCTATCCAAGATCACAAAAGTAGTATGGGCTAGAGCCAGATTTCAAATCCGCATCTGCTTGATTCCACAATTGCTCTTCTTAAGAACTCCTCTGCCTTGCCTCTCTTTGTGATGTGATGTACTAAGAAAAATTCTGTGCAGATCTCTGAAGGGTTTAACCACAGCAAGCCATGCTCTGAAGACAGTCCTGGAGGAGTTGAGGGAAAGCTTTCAGATGCCATCTTTATCCATTGAAGAAGTAGCCCTACCTAGTGCCAAGTCTTTTGATGGTTACTTGGTAGAGAAAGATGAGTAAGACAATGTTCCTGTTCCTCTGGGAGTCCATCTCTAAAGAGAGAAGATAGATATGCAAACAAATTATTGTGAAATGTAAGCTAAGTTTGGGAAATAAGGAAGGTTGTGCAAGAGCAGAGTGATTATGCGAGGCCTGAGGGATGAAGTAGCCATCCCTGGAGGACGGGGGCACCCACTGGCTGATTAATGTACCATGGTGGGAGGAAGGACCATGCTGACATGCTGGCAAGCGGGGAAGCTCCAGTCACCTGGGACTCCTTCAGCTTTTCCCTAAAGGACTGGTAATGCGCTGAAGGTGATTCCTTAAATCCTAACTACATAGCCATTGGTTTGGGGAGTCCCAGGATTGCTCAGAGTTTGTATCGTTTCAAATCCAAGACTGCTGCTCTTAATATAGAGCCCTCCCCACCTCAGCAAATATAGCCTGATCGATTCCAGCAGGCTGTGTTGCCTGCTTTAAATTTAAATGATAAATTTTAAAAGAACTGAAATCTGTTTAAATAACAGTTAAACACAGGGTTTTGATGAAAAGAAAATGAAGAATTTTACCTCCCACATCTAAGCTGTGATTAGAAGTTTGCTCTAGAAAAAAAGCACTTTGAAACTAGCCCTTCATACACTGATGTAGTGTTTTCAGCATCTGTGTTTACTGAATACATTACTGCATTTTTTAATGTTTCTAAAGGAGCTGTGGGATTATTGCTGCATTTCCTATTGAGTTAGTAACTGACATTTAAAAATATTTAGTTGGCTGATGTAGTAGATAATGATCAGTATTTCAAAAGATTAATGGTGACTTAAAATGCATAGAGATATTTCATTAGTTAGTTGGGAAACCTTTTATTCTTATACTTCTGTTATTTTTTTCTTGTTCATGAAGTTGAGTCAGCAAGAGAAGCATATTCAAATTAGACTTGTCATACAGAAAAAAAAATCTGACTTTGTCAGGGTGGGTGGAGGGGAAAAAAGCAACTTTTTGTCAGTCTTTTGTATTTCAGCAGCTGGATTCATTGCTACCATGGTAACGGACCACATGATGAGGTGTATTAGATTGCTGTGTGTTGAGCACAAGGGGAAGAATGAACACAGCTTTTTATTGAAGTTAAAGGTTACTTTGGAGTTTGTTTGGAAATGTGTAAGGTCAAATACTATAGTTTTCAGCATATGTAGTACTTCAGAGGAAGAATTAAGGGGCATGTTGGTGCATTTAACTACAAAACCAGGTAAGGTACAATTGAATCTATGAAACTGAACTCTCTGACTTCTGTCGCAGTGGCATAACTTGCTGGGTGGAATTTCACTGTCGCCCCCACCCCCACCCCCACATGGGCACCCGATAAATTTCTCCTGCCCACCCTCCTAGCTCCTCCACCTCCGGTTTCAGCTGTTTTTAATTTGAAAGTCTAAGATGTTGTGAAATGTTATAGTTTTATGGCAGTGTGTGTGTGTGGGAGTGTGTGTGTGTGTGTGTGTGTGTGTAAGTCAAAGAAAGAAAACTGCAAAGGAAGTAATAAGAATGCAATAACTGGTGTCTTCAAATCAGCGTAGACCTGAACAAAGTGTTTTCTTGTTTTGTTTTTTGAAAATGGTCCGCTTTTCTTAGAGGACACCTTATTAGTGGCATTTGTCCAAAGCTACTTGTCTCTTCTACTAAATTAAGCAGTAGGACAAAGTTTTCCAGCAAAGTTATCTAGTGTGTTTATTGTATGTGAGCTTTTGTTTTTCTTTCATCATATTATTGCGAGCCTCATCTAACATGTATAGTCCGGTTTTATCTATATTTTTTAAAACATCTATTATTTCTATTAGCATTCTAATCTTTTAGGCATTGTGGCTGTATGTGTGATACAGGATTTAAAAATAGAAGTAAATACAACATGGGTGAGTGCAAAATGAACTCTTTTGCTTAGAGGCTGGTAGGAACTGAATGTAAACAATTCAGTGTGGCTGTGTGGAGCATCAATTCCCAGAGCGCAGACGCCTTCTCATGCGTTGTTTACATATCACCCTGGCAGCTTGTTTCAAAATGGGAGGCTTTGGTACACACAGAGCAAGTTAAAGGAGAACAATTTCTTTAATAATAACTTATTTTAATTACTTTTTCATGGCTTTTACTGATGTTTGATGTTTGATGTTTGACTTTCTCATAAGATATTAGGATTTACTCTAATTTTAGCCAGGGGTTTACTTAATGCAACTTCTTTCCTTCCTCTTAGAACAAAGCTGTCTTAGCAGCTTTTAGAAATAAAACCTAATTAAATAGTAGCAAAGCCCTACTGTTATTCTAGTGTATTCACTGTCCACCTGAAAAAGTGCAGATATAGGAAAATCTTTTTGAAAAATACTTTCTTAGTGAACTAAAATCAATTATGTGCCCTTAATTGGCACTAATTAGGATAAAAGCCAATAAATTTTCCCAAGTTTGTTCATACAGCATGCTTTCTTACAAAAGGAAAACTTAGATTTTATTAAATTTATTTATGCTCTGTGATTTTCGTCGCTATTTCCTTGATCTCTCTAGTTTCCATATGTCCAAGCCATTTTCTAAGTTTAAGCAAGGAATTATAATCATTATTCAAAAAAATTATTTGCCATGATTTCAAATAAAGAGAACTGTTTCCATGATGACAGATATCAAAAGTACTATAATAGCATCTAATATTGTAAATGTTCATGCTTGTATCTGAATTTATTCCTTTCTTTTTCCCTTTGTTGTTTGAGTACAAATGAGCTATGACCATGTCTTTCAAAACATGAGATATTTTCATAAACATAAGTTGTTACTACTAGAGAATAGGGAGTTTCTAAAAATCAGTGAAAGATGGTACCTGGTAAACTATTCTAAAGTATGAAATTATTGAAACTGACAATATCTGAGGTAGAAAGTGTTATGTTTTATTAAAAGAAAAATAAAAGAGGGAAAGAAGAAGCAAGACAGAGACACAGAGAGAGACAAAAAAATGAAAAGATATACAAAAGGTAAAGATAAAAGTGTAAATGATCTCTTACCCAAGCATTTTTCTTTCCCGCCGGTACTGGAAAGGGTTAAATCTGTATCTGTCAGAGAAGAGAGTAGTATGGATGAGGGAAATTACTAAAAAGTATTTTTATTTCACTATTCCATCTTTAAAATACATGATAAAGTATAGATAGTTCCTTTCTATTAAATAAAATGAAAAAAAATCTACAGTGAGGTTGTCTCAGTCTTTGTAGTTATGGGCTACCAGCCAGCTTAGATATTAGAGCTACAAGTGTGTAAAAACCAAGATATGCCCAAATTTCTGTGATCTTTATTCATCTGACATTAGACCATATGTACACAAAAACTTCTGAAATAATTTTAACAGAGATCACAAGATGGAAGATTCTTTTATAGTTGTTTTGGTATTTTCATTCTTAAGAAGCAAAATTGACTTTTGATGTACTTGCTTTAAACTGTAAATTTTGCCAGGATGTTTTAATTGTACAGTATTTGTTTCAACTCTTGTTTAAATTATGCTTTCTTGTTAATTTTGAATAATTTGTAGTGTTTGTTAACATTTTAGCTTTAATCTCTAGAGCTGCCTAGAGTCATAGACCAATAGATAATTATCTGCAAACATTTACCTCTACTAAGGAGACAGATATTTAACAGTTTTTTAACATGTTAAAAAACAACCATATTGAGTAAAATAGTATAGCCTCTGCTAAAAAATTAATGATATTTAAATTCCAAGAAAATATTTCTAAAATAGATGAAGATCAAGCCAATGAATGATGACTCAATATCATCTAGATACTCCATTTTTAGGAGTTATTTTTTAACCTCCGATTTTATTAAGGTGAATTTTATTATTGACCACTATGTAATTTTTGACATGAAAAGAATTGGATTTTTTTTTTAGAAATCTAAGACTTTTCAAATGAAAAAGAAAGTAATGGTACCATGATCATGATGATAATGATAACGACAATAATGATTAATTTGGAGAATAAGATAGATTAGAAAGCTCTTGCCTCTTTGTGTAGTAAAAGGCCAATGCTCTTAGAAGGAAAGTGGAAATTACTAATGGGTAGTATGATTCTCAGAAATTAACCCTCAAATTTAATTAATTATGTTAATAGCATTTATAAGTCACTAGGAATAGAGGTGCTTGGTATGTTATTATCAGACTTTATTATAAAATATCTTGGTTTTGTTCAATAAGCGATAGAGGCTGTCATCAAAAATGATTAAACTTAGATATGCAGCGTTATTTCTGAGGGCTCTGTTCTGTTCCATTGATCTATATCTCTGTTTTGGTACCAGTACCATGCTGTTTTGGTTACTGTAGCCTTGTAGTATAGTTTGAAGTCAGGTAGTGTGATGCCTCCAGCTTTGTTCTTTTGGCTTAGGATTGACTTGGCGATGCGGGCTCTTTTTTGGTTCCATATGAACTTTAAAGTAGTTTTTTCCAATTCTGTGAAGAAAGGCATTGGTAGCTTGATGGGGATGGCATTGAATCTGTAAATTACCTTGGGCAGTATGGCCATTTCCACGATATTGATTCTTCCTACCCATGAGCATGGAATGTTTGTATCCTCTTTTATTTCCTTGAGCAGTGGTTTGTAGTTCTCCTTGAAGAGGTCCTTCACATCCCTTGTAAGTTGGATTCCTAGGTATTTTATTCTCTTTGAAGCAATTGTGAATGGGAGTTCACTCATGATTTGGCTCTCTGTCTGTTGTTGGTGTATAAGAATGCTGATCTTTGACAAACCTGAGAAAAACAAGCAATGGGGAAAGGATTCCCTATTTAATAAATGGTGCTGGGAAAACTGGCTAGCCATATGTAGAAAGCTGAAACTGGATCCCTTCCTTACACCTTATACAAAAATCAATTCAAGATGGATTAAAGACTTAAACGTTAGACCTAACACCATAAAAACCCTAGAAGAAAACCTAGGCATTGCCATTCAGGACATAGGCATGGGCAAGGACTTCATGTCTAAAACACCAAAAGCAATGGCAACAAAAGACAAAATTGACAAATGGGATCTAATTAAACTAAAGAGCTTCTCCACAGCAAAAGAAACTACCATCAGAGTGAACAGGCAACCTACAAAATGGGAGAAAATTTTCGCAACCTACTCATCTGACAAAGGGCTAATATCCAGAATCTACAATGAACTCAAACAAATTTACAAGAAAAAAAACAAACAACCCCATCAAAAAGTGGGCAAAGGACATGAACAGACACTTCTCAAAAGAAGACATTTATGCAGCCAAAAAACACATGAAAAAATGCTCACCATCACTGGCCATCAGAGAAATGCAAATCAAAACCACAATGAGATACCATCTCACACCAGTTAGAATGGCAATCATTAAAAAGTCAGGAAACAACAGGTGCTGGAGAGGATGTGGAGAAATAGGAACACTTTTACACTGTTGGTGGGACTGTAAACTAGTTCAACCATTGTGGAAGTCAGTGTGGCGATTCCTCAGGGATCTAGAACTAGAAATACCATTTGACCCAGCCACCCATAAATCATGCTGCTATAAAGACACATGCACACGTATGTTTATTGTGGCATTATTCACGATAGCAAAGACTTGGAACCAAGCCAAACGTCCAACAATGATAGACTGGATTAAGAAAATGTGGCACATACACACCATGGAATACTATGCAGCCATAAAAAATAATGAGTTCATGTCCTTTGTAGGGACATGGATGAAACTGGAAATCATCACTCTCAGTAAACTATCGCAAGAACAAAAAACCAAACACCGCATATTCTCACTCATAGGTGGGAATTGAACAATGAGATCACATGGACACAGGAAGGGGAATATCACACTCTGGGGACTGTTGTGGGATGGGGGGAGGGGGGAGGGATAGCATTGGGAGATATACCTAATGCTAGATGACGAGTTAGTGGGTGCAGCACACCAGCATGGCACATGTATACATATGTAACTAACCTGCACAATGTGCACATGTACCCTAAAACTTAAAGTATAATAATAAAAAATAGAAAAAAAAATGATTAAACTTATCAAGAATTGTACAATGTGTGGGTCAGTATCTGACAGGAAAAATGCAAACTCATTTCTAGGAAAGAACAATTAGTTATATTTTTAGTATATAAAGGGGCAATTAACTGGTCTTCACTTCATGGTATTATTAGCTGGATATTTTAGAGTGGTATTACTATAATAATTCCCCACTCTCAAACACACATGTTATGAAATGTTCACTAGACACCATTTCAATATTTTAATTGTTTTTAATTTTTTAATTATTTATTTTAAATAAACAATATTTTATATCTGAAACCTGTTAATTTTGATTTGTTTGGTGGAACATTTACTCAGAAAAATTACTTACCTCTACACATCCCTGACATGAAAGAAAATACTGGATGGATTGGCAATTCCAGTATAAAATATGGATCTATGAAAGTAGTGAAAGAAAATATAGAACTTATGATAGAAAAGGATGACCTCAAAGACAAAAATCATAAAGGAATGGTAATATGAAAACTTACTCCTTCTAGAATATGTTATATACAAAATTAAAAAGATAAATGGCAAATTAGAAACAACATTTGCAACATATATGAAAGAGAAAAAGTGAATATCCATGTTATGTAATGAGGTCTCATAAATCTGTAAGAAAAAGCACTTCCCTTTTAATTTTAAAAATATCTACAAATTAAACACATGTCATTTTAATAATTAGCAACTATTTTTTAAAGGGGAAAGCAAAAGGAGGAAGGGGGAGATAATGTCTGGTTTAGGAAAAGTCTGGAAAATGGGAACACATATACACTGCTATCATATAGCAGTGTACACTGGGTGCAGGTGGGGAGTTGATCAAGCTGGCAATGTGTAGCAAAGTCTTTAAAAATTGCATATCCTTGGGCCCTACAGTTCTACTACTAGGAATATGTCCTAACAAAATAAATAGTCTAACGTATTTACATAGTTTTTCGTTGTTTCAGACAATAGCAGTCTGAAAAAGAAAATCCAAGAAATATAGAAAACACATGAGCTCGTATTTCCTCTCTAGAAGCTATAAAGCTGTAAGAAGTCGGCCGGGCACCGTGGCTCACACCTGTTATCCCAACACTTTGGGAGGCCGAGGCGGGTGGATCGCCTGAGATCAGGAGTTGGAGACCAGCCTGGCCAACGTAGTGAAACCCCATCTGTCCTAAAAATACAAAAAATTAGCTGGGCGTGGTGGCAGGCGCCTGTAATCCCAGCTACTTGTGAGGCTGAGGCAAGAGAATCGCTTGAACCCAGGAGGCGGAGGTTGCAGTGAGCCGAGATCACACCATTGTACTCCGGCCTGGGCAACAAGAGTGAAACTCCATCTCAATTAAAAGAAAGAAAGAAAAAAAGCTGCAAGAAGTCATAGACATGGCTATATGCTGGTCTAACTGTTGACTTCCCAACTCTTTAGATGGAACATGTATAGGCAACATGGTGTAGAAAAAGAGTCTTGGCTTAAGAATTGGAATGCCTGAATCATGCTACTAACTAGCTGAGTTAATATAAATATGCAAATTTATGAAATTATTAAAATAATAATGTTAAAGAGTAGAAAAGTCTGTGAATCCCTTTACCCATGTATATGTGTTTGTCTTCACCGCTGATTTGCAAATAAGAAGTCTCATATCAAGTGGGAAGGGTAGATTTTTATAATTTCACTGAAATTCAATACCAAATGGTAAAATCTGGAATGCCTTGACTGTGAGAGAAAATAACAAAATATTTTAAATAGGGTATACATTCCAATTATTAGTTTTTGAAATTTATTCTAAAGAAATTTCTGCTCATATAAGGATGGGCAGAGGATAACTGGGCTTGAATAACTGGGCCACACCTACATTTAGGTGTGGTGGAGAGGCAGAGCTCCAGAGCAATCTGTTCAAAATTCTGTGATGCTGGAAATGCTCTATATCTTCTTAGTCCAATATAGTAACTACTAGCCACATGTGGCTATTAAACACTTGAAAGGTAGCTAGTGCGACTGATGAAACAGATTTCAAATCTTATTTAATGCTAAGTAATTGAAATAGCCACGTGTGTCTAGTGCTATCTTAATAGACAGTGACACTCTAGAATTAAGCACAACAAATAGGGTCTTTTATTTAATATCGGAGGTTAATTTCAAGCACCTCTGCTAAATTCGGATGATATAGATAGGACAAGAAGGTGAGTATTCTTTGTGCAATTTCCCTTTTATCTACAGAAATACAGATCAATGAAATCCTTTGATTCTAGTGACTGCAAGTCCAAGATTTTCCAGAGAAGTGTTGGTCTCAAGTAGTCTGTAGTTTTGTTTGCTTAAGAATTTTAATGCTCATTCATTTTCTCATTTATTTTTTTTAAAAAACCTTATATTGAATATATTTGTGTTGGACACTGACATTGAAAAGATAGTAGTAGTGCAGAGTTCCTTGATTCAGGAAATCCTTGGAGTATCCTAAGGAGTAAATGGTGCAGAGCAGATATTACAGAGGAGGGGAGAGAAAATGCTGTGTGGAGAAGGAAGCACTGGGATAAACCTTAAAGAAATGGCCAGTGTTCAATAGGAAGCTGGGGAAAGGAGGATCTTGAGAAACAGAACAGTATGGGAAAACCAGGGAGAGATGAGAATCAGAAATGTCTGGAAATGTAATAATGGCAGCAGCACAGAAAATAGACTAGTGTGTAGACAGAAATGAGTCCAGAAGTTAATGTTACAATCCAGAACAAGTATGAGGGAGGTTATGAGCTAAGGGGATGAAAGTAGAATTTAAAAAGAGTAGATTTGAGAGGTGTTTTGTCTGTTGCTTCTCTTTACAATAAGTCAGGTAGAGAACAACTGATTTATCTTTTAAGCCCCCTTGAAAATTGTCGATTACTGCATACAATGCTGGAGCAGGATTTTTGTGGCCAAGGAAACTGAGCGTATCTTACAATATGCAAGTTTTTCAAACAGGACCAACTTACATAAATCATCCTCTTGGAAGTAGGCGCAACTACATCATGTATGTAGTTGAAATGTATGACACATGACAATTTTGTTTGGGGATGTAATGTAACTGAGGTGGAAACTTAATATTTATGAGACTTCCTCTTTCGTTAAAATCTTAACATTCTTTGATTTTGACAAATAGTGTTTTTATTTCTTCCAAAAATACAAGAATTTTAAAAGTATATAATTAGGCATCGTTTAGAAAGGTCAAAAAAGCAATCGTCTGTTGAATTTATGATTTGGGTACATTATTCTTCTCCAGTCTTTACCCCATTTTGATGGACTTTTTTCTCTTGGCAGTATATCCAGGTTCATTTATAGGTGGGAAGACAGTAGAAGCTGTTATTCCAGCATCAAAGCCCCCACTGTTTTCTAATAAGACGTTAGGTTTTATTTCTTCCAAAGCCTTATGATCACTGCAGTCAAAAAAAGAAGGGTGGAAAATGCAGAAAAATGGTGGAGGAGGTGGAGTATGGTCTTGGTCATAAAGAAATGAAAGGAGAAAGGTATTACTGAAGAGTATGGGCATTAGTCTGACTGTAAGGAGGACTTTGGCAGTAACTACAAGCCAGAGTGAGTGAGGAAAGAATAGCAGCCATTTGGGCAATGTGCTGACCATGTGTGGCTTGATACTAGGAAACCTGAACATACAGCAGGACAGAGAGGAGCACATCATGTGAGAGTTCCATGAGTTCTCGGATTTAAGAAAATAGAAGACTTTCTAAGTGCCAGATACTGTTCTAAGTACTTTTTGTTTAACCTATTTAAGGCAATTAACCCTTTTTTTTTGGAGAACAGTCATAGAACATGGAAATCACTGAAGAAATGTAAGTAGTGGTGGGATGCAGTGGCTCACGTCTGTAATCCCAGTACTTTGGGAGGCTAAGGTGGGTGGATCACCTGAGGTCAGGAGTTCAAGACCAGTCTGGCACCAACATGGCGAAACCCCGTCTCTACTAAAAATACAAAAACAAAACAAAAACTAGCCAGGCATGGTGGTGTGGGTCTACTGTAGTCCCAGCTACTCAGGAGGCTGAGGCAGGAGAATCACTTGAACCAGGGAGGTGAAGGTTGCAGTGACCCCAGATCGCACCACTGCATTCTAGCCTGGGTGACAGAGTGAGACTTCATCTCAAAAAATAAAAAAATAAAAAAATAAGTAGTTATTATCTCTCCATCAATCCTCACAACAACCCTATGAGCAGGGTACTTTTACCATCTTTATTTTACAGATGAAGAAATTAAGGCCCGAGAGGTTAAGTAATCCCCCAAACAGCATACAGTTAATCAGAGAGAGCTCTATTTAATCAGCTCAACTACTACGCCATCCTGCCTACTCTTAATCTATGTTAATTTTATAATATGTACAGAGATGATACTTGTAACGTGCTCACAAAGTGCCTGACATATAGTAAACCTGCAAAAATGTTAGCAATTATCATTATGTAATAAGATTTAGAAGACTTTCCGGTATTTATGTCATTCTACACCGACACTGCTCAGAAATAGTAACAAGATTTTTAGGGCAGCTCTGGATTTTTCTTATGTAAAGTGTAAAGAAAGCTTTGTTTAGGAGCATGCCCTTATAAATTGGAGAAACTCTTCTTCTACCCAAATACTGTCAATCAGTTTGACTGGCACAGTTGAAGTTTTTACCTCAAAGAATGGGCCTCATTGAAATGTTCTATATACTCATCTACATGGCTCTGACCTTCTGACAGAGAATGACTGCTGCTAATGGTACTAATAAGAGCAAATGGAATTCCCTTCCAAGCTTGGTATTTGAATAATATGTCAATTTGTTCATTGCCGTCTTACTAGGAATTAAATGCGCTAATATTTTTATAACCTAAGGGAGCTAGTGCGAGGTTGGCAGCCAGAAAAGGGAATCAGGCCAGAGGCTGGCCAAGGCATAGTCATGAGGGGGTGGAAGGGTCACAAAGTCAAAGTCAAGCAGGTGGACCCAGGCAGAACCCAACCAGACTCTAGAACAAAGTTAGGTTCAAAGTTTGGTTCTTATCTCCTTTCCCTATAATGTGGGCTGGTAGGGGTGGGTTGATTGTCATCCTCTGTACAAAAAGAATTGTATGGAAAATTAGCTGGCTCTGAAATCTAACTGAAATAAGAAAGTCAATAAAAGCATAATTAAAGATACTTAAACATTGTAGATACAGGCAATGAAAGAACAATGCCTCTGTTGTACTGGATTTCCAGCAGGGAATGATGCTGTTTGGGTTAAGACACAGGTAAGGCAGAGGAGCTTTGAGAATACCATGGCTCAGGAAGGAAGAAATGTGAGAAAGCTAGAGAGGTACAGGAGACTACAGAGGAGAAGGGAAAGGCAAAATCTGGATTCTGAGTAATCAGAAGTTGTCGTCTGCTTTGGTGGCTCCTATAGTTCCCTTTGTCTTCATCAGTGACCTGAGAATTCACAGGGTTTTCACCAGTAATGTCACTGGGCAAGTGTGCCAGGCCGACCACCCAATAAGAGGACAAGGAAGAGAGAGTGGAAGGATCAGCAGAACTGTCACCACTCTGATTCTGTGGTGTGGGAGCTGGGGATGTGGGGTGGGGAATCTCTCTCTAGAGGTTTGTTCTCTGCTGTGTTACTCCCATCTGTGATGGCTTTTTCTCCATGAGCTTAAATGGTGATGGTTTTCTTCCAACTATTAGGGAATACATTGATAATGTTAGTGATTCATAGAGTGTCTGAAATAATCTCTGCAAATGTTATGTGTAGTTGGTTATCTGGAGAAGTAACAAGCTTTTATCAACCATAATAACTAAATTTGTATGGTGATTTACTGTTTGCAAAATATTCAATTATGTTATATTTGAATCTCCCACAATCCTAGGAGGTTGATGACACCATCAATTCCTTTATAAGGATGAAGGAAATCAAGCTCAATTACTTTCCTAGAGGCACTGGGTTTGATAGCAAAGCACAAATTTTAATTTACTGGTTTACTAATGCATCCTGCTTCATTCAACACCTCTTCACCTTTAAAAGTAAAAATTGTCTCAGTGATAGCTATTTACCTTTAGAAAATGGCTATTACAAATAAAGAACTCTTACATTTACTCAGATTGTTCAGATTAAATTCTCCCTTTAAACATACTTTCAAGGTAGTTTATGTACACAGTAGGTATTTAATAAGTGTTAACTGCTTGATTATTGTCTCTTTGTACTCCTCCAGAGCAATCATTCTGATTCTCACACACTGGATTAAAAGGTTGTTTATTTTGGAGTAGAAGGGAATACTCTGCAATTACAACTCCCAACATGGGAAACTAATGAAAAAAAACAAACAAACAAAAACGTGACGCAGTTCTTTTTAACTTAAGAAAATAATCTAGCTTCTAACATATAAATGAGTAGACTTAAAATAACTGGACAAAGCCAGAAGGCAACAAGGCAGACAACTTATACTTAGGCAAAACTAATCAAAGGAAATTATCATGAGCCCCAAAACTACTCTGCTTCTCATATCCATGCAACACCCAAACAATATACAATTTTATCTTGCCTATGAAATTCCCAAGTATATTCCTACGTATGTGTTTGTCTTTGTACCACACACTGTCTGTATTCTTTAAAAACCTTCCCTTACCTGACATTGCCCTTGAGTTTAGTTATCTTCCTTGCCTATCGGAGACATAAAAAATACTCTTCCCCTGGCTAATGCTCTGTGAGAACCAGTGATTAAAGTCTGGGCAGGAGAAAAGAAGTCGGGGCATATGATTGTCAGTATTAGGGTTTTCCGGTTTGGCTAAAGTGAAGCTCCTTACTTCAGCTAGTATTGCAGCTATTTGAGCTCCCCTTTCCTTATACTCCTTCCTAAAATGTTTAAAAAAAGTCCAAATTGCAACATTTATTACCTTTCTCATTTAAAATTGTATTAAAATAATCCTTTGGGTTTAAATATTATCTTCTGTTAGTAATGCTAAGATCTGAGATTCTTTTGATTAGGTTAAGGTTAGGCAGGAAAGGAATATTAAAATAAAGAAGAATGTCACTTGCTAGCTATTAAATATATTATAAGCTATAATCACAATTAAGTTGAACTATAATTTAAAAGGGTGTTAATATAGACAAACCCTGGAGTATAAACAAATACTTGCATAGGTATCAATATATGCTAGACAAGGCTGTGCATAGCAACAGGAAAGATTATTATTATTATGCAGTAAAATACTACTGGGAAGGAAAATATTTTCATTCATACTACAAAATGAATTCCAGGTAAATTAGAGTTAAATACTTACTATAAATCAAATTATAAGGATTAATAGAAAATATACAGGAATTTTAAAAGAGCTTTATTGTGATATAATTGATAATGAACTAAACTATTTAAATTGTACAAATTAATAGGTTTTGACATATATATATACATACACACACACACACACACACACACATATCCTAAGCCATCTTTAGAATCAAGATAGTGAACATATTCATCACCACCAAAAATTTCCTCAAGCTCCTTGGTAATGCCTCCCACCTGTCCCTCCCCCATCCCAAGCAACCACAAATGAATTTTCAGTCACTATAGATTAGTTTGCATTTTCTAGAGTTTATGTAAATGGAATCAGACAGTACATACTTTTTTGGTCTGGTTTCTTTCACTCAGTATAATTGTTTTGTGACTTATCTACATTGTGTGTATCAACAATGTGTTCATCTTTCTTACTTTATTTATTGTTTATCCATTCATCTTTGATTAACATTGAGGTTCTTTCTGGTTTTTGACTATTACGAATAAAGCTACTATGAACATTCATGTGAAAATGTTTCAACAGATACATATTTTCTTTCCTTTTGAGTAAATGTCTATGGGAATTTTAAATGATCCATGAAAGAAAAAGGACTTTATAAATATAAGAATTAAAAGTTCACCATGGAAAATCATTATATTTGACAACATTAACATTTTAAATTACTGCAACTCAAAAAAAAATGTTCTTAACCAAACTTCAGGTTAAATGATAGTCAAAGAAACTGTATAAGTAATAGCTAACAATGATAAGAACTTGCCATAAGCAAAGCATCGGCAACTCTGTCTGATCTATCAGTTGATCTTCACAACAGTCCTAAAAGGTTAAACACTATAGTGCCACATCCTGTGTACTTAACCACTGTTCAGTGGTGCCTCCCTGTGTGGAGAAGGAGTATATATTATACATAGACGGTATATTTGTCAAAAAAAGTTTAATATCCAATCGTAGGAAATTATGTGAAACATAATAGAAATAATTTATATATTGTATATCTCTGAAATAAATATGTGAGACCATATGTCAATAACCTAAATATAATTTGTGCAAAATATGTAGGAGAATACAAAGGCAATAAAATGGGCAAGGGACATAAGATGTTCACAACTAAAAAAAGTAAAAATAGGGCCAGGCACGGTGGCTCAGGCCTGTAATCCTAGCAATTTGGGAGGCCGAGGCAGGTAGATCACCTGATGTCAGGAGTTCGAGACCAGCCTGGCCAGCATGGCAAAACCCCATCTCCACCAAAAATACAAAAATTAGCCGGGCGTGGTGACGGGTGCCTGTAATCCCAGCTACTCAGGAGGCTGAGACAGGAGAATTACTTGAACCCAGGAGGCAGAGGTTGCAGTGAGCCAAGATCGTGCCACTGCACTCCAGCCTAGGCAACAAGAGCGAGATTCTGTCTCAAAAAAAAAGAAAAGAAAGAAAGAAAAAAAAACTATGAAAAATATTAAACTTCACTCTTAATCAAATACATTCAAAATAAAATCAAACTGTGACACCTATCAAATGAGTGAATATTCTTAGATATGTTATTGTCAGTTTTTATTGCTTTATTTTAATAGTAGTAATATGTAATGTTAGTGAAGTTGAAAGCCATTCTCACACTTTATTGGTGGTGAAATATAAATTAATACAATCATTCTGGAAAGCAATTTGGCATATCAGTATGTATCAATGACTTGACAATAATTATGCCCTTTGATAAAAGATTTTATTTTTGAAATCACCTGAAGCAATAACCTTAAATGGATACAAAGAGTTATGTACAGAATGTCTTTTATAGTGTGATATAATGTCTTATAACAGGAAAATGAATAGCTAAAGTCATTTCATAGCTAAAAAATCCTATGCAGCTACTAAAGCGGTGTTTACTAAGCATTATCATAAACTGTTGGTAGAAGTGAGAATTACTACAAATTTATTGAACAGCAGTTTGATAATTTTTAATGTTTTTAATTTATAAAGAAAACAGGTTTATTTGGCTCGCAGTTCTGCAGGTTGTACACAAAGCATAATGCCAGCATCTGCTCCTGGCAAGGGCCTCAGGAAGCTTGTAATAATGGTACAAGGTGAAAGGGAAATAGCATATCACATGGCAAGAGAGGGGAGAGGTGCCAGGCTCTTTTAAACCAGCTCTTGGTGTGAATTGATACAGTGAGAACTCTCTCATTACAGTGAAGACAACACCAAGCCATTCATGACAGATCTATCCCTAAACACTTCCCACTAGGCCCACCTCCAACATTGGAGGTCACATTTCAGCATAAGATTTGGAGGGGTCAGATCCTAGGCAAAAAGAACAAAGCTGGAGGCATAACACTACCTGACTTCAAACTATACTATAAGGCTACAGTAAACAAAACAGCATGGTACTGGTACCAAAACAGATATATAGATCAATGGAACAGAACATTGATCAGAAATAACACCTCAGAAATAATACCACACATCTACAACCATCGGATATTTGATAAACATGACAAAAACAAGCAATGGGGAAAGGATTCCCTATTTAATAAATGGTGCTGGAAAAACTGGCTAGTCATATGCAGAAAACTGAAACTGGACCCTTTCTTTACACCTTATACAAAAATTAACTCAAGATGGATTAAAGACTTAAACCTAAGACCTAAAGCCATAAAAACCCTAGAAGAAAACCTAGGCAATACCATTCAGGAGATAGGCATGGGCAAAGACTTCATGACTAAAACACCAAAAGCAATGACAACAAAAGGCAAAATAGACAAATGGGATCTAATTAAACTAAAGTGCTTCTGCACAGTAAAAGAAACTATCAACAGAGTGAACAGGCAACCTACAGAATAGGAGAAAATTTTTGCAATCTATCCATCTGACAAAGGGCTAATATCTAGAATCTACAAAGAACTTAAACAAATTTACAAGAAAAAAAAAAAACAACCCCATCAAAAAGTGGGCAAAGGATATGAACAGACACTTCTCAAAAGAAGACATTTATGCAGCCAGCAAACTTATGAAAAAAAGCTCATCATCACTGGTCATTAGAGAAATGCAAATCAAAACCACAATACGATACTATCTCACACCAGTTAGAATGGCGATCATTAAAAAGTCAGGAAAAAACAGATGCTGGAGAGAATGTGGAGAAATAGGAACACTTTTACACTGTTGGTGGGACTGTAAATTAGTTCAGCCATTGTGGAAGACAGTGTGGCGATTCCTCAAGGATCTAGAACTGGAAATACCCTTTGACCCAACAATCCCATTACTGGGTATATACCCAAAGGATTATAAATCATTCTACTATAAAGACACATGCACACGTGTGTTTATTGCAGCACTGTTCACAATAGCAAAGTCTTGGAACCAACCCAAATGTCCATCGATGATAGACTGGATTAAGAAAATGTGGCACATATACACCATGGAATACTATGCAGCCATAAAAAAGGATGAGTTCATATCCTTTTCGGGGACATGTATGAAACTGGAAATCATCATTCTCAGCAACGTAACAGAAGAAGAGAAAACCAAACACTGCATGTTCTCACTCATAAGTGGTAGTTGAACAATGAGAACACATGGACACAGGGAGGGAACGTCACACACCAGAGCCTGTCGGGGAGTGGGGGGCTGGAGGAGGGATAGCATTAGGAGAAATACCTAATGTAAATGACGAGTTCATAGGTGCAGCAAACCCACATGGCACATGTATACCTATGTAACAAACCTGCACATTGTGCACATATACCCCAGAACTTAAAGTATAATAATTTAAAAAAAAATAAAAAGAAAGATTTGGAGGGATCAGAATATCCAAATCTATCATTCTTCCCCTGGTCCCCCGAATTTCATGTCTTTCTCACATTGCAAAATACAGTCATCTCTTCCTCATAGCCTCCAAGTCTTACCTCATTCCAGCATCACTCAAAAGTCCAAAGTCTCTTCTGAGACTCAAGGCAAGTCCTTCCACCTATGAGCCTGTAAGATAAAAATCAAGTTATTTGCTTCCAACGACAGTAATACTACAGGCATTGAGTAAACATTCCAAAAGGGAAAAATCAGCCTGAGGAAAGGAGTAAGAGGCCCCATGCAAGTCTGAAACCCAGCAGGGCTGACCTTAAACCTTAGTGCTCCAAAATAATCCTTCACTCCTTGTCCTGAAACCAGAGCACACTGGTGCAAGGGATGGACTCCCAACACTTAGGGCATCTCCACCTCCATGGCTATGCAGACTGCCACCGAGTGGCTGCTCTCCTGGATTGGAGTTGAGTGCCTGTGGCTTTCCAGGCTCAGGATGCAAGCTGCCAGTGGCTCTACCATTTTCCCAACTGAAGGACAGCAACCCCCTTCTCACAGCTCCACTAGGTAGTGCCCTGGTGAGGACGCTGTGTGGGGCTCCAACCCCACATTTCCCCTTAGCACTGCCCTAGGAAAGTATCTTTGTGGAGGCTCCACCCTGCGGCAAGCACCAAGGCTTTCCTCTGATACATCCTCTGGAATCTAGGTGGAAGCTGCCAAGCCTCCTTCACTTGTGCATTCTGTGTGCCTGCAGGCTCAACACAACGTAGAAGCCCCCAAGGCTTGCAGTTTGCACTCTCAGAAGCGGCAGCCTGAGCTGTACCTGAAGCCCTTTAAGCAAAGGCTGGAGCCCTAGCAGCTGGGATGCTGGGAGCAGTTTTCTGAGGCTTCACAGGGCAGCAGGGTCCTGGGCCTGGCCCCAAAACCCATTCTTTCCTACTGTGATCCTGGGCTGGTGATGGGAGGACTGTCCTGAAGCCTTCTGAAATGCTTTTAAGGCCTTTTTCCCATTGTCTTGGCTTGATAATATTTTTAATTTCCTTAAAATACTTATGACCATTGACTAGTAATTTTACTTTTAGGAATGTCTAAAATGGAAATATTTTTGGCCCAGAATTTATAAACAAGGATACTGATCCCAGTATTATAATATCCTTGTGAATCAAGGATATTGATTCACAGTATTGTGAAAACAAATTTTCACTGTAAAACAAACTAAATGCCCAACAATGAAGAACAAGTTAAATAAATTATGGAACATCTGCATGATGGAAACCATTTAAAATGTCCTTTTTTTTTCTTTGAGAGAGACAGTTTTGCTTTTGTCACCCAGGCTGGAGTCCAGTGCCTCAATCTTGGCTCACTGCAACCTCCACCTCCCAGGTTCAAGCGATTCTCCTGCCTCAGCCTCCGAAGTAGTTGGGATTACAGGAAAGTGCCACCTTCCCTGGCTAATTTTTGTATTGTTAGTAGAGACAGGGTTTCACCATGTTGGTCAGGCTAGTGTCAAAGTCCTGGCCTCAAGTGATCCACCCACCTTGGCCTCCCAATATGCTGGGATTACAGGTGTGAGCCACTGCACTCAGCGCCTAAAATGTCTTATAAAAGTGTTTTGTGAAAGAGGATATGTTTTTTATAAAATGCCATCTACTATCTAATCCTAATATTAAGAGGGAGGGGGGGAAAAGGCAAAAAATGATAGAAATAAAGCAAGGTATCCTTAATGACTGTCCATGGGTAATAGATTAATTTTCCTATCTTTACTTTCCTATGTTTTCTGAATTTTCTTCAGCAGATACGTATTACTTTCGCAATGTTGTGATATTAAGTTAAAAGTGAGAATTTGAAATTGCATACTCAATGTGAATGCAGCTACGTATAGAAGAAGCAAGAAGACTATCAGCTGCAATGTTAATAGTATGGTTTTTATCTTCTTTTGTATAATTATTGGAGTTTTTCTATATGTTAAGAAATCAGGACAAAAATGATTTTGACAAAGAAAGGACAAAAAACAAGGCCCACTTCTTAGTTTATGAAAAGCAGTATAGGAGAACAGAAGGGAATTATAATAGGCTCCTCCTGCTGCAGGTTTGAGAAATATCACTTCAACTAGTTTAAAAAATTTAAAAAAATAAAATAAATAATTTTTCATGCAGAAATATTTTACATGAAAAGTAAAATTTCCCCACCTAAAATTTCTATTCTCATCCCAGGATAAAACTGTTGAGGGCTTTATATATTTCCTTCCAGTACTTTTTTCAAAGAATATTATAAAATAAAGTATTTTTCTCAAAAAAAAATAAAAAGGAGGAATCAGCTTATGTAAATAACAAGGACTTGGGTACAGTTGGCTGCAGACTCATTTAGATCCAGAGGCCCAAAGGGCATCCCCAAGTTCTCTTCCCTGTTTCAAGGCTTTGCTTGTTTCTGCTTAGCTTTCTTCAGTGATTCCTACTCAAACACAAAACCAAACCTTATGCCTCTCACTAGCTCCTGGAAAGAGGCTTCCCAAACAGCAGGTAAGATGGCTGCCAGTAGCCCCCAAATCACACCCCACCAGCTTCACTTTCTGAGCAGGAGATTTTTCTTAATAATTCAAAGATCCCAGCAAGTAAGTGAGAAAGCCTGGCTTGGGGTGTGTGTACAGCCCTGAATGGTCACCATGGCCAAGTGGGTGGGGTATTCTGACACCCGGGGTCCCTTCAGTTGTGCACCTCTATGTCTGAAGGAAAACACAGGCAGCCCCACCACAATTACCTGGAAGAGAGTCCCAGAGAAGTCACAAGAAAAAAAAGAGGAAAGGGAATATTGAAAAGAGAGTATGATGTCAATGTCAATGGCAGGAACTCATAGGTATAATACCAAATGTCTTACAAAATCATCTTATTCAGTCAGTCCTCGTGGAATTATATAAGGAAAATTATTATGTGCACTTTCAAATAAGGAAATGGAGGGTAAGAAAAACAAGTTATTTGCTCAAGTACATGCAGGTAGTACCTGGCAGCAAGGAGATTTGAACTCAAGTGTGTCTAATGTCATTGCCAAACCTCCCCTCTAAAATGTTTTGTCTTCCTTGAGTTCTTATGGCTGCTTTACCTGCAATCAAGAGACAGAGAGAGACATTCTGTGTTTCTGTGTGTGAGAAATGGCACAGGGGCAACTAGAAGTTTTAATACCTTCCTGTAGGTGGCAGGTTGCTGCTCTCTCCTTCAGAACCCCGCTCTGAGGAAAGCTAAGGAAGAGAACAGGACGTCTGAGTGTGTGACTGAGGTAAAATGTTGTATATTTTTCACACTTTAAAATCAGATGTAGGATTCAAATAAACTAAAATAATTTAACACTCAAATTTTTAAAACTTCTGAAGGAGGCTGGGCACATTCCATATTGGGCATTCAAAGAGTATTTTCCACAGCATACGAGGCACTCTCAAAGATACAAAAGTAAACACACTCTAAATTAGGACACAAAGAAAAGATGGAAGATGGGAAATTCAAGGTGGAAAGACATAAATGGCAACCAGAAATAATAGTCATTGTAGATCTGGCAGTTCCCCAACCAAAGCAGACAATCTGAAAGAAACCTAAGGTTATTTATACCTGCTGAGGATTTACTCTACCCAGTGATTAAACCTCCAGGACACACTAGATAAGTCTAGAAGAGCTTTAAGACTTCAAGATTTGTGTTTTCTTAACCTTGCTGTTTCTTGTCCTTGGTTCTGCATGAAAAAACTCATCTCTCCACAGTTCCAAGGAATAATTCCAAAAATAAATGTAGGCATTTGCTTGAACCAGGACATTGTGTCCCCAGTTTTCTTTCCGAAGCCTACAGGATGTACGAGTTGCTCTTGAAGCCTGTCTGCAGCACAACAAATCCAAGTTCTGCATTTGCTCCCCAGCTGAGTGACTGCACTGGGCAAAGCTGCACTTAACAGATAATACCCATGGGGGAACTGCTGGGTGAGGAATTTGTAGTGAAAAGCACTGACAACAGCTTGAGATTTATTTAGCACAATTTATTTAGTTCTTCATTCAGAAGAAGTAAAATTCCATGCATGAGGTAATGTATGCAAAAGTGCTTTAAACTTGAAGTGTTAAAGCAGTACACAGTTGTTGGGGGCTCTGATGTGAGAATGGCCAGCCTGTTCTCTGGTTAGTCTGGAGCTAATTCCTTCAAGAATCACAGGTCAGAAGTGTTGCATTGTGGCCCCTTGTTCAGTCTTGGCAAAAACTGAGGGAACATGGCAAAGTGGGAAGAATATAGACCTTGGAGTCAGATTTGGGTTCAAATATAGTAATTTTCATGGCTCTGGGACCTCTCTGTGTCCATATGTCCTCATTTGGATAACCCAGTTGTCAGCTGGGACTTCCTAGCCCCTTGAGGGCTCACATAAAGTTGGCTCAAACCAATTCGAACCCTTTTCACCACCTTTGGGAATACTGGAGTTACTGTCCCCTAACCTGTTATTCCTCTCACCCTAATATCTATGCACATTGTGTTCTCTTTTCCCCCTTTATCAAATTGCAAGTGAAACTCTGTCCCCTCACTGGTGACCACCAAAGAGCTCACTCATGTTGGTGTGTCCAGTAACTTCACTGAAGGTTTGGGGTTGGCAAGGACTGGTGTGGGGAGGCTCACAGCCTTTGATGTCTCTCCAGAAACCTCTATCTGCTTTTTTCACCCTTCACATATGCCTCCAGATAGTTTCCTAGGAACACAAATATTTTCCCTCTTACTATGCAGAGAAATTTAGCTCTCTTCTGTTCTTGTTCCAAGTTTTCATACTCAAATGCATCAAGATGCCCAGAACAAAGGGTCTTCCAATGGCCTCCTCTGAAAGCAAAGCTATAAATAGAAAAAAAGGGTTATCTGTTATCTTTTGAAAATGGTGATAATTTCTACCTTGCTATTTTTCAAGATTTGTGGCCGGGCGCGGTGGCTCACGCCTGTAATCCCAGCACTTTGGGAGGCCGAGGCGGGTGGATCATGAGGTCAGGAGATCGAGACCATCCTGGCTAACAAGGTGAAACCCCGTCTCTATTAAAAATACAAAAAATTAGCCGGGCGCGGTGGCGGGCGCCTGTAGTCCCAGCTACTCGGGAGGCTGAGGCAGGAGAATGGCGTGAACCCGGGAAGCGGAGCTTGCAGTGAGCCGAGATTGCGCCACTGCAGTCCGCAGTCCAGCCTGGGCGACAGAGCGAGACTCCGTCTCAAAAAAAAAAAAAAGATTTGTGCGAATTTTAGATAAAAGGGATATACAATACTTTGCACAAAGTACAGCACATAGCAAGTGCATAATGAAGAAATGATGATGATGATGATTCTGTATTGGGTAGCCAGTGTTTGCAGTAACTGTACTTCTTTGAGTATCACTTATCACAATTATAATTAATTATTTGTGTAATCATCTCTTAATGTATGTCTCCCTGAAGTTCCCTGATGGCAGAAACTGTTTCTGTCTTGTTTACCTGTGTGTCACCAGTGCCTTGTACAGTGCCTGGCCCACATATTTAACTCTTTATTGTATTAATGAATAGATAAATGGTCAAATGGAGAGTGTTAAATGTGGAGAGTTTTTCTTTCTTTACAGTTTTAACTTTATAGGGGAAAGAAGTGACAGGGCAGGTGAGGGATGGTGAAAACTCTGAAGATGTTGGAACATTGTCAGCTGTCTAAGTGTTTGGGAAAGATTAGCAGAGACTCCATTTCTTTATTCACTCATTCTTTCTGTGCATTTTCTACTCTCACCACCAAATCAGTCTCCTCCCTATCCAAGTTCCATTTATTAGTATCCCTGAAGCTGAAAAGAAAAGAGAATATTTATTTGCCTGTTTCCACACTGTCTCACTAACACCATGATCATTACATTTTCAGACTAGTCCAGTGAAACCTACCTTACCCATAATTTATTTGAAGTAGTTTATTTTTCCCCCTAATTTTCTTCATGGCAGGTATTTTGTTTTTCAGCTAACTTGTTGGATTGCCTACTAATCTAACTTTAGTGTTATAGCTTTTTCTGAAGAGGACAATGTGCTCTGTGCTGTAATGAAGCTTGTAAATTAACTCTAGGAATATAACTCATTCTTATACAGCAGAGTCACCTGTATATGCCAAGACAGCGTGATCCAAAGCAAAGACACTGGATTTGCAGTCACCTTCCTCTGCGATCCTCCTTTACTTATCTAAAATGAGAAGCCTGGGCTAAAGAAACAAATGTCAAACAGTAGCAAAGGATGCAACCTGGACTGAGCTGGGTTCTATTCTCCTTCCCTGTGAGAGCACCTCCCTGCTTACGTTTTAGAAGCTTGGCTCAGGTTATGGAATTCATTTGAATTTTTAAAAATCCATGGCAAAAATAAAAATCAGCAAGCTGGAAAAGACATTCTTCTATAATCCCAAGCAAAGAAAATTAAATCACACAACAAATATTTTCTAAGTCTAAAGTGCTATGTTAGTAGGAATATTAGATAAAGCACATGAGGCTCAGTTAAATTTCAATTTCAGATAAATGGTGAGTATTTTTTAGTGTAAGTGAGTCCTATTCAACATTTGCGATATACCTGTTGTTGGGGTTCTGACAGCTGCTAAGTATGTCTATGCCAATTATGCATTCTGGCACTGGGGAAATGACCACAGGATGAGTCCGGGGATCCTCTGGACTCACTGTAAGTCAGACCTGAGATAAAACTCCATTAATTACCTGACCTCCATAAGTCCCTATTTTAACTGGAGGACCACAGTGACGTTTTGGGTCCCCTGCAATCAATGTCAGCTCAGAGCCAATGTCCAGTAGTCCCCGAAATATCTGATCACTTCCCTTTCCCCAGTGCACAGTTACCCTGGTTAAAGGCTGGAGGTCTCCTTGGGGAAGAATGGGAGAAAGATTCACTGCATAAATTGTCAGTAATGTAGTGGGGTCTTTCCTCAAAAGGAGCCAGCCTCCCCTTCATTCGAAGGCTTCTGGGTCTGCAAACTGGCTCAAGTCTGGAAATTGATTGAGGGGCTGTGATTCTCTGGTTTTATAATTCAAATTAGTCTTCTGTCCATTCGACCTAGAAGTTTTCTTCTTGTATAAATTAAGTAGGAATGCAGTAGGCTTCCTATCAGTTTCACTTCTAGGAACACCGTGATTAATTAGCCAATGCCAGAGTGCTACACAAGTCAGATTATTCTGATTGCAGGTCTGCTTCTGCTGTCCATTATGGTAGCTATGCCCACCGTGCCTTTGATGGTTGAGTGCCAACTTGGACCCTGCCACCTTGGGATCCAATTATTCCCACTGTATTTAAATTTTATAATTGAGTGACTGCGGTTACCACCATTAGATCTGACATACAGAGAAGAGCAATTACAGAGCTCTTCAAAGATGCAGGTGCTGCCCTCACAAATCTATTTCACAAGGCATTGGTCAAGGGTATATCTTCTGGACCCTCCCAGCTGTGATGAGTAGGTCTAAAGTGACTAATCCACTCCACCATCCCAATCTCCCTAAGCCTTTGGATCCCTTCCTTTATGTTAAACCAAGGGAGATCAGGCATTTCCAGCTCACTCACAGTGGGCCTCTTTTAATCCATATTTCAGCTAACCAAGCAAATAAACTATTAGAATATTTTTTAACTCCCTGAGCTGCAACATTAAAGGCAGAGTTTCTACTTAGTGGGACCAAATTAATAAATTCAGCCTGATCCAACTCTATGTTCCTTCTATCATTATCCCACACCTTTAAAATCCATTCCCATGCCTGTTCTCCAGATTTTTGTTTATATAAATTGAAGAACTCAAGCAGTTCTTTTCAAGTGTAGAGCACCTCCTCATGGGTCACACTCTCAACCTCACCTCTAGGGGCTGCTGGGATTTTAGTCTAGTTATAGGTCTAGAAGCAAACAGAGGTATTGAGGGTGGCTCCTCAGGAGAATCAACATTATCTTGCTTGACAACTGCCTCAGGAGAGTCACTGTTGCCTCAGGCAGTGCAGGGTTTATCTCTTCAGACAAAGGTCGAAAGGCTGATGGCAGTATGGGTCAGGGAGGGGATGTTGACTCTACTGGGGATGGGAAAGCTCTTTCTTCTGGCAAAAAAAAGGTTCATCAGAGTTTACAAACTCAGTGTCCTCAGTTTCATCAGAATCTTCCCACACATCCCCATTCCAAGTTGCAGGGTCCCATTCTTTTCCAATCAATGCCCTCACTTTAACAGTAGTCACCTGGCGAGGCTGTGCATGCATCTTTCATTGCAGGTCAGCCACTTGCATGATAAGAGCTTGTCTGTTTTTCCACAATTTCAGCTCTTTCTCTACAGGAGATAAGACTCTCATTCAGGGCAATCTTAGCAGATTTGAGGCTCAGTGTCTGCTTCTGAAGCTGGGAGACAGAATCCCCCAGTTCATCATTTTCTTTCAACACTTTGTCCACTGAAGTTAGAAGTAACCAACCAGCTTCATTATGTTCCTTTATTCTCCATATATGGTCAAAGGTATTATGTATAGAGTCACCAAACTCCTTGCCTCTCAGGAGCAGTGAATCAGAAGTGTCAAATGCATTTATTTTGCATAACTCTCTAAACAGTTCACACCAAGGACTATCAGTGTTCTCCATACTATTAGAAGTAGAGTCCTTAGCATTTTGTGGTCTAATCATATTAAGCAGCCAACTCCAGAAGCCTCAAAACCAACGAAAGAACTCCATTCTTAATATTCTGTTCCTCTAGAACCACTCCTGTTACCAAAATCTGTATTAGTCAGGGTTGTCTAGAAGGACAGAACTAATAGAACATATATATACACACACATACACATATATATATACACACACACACACTCACATATATATACATGTGTAAGGAGAGCCAGTCCAAGTCCCAAAACTGAAGAACATGGAGTCCGATGTTTGAGAGCAGGAAGCATCCAGCACAGGAGAAAGATGTAGGCCAGGAGGCTAGGACAGTCTCTCCTTTTCACGTTTTTCTGCCTGCTTGTATTTGCTGGCAGCTGATTAGATTGTACCTACCAGATTAAGAGTGGATCTGCCTTCCCCAGCCCACTGACTCAAACGTTATTTTGGCAGCACCCTTGCAGACACAATCAGGATCAATAGTTTGTATCCTTCAATCCAATCAAGTTGACACTCAGTATTAACCATCACACCTATACTAAAAAACTGTTTGCCAAGTGTGGCAACCTTATATGCCAGGCTCTTAGGGACTAAAGGATGTGCATTATAAACCAAGAAGAGCACGAAGACATTTTTTAATGGATTCTTTTGCTGTTGATTTTCTTTTATTATTATTATTACCATTAGTTCATGTGGCTCTTTGCAGTTCATTGCATTATTTCATTGCCTGGCCTCATGTTGCAACACATTATCATTCTGTGGACCAGCCAGAAGAGGCAGCTTTCCCTGGACCTAACATTTTTATTTTCATTTTTAGTTCTGGGGTACATGTGCAGGATGTACAGGTTTGTTACATAGGTAAACATGTGCCATTGTGGTTTGCTACACCTATCAACTCATTACCCAGGTATTAAGCCCAGCATGCATTAGCTACTTTTCCTAATGCTGTCCCTCCGCCAACCTAACTGTTAAGGTGTACTCTTCACATAAGGTGGCTAAAACAGTGCATGAGAAGCTAGCCATTTCCTCACCTTCATCTCCTTTTGTTATCTCACACAGGATCCTCACCCAACTCACCCCCAGAGACACCACTTCTTTTGACTTTACTACTTTTGGAATTTATTTCTCATTCAAAAATTGAAGCCAATAGTGTTCGAAATGCATAAAATATACCTAGAGGACGTCTATACCATGAAGTTGGAAATTCTAGTTCAATGCCCTCCACGTGAAGAGCTCTCACAAACACTAATGACTGAGTACTGTAGTTTGTAGCTGCACCTTCAGATTAGCTAACACTGATAAGTATTATAAAGGAGAGCAATACCACATTAAACTCTGAAATGTTACTTTCCCTAATGAGTACTCACACACTACACATATGTATGCGTGCACTATTTGTCATTTGTTTCCATTTTTTAGAGATTTCATTTCTAAAAGCTGTAGGAGAATCTTTTCAAATGAATTATATATGAACCATAATTAATATGAATAAATCCGCTCATGCAAAACATTTCAGGATGTACATTTCCCATTTATATTATCACCAAAGGAGGAATTTCATTATTTTTCATACAGCTATTTTGTCATGGATCTTAAAATGGAGTCACAGATAAGAAGAAAAAATGGAAGATTGTACAGACAGAATCAAATTCCAGGTTCTAAAACTAGTAGGGTGGACAGCGAAGATAAAGTCAACTTTATAAAGATAAAAATCTCAGTATTCTGAAATTTAAGGCCTCATTTAAATGCCTTGAACTTCTTAGGATTAAAAGACATTTGCCCAGTGTGTTCTTGGGATATTCAAAATTGTGCATTAAAATAAACGTGATATTATGAACCTCCAAAAAGTGTTCATAGTACATTTTGGCCAAAAACTGTGTGAATCAACCAAGTCATTTGAGCATAGGTCCTGTTTAAAAGTAATGATGCAAAATTCAGTAATGAATTTTGAAAACCTAAAAATAGTCTGTCTTGTTCTAGAAATGACAAAACCTGGGGGATAACTTTGTTCTCATTCTTCATATAATTTGATCTTCCTGCTTTGCCACAGGGCATCAGTTTTGTGAGAAAGGCACATAGTGCAGGCAACATTTCTCACTTGGTATGGCTTGGGAAGAATGGGCTTCCTTCAAAACCAGGGAGTAGTGAAAGTTCATTTGTATTCATTTTTAAACAGATGTATAGTGAAAGTATTAGTATTCTAAGGATATTTGGATTCTTTGAAAATATTCAGTTATCCAAAATTAATAATTTGGGGCTTAACTGAAACAGAACGGTATATTTTATACATAAAAGGCTATCTTAATCATCAAAGGAAGAACTAGCTAATATGTATTAAGGAAATTGAGGCAAGCTGTACCTATGAAGGCTGTTATCTAAGTTCAAATCCACAAACAACATATAGTTTAAATTGTGAAATGATATATGTGTACAAAATTACTTTGTAAAGTGATTGTGAAGCCTCACCTAAGCGAAATAGTAATTATTTCTTCTAAAGACGGTCTGGTTCTTGCCACATTTTTCTGTCTCTTAGAAATATATTTGAAGCCATAAGGCTACAAATGAAAGAGTTCTCTCCTTTTCTTTCTAAGTAGTTCACTTAGCTCCAGCTGAATCATCTGTATAGTGTCCTCCCTCTTATGATGCATACAACCAAGGGATGCTTAGAGAAAGGGAGCCTCCCAATTCTTGGGAATAGGCCTCGATGTGTGAATTCTCACTTCCAGCCCTTCCAGGTCAAATCTTCCAAGTCTTTAGTCGCTCTCCCTCTCCGATTCATCCTGTGTGTTTACCGTTGGATTCATATTCTGTAATTACTGCTTGCATTGTTTAAGTCCTGTGCATAGGAGTCTTCGCAGAACTCTTTGTTTCCTCCACTATGAAGTATAAGCCACGTGACCCGGCTGTAGTCAGTGTAGTGCTCCCTAACTTCACTCATTTTAGGCACAAGTGGCACTAATGAACATCACAGAGACACGCCTTCATGAAACCGACAGTCCTATGAATAAAACAGACACCAACAAAAACAATTTCATGAAGATTTTATGACAATTGCAAAAACTGTTAGACAATTATGGGTATATTAGAGTATATACTAGAGTATATTAGAGAAATTCGGAAAAGCTGCCCTGTGGTAGACATGCCTATTGGAACTAGCCAGGTTTGGGGCTGAGAGGGGTTAGGATATCTATGAAGAGAAAAAGAGAATATTCCAAGCAATGGGATCAGCAGAAGCAAAGGCCCTGAGGCACATATGAGTGAACACAGAGACATGGGCCTGGGGGCCAGGTGGCTTGGACATACAAAGCCACTTTAAAGATTCGGGACTTCAAATTAAAGGCAGTAGGAAGTCCATCCTGCTTTTACTTGCCATTCTCTCAAAAAGCATCTTAGTTGACCCCAGAGGCCATCAGACACAACACGCATGTCTACTATAAATTAGCTCATGTAATATGAGCTGCAATAATAGAAGCATAATATCTAAACAGAGGAAGGTACACACAGTACAGGCCCAGCTAGCAAGAATATTCCAGGAGCCTCAGAAACAAAGCAACATAGTATGTTTACTTTGTTTAAAACAAAGATGCCCATATTGGCTTTTTGCCATTTAAAACATGATTTACTAAAAATCTAGATTACCAAGCAAACCAGGCTGAGTCCAGCTTTGAAGCTGGGCTGGAGGCCACCCTCCTTCTACTCCTTTCTCTTCACCCTGTTCCCTCTGCACCTCGGTCTCTTTATCCTCTTCTTCTATCTGCCGTCCCGATGTGACAAATCTCTCCCTGTGCTGTGTTCAGGGTTTAGGATGTCTGATAGAGGACAGCGCGTGACGGTGAGGAATGCCAGTCTGCTTAGTCATGCCTTTTTGCACACCTCTGGAGTTTTGTGCATACATAGCTAACAGTCTGGAGCTGCACATTAATGAAGGATTAGTGCAGAATGCATGCCTAGAGAAAGTTTCCGAGATCATGTTGCAAATCACTTTTGACAAGTTTTGCAGAGAAAAGCTGCATAATTCACTTGAACTGTTTTTACAACTTTTATTTTAGATTCAGAGGGTATATGTGCAGGTTTGCTACCTGAGTATATTGTGTGATATGATGCTGAGATTTGGGGTGTGAATGATCACCCATGTACTGAACATAGTACCCAAGAGTTAGTTTTTCAACCCTTTCTCCCCTTCCTCCCTCCCTGCTCTAGTAATCCTGTTTCTATTGTTGCACACCATGGAATACTACGCTTGAGCTTTTTAAACTAAAATATGCCTGGCTGATTCTCTGAGATTAGGATATAAGTGGGATTTATATTAAAAATAAACACATTTGTCCTTCTTTAAAAGTGACATATTTAAAAACTTAAAATAATTATCATTTTCTTTTTGTTTGGAGGTGCAAGGTCTAGTTCTTTTTCTTTTCTTAACTCTCACAAATAGTCTTCCCCTCACAGACCTCCATAAGATATTGGCATAATCCTCAAGTTTGGACAAACAAAGGCACATCATACTTTTAAAAGCTTTGTCATTCAAAAGTCTCATTTGCTTGCCTGCTTTGCAGACTATTAATGGACCTTGGGGAATAAAAACTGAAGTTTAAAACATTTCCAGACAGATGTGCCACAGAGCAATGATTTGCTTCCTTGAAAGGACTTCTGTGGACCCTTGTAATTATGACAATCACTTGCAAACTCCAAGTCTCTCATTCCTCACCTCCGCAATCCCTGACACTCCATATTCATTTCATGATAGGCATTCTAAAGTGTTTTTTACACTAGAAGGAGGAACTGGCTCAAAGAAATAGATCTCTAAATCAGAAAACAGAAAAACATCTCTAACCAGGACCCCAAAATGTTAAATTCTGGCTTTGGCTTTGCTGTTTCACTAGGCAGCCTTGGACCTTTTGCTTGACTTCTGAGTTTCATTGTTCTCATCATGTGACAATGCAAAGTAGGGAACAGTAGTACAGATACCTATTACTAGAGGAGAAGTAATGGTGAGAAACTTCTTGGTGTGACTCCATTATTCACACACCATTCTTGTTTGCCCTGACGTGTTATGCAGGTCTGGCTTTTATTTGAGATGTCCTGACCTTATATAAGAGATAGGACTGATTCAAGTTTCAAGCCTAATGATGTAACACCTCTCAGCTGGAAGGGAGCATCTCTGAGATTGATTCCTACACTGTGGGAGTTCCAAGTATATATTCATCACATATAATAAACTTCCTAAGTCCCAGAATCCCTTTCGCCACCTTTTGCTAGCTTTTATAGGACAGTTTTTTAGTAGTTATTTCTTAATCAGTGTCTTATCATTTCCAGGTAGTAGTTTAGACTCATTAAGCCTTTGAAGTTACTGGTGCTATTAAGTGCATCATTGCTCTGTGCATTGAAGGACAGTGAAGTGGTGGCTGCTTGTCTGTGTGCCCAGAACCATCAGGAAATGGCTTGAGTACCCCCTGGGAAAAAGGCTTTGTTAAAAAGGAACTGCTTGTTCACTCTGGGACACTTAGCCTTCTGCTTATTAGTCCTTTTGCTGTGTTCTTACCAGGTTGAGGGACACTTCTTTCCATAAATGCAGACACTGAAGCTGGAATCTGGAACATGTGTTTTCAGTATTTAGAGATCTGCAGAGTGGACACATACTGGCACATCACAAGCATGATTGTTATGGTCTCAAAAGTGTGGGAGGATCTCCCAATCCCAAGAGTTTTGAGAGCAGCCTGGGTGACATAGTGAGACCTTGTCTCTATGAAAAAACTTTAAAAAATAAAAATTAGGGCATGATGGTGCACGCCTGTGGTCCCCATTACTCGGGAGGCTGAAGCGGGAGGATAATTTGAGCCCAGGAGGTCAAGGCTGCAATGAACTATAATCACACCTCTGCACTGCAGCCTAGGTGGCAGGGTGAGATGCTGTCTCAAAAACAGGAAAAAAAAAAAAGAAAAGAAAGTGTCCACAGTAGTGTTAATGCTTTTTGGCTGCAAATATTTTGTTCATGTGCCACAGTCTTATTTTGTACCCTGGTGACTGTTTCTAGCAGTGTGTTTGTGGAGTGGAGGTGATTTGAGGCACAGGCATCATGAATCAGAGGAGCATGATGTATGTGTGGGTATTTTTATTTGTTCCATTTACAAACTCTAACTTGGTGGAATTATAATACAAAAATTAACTTTGTGTTCTCGTTCTCTGCGCAGGTCCATTTTCTACATAATCGTATTGTATATCACTTTGTCCTTTATATTATAGTAAGAATAACATAACATAATAAAAGGATGTGATATTTTAATTAGGTTAATGTAATTCACTGAGGTACTGGCTTTGGGGGATCATAAAGTTCCCAGGAGCAGGCACTTTATTTTCATACCCTTTGGCTAGCTAGCTACTTTTATGTTTCGTAATATTTGAACTAGAATAAGCAGGGTATCCTCCCATTCAGGCAGTCCTTGATATGTGGTATTGGGGTTACAATGATTCTTCTATCATGATAGCCACATATGTGGGCTGATATTTTAATAACTTCAAAATAATCTTTGCTATATTTACCTCTATTAAATTTGTTCATATTAATTAAGCAATCAGAGCTAACTAAATATATTGACACTTAAATGGTTTCAGAGTGTAGCCTAGCTAATTCTCTTCAGGAAACTCGAGATTCAAAAGCTTATGTCAATGGTAACTTTATGTCCAAGGATTTCATCACCAATCCTTTGGAGCAGAATATTCCTGGAGCCTAGTTGCTACAGTGAGTCCTGTGTGAGCCCTCTAGATATCTTCAAGAAGTACTGAGATCCAAAGTACTCAAATTTGAGTTTCTGTTTTATGCTGGCATTTATCAGATATGCAAGAAATATTCACTAATATTTATATCTGATATTAGTCAATATATTAGTCAGTACTTATCTGATATTGGTCAATTTATTAAATATTGAGTAATATCTGATACATAATAAATAATAGTCAAATATTAGTATATAACAATATGATGAAGAGGCTACAAGTTGGACCAAAGGTCAGTTAGACTGACGTGAGTTCAAATTTGAGTTATTTAAATTTGAGTTCTTTAAATTTCACTTCTCTAAGCCTGAGTTTCCTCATCTACAAAATGAGGATAATAACACCAACTAACTTGAAGATAAAATTAAATAATTAAAATTAGGAATCACAGTAGGCCTGTCTAAAGGATATTTAGGAGGTAGTAGAGTCTAAGGAGGATTAGGGAGGTAGTGCAGCCTGATGGCTAGGAAGCCTTAGGAGAGACTTCTTAAGTACAAATCCTGGTTCTCTGGCTACCTGCAATGTGATCTTGTGAAAGTTTCTTAACTCTTCTCAGTTGTATTAGTTTCCTCTTGTTGATCTAACAAATAACTACAAATGTAGTGGCTTAAAACAACACAAATGTATTATCTTACTGTTCTGAGATCCAGAAGTCTGAAGTGGGTCTTACTGTACTAAAATTAGAGTGTTGGCAGGGCTGCGTTCCTTCTGGAAGCTCTAGAGGAGAGCCCATTTCCTTGCCACTGCTAGCTTCTGGAGGCCACATGCATTTCTCGGTTTGTGGGTCCTGCCTCCATCTTCGAATCCTCTCTCAACACTTTATGAGAACTCCAATAATTGCATTGGGCCCACCAGGATAACTCAGGTTAATCTCTCCATTTCAAGATCCTTAACCTAATCACATCCACAAAGTCCCTTTTGTCAAGATAACGTATTCACAAATTTGGGGGGGTTAAGATGTGGACATCTCTGATTATCTTCTATTATCTATCTAGATAGATAGATAATCTATTATCTATCTATTCCCATTATCCTGTCTATTTCATCAGCCTTCGTTTTCTCTTCTTAAAAACAGGGTAATATAGTATGGCCTCTCTCAGAGTTAGGATAAGAAATAAATAAAATAATTCATGTGAAATGCTGAGTACAGAGCCTACTCACAAAGAGGAAGCACTTAATAAATGTTTATTATTATTGTTATGACATTCAATGAATGAATCTCAGGGTCTCTTCCGGCTAATAACCCAGGCATTCATGCCTCTGCCTCACCGGGACAATGCAGGAGGCCTGGAAGACTGAAAAAGAAGGCGCCTTCCCACCAGCTATTCTTCCTCACTCAAATTCTTGGCAATCACCAAATTAGAGCCATGGCTCTCTTAAGAAACACATTCTCCCAGTCTTCCCTTAATTTCAGAAAAAATTCTCTTCAATGGAAGGGACATAATTAAAAGCCTTATAATTTATAGGAACAGATCCAGAGGCAAGAAATAAGGGCTGCCTCTGTTTCTTCTCTTTCCATTCTGTATTCCTGTCATAGCCAGTCAACGCTGGTCTTGGGGAAAGGAACCGTGGTGTGCAAAATGCCATTGTTTACTGCTGGAGATCTTGCAGCCATAACTTTTGGCTGCTCATACCCCCGCCTGTTTCTTTTCCATGTGGCCTATTTAGTTTTGGCATCTATGTTCATTAACCCCATCTACTTGGCTGTGTTTTCATTGTATAACAATCACCAGAGTCCCTACAATGTTGTTTTCTAAGTTGTTTCTAAATATTGTTGTTTTCTAAGTTGTTTTATATCAGCCTAGGATATCCACCACAGAAAGAATTTAAGTGGAGGAAGGAAAAAATAGAATAATATTACTAAATTTAATATTTAGCTATGAATTAATCTCTATTCCACATGTTACTGATAGATAAAACTAGATTGTAAACTTGTTAAATGTAGGTTCTCTTATGTTCTCATTGTAAATGCATGTTTATTAAAAATCAAAATAGCTCCTTCTGCAACATAGAATTTTTGATACTTTTTAAAAATATTTTTGGTACAAATAATTTTGCAGAAACATATAGTAGAATCAGTAGCGAGGAAGGGGATTTAAAAGAAATTTTTAATAGACATACTCTATCATCTTTTCCTATCCTTCTTGTACTGACTTTGGAACCCTGTGCTCTTAAGTTTTGCTATTGGTCTTAAATCTGTAGATACACAGTGATGGTCATATTGGCATCCTCCCACCCACCCATCTTAGCCCTCATCTGCCGTTGACCCTCTCATCTTCCTTATCTCAAAAGACGCTTTCCTCGTGTGGCCTCTGGAGAATATCATCCAGAGCTAGACTCCTCAGAAAGCACACAAGAGCCATTATTATTTCCTTTTCCCAGCGAATCAAAATTGCCACCTCTTCACTGTGTTTATCTCAAGCAGGTATGAAGAAGAAAGCAACCAAATTAAGTATACTAATTCTGATTTTCCCAAGGAAATTTGCTTTATTAATGACATAAAATAAACTTCCCATGGTGAAATTTCAAGGTACATCTCAATGACACATAGTAAATGAGAGGTTTCATGTTAAAGAGAACTTTCTAGTTTCACTAAAAATCACCCCAAATAAATGGCAACCCTCTCCATCCTCACTGATTCATTCAAGAATCTTCATGCCTATGCAAAAGCAGCTCTGTGTTCTGAGTATACAGTGATATAAAGCACCATGCCACTGTTGGATTCACACATCATGGATATCATGATTGTTAGGAACTCTATTGGTATTTCTTTTCCCACCATAATTTCCTGGTCTTTCTTGACCAGGAAAAAAATATCATGAGGCTTTCTGTCTACCTTGTTGGTTTTAGTCACATTTCCTATAACACACATAGAAACGAAGAAGGTGAATAAAGGAACAGAGTTAAGGAAAGGAAAACAAAGAGCAGGGAGGGAAAGTTGGAGCAGAGAATGAGAGAATAAGATGGAAAGAAGAAGAGAGGTGGAAGAAAATGGGAGGAATGCAGAGGAGATAGGCACTTTCGGCTCACAGGTCTCTTTCCTTGGCAAAAGTGGGCCATTGCACAACCCGTGAACTCCATCCTGCCCAGCTCCCCTCTGGAATTCACTCACACATGTCTTCAGTTATGCTTTAGCCTATGTCCGTGTGTGTCTGTGTGGGCAGTGCCCCACAACCAGTACCCTCGGGAAAAACAGGGCAGTTCCTTTGAGTCTTTTTTCATACAATTGCATTTTGGTTCTCATTAAGAAGCTCAGTGGGATTTGTAGTCAGACATGTCTAGTCTTAAACCTTACATTGTCCACTTAAGGTACATCTTAGTCTCTGAATCTTGGTTTTCACATTGGTAAAATGAGACTAATAATACCAACCTTATGGTGTTCTTACAAGAACACAGTGAGAAGGGGCCTGCATAGTACTCGGAACATAGTAAGCTTTTTAAGATGATAATTGTGTTAAGTAGTGTCGTGGCTATTACTGTTATTATTTATTATTATTTCTTCTCCCAGAAGTCTGATTTTTTGTCCTATTGCAGAAAACAATATATTCTCCTGCCTCTCCCCTTCCCAACTCTCCAAACTCAGCACTAAAAAAAAGAAAATGTTAAAGCATACAAGCCTCCCTAGCCTACATCTAGTTCAATACTGCACTTTCACTCTCTTTTCCCCAATTCTCCTATGGAAATCAATTTCAGAAGCCCAGATCACAATTAGCCCATGGCCATTAGCAGCCCCAGTAATTTTTCTCAACACATTAGAATTGGGGGAGGATCTATTTCTTTCTACTACTCTTTCTAATATCTTCAAAAACAAACAATGGTTTAGAATTCTTTAAGCACCAAGAGTCATGCCAATAATGTCCTAAAACACGTGGGATTTTCAGGATGCGAGTTTCTGCCTGACCATGATTATTGGGTTGTGTATCCAGGTATTCTGGTTCCTAGTGCATGAGGAGCGCATCACTGTCTTCTCCCACCTTCACTGTTCCACCTTAGCCTTTGCAGGTCGCCAGCAAGCTTCTTGCCCTGTCCCTTGGGCAGTTGCTCTGTAGATGTGTCCACTGTAATTGGCTGCTGCCATTTCACTAATAGTTGGCACTCCCCATAAAATAAAACTACCTTTGATTCTCACCAAATCCTGACTTTCTTCTTCTAAACCAGCCCATGCAAGAACTGTAATGCCTTTAGTTGTGTGTGTATATAGACATGAACATTTTGGTGGGGTCCATACCTTCATCAGCTCATTAAAGGGTCTAAAATCTTTAAAATATAGACAGGGCAGCATCACACCACTTAGCCAGCTAAATACCTCCTTGTCCTGTTGCAGCCTCTTTGTTGGGATGCCAAGTTTAGCTCAGTCACTTGAAAAAATTTTGGAATTACATTTTTAAAAGTATTCCAAAATATTTTACTTTTATAAATGTTTATGCATATATACAATATACTCCCCACTTTGATAAGAGGAGTTCAAAAATTCAATTACAAAATTCAAGGTTGTCTTATTGCAAGGTTAATTAAAAAAACAGTCTTCTAATTTGGGGGGGGGACTTTTTAATTATTTGGGGTTTTTTTTCATTTATACCTAATCCTGCAGATTATTTGTTTTTATTTATTTAATATGTAGGAAAAAGAAACAGATATATTTTCATGAATAGTAATGTTCTACACTGAATTGAGACAGTCCCAAATGATCAGAAGGCAGTCATTTCCTAATACCCTTTCCCCAAGACTTAAGGACTTGGCTACCACAGCAGGAGGACAAGAAAGCCTCTCTCTCCAATGTGAGGCTCAGCCATCATTTCCCTATGACAAAGTGGGCCTATGTGTATAATATTATTGCTAGTGAGAAATACAGATGCACACATGTACACAGTCATTCTGCCAAGATACATCGTATTGAATAAAACATGATTCTCTAAAAAAAAATCTGAGGTCCTGGTGCAGTTCTAAAGGCAGCAGTACAGCTGACCCCACCTATGATAGTCTCCCCACAGGGACTCTGGAGGTCCTTTTGATCAAGCTCAACCTTTGGCAGGGCTCCCCAGTCCCTCTGAGACACTCTAATAACTTTGAACCTCACATGCATAACAGAGTCTGAATTTGGATCATCATCCTTCCAAAAAGTTCCTTTCCACCCATGCCAATCTGCTCCCAGCCTGGCTCTGCAGTCTTTCCTCATAGTAAGGGGGAGGTGTGGTGTGATACCAGCTGCTATTGAGCAGAAGTACCTAGCCTCTTACCAAGCCAAATGTCATCAAATGAAACCAAACGAAACCAAATGTCCTTAAGCAACTTGTACAGTCTTACCCAGAATAAGAGGTTTCTTCCTGACTTGAAAGAACCACTAAGAGTAGTTCTTTAGAGAATACAAATGGTCCTGTCATTTTTTAAATGGCATTTTTCTGTTTCTTAAAGTTTGCCTCATTAGATACCCATATCTATATCTATATCTGTATCTATATATATATATATATGTTTATGTATATTTATATTCCTCTAAAAGAAATAAATATCTTCTCCCTTGGCTCAAAGTAAATTTTAAGGTGGGTCTTAAGTTATAGAAACATACTGCAAAGCAGCATAAGAATTCCAACCTAATGTTGTACAAGTAAGTTCATGTTCAAACTCAACTAGCATCATATTTCCACTCAACCCGAGCCATGAATCGGATGCACTTAGGGTGCTTTTATTTTTTTTTAATTTTTTATTTCAATAGTTTTGGGGGCTATAGGTGGTTTTTGGTTACATGGATAAGTTTTTTAGTGATGATTTCTGAGGTTTGGTGCACCCGTCACCTGAGCAGCAAACACTGTACCCAATATGTAGTCATTTATCCCTCACCTCCCTACCATCCTTCTCCTCTGAGTCCCCAAAGTCCATTATGTCGTTCTTATGCCTTTGCATCCTCATAGCTTAGCTCCCACTTAGAAGTGTGGATATATGATAATTGGTTTTCCATTCCTAAGTTACTTCACTAAAAATAATGGCCTCCAGCTCCAGCCATGTTGCTCCAAAATACATTATTTCATTTTTTTATGGCCAAGTAGTATTCCAAGGTGTATATGTATACCACATTTTCTTTATCCATTCGTTGGTTGATGGACACTTAGGTTGGTTCTTTATCTTTGCAATTGCAAATTGTGCTGCAAATTGTGTCTTTTTCATATAATGACTTCTTTTCCTTTGGGGATTGCTGGATCAAATGGTAGTTCTACTTTTACTTCTTTAAGGGATCTCCATAGTGTTTTCCATAGTAGTTGTACTAGTTTACATTCCCAGCAGCAGTGTAAAATTGTTCCCTTTCACCCCATCCACACCAATGTCTATTATTTTTTGACATTTTAATTATGGCCATTCTTGCAGAAGTAAGGTGGTATCTCATGGTTTTCATTTGCATTTCCCTGATGATTAGTGATTGAGCATTTTTTCATATGTTTGTTGGCCTTTTGTATATCTTCTTTTGAGAATTGTCTATTCATGTTCTTTGCCTACTTTTTGATGGGATTAGTTGTTATTTTCTTGCTGATTTGTTTGAGATCCTTGTAGATTCGGGATATTAATCCTTTGTCAGATGCATAGTTTGAGAAGATTTTCTCCCACTATATGGGTTTTCTGTTTATTCTGCTGATTATTTCTTTTGCTGTGCAGAAGCTTTCTAGTTTAATTAGGCCTCATTTATTTATTTTTGTTCTTGTCACATTTGCTTTTGGGCCTTAATTATAAATTATTTGCCTAGGTTAAAGTCTAGAAGAGTTTTTCCAATGTTATCTTCTAGAAGTTTTATGGTTTCAGGTCTTAGAGATAAGTCTTTGAGCCATATTGAGTTGATTTCTTAATAAGGTGAGAGATGAGAATCCAGTTTCATTCTTCTACATGTGGCTTGCCAGTTTTTCCAACACCACTTATTAAATAGAGTGTCCTTTCCCTAATTTATGTTTTGTATGCTTTGTTGAAGATCAGTTTGCTGTAAGTTTTTGGCTTCATTTCTGAGTTCTCTATTCTGTTCCTGTGGGCTATGTGCTTATTTTTATACCAGTAATATACTGTTTTGGTAATGATAGTCTTGTAGTTTAATTTGAGGTCGGGTAATGTGATACCTCCATTTGTTCTTTTTGCTTAGTATTGCTTTGGCAATGTGGGCTCTTTTTTGGTTCCATGTGAATTTTAGGATTTATTTTCTAGTTATGCAAAGAACAATGATGGTATTTTGATGGAAATTGCATTGAATCTGTAGATTTCTTTGGGCACAATGGTCATTTTCACAATATTGATTCTACCCATCCATGAGCATGGGGTGTGTTTCTATTTGTTTGTGTCATCTGTGATTTCTTTCAGCAGTGTTTTATAGTTTTCCTTGTAGGTATTTTTTATTTCTTTGGTTTAGTATATCCATAAGTATTTTATTTTGTTTTATTTTATTTTATTTGCAGCTGTTGTAAGAGGGATTGAGTTCTGGATTTGGTTCTCAGCTTGGTCATTGTTGGTGTATATCAATGCTACTGATTTGTGTACATTGATTTTGTATCCTAAGACCTTACTGAATTTATTTATCAGATCTAGGAGCTTTTTGGACTAGTCTTTAGGGCCTCCTAGGTGTGCAGTCACATCATCAGTGAAGAGCAACAGTTTGGTTTCTTCTTTCCAATTTGTATGCTCTTTATTTGTTTCTCTTGTCTGATTGCTCTGGCCAGGACTTCCAGTACTGTGTTGAATAGAAGTGGTGAAAGTGGGCATCCTTTGTTTAGTTTCAGTTCTCAGGGGGAATGCTTTTAACTTTCCCCCATTCAAGAAACTCTTAGTATAAATGCTCAGGTCCAACTCCAGATTCAGTAGGTCCAGGTATTTGCATTTTTGATTAGGTCTCCAGGCTAGCGTGAGAGGCAGTCATAGCCGAGAACTACTATGCTGGACACTTGATAAGGGAAACCAAATCCCGGATAACCCATCTAGCTGGTCGCTACACTAAAGTAGTGAGCTCATGCACCTCTCTCCAAAAAATAATAATAATAATAATAATAATAATAATAATAACAAATAAGATACCAGTTCCAGGAGTAGAAGATGATATTCAAAGTAAAATACAAAGTCAGAAACTCATTATAACCTTGTATTTTAGTAACAGCATTTTTGTACTGTCATGGGCTCATCTAGATAAAGGACTAGGAAGTGAAAGCAAATGCAATTATAATTTGCCTCAGGAAAGAGCTCTGAATACTTTTTTATTATATTGCCAAAGATTAGGACTAGAATGTAAATCTAAGAAAGTAATATCAAAGGCCTTCCTCATTAACAGAAATGGAAACAGGCATTTATATGCCACCAATAAATCAATTAAAGGAGGAAAGGAGCTTGAAATGGCCTTCATTGTGGTTATTAACTTCAGGGAGTGCAGCAGTTGGGGATTGCTGAACCCAGCATTTTCTTTTCATTCACCTGGAGCAAAATGTAGGAAAATAAAGCATGGTAATGCTGTCATCATATTAAACCCAAAGTCTGCTTAAGTGTTTGCTAAAGTGGAGCAAAACAAAGCAGAGCCAGACGTTTCCAAAAACATTGTCCTGCTTTTGTGGATTTTAATTGCGAGACTGTGAATCAGTGTGTGACTTGGTGTGTTTCTATGTGTCTGGTTTACATAAATCTGGACACTGGGAATTCTTTTAATCTCCCTGATTATTTCCAGTGTAACAATGTCCTAAAATAGGAGGATTCCTTTAAGAAATAATACATAAAGGAACTTCCCAGTGAAGTTTGAGAGAGCTGTGACCCTTCTCCATCCTTCTTTTGGCCTGTTAATCGCCAAGTCCTATTTACTTTTTTCAGTTTACCAATTTCAGAAAATCTTAATTTGCATTGAACAGTAGCATCTGGAATAAGGTTACTGGTGAATGGAATCTATACTAGCTTAGGGATTTAATAATTAACAGAAAAAAGAGAATTCAATATCTTGTCATGCCAGAAAATGCCTTATGGTTTTTAGGCAGCCACTTTACCTTCTTGAGTCTTAAGTTCCTTAGCTATAACTTGGGAATGTAATATCTTTTTGACTTCCTAACAAAGTTACAGGGAAAAGCATTTTATAATCTTTAAGAAGTTATACAAATGTAAGGCACCATTAGTTTCAGCTTCTGCCTTTAAAATTTCTTATATATCATGCGTAATAGTAATGTGTATTTATTATGGATGGTGTTGGATGAAAGGTGTGCCTTGAAGGAAGTAACTTGAGGATGTGACATTTCAATGTGAATTCATTTCACTATGCCAAAATATAGTTCACATTTCTTCTAACACTGTATTCCCTACCTTTGGATTTATTCTTTATTTCTTGCTGGTTCCCAAACTGTTTTACTATTATTTTATCCTTCCCCATACATGGGGGCAAAGAGTTGGAGCCATCCCTGTCCAGCGGTGCAACCCTCTTTTAATGACCATTCTGAAGAAGGGTGACTTGGTGACTTCACCTCCTACAAATTCATTAATGCCATGGGGCCAAAAGATTATTTCCTAATATGGGAGAGAAAAAGCTGAGGTCCTCTCATCTGCCATTCTCTGTGTGGTCTGGTAGTCACCAAGTCCTATCAAATGTGTCTTCTAAATCTCTCTTAAATCAATGCTTTAATGCAACACATGAGTCTCACTCCTGAAACACAGAAGTATCCAATTCACTGGACTCTTCCGTTAGTCGTGTGTTCCCACGCCTACCCTCCTACCTACCCAGTCTTCCTTCCACTCACCATGCTGGAGTTGTTTCCTAAACCTGAATCTCTATACATCAATTTCCTACTTAAACCTTGGATGGCATCTAGCGTCGATTGGAAAGCCCTTTATCGTCTAAACATGACAAGGATGGCTTTCCAGATTTGATGCCTGTTAATCTCTGAAGTGTCTCCACTCACACTTGCACCCAGCAATACTGAGCAACTGCCTGTTCCCAAATGCACCTTACCTATTTTAAAGCTCCCTGCTTTTCTTCACGATTCTATTTGCCCTTCCTCCACTCTTTTTCATCTGGAAAATTCCCGTTTATCCTTTTAAATTCTGTTTCAGAGTCCCTCTTTATTTGATCCTATTTCAGATCATTCCAGAAATAAACTACTACATCTTACAGTACATATTTTCATTATGGTACATATTACTCCAAATTTTAATTATTTGTTAGAAAAATTTGTTTCCCCTTTCAAAGTTGTGAGCTTCTTGAAGACAAGGATCATGTTGTATTAATCTTTGGGTCTCAAGAAACTACCAGTGTGTTTGACAAAGTATAGCTACTTTATAAATATTGCTTAAGTAAATGAATGGATGGGTTCTTATAAGCGAAAACAACATATGTCCTGTATAATTTGTGGGACTGAGCTTTAGTAAAGGAAACATCTGACAGGGCTCATCACTTATTTATCACTGTTAGTTCTTTTCACCTTTTTGACATTTATATAATCTTCTTGTAAAATCTAAGGTTGTAAGCATCTTATGTACATGAAGGAGCAACAAAAACTGACCAAATTGGGCTCATCGGTGAGCCATGTGCCCTGTGGTACACATTAGTGTCATCACAGATGGGTTATTTTCCTCTTCACCTCCTCCATATGACTTTGGGCAGCTGTTGTTGTACTGAAATTCATGAAAAGCACAGCTCCTTGTCAATTTCCCTCATTTCAGAAATAAAACTGCTCTCTGTAAAAGCACCTGCTCCTTTCCCTACAGAATGACATGCTCTTCTCTCTTTCAAAGGCAGTGAGAATGTAGTCAGGCATTGTGTGTCTCAGATCCCATTGATGAGAGTTAAATTGGAAACCAAGGAGCCCACAGTGGTGTTCCCTGCCTGTTGAACTCATGAGCTTACTTTGTCCTAGAGTCCCTCTATTGAATCAGTGTAAAGTGTAATCTAGCAGGCCTCCCATTTTTACTATTATGACTACGATCAATGAGTAATAGGTGAGTATTCTCAATTTTATCTGACTACACTACTTTCCAGAAAACTCTGGGGATAAAATGAGAAGTGTGTTATTTTTCTCTTATATTTATAATTATATTCTGTGCCTTGTATTATTTCATACCACAGAGATTTTTCTATCTCTTCCAAGGTACACATTTGACCTGGAAGTGAGAATTAATACCTATTGTGTAACTAATGATGGTTCTTTTACAAGTTAATTAATCAAAAAAAACATGAGGAATAGAACAAAAGTTGACATCAGTGTACTTTGCATATTTTTCAACTTCTTCATAAGACTTGATTTTGCTTTAAAATGTATGGTCCTAGATTATAAACAATGTAAATTAGTTTCTGTCATTTCAAATAATTAATCTCTGAAACTAGTACAATTTGAATTTCACACTTCTGTAAGTCAGATTTGGGAAATATAATTGAAAGTTCATTTCATGGAAACCAAACTTAGCTTGTTTTGCTGTTTTCTCTCTTTCCTCTTTTTTTTCTCTTTCATTCATTTATTCAATAAATACTAGCTGGCCATATCATTTGTTGGTTGGACTTTGCTGGGCACTGTGAAAAATTAAGATATGTGAGGTTAGTGCTCTCGAAACCTTACAGAGAAACAGACAAAGTGTTAAATAGGAGTAGAGTTGTCACAACACCGCAAAACAAGTAGTACAAGCAGCAAGGCCTGCAAGTTCAGATGCCAGGCTTTACCTCTGATATTTTCTGTCAGAGCTCCCTAGACTACCATCCTTTGTGATTTATTTATTTATTTATTTATTTATTTTATTTTTTTTTTTTTTTTATTTTTTATTTTTTTTTTGAGACGGAGTCTCGCTCTGTCGCCCAGGCTGGAGTGCAGTGGCGGGATCTCGGCTCACTGCAAGCTCCGCCTCCCGGGTTCACGCCATTCTCCTGCCTCAGCCTCCCAAGTAGCTGGGACTACAGGCGCCCGCCACTACGCCCGGCTAATTTTTTGTATTTTTAGTAGAGACGGGGTTTCACCGTTTTAGCTGGGATGGTCTCGATCTCCTGACCTCGTGATCCGCCCGCCTCGGCCTCCCAAAGTGCTGGGATTACAGGCGTGAGCCACCGCGCCCGGCCTGTGATTTATTTTTAATCATTCTTTTCATCTCATTCTAACACACAGATCCAGGAACACATCACTTGTTCTATCCTCTATCTCTCTTACTGCCTCAAGTCTACTTCTGAGCCCTTGAAATAAAAATTGGAAGCTATATTCATACTATTTTGTGAAAGTCAGTATTATCTACCCACTTCTTCTGAAATAAAGGAGATGAGGTTATATGAATTAGGAAGGGAGTGTTTTTTTCTAGATCTATATATCAACTTTACCTGCGTATATGAAATCTTATAAAAAGAAAGTATTTGACCATGTTCAGCAACAAATTGTTACCAAATTGATGAAGCTTCATTAGTAACTCTACTCCTTTCCAATAATTATTTAGGATAGTCCCTGGTATATTATCTAACCCATTGTTAATATGTGCACACTCTTCCCTTGACTCCATAAACCAAAGCTACTCTACGTCCTTCCCTCCCTTCCTGGCAATGGGCAAATAGTGCTTCACCCATAAAAGCATCTGGTCAGGCTACTGGACCAATTTGATAAACATCACTTTTACCACCAATTTTTTTTTTTAATTTTACCCTCAGGTGAGTCATTTTGTACACAGCTCATTACCTTTTGAGCAGTCTTCTGCTGTAGTTTTGTTAAATTTATCCTCAGGAAATCAACCCCTCTCATGGTCACACCTTTCTTTCCACTTCTATGGCTATAATTACCTCATTGTGTCTTAATTGCTTTTATGCTTCGGTATCTCTGCCACTACAGTATAAGCACCTTGAGGACAAGCACTGTGGCTTGATCACTGTAGTGCACTCAGAGGACAGCGTGGTCCTGGCTTGATCACTGTGATGCGCTCATAGGACAGTGTGATCCTGGCTTGATCACTGTGGGGCACTCAAAGTGTAGTAGGGTTCCTGGAGTATGAAAGGCACTCAGTAAAGGCTTGTTTTGTTTCCATTCGTTTATTTTTAATTGTCAGATAATTATAGTGTATATTTATGGGGTACAATGTAATGTGTTGATCCGTGTATACATTGTAGGAAGAGTCAGTCAAGCTAATTAACATATCCATCACCTCACCAACTTATTTTTTGTGGTGAACATGCTGTTTGTTGAGTGAGTGCTCAGAATTGAAAGGCATTGTGTGCTGTGGAGGTGCAGAGGACAGGCACCAAACCCAGGCAGTTGTAGAAAGTTGGGGAAGATTTCAGAGGAAGATAGACAAACTGAGATTTGAAGGGTGACAGCAAGTTAGCTTGGCATAGGGAGAGGACAATCCTGTCAAAAAAGAGCATGGACAGAGTCCTAGATTTGAGAAAGAGCAGGGGCCATAGCCATAGGCAAAAAACCATGCAGCTACACCTTTTGTTAACTATGCCTGAGAATCAAGGCAGAAGTCAGTGTGGTAGACATACGTGTGCATCTATATATGTGCACATGAGAGGAAACTTTGGTTTTTGAAAGTTTAATTAGATGCAATAAAAAGTCAAATCCGTCAGCCTCTAAAACTCTTGATATTTAGCCCAAAGCCCTCTACATGATTAAACATATCCATTAACTTTCTCATTATTTTCTTTTTCCTCAAGCTGAAGTTTATTTTTTCTATCACATTTTAATTCTCTGTTTTAACTGTTGGCATTTTAGTAGTATATTTTAAATAGTTCCACTGCAGACAATAGTATGGTTAAGGAAAGATATTTGAATCTAACCACCTTGCATGAAGTTGTTATATACAGGAACTGTTGCAAGTTCCAAACACTCAACTTAGAAATGAACATTTAGAAAATTACCTGTTTATAAATTGAGGTTTTGAGTGTATAAGGGACAACTGGCAACAGGATGAGATGGAAGCCATACTGGTCTTAGAATCCAAACGTCTGCATCCTTCATTCACCAAGTCCATCAGACTCTTGGTTTCATCATCTGTTGAATGGGATCCACAATATCTGTTCTCCAGTCATAGGTATTCTTAAAATTGAAAGAGAAACTGAATGGGAAACGAGTCACCTAACAGATGGTAGATTGTTGTATTTAGTTATAGCACAAGGTCATTTGCTACAGTAGTTATTTTTATGTTAGACAATAAAAATTTTATCCCCCCTCCAACAACTACAACAATAATATATATGGAAAAATATGCGCAGCAATTTAGGTTAGTAAAACTAAAGCTGTACTTTTTAAAACAAACAGTTTTAAATAGGTTTTCTATGTGTTTGTGTCACAAGTACAGCAAGTACGTTTACAGAGAAATGGCTTCTTGCCTCAATAGCGTGAGGATAATACACATTGTAACTATTTTGTCTCATAGAATGATTGAAGATAGTGGGAAAAGAGGAAATACCATGGCAGAAAGAAGACAGCTGTTTGCAGAGATGAGTAAGTATGGATCTTTTAAGGAACACCCTATAGTTTCCATTGAATACTCATGGAAAGGCTAGAAATAACCATTTATCTTTATGATATTTGTACTTTTCCTTAGGATCCTAAGTTCCTTTCATGAAGTGTACATTTTGGCCTTTTTTACTTCTTACTTGGCAAGAGTTCAGTTAGTCAGTAATTCATCCTAATTTGCTATTAGACTGTCTATTTTATGTGGAAGAAAATGTTTATAGATTTATATATTTACATTCACACATATATGCACATACACAGACAGTTGATAAACACTATTTAGTGTTGACATTAATACAGTCCACTAAACTTTAAAGTCTGTGTTCATCACCCTGAACTGTCACAGCAGCTGGCATATTGTAGGCACTAGATAAAATTTTTGAAATGAATTATTGACTTTCTTCCCTGCAAAGTGATATCATATGTTTATGTGGAAAGGAGAAGTTAGGCACAATTACTGGACCAAACTATAAACTTGTCATTCAGACCTCATGTAGAAAAGGAGAATCTATTCTGCAAACTGGTTTTTTTAAAAATACTAAGGAAAATAAAAGATAAAAGGAGCTTAGAGTTGACCTGCTACACAAGGGAAACCAAACTAAGTTACTGACTCCAGTGAAGAATCTATTCAATAAAGGCTATTGGTTTATGTAAGTGCACAGTTGCTGTATAAGTAATTGGTTGGTAGCATCTCCCTTGTAGACCATTTTTCTTATTCATAAAGAAAAAGAACTTGACATTAGGGAGAAAACCACACATCTCAAGTTGAATATTATAAAGGAAAAAGCATGGTTCTCTTCATGTCTTTTTATCTCTTCTTCCTGCATACGGAATGAGGATGAGCAAGAGTGAGTGGTAAGCCTTTTTCCCTAAGAAGGCAGTAGACAAAATTAGGTTTCTACTAAAGATTGGAAGTGACTGGCAAGAATGAGGGTCAGAACAGAAAAAGGAAAGTCCCAGATAATAAGATTCATATTTTCCTTTATCATTCCCCAATAATCTGGTGGTACCAAGATAGCATTAGAACTAACAAGGAGGAAAGAAAATTAAAATTGATGTGGGGAATCTCAGTCGTGTTCCTTGCTTTTTCCACTTTTAGAGATGTGCTTAGAGTGTTTGGGAGAGTTTCAGCCAGGCCTTCCAATTTCCTAGACCCCATGTGTGGTACTGTGTCTTCACCTGGAATTGTGACCTTTGTGCAGTTACAAATCCAACAGAGCAAGGAGCCTAGTGAGTACTTGTCCATCTAAACAAAATCCAAAGCAGCACAGGTATCCTCCAACAGCACATTCTTATATTAAAAAGGCATAAAATTATGTCTTATATTATAAGACATCATGGGACAATGTCTTCTCAGACACAGTAGAAAAAAAATATTTACCATAAAAAGGCAATAAAATCTGGGGAAAAATATTTGAACTTATCATTATAACACTAAAGACTGTATCAGACAGCACACTGTAAGAACTATAAAAGTATGCTTATTCAATGATTTTGTAAATCCTTCTTTGAGTTTAAGTATCCCAGTGCTTTCTGAACCTGATATAGTGCCTGGCTCAGACAAATACATATGTTACAAATGTCTATTGGATTAAAATTGCCCAACTCAAAGAAAGCTCGATATGATTTTTAGAGACATAGAAATAAGACAACTCTAAGTTTTTCTTCAAGTGACAGAGACTTAGGAAAATTGTGCATTCGGTTCCCAAATTATAACTTTGTGTTTTCATAGAAACATCACAGTGATGTCTTGCAGCTTTATTAGTTCTGTGAGTTCTTGTGATTAACGGTCAGAATAGATAAACAAGCCAAACAAATATATATCTTTCCTCCCTGGGTGTTCCAACTCAAATGTTGGCAAAAACAGCTAAATACGTCTGACCTTAATAATTCATTAGTTTGAGCAACATGTTTATATCAGCACTAAGTAGGGCACATCCACAATAAGTAGGATTCGGCTGGATAAAACAATTGGCTGGTTTCAAAGGGAGCAATTGATTTTGACAGGTAGACTGTCATACAAAAGAGAAAGGTAATATCACTGCGAATGTGTTAAATGGTTGAAAAATATATGGGTATCCCAGCTGTATCAGCAGCACACCAAAGAAAGGAAAGGAAACTCTTATCAGAGAAGACTGACATCAAGATTCAAAAAGTAACTTCTAGGAATCTGTGCTTTCTAGACAGGGAGCAAAAAAGGACTAGACTTGTAAATCTTCTCATCTAAGTATTATATAGAAATATTTAAAGAAAAAACAACAAAAGAAAGTGCCAATGAGATTCTTTGCTTTAGAAATTAGAAATGTGAAAGAAAAGTTGTAATGGCCAGAGTTAAACAGGCAGGGAAGACTTTTATCCAAGACTATTGCAACAAGGGAGAAAGACTGAACTCAACTTCCCTGGAAGAAAAGGCAGGAAGTACTTTAAGCACTGGGGAAAAATACTGGAGGACTTCAGGGAGGAGATTGGTCAATGTGATTAGGCCATCTGTTTGCTAATTGTCACATTTAAAAGTTAGGCTTCTACCCTCCTGATAAGACTTGGAGATAGAGGTGATAAGTCCTTCAATTATTATATTTCAAAGGGCTGGCACCCAGGTTCTTGAGAAAGACATTCCTGGGTTGTAAACTTGGCAAGATATTTACATCTCAAAGGGGCAGAGAAAGAATTTACAATGAAAAGTTTTCTAAAGTAAATGCTGTAAGAAAACAGAGGTCAGAAGCCTAGAGCAAGGAAGAAGTCTATCTAAAGTTAGGCAAGTTGAGGAGGTCTAGGTCTTAGAAAAGGTAAAGAACAGAGAGCAATTGATAAGAAAAATGGATAAGAAAGTTTGGCAAATTCAGGTGATTGCAGCACATATGTGTTAAACATTCACTCTTAGCTCATTACTATAAGCAGCAGAAGCAGGAAGAAACAGCAAAGAAATGAAATTAAGAGAAGCATAGACTAAAAAACAAACAGAAAAAAATAGCTTTATATAAAAAATTGGGTGACCACCTACTTTGATTTAAGAAATTCTGTACAAGTTCTCCCTTAACCAAAAATTCTCTTCACAATAATGCCTTAATTATCAGTTTGCTTAGTACCTTGGATTAAAGCTGAAAAAAACAAAAAAACAAAAAAACCCTCTAGTTAAATATAAACATCATCCTCACCTTGGCTTTTTCAGCCATCATATAAGTTTAGCAGCTTAAATAAGTTTATCAGACTGTCTTTTAACAGAATAAATTGTTTGTTCTTGGAATTAAACTCTCCTTTTCTGTTGTTTTACTCTCAGAGCACATTTACTTAGCCTTATATGGTAGTTACTTGTGAACATGTCCACAACACTCACTGCTGTGAACTCCTTTTTAGGGACAGACCTAGGACATGTACCTTCAAATCCATTCCCCTTAGATGCTGAATCAAGCCTTGTTTAAAAGCCGATTGGGCACAGGATGGGTAGGTTTTAATGGAAGGGAAGTGATTGGAAAACACACTTTGAGAACATTGAAGGCTGCCTAACAAGGTAAGGAAGGTCCTGGGGAGAAATGAGAGTGATGCCACCGGCCTGTCAGCAGAGACAGGACTTGAAATCAAAAGGAGGCAAATGAAACTACTCAACAAATACCATTTTTGGCTTTTGTTTTTGCTTTTGTTTTGAGACACAGTTTCACTCTGTCGCCCAGGCTGGAGTGCAGTGGCGCGATCTCAGCTCACTGCAACCTCCGCCTCCCTGTTCAAGCGATTCTTGTGCCTCAGCCTCCCAAGTAGCTGGGACTACAGGTGCACCACCACACCTGGCTAATTTTTGTATTTTTAGTAGAGACACCCTGGGTTTCACCATGTCTGGCCAGGCTGGTCTCAAACTTCTGATCTTAAGTGAAACACCCACCTTGGCCTCCCAAAGTGCTGGAATTACCACTTGAGCCACTGTGCCCGGCCTAAGTACTGTTGAATTATTTGAAGGCAGGCCATCCTTGAGAGTGTTGGCTGAAGTCGGCACATGCACGATTGGAAAGGAACCTAGGGCATGATTTTGAAACGCACACTATGAGTTTAAGAAAACCGATCTCAAAAATTCAGAAAAATGACATGAATGACCCCACCACCGTAGGTTCATGGATACGGTGACTGTTTTCACTTGCTTCTTCATTTCTCATGCTCCTCAGTCTTTTTAAGATATTAACACCATGGATCGCCACCCCAGAAATTCTCTCTATGTCATCACCCTAACATAGTCTCCTGCTTTTTCTGTCCCCTCTACTTCTCTTTTTCTGTCTCTTAGTACCCTGTAGACACTGAAGTCAGAGAATTTAAAGATTTCTTCTTGACCAGTTGTCTCCATATACAATTTGTCTTTCTCTCAAGCCTTTACCTTTATTGCTATAACCCTTGAGTGTTCAGAGTCCCCCAAAACAACTCTCATTTCTCATGAGCCAGCTTATCCAAAATAGGCAGCACATAAACTAAACTTCCCTTCCAGCCTTGCCTACTTGTTTTCAAGTGTTCTGCTAATGAAGCAGTCTGAGGAGGGCTCATTGTCACTCCACTAATAGTGCCCATCACAAAAATACCTATCATCCCTGCCAAGGCGGCTGCCTTCTAGTGTTCCCAAAGCCTGCGGTCTTTGAACAACTGCCAAGCAGCTGGGCACAGCTCAGAAGTGGGGAGAGCACTCCTGTTCCCAAGTTTGTGCCTCATTTTGTCGCTAGAAATATAGAATAGCCCTACTTGTGCACAGAGTCTCCTGTTGGCAATCTTGGCCCAGTCACGCACACTACTACATTTTGTGTGCTTGTTGATAATTTCTGGAATATACTAAAGCTCTAATCCTTATATCCAACTGTCCTGTGGATATCTTACTTGGACATCTTACAAGCAACTCAAACTCTTTAGCCCAAAACTATCTTCACCCATCAACAAACCTATTCCTCCCTGTTTGTACCTTACTTAGCTCAATGAGGGATACTCTATTCCACTCAGCTACCTAAGGTAGCAATCATTTTTTACCCCCAAACTCCTTTATCTTCCTGTCAGTATCTCTCTCTTTCTCTCTCTCAGTATCTCTCTCTCTCCCTCCATCCTTCACACACACACACACACACACACACACACACACACACACACACAGAGCCAATGATAAAGCGTGGCAGAGTTCAGGCAGCAGGTTCATCATAGGCTTCATTTTTATTCTGGAAATATGTATTGAGCAAAACTTTTAAATGAATGAGATATTTAAGAATCAAAATGGCTATATATTAATAGAGCTATCAAAAATGGCTATATAATGAGCTATCAAAATATAAAAGGCAAAACATACAAAAATTGTGTGAAAATGTTCAGAGTGCAAAAGCTAAAACCAAAAGTTAGATAAGACTGGTTCGTTGATTTGTTGGTTGATTGGTTGTTTGAATGAACAAATGAATGGGTAGGGAAAAGGTGGAAGGAAAGAAGGGAGTGAGAGAGGGAGAGAGAGGGAAGTAGGGACAGAGGGAGAAGAGAAGAAAGAGAATCTTTTCAAAAAGGGCTAAAGAAAGGAAAAACTGCTGTTGATAACAGTGTAAACAATCTGTGTCTTTGCTGTCCTATTTATTACTTCCTTCCAACTATGACATGGGTACAAGAGGCTTGAGGAGACGGTGCAAGAGCACTAAGTTGCCTTAAATAAATTTGTTTTAGTTTTTTTATTATGAAAAGTTTCAAATATATGTAGAAGTAGAGAAAATAGTATTTATCTCAACTCTTAATTATGTATGCCATCCCCCACTGTATTAGTATGAAGCAAAACTAATAAATCACTTAGATCAGTTGAATCACCAGATTTAACGAATTATATTCCAGTGATATAATTCAGAAAACAACCACTATCCATTATTTTGAAAAATAATGAAGAGTACATTGAAAAAAAATGTAACGAGAAAATTCTGTACTTTTTTATTAAAAAGAAAAAGTATAGATTCTTTGGAGTTTAGGGTATGAACTGGTTATAAGTTTCATAACAAAATGGATGTTTTTTAGATCTTGGCCAAAATATAGTGGTAATTCTAGACATATCAACATACTAAAAGCAAAGATTGCCCTGCTGATTTTATTTCTTTACTCATTTATTTAAATTCCATCTTTTTAATAGATAAATTAAGTCAGCTAATACGCTTTTTAATAAGACTACCAGACTGCTAGATCAGAAAAATACCATCTGATAAAAATTAACCTTAATTTCAGCAAGATATTGACCAAAGCTGTTGGACTGTGCATGTGTTGGGGAATTGTGGACTGGGTCACAATACAGTTAGGTAGATTTATGGGGGATGTCATGACCATGTCTAAAGCCACAACTAATGGGTCTATCAACTTGGAGGAAGGCGTCTAGTAGTATCCTGGAAGGCTCTGTTTGTGGACCTGTTCTGGTCCTTGGTTTTAATCAATGACTCGAATGAAGACACAGAACTAATCCCAAAGTAGGTTTTTGGGTTTATAAACTTTCAAGAAAAGACCACACATGTAAAACTGGGTTAAGTTCATTGTTTGCTGGGGCAAAGAAAAATACATTTATTTTGACAAGGCAGATAAACAGAGTAAGAGGCTATGTATCATATCTCAGCCCAGCTTCTTCTGGTCCCTTTCTGGATGGATCCTGCAGCTAACACATACATTGATTGTGCACGGTTGTGTGCTGCTATATCTGACACACTAAATTGTATTGTTCACCACATCCCTTTTAATATTCAGGGCTTACATCATCAGCCAGGAAGAATTTATACAGCATTTATAGACCTACAGACCTCTTCCTGATTCTTGAACAAAACACAGGGTCAGTTAAGTCCACACAGTGATACGACAGGAGAGAGCAGTCAGTGCACTTCAGGCCCAAAGCAGCATCTCTACATCCCTCTTTACTGCATCCTGGAGAAGTGCACCTTTGCCGTATTTCCCCCAGGACTTCAATCAGAGGAAAGTGCAGAGGTGCCAGGGTTACTGTGCTCAGAGGGTAAGGTCTTGCAGAAACTGAGAAACTTAACTATGTGCCACATCACAAACATTTTTTCATCTGGAGCTTAAATCATTATGCTTGAAGAACTTACACAAATAATCTGTGCCCCTAATGTTTTCTTTTAAGTGATTATTTACAGATATTGAGACTCTCCTGATTGCTGAGCCAAACTTAGCACCAATAAAAGTACATCCTCATCTGGGAGCAAAGGCAGATTTAGCATTCAGGTATTTCTAAAAGTCTCTCTGTCTCTGGTTATCGGGCATCTTAGAGAGCTCATTCCCCACGAGTCACATTTACAGAGGGCATGAAACTAGGAAAGATTTTTGAAGTTCCAGTGACAACTTAAGAATTTTAAAAGATTCAGAAAAGTTCCTAGTATGAGCTAAATTTTAAAAGTAACTAACCAGATAAATATGACGTCCTACCCTTAGCTCCAAAATAGGCATTTAAATAGCAAATAGAAAAGATTTGACTTATATAGAAGTGCATATGATTTTTCAAAGCAGTTTTTTAATTAACTTCAAACTTAATAAAAGCTGGCATAATGAGCCGTCTATTTTTAAAAAAAGATCACATTAGTTAGGAGTCCTTATCAAAGGTAGTAATAATTGCTTTCTGTATATTCTATACAGGTAAAGCAATAGCTATTTGGATTAATTTTGGACACCTAATTTTAAAGAGATATTAGCCAGTCACAGAACAGGGTGACTAGAATGTTTAAGGGTTTCAAACCATGCTTGATCATAATGAAAATAATAATAACAACTGCCATGAATTGAAGCCCTACTGGGTACCAGACAGATAAACAGTATACCTGAAATGGCTGTGGAGTTGAACATCTTTTACCCTAAAAAAAGTCAAGGAGAAGCTACCTCCCCAGCTAAATTTTAAAGTCCATGATGACAAGGACTGTTGCACATAATTTTCAGATGGTAATGAGGATGCTAATAATGATAATGTAGCTGCTTTGCAATATTTCAGAAATGAATTCTCAAATGGCAGGGGGAAAAGAGTATGTGACTCCAGGGGAAACTAGATCAAATAGGTTGAAGTTACAGGGAGGTAAATCAAAGCTCAAATATAAAAAAGAAATTTCTATCACATATTTTTGTTCAGAAATGGCACATGAAGCCTCTTAAGGGGCCCATTTACTGTTAAGTGGTCATTATGTTCTCAGTGCAGAAGTCAAGACTTTATATCTGTATTACCAGCCAGTAAAGTTGATATTGTTATCTCGCTTTATCCATGAGGAAATTGAGATGCCAAGGAAAAACTTGGTGAAACTCACACAACTGGGAAGTGACAGAGTTAAATTTTACTTCCTTTAAAGTTCATTTATTTTCACAAGTAATAATCTTCTCTATCATTGGAAATAATCCTACGTGGCCATTGGCTAAATGTTCATCTCTTGAGAACATTTCTAAGGGAATTCCTGCATTGGGTGAGGGTAGTTCCCCATCTCTTTGATCCCTCAAGTGCTCAGTGTCACTAAGCCTGTTTGTCAAAGAATAAGCTTTATTAAGAGTGACCGTTTAATGATCTGCTTTGTAAAACCACAAAGTAATAGGACTATTGGCAACACTTCAAGTGAATCTGAAGATATCGGTTTGAGTTGAAGAAATGCTAAATCCCCTAGTGGGGGACACTTGCTAATTCATGCTGAGTTTCACTGGGAAAGCACTTAATTGGCCGTCTAATATAATCGCTTCCAGGATAGTTCATTTACTTTCTATTCTGTTTTACTCTAAAGGATTCACATAGCACATTTTATTAGTATATGACTGGTAAAGATAAAAGTTCAATACATGCCTTTATATCTGTTATGGACCATAAACATGGGCTTAGAAAAAGAAAATATGTAGAAATGGAGAAAAGCAGACATTTATTGATAGTCTAATGTGTTCTAGACAAAGTCTAGAGATTAACTCATTCAAAGGAGGGTGGGAGGAATACTAGGAGCTCAGGTCTTGATGTAACAAGCAGCCCATCTGCAGGGTATTGAGATGAGACTGACCAAGGCTACGAGAGATTCTGTGGTAGAAAGTGGTGGGCAATGTCGTTAGGCAAGTAAGCTGGAAAGAAACTGCAGACGAGCTTGGATTCTGAGCAGAGCTTTTAGACCTGATGTTCTGGGCATCAGGAGCCATGCTGGACTCCTAAGTGGGAGAGTGAAATAAGGAAAGTAGTTTAAGAATATAGGGAATGTGTTCCCTCTAAGTTAGGAAGGAACTGGAAGCCACAGTAAAAGAAAGGTTGTTTTAGAAAGGCATGTCTTCCTCTGAGATTGACAGGAAGGATCACAAGAAAGTTGTTAGTAATAAAAATGAATACTTATGCAGCATTTACTGTGTGCCAGACGGTGTTTAAGTGCCTTAGGTATATTCACTCATTTATCCTTACAACAGTCCTGTGCAATAAGTACTATTATTATCATCATCCCCATCTTCCAAGTGAGAAAACTGAAGCTCTAAAAGCAATTGGCCTAAGGGCACACAGAGAAGATGCTCAGCAGTCAGTACATGGTCACCTAACAGCCACATTCTAATGACCAATAGCAATGCACTTTAAATGCTTATTTGATGATAGTATCTATATCATCTCGCTGTTTCACTGTAGGTCACAGCTTGAGCAGACTGTTTTCAGAAGTGGTGGACACAACAGGGATGACATTGTGTTTCTTGATCCAAGAATATGGTTTACAACCTAATCTCCAATGTTGATTACATGTGTGTGCTCTTTTTCCCTAGAACCTGAGGAACTTGTCCTTGAATAGGACAGACCTGTTCAAGTCTTAAAGTTATATTTATATTCTAATAAAAATAAAATTAGGGGTAAGGATCATATCTACAGTTGTTTTATTTGTAAACATTGTAAATTTCTTTCTGCACACATGGCATACCTTATGTGTCCTTTTTCCCCGCACTAGGGGCTCAAGATCTGGATCGCATCCGACTCTCCACCTACAGAACAGCATGCAAGCTTAGGTTTGTTCAGAAGAAATGCAATTGTAAGTATGCCAGTTGTTTGGACTAATTACCATCATGAATCCTATAGTTTACATTTGGTACTAAGTTTATTAAACTAGATTCTGTTACAAATATTGCTAATATTGTTATATATGTTTACACAACAATAAAAGGGGTATTATGAGGCACAAATGGTAGAGATGACTCCTAAGTAGTCTTGAAATCTGAAAATGCTTAAATACTAAAGCATATGAACCGTTTAGTTCATACTAAAAGGATGAACCTCTGGATACATATACAATATAATTCTGACCTTGGAATGGTTTAAATCTGGATGGATGTTTTTCTTCTTTTCTCTAACCTTGGTATCATAAATGCAGTGCCATCAAAATGGTTTCCAACATCATTCTCAGCAAACTATCGCAAGGACAAAAAACCAAACACCACATGTTCTCACTCATAGGTGGGAACTGAACAATGAGAACACACAGGAAGGGGAACATCACACTCCGGGGCCTGTTGTGGTGTGGGAGGAAGGGGGAGGGATAGCATTAGGAGATATACCTAATGTAAATGACGAGTTAATGGGTGCAGCACACCAACATGGCACATGTATACATATGTAACAAACCTGCACATTGTGCACATGTACCCTAAAACTTAAAGTGTAATAATAATAAAATAAAATAAAAATGGTTTCCAAGAACTTTATAAAATATCAAACATTAAATCCCCCTTATATTTGTATTTTCTTTTACAAGCACAGGAAAATATTTTAAAGCTTTTGGAAAACATTTAAGTTTTTTTCTGAAAGAACAAAATTAGCTCTTTGTGTCAGAGTTTTAACCACATTTGTTTACATGAGACAAAAATAAGAAAAGAGACAATACTTAAAGAAACAAAGGAACTTGCTCCAGTTTTTTTTTCAAATTTAAAAGTGTAAGCAATAAGCTAGATCACTAGTAACAATGAGCAGTCTTATTCTCTGCTGGGTCAACACTTCCATTGTATTACCATATCCATTTTCTCTTGGAAAAAAATATTGATTCATAGTTCATGTGTAAGAACGTTTTCTTTTCTTTTTAAAAAGTTTACTTATTAAAAAAGTCTCATTTTTTAATTAATATTGGATGAATTTTTAAAAATGAAAACCGTAATGTTCTCCTGATACATACACATAGTTCTATGATAACTGGCATGGTAATTAGACTCATGGTAAGGGTAGAAACCGGCATCTCCACATGTCTACCCTCTCAGAGTCTCTAGAAGATGTTTCCTAGGGCCCTGGGCAGGTCACCTTAGCCCCAGGCTTCTAGGCTTACAGCTAATCATGACTGTGAGGATGCAAAGTACGCATCTATTCCTCAAGTTTCTCCTCTACATCTTATTCCCCAGCCCCAGTGGATAAAAATGGGGCTGAAGTTTGGGGAAGGAGGGGATGGAAGAAAAATATAAGTAGGTTGTCTTATTTTCATTTTCTGTGGCTTATAACAGAATACTTGAAACTTTGCAATTTATAAAGAAAAGGAATTTATTTCTTACAGTTATGGTGGTTCAGAAGTCCAAGTCAAGGGGCTGCCTCTGGTGAGAGTCTGCTTACTAGTGGGACTCTCTGCAGAGTCTCAAGATGGTGCAGGGCACACATAGTAAGGAGGCTGAGCATGCTAACTCAGGTCTGTCTTCCCCTTCTTATAAGGCCACCTCACTCCTGTGATTACTCATGGATTAATCCATTCATGAGGGCAGAGCCCACATGACCAATCACCTCTTAAAAGCCCCACCTCTCAACACTGCCTCACAGGGGGTTAAGTTTCAACATGAGTTTTAGAAGGGACAAACATTCAAACCATAGCATTGGTCACACATCATATATGTGTTTTGACTCCTCACAGGAAGCTAAAGCAATCTAAAATGAGTAGTGAGAAAAGCATTACAGATGTTGAAAGAATTTGTTACTGTATTTGTAGTCCTAATGAGTCAATAAAAGCCATTTCCACTGCTTGCGATAGGGGCCAAGGAAAATGTTCCCACAGAAGAAGTTTCCTCTTCCCCTTCAAACACATCACCCAGATTACAAATAAAAGGAAGAATCTCCGTGTTTTCAGCAATTAAAAGGGATATGATTGTCCCACGTTCTTATCATGTGTTACCACTACAATGGCCTCAGAATTGGAGGGGAAGGCAGAGGGTAAGTGGTAGACACTCTGTCCTCCTTAGAGCTTTGCCAAGCGGAGCCTTCCTTAGGCTCCTTTCAGGAGAGCTAGAGATTTCCAATAAAAGACTACAAAATGGTAAGAAGGAACGCCCCCCCAAAAAAAGCAAAAAAAGGAAAACAAAGAAAAGAAAGAAAGGAAAAGGAAAAGGAAAGGAAGGAAGGGCTCAGGGAATCAGGGACTTGGCAACACTGCACTCAACATTAAGGTGGACACACTGTGTTGTCCCCACTCAACATTAAAGTGGACACACTGTGTTGTCTGCAGCTGTGGTCCACAGGCCTTATCCCATGCCTCCTGCTCTCTGAGAAAGGCACTTTCTCATTCTTGGGCATTTCCTTTTCCTCTTTCTGTTCTTTTCTGGTCCACATCCTTATCCTGCATCCAGAATTGTCTTGGAATTTCTTGAAAAACAGTAGAGAAGAAGTGAGGATGCTAATCCATCCCTGGGTGAAAATAGAAGCTTATACCTGTCCAGTGGCCCTTCAGTCTGTCCATTCATTGACCTCTTAATTCAGTTAAGTGTATAATGAGCTCCTGCTATGTGTTTGACATTGTGCTAGGTACCAAGGATAGTGTGATGATGAATGACATGCAATACCTTCCTTCAAGTTGCTCAAAATCTAACTGAGAATATGGGCTTTTAAGCAGATTTATAAAACCATGTAGAAAGATAATGATAGAAATATGTACATGGTATGTGAGAGCTTCAGGGAGTCAGTGCCCTGAGTTGTTGGGGGTGAGGGTCACTGGTAGGACTTTCCTAGAGAAGGAGATATCAGGAAAGTCTTATTTATTTTATAATGTACCTTATAAAATTCCTGTATTTCAGGATGAGAAAAGATATTACATTCTACAAAATTAGACAAAGTTAAGGCCCAAGGAAAAAAAACAAGCATATTTTGAATGCTTTGCTAAATTAAGGTTTTAAAAATTGTTTCTACCTTCATCAGAGGCATTAAATGCAAGTACTATATGTCTTTGCAAAGTTTTCCTTTCTAACAATAAATGCAACAGTTGTGATATTCAGAGGTATTTGTAAAATGCTTACATAATTGATCTTGGCTTATCTTAATCAAAGTTGAAACCTTCCTTCTAGAAAGTTAGCCAACCAGAAGCAGCAATGTTTACATGACATAACATTAGTCAACATTGAATATATTCGCTGATTAGAGGAAAGTAATTTTAGTCTGCAATAAACCTAACCCACAATAAATTATGATACCTTATAATGGAGTTTTTCCCTACAGTAAAAGAAATAAGAAACAAAATGTAGGTAGCATATTTGTAAGTGCATTTTTTTATTGGAAAGTGTCAGGCTGCTCTAACAAAAATACCATAAACTGGGTGGCTTATAAACAACATTTATTTCTCATAGTTCTGGAGGCTAGAAAATCCAAAATCAAGGCACTGCCAGATTTGGTATCTAGGGAGGGCAGCCTTCTGGTTCATAGGTGGCCCCTTTTCACTGTGTCCTCTCATGGTGGAAGAAGCAAGGCAGCCCTCTGGGGCTTTTTTTTTTTTTTTGACAGAGTTTCACTCTTTTTTCCCAGGCTGGAGTGCAATGGTGCAATCTCGGCTCACTGCAACCTCCGCCTCCCAGGTTCAAGCAATTCTCCTGCCTTAGCCTCCCAAGTAGCTGGAATTACAGGCATGCACCACCACGCCCAGCTAATTTTGTATTTTTAGTACAGACAGGGTTTCACCATGTTGGTCAGGCTGGTCTCAAACTCCTGACCTCATGTGATCTGCCCGCCTTGGCCTCCCAAAGTGCTAGGATTACAGGTGTGAGCCACAACGCCTGGCCTGGGGCCTCTTTTATAAGGGCACTAATCCCCACCATGAAAGTTCTGCCCTCAAGTCCTGATCACCTGCTAAAAGTCCCCACCTGGTAATACCATCGCATTAAGGGATTAAGTTTCAGCATGAGAATTTGGTGGGGCACAAACATTCAAACAATAGCAGAAACTCATTATAGTATTTACTTCGTAGAAATCAGTGGATCTGAAGTGAAAATAGATTGTTTACTTTTAGGTCCATACCTTATTTAAAATTTATTGCGTATACTAACAAAACTAAGTTTTAAAACTACATAAAGGAGGAAAAAACAAAAACGGCTGTTGTAAAACTATCACCTAGAAAAAAAATGAATACTGTCTGCATACAGCACAGACTGTGTATGTTTTCAGGAGATTTCTTTTTTATCTATTATCTAAATCCAAATTTCATAAATGTTGGTTAATTCCCTATAGTTCTTTCCCCACAGCCCTTGCCTACTTTGTTTATGATTTTGCATGTGGACAACTGGTTCCTATCACTGACATTCATGTTTATTTTCTTCTGTTCAATTCCTAATGTATGCTGAGAATAGTCAGTTCCCGGGATTCTAAAAGGACTCTGAACAAGAGGCCACTGTCACCCATGAACTAAATGAGGCCCAGAACCTACTTTTTTATAGAGAATGAACTAATGGATTTTATAGATGAATATTTGTAATCGATTTGATAACAGGGAACACTAACTTGTAACCCCAATTTTTAAAAATGCATACTCCCAAGAAGAATTATATTCTTTTTTTTTTTTTTTTGAGTGGAGTTTTGCTCTTTTTGCCCAGGCTGGAGTGCAATGATGTGATCTTGGCTCACTGCAACCTCTGCCTCCTGGATTCAAGTGATTCTTCTGCCTCAGCCTCCCAAGTAGCTGGGATTACAGGCGTGCACCACCACGCCCGGCTAATTTTGTGTTTTTAGTAGAGAGAGGGTTTCACCAGGTTGGCCAGGCCAGGTGGCATGAGCCACTGTGCCTGGCCAAGAATTACATTCTTCTCATTGGTAGACCAGCATTTTCTTAATGTACCCAATTATTGGATATTTAACTTCAGTAAAAATGTTGTGTAAATTCTTTTTCTCTCTTGTTATGTATGTACTGATATAATATCCCTGATTTTGTCCCTTGGTCCACAAAAAGAATGTTGACCAATCCCTGCTATAAAAGACACTTGTAAGTCCAGGCGTGGTGGCTCACACCTGTATTCCCAGCACTTTGGGAGGCCGAGGCGGGCGGATCACAAGGTCAGGAGATCGAGACCATCCTGGCTAACATGGTGATACCCCATCTCTACTAAAAATACAAATAATTAGCGGGGCGTGGTGGCGGGCGCCTGCAGTCCCAGCTACTTGGGAGGCTAAGGCAGGAGAATGGCATGAACCCGGGGAGGTGGAGATTGCAGTGAGCTGAGATCGTGCCACTGCACTCCAGCCTGAGTGATAGAGTGAGACTCCTTCTCAAAAACAAAAACACACTTGTAAAAAACCCATCTTCTTTTTGAGTCAAAGGGTTCTCCTTTCCAAATCGCTTCTTCCCCTTACCATTCATCTTTGTACCCTGCCATACCTTCCCCATGATGTAACTAGCACATTCTCTAACAGAATAAAAGAATGAGTGTTTCTAAAAAATTAGGGGACACCAAGTTGATTATTTGATATTCTAGGAGGAATGGAGCAGAACAAAGAATACAAATAATATTTTAAATAATCCTTTCTAATCAGTAGTCTTCTCTTCAGCTTCCAGATTTTTTGTTAACTTTCCACAAAAATTAATACCCCATAAACTCTTATAAGGATATATAAAATGGCATCATCTCAGCCTTTATTTTAGACAAATAGCTGTTTCTACCATAACATTATTTCCTTGGTCAGCATTGACGTGGTTAATGATCCAGATACCCTGTAATGTCAGCAGATCTTTTTTTTTTTCAGAAATTACTTTGGAGTCAATGAAATGCAGCCCTAAAATCATGAACAACAAAGGACAACAAGAGAAATAAATCAGAAATATCTAATCCCTCCTGTTTAATAGTAGGAACAAAATTAAGAAGGCAAGGGAATATTCTATCCTACACCCACAGCTAACATTGCACCATCTTTTAGTCCTACTGGTTACAGCCTGAATTTTCTTTCCATTAGTCATATCAACTAAAATTTAATTAAAATTTTGTTTAAAAGGCAAAGAGGAGAAAAGGTCTATAATTATATCTCGGCTGTCAGAGTTTCTCAACATACTCTTTTTCTAGTAATTGAAATATTTTAAAGGTATCCTTCATTCAGATATGTTAAGTTAGAACACCTGCTTTTTCTATGTTACTGTCTCTAAATTTCTTTTCAAATTTCTTTTGAACCAAAAAAATGCAGTTACCTTTTTACCTAAATGTTTCTCTATCACCATAAAAGTAAGCCAAGTGAGTCCCATATAACTAGTCGGTCCTGAATCAATATTCTATGAATGAACGAATATGCTCCACTAGATTCATTTCTCACCAGTCAGGTGACTAGAAGAACGCTGGTCTTATGTGGCAGGAGTAGCCTTGAGCTATGTTTTTAGTAGTAAACACTAATATTCCACTCATTTTTCTTCCAACTAGTGTATCAGTATTTTCCTCTTCCCTGCTTCATGTTTAAATATGTGGATTTTTAGCTGCCACTATGAATTTTCTATTCTTGGTAAAAAATTACCATAAATTTAGCAGCTTAAAGAAGCACACATTTATTATCTTACAGTTTTTGTAGGTCAGAAATCCAATGCAGCATGGCTGGGTTTTCGGCTTAGCTTTACACTCAACTAAAATCAAAGTGCTGGTTGGGTCTGTGATTCTCATGTTGGGATCAAGGTTCTCTTCTAAGTGCATTCATTGTGGGAAAGTGTTATTTTCTTGTGGTTGTAGGATTGGGGCCCCGTTTCCTTGCTGGCTGTCAGCTGGAGACTACCTTCAGTTCCTAGAGCCTCCCTTATTCTTTGCCTCATGGCCCCTGTGGGCTGCTCAGGGCATGGGTGTTTGTGGCTTCTTCCAGCCCAGCTAGAGTGTCCTCTCTGACTTCCCCATTTATGACTAGCCAGAGAAGTCTCCTTGCTTTTCAGTGACTCACGTGTTTATATCAGGCCCACTCAGATGATATCCATATTTTAAGGTCAGCTAATTTGGGATCATAATATCATCTGCAAAATCCCTTCACTGCAGCCCCTGGATTCATGTTTGAATAACTAGGAGAAAGTATGTGACACCATGCACCAGGAATCAACCACACTGCTCAAGAACATAGACTCTTGTATTTCTCAGATAACGATGTATAAAATCTTGGATGTAAAAATAAAGTTTAAAGTCGGAAACACAGGCAAGAGAAATCGAACCAGAGAAAGATATGTATTTAAAAGAGAGGGATCAGAGGATTCTCCCTAGTCAAGGAGCCAGCAGGAAAAGCAGGAATATTCACAGTTGGGGAAATAAACTGCAGATGACTAACCCTTGGAGCACAATTATCTATGTTAGTGTTGTTGCAAATGTTTTTACTACATATTTTCATTCCTGATGTTGAATCATTCTAGACACTTGTTTAGAATAAAGGAAGGTGCATTGTGCTAGAATGCAACGTTCCCAAAAATTCCCTGTGGGAAAGTTGGTGGTGGCAGTGGAATATAAACAAACCTATTAAAGATGCCTATGTAATAGGACAATGGAAAAACTGCTCCTCTCTGGCACCCTGGACCTATGGCAAAATTATTTCCCCTTAATCAGAGTAAACCTCTGGATGAGAAAAGCAATGATTTTAAAGTCCTGATGATTATGATATGGGTTTAATTAAAGCTGCTTCTTCCCTTTAATGGTTTTTAAGATCTTAAAAATCAGGGTTTTGTTTCCTTGTTAGTAGACTTTTGTTTTAGAGAATGCCAGAAGCTTTGCTTAAACTGCTGCCACTGCATAACCTGTGAGCTAAGCCACACCTGTAGTCTCGTTTCCAGGCATCTGGATGTAACACACAGTGACTTCCTTCCCTTTCTTCTGCTTCTGCATTAGACGTGAAAGCTGTGCCAACTAAGCACTTTTACTTTCACAGCTGAGGAAAAACCATCATCTTAAAATGCTCCTGTCAGTTGGGAAAGAGTGATGCATACAGAGGAATGCGTTTCAAGCTTCCCAACCCTATCTAACAGGTGCCAAGGCAAGATTCGATGACCTTCCCCTGGTGGCCTGCCAAGCCCTGTTTCTGGGAAACTGCCTGCTTGGCTTGGAGCCAGTCAGCAGAGCGATGAAGGGATGCCCAGAAGGGGTTCTCCCACTGCCTGGCTCCCAGGATCTCAGGACTCCAGCACACATTGTAAGAAAACAGAAGTCAGTCGGGAGGACAGGGATGGGAGAGCAGCTTCTCCCATGAAATCACACCTGAGATTCCATCTGAAAGTCACTCCTGATGTCACCTGGGTTCACTCCTCACTGAGGTTTTGTTAACATTCATTGTTATTAGCAATCACTCATTTATGTATTCACTCCATAAATAGAGACAGCACTTACTGCATGCCAAGCATTATTCTAGATCATGGGGAGAACAGTGTGAGTACAAAGTGGACCATTCAGAAATTCATCCCTATTTGCATATTCTCTTACTGAAACTTTACATAAATGCATATTTATTTTAGTGTACTTCTTCAGCAATAAAAATTTCATTTTCAATATATCACTCTCACCTGTCGAAGAGTAAAGCAAAAGAGAGATAGAAGTTGGTAATAGAAAAGTGGAAGATTTATTCAGCGAATCCTTTTAAAAGAGAGGTTGCTTCCACAGGGTACCAAGACTCATCAAGTTTCTCAAGTCATAAATCTGGGCATCATCTTTGACCTCTTATCTCAACCCAGATTGAATCAATCATAAAAATCTCATCAGTTATGCTTTCACATATATCTCAAATCTATCCACATCTTTCTGTGCTGACTACAAATGCCTAGTCCAAAACATCTTTACCTGAATTACAATCTAAAATGGCTCCTAAAACTTCCTATCCCCTGAGCAATCCCATGCATAATCCCCAGGACTGGGAATTTCGTGGAATTCACTCCTGTGATTAGATTATGTTACATTGCACAGTTGCAACAAACCTTAAAATAGGGGAATCACCTGGGTGGGCCTGAACTAATCACCTGAGCCCTTTAAAAGCAGAGAGTTAGCCAGGTGCAGTGGCTTATGCTTGTAATCCCAGCACTTTGGGAGGCCGAGGCGGGCGGATCACAAGGTCAGGAGATCGAGACGATCCTGGTGAACACTGGGAAACCCCGTCTCTACTAAAAATACAAAAAATTAACCAGGCTTGGTGGTGGGCGCCAGTAGTCCCAGCTACTCAGGAGGCTGAGGCAGGAGAATGGCGTGAACCTGGGATGCGGAGCTTGCAGTGAGCCAAGATTGCACCACGGCACTCCTGGGCGACAGAGCGAGACTCCATCTCAAAAAAAAATAAAAATAAATAAATAAATAAAAATAAAAGCAGAGAGTTTTATCTGGCAGCCGTAGAAGAGAAAATCAGACGTTTGAAGGGACAGATGAATTTGTCATGCCATTGCTGGCTTGAAGATGGAAAGTGCCACATGCTCAATCACTAGATGTTGGGAGACAGCTGGCTGACAGCCAGCAAGGAATAGGGACCTCAGTCCTATGGTCACAAGGAACTGAACTGTGCTAACAAATGTCTTGAAAGTATTTTTTTTCCTCAGAGCTTCTAAAATAAAACTGAGTTCAGCCAACACCTTGATTTAATCTTGTGATACCCTGAGCAGGGAACCAGTCATGCCATACTTAACTCCTTAACTACAGAACTGTGAGTTAATAAGAGTCTTGTTTTAAGATTATGAGTTTGTGGTTATTTGCCACACAGTCATAAAGAACTATACACAGTAAAGCATGGACCTGTGCTTTCTGCTATACACAGTAAAGCATGGACCTGCACTCCAGTGACATCTGTGAGAAAGAAGACTGCTCAGATATGTAAGAGCCACTGGGACATATACTTTGTATAAAATTCAAAGCAGGACTGAGACTGAATAACCCTGTAGGTTTAGAAGGGGAGTGGACACTTTGTTTTACACAACTGATGAAGTTCAGCGCTATTTACCGAAAACTTTTCCCTTATCAAGTTCCAAGTCCCTTATCATCATAGAGGGAGAAAAAGGAACCAAAGGCAGGATCTGGACAAGGAGCAGGATAACAAAGGTGGGAGAGAGAAGTCAAAAGTCAACCATTCTGAGTAATGACACCCCCAAAGCATCCTCCAAACACGGAGAAGCCACACAGGGAAATAACATATGAGTATTTTCTTTTTGAGACAGAGTCTTACTCTGTCGCCCAGGCTGGAGTGCAGTGGCACGATCTCAGCTCACTGCAACCTCTGCCTCCCGGGTTCAAGCTGCATCAGCTTGATTCACCTGCATCAGCCTGAGTAGCTGGGACTACAGGCACTTGCCACCACACCTGACTAATCTTTTGTATTTTTAGTAGAGATGGGGTTTCACCACGTTAGCCAGGATGGTCTTGATCTCCTGACCTCGTGATCTGCCCGCCTCAGCCTCCCAAAGTGCTGGGATTACAGGCATAAGCCACCGTGCCTGGCCCACATGAATATTTTCTACCACAAAATGAATTCAATCTCAAAGGGATATCTAAACCCAGATTAGATCTTGTCACTTCTCTGCTCAGATTCCTGCAGTGGCTCCCCACTTCCCTCATGGTAAAAGCATAGCCCTGACAATGGCCCAGTTGGCTCCACTGGATCAAGTCTTTTTTTGTTCTGCCCTCATCTCCTCCCACTCTCCTATCTGGTTACTCTGTTCCATCCACCATTGGCCTCCTTACTTCACTGGGAACATACCAGGCATGTGCCCGCATAGGGCCTTAGCACTGGCTGTTCCCTTCACCTGGAATTCTCTTCCTGTAGCGAACTCAATGGCGGACCTCCTCGTCTTTCTCAATTCTTTGCTCACTTGTCATCTTCTCAGTGAGCTCTCTACCTTGGCAACCCCATTTAACACTCCAGTTCCCCTATCCGCCTTGTCCTATTGTTTGTATTTTTCCTAAAGTATTTATTACATTCTAATATACGCTATGCTATGTAATTTACTTAGTTGTTATGTTTATTACACCTTCCCAACTTGAGTGTAGGCTTCTTTGGGCAAAGATCAGTGTATGTCTTGTGTACTGACATATCCCCCATACCTGGAACATTATAAGTGTTCAAAAAATACTTACTGAATTAGTAAATCAACATTTTGAGACTACTGGGGAGGAGCTCTTGAACAAGAAAATGATGTCAAAGATAGTGTATGGTTCAGTACCTATTAATTTTAAATGAATAAAATACCACTGGAGGTCTACCTAGTGTGTTGACATTAAGTTGTATTTCAGAAATGAAAAATATTTATAGATATCTTCTGGGTTTACCCCAATGCTCAGTATCCATCCATTTTCACACTGTATTAGTTCGTTTTCACACTGCTATAAAGAACTTCCCTGAGACTGGGTAGTTTATAAAGGAAAGAGGTTTAACTGACTCGCCATTCCATGTGGCTGGGGAGGCCTCAGGAAACTTACAATCATGGCAGAAGGTGAAGGAGAAGCAAGTACCTTCTTCACAAGGCAGCAGGAGAGAGAAGAGAGCAAGAGAAGAACTACCAAACACTTATAAAACCATCAGCTCTCATGCGAACTCACTCACTATTATGAGAACAGCATGGGGGAAACTGCCCCCATGATCCAATCGCCTCCCTCACTTGGCACATAGGGATTACAGATCCCTCTCTCCACATGTGGGCATTACAATTCACGATGAGATTTGGGTGGGGACACAGAATCAAACCACATCAACCCCTAAGTCTGTTTTCCTCTTAAGTGATCTGAACTTTGACTTTTCTTGCCATAAGGCTTCTAAAAATCTTAACCCTCATCATTGTGTTAGTGAGGGAACTGCAGTAGCTTTAAGAAGCCTAGCTATTGAACCTATGACTAGAAGGCCATGTGACAAAACCCATTACAGAGAAAGCCCTATGGATTTGTGAGGTTTTACAGGGGCAGAAGGATCTCGCAGCAGATTGAGGTTTTCTTTTCCTAAGTTATTTGGGAGACTTCAGAATCAACTGGAACTTAAGAGCATCATTCTAAAGCTTGATACATAGAAGCTCCTACAGGAGATGGGGAGGGATGATTACATCAAACCTTAAAAATATAAATATCAAAAATAAACCAAGCCAATTTACTATCCAAACAGCTAATGTATTTAGGCAAAAGACTTTTAAAAAGACAATTGCATTTTTTATTACATTAAGTGCAATGTAGAGTGGCACCGATTGTCTCCACTTCACTCTTTTTATAGCATATTTTATCTTTTTCTAGTTAAATGTATTCAATGCTTTTTAAAAAGGTTGTTAAAATGTACATAACATTTTAACCATTTAACTGTATGGTTCAGTGGCATTGAATACATTCACAATGTTGTTCAAGCATCATCACTGTCAATTTCCAAAATTTTCTCATCATCGCAAACAAAAATTCTGCACTCATTAATTTTTTTAATATCCTGGAAATATTGTCTCAGCCATTCTTTTCAGTGATGGCCACCAAATAGACTAACCTCTGGGGTATAGACTAAAATGGCTAAAAGTCAAGCACATGGTTAAGTGACCTTCATGGTACCCCTAAAAAATGTTCGTGAAAATAAAGTTACTTTACAAAACAACCCTATTTGTCAATGACTTGTAAAATAAAAGCTATATATATAGGGAAAGTTTGTTGTTGTTGTTGTTGTTGTTGTTTTGAGACAGAGTCTTGCTCTGTAGCCCAGGCAGGAGTGCAGTGGCGTGATCTCGGCTCACTGCAAGCTCCACCTCCCAGGTTCACACCATTCTCCTGCCTCAGCCTCCCAAGTAGCTGGGACTACAGGCGCCCGCCACCATGCCCAGCTAATTTTTTTTTTTGTATTTTTAATAGAGACGGGATTTCACCATGTTAGCGGGAAAGTATTTTTAAAAATCATTCTGCAAATATGTATGGATCACCCTCCATGTGCCAGGTGCTCTGTAGACAGAACAGTAAACAAAACAGAAAAAAACATTCATGTAGCTTGCATTCTAGCAAACAACACAACAATTTCAGATAGGAGCAAGTAATCTAAGGAAAACAAGACAGAATGATAAGAATTGTTTTGTGTCTTATCACTGTTTACATCCTCCACAGTGTCTAGCACACAGAATGCATTTGACCCATATTCATGTGCAGATGGGTTCATAAAATGTCTATTGAGTAATGACTCTATGCATGACATCTTACTGAGTACCTTGAGGGACATGGAGATTATTCAGACTTGGAGCTTCACTTCAAGCTCCTTGTAAATGATCATAAGAAACCTGATATGCACATTCTAGAGGTAGCTATTTGATAACTTATTTAGCTTTTTCCTTGGCCTAAACCCAGTTTTTATTTCATTTTTCTTTCCATTACTCTAATTTCCCAGGCCCTTTCTAAAGTCTTTGCTCAGCATGGTCTGTACAACTTACTTTAGCATCTTCAAAATGTTCAGCAGTAGCAAGAAATCTAAAAGCCTGAATTGTCCAATAAAGGATTCTCCCTTTCTTCCCTTTTCAAAGCCCCCTCCCCCAATAATAACAACAACAATCCATCCTCAGGAACAGTTAGATGTGTGTCAATCAGATAATGTTGGTTCTTGGCACTATCTTTGCATTTAAAAGGGAAAAAATTTAACTGGGGCAGCATAAGAAAACAAATGCAATGAGATTTTTCCATTAGTTTAAATTATTCTAGATAGTAATATTCCTTAGTATACAAATTTAGTAATAGAATAACCTCAAGTTTACAATCCAACGAATGTGTTCTATTTATTATAATGCTCCTGATTTTGTAGATTGGTAGTATCAGACAGTGGATAGTGGATCTACTATCAAATAGTAATTCCCCTCTCATGCTTTGCTGCATAAACTGATATCTGCCCTATCAATCTCATGAGCCAAATGTCATTTTCTGAAGGAAAAAGGGGTTACTTATAATTATGGTAGTTACAAAATCAAGTATATATATATATAACATATTTAAATAAATTGTCGGTAGCTGTTTTTAACCATTGATGGTGTTGGGCTAGGACGTCTGCTTTATCTCCTTGTCTGTCAGAAATTATAAAGTTCTATTTGTTCAAGGTGAGGAGAGCATAGTACAAAAGATATTAAGTGGCTTCCCTTGGGTAAATACCAGATAAAATCATGTAATTAAAGAGCCTTACTTCTAACTTCCCAATATTATCCAAGTGTTATAGTAGACAGTCAGTGTCCTACAATGTCTGTCAAGCCTTGTCACCAAAAAACACTGGAACATTGAGAAAAGCATGTGGACCAGCAAACCTGCTGTAAAACTGATAGTAATGGCACCAGCCCTAAGCAGCTTACTTTCTCAGAAAAATAATCAGCCTTTTTGATATAATCAAGTATGATACATTTTATCTTTCAATTTAAATAGTGCTAAATAAAAAACAATGATATTATATTGTGGAGAAAAATAAAGTGAGAAAAATTTATGTAACTAAACAAGAATCAGAATCTGCTTCAAACATGGTCATAATCATCATTTTCTTCTCATTTATTGTTCTGGGAGGATTCAGCCAGGAATAGACAGAGACTTTATTAGGATCAGTGCTTAGTCTGTTTCCCCAGGAAGCAGACCTCAGGACAAAACTTGCATGGAAGCAGCTCACTGGGATAGTGAACCCAGAACAAACTGAAACCAGGAAGGGAGGAAAGCTGATAGACAGTGCAGGAATTTCCAAGAAACCTTGTCCAATGCACTCCAGAACTGTCCATTCAGGAGACAAAAGGAGAGAGTTCTAACCTAGCTGCTCTGTCCTGCATTGGTCAATGGTTGCCTACAGGAGTTAATGTCCTCATGCTTCTAGGTTGCACATGTGTGAGTGGTAGCTAAGTTCCAGGTGTTTGTACTGAGATGTCAGAGGTATTCAGAAAGAGGCTGAGGCCAGCCATTGTCCGGTTGCAGCTGCATCAACCTGGTTAAAATCTGTGTGGTACCAGTCACGTGTGCAGGGGCAGGAGAAAGAGGCAGGGCCAAGAGGATTTCCAAAGGTACACAAGAAGGATCTGAAATATCACTCACTTGATTTTCATTATTCAGGGTTCTTCATCACTATTTTTCATGGGCTTTTTAAAAAATTTTGTTTTAATTGAAAAAGAGTAGTATACATTAATATGTATGGAGTACAATGTGATGTTATGATAAGGTAGACATTGTGTAATAATTAAAACAGGCTAATTGACATATACATCTATCTTACATACTTATCATTTCTTTGTGATTAGAGCATTTAAAATCTAATCTTTTAGCAATTTTGAAATATACATTATTAACTTTAGTCACCATGCTGTGCAATAGATCACTAAAACTTATCCCATTGGCCTTAAAAGTTTTTTTTAACAAAAGATACACTCCTCATGTTCTTTATACTATATTGATTTATGGATGACCTCACTCAAGATACCTATAAATGACCTGTACTGCTGATTAACCACCTAGAGATCTCTTCATCCCAAATTCTAGTCCTATTTCCCAAGCAATTTTCTATGCACTAGGGAGCTGGGCCACAGCTATTTTCTGAATGAATGAATGAATAAATAAATAAATAAAGTGGATTTTCTGTTATTTATTTGTATTTATTCTCATTGCACAGAGAATTGTATAGATATATAGTACAGAATGAATGAAGTAAAAGTAATGCAGTTGCTACTTACTCACTTTTTTCAATGGCCAGGTATACTTCATCTATTTGAGTTTATGTTGGCCAGATGGGCACATAATTCAGGGTCAGTGAGTTCAAATTTCTAAAGGACAAGTAGGAGACAGTTCCTCATGGCTGCCAGCCCTATCGGTGCTCTTTCAGAATGTGGCCTCTGGCTTCTAGGATTCTGGCCACAGTTCAAGTTACTGCATAAGAAATAAGAAAGGTTCTGTGGAAAACTATGCCCAATAAAGCCTTGTGGAGCTTTCTTAGAACACTGAGGTAAAGGGAAAGCTTCTAAAGATTATGTGTAATGCTGGGCATCCAGTAGGTGCCCTACTCTATTCCATTCACTTAGCATTATTGAGAACCCAGTTTGAACAAGGTATTATGCAGAGTTGAGAGGAATGCAAAGATGAACAAGACATAGCCCATGCCCTCAAGATGCTAGCACGTAGTTCTGTGGTTTTTAAGTTTACCCCCACGTATCTTCTGGAGAAACTGATGAAAGCCATGGACCTATGTTTCAAAATATACATGACCCTGAGCATAAAATTTAGCTCATGATTTTATATTAAGTGGAATTTATAATTCCAATTATGGAATGATATAAAACATTCAGGAAAAAACTTGTTTATTAATAACTATGGAAAATATGTAGTGTCATAAATGGTCCAATAGATATGTGAAGTGCTCTGGGAGCAACAAAAGGGAGAAAGTAATCCTACCTGAGGGTATAAGAATGAGCATCCTCAGGGACATGGCATGTGAGTGGTACCTTGAGGGATGGTGATTGTAGGGCACACCTGGTGGAGGGAGCAGGCTAAGTAAAGGCACATACAAGAAAGCCAAGGGAATGTCCTGGAATTTATGAAGTCCAGTGTGGCTAGAGCATAGGACTCTTGGAAGAAGCTGGAGAATAGTGGGAGATGGGACTACAGACTAGTAGACTGAGGTCCAAACACTGATTTTCATGCTTAGCCTGTTGGGTTTTACTCAATAGGCAATGGAGAACGGCATGGCCAGAGCAGAACCTTATAATATTTCTTAGGATAGACAGAAAGAGACAGAAAGTGGAGGTGAGTAGGAGGCTTGCTTCTAAGTAGAAGGCTTTTACAAGCCTAGATTAGGGCACTAGAATGTAGGGAATGATAAGACCACATTAAAGATGTGAGCTCTAAAAGCCCTTTATAAAATGACTGTCCACAGGAGAAATAAGATACAAGATTTTCTTGCTTCTAAAGTGATTAATATTCTGAATAAAGTTAAACACTGGCAATGAGAAATTAGTTATCATTCAGATCTGTCTTTTCATTTACCTTCTCTTATTATTTTTGTAATCCTTGGTATAATACTTTAAAAATAATGGGCTTAATAAATCCTTGTTCAATTGAATGTTTTTAGATTTAATTTATAGTGTGACAGCTACTGAGTCAACAATTTTCATACCTCACTTTGAATAACGATTCTGGTCTGCAGACACAATTTAAGGAATACTGAATACCTTTTCCTAATAGGCAATGGATGTACTACCAGGGCCTGTGAAGATTGGCATGATATTCAATTTGATTTTACACCAAAAATATGTTGTAGACCTTTTCATGAAGGTTTATTACATCATCTTAACCAGGAAATTAAAGTGAAACTAAAATGTTATCTCTGTAAGACATGATGCTTCTCTCTAAGGATCCTTAGCAAAGAGAACTACCTTGGAGATAAAAGCATGCTTTCAGAGCCAGAAAGACGTTGAGATTGGAAGCATAAAAACGCCTAGTGAGCTACTCAGCTGTTGTTTGGGTTCACATTTTATAAAGGTATAGCTCATGCTCACTAATGGAAAACAAATCTGAAGATTGTGCCTTTAGTAACATTTTCTTTCTGATTTCAATGTTTGGTTAATGTGGGTGATGGCGGATAGCTTCAGTGTAATCACATAAAAATGTATCTATTGACCCTGGAAAAGCATACCATTTAATTGAGTCCTTCTTCCCTAAAAGATTTTTAAATACCATTTTCTCATGATAAGAGGCCTGAACAAGGGCATAAAAATAAATTATTTATTTTAGAGCTCTTAACAACTAGGTAATTTGCACCTGGCTTTCTTGGCCACAGTGCTCCCAGGAAATTCCTCTGAATCAAAGGAGCATCTCTATTCTTCCTGTCTCTTGTCTAACTCCATTCTTTAAGTTGTGCTCCATAGCAGTGGTTCTCAAACTTTATTGTCTAACAAAATCATCTAAGAAGCTGATTATACCTAGGGATGCCCTGGCCACACTCTAGACCTATGGATTCAAACTCGATAGTTTGAGACCCACTTATGGCTCTAAAGAACAGCCCGGGTTTCCACCACCATACCTCTTAGCTTTAGATGGGGCTCTGAATTAACTCACATAGTAGTCTGAAAATGAAATTAAACATTTAACTTTAGGAGATTCAAATCTTTAATAAAATATAAAAACAAAGATATTCCCTCATTGAAAAATTAAGAGTGTTATATACTGGGCAGTATAAATGAATAGTTATAGACCCTGCTTTCCTCTAAGCTCCAACACAAATTTCTCTGGTTCTAGGTCAATATAAAATCTAAATGCACCATCATCGTTCTTTGCTCTGTGCCATTGCTCACTGAACCCACTTCTTCCTGGAATATCCTTCCCTCCTTATCCCCATCTATGCACTTTCTGCTGTGTTTTAGGAATCAACTTGAGCCTTACCTCCTCTTCCAAATCTTTACATAGTTTCCAGCCCATAAAGCATTCCTGTATTTTGAGCTCCTGTAGCACTTTTCTTTTTAATCTGCACTGTGGATGTGGGCTTTGGATAACACAGTGTCTTGTGGTGATCTTCAGTTAGGTCATCTGAGTGTGTCTTTCCCCATGAGACTTACAATCTTTTTTGTAGTCAGGCTCTCATATTTTGTTAAATCACCAATAACATCAACCATAATGCATTGTAGAGCCTTAAAAATGCTGGTTGGATTTAATTTCTTTGAAACTATTATGGAATCTAGCTGCTTGTTCCATTTCCCAACTCTGTGTGTATATGCATATGGCAATCTTTCTCCATATGTTACAGCCTGCATGTATGATTGATGCATGGCAACTAGTGATACACTGAAATATTCTTTTTTTTTTTTTTTTGAGATGGAGTCTTGCTCTGTCGCCCAGGCTGGAGTGCAGTGGTGCGATCTTGGCCCGGTTTCACACCATTCTCCTGCCTCAGCCTCCCGAGTAGCTGGGACTATAGGCGCCCACCACCACGCCCAGCTAATTTTTGTATTTTTAGTAGAGACAGGGTTTCACCGTGTTAGCCAGGATGGTCTCAATCTCCTGACCTCATGATCCGCCCTCCTCAGCCTCCCAAAGTGCCAGGATTATAGGCGTGAGCCACCACACCGGCCCCTGAAATATTTGATTTGAAATTGAACTAAACTCGTAATCACTGTGATACAGTCTCTCATGGATTTATAACATCATTTCATCCACTAAAGGGAAAACAAACCTCAAGTTATAGAAGAAAGCTCATATTAAGGGACAAATATATTTATACCAGACAGAGTGAGGCAAAGAATTGAAAGAATTTTTGTGAGTGGAAAATTTTTATAATTCTACCTGAATATGAGAGTAAATTTTAATGCCTCTCTGTTTGCTCTCAAAAATAAGAATAATGCCTAAAATTTATATAGTACTTTATATTTTACTCTTTTCCCATGTACATTTTCACTGTTCCTCAGAACTCTATCAGAAAGGATATTATTATTCCCATTGTACAAATGAAGAAACACTTGAATCCCAGTGTCTCAGTTCATGTTTCTCTATAAGAGAATATAAATAGTATGTATATATAAATGTCAAATCCCATTGTATACCTCTGAATATATACAATTTTTATATGCCAATTGAATATTTTGAAATCTAAAAGGAGAGAAAATAGATTATTATTGCATGCTCAATGCACTTATTTAATATCTCTATCTCCTCCCTCTCCGACACACATGTAAGTTCTGTGTGATTAGGGACCTATTTTGTACACTCCAATTCTAGAAACCAGAACAGCACTGCAACACAATAAGGACTGAATAAACACTTATTGTATGAGAGAAGTTATAAGACTAAGATGGAAGACTACAAAATGCAGCCAGTGAGCAGCTTAGGGTAATGAGTCTCAGGAACCTAGTGTCACTCCTGACATTCTCAAGGGGCTAAGTTCCTCTCCCTACCTCCTCACACCCCAGTTCTGTGAAGCCTGGCCCACATGTGAGCTCCTTAAAAGCAATTTTTTCTTAAAGTCTACTTGGTGCTTAGAATACTGAATGAAACTTTCCATTTGAGAGTTGTCGTAGGAACAAGACAATGCTTATATGCGTGTTCATCTGTTCATTCTAAGGACATTGGAACTTTGTTTGATAACTAAAAGAATGAGTCTCCATAATTAACTTTTCTACAAGCTAGCAAATGTATTTTAAGAATCTGCTATATGAAAGAACATAATATGGCACTTCAAACCCGGTGTGTAAACTAATCAGAAATACTACCTGAACTTTGTTCTTGTACTCTGAAGAGTGTAATTGCAATGGAAATTCATGCCGGGAATATTGCACTGAAGGTCAGGAAATTTACATCTAGGGAGGGGAGAACTGAATGCATTTTCAGGAGAAACTATTTATCTTTGTTGCTATGGGGATTCCTGCATATATCTGCATATCTCAAAGAGGGGAAAACAAGTCATAACAGAAACCTCAGACACCAGTCACCCTCACTTTAAGCACGGAGGGCAGGGTGGAGATTGAGGGAGCATGCGCATGGATATACACACACACACACAAAACCACACACAACACTGTCTACGCACAAGAAGATATATGTATTCCCAATAGCAGATCAACAGATTATATCCAATTTCCAGCATAACTACAATTTCCTGTTCTCCTAATTAAAGCACATCATAATGCAATGAGTGACCTTCTTAGGGATTAAGCCTCAAACCCTTCTAAAATAATATGTATATATATCCTTATACAAATCACTGTTAAACTGCATAAATTAATTTATGGTAATCAGCTTCTTGCAATACACCTCACAACCTACGAAGACATTTCAGGCTGTCTTGATGCCAAAGGACTGAGAACTACTGACTTCAAGAAGCGCTTCTTATACTTAAATGTGAATACAAACTGCCTAGATATGTTGTTAAAATGCAGATTACGATTTTCTAGGTCTGTGTGGGAGCCTAAGAGATGCAGCATTTCTAAATAGCCTGTGTTTTGTTACTACAAGTGTGATGTTGGACCACCAGTATCACCAGGAATCCATTTTACATCCTTGCAGGTGATTCCATTGTGAAGCCACAGTTAAGGATCACTATTCCATAATGACTAAAGCTAAGTCACTATAATTGTCTACTGACCTTTCTCAGCTGCAAGCCCTTTGAAAACCTTCTAAAAGTTTATAATCAGTGGTTGTCAGAATCACCTGGAGAGTTTTGTCAAAACCCTTTTCCACTCTTTTATATTTTGGACTCAGGAGGTGGTAGAGTCTGGGTTTGAGAATTTTGAGATCATCAAATGCTTTAGAAAAAGAACATCATGCTTAGATTCAGAAACTTGGACCCAGCCTCAGGGATTCAAGAAAGGCTGGCCCTGGATAAATCATAAAATAGACTAAATCTTGAAGTTGTCTTTTTGATATTTTTCTCCCCCATATTTTATCTAACTTATATGATTCTACTATTTCTAATAAAGTTTATGACATCAGCCATCTCTATCTAGATATAACTAGGTTTGTCATTTTAGCACTTTTCCTACGGATGCTTGGATTTAAGTCATCTCTGTGAATGAAGGACTCCATCTCCCATTAAAATAGTGCAAGATGTCAGAAAACACATTAAAAATATCTCTTGAGATAAACAAACTCTCCTTTACCCATCTGCAACTCTCCCCCCAACACCCGAACCTAGCCCTTTTCTACCTGAGATTGCCTGGATTTATAGAAAACCATTGAAGCTTTGTCTATTTCCATTTATGTATGTAAAGACAAATCTTAGGTCTTAATAATTAATGCCTGAAATCAACACTATTATCGTTACTTTTAAGATTCCATGAAGAACTAAATATTAGGTTAAGAATGCATTTTGTCTATTCTCGATGTGGTTATTGTTAACTAAGGAATTTCGTTATGCAAACCGTTGCCTTTCCTAGTATATTAATGTAAAATATATGCAACTGTATAGATGAGGGAATTCCTCCTATCTCCTGTGCCTAGTAGCAGGTGCTCTATTAATGGACGACTGGTTTGATAGCTATTTAGTAAAATGCGCGCAGTGCCATCTAGTGGTTCATAGTCATTATTACACAACCTAAATGTCATCTAAAATGATTTAACTAGCACAGCAGTAAGCAACATATTTATACAACTGTCAGACTTTTAAAACAAACTTCTTAATAACTTCTTAATGAATCTCAACTTAGCATTTCTCAGTGTCACTATTTAAATAAACAAAAGGCTTATGTTACTTAAATTTCTCAATAACTAATGTATACTGAATGCTTATTATACAATGCTTATTATAAGCACTATGTGGAGTGCTTTATGTGAAGTATCTCATTTGACCCCCCCAAAACAACAATGTAGTAGAGAAAATAGTATTGTCCTCATTTTACAGGCGAGGAAACTGAAACCTAAGGAAGTTAAGTGACTTGCCCAAGGTCATAGGGACAGTCAGTAGGGGACCCCAGCCACTGCCCCGGTTCCTGCACCTTCTGCACTATGCTTACACCTCCCAAGGTAGTCGCCAATGAAATAAAGTTTCCATGAAACCTTTGTGAAAGATAGCCTCCTCACCAGGTTTCTAATGACCCGATATGGTAAAATCAACTTAAACTCCACTAACTCAAAATTTATGACAACAAAACTAAGTGTCTGCTTTTGTGGCTGCAATGCACTTTGTGATTCTTTTACTTCACCCACATAATACGTCATCAAGATTATGGGTTGATTAATTTATTGAAATTGGGATACTTGGCTAAAATTTAGTTTTGGACTCACAGATCTTATAAATTAGTAGTAGAATAGTATGGCTTTAGATCAGAGTGTATTTAGTTATTTTATCACAAATAGCTCATTTCTTGATCATCTATTATGTAAATACACGTTCTCTTTTAATCTCACTATAACTGCCTCTGGATGGCATTCGTTTCCTCATTTTAAAAAAGGAATAATACAATGTATAAACAAAATATTATTACATTTTATTTTTATTAATAAAATTTGCCCAGTTTTGCAGTTATTTCCAGAGCCAGGAATGAAACCTTAATCTCTGTGGCTGCAAAATCTGAATTCTTTCCACTATGCCACCACTGGAAAATAAGGGGTACAATGTGCGTGACTGCAGTTTTTTCTGCATAGTACCACCTTGTAGACAAAAATACCACCATCCCTTACTGGAACTAAAACAATATGCTCCAACTACTTCCCACTGTGTGCCTGTCCGTCTCCGCTCCTTTCTTCCCTTAAAGTCAGAAATGACATTTTTAAGCTGCATTCCTGATCATGTTGCTGTCCTACTTAAAACCCATGTCTTCATACTCAGCATAAAGAGCCAAATCCTTATTGTAGTTATGGTGCTCCTGCAACCTTATCTTGTTCTGGCCCAATCAAGACCATATCGTAATCCCATTTTATACCTAGCATGCTATATGTCACAGTATGTCACTATTTCTGATCACCCGTTTGTGTGATTGTGTGAGTCATGTCTGTATTCCCACCAGACTGTTAGCTCCCATAGGCAGGAACCACATCTATATTGTTTGTATTGAGTCCTCACAATCTACCATAGTGTTTGCATATAATTATGAAAACTAGTTTTACTTAAATCATTTTTAATTATCTATTCTCACAGTTAGCCAGAATTATTTTATTTTTCATGAAATATTTTTCTTTTACGTTCCTTATATTAGGACCTTCAATATGTAAGCACATAAATGCAGCATATTTATGTTTAATAACTTTCATATAATTTCTAGGTATTTGATTATAATAATAAACAACTATTGTCTCCTACATGACATGCCCTATTCCAAGTGTTTTACAGGCATTATTTTATTCAGCTGTCATAGTAATCATCCGAAAGTAGATGCTATTTTCAGTTCCACTTTTCTAACATGAAGATTCAGAGAAGTTAATTAGACTGACAGTATACCTAGGATTCAAACCAGTGTCTCTGTGATTCTTCATGACTATGCCTTATTGCATTTTAGAAAGCAAATGCATCCTTAGAAAACCCTGTTTCACTGTTGAGTCATTTCTTTGTCATTCTCTCATTTAGTCAAAAGACATTTACCAAGTTCCTATGTGTAAGGATGTGTAAGGCAGTGTGAGGGGCACTAGGGGTGTGAACAGTTATCACAATAGACACAGCCTTGTCCTGTGCCACATGCAACGCAGAATGGGAAACAGACAAACTGTTGGTCTACACAAGAGTGCCCACTACATGCTGTGATGGGGAAGGACAGAGCTCTAAGGTGGTGCATGCAAGGGGTATAAAACCCGGAGACAGGGTTTCTGATCCAGCCCAGAAAGATATCCTTGAGGAAGTAATGTTGACGCCAAGGTATAGTAGATGAGATGTAGATGAGAAGTACACAGGGGCTAGATGAAAAAAGAAAAGAAAGAAAAAAAACTTCAATCCTTGTTTAGATTTCAAATTAATGGGAAGTTATTAAAGGACTTTAAGCAGCATACTATATATATATATATATATTTTTTTTTTTTTTTTTTTTTTGAGACGGAGTCTCGCTCTGTTGCCCAGGTTGGAGTGCAGTGGCGCAATCTTGGCTCACTGCAAGCTCCGCCTCCCGGCTTCACGCCATTCTCCAAGCAGCATACAATTTTAAGCAGCATACAAGTGATATGTCAAATTACGGTTTAGAAATCACACTCTGGCTGCAGTGAGTAGAAAGGGAGTACAGAAAGAATGAAAAAAGAACTGACTCAGCCAAACAGTAAGCGTGATAGCATTGGGTAACGAAATTGGGTGGTGGCAATAAAGGTTCATGGAAATGGTGGGATTACAGTGATGTTTAGGAGATATACAGTCCATAGGACTAGGTCATTGATAGAACCCAGAAAGTAAATCTCCCTGGAGGGAGAATAGGCAGCGGGAGGATGGTGGCATTCACCAAGGAAGGGAATCCCAGAGCCGGCAAGGGGAGAGATGAGTATGGGCTGCTCACCCTGAGGCTGAAGTACCCAAAGAACCCTTACATGGGCATGCCTATGTGGGAACCCTTATGTGGGCCACTCCTGTGGTCACTCCCATGGGCCTGGATAATTCCACCACTGGGAATTCTAAAAGGGTTTCCTATTCCTTACAATGGCTCGTCAAGAGAAATTTAAGCATCCAGATTCCCTCCCTTTGCCAACAGCCATTTAGCTTTCTTGACATATACCCATCTCCCTCCCATGCTCAAGTTCCCAGTCCATGCTCCTCTCCCCAGATGTCTGTTCCACATCATCCACAACCAGGAACTAGGTGAGGATAGGTCACAGGGACCAAGCAGGACGACAGGCTGGATGTCATCAGCACTGCTTTCTTTGCATCCTGCACCCAGACACATCCTGATGACTAGATCCAGAAGATTCACAGATCAAATCTATAGGGAGTAATTAGAGGAATCCCAGCTCTTCCCAACTAGAATTTAAATAAATAAATAAATTTAGTTTATAAATGCCATTTCCCTGGGAGTGTTTTGCTTGCTAGATAGAAGAGTTGGATAAATAACACCAAGAAATACAAATAATTTCCTTGTTGATTAATTCTTGATATACAGAAAAGCTTGCAAATTTGAAATCACTTAAATCTGAATTTTTCCAAAACTAATAAATATTTATTTTAGTTGGTATGTGATTTGTACTCATCTGCTCCAAATCAGAGATATATTGCAATATATTTTTCTTTTGACATGACTCACATTATTTACTTGTTCATCTATAATGCATTGTCTGCTAGGTACCAGGAACTACCACTTTTTACTCTATGCATTTTTCCATTTTAGGAATGCCAGCCCCATTTCATAGATGAAGGAAGTGAGACTCTAAGTCTTAGAGGTCATGCACTTGTCGTAGAAGAGCCAGATTTGCAACCTAGGTCTTTGGACTCCAAGTCCAGTGCTCCTTGAGCACAGGTATCTTCCCTTCATAACATAAAACATTATTTTGAGTAATTGTTAAAATTAACAGCAAAAATCCAAGTAAAGGACACAGTAACGGTTCTATGTAACCTGTTGTTTTTTTTTTTTTAGTTTAAGGATTTGCATAATCTACTCATCTCTTGGATCTCAATGTGCACACAAAGTTAGTTATGAGAACCATACTTTAGGTTTTTGTTTTTCTTTATGCCTAATTTGAAAATAAGAATGTCTGAACAGATTGCTCTCTCTCTCTTAGGGTTCTGTGGTTACAGATCCTGCAGTTAAACCTAGCCTGGGAAAAGGGTCTGACTTCAAAAGACTGTTGGCTAGTTGGCTCATTTGTTATTATAATGGAAGAAATTGGTGACAAGTTCTCCTATACCAAAAGTCAGAAACCATAGATCTGTTCTGAAAAGCAAAAGTAAGAGAGAAGTCAAGAAAAAAGTCACATAGCTCAATTCATAGTAGAAGCTGATGTTAGTTTTGCTTATTAGGTATATAGCCAGGAGAGAGCAATGAGGTAGAAGACAAAAAAATAGGGAGCTGTTAGTGAAAAAATATATATACAGTGCATATTTCTCAAAAACGGAAACTGTTATATTTCATTGAGAATAAACAAAATATTTATTTGCAAATGCAAAAGCATAATGAAAAGTCAACCTTAAATGGTGAAGATGTGGAGGAACTGGAACTCTCGTACACTGCTGATGGGAATGTAAGATGGTTCAACTACTTTTGGAAAATACTTTGGAACTTTCTTTAAAAATTAAACATACACTTACTGTGAAACCCAGCCTTTTCATTTCTAAGTATTTACTTAATATTTTTAATGATTTTAATATTTTGAATCCCTCATTGTCTAAGAGAAATGGAAGCCACATATCTATACAAAGACTTGTACGTGATTGTTCATAGCAATTTTATTCATAAACAAAAACTGAAAAACAACCCAAATGTTCATCAACAAGTGAGTTGATAACCAAATTGTGATATATCCATATAATGGAATACTACTCAGCAATAAAAAAGAGAAAACTATTGATACTTTCAGCAATACATGTATGAATTTCAAAACAGTTAACACTAAGTAAAAGAATCCAGACCCAAAAAAGAGTGTTTACCATATACTTACAGTTATTAAGAACTGAAGTTTGCAACAGAAAGCAAATCAATAGTTGCCTGGAACAGGGAATGAGGATGGATTGCAGAGGAGCATGAGAAAACTTTTGAGGGTGAGGACGTGTTCTTTATCTTGGTCGTGATCATGGTTTCTGGGATCTCATAACAAGACCTCAGGGCAAATAGGGAAGAAAACAGAAACAGCTTTCTTGACTACCCTAGTGAAAGTAACCATGACTTAAATCAGCTGGTAATAATGTAGCCAAGAAACTTCTTGTTCTTGACCAGCCTAGTTCAGTGATGTGTGACTTAGTTCTGCTGCTGCTGCAGTGTATACATAACTTTTCCTTTTTACCTTGTCTTCCTGCCTACCTTAACTTTCTTTTTTTTTCTTGTTTCCAACAGCATACTACTAAAAAACACATAAATAAATGAAAACATTTTAAATACTCAAATATAATTTGGACATCCTTTCAAACACTAGAATTTAAATGTTGGCCTTTTCTTTTTGAGGGGGCAGGGTGTGCAATGGGGAAATAACTTTTAAACCGATAGACTTGGATCTGAATGCTAGTCTTGCCATTGACTCCTCTTCTACTTTTGCATTTGTCAGTTCAGTTTCCAGATCCTCAGTTATCTTATGTGTAACACAGGGATAATAGCTGTATTTCAAGAGTGATTGTGAAGATTGGAAATAACTATCTATTGTGGTGGTCAGTAAATCATTTGCTTGCTATTATGTAATGCACATCAAGTCTTAGAGATAATGCACAGCCTATGTTCATTTACTTATGTTGACCCCCTGCAACAGCTGCACACATGTGAGATACCTAGAAAAAAACAGGACAGAGGGTCATGTAAACTGATGTATTTGCCTTCCATTACTTTGGGCTGATGTGTTAACTCTGCTTTAATTGTAGTGCACCTGGTGGACATATGGAATGTCATAGAAGCATTGCGGGAAAATGCTCTGAACAACCTGGACCCAAACACTGAACTCAACGTGTCCCGCTTAGAGGCTGTGCTCTCCACTATTTTTTACCAGCTCAACAAACGGATGCCAACCACTCACCAAATCCATGTGGAGCAGTCCATCAGCCTCCTCCTTAACTTCCTGCTTGCAGCGTTTGATCCGTAAGCACCCTCTGAATGTCTGTTCCTCTCTACATGTTTGGCTTTCACTTCCTGTCTTACTTGGTCTTTTTCCCAAACAATTTTATATCTCTCTCTTTTTTTTTTTACTCTCTTTTTTCTTACAGTGGATGCTTATGTCAGTAAAGTCTCCATGTGTTTAATATAAATTTTAAATCCTGTGAAAAAGACTAGAGAGTAAAATGGTGCCAGAGGAACTTGAGGACAATTGTATTTTATGTGCTGACCTTTAGTTATCTCATCCCATGCTTCCTGGAAGCTGTGGATGCTTGAGAGGATTGCCTGTGGTGCGATTTAATGAAGCGTGAAGTGGGAGGATCTTTTTAACTCTCTTCTTTGCAAATTGTTTAAGACAGTGTTTCTGAGGTGTCCTAACAAGGCCCTACAGCAAACAAGAAAGAAATTGAAAAGGGTTTCTTGACTATCCCAGTCAAAGTAACTATGACTTGCGTTAAATGGACTGGTCAATTTAAGTGTTTCGATCATAAAATAAGGGGATGCTGTCCACAGACCACAACTGAAGCTCAGCTTCATTTTTGTATAATTTTCCCTTTTAGAATCAGAGAATTTCAGGGCTGGCTGAGATCTTAAAGGCTGTTCGTCCACATATCTCATTTTACAGATGAAGGAAATGAAGCACAAAGAAATTGTCACTTGTTTGGTGTCTCGCAGCATGTTAGTGGCCGAGTGGGGACTTAGGTGTTCAACAAAGGTTTCTTTACCAAGGTATATGTGGATTCCCCTGAATTACATTCTCAGCCTACAATTTCAAGAGGGCTTTTTGCCAATAGCCTCCAACCTGGACGTAGTACCACCCCCTCCACTTCCACTGCTTGTTTTGAATATTAAAAAGGAAAATTGCTAACCTGACCTTTCAGCAATCACATTTTGAGATTCTCAGAAGGTTTTACTTAGTCTCATTGTCTGGCCAATGCCTGGAAGTATTTACCCCCGCAGTGGAGATGTTCCAGCCAGGCTAATGTTATTTTGCAATTCACAAAAGCTACCAGCTGTCACTTTGCAACTTAGAGTGTTAACAGAATCGTTCCTGCTCAGTTTTTCCAGTGTGCATTATTGTCTTCGTGATATTTATATTTTGAGAAATTCTTCAGTTAAAATAAACAATTTTACAACTAGCATTCCAGGTTGGTAGAGTCTTTGCTTCGGCTGTGCACACTTCAGAACGAGATGTACAGCTCTAGCTTAATCACTATAGTAACTGGATGCTGGGGCAGGTAAAGAGGACTGTGGTTCCACATGACAGGCAGCAGAGGCAGCAGAATGGAACCTGGCCATGGCATTTCTGTAGTGGCATTTCTAACCTGGCCCTGTGACAAGAGTGTGGCAGCTTTCAGATTTGCCCCTAAAGATGTCAAGAGACTTATTTGTTAGAAATGTAACAATGGAAACTGCAAAAAGAGAAATATAATATCTCACTAAATCCTGGAGTACTGCTAGAGAACTCATAAAGAATCAAAGCCAAATAATCATTTGCACCCACTCCATAAATATAGACCAGAAACCAGACTAACAATAAGGAAGGGGGTATTTTGTGAGATATATAGGATTCACACAAATATAGTTAGATTTTTCACTTTTGGTCAGAAATATTTGCTAGATCACTTCTAAATATAGAGCTATGAACGGTCTCTAAATAGCTGCTGAAAATATAGCTGAATCATTTCAAGATTGATGAAAAGCTAAGTTTGACATCTATTCCAAGGTAAGGAACAATTCACAAAAAAGTTCAGAAGAAATCTTTATTTGGTGCCTATTCTTCGTATAGATAGGAAGCCTCCTGATGTGTACTTTCAATAATCTCACTGTAGTAGATTTATAAACACATCCACATAGACAAATTTCACTGCAAAGATTTATAAACATATCCATGTAGAGATCCTACTCTGCAGACACTTCTGCGTTTGCTCCTTCAGCGTAGCAAATGAGCATAGGCAGTCCTACTGACACTCAAATTTTCCATCTGATGGCATGGAATTTTGGATATGAAATGTAAGCCATCAGGAAGTACAGCTAACTGGATATGTAATTTAGAAGTGAATATAAGAAGAGAAACTTAAGAATAAAATAAATGTTCAAATTCTATTTCTTATAATAGTAAACTCCAATTTATCCAAATGAGACCCAGCGTGGAAATCTGATGCCACTTCCTACCACCTGTCCCACGACAGAGTCCAAGTGTTTAAGAGAACCGTCTGTATTTTGGCAGACATGAATGATCCTGATACTACTAAAAGAAAGATGTGCTGTTGCTATTACAGAATCACTGAAACATTTAGGAGATTTTTCTCCCATTTGTCGTATTTTAAATGGACATATAAATAAACAGGGAAAAAATCCAAAATAAAAATTAGAGATGCCTTAAGAACCTAGACTCTGAAGAAGAGTTGCTAAAAATAAATAAATAAAAAAGAAAGGCAGTATAGTGATTTAAACTCATGAAGAATAAGAACTTGGATTCAAAGAAACTTGGCCATTTTGTGGGGGAGGGGATGGTGCCTTAAAATTCACTAGACTCCCAGGTAGTTGAACTTCGTGAAGAAAGTGGTAACCTGAGATGAGGATTGATGCCTCCTTTACTGGGATGTACTTCTGAGAGCCAGACTTACCTTCGCACAGCCATAGCTCCCCAAGAATAGCATTCCCTCTCCCACCAAAAAAACATCCGGATCTCAATTTTCATACCAGGATGCTTACTGCAGACTGTAATCAGTTTCCTGGTTGCAAGATTTCTCTCTGCTCGTTGGCAAGTCAGCCTCTCAGAAGATATGATAACTACATCTGTAGATGATTTGTACAATGTTGGGGGTGGGCAGTGGACCCCAGTGGTTTATGCTCATGCTTGCCATTCTGTCCCTGAAGACACAGTTCCTTGAGTCCAGAAGATTTTTGTTTTTTGTGACATTCCTTTTAAAAATGGCTGTATTCCTGGGAGGGGGTCACCCAGGGAGCAGTTACCAACCAACTTCTAAGCAAATCTCTCCACGGCCAGAGGTTATCTTTTTTAAGGCGTCTAGTGGAATGGATGAGTGTGCCTGAGAAGGATGGGAAAAGAGATGTCAGAAATAAGACCAGGGGCTGAGAGGGAAGAAGATATGTGAGGGAGCAGCCAGAACTTGAGCCAGTCTCTTCCTCTTGTCCCTTTCCTCCGATCACCCCAGGAACTGGCCTCCCACCTCCCCTTCTTTGCTGCCAGGAGCCTTCCGCTCCTCTGTCTCCTCCAGAATCCCCCCAGCAAACTGGCAGCAGCTTCTTCTGTCACCTCTTGTCCATATTCTATTGAGGAGGGGGAAAACTCTTTGAAGTCTTCAAAGGACCTTTAATGTTGTTCTTATTATTTTGTAGGAAATAGAGAGTAACTCAAAAGAAAAATATTGCAGAAAGTTAAAAGATGAAAATAATTCTTAAAAGCCTATAATGTGCAGCCTTTTTGAGAGGTGCAGTCACAAACTCTGAGGTTCTGTGAAGCCTTTCGCCTGTCATGGTCAAGTTGATCACCTTTCCACAGGTCCACCTCTCCTTGCACCTGATTCTGCTATTGTCTTATAGTGCATGTCTGACTGTTTATATGACTGCCTCCCAAAGACTTCTTTAGGAAAGAACCATATTTTATTCTTCTTATGAACAGCACCTGAGACCATAGCCAACACAAGAATGAATCAATGAATGAAAATCCAAGGTTGATCTTTCTGAGCTCTTGTCGTACTAATTTCTTTTAACTATTTTTTTTTAAGACCGAGTCTCACTCTGCCGCCCAGGCTGGAGTGCAGTGGCACAATCTTAGCTCACTGCAGCCTTCGCCTCCTGGCCTAGAGCAATTCTTGTGCCTCAGCCTCCCGAGTAGCTGGGACTACAGGCGTGCACCACCACACCTGGCTAGTAATTGTGTTTTTAGTAGAGATAGGGATTCACCATATTGCTCAGGCTGGTCTTGAACTCCTGGGCTCAAGCAATCCACCTGCCTCAGCCTCTCAAAGTACTGGGATTTACAGGCATGAGCCACCATGTCTGGCCAGTTTTCTTTTAATTCTTTTTCTGAGATTAAGTCTTCCTTGATCTCCAATATATTACAAAGACTAGCGGGTCCCAGTCACCTAGATTCAGACCCTCTATTTTTACTTCTGCTCCACAGAAAAAAAAAACAAGTGTTCATGGTTACCAATGTTGGTGATCCTATTTTTACAAAAGACTTCTATGTACTCCTCTCACCTTCTCCCTGCTTCCCCAGGAAACACTAAAAACAAGTTGTCTTGACTCAATCTCATTTCAATTCAGTAGTATCTTCTTTCGTAAGACAGTTCTTCATAAAGTAGATTATGTGACTCTAGCCTTGTTTTTAGCAAATAACATTATCATATATACTCAGTCACTCAAAAATCATAGTATGACAGTTAAAAATATTAAAAGGAACAGTGATTTTCCTATTTTCAGAGGTCAAGCTATAGTCTTCCATGATAATCATAATAATTGTATTAAAAATAAGATGTACTCAGTATTTACTATATGTCAATAGTCTTACTGACTTGGCCCTATATTATCATGATTTTCCAGTAGAGGAGATAGAAAGAGGTTAAATAATTTGCAGGTCATACAGCATCATACTAAATGAGGTAAATGAGGGAAAACTCATTTTGTTTCAGGAACTGTTTTAAGCTCAGCTCTATTCATGCTTTCTGTTTCACTTTTTAAAATGAAAATTAATTAACCTTTTTTCTCCCAGACTTGTTTTGCTTATTACAGGATATTATTCTGATGCTTACATTCCTAATCTTTCCAGTTTCTGGTATTTATACACATTTGAAAGAGTGTATGTGGAAGAAATATTTGGACTTAACATGTTTTACATTGTAGCATTAGGATCAGTTTTATGACAGCTACCCAGAACTACAAGTCCATCACATAATAGTCTTACGTAGAGAATACAAAATCCTGGTATTTTCCTCCCTGTTTGCCATATTGCACCTTACTGGGCCATTTGAACACCCATGCCCACTGCTGAGCCTTCCAATGCTACAAAAAAGACCACAGAACTATTTCAAATGCATGGATATGAAATGCCTGGTACTCTGCCAAAATCCTTCTGTCTTTCGAATTTAAAAAATGATTCGATATTTAATGCAAAATGTACTACAAAGTACACAACCATTTCTCTGCACCAAAAAAAGTATTGTTCATGTTTGAGACTATGTAGATTTGTGAAAGCAAAGAAGAAAAAAAGAGAAGAGTTATAAAAAACCAAATGTTCTTCTCTTTTATTATCTATACAGCCAAGACTAGATATTTAAAACAGTGTTTACTTGGCGTGGTGACTTTTTTCTTTGCACGTCTTAAATTTCAAGATGTCCATAGAACATTCTCCTCTACTAACTAAAATCTTGTTGTAGTGAAAAATACTTTGTTCAAAATTTCTACATCCTGCTAAAATGGAATCACTTTCCAAAGAATTTTCACAGCTGTAGATACATTAAATATCCTAATGTCACTCGTTGTTTATCTGACATACTTTGAATGAGTAGCAGGTAGAATTTCAAGAGAGATGAGGAATTTCAAGGGGTATGGGGGCATTCCAACAGTATTGACCCCTTCTGTTCTGGAGAAACCCCTAGCAAACTCACCTGCCCCGGCGCTATAAGGAGTACTTTTCCCAGATGTTTTGCTAACATTGTGGAGGGCCCAGAGAGAAGCCAGATCCAAATAAAGGGTTTCTGTCTGTTCACAGGTTAACTTCACTACGCCCCAAACCAGAGTTAATTATGCCTGTGAACACTTCTAAATTCAAAGCATCACATAACTGCACAATCTAAAAGAAACAGCCATAAAGCCAATCATTATCATCGTATTCAAACACGTTATATTTCTCAATATAAATCTCAAGTGGTAAATCAGAAAGTTGCTTCTCACTTGTGCATTCATTAATTGAACTGACATATGTAAAGAGCTTGCTATGTGGTAGGTGTTATGATAGGCTGGGAATAAATGATAAGACAAGATGAAATGAGATGAGATACCCTTGGAAAATGGGTTGTATTAAAATTAACTGTTTCTGACCCTTTATCTCCAACATGTTGTGAGCAAATGAAGAGTAGAGACCACACCTTTTTCATCTGTATATCCCCAACCTCTAGGACAATGCTAATCAATATTTATTGAGTGACTAAATGAGTGATCCATATGAGCAAAATAATTTTCAGATAAAAAATGTGTTATAGTAGAGGCATGTTGTGGAAGCAGAGGGAGGAAGCAATTCTCTCCGTTAATTAAGCCACCAAAATGTGTGAGAAAGAGCAGTTTGAGTGCTGTGCCTCTGCTTATCAAAAATGCTTACCAAATGTTTTTGTGAAATATGTTGGTAAAAGAAGAGCTTCTGATTTTAGTACTCTTAAATAGAGAAATAATTCCTTCTGTCTGTTTAAGAAAGAATCAGTCAGAATTGAATCTTACTTAAAAGAACTTCAAGTTTCTCATGGGATTTTGTAACTTCAAACAGGAAACCCTGTTGGCAATTCGGAGACAATTTACCTCCTGTACTTAGCATCCAGCCCTACCGATCAATATCTATTTGTTGTTTTATCTTCTTGTCAAAAACAAATATTCTCTTCCCTGCAACTTTTCCATATAAATAATATATTCTTAGTTGGAAGAAATCAGTATGTCTCTTTATAAGATTATGGGAAACCCAGGGCAGACTAAAGCAGTTTCTCACTTCTTTATTATGACAAGTCAAATTTTGAAGTAATTCAAATTTTTAACATAAAACACCCTACAAATCACTATATATATTTTAACCAAAGGGTAAGTGCCTTCCTCTTTCCATTTTCAATCAGTTGTCCCCTAGAATAACTTGAAAAGTCTCAGAGTGAGAAAACAAAATGTAAAGGAAGATAAAAGATTTCAAGAAACATTGATTTATGAAGCCATTTCAGTTTGTGCTTTTGATAATTTGCATATATTAGCCTGGTTCTCTTAAATACCTTGTTACATGTTAATTATATACCAATACACAATTTTATTGAGAATTTTTGAATGTCGATCTAGAACAAGAAAGTAAAGTTTGTATAGGCAAAAGTTCCAGGGTAATTGGCTTAGAAACAGAACATATTCCACTATGCCAAAAGACTATAATGGAGAAAATGAATAAAGTATGTATTATGCGCTGTTTTCTCTCTGCATTGAAATGGAAAACATTACAAACAAAATACTATTATTTTATTTTAAAAATAAAATAACTTTTTTTTTTTTTTTTGAGATGGAGTCTCGCTCTGTCAACAGGCTGGAGTGCAGTGGCGCGATCTTGGCTCACTGCAATCTCCGCCTCCTGGGTTCAAGCAATTCCCCTGCCTCAGCCTCCGAAGTAGCTGGGACTACAGGTGCACACCACCATGCCCGGCTAATTTTTTGTATTTTAGTAGAGACGGGTTTTCACCATGTTGGCCAGGATGGTCTTGATCACCTGGCCTCTTGTTCTGCCCACCTCAGTCTCCCAAAGTGCTGGAATTACAGGCGTGAGCCATCACCCCTGGCCAATTACTATTTTAATAATAAAATGATATACTAATATTAATTCTTTAAGCTTTTTCTGTGCCTTTTATATTACCAAAGAATTAACTGTACTAGCAGCCTTAATTCACAAAGAAAGACTTACATGGCCATGTGATTGACCACATCACAGACTCCTAAGGCTGATCCCGCCCCTAAAAGTCTGTGATTCATCCAGACTTGTGCCCTGTGATGCATCCAGTCTCTCAAACACATCTGGCTCTTTTATGTCTTGAGATGGCAGTCAGAATTGCACATGAAGTTGAAGGCATACTGCCATGGCTTTTCATAAAAGCAAGAGAAGTATACAGACTTTTTCTGTGCACTTCCTGATGCTGCCCCACTCCCAGGCTGTTTGGCCTGAAGTTTTAGGGAAAATCTATGTTTTTCAACCTCAGCACACACTGGTGGTTGGCTTCCTGGGTTGCAGCTGACAGCCAGCATTCCATCGGTGCAGTTTTACTACCTTACTGCAAAGGCATTGCCAGAGACATAGTCATTTTGGAGCAATATGCTGCTTTCCTGCTCGTTTGTACAGGACTCTGAGGAGCTTCCCATTATCCATCCTCATGCACTTGTCTTTCTGCTTCCTAGACACTTAACAGATTTTATTGGCTGTTTGTAAATCAAACTGGTCCCAACTAATGACAATTCCTGATGAGCATAGCTCCTAAATTTTTCCATTTGGGATGTATCAGCTTTTCTCTACTCCTTGCTTCCTGTGTTAATGCCAGTGCCTTTTTTCACAATGAAATAGGGACCCTGGTCCCATGTTTTGCTCAAAATATGGGCTGATAACCAGAGGAATATATGCTACCTAACTGTGGTTGGCTAACTAGCCAACAGAAGACGCTTTTCACTTTGGGTTTCATAAAATAATTTTGTGCAGAATAATCTCACAGTCTCTATAATTTATTTAAACAAATCTTCAGAAACATAATTTTTTTGTTAGAGAATTCCTGAATTTGAAATTAGGGTAACTATAGGGACTTTTTCATCACAAATTTTTTTCAACCATTATTTCCTACTCACAATACAACTGTGCTTATGTGATATATTTACTCTTCAAAAAAAGCTGATATTTTTTAAAGGCCCCCTCTTTAAAATTGGACACCCTCCTCTTCACCCTGTTATATTTACAAATAATGTTCTTTTAAAAAAGATCCATTTGTATTTAAGTCTTTAGTGCTCCCATTCTCTGTTGTAGAGTCAGTCATCTCTGCTCACTCCTCAAACCGCATAAATATTTATCCAGTGCCTGGGATAAGCAAAGTATGAACTCACCCAGTTTTGGTGTGCTTGCCACGACCTAAATCCCTGCATACCCCCAGAATCCTTCTTCATGACAGAGTCACATTTGCAATCTGGCACAGTAGCTTGCATAACAATAGATTCCAGTGGCCTAATTTCACCCTTGAGTTCCTGTAAAACCCTCATTCGGCTGCCCTCCACTTGGTGATTTATCTAGATTTATTGTGTCAATTTGGCAGAACAGCTCTGATATAACCACTGTTGGATCTAGTATCATCAATCTTCCATTTCCAGGAACAATACAGGACTGGCAATCTCCCCATGATCTTCTTCATTAAAAGCTGAGGTCTAAGAGTACACCTATGAGCTATCATTGTTTCATCCTTTGGAGAACTCTCTGTTCCAAAATCATTGGTGGTCAATCCTCTCCTTTTAAATAAATTATTCTCTCGGATTCATTGAAAGGAACTGTATTGCTCTTGAAGCCTCACATATAATGCTCCTCGATTTCTTTGCATTTTGAGGGCCACATTATTGCTATGTGATTGCTAATCTTCCATACCTTGTAGACTTTACTGTTGTCATTATTTGAACCATGTTACAGTTTAGGAAAAAAGCTAATTACCTCCTGAGGTCAAATGTTTGATACTTCCAGTTATCCATGTAATGGGAGGACAGGAATGCTTTTGAATAGGCTGGTTTTTACAAAATCATTGCATTTCTATTACAGCTACCTGCTCTAAAATTAATAACTCACTGAGTGGATGGACACTCAAAATTCTAGGTGTAATTTTTATAATGATTACTAATCATTTCTTAATATAAGAAATGTATTAGTCACTAACTCTGTGTGAGACCAAGTGCTAGGCACTAGGAATTCAAGTAATTCAGAAAACATCATCTCTGCACTGAAGGATCTCACAATGTAGAATCCAGTCACATTGTGGACATGTAAAAATCACATCAAGGTCATTCATTGTGACAGATGCCACATAATAAGTAAAAAGTGAAGGGCAGAGTGATTTCCTAGACATCTAGGAGAAAAGCTGTTTTCAGAGCAGGGTGAATAATGATATTGAGTGGCATCTTGACAAATGGATGGGAGGGTTGTGGGCAGACCATGTTAGGAGGGGGAGGGGCCAGGAGGCGTTGAACAGTTTGACCATGGTGTGCAGTACAACAACAGAAATGGTAGCAGAGGAGACTAGACGAGACTGCTGGGTGTGCCATGAGCAAACGTTAGAACTTCGTCCTGAGGGCAAAAGGCGGCCAGAGGGTTTTAAGCAATGAAATAATATGGTCAAATTTGTGATATGAGTGTGCAAGCAGAGAGATCATTTCAGAGGTTATGACCGTGTTAAAGCAAGAGCTGATGGAAGCAGTGACAGTGGGAATGAAAAGAAGGGAATGGATTCAACATACAGGTAACAAGTCTAGCTGAGTCCTTCAAACATTTGTTCGGAGTGGTAGTAATTAAGGAAGAGCAAGAAATCAAAGGCGACCCCAACTCAGGATTCATTTTCAGGTAACTAGGTACATGGTGTTTCTAATAACCAGCAGAAGGACTGCAGGAGGAACAGCAGGTTAGTACTACGGTGAGTCTGAGTATTATGGAAGAGCTCTGTAAAGATAATGAGTTCTCTTTTGAACATACTTAGTTTGGCATGAGGTATCTAAGTGAAGGTTTCAGATAAATGATTACATAAATCTGGTGCTGAGGCTTAGAAATAAATATGAAAGAGTCACTAGCATAGGGTTCAGTCAATTTTGCATTCTGGCTGGTTGTATTTGAGGTATTACACTAAAAATGACAGCGACAGTGATAAATAACAAATGATCCCTCTCTGAAACCTAGTAAGGAACAAAACCACGATTATTTATATCTTATTTTTCTTATATATAAGGCATATGAATCTTATTCATATAAATTATTTATTCCATGTACTAAAGCTTTGCCAATACAAGCTTTACTTACCTTTCAGACACATTATTATTTTAAATAACTCTTTTGACCATTCTTAAGATTAGCAACTATCAAATAAATGAATTACTAATATGATACAGTTTCTGATTCCAAAGTATAAGAATAAACAGTTGATTCCAGCTGGAAAATCATTTAGCTGAAACATTATACTTTTTATCATATCCCCTTTATATCACATTTGTGAAGGACAGATTTGTTATACTTCCTGAATCAATGAGGATTTGGCAGCACTTGTGTCATTTGGGTAGAAAGAAAGTGTTCAAACAGAGCTTTTACTTTTTTTTTAAGACAGAGTCTCCCTCTGTCGCCCAGGCTGGAGTGCAGTGGCACAATGTTGGCTCACTGCAACCTCCACCTCCCGGGTTCAAGCGATTCTTATGTCTCAGCCACCTAAGTAGCTGGGATTACAGACGTGCACCACCACACCTAGCTAATTTTTGTATTTTCAGTAGAGACAGGATATCACCATGTTGGCCAGGCTGGTCTCAAACTCCTGACCTCCAGTGATCTGCCCACCTCAGCCTCCCAAAGTGCTAGGATTACAGACGTAAGCCACCGTGCTCGGCCAGAGCTTTTACTTTTGCCCCTTTAAAATAGCAGCTCTCTTTGAAAAGTAAATATATCACATAAGCACAGTTGGCTTGTGGGTAGGAAATGATGGTTGAAAAAAATGTGTGATGAAAAAGTCCCCATAGTTACCCTAACCTCAAATTCAGAAATTCTCTGACAAAAAAAAAAAAAAATGATGTTTCTGAAGCTCTGTTTAAGTAAATTATAGAGATTCTGGAATTATTGTGTGCAAAAATCATTTTATGAAACTCCAAGTGAAAAGCATGTTCTGTTATTTAAATCCATAGTTAGCTAGTAGATATTCCTCTGGCTATCAGCCCATATTTTGAGCAAGTGACATATACAAAGAATAAGCTAAGAGATTCTGATGTCTCTTAAGGAAACATTGAATAGACAGTTCTTCAGATATGTGCATTGAATTGTTTTCACAACCTTTTATAAAATGGATGTGCCCACATAAGGCATGCAGCTATGTATCCTGTGATTTCTACAGAATAGAAAATGTCAAACCTTGTTGCTGGAAGTACTCCAAATGACATCATGGTTTTGTTTTGTTTTTGTTTTTGTTTTTTTTCTATTACCATTAAACAGGGAAGGCCATGGTAAAATTTCAGTATTTGCTGTCAAAATGGCTTTAGCCACATTGTGTGGAGGGAAGATCATGGACAAATTAAGATGTAAGTTATTATTCCTTGTGTGTCTGTTTGCTTTTCCTTGCTAGGTACCACCCTTTTCTCTCCCTCATTCCTCTATGTCCCCTCCCCATTTGTATCTTTCCTCATTCTATGAGAGTTGTTTGAAATACATTTTTCACTGATGTTTGGATTTTGTCATAGCGATATTTTCATATTAGATAAATGCTAATGAAATGAATGTTTTCCTCTACTTATAACCTGTTGAGTATCACCAACTGGCCTCTTTCTGAAATTAAAGTAAAATAAGCACTCTTTGCAGTTAATTGTGTTATACTGCCTTACACGTGGTACAGGATGATAGGCACGTGAAGGCTTAGTGGGAAACCTTCCCCTTTAAATCTTCTAAAAGCAAGACTCTTGGCACATTTCCTCATTCTTCTCAGCCAGCACTGTTCAAATCACTGGGAACTCCAAAGGTTTCAAAGCCAACAATGTCAGGAAAGAAGAATAGGAATTACATAGAGACAGCATTGGCAGAGTTAACTAGATGCCAGTAAAAGCATGGTAGCTAAAGTACATTGAGTAATTGTGGGCCTTAATGAACATTTTGTCTCTAAATATGGTAGAGTTCCTTAACCAACGACACACTGGGGATTGTTTGTTTGTTTGTTTGTTTGCTTTAGGTAAAGAAACTGAGACTCAGTTAACCATATGGCTAAGACGATGCCAGGATTTGAACCCTGACTTTTTTTTCTACACAGGTGGTTCACAAATTTTAGCATACATCAGAATCACCTTGAGGGCTTCGGTAAAACATAGATTTCTGGGTCCCACCCCAAGAATTTCTGACTCAGTAGGCCTAGGATGAGGGTGGGTGAAAAGCATATTTATTTCTAACTAGTTTAAAATGATGTTGATGCCGCTGTTTAAATTTAAAATTTCCATTTAACCCTATCCTTTTCCCTAAATAGTATGAGTTGGGGCTATAATGCTGTGTTAGAAAGGGCACTGTCCTGGGAATTGGGAGTTCCAGGTTGCAAGCCCAGCTATGTGACTAATTTGCTGAGTTATCCTTTGTCAGTTACTTCACTTCTTTAGTCCTCAGCCTCCTTCTGTATCCTAAATTTTGGGATTTTGTAAGATACCCATAGAATCACACCTGGCTGCATGCAGCCATCTGTGTGGCTCACAGCACAAGGCTCACCTGCTGCCTGTCCTCTTCTGAGTGAGATCGCTTGCTTCTTGATCCACCCAAAAGGAAAGAATAAAGGAAGACACAGAACACCTTTTGTTCCTTTGAAATTTCCCTGGAGATGCTCCAGGGATGAGTCATTCCAGTGGACCAGTAAGTAAGTGAAAGGGACAACAAAGCCTCAGGTAGCCACACAGCTTCCCTCACTTCTGGGACTTCCCTCCATGGAGAGCCAAAGACAGCCAGGATTCAGAGAAGCCTAGCCAGACCTTAGGAGGAGCCATGTAGCTTCTCTTTTGTTAGCCTGAAAGATATAGAAAATTAAAAACTATCTACCTCAGTGCTTATTTGAGAGATAATAGCTAAATTAGAAGGTGCTGACACCGAGGGCTTTTTTTTTTCTTTTTTTTTTTCAAAAAAAAAGAAAAAAAAAAAGCTTCAGAGTAATCCTCGGGCATTTCCTTCAGGGTTAAGCCAGAAAGAGAAAGTTTAGCAAAATGAACCAAGGCTAAGGAAGGAAGTTCTGAGAACCTTGTCTGCCAACCCCAACTGGCCATTTACGAAGAGGACATTAGATAAATGTAAAAAACAAAACAAAAGCTAAACAAAAAAATCCACTTGAGAGACATCTAAAAATACCTGTTTAATATTATATTAATAGGTACCTGGATAGAAGGGTCCCATATTAAAATAGGTTTAAGGAAATCTAAGAAAACCAGTTTTCTGCATCTCAGAACGTCTGTCAACCTTTAACATACCAGGCTAATTCTGAGCCCTCGAAGTCCTGGTGTTTGCTGTCTTTCCACTCAGCTTTGTTCAGTGTAAGATTTCATCCTCCTCCAAGAGTAAGGGTGGAGGGTGAGGGAGGGGGGCTTGGTGGAGGTGACAGTCACAGGAGTCACATCTCACTACAGAGGTCCCCAAGCCCTTACAGCTCATCACCTAGGTGGCGTCTCAGACCAATTACTAAACTAATTACTGGTTAGAGAAAAAGTATGACAGCAATGGCCATTGTGTAATCCACTTTCACCTCCTGTGCTCAGAAGGGCCATCCCTTTCCCTCAACCCATGAGCAATCCATGAACAAATGTGGGTCAAATAAAGATGAAGGGAATGGCTGGTAGGTAAGGGACTAGCAATGTCAGCACAGTTACAAAGTTCAAAATATAACTAAGTTATTGATTAGATCTTTACAATTGTGAAAACCCTTCCAGTTCTCTCTTGGGCCCAGGAGTTCAAAGGAAACAGTATAACTGCTACAGTGCTTTCTCCTCACCCCATCCCATCACCCTCCAAAAAGCACTCTCTAGTGGCCAAAGTCTATCCTCTTTAGGGCAGTGAAAGAAGCAACAAATGCATGTGTCCCCTTGGAGGTAAACTAAGTTTTCTAGTCTGCAGAAACAAGCCCACAATATCACAGATTCTGTAGAAATACAGATAGTGTGACCCCGATAAATCGCATTCCCCACTTTGAGAGCAGTGCACCTGAATCACACCCTTATGTGTCCCTGGTTCTCTGACTGAGGAGTCACTCTTTGTATAGTTAATCCTGGGAAGATGGTTTTAGCAGTTTCCAGGTAACTTGGTTAAAATCAATTTGACCAAAAACAATTTAGTTAAAGGTAATTTGGTCACAAAAATCTCTCCAGAATGTTAACTAGTCAAAAATGAATATCCTGAGTTATGAATATTTCTAGTTTCTGTGATAATTATTAATGGAATGAGCGAATGTGGGCAAATTTACCCACAAAATCTGCCCGCAGAGACCAGTGGCTGCCCCTTGGTGAGTGGGATTGTGGGTGTTCCTATTGTATTCTTTTGCTGGCTTGCATTTTAATGATAAAACAGATAAGGTAGCCAGGCATGGTGGCACATGCCTTTAGTCCCAGCTACCCAGAAGGCTGAGGCAGGAGAATCACTTGAACCCAGGAGGCAGAGGTTGCGTGAGTTGAGATCACGCCACTACACTGGGCAACAGAGCGAGACTCCATCTCAAAAACACAAATCAAAACAAAACAAAACAAAAAAAACAGGTAAGGTCATGATTTTCTACGTTGCTTCTGTAATAAGAAAAAGTAAAATGAAGGGATATGGAATGTTTCAGGCTTGAGGGTTTTGTTTTCCCTTCTTTAAAGTTTTTCTAATTCACGTTAAGCCAAAATGCCAGCTGTGCTTGTTTGGCAATTTTTCTATTTTTGTGCATAGGGTTGAGAGATATTTAGCTCGTTCCAGCTACTCCCTTATTGTTGGTGAACACAGAGCAAGAATAACTGGCTGAAAATAAGTCGGAAATTTTAAAAAACAAAGAGAAAGCAACAGAAAATTTGAAGTTGATTTTCTTAACGCTTTAAAATGCATTAGAAGAGAAAACAACACTATGTTGCAACATAATTTCCAGTAATTAGGGCACCATTCAGTGGTAGGGTGTTCCCTGTGTAATTCCAGGGAGCATCATTGACACAGCTTAGGAGATGAAGGGCGCCCCCTGCAGTCATGTGCCATGGCAACCTAAACATAAACTTACCTAATAACACTACTATTTTGTCAGATTGTTCTTGGCCCAATTATAAGCTGTTTTAATGGGTTGGAACATTTGTTTATACTTCTGTCTTAGGGCTCCTGGATAGTTCTAAGGATCTTAAGGGATTCTAAATCCAATGCTGTAAGCCTGGTATGTCATGTGCTGTTCTAAAGCTTTGGGGAGGACTTTTTAAGTCTTTTTAAAAGACTAGTATTATGGAAAATACTGCATATTTATTGAGTTTCTATTACTGAACTGGTTGTTTTGCCTCTACGCCTACCCATAGACTTTCTAACGCACTGACCTACTTTAAATTCTTCAGTATCTCCCTCAGCATCTTCTGGACACAACCTAAACTCCTCAGTACAATTCAGCCATAAAAAAGAATGAAATCCTGTCATTTGAGGCAACAGGGATGAGCCTGGAGGACATTATGTTAAGTAAAATAAGTCACGCACGGAAAGATAAATACTGCATGTTCTCACTCATATGTGGGAGCTAAAAAAAAAAAACTGAACTCATGGAAGTAGAATTGTGCTTATTAGAGGCTGGGAAGGGTAGGGGGCTGCAGGAGGTTGGGGGGATAGGGAGAGGTTAGCTAATGGCTACAAAATTACAACTATGTAGGAGGAATACGTTCGAGTGTTCTATAGCACTGTAGGGTGACTATAGTTAACAAAATTTTATTGTATATTTTCAAAAAGCTGGAAGAGAAGATGTTGAATATTCCCAATACAAAGAAATGATAAATGTTTGAAATGAAGGTAACGCCCATTATCCTGATGTGATCATTACACATTGAACACATGTATCAAGCTATCACTCTGTAGCCCATAAATATGTACATTAATTTTTTTACTCAGATAGAATCTCTACAGTCTCATGGTTAATAAACTATTTGAAACAGCGGAAACCCTTTATAAATGGAGTATTTAATGAAAATGAGAGTCAATTCATGTTCTCAAAACCATAATCCGATAAAAGCCTCTGATATGCTTAACATCTGACTTTGGTGTAAAAACAATGTTCCCAGATTATATTTTGACCTTGAAAAATTAAACCTAAAGTGAATAGAGGTGGCACATTCACAGCAGTTTATCCCAGCAGCTGTGCTGGCCTGGTGACAAGCTAGTTAGCATGGTGACAAACTATATAATAGCAAACCCTTTCATTCTAATAGTGATTTGCACAGAGGAATTATAAAACACCTTGGGAAATTATGCCATTAATATTCATTAAATGCACATAGTGGCAGAAATTGAAGAACAGTGGTTCAGTGAAGCCATAGGCCCTTCAGAGAAAGATCCAGGACCCTGACTTTACCTCATTGATCATCCACAAGACCAGGCTTCCTCTTCACTACACGAGTCAGAAAACCCTTCCCTGTAAATCAAGTGCCTTCCACCCAGAAAACTGTAATTCATAGAAAGTTTTCTTCTTCTGTAGGAAGTTAATCAAGTGTTTGTCATTACATCTTTATCCTCACCGTGTCTTTGATTTTCAAATATCTTACACCAAAATCCGAAAGTTTTAGTGATAATATAAATTGGTAAATTTCTAGCTAGATAAATGAATATACGCACACCCCAACTTTATAGTAAAACTCTCATTGTGTTTCAAATGAAGTCAGCGTCTCTCTCATATATACAAAAATTTCTCTTGTTGAGCTACATGAGAGTTAATAGTTGACCTCAAAACAAAAATGTAGTGTCTTATTAAAGACATTTAATAAGTGTCTCTCTCATTAAAATGTTAACTTTACCCAAATTACTTGTGATTGCTATGTGCCAGAATCATCTACAAAAAGAAACCAGAGAAAACATTATGCCAGGAATATTTCAGCATAAAAATTAGCTTTTATATTATTCTTTCATAAAAAATGTTTATTTTGCTACTTTTTTGTCATTTGTAGCAGATATATTGAACAAAAACAGTGGAGAATGTTCATGTGATGAATAATATCTTTCCTTTTCCTTTCATCAGATATTTTCTCAATGATTTCTGACTCCAGTGGGGTGATGGTTTATGGACGATATGACCAATTCCTTCGGGAAGTTCTCAAACTACCCACGGCAGTTTTTGAAGGTCCTTCATTTGGTTACACAGAACAGTCAGCCAGATCCTGTTTCTCCCAACAGGTAGGAGAAAAATATGTTTAAGGAAGTATCTCTTTCAAACAGTGGTTGCTCTCCTTCTAGATGTCATTCCAGGTCACAGATACTCAGACAAATTATTCTGTGTGATAGCAACCTGTATTGTATTTTTCAGCCTCTGGCAAATGACCTCTGAGCCAGTAACTAAACCCAGCACATCTGGATCACAATAATAGACAGTGTTTACTGACCATGAGGCAGGCACTGTGCTAAATTTTTTCCTTTCATTGTCTAATTTAATCCCTACAACAACCCTTCTGTGTTAGTCTCTTTTCACACTGCTATAAAGACATACCCGAGACTGGGTAATTTATAAAGAAAAGAGGTTTAACAGACTCACAGTTCCGCCTCAGGAAACTTACAATCCTGGTGGAAGGTGAAGGGAAGCAAAGACCTACCTTCTTCACATGGCGACAGGAAAGAGAAAGAATGAAAAGCCCAGGGGAATCTGCCATTTATAACACCATCGGATCTCCTGAGAACTCCCTCACTATCATGAAAACAGCATGGGGGAACCACCCCATGATCCAATCACCTCCCACCAGGTCTCTCCCTCAACACCTGGGAATTACAGTTCAAGATGGGATTGGGTGGGGACACAAAGCCTTACCATATCACCTACACCCTCAGTGTCATTATTTTTACTATCACTGCACTTTCAAAAGGGCTTAATTGTCTCACTCAGCCTCATGTGAAATATATGCTTGACCCGGCAACAAGCTTTAACATTGGTTTAGCAAAGGATACCAGAAAGGAATCCCAACATCTGCCACATCATGACCTGAGAGGCCCAAAATATGGTAAACACAGCTGCCTGAATCTTCTACAGCATGACACATTTGGGGTTCCAAGTGATGTGTTTTAACTGGGTATGGCTCAAGCTACCCTGGGAAGCTGCATAGTTTAGGGGGCTATCTATGTGTGTACCTCTCTGGTCATGTAGAGAGACTCCAGGCCCATTCTCCAGCGTAGCCCAGTGGTAGCATAGAAATCCATACATTAAAGGTTAGTTTACCATTTTTTGAGAATCCAAACTAACTTTTTTGTCCTCTAAAAATGCCTCTTGACTGGGTGTGGTGGCTCACTCCTATAATCCCAGGACTTTGGGAGGCCGAGGCTCAGGAGCTCAGGAGTTCAAAACCAGTGTGAGCAACATAGGGAAACCCCATTTCTACGAAAAATTTTTAAAACATAGCCAGGCATGGTGGTACATGCTTGTAGTCCTAGCTTCTCAGGAGGCTGAGGCAGGAGGATAGCTTAAGCCCGGATGGCGCCACTGCATTCCAGCCTGGGCGACAGAGCAAGGCCCTGTCTCAAAAAAAAAAAAAAAGGTATATCCCTGCCCCATAAAATGCATACAACAAATGCTCACTACACAGCTTTATGGATTAAGAGTCAGGAAGTCTTTTCTTTTTACTGAAATTAACTTTTAAAAGTGTCAATAGGCCGGGTGAGGTGGCTCACTCCTGTAAGCCCAGCACTTTGGGAGGCCAAGGCGGGCGGATCACAAGGTCAGGAGTTTGAGACCAGCCTGTCCAATATGTTGAAACCCCGTCTCTACTAAAAATACAAAAATTAGCCGGGCATGGTGGCAGGCACCTGTAGTCCCAGCTAGAAGCAGGAGAATTGCTTGAACCCGTGAGGCAGAGGTTGCAGTGAGCCAAGATTGTGCCACTGCACTCCAGCCTGGGAGACAAAGCAAGACTCCATCTCAAAAAAAAAAAAAAAAAAAAAGTCAATCACTTCAAAACACAAATCTATTTTTTCATTCAATTTTACTGCTTTCCAACTTTTCTCATGGCATGCTAAATGTATGGCTCCTTTTATTTTTACAGTGCTTTATGCCTCACAAAGTGAATTATCTGATTTATGGCTTGCAACAACCCTGTGACCTAACAAGGAAAATATGATTCTTTTTTAACAATATAAAGTTCATAGCTAGTGAGGGCAGGGGGCTGAGTTTTTAACTCTGGTCTTCTAATTCCATCTGTTAATGTTATTCTTGTGTTCTTGTTGTTGTTGCTTTTGTTTTGTGCACTTTCAGTTCATATTTACAAATATGCAGATGATCTGACTCAAGGAAATGTAACTACCTGTTGTATTACTTCACCCAGTCATGGAAACAAGAATAATTTCATTTATAACTGAATTCTTGAATTTTAGTTAGTGTATTATAGAATAATTGGTAAATGTGCTAATGCCTCAGAATATATGTCTCATTCAAAATCAGCTAGAATAATAGGACTGGGTTTTAAAAAAAAAATCTTAAAAGGACCTATGCTGGTGTGATGGCTCACACAGTAATCCTAGCACTGAGAGGCTGAGGCAGGAGGAGAGCTTGAGTCCAGCAGTTCAAGACCAGCCTGGACAACATAGTAAGATCTCATCTCTGAAAAAAAAAAAAAATTAAACAATTAGCCAGGTGTGGTGGCACACACTTATAGTCCCAGCTACTTGGGAGGCTGAGATGAGAGGATCCCTTTAGCCCAGGTGTTCAAGGTTGCAGTGAGCTATAATTGTGCCACTGCACTCCAGCCTGGGCAGCAGAGTGAGATCCTGTCTCTAAAAGAAAAAAAAAAGAGAAAAAAGGACCTATGTGTTCAAGAATTATATGTGATGTTGACATGTTCAAAATTCCTTTTGAAATATCCTATAGACTGTTCTGTTATATGATTTATATATATCCTTAATGATAAGCAACTTATACATGTTGAAATCATAATAGCATTGTTGGAAACTTCCAGGAGTGCTTTTTAGCAAGTATGACAAATAGTCAAAATGAATAAGATCATTTCAAATATGAAAAGAGGTAACACAAAAATAATAAGACCAGTTTATTTTTGTACTTAATGAATTGGCTATTAACAGCTACTCAAGAGTCTGAGGTAGGTAGGAGGAGGTAGGAAGACAGCTTGAGACCAGGAGTTAGAGTCCAGCCTGGGCAACATAATGAGACCCCATCTTTCAAGCAAATAAATAAAATATTTTAAAAAATAAATAAATAAAATTATCCCATCCCCTTTGATATTCTAGTTCAAAATTTCAAGTAGTGATTTTTGCATATAAATATGTATTTTTTTATTTATACCATTACAGTACATGTATTAATATAGCTTTCTTACTTTTATCATTTTGAAAGAAACTTATAGATACAATGCATTCCTTTTGTACATCCAAAAGGACCTGGATAGTGAGAAAGAAGCAGACTGAATTGAGAGGAATTATATATAAAGTAATAAAAGGAGCAAATTTTTAAAAATGTAGATGGTTCTGTCCTAACAGGATTCCCTCCTGCTCTTGTATAACAGAACCATTCACATTAACCACTAAATATTTAGTACTTAAGGAAGTTGAGGAAGCTCAGAAGGGAAGTTGTTCTATAAATTTAGAAGACTGACTGACAGGAAAATTGTAGAGTGAGCTATGATGCGTTCTTGAGTAAAATTCCATGGAGAATTTCCATTCTTTATTTTGCTTCATTATTTTTATACTGTCTTTCATATATACAAATGATGCTCTTGGAATTGTTTTTCTCCTGGTGATACTATTGACTCAGCCTCAGTGGAGAGAATTCAGTCCTATGTCTGCTTAGGTATAAAAAGCAAACGATGTTTTCAGTTCTAAACTAGTTTAATAACACATTTGGCAAGTTCTGTTTCTTCAGATATTAGACATTTATTGAGTGCTCTTTTGTTTCAGTCTCAAATGATATGATATTTACATAGCAGGTAAATTGAGATGATTCTCTGTCCTAAATTTATGGGGGGTTTTTTTATGCAGAAAAAAGTCACGTTAAATGGTTTCTTGGACACGCTTATGTCAGATCCTCCCCCGCAGTGTCTGGTCTGGTTGCCTCTTCTGCATCGACTAGCAAATGTGGAAAATGGTGAGTAGTTACTAAGGAGCAAAGGTGATTTTTTAAATTATTGAAATTAGGCCATTAGTTCTACAGTTAGTAAGCCCAGGCTGTTGTTTTAGGGAAGCCTATTTAGTGGCTCTTAGTTTTGTTTAGGGTAGAACTAACCCATCTCCCTGTTCGGGAAGGCCTTAAAGGACCACTGAAAAATTAGGACTGTCAGTTCCAAAAATAAATCTCATGGTCTTCTTCTCAATTACAAGTCAGGTGTGGTTAAAAGACTTGGCACGATAGAAGGCGAACTTCAACAAGGAGTGTGACATTATTTTGTATTTGTTTTAGATCCGAATTTCTCATATTTGCATACACGGTACTGATTATTTCTTCCCAGGCACTCAGCCAGAAATAGGTGGGAGAAATGAGAAAAAAAAATAGATGATAGCACCCTGTTAATCTTTAGTCATATGTTCCAGATTGTGAGCTTTCAATAGTTGTACTTACGTTAAAGATAAGAGTAAAATAACTTTCGTATCATGTCTTTTTTTAAAGCAAGTATTTCTAGGATAAAAGGAACTACTGTTGGCATATCCAGATTTAAATATGAAATACCATTTGGGGCAAAATTTACAGAAAATTAAACATGGAGCAGTTCAGTGCCTCCATCTAATCTTTAGGTGTTCCTACTTATTGTTCAATGTAACTCTGAAATTTCTCCAGACTTGACGAGGAAATAATTTAGTCTCTATCTCTTACTGAGATTTAACTTAAGTCTCTATATATTACTCAACTTCTGTGTATTTCTTTAATATACATTGCAGCTAAAGTTAGCTTAATTTTAAATTATCATTCAGAATTTTTAGCATCTGCCCTTATTTATCTGTTAGTTAGAAGTTATGAATTTATCCTGTTTTTCTCATGGAGAAAATTTAAAGAATGAATTTATTTTATTTTTTTGCAATCACTAACAATCATAGTTTTTTTATGTTTATCCATATGCAGAAGCGAAGAGCAATCAAGGTCCATGTTATTATGCAAAATGAGTTCACGTTACTGTTTACAGTTCTAGAACTAGTCATTTTCCAATCATAAAGCTATAATTTCTTTCGTTCTCTCTCAGCATTTCCTGCTGCAGGAGATCAGTTTCTTAGGCACCATCCCAGAACAGTTGTCCCTAGATTGAAGTCCCACTCTAGTCTTTCTCAAGAGCCGGGAAGAAAGGTTATGACACTTGTTTAGAAGACAATGCGTCCAGAGCTAGTTATGTCTTTGTTTTTACACTTTGCTTTTTATCTTCATTTATTATTATTTTCATTGTTTTTCCTGACTGGTTAGGCCGGAGAATAGCTTTACCAAAGGCAAGAATTGTTATTGTTGTTTTAGTATCTAGCTCATAGCATGTAGACAATTACTTGGATTTGATCACTTAAATCTAATATTTTACTTTGCTTCAAATCTAGTATTTTGCTTTGCCTGCTTTATAATTCAAATTTCCTACCAAAGAAAGTTAACCGTCTCTTGAGGCATTTGAATTATTTAGAACTGTTTTCAGATAATTTGCACATCTTTTTTAGGGCCCTATACACCTGCCTCAGGAAAGAAAAAAAAATCTGTTTGTCAGATGTAGGCAACACCACTCGTTAAGTAAGCCATTAGTCACTCTATTTTTTAAAAAATAACTTAATTATCTCATCCACACCAGTTTTCCATTCTCTGCCCATCTTCCTTTCTTTTTTCTTCCTCTCATTCTCCGTGTCTCTGATATTCGCTCTCTTCCCACTGGACAATCAGCATTCACCCCTTGTGCTTCTGAGTCTTCCAGTGAGCTGTGCTGGTCTCCTGGAGACAGAGAGCAGTTTGGGGTAAAGGCAAGTCTGTTTGGCTAATTTAAATTCTTGTAATGTGAGAGATGGGAATAGAAAGAGCAAATGGCATTACAGAGATTTTTGTTGTTAAAAGGACACCTCTTCTCCATCCCATTTCATTTCATTTCCCCACAGGCATGATTGAAAAGGGTTGTAAGATTCCAGGAATGAACTAAATGTTTCTCTGAGCCCAAATCAACTATCATCTGAAATCGTGGTGCAGAGAAGAAAGGTGCAATTCCTGTAAGGCTGTATTTTTCCTTCTTCTGGTTCATACTTTTGTTTTCTTGGTTTTTCTTCACTTACTTCCCCCTTAGTCTTCCATCCGGTTGAGTGTTCCTACTGCCACAGTGAGAGTATGATGGGATTTCGCTACCGATGCCAACAGTGTCACAATTACCAGCTCTGTCAGGACTGCTTCTGGAGGGGACATGCCGGTGGTTCTCATAGCAACCAGCACCAAATGAAAGAGTACACGTCATGGGTAAGGCAAGGTCCAGGCAATACTTGGAGTTGGATGTGTGAGTGTTGCCCAGAGTTAAAGGGAATATCAAGGATGGTGGCAGAATTAAAGGGCAAACTTACCTTCCATCCCAGGTCTAGTATTCAGTCCCCCTTCCTCCCACTCTCCACCCTACTGCGTGCTCTTACTTATTCTGTTGGAACCCAGTGTAGCTTCCTGAGATTTAAAATATAGGAAGACTCAAAACTATGTTACTTCTTGGAATATAGATAATTCAGTACTGATTTAAATAACAACTGAATAGCAAGGACCTTCTGGAACATAATCTTACATTCACAGTAAGTTAAAATCTTTTCCAAGTTTTGTTTTGTGGAAACGGCTTAAAAATTATTGTTAGTTTTATTTTTCTTAGATTCTGGAGTTCTTTTAAGTGCGTGACTAGAATATTAAAGAAACAAGTATGAGAGGAGAGTGTGGACTTAATAATACTGTTCCATTTTACTTTTCTGCAGAGGGTGGGGAGGGGAGATTGTGGTTATATTAGCAAACCATCTTTTCATGAAGAGTGTGAGTGACCAACCTGGCAAAGGTGGCATGTGAGTGTCTGTGTGATAGATGTATTCTCAGGAGCATGTGGTACCAGGTCTGTGGGAGGAAATGTGACTCCATGTGCTCACTGTTCAAATGGATTATGATTTACTGATGTTTATCTTCGTTAAACTCAAAGATCAGTTCCAGCAATGTTGCCCTCGTGCATCTCTTCAAGGATTGGTTTTTGTAAGGTGTACAGATTGGTTCTTGTGGGATATACCATCAGCCCTTCCAGCACCTCTTGGAATAGTTCCGTCACAAGAAAATCCAACCTATTTATGAGTTTTTCTATATTTTAATATATTTCAATTCAACCTTTAGTCTTTACTTAAAGAAGTCTTCAGAATATACATCTTAAATCAAAATGTTCTTCCTAGGAATTATTATTGGGAACCAATATTCAGTGTAAATATACTAGTACTTCATCACCGGTCAGATTCTGAATTCAAGCAACAGTTCTTCACTAAGGAAGAGTATACTGAGAACTTGCCAATTCCAATGCAACTCCTCACTGTTGTTTATGTCATGCTGAGGACAGATAGATACATTAACACGGATCATGAACTACAACTTAGTTTAGAAGAAAGGAGCTAAAACTTTCTATTTTCTTATTGTTAGCATATTACCAGTTTTCAAACTTCTACCCCATATCCTAAAAGATTTGATGTTTGAAAACTAATCAGATTTAGTTGTTTTACATAAATGCTAAATCTACATAAGGAGCCTCTTTCTTAGGGGTTGTAGACCTAACATTATATTCCAGGGCACTATCTGTACAAAGAAGGATCAGACTCCTTGAGAGGACAGAAGGCCCTGTGGTTTGTGGGGCAAAGAGCTGCTGTTGCTGCTGTCTTAACTGTTCTAAGAATTACATCTCCTAACAAAAGCCAGAGGGATTTCTTGAGCAATGCTCTTATTACTTAGCTTTTAAAAAATGAGGACAATAGTCACTTCATTATATTACCAATTATGGACTCTAGGTATAAAAGAAAGTGACAAAATTTGAAATGGTTTCTTATGGAAAGGAAAAACATGGTTAAGGTTTTATTATTATGTTGGTGCAAAAGCAATTGCGGTTTTTGCCATTACTTTCAAATGGCAAAAACCGCAATTGCTTTTGCACCAACCTAATGTATGTGGTAGGCTACTTTTTATAAAATTTTGACTGTATAACATCAGGATAAATTTCCCAACAATCTAAACGAAGAAGAGGCAGCGTGATTCTCTGGAAATAACCTGAATTTTAAATTCTGAAGACTCAGATTGAAGTTCCATTTTCACTTCTAACTGGATGTGTTCAGCCACACCTGAAACATCTTTCTTGCACCTGGATTCCCGCAAAATCTTCCACTCATCTTCATTCCAAGCCTATTTCCTCACAAACCATTTTCTGTTCTTAAGTGAGAGCAGTCCTTCTAGAATCAGGTCTGATGCTGTCATGCCTGTGATGTAAACTCTTCATGGTCTGCCTCTGTCCTGGGGATAAAGAGACAGTTCTTAACAAGCCATATAAAGATTTTGATGATCTGCCTCCTGCTTTCCTCCCCAGAAGGGCTCCCTTCACTGTTGCTGCTTCCTCCATTCTCGAATGACCTTCCCAGTCTGCTGAGTTTTTGTCAGAAGGATTCCTGCAGGCCCATTAAGTCCCAGCGCAGGTGCCCCATGCACAATGCCTGCTTCCATTTATTGTAGCATTTGCTGACACTGAGCAGCAGGAGGCAGCTTGTTCGGAAACTCTTTTCCGAGCATTGAGCAAACTTCCAGACTCAGAATCAGCACTGAAAAAGGATTTCTTCCGTAAATGAATATCTATTATGAAAAGCAAATCATTTGATAAAATATTACATAAATATTAGCTGTTGTCACTTCTGCCTTCCTTCTTCTTTCCAGAAATCACCTGCTAAGAAGCTGACTAATGCATTAAGCAAGTCCCTGAGCTGTGCTTCCAGCCGTGAACCTTTGCACCCCATGTTCCCAGATCAGCCTGAGAAGCCACTCAACTTGGCTCACATCGTGTGAGTATCCCTACCCTCCCAGTATAGAGACAATTTTCTTCAAGGGCACATGTCTGGAGCCACACAAAAGCAATTTCCTATCAGTGGTCAGCAACCAAGATTTTTAATTTAGTTTAAAAAAAAAAGTCAGAGTAATGCCATCATAATTTTTTGTTGTTGTTGAGGTGTACAGTACTTCCACCAGGCTGGACAAGTAAAGTATGCAACACTAACATAATTCACCTGGAGGTGGAAAATATTTCAGAAAGCTTAGTTATAAAATACGGATGTTAGTGGTGTCTGCACATTGGAAGTTAACAATGGGATCACTGTGGTAAAAAATGATTTACAGTATATTATTCCTTAATTTCATATGTGCTTTGAGTTCCAAATATAAAAGCTGTTTGTTTTATTTCTCTGCAGACCCAGTTTAAGATGCCAGCAAACCTAGAAATTACTTTTGTTTTTCATCCCAAGCTGTATAACTTTAGAAGAATCATAGCCTGTGCAGGGGAAGGTTGAAGAGGGGGAGTGGCGGGAAAATTTATCAGAATATCCATAGATTCTTTTCTTCAAAGTATGTGTGAGTTTCGTGGCAGAAGGTGTTGGGCCAACAAACAGTCCTTCCAGCCATCCCTGCTACCTCCCAGAAGTTTCATGCCTTTGAACCTCTCTCAGGCCTGGGTGGCCAAGATAACAAGGGGGCTTAGGTAGAAGAAACAATTTTTTCCTTGGTGTTACCTGGGGCTCATAAGAAGAAAGAGTCTCATTACCTGCTTCTATGCACAATTAGATGTCATGTAGTCACAGATGCCTCCTTATGAACTGCCTGTAGTTTTCCACACTTCAGTGGGACCTATCACACCATAGGGCCTGTGTTTGCATGTTGACATCAAGAGGTGGGTGACGGGACCTACCGGTATAGGAATTCAACAATGCAAAGTTCATGCTTCAGGCAGTTCAGCATATGATCCATAAGGGGCACTGTGGTGGGTATGAGACCTTCGTGGAAGCAGCAACTATGTTCTCTGATGGACCTTAGCAAATACCACCAAACGATTTGTGTTGGGTCACGTCTGTGAGCTTTGTATAAATACTTTGGGGCTTTGTTTTGCTTGTTCCCGGGGATGCTCTGAGGCATCTCTGACCTCAGCAGTATACACAGCCTGGAGGCTCCTGTTTCTCAGCTTACAAGCTGGCATGGGCTCAGCCTCCAGAAACTAATGTAAACTAATTCTGTAGAATGTGGCTAGCTTATTTTTGGAAATTATGTTTCTATAAATAAGCCTTAAAATAAGCCAGGGGTAAATAAATCTGGGGAATGTCCCAAAGGGCCAACCACTTGCAGAAATCTACCTCACAGATGCTTATTAAGAACCTTATTAAGATCTAGACTTTCCTTCCCATAACCAATTAGACACAATCACTAAGTTGCTAATGAATGACCACAGCGAAGTGAGAGCAGCCAGTGCTCCCTGAGCTCTGCCGAGAGTAATTTCCTACCAGCCCTGCTGGGAGTTTCACCCCAAGAGAGCAGCCTTCAACAGAGCTGCTGGGTGTCATGAAGATAGAGGGTGTGGGTGTGAATAGCCTGGCTCTAAGAGCTTTGCTGCTTCCCACTCCTCCAAAGAATTAGAACGTGATGCACTGCAACGTAAAAGTCCATTTCACAGTGAGTCCCACTGGAGTATTATCTAGCTCAGGGCCTGTACCCAGTGGGTGCTAGGATTGGGTGGTGTGTGTGTGTGTGTGCACGTGTGTGTCTGCATGAGAGAGAGAAAGAGAGGGAGAAAGAAGTATTTAATTGGCTGAGTAATAATTTTTACATTTTGACTTACGGGGCAATATAATCTGTTTTGTTATTTATTGAATTAACTGAGGGCTATAGCCTCACAATGCGTTCTTAGTTTATGTTCCATGGAGAGATTTTAAAATTCTGTACAAAATGTGTCTTCTGAGAAAAACCTCTATGTATTTTACCAGATCCTCAAGAGTCCTTGAATCAAAATACTGATCTCTACTCACTGATAACATATTTTCCCAGGATGAAAGTTTTAATTTTAAAATGCAAATTGTACAAGATATTTAATTGTTGAAATAACATACAAGACATTCTGGATGTAGAATGTTAAGTCTATATTAGAAAAGAATTTTTTTTCTATTTTTAGCCATAGAAATTTTTTCCATATTTGTTTCTTTTTCAAATGCTATTGTCATGAGTAGATATCCATGTCTTTTTTCTGAGATTTCTAATTTTAAAATGCATTGCTCATTTAACTATTCTAAATTATCATAGGCACATCAAGGCCATTGAAATGAAAAAATAAATGGTATTAAGCCTTAATCATTTACAAAGAAGAATGCTCTCTTAATCTGCTATAATGAACATGTACATGGAATTAATGAATATTCACACTTCTTCCAAATGTATGTAAATAAGATTTTGATAAATTAGACAAAAATATATGACATTCCATACCATGTCATTTTATAATAAGCCCACTACTTTTATACAGTGCTGTACAATGGAAATAAGTGAAATTTAAGAAATAAAACACACCAATACTCCCACCTCCACTTAATGCGCTTAATTTATTACTCCCAAATATGACTTAAATTATAAAGGTCTTATGCAGAAGGAATATTGTCATAGTGCAGAAATGTGTATAGTAAGACACTTTATCATTGAGTCTCTAGCAAAAATCATCCTAAAAGTATGTTCCTTAGAACTATACATAGCAATAAACATGTTTTCTAGCTATAGCTCTGTCTTGGTCATCCTCATTCCCTCTCTGATCTTTCCCCTTGCTTTACTAAATAATTTATTAAGCAATCTTTAATTGTAGTACAAACCACATCTTTGTCATTCTTTGGATGTAGTGTCACAAAAATATCCCAGTCCACATCAGTTACACCCATAGATAAGCTTACAGACAGAGGTAAGAAGGGAGCAGTGAGTGGGGTGCAAGCATTGGCAATATTGATGGGCATCCTCTGTCCTGTACTGATGACCTGAGGTTCTGGACATTGGGAATTATAGCACAGACTCAAAATAAAACATTTTTTTGCCACTGTGAAAAAGTGTGTTGATTTTGTAAATTAATACAAATTCTTCAAAGACATATTCAGAAAAAAATTCCATGATGTACATGTTTAAGTGAAGGATAACTGTATGTCCTTACATAGTGCTGAAATATGTAGAACATTATAGAGCTCATGGATATAAAATTTGATGTTGAACATTATACAGTCTTCTTAAATGCACATCTTGCTGTTTAATGATTGTGTTAAAAATTGCTGGCCAGGCACAGTGGCTCACGCCTGTAATCCCAGCACTTGGGGAGGCTGAGGCGGGCGGATCACGAGGTCAGGAGATCGAGACCATCCTGGTTAACACGATGAAACCCCGTCTGTACTAAAAATACAAAAAAAATAGCCGGGCGTGGTGGTGGGCGCCTGTAGTCCCAGCTACTCGGGATGCTGAGGCAGGAGAATGGCGTGAACCAGGGAGGCGGAGGTTGCAGTGAGCCGAGATCGCGCCACCGCACTCCAGCCTAGGCGACAGAGCAAGACGCCATCTCAAAAAAAAAAAAAAATTTTTTTTACTACATGGCACATGTATACCTACGTAACAAACCTGCAGGTTCTGCACATGTACCCCAGAACTTAAAGTAAAATAAAAAAAATGCTGTTAGTCCTCTAATATATATTGCATCCAAAGGTGAGCAGCAAAAGCATTATAAGATACAAATAAAATTAAGAAAATAATAAGTGGAAAATGCTTTATCAATACATTAGAAAATATTTTTATTACTCATTTAAAACTCAAGTTCCAACTTTTTCTTTTTTCTTCTTTTTTTATTTTTTGTAGAAATAGGGCCTCTCTATATTACCCAGGCTGGTCTGGAACTCCTAGGCTGAGATTACAAGTGTGAGCCACCATACCTGGCCACAACTTAAATGTGAAAAAATGGCAAAAATATGGCACAGTCTGACTATGTAACAAGTTAACATTTTACAGGTAGCCTTAGATACAGTAAAAAAAAAAAAAAAAAAAAATTAAATCAATAGGATTTTTAAACAGGTTGCGGTACTAATACACACACATATACACACACATACATACATTTGTATATGGAAATGAAGCATGTGACACACAGAAAATGCCATTTTTTTTTTAACTATAGCCAAGGGACTTTTTTTTTCTACCCACCTTGTAGAGAGGTGCTGCCAGTCATGAATTAGTCCTTAAATAGAAATGAGCAGGTGGTGACATTTTGGTATTTTGACATTTGTTCTTAGCTATTGTATTGCTTGTAAATATTACCATGATTAACGGTCTCTATTCTGTTCAATTCTTCGCTGCCAAAAGTGATACTTGGTAAGTAGTGCAGTCATTTCCAGTCTACTTACAAAGATGTATAATCATGATCATAAGTGGGGATGAGACACAAAACAAGTGAGCAATATGAGGCTAGTTTAGAACTAAGTCTTCTTATGCTGTACACTCAGTTCACAAGGATGCCACTTATATAAAAATGTCCTCTGTGAAGATCTTGTCCAGAAGGCCATTGTGACTTACTCTCTTTTGTGGAGCTGTTTCTTTTACATAAAACCAAATATGTTCAAAATTCCCAGTGTGAGCCATTTGTTAGATAAGGTAACTTGCCATTTGATTGTGGAAGAAATAGGAATTTCAGTCCCTCTGAAAACCATCATTTGGTGCCAGAGCTAGCCATTCTTTGTCCAAAGTTCAACATTTCAGTGGTAGACCTTAAACAAAGCCATTTGCTGAGAAACCTTGATTTCAGCTTTGTAGTGACCAGATTCAATAGAATACATTTATCAAGCTAGTTAAAAAGCATTCTAAATCCACTTGTTTTCTCATTTTTAGACAGAGCAAGAAGGAAAAATTTTTAAAAAAAGACAAAATCAGAAGTGTGGGGTCAAGTATTTTTTTCAACTCTTTGCAAAGCTACAATGAAGATATTATACTCTGTTCACTGTTTTAAAATCTAACAGACCAAACTTTTCATAATTCACAGAGGACATTTGTATAAAATTAGCATCCTTCTTCCAAAGTGCTAGTGTTCAACTCAAGGCAGAATTAGTTTTAAACTAGCCTTGCGTTGCTCCCTTATATATCAAAGATATGTCTTAGATAAGTAATGCAAAACACTAAGATTGTTTTCAGAACTTCAGTTTTGTCTAGAGTAGATAAGTAGCTGTTGTTTTGGCTTCATCCAACAGATGACATGTCTTACAAAATCTCAGAGTATAGTTTAGCACCAGCTACCTTGAAAAAAGTTTTGATGAATTTGTTATTTTTTATTTTTTTATTTTTATTTTTCCATAAGTTATTGGGGTACAGGTGGCATTTGGTTCATGAGTAAGTTCTTTAGTGGTGATTTGTGAGATTTTGGTGCACCCATCACTCGAGCAGTATACACTGTACCATATTTGTGATCTTTTATCCCTAACCCCAGAGACTTATTCTAAGTCTCAATGAATTTTTGCATGTAGTATTGACATTTTAAAGCCTGCAGAGCTTCAGGTCCATTCCATTCAATACATTGGGATATGCAAGTCTACCTTTTTCCCAGAATGTCTTCATTGTAGAATCCAAAGCTGTTCTCTAAGGTAAAAATTAAACCATTTACAAATTTGGATCTTAATTATGCCAATATAAATTGATTCTTTAGGCTGCTATAATTAATGTCTCATCTTCAAAACGTTCTATACTGTCAAACTCAAATATAGAATTATAGTGAAACTGAAATTTCCTCTGATTCAGAAAATGCTCCACCTCATTTTCCATCTTTTGAACTCTAAGTCCCATCTCATATTACCATTCATTATCCTATATTGAACCTAAAAAAGGGTAAAAATGGCTTGGAGATGAGATAGGGATCTTAGCCCTATCATTTTACCTGAACTAAAACATTCATGATGGGGAAAGAATGACAGAATGAAATGAAAATCAGATGAAGGAAGACAGACTCCATGCAGTTGGTGTGTAGAACCATGAACAATTCTGAGGAAAATTGAATTCTGTTTTCCTTCTCTTATCATAAGAAAACAAGTGAAGCTTATGGGATGCTGTACACCACATACTCTATCATATGGATCACCCAAACAACAGAAACTAACTTCATATATCCTTGTGGAGCTTACTTGCATCTTCACTTAGAACAAAGGCAAATAAGGTATGATATGATTTTACAGCCTGTGTCCTTTCAGACCAGGCATGTTGGAGAGGCCCATCATCATGGAGAACACAGAAGGAACCTTTCAAAGCCTCAGGAATCTTCCTCTTTCCAAGAGAATATAGATTCAATGATCAGGTCTTCAAGGCTTCTTGAGAAGGCAGTAGAAGTAAAGCCACTACCTTCTTCAAAATCCTTGCTTCATTCCAGAATATTATACAATGAAACATCAAGGCTCAAAGCTCATGCATCAGTATTCACATGGTGTCTGGAGATCTTCCTCCCAGTGTTTACCTGAGATTATATATTCTCAAGGAAATGTAACTTTAAAACACTTAAGGAATTTAATTGGAAAATATAAGATTTCTTGTTGATCCTGGGAAAGGTAGAACCCAGATCTTCCCATCCCGTTTCCTGGAGGGATGAGGGAGAGTTTTAAATTTGTGACTTTTATTTGTTTTAACTTTCCATTCACCCTGTGTTTTGTTTTAGGCCTCCCAGACCTGTAACCAGCATGAACGACACCCTGTTCTCCCACTCTGTTCCCTCCTCAGGAAGTCCTTTTATTACCAGGAGGTAAGTTCCAACCCTATTATAAAATAAGCCCTTTCTTTGGTAATGAGCCTTGATTCTGTGGTAAGAAAAATATTCTCATGCAAGCCAAGGGCAGAATATTGTTACTAGAAACTAACTTGCAAATATCCATTATAAGTTTTCAATTTCATTCATTTGTATGCATTTAAAGAGGGGTAGGGTGGCTTTGGGGATTAATGTCATGTCTGGAAACCTGCATTTATAATTTACCCACAGTAAGAATGTGAGGGTATGTTTCAGTTTTACTACTGACACACATGCATCCCATCTCATTAAGGAAGTCACGTTCATAGTCCTCAGAGTTGAAGTCAAAGAACTGGAATTTCAGGATGCAATGGTGTGTTACTATATAAATGGTGAAATGTGTCATTATTTAAAGCTAAGATACAAAAGAATCCTTTGTTGGTGAACCCTGGAGTTCCTGAGGCTAGAGGATAAAGACCAAACTTGGAAATGTAGTTTCCATATAAGTAATTTCACGATAATAATAAGAACTTTTTTAAAAGGTGGATCTGCATCTCATTTCTTTGCACAAGATCCATTGCCATGTGAGCAAGAAACAGGAGAAGCAAATATTTCTCTAAGAGTTAGCATCAGACATATGCAGGGTCAAGAGGTGCTCTGAGTCATTTGATCAAATATTGCAAATCAAGCACCAGATAATTATTTTATAAATACATGGAGAAGGCTCACGGGAAAGCAAAAACAAAGGTAAGGAAAATTGGAGTGAGTAATTGAACATAAGATTTCAAATGCCTTTCAGCAGAAAAAAAGTACAGCCTCATATTTCACAAAATGCACATAATTCATCTTTTCCCTGAAGAGGTTTATAAGGTGCCAGTTTCACTGTAATATCCTGGTACATTCAACTGAGGATTTGAAGACAATGAGACTAAGAACACAGCTGATTTTTTTTCCTCTGAGTTCCTGTATGTGCCCATCAACAGGAACCTGAGATGAAGATGTTCCCCATAATTGTAATTAGCAGAATAAACAGAATATGGCAGAAAATGGGGTTTCTGATGTATAAACGAGGTCTGTAACAAGTGGAAATAAGGAAACAGTTATACAGCAGAACATCCACAGTAAAATAATATGGTTTAGGCCCTCAGTAACTTCCTTTTAGCACTCTTTTTTAGAATCACCAGCAAATGCAACCATTTTTTTTTTCTGGAATGAAATCATAAACTGTAAAATCTGTAAAAGACACAGGTCTGTGCATCTATCTAGGGAAGACCTGATGTGATGTTTAGAAATATGTACTTTTATTAGGAAGCTCTGCATTCTGCAAATATCAAGCAGAGGTAGACCCCATCCTTACTGAAGGTCATTTTATATCATTTCAGCTCGGACGGTGCTTTTGGTGGATGCGTCTAGATGGATAACATGACTTCTTCTACCCTAAAATATTCCTATAATACTTTGAGCTGTTCTGGTTCCTCCAGGGTGCATGGTACCCATTAACCCAAAATATGATTATTTCCCTTTTTTCCCATTTTCAGTCATTTTGGAATGTTCTCTGTGAACCACAGTTGTGTTGTTTAAAGCTCACATTTCTTTCTGTCACCACAGAGATTGGCCTACGGTTTCTGTTTTGAGGGTGCTGTTCAATAAAGCTGTGTACACTAAATGTCTTTCCTCTCTGAGTGGGCCTTGCTCTGTCCATGGGAAGTTTTAATGAGGTCTCATTGTTTGACTCCCTCAGGTTACCTGAGGGAATAAGTGCATCCAGCCCTGTGGCTGAAGAGCATTCCCTCATAAAGCTGTACGTAAATCAGCTTGATCACGGTGCACGGTCAGTATCCCAGCCCTGAATTGCTAATCGTAGTAGTAGTTCCATAGCTAGACTGATAAGTCATTCTACTCTGGCACTAAAATCCTCTCATAGTACGTCTTATTGGAGATAGAGGTCTTCTGGGGTTTAATGAAATTGTGTTGAGACTTTTCAACTTGAGCTGGACTTTGCAGCTCTTTCCTCTCCTTTCCACATATTTTATGGATTTCATAGCCTCATACCGGTATATAAGAGATGTATATATGTGAAATGTATCAAGCTGGATCTTGTTTGGACAAGTCTCTGCTTTTGTACAATTTGCAAAAAACCCAGATGGTAATTTCTAAGACTCTTGAATTAAGGAGTCTGTTGGAAAGATCTTTAGCATTAACTAGGTGAGGCTAGGACAATGTCATGTAGCTGGACCTCTTTGCAGTTAAAGACTTGAGGACTTGTACCTTTCTGTCCTATTGGACCTGGTCCATTTTCCCCCCAGGGAGGGAAGTCTGATTCCTAATGAAGTAACAATTTCAAAAACAGTTTCTTGCTCTCTGTGCTTATTCTCTATCACTTGATAATGCTGGTGGTGAATCACTTTTGTTTTCTTAATCGTGTCGATAAACTAAGATGGATAGAAATCTATCATGCCAGATGTAGGCAAAAGTTAAAGGTTCTATACTTCTATCATTGAAACAGAACCAAAGAAATATGACCTATGGCTCTGCCCTCACCCCTAGCCCATCCCAACAATGAAATAAAACCTAAGCAAGCCAAGTATAGTGCCAGTCAGTATAGGGCAGCACCGAGAAAGTAGAGAAGTTCTCCATATTTTATTTAGCCTAAGTTTAGTCTTTTGTATCATGACAGATCCTAGAAAGATAAAGCTGAATGAGGCTGAATTGAAATCCCCACTCCAGAATCCTCACCACAAACTCCTGGCATTATTCACCTAGGGCCCTTCACAAGCATACCACTTTGATCTTCAAAAGACACAGGGATATAACTTTGAAGTCTTTTGACATCCTAGTAATCTACTTCACACAGATTTATGAGTGTGTACCTCTGGTTACCAGCATCATCTGTCGCATTCCCTGTTCTTACATCTTTTCTAGCTCTGTACTTGATTCACTTTTCCCTTACTTAAAAGAAAAAAAAAGCGATTCTCAAAGGCACTCTCCCTTGGTCCTTCGAAGTCTTCTTACATGTGTGTATGTCTATGTGTGTGTGCACGTGTGCACATGTGTACATTCAGTGTTGGTCAGAAGTTAGGTAGAATGTGGGTCATATAACATAATTGATGGACCGATTCACTTCATTCATTTTCTTGATTGTAAACTGTATCCCTAATCTATTTTGTTTTCTTATAAATTTATGGGAAAGAATGGCTGATTTGATGGAAATCTATTATCACCACTGGGGAAAGAGCTCTAAGAGCTATGTATGGTGAGCCAGCAACATTATCTAAGCTTATGAAAGTTAGTGTATTATTATTATTATTGCAGATATTATTGCAAGGACTGACCACAAAGCCAGGTCCCAAAGGCTCTTTCTCCCCTTCACTGCCCACAGCTCTGTGCCTCTTAGGATCTGCTATCTTCTTTGGCATCATGCCTCCTTTTTAAAATCTTAATTATCTTGCCATAATCATTACTTAGTTTACATGAGAAAGTTAACCAATACTTTTTAATGTCAAGTAAGCTTCTTTCACTATGGTCAAGCTTCTTCATTAGTCAGAGTAAAGACTAATGAAAAAATTAGTCACACTTCTTTTACCTCCAATTTTAGAAACATCATTTAAAGGTTTCACAGGTATTTTCATAGTTGCAACCTCTAAAGTGGTAAGCACTCACAAAAGGAATCACCTTGACTATTCTATATAACATCTAGCCAGGTCTTATCACTCCACCAAATATTAGGAAATTGCTTACAATTCATATAGCATGTTGAACACAATCTAATGTGCTAGTTTCTGGTTTGCTGCAATAACAAGTAGTTAATTAATCATATTGTATTAGATGGCCGGGCAAGGTGGCTCACGCCTGTAATCCCAGCAATTTGGGAGGCTGAGGTGAGCAGATCACCTGAGGTCAGGAGTTTGAGACCAGCCTGGCCAATGTGGTGAAACTCCATCTCTACTAAAAATACAAAAGTTGGCCAGGCACAGTGGCGGGTGCCTGTAATCCCAGCTACTCAGGAGGCTGAGGCAGGAGAATAACTTGAACCTAGGAGGCAGAGGTTGTGGTGAGCCGAGATCGTGCCATTGCACTCCAGCCGGGACAACAAGGGTGAAAATCCATCTCAAAAAAATAAAAAATGATACTGTATTAGGCTCTGTAGTTCCTATAGGGAGAGTGCACCCACCCCAGATACTTCCCAAATCCTGATCCCTCCAAGAGGAGCAGAAATTGTGAGTTATTTTTTGGGTTGACTTGTTGGTCAGGTGATTGATAGGTTTGGGTTTTCAACCAAAGAAATGCTAATTCACTGTGCCTTTTTCATTTTTAAAAAATATTTTTGCTTACCCAAAGATTCTTTACTTAACAACCGTGGCTTTTAATCTGACTCAAAAAGTTCAAGCTAAATTTTAAATAGTTGTGATTTGATCATCAAAAGTAGCTAAAAATAAATTTTGGATACTGATTGTAGCCTCTCCTTTTGAAAATCAAAGTTTTCTTCATAGCTAATTTTTTCTAAGATTAATGCCCATCCATTTTCAGTCATAAAATAGATAAATTTGTAAATCAACATCTGGCACCACCCTGAAGATTTCTCATTCTTTTCAAACTTTCTGGGCATGTTGTATGAAATTTTATGAAGTTGAAATAATCACTCTCTGCAGATAATTCTTTACTTCATGTAGTCCCAGAGCTCTACTAATATGTTAGATCTTTCCAAACTGGAATTACACCAGTCTACACATCAACCCTAATAATTTTCTATACTATGCATCATTAAAACCACAGTCACCTCTCTTGTTCAGTTCAGTAACCTTTACTCTCCTACTAGAGTTGCTTTGGCTGTTGTCTCTGCATGCCCTATACCAAGCAAACTTTCCTAGAGGCTCTCCTGACAAAAGTGCAATTGCTGTGACTTGATGATACCTGGGTACAATGTAGTAAATTAAATATGACCTAAGAATTCTTATTTTTTCCATGGTACCTGTTTGAGATGGTTGAACTTCTATGCCAGCCTGAATTGATGACAGCTAATTTTCCCACTGAGACACTAACCTATTTTTTAATACTGGTCTATGAATTTTCAGGTAATACATATTTTATATTTCAGATGTAAGCTATTGAAATCTAGAAAAAAAGAAACAATGTTTCAAGACATTACTTCTTGACAAAACAGATTTCTGGATTTTTTTATTATATTTAAGTTAGTGTGATGGCCTCATTACTAGACTATAATTCTAGTGAGAAGGAAAATTTTATACACTATAGATAGTTACTTAAGGAGGCAGCCAACTTTATAAGTCATTCTTCACAAATCCAAATGTCATACAAGCTTATTAATAATTTAAGAATCAATAGAAATGAAAATATCTGTTCTTAATTTGCTATATTTCAAATATTGTTTTTCTTTTAACCATTGCGATAATTATTCTATATTAATATAATTTGTTTCTATAATATTTGTTCTCTGTGAGACTGCAGCCAGGCCTTTAATATCATGTTCAATAAAAGAAAAAATAATCTTTGTCAAGGGCTAATATAGTAACTCAACATTAGCAGAAGTGGTTTTTAAAAATATATTTCAGGTATCCAGGAAGCATCTGTGTGTGATTTTGTTACCTTTGGACCCACCCCCTAAATATTTTCACTGAAGTAAAATTATTGGCATCAGTCGTCACCCTTCAAAGCTAAGGGGATAATTTTTTTAATAAGTATGAAACATTTTGAGATTGTTCTACTTTTCCAGAACCCATTGTGTCACTGTGTGTGTGTGTGTGTGTGTGTGTGTGTGTGAGAAAAATTTTGGAAGGTTATTTATCTCTAGATATGCTGCTTTCCAAAGGTCTAAAAAGGAAGTGGTGAGAAGCCAGAGGATTTTTGTTAGAAAAACAAAGTCTGAAGGAATATTTCCTGCCTTTTTTCTTTCAGCAGATATATGAACTTCAAAATTTACCATGCCATGCCCTCAAAGGTATGGCTGTTCCCACAACCATCAGTGATAATATGTATGTGAAAGGATGTGCTCATACAGTGGCAAGGGATTAGTGAAAAGAAAAAGATGGCGATAAGAAAAAGAGATTTGTGTGCACATGATTTTAGAAATGATAGTCTTGCTTCTCTTTGAAACTCAGATTAGAAAAGGTGTATCCCATGGTCAAGTTGAATGCCAAATAGTTCTCAGTTTCGGAGCTTAAAAGGAAGAATGCATTCTGATTTGAAGACAAGGCATGTAGAACAGAAGCAGCTTTAATGAAGCTCAGTCTGGGTTGTATGAAAGCCATTGTCACATTCTGACACAATGATATGCTGGAAGCACTCTTTCCTTAGTCAGGAAGTAGGTTCCATTGTACCTGATCCCAAATCCCACAAAGAATTAGAAACTTAATTTCTCCATGCAAACTTCCAAGCTACAAAATCAAAGTTTAGAATCTAAATTAGTCCATAAAATATTGTGATAATATAGCACCTTGAAGGGATCATAATAAGCCACACATCATTACTGTTTTAGTCCCTTTATGTTGCTGTAAAGGAATGCCAGAGGCTGGGTAACTGATAAAGAAAAGAGGTTGAGGCTGGGCACGGTGGCTCACGCTTGTAATTCCAGCACTTTGGGAGGCGACGGCAGGTAGATCGCCTGAGGTCAGGAGTTTGAGACCAGCCTGGCCAACATGGTGAAACCCTGTCTCTATTAAAAATACAAAAAAAAAAAATTAGCTGGGTGTGGTGGTGGGTGCCTGTAATCCCAGCTACTCAGGAGGCTGAGACAGAAGAATCGCTTGAACCCAGGAGGCGGAGGTTGCAGTGAGCCAAGATCGCACCATTGCACTCCAGCCTGGGCAACAAGAGTGAAACTCCGTCTCAAAAAAAAAAAAGAGGTTTATTTGGCTCATGGTTCTGCAGGCTGTACGTGAAGCATGGCATCAGCATCTGCTTCTGGTGAGACTTCAGGCTGCTTCCACTTATGACAGAAGGCAAAGGGAAGCTGGTTTGTGCCAAGATCACATGAGGAGAGAGGAAGCAAGCCACAGACAAGAGGTGCCAGGCTACTTTTAACAACCAGCCCTCAAGGGAACTAATAGAGTGAGACCTCACTCATTGCTGTGAGAATGGCACCAAGCCATTCATGAGGGATCTACCCCCATAACCCAAACACCTCCCATTAGGACCTATTTCCAACATTGAGGATCAAATTTCAACATGAAGTTTGGAGGGGTCAAATATTCAAACCATAGCAATCACTATTTTCACAGCAACTCAAGAGAAAAAATTTCACTTTGCTGCCTCTCTTCAAGCTTGGAAGCTGGAGAAGAGGTTCTGGTGGAAAGTACTTCAAGTGAAAAGACTTTAAAGACACAAGTTTTAAGTGAAACCTGTCTCCCAGTCAACTCTCGAGGTTCTTGATTCATTTCATTTTGAAAGAGTGGCTATTTTTGTCTTGTTTTCATCATGCATTTGGCCTCCTCTGTACATAGTCATATTTTTGGCTTCCTGGAAACAGATGATGAGAAGAAGAATTTGAGGCTAGCTCTAGAAATTACAGAAACTATGTGAACAGTGAGTATCAAAAAGTTAGAAGTGCTTCTGGCACTAGAAATTAAGAGCTATAGCAAAACAAAATAGTTTATTTCCAGAAACTCATGTATGTTCACGGTGTAACTCCCATATTTTCCAAGAATTATTTTTTCTAAGAATTCACATGGGAAAGGAACGGAAGATAAAAGGTTTTAAACTATTTCTTTAAACCAACACTGGCAAGGGCCAACACAAAGAAAATGACAACAAAAGTTAAGAGATGTATATATATAGAATATGTCTCATTCCTTTGAGGGAAGAAGGGACCTGGTTAGAAGAAGGAAGAAAAGGAAGAGGAGAGGAGAGGAGAGACAGGCAAGTGGAGTAGAGGAAGGAGGAGAGGAGCCCAAAGATTTGAAGAAAAAAAAAAGGAGAAGGCCACCAAAGGAAAGTCCGGCCTATCGCCCCCTTCTCTCAGCCCTACCTGTACACAGTACTGAGGCTAGGGCTCCTCCATGCTTGGGCTTTGTCAGTGATGGGTGGTGGAGCCACATTTCTGGGCCTTCACTGACACATCTTCCTCCCATAGAAGTTCACCAGAATAATTTGTGGCAAACACATCTTTGTGGTTGACGTTCCTGTGTTTCTTTTCTCTACTGATTCTTGCTTGTTATCTTGCATGTTCAGCATGAGAGGTTGTCCCTGTGCAATTATTCGGCTGTTTGCTTAAGAAATTATTGCCACAATTTCTGAGATTCAAAGAACAAAGAAGCATAAGAAGGCAGGGAGATACTTTAGTTTGGAGGGAAGAATCATGGATGTTTCACACAGTGTTTTGAATGGTTTTGCAAGCATCTGAAATAAATTATGTAATAGATTCATCTATCTTTAGTTACAAAAAAGAATTGGGGGGATATTGGGCAGCAGGGGTACTGTAGGTACTGCATAATGAATGTATGGAGATCTGCTTCAGTAGACAAAGTCTGGAATGCAGTTTTGGTGGGGTAACTGTACATCACAGAAAACAGAAACAGTTTTGGTGGTATAATGGTACATCAGAAAATGATGGCTGAAGGTGGTTATTTGGCCCTGATGGGCAGGTTTCACAGTTTTAAAAGGAAAACATCAATATGCTGGAAAAAGAAAGTTATTGAGGTCATCAGGAAAGTAAATTATCCTAAAACACAATCTAATTTATTTTTAAAGTCAATTTTGGGCCGAGCACGGTGGCTCACACCTGTAATTCCAGCACTTTGGGAGGCCGAGGGGGGCAGATCACTTGAGGTCGGGAGTTCGAGACCAGCCAACATGGTGAAACCCCATCTCTACTAAAAATTCAAAAATTAGCCAGGTGTGGTGGCGCATGCCTGTAATCCCAACTACTCGGGAGGCTGAGGCAGGAGAATCACTTGAACCTTGAAGGCAGAGGTTGCAGTGAGCCAAGATCTCACCACTGCACTCCAGCCTGTGCAACAGAGCGAGACTCTGTCTCAAAAAAAAAAAAAAAAAAAAAGGTCAATTTTGTTGGGTACAGTTGAACTTTTTAAGTACAGCAATACTTTATATAACAGATGCCTTTCTGAAGAGCTGAGTGAAAATGTCATTCATCTGACAAACATGCATGTCTACTCTTTGCTAGTCATTTTCTTTACAAATCAAATTTAATATTAAATTTATCAGATACCTCACTATTCAAGGAATCTTTTAATATACACTATTATAAAGCAAGAATTCCAACTATAATGTGCATAGTTCTAATGTGTTATGTATAAATTTATATTTTTTAGTACTTCATGGCCTGAAAGAATGGTGCTTTATAGTAGAGCCCTAAAACTTGTAGTACAAAGTTTTTAAGATTTTAACTAATTTATAAACCATTATATATATATTTAGTAGATTTAGAGTTTCTTGAAAATTTTTGGTGGAACCTCATAATTTAGATCCCAATAGTTAAATATTTGGTATTCAAACAAAGACAGACAATTTATTTTTCTATTTTCCATGAAGAAGGAGAGGGACAATTTTAGATTCACCAGTGTGCAGGACAAATTCTTACTTAACCTATAGAGGAGCAAACTTTCTTCAAACACATTACCAATACAATTGTAATACTAAGAATCAATACCATAGTTCTCGATGTAGCATGACTACAAATTGTCACAGTAGATTTTGGATGACTTTACCATAGCCACACTTAATGAATTATTATTTATATTTCTATTTGTACTTTAATAAAACTATATTTTAAACTTTAAAATTGTCATTTAAATTACTAAAGAAAATGAGTAGTTCCCATAATGAATCCATAATGTTAAGAATTTGCTTTAGCAATGAGACTATATTCACTAGCTTTGTATTAATATAAACATAAGAAATAACAATATATATGTATAAGACTCAAAGGTGTATTTCTCTGTTCCTCTGAAAATTTTCTTTGTAGCTCCACAGCCAAGATCATGTGGCTTTTGCTTGGAGTAGTAAAACACTTCTAATATGAAGCAATCTCTAGCTAGGTAATTTTCAAGTCTTTCTATCCAGAACAGAAAGTTGGAGGATGTAGGGAAGGCTAAGTTCTTGAGTGGGATCTAAAGGCTGGCAGGACTTAGTGAACTATTGGACTGTTTACATGATATGCCATGATAAATGTTGAATGAATTTTCATTATGTCTAGACATACTCAATATAAATGCTTGCTTGTTAAGCAAATAGCAGAGGTCAAATCTGGGATCATGGTGATTGCGATTGTGGTTCTCAGGCTGGGTTTCTATTCCTACTTGAAGTCTGTGGAAATCTGAAAACATCTTGAACATTTCAAAATAATAAGAGATCTGTCTAAATGAAACTTGGATCTAGACTTGGGAGTGTCTGTTGCCAGTTTCTATTCTTGAATGCATTGCCGTGTTTACGCTCTTCTTGGCTTTCCCATCTTATTAACTAGCTCTCCTCCCAAGGACAGTGAAGTAGAGCAGAACAAACTGCTGGCTAGGGCTGCTCCAGCTTTTCTGAAGGGCAAAGGGTAAGTTACAGCCAGAGTGTACTGGAACCCTGCATTAACTAAACTAAAAATGGAGATTTCTTTTGTCAAAAATGCTTTGTGTGTGAAAGACTGTCTTTGATTCAGTAAAAGCAGCTCTGCTTTAACCCAGTTAACAGCACTAAGTAGTTATTTCCAGTAGACACATCTGTGTTGTTATTCACTTTCCCGAATTTGTGTCCTTTTCTTTTTTGAAATGACTAAGCTGAAGACTCGATTTTCTGAAGGATATTTAATCTTTGCTTGCAACCAATTTCAATGTATTTACTCTACAGATGAATACCTTGGCCTTAGTGGTTGAAAAATGTAAATCTGTTTTCTAAAACTTTATTTAACCTAAATGGAAGTCTTTATTTTTAAAGTTAGTGAAATCGAATTGTGGATTTCATTGCCTGGATTTCACTTGTGTTTTTCATAGCACATCACTTACTACCCTTCCTTTACCTGCTTGGTTTTCTAAATGCCTTTTCTACCAAAAACTCACTCCTACCTCCTCTACTTATTTCTGTCCACCTCTCTTAACAACACGCTTTCTTTCCCCCTGCCCTGTTTCAGGATACAGTACAGCCTGAATGTGGCAGACAGGCTAGCTGATGAACATGTTCTCATCGGGTTGTATGTCAACATGCTCCGGAACAACCCCTCATGGTTAGTGCAGGTTTGGCTGCTTGACTGTCCTTAGAGAGGGATACAGTCTGAGCTGGTGACAAGCAGTCTCAGCAAGGAGCAAGGTCACTGGATGCCAGTGGTGACACTGAAGCACTGTTAACTGGTTCAGTTAAGAAGTCTCTCGTGATGTTAGTTTGGATACTTCCCATGAAGGAACCATAGGATTCATATCCTTGTTTATATATTAGCTAAAACGAAAACTTGCATAAAGGGATGCCTTGCTAAATATTAGCCTTCAGGTAGATTCAGGACTCCGGGTCCCACCAATCAGTTCTGTGCTACGTGTCATGTCAAATTACCACAGGATGGTGATAAAAGAATTTGTCTTATTCCAAGGACATGGATGTCTCTGCTGATTTGGAAAACAATGCTTCATTTTACTTAAGAGTGAAAAAGAGAAAATGCGATGTGATTGAATCACAAAATGGAAATCATTTCTTTAACAATGATAACAGTGGGAACAATCGTCTTTCAGCAATTCTATTACACATTTTTCTGATGACCATCCTGCTAAAGCCTGCTTTCACATCTTGGAATACACAAAACTTAGTTTCAGATATGTTAAATTCAGGAATTAAGATAGCCCTGTGTACTTGGATAAAGCCATTCAAAAGGCTTTTCTCCATTTTCATTGTGACATAGGAGACTCCTTCCATTGGTTAAAGTTACTTGATATTAATAATAAATGTGGATTTGCAGCTTGAATTAAAGGAAAAGGACAAACTATGTATCATATGTATTTTTCAATCTAGTTCAGACTATTGTTTTATAAACATATTTAGCAAACCAATTCCTTGAAAATATGTCAATTTTTCTCAACCACTTCAATTTTCTCTCAATTAAGGGCCCATGGATTTTCCATAGTTACAATTATTAAGAAAGCCAATGGGTTCAATTTCCATTAAAATGTTTCAAACCTTTAGCATGGCAAGTCCTCTTTCCTCTACTATTAGAGGAAAAGTAATTGGCAAAATTAATGGCAATTACATTAAAAGTGATGACAAAAACTGCAATTACTTTTGCACCAACCTAGTATTTCACCAAGGCATTCCTCAGATGCTAGGCCATTGCTCCATGCTCCTTGCCCTCACCACTTGATGTTATTAGCCGCTTTGTTTCTGAACCTCTTTCCTCCTCACTTGAGTATTTTCAAAATTTTCTTCCTATTACTGCTTCTTAGATCTATTTTTGCAAGATTAATACATGAGATAATTTTTAGTTCTCATGAACTGATGAACATTTATGTGCTTTAGTACATACATGTATCTTAATTTGTATTTTTAAAAATGTATAACCAGTACACTAGTTTAATTTTACCTTAGATCCTACTGTTTAAGGGGATAAAAATGCACTCTTTGGCTGACGTAAATCCATCTCTTTCTTCAAATTTTGTGAGCTTCTAGATTAAATAGTATCCACTTTTTCACAACTCAGGCTCTCAAAACTACAAAATTGCTTTATTCCCAAGGAGTTTGGTACTCCAGTGTTACATGGTAGCTGAAGCAGTAGAACTAAGCATTGAATTTTTTTTTAATTGTATTGGTCATCTTTGAAGAAGAATACAGTCAGTGTAGATTCAATTGTAAGACTATGATGCGATCTCACATCATGTCCTCTTCCCATAATTCTAAGCACACTCCAGTTATTTCTACTGCTCTTCTTTGACCTTTTCTTAATTAAGGTTGTTAACAAAGAAATCTCCAAAGAGAAAAGCTCAGAGTTTGTCACTACCAGCCATTTTCCCTACTCAAGTGATTAATCATATTGACTTGATGGTTACTTAAGACCATAAATCTGTCTCAGCAGAGACACCTTGCGTCTGCCTGATGAAAGCTAAATGTGATTTGTATTTTGAAAACAAAGCAGAATTTAAGGCCAACCAATCAATGAAGGAGGCTTTGTTTTAATAGCTGCACCCTCCATATTTCTCATAGTTTTTTCTATCCTTAAAAAATTCCAACTTCTTTTTCAAATTTCTCATTTTTTCTTCCCTTTTCTTTATGTTTAATTAGATCCCAACAATTCCTCATACCTGTCATGGTTCTATAAGTAATGTAATGACCTCTTACCTCCTTTAACATCATTGTAGCTACAATGCTTTACCATCATTAAGTTACAGTGAGACATATAATAATAGTAATAATAATAGTAAGTGTTTTTAAAACACTTACCTCATGCCAAGCTCTATGTTCAGAGCCTTGTATACATAATTTCTCCTAGTCCTTAAAGTAAGCCCATGGAGTAAATAAGATCATCCCCCTTTTATAGACAAGTAAAGGTATCATTTTAGAGAGCTTACCTGACTCTCCCTTAGTCCCACAGCTATAAAAAGTGGGGCAGAGATTTTAACCATTATCCATCCAAGTTCATAACCACTGTGTTTCATCACCTCTTTTAAAATCTGCATCAACACACGCCTTTCAGGATCTTTTGTGGATGCCTCCTTCACACTGCATCCTCCACGTATTTACTGAAACTGTATATCTTATTCTAGTGTTTTTATTTGATTTTAGCAAATATTTTGAGCACATACTAGTAACAGGAATGGTGATTCTTAACAAGTTACCTTTTATGTATGTAGTTCCTTGAGTTGTGACTTCTCATGTTAATTGTAAGCTTCAAAAAGGGCAAGAGTTTTGTCTTCAGTCTCTTTTATCTTATTACAACAGCTGGAGTAAGAATAATAAATTTTGTATTTATGAAATGCTCCAAAAATTACAAAGCCTTTTTCCACACATTATTTAATTTACTTCTCATAGTCCTAGAAGGTTGGATATGATTATTTCCATTTCACTGTTTAAAAAATATGAGCTTTGAGACATTAAGTGACTTATCCAAAGTCACATGCTAGTAAGGGCTTGCAAACAGGTCTTATGACACTGGTTCCCATCTATTTTCCACCCCATTCCTTGGCCTCTAGCTGTTCTCCATCAAAAGCTTTGTTTTTGCCATTATTCAGACCTAATCCTGATTAACTCTGTGTGGGGGTCTTCTACCCTATATTAACTACTTAACACACTGGGAAACTGACTTATTTGTAATAGTTTGCTGCTAAAGAAACACTTATGTCATTGCTGGTTCTGTCAGATAAGTCAAATAAATAAACTGCAGCTCAAGGGAGAATTTCTGCTTCCTTCCTAATTCAATGAAGTTTTAAAAGCCTTAATAATTTGTATGCACCTTCCTCATTGCAGGAGAAGGAGTCTGAAATGTGATACAGTGTGGGCTTTTACTACCCTCCCCCAAAGCTTGTCAAATTCCTGGGCTTGCTAGTTTATACCAAGGTCTGTAGTAGACCAACCAAATGATTTGAAACCAGCCCAGAACTTCTACCTCTAACATTGTCACTTGATTAGACTCCTGATGTCATATGACTAGGTTAAAATTGTTCTGCTTATATTTTTCTCAAGTACAAGAAAGTGTACATTTGTGTTGTCAATAGATTTCTTGTTAAGTGGATTAATAATCCATCTAGTTTAAAATTGCTCCACAATATTTTATGCTTTGGGAAAAAAGACATCTAAGAATGCCTATTTCAGAATTTCATTTATGAGGTCTAAATTTTTATTAGCTTGCATGCTTAGAACTCTTTAATAGATTCCTATTGGACCTAGTTTACAACCCAGACCCCTCACCATGGTGTACAAACCTGCATGTGACTTAGCCCTTGCCTACTCCTTTCTCAGCCTCAGATCTCATGGGGTTCTCCCATTCAATCACTACATTTAGTCATGTCAATTTTTGATCAATTCCTCCAACGAACCAAGCTCTTTCCTGCCTCAAGACTCCAATACTAGTTCTCCCCTCTGTCTAGAACATTCTTTCCCATTTCACCCCTACTATATGCACATGAACTTGCTTGTCTAGCTTCCAATCTTAGATTAAAGACACCTCCCCCAGTAGGTCCTCTATATTAGTCTCTATTATAGCATACTATTTTTATTTTCTTCTTATCAGCTGCAGTCATTGTTTGGTTGGTTAGTTGGTTAGCTGTTTGGCTGGTTAGCTCATTGGTTGGTTGGTTGGCTGACTGGTTAGTTGGTTGGTTGGTGGCTGGTTGGTTGGCTTACTATTTACTGTATCTTCAGTGGGGCAGGGACCCTCTCCAACTTGTTCACCACCTTATCTCTGACATCTAGCACAGTGCCAGGCACATAGTAGGTGCTCAATAAACATCTGTTGATATTGTAGAATATCAGTAGTGCAGTAGCTAAAAAAATTCCATCTTCCCCTAAACAAAGTTGTTAGGAGTAGTCAGAAACTTTACTAGCAAAATTAGAATTTTTACTATTTAAAAAAATCACTATTATAGAGTAGCACTTAAATTGAACATTTAGTATAGGAGTATAAAATAGATGAAAAATTAAAGTATTAAGCTTTGTGTAGTGGTAGACATGGGCAAAGATAAGCACCAGCAATTCACTGATGTGAACAGAGCAACTAATAGGGCATTCTAAAATTTTTTTAAAAACTTAAAGTGATAATTGGGCAAGAATTTTTTTTTAATTTTAATGCCCCCCTAGATTCTTCATCTTTGTATTAGTTTGCTAAGAATGCCAAAGCAAAATGCCATAGACTTGATGGCTTGAACAACAGAAATTTATTTTCTCACTGTTCTGGAGGCTGGAAGTCCAAGACTAAGGTGCCAGCAGGGTTGGTTTCTCCTGTCCTTGACTTGCAGATGGACACCTTCCTGCTGTGTCCGCAAATAACCTTTTTTCTCTACCCTAGTGTCTCTTCCTTTCCTTAAAAGAACAGCAGTCCTATGAGATTAGGGCCCCACACTATGACCTCATTTAACTGTAATTAAAGGCCCTATCTCCAAATATAGTCACATTCTAAGGTACTGAGGGTATTCATATGCTTTAGCATATGAATACTGGGGGAGACACAATTGAATCCATAACCCACTTCCCCACTGAATCCACTGAATTGTATGCCTTTAATATTTTTAATGTGTAGGTCAAGATTTGACTGACTCTTTTTAGTACATTTTGTTGATTTTGAAAAATGTGAGTTTATTGCAATCTGTTGAAAGAAAAAAGAAATTATAATCTGTTGAAAGAAAAAAGAAGAGTTACCTACACTTACTGACAGTGTCTCTTTTATATGAGTTTTCATTTCCTGTTAACACGACTCCTTTTGTTTAGTAAAATTTTTAGGAACTTCAATTATAGAACTGGACTTCTGAGAAAGATATTTCCTTAGAATCCTGGAAATATAAATCTAAAGACTGTCACATCAGGAACAGTTGGAGTAGAAGGAAATGGAGGAGTCTGAGAGTTTTTAGAAGATAGAATGCATGACCTCAACTGTAACATAGGGGGTTGTTGAAGTCAGGGTCTCAATAAAGGAGTTTAAAGGTCTCCTTTAAGGAAGCCATTATTGTGGTAAATTCTTATTGTTATCCATGAAGATTGCCATTTCATGATTTCCTGTCTTTTTTTGTTGTTATTCCAAACCACTCACAAAGGGCCACTACACTAAGCTTTGAGAGTTAGTTTCTTTCCCCATTCTTCAGTACTGTAAAACCATTTCTCGGTCCCCAGTGTCACTTTGTTCCTTTCTACCCTGACTCTCTTGAGCTCACTGACTTCTAAATGCCAAAAAAAAGTGCTCTATTCCCTTAGCATTTTGCTCTAAACCAACTGCCAAAGATAGAGAATAATCTAATAAAGCAATCTTCCATTTGAGTTAACTAATCCTCTTAATAGAAGAGTAGTACATGAAACTCGATGGCCTTCTAAATTAATTTCTAGTGATAAAATTCCCATCACTAGCCAGAGTAGTAGAAAAAATATGAAAAGAAAATATAGAAGCATTTATATATGCTTTTGCTTTTGCATTTATATATGCTATATGCTTTGGATCACAGTATTTTCTGGTTGACTACCCTAACTTAGAAAGCAGAACAGGCCCAGAAAAAAATCAAAAGAATGTGAACAAACCGTGAGTTCCCAAAAATCTTTGCTAAATCACACTTTCATAAGCCCTAGCTCAGCTGGGGCCACTTGAGTTTCCTGGAATGCCATTTTGAAATCACTGGCAACAGACACTGGCCATGCATTTCGGGTAGAATGTGGAGGGCTTTCAAAATAATGGATTTTCCTGCTCTGAAATGCCGTCAACACTGCAATCACTTGTTAATTCATCATAGTCTTGTAGCAAGATTACTGATTATAAAGTCCTGAAATGAATAGCTAGGGCTGGAGAAAGTGTTGGAATTGGTATTTATTTTAATGATTTAGGGATTGTTGATCATTCATTTTCAACTATTTGTAATTGAAGTCTTGAAATAGAGGAATTTATCAGAAGAATGCCTCCTTCACCCTTGTATAATTTGAACATACTGAAATGGCATTATGTGGACCCATAAATTGTTCATGTGCACAAAGGGGTAATATTATCACACAGGCCCTCATTCACTCAGTGCTGGGGGAGGAAAGGCATGGACGTATGAGTTATCACTTGCTATACAGAATCCTATATCTTCACGTCTTACATTTCCAGGAGGCTTTTTAAAAATATAACCTTCATATTACTTACACTAGCTAGTCATTCATTTTAAAAGATACTTTTATCAGAAGTTTTTATCAAGATTTTTAAAATTATTTATTTATTTATCAAAATACAAATGTTTCTGACAAAGTCACTTTCAAGGTGTCAAAGATATCATGTTCCTGGGCCTGGAGCAATGGGGTTATCCGCAAAACACTGTGTTGAATTAGATGTATAGCCCCTAATACATGAGCCAGAAATGATAAACATGTTAAAATCAAATTCAGTTGTCTCTTTGTGGGGTAGTTTGACGTCGAAAGAAAAGACAGTGTAACTTTCTCTTTTTCATTGAAGCTGTAATAAAGAATTTAGTTATTATTTTTAACCATTGCAGAATGCAGACATTATTTTATAAAGACAGACATCTGCTTTAAAGCATCAGTTTTCCAGAGATAATTCTGCCTTTGCTATTAAAATTATTTTCTTACTCCAAATCTAAACTTGTGTAATGAATAAAATCTCAATCCACTGGGATTGATACTAAACATTATGTAAGCCGTATATCCTACAATTTTCTGTCTTAAGGGAATGTTTATAACATATCACACATGCTGTATGGGTATCTGTTAAATACTCTTGAACAACTCTCTCTTTTATATCGTTTATATTTAGGTTTCATTTCACGTATTTGTGTCTTCCATTTTGTTTTCGAGATCTTCTAGATCCTTGATACTCAGTGTTGAACCAGTACACTGGACCAATATTATCGACATTTCTTGGAAGCTTGTTAGAAATGCATCTTCTCAGGTCCCACCCTCCCAACCTCCCCTACCCTACCACCACAGAACCAGAAACTGCATTTTCACAAGATCCCTAGGTGATATGCTTACACTTTAAAATTTGAAAAGCACTGCTCTAGATAATTGTCAGATGGTAGATGATATTTTGAAGGGGATGAGGATTACTAATGGATATGAACATGTTATTTAAAAGGCAAAATAATAATAACATTATATTAACTAATATTTTTGAGCACCTCATGTGTTCCAGGCATCACACTCTTTTGATGCTTTTTGCATACATTATCTCATTTGAGCAAAAGGAAAGAGAAGCCTCTTTTTCTGAGGAGGGAGAAATCAGTTGTTAGATAAGGAAATTCAGGAATGTTCTAGTTATTTATTATAGCTCAGAGAAAAGGGCTAAGTCTAGAGTGGAAGTATTCATATTAAAACAGCTATAGCTTATATATGCAAGGGGTGTAGGCTAGAGCAGAGATAATGTAGACAGGAATGTCTTATGAATGACCAGAAAAAAAAAACAAACCTGTTATATAGTGGATTCAGCTAACCAGACAAGAGCTATTTGGAAGTGACATAGCCAAAATGCTGGAAGAACATAATTACTTTCACTCATCTTCTCACTTCAGAACAAAGGTTAAAACACTATGTTTCATGTTTACTCTATTTGTAAATGTACATATAATAGTATGTTACTTTATATGGATCCAAGTGATTGCAATGAATAATTCTTACAACCTTAATATTGGCATAAGAGGGTGTCTTTACAATATGTATTTATGAGTTAATTTCTTTAAGGAAGAGCCGTAAGTATAAGAACTGATGCAGAAGAATATAAGTATGTTTATGAATGAGAGGAACTAGTTTCTGATCTTGATTCTGAACTGATACATACCACAATAACCAATAAGCCAAACTACAACCAACTAGTTTGTTAACAAGATTAGTGCTATTGGTATGTTTCATAGAATTATTTTTAATGGCACCCAAAACTTAGTCTTGAATGGAGCACTTCACAGAATGAAGTTTTCTGAAATATGGAAGAATTAGTAACGCTTCTATTTGCATTAGTTTTTAGGGACTCAGATCATCCTTATTCTAGTATGAACAGTTTCTGTAAATTTATAGGAGGCACTAAAAAATTCCATTAAGGTCATTGGGAGTCACTACTAAAATTCTGTTTCTCTGAAAGTAAATATAAAAGGCAGGTTATAAATAAGTAGTAATATTATAGATGAGACTTGTATTAGTTACCTTATGCTGCATAACAAATTATCCCAAAAGTTAGTAGCTTAAAATAACAAACATTTATCATCTCAGAATTTCTGTAGGTTGAGAATCCAGGTTTGGCTTAGCTAAGTCCCTCTGGTTCAAGGCTTCTGTGAGGTTGCAATCAAGATGTCACTTAAGGCTGTGATCTCATCTGAAGGCTCTACCAGTGGGGATCCATTCACATGGTAATTGGCTTGCTTGGGTTTCTCATCACCTAGGTCTTTCCATAAAGGCTGCTTTATGACCTGACAGCTATTTTCCCACCAAACAGACCAAGAGAGCTAAAGAGAAAACAAGCAAGTCCAAGATGGAAGCCATGGTCTTTTTATAATCTCATCTTGGAAGTGACATTCCATTCCTTCTGCCATATGCTATTCATTAGAAGCAGATTAGTAAGTCTAGCCCATCCTAAAGGGGAGGAAATTACATGAGAATGTAATACCAGCAGGTAGGGATCACTGGACATTGACCACAATGATGTTTTTCTTTCTTCTTGCTTTCCTATTTTCTAACATGTCAATTTTGGACATGTGTTACTTGTGTAAAAAGGAAAGAAAAAATGTTAAAGGCAATAAAAGTAAGAGAAATTCTTCTGATCAGATGTATTGATCAGAATAGTCACCTCTCTGTGAGGCTTTCTTAGTAAGACAATTGAATTGACTGAAGACAGGATTTATTAATGACCTTCCCGACTATATATTAGATCATGTTACAAATTCAAGTCTGAGATTGTTATTCTAACAGGGTTTTGTGTAGTTTGCAAATCTTTTGCACCAAAACATTGAAATAGTAAAAACTCCTTGTGGTAAAATGACTGCAGCAATCTTTCTCAGTTGCCTAACGGTCTCCTTCTTGCTTTGTTCTTAATAGCATGCTTGAGAGTTCAAACCGGCTTGATGAAGAACACAGGCTAATTGCCAGGTATGCGGCAAGGCTGGCAGCAGAGTCCTCTTCGTCTGTAAGTAGTTGGAGTAAAAGGATTCGTCTGTTGGCATCTGGGATCCTTGAATTTTATATGTCATGTTTATTGTTATTATAGCTGGTGCTGATTACCAGGACAATTTGTGCTAATTTATTGTGCATGTGTTTGTTGCTAAGTTTGTGGTGTCTTGGTGGTGAATTTACAGTTTAAAAATGGAAGACTTGAGGAACAAAACCATCCACAGTAGTGTGACCCTGGAGTCAAGCTGGAATCCTCGCATCCCCCTTCATTCAGTGTCAACCCCATATGAAGTCCCAAGGAAGGGGGCAAGGACTGGTTGTGATTCCTTTATTTAAAGCAGGTGTGGTTAGTGAAGGCACTAAGTTTAAGGCAGAGTAGTTGCAAGTGACACTTAAAATATACCAGTAGAAATAATAGAGCTATAGCTTTCTCCATTTGTGTCAGTCTCTAAGACAAAAGCAACTGTCAGCTCAACACATTGATTCAGAATTCATCTGTGCTGACTAAGGGTGAGTTGCTATTAGTGCGTCACAAAGGACAAAGAGTGGCAGGGGAGCAAGTGAGGAAGCTGTTGCCTGCACCTCTCACATCAGATGTTGCAGTTATCAGAGCCCTTCATGCTGAGCATTTAACCTAATGATCCCAGATGGGAGCTGCATAATGACCGACTGCATTAGCCCTGGCAGTTGCTCTCTGTGACATCCGTGACTGTAACACTGTTAGAAACTACCATGAGCAAGATGGAGGGGATCCAGGACAGGCTAAAAGTGTACTGTGTGCCCCCAAAATCAGACATGATAAAACAGAGACGTAATTGGAGTATATGAAATTTTAAGGGCCATAAGTAAGGAGCAAACATGTTAAAGAAAATTAAAATATAGAATCAGCTGAGAATACAGGAGAATTAGATTTTAGGACAAGCAACCACTCCAGGAGTCACTTGAAAGTAAAGGCAAAACAAGGTTTTTGGAAAAACCTCTTTTCCAAGTTTTCTTGCCTTTATCCATGCATATACTTCTATAAACAGAGGCTATGGTATACCAAGATATGGGATTAGCAATGTGTGTCCCAGCTCTCCATGACCTCATGCAAAGCAGTGCTTCTTTGAGTTCAGTCTCCTCATCTGTACACAGGTGTAAATATGCTTATTATATATGTCAGTGCTGCCTGTTATTAGCATCCACTGAGATAGTAAAATGTGTGAAAGTACTGCATAAACCAGCAATTACAAAATGGCAGCCTGCAGACCAAATTTGTCCCCCAGAAATGTTTTGTTGAGCCCCACAGTGTTTTCAATTCTTTATTAGATGTCAGGACTTACAAATCAGATGGTTTTCCTTGAAAGTCTGGATTTTCATCTTATCTTAAAAGACTGACCAGATCAGATGCATGTTCCTTCTGACAGCAGGCAGCTGGAGTGGAGGCATTACTCTGCTGCTTCGGACAGGGCAAGTGTGTGGCACTTTGCCACAACCCCTACCCTGGCCCACCTCCGTCACTTGAGTTACTTCCCTGCCCCTTTCAGCATTTGCATTAGTGATCCCTGGCAGACTGCTAAATCTCCATGCACATGTTATTATTTATATGTGTACTAAATTCTCCAGTCTTGTTCCATTTCTTTCTGGAGAACATTAGTAACTTGTGTTCCTTGCCTACTTACACTATATATAATCTTTGTGGATCCATCATAGGAAAGATACCGTCCACACATTAATTCTAGTTCCTTTGTAAATCTCTTCATAACCACATATTAAGAATAGTATGATTAGCTGAGTAAATCATGATTAGTAAGATGACACTTGGTTAGAAAGGAGATAGAACGGTCATTTAGTAAATGGGTCAATGTTTTTCTTTATAATTCCTGATCAATTAATATACATAGCAAAGCAATGACTGAAATTCACAACTGGCTCAGATAAGTTTCTACCATTTATCAATACATAAAGTATATGCCAGAAAAGGAAACTTATGTAATGAAATCAGAAGAAAATCTTGAATCACAAGTCAAAGTTGCCATATGCCAGAATTAGCTACCGAAAGTCATTTAGAATCTAAAATGTAGGACCTCAAAATTTCTTGTTAGCTATATAAGTCATTCTTTGCTGAAAAGAGGTGTAAATTAAAATGCATAGACAGCTTTATAAAAGCAAAACCTTTACAAAACTTAATCTTTCCTACAGTTAGGTTTATGGACATTAAAAAGCAGGACAAGATTCTCTGCATCTGGCTTAGGCAACAGTTGCCATTTTTAAAAGCTTTCCATTCTTCGGTAGAAAGATGAGTTGTGATTTTTAAAAATTTGTTTTTAAAACAATAAAAATTGGTGTGGAGGAATTTCTAAAATGTACTGTAAGGCAAAGAAAGCAAGACATACATAAGTGTACATAATATGACCCCATTTTTGTAAAACAACACCAAATAAATCCTTGACTAAATATACATAAACATACACAAACAGATATATATATATGGCATATGATTAATGATATCTATGTTTATATGAGAATGGAGAAAGCTGTGACTGCATGTATACCAGTCGTTAAAGCTGATTGCATTTCTGAAAATGAGGAGCTGGAGTGGTGAGAAAGTAGAAGGAAATCAAAGAATATACATGAATATGTGAATTCATCAATCTAAAATTACATGTGTGAATAAAGAAAGACATAAAAGTTTGTTGATTAGAAGAATCAGAAAAGTAAGTCTTACCAACTATGACTTTAAAACTATATTTTTATTTATTTATTTATTTTTGTGAGATGGAATCTCGCTCTGTCACCCAGGCTGGAATGCAGTGGCATGACCTCAGCTCACTGCAACCTCCACCTCGGGCTCAAGCAATTCTCCTGCCTCAGCCCCCCTAGTAGCTGGTATTACAGGTGTGTGCCACCAGGCCCAACTAATTTTTGAATTTTTAGTAGAGATGGGATTTCCCCATGTTGGCCAGACTGGTCTCAAACTCCTGACCACAAGTGATCCGCCCGCCTCAGCCTCCCAAAGTGCTGGGATTACAGGCGTGAGCCACCATGCCTGGCCTAAAACTATATTTTTAATTGTACATTACAGTAATTGAACGGTAACTCTAGAGAAAGCACCCTCTCAACAGTGCAACATCTTTTAAAGCCACCTATAATGAAAGAATAGGTACAATGGGGACAGTGTGGCAAAAATAAAATCACTTCCCAAAGATTTTCAGTCAGAAAGCTGAAAAATCATTTTTCCTACCTTTTGTGTATTTGCCTGCCAGAGAATTCTGTTCTGCCTTCCACCTCACAGATGTGCTCCAGATCCACAGAAAAGTTGGTCCATAGGAGAAAAATGGCAATTGAATTTTATGTATTTGCTTTCTTTGTTTTGATAGAAATAATTCCCTCCTCCTTGTCTGCATATCTCATGACTCCTGCCTTCCCAAATACATAGGTTCACATTCTCAATATGAAATCTTATAAACTACATATTTTACAGCAGCCACCTCAGCAGAGAAGTGCTCCTGACATCTCTTTCACCATCGATGCGAATAAGCAGCAAAGGCAGCTGATTGCTGAGCTAGAAAACAAGAACAGGTGAGACTTTGTAGACGTGCTGGCTTGTTTGATCAATGTGCGCATTCCTTAATAAACTATGGTCGTGCTTTAAAGTTTCAGGGCTTTACACCCTGTATGGCTACTCAAGGGAAGACATCTACACTCAGTGATGCTCACTTCCAAAAAGCTGGTCTTTAGATCTTTAGAACTTCAGAAGCTCCATGAGAAAACGGCGTGTGCATGTATGTGTATAGTTCTGAGATATCAATGCAATTAATGTTGCCCCTCTAGACGGTCTCACTTCCCTTTTTCTGAGATACTTAATTTTGTTCAAGAGCTTCTAGTACAGGAGGACCCTCCTGGGTACTAGGTAGAAGGTGTCTCTACCACCCAGAAACAGGTAGGAGGCTCACCAGAGAGGCCCCCTGGAAGGACCCTGAGCTAAAGAGGCATCTGGAGAGACACCACCATCACCCAGTTACTCTCCAAACATCCAAAGATCTCCACCTGCAGCCCATCAGCAGGTTCTTCCTCTATTCAACACAGATTGACTCACAGTCTACCTCCACAGCATACACCCCAAAAATTGTCCAGCTCATCTCCACCACCACCCAGTTCAGCCTGTCCTTTTCAAAAACATCAATCTTATGTTATTCCAGGTTTAAACCCTCTAATGTGTTCCCATCACACTTCAGTTAAATCCTACTCCTCTTACCATCACCTGCAAGGTCTTACCTGACCTGATTCCCTCCTGCCATTCCAGCCTCAGCTCACCTTGCTCAGCACACTCCCACCTCCCATGTGTTCCTCCTGTCTACAGCCTTTGAATTAGTCATTCCCTCAGCCTAGAAAGCTCTTCCTCCAGGTCTCTGTGTGGATGGCTCCTTCTCATCACTGGGGTCTCAGCTCAAATATCATCTCCTAAAAGACCACCTGTCTGATCCTACCTAATTGCCCCTAGCCCAGAAACTAGTCTCAATTACATACCCCTGTGTGTGTGTTGGGGGCAGGAGGTTGTCACTTATCACTATCTGAAATAATCATGTGTGTTTGTTTCTTCGTTTATTGTCTGTCTTCCTGGACTGAAACGGAAGTTCTTTGAGAACAGAGGCCATGGCTAAATGGTCCCTGGAGCCCAGAACCAGGCCTGGCAATTGTAGAAGCTCAGTAGATATACATTGAGTGAGAAAACGATGAATAGCTGAGTTAAATCTCAAACTTGGTTCTGAGGAAACCCAACATGGAACAACTTGTACTAGGTCGGTGCAAATGTAATTGTGGTTTTTGCCATTATTTTTAATTACTTTTAATGGCAAAAAAACGCAATTACGTTTGCACCAACCTAACACATTCTAGTAATATATTTCTTGAAACAGCACCAAAACATTTCCATGCTTAACCCCATTCTTAAACACTGATGTGACATTTGAGGTCAAACTGGAGGAGTAAAGGAGGAGGTTGTGATAATTATTTCATGCCTGTAAAATTTGACCTGAGAATTTGGGGATAAATGATCAAAGTATTCTTTAAAGTTCTCAAGAAAGAATAAAAAGGAGGGTGCAAACTCTGGTTGGCACTTTTTCATATTTTTTTCTAGTAAGGAAAGCTTTTGGCTTAGTTGTCTTGAGACCTGGCTGCCATCATTAGGAAACCACAAATTAGGATAGAAATAGCTTCATAAATGTGACACCATGACTCCATCGCCTTTGAAACTACTGCTCTACTCTGACCCCCAGGGAGATGTGCTCACATCAGAGCTGGAATAAAAAAATTTAAAAATAAAATTAAAAAAAAGTTTGTCACATGTGATCCCTGTCAATGTAGCAAATAATAGGAGGAAAGAATTAAGAAGGGAAAGAGCAGATGCATAGTGACGAATTATAAAAAAAAATAGCCATACAAATTGGAATTTGTTCAGGATACTCACAAGTCTGTAAAATTACCTATTCTATTTTATGTATCATTTATTATATCTACTACGTGCAAGTAATTGTGCCAAGTCAGAAAAAAGCATTGAGAGTGGGAGCCAAGTCTTCAAATGAGCAAAGGCACTTTAAAAAGGTAGGAGAAACAACCCAAAAAAAGGAAAAGGGTAGTTGGGGGATGCAAGTAAAAGTGGGGACAGGCAGGCATTGGAGAAAGTGTATGAGCTGAGCTAGCAGGCAGAGGGCTCGAAGCAAACAATGTAAAAGAACCATTGGACTTTGTGGTTCGTGGAATGCTTGTGTGAGTATTGATGACACTGATGACAATGGGGAGTAGGAGAATGGAGGGGCCGTCCTCAAATGTACTGATACTTTACATCAATTCAGGCACTGGAAAGATCATGGCAAGAAAAAGAAGCAAAATAAGCCAGTTTTAAATTATTGACAATTAGACTTAATCCAAAGTTTCAGCTTTTTTGGAACAAAATATTACGGTTGATAACCTCAGCAAATGTCAGAATTGGAATGTAAAGCAGTTTTGTTTTATTTTGGGTTTTATTTTTTTCAGTCCACAAAGTCAACCAATAATATATGGTGGAAAGGTTTATTTAAAATGACTCAGAATTAACAGATGTCAGTAAGTCAGTGAGTGTCCCATAATAAAGGCAACAGAAAGAGCTAAAGAAGAAAGGAGGAAAGGAGTGATAAAAACAATCATTTTATCTGCTGTTGGAAGGCTGTGCCAGCTTGAGGCCTTAATGAACTATGCCAGAGTTGAGGCCATTTTCTGAAGAAGGACCTAACTTTCTATGTAGTCCGTTCATTCGGACTTTCTACCAGACATCATTCCATAATCCCTTCTCCATCCCTTAGTCCCTTTTCTCTAAGACATATTATGATTGCTAACAAGCATGGAGCCATCCATTGGGGAAGGGACCACAGCTGGGATTAATAACATATGCTCACAGGTTCCAGGTGGCAGCAGTAAGAAACCTGGGTTTTTGTTTTGAGGGGTTGAAGTGAGAATAAGGACAACTTTAAAATACATTTAAAGTACATGTGTACAAATATAGTTTCATTTCATCCTCAGAACAACTATTTAAGGTAGGCAGGGTGACTATTATCATCCCCATTCTACAGATGAAAATTTAAATGTGAGGTGTTATTTCTACTCTTTTTCCCCAACATGACCCACTTCACCATCATTGTGGTCTAGGTTGTGTAGGGCAAACTTCATGGGGAAGGTGAGTTTTTAGGACATTTCAGGACAGTGAAATTTTGCAGTGAAAGTTGGGAGATAGAATTAAAGGTAAAAATACACATAGACTTTGAGAAAAGCAACAAGACACTTGCCAGGCTAGCACTGAGGAATCAAAGAATAAAATGAAAACATCAGTATATGAGGCTTGTATACCAGACCAAAGAATTTTAATTCTATCCTGTTATGATGGACAGCAGTGGTCAGGCAAGTGACAGAATGTCCGCATGTTTATGGCAAAATAATCAGCTCACTAAATATGCAGGTTGCATTTACAAGGGATTGACTAGAAGCTGGTGGGAAGTGATGAGGAACTATGTTAGATAGATGGTTCCAGAAATAAAAATAAAGGAACCCAAAAAGGAGATGATTAGACAAAAGGCAAAATAGTGCTGAAATGTTAATTTACAAGATTCTATTACTCATTTCTGAACTTTCCATTAGGGATTCCAGATTTTCCAACAACAACCTTCACACAACTCAGATTTTACTAGCAATCCTCTTTTCTTTCACTCTCTTGTTCTTTCCTTCCTCCTATCCATCTGTCCCGATATAAAGAGAAGGGATAAAACATCAAGGTCAAAGGGGGCTTTGTGGAATATCAAAAGGAGGTCAACCCTGACCAGAGTTTCCACAAGCTGCAGCATCACGCCTCCATCCCTTCTTAGAAAGAAAAGACTAACAGAAATTCACAAGCCCACGAATATTTTATCTTGGTTGCACTGTTAATTAACCTACTCTTCCACTTCTTCAGAGCACTTTGTTTTCCCTTCCAATACTCTGCTTCCACTCGGGCATGGGGGTAACACATTTGAGGGGAAAGCAGGACTTCTTTTGAGGAAATACCCCAGAGATATCTGCCTCCATGTGGTTCTGTCTATTTCTGATTCCAGAATCAGCATGAAGCACCATGAAGGCCCCAACAACCCTGGCCATGCCTTAATATCACTCTTGCTGCTTGTTTCCTGGATGTTTTTGGATCGCACTCTCTAAATGCATGTCTTTAAGGACTAGAGAGGAAAAAAGAAATAGGAGTGAGAAGAGATGGCGGAAAGAGAGATTCATTCTGTCCCTGAGTTCTTTTGTGGGTTCTAGAGCTCCCCAACCCATCTCTGATGAGCAGCAAGTACATCCTAAGCTCATCTCTCTGAGCCAGCAGCCTGGTTCTCTAGACATCCCAGGGCCAAAAGCTCCTTTAGGTAATACTACTGCACCATGGAAACCCACCCAGGGAACTCATGTCTCTAAGATGACAACTCAATAATCAGATCTGTGAGTTTAAGGGGAAGATAGAGTTCCTCATTTCATTTAATGACTCTGTCTACCCCAGGTAACACACAGACATTTCAGCAATGATCTTTAGAAGGTAATGGTTCCTTATAGCACCTTTGGTGGAGCCAGTCAGGGTTAGTATTAGGAGTACCAGGAATCTTCAAATTATATTGTATGGGTCACAGCCTGTCTTGGCTAGACCTAGCAAAGCAAGTACCAGAAGACTGAGGCAGGCTGATATATGTGGGGTTTGGGGCTAGCCAGCCTGGATTCACATCACGTCTACCACCTACTTGTTATCGAACTTGGGGAAATCTTTCAACTGGTCTGTGCCTGGATTCTCTCATTTAATAAACAGAGATAATAATGGTACCTATATATAATAGAACTGTTATAGAATGAAATAAAATAACATTAAAGAAGTCAGCAGAGTTCCCAGGTACAGACTGACTACTCGATGCACGTTACATATCTCTTCTTTATTTTTTCTTACCAGAGCTGTTGCTCTCTTTTCCTTCCTTGGACCAAATGGCTCTGTTGTGTTTCTGTCTTTAGAATGAACAAAGAGAATAGCAGGAGTCATAGAATATCAGGGTGTTAGCCCTGGAGGAAATCTTGGAAATCCCACTGCACTGATTTTCAGGCTGAGCTTTATGGCATCCTGAGGGCTCTGCAGGGGCACCTGGGAGGGCACAGCAGGGCCCAGCAACACAGGGACTTGTCCTCATTTCTTTAACCCCAGCAGCACCCGACCCCTTAAACTATCTGACATGTTGGGTATCCATGGCATATTTCTTTTAAAGAAAGGATTCCCCGATGGAATCACAAAGAGGAGAAAACAAAAAAAAGACTGAAAACCACTGAATTACAGTTCCATCTTCTCACCACACCCACGAAATGTATAATGGCTTACTAATCATTAGCCTCCTGATTCTGGGGGCTTTGCGAAGCAGGCAGTTTTAAATCAGCCCTCCAAAATGGAAAGCTACTTCCTTGTACACCAAGTTCACCTTCCATTCGCAGTGCTTTGCTCCGTCTTACTGGCTTCTATGCATTTTGTTGAGTAGGAAACTGACACCCCCAGCTCCCAAGAATACATGACTTATAACCCTGCTTAATGGCTTCTGACTCACTTAGGGATAATTTGCCTTGCCAGGTCACATATCCTTTATGGCTAGCCTAATGCTCACCAAATGCAGGGAAGCCCAGGCTCTGACATCAATAGTTGACTGACACATCTCACCCCCGACAGAGGTCACACCAATAGCACTGTATGTCACAGACTCAATTACTGTGAATCTTTTTAAAAGCACTTTCCTTCTAAGGTGGACTTCCCTGAGATCCATTGTTAAGGCTGAGAGATTTAAGAAAAAAAAAAGAGAAAGAATTTTGTCTAACTGGGGTTTTCTCAGATAAATTCAATGAGAAGTCCCTTCTTGGTGAGAGAATGAGGTTACTTAGTTTTGTGAAATGAGCCCCATTTATCCTTATTTTCCCTTCAGGCTCCTCTTACTTGGTAGCTGCAGGTACTTTACGGTGTCAGAGTGTGATCGTAAATAACAGGAAGATGCATTTTTGTCTCTTAAGCAGCATGCTCTTCAAAGTTGGACACATTACCTTACTTGCTAGTAGTAATGCATTACATTACTTGCTAGAGAGATGACTGGACCCTGGTGATTTAACTCAACGACATGCTGCAGAAGCTTCTAGGTTTGGATGTACTGGAAATGAAGTCAATCTTCCCGTCACCCACAGCACCCATCTAGCTATAGTCAAAGCCTCTTAAATACACTGGAATCTGTTGGTTAGGGAAGGTCGGTTCTGCTCCTAAACATAGGATGATCCCTTCTCTCTTTGTTCTGGTGGCCTTGATCTGCTCCGATGTTAGTTTCCTGAAAGCTAACTAACCTTGGTTTCTCACCTTCCTCCTCTCTCCCAAGAGAAATCTTACAGGAGATCCAGAGACTTCGGCTAGAGCATGAACAAGCTTCTCAGCCCACGCCAGAGAAGGCACAGCAAAACCCCACCCTGCTGGCAGAACTCCGGCTCCTCAGGTAGGAGAGAGCACCCATGTCATCTCAGGGAATATATATGTGTCAGATCTTTGAGAAAGTCTAGCAGTGTCTAGCCAGAAAACAGTCCTCAGCTACCTTAGCTGCTGACATTTGTTTTTTTCATAGCACACACGTAATTGCTGATATTTGGGGGATTTAGAGAGAAGCTGTTTATATTTTGTTCTTTCATTTGGTACAGGGAAAAGCAGTGTGTTTCTGTTTTTGTTTTTGAGACAGAGTTTCACTCTTGTTGCCCAGGCTGGAGTGCAATGGCACGATCTCGGTTCACTGCAACCTCTGCCTTCCAGGTACAAGCAATTCTCCTGTCTCAGCCTCCCAAGAGCTAAGATTACAGGCATGCGCCACCACACCTGGCTAATTTTTTTGTATTTAGTAGAGACAGGGTTTCACCATATTAGTCAGACTGGTCGCAAACTCCTGACCTCAGGTGATCCACCCGCCTTGGCCTCCCAAAGTGCTGAGATTACAGGCGTGCGCCACCACACCCGGCCAGCAGTGTTCTTTACATCAAAAACAACATATCTCACTAGGAACAATTTAAACATAGCTCTTTTTAGAAATAATCAGTTAAATAAACATCACAGGTTTTTAAATTTAAAAATTTACCCCTAACTCATAAAAGGAGTCTGATTTTCTCTAAGTCTTGGTCTCTAATATCTTTCTTTATATTCAGATCTTTAAAAATAGGCATCACACCTTCCTGTACTATAAAGGAACATAAAAGCCTAGTCTTCTTTAGTCTGTCATCATAAAATACTTGAGTTAGAAGGGACTATAGAAGTCATCTTGTTACCAGTGAAGGGTCTTGACCACGAAGTTGTCCAGGGTCTTGGCATTTTGAATAAAGAATTGGACAAAACGCACAAACAAAGCAACAAAAGAATGAAGCAACGAAAGCAGATTTATTGAAACGAAAGTACACTCTACAGAGTAGGAGCCAGCTCCCGTAAGCGGTTCAAGAGCCCTAGTTACAGAGTTTTCTGGGGTTTAAATACCCTATGGAGGTTTCCCATTAGTTATTTGGGTACACCCTGTGTAAATGAGGACTTGGCCCAGGACCACTCTGATTGCTTGCAGGAGGCGACCAATCAGAGGCTGAAGTGAAGTTACAAAGTGACATCCTATGCAAACATTTGATTGGTTGCAGGAGGGGACCAATCAGAAGTACTTTCCATTATTCATCTGCCTCACCATACAAAGGGAGTAGCCTCGGATCCTTTTGTTACTTGGGTGTGGAAAGGCGAGGTTTTCCTTTCCATTCAGTTCTAGGAAGTCAGTACAAATCGTCCTTAGTTTCGCTGCCTCCAGTCCCTATTCTCCTGACTCAATCAGATTCTGCCGCTGCATTTCAGTGCACTTCTCAGAGTCAGAAGCTAGGGAGTAGCAGGCCTTGGAAAAGAAATGTGGTTTCTCCTACTACTCCCACGCTGCAAAATGAGTCTTGCTGTGGGCTCCATTTCAGACTAGCTTCTTACCATGCCTTGAATAAGGCTGGTATTCCAGTGTATTTATGTGGCAAACAACACAAAAATAAATTCAAAGACATTCCCTCGTATAAATATCATACTGTTCTTTCACAAGGCACCTGTAGTTGGGAAGTATTACATTCTTTTCTTTTTGTTTTTGTTTGTTTGTTTGTTTGTTTGAGATGGAGTCTCACTCTGTCACCCAGGCTGGAGTGCAGTGGCACGATCTCGGCTCACTGCAACCTCTGCCCCTCCAGGTTAAAGCAATTCTCTGCCTCAGCCTCCGGAGTAGCTGGGATTACAGGCGCGTGCCACCACGCCCGGCTAATTTTTTGTTTTTTTTTTTTTTTTTTTTTTTTTTTTTGGAGAGACGGGGTTTCACCATCTTGGCCAGGCTAGTCTTGAACTCCTGACCTCGTGATCCACCTGCCTCGGCCTCCCAAAGTGCTGGAATTACAGGCGTGAGCCACCGCGCCCAGCCCATTCTTTTCATCTTTCAGTTTGGGTGCCAACTATGTTCCAGGTATATCTATAACTCTGAGTCATACTTTTTATAGTAAGTACAGATGCCTCTTTGCAGAAACCCTTGTCAGAATTAGTCCTGTTTTCTTCTTCCATACAAAAAGACGAAATGAAGCAAGTTCTTTATGACTATGTTTGGATTTTACCAAGTTCCTGTTGATTGCATGGATGTTTCCGGAGGCTCTATCTTTGCTCTGCTCTTCAGACACTTTAACACCTGAGCACGGCAGAGCTTTGTTTTTCGTTAATGCATACTTTCATTTTTGTCTTAAAACCACAATGAACTTTCTCAACGATCATGTTTCCCTTTCCCTTTTCACTTTCGCCACAAGAAAACTGAAAGCTGAGTCACAGCCAGAAGTGACAATGAATATGAATGATAGGCATTTCTATGTGCTAATCTGACGCTTTGCTGCATACTAACTCTACATACACTGTCCCGTAAAATTACTGTAACAAACCTAGGAGATAGGCAGTATTATTCTACTCGTTTAATGGATAAGGAAACTGAGATTCACAGAAGTCACACAGAAGTTGCAGATATCATACCTTTCACTTAGTGTATATATTTATGTACTTATATATGATTTATAAGGAGAAATTTTTTCTTAGAAAAAAATTTGTATAATTGTGTGTAATTTATGTATATATTTCCTAAGAAAAAAATTATCTTGTATAACCATGATACCATCTTCAATTCGGGAAAGTTAATGTTGATATATGGTATTTAATATAAACCCATATTAAAATTTTGACAATTGTTCTAACACTGTTCTAAAAGAAAGTAGCTTTTAACGGCCGGGCGCGGTGGCTCACACCTGTCATCTCAGCACTTTAGGAGTGCGAGGCGGGCGGATCACGAGGTCAGGAGATCGAGACCATCCTGGCTAACACAGTGAAACCCCGTCTCTACTAAAAATACAAAAATATTAGCCGAGCGTGGTGGCAGGCACCTGTACTCCCAGCTGCTGCAGAGGCTGAGACAGGAGAATGGCGTGAACCCGGGAGGCGGAGCTTGCAGTGAGCCGAGATCACGCCACTGCACTCCAGCCTGGGCGACTGAGCGAGACTCCGTCTCAAAAAAAAAAAAAAAAAAAAAAAAAAAAAGAAAGTAGGTTTTAACACACATATACATTAGAAATAATCTGACAGACTATCAGAATAAAGGCACTTCTTTAGAGATGAATACATGTAGTGCTAGGAAAGGAAAATCACTATTTAGTCTTGTTTTCTCATTCTCCTTGGAAGGTGGAGGTTACACCACAGATTTGTTATTATACCTACATTTGGAAAACGCTGGTGGAAACTTAGAGAAGATTGAATGAAGACACTCTTAAATTAATTTTTAATTGAATTCGATGTCATATTTTTAAGAGATTACTACTGTAAGATAAATGTACAATTAGATTTTTTTAGTGTTGACTAATTCTAAATTAATTTGCCATTACTCTTAATGGCAAAAACCGCAGTTACTTTTGCACCAACCTAATAATACCAGTTAACGTTCTCTGATAGTTTTTAAATGCTTCTCTTAGTGTTTCTCACCTACAGTTTTAGAAGGTTGCTTTAACCCTCTTCCCAAAGTGTTTCTGTGGCCAAAGGGCCAAAATTACAGAACAGTATCAAGAAGAGAACTGGAAAGAAATCAGAAACATTATCTATTCTTGTACCAAAGACTACTGTGGATGTACCTGGAACACCATACACAGACAAGGTCAAAAAAAAAAAAAAAAAAAGAGAAAGAGAAAGAACACCTCCTGAATTTGTCACTGAGGAATATTCTTGAATGGGGCAAGGCTTTTGAAATTAGAATGCTTCAACCCAGGAAGACAAAGACTAAAATAAGATACCATTAAAGCATATAAAATTATGATGTTTCTCATCCTCTGGATTCAGAAAAGAAGCAATTTTAAAGGAAATTGAAAGAAAGATTGCTTCAAGAGTAAGCAGTCCTTACTCTTGTAAGGATTGCTTGTAAGTGGCAATAATAGTTAAAAATATAAATTTAAAAATTTATATTTTATAGTTAAAAAGTTAAAAATATAAATTTATTCAAAAAGAATTGTGAAATATTTATAAATTTTAAATTCATAATTCATTATAGAAGAAGCCTATAAGAAAGTGAATTAGAAATGTCCTCCACTGCTTTAGGAGGCTGAGGCAGGAGGAGCTCTTGTAGCCAGGAGTTCAAGACAAGCCTGGGCAACATAGTGAGAAACCATCTCTTAAAAAAGAAAAAAAGATTAGTCAGGCATGGTGGCACATGCCTGTAGTATCAGCTACTCATGAGGCTGATGGCGGAGGACTGCTTGAACCCAGGAGACTGAGGTTACAATCAGCTATGATTATGCCACTGCACTCCAGCGTAGGCAACAGAGTGAGACCTTGTCTCTAAAAAAAAATAGAAAAAAATAGAAATGTATCATTTATATCACTAACCTGTCCTCCCACAAAATATCTTTCAATTGAGTGAGTCATTGACCTAGCTCACTGTGACATTTTTATATCATCAGTTTTTCGTTGCAGAGTTCTTGTCATAGTTTCATTTAATATGCTATCATTGAGACTAGCCATATCCATTTATACATTAATACATACATGTTTAAAGTTTCCATGCAGTTTTAGTATGTAAGTATGAATATTTCAAACTCAAACAGAAATCTTTGGGGCAATGGGAAAATTATATGTATTACTTATTCAGTAATAATCATTCAGTAATGGATTTGGAATTTATTTGGAAAGTATACATATACTTCAGAATTGTGAACCATTAACATTCCTCATCATACTGTTTCATTTCTTTCCCCCTTTAAAGATCTTTTTGGTACCTCTTAGTGTCAACATAAATGATCGAGTATAGATTGTCCTTAGTTGTTTTCATTCTTGCTGACAGTTTAATAAAAGGTCTGTAAAACAAAACAAAATTAAGCATGAACCTTATATATCATCTTCACTTGTTGAACAAGTATGTAGAAATGCCTTTATTTTGACTTCACTTTATGAAACCAAACTCAAACCCAAAAATTTAAATGGATTGTATCTACGTGCTGTTAATATCTCACCTCTGAGAGACACCTCAATGGGTGCTGAAGATTTCAAATGTACTTTTCTAAATATATTTCCAAATACTAAGGTAATCAATATTTTCTGTGAATTTGCAAAAGGGTTCTTAGATTTGGAGAATCTGGAAGATTTGCCTTTTTCAGTGACAATTTGGTTTTTGTTTGTTTCAAGGGACCCCATAGCACATCACAGGGCCCACTACATAGTAAGCATTCAGAAAATATTTCATTCAATGGTTGATTAATTCAGGGTAGAAAGGTCTGAAGGAAACAAAAGATCTAAAAGGACTTTAATTCTGATGTAGTATGACTGCTAACAAAAGAAACACTTCCAGCTGTAATTGTTCATTCATTTGACAACAGTTCCCTGCCTGGTAACCTTGTCAGAGACCCAGAGATGCCCTTTTTCTGACAGTCCACAAGTCCCTCAAGAATGGAAATGTGATTAGCTCAGAGAGTTGCATGCCGCTTCTGATGTCAGCTGCTTCTTTCTTAGACAGCGCAAAGATGAGCTGGAACAGAGAATGTCTGCTCTCCAGGAGAGCCGGAGAGAGCTAATGGTCCAGTTGGAGGGTCTCATGAAGCTACTAAAGGTAAGACCTGCCAGATAAATTTTCCTGAGCTTATTTTCCATGTCATCTGTGAAAATTTTTGCACATAATGTGCAATGGTTTTTCCAATTGCTGTATGTGATTTCCCTCAACATGTTGTTTCAAGCTCAGATGTAAAACAATTTGTTAGACCAGTGTAGCAGTAGCTGTCAGTAATAGAACACATTCTTTTTTTTTTTTTTTTTTTTGAGACGGAGTCTTGCTCTGTCGCCCAGGCTGGAGTGCAGTGGCGCAGTCTCGGCTCACTGCAAGCTCCGCCTCCCGGGTTCACGCCATTCTCCTGCCTCAGCCCCCCGCCGAGTAGCTGGGACTACAGGCCCCCGCCACCGCGCCCGGCTAATGTTTTGTATTTTTAGTAGAGACGGGCTTTCACCGTGTTAGCCAGGATGGTCTCGATCTCCTGACCTCGTGATCCGCCCGCCTCGGCCTCCCAAAGTGCTGGGATTACAGGCGTGAGCCACCGCGCCCGGCCTAGAACACATTCTTATCCATTCCTGAAACCAGACTGCTGAGGGCCTTCATGGGGCAACTTCTTCTTGGCTTATTTCCAGTTTCTTTATGTCTGCAAGTAATAAAACTGGATTTATTTAGAAATATTTTATATTTAGTAGCTTTCAGCAATTCTGATTAAATTAAGAGGAGTGACTGTTAATATCAGTAAAATATTTTATTCCATTAGTATGCTTTATCAGTAGGTCACATGATTTCTAGTGAACTCAGACACAAACTCTAAGAGAGAATATCTCATTACTCTTCTGTAAGTAAAATGTTTAATAAGATGATTTATAGAAGTCTTCTGTAGAGTGCTGTAATCTATTTTTCTCATTGGGAAGTGGCATTCTTCTTTTAGTAAAGCCTTATTCCCTTCTTTAGTATACATTAAATTGCATTTAAAGTCAAAAGCAGGCAAATTATGGCCACATGTCTACAGTCAGCCCATGTGATCAGTGCCACATGATCATCCTGCCTGATATAAACAAGCAAGAAGCAGTATGGATTGGAACTGTGACATGTCAAAGGCAGGAAGTGAAACTTCTGATAGGAGAATGGTAAAGGGAAGACCCTGGGGCAGCTCATTTGCGAGAGAGGGTCTCCCAACTTTCAGTCCGTGGATGTCCCACGGCCCCAACACACCAACATTTGTTGTTTTTATTTTGTCTGTCCTTTCTTTCTCTCTTTTTTTTGTCTGTCCTTTCTTTCTCTTTTTTTTGTCTACCTTTCTCTTTTCTTCTTCCCTTTTTCTTCATTTTTTTTGTTTCTTTCTTGATTGCCCCCTCTTTCCTTCTTTGTTTTATTTTTTGAAAGCTACTTTGTCCCAGCCACTGTTCTTGTAAACTTTCTTTTGTTTTCCTTACTCTATTTTATTCCTTTTCCCTCCATCAGTGTCCTCTTTAACAATTGGTATTGGGAATACTTTATCTTTACTCAACAAAATTGACTTTTCAGTAATTAGATATGTACAGTGTAGAATTCAATTCTTGTTGATCTATCTTGGGTAAGACAAGACTAGATAGTTCATAACCTGCTGCTGTTTCTGGCCTGTTAATCTCATTTGATAACCAAAAATAAACTCTTTCTGCTTCCCTTTCCAAATATACCAAATGAAAAGGACTGAACCTATCTTTCCCCTCAGTGAATGACAGGAAGCTTTGAAAACTGCCCCCTATGTTTCTATTGCTTCTGTCACCATTAGCTATGACTCTTTCCCTATGGGATAGAAGTCTATTCACCACCAGCCATGTTGGTATCAACCTAGCCTAACAGAGTACTGCCTTTTATTGAGATGTACACATACCAGGACAGAGAGGTGGATTGTGTTGAAAAATGGTTGTACATGCAGAGAAAAGAGATGGGCCTGTAGTCTCAAATAACCAAGTAGACTTGGAGTGATAGTCACTGAGGTGGCAGAGGCCTGGACCTGCCGTCAAAGGTGTGTTGATGTTTCCCCATCTTGCGTTCCTTCACACTGTGTACATGCTCTTATTGGAACCCTGGGTAATCTAACTGTTATTGATTCAATCTTTCTGTAGGAAGAAGAACTGAAGCAGGGAGTAAGTTATGTCCCCTACTGCAGGTCTTAACTAACAGTGGAGGGGCCTGCCGACCTGCGGTTTTCTCATTGCTTTTGCTCTAATGTATGTTCATGCTTCAGTTTGGAAAGAGAAAAAAGTCATACTAATTTGCTTCTTTTTCAATGTAGTGCTTGAATTGAGATATATAAATTTAGCATTTTTTATAACTATCACTACTATCCACATCAAAAGAAGAACTATGACATCTTTTAGAAAAGGGAACGAATTGTCATTTATTGGAAACATTTTAGATCCCCAGAGGTATAAGTTTCAAACCAGTCTTAGCTTTTCAAGTTGTTGATCAGACCCTTCTCTTAACAGAGAGATACCACAGTCACTAGAGATACCCTGAGGTTCATGTCATCCCAAAACCCACAGCACTCAGAAGCTAACCTCTACACCCACTCACACTGTGAGTATTCAGTTCGGTTTCATTTTACTGAAAACCTGTGAAACCTCTTTTTATAAAAATCAGGCAATTAAATCCCTTTTCATCACACAATTATTGAGCCTTGTTCCCCATGGCTCACCAAAATGTGCTCAATTTTGTGAGAGAAAGACTGTACTCCATAACTGACTATTCACGTCCCATCTTTTTGGCTCTTCCCCAAAGCAGAATCCTTACTGTTGGTTGACAGTAATCTCTTTTTAAAAAGTAACTCTCAGCTTTTTCCTTAGCACCAGAGCCTTTCGGCTCCGGGAGACGAGAGGGTCATTACATACTTTTTTTTTTTTCTGGAAATAGGGGCATTGTGACTTTATAGCCTAAACTGGAGCTGTCTGAACCTGTGGTCAGGCTCAAGAGCCAGCAGGGGGAGCAGCAAACTCAAAAAAAAAAACAAATTAAATTAAATTAAATTAAATTAAATAGAAGCAAAATAAAAGCAGCTTTAATTTCAAGTGCATGTACCACGCTATGTATGACAATATATCCCACTCACTAGCATTATTTAAAAGTTTCACATTATTTCCATGGATCAATTAGAACCACAACCTGTCCAATTTCAACGTATCTTTCATTTCTTCTGTATGCTCTTTTCTATTATTCATTATGTGTGTTTGTGTGTAACAAAGAATGTTTGGAAAATGCTGGACACATTTTTACCCTTCATTCCCATGGTCTGTAAAAAAGGAAAGTGTAAAATCAATCTGTAATGTCAGACAATAAAGATAATGTATTACATTATTTTGTATTTTGTGAAAAAAATTACTTTACTAAATTAAAGTCAAATTTTAACAGAAGACAGTCCCCCTGGGTGAAGGACACATAACACATACAGCCTGTATAATTGCCCATGAATGCATACATGGGGTATTGCTATTGTATTTCCAATACACTTAGATCATGGTAAAGAAAAATGCCTTCTTCATGATACTTCTCTGCAAATGGCTTCTTTCCTCTCCTGTCTCTTATTTAGCATGTGCATAGAAAAAGGAAATAAGGTTCAATTATAACCTCCCTCCTCCTAGCAGAGAGAGAGGGCAATCATCCTGTCGTCATCAGCCTTGCTTTAGCCATTTCCCTTGGGGATACTTTCCAGGCCATTTCCCAGGCAGCAGGATCTTGAAAGGCTCCTATGGACCAGGAAGTTCGTAAACAGATGGATGCACAGAGCCAAACTGTGGCAGTGCCCCCAAGGTGGCGCCACTGCCCCCTCACCTTCCAGCTCCTCTCCACCAAGCCCCTCAGCAGCTTCTGCATCTCAGGGGGCCAACAGCGGGTACTGCGGTGTCGGTACCCAAGGACCAGGGCCCACGTCACCCAGATGTCAGCAATACATCGTCTGGGTAGTGGCAGAGTTTGCCTATTTCACTTATTTATCTTTTTTGCTTTTATACACAAGCCTCTTTTCAAAAAGGACCTGAGGCAGCTTACAACAAAAGATATAAACAGTGACTTCATAAAATTGAAATAGAAAAATCAAAAACTAAAGAAAATAAAATGTGAATATGCTAATCTTAAGGGACAAGGATGTTACTCTGCATGTTCTGGCAATGAAGCAAAAAAAAAAAAAAAAGGAAAATTATCGGTGGTTTTATCAGTACAGAAATACCACTTCTCAGGGGAACAAAATTTCTGTTGGCATAAAATATGAAAGAAAGTCTTCACTGGGAGCTTTATAGGAGTACTGGACGATAGAAAAGGAAAAAAAGCAGTCATAGATTTCATGTGGCTGTTTCTTATACTGACCTCAGTCAAAATTAAAAGCAGAACCTTATCAATCCCAGCCCTATAGAGGCGGTTCTGCAAGGAAATAAACAAATGCTGTCCAAATATAGACTTCTCATGGTAAAACATGATCTAAGGAGAGAATTTAGAGGTTTTAGACTGGCATCTGCTTCTAAATTCTGTTTTTATTTATGAGTGTTTCTCCCCTTTGGGGACATTGTCTTTGTAAAACCAAACTTAGAACACCCCCACACAACAAATTGTGCTGGATTTAATAACCTCTACTTGCTTTATCATAAGTCTGTGTGGTTCAATGTAGTGTTTTATTATACTGGCATATATAATTTCTACTTACATTGTTTCTTGTTAGAGGTAATGCATGAATTTATCCCTCTCGAGGAGAGAACATGAATTAAAAAAAATAGTGCCTGTAATATAATGTGATGATTATGATATCACAAGCAATAAATTTTTTTTTACAAAACTTGAATTGAAGTTATCCTACCCTCTTTCTTCTTTGTGTATCTTTAAGATTTATTGAAGGAACCATAAAAAGAACACTCATAAAACGTTTAATAATGAAGGCAGCTGGGGTATAATTGCAGTACCAATATGTTCCAGAGTTTCTGGTACACTTCCAGTTCCAAATATTATGTACCAGTCTAAAACTGAGTAGACTGACTTTGACTCCAGAAAGTAAGGTCTCAATATTAGTTTTCTTAGCAAAGTTACTGGAATTAGACCTGAATTACAGTGGTACCAGATCTTTGCTCACGGCTGTAAGCTTAACTTTCATGTTCATTAATTTCAAACTATTGATAATCCATGGCTAATAGGATTATTGTATAGATTTTGATAGATACTGGATGTGAAAGCACTTTGTAAAATCTTATACGTCAGCTATAAGTATGAATGTATGTATATAGGTATACATACACACAGGTATATATAAACTTTTCAAATTTGGTCCATATTTTACACACACTCACATACACACACACACACACATTCACTTCTCTTCCTTACAGTTCATTAACAGTGTCTCCATCAGGGAAAGAAATTTGAAAAGGACTTTTAATTTGTTCAGATCTCTTGTAATTGCTTTTAACAGTAGAAAAAAAGAGTCATTTTTATGTTAGAGAAAGTGACAGACAAGTCCAGTAAGTTTATATTTTCCTATTTCTGGTAACATTAGATATGATCCTAGATATACTAATATCTACAGAGTGTGGCTTTCGCCATAATTTGAGTAGGTATATTAAACAGCTAATACAGTGAAGGGCTGCCAGTAACAGATGTTCTATATGAGTGCAATGAAACATCTGATATTTTTTCTTAAGTTTTATCTATAATAAACATTTTTGTGTGAGAGAGGTGATTAGTACAGGGTGCATATTTTAGTCAAGGATAAAACTAAGGCCGTGCACGGTGGCTCACGCCTGTAATCCCAGCACTTTGGGAGGCCGAGGCAGGCAGATCACAAGGTCAGGAGATCGAGACCATCCCGGCTAACACGGTGAAACCCTGTCTCTACTAAAAATACAAAAAATTAGCCGGGCGTGGTGGCAGGCGCCTGTAGTCCCAGCTACTCGGGAGGCTGAGGCAGGAGAATGGCATGAACCCGGGAGGCGGAGCTTGCAGTGAGCTGAGATCGTGCCACTGCACTCCAGCCTGGGCAACACGACACAGCGAGACTCCGTCTCAAAAAAAAGGGGGTAAAATTAAGCTTATGCTAATTTGCAGGACTTTTTTTCAGACTTACAATAAGGATCCATTTTTTTAAACTACATTTTAAACTTTGGGATTGAATTGTTTCTTATTTGGGAAGATAATGTCTATACATTGGTATTATGTTAAGTAATACAATTGTTCTAACTTGGTGGGGAAAAAAAGTCAAGCATCATTCCAAATTCCATCTCCTACCCTTATTCTCTTCTCTGTTTATAACTGGATGGTCCAATTAAGTCAGGAAATTGTAGTCATCAGGTTTCTACTTCTTCCAAACACTTCATGGAATACTAGCAGGCCAGCAATAACCTGCTTGGGCCTCACCTTCCTGGCTTTTCCTAGCTCATCCTCTCTGGTGGGTATTCTATGCAGGCATGAACCAGTCAAAAGCGAGGGAGAGGGATAATTCACCTCAGAAATGATCAACTGCAATATAAAGATGATCGTCTAGTGTTCAAAAACATACCCTCCCAGACTCTCTCTTTTTAAAATTAAGTATTGATTATTATAATTAATTCTAAGTAAGTAAATATTATTTCTCTGCTTAAAAACCTAGGAAGATGACTCTCTGGTTCACAATAAAGTCTACCCTGGAGGTCCCGAGACCTGCCCATCTCCCTCTTCTAGCCTCATTTCTCTCTACACCCAGCAGCCAGCCTGACACCAGAGCCACAATGGCCTTCCCACCCTCTCCACAATACGTGTCACATTTCCCATGCCTTGCTCCTGCTGTTCCCAGGTTGCTCTGCTCTTCTCTTCTCCCCACACTTTCTCATTTCTGCCTGCAAATCTTCACTGTTAAAACCCAAGTCAAATGATGCCTCCTGCCTGAACAGTCGGAATTAATCACCTCTCATGTACCCCCACAACACTCTATACACAATGAGCACTTTAAAAGGCCTGATTATAAAAATTATCATCAGTGTGATGATAGCCAGTGAATTTATATTGGAAGAAAGGATAAAAACAGGGCTGAATGCTGCTAAGCACTGCTTTGCTGCACCTTCCCAAGCTGCTAGGTGCGGCCAGGCATGACCAGACTGCATTCTCAGCCAAACTGAGAGGCAGACTCTTCAGGTCTAGCGGGGAGGGGGATATATAATTCTCTGCTGTTTCACCAGGGTGTCCTGATTCAACAATTAGACATTTGCTCCTTTCCTTGAAGCATCCCTCATTTCTGGTGGTGAATAGAAATCAAAACACTTCCTGGAAAATATCAGAAAATGTATGAATCTTGTCAGACTTTTTAAAAAAATGGATACAACAGCAAGTTGAGTAGACTTGGAGGATGGTGCATAGAGATTAATTTTTCATTTATTCTCCAGGAAGTGAGCTATTTTAAATTTGCCAAGTGTGATATATGTTTTCCTTCTTCCATAAATCAACTCTCTCCTTGGGAATTTTAGATCTATATATTGATCTGCATGGACCATTGTCCCTTAAGTCTTTGCTCCATTAATCATTGAGTAATTTCCAGGAAAGGATATTCACAGAGATTATTCACTCTAACTCTTCTACAGTTGTTAGCAGACAACCATGCCTCATGACCAGGCTGGAGGCCACCATCCCACCGAGGCCACTTCCTGTGAAAATGAAACTCAGTGACATCATCACTGATCTGCCCCAATGCCAAGAGGCCACTGCCTTTTCCTAGTGTTCCTACAAGAACAGAACAGAAAGGAAGGCCAGAGATGGCATTCCTCACAGTGGGTAGGCACTAGGAAGATGCTCTGCATCAAACTGGACAGTGTCCTGACATGGAGAGGTGGGGCCGTGATCACCCAGGGTGTCAGTGTCCTACCCCCAAAAGTCTGGGTAAAGGCTGGATGTGACATGGGAGTTGCCAGTTGTGGGAAAGATGCAACTGATTATTCTCTTCAGCACAGGATCTTCCACCTAAATTCTTCACATAATCAAACTGCATGAAATTGCACCAATTAGAGATTCCTTTGGGAAATGGTGGCTATTCATCATTCACACATTGGTGTAATTTAGATTCAGTCAACTGTTTTTCCCTTAACACACAACGAGAGTCAATGATTTTCTTCTTATTGCAGAACCACTAATGGGAGTTTTGAAAAAGAATGCCCACAGAAAGGAGTAGCAAAAGTTGCCTTTGAGACCAGGAACTGAGCAGGGAGAGGTTGGGTGAGGCATGCCTCAGACCCACAGGAATTAGCAGAACAGCCCAGTGCACTAGGAGATGGGGAGAGGCTTACAGAAAAGGAGGTGGAAGGGCCAGACATATGAGTCTTCTTACAAATGCTGCCTAGAGGGAGGAGCCCCCAGCACCCTGGAGAACCTGGTATAAGAGGTATAAGCAAGGCTGGTGTGCACTACAGCCCCAGAACAGACATTAAAGTAGTGAAATATGGTCCATAGCCCCATATCTCAAATCACTAGATCCAGATATGTTCCAGAATTTGGCATTTATCTGATTTTGAAAAGCAATATGATGCAGATATCGTATCAGTTACCTCACATCCATTAAGACCAAATTCATTATGGAATGACCAGTGTTTGTCAGAGCTTTTTTGGCTTTCAGAATTGCAAATAAGAGATTGTAGGCCTGTACTTCTGTACCAATTGATAAACAGTCCAAGGCCCTCCCATCACCCTGAGCACCCATACATCTTTTCCATGATCCAGCAACTAAAAGGTATTGCCTGGCCCAGTAGCAGGAAGCCCTAGGACGCTGCTCCAGCACCACAAGGTGGTCCTACTGGGTCTGTGCCCTGTGTCTTTTCCCTCTTCAGGCTGCTGAACCTTTCTATAGTAGTGAAGCATAGATGGAAGCGTATGATGGCTGGTCACAGTGCCCACAGTCCTTAGACTCAGCATGGCAAACCCTGAGCTTGGAGTCTAAAGACTGGGGATCAATTTTATCTCTGCCATTCTCTTGCTCAGAAACCTTGGGTAATCCAGTTATCTCCTCTTAGCCTCAGTTTGCTAATATATAAAATGGGAATAATAATACTTCATATGGTTATTAAGAGGATTACATGAAGTATTAGGGGTTAAAGTGCTTTATGGACTGCAAATTGCTATTCAAATATAAGATATTACCACTTGTACCACTGTACTAGGAAAATGAAACAAAACAGTGTATGTAAAAGTGCTTTGTACATTGAATTACTTACAAAAGTGGAGTTATATTATTATTGTGAACTTCTCACCATGGAAGACAATCTGAGTTCCCAGGGATGAGACGGTAACCCACACTGATAGCCAAGAGAATCCTACTTCTTAATAACCACTCTGTCCAACTTCCCTTCTCTAGTCCCCACTCCCGGCTGTGTTTGGTCCCTTGATAAAGAGGACAGAGACAAGAGGCTCAGGAGCCTTGCTAAGGCCTCTGCCTTAAAAAGGGTGTACAAGAGGAATTGCCAAAGTAGGAAGAGCTCAGGGCATCTGACCAGCGTCTGTCTCCATTGAGGGACTTTTTGCCAGCCATGGCCAGCAAGGCTCCCGCAGCCCAGGGCACTCAGAGCCCCTGGGCTCAGCCCCAGCCCTGCCCCTCTGACTCCGTCTCCAGATAAAGCAATTATTTTCACCTCTCTGAGTACTGGGCTCCACAACTTCACATTTAGAGTAAGAATGCATACTTCCCAGGGTCATGGAGAGAAATCAGTGAGAGTGTATGTGAAAACCCTTTGAACATCATAAGGCACAACGCAAATGTGAAATTATTTATTATTGGCATGGGAAGGTCAAGGATGCAGTGGTAGCTCAGAAGCAGAAGGTTTCAAGGTAATGGGGCTGAGCTGCCAGAGTTTGCTGGGGAAAACTAGACCCCTCCTTGAGCAGGCCGAGGGAAGCAGGCTGCAAAAACATCACAACCGGGCAAAGTTCTCTTCCTTGGGCCTGGACAGACCATTACAAGGTACTGTTGAGAGTGAAAGAATGGGACCCTCAGCCCATTGGGCACCCCATGGGTTATTTTCTGTGCTCTGTTCTGTTTTGCTTCATTTTTAATTCTGGGTTTTTCTCAGTTTATGGCTTTAACAATTATGCGTGATGCTGAGCCTGGAGAGCTAACAGCATGGCATTTTTCAGGATTGATGTGGTGTGTTTTAACCACAAGCCACTGAGCCCAAAGCAAATATCTAAATGGAATATTCCAGAGCATTGCTCTGGTGGTATACATCTAGGAGTTTGAATGGGTTAATGATGACTCTCTGGGCCTTGCTGGAGAAGAATTCTCACTCTAGCAACCACAGCAAACAGACTGGGATGGAATTGATGTGAACACCTAATCTGTTGTGTATGCACTCAAGGGTCTCCTTGCATTTTCTTACGCATGTGGCTGACTTCTTTTGTCAACTAATTATTAAAACAGGGAGAATATTTCCAAGGCACCTCATTTAGAGACAAATCCTTAAGATTCAAAGTGTGACAGTCTCAGAATAGTTTCATGCCAAAAACTGTAGTGCAAAGATAAGTTCCTTCAGTTGTTTTCTACTTTTTTCTTTACTTGTCTTTAAATCCTACTATTCTTATTGTCCTGCTAGAATACTGCTTTTTCATAGGAGAAGAGAAGGACATTTCCTGCAGGAAATAATACCAAAAAATTAGAAAACAAGGTTTCTTCTTCTTCTTCTTCCCCATTGGAATCCCTGAGTTACTAATTTGACAAAATCAGCTTTTACTATAAAATAGGGATAAAACAATTTACACTTCATTTGATTCTTAATTTGAGACTTAATATGCACAATATTGTATGACATGATTTAAACTCTTATCCTCTAAAGATAATGCTAGTACAGTCAGGTTGAAAATTCAGAAAGCATCCATTGCAAATAGTCTTCTAGTTTGTATTTTAAACTTTCTCCTTAATGTCTTCTTAGTCCTCGGAGACCTTCCTTCAAGGAGAAAGTATCCACACCTTGTAATTATCTGCATTTAACAGTACCTTCATTTTATGGGCACATGTCCCATATACTGTAGAGCAATGCTGTACTAATAGTTTTAGCTTTCAATATTTAACCCAAACTTCAGATTACATACAATAAGGTCCTAAATTATCTGCACCTGCAAATTAGCTTTAGGATTACCAACACAATTACCTAGGATTTCCTCCTGCTTTGAAATTTCATTGTCACTGTTTTCAACAATCAACTGAGGCATTGGGGATGACATATGACATTTTCTTGGGAAAGCAAATTAATGACCTGCATTGTCTCTCCAGACTCAGGGGGCAGGCTCTCCCCGCTCCTCCCCCAGCCACACCATCAGCAGGCCAATTCCCATGCCCATCCGGTCAGCGTCAGCCTGCTCCACCCCGACGCACACGCCGCAGGACTCCCTCACAGGAGTAGGGGGAGATGTACAAGAGGCATTTGCACAAAGTAAGTGGCTTTATTTTTTGTTGTGGTCTGCTTTTATGTGGCAAATAGGTCACCAAGGTCTATTGAGTGGTCAAGAGTTGTCAGAACCACATGTGACTATTGTAGGGTCTTTCATGGCTGGTGTCAGAGCCTGGCCTGCCAGCCATTTTGGGAACTCCCTACACCAATTTGTTCTCACTTCACGATTTTACCTTCCTTTGGCTTTTGTTGCCCTGCCTTATTTTTTAGTAAGTCTTTGTTCATCAAAAGACAGGAAATCTTTTCACCAATACCCCCAGAAAACTTCATAAATGTAATCTATTTTTTTTAATTCTTAGAGATTTTCTTATCTCATATTGTCTTTTCTTTATATTAAAGTCAAGACTGAGATAAGTAATCACAGCTCTTTAGCAATGAGGTAACCAAGAAGGACATTTAGTCATTTGACAGATTCCCTGTTCTGATGCCCCGAAGAGTTGAATCATTGCCTCTGTAAGGCAGGGCTACAGGGTTAAGCCTCTGCAGTTAGAGGAGTACAAAGAGGGATGGGGATGCCAGCCAGCACTTTCCCATGACAGGGAGAGTAACTTTATTAATTTAGAAATATTTTTAACACTTTTTAAAACCTCTTCTTACTATCACTTTTTAAATTTATAGAGAATAATAATAAAAAAATCATTCTGTAGACCTTCACCGGCAGCTTTCATTCCCAGAAGTAACCACTATTAACAGTTTGATCCTTCCCAAAGTTTTGCTTTTGTGTAAATAGATATGTTTAAGGATGTGATTATAGACACATACTCTTTTTTTCACACAAATAGGATCATGCATTGCATTTTGGGGTCTGCAATTTGCATTTTCTTTAAATTAGCAATATATCATTAACATTCTTCGAAGTCTTCACATAGAGATCTAAGGAAAAGAGAGACATGTTTGAATATGGGTTTTAAGGCAAAAGAGATCATAAACAAAGTTAAAAGACAGAAAACAGTCTTGAGGAAACCATTTCCAGTATATGTGTCAATCAAGTTTCATAATTTCAGTTATACAAAAATCATGTAGAGATCAGAAAGAATAGACACCACCAAAACAAAAACAGGTGAAATATACGAATAGACAGAAGAACAAAGAGAAATTGCCAATAAATATATGAAAAGATGTTCAACCTCTAATTACAGAAATATAAATTTTAATAAGTATCACTTTTTGCCTAGAAGATTAAAAAAATGTTTTGAAACATCATAATATCCAGGGATAGCAAAAGTGCGAGGAAAAAGGTACTCTCGTCCATGTAGAGGGGTGATAAAATCTTAACACACTTCAATGAGAGAGAATGATGAACTCTCTACTCTGAGGGAAAAGGAAGGATCTATATTAGAACTTTTTCTTCTAGGCACTGAATATAACTCAAGAGTTTTTAAAAATGTAATTCACAAAATAACTTTTAATTTTTAGAAAGAAAATATCCCTTCTCTTAATCATATTTTAAAGAAATGTACTATATTTTAAATCAATTTGTGATTTCCATTATAATTAATGTTTTTACTTAACTACTCTGATTTTTTTAATTTAAACATTTATTATTTTATTTAGTTAGTATTACTTTCTGAAAAATGACGGAATGAAATTCCATTAACCCTTAGTGTGCCTGAAACAAAATAATAATCTTTCTCTGCCATAAAGAAACATAGTCTAAGTTCCAATTTATAGTACCAGACATGCATCTGCCCATGTCTTGGCAGAAGAAACAAGAATCCTCACCCCTTTCTCACGCTCTGGGGGCATTCAGTGCATGTGGGTTTCCCATTCCCAAGTGGTACTTACACTGGCAGGAAGAGCTCCAAGAGCCCTGATAGGAGACAGCGCATGTCCTAGTAGAGACCAGAATCTAAAGGGCTCAGCCACCAGGTAAGGGCAAGAAAAATAATAGCAGCTAGGAAGGCGCAGCTCTCCTGGAAAACCTGATTTTTCATCTGTGTGGATTATTCTTAAGAAGGGTGACCACACGCACTGGTTTACCTGGAACCATCCCAGTTTTGCCAGGTCAGCCAGCCTTATTCATACTGCTCTCTTTCACCTTCAAAATTGTCCCCATATGGACAAATAATATATGAAACTCCATCATTAGCCATGTCTTCTTACTGCAGGACCCACTGCCCTAAGCAGTGTTTTGTTGTTGTTGTTGTTCTTGTTTCAGGAAATGAACTAAAGCACTTCTGAAAAGGAGAAGTCTTAGAAGTTTTCTTGCTTTAGGTTATTAATGGGAAGGATAAATAAACAACATAAAAATTTAGGATAGAAGGAAGCTTTGGTTTTTTAAATTATTTCTTCTTCCCTGAAGGTTCAAGAAGAAACTTAAGGAATGACTTGCTAGTGGCTGCAGATTCCATCACTAACACTATGTCCTCTCTTGTGAAAGAGCTGAATTCTGGTGAGTTCCTGATTCCCTCTCATTTGTCTGCTCATCATGGAGGGATCCATAAGTGCTAGGGGTCTCTCTTAGAGATCTGCTTATTGTCTAATATCAAAAGATTCTTTAAAGCTCTATGTGATATTTTGTTGGTCTATTCAGATTTGAGGGGTTTTTTTTTTGTTTGTTTGTTTTTGGTTTTTTGAGACAGGGTGTCTCTGTGTTGCCCGGCTGAAGTACAGTGGCACCATCATAGCTCACTGGTATGTCAAACACTTGGGCTCAAGTGATCCCCCTACCTCAGCCTCCCTAGTAGCTGAGACTACAGGCACATGCCAGCACGCCTGGCTAATTTTTTGTTGTTGTTTTCATAGAGACAGAGTCTTTGCTATGTTGCCTAGGCTGGTCTCAAACTCCTGGCCTCAAGTGATCCTCCTGCCTCGGCCTCCCAAAGTGTGTGAGCCACTATGCCTGGCCTATTCAGATTTTTTAAGTAATGTTTATATTTTGCTTATTAAAAGACTATTAACACATACTCAATGTAGAAAGTTTGAAAAAGGCAGAGAAGAACAACGAAAAATATTCAAACTGACCTATAATTCTGGAATCCAAAGACAGCCACTGTTAACATCTATGGTGACCTAAAACAACATGATGCTAAGGTTATTTTATAGGGTCAAGTGTATTATTTATCTTTTTTTGAGATGGGGTCTTGCCTTTTTTCCCCAGGCTGGTCTTGAACTCCTGGGCTCAAACAGTCCTCCTGCTTCAGCCTCCCGAAGTGCTGGGATTCCCAGCCCTTATCTATTTAGGTTTCATTAATTTGGAATGCCTGATCATTTAAATTTGAATTTCAAACTGAAATTTACCTTTGCAATGTCTCTGAAGATAGATCTGCCCAGAAATAAATAGCATAAAATTTAAGGAGACTTTTTATCCTTTTAATACTACAAAGAGTGTTCAAAACTTTAGCAGTATGAATATGCAAATAAATATCTTACCAGTCACTAATACATCTCCATCTATTCCTTAAGGCCGACCTACCAAGAGATTTGTCTGGCAAGACTATGGTCTTACAGCTGAGATTGCAACTATAAGAAATAAAACTTCAGTTTTAAAAAAATCCTGGACTTCGCTTTCTTAAAGCCTCTCAATTGAAAATTGTTGCTGCTAATTTAGATTAAGATTACCAAACGGAATAAAAAGATAGTAGTTAATACATCATGATTAATGGCAGGTAACCACTGCCCTAGCAAATGATGAGTACAAAGTTATTCTTGGTGTAGAAGTCTTAAGTACTGTTAGTTTATACTCATAATTCTTTAAAGTATTAAGTGATAGGGTTCACTTAATATTTTAAGTTCATATTTTAAGCATTTTAGGTGAATATTTTATGGTTAGGATTAGGTTTTAACTCATAGTTCTTAAATTAGTGTAATATTAAGCAAAAGTAACAATTTTAGTTAAGTCTCTTACAGAAAGGAAAAAGTAGAAGTCTTAAAGAGTTAAGTCAGTTACTAAGATGGCAAAAATTCCTCATAACATTTCTGAGATTTTAAAAATGCTGTATACCAAATGATTTTATAGTAATTCATGTCAATATCAATTCTTATTTTGAAACAATAAAAATGTATTTGATTAAAATATGATAACTGGTTAACATTTTACACAGCACAGGTTGATTTGTGAAGCCTACTCCTTTATTTGCAGGTCATAAAAAAATCTAACGAGTCATTCTTTATTTCTTCAATTGTATCTGCTAGAGGTTGGGAGTGAAACAGAGAGTAATGTGGATTCTGAATTTGCACGGACTCAGTTTGAGGATCTTGTTCCCTCACCAACCTCTGAAAAGGCTTTTCTAGCGCAAATCCATGCCCGAAAACCTGGGTACATTCACAGTGGAGCTACCACAAGTACCATGCGTGGCGACATGTGAGTATCTTCCGCTTGGAAGCATTTTCTCAGTAACAAAACAATCTGTAGGAGACAATAAGAAAGTAAAAGCATAATTGTTTAGGGTTTTTTTAACCTTCAGAAGGGGTGACATAGTTTTCTGTTCTGCCAGAGATATAGAAGGGTGCTACATTTAAATTCGGCATTGTAATATTTCCCCTCTTACAATTTCCAGAGAGTTATCAATAACCTAAACCAACCAGTGCCTATCAAGAGCCTGCCTTGCCCAAGGCACATTGCTAGTGCTATACAAAATAGTATTAAAAAACTGCTGCCACCCTTTTAGGACTCACAGACTAGTTCAGGAGATAAATCATCCTATCTTCTGAACTTATTGTATTTGCACTTAGAGGATACCATGACATTGGAGAGGTCTCTGTCCAGAATTGGTGTAAACAACATCACATAAGTATTTGGAATTGAAATAAGTACATGTATAAAATCTCATTATAAAGAAATCCAGTTTGGTTGACTTGTTGAATTTGTATGAATCTGACCCTCCAAAGACTTATTTGCAAAAGTTTTCACCCAGTTCTGGAGCTTGTCAGAAACCAGCAGCATCAGTAACGTCCCCACTAGACTTTCTGTGACCCTGGATCAGCTCAAATTAGTCAACAGAGAAAACCAAAGCTGAGAAACAAAGGCAAAGCTGGGACAGAGCTGCAGAGCCCAACTTGGGAGAAAAAGGAGAAAAACAAAAGAAATGAAGAAAGTGGCCCATTAAATGACCATGGTTCATGGAGTTATGGGAAATGTGGGCAAAGGCTGACCCAAAAGCTGGGGGAGGGAGTTTCTGAATGCTAAAAATACTTCAGAAGGGTGATGTTGCTTAATATGAAAAGTACTTCAGACTAGTCTATAAAAATAAACTGGCCATTTTAAAGACTCAGAGAAGAAACTAAACAGAGGCCTTTCTGGTGTTTGGCTCTCCATCCAAGCAGTGAATAAACAATCAGTAATCATGGAGAATTATCAAGAGGTGTGGTCTGAGAGTCAGCTATGAAGCAGCAGAGAGTAGGATCAAAACAAAACCATTATCATGGGACTTAACATGGCAGTACGCTGCTGCTTAATATAGTTTGCTTTCTTGTCCTTTCTTCTGTATTCTAGAATTGTTGGATTTGTTATTCAAAATGGTGAATTAGTTGTCATCTGTTTTGTCTGGTAAATTCATATCTATTTGACTTTTTATTATTAAGCATTTATATGGCAGTTAGCTAGAATTTCCTTGTCCTAATTCTAAAATCCAAGACTATTGAGGCCACCCTAATCTGCTAGCCCTGGTATGCTGAGTAGCAGTACCAGCTACCAACATGTGACTCAGGAGTTAGGGAAGGAAAGTTAACAGAGTCCTGGGCAGACCCATTTAGCCTGGCCCCAAACCTCCAAAAATAACCAGAACATGTTGTACAGCTATAAATAAACGCAAACAACGACATTTAAGTTCCAACCTAGAAACTTCTTCTTGACCACTTATTTCATTTTAGGGAATAATTTAATATTTCTATTGTCTAAACATGTACTTGTGTTTTACCCTGAGACTCTTTTAGTCCTATGATTTAGGTAGTGAGTTTATGTCCAGCCCCATGAAAAGCTTTGCATAGTCTAGGATGAATAGATGGAGACAGAGTCCCACATTAGGGAATGAGGTCATTTTTATCTATTTATTTGATAGTGGAATTGGATAATTAAAATGCTTTTTTTTTTTTTTTTTTTTTTTTTCAGATTTAGAGCTAAGGTCAAGAGTTATGGGTTAGTAGCCCTCCTGGCATTGACTAGCTGATATTCTAAGACTTAATTCTATAAAAATAAGGCATGAATGTGGTATGCATGCATATGTGTATGTGCATGTATGTGCGTATGTGTAACACAAAAGAGGTTAAATTATAACCAAATGTCCTTAAGCATTATTTCACTAGAGGGCTCACTCTCCACACAGAAAGTGATCTTGGGTTCTATTTTAAACAAGAATAAAAAGAGCCCTCAGATTGGGAAAACTTTGTATCCCCTCAAAAGATGTTTGCCATTTTTTAAATTATAGAACATTTAAAGGGCCAACCCATTCCAGTAAACCCTAGGAAAAGATAAATGACCAATGATCGCAACTGCCATAAAAAAATTGTGTATGAAAATACCTTGATCATATATCGCTTCAAACCTCCAAAATGTTTCCAAGTTTTTTTTAGGTATTACTAAAGAAGACATGAAAGTGACTTGGAGAACTAAGGGGAAATAAAGGTGCCAACGAAACTACAGCTCACACATGAATCCCGCTTGTAATTCTCTTTTAAGATTTGCTCTAACATGTCATCTGTGGTTTATTTTCAGGGTTACGGAGGATGCAGATCCCTATGTGCAGCCTGAAGATGAAAACTATGAAAATGACTCTGTCCGGCAGCTGGAGAATGAGCTCCAGATGGAGGAATACCTGAAACAGAAGCTGCAAGATGAAGCTTATCAGGTACAGGGATCCAGGCCCACCCCACCCCACCTCTTCTGCCTCAACCCCTTGGTAGCTGGGTCTTTGACATGACTTGCAGAATCAGAGCCTTCTTCCTTCCACCCTCCCTTTTCAAAATACACTGATTTCACTCCTTAATCCGTGTCTTTTAGACAGTAAACATTTTAAATACTTCTTTTTTTTTTAAGACAGAATTTCACTCTGTTGCCTAGGCTGGAGTGCAGTGGTGTGATCTTGGCTCACTGCAACCTCCGTCTCCCTGATTTAAGTGATTCTCCTGCCTCAGCCTCCCGAGTAGCTGGGACTACGGGCATGCACCACCACGCCCAGTTAATTTTTGTATTTTTTAGTAGAGAAGGGGCTTCACCATATTGGCCAGGCCAGTCTTGAACTCCTGACCTCGCGATCCACCCACCTCAGCCTCCCAAAGTGCTAGGATTACAGGCGTGAGCCACTGCACCCACTCTTATAGCTGTCACTCACCATGTATTCTTTTAAATTCTGCCCTAGAAAGTGATAAACAGCCTTCTTATATTGGAAAAAAACAAGGTAACTAACAGTCCAGACTCTTTCAGGCCCATTAAGAAAGATGCTTTTTCTCATAATTATTTTTAAATGGATACAAAGAACAGGGCACGAGGAAATTGAATAAGCATAAACCCACCACTTCCCTTGAATTATTTGCCCTCAGTCTTCCTCATTGCCCACCTCATGCCAAGTGTAAGTAGGAGAATGGCAAAATTCCTGGAGAAATGTTGGGGGAACTGCAGGCCTGTGTTCATCAAGGTATGGACGGACAGATTTTCAGATGTACTGGAGTATGTTAGCCACCTGAAAATTCACTGAACATGACATATACAATTGGCAATAAATGTAACCAGCGACTCATCCTAAAGGCCATGCATTTCCCCATGGAGGTCGTTCTACTACCTTGTTTGTCTTCCTGGTATGTTCCTTTTCCCTTTAATTCACAGGCGTTTACTTGGGGTTCTGGTATTTCAGGGATGTTTGCCTGGTTGAACCTGGGCCTCAATGGTTATTTTATCCTGTCAGACTTTCTGTCCAGTGGCCAGACAAGTTTTCTGCACATTCTTTTGTTTTTCTTTTTTCCTTTTTTTTTTTCTTTTTGAGACAGGGTCTCATTCTGTTGCCCAGGCTGGAGTGCAGTTGCCCAATCATAGCTCACTGCAGCCTCTAACTCCTGGGCACAAGCTATCCTCCCACCTCAGCCTCCTGTAGCTGGGACTACAGGTGCACACCACCATGCCTGGCTAATGTTTTTATTTTTTGTGGAGTCAGGGTCTCACCATGTTGTCCAAGCTGGTATTGAACTCCTGGTCTCAAGTGATCCTCCCACCCCGGCCTCCCAAAGTGTTGGGATTATAGGCATAAGCCACCATACCCAGGCTTTCTGCATATTATTAGGGCAGCAGTGCCCTGTCTTACTTTGTTATTGAAAAAAAAGGGAAGCAGAGAGAAGAAATTATCTCCTATTTCTCATATGTCTATAGATAAAGCCTTGAAATATTTTTCCAAGAAGATTGTAGCAGGAGGGAAACGGAAGCCCACCAATTCCATCCCAGCAATATAAAAACAAAGTTTTGCCTCTTTGGAATGTTCCATTTGCCTTTTCAGTTTAACGACCACATTTCAGAAGCAACTAAAATGTTGGTCTAGCCATACCAAAGAAAGAGGGTAAAAGAAAAACATAAGTGACTCTATATGTAGAGCCGTGCTCCCATGCTTCAGAAACAAATTCGCCTGATTGCAAACCCATGGAGAGTGCAGTTTTCCTTGCGCCTTCTATGGCTCCTCCACAGAAGGAAATCAGCCTGGAATGAAACTGCCAGGGTGTCTCTGGGAATCCTCAGGGATGGCATTCCTACACATATCTCCTTAGGCTCTGCTGTGTAGAAGGAAAGAAAAATGTGACTAAATAACCAATGTTCTGGTTCATGCTATTAGAAGCGTCTATTAGGCCTCCCTCTTTGAGCTCGTGTCACCTTCTGTATTTCAGTGGCAGCAGTAACTGAAATTCTAGGGGTTCTTTTTTTTCTTTAAGGGAGGCAGGCTTACACCATTCCATATAAAATATTAGATTTTTATTCATTTTAATGAATTAAAAATGTAACCTTCTATGAGTAAAATGAAGGGAATTTCTACTAATGACTTAAGATTCAACTGGAGTTTTTACCATCGCTGGTAAATCTTAAGCTCCCTCTCCCTCTCCTTTCTTTTCCGTGCCTCATGACTTCCAAGAAAAGGACAGGGAAGAAGCTGGGAGACTATAACAGGCCTGTGTATCTCCACTCAAAACATACTCCCTGGAGGAGATGTCAAAGTGGTTTTCCTTGAATGCTCTGTGAGCATACGGTTGTTGGATGGATTGGAACGCTACTCTCACTCAATAGACTCTCTCTCTCTCTGTGTCTTTGTGCATGGCTTCCCGCCAAATAATTCACCAGCTTGACTGCATCACAGACTTGACGTGTCACCTTTCTCGTTTGTGTCCTTTGTCACCCACAGGTCAGCTTGCAAGGTTGAATGCAATATCCTTTTATCACACTCCTCTCAAGTAAGTACCATCTTATTTAGGAGGAATCATGGCCACTGTACACTGAATTCTGATAACCTGTAATGCGAATTCACAATCACTTCTCTTAGTCATTTCTTTCTATGTGATAAAATACCCTCCTTAACTGCTGATATCGAAGAGTCGTCTCAGTCTGTGGAGGGTTTCATTATAAACCAGTGGAGATTTGCCAGACATCCTTGGGAGGTGACTTCTTACTCTATTAGCTAGGAAAATTGGCACAAAGCTTCTAAACCTAGAGACGTTCCAGTAATCCTCTGTGGCTATGAAACTTACCAATAAGTTTGTCACATCACCAATCCATGACAATATCGGAGTTTGTAGCCGCTCTAGCACTTGAAAAGGAAAAGTCAGTACCTCTAGAGATGGGCCAGCTTGTTAGTCATACTATACCTCGGGCTCAAGAGATCAAATGTGTGTGCCTTAACGAGTGAAAGCAAAATCATGCATTAATAAAGAGAACAAAAGAGCCCAAACAGAGGAAAAATTCTGCAGCCTTATGTTTTTGGAATACCTGATTCAAATCCATTGTGGAATTCAGCAGTATATAAATTAATTTAAAATATTATTTTCATGGCATGTGAAACCACTCCAAAGCCCTACCTAAATATGTGGAAAATTCTCAGTAATTTTTTAATGCAGAGAGATTAGCACTGGACTGGCAGCATCACTTGACTGTAGTGGTCTGAAGCTTAGGCGCCAGACTCTAATAGACCCATTTCAAATACGGGTTTCACCAAATCCTAACAGCAGAACTTTGGGCAAATTATTAAACCCGTATTACCTCAGTTTCCTCTATACAACATATTGCATAATAGCCTCATAGAAGAGGCTGGTATTATGTATCACCACAGAAGAGGCCGGTATTAAAAACCATATCCTACTCACTGGGATGTAGTTTTTAAAGAGCTTGGCATAGTGGAAGGCACATTATCATTTATTATGAACATTCACATATATGCCTGCCCCTATGTTCAGTGCTTTATAGCACTTCAACACCTGGCAGCTGCCATATTGCTTACCTAAGTGTACGGGAAACACTGGGACCCAGAACTAGCTTGCTTTCTCTTCTACTTTTATAAACAAGGCTAGGATGCAGCTACATGTGATGACTTGGCACACTGTGGGCCACACTGTTCCGTAAGTCTAGATTTTTTCTCTGGCTCCAGCTAATAGCCATTTAGATGCCTCCATGGTAGTTCAAAGCTAATATACCTCTCAAAGGATTCTGGCTGCACTGGCCCAAACATTTGAGCTTTCCCAATCATGGAATCCCATAAGTCTGTACTGCAGTGGACAGTAAATGCTATCAATGTTGGTTGCTATTAATAATTTGAAAAAGGAATAAATATCTGTTAAGTGACATACTAATTAGTAAAGAATACATGCTAGTGCAAATGCTACTGACATCCTGTCTCAGTCCTCAGGTTAAAATTAAGCAAGTGAAAATCATGGAGTAATTGCTATGATCATATATATTTTATGAGCGAAGAGGAAGGAGCTCATTGACCACTCTCTATTCTGCCTCTCCTGGATTTGAGAGTGCCACCACACATGCTCTCCTGACTCATTACAAGTAGAGTGAAAAAATTCCCAGGAGCTGTTTCTGAAAATATTCACTCCAGTTATAACAAATTTAGTCCCAAGGGGCAGGCCTTTTCCTTTAATAGCACTTTCTTTCTCTTAGCTTCAGCAATTTGATCATTGTTGTTCTGCACATTATTTAAACATCAGTAGCTAGTTCTTAGAAAAATATTTTTGAAAGTCTAATAAAATGTGCTTGCGTTAAACCCAGATAAAAAGTGGAATTTGGTACCTAAAAGCCAAAAATTTCAGTACTCTAGAAGTTCCTAGGCCATTTTTTAAATCTTTGGTTGCAAATTTGGCAGTGAAAAATTAGACTGTTGTAGTCTTTGCCATTTACTGCATCCTGTAGCCTACCTAGCTGGAATTCCACAGAACTCTGAACAAGAACCAGCCTGTCATTCAATCAGCCACATAGGCAAATTCATTTAAAACCTGATAGAATGTTGTAAAAACTAGTGGCTTTTCATTTTTGCAGCTGGTTCTATCCTATTGTACTTTTTCTTAATGTAACCAAGAAATGCAGGTGCATTTTAGGCCAGTTTATTTCATTAAAATATTTTTGTTTAGACTTTCTGGCTGTACTGCAAGACCAGAAATTATCCCAAAGTATATGTGTCTCTTATCCAAGGGTTCTGAAGCCAGATTCATCAGCTTGACATTAGTTAGCCATCCGCCAAGGCAGAGAGCCTTGCATTGGGAAGAGGCAGAAGGTGGACGCCAGAGACATAGAAGATGCAACCTCTGCTCAAAAAGAGCTTTAGGCTTATTTGAAAATAAGTACACACTTTCAACATACAATATTAAAAAAAGTGAATAGTTTAAAACCTGGTTTATTGGTTTTCAACTAGCCACTTTTGAAGAAACGGTATACATAATGGCACTCAGCTTAGGGTCCTCCAAGACTCAATTTTAGCCCATTTAGGTATTCAATTTGTCCCTGTTACATCCTGTGGCCACATGGTACACCACTGTCCTTGGCCACTCACATCCAAGTGGAAATTAGAGGATTGGACCATCCAAAGTAGATTTTTTAAAAACCAACGTGGCAGCCTAATCATGGGTCACTGGTTTTATCTCTTTGTCCAAAAGACAGCACAAATATTTCTGTTTGTGTTGCTTTTCCCCTCCAGATGCCTCTGGTACCCACTAAGAAAGAGATCCACATGGAGGACTTCCTGTCCTCTCTTCCAGAAGGTGCAATAGCACAGTGTCCTAGGACTTTCATTCCTGATTGTCGTAGGAAAGGAGTGTGTGTGTGCATGTGTGTGTGTGTGTGCGCGCGCACTTTCTTCTATATTGGGGAAAGGGGGGATCCTAAGTTTCATAACCCTAATTTAGAAACAATTTGCATCTTTAAAAAAAATTACACATTCCTTATTCCCAGGCAAGCTATAGTCAGACAGATGATGAAAGTAACATGAAAACTGGTGATGATGGAGAGCCCTGTGGCCACACAGAGGAGGAAGACAGCAGCCTGGCAGCAGCCTCACCGAAGAGAGGAACCACCACACCCAGCAGCTCCTGACAGACCCCCACCCCTAAAGATGTGTCCTGATGACTATAGTGCAGCTAACTTTTTGTTCTCAGATTTGTAGTGCATAGGTGTGTGTTTCAAGAAGGAAAAAAAAAGACTTCTGTTCAAAGTTAACTTATCAGCTACATCCTCTGTAACGTGGTTCATCCCTGGTTAAAAAGCAAACAAACACAGGCTGAAAACCCATGCTGCTGTTATACACAATGGCAGTATTAACAAGCATTTTAAACCTTTGCACATGATATTGAACCTGTTCAGTTTACAATGACAATATTAATACTGTTTATAGCTAGAAGTTTGATTTCTGAATTCTTTGAGATTTTAGCAAAACAGTTTATTATACACTGTACATTTTTTTCACAGCAATTGGAAAAAAACAACCACTTGCAATCATTCAATAACCCTGAAGAATTTGGTTCCTGAGTGTACAAACTCAGAGCCCGGAAGCCAAGAAGGGTCCTTGGCCTGCACGGTCTGTAGTTGACTCCAAGTCTCTGTGAGCAGTGACTTGAACCAAACACACCAGGAATAATCCATTCTTTGGGGCCTCTTTCCAACTCGAGGTTGTTTTCTTTCAAGATACTCTAATCAGCCATAGAATTTAGTGTAAATATTTTTTTTTCCAAATAGATATCATATTCAAAAAAGGCAGCATTCAAATTATATAGAATCTAGTTTTTAAAATCAGCACAGATCTTCTTAAAAACTGTGAACTATGTTTTGAAATACTCGTTACTAAAGCTGTTTATAAACCACAGGTGCCATAAGATCCCCAAACGGACTAAAGTTATCTCTGCTCTTCCATGGTCTTGTTCCTCTCGTTTTGGCTTTAGGAAGCATGTCTTTAACAGCACCGCTCGTTCACAAGTTCCCCCATCAAGTTGTTTGGAGGCCTTCAGCTTTAAATGTACAGGCTTAAAGTGCGCTTGCAAACGTTTGCTCTCCTTTTTTTCTGAATGTTGATTGCCTTAGCTGGCCACCTGGTGTTCTGCATGTAGCCTTCTGTGGTCATGTGAAAGGAGACAGGCTCTTCTAAGTTGAGTTGGGATTTTTGCACTCAGTGAAAAGCTGAAGTGCAAAAGAGCTATCAAAGACAAGAGGATAAAAGACTGGGATAGTCTTTTCCAAGGACCCTCTTTAGAGGGCCCTAAAGACCTCCTTTGGGAATTCTGGGGAAAAAGAAAAAGTAATCTTCTACTTGCTTCAAGATTTGATTTTTTTAAAAAAGCCTGCGACCTATTCAATACATTATGCTTAAATTAGCAGTTTCTCTGGAATTCCTGTCTCTCCTTTAAAAGAAAGGAGAGAACATTTTAGAACAATAGTTCTCAAAGTGTGTTCCCCGGACAAGCAGCATCTGCAACACTTAGGAAGGTCTTCGAAATACTAATTTGTAAGCCCCACCTCAGGCCTACTGAATCAGAAGCTCTGGGGGTTGGGTCCAGAAGTCTGTTTTAGTCAACCCTCTAGGTGATTCTGATGCTCGCTAAAGGTTGAGAACTACTGCTTTAGAATGAAGTCGTATAATAAAGTCTCTGAAAAGGCCTTATTCAGAATAAGCAAGAAAGGTTCTGTGATTCACTTTTGCTTCTGGGGCTGGCAAAAACCTTCTCTGAACCCACACACCAAGTTCGTAGTTGGTAGGTGCCCAGCCAAGTCCTGACATCTTCATGCCCCCTCTGCAGAGGGCGGCTGTACGATGTTCACATGTCTGCGTTTGGTCAGACATCATCTCCTTGGCTGCCCTTTGAAACCAAATCACTTGCCTTGGGGATAAAGTGCTCAATTGGCATTAGTGAGAAGCCCATCCTATCCCTTGACATACTTAATCATATATCTCTCCAGAGAACTCACCTGACAAATGTCTCTGAGCACAGGCTGACACCAAAGTGGCACAACTGCACAGTTCTCAGATTTCTTTGCACAGATTGATTTTTATTGCGGGTTTTGTTGGGGTGTCTTAATGTTCATCTCTTTTCCACTGCCCATCCTCTGTGAACCCATACCTCTCTAGATGGAGCAGGTGGCCACTGGTGCCTCATACTCAGTATTGAAAACCACTACATCCCAGCTACCTATAATGCTGTCAGCTCAAAATCATAGCCAGGTAGTTCTTGAACTCAGAACTTAAATCCTGCACGTGGCACTCCACCACTGACTGGACCGAGCTGGCATATGTTGTTTCTTTGTGTTTCTACATCAAAATGTTCGTCTAAGATTTGAACTGTTCTGCTGATAACCTTCCCCGTTGTCATAGCTATTTCATTGCCAACCAACTCCATCACATGGTTGTTGATATCGTCATATAAAGCCATTGCAAGGACTCTGGAAACTGCCGCCAATGACCAATTTCTGACTAACCAGCCACCTTTTCTCTCTCTTAGCTCCACGTCAGCACTGAGACCAGACTCGAGCACCCCTGTCCTGTAAGCGAGACAAAATGGCGTGTGTTATTTTGGGGTTTTGTGTTTTTTGGTGGGTTTCTTTCCTTGGCTCTCCAGATTTACTTTTGGGGCCTGTTCTAAGTGCAAACCCAGCAAGTTTCACTTGTCCTGTCCATTAGATACAACTACATCTTGCGGGGGTTGTTTCTTTCTTGTTCCACAATGAATTGCACATCCATCTCCATCAGAGCTGATAGCCTGTTAATAAGCACTGGTCTAACACAGCCAACCCTCCTCCACAGCGCCATATTAATGGAGGAGGGGAGGAAGGTGAAATCTACTGCATGGGATTCAGGAAACAGTTGTGGTTGGTCAGGACGGAAGTTGGGGTAAGTTTGGTTGGTCAGAGGGAGTTGTGCTGGAGATTGTGAAAAATGGGTTCTTGAATGATCTACTATAAGGCAGGGAAGGTTCATTTGTAAGTAGTAATGTGAACTGAATTGCATTAAGAGTGTGTGGCCTTTGTTGTGATATACTATGTATTTTCTTATATGCATGAGCCAAACTGTTGCATCATAATTTAGCACTGATGTCTGCTTTTATTTTGATCATCTTTGTCCACCCTTATTAGTTCTTGGCTGTTAACCGTAGATAGATCTTGTAAATCCAGCAACCTTTGGTTGCTGCATTCCCCTTGGTTCGATTCCACGCAAGGAGCCACAAGTGAGAACTCCACTGTCCTTAGAAGAAAGGGCATTTTTACTTTTGAACCAAAAAGAGAAAAAAAAATCAGAAGTGTTGCATCTTGAGGCGAATTAACTGTAAGACATTTTTAATTATGACTACTGCAATTTGACACCATTTGAAATAATCAATTCAGAGACACTAAAGATTTCACAATATTCATTGGTATTGTAAAAAAAAAATACTATTGTATGGATTTTTGTATTGCTGTTAAGTATTGTTTTGTGTGTGTGTGTGTGTGTGTGTGTTGGAACCTCCTGGGGACATGTTATATTTTGAAGTGATTAAACTATTTAATTGTGTGTCTATATTTTGGAGTGGAATAATTTCTTCATTAAAAAATGTTTTTAAAAACACTATATCTTGGGTGGTTTATTCCTTTGTTTCAGTGAATCTTTCCTAAAGCAACGTGGAGTCAGTCTGTTGAAAGAAGGAAGGCAGGTACTTGCAGTTTAAAGCAGGACCCATTGATGGAATATTGAGCCACCGAGGCAAAATAGCTCACCTTCTCTTGCCTTGGGGGATGCATGGTTTTTACCATTCTACTGTTTTATTAGCATCTGTGAGCATCTAATAGAAATACTATTCTGCTATTTATGGAAATCCTTATTATAATTGATATGGAAGTGAGTTTGAAATTCTAACAGCTAACATATTTCATGTTTGTATCACACACTGTTCTTAACACTTTATGTGACTTCACTCAATTCTTTGAATCCTCTGCATCTAGCCATGTATTCTGCAAATATTAAGTGCTCAATGGTTTTTTTGTTGAATTACTGAATAAATGAATTAGTGGTGTTTGGTTTGTTTTTTTTTCTAGAGCTAGTGATAAAGGAGGATCAGCAGGGCTAGGAAGTCAATGTGGTGACAGCAACAGCAATCAAATTAAGAGATCCAAGGAGAGTGTCAAGAGTCCACATGTTAAGTGTTCTTATCTCAGAAACAAACCACAAAGGGACACAAAGAAACTTTTGGAGGTGATGGCTATGTCTATTACCTTGATTGTGGTGATGGTTTCACAGGTATTTAAGTATGTCCAAACTCATCAAATTGTATACATTAAATAGGTACAGATTATTGTGTATCAATTATACCTCAATAAAACTTTAAAACAAACACATACAGATATAAATCTTGCACGCACAGATGGAAGAAATAGAGTCCACAGTGATGATCACTCCTTCTATTCACATCTCTCCCTCAGAACCTCTGTGAGTCCCATGCAATGGAAGATTGGGTGTTTCACTTGCTGAAAGATCTGTTTTCTTTACAGGATCTGTGAGTCTGGCTCTACGCTTCAAGAATAGCATTTTTGGGAAATCTGACTCTGGTGCTGAAAGTCTGTGCTCACAGGGTTGGGTTGATTTGAAGTCCATGGAAACAACTGTCAACACTCTAGACGCACTAGAGAGAGAAATTAAGAAGTTCTCCATCAATTACAAAGGCAAATACTGACCTGAGATAATCGTGAGAGGGAACTCACACAGTCCACTTCCCTTTGAAGGTGAGAGCCAAGGGCATGTCCAGCAGCTCCTGTCCACATCCCTTTGGGCGCTATCCCAGTGACTCACCACTTCATCTCTTAGGGGCCACATTTAGCTCTGCCCTACCTCAGCATTTCCCAAATTTATTGAATTACAAAAGCCTCCTGAGAAGTTGATTAATTCTGATTTGGCAGATGTAGAGTAGGGTCAGGTAATCTGGATGGTATTTTTAATAAGCACTTCAGGTGATGCTTACAGTCTGACCAGTTTTAACAAATGCTATTATGCTATTTCTTTGCTGCTCAAAATATGGTCCAGTGACCAACAGAATTAGCATCACCTGGACTTTGAGGATTCCCGTATATAGGACATAAAGATACCCTTCCCAGAAGTTGCCATCATCTAATCATGTGATTGATCTTTCTGGTGATCAGCCCCATTCTGAAGCTATCTAGGAACCTACAAAGAGTCACCTCATTAGCATAAAAAATATACTCTTGTCACTCAGGAAATTCCAAGGGCTTTTGAAGCTCTGTGCCAGGAGCCAGGTACAAAGACCAGAGAGACCACATATATTCTCCATTATGCTACACAATAATACTTGCTTTTATATTTGCCCATGTAGTTACCTTTACTGTAGACCTTTATTTCTTCATACAGCTTCAAGTTACCATTTAGTGTCCTTTCATTTCAACTTGAGGACATCTTGTAGCATTTCTTGCAGGGCAGGTCTACTTGTAGTGAACCCCTCAGCTTTTGTTTATTGGGAATATCTCAATTTCTTCCTCACTTTTGAAGGGCAATTTTGCCAGATACAGAATTCTTGGTTGATAGGTTCTTTTCTTTCAGCACTTTAAATATGCCCACTGTTTTCTGGCTTCCATAGTTCCTGATAAATAGCCAACTGTTCATCTTACTAAGGTTCCCTTGTACATGATAGTTGATTCTTTCTTGTTGCTTTCAAGATTCTCTGTCTTTGACATTCAACAGTTTGATTACAATGTTCTTGATGTGGACCTCACTGAATTTATTCTACCTAGAGTTCATTGTGCTTGTTGGATGTATAGAAATAAATTTCACAGATAATTTTTCAGGGAGATTGGTTAGGACATCACTGCAATAATCCAAACAAAAAGAAATAATGATAGTTTAGACTAAGGGTAGAGTAAAAGTGGTTATATTCTAAATATGTTTTGAGGGTAGAACCAACAGATTTTGTGGGTAGATTGGATGTGTGTGAGAGAAAGAGAAGAAATAAGGATGATAAAATAATTTGAGAACCCAAATAACTGGGAGAATTAAACTACTGAGAAAGAGCAGAATTTGGGTGGGTAGAATTTCAGGAGCTAATTTCTGGACTTAATACCTTCGAGATGCCTATTAAACATCCAAGTGAAAAGAGGGAGGAGTATTGGAAATCTAGGCTTGAAATTCAGAAGCAAAGTCTGAACTGGTACTACAAATCTTGACATCATCACTATGGAGATAATAAAAGAGACTGAAAAGGAATGGTCAGAAATGTAGGAATAAAATCAGGAGCTGTGGTGATGATCAACTGTGTTGATGCAGCAGCTGTCACATGAGCATTGAATTGAATTGATTTAATCATGTTCAAAGAATCTCTTTGCTATTTTCAAGCTTGAAGAACTCCTATGTTCTTAATGAAATCTTCATGAACCCTGAGTGAAAAGTCATGTTTGCTTTTCCTCTAAAAGCCTCAAGGGAGTTGAGTACTATAATAAATCCACAGAGTTGATTAGACGAATGGATACCTAGAATAACGAATGCAGAGAAGTCCTTAAAAGGGCTGATGGAGCTGAAAACCAAGGCTTGAGAACTACGTGAAGAATGCAGAAGCCTCAGGAGCCGATGCGATCAACTGGAAGAAAGGGTATCAGTGATGGAAGACGAAATGAATGAAATGAGCCGATTCTGATTTCCATCTCCACACACCCTCAAAAGCTAGCTCCTTTTCCTAGTTTCCACTTGGTGAGATCAATCCACAAAGACAGTGCTGACAATCTACATATTGTTGATAGGCTTATAACAACCAAGTCAATATAGAAAATATTTCCCTATTGACTCTCTAAATAGCTTTTTAGTGAAAAGGATATATGTAATCATTATTTTTGGAAGAGGAGCCTTACTTTTATGACTTCTGCAATTTCATCTGCCTCCATTATTTTCAGAGGAAGAAAGGCTAAGTAAGCAAGAAAGTTAGGAATTAAACCCAGTCTTGATCAAGGGAGGAGCCAGGATGGCCAAATAGGAACAGCTCCGGTCTACAGCTCCCAGCGTGAGCGACGCAGAAGATGGGTGATTTCTGCATTTCCATCTGAGGTATCGGGTTCATCTCACTAGGGAGTGCCAGACAATGGGCACAGGACAGTGGGTGCAGCTCACCGTGCGCAAGCTGAAGCAGGGCAAGGCATTGCCTCACTCGGGAAGTGCAAGGGGTCAGGGAGTTCCCTTTCCTGGTCAAGGAAAGGGGGGACAGACGGCACCTGGAAAATCAGGTCACTCCCACCCGAATACTGCGCTTTTCCGACGGGCTTAGGAAATGGCGCACCAGGAGATTATATCCCACACATGGCTCAGGGGGTCCTACGCCCACGGGGTCTCGCTGATTGCTAGCACAGCAGTTTGAGATCAAACTGCAAGGTGGCAGCGAGGCTGGGGGAGGGGCGCCCACCATTGTCCAGGCTCACTTAGGTAAACAAAGCAGCCAGGAAGCTCGAACTGGGTGGAGCCCACCACAGCTCAAGGAGGCCTGCCTGCCTCTGTAGGCTCCACCTCTGGGGGCAGGGCACAGACAAACAAAAAGACAGCAGTAACCTCTGCAGACTTAAATGTCCCTGTCTGACAGCTTTGAAGAGAGCAGTGGTTCTCCCAGCATGCAGCTGGAGATCTGAGAACGGGCAGACTGCCTCCTCAAGTGGGTCCCTGACCTGTGACCCCTGAGCAGCCTAAATGGGAGGCACCCCCCAGTAGGGGCAGACTGACACCTCACACGGCCAGGTATTCCTCTGAGACAAAACTTCCAGAGGAAGGATCAGACGGCAGCATTCGCAGTTCACGAAAATCCACGGTTCTGCAGACACTGCTGCTGATACCCAGGCAAACAGGGTCTGGAGTGGACCTCTAGCAAACTCCAACAGACCTGCAGCTGAGGGTCCTGTCTGTTAGAAGGAAAACCAACAAACAGAAAGGACATCCACACCAAAAACCCATCTGTACATCACCATCATCAAAGACCAAAAGTAGATAAAACCACAAAGATGGGGAAAAAACGGAGCAGAAAAACTGTAAACTCTAAAAAGCAGAGCGCCTCTCCTCCTCCAAAGGAATGCAGCTCCTCACCAGCAACGGAACAAAGCTGGACAGAGAATGACTTTGACGAATTGAGACAAGAAGGCTTCAGACGATCAAACTACTCCGAGCTACAGGAGGAAATTCAAACCAAAGGCAAAGAAGTTGAAAACTTTGAAAAAAATTTAGACGAAGGTATAACTAGAATAACCAATACAGAGAAGTGCTTAAAGGAGCTGATGGAGCTGAAAGCCAAGGCTCGAGAACTACATGAAGAATGCAGAAGCCTCAGGAGCCAATGGGATCAACTGGAAGAAAGGGTATCAGTGATGGAAGATTAAATGAATGAAATGAAAAGAGAAGGGAAGCTTAGAGAAAAAAGAATAAAAAGAAACGAACAAAGCCTCCAAGAAATATGGGACTATGTGAAAAGACCAAATCTGCATCTGATTGGTGTACCTGAAAGTGACAGGGAGAATGGAACCCAGTTGGAAAACACTCTGCAGGATATTATCCAGGAGAACTTCCCCAATCTAGCAAGGCAGGTCAACATTCAGATTCAGGAAATACAGAGAACGCCACAAAGATACTCCTCGAGAAGAGCAACTCCAAGACACATAATTGTCAGGTTCACCAAAGTCGAAATGAAGGAAAAAATGTTAAGGGCAGCCAGAGAGAAAGGTCGGGTTACCCACAAAGGGAAGCCCATCAGACTAACAGCGGATCTCTCGGCAGAAACTCTACAAGCCAGAAGAGAGTGGGGGCCAATATTCAACATTCTTAAAGAAAAGAATTTTCAACCCAGAATTTCATATCCAGCCAAACTAAGCTTCATAAGTGAAGGAGAAATAAAATACTTTACAGAGAAGCAAATGCTGAGAGATTTTTGTCACCACCAGGCCTGCCCTAAAAGAGCTCCTGAAGGAAGCACTAAACATGGAAAGGAACAACCAGTACCAGCCACTGCAAAATCATGCCAAAATGTAAAGACCATCGAGACTAGGAAGAAACTGCATCAACTAACAAGCAAAATAACCAGCTAACATCATAATGACAGGGTCAAATTCACACATAACAATATTAACTTTAAATGTAAATGGACTAAATGCTCCAATTAAAAGACACAGACTGGTAAATTGTATAAAGAGTCAAGACCCATCAGTGTGCTGTATTCAGGAAACACATCTCACGTGCAGAGACACACATAGGCTCAAAATAAAAGCATGGAGGAAGCTCTACCAAGCAAATGGAAATCAAAAAAAGGCAGGGGTTGCAATCCTAGTCTCTGATAAAACAGACTTTAAAACAACAAAGATCAAAAGAGACAAAGAAGGCCATTACATAATGGTAAAGGGATCAATTCAACAAGAAGAGCTAACTATCCTAAATATATATGCACCCAATACAGGAGCACCCAGATTCATAAAGCAAGTCCTGAGTGACCTACAAAGAGACTTAGACTCACACATAATAATAATAGGAGACTTTAACACCCCACTGTCAACATTAGACAGATCAACGAGACAGAAAGTTAACAAGGTTACCGAGGAATTGAACTCAGCTCTGCACCAAGCAGGCCTAATAGACATCTACAGAACTCTCCACCCCAAATCAACACAATATACATTTTTTTCAGCACCACACCACACCTATTCCAAAATTGACCACATAGTTGGAAGTAAAGCTCTCCTCAGCAAATGTAAATGATCAGAAATTATAACAAACTGTCTCTCAGACCACAGTGCAATCAAACTAGAACTCAGGATTAAGAAACTCACTCAAAACCACTCAACTACATGGAAACTGAACAACCTGCTCCTGAATGACTACTGGGTACATAACGAAATGAAGGCAGAAATAAAGATGTTCTTTGAAACCAACGAGAACAAAGACACAACATACCAGAATCTCTGGGACACATTCAAAGCAGTGTGTAGAGGGAAATTTACAGCACTAAATGCCCACAAGAGAAAGCAGGAAAGATCCAAAAGTGACACCCTAACATCACAATTAAAAGAACTAGAAAAGCAAGAGCAAACACATTCAAAAGCTAGCAGAAGGCAAGAAATAACTAAAATCAGAGCAGAACTGAAGGAAATAGAGACAAAAAAAACCCTTCAAAAATTAATGAATCCAGGAGCTGGTTTTTTGAAAGGATCAACAAAATTGATAGACCGCTAGCAAGACTAATAAAGAAAAAAAGAAGAATCAAATAGACACAATAAAAAATGATAAAGGGGATATCGCCACCTATCCCACAGAAATACAAACTACCATCAAAGAATACTACAAACACCTCTACACAAATAAACTAGAAAATCTAGAAGAAATGGATAAGTTCCTCGACAATACACCCTCCCAAGACTAAACCAGGAAGAAGTTGAATCTCTGAATAGACCAATAACAGGATCTGAAATTGTGGCAATAATCAATAGGTAACCAACCAAAAAGAGTCCAGGACCAGATGGATTCACAGCCGAATTCTACCAGAGGTACAAGGAGGAACTGGTACCATTCCTTCTGAAACTATTCCAATCAATAGAAAAAGAGGGAATCCTCCCTAACTCATTTTATGAGGCCAGCATCACCCTGATACCAAAGCCAGGCAGAGACACAACCAAAAAAGAGAATTTTAGACCAATATCCTTGATGAACATTGATGTAAAAATCCTCAATAAAATACTGGCAAACCGAATCCAGCAGCACATCAAAAAGCTTATCCACCATGATCAAGTGGGCTTCATCGCTGGGATGCAAGGCTGGTTCAATATATGCAAATCAATAAATGTAATCCAGCATATAAACAGAACCAAAGACAAAAACCACATGATTATCTCAATAGATGCAGAAAAGGCCTTTGACAAAATTCAACAACCTTCATGCTAAAAACTCTCAATAAATTAGGTATTGATGGGACGTATCTCAAAATAATAAGAGCTATCTATGACAGACCCAAAGCCAATATCATACTGAATGGGCAAAAACTGGAAGCATTCCCTTTGAAAACTGGCACAAGACAGGGATGCCCTCTCTCACTACTCCTATTCAACATAGTGTTGGAAGTTCTGGCCAGGGCAATTAGGCAGGAGAAGGAAATAAAGGGTATTCAATTAGGAAAAGAGGAGGTCAAATTGTCCCTGTTTGCAGATGACATGAGTGTATATCTAGAAAACCCCATTGTCTCAGCCCAAAATCTCCTTAAGCTGATAAGCAACTTCAGCAAAGTCTCAGGATACAAAATCAATGTACAAAAATCACAAGCATTCTTATACACTAATAACAGACAAACAGAGAGCCAAATTATGAGTGAACTCCCATTCACAATTGCTTCAAAGAGAATAAAATACCTAGGAATCCAACTTACAAGGGACGTGAAGGACCTCTTCAAGGAGTACTACAAACCACTGCTCAAGGAAATAAAAGAGGATACAAACAAATGGAAGAACATTCCATGCTCATGGGTAGGAAGAATCAATATCATGAAAATGGCCATACTGCCCAAGGTAATTTACAGATTCAATGCCATCCCCATCAAGCTACCAATGACTTTCTTCACAGAATTGGAAAAAACTACTTTAAAGTTCATATGGAACCAAAAAAGAGCCCGCATCACCAAGTCAATCCTAAGCCAAAAGAACAAAGCTGGAGGCATCATGCTACCTGACTTCAAACTATACTACAAGGCTACAGTAACCAAAACAGCATGGTACTGGTACCAAAACAGAGATATAGATCAATGGAACAGAACAGAGCCCTCAGAAATAACGCCGCATATCTACAACCATCCGATCTTTGACAAACCTGAGAAAAACAAGCAATGGGGAAAGGATTCCCTATTTAATAAATGGTGCTGGGAAATCTGGCTAGCCATATGTAGAAAGCTGAAACTGGATCCCTTCCTTATATCTTATACAAAAATTAATTCAAGATGGATTAAAGACTTGAATGTTAGACCTAAAACCATAAAAACCCTAGAAGAAAACCTAGGCATTACCATTCAGGACATAGGCATGGGCAAGGACTTCATGTCTAAAACACCAAAAGCAATGGCAACAAAAGCCAAAATTGACAAATGGGATCTAATTAAACTAAAGAGCTTCTGCACAGCAAAAGAAACTACCATCAGAGTGAACAGGCAACCTATAAAATGGGAGAAAATTTTCACAACCTACTCATCTGACAAAGGGCTAATATCCAGAATCTACAATGAACTCAAACAAATTTACAAGAAAAAAACAAACAATCCCATCAAAAAGTGGGCAAAGGATATGAACAGACACTTCTTAAAAGAAGACATTTATGCAGCCAAAAGACACATGAAAAAATGCTCATCATCACTGGCCATCAGAGAAATGCAAATCAAAACCACAATGAGATACCACCTCACACCAGTTAGAATGGCAATCATTAAAAAGTCAGGAAACAACAGGTGCTGGAGAGGATGTGGAGAAATAGGAACACTTTTACACTGTTGGTGGGACTGTAAACTAGTTCAACCATTGTGGGAGTCAGTGTGGCGATTCCTCAGGGATCTAGAACTAGAAATACCATTTGACCCAGCCATCCCATTACTGGGAATATACCTAAAGGACTATAAATCATGCTGCTATAAAGACACATGCACACGTATGTTTATTGCGGCACTATTCACAATAGCAAAGACTTGGAACCAACCCAAATGTCCAACAATGATAGACTGGATTAAGAAAATGTGGCACATATACACCATGGAATACTATGCAGCCATAAAAAATGATGAGTTCATGTTCTTTGTAGGGACATGGATGAAATTGGAAATCATCATTCTCAGTAAACTATCACAAGGACAAAAAACCAAATACCACATGTTCTCACTCATAGATGGGAATTGAATAATGAGAACACATGGACAAAGGAAGGGGAACATCACACTCTGGGGACTGTTGTGGGGTGGGGGGAGGGGGGAGGGATAGCATTAGGAGATATACCTAATGCTAAATGACGAGTTAATGGGTGCAGCACACCAGCATGGCACATGTATACATATGTAACTAACCTGCACATTGCGCACATGTACCCTACAACTTAAAGTATAATAATAATAAAAAAATAAAAAATTTAAAGAAAAAGAAAAAAAAAAAAGAAAGGCTAAGTTGTAAACCTCTCCCCTGCTGTTTGATGCATAAAAATAAAGTTTAAAAAAGGCTCTGCCACTTTATGGCAATGTGTGTTTGTTTAATCTTACTTACTGGTTGCTTTGAGAGATAAATTAAGTGAAAAGGTACATGCAAAGCACCTAGCAAGGTTCCAGAACATGATGGAAGTTCAACAACTGTCATTTCCTTTCCCTTTTTCCTTTCTGAAGTTTATGACCCTCATTTATAAAATGAAGGTGATAGTTTTTTTGTTTTCAGAAAATTCACACAAAAGTAAATTACCTCCAAGATAAATATGAAAAAATATATCCAGCCTATTTAGGAATAAAATGACTGGATTTTAAAACACTGCTATACCTCTTTAAAAACCTACTAAATGAGCAAAGACTTTTAATAAAGTCAGTCAATGCTAAGGAAAGTGGACTATCTGCTACCAAGAATATGCACTTGTGAAAAGATTGTGTATGGTTGGGTAGTCAGGCAGAGGGGTTGGGCAATGAAGGGAGGTAGAAGAGAGATTCCAAAACATTCATACTCTGCAACTCAATAGCACCACATCATGGACTTTCAAAGAAATTAAACTTGTTAGACACAAATATAAATACTTAAAAATCTGACAACAGAAAATAGTTAACTGAATCATGGTATATCTAAACAATGCAATATTTTGCACAAATAAATATGTATGCATAGACATTAAAATGACTGTGAACTGGTGAGAATGTATAATGATGGAACTACTTTGGAAAATAGTCTGACGATTCCGAAAAATGTTAAGCATAGAGTTACCATATGACCCAGCAATTCTACTCCTATGAAAATGAAAATGTGTCCACACAGAAATATGTACATAAATATTTATACTAGCATTTATTCGTAATAACAAAAATGTGAAAACAATTCAAATGTCCATCAACTGATGAATGGATAAACAGAATTTGGTATAAACATACAATGTAATAATTATTTGACAATAAAAAGGAATGAAATGGGCAGGGTGCGGTAGCTCATACCTGTAATCCCAGCACTTTGGGAGGCAAAGGCAGGCAGATCACTTGAGGTCAGGAGTTTGAGACCAGCCTGGCCAAACATGGCAAAACCTCGTCTCTACTAAAAATACAAAAAATTAGCTGAGTGTGGTGGCACGCATCTGTAATCCCAGCTACTCAAGAAGATGAGACAGGAGAATCACTTGAACCCAGGAGGCAGAAATTGCAGTGAACCGAGATCACGCCACTGCACTCCAGCCTGGGTGACAGAGTGAGACTCCTTTAAAAAAAAAAAAAGGAATGAAATACTGATACATGAAACAACATGGATAAGCCTTTAAAAGACTATGCTAGGTAAAATAAATCAGTCAAAACAGACCACATATTGTGTCATTCCATTTACATGAAGTGTCCAGAACACCCATATTCATATCCATAGAGGCAAGTAGATTAGTGTCTGCTTAGTATTATGGAGAAAGGGAGAATGACTACTAGTGAATATGGGATTTCTTTTTGGGGGGATGATGAAAATATTTTTAAATTGATTATGTTAATGGTTGCACAACTGTGAATATGCAAAAAAATCACTAATTTGTACACTTTAAGTAGATGAATTGTATGATGTGTGAATTAAATCTTGATAAAGCTGCTCTATAAATGACTGAAGAACTTTTAATAACAGGATCAAACACTTGTATCTGCTATGAACAATCATTAAAGTAGCATTCAAAAAATTTATATGAAACATACAACTATGTAGAAATATGCACAGAAAAAAGAGTAGGAGCGAGCCTCTGGGTAATATCTTTAAAAGGAACACATTTGGAGGAAATGGAAGAGGAAATAACATTTTGGTAACTGGAAAGCAAATGAGCACATGGTCACTGACCTAGCAAATCAGAGCAGGCTGACTCCTGTGCTGAGAACCAACCAGAATCCTCAAGTCTCAGGAACTGGCACCAGGTACCTCTGAAAATGGGACAGACAACAGGATTTGTTGAAAGCTTCTGAGGAAACAGATCCTAGATCCTCTTCTCTGCTTCACCCCACTGGGTGACTGTCCTCCCACTCTGGTGAAAACAAGAGGTTCATACTACAGAGAGGGCAAGATAGAGGGGGTCTGGTCTACTCTAGAGGATACCAGGCCTAACTGAAGGATGAGTATCATACAGACACACGGGGATTTTGTAATCCTGTACGTCGTAAATTCTGAGACCCTCCAGCCAAATTTCTCCACTCAACACACAGAACACTGGCAGTCAGACCTTTACCTTCAGATCAGAGATGAAAGAGCCTTCTTTGGGGCATCTGACCAATCCAAAAGAAAAGCCTTAAACATACTGACGTGGGCCCAAGCAGAGCACCCTAAAGTAAAGCTCATGTTCAATCAGCTCCACTCATATGCTGAGACTACAGATCAGCTATTTAGACCCCCACTTTTAAACACGAGCAGACAATCAAGTATAACCAGATATTTGAGTAGATCCTTTAACATAAATGTTAGAGACCAAAACAAAGAGAAAGAAAAAAAGAAAAAAAAACCCTAGAAGAAAAGTGGTCTATGGTGCAGAAATTAAATACAATAATCCCAGCTGTTACAAAATTAAACCTACATAGAACAATGACTTAAACCCCAAAATGGGAGTTCCTGATTAGTAGGCAGCTCTCCTCCAAGTATTGATTTAGGGATCCAAGTTCCTTTCACTTTTTGAAAATTTGCAATTGCATTTCTTAGCGGATTCCCAAAATTGTATGATGGCCATGCTGAGAAAAACCTGCATTAACCCTTATTTACATCTAGCAAATAACTAAAAAGGAAAAGCTAGGTAATTATTCATCCCCAAATTGTTCAAGAAAACTAATAAGGCCCAGCGCAGTGGTTCACATGTGTAATCCCAACACTTTGGGAGGCCGAGGTGGGTGGATCACCTGAGGCTAGGAGTTCCAGACTAGCCTGGGCAACATGGTGAAACCCTGTCTCTACTAAAAATACAAAAAATTAGCCAGGCATAGTGGCAGGCACCTGTAATCCCAGCTACTTGGCAGGCTGAGGCAGGAGAATCGCTTGAACCTGGGAGGCGGAGGTTAAAGTGAGCCAAGATCGCCATTGCAATCCAGCCTGGGCAACAAGAGCGAAACTCTGTCTCAAAAAAAAAGAAAGAAAGAAAGAAAGAAAGAAGAAAGAAAGAAAGAAAGAAAGAAAGAAAGAAAGAAAGAAGGAAAAAAGACTAATCATAGTAAGCCATATATCTCAGCTTTGAATCTCATCTCCAAATAGCATATGCAATATAATAATGTAAGCACAGCATGTTAATCAACCAAAATCTCTATGGAGAAGATGGGAGATGAGATATATACATATACAATGGTAGAGGGGCAGAGCTAACTTCTCTGCCATTTTCCATAATGGGAAGTCCACAGACAATGCCTAAAATTTATAAAACAAGAAGAAACACAAATATGTTATTTAAAGATGAGGTAAATACAAAAACAAAAAGCTTTAAAAAGAGGTGGAATTAGTTATTTCTGAGAAAGGAAATTTGGGGAGGATGAAAACTTTTTATGCCACGTGAATATAATTTTGATTTTTAAATAGAAAAAAAAGGTGGAAAATATTTTTTGGTATTAACAGTGATTATTCCTGGGTAAAGGATTTTGGATAAATTTTTAAAATATTCTTTCCTCCATCTATATTTTCTGCATATTCTAAAGTAAACATGAATTATTTTTACAACCAAAGTATTAAAGTGTAAAAGTAACATGTCTGTCTCAAAAGTTGTAAGAGTTAAATGTGAAATGTTTTTAAACAAACTGGCATTTTTAAATTTTAGCTATTCGAATTAAATAAAAAGGAGATGAGTTTTTATGAGGTTAAATTGCTATTCCATATGATAGAAAATTTGGGTATATTAGATCCTTTTGTAAAACATACCAGATTACCACTCTTATTTTCTGAACTATCTTGCCTCTTTTTTTTTTCTTCATAACAACAAAATAAATGTCCTTCCAGGAAGTACCATAATTTTTAGGGTTTTTTTGAGGCAAACACTTGACTGGTATATTAATCTATTCTCATGCTGCTAATAAAGACATATCTGAGACTGGGTAATTTATAAAAGCAAGAGGTTTAATTGACTCACAGCTCAGCATGACTGGAGAGGCCTCAGGAAACGTCCAACCATGATGGAAGGGGAAGCAAACACTTCTTTCTTCACATGGCAGCAGGCGACAGAAGAATGAAAAACCAAGTGCAGGGGAAGCCCCTTATAAAACCATCAGATCTCCTGAGAACTCACTATCACAAGAATAGCATGGGGGAACCACCCCCATGATTCAATTACCTCCTACCAGATACTTCCTATGACATGTGGGGATTATGGGAACTATAATTCAAGATGAGATTTGGGCGGGGGGACATGGCAAAACCATATCATTCTGCCCCTGGCCCCTCCCAAATCTCATGTCCTCACAATTCAAAAAATAATCATGTCCTTCCAATAGTCCCCCAAAGTCTTAAATCATTCCAGTATGGTCTCAAAAGTCCAAGTCCAAAGTCTCATCTGAGACAAGGCAAGTCCCTTCTGCCTATGAGCCTGTAAAATCAAAAGCAAGTTAGTTACTTCCTAGATACAATGGGGGTACAGACATTGGGTAAATATGCCCATTCCAAATGGGAGAAATTGGACAAAACAAAGGGGCTATAGGCCCCATGCCAGTCCAAAATCGAATAGGGCAGTCATTAAAACTTAAAATTCCAAAATGGTCTCCTTTGACTCCATATCTCACATACAGGTCACAGTGATGCAACAGGTGGGCTCCCACAGCCCTGGGCAGCTCCACCCCTGTGGCTTTGCAGAGTACAGTCCCATCCCAGCTAGCATAGAGTGTCTGCAGCTTTTCCAGGTGCATGGTGCAAGCTGTCAGTGGATCTACCATTCTGGGGTCTGGAGGACAGTGGCCCTCTTCTCACAGCTCCACTAGGCAGTGCCCCAGTGGAGACTCTGTGTGGGGGCTCCAACCTTGCATTTCACCTCAGCACTGCCCTAGCAGAGGTTCTTCTGCAGCAAACTTCTGCCTGGACATCCAGGCATTTCCATACATCCTCTGAAATCTAGGCAGAGGTTCCCAAATCTCAATTCTTGACTTACGTGTGCCCACAGGCTCAACACCACGTGGAAGCTGCCAAGGCCTGGAGCTTGCACCCTCTTGCCTGAGATGTACATTGGCCCCTTTTAGCCACAGCTACAGTAGCTGAGATGCAAGGCACCAAGTCCCAAAGCTGCACACAGCAGGGAGGCCCTGGACCTGGCCTAGGAAACCATTTTTCCTTCCTAGGCCTCCAGGCCTGTGATGGGAGAGGCTGCTGTGAAGGTGTCTGACATGCCCTGGAGACATTTTCCCTATTGTCTTGGTGATTAACATTAGGCTTCTTGCTACCTTTGCAAATATTTGCAGCTTGCTTGAATTTCTCCCCAGAAAATGGGGTTTTCTTTTCTATCACAATAGTCAGGCTGCAAATTTCCAAACGTTTATGCTATTCTTCCTCTTGAATGCTTTGCCACTTACAAATGTCTTTTGCCAGATACCCTAAATCACCTCTCTCAAGTTCAGAGTTCCACAGATTTCTGGGATGGGGCAAAATGCCATCAGTCTCTTTGCATGGCAAGAGTGACCTTTATTCCAGTTGCCAACAAGTTTCCCATCTCCATCTGAGACCACCTTAGTCTGGACTTCATTTCCCATATCACTATCAGCATTTTGGTCAAAGCCATTCAACAAGTCTCTAGGAAGTTCCAAACTACCCCACATCTTCCTGTCTTCTGAGCCCTTCAAGACTTTACGAATTCCAAATTTTCCCACATTTTCCCATCTACTTCTGAGCCCTCCAAACTGTTCCAACCTCTGCCTGTTACTAAGTTCCAAAGTTGCATTCCACATTCAGGTATCCTTATAGCAGCACTCCACTCTCAGTACCAATTAACTGTATTAGTTAGTTCTCACACTGCTAATAAAGACATACCCAAGACTAGGTAATTTATAAAGGAAAGAGGTTTAATTGACTCACAGTTCAGGATGGCTGGGGAGGCCTCAGGAAACTTCCAGCCATGGCAGGAGAAGCAAACATGTCCTTCTTCACATAGCAAAAGGAGAGAAAAGAATGAGAACTGAGTGAAGGGGGAAGCCCCTTATAAAGCCACCAGATATTGTGAGAACTTACTCATTATCACGAGAATAGCATGAGGGAAACCACCCCCATGATTCAATTACCTCCTACCAGGTCCCTCCCATGACACATGGGGATTATAGGAACTACAATTCAAGATGAGATTTGGGTGGGCATGCAGCCAAACCATATCAACTGGTAATTAGAACAATCAGCAGAGCCAACTAAATGTATAAAGTTTCCCAATTTACAGCATCATTTCATGTCATTTGTTTTGTTTCTCTGCCACACATGTATAAGCATCTCAAGGTCAAAATCCACACACCCTCTCTTCTTCCTTCTCTTCCTCTTCTTTTTCATTTTTCTGTCTTTTATTCTTTCCTCCCAAATTTCAGATACTGGGAAAAAATAACTAACATTGGTGTAGTGTTAAGGTAACATTTACAATTTCCACAAAACCTATTTTGTTTCCATTTAATCCTCACAATACCCATTTTAGGAGGGTGGTAATACTCTCCTCTTTTAATGACACGGAAAACAGAATCACAGAGTGATTTGCCCAGAACACTCTGTGGGTAAACCACAATTGGAACCTACAAGGCTTCATCTTCATGATGGTTATTTACAGCAGGTGTTCAATAAGTATAGCTCAGCCAACCATAACCTGAGAAGAACCTGGGATATTCAACCTGTAGTTAGTCCAGATTATGCTTCCTTTTGTTCACTGGGCAGAAGAGTGCATAATCATCTGGGAGCTCTCTTTGTGGTGGAAAAATCTGCAGACAAGGTAAAAATAAGAAAGAAGACCCAGGCATGCCATCAAACAAGAAACACAAGGCAAAACACAAGACATTTCCCACTTACGAAAAGATAGTATGCTTCTGGAAGGAGTTTCAAAAGCAGGTTTCTCTCTCTATGCACAGTGAAGTACACTTCAGCTCACCCCCACCAGATATGGCATCAGCCAAGATTAAGATTTGTCCAAGGAGCTGTGCTCAGTTTCTTGGCTTTAGTTTAATTCCTGCTGCTGTCTTCTGGTCATCCTAGCAACACATATTAAATATGATAATTTTTGTTTTAAACACTATTTGTGCCAGTAAAAGAGAACTGGAAGACTAGGGAAAGGTGAAGAGATATTTTCAGTACCAAATATTTTTCTAAGACATCAGACTCTGCAGCAGTGCTGTGATGTACACTAAGAACCACCCATTCTCAAAACCTTCCCCTAAGATTTCATTGGCAAAAGTCAGGAATAAGAGGGTGGTCCTGGTTGTAGAATGCTAGAGAAGCTTAGGGCAAGAACTTTTTTCTGATTCATAGTCAATTTCAGAAAAATGGTCCTCTGAAAACCAAAATCATTTATAGTCTTTTTTTTTTTTTTTTTTTTTTTTTGAGACAAGTTCTCACTCTGTCACCTAGGCTGGAGTGCAGTGGTGCAATCATAGCCCATTGCAGCTTCTATCTTCTGGGCTCAAGCGATCCTCCCACCTCAGATTCCCAAGTAGGTGGGACTACAGTCATGTGGCACCATGCCCAGCTAGTATTTATTTATTTATTTATTTATTGAGAGAGGTTCTCATTCTGTTGCACAGTGGTACGGTGGCACAATCTCAGCTCACTGCAGCCTTGACCTCCAAGTCTCAGGTGATCCTCCTGCCTCACCCTCCCAAGTAGCTAGGACCACAAGTGTATGCCACCACACCTGGCTAATTTTTGTATTTTTTGTAGAGATAGGGTTTCACCATGTTGCCCAGGCTGGTCTCAAACTCCTGGGCTCAAGCAATCCACCCACCTTGGTCTCCCAAAGTGCTGGGATTACAGGTGTTAGCTATCATGCTTGGCCCCTTTATAGCCTTAAATATAAAAAGAATGCTGTCTTTGAAGGGGTTAGTATATGGAAGAAAAGAAATATTCTCCCTCTGTTGCAAAGAGAGCCCTTGATGGAGAGAGATTAAAATATTTTAACACTATAAAAATGAGAATATCATTTTACCAGAAAACTAAATCAAGACTAAGAAAAGATACTGAAAACTGCATGTCAAACTTATATTCATTTCCTGGCTCTCACTGTCCACTACAAGGAAGCATATTTGTTCAACTGCAGAGACAGATGATTTCCCAGCCATGAACTCTCTCAGTTGTCCCTTAGTATCCACCAAGGATAGGTTTCAGGAACCACCCCACCAACTGATACCAAAATCCCTGGGTGCTCAAGTATCTGATGTAAAATAATGTGGTATTTATATAGAACTTATGCACGTGCTCCTATACAGTTTAAATCATCTCTAGATTACCTACAACACTCCTACAATGTAAATGTTATACAAATAGTTGTTTTACCGTATTTTTTTAAATTTGTATTTTTTTTATTGTTTTTTCTGAATATTTGTTATCTGTGGCTGGTTGAATCTGTGGATGAAGAGCCCACAGATATGAAGAGCTGATTGCATTATACAGATCTCTGTTTAATGAATATTGAACTGTGTAAGGGACAGTTGTCAATTTTTTTTCTGAAAAAGCGCAAAGTCGTTCTTCTTCATATGACCACTTAGCATAATGCTAAATTGCAAATCTGTGAAGATGAGTTGTACAAAACTGACAGAATTTATCCTAGGACCATAGCTTTGGCCTGGTCTGACCAGGCCTGATGAAGGGACAAAGCTTTGTTAATAGTGCTTGTTCACTCATTTGCCTTATCAGATTCTAACCCCATGGTAGGCAGTGTCTGCCCTCACTGGAAACATCACATAACCCAATGCCTGATGCAAAGCGATTGAGCAAAAATTATAGAAAAAATGAAGAAAATAAGGAGGACAGAGTATTCCTTGGGCTATGTTTCTAAATATCAGTGGTCATAGGATCTTTCATGAAAGCTTTGGAATAGAGGAAAGTCTGTTTGGAATAAACCTTGGTAAGCACTAGAAACAGGAGGTTGATGAGGCAACCCATGTGCTCTAAAATTAGGTGGAAGTGATGCTTGTTCTGAGAAGTGGAGACACTGATTTGTATTCTGATCCCTGAGCTACAAAAATACCTGACAACAGAGCCAGAACTTTTCTCAGAAAGTGACTCAGCAGCTTGCCTCAGACTGACCCAGTTTAGCACTGAAAGCCCCAACTCCTGAGAAATCCTCAGTTCCCGTCAGATCAAAACATTGGTCACCCTAGAAAACAGATGCTCAAGCAGTCCAGCAGGTAACCATTTTCAGCTGAATTCTGCATCATACAGCATGTAAGTTGTTAATCTAGAGTGGGACATTTTGAGGACAAAAAAATGTTTATTCTACCATGAACATATCTTTTTTATCAAAAGCTTAATTTTTAGAAGGATTTCATTCTGATGTCTTGCTGGAATGCATTAGCTGCAGAATTCAATTGAAGGTATCTAAAATGAGAACACCTGTGGATTTACTTTGGTGTTTCTAAAATGAGATGGCCTAAGGATTCGAGTTTTTTACACAACTAGATAGTAGAGTCCATTAAAATGAAGTTGAATCTCAATAACTGATATTGAGATTTTTTTAAAGACAGTGATTGGCCATGAGAATCAATTTATTCTTGAGGCCACCTCCAAAATTTTGACTAGATCATTAACTTGTCCTCCCATTTTCTTTGAAGGGAGGACATCATTTAGTTCATGTAAGAACAGAATCAAATTATTCAGACATGAATTTACATAGAAGGGCTGAGATGCAGCCCTGTTTTCACCACTGCATTGTTCTGTCCACTGCCCATCCCACCCCCTGGAAACTCAGTGGGGCATTGAAACTGACTCTGGAAAGACACATGTGAGCTTGGAATCTACAGAGGAAATATACAATCTGGCCCTTAGAGATTTTTCCATTTATTGAATCAAAGACTAATAAATGCTGTAAAGACTTCTGTTCACAATAAAAGTAGCATCTTGACATTTCTGGAAAAAGTTACTAACATATAGTGGGATTCATATATTACATTATTGAACGCCCCTATCCTGCAATTTCTGGAGGAAACTTGCCCTAATATAATTTATTTTTAGTTCTTTAATAATTCAGAGTTTGAAATACATAATAAGCAAATTCTGATGATCCCAAAACTACAGAACAAACCACAAATAACATAAAAGATCTCCAAGACTTCCCTGGTAAGATGCTTCAGCAGTTACTAAAGAGTTCACCTCTAAACGAACTTTCATCCTTACCAGTAGCTGATTATTCATTCAGATGAAAATTCAACTGAAAATACTTTCAGTTCAATGGTAACTACCAATAAAGAAAGAATTTTTGTGTAGAGATTTAGGCAAGCACAAATCAGTCTTATATCAGTTTCACTCAGCTTTATGTTCCATATAGCATGTATTCCTTGAACACAAAAATAAAAAATTTAAATCCTTGATATTTTTATATCAGAGGCAGTATTTTTCTGATACATATATCAATATACATCCATTCATTATAGTGGCCCAAGGACCTTATGATCACAGTGATGATATGAGACCCAGAGTTTTCCTTGTTTATAAGTCAGTCATCAAAAAAATGATCCTTTTTGGAGTTTTATGTTATCATTCCACTTTTTTGGATGAAAGAGATAATTTGCAAATCACAAGGAGGAGGGCTTAAAGTTTATATTGTATGCTAGGCTAGTGACTAGAAAATATTACCAGGATATGTAAATTACTCGCCTACAGCTTGATACAGGAGCCACTTCAGGTGGAGCATGGGAGAGCATATATGTGACTGTTCCTGACTCTAAGTAGATGGGAAAGCCTGAATTCAAGCATGAGAAATGCTGGGAAAGAAGAAAAAATGTTTTGGAATAATAATGGTTATTCTATCTGAAATGGTATATCCTTAGTGAATTGTTTCTAACCGTAACCTAAATCCTTGTATTTTCCACAAATCAGCATTTACTGAACAAATGTAAGAGAATAAATGATTACCATTCCCTCTCTAGGAACATCTGTTTCCAAAGGAATTTTGGCAGAGTTTACAAGTGATGTCAGACTGCTAGACACAAAGATTACAATCTGGCTAATTCTTGCCCTGGCAGTCCTACCTCCAGGGGAGCCTTCACTAGAAAAATGCGAGCCAGAGTTTGAAATGGGTTACTATACATTCTCACTGGAAAACAAACAAAAGGCTGGAGGCAGGAAGTGCTCATAGCTGGAGTTTTACTGAATCCCTCAAATGTTTACATTCAACATTCCATAAAATGTCTATTTGGGAAGATGAACAAAGAGAAACATTTCCCATTATGAGGTTTAGCATCAACAAATATTTACTGAGATAACTCCTTTGAGGTGGAAGGAGCCTCCAGGTTCTTTCTCTTTTTTTTTTTTTTGTTTTTTTTCTGAGACGGAATCTTGCTCTGTTGCCCAGGCTGCAGTGCAGCGGCACAATCTCGGCTCACTGCAACCTCTGCTGCCTGGGTTCAAGCAATTCTCCTGCTTCAACCTCTTGAGTAGCTGGGATGACAGGTGAGCACCATCATGCCTGGTTAGGTTTTTCGGTATTTCTTAGTAGATACGGGGTTTCACTATGTTGGTCAGGCTGGTCTCCAACTCCTGACCTCAGATGGTCCACCTGGCTCGGCCTCCCAAAGTGCTGGGATTACAGGCATGAGCCACTCCAGGTTCTTTCTTTATGGACCAATGTGGTTCACAACACTCATAGAATAGTTACACTTCAGATGGGTAGTTGGCCTACTGGGATTTCATAGGATCCTATAATTACTTTCTGTTCATCAGCTTTCATTGGGTCATTAGAAATGTGGTCAAGAAAGGACTTTGAGTGGATTACTTAGGCCAGGGACTACAGCAACCACTTTAGACTGGGAAGACTCATTATTGTGAGCATATATTGTGAGCATTTTTAATATGGATGGAAAGAGGTGACATTTGGGTTTTGTTGTAACCTGCAAAATATTGGTCTAAAGAAATGCAACTCTTTCAAAGTTAAGGTTTGGTGGACAAGAGAGACTTTGCCCTAAGCTAATTCAAAAGAGAATTAAAGAAAAGACCACTGAAATCAAGTAAAAATCTGTTTTGATGGTGAAAAGAAAATGGAATAGAAAGGAATGTATCATGTGCCATCACTTGGACCCACAATAAGCAGCAGTGATGTTTCCGCAGCATTTTTCTTTTTTTTCCAGGTTAAAACTGGGTACATTAAAGAACAGGGATGTGCTATAGAGATTTTCACTGGATGACATATAGTTGTTTGATTGTATTACAACTGTTGAATCATTAAGTTTGGCTAAGGGACTAACATTCCATAAAGTTAAATGATAACATTGAAAAATCAAGGGGCACCAAGCATCAAGTAGGAGACTGGCTTACTTGACCCTAGGCAAATCACGTAACTTCTTATTTTCAATAAACTTCTCATTGAGGATATGGATGCTTGCTCTAAATTCTTTACAGATTTATTGTGATGATCAAATAAAGTAATACAATAAAATACAAATATATAGTAATTTATGATCATATAAATGAAAAGCACTATGAAGAAATATAACTCACCTTTCAAATATAATGTACTGTTATCGCACACACATCAGTTCCAGCACTATAAACTTAGTTAATTTTTATGTTCAGAGAACTTACTGTGATTAATTCCCTTCACCTCTTTTAAGAAGTCAAGGGCATTGGTTCATTTAATGAATGACATTGTTTTTAAATTATTCACTATAGAAAAATGGGTCTGATCTGCAGACACCAATTAACATTGTAGTGACCCTTGCCCCTTCCTAGGTTACCAGCCCCACTCCATCACCTTCCCCTCCCCTCCAACTGTCATTCCTCAGGCAGTTAGGGTAAAGGTTATGTAATTGCAGCAGTTCCTCCACCACTCATGATTAGAGGCCAATGTAACTGCCAACCAAGAAGCTGAAATAAACTCCACAATGATTACACTCCACTGTTGCTGAGATTTAACAGAAATTGCCCAACTAGAACCAGAAAAACATATATATATATATATATATATATATATATATGCAGACAAGAAAATCTGACCCAATGCCAAAGGAATGTTGTCCCCCTCCTCCAAGTAAACACAAATGTGTATCTGGTTATGAAAGAATTGTCCGGGAGAGTTCTCAGGCTCTGGTGTTAAGAAGCCTGCTGATCTGTCACTCACCACCATCTCCCCAGCCCCAAAGGTTCAGACAGGAAGTCAAAGGACACATGAGTAGAAATGATACAGGGATTTTTTTTGTTTTTGTTTTTTTAAGAGTGAGATATTGAAAGCTGGCTCCCATTCCATGGCTGTGGGCCTCCTTTAAATATAAACAGCAGCAAGAGCTGAGAATGACTGCCATATTTGAATGCCAAATAAACACAAAATGATGAGCACAGATTTTTGGCTTTATATTAAAGTTGGTTTTTTCAATAACCCCTTTTGTTGCCTCTAAAGACAATGGTCTCCGTGTTTCTGAGCCAGATTCCTGGGACTCTGAGCAGATCCTCCCTTGCCGCACCCCAGCGGAGTTCACTCCACAAGCAGGACTAGTGTTCCTTTTGGGTTGAAAGCAAGCCATCTTTCCCCTCCTGGCCCACTGCTGTAGAAGCATTTGCTTATTGAAAATAAAGAGCAGTGGTATATGACACTTGGAATCTGCAGACCAAGCCCCAGGGTAGTTTGATGAGGGATGTGTTCAGTGGTTTCTGCTTGGTTGGGAAACGGTAGTTTCATCATGAGATCTGCAATGGACTCATGTGGATGGAGTTGAGGATTTATCCACTTCATTAATTCATTGTAGGTTTAATTTTTTTAATGAGTGTTTATCATTTTTGGTTTATGTCATGTAAGGTAGCAATAATCAACTTCACTAGATAGAACTACCTGGCTTTTTACTCTCCTTCCAGTCTGGCAGTTAAAACAAACCAAAAATTCTCTTAAATGGTTAAGTATCTCAGGTATTTACATAGGTAAGTGTCTCAGTGCAGATATGTGAGCCAATCAAATACGAAGAGGTCTGGTTATGCATATCCCCTTATCCCCAGGCACCGCCTTTTTTAAAGCACTACATCAGGATTTCAAAGTTCTATTGCAAAAGCACTTAAATCCTGTGTGAGGGTACTCGTTTCTTACACTTTCCTTGTAACTCACAAAGGGTTCCCCTCTGCTGATTTTTAACCTCACAGATGAGAATGGAATTCAAAATTGTATACTAATATTTTAATTATTACTTATATAACATAACCAATTACCAATTAATATTTAATAATTATATATTAAATTTTTAATAATTATATATTTAATAATTCTTTAATAATTATATATTTAATATATAATACATATTTTATAATATATTATATATTTTATAATACATATTATATATTTTATAATACATATTATATATTTTATATTATATATTTTATAATACATATTATATATTTTATAATATATATTATATATTTTATAATGCATATTACATATTTTATAATACATATATATTTTATAATACATATTATATATTTTATAATATATATTATATATTTTATAATACATATTATATATTTTATAATATATATTATATATTTTATAATACATATTATATATTTTATAATACATATTATATGTAATATATAAAAAATATATATAATTATATGTAATAGTTATAATAATTATATATAATTATAAATTTAATTATTTAAATAATTTAATTAATTTATGTAAATTTAAATAAATTTAATATTTAATAACATGTTTAATTATCAGATTATGTAATACATGTAATACATTGTTAAGGGAAATTATTTAAACATAAACACAGTTAACGTTCATTTACCAGGTTTCTATTGTCTTCAAATTTGTAACAATAATAACCTAATGGGCTCAATGCCCACCCAGTGGCACCTTCACATTTTGTCTGTGTGAAAAAAGTGATAGTTGTAATACCTGATAATTCTTACCATTTCTATAGGTCTTTCCAGTTTACAACACACCTTAATAACCATTATTAGGGTTTGTCTTCAAAATCATCCTTATGAGAGGATTATTATCATGTCCATTTTATACAAGAAAAGACTGAGTCTTAGAAAAATTAGGTGATTTACTGACAGTCATGCAAATAACATGGCAAACCAGAATTCAAATCCAGGTCTCCTTATTATGAATTTAGTTTTCATTTGGGTAGAGCATGCTACACGAATGCCTGGAAATATAAGTGATACAAAGTTTGTAAACCACCTGGTGGAGTTGCACATAGCATTGTTCTTATCGATGATGTTTAAAAAATACAGAATACATTTATTATTCTTCAAGTATAAACAGCCGTTTTGTCAAAAAATAACAGATACTGGCAAGGTTGTGGAGAAACAGGAATGCTTTTACACTGTATTTGAGAGTGTAAATTAGTTCAACCATTGTGGAAGACAGTATGACAATTCCTCAAACACTTAAAGACAGAAATGTCATTCAACCCAGCAATCCCATTACTGGGTATATACCCAAAGGAATATAAATCATTCTATTGTAAATACACATGCACACGTATGTTCATTGCAGCACGATTTACAATAGCAAAGACACGGAATCAACCTAAACGCCCATCAATGATAGTCTGGATAAAGAAATTGTGGTATATATACACCATGGACTAATATGCAACCATATAAAAGAATAAGATCATGTCAATTGCAGGGACACGGATAGGGCTGGAGGCCATTATCCTCAGCAAACTAATGCAGGAACAGAAAACCAAATACTGCATGTTTTCAATTATACAGTGAGAGCTAAATGATGAGAACACATGGACACACAGAGGGGAACAACAGACACTGGGGCCTACTGGAGGGCAGAGGGCGCGAGTAGGGAGAGGATGAGGAAGAATAACTAATGGATACTAGGCTTAATACCTGAGTGATGACATAATCTGTACAACAAACACCCATGAAACACGTTTACCTATGTAACACACCTGCACATCCTGCACATGTCCCCCAGAAGTTAAAATGAAAGTTAAAAAAAAATAGCCATTTTGTACCAAATGATAGTTCCTCAGCCATTCACAGTATAATAGTTGGGTCACTGTGAGAATTATCTGAAGAGGTCATTCCCAACAGACTTTCTATTTATTTTTATTTATTCATTCATTTGTTCATTTACTCACCTTTTTTTTTTTTTTTTTTTTTTTTACTTATTTGCTTGTTTATTCATTTACTTATTTATATTAGGAATTTTTATCTCTCATACTTTTACTGTCAGCCCTGGTATCAGCCCTGATAAACTAGATTCTAACAATTAAAGCATAAAAAATAGTAATGCAGCCCACTTGAGAAGTATATTGAGAAGAATAACTAGAAAAAATTAATAAACACTTAGCAATCACTGAGCAGTTTTACAAACACCCATAGTGGGTTTCAATGGAATATTTGTCCTTTTCATATCAATCTATTTCCAACTCAAATTTCACTCTAAAGAACACATTATCATTCTATCATTTCTTTCAGCATTTGTGGTAGAACCATAATTCATCTCAAAAATGCAAATAATTATTTGTGGCCAAATAACATTAAATTTCAAAACCAGCATTTGGCATGACTAAAACTGAGTTCACTACATCCTCAAATGAAAGATTTTGTTATGGAGATCATTTACTATCCAAAGTTTTAAATATCCATGCATGAAATTCATAAAGAGAAAGCAAAAAAACAGAAGGTGATGTTCCTAAAAGGCATACATTCTCTGCCTATGTGCTCTCTACTTGTGACAGGAAAGCCCAAACTAAACTCCAGATCTGGTGGAATTAAAATGAAGCTGAGTTTCTACATAAACTCAATGAACTATGGACCAAAAGCTTCATCAACAGCCAAGTTCTTCTTCTGTGTATGCTTAAAAAGTACTCTATGTAATTTTGTTACCCTAGACAATATTTTCTGAACAAAGAAAACAGCAACACCTAACCCACATCCATGAGCTAGGATTCTTCAGATTCACTTGTGTTCAAAGACCTGAGCAGGGGCAAGTGATCACATGTAGATAAACTTCACATTGGATAAAACTCCAATTTTCAAAACAAACTGTTAGGAGAGGATGATAGGATTTTTGCTAGACTTCTTATCATTGGTGATGCAGGCTGAATATATCTTTGGGCCTAAAAATCTTTAATAAGCCAATAAAATTTTCCTTAGGCATGGCCTATAATTAACAAAGCAAGGTAACAACTCAGAATTCAAGCAATGACATCAATATTCTGAAGAAGGAAAGAACTGAGACCATCATTTTTTTATTAGAAAAATAAAAAAAATGTTTATTTTTATGTTATTAGTGTTTATTTTTATGTTATTTTATTTTATGTTATTTTTATTTTATTTTATGTTATTAGTGTTTATTTTTATGTTATTAGGGTTTCTTAAATACTTTCTTTCAGAATCAGCCTAATTTCTGTTTGCTTCTGGGACTATGAGCATTGTCCTTACCAAAGAAAATATGAAACTGTAAGGAAAGAATAAAGGATAATTTTGCGAACAACATTCACTTAGGAGATGATAAAAGTATCACTTAAATATCATTTTGAGGTGAAAAACTGTCCTAGAAAGTTAATGTGTGTGTCTTCCAAAATTGTTCTTACAGACCAATATATAAATCTAGGCTGTTGATGATGTTTGTATTAATAATGATGACTCAAAAATAAAATAAAATCAGAGCCCTATACAACCAACATCTTTTTTTTTCACAATAACATAAGTCCTAATACAATTGTATTAAACTTGACTGTGAATAGTTTCAAAATCTAAGGGAGGGAAAAGTGGTCAGATAGGAATGCAAACTTCCCAATATTTCCTACCGGGCACTTGCATTTAATTCTTCTGCCTTCAGCAGCTTTCTATTACCTCTCTCTCTCTCTTTTTTTTTTTTTTTTTCTCAGAAAACCTCTTCAGAAATCCCTATATCACCCTCCCTCCCCAGCTCCCTTTTGGCCTTTCAGTCTAACCTGTCAGTACTACGGCCTTTGAAGTTGGCGTCTGCCTATGCTCTGAGCTGCTCTATCAAGTACTATCGGTTAATGAATTTTTAGGGCAAAGAACTAGGAGAATCTGATAGCGGTCTTGTGGTTTTTTTTCTCTTTAGTTAAATAAAACTAAAGAAAACTTTCTCTTCTGGAAGCCACATAGGGACAGGAGAGTTAAATTGATTAAGACTATGATCTTTTAATTGCATTTCCTTCCCCAGATAACACCTTCAGCAAAGCAGTAATTCTGATGTCAAAATCTCTTGTGCTACCAGACCTAGTGCTCTGTAGTCTCTCTGTCAGGCAGGGTTTTTCCACCCCGGTTTCCTAGGGCTTCTTCAACTGTGGAAAGCATTCTTTCGACAAAAATTTGTCTCTCAGTTCATCTACCAGCTGAATCCACACTCCCAAATCCAGTGCTTGACTTTACAGCTACCCAAGCTGATACTACTGCCCAGAGAAGGAATGCAAAGATGTCAGAGAAAATCCTGGTCAAGTGTGCAGCGGAAACAGTACTTTCTGGCATCTCACCCCAGAACTCTGAAAGTATTTCCCCATAGGGAAGCACATCTACACACATACATACATACATATAGTAAATGGACAAAGACTAGAAAGGTTTAAAGAGAATTAGGAACCCTAGGGATTTTTTTTTTTTTTGAGATGGAGTCTTGCTCTTGTCGCCCAGGCTGGAGTGCCGTGGCGCAGTCTCGGCTCACTGCAACCACCGCCTCCCGGGTTCAAGCGATTCTCCTGCCTCAGCTTCCGGAGTAGCTGGTATTACAGGCGCCTGCCACCAGGCCTGGCTAATTTTTGTATTTTTAGTAGAGACGGGGTTTCACCATGTTGGCCAGGCTGGTCTTGAACTCCTAACCTCAGGTGATCCACCCGTCTTGGCCTCCCAAACTGTTGGGATTACAAGTGTCAGCCACCGCGCCTGGCCAGGGAATTTCTTTTCTTTTTTCTTTTATTATTATTATTATTATTATTTCTGAGATGGAGTCTCGCTCTGTCGCCAGGCTGAAGTACAGTGGCGTGATCTCGGCTCACTGCAACCTCCGCCTCCCAGGTTCAAGTGATTCTCCTGCCTCAGCCTCCCGAGTAGCTGGGACTACAGGCGCAAGCCACCACGCTGAGCTAATTTTTGTATTTTTAGTAGAGACAGGGTTTCACCATGTTGGGCAGGATGGTCTCAATCTCATGACCTCGTGATCCACCCACCTCAGCCTCCCAAAGTGCTGGGATTACAGGCGTGAGCCACCACGCCCCACCGGGAATTTCTTAAAGAAAGTCCTTAAAGGAAATACCATTCCAAAAAAAAGGGGTGGAGGAGGCTAAGTTAACTTGAGTCGTTAAGCAGGGACAAAAGACTCAATTAAGTCTTGATCCTACTCTGCTTATATTGGTATCTTCCTTCGGAGCACTTGGCTTCACAGAGTTAACTTCAATTCCCATCTTTGATCTTTGCCTCATTGTGTCTTCCCAGGTTTTGAGTCCGAACTTTCCTGTACCCTCTCTGACTTGGCCTGACCCTCCAGTCGCAACAAATGCTATTGCACTCGTGCTTCCATTTCTAACCTCACAGAGACCCATTCATACCAGGGCCCAGTAGACACTGCCTCAGTCTTCCCTGCCTGTCAGATGTGGTAGGGCATACTTGCCCATCACACGGGACTCTTCTGAATGCAAAGGGTAGACTTTGCCTTATACAGCGAAGAGAAGATGGGACTTTTGCACTTAAAGAAACTATAACCATAGAGGAGTAAGGAGTTGAGGAGGAACCACCAGCATGTCTCCATGTAGGACTGAATCAGAGCTTTTCTCAAAGTTGCTACAGGGCTGTGCATTTGCTTTTCTGTCACACTCTGTGCACCCACCCATCTTATATGCAGTAGAGAGCTCCCCAACTCTCCAAATTTACCATGGAGAACCCAATGAGAGATTTTTCTAAAAAGTCTCCAAATGCATTTCCTGGAGTCAGGTTTAAGGTAGCAACAGGTCCCTGCTGTGTACAAGACAGAGCTGCAAACTGCAGAAATGGACAGAGAGTAGCAGACAAGGAAAGCATTAAAAAAAAAAAAAAAAAAACTTGTGGAAGTTTTGACATCATTTCCTCCAATGACTGATAACTATTTTAAAAGAAAATATTGGAAAGAGTACTAACCAAAATAGTACTAACCAAAAACCTGGTAACAGTAAATTGTTGACCATTATCCATAAATGAGATCATCAGTCCCTGGATAATATAATGTAATACTTTTGTTAAATTGAATTTTTTTCAGAGAAGACTATACTTTAGCATGATCCTAGCCTTCCTAGAAGGTCTTTTCTTAGAGAAAAACACATGAGTGTATTGTTATGTAACGACAACTTTGACCTGAAAGGGTATTTAGGCATTCTCCCAGACAAGCTGTTGATTTCCACATAAAATTGGCAAAAGAGAGAGCCATCTGGGATAAAATATTATGCACACTGTTGGTGTCTCACTGTTAAGAAGTGCATTTCAGTTTTGTACCACAAAAAAAACTGCTATTATCCTACTAATAGTTGTTATTTCTCAATAATCTCTAAAATCAGTTTCACAGATTTATAAGGAATCCAGGACGGATGTATTCATTTTACCTATTTCAAAATCTAAAACATAATTTTTAAATGAGCATTTAATGCAACTATCTACTTACCTACTTTCAGAGTTTTCTATAAAAAGTATGCTCAGTTCCAAGATCCCGTGGTACCTATGCAATAGAGATCCATCAAAACATTTAACAAAGAGATAAGAGATCTGGGTCTTAGCCATCATTCTACTATTCACTAACTATGAGATATTGTGTAAGACATTTAATATTTCCAGATATACGAGTTAAGATAACATCAGCTGTGGAACAAATACCAACATTTCATTGGTGATAGAAAATTGTTTCTTGTTCATAGGACAGTTCAATGCAAATACTCCAAGTCAGCAGCAACTTTCCTCCACACAGTTATTCAGGGATTCAGGCTCATCCAGTTTTAAAAATTTCTCCATCCACTAGAGCTTTAGAGTTATCTGCTTTTAGCTAATGGAAAAGAAAAGCAAGTGTGGAGAAGTCTCACTTGCCTCTTAGGAGTCTGGCCTACGAGTGACACATTTCACTTTCACTCACATTCCAATGTCTAGAACTAGCCAAATGGCTATGCTTGATTGTAAGGTTGGAGCCAGGGCCTGAGAAATGTGGTCTAGCCAGGGAGATCATGCATTTTAGGTGAATAGCTATAAATGTTTCTGTCACACCAGACCTGTACTTATTCACCTGTGAAATAATAATATCAATACCTGACCTGCCACCCCAACAGGAACATTGTGAGAAAAACAAGTAATAAGTATTAATGTGCTTTTTAAATAGTACCAGAGAAACACACCTCCACAAGGTATGTACATCAGAAAGCACATACCATTTAGACTATGACATAATGCTTTCTTATTACATAACTGTAAGATATATCTTGATTTCAGAAATTTAAAATTTTTAAAAATGTCCAGACACAGTGGCTCATGCCTGTAATTACAGCACTTTAGGAGGCCAAGGCGGGCAGATCACTTGAGGCCAGGAGTTCAAGACCAGCCTGGGTAACATGGAGAAACCCGATCTCTAAAAAAAAAAAATACAAAAAGTAGCCAGGCATGGTGACATTCACTTATAGTCCCACTACTCAGAAGGCTGAGGTGGGAGGATCACTTGAGCCTGGGAGGCAAAGGTTGCAGTGAGCTGTGATTGTGCCATTACACTCCAGCCTGGGCGACAGAGCAAGATCCTATCTCAAAAAACAAATTTTTTTTTTAAATGGTTCATGGTGACTGCCTAATTTGGAATCTACCACTCAACCTCCACCCCGTGAAAAAACATAAAACCAACAAAGAGAGCAAATAAAATCATACATAATCCACTCCTTTAGCAGTATTATGAGAGAGAATATCATGACACTCAAATTCTCTGTAAGTAGAGAAAAAAAAACTCCAGCTGAGCTCCTGATGCCTACCTACCACTACAAGCCTGTGGGTGAAAAGAGTGGAGGAGGCAATCCTTAAGAGACTATGAAAAGATCAAAGAGGCACAGATAACTGAAACATGGTACAAACAAAAGCATCCCCAGAAAGAGAAAGATCCAGCAGTAAACACTAATCACAGGGGAGAACTTGGTAATTAACAATACCAGCTAAAGGGAAGGGGTTTGAGGATGATGGCACCAGAAGCAGCAGTCTCTGAGAAGCATTACTCAGGGGAAAAATCAGTTGTACAGGAAAGGAGATGTAACCCTTGGAAATATAGCAGTAAAAGAAAAGTAGAATGTGAGAAAAGGAAAAGATATTTACTAAATTAAATAAAATAATTAAAGAAACAAAAAAAACAAAGCACACAATTTTTTGTCTTCCTGACACTATCAAACAACACCATCCATAAAAGCAACTCAGAGGGTAGAAACATCAGAATAGAGAATTGTCAAACTAGGAGCACTGACTACAAAATGAATAGGAATACAAATAGCAGACCACATCCATACAAAAGCTGGAGAACAACTCAGAAAATGTGAGTTGAGACATTTTAGTCAACAAAACCCCTCCCCACAAAATCAACCACAAAGCTGAAGAAATTGTCATAAAATACTCCAAACAGAATTAAACACTTTTACACAAATATTTGTAAGTATGAAAAAGCCTTGAACTACAAAAACAAAAATCAAGAACGGAAATAGAGGGGAATGGGAAAGAAGAAATAAAATGAAAGCTGAATTCAAGAAAGAGAGAAAAAGATAAAATTATATCAGAAATCAAAAGGTACCCAAAATTAGATTCAAATGAGAATTAAAAAAAAAAAAGAGATAAAGAAAGAAGTAAAAATGAACTCTCAATAGTGTAAACACAGAGATCCATACCCTGACATTTTTTGAAAGACAAATGGAAAAGAAAATCTTGAAAGCAGCAAGATAAAAATGAATCATCCTCTACAAGAGAATCCAACTAGATTAACAGCTGTCTTTTCATCAGAAAAGATAGAGGCTAAAACAGGTGGGATGAAATATCCAAAGTGCTAAGAGAATCTGTCAACCAAGAATCTTGCATCTAGCAAAACTGTCTTTCAAAAATGAACAGAAAATAAAGTTGTTCCCAGATAAACAAAAGCTGAGAGAAGTCATTACTAGAAGATCCACCTTATGGCAGAGAAATAAACTGGCATTGGCCTTGTCAAAAACAACATACAAAACAAGGCAACAACTGACCCACTGTTTTAGTACATTTTGTGTCACTATAACAGAATATCTGAGACTGGGTAATTTATAAACAGGAGAAGTTTATTTGGCTCACAGTTCTGGAGACTGGGATGTTCAAGAGGATGGCATCAGCATCTGGTGAGGACGTTCATGCTGCATCATCCCATGGTGGAAGGTGGGAGGGCAAGAGAGGACAAAAGCGAGAGAGCAAGAGAAGGGCAAACTTGTTTTTATATCAGGCTCACTCTTGAGATAAATAACCCACTCCCATCATAATGACACTAATCTGTTCATGAGGTTAAAGCCCTCATGACCTAGTCACCTCTTATTAGTCCCCACCTTCCAACACTGTTGCATTGGGGATTAAGTTTCCAACACATGAACTTTCAGGGACATATTCAACACATAGTAACAACATTTTCAAAAAAAACTAAAAATGTGTAAATTAAGAATATTGTATCCATCCAAACTGTTCTTCAACAATCAATGCTGTAAATAGATGTCTTTGAGCATGCAAGAACTCAAGAAATTATTTCCTAATGTACTCATGTGCCCTTCTCAAAAAATCTCCTGAAAAATGAACTTGATCCAAATAAGAAATAATGGCAGATAGTTTGGCAAAGAGCAATACATTGTCTTGTAAGGTAGTAGAGATTTCATTCCCTCAAATGGATTGCAGGAGGGACACAAGAAATAATACAGTCTCTATGGAGGGGAGTTTTTCAATATCTAATAAAAGTACATATGCATTTAGCTATTTATCCAGCAACTCCACATCTAGAAATTTACTGTGAAGATAGCTCTCCAACATATGGAAATACATGTGTGGAAGAGGCTATTTATTGCAGCATTATCTATCATGGCAAAATATTGGAAGCTATCCAAATGTTGGGCATAAGAGATTGAAAAAAACTATGATACATACACATATGGAGTATTGCACAGCTATGAAAAAGAAAAAGAACAATATGAACTTATATGGAGAATTTTCAGGAGATATTGTTAACTGAAAAAAGCACAGTACAAAACAATACACAGAGTATGTGCCTTTTCTGTAAGAAAGAAAGAGGAAAACAAGAAAGCATGAATTTACCTGCTTATCCTTACAAAAGGAGTTCAAGAAAGATTAATTAGAAAGCAATGAAGTTGGTTACCTCCAAGGGGTTGGGAGCAGAGTGAACAGGGTGGAAGGGATGTGAGAGGGAGTAACGCTTCTCTGAGGATAACTTCCCATTTAATTTTTCTTTCAGAAGGTTGTTAATGTCCTGACAAGATTAAATCAACAAGGTTAGGAAAGAGGAAAACTGAAGCTGAAATCAAACTAAAACAAGTGAACCCAATTGTAATTCAAATAAATAATCACACAGAAGGAGAAAAAGAGAGAGAGATTGAATCTAAGTCATGTGTGAACACAATATTTTATTATCTACCCTCAGGTTTGGGGAGACAAGGGGAGAAGGAGAAAAACAAACAAACCCTGAACTTTTTTTTTTTTTTTTTTTGGAGACAGAGTCTTGCTCTGTTGCCCAGGCTGGAGTGCAGTGGCACGATGTCGGCTCACTGCAGCCTCTGTCTCCCAGGTTCAAGCAATTCTCCTGCTTCAGCCTCCCAAGTAGCTGGGACTACAGGTGCATGCTGCCACGCCCGGCTAATTTTTTTTTTTTTTGTATTTTAGTAAAGACGGGGTTTCACCGTGTTGCCCAGGCTGGTCTCGAACTCCTGAGTTCAGGCAATCCGCCCGCCTCGGCCTCCCAAAGTGCTAGGATTACAGGCATGAGTCACTGCACCTGGCCCAAACCCTGAACTTTTAAAATGCGTTTGGGCCAGGCACGGTGGTTCACGCCTGTAATCCCAGCACTTTGGGAGGCCAAGGCGGGTGGATCATGAGGTGAAGAGATCAAGACTATCCTGGCCAATGTGGTGAAATCCCATCTCTACTAAAAATACAAAAATTAGCTGGGCGTGGTGGCACGCACTTGTAATACCCCTACTCAGGAGGCTGAGGCAGGAAAATCGCTTGATTCCAGGAGGCGGAGGTCGCAGTGAGCCGAGATTGCACCACTGCATGCCAGCCTGGTGACAGAGTGAGACTCTGTCTCAAAAAAAAAAAAAATACAATTGGATGTGTTTAGTGACAAAGAGAAGCAATTGTGAAACTATTTCAGATGCATTACAGGATTGAGCAAATGAATAAGTATGTTGATGTTGCTGAGAGTCAAATTCTAACTATAAAAGCAATGAGGATGAACAACCCTGTGCAGTGGATTACAATTGGAGGTATAAATGTCAACACATGCTTTCTAAACTAGAAATGGAATACGTAGGTGTTTGCATGTATGCATGTATATGTGTAGATTGATGTATATATGTGTGTGTACATGTACATGTATGTATCCATATTTACATGGGTGTAAGATATGCATATATTTTCTACCTCTGCCTCTGGAGCCATGCCAATAGCAATTTTTATGCCTAGCACCCAGATATTGGTCTCTATGCCCATTCCTCACTAACAAATACCAAGGATTCTCAGAAAAACAGCTGATTCTGAGGCTGGGTCAAGGAAAGTACAGGTAAGCATGGAACACCTTGTTTTTCCAGATAGTAAAAATGTACTTAAAAAAATTTCATGGGAGCATGTCACAAGATTCAGGTTTCAGTTGGAAAAGTCTATCACTGGCCAAATCTGAGACAATTTGATGACTAAAACAATTAGGAATAGTAAAAAAGTACAGACTATTAGAAAAACTATGTCCATGAGTCCATACCAGTAACAAATAAAGAAATAGGAGAGAGGAGTATTCTTGCTTATGGAACTGACCGATAAAATGTGGAAGGAGTGCAGTTTTGGAAAAATCACATTTTGTTATCATCATAGCAAAGACTGATTCAAGTAAATTATCAGTGGATGCTAAATCCTGGGGAAATTTTTCATGAGAAACAGGATATTTGCATGGTCTTAGGTAACTCCTCACAGATTGTTTATGTGCTTCAAAATAATATAATAATGGGGAGGAGAAATTGGACAAAACCTACACCAGGGGAGCAAAATCGGTGTTGCCAATGATGGGCAGATGGACATGATGTGTCTCTAGATGTGAAACCGTGAGAAAGACTCAACATCGCTTATGTAGTATTTCAGTCTGGCACATATATCTCCATCTGACCACGTGGAATCATCAGAGGAACCCCAAATGGGGAACATTCTGTATTCTTCAAAGAAGTCAATGCTATAAAAGACAAAGAGAGGCTGCAGAAATGTTCCAGATTAAAAGAGACTAAAGAGACATGAAAACCAAATGCAGTATGTGATCTTATACTATATCCTGTACAGGAGAGGGGAAGAATCTATAAAAGACATTATTGGGTCAACTGACAACACTGGAATGCAGATGTTAGATTTCATTAACATATTGTATTACAATTAAAGGTACTGAAGTGGCTAACTGTACTGAGGTTTTGTCATAGAATATTCTTAGTAATAAAAACATGCTGAAGGTTTTAGGGGTAGAGCGCTATGATAATATAATGCAACTTACTCGAAAATGGCTCAAAAATATTATATGTGTATGTTTTATGTGTGTGATTATTCTTGTGTGTAGGGAGAGATAGAGACAGAGGGAGAGGGAAACAGAAGAGAGATAGAGACAGAGGGAGAGAGAAACAGATAGAGGAGGCAAATAATAAAACTGATGAGACTAAACGTTAACATTAGGTGAATCTGAACAAAGGGTACATGAGTATCCCACATAGTATTCTTATTATTGCAACTTGTCCATAAATTTGAAATTATTTTCAAATAGAGGATAATTTTAAATGTTTGAAAAAATCTTAGAAATTAGATGAATCAAATTATATCACTCCCATTTAAAACCCTTTAACAGCTTTCCAGTGCTCTTAGGATCCAATCCAAGCTGCTCTTCCTAACACCTAGAGGATGCATCCCTCGCTACCAGCCCCACCCAATCTTGGCGGATCTCCTCCCACAACCTGCCACACTCATCCTCCATCTGTTTGGAACTCTTTCAGGCTTCAAGGGTTTTCAAATCAGGCTTCAAGGATGGGGGAGGGGGAGGTTGTTTTTACCTACCCAGAATCCATTTTCCCTCTGGTAAAATCCTCCCACCGTGGGTTTCTGCACCCTCAGTGCCAAGCAGGACATGGGGCCTTGGCCATGAGCATGGTGAGGGCATAGCTTAGAATGAAACTACTACACAGGGAAGCAGAGCTGCGAGGTGAAGAGCAGGACCAAATCCTGACCACGTCATTTGAATCTTTGACTCTAGCCCTGGTGGGAATGAAATCTGACCTTTGACTTTTTGCTGCCGTTCCCTCTGCCTGGAAGGCCTTTGCCCTCTCTCTTCATATGACTAACTCTTTTCATCCCTAGGTCCCAGCTTAAATGAAGCCCTCCAAATGCTTTCATGAGCGTCCTACCTAAAGGAGGTCCCCTCTCCAAATGTGTTTTTCTTAGCCCCTTGATTTTTTTATTTTTTTTATTTTTTGGCCTCTTCACACATAACACAATTTGGACCATTTCATTTAGTTTTTATGTTTATTTCTTTTTAAATTGTTCCCCCTATTTGAGTTAAGGCAGGGGTTTATAAGGTGGTTTCAGGCTGCTTTTGTTCCCCAGGGCCTGGGATGTTACCTGATCACATAGCAGACACTCACTATGAATTAAATAAATGAGTACATCTTTTTTCCTCATTACACTAGGTCTTTTAATACTGAAGAATCTACATTGTCCAAGAGAGGAAAAAATATGAATTGGCACATAATATTTAGGCCTAGAAACTATTTTGCTAAATTATAAGATCACTAAGGAATATGTTTTATTGCATTTTGTTTTCTGCTCATCCCAAATATCTTGCATTGTGTCTTATACATAGCATGTGTACAGTAATGGGAATTTTTGCCCCCAGTTATTATGCCATTTAAGCCCCTAAGGAGCCAGGCAATACTGAACCAATAACAGTATGAAAAGCTTAGATCTTCTTTTCAGAACTTACTGTTCGAATCCAGTGGGGCCAGGTTGACTTTCAGAGAAGGGCATTTTCCAGGCAAGTGGATTAGGGCTTTGTAAATATTTGTTGAATGAATCATAAGTCACTTTAGCTAAACAAATTCTGGAAAGAGAGGAAGGGAGGGAGGGAAGGAGAGAATCTAAAAGCCTTAGTCATTGAGCCCAGATAAGTCGAACTCATCTGCAACCCCATAATTAGCTGTGATGATAGCCGTGCTTTCAACATTTCAATTTCCAGGTCTTATGAATCAATTTTCAATAATCTATGAAAAAATTACTTAGGCCTCTTCTTCCCATTTTCCTTAATCCCCTCATGAGGCTGGCCACAGAGCTGAGTCATGGGTTGGGTAGAAAGGTCAGGTGTTGCAAAGCTGAAACTATGAGATTTAAGGCAGAGCATATGATGTGAGTCCCCATTGGTTGTGGTCAAGTCATGTAACCTAACAAGCATCTGTTTCCTCATCTATAAAGTAAGAATTCATAAGAACACCCAAGCTATGTACCTCAAAAACTGTTTCTATAAATCTAATCATATAATACACTAGTAAAAGTATTTTATGAGTTGTACAAATATCAAAATTCAGTTATGAAACAATCTGTTATTTTTATTATTACTGATACAAAACCATGCTCAGATAGTTTTAGGATTCCCTAGTTATTTCCATTTACCACAAAGATGAAATCTTTCTAATTGTATAATTTGTATAGGCACCTATGAGCTGTTTAAAAAATAAATGTTGTCCAACCACCTGTGATAAAAATGTCTGCGGAAAAGACTTCCAGATATTCATTAGCCCTAAATTGAACTTCAGTTTGTTTGGCTTTCTTTTTTATAATATTTTCTTAAAACATGTGGTCTCTTAAAATTTTTATCATGCAGAGAATCATGAAAAAATGATATATGAGGTATCTAGACAACACAGCATAGATTGTCCCTTTGAATGGCAGAGAGAGTCGGCAGTTTCTTTTAAGTCCCCATTGTCTAATCTTAGGCACAACCCAAATTAGAGTTGTGGGTTGCAAAGGATTCTCAGAAAAGGGTGTGTTCCCCAGCCTCCTAACCAACCATAGTAGATCCAAGAGGAAAGTACTTTTTGGTGGGAAGGTACTAAAAGGAATGAGCCTCGTACTAGTCCAGCTTGTTTCCCAACCTCAGCAACATGGAAAAGAGCCACGGGAGTGATACACAATAAACACATACACTCACACAAATATTATTTAGCCTTGAAAAAGAAGGAAATCCTACCATTTACAACAATATGGATGAACTTGGAGGATAATATGCTAAGTGAAATAAGACAGACACAGAGAGACAAATGTTGCATGATCTCACCTATATGAGGAATCTAAAATAGTTAAACTCATAGAAGCACAGAGTAGAACAGCAGTTGCCAGGAGTTGGGGGCTGGGGGAAATGGGGAGTTGTGGTCAAAGGATACAAAGTTTCAGTTATGCAAGATGAATAAGCGCTGGAGATCTACTATACAGTATAGAGACTATGGTAAATAATCCTGTATTCTATATTTGAAATCTGCTAAGAGGGTAGATCTTAAGTATTCTGACCATATCAAAAGAAAAGTAGCTTTAGGAGATGATGGATATGTTAACTAGCTTGATTGTGGTTTGGTGATCACTTCACAATGTATGGGTATATCAAAACATCAAATTGTATACCTTAAATATAGATGAATTTATTTGTCAATTATACCCCAATTAAGATGGGGAAAAGAAGAAAAAGAACTCCATTCCCATCCATAGGGAGCATGTGCAGTGTGTAGATTAAGAATTGGGCTTTAGGATTGCTTATTAACTATGTGAGATTGTGACAAGGACAATTTACTTAACCTCTCTGTGCCTTAGTTTCCTTATCTGTAAAATGGAAATAATAACACAACTCTCAAAAAGATGCTTGGAAGATTTAATAAGGTAAAATGCATACAGAATTAGCAGCATGCCTGAAACATGGTAAGAGTTCAATAAATGTCTGTTACTACTAATGTTACTAATCATAGCAATAAATTTTTTTTATTTTATTCCCTTTCAGATTTGAAGATTACAGAGCCTTAATATTTCCCAAGTTGACAATACAGTAAGGAATGTTCAAGAGTTCTTTCTGAGACATCCTTTTTTGCCTGGAAGTCCACATACCCATCAATGACCTTGATTTTAACATATTGGAATAAAAATTATGTCAAAGTTCCAATAGAATCATTTATCAGAATGCTTTAATTCTGAAAGAAAACCTTCAGTTGCATTATTTCTCTTTTATTAAATAGCAAATAATAACAATTTAAGCCATTAATCCTAGTGAAGGCCAATGAACACTGTTGTTTTGCTACCAGATTTTAAGCTTTTGCAGTTTTGCCTTTAAGTTACTTAAAAGGTCTCATATCTGATTATAGAGAACCACTCCATTAAGTCCTAGACACTAGCTAAGAGCACTAGGCCATTTTCTACCCATGTCCCGAAGGGTATAAAATACCACTTTCTAGGCACGAAAGAGACTCCTTACAAATCAATCTTTCTAATGCTCTTGTGTCATTTTCCCCCATGGGGTCACATCTGATTATCCAGGCCAAAGAATATACCTGATTAAAAGCTGCTTTGAAGGTGAAGCCTAAAATTATTGTTATAAATTTTCAGGGTTACTATAAAGCTGTAAAAACCTTTTGTTTTCACTGTAAAAAGACCATTTTCCCAGTTTTTTATTTGTCGGTACTCTCTTGGCCATAACAAATGGAAAAATTCATGTAATTTCAATTATTTATTCACTCATTTATTAAATTTATTTTTTCAATCATTCATCTTATGTTGATTGGTGTTCTAGACAATGTGTAAGTTTGGGGAATATAAAATTGAACAAGAAGCAGCCCTTATGGATTATATGATGTTCGAGACACATCAACAAATAATTGCAATATAATCTTATACATGCTTAACAAAAATATGTACCAAGTTGTAAGGAAGCTCAGAAGAAGTGATCATTGTTCCTGGAGGAGTTGGAAGAAATTTCACTGAGCAGTGAAATGAAGTTAGTACTCATGACGAGTAGAAGTAGAATTGGGGAACACCATTAATTACAAATTAAATGAGTTAATATATAGAAAAGAATTTAAACTCATGATTGGTACATATTAAAGTGCCATAGAAGTGTTAGCTGACATTAGCATTACCATCACCACCATCATTATGCAGACAATAGGAGTCATTAGAGTGCTTATCAGTACCAATCTCTCTTAAGTGGTGACTGTCTGTGCTGACTTATTATTGTTACCTTCAACAGGTTCAAGTTCCAAAGATTCTGTTTAACAAAAATCCAGCAACATCAAGGTTAGGCATGAATAATAATCACCTAGCCTACTTGAGTGTAGCACATTTTCTTTGTCCAACTAAAATACTGGGCCAAAAGTGAAAAGTTTGTAGTAAGGGAAAAAGGTAGGTGAGATTAAGGCTAAGCTATCCTATGTTTAAATTATAAGTTAAAGAATTAAAGAATGAGTCCCCTAAATTTTCCTAGAACACTGTTAATGTGCTTGGAAGTTTCATCTCTGGATTACTGATGGCGGCAGCAGGGGAATATCAGTTACTGGCAATCCATTAGTCAGCATAAGATAGGTTATGCTGCAAGATCAACAACCATGATCTATCAATGGATTAACACACAGCAAGTCTACCATGAGTCTAGAGGCTCTTCAGCATAGCTCCCTTCAAAACGATGACTCAAGGACCCAGTCTAATTCCTTGTTATAGCTACACCATCTAGAACACATGGATTCCGGGTCACCACAGTGAAGAAGAGAGAACTGGAGTATCACATACCTGTTAATAATGCTTTCTCCTAGAAGTGAACTATATCAATTCTATTTCTACGTCCAACTCACTGACCATAGCTAGTCACATGATCCCATTTCATTATATGGGTATTAGGAAATGTGTATGGGTATTTTGTGAGTAGTGTTTCTGCACAATCAGTCACAATGACTAAGCTAGGTCTTACATGTACAGGCAGAAGGGGAAATTGGGGAGAATGCAGCTGCTGTTTTTTCCCTTGTGAATGCCTTATATTTGTTACCTTCACTCTTCTCAGTAAACTGAAAAATCATTGATTTTTTTTTTTTAAATTGTACTCCCACCACTTAGACCACTGCTGACATAAATAGGTGTTGAATAAATAAGAGAGCCAGTACAGCTTACCCACATTGCTGCAAGATGACTGAGAAGTCTGCTACCAGGATCCCATTCCAGTGATGAAGCTGATTTCATTATTAGAAATGTAGATAAATTCATTTTGTCATTTGAGGAATTACCTGAGGGAACAGCAATCAAAATGACACAATCCTTTCATTGTTTACAGAAATGAGCCAATATTACTTGTCTCTACACTGTACATTAAACTACCTAACACTTCACTTAGCATTTCATCCGCACAAGGGTTCCTTGTCTTTTTCAGTGTCCTGCTAGAAAGTCTCCTTTTTGCCCTATAAATAATTTATAAGGAAAAAAAGAAACAGTTCTTATGTTATTTCCTTCAAAAAATTTTAATTGATATTAAAGAAAAATATTTAATTCAGTTATTCTTATGAAAAAATTATATTCTTTCACCTTAAATATTTCCTGTGTCATGTTCTTTTTGTTGTTTAATTTCTTATCTCTCCACTGAAAAAAAACTTGAGAGCCACTGTTCTCCATATCTTAACCTTTTCCATTTTCCAGGCCTTAGAATGATGTCATTGTGGGTAACTACATCTTTACAGCTTTTAAACAGCACCTTAATTGCCAAAGGAAAACAATCCTTTTATTTTTAACAAAGACATACATCATTCCCAAGCACAATGCCTGGAATATAATATTTATTCAAATGTGTCCAAGTCCTAATTCTCAAAACTCTCTAGAAATGGCACCCAACTGGAGATCCAAAAAAAACCCAGTTGATATAAATAAAGTCCAATCATTATTTTTATCTATAATTCATCAAATTATATTCCCAGATGGCTCACCATCACATCCATTTAAAATAACAAATGATTTAAAGTCATAATGCAAATAGATTTATTGATTTCAAGATTTCATCAAAGCATTTATCTTAGAATTTAATCAATAGTGCTACTTGGTGAACAGCTCAATCCAATAAAATCTGTATGTTGCAATTAATTCAGGTCTTGTAATGCCACTTTCCACTGATAATAAAGAAATCTTGATGACTCATAATGCATGGGTGTTCTCCATAGCCAGAGTCCTCTAGGCCAGCAGTTTTTCAATATGCTATTGGAACAGACTAGTGTACAATAATCAAATGCACGGCTTGCCTTAGTGAAGTATCAACATTTAAAAATGATTTGCTTCTTTTCAGATATATATATAGAATGACTTCCTGCATGTCCTTGTATCTTTCTTTTTTTCTTTTGAGGCAGAGTCTCGCTCCGTCACCCAGGCTGGAGTGCAGTAGTGGCGCCGTCTGGGCTCACTGCAAGCTGCGCCTCCCAGGTCCACACCATTCTCCTGCCTCAGCCTCCCGAGTAGCTGGGACTACAGGTGCCCTCCACCACGCCTGGCTAATTGTTTTTTTGTATTTTTAGTAGAGACGGGGTTTCAACGTGTTAGCCAGGATGGTCTCGATCTCCTGACCTCGTGATCTGCCCGCCTTGGCCTCTCAAAGTGCTGGGATTACAGGCGTGAGCCACCGCACCCAGCATGTCCTTGTATCTTTTGCACTCACTTGCTTTAGCTATGTGAGAACTGTGTATAAGCACAGCTTATCCTGAATAGCAGTCCACAATTTGCTGATACAGTATAATGTTAATAGTTGTAACAACTGTCCACTATGATGTATGAAAAACTACTGAGAATTTCTTCAACATCTGGGTATTCACATGGAAATCTATCATATGTGTATATCATAGATATGGCGAGAGGGAATATTCCCGGTTCTCATTTTCTGCTACATTTAGTCTAAAGCAAATGTGATTTTTCCCTTGGCTATACCTCTGTGATATAACGTTTTCATATTCAGTAACTTAATAATTCATATCTAAAATGTCAAGTTAATAACTTAGTCTCTCTCCTCTACTGAAACTATTTTTAAAATAATTTAATTTCTGTCATTAATTGTACATCCCATTCACTTGCATGAAACTACTAACCCAAAGCCCTCTATTAATAATGCAAACATTCTGCATCTATTTCCAACAGCAAACAGAAAAATAGACAGCATTTCAGTTCAAATATATCAATTCAATGATTTTTTAAAAATCCCAAATGCCCATTCATGACTCTATGTTATGTCAATATAAAATTGAAACCACAGCAGCATCATGGAAATATACTGACATAAATAACACATTTCTTATGAAGTACAACACTCACTCTTATGCAAAAAAAGTTATAGGAATTCAAATGACTTATTTAGGGAAGAAAAAAAAAGCCCACAGTGGTATTCCTTAAACCAATAATACACTTTCAAATACATCTAATAGTATGCAAGATCCCTTAGCCAGCTCTGATAAGTGCCAAATGCAGTTTGACCATTTATTTAAAATACTGTTCTCCATATTTTTATAGCAACATTCTTCCAATTGACAGGTCAGAGAAAATGGCTAATATGCAATATATGACCACATAACTTACATGAATTTCTCTAATTAGTGCCAAACTGTTTTCAATGAGTCTGTGTGTGAAAAAAAGAAATATTTATGTAATTTTAAATTGTCCTAAAGCAAAAAAGACTCTAGTTGCAAGGAAGTATTATATGATAGTGTTTTAATAAAAGCCAATTGAATAATAAAAAGAACTCCCAACACATCTGAAATCACTTATATCTCCTATTCCATATACAAAAGACAGATAAATCAATGTAAAGTTTATTTTATTTGAAATACAAACCACTTCCAAGCAGAGTATTCATCCAGAATGAATATTTATAAAAATTCTCTATTCTTCAAAAAATATATGTGTTTATAATGTCAAACTTTGCCAGAATCCTTAACTTTAAGGCTTATTAGTTGAACATTTTCTCACAACTTTGCTTGGGAGAAAAAGATTGGCTTATAAAAAATGCTTGAGGGTTATTTATAACTATTTTAGAAAAGCTAGTTAATAAAGATATTAAGTAAAAAATTCACCTAAAATCCTTTCCATGTTACAAAACGTGTTCTTAAATCATCTTTGTGGAGTTTCTAAAATAGTTTGATAGATAGACAAATGTCTATTTTTATTTCTGCTTAGCGTGTTTATAAATTGATAACAATTTATTTTATTTTATGGCCATTCAAATTTTAAATATATTCTGATTATAATCAAAGTGGCAGAACATGTAATAGTTTAAAAGAATAAATAATAAATGCAATTTATAGAAATATTGACATTAAAATTTTGATGATGATTATGATAATTGTCACATAAAACTTTACACAGAAAAATTATAAGAGCACTCAGGCCAGCCACTGGTTTTGACAATGTAATACAAAAATAGAATAGAATAGATACTTTGATATTAATTCTGGTATGCAATTTTATGTGGTTTGTATCTCTGGGACTTTGTACCACCTAGAATCCCTCCCAGCCAGCTGTTTGTAGCCCAATTATCTCAGTCCGGTTATCTCGTTCATGAAACCTCCAGGACTGGGTCTGAGGCTTCCCAGCTGTTCCCACGTATCCCATGTCTATCCCACTGCAGCACTCACCACACTGAATCATAATTGTCTCTTCATTTGGGAGTATATACCCTTAGCTAAGATTCTTGATGGCTGAGGCTAGGTTTAATTTCTTATGTATTTCTGGCTTCTGTAATCTAGTAGATGTTCAATAAATAATTGCCAATTACTACTAAATGGATGTCTACAAATATACAACATAAGGACTAGCACTTGAAAAACACGTAAACAATTTATTTTAGTATCAAGAACATATACGTTTTGCCTGGAAATGATAGTTCTGCCACCACACATCCAATTTAGAAGCCTGGCCAAGGGCTTAGGGAAAACAATATTATTTTGTTAGTATTCTGCCTGTTTAAACAATCTATACAATAGATTCCATACAATCTGCTTATAAACCTCATTTTTCTATGTATCTTAACAAAAAAAAAGTCATAAATTATAATTGTGTTGCTTGTTCTTTCATTTTAAGTACCATTTCATTTCTTAGCCTTAGTACCTCTCAGTGACTATTCCAAAATGCTGACATCCTTTTTGGGTCCCTAATTAACCCCCCACATCATCTTTAGTAGATGCCCTTAACTCCTTAAATTTGGTCTTCAACTCTGCCATTCCCTTCCATCCCCTCAAATTTTCTTCTTCTGATTATTCCCTTATCTCTTTCCCTCAAGCCTAAAATGGAAAGGTACCTGCTTCTGGATCTTGGACCCCACATCCTTTTACAATTTCTGGTCTTCCTCCATCAGTTAGAATTATTAATGTTAATCTTACTGGTTCATATGCATTCTAGTCTGTATTTTTTGTTAGGTCTTTATTTTCCCTCTTAAAATATAGTCAATTCTCATTATTCATGAGAGTTGTGTTCTATAAAGCCACCATGAACACTGAATTAGTAAATCCTGAACCATTGTTCCTAGGGGAAATACAGAGTTAGGTCCCAGCAAGCTTCTAACCACAACATTTTCATCAACGGATCAATACATAACCTTGTTTTTCTGTTTCTGTTTAAAAACACCTTATTTAATATATATTGCTGATTCATGAGCATTGAGCTCACAGCCAGTAGTTCTGTAACTAATGCCTGAAGCAAAACTGACACATATATTTTCTCTGTAAAGCATATTAAAGCTTTCTTGCACTTAAGAACACCAAACAGCACTTTAGCACTATGCTTGGAGGCCACTTCACACAGCAAAATTATTAACAAAAAGCACAAAAGTGTAAAAAACATGACACTAAATAGACCACTAGAAGGACACTTGTTTACAGCATAAGAGCTGAAGCAAGAAGGCAGACATCACATTGCTCACTCAGCTGGGAACATGTGCATGTGATGGCTCCATTTTTTTTCCCACTCTGCACATGTCCATGAGTGACCAGAAAACACTGCAAGTATTAATCTGGGGTTATAAATAAATGTGAAAATATAGAATCTGAGAATAATGAAGATATTGTAATACATGCTTATGATAAAAAATATATATCGCTAAGGTTCCTACTTGAGTCTAGGATACTCCTAGTTTCTACCTCAGATCAATAATGTTTGGGAATTCCTTATGTTGGAAAAGGAAGTGGGTTTACAAGGAGCCAAGTTCTGTGTAAGCACACAGGGAATTATGCCAGAGATATTTGGGTTTCTACTCTTAATGTAACTGTATCTTTATACACAGGCAAGTGAGGTCTAAAGAAATCTGGTTTCAGCAAGAAAAATACAAACAAGGAAATGAACATTATCTATAATCCCATATACTTCTTTTCAATCATTTTCTACATGTTTTTGCCATGGAATCACACAATGCACACATAAAATTGAGTCTTGTGTTTTTGCTTTATCACTAAAATTTTTCCCATTTGGTTCTCAGGAGTAGTTGATCAGAGACTTGCTTTGTAACATCAAGTATGGAGAAGAGTGAATGGTAAAGTTACTCATGCAAAGAAAAGGCAAACTCAGTAACATGTCCAGGCCCTGTCGAAACACAAGATCAGCCATACAACCAGGCTCTATCAAGATTAGAACATAATTACAAACTACAATGTCTTCCAGCATTCAAGGCAGCACTAACAACTACTTTGCTGTCCCTTCAGTGGCAGAAATGCATTATCTCAATTAGTGGGCACCATTATTTGACTCAACTACTCACTATCTGAGAATATTCTACTCTCACAACTAAACTTTCACTCTGTTGTTTGCTCTCAACCTCTTGAGAGAAATAATACAATTATCTATTAATCACTTCAATGATTTTGAACAGAATTTTTACTCCATAGCATCTTACGGGCCACTGGCAAATCGATACACGGCATCAGCTGCTCACTGAGGCCCATCATCTCTCAGTGTGCTGGAGCCACATGGTACTGGTCTGGTGACCCAGGCACAGTATGCAGAAGCCACACTGTAAAAAAAGTTATGGACCCTAAGAAGCTAAAGAAAAAGTCAAATTAAACCAAAGTAAGTAGGAGAAATAAAATAATAAAGACAAAAGCAAAAATCAGTAAAGTAAAAAAGAGACAGTAGAGTAAAATAATTAAACCAAAACCTAGCCTTTGAAAAAATAAATCATGTTGATAAACTTCCACCTTGAATGATCAAAAAAATTAAAGACAGAAGATACAGATTACCAATATCTGAAATAACAAATGGATATCAGTACATATCCTACAGACACTGAAAAGATAGGGGAATATTATGAACAACTTTATACCAATAAATGTGATAAAGAAATAGACAAAATTCTTAAAAGATGAAAATTAACAAAAGGGAGTTCAAAGAAATACATCTTAATAGCCCTATATTCTGTTAAATGAATTACGTTAATTTGTAATAAAAGTCTTACAAACATATTAATAGGCTCAGATGGCTTCATTGTTGAATTCTACAAAATACTTAAGCAAAAAATAATACCAATTCTGCAGAAACTATTTCAGAATTTCTCCAAATCAAAGAGGGCAATTTTTATCCAAATTGATCTATAGAGTCAACACAACCCCAATCAAAATTTCAGTAAGCTTTTAAAAATTAAATTCACATGGTGATTTTAAATCTTATATGAAAATTCAAAGGATATAGAATAGCCAAAACAATTTTGAAGAAGAACATAGTTGGAGCACTTACCCTACCTAATGTCAAGACTTATTATAAAGTTAGTTATTAGGACAGCAACGTAGTAGTGAAGGATAAATTGAACAAAGCAGAAAACCCAGAAATAGACCTGTAGGTATGTGATCAATTGACTTTCAACAAAGGTGCCAACATAATCCAATGGGAAAAATGCTAATCTTTTTGATAAATGGTGCTGAAATAATTAGCTATCCTATGTTAAAAAAAAAACAACCAACATCTTTATATCCTACATAAAAATTACTTCAAAATGGATCATTGTTCTAAATGTAAAGCTAAACCTATATAGCTTCTTTTTTCTTTCTTTTTCTGTTTTTTTTTTTTTTTTTAGACAGTCTCACTCTTGTTGCCCAGTCTGGAGTGCAGTGGTGCACTCTTAGCTCACCGCAACCTCTGCCTCCCGGGTTCAAGTGATTCTCCTGCCTCAGCCTCCCGAGTAGCTGGGACTACAGGTGTGTGCCACCACAGCTGGCTAATTTTGTATTTTTAGTAGAGACGGGGTTTCTCCATGTTGGTTGGGCTGGTCTCGAACTCCTGACCTCTGGTGATCTGCCCATCTCGACCTCCCAACTATATAACTTCTAGAAGAAAAATTGAGAGTTTTTTTCACAACTTTGGAATAGAAAAAGATTCCTAAGGTATAAAAAAAAATGTATTTTTTTTTTGAAAAGTAGTCAGACTTTAAATTTAAAATGTCTGCTCTTGGAAAGATATCACTAATAATATCATTTAAAAAGCCAAGGACTGGAAGAAAATGTGCATAATACTTATATGTGACAAAGAGCTTGAATCTGGAATATGTGAAGACTTGCAACTCAGGAAGATGAAGACAATTTAATCTTAAAATAAGCAAAAGATTTAAATTCACAATACATAAAAGTAGATACACAAATTCCCAAAAGCATATGAGAAATGCTCAATATCACAAGTCATCACTGACACACAAATTAAAACCCCAGTGAGATACCACTGCATACCCATTAGAATGGCTAAAATGTAAAGAAGGCTGATTTATCAAGGGTTGGGAAGAGTATGCAACTGGAACTCTCATACATTGTTGATGGGAATGTAAAAAGTGTAGAGCCATTTTGGAAAACAGTTTGGCAATTTCTCATAAAACTGAATACCACTTACCATTTGACCCTAGGATATAGCAATTCCATTCCTAGGTATTTGCCCAAGCAAAACGAAAACATACATTCACACAAAGGCTTGTAAATGAATATTCATAGCAGCTTATTCTTAACAGCTGAAAACTGAAAACAACCTAAATGTCCATCAACTGGTGAATAAATGTGCAAATTTGGTGTATTCATGACATCACTACTCAATGATAACAAGGCATAACTACCAATATTTGCTTGTAACAACATAGAAGAATCTTGGAAACATAATACTGAGCTAAAAATGGCAGACAAAAAGAGTGCATACTATGCTATTTAAAACTAGAAAAAACAAACCTATGGTGACAGAAAGCAGGTCAGGGATTTCCTATGGCCAGTGGCAGGGTGAGGATGAACTAGAAAGGGGGAGAGGGAACTCTTTGAGGTAGTATAAGTGTTTTTTATCTTGAGCATGGTGATGGTTACACTGGTGTGAAACTTGTCAGAACTTTTTGAAATGGACACTTAAAATGGGTGCATTTTATTACATGTAAATTATGCCTGAATAAATACGATTTAAGAAAAAAAGTGGGGAGGAACATCTTGAAAGGGCTCCTGGGTATGACAAATATTTTGAGCTTGTCTAACCTATCCAACATAAAAATACATGTACCCTAGAACTTAAAGTATAATAAAAAAACATATATTTTAAAAACTCAATAATTTTCACCTGAATATTCTTACAGCAGCCAATGGAAATTTTCTCAATGTTGAGTATGTAAGTAGTTACCAATTTTTTGATGCTAAAATTGTACAAATCTCTGTTCATTTTATTTTTAATTAAATATTTAAGATACAATTCTAATTGTGGAGTTTAAGTTATGGAAAAGTGCTCAAAGCATTTAAAACTAGGATAACATTCTAGAAATGAAAGTTAAAGGATGTAGTATATATATTTTAAAACCTTTAAAACTTCCCATTTACCTTCTAGAATTTGAGAGGTTGAGATTAATTCTCCGTAGTTTCTATCTTTCCATATCTACTGGGTCCTTCCTCCCAATCTATAAAAATATTCATCTTTCTGACACTTGAAAGAAAAAAAACGCTATGCTTCCCACTGAATAAATTGCCCTCTTAGTGCTCTTTCTTTTCACAGTCAAGATTCCTGAAGAGGGTAGCTCATGCTCGTTGCCCTACTTTTCTACTCTTCATTTACTTCTCAACTCATGACAATCTACTGTCTGTCACCAGAATGTGCCTTCACTAAAATCAACAAGACTTTGTTAATTTCTGAACTCAAAGTTAATATTTCCATTAACTTCCTTGACTTCTCTGCAGCATGTGACCCTATTAGTCATTCGCCCCCGTAACTGTCTCCTCTTTTCACTTCCATGGTAACATTTTCTCAGCTTCACCCCCAGCTTCTCTGACCATTCCTCCTTAATCTCCTTGCCAGCTCCTCTACCTCTACCTACCCCTTAAATGTTAGTTTTCCTTAGGGTTCTAACCATTGCCTCTTTTTCTTCTCTTTCTATATCTGTACTTCTCAAACTGAATACACAGAATAAACATAGATAATTTTATCTGAAATTTTTAATTATAATCAGTAGTAATCAAAACATTACTTTTAGATTAGAATAAATAAGGATGTAGCATAGGAAAGAATGCAAAATTTGCATGGAGAAACAGGGAAGACACCCTAAGTGCTCGCTGTCACTCATTACATCCTATCACCCAAGAAGCTGTGACAAAGTCAGCTCCTTAAAATTTCTCAAATGTTTCTTTTCTTCTCCGCTTGCTTTAGTCTATGTCTTTGTCATTTTTTACCTAAACTACTGCAGTAACCTCCTACCTTGTGCCTCATTTGCCAGTTTAGCCCTCCCATCATCTTTCACACTTTAGCCAGAGGTTCTTTTATTGAAACATATAACTGTGCTGCCTGAAAACCTCAGGTGGCGCCCTAGCTCTTAGAGACTGAAGTCCAAACTCCTAAAGGTGTGATCTGGTCACTCACCATTCCACCTTCTTTCCTTCATTCATTTGGCAGCATATTTCCTCCAAGTAGCCACACAGTGGGAGAGCTGTGAAGATACATTGTCTTCTCTGCCTGCGTGGAGAACGTGTGGATCAGGGTGGCTCACGTCCTCCTCCCTCTCCCGGCGCCCATTTCTGCAGGAGAATGGTTACCTAACATCATATCCCAGTTGAAAAACTGAAGTCCAACAGAAAAGGGGACTCACAAAGATTTTTACCTAAAAGCATGAAGATGAAAGGGAGCTTAAAGTCCATCAAGTCCGAACTCTACATTCTATAGCCAAGGAACAAGAGACCCAGTAGAGGCAAGAGGCTTGTCCAAAGTGAGACAAGATTCCAAGAATAGGAAAATTTCCCAAGCAAAATTATTGCTCTCATTTTTCCAAAGGGGGAAGAAAAGCATTTGTATAAAAGTGTGTGTTAAAGTTCCTTCAAAAAGGCAAACAAGTCAAGTTTGACATAATTTATATCTGTCTACGCAAAATGAAGTAGCTGTCTGAATACTTTGTGCCAAAAATAGATTTGGCCTAAGTGTCCAGGTAATTAGAGCTTGGTAAAATGTTTTTGCTTGAATCATCTAAATCATTGCCCTAGTTCTTTGCTTTACTTTAGAACGTGGACACCATTGCAAGGTGCAAACTTAAAATGCTGTACCTTTTAGACAGATACCTCAATCTTTAGAGCTTATTAACATTTATATTTCAATATTAAGTCTCCAGAGCCTAATCTGGTAGCAGATGGAGGCCAAGATGTCTAAGAAAGGGAACATATTAAAAAGTTACAGACCCATCAGCAAACTAAACCTAGAAAAACTTCTATAAAATCTATGACTTGACTATGAACAGCAATTCTAACTTGCTGAACTAATAGCTCCCAGTCAGCTAACTTGCCTGCTCTTATTATCTTAACACATCAGGAAAGTTTCCAAAATTGCCATGCAGGTCATCTATTCATTCTGTCATACATAGCAAAGAACAGTATGCCTATACAGAAAATACCTCATTCATCTTCCATCTGTCCCCTACCCAAACATCCAGGACAGATTATATTCTCTTTTATTTTTCATATCATTTAAGAAAAGGTCTAGTGCATTTTAAATAGTCAAGAGCAGCATTCCTTCATCTCTGGGATGGTGGGGATGCTCTGCTTCTAACCTTTTAGTTCAGTGCTGCATAATATAATAATAAAGATCATAAATGTTTAGTGTCTCTTCATCTGAAAGTAAATGCCTTGAGGGCTTTTATTCATTTTTATTTTATTTCTGAAACATTTCAAGCTTACATACCAGAATAGAAGAAATAAAAATAGACTTCCATGTCCCTACTACCAAGATTGAACATGTTATTTCTGTGATATTTGCTTTAACCTCCATCCTCCATCCATCTAAGCCTTTCTCTCTCACTTTTTTCCTTCTTCCACAGAAGTAGACTGCCATTATGTTTATGAGTCCTATGAACAAGGAGAAGGGGCAAGATGGGCAGCAGCAGAAGGAGGAGGAGAATGAAAAGGAAGAGAAGGAGCAAAAGAAGGAAGAAGGGAGGAGAGAGAAGAGCAAGAGGAGGTGTTAAGTATTTTCCAGATTTTTTACAATGAGCATATACTATATTACTCTTATAATAAGAAAAAAATATTTAAAATAAAAATTAAAACTACAATATTATCTTCTTATTTCAAGGAGTGCAGATAGAAAATATTCCTGAAAGATCATTGTCTATCGCAATTTAGGAAAATATGGGTAGACAGACCTGGTTCATGCTACATGAGCAGGCAGTGTAGAGTCAGGGCTGCTCCCACCACTATGAATGTGTTCCACCCCTCCAGTGGGTGATGGATGAGGCCAGCACTCTCCCTCCATTCACTCAACGTCCAGGTGAAGGAACTCCTGATGTCACTGTTGTTACAAAGCACACAGTCTACACCAACATTACATTGCTAAAATGTGTTACAGGCCATCGTTCCTTTAGATCAGGAAAGTAGGAGGCCATTAGCAACCTTGGTGAAAGTAGTTTCAAAAATTAGTTGAGAGGAAAGATAGTCTGTTCAACAAATGGTGTCAGAACATTGGACAATCATAGGAAAAAACCTTGACCTAAACTTCATGTAGGAAAAAAAAAACCTCATGACTTGGAGTTAGGCAAAGAGTTATTAGACATGACATGGAAGACATGATCCCTAAGAGAAAAAAATCAATGAATTGAACTTTAACAAAATTAAAAACTGTAACTCTGAGAGCAATCCTGTTAAGAGGATAAAAAGACAAGCCACGAAAGGGAGAAAATATTTGCAAATCATATAACTTATATGGAACTTTATCCAAAACATGTCAAGAATTCTAAACTCAGAATTAAAAAAAAAACCACAGCAATCCAATTTGAAAGTGGACAAAAGATTTGAACAGTATATGAATGGCAAATGAGCATCCTCAGTATCTTTAGCCATCAGGGAAATGTAAAGTAAAGCTACAAGGAGATACCAGTGCATACCTGTGAGAATGGTTAATAAAAAAATGCTGATAATACCAAGTTTGGGGAGGATACAGAGCAAATCTGTACTATTTTTACTGCTTTTTATATGAGGCTTAAATGATTTCAAAATATAGCTGGGCTTGGTGGCTCATGCTTGTACCCAGCACTTTGGGAGGCCGAGGCAGGTGGATCATTTGAGTTCAAGACCAGTCTGGCCAACATGGTGAAACCCGGTCTCTACTAAAAATACAAAAATACGAAAATACAAAAAAAAAAAAAAAAAAAGCCAGACGTGGTGGCACATGCCTGTAATCCCATCTACTGATGGAGGCTGAGGCAGGAGAATCACTTGAATCCAGGAGACGGAAGTTGCAGTGAGCTGAAATCACGTCACTGCACTCCAGGTTCCATCTCAAAAAAAAAAAATTGATTTAAAAATAAAACATTATTTTATAAAATGTGGTGAGAATGGGAGCCTGATTGCAGAACTGATCAGGGAAAGGGAGATGAGGAAGCTGAGTCAATGAGTGAAGATCATACTGGAAAATTATCTGATCACTAACCTTATAGCACAGGGCCCTGAGCTGTGGACTCTCTTAGCAGGCAAACCCTGAGGCGGGGCACAGTAGTCAGGCTCAGCATAGCACAGGGTTAAACAGCATGAGCTGCTGGGCTAACTTCTTAGGTTTGATGCTACTTAAAGTTGTACAACCTTAAGACATAACTTTGTGCCTCAGTTTCCTCATTTGAAAACAGGCAAAACAATAGCGTCAAATCTTAAAGGGTCATTTTGAGGATTAAATGGAAAAAATTACATATATAACATTATAAATACTCAATACATTTTAACTTTATTATTATGATGATTCATCTAGATTTTACCTAGAATTAGCAGTTCTCAAAGTATCTCAATTCATTTATTTTATATTCTCTTACTCCCCACTTTCAAAAACTCTTTCTCATTACACCTCAGTTCCTGTTCCTGTCTGTGTCTTCTCTATGTAGAATATTATTCCATGTAATTTATACTTTTTAGTGATTTTTAGTTTTATTCTAAATGTAGATTTTTTCGTTTTTAAATGAAATGATCTAAAACAGATCTTATAAAAATAAATGCAAGCCAGGTGCAGTGGCTTATGCCTGTAATACCAGCACTTTGGGAGGCTGAGGCAGGAGGATCGCTTGAACCCAGGAATTGGAGGTCAGCCTGGGAAACATAGGGAAATACCATCTCTATAAAATATTTTAAAATTACCCAGAAGTCGTGGCACATGCTTGTAGTCCCAGCTACTTGGGAAGCTGAGGCAGGAGAATTGCTTGAGCTTAGAAGGTCGAGGCTGCAGTGAGCTGTGATGTCACTGAACTCCAGACTGGGCAACAGAGTGAGATCTTTTCTCTAAAACATAAAGAAAATAAATATTAAAATAAGTAAAAATAAATGCATATGAAAATATACTTGTTAACAAATTTTATATATATATATATATATCTCTGTGGGCAAATCCATACATAATCATTATAATTAAAAACAGTTATAAATATAATGTATGAAGAAATAATTTACCCAAGATGATTACACTATGAGGAAATAGATTAGATAATTGTGTGCTGACTTTTTCTGTAGAAGGTAAAATTATTTTCTCTGTCCTTCAAAGAGTCACCCTTCTTATTAACAAAAAGCATGCCTTTTTTCCCCCAAAGCCCCACACTCTTAGGCACCTTTATGTATGATTTAAGTTGTCAGCAGATTAATTCAAACTTTTTACCAATAAATTATTCACATTTTTTCCTCCAATAATGACTAATGGAATATGTAGGAAGTGTGAAATATATTCACATTTTGACAGTCATTTTTATCAGAGTACTGAAAGCACATATTCTTAAGCATGTATCACTGGACTACATTAAAATTAGTAGCACATAAAAGAAACAATAGATAATCATTATCTAAATTCCTGAAGTACATAATGATGTGGTTATACCCTTTAATTAACATAATGCTTTACACAGGTAGGTCTTTCATATATGTCTTTTGTTATATACACTGCAGCTAAGTGTTTATGTGATCAACATTAAAAGCCCTGAGTTTACAAAGTGCTGAGTCACACATATTTAAATCTCATGATCTTTAACCAGGGGAAGGCCACATTCCAAATGACAGATGCACTGAAATATACGCAGAATATGAAAAGATGGCATCATATTGCCATAATGTGCTTTTCCTCACACTTTGCCATATTTCTTCATTGCCTGCTTCTCTGAAGCAAAAATAACCAGCTGTTGCAAAACATGGCCTGGTTTTATAAAGTGATCTTTTGTCATTTCCAGGAAGACTGCCCATGATCTCCACTGACCTAAAGCAGGCTACCGTAGAGCTACCAAGTGTGGGAGCTCACCATTCAAACAGGCCATCTTTGGGAAATATAAAGAAAATATTTCAATAAAAGCTTTTATTTTCCTTCAAAAAATGAATTCACTACACTTCAAAGTTTGGAGGTGTACAATCAAGGGGGTGCTACTGGTATCTGGCAGGCAAGTACAGTATGTTAAAGAATATCTATCAGGTTATCTTGCAAATCAGATCTTTTTCCAATCTAAAAAGGTGGTATTGAGCAAATAAAGGGCCTAGATGGAAGAGCCTCATGTTTAAATAAAAGTTTTTCCCAAAAACAGGCTCATTTAAGACAAAATACTTTAAAATATAAATATTTATTGATTCTTATCATCAGTTACTGTTGCCCTACATTTAGGTTTCAATCTGTATTTCTTAAGTTCTTTGATGTTTTCATTGCTATCGCATTTTAGAAGACAGGGCATAAGTACCTGTACTTATTTCAAAATGGTTGGTAGAAGTAAATATTTTAACAATCCAGGAATAAGTCTGAGTACACTGATTACATTGTTTAAGATTGTTCTAAAAGAGAAGTTGAATACTAGTCAGAAAAAAACACCCAAAAAAGTATGGAGAACATATTATTTGTATCCCTAATAGCAGTGTTTCTCAAACTTTAATGTGTTTAGGCATCAAATGGGAATCTTTTTAAAATTCGGATTCTGATTCTGTAGGCCTAGGGTGGAACCTGAGATCCTGCACTTCTAACAAGCTCTCAGGTGGTATTGATGCTGCTGGTCTAAGGACCTCTCTGTGGATAGCAAGGTTTCGTCCCCCTATACCACTGGAAGCTGATCATCAATAGGGAAAATAAAAGAGCAATCTATCTGTAAAAGAGACTCTTTGAAAGGTCTTTTTCACAAACAGTCAATGCACTAGCACTGTCTTCTAGCAATTTCCTTAGACCCAATTCCTTAGACCCAATTTCCTCAGACCCAACTACTTCTGAACTAGTATTTGACACACGATGTGAAAACATGGCAAAGAATTCTATGGAAATAAAAATTAATGATGGCATTTTTCACTTTTTAGCCTGTAAATGTGTTTGTTTGATATGCATTGACTAGAAAAACCTTTTGCATGACAAATACACCTATTTTTTAAAGACGAAATTATAGCAGAAATGAAGTTTAAGCACTGAATGAATCAAGTATCAGTGAAATCCCTTTACTCTTTATTGAGCCAAGGAAATGTAGTGGTTGATTAGATGTTTTTCAAAGGCAGGAAGCAATTTCAGGAATAAACACCATTTGCTTATTTGAAATAAAGGTGTGGAAGTGGCATTGACCCTTGACAGATTTTCCTCTTGTTCGTAGAAAGGAGGGTGTGTTAGCTCTGTTAATTCTATTGTTGATCAACAGTGAGTTTCTCTGAAGTTTCATGAATATCACTAGAACTAGTTATAGAAGTTAAATCTCTATGCTTTAGAAATAAATTTTTATGAACTCTTTGAATTCTCAAAGCGCAGCATCTAAGTATTAAACACAGCTTACATCTAATGCAACACATAAGTCAAAAACACTTTATCAAGGAGAATCTGAATAGAAATGTATCATCTAGTATTTTTGTCTCAGGGGCTCTTTACACTTTATGTGGGTTATATCTATTGATATTTATTATATTAGAAATTAAAACTGAGAAATGTTTTAAGTATATATTTATTTTAAAATAATAATAGGCTGGGCGCAGTGGCTCACGCCTGTAATCCCAGCATTTTGGGAAGCTGAGGCGGGTGGATCACCTGAAGTCAGGAGTTCAAGACCAGCCTGAATGACATGGTGAAACCCCATCTCTACTAAAAATACAAAAATTAGCTGGGCATGGTGGCGGATGCCTCCCAGCTATTTGGGAGGCTGAGGCAGGAGAATCTCTTGAACCTGGGAGGCAGAGGTTGCAGTGAGCTGAGATCGTGCCACTTCATTCAAGCCTGGGCAACAAGAGCAAAAACTCTGTCTCAAAAAAGATAAATAAAAAATAATAATAAATAAAAAATAACAATAGTAAACCCATCACATGTTAAATTAAATAACATATTCCTGTGAAAAATAACGTTTAGCAAAACAAAAATATTTAAACAGTAACCTTGTTTTATAATTTTACAAATCTCCTTAAGGTCTAGATTAATGGACAACACTTGGTTCTCCTAGCTGCTTCTGCATTCAATCTTTTGCAATATGTTATTTTAGTTGATTTTTTTTTTTTTTTGAGACAGAGTCTCGCTCTGTCACCCAGGCTGGAGTGCAGTGGCTGATCTTGGCTCACTGCAAGCTCTGCCTCCTGGGTTCACGCCATTCTCCTGCCTCAGCCTCCCAAGTAGCTGGGACTACAGGCGCCTGCCACCACGCCCAGCTAACTTTTTGTATTTTTAGTAGAGACGGGGTTTCACCGTGTTAGCCAGGATGGTCTCGATCTCCTGACCTCATGATCCGCCCGCCTCAGCCTTCCAAAGTGCTGGGATTACAGGCATGAGCCACCACGCCCGGGCTAGTTGATGTATCTTAAGAAAATTTGGCCTCTCACAGATATACACTTGGAAAGCAAAGGGCTATTTTAAAAGTCCTTTCAGATAATTGTGAATATTCTTCTTTGATGCGCTGATGTTTCTTAAAAGATTAGTCACCACATGGAATCTGAAATCCTATCAATGAACTTTGTTGCTCTGCTACGTTAAAATCCATTGGTCCATCTTGCCCTTTGAATGTACAATATAATTTTGTAACATCATACACCGGTCATTTGAAAAATATTGTTTCACCAAATAATTCAGATGTTCCAAATATAGACATAATTCATTATATAATATTTTTAAAGCACATTTGTTAATATCACTACAGATCTCATCAGAAAAGTATTGGAAAACTGTCCTACTCATAGCAGCCGATTCAAGTTTCCCAAAATTGTAATTTGCACTTGAGATATTGAATTTTATTGTTGCCACCAAATTCTGTTGTTTTCCTTAGAGTGACAGCAGATTCAGTTCATTCATTTTCTACAAATATACATGCAGAATACTTAAGTCTAAATAATTACGTTTGTCTCATAGCCATTCTTTGAAGTAAAATGGTGTACCATGAAAAAAGAAGTTTAGTTTAGCTCACAACGCTATCACAGGAGTGCTTTTCCTCAACACAACCAACATACTTCAGTATAAAATGAAAACATTTGTGGGTACTTACTATTCTGTCACACAAATGTGTTCTCAAGGGTCAATATTTGATATAATTAATAATTCTACTTCATTAAGAACATTCCTAAATGAAACTGACTTTTTAAAACTGTAAGCATTTTTTGCACTCTCAGTGCAAATGTCTGCACAGTGATAGAAGTAAATAATGTCTTAGTATTATTATGAAAATCATTTTGACCTCATAGACTTCCTGAAAGAGTTTCAGGGAAACAACACCATATACAACTGTAGGAATAAATGGAGCATTTTAAACAGATCAAATATATTTGCATAATCTATCCCCTGGGAAAGATCTTGATATAAATGGGCCAAGATTGGAAGACAGAAAATGAGGCGGGATTGATGATTTGGTGTCCTGGCTGAATATCAACTATTGCCTGTATCCCCATTCCCAGACCTTAAGTCTCCAGGCTTGAATGAGATGACTCTCCCAGCCTGCTTGTTCCCAGGTGCACAGCCATAGTGCTTGTAAAGGGCATGAGCTTTCTAGGCAGACAGGTCTGTGTTTGAGTCCTAACTCTGCCCTCATCTATGTGTAAACTTTAGTTACAAGCTTCAACTTTCTCATCCATAATATAAAGACAATATTGTGTTACGCAACCCTTCATAGGGTTGTTGTAAAAATAAAATAAGATTCATAAAATGCTTGGCACAGTGCCTGGGTTATAATAAACACTCAATAAAGGTTAGATATTTTTAATGCCTGAGGTTTGTTTGTTTGTTTGTTGTGTGGTTTTGTTTTGTTTGTTTGAGACAGGTCTCGCTCTGTCACCCAGGCTGGAGTGCAGTGGCACAATCACAGCTCACTGCAACCTCCGCCTTCTGGGCTCAAGCAATCCTCCCACCACAGCGTCCTGAGTACCTGGGACTACAGGTGCAAGCCACCACACCTGGCTAATTTGTGTATTTGTTGTAGAGATGAGGTTTTGCCATGTTGCTCAGGCTCGTCTTGAACTCCTAAGCTTAAGCAATCTGTCACCTTGGCCTCCCAAAGTGCTGAGATTACAGGCGTGAGCCACCATGCCTGGCCTTGTCTCAGAGTTCTTTATGACCAATAAGCTAATGGCAAATATGGCCCCACTCTCTTTCCTGAAGCAGTAAGAACAGTTGACTTATATCTCTAATCATTTCCTGCGTGGCTTTGGACCTCATCATTCAGCCAACAATGCTGAACTTCTACTATTTCCCCCAACTAAACCAAACCATCTCTCTCCACTGTTTCTGTGTTTGTCCCATCTGCCTATATCCCACTACCTTCTCTAAGAAACTTTTTCTCACCAGCCTCTGGTCCATATTGGACAGATGTCATTCTCTTCTTTGTTGCCATATTGCTATAATTAACTGTATGTACTTCTTTGAAGATTGTGCTTGTAGCCCCAGGACCAGTAATGGTGTATGTGTATAACAGTCACTCAATAAATGTGTGTTGCATGGGGAATTAATAATTATATAACAGCTGGATTGGAAATAAGTTACTATTCTTCACATGAAAGGCAAAGCCTCTTGTGTATTCTCATCACAAATATATTTGTAAGGTGATCAGGTCACCTACCAAGTCATCTTTCTCCCCAAACCCTTTCATGCCCCAAACCTGAGGGAAAGCACTTTTGAATCTGATTCCAGTCCACCAAGCCTGCCCTTTCTACTGTGTTCACTGCCTCCAGCCACTGTCTGTCCCTCCTGTGACTGACTGGGGAGCTACTTCCCACCTGGCTCCAGCCCATCCCATTTTCCAAGGGCAGATCCCTGCTCTCATTCACCCCTACGTTGCTTCAAGCAAGTTCCCTGGAGTGGCCAAGACTCATATGTGAGTTCATCTCTTTACTTCCAAAGCTGAGTTTCAGCCACATGTCCTACCTAGTCTAATGTTCCTTCTTTCTAACATATAGGTACTGTAGTCCAAATTGGTCATGTTCACTTTGGTTGTAGGATAATTCTGTTCTCAGTTTCCGGGGTCACTGCTAGGCTTATTTCCTGTAGGATGTAGTTGGGGATCCTTCATTCTCACCAGCTATCAAAGAGGACCAGATATTCCAACCTCCTGCCAAGGCCAAATCCTTGCATTTGCCAATATTGGTGAAGCACAAGGCACCTGCTTAGACCAGTGTACACCAGCTTGAGGCAAATGCATGTCAGCAGTGTCAGCACAGTATGAATACAGTGTAAGCATATTTGGAGGCCATCCATCTCAAGCCAGTGAACCCACATCAATGGACATGAAAATATAAATAGGGTCCAGGGTTTGATTCCAAATGAAAATTAAAATTGACTGGTACTATCTATCACTCCAATTTATTCTAGTCTGAACAACACTCATCGATTTAATAACTTGGGTCTCTCCTATTCTGCATGTATTAACTGGCCAATTTTCATCTGATAGATAGTCATGACACAAATACAGACTATGCTTTGCATTTTGGTTTTGCCTTTTAAAATATGCATGCTCAGAGACTGAAGAAATGTTAGCTTTTCCTTAGAACCAGATTTAGCTTTGTTTCTTGTTCTTTGGAAAGCATGTTAAGCACGGCATTTGCTCTCCTTTCTAAGCAGCTCTGTGGGAGATAAAAGACAGGGTAAGCTTCAGACCTGGATTCTGCTCAGCAGAGTGTTTGGGGAGGGTGCAATAACAGTGCAGATAACTTCCTCCAGGCACACAGCATACCTACTTAATATCATTACACAGAGATGTGGACAGGACTACTGACTCCTCAGTGATTTTACTGATCTGAGAAAGTGAATAAGCAGATCTGTTCATCTACCACCATGCAATTGGGCCAAGACAATCAACTATAATCACAGCCAATGGTTGAAATAAATTGGGTTCATGTGGAACAAGGATCTAGAACAGACTCAACTCATTTAATAGAGTTCATTTTTGCCAAAATATAATTAGTGCTACTGAGTATTTGTAGGCATCTCCATCCACTTCATCCACATCTGCAGCTGCTTAGAGGTGCTGTGAAGGGTAAACTAGCTCCTTTCAAATTGGAAAACACTGATTGCCTAAGAGAATTTCCATTTGGGAAATATCTATCTAGCAACATTTGTGTTATAAAAAGTCACCCAGAAACTTTTCTCTGGGGTTCCCACTCACTTTTCTAACCATGCATAAACAATCATTTATTTCAGCAGCCACTGAAGTTTTTGTTCAGCATCTAATTTTATGGTGGAATCACCTTAAAAAGTGTCATAGATAACACTTCTCTATAAAGGTCCAAAAAATCACCATTGTTCTTTTTACTTAAGATTGCTTTGGCTATTTGGGCTCTTTTTTGGTTCCATATGAATTTTAGAATAGTTTTTTTCTAATTTTGGAAAGCATGTCGTTGGTAGTTTGATAGGAATAGCATTGAATCTGTACTTTGCTTTGGGCAGTGTGGCCATTTTAACAATATTGATTCTTCCAATCCATGAGCATGGAATGTTTTTCCATTTGTTTGTGTTATGTCTGATTTCTTTCAGCAGTATTTTGTAATTCTCATCATAGAAAACTTTCACCTTCTTTTTTAGCTGTATTCCTAAGTATTTCATCTTTTTTGTGGCTATTGTGAATGAGATTGAGTTCTTGAATTGGCGCTGAGCTTGTGTGTTATTGGTGTATAGAAATGCTACTGGTTTTTGTACATTGATTTTGTATCCAGAAACATTGGAGAAGTGGTTTATCAGATCTAGGAGCTTTTGGGCAAAGACTATGAAGTTTCTAGGTGTAGAATCATATCATCTGCAAACAGAGATAATTTGACTTCCTCTCTTCCTATTTGGATGCCTTTTATTTCTTTCTCTTGCCTGATTGCTCTCGCCACGACTTCCAATACTATGTTGAATAGGAGTGGTGAAAGTGGGCAATTTTGTCTTGCACCAGTTCTCAAGGGGAATACTTCCAGCTTTTGCCCATTCAGTATGATATTGACTGTGGGTTTGTCATAGACAGCTATTACTTTGAGGTATGTTCCTTCAATGTCCAGTTTCTTTATGGTTTTTATCATGAAGGAATGTTGGATTTTATCAAAAGCTTTTTCTACATCTACTACATCTACTACGTGTGGTTTTTGTTTTTAATTCTGTTTATGTGGTGAATCACATTTATTGATTTGCATATGTCGAACTAGCCTTCCATCCCAGGAACAGAGCTTACTTGATCACGGTTGATTAGCTTTTTGATATACTGCTGGATTTCAGTTTGCTAGCATTTTGTTGAGGATTTTGGCATCTATGTTCATCATGGATATTGGCCTGAAATTTTGTTGTTGTTGTTGTGTCTTTGCCAGGTTTTGGTATCAGGATGATGCTAGCCTCACAGAATGAGTTCATCACAGACATCATCACATCACATCAAAGACATGAAAACAACCTAAATGTCCATCAACAGTGGACTGGATAAAGAAACTGTGGTACATATACACCATGGAATACTATGCAGCCATAAAAAAGAATGAGATAATGTCCTTGGCAGCAACATGGATGAAGCTGGATGCCATTATCCTAAGTTAACTAATACAGGAACAGAAAACCAAACACTGCATGTTCTCACTTATAAATGGGAGCTAAACATTGAGTACCCATGGACACAAGAAGGAAACAATAGACACAGGGGCCTGCTTGAGGGTAAAGAGTGGGAGGAGGAGGAGGAGGATCAAAAAACTACTTATTGAGTACTATGCTTATTACCTGGGGGACAAAATAACATGTATACCAAACCCCACGACATGCAATTTATCGATGGAACCAACCTTCATATGTATCCCTTAAAGTAAAATAAATGTTAAATAAATAAATAAAATATAGTTTGGAAGGGGAAAAAAGTCACCATTGTAAGAGAAATAGCTGAGATGGGGGCCTTTTTTTGTACTGAGCCATAAGCAACCTACAGACAGCAACTGTGGAACTTGACTTTGTATTATTCATAGTGCCCAATAGAATGTTTTTCACATAATGGATATGGATGACAGTATGGATTTCAGTAAATGGAAAATAAAATGCTTGATGTGTGATAGTAAAAATTGCCAAGTAATTGTGGCAAGTCAGAAGAAGTGATTCTGCTTTTCCTATACACACAAAGATTGTTGATAACTTCTATTATTTAGTCAGAACACCTTATCACAATTAAATGTGCCTCCTTAATATCTCTTCAGAAAATATGCCTAATTAGAAAACAGCTCCGACATAAGATTTTGTTTTAGGAAATTTATTGACAATGAATATCATACTCCTCACTGTTGACTTTGATTTACAAAATTTTAGATAACCAGAAGTTTCAATATGGTCATCATATTAACCCAAGACCATCCCTAGTTCATGTATTATTGGTAAAAAAACTTTCTCACATCTCTATCAAATGTGTTCCTTCAACAAACAAAAAAACTATGAAATTTAATTTCATCATGGAAAATAGAAAAATAAAACATTTCTGTTTTCATTGTTACTATCTTATGATACCAGAAGGGTACCAGCACCCAATACCAATTCATTTACTTGTTCTAAAATAGGTACATTAATTCCCAGCAGTGCTAATTTCTCTCTAAACAAATTCCTGTCTGTCTCTATACACATGACTCATACTCTTTCCTTCCTCTAGTGATCCAAGAAACATGTTTATTCTATTCTTTTGCATCTACATCTGGGAATCTTATTAGCAGAAGTAAAAATAAATAGCTTAGCTTAAATAGCTCAGCTTAGTGAATCTGCCTTTCCCAGCAAATTCACACTTACTAACATCCTGAAAATGCTTTGTAGTTATTTAAAAGACTTTGAAAATTTTGGAAATTTTAATTCTCATTTTATTTAAACATCTATTATCAAACTGGAGCAAAAATCTCAACAACAATGGTATAAGGAAGGCTGCAAGTGTCCCATTAATATCCTCTCATCCTTAACCACTTCTGTGTATGTGGCCCAGGCTTCCAGCTCCCAATACTTGGGTTTCCTTCCCTGACAGCTTTTTATAGCCATTTTGCAACAGGTCAAAAGTGCCAGGAGCCCTTAGCAGGAGCCCTCCACCAATGTGGAAGGGAGTTACTAAATAAATATCCCAGATCCCTTACCCTGGGGAGCGGGGGATAGCACTGAGGCATCTGTTCTACATAGGTCCCAGAGATCCCCCAGTGAGATTAAATTCCAGTTGCCCACAGTGGTAACTAACCAGACAATGAACCTTTTTATTGGCTGCCTTCCCTCCTTGTTTTAGTTCCCAATTCTCCTACTGATGTTTGCTTCATCTCTCAAATAAACTTTTTGTTCTACCATCTTTCTCGCAAAGTATGTTTCTGTGACAGCCCAAACTGAGCTAGCGGCAAGGCAAAAATCCTAAGAAGCAGATTTTCAGAATGGGATTCTAGAATTGAACAATTCACCAGCCAAATGGCAATAAGGGCTCCACTACTGGTGATAAGTGGAATAGTACCAACATTAGGCATTCTGTGGCAACCCAACTATTAACATTCTCACTTGTTGTTAACTGGAATCTGATACAGGTAGAAGATGGTGTACTGGATAATGCAGATCACTAGTATTTGAGAGACTTGGAGGAAATGGTCATTAAGAACTATGAAACTAGTTTGTCATAAAGTACAATGAAGTTCTCAAGGAAGAAAATGACAGACAGGTTCATGCTTCTACCAATTCAGCTCCTATATGTCTTTGCCTGTGAGCATTTTCTCATCACTGAAAGCACTTTGTCCTGTGGCATAGGCTGAAAGTACTGGAAATTAGTGACCTCCAGGAACAGCATTTAACGCATGACTGACAGGAATTGGTGCATAAATACCTCACCTCACTCACCTCTTGGATGAGAATGACTCTGAAACACGTGTTCTATACTGGTTCCCAGAGTTCCCTCATTGGCATTAAATTCCAGTAGCCCACAGTGACAATTCTTGTTGGCTGGCTTCTGTCTCTGTCCCACTTCCCAGTGTTTACTTTGTATCCTACTTAAGCTGCAGTCCTTTTTTCAGGGCCTACTTCCAGGGGCACCCAAACTAAATCAAGTGGTCTTATCCATCATTACTAGGACTTCAGTTTTGTAGCTGAAGAACAAGGCAAAGCCATGATGAATATGCAGAACCCAATCCAATGCCATCTAAATATAATAGTTTGGCCCTATCAAGGAAGAAAATTATGAAATGAATTCAGAGTAGAATCAAGAGATAAAGAAATTAGTTGAATTCTATCAACTGGTAAAGCAATTATGAGGAGAAAGAATTGAATTTTGTAGAGACTGAATCTTAGGGGCTAGCATGGGTTGTGAAACGATACCTTTTCTCAGTGGTAGCCCTGTTAAAGCCACTATACAGAGGGCTCACATTGCCCTCAGGTCCTTGACAGTGTCTCAGGACAATAAATACCCTATAACCCAAACAAAATTACCAGCAGATATGCACTTGTCCATTTGAGAAGGTCTTGGTAGAGTCACCCTAATTTACTGGGTAGAAATTTTTTCCTTTATTTTTTCCCCAGGCAAATGTATATTAAAGGAGAGAGATGAAAAAGTAAGTCAAATATATAGTATTATTGTGTTAAATATTAGAAATACATATGCATAATTGGCACTAAGAGTATATAAGAGAACAAAGAATATGTTATATGAATATTGTGATTCCAATTTTAAATGTGCAATTAGATGATTCATTTAGACATATGATTTTAAATGCAAATGCATAAAAGAATTATGGGTTTATAAGCAATATGACAACATTTAGAATAATAAATATTGTAGCTTCCTCATGTTTATGAATATAATTTAATAGATTTTAATAATTTAAATACTTGAGAAAGTGTTATTTGATCTGATAATTTAATCACTCTAAAAATATCAAATGTGTTAAATGTATACATCCTCCTTAAAATTAATTTTTAAACTATACCAAATTTTTAAACTGAATCATTAGATTTATAAGTTTAAATTTAAAGCTTAAAGAAGAACTAGAGTTTGAATTTTGTAACTTTAATCAATCAAATATTAATTTTAAAAGATCAAAGCCAGTACAAATAGTCCTCTCTATGAACAAAAACTGCTCCCAAGAACAACCAAAAGACTCACCCTAAGGTTGGGATACAATGAGCCCGTGTTTATAACCACTGTGGACTTTGTATCTTTAAATAGGCCAATCTAGCAGCCCACAAGTACCTGAATTACCAGTTCTTCTCAACAGTTTTCCTTTTCAACCCCTTCACCACCTTGTCTGGATTGCAACTAACCTATTCATTGTCTGATTTTTTTTTGGAATTATCTCCATATTTTTTCTATCAGGGCCACAACTTTCAGAAATATGAAGATGACATCCAATTGGATTCTGCAACTCTGTGATCTACAGGTACAGACTTAGCTATGCTGACATTCTATGCACCTCAACCATTCCACCTTAAAGTAGGCAAGGCACTTTGTATCTCCATTGCTTCTTCCTCTCCCACTTAAAAATAATAATTTTTTTTTGCTCTCTCTCTCCATTACCCTGGTTAGCTGAATTTTCACACTTATATGAGGTGAAAGTACCAATTTCTCTAAATAAACAAAACAGCTTTATGTTCAGAATGTTAGGTGTATGTGGGAATTTGTTTTGTTTTGTTTTTCATTTGCTACTTTCCTAAGACATTTTGTTACCTTATTAGGTGGACTCTTTTTTTTTGTATGAACTTCCTAGAAGGTTACAGGGCATTGCCCAAGTAAATAAAACAAGAAGCCCATCTGTGTAAATCAAATTCAACTATTACCAATTTTTCTAGGTAGTACTGAATAGTAATAGTTGAATTTGATTTACATAAATGGGCTTCTCAAAGAAAATAAGTAAAATGCTTACTTTTTAAAATGCTGATTACTTTTCAAAGTCATAAATCAGTCAAAAGTTGAAAGACCAAAACCTTCCATCTCTCTAGTTCACTGCCACTCTTTTACATAAAATGGAAGCAGCGGAAAAACTCCTCTTCTGTCCTACCCCAAACCAAAACCCAAACCCTACGGCTGCCAAACTCACCTGGAATCCCAGTACTACCCGGAAATCCTGTGGCTTTAACTTAAAAATTCCCATGTCATGCTTTCAAGCTCCAAACCTGATCCTACTTCTTAACTTTCAGAAGATAAGCCCACTTATTTCACCGAGGAAATAAAAGCCATCCTTTATCTCTTCCCACAAAGCCATCTAACTAACACATCTTTAGTACCTACTATGTAGTAGCCAGGTAGTATGCTAGAAAAAAGCTATGCCTGAGAGAAAAATAAGATGTAGTCTCTGCATTCAAGAAATGCATCGCCTGATAAAGAGGAGGATGTAGAAAATAATTAAAACAAAATATAATAAGTGTAGCTGAATGACTTGGGACAGTAATTCACAAAATGTGTAGCGCTCTTATAATAGCAAGTATAAGTAAAAGATGTAGTTACCCGAGATTTTTCCCTGAATTCATTCTAACTACTAGCTATCTCCTAATTTATGATTTTTTTGGTCCATCATCTGTAATTCCTGCCTAATCTAGTTTAAAACAAATAAGTGAAAGATGTGAATCATTAAGAACAAAGAAGAAAAAGTAAATCACTATTATTTATAATATGAAATTCCAATTCTGAGTTAATATTTAAAATGTTACTGTATATCTTTTTAAAGGTAAAACTTTTGAAATTTTCTCTTTCTCATGTGAGTGTGGTTAAAAGGATGAACAGAAAAATACACAGAAACATTTAAAAGAAAGATAGATCTGAAACAACAACATATTTTAATTATTAACTGATTTACTTCCTACCACCCTGTACTTCCTGGCATCCCCAGATCCTTTCCTTTTTTTAAGAAAACAAAACAAAACAAAACAAAAAACACTTCTTCCAAAAGAAAAAAAAAAGAAAGCAAAAAAACCCAGTAGTATTGTGGTTACCTATTGATGCACTCAAAAACCACCCCAAAATTCAATGTCCTAAAATAGCAACCATTTTATAACTTCTCACTATTCTGTGGGTTGACTGAGCTCAACTGGAGGGTTCTTCTGCTCCACATGATATTGGCTAGGGGTACACTCTTTCTGGACTCAATTGGATTAGAACATCCAAGGTGGCTATTTACATGTCTGGTGCTTTGGTGAGGATGACTGGCAGGCCAGGCTCAGTTGGGACACCAGTATATCAGGAGGTCTCTCTCTCACTCATATTGTATAGCCATCACAAAAAATATATTGAGCCCCTTCTCTATATCAGGCACTGCTCTAGGCATTAGCAATACAGTGGTAATCAAGAAAGAAAATCTCTTTGCTTTCATGAATTTAACTTTTAGCATGGGAAAAAAATAATAAATAAATAAATAATAATTTTTAATAGCTACAAGTACTCTGAAGAAAATTCAACAGGTAATGTGATGAAAAATGAGGGAGAGGCATTTAACAAGTGTTTGTTGAATGAATAAGCAAACATTTAGTTTCTCTCTCAGAGACATAGAACCATTATCAAACTAAATAAAAATGAGAAAATGATTGTGTTAACATTTTGCTTAAATTAACATATTAAATTTAGATCACGTGTTTCAAAGTGAATTCTGTGCTAACATAAATTCTATGTTAATCACGGAACAGAGGATATGATTTATTTTATTTGCCACTGATAAATTTTATCACAGATACTGATAGATTCTGTCACAGCACTAACATTACTCATAGCTCATAGAATTGCAGAAGTAATTTTTTGTACACTGTTACTGTTCATACAATTTTTATTATGATATAAAAGACTATCATAGACATAGTTAGCCAATTCTGGTCAAAGATACACATTCCAAACCATTTTAAAATTGAAATTAATCCAATAAATTATAATAGCATTGAAGATTTTAGTTCCTGAAATAGTTTATTGTTGAGTGTTTACGGTATAACATGAGTTATCACAAAATAAATAGGATCTTTTAAAAATTAGTGAATCACAATGGCCTCGGTTCTCCAGTGATATTTTAATGGCAGAATATGTACGTGAACAGAAAGACAGTCATGAATTGATGACCATAACCTTGAACCAGGGTTCAAAAACTTTAAAACTGTGTTCTATCTTTGCTAATGACACAGGTCATAACTTCACGCAATAAAACTTCATTCATCAGCCCTTTCTTTCCAGTCCATTGGAAGTCCTGTCTCTACACCAACTACTCTGTGACAGAAAGTCTCTTGAATACTAAAGGGATCATAATACCGTGCCTAACTCACAAAAATGTTACAGAATCTAGTTATATAATAGATTGAAAAGTGTTTTAACACCATATGCACATGTGCATAATATGATCTTACTATTTAATGCTCATGTATGTGAGAGCTTGAAGTGGCATGACTGAGGAAGTTGATTTTGAAGCCATTTGAAACAAAAAGTCATATAAAACAATATAGTAAACTGAAAAGAAAATAGATACTAAAAATTATGTACTGCTAGGCCATTTCAAGCAGTGATCTACAGTCTTTGAAAGGAAAACATTTGCTCTCATTTTAATAGCAATAATAAAGTGTTCTGTGTCAGCCTAGCTTATGTTAGCCTTAGCAGTACAGCAAAGCCAAGTTCTAAGCTTCTGATTTCTTCTTGGACCAATCCAGAAATGTGGGGTCATCCAGGTCGCTATATGGTGCCAGTAGTATATGCCATATCCTTCCAGGTGTCCTGGGCATTGGCATTCCATCTTTCTTAAAAAATACTTTGATCAAGTCTAAAACATTATTGTTTTTCATCAAGTCTAAAGCATCATTGAATATGACAATCAACGTATTATTATTATACATAATAGACGTATATAATTTCAGAGTATGTGATAATACATTCATATAATTTGTAAAGATCAAATCAGTGTAATTGGGATGTCCATCATCTTAAATATTTGTCTTTTCTCTATGCTAGAAACATTCAAATTATTCTTTCAACTATCTTCAAATATACAATAGATTATTGTAAAGTATAGTCACCCTACTCATCTATCAAACAGTAGGTCTTATTTAATCTATCAAACTGTACCCATCAATCAACTTCTTTTCATTTCCTCCTCTCCCCTACTCTTCCTGGCCTCTGGTAACCACCAATCTATTCTCTATCTTCATGAGATCTACTTTTTTTCTTCTATATATGAGTGAGAACATGTAATATTTATCTTTCTGTGCCTCGCAACATTACTTTTTAATGTATCCTATGAAAGAAAGTTCTATTAAATTATGACATGCCATGGATTGTATAATACATGCCAATTTCAAGGATTTTAAAAGGTAAAAAAAAGTTTGTCTTAGAATCAATGAATATAATAATTATTTTGTTAGCATAAAAGTAATGTATATTTGTTAAAAACCTGAAAAATACTGAGTATTAGCTGAAATATGGTTGCAGGTAACAGAAAAGCTTGATTATGTAAGAAAAATGTGTGTAACTGAAAATCCAGAGGAAGAACAGAGGGTAGAGTTGATTTAATTCAGGAACTAATGGCTATCACAACAGCAGTTTCTTTCCATCTCCCTGCTATGTCTCCCATTGTGTCAGCCTTCTTGAGACAAGCTTCTTTCGTGGTATCTGTTCCAGGTTTCCCATCTGCACCCCCTACACTACAATGGAGACAGAAATTCTATCCTAGCATTCTAAGTAAAAAATCTTTTTTTTTTTTTTTTTTTGAGATGAAGTCACACTCTTGTCCCTAGGCTGGAGTGCAATGGTGCAATCTTGGCTCACTGCAACCTCTGCCTCCCCGATTCAAGTGATTCTCCTGCCTCAGCCTCCTGAGTAGCTGGGATTACAGGAACCTGCCACCACTCCCGGCTAATTTTTGTATTTTTAGCAGAGATGGAGTTTCACCATGTTGGCCAGGCTGGTCTCAAACTCCTGACCTCAGGCGATTCACCCGCCTCGGCCTCCCAAAGTGTTGGGATTACAGGCGTGAGCCACTGCACCCGGCCTCTAAGTAAAAATTGTAATATTCATCTGCTAAGGTCATCTAAGTCATCTCAGTTCACCTGAATTGTAACCGTTTTTAGGAAAGTGAAAATGTACATGAAATGTATAGGGACCGAACAGGGAAAACTGAAAAATTTTCTTATTACTAAAAAAAAAGAATGTAAAAATGAATGCTTGAAAAGTGTGATGGTTAATTTTACTAGTCAACTTGGCTAGGCAGTGGTGCCCAGTTGTTTGGCGTCAGCACCACAGGCCAAACACACACACACACACACATACACACAACTACATATACAAAGAGAGAGACTGATTTATTTTTGACACACAAAAGCCAATAAAAATGTCTACTAAAACTTTGGGAGGCCAAGGCAGGTGGATCACCTGAGGTCAGGAGTTCGAGACCAGCCTGGCCAACATGGCAAAACCCTGTCTCTACAAAAATACAAAAATTATCTGGGCGTGATGGTGCGTGCCTGTAGTCCCAGCTACTCGGGAGGCTGAGGCAGGAGAATCGCTTGAACCCAGGAGGTGGGGGTTGCGGTAAGCCGAGATCGTGAGATTGTGACACTGCACTCCAGCCTGGGAGACACAGTAAGCTTCCGTAAAAAAAAAAAAAAAAAGGGAAAAGTATAAAAAGAAAAAAATAGAAATCCCCTATAATCAGGAATATCACCATTTTAAAATGTTTTATTCAACTTTATCTATTTACTTACTTTTACATGTATGAAAACATATGGGAACTTACTTTACTCAAATGACATCACACTGCATATATCAGATTCAAAACCTTGGAATCTTGTTTTTGTCCCGTAATATATTAAAGTGATCATTTTTCCATGCCCCTAAGTATCTTTAACGTAAATACCTAAATATATTTAACTGCTGATTTTTTTCAGCAGCTACCAAATAATCCATCACATAACTGAACTACAATCTGTTTAACTAGTTGACTGTTTCTGGGCTTTTTGATGATTTCTTTTTCTTTAACTACACAGTGCTCTCTCCTGATTTGAAAAAGCCAGTCAGACACTGTTTCTGGAATCTGAGGTTTCTAGAAGCCAGGATCAAAAGTGTCGCACTTGGTTCCACTTCATGCAAGCTAGAGCTCATTATGAATAAAAGAGCATGTTGCTAACTTGGCCTTTAGCCAGAGTCTGACCTGGCATCAAAACATATCACTGTTCTGGAGATAATCACAAAGATCTGCAACCATCATAAAGGTTTCTGTGGCAGTGACATGGACTCCTGATCCCTGTTCCTATGTTGTCATTGCTATTATAAACATGCATTTGTATTAAACTAACATAGTAATGTTTGTGACTTGTCTAAAATTTGTTTAATCTTGTAAGATTCTTGTAAGAAAGAAAATCAACAAAGAAAATAAAAGGAAAGGAGGAGTTATGAATATACCTGTTTGGTATCTCAGTAAGAACATATTTTGTATTCTATATTTACTCATACTCCCAGTTATGAGACAAAACTAAATGTGTGCTTGTGAGTGATGAACAGAATGGATGTTCTTGGAGAACAAAGGAAACACATGGTAGCATGTGAGTGTTCCTCCAAAGCACAGTTGATTTGGGAGTTTCAGGGCCCAACTCTCCCATCACTGCAGATATTGTTCTCTATCCATTATCCTCATTTACAGAAATCCTGATCCATATCCCCAGAGCCAACATACAGCTCACAGCAGCTAGATTTCTCTGAGACAATTAAGTGGCTTTTTTCCCAGTTGCTCTTCCCAGAATTTAGACGGGAGAAAAACATTTTGTGAAATGTTAATACTCTAATGGCAAGAATTAATTTGTGGATGTGGTTAAATGCTATCTTAGCAACGCCTTGAAATGTAGCGTATGATTAGCACTTCACCGGTACAGATATTCATTGCCTTTAAGAAATTCATTTTAATGTCTCTTGTTCTATTATTGTTATGTACTGCATTTTATGCCTTCCTTTTAAATCTTATTTTCCATATTCTAAAGAAAACTCTTTCTTACGAATGATGCATTTTACTTTTCAGACTAATCTTAACTTTCCTACCTCTTGTTTGGAGACTCATATAAGATGTTTATTGTCTTCAGGATGTCTGTTAGCTAAAAGAAGCTTAGAAGGACATTTTCTCCTACATGCTGAATGACTGAAACTTGAATGTGTGAAAGTTACTATCTTACAATAAATTTATGTTACATAGTGTTTCTAAAAAACAGAGTCACTAAATTACGGAGAAATAATACAACGTGGTAAAGATGATTTGGATTAAAACAACAGGAAAAAAATTCAAATCAGGATATATTTATGAATCTATTCTTTTATTTATTTATGTATTCATTTGTTCATTCAAAAGTATTTAATTATCATCTGTCATATCTCAGACACAGTTCTACGCCCTGGAGACAGACCAGTAAACTAAAAGACAAAAATTCTTGTCATCTTGGGCCCCATATTCTAGTGGAGAAAGAGACATTCCTACACTAAAATAAATTCCAATTTTATAAGGAAATCACAGCATAAGTGCTGGAAATTTTAAATAATAAAATGCCACAAAACATAAGAAAATTCCAAATTTAAATAAATATATATTTGGCATAAAACCATATTTATGAGATAAATATTAGAAATAAAATTGTATGAAGCCTGAAATTATACTGGTAAATTATCTGCAAGTGCTTAGTAAGTATAAGGGAAAAGCAAACACTTTCTCTTCTCTTACAAAGTTGACTCTCTCACAATTTTGGTTACCAAAATGTTGGGGAGTGGGCTTCTCCACACACCAAGCAATTCTCCAGCAGACTCCAACTGGATGTCCTACAATTTAACTCAATTCTCACACTACCTACCTAGAAATAGCATCAGATCCCACAGGTTAAGGGCTCACTCCAACAAAACTACCCCCAACTGGAAATGCCAATCACAAATCTAGGCCTCCACAATTTCTGAACAACCATCTATAAATTGGAAGTTCCCACAACCCCCTCCTTGAGTTTGATTAATTTGCTAAAATGGTTCATAGAACTCAAGAAAGCAGATTACTTCCATTTACCAGTTTATTACAAAGTATATTAGAAAGGATACAGATGGACAGCAAGATGGCAGTGATGCACAGGGCAAGGTACGTGGGAGGGGCGCAGAGCTGCCATGCCCTCTCTGAGCAAGCTATCCTCCCAGCACCTCCACGTGTTCAGCAGCCCAGAGTTCTCTGAACCATGCAGTTCAGGGATTTTTGTGGAGGCTTCATCATATAGGCATGACCAATTATTACCTCAATCTCCAGGCCCTTTCTCCTTCCTGGAGCATGAGGGAAGAACTGAAAGTTCCAATCTTCTAATCATAGCTTGGTCTTTCTGGTGACCAGCTTCCGTCTAGGAGCCCACAGAAAGTTGCCTCGTTAGAACAAAAAATGTTCCTATCTCCCAGGAAACTCCAAGGGATTAGGACCTCTGTGTCAGGAGCCAGGGCCCAAGACCAAACATCAGCACAAAAGATGCACCTAACACCACTATCACTCAGGAAATTAAAAGGGTTTGAGGAATTCTGTGCCAGGAACCAAGGCACAGACCAAATATATATTTCTTATTACATCACAATATGACAGTAAGAAATTTGTAGAAATGGCATGGCTTGAAAGGCATTGTCATAACTCAACAAGAACATTCTTTGACAGGTTGTTCAATAAACAATATGGAGAGGATGGAGAGTTAAAGAGGAATCGTGCTATGGTTTTACAATGCTCATGGTTCCGTAAGAAGGAAAGGCAGGGTCAGGTGCAGTGGCTCATGCCTGTAATCCCAGCAGTTTGGGAGGCCGAGGCACGTGGATCACTTGAGGTCAGGAGTTCGAAACCAGCCTGGCCAACATAGGGAAACCGCATCTCTACTAAAAATAGAAAAATAAGCTGAGTGTGGTGGTGCATGCCTGTAATCCTGTCTACTCGGGAGGTTGAGGCAGAAGAATCATTTGAACCCGGGAGGTGGAGGTTGCAGTAAGTCAACATTGTGCCACTGTACTCCAGCCTGGGTGACAGAGTGAGACTCTGTCTCAAAAAAAAGAAGGAAAGGCAAGATCAGAAAAATCATTATTTCTATAGCACAATGAAAGAAAATAAATGACCCATTTGCACAAGGTTTTAGGTGATGCAAGAAAGAGAGACTATCTTACAATACACTGCAGTCTGGAGAACCCTTGAGGAATAACAAAATAGTGAACATGGAAAACCAGAAAAGAATTACATACTTTTAAAGAGGTCATTAGAGTGCAAAACTAGCCTAAATGTCCACTTAAAATTCTAACATTGTCTGTTTGGTAATGATGTATTGCCATTACCATTATACAATGCAGTAGTTGATTCTTAATCATTTTCATTATAAATAATTATAAATGTTAAGCTGTTACATTAATTTGTCTTTAAAGGAAGGGCTATTTTTTAAGATCAGCTGTTGTAGAAAGGGCTACAGATTGAGAAATAAAAGCTACTGCAAAATCTGTGTCTTTAAGCTCTCCTGAGCTTAAGATTTTTATTTAAACCACCCATTAGACATCTTTCCAGAATCCCTTAGGGACCTCTGACTTGACATGTCCGAAAGTGAACTCAGTATCATGCTTGATATCCCATTTCATCATCTCTACTAACAGTTCTACCATCCACTTAGACTGGCTAGCTACAAACCTGGAAATAACCTCTCTCTCTCTCTCTCTCTCTCTCACACACACACACACATACACACACATTCTCTCTCTCTCTCACACACACACACATACACACACACACTCTCTCTCTCACTCTCTCTCTTACTGAAGATCACATGTTTGGTGATCTCTCCTCTCTATCATCATTATCACTGTTTTAGGCCAGGTCCTCATCGGTTTTCATCTGGATCACGATACTTGCCCTCTGGCTGATCTTCTAGACTCCAGTCTCTCGTCATCTGTTTCATCCTGTGGCTGAAGTCATCTTCCTAAAAACAAACCAGATCATAGACACCATTTCCCTAATACCGTTTTTGGTTTTCCTTCTGCCCATGCACTCCTATAAGTAAAATGTTTATCTCAAATACACATATCCATTTGTAAATAGCATATATTATACAAGTACTGCATTAATATATCATACACATAAGAAAACATAAAAATTGAAAAATTAAAGGATGAGATGAAGATGAAATAACCCCTATTTTATATGCCATTTATTTATTATTTTTGTTTTTTTTTTTTAAGAAATAATGTCGTGCTCTGTTGTCCAGACTGGAGTGCAGTGGCATGATCATAGCTCACTGCAGCTTCTAACTTCTGGGCTCAAGCAATCCTCCTGTCTCAGCCTCCCTAATAGCTGGGCCTACAGGTGCATGCCACCATACCTAGCTAATTAATTTATTCCATTTATAATGGTAGATAAAAACCTTTTGCCATTACTAAAATGTTGTTTAGTGAGAGTAATATGGTTGAATATTCTTCACATTTTTTGGAAATTTTTATTGTGATAAGGCAACTTACAAATCTGAGTACAGCTTACTTATATTTAGTTTTTATGGCTGTCAGAGCTACAGAATACACCTCACATAGAACCACATATGCAAACAGAGGAAGCATTCATTGGATGAGCTTATGAAAGTATGATACTCATTTTTCAAAGACCATCCACCAGTTTTGCAAGGACTTTTGTTAAAATTTATTAACATTTGAAATATTCATGTTATTTCAATCTTTTTAAGTTATTTGTCCATTCTGTGAGGCTTAGGTTAGTCAATCCAGATAATATAATACATAAATCCACTTCACTGAGTAACATAAATTGCTGATAAATGGTAATTTGCTTTAAGAATGAACAAGGTTGTTAAGGACACCCCTCAGCTGTGGATCCCAACCTTCCCTCAGAATTCCTTGCACATAGCAGTCCCTCTGTCTGTCTGATATACGGACCAAGTGAGAGCGCCAATGTCAATCCATGTTACTTATTAATAAAGCATAAATCGTTTCTCACATTTTTGGATAGATAGCCAAGTTTTAACCTTTTCTTCCCACACCCCAGTATATCACTCACAAAGCCCTTGAGTGGTTCTCACCCTACTTTGGAGACCACTGGCTAATGTATTACATTCAAATATCTCAGCTGGACATGCAAGGACTTTCCTGGTCACCCTGAGCAATCTCTCAATTCCTCAAAGCCTACTCATCAGCCACGTTGAACATTTCATCATCCTCGAATCTGGTTATAGCTTTGTCTTTCACATTTTCTATCTAGAATACTCTTACCCACACACTGCCTTATCCAAAAACATCTTCACCTAGTACACTCTTCTTCATCCTTCAAGACATGCACAAATTAGAGCACTTTGATGTTCTTTCTGCCTGCCCAGTGTTCTGGGCACTCTGTTCACACCTTTTAATGCCCCTTGAGCCACACTATGGACACATATGTCTCTCCCTATGCTGGAAGCCCCTTGGAGCCAAAGACCATTTGAGTAATCACAGAGCCTAACACAGAGACTTCCCAATAGACAGCACCACAAAAAATATTTTCGGGATATTACAACTTAGAAAGATTGAGCAATTTTAAATATAAAAAGCAAAGAACAGCAAATATTTGTTGAAGAATTGAAGACCAAGAGGAAAAAGCTTCTGAGAAGAGTCAAGGAATCAATTCCCTGTTATTCTTACACTGGCTGACCAATTCATAGATAGGATATAAGGGAGCTGCAAAGAAGGTGCAACTGGCAAGGTAAGGTTTAATTAATCAAGAATAGCTTTTGATTCAACAAAAACTGGCTGCATTGTCTTCCAGAAGATCCCACGATGAGATGGTGGTGACCCCAGTGATCCCTAGAAAGCATTGTACTCCATAGAGCTGCAACAGAAAACTAGAAATTCCATCTCAGCCTCAGAGACTGAGGGGGACTGAAAAGATAGCTTTACCTTCTAAGAGATAATTACTAATTAATAAATTAATTAAATCTATTGCCTTCAAAATGTATAGAACTGATTACCTTCAGCTACACCTGTTCCAAGCAGCATATTAAAAAAATATATCCAACTTATTTCTTTGCATGTGAGTTTATTTTCAGTGTGACATAAAATCATAAACATTTCTATCACACGATGGTTTTGCATGAGCCCAGGTTAAAATTTTTCTCCTTTTGATGTACGTTAAACATAGCTTATAATATACATCCCAATGTGTATCATATAATAATTTTGCTTTTCCATTCTATGTTATCTTATGGAGGCAGCAGTTTTTGCCAGTGGTCATAGCCAGAAATTAGGACATGGGTGAGTCATTTAAGCTTTCTCCTGAACTTCACTTATAAAATGATGACACTTTTTAGTTGACTCACAAATACTCCTAAGAGCCCACAGAGTTCTTTGAAGGTGGTATTATTTTTTATTGCAACACTTACTCCATGAATAAACGCTAGAGTCATCATAAAGCAGTGATCCCTGCAAGCTGTCATTTCATGCCACCTTTGCTACTCATCTTAATAAACACTATCATATCTTGGTAATGAACACTTCCATCTCAGTTTCACAGGGTATTGCTGATATATTTATAAGTAATTCACTGTAGCATATTTCTTGAAGTTAAGATTTATATTTAAAGCAATATTACAACTTAGCAAGGACTCAGAGGCAAAAATTAATTATATAAAATAAAAATAATTTTAGTAAACAGCTTAAAACATTAATTGATAAACTTTGCCTCTCCTTTGTAGTCCCTTGTGCTAGATATTTTTGGAAATGTGTGATTGATTGAAATTCTCAGAATATCAGCTTTGGGAAGATGCTCATATTATATAAAAATATTTAATTGGTAACAGTCTTATAAAGAAGTAAATGTTTTAAAAGGAGAGTAGATGTCACTGATGGATGTGGGCAAAGACAACGTAAAACTGTTGAGATCAAGAACACTATTCAGTGCCCAGAAACACATTACAATATCCTAGATCTGCATAGCACTTCAGAGCTTACAGCATCCATCAGTCCTTTATCTCTTTTAAGCACATGAAGTGTTGGGAGATGCAGGAAGCAAGTTTAGTTGACATAATCTCTGCCCTTTGGAGAAAGAAACCCAAAACTTATTGAAAAGCATGATTTTATTTTTCTCACATTGATATCAGTGTTTTTTCCCTTTGTTTATGAACTGAATTTTACTCACAAAGCTTTATTTCAACATTCCCACGAACATGACAAGTAAATTATTTGGTAACGCATAAGCAGATAATCATGGGAAAAACATAGGACAATTTGATACCACTAAAATATTTCATTTATACACATACCTTCACTCCTCAAGGAGAGAATGACCAACAATGTCATCAAAATTAGCAAATTTATTTGTGTTAATGTAACCTTACTTACCTAATGGTTGGTGTGTTCCCTAGGGTATCATACAGATGATCTTTCCTGAATGCTGTGTCACAGAAGAGTTTGGATGATCAAACTGCACTCTAACCTGGAGTAGACTAACCTTGGCTAAATCATAAGATAACCCTGGCAGGCAGAGAGAGAGAATTTGTCACCTTTAAGTGTTTTTCTACATAATATTGTATAATGATAACAACAACATTAATGTTTCCCAAAGACTCTACATGTAACAGAGTACCTTCCTTGAACTGGTAACCTGTTGCTTATCCTCTACTATAGCTAGACTATTTTCAGTCTAGCTTTATCCCTAACCCTCCTATGCGAAATGGATCCCTGTGGCAGGCATTACTCAGAATCACCAAGATTCCTAGAAAGTACGATCTAGAATCTTGGTGATTCCTAGAAACATAAACATAGCCCTTAAAGTTAGGCAATGACCATGTGACTTTCCTTGACAAGAGAAATGTGAGAAGTGACCTGTATCACTTCTGGATGAAAGCACTTGAGGTTTGGTGTGCAGTTCTCCACATCCTTCCTCTGCCATGGTGCTCATGGAAATGTCACAGGAATGAAGGTGGCTAGAACAATGAGTCACTGTGATAGCAGCACTGGAAATTTTGCATGAGAAGGAAATTTACTTTTGTTGTATTAAGCCACTGATATTTTGATGGCATTTGTTACAGCAGCATAATTTAGCCTACCCTGACTGATACAATCTCTCACTAGCTCAGTCACCATTTATGTAGCATCCCACAACTGCATATGTGACTGTTACACCAGTAGGTAGTATATACATATACATGAGTTGACTCCAGTCACTGTTGAGAGCAATGTCTCAAATAAATACCTAGGAGCAGCAGGAAGGTAGTTGGGATAAATCACACTGGGTTCCACACCATTGCCAGGTCCCTGGATTAGCACTGAGGGCTCCCCACTGCAAATAACCATCTTGATTTATCACCAAGGAGGTATCAGTTTTATGGGAGGAGAAAGGGGTTTAATTTAGAACACACTAAAATCTAGTGGGTAGCCACATTGACAAATGGAATAGAATAGAGAACACAGAAATAAAGCAACATATTTATAGCCAACTGATCTTTGAAAAAGCTGACAAGAACTTACACTGGGAAAGGTCACCCTCTTAAATTAATGGTGCTGAGAAAATTGGATAGCCACATGCAGAAGAGTGAAACTGGACCCCCTATCTCTCAACATATACAAAAATAAACTAAAAATGGATTAAAAACTTAAAGGTAAGACACCAAATTACAAAAATACTAGAAGAAAATTAGGGAAAACTCTCCTAGACATTGGTCTAGGTAAAGAATTTATAACTAAGACCTCAATAACACAGACAACAGAAACAAAAATAGACAAATGTAATTTAATTAAGCTAAAAAATTTCTGCACAGCAAAAGAAATAACAAAATGAAAAGACAACCTGTTGAATGAGAGAAAATATTTGCCAAATATTCATATAACGGGGACTAATATCTAGAATACATAAGGAACTCAAACAACTCAACAGGAAAAAACAACCCATTAAAAAGTGGGCAAAGGACATCAGTAGACCTTTCTCAAAAGAAGACTACAAATAACCAACAGGCTTATGGAAAAAATGTCCAACATTATTAATAATCAAAGAAACTCATATCAAAACCACAATGAGATATCATCCATCATACCCCAGCCAGAATGGCTATTATTAAAGAGACAAAAAAATAACAAATGTTGGCTGGGATGTGCAGAAGAGAACTCTTTAATACACTGTTAGTGGGAATATAAAGTTGTATAGCCACTGTATAAAACAGCATGGCAATTTCTCAAGAAAACTATAAATAGGATTACCATCTGATCCAGCAATCCTGCTATTGGGCATCTACCCAAAGGAAAATACATCAATATATCAGAGATACCTGAACTGCCATGTTTATTGCAGCACTATTCACAATTTCAAAGATAGGGAATCAACATAAGTATCTATCAACAGATGAAAAGATAAAGAAAATGTAGTGTATATACAGAATGGAATATGATTCATCCCTAAAAAAGAATGAAATTGTGTTATTTGCAGCAAATGGATGAAACTGGAGATTATCATAAGTGAAATAAGCCAGGCACAAAATGATGTAGTATGTTCTCACATATTGTGGGAGCTAAGAAATCTGAACACATGGAAGTAGAGAGTGGAAATACAGACAAAGAAACTGAGTAGTGTGAGTGTAGTGAGGGGGAGGAGGATGAAGAGAAGGAGGTTAAAGTGTACAAACATAGAGTAAGAGAGAAAGAGTAAATTTAATGTGTGATAGGGAATAAGATGACTATGCTTAAAAATATATATACATATTATACTCAGGTGATGGACACTGTAAATACCCTGACTTGGTCACTATCCATTATATACCTGGGAAAATCTTTCGGGTACCCCATACATTTACACAAATAAAAATATAGTTCAAGTGGAAAAATAAATAAAATTTTAAAAGCTCGTGAAAATGGAAATTCCTAGCAACTAAGGGAAAGGCAGAAATAAGGCTTGCAAATGGGTTAAGAATGTGGGTACGGATTCAGAAGTAATCCGCTCACACTTGAAAGATGAACATAAGACACACATAAAATTTCTAAAGAAAATGGCATAGTGGGAAAAAAGGCAAGAAATTAGTCTGAGGAAACACTCATATTTGGAGGACAGAGAGAGAAGGAGAAGTAAGGAAGGAAGATATGAGAACTATGATGACAACAGCCATTCATTTTGAGAGCTAAGAATACCATATCTTCATTAATAAATTCATTTAAATTTAAATTTCAAGGTTTTTAACTGAGGATAAAAAATGTACTAAACCTTAACAATCCATGTACTGTCTCAGATATTAAAATAGATTACCCATGTGACAAGCAGCTGGACATTATCTGTAATAGAAAGCAAAATGATTTTTTAATTCAATGTCTCAGAACTAATTTATCATGATTTAAAGGAGAAGCAGAACTTTTTGAACACATACGATCTGTTCCACATTAGAGTCATTTATTTATTCATCAAACTTATCCTATACATCTGGCACATGCTAGGCACTACAGGGCACAGTCCTTGTTCTTGGGCAGGCTACCTCACCCTTGTGCCCATTTCACACATTGCTCCCCCTGCAGCCATGCTGCACTTGGTGCCAGCTTTCCCCCTGCAAGGATGACCTCTACAGTGACTTAGCTAGCATTTTCTGAACCCTAGGTATGTGTGCCAGGCACTACACTAAGTGCCTTATATGGACTTTCTCACTTAATCTTCAAGACAACCCTATGAGGTGGAAATTAGTATCATCCCTATTTTACAGTATGTGAGGCTTAAATGTTGAGAAACTTGCCTAAGATCATATAGCTTGCAAGTGGTGTAGTCAGGACTCAAAATAGGCTGGCTAATGCCAAAGCGGCGATCAACACCTCTCTACTGAAAGTGTGGTCCTCAAACTAGCAGCAATGCCATTAACTGGGAGTTTGCTAGAAATGCAGAATCTCAGGCCTAACTCTCGACACGCTCAAATTTGGCTTCAACAATATCCCCAGGTGATCCCTCTTAAACTTTGAGAAGCACTGTGCTAAATCACTCCACTACGAAGACTTGGCTTTAACGAACGCTGGGGGAGACATGGACAATCTTTCCCCTGAGTAGCAATGTGTAGGGCACAGGAGGGAAGGTATATAATGCGTTTTCCAAGGGCTAACAGAAGGATTCAGACAAATCCTTGCTGTTTCAAACACTAGAGATCACTGCGATCAGCACCGGTCGGGACCACTTCCAAAAGCAGCAGATCTTGAGCTGGGTCTTGAAGCCAGAACATTTTCTCATTTCATTAAAAATAGCTGCTGTTCCAAATGGACAAGCGCCCACATCAGTAGACTTCTGGAGTTCGCTTCTCCAGCCTGCACTCCATTTTCCAAATAGAACCCAAATATCAACAGCATCAACAAGCAGATTTGAAACCCCCCAAAAACACGCTATTATTAAATTGTTAATTGTATTAGAATTGCCTAGTTTAATTAGTAATATTCATGACAAAACTAGTTTGCCCCTTATCATCAATCGTGCTCCAGGTAGGAGTACAAACACTGGGTGTAAAAAGCAGATGCACCCCAGTTGGTGTGCAAGCCCCCGTTTGCAGGTAATTAATTCACAGTGTGGCGGCGCCTTTTCAAGCCCCCTCTGCAAGCCGCGCCGGCCTCCTCCCTCTCGAGCGGGGTCAAACCACTTAGTTTATTTCACCCGCTGGCACTTTCTTCCCTGTCACGAATTCAGCCTGGCTTCCTTTGGCCTGAGACAGCGTCTTCAGGCGGGTCGGCTCGGACCTGCCCAGTGGGGCGCCCACCTGCACCCGCACCCGCACCCGCACCCGCGGGAAGGGGCGGCGCTGGCCGGACTCTCTCGGGTGGACTCCCGGAGCGGCGGCGGCGGCGGCGGTGGCAGACTGCGAGTCACGTGCGACAGAGGAGGCGGAGCACGGCGGCCGGGTGGGTGGAGAAAACAAAGCCCCCAGCTGTCAGCAGAGGAAGGAGGCGACAGCGCCGGAGCAGGTGAGTCAAGTGCATTTAAAGCGGTACCGCCCTGGCGCACCCCGACACCCCCTGCACTGAAGCAGTCCCTCCCAGGCCAGGGGCTGGCTGCGCCTCCTCCTGCCGCTGAGGTCTGCAGCCCGCGGGGCTCGGAGCAACCGGAACCGGGGGTCCAGAGTCTAGCAAGAAGTTGTGCAAGGGTCGGCTAGGCGGTCTCCGGGTGTGCACCCCGCCGCTCTCCCGCGGGCCACATCTCTGGTTCGGTGCCCCAGCTCTGTGCACCCCAGGAAAGTGGAGGGAGGGAGTTGGGGCTGCCACGCTGGCAGAAGCGAAGTGGACTGGTTCTGAGGGGTGAGGCTGGGGCTGTCCAGGGTAGGAACACGGCGTTGGTGAAGGAGGGGGGCTCGCGACTGCGCGACCGCGGCGCACGACCCTCCAGGCTCTAGCTGGGGCGCCGGCACTGAGAGAGCTGGGGGCTCTGGCAGGGGCTGCGCGCTTGGGGGCAGATCAGGAAGTGCAGCGCGCTGGCGCTCGCGCGCTTGGGAGCATCCCCTGGACCCCGGGCACTTCCCCTTCGGCAGCCACCACTCTCCCACTCCGACGCCGGCCACCATCCGCGCTCCCGGGACTCAGGAGCCGGGTGGGTGCAAAAGGAAGCGGGTTGTTATTCTGCGCCCAAGCATCTCTTCTGCAGGGAGCCCCGGGAGCGCAGGGCGAGGGCTACTCAGCGACTTCGCACTCGGCTTAGTGGGAAATTCTTCGGTCTACCCTTAGAAGGGCTATGCGGAAGCCAGAAATCCCACAAAGAGCCAGGAGAGGGGTGGACGCGGAAAGCGGTCCCCTCTGAACCTGGGGCGCTCGATAAAGCTGATTTTCAGACCCCAAAAGGGCTAGTGGGTTTGGTCACTCCTCCAGTGACTTCGTCAATACAGTGCCAAGGGCAGAGCCGTAACCTCGGAGAAGGGGCGCTGCAGCCATTTGATCAGGAGAAGCCTTTGTCTTAACCCCCAAGCCCCTCCTGCTAGTCCTCGCTGGGTCAGTAGCGCTGGGAGTAATTAATATTACGAACATTAGCCTTTCCTTCACCTCCGCACCAGCCAACACTGCTGTCCCCTCCCTGATTGTCTTCTCTATCACTTGTTCACATCTCCTTTTCCAAAAAAAGAAGAACAAAAGGAAAATAGTGTAGACCCGCTAGGCAGGAAGAGGTCACTAAAAATACTATCGTGCTGTCAATGTAGAATGAAGGGTTAAGCGCTCAAACCCGCGCCCGCGCGCACCGAAACGGAAGAACTTCCTTGATTAGCATAGTATCGACCCTGGGGCCGCGCTGCGAGGCGGAGGTTCGGTCCCAGCTGGGGTGAAGTGTGCAGACCGGTTGCGATTGTGGTCAGACGCAGCACCTACTTCTAATCTGAGGACCCGCGATTTACACTTTTGCTGAATAGGACACTGTGGAATGAAACAGAACAGAGATCAAAAGGTAATCTGAAGAATGGCAACATTTCCCCTGCTTCTCCTGAACGCTAAATTTGGCCAAATTTTTATCAAGCAAAAAGGGGTATGGCTCTTGGTTAGCCAGTGTCCCCTCTGGAAATGAAATGCTTCCTTACTTTGCTTTCGTTCTTTTCTGCCAAACTGATTAAAGACATCAGTTAGGGGTAAGATAAGAGGTCCGGGAGCTCACCGAGTGATTGGTAGATAAGCTTAACTGGTAAATTTTCCTTGCGTGGGTAGAGCTATGCTTCTTCAAAGCACTGGTTCTCAAATTTTGCTGCATAGTGGAATCATCTGGGGAGCTTTGAGAACTCCTGATGTCCTGATCACATCCCAAACTATTTAAATCAGGTTGTTTGGGAGTGAGAAATAGGCACAGTATTTAAAAGCAAAAACAACTCCTGGTAACTTCATTGTGCAGCCAAGTTGGGGAAACTCTACAGCAAAGGAAGAGTTCAGCGGCCAGCAGCAGCAGGCATTGCAAGACAAGATGCCACTTTAACTACTTGGGTGGGTGAGAGAAAAGACGCTGAAACTGGAGTGCCGATGACTAACACCCTGGGGCGGGGAACTGTCATCTAGCAGCCTAGCTGGTGGTGACACCTACCACAACATTTTTCCCTTCCCTGGCTAGGGTCTGATTGGAAAAATCGAAGCTTACTTCAATGCCTGGTTTCTGCACTGTTGTTAAGGGAGACGGATAGAAACTTCCATTCCTGTGATGACTCATGTGTAGCAGTCAGTAGGAAAACCCAGCAGAAACATACTCCAGCAGCCTGGTGAGTCAGCAGGCTGCACAGCGATCCCAGTGAATAGGAAGTAATTACAGCGAGTAGTTTGTTGACACGCACAAACTGCACTCCTTTGAAAGCACATTTAATATCTGATCAGGATCTACTTGCTTGCAGGAGCCACTCCCTTTGTAGCACACCATTCTGCCTGTTTCATATAATGCTCTCTTCTGTTAGAAGGGGAAACACAAAGCTAACTAGACATCCTGTAACTTTCTTGGTGGGAAGCATGTAAAAAAAAAACTGTTGGGAAAGTGTAAACTGGTTTGGGTTATTTCAGTTATGTGAAGCAGAAAGGATGAATATGTAACACATAAATTTTGCATACAAAAAAGTCAAATACTACTTGATTATACATCCAGGAGTGAATTAAATGATCTATTTAAATAGAAATGGTTACACTTAACATTTTATATAAAACCTCATGTTGGCTATTAACCAAAGGTTTCTTGCCTTTAAAACTGTCATCCCAAAAGGATTACTCCAGGATAACCTGTTATCTCTGGTTCTCTGTATCTTTAACAGGTTATCTTAGAGTCATCAAAAAACAAACTTTCTTTTTCTTCTTTCAGTTTTAATACCTCTTCACTATTTTTAATATCACTATCACTCTCTGCACTGTTGTCTAAATGCTTTCTTCCCCTTCCTCAATTTCTTTTCTTTTCTTTTTCTTTTTCTTTTTTTCTTTTTTTTTTTTTTTTTTTTTTTGAGACAGAGTCTCACTCTGTTGCCCAGGCTGGCACGATTTCGGCTCACTGCAACCTCCGCCTCCAAGTTCAAGCGATTCTCCTGCCTCAGCCTCCTGAGTAGCTGGGATTACAGGCACACATCATCATGCCCAGCTAATTTTTGTATTTTTATAGAGATGGGGTTTCACCATGTTGGCCAGGCCGGTCTTGAACTCCTGACCTGAGGTGATCCACCCGCCTCGGCCTCCCAAACTGCTGGGATTACAGGAGTGAGCCACCACACCAGCCCTCAATTTCTTTAAGGAGGAAAAACAGTGTCTTGCACACAGCAAGCACTCAATATTTTTGGCCGTTGAACTTTATCTGAACCTCTCTTAGAGCATCTATTGTAGCCTGCTTGGTATTCTATTTTCTCATAGGGGCCTCAGTGTCTGTAGCCCCCAAAGCAGGGGCACAGACTCTGTTAGTTATTGATACTGCTTGTTCGTACTGAAGAGTATCAAAAGGTGGGGAGAACATTGAAAACCAAAGCATCCTGAGTACATTCAGTTTGCTGTTTTCCAAGACAGACATTCCAGATATATAGAAGCCAAAGTCCTGTCACAATTCTTACTTGCTATGATAGCTTATTTGTTCACTTACATTTCATACCCAACAATTTAGCATTTTGAGCATAACTAATAATTGTTATCACATTTAACCACACTCTAATGGGCCAAAACAATCACTTCACAAAATTTCACTCTCTACCCATTATTATGAAAAACCACATATGAATTTATTGAGCTAGGAGAAACATTGTAGAATAGATTAATAGTTAAATAGCTTTTATTTTCACCTGTGTATTGCCCATTAAAATAGCATAAGTACATTTAAATAGCCACCATATTAAAAGTAAGAAGTTGGATGTATTTTGTGATAAGTACAACCAAAACTAAATGTTAATAAGAATTTCCAAAGACCAAAATGATATAAATGCATTCATTCTCACTTCTTTGTAGCTTAGAAAAAGAACTGGGGAGGCACTTCTGAAATGTTAACACCTTTTTGGGAGGCATAAGAGATAAAGTAGTTTAGAAAAATAGAATTAACTTTGGGAGGCCGAGGCGGGTGAATCACCTGAGGTCAGGAGTTCAAGACCAGCCTGGCCAAACATGGTGAAATCCCGTCTCCACTAAAAATATGAAAATTAGCCAGCCAAGGTGGCACACACCTGTAGTCCCAGCTACTCGGGAGGCTGAGGTGAGAGGATCGCTTGAATCTGGGGAGGCAACAGAAGTTGCAGTGATCTAAGATTTCACCACTGCACTCCAGCCTGGGGGACAGAGAGGGAGATGCCATCTTAAAAAAAAAAAAAGACTAATCGGATTACTCCATATTAATCAGAAACTATTTCTCAGAGTATGATATATACCTAGCTCTGTAATATTTACAAGTAGCTAAAAGGGGTAGAGTAGAAGAAAGTGTGTCATCTCTATTTTATAAGCTCTAAAGTGTTTGAGAACAGACGAGAACCACCCAGTCTTATTACCTTAAATTTATATAGCCCTTTGGTCTTACTAACATATCAGGGCTTAATCATAATTGGGTAAATGGTATTCCCAGGTGCCAAATTACACAAGTGAATCCAATAAGTTAGGTGATCCTGGCAATGCCAAGGCATTGACTCCTGGATTATTGACTCCTTTTCCAGTGTTTATTGCAACATACAGGTTTTCATGTAGTCTTGCCTGGAGGCTTTGGCTACACAAGACTAGTTTGAATTAACTCCTTTCTCCTTAAAAAGTAGAAACTACTCATATACATCATTGTCTCAGCGACTTTATTTATTTTTTTTTTTTATTTTTATTTATTTTTTTTTTTTTTTGAGACGGAGTCTCACTCTGTCTCCCAGGCTGGAGTGCAGTGGCGCCATCTCGGCTCACTGCAAGCTCTGCCTCCCAGGTTCACTCTATTCTCCTGCCTCAGCCTCCCGAGTAGCTGGGACTACAGCCCCCGCCACCACACCTGGCTAATTTTATGTATTTTTAGTAGAGACGGGGTTTCAACGTGTTAGCCAGGATGATCTCGATCTCCTGACCTCGTAATCCGCCCACCTCGGCCTCCCAGAATGCTGGGATTACAGGCGTGAGTCACTGCGCCCGGCCAACTTTATTCTTAAATAATTAACCTTTGGAATTAACCAACCCCAAACATGTTGAGCCATCTTTAGCTTTTCATCTAGGTAACCAAAATAATAAGTTCTTCAAGTCTTTTTCCAAGTCATAGAAGCATAAACTTCACTACAGACCCTTAGAGATTAGTTCCACCACCCATAGAAATCTTAAATACCTAGTGCTTCTTCACTAAGGAGTCCTCCAACTTACACTTGACTGTCTCCCTCAAAGCACATTCCCATCTCTTCTTGCAGCATTCACCTATTGGAGGCCACGAAGAATAAATCCAACTCTACATAATTCACCCGCAACCATCTTAAACATTGAAAGAGAATTTATACTCTTTAATCTGAGATAAGAAAAAGTCTGGCTTTGGTATTTCAAATCTCTTAATTTCACAAAATTTTTGTTCCAAATTTGCAAGATTTGAGAAGTATCCAAAATTATATTTCTTAAACCAGAGCTTTATAGAATAGAATTAATTGGTAAATTTGCTTCCAATAAACCTAATCTAGTAATCTATCACTTCTAAAATCACTGGCAAACTTCATACAATTACATTAAGCTGTGTTGAGATAAAACTCACGACTCCATCTGTTTCTAGAATCAGCAAACTATAACCCATTGCTTGTTTTGTATGACCTTGAAGCCAAGAGTGGTTTTTATATTTTTTTAGTCATGGAAAAATATCCAAAGAAGAAAATACTAGAGGACACTTGAAAATTACATGAAATTCAAATTTCTGTGTCCAAAATAAAGTTTTATTGGACTGCAGCCATACTTGTTTGTTTACATCTTGTCTATGGCTGTGGCAGCATGGAATTGTTGAACCAAAGACTGTATGCCCACAAAACCTAAAATATTTACAGCAAAACTACTGCAGACCTCTGATTTACCCCAGTTTAACATACTTCAAATTTTAAATAAAAATTTGTTCACTTAAAGCCTTAGTCTTTTTTGTTTTTGTTTTTGTTTCCCTTAGAAAAGGTTAAGAAAAAATGTAGTTACCAACCATAGGTCAACTAATCACTAAAAATAAAAGATAGTTTATTTTCATATTCTTCTTGTGTATGTACTTTGCGAAAAGCAGTATATTTCTAAATATATGAATTTTAGTGATACGGTCAACTGTAAAACTTCTGAATCCAAACAAGCCCAAATAGTGCAATACTAACTAGTAACCGTTTCCAGAGCTCTAGAAAATGTGAAAACATGTCCTTAAGAGCAATCCTAATGTGAACACTTGCCTTAACTCTTTAGTCAATGTTTTTTCAACCTGTGAGGGCCTTCCTATGCTTATTTTAGTATATGAAGACATAATTTGGAAATTTATTCAGATTTAGAAACTTTTTATTCACTGTCACTTCCAACACTTAACATGATGTGGAAACTTGCTGTTTTTGGAAATAGCCCTACTATTTTATTTCTTTTCATTTAATTTCATTTATTTTATTTTGAGACCAAGTCTCATTCTGTCACCCAGGTTAGAGTGCAATGGTACTGTCTTGGCTCACTGCAACCTCCACCTCCCAGGTTCAAGTGATTCTCATGCCTCAGCCTCCCAAGTAGCTGGGATTACAGGCACATGCCACCATATCCGGCTAATTTTTATGTTTTTGGTAGAGATGAGGTTTCACCATGTTGGCCAGGTTGGTCTCAAACTCCTGACTTCAAGTGATCCACCCGCCTCAGCCCCCTTAAGTGCTGGGATTACAGGCATAAGCCACAGTGTCTGGCCTGGAAATAGCACTCCTTTTCTAAAACATGCATTTACTGTAAATTGCTTGCTACTTGTAATGGCAAGGATCACTAAATACTAAAAGGATATACACGGTTACTAACACTGCTAAAGCTGACATTATGCTGTGGACAATTTTGTTTAAAATTTCCAAATTCAAAAGTAGACCAGATTATAATCCAGAAATTCAAAATTCATCTTAAATTATTTCCAGTCTGCTCAAAGCTGGAAAGATTACCATTAAGATTCTAGAAAGGATATTTGAAAATAATAACTACATTGATGGGAACTAGTCTCAATTTTTTATTGTAAGTGTTGCTTGTCATAAAACTTCCTTCAGCTAAAAGAACTTCTTCCTTTTGATGAATTGTTAATGCCACAGAATGGGAGTTTGCTATGAGTTTCATTTAGATAATAGAGCAACTTTAAGAGTTATATATAACTGGTGTTCTCTTCACCCCTTCCAGAATGAGCTGCAATTTATAGACTGAAAAGACAAAGGGATTCCTTTTTCACCAAATCAAAAAACACATTATAATTAACGTAAGTTTTGAGGTACATAACATCAGCTAAATTATTTCTAAAAGCAAAAACTTGTAATTGTATTTAATCCCATCCTAACACCAGTGATAGTAATGGCATGTTAGGTCACTAACTTCCACGTTAACCCCTAGTGCTTCTGATGGGGGAAAGGAGGAAAGGGATGGCTGGAGATTGATGTATAACTCCCATGCTGACTGGGTAAGGAACCAATCCAAGTAAAATTAACTGCCCTCCTTTATCATAATCTACATTCACATTTTAATAATATATTATTTAATATATTACATACTATATATAATAATATATTAATATATAGTTATATATTATATAATTATATAATACTAAAAATATAAATATATAATATTTTATATGTTATATAACATATAAAATATATAATATATTTTATGTTATATAATATATAATATATTTTATGTTATATAATATATAATATATTTTATGTTATATAATATATAAAATATATTATATATAAAATATATAATATATAAAATATATTATATATAAAATATATAATATATTTTATGTTATATAATATATAAAATATATAATATATAAAATATATTATATAATATATAAAATAAAATATATTATAAAAATATATATTATATAATATATAAATATTATATACTATATTATATATAAATATATACAAATATATTTTATAATATATAAATATATAAAAATAATATATAAATATAATATATAAAATATATATAATAAAAATAAAATATATAATATTATATATTATATAATATAAAATATATAATATAATATATTATATAATATAATATATTATATATTATATTATATATTGTATATATTATATTATATATATAATATAATATATAATATATTATATTATATATATAATATAATATATAATATATTATTTTATATATATATAATATATAATATATTATAAATATAATATGTAAACTATATTATATATTATATTTATATAACTATATTGTATATTATATAATATATAATATATATATTGTATATTATATAATATATAATATATATATTATATATTATAAATATAATATATAATATATATATTATATATTATAAATATAATATATAAACTATAAACTATAATATATAACATATGATATATTATAATAATATATAACATATATATTATAATAATATATAACATATGATATATTATAATAATATATAAATATATATTATATAATATGTGATATATAAATATATATCATATAATATGTAATATATAAATATATATTATATATGTAATATATAAAATATATTACATATTTGTTTAATACCTTGTTGAAATAATCCTTAATAAGCTGTCTCTTTTAACCCCCTAGAAGAGAGGTAAAGTATCTTCCAGGTATGAAATATATAGCCTATTCTATACATGTAGCACTAATAGTTCTCTCCAAATTAATTTCTAAAATTAGAAAATAGTTAGGCTTACTATATTTTTACTAGAGCAGGGACTTCATAATTATCAATTGCTTAAACAGAGGCAAAACATCCAAAAGTCTTCTGCTAACAGGCAAACCTTGGTCCCAACTTATTATAAACATCATGGCAGGAATGACTATCGGTATTTGAAGTAGGTAGGAGGTAGGTAAATACACAAGAAAAGGTACCTAGAAATGAGTAGATTCCTTTGTTTTGCTGAAGTACCTGAAACTATTTACTGCACATCATACATAAAAATGAAATGAGAGGATTAGCTTGCTCCTTTAAAAGCTGGTAAAGGCTTTCAAAAACTGGTAAGAGATGACAGGGCCTGAAACCACCTTGAACGTTCCTTCCTTCTTTCAAAGATCATCTTAAATCTGATCAATTTAACAACATTTGATATGAAGAAGAAAAACCTTTCATGATTCTTACCAAGAAACTACTATCTTAGCTCTCCCACTGAGCAGCTTCAGCTCTCCATAAAGTGGAAAAAAAGAGAGACCTTACAAGAAAGACCTTGCTGGTTTTGCTCCACCTGGTTCTTCCCGGGAAAGACGCTATTGATATAAGTAAGGCTCTTCGGTAGTTTCACTTCCAGCTTGCCCTCTATTGTGATTTTTTTAAAAGTGTGGTCTCCTGGGCACAGATCCCCTAAAAGGAGCTTCCACAAATTAGCAGCAGTAATAACCAAGTGTGTGATGTAGTATTGGCAAATCCAGAAGCAATTCCCTCTACAGTTGAAATGTTTAGGCAACTCGGTCAGTGGGTCTGTTAATTCTCCATCCCAGCACCTGACCTTCAGCACTTCAAGATAAATTTGGAGGTATGCTTTTCTGTAGAGTTGCCAGGTAAAATGCAGGATAACCAGTTAAATTTGATTTTAGATAAGATTTGTTTTGGTGTATCTGAATTTGAATTAACTGAGCATTTCATTTTTCTGTTATTTGGTTTTTAATTTTTATTTTTGCTAAATTCAGCAATCCTACTTTTATGATACAATAGATTTCAAAATGACTAGCTTTCCTGGTCTGTAAAAGATCTGAGGTTATATTTATGAGATAATGAATTAAAAATGTCTTAGCTGCCTTCACTTACTCAAGGAAAAAAAGCCATTAACTGAAGTTTTTTTGCACAATTTACTAGATTGAGAGGAAATAAAAAGTAAAACAAGAACTAGAAAATTAGCAATGTTTTTAATTTTGTAAGATATTTTAAAGTACTTTCTATTCTTTCACCAATTTTTTAATAGAATAAATACTTCAATAGGTATATTGTTAGTTCAAGTAGGGCTAACATGAGAAATCCATCAACGATGTCAACAGTATGTTCCTAATCAAAGTGAGATTCCAAGTGATTGCAATGATGCCTTGCTACCTAGATGAGGCATCAGCATCACCTAGGAGTGTCTTAAAATGCAGAATTTGAGACTCCATTCCAGACTTCCCCAATCACAATCTTCACGTTAACAAATGAACACAGGTGAATCACATGCGTGTTGAAGTTTGAGAAGCCCTGAACTAGAGGATTCACTTTTTCCACACATTAAATTGGTATTTTTGTTTAATACCTTGTTGAATAATCCTTAATAAGCTGTCTCTTTTAACCCCCTAGAAGATAGATAAAATATCTTCCAGGTATGAAATCATTGTATTTCCATTTTATTCATATAAAATTCCTAAATGGCCATTTATAATATTATGAATCAATGTGAAAAAATATTATTTTTTGAGACAGGGTCTCTCTCTGTTGCCCAGGCTGGAGTGCAGTGGTACAATCACCATTCACTGCAGCCTCCACCTCCCAGGCTCAAGTGATCCTCCCACCTCAGCCTCTTGAGTATCTGGGACTATAGCTGCATGCTGCCATGCCCAGCTAATTTTTGTATTTTTTGTAGAGACGGGGTTTCACCATGTTGCCCAGGCTGGTCTCGAACTCCTGGGAACAAACAATCCACCCACCTCGGCCTCCCAAAGTGTTGGGATTACAGGCATGAGCCACCGCACCTGGCCTATAAGTCAACTTTTTCAAAGACCTCATGGAATAAATGAACAGGCTAATATATAATTCTGGATTTTCCTTGATTAACCTGTAAATTAGGTGGATCATAATTCCTGGCACTCAGATCACCAGCAAATCTCTTTTGTTTTTCATTTTATTATTGTAACTTACAGAACAGTATTTATATACCAATACCACATATTCATATACTTGTATCCCCAGATTCCTCTAAAACTGGACAAAAGGAGATCCAGTTGGGTCTATGGGAGATTCCAAACTATTCTTGTGAAATTTAAAGTTTTTAAAAGTAACAAAAAGAGTCCATAGATAATTCTTTTTGAGTTCTAAAACCTCACTTCTTTATGTCTGCTTTCCTGTCTTTTAGAAATTATAGTATTGTATCATAGAATGAATTCTGAAATTGGAGCAAGAATGCCAAGTAGCTTGAGTTTTAAAACTGGTTCTGCTGCTAACTGGGTGACTTTAGAGATGTTATTAACATCCTTCATCAACATCCTTCAAATTGAGTTTTTTCATCTGTCAAATAGAGAAAGCGAAGTCTGACAAGAGTTACAAGATCAGATAACATCTGTGTACATCTTTATGACTGTAGGACGTACAGTGATGTCCTAAGACTTGTTTAATGATCTGCTTCATATAGGGCTGCAGTTGACTATTATAGGATGTGGTTTCCTGCAACATGCCTGATTTTGAAGAAGGGTGATCTACACACTGGGAATGAAGCCACAGAGCATGTATGTTACATGTAGCTGCTGGCTATATATGTCCACGTCAGCCACACACTCCCTTCTGCTCCTCAGAACCTTAAAGTTCTCCTCATGGCTGGGGAACAGTGATGTGCTCCAGGGCTCCAAGCAATGGATTCCTCAGCAGACATTGCTCTGTGAAATCAAAAGGCAGGTTTTCTTTTCTTTTGTTTTTTTCTTCTAGAATTCTGTATAATCTTGCCTGCACTCTCTCTCAGGAAATGATTATTACCACATTATTACATAATTGTGATTAGTTATTAAGTAGCTTTTTATCTTATCCAATCATACAACCCCAAATTGGAAGAGCCTGCACAGTCATTTTCTTAAAACATCCCAGGGCAGAATTTCCACTACTAGCACACAAAGGAGAAATCTATTTATCCTTTTGTTGTTTTAATAAACATAAGTTCATTAGTGAGAGCCCAAACCAAAAAAGGAAGGAGGGGAGTGGGAGGAAGTACTCCTAATGTTAACCACCCTCATGCAACTATTACAAAAACTATTTTTATTATTGTGTAAAGTTCTTCTTGTCTGTATTTACATTCAACAATGTCTTACATAAAATGTTCCCTTAGCATTTGTAATGTTCCCTTTATCCAGCTTAATGTCTCTAGCTTTGGGGTCTTTGCCTGTGCCTTCTCTCGGTCTTCTATCCTGGATGTCCTAGTTGATTCAAGCTTGGACTTTGTCTTGTCTCAGGTTCTTGGTATGCAAAATGTGTGGTTCACCTGTGTGTGGTGGCTCATGCCTATAATGCCAGCATTTTGGGAGGCTCAGGCAAGAGGATTTATTGAGGTTAGAAGTTCAAGACCAGCCTGGGCAACATAGTGAGACCCTATGTTTACCAAAAAATTTTGAAAAAATTGCCAGGCATGGTGCCGTACTTATAGTTCCAGATGCTTGGAAGGCTGAGGCAGGAGGATCACTTGAACCTGGGTGTTCAAGGCAGCAGGGAGCTATGATCACGCTACTGCACTACAGCTTGGGAAGCAGAGTGAGACATTCCCTCTCTCTCTGTCTTTTTTTTTTTAAGTTGTGGTCCATTGACCAGTGGCATCAGCATCACCTGGGAGCATCTCATAAATGCAGAACCTCAGGGTCTTCTGCAGACATTCTCATTCAGAATCTGCACTTTAGGAGGATCCCCCGGTAATCTGTTGTTTGGCATTAATATTTGAGAAACATTGATATGGAAAGCCTTTCCTAACCTCCTAACCATGGTCTCCACCCATCTCAATGGGGTGAGTTAGGTGGCCCATATTTGGTTTGCTTTTCATCCCCCTTGCATGGCAATCCATTGAAGATTGCAATAAACTTTCATTCATTTCCACATCCCCAGATTCTAGCACAGTGCTTGACACAAGATTTTAACTTTGGGAATTGTTTCATTTTCCAATACAATGATTTGTAGATGAAGAATTGCAATGAGAATCTTCTTGTGCACTCAGAAAGGTTGCTCTCCACCATGGGACTACAGTTTGTTAGAGGGTCCCCTTTCGTTGCAGTCTTTCTTATAAAAAACATGCTTGGTGGGGAATGCTTCTCTGTGAATAACTTCTGGAAGTCCACTGCCAAAAACTTCATTTCTTCTGCTTTGTTAAATACTAATACCTCTGGGAGGGATGGCATTTGAGGCTTGGTGTGAGGGTTGACCAGTTGGCAGGTTTTGGTAAGGGTTTAGAAGGAACAGAATGCTTGTCTGACAGGAGAGGGTAAGGAACACTAGGAAAGATATATGGTGGACTCTTGGAGAATTGATTTCTAACTCTGACAGGTGTTGGGATATTTTTGTCTGGAATCTTAATGTAGGTCATTTTTTTTCATTTAGAAAAATCCACACTTCTTATCTAAAAATCTCAGATGTGACTTTTTTCTCCAATCCTGACTCTCATCTATGATAAATTTCATCTAGCGCTACGTTCAGTGTAAACCACTGATGCCCTAGGGAATTTTTTTAGATGTTTGTTTTAAAATTTTAGACAGTCAAAAGCACAGTACTTCTACACTGATGTTTCTAAGTTATATTAAGATTTATCAGGCTGGGCATGGTGACTCATGCCTATAATCCCAACACTTTGGCAGGACAAGGCAGAAGGATCGCTTGAGGCCAGGAAATCAAGGCCAGCCTGGACAATATACTGAGACTCCATCTCTATAAAAAGAAACACACAAAAAATTAAGCAATAACTGAACTATAGGGAGCTTTCGCTGTATTCATGGATCCCTTGGTCTTTTCATTGTGGAAGGAATGTTTTGTGAACTTGGGGACAGATAATCTGATGGGGGGAGGATCAGCTCCTGAGCCTCTGCTTTTTGTTTTTCAACTTCTATTTTAGATTCAGGGGGGCACATGCAGATTTGTTACAATGGTATATTGCATGATGCTGAGGTTCGAGGTACAACTGAACACATCACCCTGGTAATGAGCATAGTATCCAACAGGTAGTTTTTCAACCCTTGTCCACCTCCTCCTGCCTCTTTCCTCCCCTCTCTTCCTCTTCTCTCTCTCTCCCAATTCCCTTTTGTAGTCCCCAGTGTCCATTGTTCCCGTCTTTACGTCTATGTGTACCCACTGTTTAGCTCCCACTTCTAAGTGAGAGTGTGCATCATTTGGTTTTCTGTTTCTGTGTTCGTTCACTGAGCCTGTTTTGAGTAACAGGAGAGACCGAGTAGAGCTTTGGAACCAAGTTGTGCTCAGAAACAAGAAACGTCTGTCCTACAGAACTATTATTTGCCTTATTTGAAAGGAACGAGAGGCTCCTGGTACTGCTTACCCACAGCTCTCACAATTAGCCACACAGACTGCAAGACTAAAGGGAGTATAATCATATTCCAGAATGCGTGGCCTTTTTTCTCCTCTTGGGAGTCTACCGCTATATTATACTTACCCATCACCATGGACACAGCTCCAGGAGCATTGTGAATTGGAGTTAGGTTCATCTCTTTTGTGGAAGAGTATGTCAGGCTGTCTTTCTGGAATCTCTTATCTGAGTGTCTGTGATGATGCTATTCATGGTAATTTGCCCAGACCTGGGACCTTGGGTGGGGTTTGTTAGGAGTCATCTGGCACCTTTAGAGTATAACTTGTTGAGCAATCTGACGCAGGTAAGCCATGCGGGATAGGTAAAACAATTGTTGTGTTCTGTGCTCTATAATATCAAGTCATATTTTGAGTCATATTTTCCCATGGAGTTTGTGGCCCATCCCAATGGGAAGAGATTTTTAACACTATGTTCTTGTGAGGCCTAGTGGTGTTTTAAGGGTTGCTATTGGAATCTGAAAGCTGTGTGAATTTTTTCGTTTTTTATGTTTTGGGTTTTCTTTTAACATTAAAGAATGATTCATAGCCCTGAGCTTTGTTACCACCCTGTTAATAATTTTGTGTGACTTTGGTTGAGCGACTTTTGGACGCTGATTTCTCTAGCTGAAAAATTATGTAAATATTGTTACTATCATGAGTAGAGGCTCTAGAGATTAAAAAAATTAAAACAGCAAAAGTATTACAGACAAGTAAAATTAGAGAAATGATAAAGTGGAGACAGCAATAGCTACTAAAATATTCAAAAGAAAACATGAAGTAAGACAAAGAATGGTTGTCTCCAACTACCCCTCTTAGTTCAAAGTCTGTGCAATGATCTTCACTCAAAACTTTTGCAAGTTGAGCACATCATTCTTATTGTTCTTTATTATATGAACAATAAGTTAATTTGAACTGATTGTCAAGGGACCTAGTTCTTGCCCCAGCTGTGCTTAAAGTACAATCTAAGCCAACTCAATTCACTTTTGTGACCTCTGGTCTCATAATAAAATGAAAGCATCCTACATAACTTTACCCATCCACTCTCCACAAAATATCCCAGTGCTGTGAAAGGTGTTTGTTAATTCATTTTCTTATAATAAAATATAATAGAAAATAGAGTGGGAACTATATTTTTTTCCTTTGGGGAATCCATAAATTACATTTTAAACGTGAGGAAAACATGCAGTTTTGATAGTCCATTAGCACATTGAATTCTTTAAATTGGAATAGGCAGATGCAGTGATAAGTTTAAACATCCATTTAACATATGGAGAATGCCATTATAGCTGTTCAAAATACGAAAGCGGTGTGATTTCCGGCAGATCAGACACATTTTAAAAAGCACCCACTCAGAAAACTTCCTGAGCTCACGTTTCCCTGTGCATGTGGTTTTTAGTGTTGGGTTGTCTCTCCCTCATAGGCTGACAAATAAAGAGTCCATATATCATATCCCATTAGCGATAAGGGAAGACATGGAAAAAGCAGAACCACTGATGGAGCCCAGGAGTGAGTTGGATTGTGCTGCCTCAAAATACAGGTCAAGACACTAAGGCCTGAATCTTGTGATTTTGTGCTACTGCACAATTACTGGACACTGATTTATTTATAAATGAATGAATGAGTGAGACAGGATCTCACTCTTGCTCAGATTGGATTGCAGTGATACAGACATAGCTCACTGCAGCTTCAAACTCCCGGGCTCAAGTGACCCTCCCAAGTAACTGGCAATATAGGTGTATACCACCATTCCCGCCTTTTTTTTTTTTTTTTTTTTTACTTTTAATAGAGGCAAGGTCATGTTTTGTTGCCCAGGGTGGTCTAGATCTCCTCGGCTCAAGGGATTTTCCTGCCTCTGCCTTCCAAAGTGTTGGGATTACAGGCATGAGCCATTGTGCCTGGCCCAGGCACTGATACAGCACCTGCCTGAGGCACTAGATCATGCAAGAACAAGAAGAAAATAGACTTAAAACACAGGGAGTGAACCAACTATAACAACCTTTTCTTTGAGCCTAATCAAAGGGACTTCCCCTTTTTAAGACTGTAGTTGAGTCATGCTTGTGAGTATAGAAAGACCATACATCAACAGTTGTGAACAGAAGTCGGAATCATTTCTTCTCTTATGGCCCTGGCACCTAAAAGTTAATGCCAAATGATGCCCAAAGAGGGGTCTGTGATGAGCAAAGCCTTCTCCTGGCCAGGCCGTGGTGTTACTGTACTCTGGACCAGAGGTACAGCTCCATGACACTTTCTCACTCCTGATGGGAACAAATGAAGCTAGTTGTGTTCTACCCATTTTGAATGTCTGGCATAATCAGAGGGTTGACAGAGAGGGTCTCACAAAATCAGTACATAATTCTTGAAATATATGCCCTTCATTATTTATGTCGAATAACAAATTAAATGAATCCTAGTGTTTTAGAGCTGAGAGCAACCTTGGAGATGATCTCATTTAATGCCATTTTATAGAGGAAAAACTGAGGCATGGATTTTCTTTTTTTTTTTTTTTTTTTTTACTGAAACCACTAGTAATTGCAAAGTTTTAAATGTTTATAGCACATCATTTGCTTTTGACATTGCTTTGCAGATCATCTGAGCTGCTTCCTGGCTCTCCAGTACATTGTACTAACTGGGAGGATGGGGAGACATTTGCTGTCCCCATGGGGAATGAAAAAGGAAACCATGTGGGATGGGGAGGGGCAAGAAAGAAGAAAAACAAGCTTCTCTAGGCTCCAAAAAATTTGAAGGAAATAAAGATATTAAGCACTTGTTAGATGAAGTGATAGCTACAAAACACGTAATCTGTACAACAATCTTATGAGCACTATTCAACATTAAGCTAACAGAAGAAGTCTCAGTTGTGGTCAAAAAATAGTTTTGTTTTTTGGCTTCTGTTTTTTGCTTTTTTTTTTCTTTTCCTAGGCTGCCAACCTTAGAGAAATGATGGTCAAACTGGGGCTGCCAAGGTCATGTATTACAGAAGAGGCAGCAAAAAAGGCCTTGGCAGGGCCAGAAAGGCCAGAGAAGGTCCTGTTCCAAGGATTTCTTGGGGCCCTTTTCATCGAGGCCGCATCCACATGATCCCTGAAGATAGGTATTCCCTCCCATTCTGTTTAAGCTGTTAGTTTTCCCTAGATTTAATTCTATTGTAATATTTTATATCCCTATAATCAGGAGATATTTTCAAATTCAATAATAATAATGATAAATTTAATAAGTATTTTCCATGTACATAGAAATTTATAGTTGCTAAAGAATTTTTATATGTAACAGCAGCTCTTTAAGGAGCTGTACTTTACAGAAAACTGTAAAAACTGGGTCCCAGAGTTTAAGTGGCATGCCCAAAGTCACATAATTGGGAAAACCTCAAACCCAGGGGATGATACCCCAAGTCCCAATGCTCTTTATACCAGGCAGCTTTACAAATGATAGTTGAATTCTCAGGGTAGCCCTCAAAGATCCCTTTAACCCATAAAAGTATTAACTTATACCAGTATGTTAACCTCTAACCAACTCATATTTCCATAGAAACATGCATTGGGTTTTAAAAACTTAGGTAAATACATTTTCTGGACACATCTCCCTGTAGGTGAGGACTCCTGATATTCTAGCATCAGTGGGCGCTTCTTTTCCCTCAGTTTGAAAATGCAAGTGCACCAAGAGAGGAATGTTATTATAAAGTATGGGCAATCTCAAATTCATTTTGAGCCTGACACTTTTAGGCAGAATAATGGTCCCAGTATGGTATACAGTTGTGGAATCAAGTAATGCAGTTTTTAAGTTTTTTAGCTCATTGTTTGCTAGTCACAGAATTTGGCAGGACTTCCAAGCATCTTCCTATCTCTCAAGCACACTGGATATATGTGTGGCAGCTTCATCTGATCCAATTGCCTACACAAGAAAATAACAGTGGCTTCACTGAGGGTGCTCATGTAACAAGATCCAGAGACAGCCATTTGAGTCAGCAGAGGAAAAAATAACAAATTTTTGTTAAAACACTCTCTAATGCATTTGCACAAACTAGTTAATCAATTAAATACATATCATCTTCAAAAGGGGAGAACTTCCCTAAGAACCTGGAACTCTGGGTGAGTATGTTACCACTGGGGGCTAGGAATAATTGCAGGAAGGAGGAGCAAGAAAAAAGTGGTGTGCACCAAGGATGGACTTCACATCCTTAGTTTTGCTTGCTTGGGGGTAAGGTCTAAGCTATATGTTTGTGTCCATTGTTTGGTAGTAAGGTCTAAGCTATACATTAGTTTATCTCAGTTGGGATCATGTGAGTGAATGGCTCCTTTACCAAGCGCATGTTAATCTGTCACCATAGCAGATTCTAGAAAGAGCCTGAAGCACAGAGAGTGTGTGTGTGTGCCTTGCAACTCAAGGTGTGGTCTTTAGACCAGCAGCATCACCTAGAAGATTTTAGAAAGGCGGATTCTCACACCCCTCAACGGCTAGACGTACTGAATCATAACCTGCATTGTAACAAAATTCCCAGGTGATTCATAAAGTCAGGAAAGCGCTGTCACAGATGAACCTGATAGTTAAAATGCTTGTTTTCCTCTAATTTTCAGAATGAGAAAAACAAATGATCTTCAAACTCTATATGCTCCCCAAGAAAACAGCAGTCAGGAATTTTTCCACCCCTGCTGTCAATATCATTGCCTTCACAGCCCTGTGATATGATTATTTTGTGTTTATTACCTCGGCGGTCCTAAACCTTTTTGGCACCAGGGACCAGTTTTGTGGAAGACAATTTTTCCATAGACTGGGGGTAGGGTGGAGGATGAGGGATGGTTTCGGGATGAAACTGTTCCACCTCAGATCATCAAGCATTAGATTTTCATAAGCAGCGGGCAACCTAGATCCCTCATGTGCACGGTTCACAATAGTGTTCGCACTCCTATGAGAATCTAATGCTGCAGCTGATCTGACAGGAGGCAGAGCTTAAGTGGTTACCCAACTAGACTTAAGTCCTGGGTGGCTGTTCTGTGTCTTGTTCACCCTTAGAATCCCAGCACCCAACATGGTACCTGGAATCTAATAGGTGTGTATGGTGGTACTCAAGAGTCCCAGCTTCAAAGTACAACAAACATGGGTTGGAAGCTTCAGTTCATACATCTATGAGATGGGATAAAGAATAACACCTCTTATAGGGTTATTGGGAGGAGTAAATGAGCTGATGCACCAGAGCCCCTGATGTACTGTAGCTACTCATAAGTGGCTAATATGTTGAACAAATGAAAGAATAGAAACCTTGTATACGAAGTCTTCAGAGGTCTGAAATGTGGTGCCCTGTTGCTTCAAATATATGAAATTGAATTTAAAAACAATATGCAAAGGAAGCCTGATAAACATAAGAAAACGGTAGAATAGATCCATGAGAAAAGCCTGTGATTTGGAATCACAAGACCAGTGTTTGGGTTTCAACTCTCCCCTTTACTAGCTGTGTGATCTCATGCAAGAAACAAGCTTCCTGAGCCTCAGTTTCTTCACCTAAAGAGTGGAGTTAGTAATCCTCTTCTTTTCATGGCGTTATGCTTAAAAAAGGGGGGTGGGAGGTTTACAACTTGCAACATTCATTCATTATTCATTTTTGTATCCCTTATTCATTTTTGTATCCTCCTTATTCATTTTTGTATCCCTACCTCTCCTGACAAATAGTGATGCTCAATAATGCCTGTTTGCTCCAATGGATTACAGCATAAACTCTCAAGGGGAATGAAAATTGGATATTGCAATGGCTTGTGGCCTCCAAAGGTTAAACTTTATGGACAAAATCTTATTCCATAGCATTTAGGGGATCCTAAAGGATTTCTTAGCATCCTTAGGGGATACAAAGACTCCTTGTGAGTGGGGAGGAGGAGTGAGGAAGATGATTTTTAAAAACTTTGAGAAGCACAATTAGAGCTCTGACTCTTCAACTTGGTACCACATGAGAGCTCTTCAGGAAAAAGCATAAGGAGAGAAAAGCAGCTAACTAAAAGGCAAGCAGAGTGAACCTCTAGAAGAAGTAATAAAAGAATTACCATTTCAGCTGGGCACAGTGGCTAACACTTGTAATCCCAGCACTTTGGGAGGCTGAGGCGGGCGGATCCCCTGAGGTAAAGAGTTCGAGACTAGCCTGGCCAACATGGTGAAACCCCGTCTCTACTAAAAATACAAAAATTAGCCTGGCGTGGTGGCAGGCACCTGTAATCCCAGCTATTCGGGAGGCTGAGGCAGGAGAATCTCTTGAACCCAGAAGGCTGAGGTTGCAGTGAGCTGAAATTGCACCACTGCACTCCAGGCTGGGCTACAAGAGTGAGACTCCGTCTCAAACAAATAAACAATCAAAATGAATTACACTTTCAAGATCTGGGTGATGTGATATATATAAAATAATTTTGCAAAACTAAGAGCTATAAACAAGTATAATTACTAAAGGAAAAGCCTTTAAGAAATATTTTCAAGTTGTATATGTTACCTGGATTTATTTCCATTAATATATTGATTTCCCCAGTAGTTGTTTTAATCCCTGACAGTGTAATTGGGGTATCGGCTCCACAACTTCACTGGGATATTTCCCAGTTGAGTGGAATTTAGCATGAATTTTTTTTCTATCAAGGAATTTAGTTACTGATGTGGCCCCCAAACCTTTTGAAAGTAGATTCCTTTGTAAGGCAGACCCCACAGCAGGGAGCCCAAGAGCAAGGCTGTTTGTTGTTATGTCAGCATCCTGGGGTCTTCACATTGGCTCAAACAGGAAACTTATGGACGGAGGCTATGCTAACATTCCCACAGGTCTCTACAAGTCCCATTCACTTACCAGCATTTTTCTCTCTCTTTTTTTTTTTTTTTTTTTTTGAGATGGAGTCTCACTCTGTTGCCCAGGCTGGAGTGCAGTGGCGCCATCTCGGCTCACTGCAAGCTCTGCCTCCCAGGTTCATGCCATTCTCCTGCCTCAGCCTCCCAAGTAGCTGGGACTACAGGTGCCCGCCACCACACCCCGCTAATTTTTTTATATTTTTAGTAGAGACGGGGTTTCACCGTGTTAGCCAGGATGGTCTCGATCTCCTGACCTCGTGATCTGCCCGCCTCGGCCTCCCAAAGTGCTGGGATTACAGGCATGAGCCACCGTGCCTGGCCTAATTTTTTTATTTTTAGTAGAGACGGGGTTTCTCCATATTGGCCAGGCTAGTCTCGAACTCTTAACCTCAGGGGATCTGTCCAACTTGGCCTCTGAAAGTGCTGGGATTACAGGCGTGAGCCACTGAGCCTGGCCGAAGTTGCAATTTTTTTTTTTTTTTTTTTTTTTTTTTTGGACAGAGTCTCACTCCGGACTTGGCCAAAAATGTTAAAATATAATTTGAAAAGATTTCCACAGAGCACAATACAGGGCAAAAGGTCACAGTAGCCCTTGATACCCAATGTCTTTTCAGCCCTTTTGCTACTGTCAGTCTTACTTAGATTTCACATGTAACCCTTAGTATGTTACTGTGTTCCTTCTTTGCATGGTCAAAGGAATTACAGACTATAAAAACAGCAAGCATGGAAAGCAGGGCTTTAGTTTCCACTATGACCCAAACACTAAACTTGAACCCTGGGCTCTGAAATGAAACCTCTCTCTGTGCTACTTTGACACGTAACATGCATTCTGCCACGTAACATGCATTCTCCCACATTTCATTATTAATTGCACACATGAGGAGAGGAGCTATTCTATGCTTACGACTCTATTTTCAAAAATATCTGATTAAAAATGGATAAAAGGATAAGTGAAAATAATGTAATTATAGAAACACTTTACAGAACTATAATATATGTGTTATTTCCCATATATGTAGTTTTGTCTCATGTAATTTTTTGAAAGAATTTTACTTTTGTACATTGAGCACTATAAATATTCTATTCTAAAATAGAAAGGGCAATCTTAAAAAATATTTTAATTCTGATTCACATGGAAAGTAGCAGATGGATAAATGATGATTCCAAGAAGAAAGGGCTAGGCTACATTTGTACGAAAAGAACTGAATTTTTATTTTATTGTAACTATCATTTTAGGTATTTTCTGGGGATTATCTTTTATTTTTATAGAAACCTAAATCATATGACCATCAGTTTATAACATCATTACCATTCTTAATATATACCACCCAAATCCATTTAGCAGTGAGCTATAATTTTTTTGAAGTCCTTAAATATACAATATGGGTCATTTGGTAGTTTGTCTTTCTGAAGGAGAAGAATGAGTTGTACCAGACTTAACCCAAGATTCAGTGTAATCTGACCTCCTTTACTTGCCAGATACGCTCATTTGGTTTTTGGTTTCCCTGTTGTGTGCTCAGCTCTGTGCTTCCTGGCAGTCTTGCCCTGGGGAAGTTGCACAGGAGAGGGGAGGCAGTCTGGGCCTCCCCTCTGCTGCCCCTAGAGAAGGCCCTGAGCCCAACCCAAGACCATTAATTGAGGCAGTGCGTGGCGGCGGAGGCAGAGCTCTCTGAAAGATTAATATCTAGTAGGCTCCACCTCAGGATTAATGGCCTGTGACCTTCTGCTAATGCTGCAAGCTGCTTTATTCCTAGAAAGCTATGGACCTCCCACACTAAAGAATGTGATCTACAACTGAAGGGATTCAATATCTCAAAGTGGCCATGGGGAGTTTGGAATTCAGGATACAGCTTATTCTGGAGATCCAAAGACAGCTTAGTAAACTCCCTAGATGAAAACTTGGGCTCAGGCCCCAGTAGTGTTCTCTTCTTGGAAAAGCTGTGAACAGCTGGGGAGGTAGTAATGCTGTCTCTTTGTGAGGAGGATGCTTTAACCTTGTGTTGACCAGAAGCCTCACTGGTTAAACACATAGCAATGAAGAAAGAATGAAATCTTCTTTCGATGGCATGGCATGATTTGAAATATTTTTACAAACATATTTTTCATTCTGATATATCTTTCATGTTCCTGTAGATTTTGTGGCCAGACATGAAAGTAGCAGTCTTTGCCAGAGGATGGGGGGACTCCCTAGCTAGGATAGAGGTTCTGCTGCTATGCCTTGGACATGGGATGCTGGAATTCTGGATTTGTTTGTCAAAGAAAGAGGATTTGACATTTCTAGAGGATGGGGAAAATGGACCTTTGTAGAAACAGAGAATGTGCTTTGTTAAAGAGTCATGACTCTTATCCTAACAAAGATATTTGGTCTTTTCAATGAAAACAAAACCAACAAACAAGCAGAGCCATAAGCCAGAGAAAGCAGCTGGCTTATGGCTGCTCATTTCTGAGGAGCTGCCCTAGTGCTCACAATGGCTAAAGAATAAAAGTCAGTATGATCTTTCCAAACGCGAAGGGGGATTTTGCAAGTTCCTCTGTGTGTGTTGGCGATTAAAATTCTGTCGTTATTTAGTGTATGGTCCAGTTTTGAATACAGAACACCTGCCTTGTCATCCATAAAATAGTACCACAAAGGATAAAATTCCACTCCATACACGTACCTGTAGTCCCAGTGACTTGAGATCAATCCGGAGGCAGGTGGATCACTGGATCCCAGGAGGTTGAGGGTGCAGTACATTGTGATTGTGCCTGTGAATAGCCTCTTGTACTCTAGCTTGGGCATCACTGCAAGACCCCATTTGTAAAAATAAATGTTAAATATTCCATTTCTATGCAAATAAATGTGGACATTTTATAAGATTTTGAAAATTCCTAGATAGTGTGAACTTAAGGGTATGAGAGATAAGTTAAAAAATACAGGATATATCAGCTGGGTGCCATGGCTCACACCTGTTATCCCAGCACTTTGGGAGGCCGAGGCAGGCAGCCTCACTTGAGGCCAGGAGTTCAAGACCAGCCTGGCCAACATGGTGAAACCCCATCACTACTAAAAAAATACAAAAATTAGTGGGTGTGGTGGCACATGCCTGTAATCCCAGCTACGCGGGAGGTTGAGGCACGAGAATCGCTTGAACCCTGGAGACGGAAGTTGCAGTCAGCAGAGATGGAGCCATTGCACTCCAGCCTGGGCAACAGAGCAAGACTTTGTCTCAAAAAAAAAAAAAAAAAGATACGTGATGTATCAAGCTGCTATTTCAAACTCACTTCTGGTTTTGAATATGTGTATGGTGAATTTTAATGGATTAAGAAGGTACACGAGGGAGAAGGGAATAACAGCAAAGAAAATTCCAACATAGGCAACATTGGATAGCAGAACATTGGCAGTGGTTTCTGAATGCTAAGTTAGTGGGTGAGTTTTTTTTTTCTTGGATCTGTGCAAAATGGAGCAAACTCCTGGTCCATCTTGCCCACTGCTTTGGGGCTTTTGCTTTTCTTTGAAAAGGTAAGAAAATAAAACTAATGTATCTTGCTCAATTCTAGTTCCTGTCCAATTACCTGATTTAAAAATATATATATTTTGAGATGATTGTACAGTAAGATGTAATTGTAAGAAATAATATAGAGAGATCCCATATATTCTTTATCTAATCTGCCATGGTAGCATCTTGCAAACTTACAGCACAATGTCACAACCAGGATATTGATGTCAACACAATCAAGGTTCAGAACATTTCCATCACCACAAAAATATTTGTGTTGCCTTTTATAATCACACTCATTTCCCTCCAGCCCTCACCCCCTCCTCTTAACCCCTGGCAACCACTAATCTGTGCTCCATTTCTATAGTTTTCCCATTTTAAAAATGTTAGATAAATGGAATTATGCAGTATATAACTTTTAAGGACTTTCTTTTCTCACTCAACCTAATTCTCTGGAGATTCATTCAGGTTGTTACTTTCTATCAATAGTTGGTTCCTTCTTATTGCTGGGTAGTATTCTGAAGTTTGGATGCAGCACGGTTTGTTTAACCATTAACCTGTTGAAAGATACCTGGGTGGTTTCCAGTTTGGGGCTACTATGTATAAAACTGCTATAAACAAATTTTCATTTCTCTGGGGTATACGCCAAAGTGAGCAATTGCTGGGTGATATGGTAGTTGCATGTTTAGCTTTTAAAACTACAAAACTGTTTTCCACAGTAGCTCTACCATTTTACATTCTCAGAAGCAATATATGAGTGATCTAGTTTCTTCAAACCCTCGCCAACATTTGGTGTTGTCGCTATTTTTTATTTTAGCCATTCTGATAGGTATGTTGTGATGTCTCATGTAGTTTTAATTTTCTTTTATCTATAGGCTAATAATGTTGTATACCATTTAATATTATTTGCTTTCCGTATATGTATATCCTCTTCAGTTAAATGTCTGTTCATATCTTTTTCCCATTTTCCGACTAAGTTGGTTTATTTGGTTGCATTTTGAGAATTCTTTATTTTAGACACTAGTTCTTTGTCAGTTATTGGGCTTGCAAATACTTTCTTCTAGTTTATATCTTGTATTTACATCTGCTTCACATGGGCAAAAGTTTTTAATTTTGATGAAGTCCAATTTACCAATTTTTCCTCTTCCAGATTGTGTTTTTGGTGTCAAGGCTGAGAACAGTTTGCCAGCCCCGATCCTAAAGATTTTCTCCTGTTTTTTGTTTTTTCTATAAGTTTTGTAGTCTTACATTTCACATTTATGCCATGATCCATTTTGAGTTCGTTTTTACGTAAAGTGTGAGACTTGCAGACAATGAGAGCTCTACTCCTGCCAAACACAGCAGGAGCAAGCTTTGCCTCACTCCTATCCCCACAAGCAAAGGCTGCATGGGAAGGCTAGACTTCTATCCTTGCAAGGCTGGGACTTCTTGAGCACCTACCACATGCTAGGTCCTGAACTTATGATGATGGAGTGAAAGCTCTCCAGGTATTTCGAATCTATGTCAAATGACTGCTATTAAGGTATTTTAGTGTGGACATACAGATGAAAGAGAAAGGAGATAGATACTGGTCTGCCAGACTCAATTAAAATCTATCCCTTTCTAGCTGCATGATATTGGGCAAATTGCCCCACTACTCTGAGCCTCTGTTTCTTCATTTATAATAAGATAGTTTTGAGGATTAAATTAGATAAAATATGTGAAATGACTGGTGCATAAGGTGTTCAATAAATAATGTCATTCTTCTCCAAACTGATCCATTGCGGCTGCTGGAAAACCTAGCAATGGACCGTTGTCAGAAAATAGAAAAAGGCCAATTGTATACAGACAATTCTGAATTTTCTAAGGGCTAATTATCTGCTTTATAGATAAACTAGAAACCTTATGTTCCTGCTTCGTAGCTTGGTGGCCAGTGGCTTGCACAGCTACTGGGTACTATTAAATAAAGTAGATAAATGAAAATTTCATTCTGATTCAGTTGAACTTTCTGGAAAATTGAAGGACTTAAGAATAGAAACTGACATGGATGGGAACCAATATTGTTAAAATCTGAATTTAGGTTTATCAACTATCATTCAGTTGTAGAAAGATATAACGTATTCGTAAAATTAAATTCTGCTGCAAAATATGTAAGGAAATTCAACTTATTGTATCTGAAGGAAAAAACTTAGATTGTAGTCAATATATCTTAATTTAGTTATTGACACTATGTACACCATTCATGTTAAGTTTTCTGATTTTTAAACAAGCCCAAGTTTATTAATTATTTTTGAGATCCTTCACTGAGTAGTATAACAATTCAGTTGTCACCTTTACTTTTATTCTCTTGACTCTTGCCATTTTGTTTTTCACCTTTTTTTAACTAAACATCTCCTTTTTCCCTTAGAGAAAAACTATAAAATGCCACCTCCTCCCTTTTAATTAAAAAAAATAATAATTCTACCAGCAACATCTCCAGACCTGTGTCTCGGAATAATCACATCATGTTGGATCTATCACAAATATTTTATTTTTACACAATGATTTTAAGCTAAATAAACACCAAGTCATTTCTGAAATGGTCATAGAAAACACAGAAGAGCAATGTAGGGCTTAGGTGGAAAGTGGGGAAGAGAGTTAAGGCTCATATGTATATGCAAGTCAGGTCATTCATAGCAGCATCCAGTTGAAACATAGCAACCTCCTCCGTAACCGTTCATCCCCCAAACACTTGATTCTCAAAGCAAACTCAGACTCCTCCATTTCTTAGCCTCCAGAATTGGATTTGTCCCTCATCAGTTTACTGTCTTACTGCCTCATTTAGTCAAAGCATATTTTGAAAATAAATAGGTAATTCATATAAAGAAAGTCAATTGGCTGTGCACGGTGGCTTACGCCTGTAATCCCAGCACTTTGGGAAGCCAAGGCAGGCGGATCGCGAGGTCAGGAGATCGAGACCACCCTGGCTAACACGGTGAAACACCGTCTCTACTAAAAATACAGAAAAATTAGCCGGGCATGGTGGCGGGCGCCTGTAGTCCCAGCTACTCGGGAGGCTGAGGAAGGAGAATGGCGTGAGCCCAGGAGGCAGAGCCTGCAGTGAGCCGAGATCGCGCCACTGCACTCCAGCCTGGGCGACAGAGCGAGACTCCATCTCCAAAAAAAAAAAAAAAGAAAAGAAAGTAAATTACTAAATTACTGCTTATTGGTATGTACATTTTAAAGTCGTTTATAATGCTTATCCTGTTGAAATTAAAAATCTTTTTGACTAGAAAAAGCCTGTGTTGATACTAAATATAAAACCTGGTTAAACCTAAGTTTGGGGAATTCAGTACTTTAATTGATGTTGGTATTTGATACCCCACTAGAGGCACTGCTCCTTGGGGTTATCCGCCGACATGATTCCCGTCACATCAGACTATCAGGGCAGGGGAAAAACAAAAGAAAAAATATTTTCATAGGACTGACATTATACTAAATTTTTATCAACTATTAATCAATATAAGAATTGATCTAATAATATATATTGAGAGTATAATTCTATTGTCTGGCTGACTTAATCACTTTCATATGGTAAGATTGATTGACTTTTGGATATTTGGCGTGTATTTTTTCTTTAATTTTTTCCATTGCTGGCCACACCCACTAAACTAAATTATAACTCTTTGCTTCCATATTTTCATCATATTAAATGCTTGCACTCTTTTTTTCTTCCATTTTTACTATCCCAGTGTCCTGTTTCCCAGAGGAACAGTTCATTTCAACAGCCAGGGAGAAAGCCTGGATGCTCAAGGTAAGGTTTATATAAATTACGTTGCATGACTCCTTGCTTAAAAATTAATTTAAAGTGAGTAGTAATATTGTCATTGTAACAAATTTATTTTCAAAATTCCAGTACACAATTAAAGCCGATATTTGAGTAAATATGCTCTTTTAAAACACTATTTTTCAAATCAAATTCCATTTCCCAAGTGTACGAAGGGCTAATTAATTGCTATTAGTAATTCCTCCAAAAATGGTCAAGCCAATTAATTAAAGTTTAATTTTGAAAAATCTTATGATAGGTGGGGAGGGTAGAATATCAAGATATGGTCAAAATGAACTCATGACATCGCTATTTATAAATAAATGATTTTTATTTGATATTGTTAAGAATCAAGAAAGCCACTCTGTTGGCTTTGAGAGGCAGAAAGAGAGACAGAGTGAGAGCGTGCGAGCGTGCGAGCATGTCTGTGACAGAGATGACGAACCTGGAAAGCCTCATTTTTTTCTGTCTGGGATTTGTCTTTGAGATGCAATCATTTTGACCTTCAGTTATTTCGAACTATTACTCTAAGTCTCTGTAAGTAATGTCTTCAAGAGTCACCTCCAGGAGCCCTTAGAACAAAGGAACAATTAACTGAAATTCCACCAGATGGCAATGTTTGGAAAGCCATTCAGAGAGGTCCCAAGCTACAAGCTATTATTGTTCACACAGAATAGTCTCACAAAGTGTGGTGTAACATCCTATATTTCATCAAAGGTACTCTAAACATCTTTTATTTTACTCCTATTTCTCCACAGCATCAAACATTTTTACTTAAAAAAAAAGTGTGTGGGGACGTATGTGTTTTCTTCTTTCAAAAAAAAATTCTGGAATGATAAAATTAGAAACCTCATTCTTGAATAGTAATTCTCTAAACAGTAATGGTGACTATTAAAAGCTCAAATCATGAATAATATACCATATTTGTTTTGGGGCCTCATTGTAATAAATGCTATGACTGGTGGTCACTTTTTAAATATTTGAGAAGAGAAACTGAAATTCTTCCACTTAATAGCATTTTAAGAAGTTGTCTTGATATTAAAATTTGCAGGTATAAAATTCACTGTATTGACTTGGAACAATTAGTTTATTTAGTGTGGAAGAATAGATGTTTTCTCCTGTTGCTCTAGTGAAAGTGGAAATATGGAGCACTTTTGTAGGCTGAGGTGAGCACATTACCAGAGGTTAGGAGTTAAAGACCACTCTGGCCAACATGGCAAAACCCTGTCTCTACTAAAAATATAAAAACTAGCTGGGCATTGTGGTGCATACCTGTAATACCAGCTACTCGGGTGGCTGAGGCACAAGAATCACTTGAACCCAGGAGGCAGAGGTTGCAGTGAGCCAAGATCGTGCCACTGCACTCCAGCTTGGGTGACAGAGCAAGACTCCATCTAAAACAAGCAAACAAAGTGGAGATATGGTACCCTGCATGATGTTCCAACAGCTGGAATATTCAGGGGCCAGAGCAGGCTCTAGGACAGAGTTGGGACAGGGCTCAGTGGAAAGGTACCTGAGGGCATTAGAAATAGGAAGAACCAGGAAGAGAAACCACCTAAGCTTTCTGTGTCTATAGCTGCGGATCATAAGTGCCCTTTGAAAACTGATCTTGTACTGCTAGCCCTTATAGTAGGTGGTCCATATGTCGGGTCTGTATGAGGCAATCCTGGTTCAAGTCTGTGTTCCTGGAAAATAGTCTAGTTAGCACTGCCTTTCACCCTCAAAACGTTTCATTTTGGATGATAAATTATATGATCATCCTATCTTCCAGGCTGGTGAAGAAAAAGTAACAGGAAAAGGTGGCCCACTATCTAAATAGGGTGTTGCTTTCTAAATCTCCTTATATATGGGGGTATGGGACAAATGTGTTTTTAAAGAGCCAAATTGTAAATATTTTTTGCCTTGCTGGTCATACAAGTCTCAGTCTAAACTGTTCAACTCATTGTAGTGTGAAAACAGACAAAGATAACACATAAAGAGATGGCCTTGGCTGTGTTCAGTAAAGCTATTTACAAAAACAGGCAATGGACTATACTTGGCCTGCAGGCCATCATTTGCGCATCCATGATAGATAACAGAGATGGGTTAAGTTGGTAGGAGATGGCAGAGAACCAAAGAGAGAACCATCATTAGTCCCTCTCCCTTCTCTCTATATCCCTTCTGGGTTGCACCCTCCTTTATTTAACCCTTTCAGGAACTAGTACAGTTGACCCTTGAACAACATGGGTTTGAACTGCACGGGCTTACTTATAAGTGATTTTTTTTTTTCAATAAATGCAGTCAAACTTCCATATCCGTGGATTCCAGATCCGCAACCAAAAGTAAACTGAAAATACAGTATTCATCGGTATATGAAGCCAAAGGCAGCCAGCTTTTCATATTGCTGGATTCAGTGGGCCAACTGGGGGACTTGAGCATGAATGGATTCTTGTGGGGGAAGGAAGGTTCTGAAACCAATCCCCTAGGGAAAGCTGTATTGATCATTTCCTTGAATGAGTAATCCTATCTGCTATTAAGTGGTTCCTGAGATTCCTTTACTGGGTGTCACTTCTTGTTTCTCATCCAAATCTGTTCCTGCACCACACACAACATGCTTGTACTTTATACCTCATGATGTATAAGACTCAGGTGACACCTGAGTCTTAGTGTTAAATACTGAAGCAATAGCTCATTAGTAGGCAATTTAATTTTATGCTTTGATCCTCACTAAATAGTTATCTTTGGGAAATATAATCAGTCACGTTAAGGAAAAGTTCATGTCGACTATACCAAATTTTTTATTATATTAATGAAAAGTAACATAATACACTTAAAGAAAACCTAGAGGAGAAAATCACCCATAACAACACCATCCTAAAATAACTATTTTTCCATTTTTGCATATTTGGTCTTCTCACGGGCATTCCTAATTTTCCACAGTGCATATCATAATGAGTGTGAACTTTGTATTTTACCTACTGTGAGTCACAGCATCTTTTACTTTCATGGGTCATCAGAACTATTATTGGAATTGCAGTATAATGTTATATCAACATGCCATAGTATGTGCTTTAATTCTTACTATCTTCCCATTTTCACTATAAAAAATGCTATGCTAAATTTTTATACAGATCTTGTTGTTGGTTTGGTTTCGTTTGGTTTGTGTCTATTCATCTATTTTCTAAGGTCACAATCCCAGAAGTGGGATTATCTGTCAAGGACAGACCATTTTTATGACTTTTAATCTAGTTTACTATATTTTTCCCAGAGATTTGGAATAATTTACAAACATTTATAGTTTTAGGGTACTAGTTTCACCATAACATTTTCAGAAAGCATTTAATTTATTCAATAGTATTTACTGAATGATTACTAACTGTAAAGCACTGTGCTGAGTGTTTTGGGGTGTGTGTGTGTGTGCATGCACGTGTGTGTGTGTACATATATATATATGAATGATGTGCTCATTCTACATTTATTTTGTGCCTACTATCAGCTAGGTATTGTAGTTTTTCAATAGTGAGCAAGAGATAGCTTCTATCTCAGAGCATTTGACTTTACTGGGGAACTAAGATATATGTAAACGACTTTAGTAAGAAAATAAGATGCACCATAGGAGAAATACAGTTACAGTATAATGGGAGTTTGGGGAGGGGGAGGTAGAGATGACATCTGAGCTGAGCCATGAAGGTGAGTTGGTGTGGAATACTCAGGGATGGTGAGATTAGCTATTCATTCCATAAACATGTATTGATCACCAACTCTGTGCCAAGTTTTATGGTAAAAGCTAGGGATATAGAGGTGACCAAGGCAGAGCTCTTAAAGCATACTATCTAATAGTGTAAAGAATATTTTTTAAAAAATCATTATAAGGGTGATAAGCAGGCTAGCTTGCCTGGCAGAAGATACACAAGGTTAGGGATGAATGCGAGTTTCCCCTGGAATGAAACTTTTCCATGGCTTCTCTTTTGTAAGGCACAGCCTTCATCATCAGTTATTGTGTCAGAATCTGTGGGAACATCTGCTTCTGGAAGCTTGAAGTTTCTTGTAATTGCACTTGTACTGACCAACATTCCAATTAAAGTTGGCCTGCATTGACAGTCCCCTAAATGAGTACATTTACTGAGAATGCACGGAGGATAGGCCTGGGATCGGTGAGACCTACAACTTGGCCCTCACCAGATGATGATGGAAGTAAATCACTAAAAATTGTGGGTTTCATTTGTGTTTTGTCTTTAAAACAGCTGGAAGGAACCTCACTGATAATCTAATCCAACATCTCATTTTACAGATGAACATTCTTGAGTGAGGAGAGTTTGAGTGACTTTTCTAGGGTTAGACAGTGGCATTACCACAGCACCAGAACCTTCACTTCTGATTCTTCTTGTTCTATGGTCACTGCTTTAATTAGCCCTGCCTCATCTAAACCATAGAGGTAGTAAGAATTAGGACTAGATTAACCTAAGCATCCCTTGTATAATAAAAGCAATAAGATAAATTTTACCCATCTCACACCACAGTAACAATTTTTTAATTTACAATTTTTAATTAAAATTTTAATTTAGACCATGGTAGGTCACGCCTGTAATCCCAACACTTTTGGAGGCTGACACTGGAGGATCACTTGAGGCCAGGGGTTCAAGACCAGCCTGGGCAATATAGCAAGACCTCATCTCTCTACAAAAAAAATAAATAAATAAAAATTAAAAACAATTAGCCAGTGTGGTGGCCCATGTCTGTAGTTGCAGCTATTCAGGAGGCTGAAGCAGGCAGATCCCTTGAATCCAAGAGTTCAAGGCTACAGTGAGCCGTGATTGTACCACTGCATACCAGCTTGTGAGCTGGACAAATAGCTTGACCTCACTAAGCTCCACTCTCATCTTCAAAGTAGAGATGTAATACATCTTGTTTGTTGTGAGAATAATTAGAGGTAACATAATTGTTGGGTGCATCATGGACACTCAGAAAATATTGAAATATTGATTTTCTTTCCCCTTCCCTCCTAGAGCTACAGGTTCTTCATGGGATTCCTTTTGTTTATTCATCAAGTTGCCTTATAAGACTTCTGAGAATTAAATGATGGAATAAGGGTACATTTATAAACTGTGGTGCAGAGATTAACGTTCTCATTTCTGAGTTTTACTTAACTAGGCTTAAGTAGAGGTTTAGAGATTTTCTTTATGGTTCCTTTTCCTCCTTTTCTTCAGTAGCTTATCTTACATGTTCTATGGATGTGTTGGTAAGACTTAAGAATTCACTTGTTTTCTCTGTGTTTTACCTTAAAATAATGTGTCAAATAAATATAGAGAGGTAGATGGTTAGATAAAGAAAATATGGCTAAATGTTAACAATTGCTGAATATAGCTGGTGGGTATGAATGTCTGTTATACTATTATAAGATTTTTTTTACCCTTCTGGAGGTTTGAAATGTCTCAAGCAAAATTTTTTAGAGCATTATGTATCAGGTATTAAGCTTCTACCATGGCTCCATCACTGTTCAGGGGCAGAGGGTAGATTTTGCGTGAGACAGTCAGGGTTCTCAGCCCTGATGGAGATATGGCCCACTGCAGGGAATGTTAATGAAATAGGCAGTTCCATTCCAGAGTGCTGAGTGCTGTGGTGGGAGAAGTACAGGATGCCGTGGGAGTCCTCAGCAGCAACAGCTAAGCCAGAACTGGTGTGCAGAGGCCAGACAAGGCTTCCAAGTTTCGAGGCGTCTAATCTGAGACCCGAAGGAAAAGGAAGAGCTAGCCAAGTGTTGGGGAGAGGAGGACTTCAGAGAAAGGGAAATTGTTTGGGCAGAAAGAGTAGCAGCTTCAAAGATCTGGAGGGAAAATAAGAGAAGCATTTGGCATATTAATGAAATTGAAAGAAGTTAAGTAATGAGCTGCAGCATTGAGGGAATAGTGACAGGTAGGGCTGGACAGACAGACAGATCAGGAAGGGCCTTGCCAGGCTAAAGAAGAACTCTTGGTTGTATCATAAAAGATGTTGAAGTCCTTTAAGCGTAGAGGTAAAACTACCTGTTTTATATCTTAGAATGGTCACTCTGATGGCTGTGTAAAGGAAAGATCAGGAAGGGACATGATTAGACAGCAGAGAGACCAGGCGGAAGATGATTAGCATCTGGCTATAGTGGTGACAGCTGGGGTAGAGGTTAATGGGTGGATTTGAGTACTATTTAGGTGGCAAAAAAAAGGAAAAAAACCACAGTTACTTTTGCACCAACCTAATAGAAAGGACTGGGGAAGGAAGACGTCAAGGAGTTATTCATTCATCTAGCGAACACACAGTGAGTGCTTGCTATGTGTTAAATGCTGTTTCAGTGCTATGAAGAGAAGTAAAGAAAGGGGGACAGGAATACAGCCGGAGGAGGTGCTATTTTATGTAGGGGGAAGTAATGGAGAGGGATTTTCTAGAGGAGAACACATTGATCTTTAAGGGATGGCAAAGTGAGAAGTAGTCACCTAAAGATCTTGGGGTTCAGTGGGATCCCTGGGAGCCCCACAAGTGGCAGTGCTGTGGTTGGCAGAAGATAGTGCCCAGTGTCTGGCATGAGTAAGTGGGGGCTTTGGTGAGTGTTATTTACTGAGACAGGACACATTGTAAACGTGAGGACAAGAATCAGAAGCCCAGTATTGCCCATGTTGTGCTTAGGGTGCCTGTGACGTTAAAAAAGATATAGATATAGATATCTTTATGTATATATATGGATTTGAGACCTGAACTCTGGAAGAAAAAGAAATGAATTACAGCTTTGAGGGTCACTAGCATGTAAGCAGTAAGCCACAAATATAGATAAAATTGCCCAAGGAGAGTATAGAATGAGAAAGGGAGTCCAGAGTAGAACCTTGAAAATCACCAATATTTGAAATGTAGATTAAGAAAAAGAGAGAGTACACCTATGTTCACAGCAGCAGCATTCACAGTCGCCAAAAGGTGGAAACAACCCAAGTGTCCATTGAGAGATGAATGGATAAACAAAATCTGGTATATACATACAATGGAATATTGTTCAACCATAGGTAGGAAATTCTGACTCATGCTACAACATGGGTTAATCTTGAGGCCAATGCGTTAAGTGAAATACACCAGTCACAAAAAGACAAATACTGTATGATTCCACTTATGTGAGCTATCTAGAGTAGTCAAATTCATGGAGACAGAAAGTTGAATGGTGGTTGTCAGGGGCTGACAGGAGGGGGAAATGGAGAGTTAGTGTTTAATAGTTATAGAGTTTCAGTTTAGGGGAATGAAAACATTCTGGAGAAGGATGGTGGTGATGGTTGAACAAGAATGTTAATATATGTAATGTCACCAAACTGTACACTTAAAAATGGTTAAATTGGTAAAATTTTGTTATATGCATTTTACTACAATGTGAAAGTGAGAGAGATGAAGATTAGCCAGAAACACAAGAGAAAGACCAGTTGAGTATGCTATCATGGAAGCCAAGGGAAAATAGCATTTCAAGAATAGCAGGGTCAGGAAATCCACATGCCCATAAAGGTTATATAAAATAATAAACACTAAAAATGCCTATTGCTTTAGCAACAAAGAGGTTGTTAGTGATCTTGGTGAGAATAATTTCAATGTCATGTTCAGAATGGGAGCCAGATGCAAGAAGTTGAGGAGGAAGGGAGAAATTGAGAAGTGGAAAGGGCAGGTTTAGATAACCCTTAAGATACTGACTATAAAGATGGAGACAGAAAGCAGGACCTGTGGGGAAGAAGAGTTGATTTAAGGTAGAAGAGACCTGAGTGATTTAAACACTGCCTGGAGGCAGCCAGTGGACAAGGCATAGGAGAAACTGGTAGAAAGTTACAAACTAGAGCTTTTTAATTTTGTTAATTGACAAATAGTTCTTGTACATATTCATGGGGTACATAGTGATGTTTTGATATGTATAATGTAAGTAATTATATCAGGGTACTTAGCATATCCATCATGTAAAATATTTATAATTTCTTTCTGTTAGGAACATTTAATATTTTCATTCTAGCTATTTGAAACTATATGTTATTGTCAACAATAGTCAACCTACAATGGTATAGAACACTAGAACCTATCCCTCCTGTCTAGCTGTAATTTTGTATCCTTTAACAAATCTCTCCCTATCCTTTCCTTCCCCCAACCCTTCCCAGCCTCTAGTATCCTGTCTTCTACTTTTTACTTCTATGAAATCAACTTTTGTTTAGTAATAGCTTTCACGTATTAGTGAGAATATGCAGTGTTCAACTTTCTGCTCCTGGCTTATCTCACTTAATATAATGACCTCCAGTTCCATCCATGTTGCTGTGAAAGACCAGATTTTGTTCTTTTTCATGGCATTGTGTGTATATACTACATTTTCTTTATTCATTCATCTGTTATTGGACACCTAGTTTGATTTAATATCTTGACTATTGTAAACAATGCCACAATAAACATGGGGGTACAGATGTCTCTTTGACATAATGATTTACTTTCTGATTTAAATATACCAGGGCTTTGAAAAGGCAGGAGGCAAGAGGGGAGACCATAGCCCTTTATTGCAACAAGCAAGAATCCGAATAAGATGGCAATCCTTTAGGTAAATATGTAGGTTTGGGGACAGAAAAGTTAAATTCTGGTCTAATGGCTTCAATACCTTCTATAAAGTCAGATGCAAGGCCATCTGCTAAGGGAAGAGAAGGTGGTAGGGTCGGAGATATAAGGACACGGAAAAAGTATTGAAACATCTGGTTTATGAATAATGACGGAACCCAAACTAGGGAAACAGAAGGGTGATTTAGAAGCATTGAGATCCACTGGGTTTGGAGGCCATCAGTTTACAGTTGTGCTAGTCTCCCGGGCAGGGTGATTTTTTTTTTTTTTTTGGTCCCAGCAGGTCTCGGCAGTCTATATAAGGCATATATACCTGGCAGATAAAAATTGTATAAAAGCTCTTCTTTGGGGAAACGTGAAAATTGATCATGAGGGTGACACATTTATTTTTAAATGGACTAATGCTTTATTTCTTTCTCTTTACAATGTTGTAAGAGCCAAATGACTGGGTTAAGAGTTGCAAATTGTTTGGTTTATAATGAGTTTGTTATTGGTACAGAGATTGTAACTAACTCTCCAGGGCCCTCTGTTGACTACAGAGATTATTGGGGACCAACCTTAATTATCAATTGATCATTGATCAGAGTGAAACTTAGAACAACTTACTGAGCAGTTTGATGGTGTTACATCCCCCCTCACAAACTTGTATTCCCTTTTAAGGGTACTGTGGCCCCAGGGACAAGCACTGTGTTGCATATACAAATACATCTACACTATGCTTAGTGCACCTTTACCACGTTGTAAATCCATGGCATTGCCATAGATTTTTGCCTTTTGCATGGAGTACCAGGATCTAGTTAAGTAACAGTCATTTTTGCTAGCCAAAATGTCACTAAAATTACTCTGAGGTTGACATGTCTTATCAAAATTTTCTGTACAAGTAGGCTGTGGTATATGGAAAGAATGCTACTGCTGTCTCACAGGCCAATGCCTAGAATGCTTGTATATATTCAGACCCCTAAACAAGAAATGTGTTTCCTCTACCCCCCTTCACTTTCTGACTTTACTTTCCTGGCCAGAGAGTCACTAAGAATAACAAGTCCTGCCATCAACAAGTTGGTGATAGCCTAGGGATTCTGGTCCTGGTGAGGTTGAGTACAGGGGAAGGAGCAAGACCTGTAAACAGTCCACCAAGCCAAAGTGGATTCACCTTCATTTCCTAAACTGTGTAATACCTGAACACCAGACCCCTGTATATAGGGGAAAACATGTGGGAGAATAAACTTTATTTGATGCCTACGGTGTACCAGATACTCTGCTAGCAACTTATCCTCATATGTTCTACATGAAACTTCGTTGTTGCTTTTTACAAATGAGGAAATTGTTTCAGAGAGGTTACTGACTTGTTCAAGGCATATAGTTAGTAAGTGGTAGAGCCAAGATTAGGACCCAAGCGGGTGTGAATGCAAATTTGTTATCTACCCTAACGAATCACGTTTTATTTTCCTTCTAGTCCTCATTCACATAATTTTACACAGTTGGTGGGTGTGTATAGGGATGGCAGTGTGTGTGTGTGTGTGTGTGTGTGTGTGTGTGTGTGTGTGTGTGTATTTTTGCCTTTAAGCCCTGGTTGGGAAGAATTTTTTCCTTTCTACAGTTGTCAGATCATGAACAAAAATTCAGAACAAACCCCAATAAATTGCAGAAACACTAACTAAAATCAAATGCTACTTTTTACATTTCTACTTTTATTTTAGATTCTTGGGGTACACATGCAGTTTTATTACCTGGGTATATTGCACGATGCTGACGTTTTGGGTATAACTGATCCTGCCACTTGGGTACTAAGAAAAGTACCCAATAATTTTTCAACCCTTGCCCCCTTCCTTCTGCACTCTAGTAGTCCCCAGTTTCTATTGTTGCCATCTTTATGTCCATAAGTACCCAATGTCCAGTTCCCACTTATGAGAATATGTGGTATTGGTTTTCTATATCTGTGTTAATTTGCCCAGGATAATGGCCTCCAGCTGCATCCATGTTGCTGTAAGGGACATGATTTCATTCATTTTTATGGCTGCGTAGTATTTTATGGTATATATATATACCACATCTTCTTTACCCAATCCACTGTGGATAGACTCCTAGGCAGATTCCACATCTTCACTATTGTGAACAGTGCTGCAGTGAAAGTGCAAGTGTATGTGTCTTTTTGGTAGAATGATTTATTTTCCTTTGAGATATATATATATATCTCCAGTAATGGGATACCTGGGTTGAATGTAGTTCTGTTTAAGTTCTTTGAGAAATCTACAAACTGCTTTCAACAGTGGCTGAACTAATTTACATTCCCACCAACTATGTATAAGCATTCCCTTTTCTCGACATCCTTGTCAGCATCTGTCGTTGGTTAACATTTTAATAATAGCTATTTTGATTGGTGTGAGATGGCATCTCATTGTGGTTTTGATTTGCATTTCTCTAATTAGTGATGTGGAGCATTTTTCATAAGTTTGTTTGCCACTTGTATGTCTTCTTTTAAGCAATGTCTGTTCATGTTTTTGCCTATTTTTTGATGAGGTTATTTGTTTTTTGCTTGTTCCGTTGCTTAAGTTCCTTATAGACTCTGGATATTAGACCTTTGTTGGATGCATAGTTTGTGAATATTTTCTCCCATTCTGTAGCTTATCTGTTTACTTTGTTGATAGTTTCTTCTGCTGTGCAGAAGCTCTTTCATTTAATTTGGTCCCATCATCAATTTTTGTTTTTGTTGCATTTGACTTTAAGAATTTAGTCATAAATTATTCCTCAAGGTCAATGTCCAGAATGGTGTTTCCTAGTTTTTTTTCTAGGATTCTTACAAAGTCTTCACTTAAATCTTTAATCCATCTTGAGTTAACTTTTGTATATAGTGAAAGGTAGGAGTCCAGTTTTATTATTCTGCTGCATATGGCTAGCTAGCTATCTCAGTATCATTTATTGAATAGGAAGACCTTTCCCCATTGCTTATTTTTGTCAATTTTGTTGAAGATCAGGTGGCTGTGTCCCTTTATTTCTGAGTTCTCTACTCTGTTCTGTTAGCCTGTGTGTCTGTTTTTGTACATGTACCATGTTCCTTTGGTCTGTATATAGCCTTATAGTTTAAAGTCAAGTAATGTGATGCCTCCGGTTTTGTTGTTTTTTTTTTTTTTTTTTGCATAGGATTGCTTTGGCTATTTGAGCTCTTTTTTGGTTCCATATGGAATTTTATAATTTTTTTCTAGTTCTTTGAAAAAATGATGTTGGTAGTTTGATAGGTATAGCATTTAATCTGTAGATTGCTTTGGGCAGTGTGGCCATTTTAACAATATTGATTCTTCCAATCCATGAGCATGGAATGTTTTCCATTTGTTTGTGTCATCTCTGATTTCTTTCAGCAGTGTTTTGTAGTACTCCTTGTAGAGATCTTTCAACTTCTTGTTTAGATGTATCCCTAGGTTTTTTCTTTTGTTTTTTGTTTTTTGTTTTTTTTTTACAGCTACTTTAAATGGGATTTCAACCTTGATTTGAGTCTCAGCTTGAACATTACTGGTGAATGGAAATGTTACTTATTTTTGTACATTAATTTTATATTCTGAAACTTTATTGAAGTTGTTTATCTGTTCCAGCAGTATTTTGGTGGAGTCTTTAGGGTTTTCTAGGTGTAGAATTTTTATTATTCATGAAGAGAGATAGTTTGACTTCTTTTCCTATTTGGATGCCTTTTATTTCTTTCTCTTGCCTGATTGTTCTGGGTAGCACTTCCAGTATTATGTTAAATAGGAGGGATGAGAGTGGGCATCTTTGTCTTGTTCCAGTTCTCAATATGAATGCATCCAGTTTTTGCCCATTCAGTATGCTGTTGGCTGTGGGTTTGTCATAGATGGCTCTTATTATTATGAGGTATGTTCCTTGAAGGTTTTTATCATAAAAGGATGTTGGATTTTTATCAAAAGCTTTTTCTACATCTATTGAGATGATCACAGGGTCTTTGTTTTTAATTCTGTTTATGTGGTGAATCACATTTATTGACTTGCATATGTTGAATCAGCCTTGCATCCTGGGAACGAAGCCTACTTGATCGTGGTGGGTTAACTTTTTGATATGCTGTTGGATTTAACTTGCTAGTATTTTGGTGAGGATTTTTGCATCTATGTTTGTTAGGGATATTGGCATGTAGTTTTCTTTTTTTGTTGTGTCTTTGCCAGGTTTGGGTATCAGGTTGATGTCTGATAAAATGAGTTAGGGAAGAGGTCTTCTTCCTCGATTTTTAAAAATACTTTCAGCAGAATTGATACCAGTTCTTCTTTGTATATCTGCTAGAATTTGACTGTGAATCCGTCTGGCCCAGGGCAATTTTTGGTTGGTAGGGTGTTGTTTTGGTCTTTTTTTTTTTAATTACTGATTCAATTTTGGAACTTGATATTGGTCTGCTCAGGGTTTCGATTTCTTCCTGATTCAATCTTGGGAGACTGTGTATTTCCAGGAATTTATCCATTTCCTCTAGATTTTCTAGTTTGTGTGCATAGAGATGTTCATAATAGCCTCTGAGGATCTTTGGTATTTCTCTGGGGTCAGTTGTAATGTCACCTTTGTCACTTCCAATTGTACTTATTTTGATCTTCTTTTTTTCTGTGTTAATATAGCTAGCAGCTATTGATCTTGTTTATCTTTTCAAAGAATCACCTTTAGGTTTCACTGATTCTTTGTATGGATTTTTGGGTCTCAATTTTATTCAGTTCTGCTAGATTTTAATTTATTTATATTCTCCTGCTAGCTTTGGGGTTAGTTTGTTCTTGTTTCTCTGCTTCCCTTTGGTATGATGTTAGATCATTAATGTAAGGTCCTTCTTTTTGAGGTAGGCATTTAGCACTATAGACTTTCCTCCTAACACTGCATTTGCTGGATCCCAGAGATTTTGGTATGTTGCATGTCTGTTTTCATTTATTTCAAAGAATTTTTTTAGAATTTTTTTTTATTTCTGCCTTAATTTTATTGTTTACCCAAAAGTTATTAGGGAGCAAGTTGTTTAACTTCCATATTATGTACCTTTGAGGAGTCTTCTTGGTATTGATTTCTATTTTTATTCCACTGCGGTCCAACAGTATGTTTGGTATGATTTTGATTTTCTTTTAATTTATTGAGACACTTTATGGCTGAGCATGTGGTTGATATTGGAGTATGTTCCATGTGCAGATGAGAAGAATGTATATTCTGTGGTTGATGAGTGGAGTATTCTGTAGCTGTCTATTAGGTCCAATTGTTGAATTTGAGTCCAGAATTCCTTTGTCAATTGTGTATTCTGTGGTTGGTGGAGTATTCTGTAGATGTCTATTAGGTCCAAGTGTTGAATTTGAGTCCGGAATTTGTCAGTTTTCTGCCTCAATGATCTATCTAATGCTGTCAGTGGGATGTTAAAGTCCCCCACTATTATCATGTGGCTAGTTTTATACAGTTGTAACCAGGCCTTGTCATATTTTATTTTCTTCTTCTTTACTTTATGTCATAAGCAGTTTTCCATGCTACAGTACATATTCATGATTGTAGACATGTTTTAATGTGTGTCAAATAGTCTGTAGAGTTGACCATTATTTATCCAACTTGCCATTGTTTGCCATATGGAGTCTGTTTCAAAGTTAACTTTGGTGTGCCTGAAACTTATAGATCATAACTGGTTAAATAATACTCTGAGTGGCAATCTCATACCTATGTGTCCCCATATCCCTGTGAATATAACATGTTTTCTATTACAGCGTGGAATTCCTGATTGGATATTACCTCAGATTTTTAAAACCTTTTTCACATGTATAATTTTTGCTTTCCAAATAATAATATTCTTAAGAACAATGGATGAGGCATTCTAGTTTACTTATCTCCCCAGACATTAGATACTTAATACATACTTCTGAGTTCTGTAAAATCAGCTCGGCCTCAGGTTGCCTGGCTACTTGTACTGTGGATGACACAGATTTTCAGCACCCCTTACCTCAAATATCATTCTGCTTAAAATGTGTGCATGATGTGTTTGTCTCTGTTCTAAAATTAGCTGTGCTTCAGTCTTCAAGAAAGCAATTCAGATGAATCACAGATTATCAGGATAACATCAAACTACAGAAGGAAAAATGAATAATACAGGTCAAGATAAGCCCCAGAGTGCCTCCCTAAAGAACTCGATTCTAGGCCATGAGGATATTTTATTCTCCAGCTGGACTCTAAATCCTACTTTGGATGCTGATGTGTTATTCTGTTATGATTTTTCAAGGCAATGACTATGCTTTATATTTGGTTGGTAGTTTCTCTCATGGAATTCTTTAACTTTATTTTCGCCCTTGGTGAGTGCCATGTTCAAACCTGTGTCAGGTAATGCCATTCATGCAACATTACTTCGGTTTATAAGCTGGCCTGAACCATTTGCACCCTCTTTTAGTGAGTGCTTAGCTTAGAGAAAAGCTTTCCTTGGCTTGTCAAAAAAAAAAAAAATGTGCAGTGAGTGCTTAGAACATTTGTATACTGATATTATTGCCTCTGACCAGAAGCAACCTATTTCTGTAAAGGTGTCTTCGAATAAGACTATCTAACCACTCTTGCCTCCTACTCAAGAAAACGTATCCCCTCAATTATAAAATAAAAATTTCCTGGCTCGAGAACATTACTTTATTTAAAAAGCTGTGTCCATAAATTTGATATTTTCGTTGTATAGTGAGACATAAAAACATGAAGCATTTGCTTTTAAATTTTCATTTAGGTAAAATGATTTTAGATTATATACTAAAAATGGCAGAGAAGAAAATTCTGGTTGGAAAAATTGCCATTGCTGGCACAAGAAACAGAATTATTTGTCTGGATGGAACTCAATACATATTTTTAACTGATACAGAATTAGGGGTATCCTGGAATGTTCAAAAAGACTTCAGAAGATGTGGTCTTTGAGCCGAGCCTGCCTGTGTAAAATGGTAGATGAAAGGAAAAAGGACATTCCAGGCGAGAAATGAAATGTAGGCCATCTCAAGGGGGCAGAGAGAACCTGGTACTTTAGTGTGAATAATGGAGGATTAAGGAAGAAAGATAAGCTAGGGTCAAACTGTGCAGAGTCCCAAATACCAGACCATTACTTAAGCTTTATATTTTAGACAATGAGGGAAATGTTGAACATGATGCAAGTATATTCTAGAAAAATTCGTGAGTTTTAAGATGACAGTCTAAATACAGTTTTGCTCCCATCTTCCCAGCTCTTCAACTGAAATAACAAAATTTAAAAAGGAGAGCAAATCCATGACACTTACAGAAACATGAATGGGGACCAGAAATGGACAAAGTTCTGGAAGATGGAAAGGGCATAGGATTATATTGCCAGCTAAATAAGAGCAAAAATTGAAAAAGAAATAAAATAGCTAATTTAGATGAAGTAATTCAGAGAATAGAAGAAAACGTTTAATAAATATCCTTAAACAGACAAAAAGTATTGCATCCCTTAAACTTCACGGCCCCACTCCTCCCAGAAAAAAAGAGTTGCTATGAATAAGAGGTAATCAGAAAGTGCAAGAGCTTTGGCGAATTAAAAATATAATTAAATCAAAAATCAATTGGACTTAGTGTGGCTGAGAGTATCACAGGGTATAAAGCAAAAGATGAAAAGACAGAAAATACTAGAAAAGTATTAGAGAAATAGAAGAATGATCTAAATGGCCTGGCATTCTTTATGAAGAGTTTCAAGAAGACATTGAAGACAAAGAAATAAAGGCATAAAGATTCAGATTAAAAGAGGCTACTGAATGTTGACCACGATGAATTTAAAAAACCCAAACCTAGGTCCACCCTCATGAAATTTCAGAATAAAAGAGATGTTAGAGCTTGAGGGTCAGAGAGAAGAGTGATTACATACAGAAGAGTGATCACCTGAATGTTATAGACATCAATATGCAATTCTGAAGCCTCAGAAGCAGTGGAACCATGCTTTCAAAGTTCTGAGGGAAGTGATTTTGGACATTTCAACTATCAATAAAATATAAAAACAAATAGATAACTTCTAACATGAAAAGGTTTGAAAACTTTACGTCTCTGTATCTCTCAAAAAATAATTTCTAGATGAACTCCAGCAAAGTAAAAGAGAAAAAATAAAGAATAACATAACATCTAAAAATCTATGGAACTAATGAAAGAATCCAATTACAAGAAGTATAAGAAATACCAGGATGCTAGCAGGGATATCAAAGCAATTTGTTCAAATTAGTAAGTAAGTTTCATGCAGAATGTTTTGAAGAAAAACCCAGATTCTATGGTTTATACTTAGACCTAGAATCTGAGTATTTTTTATCATAAGATAACGGTATATGCTTCTTCTGTCAATAAAAAAGTAGTTAAAAGCTCTAGAAAAAAATATATATTAAGATTCAAGTTTAATCTTAAATTGAATCATGCTTTTGAACAATAAATGGCATGTGAAAAAAATCCATTTGACTTTGATGTTTTCATTGGAACATTCTTCGGGTTGCAAGATTTAATGAGAGGATTATATTGCCTTCTCTATGGAGGTAATACCACTTGATTCTGGAGAGGATAAGAAATTACATAATCATAAATCCTCTTTACTAGATTTCAAGCTTAGAAGCAATCTGTGTCAAAACAGGGAAGATAACCATAGTCACAGAACATAATGTAGATGCTAGTCATTTTTATAAAGAAAACACAATGAGAAAACCATACAAATTCAAAGTAGGAAAGGCTGCAAGAAAACACAGTAGAGAGTCAACAGGTACTGTGCCTTGGAATCAGCCAAGAAATATAATTTTAAGAATTTTACTTAAAGGTTGTAAAAGTAACCACTAGAATAATTAAAACTATTACCAATAAAATTCAGAGGGGAGGTGAGAAGTAATTAAAATGTGTAATAGAAGCACTATAAATTTCTTTTATAATACAAAATAGATACTGTGTTGATAAGAATAGAATATACCTGAATTTTTAGAGTGACACTCATAAGCTCAGAAAAACTAAAAACAGAAATAAGTTTAAAAACATTAACTCTTTAAAATGGGATTGGGTAAAGGCAAAGGATAATAGTTAAGAAAGATGTTTACTTTTCATATTATACATTCTGTTCCTCAATTTTTAACATGTGTCTGTCTTATTAAAAATATAAATTGTTGGCCGGGCGTGGTGGCTTACACCTGTAATCCCAGCACTTTGGGAGGCCGAGGTGGGTGGATCATGAGGTCAGGAGATCAAGACCATCCTGGTGAACACTGTGAAACCCCGTCTCTACTAAAAATACAAAAATTTAGCCAGGTGTGGTGGCAGGCGCCTGTAGTCCCAGCTACTCGGGTGGCTGAGGCAGGAGAATGGCATGAACCCAGGGGTCAGAGCTTGCAGTGAGCAGAGATTGCGCCACTGCACTCTAGCCTGGGCAACAAAGCGAGACTCCTTCGCAAAAAATATATATATATATACATATATATATATAAATTGTTTACATATATTAATGGATTGGAAGGAAGGGGAATAGAAGTAGAGAGATTCTTGGAAGTTATTGCAGTTGTCTACATTTCAGGTAACATGAATCTGTTGGAAATGAAAGATTGAGAGAGGCAATTGGAGAAGAATTGGTAAGATTTGGTGGTCCAGTAGATGTTCTGAAGAGGACAGGTTAAAAAATGAATATGAAGCAAAGATGAATAATATTTTTAGATTCATTAAAGAGATAATTGAAACTGAAGCCACTGACTAAATGATGCCCAGGATAATTCTTAATTTTTTTATTTACTGATGCCTTGCTGTTTTTCACTGAGTACTATGTCTCCAGGATAGCTGAGGAATCAAAATATAACCATTTTACTATATTGTCAAATATTGTCAAGTATGTACCGTAATAAGAATATGACAACCTAAATTTGTTTTTTATTTAATCACAAATGTCAAATATACTACCATAAAGAACCACCGTAGGGCACAGTAAAAAATAAGTTAAATAACATAATTTTTTGGTCATAATGTTCATATAAACAAAGCGTTGATGCTTCAGGCTAACAGTGTATGCTGGCTCTATCAGACACCTTTCAATGATTTGGTTTGTAGCAGGGGGAAAGTGCCCAAGTGTTATTGCATTAGAAGCACTCAGAGTTCTGGAGCTATCTTGTTCTGGTACCATGAGCTGGGATTTTTAGCAACTTTCAGGTCTTTGTCCTCGTTCCTAAAGGTTTTTAAACTCCTAACTTGAAACTAGGAGGAATAGAGATTTTCTCCAACCCCTCTGTAAATGATGAACTCTGTGTCCCTCTCCCTTTTATTCATGCTCTGACAGCATCCTTGACTCATGAAGTATCTTTTGCAATAGTTGCTGAAAGCCTTTTGACTATAAATGCTGTTTTCTTCAGAATGAAGTAGAACAAAGCATTTTATGCAAATGAACCTATTTCAGTTCTATTGATAACGATATAACTTGCTTTTATTCAGTAAATGAAGAAGAGAATCTGAAGATGAATAAAATTTACTACGAGTATCTGCAGATCAGGATCTGAAAGTTAATTTAACCTTCATTTCCCATTTTGGAGAGAATTATAATCATGCAAAAATTTGGTTCTTACATTTGCCTGGCTGATATTCAAGGGGAATTTAGAAATAGACCTTTTCAGTAAATTTAGTATTGTCCTTTATATCATAGACAATGTTAAGGATGGCAACATCTCTCATTGCTATAGGACATTCTCTTTTGTCAGATAAACTAGTGCTAACCTCTGAGGGGACTGATTCTTTAATTCGTTGCTGCTTGTTTTCTTTCTCCATGTTGTGAGTAGCTATTAATACAATGATGAATTTGCTTGGAGGGTGAGTGAGAAAAATATAAAAAAATACAGGTTAACTATAAATTTTAGAATTATATAATTGGGAAACACTAGAGGGTTATTCTGAAGTCTTTTTAGTGAAATCCAGCTTCTCACCTTGATTAGTACTAGCAAAGCCATATTTCTACTCTTGATCAAATGTGTCCTTTATAGAGTATTTGTACAAAGCATGACATAAGCATGGATTTGCAGCTGTTTCATAACCACTGTGAAGTTTCTTGGCTCTGCTCCACAGCACTGTGTCCAAGTTTCAGGAACTCTTCTCAAGTACTGTGAATGTGGAAGGAGGCCACTTGTGGAATGATTTACTTTACCCAGAGTTGAGTGTTTTGCGTGCAGAATGTGAAGCTGCTGTTCAGCCTGTTGTGTCCAAATGTAAGTGACTGGCCAAAGAAACTTTTTTTGGAGCTTGTCATCCAGCCTCAAAACTTACCCTCTGTGGATCTTTGCATGTTCTAACCATCAATAGGAAATAGCAATGCTATAACTTTTCATTTCTTCCAGCCAATAATCCCCTATGAATTTTTTAGCTGATATTTTAATGAGCTTAAAACATTGTGATTCTGACTTTAATGATGTACTCGATTGTAATTAAAGCAGTTATAAAGATGAGACAGTCGTGGCTGAATGTTCCCAACTCTATGTGCTCTTCACCCTAGGAGGACAGGGACTCAGAGGTAACAACTCGGATACTGTTAACATTTACATCATCAGAATTCATTTCACTAAATTGCCGTCCTCTCTGTAGTTTTTTAATAAAGCAAGCTGAAGTTATTTTCAAACAGTAGCTTAGAAGTCTAGCAGTTCCACTGAACATAGTCCAGTGGAATAATCAGATGTAGTAATAGATTCTTCCAAGAGCATTTATGAAGGATTCCAAATAGGAATGTTTACAGGTTCTTCTCTTTGTTTACCAAGTACAGAGGAAGCTTTGCTTATGCTGATACCAGGTGGCAAAACTAACATTCCAGGTTAGGCCGAAACCAAATTCAATCTTACTCTTTCTATACACGGTGGGGCATAAGTTTCTAAAGGTAGTTAGGTTTTACAGTGCCAAAAGAAAAACTTAGAATTTTTGTCTTGAAATGATAGGGAACCCCTGAAGACTTCTAAAAATGAAAGGAGGGAAGATAGAGCTGGTGGTGAGATGTGAATTGATTGTGAAGCAAGGAAACCTCTCTAGAGAGACTCATGAGGTAGGTGAGAGGAAGGAGCGTGTCTGAAGCAGGGTGTGAGCAGCGGGAGAGGAATGGGCAGGACATACCTGTCCCCCTGTGAAATGAACAGGTATGATGTCTGAATCAGACAGATGGGTAGAGAGGGAAAAACATTCTGAGGATTCAAAGCTAAGTGCTGGCTATCAGTTTAGCTCAAGCAGGAGATCTGGAGAGGGAGCCAAGTAGGAGAGAAGCTTCCTCATTAAATGTACTGTGTATTGTCTAAACCAATGGCCGCAACCTAATTTCTGTGCATGCCTCTGACCTGCTTATTCAGCAAGTGAGAGAATGCAGCGATGAATATGGACACCACACCACAGTCTCACATTTTTACAAGGTGCTTTTGGAAACCTGAATGGAGATTTGACTTTTTTTTTTTAGTTGCTTCCATGGCAACCCTCCCCATGAAAACAGGCGCAGTCTGCAGAGGCCTGTTCTTTTCTGTTGATGTTTGTCACTACCACATGGGGTCAGGTTTGTTCTTTCTCCCTCCCCAAAAATATTTGCTAGCTCTGTGGAAAAACTGCTGTTGCCCTAAACAGTTTACCTGCATCTGTACCCCGCTGTTCCTGTGCCAAGGTGACTAGGGACCTTCTGTGTGGCTTTGGCATCCCTCAGTTTCCAGATATAAAGCAGAGGACAGGTTCCCTCTACTCTCAAATTCCCATGGGCATGGCTGGGGATAGGAGAGCAGGCAGAGTCCCTCTTCAAGGACACTCACCAGCTCCTAACCCAACATCTCTAACCAGTCATGTAGTCTTGTGGCTTATAGTACGAACTTTAGTTTCTGAATCTTTGAAAGATCTTAAGCTTTTGATACTTGAAAATGAGACTCTGAGGCTCATAAACATTTCTTCAGGGTTTTTTCTCTGCCATGGGCTTACAAGTTGATTTTGAAACTCCGAAGTTGAACATTCATTCTTTTCTTCCTCTCTTGCATTCCTGCCCCATGCTGAAAACTCAGCGAGTAAAGAAGGTTCAGCAGGTGTGTGTGGCAGGTTTTCCAAAGTGGGTTACTACAATCTCTCCCATCCCACAGGTTTTCTTGCAGTGTGAGATTGACATTCCTCCTAGTTATGTTACCAGTGGTGTTGATAGCCCTTCCTCTTGAATCTGGGTGGAACTTTGTGGCAGCCCTGACCAGCAAAATACAATGGAAGTGATGCTCTGTGACTTCCAAGACTAGGTTTTAAAACTGCCATGCCCTTCTGCCTGCTCATTAGGGATGCTTGTGCTAGGAACCCAGCCACCATGCTGTGAGGAGCCCAGGCCACATGGGGAAGCCTTGCATAGGTGTTCCAACCAGAGCCCCAGCTGAGGCCCCAATTAAAAGGCAACGTCAGCCACCAGTCATGAGACTGAGGAAGCCTTTATGAAGACTTCAGCAGTCAGTCACCTTCCAACCATAGCTACATGAGAGACCATGGGTGACAACCACCTAGCCAAGCCCAGTCAACCTCCAGAATGACAAGAGATAATAATAAAATGATTATTGCTATTTTAATCCACCAAGTTTAGAGTCACAATAGAGAACCAACAGGGTTTTTCTGTTATCTGTTAATGCATAACAGCCTACCACAAAACTTATTAACTTAAAATAACCATTTGTCCTACATTATGGTTTTGTGGACCAGGAGTTCAGGAAGGTCTTGGTTAGGTGGGTCCTTTCTAATCCATATATCCATATAGTGTCAGCTGTGGTGGGTGAAGATGCAGGATGCTTCCTCAGTCACATATTTGGAGCCTTGGTACTCTTTGTGGTCTCTCCTCTCTTCCCCTCCCTCTCCATGTGTCCCACCCTCTGGGCCTCTCTACATGGTTGGTACTTCCCCCAGAGTAGCTAGACTTCTCACAGGGCAGCAGACCTGCCTTCTTACAGAGCAGCATGGTAGTCCCAGGGTAGCTGAACTTCTCACAGGGCAGCTGACCTTTAAGAGACAAAGGCAAAAGCTGCCTGTCATTGTAAGGTCTAGGTCAAGAACTGGTCGGCATCATTTCTACCAAAATCTATTGATCAAAGCTGCCACCATGATTCAAAGGGAGGAGAAATAAATCCAACCTCTAGAATGGAAGGGTAAGAAAAAATTATGGCCACAGGGGCAAGGCAGGAACCTAGGTTTATATCTCAAAATGTTACCTTACAAATCTTATTATACCTGTTTTATGGGTGAAGAAGCTGAAGCTAGAGGAGTTAAGTAATTTGGCCAAGGTTACACAACTTGTAAGCACTTGGATTCAAATCCAAAGCATATGCATCAAAACCATGAACTCTGAATTTTGCTATTCTTCTATGCAAAATATAGTAAATATATAATGTATACTATATTTTCTTAATTCCCCAGTACTAACTTTTATAAGGAAGATAACATCCCCCAACCCCCCAAACACATACACATTACAGCTCTAATTTTAGAAAAACCTAGAGAACTATTCTAAATGACCTGATTTGGGTCATAGGCCTATCTCTGCATCAATCCTCAGGGTCTGGAGGATGGAATAATTATATTTGGCAAGCTCTGCTACAACCACAAGGATTGAAGAAATAATTTCCCGAAAGAGGGAGGAGCAAACAAAATAATGTTCACTGTGCATGCTCTTTATACTGCAAGCCATTATTTCTCATTCATGATTTCATTGCATCATTGAAGGCAGATAGGATCTGTCCCAGTGAGACTGGAATTGTGGGCTGGTGGGAATGGCGTGAAGACAGGCTGTGTAGAGAAGTTCATTCCAAGCATTGATTCTAGATCTATCAGCTAACTATTAACTCATTATGTCTCACATATTAAGACTAAGACCTCTGGTTTTCCTAGGGGGCTGATTCCTTTATGTAGAAGTTAAATGGAGGCTTCTTAAAGGAGGCCCATTATGTTTTCATGTGCTACACTATGCAGTTGGACCCTTCATTTCTACTTTCTGTACATGTTGAGTCAATGTGAATTGAGAATAGGAAGATGCTTGGTGTCTAAGCACTTGAGGAAACAAAACATAAGCTCTAATTAAAACATTTCTGATGGGAAACTTAGTCTTACTTCATGATTTCCAGTTGCATTTTTTTTCCTAATGAAATAAGCTGCTTTAATTTTCTTTTTAAAAATTTTATTTGGATGAGGTCAGAAAATGAGGAATTTCTCTTCCATTACTCACACTGCTTTCCAGCTGCCGGCCTCATGTTCCCTTGACACGCTGTCGAGGAGCCATCCAGAAGCCATAGCTCTGCCATGGTACACACCAGACTTGACAGAGAAGTTCCAGGCTCAGGAAGACGCTTCCTTCCAATGTCCCTGGTTGCCACTTGATGGCCTGGGTTCTGAGTAGCTCTGGAACTCTGGAAGTCCCTGGTACCTGATGGAATGACCATTGCCCCACTTTCTCCTGACTTCCTTTGTATGTATATTAAGGAGTTGCCACTCAGCTTGCACTCTTTAATATCAAAGTCAGAAATAAAGCCCAGTGAGTTAGTTGATTTTTAAGAACCCTAAGGAAATCTTCTCTGGGAAGCTTCTGAATCGTCTGCAAGATAATTTATTTGTTAGCAGTACTTGGAGTCTCTTCATTTCTCTTGCCACCCAACTGAGCCCAAGGTGCCTTTTAATCCCTTTTAGCTGTCCTATGCAGTCACTTCAACAAGATGCATTTTATTTTAAGATGGAAATAAAATAGAGAAAGGAAATAGAGGAATTTCATAAAATTGGACATAGACACGTTTTAACGAGAGCACTCAAATAGACATGTCTGTATCTGGATGGTTGAATTATAACAGTCTTGGCATAGTGAAAATGAAAGCAGATTGTAGCTTTGAATACAAATACCAAAAAAATGCCTGCAGTTTCCTTTCCCTCCAGAAGGTATCAAAGAAATGGACATTGCTAGCTGACGCTTACTGAGAAATAAAATAGCTAATCACTATATAAGGACAAGAAAATTATTTTTTTCTCTATCAATCACATATACTGCTAACACCAAATCCTAGCATTTCTTCCTCCTTCCCCCTCCCTTTTTCTTAACCATAATTTACAGCTCCTCTCCCTCCATTTCTTTCAATCTCTCACCCTCATGGATACTGCTATCCTGTACAGCCTCCCATCCCTGGGTCCTTTTTATTCTCTCTGTCTCTCAGCCCTTGTATGTTTTTATTTCCTTGCTTCCTACACGGAAGTGCCGTTTTATGGCAGCAGTCTCTTGCCTCTGCAACCATCAGCTATCTCATCCCTGCCACTCCCCACCCTGGATTCTGCATTCTTCCTTCCAGGTTAATCAGACCTTAGTGGAAGGTAGACTGAGCTAGGGAAAAAGAATGACATGTTTGACATCTGGCAAGTGTGTTTGTGCTCAGCTCTGCCACTTCCTGTCTGGTTATTTGGCTAAGTTATTGAACTAGTTACCTCCTGTGACAATTGGGACTTAGAATAGCCCCCTTTCTTGTGAGAATAAAGTACCTCCTCATTGTTAAGCATAGCACTTGGCCCATAAAAAGTATTCAAATATTAGGTGTTGCTATTAATGTGATTAGAGAATATTCCACATCTCTGTTGCCACTACTAACACTCCTGCAAATGCCTGGTTTCTAACTTTGGTTTTAAGCCAAGTTCTTTACAACAGACTTTAAAAGCCCTGCACATTCTGGTTTCTCTGTGATCTTTCTGACCTTATCTTCTACAGTTATCTCTCCCATCCCCACAATACGCACACATTCACACTCACTGTGCTACATACATGTGACCTGACTTCCTTAATGTTTCTTGAACAAATCATGCTCCTACCTCAGGGCCTTTGCACTTTCTGTTGGCTCTACCTGAAATATTCTTCTGATATCACAGGTCTATGTCCCTCACCTCTCTCAGGTCATCGATTAAAGATTATCTTTTCAGGAATGTCTACCCTGGTCACCCCATTTAAAATTACAACACCCTTCCTCTGCAGTCCAAGTCCTCCTTCCTTGCTTTAGTTGTCTCTATAGCATTTGCCACCATCTGACACACTACATATTTTACTTATATATTGTCTGTCTCCTGACCCTACCACATACACTTGCTCATACACTCAAGTGTAAGTTCAGGGAATTTTGTCTACAAATTTCTGCATCTCTGATGTCTAGAATTGTTCCTAGCACATAGTAAGTTCTCAATAAATATTTGTAGAATGAATGATTGAGGACTAATTAAAATATTACTATCTTAATGAAGCTTTTCTAGTGTCCCCAGGCCTGACTACTTTCTTTTCTATATTCCTAATACTTAATACACTTTTCATTATAACTTTTATCACATTGTATTTTTATGGAAAACACATTTAAAGCTCTTAAATTTAGCCAGATGGTATAATTCAAAAGTACATTTTTGTTTAATAGACTGAAACCTCACATTGTACAGATTTGATTGAATGATTACAGAAATCATAATGCTCTGAGTATTTTTAAATTGCATTCACATCATGTTCTATGAGTTATTCTACAAAATTAAATCCAAGCTTGAGAAAATCTAAGAAAAAGCAGATTAGAAATAAATTCCAACACAGAGAGAAATCTTGTCTCATGCAATGGCATGTTCTGTGTTTTCACATCATGGACACCTTGCTATTTTGCTAGCAAGTATGAGACTTAAAAATTCTGCCTTTTGAGCATAAATAATCTGCAAAGACAAGTAATCTCAAAAGTCAATTCTAGAGGAGCATACCTGTGCATGTTGGTTTTGAAGAGGCTTTCTTCATCTGGAGGAAAACATTATTCACCAATTTTTTTTAAAATAAAATGCTATTACTTAAGGCCAGGAGGTATTTGCATGTCATGGAAATTTCACCAGATCCAGAAGAACTAATAAAATCTTCCTATGCCTCTGGGTGAAAGGTAGTGAGGAAGAACCAATCTCAAATACATTTCTGTGCCACCAGTGCAATTTCAGTGCCGGTACCACTGGCTGGCCAACCATATACTTTTTCACTGCTATCATTTTGGGTGTGGAGCATATATTTCAGCCATTGATAACTACTGTACCTGCCATTCCCTACTGGAAAATATCTTAAAATATACACATGGGGGAAATGGCTTGTCCTGAGCCAGCAGAGGTGACTGCTAAGTGGAATCTTCTGTCTGTATTTGAGGTGATAATGATCTAAGGAAGCCCCGATCTAAGGTGATGTGACAGCTGTGAATGCCTTTGACAGCAGTGATTATCAGCTTCAGTGAACACATTTTTAACCTGAAAAAAGGCATTCATGTGATGAGTAGGTGTTTCTGGGATTGAGTCAAGATTAACATTCATTCCTGGCTAGGGAATTCATGTCTTCTCTGCTATCATAGTTGAGAATTTCTCAAGTCCAAGGCAATGCAAAAATCCCTGTTCTAGATGAACCATATGTGTTGGAGAAGTGGAGGGATGATGATTTCTGTCAATACAGAATTATTTGTACTCTCTGGCCTAAGTTCTAAGAGAAACATGATTGTGCTATAAGCTAGGGACTCGAAATTAAAATTCGAGTTAATGCCAGGGTTCAGTCTTCCTCAATTGCACCTGTGTGCTGGGACCTCTTCCTGGGTTTTTTTTTGTTTTGTTTTTTTGTTTATTTTTGGCTCCCTGTTCTCATGCTTCCAGCTCTGTATCCTCTGGGTCCATTTTAGAAATCCAGCTCTCCAAACAGGCACTTTAAACATTTGTTTGTTTGTTTGTTTGTTTTTTATTTTTGGTGGATCTAGACCTCAAGAGGGGCCTGAAAGTAGGATCAATTCATCTGATGCCTAACAGTTGGTCATTAATTAACATATCCTTCCTGTATTGCTGGGAGCTTTTTAGTACAGATAGTTGCTGATTCCCATTAGTTGCAGATACGTTAGATACACCCTTGATTTAGTATATCTCTTCCTGGAATATCTTGCTTCAGTCATAAAATTCATGTTTTTATGAAAAATTGCAGTGGTCACCAAAAAAGAGAATTTTAGACCAATATCCTTGATGAACATTGATGCAAAAATCCTCAATAAAATACTGGCAAACTGAATCCAGCAGCACATCAAAAAGCTTATCCACCATGATCAAGTGGGCTTCATTCCTGGGATGCAAGGCTGGTTCAATATACGCAAATCAATAAATGTAATCTAGCATATAAACAGAACCAAAGACAAAAACCACATGATTATCTCAACAGATGCAGAAAAGGCCTTTGACAAAATTCAACAACCTTCATGCTAAAAACTCTCAATAAATTAGGTATTGATGGGACGTATCTCAAAATAATAAGAGCTATCTATGACAAACCCACAGCCAATATCATACTGAATGGGCAAAAACTGGAAGCATTCCCTTTGAAAACTGGCACAAGACAGGGATGCCCTCTCTCACCACTCCTATTCAACATAGTGTTGGAAGTTCTGGCCAGGGCAATTAGGCAGGAGAAGGAAATAAAGGGTATTCAAATTAGGAAAAGAGGAAGTCAAATTGTCCCTGTTTGCAGATGACATGATTGTATATCTAGAAAACCCCATTGTCTCAGCCCAAAATCTCCTTAAGCTGATAAGCAACTTCAGCAAAGTCTCAGGATACAAAATCAATGTACAAAAATCACAAGCATTCTTATACACTAATAACAGACAAACAGAGAGCCAAATTATGAGTGAACTCCCATTCACAATTGCTTCAAAGAGAATAAAATACCTAGGAATCCAACTTACAAGGGATGTGAAGGACCTCTTCAAGGAGAACTACAAACCACTGCTCAAGGAAATAAAAGAGGATACAAACAAATGGAAGAACATTCCATGCTCATGGGTAGGAAGAATCAATATCGTGAAAATGGCCATACTGCCCAAGGTAATTTACAGATTCAATGCCATCCCCATCAAGCTACCAATGACTTTCTTCACAGAATTGGAAAAAACTACTTTAAAGTTCATATGGAACCAAAAAAGAGCCCACATCACCAAGTCAATCCTAAGCAAAAGAACAAAGCTGGAGGCATCATGCTACCTGACTTCAAACTATACTACAAGGCTACAGTAACCAAAACAGCATGGTACTGGTACCAAAACAGAGATATAGATCAATGGAACAGAACAGAGCCCTCAGAAATAACGCCACATATCTACAACTATCTGATCTTTGACAACCCTGAGAAAAACAAGCAATGGGGAAAGGATACCCTATTTAATAAATGGTGCTGGGAAAACTGGCTAGCCATCCTATGTAGAAAGCTGAAACTGGATCCCTTCCTTACACCTTATACAAAAATTAATTCAAGATGGATTAAAGACTTAAACGTTAGAAACCATAAAAACCCTAGAAGAAAACCTAGGCATTACCATTCAGGACATAGGCATGGGCAAGGACTTCATGTCTAAAACACCAAAAGCAATGGCAACAAAAGCCAAAATTGACAAATGGAATCTAATTAAACTAAAGAGCTTCTGCACAGCAAAAGAAACTAGCATCAGAGTGAACAGGCAACCTACAAAATGGGAGAAAATTTTCGCAACCTATTCATCTGACAAAGGGCTAATATCCAGAATCTACAATGAACTCAAACAAATTTACAAGAAAAAAACAAACAACCCCATCAAAAAGTGGGCAAAGGACATGAACAGACACTTCTCAAAAGAAGACATTTATGCAGCCAAAAGGCACATGAAAAAATGCTCACCATCACTGGCCATCACAGAAATGCAAATCAAAACCACAATGAGATACCATCTCACGCCAGTTAGAATGGCAATCATTAAAAAGTCAGGAAACAACAGGTGCTGGAGAGGATGTGGAGAAATAGGAACACTTTTACCCTGTTGGTGGGACTGTAAACTAGTTCAACCATTGTGGAAGTCAGTGTGGTGATTCCTCAGGGATCTAGAACTAGAAATACCATTTGACCCAGCCATCCCATTACTGGGTATATACCCAAAGGACTATAAATCATGCTGCTATAAAGACACATGCACACGTATGTTTATTGCGGCACTATTCACTATAGCAAAGACTTGGAACCAACCCAAATGTCCAACAATGATAGACTGGATTAAGAAAATGTGGCACATATACACCATGGAATACTATGCAGCCATAAAAAATGATGAGCTCATGTCCTTTGTAGGGACATGGATGAAATTGGAAATCATCATTCTCAGTAAACTATTGCAAGGACAAAAAACCAAACACCGCATGTTCTCACTCGTAGGTGGGAATTGAACAATGAGAACACATGGACAAAGGAGGGGGAACATCACACTCTGGGGACGGTTGTGGGGTGGGGGGAGAGGGGAGGGATAGCATTAGGAGATATACCTAATGCTAAATGACGAGTTAATGGGTGCAGCACACCAGCATGACACATGTATACATATGTAACTAACCTGCACATTGTGCACATGTACCCTAAAACTTAAAGTATAATAAAAATAAAAAAAAATTGCAGTGCCTCCTACCTGTTAAAAGATTTCATTATTTTCTTCAGTAGTTATTGATGTGTCTGACCTGAAACCCAGCCTCTTAAAAATATCTTTAAGAACATCTTATCAAATCTAGTAAACATATCTCTTTCCTTATCTGATTCATACTCTCTGTGACATTTGACCTTAGAGACCTCTCCCTCCTTTGTGAGACCTGCTTCTCCTATGGGCCCACTGAAATCACTCCTTCCTGTGATTTGCCCTACTAGGTAAAACCCTTCACAGTCTCTTTTTGCAGGTTTCTCTTTTATCATCAGCCTTTAAAGAGTTTCATCTCGGGTCTTCTCTTTCCCCCTGAATGAGAGCGCTCACAGCTGTAATGACCACCTGTTACGTAACTTCCTCCAAATAATATGTGTCTCCAAGTCAAACACACCTCATCACATTAAGACCTATATATTCCCTTATTCAACAAATACTTAGTGAACACCCATACTACATGCTAGTATTTACCACTAGCATGTTCTAGAGGTACTTCTCTATGTCCAAAACACATTATGAGAAACTTTATCGCAAAAGAACAATTTAATCTGTATTCCTTAGCTTGATAAATGGTACTATTATCTACTTGGCCACTCAAGCCATACACTTGGGATTCATTTGAGATGTCTCTTCCTCCTTCATTACCCACTCTTAACTCCCACCGACGATTGCATCCACATCCAATTAGTCACCAAATCCTGAGTTATACCCCATGAATTTTACGACCCCTTGCCTCTGTTTAGTTTAGGTCTTCAAAATAAGTCAAAGAGTGATGAAGACCTAAACTGCTTCTTCAGTATATCCACCATACTACTGTCAACATCAGACTTTTTTGTTATGGTGCAAGTGTCACCGTAAATTTCCCTTCCTATGGCACTTTGTGGTTCCAGGTCACCTTCAGAATTAAGATCAAGCTCCTTAGCTTGGCCATAAGACCTTTCTGCACCTTCATCCTTGCCCCATCTCCTACCACTGTGTTTGCCGTCCATACTAAACAGCCTGCTGTTTCCGAGAGATGTTATAACCTTCCCTACCTCTGTATGTAGGAATAGTTGCATGAAAAGCCCTTTATCTTCCCTCTACACTGCCATTCCTCTTTTAAATGACAATATAGCCTAATGGATAAGCATGTGAACTTTTGGGCTAAGAAAACCTAATATCCAATCCTGAATGAGTTGCTTCTCTTTGAGCTTAATGTTTTCTCATTAGGGTTGTTGTGAGAATCAAATCAAATGATATTTGTTGAATAAATGAATTGATTATATATTCATTGAGTGCCTACTATCTGCCAGGTCCTGTTCTAGGAACTGCAGATAGAGCGGTGAACAAAACTCCTGAAGCCCTTGCTCTAAGGGGTCTCACATTCTGTCTGGTGCATAGAAAATGAACTATAAAGAAAAAGGTTACTATTATTATTACTCATCCAAGATTTTAGGTGTACTTTTCGGACCTACTTCCAAGTTTCCATTCTGACTTAGGTGCTCACCTTCGATGGTCCCATCCCACCCTATGTTGCACCATTGCTGTAGCACTTGTGTTGTAATCATAATTGACAATTATTTTTACCCTTGCTCACCTACAACACTGAGAGTTCCTTGAAGTGAAAGCCTGAGGCTTTTTTTTTTTTACCAGCTCCTAGTATACAAGGAAGCCAGTTTTAAGTTTCAAATGGATGAATGAATGTTTTAGGATATGCCTAACATGTTACTTAAAAATTACATTTACCACTAAAGAGCATTTGCTGTATAGCCACTGGGTTAAGTGCTTTAAATACATTATATAATTTAATCTCCATCTCCACAGCAGCACTATGGAGAAACCAGCATTATTACCCTACTTTATCGATGAGGAAACTAAATGTTAGAGATACAAAGTAACTTGCCAAGGTCATAGAACCTGCATCTGGTGAAGTCAATCCCAGGCCCCAGGCCCCCTCTTTAATGCTGATGCTTGGTGACAGGAGTTATTTTCCAATAGGCAGTTGGAGGTGAAGGGCAATGGTCAGCACATGCTTTATTTTAGATATGCCAGCACATGCTTTATTTTAGATATGCCTGTGTACATAAGACAAAACCTAAATCCACAGTCATACGTACAAACACATTTTAGCTTATTTTTTTTTTCCCTTAGGATGACCTGGGTAATTCTCCCTACCCTGCTGGGTAGTGGGGAACCGGAAATAGTCTTAAACTTGCTAGTTCACAGTATTACAGCCTCTTCCATTTTAGACCATCTTTGGATGGATGGCTTCATCTCTTGGGTGACTATTCGATCTCTATATATCTTTCCTTTCCCCAGCCCCTCTGCAAGATGGTGTCTGTAGGAATATGTGAGTGGGGCTTATAGGAGCACAACAGGGTTGGGAGAGTAGGGGCCTCCTGGTCTCATGCTGGTTCTTGGGCTTGTAATATCTGAGTCTGCTGAGGAGTCACTGGTCTGATCTCATCCATGGGCACTCTGCTGGTGGTCTATGCTGACCCCTACAGCTGTAGTATCTCTCTCTCTACAGATGTGGCCCTTGCCCCTGTGTAGATTCCTCAGAGCTAGCTATTTCTCCTATTTGGGCTCTGCCTTAAATGTTCCATCCTGTGGACCCACTTAAATATCACTTCACCTCTGCTGTAAAGACACTCCCTCCTGACACCCTCTACCACCACCACCATCACAAACTCAGCCCTCTGATAGCAACATCTCCTCCACTTCCTGATTATCCCCTTACAGGACGGACAGAAACTTCTAGATATCTTCTACATGGCATGCTAGCAAAAGAAGAGTCTGAGAGTGAAATTTAAGCCAACCCTCTCCTTAACCATACTAAGCTACTGATTTTAGTCTTTACTGTGATGAAGCTACACCTTGCTTGGTGTTGGGGAGACCCTCTTTATGGCAGTGGTTTCCTAGAGTATCAAATGGGAAATGATGCAAAAGGAAGTCCCTTAGGTTTAGGCTTTGCCTTCAGCCTATCCAATGTCTCCCTTCTGGGATTTGAGCCTGGAGACCTGAAGCTGGGAGGCCCTTCCTTGCTCTGCCTTCATCCATTCTTTCTACCCTCACTTGGGGCTGGAAAGAGTGAATTCTTCCCTCATCCTTCCTGAATTTTCTGTACTTTTCCTACATCGTACCATTCCGCTTCCCAAAGTGGAATTTGCCCTCCCTTTTCCCTAGGGCTCAGCTGGAAAATGGCTTCCAGGTAACCTGATTTATGAGGAGAGGAATGAAAACACATCTGTTTAATATTTTCAAATTATTACCCCTGTTACCCCTGCATCTCAGAGGGTAATCACTGGTCTCTGGAGTTCTGTGGGTCCCTTTATAGTAGTGTGGCTCAGAGCAGTCTTAGAGGAAGATTTACGCGGCCCTTGGGGCCCTTCACCTGACTCACAGCCCCTCCCTTTTTAGACCATCAGCCCAAATTCTTGGCCATCATCCCATCCCTTCCTTCATGAGCAGACTAGAAACAAAGTGGGTGTGTTCTCTCCACAAAATTAGTTGGTATGATCAATGAACTATGCATTCAAATTCTGACAAATTTAGTCCCCACAATGACACAAATTATGTTTTACATACTACTTAAATATGGGATCATGGAAAAGTGATCTGTACTAAAGAACCCAGATTGAGAACATACTCTGAGGACATTAAATATTTGATTTGTAGACTGTGCCTTTCAATTTCAGACTGTCCCCCCAAAAAGGGGAAGTTTTGTGAAAGGAAGCAAATTAGTAAGGAAATTGACAGCAGCAGGTCAAGTAACAGAAACAGTAAGAGGAAGCATGGGTCTTTGCAAGAATGACTACACTCTCATGCCCCTTTAGCTCATAGTGCAATGTGAAGCTTGGTGTGTATCTTTGATACTTAGATATTCATCTGTGTACCTTGTAAGTCTTAGGTCAGAATTGGATCTGATTGTATAAGAAAAAAAATCTTATGTAAAGTGAGATGTGGACGAAGGAATCAACTTGTGCACTGTGGACTAACTGGAGAAGCAAAAGATAAAATTATTAAAATAATAGCCCAAGAGGAAAGTATAAAATAGGAAGGAAAATAAGTAGGGCCCCTTGTTTGAGATTATCCTTACCATCTGGGTTGTAAAACATTTGATTCTAATTCCAGAAACTTGATACCAGAAATAACTTATTACCAGGGACATATGCTGAAGAATTGTCAGGAATGACAAAGTGTTTACTTGTTTTTAATATCTGTATCACAAAATGATAAAGCTGATAAACCATACAGTGATGTGAAGGAGTGAGTCATAGCTTAATACTTTATGACACATATATTTATGCTGTATCTTTTACACCCCAATTCTTCCCTTTTCACCCTATAAAAGGTCAGAGACCACTGCTGATAAGCAAAGAATCCTTCAAAATCTCTCCTGGCTGGGCGTGGTGGCTCATGCCTGTAATCCTAGCACTTTGGGGCGGGTGGACTGCCTGAGCTCAGGAGTTCAAGACCAGCCTGAGCAACTCGGTGAAACCCTGTCTCTACTAAAATACAAAAATTAGCTGGGTGTGGCGGCGTGCGCCTGTTATCCCACCTACTCAGGAGGCTGAGGCAGGAGAATTACTAGAACCCAGGAGGCGGAGGTTGCAGTGAGCTGAGATTGCGCCACTGCACTCCAGCCTGGGTGACAGAGCGAGACTCTGCCTCTAAAAAATAATAATAAAAAAAAAATCTCTCCTCTCTGGAGGACAGTACTGAACATATGCAGGGTCTTTTCAGTTTATAATCTAATCCGTAGACTGCACAGTGCTAGCAATTCTGTTCACAGTTATCTTTTCACAACAGTCATCTTGGAAGTACTTGATTCTTACCTTGATTTATAATATTTATTGAGCTCACATTACAGATCATTACTGTCCAGTCACATTGATAAAACCATGTCACTTGGAAGCTCCAGTTCACCACTCCTAGCTGTGTGACCTTAAGCAGTTTACTTAATCTTACTAGTTTACTCATCTTTAAAATGGGAATAATAATAGTATCTGTCACATAGCCAATATATTTGAAAGCGGTATTGCAAGGATATAGAACAGCTTGAATGTTAAGCACTTTCAAATACTAAGTGAGGTGATCACTTTTGTAATTCAAATGGAAATAGAATAAATGTCAATGAATTAATGATCTGTATCAGGAGGCAGCATAAAGAATTTGAATTGGAGGGTTTTGGGTAACTGGTAAAATGGTGGTTATCTTTTTTTAAAAGAAAAACCCTCTTTGGGGATTCCTTTGTACAGATGATCTCTTAATTTGCCATCTTTAATCCTCACATTATTAAAGGCTACATTGATTAGAAGGAAATACAGCTTCCTTGTAGGTTTTTAGCTTTTTGGCTTGTTTTTGGGGAGATGGTTGCTGCTATTTGGAGAAAGGGAGAAAGGCAGAAATTTTAACCTTAGTCTGATACCTTTTCTACAAGCTGGCCACCAGGTCCTTTTTAGGTTTTTCTGAAACCTGACCAAGTTTAATTGTCATGGCATAAAAACTTGGTATTGAAGGAGTTAAAGGGTCTCCCACACCCCTTTGCATGAATCGTTCTTTTGTGTACACAGCTGCAGTGGCAGCACGGGTCGGAAAGGAAATGGTTAGAGGAAGAGCTGGTTTTCAGACAAGGCGAGTCTGCGAGGGGGGCTGCAGGGTGGCCTGGGGTTTTACATGCCAGATGTAGGCCTGCCCCGGTGCCTGCCTGGAGCTGCTGGCGTGGTCACGCCGCGACCCTGTGCGAATTGAGGCGAGGTGATGAGTTAGCGGGTTGCCATGGCAACAGGCTGGCCACGTGACCAGGGTGCTGCTGCCGGCGCTCTGACGTCAGCTGCCAGAGGGCGGGGCCGCAGGAGGGCGGGGCGCGAGCGAGAGCTGGGAGAAGGCAGTGAGCGAGCAGGCGGCAGGCACGGTCCGTGCGGAGCAGGCGAGCGAGCGGGAAGACGCAGCCACCTTCCTCACCAGCCAGCCCACAGCGGTTTGTTCCCCTTCTCGGGAGTGCGCCAATGCCTGGGCCGACCCAAACCCTGTCCCCAAATGGCGAGAACAACAACGACATCATCCAGGATAATAACGGGACCATCATTCCTTTCCGGAAGCACACAGTGCGCGGGGAGCGTTCCTACAGGTAATGGGGCTGGCACGAGAGCAGCGCCGGGGACCGCCGTGAGGGCGCGCGGAAATCCAGCCCGTTATATAATGGAGCAGACACTGCCTGCGACCCCTGCTGCAGGCATGCATTTGTGAAGGCGGTTGTGATTATTTGGTATCTGTTTCCATGTGTCATGTTGGGTTTGCATTGAGGCTCCGCGACTGCAGATGGAAAGCATTTTGTGAATAGGTTTGCTGCCTTCGAGGGGTCTCCCTCCATCTCTTTCCTTCCACACTGATAAAAATGCATGCTGTTTTCCCCCGCTGTCCAAAGGGAGACAGGCAGTAGCACTTCCTTTCCTCCTTCCCTTTTAGATTTTAAAGGAGCCATTAGGTAGCAGTGCCAAAAGGCAGAAAACGGGAGGGTGGGGAGAAAAACGTTTGCGCTTAACCTGGAGAGTGTGCAGGAAAGATGGAATCCTCTAGATTAAGCTGCAGTCTGTGATGTTAAACCGCCAGATTGATGGAGCTTTGTAAGAATTCTGCTCGCTGATTGGTGCAGGGATTGACAGCAGAGGTGATAGTGTCAGACATTCACCAAAATTTTCTCCATAGAACCCTAGGTTTATTAGAAAGAGACTGGACTGCAAAGGACTTGAAAAAAACTGGGCGCTGTTATGCATTTTCTAAGGAGTTTATGGCCACCGCTTGGGTGGGGGAGCCTTTCCTTCTTATTTACAGTAGGAAGGTGATTCCTGGTCTTTTGCTGAGGTCTGTTTTGAGGATGGGACTGATCTTGGTCATTGTATTGTGAGCCTTTTGATTAATGAGTTGGCCTGTACGGTTGGCATCATTTTTACATTAACATATCTGGCAATATGTTCCAGTAGATAAGCTCATTAAAATTGTTTGCATTGTTTGATAAGGATAACAATGTAATGGAGAATGCAGCTAGAGTCTTATGCAGCTCAAGGCCAGACTTGAAGGGAGACTGATAGCTTCGGTCATATTTCCTCTGAAGTTCTTTTGTACTGGGGTAGTTATTTTTAAATGTTACCTTGATAAACGCTAACAATGCTTTTGCTTTGAGGCAGAGCACACATACCTCTAAAGCGCATCCTCTCAGCTGATGAGCAACAGGAAATAACTCTTTTTTTCCTTTTTAGAGCCGTCATCTAAACATTCAGATGGTATTATGGGTAGAATATTGTGTGTGTAAATGTTGCATATCACAAAATAGAACCAGAAAGTACCCTACTTCCTTTCTCTTTGGCCAAAGAAATGCAGTATTTGTTGACTCAAAAAAAAAAAAATTATAAGCAACCTTTGCCCTGTCATCTCTGGCAGTTACATAAATACTTGGAGTTAATTTTGGCTGTGCCCATGAGGTCACCAAAATCTCATGCCTTATGGTTCCAACTAATGTGTTGATATGGCATTCTTACAGATTTCAAGTGCTTGTTATTCACTTAATGTAAATCAAAATTCCTCCACAACTTCTGGAGATATCCTTTCAGAGACCCTGTGATTGGAAATTTGGGCCTCTTCTCCTCTTACTCCTCCACCTTTTTCCTCTGTGACCATCCCAAAGCCTAAAAATAGAATTTAAAAACAAAAAACTTGAAGTGATTTTAAATCTCACTAGTTTGAACTTTTTTTGTAGAAAATAAATTTGAAGCCTTCATTTTCTAAATGATTTAATCCCTGCTGTGTAGGTAGCAGTTGCTTTTAAGACAGAATTCGAATTTTACCCCACGGGCCAAAGGAAGTTGCCTGGTTGGGTTTTATTACTCATGTAAACTAACTTGAAACGGCAGTGGAAAATCATTTGACAGAAAGGTTAAATGTTACGTTTTGGTGACAGATTATTGCTTTAAAATGAAATTTTATTTACCTCTTTAATTCAACCCAGGCTATTATTTGCGTTTCCTAAATTATTTGCAGTTTGCTTTCTGAGTCCCTATAATGGCATTCAAAATTATGTAAAAAACAAAACTGAATTTTAATAAAGATCTTACTGAACAAATTCTTAAGTCCCTAAGAGCATCACTGCATTTGTATTTGATATAATAGGATTACTGGATGATATAGCGAGAGGTGTCATAGGCTAAATGAAGAAGGAAGCCTCTCAAATTGCATTTGTCTTGTGTTATACAAAGGGTGCACATGGAGACAGACACATTCGATGTTTTTCTTCTTCTGTTTTTCTTTCAAAGTGGATGTCCAGTGTAATAATTACCACTTATTTTTTTGGAGGGGCATAGGAAAAGGAAAAATGTGACACATTTTTCTATCCAGGAAGCATTCCATCATTATTTTGGCATCCCAAGACTGGAATATTATAGCCATTTAATTGCTGAGGAAACTTGGAAGGCAATTTGAAAGCGAAGAGTAGAGATTTAACCAAATAAAAGTTTTGCCTTGGCTATAGGTTTGGTATGGCCCTCAACAATGAAGATGTGCCTGGAAGTTCTGGGTGGAGTCCCTTATGGTGGGGTTGGGGTTGAGTGAGCCCAGTTCCCTGGCAAGATCAGAGGGAATTCTTTCCCTGGATCCTTTATTGACTTCTAGGTAGGCCCCCGAACAGGTCTTTATCTTAGGCTTTCTTTTCTTTTCTTTTTTTGCGACAGAATTTTGCTCTTGTTGCCCAGGCTGGCATGTAATGGCGCAATCTCTGCTCACTGCAACCTCCGCCTCCCGGGTTCAAGAGATTCTCCTGCCTCAGCCTCACGAGTAGCTGGGATTACAGGCATGCGCCACCACGCCCAGCTAATTTTGTATTTTTAGTAGAGATGGGGTTTCACCATGTTGGTCAGGCTGGTCTGTAACTCCTGGCCTCAAGTGATCCACCTGCCTTGGCCTCCCAAAGTGCTGGGATTACAGGCGTGCCCCACTGCACCCAGCCTTAGGCTTTATTTTCTACCTTTGCCTGTTGTATATAAAAATATCTAGCCCCCGTTGTTAGAGAGATATTGTGAGGCTAAACTCCATATTTAAACCAAGTAATTTCCTAAAAGAGCTATGTAACATAAGAATACTGTTGTTACTGAAAAAGGGCTCTTGCAGGGGCTCTTGGACAAGAACATGTCTCACCTTGCTGGCAGCACAGGTGAGAAGAGGAGGGAACACCTAGAGGATAGGGTGGCTCTCCTGAGCATTGTTAATGGGCAAGCAGTCACTCTTTGGAGAAGGAGACATTACTGTTATAGCATTTGCACCATATTGTTCATAAGTATGTCAAATTTGGTTCCTGACCCACATCTCTTAACCCAGGTATCTGATAGTGTAAACAAAGCCCATTTTCACAGCATGGAACAGAGTGGGTGGCAGCTCATTATTGAAACTAGCTTGCACCTTGATTAGAAAAGCAAGCTTCCTTTAGAAAATTACCCCTGGATTAGTAATTCCAATTGAAAAGAGTAAGTACAAAAATGGCTTAGCAGACTCATAGAGACATGTTTTCACTCCTGTGTGATTTCCTTCTCAGCCTCAGCTTCCTCACTGTGTTTATGAATGCTAGAAATCTATGTATTTTAAGACCTGCTTAAAAAATAAATGTGGTGTGGGCCATCCGAGGTGACACTGTTTAATTCACAGAGCGAATGAGTCGTGCTCTGGATCTCCCTGGAGAGGATGCTCCCCATAGCTCTGTTTCATGCAGATGCTAGTTGGAAATGAGATTTATTAACTGGCTCTCTGCCCACTGCATCTTTGTTTGTATACTCCAGGCTTTTAAGAATGAATGTATAAGTCTAGAGGACTATTTCCACATGGGTGTTTTGAGCATGCGACTACAGTAGCACATGTTTCTGAATACTTTAAAAAAAAAAATTACTTGGCCCCAGGAAATGGATTGCAGAGAAAAGCAAAACTAAAATTTAAGCCTAAAGCATTGGCCATAACATCCAGCTTTGCCAGTTTTAAAAAACATGCTGTTGTTAAGGAAAACAAAGAGAAATATCGTAATATTGTGCATGTGTGTGTGTTTTTTTGTGCACGTGTGTGTATAAAAGAGTTGTGAAAGTGTGTTCCATTCAATAGAGGCTATTGTAACATGGCTCACTTTTATCAGAACATAGGCTTCACATCACATTCCCCAAAACAGCAGTTATAGATTGCAAAAGTCTACGTTCATGTCTTTATTATGTATTTGTTAGTATCATCTAGGTTTAATACTGTCAAAGGAGGTTTTCCAAAAATAAAGATTTTTGTCCTTACTATTTTTCTTAGTGTTTGTAAAAATCAGAAGATTACTTGATGCTTTAGTACATGCCCAACTCTGGAACTTCTTTTACGGATTTTCAGAGCTTCTGTTAATGGAATGGTCTTCCGGGTGCTCTTGCTTTGGGGAGAGGCTCACTCCTGCTCTGTAGCTGGTATCTGTTGACAGTGCATTATCTTAGAGCAGTGCTGTGAGATTGTCCTCTGGAATTCAGAAGGTTGATTTCCTTATGCAGCATCTTTTCTTTATTTACAGGGACCTCTTGAAGCTGCAGTGAATAATTCTAGATTAATTGGAAGGGGAAATTTGGGACTAATTTAAATATTCTGTTTGGTTTAGAGAATTAATTAATTTTACAAATATTTGAAAGTCTGCTCTGGCCAAGGTCTGTGCTAGATGCCCCTTGAAGGATCTTGAGTCCTAGTAAAGTCCGATGGAAAACCGCTCATTTTGTAAAAGACTTACAGTGTTGGTATTTTGCTTAGTCTGATAGCGAAAGTGGTTTGCATTTCCTGAACCCCCAGTGACCCAAAGGGGGAAAAAAAGTTTCTCTGAAGTCCAGTGTGCTGTAGGAAGCTAAAAGACACTGAGAGAAACCAGAAATTTTGCTGAAAAGAATGTAGGCTTTAGGATCAGGCAGAATTTTCACTGGCCTGGCCAGGTGTGTTGGGCAGTGGTAGAAAATAAAAGCATTGAAAAGCAGGCGGGGTAGTTGGAACTTGGAAATAAGAAGCTACTGAAAGTTTATTGACTGAAGATAGTGTAATGAAAACAGATGCCTACTGCAGTGGATCTTCAGTTTTGAAATGAGAGCTAAAAGGAAAACGGGATCCCAATGCACCACTGTGTGGGTCTAGAATCACTAGAAAATACTTAATGCCATGCGAGAGCTTGAGCCCTCTAATGTGCAGAGATCAGGACTAGGTAGATGTTCTCTGGCTCAGGATGTCTTTCCTTGAGTAGAAGCAATGAATGCAGCTTTGTTCCATAATGAGACTGGTACTTAGCCCAGACAGTGGCTTTTATATTTGCAGATGCCCACTTCATAGCTATCAGTCTAACTTTTAGGAGTGGCAAGTGTGGAGAGCTGCCACTATTCTGATCTTCCCAAACAATGAACCAGGTTTCTGGTTCATTATGAAGCATCTTCCCTTGGCATTTAATGATGTAAAAAGTTCCGATGTGGCTGATGAAACTGCTCAGGACACTCCCTGTGACTTTGGGGCCAATTCCTCTGACAGTTAGAAGGTTATCACCTTGGTGGCAGACTCCAGAGTGGATGGAGTTTACCCTAAATAGTGTGTGTGTGTTTACTTCTTATTTTAGTCAATTTCACTTTAAAGGACAAATTGATTTTCTTCTCTCCTGTGAGAAGTATCTTTTTTCTACAGTGAATTAAGTTAGAATATATATCTAAGAACAGTTTTATTCTTCCTGACTTCAGGCCATCTTTCAGCTAGCTGCCTCTGTAATACTACATTGAGTATGTCAAACTTAGCCAATATCTGAAGCACTATTCCAACAGCCCTTTTTCTTTCTAACACTCCACACACATCCCATTGGTATCATACAAACCTTGTTTCTTAGCTCATTTTAAAATTCCGATTGTTTATCTTAGTGTTTCTGGCCCTTGGTCTTTATTATTAGATTGAGAGAATTCTCTCAAAGTGGAAACCTACAATTCACATAGGCAAGAAATTATGCAACATTTACCTTATAGCATAAATCAAAGAAATTTCTCCTAAATATGTTTTTATAAAATGCCTCCCCAAAGATGATCATTTACTTTAATGAAAATAAATCATTAGCAAGGTAAAGACTGAACAGAGTTTTATAGGCCACCAATAAATAATTTCTTAGTAGGTTACTTAAAAAAAAAAAAAAAACACTGTGTTTTCAGTGTCAAATCTCCCCAAGTGAATTAAGATTTTACTCACTTGAACCAGGACAGAGTTTCTTAAAGAATTACTGTCTTTTCTAAGGGAGCAGAAGTTTGTGATAAATACATGAAATGATCAAGTTGACAGCTTTGAGTGATGGTGTCCTCTAATGCTTATCTAGTTAAGAAAATATGGCAAAAACTCAAACTTTCTGTGATTTCTAGGCCTCTCTTTGTTCCAGCAGGTAAAATGACCATGCTGGAAGAATCTGATTTTAGCAATGACTTTGGAACAGAAAGACAACATGGCAAGAGGTTTAATTGGCTTACAGTTCTGCAGGCTGTATAGGAAGCTGGCACCAGCATCTGCTCAGCTTCTGGGGAGGCCTCAGGGAGCTTTCACTCATGGTGGAAGGCGAAGCGGGAGCAGGCATGTCTCATGGCCAGAGCAGAAGCAAGAGAGAGGGAGTGGAGGGGGAGGTGCCACACACTTTTAGGCAACCAGCTCATGTGAGAAGTCACTCAGTGTCATGAGGACAGCATCGAGCTATGAGGGACCCGACCCCATGACCCAAACACCTCCTACCAGGCCCCACCTCCAACACTGGGGATTTTAATTCAACACAAGATTTAGAGGGGACAACATCCAAACTATATCATATATTTATATAGTATTAACACATATACTATATATGTGTGTGTGTGTGTATTTATACATATGTACACTATAGAAAGTATATATACACATACATATATACTTTTAGAAAGTATAATTATATATGTGTTACATATAGTATTAACACATATACTACATATACTATATTCACACATATATAGTAGTAACATATATGTATTATATATGTGTGTATGTATACTATATACACATAGTATTTATAGTATTAACACATATACTATATGTGTATATGTGTTTATAGTATATGTATTAATACTATACGTACACTATACTATATATACTATTATATATAGTGTATATATAGTATATGTGTTAATACTATAACACAATGGTGAGAACTGGGCATATATAGTATGTGTTAATACTATATATAACACATATATATGTATATATAATTATACTTTCTAAGATTATACTTCCTAAAGGCATTTTGGCTATCCATAAAAATTTATACAGAAGAAAATACAAATTTTTATAGAAATTCACATTTTAATTGTGTGCAAAATCGATCCTGAAGTTTATGGCCAATGTTTGTTGTTGCGTATGACTAAAAAGATGGTGCTGTTGATGTGAGACACACTTTAGATTTCTGTGATCCTATTTCATTTTTCATAGAAGTAATACTTGTTTTTGTTTTGTTTTGCTTTAAAGACATTAATTTTTTGTTCTTTATTTAGTGTCAGCCTACCCTGGCAAAGCCCTGGGAGGTAATTTGTCAAAAACGCCAGGTAATTTGTCAAAAAACATCTCTGGGAGGCTTTCTTATGTTCACAGCTATACTTTGATTATAAACAGTGGTATCCCTGATTGAAGGGCCCTCTGTGATTCCCTGAGAGGTCTTCATTTGGTGCTGTGCAAGTCAGGAGAAAGTGAAGCTAAGTGAGCTCCTTCCCCCACTCCCTCACGCCATCTACTTCCTTTTTATCATTTTGGAGTGCCAGAAAGTGTTTTCAGGTTCTAATAATGTCATTTTTAAAATCCCCACTCTTGGGTTTTACACAATTATTGTTACATTAAAGTTTAAGCCAAAAATCCTTCTTTCAGCAGACTTACCGAGTTCCTTTAATGTGCCAACCTTCCTCCATGCTGGGCCCTTGGAATACAAAGATAAATATTGCACAGCCCTCCCTTGATAAGAACCTCCAGGGGCCTGGACAGTGGGCGAGAGTACGTGGTGGGAGGGATGTGAGATGGAGAGGTTCCCACACCTGACCCCAGAGTATACACAGGGTGTGTGTTTTGTTTTTTGCTGAGGTGTGGCTGTCATTGGTTCAGAAGTCTTCCTGATACTTGTCTGAATAAAAGTAATTTTGTGATTATTGTGTTGATACTTGGGAAGGGCAAAATTATCACTCCTATAATTTTCAAAAGCTTTCAGAAATGTAGCGTGTAAGTAAAAATGTGTGTGTACCCTACTATGACCTCTATATTTGTCTTACGAACATAGCCTTGAGGCACAAGCTTGGGCATTGTTGAGTGATTTTTGTGGCAGGAAGTTCATTTCTGCTTTTCAAAAAGTCGAGGAAAAGTAAAAGGCTTATTTATCTGTTTTGCTCTTCCAATTTTTATATTTGTATTGGTCATCACTAGGTTAAAAATATTTCAGTATGCTATTACATAAAAAGTGAAAATGAGATCATATATTCATACTTTATTCATAGAGAAACTGAAAGGATATAAACTAATAATGGTAAGAACTGGGAAGATTAATCACTGTGTACCTTTTTATGTTTTTTTTTTCTAAACTGAAACTAAATGCATTACCTCATCAATCAGTGATGTTTCAATTAGCCCTTTAATAGCATAGGTTTTTAAAATTAAATAAGTTTCAGTTTGAACTTAATGAGGTTTACATGTTGAAATATGTTAGGAAACATCTGATAGATACTCATGAACTTACCAAAGTCACATGGATGACAGTAAAGATTTGCCTAATGCAAGTACCATTCTTACATTAAACATCAGTAGTCACAAATGAAATGTGCTCCTATAGCATCTGCCTCATTTAGCCCTTTGAGGTTTCACACATAGCAATCCATAGTGGAGATTTTGTTTCATTTTCTCCAGAGTACATTGAAGCTGCCTGTGTGTTTTGTGATGCGTCCAGCCTGTTTAGTATGCTCTGTGAATCTTACACTAACTGCAAAATAATACTCTGTGAGGATTATTTTAAAATATCCTCTTTGCATTTTTGTTTTCTTCTCATTTATCAAGCTCCTGCCATTTATCAAGTACAGCAAAGGGCCCTAAAACTGAGATTGCAGGTAATTGCCAATTTTTTGGCCACTCTGAGTGCAGTCCTCTGTCCTCCTCCAACTCAGCCTAACCTCCCACCTTAGGGAACTTAATTGGGCAATATCTGGCCTTCATGTGACCCCTGTGTGTGATGACGGCCAGGAAACAAGCCATCTGCATTCACCATGCATTTCTGTTTCAGCCCTCTCACCCAGGAGTCTGGGTGAAAACTGAGAGAACCCCCAGGGAGACTGACCAATTAAGAAAAAAACAAGAACAAAGCTTTGAATATATTATCCTCAGTATAGGGACCTGCTCACTGTCAGCAACTCTGAAATAAAAAAGCTTGTGGAACTTACGAGCTGAATGTCTGCTAGAAAAGGAGGAAGCAGAAGACAGGATCATTGGGAGATGGAGTGTAATGGGAAGTGAGTGCAGCATGGAGGACAGTGAGGGTTTCTTGGGGTGAACATGCCAGCCTCTAGAGAGAGTTTAGTTCTCTGCCTCCCTACCCCCACCCCATCTCTCTCCCTGTCTTTTCAAGGGCAGAGTAAACCTTCCCTTCGACACTTGTTCTCCAAGGACAGAAGAAAATGAAGAGCTCTGTGTTAGCCTAGGCAGGGGTCTGGCAGGAGAAGGGAAACAGGACCAACAAGTCTCTCCCAAGTCCCTTAATGGGGCCTGGAATACACAGTAAATTGTTAAGTTTGAGTTTGGGAAGCCAATTTGGGAAGCCAAATTGATAAGTTTGGGTTTGGGAAGCCAATTTCTTTCCCCCTGAAATTTTTGACAGGCAGATAGCATTGTCATAACAATGACTTTAAGATGTCAGCATGTACCTATTTCCAGCCTGTATGATAAGTGTGTCACTGCTACCTCTACTCCAGTTCAAAATTTGGTCTGTACCGAAAAGGGAACCTGGATTGTCCCCTACCTCCTTTCCTAACCTCCAGGAGGACCAGTTGGGGTCCTCAAAGTGCACAGCCAGGAAGTTGCTTGAAGAGGCAGTGAGGTATAGTGGGCAAAGCTTGGCTCTGGTGTGAGACTTTTACTTTCTGTCCCAGCTCCATCCCTTTCTAGGGCAACATTTTTTTAGCCTCTCTAAGCCTCATTTTCTTACCGTGCATATGGAAATAATAGTAGCATCAACTTCCCAGGGTTCTTATGCAGATTAAATGTGTTACAGAACATAAGGTGTGCCAAACGGTGCCTGGTGCAAAGTAAATGCCTCAAAGAATGTTAGCTAGTATTATTGCTTGCAGCTTAAATCTACTCTTTTACCCTGTATTGATAAAAATCTATAATCTTTTTGTTCTAAGTACCCTGTACAATACTTTGCACATAGCAGATGTTCATTAAAAGTTCAAATTGAACCTGGAAAAAAGTCAAACAAATTATACTACAGTCTTTTTTCCCCCTCATCAACTTTATTAAGAATTTATGTACAGTAAACTGCAGCCATTTAAAGTGTCTGAGTCAGAGTTTTGGCAGTGTGTCCACCCTGAAGCCATCACCACAGTCAAGATGCAGAACATTTCCATCACCCCCAAAAGACTCCTTGTACCCTTTGCAGTCCAAATCTTCTCTGCCCAAAGCCCCAGGAGCCAGTGATCTGCTTTCTGTCACCACAGATTAGATTACATTTTATATAAATGGGATCACAGAGAATGCACTCATTAGTGTCTGACTACTTTGACTCAGCACAATGATTTTAAGATTCATCCATATGGGATGTCTCAGTAGTTCATCACTCTTTATTGCTGAGTAGTATTTCATTGTATGGCTATACCATATTTTGTTTATCTGCTCACCAGTTGATGAACATTTATGTTTCCAGTTTTTAGGAATTATGAAGCAAGTTTCTATGAATATTGTTATACAAGTCTTTGTGGAGGTGTTTTCATTTCTCTGGGGAAAATACTTAGGAGTGGAGTGATTGGGTCATATGGCTGGTGTTTAACTTTTTGAGAAACTGTTTGGCAAACAGTTGTCCAAAATGGTTGTACCATTTTACATTCCTAGCAGCACAGTATGAGAGTTCTGATTGTTTCACATCCTTGGCAACACTTACTATCAGTCTCTTAAATGTTGGCCATCCTTATGGATGTAGAATGGTATCTCATTGAGATTTTAATTTCTATTTTCATGATGACTAATGATGGGTATGTTTTCATGTGCATATTGGCCATTTGTGTGTCTTCTGTAGTAAAGTGTTCAAATCTTTTTCCATTTAAAAAAATAGGTTATCTTTTTAAATAGAATTATACACATATGTTTTGCATAATAATATAGTCTTGAATTGTATTTTAATATGTACAGGTCTTATATTCTTAACTTGAATATAAAGTCCCCCCCACACACACACACAAAAAGACCTAGTCTTTGTTCACAATGACTTTTACAGCAATTAGTTACATGGTCCATCCTCAGTAAGTACATATTAAATGAGTCTATTTAGCCCGGGCACTGTGGCTCATGCCTGTAATCCCAGCACTTTGGGAGGCTGAGGTGGGTGGATCACTTGAGGTCAGGAGTTTGAGATCAGCCTGGCCAACATGGTGAAACCCCATCTCTACTAAAAATACAAAAAATAGCTGGGAGTGGTGGCACTTGCCTGTAATCCCAGCTACCTGTGAGGCTGAGGCAGGAGAATCACTTGAACCCAGGAGGTGAAGGTTGCAGTGAGCCAAGATCACGCCACTGCACTCCAGGCTAGGCAACAGAGCGAGACTCCATCTCATAAAAAATAAAATAAAAATAAAAAAACAGTATTTAATATGTAAATAGAGGGTAAAATAGTAACAGAATAATTATTTTAGCTGAGAAAAAAAAAACACTGAATCTACCTTAGAAGTTTTATATGAACATGTTACATTTGGGAGGTAGTCTTGGTAGATAGGAGATGCTCTTCTAGTTCTGTGGAGAAGAACCCTATAATTAAGACATTCTTTTCTTTGTATTGTGTGTCCCCTTCTTGCTAGATTCCACTATTAAATTTAAGAGGAAAGTGTGCATAGAAAATTTTTTTTCTTTAATTGTAACAAGGATACCATATGTTCTCACAAGTGGCAGCTAAATGATGAGAACTAATGAACACAAAGAAGAGAACAACAGGCATTGGGGTCTACTTGAGAGGGGAAGGTAGAAGGAGAGAGAGGAGCAGAAAAAATAACTAATGGTTACTGGGCTTAATACCTGGGTGATGAAATAATCTGTACAGCAAACCCCCATGACATGAGTTTACCTATATAACAAACCTTCACATGTACCCCCAAACCTAAAGTAAACATTTTAAAAACTAAGTAAATGAAAAGAGGGAGGAAAAATAAATGTAACAAGGAGCCATTTGCATGCTTCCAAAATTTTGCCAAGAATAGCCAAAGCGTTGGATGCCCCCCTTTTAAAAATTTTTGTGGTGAAGATCCCTAAACTTGATCTCTTTCCATTCCCATTCCATCTAATTTGGCAGTTTTGTTGTTGTTTTGCTCCTGACTTCTCTAACTCCCTAAGAAGAAATTGTCTCAAGTAAAATTTAGAGACTGGGAAACAAAAGCTTAGTAAGGTCATAGGTTTGCCTAAAAGGATCGACTGAGGGACCTCGTTTTGGAGAAGATGAGGATCCTTGGCTCCCAGAATCTGTTCAGAAATCTTTCCAGCTAAAAGCCAGTTTCTTAACTACATATGTTTCAAAATCCAAAAATGCAAAGTTTAAGTTCACTAATGATTTCACAAATGTCCTAGGCCTACTACTAGATTTCGTGGGTGCCACTTATTTCGTTTAACATTTATTCATTTTATTGCCAAAAGGTTCAGGCCGAATTTCAGGTGAGTCGCTGCCTCCATGGTGGCGGCAGTCAGATGATTCTCTCTGTTCTGGTTGGGACTGAGTGGACCACAGCCACTCAAGGATCCCTTGAGAGTTGCGAGTGTTCTTTTTGATTTGAGGATGTGCCGTGAACGGAAGCCAAATACTAATAGACAGGACATCCTGTGATTCCCTTAGTTTACGATGGCCAAGGATGTGTGGGTTTTTTTGTTTGTTTGTTTCTTTTTTTTGATAAGATGATTACTTGGTTTTTTTCCTGTTAACAAGGGAGCCTAGATGATGATGTCCATTTGGCTTTTAGGACTCTTAACTAGCAAACAACTAAGCCCCTGCAAAATCACATGAAGACATTGGAAAATCTTTTTATGTAAGGCAGAGATGATTTGGTCATAGTTCGCAATGAAGTGACCGTCAGTTCTATTGGCTTGAAATAATAATGAACCAAAGAGGGGAAATGACCGAAGTCGAAGTTCTTGAAATTAAGGATGTTAAAATAAAATTCTGAAATCTAGTATACTGTGGTATACCTATACGGTTAAGTATTATACAAATATTACATGTGAAGAAAATATGAAAAAAGTTCACAAATGTACCAATGTTAACAGAAGCAAGATGATTATTACAAACGTTTATATGGATTATATTAGTTTTCCAGGGCTCCCATAACAAATTACCACAAACCGGGCGGCTTCAAATTGATCCTCTCACAGTTGTGATGCCGGAGGCTAGAAGTCTAAAACCAAGGTGTTAGTAAGGCCATGCTCCCTCCAACAGCTCTGGGAGACCCTTCCTTGTCTCTTCCCGCTTCTTTTGGCCCCCATGTGCTCCTTGGCTTGCAGCTTCATCACGCCCATCTCTGCCTTTCATTATCACCTGGCCTTCTTCATCTGTGTTTTTTACATGGTCGTCTTTTAAGGAACCAGTCATTGGAGGGCCCACCTTAATCCAGTATATCCTCACCTTAACTAATCATATCTGCAAAGACCTTTTTCCAAATAAAGTCATAATCTGAGGTTCCAGGTGGATATGAATCTTGCAGGGACACTATTCAGTTCTCTGTGTGTGTGTGTGTGTGTGTGTGTGTATGTGTGTGTGTGTGTATACATATGAACCCATTTTTATAAATAACTGTATGTGTGAAACACATACACACAGGTACCCCTCACCAGACACACATAAAAGATGTTTAGGGCCAGATGTGGTGGCTCACGCCTGTAATCCTAGCCCTTTGGGAGGCCGAGGTGGGCGGATCATGAGGTTAGCAGTTCAAGACCAGCCAGCCTGGCCAACATGGTGAAACCTTGTCTCTACTAAGAATACAAAAATTAGCCAGGTGTGGTGGTGCCAGCCTGTAATCCTACCTACTGGGGAGGCTGGGGCAGGAGAATCACTTAAATCCAGGAGGCAGAAGTTGCAGTGAGCCGAGATCATGCAACTGCACTGCAGCCTGGGTGACACAGCAAGACTCTTGTCTCAAAAAAAAAAAAAAAAGATGTTTAGGAAGATATGAATATGAGTGTTATAACTGGGTGATGGAACAGTGGAAATTTTAATTTTATTTTTTATCTGTATTTTCTGCATTAGTGAAAATGGACAGATTTTTTTAATAGAAAAATCTGGCTTTTTGAATAAACAGTAGCACTTTGACATCTTAAAAAAATTGTAGATTTTTATTTTTACTAGCATCCTACTTTAAGTTTGTTGTTACTTTGCCTCATCCAACTTTAATGAAATATTTTAACTTTAAATAATTAATCCTTTGTAGCATTATACATATATAAATATACATAATGAACCCATTAATATATTTGTGATATTAAATGTTTATTATGCTTATTATTATAACAATAGCTAAAGCTGAAATAATATAAAGTAAAATAGGTTTTTGAGACATTGAATCAACCAGTGTGATTGTCAGGTTTTTGGTTTAGGTTTGGAAAGCCAAAAAAAGAAAAGAAAACTTATAATTCTTACTCAATTGCTGAACTCAAACCTTTTTTTCCTTAAAAATGTTTTTAAAGTCTCTAACCCTAGGAACCTAGAAACTCGGTATGGAGGCAGGATGGGGAGGGACTTTACCAAATTTTTAAATTTCATCTGTTCAAATTGGCTCAAATACTGGGTAACTTTTAACACATGTATCTACTCTAGAACTACTTCATCCACTGACCCTTCTTATTTAGACATTTGTGCCTATAGTAACATCTCTAGTTATTTAGTCAAAAAGTTTACTAGGTCTTGTGGTAATTTCCTTTTTCTTAATTATCTTTGAATGCTTATTAACTAATTGTTACTGTTCTGTCTTTATCCCAAGTTTAACAAAACATTCTCAATTCAGTAATGACCCCTATCCCTAACATTTGTTAAACTACTGCAGTATACTGTATTAAAAATTTTGTCCTTTGCTCCTGTAAGTCCTCATAGCATAGCGCTGCAGAATCTAAAGAGGAGACTGCAGTTCAAAAAGCTTCCCTGCTTCCACTGTCCTTCCCAAACCCATGGTCTTACCATGTATCTGCCCCTCTGTTTTTTTGTTTGTTTGTTTTGTTTTGAAACAGAGTTTCACTCTTGTTGCCCAGGCTGGTGTGCAATGGCGCAATCTCAGCTCACTGCATCCTCCGCCCCCCTGGTTCAAGGTATTCTCCTGCCTCAGCCTCCCAAGTAACTGGGATTACAGACACATGCCAACATGTCTGGCTCATTTTTGTATTTTTAGTAGAGATGGGGTTTCTCCACGTTGGCCAGGCTGGTCTCGAACTCCTGACCTCAGGTGATCAACCCGCCTCAGCCTCCCAAAGCGCTAGTATTACAGGCATGAGCCACCATGCCCTCTGTTATTTCTATACCTGATTTGGTTCAAACATGGCACAATTTTTATCTGCTTTTTACTGGAATGCTCAGTTTCTGTACTTCCCTTTGAAAATTGTAGTGATATTACACTGATGCTAGAAATGTTGTAACTTTACGTTTGACCTGTGACAAGGTAGTAGAGAAGGAGAGCAGAGAGATACTGCAAGGAGTGTGTGCGTGTGTGTGTGTGTGTGTGTGTGTAAACTGATATTTGTCAGGGGCTGCTAGGTACTTCTAATGCAAAAGTCTGTCAGTTCATTCTTCATTCCAGTAAATAAATAAAGATGTTTATTGATTTAAAAAATTCTTCTTCTGTTCCATATACAATATATACAATGATGGTATCTGGTTGCCCAAACAAGAGTACCAGAAGAATAGGGAAGGGAAAAGAAGGATGAACTCTGATCCTGGGATGGAATTTTAAGAAGATACAGGGAAATCCATTCTCTGGCTGAAATGAGAGAATCATTTCACATGGGAAAAGAAGTTTTGGGGACGATGCCCTACGAAGCTGGTAGTGAAATAATGCTCCTAGTTTTGATAGTATTTCCCCACTGCTCCACCAACTTAGCTGAACATCGTTTATCTTAGCTCAGCTGTAGCAATGACCAAAATTTCCATTTGCTACTCATCATAAAGTGCAGGAGAGAACCTGTCTTGTATATAATTTGCAGTTTCTTCTTTGGGGCTGGAGCATGGGTTTGATGTAGAGGCAGATCAGTACCTTGCCAACTGAACCCAAGGAGTTAAGTTTAATGTTGTGCTATTTCCCAGTTTGAAGTTTTCAATTTTGATTCTGTGTCAGAGTCTACTATGGAAATAATTAAGAAGAGTAGATAAGCACAAATATGGCTGGGGGCATAAGGATGTCTTTTGGAGTCAGATTCACTGGAATATTTTTTGCCACTGGCCTGTACTTCCCTTGTCCTGTTAATAAGCTTAATTTTATTGGTACTTCATTTTCCATTTTCATTTCAAAATGTTCTCATGAGTTTAAAAATCAATTTTACCATAATGTAAATACAGACCTTTGGATAGGCACCAATCTCTAAGAGTAGAATACTGAGAGGCTTGTCTATTTTTTTTTAAGGAATAGCTTTTTCTAAACACATAGTCAAGATACCAATCTGAAGTCTTTCATTAGCTTTGAAAAAATTATAAGCAGTATAATGTACATGGTCTCTGTCCATTTTGACTAATTTACCACAAAAAGCAAATTGAGAGGCTTGAACCTCAAATCTGTAGTAACTAGAAATGCACGATGTGATGACTCCTACGATATTAACATACCTTATATGTTACAGCTGGCAGATTTGCCAGCCAAAAATTCATTCCCAGCGATAAACTGAGTAACTAGCCACCCAAATCTCTACATTTTGAGCTTTTCTTCACAGAAACTTAAAATCATCTTGGTTAAAGTGAAAATGTAAAATGAGATCTTGGTAGAATTTAAAAAGACAAAATGGCTTTATTAAAGACCACAATTGTGTCCTCACTTGGAATTATTTTTTCTTCCTGCTTAATCTCATGACATAAACACAAGAGCAGGGAGAGTCTCAATTAAAAGCAAGAATCCTGGAATTCATCCTAGGTCCAAATCCCTGCTTTGCCACTTAATAATGGTGACTAGACAAGTCACTAAACCTCTCCGAGTCTGTATCTTTTCCTACATAACATAAAAGCAGCAGTGATCACATGGCATTGTTGCAAAGATTAAATTAAAAAATTCCTGTTTTACTCTTTCATTAGGCATGTGGAAAGTTTTCAATAAATATTAGTTATTGTAACTTCTAATCTAGTTCCCCTTGTTTACTAGTGAAGAAAAGGAGATCCCAAAGAGTTGAGACACATGTGCCCACATTTATCCAACTGGTTGATAGTTCTGGAACTAGAAGCTGCTGCCCCTGATGCCTAGAACAGAGCTCTCATTAAGCTGCAGGGCAGCTAGGGAGCTTTTGGTATCTGTGTTCCAGACATTTCCCTACTCACCTTTAAAAAAAAAAAAATGCCTAGAAGACAGGGTCCTTTAATTCACTCAACCCTAGTCTGTTCCTAGCCATCTCACATAGCACTAGGGGCACGTATTGATATTTGCCTTTTGTATGATTTGGCACACCTTTGTTTGCATTCATTCAGCATTTATTTATTGTGTACCTACTGTGTGCCACACACAGTTCCAGACACAGGAGATAAAGCTGTAAACAAAACATATTCTATAAAGTTTCTGCCTTCATAGAGCTTACATCCTGGGGGCAAGAGGAGTGGACAGATGGTAAACAAACAAGATAATTACCAATGGTGTTAGTATCACCGAGGGCAGAGTAGAGAGATGTGGGAGTAACTGGAAGCGGCCACTTCAGAAGTGGGCATGGAGGGTTCACTGGGGAGTTGACATTTGAGCCAAACCTGAAGCATGAGATGCAGCCAACCCTGCCAAGTGCTGGAACAAGCTGCTCTTCCGTGGCATGAGGTCTTGAGCCCCAGTTATCCCTAAGGATGAAACTTGAGGCTTTGCTCTGTCATTTGTTTCTTATTATGAGAAGATTTAGAAAAAGCAGACACCGAAGTACCTGAGAAGGAACTAGCACCACCAAGAGTACAAGAGAGCTCAGAACCAGGAGGTGGGGACCACTCCTACAAAATGTGTGCACCACAGGACTTTGCCTAGTGGCAGCATGATTGTTTGATGACCGCATATGCTTCTGCTATATTGCATGCGCCTGATTTTATGCAGTGGACTAACAACTGAGCATGACCACCCACTATGGTACCAGCAGCACCTATGTCCTGAAAGGTTGACCCAGGGCCCTGCTCGTTGGGGGCAGCGTGGGCATGACTGGAAAAGACCTGGGATCATGGGAAAGAGCTAAGGTCAGGGTAAGAGGGAACGAGGCCAAGTAGGGCTGGGAAAGTAAACAGAAGGCATATGGTCAAGAAGGAGTGGATGTGCTGGGAGCTGAGTTGGCGGGGGAGGGGGTACTGAGAAAAGTTGGTGCCCTGAGGAGACCAGCCAAGCCCTGTGGCATGGGAATGAGCTCTAGGTCATTGAAATTATTTTCAGAGCATGGACGAAGCCACCCACTGCTAGAAACAGATGGACATTTAGGCAAATATAATCAGCTGCATTTCTGACCATATGAAGAAGCGTATGTCTATGTGGGGCAGGGAAGGGTTAGCCTTTTACTCTCTCATTGTACATGTCAAGTTTCATTCATATCCATGGACGTTATGAATGCTACAAAGAACTTTTTTAGAATTCCAAAATTTTGTCATACCCTGGATAGGAGCCAAATTTCCAAGTCATTTCAGGGCTGTAGCTATTGACTTGTTAAGTCTGAGTTTAGAAAACAAAACAAAAATCCACCCGTATATGCTGTTTTGAAAGTTTGTCTTTTTTGTTTAGTTACGATAGGGTGGCTAGCCAAACTAAGCCCTGTATGCAAGGAGCTGCCTAATGAATAGTAGTGGATGAGGTTAATGCAGATAAATAACAATGAGGCTGTTAAAAATGGAGTTGATTTTCAAGGTGACTTACGGAATGTCCTATTGTAGGCGGTTGGAGACACCTGTGTTTTAATGATATTCTGTTGGTTTTTTTTCTTAAAACATATGTAGAATACTTGGTGATATGGCAAGAAAGAGCTTAATCTCCGTGTTTTGAAAAATAATCATTAATGGTAAAAGGGATGGGCACCCTGAAAAAGAGTATTATTTTTATGTTCATTCTCTCTTGGAGGTGGCAGTTATTAGCTGTCGTTAGGAGTTCTGATTGTCAGACTAAATGGAACTTTGTATGCACATTAAAAGCATTATCATTAAGAAGTGACTGATAATGAAGAGCACATTCATATTGGAATGATAGGCAGCCTGGAAAAGCCTGCAGTAGAGAGCAAGCACCTCAAACCTGATAAAACTCACATTTATCTCATCTTCCTCTAAACAGCATAGTTTTGAAGATTCTTACATTGGTCTTCTTCACTAGTTCTAAACCATCAATGCCTAATTTTGAGAGAAAAAAATAGTATATTTCAGTGTCTATATTTTAATAAAGTATGTGCATGTTGTCATATGGACAGTGTCCTGATATTTCTCCATCATCCTTGTGTGAAGTCAGTTCCGTGCTCACACCCCTGCCACATGGAGAGGCCCGGCCGCAGGGAGGGTCTGTGCCTGGAGGAGTTGGTCTTGCATTGTCTGTCTAATCCCATCACAGTCATAGAGCCCCGTAAAAATAAAATACGTGCAGGTCTGCCCACAGCAGCTTATGTGTGCTATTACCTGGAGACAATAAATGACTTCTTAAATTCCCATTCCAGCCCTAGAATCCATGCATACGGCAATTAGTCCACAAGTTAAACAGAAGCTTTAATACCCAGTTTTAGGCGAAACTCCATAGTTCCTGTAATCTCTCTCCAGGAGATTTTATCCTGTCAAGGTTTGTCTTTCAGAGACACCCTCTTTGACTCCCTCTTTGCTCCATCCTGATCTCCCTCCTCAAACAAATACTTTCTCTGTGCCCCACATTGCAGGTCACAAATAAAGAGAAAGTGATGAATCTAGAATGATCTGGTGATATTCTTTCCTTGGGTGAAATGTTTAAATCCTGCCTCTCGAGGTATTGAACCTAGAGAATGAATTATGCGCAGATGAAAAGCGGGATATTTCTGGTTCAGGAGACACATTTACACTGTCCCTCCCTATGGAAGCCCAGTTCATTATTAGGGGAGGCTGTGGGAGATTTAACATCAGCCTTTTGTGGTGAGGACGCTGGGAAGGAGGCACGCAGGCAGGATCTGTGTTTACAAGGCTTTTCAGAGGAAAAGACGTTTGGGGGGATGTCTGTGATGGGACTGAATATCTTCATTCCCCTCCGGAGGATAACATATATTCTAATGCAGAAGTAGTCTTTGAGAAAAACTTTTGAGGTTTCTTCCTTTGGCTAAGTATTTAATCTGTGGGCATGAATGTACAATTTGCAGGTTATTTTAGAAAGATGCCACTTCTAAGAGAAGAAAATATTGGTGATTGATAAATCTCTTTTTAAATTCTCATAATATTTGCAGATACTTAGAAATGTTTACAAAACGGCTATTTCTGTTAGAATAACACAAAATTCTTCTAAGTAAAAAGCCTTCTTTACAAGCGCATTTGAAATAATGCACCTCACTTTACCTGCTATGCTGGAACAGGCCAACTTTGGCAATCCTAAAACCTTTAACCAGGAACAACTCTGTGAAATGAGAACTGACAGTGTGGCCTTGACCTGGACCGAGCGAAAGTCCAGTGACTGGCAAAGAAAGCCATTCTTTTGGATCACAGGTCCTTCTCCCCTGTTGGCATGTGTAGAAACACTTTGAAAGGATCTCAAACACCTAGTCAGTTGGACTTAATTTCCAAGGAAGCATCGATATTTCTAACCATTACCTTAATAAACCACTTGGGTTATAAGAAATTCAGAAATCATTATATGCTCAAGCCCAAAGAAATAAGTTTCTTAGGTGAAAGAAAAATATACTTTTTCTTTATATCTCTCTTCTAGTCTGCTCGTTGTTTCATTTATGTGAAACTGGGTGAAGAATGCACTGCATGTATTTACCCTAAACTGTTGGTAGTGGATTACTTTCCCCAGTGATGGGAGAACATGTTGAAAATAGAGATTGTTATGAGAGAAAAGAAAGACAGTCACACATATCACACATATGGGTATGGTTGTCACTGCAACATGTGTGAACAGAGTACATTGGCATGCGGTGGGTTGAACTTTCAGAACTTTTGTTGTTGTTTTTTTTTTGAGATGGAGTCTCACTCTGTCGCCCAGGCCGGAGTGCAGTGGCGCGATCTCGGCTCACTGCAAGCTCCACCTCCTGGGTTCACGCCATTCTCCTGCCTCAGCCTCCTGAGTAGCTGGGACTACAGGCGCACACCACCACGCCTGGCTAATTTTTTTTTTGTATTTTTAGTAGAGATGGGGTTTCACCGTGTTAGCCAGGATGGTCTTGATCTCCTGACCTCGTGATCCGCCCGCCTTGTCCTCCCAAAGTGCTGGGATTACAGGCGTGAGCCACTGCGCCCGGCCTCAGAACATTTTATGTTGAACATGAAGTTTCCAGTTGAATGTGGACTCCTTTAAGGAGTGACATAAAGAAGGTAACTTAAAAAAAAAAAAAAGGAGAAGAAGGTAGCTTAAATCCAAAAGGCCCTTTAAAGGCTCAGCCTCCAAGTGGGTTTGGTATAAGTAAATCCAGGCCAAATGGGGTCTCCTTGCAGCGCAGCAGATAGCAGTCAACCACTTATGGAGGCTGTTCTTCTGCAGATGAACTTGCCTGAATTTGGGAAGTTTGGTAAACTCAGACTTTAGATGATATAAAAACAAAAAAGTCAGGCTGGGTACTGTGGCTCACGCCTGTAATCCTAGCACTTTGGGAGCCCAAGACAGAAGGATTACTTTTTGAGCCCAGGAATTCATGATCAGCCTATGCAACATAGTGAGACCCCTGTCTCTACAAAAAAATGAAAAGTAAGCTGGGAGTGGTGGCACACGCCTGTAGTCCCAGCTTCTTGAGAGGCTGAGCTAAGAGCATTGCTTTAGCCCAGGAGATTGAGCCTGCAGTGAGCTATGATGGCACCACTGCACTCCAGCCTGGACTGCCGAGTGAGACCCTGTCTCTTTAAAAAAAAAAAAAAAAAAAAAAAAAAAAAAAAATCTGGCCAACGTGATGGTTCACACCTGTGGTCCCAGCTACTCAGGGATGCTGATACAGTAGGATTGCTTGGGCCCAGGAGGCAGAGGTTGTGAGCCAAGATCTCACCACTGCATTCCAGCCTGGACTGCACTCCAGCCTGAACAACAGAGCAAAGCCTCATTTCAAAAAAAAAAAAATCAAAATAGGTTCCACATTAAACCCTTTTCCTTATAGCCACACACCTCAAATGGGACCAGAGCCAGATCCCGGGACAACAACTGGCCTATCATGAAACCTGCTGGAAAAAATATACATATATGTATATATACTGTTTTGTCCTCCAAAATGAGTGATCGGTGAAGTGTGAAAAGAGAAAATGAGGACAGGCAGCCCCCTCCCCTGAAGTATGGCTGATAGTGTGTTTGCAAGGGGTGGGGCAGGGCAGAGAGACAAAATGAATTACATAGGAAATAATTTCAGTTAACACTCATAATGCTAGCTAGCACATATTATATATTTGCTTAATTTTGAAGAGCCACTTCTCTGGAATAATTCACAAACCTTGCCAAATTTGTTCTTGAACAAAATTGTTGAGTATTTTGTAGTTAAGCTTTAGGTGCAGAACTGGTAAAGGTGGTAGAATTCATATTTTGCTCAGTAGGCTAACTCAGGTCTCATTGACTCACATAAAACTCCATTTATTGTAGTAAGCAGAAATACAGTGTCTAATGTGTCTGATTCAATCACTACTGCAAAGCATAACCTTGCTGTACCTCTCCACCCAACACCACCGCCAAATACTGAATAAAGGATGAAACTGAGCAAAATCTACACATTGGCCCTCAGCTGGAGGCTTTCCTTTTTCTAAAGTCATGTGTATCAGTGGTCACTATCCACAGACAAGCTAGAATCGTGACTTTGCCTGCTAGAGGTCTGAAGGGATTTTTGTTTTTTCTGTGTGTTTTTCTCTCTTCTGTTTGCAAAACAAAACAAAAAACCAGCTGGGTGTGGTGGCTCACGCCTGTAATCCCAGCACTTTGGGAGGCCAAGGTGGGCAGATGGCCTGAGGTCAGGAGTTCCAGACCAGTCTGGCCAACATGGTGAAACCCTGTCTGTACTAAAAATACCAAAAAAATTAGCTGGGCGTGGTGGCATGTGCCTGCAATCCCAGCTATTTGGGAGGCTGAAGCAGGGGAATTGCTTGAACCAGGGAGGTAGACGTTGCAGTGAGCCAAGATCGCGCTGCTGCACTCCAGCCTGGGCGACAGAGTAGGACTCTGTCTCAAAAAAAAAAAAACAAAAAGTGTATTCCCACCTTCCAAGAAAGCTATTCTAATATTCATGTAAAAAGTGTGTAACTATATTGTGATTATTAGTTTATTTTCAAGTAGGGGCAATAAATGCAAATTTGTTTTAAAATAAAATTTAAATACAATATTAAAGTGTGGTGACCCAGGGACTGCAGTGCTAGGAAAGTGTTCCTCCCTTATCTCCTGCTTGTTGTGCTGTTGCACTGACCAGATCTTTATTTTTATTTATTTATCTTTTTTATTTTTTTTTGAGACGGAGTTTCACTGTCACCCAGGCTGGAGTGCAGTGGCCCAATCTCAACTCACTGCAACCTCTGCCTACCGGGTTCAAGCGATTCTCCTGCCTCAGCCTCCCTAGTAGCTGGGACTACAGGCGCATGCCACCAAACCTGGCTAATTTTTGTATTTTTAGTAGAGACAGGATTTCGCCATGTTGGCCAGGCTGGTCTCGAACTCCGGACCTCAGGTGATCCACCCGCCTCGGCCTCCCAAAGTGCTGGGATTACAGGCATGAGCCACCGCGCCTGGCCTGCACTGACCAGGTCTTAAACAACACAGTGATCTGGTTGAGATTCCAATTGAAAGCCACAAAGTGGGAGACAGCGCTTTGACTTTCTCCTTTGCAAGGATGGGACAGAGAGATGCTCATGTCCCAGAGGCCATGTGGCAAGTCACCTAAGAATAAACTGTTGTTTCCATGTAAAAGACATGCTGAAGATCCAAACATGAGAATAAACCCCGCACAGTGAGTTGCTCCTTGTTCTGTAATAGTTAGTATGACCTTACCTTTCATAACCATTTATCTTTCTTGACTGAGTCTTTGGGAAGTACTCCATGAATTAAAAATTAGCTTTTTGAATTGTATAATTCCTACCTTCCATAGGATGTTGATGTAATTGGTAATATCCCTAAGGACTAGCAGTCGTGAATTGAAGTTTGTGTCCACTTTTGTAAGGGAAGAGTATGATTCCTGCCCTGCTTTCCTCCCAGGATTCTTCCAAGGGTCAATAGAACCACTTTATCTCTAAAAAGATATAAAATTTCCTTGTGTTATCCACACAGCATTTCTGCAGACTAGGTAGGGACAAGTACTTTTACCTTTATATTGTCATATAGATTGAGACCCCAGAAATCATAATGAAATCTTAGGATTTTAGAATGTATCCACCTAGGGACTAGGACAATTTAATACTCTCTCACCTGAGTTTAACATTTGGAAAAAATATATAAATGTTCTGTGAATGTTGTAGCCACTTGTATCATTTAAGTTTAACTATATGGAAAGCATACCTGTAGAAAAAGCAGGAGCTGAAAGAATTGGGAAAACAAAAGGGTGGATGGCAGTGCAGGAATAGAATCCTTTTTCCACTTTGGCTGACACTTCACTTGCGGGAGGTTCAGGACAGTTCCCCTTCCAGGGAAAGTGAGTCCAGACTCAGAACTCTCAGGCCTAAAATCGGAAAAGCTGGCTTGTTTGGGTTCGGGGCAAACATTGGGAGCAAAGACAGCCACAGAGTGAAGTGCGCTTAGAAGTACCTTGCTGAAATTTGGAAAGAGGAAGATCGATTATAAGAATATTCCCATCAGCAGGGGTGTTAAATAGAAATTAACTATATTGATTTCATTGTTATTAATTTGAAGTAGGTATTGAAGTCTACTCATTTAATGTGTTGTTATTTTATTTTAGGAAATGGTGAAAAATTTCTTGCCTTCATTGGTTCACTTATTCTTAATCTGTCTTCTAAACTAGTTATCCCACAGGTCCCTTAACACATGGTAGCCCCTGCCACAGGGCTTGTGAGGACTACAGCTGTGTTGGCTAGCAATGGTGGAGATTTGAGTGGTATGCCTGGTAACTAAGTACCCAGAATTTTTCTAAAGCCCAGATCTGGTGCTGTTTTCATTGTTTACCTGATCATCTTAATGAACTGCTTGAAGGCAGATAGTGCCTTGACTTACCTTTGTGAGCTGAATGTCTGTTTACATTATGAAAGGACAATTGTTGTCCTTAAGTGAATGTTATCAGCAAAGACCTGGAGGAAAGTGTGATTTATTGACAAACTGCAGCAAATGACCTGCTTCCTTGTTTATATGGATTTTTAAAAAGCTGTCATTACTCTTCTACCTGTACTTCTGTTGTATATTAATTTCTCTTATGTAACCACAGAACGTTTTTACTCACTTGTGTATGGGTTATTTTTCTAAAACACAGATCTGTTTGTGTCTTTTCTGCTTTGCATTTAGATTTTTTTTAAATCATCTTGATTAAAAATTTCATCTCAATTTGGTTTGGTGCCATCTAGCATAACCCTGGGCCTCGACACCACATCCTCCATCAGTACATTGCCCGGTAATGCAGAAGCTTTCCATTACTGCCTGAAGAAGAAACCGCTAGAAAAGCCCATCAGCTGCCAAAAGTTATGCCAGTATATGATCATTTCATCAGTCCAAAATATTTTAAATTTTGAATTATTTACCCTTACTAAGATTATACATAATTTACATAGATGATTTTAAAAATTGACTACATTTAAAAAGCAAATGGTTTCGTTTAATAAATGATAGACTAAAGAAAACAGTGGAAGTTATTAACCAAAAAGTAAAAAACCTTCAATAATGGTGTACAAAGCAGTAATTATGGTCACACTATCTGAGATTCCTATGCTGTGAGATTTTTCAGATCCTTACGAGAAGACAATTTAGAGATAAGGGTGCTTCTGGGAATGGAGTGATAGATATTTATTTTTACATTTATTTCTAAATGAAACCTTCATTTAGCACTTTAAAGTAGAAAACAGATTTTTATTGCTTTCATGAGCATAAATAGGAACTCCAAACACAACTATTTCATAAAATGTAGATTTTTGTCTAAAACCTATATACTATAGATTTTGCTATTATATCTAGTCATGTTTAAAAATATTACTTCTATATCTGTAAATACCATTTTTCACTAAAAGGAATCAGGAGCGCTTGGAGAAATTACTGGTTTTAGGTCTGAGGCAAGAAATATACAAGTTGGCCTTGGAACATCTCGTCATATTGGAAAAGAAGAAGGTTATCAAAGACCACTAAGACTGTGTCAAAAGAACTTAGAGGCTAGCTTGAATAAGCTCTTGCAAGCTTTTATCAATAAAGGTATAATTTCAATGGATTGAAACATATCAAATATGTTTAAGTCCATGGATTCATAATTATACTTCAAAATATAAGAACAAAAACTTCATTGGTCATGTTTGGAGAATATTAGGGAACTACTCATCACTTTGAAAACTGGCAAATAGAGAAAAAGAGTTAGGCACCTCTCCTGCCTTTCCTCGATGACCTGTATCTCAGGGTACCTCAGGGGGAAACTTCTCTTTGTAGAATTATTCCAGCTAATAAATCAAGAATGAATAATAGAATATTTGAAGTTTTAGTGAATTATTGGATCTAGGCAAATATCAGAGCTAACAATATCATGGAAGCAGGCAGTCAGAGGTAATAGTTATCTGCCTTCTGATGGAAGTTCAAACACGGCGTGAAATAGTCTGTTTGATGCAATTGTCATATACTGGCATAACCTTTGGCAGCTGATGGGCTGTTCTATTGGTTTCTTCTTCAGGCAGTAATGGAAAGCTTTTGCATTACCAGGCAGTGTATTGATGGAGGATTAGGTGTCAAAGCCCAGAGTTGTGCTAGATGGCATCAAATCCCCGTCCCATTAGAACTTGAATAAGATCAAGGCTCTAGATGGAATTATCAGTCTGTAGGGATGCAGAGGACAGCGGAACATGTTAAACCACAGCAGTGTGATACAATGAGAAAAATCCAGAATGTGGAAACTATCAGACAACCTAGTTCCTTCAACAACAACTTTTTTTTTAATTGCAAGGAAAGATTAGAAATAGAGAAGAAACTTTATAAAGAAATTTAAAGAATGTATCAAAGAATCATAATGTATGAACCTTATATGAATCCAGATTCAAGCAATCTGAAGTTAAATTTGTATTATAATATATTGAAATGCATATTTGATATAAGTAATTATTTTCATTTTTAGGTGTGATAATATTCTGTTTTTTTTAAAAATTATTTTTCAGAGACACACTGAAACACTTATAGGTGAAATTATGTGATTATTGGCACTTACTCCAAAATAATCTGGCTTGGTAGGCTAGGATGGGATTGACACAAGGGGAGTTGATAGGAGTATAAATCAAACAAGATGGTCAAGTATTGATAATTCTTGAATCCAAGGGGTAAACCTAACTGGTTTGTTATTCTCTTCTCTCTCCTTTTGCATGTATTTGAAAGTTTCCAAAATAGAAGTTAATACATAGCTACAATATATACATAAACATACATATACAATATATCAATATATATATATTCCACAAACTAGGTAAAATTGCAAAGTTTCATCCAGGTTTAAATATTAAAAAAAGAATCCTTTATCACTGCACACCTACTAGAATGGCCAAACCCCAAAACACTAACGTTTCCAAGTCTTTGTAGTGAGTACTGAAATAATGTATGAAACTAACAGATTACTCTGGTGTATACTGCTACAAACCTGGTAACTTTTTAATATCACACGTAGACTTACAGTCAAAAGGGAGACTCTAAATTGTGTTATAAATTAGGAATCTCAGAACCTGAGGAACATTTGGATTTAGTTGGAGAGATATAAAATGGTACTGCATGAAAAATATGTGAAATTTAATAATTTTAATGCAAATATGTAAAATAGAAAAAGATGCTAAAGGGCTTAGCCAGAGCAGGACTTTTACATGCCCTGGAGTCCTGCCAGGATCTTGACCTCGAATAGGTATCTTTTGTGTTTCTGAGTTAATTTCCTTGTTGTTAAATAAACTTTGTTTTTTTTCTAGTTGGGGAATGGCGGTCAATGTGTATTCTACCTCGATAACCCAAGAGACTATGAGCAGACATGACATCATTGCATGGGTTAATGACATAGTATCTTTAAACTACACAAAAGTGGAACAGCTTTGTTCAGGTAAGACATATTCTTTTAAGTGTTTACCTAAATATTTACAGTCTGTCATGTGGAATGTGATTTTATGAACCACAGCTGCTATATTTTGGGTAGGAAAAAGTATATATTGCTATTGGCATGTAATTAAAGGGGGAAAAACTCAGATATAACTAAAGGACGTATTGGGAAAAGTGTTTATGAGCATCCAGGAGCACAAGCAGAGCCACACGGACACGTATTGGAAAGGTCTCTTGCTTGAGCTTCGTAATGCCTTTCACTGGCTCCTAGCCTCTTCTCTGTCATCCCATCTGCCATCACACTTGCCTCCTGAAAACACCAATTGGTTCTTACAACACTCCTCCTTTAAAACCTCTAGGGCTCCACGTTGTCCTCACTACAGGATAAACTTCAAACTCTTTTCATAGACTAATGAGGTCCTTATTAGTCTCAATTCCACCCTCCACATCTCTCTCCCTTATACCTCAGACCCACAATATAATCTTTGTTCCCTAAAGACTCTTTCCCTTTTGTATCCCATAGCTTTTTTCATGGTTCCTTTGCTGAGATCTTTCCCCTTCTTTTCATTTGTGGGAAAATCTTGCTCATACTTTAAAATCTGGTTCACCTGCCACCTGCTCTGGGAAGCATTCCCCAGCCTCGCAGGCTCCGTGGTGTTCCTGAAACACTGTGCTCATCCTCCAAAATGACACTTGCCACGTCGTGTTAGGATGTCTAACTCCTTCTAGCCCTGAAGGTGCTGAGAGTCCTTGAGGACAGGACTGCGTTTTGTTCTTTGTTGAATGCCTGTAGTTGCCTCTACTTGGTATGAGGTAGGTCTGCAAGGAATATATATTGAGTTAAACTTCTTTAAAAAATAAAAATATTTGACTTCAATGACAAAATAGGAGGATGTTTTAAAAAACGTGCTGCTAGGCCAGGTGTGGTGACTTACGCCTGTAATCCTAGCACTTTGGGAGGCCAAAATGGGAGGATCGCTTGAGCCCAGGAGTTTGAGGCTGTGGTGAGCTATGATTGTACCACTGCCCAACAGCCTAGGTGACACAGTGAGACCCTGTCTCTAAAACAAAACAAAACAAAAAATATGCTGCTAGTAAATTAATTCATTCTTAGGTCTGAGTATTTATGAAAGAAATAAGCAGTCCTCCTTTGGAAACAGGGAATGTTTCCTTCCAGTAAACAAATAGATAAGAGATTTCTTCTTTCCCTTTGGCTTCAACATGAAAATGGTATTAGAAAATACCACTGAAATGTATTTGTGTGAAATTTCATGAGTCAGAATAGGTAGGAAGAAGTCAACATTGCTCTTTTTCCCAGAGGGTCAAGTATAAAGATTTTATACAGTGCAGTTAGAATTTCAAAAGCCCCCAGTAGTCACTTTCAGATGTTGTCTGAGTCCAACACCCACCAGTGTAAATATTCTCCCTTCACCAGGTCTGGACTTGATCAGAATACTCCTAGAGCACTAACTTTGAGTATGATTGACATCCTTTTCCCTGTGATCATTTTTCCCACGAGGAAGACAGTAAGGTTGGCCAGAACTTAGGCGTTGCCTCACTCACAAATCTATGCCTAGGTCTCAGACATGAAGTCTTGTGATTTATGAGGTCAGTAGTGGGTGCTAGCTAACCACTCCTTTGCCCTTCAATACAAGATAGAGAAAAGCTGACTTAGACTACGATGATGATGTACCAGGCATGTATATTGTTGATCTACTGAAATGTCTCTAAAAGTTACTTTCAGAAACAACTTGTATTGCAGCTTATGCAACTTCAGATCTCTACATACCCAAATATTACTGTGCTGTTCTTGCTGTGCATTCTTGAGCTAATATTTTATTTTTAACTTGCTGCCAAAAAAGAAACCAAAAACAGTTTCTGTTATTAGCAATCACTTTGTTGATAACACATACCCCTTTGTATTGTAATTGTGAAATTGTCTATTTCTTCACAATGCCTAATGCATGGTTTTCCTTCAGAAATACTCATTTTGGAGATGAATGAACTGCAATTTGCAACTGCTAAGGGGCAAAGACAAAAATGTGTATCTTACCCACAAAGTGGGTATATGTGCATTTGGATAAGGGAAACAAGGTTGGTTATCAAGAAAAAGAGACATAGGAAGGAAGGGGATAAGGAAAAGGCTCACAGAGAAAATCCCCAGGCATGAGTCTTAAATGTTAAAGGAAACCATGAGGAACTTCCTATGCTGAAATACACTTGGAGAGTTTTTGGTAGCAAATGAAATAAGAACAAATTGTAATTTTTAGATACTGTAGTAAATGTATTTATAAGCAATATACATAATCTTTGCAGATCTTTGAAATTTCTCATAAAGCAAATTCAACAAAATTTTAAGGGACATTTGTAAAGGATTCATATATGGTGATCTTAAAGCATTGGTGTACATTTATGGCCTTTGTAGCTACACTGCCATCAAGCGTGGCTTGATTTAAAAACACAAAAAAACCTGTAGAAGCAATTTTGATCACTATCAAACAGATACACATAATTACCATTAGGATAACTTACTGGCTGCCTAAAATTACAGGATTGATGGTTCAGAAGAATGAAGTGGATTTAAAGTTTCCTTTCTGCTCTGAAATATGTTTCTCGCTAGAAAAAAAAAAGGAAGTTAATCTCCATAGTAGAGAAACAGGTCTTTTATTTTAGGTAGCAGTTTTCTCAAGGTATAAACTATAGACTCTATTCTTTTATAATTTCCTGGGGAGCTGCTGAAAAAAAGCAGATGACCTTCTAAATCGGTACCTCTGAGTATAGCCTAGAAATCTGAGTTTAACAAGTACAAGTTTAAGTACTTTTGTGCTGCAGCCTAGAGCTTGCAGTACATTTTACCCCAGACCAACAAAAATGAGGTTAAATTATCCAAACGTCCTTGGAAGTTTCCTTGTTCATAATTTAATCTGTGACTTTTGTCTTTAGCATTTAGCAGGAAGAAGCTATCTTTCTATTTATTTATTTATGAAATTATTTATTTATACCCTTCATTGTTCTAGAAAATATTTAAGGCAGCTAGGACAGTGCTATTAGGATAGGAACAAAGCCAAGTATTGTTGACTTAAGTGACTTATATTCCTCATACTTATGAGTAGTCAGATTTCTTATGTAATATTTTCTTCAATGTTTATTTCAATTTTTTTAGTTTACTGTGTGGGATTTTATTTTAGCAGTATGCCCAGGAAAAACATACAGGAAATACTTTCTCATATTTAAAATGATTTAAAATGTCAACATCATTTCTTACTCTCTTTCCTGAAGACTTACGCTCCAATCCTGGTGGTTCCCATTTTGAATTTTTTTCCTATTGCATTATTTCCTATTTCTGTTTTTAAAATTTTCCAGCTAAGAGATCTCCCTCCAGCTCAGTATTAAAACTAACACCAGCTTTTCTTTAATTTGTGAAGAGCTAAAAGATTGCCTCACATTGGTGTTGTGTTTTACTCAGTATTTTCTGCCTTTATGTAACATCTAATTTGTTTCCAGGTAGGCATTTTTAAAAGCTCTTTAAAGGAAAGATGGCGTGAGAAAGTAGAACACTTGGAAATATGTTTGTAGTAAGTTGCAAAACAGTGAAAATGACTCACTGTTATCTCCTGTTATTTTATCCCAAGAATATAACCTCATGAAAATTTTCTTTGAACATTAAATCTGGGTCATGTAATTATATGGGTATCTGGTTTTCATTTATTTCTTGTGACAAACAACCTTTAAGTTTCAAGTAAAAGGTGAGCTATATAAATGGAGAGTGGGCTATCAATGAATGTGAATACTACCTATAATAATTCAGCAATCTATTGCTCACCTAGATCTATTTTGAAATGAATAATTGTAGATTTTCCATGGTGGAGTGAGAAGGTTGAACCACATGTAGTATCAGATTGGTTCAGCTTATAGATATTTTATATTTTAATTCAAAAGTTATACAGCTTGGGCAGGGGGGTGATAGGGAATTTTTTTTTCATTTTTTGCTTTAGTACTAGCTCAAACTAATTTACTAAATCTTTTATAAGGTAGCAATGAGGGTGAATGGACAGCATGGTGCTAAAAATCTCTAAAAGCTTTAGCAACTTTAGATACCTTAGTGGAGGTGATAGAGAAGATAGGGGACTTAGAGGGGAAGAAAAGGAAATGGGGAGGGAGGAGTAGGGTGGAGTGGGAGAAAGTACATCTTTTCCTTGAAAGTACATATTTTCCTTCTTTTCCTCTCCCTCACTCCTCACCTCAAGCCTCCTTTGAGACTTCTTTGTGACATTAATTTTCTGTGTCTTGATCCTCTGCCCTAGGCTGGAGCTAAGCAGCAAAATCACTGGGTCCAATGCTGGGTCATTCTTGCTGCTTGGCAGACTGAGTGCCTGCCTTGACTCCCATCCTCACAAGGCTAGTGCAGCCTGCCCTTTTCTCTTTGTGCACCTTGCCTCCCTCCTCCCCACCCCTCCACTAGCCGAGCAGACACCTGACTTGGGGCAAATGTTAAATACAGTCTGCATGTAGGGCTGGCACTGCCTGGACTGTCACTATATCCTGGACTGTCACTGTCTGTCACTGAAAGCTGTTATTTTCCTGAGCATTTTAGTATTTTAATAAAATGTCATTTGAATTAAACCATTTTTAGATGGAAAATTGAGATATTTTCTTGACTTGCTTTAAAAAAAAGAAAGAGAAAATGATCAGGATTTGATTCAGTTTCAATTTGTGCTTCCCCAAATTGGTGCGAGCTTTGTCTTGGATCAAGTCACTGGTATTTTGTTCTTCCAGGAGAGCTTCTGAATTTGGCTAATGATATTGTAGTCACATTTGCAATTCTGGTTACGTGATGGCTATGTGGAAGGAGCAAGTATTTAGAGTACACTCTGGCATTCACACAGGTGTAGCCATCAGATGGCCCTGGGACCCGTGGTGCAGGTGCTCCGGGCCCCACCCTGATGGCCATCATTCCTGAGCCCAGCAGAGTGTTCTTTGTGACCATTTTTGGCCGCAGATTTGTGCCTGTTAGATAGGTTGATCCCAGCCTCGTGTGTTGTCCCTGTGCCTCCTCTCTTCCATCCACAGAGACCTCTGTCAGGACAGGTTACCGATGAAATCTGCTCAGAGTCTAAATTTAGTAGGGCTTCTCTTATTGGCTCTCTGGTATTGAAACCAAGTAAGGATATTCTTTCAGTGTCTGTAAGCATAAGAGTTTACTTAGCTTTATAAAATCATTGACTGTTATTTGCTGTAAGAAAGTTAGGTCATCTTAGATTATATTACTATTGTTAGGGAGGTAATTGTAATGGAATATTATTCATACTTGTGATATATTACATAGAGTCTTTTTGGTTTTTTTGCTGACAGTTTTTTTCTCTAATTATTTGACTCATGCTAATTTTAAAAGTTTACATGGTCTCAGCATATCAACTAATTGGAGAAGAAGGGGACAAAAAAAAAAGAGTTGGATAATGGTGGGGAGGGGTCTAGCCTCATGTTCAATTGCTTCAGGCAGTAATATATGGTAATATACTCTAGTGTCTCTACTAATGCACTGGTTGAAAGGGAGTTTATTTTTGGAGCAGGATAGATAATACAGTAGGTTTTTTTTCCCTCCAAATTTGTTCATTTACATCTTGACACTTTGCTCCCGAAGATGAACGTAAATTGCTGTTTCTGTTTTTCTTGGGACTTTTTGTTTGTTTACTGTCTTTTGTAATGCTGAATACCATGGTGGTGAAAAGTGTGTATGCATTCACTTTCATTTACCAAACTGCTCTATAATTTTTTTTACACATATGGATGATATATCTTTGAAAGCAACCAGCCACATCTTCGTTTATGTCCTTAACTACATTCAATTCTATAATCAATTTAGTTTTATTTAATAGGCATATTTTGAGCCTTTCTTTGGGCTAGGCCCTGGGGACCCAGCGATAAATAAAACATAGTCATTGCCCTCAAATAGCTCAGTACAGCAGAGTACTGTCCTACAAAAGACCAGAGACCACACTGTGGTAAGTGCTGGTTTGCAAGTGCTTTGAGCATACAAAGAAGGAAGTAAATGAAGGGAGGTAGGGACATAGGGAGTCAGTAGAGAGATTTACTCAGATTCTTTGGGAGTGGCTGGGTGCTTCTGGATGAAAGAATGGCCATCGTTTGGGAAACACCTCAGAAATGTCCCCCTCCCTCTTAAGTCAGATGGAGTGACAAGTGTGTATGTAGGATAATGTGTGGGGTACTTAGTTTCATTTACCCTGACAGACTCCCCAGGCTAGGGGGGCCTTTGTCTTATGACACAGGGACTCTAGTCAGTAAAATGCATGTGCTTTAGTGGGTACAGCCCTTAAGTACATGAAGCATATTGTCATCTCTAAAGAAATATAAAGGATTTTCTTGATGATCTCATCACATGAGTATGTGAGAATTGTTATTACTCTACTTGTTTGAAGGAACTAGGCATGCGTGTGGGATATTCTCAGGAAACCATAGAATTGGCCACTTCTTTGGGAGGAATGCACCAGATACTTTTAAATACTAAAGCCAAACCTCAGTGATAACTGCTTGGGTCTCTAACTGGGTAGATGTCATGTGACTGCATTAGTATTTATCACAGGAACAGACCTACAGATATATCCCTACATCCTATTACCCATTTCTGCTGGAGTCTCTCCTGGTTAGTGACGAACACCATAAATAAGGGGAAATTAGAAAAACAGGCTTAGGGAAAAATAGATCACCTGGAATGCCATTGTTTTATTGAAGACTAACAATATATATACTGAACAAAAAATCAAGGAACATGTGATCACAGTTAACTTTATATAGTGCCTTAACAGGAATAAGTGAATCAGTGACATATTAGAAACAGGATTAATAATTGCCTTTGAGAAGTCTCAATAAGTTCTCTCTCTCTCTCTCACAGATACGCGCGCGTGCGCGCGCGCACACACACACACACACACACATACACACACACACACACACAATTGGTACAAAGCAGTACCATTAGTGGGAATCTCATATTTTTTTCCCCATATGTGAGAAATTCCCAGATGTCATAGTTGAGTGCAGTCTTTGAGGTTCTTATTGAGTATATCACTAATTCACAAATGCTATTGTATCTACCCTACTATAGTAAGACCCTGCTGAGATTTACCTGCCCCCAAGCCATGAATAGGTGGGTGGTTGTGAGCCTAGAGATGAAAACTGTTGTACCAAGGGATGGGTCATCAAAAGAAATCTAAGTTGGATACAGTTAATGAGAGTGATACTGAACATAGTACTAAGGAGTCTCTAAAGCCTCATCATTGATTTCATTAACTTCAGTGACTGGAGCCCTAACTCCATAGCCCCAGGGATCTTGACAAAGGTTGTGAGAAAACTTGCTGGAGTCCAAGGACATGACAGGTTTTAAGACTCATTTATAATTCATAATTCTAATTACAGAAACCTTTAGAGCCATTTCTCTTCTGATTTTGTCTCTGTTATATGATAAGTTGCTTTCTTTTAAAGTACATAATGATATGCTTATTTTGAAATCATTCACCAAGATCAATAAAAACCAGTATCTTAACAAGAAAAAGATTTATCTTTCAACATATTGAAAGTTATTTTGAATTTTTAAAAACATGTCAATCACTTTATATGATGGATATGTTCCTTATAAAACACTATTTTGTATTTACCATGATACTTTTTCTTTTTCTTTTCTCCCTTTCAGTTTAGATTATCTAAAGACTTTAACAGGAAGAGTGTAAATTTGGGGAAAAATAGTCATTTCCTTTTATAAATGAATTTATGATTACTTAAGCACCTCATATGTTTATCTGAGGAAAGACTTAAGAATTACAGAAACCCTCAAATGTTTTTCCACAGATGAACTGGAGGATCTTAGAAATGTGTTCATACCCTTTCTTGTCTGGTAGGAAGCCAAGGACCTCATTTTATTCTTTGGTTCCTTGTCCTTTGAATCTAAAACATGCATTTTGGAGATTCATGTTTTGCATCTGAAACAGTCCAATTCAAGCCCATTCATTTTTATAGCTCTGATTATCTTAACCGGTTACATACTATATAGTTTTATACATTAGGGGTATAATGATGTCATAATGCCTCAGCTTTTATTTCTCTCTCTCTGCCATTTTCAGTGTGTTTTTATATGTATTATTTCTTTTAATTCATATAACAACCCCATGAGGAAGAATAGGAATATTTTATTCCTATTTTATGAGGCTAAAAGCTCCAAGAAGCCATGTTCACAGCTGATAATGAGAATTGAGGTGTCCTTGGATCATAGCCCAGTACTCTCATTGCTGTATGTGTGGCAGCTGTGGATGCAACGAAGGGTTCACTGTGTGTTTGCCCATGTGGATGTGTTTCTGATTCTTTCCATATCCATTTAGCAGAAGTCCTTTAAGCATCTCCTCTAAGAAAAGAAAGAAAGTCTTTATCTCCATCCTTTACATTCTACTTGAAGAAATGAGACATATCTGGTAATTCTACTAATGACAAGGGTGTGTCCCAATGGTATCATCATCAAGAACTTTCTTACCAAAAGTAACGAGACAGAGACATTTGCTCCTAGTCTTATGAAGTTCTTCCTTCTCCACCTGCTGCAAGTAGAGTGGGGAAAGAGCCGCCTGTTCTCTCTGATTGTTCTCCTTGTTCCTTTTCTTCCTCTAACTTCTTTCCCTCCAAGCAAGATGAGGTGGCTCTGAAATTTTGCCACCTGCCATGGAGGAACTTTGCAGCTCTCTCAGGATAATTCTTGGCCAGTGAAACAACAACCAGGATGATGCCTCCTTAGACATTTGCATGTGCATGTCTCTGCACTGTCTACATTTGAATCCCAAGAATATGGTCCTTTTCTTATTTTTATCCCAGGCTAGCTTTTGAACAAGCTTGTACCTGAGAGAACTACACATCCTTATTTCCTCCTTTCTATGCTATTGAGGAAATTACAACATCTCCTAGGATAATTTTCTTACAAGCTTGGTTCCCACAAAGGATTTACTTATCAAGTTATCACTGTTTTCCATGTATTTAATCCAGTTCAATAAACCTGTATTGCAGTAGCCATGCTAAGAGGCTCCATCAGTACTTCTCCAACCCCTTCTTTAATATGAAAAGTTGATGGTTTCTTAGTCTTACGTAAAAGGACTTACTAATGCAACATTTAAGAGTAGACACCGATTTCCCATCCAGCTCTATCCCTTCATTCCCATGTCTGGTTTCCCAACTCCAGCCAGATTGCAGCTCCTGAACTTTTTCCATATAGCCATTCTAGATCTGCCAGTGGGTATGGTAGCAGACACTGTGCTAGTGAAGTAGAAAGATGAATTGAACATCATCCCCAGTCTTAAAGATTTACTCACCAGTCAGCCAGGAGAGAGAACTAATTAAAATGTAAGTCAAATCCCTGTTAGATTTCTGTATCCAGTATAGTGAAACAATTTTGTGTTGGAAACAGGAAAGCTTCGTAGAGGAGGTGATGTTTTGACTAAGCTTTTAAGAATGAGAAGTTATTCAAGTATAAAAGAGGACGAAAGGACATTTTAGACAAAAAGTTTGATCAAGGCAAAAAGAAGTTGCAGTGTTTTGTGCATGTACATTGCATGTGTAAGACATCTGTAACATTAAAATTCAAGGCAGCGAAAGAGGGACAGTAATACTTCAAGTAATAAGTGCTGTATTCAAAGAAAGGAAAGATTATTTCCATCTAGAAAAGCTTTTTGTCTTACCCTTGTTTGGGTCTTTGGCCAAACAGTCATTCAAATTTAGTGGATGGTCAATAAATATTTATGAAGTTGAATTGAATTGAAATGCTATTCAAACTAGGATTTTAATATGGATAGGATTCAGACGGAGAAGAAGATGGTGATTTTGAGGAAAGTTACCATTTAGATATCATTTTGATATTCTACACATTGCTTTATTTATTCCTGCAGTCAGCAGATATTTATTGAGTACCTGCAATGTGTCAGGTGGTGGATTAGGATTGGAGGATACACCACTATACAAAACACAACACAGATCATATCCAGTTAGGACCTATCCCTTTACTACCAAAGTTCTCCCTGACAGGTCTATTCAGAGAGAGCAAATTCCTTTTTCTCAGCTTACCTGAGTATGAAGCAAAGGCAGAGAAAGGCCCCTGGAGAAAGGTACACGTCCAGCCTGTCTTGCCATCATTCAGTGTAGGGCACTAATGGGCAGTCTGTACATGGAAACATCTGAAATATTAGCAGGCATCTGGTTTCTACACAGTTAAGATAATCAAGCCAAACATCTCCAAATTCTTCTGCTCTTCAAAAGAAAACATTTTTCCTAACCAATTTTTTTCTGAATTGTGTTTTTAAATTTCTAGTTTATCAGACATGTAGACACTATTAAAAAGGAGTGTCAGAAATCACTGTCAAATGTTTGGGCATGTTAGAATTGCATACCTGGAAACAGAATAATGAAATTGCTTGGCAACTCGTAAAGACACCATCATTTTTCAGATTGCGTTTTTTTTTTTCCCACCCTGAAACCATTACGTAATTCTGACAAATAGCAAATTACCTGTGTTTGTCCCCTCCCTCCCAAGGGTGTGTTCTTACCCAAATATTAATACTCATAAGCTTTTTATGACCAAATTATTTGACATGAGAAGCATATAAATGTGAAACTAATGCGAGTCCTGTTTCCTGCAGTTTCTCTTCGCATTCTGCATGAGGAGGATCGTTCTCCATTTTCATTTCTTCTAGATTACATTTGTATGACAGCTCATGGAAGAACTTTACAAAAGTGTAGAAGGAGCCAAATTTTAATGAAAAGATGTACATCAACTTTAAAATTGCGCAGAATTGTGTTAAAATCTACTATTTAAAAACCTCACAGAAATCTTTTCCTGCTTCTTTTTTTTTCCAAAAATTATTCCATTCTTTTATTTCTACTGTGGTCATATGATTGAATCCCTGAAGTAAATACTGTGCATTCTTCAAACTGATTTGGGATCCTTCTGATACTAGAGTGTACCTAGAAAGCAAAGTATATTTTGGGATTAACCTGGGAAATATAAAGAAAGCAACTCATAAAGAACAATATTCTGTTAGTATCACAGTCTGCACGAATGTTATGTGGTGCCTGAATGTGAGTTCCTCTCTGTCTGTAATTGCTGGAGGCTTCCTTTGGTGCCACACCTGGCCTTCTGGGCTTTCTCTGGACGGGACTCTTTTCAGGGAGCTGCCGGGGAAGGAGCATCCTCCTCTGGAAAGTGGTAATAGGGGATGTTATTGGTGTAGATGAAAGCTAGAGGACTGGACTGGGGAGAGTGGCCATAAGTATGGAGTTCTCACCTGCAAGTCTTGGGGAGAGGGTGAAATGGCTGAAATCTGGGGAAGAATCCTGGAGCTTCTAGTCTCTAGTGCCAGGGATAGTGACCTCAGCCTCAAAATGAGCAACTTGAGAAAGGGGCGCATTGTGTAGACGTGGACCGTGGGTTTGCGCTGGTCCACTCATACCAGTATATTTTACCTTATACTAAAAGCCTCTCTGTGGGCTGCCATACATAGAGTTCATGTAGTGGCCTGGCCTGTATAACTGTTGATAGTATGATGTGGGTAATGGTTCAGTAGAAATTCTCTGAGAAAATGGGGAAAGGGATCAGCTTTAGGTTTCTTACTTGCAATTTAATTTGACCTAAAAATACATACGTTCTGGGCCGGGCGCGGTGGCTCACGCCTGTAATCCCAGCACTTTGGGAGGCCGAGGCGGGCGGATCACGAGGTCAGGAGATCGAGACCATCCCGGCTAAAACGGTGAAACCCCGTCTCTACTAAAAATACAAAAAATTAGCCGGGCGTAGTGGCGGGCGCCTGTAGTCCCAGCTACTTGGGAGGCTGAGGCAGGAGAATGGCGTGAACCCGGGAGGCGGAGCTTGCAGTGAGCCGAGATTGCGCCACTGCACTCCAGCCTGGGCGACAGAGCGAGACTCCGTCTCAAAAAAAAAAAAAAAAAAAAAAATACATACGTTCTGAAAATTAGAACTTAAAAATGGCATTCTCTAAAGACGTTTGTGCCCAGAAATCAGCATTGGTTTGCCTACCAAATTAGTTAAGCTTCTTCTTTTCCTGGCATTTAAAGCCTTGAGCAATCTAGCTGCATTCCACCTTTCCAACATTTATCCCCACAGCCTCCCTACCCATAACCTGTATTTCCTCAAACGCACGTTTCACTTATATGCCCTGATTCCTTGTCTTTGCTTGGAGTATCTCCTTTGAAATTCATATCAAATGCCACTTTGCCCTATTCTTCCTGATCACATTCAACAAAATGTGAGCTCTCTCTCTCTTTTCAATGATCAGACCTTTACAAAGCCTTACGCTCATTGAGTACTTGTTTTAAGTCTTCAGCATTCGGAGTTAAGCTCCTTGGGGACTGAAATGATCATGCAAGTTTGGCTTGATTTTATGTGTTTGATAATACTGATTACTCTTTGTTGTTTTTTTATTGGGCAGACTTTGAACTAACTGTATGGAACTAATATTTATGTATCTATATTTATAAATATTACTAATATTTATGTATCTAGGCCATACAGTTTAGCACTTATAGTTGTTTTGTATTTTTGCTGTTTTTCCATGTGTATTTCTCCAGACTCTCAAGACTAAGTTACTTGGTTCTTATTAAGACTAAGGTCATATTCCTCAATAAGTATTTGCTGGTTTGTTTAACATTGCTAAATAAACAAAGTGACATCTCTCCATGCCACCTACAGATGGGCATTTCTTTAGAGGTGACCTATGACTACAAAAATTAGATAAGATCTCATATCTTTTCAGATTCTTACCTTCTACTCAAGCTCTTCTTAAGTCTTACCTTAAATTTAAGTCTTACCTTAAATTTGACCTTACATATTTAATCAATCCTTTAAAAAATAAAGCACCTTTTTGTCCATTAAAGTAGAAGGGTAATACAAGTGTGTGAGAATACGTGAGTGCACATGTGGAGAAGCTATATCCCATGATATTAGAGCTTTATGAAACTTTCTATTTTCATGACCCTAATGAGAAAACTGACTTCTTCAGAATGGGTTTCATATGTAACTTTCGAACTTGTTTTTCATTTGTAGTAAAAGCTTTTTATGTCCCCTTTGCTCCTCTATCTGGAATGTCAAATTCTAACTTTAGCTCCACTCTCAGACTCTAGCCTGTGAGACATCGCACTGCCAGTTTCAGTATCAGCCTCCCTGGAAGCCAGTGACATTTTGTCCTGCACACCATTCCTGCCCTGTGCTCCCAGTGCCTCTCCTACTTCTTCCTTCTTGGCTCCTCTGGAGAAGCCAAATCATATTTTACCAAGTCAGACACCTTATTTTGGTAAAATTTGATGAGCACATTATCCTACAAGAAATCACTGGTGTTAGAATCTAGGCATGAAACTGAGCGCTGGCCACTGCACCATTAATCAGCAGACGAAAAGAAATCTGAAACCAATGAGATATTTTACTTGCCAGTAAAATCTCTATTTTCTAAAATTTACTTTTTAATAAAAATGTTGATACCTAAATCTTAATCAAGGGCTATTTGTTATATAGGTTTTTACTCCATTGAAATTTCCTTTTGAAAGATAGTAGAAAATACTCTTTATTCTTCCATGATGTTTCTATGAAGAAGCACTTTTAAAATCAATTTGTTACAGTAATATTAATATCTGATCAATTTTCTCTACAGCAGGCCTAACATTTAATGTAGTTCTGCAGGCTTCTTAATAAATTCAGATTTAAACATTACATTACTTTTTGGTGAAACCCTGTCTCTACTAAAAATACAAAAATTAGTCCGGTGTGGTGGCACACACCTGTAATCCCAGCTACTTGGGAGGCTGAGGCAGGAGAATCACTTGAATCTGGGAGGTGGAGGTTGCAGTGAGGCAAGATTGTGCCACTGCACTCCAGCCTGGGTGACAGAGTGAGACTCCATCTCAAAAAAAAATAATAAATAAAATAACATTACTTTTTAAAAAAGTATTCTTGGTTCTTGTTGAAAGCAGGTTATAAACAGAGGATACTGGCACCTTTAACTGCAGTTTGGTGCAGGCCTATAAGATTCTTAAAAAGGTTTTAAGATCATATGAATTAATGAAAAACTGAGGGCATTTATCAGATAAAAGACCAATCACATGATTTGACAAGGCCTTTTAATTAATCTGCTGATGCTCTTAAAAATCTGCCTCTCTGCCTGAATGATTATTACTAGCTTATTTCTTTTCCTGTACAAGAAAAGAGATGAAAATGTCCTTCAACAGTTTATTCTGTGTGTTCAAGGGAAAAGATGGGGTGCTTTTCAGCACTCTCTTCAGTTCACATAAGCCGCCTCTGTGTCTGTAGGAGTTGAAATCTTCCTGCTGGCTATTACTCCTTTTCCTCTACATGGGATCAGTTTGAAAGCTACTTGTCTTTGGACTTATTTACAATAGGAATAAAAAGCTTCTGACAATGTCAGGTAGTGGAGAGAAGCAGGAAGCTCAGCTGAGGACCATGGGAATTCAAGGGAGCAATCTCAGTTGAAACCGGATTTCTGAACTCTTGATCTTTATTTTGGCATTTGTGGCTCGGGGCAGGTAAGGTAAACAGTGTCCAAAGTTCCCCTTAACAGACTGAAATAATACTGTGGTAACTGAAGCTTTCAAGCTGCTCCTCCATGCCAGGAATGTGAAGGATGCCTATGAAAACAACAAAAAGCTACTACTAATTTAATCAGATTTTTGTTAGATTAGAATGATACAGTTGAACTTTGGGATTTTAAATTCCTTTAAAATGTTAATATTTCAAAGCATTATTTCACAATTGCCATTAAACTCCTTACAGCATGTATTTCTGTAGGTAGAGAGATTTCTGCTGATGTGCTGGAAATATGTAACCTTGTATTTTGCAGCCTCACTTTCCTCTTTAGTAAAGCCCTGATTTCCCAAAGGGGAATGCTTCCTTCAACACGAGGTTTGGGCTTAGGTAATAGTTGCAGTTCTGCAGGAACATCAGTTCAAGGAATGATGAGCTGAATGCCAAAATAAAGCTGGGATGACTTTATGATTATTGCGTATGAACAATCTAATATGAAGGAGATTTTTCATTGCTAATATTCAACTACTGGATAGAAAATATGGCTATGTTACTGAGTTTGTTAATGTCAAGATCTCAAAGAGAAGTACATGGAAGATAGGGTCACCAGAACTGAATCTGGAAAGGGTGTGTGTGCCCCCAGGAATATTCCACCAGAGGCAGCAGTGTTATTAGTAAGTCTCCTCTTATATTAACTATGACAAAAGCCAGTGATGGCTAGAAGCAAGAGCACTGGCAAACATCTTGGTCATATGAAGATGAGCATCATTGTCTCCTAATTAGCAGAAATATCAAGTATCCCTTAAAAGAGAACTTGGTGACAGACTGAGAATTAGAAAATCATCTAATTTTAGAGACCAGAGATCAGTCCAACACTGACGTTTTGCACATAAGAATACTGTTGGCTTAGCAGAGTGTGACGACATGTCACTGTTCATTCAAGATGAGAAGGCTCAGATCCAAAGGCCAACATAGTTTTCTGTTTCCTGCCTTCCCATTCTTTGTTGATACTAGCTTGAGATAATAAGCTTTTTTACAAATCATTTACCTGTAATGATTCACATCATGAAGAGTATGATCACATGGATGTGTCCAATTAATTGAGGTTGTTGTGCTTTTCTTCTAACCTTTCATCAGTACCAAATAAGATTATGGAAAGTGAAAAGTTGTAACTAAATCCCTCAGTGATATAGGCATCTCTGTATAATAGTTCCTTGGCCTGTGAGGAAATCAGATGGGCAATTTGAGTAGCTGTTTGTGGCAGAACCCAATCTGGCTTGATGTGTTTTTCCACAGATTGTGTTGCATTTCTGGAAAAGTGCTGTGAGACTTTTTTTGACACCAATAAGATATATATATACATGTATATATGAGATACATATATAGATATGTATCTCATATATATGGGCGATCAATAAGATTATATATAGAGATGATGTTTATTTTTATATACACATTGTATATATGTAAAATGAAATTCTTATGAGTGTATATATACTGAAATGGAAAGTCATGACATTGGAGCAGATTAATGATCTATCAAGCCCAAGATTCTACTATAAATAGAAAAGGTATAGCTGATACTTCTAACACCAGTCCAAACGATTTATATGTTCTCTTGCATTTTCCTTTATATTTCCTTTTAGAATTATCTATAAAAATCTATAAAAATTTCTAAAACTTAATCTATAAAAATTTCCAAACACTCTTTGAACCTTTCAATTTTTACATATAATTTCCTAAAAGCAGCATAGAAAAAAGGAATGTTTTTCTTAAAAAAAAAAAATTGAAGTTCAGATCAGAGTTTAAATTCCACTCTGCAATTTCTTAGCTGGGTGACTTTCTGAGCCTTGTTCCCATACCTGTAAAATATGGGAATGATAATAAAAATACTTACCTCTTAAGGATACTATGGGATTCAGAATGTTTAAAATACATATGAAAACGCTAACAGATTTTACCCAAATGTGGGTGTTTTTATGTCTTATGTTTCTTGCGTAATATATTCCATAAATTTGTTATTAGAGTAATATTTCCTTTTATCTGAAAATTTCCACTTTAAAAATGTCCATTTATTCTGATATTACTCTATGGTTGAAATCCTGGGATCTGGTGAAAATGAAATTGTCTTAGGCTTTTCATGATTTTATAGACTTAAATCATACACTCCTGAATCCTTTGAGTATGAATGTTCATTTTTGAGCTCTGCCATCTTCATACAGCCTCCCAGCTGTTCATTTTTTATTCCTGTCCTCACACTTGTCAGCTTCATTATGTCAATTTTGATGTATAACAACTGAAACCAATCTTAGGGCTGCAGGGGTACAGACAGTGTAGAAAGAATAGTTTTTTCCCCCCTACTTATTTCCAGATCATTTCAGAATCTTGTAGACCTTCACAATTGCAGCAGCACCTTGAGCTTATGGGCTCAGAGTATATCCCATCATAATTAACCTCTTAGTAGGCACAGCATCCTACAATTTGGGTTGTGTTACTTGAATGTGTTACCCTATGCTTAGCTTTTAAAGCTTATCTTTTACTTTTCTGCAGACTTGGTCTCTAGGGTCATTCTTATATTTGAGTGGCTTTAAAAAATTTTATTTATACCTCGTCAATTCTTAAAAGAATTTTTAGCAACTCTTCTCATAATATCTCTTTGGGGAGTTTGGCAACATAAGAATTTTACTGTTTACCAGCCCTTGTTGTGGTTCAACTGCTATGCAGATCTTCATTCATTAGCCAGATATTTATTGAAACCCACTTATGCCAGGTACTGTATTAAATGTTTAGATACATAGGGGACCAAGACAAATAAGGCACAAGTATTCTTGAAACTTATATTGCAGCGAGGGAAAAAATAAGCCACAAACTCTCTTAGTCTGTTTTATGCTGCTATAACAGAATACTTCAAACTGGGTAATTTATAATGAACAGTTATTTATTGTCTTCCTCTTCTGGAGGCTAAGAAGTCCAAGATCAGGGAACCAGCATCTGGCAAAGGTCTTCATGCTGCGTCATTCCATGGCAGAAATGCAAGAGACAATAGGGGAGAGAACAAGAGCCAAATTTGCCCTTTTATAACGAATTGCTTTCCCAAGAATGGCATTCATCCATTTCAGGAGGGCTGAACCCTCATGGACTGCTTACCTCTTAGTGGTCCTACCTCTTAATTACCATCACAATGGCAAATAAATTTCAACATGCATTTTGGAGGGGATATCCAAACCATAGCACCAACATAAGAGTTAATACAATGCCAACATAAGAGTTAATAAAACAGGATGAGGTGAAAAAGAGTGCTTAGAAGGCTACTTCATGTGGCATAGTAAGGGAGGACCTCTCTGAGGAGATGACATATAAGCTTTCATCTGAATGTCAAGAAGGTCACCATGTGAAGTTCTAGATGAAACTGTGTAAAGGTCCTAATTCAGGAGCAAATCTGAAGTGTTCTAGGAACAGCAAGGAAGCCAGCATGAAGGGAGCTTCCTAAAAGGAAGTTAGACAAGGGAGAAATAGACAGAGGCCTGATAACAGGGTATTTTAAGCCAGGGAAGGAATTTGGATTTTATGATAGTTTCATAGAAAACCACTGTGATATTCTTAGCAGGAGAGGGATGTGATCTGAATAAGGGTAACCGTGGCATAATGAGATAAAATTGTGTTTATTCAAAATGTACCTCACATTATTGCAAGGGTAGTTAAATGGCACAAAAGTCTGTGTATCTGTTGATGAGGAACATTCTGATTTGTGGCTGGGTAAGACTTCCAGGACACTGGCAATGATTCCTGAATATTTCAGTTTGTTGACATCTATTTTTATCTGATTAAAGAAGAAAATATAGAATTTCAAGAGCAAAAGAGGTGGTCAATAAGGCCAAATACTATTAAGAGGTTGAGTAGGATGCAGAAAGAAAAACAACTGTTTGATTTGATAGCAGAGAAGCTTTTGATGACCTTGACCAGAACATGGTGAGGTTGGAAGACAATTGAATTTGTATTAAATTGAATTGGATGTCAGATGAAACAATGAAAACAGAGACCATTTGAAGTTTTACTGTGAAGAGGAGGAGATAGTACATAGCTCAAGGATGATGTGGGATCAAGAAACTTTGGTTTTATTTTGTCAAAGTTGAATGATACTGGAGCATATTTGCAGGATTTAGGAATAACATATGCAGGAAGAATTTTGCATTGCAGGAGAGAATGAGGATAGCAGCAGGAATGACTCAGTGAGTAAGAGGAGACGTGACCCAGAGCACAAGTAGAGAGTTGAACTTTGATAGGAACTATGCAGTTTCTCAAAGAACGTGAGGTATAAATCGTCATGACCTTGGATTATGCAGTGGTTTTTGGTTATAACAACAAAAGCACAAGTGACAAAAGAATGAATAGCTAAATTGGATTTTATTGAAATATAAAACATTTTTGCTTCAAATGATACCATCAAGAAAGTGAAAAAACAGTCCACAGAATGGGAGAAAATATTTACAAATCATATATCTGATAAGGAAATTATATCTAGAATATAGAAAGGATTCTTACAATTCAACAATAAAAAAGCAACCCATTTAAGAAACAAGCAAAGAATGTGCATAGACATTCCTCCAAAGAAGACATACAAATGGCCTAAAAAGCACAAGGAAAAGATGCTCTAAGTCATTAGTCATAGGGAAATCAAAGCAAAACCACAGTGACATACCACTTCACATCCATTAGGATGGTTAGAATCAAAACGACAGACAAGTGGTGATGAAGATGTGGAGCCCTCATCTGTTGCTGGTAGAAATATAAAATAGTACACCTGCTTTGGAAAACAGTGTGATAGTTTTTCAAATTGTTAAACAGAGTTACCACATGACCCAGCAATTCCAATCCTAGGTATACTGCCAAGAGAATTGAAAACATGTCCATGAAAAAACTTGTACACAACTGTTTGTAGCATCATTACTCAAAATAGTCCAAACATAAAAGCAATCTAGATGTTCATTAATGAATGGATCAGTAAAATGTGGTAATTCATAAAATGGAATATTATTTGCTGTAAAGAAAAAAAATGAAGTTCTGATACATGGAACAACATGGATAAACCTTGAGAAGAGTTTGCTGAGTGAAAGAAACCAGACACAAAGGCCACATGTTATATGATTCTATTTATATGAATTGTCCAGAATAGTCAGATCCATAGAGACAGAAAATAGATTAGTGGTTGCCAGGGCCTGGAGGGAGGAGAGATCATAGAGAGCGACTGCTAATGAGTAAGAAGGGTTTTTTTTTGGCAGTAATAAATATATGCTGGAATTAAATAGTGGCAATGGATGAACAATTCTGTGAGTATGTTAAAAACCACTGAATTTTACATTTCAAAAGGTTGAACTTTAGGGTATATGAATTATATCCTAGCTTTACTAGGATAAGATCTGGAACAAGACAAGGATGTCCATTTTAACCACTTCTATTCAACATTGTTCTGGAAGTCCTAGCCAGAGTAATTAGACAGGAGAAAGGAATGAAAGGCATCCAAATTAGAAAGGAGGAACTCAGGGCCGGGCATGGTGGCTCACGCGTGTAATCCCAGCACTTTGGGAGTCCAAGGCAGGAAGATCACCTGAGGTCAGGAGTTTGAGACCAGCCTGGCCAACATGGTGAAACCCTGTCTCCACTAAAAATACAAAAATGAGCCAGTTGTGGTGGTGGGTGCCTGTAGTCCCAGCTACTCAGGAGGCTGAGGCAGAAGAATCGCTTCAGCTTGGGAGGCAGAGGTTGCAGTGAGCCAAGATTGCGCCACTGCACTCCAGCCTGGGAGACAGAGCAAGATTCGGTCTCAAAAAAAAAAAAAAAGAAAAAGAAAAAGAAAAAAAATAGGAGGAAGTCAAATTGTTTGCAGACAGCATGATTATGTATTTATATCCCTAAAAACTCAATTTTAAAAAACTGTTAGAACTAATAAACAAATTTTGTTGCAGGATACAAAATCAGCGTAACAAAAGTCAGCAGCGTTTCTGTATGCTGATACCAAACTATCTGAAAAATTAAGGAAGCAATCCCACTTATAATCACTACCAAAAAAATGAGACACCTAAGAATAAACTTAGCGAAGGAGCTGAAAGATTTCTACAATGGAAACATATAAAACATTGATGAAAGAAATTGAAGAGGACATAAATAAATGGAAAGCCATGCCATGTTTATGGATTGGAAAAATCAATATTGTTAAAAAGTCCATACAGGTTAAGTATCTCTAATCCAAAAATCATAATGCTTCAAGATCTGAAATTGTTTTAGTTCTGACATACCACAAGTGAAAAATCCACACCTAATCTCATGTGACAGTTCACAGGCAAAACACATTCAAACTTGTTTTATGCACAAAATTATTAAAAATACTGTATAAAATTACCTTCAGGGTATGTGTATAAGGTGTATATGAAGCATAAACGATTTTCATGTGTAGACTTGGGTCCTGTCTCCTAGATATCTCATTATATGTATGCAGATATTCCCAAATCTTAAAGTATCTGAAATCTGAAAACACTTCTAGTCCAAAGCATTTTGGATAAGGTGTACTTAACCTATACTACCCAAAGCCATCTATAGATCCAGTGCAATTCCTGCAAAAAATACCAATGGCATTCTTCACAGAAAGAGAAAAAGATAATTTTAAAGTTCACATGGAACCACAAAAGACCCTGAATAGCCAAAGCGATACTGAACAAAAAGAACAATGCTGGAGGGGACTGCAGCAGATGGGTGGGCTCCTTTGACTCCACTTTGCCTCCTTGGCAATGAGTGGGCTATCCCACTCTCCCACGGCATCTGTATTTAAAAAAAAAAAAAATACTGAGGCATCACATCGCCTGACTTCAAAATACACTACAGAGCTGTAGTAGCCAAAATAACATCATACTGGCATGATGTATTAGCCTATTCTTGCATTGCTATACAGAAATATCTGAGACTGGGTAATGTATTAATATTAAGAAAAGAGGCTTAATTGGCTCACAGTTCTGCAGGCTGTACATATTGGCTTCTGCTTCTGGGGAGGCCTCAGCAAGCTTCCAGTCATGGCAGAAGGCCAAGGGAAAGCAGGCACATCTTACGTGGCTGGAGCAGGAGCAAGAGAGAGATGTGGGAGTTGCTTCACACTTGCTACACACTTTTAAACAACCAGATTTCACAAGAACTCACTGCTTACTCACTATCATAAGAACAGCACTGAGGGGATAGTGATCACCCATTCATGAGAAACTGGCCCCATGACCCAGTCACCTCCCACCAGGCCCCACCTCCAAAATTGGGGATTACAATTGAACATGAGATGTGGGTGGGGACGCAGATCCAAACCATATCACCTGAAAATAGATACATAGAACAATCCAACAGAATAGAGCACACAGAAGTAAATCCACACGTTTGTAGCCAACTGATTTTTGACCACAGTGCCAGGAACATAGGGAAAGGACAGTCTCTTCATAAATGATGCTAAGAAATCTGGCTATCCATGTGCAGAAGAATTAAACTAGATCCCTATCTCTTACCACATACAAAAATCAACTCAAAATGGGCTAAAGACTTAAGTGAAAGACCTAAAATGATAAAACTACTAGAAGAAAACATAGGGGAAATACTTCATGACATTGATCTGGGCAAAGATTTTTTGGGTAAGACCTTAAAAGCACAGCTAACAAAAGCAAAAATAGACAAATAGGATTATATCGAACAAAAAAACTCCTTCACAGCAAAGGAAACAGTCAGCAGAATGAAAAGACAACCTACAGAATGGAAGAAAATATGTGCAAACTATTCATCTGGCAAGGGGCTAATATAAGGAACTCAACTCAGTAGAAAAAAGAACTAAATAAAAAATGGGCAAAAGACTTGGTTAGACATTTCTCAAAAGAAAACATACAAATGGCCACAGGTATAGGAGAAAATGTTCAACGTCACTAATCATCAAGGAAATACAGTGGGAACCACAGTGAGACATCACCTCACCCCGATTAGAATGGCTATTATCAAAAAGAGGCCAGGCGCAGTGGCTCATGCCTGTAATCCCAGCACTTTGGGAGGCTGAGGTGGGCAGATCACTTGAGGTCGGTAGTTCAAGACCAGCCTGGCTAACATGGTAAAACCCCATCTCTTCTACAAATACAAAAATTACCTGGGCATGCTGGCGGGTGCCTGTAGTCCCAGTTACTGGGGAGATTGAGGCATGAGAATCACTTGAACCTGGGAGGTGGACGTTGCAGTGAGCCGAGATCATGACACTGCACTCCAGGTTAGGAGACAGAGCAAGACCCTGTCTCAAAAAAAAAAAAAAAAAAAAAAAAAAAGGAATGGCTATTATCAAAAAGGCAAAAAAAATTGTTGGCATGGATTTGGAGAAAGGAGAACTCTCATACACTGTTGGTAGAAATGTGAATTAGTACAGCCATTATAAAAAACAATATGGAGGCGCCTCAAAACACTAAAAATAGAACTACCGTATGATCCAGCAATCCCACGACTGGATATATAGCCAAAGGAAATTAAATCAGTATGCCCAAGAGATATCTGCACTCATGTTTATTGTAGCACTGTTGACAATAACCAAGAAATGGAATCAACCTTAGTGTCCATCAGTGTGATTAATAGATGTTTAAAAAGTGGTATAAATACACAACGAAATACTGTTTAGTCATATAAAAAAATGAAATCTTGTCATTTGTGGCCACATGGATGAACGTGGAGGACGTTATGTTCGGTGAAATAAGCCAGGCACAGAAAGACAAATACTGCATGATCTTCCTCATGTGGAATCTGACAGAGTTGATCTCATAGAAATAGAGAGTAGAATAATGATTTCCAGAGACTGGAAAGGGGAAAGCAGAGGGAGGAATGGAGAGAGATTGGTCAGTGGGTACAAAGTTACAGTTAGGTAGGAGGAATAAGCTCTGGCATTCTGTTATACAGTATGGTGACTATGGTTAACAATATTGTGTTGTATATTTCATATTCCCCTTGCTCTCAAATCCCAGGAGTGTACCCTATTTAGAGCTAACATCTCCCTGACTTATATTGACCTTTCTCAAGACAAGAGTTTTTCAAATCATAGCATTATTTATAATTGAGAAAAATTGGAAAACAAGCACAAGGTTAAATAAGCAATGGTGAAATACCAAGTAAATATTTTGCAGCCACTTGGGAAAAAAATAGCGACTTTGAATGTTCTCACCACAAAGAAATGATAAATGTGTGAGGTGATGGATATGCCAAATACCCTGATTTGATCATTACACAATGTATATATGTATTAAAAGATCACACTTGTACCCCATAATGTATATAATTATTTATCAAAAACAAAATACAAATTAATAAGTTACCTGTTTTTGAAAGCTATTATTTTTATATGCCATGAATAACAAATTCAAAAATATAATGGAAAGAATAAATGGCATGATAAAATTTAGGAAAATTTTGAGAATAAGAGGAGGGGAAATTATTCTATAGATAGTAATACATGTTATAGAGTTTTAAATAAGAATGTGGAACTGCCATGGAGACAAAAAAGGCAATTTAAAATCTAGAAAGAGATCTAAGTACATGTATTAGGAAGGCAATAGATAGTAAAAATAGTGCTTCTCATTGGTGGGGAACGAATAGATTATTAAGTTGTGATGTTCAACACCTAGCTAACTTTATCAGTTAGTGGTTTAGGTTGAAAATAGTAGAAGTTAATCCTGGCAGGCTTAAGTAGAAGAACAATCTATAGGAAAAATGTTGGGTAGCTCAGAGTCAATGGAAAGCCGAGCTCAGAAGATGGACAGGAACCAAAGGATGCTAAGGAGCTGGGAACACAGCCTCCCTTGTGTCACAAGAATAGGATGGCACTGTGCTGCTTTTGCTGCTCAGGACTCTAGACCCCACCACTCTGCCACCACAACTAAACTCTAATGGTCCCTGTGTGTTTATATCATTTCCTCAACTCAGATACTGAGGCAGGATTCAAACACAGAGCCTAGGTCATGGGCCTTCATCCTTATTGTTGTGAGGGAAAGGGATGCCTGGCCACTTTCAGCTTCTGTGGTGGGAGGCAGGGCACTATAGCATCTCCCCAGGTAGTAGGTGTCCAAATCCTGGAGCCAAAAATGACAGATTTCCACCAACATTTGGAATGACTAAAATTAGAACCATACTTTATATCATAGACAAAAATAAATTCCACATGGATTCAGAATTTAAATGTAAAACTTGAGACCATAAAAGTACTTGACAGAAATATGCATATTTATGTATTCTTGGTTCGAGAAAGTTGATAAGCAAGATATAAAAATAAGAAAGCCATTAAAAATATTGATAGAGCATATTAAGTGACTCAGAAAGAGAATTATGATCTGTTGAGTTTCAGAAAGTTTACATTAAAAATGGGTATAATGTGATTACATTTTTAAAACAGGATCACATTTTTAAGAAAATACACACACACACACACACACACACACACACACACACACGCACACACACACTCCTTTCCAAAGAGGATTAGAATGGCATATACCAGAATATTTCGAGTGGTTCTCTGGATGATGACACTAGAGATGATTTTTCCTTCCTTCCCTCACTATATGGAAGAGGGTTTTTTTTTTTTTTCAAAAGCTGTTATTTCTTTTTAAATCTGAAACATGAGGAATTTGGTTGGTTGGTTTGTAAGAGTATATAGTATCTGGGTCTCCATAGATAAATTTTATGCTAAACTCTACAAAAGCGAAAATAACTTCTAAGACCAGGTAATGAGGCAGTTGTGTTTCAACAATCCCATCCATATAAAAATAATGTTAAAGTGGCAATTGGAATTTGCTCCATCTGGCGGTCCTTCAAAAGAAAGAACTGGATAGTGGGTGATGACTCAAAGAATACCCTCCAGATCATGATGTTTCTCTTTCCTCCCCCAGTGTCTTTTTTTTTCCTTTGATTTGTTTTATTTTGTCTTCTCTTTAAGAGAACCCATCTGCTTGACTAGGAACTTACTAGTTAGTATTCAGGGTATGTCATCTAAAGGACACCAGATGCAGAGACTCTAGAGATATTCGTTATGGCCTATGTTTTATCACTTTACGCTCTTACCTACAAAATAGGAGTTGCCCCAGCATTTCATGTTTTAACAACCCTTAGATTCCTGATGTCTTGTTCTCTCTTATCTCAGATTGCTGTCTCAGTAAAGGATGCCTAACCTTTATTTCACATGAGAGACAGAGCAGTTCTTGCTTCCTAAAGTGAGTCACCCAAGTAGAAGGACTGGCTCTTCACAGAAGTCTTGGTAGTGTAAAGGATGAGGGGAGGCACTTCATGTTCCAGAAAGACTGATCATGAGCACATCATAGAGAGAGACCAAGAGATCTGGAGATAGCAAAGAAAGAATGAACCTAAAAATGGTGACTTGTTCCTATTCTTGCCACTTGGTTTTCTTTCTTGTAAAAGAAAAGGAATCATTCTGGCTTCCAGCTTATTTTCCTAAATGCCATTAGCCTATACTAGTAAGAAGATATGAATCAGTAAACACAGCTTGCCAGAATTTCCCAGTTGTAGTGGTCATGTTCTAAGAGCTCTTCATATATTTTTTCAAAAGTCCCCTTTTTCTATGATCATTTCCCCAGGGGGCTCATTGGACATTTCTGTCATGTTTCTTAGTCATAAAGAACATGACTCTGAACTTCTATAGCTTTCAGTATCCATGTCTTCATACTTCATGTTAATATGGAAACCCCATTGCTCTGGACTGGAATTAAATTAGTATTAACTTGGCTTATAACAAAATTTAACAATTAAATTTACCAATTTAATACTTAATAATTAATAAGTATAAGTAATAGGTAATAAGTATAAGTAATAATAGTTAATAAGTATAAGTAATACTTAATACTTAATAAGTAATACTTAATAAGTAATACTTAGTAATACTTAATACTTAAATTGGTATTAATTGACTTGTAGTTTTCACCTGTGTGGGGGTTCTGTAGTTTTCACCTGTGTGGTATTTTGTAAATACCACAGCTATAGATAGAAAACAGCTTGAGCATATGTGTATTTTTTGAGCTACACATTTCATGAGAACTTTTGTAGTTCTCTCATGTTTTCCTCTCTTTTTCCTCTTAAGTTTATTTTGATGACTTGGAGCAGGTGGTAGCCAGGTGGAAGAAAATGTATATTTCTTTTCTCTGGTAGAAGCTAGAAGGAGCTCCTTTTATCCTGGTTTCCTTGGCTTTATAGTGTGAGGTTCTGTTGGTTGGTTGTGGAACCTGGTGATATTCTGATGCATGGAGTACAATACACGGAGTTTAGGGTTGGGAAGTGGCAGGTGCTGTATTGTTGAGGTACAGTCCCTTCCCTCTAGCTCCCAGATCCTGTGGACAAGGAGATATAAGCGCATTGGTAAGAAGGACACACTCTGCTCTGAGTGATGATGGTGCCTGTAAGGACAATCCCCTTCCAGCCTAGCAGTCCTCTACCACATCTGGGTACAGTGAGACTCACTCCAGTACTGTTCTTGTTTCTTTCCAGGAGCGGCCTATTGCCAATTCATGGACATGCTCTTCCCTGGCTGCATTAGTTTGAAGAAAGTAAAATTTCAAGCAAAGCTGGAACATGAATATATTCACAATTTTAAACTTCTGCAAGCATCATTTAAGCGAATGAACGTTGATAAGGTAGGAGACTTGTACCTCCATAAAATGTGTTGTTTTTTCTTAAAATTGTTTTTGTGCATAAATGCAAAAGTCCAGGAGCATACCAATGGGATATATCTTGATATCCCAACAGTAGGCTGGGGTCTGTACCTAGCATAAAGCATCACCCTAAGTTCTTGTATTTTTATGAGGTTTTCATTTCAGATTTTCTAAACTTGTAGCCAGTAGACTAAAAACTAACAGGGCTCACAAATGTTAAAGTGTTATTAGTTAAATTTAGCATTGCAGATGAGAAACTTTTAATGTTTGCCAGATGCCACTGTGGTTCTTTGTATTTTGTTCTTTTGGAGAAACATCATGTCATGGCAGAAACAGCATGGTTTTGAATCCCAGCTTCATGACTTGAGCAAGTTATTTAAATTCTGAGTCTCAGTTTACCCATCTGTACAATGGGACTAAAAACCCCTTATTCATGGTTATGAAGTTGACATGAGAAGCAGTGTCCGGTATAGTGTGTGCGCTCAGATTCTCAATGTCCATAATTTGCCCTTTTTTTCTCCCATGAATTATACTTTTGTCCTGGAGTGGTGCAAATGGCCTGGAGTACTTTTTCTCTCAATAAGGGATTATTGCTAAAACAGTCTCTTTCTGCATGTTTACTGCTATTTAAATACATACTTAATCTATATTCCTTATTTAGGATATATCTCTTAGCATGAATGAGCTTGGAAAGAAATGAATTTTGAATAAGGGAAAAGAGATAAACCAGCAGGGGAGAAATGGAAAACTGTTCTTTGCATAAACAGAGGTAATAAATAGGCTATGGAAATGAAAAATAAAATATCAGGTTATAAAAGACAGAGATTAAAGGAAAGTTTGATAAACTATGTATTTTGTAAGCTAAGGCAATTAATATCTTCTTGACATTCTTATCAATATATTAAGAAAATCCTGACTTCTCATTGTCTTGGAATTTTTATTTCAAAACATACATTCTCTTTAACATCTTAGCCCTTTGGATTATTTCCAACTTTATGTCCTTTGTCATGGTTAATTTCCAATTAGCTCTTTCCATATGTATTTAAAACTAGGGATATATAGGTTCTCCTTACTTTTATAATACCTCTTGTGTCTTTTTCATTCATTTCTCTATACATGCTTCTAGATTAGAAAGAAAAGAAACACCTTTTCATATGTTTATTGATGGAACTTGTCATACATCAAATTAGTGGGCTCCATATCTCTCTAGAAGTATATACACACAGAATGGATGAGCAGTTGTTAAGAATGTTGAAGAAAAAAATTATTGCAGTGGAAGGAGACTGGCCATGATGGCCTTTGTTAGCCTTTCTAGCTTTAGTATGCAGTGATGTGATCCAAAAGTACGGTGAGAGACAGCATTAAGTACCCTCATTCATGTGTGTCATAGCCTGATGGCACAATGGAAAGTTCTATGCTTTTGCTTGCCACCTAGGATTTTGAACTTTTGCCCTGAAGCTTTCATGTTGATAGAGAATGCAGAATTAAGTCCACAGAAGTAAATGCCTTCTTTTAACAGCTAATGTACCACCAGTGTCTAAAACTATTTATAAATGTTCATGTCTGGCAATAGACAAAATATAGTAGTTTGTTAGTTAAAAGCTTTTTATGCTCTAAAAAGCCTCTAAAAAGTTGATTTCTAACAATCAATATCAGCATAAACAAAAATTTTAAACTCAGAAGACATAAAAGTGATTAAATAATACAATTAAAAGTCAATTGAGGCTGAGCACAGTGGCTCACACCTGTAATCCCAACACTTTGGGAGGCCAAGGCGGGAGGGTCACTTGAGGCCAGGAGTTCCAGACCAGCCTGGTCAACATTGTGAGACCCCATCTCTACAAAATTTTTTTTTAATTGCCAGGTGCAGTGGCACATACGTGTAGGCTCAGCTACTCAGGAGGCTGAGGCAGGAGGATCTCTTAAGCCTAGGAGTTAGAGGCTGCAGTGAGGTATGGTTGTACCACTGCACTCCAGCCTGGGCAACAGAGTGAGACTCTGTCTCTGAAATAAAAAATAAAAATTTTAAAGCAATTGAGTTCACATGTGGCAGGAATTCTTCCTTGTAAGCAGACAATTCACTGAAGTTTGGGGGAAGTGAGAGAAGAGCAACATATCACCACCAAAGTCTATTACCCAAAGAATCTTCATGAAAAATATGGTATCTTCCAAAAGATTCCCTTCTCTTTATTTTGCTTTGTACTTGGTTTAGTTTCTATTTTAGCTGCATAAAAAACATTTGTGCAAAATTTATTGCTAATTATTTAGTTTAATGCGTGCTTCAGTTGCTTTTTTCTTCCAAATTTTCATTGATATGTAAGGTCTTTCTACATTTTCTAAAGTGGTCCTATTGATACATTTTAGGATATCAATGATGTGTAGCTCCCACAGTGGCAAAGCCTTGTTCAAAGTTTAATTTCTATAGCTTCCATTCATATTGTCACATAGCAAAGCTGTGAGCTGTGTGCTTGTCTGAATCACATGCTTACACACTCACACACATTCACACACTCACACACACAATCTGACTCACACTCTAGCTTTGTAACTATCTTGTGATTCACATTCAGCTAGTATTCCCACCCAAAGATGTAAAAGGTAAGAATCCAGTGATAATATAATTCACATAGCTAGATACCTTTCCATTTTCTTTAAAAAAACAGCAAATTACACCAGTGAGAATGGCTATTACTAAAAAGTCAAAAAATAACAGTTGCTGGTGAGGTTGTAGAGAAAAGGGAATGCTTATACACTGTTGGTAGGAGTATAAATTAGTTCATTGTGGAAAGCAATGTGGCGATTCCTCAAAGAGCTAAAAACAACTACCATTCAACCCAGCAATCCCATTATTGGGTATATACCCAAAAGAGTAGAAATCGTTCTACCTTAAAGACATATGCATGTGAATGTTCATTGCAGCACTATTCACAATAGCAAAGACATGGAATCAACCTAAATGCCCATCAATGACAAATTGGATAAAGAAAATGTGACACATATACACCATGGAATACTAGGAAGCCATAAAAAGTATCTATTTTATTGATTTAAATCTTATTCATCTCCACTCTCTAGTAACTATAATCTTTATATGAGTGTATCTCAACACAACTGGGCTACATATTACAAAGAAATTTAAAAAGTTTATCAGCCAGGCACAGTGGCTCACACCTGTAATCCCAGCACTTTGGGAGGCCGAGGCGGGTGGATCACCTGAGGTCAGGAGTTCAAGTCCAGTCTGGCCAACATGTGAAACCCCGTCTCTACTAATAAACAAAAATTAGCCAGACATGGTGGTGCATGCCTGTAATCCCAGCTACTCGGGAGGCTGAAGCAGGAGAATTGCTTGAACCCAGGAGGCGGAGGTTGCAGTCAGCCGAGATCGTGCCATTGCACTCCATCCTGGGCGACAAGAGTGAAACTCCGTCTCAAAATAAATAAAATAAAAATAAAAAGCTTATCAGTCTTGAAATAGCACAACATTCCAGGCGTCTGTTTTTCCAGAGAGACGTTTTGAGGATAAATGTACTATGAGTGGGACCAGCCCCTCTTGACAACTAAGGATATTCCTTTTGTCTGGCTTGTTCAGAAGTACTAAATATTCCAAGAAAATCAATAATGATGTTTTGGTTTAGTTCTTTTTTTTCTATTTTTAATTTTTGTATGTACATAGTAGGTGTGTATATTTATGGGGTACCTGAGGCATTTTGATACAGGCATGCAATATGAAAGAAGCACATCGTGGAGAATCAGTTATCCATTCCCTCAAGCATTTACCCTTTGAGTTACAAACAATCCAAGTACACTCTTTAAGTTATTTTAAAATGTACAATTAAGTTACTATTGACTATAATCACCCTGTTGTGCTATCAAATAGTAGGTTTTATTCATTCTTTCTAACTTTTTTGTACCCAATCACCATCCCCAACTCCCCCTTTCCAGCCACTAGTAACTGTCCTTCTACTCTCCATGCCTATGAATTCGCTTGTTTTGATTTTTAGATCCCACAAATAAGTGAAAATGTGTGATGTTTGTATTTCCATGCCTGGCTTATTTCACTTAGCATAATGATCTCCAGTTTCATCCATGTTGTTGCAAATGACTGCGACTCATTCTTTTTATGACTGAATAGTACTCCATTGTGTATATGTACCACATTTTCTTTATCCATTCATCTGTTGATGGACACTTAGGTTGCTTCCAAATCTTAGCTATTATAAACAGTGCTGCCACAAACTTACAAGTGCAGATATCTTTTTGAGATACTGATTTCCTTTCTTTTGGGTATATACCCAAACGTGAGGTTTGTAACTCACATAGTGATTTTTTATTGCAGGTAATTCCAGTGGAGAAGCTAGTGAAAGGACGTTTCCAGGACAACCTGGATTTTATTCAATGGTTTAAGAAATTCTATGATGCTAACTACGATGGGAAGGAGTATGATCCTGTAGAGGCACGACAAGGGCAAGATGCAATTCCTCCTCCTGACCCTGGTGAACAGATCTTCAACCTGCCAAAAAAGTCTCACCATGCAAACTCCCCCACAGCAGGTATTGTCACAATGAGATTGCGGGAGTTGCTTTCATCTTTGATAATGGCTCAGACCCTTCTGTTATTTACTGTGTGTTTCTGACTGATTCTTCTCAACAGTCAATATTTTAATGCCTTCGGATGATTTCTACTGTTGTCTGTTTCACCACATTTATCTTCCTGTGACCCATTTGTCATTAGTCTAACCATCTTCATTTAAACTATTAAAAAGGCAGAGCTATTTGCATTGTATCACTGAAGCTGGCAGTGAAAATAATGCTCCCAGGATAGATTTCTTTTTCCTTTTAGTTTTTCGAGAAATTTCAAGTAGCCTGTTTAGATTTTGACTGAAGTATTTTTACTGCTTAATTGCTGGCAGTACAGACCAGCATATGAACTGAACTCTGTTGTTAAATATGGATCATCGTCTCTAACCCTTCAAAGGAAATTCGTGAACTGTACATCCTACCTCCTCTGTAGGCAGTGGCAATTTTTATGCAGTAACATTCAGCAATACCCTATTTATCCAGCTTTGTCCAAAAGTGAAGTCGTTGAGGAAAAATATCTGGAACATTAAAACTTTTAAAACTTCTGTGGATAAAAAAAGAAAAAACCACTTTCTAAAATATATTATAAACATCCTTGCCATAAACAGCAGACCTTACCAAGCAGAATGTGTTCTTATAAAATTGGGTCATTATTAGAAACACAGTTGGGTACTGCACAATTAAGCATGAAATCATCCAAAATCATGTTTCCATCTCAATTGTGGAACCCAGTGTTCAAACTTGTTAAATCAGTAACCTGAATTTTGTAAATAAAACAAATTTCTTATTTGTGCCCAAACTACAATCTGAATGAAGTAGAAATGGTTAACAGGACCACATAGGTGGTAAGAGCTTTGAAATCACAGTTTTGCTTACTGTTAAACAGCATTTTTATCATCTTATTTCTGGATTTATGGCTGTATTCCAGGCAGACTGAAACCATTGGAAAACTGGCATTACTTTTTGAAATTTTTTTAATATTTAAAAATAAATATTTTTAAGGATAACATGAATACTCATACTCACTAGTATGAATTAGATGAATTCTTCATCTGCCTTAAAATAGTACTCATGTAGATGAAGAGGAATGAACAACTCTGGGAGAGTTGTTAGGAGGCAAAATAGACTGGATGTTGGTAATGGCTGAATGCTGGGATAAAAGAGAAGGAGATGTTAAACATGACTTCTTGTACAACTGGAAGGATTTGGGGTTTTGTTCAAGAAGTGCTGAAAGAGAACCAGATTTGGGAAGAAATCTTGAGTTTGTTTTGAACATACTAAGTTTGAGATTCTTTTGTGACATTTAAGAGAAGATCTACATAGGCAATTTTTGTGTTGGGGGTGGTGCACATGTGTGTCTGGAGCTCAAAGGAGTTATAGGCTAAAGATAAACATTTGTGATTCTTCCACATATTGATGTAATGGAAGCTGGAAGCAAATACTGAATGATAAAGGGTAGAGTGTCTTGAGAAACTTGGACATTTACTGGTTGAGTAGAAGAGGAAGGGCTTGCATAGGAAGCAGAGAAGGTGCCAGAAAGAATGAAGGAAACTAGGAAGTGATGTGTCAGGGAAGCAGAAGGTAGGGAGCATAATGGTCAACAATGTCTACATCTGCTGAGAAGTCAAGTTAAATGAGGCCTGAAAGAGTTCATTAGATTTCTCAACTTGAATGATTTCTCCGTTCAGTAGAATGGTAGAGCCAGGAATGGCTTGAGGAAAAAGTTGGAGAAAGGAAATTGAGACAGTGGAAAGATCCAACTTTGGAGCCATAATGGGTGAGCCTATATAGAATAAAGAAAACTAAGCACAGATCTTTGGAAATACATACATTTAAGGGGGAGGAGGAAGAAGAGGAAGCTGCAAAAAAGATGAACATCAGGAAGAAAACCAGAAGAGCTCAGCATCAGAGAACAAAAACCGTAGGAAATTTGTAGAAAGAGGGGTCACCAACAGTGCCAAATATTAATTGTGGCGATATCAAATAGGATGAAGCCTGAAAAATAGGCCAAAGTCTGACTCCTAGGAGGTGATTAATAGTCCCTCAGAGAATTGGTCCATTAAAATACTGAGGGCATAGGCCTAGATTGCAGCAATTTAACAAGGGCTTGTGGAAGTGGAGGCAGTAAGAGTAGATTCAACCTTTAACAAATGTGTCAGAAAAAAATGGAGGAAAATAAAAACATTTGGTTTGTGTAGGGAAAAGAGTGATAGTAGCTTCAGGAAATAAGATTGGAAGGAAGATGTTATTTTTTTTCAACTGTTCTTGTTTGCTTTTAGGATAAGGCAATGTAAGCAGGTTTGTAAGATGGGAGACATGTCTGTGGAGAAGGAATCATTGAAAATAGAAAAAGAGGGGAAATTGGAGTATGACGCTAAAGCTGAAAGGAAAAGGTGAGATGTCAAGGGCATAGATAAAGTGTTAGAAAGGAAAAGAGAGGATATTTATTTTCTTGGAGCCAAAGCGATAGGAGAGGCTGGGTAAAAATTAAGCCACAAAGAGTTTGGGAAACAAACATTGATGGCAGTTTAGATAGGCCTTCAACTTTTGTCAGCAGTTTTCATCAGTCTAGGAGCTGGGGTGGAGAAAAGGGGGATGTTGTGCCCTCTCCAAAGTCTGGGATTCAGGAGGTATGTCGGGTGGGAGGACAAAAAGCTAAGAAAATCAAGGGTGTCTGATATTTCTCATCTTAATGTCATTTTCTAAAGCTGTGAATGATGGATAGCTTGGACTCGAAACTCAACTGCCATTTTTTTCAAGTTTTCTGTAGTGAGATTGGACAGACCTCAGAATATTTTCTTCCACGATCATAACCTGTCCTTAATTTTTTTCTCATTGGTACCAATATTCCTCCACACCCAAATAGCACTGTTACTATGCTACCTTGGCCTCGTTTTCTAGGAATTCCCTCATCTGTCTTTCACAAAAGCTGCAGATAAACGTGTGCCATTTTGATAGAATGTCCATGAACCTGAAAGAGAAATATATATTTTCTAGAGCTTAACCTCTTGGGTGACAATGCTCAGGAAACACATTAAAGTCAACAGATAATAAATTTTATTTTTAATGTTCTGGAAGGCAGTAATTTCCTGAGACCATGTTCCTGATACCTTGACCATGTTTACGTTATTGGTCTTAATCAGGGAGAAATGATATTTTCAGAAGTCAAACTGCCATTCCCTTTCTAATAAAATATGCTCTGATTTTTGGGCATTGTAGGGTAGTAAAACTATACTGGGGGTATATCACATATAGAGTGTTATTATTAAAAGCCATGATAGGAGAAAGGCTCCTATAAATGCATTAAGACCTCATTTTTTCTAGAAGTCATATCCAGTTATTGGGAATACAGCCAAGATAATATAAGCCAAAATGTCTTCCAAGAGTCAGAATAGGTGCTATAAAATGTATGCACCTTAGTCTTCATTCATGAGTTTCTGAGGTACTTACCCAGAGTGTGTTTGCTCTTTCTTAATTTAGACATAATTGTAATAAAGATGGGGATGTGGTTTCTTAGCACATAGCTCATTAGGGCAAGGAATATACAGGTATCAATAGAAAGTACAAACCTCAGTTAAAAAAAAAAACTTAAAACCTTACTAAAGAGCCTCATAGTATCCTGGGATCTTTATTACAAAATCAAATCGTTCCATTGCCTCTCAGTAGTCTTTAGTATATGTATGACACCAGCAGGCAGTCATCAATACTCTCATAGGTCCCTTACAATTCTTAGAATTGTCATAATTCTCTGTAATATTGACCCTGATTTATTTCCCTCATGAGCTCTATTTTTACATTATCTAAACTGGCACCCCTGCTTGTGGGAGTCACTCAAAGCCGTTCTCTTTATACACAGTCTGCTTTTGTTCATCTGAAATTTAGAGCAAATGAAAGGTGATGGTCAGCGGTCTGGAAAATTCACATATCTGTATCACATTTATATCACAGTGTTGCCAGGTCACTAACATGTAGCAGTAATTTTGTTCCCACCTCTAAGCCTTGGTCATTTCTTAATTATCTGCATTAGTGGACGTAAGCAGTGGCTGGTATCATCAAAAACAGGTGATAGTCCTTAATTTTTTTTTATTTTGAGTTTGGAATACTTGATTTATTTTTTTAGTGGATTTATCTCTCCCCCAAAATTTCCTTAGGCCAATATTAAAATTAGCTTATGTCCTAACTATTATACAGTAAGAGCAGTAAGTGGCAGCTCCCAAACATTTTGTATGACAGAGGGACCAGATTAGAGTGGAAAAAGTGATCCTGGAGTAGATTGTCACCATGAAAGGACTCAGTCTACATTAGCAAGAAAAAAAATTGTGCTTTTACATTGTACAGACTACTTATATAAGCATGCACCAGAGATTGCTTATGTATAAAATAGATACATTCTAAATACTTGGTGCATCCTGTTTTTTTAAGAACATGCTAGATTTTTCAACCATTTTGATACAGATAAAAGCTTTTCTTTATGATTCAGAGAAGCCTTAGAATAGTTTGGCTGTGGCTTCTCTGTGTGTCGTTGGGGACTTTACTGTAACAAGCTTACTGCATAAGCAGAGGCTGTCACCTAAGGGTAAATGGCTGCTTGGTAAGTTTTATTGTCTACATTCTGAGGAGTTGCATCTTGAATTGGTTTTAATCTACCAACCAGGGGCATGTATTAAAATACACATTTTCACAATGATAGATATATAAGTACATGCATCATTGTGAATCATGATGTTTGTAAATTTATTGCTATGAGCCATATCTGCAACTCAAGATAGCTGTTGGTGGGGATTGGTTTTTATGTGTGAACACTTACTAAACATAAAAGGAAATTCAAAGTTATGTAGTTACTATAGCAACGACAGCTAAGACACATTGCAGATTCACATACATTCATGTATTTAAATCAAACGCCCATATATAAATATAGTGTGATAGATTTAGAGTTGCTATGGAAATTGAGTTTGAGCTTTCTGCTTTCCTTAGGGACTTCAGTGTTTTAGCCTTAAAATCAGATTAATAGGAATGCCACAAAAGTGGTTTCAAAAGGAAGCAACCTAAGTAGAATAGAATAAAGTATTTGAGCAATCATAATTAAATCCCTAAATGTAGATTTGAATAAATCCTAAGGTGTTTTTCAAGAACATTGTTGAATATTTGAATATTCTCACTCAACAATTACCCTTAATGTTGGGTTTTCTAAGGCTGTTTGTATGACTGTAAAATGTAATCATGTTTATTCATTTATTTGTTTAGCAATGTATGAGCATTTGTTGAGCACCTGTCATCTAAGTACTCATCACCTCTCACCTTCTTTTGGGAAATAAGAATTGCTTTACTTTGTTGGGTTTTTTGTTTGTTTGCTTTGCTTTTTAAGAGAAGCAGTAAAAAATAGCAGTAAGGAGTGGTTTTCATCCTTGTTCTGATCTTGGCTTTATGGCCCAGGATGTAGTCTTTTTTGGTCAGCGGACCACATGCACTTGAAAAGAATGTGTATTCTGCAGTAGTTGGTTGTATAGTGTTTTAGAAATATCAGTTAGATCAAGGTGTTTGATGGTATTATTCAGATCTTCTATGTGCGTTTTTTTACTTACCTAATACCAGTGTCAGAGTAAACAGATCTGTATTTTATGGATTTTTTTGTTGTCCAGTTCTAACATTTGCTGCAGAGTCTGTTGAATTTTCCTGCATTGATCATGGAATTGTCCATTTTTCCCTTTAATTCTCTCCATTTTTGTTTCTTGTATTTTAGTGCTCTATTACTAGATGTATATGTATTTATGTATTTACGAGTGTTAAGTCATCCTGTTGAATTGACCTTTTTTGTCTTCTTCTAAAAAAAAAAAGGGATACATGTGCAGAACGTACAGGTTTGTTACATAGGTATATGTGTGCCATGATGGTTTGCTGCACCTATTGACCAGTCCTCTAAGTTCCCTCCCCTCACCCACAACACCCAAACAGGCCCCAGTGTATGATGTTCCCCTCCCTGTGTCCATGTGTTCTCACTGTTCACTTCCCACTTTGAGTGAGAACATGCAGTGTTTGGTTTTCTGTTCCTGTGTTAGTTCGCTGAGGAAGATGGCTTCCAGCTTTATCCACATCCCTGCAAAGGACATGATCTCATTCCTTTTTATGGCTGCATAGTGTTCCATGGTATATATGTACCACATTTTCTTTATCCAGTCTGTCATTGATGGGCATTTGGGTTGGTTCCATGTCTTTGCTATTGTAAACAGTGCTGCAGTAAACATATGTGTGCATGTGTCTTTATAGCAGAATGATTTATATTCCTTTGGGTATATACTCAGTAATGGGATTGCTGGGTCAAATGGTTTTTCTGATTCTAGATCCTTCAGAAATCATCATACTGTCCTCCACAATGGTTGAAGTAATTTACATTCCCACCAACAGTGTAAAAACATTCCTATTTCTCCACAGCCTCGCCAGCATCTATTGTTTCCTGACTTTTTAATAATCACTATTCTGACTGTGTGAGATGGCATCTCATTGTGGTTTTGATTTGCATTTCTCTAATGATCAGTGATGTTGAGCTTTTTTTTTTTTTCATATGTTTGTTGGCTGTGTAAATGTCTTCTTTTGAGAAGTATCTGTTCATATTCTTTGCCCACTTTCTAATGGGGTTTTTTCTTTCTTGTAAATATATTTAAGTTCCGTGTAAATTCTGAATATTAGACCGTTGTCAGATGGGTAGATTGCAAAAATGTTCTCCCATTCTGTAGGTTGCCTGTTCACTCTGATGATAGTTTCTTTTACTCTGCAGAAGCTGTTTAGTTTAATTAGATCCCTTTTGTCAATTTTGGCTTTTGTTGAAATTGCTTTTGGCGTTTTTGTCATGTAGTCTTTGCCCATGCCTATGTCCTGAATGGTATTGCTTAGGTTTTCTTCTAGGGTTTGGGTTTTACATTTAAGTCTTTAATCCATCTTGAGTTAATTTTTGTATAAGGTGTAAGGAAGGGGTTCAGTTTCAGTTTTCTGCATATGGCTTGCCAGTTTTCCCAGTACCATTTACTGAATAGGAGATCCTTTCCCCATTGCTTGTTTTTGTCAGGTTTGTCAAAGATCAGATGGTTGTAGATGTGTGGTGTTATTTCTGAGGTCTGCTCCATTGGTCTATATATCTGTTTTGGTACCAGTACCATGTTGTTTTGGTTACTGTAGCCTTGTAGTATAGTTTGAAGTCAGGTAGTGTGATGCCTCCAGCATTGTTCTTTTTGCCTAGAACTGTCTTGGCTATACAGGGTCTTCTTTGATTCCATATGAAATTTAAAATAGTTTTTTACTAATTCTGTGAAGAATGTCAATGGTAGTTTGATGGAAATAGCTTTGAATCTATAAATTATTTTGGGAAGTATGGCCTTTTTATTGTATGAAGTGTTCCTCTTTATCTTTGATAATATTCTTTGTCTTGAAATCTATTTTATCTGACATTAATCTAGCTACTCCAGCTTTTATATGCTTACTGTTGCATGGCATCATCTTTCTCCATGATAAGTTAAATTTCTGCCTGTCTTTGTCTTTATAAAGTGTGACAGCATGTAATCAGGTCTTGCTTTTTTATTCATTCTGATAATCTTTACTGTTTAATTGGAGTGTCCAGCCCATTTACATTTCATATAATTATGTAATTATTGATTTGGTTGGATTTAGAGCTACCGCATTATCATTTGTTTTCTGTTTGTCCCCTCTGTTTCTTGTTTTGTTGTTTCTCCCTTCCTGCCATCTTCTGGATTTTTAAAGTATTTTTTAGAATTCTATTTTAATTTACTTACCGCCTTTTAAACTACACCTCTTTGCACTAATTTTTTAGGGGTTGCTCTAAGGATTACAATATATATTCTTGTTTTTTCACACTATCCTTTAAATTAATACTGTACACCTTTATGTAAAATGTGGAAACCCTGCAGCCACCCCTATAGTTGTCATATGTATTACATTTACATACATTATGAACCTCACAAGATAATGTTATAACTTTTGCTTTAAACCTACACTGTCTAATACACGTTGGCTTTTGAACACTTGAAATGTGCTTATTCATCATTAAAATGTGCTGTGTGTATAAAATGCGTGCTGAATTTAGAAAACTTAGTATGAGAAACAGAATGTAAAACATCTAATAATTTTTGTATTGACTACATGTAGAAATTATATTTCATATATGTTGTATATGTTTTGCGTATGTTAAAGTCAGTGGAGTTTTTTTACCTTTTTGATGTGGCTACTAGAAAACTTATGTGGTTCACATATTTCTATTAGATGGTTATGCTTTAAACAGTCATATCTATTGTAGAGAAATTACAGGAAAAGTTGTTTATTTCATATTTTTACTATTTTCAACGTTCTTCATTTCTGAACACCCAAGTTCCCTAGCGGTTTCATTTCTCTTCAGCCTGAAGGACTTTTGTTAGGATTTCTTATCCTGCAGGTCCAGTGGCAAAAATTATTTTAGATTTTCTTTTTCTGTAAATGTCTTTATTTTACCTTCATTCTTAAAGAATATTTTCACTTGATAAAGGATTCAAGCTGGGTTTTGTTTTTCCTTTTGTTTTATTTTTTGCCTGTAAGCACTTTAAAGATGTTATTCCACTGCATGTGGCCTCCAAAGATAAGAAGTGCATACTCATTCTACCCTGGAATGGAATACATAGTTTTTCTCTGAGTGCAGTCAAAATTTTCTCCTTATCTTTGGTTTTGAGTAGTGCGACTATGATGTGCCTAATTATGGTTCTGTTTGAATTTATCTTGTTTCAGAGTTCATTATGCTTCCTGAGTCTGTGAATTTATGTCTTTGGAAAGATTCCAAGCATTATTTTTTCAAATATTTTTTTCAGCTCCATTCTTTCTCCTGTCCTTCTGGGACTTCATTTATCCATATGTTAGAGCTTCTGAAATTATAACACAAGTCCCTGAGGCACAGTTGATTTTCTTCCCAGTACTTATTTTCTCTCTTCTTTAGATTAGATGGTTTCTGTTGATGTAAATTCAAGTTTACCCTCTCTTTCCTCTGTCATCTTCATTCTACTGTTGTAGAAGTCTTCATTTTTAAATTTCAGCTATTGTATTTTTCTGTTTACTTTTTTTTCTTTCTCTGCTGAGTTTGCCTACCTTTTCATTCATTATGAGCATATTTCCTTTACTTCACTAAACACGCTTATGGTAGCTGCTTTGAAAGTTTTTGTCTGCTAATTCCATCATTCTGGCCATCTCACAATTGACATCTGTTGATTTTATTTTTCTTTGAGAATATGTCACATTTTCCTGGCTCTTTATATGTCAAATAATTTTGGGTTATGTCTTAGTTATTGTGAATTTTAGTGCTCTGAAGACTGGATTTTGTTATATTGCTGTAAAGAGGGTTGATGCTTGTGAGTTAACAGGCACTTAACTCAATTAGAGTCCAAGGGAAAAATACTCAGGAAGTTAACTCCCATTCAAGGGGATCTTCAAGGGGATCTAACCTTAGCCTCAGGCCTGTCTGTGCCTTTATGCAAGACTTCGTTTTCCTTATTATTGCAAAGTGGCACTAAATCTTCATTTACCTTTTGAGAAACTCCTTAATTTAACCACAAATGTTGGTCTTTCCCTAAAGCCATTATTTGCTCTAAGAAATTCACTTTAGGTCAGTCTATGATGGCATTTGACTTACCGGAGCCCTGTAGGGTGGGCACAGGTACTCTTCTTGTCCCTTGATGGTCTTGCTATCAAGATGAGTCATGCCTGTTTATTCTTACAATTTTCCAGTAGATGCCTACTTGATACTGCTATTTTACAGTCCCCAGTCACTTATCCACATACCATCCTACCCAAGTACCTTACGTATGTCTTTAAGGATCAAATATTAATTTTAGAAATCATGTAATAATACAAGGAAAAGATGCATTTTTCTTACTAGCCCCATAATTAGCAAGACTTCTCTTCAAATAGATGTTAGTACTTCTCATTATTATGCAGAACACTGTTTCTTTCTTTCTTTCCTTCCTTCCTTTTTTTTTTTTTTTATGGACGGAGTTTCACTGTTATTGCCCAGGCTGGAGTGCAATGGTGCAACCTCCGCCTCCTGGGTTCAATCAAGCAATTCTGCTGTCTCAGCCTCCCGAGTAGCTGGGATTACAGGCATGCGCCACCATGCTTGGCTAATTTTGTATTTTTAGTAGAGATAGGGTTTCTCCATGTTGGTCAGGCTGGTTTTGAACTCTCAACCTCAGGTGATCCACATGCCTCAGCCTCCCAAAGTGCTGGGATTACAGGCGTGAGCTACCACACCCGGCAGAACATTGTTTCTTTTACCCAACCCCTACCCCATATTAGCATGGCATCCTTTTGACCTGTTCATATTAAGAAACTATCCCGTTGCTAAGCTGCATACCATTTAATGCCTACTCCCTTAGCTACATCAAGACTTGGAGCAAATAGAAAGAAATATTCTAATGGCCCAACTAATTAAATTATTGTAGAAGATCCCCTACTCCCTGGAAGAAGAGAGGTAGCAGTGGTTTTTTTCTTCTGATTACATGTGTAAGATGTATAAAAGACACTGCTAGACTTTTCTCCTCAAAGAATAACTGAAACTGCATTTCCCTACATTTTAGTCTGTTCAGGCTTCTATAACAAAATGCCATAAACTAGGTAGCTTTGTATAAACAACAGAAATGTATTTCTCACAGTTCTGGGGACTGGGAAGTCCAAGACCAAGGCACCAGCAGATTCAGTGTCTGGTGAGAGCCTGGTCCACATACATGGTGCCTTCTCATTGTTTCCTCAGATGGCAGAAGAGGCAAGCCCCCTTAGGCCTGTTTTATAAGGGCATTGATCTCATTCATGAGGGATCTGCCCTCACAACCTAGTTACCTCCCAAAGGCCCCACCTCTTAATACTACTGTGTTGGGGATTAGGTTTCAACGTATAGATCTGGGGGGGAACACAAACATTCAGACTATAGCACCTACCTCTTATGATGATAAAAACCCCAGCATAAAATATGAGCAGTGCCCTGCCTTGCCAGGACACTGAATATTTCTGAATTTAAACTATTGAGCAGAGAGAAGAGCAGAAAATTATGAAGAATTCTGGAGTTTCAAATAGGAATCTCCTGGCAGCGTCTGTAGAAAAGCCCAAGGGCTTCTTCCTAGGAAGAGCCATACATTTTTCATTGCCATCCTAATTTCTTTGCTTACTGAGGTAGCATTTTTGACAGATGATTTACTAATTCAATTTGCAATTTTTAATTATTTTGGCTTTCTGGGTCAAAGTATGTACATTGTTTTTTAAAAAAAAACTAGAGTGTTTTAAAGCTTAGAGATCAAAAACTACAGAATGTTGTGATACTATTACTTTGCAACTCAGAATCTGAATCTTAATATGAATAGAATTTTTCATGAAAGTTAAGGGAAATGAAAACATTTAAAATGTGGAAGGAAGGCCAGGCACATGCCTGTAGTCCCAGCTCTTTGGGAGGCCAAGGTGGGAGGATTGCTTCAGCTCAGGAATTTGAGAACAGCCTGGGCAACATGGCAAAACCCCGTCTTTTCAAAAAATACAAAAATTAGCCAAGCATGGTGGCACACACCTGTAGTCCCAGCTACTCAGGAGGCTGAGGTGGGAGGATCACTTGAGCCTGGGGTTCAAGGCTGCAATGAGCCATGTTCATGCCACTACACTCCAACCTGGGCAACAAAGTGGAACCCTGTCCCAAAAAAATAAAATATAGAAGGAGTCATCAGTAATATTAGCAAATATTTATTGAGCACATATTAAGTGTCAGCTATTATCCTAAGAACTTAATATGTATTCAGCAATTCTAAAAGACAGATCATATTATTACCCTCCACTTTAAAGTTGAGGAAACTGAGGCACGGAGAGGTTTAGTAACTTGCCAGGGTCACACACTAGAAGGAGAGGACTTAAGATTTAAGGCCTGACTCTGTGATTCCAGAATCCATGCTCTTTCATCATTATATTATATTGCGTCTCTCATATGTCATGGATGTGGTCTTGTTTTCTCCTCTTACCTCCTCCCCACACTATGCTGAACCACGGTAAATTTCACAACCAAATTCAAATTACATGGTGTATGGAGGATATACAAAGCTCTGCAATGTTGCTTAGGCTTGAGACAGCAGAACATATGCTGTTGTATTGCGATGACATTTTTTTTTATCGTGATTTTTCAAAAGTTCAAAAACATTTCCTTTCATCCTTACAGTAGGTTCTAGGGTGAGAGAGAGTTACTATACTGTAGAGTTACTGTCTACATTTATAGATGCAGGAAATGTTAAAACCATTTGTTCCAGGCCTCTTATTAGCTCAAAAGCAGAAGTGTATACAAAGCCAAGAATATTGAGCCCTAGATTAGTAGAATTACTAATCTCTGATTTCTTAATCCTTCAAGTCAATTAGCTCTCCGTGTGAATGGTCTGGGTGATTTGAAAGTGAAGGATAGATGCAATTGGCATGTATTTGGGCACTCAGAGTCTGTTCCTTCACACAGAGCTCTGCAGAGGAGGGCGAGGGTCTCCACTGTTGTCCTCCCTGCACTGGAAGGCAGACCATCCTAGCCCTTTTTAAAACAGCATTGGGTCATTAATCTTATATAGCTGTTCCTGATATGTGTTGAAATATTAATTCTATAACTAAACCCCATGTGCTCATCTGATGGATCATTCCTTTTCTCTCCATAGGAATAATATCAGATTTTACTTCTCAGCCTAGCTGTAAACCTCGCCAGGCCACACAAGACAGTGACTTAGGATTCATTCTTAGTTTCCACAGCAGAATATCATAGATTGTCTGTGAACCTATTTTTCTTTATTATTGATACTTTTTTTTGTTGCTTAGTATATTGGGCAGGAATCGAAAACAGCTTTGACTTGTAGAATTTTCTAGAATCCCTTTGAATTGGGTGAACTACACTATAACTCAACTTTGTCTTGCTCAATCATTGTTCCCCCATTGCCTGGCCTGTAGAAGGTCCTCATATAATTATTGAGTTGATGAGTTTAAGTTGAATCATTGCAGCATTCATCTTGATCAAGGAAGATGTAGTACTCAGTCAACACATGGCTGTTTTTGAAGTGCTCTCCAGTCATTTCCATCACCTGAGAAGCCCCTTACACTGTAACTTAGAAAGTATGCTAGTACACTACACAGTAGCTCAGAAAATGTTTCCTTTTGAAATTTTGTTTCAATAGTTTTTGGGGTACAGATGGTTTTTGGCTATATGGATAAGTCGTTTTATGGAGATTTCTGAGATTTTAGTGCACCCATCACCTGAGCAGTATACACTGTACCCAATATGTACTCTTTTATCCCACACTCAGCCCCCAACCTTCCCCACCCCCGAATCCCCAAAGTCTGTCATATCACTCTTATGCCTTTGCATCCTCATAGCTTAGCTCCCACTTAGAAATGAGAACACGCACTATTTGATTTTTCATTCCTGAGTTATTTCACTTAGAATAATGGTCTCCAGCTCCATCCAAGTTGCTGCAAAATATATTATTTCATTCCTTTTTATGGCTGAGTAGTATTCCGTGATGTATATATACCACATTCTCTTTATCCACTCATTGGTTGATGGGCACTTAGGTTGGTTCCATATCTTTGCTATTGTGAATTGTGCTGCTATAAACATGTGTGTGCATGTGTCTTTTTCATATAATTACTTCTAGAAAATGTTTCTTACCAGTTCCTACTTTTTGGATTCCTTGCTCTTTTTGTGAAAGCTTTACCTGAATTCTCAGTCATTCTTTTTTACTAATTGATTTAGTTTGTCAACAAATGTTTGTTGAAGCACTGTAAGAGATTCTGGAGATACATAGTGATTCTGACAAGACCTGTTTTCAAGGAAATTAAATCCTAGTGGGAAAATCTGACAATAAATAGGCAATAGTAATAGAGGCGAGTTCCTTCAGCATATATAGGAAGAACACCTGAGCTAGTCTTAAACATCTTCTATAAAGGTTTCTGAAAAAAGTAAAGTTCAAGCAAAACTTAATGTATAAGTAGATGTTAGCCAAACGGAGGTGTATTGAAGAGCATTCCAGGCAGAAAGACAAGGATGCTGAAGTCGAAAGAATGTGCTCCATTCAGTAAAGTGCATGTTGTTCAGTGTGGATGTTGAGATATGAGACTGCAGAGGGAAGCGGGGCTCTTCTTATTGCTACAAAAATAAAATCACAAACTTAGCAGCTTAAAACAACACTTATGCATTATTTCACAGATTGTAAAGTCCAGGCACAACTTAGCTGGGTTATCTGTTTTAGGATCTCACCAGACTATAATCCAGGTATCCACTGGGGTGGTGGTCTCATGAAAGGCTCAACTGGGGAAAGATTTGTTTCCAAGCCCCCTCAAGTTGTTGACTTGAGGCTGCAGGACCAAGGCTTCAGTTTCTTGCTGAAGGCCACCCTCAGTTCCTAGAGGCCACTTGCACCTCCATGCCTTATGGGCTTTTCCAACAAAGATGCTTACTTCGTGGCAACTGCTTCTTCAGGGCAGTAGGGGAAGTCTCTCTGGTGTGTTTGTCAGCAAGACAGTCATGTAGTAACATAATGGTAAGAGTGACTCCCATTACCTTTGCCATGTTCTGTGGGTTAGAGTCAGGTCACGGGTCTTACATACACTCAAGGGGAGGCTATCATACAAAAGCATGAACACCAGGAGGTGGAGATCATTAGGGTAAGGGGATTACTGTAGGATTTGTTTGTCACACCGAGGTTACACTTTATAGTAGGGAGTCATGGAAAAGTTTAAGCAGAAGCATGCTTTGTATTATAGAAAACACATTAGAGAGGGCACAGTTAGAATCTCGTAAACCAGCTGAGAGGCTTTGCAGCAAACCACATGGGAGAAGACAGTGGCCTTAATGAAGGTAGTAGCCATGCGGGTGATGGAGACCGTAAGATGATACAGTCAGCAAAATTGGATGATTAATGGGTTATGGGAAGTAAAGCAGAGGAGGAAATTGGGGATAAATGTTACACACATTTCTGACTTACTAGTCGGTTGATAGAAGCAGAGATCCCTGGACCAGGAGCCTGGTGAGCATGGGGCTCACCGCGGAGTTCTCCCTTCCCTGAGCTCCAGCCTGCCCTGTGGCCTCAGACCGTGTCTCTCTTAGCCGGAGAGTCTGGATAAGATGGTGTTAATGGAGCACAACAGGCTGGCCACCATCGGAAAAACAACCGCAAACACTGGTCTTGCTAGTTATTGGTCAACAGGGGTTCTGACTGGAGTCTAAAGGACAAGACATTATACACTTAGTACTTACGTTCCCCCAAAATGACCATCCTAGTGTATAAGCTTTTTGGTTAAATGACTGCTGCGTACCAGGAGTGCAGTAGCACCCTTGATGTAGTTGTTGTGGTGACACCTGTGTGTCGTCTGCCCAGTGGGCTGGCTCAGTGTGCTGGGCTCTGTCACCATCTTCCCCTGTTACTGCAGTAAACAGGCGAAGGGGTACTCTAAATTATTGTTGGGATGTGGTGTGTGTGGTTTTCACTGGGGTGAGTGAGCCTCACCATTTCTGTTGCTCTGAGAATGATCAAAAAATAATATTTTAAATGAAGATAGTGATTGGATGTGATACTTAATGTGTTTTAAAGGACACTTAATATTTTACCAAGATGCGAGGGGTGAAAAGTCAGTAGTTTATTGAAAGAAATAGCATGTTGAAATAACTATTTAAAAGAGAATTTTTAATACTTGAGCCATTTTAAGATGCAGAACGCTTTCCTGCATTTTTCCCCCTGTGAAAAATTCTCTGAAACCAGAGTGACTCAAGCAGAGCCTGGAAAATACTGGAGAATCACATGATGGCTAAAAATAAGCACATCATCTCTAGCAGGGACAGTAAGCAGCAGGGCAGAAGTAACTCAGTATGTGAAGGCTCACACTCACTGGACATGCTCAGGAGAGTCAGGCCCTCTGTCCTTGGCAGGGGCAGGCTTTGAGACCACAAGTCAGCGAAGAGAGGTCCTCAGGTGCTGACCACTCTGTGCCACAGCAGCCATGCCCTCGGCAGGCCCCTGACCTGCAGCGCGCCTCACTCGTATGCTCTCCCAGGGGCAGAGCCATTTATTTTACACTGTAATGACCCCTAAACAGTGGATTGGGAGGGAAACCGGCTGACTCAGCTCTTGTTACTGCCCGTTTTCTCTTAAGCCCTCCCCTTGGAATCAATAGCACATGCCATTGATCACAGAATGTCTTTTTGTTGCTGTTAACATTGCAAAACATAGGTTTTGTGAAATTGCTGGACATTTGGCGACTGTTCTGTAGGGTACAGAATAGGGTTTCCTAAACTATAGCATTGCAAGTACTTTACCAAAAACACAACAAATCTTGTCTTGGGCACTCACTGCTCATACCCAGGAAAATTACTGCAGTAGCCACCTAGCTGGCCTTTCTGCAGCTCCCCTCAGCCTCCCTGGTCTGTTCTCAACACAGCAGGCAGAGTGAGCCTTTTGAAAGCAAAGCTAGATCATGTCACTCTGTTCAGGATCCTGCAGTGGCTTCCCTTTTCCCTTGCGAGGTCCTTTGCGACCTGCCCTTCCAGTACATCTCTGACCTTCTGTCTACCTACAGTATCCCATTCTTACCCTGCCTCACCCACCTGACCTGGCTGCTGAGTGGAGAAGGCAGGGCCTTTGCACCCCCATTCAGCATTTCCTCTGCCTGGCCTGCTCTGCTCCTGGCTGTCCAGACGGCCACCTTCCTCTCCTGCCTCAGGTCTTGGCTCAGGTCTCACACTTACTGTGAGAGACCTTGAAGAAGGAAGGGTTACTCCTGCAACTGGCATGTTCCCTGCAGGGAACCTGGAAGTTGTGACTATGGAGTTTGTTACAAGAGCTGTTGGCTTCTGTGAAGAATGAGACTTTTGAGCCCCGGTGACCCCACACAGGAGGTTCTCGCCTCCCGTGTCTGTGCCAGACTGCTGCAGGACTCCCAGCAAGAGGGGCACCTGGCGCTGCCCTGCTGGTGCTTGGTGTTCTGACCTCCGTTCTTCTGGGTGGCCTTGGTGTGAGTGTGGCCCATGAAAGTACCATGGGTCTGAGTTGAAAAACTGAAACTGGAGGAAGACCCATAGTGGATGCTTAGGCCTTCCATGAAATTCCTATTTAAAATTGCTACTTACCCACCCGCAGCCCAGCTCTGTCTACCCAACCCTGCTCTGCTTTTCTCTTGTTCATAGCACTTATTTTCTAGTTTATTCTATCACTTCCTAATTTATGTTATTATTTATTGTCTAGTTCCCCTGTTAGAATGTTAATTCCACAAGGACAAGCATCTTGTGCGTTTCATTCATTGTTTGATCTCAACTGCCTGTTAGCTTCCCAGGTACATAATAGGGTTATGGCTCAATAAAAATTTGCACAAATGAATGAATTAGGATAATTTAGAAGAAGCACAGACGGAGATAGATAGGGAGTGCATGGAATGGAAGGAACCTATGCCTTGGAGCCCATTGGTGGGTTATGGGTTAATCACATTTTTTGGTTCTAAAAACAAATTTATTGAAGCTGAGCATATTTACATGATGCAGTTGTGCATCTTTATACAGTAGTTGTTCACTGTGTAAAAACTGGGTTAATCAATTTTTATAAAAATGTTCTTTAAATAAAAATGAGCCTTATTTTCTTAGTATTTCAGCTGTTTTTAGTAGTATCTAGAAATGGGAAACAAGTGCACTTTTGCATCATTTGTTGAATCAGGTCTTATTTGCTGAGTAATAATAGTAATGTAAGCTACCATTTATTGAGCACATGCTGTGTGCCAGACCCTTGTGTAAGCATTTTCCATGTATTAAGTCATGTACCCCTCCCAACTCTGAGAAGTTGGTGCTGCTCCTCCTTTCTTAAATGTAAAGCAAGGTGGCCACAAAGCCACACCAGTCAGGAAGTAGTGGAGCTGGGACCCCTAAGAAGGCTCTCTGGCTGCAGAGCCCCCACTCTTGACCACTGCACTCACTCCCTCCCTAGAGGCAGGTGAAGGATGTCCAATTCCCTACCAGGTCTTCATTCCCACGAGATTGGTGTGGCTAGTGCCTGCTGTGTGGAGCTGCCCCTAGCTGCTCAAGGAGGACTGCCCACTCTTAAGAGCCTCCACTGAAAAGGAAGAGCTGCAGACCTCACCACTGGCTGCACTGGTCAGAACAGAAGTCCTAAGGGCTGTAAACTGCCAATTTCAGAATTAAAAAACCAGCCTCCTAGTGATCTCATGAATCAGAGCATCCCAGAACCCTGTTAAAGTTTCATTTGGATGGAAATCTGTCCACTGAGGTGCTTTTTTGCCCTCAGCTCAGAGCAGATTACAGAATCTACAAAGTGACAGTACGGAGGCAGTTTTGAAGGAAAGACTAGGTCAATATAACTTGAATTTGCAGTAATCAGAATTCTGTAGGGACTGGCAACCCTATTGCAGTATGAGGGCTGTGGTGTCAGTTCAGTTACTGAGGAAGTCCTCTTCCTATGGAATTCACTCTCCTCATCAGTCTAGCCCATACCCTTTCTCCAGCAATGACATTACTTTTTTTTTTAACCAAGCTCATCATCTGTTAAAAAATATAATCTCTTTGCCAAGGTGCAGGGGATAAGAAAGTAATATCAAATCCATCCACAATGAATCAATACAGATGCAGTGTATCTTCTGCCATAGTTGTTCAGCTCTGGGTTTTCTTCAATTGAGTGAGAACGGCTAGGGGGATGGTTTGGGAAGGGAAGGGGCTCTCAAAGTAGAGAAAAATTGGGATTGACCATGACCAGAAGAGTGGTGGCCGCCTGCATGTGTGTGTGCACACGCTCATGTTTTTAATGTCTCTTGTCAACAGTATTAATGTCATATTTTTATCTCCTCTGTTTATGACTTTGGCAAAAGGAATAATATGGCAGATTATGTGAAAAGAATTTCTAAATTCCAGCAGAGTCTTGGCCATGAAGGATAAAGCCAAGTCCAGTGCTTTGATTTGCTTCATCCTTCTGAATCCATTGGGCCTCATATGCCCAACTTGTTGCAGCGTTTTCCATAAACATTAAGCAAGCTACTAGTTATTGACATTAGACACGGTAATGCCCTGGCTTCACTAAGGCAGTGAATCTGACCACTCCGAATTTTTTTACAACTATGGTTAAAATGTCAGAATCATATTTATACCCCCAAATCCTAAAGGCATTAATTAAGACACAACTGCTCAAAGACTAGCATTGTAAATCATGTCCAGTGAGCAAATTCAGAGAATTACAGGGACTTAGACAGAATTTATGCTTTTTTCCTCTGCTTCTGAGATTCCTTTTTATTTTGAAAGGTAAAATTAGGGAGGTAGAAAAGCTTGAGGGCAAAATGGTTACTTGTAAACAGGGCCACTACTAATTATGTTCTCAGGACATCCTCAAATGCAGCTTGAAAAAAAATTTGAAATGTTTGAATCAGCTGCAAGAAAAAAAAATCTATATCTGTATTACAGCCAAAGTAGGTGCACTCTCTGTAAAAGCTGTTATGTAAATGTTTTCCACATAAGCATCATTGAGCCAAGAGGCCTGGTAAAGGTACAGAAGTCAAATCACTGATGGAGTGGGGCATTCTGGGAAGCAAGAAGATAGCTATTGAGGACTTCAGTATCTAAAACCAGGATTGGATGCTGTCAGAGACATGTTTGGAGCAGTTTACGAGATTGGAATACAGATGGTAGCTCACATAAAAGTATTCTATCAATGTTAAGTTTATGACATTGATAACTGTGCAGTTTTGTGAGAACATTCTTGTTCTAGTGCCCAGGTAAGGGGGAAAGAGTATCTGGCAGCCCCAGAAATTTTAGAGTGTGGTTGTTAGAAGGCAGCGAGACCTAGAAAGCAAATAAACAAAAACAAGTTCTTAACTCTAAAGAGTTATGCTGTATGTTAGGATATTGTCTTTTATTTATTCTGAAAAAGAAAACATGAAATCATTGAATATAATGAGGACAAAAGGTTTCATTTTTATTTTTATACATTTAGTATTTCTTAATCATGTGACAGCTGTGAGGGGTAAATTACTTCCGTTTCAAATTGCAGCTTGGGATGATTTAATGAGCCCACTTTACATTTATTTGAAAACAAGCTTTTAGTTTAACTGTTAATTATGGGGTTTTTTTGTTGTAGTTGTTGTTTTACCCAAACCTCGGAAGATACTAAGATCTTTCCCATGCCTTTCCTGTTCTTTAATTTCTTCACATTTATTCATTTGAAGGTAAAAATGTAGTTAAGTAGGCCTGATCTCACATATCCTCATGCATCATTTATTTTCCTGTTATCAGTTTTTCTCCGAACAATAGAATTTCAAGATCCCTCTCATTTTAAATATCAAATACTAGTTACCTAAGTGATTGATTATTAAATGTTTAGAATTTTTTTTCCATTTCTTCCTTCACTCAGCCTGCACTGTGTCCCCGTTAGTGAGGCTTAACGGTGGGGCAGAAGCGGTGCTTCCATCCCACATGTGTGTAGGTGGTGGAGCAGCAGAGGTTGCCGAGCCTGATTTTCATCGCCTGCACCTCTCTCATCTCAAAGGGATCCAGGAGGTGCACGTGTGTGTGCCAGTGGGAAAGCCCTGGGGCCCTAGGCCACCACCTGACCTTTGCCTGATTCGTGAGCACAGATGCCATTTTAGGGCCGAGACTCTGCTGAACCACAGCTTGGTGAGTCCAAGCCACACAGGCAGGTTGAAGTTGGGCTCTGTTAACAGAAAGGGATATTTCCTCAGGGGAAGAAAACAAAACAAAACCTGTTTCCCCAAGTGGCTGTGTGTGGCTAGAAGGGGGAGAGCATCAGTAACTGCAGCAGCTGTGCCCTCCCTCCCTGCCGTGAGCCATGCTGAGCGCCTCCAGCGGCCGGGGATTCTCCCTGCGTGTCTCACTGCTCTCCTGGCCAGTGTCCTCTGCTTCTTCATAGTTGCTCTTCCCCGATAACGTGGCTTTGCCCAGGGGTTTGGCTTGCCATGACCCCTTCTACATCTTATCAAACATTTCAGTTTTTTTTTCAAGCTCTGTTTGATAATACCCTGAGAATATAATTAGTGGTAGCCCTTTATTGTAAGCAATCAGCTTCTGTTTCTTCCATGATTTTTTCTTTTTAAATTGACATCAGACTGGATAAGGCCAGATACCAGAACATGAGTGTGTCTGATGATCCTAGCTCAGTTATTGCAACGACTTTTTTGTTGCTGACCTGCCTATGAAAGACTGCCAGGGTGGGTGGGTCGTCACATGCTATCTAGGGAAGCCCCCTCTGCAAGGCTGTGTCCCTCAGGAGGGGCCAGTGAGCATGGCACAGGCTTGGACAGCCCAGCATAGACCACTCAGAGTTAAGCATATACTGACTGAGTTTACTCCACCTCTCCTAATTGTGTAGGTAAGGAGCCTAAGTAATTTACAGAAGGTAATCTTAAGAGGAAACCAAGGAGGAGCTCTCTTTCTGGGAGGCTGATGGTTTTTATTTGGTTTCCTTCTTGTCTTGCTGGTTCTTTGTGTCTGTGACTTTGACATTGGCATCAGCTCCTCAAGCTTCCCCTGGTGTCCTTACCCTGGAGAGATGCCTCTGCTAGGTCTTATATAATGAATTATAAAAACTATTATTGAATTTCTCTGGGTTAGGCACTGTGATTGGTGGTGAGAGCATAAGGTGACTAAAACAGATGAAACACCTATGTCCTAGGGTTTATGTTCATGGGAGAAGTAGACATTAAAGAAATAGCTGTACCACAACAGTGGAAAGTGTTCAGGGCACTGTGGCCTCCCAGACAAAGTGACATCTGAGCTGAGACTGGCAGGGTGGTAGACCTACTTGCTCAGAGGAGGTAGGGGACAGGAAGGAGGCAGAGAGAATACAGCCTGACTTGCATGGTGTATTAGTTCTTACAGTGCCATAAAGAACTGCCCAAGACAGGATAATTTATAAAGAAAAGAGGTTTAATTGACTCACAGTTTCTCAGGGCTAGGGAGGCCTCAGAAAACTTAAAATTATGGCTGAAGGGGAAGCAAACATGTCCCTCTTCACACGGCAGCAGGAAGGAGGAAGTGCCAAGCAAAGAGGGAAAAAGCCCCTTAAAAAACCGTCAGATCTCATGAGAACTCACTCAATATCACAAGAACAACATGGAGGTAACCGCCCCCCATGCTTCAATTACCTGCCACGGGGTCCCTCCCACAACATGTGGGGATTATGGGAACTACAATTCAAGATGAGATTTGGGTGGGGACACAGCCAAACCACGTCACATGGGATGGTCATGGAGTCATAGAACCCTGGCTTGTTCCTGAGAACATTGAAGGTGCCATACCAGAAATTCTTAGATAGCTGTTGCTCTGTGTGAGACTGAGCTAGAGAACAAAGACTGCATCTTAGGCATTTTTAGGGGCCTCCAGTGCATGGCCCATGGCAGGCACTTAACAAATATGTGTGTAAGGGGTGTTGATCATAGGTAGTCTTCGCACTGCTTTCTGTTAGACTTCCTTTATATTAAAATATGAGGTATTGCTTATAAAAAGATCTGAAAGAACTTGATATTTCCGAGCTGTCTCCCCAGCTGTTAGGCTGGTGGCTGCCTCAGAGAAGATTCTTTGCCAGATCAGGTGTCCTCACCCTGCCTCCCCTGCCTGCTTGTCTACTTGTTTTCTTTACCCAGTTGGTTTGCCTTTGGGTTAAAGAACTTGGTCAGCGGGACATGGAAGTAGTGTTCCAGGAGTGTTTTATATGGGCTTCAACAGAGCTGAAGCCCATATACCAGTCACAAAGCAAAACGTCAGCTCTCTGGAACCCTGGGGAAGCTCTTCTGCACAGATTTACCCTGAGAATATTCAAACTATTTTAAGTCTTTCCCAATTTAACCATTCTCATTTTAAAGTATATTAGGCACCTCCCTGTGTTTTTAAAGAAGTTTATTTTTTAAAAATTTTTAACAGAAAGGCTTATATTTAAAGGCTGTAATGCTGTCAGTGCTTCTAGGGGGTGTGACTTGCATCCGGAGCTAATGACCCCAGGCACCTGAAGACACAAATATAAATTTTATGGTCTTTCTGTTTGCTACTTTGTAATTAGGATGTTGGTTGAAACTTGTAACTGCTGTCACATACCTGTCTTTATAACCCTTCGGCTCTTGCTAATCTCTTGGTACTAATAAACTGTGAAGTTGGAAATAAACTGTAAAATTGGAAACCGCATCACTAAAAGTTTTATTTACTTGTTTATATAGTTAGTTAAACTTTTGCTCTTTAAGCAAATACATGTTCAGCTGAGCATTGTGCTACGCACTGGGGTTACAAAGATGAGTAAGATGTGTTTCTTGCTCTAAATAAGAGCAGGGGTTGGGGAATTAGGCCAGTGGGAGCACAGAGAAGGAACACCTGCACCACACTGAAGGGGTAGTGGAAGACAGAGATGCCACTTCACAGGGACTGTGTTCAGAGGAAAAGGGAATGGACGGGCCCCCAGTAGTGGCTTGGAATTTCATAATCCATGAAGTACACTGCGTATACATTGGGACATCTATTTTGGCCGCAGAGGCCATTCTTGTGTCTGCGCGTTGTTCTAGGTAGTGAGAGTCTATTGTGACCTGAGCTCCAGATAGGCGAGGTCTTACCTGAAACCAATGGTTTTTCTTTTTTCCACTTCACAACATTATTAGTGATGCTAAGTGGATCACTTCCTTAAGGTGCTGACTCTCAGATCTCCCCATTGTAAGGGTGTGTTTTCCCCTTTAGAGTAACACATGTAAATATCTTGTTCCCCAAAACCCTCTCACCTAAAGTTTACGTGTCCAATGACGAGCCCTTTGTGAATCGCTTATTAGTTACGGATGTTGCAAAATTGTGATTTATTTTCTAGTTCCAGCATTTCTTGCATATTTAGTGGCTGCCAGTGTTCCTTAAAAAGGATTGAAAAGATCTTTATATTCTTTTCTCTTCCCTCTCCCTCTCCCTGTCTTCCAGCCCATCTCTTTTTCAGTCATTATAGATTAATAGATTTTTATTTATCCAGTGCATTACAATAAATGAAGCTATTGTTCTTCCTGATATTCAGCTGTCCCAAGTGTGACTAGTTGAGAGCCCCTTCAAGCTCTTGATATAAATCCTGGAGCACCTCCTTGCTTTTTGACACAAGATATCCTAAGCTTACCCTGAACATTCCCTGCACCATCCCTAGAATCAGCCATTTCTCAAGAAGCCCTTTTATTGCAGAATAACATTTAGAAACCAAAGTTTGGGCATCAGGAGTGCCACTGCTATGGAGATGTCATTGCTCTTAGGTACTTTAGTGGCTAAAGCTAGGAAATGTTTTAAAAGAGAAAAAAATACATTTGGATTGATATTTCTGCTGAAGTATTAATTGGTTATAAGATCTTTTCTCTTGTTTGTTAGAAATTCAATTAGGGTGATACTTTTAAGTTTATCTAAAAACCTTTCCTCTTAAAAATCTTAAAATCCCTTTGTTCTCTTACTCTTATATCTCCAGAGGGAGAAGGGACAATGGCATTAACCTCATGTTACTTGAGGAAAAAAAAAACAGCACTCACAAAGGTGAGATAAGTTGCCCAAAACAACCGTACTTTAACTGTGTACACTCCTGCTGAAATATTTATACTCCTTCTATATGGGAAGGGATCACTGGAGGTATCTCTTATATGTTGTTGTAAGCTCTTTTCATATCATTCATTTTCTATGTATCTAAAACACACTTTTAATATTGCCAGTATTTATCATTTATTCTGATTGCTTTCAGGTGCAGCTAAATCAAGTCCAGCAGCTAAACCAGGATCCACACCTTCTCGACCCTCATCAGCCAAAAGGGCTTCTTCCAGTGGCTCAGCATCCAAATCCGATAAAGATTTAGAAACGCAGGTCATACAGCTTAATGAACAGGTAATGCATCAGCTCTGGCCACGCCTCTAGGAGCAGTGACGTGTGTAAGAGGTAGGGGGCCTAGGATCCCCTAGGACTGGGGTAAGGGAGGGAAGGGTAAGGAAGAATCCTTGGTTTCAAGTAAGTGAGAATAAAAAGAATTGTTCGAAGACAAAATCAGTAGCCCATGATGAATAAAAAGTGTTAGTCACAAATCTCAAAGCTGTACATTAAGATGGGGCAGATGGCTCAGCCTTGCTGCAGACTTCAGGCTACCTTCCCCTCCCCTGCTCCTCAGGGCCGTCAAGAGCTCCAGGCTAGACCGTTGCCCATCCTGCCCACTTCTGGCCATTCTAGATAGTGCTGCATTAGGGTGAGTCTGCCTCCCTCTCTTTTTAAAGGCTGGGTCAGGGTTAGTCTGTCTCCCTCCCACTCTCTTCTTTTTTCCCTTCTTCCTTTCTTTCTTCAGCTATTAGTAGTTGAGCTTATTCTATATGAAAGATATTACGCTTAATGCTGGTAATATAAAGGTAGTAAAATAGATACCTTTCCTTCCTTCATAGAACTTGGAGATAGCAGTTGCACACAGTAAGTTATTACACAAGCAAAACAAAAAACCTGATACTTCCCACAATGGCAGAAGTTGGGTGCTGCAGGAGCACCGAACCCAATATTTGGGGGATCTGAAAGGCCACAATTGTGTTTTAAGTAGAAGAGCTTTCCTTTTAATTTAATATGCCTCACAGTTATGGTAAAATCTAACTAGCTCCACTAGTCTTTGAAATTTTCATTATAAAATCTTAGGTACTGCTCATCTTTCCTAAGATTATATGTAGCTTAAAAGTAATAAAAGCAACGGGTAGTGGAGGGCCCATCGAGGAGAGCCTTTTATCCTGGCTACCCTGCCGCTATGAGAGGAGCCTTTACTTCAGGGCCCCAGGCTGTTCCCAGCCGCTCACTGGGCCCGTCGTGGTGATTAATCTTATTCTTGATGAGCCAGCAAGAGTTTAAAAACAGCTTTTGTGATAATTGTATATTTGTAATCAAGAATCTAGTTTAATGGAGGCAGTTTCTTAGCTAGGGTGTTTCTTTACAATTCTGATCACTTTATGGAAAAAGGTATAAAAACAAGCCATCCAGCAGGTAGGACTTGGATTTGGAAACTAGAATGTTCTAATTACCTGCTGATTCTCAGTTTGAGCCCTGTTTCCAATAATGACTTCTTCTCAATTAAAAGGCAGTAAGGACAGTCATAATGAACCTTGGTCCACATGCCTCAGGCTCCAAGAAAATCAGAGTAGACCTAAAGGCTGTAATGCCTTGGACCTAAAGTTAGTCCTCCCATATCCATGGGTTACCACATCTGCACATTCAAGCAACCAAGTATTGCAAATATTCAAAATAAAAAATAGCAATACAAACATAAAAGCTAATGCAAATTAAAAACAGTACAACATAACTTTACATTGTATTAGGTATTATAAGTAATGTAGAGATAATTTAAAGTATACAGGAGTATGTGCGTAGGTTGTATGCAAATACGATGCCATCTTGTATCGTCTTATATCAGGGACTTCAGCATCCATGGGTTTTCATATCTGAGGGACATCCTGGAATCAGTTCCTCTCAGATACCAAGGCACAACTGTAGAACTCTTTTTCCTTAAGGAACCCAAATTCTTTTGGTATCTTTCTTATCTTGTGTTTCTTCATGACTCCTCCCTCTCTTCCCCGTCTGCCACACCCAGTGTCCCACCTCTCCAGCCCAAAGTATAACCACGTGGAAACCTTGAGGTTCTCTCCCGCTTATAGCCTGAACCGCCCAGCCCCACTTCCCCTCCTTGGGGCTGGCTGTAGGCTCCCGCTAGCTCTCCAGATCACACACAGAGCCCCATCCCCAGGGAACTCAGACCTCTAAAATGCCTCCACTAAACCATGCTACCATCCACAATGCCACTCAGAGAACCGAGTGAGAAGAGAGAGGAATAGGCCAGTGCCGCCTTCCTGTTATAATCCTTTCATTACTTCCCAAAGGCCTGCCTCCCCATTTCTGCCCCCAACACCTTCACACCGAGGAATGTGCCTGCCCCTGTCTGTCCCTCAGAAGGAAGACACACCCTGAATTCTGAGTCCTTCAATCAGTATTACTGAGCACTTACTCCAAATTTATATCCGTGGTTCACTGTTGACGTTCCCTCCTTTTTCTGTCTTGGAGCCAACAGGATGCCCCCTGAGCCTGGTAGGGGGCCCCACAGGCATCATGGTGTTGGAACAAAGAACACTCGGGCGAGGAGAGGCTGAGGGGAGACCCTGATGCTGAAGGGTGAAGCACAGTCATCACTGAGAAAGAGACAAGTGCCATAAACTTAGAGGAGTCTCATTTGCTTGGCCTCCTGCATTTTCTCAGGCAATTTCCCATGATGCACTACAGAAGTACCACTATGCTAGACCATTCCCATGATAGAAATGAATCAAAAGATTTAGGAAAAGTCATAAAGAAAGTAATTAGGGACTCGTTCTGTATAGTGGGTTAGCCACCCAGAAGTGGGTTGGAGTCAGTGGATTAGCCAACTGGAAGTAGGTTGGTCTTCGCTCGGAGCGCGGGTGGGGCCACGGATGGGTGTCGATTAGCCCAGGCAGAGACTATAGCCATCACTGAAACAGCAAGGCCTGCAGGAACCTGCAGTCTATGGCCACACTGGGAGGAGTTGGAAGAATGGTAAGAAGAGTGCTGCTTCTCATTTTCTAAGATCATCTACAGCATCTCCTTCATTGCTTAAGCATCTGCCATAACCCAAGAGGGATGAGGCTGGCATTGGTCTTTGTGAGGGGGACTATGACAGTGGAATTTTGCTTGCCAATTGATCTTTCATCATGTAAGTTAGCTAGTGTTGGTTTTTACTAGGGAATGTTGGTAGTGGCAGCTGTTACCTAATGCATGTGGAATATCACTGAAGCCTGATTTGCACTAAAGGGTTGTCTGGAAAAGCCTCAGCTATGTGTTCATTGTGCAGAACAAAGCCCTAGGGAGCCAGACAGACCTATTTTCGTGGGTTGGATGTGTCCTTGCCTGGTACAGGGGGCTGGGGGGGGGTGGCACATCTAAGCTGCCACAGATCCATCTGCTGGCACTAGCACAGGGTTGAGATGGATTTTATGTCCAAACCTGGGGAGAGGTTGGTTTGTTTTAAAGCAGGAAAGGATTTCTAGAATAAGAGTTTTCTTTTTTCTGGAATTTAAGCTGGTCACCTTCAGTTTTTTTGTACATCTTACAAATGTGCAAGCTATAGTATTAATAGAAATGAGTTAAAAGCAAACTGGTTCTCCACTGCTTTGCAAGCAGCCACATGGGGGTGTCAGTGAGGGTAACCCTGAATCTACAGGATGGATATGGTTTGCCAGGTGCACAGGAAGAGGATGGACACTGCATGGGCTCAGTGTGTGTTTGAATGAATCAGTAATTCCAGATGGATAAAGCATACACAAAGGCCCAGAATTATTAGAAGGAGAGAGGAGGAAATTTGCATTCCAAATGTAATTTTTTGAAATTCTATTAGGGGTGATTTTTAAGGTAATGACAGAGAGATTTTACCTAAGGAGGGCCATGAAAGACTTAATTTACCACCTGAAGCATATACCCTACATAAAAATAAACGAAGGGTTTAAACAAATGGGGATCCTCAGAGACCAGGAACGGGGTAATAGTTTGGGCCTGAGTGTAGCTGCTGCGCCTGTGGGACTATGGTAGACTGAGATTTGAAACCAGATCTAGTCACAACCCCGTGAGGGTTTCTTTAGCTCTGGGTGTCCGAGTTCTTGGACCCTCTTTTGACCACTGCCTCCTCCCTTCACTTGGACTGTTCTGTAGCCACCCTGAGAAGCTGCACAACCCTGGAAACTCTGAACCAGGATCGAGGGGAAGAAAGAGGAATGAGGGCTACTGTGGTGAGGGAATAGGCCTTCCTTGCCCTCCTGCCTTCCCAGTGACGTACCCAAAGCCCGAACTAGAGAAATTGAGACAGATCCACTCAGCCAGGCTTTGGGTCTTACCCAGTTTTCCTCGTGTCACGAACCCTCAGTTTCTCCCTGGAGAGCGTTTGTCTAATGTGGCTCAGTATCATTTGTGAAAGGGTCTAGCTAAGCGTGGCTTCCATGTAAGTGATCTAAGGGACGGAGAGTCCTCAACATAAAACTAAATAGCCATGCTTACAGCCTCTCTGTTCTGCTTCTCTTTCCTCCTCCCATTCTCCATTTCCTGCAGAAGATGAACAAGTATTTCAGTCTGTTCAGGCTGCTAGAGCAGAGTACTGTAGACAGGGTGACTTATAAACAACAGAAATTTACTTCTCACAGTTCTGGAGACTGGGATGTCCAAGATCAAGGCGCCAGTAGATTCAGCGTCTGCTTGAGGCCCCATTCTTCATAGATGGCACCTTCTCACTGTCTTCACATGCTGAAAGGATGAATAAGCTCGATTGGGCCTCTTATCAGGGCACTCATCCTATTCATAAGGGCTCTAACCCCATGACAGCCACCTCCCAAAGGCCCCACCTCCTAACACCATCACCTTGGGTGTTAGGATTTCAACATACACATTTTGAGGAGATACAAACTTTCAGACCATAGTAAGAAGTTAGAGGAAAGATGTGTTCCAGCCTATGTTAGCAGGAGACGAAAGCTCACTTCCAGCCTGCGGGGAACCGCACAAGCAGAAAGACCACTCTGTCCCTGGTTAATAAACGCTCAGTTGCCTGAAGGGAATGACCAGAGTGCTGTGGAGAATTGGACGTTTTGGCCCAGGGTCAAGCTCCAGACAACAGCCCTGTTGTTTCTCCCTCAGACTTACACATTGGTTATTTCTGCTTCTCTCTCTCTCTCTCTTTTGGGTTTTATTCACAGGAATTGCTGGTCATGTCTTATACTATATTTTGGGTGGTTTTTTTTCTTCACTCTCACTCCCTTGCAGGTACATTCATTAAAACTTGCCCTTGAAGGCGTGGAAAAGGAAAGGGATTTCTACTTTGGGAAGTTGAGAGAGATCGAGCTACTCTGCCAAGAACACGGGCAGGAAAATGATGACCTCGTGCAGAGACTAATGGACATCCTGTATGCTTCAGAAGAACACGTAAGTGTGAGGAGCATGTGACTCCTGTGTTCTAAAATGACTCTCTTGGTCAAAACACAGTAGATCAGCACTCCTTAGAATACTTCCCCAGGACCTCAATGAGAATTACTGCTCAGCCAAGTGCACCTGATAGTCCCAAAGGAATAAACATCGTTATCATCATGATCTATTGACCCATGCCTGTGGGACAGGCAGTCATAAATTAATCTGGGAAGAGACAGGTGGGGTGGGGAAGGCTTTGACAGAAAAATATGCTTATGCAGCCAAACTGCAAGTGGTCTGCAGCTCTCTGAGCAAATGAGCATTAAGAATTTGTATACGGATTCCTCCTTCTTCATGCAAGTACAGAGTGTAGTTAAAGGAGAAAATAATCTAGATGCTTTTCCCATCCCCAGAAGCCCCATAATTGACTGTTTTTATTTCGTAGCTGGTTGTCTTGGTTACTCATTGCCAGGACAGACTAGAGCTGTGGGACAGCCACATGCCCATCTCCTTTATGGGGAGGAGCTGCCACCAGAGTTGCTATTCACAAGTGCTGCTATTCACAAGTGCTGCTATTCACAAGTGCTGATGGAGACCCAGGATGTGGCTGTGTCAGGGTGATGAAAAGCAGATGTGAGAAATGGAGGAGGAATAAGAATCTAGGAAGCAAGGAGAGAAAGCGGGGCAGGATGCATGGCAGAGACTGAGGCAAGGCACCCCGGGTCTGCCAGTGCCAGGAGAGAGAGGCCCAGCAGCCAGAGGTGGAGGTGGGAGCCTGATGTGGCTTCACCTTCCACAGAGCCAAGTTGAGGGGTTGGGGTGTCCAGCTTCTCTTATGCCAGGCTGATGCTAGTGGAAGTGTCCCGGTCTCTGGGTGTTCTGAGCCTGTGATGTTCTGAGGGCCTCCAGTGGAGTTGTATGTGTTGATATTTCTATAGGACATAGCAAGCCATCAGCAAGTTTACTCTCTTATTCCAGCTGAATCCCAGGCAAATGTTTACTCCATTTATGCCTCAAAATACTAGCAGTGAAATTCTCCTAAACTGTAAGGCACTGTATCTGTGGTTTGGAAGCTCTTTATCACTTTTTTTTTTCACTTCTTCCAAATATTTTGATTTAAATTATTTATTGGTTATCAATAGCTCAGAATTTGAAGCCCTGATAATCCACCTGGTTTCCATGATGGCTTCATAAAATACGGTTCTCAGTATTTTCAGATCTGATGGAATAAACCAGAGACTGATTTGTAGTATGTCTGCAGCTGCCACAGTGTCACATATATGACGTCCTGTGTGTACAGAGTGCTTGCCCTCTGTAAGCACTAGATGGACTATGGTTATTCTCTTCACAAGCTTATTTGAGGCTAAATCAGCTGAGATCTCCACAGCGCCATGAGACTGAGTGAATGGCGCTGCTGTCTGCGATAACGCCTGCTAGTGGGAATAAGGCCGGCGTGCAGGATCAAATCTTCTTCCCAGCCCTGCACTTCAAACGGGGAAACCCTGAGTCTAACCTCATGCCAGATTTTGTCCCAAGAGGGAGTCCATGTGCAGGAGCACTGTCTGACAGTGAACTCCAAATGAAGTGTTGGAGAGGTCCACTGAATTCCCGGCTAAGATAGGTGGACAGCCTCAGGCAAGAGCCCTTGCCTCCTGGGTGTGATTTCCAGGGGGTCTACCTAGATGACCGCACTCAGTTTCTGTTCTGCCATACCCATCACCACCCGACCCCACACACACATACATCCCAGCACCACCTTGCCACCATCTGGATTCAGAGAGCCATTCCTGCAATGTACATGCAACTAAAATGCAAGCACCCCAAGAAGAAATAACACTTTAAGGCCTCATCATTCATTAAGACTAAATAATAAGTTTAGCAGACACCTCTTCTGAGACACCTGGTTGGGGTTTGAGGTAGAAGGGTCTAGGACTTGACGTATATTAGCTTATTAGCTCCTATAATTCTCTAGAGAATCCTATTAGGTAGCTATTGTCATCCCATTGTACAGATGAGGGAAACTAAGGCAGCAGAGAGGTTGAATAACTTTCCCAAGTCTAGGAGCAGAATAATTTCCATTTGAACCCTGAAATCTGAATCCTGAGTTTATGTTCTCCCTTCTCCAAGTCTGAGGCACCTTTTAAGTGCTATTATGACAGTAGTAATGGCTAATACTGATTGAGCATTTAGCATGTGCTAGGGATTGTATTCATTTACTACGTAGATTACTGACCTTAACCACATCCCTGTGAGGTGAGTAATTACTTATCTACATTTTACAGATGAAATTACTAACCCAATGGCTCATAGTTAATAAGCTCCAGCACTAGGATTTGAACCCAGGTTTATCTAACTCAGAGGCTAAAATCATAAGGACTGAGTTACCTCCCTCGCCGAGTGGTGGGTACCATGGAGCAGGGAGGAAACGAACATAGTACTAGTTGGGGAAAGCCTCAAGATTAACTGTCTACTTGACAGTCTTCAGTTGAACACGCCCTGTGTGTGAAGAAGAAAGTTTCCAAATTTTTACGTGGGTTTTCTCTAAATAACTCCCCTTACCTCGTTTTGTTGATTTTCACCTTCGAAAGCCTAGTTGTGGCCTCTTTTTCGGGGCATTCATCTGATTTTAAATGAGCATCCACAAAGAACTTCAGTTTTCTTCTAGCCAGTTTGTAACTTTTTTAAACCCACTTTGTTGTTGTATCTCTGGCACTGCGCTGACATCATCAAATAGCTTTAAGGGAAGGAAGAGAGAGGGAAAGAGACAGAGGCATTGCCCTGTAAGTATATGCTGGGGAGTACCCAAAATTCAAGAAGAGAATTACTCAGAGTAACCAGGCAGTTGAATCTGGCAGAGAAAACAGCCTTAACATAAATTGCATGTGTGGGTTACCAGAGCAAGATGTTCAAATGCAGTTACTGGCTTAATTTTTCTAGTTCCAGGATATTTTTATTGCAACTTTGTGTCTGCAAAACTCCAAAAGAGACACATCAGGCTATACTGAGTTTTCTACAGAGAGTAAGCCGTTTGATCTGGAATATGCCAGGTGTCCTTATTTGGAATGTGACAAGACCCATTTGTTTAAACCTTGGTTTTTATGCAGAAAGAAAAGGAAGGCTGCAGTGGGCCTGGATGCCGTGCTGGGTGCTTTCCATATCCTGTGCATGCATGACTCTGCCGAGAGGCTCAGGAGCAGCTAGATACTCTCCTTTCTGCCCCCTAGCACTCCACCTCCCAGAGGTCCAAGAAATCATCCTAGATATCTTAAAGCCTCCAAGCATTTTCATTTCTTCCTGAGAATATGGAATCTGGTTTCTCTGGAACCACCCAGAAGCACATAGCCAGTCCTACACTGGGGGAGTGAGCCTTCCTAAAGCTGTACCCTTGCCTGCCTTCCCCTATGTCTATGGTCTGGAAAAGCAACGGTTTTGAAAAACAATGTGCTTAGTGGTTACGATGCCATCATACACCACTGCCCCCATCTCTGGGAATCCTGCCTTTGCCCCACTGTGCTTTCCCCTGACATTGTGTCCTGTTTTCTGGCCAGCCCCACACTTGTGTGATGGGTAGATTTGCACCCATGTGCAGGGATGATGTACATGGCGTCTGGGAGGAAGTGCCAGCACTTTGTTCATGATGCTGTTGGTACAGCTGTGTGTACAGAGCTGAGATGGCACAGATGCCTGGTGGTCTGCCTTTCCCAGAGCCCTCCTGGAGCTAGAAGGCCAGGTTGCAGCACATGCTGTTCAGCTAAACATAGATGGACATGCTTTGCTTTGACATTTGAGGTAGGAGTATTTGCTGGGGAGATCTCTTCCCCTGAGTGATTACTTAACACTCTTATTTTGTGATGATTGGCCTCTGATTGTTATATTTAAGCCATCCCAGAATATGGTGTTTGGAAGATGTGAAAATCCAGGTGGGAGTTTTGAGCAGAAAATCAACAGAGGTGGTTCAATTCCCAGTTGTAGAGACCTAATGGAAGTTTCCAGAGCAGATACTTATTCTCATTATGTTTTCCCCTGATACGTAACTTGGAGCCACAGGAGTCTGGGCTGAAGCATTGGTTACCTGCTCCCTGTGGATTCTGTCAGCTGAAGGGCACCAGCTTATGAACAGTTACTTGTTTCCTGCAGGGACAGGCTGTGCTTCTGTCACTGGAGGGCCTCTTGTCACTGGACTAAGTGCTGGCTATAGAAAAAGACCCAACCCTACCTCAGAGGAGCTCCCAGTCCCAGTAAGGGAGACAGACAGGGACATGACTAACTGGAATATGTGTCAGATGATGACAAATGTGATAATGGGGACATAAATAAACTTGTGTGGGGAGCAGATAAAAGCCGCCTGGAGGACCACGCAGAGACTTCACAGCGAAGATGGCATTTGTGTTGGATGTTACAGGGTGACTGGGAACATCAACAGCTCTAGAGCTAAGGTAGGGAGAAACTGCATGAGCAAAGCAGAGAAGAAAGACCAGCAGCCACAGCTGGCAAGGTGGCAGGAGACAAGGCTGCAGGGTGGTGCCTTCCACAGCTAGGAAGCCAGGAGCTGTTGGAGCTTCCTGATGGGCCTTCCTCTCTCCTTTGCCCCCATTTTCCTCCCACAGTGGCCTAGAGCCTTCTTCAATACCATCTTCCAGTTTGCCTCTCTATCTAATGATTATAAGGAAACTAAAGAATGATAGTTTTCTTACAATCACTCACAGCTCAACGGAAAGATGTGAATAGATTGATACGCACATATTAGAATTATTAGGTGATGCTCTGGTGCATTAGTCTCATATTTGGTATAGGTTTTGCCTGGCCTCCTACTTAGACATGGGTTTAAGTTCTTCATTCTCGTATAAGGCATAGAAAAAGATTGTTTTTTCCTGTGAGCCTGCAATAGCATTGTGTGGGCTGTGAGCTCTCAGTTGTGATTTGTAACACCCCAGAATTACAGATGTGTTCTGCCAGACTCTCAGACTGCCTTAACTTGCAGGCCAAGCATGAGCAATCCATTGATAAATTGGGAGCTTTGCTGGTATTTCCCAGTGAGAGTTGTCTGGGGTCCACAGTTCCTGCAGATGCATGACATCACAGAGGGGTCCTGTGACTGAGATTTAAGCTGGATGTGCATGAGAAGCAGCTGCCCTGGGCATCTGGAAGCCTCAGAGCCATAGAAAAGGCCAGCAAACCTGCTGCCTTGTTGGATGTGTTTGGAAAGGAGGCCTAGCCTAGTGGCTTCCTGGCCCTCTAGTTTATTACAGGCTCAATGATTACTTGAATCTAGGTCTTTCAACTTTAGCTCCATTAGCCCACAATAAACTCCCAGTTGTGACGTGAGCAAATGAGAATTTCTGCAAAATGTAAAACAGTTCCTCATTTCTGAAATCTTCTTTTCAGAAGTCTAACATGCACAGAAACAATTATATAAAGAAAAGCATACTTTAGACCAGCTGAAGTTTGAGCAATACAATATGGAAGACACCACACTCACGTTCAAGAGTTAGGATGCTGAATAAAACAATATAACTCACCGTGGAGGGCTCAGAGCCCGGCTGGAGAGACAGATGTGTAGCCACCCAGCAAGAACACACGCGGGACTGTGGTGCGCCCTCCCACCGAAGCAGAAACTGAGGATAGGAAGCTTGGAGAGGGAAGCCATTATCTCGGGGCTGCAGGCAGTGAGAGAGGCTTCAGGGAGGAGTGACTTTCTCATAATTTAGAGGAGCATGTGGCGGGACAGACAGCTGGGAGTTCCCAGCCCACCATTCTTGTTAAACTCCCATGAATGTTAGTTTCATTCTTCTCCCTTGGATGAGAGGAGAGCACTGGCTTAGGAAGGCCAGTAACTGTTTCTTGTCCTGCGCTGGCCCAAGAAGAAGTTCTCTCCTGCTCCCCTGAGCATGTATGGCCACACTGTTGGTGAGGCACTGACTCTGAGCTGAGAGGACCAGCCTCACATGTGCCAGACAGAAGGCAAAGCAGTGTGCAGAGGAAGTGCCAAGAGCACAGCTGCTGTGATGCCCAGGGGTCTGGGGTCGATCCGGCAGAAGGGGAGTAAAGAGGGGATCAGGGCTCTGAGATCTCCCTGAGGTCAAAGAGCACCTGCAATTAAGGAATTTGGGAGTGCAAGGGTCAGGAAGACACATGATGTGATCAGAGAGAGCAAGAGATTGGGCCTAACGTTCCAGAAGTGGAGCTAGTTCTAGGTGGTGAACACAGGGTGGTCATGGGGTAGGGAGAGCTCACATTTGCTGAATAAGGGGCCTGTCGGCACGGTAAGAGACAATGCCAGATTTTTCCCCAAGTTTTCAACACAATGTCACTGTCTACTGTTGGTTGACACAGAAAGGGTTACTTTTTTAAAAAAATTACTTGCACTTCTAGAATATATTCCAGAGTTCTCCCACTAAGAAATAATAATCACAGCTCACATTTCTATTTACCATGTGCCAAATACTCTTCTAGGCACTTTTCCTATTTTAACTCATTAACTCCTCTGTTGGATTCGAGGAGTCCTTTGATTCATTGACTAATGAAAATGCATTGAAAATGCTCCTACATGGATACCTTATCCCCAACTTTACAGGTGAGGAAACTGGGGCCCAGAGCAGTTAAGTTCTAGACCCAAACCCACACGGCCTGTAAATAACAGAGCTGGGATGTGAACTCGAGTCCATGTTGTAACCTTGACATTCTACTTACTGCCTCTCAGAAAATAAGTGGCTCGTGACCTTGGCTGATAGTCTGATAGTCTCAGTCATTCATCCTTGAATCCACTGCAATTTGTTCCTCTCAACACGACATGGATTGAGTCTTACATAAGAAAGATGTGGCACCGAGAATCCGATCCCTGACCTCAGTAACCTCAGCATCCAGTGGGTGGGGCCAAAAGGGTCAAGACAAGATTCCAAATCAGTGTCATAGCAGAGGAAGAAAACAAATGCTGCAGGAGAAGAGAGAAGGAATTCTGGCTCAGTGATCATGCCATATTTGAATTGGCTAAAGATGGGTTTGTCCTAAGCTCCAAGGAAGAGGGGCCCGACAGACAGGGAAGGGCTTGGGCAGTTCAGTGCTCGGGAGCCAGCGTGCCAGGTGTGCGAGGCATGGGCACTTCCATATGTCCCAGCACATGCTCCAGACTGCATCACAGAAGCTGTGTGCCCTTACTGAGGGAACAGGGAACTCCTTTGATTAGCCATGCTCCCTCAGCTTGGGTAAAAAACAGCAAATATTTTGTGTGAGTTCAGAAAATGAATGAATGTACAGATACGGCTGACTGAGGCTAGTGCTCCCTGGAGTTGGTGTTCATGCCATGCTTCACTGGGTTAGATAAAGGAATAAATAGGGCTGTTTATTTCTAAATAGTGGGAAGAACAATTCACCTATCTGATTCTCAGTTGATAAACATAACGTAAGCCAAAAGGGCCCCAAGCAGTCTAAGTAGATGTCCCAAAGTCCTTGAGCTAAAGCTCCTGAGCTCCCTCATTGGGAGGGGCCTCTTTGCCTGGGACAACCCATGAAATGTGGCTGCTGTCCTTTCCTTAGCCTGGGAACCTCTAACACTGCTGCTCTGGTATCTAAGCCTACATCAGGTTAGTAACATAACAAAGGGTCTCCTTCAGGGCGACACTGCCGAGCAAGAAGAATGACAGCAAGGGAGGGACTAGGAAATGGAGCAAAAGCCCACATCCCTATCCATTAGTGAGGAGTGACACCCCCCACCAAAATACCATGGAGGCCAGGGGTGCTGCTTTTATATTACAGCAGCTTTACTCATGGTTGTCATGATGCTCTTGGATCACTGTGTTTGGTTTACTCTTTTACAAAGGTTAGGAAAGTATGCCATGTATTCTAAGAAGATTTCCTTCCAAAACAAAATAGTTGGGTGCCTAAAGCCTGACGACTGTGCTTTCTAGAATGATCTGTTCTTTGATCACATGGGGAAGCTAAGGCGCCCCTGCATATGTATCAGACACCGGAAGCTGGGAGACGTTTGCATGGCGAGTTGTGCCTAACTAAGCCTGGTGCCCTCCACAGCCTTGAGACGCCATGCTGGCAGTGGCAATGGGCTGGGATGCTGCAGGGCCCCATTCCCAGTCAATTATCTCAGCTGAAACTTCTCCCCTGCCCACAGGAGGGCCACACAGAAGAGCCGGAAGCAGAGGAGCAAGCCCACGAACAGCAGCCCCCGCAGCAGGAAGAGTACTGACCCACCCCGGCTGCTCTTGACACTTCCATTGTGTGTGGGAACGTTTCTTCTGGAGAATTGGAACATGTGTGGCCCCAAGCTCAACAGAAACCAGTTGTTCCCAATCTGCCGTTACCATCAACGCACTGTTGCATATGCCAGCCACTGCGCTTGGTTCCCATTTTCTTTGCCAAGGTGTATTAGCGGACGGCCCTCTGGCCACCTACCCGAGAGATCGTAGGGTCACATACATCCAACTTCACCACTTGGCTGCTTGAGATTGGTTCTGCTCTTTTCTTCATTTCTTTCCAGAACAACTCTTTCCCACCCCAACACCACTGCCACCACCCCTCTTTTTATCCTGGTGTGAAACAATGGTAATTTGATATATGGTATTTATATTGGCATTTTTCAACCCAGTGTCACTAGATGTCACACACATTTGTGGTGCTTTGATGTTTGCAAGTCTAACCTCTGAACATAAATTTGGTCAAATAATTGGAACAAAGGGAAACAGATACTTGATATGAAAGCCATAATGACGGTGACTTGTGTCGTGGGGGAAAACATAAGGTCATTTTCTCCCTCTACTCACAATACTAAAGGGAAAAAATGGATTCAAAGCTAGGATTTCAGGGCCCAGCAGTGTTCCTCCATCAGCATGTTAGACAACTACACAGTATGTTGTTAGTTTTGAAAGACATTCACTCAAGGAAAACACCATCTCAACTTTGCCCGCTCACCATGTCCCTTGCCCCCATGTAGCCCATTTCCCAGGTTATGCTCTTTTCTTTCTCAGGGTCCTCTTTGGTGGGCAGCCACTCCCCGAGATGTTGCCATCAGTTTTCTGCAGTCCAAAGAGGGTATGGTTAGGTACGGGTCTTCCTGCCTCATTCCTCTTCCTCTTTGTGTAGGTTTCAGCCACAAAACTGTCATTCACTCTAGGGGACCCCTACTAAAGGGTAACTTCAGGTGTGCAGCCCTGAGCTCCAAGGCTCTGCACCATGCCACACACTTGCTGTAAGGCTAGAAGTGAAGACCTTATTAATAGGAGCATAATTGCGAGGGAGAATCATGGTTCTGCAGTCTGGTGTAGACACTGGAATAACAGCACAGAAAAATCTATGACTCCCAATATCTTCTAGAATAAAGAATTTTCCCTCTTTAACACAAGGGCCCTCCTTGTCATTGACCTTAGCTAAACCATGGCAATTCATAAATAGAGGAAACATTAATGAATTAAAAGCATTCCTTATTTTTTAACTAATATTTGTACATTTTCTTAGTCTCTTTCCAAGTCTTTGCCTCTTTTTTTTCTTTATTTTTATTTTTTCCTTTGACAGATGGTATCCCTTCCTGGATCATTCATTTCACCTTGGTTTCTAACTTTAGGTTTACTTTCACTTGTTATTTGACTTAGCAGGTGCAACAAAAACAAGAAACAAATGTGCCCACCCCACTTTCCGCTTAACTGAAAAGCTTAAAATAAATTTCTGAATTATGTATCCTGAAGCTTTGAAATTTCTTTATTAATCGATGAAATATGAATTCTAAATTCTAGCATTGAAGCTTTTCACCAAAAGAAGTCTCTCCAAAATAAATCTTTTGCAGCAAAGTGATATTTATTGAGTTATGTGGAAAAGATGGCTTGTATTTTTCAGATTATTACAACACACTGTGCAGAATTAGACAGATGTTCCGTGGTGTTTGGTTTCCCTTTCTTCTCTCTCCTGCTCACTCTGCATTATAGCAGCAGCTTATTTCTCTAAGGCTGGACAGCCTGGCTCTCGGCAGTGACGTCCTCCCACACCTGGTCACAAGTAGTAGTGGCTGTGCTATACCCAGCATCATGCTTAACAGCGTGTTGCCCTTCTGAGCCTGTTGTACTCACTGATCTCTTTAAAAACAAAAAATAGCTCTTGTAAAAGGTCACAATAACTCTATGCACCTGATACTGCAGTGGTTCCTAGGCCATTCTTCATCTGCTCTGGACATCTCAGTCATACCCAATGCTCAGTGGATCATGACCAAACTCCTGTCATGTGGATGCACGTGAGTGGGTAGCAGGGAGTCAGGATCCTGCCTTCTCCAGCAACCCCTTACTGCTGTATAACTTGCATAAGCCTCCCTGGTGACTCTTGCAGGAACCACTCCATTGCCCTCCAGCTCCCCAGCCTTCTCAGTTATAAACATGCTGGCCAGATCTCTTAGCCTGCAAAGAGAACTTTCCCCAGTCACCATAGACCATTCTCCTTCCTGAAGGCTTGGGGCAGACCATTCGTTTATTTAGAGAAGAGCTATACATTCTTCTTTCTGGTCCCATCTTAAACGTCTTCTGTTGTGCTGCACCCCAGATGGTGTCTCAGATGCTTTGGGGAATCTTTAACAGCTGAATTTGAGTCAGTCCTCTTAGGCTGCACCTCCAGCCTCTGCAGATCCCCCCTCATTTCCCATGGATGGTGGGACCCCATTATTCTCTCATCTCGGCATTCAGGGAACAGTTTCCTTAGCGGCCCCTGGTCACATGTCATCGGGCTGGGCAGGAAGCGTCCCTGATTGCGTGCTCCACTTCTCCCTCTCAGGAAGCCCAGTTTCATCCTTAGTACCCCCCCTCGTGCCCGCTGTCGGCTGGTTATAGCACTTCCACTGCTACTGTCAGATAGGAAGTGATCGAAGCAGGGGGCAAAGAGAAAGCCCATATTTGTTCTAAGCAGAAAAGCAGGAAAAAAAAAAAAAAAAAAGAAAGAAAAACACCTGTTGACCTGAGAGAAGTAAATTCCAGAAGGGAACCAAGAACTCTTCCCTTCCCTGGTGAGTATTTCCATTATTCCGTTAAGGTTTAATATGCATTCAGATTACTTTTACTAAATAGGACACCATAAAGCTTTTGTTATATATTAAATGTAAACTGAAAGGAATGTAAACATATGTATTGTTAATTATAAATATAGATAAGTAATGACATAATAGATGAAAAAGTCTTATTCAGATGTATCACATTCATTTTACATTACCCACCTATTGTCGCATGGTAGAATAGTTTTTTGTCTCTGAATATGTGAATAACTTGACTTGCATTGATCTTTTTACATATTTAATAAAAAAAAAAGTATATGTTAAAATCTGCCTGGAGTTACAGATTCTTAAATTTTTATGCTGAAGCTTCCCTTTTCAGTCAGCATGTGAATAGGAATAGATTTGTGTGGATTTACACATCTACCCACATTTTATTATGATTTCCCCGGGGCGGGGGTTGTCTTTGTTTTTATTGATGGCCAATGTTGTTAACAAGAGTTACAGACTCGTATTTGATATCAAATGTAGCAGCTATAATACCTTTTAAAAACTTTACCAAAAAAAAAAAAAAAAAGACATAAAGAGAAAACATTCCCTTGGGAAACATTCCACCTGCAAGCAAACAGAATCCTAGCTCCTGCAGGTCCAGCATACTCCATCTGGACAAGACAGTGCTGGGCAAATAGGAAACTGTGGGAGAAGCAGGCAGATGTTTCTAAGTACAGCTTTGTGGCAGAATGACCTGCTTGACAAAAACCCTTTGAATAAGTGTTTGTTGACTTTAAACGGCAATGATTTATCGACATGAGCTATAATTGTAATAACAATTTAACAGATACAGGAATAGGTGAAAAGAGAAATGTATTTCAACTGGCCCAGTAATCACCTGTGGAGACTGCAGAGCAGGCCACACTGGGATGCAGACGTTACCCTGGAGCCTGCAGGTTACTGGGCTTCAGCTAATACCCTTTTCACCGTGAAGAGTGCCAGCCTTCCCTACGCTGCTTCCAAGCACCACCTAGAGGCCAGTTTGGTTTCTCTACTGTCCTTTGGCCACTATTTTCCAGTCACTTGCCTTTAGGCACATTTCTATTAAAATAAGTGGGAAAATAACAGAAAGCAAAGATGTTACCCCTCTTCTCCATCTACATTCATTTCCTCCCAAGGTACACCACTTGTGACAGAAGTTTGTGAGCCATTACCTGGGTTTGAAATTTCATGCTCAAAGTACATGTGTGTTTCCCATTTAATCCACGAACTCTGGGGTTTTAAACACTTGATCTTAGACATTTGTGCACAGACAAAAATACATGTGATTCATCTTACAAAATGTACACTGGTGGACTCTAGTAAATCTGTCACTGATGGTTCAAAGGTGGCGAAATAACATGCTTGTTCTATTTTATTAAATCTGACATCATTTCTAAAAATTTGTTGCTTCTGGTACTATGGATAGGCTCAAGTCCAGAGACACCCCTTCTCAAAAAAGTTAATGGAATTCCATTGAATTTGAGTTACAAAATGCCAGTTCTCTAAAACACACACAGACAACTTGGTTTCTGACTTGTTTTATTCCTTTTAACTGCTAGAACACAACTATGATCATTAATTAAGGCTGCTATCACTAGTAATAACTTTTACTGACCCAGTTTCTCAGCACTGAGGCAATGTTGCCAAATAGCACAAATGATGGATAAAAACATCTCCGTGGATGTCTAATAGCTCCTGTCTTGCCAAACTAGGAACTCATAAAAGATGTTTTCCACTCATTAGAGGAATCCTGGCTTTATTTGCCTAAAGGAAAGCAAAGCTGAGGAGAAAATCCATTGATCCCTGGAGGACCCTCACGTGGCATTGGTACTTTGGATCACAAGACTGCCCCACGGGCAGACCCCCCAACTCTGAGCCAGACCCCATGTCTTGTATAGATTACGAGTACACAGAAGGTGCATTTACTGAGGCTGTGCTTCTGTTTTGGGTTTACAAATGTCATCAAAATGGAAGACCCAGCTGAAGTTAATTTGTTGGATGCCTTTTTCTCTCAATTCACTGGAAAAAAAAAATGTTTAACTTTTTAGCTTCCAAGTTTTAATTTCTAAAACAGGTTTCTTGTGGTATTTTGCAACGATTTTATCATCAAGCCTGGTGATAAATTGTTTTTAAAGGGTAATGATGTATTAATGTACCTTTGAATTTACGATTCTCAGTAGGAAACTAACCCAAGACCTAAATGTTTTCTTTTCTAGAGAATAAAAAAGTTAAGTACATGTTTCCTTCTGTGTAGCTAACATCCTTCATATTTTTACACTATGGTATTTCTTTAGGTCTTGAAGGTTATCCATATACAATAAAAAAAAATATGTTTAGTAAAATGGTTTTTGTCAAATCTGAGAGCTTAAATGAAACTTTGGAAATTAAAAAGTAATGAAAAGGTCTCATAAATGTGTTTGGAACTTACTACTAGGATGCTGTCTTCTAATCTGATATATTTATTATGTAGATGAAACATGAACTTCTAACGGAACAGTTTTTCTTCCAGCTTGAAAGATCTTTTAGAAAAAGACCACAGAAAACCAAGCCAAATGTTAGTTTCTTTTAGGCTAAGTTATGTCAAGATAGGCTCAGAGGCCATCCTGTCCTGCAAACAAAGACATTGTCCAGTCACCTGAGCTTTAAAAAAAAAAAAAATGCAGAGAAGGAAAATGTGAATTTTACCCCAGAACTTTTTTTTTTATATTTTACTTTAAGTTCTGGGATACATGTGCAGAATGTGCAGGTTTGTTACATAGGTATACATGTGCCATGGTGGTTTGTTGCACCTGTCAACTCGTCATCTAGATTTTAAGCCCCACATGCATTAGGTATTTGTCCTAATGCTCTCCCTCCCCTTGACCCCCCACTCTGCAACAGGCCCTGGTGTGTGTTGTTCCCCTCCCTGTGTCCATGTGTTCTCATTGTTCAGCTCCCACTTTCGAGTGAGAACATGTGTTTGGTTTTCTGTTCCTGTGTTAGTTTGCTGAGGTTGATGGCTTCCAGCTTCATCCATGGCCCTGCAAAGGACATGATCTCATTCTTTTTTATGACTGCTTAATATTCCATGGTGTATATGTACCACATTTTCTTTATCCATTTTCATTGACGGGCATTTGGGTTGGTTCCATCTCTTTGCTATTGTAAATAGTGCTTCAATAAACATACATGTGCATGTGTCTTTATAGTAGAATGATTTATATTCCTTTGGGTATATACCCAGTAATGGGATTGCTTGGTCAAATGCTATTTTTGGTTCTAGATCCCTAAGGAATCACCACACTATCCTGCTCAATGGTTGAACTAATTTATATTCCCACCAAGAGTGAAAAAGCATTCTCACTTCTCCACAGCCTCGCCAGCATCTATTGTTCCTTGACTTTTTAATAATCACCATTCTGACCGGAGCGAGATGGTATCTCCTTGTGATTTTGATGTGCATTTCTCTAAGGATCAGTGATGATGAGCTTTTTTTCATGTTTTTTGGCCATATAAATGTCTTCTTTTGAGAAGTGTCTGTTCACATCCTTTGCCCACTCTTTTTTTTTTTTTTTTTTTCCTGAGATGGAGTTTCGCTCTTGTTGCCCAGGCTGGAGTGCAATGGCACAGTCTCGGCTCGCTGCAACGTCCGCCTCCCGGGTTCAGGCGATTCTCCTGCCTCAGCCTCCTGAGTAGCTGGGATTATGGGCACGTGCCACCACACCCGGATAATTTTTGTATTTTTAGTAGAGACAGGGTTTTGCCATGTTGGCCAGGCTGCTCTTGAATTCCTGACCTTGGGTGATCTGCCTGCCTCAGCCTCCCAAAGTGCTGGGATTACTTTTTGATGGTTTTTTGTTTTGTTTTGTTTTGTTTTTGTAAATTTAAGTTCCTTGTAGATTCAGATATTAGACCTTTGTCAGATGGGTATATTGCAAAAATTTTCTCCCATTCTGTAGGTTGTCTGTTCACTCTGATGCTAGTTTCTTTTGCTGTACAGAAACTCTTTAGTTTAATTAGATCCCATTTGTCAATTTTGGCTTTTGTTGCAATTGCTTTTGGTGTTTTTGTCATGAAGTCTTCACCCATGCCTATGTCCTGAATGGTATTGCCTAGGTTTTCTTCTAGGGTTTTTATGGTTTAGGGTTTTACATTTAAGTCTTTAATCCATCTTGAGTTAATTTTTGTATAAGGTGTAAGGAAGGGGTTCAATTTCAGTTTTCTGCATATGGCTAGCCAGTTTTTCCAGCACCATTTATTAAATAGGGAATCATTTCCCCATTGCTTGTTTTTGTCAGGTTTGTCAAAGATCAGATGGTTGTAGATGTGTGGTGTTATTTCTGAGGTCTCTGTTCTGTTCCATTGGTCTATATCTCTGTTTTGGTACCAGTACCATGCTGTTTTGGTTACTGCAACCTTGTAGTATAGTTTGAAGTCAGGTAGGGTGATGCCTCCAGCTTTGTTCTTTTTGGTTAGGATTGTGTTGGCTATACAGATCTTTTCTGGTTCCATATGAAATTTAAAGTAGTTTTTTCTAATTCTGTGAAGAATGTCAATGGTAGTTTGATGGGAATAGCATTGAATCTATAAATTACTTTAGCAGTATGGCCATTTTCACGATATTGATTCTTCCTATCCATGAGGATGGAATGTTTTTCCATTTGTTTGTGTCCTCTCTTATTTCCTTGAGCAGTGCTTTGTAGTTCTCCTTGAAGATGTCCTTCATGTCTCTTGTAAACTGTATTCCTAGGTATCTTATTCTCTTTTTAGCATTTGTGAACAGGAGTTCATTCATGATTTGATGCTCTGCTTGTCTATTGTTGGTGTATAGGAATGCTTGTGATTTTTGCACATTGATTTTGTATCCTGAGACTGTGCTGAAGTTGTTTATTAGCTTAAGAAGTTTTGGGGCTGAGACAATGGGTTTTCTAAATATGGAATCATGTCTTCTGCAAACAGAGACAATTTACAATTTGACTTCCTCTCTTCCTATTTGAGTACCCTTTATTTCTTTCTCTTGCCTGATTGCCTTGGCCAGAACTTCCAATATTTTGTTGAATAGGAGTGGTGAGAGAGGGCATCCTTGTCTTGTGCCAGTTTTCAAAGGGAATGCTTCCAGCTTTTGCCCATTCAGTATGATATTGATTATGGGTTTGTCATAAATAGCTTTTATTATTTTGAGATATGTTCCATCAATACATAGATTATTGAGTTTTTGACATGAAGGGATATTGAATTTTATCAAAGGCCTTTTCTGCATCCATTGAGGTAATCATGTGGTTTTTGTCATTGGTTCTGTTTATGTGATGGATTACATTTATTGATTTGCATTATGTTGAACCAGCCTTGCATCCCAGGATTGAAGCTGACTTGATCGTGAGGTTGTAAGCTTTTTGATGTGCTGCTGGATTCCATTTGCCATTATTTTATTGAGGATTTTCACATCAGTGTTCATCAGGGATATTGGCCTGAAGTTTTCTTTTTTTGTTGTGTCTCTGCCAGGTTTTGGTATCAGGATGATGCTGGCCTCATAAAATGAGTTAGGGAGGAGTCCTGTCTTTTCAATTGTTTGGAATAGTTTCAGAAGGAATGGTACCAGCTCCTCTTTGTCCCTCTGGTAGAATTTGGCTGTGAATCCGTCTACTCCTGGGCTTTTTTTGGTTGGTAGGCTATCACTTCCTCAGTTTCAGAACTTGTTATTGATCTATTCAGCAACTTGACTTCTTCCTGGTTTAGTCTTGGGAGGGTGCGTGTGTCCAGGAATTTATCCATTTCTTCTAGATTTTCTAGTTTATTTGCGCAGAGGTGTTTATAGTATTCTCTGTTGGTAGTTTGTATCTCTGTGGGGTCAGTGGTGTGATATCCCCTTTATCATTTTTTATTGTATCTATTTGATTCTTCTCTCTTCCTTATTAGTCTAGCTAGCGGTCTATTTTGTTAATTTTTTCAAAAAACCAGCTCCTGGTTTCATTGATTTTTTGGAGGGTTTTTTGTTGTTGTTGTTTTGTTTTGTTTTTTTTGTCTCTATCTGCTTCAGTTCTGCTCTGATCTTAGTTTTTTTTTTTTTGTCTTCTGTTTTGGATTTGTTTGCTCTTGCTTCCCTAGTTCTTTTAATTGTGATGTTAGAGTGTCGATTTGAGATCTTTCCAGCTTTCTGATGTGGGCATTTAATGCTATAAATTTCCCTCTAAACACTGCTTTAGCTGTGTCCCAGATATTCTGATACGTGGTCTCTTTGTTCTCATGGGTTTCAAGAACTTCTTGATTTCTGCCTTAATTTTGTTATTTACCCAGGAATCATTCAGAAGCAGGTTGTTCAATTTCCATGTAGTTGTGTGGTTTTGAGTGAGTTTCTTAATCCTGAGTTCTAATTTTATTGCACTGTGGTCTGAGAGACTGTTTATTATGATTTTAGTTCTTTTGCATTTGCTGAGAAGTGTTTTACTTCCAATTATATGGTCGATTTCAGAATAAGGGCCATGTGGCACTGAGAAGAATGTACATTCTGTTGATTTGGGGTGGAGAGTTCTATAGATGTCTATTAGGTCCACTTGATCCAGAACTGGGTTCAAGTCCTGAATATCCTTGTTAATTTTCTGTCTTGTTGATCTGTCTAATATTAACAGTGGGGTGTTAAAGTCTCCCACTATTATTGTGAGGGAGTCTAAGTCTCTTTGTAGATCTCTAAGAACTTGTTTTATGAATCTGGGTGCTTCTGAATTGGGTGCATATATATTTAAAATAGCTCTTCTTGTTGCATCGATCCCTTAAATGCCCTTCTTTGTCTCTTTTGATCTCTGTTTGTTTAAAGTCTGTTTTATCAGAGCCTAGGATTGAAACTCCTGCTTTTTTTTTTCTTTTTCTTTTTTTTTTTTTTTGGCTTTCCATTTGCTTGGTAAATTTTCCTCCATCCCTTTATTTTGAGCCTATGTATGTCTTTGCACGTGAGATGGGTCTCCTGAACACAGCACACCAATGGTGCTTGACTCTTTTTCCAATTTGCTAGCCTGTGTCTTTTAACTGGGGCATTTAGCCCATTTACATTTAAGGTTAATATTGTTATGTGTGAATTTGATCCATCATCATAATGCTAGCTGGTTATTTTGCACGCTAGTTGATGCCGTTTCTTCATAGTGTCATTGGTCTTTATATTTCGGTGTGTTTTTGCAGTGGCTGGTACCAGTTTTTCCTTTCCATATTTAGTACTTCCTTCAGGAGCTCCTGCAAGGCAGGCCTGGTGGTGATGAAATCCCTTAGCAATTGCTTGTCTAGAAAGGATTTTATTTCTCCTTTGCTTATTGAAGATTGGTTTGGCTGGATATGAAATTCTGGGTTGAAAATTATTTTCTTTAACATGTTGAATATTGGCCCCCACTCTCTTCTGGCTTGTAGGGTTTCTGCCCAGAGATCCACTGTTAGTCTGATGGGCTTCCCTTTGTAGGTGACCTGACCTTTCTCTCTGGCTGCCCTTAACATTTTTTCCTTCATTTCGACCTTGGAGAATCTGACGATTATGTGTCTTGGGGTTGATCTTCTTGTGGAGTATCTTAGTGCTGTTCTTTGTCTTTCCCGAATTTGAATGTTGGCCTGTCTTGCTAGATTAAGGAAGTTCTCCTGGATAATATCCTGAAGTGTGTTCATTCTATTCTTCCTGTCTCTTTCAGGTACTCCAGTCAATTGTAGGTTTGGTCTTTTAACGTATTCCCCTATTTCTAGGATGCTTTGTTCATTCCTTTTCATTCTTTTTTCTCTAATCTTGTCTGCATGCCTTATTTCAGCAAGGTGGTCTTCAAACTCTGGTATCCTTTCTTCTGCTTGATCGATTCAGCTATTGGTACTTGTGTATGCTTCATGAAGTTCTCATGCTGTGTTTTTCAGCTCCATCAGGTCATTTATGTTTCTCTCTAAACTGGTTATTCTAGTTAGCAGCTCCTGTAATCTTTTATCAAGGTTCTTAGCTTCTTTATATTGGGTTACAACATGCTACTTTAGCTCAGCAGTTTGTTATTACCCACCTTCTGAAGCCTACTTCTGTCAATTGGTCCATCTCATCCTCTGTCCAGTTCTGCACCCTTGCTGGAGAGGTGTTGCGATCATTTGGAGGAGAAGAGGCATTCTGGCTTTTGGAATTTTCAGCATTTTTGCACTGGTTTTTCCTCATCTTCATGGATTTATCTACCTTTGGTCTTTGAGGCTGATGACCTTTGGATGGAGTTTTTGCGTGGGCATCCTTTTTGTTGATGTTGATGTTACTGCTTTCTGTTTGTTTGTTTTTCTTCTAACAGTCAAGCCCCTCTTCTGCAGGTGTGCTGCAGTTTGCTGAAGATCTACTCCAGACCCTGTTCTCCTGGGTATCACCAGTGGAGACTGCAGAACAGCAAAGATTGCTGCCTGCTCCTTCCTCTGGAAGCTTTGTCCCAGAGGGGCACGGGCCTGATGCCAGCCAGAGCTCTCCTGTATGAGGCGTCTGCCGACCCCTGTTGGGAGGTCTCTCCCAGTCAGGAGTCACAGGGGTCAGGAACCCGTTTGAGGAGGCAGTCTGTCTCTTAGCAGAGCTGGTGCGCTGTGTTGAGAGAATCTCCCTTGTCAGGATCAGCTGCTCTCTTCAGAGCCGGCAGGCAGGAAAGGCTAAGTCCACTGAACCTGCGACCACAGCCGCCCCTCCCCGCAGGTGCTCTGCCCCGAAGAGATGAGAGTTTTTGTCTGTAAGCCCCTGCCTGGAGCTGCTGTATTTCCTGCAGCGATGCCCTGCCCAGTGGGGAGGAATCTAGAGAAGCAGTCTGGCCACAGCCGCTTTGCTGCACTGTAGGGAATTCCATCCAGTCCAGACTTCCCAGTCTCCTTAGCACTGTCAGGGGAAAACCACCTACTAAAGCCACAGTAATGGCCATCGCCCCCCTTCCCACCAAACTCAATCATCCCAGTCCAACTCCAGACTGCTGTGCCCTCAGTGAGAATTTCAAGCCAGTGGTTCTTAGCTTGCTGGGCTCCATGGGAGTGGGACCTGTTGAGCGAGACCACTTGGCTCCCTGGCTTCAGCCACCTTTCTAGGGGAGTGGACGGTTGTCCTGTCTCACTGGAGTTCTAGGTGCTGCTGGACAATGAAAAAATCCTGCAGCTCAGTGCCTGCCCAAACAGCTGCCCAGTTTTGTGCTTGAAACCCAGGGCGCTAGTGGTGTAGACTCAGGAGGGAATCTCCTGATTCGTGGATCACAAAATTCCGTGAAAAAAGTGTAGTACCCCGGGCAGGTAGCACAGTCCCTCACTGCTTCCCTTGGCTAGGGGAGGGAGGTCTCGGGCTCTGTGCACCTCCTAGGTGAAGCGACGCCCCACCCTGCTTCTGCAGCTTTCAGTGGGTCACACCCACTACCTAACCAGTCCCAATGAGAGGAACTGGGTACCTAGGTTGGAAATGCAGAATCACCCCCGCCTTCTGCATTGGTCTCGCTGGGAGCTACAGACCGGAGCTGTCTATTTTCAGTTTTTCTTGGGAGAATGGTTTTGAAATATCACAAGATGTTTCCCAGTCATTACCTAAGACATCATCACCACAGCACCCAGGGTTTTCTTTAGTTTTACTTTCTCAAAAGTTTGGATACCATTTACTTCTGGATGAGAACCATTCCTTTTAAGCCAAAGATTTAATAGGCACAGAGTGAATGGTTGTGTTTGTCATATCCACAGTAGATCTAAAAAGGCTCAAATGTAAGAATTTATCTCTCCTGAGAAGACGGTGGTAGAAATTGACAGGCATATAGTATCTCCACCATTTTTTAACTAAGCAAATACTTTACAGTGTGGGTAACTCCTAGTTAGAACACACGATTTTGTTACATAATAGCCAGTTTACGTACAACCTAAAAGCAATACTTTGGACCACACAGCTATGCTTCATTGTGATGTTCTGTGACCCAAACTGGTTTCCAAGCTGCTGTGAATGCGTCTCCCATTTTCTTGTATGACTGTCCTGCATTCCACAAAGCCAAAAAAGAAAAAAGTGGATTTATGTATAGAAGTGCCCCCAAACCCAATATGTATGTGCTTGTAGGCCTAAACTTATTATAAGCTTTGGAAAACCTAGAATGAGAGCTCCTGAACAGTTGTAGCTTTCCAAGCTGTGCCAGTATGGGCTTCCGCTCCCTGGTTGACTCCCGTTTTCCATGGGAGTCCTTTTATGTAGTTTTCCTTCTTAAGGAAAGAGAGAGGAGAATAGAAAAGGTGACAATGGTATGAGACGTGGTCCCTCTTGCCTTCAAGATATTTTAAGAATATTCATGTGTCTGGGCCCGGGTGCGGTGGCTCACACCTGTAATCTCAGCACTTTGGGAGGCCGAGGCGGGCAGATCACCTGAGGTCAGGAGTTTGAGACCAGCCTGGCCGACATGGTGAAATCCCATCTCTACTAAAAATACAAAAATTAGCCAGGCGTGGTGGCAGGTGCCTGCAATCCCAGCTACTTGGGAGGCTGAGGCAGGAGAATCACTTGAACCCAGGAGGCGGAGGTTGCAGTGAGCTGAGATCGCGCCATCACACTCTAGCCTGGGGGACAAGAGCGAGACTTCGTCTCGGGAAAAAAAAAAATATTCATATGTTCTTCAAGTCACTTGTTCCTGTTTTTAAAATAGCATGCTGAGGGATTTGGTCATATCATTAGCCCAGACATAGCCTGACAAGACCAGCCCTTGTGTAATGAGATTGGTTTGAGGTAGGAACTGTACTTGCTTTCTATGATGGGCAAGAGGAGACCCCAGGCTCTGGATGGGAAGCTGAAGGCTGACCAAGGGTGGATGAGGCAGAGGGCCTGCGAAGGGGACTCCACAGAGGCCACACGCAGGACAAGAGCAGCACTCTACTCCAGGCTTCATCCATCGTATGGAGGTCTGTGGTCATTTCACCCATTCATCTTGCTCCTCTGGAGAACCCAAACCCCGGAAACCACAAAGGGAATCGACTGCTGCTTCACAGGAAGGGTTTCATTCATGATCACATTTCTTTACTGAAAAAGATGGGTATATTGAAGCGTTGACTGCCTCCTCAAGAAGAAACAGGAAGTGATCATTACCAAACAGAGGCTCCCTTTAAATTTAAAATATGTAGCCAAGAAAGAGGCTAACACTACCTAAGAAAGACCCCAATTAAATGTTTAAGCTAAAAAAAGCAGAGGGTTGGGGATAGGGCATGTTTTTGTTTTGTCTTCCAATTTCAGTGTTTTTAAAGGCTGAGCACCAACTATGGGCGAAGCACAGGAGTCAAAAGTAACTTTACTCCTAAAATATCATATCATTATCCTTTTTTTTTTTCTTGCTCTGTCGCCCAGGCTGGAGTGCAGGGGTGCAATTTGGGCCCACTGCAACCTCCAACTCCCAGGTTCAAGTGATTCTCCTGCCTTAGCCTCCTGAGTAGCTGGGACTACAGGTGCATGCCACCACACCCAGCTAATTTTTTGTATGTTTTAGTAGAGGCAGGGTTTCACCATGTTGGCCAGGCTGGCTGAAGTGCTGGGATTAGGCGTGAGCCATCATGCCCAGCCTCATCTAACGATCTTTAAGTTATTCTAATGGAGCTCTATAGAGAGGGGTATTCTGAATCCATTAAGTTAGGTCTTGCCTTAATCCAAAAAAATAAACTAAAGCTGTCTGCATATTTTTAAGGCAGTATATTACATATAAATGAGGAAATCAGCATGAAGGGAAAGTAAGGCAGGAGGGAAAAGACAAAGCCAGAGGTAAAGTTAGGAGCCTTACACATGCCCTGAGGTCTTCTAGACTTTACTAGGACTAAAGGAGAAAAAATGACCTCTGTGCTTCCTAGTAGCCAACAGAGAGGAAAGTACAACCAGCCCTCTGTATCTGAAGGGTCTACATCTACAGATCAACCATGTATCAAAAATATTTTTAAATAAATAGAAAATAATACAAATTTTTAAAAAATACAATATTAGAACTACATATAGTCCCTGATATACAATGGTTAAACTTACAATTTTTGGTCTTTATGATGAGTTTATCAGGATATTGAATGCATTTTCAACTTATGAAATTTTTGACTTAAAAATGTGTTTATTGAGAAGCAACCTCATTATAAGTGAGAGCATCTGTACTTAACATTTACATCGCATTAGGTATTATAAGTAATCTAGATATGATTTAAAGTATATGGGAGAATGTGTGAGGGTTGTATGCAAATACCATACCAGTTTTTACTAGGGACTTGAACATCCGTGGATTTTGGTATTTGCAGGAGCAGTGTGTGTGCGGATGGGGGTGGGTGGAGGAGGGGTCCTGTTTAAACAAATCAGTTACTTGGGAGCACAGATATTTCTTGGCGTTACCTCCTAGGAAGAAATTGAATGATGTAGGGAGCCTGACCTCAACAACATCTCACAGCAAATACAGTAACACTGTAATAGGACTGCTTCCAACTATCCCTGATGATATAATGCCAAGATGTGGTTCAGTCGAAAGCAATCTACCAGGGACTGGAGCTGTCTGTGCATGTAAACAGCTCCTGGGAGGTCAGGCTTCATCCCAGGATAAACTATAGAATCATAGGGCAGTGATGGGGGCGAGGGGAAGGGTACTGCAAGTGCTACTCCCTGCAGCCTAAGTTTAGTAAATACTGAATGGCAGTGTGACCTTGGCAACTACTAAAGGACAGACACTGAATGCTGCTGATCAACACCCGGTTCCTTTCCCAACAGTCAGCACATGGAGGGGAGGGGCTGTTCTCAGGCTACAGGCTGAGGAGCCCGGCCAGGCCACAAGCCACAGGCCACCCCACCCCTGGCAGGTGGGAGGAGGGGTGCCAGGGTCCGGGTCACACTTTTCCCCAGAAGCATCATAAGGGTTTGACTTTTGTGAGTCTGTTTTGCGTTTGGTTTTGGTTTTTCAATTATCCTTGGCAATTCACTGATAGGGAAATTTTCAGTGTAGATTATAGATATGAAGCTATTAGCTGTTCCACACTCCTGTAAGCCTTAAAATTGTCCTGGAGAAAGCCCACTGACAGATGGTATGCTTCCTAAGTCAAAACACAAGTCTGTAGGGGAAAAGAGAGTATTTTAATAAAAATCTTATTATATCTATAAAACCCTTTACAGGTTGCAAAATGGCTTCAAAGATGATAATTATTAGAGGAGAAAGAGAACAGGCTTTGAAAATTACCTAACTGGATTCCAATTCCAGCTACACCACTTCTACCTGTGTCCTTTTAAATAAATTACACATAATTTCTGAGCCTCAGTTTCCTCATCTGAACATATAGATGATACCTACCTTGCACAGTTGTTTTGAAAAATAAGTGAAGATGGTGTGTATAAAGTACCTTGCACATAGTCGATACTTAATAAATGGTGGCCAGGCGTGGTGGCTCACACCTTAATCCCAGCACTTTGGGAGGCCAAGGTGGGCGGATCATTTGAGGTTAGGAGTTTGAGACCAGCCTGGCCGACATGGTGAAACCCCATCTCTACTAAAAAAATAATAATACAAAAATTGGCTGGGTGTGGTGGCATGCGCCTGTAATCCCAGCTACTCAGGAAGCTAAGGCATGAGAATCGAACCCAGGAGGCGGAGGTTGCCGTGAGTCGAGATTGCGCCACTGCACTCCAGCCTGGGTGAGAGTGTGAGACTCTGTCTCCAAAACAAAAGGCCGGGCACAGTGGCTCACGCTTGTAATCTCAGCATTTTGGGAGGCCGAGGTGGGCGAATCACAAGGTCAGGAGATCGAGACCAGCCTGGCCAATATGGTGAAACCCTGTCTCTACTAAAAATACAAAAAATTAGCTGGGCATGATGGTGGGCGCCTGTAATCTCAGCTACTCGGTACGCTGAGGCAGGAGAATTGCTTGAACCTGGGAGGCAGAGGTTGCAGTGAGCAGAGATCGTGCCACTGCACTCCAGCCCAGGTGACAGTGTGAGACTCTGTCAGAAAGAAGAAAGGAAAAGAAAGGAAGGGAAAGGAAGAGAAGGGAGGGGAGGGGAGGGGAGGGGAGGGGAGGGGAAGGGAAGGGAAGGGAAGGGAAGGGAAAAAGAAAGGAATGGAAAAGGAAAAGGAAAGGACAAAGAAAGCAAAGTTAGCTATTACTACTAATTTTGGCTTCAATAGCAATCCTGTGAGGGAGGTAGTACAGATATTACTGATATTATAATAATAATCTTCTTAGCCTGATGCTAAACATTTCAACACCGCCCACTGCTTTCACTGCCCTGCAGCAAGAGCAGTCCTAGGCAGCCACATGTTACGTGGTTCAGAGTGGGCGTCTAACCCAGGGCCAGTCAGTATTAGGGTTTTCAAGTGACCACATGGTCTGCCTCTCTGATGGCAATTAGATCCTCCCTCTGCTCTCCCCTTCCCTCTCATTTGCACTAAGGATTGAGAACCTTAGCAGTGAATACCAGAGCTTGAAAGGATGCACAGGGAACGAAGCCACGAGGAAGGATCACAGCATGCTGATGTTATATATGAGCAGTTGCTCTGAAATAGAAAAAAGGTGAAAGTGGTCAAAAGAAAAGAGAGGCCTGGGCACAGGGACTCCCACCTGTAATCCCAGCACTTTGGGAGGCTGAGGCAGGAGGATTGCTTGAGGCTAGGAGTCTGAGACCAGCAATGTCAACATAGCAAGACCCTGTTTCTACAAAAAATGTAAAAATTAGCTGGGTGTGGTGATGCACACCTGTAGTCCTAGCTACTTGGGAGGCTGAGGCAGGAGGATGGCTTGAGCACAGGAGATTGAGGCTGCAGTGAGCTATGATTGTGCCACTGCACTTCAGCCTGGGAAGCAGAGCAAGACCCTGTCTCTAAAAAAAAAAAGAAGAAAAAGCAAACACTCAGGAAAGAACCAAGGAAGGTTTTAAATACGATTTTCTGGAATCTAGTTGACCAGATTTATAGAGCTCACATTTATGTGTAATTAACATAAGTCAGAGGTAACTTAAATGAGTCGCTTCCTTGCAACCCAACACATTCTCATGAAGTGAGGTTCTCGAAAGGGAATAACTTTCCCAAGTTGATAGAACAGAAGGGACCTTCAAGACAATCCAATACCAAGCCCAGCTGAGCACCTAGATGACAGCTAGCATCACCTGCCAGCCCTGTGCGGGAAGAAGCCAACTTGGACATCCAGCCCCCTTGGGCCTTCAGATGACTCCGAGCATCTGTCCATCTGACAGCAACCACAGGAGAGACCTCAAGCAAGAACTGCCCCGCTATCCCATGGAACCATAAGAGAATAATAAATTGGTTCAAGTCACTAAGTTTAGGGTGGCTTCTTGTGACACAGCAATAGATAACTAGAACAATGTAGTTGACAGTGAAGGATAGATTTCATTTTGTTATTTTATACAGGCATTTTGCAAAAAGAATGTGAATTGAGTCACATTTATGCTGTAACAGCTGTGAAATAATTTGAGCATATCACTTTGGTGAGCTTCATAAAATTAAGTGTAAAATGAGGGAATGAGACTAGGTAATCTTTGACATCCCTTCTGGCACTTAAAAATTCTGATTCCCAATAAACTACACAATGAAAAACAACATGGCCCCCAGGGGATAGTTACCTGAGCTAGGCAGAACTTTCCTACCCTAGAAGCGGAGGATAGGAGGGGTGGGGAGCAGGAGGATAGGAATCAAATGCAAGTATTTTTTATAGGCTGCTTCCCAGCACATAGTAGATGCCCAAAAAAGTTGTTTGAATGAAATGTCCCTTTCCTGGGTGCTTTGATTTAATTTGTTTTTCTCACTCAGTTATTTGATCTGAGGTCACTTCCCATGCAAATGAAATAAGAAAGAGGAATCAGAAACACAGACAGGTCCTAAGTGAATTTTTGACATAAATGAGTTTTTAAATGATCTCCATGTTGTTCCTTCACTCTCCTCTATCGACTTGTACTGAAGTTCCCAGAGTGTTCCAGGCAATGGGCATGTCTAAGTAACCTGTTGCCTCTTGGGTTATCCCACTCAGGGGGCTGAGCAGGTGGAAGCCACAGAGAAGTCACACATTATATACAACACTCATTCTTCATACAACCCCGTCTCTGCAATAAGGAAGTGGCCACATCTGCCTCCACCTCATCTGTGGCACTTTATTTTCCACTTCCTGAAAAGAAACAAAGCATCATATATTTACCATGCACACTGTCATGGCCATTACTCAGTTTGTGATGCAATGGATGGGACAAGTGTCGACTCCTCCAGCCTTTCCAGAGACCCTGTAACTGCAGAGAGGACCATAGGGCCAGGAGAAACAGGGCCAGTGAGAGACTCTGATGTCACTCCTCAGACCAACATCACTCTGCGCTGTTCAACAGCAAACAAGCACATACTATGATGACAAGGGAGGTAACTAGGCTAAAAGAAGCTCATTAAAAATCAACTTTATCTATAAAAATTTCCTCTTCTTCCTGCCCTGCTCTCTCCCCACAACTTCCTTCTCCTGAAAATACCTTCGTTAAACTAAGGACTAGAAAACCTGGGTTATTTCCAAAGGGAAGGTCATGGGAAACGCTTCCTTTGGACAGTTTTCTTCATTGGTTATAATTTAAAAAACAGCTCAGGGGTAATTTAAAACACATATTTTACTGGACATGCTGTTCACTTTCAACACAGAAATCATGCTATATACCTTTCTCCGTATTCCCAACTTCTGAATATCCAAGGAGGAAATCCAGTCATTGCCTCATTCATGAGGATAATGGCTCCCAATTGCCCAGTGAGAACCCATAGCACACTCTGCTTTAGCCACCTCTAATGATAACTAAGGCAGTGACCCACTGATGGTCTATTCTCTGCTCCTTCCGACATGCACTGAGTCATTCTTCTACCAGCACAGTGAGTAAGGACTCGTATTTTAAGTGTGCAAGTTGTTGGGTTATTTACTGAAACTTACTCAGCTTCCTTCTCTGGAACCTAGAGACAATAGCAGTAGTCTTGTTGTATGCCCACAGCCTGGTATACAATAGGTGCTCAATGAATAATAGTGTCATACATGTGCAGGGCACAGTGTCTCATGCCTGTAATCACAGTGCTTTGGGAGGCTGAGGCAGGAGTATTGCTTGAGGCCAGGAGCTGGCCAACTAGCCTGGGCAACGTAGTGAGATCCCATCTCTAAAAATACAATAATAATAATAATAATAATCAACTAGCCAGTCATGGTGGCATGCACCTGTAGTCCTAGCTACTCTGAAGGCTGAGCCAGAGGTTCAAGGCTGCAGTGAGCCTTGATCAAGCCATTGCACTGCAGCCTGAGTGATCTCTTAAAAAAAAAAAAAGTTACATACATGAGCACAGTGTATAATTAACTACCTACATATAATTACTAGTGAGATTATTTAGCTAATTTCTTTTCTTTTCTTTTTTTTTTAATAGAGACAGGGGTCTCACTATTGTTTAGGCTGGTCTTAAACTCCTGGCCTCAAACAATCCTTTCACCTCAGCCTTCCAAAGTGCAGAGATTACAGGTGTGAGCCACTGCACCTGACCCGTTTGGCTAATTTCTAACCTTTTACTGCTAAACTCCATGCACCATCACCATGTAGACTATGTCTGCCTGGCTCACCATCCTATCCTTAGCAACTAGCACACTTAACTAATACAAAGAAGGTGCACAATATACTTATGAATGAATGGAATGAAAAGTGCCTAGATGTAAGGTTGCTAAGAGGATGTAATAAAATAATACATGCAAAGAGCTTATTATTGTGCCTGGCACATAGTTGTACATTGTTGCCTACTGCAATTAGTGGTGGTGATGGTGGTATTGGTATAATTTCTCTCAGTCCATACCCAAACTAAAGTGTGATGTGCAAGAGAGATACTCTCTCTGTTCTCCAGAGACAGCCACCCAGAGATAGCCCCTATTCTACTGCTCCTTATTAGGCCCCCAGCACAACCATTAGCACTTCTAGCTCTAAATTCCTGCCTCCCCTTCCCACAGTTCATCCGCCTGCCATATATTCAACTTTCTAATGTATGTTGAGTCCCCAGAAGAATAAAGACTTTCATGGCTAACTGCTAGGTGGTAAGCTTTCTGCGCAACACTAGGCACTGGATCTACAGTGCTTTTTGGATCTACACATGGTCTCTTTTGACAGAAGTGGATTGGAGATCATCAGTCACCTACTATTGTTTTAGAAGTCAGAAGTACCTTGCCTCAGGTCACTACACATTTCTTCTGAAGGGGTTAGATCTTCTCTTTTAACACATTATGTTGTGATTGCTGGTGCTGAAGACTGTGTTCACCCTAGGGCATGATTTTAGGGGTGGGACCATTTTGTCCACGAATTTAATGTCCCCAGCACCTAGCAGTTTTGAGCACATAACAGAACTTGGTTTACCAAATAAAAATAAAAGAGAGAAGGGAAAAGGTGCAGTGGTGAAGTTTAACATCAGAGTTATTTCCTGTATATTCATTTTTCTCTCCATTAACACAGAGAACAAAAATTTAATTTTACATCAGAGAAAATTTACAATCCAGGTGGTCAGAACAAGAGAGATGAAAATGCAGAATTGCAGAGAGCCATGAAGCGTAACTTGACTCTCATGAGCATGGAAGTTTAACATCATGACTTTTAAAAATCTGTCATTTAACATATGATGTGTTTTCAAGCTTCAGAGACTGAATTCCATCAATGAATATTATATTCTGACTGCATGCTTGTGTTTGATTTTGAACTTTCCTTATATAAACCTCAAAACCAAAATTGAAAAGCCGTGTACAAGAAAAATAAAATGTCAAGTTAGAAAAAGATTTAGCAACACTGTACATCAATGATTTCAAATGTGATTCTGAGACCCTTGGGGAGTCCCCAAGAGCTTATTAGGAAATCTTCCAAGTCAAAATTATTTTCCCAATGAGCCTGAGATGTTATTTGCCTTTTTCATTCTTATTCTTTCACCAGTGTACAGTGGATCTTTTCCAAGGTTACGTGAGGTGTGATATCACAGCAAATAGTATGCAGAAGCAGATATCACAGTCCAACTGTCTAACAGTCCAACTGGCAGAAAAGTAGTGCTTCTAGCAGTCAAGAGCAGCCACGTTGAGATTGGTGAAGTCAATGAACCCAGTGCTGGATGGCAGGTACTAAAGGTGGAGATGTCCTGCCGATATCAAGATACAGAACTGCAGTGGAGGTGAGTGGTCAGAACCAGTGATGTGGATTTAAAGGTTAGTCCTCTGTAATGACAAGTAGCACCCCAGCAGTGAATAATCCTACGGAGTAATGAATGCAAAACATGGAGCTGTCCAAGGCAGAAGCTGTGGGAACTGGCACATTTTGGAGCAGGAGATAAATAAGAACCTAGATGTTGGGAAAGACTCACTGAGCGACCAGCTATGCAGGGCCCTGAAAAAAGTACCTTGGCATGACATAGCTGATAGACAGAAGGAAGGACAAAAGAGAGAAAGATGGAAACCAGAGGGGACAGCTTCAAGGAAGATTAGTCAACAATATCAAAGTCACATGAAAGACGCGAATGGTAAATTCCGATAAGCTAATGGATTTGACAAGAATTGGGTCATTGTCAGCTTCAAAAGAGAATTTTTAGTAAAGTAATGAGGTCAAAACAGCACATGAAAACTGCATGGGGAAAAGTCTAAAAGCAGAGCCCAGCACGGTGGCTCAACTCTGTAATCCTAGCACTTTGGGAGGCCGAGGCAGGAGGATTGCTTGAGCCCAGGAGATCCAGGCCACAGTGAGCTATGATGGCATCACTGCACTCCAGCCTGGACAACAGCATGAGATCTTGTCTGTAAGTTTTAAAACTTTTTAAAAATAAAACCATCTAAAAGCAAAAGGAAAAAAATAAAAGGGATACAAAACCCAGGAAAGAAAGATTTTTGGTTTAAACCAAGACTGTATACGGACATGAAGGCAATCCCCAAGGACCTCAGAGCCACTGAAGGTGCTGAAGGCAAAGGGAGGGTACCAAGGTATCTTGTGGGTACCAGGACACAGACTCTTCTCTTAAAAACACCCTGCTCATAAGACTACTTCCTGGTCCATCAAAACAGAATCCTAAGGAATCCTATTATTCACCAGTCAGCAAATATTAGGATGATGATGTAATGGTTAAAAGATCTACTCTAGTCAGATATCATTTAAAAGGCAACATTCAGATTTGAATAGGTCTTTTCTTGACATGAAGTACAAATAATAAAAATCCAAGTATCAGAATTTCATGTAGGAAAATAAATTGCTATGACAACCACAACTCAGTCTCCACAGAAAATATAAATAGGAACCAGAATGAGAAAATTATAGAGAATTTTTTCTGATTTGGAAACAATTTCAACTATGATTCTTTAATGTTTTGCTCATTTGGCTCTAATATGAGAACAAGAAAATATTCTTCTACTTCAATAGCTTCTTTGTATTACAAATTAAAATGACCAGACCAGCACGTATTGGAATGAAACTAGAAACCAACACCATCTAGTGACTTACTCCACCAAGATACCCCTGTTCCCTTCACTGCTAACTTCTAATATTTAAAGGACCACACCTAAAATTAAAGAATAACTTGCATCAAATGCATTATATTTATATTACAGGCCAAATAGTAAAAGCAGATAACAGGGGATATGAAATCACCGCATCTTCAACTGCCAGGTTATAAAGCTTCAAGTCAGTTGTAAAGGACCAAAGTTTCCTACCTTTTCTCCAGCATTTGCCTTTAACCATGACTATTCTGGACTCCTGCTATGAGGTTTGCTATTATTTGGATGACGAGAGAAGGCAGAGTAGGGCAGAGTCCAATATTCCCACTTCTCTCAGGATAACCAAGGCACTCCCTGGAGCCCACTCTCCCGAAGCCAGAACAACGAGACCTGCAAGCCCAGCTGGGGTCTCCAGGGATTCGATCTTTTGCACAGTGCTTTTGACTTAAGACATTTTCACTGCAAAGTGAGTGAGTGGGTTGCATATAGCTCTGTAATTAGCCAGGTTGTCCAATGCTGCCCAGGGCCCTTTAGAGTTCTGCCTCCGACCTGCCCTTGTATATGCCCTCTCTCAGCCCAGTGTCCTCAGATACAGTGCCCTCGTTTCAAGCCCAGTTTTTCTCTCCCTCCACTGGCATGCTTCTCATCTGGTCTGGCACCTTACTCAAGCTTTGGCCTCGATTCTGTCATTTAATCATCCATGGCTCTGTGCTGTGCAGCTCACGGGCCAAGCCAGCCCTGCTCTTCCCCTAAATGCATCTCCAGCTCCAGGAATCTGTTTGGAACTTCAAGCCACTTCCTTGTTGGGTGGAGTGGTTTGGACATGGAACAATTCTAACTACAGGCATTCTCCAACAGTACCGAGCTTCCTCCCATGGCGCCCAAGTTCAACACCTTCCCAAACAGAAGGAAAATGATTCACTGATTCAGTGTGCCTGACAAAAACAATCAGTACATGAGAGAACTTTTGATGCTGCTATTGAACCATAAGGAGAATCATCCCCTGTATTAGCCAAACTAATTAAAATCTGTCAGTTATGCCATAATAAATAAATTATAAATTAAAACACTAGTGTCACCATATTCAGAGTATATTTTGATAGATCTTCCATAAATAAACTTACATAACTTGTAATCATTAGCAGGTACAAATGTCAAAACATACAGGTCATCCGAATTAAGTTCAAGTTCTATGAATCCAAGATCTTTAGTTTTGAGAATCTTCTACATACCAACCCATATAAACTCCAAGTCTTAATATAGGATCATCAAAGCTCAGGGCATCCTAAGATAACTTCAGCCATCCCTAGCACCTGAAGGCCTGGGCAACATAGTAAGATCCCCATCTTTACTAAAAATTGAAAAAAAAAAAACACCCAAATAGCTAGTTGTGGTGGCATGCGCCTGTGGTCCCAGCTACTCAGGAGGCAGAGGTGGAAGGATTGCTTGAGCCTGGAGTTTAAGGCTGCAGCGTACCATGACAGTGCCACTGCACTCCAGCCTGGGAAACAGAGTGAGACTCTGTCTCAAAAAAGAAAAAAGATAGATAGCTAATAAATATGCAAGGTATATTCTGCCTGGATTTATCAAAGCAAGCCTGGTTCAAGGATTCACATCAAACTTTGGAGGAGCCTTTGCCAGGGAAATGACAGTAGTGAGGCCTTGAGATCCTTACTGACATTGGAGAAAACAACACCGGATATGAATATAAACATGGGATAAAGCCAAACATAAAGTAAGGACAAAAAACAAGAAGGCAGGAGACACCAAAGGGAGCAAAGCTTCCTGCAACCTATCTCTCTTCAGGCTTTTCTACAGATATGCCCTGCAAAGAGAAACATAGAAATTGGCATTAGAAGACTTTCTAGTGATCATGCTAACTCTCAGAAGTCTAACATGCTTTCACCTTTGCCACACAGAAGTATTTGAGCTAAATACCATCTTTTAAAAACCTCAGGATCAGGCCAGGCACAGTGGCTCATGCCTGTAATCCCAACGCTTTGGGAAGCAGAGGTGGGTGGATCACCTGAGGTCAGGAGTTCGAGACCAGCCTGGCCAGCATGGCAAAACCCCATCTCTACTAAAAATAAAAAAAAATTTAAAAAAATTACCCAGGCATGGTTGCAGGTGCTTGCAGTCCCAGCTACTTGGGAGGCTGAGGCAGGAGAATTGCTTGAATCCAGGAGGCGGAGGTTGCAGTGAGCCAAGATCACGCCATTGCACTCCAGCCTGGGTGACAGAGCAAGACTCCATCTCAAAAAAAGAATCAAGATCCCCATTGTTGAGCATACTCCGGTTTTCCTGCCTCAGGGCTCTTTCCCCTTCCACCTCTGATCTCCTAGCAACCAGTGAACAAGGTGCAAGCCAATAATGGAAAAGAAAAAGGAGGATGGGAGAAGTTCCGACATTGCCTTTAATCTGCTTCACTGCTCTTTGTTCCCACTAAGGCAGCAGGCCCGGCTGGGAACTACAGTTTGTCTTATGAAAGATCCCTCTTACTGGACACAGAACCTATGTCAAGCAGAATTTCATGAGATTCAGTGTCTTTTTTTTTTTTTTTAAACACACCATTGCTGGCTTGAAGGCTATGTCTTTTTCCAGAAGATCTAAGACGGAAACTGTGCCACACAGCTAGTGAGTTTCACAGCTGAGCTTCAAATTCAGCCCGATCAGAACCAACAGCTCCTTTTTCCTCTAGTCCCTTCTATTTTACCTTTTTAGGTTTAAATTTACCCGTAAATGCTGTGCAAAGTCTGCATAAAGGCAAGAAATGCACAGCAAGCTGACAGAAAAAAAACAGACATTTATAAATGAAGAGTTGTTTTAATTCCACAATAAGTTGTACCATAGTAAAAACAACAGAAATATTTTACTGTCTTATTATAACATAATATAGTTCGTGACTAGACACACTAAATTGCTCCCTGTAGCAGTAATGGCATCACTAACATAATAATTGGTGGTGTTATACATATATGTTATTTTAGAAGTACCAGCTACAGGTTGTTAAGGTTTTTTAAAACCAGATGCCCAGCATTCCTAATGAGAACATGATAGAAATCTTAAATTTCAAAGAAAATGTCAATGCCAAAACAATAAATAATTTTAAATGTTCCTCCCACAGAATACTGATTCTACATACCATGGCCAAGTGTACACATGTAATCATTAGCAGGTTCACGGGCGCACAATGGACCAGATGCGAATGGGACTCTAAATCGCTCATTTAAGAATTCTGCACATGTACCCCAGAACTTAAAGTATAATAAATAAATAAACTTAAAAAATAAAAATAATAAAAAAAAGTTTTTTTAAAAAGAATCAAGCTCTCCAGATGCTGTTGGTCCTGAAAGACTGAATCAAATCAACCAATAGAGCACGTACAGTGGGAAGGGGGATATGGATGTCATCCAGACCAAGTGCCCATTCGGCACATAAGTCTCCTTGTAAGATCCCCAACATTCAGTCACCTGGACGCATGCGAGAGTGAGGCTAGTCACCCAGTGACACTGACGCGGAGCTCAGTACATCCTGGAAGAGGCCACCGCTCCCCCTTTGAACAGCTCTGTTTCATAATTCGTTGTAACCATCAGAGTAAACAAATCAGTGATTGGTCTGAGGGCATGGCATTGAGTTTATTTTCCTCAGTAACACAAATAAACAAGAATGTCTCCAATCAAGTAAATCTAAAGGTAATTGTGACACGTATGTTTAGCCTAGTTGAAACAGATCAGGTAACTGGGCCAGCGAAGAAAGGATACCTAAACCATATGAATAAGCTCACATGAAGCATCCACATTATGCAGAGTTTTTGCCCTCTTAAATAAATTTGCCACCGACATTTAAAAAAAAAAAAACCCTCAGATTGCTGATTCAGTACTGATCAGCAAATGCAGCATTTCAGCCAAAGGAGCTGGGTTTCATCGTTTGTATTAGAGTCATTGGGTATAGTGGATCTTTCTCCAGCCAGCTGACCTAGAGAGGGGGGATGTGGCATGGAGCTGAAATTGGCAACGTGAAAGTTGCTGAACTGCTCATATGGTTTGTGCAATTCGCTGAAATAGTAGAAGAACTAGCTTTCTAGATAGAAAATATAGGCATTGTGTACTTGGAATGCGGAGTGTTAAAAAGTAATATCTTACCCATATTACAGGCTGCCCAGGTAATAAACTGACACTCATACCAGTTAAAAAAAAAAAAAAAACACATTTTAGAGAACCACTTTTTCAGTTCTTAAGCACTATTTTCATCTTTAATATTTTCGTTTGTTTTTCAGTGTCTTTTTCTCAGAGGGAAAGTTTCTCCCTGAAATAGTGGAACAGTTTAAGGGTTTGTAATCTAAGTAAATAACCTAAATATATCTTCTCCACATGTACATGCTCAAGATTACAACTTGTATTCTCTGAGTTTAATAAGCACTACAGTTTGACTGTTTCTCATTAAAAAGAGAATGGGAGTAAGGTAGAAATTCAATAACTGTTCAAGTAAAATACAGCCATCCTAACATCTGTATTATATTAGAGGAGACACAAGACAAAACATTGACTCTTGAGGTTAAATCTAAATTTCCTGCTGCAGTCCTGAAAGAGTTTGAGAATCTAGATCAAAAAAGCAACAAAGAAAATGGGACTAAAAATGTCTTCAAGCATATTTCAAAAGCTATTAAATGCCTACACTTAGTTATTTCCTAGAAGCACCAACTTAGTCAGCAACTACCCAATAGCCACAAACAAAAATAAATAAAAATTATGTGCCATGCTCAAATCCTTTTCCAAGTCAAAGAATATGCACCTGGAGTCTGGGTATCATAGAGGTGTCAAAGCACCTCCTCTGATTCTCATATCTCTTATGAGATGTTGTTGAATTTCCACATCTTCCTCTGTAATATATTTTTACATCACCCTTGAATTTCAAAAGATATTATTTCAGCCTCCTTTTGGAATTGACTGATCTTTAATTTTATAACTCACACTGCAAGAAGAAAATCCAAGCTCTCAATGGGTCAGAGGGCAATAAGCAAGACAGACTATCACGGCAAAAACTAAAGAGCACGAAACCATGACCAGGATTCAGGATATTCTGTCCTTAAGCCTGGCTTGCAAGTCTACAACCTCTTCCTTGTCAAACTGGGGAGGTAAACTGAGTTTTAAGGAAGTAATGTTGACCTACTGTGTGGCTATGTGGAAGCTTCTCTAAAATGCTGCCATTTATATATATATATATATATATATATATATATATATATAGAGAGAGAGAGAGAGAGAGAGAGAGAGAGAGAGAGAGAGAGAGAGAGACGAAGAGTTTGTTATTGTTATACTGAACTCAGAATGAAATAGCCTCTCATACCAAATTCCAGGGGAGAGTGAGGTGCATATTTCTAAACCTTGCACATTAGAAAAATTTTCTCAACCATGAAGATTCTGATTTAATCAAGGAACTGGGATTAGAAGGAGAGATTTACCATGAAGTCATTTTAGACAAGTCTTATATCAATTTTTTTTTTTTTTTTGATGGAGTTGTTGCCCAGGCTGGAGTGCAAGTGGCGGGATCTCGGCTCATTGCAACCTCTGCCTCCCAGGTTCAAGCAATACTCCTATCTCAGCCTCCCGAGTAGCTGGGACTACAGGCACATGCCACCACACCCGGGTAATTTTTGTATTTTCAGTAGAGACAGGGTTTCACCATATTGGTCAAGCTGGTTTCAAACTCCTGACAGGTGATCCACCTGCCTTGGCCTCCCAAAGTGCTGGGATTACAGACATGAGCCACCGCAGCCGGCTCTATATCAATTTATATTTCAGTTTCAGCATCTAAGAAATCTAGATTCTATGCTTGATCTTCAAGACCTTTTACTAATTTATTTATTGTCCTATCTCAACAGATTATTAGCTCTCCACTGGAGTCAAACACATCCTATCGCTATTCCTTCTACCTCACTGGTTACTCCTTCTCAGTCTGTTTTGCTGGTTTCTCCCCTTAATATTGGAAGGTCCCAGGGCTCAGCTCTTGGTTTTCTTCTCTGTCATTACTCACACCCTTGAGAGCTCATCCAATCTATGTATGCCCAGACTCTCAAATTTATATTTTCAGCTCAGACCTCTCTCCTGAACTCCAGACTTCCATCAACTGCCTATTTAAAACTCCAATTGGATGTGTAATAGACATCTCAAGCTTAACATGTCCCAAATTGAACTCCTGATTTCTCCCTAACCCATCCTGCAAACATACTACCCCTACAGGCCTCCTGTTCTCAGCTGATGACAGCTCCATCCTTATAGTTCCTCAAGACAAAAACCTTAGTGTCACGCTTGACTGTCGCACTCCACATCTGATCCATCAGAAAACCTGTTCTGGAGGCCAGAAATCTGAAGTCAAGGTGCTGGTGTTGCTTTAAGCCATCCAGTTTGTTCTGTTGTTACAGCAGCCCTAGGAAACTAATACACTCATTATTTGGGGGCCATAGATTGAGCTGAGACCTGGTTAGATATTCACATTTTGAAATTATGCAGGTTGTAACACATTCCCTGAAACTGAAGTTCTTCAACTGATTGTCTTATTTCTGAAGTGACTTTGTAATTATTACTTTAGAATCATTTCATTGATAAAATGTATCATTGGGAATAAAGGAATTGTCTTTCTACTACAGTTATCATAAAGATCCTCTCATTGCAGAGAAACAGGAACACTTATACACTGTTGGTGGGAGTGCAAATTAGTTCTACCATTGCAGAAAGCAGTGTGGTGATTCCTCAAAGAGCTAAAAGCAGAATTACCACAGCAATCCCATTACTGGATATATACCCAAAGGAATATAAATCATTTTATTATAAAGACACATGTACAATAATGTTCACTGCAGCACTATTCACAATAGCAAAGACATGGAATCAACTTAAATGCCCATCAATGACAGATTGGATAAAGAAAATGTGGCACATATACACCATGGAATACTATGCAGCCATAAAAAAGAAGGAGATCATGCCTTTTGCAGGAACACAGGTAGAGCTGAAGGCTGTTATCTTTAGCAAACTAATGCAGGAACAGAAAACCAAATACTGCATGTTCTCACTTACAACTGGGAGCTAAATTATAAGAACTTATGAACACAAAGAAGGAAACAACAGACACGGGTCTACTTCAGTGGGGAGTGTGAGAGGAGGGAGAGGAATAGGAAAGATAACTATTGGGTACTGGGATTAATACCTGGGTGATGAAATAATCTGTACAACAAACCCCCATGACACGTGTTTACCTATACGACAAACCTTCATATATACCCTCAAACCTAAAAACCAAAAAAAAAAAAGTTTAAAAAAACGAAAACCAAAAACAAAAAGATCCTCTGTTGTGAGTCCAAGAGAGGATGACTAAACAGCCTTATAATTTCTACAGGCAAGCTGGCCCACAAAGCTGAAGGTTAGAAAACATTCTGTACTATTAATTGGCAAGTACATGTTTGAACTGGATTCACAAAGGGGGAGAAACTTTGGAAAATCATTCAAATTTTCCAAGTATGACTAAATTCAACCTAATTGGATCAAATTTTATAAAAATGTCTGGCTTGAGTTACCTGGACCAGCTGCCTACAGTTCCTTACTTTCTAGAATAATATGCAACTAAGTTCTTGGCTTTGACAGCGTGGTACAAACCATATTCTAAAAGGTAACAAACAAGAGCTACTGTTTTAAAGTTTATACTTCAGGAATAAACTCAGTTCCTTTGCAGGCTGAGCAACTCAGCTTATTAGACCTTTCATAGATAGGAGGATGAGAACTGAGTCACATTTGGGCATGAAGGACTTTGAATTGTTTTCTTCCTGCTGTGCCTTCAGATCAGATGACATCTGCCCAGCCTCATTTCTTCCTAGAGCTAAATGTCAATAACTAAGTATTTCCATGACTGCACTGTACACCGGTCTAAAAAGAGAATAGTTAAAGTTTAAACACGCCTGTTAGTTACTGGATATTTTCCAGCAAATGAAGAATCACAATTAGCTAATCAGATAAACAAACGTCTTACTAACACTGCAAATTACAATATTAGTCTATCATCTATTGAGCAGTCTTACTAAAGCTCCAGATGTTTTTTAGACATTATCTCTAATCATCACAAAAACTATGCGAGGAAGATGTTATTCTCCATTTTACTAGGGAGAAAATGAAGTTCAAAAGGCTGACTGGCAGAATTAGGGTTTAAACCGAGACCAGCCTGGCTGCAGACTAAGCCACTGAACAACTGCCATTACAAACAGCTAGTTCCCACTACTTTCCAGAGCTTTACCTGTATTACCTGGGTCTTTAGTTTTCAGAATAATCCTCACAGATGGGTATTGCTATGATCCTATGTCACTTATGACAGGACAGGAGTTCAGGAAGGTTAAGGGACTTTCTCAAGGTCTCACAGCTAGTGGGCTATGGAACTCGTTGAATTCCAAAGCCTTTCTTTCATTAATCTAAATACTTCCCTGTATTGAGCATTGGCCTAAGCTACTTAGAACCATTATAACCCACTCTACAAGGCAGTCCGTCTTCTCCCCATTTGCCATATGAGGAAGGTGAGGTTCACAGCGAAGACTGGACTTTTTGTGTCACAAAGCCATCAAGTGGCAGAGCTGGGGTGAGCAGCTGGGTCTGAGGATTCCAAGCCCATGCTCCTGCCACTGCCCCAGGGTGCCTTGCACAGGACATTTAATAATTAAGCCAGTATCTTGTAGAACACCAGGCTAACTGTCAAGGGCCTATTAAGGCAAAGGAGAGCACTTGAGGTAGCATAAAGGATTCAAGTGAAACAATTTGATGATACAGTAACAGGAAGAAAAAGTAAGATCCAAGGCAGCAAAAGGCGAGTTCACACTGCCAATGCACAGAGCAGCAAACATTCTCTATTTTCCAAGTAATCATGCTTTTAATTTGATTTGCATAAATTCAAATAAATAAATAAATAGGTAAACATACATGAGTAGAGGAGGAAGGTATACCTTGCAAGAAATGAGCTTGGTATCAAGTGAGAGAGGCCAATATCAAGAATTTCTATTTGTTTTATTGATTTTACTTCAGTTTCAGAGGCTCATCCCTGCCCGTATTCCAACTCTTGTTTTCAGTAACAGAATTCTCCTGCCTCTAACCACAATGTTGGTTTGGCAGGAAATGAGGAGAAGGTTCCTTTTGAATTCAGACTATTGCTCTATGATAAACTCTTCTCCCTTGGGTGAGAATCTGAAGTCCCTTTGCCAAAAAGGCAAAGAAAGGATAAGTTTACAAGACAATACTAGTCTTTCTGTTACATATTGCAGTGTTACAAAATACTTCCACATACATTCTCTCACTGGATACATCCTCTCACTTTAGCCTTAGGAGGCAGACAAAGGCTATATCATAATCCTCATTTTACTGAGAATAAAACTGAAATCCGATTAAGTGACTTCTTCAAGATCATACTGCCAGTAAAACCCAGACTGGGACCCAGATATTCTGTTACTAAATCTCAGGTCCTTCCCATCCCATAATGTCACTAGGTTTTGTTTTGTTTTGTTTTGAGGCAGGGTCTCATTCTGCCGCCCAGGTGGGACTACAGTGGTGCAATCACCACTCATTGCAGCCTTGAGCTCCTGGGCTCAAGCAGTCCTCCTGCCTCAGCCTACTGAGTAGCTGGGACTACAGATGCACACTACCATGCCTGGTTAATTATTTTTATTTTTATTTTTGGTAGAGATGGGGTCTCACTATGTTGTTGCCCAGGGTGGTCTCAAACTCCTGGCCTCAAGTGATCCTCCCACCTTAGCCTCCCAAAGTGCTGGGATTACAAGCATAAGCCACAACACCTGGCCAGCATCACACTTTAAATTACCTGTGAAGTATCTATAATCATGATTACTTTGGGAACTAATGTTACCTAGGTCTCTGTCCTCCACCACTACATCCACCAGCCTCTTCACCCCACCGCTCACTGAGCATGGGGTTACCAGTCCTCTTAGTTCTGTCTAAACCCTCACTAAATCAGAATGCATAGTTCAGGCCAGACTGATTGGGGAAACTGAGACACATTTCTAACAGGACTTTCGCTTTTACAGCCTCATAATAACTACTATTGCAACATTATACTAAAAACAGTGCTGATGTTAATAATAATGATAATAATTTATTAAGTTCTGATTATATGTCAGGTACTTTACATATTTAATCCTCTCCAAAACTTTATGATAGAAGGTCCACAATCCTTATCCACAATTCTGAAATACAAAAAGCTCTGAAAACCCAAGTATTTTTCCCTAAGTATATGGCAAACTCTTCTTGTGGTAAAACTTGACCTGAACCAACATGAATTTTTAAAAAATAATCTTCATTTATCCACTTAGAGTGAACATTCATACATTTTGCTGCCACACAGGTCACATGTTTGAATGAGGGAGTGCTGTCCTAGGCCCTCCTGTCATGTCACATCTTATGTTCTTTGGAGTATATACACTTTTTTTCTTTCTAAAATCAAAATTATCTGAATACCAAAATACATCTGGCCACAAGAATTTCAAAGATCCCCACTTCTCAGATAAATAAACTGAGATTCAGAAAGAATACATTTTTAGTACACATCTCCTCTAAGTCATCAGAGCCCTTTTACTAATGTAATAGTCAATACTTGTTACAGGCTGAATTGTGTCCTCCCAAAAGTCATATGTTGAGACCCTAATCCCCAGCATGACTGTATTTAGATATGGGGCCTTTGAAGAGGTAATTAAAGTTAAATGAGGTCATAAGAGTTGGGGCTTAATCCGATAGGGCAGGTGTCCTTATAAGAAGAGGAAGTGAAACCGTAGCACTCTCTCTCTCTCCCTCCCTCTTTATCCCCCTCCCCCTCCCTTCCTCCTTCCCTCCCTCTCTCCGTTTCCCGCCAATCCCTCCCCCACCCACTCCACCCCCATCCCCACTGTCTTCCTGCACAAACACAGAGGAAAGGTTGTGTGAGGACACAGCAAGAAGGCAGCCATCTACAAACCAGAAAGAGAGGCTTCACCAGAAACCAATCCTGATTTTGGGACCTTGGTCCTGGTCTCCTAGCTTCCAGAACTGTGAGAAAATAAATGTCTATTGTTTAAACCACTCAGTCTGTGGCAGTTTTTTTTTTTTTTTTTTTATGGCCGCTCAAGCAAACTAATACAAAATTTATTTATTTTTTTAATTGGGAAAAGGGTAGCTATTATGTCTTCATATAAGCTAATAGTTGTAGTTAAGTGGACCACTTCAATGTATACGCCCTTCAAACTATTTTAAAGGCCACTGGCTCATGGCTGATCTGAGAGAGCTGGGATTGCATTTATCATCTGTTGTCACCCTATCCAGTCTTTCATGAGAAAAATTCAGCAAACAGCAATGATTTACTATGTGCCAGGCACTGTTCTAAGTGTTTCATGTATATTAACATGTTCAGCCTTCACAACAACCCCTTGAGATAGACACTATTATATCCACTTTACAAATGATGAACTTGAGGCACAGAGAGGTTACATATATTGTCTCGCTAGTAAAACTGGCAGAGCAAGCATCTGAATCTCAGCAGAAACCAAACAGGAAAAAATCCTTTTCCTCATAGTGCTTATAGGGAAAGGTAGGGCAGAAGGCAAATAAATAAAATAAATAAGCAAATTATATAGTAAAGTAAAAGGTTATAACTCCAATGGAGAGGAATTATCTAAGCGTTTAACAACTAGACCGGGCACTGTGGCTAGCTGGGCACAGTGGCTCACACTTGTAATCCCAGCACTTTGGGAGGCCAAGGCCAGTGGATCACTTGAGGTTAGGAGTTCCAGACCAGCCTGGCCAACATGGTGAAACCCCGTCTTTACTAAAAATACAAAAATTAGCTGGGCGTAGTGGTGGGTATTTGTAATCCCAGGTACTCAGGAGGCTGAGGCAGGAGAATTGCTTGAACCTGGGAGGCAGAAGTTGCAGCGAGCCAGAATTGCACCACTGCACTCCAGCCTGGGCAACAAAGTGAGACCCTGTCTCAAAAAAAAAAAAAAAAACGGTCTCACACTGAATGGAATACCAGGTCTGGTGTCTGAAGGGTAAAAGAGAAATTTCAGCACAAATATACTAAATAATAAACTCAAAGCAATCAAAACAATGCCTAAAAATAAATGTATTTGTTTAAAAAATACATAAGAACATTATGTAAAGCTACAGAAGAACTATGATGGAGTCACAGGGACCCGATTGTCCCCTCCTACCTGAAGGAATAAAAATTTTTAAAAACCAGACTATATATATGAAACGATGATTCTCAAGACATACTGGATATCAGGTGATGAAGGACAGTGATTTCTGAGAGATGAGAAACAAATGAAGTGAGCCCTGTGATTTACCCAGCCTACTGGCTTGAGAGAATTTGCAGGCCATGGTGCAGGGATGCGGAACCACAGTAGAACCCATTATGAGATGCCATTAAAGCAGTATTTGAAGACAAATGTGTAGCTCTAACTGCCTACAAGAGAAAGAGAAAAGAAGAAAGGTTTTCTTTGAAAACCTTTGAATCAATAACCTCAGCTTCCACCTTAAACTGGAAAAGGAAGAGCAAATTCAACCCTAAGTAAGATGAAAAAAGAAGATGATAAAGAATAGAGTTGAAAATGATAAAGTGGAGAATGGAACAACAATAAAGAAAAATAGATGAAACCAAAACCTGGTTCTTTGAGAAGATGAATAAAATTGATAAATCTCTAGCCAGGCTGATCAGGGAAAAAAAGAGAGAAGAATCAAATTATCAATAATCAGGAATGAAAGTGGGGCTATCACTACATAGTCTACATATATTTAAAAGATTATAAGGAAATATTGTGAACAACTTTATGCCAATAAATTCAACAACTTAGATGGAATTAACATACTCCTTGAAAGACATAAACTACCAAAGCTCACTCAAGAAGAAACAGATAACCTGAATACCCCTATAACTACTAAAGAAATTTAATTTATAGATTAAAATGTTCTGACCAAAAACAAAACAAAGAAACAAAACTTTTCAAGCCCAGCTGGCTTCACTGGTGCACAGGTGGATTCAACATTTTCTCAGCTACTAGGGAGGCTAAGGAAGATCACTTGAGCCCAGGAACTCGAAGCTGCAGTGAGTGGTGATTATGCCACTGCACTCCAGCCTGAGTGACAGAGCTAGACAGTATCTCAAAAAGAAAGAGGTATCATAGACCAAAATATAAAACCAAAAACTATAAAACTTCTAGAATAAAACATAGATGAAAATCTTTATGACCTTGAATAAGACGAAGATTTCCTAGATACAATACTAAAAGTATTATCCATAAAACAACAAGTTGATAAATTAGACTTCACAAAAACTAAAACCTGTTGAGATTAAAAGAAAAGCCACAGACTTGGAGAAAATATCTGCAAAACATATATCTTATAAAAGATTTGTATGCAGAACATAAAAAGAATTCTCAAAATTCTAAACTGAGAACACACAAACCAAATATAGATATGGGCAAAAGACATGAACAGACACTTTATCAAAGAAGATCTACGAGTAGCAAATAAGTACATGAAAGGATGCTCACCCTCATTAGTAATTAGAGAAATACAATTAGAACAACAAGAGATAGCACTACATACCAAATAGAATGGCTAGAATTACAAAGACCCACAATAGTGAGCGTTAGGGATGGTAATGAGTACCTTTCATACACTGCTGGTGGGAACGTAAAACAGTATATTCACTTTGGAAAACAGTTTGTTAGTTTCTTCAAAAGTAAAGTATATACCTACCACATGATCCAGCCATTCCACTCACAAGTATTAATATTTATCCTAGAGAAAAGAAAGTGTACATCCATACAAAGACTTATCCACAAATGTTCATAGCAGCTTTGTTTGTAATAACTAAAAACTGGAAATAATTTAGATGCCCATTAACAGGTGAATGATTAAACAAATTGTGATATATGCAGATAATGAATTACTCCTGAACAATGAGAAGGAATTTACTTATGATACACATAACAACCAGGGTAAATCTTAAAATAATTATGCTAAATAAAAAAAGACAAAAAAGCTTTCATATATATGAAACTCAAGAAAATGCAAACTAATCTACAATGACAAAAAGCAGATCAGTGTTGCTGCCTGAGCTGAGGAAGGGGAAGATTAGGGTGGGAATCAAGAAGGAGCAATTATAAAAGGGCACCAAGGAAACTTTGAGGGATGATGGATATGCTCATTATCTTGTGTTGATGGTTTCATCAGTGTATACATAACACCAAAACCTACCCAGCACTATCTGCACATACTGTAAACATGAAGTTTATTATATGTCAATTGTAACTCAATAGATCATTTTTTAATTAAAACATAAAAAACTAAACTGAATTTTTCTGTCAAATTTAGTGATATTATATTCCTTTTACAGAAAGGCATGACTGACTGCAAATAAATAAGTGGGCCCTGTACAAAAGCTAGGAAGGATTTAAAGTTCTTCAAAAGATTGTTATTAATGGGTCAGATTCAGAGACAATCAACTAGTTGATTCTAGTTCAAGGAGGAAGAGATTTGCTATCTTTCTTTGCCTTCCTTATAAAAAAAAATCAAGATTTCAAATATTTTATAAACAACTTTTAGCACATTCAATAAATTTGTTTATTATGTATTCTGATTATCTACTGCTGCATCAAAGCCCACTCTAAAACTTGGCGTCTTAAATGCAGTTTGGGCAGAACTCAGCAGGAACAGCTCATCTCTGCTTCACTCAGAGCAATTTAGACTGGGAGCTGGCACTATCTGAAGGTTCACTGATTCAGTTCTGATGGATGAAACTGGCTGTCAGCTGAGACCTCAGCTGGGGCTAGACCCACAACACCAAGCCTCTCCATGTGGCCTGGGCATCCTTACAACATGGTGACTCATCCCAAGAGAGAGTCAGTCAGAAGCTGTGTCACCTCTTTTAACCTAGTCTTTTAAGTCAAAGAATTTGCAGACAGTTTTTTAAACCACCATACTGTGCTTATCAAAAATGCAGATTCCTCACCATTCCTTTCAAATACATGGCCGTATCAGGAGCGTTAATAAAAGGAGCACTGCACCAAGACTCTGGGAAACTAGATTCAAATTCTGATACAGATTCAAGACTTTCAACATTTATGGATGTTAATTTTCCATGTTCAGAATAGGGACTAGAAAACTGGTGTGTTACAGATGAAGTTGAAGTGGGACAGAAGAACAGAGAGACGCAAGGAGACAGATTGCACAGTTCAAGTATTTAGCAGAGAAAGGTAGTGAAGGCAACTGGCAAAACGCTGTATCTAAACTCCAGTAAGATGCTTAAAACCACTGATGGGTCAATCCCATGAAAGCAGAGTGGAGAAGAGTGGTAGGCCTGTCAGCAGCCACCAGCAGTGACATCTTGCAGCAGATAGCAGATGGCTTTGAGGCCACAATTGGGTTTTGGTACCCCTGTCCCTGGGCAGAACTGTGCTTCCTCTGGACCCTGAACTTTCTGCTATTATTGAATCAAATCATACAGAACTATCATTGCATGCTTATATGACCAACTCTCCTGCTAAACAAATATGCTGCATATAGGCAGGGAATGTATTTTATTCATTTTTGAATCTCAGCACCTGTCACGTTACCTTCATTGCCTGGGACTCAGCAGGTGCTCATGAACAAATGGAACTGAACTATCAAGGTCAGAATGGAAAACCAGTCTCAAAGGAGTAAGAGTTTAGGGCAGGTTGTCAGGCCAGGATTTAGAACTCAAGGTAATAAAGGCCCAGTTATTAGATGTTGTGTTGGTCTAAATTCTATAACCAAGACAGACCATCAGTGACCTGATTCAGTGCTGAGGTCCTGAGTATGAGTGGCAACAAGGCCAATCTGCCTGAACTCTTAAATAAGGGCTCCTTAATTTCCCCCAAAATGAATCCTAAAGCCTGGGGTATAAGCCCTCAGGAAGGGAACAAGTAGTAGGGATAGGAAGGTCTGTAGCTATCCCATGTGAAAGAGAGCAGCAGGCAGCCTGTGAGGCTCTTTCTGCTCTTTGCTTCTAAGATCATTCCGCTTGGAAACGGGGCTGCCTAAGACCCAGTACACTCTGGGTAACATGCCTGGGCATCTCCCACCGTGCCATGAGGCTTCTCCGGGCCAGACTTCTCTGCCGTGAGCCCATCTATCTGACTGCTTCTAGACACCCACAGGCATCCAATAGAGCTCATCGTCATCCCCCAAACCAGTGTGCTCCTCTGCATTCCCTGACACTGACTCCGAGCAACAGAATCGTCCCCAACCAGCTGGCCAAGCAGAAGCCAGGCCTTGATCATGACTTCTTGCCTCACTCATTCCCAACTTGCAGTCCTGTTCTTTATCATCACTCAACATGGTCTCCTCTTCCAAGACACCCTTCCCTGACCCTGAAAGAGTTGCTCTGCCCTCTCTCCTGTCTTCCCATGGCATACCTTGATCATAACCTGCCATACCTTGATCATACCCTGCCATACTTCCGACTTCCCCACTGGACCGGAAGTATCTTCCGATCCTGGACCATGTGTTACTACACTGACCAAATGAAATGTTTGCTCAACAAATATTTGTTGGCCAATGAATGAACAAGCAAATTAATCCACAGTTCTTGTAAACCATGCCACCACCTAGCACTTCCTAACCCCCGACCCTTCTTCCTTTTTCTCCATAGCACTTACTGCCTTCTAACATATCATAAATTACCTTCTTTCTTTTGTGATCTCTTTGTTCTCAACACCACTCCTTGAATGTAAGCTCCATGACAAAAGGGATTTTTTTGTTGTTTTACTTCTGTATCCCAAGGGCATGAATTATGCCTGGCACTTAGTAGGTACTTAATAAATATGAATGAATGCTGAGCCTGTGCTGCTCAGCAAGGTTCAGATGGCCATGGCATTGTCTCAGCAGCTATTCCCCTAGGTTCTCTAGCAGTCATGCCTCCCAGTGTGCTACCCTTTCCCCATCTGAGACTTACTTTCCTCGTTGGCCTGAACAACAGCTTATTTTAGGGCAGCTGCTACTGCTGCAGAATCAGCTACCAAAGAAAACACTTCTCATCTTAGCATCTGGAAAACTCACTTTGTGTTTCAACTCTTATGTGCTCATGTGCCAGCAAAAGTACCTTTTTCATTTTTTACAGTCAAATATTCAAGTGACTAGAAAATATTAGTTTCAAAATGCATTTATGAGGAACTAGTTGGTTCCTGAAAATTCAAATGTTTGTCAAATTTTAAGATTTTTTTTAGAATTTGGTTTCAGGGAATATTAAATTTTGATGTATGTTCCTAAGTCAGTGCTAGGAAAATCACCTCTATTTTTATAATAACAAAGTCAAGGTTAGGGGCTGCCTACAGTCAGGAAAATTATGTTCTCTATCTTTTTAAAAAATTCATATGAGGTCTAAAATGCCACTAAAATGATGTTTTCAGGATTCCTTACATAAGAAAGGAAGAAACTACTGTTTTTCAGCACTTACCATATGCAGATACTTTAGATATGGCATACTGTTTAATTCTCATGACTCTGGAATATAGGTATGACTACACCCATTTCAGAGTTGAAGAAATTCTAAATCAGAGCAGTTCAGTAATTAACGTGATATGTTAATCCTCAACAAAAAGAAAGAGATCTGAAATTAATATGGCAAAATAAGATTTGACACAGATAAAGGGTGGGTAAGCAGTTGTTCTCGTATATATTTTTCTGTGAGCTCTGAGATACTTCCTAACCAAAAAAAAATCAATAAATGATGGCAATACTTCACCCTCATTACAGTGCCAATTAGGAGCAGAGCCCACATGCAAATTCACACCTGTTTGATTCAGAAGTCTATGTTTTTTCCACAATATTGTGCTTCCTCCCCCGAGTAGAAACTATTATATATGCTTGAAATAATATATAACCAAGTTAGAAGACCTGCAAGGTCAGTGTAACTCATCATTAAATAGAATTCGTATTAGCAGTACTAATAATACAAACGTGACAAATATTTTGGATTCATATACTACCTTTTATCCAAATCATTGAGATGATTCCATAACCCTAGACAAGGAGATTTGGAAAAGTATCCCCGTTCCTATGCATCTTAGGCTATTGCCTATAAGCTTAAAACCAGAATCTCTTTCTTACAATTCAAGACAGAATTAAAAATAAGGAGCATTAAATTTAGGAAATTTTATGGTCAAAGAAGAAAATGTGAATAAACCAAAGAAAGTAAGTAGGTAGGAGGTAGCTGGGAGTGAGTTCTGGAAGAGGAGTGAGAGAGAATTTTGAGACTCAAAGAATAAGAATAGGAAAGAGTGGGAGGGAAATGATTATATAAAGAAAAAAAGCATTAAAACAAGCAGAAAGTGAGGTGAAGTCTGAAGGTGGAGAAAGACAAGAGTTAGAGAAAAGAAAAGGAGAAGAAAAATTAAAAATTAAAAGAGAGGGGTAAAGAAATCGTGAGGTAAAATGAATGGTAAAAAGGAGAAGGCAGACACAGGCTACCAGTCATTTCAGAAATTAGTCCCATGTCCTGCCATGTGGGCTTTTCCCTGGCTTTACTTATAGTTACAAGATAGCAACTTTGAGTGATACATTTTGCAATAGCAAGGTAATAAATTAAAAGCATCAATGAGCAAACAGACCTCTCACAATGAAAATTAAGCACTGAGGAATGCTAATTTCAATTCCTACATGACATAATGCTTAGAAATGTGGCGTGTGGCACCTAAACATGATGTTGTTCTGGAACCATTTTCAATTCTGCAGCGAGCCTCCAGACCGCAGGCTGCTGCTACGGACTTGATTTCTTCCATCCCTAGTCCAGTCCACCAAGCTGTGGATTGGAATCTGACTCCATCTTTACTACCAAACAAGCAGGAGGAATCTTCATAGCATACCCCTAAACCCACACCCTCTCCTACCAGCATTCTTAACCAGCGTGATGATGCGTGGAGCATCGCATCACATCAGCGGGAACACACATCAGTGAAAAGGTGCACTGTTATGAATGAGTTTTTCTTTCTCTTTTTCAGGGGATTTTTTTTTTCAGAGATTTGCTCTGTCATACATACAATCATAATTTGTCAATTAAGAAAATTTTTCAAAAAAATTAACCATATGCCAGATGATCTATTAAAGATGATCTTTATGTATAGGCAGTTTCTTTTTTTTTTTTTTTTTTTTGTGAGACGGAGTCTCGCTGTGTCGCCCAGGCTGGAGTGCAATGGCGCGATCTCGGCTTACTGCAAGCTCCTCCTCCTGGGTTCTCCTGCCTCAGCCTCCGCAGTAGCTGGGATTACAGGGGCCCGCCACCAGGCCTGGCTAATTTTTTTGTATTTTTAGTAGAGACGGGGTTTCACCGTGTTAGCCAGGATGGTCTCGATCTCCTGACCTCGTGATCCGCCTGCCTCGGCCTCCCAAAGTGCTGGGATTACAGGCGTGAGCCACCGTGCCCGGCCCTGTATAGGCAGTTTCTAAGGAAAAGTGACACAAACATATATACAACATATACACACATATATGAACATATAAGCAATAAGCATATCTCACCCACTTTGCCATTATTTCAACCTCCTACCATTGAGAACCACTAACTCCCAACCTCCCATTGTGATGTTGAAAACTACCCTAAGCCGTACAACCCCCAGAGCCCTGGATCTTCACTCCCCCGGCCCTTTCCTTGTACCTTCTGCCCCATCAACACTGCAGCCCCACTTGGCATATCCCACCCATCTCCGTGACTGACCCAGCCTCCCACCTGCCCAGCCAGTGCTGTTTCCTGCATGGGACACCCCGTGTGAAGCCCTGAGGGCTGCATTGCTGCTGCAGGTCAGGGGCGGAGTGGACACTGTCCTCAGGCTCAGAAGAGCTGGGTTGGAGCCTTACTTACTAATTGTGTGGCCGTGGGCAATTGATTTAACCTCCGGAAGCTTCAGTGTCTTTACGTTTAAAAATGGGGACAGGATCTCCTCTACTGTCTTCATAGGATTGTAGTGAAGATTTTGTGAGCCTAATATATGGGTAAGTATTTTCTAAGTGCTAAAGTGATATATACCTACTCAGAAGTAACCTTTTTACAGATACAAGGTGGTAAACAGTGGCTCAGTTTTACAAATTACAGTATAGTGGAAAGGTCACTGGCCTGAAAGTCAGGAGATGTGGATCTGGTCTTGCCTCTGCTGGATAACCCTAAGCAAGTCCCTTAACCTCTCTGATCCTTTGTACAGTTTAATGGTGTTACTAAATTTGAAGATCTCTGACAACCCCTCAAATACCAATAATCTGTGAGTTTAGAGCAGCATTGTTCAACTGCACATGTATTAAGTAAGCTTTTAGGAGCCAGCCTGGGAACGGAACTAACCATATAACATTGCTTATATGGAAAAATGAGTTCTGAGCGCCAACAACTAGCTTACAAGTGAATTTTTGGAACAAAATCAATTCACAGTTTGGAGATTGCTTGTGTCACTACGATAGATTTCCATTAAAAACAAACAAAAAACTGAAGTTGGGAAATATCTCCATGCTGTTCTGGAGTTGATTTTCCACAACATTGGTGCTCTGACACTGGATGAGATTCAATTTTTAGTTAACCAAACCACCACCATTTCTAAGGACAAAGTGGATTTCCCCTTTGGCACATGATTGTGTGTTTGTGCATGTGTGTGTGTGTGCGCGCATTGCAGGGGCAGGGGAGGGGACTGACATAGGATTTTATTTAAAATGTGACATTATATGAAATTATGTTATAAAAAGTGTACTGAATTTTTAGAAAAAGAAATCTGCAATAGCCAAACACAGTTTTATTGCTAATCTTTATATTTTTCCTTATATTATTCTGACATTACTCTTTAAAGTGAAAAATGAAAGTGGGTAATACATCCCTTAAAAATTATAATAAAGGCAATGGGATTATTACTGCTCTCTGGAATTAAAAATTAATATAAAATTAAAATACTTCCTTCCTCAATTGCCATCCTCCTAGCAGGGAAGATGTGGACTTACATTAACCCAAGGGTCCTGAGTGCAGCAGAGAATCTCTGGGCTGACTGCCCCTATTACAGTGATGAACAGATAAGAATGTGCTGATGGATGGAATCCCAAAACATAGAAAAGTAAGTCTTTAATTTGGCTGGCCAGATTGATCAAAATTTCAGTGGGGTTATTTTCTTACTACAAGAGAGATTCTAACGGTTGTAGTAACCGTTTGAGGGTATGAAGGAGAGTGGAGAGATCCTAGGATATTGTTGTCATAGAAGCTTAGGGATATAGAACAAAATCTTATCCTTGCTAAGCTCTGAATGGGGGACAACCCATATGGAGGAAGAACCAACAGACCCAGAAACCTGATTTTAAAATCCCACGTAGAGTGGCTCCCATCCAATTTCAGAACCCAGTTCAAGTGCAGCCTCCATTCTACCAATGGGCCCTGTCTAACTCAAGGAGATCTGGCAAGAAAACAAAACAAAAAAACACTTTTGTTCCTCCTCCAGAATCAAGAATCCAAGGAGCAATGAAAATGTCACAAAGGCAATATAAAGAAACCTCACTATTGTGACACTGGAAAATAATTCATTTACCCAACTGTCGATCCATTCCCTTCGACGTCCTAAAGATCCCATGCTCTTCCTGCTCCCCCCATCCATCATAAACCTTCATGGCACAGGCAAAGTCTCCCTGAATATTCATGGCAGAAAGCCATTCCATCGTGACCCAATTGATCACAGCTGCTGAGTGGCAGAGGCACCAAATGTATCATCAAAAAAGGAAAGTTTATGGACGTACAGAGGGAAATAATAGACACTGGGGACTCCAAAGTGGGGCATGGGGTAGGAAGGGGGAAAGGGTTAAAAAAGTTACCAATTGGGTACAGTGTTCACTATTTGGGTAATGGGTACACTAGGAGCCCACACCTCCCCATTATACCATATACCCATGTAACAAACCTGCACATGTAACCCTTGAATCTACAAAAATTTTTAAATTTTAAAAAATAAAGGAAAGGTTGTAAACACTGTTTCCAATGATCTCATAGCTGTTCCGTTACCTAAATCGATTGTGAAGATGGCAAAATTTAAGTGGTAATTTTTAATTATTCTAGAAACAGAAAAACATTCTCCACAGAACACTATTGGAAATAATTAAATCAATGCCCCACAGACAAAAAAAAATTATAATATTCTTTTTCTAGTGTATTAGTTTTATTTCTCTACGCTGGATTTCATTCCAGAAAGGACTTGTGGTAATCAGAATGCCTTACAATCATGTGTTAAAGGCTCTGTTCTTAAAATGCCACTGAGTTTGTTCTTCAGGGTGAAACTACTTTGTTCTTGGCATTTCTTATGGGAACTGAAGTCAGGCCAAAGTGTTGCCAAACCAGAGCTGAGAATCTCTGGGCTGACTGCTCCTCCTACAGTGATGAGCAGGTAAGAAGGTACTGATAAATGGAATCTCAAAACATAGAAAAGTGAGTCCCTAATTTGGCTGGCCACATTGACCAAATTTCAGCGGGGACACTTTCATATTATAAGAAGAGAGAATCAAACTAAAAGAAACACAGAAAAGGCCTGTTGTTTATAATGGAAAAATTGAGTGTATATAATAAGTAGCTAAAATGCAATGTTCATGGGTTCATCTTACATGTTCCAAAATTAATGTTTTGGTGGATGGTTTTTAGGATAAAAATAACCACAACCTAAGAAATCACAGTTATGAGGACATGTTACTCTAAGACATTTTTCTCATGTATTTTCTTTCTATTGCGGATTAAGCTGTATACACTGTTGAGAAGTTAATGCTTTCCCATTCAACAAAATTTTATGTTCTACTCATTTTGTGGCTTATGATGAGATGCACAGATGTTTTTTCCAAAGTCATGTTTAAAACATCATATTTCTAAACAAAAATAAAATGAACTATCCATGGTTAGGTTCCAGAAATAGACCGCCACACAGTTTTTCAGAAACAGTGCCAAGAATCCTGGCAGCTAATGTATAAAAGTCATTGTCCTTTCCCCAACCATGGTGGTATTCTGTGTCTCATGTACTTTCCAGAAATTATTACCATCCAGTAGATATTAACATTGTCACCCTCTAACAGTATAACGTATTCATGGAAATGAAAAATCAGAAACAAAAAAGGTGAGTAATATCATTTTGTCAATTGTCAGACCTCTAATAGGAATCAAATTAGGGCTTCCAAGATTTAGCTGACTGGGCACAATGCTAGGCAAAGCGACAGCACTAGATGCTACTTCCCCTCTGCAGGAGGTCAAAACGGCCCCTCAGGGGAATCTTTGTCTTAGTCAATAGATCCTTCTGAGATTAAGACCAAAGCAGGCATGTGTTAAAAATATGATCGCTGGAGGATTTGATGAGCTGATTACAACAAAGATGACACTGAAGTGGCTAGCATGTATTGATCATTGCTATGAGTGAAGCATCATACCAAAGGCTTTCTATAAATTAGCTCGTTTAATCCTTACAACAACCCCTTGGGATAGGATTATCAATGCCATTTTACATATGGGGAAATAAGCTTGTAATGACTAACTTGCCCAAAGGTACATGGCTAAGAATTAGTAAAGCTGTGATTCAAATTCAGTTGGGTCTGTATGCCAACTTCTTCATTTGCCAGATTCACTCTCCACCTAACTTCAGTGCCAGGTGGTCAACCTCTACAAACTGCATCCATGGGTGTCAGTGTCCTTCCTTCTGGATTCCAGTTGATTCATCCAATGGGGGCCAATCAGGAGATCAGAGGCTGAGGTGCTTATTCCCTGGGGTCCCCTGCTGTGGAGTCACCTCAAGCTGTCTATGTCCCTCAACTGAAGATCACTGTGCTTCCCAAGGTGGTACTCTCTACAAGACTCTCTCCCTCAGCTTCCAGGAACCAGTTTCTCCACTCCTTCACCCCTTCAAGCCAGAGGCAGTAACAGCTATACTGTTGCTAGCTCTGAGGTTCTGCACCATCCAATGTGATTTCACTTTATCCTTGTATATAGTCTCTGAATTAAATCTCTCATAAATTAAAATAATTTGAATGTATCTGTTGATTCCTGCTGGGGCCCTAATTAATAGAGTCTGATTCCAAAAATCATGCTCTCAACCACAAGGTTAAACTCCCCACTAAGTTATTTGAGAGTCTTAGGTGTTCGTGCTCTAGGATAAAATTACCTGGACTCCAGTATTACCTTATGTATAGCCTTGAACACTGTGAGGTCCCTTGAATTAGAGTCGTTGTTAAATCATTTCCTTACACCTTACTTGTATTACTTTATTCCTTTCTAAATCATATTACATTTTATATTATGGATGGAATTATCAATTTAAATATTAATACTTATAAAATTGATAATTTCTGATGAAATTTGATCTTTCAGAAAAAAATGGCATGTTTTTCCTTTCTAGGTCTCAGTTGTCTAGGACTTGGCTTTCTTTCTTTTTTGAGAATCTAAGCAGTAAAATAAAGACTACTGTGAATATTCGTGTTCAAATTCTTTAGAATATTGAATGGCAAAGTAGCTTCTGCTGTCTCTTCCTCTTTCTTTTAAGGATAGTGGCCATATTGGATTAGAGCCTCATCCTTATGACCTCATTTAAACCTAACTACCTCTTTAAAGGCCTTACCTTCAAATACAGTCACATTCTAAAGTACACAGAATTTAATCCACAATAGACACATTATAGATATTGTTGTTATAACAGCTTTTTATTGTTATAACAATGCTGCAATGAACAGTCTTGTAAATGTATCTTTGTACATGTGTCAGTAAATCCATATAACAAACTCCTAGAAATAGAACTGCTGAGTCAAAGAAATACATTTACATATATACTGCCAAATTGCCCCAAATTTGAACCTCCATCAACAGTGTCTGCGAGCAGTCATTTCCCCTCACACCCAACACATGGCATATTATTGAGCTCTTTTTTATCTTTTCCAATCTGTAAGTAAAAAAATACCTTATTTTAATCTGCTGCTTTTAATTATAAGTGAGGCTTTCTACAATATAATTTTTTATAGGATGATACCATCCTTTTTTTATACATGTTATCATATTTATAGTAATTAAGTGCTTACATTCTATATATTATTTTAGGGAATTAAAATTGCTAAAATATATTTACTTGAGTCTTATAGGCCACTATTGGCACTTTGGTTCCAATATATCTAATCCAATATAAAGAAGCAAGGCCACATATGCTTTGCATAGAGTCTGTTCTAGATAAGTACTTGCCGAATGAAACTGGTAATGATCCCATTTACTACCAGTTCTCAATGCTAACAAAGCAAGTCCCTAATTATCAGTCCATTGTTGAGTGGTTATGCGTCTCTCAATATCTTTAAATTAAGTCACGTCTTTTTTCCTCTAGGGATTATTTTCCAGTTGGCATGTAGGTATGACCTAACCTAGTGCTGTCAAATTGGTTGAAAGAAAAAAAAGATTGGTTTTAACCTTAAACTTACCTGGAAAAGCTGGGCAAATAAATCAAATTTAATTTTTAGCCTAAGACTAGAGCATACTAAACTGTTCTTGTGCACCACTATGCTTTTAGAGCCTCTGTAAGGCATGATACCAGAGCAGCCTCAAGATAGGAGTCCCTATTGGAAACAGGCATTCGATATGAACCAGGACAAGTTCAAATGAATAGACAAGTTGTCGGGAGAAAGATAAGTATGTTTACTATGGAACATAAAATTTTAAAAAGAAAAATTGCCTGCAAGACTTTGGCGTGAGTGCATTTATTGGGATGGGGGCCCCATAGTGAGGGAGGAGATCGTTTTTATATTTAATAGAACTGTCCATGTTTCCCAAGTGCCTCTTAATAGCAGCAGTAATATTTATGAACAGATACACTAGTCAATTCTGTTTGCCACATGTAAATCTAAAAGTGCAGGTTAAGTTTCCCATGTTCCAGGATTTCATCATGTTTTTGGCAAGCATACATACACATAAGGAGACCTTTTGTTAAACCACATAACTCTGATCTTGTTTATGAGCTCTAAAATTAAATTATCTTGCATAAATGCTCAGAAGGTAATTTTCATATTAGTCTCAATGGTCCACAGTACCACCACAAAAGATTCAGTCACAATTCATTCTGTGACACTGGGCAGCCTGTCAGCTTCTTTGGTGGTACAATGTGCTGCTTCATGGGAGTTTCATGACCTACAGACTCTCAGGCATTTGCAGAGGGAAAGAGTAGCTGGAAACACTTTTGCCAGATCTGTGGCAAACACATTTACCATCGAATAAAGAAAATATACTACATACCAATGCAATAGAAGGAAGACTATAGTTCAGAGCCTGCAAACTTTTTCTGTAAAGGGCCAAATAGTAGCTATTTTAAGTTTTGCAGGCCATACAATCTCTGTCACAGCTACTAAACTCTGCTTTTGTATCACAAAAACAACCATAGACAATACATAAATGAACAGGCATAGGAGTGTTCCAATAAAACCGTATTTACATAAAATGGATGGCAGGCCAGATTTGGCCTGTGTGCCACAGTTTAACAACTCTTGCTTGAAACTATATTGATCCCTCTCTTCTCTAGGATTTTCCCTTGTAAACATACACAGTTACTATGTGTCAAGCCCAACTGAGCTTTTTAAAAATAATTCCATCCTCAAAACAACTCTGCTATTATTATCTCTCCAATTTCGTAGATGAGAAAACTTAGGCACAGAGAGGTTGAGTAACTTTCCCAAGGTTGTACAACTAGTAAGTGGCAGAGCCAGAATTCAAACCCTGGCAATCAGACCTCAGAGACCACAGCTTGCCACCCTCTCCTGTGAGGTTTTAAACTGCGCTAGAGTTTGCAAAAATTCATCTGCCCTTCCAGGCTCTTCAACTCTGGCTGGTACCCAGAGCAGATTGTTCTTGGGGTCCCAGGTTGACTCTAATCCCTTGTTAGACTTCTAGAAAAGAAATACAAGGAGATTCTGAGGTTTCCAAGTCTACCCTGGTATTTGGAGGTTCTCAGATGCCTTGTAATGGGCTCTGGAACTTTATCCAGCACCTTTTCTCAATTTGCTATAAGTCAAGATGTTACTTTGTTCCCTAAGAAATAATTTAGGACAATATTATGCTACCAAAACATGCTATTTAAAAAACAAGAGAAGACACTAGAAACTTGCCATATTTCAGGTAAACTTAATGCCTCTAGAAATAAAAATGTAGGCCCGTTCATCATGTGAGGACATAGCTAGAAGGTGCCATCTATGAACCAGGAAGCAGCCTTCACCAGACCCAAATCTGCGGGCATCTTGATCTCAGACTTCCCAGCATCCAGAACAATGAGAAAAAAATATCTGTTGTTTATAAACTAGGAGAGAGAAAGAGATTTACCCAAAGTTCTCTTATAACCCAAAAGTATGGTTCATCTGAATGAAAACAGATGAACTTTGTCATCTTAAGTAAGGGGATACCATCGTGAGGTTTGGAATTTATCTCTTGTAAATCTGAAAAAAGTAAACAAATCCTAACTATTGATATTCTGATAGCACTGAGGACAGGAGTTGAATTGTAAATTGCTGCTTACCTAGCATTCTGCATGACTTGGTCTTCCCTCACCACCCTATCTTACCATATGGATTTTTCTTTTGATCGACACTTAACTCTTTCAGTAGGATTAAAACCACCATCCCAGATAATTAAAGATGAAAGTAAACTGAACATTCCCTTTTGGAACTTGGAAACTCCCTGCGGTTGCCAAAAAGAACTTGAAATGCTTTAAGATAGAGATTATACATTCAGTCAAATCAGCAATTATAAATTACTAGCTTTGTGCAAGGCTTTAGAACATAAGTAGAATGAGAAAAGAGGTTATTCTCTGAAACAGCCTCTGGGAAGGGGAAGTGGGTGTTTTCACGTCCCATTCATAAAACCTAAGGACAAGTCCATAAACTTTTCTCTGGTCTTTACTGCAGAGCAAAGAAAATCCACTGTTTCTATTTGTTAAAAAGCTTCAGCTTTTATGTCTTGTGAGAACAGAGAATGCTTGACCCTAAGGGGCCCACAAATCTTATGCAGGACCTTTTTTGTAAGTTAAAAAACAAAACAAGAATATTTTATCATGCAAATGTGTCTTGTCATTCATTAGAAAACACCACTGTGGTATTGTGACCTGGGTTCGTAATAAGCTCTGAAGTGTTCATCGAATAGGAAAGATATGAAAGAGTGGAGGAGGAGGAAACATGTGAGGCCTACTATGTGCCAGACGCTGTGCTAGGGAATGTAATATGCATTGTTACACTAAGAAAATAGCTAGCTGTGGCCCGGCTCAGTGGCTCATGCTTGTAATCCCAACACTTTGGGAGGCAGAGATAGGCAGATCGCTTGAGGCCAGGAGTTGGAAACCAGCCTGGGAAACAGTGAAATTAAATTAAATTTATTTAAAAAAAGAAAAAAAAAAAGATAGTTGAAAATATCTTCTGTCTTCACTTTTTGTTTCGTTTTCATTTTGACATGGGGTCTCTTTATGGTGCCCAGGCAACATAAAGAGAACTCCTGGTCTCGAACTCCTGCTTCAAGGGTTCCTCTAGCTTTAGCCTCCAGAGTAGCTGGGACTACAGGCACACACCACCACGCCCGGCTGTGTCTTCAATTGATGAAGATTGCCGATGATCATTTAAAATACTTTGTCATCTCAACTGCTCTCTGGAAAATTTTAATTTTATTGGGAAAGCATTTCTTTCTTTTACACTAACACCCTCATTTAAAGCAGGCCGAGGAAGACTTCACTTTGAAGCCTTTATCCTGCTCGAGGTCAAGGATTGTACCTGCCCATTTTGTAACTGCTGTGAGAGCAATGGAAGCTCCGCAGCACTTTTAGTTATCAAGCCCTTCCTTTCCATCTCCCAATCCCCATTGTAGACTAATAAATTTTTCAATATGAAGGCTCTTGTGTGTTCATGACTGTGATAAATGAAGCATGGCTGAAGTGGCTTTGCAAGCAGCTGGAATATCCCCTGGAGAAGTCATTTACATAATTAAACCTTGGAGTATCTGAACATGGTTCAGACTGTGACCTACTCTTGCATCTGAGGTGCCTCAGAAGCAGTGTCATATCATACACGTCCTGCTGCTGCTTGATCAGCTTCGCTTCTCTATCAAGCCTTCTCATTGTGACCTGGAGAGCTTCTTCAAATACCACCTACGAGCTGCCTTTCCTCCCCATTTCCCACTTTGATTTTGCTGAAAACTCACTTTCCTTAACTTAAACTAATTTAATCTTTTTGCTGTTTTCTATGTGCCCTGGATATCGGAGGGATTATTTAAGCTGTTTTAATTTTTAATATAAAGAATATAGGGCTCTGATTATAATCATCTACTGAGTACCTAGGAATGAATGTCATACTCTGCTCTGTTTGGACAATTTGTGTTTTCTTTGTACAGATAATTCAGCTCCCTCATGTAATACCCATGTTAACCCAGAGAGGTACATATTATAATCCCTATTGTACAGAAGAGGAATCTGACCCTTCCAAGTTAAGTTAGAAATGGGAGGGACAGTGATAATGATTGAAACCTAAGATTTGACTCCTGAATCCCACTGCTCTTAACCTTTGGAAAATATTGCCCATCAACTTCTCTTTATTCAAAGTGCCTAATACAAAACCACACATAAATGCATCCTCATAAATTATCTTCAGCTATATATTTAAACTACATCTTTTTTTAATTACTGTTGTAAGGCTACATGTAGATAAGCTAGTTCTCAACATTATTTTGTTTGTGGATGCCATAATTTGACAAACACTGAGGACCCTCCATCCAGACAAAAGCACACATGCCACATATACAACAGGTCTAGATGGCTGCCAACTTTAAGGGTCTCTTTCTGACAGATTAGACTCCTTCTCAGTCACAGGCTAATGTTGCCAAGTCATCTCTCTGCAGAGGTGAACGGCAGGCACTCTCATTGTTTGCTCTTCTTTCTACTGAAGTGAAATATACCCTTTCCATTACTACACCCTGGCCATGACACAGGGAGATGGCTTACAATAGACTTTCACACTGCTGAGTCCCCATGTCTCTAACAATGATATTAAAAACAGTGTGACCTTCTGCTCCATCAACCTCAGGGATGTGGTGTTGTTTTGCTATGCCAGTACATTTTTCCCTCCTGTTCAAATAGTCTTGACTTGTATATTACAACACATATAATAATAAGGCACAATTCGTTTTCCTAACATAGAAACTTTCAGAGAGAAAGGGTTTGACCACAAGGCATAATAAAAAAAAATACCTAGATATGAAAGGCCGTCTAGAATTGTATGGTAGTTAAGAGACCAAGTTTTGGCTTAAGGTGGCTATGAATTCAAGTCTAGTTCTGCCACCTACTTCCTATGTGACCTTGAGCAATTTACTTAACCTCTCTGAGTTTCTTAATCTGTGAAACAGGGACAATACTACATTCTGCATGGTGTGAGTTAATGTTAAATGAGATTTGATGAGAAATACACGGAGCATGGCATAGAGTAAGCACTTAATGATGGATGCTATTATGATGTTATTCATAATAGCAATTTTCGATGCACTGGCTATCTGGCATGATTATTAAAAAAAGGTATTCTAGTCAATAGACATTTTCCATATATATATTTATCATTGTTAAAAGTAATATGTGGAATTAAACTGTGGACTTTTTGCCTGTACACAAAAGGAAATTCAATCAATTGAATTACTTCTTTTTATGGAATTAGAATATAATAAAAATGCTTAAAGATGAAATTATATGATTACCCTATATTTTAATCATTTGGAAAGATCCTCTGGGCCTAGGGGTATAGTAAGAAATATTAATCATCATTATTATATAACAGATAGGAAAAAGTACAGAGTAAGTGAGGCTACCTGATGATAAAATATCAATTATTCTTTTACTGTAGTAAAATATTCTATGATGTATCCTTTCATTAAGAAGTCATCTGGAAGATTTACTTTTATTGAATTAAAGGTCAAATTGAAAACTATAGATACCAGGCACTGCCTGAGCAACTTTATGTATTCTCTGTTATCATGACTCACAACTCCCTAGCAGGATAAAGATTATTATGACTCCTTTATATTTAAAACAATTGTGTAGTACACTGTGTAAAGTAACTAGTACACTTGGCCCTCTATATCAAAGTAACTAGCACAGTTCTTCCTGGATATTCATGGGGAATATCCTCTGTAAATACTAAAATCCAAGGATGCTCAAGTCCCTTATAAAAAAATGGTGCAGTTTTTTTTGTTTGTTTGTTTTGAGACGGAATTTCACTCGTCACCCAGGCTGGAGTGCAATAATGCCATCTCGGCTCACTGCAACCTCACCTCCTGGGTTGAAGAAATTCTCCAGCCTTAGCTTCCCAAGTAGCTGGAATTACAGGTGGCCACCACCAGGCCCAGCTAATTTTTGTATTTTTAATAGAGACAGGGTTTCACCATGTTGGCCAGGCTGGTCTCAAACTCCTGACCTCGGGTGATCAGCCTGCCTCAGCCTCCCAAAGTGCTGGGATTACAGGCGTGATCCACAACGCCAAGCCTAGTATTTGTATATAACGTACACATATCCTACCATACACTTTGTTAAAATAAAATAAAATAAAATATAAAGAAGAATAAGCGAAAGGTTTTATTTACGAATATATATAAAAACAGAATTGCAATTCAGGATGTACTCACAGACCAGGGTGGTCTTCAGTATGCCCAAACAACAAAAGAAAAGATTGAGGTTTCATTGGGATAGAGAAATGTAAAACATTTCGAAAGAAAGTTCATTGGCGCTAATGAGGTCTTTCTGAGTGGACAAACTGTGATTGGTGAGTGATGGCAGTAGGTAAAGCTCTTAGAGTCAGGGCAGGTCCATTCCGCAGCTACTAAAGTTGGTCTTAAGATTACAGCAGGTCATTTCAGGGGCTGGGCTTACAAGACAGTTCCTGCAGCAGGCACTTTGTGCCCTGAGTGCTTTTTTCCCCTGTTCCTTTGAAGCATAACTCCAATTTGTATAATCAATTTTCACAACTTTATATACTCTCTATATTACTTATAATACCTAATACAATGTAAGTGCTATGTAAATAGTTGTCATACTGTATAGTTTTTTTATTTGTATTCTTTTTTATTGTTGTATTTTTTTCCCAAATATTTTCCATCAGCAGTTAGTTAAATCCATTATGAGAAATCCACAGATATAGGAGGGCCGAGTGTAATTAGTACATCAAGATTCCAATCTTGGCCTAATTTCCAAAACCATGTTGTTGCTACCATTCTCTGCTGCCTGCCAAATTATACAAAGAAAAACACAGAATTTTCTTTTTTTTATTTTGAGACGGAGTCTCGCTGTCGCCCAGGCTGGAGTGCAGTGGGCAATCCCGGCTCACTGCAAGCTCCGCCTCCCGGGTTCACGCCATTCTCCTGCCTCAGCCTCCCGAGTAGCTGGGACTACAGGCGCCCGCCACCATGCCCGGCTAATATTTTTGTATTTTTAGTAGAGACGGGGTCGATCTCCTGACCTCGTGATCCGCCCGCCTCGGGAAAAATATAGAATTTTCAAACCCATCAGGATCTCTGCAAACAAAATGTCTTACTAGTTCCATCATCAATCTGATAGCCTCCTGAGGGCGGGGGGGGAAGGCAAATTTTAAAGAATATGTATACAGAATCTGCTCTCTCTAGAGTAAAGAGGGAGATTTCAAATTTGGAAAATAGAAGGTAAGAAGTTCAATAGAGGCTGGAGTGGTGGCTCACACCTATAATCCTAGACCTTTGGGAGGCAGAGAGTGGAAGATTGCTTGAGGCCAGGAGTTCGAGACCAGCCTGGGCAACAAAGTGAGACCCCCTTCCCTACAAAAAATACAAAATTATCTCAGCATGATGATGCACAGCTGTACTTCCAGCTACTCAGGAAGCTGAGATGGGAGGATTGTTTGAGCCAGGAGTTCCAGGTTACAATGAGCTGTGATCCTGCCACTGCACTCCAGCCTGGGCAACAGAGTAAGAACTTGTTTCAAAAAAAGAAAAAGAAAAAGTTCAATAGAACTCTGATCTGAGGCAACAATTCAATTCAAAAATACAACGCTGTTTTTCTGGTTTATAATGTATCTTCATATGAATGAGCTGCCATCCCAAACTAATTAAAACATCAGTTGTAAACCAAACTTGGCAATTTGATTACTTACTAATCTGAATAAAGCATCGCAAAGGGCAAAGGGCACATAACTGTATGCATAAATCACGAGAATTTCTCCAATTTTAATGAATCATGTTTTTAGGAGATAAGCCACAGTTAAAAGTTAGTTTATGTGCCAATTAAGGGAGCTGTAATCATAAATAATTTGCCTATGCCTGGAATAAAATTTAATCAATTTAGAATCATTTCCTTTTCATCTGTGCAAAGAAAAGACTACCAACTTATTTATGTAATTACCAAGAATTTGAAAAAATAAAAAGTATTAGAATTCAAGGACTAGAGTAGAACCGAGCATCAACTGGCAATCTAACATGAACTAATAATTCAGGCACTTCTATAGGTGCTGCTTAGCCCTTGAAATGTCTCCTGTATAGCCAAGAAGACTAATGAAAGATAAAGATCTGTTATGAGTTTTGCTAAGTCTCACAGAATACAGAGAATAAAGAAATTCTGTAGATTTAATTGATTTTATCCCCTTGATACCCCTGGCTTCTCAAAATGGTACCAGGCCCCTTTGTTGTAGACGTTATCTGACTTAATTTTTCCATTAGGATCAAATTGTTATCAAGAGCCAGAAGTGTGGGTACAAAATGAGGTAAAATGTCTAAAGGTAAAATAATGCAAGTTAAGGCTCAGTTAGAAAAGCCAAGAAAAGCATTTAGATGCTTTGTTTTATTCATGAGACTGTGCCAGCAATCACTGACAGAAATGAACCAGTCAGGAAATCTCAGCCAAAGCCAAAGATTTCTCGAGAATTCAGTCTTCTCTCTTGAGCATAGCTGTGTCATGCAACCTAATAATAAAGTCCAGAAACCATATTTTTCATAATTTTATGACAATACACAGACATGTTCAATGCAATAATGACTGTATTAATAGAAATCAAAGCATAGCCCTCTGTCTCTGAATATAACAGAGGCAATGAAAACTTGCAGCCTGCACAACTGTTCTAAACTTTAAGTAGCAACAGAATTCAATAGTGTAGGAAGGGGTGATCAGAGTTTAGGAAACCTCCTCTCATGGTTGCTTAAGCATTCATTTTTCCAGCTCTTCATTTTTCCTTAATTTTCCTTTTAAAGCCACAGAAGCACTAAAGAAAGTTTGGGAAATAATTAAAGATCATCACCCATATCCCTGCCACCTTAAAACAATTATCACTTGTAATATTCTCATATAGTCTTAGTTTTTCATATATATAAAATGCCATTTTTTACATCAATAGGAATATATTACATGCACCTTGCTTTTTTTCACCTAAAATGTTTCTTAGAGAGAATTTAATATTGGCATGTAGAGCTGTCTCATTCTTTCTAACAGCTACGTATTTGTTTGATGTATGGATGTAGCATAATTTATTTACCCAATTCTTACAGAATAAAATGAATTGGGTACGTTTTGCTGTGACAAATAATGCTGCAACAAGCATTCTAGTACTTAAATCTTTATGCAGATATGCAAGATATTGGTGGGATAAAATCCTAGATGTGGACCTTTCACTTGAAGCTTTATGTAATTAAAGTCATTGAATAGACACATAGCATCTATTCAATTTTGCTTCCTGGATATCTCATATTGGATATTACACACAGTGAACATTTTCCGTGGTGTTGTACAGCCTCCAAGATTAAAGTTTTAATGGTTTATTATTTCTTATTATGCGGATACACTCAACCTTTCCTCTATTGTGAGACAGTTCAACTGTTTCTAATTATTTGCCTCATAAAGAATGCAATGACTATCCACATCCCCTGTGTCTTACCCTTGGCCCATTTGCGCTGTCTTCTCACTGCATTTTTCTTCACAGGGAGAGGCACCCCCATTCTAGAACATGGGAGAGGCACCCCCATTCTAGAACATGCTCCAGGTCCCCATGACCCTGGAATTCCCTAATTGAACCCCAGTCCAGTTTCTAGGCCCATGCATCCCTTTTCCCAGCATGCCAGGGGTGGCTGTTTGGGGAGGTGCAGAGGGATGTGGAACTAGGGCTGCCACCTGGGTCTCCACTTGCATGCAAACAAGGCCTATGTCCAGTAGGACATAAGCTAGGAGTGGCAGGAGAAGCAGGGAGCAGTCCCTGGACCTCCATTTATACTAGCTTACCCAGGCCCCCTAAATGTTGGAATGGTTCTGCTATGACACCCTTACCTTCTTTTCCCAGATTCAATAGAGTTCTCTAAAGTAGACCGCTGGATTAAAAATAAAACCGATCAACCAACCAACAACAACAACAAAAAACCCAAAACTTCATTTTCCAAAGTTATTTGTAAACTTACCTCTTTTGCACACCTGTTATATATTGCCAAAATTTATCATTTGCGAAATTTAAAGACCTGTGCCATGAGAGATGATTTGAAATTGCAAAAAGGACAGTGTCAGGGGGAGCAGTTGACTTCACTTCTGATCTGTACTATCAAAATCCTGCTCTAGGGCTGGGCGCAGTGGCTCACACCTGTAATCTCAGCACTTTGGGACACCAAGGTGGGCAGATCACCTGAGGTCAGGAGTTCGAGACCAGCCTGGACAACATGGTGAAACCCTGTCTCTACTAAAAATATAAAAATTCGTTGAGTGTGGTGGTGCACACCTGTAGTCCCAGCTACTAGGGAGGCTGAGGCACAAGAATGGCTTGAATCTGGGAGGCAGAGGTTGCAGTGAGCCAAGATCACATCACTGCACTCCAGCCTGGGCTACAGAGCAAGACCCTGTCTCAAAAACAAACAAACAAAAAACCACCTTGCTCTATGAATTAGAGATCACTTTTCATGCCTGCATTTTGTTTATTTTTTATTGTTTATTTTTTTTTGGAGATTTTATTATATGAACTCCAGTGTCCTTTTTTATTTTTAATTTCTATGATTCTACATAACCAATTCAAACTTAAATTTTAAAATGCATTACTTTTTGTTCAAGCTCCTGGAGACTTTTACTGATCCCCCTATTTTGTATACAAATGTTTGGGTGTTTGTTCTTCGCTTTTCATAGTTCATTTGAACTTGAGTTCCTCTTACGTGAAGAACATTATGGTGAAGAGAACAAAGACGAAATGAATGGCTTCTCTCTCAAAATACTTATAATGAGGCTCACATTAAAAATGAGGCTCACAACCTGACACTTAGCTTTTCTACTCCTAGGCAAACAGGGGGCAATGTACATCTAGTGCTAATTAAATTAAATACCCAAATACTGGGTTTTCAACAAACACAAACAAATTCAGAAGAGTGAACTATACTACTTTACTTGGAATATCAATGACAGCCTAAGTAACAGAAGAATAAACCTGGATAACAGTGGATGGTAACTACATAGTATAACTATTGGCCAATTTGGAGAATTTGGAACATAATCAATGAAACAATATCAATATTTACCATCCTAATTTTAAGTGACCTCCAAAAAACAACATGATGTTACATAATCCCTTTTTACTCTTTATAAATTATGAGAAATTCTTAAATTATGTTTTCTGTAAATTGTTAGCAGAAACATGATTTTCCCTGAGTCTTGCTGCTTGGTATAGATCATAACCCTAAGGAAAAAAGGAGCCTCCAGTGTTGTCCTTCTCTGGTGGGAAGTTAAATAAGACAGTGCTCAGGAAGGGAACATCGTATGCACAGACATTTGTTCTCTCAACACAGAACTAGACTGAGATCTCCTCACATGCTTCTATCTATGGAATCTAGAATGAAAAAGAATTTTAAAAAGAAGTCGAACTCGAGAATGTTTAAAAGAATTCTACTTCGTGGATTTTTACAGTCAATACAAAATAGTCTTATGGTTCTTTCAGCATATATACTTAAATTCAGCCTATTAAAATAGTATAATATGAATTAAACTTATTAACCAAAATTAAGAGTACATGGTGCTAAAACGATTGGTTGATTCAGTGGCAGTATTTATAAGTACACTATAAACAATTCCCCAACTGGCAATCATCTTTAGAAACTTTAAATTTTTGATGTGGCTCAAGTCTGACTCTAAGCTTTTGGGTTTTCCATCTTAAAAAGCTCCCCTCCCTTACTCCCACATTGCCGCCCACTACATTATAGAAACATTCTCATATAGCTTTATTTGTTACATTTATATCTTTATTGCATCCCACTCGTCTGTATTTGAACAAGCATTGCAAAAAGATACACAGCAGACTGTTAACTTTGGTTATCTAGACTTTGCCTTTATACTGTATAACTGGATCTGTTATAATATATATATGTATTGCTTAATAAAGAAAGAAAACAGGCTGGGTGCAGTGGCTCACGCCTGTAATCCCAGCAATTCGGGAGGCCGAAGCTAGAAGATCGCTTGAGCTCAGGAGTTCTAGACCAGCCTGGACAACATGGCGAAACCTCATCTCTACAAAAAATACAAAAAATAGCCGGGCATGGTGGTGTACACCTGTAGTCCCAGCTACTATGGAGGCTGAGGTGGGAGGTTCACTTGAGCTCAAGAGGTGGAGATTGCAGTGAGCCATGATTGTGCCACTGCACTCTAGCCTGGGCAACAAAGAGAGACCCTGTCTCAAAAAAAAAAAAAAGCAAGTAAGAAAAGAAATGAGAAGAAAAGAAAGAAAAAACAAAACCAAAAAACAATACTGTCTAGCTCTAAAAAACTATAAATGTAAACATTACCATGTTCACCGCCAAAATGAGAAAAAGAATAACATAAAACAATTCACTGGGGAATATTCAAATGTAAAAGCCAAATATTAATCCAGATTCTAAATAACCAGTCCTTGTAAACTATAGAATAGTAACTTTTTTCTTTTCCCTCAAATGATTTAACCAAATGGAACAATAAATAAACCCATATTCCATGCCAGATAAAATTAAACTGTGGTTCACCTAAAGATCAAGCTTAGGCTAATTAGTAAAAGGGGCCAGACCAGACGGTGATAACCAGCCCGACGGAAAGAGAAGCACATGATTAAGCAAACAGATGGCCACTTGCAATTTAATGAGCAGACACTTTGATTTGGTTTGATGGCCCAACTAGGGAAGGCCTTTAGCTTAAGCTTTTCCCTTGAGAGCGCTGTATGGCTGGACTCCAGTGATTTGTTCAGGTTTGAGCCCTTTTCCTCCCAGAAATGGCTTCCACAATTCATAAAAAGCTTACTGTTTATATCAAACAAGCACAGACCAGGGCTCCACACTCCTTTAGATGGCATGCTAACTTACTCTTCACTTCTGGCCTCCGGAAAAAGCCCAGTGGAAGGAAAAAAAAAATGCTTTTTCATCTTCCAGTGATCTTGTTTAAAAAAAAAAAGATTCCACAAAACTATATCTTACTTAAATCATTTCAAGACCCACCTTAAGTCAGTGTTAGCAAAAATTTGTTGACAGCCATATGAAGGTAGAATCAGGCCACGGGATAAGGCCCAAGGATAGAAGTGGATGAATTCAGGAGAGAGAAACAAGGTACAGATTTAAGAAGGGGCCAGAAACATGCCTTCATGTATTTCTTAATTTTGTTTAAAATGAGCACATCCTGTACCATTTATGATCAGCTCCAAAAGGTCTTCCCTGGAGCGAACTGTCCATACAAATAAAAAAATGCCTGTTTATTAAATTGCAAGTGGCTATCATATATAATAGAAATTCCAAACAAAGTCATAGATATTTCTGACAAGGTATAAGCAGAATATATACACCTTTTTAAGTATACTTTTTAATATACTTTTTAAGTATATTCTCTTTCATGTAAACATTTATAAAAACCAGGTGAAGAAACAAATGTGTAGAAAAGGAATTATGGCTCAGTCCAGCTATGAATTTTTCAAGGGGTTGCAGCTCAAAAAGTATTTAAATAAATAAAAACTGGTGGTTTTTAAAGTTAGTCTGAAGTTACTGCCATAGTCTCTTGGGTTTTGTTTTTGTTTTTGTTTTCTAGATTTATATATATACAAAGCTAGGGAATGTAAAGAATATAATACATATTATAATATATAATATAATATATAATAAAATATATATTGTATTCTTTTTCTAGCTTTATATATGTACATGTGTTACATATTTATATATGAACATATATAAAGCTAGAAAAGGAATATATATTTAACTGTATATATAAAATAAATATATGAAATAATATAATACATACATAATATATATTTAATCATACACATATATATATTTCTCTGTATTAATTCCCCTTAAAAACCAAAATTTTCCAAATTATTTCTCCCAGAGTCAATATCCTTTTCATTCACAGCAAGTTCTAAGTTGAAGACTTACAAATTAACACTCAAACATTTTTTTCCCAAATAACTTCACAAACATGTTAAACAGGAAAAGGAAGTTAGAGTTAGGAATTGTGAGGCTATAAGAATTTTTCTTTCCTAAAGGATTGGATATGACTGCCAACAATTCCGTGGTTTTAGCTGCTTTCAAAAAAAGGAATGTGATAATAGCTCCTGGGTGGAATAATTTTGGCTGCACTTGATTAAATCTAAGCTTAAAACTTACAGAGAACAGCTTGGACTGCATTTCTTTTTTTTTTTTTTTAAGAAACAGCATTGCATTTCATTTTACTGTGTCTTTGCCAGATTTGGGCCTTTGGGGAGTCTGGCACTAGATTAGACACTAACAAAGCGAGCTGTAATACCCTGGGTAATATGAGTTACATAACTCCAATCAACACTAATGAGTGTGTGTCTCTCTAAAACCCTGCACGTGTAATTTTGGAAAGGAGTCCTAAATGATTTTAAGGCCCCTTCCTTTCACAAAGCGCTATCTTATTCAGCTCCCAGAAAGTAATCATTCCAAAAAGCACTAGGCATACCCAGCTGGTATTTTTGTTTGTATTCTATTGTCTTTTTCTTTTGGTAAATAAATCATCTTCATTCCCTAGAAAAGCATCTACATTTTGCATCCAATATCTTAAACTTTGTTCTTGACATTTTTCTGGTGACTTCAAGACACATGATTTTAACACCACCAGTGAGAATTTTCGAATACTTGAAAAAAATCAACTATATATTAGAGAGCTCCTCAACTCTTTGTTTTTCAAATTCTAATACAAATAATATTCAATACTAAATATTGTTCTATTAGTTTCTGGGTCCAGTACAAGATGGATTCCTCCCCACTCCTTCTGCTAAGTATGGCTAGAATCTCTGGATATTATATATTAAATACACATAAAAAGACTCTGAAAGGTAGAACAAAAAAAAGCAGCCTGTCTATGGACCACATGATCCAAGAAAGATGCAGTGATAAGTTTCTTGGGTTTTCTTTTTCTTCACGTATTCCAGACGTGGAGCTGGAAAAGCCAGCAGCTTAGAAATACCAAACATCCCAGAAAAAAACAAACAAAATCTCTCAAGAAAAGCAAGCACTCTCTAGCCAAAAGACCTAGAAGAAGCAGCCTAGAAGGAGAGAAAACTTTTTTGGACAATAACTCTCAACTCCAACCAAACACCATGAAAAAAAAATGTGAACCCCACCAAGCTCCATTAGCAAAGGCCAAAGGGCAAATGGGAAGCCTACACTTCCATCTGCATCCAGCTGTAATAAGGTATCACTCCCTCTGCCAAGCCTGTGTCAGAGAAGAACAAGTGGGGAGCTGGGACTTTCATCCCTGCTTGACAGTAACAAGGTACTCTTCTCTCTACTCAGGTAGTTTCAGAGAAGGCTGAATGAAAAGCCTGGACTTTCACCAGCACCCAGAGTTGATGACACCCCCAACAATACAGCATCAGTGGAGGCCACCTGGAGAACAGTAACAAGATGCCCTTCCCTGTCCCAGCCAGCGTGGTGTCAGCAGAGGTCTAGCAAGAAGACTGAACTCCCATCTCTATCCAGCAGTAACAAGGCAGCCTCTCCATCCTGGGTGTCAACAAATGCCAAGTGAGGAACCTGGACTCCAACTCCAATATGGCAGTAACAAGGTGGTACTACTCTTGCCCCACCAGTGTGGATTCATAGGAGGCCTGCTGAAAATACAAGATTTAAATAGGATCCAGAGTAGTCTCATAAAAAAATACCTAATATGTGCTGGATATAATTGAAAACTCACTCAACATACCAAGAACCAGGAAAATCTCAACTTGAATGGGAAAAGATAATCAATAGTCACTGACACCAAGATGATACAAATGTTGGAATTATCTGACGAGAATTTTAAAACAGCCATCACAAAAATGGCTAAGAACCCACTTGAAACAAATGAAAAATACAAATGAAATAAAGCAAGTCTCAGCAAAGAAACAGAAGATATAAAGGAGAACAAAATGGGAATTTTAGATCTGAAAAATATAATAACAAAAATTTTAAAACTTACCAGATGGAATGAACAGCAGAATGGAGAAGACAGATTAAAGAATCAGTGAATTTGAAGATAGAGCAATAGAAATGACCAATTTACCAATCTGAACAACAGAGAAAAAACAGACTGAGAAAAAGATGAAGCAAATTTAAGAATTTGTGGGACTATAACAAAAGATCTAACATTCATGCAACGGTGGTCTGAGAAGGAGAGAGAAAAAAGGGCAGAACTGAAAAGGTAGTTTTTAAATGTATGCCTAAAAATTTCCCAAAGTTGGCAAAAGACATAAACCTACAGATTCAAGAATGTAAATAAACTGTAAACAGAATAAACACAAAGAAATCTACACCATGACACAGAATGGTCAAACTGAAAACTAAAGATAAAGAAGAAAGTCTTGAAAGCAATTACAGGAGAAAACATCTTACCTATTTTGGGTGGTGAATGGAAGGTGGTGGAAGAAACAGTTTCATTGACAGCAGATTTATCATGAGAAACCATGGAGGCCAGAAGGAAATGGCACAATATTTTTCAAATGCTGAAAGAAAAAAACCCCTTATCTAGTAAAAATATCCTTCAAGAATGAACAAGAAATCAAGATAGTCTCGGATGAAAGAAAAGTAAGAGAACTTATTGTTAGCAAACCTTCTCTAAAAGAATAGCCAAAGTTTTTGAAACAGAACAGAAATGATAAAAGGTATCTTGAACATCAAAAAGTAAGAACAAGAAAAGTAAAAATTGGGGGAGGAGCCAAGATGGCGGAATAGGAACAGCTCCGGTCTACAGCTCCCAGCGGGAGCGATGCAGAAGATGGGTGATTTCTGCATTTCCATCTGAGGTACTGGGTTCATCTCACTAGGGAGTGCCAGACAGTGGGCGCAGGCCAGTGGGTGCGCGCACCGTGCGCGAGCTGGGGCAGGGCGAGGCATTGCCTCACCTGGGAAGCGCAAGGGGTCAGGGAGTTCCCTTTCCGAGTCAAAGAAAGGGGTGACGGACGCACCTGGAAAATCGGGTCACTCCCACCAGAATATTGCGCTTTTCAGACCGGCTTAAAAAACGGCGCACCACGAGACTATATCCCACACCTGGCTCAGAGGGTCCTACGCCCACGGAATCTCGCTGATTGCTAGCACAGCAGTCTGAGATCAAACTGCAAGGCGGCAGCGAGGCTGGGGGAGGGGTGCCCGCCATTGCCCAGGCTTGCTTAGGTAAACAAAGCAGCCGGGAAGCTGGACTGGGTGGAGCCCACCACAGCTCAAGGAGGCCTGCCTGCCTCTGTAGGCTCCACCTCTGGGGGCAGGGCACAGACAAACAAAAAGACAGCAGTAACCTCTGCAGACTTAAATGTCCCTGTCTGACAGCTTTGAAGAGAGCAGTGGTTCTCCCAGCACGCAGCTGGAGATCTGAGAACGGGCAGACTGCCTCCTCAAGTGGGTCCCTGACCCCTGACCCCCGAGCAGCCTAACTGGGAGGCACCCCCCAGCAGGGGCACACTGACACCTCACACTGCAGGGTATTCCAACAGACTTGCAGCTGAGGGTCCTGTCTGTTAGACGGAAAACTAACAAACAGAAAGGACATCCACACCGAAAACCCATCTGTACATCACCATCATCAAAGACCAAAAGTAGATAAAACCACAAAGATGGGGAAAAAACAGAACAGATAAACTGGAAACTCTAAAACGCAGAGCACCTCTCCTCCTCCAAAGGAACGCAGTTCCTCACCAGCAACGGAACAAAGCTGGATGGAGAATGATTTTGACGAGCTGAGAGAAGAAGGCTTCAGACGATCAAATTACTCTGAGCTACGGGAGGACATTCAAACCAAAGGCAAAGAAGTTGAAAACTTTCAAAAAAATTTAGAAGAATGTATAACTAGAATAACCAATACAGAGAAGTGCTTAAAGGAGCTGATGGAGCTGAAAACCAAGGCTCGAGAACTACGTGAAGAATGCAGAAGCCTCAGGAGCCGACGCGATCAACTGGAAGAAAGGGTATCAGCAATGGAAGATGAAATGAATGAAATGAAGTGAGAAGGGAAGTTTAGAGAAAAAAGAATAAAAAGAAATGAGCAAAGCCTCCAAGAAATATGGGACTATGTGAAAAGACCAAATCTACGTCTGATTGGTGTACCTGAAAGTGATGCGGAGAATGGAACCAAGTTGGAAAACACTCTGCAGGATATTATCCAGGAGAACTTCCCCAATCTAGCAAGGCAGGCCAACGTTCAGATTCAGGAAATACAGAGAACGCCACAAAGATACTCCTCGAGAAGAGCAACTCCAAGACACATAATTGTCAGATTCACCAAAGTTGAAATGAAGGAAAAAATGTTAAGGGCAGCCAGAGAGAAAGGTCGGGTTACCCTCAAAGGGAAGCCCATCAGACTAACAGCGGATCTCTCGGCAGAAACTCTACAAGCCAGAAGAGAGTGGGGGCCAATATTCAACATTCTTAAAGAAAAGAATTTTCAACCCAGAATTTCATATCCAGCCAAACTAAGCTTCATAAGTGAAGGAGAAATAAAATACTTTACAGACAAGCAAATGCTGAGAGATTTTGTCACTACCAGGCCTGCCCTAAAAGAGCTCCTGAAGGAAGCACTAAACATGGAAAGGAACAACTGGTACCAGCTGCTGCAAAATCATGCCAAAATGTAAAGACCATCGAGGCTAGGAAGAAACTGCATCAGCTAACGAGCAAAATCACCAGCTAACATCATAATGACAGGATCAAATTCACACATAACAATATTAACTTTAAATGTCAATGGACTAAATTCTCCAATTAAAAAACACAGACTGGCAAGTTGGATAAAGAGTCAAGACCCATCAGTGTGCTGTATTCAGGAAACCCATCTCACGTGCAGAGACACACATAGGCTCAAAATAAAAGGATGGAGGAAGATCTACCAAGCAAATGGAAAACAAAAAAAGGCAGGGGTTGCAATCCTAGTCTCTGATAAAACAGACTTTAAACCAACAAAGATCAAAAGAGACAAAGAAGGCCATTACATAATGGTAAAGGGATCAATTCAACAAGAGGAGCTAACTATCCTAAATATATATGCACCCAATACAGGAGCACCCAGATTCATAAAGCAAGTCCTGAATGACCTACAAAGAGACTTAGACTCCCACACATTAATAATGGGAGACTTTAACACCCCACTGTCAACATTAGACAGATCAACGAGACAGAAAGTCAACAAGGATACCCAGGAATTGAACTCAGCTCTGCACCAAGCAGACCTAATAGACATCTACAGAACTCTCCACCCCAAATCAACAGAATATACATTTTTTTCACCACCACACCACACCTATTCCAAAATTGACCACATAGTTGGAAGTAAAACTCTCCTCAGCAAATGTAAAACAACAGAAATTATAACAAACTATCTCTCAGACCACAGTGCAATCAAACTAGAACTCAGGATTAAGAATCTCACTCAAAGCCACTCAACTACATGGAAACTGAACAACCTGCTCCTGAATGACTACTGGGTACATAACGAAATGAAGGCAGAAATAAAGATGTTCTTTGAAACCAACGAGAACAAAGACACAACATACCAGAATCTCTGGGACGCATTCAAAGCAGTGTGTAGAGGGAAATTTATAGCACTAAATGCCCACAAGAGAAAGCAGGAAAGATCCAAAATTGACACCCTAACATCACAATTAAAAGAACTAGAAAAGCAAGAGCAAACACATTCAAAAGCTAGCAGAAGGCAAGAAATAACTAAAATCAGAGCAGAACTGAAGGAAATAGAGACACAAAAAACCCTTCAAAAAATCAATGAATCCAGGAGCTGGTTTTTTGAAAGGATCAACAAAATTGATAGACCACTAGCAAGACTAATAAAGAAAAAAAGAGAGAAGAATCAAATAGACACGATAAAAAATGATAAAGGGGATATCACCACTGATCCCACAGAAATACAAACTACCATCAGAGAATACTACAAACACCTCTACACAAATAAACTAGAAAATCTAGAAGAAATGGATACATTCCTCGACACATACACCCTCCAAAGACTAAACCAGGAAGAAGTTAAATCTCTGAATAGACCAATAACAGGAGCTGAAATTGTGGCAATAATCAATAGTTTACCAACCAAAAAGAGTCCAGGACCAGATGGATTCACAGCCGAATTCTACCAGAGGTACAAGGAGGAACTGGTACCATTCCTTCTGAAACTATTCCAATCAATAGAAAAAGAGGGAATCCTCCCTAACTCATTTTATGAGGCCAGCATCATTCTGATACCAAAGCCGGGCAGAGACACAACCAAAAAAGAGAATTTTAGACCAATATCCTTGATGAACATTGATGCAAAAATCCTCAATAAAATACTGGCAAACCGAATCCAGCAGCACATCAAAAAGCTTATCCACCATGATCAAGTGGGCTTCATCCCTGGGATGCAAGGCTGGTTCAATATATGCAAATCAATAAATGTAATCCAGCATATAAACAGAGCCAAAGACAAAAACCACATGATTATCTCAATAGATGCAGAAAAAGCCTTTGACAAAATTCAACAACCCTTCATGCTAAAAACTCTCAATAAATTAGGTATTGATGGGACGTGTTTCAAAATAATAAGAGCTATCTATGACAAACCCACAGCCAATATCATACTGAATGGGCAAAAACTGGAAGCATTCCCTTTGAAAACTGGCACAAGACAGGGATGCCCTCTCTCACCGCTCCTATTCAACATAGTGTTGGAAGTTCTGGCCAGGGCAATCAGGCAGGAGAAGGAAATAAAGGGTATTCAATTAGGAAAAGAGGAAGTCAAATTGTCCCTGTTTGCAGATGACATGATTGTATATCTAGAAAACCCCATCGTCTCAGCCCAAAATCTCCTTAAGCTGATAAGCAACTTCAGCAAAGTCTCAGGATACAAATTCAATGTACAAAAATCACAAGCATTCTTATACACCAACAACACACAAACAGAGAGCCAAATCATGAGTGAACTCCCATTCACAATTGCTTCAAAGAGAATAAAATACCTAGGAATCCAACTTACAAGGGATGTGAAGGACCTCTTCAAGGAGAACTACAAACCACTGCTCAATGAAATAAAAGAGGATACAAACAAATGGAAGAACATTCCATGCTCATGGGTAGGAAGAATCAATATCATGAAAATGGCCATACTGCCCAAGGTAATTTACAGATTCAATGCCATCCCCATCAAGCTACCAATGACTTTCTTCACAGAATTGGAAAAAACTACTTTAATGTTCATATGGAACCAAAAAAGAGCCCGTATCGCCAAGTCAATCCTAAGCCAAAAGAACAAAGCTGGAGGCATCACACTACCTGACTTCAAACTATACTACAAGGCTACAGTAACCAAAACAGCATGGTACTGGTACCAAAACAGAGATATAGAACAATGGAACAGAACAGAGCCCTCAGAAATAATGCCGCATACCTACAACTATCTGATCTTTGACAAACCTGAGAAAAACAAGCAATGGGGAAAGGATTCCCTATTTAATAAATGGTGCTGGGAAAACTGGCTAGCCATATGGAGAAAGCTGAAACTGGATCCCTTCCTTACACCTTATACAAAAATCAATTCAAGATGGATTAAAGATTTAAACGTTAGACCTAAAACCATAAAAACCCTGGGAGAAAACCTAGGCATTACCATTCAGGACATAGGCATGGGCAAGGACTTCATGTCCAAAACACCAAAAGCAATGGCAACAAAAGCCAAAATTGACAAATGGGATCTAATTAAACTAAAGAGCTTCTGCACAGCAAAAGAAACTACCATCAGAGTGAACAGGCAACCTACAACATGGGAGAAAATTTTTGCAACCTACTCATCTGACAAAGGGCTAATATCCAGAATCTACAATGAACTGAAACAAATTTACAAGAAAAAAACAAACAACCCCATCAAAAAGTGGGCGAAGGACATGAACAGACACTTCTCAAAAGAAGACATTTATGCAGCCAAAAAACACATGAAAAAATGCTCATCATCACTGGCCATCAGAGAAATGCAAATCAAAACCACTATGAGATATCATCTCACACCAGTTAGAATGGCAATCATTAAAAAGTCAGGAAAAAACAGGTGCTGGAGAGGATGTGGAGAAATAGGAACACTTTTACACTGTTGGTGGGACTGTAAACTAGTTCAACCATTGTGGAAGTCAGTGTGGCGATTCCTCAGGGATCTAGAACTAGAAATACCATTTGACCCAGCCATCCCATTACTGGGTATATACCCAAATGACTATAAATCATGCTGCTATAAAGACACATGCACATGTATGTTTATTGCGGCATTATTCACAATAGCAAAGACTTGGAACCAACCCAAATGTCCAACAATGATAGACTGGATTAAGAAAATGTGGCACATATACACCATGGAATACTATGCAGCCATATAAAATTATGAGTTCATGTCCTTTGTAGGGACATGGATGAAACTGGAAACCATCATTCTCGGTAAACTATCGCAAGAACAAAAAACCAAACACCGCATATTCTCACTCATAGGTGGGAATTGAACAATGAGATCACGTGGACACAGGAAGGGGAATATCACACTCTGGGGACTGTGGTGGGGTGGGGGGAGGGGGGAGGGATAGCATTGGGAGATATACCTAATGCTAGATGACGAGTTAGTGGGTGCAGCGCACCAGCATGGCACATGTATACATATGTAACTAACCTGCACAATGTGCACATGTACCCTAAAACTTAAAGTATAATAATAAAAAAAAAGAAAAGTAAAAATTGGAGTAAATACAACAGATGTTCCTTTACCTCTTGAGTTTTCCAAATTGTGTTTGATTGTTGAAGCAAAAGAAATGTTAACATCATTTGATTTGTTTCTTAATACAGGTAGGGGAGATAATTTAAGATCATTACATGATAAATGGGGGTAAAGGGGCTTTTAAAAAGTAAGGTTTCTATACTTTATTTGAACGGTTAAATGTCAATACCAGTAGACTACAATAGGTTGTATATATATATATACACATACATATATGTGTGTGTGTGTGATATAACACCTAGAGCAACCACTAAGAAAACAAAACAAAGACATGCAATTAAAACACCACAGATAAATTAAAATGGATTTTTTTTTTTTTTTTGAGCCGGAGTCTCTCTCTGTCGCCCAGGCTGGAGTGCACTGGCGCCACCTCGGCTCACTGCAGGCTCCGCCCCCCAGGTTCATGCCATTCTCCTGCCTCAGCCTCCCGAGTAGCTGGGACTACAGGAGCCTGCCACCATGCCCGGTTAATTTTTTTGTATTTTTATTAGAGATGGGGTTTCACCATGTTAGCCAGGATGGTCTCGATCTCCTTGTGATCTGCCTGCCTCGGCCTCCGAAAGTGCTGGGATTACAGGCACTGAGCCACTGCGCCCGGCCAAATGTTATTTAAAAGTGTTTTAATAACTCACAATAAGGCAAAAGAGAAAAACAGAGGAATTTGTCCTTTTGTGACTGGCTTATTTCACTTAGTGTGATGTCCTGATGGTTCATCCATGTAGTAGCATATGTCAGAATAGCCCTCTTTTTAAGACTGAATAATGTTCTATTATATGGATACATCACATTTTGTCTATCTATTCATCCATGATGGACAATTGGGCTGCTTCCATGTTTTAGCTATTGTGACTATTGCTGCTATGAACATGGGTTTAGAAATATCGCTTTAAGTCTGTATTTTCAATTCCTTTGAGTATATACTCATAAGTGGAATTGCTGGGTCACATAGTAATTCTATTTAAAATTTTTTGAGGAAACCACAATATTGTTTTCCACAGCAACTAGACCATTTTACATTACCACCAACAGTCCACAAAGATTCTAAATTTTCCACATCCTCACAACACTTGTTATTTCTGTTTTTTTTTAATTGGTAGTAACTATCTTAATGGGTATGAGATGGTATCTCATTATATTTTTGATTGCATTTCCCTAATAATTAGCTTTTCATGTGCATATTGGCTATTTGTACATCTTCTGTGGAGAAATGTCTATTCAAGTCCCTTGCCCATGTTTGAATTGGATTGTTGTTGTTGTTGAGCTTTAGGAATTCTCTACTTATTCTGAATATCAACCTCTTATCAGATATATGATTTGCAAATATTTTCTCTCATTCTGTAAGTTGCCCTTAGTTTTTTTTTTTTTTTTTTTTGAGATGGGATCTTGCTTTTTTGCCCAGGCTGGTCACATATTCTTAGGCCCAAGTGATTCTCCTGCCTCAGCCTCCTGAGCAGTTGGGACTACAGGTGTACACTACTGTGCTCAGCTATAGGTTGCTTTTTCACTCTTTTGACATTATCTTTTGATGCACAAAAATCTTTAATTTTTAAAATTTTTTTTATTTTTTGAGATGGGGTCCTGCTCTGTCACCCAGGCTGGAGTGCAGTGGCATGATCAAGTTCACTGCAGCCTTGATCTCCCAGGCCCAAGCAATCCTCCCATCTTAGCCTCCTAAGTAGCTGAGACTATAGTCCCATGCCCCCACACCCAGCTAATTTTATTTTTTAAGTAGAGATGAGGCCTCACTATGTTGCCCAAGCTGGTCTGAACTCCTGAGCTCAAGCAGTTCTCCTGCCTTGGCCTCTCAAAGTGCTGGGGTTATAGGCATGAGCCATCATGCCTGGCCAATTTTTAAATTTTCATGTAGTCTAATTTGTCTATTTTTTCTTTTGTTACCTGTGTTTTACATATCAGCCTACAGAGTTTCTAGCCCTTCTGCTAACCCCCAAAGTTTCTAATGAGAAATCAGCTGATAATCTTATTGAGGATCCCTTGAAAGTGATGAATCACTTCTTTCTTACTGCTTTCAAGGTTCTCTCTTTATCTTTGTATTTTCATGGTTTGATTAAAATGTATTTCAGTGTAAGTCTCTTTGAGTTCATCTTACTTGGAGTTTTCTAAGCTTCTTGGATGTTTATATTGATGCCTTTCATCAAATTTGGGGGACTTTCAGCCATTCTTTTTTTCTTTCTTTCTTTCTTTTTTTTTTTTTTTTTTTTGAGATGGAGTCTCACTCTGTCACCTAGGCTGGAGTGAAATGGCACGATCTGGGCTTGCTGCAGCCTCCACCTCCTGGGTTCAAGCAATTCTCCTGCCTCAGCCTCTCTAGTAGCTGGGATTACAGGTGCCCACCACCACGATCAGCTAATTTTTGTATTTTAGTAGGGACAGGGTTTCACCATGTTGTCCAGGCTGGTCTTGAATTCCTGACCTCAAGCAATCCACCTGCCTCAGCCTCCCAAAGTGCTGGGATTACAGGCGTGAGCCACTGCACCCGGCCAAGCCATTTTTTTTTCAAATACTCTCTCTGTCCCTTTCTCTCTTCTTCTTCTAAAACTCCTGATATGTGTATAGTCATCCATCTGCTTGATGGTGCCCTACAGGTCCCTTAGGCTCTATTCACTTTTCTTCAATCCTTTTTCTTTCTGTTTCTCAAACTCAATAATTTCCATGCCCTACCTTCAAGTTTGCTCATTCTTTCTTCTGCCTGCTCAAACCTGCCTGCGAATCCCTTCAGTGAACATTTAATTTGTTATTGTATTTTTCAGCTCTAGAATTTATTTATTTATTTTAGCCTATTTCCTTACTGATACTCCCATTTTGCTCATGCATCATTTTCTTGACTTTCTCCACGTTTCTTTTGTTGTTTGAGAATCTTTAAGACAATGGTTTTTAAATCTTTGTCTAATAGATCTGCCATCAGGTCTTTTTCAGGGACAGTTTCTGCTTATTTTTTAAATGAGCCAAACTTTCCTGCTTCTTTGTTTTCCTTGTGATTTTGTTGTTGTCGAAAACTGGACATTCAAATCAAATAATGTGGTAACTCTGAAAATCATATTCTCCCTTTTGCTGTTTGTCTGCCATTGCTTCTGTTATTCTTTTTGTTTTTCTGATTGTTGTAGGCTGTTCCAGTGCCTTTTTCTAAGCAACTATGGTCACTTTCCAATTGTGCTCATATATCCAGTTCCTTTTGAATGTTCCAGTCTTTAATGTCTGGCTCCCAAAAGGGAGAAAAAAAAAAAAAACTCAAGAGTAGGGGAAATATAGAACTGGCCCTTTAAATCCCCTGGATGTCACTTCAGCCAGAAGGAGAAAGGTTTGCAACAATGGGGGAGGTGTAGCAGAAGCAGCAACAATGGAGCCAGGTGATCAGAAGCAGCACTCAGCAATCAGAGTACAGATCCCCCATATTTGTAGAACAGGGTCCTTTTTGCCCTCCTTGGCTTCCACAAGCTATGTGCAAGCTGCTCCAGGAATACATAACTAACTATCCCAGGACTGGAGGTGGGGGATATGAACTGTTACTGTCCTAAGGGCTGAAATTGATTTAACTTAACCGCAATTTACTTGTGCAAGCCACTCTATAGAAATTGTAAGCCTTCAATTCAATAGATGCCAGAGTTCCAAAAGTATTTACATCAGACAGATTCTGCTGGTGCAGTTGCTGTCTAGGTGAGGAGACAGATTCCTGAGACTTTTTACTCTGCCATCTTCCCAGAATCCTTCTAGTTTTAATGTTGTACTCTCTAATGAGATGTAACTGTTTACCCAATTTCCCCAATTGCTGCAACTTATGGTTAAATAAGATGGCTATATAAGTTATATAAATGTTTACATCTTATGTGCATCTTCTCCAATGACAAAACCACTGGGGAAAACTTGGTAAAGTGTACATAGGACCTCTCTACCATTTTTGCAGCTAACTGTGAATATTTAGTTATCTCAAAAACAAAACAAAAAACAAGAAAAAAAACAAAAAATTGCCAAACTTGAAATTCAGGCTCTATTACTGTCTGTGTGAACTTGGGCTCATTTAACCAATCTGTGACTTGGTTTTGTCATCCATAAAATAACAGTATCTACCAAGTTATGGTAAAAAATAACTGAAATAACATATCAAAAGAAAAACTGTTTACTTATATCCCAGTTGTCACTTTTCACTTTCACTAAGCCATCATATCCCCTGTGACCTGCATGGACACATCCAGATGGCCGGTTCCTGCCTTAACTGATGACATTCCACCACAAAAGAAGTGAAAATGGCCTGTTCCTGCCTTAACTGATGACATTACCTTGTGAAATTCCTTCTCCTGGCTCATCCTGGCTCAAAATCTCCCCCCAGTGAGCACCTTGTGACCCCCACCCCTGCCCGCCAGAGAACAACCCCCCTTTTTTCCTTTACCTACCCGAATGTTATAAAACAGCTCCACCCCTATCTTCCTTCGCTGACTCTCTTTTCGGATTCAGCCTGCCTGCACCCAGGTGATTAAAAAGCTCTATTTCTCACACAAAGACTGTTTGGTGGTCTCTTCACATGGACGCGAATGAAATTTTGGTGCCGTGACTCAGATCGGGGGACCTCGCTTGGGAGATCAATCCCCTGTCCTCCTGCTCTTTGCTCCGTGAGAAAGATCCACCTACAACCTCGGGTCCTCAGACCAACCAGCCCAAGGAACATTTCACCAATTTTAAATCAGGTAAGCGGCCTCTCTTTACTCTCTTCTCCAACCTCTCTCATTATCCCTCAACCTCTCTCCTTTCAATCTTGGTGCCACACTTCAATCTCTCCCTTCTCTTAATTTCAGTTCCTTTCCTTTTCTGGTAGAGACAAAGGAGACCCGTTTTATCCATGAACCCGATACTCTGGCACCAGTCACAGACTCGGGAAGACAGTCTTCCCTTGGTGTTTAATCACGCGGGGATGCTTGCCTGATTATTCACCCACGTTTCAGAGGTGTCTGACCACGTGGGGACGCCTGCCTTGGTCCTTCACCCTTAGAGGCAAGTACCGCTTTTCTGAGGGGCAAGAACCCCCTGACCCCTTCTCTCTGTGTCTCTACCCCTTCACCACTTTCCTGGGGGGCAAGCACTCCACACCCCTTCACTCCGTGTCTCTACCCTCTCTTTTCTCTGGACTTGCCTCCTTCACTAAAGGCAACCTTCCACCCTCTATTCCTTCTTCTCCCTTAGCCTGTGTTCTTAAAAACCTAAAACCTCTTCAACTCACACCTGACCTAAAACCTAAATGCCTTATTTTCTTCTGCAATGCTGCTTGACCCCAATACAGACTCGACAGTGGTTCCAAATAGCCAGAAAATGGCACTTTCAATTTTTCCATCCTACAAGATCTAAATAATTCTTGTCGTAAAATGGGCAAACAGTCTGAGGTGCCTGATGTCCAGGCATTCTTTTACACATCGGTCCCTTCCTAGTCTCTGTTCCCAATGGAACTTGTCCCAAATCTTCCTTCTTTCCTTCCCGCCTGTCCCCTCAGTCCCAACCCCAAGCGTCACTGAGTCTTTCTAATCTTCCTTTTCTACAGACCCATCTGACCTCTCCCCTCCTCACCAGGCCGAGCTAGGTCCCAATTCTTCCTCAGCCTCTGCTCCTCCACCCTATAATCCTTTTATCATCTCCCCCTCCTCACACCCGGTCCGGCTAACAGTTTCATTCCGCCACCTGTCCAGCAATTTCCTCTTAAAAAGGTGGCTGGAGCTAAAGGCATAGTCAAGGTTAATACTCCCTTTTTCTTTATCTGGTCTCTCCCAAATCAGTTAGTGCTTAGGCTCTTTTTCATCAAATATGAAAAACCCAGCCCAGTTCATGGCCCCTTTAGCAGCAACCCTGAGACGCTTTACAGCCCTAGACCCTGAAAGGTCAGAAGGCCGTCTTATTCTCAATATGCATTTTATTTTATTACCCAATCTGCTCCCGACATTAAATAAAGCTCCAAAAATTAAATTCCAGCCCTCAAACCCCACAATAGGACTTAATTAACCTCACCTTCAAGGTGTACAATAATAAAGTAGAGGCAGCCAAGTAGCAATGTATTTCTGAGTTGCAATTCCTTGCCTCCCCTGTGAGACAAGCCCCAGCCATATCTCCAGCACAGAAGAACTCCAAACGCCTGAACCACAGCTGCCAGGGGTTCCTCCAGAACCTCCTCCCCCAGGAGCTTGCTACAAGTGCTGGAAATCTGTCCACTGGGCCAAGGAATGCCCACAGCCCGGGATTCCTCCTAAGCCATGTCCCATCTGTGCAGTACCCCGCTGAAAATTGGACTGTTCAACTCACCTGGCAGCCACTTCCAGAGCCCCTGGAACTCTGGCCTAAGGCTCTCTGATTGACTCCTTCCCAGATCTTCTCGGCTCAGCAGATGAAGACTGACACTTCCCGATTGCCTCGGAAGCCTACAGGACCATCACAGATGCTCTGGGTAATTATCACAGTGGAGGGTAAGTCCATCCCCTTCTTAATCAATATGGAGGCTACCCACTCCACATTACCTTCTTTTCAAGGGCCCGTTTCCCTTGCCTCCATAACTGTTGTGGGTATTGACGGCCAGGCTTCTAAATCTCTTAAAACTCCCCAACTCTGGTGCCAACTTAGACAATACTCTTTTAAGCACTCCTTTTTAGTTATCCCCACCTGCCCAGTTCCCTTATTAGGCCGAGACACTTTAACTAAATTATCTGCTTCCCTGACTATTCCTGGGTTACACCGACACCTCATTGCCGCCTTTTCCCCCAGTTCAAAGCCTCCTTCACATCTTCCCTTTGTATCTCCCCACCTTAACCCACAAGTATAGGACACCTCTACTCCCACCTTAGCGACTGATCATGCACCCCTTACCATCCCATTAAAACCTAATCACCCTTACCCCACTCAATGCCAATATCCCATCCCACAGCATGCTTTAAAAGGATTAAATTCTGTTATCATTGCCTGTTACACCATGGCCTTTCAAAGCCTATAAACTCCCCTTATAATTCCCCCATTTTGCGTGTCCTAAAACCAGACAAGTCTTACAGGTTAGTTCAGGATCTGCACCTTATCAACCAAATTGTTTTGCCTATCCACCCTGTGGTGCCAAACTCATATACTCTCCTATCCTCAATACCTCCCTCCACAACCCATTATTCTGTTCTGGATCTCAAACACGCTTTTTTACTATTGCTTTGCACCCTTCATCCCAGCCTCTCTTCGCTTTCACTTGGACTGACCCTGACACCCATCAGGCTCAGTAAATTACCTAGCCTGTACTCCCGCAAGGCTTCACAGACAGCCCCCATTACTTCAGTCAAGCCCAAATTTCTTCCTCATCTGTTACCTATCTCAGCATAATTCTCATAAAAACACACATGCTGTCCCTGCCGATCGTGTCTGACTGATCTCTCAAACCCCAACGCCTTCTACAAAACAACAACTCCTTTCCTTTCTAGGCATGGTTGGATACTTTTGACTTCAGAAACCTGGTTTTGTCATCCTAATAAAACCATTATATAAACTCACAAAAGGAAACCTAGCTGACCCCATAGATCCTAAATCCTTTCCCCACTCCTCTTTCCATTCCTTGAAGACAGCTTTAGAGAATGCCCCCACCCTAGCTCTCCATGACTCATCCCAACCCTTTTCATTACCCACAGCTGAAGTGCAGGGCTGTGCAGTCAGAATTCTTACACAAGAACTTGGACCACGCCCTGTAGCCTTTTTATCCAAACAACTTGACCTTACTGTTTTGCCTAGCCCTCAAGTCTGCATGCGGTGGCCGCTGCCGCCCTAATACTTTTAGAGGCCCTTAAAATCACAAACTAGGCTCAACTCACTCTCTATAGTTCTCATAACTTCCAAAATCTATTTTCTTCCTCCCTCACACCTGACACATATACTTTCTGCTACCCAGCTCCTTCAGCTGTACTCACTCTTTGTTGAGTATCCCACAATTACCATTGTTCCTGGCCCGGACTTCAATCCGGCCTCCCACATTATTCCTGATACCACACCTGACCCCCATGACTGTTATCTCTCTGATCCACCTGACATTCACCCCATTTCCCCATATTTCTTTCTTTCCTGTTCCTCACCCTGATCACACTTGGTTTATTGTTGGCAGTTCCACCAGGCCTAATTGCCACACACCAGCAAAGGCAGGCTATGCTATAGTAGAAGCCACTAGCCCGCCTCTTAGAACCCCTCATTTCCTTTCCATCATGGAAATCTATGCTCAAGGAAATAACTTCTCAGTGTTCCATCTGCTATTCTACTACTCCTCAGGGATTATTCAGGCCCCCTCCCTTCCCTACACATCAAGCTCGTGGATTTGCCCCCACCCAGGAATGACAACTCTTAACTCCCTGTTAGAGTGGACTGATGATCTTTGCTGGCAGGGGACCCTCCAATACTTTCACCCTGATGAAGTTCTGTTCTTTACTTTTATACTCACTCTTATTCTCATTCCTATTCTCATGCTACCCTCTACCTCTCCCCAGCTATCTCCACCACACTATCAATCTCACTCACTCTCTCCTAGCCATTTGTAATCCCTCCTTAGTGAACAAACGCTGGCTTTGCATTTCCCTTTCTTCTAGCGCCTACACAGCTGTCCCCGCCTTACATGCAGACTAGGCAACATCCCCTGTTTCCCTACACCTCCGAACTTCCCTCCCGAAGAACTCATTTACTTTCTAGACAGGTCCAGCAAGACCTCCCCAGACATTTCACATCAGCAAGCTGCCGCCCCCCTCCGTACTTACTTAAAAAACTTTTCTCCTTATGTCAACTCTACTCCTCCCATATTTACACTTCTCACAACACAAACTACTACTCCTGTGGCCACTCCTTTATGTATCTTTGGGCAAAGACCCACTGGAATTCCCCTAAGTAACCTTTCACCTTCTCAATGTTCCTTCACTCTTCATCTCCAAAGCCTAACTACACACATCACTGAAACAATTGGAGCCTTCCAGCTCCGTATTACAGACAAGCCCTCTATCAATACTGGCAAACTTAAAAACATTAGCAGTAATTATTGCTTAGGAAGACACCCTGTATTTCACTCCATCCTTGGCTACCTTCCCCTTGCTCATCAGACTCTCCTCCCAGGCCCTCTTCTTGTTTACTTATACCCAGCCCCGAAAATAACAGTGAAAGGTTGCTCGTAGACACTCGACGATTTTCTCTTACACCATGAAAATTGAACCTCCCCCTCTACGTAGTTACCTCATCAGTCCCCATTACAACCTCTGACAGCTGCCGTCCTAGCTGGATCCCTAGGAGTCTGGGTACAAGACACCCCTTTCAGCACTCCTTCTCATCTTTTTACTTTGCATCTCCAGTTTTGCCTAGCACAAGGTCTATTCTTCCTCTGTGGATCCTCTGCCTACACGTGTCTACCTGCTAATTGGACAGGCACATGCACACTAGTTTTTCTTAGTCCCAAAATTCAATTTGCAAATAGGACCGAAGAGCTCCCTGTTCCCCCTCATGACACCAACATGACAAAAAAGAGTTATTCCATGAATTCCCTTGCTTGTCAGTTTAGGACTTTCTGCCTCCACTATTGCTCTCGGTACTGGAATAGCAGGCGTTTCAACCTCTGTCACGACCTTCCACAGCCTCTCTAATGACTTCTCTGCTAGCATCACAGACATATCACAAACTTTATCAGTCCTCCAGGCCCAAGTTTACTCTTTAGCTGCAGTTGTCCTCCAAAACCGCTGAGGCCTTGACTTACTCACTGCTGAAAAAGGACAACTCTGTATATTCTTAAATGAAGACTGTTATTTTTACCTAAATCAATCTGACCTGGTGTATGACAACATAAAAAAACTTCAGGATAGAGCCCAAAAACTTGCCAACCAAGCAAGTAATTACGCTGAACCCCCCTTGGGTACTCTCTAATTGGATGTCCTGGGTCCTCAATTCTTAGTCCTTTAATACCTGTTTTTCTCCTTCTCTTATTCTGTTTAGTTTTTCAATTCATACAAAACCATATCTAGGCCATCACCAATAATTCTACATGACAAATGTTTCTTCTAACAACCCCACAATATCATCCCTTACCACAAAATCTTCCTTCAGCTTAATCTTTCCCACTCTAGGTTCCCACACCTCCCCAATCCCGCTTGAAACAGCCCTGAGAAACATCGTCCATTTCTCTCCATATCACTCCCAAAAATTTTCACCACCCCAACACTCACTTTACCACTATTTCGTTTTATTTTTCATATTAATATAAGAAGACAGGAATGTCAGGCCTCTGAGCCCAAGCTAAGCCGTCATATCCCCTGTGATCTGCACGTACACATCCAGATGGCTAATTCCTGCCTTAACTGATGACATTCCACCACAAAGAAGTGAAAATGGCCTGTTCCTGCCCTAACTGATGATATTACCTTGTGAAATTCCTTCTCCTGGCTCATCCTGGCTCAAAAGCTCCCCTGCTGAGCACCTTGTGACCCCCCCACCCCTGCCCACCAGAGAACAACCCCACTTTTTTCCTTTACCTACCCAAATCTTATAAAACGGCCCCACCCCTATCTCCCTTCGATGACTCTCTTTTAGGACTCAGCCTGCCTGCACCCAGGTGATTAAAAAGCTTTATTTCTCACACAAAGACTGTTTGGTGGTCTCTTCACATGGACGCGAGTGAAAGGGGATATGAACTGTTACTGTCCTAAGGGCTGAAATTGATTTAACTTAACCGCAATTTACTTGTGCAAGCCATTCTATAGGAGTTGTAAGCCTTCAATTCAATAGATGCCAGAGTTCCAAAAATATTTACATCAGACAGATTCTGCCGGTGCAGTTGCTGTCTAGGTGAGGAGACAGATTCCTGAGACTTTTTACTCTGCCATCTTCCCAGAATCCTCCTAGTTTTAATATTGTACTCTCTAATGAGATGTAACTCTTTACCCAGTTTCCCCAATTGCTGCAACTTACGGTTAAATAAGATGGTTATATAAATTATATAAATGTTTACATCTTATGTGCATCTTCTCCAATGACAAAACCACTGGGGAAAACTTGGTAAAGTGTACATAGGACCTCTCTACCATTTTTGCAGCTAACTGTGAATATTTATTTATCTCAAAAACAAAACAAAAAACAAATAGGAAAAAAAAATGCCAAACTTGAAATTTAGGCTCTAACACTGTCTGTGTGAACTTGGGCTCATTTAACCAATCTGTGACTTCGTCATCCATAAAATAACAGTATCTACCAAGTTATGGTAAGAAATAACTGAAATAACATATCAAAAGAAAAACTGTTTACTTAGATCCCAGTTGTCACTTTTTGCTTTTGTTGCAATTGCTTTTGGCGTCTTCATCATGAAATCTTTGCCTGTGCCTATGTCTTGAATGGTATCGTCTAGGTTGTCTTCCAGGATTTTTATAGTTTTGGGTTTTACATTTAAGGTATTTCAAGTTAATTTTTGTATATGGTGTAAGGAAGTGGTCCAGTTTCAATCTTCTGCATATGGCTAGCCAATTCTTCTGCATCACTTATTGAATAAGGAATCCTTTCCCCATTGCTTGCTTTTGTCAGATTTGTCAGAGATCAGATAGTTGCAGGTATGTGGTCTTATTTCTGGGATCTCTATTCTGTTCCATTGGTCTATGTGTCTGTTTTTGTACCAGTACCATGCTGGTTTTGGTTACTATAGCCTTATGATATAGATTCAAGTTGAATAGTGTGATGCCTCCAGGTTTTTTCTTTTTGCTTAGGATTGCCTTGGCTATCCAGGCTCTGTTTTTGTTCCATATGAATTGTAAAATAGTTTTCTCTAGATCTGGGAAGAATGTCAATAGTGGTTTAATAGTAATAGCATTGAATCTATAAATTGCTTTGGGCAATATGACTGTTTTAATAAAATTGATTCTACCTATCCATGATCATGGGATGATTTTCCATTTGTTTGCGTCTTCTGTGTTTTCTTTGAGCAGTGTTTTGTAGTTCTCCTTGTAGAGATCTTTCACCTCCCTAGTTAGCCGTGTTACTATGTATTTTATTTCTTTTGTGGCAATTGTGAATGGGAGTTCATTCCTGATTTGGTCCTTGGCTTAACTATTGTTGGTGTATGGGGATGCTAGTGACTTTTGCACATTAATTTTGTATCCTGAGACTTTTTGCTGACATTGTTATTATTAAAAAAAATCAAAAGATAACGGATGCTGGTGAGGCTGTGGAGAAAGGGGATAGCTTATACACTGTTGGCGGGAGTGTAAATTAGTTCAGCCATTGTGGAAGACAGTGTGGTGATTCCTCAAAGACATAAAGACAAAAATACCATTCAATCAGCAATCCCATTACTGGGATCCCATTATACCCAAAGGAATATAAATCATTCTACCATAAAGACACATGCATGTGTATGTTTTTGCAGCACTATTCACAATAGCAAAGACATGAAACCAAGTCAAATGCCCATCAATGACAGATTGGATAAAGAAAATGTGGTACATATATACCATGGAATACTATGCATCCACAAAAGAGAACAAAATCATGTCCTTTGCTGGGACATGGATGGAGCTGGAGGCCATTATCCTTAGCAAACTAACACAGGAACAAAAAAACCAAATACCACATGTTCTCAGTTATAAGTGGAAGCTAAATGATGAGAACACATGGACACATAGTGGAGAACAACACAAACAGGGGCCTTTTGGAGGGTGAAGGGTAGGAGAAGGGAGAAGATCTTAAAAAATAACTAATGAGTACTAGGCTTAATATCTGGGTGATAATCTGTATGACAAACCTCCATGACACAAGTTTACCTTTGTAACAAATCACTTGTACCCCTGAACTTAAAAGTCAAAATAATAAAATAAATAAAAAAGAAAAAAAAATAAAAGAAAAACCGTTCTGTGAGTACTAAGTGATTACTCTTATATTTCTGTTTTTCCTGTGTTGTAGAGCTGGGCAAGATCAATCCTTCTTTCAATCTTTGATTATTTGCATGATCTAGTGCATGTCCAAATTATACAACTATTATCCAGAGCCTACATGACTAATAAAATGTTTTCAGCATTTCTCCATCACATCTTAGAAAACATTGTCCTTCAGGATAAACACAAAAGGACTAGACACTGAGTATGCCAAGGTGCAGGCACAAGCAGGCTTATCATCTGACTTTATTCACACCTTACCTTAATGATCAAAATATGCCTTCCAAAGCACAGGATGCTTACAACCCCTTGTTATTCATCAAACAAAAATAAATGAAAACCATATTAATGTTTAATAGCTCAAAAGACAATTAGGAAAAGTGGCACATGTATAGCCAGACAAATCCAGAGGAAAAGAATAAAACATGAAGCCAAGAAATAAGTCAAGCGCATATGGGGAGTTAGTATATGAAAAGGTTGTCATCTGAAATTAATGGGGGGAACGATGAACTATTTAATAAATGGCATTGTAATAATTAGATAGCCACCTAGAAAAATATATATGTTACACCCACATTCTACATCAGGACAAATTCTAAATGGATCAAATATTTAGATGTGAAAATATAACAATAAAATTCTAGAAGAAAATATAATTTTTTTTATAATCTTGAAGTAAGAAAGACTTTTCTAACCATGACACAAAATGAAGAACCCATAGAAGAAACAAATAATAAAATTCACTATGTGAAAATCAAGAAGTTCTGCATGGTAAAAACAAAAACAAATCCAAAAACTGAAAAAAAAAAAGAGGAAAAAATACTCATATAACACAATAACAGGTCAATAATCTTCTTTTGAAATGCATATGGTTATTTCTTATAACGTTGCTTATAACAGTGAAACATTGGAAACAACCTAAATTTTCATCACTAGGAGGCTGATTGAATAAATTATGGTTTAATAAATTATATGTTATAGAATATTAGGCAATTGTAAAAAAACTGAGAAAGCTCTTTAAGTAAATAATATGGAAAGATCTTTAGGTATATTATTAGCTTTCTAAAAAGCAAAGTGAAAACCGGGTGTATAGTATGCTACCTTTTGAGTAAAAGGGGTAGAATAAGGAAACGTATTTTTTCATTGCTTCTGCAGACATAAAGAAACTCTGGAATGACTTATAATAAACCAATTATGCTGGCTATCCAGAGGGTAGGCAGGTAAGTGGGAAATGAATAGGTAATTACAATTTTTCATCTTATACCTTTTGCAATTTTTTGAACCATTAAAAAATTTATCTGTTCAAAAATTGGATTACAACAACATTTAAGCAGATGAGAAAATGTTATTTTATTCATTTTAACCTCCACTAAAAAATATCCCAAGAGATTCTTTTTTAGACTGAAAATATTCTGGAAAACACCTTCTAATCGGAGACCAGGAGACTTAAGATACTACAAAAAGCCCCTGGATTAAAATGCTGAAAGATGACTTCCCATTCAGCTGTCTAAGAAATTAGTTAAAATTTACTTTAAAATACGAACAATGGGCTTGGCGCAGTGGCTCATGCCATAATCCCAGCACTTTGGGAAGTTGAGGTGGAAAGATTGCTTGAGCTCCGGAGTTCAAGACCAGTCTGGGCAACATGTCAAGTCTCCGACTCTACAAAAAATACAAAAATTAGCCAGGTGTGGGGGCACATACCTTCAATCCCAGATACTTGGGAGGCTGAAGCAGGAGAATCCTTGAGCCCAGAAGGCGAAAGCTGCAGTGAGCCATGATTGTGCCACTACACTCTGGGTGACAGAGCCAGGCCTTGTCTAAAAAACTAATAATGGTAAAGTAAAATAAAATAAAACATGAACATCGTATAATTTTTTGCAAATCTTAAAGGTATTAACAATTGAACCATATAAAATTCTGAGACCTAGCAATGCCATACTATATTAAAGGAACATAAAACATAAGAAAAAGATAACAATGAAGGTAAGCAATTGTAGGAGAGGAGAAAAAGGCTTTGCAGTAGACAGGTGAATAGTAGAAAAATATCAAAGATCTGCAGTTCATTACAGGAGTAACTAAAGTTTGAGAAAAATATTCCAGCAGGTCATTATATGTGTGTACTCTGTGTGTGTGTGCTTGTTTATTTGTTTATTTATTTATTTATTTATTTTATTCATTCCAAACTGGCAACTTTTCCTTTCATTTTAAATACACAATTTAAAAGCAGGAGGGAACTGTATTCCCAAAACTTATAGACCTACAGAAATAAAAATTGACTTAGAGGCCAGGAGCCCTGGCTCATGCCTGTAATCCCAGTGTTACTGGTGGAGGGTGTCCAGATTCTTGGCGTCTTGAACAAAGAATTGGACAAAATGCACAAACAAAGCAAGGAAAGAATGAATCGACAAAAGCAGAGATTTATTGAAAACAAAAGTACACTCCACAGGGCAGGAATGGGCCTGAGCATAGGGGCTTAAGAGCCCCAGTTAAATAATTTTCTGGGGCTTAAATACCCTGTAGAAATTTCCTGTTGGTGACTTGATGTACACCCTATGTAAATGAACCAGTCCTAGTGGTTGCAGAAAGCAGCCAATCAAAGGCTGAAGTGAAGTTACAGAGTTACATCCTATGCAAACGTCTGATTGGTTTTGGAAAGCAACCAATCAGAGGCTTAAGTGAAGTTACAAAGTTATACTCCTATGCAAATGAAGACTTGGCCCACTACCAGCCTGATTGGTTGCATGAGGGGACCAATCAGAGGTACTTTCAATTTTTCATCTGCCAGGCAGAAAAGCAGGGGCAATACAAAGGGAATAGCCTCTGGTCCTTTCCTTTTGCTTTACTTCTAGGAAGTCAGTGTGAATTGGCCTTAGGTTCTCTGCCTCCAGACCCTATTCTTCTGCCTTGCCAGCACTTTGGGAGGCCAAGGAAGGCAGATCCCTTGAGGCCAGGAGTTCAAGACCAATTTGGCCAACATGGCAGAACCATGTCTCTACAAAAAATACAAAAATTAGCCAGATGTGATGGCACATGCCTGTAATCCCAGCTGCTCGGAAGGCTGAGGCATGAGAATCGCTTGAACCTGGGAGGTGGAGGTTGCAGTAAGCCAAGATCACTCCACTGTAATCCAGCCTGGGTGACAGAGTGAGACTCTGTCTCAAAACAAACAAACAAACAAAATCTATTTAGAGAAGAAGTCTTTACAAAACATTAACCTAAATTATAAGATGGGGGACAGCATAATTATAATATTGGTAAGTGACCACAAAAAGTAAACATGATCATTCCTGAAACACTGACTATTAAGTCCAGAGAGATTATAAACATACACACTTTTATAACTGCTAGTCATTTCTGTCTAAGCTTTAGTTATTAAGTTAAATTATTTACATCTAAACCATGAAAAGAATTCACAATTTTTCTGAAGTTAAGTTTTCTCTTCAAGAGAAGAGGAAATTTTACAATGAAACATACTCTTTAGATGGAAATCTGACAATATAAAATTGGAGTTTAAATTTTTTGTGGGGCTGGGCACGGTGGCTCATGCCTGTAATCTCAGCACTTTGGGGGACAGAGGTGGGTGGATCACGAGGTCAGGAGATCGAGACCAGCCTGCCCAACATGGTGAAACCCCATCTCTACTAAAAATACAAAAATTAGCTACGCGTGGTAGTGCACACTTGTAGTCCCAGCTACTTAGGAGGCTGAGGCAGGAGAATCACTTGAACCCGGGAGGCAGAGGTTGCAGTGAGCCGAGATCCTGCCACTGCACTCCAGCCTAGGCAACAGAGCAAGACTCCGTCTCAAAAAAAAAAAAAAATTGTCGAAGATGTAAATTTAAGTCTGTATTTGTCAGCTATAAAGTAGCTTACCAATTAAAAAAATTTACATTAATCTGGTGATATGGTTTAGCTATATCCCCACCCAAATCTCATCTTGAATTGTAGTTCCAATAATCCCCACATGTCATGGGAGGGCTCCAGTGGGAGGTAACTGAAACATGGGGGCGGTTTACCCCATGCAGTTCTCATGATAGTGAGTGAGTTCTCATGAGATCTGATGGTTTTATAAGGGTCTTTTTCCTCTTTGCTTGGCACCTCTCCTTCCTGCCATCATGTGAAAAAGGATGTGTTTGCTTCCCTTTCCTCCATGATTTTAAGTTTCCTGGAGGCCTCCCCAGCCATGCGGAACTGGGAGTCAATTAGACCTCTTTCCTTTATCAGTTATCCAGTCTTGGGCAGTTCTTTATAGCAGCATGAAAATGGACTAATACATCTGGTTTGTTTCTTATTTTCCATAATCTAAGTTGGGGTTCAGAGTTCTTCCTCAATTCTTCCCAAGCACTCTAAACTCTACCTACTTTTGTTGTTCTAGAATACTCTTGATGTCTCTGTCTTACCCTAGATGGATTCTAGAGGCCCAGTCCATGTGTCTTTTATTTACAGTTGACCCTTAAACAAAAAACAATTTTTGAACTCTGTGGGCCTGCTTATATGTGGATTTCTTCAACCTTTGCCATCCCTGAGACAGCAAGACCAACCCCTCCACTTCCTCCTACTCCTCGGCCTACTCAACATGAAGATGAGAAGGTTGAAGACCTTTATGATGATCCACTTCCACTTAATGGATAGTAAATATATTTCTCTTCCTTATGATTTTCTTAATAACATTTTCTTTTCTCTAGCTTACTTTATTATAAGAATACAGTATATAATCATATAACATACAAAATATATGTTAATCAACTGTTTATGTTATGGGCAAGGCTTGCAGCCAACAGTAGGCTATCAGTAGTTAAGTTTGGGGGGAGTCGACTGTGGGCTGGGGCACTGTGGTTCATGCCTGTAATCCCAGCACTTTGGGACGCTGACACCAAGGCATGAGGAGCACTTGAGGCCAGACATCAAGACCAGCCTGAGCAACTTAGCAAGACTCCCCCATCACTCTCCCCACAAAAAATGTATATGTATATGTCAGTCTGGCCTGGTGGTACACACCTATAATCCCAATTACTCAGAAGCTGAGGCAGGGGGGTCATTTGAGCCCAGGAGTTCAAGCCTGCAGTGAGCTATGGTATGCCACTGCACTCCAGCCTGGACAACAGAGTGAGATTCTGTCTCAAAAAAAAAAAAAAAAATTATATGCTTTTTTTTTTTTTTTTGAGACAGGTTCTCTCTCTGTCACCCAGGCTGGAGTGTGGTGGCGTGATCTCAGCTCATTGCAGCCTCAACCTCTGAGGCTCAGGTGATTCTCCTACCTCAGCCTCCCAAGTAGCTGGTACTCAGGTGTGTGCCACCACGCCTGGCTAATTTTTTATATTTTTAGTAGAGATGGGGTTTTGTTATGTTGCCCAGGCTGGTCCTGAGCTCCTGGACTCAAGCAATACCCCCACTTCAGCCTCCCAGAGTGCTGGGATTACAGGTGTGAGCCACTGTGTCTGGCCGATATGCAGATTTTTTACCTATATGTAGGTGTATGAGTTCCCCTAACCCCCAAGTTGTTCAAGGGTCAACTGGTACTGTGGTATTCACAGAACCTAGTACAGTGCCTGGCTCATTGATGCTCAATAAACATTTTTTGAATTTAATTAAGTATTTAAAAATTAAGACATAGTAATATTTTGTATATTAATGACATTTTAAATACCCAACATTTTCATTTAGGCCAAAGTTATTTAGTTTTCACATACACCATCACTTAATAAGTGATGCTGAATTTATAAGACTAAATAAGTTTACGAGAAATTCAGCCTTAGGAGATTCACTGTAAAATTCTAGTAAACAAATTCTTCAGGGCTAATTTTCTTTCTCTGTTCATATAACTCAAAAGTAGCTATAATAAAATTTGGTTTTTTTTGTTTGTTTTTTGTTTTTGTTTGGATGGAGTTTCGCTCTTGTTGCCCAAGCTGGAGTGCAATGGTGCAACCTCGGCTCACTGCAACCTCCATCTCCCAGGTTCAAGCAATTCTCCTGCCTCAGCCTCCCGAGTAGCTGGGATTACAGGTGCTCGCCACCACGCCCGGCTAATTTTTTGTATTTTTGGTAGAAACGGGGTATCACTATCTTAGCTAGGCTGGTCTCGAACTCCTGACCTCAGGTGATCCGCCGGCCTCGGCCTACCAAAGTGCTGGGATTACAGGAGTGAGCCACTGCACTCGGCCATAAAATTTATTCTTTTACAGCATCTTTATATTCAAGTATTTTGTAGAAAGTATTCAAGATTATTTGGTTCCTTAGGATGTTATATAATTTTTATTTATAATTAAAATATTTGATAAAGCCTTTAGACATTTAAAATCCAAATTTCTATGTCCAGAAATTATGTGTTACTGGGAATGAGAAATTACACTGCAGGCTCCGCTAGGATCCTTCTGAACGTGCCCTGCTTTAAATGGCCAACAGGGGGCAGCATGTTCTAGGGCAATGTCTCGAATCCTGCAACAGTCTTTGTGACGAAAAACAGTCGCCGAACTGCCACCAGAACTCTTGGACTGTGGAATGCAGGGTAAACAAAAATCTATTTACTGGCTCCAGTCAAACTACTTCTAAAGCAGTAGAGGTCATCTTATGGTTTCAATCATTTTACAATTAGTTTCAATACCACCACTAATTATCACCTGCTTGTTAATGCATAATAATAGGTGAATATAACACAAAATAGCAAGTTTCCTGTCAAGCCAGAGAGGAGAGAAGAAAGAGCTAAAAGAATCTTGGGAACATGAAATATTGAAAAATGCTTAAGTAATCTGGAACACTTATTACCTGCACACTTAATGATTTTTCAGTCTAATAAACATGATTAATATGTGATTTTTTACTGTTTATAATACTAACGCCTTATATATATTATTAACATAGATACTAATAATAGTAATGCACTCAAATAACTATAAGAACTAGTGAGGATTTTTAGGCTAATGTATTCATTCTTTGTACAAGTAAATTCTGTAAAAACAGAAAAATTTATCCTATGAAATAGATTGACATTCAATATCATATATTTTACTATAACTGTAGGATGTTACTAGTATGGGGTCCTTTTATAGACTAATATACAGTAGTAAAAATTATGGTAAAATCGTAGGCAAGTTAGATTAGAAAGATAATTACTTTTTTATTTTGTTCAATTTGGTTAGATTTGTTCTTTAGCAAAAGGCATTCATTTGTGTATATTCTTAATTTTACTCTGCTATGTTGTCATGCTTACCCACACAAACTGTTAATTAATAGTACCCTTGATTTTGAAGCTTGAAGAGATCCTGACATTCCCTCTATTTAAAGAGTCTTTGAGTCCCTACTTTTGATGCAGTTTCCTAGGATACTGAGAAATCAGTTGCTATTTAAACATTGGCTAGACTTGTCTAACTTCAAATAATTTACTTGAGACTTGTTTAAAATTATATTAGCCACTAAGCTTAGAAATGTGTCAAGTAGGAGTCAGGTTATGACCTCATACTTCAAATGAGACTTGAAGACTTGGTTGGCTCTCATAATCTCAGCTAGTCCTCACTGATGGCTCTATGGCAGTGCAGCACTGAAGAAGTACAATCAGGAAACATCACTCTAGCTCTATTATACAGTTCACTTAGTTGATGAGTATTGAACCAATTATTAAATTTTTCTGTACCTCAATTGTATGTAAACAGTGTAGACATTTTTTAAATGTTTGTCAAAGTGATTATGACCATCATATTACTTTGGTTTTCTAAGAAATCAAAAAGGAGATTTACAAATAAAGAACTAAATGGTAATGAAAAGTTCCTTTTAAGGGTAATTTCTAAATATGAGTAATTTTAATTTTAAAAAGAAATTAACAGTGTGCTCAAAGTGCTTTGCCAGGTCCTGAGAAGACTAACATAAATAAGTTAAGAGGAGCAGTGGCTCACGCCTATAATCCCAGCACTCTGGGAGGCAGACATGGGTGGATCCCTTGAGCTTGGTATTGGATCCCAGGAGTTCAATACCAGCCTGGGCAACACGGCAAACCCCATTTCTACCAAATACACACACACACACACACACACACACACACACACACACGCGCGCGCGCGCGCGCACTTATTAGCTGGGTGTGGTGTCTCACGCCTGTAGTCCCAGCTACTCTGGAGGCTGAGGTGGGAGGATTGCTTGAGTTGGTGAGGCAGAGATTGCAGTAAGCAGAGATCAGGCCACTGCACATAGCCTGGGCAACAGAGTGAGACCCTGTCTCAAATAAATAAGTCAAGAGGAGCATATCATAGCAGAGCCCTTCCTAGGGAGCTGAGGAAGGTTTCACAAGGAAAATAACATAATGTGGCCTGAAGGATGCTGAAAATTTCAACCAAAAGCAAAAAGATTATTAAAAATAATAGGCCCGGTGCAGTGGCTCACGCCTGTAATCCCAGCACTTTGGGAGGCCGAGGTGGGCGGATCATGAGGTCAGGAGATCGAGACAATCCTGGCTAACACGGTGAAACCCCGTCTCCACTGAAAAATACAAAAAAATTAGCCGGGCGTGGTGGCAGGTGCCTGTAGTTCCAGCTACTCGGGATGCTGAGCCAGAAGAACGGCGTGAACCCGGGAGGCGGAGCTTGCAGTGAGCAGAGATCGCTCCACTGCACTCCAGCATGGACGACAGAGCTAGACTCCGTCTCAAAATAATAATAATAATATTCGGAGCAAATTCAAGGAAGTTGGACAGAATAGGATAACAGAAATGGCATATCACCTTTAGTGCCTGAGTATGTGGGGTGTACATGAGTATGGGTCAGAAGAAGGAAGATGTTGGATGGTATGTCAAGGGTATGTACCTTATATTCAGTGGACATGGCAAAGCAGCAAATATTTATAAAATAGCATGATTACATAATCAAATTCATATTAAGACTCTGGCAGCAATCTGAAAGATGCATTGGAATAAGAGGAGAGATAGGAGACAAGGACTGAAAAGCTATTACAAGAAAGACAGCGAAGACCGGAATTGAAACAGCAGTAAGAAAAAGAAGATAAATTTGAGTTATTTCAAATGATGCTTTAATAGGACCACAGTTAAAGAATGGCCAATTTTTCTGGTCCCTTACACTGGCCCTAAAATTTCTACTTAGTCTTGACAGTGTGAGGCAAAAAGGAAAGTTAAGAAAGTAAGATAATTATTCTATTTTAATAATTCATAATAATAACATGATTAATAATAAAATTTAAGATAGAGGAAGGTAGTCGAATTGGATTTGGCTGTGTGAATGTCGAGGCATTGGTGAATTGTCCAGAACAGACGCTCACACAAATTGGATATTAAGATTTAGGGCTTGGTAGACAAGTCAGGGTTGGAAGTAGAAATTTGGGGACAGTTTATGCATAAGTGGAAGAATGAAATCACTGCCAGAGAAGGAATATATATGGAAAAGAGAGGAGTGTTGAAGATGACCTCAGAAGGAAGTAAGCAGAAAAGAGGAGGCAGCTGTAAGGCAAAGGTGTGGATGGAGAGGTAGAGAAAAAATAGTGCCCTAGAATCTAAAAAAATGGACAAGTTATCAGCAGTGATAAATGCTAAAATGCAGGAAGGCTAAGGATTGAGATGTCATTATGTTCAAGGAGGCAACTTAAGTGGAATGGTAAGAGGAAAGTGGATTGCCTCAGGTTGAACAGTAAATGAGAAGTGAGTTTGTATCCTTATTTCCATACTTCCATAATTTCCAAAAATCATACTTTGTGTGAAAGTAAATTATAGCCCTAAGAGTGTTCAATATACTCTGTAAAGAGATGGAAATGTACAACATAACTAGAATGTGCAAAAATGTGATAACTCTGGCTCTTAAAGAGGTAAGCTTCAGCTATCTAAAATGCCACTAGAATGAACATCTCATTTCCTCCACAGCAATGTCCAAAATGCATGTTTGTTTTTAATGTTTTTTAATACTGTACTTAATGCATGAGCACCAACAGTAGAAAGAATAGAAAACCACCATAGCCAGTGGGAGATATATCCAGAATCTGCAAATCAAAGGATAAAAACTGCAATACTCAAAAGATTCCAAGAAAATAGTATTTTATCTTTAATGTCTATTTTTCACAGTATTAAATTAAATAGCACTCTTACATTGATCTTAATACTAGTGTTCTTTAATTCATTTACTAAAAAACAAACAAAACAGGGTTTCTGTTCCTATTTTGATCTTAGAAGTAGATAAGGACACCAATTATATTAAATGAACTCCAATTCAAACCACTGTCAAATACTTTTTGGTATTACAAATTTGGTAAATATGGGCCGGGCATGGTGGCTGACACCTGTAATCCCAACACTTTGGGAGACCAAGCCAGACAGACTGCTGAGCCCAGAAGCTCGATAACAGCCAGGGCAACATGGTGAGACCCCATCTCTACAAAAAAAAAAAAAATTACAAAAATTAGCCAGGCTCGGAGATGGGCACCTGTCATCCCAGCTACTCAGGAGTTGAGACAGGAGGATCAAATGAGCAGATTGACAGAGTAAGACTATGTCTCTAAACTAAAAAAATAAAAAATAAGTCCATTAAAGTCACTCAGTGAGGCCCTGGTTGGTGCCTTAGAGTCGTAATCCCAGTATATACTATAAGGTCTATAAGGATAAATGTAGAAATATTTTTTATCAGATTTAGTATCTGCTGTAGCCAAAGAATGGTACACGTAGACATTTACACATAATTGTTTAATGGATGGATCAGAATCCACATCTGTCTGACCCTAAAGCCTGTACTCTGTCTACCATATCACAGTTTCCTAAACTAATTGATACTAAGAATCATCTGGGGTAATTGCTAAAAAATAGATAAAACCCCCTCCCCAGGTGTTCTGATTGAAGGCCTAGAAATGTTTATTTTTAATAATGACCCTAAATTGTTCTTATCATTGGGCATATCCAAACCTGCAGAAATATTCCTTCTTCTAGCCTCCGCATTCTCCCCACTGACTCAATACCTCCTCCCACAAATAACAATACACATCCACTGACTCAATATCTCCTCCCACAAATAATAATACACATTTATTGTGCACTGTTCTAAATGTATTGATTCACTTGATGCTTACAACAACGTTATGAGGTAGACACAATAATTATCCTTATTTTTCAGAAGAAGAAACTGAGGTATACAGAGTTTAAGAAACTTGTACAAGGTCACAGAGCTAAGAATTAAGAGAGCAGAGATTTGAACCAGGCTTTCTCCAGAACCTGAACTTTTAATCATTATATTATTCTGTCCATACTCACTTGCCCCTTCCTCCCCAAGGTGCTAGCCCCAAAAGTTCCCTTTGGATAATCATTTCCATAACCGGTAATGAAAGTCAATTTATTGTCTCTGTATACTTGATTACAATTTCAAACTGGTAGATTATAAATAAAGGAAGTTCCACAAGAAGGTATTCAACTAGATATTTTAAATATAAGAAGTAGCCATTTATAAGAAAAGTATTACCTGCAGCAGTATAATCCCAGTCATAAAAACATAATGTGTAAAATAATATATATAAAATAACTTTTAAAAGCTACACATATCCAAAAAGATAAGCAAATTATATTGTACCACCTGAAAGATATTTAAAAATAAAAGTATATTTGGCATTTAGGGGGCTTTAAGGTAATTTGGGGGAATATATAAATTAGTTATTCATTTACCACTATGTTGCCAAGCAAGATTAAAAGAAATAAATTTCTTATTAGACACTGTCAAACAGAAACCCAATGAGTATTCAATAAATTCACTGTATATCAAGAATTCAATTAAAATCTAAATCTCCTTTTAATAATGATAGCTACAACAAAATAATTTAGGCAAATAATACAAGCTCAAGGCAACCAGATTAGATTATTAAACATATCCACAGATTAGATTTTTAAACATATCCACCTTATCACATATAATAGGTGTAATGAAATGGGGTGAGTGTCTTTTATCACTTAATTCCTACAGCTTTTTTTTAATGCTTTCTCTCCAAATGCTCAAGGTTCCTACCCACAAAACTATGAGAACATGTGTTTTTCTTTTTATTACTCATACGCCATGCTTTTAGGCATTGCCTTTTTTTAAAAAAAGTTCTTAGAATGTATCTATGTATCATGGTTGAATTATCCCTAAGACAGAACAGAATCCCAGTGGAAGATCTTTCTGAAGTGGCTGACAGAATTAAGAGTTGGGGTGGGACCCTGTCAAATGATTTATCATTGTGATTAACCTGAAAAAAATAAAACAATAATAACAGCCTACCTGAAGCTTTAACTCTGTTCTATACATGATAAATACAAGAATGAATGTCAGGAGAAACCTCAAAGGCTTTCTTTGACATTAGCAGCAAACAGAAACAACAGTAACAGAAACAACAGTAACTAAGGCCTTTGTTTACTGTTTTGGATACTACAAATAAGCACTGTCATGCTCTGTTAATACATCCTATTATCTGTCTCTAAAAAATACAACTGCTAAATTAGTGACATCATAGAAGAGCCATAGAATACATTGTGAGTAATAAAAAACTCTTTTTGTAAAGGCAATGGCCTCTGTGTCTGTCATCTTACCATAACTGATAAAAACAAATCCTGGGTTCATATTAAAATAGTCTAAGCATATTATTAAAAATGTTCCTACCTGTATACTCCGTTTCTTTGAATGCTTCAAATACTGTCACTAGTTTTTGCATCAATACTTCCTCTTGTATATATGTATTATATATTCATTCATTTATTCATCAAAATATCTACACAATGCTAGGCCATACAGGAGAGACAACAATGGAAGACAAAATCCTTCCCCTCATGGAATTTATACTCTAGGAATTACAGTGATGAGTGAGGTGAAAGGGTATATATTTTACTTCATTTGAATCCCTACTTTTCTTCTCAGTGTTTCACATATACAAATATTTCATAACATTTGCTGAATGAGAAAATGATTTGGCCAGGCGTGGTGTCTCATGTCTGTAATCCTAGTACTTTGGGAGGCTGAGATGGGAGGATCACTTGAGCCCAGGAGTTTAAGACCATCCTGGGCAATATATTGAGACCTCGTCTCTATGAAAAAAAATGTTTTCTATAAAAAATAAAAATAAAAGAAAATGATTCCTTTCCTTTGTGCATCAGAAGCCATTTTCTCTATCCTTTATTATTGAATGGTTGTTTATAGTTAAGAGACTTTCAATGGGCTTATCTCACTTGATAAATATCATAAAGTAGACCAATGTTGTATGATACAGTAATTCAAGCAGTTGGACTTCACTGAATGAGCAACCTTACTCACTAATCACTGGTAATGCCTGGAGCTGACATTATTTCACACCTGTCATACATATCATTAAAAAAACAGAAACAAAAATCAAGAACATCTGAAGGAGGAGAAAAAAATTATACTTCTCTACCCTTGATTCAATAATTTTGCAAATATTTTCACATTAAAGCAGACTGGATATATGTGAAACTGGGGATGGGGGAAGATAGAGGGAATGATTTCAAGGGCATTGATATAACCGATAGCACTGAAAGTTAAATAAGTCATGGAAATTGTTGGCTAAGGTCCTTAAGGGGCTCTAAGGAGGCCCTAAGGCCCTACAGTCCTATGGGGTAATCAGTTGCTCTCTCAGTGGGAACTTAAACTATGTCCCAGAAACTGGCTCTAGATCTCTAATCTACATCTCTTGCAAGTAAGTAATTACTAATATTTTATATTTTAAACATAGGTAACATCTTATAAGGAAGGACAGGAGTCTGGATTTTTTCTCAGTGTCTCACTTTCTTACCTATACAAGGGAATCAGATTACCTATCAAAGCAGATATTACTGTTGCAAATTCAACATTCATCTATTTATCTCCCTTTTCTGCCTTTTTAACACAGCCCTAATTTCATGCATTCTCCCCAGAGTGTCTGTGTCCTTTAGGAGAGGCTGGCCTTCTCCTTAGCCCTGGGATATAAATTTCAATTGTCCTAATCCCACCATGGAGGCCTTACCTCCCTTGTTAGTGATAGACATAAGCACTCAAAGCAATTTCAGTTAATAAGACATGATGGAGAAATCTATCAGGGAAAAAGAGTTTCCTTAATCGTATAAAGGGGCAAAAGATAAAGGTGTTCCCCTTTTTGGTCTCTGAACATTATCTGTAATCTGGAACTGAGGAAATCATTTTAGGACCATAAAGGAAGCCAGACTGGAGAACAACACACTTAAAGATGGCAGAGCCAAAAGAAGGAAGAAACCTGTGTCCTTGACAATATTGTCCAGATGCAGAAGTAACCAACCCTGGGAATGATTTTATCTCCATGCATCTAGCTATTAGGATTTGTTTTTAAAAGGCTTGAACAATAAGGACATTTAGTAAGGTTCCTGTTACTGCAGCCAAAAGCATTTCAACTGATATGCCTTCTCTCTTTCAATAGTTTCACTCTTACATAGTAGGTTTCTCAATATAACAAGGTGTGTTAGGTTGGATGCAAAGATAACTGCCAAAATTTCCTCCTATGATCAAGCTGCTTAATGTCTATTTCCCTTTTCCACCATTCTAGTCCTTCTGTCATGGAATACTGCAGAAAAATATAATGCCAGTTCCAGACTCAGGCTTTAAGAGAATTAGCATCTTTCCTCCTCCTTAACTCTCTTGGAAGCCAGTCACCATGTAAGAAAGCTTAGGCTAAACTCCTGAATGGAGAGAGGCCTTGTGGAGAAGAATCAAGTAACTTCAACCAAGAGGCAACACCAAGACTTCAGCAATTTGAGTGAAGCCATCTTGGACCTTCCACCCCAGTTAAGTGAAGATAGCTGACACATCATAAAGCAGACTAGCCATCTCCGCTAAGCCCTTCCTGAATTCCTGGCAACAGAACTGTGAGCAATAAAACATCTGCTGTTTTTAGTCACTAAGTCTTGAAGTGGTTCATTATGAAGCAATTGATAATTTATAAACAAATTAATATTATTTGGTTTTTTGCTTTGTAAAATTGCTGTAGTCATTTCACAATGATAAAATTATTTAGTGAGTCACTAATAGCTTTGAATGCTAACGAACATTTTTCTCAAATATGTGTTTTAAGTCTTGGCTCACAAAGGAGAATTTGTTTCTATGTATGTATGTATCGCTTTGTTATTATCCTGTGTACTTTTTTAATATAACATTTTAAAAATATGTAACATTTAAACATGTAAAATGTAACGTTTTAAAAATAAATACAAATAAATGGGAAACGATTTGCAACAAACGAGTTGCTATCCTTAATAAGCAAAAAATTCTCACAAATAAAAAAGAAAAATCTTACTCCCTTAATTTTTTAAATGGGAAAAGCCATCTCTGAAGAACCATAAATGGTCAGTAAACATGAAGGGGGACTATCTTAAGCTCACAAAGTTGAAACATGAGGCATCATTTTTCACCGACTAAATAGCCAAAGAAAAATTTAAACAGTGAGACAATACCAGCAAGCTTCCACTGAAGAACGGGAAGACCCTAAGATAGGCTCCAGGAGTCTACGATACCAGTCTCCTTGAACTATGGGGACGTGGACGTCCCTGGTCACAAGTTGCCTGACTTTGGGCGATGTCTACGGCTGTAAATTTGGGATTATATAGCCACAGCACAGAACTGTTGTAAGGCTCCAGTGATACTCATAGGCAAAAGCAATATAAGTGACTGTTAGTTTTTGTTCAGCCTATTCATCCTTACATTTACTTTTGTCGGAAAAGAACTGGAATCACAGGAAAATCTGAGGTTTTTTTTTTTTTTTTTTTTTTGAGACAGAGTCTCGCTCTGTCGCCCAGGCTGGAGTGCAGCACATCTCAGTTCACTGCAAGCTCCGCCTCCCGGGTTCACGCCATTCTCCTGCCTCAGCCTCCCGAGTAGCTGGAACTACAGGCGCCCGCCAACATGCCCAGCTAAATTTTTGTATTTTTAGTAGAGACGGGGTTTCACCGTGTTAGCCAGGATGGTCTCTATCTCCTGACCTCGTGATCCGCCCGCCTCGGCCACCGCGCCCGGCCGAAAATCTGAATATTTTAATGGAAAACTGGGAGTGAGATTCGGGAATTACTTGAGACCAACAATGATGGGTGGTGCCAGGAGAAAGCCAGGGTGGGAACGGCCCAGGCGAGATGCGGGACCCTCCAGGTGCCGCCGCTCACAAGGACCCCTGACTCCTAGCGCACCCTCCCCTGGCCTTGGAGATTCCGCCGGGCTAGCGGCTACCGGGAGAAGGCGGTGGAAACTGTAGAGCCCGCGGCTCTGATTGGCTACCTCAGAGCAAGGGGCGGGGCGGCGGAGGACCCGAAGGGCGCGAGAGCGGAACACTGCGTACGCGCACTTCCGGTCTTTGTGGCTTGCAGCTCGGGGTGGGTGGCTCATTTCCTGGCCGCTCCTGGGCTTCGCGGTGAGGGACGTGGGCCCCTAGGAAGAGGGAGGTGGGGTTGGGAGCGCGCGCCGGACAGTGGAGGAGCTCCGCTCCTCGGCCTGCCCATCCCCAGGTCGCGGCCCTTTGGCCCGCGCGGCGTCTCCAAGCGACTGGGGAACTCAGAGGAGGCCAGCACTCAAACTCCTGCTTTCCAAAGGAAAACGCAGTTCCGCTGACCCCGTGACTTCGTAAATGCTGCGGTTTAACCAAGGATATAAAAATAGAAGGGCTAGTTAGTTAGTTAGTTAGTGCGGCCGGACTGGTTAAACCTTAAATTTGTAGGCTAAATATTTTAATTCATCTCTTAACGTTAACCGTAGTGTGAGGAATGAATTTTACTCATCTGTCCTGACAAACTAAGGGCATACATTCCTATCGATATCTCGCCATCCTAAAAGCAGGTCAAGTTTGGTCTGTGTCACAACATTTAATACCTATTTGTTACCATATTTTGCTTTTGAACATTTTTAGTCTTGGGATATTCTAAGCTTTTTCAGAACTGATACGGATCTCTTTGCTGCTTTTGTGTATGTGATACCTATCATGTTTTTGAACACATGGTAAGCATTTTACAGATACGTCTTGGTTCTTGGTCAATTCCTCTGTAGACTCGTTTATTCATAAGCAAAAATCTTAATGCTCAGTAAGTGCCTCAGTGTTTGTTGAAGTAATTCGGTAAACACCAAATGCGATCAAATGACAAATATCCAATATTTACATCAACTCATGTTTAATGTGAACTTTTAAAAAAACGTTATTACTGCCTTAAATGAAAATCAACATTACTTGCTTTAGATAGAAAGTAAGTAAAAATAAATGTTTAAAATCAGTATTACTAAATTCTGCCTAAATATTTTTACTCTTGGAAGTCTGATTCTGAAGCCTGTATTTTATTTAAAAGAGAGTTCTACAAGTTTTATTAATACATACATGTTAAAGATAGACTTTTCTCCTTGATACAATCAGAATTGAAAGAATTGGAAAGGAAATTTTCTCACTATGTGATTGATGTTAATGTTGCATTCACATTCTTAGGCTTCTAAAATAGTTTTTTCTAACATTAGTGGTAGGAATTCTTCATAATGGGAGACACTAATTGAGGTTAATGATTTTTAGTTTATCATCACATTATTGTTTTATTTAGTGATAGCCCCAAATCTACTCCCTTTCAATATATTACTAAAGTTACTCATCTTTCTTATTACAAGTACTTAGAGATTTTATTGATTGCTGTAAGTTAACTGCTTTTATATCCTTCAGGAAAGAAGAGATTACTCACACTCCTTCGCAAGCACAGAACCAGTTGTACTGAGCTTTTTGCTAAGCTGTTTCAGCCAAGAATGGCTGTGGAATCTGGAGTGATTTCAACCCTGATACCTCAGGATCCTCCGGAACAAGAACTAATACTAGTGAAAGTAGAAGATAACTTTTCCTGGGATGAGAAATTTAAGCAGAATGGGAGTACTCAATCCTGCCAAGAATTGTTTCGTCAGCAATTCAGAAAATTTTGCTACCAGGAGACACCTGGGCCCCGGGAGGCTCTGAGCCGACTCCAGGAACTTTGCTATCAGTGGCTAATGCCAGAGTTGCACACAAAGGAGCAGATCTTAGAACTGCTGGTACTGGAGCAGTTCCTGAGCATTCTGCCTGAGGAGCTGCAGATCTGGGTTCAGCAACATAATCCAGAAAGCGGCGAGGAAGCTGTGACCCTGTTGGAGGATTTAGAGAGGGAGTTTGATGACCCAGGGCAGCAGGTGGGAACGGAGAAAAGTGATGTGGGAAAAGGAATTTACAGCCTGGAGCATGTAATGGTATCATAACAGTAGGATAAAAATTTTTATGTCTCTACTGAACCCTAACCTGAAGTGACTAATAGAGCCATACTTGTCTATACCCTTGAATGGTCTTTTTCCCCTGTCCTTCATCCCTGGAGATGTCATCATTGACCTCTTTGAGATTTTTACTAAGCAAGTTTTCTTAGGGATTTTCTCACAAAGCTAACCATATTTTACTGATTTCAGGTCCCAGCTAGTCCACAGGGACCAGCAGTGCCATGGAAGGATTTAACATGTCTCAGAGCATCCCAAGAGTCAACAGACATCCACCTCCAGCCCTTAAAGACACAGCTGAAATCCTGGAAACCATGCCTTTCCCCTAAAAGTGGTGAGGAATGGGAAATCATCTGGAAACTCTTGACACTTAGGCCTCTGTTTTTGAGAATGCAGAATTAATTGCACTTGACAAACTTGCCACATGTGAGCATCACCTTTATTATTCTAAACCAGAGGTGCTCGCTTTAGCGGCTTTGTATTCACCCCTCATGAATTGCTGTCAGCCCTCCTGTGTGAGTTTCCCTGTTATTCATTCATTCATTTCATTATGTTGTAACTTTATAAAGCGTCAATACATGTCTGGTACTGTGGTAGGCCCCAGGAGAGGTTTCAGGTCTAGGTGGGTGATGGACAAATAAAAAGGCAGTTGCAATGTAGTAAATTATAGAATATAAGTAGGCAGTGGGTACTGTTGGAGCACATCTAAAGGCACCTAACCCAATCTTAGAGGATCAAGGAACACTTCCTGAAGGAAGAAAATCTAAGCTAAGACTTGAACTATGAGTAAGAGAAAGCCAGGTAAATAGGTGGGAGGAGGAGTAGCCCAAGTAAAGGCCATACCATCCCGAAGGTGTGAGAATATAACCCATTCTGAAAATTGCAGGTAGTTTAATTTGACTTGAATGGAGAATTGACAGGTGGTAAGAGAAGAACCAGAGAGGAAAATAGGATCCAAGTCATGAAGACCTGTATGTCATGTTAATTTGTTTGTATAGTTTCTTAAGTGCAGTGGGATGCAGTTGAAGGATTTTGGACAAGGAGTGACATAGTTTGATTTGCAGTTTAGAAGTTAGCTGCAAATGGAGAATCATGTAAGGAAGGCAAGAGTATAGTCCTATTAAAGACTGCTGTAATCCAAGTGGCCACAGTGTATTCAATCAATATGTGTTATGGTAAGCGGTGGAGAACATAAAAGCTGACTCCTGTTCAACAGCATTTAAGTTGTTTTGCAACATCTGGTAATTATTAAAACTAGAGTGTGAGGGAGAGGAGTTGAGGATGATACTGAGGTTTCAGTCTTCAACAGTCTGGTTAATGGTAGTACTGTTCATGTGAATGAGAAAACATAAGGAAAAACAGATACATCTGATGATGTGTTTAGGTTGGTACATTTGGTGCTTGTGAAATATTCAAAAGTAAAATGCCCAATTAGCATAAGACTCTAGAGCTTAATAAAATATGGATATAATTGGGGATCTGGGCAGACATTAGTCAGACAATAGCTTACAATGTAAGATGTAATGGAAGCCAAGGGTAGAGAGTTTGTAGAGTAAGGATACATGAGAGCCCAAAACAGAATCTGGAGGAACGCTCGTGTTTGAGTGATTTACCCTAGAATCTAAGAAGGAACAGCCACAGAAATCAGGCTAATATCACTGGAAGAGAATGTCTCTAGAAGGAAGGTGTGATCCTCAGTGTCAATGCTACAGAGAGGCTAAGTAATAATCTAGAAAGTACTTAGTGGATTAAAGAGCTATGAAGTGATCTTGATGAGAGTAGTATCAGTGGAAGTAGGGGACGGGGCGGTGGGGGGCGGGGGAGGACAGTAAGGCAGAAACCAGATTGTGGAATGAGGATACTTTCACTTGAAAGGCTGCAGACAACTCTTTCAAGAAATCACTATGAGAGAGTGAGGTTGCGAAACCACTTGAGAGAGAGTGAGGTTGCTTGAGGGAGATATGTAGGCAAGAAGGTTGATTTTAAAAGGTGAGAGACACTTAAGCTTATTTAAAAGCTGATGAACAGGAATCAGTTGAGAAAGAGATTGTAAATAGTAGAAAAAAATTGTAGGTAATTTATCAGTTGATGTCTCAAAAGAGGCAGGAAAGGATGGAATTCGAAGTGTAGATGTAGACTTTATTATTAGATAAGAGAGACCCTCTTTTGGCCAGTTGAAAAAAAAGATACTGGAGGACAGTGACATCTTTGTAGGTAGAAGCTTCTGTTTTCTCTCATGTAGAAAGTTTTGACGGTGACAAGAGAAATGTAATATCTGTTTTTTTGCTACTTATTGTTTCAGATTGTGAGAACAGTGAAACAGCAACAAAAGAGGGCATCTCAGAAGAAAAATCACAGGGACTCCCTCAGGAACCTTCATTTCGAGGAATTAGTGAGCATGAAAGCAATTTAGTGTGGAAGCAAGGAAGTGCTACAGGGGAGAAACTAAGATCTCCTTCCCAAGGGGGCAGTTTTAGTCAAGTGATCTTCACAAACAAATCTCTAGGAAAGAGAGACCTTTATGATGAGGCTGAAAGATGCTTGATTCTAACTACAGACTCTATAATGTGTCAGAAAGTTCCTCCAGAAGAGAGACCTTATAGATGTGATGTATGTGGGCACAGCTTCAAGCAGCATTCCTCTCTAACACAACATCAGAGAATCCATACTGGAGAAAAGCCCTATAAATGTAACCAGTGTGGGAAGGCCTTTAGTTTGAGGTCCTATCTTATTATTCATCAGAGAATTCATAGTGGTGAGAAAGCATATGAATGTAGTGAATGTGGGAAAGCTTTCAATCAGAGCTCAGCCCTCATTAGACATCGGAAAATCCATACTGGTGAGAAAGCTTGTAAATGTAATGAGTGTGGCAAAGCATTCAGTCAAAGTTCATATCTCATTATACATCAAAGAATTCACACTGGTGAGAAACCTTATGAGTGTAATGAATGTGGGAAAACCTTTAGCCAGAGCTCAAAACTCATTAGACATCAGCGAATTCACACAGGAGAGAGACCCTATGAATGTAATGAATGTGGAAAAGCTTTCAGGCAGAGCTCAGAGCTGATTACTCATCAGAGAATACATAGTGGAGAGAAACCCTATGAATGTAGTGAATGTGGAAAAGCTTTCAGTTTGAGCTCAAACCTTATCAGACATCAGAGAATTCATAGTGGGGAGGAACCTTATCAGTGTAATGAATGTGGCAAAACTTTCAAAAGGAGCTCAGCCCTTGTTCAGCATCAGAGAATTCATTCTGGGGATGAAGCTTATATATGTAATGAATGTGGGAAGGCTTTCAGGCACAGATCGGTCCTTATGCGCCATCAAAGAGTCCACACTATAAAGTAATTTGTGAATACTGTGAATAGTGTAAATACTTCAGTCAGATTTTTAAGTTTGTTAGTCAAAAGAGTTTACTTTGGAGCAAAACTCCATAAAGGTTATAAAATACTAGGTCTTGAGTCTAGCTTGCTTTGTGCAGCATTTCCCAGTGCTAATGTAAAGTGTCCCTTGAAAGCTTTTCCTGTGACTAATCAGAACAGAATACAGAAGAATCATTACTTCCAGCTCTTCTCTTATTAGGAATACTCAGGAAATACGAAAAGTGGGAATGTAACATTGAAACCTCATTTTGTATGAAAGTGTCATGAATATAGCAACCCAGGCTCTGTCACTGCATCTGATTGTTAGTGTGCCAGGTTATGGGGCTGGTGTGGACTGTGTGAGGCACTTCGTCTCAGGAACTAAAAAAAAAAAAAAAACTGACCCAATAAAGAACAGTGACAGAGCAGCAGGAAAGGTGGGGAAATGGCTTCATCAATGATTTGTTGAGCCCAGGGCAGGCCAGGAATTAGATAGGCATGAGAAGAAAGAATATAATTTACCCAAAGGTTATTTTTTGAGTACCTACTTTGTCCCAGGAACTAGGAATACAGTGGAAAACAAGACTGTAGTCTCTACAGTCTAATGGGCAAGGCAGCCAGACAGGCAGTGAAAGTGGAATGCTCCTATGTGACCTTAAGGAGCACCTGACTCAGCCTTGGATAAGGAAATGGGGGAAATGGCCTGAAGGATGAGGAGGAGTTAGCCAAGGTGGTACTCTAGGGAAGTGGTACCCCAGTAAAGAACAGTAGCCAAAGGCCAGAAACAAAGTGTGGAGCATTCCTTGAGTTCCTGTTGTAGTGAGGTCTTGTCTGTCAGAGAAGTCTGGGTCTGGCCAGACTCTTAAGCAGTGCCAATGGAGAAGTTCCTGTTAATAGACAAAACCTGGAGCCCTTGGGCCACAGGGTAGTCAAGAGCTTTGTCTTGGTTTATGTGACCCCAGGGAAAGGGCAAATATGTGGTTTCCTTGCCCAACCTGTAGGCTATCCTAGAACTTCCATGAGGGTGGTGGTGGGAATGAGGGTGAGAAAGAGCCCAGCCTATACCTCAAGAGTCTGCTAGAGTGTTAAGACTCTATTCTCCTTTGATTCTAAAGACAATATCAGAGCTGCTGTCAGGTTTCTTAAAATTCCCAACGCTCTGGATCAGAAGCTGCCATATCATTTGTTTCTGGGGCTATACGCCCACAATTCCTAGTACATTCCCTTGGGCTTTGGTGCTCAAAAAATATTTGTCAGTTGCTGGGTCTGTGACATTCTTTGGGCACCTCGCACATGTTCAGTTTTGTCTTATGTCACCAGTATTTCACAATATCTTTTGCAATTTTTTTTTTTTTTTTTTTTTTTTTGAGATGGAGTTCGCTCTTGTCCAGGCTGGAGTGCAATGGCACGATCTTGGCTCACCGCAAACTCTGCCTCCTGGGTTCAAGCGATTCTCCTGCCTCAGCCTTCTGAGTAGCTGGGATTACAGGCATGCACCACCACAGCTGGCTAATTTTGTATTTTTAGGAAAGACAGGGTTTCTCCATGTTGGTCAGGCTGGTCTCGAATTCTCGATCTCAGGTGATCCGCCCGCCTCGGCCCCCCAAAGTGCTGGGATTACAGGCGTGAGCCATGGCGCCCAACCATCTTTTGCAAATTTTATTAAAGACAATGCTAAAAGGAAGTGACAACTGAAACTAATGGTCACAGTCAGTCAAGACTTCCCTTTTCTGAGGGGCCTAGCAGGAAGAGAATATTTAGACTGATGCTTAGTGTAAGAAGGAATGTTGTACAGGTTAACCAGCAACACAAAGACATATTCAAAAGACCTAATAGGTCAGAAGAATAACATACCACACCAAAAACAAATCTGTATGGAAATCTAGAATCATGTGCATAGAAAAAGAATTTTCATGAGGATAAAAAGAAGCAAAGAGAAGTAATGCTCTTATTGGGGCGTGCATCAGTGGACATGTGCTAACCAGTAAGAACAGCAGGAGGCCTAAATGCCCATGTTTAGGGAGAGAATATGGAAAAAATGGATGGGATTATTTGGAAAAGATGTAAGAGATTAAAATACGTGGTAAGAGCTACTCAACTCTTGTTTTTCTCCTTTTCCATAGATAAAGACCTGAACAAACTGAAAAGGTAGGACGTAAAGTAGGAATTGTAAAACGGAAATACTCTTTATATAAGAAAGCTCTACTGTATGTCAGAAAGCAATGTAATAGATAGACCAAGCACAGTGGCTCACACCTATAATGCCAGCACTTTGGGAGGCCAAGGCTGGAGGATTGCTTGAGTCTAGGAGTTCAAGCCGAGCCTGGGCAGCATAGTGAGACCCCATCTCTACAAAAAATAAACAGAATTTGCCAGACGTGGTAGTGCATGCCTGTAGACCCAAGTATTTGGGAGGCTGAGGTGAGAGGTTCGCTTGAGCCCTGGAAGTCGAGGCTTCAGTGAGGCAAGATCACACCACTGCACTCCAGCCTGGGAGAGCAAGACCCTGTCTCCAAACCAAAAAAAAAGGAAAAAAGTAAATGTAATAGATACTTGCTAAGGGCTTTGTATATACTTATTATTGTTATTTCTCAGCACGTATGTAGCAGATGAGGAAATGAAGGCTAAAGGTCATATATCTACAAAGTGGGGAGGTCAGACTTTGAACCCACAACCTGACTGTGGAGCCACTTCAGTATACTCTCTCCCCATAAGAAAGTTCCAATAGAAAAAAAATGCTACTTAAGTAGGGAAATCACAAAATAAGTGCCAATGAACAATAAATGTTCAACCTCACTACAGTTAAAATGTATATTAAAGCAAGAGTTGAGATGACACTTTTCCTTATAAAACAGACAGGGATTCAGGGACATTGGGACTCTAATGCTGCTGGTAAGACATGAATAAATACATACCATCTCTGGCAATCAATACCAGAAGCTTTAAGCATTGCCTTTTGACTTTGAAATTGTACCTGGAAATGTATGTTTCAGTAACCATCATGAATGTACACAAAATCCTGAAACTCTTAAAACTGATGTCACAGGCCAGGCACAGTGGCTCATGCCTGTAATCCCAGCACTTTGGGAGGCTGAGGCGGGTGGATCACCTGAGATCAGGAGTTCGAGACCAGCCTGACCAATATGGTGAAACCCCGTCTCTACTAAAAATACAAAACAATTAGCTGGTGTGGTGGCATGTGCCTGTAGTCCCAGCTACTTGGGAGGCTGAGACAGGAGAATTGCATGAACCCGGGAGGTGGAGGTTGCAGTGAGCCGAGATTGTACCACTGTATTCCAGCCTGGGTGACAGAGTGAGACTGTGTCTCAAAAAAAAAAAAAAAAAAAAAAAAAACACTGATGTCAATTAATATTAAATGAAGTATTCATGATATATTGTTAAGTAAAAATATTACAAAACAATATGTACAGTATGATCCTATGTAAAATATATATTTATGTATTAAAAATACTGAAAACATAAAGTGCTATACTGGTTATGTGTGGGTGCTGAGGTTGTAGGTGATGTAATTTTTTTCTTGTGCTTTTTTGTGTTTTCCAAATTTTTCTATAGTAAACCTCTAATACTCTTAAAATTAGGGGGCAAGAGTGAATGGAATCCCAGGATGCTTGAGAAAATATTTTAAAAGCACTTGCTTTTCATAGCATCTCTTGTCTCTTCCAAGTTTCAGGAAATTAGCTAACTTGTTAACTCTGATCCCTTCATCACTGGTAAAATGACAATGGTAAACATAACCATCTCACACCTAGTATATTAAAAAGTCTACAAAGTATAAATCTGGGTGCAAAAGGAATTCTTGCCTGAAAGATTTACAGTTGAGAAAAGCAATAGCTTTGAAGTGGAGATCTTTGATTATTAGAGTTTTTCCATGTATTCCATAGCCATAAGCAAGTCATCTTCCAACTCTAGACCCTCACTTAAAGGAGCTGATGTAGATGATCTCTTATGGTCAAAACTTCAACATTCCACTTTTTATGAAATGGAAGGGGCACCAATATAGGGTGGATGTCAAAGGAAATTTTTTCGTCTTCACCACTCTTGCTTGGAAGAAAAGTAATTCATGCCTTTCCCTTCTGCTCAGGGCTGTCCTGTTTCTCTTGGTATAGAAGCAGTCCAGGGAATAATAATGTCTACCTTAAATGAGTCTTAAACAGATTTTAAAAGATAATGTGCAATTTAGTGTACTTAACTTTGATTTCCTGCCTTTCCCCTTCCCTCATTTCCATAGCCTGCAACTAATACATCCAGCTGAAAGGATTGGAAATTTAAAGCAAATCTGACCCTCATCTCTCCAAGCTCATTGAAGACCTGCTGAGGGAGGAGGTGGTCATGGCAGGTCCACAGGTCTAAGCTTGGTCCTTCTCAGCAATTAGTGTTGAAGATTCCAGTCTGGTGCATACAGCCACCTCCACTAAAGGGAAGAGAGAGTCCTAATTCTGGTGAACACAGGACGTGTTTGTGTTTAAGAGGCTCCTTCTTGCTCTCATTCCCATTGTCTTCCAACAACAACTAAATCTCAGATGCCCCCTCACTTTGGTTAACTGCAGCCCCAGAGACTGTCTCTTTTAGTTTCCCGACACTTTTTGGCTCAGAAAATAGAAACTGAGAACACCAGTTCCCTATCTTCTTCCCACAACCTCTTCCCCATCGTCCTAGCATTATCTCTGTTCATGTTATTGTGTTCCGTATTCCTGAATGAATAATTTCAAAGCAAACTTTTAAAACTCAAGTTTTATTGCAATACATCTTGCATTACATTCTAATAATAAACGGTTGAAGTATAAATTTTGAAATTAGTTACCAAAAATCATTTACTAAACAGTAGTTTTACTAAAAATACTAGGATTGGGAAAAATAAACACTAATAGAAAGTACTCCAAAATGTTAACAACGTTTCTATGGGCATTGGGATTGGGGGTGGTTTATACTTTCTCATTTTCTGTATTACCAACACTTACAATTCACAATCAGGAGAAAAACCTATTATATGATACTTAAAACATTAAATCTCTGATTGTCACCTATAGGAAAAGGCAACTCACTATCCATTTGAAAGATCCCTTTAGACTTCTGATCGACCTCACTCGATAACTGCACAACCTCTGGACACAAAGAGGCCGAATTGTCCCCCCAATTTCACCTCCCCTATTACCCACAACAGCAGTGATATGGTTTGGCTCTTGTGTCCCCACCCAAATCTCCAATAGTAATCCCCAGGTGTTGAGGGAGGGTCGTGGTGGGAGGTGATTAGATCATGGGAGCAGATTTCCCCCTTGTTCTCATGATAGTGAATTCTCATGAGATTTGGCTGATTGATAAGTGCCTAGCATTTCCCCTGCACTCTCTCTTGCCACCTTGTGAAGAAGGTGCTTGCTTCCCCTTCGCCTTCCACCATGATTTAAGTTTCCTGAGGCCTCCCCAGCCCTGCAGAACTGTCAGTCAATTAAACCTCTTTTTTTTTTTTAATAAATTACCCAGTATCAGGTAGTATCTTCATAGCACTGTGAAAATGGACTAATACAAGCAGTGATCACCAAGTCTTCTTTAGAAATGACACTACCTAGGATATCTTAGAAGAGGAATCAAACTTTCTTTTAGGTATTAATTGCCCTCAGCAATTGTGGGTTAATTAAAACTGCCAAAATAAAAATTAGCAGAGAGAGTTACAGGCAGAGGTTATAGCCCATACAATGGCATGAAGATAAGATAGGATCTGGAGACAGCCCATCATCAGGACTCTTCTCTCCAGCAGGAATTAGTTGTCATAAAGCCTGGCTCAGAATCCCCATGTGTTGCTTTTCCTCTTCCTACTTATAATCACTGAGTTGGGGAGCCTATTCTAGACCCAGAATGACCTGTGAGACTCTGAAGTACTCAGAATTAGTGTGGTGAGAGACTGGTGCATTTTATGGGAAAAGGCATGTATATACACAGGGAAAGAATGCATATCAGAGGCTAGAGAGACAGTGGGGACTGGAGTGTTTGTGTCCCATGACTCTGGGACTCAGGCAGTGGGAAGTATAAAGGAACACGGTGATCTGCCTTCCCAGGCTCTGCTATTCCCCATTCCCTGCCCACACCCCTCCTTACCAGGCTTGCAGGCCCTGAGCTATTATACTTGAGGGCAATAAATATTTGTTGAATTACTCCTTCAGATTCATTTTTTTAAAAATTAGGTCTATGACAATTTCTGCAGTAGAGAAGAGTCTTCATGGAGTGTCTCCAGATCCTGTTCTCTTCTCCCCTGCCCTTGCTACCTTCTACCCACCTTTATGTCTGAGATACCATCATATCCAGGAAGTCTTTAGTGACTCATAGACCAGATTTAGGTATCCCTGCCATGTACTTTGATGGAAACCCGCATTTTTCCTACCAAAGCACTTACCACACTTTACTGTAATTACTGTTTAGTATATATGCATATCCTATTAGCCCTTAACTCTGGGAGGGCAATGACCAGGTCTACCTCAATGCCTAGCACATAGCAGGTGCTCAATAAACTAGTAGACTTGAATTAACCTCAGCAGGAAGCTCAGGATTGAGGAGACAACTGGCAAGGGGGCAGAATGAGGCACCATTCCTCAGGTACTATTTTACTGCCTCAGATATTATTAAACTAATAGCATAATTCAATATTTTCACAACCTCCAAATTCAACATTTCAGATAGTTGAATAACTCTCAGCACATGCCTCCACCTGACAAAATACAAATGCTCTTGCCAGGCACATTTGCCATCTTATAAGAAGCTCTTTCAGGATCTCTGCCCCAATCCTGGCATTACTGTGAAGGTGCCCAATGGAAATTATATCTGAGTTGGCAGAGAGTGGAGTGAAGGGGATATTGATGAGTCTCATCCAGAAATGGGTTAGGCATTTCAAGGAAATATCTACCATTCTTTTTGGAGAAGACTTGGGTAACATTTTTCTTCCATTTAACACTTCAATAATCATAACAAACATCTTTGTGTGCATGTCTTCTTATAGTACCGAACTGGGAGGGAAGGACAGAAGTTCTGCTCTCAGGAAACTTTTCTTTTCTGTGGAGTCTCACCCCTACAGTGAACTCCTTGCATTTCACAATTGTACAACTCTTACCCACAGAGTTAAACTCTGGTGTGTGTTCTCTGATGCTGCATAAGGCCTGACCTATGCCTAAATGTTTTTCTACATTCACTACATTCATAAGGCTTCTCTCCAGTGTGAATTCTCTGGTGCTGGGTGAGGGCTGAGCTCTGATTGAAGGATTTTCCACATTCATTACATTCATAAGGTTTCTCTCCAGTGTGAATTCTTTGATGTTCAATAAGGATAGAACTCCTACCAAAAGCCTTACCACATGCAATACATTCATAGCTTTTATCTCCAGTGTGAATTTTCTTATGCTGAATAAGGGCTGAGCTCCGGCTGAAGGCCTTCCCACATTCTCCACATTCATAAGGCTTCTCTCCAGTGTGGATTCTCCGATGCCTGATGAGCTCTGAACTGCCCCTGAAGGCTTTTCCACATTCACAACATTCATAGGGTTTTTCACCACTATGAATTCTCTGATGTCTAACAAGGTCTGAGCTCAAACTGAAGGCTTTGCCACATTCTTTACATGCATAAGGTCTCTCTCCAGTATGAATTCTCTGATGTCTAATCAGCTTTGAGCTCTGGCAAAAGGCCTTCCCACAGTCAAAGCACTCATAGAGCTTTTCCCTAGTGTCAACGCTCTGTTGTGTAATATCATTTGAATTCATACTGAAACTTCCTTCACTCTCATGAGATTCAAGGACACTGTGTTCTGTGGGGATTCTTCTGTTGAAGGTTGCCAGACTGAAATGTCTGTCCTGGGAAGGAAGCTGACTGATTTTGTTCCCTGCAGCATTTCCCTTTTGCTTCTTAGAGTTGTCCAGACCTCCCAAAGCTTCTTCAGCTATCCGTTGGGAATGTGTTTCTCCAGGAAGTTTTCCCGGCGATATCATAGCTGCTGAGGCTACACATTCAACAATTTCTTGCTTTGCCATCAACACTTTGCCAGCCACCATCCTGCCATCTAAAAATGTGAATAGAAAGTGTAAGTATCATTTACTTCCCATGACAGAAGAAACTGTTGTAGCAGGAACACAAACTCAATGAAATAGGTATTTATTTATTAGGAGGACAGTTCTCAAAACTAGATTCCCAATCTAGAATTCAGAGAAGTGGCCTGGGGTAGCCAAATATGGCCCCCTTGGAGAGTAAGGTAGACAAAGAAATGAATTAGTATTGGAGAAGAGGGATGGTGAACAAGGAAAGACATTAGTTAGAGGGAATGGTGACAAACAGGAATATTGGCGATAAACCAGGAAGCTAGGAGACAATCTTGGGTTAGAGAAGATACGTTTTTAGGTAATGAGATAATCAGGAAAAAAAAGTTAAAAGGAATGATCAGGATAAAGAAAGATATCTAAGAGTCTTAAATCTGTGGTCTTCTATCAATATAGGAGAGCAGAAGATATGATTAGGAAATGCTTTGGGAGTTAGCACTGAACAGAGGTAGCTGGGCAGCAACTAGAAAGCATTAAGGCAATTTCAGATTCTGATAGGTTCCAAATGAATTAAATAATTATAAGCAAATAGAATAAGACACAGACCCAGAGAAAAGAAATACAGGTTCCTGACTCATTCTCAGGTCAGGTGGGAATTTTTTTTAACTTTAAAAAAAATTTTGCACTTAAATCATCCATGGAATACAAAAGAATCTTATAGTTTTACTTTTTAAAATGTATAAGTATCAAAGAAGGGGATGGAGACAACTCCTTCTTTGAGCATTTATACCTAAAAACATGACTGCCCAGAGCCAGACCTTCTGGCTCTCACAAAACATGCCCCATCTCTAGTAGTCTCCTGTTATGAGTTACTGGAAATCTCTCTAGATAACTACAGTAACTCATAACAGAAGGCTACTAGAGATGGGGCATATTATGTCAGCCATCTACTAGTTATATCTAGAGATTTCTAGTAACTAGAAATGGCTGATATAACTTGAATTATTTTATTCTGAAAAATACATCTTCCCAAAAGCCCTCTAAATGTATATGCATTTTACATATCAGGAAACTGAGGCTCAGAGAAGCTAAGTCTGGCCATAGAAGTAATAATTGCTAAGAGTTAGGATTCAAATAAACATTCTTAACATCAAAACTTGTAATCTTTATGCTATCTGCCTTCCATATTGGAAGGATGCAGGGCTGTAGTTGCACTGAAACAAAATATAACTTAAAAATCATTTAAATTTGGCTTTGGAAAAGCATTATGCTTTTATATAAAAATGAATACCTATTTCTGATATTAAGTTCACAACACTTCAAACACAACAATAAAGCACCACAATTGATACCTGATCAAAGCAGAGGGTTGTCTGGCTTCCCGTTTTCCCCATTCCTTACCAGAAATTAAACACAGATGACATCACCTCTAAAATTCATATTGTCCTTGGATTTTAGATAGAAATTTAAATTATTCATTGTTTCATTCAAAAAGAAAACATTTATGAAAAATATACTTGCATACAATAGAGGCATAAAAATTAAAAGTACCAAATAGGTTAAAGTCAGAGACCCAACAACCTAATGAGAAATTTTCTGAAAGTAATAAATAGGTCAAATTATTAAGAGCATCAATTATAGGGTATAAAGTGGCAATATAATTGTGTAGGGACAAAATTAAGGGCAATGAAAATTAGAAAAGCAATGTAACTTATGGGATTTAAATACGTCTTCAAATTCTGTAACTATATGAAGTCAAATTATGAGACTAGAGAAAAATTTTGTCCTCAGATGTATACATCAGGAAGACATCAAGATTTTTATTTGTTCAACTATACATTTATTATTATATTTAAAAAGTTGGAATAAATAGCTAACTAGAGTAATTCTTAGAAAAGACAAATAGAGATTACAAGTAGAGACTGGGCACGGTGGCTCACACCTGTAATCCCAGCACTTTTGGAGGCTGAGGCAGGCAGATCGCTTGAGGCCAGGGGAGTTCAAAACCAACTTGGCCAACATGGCAAAACCCCATCTCTACTAAAAGTATAAAAAATTAGCCAGGCATGGTGGTGCACGCCTGTAATACCAGCTACTCGGGAGGATGAGGCACGAGAATCACTTGAACCAGGGACGTGGAGGTTGCAGTGAACCAAGATCACACCACTGCATGACAGAACAAGACTGTCTCAAAAAGAAAAAAAAAAAGATTACAATAAGAAATGGTCACTTGATTATTCAGAAATACTTGCATAGAGAGAACCCAATTACTATCTCCCAAGAATGAAAACTAATTTGTAATCAGGCTCAAGTCTGGAGGCTGGAGGGTGGGGTACAGATTTATAAGAGGCTCTTTGGAGGAGAAATAAGGCACAGGTATCTCTGTTAGAAGAGCTCTTCTGTTTTTGTTGTTGTTGTTGTTGTTTGTTTGTTTTTGAAACAGAGTCTTGCTCTGTCACTCAGGCTGGAGTTCAGTGGTACAATTATCAGCCACTGCAGCCTTGAAATCCTGGACTCAAGGGATCCTCCCACCTCAGTCTCCCCAGTAACTAAGAGTACAGGTGCGCATCATTGCATCCAGTTAATTAAAAAATTTTTTTTGTAGACACGGGGTCTTGCCATGTTGCCCAGACTGGTCTTGAACTCCTGGTCTCAAGCAATCCTCCTGCCTCAGCCTCCCAAAGTGATGGAACTACAGGCACGAGCCACCACACCCAGCTAGCTTTTCTCTTTAACACACCTCCTGCTTTTCTTACTTGTTCTCTGGGGTGGCTCCTCAGTGAGTTCTGCCAGCTCAGCAGTTCAGTGAGCAATTCCATCCTGTTTAGTTTAAAATCCTTTTAACTAGGGATGTGGCCTTCAATTGCATATTGACGAGTATGCTTTTAGCCTTAATGCTATGTCAGTGATGCTCCACTGCCCACCCAGTTCCCCTTTACCAATATGATGCCTCCTTCCCTCAGCCACTGTGAATGTTGGCTCCTCCAATGATGTGAATGTCTGTGTCTCCCCAAAATTCATATGTTGAAGTCCTAACCCCCAAGGTGATGGTATTAGGAAGTGCGGACCTTTGGAAGGTGACTAGGTCATGAGGGCTTAGTGATCTTATAAAATAGGCCCTATGGTGCTCATTTGCCCCTTCCACCACGTGAGGACACAGTGAAAAGGTGCCATCCATGAGAAAGTGGGACCTTACCAAATACAAAATCTGCTAGCACCTTGAACTTCTCAGCCTCCAGAACTGTGAGAAGTAAATCCGTGTTGTTTACAAGCCACTCAGTTGATGGTATTTTGTTATAGCAGTCCTAACCGATTAAGACAGCTCCTAACTATACAGAGATGCCTCCTTCTGTGGAGAATTACCCAGGCTGATGAGAGCCACTTGGCCCAGGAAGTAACTTCCACCTTCATTGCCCCATCTCTGCGTCAAGAAGAGACAACTCTGCAGTGCAATTATGCTTCAGCGGCCCATGAAATGCTCCAAGGATTAGACCAAGCCTAGACTGTAACTGAGACCACATCATTGCTTGCTCTTTTCCCTTCCTAATCCTGCTTCTCTCTCTCCATTACAGATTTTTCCTGAAGAACACATCGTCAATAAATCACCTGCACCCAAATCTCCATCTCAGGCGCTACTTCTGGCAAGGCATATCATGAGGCTAGTGAAGCACCTACAAGAAACTTATAACTCAAGGTTGTAAAAATGGCATGGTGACTCTTACAATCATATCACAGTGGGCCTCTCCAACAATTTAAACCTCATGACCTAGGTGAAAGCTGTGAAAGGATCCACATTAATTCTTCAGAGGCAGGGCTAAGACTTTCAAGACTGAAAAGAGACTAGCATAAGGAGACTTAACAGGAACCCAGTCAAGGCCATTCATGGCCATGGGACCACGCATAAATGGAGAACGAGTAAATTTTGCTAAGTCCAAGGACATTGGAGAGATAGAGTCACTATTACTGATATGGTGACTGAGTCAACAACATACTGCCACTATGAAGTAATAAGAAAATAAAAAGTTAAAAAATGTAACAGATAACAGTTGGAGGGTGAATATATTTTAAATCAATCAGATTCTCATTAGAGTATTTTATTTTGTCTTGATCCCCAAACTTCAGATGAATGTGGAGAAACTGAAGCATGTCCAGAGAAAAGTGGCAAGATATCCAAACAGACAGAACACAGATGGGATCAGAGGGAGTGAGAGGCTTAGTTAAAACAAGGTCAGGAGGCTGGGCACGGTGGCTCATGCCTGTAATTCCAGCACTTTGGGAGGCCGAGGCGGGTGGATAACAAGGTCAGGAGTTTGAGAACAGCCTGGCCAATATGGTGAAACCCCATCTCTACTAAAAATACAAAAATTAGCCAGGCGTGGTGGCGGGTGCCTGTAGTCCCAGCTACTCGGGAGGCTGAGGCAGGAGAATCACTTGAACCCAGGAGTTGGAGGTTGTAGTGAGCCAAGATCACACCACTGCACTCTAGCTTGGGCGACAGAGCCAGACTCCATCTCAAAAAAAAAAAAAAAAAAAAAAAAAAAAAAAAGGTCAAAGTGCAGTGTACTCACTGCATTCAAGTATAGATTGTGTTTTATGAGGACTCTGTAAACTAAAGAAAGTGGATTATGAATAAATTAAAGTTGGGAGTATTTCATATGGACATAAGGAAGAATTTTAATATAGTATGTTTACTAGGGTTTCCACAACAAAATACCACAGAATGGGTGGTAAACAACAGAAATCTCTTTTCTCACAATTCTAGAGACTAGAAGTCCAAGATCAATGTGTCAGCAGGTTTGGTTTCTTCTCTCTCCTTGGCTTGCAGATGATGGCCACCTTCTTTTCTTGTTGTTGTTGAGATAGTCTCACTCTGTCATCCAGGCTGGAGTGCAGTGGCGCAATCTTAGCTCACTGCAACCTCCACCTTCTGGGCTCAGGTGACCCTCCTGTCTCAGCCTCCCAAGTAGCTGGGGCTATAGGCATGCACCACCATCCCTGGCTAATTTTTGTATTTTTAGTAAAGACAGGGTTTCACAGTGGTCTTGAACTCCTGACCTCAAGTAATCTGCCTGCCTCAACCTCTTAAAGCGCTGGCATTACAGGCATAAGCCACTGCACCCGGCCACAGATGGCCACTTTCTTGCTAGGTCCTCACAAGATCATCCCTTGGTCTGTGTTGTGTCCTAATCTCCTCTTCTTTTAAGGACATCAATTATTTTGGATTAAGGCCAACCCTAATGACCCCATTTTAACCTTTATAAAGGCCCTATCTCTAAAAAAATGCAGTCATACTCTAAGGTTCTGGCTGGGGGTTACAGCTTCAACATATGAATTTTGAAGGGACACAACTCATCCCATAACAAATAACAATATGAAAAGCCCAAGAAACACTTACCACAGTCTCTGTTCCTTAAGATTTTAAAAAAAGAAAGTAAAAATAGTCTACCTAAATGATTTCGTCATTTACCTGATTTAAGGCAGGGGACCTGATGAGATGAATTTTCTTTTTTAAAAGTTTAATTTAAGTTCCAGGATGCATGTGCAGGACATGCAGGTTTGTTACGTAGGTAAATGTGTGCCATGGTGGTTTGCTGCACCTATCAACCCATCACCTAGGTATTAAGCCCCACATGCATTAGCTATTTATCCTGATGCTTTCTCTCCCACCCCCACAGGCCCCAGTGTGTGTTGTTCCTCTCTCTGTTTCTATGTGTTCTCATTGTTCAGCTCCCACTTATAAGTGAGAACACGTGGTGTTTGGTTTTCTGTTCCTGTGTTAGTTTGCTGAGGATAATGGCTTCAGGCTCCATCTATGTCCCTGCAAAGGACATGAACTCATTCCTGCTTATGGCTGTATAGTATTCGATGGTGTATACATACCACATTTTCTTTATCCACTCTATCACTGGTAGGCATTTGAGTTGAATCCATGTCTTTGCTATTGTGAGTAGTACTGCAATGAACATATGCATGCATATATCTTTATAATAGGATAATTTATATTCCTTTCAGTATATACCCAGTAATGGGATTGCTGGGTCAAGTGGTATTTCTGGTTCTAGGTCTTTGAGGAATCACCACACTGTCTTCCACAATGGTTGAACTAATTTACATTCCCACCAACACTGTAAAAGTGTTCCTACTCCTCCACAGCATTGCCAGCATCTGTTGTTTCTCGACTTTTTAATAATCGCCATTCTGACTGCCATGAGATTGTTTCTCATTGTGGTCTTGATTTGCATTTCTCTAATGATCAGTGATGTTGAGCTATTTTTTATATATTTTTTGGTGCATAAATGTCTTCTTTTGAGGTCTCTGTTCATGTCCTTTGCCCACTTTTTAATGGGGTTGTTTTTTTCTTGTAAATTTGTTTAAGTTTCTTGTAGATCCTGGATATTAGACCTTTGTCAGATGGATAGATTGCAAAAATTTTCTCCCATTCTGTACATTGTCTGTTCACTCTTATAATAGGTTCTTTTGCTGTGCAAAAGCTCTTTAATTACGTCCCATTTGTCAATTTTTGCTTCTATTGCAATTGCTTTTGACATTTTCATCATGAAATCTTTGCCCATGCCTATGTCCTGAATGGTATTACCTAGATTTTTTTACTAGGGATTTTATAGTTTTGGGTTTTACATTTAAGTCTTTAGTCCATGTTGAGTTTATTTTTGTACAAGGTGTAAAGGAGGGATCCAGTTTCAGTTTTCTGCATATGGCTAGCCAGTTTTCCCAGCACCATTTATCAAATAGGTAATCCTTTCCCCATTGCTTGTTTGTGTCAGGTTTGTCAAATATCAAGTGGTTGTAGATGTGCAGTCTTATTTCTCAGATCTCTATTCTGTTCCATTGGTCTATGTGTCTGTTTTTGTACCAGTACCATGCTGTTTGGGTTATAGTAGCCTTGTAGTACAGATTGAAGGCAGGTGGCATGATGCCTCCAGCTTTGTTCTTTTTGCTTAGGATTGTCTTGGCTATAAGGGCTCTTTTTTTTGTACCATATGAATTTTAAAGTATTTTTTTCTAATTCTGTGAAGAATGTCAATGGTAGTTTAATGGGAATAACACTGAATCTATAAATTACTTTGGGCAGTATGGCCATTTTCATGATATTAATTCTTCCTATCCATAAGCATGGAATGTTTCTCCATTTGTTTGTGTCCTCTCTGATTTCCTTGAGCAGTGGTTTGTAGTTCTCCTTGAAGAGGCCCTTCACCTCCCTTGTTAGCTGTATTCCTAGGTATTTTATTCTCTTTGTAGCAATTGTGAATGGGAGTTAATCATGTTTGGCTCTCTGGTTGTCTTATTGTTGTTCAGGTGTGCAGTACAGACACAGAGATATAGGAATCTCTGTATATAGGAATGCTTATGATTTTTGCACATTAATTTTGTATCCTGAGACTTTGCTGTAGTTGCTTCTTGGCTTAAGAAGCTTTGGGGCTGAGACGATAGGGTTTTCTAGACATGGGATCATATTATCTGCAAATAGAGACAGCTTGATTTCCTTGAGATGAATTTTCAAAACCCGTTTTAATGTAGCACCTGCTTGGTGCAGAAGATACTTAAGAGGGCCTGCTTGGCTAATGGTAGTATCAGGGTATGATGCCTGGGGAAGGTTGGGAAGCAGTTTCCCAGAAGAATTCAGTGGATGGATGGTATGGATTCCTTTGGTGAACTGCCGAGGTCCAGGGTCTGGCCTTTGGGCTTAGGTCCTCATATACCTAATTTTATCATCATACAAAAAATAGATTTATCTCTTGGGGTAGACTCTTAATAACTAAGCCCGTGAAACTCAGTAATAAAAACAGAATGAGAATTAATGAGTAATGTAACCATCACATGGACCAGACTGAACAAATGCAATTTTCTTATTACAGCTAAGCTTCATAGGAAGTTAATAAGATTGCTTGGTGAAGACAAAATCAGAAGGGTAGTCAGATTTAACAAAAGATTAATGAGAACAAGCTGGTATACCTGATATATCTGCTGCCCATAAGGATGATTTTGCCAATAACATAATCAAAGTCCTTTCAGTTCTAATCCCTGGCATCTGTGACAGCTATCAATTTATTGCCTCAGTTTCAAATCTACGCTTCATTGCCCTGTCTGTGATACTGGACTATTTGCCAGCTGGCATGCTGTGAGCTTTATCAATAGAGGGGGTTGCAGAGGAACTGGAAGAAAGGGCTTTTCTTCCTGGTTCTGGCATGTTCTTTGTGTTTGTTTCTGTAGCACATGGGACACCCAGCAGTGCACATCCCAATGAGTTCCAAAGGCCCCATCCCTATGGGTAGCTTCCCAGCAAGTTCTGTACCAGGTCAGCTCCCCATGGGGAGCTTCTAGCACCCCAGAGTGTGGCTCCTCAGTGAGTTCTGCCAGCTCAGCACTGCAGTGGCATCTCCATCCAGTGGGCTGTGGCTGTGCCCTCTCCAACAAGGCCTGGATCTAAGACCTGGCAGGAAAGGGGAAGTTGTGGCACCCTCCTGCAAATTTGTTCTTACCTTTGATGTTCTGCCTCAGCCCTAGAGACACTCTATATCTGTTATTGCTGTATTCTTTTGAGTTTCACTTTTTGTTATAACACTTAGTAGTTAATAATTCTTAACATTAAACTTTCCCTGTTCAAATGATTATGTGGTTTCTATTACTGAAAATGTATTCATCTCCATCTTAGGGACTGTCTTGCCAATGAAGCCAAAATTAAATAACAGAATACTGAGCTTTGAATATTATGGATATTTAGCCAGGCATGGTGGTGTACAACTGTAGTCCTAGCTACTCTGGAGGCTGAGGCAGGAGGATCACTTTAACCCAGGGGTTCAAGGCTGCTGCAGTGAGCTGTGGTTGCACCACTGCACTCCAACCTGGGTGATAGAGTGAGACCCCATCTAAAAAAAAAAAAAAGAAAAAAGAAAAAGAAAAAAAATAATTATGGGTATTAGAGAATTTTACTAAAGACTTTAATTCTTAACCCAAAGTTACAAATGATACTGGAATTTCAGATTCTAGGCAGAGCCTAAGGAAGAATATTTCTAGGCAAAGAAGCCTTTCCACAATACTTAGTGATAGCCACAAGTGGCTGTCGTTAAGAAAATGAACCGTGCCACAGTTGATAGCTCTCACCTCCATCCTCAACCCCACATGGACTGGGGCTTCTCACCTCTCTCCTGGAAAGCCTGGGACTCCTGAGTCTCAGTCTTGCACTGGTTCTCTAAGGGCTGCACCGGGCTATTCAGAGACAGAGACTTCAGTGCTCCTGTGGATGTCATTTCCTGCCAGAACATTTCTTGGCCATGAGTTGTGTCCTAGGAGTAATCAAGTACCAGCACTATCATTCTGAGGATACACAAGCAGAAAACTCCTAGAGCAACAGGGCAGGAACAGAAGAATCAAAAACTCATTCAAATGATTAGAGAGAAAAAAAACAGGACCTTAAGAGCCCTAGTGACTTGAACCCAATGAGTGAATAATTAATAACCCAAAAGAAAGAAACTGTATAATTCTCTGAGAGCTGAGTCAATGCCCCAGTCATAATTATGGCTTCCCCATTAACTTACAATAGATCAAACAAACAAAAATGTTTACTTCTTACCTGTTGCCTTGGCTCCTCCAGTTCTTTTTCCAGCTCCTCCAGCATAGTCACAGCTTCCTCTCCATTCTCTGGCCGATGCTCTCGCAGCCAAGCTTGCAGCTCCTCAGGAAGGATGGCCAGGAACTGCTCCAACATCAGCAGCTCCAGGATCTGCTCCTTGGAGTGCACCTCCGGCCTCAACCACTGACAGCAAAGCTCTCGCAGCCGGCTCAGAGCCTCCCGAGGGCCAGTGGAGTCAGAGTAACTAAACTGCCTGAACTTCTGCCGGAATACCTCTTGGCTCCAGGGGTTTTCCTGAAGGCCAAAGTCCTGGTCCAAAACATAATTTTCTTCTTCAACCTTGACAACTAGAAGTCCTTCCTGTTCTTCTGGAGCATGGTAGGCCAAGACTGTGGCCTCTCCTGACATTCTGGGCAGAGACAGTCTGAAAAGGCTGCCCAGGTGAGGCAGGGAGGAGATGGAGATTTGCGTCTGAGAGATTCCTTCTGAATTCCAACTCCCCAGGACGCTCCTGAGGGTGGACAATGCTCATGTTACACAGGGAAAATAATGTACTTGGAATATAAATACAGGTTTTTGAAGCCCAGTTGCCAGGGAGCATAGCATTGTAAAGAAAACTGACTAACAGGGCACTTCCACATAAATGATACATTTATAGATGACTCAGGATTTTTTTAGGATGTGAAAGAAAAATGTTAGTATGGCTGAAATCAATTTGGCCTTTAGTAATACTGTTAGGAACAACATTAGGGATAATAAAATAGTGCTTGTAGATTATAGAGAGCAAGAAAAGCACTATAGTATATGATTACATCTCAGAAATAACCACCATTTTATTGATCACTAGCTTGATACTTAACATAAATTTTATATGCTTTTCCTAACAACTCTATAAGGACAATCAAAATTATGCCCATTTTTGCCAGGCACGGTGGCTCACGCCTGTAATCCTAGCACTTTGGGAGGCCGAGGCGGGAGGATCACGAGGTCAGAAGATCGAGACCATCCTGGCTAACATGGTGAAACCCCATCTCTACTAAAAATACAAAAAATTAGCCGGGCGTGGTGGCGGGCGCCTATAGTCCCAGCTACTTGGGAGGCTGAGGCAGGAGAATGGCATGAACCCGGGAGGGGGAGCTTGCAGTGAGCCAAGATGGCGCCACTGCACTCCAGCCTGGGCAACAGAGACTCCGCCTCAGAAAAAAAAAAAAAAATTACGCCCATTTTCCTAACGAGGCTACTAAGTCATAAGTTGACCAAAGACAGCCAGGGAGCAGCAGAACTGGGCTCTGCAACCAAAGTCTTTAGCTCTTTCTATTATGCTATGGGGCATCCCAAAAGAAGGGAACTCACACTTAATAAACACCTACTATGGGCCAAGCACTTTACAAATACTATTTTACTGGAGCTTGACAATAACACCATCAGGTATTATCATCTCAATTTTACAAATGAGGAAACTAAGGTTCTTAAAAGCCAAGTAATTTGTCCAAGGCTACAAACTGGTAAATAGCAAAGTCGAGACATGAACCCAGGCTGCAACTCTACAGTACTTGCTCTTTTTATTTCTTTTTATTACAGAATGGGTTGATGCCCAGGACAATCTTGGCTGATACTAAATCAGAAATGATGGTGAAAATGTTAGGAAGGGATCATGGAGAATGGGCAAGGTGAATGTAGAAACAAGGAAAAATTATTCTTGACTTTTAAGTCGCAAGGTTCTGAAACAGCACAAAGAAAAATGGATTCTTTCAACAAATACTTCAGCATTTACTCTGTGCTAGATAGCGTACCAAAGAGCAGTCTCAGAATTAAAAGATGTGTACCAAAGGACTCTTAGTTTATTATGGGAAAGCAACACGTAAACACAGTGATAAATCCAAGGACGGAGCGAAGTAGACAAGGTAGCACAAGGGAAAGATGACTGACCAAGACCAAGGAGAAAGGGATGGGAAGAGCCAGAAAGAGCTGCCTGGAGGAGACATCTCAGCAGAGTCTGATATGAGTGAGCTGAGTGAGATGGAGAGGAAGGTCACCCAGGCAAAGTGAAAATGGGTATGAGAGAATGTGGCCCACTGAGGAAACTGAAGGTAGTTTGGGGAGACCAGATTAATGGCTGTCACTTCTGACTACGGCTCAAAATCAGCCATGAAACATGAACCGCAAGGCAGACTTCCTGAGTCAGAATCTCCATGGGACAGGGCTTTAGTAAGTGCCACAAGAGCTTCTGATGAGCAGCCAGGTTAAGAACCCGGTGCCAGACCCTGGGGCACAGTTAATGAATGGTGAGAGAGGAGGTCTGAGAGGTTGAACTACAGAGTTTGCATTGATCCCCATGGCCACAGTGATGGCTGGAAGGTCTGTGTGCCCACCCAGAGAGTGGCGTGGAGAAGACATGGGAAGGGGTTTGTTGCAACCATTCAGAAGAGAGACTGTGAGAGACTGAGCTATGGGAGGCAAAAGACAAAAAGACGGGAGATTTGACAGGACTTGACACACCGTATAAGGGCTTGGAAGAGAGAGGGGTCAAGGACTCAAGTTTGTGGTTGGCCCTTGTGACTAGAGGATGATGGTGCTATTTGCTGAGCTATTCATTAAGAAAGTTAGGTCTGAGATGCCTACGAAGCAGCGTCTCCTAAACCGTGCTTTGCCAGGTATTAATAGATTTTTCATACATATCTAAACACAAGAACCCTGGGGATATTTCTCCTAATTTTTTTTTTTTTTTTTTTTTTTTTTTTGAGACAGAGTCCACTCTTTCGCCCAGGCCAGACTGCAGTGGCGCTATCTCGGCTCACTGAAAGCTCCGCCTCCCGGGTTCACGCCATTCTCCTGCCTCAGCCTCCCGAGTAGCTGGGACTACAGGCGCCCGCCACTGCGCCTGGCTAATTTTTTGTATTTTTAGTACAGACAGGGTTTCACTGTGTTAGCCAGGATGGTCTCGATCTCCTGACCTCGTGATCCTCCCGCCTCGGCCTCCCAAAGTGCTGGGATTACAGGCATGAGCCACCGTGCAGGGCCTTCTCTTAATTTTTTAGTGTAAAATACTAGAGACCAAGCACAGTGGCTCATGCCTGTAATCCCAGCATTTTGGGAGGCCAAAGGCAGGAGGATCACTTGAGTCCAGGAGTTTGAGACCAGCCTGGGCAACACAGTGAGATCCTGTCCCCTCTTGGCTTCCTCGGGGAGCCAAGAGGAAGGCTGAGACCCGTCTCAAAACCGAGCTTTGGCCACGTGAGAAGTGGCAGGAAGGAGCCCATTGGCGAGTGTCAGACTCCTGAGCCTGCAGCCCGACACAAGACACGCTGGGTAAGCGCCTGAGGAGTCAGCTGACCAAAAAGGCGGGGTGGCTGAGTGGGCAAGTGGAAATGGATGGCGGGACTGACCGACGGAGAGGCGGGCGGGACCCCAGATACAGCCGAGCCCCGGCCTGTGGCCGAGGGGTCGAAGAAAGGCGGCGCGGAGGCCGGATGCGGGACAGGGGCGGTTTGGGAAGCACCCGGGACCGCCCTGCTGGACCGCCCCACTCACCCTTCGCTCTACCGGCGGCGGCGGGAACCCACCCCCGGGAGCGAGAACAATGCCCGGCCGCACGCGCGCCGGAAGTGGGAGAGTGCCCCTCTAGGAGCCCGGAGGACCGCAGCTCTGTGGCAGGCGCGGGTCGTGTCTCGCAGGAGGGGCGCGGGTCCGGCTCAGACCTGGCGGGGGCATCGCAGAGTACAAGCGGTTGACGCGCTGCTGAAAGGGTGGGGAGCATAAGATACATATTAAATATAATTATATATTCTATATATTTTAATACATAAAAATATACGTATATATTCAAACATATTTTTCCTCGTTATGTCGCGGGCTGGTATACCATCGAGAAAATAAAAACCGAGAACCCATGATCTCTACATTTTGAGAGGAAGAGGAGCTGACCACGCTCACCGCGGACGTGCTGACTGCGAAGACGACAGTCCTAGGAGCTGCGGAAGGGCTGGGGCGGGGACGGGTCCTGCCCACGAATGCCGAGGACGCCAGGTGCTGCGGAGGGGTCGGGATGGGGGGCAGGAGAAGCTGTAAAGATTTCCTGGTGGACTCTGCCCTCGAGCTGCCCGTGGCCGCGTGCTGGATGCTGACACAGCAGGAGGAGGAGCGCCACGGGTTTCCCGCGTAGGAAGCGACAGGAGCCAGGGCACAGCGGGGCGGGGTTCAGGGCACGCTCGGAATTGGCCCGGCATCTTAGCTGGCCAGAAACTAGGCCAAGGGGTTGGTTAGAGTGAGTTAGGTTGTGGAGAGTGTCAAATACCAGGCTCAGGTGTTAGAAATGCATTGAATCATCAGTGCAGGGTATTCACATATAACATGGCTGGAACAGTGTTCAGGGCGGTGTCTGTACCGTATAGAGTGGATTAAAGGACAAAAGAGATGAAAGAATACAGGTGACCCATGAATTTAGCAAAATGTAATAATCTGTGAAAGTATGATTGAAAATAGGGCAAGGGATGACATCGCCAAGGGAGGTCTTTTGGAAAATAAACGGGATTGTGAAATACCAACGTTTTGGAATGGGGAAGAAAAGGAGTTCGAGAAGAGGAGCTACTTAGGGAGCGCCCAGATGGTTCAAACATCATAAAAACAACAGTGTTTCAGGAGACGGAACACTGTTGCTTTGCTGCAGAGAGCCGAAAGAGGGTGAGAACTAAGCTGATGGTGGAATTTGGGGGAATGACAGAGGAGGGCAAGAGAGAGAGATGTTACCTGTGGACTGTCCTTTCGAGTGGTTCAGAAGAGTTGGTAAGACTAAAAATAGACAATAATCTCTTTTGAGAATTGTGATACTGCAAGAAAAGAAAAAGAATATTGGTTGAACTAAGCAACCGGATTTAAAGTATTCTTATTTTCAAGGGTAGTGGAAAGCTAATTTGTAGAAAAGAAAAGGTAAAGTTTAGTAGGCACAAGAAATTGAAGATGGAAGAAAAGAGATACAGCTGATGGGGAGGAAATGAGACCAGATGGGCTGGTGAAGTAGTTTGTCTCAGAAAAGAAGGAAGTGATTTGTTCCTGAATAGGAGGAAAGTGGAGGGTGAGTGCAAGAGAAAAGGGAGAAGTTGAAGATGTTTATGTCAGATGACTCTGACCACAAAGGTGTTAATCAGAAGATGTTACAGTTGAGCCAGACTTTGAAGAATGTTACAACGGCCAATGACTGGAAGAGACGACTTCAAGTGATGTTCTGTATCTACTATCCAATATGGAAGCCATTAGCCATTTATGGCTATGTGTAGGAAAGCTGCCTGTTGCATGGCAAGAGTAATGCTATCTTGAAGTGAAACATCATAATAACCAGTGTTTGACTCTTGCATACCAAGGCATTCCCCCAGCAAGGTGAAGAAACAATGCCTATAACATAGATAACCCCTCATAAAGAAACAATACCTGTAGCATAGAAAACCCCTCATAAAGATCCTTATCTAATTTTCCCACTGGTCAGAGTTTTGCAAGAGGGTCTCAGACATGACAAGCTGCACGTTTTACCAAAAAAAAAAAAAAAGCTTGCAATAGAAAGAATAATATCTGCAGGGCAGGTATGGGGATCCACCATCTTAAGTCCTTTTATCCCTACCAAATGTTTCCTTCTGAGAAACTGCATTTGTCAGCTCAGCTCTCTCAACCTCTGGGAGTAGGTTTACATATATTTGCTCACTTGATATATGGCTGATAGGAACTGAGCAAGTAAAATTTTCATTTCATTGAATTTTAATTAATTTACATTTAAATTGCTACATGGGATTAGTGGTTCCATACTAGACAGTGAAGCTAGCCTGTACTTGTTAAAAAGAACCCAATGAGTGAAATGAACAAAGTAAACATAGCACATTTCTAATGAAGCACATAAAATAATGAGTGGCCAAAAAAAAAAAAAAAGACTGTAAAGTTGTCTTCTATGTAAAAAGTCCATAAGGTTTATACACAGAACATACTCAATTTGTTCATTCCCTTAAAGGATCTAGCAACACACTTTTTAATGTAAGTACCCAATTTCCCCATTTTTAATGAACAGATGAATACCAGTATCTGCTAACACTGTGGGGTGGGGAGGGGAGAGTGATATATACCTAAGAAAATTAGCAACTTCATCAATAATAAACACTTCTCTATCATTTATTTATTTTCTTTTAAAAAATGTATTAACACCTGAATAATGCATGGATTTTAGATAATGAAGTATCAATTTTGGTCAACTAATTTTGACAAATATGTCACATCAGTGAAAGATGTTAATAAAAAGAAATGAATGCGAAAGTATATGGGATCTCTCTGTACTATCTTTGCAATAATAGATAAATTGAATTTTAAAATATCTTAATAAAAAGAAGGCAGAAATAGGGGAACGAGGGAACAAATACCTTGTCTGCCTTTCTTTGCTGTGGGGTTTCAATAACCTGTTAGACTTACACGCCATATCCTCTGTATCTCTTATCTGCTCTTTTTAATTTTTGTTTCTCATTTGCATATTTTACCACCTATTTTCCAATCACTAATTCTTTCTTTAGTGATAATGTACTTTTAAACATATTCCTTGAGTTCTCAATTTCTGTCATTGGATTTTTTAATTCAGAATTTCTCTTTGGTTCAAGTTCACATCCATTATTTTATTTATTTTTTGAGACAGGGTCTCACTCTCTTGCCTAGACTGGAGTGGAGTGGCACCATCTCAGCTCACTGCAACCTCCCCCTCCGCGGCTCAAGCAATTCTCCTGTCTCAGTCTCGCAAGTAGCTGGGATTACAGGCACAGGCCACTACTGTGTCCAGAATTGGTGGGTTCTTGATCTCACTGACTTCAAGAATAAAGCCGCGGACCCTCGCAGTGAGTGTTAACAGTTCTTAAAGATGGTGTGTCCTGAGTTTGTTCCTTCTAATGTTCGGACATGTTCAGAGTTTCTTTCTTCTGATGGGTTCGTGGTCTTGCTGGCTTCAGGAGTGAAGCTGCAGAACTTTGCAGTGAGTGTTAACAACTCTTAAGGTGGTGCATCTGGAGTTTGTTCCTTCCTCCCGTCCGGAGTTGTTCATTCCTCCCAGTAGGTTTGTGGTCTTGCTAGCCTCAGGAGTGAAACTGCAGACCTTCACAGTGAGTGTTACAGCTCATAAAGGCAGTGCAGACCCAAAGAGTGAACAGCAGCAAGATTTATTGCAAAAAGCAAAAAAACCCTCCGCACTGTGGAAAAGGACCCCACCAGGTTCCTGCTGCTTGCTGGGGCAGCCGGCTTTTATTCCCTTATCTGGCCCCACCCACATCCTACTGATTGGTCCATTTTACAGAGAGCTGATTGGTCCGTTTTATAGAGTGCTGATTGGTCAATTTTGACAGGGTGCTGATTGGTGCGTTTACAATCCCTGAGCTAGACACAGAGTGCTGATTGGTGTATTTACAATCCTCTAGCTAGACTTAAAAGTTCTCCAAGTCCACACTAGATTAGCTAGACAAAGAGCACTGATTGGTACATTTACAAACCTTAAGCTAGACACAGAGTGCTGATTGGTGTGTTTACAAACCTTGAACTAGACACAGAGTGCTGATTGGTGCATATACAACTCTCTGGCTAGACATAAAAGTTCTCCAAGTCCCCACCTGACTCAGGAGCCCAGCTGGCTTTGCCTAGTGGAACCCGTGCCAGGGCCGTGGGCGTAGCTGCCTGCCAGTCCTGCACCGCGTGCCTGCACTCCTCAGCCCTTGGGCAGTCGATCGGACCGGGCACCACGGAGCAGGGGGCGGCACCCGCCGGGGAGGCTCCAGCTGCGTGGGAGCCCATTGCGGGGAGGGGGGGCGCTTGGGCATGGCGGGCTGCAGGTCCTAAGCCCTGCCCCATGGGGAGGCGGCTAAGGCCCAGCAAGAATTTGATTGTGGCGCAGGCAGTTCTGTGGGACCCCGCGCCCCCTCCGCAGCTGCTGGCCCGGGTGCTAAGCCCCTTACTGCCTGGGGCCGGCGGCGCTGGCCGGCCGCTCCAAGTGCGGGGCCCGCCGAGCCCGCGCCCACCCGGAACTCGCGCTGGCACGGTTCCCGCCCACGCCTCTCTCTCCACAGCTCCCCGCAAGCAGAGGGAGCCAGCTCCCCCTCGGCCAGCCCAGAGAGGGGCTTCCACAGTGCAGCGGCTGGCTGAAGGGCCCCTCAAGCATGGCAAGAGCAGACGCTGAGGCCAAGGAGGTGCTGAGAGCGAGCGAGGGCTGCTAGCCCGTTGTCACCTCTCACTACCACCTGGCTAATTTTTTGTATTTTTAGTAGAGACAAGCTTTCACCATGTTAGCCAGGCTGGTCTCGAACTCCTGACCTCAAATGATCCACCTGCCTTGGCCTCCCAAAGTGCTGGGATTACAGGTGTGAGCCACCGTGCCCGGCCCATATCCATCATTTTAGAAAGTTTTTTTTTTTTTTTTAGATGGAGTCTCGCTCTGTGGACCAGGCTGCAGTGCAGTGGCACAATCTCGGCTCACTGCAACCTCAGCCTCCCAGCTTCAAGCGATTCTCCTGCCTCATCCTAGCTGGGATTACAGGTGTGTGTTACCACACCCAGTTAATTTTTGTATTTTTAGTAGACACGGGGTTTCACCATATTGGTTGGCCAGGCTGTTCTCAAACTCCTGACCTCAAATGATCTGCCTGCCTCAGCATCCCAAAGTGCTGGGATTACAGGCATGAGCCTCCGTGCCCGGCCCATTTTAGAAAGATTTTTATGGTAAAACACACATGCCATTAAATTTACCATTTTAACCATTTTTAAGTGTACATTTCTGTATTAGTCCGTTTTCACGCTGCTGATAAAGACGTGCCCAAAACTGGGCAATTTACCAAAGAAAGAGATTTAACTGGACTTACAGTTACACGTAGCTGGGGAGGTCTCACAAACATGGTGGAAGGTGAAAGGCATGTCTCACATGACAACAGCACAAGGGAGAATGAGAGCCAAGCAAAATGGGTTTCCCCTTATCAAACCATCAGATCTCATGAGACTTATTCACTTCCACGAGAACAGTATGAGGGAAACCACCCCCATGATTTAATTATCTCCCATTCCCTCCCACAACACATGGGAATTATGGGAGTACAATTCAAGATGAGATCTGGGTGGGGACACAGAGCCAAACCGTATCAACTTCAGTGGCATTAAGTGCATTCACAGTGTTGTACAACCTTCACAAACATCCATCTCCAGAACTTTTTTATCTTCCCAAACTGAAACTCCATACCAATTAAACAGTGATTCCCCATTTCTCCCTCCCCTGAGCCCCTGGCAACCACCATTCTACTTTCTGTCTCTATAAATTTGACTACCCTTAAGTACCTCAAATAAGTGGGATCGTACAATATTTGCCTTTTTGTGACTGGCTTATTTTACTTAACATAATGTCTCCAGGTTTATCCATGTTGTAGTATATGTCAGATTTTCCTTTCTTTTTAGGGCTGAATAATATTCTATTACATGTATACACCACATTTTATTTATCCATTCATCTGTTAACGGACACTTGGGTGGCTTCGCCCTTTTGGCTGTTTTGAATAATGCTACTATCATTATAACAGTACCTTTAATCCATTTTTAATTTTTGTATATGGTGTAAGGCAAGAGTCCAACTTCATTCCATTGTATGTATCCGGTTTTCCCAGTATCATTTCATGAAAAGACCACCATTTCCACCATTGAATGGTCTTAGCAACCTTGTTAAAAATCAGTTGACCACGTGTGAGGGTTTACTTCTGAGTGCTCTATTTCATTGGCCTGTATGTCTATTCTTATGCCAGTACCACACTGTTTTGATAATTGTAGCTTAATTAAATCAGGAATTAGAGTCTAATAAGTCATTCTAAAAATAGCTTCTGGTTTTCCATCAAATTCTTTTCAATCTTGTCTTTTACGTCCCTGAATAAAAAACAGTATTTTATCCAAATCTAATTATCCTAACATAAGAAACTCCAGTGATTCTACTTCTATCGTCAATTGTTTCTGCTGGTTGTTCTTAGCTCGGTTGCCTGGTTATCTTTTATCAGGAATTTTCATGAAAAGTTGATGGGGAAATAATTTGAAGGTACTCCTCTTCTTTATTTTTTGAGACGGAGTCTTGCTGTTGCTCAGGCTGGAGTGCAGTGGTGCGATCTCGGCTCACTGCAAGCTCCGTCTCCTGGGTTCACACCATTCTCCTGCCTCAGCCTCCCAAGTAGCTGGGACTACGGGCGCCCGCCACCATGCCCAGCTAATTTTTGGGGGCTTTTTTTTGCTTGTTTTTTGTTTTGGGTAGAGACAGGGTCTCACCGTGTTAGCCAGGATGGTCTCGATCTCCTGACCTCGTGATCTGCCCGCCTCAGCCTCCCAAAGTGCTGGGATTATAGGCATGAGCCACCGTGCCCGGCCGAAGGTACTCCTCTTCTAGAGAGAATCATTGTTTGCTTCTGCCAGCTATCTGGGAGCTCCAATAATTGTTGGTCATCACAAACCAGTTTTAGGTATTGAGATTTTTCTGGGTCAACCAGATGACTTGCAGTTGGGCTACAGTCTGTGGAAGGGCTGGTTTACTACAAGTTCACCTTTATTCCTAGAATGTAGTTGATTTTGGGTATAATTCAAAGTACCAAGGTCCCAACCCTTAGTCTCTGATTCCAACTTTCTTCTCTCTAGTCCTATGAGGCTATCAAAAATGCCATTCAGTACCCTCAGCTGCCTCTTCCAGATAAGCAAATAATCTGAAAGTGAAAGCCCACTAGATGCTTTGGTTCACCTCACTGGACTTAGATCATTTCTTGGATCTTGTTCTAGTATTCTGTACTACCTTGACAGTTCTAATGCCTTCCAGCTGATTTCATATTTTTATATGGATTTACTGGTTGTCCTTAAGGGAAGTGTGATCCACATTACTCACTGTACCAATAATGGAAGCTGAGTTCTGTGACTTTAATTTTCCCCTAAAAGATAGTATCTTTTGAAGAATAATAAGTTTTTAATTTTAATGTAGTCCAATTGAAATTTCCTTTTTATATATATTGGGCTTTACTGTCTTTTTTAAAGATTTCCTTCCCTACTCTGAAGTCATAAATATACTTTCACATATTTTCTTCTACAAATTTTACAAAAAGTTTGCTTTTCTCCCATGTATTTAATATACTTGCTATTTGCTTTGTGTGCAGTTATGAGGCAGAGATCTACAATAAGTATTTCTAGATGAATAACTAATTATCCATTAATCACTTACTGAATTGTCCTTCTTATCTATGCTGGTTTTCATGCCAGCTCATTCAACTACATTATTCATCTTTGATCCCACATATAGTGTTATGATGGAGATGGCTATAGGCTATTCCATCCATCTATAAAGTTAGCATCATAAGAATGATTAAGAATACATGAACACTACAGGTCACTCAGTATTGCTTATCAATCTTATGTTTTTCTAGTAAGCTCACCTTTGCACGAAGTTTATTTCAAGCCATTTTCTCAAGCATTATTCTCCTCACCCCTCATTCTTAAATGATGATATAACCTCCTTCTTCCCAATGAATTGGAATGTCCTCAGTTTCCCACTAACTTACCTGAGCTTGCACCCATTCTCTCCTATCATCTTAGCATAGGAGAAGGGCCACTCATATCTAAAGACCTATTCTTCCACTTGTATCTTGGATCCCATCTCCTTCCCCATCAATCATATGCCATCAACAGTTCATTCTCTTCCTGTGTTATCTACTCTCTCTCTCCTGGATTCTTCCTGCTATCTTTTACACATTACATATCTTTCCTATCTTAAAAATTATCAAGCCACCAACCAAGCAAATAAACCATCCCTAAACTCCACTATTACCCTATTTCTTATTTTCTTTTATTCATAACTGACTTATTGAAGTTGGTCTGTAATGACATTCTCCATTTCCAGATATCCCATTTTTTTCTCATACTGGTTCTCTTCAACGTTTGTTTTTTATGAAGAGGTGTTGGATTTTGTCAAATGCTTTTTCTGCATATTTTGTCCTTTATTCTGTTGATATGGATTTGGTTGATTTTTAAACTGATGCTCAGATGGATTCCTGGGATAAATTCCACTTGGTCGTAGTAGAAAATCCTTTTTTATATGTTACTGAATTCAGTTTACTAGTATTTTGTTGAGAATAAGACATACTGGTCTGTAGTTTATGTTTCTTGTGATGTATTTGACTGATTTGGATATCAAAGTAATATTAGCCTCATGAAATGAGATGGAAGATATTCCTTCTTCTTGTTTTGGGGAGGGGAAGAGTTTGTGAAGAACTGGTATTAATTCTTCTTTAAATGTTTGGTAGAATTCACCAGTGAAGCCCTTGGGGCCTGGGCTTTTCTTTGTGTGCCTTTTTTTTTTTTAAATTACTAACTCAATCTCTTTATTATACATCTATTCACATTTTCTATTTCTTCTTTAGTCAGTTTTCTGTCTGCAGGGCATGTCAGAGACCTTCACAGCAGCCCCTCCCATCACAGGGCTTGGGGCTTAGGAGGAAAAAATGGTTTTGTGGGTGGGGCCTAGGGCTCCCCTGCTGTGTGCAGCCTAGGGACTTGTTGCCCTGCATCCTAGCCGCTCCAGCCATGGCTGAAAGGGGCCAACGTAAAGCTCGGGCTGTGGGTTTAGAGAGTGCAAGCCCCAAGCCTTGGCAGCTTCCACATGGTGTTGAGCCTGTGGACACACAGAAGTTAAGAATTGAGGTTTGGGAACCTCTGCCTAGATTTCAGAGGATATATGAAATGCCTGGCTGTCAAAGCAAAAGTTTGCTGCAGGGGCAGAGTCCTCATGGAGAATCTCTGCTAGAGCAGTATGGAAGGGAAATGTGGGGATGGAGTCCCCACACAGAGTCCCCAACAGGGAACTGCCTAGTGGAGCTGTGAGAAGAGGACCTCTGTCCTCCAGACCCCAGAATGTTAGATCCACTGAAAGCTTGCACCATGCACCTGGAAAAGCCACAGACACTCAATGCCAGCCTGTGAAAGCAGCCAGGAGGGGTGCTGTACCCTGCAAAGCCACAGGGGCAGAGCTGCCCAAGGCTATGCAAGCCCACCTCTTACATCAGTGTGCCCTGGATGTGAGACATGAAGTCAAAGGAGATCATTTCAGAGCTTTAAGATTTGACTGCTCCAATGGATTTCAGACTTGCATGGGGCCTGTACCCCCTTTGTTTTGGCCAATTTCTCCCATTTGGAATAGGTGTATTTACCCAGTGCCTGTATCCCCATCATATCCAGGAAGTAACTAACTTACTTTTGATTTTACAGGCTCATAGGCAGAAGGGATTTGCCTTGTCTCAGACTTTGGATTTGGACTTTTGGGTTAATGCTGGAATGAGCTAAGACTTTGGGGGACTGTTGGAAAGGCATGATCATGTTTTGAAATGTGAGGACATGAGATTTGGGAGGGGCCAGGGGCAAAATGATATGATTTGGCTGCGTCCCCACCCAAATCTCATCTTGAATTGTAGGTCCCATAATCCCCATGTGTCATGAGAGGGACCCAGTGGGAGGTAATTGAATCATGGGGACAGCTACCTCCATGCTGTTCTTATGACAGTGAGTTCTCATGAGATTTGATGGTTTTATAAGGGGCTTTTCCCCTTTTGCTTGGCACTTCTTCTTACCACCATGTGAAGAAGGATATGTTTGCTTCCCCTTCTGCCATGATTGTAAGTTTCCCGAAGCCTCCCCAGTCATGCTGAACTGTGAGCCAATTAAACATCTTTCCTTTATATATTACCCAGTCTCAGGTATGTCTTTATTGGCAGCATGAGAACAGACTAATACAGTAGGCTATACCATCTAGGTTTGTGGATGTATACTCTATGATGTTCACACAAAGACAAAAGCACCTGATGATGCATTTATCAGAATGTATCCCTAGCATCAAGCAAAAGATGACTGTACTTCCTTCCTTCTGCTGTTCTGTTGCTGTTGTTTTTAAGTTTGCTCTCATTTTTAGTTTCTTAAGGTGGAAGCTTAGGTTTAGATAATTTTTTTTCTAAAATAGACATATTAAAGCTATAATATTTCCTCTAACCATTACTTTTGCAGCATCCCATAAAATATTTTATGTTGTACTTCACTTTTATTCAGTTTAAAGAATTTTCTAATTTCTCTTATGATTTCTTCTTTGGATCATGGTTATTTATATTATGTTATTTAATTTCCAAATATTTGTGGAGTTCTCAAATTATGCTGACTCAATATGCCCTCTGGGTCAGTGGAATCCTCACTGTCCCCAACCTCTTGGTCTATAGATACCCAACTGGTCCTATCTTCTAGACTCTAAGAGGCTTCACTGGTCCCTGAGCCACCCTCAGCTGAGGTGGCCCTGCCATCTCTGCCCTTGGTAGTGTCCCCACCCTCTGGGTACCTCGTTTCCTGCTTTTGTAATACCAGAAGTTGGACAGCTTTTCTTCTTTTCATCCTGTCTCTGTCCTCTTCAAAATTAGCAGTGTTTCTGGTGATAGCATTGTCAAAATCCTTGTCAGTTTTCCATAGATTTTAAGAGAATCCATACAATTAGGCACAAGGATTCTCTATGGATCCTTCCTGGATAACCCAATTTCTATCCTGGATTCTGCTGAAATAGTTAATTGGATCCATAAATCACACACCTAATCGCTTCACCAAAACGTTTGTCCCAGTGCTGTCTCCAGAGCATGCTATCTGAGATAGGCTGAGAAATTTCCAAATCATCAAATGATTTTTGCTTAACAGTTTCCTCCTCAGTGTATCTCTTTCCTCTCATATTTTACCATAAGAAGGAAGGAAAAAACAAGCTACACCTTCTACTCCTTGCTTGGAAATATCCTCAGCTAAATACTCAGGTTCATTAGTTACAAGTTCTACTTTCCACCCAATAGCACAGCATGATTCAGCCAAGTTTCTGCCACTTCTAACAAGGATTGCTTGTTCTCTAGTTTCTAATACATGTTCCTCCTTTCATCTGAGATCTCACCAGAAGTATCTTTAATGTTCATTATTTCTAGCAGCATTCTCTTCATAGCAATGTATGTATTCCCTAAAATGTAACTTTCTCTACTGTCCTCTTTACTTCCTTCTGAGCCCTTACCAGAATCACCTTTAATCCTCCTATTTCTACAGTCTCTTCAAGGCTTTTTCTATTAAGAATTTCAAAACTCTTCCAGCTCAATCACTTACTCAATTCCAAAGCCACATCTATATTTTTAGATATTTGTACATAGCACCCCACTTCTGGTACCACAAACAAGATGGCATAATAGAAATGTATTCTCTCATAGTCTGGAGGTTAGAAGTACAAGATCAAGGTGCCAGCAGGGCCATACTCTCTCTGAAAGCTCTAGGGAAGTGTCTGTTCCATCCCACTGTCTTAGCTTCAGGTTGCTGGCAATCATTTGCATTCTTTGCCTTTTGGATGCATTACTCCAATCTCTGCCTCCATCATCACATGCATTCTCCTCTGTCTCCTCTGTGTCTGAATTTGCCTATCTCATAAGAACACCAGGCATTGGATTAAGGCCCACTCTAATCCTTTATGACCTTAACTTGATTATATCTGCAAGGGCCCTGTCTTAGGCCATTCAGGCTGCTATAACAAAAAATAGCATAGCCTGGGTAGCTTATAAACAACAGAAATTTATTTCTCATAGTACTGGAGGCTGGAAAGTACAAGATCAAGGCACTGAAAGATTTGGTGTCTGGAGAGGGTCTGCTTCCTGGTTCATAGAAGCCATCTTCTCACTGTGTCCTCATACGGCAGAAAGCCTTGGAGCACTCCAAGTCCTATTTTATAAAGACACTTAATCCCACTCATAAAGGCTCTGCCCTTATAACCTAATTACCTCCCATAGGCCCATGTCCAAATACTATCACATGAGGAGTTACAATTTAATATATGAATTTTGGGGGGACATAACATTCAGCCTACACAGACCCTATTTTCAAGTAAAGTTACATTCACAGGTAATGGAGGTTAGGGCTTGAACCTATCTTTTGGGGGGATACAATTCAATCCACAACAATGTGATTAACATAAACCAAGATTTATTTAAACCACTGTGGGCCAGAAGCAGTGGCTCATGCCTGTAATCCCAGCAGTTTGGGAGACTGAGGTGGGTAGACTGATTGAGCCCAGGAGTTCAAGACCAGCCTGGGCAACATAGTAAACCCTGACTCTACAAAAAAATAGAAAAATTAGCCAGTCATGGTGGCATGCGCCTATATTCCCAGCCACTTAGAAGGTTGAGGTGGGAGGATCACTTAAGCCCAGGAGGTTGAGGCTGCAGTGAGCTGTGATCACACCACTGCACTCCGGCCTGGGTGACACAGTGATACTTTGTCTCAAAAAAAAAAAAAAAATAGAGAGGAGAGAGACAGAGAAGGCAACCACCATTTATAAAAAGAGAGAGAGAGGCAGAGAGAGAGACATAGAAGGCAAGCAACACTTACTGAAAAAAAAGAAAGAAAACACACACATACACACACACACACAAAACACCATGACTTGGCTTTCAGTTATTTAACAGATAAAGATTTTTCAAGGTGATGCCAATGACCTTACTGATAAAAAACAAAGGGAATTATCTGACCTGAACTCAACTTTAAAGATCTTGGGGAATTATAGTATTTCTTGATACAAGGCCAGTCACTTCTGTCAAAGTGAACCTTGGGAACTGTGATTACACTGGCCATTATTTTCTTTTCTGAATCAGAGTTTTCAGCACTGGTTCTGAGTTTTAGGAAGTCAGTGTCAACTGGACATGCACACTGACATGTCAAAGATGTCTTATTACCCATAATTTAAAGATCTTATTCACAACAAACATGTTAATACTTGTTAATATTTATTTGAGCAGCAGCCTACTTGTTAATATGAGCAAAAGGCAAGTTAATTTTTAATGTGGCTTCACAATTTTGATTTATTTCCTTTTTTTCCCCAGAACTGGAAATTGATTTTTAAATTGAAATCCCTTCCTTGTGAAAATTGTTTACACAGTCTAAGTATCAAAGAAAATTAATTTCCAATACAATACATGATAAGCAAAAGTCCACATGTAGGTCTTTATGTTCATTTATCTGAGGAAGAAGTCTGCAGTTTTCATCCTTTTCTCAAATAAATTTACTATCTCAAAAAGATTGAGAATCACTGCTCTAGAGCGTATGCCTAAGTTAGACATATATTAGTACACATGTTAGTTTGACCTAGTTTCCCCCAAGTGAAATGAGAAATAGAATTCAGGTAGAATATTGGTGGTGGCCTATCAGTTTCATTCTTGAGAATTTTATATCACTTCCCATGCCTGTATTATCACTGCTAATCTCTCTGGAAACCCTTCAATTCCATTTACTTCATTGAGAGGAACTTCTTCAGTGTCAGCTGATATGGACCATAGTTGGCTCAGATTTGTTTTGGCCAGTCCAACAAACAAACTCCAGGTTAGCTCATCAAACTCACACACAGAAAGCAACATCTCTGGCAACACTCCACAAAGCTACAAATCTAACATAATCTGAAAGAATGGTTTGGCTTCCTTGGTCAAACACCCAAAAAAATCTACATTCATATCATCACTTTTGGGTAAAAGGTTAACAAAACACTTTACCTTTGTACATGAGAATTAACCTTTGGTTAATTTTCTCATTCTGTTTTATTGAAAACTTATTAATAGGTCAATTATGTTACCCAACAATATTGTTTATGGTAAAAATGTTTCCTGATTACCAAAAGAATTATAAATGAACTATAAATATTGACTATGCTAATGGATACTATAACTTTGGGCCTCCCTGAGTATAGTGACTCTTGTAATTGGCATGTCTCTTACAGAAATTCTAGAAGCTATGTCCATGGAGTTGCTATAAGACATATTAGCTCCTGTGGAAGTTTCTAATCCAGATGCATCCCACAGGTTCCCAATGTAAGTCTCATCTCCTTGCATCTGAGCTGTCAACTTGGAATGGGAAGGCCAAAAAAAAAAAAAAACCCTGCATGCTTGTGTAAAATACTGTGAGTACCACTACCACCGAAGAGGGGTAGGTGCTGCCTACTGGTCAGCTGTGGCTTCTGTCCTATCCTTCTAAGTTAATCTGATGCCAAGGGTGATCTGCAGTAGTCTTGAAGGTCTAAAAGTCTAGTTGAATTCAAGAAGAACATTCTGGTGGGCAATGATATACACCCAGCTTCTTTTGGAAACTACTTGAAAATTTATGTTTCTTCCTTCTCTCATCTTATCATCTAACACAATATGTGTTAATAGTTAACTTTATATGTCAGTATTTAAGTTATAGGATATGAAAGAAGGAGGGTTATCATCTGGGAGCAGAATGAATGCCATTCATGGACCAACAAAAAGACTATTTTCCTCTTTTGGGAAATGGTTAGCATGTTAATAGTTATGTGATAGTAGTGTTATGTAAGGTGAAAGCACAACTTCATTGTTATCATAATTTGGAGAATTAAAGTATGGCTTAAAGAAACATGTATGGTACTAAGTTGACAAGGGGCAGACCATGATGCTTTTATAATGTGTCATCTTGCTTAAAGTGCACCAGTTTTCCTAGAATTATTTATTTTATGTTTACAGTTTGGGCGGGCCAAAAAGGCAATTTTTGGGAGATGTGTAATGTGGAAAGGAAATAGTAGCCATTTGTAGTTCACATATGTTGTTGCTGACTGGTGACTCACTTTGTTGACTCATTTTGTAGCAGCTTGGCCTGCAACTACTCTACCATCCTCTAGATCCTCCTTCAGCTTCTCCAACTCCTGGCCTATGTATGTGTGTTTATGACAAACAGCCCCAGCTTCTGAAGGATACCCTCACCACCAAGGTCAAAGGCAACAAGAACTAACATGGATTTCAGTCCATTTTCATGAGGTTCAAGTTTGTACTTGTGACTTCCAGCCTGACCTTGACTTCTCCCACTTTACTTCCATCTTCCTTTCTGACTACTCTGCCAACATCAAATTCTAGCATCAGACACAACAGCATTATAAGAGTGCCTAACTAGCTCTCATAATTGTGTAAGCCAATTCTCTTTAACAAATCCATATGTACATATACATATATTCAATTACTTGTTTTGTGTCTCTGGTTGAACACTGACTGATATATCAGGGATAAAGAAGGTCATTTCATTATGAAAAAGGAGTCAATCAAGAGGCATAACAGGCTGGGCATGGTAGGCCACACCTGAAATCCCAGCACTTTGGAAGGCTGAGGCAGGCGGATCACCTGAAGTCAGGAGTTTGAGACCAGCCTGGTCAACATGGTGAGACCCCGTCTCTACTAAAAAAAAAAAAATACAAAAATTAGATAGATGTGGTGGCACGCACCTGTAGCCCCAGCTACACCAGAAGCTGAGGCACAAGAATAGCTTGAACCCAGGAGGTGGAGGTTGCAATGAGATGAGATCATGCCACTGTGTCACAGGATACTTGGGGTGTTGCTTTTCTAGTCAGAAACCTCTGTGGCCAGTGGTGCCTTTGCCTGAGTTTTGCTTGGGCCCACTGGGATCGTTCTGCCCACTCAGCCTGGCAGGCTGTGCTTGGCTAATGCTACCAGCCTGTATCTCGCCCCTGCCAAGGGTGAGCCAGGCGTGAAGTAGCAAGGGATGTGTGAGCGAAAGAGTGTGGGGTCTGGCCACTGCACACAGTCAGGCACGCTGGCTGCTGCAGCAGGGTGGGCAGCTCCAGGTGCCAGTACGGGCCCTGGCTCACTGCAAGGCTGTGACTGGACTAAGTACACCACAGTGGTGCCCAGAAGCTTGGAGACTCCAGGAAATGCAGGGCCCCAACGGGAGTCACAATCCTGGCTCAGGGAGCTTCCTGGTCTGGGCTTCCTGAAGGGCCACAGCTCTTCTCTCCTCTTTGCCTGCAATGTGGTGAGCAAGGGGCATGTTTCAGCTCTGTTTGTGTTACAGCTCTTTCAGCCCCACCATTCAGCAGGTCTCAAGTTCTTGTCCTGCATCCAGATAGAATGAGGTATGTAGACAAGTGGAGGCTGAGCAAAGTGAAGAGGAGCTTTACTGAGAAGGAGGAGCTTTACTGAGCAACAGAATAGCTCAGAGGAGACCCTGGAGTGGGTAGCTCCTCTCTGCAGGCAGCTTGTCCCATCATCGCTGCAGCTGTCAGCAAAGAGGAGGCCCTGAAGTGGGTAGCTCCTCTCTGCAGGTTGGTCCTCCTGTTGTCTCTGCAGCTCTCAGCAGAAAAGAGGCCCTGGAGTAGGTAGCTCCTCTCTGCTGGCAGGTCTTCTCCCCCAGTCTGGCTGAGTCCAGGGAATTTTATGGGCCTCAGAGAGGAAGAAGTGCATGCTGATTGGTCCATTGGTGGCCATGGGCAGGTCCAAGAAAAAGCACCACCAGTTCCCCCTCCAGTCAGGGGGACTGGTGGCCTGGCCATTAGGCTTCAGGCCTTCTGGGGACCCGCCCCTTTCTGCCTCAGAGCATGTCGCCTCCTACTGCTTTCTATGGTGCCCAGGCTGTTCGTGGGGACAAGCACCTGCAGGCAAATGCTGAACTGCCTTCAGCCTTCCCTCAGCCTCCCTTCTATGTTTGTCAGCACCCAAAGTCTGGAGGGGGCTGAAGCAGCAGAGGAATGGCCTGTCAGCACTGCCTCAAGTATGCGCACAACTGGCTGGGCTGCAACAGCACCCTGGCTCGGCCCCAACCTTGCTCCTAGATCAGAGCAGTCACCAGGAGCAGGGAGAGGCCAGGCAGCAGAAGCAGATACCTCCAAGCCTGCTGAGGTGGGGGTGCCTTCCCAGGCCCCTAGAGTGCAGAGATATCCAGGTTGGTCCGCAGCCACAACCTGGGTGGCTACAGCTGCACAAAGGAGGTGGGGGATGCAGGAAGGGCTCATGCCTGCTCCAGCACTCCTGCCTGCTTTGGCACTCCTGCCTGCTCCCAGCCTCCAAGAACACGGTCTGTAGCAAGGACTTGGGTGGCTGCAGTTGCACCCAGGAGAGCAGGGCTCCTGCCTGCTCCTGGTCTCCAAGAACACAGGGAGGCTCAGCCAGCAGCCATGACTTGGGCAGCTGCAGCTATGCCTGGGGAGCTCCCACCCGCCAACTTGGAAGGAGCTGGGCTCCTGCTTGTCCCCGCTCCCTCTGGCTCTGTGAAGCTCACAGCATGGGCAGAGCCTCCTGGCTGCAGCCAGCATCTTGGCAGTGGCCACTCCAGATGGTCCAGATGGCCCACTGTTGCCATCAACAACACTCCAGCCTGGGCAACAGAGTGAGAGACTCCATCTCAAAAAAAGAGAAAAAGGAAAAGGAATAACAATCCTAAACATTTATGCAAATTGTGAGCTTCAAAATACATAAAATTAAAACTGATAGAATCACAAGGAGAATAGACAAAACCACAATTATTGACAGAGAATTCAATACTCATCTTTCAATAATTACTTTTAAAATTAGTAGAAAATCAGCAAAGTATATAGTAAACTTCAGTAATACCATTAACCAACTAACAATAATCAAATAGTCAACCCAACAGCAGCAGAATATATTAATATATCCTTCTCAAATGTGCATGGAACATTTATGAAGACAGACCATGTTTTGGGCCATTAATGAGTCTCAATAGATTTTAAAGGATTCAAGTCATACACAGTATGTTCTTTGACTACAATAAAATTAAATTAGAAATAAATATCAGAAAAATCTCTAGAAACCCCCCAAATATTTAGAAACTGAAATAATCCAAGTTCAAAGTATTCTGAACTGAATGAAAATAAAAAGACAACACATCAGAATTTGTGAGATGCTGCTAAGGCAGTACTTAGGGGAAAATTTATAGCACCAAATTTCTATAACACAAAATAAGAAATATTACAAATCAGAGGCCTCAACTTCCACTTAAAGTAACCAGAAAAAAAAAAGCAAGTTAAACCCAAAGCAAGGAGAAAAAAGGAAATAATAAGGAACAGAGTGGACATTAATAGACCAGAAAATGAAAGACAATTTTTAAATAAATGAAAAGCTGGTTCTCTGTAAAGATAAAAATGACAAAGCTCTGGCCTATCCGACAAGGGGAAATGGGAGAAGATACAAATTACTAATAGCAAGAATGAAAGAGGTAACATCACTGCAGATTCAACAGATACAAAAAGGACAAAGTAATATTATAAACAACTTTATGCCAACTTATACAAAATTGGCTGATTCTTTAAATGATACAAAATACTAAAGCTTACCCTATAAGAAATATATAACCTGAATAGCACCATATCTATTAAAGAAACTGAATTTGTAATTTAAAACCTTCCCACAAAAAAACTCTAGGTCCAGATAGGTTCACTGTGAATTCTGCCAAATATTTAAGGAAGAAATAATACCAATTCTGTACAAACTCTTCAACAATACTGAAGACAATGGGATGCTTTTTGAATCATTCTTTGAGGCCCACGTTACCTTGATCCCAAAACTAGACAACGACATTACAAGAAAACTATAGGCCAATATTCTTCATGAAAAATCCAACAATATATAAAAAGGATAATACATCACAGTGAAGCAGGGTTTTTTACAGGAATGCAGGTTTGGTTTAATGTTCAAAAATCAATCATTGTAAATCACCATATTAACAAACTGTCTTCTCAAAAGATACAGAAAAGGCAATTGACAAAATCCATCCTACATTCCTGATATAAATTCTCACCAAACTAGAATTAGAAAAAAACTTCCTCAGTCTGTTAAAGGGTACCAATAAAAAAAACCACAGCTAACATCATGCTTAACAGAGAAAGGATGCTTAAGATTAAAAAAAAAGACAAAGATCTTCACTTAAGATTGGAAAAAAGACAAAGATTTCCCCTTTCTTCATTTCTACCGAACACTGATATACATAAAGATCAATTTTACTTCTTCTTTTCCAATCTGAATGCCTTTCTCCACCTCCCTTTGCCTGCCTTACTGCGCTGAAAATAAGAAAGGCATCCAGATTGGAAAGGAAGGAGTAAAACTGATCTCATATGTAGAATATCTGATAGAATCTACAAAAACAGCTACTAGAACTAATAAATGAATTTAACAAAGTTGCAAGATACAAGATTAATATACAAAAATCAATTGTATTTCTCTATTATATTACCAACAAACAATCTGAAATTAAAGGAAAAATACAATAGCATCAAAATATATTAAATACTTAGGAATAGATCTGTCAAAAGTTATGAAAGATCTGTAAAATATTAAAAAGAACTATAAAATATTGGTGAGAGATATTAAGGAAGACCTAAATAAATTGAGAAAAATATTGTGTTCATGGATCAGATGACTCAATATTGCTTTAACATGTCAATTCTCCCCATATTGATCTACAGATTCAATCCAATCCCAATCAAAATCTCAGATAGCTTCTTTGTAGAAGTTGACAAACTGATTCAGAAATTGATATGGAAATGCAATGGGCTTAGAATAACCAAAACAACAAAATTAGAGGTCTCACACTACCTGATTTCAAGCCTTATTATAAAGCTAGAGTAATTAAGTGTGGTGTTGGACTAAAGAGACAAGTAGATCAATGAAAAAATAGAGAGGCCAGAAATAGACCCACACATATATGGATAACTGATTTTACAAAGCTTAAAGGAAACTCAGAGGAGAAAGAAATGGTACAGAACAACTGAATATCCACATACCAAAAAAAAAAAAAAAAAAAAATTAACTTTACCCTAAATCTCAGAGTTGTATGGGTAGAAACAAATTAATTCCAGATGGATCAGAGACCAAAATGTAAAACCTAAAAATCCTGGAGGAAATCTTGGTGAACTTATTTTAGGCAAAGATTTCTCAAATATCATACAAAAAGCATGATCCATAAAAGAGCCAATTGATAAACTGTGCTTCATCAAAACTTAAAACTGATGCTATTCAAAAAATATTAACAGAAAGAAAACTGAAGGCACAATATATTTGCAAAGCATATATCTTCTTCCTCTTCTTTTTTTTTTTTTTTGCAACAGGGTCCTGCTCTGTTGCCCAGGCTGGAGTACCGTGGCATGATCACCACCCACTGCAAGCTCCACCTTCCAGGCTCAAGCAATCCTCCCACCTCAGCCTCCCAAGTAGCTGGGACCACAGGCACACACCACCACATCCGACAATTTTTTGTATTCTGGGTGGAGAAAGGGTGTCACCGCGTTGCCCAGGCTGGTCTCCAGCTCCTAGACTCAAGCAATCCACCCACCTTGGCCTACAAAAAGTGCAGGAATTACACGCTTGGGCCATGGCACCTGGCCACAAAGCATATATTTGACAAAAGACTAGTGTCCAGAATGGACGAAAGATTTGTACAGATACTTCACCAAAGAATATATACAGATGGCATATAAGCACATTACAAAATGCTAAATATTATTAGTCAGTATGGAAATGCAAATTGAAACCACAGTGAGATACACAGTGAGTTGGTAAGGATGTGGAGGAACCGGAACTCTCATGTACTCATGTTAGGAATGCAAAATGATACAGCCACTCTGAAAAGTAGTGTGGGTTTTTTTAAACATTAAATGTACATCTACCATGAGAGAGGGGGAAAAAAGCATATGTCCATATAAAGACGTGTGTACATGAATGTTCTCAGCTTTACTTGTAACAGTAAAAACCTGGAATAACCCAAATGCCCATGAACTGGTGATTGGATAAACAAACTGTGGTATATACATACAATGGAATATTATTCAGCAACAAAAATTAACTATTGATACACACAGCAATAAAGATAAATCTCAAAATAAAAGCTTAGTGAAACAACTCTGACAAAAACAAGGACATTCTGTATGATTCCATTTAAATAAATATCTAGAAAATGCAAACTAATCTCTAGTAACAGCTGACCAGTGGAGGGGGCATTGGGAGAGAGGCTTACCAACGGGCAGGAGGAAACTTTTGGGGTTTAGATGTAATAAACATATTATTTTGATTGCAGTGATAGTTCCACAGCTGTATTCATTTAACAAGCCTTATCAAATTATATCCTTTAAATATTTGCTGTTTATGTCAGTTATACCTCAATAAAGCTGTTTTGTTTTGTTTTGTTTTGTTTTGTTTTGAGACAAAGTCTCGCTTTGTCACCCAGGCTGGAGTGCAGTGGCGCAATCTCGGCTCACTGCAACCTCCGCCTCCTGGGTTCATGGGTTCACGCGATTCTCCTGACTCGGCCTCCCAAGTAGCTGGGATTAAAGGCGCACACCACCATGCCCAGCTAATTTTTGTATTTGTAGTAGAGACAGGGTTTCACCTTGTTGGCCAGGCTGGTCTCCAACTCCTGATCTCAGGTGATCCACCTGCCTCAACCTCCCAAAGTTTTAGGATTACAGGCCTAAGCTGCGCCTGGCCAAAAAGAAAGCTGTTTTTTTAAAACTATCTGCACTCCCTACTTGGGAGGGTTGGACTCAAGTTCCCACATCTCTTTCCTCTTACGGTTATATTAAGGGCTTAGTCATACATCCCTAAATTTCATATATCCCAACAGGGACTTGGGCTGGGACAGGAAGCCCTCTTCCTCCACCTCAACTACCACTTAGCCACCCACCATTTTCTCAAACCTCTTCCTTTCCCCACCGGACAGCTTAAACCAAGTCACACGTCTCATTGGTCTCAACAGAAATGAGGTCCCAACTCCTCATTTCCCAAGATATTTCCATGAACACAGCAATATCCTTTCCTACCCTGATTACCCCGCACCCTCCATTTCGGGTCCTTCTCACCCTGATCAGTGAGAATTGTTCTAGCAAGCAAACCTTAAATAGACCTCGTACCCTTTCTAGATTGCAAAGTAGATAAAAATCCAACTTTCCGTTAATTCAGGGATTAATTACTGAGCATCACTTATTTCTTGGGCAGTGGTTCTCAAAATGTGGTCCCAGGACCAACAGCTTCAGGATCACCTGAGAACCTGGGCTGCCACCGCCCCCTCCCCCACTACTAAATCAGCAACTCCGGAGTTGTGGGGCAGAAGTCAGTATTTTAACAAGGCCTCCAGGTGATTCTGATGCGCGCTACTCTTCTGGGGGTGTGAAAAACCAGAGAGGACAGGAAGAAAGTTAGAATTAAAGCATACCTACGAATCAGATAAGCGATAGGGGGAGGGGTGGTTATTTAAAAAACGATAACTAATTAAGAACTTGTATGTAGTAAGAAAACCTACCCTGCCCCAGAGAGCTTTCCCGAAAGATAATGGATTCCGACATTCACCTCAAGAACCGGCAGACAGAGCAGCAAAGGATCTGTCGCTGGCCAAGCAGGTCCCTGGCTAAGGCACTGCTAGGGACAGCTCGCGGCGGTTCGGGGGTTAATTCTCGGCAGCCCTCCGTCACCCGGTGCCCCACCCCCGCCCTGCGCCTGCGCGGTGAAGCGCCATAGAGCTGAGCACTCCTCCCAGATTCCTAGAGCGGACAGGGCGATGGCAGGTTCGCCGGGTGTGAGGCTTCACAGCGGTCCGGTGACCAAGTCGAGGTAAGGGTGATGTCGGCTCGCGGATAGCAGAGGAGTTCCGGGTGATCTTGCCTAACGAGCAGGAAACTGTGCATGGTTTCTCGAGTCCTTGGAGAGTGAAGGCCCCCGGGGTCGCTCCCGGGCACGGAGAGACGATTGGTTCACGGCCTAGTGTTCGGTTTGTTCCCAGTCAGCCCTTGCTGGCCTTGGGTTCAACCGAATGAACGCCAGAAACTCTGTGGGGTGGGGGGAGTCACCAACCGTGGTGCATCCATACGAATCAGCCTACCGTACTGGGAAAGAGCCACCTGAATTTGTGAATGTTGTAAAAGCAAAAGGAAGAAAAATGATCAGTAGTGTCATTTTTGGATAGGAAGGGCAGCGAATAACATAGTGTTAACCACTAGAATTCACTGTAAAATTCCCCTCTCTGCGTTATCTTTCCAGTTATACCTTTTTTTGGTAGCATTAACCCCTAATTTTGTTTGAACATCTCTAGACTTGGAATGGGGAATGTGTGTCTTAAGTGGGTTAATCCCTGGCTCTTGGATGATGGGGAGGAAGCCTAATACATTCTGAGAGAAAAGCAACTGGAAGTCAAATGAGATTTTTTGTTTTCTCCTTCTTTTATATCTTGAGGATTTTTCTGGTGGTCTAGTCTCAGAGATTACATCTGTAGTCAGCACAATGATTCCCTTCCAAGCCCAGTGGTGCCCAGTTGCCTCCAGGTCCCAGACCTTTATGTGGACAAGAAAAGCTTACAGAGGAAATGGTAATTCTCCACTTGCACACTGAGGTGTCCAGTTGCAGCCCATGGAGATCCAGTTCAATTATGAATCTCAGGAACACCACCTTCTGTCAGGTGAGAGGCAGGGTATTATATCTTTCTTAGTGGCTTTGGCGGGGTGGGGAGGATGAGGGGGTGTCACTCTATGCTAGTGTCTTCAAATGATCCCCCTTAACTCTGTTAGGCAGTATTACCTCTTTAGTGTACCAAGCATAGTCACATGACTTTATTTCAAAATCTGGCGATCAAATTCTCATGCAGCTCTCTCCACTTTTTTAAGACCCCAAAGTCATTCATTTTTCCCTGTATAATGACCTCATTGCTAATCTGTCAGTTTTGGTCATTTTTCTTATCTACTGTAGGGGCATAGTTAAAAGTTCTGGAGTCTGACAACCTAGATTCAAACAGTAGTTTTGTCACTTAACTGGCTCCAGTAAGTTACTCATATATTTTACGATTCTGTTTCCTCACTTTTCAAGTGCATAGTACTTCATACCTTGAAGTTATTTTGAGATTTGTATCTATGTATTACTCCAGAATAAAGAACCCCAAAATTTAGTGACCTAAAACATCAGACTTCTTAAACCACATTATTTCTTATGATTCTGTAGGTCATCAACTTGAGCTGGGTTCACCTGGGCATTTTTTTTTCTCTTGGTCTTTTCTGGGGTCATTTTGCAGTCATCTCAAGGCTGACTCTACTGGGGCCAGGGTCTAAGATGGTTTCAATCACGTTGTCTCAATGTCAAACTGTTAGTGCCGGCTATGGCTTGAGTCCTCATGTCTTCAGCAGGTGACGCTGGACTTTTTCACAGGACAGCTTGTTTCCAGTCAGAGAAGGCAAGCTCTTTTCATACCTATGTTTGTGTTTCATCTGTTAATGTGTTTCATCTGTTAATGTCTCATTGATGAAAGCAGGTCATATGACCAGTTCTAAAGTCATTATAGAAGGAAACTACACAGGGATATGGGTACTGGGAGATAGGATTCACTGGGGTACACTAATACTATAACAGGCCAGGTGCAGTGGCTCACACCTGTAATCCCAACACTTTGGGAGGCCAAGGCAGGAGGAATGCTTGAAGCCAGGAGTTGAGGACCAGCCTGGGCAACAAAGTGAGACCCCATTTCTACAAAAATTTAAAAAATTAGCCAGGCATGGTGGTGTGTGTGTGCCTGTAGTCCTAGCTATTTAGAAGGCTGAGGTGAGAGGATTGCTTGAGCCCAGGAGTTCAGAGGCAGCAGTGACTTATGATTGCACCGCTGCACTCCAGCTTGGGTGACAGAATAAAATGCGATCTCCAAAAAAACACCAAGAAAAAAAAAAACTAAACAAGATCCTTAACGTAAAACTCTGAGCACAGATTTTGCTTACAGTAAATTCTTTATAATTGGTAGCCACTATTATTTTAAGTAAGATAATTTTGATCTCAACGTTTTTCAGGTGTTCTGTAGGGTCTCATTTCCACATCATATGTTACTTCTTTTTGGTTTGTCCTCTCATTGCGCTGTTTTTCCTGTGAGTCACCTTCAGTTGTCCCTTTTCTCACTCTAGATCTTCTGCTTCTTTTTAGTCTTGGAGCATCTTTATTTTATTTTACTTAGTTTTTCTCTCCTATGTGTAGAACTTGTCCTTCCTTAATAATCTATTCCAAGACATCCAGCTCTTTCCTGAGAATCACTGCAGAATTAGACCTTCTCCTTGCAGTTTTGCATAAATTGATATACTTAGTCTTTGTGTTTATGTCTCTTAGAATATGTATAAAATAACATTTTATTATAGAGAAATACAGTTATACTAAAGTCAATTTGTAAAGAATAGGAGAACACAAAACAAAATTTAAATAACCTTCAGCTCCACCCTCTAGAAATAGTCACTGCTAACATTAATATATCCTTAAAATCATTCATCTAATTCACCAAATATTTATTATTGATAAATGTTTACTAATAAGATCATACCTTATTAATTACTAGCCATATAATATTAGTTATTAAGGGTTTGCTCTGTGCCAATAACTGTTCTAAGTGCTGGGGATATAGCAGTGAGCTGAACACACAAAGCCTTTGCTGTCAAAGTGCTTACATGCTAGTGGAGGGAAGGAGAAAATAAATGAATGCTCATTATATTATCAAATAATGATAATGGTTATGGAGAAATTAAACCGGGATATATCAGTGAGGATTCTAGCAGGAAACAGATGGCTCATTCGAGTGCAGTAATTCAAAGTTTCATGAAGAGGATGGGCATGATTACAGAAATCAGCAAGGGATGGAGAACAGCCATGGATCAGACAACACTGGGGAGCAGTTACTACCTGTAGGTCTTCAGGGACCAGGGGAAAGATTGATTACCAGGCCCTGGAAAGTATAGCTGTAGGATTTAGCCATCTGATAGGAGCTCTGGCCTTTGCTAAAAGGCTCAGCTAGTAGCCCAGCGAGGAGAGAGCCAGGATATAGGGTGACCAGTTCATCCCAGTTTGCCTGGAATTTAGCACTGAAATCTGCAATAGCCCCTTCAGTTTTAGGCAAACCATTACAGTTAGTCACTCTACTATTTTCCCACTTGTGCCCAAATCTACTTGCATACCAGAGGGCATGGAACCCCAGGTGGTGCAGTCTGTCAACATCAGTCTCCTGGTACAGAGCAGAGTGGGGCACAGAGCAAGGTGGAGAGTAGATCTGGAGGGGTAAAAGGACAATATTCATTATAATCCACCACTTTTATCCTGCAATATCCACCCCAACATAGCAGAAAAACAAAGTCCCTTAAGCTGCCATTTCATTTCAGGTTGACATAATTAAATCATATTCCCACCGGAAACCTGGAATTTAACTACCACTAGTGCCCTTCATATAAAATGGTGAAGGAGAGGGGGGAAAGGCATAATTAACATAAAACATGACAGCCACTGTTTTTGCTATTCACAAAGCCTAAATTGATAATCCTAATTATCTTCTTCCATTACCCATTTTATATCTCCCTTACTCTCTGCCAGCACCTCAGTGGCATAAATTTCTTTACGTAGTTAAGTAATATAAAGCTGCTTTCCTGGATGATCTGAGTCCTCGGTAATCCTGCTTCTTTCAGGCTGCTTCAGTGTACCATTGATTAGGCCTACTAGACATGAGAGGACTAAGACGCATCCTATTGAATCCTCTTGAGTTCCAGACATACTCTTTCTTGCCCTTCCTATGTTGCAGCAATCAATTCCCCCTTGGTAATTGAGATCAGTCATCCTGTCCAGTAAAGTGATCCCTTCTGTGTTGGTTCAGCAGCATGAGGATCCCAGAATGACCAGGAGACAGTTTCATTTTTTTTTTTTTTTTTGAAATTAACAAAATGATGACTTTGTTCCATGGTGGAAATTTCTCCTTTGAGCACTAGAACTTCAAACTCACCATGCCAACAATTATGGTGATAGGAAGCAAAAATAATACAAGCAAATTATTAGGTCTCTAATAAGAGGAACCATTCTCACTCTTCCTCCACCCTTGGTTCCTGTACCTGTGTATGTATTCTGGCCATGGTGAAAAAAACAATATTTATTGTCCTTTGATTTAAGGCATATATTGCATCTATATGACAGCACCCCAGACTTACAGGGTATTGTGTTGTTGACATAACTCAGCCTTTAGCAGATCATTCCACATATTCTGGATTAATGGGCGTATGGCAAGACCTATGAATTACATGTACGTGAATTCATTGCTATACTTTCTTTCCTGAAAAATGAGTTATTTGGAGGCAACAGAGTATCGAATACCGTGGTAATAAACAACCTTAAGTCAATGCAAATTTGTATCTGGACTATGTATTTAATACTTTGTAAACAAATTGCTGCCCTCTTTTTGATAGAAGTGGTTCAGTGTAATGAATCTGCCCCCATTTCCAGGAAATGGTTTTGGTCTTGGCTTTTAGGGGCTTGGTTTTGGTCTTGGCTGTTAGCTGCTTGGCCACATAGCAGTTGTGATAGGCATATCAACCTTAATGAGGGGAGGTCCATATTATTGAGCCCATATATAGTTTTCATTCCCACTGCCATGACTACTTTGTACATGAGCCTATTGGATAAGCATTGGAAAAGAGACTGGTTGACAGTCATAAAGTAGATCATCATGTCTGTCTGATGGAAAGGCTTCTTCACAGTGGATGCCCTTTGGTGAGGATTCACATGGGACACAAATATATTCACATTCATTGCCCATTCTGGGAATTCCATCCTCATACTTTTCCCCCAGAATCTTTGCTTCCAGTCCTCCAATCTTGTTCTTTCCAGGTACCTACATAATCAAATAACCAATTAGTCACTACCCATGAATCAATATAAACATATATCTTAGGCTATGTTACCTTTCATGAAAAGTGGACAACTAGGTACATACGTGAAATTCTGCCCACTGGGAGGATTTGCCTTCACCAGTGTGTTTGAGGCCACTTCTGAGTAGGGGTGTAAGTGAAAGCTATTTACTTTTGGCTGGTGCCACTCCCCACCATTTGTAAACCAGTTCTGTAATTTTTCCTTGGCTGTTAACTGGTAATAGGGAATTCCCATGAGACCATAAACATAAATTGAAGGGGAGAGGTAGTGAAGCAGTAGGACCAGGTACTGTGGAATCCTAGTCACTTGCATATGGAATTTACTTTTCTTCTAGACTTTCTTTTGCAATGGAACGTTGCTTTGTGTGTGATTTGGTGGAATAACAACCAATACACAATGAGCAGTCTAATGTGTAGTCATTTGGTGCTCTGTGTTCAAGTGTGAAATCTCTATCAGTGCCCAATAGTAAGCCAGGGTCTGCTTTTCATATAGAAAATGGTTGCTGACAGAAGAAGATGTGGCCGTACTCCAGGGTGGTTCTCTATGGAGGCTTGTGAGAGTCTCTATACAGCATCCATGACTGCCACCGGCACTTCCAATACCATTAGTTATCCTGGTAATAAGAGTCTCACTCAAAAGTAGCAACCTTACAAGTTAATTAAATTGGTCATTTCAGCTCATTGAGCTGTGGTATCTGTCACCTCAAAAATGCAGAGGCGCTCCAAGTCTTGCACCTCCTTGCAATGGTAACATTTGGGTAGAGCTATAAATGAAGTGAGAAAACAAGCCATATGACTATCTGAGAGTGTTCCAGGAAGAGGGAGTAGCAAATGCCAGTGGCTCCTAAATGTATCAGGAACAGAGGGAGCCTGGGGTAGACAGGTATTAGGGGTGGTAGTGGAATGAAATGAGGGCAGAGAGAAAGAAAGGGACCAGATAATGTGGAACCTTATAAACCATAGTAAGGACTTGGAATTTTATTCCCAATATAATAGGAAGCCATTGGGGTTCTTTATACAGGATAATGAGAAAGGTAAGTTAGGGAGAAGAAATCAAATGTTTCAAGAAGAGAGTAATCAACTATTCAAATCAATCCAGAATAAGATTGAGAAGTGACCATTGGCTTTGTCAAGATAGAGCCTATTAGGGACTTTAATAAATCCAGTTTTGATGGAGTTTCAGAGATAAAAGCCTAATGACAATGGACTAAAAAGAGAATAGACCAAATGTTGGTTACAGCATAGAACAATGTGAACTCCTCATACACCATCCTGATGGAAGTCTAAATTGGTTCAACTACTTTGGAAATACCTAGTTGAGACCCAAACAAGTCAAGGTTATATAAACTTGATATATAACTTATAGTTTATATAACCTAGAGAAACATTTGTATATGTGTACCAAGATAGATATACAAGCATATTCATAACAGCATTGTTTATAATAGCAAAATGTTATTGTTTATTGAAGGAGAATAGGTAAATAAATTGTAGTGTATGTTACGCTGTAGTAGCAAACATGAATGGACTACAGGTAAACTACATCAACGTGGGTGGATCCTCCAGGTGTAATGTTGAGCAAACAAAGCAAGCCACAGAATACAAGTAGAATTCCATAAATATATAAAGTTAAAAAACATCCTGTTTTAGTCTGCTAGTGCTACCATAAGAAAATACCATCTACTGGGTAGCTTAAACAACAGAAATTTATTTTCTTACAGTCCTGGAGGCTGAAAGTCCCAAATCAAGGGACCAGCAAAGTTGGTTTCTCCTGAGGCCTCTCTCCATGGCTTGCATATGACTTTTCTCTGCACGCAGAGAGTGGCTTTTCTCTGCATGCATGCCTCCTGGTTCCTCTTCATCTTCTCCTGAGAACACTGGTCTTATTGGATTAGAGCCCTCCCTATGACCTCATTTAACCTTAATTACCTTCTTAAGGGCCCTCTCTACAATCGCATTGGGAGTTAGGGGTTCAACATACGAATTGGGGATGGTGACAGGGAGGGAGGGGGCAGTGCACAAGCACAAGTCAGTCTATAACACATGCAAAACCAAACAATACTTTCTTAAAAATACAAATATTTGGTAAAGCTCTGAAGAAAGCCAGAGAAGGATAAACACAAAATTTAGCACAGTAATTACAAGAGTAGGTGGGGGAAAGAGATTGGAGGAGGAAGTCAGGAACAGGGAAGCATGCAGAAGGGAATTCTAGCATGTTGGAAACCTTCTGGTAATTTTTTTTTAAGTTGAATGGAAGGTTCAATTTTGTTTGTTGTATTATTCATTTTTTAATTGTACATATATGCATATAGATGTATCCATATTTTTGTATATAAAATAATAAAAAATGAGAAAGTAAAGTTTTTCAAGGAGAATTGCTATAAAGGGAAACAGAAATGAAGCAATAGAAGGATGGAATATAAGGTCAAGGTTTTTTGTGTTGTTGCTTTTTAATATATTTTTACTGACTTTTGTTAAATCTACTTTAGTCAGGCATAGTTTATGGACCATAAAACATACCTCTTTTAATTGTGCATTTAGATGAGGTTTTAGATGAGAATAGAGTCTGCCTCTGTCACCCCAGCTGGTGTGCAGTGGCACAATCATAGCTCACTGCAGCCTGAGCCTCCCAGGCTCAGCTCAATTGATCTCCCACCTCAGCCTCCCAAATAGCTGGCATTACAGTTGCACATCATCATGCCAAACTAATTTCTTTTATTTTATAGAGACCAGATATTGCTATGTTGCCAGGGCTAGTCTCGAACTCCTGGGCTCAAGCAATCCTCCCACCTCAGCCTTTCTGAGTGCTGGGATTACAGGTGTGAACCACCACACCCAGCTTGCTTTAGATGAGTTTTGACATATTTATACACCATGTCCACTACCCTCACAAGCAAAACATAGAATCTTTATATCAACACCCTTCTTCCAAATTTCCTTCTAGTCCATCCCCATCCCTAGACAACCATTAATATGCTCTCTGTCACTACATATTTGCTTTGGCTTCTCTAACATTTCATGTAAATGGAATCATACTTGCCTGCCTTTAGTTCAGCATAATGTTTTTGAGATTCATCCATATTTTGCTTTATCAGTAATTCTTTTTTATTGCTAAATAATATTCCATTGTATGGCTATATTATAATTTGTTTATTGATTCACTTGATAATGAACATTTGGATTGCTTTCATTTCTGGCTGTTAATAAAGCTGCTCTAAACATTTGTGTACAAGTCCTTGTGTGGACATACGTTTTCATTTCTCTTGGATAAATATTAATATCTAGAAGTAGAATTGCTGGGTTGTATGGTAAGAAAATGTTTAACTTTATGAAAAGCTGCTAGAATTTTCTAAAGTAGGTATACCATTTTGTATTTTCATCAGCAGTGTTTGAGAGTGCCAGTTGGTCCACAGACTAGTCAGTATTTAGCCATTAACTATGTTAGTTGTATTGTCAGTAATGGGTACCAGTAGCTCCTTGAGGTTGAATTTTATTTCCCTGATAACTAGTGATACTGAGCATTTTGTCATATGCTTACTAACTATTCATATAACTTATTTTGCGAACTGTGTATTCTAATCTTTTGTTCGAGTTGTATTATTTTTAAGGTGTAAAAGTTCCTTGTATATTGTAGATATATAATCGTCAAATATATGCTTTATGAATATTTTCTCCCAATCTGTAGCTTGAATTTTTTTCTCAGTAATGTCTTTTGAAGAACAGAGGTTTATAATTTTGATGAAGTATAACTTACATTTTTTATTTTATGATTCATGCTTTTGGTGTCCTATCTAATATCTTTGCCTGCCCCCAAATCATAAAGATGGTCATCTGTGCTTTCTTCTAGAAGTTACATACTTTTAGCTTCAATGCTTGGATTTATGTTACATTTGCAGTTAATTTTTGTGTATAGTGTGAGGAAAAAGTTGGGATTCATTTTTGTCATTATGATATCTACTTCTGACACTTCTGTTTTATTTGTGTGTTCATTTGTTTTTGGAGACAGGGTCTTGCTCTGTTGCCCAGGCTGGAGTGCCGTGGTGCGATCACAGCTCACTGCAGCCTCAACCTCCCAGGCTCAAGCGATTCTCCCACCTCAGCTTCCCAAGTAGCTGGGACTACAGGTGTGCGCCACCACACCTGGCTAACTTTTATATTTTTTATAAAGACAGGGTTTCACCATGTTGCCCAGGCTGGTCTTGAACTGTTGTACTCAAGCGACCTACCTGCCTCAGCCTCCCAAAGAGCTGGGATTACAGGCATGGGCCACCGTGCCTGGCTTAGTTTCAACACTTTTTGTTGAAAAGAGTTTGTCCTTTCAATACTGAATTACCTTGCCACGTTTGTTGAAGATCAGTGGTACATACGTTTTTGGATCTATTTCTGAAATCTGTTCTGTTCCACTAATAGGTATGTCTGCACTTATGCCAATGCCACCCTGCCTTGATTACCGTGGCTTTAGAGTAAAGCTTGAAATCTGGTAGTGTAACTACTCCAGTTTTGTTCTTTCTCAAAAGTGTTTAGCCTCTTCTGTGCCTTTCTACATAGAGTTTAAAACTAATTTGTGTTCCCCAGTGGGCAGGTAGATGCATACCTGCCCCCAAAAGCCAAGGGAGCTGATCGGCCATATAAAGAGGCTAACAAATCCAGTTTCCTAGAAAGAATCACTTACTAGAGATGAGGAGAAGTCACGTCTGAGGTGGCCGCAAGATTTTGGATCCCCACCCTTGTCCTCAAGAAAGCATTCTTTATGTAGCAAGCTTTTTTTTTTTTTTTTTTTTTTTTTGGTAAACATTTGCAGCTTGTCATGTCTCAGACCCTCTTAAAAACTCCGACCACTGGGGAAGTTAGATAAGCATCTTTATGAGGGGTTATCCCTGCTACAGGCAACATTTCTTTGTGAGGGGCTATATCTATGCTACAGGAATACCTTGGCATACAGGAGTCAAACACAGGTAATTATGGTGGTTTCATTTCAAGATGGCATTACTCTTATCATCAACAGGCTGTTTTCCTCGAGTTTGTCAGTTCGTCCTAAAAAAGACCTGCTGGGATTTTGATTGGCGTTGCTTTGAATCTGTAGATCAGTTTGGCGAGAATTACCATCTTAACAATATTAAATGTTCTTATTTATAAGTAATTGTATATTTCTGTTCCTTTTTAGTTTTTCTGAGCAGTTTTGTTTTCATTATGCAAATGTTGCACATATTTTGTTGAATTTCTAAGTATTTCATTTTGGGGTACAATTGAAAAAAACATTTTAGACTGTGATTGTTAATTGCTTGAATATATAAATACAGTTGGGTTTTGTATTCTATTCTAGTAAACTGATTTAAAAGTTCCAATAGCTTTTTTGAGATAGGGATTTTTCGGTATATGTGGTTGTGTGGTCTCTAAAGACAGTATGACTGTTTTCTTTCCTATTTGTATGTGTCAGTTATTTTTCATGTCTTATCTTTTTGGCTAGGAATGTTGAGTAGAAGTGGTACAATATTGAAGAGAAGTGATAAGAGTAGGCATCTTTGCCTTACCCCCTTGTTCCTAGGAGAAAGGCATTCAGTATTTAACCATTAACTATGTTAGCTGTAGGTTTTTCTTTGCTTTTTATTGGAGTAGTCAATTTGCGTAGAATATAATTGATATGCTTAGATTTAAATGTACCAGCTTCTTATTTTGTTTTCTTTTTTATTCCATTTATTTCTTTTTTTCCTTTTTGTCCAATTTTAGATTATCAGGTTTTTGCACTTTTTCTTCTGTTAGCTTATTATTTACATAGTCTTCTATTATTTTAACGGTTACCTCATCCTAGGCTTTCTCACATGTGATTCTGTGAAAGAATTAAACCCCAATGCTATCAGGCTCTCTTATACATCTACTATGGTATTAACTGTGTACCATCATTGGAGAATTAAGAAAATAGTCACTCAGTTCATTTTCTGTTTCATTCTCTTTTGGAACTCTGGTTGAAAAAGGCTGCCTTAGAAATTAGAACGTGTACACTGGATTTATTACAGTTTAATTTACTACTTCTAAGACAATGCTGAGACCCTATAATACTGTAGTTCTTCCTATCCCCTCCTCTTGTGCTATTTTTGCCATATATTTTAATTCTATGTATTTTATAAACTCCACAAAACATTCATATTGCTTTAATCAGTAAGTACACATTTAGATTTACCCGGACACTTTACTTTTCCAGTGCTCTTCATTCCTGCATTACCTTGCTTGCATCTGGGATATTTTTTATTCTTGAAGAATTCTGTTTAGTATTTATTTTAGTGCAGGTATATTTTTAAAAACCTTTCTTGGTTTTTATTTAACTGAAAATATCTTTATTTTAACTTTTCTTTCAGGCATTTTATCTTCTTATGCAAGTCTATGTTGGCACTTCTTTTCCTTAAGCACTTGGCAGATGACATTCCATTATCTTCTGGTTTTCATCATTTCTATTAAAGTTAGGGTTGAGAGAGAATTCTCCATGGGCTCTTGTGGGTCTGCACATCTTTTAAGCAAAGGAATTGCCTGCATTTGTTCTGGACTGTTTTTTAAGAATGTTGTGGCTGAGCACAGTTGCTCACACCTGTAATCCCAGCACTTTGGGGGGCTGAGGCAGGCAGATCACGAGGTCAGGAGATCGAGACTATCCTGGCTAACACGGTGAAACGCCATCCTACTAAAAATACAAAAACAAAATTAGCCAGGCGTGGTGGCGGGCACCTGTAGACCCAGCTACTCGGGGGCTGAGGTGGGAGGATTGCTTGAACCCAGGAGGCGGAGGTTGCAGTGAGCCGAGATCGCACCACTGCAATCCAGCCTGGGCAACAGAGCAGGATCTATCTCAAAAAAAAAAAAAAAAAAAAAGTTGTATAGCAGGCAACCTTTGAATATAGTGATAGTGTCCCCCTCTAAAGCAGAGGACAGATGTCCTTATGTCCCTGCCTCAGGGTTCCTGTCCTGCAACACAACTTACTTTTGTCACCTTGTGGGAATTAGGGTTCAGGAAGGCAAATACTGCTATTCTGTCTAATGCTGTTGCTGTGTGTAATAAACTGTCATTTGTTTCTTATCTAGGATTCTCATGTCTTCTGCCAGGGGCTGTGAAACTGGGTAGATTGACTTGTTAGCTTGCACTTAGGGTAAAATCCCAGATTTTTCAGTTTTTGATAGTGTTGGTAATAACGATGGGATGCTGACAGAGACATAACTTTCTGGAAGAGGAAGTATAAGGGCCTCACGGGCTCTTTAACAGATTTTGAGGGAAGTCCATGAGAATTGGTAGTGAACATGTTGACCAAATTGTATGGTCAACAGAGCAATAAATGTTTCTTCATTTTATTGCCTGTTAATAAGTAGGAATTCAGGAGGTGGTTGCAAGCCAAATCCAGGAAGCATGTTCAAAGACAGCTATCTAAACAGTACGCTGATTGTTGCTAACTGTCCTCCGGGGGAACTTCAATTTAGTGGTCAGCCTCAGGTGTGTGCCATTGTAACAAATAGCAGTTAAGCTTCATATTGGGTGGACAAAAGTTTCCACCCACTTTCAGACAGTTACAAAGATATGTAGCTACACTGAGCATAAAAGGAGGAAAATTGATGAACACTATGGACAGAAAGCAGGTGAATTGCTAGAACTTTGGCTGGTTTGCTTGGGTTGGTTGCTTAAAGATTAAGGAAGAATGGAAATAGCTGAGCCATCTTACTACTTAGTCCCTCCTATAGTCTGTCATGCCAACCTTAGATCCCTTTGGAGATGACACTAAAAGTAATTTCAGAGTTCTTTTACAGTGGATCTAAGATGTGATAGAGGAACTTTGGCACCCTACGAGAGAGGGGGCTTTCCCTCAGACAGACAAAACTCCTGCGAGATACCATGGACAAGATATTAACTCGTATCCAGGCTCTTACAGCTCCACACTGAAATTACAGTGCTGATGAAAATGACCAACTTGATATGAAGAATTAGATAAAGTGTACTGTTGTTACTGCTTCTACATCTGAATGTTTAGTAGGTATTAGTTCTTGTATTTCAGTATCACTTAAGTGCCAGAGGGGATCCTCCCTATTGGAAAGAACTGAATATAGGGAAGTGCCAGAAGTCCTTTGGGACCCCTCACAAACCTAATGACTCCTTTGAGCTAGTCTTTATTTATAACTAATGATTCTGCTAATTGGAGCCGTTGGCAAGAGGGAAGAAGCCTCCACTTGGAAGTACCCCTTTAGGTTTTAGACTTTCGCCCGAATTGAATGTGTTTTCAGCTCTCCAGACTATTTGTAGTCTGACAGTGATATGCCTTTTGTAATAAACACCACTCAACAATGGGCTGATAGCCAAGAAATTCAGTGGGAACCGGTGCTGTGGCATAGGCCTGTAATACTAGCTACTTAGAGGGCTAAGGTAGGATTGTTTGAGCTCAGGAGTTTAAGATCAACCTGGGCAACCTAATGAGACTGCATCTCAAAGAAAGAAAAAAAAAATTCAGTGAGGCTTTCATGTGCCCTACCATCATAGGTATCTGGTATTGTTGAGTATAGGAATGGCTCCTCAAAAGTCAACTCAAAAAAGATATCTAACTCTACCTTCCTAGCCTTTTTCTGGTTCACACTCCTTAGTAAGGAAGTTTGTTCACTGAATATGGCTGTTGCCAGAAAGGGATTATGTCTTCTTGGTCACTTCCTTAGAAATAACCAGAACAAAAGAGGTAGAAATTTTTTATAGACCTGATTTTGAAAATTTAGGATTCTGTTCTGACCATTCCTGGGCATGATGTTTCTTTCTTTCCCCTAATGGCAGTTGCTGGCCAGCCTGGTTTGTGGTAGGTATACCTTCCCAGTTACAGCCTAGCCAAAATGGAGCTTATGGGGTTCAAATTTAATTCTGATCCAGCTATCTGGATTCTTTTTGTTGGATAGCATGTCCTAAATCATAAAGATAATGATCACTCAGTTGAGTGCACTGCTTGCAAAGTGGCTCATATAGACCATAACACAATACATTTTCTTGTAACCAATTTTCAGAGTGATTTATATTATCACTTTGTGGTCTGTGTTTACTGCTACAAATTGACATATACAAATATAGATCTCTTTTTTTCCCGTAATTCAACAGTTTTACTTACTTTGGTATGTGAAAGGAAAATAAATCTCCAGACCCCAAAGTCACTAAGCTTCAAGGAAAAGTCAAGCTGGGAACTCCTTAGGACAAACCTGCCTCCCATTCTATTTAAAGTCATACCTCTGCTCATTGAGAGAAATGCATATCTGATTGCTTCCTTTGGAAAGGCTAATCAGAATCTCAAAAGAATACAGCCCTTTATCTCTTATCTACCTATGATCTGGAAGCCCCCCCTTCCCTGCTTTGGTTATCCCACCTTTCAGATCAAACCAGTGTACATCTTACATATATTGATTGATGTCTCATGTGCCCCTAAAATGTATAAAACCAAACTGTGCCCTGACCACCTTGGGCACATGTCATCAGGACCTCCTGAGGCTGTGTCACGGGCATGTCCTTAACCTTGGCAAAATAAAATTTCTAAATTTACTGAGACCCATCTCAGATATTTGTGGTTCTCAGGTATATTCATTTTTAAAAATAGCTAATGCATGCAAGTGATGAAAGAGTCAAGCATTATCAAAGTGTATGCAATAAAAAGTTTCTCAGAATTCCTCATACTCCTCACCGTGTGACTCCCAGTTTTCTTCAGGTGTAATTATTGTTATTTTCGTGGATATTCTTCCTAAAGACATTCCTATGGGCAGAACTAGGATGGCCCTCCATTTGAGTGAAAATAAAAACCATAATTTTCATAGTAAGATGGAAGGTATGCAGCATTATCCCGTTTGGAAGCCTATTGATGTTTTCACATAATAAATTCAAATAGTTGTATGAAAACTCAATACTGAAGTGATTGCTGTACTTAAGGACTGGGATCATTCTTATTTATGGCTTTATTATATAAGGTATTGAGAGCATAGTAAACGCTCCACTGGTGTGTTAACAATCAGTCTTGTACCATTTCTAAAAATTGATAGAGAAGATGCAAACAAAGTAATTGAAGCATTTTCTTTTCCTTGTTTTTCTTTTTCTCTTTTTTGTTAATACCATACATTTAGCCCAAATTGCTGGGTAGTACTAGATAAAGCCGAACCAACTTCTTTATCTTTTTTGAGATTCACACTGCTTGCCTTATATATGTTAATAAAATGCTTATGTATTAGTTCTAATTTAGTCACAATTTACTAATCACTAATTAGGTTTCAGTATTCCTAGATCTCCTGTGACAAACATACAGAGCATATCTGGTACATCACTTCTATAAATGATCAATGTGATCCATTACTTATTGAATCTTTCTAGGTTTCCTCAGAGGGTAATGTTCATTTTTTGGAACACTCACACTATGATCACATTTTATAGGTAAATACTAATCTGTGTCACCTGAAACTTTCTTACAATATACAGAACACATTCCATTTGGATTTTGTTTATTGTTCCAGATGGTGAGAACAAGACCAAGATTGGAAAGCCAGCTTCAGAGGAGGGAATTACAGCAAAAATTGAACCATTGACAGAAGAGTCTAGCAGTCTCAGAATGTTCTCCAGGATTCTGAAGGCAAAGAATTCTGTGAATTTGGGGATAAATTAAATGAAAAAGATCAGAACGTCTTTAAAAGGAGACCTCATAACTGTGACGAATATGGGCAAAGCTTTGTTTGGAGTACAAGCCTTTTTAGGCATCGAAAAACGCACTGTGAGAAACCTTATGAATGGGATAAGTGTGGAAAGGCCACTGGGGAGAAACCTTATTCCTGTAATTGGTGTATTAAAAGTTTCAGTTGGAGCTCAGACCTTATTAAACACCAAAGAGTCCACACTGGTGAAAAACCTTATAAATGTGATGAGTGTGGGAAAGCCTTCAGTCAGAGCTCAGATCTTATTATACATCAGAGAATCCATATAGGAGAAAAACCCTATCAATGCCGTCATTGTAGTAAAAGTTTTAGCCAGCGCTCAGATCTGGTTAAACATCAGAGAATCCATACTGGAGAGAAGCCTTATACTTGTAACCAGTGTAACAAACATTTTAGAGTTCTGATGTGATAAAACATCAAAGAATCCACACTGGGGAGAAACCATATAAATGTGATGTGTGTGGGAAAGCCTTCAGTCAGAGCTCAGATCTTATTCTGCATCAGAGAATCCATACTGGGGAGAAACCATATCCATGTAATCAGTGTAGCAAAAGTTTCAGTCAGAATTCAGACCTTATTAAACATCGAAGGATCCACACTGGAGAGAAACCCTATAAATGTAATGAGTGTGGGAAAGCTTTTAATCAGAGCTCAGTCCTTATTTTACATCAGAGGATTCATACTGGAGAGAAACCCTATCCCTGTGATCAATGTAGCAAAACCTTCAGTAGGCTTTCAGATCTTATTAATCATCAACGAATTCACACTGGAGAGAAGCCTTACCCATGTAATCAGTGCAATAAAATGTTTAGTCGAAGATGAGATCTTGTTAAACATCACAGAATTCATACAGGTGAGAAACCCTATGAATGTGATGAATGTGGGAAAACCTTTAGTCAGAGCTCCAACCTTATTCTTCATCAGAGAATCCACACTGGAGAGAAACCTTATGCATGTAGTGATTGTACTAAAAGCTTTAGTCGCCGTTCAGATCTTGTTAAGCATCAAAGAATACACACTGGAGAGAAACCATATGCATGTAATCAGTGTGATAAAAGTTTTAGTCAAAGCTCAGACCTCACTAAACATCAGAGAGTACACTCTGGTGAAAAGCCTTATCATTGCAATAGTTGTGAGAAAGCCTTCAGTCAGAGTTCTGACCTTATTCTTCATCAGAGAATTCACACTGGAGAAAAACTATTATCTGTGCACACAGTGCAGCAAAAGTTTCAGTCAGATCTCAGACCTCATTAAACACCAGAGAATCCACACTGGGGAAAAACCATATAAATGCAGTGAGTGCAGGAAGGCTTTCAGTCAGTGCTCAGCTCTTACCCTACACCAGAGAATCCACACTGGGAAGAAACCAAATCCATGTGATGAGTGTGGCAAAAGCTTTAGTCGGCGTTCTGATCTCATTAACCATCAAAAAATACACACTGGTGAAAAGCCGTATAAGTGTGATGCATGTGGGAAAGCCTTCAGCACATGTACTGATCTTATTGAACACCAGAAAACCCATGCTGAGGAGAAACCCTACCAGTGTGTTCAGTGCAGCAGAAGTTGTAGCCAACTCTCTGAACTTACTATTCATGAGGAAGTCCATTGTGGAGAAGACAGTCAAAATGTGATGAATGTGAGAAAACCTTTAGTGTGTACACCAACTCTATTCAGTACCAGAGACACTGTACCAGAAAAAAATCTAATGAATGCTGTTGATTATTGATGAGTATGAAAAAGGTTTTAATCAGTGTTCAACTCTTATGCTACATTAAAACCACACTGGATCCGGATACGTATGGTGGCTCACGCCTGTAATCCCAACACTTTGGGAGGCAGATGTGGAAGCATCATTTGAGCCCAGGAGTTTGAGGCTGCAGTGAGCTATGATTCCACCATTGCACTCCAGTCTGGGCAACAGAGCAAGACCCTGTCTATTTAAAAAAAAAAAAAAACCACCAATACCACATGGGAGAAAACATTAATTCAGTTTTTGTAATGAAAGGTTAACTCAGAGCTCAGACATTACTAAAATTAAGAAAAATTCTCCAGCCTGACCAACATGGTGAAACCCTGTCTCTACCAAAAAATAAAAAATAATTAGCTGGGCATGGTGGCAGGCGCCTGTAGTCCCAGCTATTCGGGAGGCTGAGGCATGAGAATCACTTGAACCTGGGAGGTGGGGGTTGCAGGGAGCCGAGATCTGCCACTGCATTCCAGCCTGGGCAACAGAGTGAGACTCTCTCAAAAAAAAAAAAAAAAGAAAAAAAAACTCTGAGGAAGAGTCCTGCGAGTTGTGGGAAAACCTTCAAAGTGAAAAACATTTTTACTGAATGTCAGTATACCACAATAGAAACAAATTTCTATCTTTTCTATAAGGTTGGAAAAGCTCTAGTCTTATTCAGACATAACCTACAGGAAGAGAGTTGTATTATTGTAAGAGATCTAATGCAGAACTTATCAGATATTGTAAAAATCAGTGTGGGAGGTATTCAGTCAAAAGTCAGAAGGAAATGTATTATCGTTATAATTTCAAACCTTAAGAAAGCCTAAATTACCAATTGCATATCAAATTTTTTTGATAATGTAAGGAAAACTTAAATCCCCTCCATATCCTAATTGGCATTTATAATAATATGACACTTAACCCTGACAGCTAGAGTCTTACTTTATGCTAATGCTAGATATCTATTTTTAAATTCCACGTGTGTAAACATGCTATACTCTTCTGATATTAAACTTACTAAGTACATAATTCCAGTGCCCCCTTTTCTCAGAATTTTTTTTTGTTTTTAATTTTGGGGGGTATAGTTTTGGTTTTCCTAGTGCACATTAGTTTGTGCAAGTTCTTGCAATGTTCACAGCAAATATAGATTTATTTTGCTTTGAATAATGCAGCCCATAAACTTTATTGGTTTGAAAGTTCTTCACTACCATTTAATCACAGCTTCTAAACATGTGAAACAGGATCTTTAAAAAAATTTTCCATATGTCAAAGTGTAGAGATGTTTCTAGCAGCATTTATCTTGTCATCTATAGATTGAACAAAAAGTGGTAGCTGTGAAATTGTGATTTATAATAAATACATATTTGGTCTTCATCCCCTGGTACAGAGCTTCTAAGACCCTTGAAATTTCCTGAGTGGTAAGAGTAATTAGGATGACAAGCCCCTTTAACCACACCTGAGTTTATGTTAATGGGATTACTTTTGGAAAGACAGAACCACAGGATGGGGGCTAGTTGCCTCGAGAACCAACCATGTGATTAGAGGGTTGGAACTTTCAGATCAACCCCACCCTACCTTGACCTCTGAGAGGAGAGAGGCTGGAGACTGAATTCAGTCACCAGTGGCCAGTGATTTAATCATTCATGCCTACGTGATGTAGCCTTCATAAAAAACTGAAGGACAGGATTCAGAGAGCTTCCAGGTTGAACTTGTTGAGGTACTAGGAGGGTGGTGTACCTAGGGAGGGCATGGAAGCTCAGTGTTCTTCCCACACACCTTGCCTTATGCATCTCTTTCATCTGGCTGATCCTTAGTTGTGTTCTTTTACAAGAATCTAGTAAATAAACTTTTCCTACATTCTATGAGTCATTCTAGCTAATGCTGAAACTCAAAGAGGGGATTGTAGGAACCTTGGATTTATAGCCAGTTGGTCAGAAGCACCAGTGAAAACATGGACATGAGATTGGTGTCCAAAACTGACACAATTGGTGTCAGTTGTAGAACTGAGCCCTTAACCTGAAGCATCTATGTTGATCTGATTCCAGGTAGATAGCTTCAAAATTTAATTACAGGCACTTAGTGGGTGTCCACAGAAAATTGGAGAATTGTTTGGTTTGGGGAAACCTCATACACATCTGGTGTCAGAAATGTTGTGAGTATAGAGAAGACAATAAGTTTTTCCTATACAGTAGCTAAAGTACCTACATCATTAATTTGTATAGTATATTCTGTGTAAAAATAAGACTTTCTGATATTTTTTTCAAGTGGCAACATTTATCAGACTTTTTTGATTTCTGACATACATACTGAAAACAGGCAACATACATGCAAAGTTTTCCACTGAAAAATAGAAATAGTTTGAAAAAATAAAAAATTCAAATTGTCTTTCTGGTATTAACAATTTGATAAGTTCTGCTACTAAAAGTACTACAAAGTTGTTTCCTTTGATTATCCCCTATAATTGTCTAATTAATATTTTAATTTAGCAGACATTGTTAAATTCTATTCCTTAGGAGTGTAATGCTAAGGCAAGGCCTTTTGGGAGGTTTTGTAGTACATTAAAAGAATATACTATCTCTTCCAATGAAGTGTATATTGTATAGTGATAGAGACTAATATGTACAGAAAACACATGGCTCAATGTAATCATAAAGGTAGGACATGCTTGTAAGAACTCAGAGGAGTCAAGGTTCAATTCTGATTAGAAAGAAAAGGGAGAGCTTTGTGGAACTCCTGAAGTTTGAGCCTTGAAGGATGGGAATAGAGGCATAAAGGCAGGGAGGGAATAATCAACAAAGGCACAAAAGGAAGTGCAAGAAATGTGGAGCATGGTGGTTATCATTTATTCAATAAATATTCAGTGTCAGGCATTGTACTGGTTCCTGTTGAAGAGGGGTGAGGGAAGGGCCCCTGCCCTCAAGAAGCACACAAACAGTTACGATGCATTATGAAAATGCTTATTGAAACATACATTTCAAAGGGTAAGAATAATGTGGAAATGAAAATCAAGTGGGAAAGAAAAGGAGTGTGATGCTAAACAAGCAGACACTTTAATTTTCTGGGCTGTAGCTAATTATCTCTAAACAAAAGTACTTGGGGTGGTTAGACTAGATTTTATGTTTCTGCATTTTATTCTCAAAGTAATGAAAAGCCATTAAGGTCCTTGAATGATCTTCCTGCTTTAAAAAGAGTTTCAGATTAAAAGGGGGAGAGAAACAACAGAAAGGAAACCCATTTTTAAAGTCTGGAAATAAAATCATGAGGTCCAGAAGTAGAGGAGCTAAAAGGCATTGACATGCTGATAGGTTGAGAAGTGGGTAAGAGAAAGGTAAAATTTATTATCTGTTCTTTGGAGAATTTAAAAAGCAAAGAAGAAAAAACAGGGTGGTCTCCAAATTTATTTCTGAAGTTTAGCTATCTCTCCTGAGAATACATTTTGAGAGCCTACTACACATTTCTCTATTTAGTGTCCTACGGGTAAACTGAAATTCATGAACTTAACACACACACACACACACACACACACATACATGATTTCTTCCTCCAGAATTCCCTATCTTTATGAATTACACTACTAAACACCTTGTCATCCACATAAAATAACTGGTAATCAACCTACACTCCTGACCTCCAGTTTTCCAAATCTGGTTGCTTACTAGGTCTTAGAAGTGAGTTGCAAAATTGCAAAATTCAAACAACTGTCAAGAATATAGAGTGGAAGGGAAATACAGAGAATTGGGCCTGACACTTTATGTCGGTTGATTCTTCCAGGCATTTGCTGATTCTTGAACTGACAGGGCAAAGGGCCAAGAAATCTATTCAAAGAATGCTGGAAGGTTAAATGAAACTCAGCTGACTCATGCTAGGGAATAAAAATTAGAGTATAAATTGCGCCAAGTAGGTGGTGTCCTTGTGAACACCCCACATTCTCAATGTAAACATTATATGGCTACACCCCAAGAGAGGATAAAACCTGACCAAGTCTTAAAAAGACTGAATGCAATGTCAAGTAAGGTCAACCTTTTAGTGAACTAAGTTATCTTGCCCTAATCTGGCTGCCAGCTAGAAAAGAGGAAAGGGTGAATCCTCTCTGGAGGATGGCTATCCAGATTCTACAATTTTTCATGCACAGTATGTTCAATCAAAAATTACCAAAACCATTAGAATCAGAAACATCAATATGAATTCATACATTTTATGCACACACAGGTGGATTACGCAGAAACAATTATAGAACATACCTCTATACATATGTTATGCATACATACACTACCTAGCTCTTTGAGAGGATCTAGAAGAAATGACACCCAAGCATCAATGAGCATAACTAGATCTTGGTTTCTAAATAGCATTCTCCAAATAAAAGGAACCAGGGCTCCTTTGAGAAATGACTGGTTGTAGGGCTAGGGCAGGGAAAACTCAAGATGAGCCTAGAGCATCTTGTAGTACAGAAAGTAGGTAAGAGTTCAAAAAACAAAAGGATAGGGGCATGTCAAAGGAACATAGGAGACAAACTGAAGGAGTTCCCAAGGCCAAATAAGCATACATGCATCCATACTGATAACATAGGTATGGGAGAAGAGACAACTCTTCCTTATGGAAAAATTCCAAATTATATATTTAGATTCCTCCTCCAGAGGAAGCTGGAACTGTTGACCTACTTCCAAAGAATAGAGTATGGAAAAGGAAAAACTAACTACAGTGGAGAAATCTGACAAAAACTATCATAAGGCAGGGCTTGTCAACCTTAGCACTATTGACATTTTGGGGCACATAATTTTTTGCTGTGGGGAGCCGTCCTGTGGACTTATTGGACATTTGATACTATCCTTGGCCTCTATCCACCAGATACCAGTGGCAACCCTCCCCCAGTTACGACAGTCAGCCAAAAATGTCTCCAGCCACTGCCAAATGTCACCTGACGGGCTTCTCACCTGCCTAAGATGCACCACCTAAAGGGTAACATCACCAGTGAGTGATGTTATGTGAATATTATGTACCACTTGGTATGATGTTACAAGAAAGTCACTTCAAATTGTAGTATTCTTTTTAAAAACCTATAATCCCCAAATTAACTAAAATTAGAAATAAAAGAGGGCATGTTACTGCTGTAATTTCAGAAATAAAAAGGATTAGAAGAAACTGCTAGGAATAATTGTACACCACAAATTGGATAACCTAGATGAAATAGACAAGATCCTAGAAACACACAGCCTACCAATGAATTGTGAAAAAGTAGAAAATCTGAATAGAACTATGGCTAGTAAGATTAAATCAGTAATCAAATACCTACCAAAAAAATAGCCCAGGACCAGGTGGCTTCACTGGTGAATTCTATCAAAGAAGTAACACTGGCTGGGCGTGGTGGCTCACGCCTATAATCCCAGCACTTTGGGAGGCCGAGGCGGGCGGATCACAAGGTCAGGAGATCAAGACCATCCTGGCTAACACGGTGAAACCCCGCCTCTACTAAAAATACAAAAAAAAAAAAAAAAAAAAAAAAATTAGCCAGGCGTGGCAACATGCGCCTGTAGTCCCAGCTACTCAGGAGGCTGAGGCAGGAGAATGGCGTGAACCTGGGAGGCGGAGCTTACAGTGAGCCGAGATCGCGCCACTGCACTCCAGCCTGGGCGACAGAGTGAGACTGTCTCAAAAAAAGAAGTAACACCAACTTTTATTAAATTCCTACAAAATATTACAAAGGAAGGAACAATTCCAAATTCATTTTATGAAGCCAGCATTAATCTGACACCACGCCAGACAAAGACACTACAAGAAAGCTACAGACCAATGTCCCCTATAAATAATCCTCAACAAAATTCTAGAAAACACAATCCAACAATGCTTTAAAATAATTATACACCATGTCCAGGTAAGATTTATTTTTGAAATTCAGAATGATTCAACATACAAAAATCAATCAATGTACTACATCACAGTAACAGAATGAAGGAAAAAAGTGTGATTAACTCGACTGATGCAAAAAAGCTGACAAAATTCAATGCTTTTATGATACACTCAACAAACAAGGAGTATAAGGAAACTACCTCAGTATAATAAAGGCCATATTTAAAAAAAAAAAAACTACAGTGAGCATCATAATGGTAAAAGACTGAAAGCTTTTTCTCTAAGAGAAACAATATGCCTGCTTTCACCACTTCAACATAATACTGGAAGTCCTAGGCAGATCAGTTTGGCAAATAAAAAATAAAAGACATCCAAATTGGAAAGGAGGAAGTAAAATTATCTCTATTTGCAGATGACATAATCTTATATGCAAAAAACCCTTAAGATCACACACACACACACACACACACACACACACACACACGAACTAATAAGTGAATTCAGCCAAGTTGCAGGATACAAAATCAACACCCAAAAATCAGTTACATTTCTATATACTGACAATCTACAATCTAAAAAGGAAATGAAGAAAACAATTTCATTTACAATACCATCAAAAAGACTAAAATACTTAGCAATAAACTTAACCAAGTAAGTGAATGACTTGTTCCCTGAAAACTACAAAACATTGCTGGAAAATGCGAAAGAAGGCACATATAATTGGGAAGATACCCTATGTTCAGTCTACCCAAAGAAATCTACAGATTCAGTGCAATCCCTATTAAAATTCCAGTGACAAGTTTTGCATTAATAGAAAAACTAATTCTAAAACTTGTATGGAACGTAAAGGGATCTCAATTAGCCAGAACAATCCTGAGAAGCAATAAAGTTGGAGGTCTCACACTGCTGATTTCAAAACTTACTATAGCCAGGCATGGTGATGCGTACCTATAGTCCAAGCTACTCAGGAGGCTGAGGTAGGAGGATCCCTTGAGCCTGGAAGTTTGAGAACAGCCTGGTCAACAGAGTGAGACCCAGTCTTTGAAAAAAAAAAAAAAAAAAAACTTAGTACAAAGCCACAGTAATCAAAATAGTGTGGTACTGGCATAAAGACAGACACTTGAGGAAGACAAGAAACTTTTAATTTGAGGAATGTGAACTTCCTTTAAATTATCAGGCCCAAATAGACATTGAAATGTGACAGTAGTCACCTTTTACTCCACGCTTGAGCTGACTATTTCTAACCTACCTGCTATAGGGACTCTAGACTGTCACCACCAAGTAGCCATAAACCTAACAATGCCTTACGCTGGACACCATAGCTCATACCCTGTAGTTCAACAATGTATAGCTAATCACTAATCAGTGTTATTTCTGTAAACCAATGACAATTCCTGAAACTTTTGTAAATTGCTTTCTCTTTTGATTCATCCTTTTCTTTTTACTTTAAAAGACTCAAGACTCTCCTTTGCTCTCTGAAGCACTTCCCAGTGGTTCCCAAATTCCAGTCCTCAACCTTGGCCAAAATATACTCTTTACATTAATTTTCCCTCATTTTCTTCCTTCAGGTCAATACACATAGACCAATGAAATATAATAGAGAGCCTAGAAATAAACCCTCCCATATATGATGAAATGATTTTTGACAAGGGTGTCAAGACCATCCAATGAGGAAAGGACTATTTTCTCAACAAATAGAATTGGGAAAACTGCATATTCACATGCAAAAGAATGAAGTTTGACCCTTACATTGTACCATATACAAAATTTAACAACAAAAAAAAAAAGATCAAAGACCTAAACATGAGAGCTAAAAATATAAAGCTCTTACAAGAAAACAGGGGAAAACCTTCATGACATTGGATTTTTCAATGATTTTATTGGATATGACAGTAAAAGCACAGGCAACAACAAAACCCGATTTTAAAATGGGCAAATTGCTTGAATAGATATTCCTCCAAAGAAGATATATAAATGGTCAATAATCACATGACAAGATGCTCAACATCATTAATCATTAGGAAAATACAAATCAAAACCATGATGAAGGCTGGGTGCGGTGGCTTACGCCTGTAATTCCAGCACTTTGGGAGGCCGAGGCGGGTGGATCACGAGGTCAGGAGATTGAGACCATCCTGGCTAACACAGTGAAACCCTGGCTCTACTAAAAATACAAAAATATTAGTCGGGCATGGTGGCACGTGCCTATAGACCCAGCTACTCGGGAGGCTGAGACAGGAGAATTGCTTGAACCCGGGAGGTGGAGGTTGCAGTGAGCCGAGATCGTGCCACTGCACTCCAGCTTGGGTGACACAGTGAGACTCCGTCTCAAAAATAAATAAATAAATAAATAATAAAAAACCATGATGAGATACCACTTCAAATCCATTAGGCTGGGTATTTTCCAAAGAAACAAACAAAATCAGAACTTGTTAGCAAGTATGTGGGGACATTGGAACCCTTGGGCATTGCTGATGGGAATGTTGCTGTCTCCTGAAAAACTTAAAAATAGAATTGCCATATGATCCAGCAATTCTACTTCTTGATATATACCCAAAAGAAGTAAAATCAGGGACTCAAGCAGATATTGTACATCAATGTGCATGGTGATTACTACTCATAATAGCCAAAAATTAAGGAAAAATATCCTGTCCTGTAAAACAATTTTAGGAAGAAATGAAGAGGCATGGAAAGAGTAAATCTGAAGGTAAGTGTAAATGAATATTGACTGCAAGATAATAATCCCTAAAATCAGAACATTCTCAAGGAAGTAGTAAAAGTATCAATTTATAATGGATTCTAATAAAAACCAAGGAGGCATGTTATAATCTCTAGGGTAAAACAGGAGTATATCTAGCAACTTAATAGAAGGTAAAATGCATTAATTAAAAGTATTGATTAAAAGAACGCAACAAAAATAGAAAAAAAACAGAACAGGGAAGACAAATAGAAACACGGTAGATATAAACCCAAATACATCCGTAATTATATTACATGTAAGTGAACTAAATGACAAATATTCTCCACTAGAAACTTTTTTAAAAAATTAATTATATGCCACTTACACAGGACACACAATAACTATAAGGACTCAGGAAATTTAACATTAAGAGTATGGAAAAAGATACAATATTCAAACACTGAAGAGAGCTCTTAAATAGCTTTACTAATATCAGACAAGAAGTAGACCTTAAGGCAAAAATATTATTAGAGATAAAGTAGAACATTCTATTGATTAAAGAGTCAATTTGGCAAAAATATATTCTTAAAGTATATACATCTAATAATGAGACAGAGTAGGGATGGGACTCAGCCTACCCCCACCAATGTATTTTTTCATAACATACTTGCTGAATGGAGGTTAGTGAGCTCTCTGAAAAAAACTAAGATAAGCAGCATCCCACCATAAATCTCACTCAAAGGAGTTAACCCTGTTGCCCTGATGTGCACAAGACCAGAAGAATGATCTTTAACACATGCTTCATTATAATACTAAATTTCCCACATATCTGCCATTTTGTTTCGTTGAGGTGGTGTTGTTTTTAGGAGGGGGTGTTGTTTGTTTGTTTGTTTGTTTTGAGACAGGATGTCACTCAGTCACCCAGGCTAGAGGGCAGTGACATGATCACAGCTTATTGCAGCCTTGACCTTCTGGGCTTGAGTGATCCTTCCACCTTAGCCTCCCAAGTAGCTGGGACTACAGGTGCACACCACCATGCCCTCCCTAATTTTTTTATTTTTGTAGAGACGGGGTCTCACCATGTTGCCCAGGCTGGTCTCAAACTCCTGGGCTTAAGTGATCCTCCCATCTCACCCTCCCAAACTGCTGGGATTACAGGTGTGAGCCACCGCACTCGGCTTATCTGCCATTTTGATCATGTGACATGTATGTTACCATGATTCCTTACTGCATCTGCCCACTCTGCATTCCATCCTGCACATGTAGTGATGCTCACCTACCTCATGAATTATGCATGTCATCCTCGTTAAGACACCGTGATGCAGTCTCCTCAGGGACTCAGCCAGAGAACCCTTTTTCCTGTGCTGTTTCCCTTATGCCCAACATTTCTGGGCATAAATCTTAATAAAACTTAATCTCAGAAAAGTTTGTCTGGCCTGATATTAATTTCTATTACATTGAGAGCTGAAAATGTCATACCAATAACATATTTCTTGGCAACCATGAAGGGGTTGTGAGGATTTTTGTACTTATTCTGGGGGGTTGAGAGCTAGCAGGACTGGTTGATGTGACCCCTTTTTGCAGCTAATGAGGAGGTACCTGAACTTTTGATTCAGCGTCACCACAAATGGTAAGTCTTCCTCTGGCCTCACGGGGCTCCTTGCTCACCCATAAACAATGTTCTCTTTTCCTTTCTATCTTCATTTGCTCCTTTCAGCACTCCTTTTGTTTTTTCTTCACTTTCCCCATAGTTTTACTATTTTGGATTGCCTTAATAGACATCTGTGAGAGATGAATTAAAACAGTTTCCCCCAGGGTCTGATTAACCTGGCAGGCAGCAGGACAGGTTGCATCCCTCCCTTGGCCTACATGGTCTGGTTTGGGTTTCAGTCCCGAAGAATCAGGCAGACTGGTTTGGGCTGGAGTCCCAAAGAATCTGGTTTCTGGCACTCTGGCTGTTGACTCTGTAACTTTGTTTAAAAGCCCTCTCTACTTCATTTCCCTGTGCCACACTTAGTGGGGAGGAGAGATCTGTGACTCTTCCTGATGTTTGTCTGTCCAGTGTGTAGTCCTGTCAGTTTGGGGAGACTGCCTGAGATGGTGCCGGGGACACCTGGCTGGACTTAAGGAAAGCATCAGGGATGCCTGGATGTGACAGTCAGTGTTGGTTTTCTGCACAGTAAGAAAAGTTGAGAGCTCAAATGATTAACCTGCAACTATGGAGTTAAGTTGAGTCTTCTAATACTATCTTCCTCTCTTCTGCCTGCTTTGAATCTGTTGCTACTAAGCTGTTGGTGCTGAGGTAAGACTCATTATTTATGGTCTAACTGAAATATAAACATTGGAAACTCATTTGAAACTGAAGGAAACAACGGGTAAAAGAGGTTTTTTAAAACAAACTGTCATAGAGACTGCTTTACCCAAATTTTGGTCCACAACTTTCCTTAGATTATCTATTGGGGTAAACAAAATTTAGCCATGTGAACAGGTTCCAATTTTGTACAAAAAAAAAAAAAATCATTTGGCTCCATCTATCTTTTATGATGTGTTGACTTTGTATTGCTATCATATATGGATAGAATTCTGAGGTAAGAGCTATCGGATCTTTATGTGTATATATACGTGTTTAGATGTGTTTATGTGTGTATACATGCATTATGTTAAGTGTTGTGTCTAGCATGCTCCTAAATTGGCTTATAAGTAAATGAATACTCATAAATTAAGTCCAATGCTGTTTTAGTTTATATGACTTTAGCAATCTTTGACAAATAAAGATCATTTTAAAGATTATTGGCAAAATAAAAACATCTTCAAAATTCATACCTTTGGCCTCAATTAGGCAGGTTAAAAGACTGTGCTTGCTAGATGCTATAACATCATAAACTGATACTGTAATTTTTGATAACTGTTCAACTTGCCTGCTTGGAAGCCATTAGATTCTAGGCAAGGCCCGGGGACATGTGGAGTTAGCCATGCCCCTCACTATGATGGAAAAGAGTCAGATATTATCTTCAGTTCCTGTGTCCTAGGCTCTGCACCTGGTACATAATTAAAATTGCTTACACTAAAAATAAAAGTGATGTGTTTTTTTTTATAAAAAGGCATGGGGATGTGGTTTATTAAAGAGAAAGTAATTTTTTCCAGTTTAGAGGGTTTAAAAATTATTTTGAATTAAAGATAGGATAAAACTAAAGGTTTAAATGAATTGTAAAAGATTTATAAAAGACTACTCTTGTAAAAAAAATTACATGTGGGAGCAAGTTGAGTTACAATTAAAAGGGTATTATTTACTTTTTCCACAAATTAAACATTAAAATAAAAGCACATGATGCAAAGCCAAAATGTGGGCCCATGTGTCAAAATAAAAAGGGTTTCTTGGAACGTTAAGTTGCTCTAACCAAAAATTGTAGAGTTATTTATGGGCATCTTACCTTGTGGTCAAACTAAGTAAAATTAGATAGATTTGTTTATAAGATTTTATTTAAAATTAACCTTAATGCTAATAATGCATTAATACAAAGGTAGAATTTGGTTTTCTCTTTTAAACAAGATTTTTCTGTAATAATTAAAAGGATAATAAAAGATTTCAAAAGGAGACAGATTCAGTTGGCCTTATGATGTCTTCACCAGATCTTATTGTCTGGAAAACCAAGTCTCTACCAAAGAATAAAAGTTTTGCTTTTAAAATATCTTTAAATTATTATTATTTGGCTAAATAAATGGCTTATAGTGACCTGGGATTCTATTTTGTGATATCAAGTGTTTTAAACATTTGCTATCGACAAATTTTCCAAGATCAATTTCTAAATTAAATCTGTTTTTTTGGTCCTAATTAACTTTTTAACTATTAGGTCCCCTGAAGTCCAAAAAAGACATATTGAGCTTAGTTGGTATATTAAGATCATATAGAAAACACTGTCAAATATAAAATGGTGTTTAAATTTCTTTGGGTCATAATCATATAAATGTTATTAATTTGTATTCCAAAATTGTATTTTTGGAACAAAATACAATTTTTTTCCTAATTCTCATTCTGATTTGTCTATAATTCTGATTTGTCTCAGTATTTGTTATCAGTAATAATTATGGTTATGTGAAATTACTGTGTGCCACAGAGATGGCTAGATTTCCTTGTTAATTGTGGCTTTAACTGTGACTGTCCTAAGACTTTTGTCATCCATGGATAATTGTTGTCTTGATCCTTTTCAAAAGGTGGCTTATAATCAGCTATAAAACTCTCATGGGTGCCCTTGAATGAAGGTTTCTGATAACTTTAGTGGTTGTGCCATTGAAATAGAAAAAAAAAAAAAAAACTTCCAGGACTTGCATAGAGAGCCAATGTGTTCATGCGGACTATTGGCCCAATATTGGGCAGAACAAGAGTTAATTGCATGGACTTACCTAGTAGAAGACTGAAATAGGCCAGGCACAGTAGCTCATGCCTGTAATCCCAGCACTTTGGGCGGCTAAGGCCAGAGGATCACTTGAGCCCAGGAGTTTGAGACCAGCCTGGGCAATATAGGGAGACCCTGTCTCTACAATCAATCAATCAATAAGCTGGGTATAGTGGCATATGCCTGTGGTCCCAGCTACTCAAGAGGCTAAAGTAGGAGGGTTGCTCTAGCCCGGGAGGATGAGGATGCAGTGAGCTGTGATCACACCACTGCACTCTAGTCTGAGTGACAGAGCCAGACCCTGTTTCAAAACAACAAAAAAAGACTGAAATAATCTTTCTTAGACCTTTTTATTTAAAACATTGCTGATCCTTCTAAGTTTTTCAGAATCAAGAAAACTTTTTTCTCTGTTAAGCTATTTATACCTTTTAACAACTGAGTAAAGTAGACTTCTGTAAGCAAAATTTGGGGCATTATTTCTTTCTGTCTAGTTAACTTCTCCAGAATTTGAAAATTATTTGTGAGTATTCCTAACTTGCAGCAATATAGTTGTTTGCCTAAGTGCAATAAGAATCTGTCTTCTTTTGTAACAGGCATAATTAGAGACACTTTTTGTTTTAAGGCTTTGACTGGAATAGCATGCTTTCAGATTGCTTTTAAAAATTGGGGATTACTTAGAGAACCAATAAAAGCTCCTTGGAGGAAATGGTCTCATACTTTGTCTATGCAGTCCCTGCACAGGGTTCCTGACCTGTGGAAAAGAATGTCACTTTCTGACAGGTCCAGGAGCCCCCAAACTATTATAAGACTTGTAGAGGAAAGGAGTTCACCCAATTCATACAAGTATTTGTAGGCGCAAATACATCCACAGTGGGGCTCAAGGCTTTAAAAAGTCTAACCAGAGATTCCTATGGAAGTTTCAGCAAAACCAGTTTTTTTTAAAAAAAGGATACTACATGGCAAATGATTATTCTTGCTGTACTTTATGCAAATAATCACAGCAAGTATAATAAGATAAAACAGCCAGACATGGTGGCTCACACCTATAATTCTAGCACTTTGGGAGGCCAAGGCAGGTGGATCACCCGAGGCCAGGACTTCGAGACCAGCCTGGCCAACATGGAAAAAAAAACCTTTTCTCTACTAAAAATACAAAAATTAGCTGGGCATGGTGATGCACATCTGCAATCCCAGATACTCGGGAGGCTGAGGCACGAGAATCACTTGAACCCAGGAGGCAGTGGTTGCAGTGAGCTGAGAGTGCACACTGCACTCCAGCCTGAGTGACAGAGCAAGCTTCTGTCTCAAAAAAAAAAGACTAAAACTTACCGCAAGATAAGTTTTAGTCTTGTTATACCATATTCCAGCATGATTTATCTTTGGTAAAACTGGGAGACTGGACAGGAAGATTACGTTTTGTTTAAAAAGAAAATGTATAGTGCACCAGTTATTGGATTCCAGTTCTTGTCTGTTGTTTTTGAGTTTTTATTATTTTCTACAATTTGGATTGGCTCTTCAATTCTTTCTGGGCTCCAAACCAACATTTTCAAAATTTTCTTCTATTTTTCAGACTAGGACTCAATGAAATTGCTGCCCCCATGTTCCTGAGGCTCTGCAAGCTGAAGCTTATTTCTCATGATATAGGCAAGAAAAATGTGTCAGGTTGCCACCACCTTCCTCCCTGGTAACTAAAGATATTTTGAGTCTAACATCTAGATACATTGTGTCCAACATTAACCTTTGTTTTTCTTCTGTTTCCATAAAAATGCCTCTTATTAAAAACCTGTTTGCCTTCATTAATATAGAGGCTCAGCCTGTTTGCAATGCCACCTCCTGGAATGAGACACAGTTGTTTAAACTAATCTATTCTCAGGACTAGGAAGCTGACTCAACAAGGGTGTGGATGGTTGAAGCTCGTATCTTCCAGGCTTCAACAGTCCCCAGTCAAGCTGATGATGGAACAACATATACTATACTAGGAGTATCTAAGTCCCTATAAATCATTAGATCAGTCAGCAAGAGATTTTTACAACCTCCAATGTTAGGCAACGACAACAGTCCAGTTCAGGAAGAAGCAGCTCCAGAAGACAAGACCTCCATCCCCTTCTCCTTAAGAATAAGGAGGGTAAAATCTCTCAGGGGGAATGAAACAGGGTAGAGGTGGGACTCAGCCAGCCCCCACCAATGTATTTTTTCATACATACCTGCTGACCAGACCTTGCAAACTCTCTGAAGAAACTAAGATAAGCAGCATCCCACCATAAATCTTACTCAAGGCACCATATCTGCTGATTGTGGGACCTTGAAAAACCACAATAAGCAACACCCAAACATGAATTTCACTCAAAGGAGTTAACCCTATCACCTACATGTGCACAAAACCAGAAGAATGACCAATCTTTGACCCATGCTTCATTATAATACTAAAATTCCTGCCCAAGGAGGGGCTTATCTGCCCTTTTATGGTCATATATGTTACCAAGATTCCTTACTGTATCTGCACACTGCATTCTACCCTGCACATATAGTGACACTCACCTACCTCATGAATTCTGCATGCCACCCTCCTTAAGACATCACGATGCACTCCCCTTGGGGAGTCAGCCCAAGAACTTTTTCCTTTTCTGTCTTCCTTATGCCCAGCCTTTCTGGGGGTAAGTCTTAATAACCCTTGTCTAGGAAAAGTTTGCCTGGCCTCATCTTCATTTCTATTACTAATTTCTATTGAGAGCCAAGAACCTCATGTACATAACAATAATTTCACTCCAAAATATATAAAGCTTAAATTGACAAAACTAAAATAAGTGATAATTCTGTAATCCTAGTAGGAGACTTTCACAATTCTCACAATATTTTCTTTTATGTATTTATTATCATGACCTCTACACACTGAAACAACTCTCACATTTGTAAAATATAGAACAAACAGAAAAAAAATTCTAAGGAATTACAGTGTAGGTTGACAATTTAATTAATAAAATGGCCTCACGGATGTATAGATAACAGTGCAACCAATGACAGAAAACTTATTCTTTTTAGATGCACAGAGAAAATTTACCAAAACTTAGCATGAACTGGTTCATAAAGCAACTTACAACAAATCTCATCAGATGGAAATCATTTAGAGTAGTGCTGTCCAATAGGACTATTTTTGTCCTATTTATATTGTTGAATACAGTAGTCACTATAGTCAACACAGCAGTTACTAGCCAGATGTGGTTATTGAACACTAATATATGACTGGTGTGGCTGATGAACTAAATTTCATTTCTAATTAGTTCAAATAGCCACATGTGGTTATGGCTATCATATTGGAAAGCACAGACTCACCGTATATTTAGACAATCACACACACACTCACACACATACAGTGTAAATAACCCATGGGTCAAAGAAGTAAGCACAATAGAAATTAGAACATATTTTTATCTGAATGATAGTAAAAATTGTGGCATACAGCTAAAGTCCTGATTAAAGATAAATGTATTCAGTGTATGTATTAGGGGAAAAAGGCTAAAATGCAATGATCTAACTATTCCAAGTTATAAAAAGAAAGCAAATAAATCTAATGAAAGTAGAAAGAGTTAAATGGTAAGGAGTATGAATTAATGAAATAGAAAATAAACATTTAAAAAAGGAAAATAAAGGCAAAATGGATTTTTTGAGAATAATAAAATTGATAGTCTCCCAGTAAAACTGATCAAGAAAAAAAGGACTATTTGTCAAACAAAGAATGCAAAAATGTCCATCAGCCCAGATCCTGTGGTCATTACAGATATAATATAAGGGATAATACAAAATTAGCCAGGCATGGTGGTGCATGCCTGTAATCCCAGCTACTCCGGAGGCTGAGACACGAGAATCACTTGAACCCGGGAGGCAGAGGTTGTGGTGAGCCGAGATTGCGCCATTGCACTCCAGCCTGGGGAACAAGAGCAAAACTCCGTCTCTAAATAAATAAATTAAATAACCTTAAAAAATTGAAAATCTGTCCAAAATATACACAAGAAGAAATCTAAAATCTGAATAGCTCTGAGTCTCTTAAGGAAATTAATTATAGTTTAAAATTTGCTCATAAAATGTATTCTAGGCTAGATAGTTCAATGAAGAATACTTTCAGCATTAAAGGAAAAAATAATTAATTGTACGCAATCTCTTCAAGGTAATGGGAGAAGATGGTATACTACCCAACTAATTTTATGGCATCTGTGGATTATGCTCTTTAGAAAGGAAGATTTCCTCCCTCAAACAAGACCAGAAGGAGCCTGGTTTTCCCTAGAATTCTCCTCACATCTCCCCAGGACACCCTCCAGGCCTTTGTCAGGTAGTTACTGCTGAGCCTTTCATCATCATTTAAAGGAATCTCTTTCCAACAGTTAGCATTCACTTCTCTGGCAGACTGAATCTAACTAACTATCTACAATATGACAAAATATACATTTATCACTTACATTACACTCCTCTACACAAGGTGCTTGTTATTTGTAAAGATCGTTTTCATTTAATTTCTTTTGGTCTGTTTACTCAATAATATAACTAATTACACAGGACCAGTCAAAATTCCAGACTGCCAGTTGGTCTAGGGGGCTGGCTCCACAGGAAGCTCCAAAGCAATGAGAACATTCCTTCCCAGTAAGCCATGCTATAGGGAAATAAGTGGCTATATAAACCATGAGTTAGCAAACTATTTTAGGAAGGCCAGATAGCCACTTGTTTTTGCAAATAAAAAGTTTTCATGGAACATAGTCATGCCCATGTTATCTAAGGCTGCTTTCTGCTATGATGGCAGAGTTAAATACTTGGAACAGAAACTCTATGGTCCTCAAAGCTGAACATATTTACTATCATGTCCTTCAGAGAAAATGTTTGCTGACCCCTGATCTAAATGAGAATTTTCTTCCTTTTAAAATGTTTTACTGATTTCCTGCTGATTATAAATTTACTGATAGCTTATTGTAAAAAAAAAAAAAAAAGAAAAAATAACATGTAAGAGAATAAAGATAAAAGTCACTTATTGCCAGAAGCCTACTTAGCAAATTGTATGTATAATGGTAAACTAATTTTTTTCCTATTGTTATGTCATATTTTACATGTCCATAACATAGTTCTATAACATCATTTAAAATTATGTCTATAATGGGTGGATGTTAGTAATTCCTTTCTTGATATTCCTCCTTCCCCCTCCCTGACCCAAGCTTTCTCAGTAGCCACACCTGCCCTGATTTTCCTTTAAGTAATTCGCTCTTTTCCTGAGACATTAAGTTTTGTTAACTTTGAATTTTGACAATTTCAAAATTATATAAAAATTGAAAGAATAATACAGAGAATTCCTGTATATCCTTTACCCAGAGTCCTCGAATGTTAACATTTTACCATATTTACTTTATAATCCTCCATCCTACCAACTCTATCTAATCTACTTACCTATCTAGACATATATCTATATATAACACATCTAGACATACTACTATACCTATTACTGTTACATATACCTATCTAGGCATATTTTATATATATGCAATATGTACATATATACATTATATGTATATATATATTTAATTTTGGAGGGGAGAAAATGTATACAAATTTATTTAACATGTATACACGGGGAGAATCACAGAATGATTGCCCCACATATGTAGAATATTTGTCTGAATTATTTAAGAGTAAGTTGCAGACACTATGCCCCTTTGACATTTATGTAGAGTAAAATGGGAGAGCATTTCGAGCAGAGGAGTGACATGGTCTGACTTATATGATCTAGGGGCTGTGTTGAGAACTGAGTAACATAGGGCAAGCAGAGAAGCAGGGAGGCTATTAGCCTGAGCAACTGGAAGGACAAAATTACCATTTTCTAAGAGGAGGAAGACTAAAGGAGGACACGTTTGGGGAAGAAATTTGCTTCTGGGTATATTAGGTTTATTATGCCTAATCAGTCATGGTACCAAAGCCAATTTATAAGGCTCCTTATGTTTTCAGGGCCAGAATTTTCTGCTCTTACGATGCTGATGATTGTCTAAGATTGCACCATCCACCCTGGAGGTTGCTGACTCCCATTTGATTGCTGGCCTGCCACTCATCCTGTGCTGTTTTCTTGGAGCCTGACCTCCTCAGTGATTGCTGCTGGAGAGACTGAATGGTGCAACCTGGAAGTGCGGTGTAGCTGATGCTCTGTGGTGGAAACTGACCAGATGGAGAGAGGAGTCTGCAGAGAAGTCTTCTCTTTCTTCCTCACCCCATAGTAAGGTAAGATGCAGTACTTTAGTTCACATGGCTTGTGCCCTGAAAATGATCAGTGAGACTAAGCAAACAGCTGTGCCTTTAGAAGCTACAGACAGCTCAATAACACCTACTCATATTTGCTTTCTCTCCTCTGCTTCACTTCTCATTTACCTTCAGTCATGCTTTTCTTGAATTGCATCACCCTAATATTGTCTTAGTAATAAGGTTTTGTCTTAGGCCCTATTTTCTCAGGAATCCAGACTAAGACAGGTTTCATAGTGGAGATGTTTATTAGGCAAAGGGATACATGAGTCTGAAGTTCAGAGAAGAGGTCTCTGGGCTGGGGATATAGATTTTGGATTTGTAGATAGTATTTAACAAGATAAGACCATGAAATCAACTAGGAAGTGGATATAGCTAGAAAAGAAAAGAGAGCTGAACACTGAGCCCTCAGGCACTCCAATATGTAGAAAGAAGTCCAGAGAGGTGAGGAAATACCAGCATTGAGACTGAGAAGAAACAGCTCATGAGGTAGAGAGAAATCAAGAGTGTTGTTCTGGAAGCCAAACTAAAATATGTCAATTATACAAAATACTATTCATTGGTAAGCAATGTAAGTCTGAGAAATGAGAATTGGAATCATCAACACTGAGGTTATCAAACTTGGCTAGAACTCTATGTTGAGAAAAATTGTATAATATATAATAATGTCACACCTCTCACTCCTGATATAATTTGTATCTTCTTTTTCTCCTGATCAGTTTGGCTAGAAGTTTATCAATTTTACTATTATTTTTACAAGATACTTTTGGTTTAAATTGAGTATAGAAATTCATTTTTTGCTCGTTTTTCCGTTTCCTATTTTATTGATTTCAAATCTAATCTTTATTTCTTTTCCTCTCTTTATCTTGGGTTTACTTTATTCTTATTCTATCTTATTAAGTTGGAAGCTGAGGTAATTGAGAAATTTTTTCTACTATAATTGCTTTATTGCTATGAATTTCCCTCTAAGTAATACTTTGACTGTATCTCATAGATGATGATGAAGTTAATGATGATGATAATAATTTTAATATATATTTTTTGAAGAACTGTTTTAGGTTCACAGCAAAATGGAGCAGAAGGTACAGAGATTTCCCATATACGCCCTACCCCGACACATGCATAGCCTCCTCCATTGTCAACATCCCCCACCAGAGTGGTATATTTGTTACAACTGATGAACCTACGTTAACACTACATTATCACCCCAAATCCATAATTTACATTAGGGTTCACTTTTGGTGGTGTACACTACAAGGGTTTGGACAAATTTATAATGACATATATCTACTATTATAATATATACAGTAGTTTTACTGTCCTAAAAATTCTCTGTGCTTTGTGTATTCATTTGTATTCATCCTCTCTCCCCTCTACCAACCCCTGCAACCACTGATCTTTCGAATGTCTCCAGAGTTTTGATTTTCCAGAATGTTATATAATTGGAATCATACAGTATGTAACCCTTTCATACTGGCTTCTTTCACTTAATAATATGCATTTACATTTCCTCTGTTTTTTCATGGCTTGATAGCCCATTTATTTTTAGCACTGAATAATATCCCACTGTCTAGATATTCCATAGTTTATTTATCCATTCACCTACCAAAGGACGTTTTGGTAGTAAATGTAAATCTAATCTTTATTTCAAATCTAATCTTTATTTCTTTTCCTCTCTTTATCTTGGGTTTACTTTATTCTTTATTCTTATTCTATCTTATTAAGATAGATAATTCTGGCCCAGAATGTGGCCTATCTTGGTGAATATTCCATGTGAACTTGAGAATAATGTGTATTCTGCCATGTTAGATGAAATGGTATATAGATGTTCATTATATCCAGTTATTGGATATAACTGGATATAAGTATCTTGTTGAGTTCAACTATGTCCTTACCTGCTGGATCTGTTCATGTCTGATATAGGGGCATTGAAGTCTGCAAGTGTGACTTCATGGTGGATTCATCTATTGCTCTTTGCATTGTCATCAGTTTTTGCCTCATGTATTTTGACAATGTTGTCAGGCACATACATGTTAAGAATTGTTATGTCTTCTAGGAGAATTAATCCCTCTATCATTTTGTAATACTCTTGGTTGTCCCTGATACCATTCCTTGTTTTGAAGTCTGCATTGTCTGAAATTGATATAGATGCTTCCACTTTCTTTTGATTAACATTAGTATGGCACAGCTCTCTCCATCCATTTACTTTTAATCTATTTTTGTTTTTATATTTAAGGTGGGTTGCATTGCTTGTAGACAATATATACTTGGGTATTGTTTTTGATCGACTCTGACAATCTCTTCCAATTGATGCATTTAGACCATTGATATTTCAAAGTGATTATTGACATACTTGAACTACCATCATATTCGTTACTGTTTTCTATTTGTTGTCCTTGTTTTTTGTTACTATTTTTGTCTTCCACTCTTTCTATGCCTCTTGTGATTTTTCTTTTTTTAAAAAAATGTGGTCTTACTATGTTGCCTGGCTGGTCTCAAACTCCTTGGTTTAAGTGATCCTCCTGCCTCAGCCGCCTGAGTAGCTGGGCCGATAGGCATGGGCCACTGCACCTGGCTCATGGGTCTTGTGATTTTAATTGAGCATTTTATATGATCCGCCCGCCTCGGCCTCCCAAAGTGCTGGGATTACAGGTGTGAGCCGCTGGTATTACAGGTGTGAGCCAATGCGCCCGGCCAGGTGTTGGGTATTTAAAAAATACACACACATACACACGTTCGTGTCCGATACAGGGACATTGTATTCTTGAACTTTCTTCTGGGATGTGTTTAAGTTTTATCTTCTCAGGTCTTGCTTTTAAGTTTTAAGCAGTGTTTAGGGTTTATTTTTCTCCACAAAGTAGGCAAGATCCTTCCCTAGTACTCTAACCAGGAGTTTTTTCAAACCTCAGCACTACTGCCATTTGGGGCTAATTCATTATTATAAATTGTAGGATACTTAGTAGCATTTCTGGTCTCTACCCACTAAATGCCAGTAGTGCCCATCTCCTCTGGTTGTGACAACCAAAAATGTCTCCTGGGGGACAGAATTGCTTTTGAGAATCACTGCTCTGATGCTCTATGAATTATGAGGTTTTCTACTCTGGCTGATACCATTCCTGTCTCTTTGTGAGTTCCGGTGATTTTTCCCTCTAATCCTTTTGGATAGTTCTTTTCCCAAACTCAGGTAGTCTCCTTACATATATGTTTATTAAGTACTCAACTGAATACTTGAGAGGGACTCTGCAGATCTCCACTGTTGTCTTTCTGTGCACTTATCTCCTCTCTGATACTCTGTCCTGCAAAAGCTAGCCACCTTGGCCTCCCAGGACTTCTTGCTCCATCTTCTCAACTTAAGAAAACTGCCAGTCTCTGCCTGAGCCACCCTCCCTGTGCTGAGGCCTGGAAATTCTCCCCAGGCAAGTAAATGGGCAATCCAAGTTTGCCTCATTTGTTTTTTGTCTCTTGGGAATCCCATCTTCCCATTCTTTGCCTCTGTCTGCTATATTTTGTCTGATATTTTATTTATTCAGGCAGGTTAGATCTGATCCCTGTACTCCATCTTGGCCTGAAGGTTTTTGTGTGATAAAAACAGCATATTTTTATGTTAATTAGAGAATTTCAGAAGACAGGAAAAACTGAAATGTGGGAAAGGTGAGGACTATTGGAGTATGTCTTTCCGAGGTGTGAGAAGACAGCTTGGATCCAGTGGAGAGGTTAGCCTTAGGCAGAAGCAGACAGTTGATCTAAAGTTCAGAGGAAAGAAGGAAGCCGTATATAGACATATAGACACACTTTTTTTTCCTAAATATGTATTTGTTGTGAATAATGGTGTGATATAGATGGGGAGAGGTATATAGATAGAACATTTATATAGGTGTATAGAGAATAAAAAATGTTACTGGGATGTTATTAGGATTATGGATTCGCATGACTTTTTGGGTGATTTTTATTTCTAAACTTTTCCTATTATATTACCTTCATAAGAAAATATGTAAAGAAATATTTTAAGAATTTAGATAAACTAGATGGAGATTTTGTTTTGCTCAGCTGTTCTCAGCACCTTGTCACATTACTCATTTGCTTAAAACCTCTAATGGTCTCTCATTACAAAGAAAAAGTTATAGTTCTATCAATGGCTAACCAGGTCCTCCATGATCCAGCTTCTCCCTGCCACCCTCACCACATTTGTCTTTGGCCTCACCTAATTCCCCCCATGTTCATTCTGCTCTAGCCGTACGGGCCTCTTTGGTTTCTTGCACAAATGAGGCATTGCTCTTACATCAGCTTGCTTTGCAGTTGGTGTTTTCATGCCTGGAACACTCTCCAGTCTCATGGCTTGCTTCCTTATACTATCTTTTCTCCAATGTCACTTTCTCAGTGAAAACCTTCCCTGGCCAGCCTATCTAAATTGCACTATCTTTCCTTCTTGACATTTTGTATCCCTTTCCTATTTTCTCCCTAACCACTTCTCATCATATGACATACAATATGCTTTCTTAAAAAACTGTTTCTCATTTACTTTTGGTTTTCCACTGCCACGTGTAGTTTTTCACACACGCAAGCAACAGATGTAAATCCCATAACAGTGCCTGACCCAGAGTAGGCATTTAAATGTGTTGAATAAAAGCTTGCAAAATGTTTTCCTCAATTTTGAAAGACATCTCTTTGAAAACTCCATCTTAGGAGATGTGATTAATAGAGGTGCCAGGTGACATAGAGCGCTGCTACATTTCTGGCCATAGAAAAGAGCCCACAGGGTGAGGCTGCTCAGGTCTGTGTGTGCTCATTCACGTCTTGAGTCCACAGGCCTGAGAATGAAACAAAGAGCCAGAGAACCATGGAGTTGGGATGGAGGTCATTGGAAGGGCTCCAAGGGTTGTATACAGGGAATGCTTGAGGGGAATCCCCCAAGAACAATGGTAGGAGATGGGTACAGCTCTCAGCAGTGTAACCCTTAAAGTCCCAGGTTAATGAGTCTAGAGGAAGAATAAGAAGAGAACTGCCAAAGAGGCAATTGTGTAAAAAGCTGTTCATCCACATTCCCAACATCAATGTTGTTACTATTGGAATGTAAAGTGTATGTGTGTGGGGTGTGTGTTATAGGGAGAATGGAGTAACAAATGGCAAAAGTTGACACAGGCCAAATCATGGAAGGCCATGCTAATTTTATTAACTTATATAGTGCATAAAGTCTAGAATTTAAAATTACAAAGGTTTTCTACAAATCAATAAGAAAATACAAATAACCTATATTAATCAGAACAGAAACTCAATTCAATTATCTTAAACAAGAAAGGGACTTTATTGGCTCACAAAACTTTAAAGTCCGGAGGTAGGGCAGGCTTTAGGCACAGCTGGATCTAGGGCCTCCAGAAAAATGACATCAGAACTTAGTTCTCTTTCCATTTCTGCTAGCATCCGAGTTTCTCCTCAGACAGACTCTCTCCACATGGCACAAATTCAGGCTTACATGGTCCTTGGTTCCTGGGATCTCCATAAAGCCTTCTTTCCAGTAGTTCCAGCAGAAGTTCTGTTAAGGGCTTTCCTTAGCCTGGCTTAAGTTATATACCCATTCTTTTATCACTGTGGCTAGGAAGCTGTGGGACTCAGGAGGCCAGGCCTGGTCACATGCTCACCTAAGCCACAGGGAATAGGTTCCCCACAAATAAATAAAGGTTGTGTTACCAGAAGATGGGGAAGGAGATGCTGAACAAATAAAAACAATATATCCACACATAACCCAATAGAAAGCAGGTAAGGGATACAAACAATCCACAGTAAACTATAAATGGCCAATAAACATGAAAATAACCCCAATCTCACCATTTTTTTTTATAATCAGGGAAATGCAAAATAAGAAAAGGTTCTTTTTCGCCCAACAGATAAAAACTATCAAGTGTAGGTATGGTTATATGGGGAAATGAACATTCTCCATACACTTGGTGAAAATACAGTTATGAAGGCCTTTGGGAAGACTGAAGGTGGACAGAGAACAAACCCTTTGATCCAAAAATCCACCTTACTGGACTCCAGACTAAAGAAATATTCACACACATGCACAAAGACATCTGAATAGGATGTTTACTTTGGCAATGTAATAGCGAGAGGAAAAAAATTAAGGGAATAAATAATGGCATTTTCATAGTATTTAATCATATTCAACCATTAAAGAAATTTAAAGACCTGTTATCTTTTTTTGAGACCAAAATTTTAAAAAGCTACAGAATATGAGATCCTATTTATGTAAAAAGTGTTTTTATGTGTATGTATATTCGTACGGAAAGGTGACTAGAGGATGTATGTTAAACTGTGGTAAGTGGAATGTGATTGGTAGCATTGGAGAAAAGGGTCTCTCTATTCAAAGAACTGTGTTTTTTATACAATGAGAAGGTAGTCATTAGACTTTCATAATTAAAAAAAGGAAAATGGGCAAAAGCAATTCATAATAGGAAATGCAAATGGCCAAGAAACATGAAAAGATGTTCCTCCTCATTAATATTCAAAGAAAAGAAAGAAATTTTGCCTACCAGATTGGCAAAAATTTTTAAGGATTCAGGGTTGGCAGACTATAGGCAAACAGGCATTCTTACTAATGATGGAGTTGTAAATTGGTGAAATCTTTTTGGTAGTAGTTTTCAAAACTGCAAATGTGAAACCTGATCCAATAAATTTCTAGTTATTCATCCTACAGAAATACCCACACAAGTAGCAAAATACATGTACAGGAATGTTAATTACACTTCTATCTATAATGAACCTAATTATCAATCCATAGGGGATTAAATAAATTACAGAATATTCATGCAATGGAATAGTATATAGTTATGAAAAAAGAACATCTTCAATGTGGGGGGAGAGGAGGCAAGTCTCAGTGTAGTGCATGTGAAATGGGGTTATGTCCTACTTTATACGGTAGCTGAGGATTAAGAGTTAATCCATGATAAAGCACTTCAAATAGTGCCTGTCACAGCAACCACAGGTGTCAGCTGTTAACACATTATTGATTAAATAAGTATATGCCTAAATCTGGAAGAACAAACGAAATTATCATGACTTCTCGGTAACACTGTGAAAGGAAATATCCTTTTTCATTTTACATTTCTGCACTGTAAAAAATTCAAACCAGCAATGTTTAATAGCTTTCACATTTGTTAACCATAAACACAAATTTATCAAGGTTTAATAGCCACCACCCATGGCATGGTGAATATGTCCCTGGAGTCTACAGAACCAGATTTGAATTTTATCTCTAGGCCACATGCAAGTCACATGATCTCTGAATCTTGCTTTCCTAGTCCACAAATCTAAGTGAGATAGGTACGGTGTCTAAGCCAATGCCTAGCATGCAGATTATTTCAGTACATGTAACCCTCCCTTCAATTTACATGAATATGAGACATATTGCTAAAGATCAAGTACCAACTGGGTATGACTACAGAGAGCTTAACCTCCAAGAAAGCCAGAAGAAAAAACCAGCAAATGCTCAGTGGCTACTGGGCAGATATCAGCAATCTGCATGACCTAAAATGACTGCTCATTTGCTAACCAAACAGATACTCTGGCGATGCCACTGCTTGGCACTGCCATATCACCACTTCATCAGAAGCTAGGCACTCCCCCAAATTTCTATGATTATCTGTGTGGGTAATGAATGTGTGGATGGAATTTAAAAATCACTACATAGTATTTAAAATCAATTTGTCTAGTGGGGACTAAGCCTAACCAGAGATAGAAAGTACACATCTCATCATTTCCTCTTCTTGTGTGCCACCATCCAGTTTTTTTTGGTCCAGTCCCTTTTTCCCACAGAGCTTTGCCTTAGCCTCAGAATCCTTTCTGAACAATGCAGATATTAGAGCTGCCAAGACAAAAACAGTATTTGCCAACCCTCATACTACTTTTTCTACACTCACATTACCAAATATCTTTGGCATTTATGACAAATCTACCACAGGGAAGCTTCCTTGTATATAGGAACCGCATACGATCTTAAAAAGCATGACATAATAGCCATTGAGAGGTTGCTCCCTTCTTACCTACTCTGATACAAGAATTCTGTCATTCCAGCCGTCTTCCAAATATGCCACCTGAAAACCTACTTGGAAAGAAGCCAGTTATAAATAAATAAATCACATCATTTATCTTAGAGCAGAGGAGTTTACAGCTTTATTGGACACTGACTTGTTTCCCCTCAGCCACAAAGAGAAAAAGACCCAAACAAAAGTCCCTACATTTTCTTGTATAACTTAAAATACATTATATCATTACTACATATTTATACTTCAATAAATCTTAATCTATAAAGCACATTTTTTATAATTGTTATCAGAAAACCTATAAACAAGCTCCATTCTGCCTCACTTTTCCACCAGCTGGCCTTGCATTTATTACTATGCTTTTTAATAGGCTCATGCAAAATCTCACCTTCCATTTTTAAACTTGATCCAAGCACCAGATATAACCAAAATCTCTGAACTAGGAAATATTTGTATTCACATGGGTCATTTTCCACACAATGATGCCCATTATAAAAAAGCCTCCTCTCATATTCTATATTTTAACTTCCAGAGTTTTCCACTAAACAGTAGAACCACAGTACTTGGAATTCTCAGCCAAGGAGTATATAATCCTACTACTACAATGTATTACTTTAATACATTTTAAAAAATGTGTTAAGACTGAAAATTAAAAAAAAATTCAATTGTGATAGGTTAATAAACTAGTTAATTGTCTAGTTGTTTATTTTTTAAATAGAACAGTCCATTCAACTTAATATGTAGGTACAACCTCAATGCTATTAGAGATTGATTAGTTCTTTAAAAAGATTCACAAACTTCCAAATTGTGGTAAGAGTATCGTGGACTCACCTCTGAACACTGGAGAGCCAGCTAGCTCTTTTGAGCCGAGTCCTCCTCCCCCTCCAAATACAACACCCTGGTAAAAAAAACTACAGTTCTGGGAACCTCACAGGTGACCTCCCCTGAGGAATGCTCAGACAAGGGGAAGAGGCTAACTCACATAAAACAGCAAACCCCTATGATTTACAGTGGAAGAAATACCTACCTACTTATGGTAGGATTACAGTACCTAGCACAGTGCCTTGTCGGTAGAAAATGTTTAATAATAAATGCATGGCTGCTTTTTTAGCCTGACGTTCAACCCTTTTGTACCAAAGGAATAAAAAATAGGTAACCTGATACTTGCCCACCTGTCAGGGAATTTTCTGTCCTTAACAAAGATGAAGGCAAAATAATGATGAACTCTATCATCTTTTTCTAAAAGCCATGACAGACCATTACCCTTATGTTTACATTTGCCTTCAACACTGCCATCCGCTACAAATTTTTCCCTAGTGTTATAATTTCTACCTTCATTATTTTACAACTGTTTATTATTTAGACTGTATGCTTTTTAATAATATATGGGAAAACATTATTTTCATTAGTAAGATGACTCCAAATTATAGAGAGGATGAGTAGCTTTTGAATTTTCCTGCAGGCAAAATATAAATTCTTGATACATTTCAATTCTTAGATCAAAGTATTTGCATATCTTCCCCAATCAAGGTGTTCCATTCACTTTTTGATGTTTTATCACCATCACTTCTTATCTGAGATCTTATGGTTCATTTTGAGGCTCTTAGCCATCCTTTATCCTCTTATTTTCTCAAATGCATATTCAAATTAGGTAAAAGGAAATAAGGGTAAATTTTTAAAAGATGGTTTAAAATGGTTTTCAGACTTTGTAATTCCTGTTGCCTTTTAATATATAAGGGAATGTATCCATATAAAGAACATTTCAATGATCAATGCAGAAATAATGTATTTGTCTTAAAAAAGAAACTTTCAAGAAAGGGACAATGAATCAGGTAGTTCATTATTTGGAGAAGTAATACAGACTATAAACATCACATGGAAAATTTAGGCATTAAGACCTGAATTAAGTTTAAAATTTCAGTTTCTAGGCAGGTATGACACCATTTCTTTCAAGATAAATATCATAATGGTGAGTGAAGATTTTTACATTTCCCAGTGGATTTTCTGACAGTCAATAGGGAAAAAACTATTCTGCATCATTTCATATTTTAAATTTTGTCTTCATTTCTGAAGAAAAAGACCTGAGTGCTGATTCTTTTTTTTTTTTCAATTTCTTAAACTTTCACAACATTCAGAAGTTTTTCTGCATTGTGTCTTCTCTGATGTCTAAAAAGATTTGAGCTTTGACTATACGATTTCCCACACTGAACGCATTCATAAGGTTTCTCCCCAGTATGGATTCTCTGATGATTAATAAGCCCCGAATTCTGGCTAAAGGCTTTCCCACATTCAAGACATTTGTAAGGTTTTTCTCCAGTGTGGACTCTCTGGTGTTGCACAAGAATGGAACTTCGGCTGAATGCTTTCCCACACTCAACACATCCATAAGGTTTCTCCCCACTGTGAATTCTTTGATGAAGAATAAGGGCTGAGCCCTGACTGAAGTGTTTTCCACATTCATCACATATATGTTGTTTCTTTCGAGAGGGATTTCTCTTTCTTTCAAACCTGCCCTTGGGGAAACAGGTTTCTCCATATTTAAAAATTTGAGGAACACCCATATTGAGAGTGCCAGGAACTTCATGGGATTCTAATGCTGAAGGAAGCTCCTGCTTTGGAGCTAGTGCTCCATTTTCAGTCCTACCATCATCATCTGAAATAAACAGAAAATGTAAATATCATTCATTATCTATTAAGGGAAAAGAAACCTAAAAAAAATTTTTTTTTTAATGAACTAAAATAGCTAGCACACATCTATAAACCACTCTGACACTGGTGTTAAGGCCTATTCTCAAAAAAGAAAAAATGAAATTACTCTGAATAACAGTATAACATCATGATATAAGGGATATCTGAATAAAACATAGGCAAGTGGTTTACAAATGGTAGTCAGAAAACAAAGGTCAGAAAGATGGTAGATTCTAAGATGGTTAGGGAGATAGTCAAAATGATGTGGCTAGGTATGGATGAAACTTTGTAAGAATAAAAATAAAATAAAATTGGCCACTAGGAAATCATTATAATGTTCTTTTACTTTGAGAAAGGGAGAAATTACATCAAAATACAAAGATGTAAATTAGAAAAACATGTCAGAAAGTGGCTATTTCTGAAATGAACAAGCCAAGTCAGGTCACAGCCAATGTTAGCCTAAAAGCAGAACACAGGAGTCTTGACAAGAAGGGGCTGAAGATAAGCTGGGGGCCTCCTGTGTTAACCAAAGACATGACATAAAAATTCAGTATGCCCCTAATAAATGAAAGTTTTCCAATAAAAGCAGCTTCTCCCATGTGGTATTTGTCATGGTACTTAGAAAAATCGTTATTTCTAAGCCTCAGTGAAACGTGTCCAATGAAAGAAAAGCCTGAATTACCAACATGGGTTAGCATCACTCACACGCAGGCAGAGATAACAGCAAGTGTCATTTAAGACTTTTCTAAAACTTCATGCCTTAAGGAGTAAAGATCCAGTTCATATAGGGTTAGCAACTGCCTTCAGCGAAGAGGAAAACAGTAAATAATTAACAAAAAGATCAAGTCAGGAGATAAGGCTAAGAGAGAGAGACTGAAAGGTTAGAGGAGGATAGTGAGGCTTGGAGACTTGAAAAACAGAGGAGCGTGAAGATTAAGTGGAGACAAACGGCACACAGGAAACAGAAATTCCCAAGTGTGGAAGAGACTAGACAGCTGAAATAAGGAACGCAGGTGAAAAGTCACTCTAAAATTCAGATGATGAGAAGTTGAAAATATCAGCCCCATATATCAAGAATGATACTTCTCAAACTTTATTGCACAGAAGAATGTCCCATGAAACATGTAAAACTGCAGATTTTCAGCAGACTTCAGCCCCACCCCAAAAGTTGACTGGCTGGCACTGTCCCCTCAGATGTGAAGAAAACCTGCTCAGACCTCATTCAGTGGCATACCAGCACCATCTCCAACTACTTCAAGGAATGATTACTAAAGCAGAGTCAAACAAAATTTCATTTTAGTTCACATAAACATGAGAAAGCAATCTAGCAGTTTTAGGAATATACTGGGCCATATCAAAGGATACACATAAGTATATGGTGTTAATGGCTAATATATTGGGAAAGACTGGTCTCGTGAATTAATACAACTTTGAGCTTTTAAAAAAGATTTTTCTGCATTTAAAGCATGTTATAGCTAAGGAGGCTTTTTTTGCATAAATACTTAGAAAAAGGAAAAAAATTACTCCAAATATTTCTACAAAAGAAGCTTCTTAGAAGAAAATGACTCTAGGTAGACGTTGAAGGAAATCAGAAATAAATATTTAGAAAGATTTCAGTGATATACAACAAAGAGATTAGAAGAGGTTTTCAGGTAAGCTTACTGTACCAATGGAATTAGGCAGGAGATTGAAAGTAAAAGGATGTAAAACAGATGACAAGTAATACTGAATGCAAAATAGAGGGACTTGGTCCATGGGTGGGTGCTGGCTCAAAGTAAGGCAAATGCTAGCCTGACATGGGCAACTCTTTTTAGGAAGGAGACTGAAAGGGAAGAAAAGGCTGAAGATGTTAATGTCTAGGAATAAAAGGTCTGAGGCCAGCAAAATCAACTTAATCAGAAAAAAACTGAGATATTAGATTAAGAGTGATATGATCCCCCCACCAGTGAGAACAAGCAAAGTTCTGAACAAAAGGCCTATACTCTCTTTCACCCTCTAGCCCACACAGAGTTCTGGTCCTCACCACAGTGCCTTAGGGAATGGAGCTCCCAGGATGCCCACTTGAGCTGGTTCTCCACAGCATCAAGCTCAGAACTTGGTAATCCCTGAGCTTCTTCTTGAGATACCATGTCTTCTACTAGTACTTCCCGTTTTCGTCGACGGAGAGAAACCTGGAAACAGAAAGATTTGATTCAGAGAAGGAACTGTAATGAGAATCAGAACTAAAAACACGTAAGAGAAACCCCATGAAACAAATACTGCAGAAGCCTAGATGGCAAAGCGGCACAGATAACAAGGAGTGGTAGGGGAATGGGGGAAAAGGCATAAACATAATTCTAACTTAGTTGAGTGGAATTAATTCAGCAGCTTTGCCTACTACCTATGCCAGTGCTTCTGACACAGGAAATGACACAAGCAGGCTCACCGGTTGTCCAGGGTCATCAAGTTCACTCTCCAAATCCTCCAGCACTGTCACTGCCTCCTCTCCATTCTCTGGATGATGATCTCGAACCCAAGTCTGTAGCTCTTTGGGTAGGATGGCAACAAACTGCTCCAGCACTACCAGCTCCAAGATTTGTTCTTTTGTGTGCGTCTCTGGCCTGAGCCACAGACGGCAAAGTTCTCGGAGCTGGCTCACAGCCTCACGGGGCCCAGGTGAATCCTGGTATCCAAACTGCCTGAATCGCTGTCGGAAAATCTCTGGGTCTGGGAGATGGTTCCAGGGGATACTTGATCCCTCTTCGCCATCAGGATCCTCCTCCAACTTCACTCTCAGAATTTTTTCCTCTTCATCTGGAGTTGGGATGATAAGTATTGAATCTTCTTCCACTGACTGTGCAGACATTCTGATTTATAATATTTCAAGAAAAGACAACTGAGGCAGAATATAAGCCTCAGGGCAATACCCCGTTTTCTTCACAGGCACTCCTGAGGCATAAGAAATAAAAGATATATAAATAAGCAAAAATATCCTAAGAATTTGAACTTATACTGGTAAAAGTAAAAGATACTTGTTCTTTGAGTTAAAAATTCCAATCAATAACCTACACCAGGAATTGGCAAACTACAGCTTCACGGCCAAATCTAGCCTGCCACCCATTTCTGTACAACACTTGCACCAACAATAATTTTCACATTTTTAAATGGCTGTGGTCTTCATCACAGTGCCTTACGGAGCGGAGATCCCTAAAATCAAATGAATACCTAATGATATTTAGGGAATGGAGCTCCCCAAAATCAAATGAATACCTCATGACACGTGAAAATGATATGAAATTAACATGACTGTGTCCATAAATAATTGTACTTACTCATACTTCACGCTACAATAGCAGAGTTGAGTAGTTTCAACAGACTAGATGGCCTAAAAAAAACCCAACACAGTCATGCACTACAAAATGATGTTTGGGTCAATGAAGGACCACCTAGATGACAGTGCTCCCATAAGATTATAATGGAGCTGAAAAATTCAAGATTCACCTAGTGACACTGTAGCTGTTGTAAGGTCAATACATTACTCACATGTTTGTGGTGATGCTGGTGTAAACAAACCTGCTGTGTTGCCAGTTTAACACATACAGTTATGTATGGTACATAAAACTTGATAACAATAATAAACGACTATGTTACTGGTTTATGTATTTACTATACTTTTTATACTATATTATTTTAGAGTGTGCTCCTTCTACTTACTAAATAAAAAAGTTAACTGCAAAATGGCCTCAGGCAGGTCCTTCAGGAGGTATTACAGAAGGCACTGTTATTATGGAGATGACAGCTCCATGTATGTTACTGCTCCTGAAAACCTTCCAGTGGGACAAGATATGGAGGTAGAAGGCAATGATACTGATAATCCAGACCCTGTGTAAGCCTAAGCTAATGTGTTTATCTTAGCTTTTAACAAAAACAGTTCCAAAAGAAAAAAAAAATTGGCCAGGTGCAATGGTTCACACCTGTAATCCCAGCACTATAGGAGGCTGAGGCAGGAGGATCACTAAAGACCAGGAGTTCAAGGCTCCACTGAGCTATGATCACACCACTGCATTCCAGCCTGGGCAACAGAGTATGACCCTGTCTCTAAAAAATGAATTTAAAAATAGCAAAAAGCTGTGCCGGGCACGGTGGCTCAGGCCTGTAATCCCAGCACTTTGGGAGGCTGAGGCAGGCAGATCACGAGGTCAAGAGATCAAGACCATCCTGGCCAACATGGTGAAACCCTGTCTCTACTAAAAATACAAAAATTAGCTGGGCGTGGTGGATTGCGCCTGTAGTCCCAGCTACTGGGGAGATTGAGGCAGGAGAATCTCTTGAACCCGCGAGGTGGAGGCTGCAGTGAGCCAAGATCGCGCCACTGCACTCTAGCCTGGCGACAGAGCGAGACTCTGTCTATAAAAAAAAAAAAGCAAAAAGCTTACAGAATAAGGATATAAATATATTTGTACAGCTGTACAATGTGTTTGTATTTTAAGTGAAGTGTTATCACAAAAGAGTAAAAAAGTTAAAAAAAAATGTAAAAGTTTGTAAGTGAAAAAGTTCCAGTAAGCTAAGGTTAATTATTGAAGAAAAATGTTTTCTTAATAAATTTAGTGTAGCCTAAGTGTTCAGTGTTTATATGGTCTATAGGAATGTACAATAATGTCCCAGGCCTCCAAATTCACCACTCACTCACTGACTTCTTAGAGCAACTTCCAATCCAGCGAGGTCCATTCATGGTAAGTGCCCTGTACAGGCATATCTTTTTTTTTTTTCAAACATTTTATATCATATTTTACTCTTATCTTTTCTATGTTTTGATACACAAATAGTTAGCATTGTGTTACAATTCTCTACAGTATTCAGTACAGCAACATGCCGTACCGGTTTGTAGCCTAGGCGCAATAGGCTATACCAGATAGCCTAAGTGTGTAGTAGGCTACGCCATTTAGGTTTGTGCAAGTACATTCTATGACGTTCACACAAGGATGAAATAGCCTAACATATTTCTCAGACCATAGCACTATCGTTGAGTTATGCATGACCTTATTTACTATATGGCCGCTTACAGAAAAAGTTTGCCAATCATGACCTACTAAGACGACAAACCCTATGTCAATAATCAAAAGAATCCAAGTAAGAACCAGACTACTTCAGTGCTTTCTAAATGTGCCTGACCCTGGAACGCATTATTTCCAATTCAGGATTGGTGTTTCCTGACACACACAAGTCAACTCAAAAGGAAGGTTCGCTTTATTATTATGTGCTTAAAAAAATTTTCTTTACCATTTAAAAAATATTTTTAAGGTGTTTAAGAACTCCTTGGACTTATATGTGAAAAAATGTTCACTTGCTGAGTAGCAGATCACATAATATTGAAAAGATCATATGTGAAAAACATCACATAATTTTGAAAAATTATCTTGCACATAATACGTAAATATTCAGTCTTCCACCACACCATACGTACATTTATATTTATAATGATAGGCATTAATCACAGAAACTTCTATTAAGAAAAGGCACTCGCATAAGCACCTTGACTTCCTGCAGTGGTCCAGTGTCTTGTCCTTACACTGGAGGACTCACAGTTTCCCCAGCTTCTACCTTCAGTGAAACTGTATACTGCTTCTGGACCTTTATTATTTGCACGATCATGCCCGTGCTGTTGTTTACGACACATACTAGCAATGAGCCATTCAGCCTATTTATTTATTCAGGGCCCAAAATCTGAACAATAACAACTTAAAAAAACTTATTGTAACCCAAGCAAGATGAAGACTAGAATCAGAAAAGGCCTTATCAGACAAGTAATACATACTGGTTTAATTAAATACCCTGGAGTGTGGTGGCCTTATACATAAGGTCTAGCCAACATTCATTCGTTCCTATTCCAAGACCCTGCTTATCAACGGTGCAAGTATTTCTACATAATTTTCTCTTCCTTTTATGCTGTAGAGCATACCGCTTGTGGGAAATGGAGGGAAGGCCCACGGTCCCGACAATGTTTGGGCAGGGTACCTCGTCCCAGGTGGATCGCCCACCTTACTGCTGCATAGACCTGCTGTGTATCCCGGCCCCGGCCCCGGCCCCGGCCCGACGTCCTCTAGCCCCTCTTCCCAGCACTCAGGACCGCGGATTTCAGATGACCAAAGGCCACCCTGTGACAACAGCGTCGGAACCACGGCACTTCCGCCTGCGGCCGGTGAGACTACAAATCCCAGAAGCCCCGCGCAAGTCTCGTCCCACTACCACCCCCTCCCATCACGACTCCCAGAACCCTCCGCGAGACGCCAGGGCCTCGAAATAGAACAAAACCGGCCGGTGGGGGAGGGGGAAGGTGAGGGTCTCGGAGGACACAGGGGGTTAGAGAGCTCTCTGCAAATGCCGAAGACCCAAGCAGGCCTGCCGCCTACCCCTCCCCGCCCCACAACTGCTAGGCGCGGAGACCGCGGCCTGTTCCCCGCGCCTCCCGGGAAGCTGAGGAAGGTCCCGGACAGGCTTCCCCGCCGGCTCCTGCTAAGAGGTCCGCAGACCCTAGCCCGGTGTCCCCCCTCCCTCTCATAACGTTCCCCGCACACCGGCGCAAACCTCCGGCTCAGGAACCGCAGCAGCTTCGCTGTCCACGGCAGACGCAGAAACGCCGTTCACAAGCCTTTTCCCAGAAGCCCCCGGCGCGGGCTGCTTCCGGTCTGCGGGCCTGAGGAGGCGGGGAGAGGTAAAGCCCACGTTGCCATGGAGAAGCGCCCCGGGCGGGGGAGGGGCGGCCCCACGACAATGACCGCATTGAGGCTGCGCTTGGCCTCGCGCCTCTCCTCGAACAGCCCAGCGTCCTCTGGACCGTTTAAAAGAAAACATAAAGAGGACTCTACCATTAAGATAGTCCTTACAATTTCGCAAGCCCTTTCACGTGCATTATCTTGTGGATCCTCTCAGTAATCCCCTGCAAGAAGGAATGAAAGTGAGTGTTTGTGAAAGCTTACTACATTGTGCCAGGCGCTCTCGTCGTGCTTTACATGTCATTTTTTTTTCCACAAATAAATGATGTAGGAACTTTCATTATCCCCATTTCACAGCTGAGATAGTTGAGGCACAAATACAGTAAATAACCTGACAAGAGCTCACAACTCATTTGTGGGTAGCAAGATTTGAAACCAAGACGTGATTCAAATCTTTGGCTCCCACTAGTTATGTCATGGAGCTTTATTCCGACCTATTTATCTGTCAGGAAAACTAGATAAGACAGGTTAAGAGTTTTGGCAGTGATGTCACGGTGAATTTGTAGAATGCATGGTCATCTTAAAGCTGGGCATTTTATACCATAAAACAACTGCTGACGCGATCATTTAAAATTACAAATCAGACCACTTCACTCCCCTATTTAAAGCCCTCCAATTTATGTCATAATAATTTATGACATAAAAACTCCTTATAATGGCCTGTAAGTCCCCTGTGGTCTGTTGCCTGCCCGCACCCCCAGACCCTGGCGCCCCCAGTCACCTCAGCTCCTCGGCTCATTGTGGCCCAAGATCCTCAGCCTCACCACCTGCCTTTCATGGCGCATGACCCTTCATGGCACTGTTATTAATGGAAGTGATCTCATTTATTTACTTGTTTTATTTTTTGTTTTGTTTTGTCTTTAAGTCCCTTAAGGGCAGGGACCTTGTCTGTCTTGCTCACCACAGTATCCCATCCTAGATCCTGGAAGCTGACTGCCTGGTAAATAGAGAACTCAATAAATATTTGTTGAATAAATAAATGAATTGTGGGATGGTTACATTGCTGCCTTTAGCTAGGTCACATGATTGGCATCAGACACCACACAAAGGAGCCCTGTTGTTTAAGGACTGGTCAAAAGTGTAGATCCAGCCTAACATAAGCATTTCAAGATCCTCAGGCTTTGACTTTTTGCCTCATTGGAGAAAATGCCCTCTGAAAAGTGCCGTCAGGCTCCGCTGGATTCGTGCATGAGAGAGCAAGTGAGCGAGCAGCTGATGGTATACCACTGCTTTTCATTCCGACCAGAGCTCTTCTCACAACCCCTGCTAACACTTCTCTCCATTGCAGGAAGCTTCAGAAGTACAGCCTTTTCACTCTGCTACTTGGATACGGCCCCTAAGCAACTTGGCTGCTCTTCCCAACCTTTCCCTCTTATCTGATTTGTAAAGGCTAGCTGAAGGCATTTTTGTTTTAAGAGTTTTTACATCTAATTAATGTTGGAAAACAAAAATAATAAATCTGAAACCTAACCTTGAGGAAGTTAAAAATGTTGCAAAATTTTACAAAACCCTTTTCCTGTGATTATATTGTTTGTTTTGTTTTTGAGACAGGGTCTTGCTCTGTCACCCAGGCTGTAGGGCAATGGTGCAGTCTTGGCTCACTGCAGCTTCAACCTCCCAGACTCAGTGATCCTCCCGCCTCAGCCTCCTAACTGGGCATTTTATACCATAAAACAGCTGTTGATGCAATCATTTAAAATTACAAATCAAACCACTTCATTCTCCTATTTAAAGGCCTCCATTTTATGCTGTAATAATTTATCTTGAAATGCTTATGGAAGGCTGGACTTACACTTTTGATAAGTCCTTAAACAACAGGTGTGCTCCACCATGCCCAGCTAATTTGTTTGTTTGTTTGTTTGTTTTTCAGAGATGAGTTCTTCCTATGTTTCCCAGGCTGCTCTCCAACTCCTGGGCACAAGTGACCCTCCTGCCTTGGCCTCCTAAATTGCTAGGATTGCAGGCATGAGCCACCGTGCCTGGCCTCCATTCTATTATTATTAATTATTTGTAAACTACTAAATGGAAACCACAGTAAGGTTTTCCTCACTAAGTTACTCCTTTGAGGGCAGGGGCTACTAACACCCGCTTTGAAACACCATCCTTCTGAGGTCCTCTGGGATTTTTTCCTGAATGGTGGCCCTTGTTGCCATCTTAAAGATCTAGTCAAGATAAAACATGTTCCTCTGGACAACCTGAATGGAGGGAGCAGCTTCATACCCGGGCCTGACAACCTTGCACATATCCACATAGGCCACATAGGCAATGCCTGAACCACAGCTGATCTGAGTCTTGGCAGAACACCTTGGGATCTTCCCAGAAGATGAGTGCATGAGAGGCTTGTAAGCAGCTAGTGCAAGGCCATTTCCCACTCAGCTCTCTGTCTTCCAAAGAGACTATCATGAGGCAGTTTCTATTGCTTCCTGGGTTCCAACGAGCCATTCTGCCTTACCCTCTTAGAGTACAGCTGCAGGTTATAACAAGGCTTAGCTGCAGCATGGCATTAACCCCTCAGCAACAAGGTGTCCACAGTGTATGCTGTAGTCATCCAGCCCCTTCTGTTTTGGTGTCATCATTTTGGTATCTGAGACAAAAGCTCATGGAGAGCTGGCACTTGCTTTTGCTTTCAATGTCTGTGCAAATAATAATATGTCTAAATTCAAAAAGGGTTCATTTCTTTACCAGCCAAATCTTTCAACCTTGCCTTGATACCAAACATCTGATTCATTAATTAATGGTAAAACGAACAAAATGACCAGACAGATACTACCTGGGTACCAGAGATAATAGAGATGAATAAAATGAAGTCATGATTCCGTCTTTGTTTTTCCCTTTAAAAGAGATGAGATCTCACTCTGTTGCCCAGGCTGGAGTGCAGTGGCATAATCACAGCTTGCTGCAGCCTGGAACTCCTGGTAGGGATCCTCCCGCCTCAGCCTTCTAAAACGCTAGGAGTACAGTTGTGAGCCACCATGTCCAGTTTGATTCCTTCTTTTAACATTACCATCTTGTTAAGGAAATAAACAACAACAACAGAAAAAAACAAGTATTCACAAGGCAGTGTAGAAGTGCTACAGTAGAGAAAAGCAGAAGGCCTGTAAGGGCTCCTAAATGAGATAGTGTGCTAAGAGGGAAGGGAGGCACCCTGAAATGGAGGAAGCCAGCCAGAAAAGTTTTCAGGCTGGGCATAGTGGCCTGCACCTTTGGTCCCAGGTACTCAGGAGACTGAGGTGGGAGGATTTCTTGAACCTGAGGGGTTGAGGATGCAGTGAGCTCTGATCGCATCACTGTACTTAAGCCTTGTGGACAGAGTGAGATCCTGATCAAAAAAAAAAAAAAAGTGTTCACACTGGAAGGAAAGCATAGACCTTCAGATTTGGTGTTATCAGATTCCATCCAAGACTGATTTTTTTTCCAGGCTTTGGAGCTCTCAGTCCCCTTCAGCTCAAAAGTATCTCCCTCTGGGCACTTTAAGTACATTGCTTAAAGATTCCATTTTAGCTAGTAAGTATACAGTATGAGGAGTCTTTTGATTGCAAGTGACTGAAAACCTAATAGGCAAGCATCGTTAGCTTCCCACACAAAGTGCTTTCCCTTGCTTCTAATACACTCCTGATTTTTTTGGATGGAGAGGGGGAACAGTGTGCCCAGCTGTAAGCAATAAAGTGTAATTGAGCTAAGCTATCCATGACCATTCTGCTTCCCTGTGCCAGACCCTCGCTTTGCCTTGCTGGCACCGAGGAATGAGTATGTGATTCATTTCTGGTCCATGAGATATAAGGGGAAATGGTTTGTATCTTTGAAGAAATCTGTCTAATTCATTTAAGTTGTCAGATTTATTGGCATAAAGTTGTTCACAATTATTTCCTTAATATCATTAATGTGAGTTCCTTAATATCTTTTTAATGTTTGTAGGGATGTCCCCTCTTTCATTCCTGACATTGCTAATTTCTGGTTTCTTTTTTCTTAATCAAGACTTCAAGTTTTGCTTGAGGCTTATCAATTTTATTAATTTTTCAAAGAATCAACTTTTGGCTTTGTTTATTTGTTTCATTATTTGTTCTCTATTTATGGAGTTCTTCTCTTAATAAAATTAACAGACAGCAAAATATGGCACTTTTGGGGGGGCAGATATTTCTGAGTTTTAGATTTGTGAAACGACCACCAAAATCATGACACAGAATAGTTCCATCATTCTATAAAACTCCATCAAGTTGTACTCATGCCTTCGCCACATCCCAATTCATGGCAACCACAGATTTGTCATCTGTCACAATAGTATTGACTTGTCCAGAATGTAATAAAAATGGAATCATAAAGTATGTTATCTTTTAAGGCTGGTTTCTTTGATTCATCATAATGCCTTTGAGATTCATCTGTGTTGTCACATGTATCAATAGTCGATTCCAGTCTATTACTGAGTAATATTCCACTTGTATCTATCATAGTTTGTTTATCCATTCAACCACTGAAGGACTTTGGGGTTGTTTCTGGATTTGGGTGATTATGAATAGAACTACTATAAATATTCATGGACAGAGGCTAGGCGTGGTGGCTCATGCCTGTAATCCCAGCACTTTGGGAGGCCAAGGCAGGCGGATCACCTAAGGTCAGGAGTTCGACCAGCCTGGCCAACATGGTGAAACCCTGTCTCTACTAAACTAAAAATTAGCCGGGCATGGTGGCACGTGCCTGTAATCCCAGCTACTTGGGAGGCTTAGATAGGAGAATCGCTTGAACCTGGGAGGCGGAGGTTGCAGTGAGCCGAGATTGCGCCATTGCACTCCAGCTTGGGCGACAGAGTGCGACTCTGTCTCAAAAAAAAAAAAAAAAATTCATGGACAGGTTTTTATATGAACATAGATTTTATTTCTCTAGAGTAAATATCTAGAGGTGGGATTGGTGGGTCATATGGTAAGTACATGGTTAACTTTCAAGGAAACTGCTGAACTGTTTTCCAGAGTGTCTGCACCATTTTGCACCACCAGCAATGCATGAGTGCTCCAAATGCTCCCCATCCTTAACAGCACTTGGTATTGTCTTTTGCTGCTGCCATTTATCCATTCTAATGTATGTGTTGTCATAGCTCATCATGGTTTTAATTTGCATTTCCCTAAAGGCTAATGATGTTGGACAACTTTTCAGGTGCTTTTTGCCACCCATAAGTACTCTTTTATGAAGTGTCTGCTCAAGTCTCCCTCCCCATTAAAATTTTTTTTCTTACTATTGAGTTTTGGGAATTCTATGTTGGACATAAGTCTTTTGTCTAATTTGTGATTTGAAAATATCTGAGTCTGTAGCTTATATTTTCTTCTCTTACTAGTGTGTTTTGCAGAGCAACACTTGTTAATTTTTATGAACATCAATTTATTTTTTAGTGCTTTTAGTGTCATATCTAATAATACCTAATACCAGACCATGAAGACTCTCTCTTATGTTTTCTTCTAAGAGTTTTACAGTTTTACATTTCACATGAATATATGATTTAGTTTGCATGAATTTTAGTATAAGGCATGAACTATATCTTACACTAAAGGGTTTTTTGTTTTTGTTTTGCATGGAGATGCCCAATTGTTCTATTTGATAAAAAGTTCATCCTTTGTCCATTGAACTGCCTTTACATCTTTATAAAAAATCAATTGGTCATATTTCTCAATTCTCTAATCTGTTATATTATCAAGCATGTTATCTCACATGCTTGATTACTGTAGCCTTATGATAATTGTCAAAAACCTGGGCTGGGCATGGTGGCTTATGCCTGTAATCCCAGCACTTTGGGAGGCCAAGGTGGGAGAATCACTTGAGGCCAGGAGTTCAAGATCAGCCTGGTCTACATAGAGAGACCCCCATCTCTACAAAAATATAGAAAAAATTATCTGGATGTGGTCGTGCACACCTGTAGTCCCAGCTACTAAGGAGGTTAAGGCAGGAGGACTGCTTGAACCCAGAAGATTGAGACTGCAGTGAGCTACGATTGTGCCACTGTACTTCAGCCTAGGTGACAGAGCAAGACCCTGTTTGTTTAAAAAAAAAAATCTGGTAGTTTGAATCCATTTAGCATTCCATATATCTTTTAGAATCAGCTTGCCTATATTTACAAAAACACCCTATTCTATTGGAAATTCTATTGGAATTACATTAAATCTATTGTTCAATTTAGTGATGTCCATGAACACTCTACATCTCCCCATTTATTTTGATATTCTTTGATTTTCTTCATCATCATTTTGTAGATTTCAGTATACAAATTCTACCCATGCTTTGTTCAATTTATTCTTAAATACTTAGTGTTTTATGAGCTATTTTAAATGTTTTTCTTTTGAGACAGTGTCTTGCTTTGTCACCCAGGCTGGAGTGCAGTGGTGCAATCTAAGCTCACTGCAGCCTCCACCTCCTGGATGCAAGGATTCTCATTCCTCAACCTCCTGAGTAGCTGGGATTACAGGCAAGTGACACCACGCCCAGCTAATCTGTGTGTGTATGTATATTTAATAGAGATGAGGTTTCGCTATGCCAGCCAGGCTGGTCTCAAACTCCTGGCCTCAAGTGATCCACCAGCCTCAGCCTCCCAAAGTGCTGGGATTATAGGCGTGAGCTACTGCACCTGGCCTTTAAATAGTATTTAAACATTTTTTGATTTCCAGTGTTTATTGTCAGTATATATAAATGTAATTGATTTTTGTATATTGGCTTTTGCTATGGACTAAGTGTTTGTGTTACCCTGAACTTTGTATGTTAAAGCCCTAATTCACAATGTGGTGGTATTTGGAGGTGAGGCCTTAGGAGGTGATATAGTTTGGATCTGTGTCCCTGCTCAAATCTCATGTTGAATTGTGATTCCTCAATGTTGGAGGTGAGGCCTGGTAGGAGGTGATTGGATAATGGAGGCAAGTTCTCATGAATGATTTAGCACCATCCTCCTTTGGTGCTGTTCACGTGATAGAATTCTCACGAGATCTGGTAATTTAAAGCGTGTAGCACCTCCCCTCTTCTCTCTCTTCCTCCTGCTCCAGCCATGTAAGATGTGCCAGCTTCCCCTTTGCCTTCCACCATGATTTGAACTTTCCCAAGGCCTCCCCAGAAGTTGAACAGATGCTAGCATCATTCTTCCTGTACAGCTTAGAGAACCAAAAGCCAATTAATCTCTTTTCTTTATAAATTACCCAGTCTCAGGTATTTATTTATAGCAATGTGAGAATGGACTAATACTGAAAATTGGTACTGAGGAGTGGGGCATTGCTATAAAGATACCTGAAAATGTGGAAGCAGCTTTGGAACTGGGTAATGGGAAGAGGTTGGAAGAGATTAGAGGGCTCAGAAGAAGACAGGAAGATGAGGGAAAGTTTGGAAATTTCTAGAGGCTTGTTGAAGTCTTCCTAGAGACTTGTTGACCAAAAGGCCGACAGTGATATGAATAGTGAAGTCCAGGCTGAGGAGGTCTCAGATGAAGATGAGAAACTTATTGGGAAATGGAGTAAAGATCACTTTTGCTATGCTTTAGCAAAGAGCCTGGCTGCATAGTGCCCTGCTCTAGGGATCTGTGAAATTTTGAACTTGAGAATGATGATTTGGGGTATCTGGTGGAAGAGATGTCTAAGCAGCAAAGCATTCATGATGTGGCCTGGCTGCTTCTAACAACCTATGCTCATATGCACGAGCAAATAAATTAGCTGAAAGTGGAACTTACATTTAAAAGGGAAGCAGAGGGTAGAAGTTTGGAAAATTTGTAGCCTGGCAATGTTGTAGAAAAGAAAAGCCCATTTTCATGGGAGGAATTCAAGCAGGCTGCAGAAATTTGCATAAGTATAAAGGAGCCAAGTGCTAATAGCCAAGACAATGGGGAAAAGGCCTGGAAGGCATTTCAGAGACCTTTGTGGTAGCCCCTCCCATCATGGGCCTGGAGGCCTAGGAGGATAGAATGGTTTCCTGGGCCAGGACCAGGGCCCTGCTGCCCTACACAGCGTTGGGACACTGTTCCCTGCATCCCAGCCACTCCAACTCCAGCCACGTCATATAGGGGCCCAGATACAGCTTGGGCCACTGCTCCAGAGAGTGCAAGCCATAAGACTTGGCAGCTTCCACATGGTGTTAAGCCTGTGGGAATGCAGAGTGCAAGAGTTGAGATTTTGGAGCCTCCACCTAGACTTCAGAGGATGTATGGAAAAGCCTGGAGGTCCAGGCAGAGGCTTGTTGCAGGGGTGGATCCCTCATGGAGAACCTGTACTAGGGCAGTGCAAAGGGGAAATGTGGGATTGGAGCCCCCATACAGACTCCCACTGGGGCACTGCTTAGTGGGGGAATGGCAGATCCACCAGCAGCTTGCACCCTGCACTTGGAAAAGCCACAGGCACTCAGTGTCAATCCTTGAGAACAGCTATAGGGGCTGAATCCTGCAAAGCCACAGGGTGGAGCTGTCCAAGGCCTTAGGAGTCTACCCATTGCATCAGCATGCCCTGGGTGTGGGACATGGATTCAACAGAGATTATTTTGGCACTTTAAGATTTAATGATTGCTCTGCTGGATTTGGGGCTTGCACAGCACCTGTAGCCCCTTTCTTTTGGTGGGCTTCTCCCTTTTGGAATAGGAGTATTTACCCTATGCCTATACCTTCATTGTATCTTGGTTGTAACTAGTTATTTTACAGGCTTATAGGTGAAACGGTCTAACCTTGTCTCAAATGAGACTTTGGACTTTTGAGTTAATGCTGGAATGAGTTAAGACTTTGGGGACTGTTGGGAAGACATGGTTGTATTTTGCAGTGTGAGATGGACATGAGATTTGGGAGGGGCCAGGAGCAGAATGATAGAGTTTTGTTCTGTGTCCCTGCCCAAATCTTATGTCAAATTGTGTTCCCCAATATTGGAGGTGGGGCCTGGTGGGAGGTGATTGATTGGATCATGGGGGTGAGTTCTCACGAATGATTTAACACCATCCCCCTTGGTGCTTTTCTTGTGATAGAGTTCTCAAGGGATCTGGTTATTTAAAAGTGTGTAGCACCTCCCCACCTCTCTCTTGCACCTGCTCCAGCCATGTAAGAGGTACCTGCTTCCCCTTCATCTTACACCATGATTGTAAGTTTCCTGAGGCCTCCCCAGAAGCCAAACAGATGCTACCATCATGCTTCCTGTACAGAAATAAATTTCTGTTGTTTAAACCACTCAGCTTATGGTATTTTTGTTATAGGACCCCAAACTCACTAAGACAACGTTATATTTTACAATCTTGCTATACTCCCTTATTATTATTAGGAAGTTTTTTATAGATTCAGTGGGATTTTTTAGGTAGATGTTCAAGTTACCTGCAAATTGGGAGCACTTATTTTTAAAATAAATAGCCTGCATAACTTTCTTTTTTAATTTTTAAAATTAGAGACAGGGTCTCGTTTTGTCACCCAGGCTGCAGTACTATGGCGTGATCATGGCTTACTGCAGCCTCAACCTCCTGGGCTCAAGTGATCCTCCCACCTCAGCTTCCTGAGTAACTGGCACTACAGGTGTTGCTACCACATCTGGCTTTTTAAAAATTTTTGTAGAAATGAGGTCTTGCTATGTTGCCAGGCTGGTCTCAAATTCCTGGCCTTAAGTGATCCTCCTGTCTTGACATCCCAAAGTGCTGGGATTATAGGTGTGAACCACCATGCCAAGCTGTGCATAATTTTCATATCTTGCCTTATTGTACTGGTTAGGACTTCAATTACAATGTTGAATAGGAGTGCAGAGTAGACATCCCTTTTTTTGTTCTCAGTCTTAAGGAGAAAAACATTCGGCCTTTCATAATTAAGTGTTATATTAACTCTAGATTTTTAGTAGATAACCTTTACAAGTTTGAAGAAGCCTCCTTCTATTCTTTTCATAAATGGATGTGAATTTTGTCAAATACTTTTCCTGCATCAATTGATATGACCATGTGGTTTTTCCTGTTGAGACTATTAATATGGTAAATTAGCTTCACTGATTTTTGAGTACTGAGTCAACCTTACAGTTCTGGGATAAACCCTCTTGGTCATGATGTTTTATCCTTTCTATACATTGCTGAATTAAATTTGCTAGTATTTTGTTGAGGAGTTTTGTGCCTACGTCTGTGAAGGATATTGGATTGTAGTTTTCTTGTACTGTCCTTTTTTTGTTTGTCGGTCTTTTACTGTCTGTGTCATTTAGATTCAGTAATTTCTATTGATTTATCACTATTTCCTCTGTCATCTCCGTTTCCCTATTGAACCCATCAGGTGAATATTTTATTTTGATTGTTGTATTTTTCACTTCAAAAATTTCCATTCATTTCCTCTCTATATCTTCCATTTCTTTCCTGATATATATCCTTCCATTCATTCACCCTTACTTTCAAAGCATGGTTATAAAACTTGCCTTAAAGTTTTTTCTGTGAACCCTAATGTCTGTATCATCTAGGTGTTGGCATCACTTGATTTTTTTTTCTCTTGCAAGTGGAGATATTCCTGGTTCTTTCTGTGCCTAGTAATTTTGCATTGTATCCTGCACATTTTCAATATTATGCTGTCAGATCCTGGGCATTATTTAAGTCATAAGGAGAATGTTGATGTTTTTCTTTAACAGTCAACTGCCCTAGTTAGGGTCAGGTTGCAAGTTCTGATCTGCATTGTGTGGGCTGTAGTTCCAATGTCAGTTCAGGTTTCACACATTTCCAGTTCAATTTGGGTCTTTGTGTCTGCCACCCAGTGGCCAATCTGGGGCCTAAGCGGTAGTCTATCTTGTAGCTCAGTTCTCAATGCCTGTGATGTGCCAGTTAGGGTCAGCTTCACACATGCGCAGTTTAGAGGCAAGCAGACAGCGCTCATACAAAACTTTAGGGGATCTCACTTGATCTCCATCTTCTTTGCAATAACTTTATCACTTTTCTGGCTCCCTGGGGTCTGTCTTACCAGTTCTTCAGTTAGAAAGCTGGGGTTTTAGTTTCCTGGTTTAGTTCTGCTGTTTACTTCTCCCAGCTGCATTCCGCATCCTGGTCCAAGCAGCCAGAGGACACAGAGAAAATAAAAGCAATGGGGATTTGCTCCATGCTTCTGGGACCAAAGCAACTCTGTTCAGAACAAAGTGTTCATCTCCCTCTGAGCTTAAAGTGCCTTCCCACAGCCTGGGTGACAGAGTGAGGCCCTGTCTCTAAAATAAATAGATCATTAAATAAATTAATTTAATTAAATGCCTTCCAAAAGACTACTGCCATTGCAATGCTGCTGACGCCAATGCTACTGCCATACTATTCCCTGAAGACTGGGGTAGAAGAGAAGGGAAATAAAGCAAAGAATACTGTATGTGGGATTTTCCCATTCTCTCTGACCCTTAGAATCCCCCTTTCCCACTCCAAACTTTATTAGGGCAGGGATTTTTTTTTAAAGCAGCTTCAATTTGTTTCTTCCAATACTTTTCTTTTTCATTGTGGTAAAATATATGTAACATGAAAATTGATCATTTTAACCATTTTAAGTGTACAATTCCTTAGGCCAGAGACAGAACTCTTATCTTGGAACTTTCTATTCATTTTCGGTGTGCACTTCTGGGTTTCAGGCTGCCTTTGAGTATAAGCAAAGAGATGCCAAGTGGGGAATTTCGTGCGCATCTGTGTGAAGAAACCACCAAACAGACTTTGTGTGAGCAACAAGGCTGTTTCTTTCACCTGGGTGCAGGTGGGCTGAGTCCGAAAAGAGAGTCAGCGAAGGGAGATAGGGGTGGGGCCATTTTATAGGATTTGGGTAGGTAAAGGGAAATTACAGTCAAAGGGGACTTGTTCTCTGGCAGGCAGGTGTGGGGGTCACAAGGTGCTCAGTAGGGGAGCTTTTGAGCCAGGATGAGCCAGGAGAAGGAATTTCACAAGATAATGTCATCAGTTAAGGCAGGAACAGGCCATTTTCACTTCTTTTGTGGTGGAATGTCATCAGTTAAGGCAGGAACTGGCCATCTGGATGTGTACGTGCAGGTCACAGGGGATATGATGGCTTAGCTTGGGCTCAGAGGCCTGACATTCCTGTCTTCTTATATTAATACGAAAAATAAAACTAGATAGCAGTAAAATGTTGAGATGGTGAAAATTTTGGGGGGTGGTATGGAGAGATAATGGGCGATGTTTCTCAGGGCTGCTTCAAGCGGGATTAGGGGCAGCGTGGGAACCTAGAGTGGGAGAGATTAAGCCGAAGGAAGATTTTGTGGTAAGGGGTGATATTGTGAGGTTGTTAGAAGAAACATTTTCGTGTAGAATTATTGGTGATGGCCTGGATACGGTTTTGTATGAATTGAAAAACTAAACGGAATAATAGAAGGAGAAATACAGGTATTAAAGGACTAAGAATTGGGAGGACTTAGGACATCTAATTAGAGAGTGCCTAAAGAGGTTCAGCATAGCCTTGCCAGCAAAGATTATTTATTTACTTTAAGAGTTAAGAGTGGCAGTTTGGGGATAGCACCAGGAGATATCAGCTGTGATGCCTTGGAGAAACAGTGTAAACCGGCAGTGTAAACAAGAGCAGGGCATGTATGAGTAGTTGAGAACGGAGAATAAGAGTATGACTAGACAGAAAATAGTAGGGATGACAAGTTTTTTGGGGCACAGGCCAAGTTGGTCTGGTGTCTGGGATGAGACTGGGGCCTAATAAAAAGGAGCATCTATACAGGAGCTCAAATGGGCTGTACCCTGCAGCATTGTGAGGACAGGCCTGAATTCTGAGAAGGAAAAGTGGTAAAAGTATTGTCCAGTCCTTTTTAAGTTGGTGGCTGAGCTTGATGAAGTGTGTGTTTAAAAGATCTTTAGTCCATTCTACTTTTCCTGAAAACTGAGGACCATAAGGGATATAAAGGTTTCACTGAATACTAAGAGCCTGAAAAAATGCTTCGCTGATTTGACTAATAAAGGTTGGTCTGTTATCAGACTGTATAGAGGTGGGAAGGCTAAACTGAGGAATTATGTCTGACAGAAGGGAAGAAATGACTGCGGTGGCATTCTCAGACCCTGTAGGAAAGGCCTCTACCTATCCAGTGAAAGTATCTACCTAGACTAAGAGGTATTTTAGTCATCTGACTCGGGGCATGTTGAGTAAAGCCAATTTGCCAGTCCTGGGTGGGGACAAATCCTCGAGCTTGATGTGTAGGGAAGGGAGGGGGCCTGAATAATCCCTGAGAAGTAGTAGAATAGCAGATGGAACACTGAGAAGTTACTTCCTTGAGGATAGATTTCCACGATGGAAAGGAAATGAGAGGTTCTAAGAGGCGGGCTAGTGGCTTTTACTATAGCATAGCCTGCCTTTGTTGGTGTGTAGCGATTAGGCCTGGTGGAACTGCCATCAATAAACCAAGTGTGATCAGGGTGAGGAACAGGAAAGAAGGAAATATGGGGAAATGGGGTGAATGTCAGTTGGATCAGAGAGATACAGTTATGGGGGTCAGGTGTAGCATCAGGAATAATGTGGGAGGCCGGACTGAAGTCCGGGCCAGGAAAAATGGTAACTGTGGGAGACTCAACAAAGAGTGAGTACAGCTGAAGGAGCTGGGGAGCAGAAAGTATATGTGTCAGGTGTGAAGAAGAAAATAGATTTTGGAAGTTATGAGAACTGTAGAGAGTGAATTGAGCATAGTTTGTGATTTTAAGGGCCTCTAAAAGTATTAGGGCGGCGGCAGCCACCGCATGCAGAACTTGAGGGCTAGGCAAAACAGTAAGGTCAAGTTGTTTGGATAAAAAGGCTACAGGGCACGGTCTTGGTTCTTGTGTAAGAATTCTGACTGCACAGTCCTGCACTTTGGCTGTGGGTAATGAAAATGGTTGGGATGAGTCAGGGAGAGCTAGGTGGGGGCAGTCTCTAAAGCTGTCTTCAAGGAACGGAAAGAGGAGTGGGGAAAGGATTTAGGATCTATGGGGTCAGCTAGGTTTCCTTTTGTGAATTTATATAGTGGTTTTGTTAGGATGGCAAAACCAGGTATCTAAAGTTGAAAGTATCTAACCATGCCTAGGAAGGAAAGGAATTGTTGTTTTGTAGAAGGTGTTGGGGTTTGAGAGATCAGCTGGACACGATCAGCAGGGAGAGCACGTGTGTTTTTATGAGAATTATGCCGAGATAGGTAACAGATGAGGAAGAAATTTGGGCTTGACTGAAATAATGGGGGCTGTCTGTGAATTCTTGCAGGTAATTTGCTGAGCCTAATGGGTGTCAAGGTCAGTGCAAGTGAAAGTGAAGAGAGGCTGGGATGAAGGGTGCAAAGGAATAGTAAAGAAAGCATGTTTGAGATCCAGAACAGAATAATGGGTTGTGGAGGGAGGTATTGAGGATAGGAGAGTATATGGGTTTGGCACCATGGGGTGGATAGGCAAAACAATTTGGTTGATAAGGCGCAGATCCTGAACTAACCAGTAAGGCTTGTTTGGTTCTAGGACAGGTAAAATGGGGGAATTGTAAGGAGAGTTTCTAGGCTTTAAAAGGCCATGCTGTAACAGGTGAGTGATAACAGGCTTTAATCCTTTTAAAGTGTGCTGTGGGATGGGATATTGGCATTCATCGGGGTAAGGTTGATTAGGTTTTAATGGGATGGTAAGGGGTGCATGATCGGTCACCAAGGAGGGAGTAGAGGTATCATACTTGTGGGTTAAGGTGGGGAGATACAAGGGGAGGATGTGAAGGAGGTTTTGAACTGGGGGAAAAGGTGGCAATGAGGTGTGGCTGTAGTCCAGGCACAGTCAGGGAAGCAGATAATTTAGTTAAAGTGTCTCGGCCTAATAAGGGAACTGGGCAGGTGGGGATAACTAAAAAGGAGTGCTTAAAAGAGTATTGTCTAAGTTGGCACCAGAATTAGGGAGTTTTAAGAGGTTTAGAAGCCTGGCCGTCAATACCTACAACAGTTATGGAGGCAAGGGAAACAGGCCTTTGAAAAGAAGGTAATGTGGAGTGGGTTGCCTCCGTATTAAGAAGGGGATGGACTTACCCTCCACTGTGATAGTTACCCAGAGTGTCTGTGATGGTCCTGTAGGCTTCCAAGGCGATTGGGTAGTGTCAGTCTTCATCTGCTAAGCCGAGAAGATCTGGGAAGGAGTCAGTCAGAGAGCCTTAGGCCAGAGTTCCAGGGGCTCTGGAAGTGGCAGCCAGGTGAGTTGAACGTCGGATTTTCATTGGGGTCCCGCACAGATGGGATATGGCTTAGAAGGAATCCTGGGCTGTGGGCATTCCTTGGCCCAGTGGCCAGATTTCTGGCACTCGTAGCAAGCTCCTGGGGGAGGAGGTTCTGGAGGAACCCCTGGCAGCTGCGGTTCAGGCATTTGGAGTTCTTGTGTGCTGGAGATGTGGCTGGGGTTTGTCTCACAGTGGAGGCAAGGAATTGCAACTCAGAAATATGTTGCTACTTAGCTGCCTCTACTCTATTATTGTACACCTTGAAAGCGAGGTTAATTAAGTCCTGTTGTGGGGTTTGAGGGCTGGAATTTAATTTTTGGAGCTTTATTTAATGTCGGGAGCAGATTGGGTAATAAAATAAAATGTGTATTGAGAATAAGACAGCCTTTTGACCTTTCAGGGTCTAGGGCTGTAAAGCGTCTCAGGGTTGCTGCCAAATGAGCCATGAACTGGGCTGGGTTTTTCATATTTGATGAAAAAGAGCCTAAATACTAACTGATTTGGGAGAGACCAGATAAAGAAAAAGGAGCATTAACCTTGACTATGCCTTTAGCTCCAGCCACCTTTTTAAGAGGAAATTGCTGGGGCAGGTGGGGGAGGGCTAATCACAGAATGAAACCGTAAGCTGGACCAGGTGTGAGGAGGAGAGGTGATAAAAGGATTATAGGGTGGAGGAGCAGGGGCTGAGGAAGAATTGGGACTTAGCTCGGCCTGGCAAGGAGGGGAGAGGTCAGATGGGTCTGTAGAAAAGGAAGATTAGAAAGACTCAGCGACGCTTGGGGTTGGGACTGAGGGGACCAGTGGGAGGGGAGGAAGATTTGGGACGAGCTGCATTGGGAACAGAGACTAGAGAGGGACCGATGTGTAAAAGAATGCCTGGACATCAGGCACCTCAGACCGTTTGCCCAATTTACAACAAGAATTATTTAGATGATGTAGGATGGAAAAATCGAAAGTGTTGTTTTCTGGCTATTGGAACCACTGTTGAGTTTGTATTGGGGTCAAGTGACATTGTAGAAGAAAATAAGGCATTTAGGTTTTAGGTCAGGTGTGAGTTGAAGAGGTTTTAAGTTCTTGAGAACACAGGCTAAGGGAGAGGAGGAATGGAGGGTGGAAGGTTGCCCATAGTGAAGAAGGCAAGTTTAAAGAGAAGGGTAGAGACACGGAGAAGGGGGTGGGGAGCAGCCCTGGGCTGCAACATGGGTGAGCAGCCAAAGCAGGCATCCCCACAATTGACTTGCCACCAAAGGAATGTGGGTGAATGATCAAGGCAGGCATCCCCGCGGAGATCAGACACCAATGGAACGTGGGTGAATAATCAGAGAGGCGTCCCCACAATGATTAAACACCAAGGGAAGGCTGCCTTCTCGAGTCCGTGACCGGCGCCGGAGTTTTGGGTCCACGGATAAAATGTGTCTCCTTTGTCTTTACCAGAAAATGAAAGGAATTGAAATTAAGAGAAAGGAGAGATTGAAGTGTGGCGCCAAGATTGAAAGGAGAAAGAGGTTGAGGGATAGTGAGGGAGGTTGAAGAAGAGAGTAAAAAGAGGCCACTTACCGGATTTGAAATTGGTGAGATGTTCCTTGGGCTGGTCGGTCTGAGGACCCGAGGTCGTAGGTGGATCTTTCTCATGGAGCAAAGAGCAGGAGGACAGGGGATTGATCTCCCAAGGGAGGTCCCCCAATCCGAGTCACGGCACCAAATTTCATGCGCGTCCATATGAAGAGACCACCAAACAGGCTTTGTGTGAGCAACAAGACTGTTTATTTCACCTGGGTGCAGGCGGGCTGAGTCTGAAAAGAGAGTCAGCAAAGGGAGATAGGGGCGGGGCCATTTTATAAGATTTGGGTAGGTAAAGGAAAATTACAGTCAAAGGGGGGTTGTTCTCAGGCAGGAGTGGGGGTCACAAGGTGCTCAGTAGGGGAGCTTTTGAGCCAGGATGAGCCAGGAGAAGGAATTTCACAAGATATTGTCATCAGTTAAGGCAGGAACAGGTCATTTTCACTTATTTTGTGGTGGAATGTCATCAGTTAAGGCAGGAACCAGTCATCTGGATGTGTACATGCAGGTCACAGGAGATATGATGGCTTAGCTTGGGCTCAGAGGCCTGACAAGGGGGAGTGTGCTTACTCTATCTTCCCTGGAGTCAGAGCCTCTGTTCTTGTTTTTATCATTTTACTTGGTTTAAGTTGCTTTTTTTGTTTTTTTTTCCCCCCTAGTTTATTAAGGTGGATGATTAGATAATTCATTTTAAATATTCTCTTTTACTATAGCTATTGAAAGGAATGGTACATCTGGGCTTCAGTCGTGCTTTCCTGTTGTTTTCTATTTTTTCCCTTCACATTTATGTGCTTAAAATCCTGCAGTTTTCATAGCTCTTTCTTCCACATGTGTCAGCTTCATCTTCCAGCTGATGCAGCATTTCCTAGCATCATAACCATTCACAGTAACATGTGGGAATAGGACGATATCATCTGTATGTCTCTTTTTTTTTTTTAGAAGAAAGCAAGCTTTTCCCAGAAGTCAGGGGGCAGGCTTCTCCTGATGTCTCATTGGCCTGGATTGGGTGAAATACTCATTCCTAAACCAAAAGCAGGCAAGTGGAATTGTTTTTGTTTTAATTTTTTTTCTTTTTAAAAAGATGGGGTCTTGCTTTGCTGCCCAGCTGGTCTTGAACTCCTGAGCTTAAGCAATCCTCTGGTCTTAGCCTCCCAAAGTGCTAGGATTACAGGTGTGAGCCACCATGCCTGGCCCACAGGTGGAATTGGATGATCATGATTGGCTTGGACTAATCATTTGGGGTAGAAAAAGTATTAAGAAGTCAAACCGTAAAACCACCTAGGTGACAAGACTGGTAATAGCCAAAAAATTAAAAAAAATTAATAGGCTGATCCAGTTCTGATGCAGCACATTAACATGTCCAAATGGAGATATTCTACCTAGAATCCTGACAACTACTTCTAAGATGGATAGACTGGAGCCCCCAAAGCTATATAGGAAAAGATACCAAATGTCTATGTGGTTGATCATTAACTATGACACTAGAGTCCACACCTTATGTAAGCTGTCTCTCAATGTCATTGTCACCTTTGCATAAAAATGACCCTTCAGTTGAAGACAAACCATTTAGATTCAAACACAACTAAGATTAATACACCCAGACAATAAGGTACATCCATTGAGCAAAATCTCAGGAATCAGCAAAGTAATTAAACATATAGATTTATATAAGAAAATAATTTTGAGTCTAAGAAATTACAACCAATTTTTATATTATTTCCTAGCCATTCAGGATTTGTGGCCTATATGGTCCATTTGAACATTCTTCCAGGGCTCCTTGGATAATCTCATCATCCCCTGTCCTCAATGTTTAGTGGCAAAGGGAACATTATTTGGGCTTACAGTCAGTCAGTCCTTTCACCAAGGACATCTGGATTTTATCTTTCAGATTCTTTGCTTTTGAATAACATTCATTCCACAGGATTTTCTTTTCTTTGCTAGAATATAAGCTTTATTATGGCAGGGATTATAAAAAAGCAGCTTCATTTTTGTTTCTTCCAATGCTTTTGTTTTTCATTGTGATAAGATATACGTAACAAAAATTTATCATTTTAACCATTTTTAAGTGTACAATTCAGTGGTGTTAAGAACATTTGTAATGTTATTCAACTATCACCACTTTACATTTCCAGAACTTTTTCATGATTTTAACAGAAACCATGTATCCACAATAACTTCCATTCCCCCTTTCCTCTAGCCCCTGATAATCATTATTTGACTTTATGTCTTTATGAATTTGCCTATTCTAGTTACCTCAAATAAGCAGAATCACATTTGCCCTTTCATGTCTGGCTTATTTCACTTAGCATAGTGTTTTTAAGGTTCATCCTTGTAGCATGTATCAGAATTTCATTTGTTTTTATGGCTGAATAATACTCTGTTGTATGTCTATACCAAATTTTGTTTATTCATTCATATGTAGATGGTCATTTGTGTAGTTTCCACCTTTTGGTTATTTCAAATAATGCTGCTATGAACATTGGCATACAGATACCTGTTTGAGTCTCTGCTTTCAGATCTTTTGAATATATACATAGAAGTGGAATTACTGGATCATATGAGAATTTTGTTTAACTTTTTGAGGAACCACCAAACTGTTTTCCATAGCAGCTACACCATTTTACATTCCTAATGGCAATGTGCAAAGGTTCCAATTTCTCCTCATCTTTTCCAATACCTGTTTCTTTTTAAAATAATAACCATCCTAATGGTTGTGAAGTGGTATCTCATTGTGCTTTTGATTTGCATTTCCCTAATGATTAGTGACATTGGCCATCTTTTCATGTGTTTATTGGCCATTTAGGTATCCTCTTTGAGAAGTGTCTATTCATGACCTTTGCCCATTTTTGAAATTTCTGTTGTTGTTGAGTTGGAGGGGTTCTTTATATATTCTAGATAGTAATCCCTTATCAGATATATAATTTTCAAATATTTTTGTTCCACAAGTATTTGAGTGCCTATTATGGGCCACGTACTGTGCCAGATGCTTGGGAAACAATGGTAAATGAGGCAGCTTATGCTCTCAGGCAGCATGAAATAGTGGAGTCAATACAGAAATAGATATAATCTCCATTTAGCAGGGCAAAAAGTTATCACATTGCTTCTCAAATAAGCAAAGGAAAATGTAGTTTATTTTTTATAACTGATAATCTTTTTTCTTGAATCCTTGCCCCATTGGGTGGGTGGGTGGGTGGTGAAAGAGCTGAATTAAATTGCTATATTTAGTTATTATGAAATTGAATTATTCAGTCCATTTTAAGTTCAACTCCCTCTCATGGCTATTTCTCACTCTGCCCTTTTCTGCCACCTGCTTGGGAAGGTGAGGGGGGCATACATTCCCTGTGATGAGGTGGTGCTATGGATTAGGTGTTAGGTGGGCTTGCTGTTCTGATCTTCTCTGGTTTCTATTCTGGGCAGCTGGTCTTCTGTGGTGCTTGCTCACCAAACCTGCGGCAACAAATCATCTGTTTTTTTGGTTGGGCTGGGGGCCAGTGTCTCTTCCTTGGTGATTTGCCTCCACTTTGTTTCTAGGAAGAGCTATAGGTCCCCAGTAAGGTCTGGTGGGCCCTGCAGCTCTTAGCTACAGGATCCACAAGGTTACTTGCTCAACTATCCCAACTTTCCAGCTCTATAGTCAGCTATTTTCCAAGGTTCCCACTGGGCACAGAGAACTGCCGTATCTCTTTCAAGCCACATACTAGCTGATAGAAGCCATTTACCTAACACTGAATGGCTGTTTTTATGAGAGTTCAGTGTTGGAGCACTAGCAGTCTGTTCAACAATTTTCCTCCCAATGCACTCAATGGCAAGGGGGCACAGCCTTCTCCCCTTGATTCTCCCCTAACCCCCTCCAAAATTCTGCAGGGTTGGGCAACAGAGGTGAAAGGACACCCTGTGCCTGACCCTCTCATTGACTCACTCTTCCCAGGACTAGGAGAGCCTTAAAAATTTTTCTTTTTGCTACTCCATAACTTTTTCCATCCCAAGGTGTCATTTATTCTCCTCTTCCTTGCAGCCATACTTGTAATTTAATACTTTAAAAATATTTTATTTCATGAGATAAATGTAATGGTAAGGATAAGAACAGACTGATATGCAATTAACATAAGAGTGTGGTGGTGCTCTCCAACCTACTCTTTGGGTGTTAGGGAAGAAGTGGTACCTAAACTAAAACATGAAGAACACACAGGAATTAGGTAACATGTGAAAGCTAGATAGGAGTTCAAAAGGAGTACATGGAAAGGTCCAAAGGCTAGAGGACTTCTGATATTTCAAAATGGCTGAAGCATAGAGGCAATGGCAAGAGCTGAAGCTGAAGTGGTAAGCTGTGGTCAGATCACAAAGAGCCTTAACAATCTTGTTTAGCAGTTCTGACTTTATCCTAAAACAAGGGAAAGCCTATGTCTTAGACAGGGAAAGGGCATGATAAAATGTATGCCTTAGCAAGATTACTCTGGTTGAGAGATGAATGCATATGAAGAGGGGAAAGTTAAGGGCCACATAATTCCCCTCACTCAGGGACTAGCCACCATCTTGAATTTTGCCAGTGTAAGCTGGAAAAATATAGGGTAGGAGGCAGGGTCACAACAGCATATTTAAGTGTTGAAGGGATGGATGCAGAAGGAAGGCAGAGAGTGAAGAAATAGAAGAGAGGAAGAATGACTGGCAGCCAAGGCCTTTCAGAGGTGAGAATGCTGAGGCTCAGAGGGGAGAGACCCCTCTCTCATTCTCAGACGGGGGAGAGGCCCCTCTCTCATTCTCAGAAGAGGGAGAGGAAATGATGGGTAAAGTGTAAATAATTTGGCAAATTTAGTCATAGGAACTTGTAAGAGTTCTTATCTTTTTTTCCTTTAATGCAGGAAGCAAAAGATAGTTGTCTGCCCGTAAGGAGGAAGGTGGCAAAGGATTAGTATGGCAAACACGGTTGGCTAACCCAATGTCGTCCTCAACCCCCATCTGGCCTGCTTTCCCTCTAGAGGTTGAAAACGCTTGCCCTACCAGACACAGTTGCAACAGGGAAACATAAGCCAGATTTTGCTAAGGTTTTTGGAAAGCTTTTTGCTTAGCATGGCTGTCTTTCTCCTTTCTTCCTGACTTAATCCTAGTTCCTAGAGCTGTGACAGCTCTCTCGAAAATCGGACAAAATAGCATGAGGTAAAGTTAGACCAGTCGTCATTCCAGCTGCAGATTGAGAGCCAGCAACCCACCTTCCAGATTTCAGGTTGAAAATTCCTATTTGTTTAAACCACCAAAGATGGATTTTGCATCCAGAAGCATTCCTAACACAAAGGCTTGCTGTTTTAAGCCACTGTTGTAAGGACAGTGATGAACATTTGACTTGGTCTCTGAAGAGAATGGGAGTGGTAAACAAAAACAAACAAAAACAAACAAACCATATAGGATTATTGGTAATCTTGAAGGCCCAGATGAAGTGAAAGCCAGAAAACAATACCAATTTCATTTTGGAGTATTTACTATCCCTGAAAATTAATATAATGGGGGTGCTAATGCTAATTTTTAAAACCAAGGTTAGCTCAATGAATTCTCCTTTTATATAAACTAGTACCATTCACTCATTAGGATACCTACATAACTGCAAAATAATTCAAAGTACACAGAGACACCCTTTAAAGATTCATCATATACTTAGACGATATGATTCATACCACTTTCCTGTGGAAACACTCAAATTATTCACAATAAATAGAATGCAATCTTACAAAGTTGATGGCAGCACCAAGTGAAGATGGGTGCTTCCTTCAAAATACTTGATTTAGATTCTGCCATCTTATTCACATAGAACCTAAGAAACTCTTTCCGTAATTAAGCAGTAATTCACAATATATACATCTCTGAGGCACTTGTTGTTTCAATAGATGGTTTGTTCCTCTCCGTAATTACAAAGACAATGAGCCCCAAATAAAAAGTATCCTACATTTTTAGTGACTCAAGATACACACAACTCAATATAAAATTCATATTCACTAGAGCTACAAATCATAATCACTATCAGAAAATTCTATAATAAAATTTACATTCACTTCTCCTCCTACTAATCTTACATTTATCAGCATACTAACTAAGCAGAGTGTGGTAATTCCACATATTTGGAGCTCCTCTAAGCCAGTTTCTGGAGATACTCTAAGATATGGTTGGATTTTCTGAGAATGAAATGTTTTATACTTTATGAGGAACCCAACCAGACAAAGAAGTTTACTATGAGTCTCTTCCCTTATTCCAAGGACTTTGATTTCTGATGTTTGCCTCCATATTGTGTAACTGTAGCACCATGGAAAACACAATACATGTATTATTGTAGTAACATTACAGAGTTTTATCAAGAATCTCTGGAAAATAGATAATTTTGTTGTTTGTATACTGTCAGAATAATTTTAATAATGTACGATTCAGTAATTTTAAACAGGGAATCTGGCTGAATTAAATGCAGGTAAAACATAGTTACTCATATCCCATAGATAAGCCAAATAAGATATCCCATAAATGTCTTAAAACTTATAAACTATAATGGTTAGGTTCAACAATTGTTTATAAGGGACTGCAGTGGACCCTTTAAATTGAACTTCAGTGATTTGTCCATATGTACAAGAGCATCAAAATCCAGGGTCTCATTTCATGACAGCGTGTCTAGAAACTCATCTTACTAAGAATACAGAAGACTCTGAAAAGGTTGTCTTGTGATGCTTGAAACATATTCATAGTTGATTTATGCCAGAAAAGGGGACACTGAAAGTATTGTCATCAGCAGTTACGGGCTTCCTCTTCCAGTTAAGCTGTGGTACATCTCTCCGACACACACTGTACTTGACAACACTTGTGGTACATCAGTCTTGTTTGACAATTTTGTTCATCTCCCTTTTTTCTTTATATTAAGATGATCATCCATCTTACAGAAGCACCCATAGATTAATATTGTTATGAAAACATTCCTTATGTTTAGCTGACTCCTTGTAGACAAGCAGTCATTTTCATGTTTCCATTGACTTATTTCCAAATTACATTGCAAAGGAGATTATTTTTTTCCAACACGGGAAATTAACTTGATATTAATAGTATGGAGGCTCTTGTGTGCTTTCATAAGATAAGGCCTTTATTTATCTGCCTCCTGAAAGTGACCTGGGGCACTTCAGCCTAGTCTTGAAGTACATATTCTTTTGGGCCTCTGCAATCGCATGTTCATATTTTGAATCTAGTAACAGAAGACAAAATAGGAATTTATTTTTATTTTTATTTATTTATTTATTTATTTATTTATTTATTTTAAAGACGGAGTCTTGCTCTGTCTGAGCGGTTCAAGCAATTTTCCTGCCTCAGCCTCCCTAGTAGCTGGGATTACAGGTACACGTTGCCATGCCTGGCTAATTTTTTGAATTTTAGTAGAGACGGGGTTTCGCCGTGTTGTCCAGGCTGGTCTTGAACTCCTGAGTTCAGGCAATCTGCCTGCCTCGGCCTCCCAAAGTGCTAGGATTACAGGCATGAGCCAACCGCACCCAGCCAGGAATTCTTTTTGAGTGCTTTAATTTTTGGTCTTTAGAATTCTAGTGCTCAAGTTATGAAATGGAGGAGAATGTCTATTTTTACACTGAGTAACTCACACATTCCTTCTCAATGAGGGAAAAAACATACTTGTCTAAAAAGATATATACTAATTCATTATATGTGTTAATAATGAAAATAGTAGAACATGTCTGAGAATGCCTTTTCAAGGCCTGCATAGGGATGGAAATCTGAATTAAGCTTTGGAATTGCAAACGTCAGAATTGAGACTGCATTGATAAGCAGAAAAGCAAATAATGCTGACCTGAGATCTTCAACCTTCTCTCCTGTGGCTTTCATGAGTCTTGAAAGGAGACTGGTGCTTACTAAGACCACTGATTTGTACTAAGGAGCGTTTGCATCTGGTGTCTTCCCTTGTGCTGAAATAGCTCTGAGTAAATGCTTTGATTCCCTCATGATACTTATGGGACTTTTTTTCTAATGTGTCTTTTCCTATGTCTAAAAAGATTTGAGCTCTGACTAAAGGCTTTGCCACAGTCATGACACTTGTAGGGCTTCTCACCAGTATGGGTTCGTCGATGCTGAATCAGAATTGCGCTTCGGCTGAATGCCTTTGCACACTCGTCACATGCATAAGGTTTCTTTCCACTGTGGATTCTCTGATGTAAAATAAGGGCTGAGCTCTGACTAAAGATTTTGCCACATTCATCACATTTCTGTTGTTTTTTCCAAGAAGGGTTTCCTTGTCTCTTTTCAAACCTACCATCTTGTTCATAGGTTCCTCTATATGTGGAACTCTGGGAGCCATTCATATGAAGGATATTGGAAACATTGCAATGCAGTTCTATGCCTAAAGAAGTCTTTTGCCTTGAAGCAGATTTCACATTTGTAGTTTTGATGTCTTCATCTGAAATGGAAAAACAAATGTCACCAGGAAAGAGAAAGGATGATCCAAATGAAATATACATGATTATTGCTAGCATGTTTATAAAACAACACACAATGTGAAGGACGGAGAGTGTAAGACAAAATATTGAGAAGTTTATATAAGACATAGAGAAAGGTTTACATACTGAGGAGGCAGTCAACTAAACTGTAAAGTTGCAAAGTTCTATGGAAAAGACAGAATAGGGAATAAGGATAAAAAGATATGTCAGAGACTAAGGAAAGTCTGGAAGGAAAGAAAGGGCTTAGAAAGAAGAAATGATTGGAGACACAGAGAGCTAGAAGGAGAGGAATCCAATGTGCCAGTGGGAGTAACAAACAAGATTTAGTACTGGAGTATCAATAAATAAATAAAGCTTAATATTCATAAAGGAATCAGTAACTATGCAAAGAAATGAGCTGAAGAAAGCCAAGGGGCCAAAAAGGAATGTGGAAAATAAAGTAAGAAAATATAAGTTAGGCCAATAAAGGGAAGATTATAGACTAGGATAACTAGTACCTCAAAAGATCAAGGGTAGCAGAGTACCCACTGATGAAAAACCTCTACTCCTGTATGGATTTTATATTACTGGTTGAATCGCTGTTTGTTGTATTATTTTGTATTACATTTAACATCCATGAAAAACGTACATGGCTGCTTATGGGCTGCGGCCACTCAGGCGGCACACAAACCTGGCTTGATGCAGAGGGCCTTATGACTCAGGGTGCCTAAAGCTCCAGCAGAACTGCTAACTCAGATGTGAAAATGCCAGTGTAATGTGGTTGCATTACCTGAAGAAATCACTTCAGTTATCCTCATGGTGGCATTTTTTTTTTTTTTTTTTTTTTTTTTGAGACGGAGTCTCGCTCTGTCGCCCAGGCTGGAGTGCAGTGGCGGGATCTCGGCTCACTGCAAGCTCCGCCTCCCGGGTTCACGCCATTCTCCTGCCTCAGTCTCCCAAGTAGCTGGGACTACAGGCGCCCGCCACTACGCCCGGCTAATTTTTTGTATTTTTTAGTAGAGACGGGGTTTCACCGTTTTAGCCGGGATGGTCTCGATCTCCTGACCTCGTGATCCGCCCGCCTCGGCCTCCCAAAGTGCTGGGATTACAGGCGTGAGCCACCGCGCCCGGCCCATGGTGGCATTTTAACTGAAGCTGCTGAAAGACAGGAGCTTAAAATGAGTTTATAAAAGCAAAGTACAACAGTTTTGGACATGTCTGGGGAGATGACTTGGCTGGGGCTGACTGTGACTACTGGGGGTGCCTTTATCTGAAGTAATTATATAAATAAGATTAAAAGCAACCCAGAGAGGTACTGATGATAAGTGATTCCCTGGGCCCTCTCAAGGCCTAATGAAAAGGTTAGGGTGAGAAAGGTAGTCTGGGGAGAAGAATTAGTGATGCAATGTGATACTGAATAAGAAAACTGAGTTGTTGTTTTACTCTTTAGAATTTACTTAAAATGGATCTACCTGCTGTCTCTACAATCTCCTTAGAATCACCCAACATAAGCTCAAATCTTAACATAAGCCCTTCCCAATTCCTTCTTAATGACACACCCCATAGTTTCTGTGCCGTGTTCTCTTTCTTGCTGCAGCAAACTAAATAAACCTAACTTGAAAAAATATATAAAAATCAAATCAAATGGGTCTAAATAGTTATTACAAAAGGAATTTAAAATTATTTATTGTATTTATTCACAAATATGGTGTCTCAGTCCATTTTCTGTTGTTTAGAATAGAATACCTGAACTTGAGTAATTTATTTATAAAAAGAATTTATTTCTTATAGTTATGGAGGTTGAGAAGTCCAGGGTGGAGGGGTGCATCTGGTGAGAGCCTTCTTGCTGGTGGAGACCCTCTGAAGAGTCCTGAGGCAGTGGAGGGCATTTCATGGTGAGGGGGCTGAGCATGCTAATATGCTAACTCAGCCCTTTCTTCCTCTTCTTATAAAGTTACCAGTTCTCCTATGATCACCAATTAACCCATTAATCCATGAATGAGTTAATCCATTTATGAGGGCAGGGGTGATAATTCAATTACCTCTCAAAGGCCTCACTTCTCAATACTGCCACACTTGGGATTAAGTTTCAACACAAGTTTTGGAGGAGACAAATATTCAAACCATAGCATATGGCATACTCATTTATTATTACTAGTTTAAGTGGAAATCATTTTATAAATGGTAAGGATTCTGTCTCAAATTCATTTTTGATAGTTTATATTCCAAAGTGACCTCAATGATTAGTCATTACTATCAAAATCCTGGCATCAATTAGTACTTTACAGTACTGAGACCAAGATCATCTCCCAGAAGCTTTCATAAGACATGACTCAGTACCACAGAAATCATGTTGTGGCCTTAAGAAATGGTTCTATTATTCTATCAAGTGATTCTGGTTCTCTCTGCCTTGTACTGCAAGATCCTGGACCTGTTGCATTCTGTTTCAAATTTCTACGAATCTTAAAAAAAAATGTAGGAAAGGCCTCCATGAGGACATTCACAGGTAGGATGTGGTTCTTGCCACACCTGGCTTTGAGGTTGATCACTTCTGTAGTCACCACCACACCAAGCTGCTGAGGCTGGGATGGTCTCCCTCCCTTTCCTGACGGAAAATACTTTTTCGTGAAAAGACTTTCACTTTTCTAAGTATACCAAGACAATTTCTAGACTGGAGGTATTACGTGTCCCAGTATAAGCCTTCAGAGAGCCAGTACTTGCCAAGTTAGGGTGAACAATGTTTTCTAAATCTCTTTCTAAATTACTGTATTTCCTTTGTGTAGTTTCTTATAAAAATTCCCTTGGAAAAACTCTAACCTTGCTTAGCTATCAGCCACTCCTGAACTATGGAAGCAGTGCTGGAGAGAAGGAAGGAGATGCTCCCAAGTAGGATTTCCCTCTTAATCTCTGGCTCCTATTTTATCCAGGATGATCATCTAGAAGGAGGGTCTCTGCTCAAATGTCGCTTCATCAGAGAGGCCTTTCTACCACTCTATATAATAAGATCCTATCCCCACCATTCTGTTTAAAGTAGCATGGCCCTTTTATCAAATGAAATTTTACATTGAGTTCCAATATATAAAACAGACGAAAACACAGCTACTCTGTCTGAAGCAGGAGCAGTCACAGCCTACAAGGCCTCTAACTCAGCCTTATTTCTACTTCTCACCTTCCCTCTAGCCCCCTTATTCTGTTTTGTTTTTATTTTTTCCCCATAGCACTTATTTGTTTAGTATCTGCAATGGAAGAATAGATTGCTACACAGCTATTCTGGAGCACTTATAGAAAGCAATGCAAAGAGCAGTTGAGGCCAGTTGAAGATGTGAGGGAGTAGAGAAGTGTATTCAAAGCACGTATGAGAGCAAAGTCACCTTAGCAGCAATATAGGCGATTCTGCTACGAGATCCCACCAGTAACTGAGCAGTTATATAGGAAATGATGATGAGGATCAGTGGTCTCTGGGCTGTGTACCTTGGGGTCCCACAGAAAGGCCTCAAGGGCTGCCTGAAGATAAAAGGGCTACTTTAAAAAGGCATGAAAACCCTGATGCAGATGTCAGGGATTTAAAGTCTGAAGATTTTATAAGAATCTCTGAAAAAGAAGCAAGAACAAAATACTGAAGATCTTCATTTAGTAGGACAAATAACAGAAGTTCCCACAGTAAGGAGGAGATGAGAGGGGGAGATTTGAGGCCTCTTGCATAAATCAGCTGAGATGTGTGTGGTGAGCAGAGGGCCCCCACACCTTCCAACATGAACTGAATCCTGCCCCCTCACCATGTGGTCTTAAGGACTGAAGCTCCCATGATGCTCCCTGGAGCTGCTTCTTCACGGGCATGAGCTGGCTACTTGGCAATTCCTCAGTGATTTCTGAAGGTGCTAGCTTCTCTGCAATCATGTCCTTCCTTCGTCCAAAAAAGATCTAAAAACAGGAATAATTGAGGCTGAAGAACACCATCAGGTTGGGACTTGAGGATAAAATAACAGAGAAGAAACTATGCAAAAAGTATCATGGACACAGGAAAAGGGAGGGAAAAAGTAGAGCCACCTTCTATTTGCTGGGACACCCATTAGTACTTTCACCCCTATACATCCAGTTGTGCTGAGTGGGAATACAGTTTGAGAGCTCTACTCCCAATGATGTGCCAGTGCTCTTGACTCAGCCTGGGGGTTCATCTCCACAGGCATCCTTCTTACCTGCTTTGGTCCATCAAGCTCTCTCTCCACATCCTCCAGCATAGTCACAGTTTCCTCTCCATTCTCTGGATGATGCTTCTGCACCCAGGCCTGAAGCTCTTTTGGGAGGATGGCCAGGAACTGCTCCAGCACCAGCAGCTCCAGGATCTGCTCCTTGGTGTGCACTTCCGGCCTCAGCCAGAGATGACAAAGTTCCCAGAGCCGGCTCAGAGCCTCATGGGGCCCAGGTGAATCCTGGTAGCCAAACTGCCTGAATTGCTGGCGGAAGGTCTCTGGGCTGTAGCTGCTGCTCCAGTGGAGGCTAGAGTCTGGATCACAGGTCTGCTCTTCCTCTTCCATCTTCTCTGTCAGAATCCCATTACACTCCTCTGAAGTTTGTGTTAGGAGTGATGATGACTTTCCCAATTTTGCAGACATTTTGACAGACAAATAGCTCAGTACTGTTAGGCTTTAATCCTCAAGGAGGTGAAGCTGTCCTGATGGACACTCCTTAAATATGATTAAAGAAACAAGTGGAAAGAAGACAAAAGACAAATGCTTCTTAGAACAAAACAACTAAGATTAGAAACATAAGACTGTATAGGAACTACTGACCTTAGTCTTAACAGAAACCATGCTTTTATTTATTTATTTATTTTTGAGATGGAGTCTTGCTCTGTTGCCCAGGCTGGAGTGCAATGGTGTGATCTCGGCTCACTGCAACCTCTGCCTCCTGGGTTCAAGTGATTCTCATGCTTCAGCGTCCTAAGTAGCTGGGACTACAGGTACCCGCCACCACGCCTGGCTAATTTTTGTATTTTCAGTAGAGACAGGGTTTCACCACGTTGGCCAGGCTAGTCTCGAACTCCTGACCTCAGGTGATCCACCCGCCTTGGCCTCCTGAGGTGCTGGGATTACAGGCTTGAGCCACCACGCCAGGCCCAGAAACCATGCTTTTGAAGAATACTTCTTTAAGAGAACCAAACAGCTAAGACTCATTAATTCATATGCATAAGTGATTCACAATTCATTCTGAAAACCATGCCCACAAGGCTACTGAATATTACAATAAGAGATCAGCCAGGATTGCATAGAAGCTCCCAGATAATGGAAATAAGGGAAGCCTGAGAAATGCTCTAACTCTGGAGCCAGTTCAAAGAGCCAATCGGTATTTAGTGTGCTGCAAAGAGCTCAAAGAAATAGTCTCATGAGGGAAGCACTTTTGTGTGACTTTTTTCAGCTTTTACTGTTAAAACATTACTTCGACATTAAAGGAACCATTAAAAAAAAAATAAACCAATCAGCTGGGCACTGTGCTTATGCCTGAAATCCCAGCACTTTGGGAAGCCGAGGTGGGAGATGGGAGGATCACCTGAGCCCAGGAGTTTGGGACCAGCCTGTGCAACATAATGGGACCCCATCTCTACCCCACCAAAAAAAAAAAAAAAAGAAAAAACAACAAAAAAGGCAATCACGTTCCTTCATCTGAATGTATTTCTATTTTTTTCCATATCCATATTACTTACTTAACTATTTTAAAATACTTAGGTTGTTTCTAATTTCACTATTATAATTAATGCTGGGAGGCACATCTTTATGAATATACTGTTTTTCTCCTTTCAAAGTATTTCTTTCAAGCATGTCCCAAGGCCTCTGCTTGTTGAGGATCAAAGGAGAAGAGCAAATTCTGTCTTGCTATGTATTATCAAAATATTGCACAAAGACTGTATCAATTCACAATACCATCACAATCATAGTGACTTGTGAGGGCAACGATTTCTTCAAGTATTATTAGCTCGTTAGCAACAAAGTTGGGGGGGGACGGCACTTTCCTTTGTATCATTTTACTGTTAAGTATCACCAGTAACTAATCTCATTTTGTTGTTGTTGTTGTTTTGTTTTGTTTGAGACAGAGTCTGGCCCTGTTGCCCAGGCTGGAGTACAATGGCGGGATCTTGGCTCACTGCAACCTCTGCCTTCTGGGTTCAAGCGATTCTCCTGCCTCAGCCTCCCAAGTAGCTGGGATTGCAGACGTGTACCACCACGCCCGGCTAATTTTTATAATTTTAGTAGAGACGGGGTTTCACCATGTTGGCCAGGCTGGTCTCGAACTCCTGACCTCAGGTGATCCCTCTGCCTCGGCCTCCCAAAATGCTGGGAGTACAGGCGTGAGGCTCTGCACCCGGTCTAATCATATTTTTTAAATTGGGCAGGAGGTATATGATAGTGTTTGTACAACTTCAGCAAATGATGACTACTTTAAAAATCTTACGTGCGCCTCCGTCTTCCATCGTTATGTATCCTGCCATTTGACTTATTTTCTCACTTCACCAAGTATTGTTCTAGGCCCTGTATAAAGCCTGTGAGTTCATAAAGTTGTTACCAAATAAATGATACAACTTTACACAATGATGTGCTATGAAACAAACAATAGCAGACACACATATTAACAGAATTTACTATGTGCCAAGCACTGTTTTGAACACCTTAGTAAAAATAAACAAAGGTTAAATCCTCATAAAAGCCCTAGATTATTTTTACCCCCATGTTGTAGACGGGGAAGCAGTCACAGCAAAGCCAGGTACTCTGGCCAAGGGCAAAGCTGGGGTCTGAACCCAGGCCGTCCACATTTATCCATGGTGCTGTGTGGTTAGAGGCCATAGGCAGCAGGGGCCCTTGTGGTGACCCCTGCGCGTTGTCTCAGCGCAGAGGAGGAAGTGGCGGCAGGCAGCCGCGCTCCCAGATGAAGCGGGGCCAGAAGAGTCTGGGGAACAAGACCTGAGAGGTGGGAAGGGTTGAGGCCACCGGTTTGGAGCCGTCAGGTACCCTAAGGGATATATGAGGGACCCCGGGGCTAAAGCAGCCTCTGGAAGAGAGTGGCCGCCCTGTCACTTCAGCACCAGGCGCAGAATCTGTGCTAAACCTGAGGTGAGGGTAAGGAACCCCCGACACCGCACGACAACCAGAAAGAACGTCCCTGGAGGGGAGGCTTCGATCAAAGCCTGGGACGCAGGGGTCTTTCTGCAGGGGACGCCGCTCTCGGCTCTACCCTGCTGTGGTGGGCCGGCTCTGGGAGGGCTGGCTTCCGACCATCTCCCGACCTCCCGCGCCCACCGCGCCGCGCCGCGCGCCTCCCAGGCTGGGAACCGCCGGGGCGAAGCGGCAGGTGGCGCGGGTTCACCTGGCAGGGCAGGCGCCCGGGGTCCGCCGGGGAAGGACGAGGGGAAGGGGTGCGCGGACTCAGGGGCAGGCAGCGGAGGGGAGGGGCCTGGGGATCTGGGACGGTGTAAGGGTGCTGCACTTGCGCGCGAAGGGAGGGGTGGCGACGAGTCCGCGGCCGCCTCTCCGCGTCCCCCTTCCACCACCCGGGGACCACCGCCTCTGACCGCAGCCTGGGGGCCCTAAAGAGGCCTCGGGTCTCACCTCCCGACGCCGTCGGGGAGAAACCGGGGAACTGCCAGCTGCGCAACAACTTCCGGTTCTGGTGGCGGGTCGGGGCGGGGCCCGGAACGCGGGGACGTTGCCATGGAGAAGAGCCGCTGTGGCCGCGCACTTGGGACAGGGAAAGAGAACCGGGAGGCTCGACCGGTGGGAATCCAGCTGCTCTGCTCAGTGTTCCGTTCAATAAACTAGCATTGTTGCTTCGCAAAGTGCTTTTGCTTACATTATTCATTTACTCCGGTAACTCAGTAAGGTTATTCCCATTTTACAGAAAATAAACTCAAATGTCCTGTGACTTGCCAAGGATTACAGAGAGGGGCGAATGCTGTGCTGTCTACCGCTGAGTACAATCCCTAATACCATTCCCACTCCCGAAGTGGTTACACCCCAAGTACTGACGTTTTAAGGGACAAGTTTGACATCCGCAACCCCATGCTTTCACAGGAGAACACAATGGCCCTTGAAAAAGTGAGAACTGACCCACATAAAATTTGTTACAATACATACACATATCTCTCCTCAGATAATCTTAATCTCAATTGAAAAATAAGTTTGAGGCCGGGCGCGGTGGCTCATGCCTGTAATCCCAGCACTTTGGGAGGTCGAGATGGGCAGATCACATGAGCCAAGGAGTTCGAGACCAGCCTGGCCAACATGGCTAAACCGCATCTCTACAAAACATACAGAAATTAGCCGAGTGTAGAGACGCATGCCTGTAGTCCCCGCTTCTTGGGAGGCTGAGGGGTGAGGATCACCTCAATCTGGGGAGGTGGAGACTGCAGTTAGCCATGATTGCGCCACTGCCCTCCAGCCTGGGCTGCAAAGTGAGAGCGTCTCAAAAAATAAATAAATAAATAAATTTAAGCCTAAATGCACCACAGCCCCACCTCGTGACTTCCTTCTCTAGCCCCTTTCCCTAGGGACTCCTGGAAAATGTACTTGTACTCGTAACTGAGGAATTAGGGAGAGGACGGAGATGCTTGAAAAGCACTTGCTAATTAATAAAGAACAATAACAAAAAATCCCTTTTGGTATGACGCCGCCCCAAAAGTATGTTAGTACTGGAATCTGAAGTGAAGAAAGAAGAGGCTGGTTTACTCAGTTTATGACGCTAGGGGACTAGGGAGAGGTTTGGATCCCAATTAGAGTACAGTAAAACTAAATCTGAAGAAATTCTTGCTTCAAACAAGGGGCTTTCACAGGATAAGACTTTTTGCTGATGCAGCTGCCAACACAAATAGCAAACAGCCCAAAAGTGCAGGTGGGAATGTGTTTCTGGCGCTGGTGGGTAGGGTAGGTTAAATGACTCACGTCAGGGGAGAATTTGAAACGAGGGCAAGGCTTGGCAGTGGTGTGAAGTCACAGGAGACAATTTAAGGAGAATATGAACGACAGTCAGAAGCTTCAAGGAGAAGGAGGAACTGTGGGATGTGGCAAGAGGTCAGGGATGATGAATTCATGGGTATGGTCCACCAAACAGCCAGATATCAGAGGCCAAAGTTAAAAACAGCAACAACAAAAAAGGGAGCAGACATAAAAGATTGATTAGAAAAGTTTCACAGTCAGGTAGTTAGAGCAAGAACAGGTTTTTGTTTGCTGTTTTAATTTTTTAAAAATTTTGGGGGTAAAGTGAAAAGAAATTAGCAGGAATAAGGTCCCAGTAGGGTGAGCACCTACTATATACCAGTTGTATCGTAAACACCGGGAATTCAATGGTAAAATATAGATTCTTGCCCTTTAGGGGCTAATAGACTAAGTAAAGAGAAAGATGAATAAATTGACTTTTCTAAACAATGTGGCAACATTCTGATGGAGACAACTGCAGGATACTATAAAAGCACAAAGAAAGGGAGGTCCTGGGTAGAGACTGGGATTGGAGTTGATGGAGAAAGCTGGTGTTGATACATTTGAGACTGAGGTACCAGTGTGGGATGTTGTTTAGATTTGCTGGATTAAAGGACAGCAGGATGAGTGGCTGAGGATGAGGCTGAAGAGGCAAACAGCAGCCTAGTTTTAAAGGGTTTGACAGGCCAAGTAAAGGGCTATGAACTAAGGTTTTAAGCAGAAACTTGAATTAGTGGCATGTGCACATCTGCAATTCAGGTAGGGCTCTCTGATAGCAACACGAAGGATAGATCTGAAGGGAGGCAAAACTCAAGACAGGGTTACCAGCTCTGAAGCTGTTGCAAAGATCCAGGCTGCAGCTGGTGAAGGTCTGAACTAGCACAGAGGGGACGAGAATGGAGGCAGATTCTGGAAACACTTGGGAGGCTGGTGCTTGCTTAGATGGAAGACTGACAGATGATTGGGTACATAATGTGTCATTCAGGGAAGTTAAACAACAGAGTATGTTTGACAATGGCTTATGTGGATATTTGAGGGGATTTTTGGGTAGACTGGATCAGAAGCTGAATGGGATGCTATCATCAATAACTGCACATAATTGGACATTTTGTGTGATCATGTGAAAATAAATATCAAACATGTTTTATATCTGAATGCTTCCCTTATATAGGTATGTAAAGATCTCTATGACTTTTATGAACCATTTCTAAGGCAATCACTCTACAATGACATTATAGAGACATTTATTTCTCAACTTTGTACTCTTCACCACTCCCTTCATCCCAACATATTTGCTCTCCACCTAGGTAGAAGCTTTTAGGGGCATGGATCTGTGTCTGTCTAAACACATAACCCTTGTTTTTTTTGACCCGAGGTGCATGAAGTGGATGTATTATACACAGCTGCCATGTTTCTATAGGATAAGGAATTAGAAGGTTAAGAAATTTAGGTTGGCTCAAGCATGGTGGCTCATGCCTGTAATCCTAGCACTTTGGGAGATCGAGGTAGGAGGATTGCCTGAGCCCAGTAGTTCGAGACTAGCCTGGACAACATGGCAAAACCCCATCTCCACAAAAAAATACCAAAAATTAGCTGGGCATAGTGGCATGCACCTTTGGTCTCAGCTTCTTGGGAGGCTGAGATGGGAGAATCACTTGAGCCCAGGAAGTCAAGGCTGCAGTGAGCCATGATCATTCCACTGCACTCCAACTCGGGCAACAGAATGAGACCCTGTCTCAAAAAAAAAGAAACTTAGGTTTATAAACACTGCATGTTCTCACTTATAAGTGAGAGCTAAACATTGAGTACACATGGACACAAAGAGGGGAATAATAGACATTAGGGCCTACTTGAGTGGGGGGTCGGGGTTCAAAAACTACCCACTATGCCTATTACCTGGGTGATGAGATAATATGTACACCAAACCCCCATTCAGTTAATCTGTATAACAAGCCTCCACATGTACCCCAAAACTGAAATAAAAAATTAACAAAAATAAAAACTTTAAAATTAAAAAAAAAAGAAATTTAGATTGAGCAATAAAAAGCAATTTGCCTACAATGGAACTATGGTTTCCAAGCAAGTGGTGGATGGGTTGTATGTGTAGGAGTCCAAGTGTGGGTACACACTTGTCAACCTGAAATAATAAAAGGGTCAGAATCCAGTTTTAAAGAGTTTATTCAAACAAAAAGCTGGGAATAGCCATTCCAGGACACACAGACTCCAGAGAAATGGGATCAGTGCTCCAAAGTTAAAAGTTAAATCTTGCTAATATAGGAAGAAGACAAAGAAATTTATCAGGATTGCAACATTTTCTATACAAGGCTGGCTTAATAGTTTCAACAAATTAATTAGTTAGTTTGTTTTCTTTTCCATATAGCTTGTTTTCTTTATAGTTGGTTTTCATTTGGTTTCCAATTTAAAAGAGTGTATTTAACATTCTATCTTAAGTCAATGTGATAGTCAAGAAGTCTGTGTGTGAGAAAGGTAAGAGAAAGGTGAATCTATAATAAAGGCCAACAGTGGAGAGGGAAGGGGTCTTCCTCTTCCCTTTGGCCATATATAACATTTTACAAAACAATGCAGGTAAGGGAAAAGGCTTCATCTGTAATCAGAGAAACAGAAGGTTATAGCTCCCTAGTTTATAGGTGCCTACCATGTGACTCAGGATCAGTAATAACATTCTTCCAAGTCCTAAAATAATTTAGAGTTCTAGCAGCTTAGATTTCGAATGACTCTTTTTCACACAGTGAACAGATATGAGAGTTTGTGTGAGGGAACTAGGGGAGCTCTCTCTCCCTTAGTGGAAGACGTGAATAAAGTATCAAGTTGGGAAAACAATTAAGGAAGTGTATTAGTCTGTTTTCACGCCGCTGATAAAGACATACCTGAGACTGGCAATTTACAAAAGAAAGAGGTTTAGTTGGACTTACAGTTCCACATGGCTGGGGAGGCCTCACAATCGTGGCAGAAGGCAAAGAGGAGCAAGTCATATCTTACGTGGATGGCAGCAGGCAAGAGAAAAGAGAGCTTGTGCAGAGTAACTCCTGTTTTTAAAACCATCAGATCTAATGAGACCCATTCACTATCATGAGAACAGCATGGGGAAAGACCCGCCCCCATGCTTCAGTCATCTCCCACCGGGTCCCTCCCACAACACATGGGGATTATGGGAGCTACAAAATGAGATTTGGGTGGGGACACAAAGCCAAACCATATCAGGAAGTATCCCAAACTGAGTTCATCTTCTCTCTCCATCACCCTCAATAGGCCAAATTCCTTGCTTTGATAGTGAAACTGCTGTTAGCTCTATGTTCCAGGCAGTAAGTCTTAGGAGTCATCTTACACATTTTTCTTTCCCTTGTTTATGAAATCCAATGTGGTCTCAAAGTCAACAGACAAACCTGGGTTCACTCCCCAACTCTGCCGCAAGCTACTGTGGGTTAAGTCCTAAAATTCTCTAATCCTTATTTCCTGATTATAAAATTGGGATCATAATAATCTGAAGATTAAATGAAATAATGTAGCTAAAGCTCCCCAGGTGATTTCAGTGGGCACTTGTATTAGCTTCCTGTGGACACTGCAACAAATTATCACAAATCTGGTGGCTTAAAACAACAGAAATATATTTCCTCACAGTTCTAAAGGCCAGAAGTCAGAAACCCATTTCACTGGGCTTAAAGTGACAGCATGCAGGGCAGTCCTCCTTCTGGAGGCTCTAGAGGAGAATTCATTCCTTTCTTCCTCCAGCATTTTTTGGCTGTCAGCATTCCTTGGCTTCTGGCTGCATCACTCCAATCTTCAAGGCCAACATCTTCAAATCTCCCTCTACGTCCTTTTCATAAGGATGCATGTGGTTGCATTTAGGTCCCACCCAGATAATCCAGAATAATCTATCCATCTCAAGACCCTTAATTTAAACACATCTGCAAAGTCTCTTTTTCCAAATAAGGTAACATTGGTAAATGTGATGTAAACATTTGTAAATGTTCCAGGAATTAGGACCTGATATCGTTTGAGACCATTTTTTAACCCACCACAGCAGCCAATGGGGAGAGTCTCCATATTTGCTAAATAAAGAATTGTCTCAAAGAAAAAAAATCTTTGAGAAGACAAGCATTTGAGAGGAATTTTAACCCATGATCTGTGGCTCTTTGTGTACCCAACGTGGTAACCACTAGACACCTGTGGCTAATTACATTTAAATTTTAATTAATTAAAATTAGAAATTCAATTCCTCAGTCACACTTGCCACAGTTCAAATGCTCACTAGCCTCATGTGGCTAGTGGTTCCCATAATGGACAGCACAAGTATAGAACATTTTCATCAGCACAGAAAGCTCTAACAGACATTGCTGGGTACCTCTTGAAATATATGTTTCTAGGTGCATATGTGCATTTTTCTTGGGGCAGGGTCTAACAGAAGACACAAGCTATAAATCTTGACAATGACCAGTCTGTTGACGGGTTCTATTTAGCCCATTGTTTTAAAATTGAATTGGTTGTTAACTTTTAAGTTTTGATTTAAGACATTATAAAGAAAAACAAACTACAAGGCCAGAGGATTGCTTGGGCCCAGAAATTTGAGACCAGCTTGGGGAACATAGGGGGACGCCACTCATCTCTACAAAAAATTTAAAAAATTAACCAAGGGTGGTGGCACATGCCTGTGGTCCCAGCTACTCAGGAGGCTGAGATGGGAGAATCACTTGATATAATTAGTCCTGCTAGCTTCTGCTAGCTTAGTCAAAGCTTTGTCATCTGAGTTAGACCGTGTGAAGGTGACAGTGGTGCAGGTCTCCCTGTGGACTAGATACCCCAATCTTGCCTCACCCTTGATAATGCAGTAAGGACCCCCTATCTTATGACACAGGGCAGGAGGGAAGACAGCCAGCTCTACAGGATCCACATCATGTGCAGTCACCAACAACTGAGACTTTTCATTCTCCACCCAGGTGGTGACAGTCTTAACCCTGCTGGAAGGACAGGTGACCTCTTAGTGGAGACATCCCCTTTGCTGGCAGCTGTCTTCCCAGCCCACGACAACAGCCTCTGCTTCTCTTGCTTTGTCTCTGGTCTGTACTTGTGGGCCAGCCCGAGTTAATTAAGGAGCTTGTTGGCAGTCTGAAGTCTGGGTAAACTAGTTAATCACAGGAGGCATTTTCTGCTGCTCATAGGGGATAGCCCTTTGCCGCTGCAATCAGATATAGCTGGGCCATTTGACAAAGCAAGTGAGGTCCCTTTGGGGCTGAATGTCCTGTCCAATGCCAAAATTCTTAGGCCTTTTCTCAAACAAGGGATTTACCACCTTCTTAGCCTCCTGCTACTTTCAGACAGCAGGGGCTGGGGTCGTCTTCTTCCCCTTGGCCTTCTTTTCCTTGGGCATCTTGGGCAGCTGGAGGAGAAAGAAAGGAAAGGGAATTCTCTCCTCCATCTTCTGAGCACCCCTGACTGTTCCTCTTGTTCTGCAACCTTACATATTATTAGTGTTCTCCATTGTTCTGCCTTTTGTTCCCGCACTTTTCATGCCGTAGGCTCTCTCTGGCTAGCTTATCTATTGCCACCTATGAGGCTTCAACTACCATATCTAAAGTAATTAGTTCCAACCTATATCTTGGGCCTGACCTTTTTTTTTAGTCTCTTCTCCATAGAGTTGACTGCTACTTAACATAACTGCTTGTTTCCCGACACCCTACACTGATCATGAATTATTCCTCTCTTTCCCTCTACCTGCCTCTTTTCTCCTGTATCTTCTATCTTCTGGACTAGCACTGCCATTCACCCATTTTCTCCAACAGAAATTTGGAATCTTCTATGATGTGTCAATTTCACTCATGTACATGTTAGGCAGCGTCTGCGTCTTATTTATCCTTGTGCTGTCTATGTCCATGCTCCATAAAAACATAATAAAAAAAGGAGAGGAACAAATTGATAAAAGAGTCAGTTTGCTCATAGCAATGAGCTTATGAGAGTGGACTGGAAACAAGAAGATGTGAAGTTTGATTCATATTCGTAATGGGAGCCCAGTGTAAGATAGGAAGGAAATGAAGGATGAGGTCAAAATGTTAAATGTGAAATTTAACAAAGATTATTCAGATGGATTTAAAGGCATAGTTACCAGAGAAAACAGATGATCCATGAGGAGGATTTATTTTGGAATAAAAAGCATAATGGGGCCGGGTGCAGTGGCTCACGCCTGTAATCCCAGAACTCTGGGAGACCGAGGAGGGAGGATCACCTGAGGTTAGGAGTTCGAGACCAGCCTGGCCAACATGGTGAAACCCTATCTCTACTATAAATAAATAAATAAATACTAGCTGGGTGTGGTGGTGAATGCCTGTGATCCCAGCTACTCGGGAGGCTGAGGTAGGAGAATTGGTTGAACCCGGGAGGCAGAGGTTGTGGTGAGCCGAGATCGTGCCACTGCACTTCAGCCTGGGTGACAGAGCAAGACTCTGTCTCAAAAAAAAAAAAAGCATAATGGCTTCATGACAATTTGAATGTGAAGAGATGAAGAGAATACATCTCACGCAATACTGAAAATTCATGTCAGGGAAGACAGTAAAGCATGCTGAGAAACAGACGTGTTGGAGCTTCAGGGTCTGCTATAACATTGGATGCTCAGCACACTGCCCCGTATGAAGTCTTGCTCCTCACCTCTCTTCCAAGGCATGGGGCTCCATGTTTTCATCTTCAATTTTGTTCTCCACAGACTGGAACTAAATATTCAGCTATATGTGAGGTGATTCCTCTATGAGTTTCCTCCCTAGGAAATTCATACTGTAACTACCACAAACTTCGTGGCTTGAAACAACAGGGATTTATTATCACATGGGTCTGGAGGCTAGAAGTCTGAAATGAAGGTGTTGGTAAGGTCATACCCTCAGTGAAGGCTCTAGGGAGGAAGCCTTCCGTGTCTGTATGATTCCCGCTGGTTGCCGGCAGTCTTTGACATTCCTCATCACATGGCCTTCTTCCCTCTGTGTCTGAGTGTGGTTCCATGTATCTATCATCTTTTTAAAAGACACCAGTCGTTGGCTTTAGGACCCACCTAGCAATCAAGTATGACCTCATCTTAATTAATTACATCTGCAAAAAATGTACGTTTCCAATAAGGTCATTCTGAGGTTCTAGGTGGACACAAATTTTGGGGGTATTCAACCCAGCACACTGCCTTTGCCAGCTAGTAATTTGTTGAAATTCACCCTTCTGTGACTGCTATGTAACATGAAGTGGGTCTTTTAAATCTATTTCCTTAAGGCAGAGAATGAAGGAAGGGGCCTAAGAAAGGTGGCAAGTCCTGGATGGAAGGTGGATTATGACACCTGGGAAAGCAACATCTGTGATGGGTGGAGAGACTCAAACCGCAAATTTGAATACAAGTCATTCTATCCAACTGCCTGATGCCTTTGGAATCTACCCCTTGGCAAAGACCACGACAAAATATGGTAAACAGAATATAAGGCTATGATGGGATGTATTTATAGTCACAGGAAAATACAGGGCTCTGCCTTGTGGAGGAGATGAAATGGAAACCAATGTGATCTATAACTAATCATCACTCACTTTGTACATTCATAAAATTTCCCGGAAGCAGGAAACTGGAATGAGAATAGGCAAACTGGAAGCAATGCACTGAGCAGTTGTTCTGCCTCCATTCTTTTCTAGATGACAAAACTAAAGACCCCCACAGTGAAAATGCTTATCCCAATTTAGCCAGCTATTAAGTGACAGAACCCAAACTGGATCCCATATCTCCTGACTCTGTTCTTCCTATTTGATCCTGATGCCCCTCAGGAAAATAATTAGAATAAAATAAAAACATACTTCTTGCAAGTTCTGACAATTATTACCTAGAAAGAGGATTTGAGGAAATGGCATTTTTGAGGAAATGGTGAGAAATTTGCCTTTAATTCATATGTGTGTGAGGGAGAGTTCATTTAATTTCTTAGTTTAATATTAAGTTGTAGAAACAGTGTTTGATAAACCAAATCACAGGAGGAAAAATAAGAAAAAAGCTCCTTAACAGTAGGCGTGATGTTAACAATTTGTCAGCAGGAGGCGCTAGAGAGACATTGCAGGAGGAAGGGCTTCCCTTCTGGGTCTGGTGCGCACAGCTTCTCTAGCATCCAGTAACAGCTCCTCCCTGTTTGCTCTTGCATCCTTTGGGGCAGTTTTGTAGCCGAGTGCCTCCAGTGAGAAGCCTCCCAGTGAATGGCTGTCTCTTGCATTCTAGAGGGAAGACTTCTGGTAAGTTCTGAAGGGCAGATTTCAGGAAAGTTTCACTACCATGGCAAAACAGTGACTTTTCTGCTATCCAGTGAGCCAAGGCTATGTACCACAGAGGAGGTGCCTAACAATCACGTGGACAAAATGACACTCTCGGTGAATATAAGTCAGTCTCTTTCCCTAGTGCTTGCTCAACGGACTGTAAACAAAGTAGCCACAGTGGCAAGGATGGAGACTATGTATGGGCTCAAAAACAGGGACCGTCTCCACTCACCAAAACTGACCTAGCGAACACCACCATGTGTACCTACTTTGTCAACAGCAGAGGCCAGTACTAAGCCCTTCAAATGGTCCTCCACCGTTTGAAGAGGGCAACACTAAGCCCTTCAAATAGTCCATGGGAACCAGCCAGCCACCTGGTGGCAGGTTGATTACATTGGACCATTTTATTCATAGAGGAAACAGATTAATCCTCACTGGAATAGACATATATTCTGAATATGGATTCACCTTCCCTGCCTGTTATTCTTCAGCTAGCCCTACTATGTATGTACTTACGAAATGCCTTAGTCATCTTCTTGGTATTCTGCACAGCATTGTTTCTCATCAAGGATCTCATTTCACAGCAAATGAAGGATAGCAATGAGTTCATGTCTATGGAAGGAATCAATTGGTCTTACCACCCACATACTCCAACATCCAGAAGCAGCTGGCCTAACTGAAAGTTGGAATCACTTACTGAAGACTCAATTATGGTGTCAGTTGGGAGACAGCACCCCAAAACAACAGCATTCTGTCTTACAGGGTATCATACATGCTTGGAATCTGAGATCATTATATGATGCTGTTTCTTCATAGCCAGATTACATGGATCTGGGCATCAAGGGGTAAAAGTGAGCATGACTCCTCTCACTTTTATACCCAATAATCCATTTGCAGAATTTTTCTTCCTCTTTCAGAAACTTAGAACTATGCTGGTTTGGAAGTCATAGTCCCCAAGGGAGGGATTCTTCTACCAGCAGACACAGTGTTTCAATTGAATGGGACCATTCAGGAGGGTGAAACTGCTTCCTAGACATATTAGACTTCTTATGCCATTGGACCAACTGGAAAATAAAAAAGTTATATAGGGGAGGTGCTTGATCATGGTTACCAAGAGGAACTTGGGTTGCTACTACACTATAGGGGCAAGGACTATGTCTGAAACTCAGGGAATTATCTAGGGATGCCTCTTATACTTCTGTGGCCACTAGTAAAGGTTAATGGAAAACTACAGAAACCAAAAAAGTCAGGGTTAACAACTTAGATTCTCCAGGAATAAAGGTTTGGGTCACTATACTGGGTAGAGAACCCCAGCAAGCTGTGTTTCTAGCTAAGGATGGAGGATAGGTGGACTAGTTAATGGAAGAAGGAAGGGGTAGATATTCAGTTTCACAACAAATTACAAAACCAAGGACAGTAATAGCTTTGTGTATTTTCTGTTTGCTTATTATATACATTTGTTTATTTTATGTTCTAACCATTTTCATCTTCTTTCTCCACATTGTCGTTTTATACACAAATAGTTTAAACTTAACTTTACAATGTGTTCTTTAGGTTACAGAATATTTAGTGGGACTATGACTGAATTTGGGGAGTAATTAATATAACCAGTAATGAATACAATGACTGCCAGGACTGCGCATCTCTACATTTTGAGGAAATGGTGAGAAATTTGCCTTTAAAAAACATGGTTGTATTTTATTACAGAAGAAAATTAGAGTTGCTTTGTTGATGTACAGATGTGCTCAAAGATGTGAAGAAGGTTGCACGTGTAGGTTAAGTAGTCAGAGTCCTATTCTCATTTGAATCTCTGTGCTTTTGCTCAAGCTATTCTATGAGGGAAACTTCAAAAAGTTCATGGAAAATGTGTATTATGAAAAACTATGCATGGATTTCAAATTTTTTGCAAATAAACTCATACCAACTTGATATGACATGTCTGAATAGAACCTAGTTTGAGGCACTAAGAAGGATAAGATATCAATTTGAAAAGAGCCCCTATTGGAGCAACATGAATTCTGCTAAAATTGAAGCAAGAACAAACATCGAATTTATGGTGATGCTTGCATGGAAGAATGGTGAAATCACTGATGCTTTACAAAAAGTTTATGAGGATGATGTCCCCAAATAAATCAGCAGTTTACAAATAGATAAACCACTTGAAGAAGGACAAGATAACGTTGAAGATGAAGCCTGCAGTGGCAGACCATCCACATCAATTTGCAAGGGAAAAAAGGATCTTGTTCATGCTCTAGTTGAAAAGGACTGACAATTAACAGCACAAACAATAGCCAACACCACAGATGTCTCAAGTGGCTCAGCTTACGTAATTCTGACTAAAAAATTTGAGCAAACTTTCCACTCTATGAGTGCCAAAACCATTGCGCCCAGATCCACTGCAGACAAGAGCAGAGCTTTCAGTGGAAATTTTAAACAAATAAGATATAGACCCAGTAGCATTTCCTTGAAGAATTGTAACAGGAGATGAAACACGGCTTTACTAGTGTGATTCTGAAGACAAAGTACAATCAAAGCAATGGCTACCGAGACGTGGAAGTGGTCCAGTCAAAGCAAAAGTGGACTGGTTAAGAGCAAAGGTTGTGACAACAGTTTTCTGGAATGCTCAAGGAATTTTTCTTGCTGACTTTCTGGAGGGTCAAAGAATGATAACACTGCTTATTATGAGGGTGGTTTGAGACAGTTAGCCAAAACTTTAGCAGAAAAACACCCAGAAATCTTCACCAGAGAGTCCTTCTTCACAGTGACAATGTTGCTACTCATTCCTCTCATTAAACAAGGACAGTTTTGCAAAGGTTTCAATGGGAAATCATTAGACATCATCCATCTTACAGTCCTGATTGGGCTCATTCTGACTTTTTTTATTTTCTAATCTAAAAAAAATCTGTAAAGGGCACCCATTTTTTTCGTCAGTTAATAATGTAAAAAAGACTGCATTGACATGGTTAAATTCCCAGGACCCTCAGTTCTTTAGGAGGGTCTCATCACTTACAAAAGTGTCTGGAGCCTATGTTGAGAAATAAAGTTTTAATTTTTCAATTTTTATCTCTTAATTTTGTTTTTCCACAAACTTTAAGTTCCCCGTGTATATACCTTAAATGACTCCTCCCATCCTCTCAAATTTGAGACACAGTTTATTTCATCATGAAGTTTCTTCCAGTTACCCTACCCTGCAGTGATTTCTTTCTCTGTGTCCCTGAAGGATTTGATAGTATCGTACATTTAGTACCTAATTATACATTCTGAACATAATTATCTTTTAATTATTGGATGTATTATACTGTTCTCCATCCCCTGCCCCACCTGCCCCAGTCCACTAGACCCTAAGCTCTTTTAGGATGATATCTCATTCCTTTTTTGCACTGTCCATCGAAAACACACATACAGTGAGTCACTACTCGATGAATACTTCTTAATTAAATAACTGTCCTTACCCACTTGCTGCACTGATCAATCTCCATCTTGCTCCGAATTCAGTGTTTCCGCCAATACAGTGTTTTTCAACCTAATTTGACTAGAGAGCATCTTTGACATCAATATCTAATTTCTCAAAACCACTTGGGACTAAAAAGATAATTTGTCAATTTTTGCTTGATATGTAAAAATGATTTACATAAAATGTTTTATTTTGAATTAACATATCATAAAATTCTTTAAAAACATATTCTACATTTGTAATATGACTTTTTTCCATTATTTAGAAATAATTAAGAAAGCAGAGTTAAAATACTGTACTGTAGTTCTTCAAAACATTAAAATAGAATTACTGTATGATCCAGCAACTCCACTTCTGGGTGTATACCCAAATTAATTGAAAGCAGGGACTCAAAAAGATATTTGTACACCCATATTCATAACAGCATTATTCACAGTAGCCACCGAGTGAAAGCAACACAAGTGTCCATCAGTAGATTCATGGATAGAGAAAATGTGGTATGCATTTAATGGCATATTATTCAGTCTTAAAAAGGAAGGAAATTTTGACACATGCTACAACATGGATGAATCTTGAGGATATTATGTGAAGAGAAATAAGATAGTTACAAAAAAAATACTATGTGATTTCACTTATATGAGTTTCCAGGATTAGTTAAATTTATAGAGCCAAAAAGTAGAATGGAGGCTGCCAGGGGCTGGGGAAGAGGGAATAGGGAAGTGGGTAGTAGCTGCAGTCAGATGATCCTGAAGCTGAAATCATCTGAAGACCTATCAACTCACATGTCTGGTGGTGCATGTGATAGTATGTTGGACATGACGTGTCTGCATAGCTGGAGTCTATCCAGATATCTCTCCATGCTGCCTCTCCATGTGGCCAGGTTGGGCTTCCTCAAAGTATGACAATGTGAGGGTGGTCAGACTTCTTACATGGTGCCTGGCTTCCTCTAGAATTTGCATTCCAAAAGACTTGGGGAGAAGTTTCAAGGCTTCTTATGACCTAGCCTCACACAACCCAGAATATCACAATTTTGCTATATCCTATTGGTCAAAGAAGTCACTAACGTCAGCCCAGATTCAAGGAGAGAAGAACTAGACTTCACCCCCTAAAGGGAGAAATAGCAAAACAATTTCAGCCATCTGTAAGCTATTATAAGTGAGCTCATCCAATTGTAAAGTGCAATTATTACTTTCATTCCCATTTTCTGTAATAACAGACTGCATCAGTCATATTATGTATTCACTAACATACTGTATTACCGGAAAATTAACTCCTTACATGTGACAAGACTTTTTGCCTAGGAAAAAAAAATCTAACTTTTTGTGTTACTATAGAATTTCCATTTTTACCCATTTCTAGTTTCTGTTTTTTTGAGACGGAGTCTCGCTCTGTCACCCAGGCTGGCATGCAGTGGCTCTCCGCTCACTGCAACCTCCACCTCCCGGGTTCAAGCAATTCTCCTGCCTCAGCCTCCTGAGTATCTGGGAAGACAGGCCTGCACCACCACGCCTGGCTAACTTTTGTATTTTTTAGTAGAGATCGGGTTTCACCATGTTGGTTACGCTGGTCTCGAACTCCCAACCTCAGGTGGTCCACTCACCTCGGCCTCCCAAAGTGCTTGGATTATAGGCGTGAGCCACCACACCCGGCCTACATACATTTCTAGTTTTTAATATAATTTCCTATTTCTTAACTTGAAGATTGCTTTACTTTTTTTCTCACACAAATGTTTTTATTGAGATATAATTTACTTACTGTAGTAAGCAGAAAAATGGCGCTCCAAAGAAACCTACATCCCAATCCCTGGAACCTGTGAACATGTTGTACCACATGGCAAAACTGAATTAAGGTTACAGGTGAATTTAAGGTTGCCAACTAGCTGACCTTGAAATAGATTATTCTGGGTTGTCTGGTTGGGCCCAACATAATCAAAAGGGTCCACATAAGTGATAGAGAGGCAGAAGAATGGTCAGATTGGTGTGAGAAGGACTCAATCTGCTATTGCTTCTTTGGAAGATGAAGGAAGGGGCCATGAGCCAGGAATGCAGGCAGCCTCTAGAAGCTGGAAAAGTCAAGGAAACATTTCCCTAGTAAGCTCCAGAAAGGAATGCAACACTGCTGACACTTTGCTTTTAGCAAAGTGAGGCCTGTAACAGACTTCTGACCTCCAGAACTGGAATATAATAAAGTTGTCTTGTTTTAAACCAGCCAGGTTGTGATATTTTGTTACAGCAGCAATAGGAAACATATACATGCCATAAAAATTCATGCTTTTGAAGTATATGATTCAATGTTTTTAGTATAGTCCCAAAGTTGTATAACTTCACCACTAATTACAGCATAGTTTAATCACACCCCAAATAAGTTCCATTATCAGTCACTCCCCAGTGCCTCCACCTCCCAGCCCTTGACCACCGCTAATCCACTTTATATCACTATGGATTTGCCTGTGCAAGATATTTCACATAAAAGGAATCATACATGTGTCCTTTTGGGTTTGGCTTCTTTCCCTTACCATAATGTTTTCAAGGTTCATCATGTATCATGGATCAGTACTTCATTTCTTTTTATTGTCAAATAATATTCCATCGTATGGCTATATCACATTTTGTCTATTCATCAGTTAATGGACATTTGGCTTGTTTCCACTTTGGGGGCATTCTAAATCATGCTGCTACGAACGTTGGTATACAAGTTTTTGTGTGAACATATGTTTCCAATACTTTTGCATATATACTTAGGAGTGGAATTGTTGGATCTTATGGCAACTCTCTGTTTAACCTTTTGAGGAACTGCTTAGCTATGCTCCACAGTGGCTGCACAATTTCATATTTTCACCACCAGTGTATGAGGGTTCCAACTTGTCCACATGCTTGCCAACACTTATTTTCTATTTTAAAATTATTATTATAGCCATCCTAGTGGTTTTAAGGTGGTATTTCATTGTGGTTTTGACTTGCATTTCCCTAACGATTAATGATGTTGGGCATATCTTAAAGTGCTTATCATCCATTTATATTATTTCTTTGGGGAATGTCTATTCAAATTCTTTGTTCATTTTAAAATTGAGCTGTTTGTCTTTGTATTATTCAGTTGTGAGAGTGCTTTGTGTACTCTGGATACTAGTCTGTTATCAGATATATAATTTGCAAATACTTTCTTCTTCTTAGTGGGTTGTCTTTTCACTTTTTTGATAGTTACTTTGAAGCATGTAAGTTTTTAATTTTGATGAAGTTCAATTTTTTTTCTTTAGTTGTTTGTGTTTTGGTGTCCTATTTAAGAAACCACTGCCCAATCCGAGGTCATAAAGATTTATTCCTATTTTTTTCCTGAGAACTTTATGCCCTTAGCTCTTGCATTTAGGTCTTAGATCCATTTTGAGTTAATTTTTGTATGTGGTATGTGTGGTATGGGTGCAACTTCATCCTTTTTCATGTGGCAATCCAGTTGTCCCAGAACCATTTGTTGAAAAACCCATTCTGTCCCATTGTATTGTTTTGGCACCTTTGTCAAAAATCAGTTGACCATAAACATATGAATTTATTTCTGGACTTTCAATGTCATTCTGTTGATCAATGTATCTGTCCTTATGCCAGTACCACATAGTTTTGATTACTGCAAATTTGTGGTAAGTTTTGAAATCAAGAAGTGTAAATTCTCCAACTTCATTCTTTTCCAAGATTGTTTTGGTTATTCTGGGTCCCTTGCATTTCCACATGAATTTTGGAATCAGCTTGTCAGTTTTTCTAAAACAGGCAGCAGTGATTTTGATAGGCATTGTGCTGAATCTGTAGATCAGTTGGGGGAGTATTGCCACCTTAATATCGTATGTTTTCCAATCCATGGACATAGAATGCCTCTCTGTTTTTTAAAGTCTTTTTAATTTCTGTCAACAGTGTTTTGTAGTTTTCAGTATACAAGCCTTCAGACTTATTTTGTTAAATTTATTCCTAAGTATTTCATTATTTTTGAGGCTATTGTAAATGGAATGCCTAATGTTATTTTTGGATTACTCATTGATGCTGTATAGAAATACAGTTGATTTTTGTATATTGATCTTGTATCAATTACAAGGGTTCAGCAACATTGCTGAAATTGTTTATTATTTATTAGTTCTAATAGTTCCTTTGGTGGTTTCTTTTTTTTTTCTTTTTTTTTTTTTGAGATGGAGTTTCACTCTTGTCTCCCAGGCTGGTATACAATGGCGCAATCTCGGCTCACTGCAATCTATGCCTCCCAGGTTCAAGTGATTCTCCTGCTTCAGCCTCCTGAGTAGCTGAGATTACAGGCATGGACCACCACGCTCAGCTAATTTTTTGTATTTTTAGTAGAGACGGGGTTTCACCATGTTGGCCAGGCTGGTCTCAAACTCCTGACCTCAGGTGATCCACCTGCCTTCCGGTGGCTCACACCTCTAATCCCAGCACTTTGGGAGGCCGAGGCGGGTGGTGGCTTCTTTAGAATTTTTCTTTTCTTATTTTTAGGAACAGGATCTTGCTCTGTTGCCCAGGCTGGAATGCAGTAACACAATCACAGCTCACTGCAGCCTTGACTTCCCAGCTTCAAACAGTCCTCCCATCTCAGTCTCCTGAGTAGGGGGTACTACAGGCATGTGCCATGATGCCTGGCTAATTTTTTAATTTTTGTGTAGCGACGACTTTTGCTTTGTTGCCCAGGCCGGTAGAATGTTCTTTGTATTATTCATATCATTGGAAAATAAAGATAGCTTTACTTCTTCCTTTCCAATCAGGGTGCTTTTTATTTCATTTTCTTGCCCAATTTCCCTGGCTAGAACCTGCGGTACAATATCGAATAGGTGTGGTGAAAATGAACATCTTTGTCTTATTCCTGATTTTAGGGGGAAAATTTTCCATTTTTTACCATTTAGTGTGATGTTAGCTATGAGAGTTTTGTTGTTGTTGTTTTTTTGAGTCAAGGTCTCACTCGGTTGCCCAGGCTGGAGTACAGTGGCCCAATCATGGCTCATTGCAGCCTTGACCTCCTCAGGCTCAGGTGATCCTCCCACCTCAGGTTCCCGAGTAGCTGAGCCCAAATGTGCACACCCCCATGGCTGGCTAACTTTTGTGTTGTAGAGATGGGGTTTCACCACGTTGCCCAGGCTGGTCTCAAACTCCTGATTTCAAGCAATCCACCCGCCTTGGCCTCCCAAAGTGCTGGGATGAAAAGTGTGGCCCATAGCTGGCCAGGTGCGGGTTTTTCATCCCCGCGCCTGGCCAGCTATGGGTTTTCATAAATGCTCTATATTAGGTTAAGGAAGTTCCCTTCAATTTCTAGGTTTGTTTTTCTCATGAAAGGATATTGAATTTTTGGTGAATTTTTTTGTGTGTCTATTGAGATGGTCATGTGGGTTTTGCTTTTTATTCTATTGATATGGTGTAATTACATTTATTAATTTTCTTTTGTTGAATTGTCTTTCTTAAAAACCATAGTATATATAATTGTTTTGTAGTCTGTATCTGATATTTTTAGCATCTGAAATTGTTGCATTTGCTGTTTCTTTCTCAAGGATTCTAGTTTTCTTACATGTTTTGTGACTTTTGACTATAACTGAAGTTACTTGTAGAAATAATTTGAGATGAGGATGATGGTACCTTCCTCCAGAGAAGATATTTATTTGCCACTTACAAAACAGCAGGAAGTCTCCCTATCCAGGACCACCTCAAATCATACGAAAGCACTGAGATTTCCTGAACAGCCTAGGTGATTCAAAAGTGGCCTGTAATTTTGCACAAAAGCATTATAATTCACCCCCACTTCAAGGAAGGTTTCCTCTGACTCCTGTGTGTGGTATCTGTCCCCCTTACCCTGTTAGTTCTCTAAAAGGAAAGTTGGAGTGTTCTGTAATAGGAAAGTATACTAAAAAATGATATAGACCCTTACCTTATATCATATACAAAATTATCTTGAAACGGATAACTAGCCTAAAAATATAACAGCTGAAACTTAAACCCCTAGGAGAAAATCTAGAAAAAGAATCTTTGTGATGTTGGGTTAGTTAGAGGTTTCTTAGATAGGGCACACTAAGTAAGAACCGTAGGAAAAAATAGATAAATTGAACTACATCAAAAATGAAAACATTTTGCTCTTCAAAAGACACTATTAAGGAAGACACAGAAAATATTTGCAAAACATATATCTGATGAGGGATTTGTATTCAGAATATGTAAAACTCTTACAAACCATAAGACAATCTATTTAAAAAAAAAGGTAAATAAACACATGAAATTTGGTCAACATTATTAGTCATTAGATAAATTGCATTTTAAAGCCACCATGAGGTGCTGGGCACAGTGGCTCACGCCTGTAATCCCAGCACTTTGGGAGGCTGAGGCGATTGGATCACTTGAGGCCAGGAGTTTGAGACCATCCTGGCCAACATGGTGAAACCCCGTCTCTACCAAAAATACAAAAGCTAGCCGGGGCCGGCCACGGTGGCTCACGCTTGTAATTCCAGCACTTTAGGGGGCCAAGGTGGGCAGATCACCTGAGGTCAGGGATTCGAGACCAGCCTGGCCAACATGGCGAAACCCCGTCTCTACTAAAAATCCAAAAATTAGCTGGGTGTGGTGGCGTGTGCCTGTAATCCCAGCTACTCGGGAGGGTGAGGCAGCAGAATCGCTTGAACGCGGGAGGCAGAGGTTGCAGTGAGCCGAGATTGTGCCACAATACTCCAGCCTTGGCAACAGAGCGAGACTCCGTCTCAAAATAAAATAAAATAAAATAAAAAAATAAAGCCACAATGAGCTCTTACTGGAGTGCCCTAATGATTCTTGAACCACTCTTGGAAAAACAGATCTCCAGCAGACTTTCAGCTTCTTCAATCTATGGTCTCTGTTCCTGGAGGTGGGCTGAAGCTCCCTAGACAGAAAGGCCAGAAACTGTTACAGTTCTACTAGAAGCTGCCCTTTCAGGTACATTTCTGGTTTCAGCCACTGTTGACAGGGTCCTTGAAGGGTCCAGAAAGAGACTTACGAGGTCCAGGTGAATCTGGATAGCAAAATTTCCTGGCATGTTTTGGAAAGACACGTGGTTCATGGCAGTTACTTCACTCCAGGCTGGAATTCCTGCTCTCTGTGGATAGTGTTCTCTTCTTCCTTTATATTTATACTTATTTCTCTTTCATTTGCAACCCAGTACAGTACCTTTATTAAAATTCAACAGTCATCATGGCTGTGGAGTGAAACAGCAAAACAGTTATTACTCTGAGTTTCCCTCCTCAGAAATCATTTAGGAATGGCAAATTGCAAAACTTCCTTGGGTCATAGATGTCTCCTAAAGGAGGGCAATACTTAATAACATAGTTTTATACATGGAAACATAATGAAATTTCCTAAGTAATTTGCAAGGCTGCTGTAACACTATCATGCACATAGTCACATTTATTTTAAAATAATGCTTTGTTTTATAGAGCACTTAGAGGAACTCAGAATAAGGAGACTGAACTTCTAACATTATTAAAATGTGGCTCCAATTACAGTTAACAAAAGATATTTTCCCTGCTGAAGGAACTGCCTTATAGTGACAGTGACCACCTTTCTATAGTGCTATAGAAAGAGAGACACTCTTTCCTCTGAGATAATGAAGGCTGGAGAGGAATACAGATTTTATACATTTCCAAATTGTTTCCCACACAAGACAGCCAAGGAGCGTAAGTAGTAGATTCTCCTTTTCCTGTATCAGAAATCAACTTACTAATCCTAGCAACAAAATAGCTCACATTTCATAGGCACTTGATACTACTGTGACAAGTGCCTCATACACACCATCCCACTGAATCCTCTCTGCAGACAGGAAGTGCCTGTTAACCATTGAGCTAGGGCTGAGCTCCTCTCCAGGATTCATTCCTTTTGTGCTTCAGAGCATCCTGGAGGCTGGAGGCTTGCTCCTCAGTGGCTTCAGGAGCAGAGGCCTCTCCTAGGTCCTAGGAGTCTGCCATGGGGGCTTCTTCCAGGGCTTCTTTGCCCAGGACCAAGAAAATCTTCATCGAATTGGACAGTATGAAGATCCTTGGTCCCCTTTCCTAGAACTGTTTACAGGGAAGGCTTTGAGTGAACGTGAAGATTGCAATCAGCTGATGACTAAATTAGAGGAGCAGAAAGGAGGCATTAAGTAGAGACGTTTGTGATAGGATAAGACTCTGAAACAGCAACTTCTGATGATGCTGTTCTCAGTAAATTTCCTTCTCACCTCATAGCCTTTCTATCACTCAAGTCATGAGCCTGAAGTGGGTATTGTTTCAAGGGACAGAAAAGCTTAGAGTTTTTCCAAATAGTTTTTTTAACCACATAGTGGGAACAATAGTCTTTAAAACCAATATTTTAAAAATTCCAATAGAACATTTATCTTTTTAAATAGTGGGCTTTTTGAGAAATTTCCTCATTCCTTTCCTTTCTTTTCTTGAGTTATAAAAATTCATCTTTGAAAATTCAAAGCTGACATCTGAAGGATCTCAAATACAAAGTTCATAGCATAAACAATAGTTAGTGGGGAAAATGCATGCTAGCATGAGTTAAAGTGTGACAGGCTAGTAGAATGAGAAAACTAGAAAACGGGAAGGCAGGTGACTAAAGCTTAGGAGCTGGTGGCTTTCTGAGCAGGCACCATTAGATGCCTGCCCAATAGCAGTTCTCTCTTTTTGAAACCAGTCATTGTAATCCAACTCCTTCTCTTTTTATTACCTACTTACATTTCCAGCCTCATTTGTTGCTAGGATGAATGGCCAAGAGATCCAGTTATTAGCAATGAGAACAAAGGAAAAAATGACCTGGAAAGCATTTGGGAAAGACTTTGCTCCTGATAAAAGGAAAGCCCTTTCCCCCTTGCCATTTTCTTCCTGACTTCAATGCAGTTGTGTAAGAAAGTGATGCTTGAAGCTGCACGGTTTGGAAATCATGAGATAATAAAGCAAAAAATGAAATGCAAGCACATTGAGAATGGCAGGTGTGGTAGACAGACTAATGTTCTCCAAAGATGGCCATGTTCTATCCCTGAAACCTGTGACTATGTTATGTTGCCTGGCATGGGGGAATTAAGATTGCAGATGGAATTAAGGTTGCTAATTAACTAACTTTAAAAATAAGAAATTATCTTGGATAATCCTGGTGGGTCCAGTGTAAGCACAGGGTCTTTAAATGGAAGAGGGAGGCAGAAGAAGAGGTTGGAGTCAGAGAAACGAATGTGCTACATTGCTGGACGTGAAGGTGGAAGAAGGGGCCATGAGCCATGGAATGTAGGCGATCTCTAGAAGCTGGAAAAGACAAGGAAACAGATTCTCTCATGTAGCCTCTAGAAGGCTCCAAGGCTGTTGGCACAGCCCTGACAACACCTTTGTTTTAGCCAAGTTAGACCATTTTACACTTCTAACTTCTAGAACTGTAAAACAATAAATTCATGCTGTTTTAAGTCACCACGTTTGTGGTAATTTGTAACAGCAGCAGTAGGAAATGAATACAGCCACTCAAGGGCAAAACACCTCCCAGCCCCCCATGCAGCAAGGTGTGACCATGTGTGTAAGTAACTTCCCACTCATATCCTGAAAAGAAAGCTCCTTGCTCTCAGCTTACATTTTATTTCTATAAAGTAGAAAATGGTCATGCAAATGATTGGCCTATTTCTACCTGGTAGATGTGAACAACCCTGTAGGGGTTGGCTGAAGCCACAGATAGAATAACCTGGATCCCTGAATAATAGTAAGTTGCAGAGACACATACACTCCTTGTTCACCCACCTACTGAGACTTTCACACCAAGGGGAAATAAACTCTCTGTCTTGTTTAAGTCACTGTTATTTAGCATGTACAGAAGTCTTGTAGCTAATATCCTGTATTTCTCTTGGAAACATAGAATTGAGCAGACAAAAAACTCAGCAAAAATTTAGAAGATTTGAACAATTCAATTAATAAACTGGATTTCTATACAGAATATAGAATATATATTTAATATATACAGAATATACAGAATACTGCACCCAACAACTGCTGAATACATTTTCTTTTCAAGGACGCATGGAATCTTCACCAAAACTGACCATATGCTGGGCTCTAAAGTAAGTCTCAACAAATCTCACAGGGTTGAAAATCATACACAATTTTCACAGGATTAAAATTATACAGAATGTTTGCTTACCACAATGCAATTAAGCTAGAAATTAATTACAAAATTACAAAAAGACAACTTTAAAAATATTCTTATGTTTGGAGATTATAAAATATATTTCTAAATAATCCATGTGTCCAAAAATAATTTACAATGAATATTATAAAACATTTTAAATTAAATGGTGATATCTTGAATCACCAAGAGTAGATTTTAAATGTTCTCACCACAGTGATAAGTATGTAAGGTAATGAGTATGTTAATTAGCTTGATTTAGCCATTCTACAATGTATACATATTTCAAAACATCACGTGGTACATGATGAATATATCCAATTTATTTGTCAATTTAAAGTAATTTAAATATAAATTAAAAATACTAAAATGAATAACAATTAACTCCCAATTAAAATAAGTAAATGGTAGTAAAATACTACACATTAAAATGTAAGATGTAGCTAAGGCAGTACTGAAAAGAAAACTTGTAATCTTTAGTGCATAAAAGGTGAAAATTAACAAAGAAAGCATTCATTTCAAAAGGTTAGAAAAGGCACAATAGGCTGGGTGCCGTGGCTCACGCCTGTAATCCCAGCACTTTGGGAGGCCGAGGTGGGCGGATCACGAGGTCAGGAGATCGAGACCATCCTGGCTAACATGGTGAAACCCCGTCTCTACTAAAAATACAAAAAATTAGCGGGGCGTGGTGGTGGGCGCCTGTAGTCCTAGCTACTCGGGAGGCTGAGGCAGGAGAATGGCGTGAACCCGGGAGGCGGAGCTTGCAGTGAGCCGAGATGGCGTCACTGCACTCCAGCCTGGGCGACAGAGCCAGACTCCGTCTCAAAAAAAAAAAAAAGAAAAAGAACAATAAAATATAGCAAAATACAGTAGAAGAAAGAACATATTAGAAATAAAATAAAAACAATAAAAAAAGAAAACATACAATAAAATGATAAATACAATAAAAATGTATTACATTTTTATTGTAATACAATACATAATGTATATGTGTATGTAATACAATACATAATGTAATGTGTATGTAATACAATACATACAATAAAAATGATAACAAAGCTATAGTTCTTTCAAAGACATCCAATCAATAAACCACTGGTGAGACCCTTCAAGAAAAAAAGAGAAGACACAATTAATAAGAGTGACTGTAATTTATGTCTACACCAGGGCATGTTTACACTGAGAAAGGCCACTGAATGTAATTATATACTTTTTTGAAACCTTTATTAATTAACAAATTAATTTTATTATACCAGTGAACCTATAAAATACTTTTATTCAAAAACTATTCTCAAAAATTCTTTTTTAAAAAATAAAAAGAGTATGTATAGCAAAGCAGTCACTGAATTTTTTTGACAGGTGCATTTTTTTCAACATGATCATATTATTTTTAGCACCTATATAAAATTGCCTGCAATCCTTTTTTAAAGCTGGAAGAAGCTTTGAAGGAGCTTCAAAGCTTCCTCAGCTATGATCAATTTATAGTTGGATTGGGTTGGGTTCTTTCGGAAACAGATTCTGAGATGAAGTTGACCGAGCAGTCTGTTTGAGGAATGTCTTTGGGATCAATGTGTGCGGGAGGAAAAGGAAGGAAAGGTGAGAGAGCAAAGGGCCGGATGGGCTGTGATACAACCCAATGGCAGCCTTAATCAACCCCACAGGGAACTCTGCTATTAAAATGACCTGTCAGAGTTGTCCTGTTTGTGCCACAATGTCCAGATCTTTACCCCCCCACCAGTTGTTGAATATGGACCACTGGAGGAAGAACAGGACCTTAGGCAAGGCAGCCCTCCAGCTGAGAGAGGCCCTGAAAGCATTGTATCTGTCACCAGCCCTGTGGCCAAAAGTCGTGATGGAAGCTGCTCAGTGCACATGTGTCTTATACGCTACTGGGCCACATCATGGCTGAAGCCTGAATGAATTCCAAAGTGAAAATTGACCAAAACCATTATGGCTTATTTAAATTCAACTATTGATGATAGTTAAATTTTGTTTCTCTAGGGAAAAATGCTAAACTAAATAGGATGCCAGGAAAATAGATATAAACTGGGACTGTCCCATACACATCAGGTCCATTTCAGGCAAATCGAGATGTATGATAGCCCTATGAATAACTGGCATTAGAAATGAGAATGGAGACATGGTTACAGATTGGCAGAGATTAAAAGAATAACAATTTGAAATTTAGAAATATTCATTTGAAATTCCTTGAAAATACAATTTTCCAATTTACTGATAGAAGTAGAAATAGGAAACATTAAATGCCCAATACTGCTAAGGAAATTGAATCTATAATTTTAAATCATCCCCCCACCCCACAAAAACTACAAGCCTAGATAGTTTCACTAATGAAATCTTCCCGAACATTTAAAGAGGAAATAGTGCCAACCTCAAACATTCTTACAGATGTTAGAAAAATAGAAAATATTCTCATTCTTATTTTATAAGGCCAGGATAACCCTGAAATGCCAAAAGCTAATAAAAACATTACAAAAAAAAGAAAAAAATGGCAAGGTAATTTCACTAATGAATACAGTTACAAAAATCTAAATAAAATATTAGCAAAATCCCTCAGCAATACATACAACATGATGAAATGGGTTCATTCCAGGAATGCAAGGTTTACTTAATACTATTGGAAAATTATTAAATGCAATCCACTATATTAACAAAACAAAGAAGAAAAATCATATGATTTAATAGATACAGAAAAGGCATTTAATAAAATCAAATCTCTATCTATGTTGAAAAGAAAAAACCAACCTCTTAGCAAACTAGAAATAGAAGGAAAAATCCTTAATACAATAAAGAGTATTCACAAAAGACCCACAGCAAACATTACCTTTAATAATGAGATGATCAAGCTTTCTTCTAGACATGGGAAACAAGACAAGGATCTGAGAAACAAGACAAGGATTCCACTGTTACTACCTATACTCAACATTGTCTTAGAGATCCTGGCAGAGACAAAGGCAAGGAAAAAATTTAAAAGCTAAGGATTAGAAAGGAGGACTTTTGGCTGGGTGTGGAGGCTCATGCCTGTAATCCCTGCACTTTGGGAGGCAGGTGGATCACCTGAGGTCAGGAGTTCGAGACTAGCCTGGCCAACATGGTGAAACCCAGTCTCTACTAAAAATACAAAAAATTAGCCAGATGTGGTGGCGGGTGCCTGTAGTCCCAGCTACTCAAGAGGCTGAGGCATGAGAATTGCTTGAACCTAGGAGGCAAAGGTTGCAGTGAACTGAGATCATGCCACTGCACTCCAGCCTGGGCAACTAGAGCAAAACTCTCTCTCAAAAAAAAAAAAAAAAGGATTTTTTAATAAGACATGGTAATATTTGTAGATAACCTATAGATAAATTAAGAGCTTTAACAAGTTCAATATACAACAAGCAACTGCATTTTTACATTTCAGCAACAGGTTGGGAAGTAAAAAAAATTTCCTTTAAATAGTCATTAGAAATTAAACACCTAAAGCATGTAACAAAAGATAGGCATGACTTCTTTATTTATTTATTTTATTATACTTTAAGTTCTAGGGTACATGTGCACAATGTGCAGGTTTGTTATGTATACATGTGCCATGTTGTTGTGTTGCACCAATTAACTCGTCATTTACATTACGTATATCTCCTAATGCTATCCCTCCCCCATCCCTCCACCCCATGACAGGCCCTGGTGTGTGATGTTCCCCTTCCTGTGTCCATGTGTTCTCATTGTTCAATTCCCACCTATGAGTGACAACATGCGGTGTTTGGTTTTTTGTCCTTGCGATAGTTTGCTCAGAATGATGGTTTCCAGCTTCATCCATGTCCCTACAAAGGACATGAACTCATCCTTTTTTATGGTTGCATAGTATTCCATGGTCCATATGTGCCACATTTTCTTAATCCAGTCTATCATTGATGGACATTTGGGTTGGTTCCAAGTCTTTGCTATTGTGAATAGTGCTGCAATAAACATATGTGTGCATGTGTCTTTATAGCAGCATGATTTATAATCCTTTGGGTATATACCCAGTAATGGGATGGCTGGGTCAAATGGTATTTCTATTTCTAGATCCTTGAGGAATTGCCACACTGTCTTCCACAATGGTTGAACTAGTTTACAATCCCACCAACAGTGTAAAAGTGTTCCTATTTCTCCACATCCTCTCCAGCACCTGTTGTTTCCTGACTTTTGAATGATCGCCATTCTAACTGGTGTGAGATGGTATCTCATTGTGGTTTTGATTTGCATTTCTCTGATGGCCAGTGATGATGAGCATTTTTTCATGTGTCTGTTGGCTGCATAAATGTCTTCTTTTGAGAAGTGTCTGTTCATATCCTTCGCCCACTTGTTGATGGGGTTTTTTGTTTTTTTCTTGTAAATTTGTTTAAGTTCTTTGTAGATTCTGGATATTAGCCCTTTGTCAGATGAGTAGATTGCAAAAATTTTCTCCCATTCTGTAGGTTGACATATAGGCATGACTTCTAAGCAAAAAGTTTTGAAATATAATTGAGGGAATCTGAAGCACTCCCAAATAATGAGAACAATCTTGAAACAGAACAAATTTGGAGGTCTCATACTTCCTAAATTCAAAACTTATTCCAAAAATACGGTAATCAGAACAGTATGGTACTGGTGTAAAGACAGACCTACAGACCAAAGGAATAGAATAGAGAGCTCAGAAACAAACTACCCCACACATAGTCAAATGCTTTTTAACAAGGATGCTGAGACCATCCAGTGGGGAAAGTCTTTTCAACAAATAGTGCTGGGAAGATTGGATATCCATATGCAAAAGAATAAAGTTGGACCCTTACACATCATACAAAAATTAACTTAAAATGAATTAAAGACCTAAATGCAATAGCTAAAGCTATAAAACTCTCAGAATAAAACAGGGGAAAATATTCAAGACATTGGATTTGGCAATGATTTATTCAATATGAAACCAAAAGCACAGGCAACAAAGCCAAAATAGATAAACTGGACTACATCAAACTTTAAAACTCCTGTGCATCAAAGGATACAATCAACAGAGTGAGAAGGCAACCTATAGAACTTGAGAAAATATTTGCAAATCATTTCAGACAGGGTTTAATATCCAGAATACATAAAGAACTGCAATGCAACAACAACAAACAACCAATTAAAATATGGGCAAAGGTCTTGAGTAGATATTTCTCCAAGGAAGATATACAAATGGTCTAACAAACACCTGAAAAAATGCTAAACACCATTAATTAGGGAAATGAAAATCAAAACCACAAGATACCACCTCACATGCATTAGGATGGCTACTAGCAAAAAACCAAAGCAAACAACTGGAAAATAACAAGCGTTGGCAAAAATGTGGAGAAACTGGAACTCTTGTGCATTATTGATAGAAAAGTAAAATGGTGCAACTGCTATGGAAAACAGTGGTTCCTCAAAAAACTAAAAATAAAATTACCATATGATCCAGCAATTCCACTTCTGGGTATATACCCAAAAGAATTGAAAGCAGGATCTTGAAGAAATATCTGGACACCCATGTTAGTAGCAGCATTATTCACAATAGCCAGCATTATTCACAATAGCCAAAAGGAGGAAGCAACACACATGTCTATCAATGGATGAGTAGATAAACAACCTATGGTATTTAGTATAATGGACTATTATTCAACCTTCAAAAGGAAGAAAATTCTGACACATGGTACACCATGGGTGATCCTGAGGACATGATGCCAAGGGAAAAAAAGCCAATCACAAAAAATACAAACACTGAATTATTCTTCTTATATGAGGTACCTAGAGTAGTCAAATTCATAGAGACAGAAAGTAGAATGGTGATTGCCAGGGACTGGGCGGAGGGGGAGGTGGCAATGGGCAGTTGTTTAATGGGTATAAGGTTTCACTTTTGCAGAATTACAGGAGTACTGGAGATTGTTTGCACAATGTGAATGTAGTTGACACTACTAAACTGTGCATTTAAAAATAGTTAAGATTGTAAATTTTATGTCATGTATATTTTAACACAATTAAAAAAATGAACAGAGCCTATAAAACAATATTTATGGATAAAATTATTGAGAAACCAGTAAAAAAAATTTACTGAAACACATTAAAGAAGACCTAAATAACTGGAGTGAATTCCATATTCATGGACTGATTATACCTTAATTGTAACCTATCGTAACCTAATATTGTAAAAATGGCAATTTTTCCCAAATTAACTTGTAGACTTAATGTAATCCCAATAAAAATTGAAACACTTTTTATGGAAATTGAAAAATGAATACTAACATTTATATGGAAATACAGAGTTAAGAAGAGCAAAGACACTCTTGAAAGGAGAATGTAGGTGATAAGACTTGCTCTACTGGTTATCAAGATTCATTAAACGGGCCAGGCGTGGTGACTCACGCTTGCAATCCTAGTACTTTGGAAGGCTGAGGCAGGAGGATTGCTTGAGCCCAGGAGTTTTAAACAGGCGTGGGCAACAAAGAGAGACCCTGTCTCTAAAAAAAGTTTTTAAAAATTAGCCAGACATGGTGGCATGCACCTGTGGTCCCAGCTACGTGGGAGGTTGAGGCCGGAGGACTGCTTAAGCCCAGGAGGTTGAGCCATATTTGTGCCATTGCACTCCAGCTTGGGCAAAAGAGTGAGACCCTGTTATCTCAAAAAAAAAAAAAAAAAAAAAAAAGAAGATTCATTGATTCATTAAAAGGTTGTAATAACTAAAAAAGTATGGTGTTAATGTAAGACAAATAAACATACCAATGGAAGAAATTAAAGGTACCAGGAAAAGATTCATACATACATGGGTGGCTTGACATGTGACACAAAGATCTTTGCAGAAGAGTGGGAGAAAGTTTTTTTTTCAATAAATGATGCTGAATCAATTATCTAAATGGAAAATGGAAAATAAAATTGACCCCTACTTCATACCATACACAAAATCATTTTCAAGTTAATTATAAACCTAATTGTAAAAAGCAAAATATTAAAGATGATGGAATATAATATAAAAACATTTTCAAGATATTGGGATAGGGAGAGATTTTAGAAATATGACACTAAAACTCTAATCTCAAAGGGAAAGAAAAAATGATAAATTCAGCTTATTAAAAATTGGGATTTTTATTTATCAAAAGACATGCAAATGTGGAATTCCAGGATGTTAGCTGTGCAACAAATGAAAAAGTAGTCTCAATTTGAGCAGTAGCACTGAGAATAACTCCAGTAATTTTTCAGAAGGAGAATTATTGGAGAATTCAGACTTGTTTAACAATATTGAGAGGACCATACAGCTTCAGTAGAGATTTTAAGCATTAATTTTGATAAGTACCTAGAAAACTAAGCAAAAAAATAAAGCAAGGTTATGATTTTTCAGGAGCAAAAACACAGAAGGATGTTTCCAGACAAGGAAAAATAATTATACAATACAATCTACCTGGTTCATTTGTGAAAAAATTTGCAAAATCATACTATGATGAAGACATATCATTACATTGTATTGCAACTGTATGTTAGAGGAAGAGGATGAACTAAATTCCCGTTTTCTGAGGTAGTATTATAGTATTCTTTGCCTTCTTCTCCACAAGAGGGCGCAAGGTGAATGAACCTTTCCTTTTGTGGCCTGGTCTTCATACTCTGCCGTTGGCATTTCAATCTAATCCACAAGTATTTTCAAAGCAATGGCTCTTTTCAACTTGAAAAGTGGAAAAGTGGTCTGTAATGGTCTGTAACCACCTTTCAGACCCTAAGCCTGGGTCTAGGAGAGCATTTCCGATTGAGCTTGTCTGCTATGCAATGCACTGGCGTAATGGAAATCATGCCAGACCAGGGGTCATCTAGCATGGACTGTCCTGCTGAGGCTGTCCCCTCCTGGCCAGGGCATCTGAGGCAAGTGAGTTGGCCTCTTGGAGTCTCAGTTTCCTCATCTGTAACATAAAGGCAATTAGAGTAATCACCTCATAGGATTGTCCTGGGAAATAAATGAGGTAGAGTTCCCTAAGTGTCTAAGAAATATTTTATATGTAAATTTTTACATATAAAATTACATATATTTTATATGTAAAAAAAGTAACTATTATTATTTTTACTATTAATTCCTTATCTGTGAAACTCTAGAGGGATTGCCAAGGGGGGACTGAGTGACCTCCAAGAGTCTCCTCCAAGATCTTTTTTCTGAGTTTGTCAATGACTTACCATGCATGCTGGTCATTTTCTATAATCTATCTGTAAAGCTTCAGAAAAGAAGAGGAGACCTCTGAAGAGGAGGGACACGCTGTTCCCAGGAATCTGCTCCAGCAGATTTTCTGTCCTGCTGGGCCCTGTACCCGCCCTCCATGCCTGCTGTGTGCTGTGGGGCTGGAAGTATGTGGCCAACACATCCCACAGTTTTGGTCCTGGTCTCAGCTTGGTCCTGCCAGCAGTGGAGAACAGAGGCGGCTTTGGTTTAGTGCTGTCCATGCTGGCCACAGCAGCAGCCTCTGGCTCCCGGGGCAACGGGTAGCTGGTGTAGGCTTGGGGCCAGCCGGGTCGGTAATGACTTCTTCATCTCTAGTTAACCCTCCTCTATTTTCCCCCTCTGGCACCCCTCCAGCCACACCCACCAGCCATTGCAATACCTTGGTAAATAGTTCTTTGCCCTGAATCCTTCTCTGCTTGAAAGAACAAGTGGTTTCTGTTCTCAGACTGCACCTTGATTGATGGGTGCAGGGGCTTCACCATCTGGAAAGCTCTCCCCAGGCAAGTGGGGTGCACAGCCCAGCCAAACCACAGTCATCATCACCACCTCTTCTCACATGCAGGTTTCTAGACATTAATATGAGCCAGGGGGCACCATACGGGTGTTATTTGTATACACCTGGTGTATACAAATATATTCATTTCTATTGTGGTGTAAAATCCCATACAGCCTGCAATGGGGCAGCCTTTCTGGGCCTGAGGAGTGGGTCGAACCTTTGCTAATGTTAAATTATCAGGTTGTGTATTCCCCTTTAGGATGAGTGTTTCCTTGCTTTCTGCTGCCTTCCTGCTTTAGAAGCACAGCAGCCATGAAGCACTAAACTTCATCGCGCACACAACCAGGCACTGCAGGATTTTGAAAGGGTGCTGAAGGATAGATACGGGCTGATTCCCAAGTCATGCTCGAGACTCCCTTATGAAGGAGGCTGCCAAAGACTGGTTTTGTGACCCTAGCTGGCCTCCTATCTTTGACCTAGAAAGAGGTTTCAAAGGCTGAGAAAAGGCTAGTGGTGAGAAGGTTTTTGAGAGGGTTGCTGGGAGGGGCCTGCATGATACCTTGAGGGGCAAAGGGAACGTGGGAGTGTTTCCCAAGGACCTGATTTGGGCGGCTCCACTGAGAAAGCTGGCTGGGGTCATTTGATATCCCACCCAAGAGAGCTGCCTGAAGAGCAAAACTCCGCAGCACAGTAAGTCTGAGGCTCCTTCATCATATAAAGGCTCAGGAAGGTGTCTTGAGTGACCAGCTGGAAAGAGAGCCCCAGAGACTAAGGAGTCTCTGAAAAAAACCTACGAAGTTCCTTACAGGGAGGAAAGAACTTGCTTCAGAGAGGGCTGATTCCAGATCATCACAAAGTTCCAAGTTATGTGAGAATCCTGCTGCCCCACCCTCCTTAGCTCCACCCTGGGTGTGGCCAAAACCCACAGCAAAGGGTGGAGCTGAAGAAACAAAAGAGCTTGGAGAAGAAAAGAGAGAAATGTATCAGGACGCGTCTCCCTGCAGGTGGCTGGTCTGCAGTGGGTGCCTGCCATGCAGAGGAGGGAAAAGGGAAGAACTAACCCCACTGTAGGGGAAATGAATGATGCTTTCTCATCACTTTCCATGAAGCCCCTTTGCTCCACATAAAGGCCAGGCTGGCAACGCATGCTGAGGTTTAGAGTTCATGGGGTGGCTAGGAGGGGTGGCAATGGCTTTGGGCTTTATTGTGGTTCAAGATCCTGAGCCCAAGAGGGTTCCAGCACCACCCCTAGGAGTGAGGGACTTTGCTTCTACCTTTCTCCAGGAACAGTGGGTCTCTGCAGAGCTTGAGGTGGGTGGGAGAGAGGATTTGAGAAAGGGGAGGGTGGAAGTAGACCATTTAGGGGAGGAGTGTGAACTTGTCCAAGGATTGTGGTGAGCCTGCAGGGTAGGGCTGCTGCTCATCTGACATTTCGGAAGGGTCTTCCTGGCTGTGACGTTGCTGTCCCTCAGCACCTGCTCCTCAGGTCTGATGGGGTTGATGGTTCTGGTTAACCAGTGCTGACGTTTCGCCCCAGTGAAGACAAAGTATGCAAAGTAGGTAAGGTCATTGGAAAGCAAGTGGGGCTAGCCCAATGAGGAAGAAAGTGAGACGTTGGCCCTACAGACCACGCCCAGTGAATGGAGGAGTTGGAGCCAGGATTCTATAGTGAGCAAGAACCATGGGGGCTTATGATGACCGAGCTTCAGGCTCCCAAGCAAGCTGTTGAAGGTGGTGCATTTACTTGTGAAGTTAGGCTGTGGGTGTCAGTAGCTGAGGTGTTGAGGAGGGAGAGGATGGTTGTCAACATGATAGAGGACTGGGAACCAGAGTGTGTGGTGCATCTACGGTGCTGAAGTGACAGAAGGTGGAGAGGAGCAGGTTGGTCAGGTGCGAGTCACCATGCAATGAGGAGGAGGAGATGGAAGGGGGTAGAGTCACCAAGTGGAGGGTCATGCGCGGTGAGGTTTTCAGAAAGCTCGACTGGGAGGGAGGAGAAATGGATCAGAAAGGGATTTGGATGGTTGGAATGACCGGAATTATCTGATTACTAAGCGCGTGCGCTCTCTCTCTCTCTCTCTCTCTCTCACACACACACACACACACACACACACACACACACACACACACACAGCCTGAGCTGACCAGGGCCTGGACCATTACTCAGCCCAGACAGACTGACCCTCCTAATGCTCCAGGTCACAAATGCCCTCCAAGGGCTCTTGGGCTGGGAAGTGCTGCAGAAGTAGACAGGGAGGGCCTGAAGTATTCTCCCTCAGCCGTCCCTCCTTTATTTAAAGTACAGAATTATTTGCTTGGTGCAGGGGCTAGGAAGGTGCCATACCAGGAATCTCTAGTGGCATTTTGTGGCTCATGGGTGGCTTAGGCTGGGGTGAGCCTCGGCAATGGCACCCCTCTGCAGTAATCCTCACCCTCCTGCAGGAACTTCAGACAAACTTCAGTTCACAAATACTCATCGAGTGCTCATGGTCGGGGAGGTGCTTTGCTGGATGCCTTGAGGGATCAGCCCTGCCTCCGAGAAGTTTCCAGACCTACAGAAGACAGAAGGCTTGTCTAAGAGTCACCTGAGTCACACAGTGTGAAGTGTGAATATTCACACATAAGGGATGCACAGGGGTTGGTGGAAGACTTCCTGGGAAAGGCAGCTTCAAGCTGAGCTGGGAAGGAGGGTAAAGTCTTGACAGAAAGGGAGAAGATTTCCAGGCTGAGACTGGCAATTGGACAAAATTGTAGTTAATAGGTTCTGGTGATTAAACCCGCCATAGGAGGATAGTGTCTTCTGCTGCTTGTCTGTATTACACACATGTGTGTAAGCAAATTGGAACCAACACATCTGCATGGTTCTTTTCCCACAGTGGAGGAGAGTTTCAATATGTTAATGTCATATTCCTCTTAGCAATGTTGAGACAGTGAAATCTTATTCAGCATTCTGGTTTGACATATTGCTCTGTGCTTGCATGGAATATCAGATGTGATCATAATTTGTAGACAAGAATCTTGCCTATTTTACATTTTCTGTATTCTGTGCAGTAGGCATGTCCTTAGTGACCCCATTCTCTTCTAGCTGACTTCATTCTCTTCCCTCCTGTTTTGTTGAAGGTCCTGGGGGCTCTGTCCTCACTCCTTTTTCTTCTTTCAGGAGAACCTTTGACTCCCATGGCTTTGATGACTCCTCTCCTGTTGGAGGATTGGGAGTGAAGAAGGAGAAGACTCTGTAAATCAGGGGAGTGTGTCAGGCCTTGAGTTAGACACTAAAGGTTTGTTGAGGACGGAGAGAGTGAAAGAGTGGCAGAGAAGCAAAAAACAAAGGTGGGGTCTGCTGCAGCAGATGCAGCTGGTGCAAGCAGGAGGAGGCCTGAAGGTGATTGCAGGGGCCAAGGAGAGATGCTGTGAAAGGCTGGGGATAGGAAGTAAAAGCCAGATTGCAGCTGGGCCAGGTGTGAGAACAAGGAGGAAGCAAGTTTTTTTTTTTCAAGAAATCTGGACAAGAAAGGGCAGGAAGAGATGGGGCAATAACTGCAGAGGGAGTGTTCTTATGATGAATGAGGCTTGAGCATGACAGGAAGCCTGCTTTTTCTTTAAATGCTCCTTGGTTGTAGTGTGTTAAAGCCAAGGTAATAATCTAGTCAGACTGCATGGAGGGACTTGCTCAGGTTTCTCCCTCTGACACGATGGTAGCAGGCACCTAAGCACATGCATACCACAGTGCTAGTGGTTCTTTGACAAACCTCTGCCCCAAGAGAGTCTAGGCTGGGCAGCAGAGAGTGCCTGTATTATTTAGAAGCACTACAGGCTGATGACAGAGAGAGAGGAGAGAGAGAGAGAGAGAGAGAGAGAGAGAGAGAGAGAGAGAAGAAAATAACTCAACTTAGAAATATCTTTATGTAAATGAAGATTGTTTTTAGAAATCTACCAACACCTAAAAGTTAATTATGCTGGATTTAAAAACAAATATCAAAAACTCCCTGAGCTCTAACAGGCTTGCATAGAGCCCAAGGGTTCTATGGACAACTGGAGTGGGGGGCAGTGGATGTGATGATCTCAGTTTAGGAGAGAGTCCAGCTACAGAGTGCATCTGATCTGATGACTAGGGACATCTTCAGCAGTTCATAAACACGTGCTGTTCTCACCAGCTGCTGGGGAAAAGAGGCTCTGGAAGCTGCCATTTGTTGGTTACAGGCAAAGGAGGTTAACTTGAAAGAAATGGGCATATTTTATATAATACAAGCTACCAGGGAGGATTTCAGAATGGTCTTTGTCTTGGTTAAAACGTGATCAAACACCACCATACCTTAAAAAACAGCTACAATGAAAATTGAATTAATTAATTAAAATTAAATTAGAACAGAAAATTTAACTACTTAAACTAAAGCACATAAATTATGTTTTTAAAGGTCAGATTTCTGCTCCTATTCAAGGTAAACTAACTGATACGTATTTAACCTCCCACCTGAAACAACAACAAAAAAGGGAAAAACACACAAAATATATGAAATAATTGTTTGAAGACACTGGACATCAGGCAACAAAAGACAGTGATCCTTGAGAAAAGGAAAACAAATGATTGCCCCAGCTTATTGGTTTGAGATTTTTAGGCAACAGTACAGGGAAGGAGACCCAAGCAAAGCAAGACCGAACTACATGTTGCCTATAAGAAACCCATTTTAAATATAAAGATAGAAACAAAGAATGCAAATTGGTAATTGCCAAGGGCTATAAGGAGGAGGAAATGAATAGTGACTGCTTAATGGATTTTCTTTTAGGGGGATGAAAATATTTTGGAACTAAATAGAGCTAGTGGTTGTACAACATTGTAAATGTATTAAATGTCACTGAATTGTGCACTTTAAAATAATTACTTTTAAGTTATGTGGATTTCACTTAAAAAAAAAAAAAAGAAAGAAAACTAGGCCAGGTACAGTGATTCACACCTGTAATCCCAGCATTTTGTGAGGCCGAGGCAGATGGATCACTTGAGGTCAGGAGTTCAAGACCAGCCTGGCCAACATGGTGAAACCCAGTCTCTATGAAAAAAAAAATACAAAAATTAACTGGCCATGGTGGTGGGTACCTGTAATCCCAGCTACTCAGGAGGCTGAGGCAGAAGGATTGAACCTGGGAGGCTGCAGTGAGCCAAGATCGTGCCACTGCAGCCTGGGTGAGAGAATGAGGCTCCATCTCAAAAAAACAAAACAAGACAAAACATTAAAACCCAACAAATTAAAAAAAAGAAAGAAAGAAAACTAACGAGACATGCAAGCGTACAAAACCATATAAATAACCAGCTACCTACAGGAGAGCTAGAAAATAAAGTTAAAAGACTCAGTCTTTAAAATAATTATGCTTGTTGTGTTCATTGAGAGATGAAAGATTGAGGATTTTGACAGAGACATATAAAGTATATAAAAAAGAAAATTCTAGAACTGTAAATACAACTATCAAAATTAGTAACTCAGTGGATGGAGTTAGGTGGAGAATAGATAGCTGAAGAGAGAATTCATGAACTTTCAATGGATCAGAAGACAATATCCAGAGTACAATATTGGGAGATGAAAGATAGAAAAAGCAGAAGCTGGGGTAAGAGACAAAGAAGTTAGACAAAGAAGTCCCAGAAGGAGAAGAGTAGGGAAGTGCAATAGAAGCAGTATTTGAAGAGTTAATAATTGAGAATTTAAAAAAGTTGATTAAAGGTATTAAGCCATAAATTAAGCTGACTTCAAAGCAGAAACAGTGGAATCTGGACACAATGGAATGATGCCTTAAATGCTAAAAAAAAAAAAAAAACAACAAAAAAAAAACTATTAGCCAATGAATACTTTAGGCAACAAGTGCTCCACAGTTCATAAGTGGGAACATTCACTTAGGACAGGAGAGATGTGAAAGGGTCACGGGAGATGGGTAAGGTTTGAGAAGGTCACTAAAGAGGCATTAGCAAGTGATGTTTTACAGCCAAGTGGTCAGGAAATCTCAGGGTCTGAACACTGATTCAGTCTGTTTGGGTAAAACTGAGCTCCTATTACTAGGGGTAGAATGGAAATTGAGGCTAGAAAGGGTCAGTAAGAGCAAGATGGTGAATGATCTCATTTTACAGGTGATAGGAAGTATTGGAGGTGTATCTGTGGCATCTCTACCTTGTTTCTTGGGAGGACACCACTAGTAAAACCTTTCTGACATTTTCCTGGTGTAGGTATAAATCACACTGTCTCTTGCCACTTTACTATGAGTGAAATGAAATTTAGATAAGTGCCAGGTTCAGCCTGCTCTGTACTTTCACTCCCTTGTGAGAACATATTATTGAATTGCCATTTTTAAAGAATCCAGTTGCAATGAATCTTATTTCCTCTTTCATTTGTTCCTCTGGAGCCAGAGTGAGACAGTAGATTAGGAAGGGAAGAGAAAATATAGAAGTTCCCTTTCAAAGTTGCTTTCACATGGCTGACCTTTCGATTTATTTTCTCTCTAAGTACCACACTTATTTTAGTCATAACCTTTCCCTTTTTGTCTCCGTAAGGGCAGACGCTCCTTATAAACCCACATGGTCTTCATCAGCCCACATGAATTCCGTCTTGCTTAACTGTGTTTTTCTCATCTCTGAGTGTCACTCCTATTTGGCTCCCTCCTCCAGAGTCCTACTCTGACACCTCTGGTGCACATCCTTGCATAATTCATAAATCTTAAAAAAAAATCTGTGGTGCTCTTTATCATGTGTTTTAAATCACATTAATGGCAGTGTGCTTTTAGAATCCTGTAATTTGACCTACTGAACCGAAAGTCTAACTTTCCAATCTTTTATCTTTTATTTGCATTTCTTGGGGTTTTTGGTTTTGGTATTATTCACTTCCTTTAAGATTTCTCAACTTTAACTTTTGCTGATTTAAAATTTATGCCATAAATTTGATATAGTACTCCACTTCTAATTGTTGTATGCAATGCGCAGCTTTCCAGACAGGGTATACATAAAGGGGTTTCAGTGCACAGATGTATGTACACATTTAATTGCACTAGTGTCAGGTTGCTGTCCAGAATGGCTGCATCAGTGTTCACTTCCACCATCGAAGCATGAAGTTTTTTATTTATTTTGTTTGTTTGTTTGCTTTTGAGATACAGTCTCCCTCTGTCACCCAGGCTGGACTGCAGTGGCATAATCACAGCTCACTGTAGCCTTGACTGCCTAGGCGCAAGTGATTTTCCATTTGCCTGCTCCTGTGCCAATATCCACTGTTTTAATATTGTGTCTACAGTATGTCTTCACAATTAATTAGTAAGACAATTTGTCCTTCTTTGTTTTTATTATCAAATTGACTTATCAGGCTGGGCACAGTGGCTCATGCCTGTAATCCCAACACTTTGGGAGGCCGTGGTGGGAGGGTTCGCTTAAGCCCAGGAGTTTGAGACCAGCCTGGGCAACATAGTGAGACCTCATTTCTACAAAAGACAAAAGTAAAAATTTAGCCTGGCATGGTGGCGTGTGCCTGTGGTTCCAGCTACTCAGGAGGCTGAGGTGGGAGTATCACTTCAGCCTGGGAGTTCGAGGCTGCAGTGAGCCATGATCATGCCACTGCATGCCAGCCTGGAGGATAGAGTGAGACCATGTCTCAAAAAAAAATTGACTAATCTATTTGAGAATCTTTAGTATTCTACTACATTTTAGAATAAGTTTGCCAAATCTTTAAAAAAAATCTTGTTGCAACTTTAGTAAGGATTACATTTAATTTACAGATTAGTTTGGAAGAAACAACTTTGTAAAGTGTTCTCATTACATCCTTGTACATTTATGTAAATATTCTTTTATTTCATAATTAAAAGCTTTATAGAAATAAAATTGTCATACAAACCGTGCATATGTTTAAAACACACAAATTGGTAAGTTTTGACATACGGATTAACCCATGAAACCATCACAAATATCAAGATAGTGAACAAATCCATAATCCCCTCAGACTTCCTTGTGTCCTTTTGTAATTCCTTTCTCCCATCTCTCTCCACATCCCTGTCTTTGTGTAACCTGTGATGCCCTCTCATCACTATAGATTAGTTTGCATTTTCTAAAGTTTTTAGTTAATGGAATCATACAGGAGGTACTTTTTTGTCTGGCTTCTTTCATTTGGCATGATAATTTTGAGATTCATCCATCTTGTAGCACGAATCAACAATTCCTTCCTGTTTATTGCTGAGTAGTATTCCACTGTATGGATATACCACAATTTATTTACCCATTCACTGGTCAGTGGACAGTTGAGTTGTTTTCAGTTGTTGGCTATTACAAATAAAGCTTCTATGAACATTTGCATAAAATTGTTTGCAGGAACATATGCTTTCTTTTCTTTTGGGTAAGTACATGGGAAAGAAATGATTGGGTTAGAGGGTAGGTATATGTTTAACTTCTTAAGAAGTTGCCAGACTGTTTTTCAAAGTGTTGGTATAATTTTACATTCCCACAAGCAGTGTAAGAGTTCTAGTTCCTTCAAATCCTTACCAGCAGGTTGTATGATTAGTCTTTTTAATTTTAGCCATTCTAGCAGGAGTGCAGAGGTATCTTATTGTGGTTTTAATTTTCATTTTCCTAATTACAAAGATGTTGGGCATATTTTGCTTATTTGCCATTCATGTATCCTCTTCAGTGAAATGAGTGTTTAAGCCTTTTGCCTACTTTTAAAATTGGTTTGTCTGTTTTTCTTTTATTGTGCTTTGAGAAGTCTACATATATTCCAGATAGAAGTTCTTTATTATATATGTAATTTACAAATATTTTCTCCTAGTCTCTGGCTTGTATGTTCATTCTCATAACAGTCTCTTGAAGAACAACTGTTTTATGGATGAGGTCTACTTTATCAAATTGTTCTTTTATGAAACGCGTCTGTATGTAAAGGAATTGTGTATATAAGAAGTGTGGTGTGTAAGTGTTGTATATAAGTCTTTGCTTAACTCAAGTTTATGATGAACATTTCATGTTTTCTTCTAGAGGTTTTGTGGTTTTAGGTTTTAAATTAAGGCCTATTTACTACTTTTCTACTGCAGCATAACAAATTACCAGAAATGTAGCAGCTTAAAACAATGCAAATTTATTATCTTACTGTTTCTATAGGTTAGAAATCCAGCATGGCATGACTGTATTCTTTGGGCTAAAATCAAGTTATTGGCTAAAGCTGCAGTTCTGTGTCTTTGGGTCCTCTTCCAAGCAAACTAAGGTCTTTGGCCAATTTCAGTTACTTGTGTAATTACTTCAGTAAGTAATTACATTCATTTGGCTTGATAATTTTGAAATTCATCCATCTTGTAGCATGAATCAACAGTTCCTTATTACTTCAAGAAGTAATTACACAAGTAATTGAAGTTGGCCAAAGTAATTACTTATTGAAGTAATTCAATTACTTATGGTCATACGACTGAGATCTCTGTTCCTTGCTGGCTATTAGCCAAGGGCCTTTCTCTCAGCAATTTAAGGCTGTCCGTATTTCTTCTCACATGGCCAAGCTCCATCTTCAAACAAGCAATGGTACACTGACTCTTCATGCTTTGACTCCCTCTAACTTCCATTTCTGTCTTTTTCTTCTGCTTTTAAGGACACATGTGGATTACATTGGAACCACGTGGAAATCCAGGGTAGCCTCCCTATTCTAAGTCAGCTGATTAGTAACCTTAATTACCTCTGCAAAGTCATTTTTGCTATGTAACATATTCAGTCTTGGGGATCAGGGTATAGAAACTTTTTGGTGGACGTAATTCTTCTTACCACAGTCAATGACCCTGATATGGTTTAGCTGTGTGTCCTCACCCAAATCTCATCTCGAATTTTAATCCCCATGTGTTGAGAGAGGGAAGTGACTGGATTATGAAGGCCATTTCCCCCATGCTGTTCTCGTAATAGTGAGTGAATTCTCATGACATCTGATTGTTTTATAAATGGCTATAAATGGTAGTTTTTCCTGCACTCTCACACATTCTCTCTCTCGCCTGCAACCGTGTAAGACATGCCTGCTTCCCTTTCCACCATGATTTTAAGTTTCCTGAGGCCCCAGCCATATGGAACTGTGAGTCAGTTAAACCTCTTTTCTTTATAAATTACCCAGTCCAGGGCAGTTCTTTATAGCAGTGTAAGAATGGACTAATATAGATCCATTTTGTGTTAATATTTATATATAGTGTGAAGTATGAATAGTTCATTTGTTTTCATGTGGATATGCAATTGTTCCAGCATCATTTGTTAAAAAGGCTATCTGCAATGATCTGGATGTGTCCTCCCAAAATTCAGATGTTGAAATTTAATCACAAATCTGACAGTATTGAGAGGTGGGACTTTTAGGAAGTGATTAAGTCATGAGGCAGAGATGCCATGAATGGGATTACTGCCCTTATAAAAGAGGTTGAAGGGAACAGCCTTGACCTGCCATGTGAGGATGCAGTAACAAGGTGCCACCTTGGAAAAAGAGATCATTCCCTCACCAGACACTAAATCTGATAGTGCATTGATTTTGGACTTCCCAGCCTCCAGAACTGTGAGCAATACATTTCTATTATGTATAAATTACTCAGTCTAAGGTATTTTTGTTATAGCTGCCTGAATGAACTAAGATACTTTTTCTCTACTGGATTTCCCTGTACCTTTGTCAAAAATCCTTTGTCAATGTATGTTTGGGTCTATATCTGGACTCTGTATTCTGTTCCATTTATCTGATTGTTTATTGCTATGCCAATACAACACTGTTTTGACTATCACAGCATTACAGTGTCTTGAAGTCTGGTAGAGTTAACCGCAATTTTTCTCTTATTTTTCAAAGTTGTTTGAATATTTCAGGTTTTTGCATTTCTATGTGAATTTTAGAATCAAAATATCAATTTCTATATGAATAATACTGGATTTTGAGATTGAATTGAATATATAGATTAATTTAGGGAGAATTGACATCACAACTATATGTTGTGTTTTCTTACCACCGAACAAAATATAATCTCCTTTTATTTAGATTTTCTTTTATTTATCTCAGCATTGTTTTATATTTTTCAGTGTAGAGCTCTTTCACATCTTTTGTCAGATGTATCCCAAGCTTTTCATTTTTTGGAAACATTGTATTTTAATATCAATATATGATTGTTCATTCCTAGTATATAAAAAAGGAATTTATTTTTGTTTCCGTTTCTTACTTTTCTTTCTTATTGCACTGGCCATAATCTCCTGTGCAATGTTAAATGTTGTCCTTGTCCTGTTCCTAATATTAGGGGAAAGCCTTCAGTCTTTCACCATTAAGTATAATGTTAACTCTAAGTCTTTCATAGATGGCCTTTATCAGGTTGAAGAATTTCCCTCATATTCCTAGTTTGCTAAGATTTGGATTTTTTTTCACAAAAAAACAAACAAAAAAGCCCACAAGAATCAGCTGGGCACAGTAGCTCACACCTGCAATCTCAGCACTGGGAGGCTCAGGTGGGCAGATAGCTTGAGTTCAGAAGTTTGAGACCAGCCTGAGCAACATGACAAAACCCTGTTTTTACCAAAAATACAAAAATTAGCCAGGCAAGGTGGTATGTGCCTGTGGTCCCAGCTACCTAGAAGACTGAGGTGGGAGACCCACCTGAGCCTGGGAGGTGGAGATTGTGCCAAGACCCAAGATCACACCACTGCACTCAAGCCTGGGCAACAAAGTGTAAACCCATCTCAAAAAAAAAAAAACCCACAAAAATTGATGTTGGATTTTGTCTAATGCTTTTTCTGTGCTATTGAGATGATTATATGGTTTTTGTTCTTTCTGCTGATATGATGTGTCACATTTATTGATTTGAACCATCTTTGTATCCCTGGGATAAATCCCCCTTGATCATGGTGAATAATCTTTTTAATGTGCTGCTGGATTCAGTTTGCTAGTATTTCATCCGAGATTTTTGCATACTGGTCCATCAGAGACATTGGTGTATAGTTTTCTTTTTTTGTTGTATTTTTGGTTTTGGTATCAGCGGAATGTTGACCTCATAGAATGAGTTTGGAAGTAGTTCCTCCTCTTTACTTTTAATTTTCCTTTTAACCAGGAAGAATGAGCTTGAATCTTCTTTACTTTTTGGGAATAGCTTGAGACATATTGTTATTGGCTCTTTAAATGTTTGGGCGAATAACTCAGTGAAGCCATTGGGGCCTCGGCTTTTCTTTGATGGGAGGCTTTTTATTACAGATTTAAGCTCATAACTCATAAGGGGTCTGTTCAGGTTTTCTGTTTCTTATTATTTCTATCTTGATAGGTTGTATATGTCCAGGAATTTATCTATTTCCATTCAGTTTTCTGATTTGTTGGCATATAGTTGTTTGTAATGTAATAGACAAATAATTCTTTGTATTTCTGTGATATTAGTTGCAATACCTCGTTTTCATTTCTGTTTTATTTATTTAGATCTTCTTTTTTCTTGGTCAGTCTACATAATGGTTTGCTGATTTTGTTCATCTTTTTAAAAAGCCAACTTCTTGTTTCATTGATATTTTATATCTTTTTATGTCTCAATTTTATTTATTTATGCTCTGTTCTTTATTATTTCTTACCTTCCACAAATTTTGAGTTTGGTTTGCTTTTGCTTTTCTAGTTCCTTGAGATGCATTGTGATATAGTTTCAATGTGTGTTCCTGCCTAAATCTCATGTTGAATTGTAATCCCCAGTATTGGAGGAGGAGCCTGGTGGGAGGTGATTGGATCATGAGAGTGGACTTCATCCTTGCTGTTCTCATGATAGTGAGTGAGTTCTCATGAGATCTGGGGGTCCTTATATTCTCATTTTCCACACAATGGGGGGGATTTAGCCAAGGAAATCTCTTAGTGTCAGGTCTGATACAGCCTACAAGCAGCTGCAATGACACTGGGTTCCAGGTGCAGGTGCTTGCAGTAGTTGTGAGTCTGGAGTCCTAGGCTTAGTGTCTTGTGAACCTATTTTGGCACCTGGGTGTTGGGGTACTGGTTTGCTCTCTGTGGTGGGGTTGGTTGTAGCTTGCTCACAGAGATAGAATCTGTCACCTTGAGGTAACTTCTAGCAGCTCAGGCCCAGAGGGCTGGGTTGTAGCTATGATTATATCCCTGGGGGTCAGAGCACAGCATTGGCCCAACTCCAGGGAGTAAGGGATGCTCTGGAGGTTTGGGCCTGGGGAGAAGGGTATGGCTGCAATTCAGGAACCTGAGCCAATAGGGCTCAGTAACAACTTGAGTGCCGTGAGTGCCACGAGATAAGGCACCATGTAGTAGTAACTATAGACCTTGGGATGGTGGGGCTTGGCAGTGTCCCAGACTGTGAGGGCAGGTGCATTGACAGCAAGTACCCCAGAATGGTGAAGCACAGCTGTCGTTTTGCCCTGGGGAGGGCAGAGCACAGCACAGTGATCATTTGACTCTCCAGGGCTCAGAATCTAGAGGGCTAGTCCAGCTTCAGGGAAGCAGGATACTAGATTTGTTTGGCCTGTAGGGTAGGGCGTCTCACCTCAGCCACTGCTCTATTTCCCTGGGATGCAGGGGTACAAAGTTAGCTCAGCCTTGGGATACACAGTTGCTCAGCATGGCCAGGCCACCAATTCACCAGGTGGCAATGTGCCACTTCAGTTCAGGACTGGGGTGAGGTGGTTTAGTGGTGGCTTTTAGGGATGAAAGGGAGCTATGGCTACTCACACCCAGAGTAAGACACTTCAGCTGTAGTTCCAATTCCAAGATGGCATAGTGTAGTCGCCACATGAGCTACAGTGGGCAGGGCACAATGTCAGCTCCTTCTCTCGGAGAAGCACAGGTATTTGGACTGTGCTCCCTCACCTGAGCTCAGTGCCTGTGAGGACTGCAGGGGACCTGGTAATGAGGTCTACAGATGTCCAAGGTATTGATGGGGGTTGCTGGGATCTTCTTTCTTACCTCCTTGCCTTAAGGAGAAGTTCTTGCTGGTTCCCAGCTGATCCCAGTTGAGTGGGAGGGTTGTAGAGGCCCAGTGTTTCCTTCTGTGGCGATCCCAAGTTTCTGTGCTCACTGGGGTTTCTGTTACTCCTCTGATGCACCCTGGTGCTCTTTCTCAGTTAATCTCATTAAAATGTAGTTGTTTATTCATTGTTCTGGCTGTCTTTGTGAGAGGAATGAGTACTAGGGGCTTCTAGTTGGCCATCGTGCTTCAGTGTGGGAACTTGAGCAGTCTATTCTACATATGTCATGCTGCTTGAAGCTGTTCCACAGTTTAATGAAGCTCGCTATTTTTTTTCCTTTTCTTCTGTCAAGTCTAATCTGCCATTAATTCTTCCAGGGCATATTTTTATTGCAAACAGTGTAGCTTTTCATTTCTAGAAATTTGGTTTAGGTCTTTTTTAAAAAATCTCACATGTTTTTATATAACTTTTTGAAAAATACAGAATACAGATTTAATGATTGCCTTAATGTCTTCGTCTGCTTACTCTAACACCTGGGTCAGTTCTAGGTCAGTTTTGTTTGATCCATTATTCTCATTGTGAATTATACTCTCCTACTTCTTTTCATTGCCTGATGACCATGTTTTGATGCCAGATATTGTGAATTTTACATTGTTGGGTGCTGGATACTTTTTTTTTTTTTTTTTTGAGATGGAGTCTTGCTCCATCACCCAGGCTGGAGTGCAGTGGCACGATCTTGGCTCACTGCAACCTCCTCCTCCTGAGTTCAAGCAATTCTCTGCCTCAGCCTCCCGAGTAGCTGGGATTACAGGCACCTGCCACCATACCTGGCTAATTTTTGTATTTTTAGTAGAGATGGGGTTTCACCATCTTGGCCAGGCTGGTCTTGAACTCCTGATCTCGTGATCCACCTGCCTCGGCCTCCCAAAGTGCTGCGATTACAGGCATGAGCCACTGTGCCCGGCCGATAGTTTTTTATTCTGTGAATATTTTTGTGGTCTGTTCTGGGATGCAGTTAAGTTTCTTAGAAATAGTCTCATCCTTTCAGGTCTTACTTTTATGATTCTAATGGCGCCAGAGTAGTGCTCTGTGTACTGCTAATTATTTCCCACTACTAAAGCAAGACCTTCTTGGGTATCCTATCCAATAGTCTGTGAATTAAGTTTTTCCAGTCTGGCTGGTGAGAATAAGCACTATTCCCAGCTCAGTGTTAATGCCAGGCACTGTTCTCTAATCCTTTCAGCTAGCTTCCTCCCACCCCCCACACCCAGTCTTGGGCAGGTTCCTCTCACTCCTGCGCTGGTCACTCCTCCACTGAATATGCAGGGTGACCATCTACAAATATCTGTGTTTCTCTCTTTGTCTTAAGAACTTCAGCCACTTTTATCTACCTGGGACTCTCAGTTCTGACTGTGACTCACGGAGACTGCTAGGCTGTGCCTGGGTTTCCTCTTCCAATGCTGTAGCCTGGGAACTCTCTCAAGGCAGTAAGTTGGTACAACCATAGGGCTCACCTCATCTGTTTCCTGTCTTTCAGGATTAATCTTTTTGTTGCCTGATGTCCAATATCTTAAAACCCATTGTTTCATATATTTGGTCTTGATTTGTTTGTTTGCTTGTTTGTTTGAGGCGGGAGTGTAAATGTGGTTCCTGTTACCCCATCCCGGGTAGAAGCAAATGTTTCTTCCTTTATTTTCTTAATTCGAGATTTTGTCTCCATAAATATCTTATATATTCTTGAATTATTTCCTTGATAGTTCTTTTCTCTCTGTTTTCTCTCTCTCTCTCTCATTCTACTTTATTGGAGACTTTCTCAACTTTATCTTTGAAATATTCTGTTGAATTTTTAGTTTCTACTATTATATTCCTAATTTCCAGGAGATCTCTCTTGTTTTTTGAATGCTTCTTTTTTTATAGCCTCCTCTTCTTATTTAATGGATGAACTATCACATCTATCTAGAATATTAATTCAATTTTAACACATTTTCTTCTACTCATTGCATTTCTTAGTTTCCAAATTCCCTTTTTCTACTTGTTTATTTGATTTATATATTTTATATTATATATTTTATGTTAAAGGCTTTCTTCCATTATAAGGTGATCTCTGGTTTCTCATTCACATATATATATGAATGAGAAAAATATATATATATATATATATATATTTTTGGAAACAGAGTTTCACTCTTGTTGCCCAGGCTGGAGTGCAATGGCGTGAACTTGGCTCTTTGCAACCTCCTTCTCCTCCCAGGTTCAAGTGATTCTCCTGACTCAGCTTCTGGAATAGCTGGGGTTACAGGCATGCACCACCACACCTGGCTAATTTTTTGTATTTTTAGTAGAGATGAGATTTCACCATTGTTAGTCAGGCTGGTTTTGAACTCCTCACCTCAGGTGATCCACCTACCTCAGCCTCCCAAAGTGCTGGGATTACAGGCATAAGCGACTGCTCCTGGCCCTCTTATTCATATTTAAGAGTAGTCACTTACAAGCAAATTGGAAGCTCTTGCTTACTTACACAACAGTAAATTTAATATTTATAAACAGTAAATGTTACCAAATTATACACTCATCCTTATATCCCTTATTCCAAGGTGCCTTCCTATATTTACTACTTCCCTTCTTGCTAGAATTCTTCCTCTAAGAGTGTTATCAAAAAGGGTTTTGTTTGTTTGTTTGTGTGGTTTTTTTTTTGTATAGTAAAACTCTATGAGACTCAGTATATCTGGGGATATCTTTATTTTATCCTCACCCTAAATGGTAATATACCTGAATATAAAGTTCTAGTTCATATTGCGTATTCTCACCTATAAGTGAAAGCTAAACATTGAGTACATATATGGTCACAAAGAAGGAAACAACATATGCTGAGGCCTACTTGAGGGTGGAGGGAGGGAGGAGGATGAGCATCAAAAAACTACCTATCGGCTGGGTGTGGTGGCTCACGCCTGTAATCCCAGCACTTTGGGAGGCCAAGGCAGGTGGATCACCTGAGGTCAGGAGTTTGAGACCAGCCTGATCAACATGGAGAAACCCTGTCTCTACTAAAAATACAAAAATTAGGCAGGAGAATCAGTGGAACCCTGGAAGCGGAGGTTGTAGTGAGCTGAGATTGCGTCATTGTATTCCAGCCTGGGCAACAAGACTGAAACTCCATCTCAAAAAACAAACAAACAAACAACCTATCAAGTACTATGCTTATTACCTGGATGGCAAAATATCCTGTATACCAACCCCCTGTGACACACAATTTACTTATATAACAAACAAGCGCATGTACCCCGGAACCTAAAATAAAAGTTAAAAATAAAAATAAATAAAAAATTTTAGCTCAATTCTTTTTCTGAAACACTTTCAAAATCATTACTCCATGATCCTCTTACACTAACAGTTGCTGTTGACAAGTCAGATGTCTGTCTTGTTCAGAGGTGTCTGCAGGTTCTCTGGAGTGGTATCTTTTTCTCTTTTTCAAATATCCCTAATGAAGCCATGATACCAGATCTCTTTTTAGAGAAGAGTTTGATAATGCCATGTAATTAAACCCTGCCTAAAGCCAGGGTTGTAATTCCCACCACAAGGTTTGTGAGGCCAGTCACTGAGCACCCTGCATACTAGATTCTGCAGCTGAAGGAAACATCCAACCACAGAATCATCAAAATTTTTCATCAGTTTTCTCTTGGAGAGCTTATTATGAGGTATTAAATTTTAAGAGTCAAAGACAATGGGAGATTGGCATGCATCCCTGCCCACAAAGGGTTCCAGGTCACCTGGGTTCCATCTAGTTGGAACGGAGATGCCTGCCTTTGTGTCGTCCCACCCCAGGGCTTCCACTCAAGCCTGTTCACAGGAATGTTTGGCTTGGTAAAGGAGGAGCCCAGGCGCATCTGGGTCTCAGAAGTGACATAATGTGCTTGCAATGTCTATGAAACACAGTGATGCTGCAGGAGATGGGTCTTTGGGAAAGAAGTGATGGAAGAACACGATGCTGGACAGTGTACAAGTGTGAGTGTGTCAACACAAGCTTGCTGTTCAGATGAAAACATATGGGTTAATCCAAAGTTTCTCTCTTTCCCTGAAGTAAACGAGGATTTTTACTCACTCTCACCAATCTCAGAAAAGTACAGTGAGACCTACAGGACTTCCATTTTCCATGAGGTCTCTCAGGAAATTCATCATTCCCTGACATGCCCCATACACCTAGGTGCTCATGTGTCCACCTAGACAAAGTCTGCTCAGAAGATGGAGCAGACATATGACTTTAGTTCAGCTTTCCCCATCTATGGGGATGTATGTAGAGGACCCTTTGGGAGGCAGAATAGTGGCCACCTCAAAGATGCCTATTCCCGAGTCCCTGGAACCTGTGGATATGTCATGTTACATGGCAAAAGGGACTTTGCAGTTGTGATTAATGTAAGGAGCTTGAGACACTGAAGTTATTCTGGATAATCTGGGTGGGCCAATTTAATTACATAATTCTTTTAAAGCAGAAATCCTTTTCTAGTTAGGTCAGAGAGATGAGATGAAAGAAAAAGGAGACAGAGGATGACAGCTTCAAGCCACAAAATTTGACAGCCTATAGAAACTGGCAACAGCCCTCAGTTTACAACCAGCAAGAAAAGGGGGACCTCAGGCCTACCACCCAAGGGACTGAATTCTGCCAACAATGCAAATGAGCAGTAAATGAATTCTCTCCTAGAACCTCCAAAAAGGAATGCAGCCTGCTGACACCTTGATTTTAGCTCAGTAAGACCCATACAGGACTTCTGACTTCCAGAACTATAAGATAATATATTTGTGTGGTTTTAAGCCATGGGGTTTATAGTAACTTATTATAGCAGCAATATAAACTACCATGGAGCCTTATATAAATGTAAAAAAAAAAAAGTCAACAAATGAGATGACTATAAATTGAGGTGCTCCTGATATATACAATCCTGGGCACTATCATGCGCCCAGATACAGATCACAAGAAGCAGGAACATATACCGTCTCTCACCCAGTCACAGACACCACAGATTATAAGATGCATCCCTACTTTATAGATATTAAAATATGAATTTTAAAATTGATGAACTTCTAGCTAGGCATGGTGGTTCACACTTGAAATCCCAGCATTTTGGGAGGCTGAGGCAGGAGGATCACTTGAGACCAGTTTAAGACCAGCCTGAGCAACATAGCAAGACCCCATCTCTATAAAATAATAATAATAATTTTAAAAAAATTATCCAGGCATGGCGGCATGCACCTGTAGTCCTAGCTACTCGGGATGCTGAAGTGAGAGGATCGCTTGAGCCCAGGAGTTTGAGGTTGCATTGAGCTATGATTGTGCCATCGTACTCCAGCATGGGTGACAGAGTGAAGCCCCATGCCTAAAAGTTTTTTTCAAAAGATGAATTTCTGTTTAAGCTTCGGGACCAAGTCAAGCCCTAAAGAAGGGAGGTGGGAGGGCACTAAGAAGACTGATTGGTGCTAGGCCCTGAGGATGTCCTGCTCACCTGCCTCCAGCATGACCTTGCTCCTGTTCTCCCTCCTCCAACTGTCAGAACCCCCAGCATGGTTTCAGCCAGCAGAGGAAGACAGTAGCACTGCACCTATTATGTGCTTTAGGTTTAATATCTTTCTCCCAACATCTCAGGAAGATGGTAAAAATCAAGAGCCAGGGTCATGGCCAGCCTCTCTAGCACAGATGAGGTTAATAATAAAAGAGTCTCATGAACTAAGCTGTATGTAAAAACAATTGAAAAACCCCTTTGCTTACATAAAATAAAATAGCTGTCTATAAAGGTGGTATATTAGTCCGTTTTCACACTGCTATAAAGACATACCCGAGACTGGGTAATTTATAAAGGAAAGAGGTTTAATTGAATCACAGTTCCACATGGCTGGGGAGGCCACAGGAAACTTATAATCATGGCAGAAGGGGAAGCAGGCACCTTCTTCACAAGGTGGCAGAAGAGAGAAGAGCAGGGGGAACTGCCATTTATAAAACCATCAGATCTCATGAGAACTCACTGTCACGAGAACAGCATGGGGGAAACCATCCCCATGATCCACTCACCTCCCACCAGATTCCTCCCTTGACACCCTGGGGGTTACAATTCAAGATGAGATTTGGATAGGGACACAGAGCCAAACCATGTCAGGTGGACATTTTAGATTTTGTTCCATCTACATTTTTTTCAACTTTGTTTTATGGAAATATTCAAACACACACAAGAAGTAGAGAGAATAACATAACAATCTCTCATGTGCCCATCATCTAGCTTCAACAATTATCAACGATAGTCTGGTTTCATTTCTCCCCACAAGTTGGTTTTACGATGGGTATATTTTAAAGCAAATTCCAGACACCATGTCATTTCACCTATAAACACTTGAGTGTGGGTTTCTATCAGATAAGGATAGTATTTTAAAAATATTTTTCCTATGACATTATCAAACCTAACAAAATTAGTGATTTGAGGTGGACCATTAGGCATGGTGGTATCAAAGGAGAGAGGCTAGCAGTGAAGTGTTCAATCTTGTATTCATATTCTATTGCTGCTGTAACAAATTACAGCAAATTTAGTGGTTTAAAATAATACACATTTATTTTCTTACAGTTCTGGAGGTTAGAAGTCCAAATCAGTCTTTTTTTTTTTTTCTTTTTTTTGAGATGGAGTCTCGCTCTGTCACCCAGGCTGGAGTGCAGCGGTGCCATCTCAGCTCACTGCAACCTCCACCCCCCAGGTTCAAGCAATTCTCCTGCCTCAGCCTCCCAAGTAGCTGGGACTACAGGTGTGTGCCACACATCAGTTAATTTTTGTATTTTTAATAGAGACGGGGTTTTACTATGTTGGCTAGGATGTCTCAAACTCCTGACCTCAGGTGATCCACCTGCCTCGGCCTCCCAGAGTGCTGGGATTAGAGGCGTGAGCCACCACGCCTGGCCCAAATCAGTCTTAGTGAGCTAAAATTAAAGTGACAGCAGGCCTGCTTCCTTTCTGGAGGCTCTAGGGGAGAATGTGTTTCCTTGCTTTTTCCAGTTGCTAGAAGCCACCACATTCCTTAGCTCATGGCCCCTTCCTTCATCGTCAAAGCCAACAATGGTACATGTCTCTGGCCATTTGTTTTGGTATTTACATTTTCCTTTCTGACTGTCTCTTTCACTTTTAAGGACCCTTAACATTATATTGGGCCCACTTGAATAATCTAGATTTTTCTCTCTGTTTTAACATCAGCTCACTAGCAACCGTAATTTCATCCACAACTTTAATTCTGCTTTGCCATGTAACCTAACACAGTCACAGGTACCAGGGATTAGGACATGAACATTTTTGAGGGGGTGTCTGCCACAGTCCCCTCCTCAATTATTTATCCATAGGTTTTAGGCATATGGTTAGGGGTAGGAGCCAGGAGATGCCAATAATAACAGGACTGGAAAAACCATGAGAGAAGGGATTCAAGTTCTGCATAAGAAACTTCAAGGAAAGTTTTCCAGTGTCACTATCATAAATAAAAGAGATATGAAATCTTCACAAAAAGGTGCAAGGCAAACTGAGAAACTCCTTTGCATGACTTGCCAGTCTTGGCTGCATTCAGAATTTGTTTGGAGAAGGAAAAGGCCCTTCCTTTTTCTCTCTAAACAGAGATTCAGTAATGCCAAATGGGCCCTCGTTGATGGAAAAAATCACTATGTAACTTTAAAAAAATTATAGAAATGTAAATCAGTGATGACAACAAGTCTTTGGCCCATCTGATAAGGTGGCTGGTGCCCACTGCTGGTGGCCTTTGCTGGGGCTCAAATAGAGAAGAGCCACCAGGATGAGGGTAGGGTCCCCAGCATCCCCTCTCTGTGAGTCAGCTTACAAAAGGCCATGTTGACTTGGATGTGAATCACGCCTATCTGTTCCAAGCAAGATTAAAAACCCAAGAAAATTATTGTTGAGCAAGGTGTTTTATGACTTTAGCTTACTTCCTTTTTTGAAACATTAGGAAATGTCAAAGTTAGTTTGTTCAGATTTATTAGAGAATGTGTGGAAAAGGGAAAACCTAAAAAACAAAACAAGAACAAAACCGCTTGTGGTTGGTTGACGCACAACTGTCTCTTGGGCATCATTTCTAGGCAAAGATTGTCATTTTGTAAACAAGGGTTTATCTCCCAGACTTCCTTGTTTTTGGATAGCTGATTGCCAGACATTGCTGGCACATGCATACTCACACAGTTATCTATACTTGTTCCTTGCTGCTTATTGCTCATGCTAAAACCTCTTGAATGTAAGGTTTTCAAACAGTAACATTTCCAAATACTAACACTTTGGCATTCTCACGTATATACTTTGTGTATTCGGAAGTTGTATTATTAACGTGGTGCAAACCTTGTGTTTAGTTTAATTAAACAGCAATGCTTTGCTATGTTTATTTCTTGGAGGGTGTGTGTGTGTGTGTACGTGTTCCATGCATGCCTCACATTTCTATTTGCATATGTGCATAAATCAAGAAAGCAACCAAATAAACAAACGCTGTTCTACTTCCCTACTAAAGTGACTTTTAAAGACTTATTGAATTATATTTTAGTGAATTTGAGTAAAGCATTTAAGTGCAGGGCAAATTAGAGCAAGCAAAACATTCGAGCATACATAACCATTTTATCTTGGCTCATGGCCCCTTCTTCATCTTCAAAGCCAACAATGGTGCATGTCTCTGGCCATTTGTTTTTGGGATTTAAATTTACATTAAAACAAATTTAAATTAAAATTTGTTTTAAATTTTAATTTAAAACAAAATTGTGGCCACAGCATGGATTGTGCTTCTATATTTATTTGCTCAGCTTCAAAAGTAAGACTAGTCCAGCCTTTATCCTGGGCAGGCTGTGGTCAACAAGCCACCAATCTCTTCAGTGGGGCCAATATCAGAGGACTGGCATGGGGACCTCAGATATCCATCAGGTTCCTCTCTCAGGAACATGGGAGCAGTGATCTTTTGGGGGGCCACATGGACACTGCATCCCCTGCCTTGGGCACTGGATGGTATTATCTTGCTGGAATTCCCTTCCAACTCTGCCAAGAATGTCTTTGAGACAGAGAGACTGATGGGAAGAAAGTGAGGAGGACCAGCTCTAATGAGGTTCAACTGCAGAGGTTTCAGTGTTGGTTGTGCTGTTTGACTTCACTGGGACCCCATCCTCCAGTTTCAAGCACTTCTCAGAACTCATGATTATTCCTCAATCTGAAACTTTAGAGAGGTTGGGGGACCACTTCAGACACCTAAGGGCAACAGAAAGGAAGCGCCGTGTGCCAGCACTCTACTGTCATTCGTGGTGAAAAGCTTCCTTCTCTTTCCTATTTTTTGTGGTTGGCAAAATATAAAAGGTCTTTCTACTTATTTCAAAAGGAAAAATAGAATGAGGGAGGGAGGGGGAGGTAAAGGCAGAAAGAGAGAGATCAGTTCATTTTTGTTTGGGGAAAACTTTTAGTCTATAACAGCAGCAAACATGTATTGTGGCAGTGGCCTCAGCCCTGCTGAAGGAAATCCAGGCCACATTAAAATCTGGGGAATTTGAAACGGCAGTGTTTGTAGTGGCCTGCAGATTTCCACTGGCAATTTCTTTAAAGCCAAAGAGTTATAATTAAAATAGAAATGGATCCAATTATTTCTGCCTCCTGTCTGAAAGGATGTAGCTGGTAATGAGAATCACATGTCTAAATTTCAGCTCCTTCTATTTCCAAGCAAGTTGCCCCATGAGAGAAATTCTTTCTTTTCAGCAAATCTCAGTAAACCACATTTCTCCCTCCTCCTTAGCTACTGTGGTTTTGCACTGATTTTTACAAGTCCCAGCAATGGAACTCAGTCATAGTAAATGTTCTTATTTTTCTCTCCTTTCTACTCTTTATAAGACATGTCAGGGTGATAAGACTTATTTTTTTGTTTCAAAGAGACAGAGATTAGAAGAGTGGGAGGGCTTAGTCTTAACCAGAAAAGATTTACCTTATCAGGAACAACAGGCTAGGTAGCTTGGCCATTGCCACTTGGGATATTCTTAGGCTAAGGGAGGGAGGTGAGGAGGTGACTAGGTGATGGGGGTAGAAGGGGTGTGTAAGGTGGTATAGGTGTACAGGGAGGCCAGTCTTGGGAAGAATTTTACCCACTGGGTGAGTGAGGCTCAGATAACATGGTGGTCAACAATGTGCCTTAGAAATGGCAAAGCCTATACTGGGACAGAATGCCATGGTCACCATGAATAAATATATAATACTGTTGTTCTTATCAGCATTACTGACTATTCATGATAGATTTGATCTGTGCAGTGCAGATCTATTCAAGTTCCAAAGGACATTCCAAGCCTCCATTCCTTCCACTTGCAGAGCCAGCCCCCAGTGCCAAGATGCTATATACATTCACATACAAGCCTTTGTGTAGACACGTGTTTTCATGTGCTTATTGGTCATTAGAATATCTTTTTTTTGGTGAAATAGCTACTCAAATCTTTCACCCATTTTAAATTTAAGTTGCTTGACCTTCTATTATTGAATCATAAAAGTTTGTTATGTATTCTAGATACAAACCCTTTATCAGACATGGATCTGCAAATATTTTCTCATTGTCTGTGATTCATCTTTTTTTAAATGGTCTCTTTTGTAGGGCAAATGTTTTTAATTTTGATGAAGCCAATTAATTCCTTATTTTGGTAACATATTGTCTTTTTCATGCCATACTTAAGAACTCTTTACCTAATCCAAGGCCACAAAGATTGTCTACAATGTTTTCTCCTAGAAATTTTAGTTTTTACTCTTACTTTTAAGCCTGTGATTCATTTTGGGTTAATTTTTGTACATGTTGTGATTTAAGGATCTAAATTGATTTTTCTGCATATGGATATCAAAATGTCCTAGCAATATTTGTTGAAGACTATTCTTTCTTAACTGAACTACCTTAGCACCTTTGTGAAAAATCTATTGACCATAAATGTAAGGATGTATTTATGAACTCTTAATTCTGTCCCATTGCTTTATACATCTACCTTTATGCCAACAGCACATTGTCTTGATTACTGTGGCTTTGTAGTAAGTTTTGAGGTCAAGTAGTTTGAGTCCTCCAACATTGTTCATCTTTTCAAAAATTTTTTTGGCTAATCTAGGTCCTTTGCATTTCATATACATTTAGGATTGGATTGCAAATTTCTATAAGAAATCCCACTGAGATTTTGATAGGGATTCTGTTGAATCTATAGGTCAATTTGGGGAGAGCTGCCATATTAATAATAGTGTGTCTTTCAATTCATAAAAATGGAATATGTCACCATTTATATAGATTTTTAATTTCTCTTATAATCTTTGTACTTGTAATGTATAAGTCTTGTAGTTCTTAGTTAAGTTTATTCCTAGATATTTTATTATTTTGTATACTATTGTGGACAAAATTTTTTAAATTTCATTTTTGGATTGTTCATTGTGCATATGTAGGAAATATGTAGGAAAGATTGATATTTTATGTATTGATCTTTTATCCTGAAACATTTCCAGACCTAGTACCACTATGTATATGTATATATGCTATATATATGTAAAAAGGTTTTCTACATACTGGATCATACTGTCTGTGAATAAAAACAAAGTTTTATCTCTTCTTTTCCAGTCTGTATACAATACACTGGATTGCCCTTTCTTGTTTTCTTTTATTGACCAGAACCTCCAGTACTACACTGAATAAGAGTGGTCAGAGCAGATCTCCTTTGGTTTTCAGCCTACACGTGTCTTTGAATTGAAAATGTATGTCTTATAGACAAAATATAATTGGATTTGCTTTTTTAAATTTAGTCTGAGAATCTGTGATTTTGACTGAAGTATTTATTCCATTCACTTTTAATGTAAGTATTAATATGATTAGAATTAAATGTGTCATTATGCTATTTGTTTTTCATATGCTTTGTGTCTTTTCTGTCCCTCTATTCCTCCTTTACTCCCTTCTTTGTGTTAAGCAAATAATTTTGTATAGTATTTTAACTCCTTGGTTGATTTTTAAACTATAATTTTGAGTTATCATCTTAGCATTTGCTCTAGGAATTACAATATGAGTTTTAACATACCACAACACACTTCAAGCTAAAACTAATTTAATCCAGTAAAATATAGCAACTTTCCTCCAATCCAGCTCAATTTCCTCCCTACCCTACTCTCACTTTTGTGCTGTTAGTATCGTACATTACTACATCTATTTATATTTTAAACCAAAAAGTACAGTTTTTTTGCATATCATACCATTTAAAGAAATAATAGAAGAAAAAATGTATACTCATTAAGTCTTTTATAATTACCCATATGTTAACCATTTTCAGTATTTTTCATTTCTTCTTGTGGATTCAAGTTATCAACTGGAGTAATTTTCATTCCCATCTTGAAGGATTTTGTTTAGTATTTTTTGTAAGGCAGGTCATTAGCGATATATTATCTCAGTTTTTGTTTATCTGAAAATGTCTTTATTTCACTTTCCTTTTCGAAGGATAATCTTGCTGAATATAAAATTATTGGCTGACAAATGTTTCAGTGTTTTGAATATGTCTTTCTACTGCTTTCCGGCCTCCACTGTTACTAATGAGGATTTAACCATGATTTGTACTATTGTTCTCTTATAGATGATTAGTTTTCCTCTTGCTGCCTTCAGGATTTTCTCTTTGCTTTTTGATTTCAACAGTTTGATGTGACTAAGTGAAGATCTCTGTGATTTTCCTACTTGGGGTACAGTGGGGTTCCTAGATCTATAGTTAATGTTTTTCCTCAAATTTGGGAGGATTTGAGTACTATTTGTTCAATTTTATTTTCCTGCCCTTTTCCTCTTCTCTCATTTTGAAACTCCTCTTCCACAGTTGTTATGCTTGATGCTGTCTCGTAGGTCTCTGAGACTGCTCATTTTTCTTCAATCTTTTTTCTCTTTGTTCTTCAGATTGGATAACATTCTATCTTTAGTAGGGATTCCATATAATCTTTTTTTATTTTGTTACTGCATTTTTCAGCTCTAGAATTTCCATTTGGTTCTTTTTTAAAAATGTTATTTCTTTATTGATATTCCTACTTGTTGAGTCACTTTCATAATATTTTCCTTAAATTATTTAAGCATGATTTCCTTCAATTTTTTTATCATATTTAAAATAGCAGCTTTGAAGTCTGTCTGTTAAATCAACATCTAAAGCACTCAAAGACCATTTCATTGACGTCTCTCCTGCCCTCCACTCCACCCCCTAGTATGGATAATACTTTCTTCATTTTTTTTCTATGACTCATAAACTTTTATTGAAAATTTCATATTTTAGATAATATATCATAAGAACTCTGGATTCATTTTTCCTTTCAACCTCAGAGAGTCTTGGTTGTTGCTACCTTATATTAGTTTATAACTTGCCTGGACTTGATCTGCAGAATCTGTTACCCTTCAGTGTGCATCTGCTGATATCCCTGATCAGTTTTTTTAAAAAAATTCTTATTTGTTGGCTGGGCGTGGTAGCTCACACCTGTTATCCTAGCACTTTGAGAGGCCGAGGAAGGTGGATCACCTGAGGTCAGGAGTTCAAGACCAGCCTGGCCAACATGGCGAAACCCCGTCTCTACTAAAAATAAAAATACAAAAATTAGCTGGGTGTGGTGGTGGGTGGTGGGTGCCTATAATCCCAGATACTCAGGGGGCTGAGGCAGGAGAATAGCTTGAACCCGGGGAGTGGGGGCTGGGAGGGCGAGCGGAGGTTGCAGTGAGCCAAGATCCTGCCACTTCACTCTAGCCTGGGTGAAAGAGTGAAACTCCATCTCCCAAAAAAAAAAAAAAATTCTTACTTGTTTTTTTGCACAGGTGGAAGGGTTGGCTTCTTATGGGTCACCTTTGTGTCTGCACAGCTTAATGAGCACTCAAAAACTGGTCAGAAATTGTGTTCAAATACCATACTTTGCCACTGGTGGATCTGTGATTGAAATGGGAAATGTATTCAAATTTGGGCCAGTTTTCATCTCTGCCCTAGGTGTTATGTTAACACTGGGCCCTCTTGGGTCTCCACTGTGCATGCATACAGGTTCCCAGACAGACAGGGATATGGAATGCTTGTCAAGCTCTCAATGCTAGTTCATTTCCACGACCTTCCTGTTAAATTTCTGGTTAGTTCAATACTGCTCATCCCAACCAGGATTGCAACTTCAGTCTAGGAAATCTGCAAGCTTTTCCCACTTGCTGCTGACTGTGGGTTTCTACTTTTCACTTCAAATCAAGTGAAGGCCTGTGCTGTCCAGGTCAAACAACCATGTTGACTGGTGGAGGCAGTTTCAGCAAGAATGCCATGTATTTCCACTGTGTTTACTTGAATCTCCATAGTTTCTTGAGAACATAAATTTCTCAATTTGCTTGCCCCTTGTCAATTTCCAGAGCCCTGAAATAATTGTTTTCGACAATTTTGTCCAGCTTTATAATTGCTTTGCAGGGAGAGGATTTGTTAACCGCTTCACTCCTTCATAGCTGGTAGTCCCATCTATATACAGTATATTTCCAAAGAAATGGATTTTATTATTTTAAGCATGACATCTTATTAACTTAGATATGACTGCATACTAATAAGTAAAGCTAAATTTAGAGAAACTGTGGTTCATGATAGTGTGCCTTTGACATTTTATGATCCAAAACAGAAAAGGTTTTTCAAAAGGCATTTTGAGATAATTCTTAAGATTTCAAGCCTTTGATTTGAAAAGTCTATTTATCTGAATAGTAAGAGTCTCATATTTTCATAGCAGGAAATTATTTCAAGCATTTAATTTAGCAAATGAACTGGAGCCTAAATTAAAGAATTCCAAATTTATTCCTGACCCTGGTTGTTATTGAGGGATAATAAAATATTTCCCTGGTGTCCTGTGAGAGATTGAAGGAATTTTGAGGTCATGATTTATATATTTGCCATCCTCTTTTAAATGGATTCAGCTGTGATGTCTGCAGCACCAGGAGAATTTAAGTGTCTGCCTGAGAGCCAGGACTCTGTCCACGTCAAGCTTTCAGCCAGACCACTTCCCTCAGATCCTTTCTAGTTTTCTCCTTCTTCAGTCCATTCCAATGACCCCTGGTTTTGATGAGGCATAGGACGAGGGGCTACAAGATCAGGAGCACATCTAGCTCTGGCTTCTGAGGCCACATGATCACCTGGGGAGACTGAGACATCCAGGATCCTGGAAGCAGAGCAAAGAGCCATCTGTGAAGAGGAGGAAGAAGACATCTGAAGAAGAAGGTTTTTCTTCAAGAACCACCACACACTTGCCTTCAGATGAAGTTTGAAGCCATTAAGCTTCCCCTTCTTCTTAAAGCTCTCCTTCCCTATTTTTCCTGCATGCCCTCGTTTTTATCACTGACAACACATCGTTCCCTGAGTCTCACTGTCTCCCAAAGAGGAGCTTCAGGTTCATCTTTGTCTCCCCAAGTCTGAAAATATCAGATAATATGCTTGCAACTTCATCTTGATGGCTTAATTCCTGCTCCTGTCATTTACACTTCACTGCCCTGTTTTGTCTCCTTCATCCTGCCCTGCCCAGCCCTGGGAACTCTGTGTCTCCCATATCACTCCCCTGCTGGGGACCTGAATGGCTCCCTACTGCCTCCCTAAGCCAGTCCAAGTTCCCCTGGCTTCCTGGGCCTTCCAGAATCTGTCCTGGCCTTATCTACCCCCACTTACTTCCCAACTGGGAGGTGTTGTGGCCATGGCAGAGGAAGGGATAAAAGACCAGTCATTCAGCCTTGTGTGCCTGTAAAGCAGTGTACCTCTAACAAAAATTTCCTGGCTTAAGAGCATAAAAATAAGTTTTACACAAAATCAATAACAGAAGCACTCAGATTGAAGCATATTTTTAAAGGTATTAGTGGGAGTGATTCAGAGTCAGCAGACCCAGGGTGTGGACATGAGCTCAGAATGGCTTCTCTGGAGCAAAATCTGTGACTTGATCCCGCAAAGCAAAAGCTGCCAGTCCTTTCTCATCACTGTCTCTTTCCTGGTGTGACATGACTATGGTCAGAACTATGTTCTCCAAAAGGATCCACTGAAGTCCTACCCCCAGTACCTCAGAGTGTGACCTTATTTGGATATAAGGTCATTGCAGATGTAATTAGTGAAAATGAGGTCATTAGGGTGGGCCCTAATTTAATATGACTGGTGTCCTTATAAGAAGAGGGAAGAGGCCGGGCGGTGTGGCTCATGCCTGTAATCCCAGCACTTTGCGAGGCCGAGGTGGGTGGATCACCTGAGGTCAGGAGTTCGAGACCAGCCTGGCCAACATGGTGAAACCCCATCTCTACTAAAAATACAAAAAAATTAGCTGGGCGTGGTGGCAGGTGTCTGTAATCCCAGCTACCCGGGAGGCTGAGGCAGGAGAATTGCTTGAACCTGGGAGGCGGAGGTTGCAGTGAGCTGAGATTGCGCCATTACACTCTAGCCTGGGCAACAAGAGTGAAACCCCATCTCAAAAATAAAATAAAATAAAAATAAATAAAAATAAATAAATAAAAAAAAGGAAGATGATGTGATGCGAAGACACAGAGAGAGGCCAGTGTGTGAAAATGGAGGCTGAGATTGGACTTATGTTACCATAAGCCAAGGAATACCTGGGGCTATCAGAATTTGGGAGAAGCAAGGAAGGATCCACCCCTAAGAACTTTAGGGAGGGTATGCCCTGATTGTACCTTGGTTTTAGACATTTAGTCTTCAGAACTGAGAGAATAAGTTTCTGTCATTTCAGCCCAGCCAGTTTGTGGTGCTTTGTTACAGCGGCCCCAGAAAACTGATAAACATGATATGCATATTTTGTTAAAGTCTGTTCACTCCGACTTTGACTTCTACATATCCAAGATAGCAGTCCTGTGTCTGCTATCTGGGACAAAAGCCCACCTGCCCTGTCCTTCTCTCCTGGGCTACCAGGTCCTGCCATGTGTGGGTTTGAAGCTTTGGGAAGCAGACACATTTAATAGATTGAGTTTCATTTTTCCCACAACTTCTCACCCTCACAGAGGAAGGTATAACTCATGCTCACTGTGAAATCAGGGCTGTTCTTGGGCCCCTAGCGAAGTGCTATCCAGACCTGGCTCTGTGACTCTGAGGAAAACGGCAGGAGTGTGAGGCCAGTGCCCTGGATGCAAAGTGCTATCCTTGGGAGAGGCCAAGCAGGGATGGCTGACCGGTGACGATGGTGGCAAGTGACTCCGTCTCTGGACCCTGTCTTTCCTCCTCCCCACACTGTTCAGGGCTCTTGCACAGGCTGTTGCCTCCACTGGGAACTCTCTAACCCGGCTCTTTCTCCTACTTTGTGCCTCGCCTAAGTGTCACCTTCTTCCTTAAGGGAGCGACGTTGTCTCCCCTCCCCATATGCATCCTCCCCAGCCCGTTCTTTGCTTGTCTCATAACATTCATTATTATTCCTCACTATTTTACTTGCTTGCCCACTTGTGGTGAACTGTCTAACAGTGATGCCAGCTTTGTCCCCCATGGGCCCCTGTAGTCTAGTTACTCAGCAGCCAGAGGAATCTGTTGAAACCGAAGTCAGCCCACATCACTCTGCTGTTCAGAACCCTCTGAGGCTCCCCAGACCACTAATAGTAAAAGCCCAGGACCTTACCATGCCTACTGGGGCCCCTGGGTCCAGCCCCAGCTATGTCCCTGATGCATCACCTTGTTCATCACACCAATTCCTTAGTGCCACTGAGCAGGCCAGGTGCTCACCTGAATTGGGGCCTCTGCCAGGGACACTGTCTCCCCAGATACCTGCACGGCCATCTCTTTCACCTCTTTCAAGTATTAGCTGAAATATCACCCTCTCAGTGAGCCCACCTTGGCCACCCTATTTTTTAAAAATTAAAGTTTTTATTGTGAGATAACTGAAGATTCACATGCAGTTGTAAGAATGCAGAAAGATACCTGGTACACTTTACCCAGTTTCCCCCAGTGGTAATCTTGTAAACCTATGTACAATGGCACAACCCGGATATTGACATTGATACAGTTAAGACACCAGGTATTTCCACCACCGCAAGGATTCCCATGTCTCCAATTTTTAGCCAAACACTTTGCTCCTGCACCACTCCCTCCATAAACCCTGGTAACCCATCACCTCTTCTCCATTTCTATGATTTTGTCATTTCAAAAATGTTACATAAACGGAATCATGTAGTATGCAAACTTTGGGGATTGACTTTTTTCACTCAGAATAAATCCTGGAGATTTATCAGGTTGTTGTGTGTATCCATAGTCAGTTTCTTTTTATTGCTGAGTACTATTTCATGGTATGGATGTACCACAGTTTGTTTAACCATGCTGCAACTGGAAGACGGCTAGATTGTTTCTAGTTTGGGGCCATTATAGATAAAGCTGCTATGAAAATTCATGTGTATGCTTTAATCTGAATACAAGTTTCCATTTATCTGGGATAAATGCCTAAGACAACAATTGCTGGATCACCTATTAGTTGCATAGTTACTTTAAAAATTTTTGTTTTTTAGAGACAGGGTCTCACTGTCACCCAGGCTGGAGTGCAGTGGTGCCATCATAGCTCACTGGAGACCCAAACTCCTGAGCTCAAGTGATCCTTCCAACTGAGCCTCCTAAGTAGCTGGGACTACAGGCACATGCCACTGTACCTGGCTAATTTTAAAATTTTTTTATGGAGACTGAGTCTTGCTTTATTGCCCAGATTGTTTGAACTCCTGGCTTCCAACAATCCTCCTGCCTCAGACTCTCAAAGCACTGGGATTACAGGTGTGAGCCACTGCACCCAGCCCTACGTATTTACTTTTTAAGGAAGCTGTGGCTATTTTATTTTGAACTGTACTCTCCTCGGCCCCTAGCCCCTTCCCCAAACATCTGATACCTTTCACCTGCTTGCTTTTTAGAAGCACTGATGCAGACACCAGATATGAAGTCAGACGTCTGACCAGTGTTCGTATATCAGGGGAAAGCTTGCTGGAATCACCAGCGCACACAAAAGTCAACATGCCCACAAACTGCGTAATGCGGTGATGATGACAAGACAGAATCTGTGCAAGAATTCCCCAGATGAAGCACTTTGCTAGATTTACAAGAAAATCACATTGAGTTCAAAAGTCAAGTTAGTGCTATCTTTCGTGAAAACTTATCACCTCAGGAAAGTTCTAACTCCAGAAACACTCCTGAGTTGTGGGATGACCAAGCAGAGCTGTGGTCCAAGCAGACCCTCACCTCACCAGCAGTTCCAGGCACCCACCAGTCCCAGGGGAGCAAGACTTTTTGCAAATGAGCAGAAACATTCTAGTTAGAAACATTCAGAGACCCCTAGAGGCGGGAGAATCAAAACAGAACTGTATTTCATGCTGAAAAGTGAAAACCAAATCAACAAAGCTCCCTGTCACAGCAACTGGTCAGCTCAGCTGTATAAGTGAATGGCAAAAACATTCCTGGGCTCTGTGGAAGCCCCTGGAAGAAATCCAGAACCTTAGGTACTTAGCCTGACTGGGGGTGGTTGTTATTACCATAAATTTATTTATTTCTTAACATATCAGTTCCTTTCATTTCAAACATTTGCTTGACATTTGTAGTAATTAGGTGAATGCTGGAAGAAATGATTAAATGATATTGTAAAATAATGTTTTGGCCTGACTCAAAATAGAAATATTTATAGTGTTCCCACTAATGCCAGATGATGTTAGCCCGATTATTGTGCTGCTTTTTAAAAAACATGCTAGGCTGAAAAAAAAATCACAAACAATCTAAAGTGAGCCGAGGCTCTAAGAGGCTTTGTGTCTATAAGCCCTCTTCCTGTCTGCTATTTGGCCCCAGCAGTAAAGCCCATGTGCTTCGATCAGTGTGGTGGATGTCTGGAGCACGGTGGCTCTGGGTGTTGGGAACTCACATGTCTCATTATCTGAAGACGAAACCAAAGACTGGAGAGATGGCTTGAGTATCACTGAGTGCAGAGGTCTGTGTCCCCTCCTAGCCTTGTACTGTGGGATTTGGAGGTCACTGTGCTTTCACTCCTGCAACTCCTGTTCCCCACTTTTCTCCCCTGCCTTTTTCTCTCCCCCGTGTTATCCCTCCTTTTCTTTTCCCTTCTCCTCCCACGCTAAGCTGAATCCATTAAACTAACTGAACCAATGAGGTCTCGGCCCAGAAGCATCAGCCTCCTTTATAGTGGAGACAGAGGTACAGACTCAGTGCAGTATATCGCCATGCTCTGCAGAGAGCCACGACTCATTCCTGGGCAACTGGAGGAAGGGGAGTGTGTCTGGGACCAGGGAGTGGCCTATGCCAGGGTGCAGACCTCAGTGTTACTCTCCAACCCGAGCCCAAGCCTGCCCCTGCCCCAACCCACACGATACCAAGTGCCACCCGGACCTGTCCTGGCAGCCCTGGGCTTCCTTCCAGAGCATCATGGGAACTACAGGGAGCAATCACTGTGGTCTCTTTACAGTGTCTTAGGGCAGAAGGTGAGGGTCTGAGGAAGTTTCATTGCAGGCTTCAGTACAATCTCTGGGGAAGATTATCAATTTGTGGAAGAAAAGCAGAAGTCATTTCCAGGAAGTCTTCAAAGACTAAACTATAAATGCTTAGTGAGCAGTGCAGGACGTGGATGGGAGGAAACGCAGGTGCCTGCCCAGGCCTGCAGCCCTGGGTCAAGAACCACAGGGAAGACCATTGTCTTCAGAGTCCATCAGAGGCCCCAGAGCCTGGATTTATGGGCCAGGCCATACTGGGCCAGGCTCATAGTGGCTCCTATGTTAGTCTACTTGGGCTGCCTTACCAAAATACCATAGACTGGGTAGGTTAATCAACAGAAATTTATTTTTTCACATCTCTGAAGGCTGGAAAGTCCAAGATGAAGGTTCTGGCTGATTTGGTTTCTAGTGAAGGCTCTTTCTGGCTTACAGACAGCTGCCCTTCTCCCTGTGTCCTTGCATGGCCTTTCCTTGGTGCCTGCACACATAAGCAAAGACAGAGAGTGACAGAGAGAGAGGGGGGGGGGGAGAGAGAGGGGAGAGAGAGAGACAGAGAGAACAAGCTCTCTTATAATGACGCAAATCCTATCAGCACCCCGTCTTCACTTAACCTTAATCACCTCCTTATAGGCCCTATCTCCAAATACAGTCACATTTGGGGTTAGGGCTTCAACATATGAATTTTGGGGTAACACAAGTCAGTCCACAGCAGCTCCCCAGGAAACGGTGTTCGACTTTCCTAAGTAAAGGCCAAGGATTCCTTGGGCATCAATTTGGTTAAGGTCTGCTCATGCACCACGTCAGTCACTGCTCTGGGTGGGGACTGGGCCATAAAGAAGTCAGGGTACCTTGAGTACCCCTGCCCTGGCAAAGACTCAGCTAAGAATGTGGGATGTTATGCTATGCAGGTTCCTTCCAAATCAAGCTACAGCTCCCACCAAGGTTGATGTGCAGACACAGGAGCTGTGTGCTGGCCCTTAGGCTTGAGAGCTGGACAGAAGGAGAGGTGGGCCATCGGTGTATCGTGGATGGTATATGAAAAGACCAGGCATCCTCTGTTTCCTTCCCTCCCTGGTGCAATGGGGATGATACAGCAAATGCTATGCAGGGCTGCTGTGGCACCTGCATGAGATGCCGTACGTGGAGTCTGAGAAGAAGTGGAAGGAGAAGGGAAGGGAGGCAGAGGCATAAAGAGATTTGTCTCCTCGCTTTTTCATGGCACCATGGGAAGCCCGCCCCTGGGTTGGCAATCCCAGCTGCCATCTCTGTCTCTGGCACTGTGCCTCCCTGGTGTCTGTCTCTAAACCCAGACTCTGAAAGATCCACAACGTGTCTAGCAACCAAAATTAGAGGCCTGCTGCTCTTGCTGCTGCTGAATGGAGAGCAAGCCAGCATGTGGGTTGGAAGTGCAGGGCAGCTCGGCAAACTTAGAAGCTGTTGCAGACCAGAGGGAGAGCCACCTGCTTCAGGAAAGAGGCCATGGTGTGTGTGTGTGTGTGTGTGTGTGTGTGTGTGTGTGTGTGAGAGAGAGAGTTGTAGCCATGAGTTCTTCCAGCAATTGGGCATGACCTTGGGAGGCTGCAAACAGATCCTAAATTGACAGCGAGATTCAGCATCTTGGGTCTCACCGTGTCCAAAGTCCTCTGGTCCTGGCCTCTGGCAATGCCCCTAAGTATGGATGGGACAGGAGTTGCAGTGCCTGTCCTTTTACACTGGGGGAGCCCAGTGAGGGGGTGACACATATTGTGGCAGATGTCTGAGCAGTATGTCCCCAGAGGCTCTCTGTAGGGGTGTGTGTATTGTGGGGAGGGAGGGAGGTGGGGGGCGGTTGGGGGAGTGGATGCTGTAACACTGAGCTCCTTGCTCTCCTGTCCCTCTGTGAGGGATAACCCAAGAAGAAGCTTAAACAGAAATGTGTGACCCCTGCCCTGACTCCTGTGGGGGTAGGGATGACAACCTAGATCCTCTGCAGCCCACTCACCCAGCCATGGAGGGGATATCTGCTTCCACACCTAGCAGGAGGGAGCAAAGAAGACTCAAGCCTTTGGTCAAGTCACGATATTCTTAAAAAAATAAAAAATGATTTAGGTCAGGTGCGGTGGCTCACGCCTATAATCCCAGCACTCTGGGAGGCCGAGGCAGGTGGATCACTTGAGGTCAGGAGTTTGAAACCATCCTGGTCAACATGGCGAAATCCTGTTAGACACAAAAATTAGCTGGGTGTGGTGGTGCATGCCTGTAGTCAGTCCCAGCTTCTTGGGAGGCTGATGCATGAGAATTGCTTGAACCTGGGGGGCAGAGGTTGCAGTGAGCTGAGATCATGCCACTGTATTCCAGCCTGGGCAACAGAGCAAGACTGTCTCAAAGAAAAAAAAAAAAAAAAAAAAAGGAAAAGAATGATTTAGTTGGAGGCCACAAATAGGTATCAGGATTCTCCCACATAGCATTGGCAGCCCTAATTTAAGTCACGATAGTATATAAAGTATACTACCTCCTTAGTTACCTGAACTGGATATGGAATAAGCTGTTTTCAACAGGTTAATATTTGAAAATGTCCCTTTTGTCCATTCAGCAGGTTCTTAGGGAGCCCCAAGCTGTGCCAGGCAGGTACAGCACTAGAGACCATCAGTGAGCAAACCAGAGGGTCCCCACCCTGTGAGTTTGCACTTTATTGGGAAGAGATAGACAATGAGCCACCAGCAGAGTAAAGAAAATTGCACTGCGTGCTGGAAGAAGGGAGAGATGCCCTGGAAAAAGAAAAGACAGAAAAGGAAAAAGAAGAGAAGAATGGGCAGTGGTGCCAGGCGCAGTGGCTCATGCCTGTAATCTCAGCACATTAGGAGACTGAGTTGGGGGGATCACTTGAGGTCAGGAGTTCGAGACCAGCCTGGCCAACATGGTGAAATCCTGTCTCTACTAATAACACAAAAATTAGCCGGGTGTGGTGGTGCTCGCCTGTAATCCCAGCTACTGGGTCGGCTGAGGCAAGAGAATCACTTGAACCTGGGAGGCAGAGCTTTCAGTGAGCCAAGATTGCACCACTGCACTTCAGCATGAACGAAAGAGTGAAACTGTGTCCCCCAGTCCCCTCCTCAAAAAAAAAGAATGGGCAGTGGCAAGGTAGATGGGTCAGGTACAGCTGTGGTCAGGGAATCCTCGTGTGGGAGGTGACAATCGAGAAAAGAAGGAGGCGCTATTGTGAGCCAAGGGCGTGTGCAGTAAGAGGTTTACAACCAGAAAGAAGAGCTAGTGCAAAGGCCCCCAAGGCTTGTAAATGGGGGTCCACGGATAGTCTTCACTGGGCCAAGAAGGAAGAGGATGGATGCCCACCTGGGCCTGGATCAGACTCCTCCTCCATGTGATCTTCAAGTAGTCAGTCCCCTCACCTCCTGGTTCTCCAAGTCCAGGCACCTGGAGACAGAACAGGCTTTGTGACAATGGACCCAACCCACGGTCATGCTAAGGACCCCTCTTCTTCTCCCTAGGGCATTCCTCCCTTGTCTCTGCTTAATCTATCTCTTGCCTTGAGGGCCCTGGTTCACACTCTTTCTCACTCGGCTGGCTGTCTTCATCCCCAACCCGGTGCCATGCAGCCCCTGGAATTATTCATCTCAGAACCTAGAAGACAACTCCCACCCCCGGGGTTTTTCTGGACCCTCTGGTCCTCATAGGGCATTAGATTCCATGATCCATTAGATCTTTTTGAGGATTTGTATCCTATGATTATGGGAGAAATCTCTAAAAAATGTAATGCATTCCTCGCTACCTTAGGATCCAGTGCAATGAATGTTTTATCCTTCTGCAAACTGCCAAGTCCTTATTACAATACTATAGAATCATAAGGTGGTCTTTGAGAACATTTACCACTCTGTTCTACAGATAAGCAAAGGAAATACAGGGTTATATGTACACTGGCCCCAGGACAAACCCTGAAGCATACCTGCTTGTAGAAGCCTATGATTTCAGCCTGGTGTTTTGTTTTTGTCATTTGACTTGTTCTGAAATAAAGTAAAATGGAGACTGTAGCTCTCTGACCCGCTGAAGAGCAACATTTGATAAAACTTATTACTGATTAAGAGAGGCTATCTTCTTGCACCAAGTTTTTTTTTCCCCATAGTAACTTTTCTTCACTGTTATCAGGGCCCTCTGAAGTGACTTAAATCCATACCACCTATTGCTCCCTGGGCTTCATGCATCCACAGATTCTCCCTCCAGTTAAACTACCCACTCCCTGAGAGAAGCAGCAGAACATCATAAATCTCTGTATTTATCCCCTATGGAACTGAGGAGCCACAACACACAAAGTCCCCAACCAACTTGCTGAGTTAATTTATGAAAGGAAAATAAACCTCAGGATCCCAAACTCACTAAGCCAAAGGGAAAAGTCAAGCTGGAAACTGTGTCATGCAAACCTATCTCCCTCATAATTTGCCCACTAGGAAATTTCTCACGGGCCCCAAGATCTTTACCCTAGAACAGTTCTGTTGAATTTCACCCTGACAAAGTGAATTGATAGCTTATCTTCATGGGTATGGGACGAAGGACAGAACTCAAAGTCATCTCTCTGCTTACCTGAGACAAATGCATACCTGATTCTTCCTCTGCCCTATGCTTATTTCATCTTATGTAAAAATGCAGATTCACTGAGCTGGATGAATGCATAAGTGACTATTCCTCTACCCTTCTCACATGTGGACAGCTGATCAAAGACTCAAAAGAACAATCGTTTGACTCTTATCTACCTACAGCTTTTTAAAATTTCTTCCTCTTTCCCCAATATCTGCCCTTTCTCCTTTAAATATTGAAACTCTCAAAATCACCTTTGAAGAAAGGCACAGACCTGTCTCCTGGGCGTGCATCCTCAATCTTGCAAAATAAACTTCTAAACTGATTGAGACTTGTCTTGAGTACTTTTTGGTTTATACATTCTCAACCATTTGTAAGATTCCTGCCAGAATAATCCAATACTTCATCACTTCTAGGGCCTGAAAAAAGGTTCAGGGCCCATTGAAAAAAAATTTTCAAGTCCCACAGCAAAGTTAGATAGATTTAAATTCTTTACATGGTATTTGATGGTATTTGTATTGACATGTAGCTATGCTATAAAAGCAAACATCTGCAAAATCTCGGTTGCTTAAAAAAAACAAAGCCTTATTTCCTTTTGTCTTTGCTTTTTTTTTTTGAGACAGAGTCTCACACTGTTACCTAGGCTGGCGTGCAGTGGTGCGATCTTGGCTAATTGCAACCTCCCCCTCCCAGGTTCAAGCGATTCTCCTGCTTCAGCCTCCCGAGTAGCTGGGATCACAAGCAAGCACAACCTTGCCCAGCTAATTTTTGTATTTTTAGTAGAGACGTGTTTCACTATGTTGGCCAGGCTGGTCTTGAACTTCTGGCCTCAAGTGATCTGCCTGCCTTAGCCTTCCAAAGCGCTGGGATTACAGGCTTGAGTCACTGCGCCCAGACCTCCAAAGCCCCATTTTTTGCTCATACTCCATCCACCATGGTCAGGTGGGGGCTCTGCTTTGCTGAGTGTCACCTGCCTTCAGGAGTGCAGGTGACAGAGCCTTTCCCACCAGGAGCATTGCTGTTCTCATGACAGCATATATTTGTTTCCTATTGCTGCTGTAACAAATTAATGTCAAATTTAAGTGGCTTAAAGCAACAGAAATGTATTATATATAGTTGTAGAGGTCAATGTCTGAATTGGGCCTCACTGAACTAAAATCGAGATGCTGGGGCTGTGCATGGTGGCTCATGTATATAATACCAGGACTCTGGGAAGCGGAGGCAGGTGGATCACTTGAGGTCAGGAGTTCGAGACCAGCCTAGCCAACATGGCAAAACCCCATCTCTACCAAAAATACCAAAATTAGCCAGGCATGGTGGCACATGCCTGTAATCCAGCTACTAGGGAGGCTGAGGCAGGAGAATCGCTTAAACCTGGGAGGCAGAGGTTGCAGTGAACAGAGATCATGCCACTGCACTCCAGCCTGGGAGACAGAGCAAGACTCTCTCTCAAACAAAAAAAACAAAAATAAAATAAAATAAAATAAAGAGATGTTGGCAGGGCTGTCTTTCTTCTGGAGGCCCTAGGAGAGAATCCTTTTTATTGTCTTTTCTATCTTCTAGAGACCACCTGCATTCCTTGTTTCAGTACTCCACCCTCCATATTCAGAACTAGCAATGTAGCGTCTTCTCTTTCTCCAAATTCTCCTTCTCCAACTTCTGCTTCCAAGGTCATATCTTCTCTTATTCTGTTACTCTTATTCTCTTACTCTTCTACTTTCTCTTATGAGGACTCTTGTAATGATGTTGAACCCACTTGGATAATCAAGGATAATCTGCCTATCTCAAGATTCTTAATCACATTTGCAGCATACTTATCGCCAAGTAAAGTAACATATTCACAAATTCTAGAGACTAACATGTGGATTTCTCTGGGGGGCTGTTATTAGCTGATCACACAGAGAGAAGTGATGGTGCCCAATCACACACAAGGCTTAAATATTCTGCCCAGAAAGAGGATACTTCATGCCCTTCACATTTCATTGGTTAATCAAGTCACATGGCCACACCTCACTTTTATAAGGTAGAAAGTACAATCCCTCCATGTATACAGAATGAGGAGGATAAGAAAATGCCAGGAATTCTCCTTCAGAGTTAGGAGGAAGAACGCAAAAGGTTTTCACCATCATGGTCACAAGATAAAACTAGAGGAAACAAAAATCATAATTTTCCATTTGGTGAGTAAGTGGCAGATGCAAAGAAGCCCTGATTAACTGAATTTCAGGTGGTGATGAGCCCGTCATGGTTGAGTCAAAAGGCCCAGTGGAGGCCAGCACCTAGTCTGCTGAAGAGCAGGCTGGCCACAGAGGAAGACTATGTGAATGAGAGGCAGCCAAGCTTTTCATGATAGTTCACAAAGACAAACATAAGCCCACAGACCCAAGAAGCTGAGCAAGTCACGGCAGAATAAATACAAGGAAAATCACATCCAGGCACTTTATAATCAAAATGCTGAAAAGCCTAAGTTAAATACAAAAATCTTTCAAGTAGCCAAAGGAAAAAAAGACACTTTATATACATAAAAAAAATTAGGGCTGACATCTCATCAGAAACAACGAATGCCAGAGGGCAATGGAACAAAATCTTTAAAGTGCTGAAAGAAAAACACTTGCAACCCAGAATCTATAAACTACTAAAATATCTTTTAAAGATCAAGGCAAAAATAAAAGCATTTTGGATAAACAAAAGGAGTCATCTGTAGCAGATTTGCACTCCAAGAAATGGTAAAGAAAATCCTTAATTAAGGCTGATAGAAAATGACATCAGACTGAGCAAGTTAACAAGATAGAAAATAAATTCCAAACATCAGGAACAAAAGGAGGTTATTATTGGCAATGCTGCAGACATGGAAACATTAAATAAAGGATTTTGAACAACTTTATCCTCAAGAATACTGACGACTTAGACAAGATAGGCAAATTCCTTGTGCTGTATTTTTTTTTTTTTTTTTTTTGGTAGAGACAGGGTCTTGCTCTATTGCCCAGAATGGTCTTGAACTTCTGACCACAAATGGTCTGCCTGCCTTGGCCTCTCAAAGTGCTGGGATTACAGGTGTAAGCCGCTGCACCTGATCTAATTTGGTTTTGAGGGCTGTCTCTGGAAAGTTGGCCGTAAGCCAAGATATCCACTGTCTAGGAGAGCCTTGACTAGGGTAAAGTTAGGTTCAAGTGTGTGTGTCAGGTGAGGCACGATGAAGAAGTGTAACCAAAAATGCATGAGATAGAAGGAATTTATTACTTATAGTTCCCAGGGAAGTTAGGGGTGCTGATGGGAGGCTGATGGGAAGTGTAGAGGTAGTAGGGAGCTCAACCAGCAAGTGATGGGGAAGAGGGAGAGGGAAATGGGGAAGGATAAGGAGAGGGAAAAGGGTAGGAGGGAGGACCTATGAGGCTATGCCTATATTAAGGTCCATAGGTGTTACCCTTTAGGCTTTCTCACAGGGATTGTGGATTATCTAATTTAAAGAAAATATGTGCAAAGAGGGGAACTTACTTTCATGACTCTGGTGTTGATCATTAGGTTTTATCACGGTTAGCAGCTATGAGGTGTGTGGGATTTGGGGTCAGTGGGATGAAGAACAAGTGGGCTATATCAGAAATAACCATCACAGGAAGGGGAAGTTTTAACTAGGCTAAAGGAGGTGGGGAATGGCTGGGTTTCAAACAACTTATGTAAGGCCTAAAGATGGATGCCAAGCAAGTATATTAAACATATTTATGATACCTTAAAAAAACGACATAACAAAACTGACACAGGAAGAAATAGAAAATCTGAAAATCTCCAAGTTGATTTAAAAAATTGAATGTGCAATTACTTGCAAGGAAACTTCAGTCACAGATGGCTCTACTAAATTCTATCAAACTTGCAATGCAGAAATTATACCAATTGCACATAAACTGTTTCAGAAAATAGGGGAGGAGGAAATCATTTCCCAATTTTTAAATGTTTTGGCCAGCACAATCCTAGTACCATAACCAGACAAAAAACATTACAAGAAAAGAAAACCACAGACCAATATTCCTCATGAATATAGACACAAAAATCCTTTAACAAAATATTAGCAAATTGAACCCAGCATTTTTTAAAAAGAATAACACAACATGACCAAGTGAAGTTTTTCCGAAGAATGCAGTGTCATTTTATTATTTCAATATTAATAAATCCATATAATTCATCACATTATCAGAAAAAAGAGAAAACCCATACAGCCATCTCAATAGACACAGGAACAACATTTGACAAAATTCAATACCTTTTCATGATACAAACTCTCAGTACACTAGGAATAGAAGGGACCTTCCTCAACCTGAAAAAGACATTTCAAAAAAAGCCCACAGTTAGGCCAGGTGCAGTGGCTCATGCCTGTAATCCCAGCACTTTGGGAGGCTGAGGCAGGAGGATGATTTGAGCCCATGAGTTTGAGACCAGCCTGGTCAAGATAGTAAGACCCCATGTCTACAAAAAATAAAAAATTAGCAGGGTATGGTGGCATGTGCCTGTGGTCTCAGCTATTTGGGAGGCTGAGGTGGGAGGACTGCTTGAGACTGGGAGGTCAAGGCTACAGTGGATCATGCCACTGTACTCCAGCCTGGGTGACAGAGCAAGACCCTGTCTCTAAATAAATAAATAAATAAAAACCTACAGCTTACATCATATGTAATAATGAAATCTTCAAAATTTCACCTTAACGTGGAGAACAAGGCAAGGACGCACAATTTTACCACTTTGATTCAACGCTCTACTGGACATCACTATCCACTGGGACAATAGGGCAAAAAAAGGAATAATAGGCCGGGTGCAGTGGCTCACGCCTGTAATCCCAGCATGTTGGGAGGCTGAGGCAGGTGGATCATGAGGTCAAGAGATCGAGACCATCCTGGCCAACATGGTGAAACCCCATCTCTACTAAAAATCTAAAAATTAGCTTGGTGTGGTGGCATGCATCTGTAGTCCCAGCTACCTGGGAGGCTGAGGCAGGAGAATCGCTTGAACCCATGAGGCGGAGGTTGCAGTGAGCCGAGATCATGCCACTGCACTCCAGCCTGGCAACAGAGCAAGACTGTCTCAAAAAAAGAAGTAATAGTCAGGCAAGGTGACTCATGCCTGTAATCCTAGCACTTTGGGAGGCCAAGGTGTATGAATTACTTGAGCTCAGGAATTTGAGACCAGCCTGGGCAACAGAGCAAGACTCTGCTCCCTGCACCCTCCAAAAAAAAAAAAAAAGAAAAAGAAAAGAAAAAAAATTAGCTGGGTGTGGTGGCTCATGCTTGTAGTCCCAGCTACTTGGAAGGCTGAGGTGGGAGGATGACTTGAGCCCAGGAGGTCGAGGGTGCAGTGAGTTGGAATCAAGCCACTGCACTCCAGCCTGGGTGACAGAGCCAAACCCTGTTTAAAAAACAAAACAAAACAGAAATAATAGGCATAAAGATTGGAAAGAAAGAATTAAAACTGTCTAGAACTAATAAGTGAATTTACAGGGTCTCAGGATACAAGGCCAATATAAAAGTATCAGTCGTATTTCTATACACTAGCAACAAGCAATTGGAAAATTAAATTTTAAAAAGCACCACTTTACAAAAGGTCAGACTGAGGGAATACTCTGGGGTGTTGGAATCATGTTTATGGTGGTGGTTATGCATGATCTGAAAATGAAATTAGGAAAACTATTTTACTAGCATCAGAAAGAATAGCATCCTTAGGAATAAATTTAACAAAGGAGGCAAAAGACTTGTACACTGAATACTGCAAAACATTGCTGAAAGAAATTAAAGAAAATCTAAATAAATGGAAAGACAGTCCATGTTTATGGCTTGGAAGACTTAATATTGTTAATATGATAGTACTACCCAAAGCGATCTACAGATTCAGTGCAATTCCTATCAAAATCCCAATGATATTTTTTACAAAAATAGAAAAACCCATCCGAAAATTCAAATGGAATCTTAAGGTAACCCATATAACCAAAATGATCTTGAAAAGAACAAAGTTGGAGGATTCACACTTCCTGATTTCAAAACTTACTAAAAATCGACATTAATCAAACAGTGTGGTACTGGCATGGGAACAGATGTATAGACCAATGGAATAGAATTGGGAGCCCAGAAATAAACCCTCACATGTATGGACAATTGATTTCTGACAAGGATGCCAAATCATTTAATGGGGAAATGACAGTTCCTACAACAAATGGTGCCAGAAAAATGGAATATTTACATGCAAAGGAATGAAGTTAGACCCTTATCCTACACTACATACAAAAATTAACTCAAAATGCATCAAAGACCTAAACATATGAGCTAAAACTGTATAACTCTTACAAGAAAGCAGCAAAAATATATTTGTGACATTGGATTTGGCAATGACTTATTGGATATGACACCAAAAGCACAGGCAACAAAATAAAAAATTGATAAACTGGACTTCGAAAAAATTTTTGAAGTTTGGTGCACCAAAAGACACTATCCAAAAAATGAAAAGACAACATTCAAAATGGGAAAAATATTTTCAAATCATATATTTAATAAGGATCTAGTATTCAGAATATCTAAAGAACTTTACAATTCAACAACAAAAAGACAACCCAATTTTAAAATGGCCAAAGAACTTGAACAGATATTTCTCCAACAAAGATATACAAATAGCCAATAAGCACATGAAAAATGCTCAACATCATTACTCATTAGAGAAATTCAGTCAAGCCACAATGAGATGCTACTTTACACCCACCAGAATGGCCATAATGAAAACAAAACCAAAATTAACAAGTGTTGGTGAGCATCTGGAAAAATTGGAACCCTCATCCATTGCTAGTGGGAATGTCAATTGATGCAGCCTCTGTGGAAAACAGTTTGGTGGTTCCTGTAAAAGTTAAACACAGAATTATAATATGACTCAGCAATTTCACTCCTAGATATATACTCAAAAGAACTGAAAACAAATATTCAAACAAACACTTGTACATGAGTGTTTATAGCAGCACTATTTATAATAGCCAAAAGGAGGGAGAAACTCAAGTGTCATTGATGGACAATGGATAAACAAAATATGGTTTACCCACACAATGGAATATTATTCAACCATAAAAAGGAATGAAATTCTGATATATGCCATAATGAAGATAAACTTTGAAAACATTATTCTAAGTGAAAGAAGCCAGACACAAAAGGTGACATATTATATCATTCTATTTATATGATTCTCCTTATACAAAATAAATAGAATAGCTCAGTCCACAGAGACAGAAAACAGATTAGTGGTTGGCAGGGGCTAGAGGGAGGGGGAAATGACTACTAATAGACTGGGGGCTTCTTTGAGGGGATTATAGAAATGTTCTAAAAATCAGATAGTCGTGACAGTTGCACAACCTTGTGAATATATTAAAAACCACTGGGTTGGACACTTTAAAAGGCTTTTTAATATATGTAATTTATATCCCAGTTTTTCAAAAAAAAAAGAGAATCTATCATAGAAATATATATCACAAAAGTGAATACTACCGCTTGTAAATAAATTTTTTAAAGACCATTTATAATAGCAACCAAAAACCATAAAATATTTAGGAATAAATTTGATAAAATATGCGCAAGGCTTCTATACTGGAAACTATAAAACATTACTGAGAGAAATTAAAGAAGATCTAAATAAATGGAAGGATGAGTCAAGTTTATGTTTCAGAAAACTCAATATTAAGATACTCATTCTTTTCCAATTGATCTATAGGTTCAATGCAATTCCAATCAAAATTGTAGTAGGCCTTTTTAATATATATATAAACTTTTTTATAGAAACTAATAGTCTGATTTTACCATATGTTGTGCTGTTTAAGTAGCCAACAGGAAGCCACTTCAGGCTCTGGGAAATCTTTGTTTTATGGAAATGAGCAGCATTAGAACCTTCAGCTAGGAGTGGATGAGTTGGATTTTGCTTAACTCGGGGATCCTTTGATTCACTAGTTACTACTCAAGGGAAAATGAGGAAACAGCCCAGAGAAATGAATACTATCAGATCATTCTCTAAGTGTGGGCCATACTCAGAAATGAGTTTGGAGATGTTGAAGTCACTCAGTAGCTCTATGGCTTCTTTGATTGGCTGATTGTTTTGTGAGACTTCTAAACCTTGTTTCCTCTTGAAATGCCAAATCCATTGCTAACTAAATGAGACAACCCGTAAGGAGGACTTGACAAAGCATACAGGACACTCAGTAAAAGCTGAGCTGCACCCTTCCTGGACCTGGCCTTTTTGGGTCAGGTTTTCTGTGTTGACTCATACACAGATGAAGGTCGTGCTCTGGACAAGGAAGAACATAAAACCAGAAAAAAAGCTGGCAAAGAGTAAAACACAGGGGATGGGGACCAGGACCGAGATAGGAAGAAGCCCAAGAGACAGATGAGCTGCAGACATGACAGGGAAAACAAAACAATGAGATGCTAAGATTGCAGAGTTGGGCAGGTCTGCATGACAGGGTTCATGGAGTATATTTCAGTTTTTCAAAGACCGTTGCCAGGACTTTTTTTCCATTTATTTCTTTATGGCTGGGTGCAGCGGTGACTCATGCCTGTAGTCCCAGCACTTTGGGAGGCGGAGGCAGGCCGATCACTTGAGCCCAGGAGTTCGAGGCATGCCTGGGCAACATGGCAAAACCCTGTCTCTACGAAAAAATATAAACATTATCCAGGTGTGGTGGTGCGTGCCTGTAGTCCAGCTATAGGGAGGCTGAGGTGAGAGGATTGCTTGAGCCTGGAAGAGGGAGGTTGCAGTGAGCCAAGATGGCACCACTGCACTCCAGCCTGGGTGATGGAGTGAGACCCTGTCTCAAAAAAAAAAAAAAAAAAAAAGAGAAAGTATTTTATAATTTGAATGGTATTACAATGTGTTATGTACCACAAATATGCAAATCAAGACACTAATGTTATATTTTGAGATATCTGTACTCAGAACAAGAGAAGCTTCTTCCCAAATTTCCCTTTGAGAGCATCTCTCCCCTTCTCAAATCGTCCCTCTCCCCATAAAACAATGGCAGCTCAAGAAACATTTGATGGATGAAAATCAGACACATATTGATAACCTCACCAACTACTGCAGGAAAGAATGGGCTAGGCTTTGCATATGCACGATGAGGTATGGAATCTACTTGTTTGGTTTTATTGCACCTAGCTATCACCGGAAAGCACTGCTTCTTTATCACAATTCCTACAGGGTAGAATGTGGTGGAGTAACTGGGCATTCTGAGTCATTTCCAAAAACTCTTTAAAGGGGTGTTCTGCAAATAATACTATTTCTTAAGGTAGGAGCAACTTTCACAATCTGTTCAAGTCCTAACAAGTAATATATTACATTTTGAATCAGAATAAGTCAAACCAGAATTTTTAAAGTACATATTAATAATAGTTCTTGTGGATTGTGTAATAGTTAAAATAGCAGTTAAAAAAAAAAGAAAGAAAGAAAGTGGATTTCCCACTTAGTAACTAGTTGATACTTTATCGTAACTAAAGTTTGAAAGGCAGCATTTGGGATTCATGAGTAAGATTTTCTTCCATGACACCTGACCAAGCAATTGCTGCTCCATTCTTTCCTGCAGTAACCTTTATTATGATTTTAAAATAAACTTTGAAATTTAAAACAGTTTCAGATTTACAGAAAAGTTACAAAGATACTACACAGTTCTACAGCTCCAACGCCAAGTTTCCCCTATTATTCACATCATAACACTAGTGTGACACATTTGTTAGAATTAACGAACCAATAGTGATATGTTGTTATTAACTGAAGTCTATAGTTTATTCAGATTTCCTTATGTTTTGCTTCGTGTCCTTTTTCTGTTCCATGGTCCCTTCTAGGACACCAGATTTCACTTAGTTGTCATGTCTGCTTAAGCTTCTCTTGGTCGTGACGGCTTTTCAGACTTTATTTTTGATGGCCTTGTCAGTTTTGAAGACTACTGGTCAGGTACTTTTTAGAATGTCCTTCAGTTGGGATTTGTCTGATGTTTTTCTCATAATTAGGCTATTGGGTGTTGGGAAGGAGACCACAGAGGTGAAATGCCATTCTCATCACATCCTATCAAGGGTACACGGTGTCAACATGACATCACTGTGGGCATTAATAGGATGATTTTTTTTTTTTTTTTACCTTACCAGGGAAGCATGGAGCTCCCTGAAGGATGAGCCAGACCTCAGTTTCCAGGCATATGTGGGAGAGGCTGTGGGGAAAGGGGCTTGAGCTTCAGATTCAGTCATGGAAAAGGGAGAGAAACCCGACCAGGCAGAGATCATATGCCTGCTGGGAAGCCACAGTGATTTACACTGCTGAGTGGAGAATTGCTGAGTAAATATTGCTTCCAAGGAGGGAGGATGTGCCCTGCTGCCTGCTCCCACCCAGTGCCTGGTAAGTGGATGCCCAAAAAAGCTTTTATCTATGCTGCAAGGAAGCCCAGGAATCCTGTGGGTGGTGGCAGTGGTGGTGGTTCAGGTGGGAGTAATTTATGAATATAAGTATTTGCTTAGGAGGCAGAGGTTATGTTTAAAATGTGAGCCTGTTTAAGGGAGCAACCTAAGTAAATGAAGGCAAAAGCATTACATAGATATGGCCCAAACCAGGCTGGTAGGAGAAATGTGCCCGAGGCTTGACTCCATGGGTTAGGAGCCAAAGGGGATGGATGTACCCCAGGCTAGCCTGGAAAGGGATTAATTCATGGGCTGCAGGGCCCCAGAAGGCAGGAGCCAGGTGGGGTAGTAATAAAACTGTCTGTGCAGCCCAGTGGATGTTGGCCATGCCTCCTCCCCAAACCCACTGTGGATTGGTGACAGAGGGATGGCATTTCCAGTCTTCTTCTTGCTCACCCTCAAGGACTCTGTGCAGTATGCAGGCCAGGATTCTCTCAGGCTGTGGGTTTCCACATGTGCTTCTGCATGGAAAGTCCCCTGGCTGCTGCAGGATGTCCTTTGCAGAGCCCCATCCTGTCCTCCTTATCGCAGCTGCAGGCAGCCTGAGCCACATTCCTCCTGCCTGAGTCACTGTTCCAGGCCACAGGCCACCTTGCCTCCAGCTTGGCCTATGGACCAGGCCACTGTCCATTCCATCATTTGCCAGACACTGTGGAGTGTCCCTGCCCTTAAGGTCTTACCCTGGTGACCATGCAAGGCAACAACTGTGGAGCTGGGGGACTGCCAGGGTTCCATGGAGGAAGGCAGAGGGCAGAGGAGGGGACGGGGGAGCCTCCTGGAGGAGGCGACTGCTGAGTTAAGTGCTGGGGAAAAGGGAGTGTTCCAGGTAAAAGGGGATAGGGGATGAGATTGCCACATTGTGGGAAATGAAATGTTGTGTTGAATGAAACTCATTTAAGGAGACGCTAAGCCAGAAATGTTAATGGGATTAAAAAGGACTCTTCTATACCTAGGATGGAGTTCTGAGGATGGTGATGCTAGGATACAAAGTCTTGATCCCTTTGTTAGGCTCTTCTCTTCAAAAAGTGGTGGGGGGCCGGATGTAGTGGCTCACACCTGTAATCCCAACACTTTGGGAGGCCAAGGCAGGAGGATCACCTGAGGTCCGGAGTTTGAGACTAGCCTGGCCAACATGGGGAAACCTTGTCTCTAATAAAAAATACAAAAATTAGCCAGACATGGTGGCACACACCTGTAATCTCAGCCACTTGGGAGGCTGAAACAGGAGAATCACTTGAACCAAAGAGGCGGAGGTTGTAGTGAGCTGAGATCGCACCACCGTACTCCAGCCTAGGCAACAGAATGCGACTTGATCTCAAAAAAAAAGAAAAAGAAAAAAAGAAAAGGCAGTGGGGTTAGGTGGTTGGGGATCCCAGGGAAGGAAAGCGAGGGCACATCCTCCTAGACACCTCTCCTCTTCCCAGTAGCTTCAAGACAAGCTTGGACTATGTTCCTGTGCTGCTTGGGCTGATGGCCCAAAATTGCTGAGCCTCAGCTTCCCCCAGGGTTAAACTGGAAGCAATAGTGCCTGCCACAGAGGATACTGAGGAAGTCCTGAGGGAACAGTGCAGGGCCCAGCGCAAATGGCCAGTAAGTGGTGTTTGTGACTAATGACAAAATGGGATCAGGCCTCTCCCTAAGGAGGGACCTGCACAGCAAGAGGCTCAGGGCAGCTAGGGTAGGGGAAGACGCCAACATTGCCTGTCCTAGGGCTCTCCCTCTGGTCTTCCCTGTCCCTGCTTACTCTGAGTAAAAAGACAGTCCAGGCATAGTGGCTCATGGCTGTAAGCCTAGCATTTTGAGAGGTCAAGGCAGGAGGATTGCTTGAGGCCAGGGTTCCAGGTTGCAGTGAGCTATGTTTGCGTCACTGCATTCCAGCCTGGACAACAAAGCAAGACCCTGTCCCTACAAAACAATAATAATAACTTTAAAATTAGCCAAGTGTATCTATCTATACCTCCTTGGGAGGCTGAGACAGGAGGAACCCTTGAGTCTAGGAGTTCCAGGTTGCAGTGAGTTATGATTGCACCACTGCAGTCCAGCCTAGGTGAGAGAGCAAGACTCTGTCTACAAAAAAAAAAAAAAAAAAGAAAAAACAAAAAAGAAGAAAGAAAACAAAGAAAAAGACAAAACACAAACTAGAATTTCTGGAATAATGTGGGTCACAGAATCTTTAGAAATGGGGGATACCTCACCACCCATTGCTCCCAGCCCTCTCTACCCACTCACAATTTCAAGACAATTTCAGTTCCTTCCCATTCAATGACTCATAAGAAAACAAAACAATAGTTTAAATAAATACTACATCTGGCAAAGCCATTCAGCATTTTAGCCTTATTGTTGGTTTCCACTCAAATATTTATGAAGCATATAAGATGTGCAATGCTCACTGCTAGGTGTGGTAATGCCAGTGAAGGGTAGTTTAAATTAAATGTGTACACTCACCCTTCTGCTTTAAACAAAGTGTCTTGGCCAGGCTTCTTCAGGAAAACAGAGCCAATAGGCTGTGTGTATATATAGAGAGAGAGGTTTACTTTAAAGAATTGGCTCATAAGATTGTCGGGGCTGGCAAGTCTGAAAACTGCAGGGCAGATGGGCAGGCTGGAGACCCAGGGAAGATGTGAGTCTGAGGAGGGCCTAGAGGCTTCTTTCCTCTCTTTGGGGACCTCAGTTTTTTTTCCTCGAAGGCCTTCAGCTAGCTGGATAAAGCTCACACATATTATGAAGGGTACTCTGCTTTACTCCAAGTCTATTGGTTTAAATGTTAATCTTATCTAAAAAGTACCCTCACAGAAAAATCCAGACAACATATGACAAAGTATCAGAGTACTGTGGCCTAGCCCAGTTCACACATGAAATTAACCATCACAGAACGTGACATGGGGTGATGTGCTTCTCATGAGTGTCCCAGGCAGTGTTCCTCTGCTTCTCCTTGCCCTCCGCAGGTAGCTCCAAGCCAACCTTCTCCTGCCAGAGGACACAGGGGCTGAGAAGGAGTGCTGGGCGTGGATGCAGGGGCCTGGCTCACAGCCTTCCCTTGCCTCTAGTTTCTCTCTTGAACCTCAGGTTCCTTAGGTGTAGAGCGAGCCCGCCGCTACACTTGCCTCAATATTGTTGTGGGCATTAGATGGAAACAACGTGTGTGGGGTGCACGGTGTGCCGTCAAGTGCAGTGGCTGTGCTATCAGGAGGGCTAGAGGCTCTGACACAGAGCAGGGCAGAGCGACCCTGGATCCTGATGGGTGGCGGTGGGCTTGCCTTATGGACGGAGGCAGCAGAGGACAGATGGTCCAACCTCAAGGAATTTTCCTGAGTTCACAGGAAAGTGTTAGCAATCCTCCCAGCCCAGGGCTCCTAAATTGAGTCTCTCTCACTCTTTGTAAATTATATTGTACTCTTTCCAAAAATTCTAAGACATTCAAGTTCTCCTTCTTCATCCTCCCACCCCAAATCCACTCCTTTTTCCAAAGGAGACAATCATTAACTCCTTAACATAAATCATTTCACATCCTCTCTTACTGATTTTTTTAAACTACAAAAAGGTGGTTGTCTATATTTGTGATTTTATTGTTGTTCACTTACCAACGTATTGTATGTATTTTTCAATGTCTAAATCTGACTTCTTGTATAGTAGTAGGCTTTTTTAACTTTCTACTCACTTAAAATAGAGAAGAAAGATAAAGAAGAAAAATAAACAAAAGACTTCTACAAATAAAATATAAACCTCGTTGTAGGCCAATGAAATCAGTTTTCTGGGAAAGCATCCACATTGCTCAGTCCCTTTTTCTCTGAGAAGGGCCCTGGCCCAGGTGATGCTACCAGGAGGCCTTGCCTGTGCTCTCCAAGAACTTACGTGCACCCAGAAGTCCCCACTTATAGGTTCCATTCCTAGAGTGTCCTCCTTTGTGTTTCTCTTTGGCTGCTGTAGCCATGTTTGCCTCTGAGGCAGAGCCAAATGCTGTGGGCTCTGTGCCACTCCATAAGCAAACAAATGGCAGCACTGAATTTCAAAGAAAATTCCTTAGGTTACTGTTTTCCTTCCTTCCTTCCTTCCTTCCTCCCTTCCTTCCTTCCTTCTTTCCCTTTCTTTCTTTTCTTTCTTTTTTCTTTCTCTTCCTTTTTCTTTTTCTTTCTTTCCTTTCTCTCTCTCTCTTCTCTTTCTTTCTTTCTCTTTCGCTCTTGTTGCCCAGGCCTAGTGCAATGGTGCAGTCTCGGCTCACTGCAACCTCCACCTCCCAGGTTCAAGTGATTCTTCTGCCTCAGCCTCCCGAGTAGCTGGGATTACAGGCATGCACCACCACGCCCAGCTGATTTTTTGTATTTTTAGCAGAGATGGGGTTTCTCCACATTGGCCAGGCTGGTCTTGAGCTCCTGACCTCAGGTGATCCATCCGCCTCGGCTTCCCAAAGTGCTGGGATTACAGGCATGAGCCACTACGCCTGGCCAGGTTACTGTTTTTCTACAAAACCTTCCAAACAGCCAAGCAAGGAGTTCGGGGGGAGTTGTACAAATGCGTACTTTGAGGAAGCTCATTTTTGAGGTCTAATGTTGTCTGTAATAATTTTCCGTTGCGAAGAGCAGAAATTCTCTTCTTTATCTCTAGTGAGCAATTTCCTTTCCAGATGTTATTAGGGGAGATATCAGTCACCAAGGCCTTGGCTGGCTCCCTGATAAAAGCCCTTGCAGTATTCCACACTGCAGAACCCCAGGCTATGCCCTCCTGGATTCATACTAGAAAGATCCAAGGCTCCAAGCCACCAGGGCTGATGGATGTGACTCATCTTCCTGACCCCAGGGGAGGCGAGTGGTGTGTTTGGTGCACACTGTGCACCTGTCAGTAGTCAGCATCCTGTAGGCCAGGAAAACACTGACTCTTCTCAGGAAAGGCTTTGACGGCAGTTGGAACAGAAGTACAAGTAGACAGAGGCCACTGAGTTATGGAAGAAAACCAGGCTGGATCCAGTTCTGTGGATCCAGGAAGAAGGATCCCTCCTTTTCCTGCTCAAGCTGGTCATCAAAACAAGTAAACAACTAGCCCCCCTTTTTTGTTTTTTTAGGGTTTTAAGGTTTGCTATTACATAGGAAACATGGTAGTATACATGGTGAATACCAAAGAAGGCATAAAACATTAGTGATTTTTAAGAGGTCCAGTGGGTGGTTTCTACTGGCTCTTTCTGTCCCTCATTATTCTAGAGGAGTTCCTCCATTAAAGTCCTCTGCTATTCACCCCACAAATCCCTCAACCCCTCTCTCTCCCCCGGCCTCAATCACAGATCATTGCTTCTTTAGCTAGTTATTTACTCCTTCCCTTGTCTCATAAAAAAGTTGAGCAAGCTTATTAGAATAAGAGAATAAAGGACGAAAAGAAATGGTCAAAATAAGCAATGAAGAAGGCAAGGAAAATAGTTGATAGAGCCAGCAATAAGATGAGCACATGGAAACATCTATCATATGATGTTATTCAGTTACTACAAGCGGGCATGAGCCAAGAGTCCTAGGAGCCAAGGAAATGAGAAATATAACCAAGCAGAACATACAAGTCAGGAAAACTCTGCCTTTCTAATGCACAGACCAGAGGGGATGTGGGTGATCCCAGTCCCGAGTTAAGTGTTTCTCTGACATTTTCTTATTTGATCCTGACAATCTCGTGGGGTGGACATTATTATAACACTCATTTTACAGATAAGGAAACTAAGAATTCAAGAGTAAGTTCGTAATGTGCCCAAGACTACAGTTAGTGAGATGCAGAAATGAGATTCAAACCCAGGCTATCAGGCTCCATGTCTGGGTCCTGAATGAAAAAGCTCACCCTACAGGACTGGGGTGGGGGAGTGGGGTTCTGTGGGACATTTCTGAGACAAATGTAATAGGCATTTTTGTAGGTCCATATCTCCTGACCTCTTTCAATCCAATTCCTTAATATGGGCACAAAAGCATAAACCCTGTTGAAATTCAGCAAAAGCAATTCCTTGAAGCCAAACAATTTGTGCAGGTGCATAGTTCTTTGATAACCTAATTTCCTTCTCTATTTACATAAATGAATACTGCAGATTCTATCAGGAATTATAACAACAGGTATTTATTCAAGCCATAGTCAGTCATTCAATGCATCCGCAGCCCTCTCTATTAAGATTTATACCCCACTAGAACCTCAAAGCTGAAGTCTTTGGTCTTCTCACTCTCAGGCTTCCTAACCTCTACAGAGAAAATACTCTTAAATACACAGCCCTCCGGGACAACTGAACACACAATGAAGACCTCTATTAAGAACATTTACAGGACAACTTTACCTGTCCATGGTTCTTCTCTTCTATATTCTTTGTTAGATGTTTTAGGAATTGGGTACTTCCTCTATTCAAGACCGCATACCATTTAGGCAGCATTTCTCAAACTTTCAGCATCTGTAAGCCAGTGCAAGCTAATGCAAAGCACTAACTTTGGGTAAGATTTCATCACAATTTTTAGTAATAAAAATATCTCATTCTTTTTGAAAGCTTTTTTATTATGAAGAAATGCAAACATATACCAAAGGCAGAATAGTATAAAGAACCCCCATGGACTTATCACTCAGCTTCAACTATAACTGACTCATGGCCAATCTTATTTCAACACGATTCTCATCCACTTCCTCTCTCTCATATCATTCTGAAGCAAATCCCAGATGTCATATCATTCCATCCATAAATATTTCAGTAGGTGTCTCTAAAAATATGAATTATTTTAACATTACAATAGCATAATCACAACTATTTGTGAGAATTCCAAAATATTATCAAATATCAAAATATATCAGATTCCCAAATGTCTCAAAATTTTAAAGTTTTTTTTGTTGTTGTTTGAATGAGGATCCAAATAAGGCCCACACATTCCCATCAGATAGAATATTATTTTAAATGACACTATTGTTTCATGCATTTGTAAGAGGGCATAATTTGTAATCTCTCCCCAGGATATCTGTCCTATTTGATAATGGGGTCAAGTTCCATAGTCCATTGATTTCTTTCGTTACCCTTTATTTTTACTAAGTTAAACTCTCCCAATTTACAGTCACTGGAAAGAGTAACAAATATCTGGTATCTTTTTCCAATGACTATGGATTCAGAAATTAAGAGATTTCTTACTGCAAACATGTTTAGCCCTCCACCAGGTGCCAAATCAATCATGAAACACATTTAAAATTTGGACAGATCCATGCTTTAACTTGGGAGATGGGGGAAAATGGGTCCCCCTCACCTACAGGGACTGCCTTCTGGCTCTGAAGAGCATATTTTCAACGTTACAGGTCGTTTTAAACCATGCCTAATACCAGATTAAGAAAGAGTCAAACTCCAGTCAGAGCAGACTGGACCTGAGTTTGGTCTTAAGAGGATTTCTCAAGTCCAGCTAATTGTTTTTCTCTTAAAGTGTCTGAGTTTTTCTTTTGGATCCTGCAGACCAATACCAGAACTGACCTCTTATCAGAGGCAAATGACCAGTAGATATGCCGTGATGAACAAAGTCATTCAAAGTTGTCAGGAGGACACTGAAAGTGTCAGGCAGGGTATGAGGTGATCCTGAAGCAGGATTGGAGCCAAGTAGAAGAGGAAGAGGGTGATGTAGGAATGAAGAGGGAGGAATCTGCAATGGCATTCATAGTTGACTCCAGTGTGGGATGCCATGTAAAAAGGAACTCTAAATTCACACATACATGCACACACATCCCAAAGAAACCCCTTGCAATTTGCTCATGGCCTGGGATGGAAAGAGCCAGCTGATCTGAGAATAAGAAAATGTACCTTACATGAAATATTCTCTTCATAGTTACAGCAAATGTTCTCAACGCTGGCTGCACATTAGAAGCATCTTGGGAGTTCAAAATACTATGTCCGGGCCCCTGCACAGGCCAGTGGAATCAGAATCTCTGGGTATTTTTAAACCTCCCTCACCATCCCCCTCCTGGACACCCCCCACCCACACAGGTGATTCTAACGTGCAGCCCGGCCTGAGAACCACCGGGGTACAGCATGGACAGCAAGGGCTATTTCAGTACAGGATCAGTTAATGAGCAAGGGCTCATTATTCAAAATACTCACAACTTGAAGCTTGGTTTGGCTCAGCCTGGACTTCTGGAGCTTGGGGTGAGAAGCAACCTAATCTTCAGAATTCACAGCTCTCCCGCAAAAACAATGTCAGCAGGGAGAGCCTGGCAGGGGAATGGGAAAGGAGGTGTGAGGTGTCCTGCACACGAGCTTCCCTTCTGCCCGGGGAGAACACTGGTTCTCTCACTCCTGTGTGCATGATGATCACACGGGGATATCTGTCAAATGCAGCTTCCTGGGCCCCACTCCCTGGGTCGGTCAGAAGGTCTAGGATGTGGCCCAAGAACCTGCATTTTAGCGGGTCTCCAGGTGACCCTCTGAGGGTTTATGGAACAAACACACATCCATAAACCGAGAGGCCTCCAGGAGCAGCAGTCTGTGGGTCCTTCCTGATGAACACGTGTGGAGCAGGGCTTCCCTCTTCAATCCTGGGCCCTGCCCCTGGAGGGTCTGAGCAGTAGGTCTGAGGTGTTGCCTAGCATCAGCATTAGAAGTGATTTCAGGGCACTGCCCAATTGGGGACCTTCATGGAAAAGAAGTGGACCTGCCCCAAGTTTTCTCTGTACAATAGAAGGTGGAAGCGAAGCAGGAAGGACCCTTGGCTCATTCCCTCCTTGCTTCTACCAAAACGGAAGCTGGCGTTTTTCCTAGGCTGACATCTGGCAGGAAGTACAAGCGGAAACCAAACAGCAGCCTCTGGTCTTTCAGAGACCATTGATTTCATCAGCAAAATGGGTCTCAAAGCTTCATCAAAGTGGGTCTCAAAGCATCATCAAAGCAAACATGCAAATTCTTGGGCCCCACCCCAGACCATCTACTGATCAGGTACTTCAGGGAGACAGGCTCCCTAATCTGTGTCACAGGAGGCTCCCAGGTGACTCTGATGCTTGCTCGGTGATTGTGGGCTTAGGAAAGGCCCCCACCTCTTCTGGCCATCCTTTCAGGTCCCTTGTCATGGAGGCAGGGGGAGGCCCCACAGCACCTCTCCCGCTCTCGGTTTGTTATTGGGAAGGTGCTGAAGGATGCTGGGGCTGCCAACCTGGAGGAAAAGGAGCCTGGTTCCAGGCAGCTGCCACTTGCACAGGCTGCTCTCCCAGCTGACTTGCTTTGTTTTATTTTCTCTAAGCCTGAAGAAGGGCTTTCCCCAGAGAGAAAGGACACCTGGTGCCTAATTCCCCAAAGCAGAGGCAGCTGTGGTCCAGAAGCCCCAGGGCCTGTTTCCACTGTCCTCCCTGGGGAAATGCGGGTATAGGGCCCAGAGAGGCCCAGGACTTATCTCGACACTCTCCTTTCCCCGGCCAAGAAAATGCTTCCTCTTCTTGGAGGATGGAGATGCAAACACTCCCTTTCTGGAGCAGGCTGCAGCCAGAGGGGTGGCATCCTGTACCAAGACAAAAGCCCTTTTGGGACAGAGTGTCAATGCTGGTACTCCACACCTCCAAAGATGAGGGGAGGCCGATCTGAGGCAGAGGCACATGTGAGAACCAGCCCAGTGGGACAGAACAAACTACTTGCCTCTTTCTTCTCTGGACCCAATTTTGGAATTCTTCTAAGCATTCTGATCAGAGACAAAGACTAACATGCTCTAAAAGGGGGGTCACCAGGATTAGAAGTAATCCAGACCTGTTGTGGATTCACTGCAGAGTCTTTAAATGTGTTATACGGGGTTCACCACTTTAAAACAAAAATTCAGGGACTTGGGATAAATGAAAAGTATGGTTTTATTGTATCTTCTTGTCAAACACCTTTACTTGAGGCAACAACTGAAGTATAATTTAATTCAGCAGGAAATATCACACTTGGAGGGAAAACACACACTAAAAAAAAAAAAAACCCTTAAATTAAAGCCAAACATTCTTTCCAAGGCACAGCACTGGCATTTTCAGATTGACAGCAGAACGAGTTTGTTTCCGTGAAACAAAATCATGAGTCCAGAGTCTGTTTTTGAAACAGCTTTCCACTTCATCTCCCTTTCTGGGGCTCAGGGAACGATGCTCGTGGCCTTCCTCAGGGCCAGGTAGCCGGTGACGACGTCAGAGGGCAGCCTCCGAATGTAGGAAAACTCTTCAATGGTGCTGAACCGCAGTTTGCTCTGGGGGTCTGTGTAGTTGGCCTGGGTGAAAAGAGGCACAGGGAAGGGCAGAAAGTTTTTGCTGGTAGGGATATTTTAAGTTCAAGTTTAAAAATTTTTTCTATTTCACTGAAAGTGATATATATTTTCATTATGTCTTACTCTGCCACCAAGAACACTAAATCACTCACTGTGGCACAGGCTCATTAACCTTCCCAGACTCTAGAAACACTTCAGGGTATGGACGAGAGGAAGGGGAATGACCACATCAGACTCTGGGACTCTTCTTGTTGGTGCCTCAAGGGCTGCAACAGGTCCAAGACTGAATTCATGATGGTCATCCCTCCCTGCCTTCAGACTCCTGCCTCTTTCCAACAAATGTCCCAGGTCTGTGCTCCTCAAGGCAGGAGCCGACGCCCAGCATGCTGGGCATGTGCCCCTCCCTGCTGTGCTCCACTTACCTCCAGCATGCTCCTTTCCAGCTCTTCCAACACCCCCTGCGCCACTTCCATGCCTCCCTGAGCAACTCTGTAGTGCATCACCAGCCATTCACACCCACCCTTCCCCTAGAACTGCGGCCAGGATCTTCTTTGCAACGTGCAATTCTGATCATGTCATTCCTCGGCATAAAATCTCTCAAAATGGCTCCTCTGCTCTTGGGACAAAGGCCCAAGTCCTCAGTGCAGCTCCTCAGCTATGGGCCTTCCTTTGTCCTCAGCCTCCTCCTCAGCCACATGTCCCCACTCTCTGATTCCAACTGTCCCCGGCCTCTAAGTTCCTCCCTCTTACCATGCCCCATCTGTCCTTTCCTTGGCAGGGGACCCCAACTGCAGCCCATTTTGCTCAGTAATCACCAGTTCATTCTTCAGGACTCGGCCCCAAAGCTACACCTCTGGGGAAGCCTATTTGTACCCCCACAGGAGGTCAGAACCTCACCCTCCACTTTCACAGCAGCAAAAATATTCCAGTGGAATGCACATCTCTGTTGCTTTAAAGTTTATTATCTACATGACTCTTTGATGATGGTCTAGGCTATGAGGGTCCATGAGACAGGAACCACAGTTTGCTTATCATTGTAGACTGGCTCCTAGTGCAACGCAGAGTACACAGAGGGCCTCCAGTCAGGGTTTGTATAACAAAATGAATGACTAATGAATGAATAAACAAACAGACAATTGGGACCATCACAGAAAAGAGAACTTGTTTCCCAGACATATCAAAATTCTCTCTTGGTCTCTGTTCCCCATGTGCCAAGCGGAGAAAATAATTCACTAACTATATACCTCAAAGCACATGGGCTTCTACGGATTTTGAAACAAAAGACATGAGGGTGAGTCATTTTGAGCTCCTTTAAAAAAATTATAAAAGATGCCATTAAAGTCTAGACAGATAACATCCAATTATTCAAGTGTAGATGTCTACTTTAATGTGGATCATCTTTGTGTGGACCTAGACTCACAGTAATCCTGTGATTTAGGAAGGGAGGGAACACTCAATAAAAAAGCAACAAGCTGTCGGGAACTTATTTATAGGCTTCTCATGCCCTAAAAAGTCTTCCATTTTGCCACTGGGAACCCCCCCTAAGTATTTAACTGCTGTGTGTTAGGAAATGGGATTATTCCTAAAAGGCTAAGATTAACTAATGGCTCTATATAAAACTTCGATCCCTTGGCTTGATCTAGATGTTACCTTTCTGTACTACATTTCCTTTAATGACAGTAATATAAGGAAAGGCTTAATTAGAAAAACAGTGACAAGTCTCTTCTGAGGGATCCTGGCAGTGAGGGAAGTTAGGTTAACTAGCAGGAGAGGCTGCCCTGCAGTTCCGAGCAGAGTGTAGGCATGTGTGTCTGGCGTGGACCATCTGGCCTCCATAGACGAACCAGCCTCGGCTGAGCTCCATGTCTGTGGCTGCCTCACTCCTACCAGCAAACTGTGCTGAGCCGGCCCGCCCAAGTTCAGACCTCACTGCCAAGAGGGCTGCTGAATAAACAGTGCAGAATACAGAGATCCTGTGGCACCAACAAAAAGGTTACCAACAAAAACCTGAACAGACTGCACTGGACCCAGGGGCCAACATCTAGGATTCTGAATAGAAGGAAGGATGCCAAGTGACACCCAGGAGTTGAACAAGTAAAGAGCTTCACACCTACAGTCCACCCTCCTCTGGATGCCATCCTTTGAGCCTGAGTGAAATAAGCAAACGCCAACTTCCCACAGGGAAGCCAGCAAACAGCTTCAGGCCCCCCTTGCTGTAGGGTGACAGGCAGTATTCACGGCTTGCCCGTCTCACCCAGAATACACTTTTCATAGCTCTGTAACGAGTGCTGAACACAGGTATGACCCTGCATGTCTTGCTGCCATGCCTAGGCACAGGGGAAAGAGTCACATGGCTGGCTAGGAACAGGTGTGTGTCAATGTAAATGTGAACTAGGCTTTACTTTTTAATTATGTAACTTTAAATTATATAAGCAACAGACGAACACGTTCTCCTCTAAAAAGAATTAAAAGAAAACATTACAGATAAGACTAAAGTCCTCATTTATCACCATCTACCATCCAAAAGTCCTCTGTCTTCCCCAGGAGAAACCACTGCTAAGTGGGCACCTTTCCAGACTTTTTATGTCTACCCCTATACACATATGTAAACACACAAGAGAAATAACCCAATTTGTGTGTGTGTGTTGATTTTTATATATGTGGCACCATGCTGTTTATATTGCTTTGCATCTTTCAATCAACATTACATCCTGGAAATTTAGCCATGTTGTTACTATGCATTGAGCTCAAGAACAGTATGAAAATATCCACTGTGATAGACCTTGATGTTGCTTCCAGCATTTTGCGAATGCGGTCTCTCATAAGCATTTCTGCATGAAGTTCTTTGTGCACACTATTTCTTTTTTTTTTAATTTTATTATTATTAAAGTTTTAGGGTACATGTGCACAATGTGCAGGTTTGTTACATATGTATACATGTGCCATGTTGGTGTGCTGCACCCATTAACTCGTCATTTAGCATTAGGCATATCTCCTAATGCTATCCCTCCCCCCTCCCTGCACCCCACAACATTCCCCGGAGTGTGATGTTCCCCTTCCTGTGTCCATGTGTTCTCATTGTTCAATTCCCACCTGAGTGACAACATGCGGTGTTTGGTTTTTTGTCCTTGTGATAGTTTGCTCAGAATGATGGTTTCCAGTTTCATCCATGTCCCTACAAAGGACATGAACTCATCATTTTTTATGGCTGCATAGTATTCCATGGTGTATATGTGCCACATTTTCTTAATCCAGTCTATCGTTGTTGGACATTTGGGTTGGCTCCAAGTCTTTGCTATTGTGAATAGTGCTACAATAAACATACATGTGCATGTGTCTTTATAGCAGCATGATTTATAATCCTTTGGGTATATACCCAGTAATGGGATGGCTGGGTCAAATGGTATTTCTAGTTCTAGATTCTTAAGGAATCGCCACACTGTCTTCCACAGCAGTTGAACTAGTTTACACTCCCACCAACAGTGTAAAAGTGTTCCTATTTCTCCACATCCTCTCCAGCACCTGTTGTTTCCTGACTTTTGAATGATCGCCATTCTAACTGGTGTGAGATGGTATCTCACTGTGGTTTTGATTTGCATTTCTCTGATGGCCAGTGATGATGAGCATTTTTTCATGTGTTTTTTGGCTGCATAAATGTCTTCTTTTGAGAAGTGTCTGTTCATATCCTTTGCCCGCTTTTTGATGGGGTTGTTTTTTTCTTGTAAATTTGTTTGAGTTCATTGTAGATTCTGGATATTAGCCCTTTGTCAGATGAGTAGGTTGAGAAAATTTTCTCCCATTCTGTAGGTTGCCTGTTCACTGTGATGGTAGTTTCTTTTGCTGTGTGCACACTATTTCTCTAGGGAGCTGCCTATAAGGCATATTGCAAGGTCAGAGGTTTTTCTTTTTTTTAATCTCAACAGACTGCTCCAATTGTCCTCCAAAGAAGCAGTACCAGTGTATGTTCCCACCTCAAAACAACAATGTATGAAGATACCCATTTCTGTTTGTTGGTGCCAAAATGTATAATCAAATGTCTTAATTTCTTCCCTGTTTGATGAGTCTTTCTCCTAATTACTAGTGAAGCTGAATATCTACTTATTGGTCATCTATATTTCTTCTCTGGCAATTGCCTATTTATATCCTTTTTGCTGATTCTTCTGTGGGATTGTCCTTTAATGAACTAGGAGAGTTATCTGTCTATTCAGAACTTCTTATTTCCTACATACAGTGGGGCAAGAGGTTTTAGGTAATGTGTAATGTGACAAGTCCATTGCCAATGTCATAAAGGGGCCTGGAATAATGATTCTCCCTCCTCCTAATGTGTGAAAACCATTGTACTAGCAGATGAGCTGCCTGAAACAATAAGGATAAAGCTGACATTCTGAGGAACCACCCTCCAAGTCTGGCCATAAACTGTGGCCTCCAGAAACTCAAAATGACACAGGGAGAGATTTCCACTTTGGGTCATAACAGAATAACTGGTGCCAGATGAGCTCTCTTGCCATAAACGACTATTACAACAGGCCAAATACATGAAGTAGCCATTTTCAGGCAACAGACAAGAGGTAGCACAAGACTGCAATGCCTGAGAAAAGAGAAGCTCACAAGGTAAGTTCCAGGATCATCCAAACTCTCTCTGCCTGTGACAATTTCCTGACCATGGGGCAGAGGTGGAGCTCACGCAGAGCTCAGATTCAGGGGCTACTGAAACACCTGTTATTGGCAAAGCTGAGTAACAGAAGAGGGAGCTGCCCTGGAAGGGAGGCAAAAGTCAGTTTGGGATTCCACGTGAGTCCATAACCATGGGCTGGGCTATGCATGTTCAAGGCAAGACTATATACGTCTTACTGGAGAGTGGTTAAGAGGGAAAGAGAAAATCCAGAGGTTGAGCAGTGCTAGGAGTTGCTGAAGTGCCAGCCCAGCCAGAATAGAGAGATCTCTATAACACTCCTGGCACCTAGCTCAGGCAACAGAAAGGCCACAGCTTGGGAAAAAAAATCATGCCCTTGAGTACCATCTATTCTAGTCTCACCACAACAAAGCCTAACACCAAACTTCAGTAAGACTGGCAGAGGATAAAGCACTTAGAAGTTAAGTGCAACTAAGTTAAAGGAGCTTGGGAAACATCATGGGCTTTCTGCAGACCTGTCCTAACAAAGGTGATCAGTCAGTAACTGAGCTACCACAGGAAAAAAATACTCTTCAAGGAAAGATAACAGAATCTAGAGTTTTTACAATATATCATCCATAATGTCCAGTACACAATCAAAAACTTGTAGATGCAAAGAAACAGGAAAATGTGACGCACAGTTAAGAAAAAAGGCAGTCAACAGAAACTGGCCAAGATGAACCAAATGTTGGACACAGCAGATAAATACTTTAAAGCAGCTATTATGTGTTCAAGGACTTAAAATATACATATATATATATATATGTATATATATGTGTATATGTGTGTGTGTGTCTATATATATATATATATATATATATATATATATATATACTTAATAACTAAGTAGTCTTAAAAGACAAGGAAATCACCAGAACCAGACCCGAATATGATGTAGGTTTTGAAACTACCAGACAGGAAATTCAAAATAACTATAATTAATATCTTGAAGGAGTTAAAGGAGAGACAACATGCAAGATAGAAAGTTATTTCAGGTCAGGCACGGTGGCTCACATTGGTAATCCCAACACTTTGGGAGGCCAAGGCAGGAGGATGACTTGAGGCCGGGAGTTCAGGACCAGCCTGGGCAACACAGTAAGACCCCTTCTCTATAAAAAAAAATTTAAAAGCCAGGTGTGGTGGCACACACCTGTAGACCTAGCTTCCGGGGAGGCTGAAGCACGTGGATCGCTTGAGCCCAGGAGTTTGAGGCTGTAGTGAGCTGTGATCACATCACTGCACTCTAGCCTGGATTAGAGAGCAAGACTCTATCTCTAAATAAATAAATAATTTAAAAGAAAGTTATTTCATCAGAGACATGAAAACTATAATAATCAAATAGAAAAGCCAGAAATTAAAAACACAATTAGAGAGATAAACGATGCTTCCAATAGGCTCATTGGTATACTCTATACAGTGAGTAAAGAACTTGAAGACACATCAGTAGATACCATCCAAACTGAACCGCAACGAAATAAGAGTTTTTAAAAGCAAACAAACCAGAACAGAGCATCCAAGAGTTTTGGGACACTATCAAATAGTTTAACATGTGTGTAACTGGAATCCTAGAAGAAGGGAAAAAGACAAGGCAAAAGAAATATTTGAAGAAATAATAGCCAAGAATTTTCCAAAATTCTTGACAGATACCAAACCACAAATCCAAAACCTCAGAGAACATCAAGAATACATACCAGAAAAATAATACCCTGAGTCATATTCAATACCCAGTCATATTCAAACTGCTGAAAACAAAAGACGAAGAGAAGATCTTGAAGGCAGTCAAACAAGAAACATTACATAGAGATGAACAAAGGTAAGAATTATATCAAACTTCTCATCAGAAACCATGGAAGCAAAAAGACAACATTTAACCACTGACATCTTAAAAGTGATGAAAGAAAAAACTGTCAGCCCAGACTTGAAAATGTCATTCAAAAATACTCATTGAAAATATCATTCAAAAAGGAAGAACAAGGCTGGGTGCAGTGGCTCACGCCTGTAATCCCAGCACTTTGGGAGACCAAGACAGGATGATCACTTGAGCCCAGGAATTTGAGACCAGGCCCGGGCAACAGGGTGAAATCCCATCTCTACAAAAAACACAAAAAATTAGCCAGGCATGGTGGCACACACCTGTAGCCCCAGTTACTTGGGAGGCTGAGGTAGATGCATCACCTGAGCCTGGGAGGTCAAGACGGCTGCAGTGAGCCAAGATGGCATCACTGCACTCCAGCCTGGGCAACAGAGTAAGACCCTGTCTTAAAAAAAAAAAAATGAAGAAGAAATAAAGGCTCTTTGACAAAACAAAAAAAGAAAGGACTTCGTTAGTAGCAAATCTACTTTATAAGAAAAGCACAGTAAATTGTTCCAGTAGAAAGAATATGACATCAGATTGCAACTTGGAAATAGACAACAAAATGAAAAAAGGTGGAAACAGAATGAAATGAAGATAAAAGAAAGTTCTTTTTTTTCTTATTTTTATTTCTCTAAAAGGTAACTGTCTAAAGCACAAATTAACAGCCATACATTTTGTTTGTAGCATATGTAAAAGTAAACTATATGACAACAAAGAATGAGAGAGTGGAATTAGAAATTCACTACTAGAAGTCCCTCACATTATGCACAAAGTGGCAAAATATTTGAAAATAGATTCAGGTTATTTAAAATGTATATTGTAAACATGAAAGTAACCATTCATAATTTGTAAAAGAGGTGTAAATAATAAGGAAACAAACAGAATTTTAAAATGTTCAATTAACCCCAGTTTTATCATGAGAAAACATCAGAGGAATTCCAGTAGTGGAGGATTCTACTAAATACCTGACTAGTGCTCCTTAAAACTGTTAAGGTCATTAAAAACAAGGACAACCTGAGAAACTGGCAGAGCCAAGAGGAGTCTAACGAGACAGGATGACTAAATTTGATATAGTTTTAGGTAAAAACTAAGGAAATGTGAATAAATTATAGACTTTAGTTAATAATAATATATAACTATTGGTTCATTAATTGTAACAAATATACCATAGATGTTAATAACAGCAGAAACTGAGTTTGGGTTATATGGGCACTTTCTATACTATTGTCTCCGTTTTTCATAAATCTAGAACTGTTCTGAAAAATATAGTCTATTAAAAAACGCTCAATAAATCCAGAGAAGGCAGAAAAAGGGAAATAAGCAACACAAATGGAACAAATAACAACTAGTGAGATGGTAGATTTAAATACAACCATATCAACAATCACTTTAAAGATGAATAGCCTAAGGACAACAGTTCTTAGATTGATAGACTGGATAAAAAGCAAGATCCACTGGGTGCAGAGGCTCACGTCTTTAATCCCAGCACTTTGAGAGGCTGATGTTGGGAGATCACTTGAGCCAAGGAGTTCAAGGCTTCAGTGAGTTATGATCACACCACTCCATTCTAGCCTGGGTAAAAGAGCAAGACTCTACCTCCAAAAGAAAAAGAAAAAGAAAGACCCAACAACTCAACAATATGCTTTCAACAAGAATCCACTTTAAATATATAGATAGTTTAAAAGTGAAAAGATAGGCCAGGTATGGTGGCTCATACCTGTAATCCCAGCACTTTGGGAGGCCAAGGCAGGAGGATCACTTGAGGTCAGGAGTTCAAGACCAGCCTGGCCAACATGGCAAAACCTCATCTCTACTAAAAATACAAAAATTAGCCAGGCATGGTGGCGTGTGCCTGTAGTCCCAGCTACTCAGGAGGCTGAGGCAGGATAATCGCTTGAACCCAGGAGGTAGAGGCTGGAGTGAGCCAAGAGCGTGCCACTGCACTCCAGCCTGGGCAACACAGTGAGACTCTGTCTCAAAAAAAAGTGAAAAGATCAAGAAAGATATACCATCCACACATGAACGAAAGAAAGCTGGGGTAACGATATTAATTTCAGACAAAGTAGACTTCAGAACAATGAATATTATCAGGGACAAACAGGGATATTACATAATAATAACAAAGGAGGCAATTCTCCTCCGTACATAATTAATTTGGTCAATTTGTTAGATAAGTTGGAGTCATATTTTCATTAAAATGTAAAGTACTTAAATTATTTTTCCAAATTTATGAGATGAAAAAGGATTAAGACCCTGACATGCAAGAGCTAATTAAAAGAATCTCTAAGTTCATCCATTTGTTTAAGAAAACAAAACAAAACAAAACAAAACAAAACAAAAAAAGATGAATCTTAGGTTCCACCTTCTGCAAATAAGGAAATGGGGGTGTTCTGAGGTTCCTGAGCTTTAGCAACTTGCCCACTTCCCACTATTTCAGCTCTGCTGGCAGTTTCTGAATTGTGTTCCCCAGAAGCACTTGAGCAGTCACTGTGGTGGGGAGTGGGGAGGAAGATAGGCGGCCAGATCCACATGGGACCACAGCAGAAAGGTGGGCTCCAGGCTGTTATATATTGGATTCTGTAAAAGATTTCATTTGGAAAAGGGGTTCTGATGCTTAAAAATAAGTTTGAATGTCACAACCTTTGCCAAAGCACCTGTTTAGAGAAGTTTAAACATGGTTTTGTAAATACAATCATCATCTAAAATGCAGGTTTTTAAAACTTCAGCAGTAAAAAAAGAAATACATAGTTGTTTCTTTCATGTTATCTCATATAGTTAACTAGCAGAGGTAAAGAAGAGAAGCTGGAGTCTCCTGCTTTCTGGTTCAATCCTCCCTGCAGGCTGCCCCCACAGATGCCTGTTTGCAGCAATGAACACACTGCACAAACCTATCACCTATCACTGTAGACAGGCTCCAGGCAGGACCAGCCATGATCAATATTCAACACTTGTCTAATTAGACATTACTGTGAAATCTTTTCCATTTAATGTTATAAGAGATATAATCATACTCACAAGCAGACCTGAAACATCAGAATACTTCTTAGCTGGCTTAAAGGATGGAGGAGCATCAATACTGAAGTCTGGGAAAAAAAAAAAAAAAAGATAACTAAACTGAACTGAAAACATTCAAATCCCTTCTCTTTTTTTTTCTAAAATAGTATTTGATAATATTCCTGAAAATTTCCTTTGTGATTAAGTAGTCACAGAAGTCTCTGGAGATTAACTAGAGAAGTAGGGGAGGATTCTCAGAAACAAGACAGTATGTCACAGGCCAAGTGCAGGCTCCAGATCTAGCCCTGCCCTGTCACCAGGGACCCTCTATTCCCACAGAACCACCGGAAAGCTCATCTGCCCACCAGCTATTTTCACGATCTCACACTACATGGGCTGATGGTGATGAAATGCCAAATGAGCCAATAACTGGATCTGAGCACCCTGACACCCTCATGTCCACACCCAGACGAATGAATGACTAGCTCACTTGTCACCCATGTGAGTCACCCCCATGAAAGAAGTACAGTGGAGTAGGAGATGGTGAGAACTTTGAACTTGTACTTTCCAGTGAAGCTGAACAGAACATATAACAGTGTTTTACATAAATCTGGACACACTGCAGCATGAAGTATTTACTAAACACTGGCTCACAAAGTATAAAAGAGCTGGCCTTTAAGCTGGTTGTCAGGAACCCTCCTAAATCTGGTATTATACTTGGGCTACCTTGTTTTTGGAAACACATTTTAAGAGTAGACTTTTGAATAAGAAGTTTGTCTAGTAGAAACACCAATATTATCATATTGGGACCTATGACCCTAAAAACCACACATCCATGACAACACAAACAAATAGGCTCAATACAGATACAGTTATGAGAAAATACACACATAATCTGCCCAGACTGATGCCACTATAAAATTCTCAAGCTAAAAATTATTTCCTACAATGATGCAAACACAATACAATAATGTAGGTTGTTATAAGACAGTTCCTACTCTGAACATTACAAACACATGGAAGGCTCTAGACAGCTCACAGTTAGGATCGTTCAGTTGCCACGGCAATGCCCTTTCAGAAGCGAGGATTTGTTTCAGGTTCTTCCAGGTTCTGTTCTTCTTGCCAGCTACTGCGCCACCGTGGCCAGAGTGCTTGAATTGAAGGCATGGATTAGAAGAAACAAAAACCAATGGAGACTACCATTTCGACATCTGACATTTATGCCTAATCATAACTGTAATATACCTCTCATCTGTCAACAATCATTAAGACCCCTGAGACTTTTTTTAAAAGGTATTTCACTGTACACATTAACATGTTAATCTTAGTTTAAAAAAGAAGTTTTCAGATTGTCAAAACCCTTGAGTTAGTTTGTGCTGGAGTAGAAATAAAAGGCTACTTCTTTATATGCACGTAAAAAAAAAAGCCTTTATTGGGTCTAACTTTGTAGAATTCATTCATGAATTTCTTCATACTTTAAGATAAATTTACTACAAAGTCAGATTTAAATCCAGGACTGCATCTCTCAACTCCCTTCTCGGGGCAAGTCTCTGCCATGTAAACTGGGGATCCTGGAAAAGTTGAGAAAGCCCCAGTTGCAGTATGGGTACTCTTCTAGGTACCTCTTTTTTTTTTTTTTTATCCTACAAAGATGACACAATAAAATGGAAAAGAATACCAAAATCTGTTGCAAACACTGGTAATATTGTATTTCCAAAACTAATTCATTAAAAAAAAATTTAACAGTATAATCTGAACTGCTGCAGTTTATTACCAGTCTCAAGAATGAAAGGAAGAATACCCTGTGTTCTACTCCACAGCACAACAGCTTGGATTTACCTTATGAAACTAATGAGGAAGTACTTCTCATTTAGCTAAATATTTCAAGCTTTGTCTAAGATTGTAAGACCAATGAAAAGGTTAGGGGAACAATCATCATGGAAATGTCCCACCCTCCAAACAGTATCCTTTAATGAATCCACAAAGGACACCCAAATCCTTGGGATATGGCACATTAAAAGATCAACAGAAAGAACCCTTCTCTTGTCCCCATCTTGCCCATAGGGGAGAAGGAGGTAACTGAGACTGAGGGAGGAGAGAATGCCAGTGCCACCCTGGCTACAGGCCCAGCAAGATCAGAGGCTGAGGTGTGGCATTTGGATGTTTATTCAGCTAATACCTTCGATGCTTACCACAAAGTTGGGATCCTTAAATGGCAAAGGTTTGGCAGCTTTTTCCACAGGTCCTGTGCTAAACTCAGAGGGCACCATTTTATTCTCACTCATGGCTTCCATGCTGATACCCTTAAAACATAATAAAAATAGTTTGAAGAAGTCAGTTTCTTTCAGCTGAGTTCCCCACCTCTGCTCTCAACAGGGCATACGATGATGCCACAGGGCATGCAAGGGAAGACAGTATGCCCAGAGCTCCAGCAGGCAGCCTGCCCTAGGGGAGGGCACACCACACGGGGAGTAGCACCTGCTGTGCAGAAGCCACAGGAGAAACAGGCCAGGACCTCCAACTGCTATGTTTCCCGGGTACCCTAAGTGCCAAGCACAGGGATGGCTGTCCTACGCAAGTTAGCTCATTTAATTCTGACAACCACTCCACAGTAGGTGCTATTATCCCCAGCATACAGAAAAGAAAACTGAGGCCCAGGGGAACAGGTTCAAGGTCACATAGTGATTGAGTTTTGGATTCAAACCTAGGTTGGGCCAGTTCTAAAGCCCTCATAATCTCCATGACACCACACAGTTCTGACTTCCACTGATCTTATGAACTCTGTCTTAAAATATTAAGACAACAAAGGTCCAGCCCCTTTAAGGGTCTAGTTGGCCAGAGAACCCAGACTGGAGCTGGTATGCTTAAGTGGCACAACAGGACATGGGCATTCCAAGGAAGGAAAACGGAAAAAAAGCTGGAGGGCCACAGGTCAGCTGGCAGCAGCCAGAGAGTGCCCTGACAAGAACGCTAATATGGTTTAAAGCAAAAAACCTTTAAGCTAACAATCACAAAGAAAAAACAAGCCAAAGTAAGAAACCACTTCTGATCTGTAATACAATTTCCCATCTTGCCAGGCTTCAATTAACTTTTAAAAAATTGAGATGTGATTTACATACAGTGAAATACACAGATCTTAAATGTAGTTGTCATGAGTTTTGCCAAAAGTTTACACTAGTACAATTCCTATCCTTGTCAATACCTTCCAGTCCCAACGGCAACCGCTGTTCTAATTTCTACCACATTACTTCTGCCTGTTGGAGAACTTCGTATAAACAGCATTTAACAGCATGTACTCTAGTGTCTGGATTCTTTTGCTCAGCATAAAGTTTCTGAGATGTGGCCAGGCATGGTGGCTCACACCTGTAATCCTAGCACTTTGGGAGGCTGAGGTGGTTGGATCACTTGAGGTCAGGAGTTCAAGACCAGCCTGGCCAACATGGTGAAACTCCACCTCTACTAAAAATACAAAAATTAGCCACGCATGGTGATGTGTGCCTGTAGACCCAGCTACTCGGGAGGCTGAGGCAGGAAAATCACTTGAACCTGGGAGGCGGAGGCTGCAGTGAGCCGAGATCATGCCACTGCACTCCAGCCTGGGCAACAGCGAGACTCTACTCCGTCTCAAAAACAAAGAAAAGTTTCTGAGATGTATCCATGTTGTTGCGTGGATCAGTCTGTTTCAGTGTATTTGCACACTACTCAACACAATAGTATTCCACGGTAAGGAGGCACCCCAATTTGTTTATTCATTTTCGTGTTCGTGGACGTTCGGTTCATTATCAGTCTTCAGCTATTACAAATAAAGCCTCTGTGATGTTTTCATTTCTCTTGGGCAAATACCTAGGAGTGGAATGGTTGGGTTATAGGGTAAGTGTATGTTTAACTTTACAAGTCACTGCCAAATCATGTTCCAAAGGTTGCATGCACCCTTCAAAAAAAGAGTTAAGGCTAAAAGTCATCATGTTGTCATGTGGAATGTGGAAGACACTACATGATTAACTAAATCACAGCTTATCTACTCTCAGCTGGAATTTTAGCAACTTATTCTGGTTCCCTCATGCTGATAAGGAGCTCAACTTACTTAGTAAGTGAAAATCTTACTTATCTTAGTAAGAGAGTATGGTGGAATATGAATATATCTACATTCATTCATGTTGGGGGAAGAGGAGTGGAGAAGACAAGAACCACTCACATTGCTGCAATAGTTCTTTGGGTGCTCTCTCCTCAAACACCTTCTCTGACCCCTCTCCAGGTCTCTCCACCTGAGCCGGGGTTCCAGCCAAGGCCCTGTGCTCCCTCTCCTCTGTGGCCGCCACCTTCTGTCTGGATTCCCCTTCACCTCATCCTCTCCACTTCTAAGGTCTTTCTTAGCTTTTCTTCCCTCCAAGCTCAGTGCAAATGTCAACTTTAAGAACTGAGAGGCTGCCCATTCCTCATCCTTTTCCTACCATCTGTACCCACAGTGATCTATCTCTTCCTTCCTCCCACCCTCCCTTCCGCACCCCACTCTCCCTTCCTCCCACAGTCCTTAGCGTTTATCTGGTAACTTCCTGAGCTATATAATTCAGAGGTGGGACTGTGCAGTACACATCTTGCCTACTCCAGCCGATTCTCTACAGCTCAGCCAGTGACATACTTTTCAATGCAAGCATGATGATGCTCCGCTACTTAAATCTGGCCAGTGGTTTCTACTTCCCTTGGGATTAGGAACAAATTCAGGCCTCCTCTCCAGCCTCGCCTCTTGCTCCCCATCCTTCCTACATTTTGTCTTTTCTGGTGCGATATCCATTTAGCCATTTTCTATACAGCAAAAAGAGTCTCCAATTTTTCCATTTTCATTTATGCTGTACTAAGATTATTTTCATTGGGATTCGTCCATGTCAGTTTTAATTTTACAACAAAGGTTAGATTTAGTTTTTTTTTACATAACTTTTATTGCTTGTATGATTTTTTTTCCTTTATAGTCATCATATTTCTACCAGGTACCTGTACTCTGGGAGACCCAGTCTGATAAGGAAGATTTGATTCTCCCATCACATTTCATCAGTAACGAACATTACCTTGTGCAGTTTTAGCCAGCTGTCAATGTTATTTTGCACTGACTATTTGTAAGAGTAACATCTAGTATATATTGTATATATGATTGATAGTTTAGACAACACAACAGCAGCTTTATGATACACGCAGGGAACAACAGATCAGAAGAAAGGGGGACAAGGAGAGAGGGGTAGATTCAGAGAGTGAGGATACACAGAGGGCTCAAAACATGCTGCTTTACTTCATAGTTCAGCCTCTGTCCCTGCTTCTAACCCAGTGCCTAGCACAGAGTAGGTACCAAATAATGAGTGATTCATTGATTAACTGATCAATGTTAAGGAACAAGACAGGGTGGTATGACTGAATGCCAGCATCAGCACTGGAGATGTATATGCTCAGAAGCTCCTTACAAGGAAGCATCTCTGGCTGGGATGCAGTGGCCAAACACACAGGAAGGATAACTTGGAAAGAAACAACTGAGTGTGGTTACCTGCAGGGGCAGAGGGGAACATAGTGGAATGGAGAGGGAGATGGGAAGGAAATAGAAGAGAGTAAATCTTCTCTGAGTATAGCTTTTTGTAGAGTTTTGACTTTTTGAACCATGTTAAGGTTTCATATACTTGAAAAAATAAATAATAAAATCAACAAGGATGCGGCAGGGGATAAAAAATAGAATTTTAAAAACCCTGTAAACACAAATTCACTTGTGTTTCAAATAACATAACCACACTGAAGTGGAGGCAAGGGAGAAATAACCTGAGTAACTATGAATATGGTATTTTGACTATGTAATCCAAGGTTAAAGGCCAAAAAGAACCATACATAGTTGGTAAGTTTGTTTCTCACAGGGGCACATGTTAATAATTCTGAAACTACTTTATGTGTATTCTAAGATACATAGCAAATGTAGAAAAGCAAATAAGAAAAGGGGGAAGGCCAGAATGAGTGCTGTGGAATTGGATTGAAACTAGAGGTTATCAATATGAGCTCACAGTTTTCAGTATACAGGCAGATAATTACAGAAATACATAGAGAGGTGTGGGTAGTGCAGGTATACACACACATATATTTCCTAGCTCTGTGCACTGAGAAGACTGGAAACAATGAACAATAGGCAAAGCAACATTCAGATCATCCTTTCTAAATACAATCAGCCCTCCATATAGAGGAGTTCTGCATCCATGGATTCAAGCAACCACAGACAGAAGACATTTGGTGGGGGAAAAATGCATCTTGACTAAACATGTACAAACTTTTTTCCTTGTCATTATTCCCTAAACTGTACAATATAACAACTATTTACATGGCATTTACATTGCATTACCTATTATAAGTAATCTAGACGTGGTTGAAGTATACAGGAGGATGTGCACAAATTATATGCAACACTATGCTACTTTATTTATATCAGGGACTTGAGGTTCCATGGATTTTGGTACCCATAGGAGGTCCTGGAACCAATCCAGCACATATACTGAGAGACAAGTGTATTATTCTCTAAGAACCAGTGATCCATGAAGAAATGGCTGACTCTAGGGCTGGAGCAGGAAAGTATAAGACTAGAACATCTTGTGGTGTCAGAAAGAAAGCACTTGTGTCAGTTTATTCAGAGTGCTGTAACAGAATACCATAGATTGGGTGGCTTATATGATAGAAATTTATTTTCTCCAGTTCTGGAGGCTAGAAGTCCAAGAACAACGTGTTGACAAGTTTGGTTTCTCCTGAGGCTGTGTGCACCCCTGGAGTCTCTCCCTCTTCTTATAACGGCACCAGTCATCCAGGATTAGGGCCCACCCAGACGACCTCATTTAATCTTAATTACCTCCCTGAAGTCCCTATCTCCAGAATGTAACTGAGGTATACTAGGGGTCAGGACAAAATAATAAATACTGGGGGCATGGGGGTACCAAAACTTAGTCCATAACAGCACCCAAAAAATGATAGGGGCAAACTAAAGGACACGGGAGCCAGTTTGAAGAGGCTCCTACTGGACCAATTTCAAAAACTTAAGCAACAAACCAGTATATACATAAATCCAGAATATATGAAGAACTCTACAACTCAACAACAAAAAGACAATTCAATTTTTAAAAGGGCAAAGAATTTCTTCAAAGAAGATATACAAACAGCCAGTAAGCACGTGAAAAGATGCTCAACATCACTAGTCATTAGGGAAATGTAAATCAAAATCACAATGAAATTCCAGTGCACACTCACTAGGATGGTTACAATCAAAGACAATAACACATATTGGCAAAGATGTGAAGAAACTGGAACCCTCATACATTGCTGGTAAGAACGTAAAATGGTGCAAAAACACCATTAAAAAAAAAACACAATTGGGAAGTTTCTCAAAATGTTAACCACAGAATTATCATATGACCCAATAATTTAACTTCTAGGTATACACTCAAAGAGAATGAAAAACATATGTCCATGCAAAAACTTGTACACAAATATTCATAGCAGCATTATTCATAATTGCCAAAAGGCATAAACAACCTAAATGTCCATCAGCTGATGAAGAGATAAAATGTGGCAGGGCCAAGCACAGGAACTCATGCCTGTAATCCCAACACTTTGGGAGGCTGAGGCAGGAGGACTGCTTGAGGCCAAGAGTTCAAAAGTGGCCTAGGCAACATGGCAAGACCCTTTCTCTACAAAAAATAAAATAAAAAAGTAACCAGTTGTGGTGGCACTTGCCTGTAGTCCCAGCTACTCCAGAGGCTGAGGCAAGTTCAGGAGTTCAAGGTTACAGTATGCTATGATTGTGCCACTGCCTTCCAGCATGGGCAGCAGAGTGAGCCCCTGTCTCTAAAAGAAATAAAAAATAAAACACAAAATGTAGTATGTCCATAAAATGTAATATTATTCAATCACAAAAAGAAATGGCATTCTGATTCATGCTCTGTCACGGATAAATCTTGAAAAAAATTACACTAACAAAAAGAAGCCAGACACAAAAGGCCACATATTGTATAATTCCATTTATATGAGATACGTAGTCACATTCAGAGACAGAAAGTAGATCAGTGGTTGCCAGGGGCTGGCAGAACAGGGGAATGGAAAGTGACTGCTTATGGGTAATGAGTTTCTCTTTGGGGTAACAGGAATATCCTAAAATTAGATAGGATATTGTGAGGGTTGCACAACTCAGTGAATATACTATAAACCACTAAATTATACACTTTAAAAGGGTGAATTTTATAGTATGTGAATTATATCTCAGTAAAGCTACTACAGATAAACTTATAAAAGAAGGAATGAATAAAGCTAGTAGTGGATTATAACCCATATAATAAAATAAAAATCCATGACATAAATACTGATTTTAAAAAATGAATAAATGGCCTGTTGTAGTTCTGGTTACTCGGGAGACTGAGAAGGGAGGATCACTTGAACCCAGGAGGCTGCACTGCGCTATGATTGTGTCTGGCAATAGCCACTGCATTCCAGCCCAGGCAACATAGCAATACCCAATTTCTTAAAAAAAAAAAAAAAAAAAAAAAAATTTTAATAGGAAAAAAAGAATGAATGGAAGAGAAGAGAAAGCTGTTGCTCACAATAGGATTCTAATTAATAAATCTAAAAGGAATGAAGATTCAAATTAGGAAATCACTACTTGTCAACCACCACAATAATAACTATTTCAAGCAAAAGCTATCAATGGATATTAAAAGTCACTGGCAAAGTATGAAATAAAATAGGCTATTTATAGTCTCAAAGTATCTTCCCACAAGATACTTCAATACAAACATGAAAAGAATAACTTTACATTGGAGAAACCTGGCAGATACCACCTTACTAAGTGCTCAAATCTAACATCATTAGTAATTTGACATCAAGTGCCACAACAGGATGCACTGAGAAGATAGCATTACTTCTCTATTTTTGCCAAAAATATATAACTCAAATCTAACCATGAGGAAATATCAGACAGGCCCAAATTGAGGAATATTCTAGAAAATAAGTGGCCAGTACTCTTCAAGTGTCAAGGTCATTGTGTTAGTCCATTTTCATGCTGCTGATACAGACATACCTAAGACTGGGTAAATTATAAAGAAAAAGAGGTTTAATGGACTCACATTTCCACGCGGCTGGGGAGGCCTCACAATCATGGCGGAAGGCAAGAGGCACGTCTTACGTGGCAGCAGGCAAGAGAGAGAATGAAAGCCAAGTGAAAGGGGTTTCCCCTTATAAAACCATCAGATTTCCTGAGAGTTATTCACTACCATGAGAACAGCATGGGGGAAACTGCCCCCATGATTCAATTATATCCCACCGGGTTCCTCCCACAACATGTGGGAATTTTGGGAGCTACAATTCAAGATGAGATTTGGGTGAGGGCACAGCCAAACTATCATTCCGCCCCCGGCCCCTCCCAAATCTCATGTCCTCACATGTTAAAATCAATCATGCCTTCCCAGCAGTCCCTCAAAGTCTTAACTCATTTCAGCATTAACTCAAAAGTCCACAGTCCAAAGTCTCATCCGAGACAAGGCAAGTCCCTTCCACCAATGAGCCTGTAAAATCAAAAGCAAGTTAGTTACTTCCTAGATACAATGAGGGTACAGGCATTGGATAAATACACCCATTCCAAATAGGAGAAATAGGCCAAAACAAAGGGGCTACAGGACCCACACCAAGTCTGAAATCCAGCAGGGCAGTCAAATCCTAAAGCTCCAAAATGATCTCCTTTGACTCCATGTCTCACATCCAAGTCACACTGATGCAAGAAATGGGTTCCCATGGTCTTGGGCAGCTCTGCCCCTGTGGCTTTGCAGGGTATAGCCTCCCTCCTGGCTACTTTCACAGGCTGGCGTTGAGTGTCTGTGTCTTTTCCAGTCACACAGTGCAAGCTGTTGGTGGATCTACCATTCCGGGCTCTGAAGGACGGTGGCTCTCTTCTCACAGCTCCGCTAGGCAGTTTCCCAGTGGGGACTCTGTTTGGGGGATTCAACTCCACATTTCCCTTCCTCAATGTCCTAGTAGAGGTTCTCTGTAAGGGCCCTGCCCCTGCAGCAAACTTTGGCCTGGACATCCAGGCATTTCCATACATCCTCTGAAATGTAGGTGGAGGTTCCCAAACCTCAATTCTTGACTTCTGTGCACCCACAGGCTCAACACTATGTGGAAACTGGCCAGGCTTGGAGCTTGCACTCTCTGCAGCCGTGGCCCAAGCTCTACCTTGGCCCCTTTTACCATGGCTGGAGTGGCTGGAACACAGGGCACCAAGTTCCCAGGCTGCGCACAGCAGAGGGGTCCCTGGGTCAGTCACCTGAAACCTTTTTTTCCCACTAGGCACTGGGCCTGTGATGGGAGGGGCTGCCACAAAGGTCTCTGACATGCCCTAGAGACATTTTCCCCATTGTCTTGGTGATTAACATTTGGCTCCTCACTGCTTATGCAAATTTCTGCAGCCAGCTTGAATTTCTCCTCAGAAAATGGGTTTTTATTCTCTATCACATTGTCAGGCTGCAAATTTTCTGGACTTTTATGCTCTGTTTCCCTTTTAAAACGGAATGCTTTTAACAGCACCCAAGTCACCTCTTGAATGCTTTGCTGCTTAGAAATTTCTTCTGCCAGATACCCGAAATCATCTCCCTCAAGTTCAAAGTTCCACATACCTCTAGGGCAGGGGCAAAATGCTGTCAGTCTCTTTGCTAAAACATAGCAACAACCACCTTTACTCCAGTTCCCAACAAATTCCTCATCTCTATCTGAGATCACCCCAACCTGGATTTCATTGTCCATATCATTATCAGCATTTTGGTCAAAGCCATTCAACAAGTCTCTAGGAGGTTCCAAACTTTCTCACATTTTCCTGTCTTCTTCTGAGCCCTCCAAACCGTTCCAACCTCTGCCTGTTACCCAGTTCCAAAGTTGCTTCCACATTTTCGGGTATCTTTACATACAGCAGCAACCCACTCTACCGGTACCAATTTATTGTATTAGTCCATTTTCATGCTGCTGATAAAGACATACCTAAGACTGGGTAAATTATAAAGAAAAAGAGATTTAATGGACTCACAGTTCCACGTGGCTGGGGAGGCCTCACAATCATGGTGGAAGGCGAAAGGCACGTCTTACATGGCAGCAGGCAAGAGAGAGAATGAGAACCAAGTGAAAGGGGTTTCCCATTACAAAACCATCAGATGTTGTGAGGATTATTCACTACCATGAGAACAGTATGGGAGAAACTGCCCCCATGATTTAGTTATATCACACTGGGTTCCTCCCACAACACATGGGAATTATGGGAGCTACAATTCAAGATGAGATTTGGGCAGGGGCACAGCCAAACCATATCAGTCATAAAAGATAAAAAGACTAAGGAAGTGTTCTGATTACAGGAGACTAAAAAGATATGACAACTAAATACAACGTGTGATCCTGGATTGGATTCTGAACCAGATAAGGGACAAGAATAAAGTCTGTGTATTAAATATCAGTGTTGTATCAGAGTTAACTTCCTGAATTTGATAAAATTTGGAATGATCTCTCCTCACTACCTTCCCACACTCCTCTCCAGGGCCTCTGCATGTGGGCATCTGGGCCCTCCTCTGTTAACACCCCTCTTCTGTCTGGACTGCCCCTCACTTCATCTTTCCCCCATGCACGGTCTTTCCTAACTGTCCTTATGTAAGAGAATGACTTTGGTTTTAAGAAATTCACACTGAAATATTTAGAGGATTAAAAAAAAAAAATACAGTGACCAAGTGAAGCCTCCCCAAGAGGCACACCCAGCTGCGAATGAGCCAGAGGTCATGACTCCTGGTTCCTGAGAAGGAAGGTGGAGCTGGCATGCAGGGCAGGAAGGGTGACAAGTGATCGCTCTTTCAGGAGGTGGTGGTACAAAGGCAAAGGAGAAAGCCCAGGCCCACTGGAAGGAACATGGGGTGAGCCGGTCCAAGGAGACCCGCCAGCATTAGCAGAAGGAAAGCAACCATTCTCCCAATCATCTAACCATTCATAGAGTGTGCCACAGGACTACTCAATGCCCTGGACTGTCAGGAGACTGGGCCTACGAGTGGCCTAAATTAAATTAGCAGGAGAGATAACCCTGAGAGCTATCCAGTAAGCACCACGTCAAAAGAAAAACAAAACACCCCCACTAGGGACAACTTCAGGTCTAATTCAGGGTAAACAGGCTATGAAAGAGATTTCCTGGGGCCAGATATGCTTTAAGTTTCAACTTTATCGTTTGAGTTTCTCATAAAGAATATGACTACTGATATAATACTGTTGCCATCAGGGAGGAAAAAACCAATCTGAACTGTTAAAGAGCAAAAAGGACACACTAAAGGGAAAGGGAAAATGCAGTCCCCAAAGCTTCCAACAGCGATTACAGAACCATCCACATACCTGCCAGCTCCCAGGGTCCTATCCTCAGGCAGTGGAGTTCGCTTTTTCTTCCACTCCAGAGATGTTCAAAAACTGCATTTCTTTTTTTATTATTTTGTTGTTGTTGTTGAGATAGGGTCTCGCTCTGTCACCCACGCTGCAGTGCAGTGGCACAATCACAGATCACTGCAGCCTCAACCTCCTGGGCTCAAGCCATCTTCTCACCTCAGCCCCCACTCATGAGTAGCTAGGACTACGGGTGCACACTACTATGCCCAGCTAACTTTTGTATTTTTGTAGAGACAAGGTTTCACCATGTTGCCCACAGTGGTCTCGAACTCCTGGACTCAAGTGGTCTGCCCACCTGGGCCTCCCAAAGTGCTGGGATTCCAGGTGTGAGCCACTGCGCCTGGCCAAATACTGTTATTTCTCCTTTTCAGTTTATTCCACTTCCCCAATCCCAGTGAGGAAGCTCAAAGGTGCTGTGTGCCCAATGAAAGGAAAGCAATACAGGGGGATTCTTCTGACATAGGCGTTTAGTTCCAAGGCCCCAGGGAGACAGGGGAGAAAAATGCCAGACAGGGGCCCTCGTTAGATTCAGGCAGACAAGCACGTCTGCTGAGAGTAAGGAGAGGGTGGTAATGAAGAGAGGACCAGAGGTCTAAGTCAGCCATTCCAGGCAGCAAGCTAGAGAAGAGTCAAGAAGAGGATGAAAATGACACACGGAAGCACTGGTTTTTGAAAGGGACCCCTCCTGCCGGCTTGCTCACTCCATCCTCTGCCAGACCCCCGCTGGGAAGTCAGGCTGAAGAGAGGGCAGAGAAAGGAAGCCACCCTGGAGTGAACTGAGCCACATCATACCAGTGCTGCCTCCTGCTTCTGAGATTGTGGCAGGCTCCCTTCCTTCTCTAACCAGAGACACCCCTGCCCCAGGCCAGAGCTGGTTTTATGCTTCACTTTCCTCTCCCCCGACCCCCACATTACTACACCCTTAGCCTAGCTGAGACTCCTGTGTCTACTAACAACAGGATGAGAGGGAGACAGACCTTTAGTCAAAGGGAAGATCAAGTCTGTGAGGCTTGGATGCAATAAGATAAAATTAAAATGATGCATCATTTCCATATTACTAAAGCACTATTATCACTAAGGACTTTACAAGATGAACTGTCCCGCCCCAAGATATGAACACCCTAAGAGGAGAGGAAGGAACGCCTAGCACTAAGGGGCGCCCCCTCTTTGCAGCACTAACAGAGCTGATGTAAGTCTCAGGGAAGAGAAATCCAGCCTGCTACTCAGGAAACACACGCCTATGCTAATAGACTGGAGTTCACAAGGCCTGGGTCTCGCCCTGCTCTGCTCTGCCCAACTGAAGAACCCAAATCAATGGCTTCATCTCTCCAGACAGTAGTGTGCTTGACTCTGAATCAGACTAAAGGATAATTTGGACATTCTGTCTGTGGTTACAAAGAAAGGAGAAAAATATCCTTTGTCTTATTACTGAAAAGTCAAATGTCAAGTTATATCTATGTCATAGAATTATAGATGCAAATAGCTGACCCTGGTCTAAAACTGCAAGGTTACTATAGGGTTACTTAAAACAGCAAAAATTCAAAATGCAACCTCAATATCCAATAATAAAGTCAATTAAATATGAGTAGTTAATTCCTTGGAATATAATGCAGTCAATAGTCATAAAAGACTATTTGACTTTTAAAAGTCTAATTGAGAAGACTATCAACACATAGAAATGTTCACAAAATAATGCTAAGTGAAAAACGGGGCACGTAATACTATATACCAAATATAATGATGAAAAACTGTATCTACATGTAGAAAACACAAATTATAATAGTTGTTGGGGAAGGAGATTGGGTGACTTTTTATGTCAATTTTAAAAATGAAAAAAAAGGTAATTTTAAAAATAGAAAAGAATAACTTTTAAGACTTAAAATTATCAGGATTTGTTGAATTTTTACTTTTGTGTTTTACAAAAGTTGAATAGTAGGATGACTATTTTTTCAATGAATAAACCAAATCAGTCCAGCATTATCTGGCTGCCCCTCCAATTACAGAAGATTCTCTCATTATCTGCCCTATCCTCCTAAAGATGCAACTACTGCCTCTCCACTTTAGATGTTTTATTAGCTGCTTCACAAATGAAGAGGCTATTAAGTAACTCTCAGTCTATAGGTTAATTAGATTTCTCAGTACATTTTATCAACTTTAATACACATTTGAAAAGCCTAAATTACCCTATATTGATTCAGTAAAACTGTTGCCAAAAGCATTTCTCTGTACCATGAATTTGGTTATACCAGAGATCTAATTAATAATCTTCTAATATACAAAGTAACAGAGTGATATCAAGAGAGGCAGTTAAGAAAAAAGAATGTAGACTCTGGACGGCATGCCTGGGTTCGAATCCCGACACTAACACTGTGTGAGCTTGGGCAAGTTACACAGTCTCTCTATGCTCTTGGCGTTTTTATCTGTAAAATGAAGTGATCAATTCACAGAGGGTCGTTTGGAGAATTAAATGACATAGTACTTAGAAAGTACATAGAACAGTGCCTGGCATGTAGTAAATGCTTGATAAATATTAATTACTATTATTTATCCTTATTCCTTTCACTTTAACAGTTATCTGTTCCCCAACCCACCAAAATTAATCCCTTCAAAGTAACAACCAGAGTGAATGGAAGACTGCACTTTCATAACATTATTAATCAACAACTGTTATAGTGAAAATATAAATCCACAGAATTGTGATTCTAAGATGATTTGTACCACCCCTTAGCAAGCATGAACATTAGTAGTAATTTCTGCTGAACTAGAGAGAGCCATCTTGATGAAATGATAAAACAAAGTTGTTTTTGTACTACTAAATTATTTAATAGTATTTCCTAACACTGATGTAAAGAAGGCTTCTATAAATGCTTTTCTCAGAATACTTTTAGCTGAAAAATATTCCCTTCAACTCCTCAGGACTTCTAAGCATCTAAATTTCTAAACTTCTTTAAATTTCAACTAAGCACTCAATTTTACTTTAGAAACAGCAAGCATATTTCAGGAAAGTTAAACCCACCTTAAGAATCCATGATAATTCAAGTTATCTTTAACAATCTCAAAAGGCACTCTAATGTCCTACACGTAAATGTGCTTTGTAAATTTTAAAATTCCATGAAAGTTTTACATACTTTGCCTTTACTTAAGAATCAAAATAGCTAAAATTACTGACGTAGGGAAATTTACGTGATGAAAGACCTATAAAATCTCCTCTAACTCAAGAAATACAATCATTTATAGAAAAACACTCACTTCCCCACTAAGGGAACCTTGGGCAACCTGGGTTAATCTCACAATGAGCACAGCTCTGAACCTGGAATGCCTTCTCCAGCAAACCTCTCCAAGCCAACTTCAAGTCCCTCTGCCTCCCTACCTCTCCTTTGAGTACCATCACCAGCACTGAGGAATCATCCTCCTGTGTCTCACCACAATAGGGCACCAACACCTATAATTACCTATAATTAGCTTTGGCTCAAGGTTAGACATTACTATATCTTCCTAATGGTTTCATTTGTGTGATAGGTAGAATTCCAGTACACCCCTGCTACCTTGCAAGTACTCTGCCCCTGGTGTGCACACAATTTCTCCGAGTTATTCAAGCAGACACTAATCTAGGTGCAGCTACAAAGGGGTTTTGCAGATGTAATTAAGGTCTCAAATCAGCTGACTTTTAAAAAAGGTGATTATCCAAGTAGGCCTGCCTAATCACATAAATCTTTTAAATCTGAGTCCAGGGGTCAGCAATAAAAGAAGTCTGAAATATCTGAAGCATGAGAAGAATTGGACACAAGGGAGATTCTCCATAGCTGGCTCTGAAAATGGAAAACGCCATGTGGCAAGGAACACGGGCAGCAGCTGACAGCCAGCAAGAAGACAGGGGCCCTGCAGTCCTGCCGCCCCAAAAGAACAGAATTCTGCCAACAACCTGAATTCACCTGCATGCAAATTTCTCCCCAGAGCCTTCAGACAAGAACTCGGCTAACACTTTGATTTCAGCTTTGTGATACCCAGAGCAGAGAGTCAACCCAGTTGCATTGTGTCAGGACTTCTGACCTACAGAACCATGAGCTACTAAATGAGTGTTATTTAAGCCACTAAATTTGTGATAATTTGTAATGACAGCAGTAGAAAACTAAACACAATGTATATACGTCATTCTCTCCTGGGATGTTTTTGGTAGTGTGGGGACAAGCTATAATCCTTTGAAATGTCTTAAGCATACTGCTGGGGATGGAACAGAAACAGTACAATAAATTACTGCTACATGAACTGAACTGAAACAGAACAGAAAGGTTGGGCAAGTGACACAGATGAGGGTGACCTCAAGAAGATTCCTGGCAGCCCTCAGGGGTACTGTGCTTATGCCTGCTTATTTCCTATACGCTGTGAAAAGGGAACTAGAATGAAAGGATCACAGCAAGGCAAAAATCTAAGACAACCGGGCACAGTGGCTCATGCCTGTAATCCCTAAACTTTGGGAGGCCAATGTGGGCAGATTGCTTGACCCCAGGAGTTTGAGACGAGCTTGGGTTATGTGGTGAAATTCCACCTCTACCAAAAATACAATGGTGGCATGCACCTGTCGTCCCAGCTACTTGGGAGGCTGAGGTGGGAGGATCCACTGAGCCAGGAGGTCGAGGCTGCAGTGAGCCATGATTGTGCCACTGTCCTCCAGCCTGGGTGACAGAAGAAGACCCTGTCTTCTTTAGTAAATATCAGTTGGGAAAAGGAGAGTCAGGACAAAAGAAGGCACTATTTCATGAAATGCTCTGCCCTTTCCAGCTTCTCCTGAGGCTGCTGCTTGGATACAAAAAAGGCCCAGAGGGAATAGAGAGTTAAGATTTCCACCATATTGGATTACTGGGAATTTCCAGTCTCCTGAAGGCATTTGACCACTTTCAGAAGCTTGTGGTAGTGGAAGTTGATCAACAATCCCTTTGGGGTCAAAACAATTATTCCTACCCATATGTCCTAGTGACACTCCTTGGTCCTGGCACAACTGGTTATCAAAACGCACCAGTCGCAGGCTGGGAGCAATTACTCACAATACATACATCTGGCAAAGGAGTCTAATCAAGAAAGATAATGTAATGAACTTCTACACATCAATATAATTTTTTTTTAAAAGCCAATTAGAAAAAAATAATTAGGCACTCCACAAAAGATCTGGAATGTCCAACAAGCTCATGAAAAGTGATTGATATCATTAGCCATCAGAGAAACAAATTAAAACAAGGAGATACTACTACACACTCAACAAAATGGCTAAAAGTTAAAGACTGACAATGAAAGACTGACAATACTCTGTATTGTTGAGGATTTCGAGCAACTGGCACTCTCATACTTTGCCGGTAAGAATGCAAAAACAGTGCAACTACTTTGAGAAATACTGTTTAACAGTTACTGAGTTAAATGTATGCCTACCTTCTGACTCAGCAATTCCACTACTTCTCAAGAGAAATGAAAGCATCTATCTACACAAAGACTTGTACAAGAATGTTCAGAGCAGCTTCTGCACAAAGCCAAAAACTGTAAACGTTCAAATATTCATCGGGTGTATGTTTATACAATGCAACAGATGTACTAAACGACTCTCAAAAACATTGTCTCAAAAAGGAACCTAGACAGATGCAAAAGAATATGTTCCCTATTGTCCTGTATTATTCCATTTATATTATGTTCCAACCCAAAGTCAGTCTATTGTGAAGGGTGGCTGAACAGTGGGTAACTGTTAGGAAGGAAAGACAGTACTGACAGGAAAATGTCACCTGCTCTTAGAAATGCTATCTTGATCCAGGCAGTGGCCATAGGTGTATACAAATGTAAAAGGGCACTGGATCTGTAGTTTTGTTTTGTTTTGTTTTGTTTGCGATAGGCTCACTCTGTTGCCCAAGCTGGACTGCAATGGCACGATCATAGCTCGCTGTAACCTTGAAATCTTGGGCTTAAGTGATGCTCTTGTAGTTGGGACTAAAGGCGTGCACCATCACGCCCAGCTATTTGTAAATTTGGATGGGGGTTGGGGAGCAGGTCTCGAACTCCTGTCCTCAAGCAATCCTCTCACCTTGGCCTCTCAAAGTGCTGGGATACAGGCGTGAGACAGGATTCTTGAAGATCTGTGGTTCAGCCAGTATTCTTGAAAATTTGTGCATTGTACTCTGTGTAAATCTTACTATAGCAAAGTATTTAATATTAAAAGGTTAAAATAAAAAGCACTACCAATCACCTACAGAAGAAGGAACAAGATTTCTAGAACAGCCACTGACTGACTGGGTGAACGGTGGTGTCACACCATATGCTGAGGAGCACAAAGTAACACACTCTATCTCTGCTTTTTTGCTTTGAATAAAATGCAGGAGCCAGAGAAAACACTAATCAAGCCACTCCCTGCTGAAAATTCATTGCTGGAATTACGGAACCTAGATTGTTCAGAGGCCCTGACGTCTGAGCCAGGCGCTGAGCTCAGTGCCTTTACACTCATTACTTCATAACCTTAACAAGCCCATGAGTTAAGACCAAACCTGCCTTTGGATTGGGAAACCCAGGGTCAAAAAAGCACTTTTCTCAGGATGAGAGAAAGCATACTTATCAATACATCTTGTATTCATCCATGCAGGACATTACAGCGCTATGCGCCTCAAAGACACTGGGTAGATGTCTGCAGAATGGACGAGGGGAAGACACGCAAATTTCTGAATGACTGACACTCATTAGTCCTGAACCTCATGCTAAAGGCGACCTCGAGGGGAAGAGGCAGTCCTTCTATTAATACTAAGTCAGTAATAACCTCCCTACTTCTTCTTCTCTCCTTACAACACAAGGCGTTGTAAGCCCATGTGTCCAAACGAAGGGAAAGAGTAGTCATTCACTCCGCGGGGCAGCGTCTTTCAACCCCAACGGAGACCGCACGCGCAGCGCCCCACATTACGCACGCGCCCTGGCTCGGCTCCGCCCCGCCAAGTCCCGTTTCGCGACGCGCACGCGCAGCCTGGGAGCGCGACTGCGTACCTGCGCAAAGCTGGAAGCGGACGCTTTTTTCTTCTTACTGGCGCCATAGCCCCCGCCGCTGCTGCCATTGTGGGAAGGGCTGGCCGGCCTCTTCTTGCTGTTCCGGACTATTCCGGGAGTGGAAGTGGTGGCCACAATTGGAATTTGCGCCGCCATCGCACTCCGAGTCTTCCCCTGGTCCCCCCACCTTTTTCCCAGCGCGGGCCTTGGAACTTCCTTTCCGCTGTTACTTCCGTCTTGATGCTTGAAAACCCGGCCTGGACTCCAAGCTGTAGCTGGCTTCTCTCGGTGCAATCTAAAAGGCGGAGCTCGGAGTAGCCTGTGCCGTCGGGACGGGAAGATGTCAGCGGGCGTTGTCCTGCCACTCGGGCGCTCTGGGCGTGGGCCTTGGGTGGGGCACGTGCCTGGAAATCCCCATTGATAGAGGAATAGAAAATCTCCCAATCTTTTTAAGTAACTACGTTTTAAAAAATTAATGAGCGTGTTGTCTTTTCTCATATAGAAGAGTGATTACTTTTGATGTCTGTAAGCCTAAAGCTGGGGTCGTTCTCAGTAGACCGCCAAGCTACTGGCTTCTCCCTCTATCCCTCCCTGCCTTCCCACGCGGAAAAGGTTTGTATATAAATAGCGCCCAAATGGACATGAAGGGTAGAGTGGTTCTTAATCTCTCCCTTTTTTTTTTTCTTTTATTTGAGACGGAGTTTCGCTCTTGTTGTCCAGGCTGGAGTGCAATGGCGCGATCTCGGCTCACTGCAAACTCCGCCTCCCGGGTTCAAGCGATTCTCCTGCCTCAGCCTCCCGAGTAGCTGGGATCACAGGCATGTGCCACCATGCCCGGCTAATTTTGTATTTTTAGTAGAGACGGGGTTTCTCCATGTTGGTCAGGCTGGTCTCGAGCTCCCGACCTCAGGTGATCTGCCCGCCTCGGCCTCCCTAAGTGCTGGGATTACAGGCGTAAGCCACCACGCCCGGCCGGTTCTTAATCTCTTAGGATTCACAGACTCTTGAGCATGGAATCTGTGCTTCCTATCCCTGCCGCACACCCCCACCTCCCCACCACCCCATTAAATGTATACAGACACAGACAAAATTTTACAGATTTCAGGGAGGTCACAGATCTACTAAAACCTATTTAGGAACCTGAGTCCCCCTACCCGCCTTGTTCTTTGCCTCATTCTACCCTATATTTTTACAGAACCTTTGCGACATCATATAACTAAATGATTTATAATCGGATGGTTAATGTCTTTTTTGGCTCCTGCTAGAATGTAATCTGTATGAGGGAAGGGTCAGTTATGTCTTGTTAACTTATCAGTCCCCCCAATCACAGTACCTTGCAAGTCATTGGTGCATTATAAGTATTTTTAATGATGTATTTAACGAATGAACTAACTCCCTGCAGTGATTGGTGGAAGCTACTATGTTTGAATACAGGAAGTTGATGTATATGAGTCTTGATATTTGAAATAAACAGGCTGCACAATGACTTAGAGGTGAGAGAGAAGGAGCAGTTAGGGAAACTTGCAATATTGTTACTGACATATTTTTTCCTTTAGAGAAAGGAATAAGCCTACCAGTGTTGAAATGTTCTTTCCCACACCCCATCTCCATCCCTATCCTCATCTAAAGCTAGTCTTTTCCTCATTCCTTAACTCAAGGACTCACCTCCAACAAGCCAGTCACCTAAGCAAACTCTACTGTCCCCACCTCCTCCCATTCCTCACCTCCTCAGCTCGCTTCTCTCCTTCACGGCTCCTGCCCTGGTGAATCTGTATCCCATGTCTACATCTCAGCAACAGCCTCCAGATGGACGTTTCGGCCGCCATCTTTCCCTTATCCATTCCTGACCCCAGACCATCCTTCACACTGGCTGCCAGAATGGGATTTCTAAATTACAAATATAATCATACCACTTACTTTCTTACATTCTTCAGGGCCCTTTTGCCTTCAGGGTAAAATTTTTTTTTTACCTTCAGGGTAAGAACGTTTTGGCTTGTCATACAAGGTCCTTAATGACTGGGCTCTGGGCCGGGCGCGGTGGCTCACACCTGTAATCCCAACACTTTGAGAGGCTGAGGCGGGCAGATCACAAGGTCAGGAGATAAAGGCCATCCTGTCCAACACGGTGAAACCTCGTCTCTACTAAAAATACAAAAATTAGCTGAGTATGGTGGCATGCGCCTGTAATCCCAGCTACTCAGAAGGCTGAGGCAGGAGAATCGCTTGAACCCGGGAGATTGCAGTGAGCAGAGATCGTGCCACTGCACTCCAGCCTGGCAACAGAGCAAGACTCCGCCTCAAAACGACAACAACAACAACAACAACAACAACTGGGCTGTGCCCCATTCTGTTGCTTGGTTCCCAACACTTAATTCCTTGTGTTCCAGCCAAGGACTAACTCTATTTCCTAGAATGTATATGTTTTCTTAGCTTGTCATATTTTTGTTTCTATTATTTCCTCTCCTGGGAATGCTTAGCTCCTTGCCTGATTACCATCCATTTTGCCTCAGTTCAGATGCTACTTCCAATGAAAAGCTTTCTGCCATCTGACACACCTTCCTTCCCCTTCCCTTTCCCTGTCCTCACGCTGTGCACGTGAGCACAGGGGGACCTGCTGGGCTGCTTCCTGTCATCCCTTATTGAGTTCAAACACCAACTCCCTACTTTTAAGGAGTCAGACAAGTGGATGCACCGCCATCTGGTTTCCTGTTACTAAATTCAGGCCTGATCTTGTCTGATTCCTTTCTTTCTGAAATTCTTCCCTTGGTATCTGAAACATCACCATCTTTTTGTTTTCCTCTTTCCTGGCCAGTCTTCTGTTACCAAATGGTCTCTAATGCTACTACAGGTTTTTCAAAATATATAGTCACATGCTCCTGTAGATTCACATTTTAAAAGTTTCCCAAGTGATTCTAATGATCAGCCAGGTTTGAAACCAGACTCTTGCACAGAATCCTTACATATTGAGAGTTCCTTGGTGCTTGGTCCAAGGCCCTCTGCTCTTCTCAGTTGATACTCTCCCCAGCCATTGCACCATTTCTTGCGGATTCAGTTACCACCTAAATGCAGACCACTTTCAGATTTGCATCCTTTATCTGGCTCTTTCTCCAAAGATGCATACCCAAGGCCAGGTATGGTGGCTCATGTCTGTAATCCCAACACTTTGGGAAGCCGAGGCGAGTGGATCACTTGAGGTCAGGAGTTCAAGTCCAGCCTGGCCAACATGGGTGAAACCTCGTCTCTACTAAAAAAATACAAAAATTAGCCAAGCATGGTGGGGCCTGCCTGTAGCCCCAGCTACTTGGGAGACTGAGGCACAAGAATCACTTGAACTCGGAGGGTGGAGGTTTCAGTGAGCCTGGGCGACAGAGGAAGACTCCGTCTCAAAAAAAAAAAAAAAAAAGCATACCTGGACGTAAAATTCCTTTCCCTAGTATAAACTCAGATGCTTACACGCATCTTTCACTCCGCATGGCAAAAACAGAATTCATCATCCTCTCTGCTCCTCTAAAACAGATTCCTCCTTCAGTGTTTCCTGTCTCAGCAAATGCCACGATTAGCCACCAGTTCTTCAGACCAAAACTTGGGAGTCATCCTTGACTCCTCCCCTTCCTCCACTCCACACCATAACCGTATTCCAGCCACCATCTCTCTCTGGACTTGCAAAGTGGCCTTATGCGTTCTCTTTCTGCCTCCACCTTTGGTCCGTGCAACCCAGTTCCAACATGCGATTCCAGATGATTTCTTTAAAGATACAAATGTGCATTTTTCAGATCACACCGCCTGCTTGAAACCATTCAGTGGCTTCCTGTGGTCCCTAGAATGAAGCCCATTGTCCACGAGGTGGTTCCAAAGGTCCTTAGAGACCTGCCATCTCTCCAGCTTGCCTCTGTCCCAGGTCCCTGCACTCCTGCTCAGTTTTCACTTTTGTTAGTTCCAACAACCAGCTGTGCCCCTCCTCCCTCAGGCCTTGACACACTGCTCCTCCTGCCTGGAAGCTGCTTTTCTCCCGACCCCACCCTCCTCTGGTCTCACTAAATTCCACGCACCCTTCCTATCTTGGCTGACATGCTACATTTTCAGTGTTCCCTCTCCTCTGGTCTGGTTCCACATTCCCATCAGTCTCTCTCAGTTATTTAATCCCTGTTGATTACCTTTTTTTCTTTTTTTTTGGGAGGATCTTTCTATGTAGCCCAGTACATACATTTCTAGTAGGGAAGGAAAGATATTATATTTGTCTTCTCAGCTGGACTTAAGCTTCCTATAGGCAGTTGCCAGAGTCATCAGGGATTGAGTGGCAGAGCATCAACAGATGACAGCAACAAGGAGAGTGGGAGAAATGCTGGAGGACATTGGCTTGAGAAACCTGCCCCATGATCACCGTGGTAGTGCCAGTTACTACCAGTGTTGGCACATACCAGGATCCCATATACTTGCTGCATATGTAACTCATGGGTTTCCTTGTCCATTGGTAAAGATAAATTAATACTGATGACTCAACATTCTGCTAGCTTATGTGTTGAGACAGGGCCTAAGGCTGCCCTAAGTTCCCTCCTCAGTTATTCCTGAAAACTTGCAGGGTGTGTCTCACCCCTGCCGTAGTGTGCGCCCTCTCTTGCACTTCCTCTTCAGCTTCCTTCCTGGTACTTGCAGCTCCTGTTTCCCTCACCAATGCCACACTTCCTTTGGCAAAGGCTGCTGGGGCTTTCTCTGGGATATTGATGCCCTGACTGCGGTGTACCAGTTAAGCAGCCTCAGCCAGAGTCTTGATCCCAGTTAAGACAATGATTAAGAATGAATAATGTGCCTGCTAAGCTACTATGTATGACTTGAGACACAGAGTGCCGAATTTACTGTCTCTCAAAGATCTCAGCAAACACAGTAGATATTTGGGATCATGCTGCTATTGCATGGAAGACACACTGCTCTTCTCTTGACACCTTGTGTGAAGTGTGCTAGTCATGCTCACTGTATGAAAAATGGCTGTTCCAGTTGATATGGGACTCCTTGATGAAGGGAAGAAACCTTGAAGCTGTTGCAGTCAAGATGCTCAAAATCCCCCAACTCCCAGATACTGAAAGAGGCAGCTTAGTGTGCACTGTCTACTCTGAGCTCTGGGGACGTGCAGTTGAAAACAAACCCATTGCAGTGAGAAGCTGATGGAATCCTCAGAGACCAGTGGCAGTCCTCTCAGGAGTGTGAGAGCAGCACTCATTCCTGGAACACCATCTCTGAGGAACCTTCCTAAAGTAGCCTGTGTTTTCTCCATCACAGACCAAAGTATATCGTTTGGTAAGTGCTTGTGGGTCACAGGCTCACTTGAGCAGACACAGTTTCTTCTTTGTCGCTGTTTTCAGAGTATTGCAGTCCCTCGGTGGCAATCTGCTATGTGCCTCATTGTAAACAATCAGTATTAATAGAGAGAGCAGAAGAGAGCTCGGGCCCAGTGGATGCTGGGGACAGGCCTTTGCTCACTTCATTGCCTGCTATTTCTTGCCTGACAGCCGCATGGAAATATTTAAAAGCTGGAAAGAGTAATTGAAAATAGGCCTGACTGTGACATTTCCAGGGTTCAGGGCAAGAGTACAAATGGAGGCCTACCTACCATATGCCTTGATATTTAAGTGTACAAAGCAAGCTAATAACATGTAAAATAAAATATGTTCTACCCTTCTATCTTGGCAAATGTATCTTTATAACCCAGAAGGCCAGAGTTGAATTTAGAATGCTCAGATTTCTTGGAGTTCTGCTCAGAATGTGGTAGGGTGGGAAGAGCTGTTCCAGCCCTGAGCCCCCCTTTTCCCCCCTACTCCTCAGGGCATCTGGAGGAAACATGTGTGTACACCTGTGGAAACCTCTTGACTACCCCCTCAAGCCTTTGGGGATATACATCAAGTGCAAGGACAAGGTCCACAGGGGCCCTCCCAGGGGGCACAGGGCCGTTTGAGCATGAGGTTCTGGGGTCCCAAGCACCAGAGCATGTTCTAAAAGGAGGGAGCCATGGACTTGGGTTGACACATTTCCCTGTGTCCCTATTCACTCTGCTCAGTGTGGAAAGGCAGAGCCAGAAAGAGGGGCTTCTTGCCCAGGCTGTGCGTCACAGGCCTGTGCTCAGAGTGTTAAGTAGGAAGACACCAGATGAGGAGCAGAAGCCAGGTGCATGGAGCTCCAGCCTCCTTTAAACTGGAGTGGGAGAGGGGAAGGCAGGTCCAGGAGGAGATCCAGTTGAGATGGCAGAAAGTTGATGTGATTTCCATCTCTAAGCCTGGGTTTTCTCAGTAACAGGAGAGGTAACAGGTAGCAACCCCTGCAAGGTGGAGGGAGAGTGGTAGAGGCTTAGGAAGGGTCGTAGGAAGATTTGGAAAAGCCACACTTTAAAGGTACCATTAGAGAGAGAGCTGAGAAGGGACCTGTGAGAAACCTCCTGGCAGTGCCGAGTGGCACATCTGCTTGGGCAGGTTGGGCACAGCTGAAGTCCAGAAGCACCCTTTATTGTGGTTACTGTGTGTATGTATGGCAACCCTCGAGTTGGGCACTGCACATCTTACACAGTAGGAAGACATACTTGGTGCATCCAAACTCATGCAATCTACTCTCTGAATTTTGACCTCAACAGATAATACTGCTTTGCAAAGTCTGAAGGAGAGAAAATAGTTTTAAGGGCCATTTTGCTTACTGGAATTACTTCTTAAATCCATGCCTGTTAAGTAAACACCAATTTAACATTACAAATATGGCCCAGAAAGGCTGACACAGGACTTTCCAAATAGTGGGGTGCTTGCCTTCCATTGTGAAAGGCAGGATTCTGCTCCCAGGATGGTATTTTTCTGTCTTTTGTTGCCCACCTCTGTGAATCCCCTTCTGGGCACTGGTCGTCCCTTTCTCTCTTACCAGAGGTCCCACCCATTATTTAAAATGAATTATTGTTTTAACACTTACTGTTTGTGCATACCATAGAGAAAGAAAACAATTATAATTACTATAATTCTCCCATCTCTGATATTTTTTTCCCTGTTTTCTCTCTCATAACCTCAAATTTGCTAATCCCCAGGCTGTGACAACACCTGCCTTCTTAAATTGTCAGCCTGCTTTGATTATTTTCCCCAGCATCATGGTTCCTAACCCCCACTGCTGTGTTGCTTGTTTTGGTTGTTTTTATTCACATGTGACACCTTGTTTCTGTCAGCTGTACATTAAGATAGTATCAGAGAAGATCAATCCACAAGCTTTGGGCACATTCACTAATGGAATAAAACAGAGACAATATGGAAGCTTAGAGATGTTCATTGTCTAAGTTCACCAAGAAATCCCCAAAGACTGAGAAATTGAGGCCTCCTCCAGGTATCCCATATGTACCCCTCTCTAGACATTGCTGCTGTTGCTGCTCCAAAGTAGGTGAGCTAACCAGTCCAGCTCCCAGGTGTGACCCAGCCCTGGGAACAGGGGCAGGGCGAGAAGAGGGTATGGCCAAGGGAGGGAGACCCATTCTGGGCAAAGGACCTGTGACAGGCAGGGCTGTCAGCGGTCTTCTTCCTTGGCATGGCACTGGACAGAACCCAAAGGATAGTGGGACAGTCCCCATCCCTCACTTTGTCGAAAGACGATGGCCATTGTTTGGAAGAACAAGAGAGGAAATGTGCTCACAGTTTTTTAGAGAATCTTCATTCTATAGAGAAAGACTCAAACTACTTAGGATGCCCTATGACCTATCTGTTTATCTCGCCTTTCATCTCTCACATTTGGGCTCCCAAATGTTGACTGGGTTCTGACCCAGTCCAGCCACCCTGCCCTCCATCCCAGTTCTCTCAGGGATCTTGGGGTCCCAGCCTGGCTCAGCGTCTGCCCTGCCTCTTTCGATCTCAATCCCTGGACTTGTGTGTAAAGTGGCTTCTAGCCCCTTTCCTTATCCCATGTTCACTTTTGCAATTCCCTGACGCTGTTGTGAAGCACTTTCCGAAGAGTTCTAGTTCATTCTCCATCTACTTGCACTGAGGATTTGAACTTTTTGTAAGGATTGGGGATTGTCAGTGTGAACTGAACATCAGTTTTTGTGCTCTGCTATAATGCAAGGAACCTCTCATGAGCAGGTCGATAAGGCATTTCTCCCTATGCTAAATGGCCCTGCACTAGTATGCAGTTTGAGTTTTTGCCTTCTGATTTCATTTCTGCCATTAAAGGGCTGGCTTCAGACATCTCCCGTAGCACACCCATAAACATAATAGATTTTCTGTTTTTAATATGTTGTGGACTGAAGTGATCAACCACCACAGGTGTTAGAAATATGTCTAAAATAATCACAGAAACCCACGAGTGAGGCCTTGGTGGGGACAGGGTGGGTGTCCCAAGACCAGAGGCATGTGCTTCAGTGTGTGGACTTTTGAGAATTTAGTTTAGCTGATCTGATTAATGGCCTTTTTGGGTAATTTTTAACCTCTTTTTGGCTTCAGTTTCCTTATCTCTAAAATGAGCTAACCAATTTTGTTTATCTGAGTTGTCAGACATTTTTAAGTAAACATTTTTTTAAGGCATAACACATAAAAAATGTGCACAAATCATTTGTGGACAGCCACGTGAATTTTTACAAAGTAAACATACTTGGTAATCCAGCTTACGAAACAGAATGTTATCAGCACCTAAAAGCCCCTGCTTCATGCCCATTGCCAATCCCCAAGGTTACCACTTTCCTGGCTTCAACCACCAGAGATTAGTTCTGAGCTTTATAGAAATGTAATCAGTCGTGTACTGTATGTATTCTTGTGTGTCTGCCTTGGAGGAGATTCCTTTTGCAGCATGTAGCAGTACTTCATTGTCGTGGCTGTATGGTTTTCCACTGTGAGAACAAGCCACAGTGTAACTATTCATCTGCTGGACATTTAGGTTGTTTCCAGGGTCTTCTGGCTCTTTTGAATGAAGCTGCTTTGAACATTGTGCATACATATCTTTCAGCCTACATAGGTAAACTTCTGTTGGATTATATCAAGAATGAAATTGTTGGGTCACAGAGTATACTTTAATAGATACTTCCATTTGACAAGTGGTTGTACCAATTTACCTTCCCACCAGCAGCAAACGAGAGTTCCACTCATCTACACCAAGGATTTTTTCATTGCACTTGATACTACATAACTATATTTGCCAAACAAATGCCCCGAGCAAGCGGAGAGGCAGTGGGATATAGCAGAAATCACACTCAGGTAAAACCTCAAGTGAAGGATGCAATAGTTCTGGACGAGGAAGTTATTACTTGTAAAGCAGTGATGATCTATAAGACTACTTTCATCTATGAAAGTCTTGGCTTTTTTTGTGATTTTCATGAGAAGTGCTACCTTTGTCACATACTTTCTGGTGTCTCCCTGTGACAGGCCCAGGACAGCTCTGGGTGGACCCTAAACAACAGACATATACACATTTGCCATAGATGTACTGCTTCAAGTGCAGAGATTTAATTGGTGCAGGGACACTGACGACCTAAAGGGCTTTGGAAACAAGTGTGGGAAAGAACAAGAGAAATTTGCAAGAAGAGTTCTTGGTCCCAGAGTGGAGTCATTTTGTTCTGGAGAGTAAGGCTGAGCTGGCAGGATGGTCAGAGTGTGAAAGAGCTAGTGGCAGAGGCAGTGCTACAACCACCGTGGATGACACGCACCTACTCTTTCATGCCTGGCCAAGGCAGGTGGGATGCTGCTGCCTGTGCCTGCCTCCTCTCACAAAGCTCTCCTGCATGAAATTTGAGGTGGGCCACTGGGTGGGTGGGTGGAGCCTGTAGCCTGTGCTCAGGCCCTCACAGCAAGAGAGACTTGAAAAATTTCTATCTTACATTTTTGGCTTTTTAGAACGATGAAGTCTTCAAACCTAAAAATGGGTGCAAATATTGGACCGCTAGGGCTATGGCTACTGATGATACTAAGAGCTAAAGTGATTGCCAGTTGTTTACCCTTCCTGGAGTTTTAAAAAAATCACAACTAAAGAGCATCAGAACATTATTTTGTTCCTTATTGTTTTCTATAGTTAAAGCTCCCAGGATCCACACCTTCAACCCACCCCGCCCCCAAAGTACACAATTGTCACATGTCCAGAAGTGACACAACTTCTCAAAACCATGCAAAATATGCGGGAGGACTTGTCAAACCAAGAGGTGGCCAGAGCAAGCCACTATAGTTTCCCATTATCTGAAGTAGCCATCTGCAAGGCAAGGGCTTGTTCCTAGTCCCAGAACGTAATGGTTCATGATTCCTCAATTAAAGATTTGAATGCTTTCACTCTATCCTTCAAGCAAAGATCTCACCAGGTACTTATTCTGAGAGCAAAGGAAATCTCCTTCCTCCCACCCGTCCAGATGCCCAGCCACACACTAACAAATGCACACACATCACAAACACCGGTGTTGTCCTCCTTAGCCCTTGGCCCTCCTGGCCATTCCCTGTGGGGCTGGCCCGATGAGCTGGCTTTTGTGTCACTGGGTGCTCTTCCTGAGGCCAGCTATGGGCAGATTATGAAACTGCCGCATCTGCCCTTTCTCTCCCCAGCCTCACCTCATGCCTATACGGTCCTTCCTCCTGTACCTCCTTCTGTCATGAGGGCTTTTCTTCCACTTCCCCTACCCCCTGCTATAGGGCAAGCAATGAATTAACTCAGTATGGGAGGAGGGGACTCCTTACAGAAGAATAAGACCAAAAATATCTTATATATAGGAGCCCCAGCACCTCTCCAAACTCCTGGAGAGCCACCGTAGGCACGGCTTTGACCCTGAGGCCTCTTAAAAGGCAGATGCTTCCCCCAGAAAGGTTGAGTGTTTAATCACCAATCCCTGGTGTCTCACTTTGAGTTATTTTGTCAGATCACTTTCCTCTGAGCCAGGAGAAGTCTTTAGGATGGAAAGAGCTTGTAAAAGTCAACAGAGAGAGAACAGAATAATAAGGAGGGTACCCCTGCTAAGAGAGCTGATCCAGGATCCTCTTGTCCCGTGCCCCTTCCTCTTGCTAACCAGCATGCCTCTGCCCCACCCGAGAGAAGGAGAGATGCAACCCAAGCTGGCTGCCTGCACAGCGTGCTCCAGGGTCCTGCTACAGCTTAGCAGGTATCAGTCCCCATCTTCAGCCTGACCCCCAGCCCCTCTTCGAGCACCTAGTCTAGACCTTGGTCTTCAAATCCCAAATCCTCAAACCTCCCTGTTACATTCCTAATGGATCCCATTGCTTCCCTGGTCACTCAATATGAATGTAGCAAATCCAAACGCTGGAATAGCGCTTTCCAGTTTGAAAGCACTTTGACACAATCTTACTCCATTTAAGCGTCACAACAAATCTGCCAGTGGGCTACTATTATGCTCACTCCATCACTTAGGAAACAGATTCCAAGAGATTAAAGGATGTTTTAAGGTCACACAGCTACATAGTGGTCCTGCTGGTTTGCATCAGCAATGTATCTGATGTCCCGTTGTGTGCTGGAGAACATCAGAGGCATTCCTGGCAGACCTCTCCCCTCTTCTCAGTGCCAGGCCTGAGCCAATCAAAGCCCTGCTGCTTCTTTCTTGCTCACTGCACTGGCCAGACTGTTCAGTACAATGCTGAATAGAAGCCATGAGCACAGACATCCCTATCTCCCTCCCAGTCTTAGAGGGAAAGCATTCATCTTTGACCCTTAAGTATGATGTTAGCTGCAGGTGTTCTGTAGATGTTCTTTATCAAGTGAGGAAGTTCCCTTTTATTTCTGAAAGTCTTAAATATGGAATGGAGGTTGGATTTCTTCAAATGCTTATTCTGCATCTAGTAAGGATATCATATACTTTTTCCTTTCATTCTGTTAATATGGCAAATTCGATTGGTTTTTGAATGTTAAACCAACCCTGAATTCCTGGGTTAAATCTCACTTTATTATAATGTATTACCCTTGTAGTAACATTGGATTTAATTTGCTACAAATTTGTCATGAGTTTTTGCTTTTGGTATTAGGGTAATGCTGTCCTCATAGGCTGAGTTGAAAAGTATTCCCTCCTCTTTGATTTTCTGGAAGACTTATAATATTATGTATTATTTCTTCCATAAGTGTTTGGTCGAATTTTCCAGTGCAGATATCTATGGCTGTTTTGAGGCTCTCTGGTTGTTATTTAAAAATAACCATAATAATCCAGGAAATGTCAACAACTGACAATTCCAATTGCTGTTGTCAGCATCAACATCCTTACCAACAGTATTTAGTGTCATTATTTTTAATCATCCCTGCTAGCTCACAAGAAGAATGAAGCTGGCATCTGAATAATGTTCTAGTGGTGGGCTGAGTTCATAAAGAGCCTCTGTCACATTTAACCCGAATCTTTCAGAAACCAGCAGATTCTGAGAATGAGTACTACTCCAGATGCCTTAGTGATGTTTTCAGCTCCCTCACTCGGGACCCTTGGCCAGGCAGGAGTCCTCAGCACAGCTGGTTCTCACCCCTTCCTCTGCCACTCATGGTCTCCACCCCTCAAACAACATATTCTCTCTTTTGCACTCTTCAGTTTTGCTCCATCCTTCCAGGCCCAGCTGGCATCCATCTAACTTCCCTGAGACTCTGTCAACACCTCACAGACCTTTCTCCAAATTCCTGTCACCCTGACAGCCAGAACTACGCCACTGAGCCTCTTGTTAAGCACTACCTTATGCTATTTTCTCATTGGTTCTTGAATGTTTTTCTAATTAGATTATAAACTGCTTTTCTCATATTGCCTCAGAGCACCTGATATGTGGTTGACTGCTTTAAGAGCAGCATTATAGCACATTGCATAGGAATTCCCGATGCAATTTCCTGATGCCTGCTTATTCTGCAGCAGCTCCACTGGAAAGCAAATACCAGGGAGGATGTCTTTTTATTTACGACTTTCTCTTCTAAGTGATTGCCCATGTTATATGTCAGGTCTGTGTATCTCTTAAACATTACTTGGCTTTCTTAATGGCAAAATGACTGACCTGATTTTTCAATGAAAAATCTAAAAGCATATATGACAAAAGTCAGTGTCTCCTAATATCCAAAGCATTTTTACTTACATTTCATTATACTCTGCCATGAGGCAGAGAAAGCAAATATCATGTTCACATTTTATGAGGCTCATCTTTCCAGCCTTGTCACTGCCCATGCTTCCTCTGGGCCCAGGTTTGGACTCACTGCTGTCTTGACTGAGCCCTGACTACCTTCCATGCTCCAGGCCTCATGCTGTTCCCTTGGCCTGGAAATTCCGCAGGGTCCAATTCAGATATACCTCCAAGTGAATGTTATCTGCCCCCAGGCAGAATTACTCCTACTTGAATATAAATTGCAAAAAAAAAAAAAAACCCACACTTTGATTTGCTTTATCACATACTATTAAAAACATCTTTAGAACTCATTAATAAAATATGCCTTGATTTCAAGAATAAATATAGAGTTTGAAAGTCATTTTTTTTCTTTCTAAAATTTTACTGTAGACATGGGGTGTTGCTATGTTGCCCAGACTAGTCTCAAACTCCTGGCCTCAAGCAATCCTCCCACCTCAACCTCCCAAAGAAAAGTTATTTTTATTGTTGATGAGTTGGTCAGTATTGCAAAAGGCAGTGAGCATCTATTCTGATGGCCTAAACCCAAGCTATCAGCAGCTATTAAAATATACGTTTATCATCAAAATCCATGAAGTCTCTTCATCTCATCTCTCTGTTTTCCAGTTCCTTATGTTTCTGATTCTTATTATTTCATGTACATATCCTTGAACGTCTATTTGTGTGTGCTTGTGGGCCTGCCTTGGCTGAGGTCTCTGAGGTATTTGGTTTCTCTTCTCTTTCTCTCCTTTTCCTATTGCCTTCTTGATCTTTTTTTAGTGTTGTTGTGACCTGGACTGGCTCAGCATTGGGTCACACCAGGTCTTGGCAATCAGGAGTCAAAAAGGACGGTGAGTATTTTGGGCACAGAGAATGGGCAAGATGGAAACTCTCTCAGCCACAGAGCCCAGCCCTAATGAGGGTGTTGGGGAAGACATCACAGTTTCACTTCTTGCCCCAGAGAAAGCCAGCTCAACCATGTGCCTGCATGGTTATCCCCTTCTTACTGAGTCCCTGGAGGCCAACTCTTAGCCTAAGTCTGATTAGGCTAGTTGTGCTTAGATCTGCCTAGCATGAAACACAGGTTATTTTTTTGGTTTTCCTTTAGGAGTTATCCCTTATATTTTTCCTATCCTAGAGAGCTCATTCAATTCTCTATCCCAGATGTGCATATCTGAAATTGGTAAACACTCCTTCCCCCATCAAATGACGTTCTCCCCTGTTTTCTGCCCAAGAACTGTCCAGATGAAGAGACCAAGGGCTCTGTTGCCCTCTGGTGCCCAGGTAGGTTCAGCCAATGGGGAAACTCAGCAGGAAATAGGTGAGGGAGAGTAGGTTCAAGATATTTGGTCCCCTAGCTCCCTTGTGATCTCCTGACACCCAGCCCAAACCTTGCTAAACTGTTACTTCATTGAACTCTCCACAGATTTTCATAATTTGAGTGTGCCATTGATTTCCTGCTGATGGACTTTGAGGTGTTTAAATCATCCAGAAGCAATGCAGGTTGAAATGTTATACCACCTTAGGGTATAGACACTTGAAGTAATCTCACAACAAAGGAGAACAACCAACTCAAATGGGAGCCTTGGGGAGAAATCCTGTGATTTCACTCAAGGCAGCTGTATCTTATTAATAAATGTATCACTTATTTAATGTAAAACTCCCATAACGACCAAGCTCAATGTCCTATAACTACAACTCCCATATTGGAATTGCTTAAAGTCTTAAGATTGTAAGATTATTAGGAAAGGAGTAAATAATGTCAAAATTATTCTAAAACACACCTGAAATTTAGGATCATGAGCATTCTTAAATTCATTTCCTCCTCCTTCACAAAGAGTAGGGGAAGTCATGTTTTTGTGCCACTGGCATAAGCAACTCTACTATTATGATGGCTCAGCAGGCTGATTAAGTTTAGGTGAGGCCAAGGTTCAGCTGGAGAAACAAGTCTGCAAAATTGCCCAGGCATTCTATGTCCCGAGTATGTCCTATGTGCCAAGCCGTTTGCCCAAGATGTCACATGCACTGCCACATTCATCCTCAGGTCAGTTTTGTAGAGGGGCCCATAGTCCCCATGTTATGGAGGGGTCTTTTCTTCTCACTAGCTCCCACACCCCAGCTGTGCTATGGGCTCCCCAGTTCCATAACAGGCTACAAAGGCAAATAGACAGGCCTTTACTTCGAAGGAGATGCACAGGGGACACCACAAATAACTCACATAGGCCTTCCCACCATCACCTTGCCTGACCTGGGTCACCAAGTGTGAACCCAGGACTGCCCCATGACACTGGGGTGCTCATATCATGAGGTACCCCCCAGAGACCAGAATGTCCCATCTGGACAGTCTCACAGAGGGAAACTGGTCTCTGTCAAAATATGTATTCCTTTTACTCACCTCTCACAGGGTGACATCTGAGCAAATAGGAAGTTGGTTCTTATTGTCTGTCATTCACAAAGGCTTTGGGGTGGCTCTGGGACTCCTATGTCATAGATAATCATGGTAGTCTTATGGCAGCCTCTTGACAAGCTAAGCTTCCTGCCCCTCCCAGACCAGACATCCCACGCACCTTCCAGGATGTGGAAATGTTAACCTCTCCTCGAAGCAGGAATGCACCCTGCATAAACTTGAGCCAAGTTCAACCTGTCTGTTGGCTGCACGAGCCACTCCTGACTACTCAGTCATTTCCTCATAACTTGACCCTGTATTTTATAGCCCTGAATTTTAGGTGCTCCCCTTCACTCTACCCAGCGTTATGGCAGTTGTTCTTGTGTTCCCTTTATTGACTAGGAGCCAGACAGTTTCAGACAGTATCCCAAGGAAGGAGGAGCAAAGTTTGAGGTCCCAGCAGCCCCAGGGTTCCTTTGCCCCACTGGGTGAAAGCCTTTTGAGGCCTGCAATGCTTTCGGAACCCTCCCTTCTTGCCCTGGGTTCATGGCCCCACGCATGGGAGTGACTTCGTCATGCTTCTGGAATGGGCAGCCTGTCTCAGCCAGGGTTTCCAGCCCAGGTTCCCTGCTGTGCCTTACAGAATGCAGACAGCTCAGGCTCAGCCAGGCCCAGGCCCTCCAGGAGAGCCAAGAGCTGATCTCAGCTATCAGGGACACTTACTGCATAGTGAGAAGGAATCCATTTTCACAGCCCCCCTGGGAAATGTTGCTCCTGTCAGTGTGGCTCCAGTCTTGACCATTGGCCACAATGCCCACAGCCCCACCTCTGACTGCAATTTTGTGCTGTGGGACTAAGAAGCATTTAGCTCTCGGCTCCCCCTGCTTGTCCCAAGACTTGGCATCATATCTTACACAGGTGTACACACACACAGAATACACATACACACATACGCACAAAATACATGCACACCTCTATATACGTAGCACACATGCATGTATACACATGTACACAGTCACACATAAAAAAATCACACTCACTCTCCTACATCTACACATACATAACACAAATATATACATATACGTTTTTACACACATACATATTCATATACACACACAGCCACCTTTTCAAGTGGCTCTCTCTGTTGTCCAGGCAGAGACGCACCAGTTCTGATTCAAACCTCCCCATCCTCCATCTCCCTTTGATGGGGAGTTGGGGGTGCAGAGGACAGTGGCCACTGGACCAGTGTATCCACACCACATTGAGGTGCTATTAAATAAATAAGTTCCAGTTTAAGAAGCAGAAGGCCATGATTTAGGGTGTGTCTGCTTGTGGTGGCAGCAAGTGTGTTTCTGAAGATCATACCTTCTCTTTCCTCCAGCTATAGACTTGTCCAGGGCAGAGACACTGTCTGACTTTTTATTTTTGTATTTTGTTGGTTTGTCTGTTTTTGTCCTAAGTTCCCATCACACACAGGCGGTGGCCACCTGGTTTTAGTGAATGGCTGAAAGAATGAATGGACAAACACATCCAGTTATTTAAAGGCAGTGACTGTGCATAATGATGAAGACGACAGCAAAAATAGATGTTTGAAAGGACAGTTGAGAGATAATGTGAGAAATAAGATAACTTGACAAATTGTTAATTTTACCTTCTAAATTTTTTTTTTGTCTCACTAACTGAAGAAAAGTTTACTGCAAAGAAAAGTTGCTTGATTCTTTCAAATGAATAGCTAGCTCCTAGCCCCAGATCTTCTGAGTTGCTGAATGACATGAGCTGTCCTTGCTGGAATGTTCTTCCCCTCCCCAGGTTACACAGTGCCAGGGTATGTGTATGTACTGAGGGAGAACCAGCTCTTGTCCTTGCTCTCAAATGGCCTCTTCAGGTCCCAGGTTCCTTGGCAGCCTCTGTGCCCCAGGTACCCCTAGGAGTGGGAATCTGGGCCAAGGCAGCCTGTGGTCTAAGTTCCCATGCAGGGTCACAGGATCCAGGCTGTGAATGGACATCAGTGGAGCCCATGGAGGCCCAGGATCTAAGAAGCACTGCTCAATGACAAACTGGGGTGACATTCGAATTGTTTATAACAACGTGCTAAACAAGACATTGGTCTCGACAACCAAATTCGGCTTATGGTCTTCGGTTGGCAGCCTCTCCTCTCTGGGGTCCATCCAGCTCTCTGGAGGCTGCCAAGCAGCTCAGCGCAGATCTCGCAGGTGTCAGGACTCCACAGAGCACTGTGGGGTGTGTGTCTGTGTGTGTCTGTGTGTGTGTGTGTGTGTGTGTATCTCTATTTATTCCTTCTTCCCTTCCACACCCTGACATCCTAAAAAGCATCCCCACATAACTGAGGAGACTAAACTGGTCCACTACCTTCAGCTCTATGCTCAGGTTAAAGAGAAGGAAAGAAATTCAAAAGGGGGAGCCCTTTGAAGAGTTGTCAGTGACTGGAGAGGGATGTGGCCTCTCGCTGCTGGGGCACACTGAGAGGTGGAGGAGGGAAAGCAAAGAGGACTGCCCACACTCCTGCCTCCACGCTGTGATGAGTGCCCTGTGCAGGGAAGATGGAAAGAGTTAGGATTAAATTGGGGGTGACATTTTAAGTTAAATGCTACTGGAAGTTTATAAACTAAAAGTAAAAGTTAGCCTGACATGTTAAGGAGTCAGGAATGGAAATTCAACTAAAAATGTTTCAAGACAGACAAAGAAAGTAAAATGAAGCCATTTCCTGTTCGCACCCCCGCTGGTTCAGCCTACTCAACAGACCATCTTTCTCCAGCCCCGGGAGATTCTGTCTAGCCTGGGGAAAATTCTTCTCCCTTCGTGCTTCTTCCAGAACTACTGGGACTGACCTAAGAGCATAGATTTTGGAAAGATAAAAGTCAGTCACATTTAGAAGTTACTCCACTCACTTGCCTGCCACATTCCTGCTGAGGGAAAATGAAGACAGGGTGAACTCCAGCTCAGATGAAAAGGCAGGAAAAAATATTTAGAGAGTCTTCTCATAAAACATGAGCCCAGACACACCAGTCAAAAACAAAACATCAGAGACCAGAGCGGTAAAGAGGAGGGCAGCTCAAAGCAGGAGGCTCCCTGGCCTTGCTTCCTAAAATCCTCCCGTGCAATGGCTCCTTCAGCTCATACGCACCCTCTGCCTTTAGATCAGCCAGGCAGTCTCTGTCTGAGGCCCCGGGTTTCCTGGCTGTCAAAATAGATACCAAGAGCTGGTTCCAGACACCTCACAGAGTGGCATTGAGTCAAATACGGTTTCATGGACTTAAACAAAAAAGAAACTCTGCAAACTCTGCAAATGTCCCCAGACATCATCACTGCATATGACTGAGGCCCTTATGGAGACCAGTTCCCTCTGTAATTCTCCTAAGGATATATATAGTGCATTCATGCTGTGTCACTCTCATTGGGACTTTGCAATCCAGTATTCTCCTAATTTTAAACATGCATGGCCCCAGCTTACAAACAAGTTGTGTTCCAAAAGTGCATTTACAGTTTGGTTAGTTGGCACCCAAAATTCGGTTTCACATGAAAACCTCGCTAAAACTAATCCATAATGCATGTGCAATCACACTGGTAGAAAACAATGCTGTTATACTGTGGTAATGAAGTCAAACGGAAAAATACGTGTACCGTATATTTAAACTAACCAAGTAATAGTACATTCACTAGCTTAAAGCCAGGTACTTGACATTCTCTCCTAATGCTTGAATGTTGCTGTTTCCTGCATCTTGAGGCCTAATGTGGGGCACGAAGCCAGTCTATTATAATATGAAGGGATATGGAAAATTGTGATGGAATTCCTGACAAATCAGAACCACCCACACATTTCTCCTCTAGGACTTCCCTGAGCCACCTCTGGCCTCCTCCACCGTCACTGTCTGCCCACTGCCCACTTCCTGGCTCCACCCCACTCTTAACACATTTCCCATCTTCCTCCTGCAACTCCAGCATGGATGAGAGCCACACACAAGGTGCTAAGGTTTAGAGGAAGAAAGAGTTGACATTTCTACTTTTAAATTTACTAAAAACAATTCAATTGCAAAGAAAAACAATTTCAGGGGCTCAGTTGCTGTGGTCTAACCCAGACTGACCTGAGGTAGCCAGGGGTGCCCTGGTGGCACCACACCTGGACTCGGGGGACTCATGGGTCCACTCTAGAATCAGTCTCTTTCTCTACATCTAGAATGGGTGTCACCATTTAGGGCTGCAGACCACATGTCCAGGACTGGCTACACAATTTGTGGGTTCCAGTACAAGATACAAATGCAGAGTCCCTTGTTCAAAGATATTAAAAATTTCAGGACAGTGACAACAAAGCCTGGGCCCCTGTACATAGACTCTGTGTGACTACCCAGGTGGCATAACCCTGAAACTGGCCCTGAAAATGACACCAACTTGATGGACAACCTTGACACATCTGGGTCATGTCCAAATTCTTGGAAAAGAATGGTCATTTCCTGTTCAGATTTCCCAAATGACTCCCCCTTTAGCCTCCTTTCATTCTGTGGACTGTGCCCAGGGCCCTCAAGAAACTGGACTCTGATTCCTGGCCACAGAGACTCCCTTTGCCTCCAAGGCCCCAAGTCTATGTGGTAGAGCAGATAACGCTCCAAACCAGCACTTACATGCCACCTCTCACTGTGGTCCTGTACAAAATTCCTTCTATTTACAAACTTTCAAAAATAAGAACACAGTGTTCCAGGGCCAAGGCAACAGACATAGGCTGCAGAGGTCACCTGGGTCCTTTTCATCTCAGCATCTGTTTGTTCACTGTCCACACCTTCAGCATGCTGGCTGCATCCAGGTCTTTCTTTAGGTCTTTGGCCAACATCAAACCACAGTGTGATGGCTAATTTTATGTGTCAATTTGATTGGGCCCCAGGGTGCCCAGACATTTGGTCCAACATTATTCCGGATGTGTCCATGAGGGTGTTTTTGGATCAGATTAACATCCACATTGGTAGACTGAGTAAAGCAGATTGTCCTTCCTAATGTGAGCCTTATCCAATCAGCTGAAGCCTGAATAGAACAAAAGATTGACCCTCCTGTGAGTAAGGGGGTTAAAAACTCCTCCTGCTGCCTGCCTTGAGCTGAGATATGACTCTTCTCCCGCCTTTGAACTCATTGGGAAACATTGGCTCTTCATGGGTCTCAAGTCTGCCGGCTTTTGGACGAGAACTTACATCATTAGCTCTCCTGGTTCTCCGGCCTTTGAACCCAGACTGAAACCACACCATCGGCTCTCCTGGGTCTCCAGCTTGCTAACTACAGATCTTGGGACTTCTCTGCTTCAACAATGGTATGAGCTGATTCCTTATTTTATTTATATCATGTATATAAACATTACAATATATTAGTTCATATAATAAATGTGAATTTCATATATATATATATGTGTGTGTATATATATCCTATTGGTTCTGTTTTTCTGGAGAATCACAATGAATACACTCAGTCTCAGGATTCAGAGTGCTCATGGCCAGGTAAGTACTAGTATATTTGTAACCAAGGTACACATAGACTTAAAAAACAAAAAAAACAAAACATAGCAATTATAACAAAGGCCCACCCTCCACCCATCACTGAAAGGCCCTTCTTGTGCTTGATCTCGTATACTTTAGGCAAGTGTGATGTTGTGTCTGTATACTGTGGCAAAATCAGCCACATGGTTGGTGGCTTATGCCTGTAATCTCAGCACTTTGGCAGGCCAAGGCAGGAGGATTGCTTAAAGCCAAGAGTTCAAGACTAGCCTGGGCAACAAAGCAAGACCCAGCCTTTATAAAAATTAGCCTGGTGCAGTGGTGCATATCTGTAGTCCCAGCTACTCAGGAGGCTTAGGCAGGAGGATCCCTTGAGCCCAGGAGTTCAAGGCTGCAGCAAGCTGTGAGGGTGCCACTGTACACCAGCCTGGGTGACAGAGTGAGACCGTATCTCCAAAAGAAATTCAAAAAGAAAAAGGAAAAGAAAGTGCCCATGGTCAACAGTGTATAAATGCCCTCCAACCAAAGTCCACCAAGAACACACCTGTAGCTGACGAGGTGTTGGGTGTACTTCTCATAGTGAGATAGAACTACACCAGGGGAACCATGGGGCATCTCAATAACAGTGTGTTAGAAAAATTCTATTATGGGGTTGGGGCTTGGGGGGTTATTAAAGAGGAACCAGGAAGGCAGAGGCTTTCCCTGGATTGCACAATATCAGAAAGTGAGGACAATTCTGTGATTGGTTATGTCGAGAAAACTTATCTATGAGAGGGCTCGCTAGAGCAGGAATAAAGCTATAATTGGTAAAGAAACAGCAGTCACTCATATTAGCCAAGGGAGGAATGCTTATAATTTTGTGGGTGACACAATAACTACTTTTGTCTGTGCCTAAGCAAAATTATGAAGTGGCCTTGTTTTGTCTAAGTGACCTTGTCTGATGTTGGTGTTCTGAAAGATCGTTTGTCTCTCTGCTTCATGTTCTCAGTCGTTTCTACTCCCCTGGTTCCCTTTGTTCTACCCCCACACCCTGACCAGCCCTGCTATCCTGGAAGAGAGCTAAAAGCTCAACTTGTGAGGTCAGATGGGCTGGGTCTCCCTTGTGCTAGCTGGAAGGGCTCTGGGACCTTCTGAAGGGAGACACTGCAGTACACATGGCTTTTCTCTTGCTTACCGTGACTCCCTTTCTTTTTTTTTTTTTCTTTTACTTTTTCTTTTTTTTTTTTTTGAGACGGAGTCTTTCCTTGTCACCCAGGCTGGAGTGCAATGGCCTGATCTCAGCTCACTGCAACCTCAGCCTGCCGGGTTCAAGAGATTCTCCTGCCTCAGCCTCCTGAGTAGCTAGGATTACAGGCGCACACCACCATACCTGTATTTTTGTATTTTTAGTAGAGACAGGGTTTCACCATGTTGGCCAGGCTGGTCTCGAACTCCTGACCTCATGGTCCACCCGCCTTGGCCTCCCAAAGTGCTGGGATTACAGGTGTGAGCCACCGCGCCCAGCCCAACTGTGACTCCCTTTCTAAAATCCCTCTACTCTGAATTACCAAAAACCAAGTGCTGTGCTGAAGCCTTTAATATATATTCACCAATTCAATCCTTACTACAACCCTAGAAGGTAAGTACTAGTATATTTGTAACCAAGGTACACATAGACTTAAAAAACAAAAAAACAAAACATAGCAATTATAACAAAGACTCACCCTCCACCCATCACTGAAAGGCCCTTCTTGTGCTTGATCTCGTATACTTTAGGCAAGTGTGATGTTGTGTCTGTATACTGTGGCAAAATCAGAGAACTTCCCTTTCCAGTCTGGGCACTATTTGCAGAGTAATCTTCTTATTGCTTGACCCTGGATCAAAAACCCACACTGTAGCTAGGCACAGTGGCTCACATCTGTAATCCTAGCACTTTGGGAGGCTGAGGCAGCATTTCTCTTGAGCTCAGGCATTTGAGACCAGCCTGGGCAACATGGCAAAATCCTGTCTCTATTAAAAATACAAATATTAGCCGGGCATGGTGGCGCATGACTGTAGTCCCAGCTACTCGGGAGGCTGAGGTGGGAGGATCACCTGAGCCCGGGAAGTCAAGGCTGCAGTGAGCTGACATCCCCCCACTGTGCTCCAGCCTGGGCAACAGGAGTGAGACCCTGTTCTCCAAAAAGAAACAAAAACAAAAAACGAACCGAAAAAACCCTACACTGCTCCCTACTGCCTAGAGAATTAAGCTCAAATTCCTTCCATCAAGACTTCGCCTAATTTGGCTTTCAACTGCTTTATTGTCCTCAGTTCCCCTTTTCCCCCTAAGTGAGCTCTCTACCATGGTCAAAGCCATACATTCGTAGGCCCCCTGAACACATCAAATGCATTTCCACATCTGCAGTATTCTTTCAAATTGAAACATTCCCCTGCCTCCATCCAATCTCAGGCTATCTCTCCTGTTCAACTCAAGTCTGACTTCAGCTGTAAAGCTTTTCTGGCATGTATCTGGTGCTATTTCATATAGTTATTTATGTTTTTATGCATTACCCGTGTTGTCCCAAAGAGACCTGGGGTAGATAGTTTGCAAAACGGCCACAGTAATTTCTCCCATGCCTGTATGTATGTATGCCCCTTTGCCATTTCTATCCTCAAGAGGTCTTCACTCGTTGAATCTGAGCTTGAATCGGAATATGACCTGTTTTGGCCATTGGTGTGTTAGAAACCCCTGAGACCACCAAACAGCTGGCCAACTACCAAATGTGTGAGCAAAGCCAACCTAAATCATCCAGCCCCTGCTAAGCTGGCCTGATCGGAAAAGCCATTCCAACCAATCCATGGAATTGTAAGCAAAATAAGAAATGTTTGTTTTTATATGTCAGTACTTTAGGGGATGGCTTGTTATGCAGCCAAAGCTAACAGATATAAGATTCTTAGCCCCTTCAGGAGCTGAGTTACTTTACCTGAATCCTCAGAATCCAGCCTTGCACATGGGATCAAGTTCTCAATAAATATTTGCTTTTGATGATAACAACTGAAATACAGAAAGCTGGAAACTGAGGTTTGAAGGATGAGAGGCCTAGCCTTCCCATGCTTAAAGCCTAGAGGTCAGGAGTTCAAGACTAGCCTGACCAACATGGTGAAACCCCGTCTCTTCTAAAAATGCAAAAAAAAAAAAAAAAAAAAATTAGCCAGGTGTGGTGGCACGTGCCTGTAATCCCAGCTACTCAGGAGGCTGAGGCAGGAGAATCGCTTGAACCTGGGAGGCAGAGATTGCAGTGAGCTGAGATCGCATCACTGCACTCCAGCCTGGGTGACAGAGCAAGACTCCATCTCAAAAAAAAAAAAAAAAAAAAAAAAATCCCTTATCTTACACAACAACTTACCTGTGCACTAACAGGTAAGTTGTGGATTCAGCTGCTGGAGTGGCAGGAAGGGGTTGACTTTGGGAAGAGATAGGCAGCCTGTGGCAGTGAGCTGTTACTCGTTTTATCATTCTTTCATCCATTGATCAAATGTTTATTGAACACCTACCATGTGCCTGGTGTTGTGCTGGGGACTAAGAACAAGGAAATGAACAAGCCATGACCCTGGTTCTCAGGGGCTCTAGGTCTAGAAGGAGACAAGCATCAGAACACATCTGACCATCCCTGGATTAAATTCAACAAGAAAAGAGGTTAGCCGGAGGACTTCTTTGTGCCAAGTCCCATGTTCCAGGGTTCATTTCCTGAACAAATTGATCATGTTGTTCTTTGATCTCTTCCGCTGGTGAAAATTCATACATATTTTCCCAAAGCTATAAGTTCCTATTTTCTTAACCAGATTACACTGCTCATTAGGAAAACAAGTGAAAAAAATGAGTCCTTAATGATATAATCATCTAATTCCTTCAGAGGTAACAACACTGTCTGTGCAGCTGGGTCCTGAGAACCACATGCTCTGACAATGTCAATACTTCAAACCTTGAGGCTGAAGAACAAAAGACAGTGATACCTGTTGCCCTCCACAGCTATGGTGACAATCTGCCTGATGGCCTAGGGCCTGAGTGTGGCTCACCATATGGATTAGAGTAATAACAGTTATTGGGTATTGAGTGCTTACTGTGTGCTAATCATTGTAAACACTTTATCTTTTTTAATCCTCCCAGCAACCTCATGGGACAGGAACAATTATTATTTCTTCTTTACAGTTGAGGAAACTGGAGCACCAAGAAGTTAAGTAACTTTCCCAGGGTCACATAGCTAGTAATAGCAGATATGAGGCTTGAAGCCAAGTGTTTGGGTTTTGTTTTTCCTGAAGCTTGCACAGCTTTAGACCTCATCTGCTAACAGCACTTGTCTGTTAGGAGATGATTCTGCCTCCTTTCTTTTCCTCCTACTCAGTCCAGAGCTTCAGGGTCCCCGCAGCCAGGCAGTTATTTGGGTGTTAAGTGGCCTTATGCTATTTTTAGCTCTTAGAGGATTGCAAGTGCTTTATACATATCTCTTTACTTCTTGTTTACTTTATCTTTTCTTTTTTTGTTGTTGTTGGTTTTTTGTTGTTGTTGTTGTTGGTTTCCTTTCTTCCTTTCTTTTTTTTTTTTTTTTTTTTTTTTTGAGACAGAGTCTTGCTCTGTTGCCCAGGCTGGAATGCAGTGGCACGATCTCGGCTCACTGAAACCTCCACCTCCCAGGTTCAAGCAATTCTTGTGCCTCAGCCTCCCAGGGAGCTGGGATTACAGGTGCACACCACCATGCCTGGCTAATTTTTTTTTTATTTTTGTATTTTTAATAGAGACAAGGTTTCACCATTCACCGTGTTAGCCAAGCTGGTCTTAAACTCTTGGCCTCAAGTGATTGTCCCCCGCCCTCCCGCCCCTTGGCCTCCCAAAGTGCTGGGATTACAGGTGTGAGCCACTGCGCCTGGCCTGTTTGTTTTATCTTTTCTAAAGCTCAAAACAAATAGGAAGGAGCTTCACCTGCTCCCCCCAGGCAGCTACCGAATGAGAGTCTCTGCAGAGCTGTCAGCCAGCACTTAGTTGACACCAGCCCAGCTCCAGGCTGCAAGTGACTTGGGGGAGGATTGGAGACATGCCTGGCACACTACATGCCTGGCACACTACATGCTTGGCACACTAAAGCAGTCCTCATTTATGAGATGGGGAACAACCTCACCTGCCAGTCCTGTTTCTGCCTTTTTTACTTTTAGTTATAGAAATTTCTAAAAAAGAAGAGAAAACCCTAGAGAGATCACTCCTTGCCTCAATATGGTCCCCATCCTTGCTCTTCCTGTTCTGGAGACAACTTCCTCTTTCTCCTCTCCTTCCCAGCCCAGTACTTCCCCCCCTTCTCCTCCCTGCCATCCCCTTCACACACAAGCTCTTTTTTCCCTCTGGTGTAGTTCGACCCTATAGTAATTTCTTTCTAATTCAGATCAGTGTGCCTGTGTTACCATGGCAACCTGCTGCTACCAAGGCTTCAACGAAGTCACTTCTCCCCTATATTTTTAATAGAAAATCTGCACTCTACATCTTGTCCTATCCGACCTGCTACTGCCAGTTTGAACAAAACTCCAGCCCCAGTTTCCCAAATGTCTTTAAGTATTTTTATACATCATCAATTGAGTTAATTCCAAATACATCCATGCAATTTTCTCCATGGGGGTGTACCTGGCTTTCTCAGTGAGGGGTGGACAAGTTGAATTTGTACTTATGCAGTGGGATTGACAGGAGCTGAACAGTGAATACTGAAGAGGGAAGCGGCTCGGGCGGAACTGCTGCTGCCTCACAGGGAAGGCAGGAGCAAACCAGAAACCCAACCCAAGGAAATTCTCCAGGCCACATGGGTCAGGCATGAGCTTGTGAAATCTCCAGCCATGGAAATACCCAGAACTCAGCATACTCTCCAGGCCCTTCTGAGCAGAAGGTCGCAAGTCTGGTGCAGAGGAAATGAAGCAGCACACACTTTGGAGTCAAGCAGATTTGAGTATTATTTTCAAGTCTGTCGTTGAACTAGCTGTGCTATGTGAGCTTGGGCTAGTTCCTTAACCTCTCTGACCCTCGGCAGTTTATCTTTCAGAGTTACTGGGAGAAACACATAGGCTAATGCATGTAAAATGGTCTAAAATAGTTCTCAGTCAGCACATACTTGGTAAAGAGTAACTGCCATTATTACAGTTATTATAAGGAAAACCCTCTGAGGAAGCATCGAGATACAAAGCCAGAGCTTGGGCTCAAGAGGCATATACCAAGATTACCAAATAATCAGGCTAACTGCAGCGCTGATAACCCAACCCGAAAACACAGTCCAGACACACCAAGATTCAGGATGTAAGCAGTAATTGGGAGCAACAGCACCAGGTCTCGTTACAATTACATGCTGTCATAAGAGCAATAAGCTAGAGTTGACCCGCAAATAAACCACATGTTAACTGCTTCCAGGTCCTCTCCTCTTCTCCTTGGCCTGTTTGCAGCTGATATATGAGTTAGGCAGGCCAAGAACTGGAATGGAGCAGTGTAAGGGAGAGAGCTTGCATTTATTCCATATGGGAGAGCCAGGTGTGACCCAAAGTCAGGTCCCTGCTTGGGCCCAGAAAGGAAGGCTGGGTACACACAGAAGGAGCCATTTGACCTGAGCTGGTTCCAAAGGACTCATGAATGTAGGACTGCTTCCAAGGCTTTGAAACTCCACCTCAAAAAATATGGCATGCAGATGACTATTAAATAGTCATCTATTTGTATCATCTATACATCTTACACCTGTAATCCCAGTGCTTTGGGGAGCCAAGACAGGAGGATCACTTTAGACCAGGAGTTCGAGACCAGCGTGGGCAACATAGCAAGACCCCATCTCTATAGAAAGTAATAATAAAATAAAAAATTAGCTGAGCATGGTGGTGCACACCTGTAGTACCAGCTACTTGGGAGGCTGAGGTGGGAGGACCTATTGAGCCCAGGAGTTGGAGGCTGCAGTGAGCTATGAGCATGTCCCTGCACTCCAGGCTGGGTGACAGAGCAAAACTCTGTCTCAAAAAATAAAAAGTCTTAACGGAGTGCATAATAGAATGTTAAGACATTTTCAAATGTAAAGAGTAACAGAGACCAGATCAGCAGTGCTGTACATATGAAGAGTGTAAGAAAACAGCCACTAGCTCAGTGACCCCTTCTGAGATGTGTAAGAGGAGCTTGGAGAAGAGCAAGTCAAACTAGTGGTGGTTCCTTCTTTGGAGAGTTGTTTCCTAGGCAGCAATGACAGGAAGCAGGACAGGAAACTTGGCATGTATCTGTTGGAAGGTCGTGGGCTGAAGGTGAGACATTGTGGCTAACGCTGCCTCCCATGATGGAGGAAGAAGAGGCATGTCTCGGATCCTCCTCCAAGTCACGTGCAGCCTGGAGCTGGGCTGGTGTCAACTAAGTGCTGGCTCTGCGGAGACTCTCATTCAGTAGCTGCCTGGAGGGAGCAAGTGAAGCTCTTTCCTATTTGTTTTGAGCTTTAGAAAAGATAAAGCAAACAGGCTGGGTGCAGTGGCTCATGCCAGTAATCCTAGCACTTTGGGAGGCTGAGGCGGGCATATCACTTGAGGCCAGGAGTTCAGGACCAGCCTGGCTAGCATGGCAAAACCCCGTCTCTACTAAAAATACAAAAAATAAAAAAATAAAAAATTAGCCAGGCATGGTGGTATGCGCCTGTAATCACAGCTCTCCAGGAGCACAAGAACTGCTTGAACCTGGGAGGAGGAGCTTGCAGTGAGTTGAGATAACACCACTGCACTCCAGCCTGGGCAACAGAACGAGACTCTGTCTCAAAACAAAAACAAAAACAAAAAACAGCAACAACAAAAATGAAAAGATAAAGCAAACAAGAAGTAAAGAGTTGTGTATAAAGCACTTGCAATCCTCTAAGAGCTAAAAATAGCATAAGGCTACTTAACACCCAAATAACTGCCTGGCTGCTGGGGACCCTGCAAGCTCTGCACTGAGTAGGAGGAAAAGAAAGGAGGCAGAATCATCTCCTAACAGACAAGTGCTGTTAGCAGACGAGGTCTAAAGCTGTGCAAGCTTCAGGAAGAACAAAAACCAAACACTTGGCTTCAAGCCCCACGAACCTGGGAGGCGGAGGTTGCAGTGAGCAGAGATTGCGCCACTGCACTCCAGCCTGGGAGACAGAGTGAGACTCTGCCTCAAAAAAAAAAAAAAAGAAGAAGGTGAAGGGGAGCTACCATGTGCAGAGAGTACATGGTAAGAGATCAGGGAAGTGGGGTGGGAAGATGTCATGTTCTTTTTAACAACCAGCTCATGCAGGAACTAATAAATGCCCAAGGGAAGGCATTAATATATTCATGAGGGAACCACTCCCATGACTCAATCACCTCCCATTAGGCCCACCTCCAGCATTGGGGATCAGATTTCAACATGAGATTTGGAGGTGACAAACACCCAAACCGAAGCAAGCTCCAAGAGAAGCTGTCTCCTTCTGACCTGAGGATGGGAAAGGGAGCCCATAAGACTCAGAGAGAGTGGGAGACATTCCCCTTTATTTTTAGTCATTTATTTTATCTCCCACCCAACCCTCCAGGAAACCCCATGGTGGTGACAGTGATAGTAACAGCAGCAGCAACTGAAGAGGCACCTAAAATTCTGAGGGAGTAGAACCCTTCTCTCTGACCAGAGGGACTATAGTCCGAAGAGCATAGAGAAAATTTGAATTGTTTTTTGTCTGTGTCTATTCTCCCACTGCTTGGCTTTGGAGGAAAGATGCAGTCAGAAGTATGCTACAGAGTTGGGAAGCTAAATTTTCAGTTTCTAGACGGAATACCAGGAGAAGCAATCCCTGGAGGCCAGAACATGTCACAGAGATCATGGTAAAGAGAAAATTCGAGAAAGCAAACCCCTAAAGTTATGTATGAGCATGTTGGCTTATTCCAGGAATATAAATGCATTGGTCTGACTCTAGACAGCATACCAAAAGTTTCAAGAACTGAACTGTGAACTAGGCAACCACCTGGTTCCCAGATCGGTCACTGGGAGGTAGACAGTTGAGGACATGTCTGAATATCACTGTAAAAACTTGGAAAACTGAACTGATATTAAAACCACAGCCCACTAAAGGCAGGTGAGACATGGGTCCTAACCAAGTTCATTGCCTGCTGAAACAAACAAACAAATCAACTTTCTCCATAAGAATCAATTAAGATCAGAGTCTCAATACAATATTCAAAATGTCCCAAATGAAGAACCAGAAGAATCTCAACAATTCATAAGGATAAACATAACCAAAAGACATCAATCACAAGAAGACACATATATTAAAATTACCAAAGATTTTAGAGCAGCTATTACAACAATGCGCCAATAAATAAGAAAGAACAGTCTTGAAATGATTGGAAAGATACAAAGTCTAAGCAGAGAGAGCCATGATATAAAAGAAGAACCAAATGCAAACTTTAGAACTGAAATATACAACAACCAAAACAAAAAATGTATGGGTAGTCCTCAATAGTAGAACAAAAATGGGAGGAAAGAGTCAGTCAACTTGAAGGTAGATCAATAGAAATTATTCAATCTGAACAACAAAGAAAAAAATTATTTTAAAAAATGGCTGGGCACAGTGGCTCACACCTGTAATCCCAGCACTCTGGGAGGCCAAGGCAGGTGGATCACTTGAGGTCAGGAGTTTGAGACCAGCCTGGCCAACATGGTGGAACCCCACCTCTACAAAAAATATAAAAATTAGCTAGGTGTGGTGGCGCACACCTGTAGTCCCAGCTACTCAGTAGGCTGAGGCAGGAGAATAGCTTGAACCTGGGAGGCAGAGGTTGCAGTGAGCTGAGATCCCACCACTGCACTCCAGCCTGGGTGACAGAGTGAGACTCAGACTCACAAAAAAAAAAAAAAAAAAAGAACAGTGTCGTAGGGATCTGAAGGACAACAACAAGAACAACAAACTCTAAATTTGAGTCATCAGAGTCCTAAAAGGAAAGGAAAAAGAGTGTGGTTTATAAAAGTATTGAAAGGAATAATGGCTGAAAGCTTTCAAAACTTAGTGAAATACTTAAACTTACAGATTCAAGAAACTCAGTTGTATTAGTTCATTTTCACACTGCTATAAAGACATACCCGAGACTGGGTAATTTATAAAGAAAAAAGGCTTAATCTGCTCATGGTTCTGCAGGCTATATTGGCTTCTGCTTCTGGGGAGGCCTCTGGAAACTTACAATTGTGGTGGAAGGCAAAGGCGAAGTGGGTACATGGTCACATGGCTGGCAGGGGAGAGCGAGAACAAAGTGGGAGGTGCTACACACTTTAAATCAACCAGATCTTGTGAGAACTCTGTCATGAGACAGCACTAAGCGGACGGTGCTAAGACATTAGAAAACACCCTCATGATCCAATCACCTCCCACCAAGCTCCTCCTCCAACACTGGGAATTGCAATTTGACATGAGATTGGGGTGGGGACACAGAGCCAAACCATAGCACTGAGCATACCATAAGGAAGATGAACCCAAAGCAATTCATACCCAGACACAAACAGATGAAAACTAAGAACAAAGGGGAAAAAACAGCCAGAGGAAAATAACACATTACATGTAGGAAAAAAATGGCTACAATGACTGGATTTCTCCTCAGAAATCCAGGTCAGAAGGCAGTGGAACATTTTAAACTACTGAAAGAAAATCATTGTCAGTTCAGAATTCTGTAACCAGCAAAAATATATTTCAAGAATACAGGTGAAATAAAGACATTCTCAGATGAAAAAAAAAACAAAGAAAATTCATTGTCATTAGACCTGCCATAAAAGAAATTCTTCAAACAGAAGGCAAATGACACCAGAGGAAAACTTGGAACTTCAAGAATGAAGAGTAGCAGATGTGATAAATACCTAATTCAGTATAATAAATTAGGCTTTTTCCTTGTGAATTCTTTAAAATATGTGTGATAATTAAAAAAAAATTAAAACATTGTTTAATGGGGTTTTCTTTAGCAATTGGTGCAAAACATGGAGAAAATACAATATAAGGGGCAGGTAAAGGAAACCATACAAGCTTTCTATAATCCACTTTAAGTGGTTGGATAGTAATTCAAAACAGACTGTAAAAAGTTAAGTATGTATATTATAATCTGTAAAGAAACCACTGAAAAGAAAATATATACAAAGAGATAAGTAAAAAACTCAAAAAATTAAAATATGAAAAAATGTTCAAAGAAATCAAAATAAGGCAAGAAAGGGGAATAGATGAAGAAATACGGAGGGAAAAAAGAGAAAACAAGTAATAATGTGGTTGATCTAAATAAAAACATACCAATAATTATTTAAATATAAGTTATCTCAACACATCAATTAAAAGACAGTGATTCTGAAAATGGATAAAAAATGAAAGAACAACACACAGCTATGTGCTGTCAACATAATTCTCAAATGTCAGTGAAAATATAATGATACAAGTAGATCAAGAGTAAAAGAACAAAAGAAATATGCCATGTAATCACTAATCAAAACAAAGCTGGAATTACTATACTAATTAATATCAGACAAAGTAGACTTAAGAGCAAGGAAAAGGGATAAAAAGGGACATTATAATAATAAAATGATTGATTATTCAAAAACAAATATTAATCCTAAATGTGTATGCACAAAGCAACAGAGCTTCAAAATATATGAAACAACTTACAGATTCAAGAAACTCAGTTGTATTAACTGACAGAACTGAAAGAATAGTGAAATATAGAAATAAACTTGGAGACTTTAACACTCCTTTCTCAGTTATTGATAAAGCAAAAAAGACAGAAAATCAGCAAAAATATAGAATAACTTAACATCATGAAACTACTAGATCTAATTAACACTGTAATATCATTCCACCCAACAGATTCTGCAGTTTTTCCAGGTGTGCATTAAAGGTTCATAAAGATATACCACATCCAGAGTCATAAAACAAACATTAACAAATATAAAAATTAAAATCATGCAACAATTTGTCCCTATTCATAATGGAATTAAACTGGAAGTAAACAACAGGGATATATTAACAAGTGGGAAATTTCCAAATACTAAGAAGTTAAAGCACTTCTAAATTATCCACGCATCAAATAGGAAGTCTCACGGGAAACTGGAAAATATTTTAAAATGGAGGAAAATGAAAACATTATATATTAAAAATGTGTGAGATGCAGTTACAGCAGTGCTTAGAGGGAAAATTATAGCATAAAATGCTATAGCTGCTTTTCTATTAGAAAAGAAGAAATTTTTGAATCAACAATCTAGGGTTTCACCTTAACAAACTAAAACAAACAAGGTAATTGTAAACCCAAAGCAAGGAGAAGTAAGGAAATACTAAGGATGAGAAGAAATTGATTAAATTAAGAACTGAAAGACAATAGAGAAAATGAATGAAAACAAAAGCCAGTCCTTTGAAAATATAAATAAAATTGATTAGTCTTTAGCCAGACTGACCAGGTAAAACAGAGAGAAAATATAATGTACCAATATCAGGAATGAGAAAGGAGACATTAATACAGACCTTATGGACATGAAGAGGAAAATAAAGGAATACGCCCAACAACTCTACACATATAGATCCAATAACTTAGATGAAATGAACAAATTACTTGAAAGCTACAATCTACAAAACTTACCCAAGGAAAAAAACACATAACAGGCATAGTTCTTTATTAACAAAATTGAATTATAGTTTTTTTAAGAACATTTGAAAAAAAATTCCAAGATTAAATGGTTTCACTGGTGAATTCTACCAAGTATTTAAAGAAAAATAGCATAGATTTTATACAATCACTTCCAGAAAATAGAAAATAGGAAATATTTTATGGGGCCAGTCTTATTTTGATACCAAAAGCATAGGTATTACAAGAGAAGAAAACTAGAGACCAAATCCATCATTAACATAGATGTAGGAAATCTCAGCAAAATATTTGCAAATTGATTCCAGCAATACATAAAAAGAAGAATACTCCATGATCGAGACCATCCTGGCTAACACGGGGAAACCCTGTCTCTACTAAAAATACAAAAACATTAGTCGGGTGTGGCAGCCTGCGCCTGTAGTCCCAGCTACTTCGGAGGCTGAGGCAGGAGAATGGCAAGAAGCCGGGAGGCGGAGCTTGCAGTGAGCCAAGATCACGCCACTGAACTCCATCCTGGGCAAGAGAGCGAGACTCCCTCTCAAAAAAAAAAAAAAAAAAAAAAAAAAAAAGAATAATGCTCCACAAGCATGTAGGGTTTATTTCAAGGATGCAAGGATGGTTTTAACGCTCGAAAATCAATGTAGCCTACCATATGAAAGACTAAAGAAGAAAAGCCACATAACTATATCCGTTAATGCAGAAAATAATTTGACATTCTTTTATGATAAAAACTCTTAGTAAAGTCGGGATAGAAGGAAAATTAACCTGACAAAGGGCATTTACCAAAATTTTTTTTAAAAGCCAATATCACAGCCAGGCATGATGGCTTACGCCTGCAGTCCCAGCACTTTGAGAGGCTGAGGCAGACGGATCATGAGGTCAGGAGATGGAGACCATTCTGGCCAACATGGTGAAACCCCGTCTCTACTGAAATACAAAAAATTAGCCAGGCGTGATGGCTCGCACCTGTAGTCCCAGCTACTCGGGAGGCTGAGGCAGAGGAATCGCTTGAACCTGGGCGGCGGAGGTTACAGTGAGCCGAAATTGCGCCACTACACCCCAGCCTGGTGATGGAGCAAGACACCATCTCAAAAAAAAAACAACAACAAAATTAGCCGGGTGTGGTGGCGGGCGCCTGTAATCCCAGCTACTCGGGAGGCTGAGGCAGGAGAATTGCTTGAACCCAGAAGGTGGAGATTGCAGTGAGCCTAACGGAGGAGACCACCGTTCATATTGTCTTATGCCCAATTTCTGCCTCCAAAGAAAGAAAAAGTAAAAACTAAAAGGCAGAAATGAAATCCACAAGCAGACAGCCTGGGGCCACACCCTGGTCCTCCTAGTTAAAGATAGACCCCTGACCTAATCGGTTATGTTATCTACAGATTACAGACATTGTATAGAAATGCACCGTGAAAATCCCTATCCTGTTTGGTTCTGATCTAATTACTGGTGCATGCAGCCCCCAGTGACATACCCCCTGCTTGCTCAATCAATCACGACCCTCTCACACGCACCCCCTTAGAGCTGTGAGCCCTCAAAAGGGACAGGAATTGCTCACTTGGGGAGCTCAGCTCTTGAGACAGGAGTCTTGCGATGCCCCCGGCCAAATAAACCTCTTCCTTCTTTAACTCAGTGTCTGAGGAGTTTTGTCTGTGGCTCGTCCTGCTACAAGCCGAGATCATGGCAAAAGCCAATATCACACTTAATGACAAAAGACTGACTGCTTTCCTGCTAAGATCTAGAACAAAACAAAAAGACACTCTCACAGCTCCTACTCAACAATAAAAGGTATTTGGATTGGAAAGGAAGAAATAATACTAACCGTATCACAGACAAAATGATTATCTGTCTATGTAGAAAATTCCAAAGAATCTACCCAAGGAATCTAGAGCTAATGAGTTTAGCAAGGTTGTGATTATAATTCAACGTTTTAAAAATCAGTGATATTTTTAGATACTCATAATGAATAATTGGAAACTGAAATTTAATAAAGCAATACCATTAACAAGAACTCAAAAATGAAATACTTACATATAAATCTAACAAAACATATGCAGGATCTATATGCTGAGGACCACAAACTACTGATGAAAAAATAAAGAAAACTTAAAGAAACAGAAAGGCATACTTTGCAGTTTGAAAGATTCAAGAGTTAAGATGTCAACAAGATTTTCAAATTGGTCTATAGATTTAATGCAAATTCAATCAAAAGCTCAGAAATCCTTTTTCAGTATTAACAAACAAGTTTTAAAAATTTTATGGAAATACCAAAGAACTGGAATGGCCAAAGCAATATTGAAAAAGAACAAAGTTGAAAGACTCACAGTACCCAGTTTTAACACCTATTATAAAGCTCCAGTAATCAAGACAGTGTAGTACTGGCAAATGGGAAAAACACATAAACTAATGGAATGGGATAGAGAGGCCAAGAATAGTCCCACACAAATAGGGCCAGTTGACTTTTTACAAAACTGCAAAAGTAATTCAATTAAGAGAGGAGAGTCTATTGAACAAATTAGTCTTAATTGGATTAAATTGTTTAATTTGTCAATCATTGGATTGAATTAATTTTGTCAACCATATGAAAAAAGGGAACCTTCACCTAAACTCTGTATCTTATACCAGAACTAACTCAAAATGTATCATAAATCTAAAAGTAAAGTGTACAACTGTAAAACATTTAGAAAAGAGAAAATTTTTATCTTGGGTTAGGCAAATAAGTTTTAGATACAACACCAGAAACATGATACATAAAAGAAAAAATTAATATATTATACTTCATCAAGATTAAAACATTTTAGGATTGGGGAGTTTCTTTTGAGGGTGCTGAAAATGTCCCGAAATTGATTATGTGATGATTGCACAACTCTGTGAATACAGTAAAATACATTACGTTGTACACTTTAAATGGGTGAAATGTATGGTATTTGAGTTATGTCACAATAATTCTCTCTTAAGAGTATAAAAAGGCAAGTTAGAGGCTTGAAGAAAATATTTTCAAATCATGCATCTGACAAAAGAACTATTTTCAGAATGTTTTTTTAAACTCTCAAAACTCAACAATAAGAAGAAACAACCCAATTAAAAAATAGACAAAAAGACTTGAACAGACACTTTACTGAAGAGGATGTAAGGATGGCAAATAAGCACAGGAAAAGATGTTCAACATCATTGGCCATTAAAGAAATGGGAATTAAAACCACAACAAGATATCACTACACACCTGTTGAATGGCTAACCAACAACAACAAAAAGATAATGCTAAGTGCTGGCAATAAAAAGGATTAGCTGCTAATAATAAGGATTAGCAAAAAACTTTTATTCTTTGCTGGTAGGAATGCAAAATGGTACAGCTACTTTGGAAAACAGTGTGACAGTTTCTTGTAAAGTTAAACTTACACTTATTTTATGGACCAGCAATCATATTCCTAGGTATTTGTTCCAAAGAAATAAAACTCTATGTTTATACAAACATCTGTATACAAATGTATATAGTAGTTCTAGACATAACTGCTGAAAACTAGAAATAACTCAAATGTCCTTTAACAAATAAATGGATAAACAAACAGTGGTCCCTGTATATAATAAAATTCCACATGGCAACAAAAAGATGTACTATTGATACACGAAACACTATGGGCAAATCACAAAAGTATCACAAGGAGTGAAAAAAGCTAGCCTGGCAGGATGTGGTGGCTCATGTCTGTAATCCCAGCCCTTTGGGAGGCCAAGCTGGGAGGTTCACTTGAGCCCAGGAGTTCAAGACCAACCTGGGAAACAGCAAAACCCCATCTCTAAAAAAAAAAAGAAAAAGAAAAGAAAAGAAAAGGAAAAGAGAGAAAAGAAAATAAAAGAGAGAAAAAAGAAAAAAGCTAGTCTTGTATGTTTATATGCATGTGATTCCGTTTATATGACATCTGGAAAAGGCAGAGCTCTAGGGAGGTATATTCATTTTCTCTTGATGCACAGCAAATTTCCACAAACTTAATGGCCTAAAATAATACACATTTGTTATCTCAAAGTTTCTGTGGATTAGGAGTCAGGATTTGGCTTAACTGGGTCTTGCTCAGGGTCTCACAAGGCTGCAATCAACATGTCAAGCAGGCTGCGTTCTCATCTGAAGGCTCAACCAGGGAAGAATTGACTTCTGAGCTAATTCAGGCTATTGGCAGAATTTATTTTCTTGCAGCTATGTGACTGAGGGCACCAGCTTCTCATGGGCTGTTGGCTGGAGAGTGCTTTCAGGTGCTAGAAGCTGCCCACAGTTTCCTGCCACATAGCCCTCCTCACACATGGCAGTTTGCTTCTTCACAGCAAACAGGGGAGAGTCTCTTGCTCCAGTCTTCTAAGAGAGAGTCTTATATAAGACAGTGTAATTGTGAGAGTAGCAACTCATAAACTTTACCATATAACAACCTAATCAGGAAAGTGACATCCCATAATCTTTACCATATTCTATTGGCTAGAATTAAGTCATAGGTTGTGCCCACACTCAAGATGTGAGGAATTAAATAGGGGATAACAGAACAGGACAAAGGTCATGGGGTCCATTTTATAATTCGGCTTACCTCAGTAGGAGAAGAGATGTTGCAAGAAGTTAGGGGCAGGGGAAGGGTTTCACTACAAAGGAGCAGCAGAGCAAGTCTTCAGAGGTCATGGAGCTGTTTGCATCCTGATTGTTTTTGTGGTTATGTGTGTCTATACATGTGTTAAAACTCATAGAACTGTAAACATGCACACACGTGTACATACACACACGCACACCAATTTGACTGAATTAAAATGTTAAAAAAAGGAGAATACATTTTTAAAAGACATTTTCCCATTGATTCCCATTTTAACGTGCTATTGGTATTAGTTTCACTCTTTTCTCATCATCAATGTACAGTTTGAATACATTTCTCCTCTCCTTGCCTATGGAGGATCCCCAAACAAGTGCCTCAAAACCAGGGTTTAATGGCATTCATCTACAGTCAGGGAATTTCACAGCATAGGGAAGGCTGCAGATATGATAGTAGAGAAATCCATTTTCATAAAACATTTAAGAACCCCTTCTTATTATTTCACTCAGGTGTCATGGGAGTAGGATGGGGGGCCAGGCACCAAAAACAACCTTTTCCAAACTGCAGGTTTAAGTAAAATTGGTGTTGTACTTTTTCGGTTCTATATTCTTAACAACATGCCATTCTGTTGTTTAAAATCCAGCAATAATCTTTCACCTTATTGCAATAAAATCCAAACTCATCCTGACTTCTAAAGCTCTGCATCTCCTGCTTTCTTCCCAATTCTCCCATCATCCCTGCATTCAGTAGGCTTCAGTAACACTGGCTCCCCTCCTCTGTCTCCTTCACATTTTTCTTTGGCAAATTTTTTACTGAATTAGAGCACATGTATAGAGCACAGATATATCATATGTGCATATGTTGATGAATTTTCACAAAGTGAACACAGACATAATCAGCACCCAAATAAAAAGACAAAAACCAGAACATGATTAAAGCTTCATAATTCTTCTTCTTCCACTTACTGTCCCCAAAAATGACCGTATCCTGAAGCTAGCCAATTTTTTTTTTTTTTTATTTATTCCTTGAACATCTCAAACTATTTAATTCAGGACTTTTGCATATGAGGTTTTCCCTGCCTGGATTATTAAGTCTACCTCCAGACACATTCATTCTTTACATGCCTGCTTCTCTTAATATCTCATCTTAAAAAGTCACTTCCTCCAATAGACTTTCCTTGTTCCTCTCCAGCTAAAGAAGCTCTCCCCACACCCTCACTCTGTCACCTATTCATTCTCATTCCCCTCCTGGAAATTATGAGCTGAATTCATTCATTTATCTATTATGTTTACTTGTTTATTTTCTCTCTCAAAAGTTAGCTTACTGTACTCTAAACATTAAGAGAAAAAAGACCAATAACCTCATAGAAAAAATGCTCTGGAAGATGTGAAGGCAGTTAACAAAAAGAAAAACGCAAATGGTTCTTAAACATTTGAAAAACTATTTGAATTTACAGTAGGAGAATCACCAGTTAAAACCATGATAACTTTTCTCCCTGTCAGAATGACAAAAAAAATCCAAAAGTTGGACAAAATATTCTGTTGCTAAGGCTGTGGAAGAATTGACACATTCATACATTGCTAGTGGGAATGCAAAATAAAGGCATAACCTCCATAGAAGGGATTGGGAATTTGAAATATACAGCAAAACTACATATACATTTACCCCATGACATAGCAATTCCTCTTATAAGAATTTATTATACAGATATGCTAACAAAAATATCAAATATATGCATACATTTGTTAATTATAGCACTGCTTATAATAAATAGCAAGAGCCTGGAAACAGCCCAATTTTCTATCAAGAGAAGATTGGAATGAACTCAATATTGTACATTCATGCAATGGAGTATTATGCAGCTATAAAAAGGAATGGAGAAGATCTTTTAAACTTCTCATAATCACCAGGGTATATTGTTAGGTAAATCAAGGTGCAGAACAATGTGTGTTTTTACGTATGTTTACATGGTTCCAAAGTTAAAACCATAAGACACATTCAGTCAAGTCTGTTTTCACCTCCACATTTCTTCACCTTGCTTCCTTCCTCCCCTATGAGGAATCAATTTCTATAGATTTTAATTAATTCTTTATTTTGGAAATTATGAGCATGTATATTTTTGCTACACACACACACACACACACACACACACACACACACATTTAGTTTCCTAATGCTGCTGTAAAAATTTGCCACAAACTTAGTGGCTTAAAACAACAAATTTATTTCCTTTCAATTCTAGTGTCTAGAAGGCTGAAATGAGTTTTATGAGACTAAAATTAAGGTATTGGCAAGGCTGGTTCCTTTTAGAGGCTTTGAGGAGAACATCTATTTCTTTGTCTTTTTGAACTTCTTGGTGGCCACCTGTATTCCTTGGCTTGTAACCTTTTTCTTCATCTTCAAAGTGCATCACACCAATCTCTGCTTCCATCACCACATCACCTTCTCTTCTTTGACAGTCAAATCTCCCACTGCCTCCCTCTCATAAAGATACTTATGATTACATTTAGGGCTCACCTGGATGATCATCCAGGATAATCTCCCCATCTCAAAATCCTTGACTTAATCACACCTGCAAAATTACTTTTGCTATAAAGGTAACTTCCACGGTTTCCAGAGATTAGGACCTGGATAGCTTTGGGGTCATCATTCAGCCTACCAATATACATATTCTTTTTTGCTTATAATGTTTAAATAAAAGATAAATTAAAATCTATTGGAAAATTTTTACTTATAGAAGAGAAAGAAAACAGGATGAAGAGAGACAGGGATAGAAACTAGATTTGACTGAATGCATCTTGTTTTATGGCTTTGGCATCAGAACCATGTAAATGTTCTGTACAAGTATAAAACAAAATGCAAAAAAAAAATGAAAATTAAAAATAAAATTTAGAAAATAAATCTAACCACACATCCTATTGGTACTTTAACCACACACCTCTCTCAGGTAATAATGTGACTTTAAAACATAGTAGTTTGACTGTATATATCCCTGGTGAAGTAGATCCTAATGTCAAAGAATTGCAAAAACAAAACAAAACAAAACCCGTAGTATTCAATAAGCGTACTTAAGCATACTTTTAATAAAAATATTGTGTTATTTGTAAACTATTATGTACATACATAGTAAAATAATCAAATAATTGGATATGTTAATATTGTTAAAAATTGAGATTTTTAGCATACAAAAAAGAGACATATAAAATTAAAGAAGTTGAGTAAAAGTTGTACATCTTAGATTTGGATATACCAATATGGAATCTCAATGTATTTTACTCTTAAAAAAATAGTTCCCAGTTCTGTCCACCAAAAGGTATAGAAGCAATGAGCAACCCCATCTCAGTGAGCACCTCTAACACCCAGACTGGAGTCTCTAAAGACCATTTCTCACTACAGGGAACTAGGTATCCATGGAGAAATGTTTGATTTCAGGTCTGAGACATGAAATGTACAAGATGAACCTGAAACATCTTTCATAACAGAAAACAAGGCTACTAGGGTCATATCAGAGGATTCAAGAGATAACTTAGTTTCATTGGTCAAAGACTGGGTAATAATGCCTATAGTACATTGAAATATATGAAAACACTAAAATCCATGTGCTTATACCAATACTTTTTAAAAATCTCATTGATTGCCTTTGAAGGATGCTAGGACACTAACACATTCTAAAATTGGTAAATGAATTAAATGAATAATTCCTGCATTCCCTATATGAAATATATTTCAGAGCAGCCACATAGTAAATGAGATAAATTTCTTTTTTATAAGAAATTCAAGCTATTAAATGCAAAATAAAAGATACAATTCGAATATTACTATTTTGCAGCTCCTAATGAAATAATGATTGTAGGCAATGATCACAAATAGCTGTTAGAAATCACAAGGTACAAGGCCAATAGAGGATTGTTAGGCTCTTTGTTTTCAGCTTTATTGGGGTATAATTGACAAAAATTGTGTATAATTAAAATGTACTACTTGTTGTTTTGATATATGCACACATTGTGAAATGGTTACCACAGTCAAACTAGCTCACATATCCTTCAGATCACATAGTTGTGTGTGTGTGTGTGTGTGTGTGTGTGTGTGTGTTGAGAACACTTAGAATCTATCCCCTTAGCAAATTTCAAGTATACAATACAGTATTATTAACTATAGTCACTATGCTGTACATTACATCCCAGAATTTATTCATCTTCCATAACTGAAACTTTATAGCCTCCGACCAACATCTCCCAAATTCCCCCAACCATCAGGCCCTGGCAACCACCATTCTACTCTGCACTTCTATGAATTTGACTATTTTAGATTCCAAAAATAAATGAGATCATGACATATTTGTCTTTATTTGTTTGGCTTATTTTACTTAGCATAATGTCCTCTGGGTTCTTCAGTGTCGCAAATGGCAGGATTTCCTTCTTTTTCTAAAGCTAAATAATATTCTATTGTGTGTGTTTGTGTGCGTGTGTCATACACACAAGTATATACACCACATTTTCCTTATTCATTCACCTGTTGACAGAAATTTAGGTTGAAACAACATTTAAGTTGTTTCCGTATCTTCGCTATTGTGAATAATGCTGCAATAAACATGGGAGGGCAGACATCTCTTCAACACACTGATTTCATTTCCTTTGGATATATACCCAGAAGTGGGATTGCTGGATCCATATGGTAGTTCTATTTTTAATTTTCTGAGGAACCTCCATATTGTTTTCCACAATGACTGTGCCAATTTATGGTTTATAACAGCTTACAGGGTTCTCTTTCCTCTACAACTTTACCAACACTTTATCTTTTATCTTTTTGATAAAAACCATTCTAACAGGTGTGAGATAATATCTCTATGATTTAGATTTGTATTTCCCTGATGATTAGTGATGTTGAACACCTTTTCTATATACGTGTTGACCATTTGTATGTCTTCTTATAAGAAATTTCTGTTCAAGTCTTTAGCCCGTTTTTAAATAGGGTTATTTGCTTTTTTTTTGCTATTGAGTTATTCGCAGTTTCATATATATTTTGGATATTAACGTCTTATCAGATATATCGTTTGCAAATATCTTCTCCAATTCCATATGTTGCCTTTTCAATCTGTTGATTATTTCCTTTGCAATTGTTAGGCTTTAAATATTCATTTTTATTAATGTTTTCTGATTATACACATCAGGTTTTTGGACCAGAGACAGATTTCTTTTTACACTCACAGAAAGATCAACAGCCAAAGTAACATTGCAGCATTGGTCCCCCTCACCCAGCCTGCCTGCAGAGTACCATGTGAGTGCCAGATGGAATAAATGCCCTGTACAAGTGGTAGGTTGACTCTATAAGTGAGATATAGAGAAATATGGATTTTGTTTTGTTTATAAAAAGCAAAGACATCACTCTCCCCCTCACCTTCTGAGAATCCTTAGAGATCAGATGGAGGGATCTTTACCCTAACCCTTTGGTAGGAAAGTAAACCTCTGAGGGAAAAGAAGAGCGCAGTGTCTTCAGTTTGACAACTCAGAGATGGCTCCAAGGCCCTGAGCCTCTTACTGCCAGAGTTAGGTCAATCTCTTTGGAATGTGTTCACTATCTGATCAGTCATAAATTGCCTTCTAAGCTTGCTCTCAGGCCAGGAAACACACTTTAGTAATATCTATTCAGAAAGCCCTAACTGTGCAGAAACATATTCTCTACAATCTTATAACTTTATAATAAATGGGTGAAGATAATATCACTTGAACTCATGGATTAATCTTACATCATCAAAAAACAGATAATCAGATAGTATATGCATCATGATATGATATAATAGGAAGCTCACAGTGCTGCCTTTGAAGTAGTCTTGTCAAATAATTAACCTGAATCTAATCAAATATCTAGACGCAACTATTAGTTTAAAAGAAGTACAGAAAAGAAGAACATATTAAATGATGCCACAGGAATGCAATCAGCCAAAGCAGAATCTAGGAAATTCTACAAAATAAATGGCTTGATTTTTTACAACAAATAAGTTGCAAGAAGAAAGGAGGGAGGAGAAATTTAGAAATTAAAAGAGACTTAAAAGACTTACCAACAAATTAAGGTACAAAGACTTGGTTTGGATCTTGATTCCAACATATCAGCTGGGGCGGGGGGAAAGGCTATTTATAGACAATAGGGAAATTTGAACACTGGCTGGATATTAGAGGACAGCCAATGAATTACTATTAATGAATTACTATTAATTTTTAAAGATATGATAATGTTATTATTGTTCTGTTTTAAAAATAGAGTTCTTATCTCTATTTGGAAATATTTACAGATGGAAGTTATATGATAATTGGGATTTACTTTAAAATAATAGGTAGAGATCCAGACGGAATGAGGGAGAATAGAAGGAACAAGATTGGCCATATTTTGTTAATTGTTGAAGCTGGGTCATGTGTAACTTAGGGTTCATTATTCTATTATTTCTACTTTTATATATATTTGAAAATGTCCATAATAAAACGTTTTTGTTTTTAAAAAGTAAGGTCCTGAACCCTCCCCTCTCCTTAATGTCTTCTCCCTGCTGTAGTTTTAAGTTGGGGGAGAAGGGTCCTTCCCCTCTAGCCTGTGAGCCTGAGTCTGTGGCAGTGGGGTGGGGGTGGGGGCAGTTAGCAGGAAAGCAATGGAGAACCAACCAGCAGAGGGTTGGGTATGGCCACCACAGGTCTGACTGGCTCTTTTATATGTGCTAATTACCTGGGAATGTGGTCTTAATAAGAAGCAAGATAATCAGACAAGACTGAATACATTGCCTCAGGTAGGGTCCAACAGGGCCTGACAGGCTTCTGCTTTCCCCCAACCACAATGACCACTTAACCTCAAACTAATGAGTACTCAGAACCCATCCCCTGCAAGGTAAGGGGAGACAGGAGTGGTCATGCATAGGCAGAGCTCTGCTGAAATGTCTGAAAGTCAATAAAGAATGCTATTTTGTCAGGCTATTTCTTTTCTTTCCATTTCATTTCTGGCCTGCAAATCTCAGAAAAGCACTTTAATTTTTAAAAATATTTGTTCTTAATTATGAAGGTAGTGCATATTCATTGAAGAAAATTTTAAAGAAACAAAAAAGCATTAAGAAAACATTTAATCCCACTCTCAAAGAGATCAACTGTTAAACCTTAGATTATTTTCTTCCTGTTATTCATTTGAATATTTACGGTAATGCTGTGCTCATTCTCTATACAGTATTTTGATTGTTTCCCATTTAGCATTATATAAAAATTTTCCACATGCCATCACGGCTCACTGCAGCCTCAACCTCCCAGCTCACGTAACCCTCTGGCCTTAGCCTCATGAGTAGCTGGGACTACAGGCACACACCACCACGCCCAGCTAATTTTTTGTATTTTTTGTAGAGACAGGGTTTCACTATGTTGCCCAGGTTGGTGTCGAACTTCTGGACTCAAGTGATCCACCCACCTCAGCATCCCAAAGTGCTGGGATTAGAGGTGTGAGCAATCGCACCGTGCCCAATTTTGCCTATTCTTGAGCTGGATTTCAATGGAGCCATATCACAAGTACTCTTTTATAGTTGACTCTTTAATTAAATATCAGCTCTGTAGTATCTGTCTGTTCTTTAGTGTCCTAGTACTTCATTCTTTTTTACTGCTGTGCAGTATCCCATGGTATAAAGATATCAACATTTATTTATTCTACTATGATGGACATCTGGGCTGTTTCCAATTTGGAGCTATTATGAGTAAAACTGTTATGAACATTCTTGCATCTGCCTCTTTTTAGACGTAAGCATATGTATCTCTTGGATATGTATCCAGGAGTAGGATTGCTACAGCATATGATAAATGTATGTTTAGCTTTGGTAGATATTGCCAAACCATTTTGCAAAGTAGTGCACCAATTTACCCCCCTACCAGCATCATATGAGAGTTCTAGCTATTCCCATTCTCACCAACACTTGGTATTGCCAGTCTTTTTATTTTAGTCATTCTTCTGAGTATAATGGTTTCTCCTTGTGGTTTTAATTTGCATTTACCTGCTGACAAATGATGTTGAGCACCTTTTTACTTGGACATTCTTTTTGTAGAGTGCCTGTTTTGACTATTTTTTCATTAGGTTGTCTACCTTTTTAAGTTGATTTGCAGGAGTTCTTTATATATTATATCCTGGATATGGGTGTCCCACTCTGTGGTTTGCCTTTTCACTCTCTTAATGATGTCTATTGATGAGTAAGAGTTTTTAATTTTAATGAAGTTTTTATATCCAACTGTTCTGGTTTAAGTTTTTTGTGTCCTAAAAAATAATATCTTAATTACCTTTGTCTACAAGGTAATGAAGATGTTATCCTAAAGCATCATTTTAATGGCTGCATAATATTTTGTTTCATAAATTCACCATTTTCCTATTTTTTAGATACTTAAGTTGTACCTTATTTTCCACTACTGTAAATAAAAGTGCGAATATTGTTGAGTGTCTTATATGACTCAGGTTCTGTGCTACATTTTTACATTCCTAGAAGAACTATCTACCAGTACTATTTTCATCTCCGCTTTATAGAAAGATAGAGGAGGGCTGAGAGAAGTTGAGGAATTTGCTCAAAGCCGTATCACTATTTAGTGACAAAGCTGGAATTTCTGTCTAGATTTCTCTGCCTGCAGAACCAAGGGTATAGGCCACCTCATTATCTGCTTTTCAAATGATTATTTTCTTAGCATAAATTCCTAGATGTGGACCTTACTGGACTGAAAGTATAAAAGTATAATATCCTTGGTAAATGCTCGGAGTGTTTCTCTTATTTTAACCTCACTATTCATTCACATTTGAGGATGCCATTCTCTCTGGCATTGTCACACTGTGAGAGGTTGACATTTCCATAAACGCATGGTTATTCTTATGTATATGTGTGTGTGTGTGTGTATGTGTATGTGTATATACATATACATATATATGTATGTATATATATATTTTAAAAGATCCCAGTTATTGAGAGCTAATTATGGGCCAGGCACTTCACACACATAGCTTATCTCATTTAAAACCCACATCCTACAAGTGATGCTATGCTCCCAACATTTATAAACCCAAAAACAGGACCAGAGAGAGGAGTCAGCCTGAAGTCATATGGTTAGTAAGAAGCAGGTTCCAAACTCAAAATTTGATCTAATTCCTATGCTTTTCGGCTGTCCCTTACCCGCCAGCCTGGCAGGTGTTATGGATAACTTCTGCTGGCTCCTCTCCTCACTCGGCCCCACCCTGTCCTCCATGCTGTGTGCCTCAGGCGGCAGCCTGGTTAGACCACACCACCCAGCTCCCTGGCTGTCTGGGTTCAGCCAAAGGGAGGGGGCTGCAGTGTAACCACAGGACCAGCCCAAACTAGGCCTACTCTTTTGATAACAGAACATCGAGTTACCTTGTAGGTATAACAGAGCCAAAATTGCAAGTCACGTAGCCTGGGCATTTGTAATAGAAAAACTTTGACCTCTAACAACAATAAGCCAATGAATCCTCCCTGTGGAACGAAAAAGACTGGGACATGAGCAGAACGTGAATTCCAGGACTCTTTCAAAAGCGAGAAGTCCACTGGCCTAGAAGATCTGGGATTAAAATCCACCTCAACATAACTTACCTTAAATGCTCAAATGTGAAGCCCTCCAATCAGACCCTGCCAAACCAACATTCCTAAATTCCTTAACCTGTGACCCTTTAAAACCCGCCTCAGACCCCAAATCAAGGAAATTGATTTGAGCTGAGTCTCCTCTTTCCTTGCCAACTGGCCTCGCAATAAACCTTTCTTCTGTCAAAAGCTGGTGCTATAGTATTGGCTTCTGTGTGTTTCGGGCAGCAAGCCCATTTCTTCAATAACAGCAGAAGATTCTCAAAAGGAATGAAGAGGGTGAATTCCAGGTATATTTTTCCCAGGCTTCCTTCCTGTGGGGTGGTCTCAGCTGGCCATGTCTCCAGAGAAGTCTCCAGTCCTGTCAGAGGCTATCTCCTCCCACAGCCACACTGCTGTCCCATGTCCCATGTCCAAGTTCTGATGACAGTGCCCTCCTCTTGTCCCTTCAATGAGATAATGACACTGGTTGTTCTTAACCCCAGAGTTCTAGATGATTCTTTGTGGTTTAACTTTTTTTTTTTTTTTTTTATGGGACTGGGACTGAAAGAATCACCTGAATGACAGCAAGTCTCAACACTATTCCACCAATTCACACTTGTCCCTTCACCAATTCAACGATTCTGGCGGAACTCTTCTTACAGGTGTCTATTGGTTACTTCCAACCCAGGGAAGGCAGTGGTGAGTCCCCTTCTATCCCTGCAAGTGCTTGTCTCTCCTCAGTTGTTGGGTCATTTAGTTATTGTGCAACCTTGGCTCTTCAAAAGACTTCCAAAAAATTATAAATTTGAAGTTAGTTTGCCTCCTTTTTGATGTTGTTTTAAGGATGGGAGTAATGCTTCTTCCAGCTCTCTAAATCCTGGGTGGAAAAAATTGATTCTTCTAACACACTTTTTAGTTTGAAATAATTTCAAATTTTCAGAAAAGTTGCAATTTTATGATACAGGAAACTCTTCTGGATTCTTTAAGTCAACCAGTTTTTAATGCTCTGCCATATTTGTTTTGTTATTCTCTATCTCTTTATCTGTCTATCTGTATCTGCCTTATCTATCCCAACTCATTTGAGAAGAGGTTGCATGCATCATGCCATTAATACCTGTTAATACTTTAGTGTCCATTTCATAAGAATAGTGATATTTCTTCCATAACTCCACTATAGTTATCAACTTCAAGATACTTAATATTGACACAATACTTTTATCATCTATAGTGCATGTCACAATTCTGTCAATCAACCCAATAATGTTCTTCATAGAAGTTCTTGTGGGAGAGGCAAGAATTGGCTTAGAATCAAGCTTGTCCTACCTGCCTTATTTTGTTGTTGTTTTGTTTTGTTTTGTTTTGTTTTAGGCTTTTAGCAGCCTGAAGCCATGGTTTTTAGTTTCTGTTTCTAGTGATAAGCGGAAAAAAGGAATGAGGAAAGGGCTTTACTGGCCCAACCAGAAACAGAAACTGAGGACCCATGACATATTCTCTCCCTGGATACCCCTGGTTAGATCCTTTGCCCCTAGTCTTGCAAATAGAATAAAAGCCTTAATCTGTAGGGTTAATCAGATAAAGAGATAGAGAATAACAAAACAAATGTGGCAGAGTGTTAAAAACTGGTTGACTTAAAGAGTCTAGAAGAGGAGGTTGGGAGGACAAGCACTGCTTCCTTTAGGGTGATGGTGAAAATTCACTGTAGCCAGGAATAGGAAAAAAAGTGATGCCATTCCCCCAGTACTAGGGACTTGCCTAAATCCAAGCCTTCATCAAAACAACATAGAGTGCATTTCCTTTATGTTGTCCCGTGCTAAGCTAACAAGTTTTAGTTAACAAGTAACAGCAGAATACAGGGCAGAGACAGGCAAGAAACAACAGTATTCAACAGACCATCTTAAAGGCATAAAACAAGGCAAGACCTAAAGCTCAGAACTGAGCAGACATTACTCTGATGAACCAACCTTCATCCTAAGCAAAAAGTAACCCTACTGGAATTTGAAACTTGCAGTGCACAGAAAGTGATCATAGTCACAGTTAACCTCAGACCCTGTCCAATGTCTATCTAGATTAATTCAACCCTGGTACGAAAGACCTAACAGGAAAGACAAGTCAATTGCCAGGCATAAAGGTAATTCCCTCAGGACTTTTGTTGTATATAAGATGTCCAACTTCTAACAAAAAAGTATAAGGCTTACAAAAAGGTGTGAAAAAACATACTCCTAAGAGGGCAATTATCAGAACCAGACTTAGATATGACACAGAAGTTGTGTAAGTGACAGGAAATTTAAAATAACTTTGATTAATATTTGACTAATGGAAAATGTTGACAACATGCAAGATTGGATGAGTAATTTCAGCAAAGAGATGGAAACTATAAGAAAGTATAATGCCAGGCATGTGGCTCATGCTTATAATCCCAGCACTTTGGGAGGCCAAGGCAGGAGGATTGCTTGAGCCCAGGAGTTCAAGACCAGCTTGGGAAATGTGGTGAAACCCTGTCTCTACCAAAAAATACAAAATTTAGCTGGGTGTGGTGGCACACACCCGTGGTCCCAGCTACTCGGGAGGCTGAGGTGGGGGAAGCAAAATCTGCAATGAGCTGAGATGGCCCCATTGCACTCCAGCCTGGGTAACAGATCTAGGCCCTGTCTAAAAAAAAAAAAAAAAAAAAAAAAAAAAAATCAAATGCCTGAAAGAAAAAGCACAGTTAACAACTGGCTTAATGGTAGACTCAACATTGCTGTGGAAACAAATAACCAGTAAACTTGAAGATAAGAAACTACCCAAACTAAAAGACAAAGATTAAAGAAGAGTGGGGAAAAAAACAACCAGAACATTCAAAACCTGGACAACGTCAGACTAACATGCGTAATTGGAATTCCAGAATGAAAAGAGAAAAAGAATGGGGCAGAAGAAATATATGAAAAGATAATGGCTGAGAATTTTTCACAATTAAATGACTAACACCAAACCATAGATCCAAGAAGCTCAGAGAACACCAAACAGGATGAATACCAAAACAAGCAGGACATACACTTGGACAGATCATATTCAAGTTACTGAAAAGAAAAACAAAGAGAAAATCTGGAAAGTGGACAGAGAGAAAAGAAACATTACATACAGAGGAACACAAATAAGAATTACAGCAGACTTCTCATCAGAAAATGAGAAGATATTTGAGGAGGATCTTTAAAGCACTAAAAAAAAAAAAAAGGCTTTCAATCCATAATTCAATACCTAGCAAAAAAAACTTTCCAAAAAAAGAGAGGGGGGATTAAATGCTTTCTCACACAAACACTGAGGAACTTCATAGCCAGCAGACCTACCCTAGGAAATAGTAAAGAAGGTTGTTCAGGAAAAAAAAAAAAAGTATCAGACTGAAACCTGGATTTACACAAACAAATGAGAAGAAGCAAAAACGGAATAATGTAAAATAGAATTATTTTTAAAATTTTTACTTGCTCTAAGAGATAACTGACTGCCTAAAGCAATATATTAGCAATGTATTACATGTTTAAAGCATATGTTAGACCAGCCTGGTCAACATGGCAAAACCCCATCTCTACTAAAAAATACAAAAATTAGCCAGGCGTGGTGGCACACGCCTGTAATCCCAGCTACTCGGGAGGCTGAGGCAGGAGAATCATTTGAACCCAGGAGGTGGAGGTTTCAGTGAGCCAAGATCTCACCATTGCACTCCAGCCTGGGCGACAAGAGTGAAACTCCGCCTCAAAAAAAAGAAAAAGAAAAAGAAAAAGCGTATGTTAAAGTAAAAATTATGACGACAATAACACAAAGACAATGGAAGAAAGAAATTGAGGATATACTGTTATAAAGCCATTATACTACATGCAAACTGCTGTATTATCATTTCAAAGTAGTCTTTGATTAATTAAAAATGTATATTGTTGTGAAGGTTACAGATATCAGGATGAAATCACTTAAAATTTTTTTTAAAGGTGGGGTCTTGCTCTGTTGCCCCAGCTGGAGTGCAGTGGTGTGACCATAGCTCACTGCAGCCATGAACTCCTGGGCTCAAGCAATCCTCCTGCTTCAGCCTCCCAAGTAGTTGGGACTTCAGGCACATGCTACCACGCAAGGCTAATTTTTTTAAAATGTGTTTTAGAGACAGAGACTCACTATATCGCCCAGGCTGGTCTCAAACTCCTAAGCTCAAGCCATTTTTCTGCCTTAGCCTCCTGAGTAGCTGGGACTACAGGCACACACTACCATGGCAGACAAAATTACTTTTGTCAGACCTAAGCAAATTAGAGCTGAGAAAGCACAAAGTAGGAAGGCTAATGCTTGCTGTTTGAGATTAAGGCTGTCTTAAGCACTTTCTAAAATAAACCCACAAGAAATGTCTTCTTTAGGACTTTCGCAATTCAGATAAGATGTTCTCCAAAGACCACTTTCCCAGTAATGATATCTCCCACAAATGAACTGAGAGCTCTGGCTTTGAGCCTCTAGAATCAATAAACTCTGTTTCCAAGCAGCTTATGCAAACTTCTCCTTTTTGCCAATAAAGGCTTTTCTTTACCCTCCTCTATTCTGATGCACTGTGGCTTGCCATAGCTGTGCATCCTGGATTATAGTTCTTTTTGCTTACTCCCAAATAAATTCAACATTTTAGGCGATATTTTTTAGATTTTTAGGAGATCTTATTTTAGGTCGACATTATAAATCCTAGGGTAATCACTAAAAAGTATTTAAGGAAGTATACATAATAATTCTAGAGAAGATACAAAAAAATCATAAAAATGTTCAAATAACCCAAAAAGAAGACAGAAAAAGAGGAAAAAGGAAACAAAAACACAGGTGGAAAAGAGAACAATTAGCAAGATGGTTTATTTTAATTCAATCTTATCACTAATCACATTAAATACGCTTAAATGGAGAAAGACTGAACACGTAAACACTAAACAACAAAAAAAGCTAGAGTAGCTATATTAATCTTAGACAAAACAGACTTCAGAACAAGAAGTATTATCAGGGATAAAGAGAGAGATTGCATAATGATGAAGAAGTAAGTTTTCCAAGAAGACAATCTTAAATGGATGTGCACCTAACAGTAGAAACCCAAACTACATGAGCCAAAAACTGTTTGAACTGAAAAAAAAAAAAGGCAAATTCTTATTGTAGTAGAGACTTTAACACTCCTTTCTCAACTTATAGAACAAGTAGACAGAAAATCAGTAAAGATAAAAAAGACCTGAACAACATAAGCAAATCGTTGCTCATGTTCTGAAATGTCATGGTGAGGTCCCTCAGTGTGGGTTTTGTTTGACTGGGCCCATATAATCTGTAGATTCCATGTTATTTCTTTAGTAATTCTTTACCTTCTGATTCCTCATTCTACTTTTCTGGAATTCCTGTTAGATGTTGGATTCTTACATTAAACCTCCAATTCTCCTATATTATCCCTCTTACCTCCTTTATTTCCAATCTTTGTCTTTTTACTCTACCTTGTTGGGGATGTTTTTCAACTTCACTTTCTAGGCATTGTACTGTATTTTCATATTACAGCTATGTCATATTTTTAATTTCTGAATGCTCTTTCTTGCTATCCAATTATTCCTTTTTTTCAAGAACTCCAGGTTTTAAAAAAACTTTTTGAATATGTTATTTACAGATTTTACTTAAATTGCTTACTACTTCCTTCATTGTTTCTGTTTTCTCTGGGTCCCCTTTGAGACTTTTCTTAAATGTCTGGTCATCTTGCCAAGAAGGGACTGCTTATATATAGGAGCTAACTAAAACTTCAGCGTGCATGGAAGGATGAATTTTACTATGAAGTGATGGGGACCTTTCTGTAGGTTACTCTCAAAGTCAGCTTCTAGAAGCATTTTGCCTGGGCCCTTCAGACTCTCCAGAAGAGATTCTATCAATAAACATGAGAGAAGAGTTGTTATCCTGAGCCCAACCAAAAACATGTATGAAAGGAATGTGGGGTAAATAGGCAGTAAAGAAATTATTGGAATCAAAGAAAATGGTAAAGACTATAACATGAATGGAGGTTGGGAATTCCTTCAACCCAAATAAGAAATCCAAATTGGAAAAAGTTATGATAAAAATTGAGGTGCGGGGGGTATAAAATATGTGGATATTTGTATTCTGGACACAGGGCAGGGGAAGAGAGTGAGGTCTCACGATTCAGTGTTTGATGTTCACTTAATTTTCCCTGTTGCCAAGGCCTGCATGTCACCTCCAGCCACCACTGCACCTGTATCCCTACATCTGAGCCTCAGAAGTCCACAAGACCATTGAATAATTTGAAGAGCCCAGTGCAAACTGAGCTCCTCACTCAGACAAGTGGGACAGTGTTCAAAAATTACTGAGAATTCAACATGGCTCTAACAGAGAATTAACCCATATGCCACATACACATAAAGCAGGCCCTTCTAGTACAATTTTGCAAAGGAATAATCTCCCTGAGTCCCATTTGAGGGGGATGGTGACATGGTGGAGGATGGAGATATTTAAGAGAAGAACTGACCCGGTAGCCCCTCTGCCCTGGAGGCAGCCTCACAATTCCCTTGCCTGTAGTAATTTTTGTTTTTGTTTTGAGAGATGGGGTCTCACTATGTTGTCCAAGCTGGCCTCCCACTCTTGGGCTCAAGAGGAGCCTGGTGAGGTTCTAGGGAAACTGTCTTCCTTCCCATTAGAAAGCTACTATGTAGTCTCTGACTTTTTGTAAGTCAGTTCTCTTTTCATCATCTTTCTGTTTAACTTTTAAACAAATGTGCTCAAATTCCTCATTTATTGTTGTTTTTAATGTTCTTTGTCCTTGTGGGTGAATATTGTCCTTGTTTCATTATTATAATTTAGTGGGGTTTTAGGGAGAGAGGCTATAAGTGCATAGGACTAATCTGCCAATTATGACCTTGAAGAGGCATCAGTGAAGGGGTAACAACTTCATGAGAGACCCGTGACAACATTGAGCCCATGGTGGACCTTAAGTGAGATTGTTAGATTTAAATCTGCTGCTTCCCCAGCTCTGCCACTTAGCAGTTTCATGACCTGGACATGCCTAAGTTTTCTTACCTATAACAACAGGGGCATACTTATACTGTGCTACTTGCCTTGTAGCATTGTTATGTGATAAAGGGAATCAGTACTTGCAAATCCTGAAAAGGTTTATTATTGAAATAGAAAGGAGAAGGTGAGTCCCTGATGGTTGGAACAAATGGCACCTCTGTGGAGAGCTTCCCCTTGAAATGGAGCCAATGAACTTTGGAAACAAGGAAGGGGGTCTGTATGAAGCTTGAGAACTGTTCTTATATTGCATTCTACAGATGCTGATGAACTGGTTTGCCAAGGTGACTGTGGCACAGAGTCTGAAGGAACCAGCCACTACTTTTACCTCTGAACTGTTTGTTGAGCCCTCTCTCTATTTTCCCTTACATTTGGGTATACAAGTCCAGGACTGCAGGTCTAAAGAGTCCAAATCTCACCCTCCCTCCCCAAAGGTCCAGTTACTGATGAGTGCTGTCAGCAACTAGAATCCCACTGGTATGTGGGGCACATGGGCTGTTCAGGGTTTCTTTGGTTACTAGTGACAGAAACCCAGTGGCTCATGCCTGTAGTCCCAGTCACTCAAGAGGCTGAGGAGGAAGATTACTTGAGCCCAGGAGTTCAAGGCTGCAGTGAGCTATGATTGTGCTTGTGAATAGCCACTACAATTCAGCCTGGGCAACACAGCAAGACCCTGTTTTGCTAAAAAAAAAAAGTTTAAGAAAAAAGAAATATAAAATAAGAATGTTTAGGCTAAAGTAAATAATTTATGACGAGACAGAGCAGGCCTCGAAGATAACAGCAGTGGGTTCTCTCTCCACTCTCATCTTGGCACATGCCTGTAGGTGGCTCTTATTCACTCATAGGCCATGGCCACTAGAAATTCAAAGCCAGGTTCAAGCTAGCAGCCACTCCACTGCCTTCTACTCTAGTATGTTTAGGGCTTTGTGAGGTTACCTAAGATATTGTTCACAAACCTAGAGGTATATGCATGGAGGTGAGGGTTTCATGTTGAAAGATAAAGGCAGACTCTGTAACACATCAGAGTGTTCTTATCTCCTTGGACTTTGAGTGACTATAAGCGAAAAGTGAATGGAATCCAAGAGGGAAAATAAGAACATAGCAAAATACTGTCTGCCTAGACCTTTGATCCTAGTCCACCCAAGCTAACTTTGAAATGAGCTGTGTAACTCACCAGCATTGGAAATATTCTGGAGCAGAGGCAATTTACTGTACTGCACCTGAATAAACAAAGAGCCATGAGATTGCTTCCTCGTTGCCCCTTAATCAAAAGCCTATTCCCTACTTAAAGGGGATACTCATGTTTCTGAATTCATGTTTTTCCTGTCAAAGTATTGATTTTATATTATTTTGACGCCACTAGAGAGAAGAGGTAAAATTCCTAGACATATTGGAAGAAATAATATACTCTCCAGAAAGAAAAGAAACTGGGAATGTAAAATTCTGAGAAAGTGAATAGAAATAAAACCTGAATCAAATGTTGTTGACTAGAACCAAAAGATGTCAGAGAAAAAAGAGAAAAAGCCAGCGAGTACTGGAGAAACATAACTGAAGGAGCATCTACAAAATCTTCTGGAAAAGAAACACAGGATGGATGGATAGATAGACAGAGATAGATAGATAGATAGATAGATAGATAGATAGATAGATAGATAGATAGATAGATATGCACATGCAGTGATAGATACAGGCATGACCAAGGGCCTGTGCCACCTTCTTAGTGGGACAGAATTGAGTAAGCTTTATCTCAGAACCACTTATAGATCTTCACATATGCTGATTTATAGAAAGACAAGTGGCACTGCTTAAAAGGAACCACAAAGAATTTTTAATATTTGTAAATTATTAGGCAGAAAATTGAAGGCGTGAGGAATATAAACCATACTTTTGCTCTTTATTCCAAACTGTCTATGGGAACTGTGTGTGTGGTTTTTTTTTTTTTGTTTTTTTTTTTTTTGCACGCAACAATTACTTCTTCAGACTCCAACTTGGTGTCCTACAATTCAATTCCATTTAATTCTGACACTACCTACCTGGAGGTAGCATCTGATCCAACAGCTTAAGGGCTCAGTCCCACCTTAGGGGCCAGTCACAAGTCCCAAGTTGTCACCTGTACTTCTGACCAACCAACTGTAAATAAATTCCGCATCCCTTTTTCAGGTTCAATCATTTGCTAAAGAAATATTTGTATTTGTATAAAATTTTGTAAGAAAAATAATTACTTGGGTTTATGGGCTTATTCTAAAGGATATTACAAAGGACACATGAACAGCCAGATGAAGATGTACATAGGGCAAGGTCGCAAGATTCCCAAGCACAGCAGCTTCTGTCCCCATGGAGTTGGGGGTTCAGTCACCCTCCCTGCATGTGGATGTATTCAACCGGGAAGCTCTTCAAATCCTATTGTTTAGGGTTTTATGGAGGTTGCGTCATGTAGGCATGATTGGTTAAGTAATTGGCCATTGGTAATTAAACTCAATCTCCAGCCCCTCTCCCCTCCTTGGAGGTAAAGGGGTGGGGCTGAAAGTTCCAACCTTCTAATCACATGATTGGTTCTTCTGGCAATTAGCCCCACCCTGAAGGCATCTAAAAGCTTTCTGCTACCAGCCATTTCATTAATATTCAAAGTGACACTCATCATTCAGAGATTTCAAGTGTCCTAGAAACTCTTGTGCCAAGAACTGGAGACTAAGATCAAATTTGATACCAAAGATGCTCCCATCACTTGGGAAGTTACAAGAGTTTTAGAAGCTCTGTCCCAGAAACTGGGGGATAGAGACACATACACATTTCTCATTATGCCACAGGGACTTTGAGAGAGAAATATAGGAGGGAAATAGTTTTTTACTAGCAGGTATGAGGCCATTTGGCATTTTGGACCTTAGCATAAAGGGCTGGAATGAGAATTTCCTAATGAGAGATAAAGTGGATCCCACAAAGATAGGGAAGAAGACTCTTGGTCAGAGACTGACTAATCTGCTCAGGAGGATTTTAAAAATATATATTAGTTTGGGGGGTTGTTTTTTCACAAGAAATGTATGAAGATGAAAATAAAATGATTCAGAAGTCCACCGTGCAGAATAAATCTTAATGTTAAACAATAAATAAAGTAACCTACACACACTTGAAAAAAGTTGAAACGGTACACAAGAATTTTTGACACAAAATGTGGAGAAGGATGGAGGGAAAAAAAGTATGGCATGGAGGAGGAATAAGAGGGTAGGAGATTCCCATGACTCTCATGAGGAAAGTGGTTGAGAACATGCTTATGGCCTCAGCTTCTCCAATGTGCAGGGACTGGCCACTCAGGTCAATTTATTTATTTATTTATTTATTTATTTATTTATTTATTTATTTATTTATTTTGAGATAGAGTTTCACTCTTGTCATCCTGGCTGGAGTGCAATGGTGCGATCTTGGCTCGCTGCAACCTCTGCCTTCCAGGTTCAAGTGATTCTCCTGCCTCAGCCTCCCAAATGGCTGGGACTACAGGCGTGCGCCACCATGTCTGGCTAATTTTTGTATTTTTAATAGAAATGGGGTTTTGCCATGTTGACCAGGCTGGTCAACTCCTGACCTCAGGTGATCCACCCACCTTGGCCTCCCAAAGTGCTGGGATTATAGGCATGAGCCACTGTACCCGGCCAAATTCACAGTTTTAATTAACTAAGACTATATGATGAGATTGAAAAGTCAAATATGATGGGAGGGTGTATTTTATTCAAAAGAAACACATATTAGGTAGCTTATTAAGAAGATATGCAGCAACCTTGATGAAGTGAACAGCTATTTATCAAGCACATAAGATGTGCCAGGAACTATTATAGGTGTTGGATTCCAACAATCTCTCAAGGAGCTTATAGTCTACAACCTCAAACTGCTTTTCCAACCCAGTATAATGGATATATATAATTAAATAGAATAAGTTGTTCTACTGAGAAAATAAGGTCATAACTGCAAGAAAATTGTATTGTTCCTTGAAAGCTCTGATATGCAGTCTTTTAAAAAAAAATGCATAGAAGATGAAAAAAAGGGATTAAACCAAGGAAGACTTTACAGGCTTAGACAGACGTGTAAGAATGATATCAGGAAAAATAATACATAAAAGGAGATGGAGCTTGATTTTTTTAAAGTAAACATTTTTATTGAACTATAACATTCATTCCTAAAGGCACAGCAAGCACAATTGTACCACTCAATTTGTTTTCACAAACTCAACACATCTATGTAACTAGCACCCAGATAAAAAACCAAAACATTGTCAGCATTCCCAGAAACATCTTCCCGGCTCCTCAGGCACTCCAGTCACCCCCAACTCCTCCAAAGCTAACCACTATAGCTTAGTTTTGCCAAAACCAGTTCACTTTCTTAAAATTACTTTGTTAAGGTATAAACTACAGAAATTTAAAATGTAAAATTAAGAATCACAAAATAAAGATACTGAACATTTTCTTCACCCCTGAAAGTTGCCTTATAACCGGACAGCAGGTTAGTTGCTTGCTGCATGCAGAGTCCAGTTAACAAGAGCAAGGTCTGGTACAGAGTGGTTTATTCCGAACCTAGCTTGGGGAGGTAGCACAAATGTCCATTCAACCTACAAATGTGCTGCTTCAATTCTGGAGCATAAAGTGGACACTTTTATAAGGCAGGGGAGGGAGGGAGCAAGAGCAAAGAGTTCTCCTGCTAGCTTGTTGCCTTATCTACTGGGCAGTTGAGTTGGTGCCTTCCAGGACAGGGGTAAGTGGTAAAAGTGGACAAGTGGGCATGCTTTTGACAAGCCCTCTTGGTGGGTGTGAGTTCTGAGGTGACCCCCACTGCCTGGAGGGTGAAAGTTCTTAGGTAAGTATGCTTTGGTCTGCAAATTGACTGCCAACTTTCAAGGAGATCTGTCTTGGAGCAGATAGTTAGATGAACTTGCCCCATAAGGACTGTCTGTTGAGGGGGAGGTGAAAGGTTATAGTTGCATTTCTAAAGGGCTAAGTAGGAATCTGGGAATGGGGGAGGGAGGGGAAATAAGAAAAGAAGAAAAAATAATTAAAAATAATTAAACTATCTCTTAGAAAAATGGAGATACTTTGTTATAGCCCTACGTCCCTCTATAATACATCCCTCCCCAAAAGAACTTCTTGGTTTGTTTTCTTTTCTCTTCTGTCTTTCTTTTTAGAGACAAGCTCTTTCTCTGTTGCCCAGGTTGGAGTACAATGGTGCAATTATAGATCACTGCAGCCTTGAACTCCTGGGCTCCAGTGATGTCCCACCTCAGCCTCCCGAGTAGCCTGGACTACAGCCATGTTCCACCACAGCCGGCCAATATATTCATGTGTGTGTATATATATATAAAAACTTTATTTCTTTTTGTAGAGATGAGGTCTCACTAGATTGCCTAGGCTGATCTCAAACTTCTGACCTCAAGCAATCTTCCTGCCTTGGCCTCCCAAAGCACCGGGAACAGAGGCATGAGCCACCTCACCTGGCCTCTGATCTATTTTCTGTCACCATACATTAATTTGTGTTTTCTAGAATTTTATGCACATGGTATTATACGATAAGTGCTCTTTATTTTGTGGTTTGACTTCTTTCATTCAGCCTAATGATTCTGAGATTTATCCATGTTTTTGATTGCATCAGAGGTTGTTCCTTGGTATTGCTGAGTAGCATCCTATTGTATTGGATATACCACAATTTATCCATTCATCTGTTGAAGAACATTTGGGTTGCTTATAGGTTTATGGCTGTTATAAATAAAGTTGCTATCAACATTTGTGACCAAGTCTTTGTATGAACATAAGCTTTTATTTTTCTTTGACAAATAACCTAGGAGTGGAATGGCTGAGTATATGGTAGGTGTATGTTTAACTTTTTAGGATACTGCCAACCTGTCTTCAAAGGTGGCGTAGCATTTTATAAACTCAACAGCAGTTTATGAAAATGCCAGTTGCACCACATCTTCACCAATATTTGCTATTATTATTCTTTATAAATTGTAGTCATTCTAATCAATGTGTAGCGGGATCTCATTGTGGGTTTTTTTTTTTCTTTTTTTTTTTTTTAAGACAAAGTCTTACTCTGTCACCCAAGCTGGAGTGCAGTGGCAAGATCTTGGCTCACTGAAACCTCCACCTCCTGAGCTCAAGCGATTCTTGTGCCTCAGCCTCCTGATAAGCTGGGACTACAGGCGCTCGCCACTATGCCCAGCTAAATTGATTTCACCATGTTGGCCAGGCTGGTCTTGAACTCTTCAAGTGATCTGCCCGCCTTGGCCTCCCAAATTGCTGGGATTACAGGCGTGAGCCACCATGCCCAGCCTCATTGTGGGTTTTTAAATATGCATTTTCCTCATTCTTAGTCGGGTTAAGCATCTAATTATGTTCTTATTAGCCATTTTTATGTATTATTTTGTGAATTGTCTTTTTTTTTTAATTCCAAGATCATCAAAAGGGCCTTAAATAAATGTTCACAGCCAAGAGAAGCACGGATAATAGATGGGAAGTTGGCAAATTATAAGTACAAGGAAGATTCTTTATCATCTTTTTTTTTTTGAGACGGAGTCTAGCTCTATCACCCAGGCTGGAGTGCAGTGGCGCAATCTCGGCTCAATGCTACCTCTGTCTCCTGGGTTCAAGCGATTCTCTTGCCTCAGCCTCCCGAGTAGCTGGGATTACAGGCGCCCACCACCATGCCCAGCTGATTTTTATATTTTTAGTAGAGATGGGGTTTCACTGTGTTGGCCAGGCTGATCTCAAACTCCTGACCTCAGGTGATGGCACCCGCTTCGGCCTCCCAAAGTGCTGGGATTACAAACGTAAGCCACTGCGCCCAGCCTCTTCATCATCTTTTTTGCTTTAGTCCTCTATTTTCAGGAGAAGTACCTTCAGGGTGAGATGAAGAAAAGCAGTCCCTCAAGCAGAAAAAAATAGCAGCCTCACAAGACAAACTGGATGGAGACTGAGGAAGGGATCTAGTGGTCCATCAATATCCATTTCTCCTTTCTCTCTTTAAAACCTACAAATTTTAGCTGGATGTAGGGTGACCAACCATCCCCCTATTTACCCAGGACTAAGGGGGTTCCCAAGATGCAGAACTCTGGTGCTAAAACCTGAAAAGAGCTGGGCAAACTAAGATGAGTTAAATGGAGATGATCATTTCCCTGCCTCACTTTCAGTTATATGTTCTGGCCAATGAAATAAGAGCAAAAAATGATGTGTGAAATTCCTGGGTTATTCATATTGGAGGAAAGAGCATGCCCTTCCCTTCCTTCCTTTCTGTCTTGGTTGTGCGCTAATATACTATATTAGTTAGGCAGCTGTAAAAAGGACACCTAAATACAGGCGCTTAAGCAAAATAGAAGTTTATTTCTCTAACACATAAACACTGGTTAGGCACCGCTGGTTGTTACGGCAGCTCTGTAATAATCAAGGATCCAGGGAATCGCTAGGTTCTAAACTGGATGCACCAAGAACAAGTTTTGTTAAACTTGCCTTGGTTTCACTCTTTTGAGATGGTTTCTATGCTGGTAGGTCAGTAAAATGTGTACTTACCAAAAAGCTATTGAGAAAAAGATACATGACAACCATGCAGATTTGTCCTGGGTACAAGTACAACTAGGTGGAATAATAACTGGTTGAGCAATCACACCCAAAGGGTATTGAGTAATGCATCAATATCAGCTTCAAAGGAAACTTCAAGAGGTGTGCCTTGATCTGGCTCAATATTTTTATCAGTGATTTAGATGTATACACAGTGAAGTACTCATAAAATTGACAGATGACATGAAACCAAGAAAGATAGTAAAAGCTAATGAAGACAGAATTGGGCCAAAACCTCTTGCTGCCTAGAATGGCAGGCTGCATCTAACAAGGTGAAGTGATAAATGTGTGTTCGTGAACTCAAATTTTTTTTTAAAAAACAGACAAAACAAAAACAAAACTCCATGCAACTAGGTAAAAAATGGGAGAAAAATGAATTTGTTTTAGCTATGGAAAAGAATTGGGGTGTTTTAGGTGACAGCTCAAAATGAATCAACAGGGCAAAGCTAGAGCAGCTCTGGCTGACTGCATTAATGGAGTGACTGGAGGGTATGGCTCTGCTAGCAACATCTGAAGTGGCAGTTTCATGCCACAGTGTGAAAGATAGAGAGGCATGTCCTGGAGAAGGACCAGAGGTGACTTGAAACTGATCTCAAATATTGGAGGTCTGTTCTGTGGCACTCCTACCCTACATGGCTATGGCCATGACCCTTCCATCTGGCTCTCACACTCCACTCCACTCTTTTATCTGACTATCCACCTGCTCCTAAGCTTCAGCTTGGCACTTTGCTCCTGTTGTTTGTCCTCACACATTGGTTCCTCCTGCTGCTGTCTGCTTTGAGAACACTCTTTTCTTAGTGTCAAGGAGACTGGATGATCTCAAGAGTAGAGGAGATAAGTGTGAACAGTGAGAATGGTTAGGCCCCAAGCATCTTCTCTTAAAGGGGGACCTTTTCTGACTATCAATGCATAAACTATCAATGCATAAAAGAAGGTAGTTAAAAGTGGCAACTTTTTAATGTGCAAATTTCTCCAAACTGTAGAACTTGCTACGCTTTTGAGGACTAGTTTATAGTATAGGGCAGTGTAGAGCAGTTACTTTAGATACGTTCTGTACTTGTATGTTTGATACATGTACAGAACACACTGCACCACATTATCATACTACTGGCCATCATACTCTCTAGTCATATATATAAAATATGACTAGAGACAGAGAGCTAAATAAAAAGAACCAGGCCAGGCCGGGCACAGTGGCTTATGCTTGTAATCCCAGCACTTTGGGAGGCTGAGGCGGGCAGATCACCTGAGACCAGGAGTTTGAGACCAGCCTGGCCAACATGGTGAAACCCCATCTCTACTAAAAATACAAAAATTAGCTGGGTGTGGTGATGCACACCTGTAATCCCTGCTACTCAGGAGGCTGAGGCAGGAGAATCGCTTGAACCTGGGAGACAGAGATTGCAGGGAGCCAAGATCATGCCATTGAACTCCAGCCTGGGCGACAAGAGCAAAACTCCTTCTGGAAAAAAAAAAAAAAACAAACAGGCCAGCAATCAATGGGCATAAAGTTTGGGTTATGCAAGATCAATGAGTTCTAGAGATTTGTGGAACATCGTGCTTATAGTTAACAATACCACAATACCATTTTGTATGCTCTAAATATTATTAAAAGAGTGAATTTAATGTCTTTACCACAATAAAATAAAATTAATTAGGGAAAAAAATGCAGATCTTTCTTTCCTCCAAGGCAGGCATTCCTCCCACAGCACCAAAACAAAAATCAACCAGGCCAGGCATGGTGGCTCACACCTGTAATTCCAGCACTTGAGGAAGCCGAGGTGGAAGGATCACTTCAGTCCAGGACTTCATGGTCAGCATAGGTAACATAGAGAGATCCCATCTCTACAAAAAAATCAAAAAATTAGCTGGGCATGGTGGCATGTGCATGTCTGTAGTCCCAACTACTTGGGAGGCTGAGGCAAGAGAATCACTTAAGCCCGGGAGGTCAAGGCTGCAGTGACCCGTGATTACACCACTGCACTCCAGCCTGGATGTAGAGTAAGGCTCCATCCTCCCCCCCCCCCAAAAAAAAGCCAAGAATAATTTTAAAGGCCAAAAAGAAGTCCTAGAAATGGAAAATATAATATTTCAAGAATTAGGCAGAGGATCTATTTAAAAAGATGACTTCAACAACATTATAAACCAACTAGACTTAACAGACATGTATAAAACATAAATAACTCTTCCCCAGAAAACAACTAAACCTGCTGAATAAAAATTTAAAATATATGCACTTGGCTGGGCACAGTGGCTCATGCCTGTAATCCCAGCACTTTGGGAGCTGAGGCAGGAGGATAGCTTGAGGCTCAGAGGTCAAGATCAGCAACCTGGGCAACATAGCAAGACCCCCATCTCCACAAAAAAATTTTAAAATAAAATACATGTACTTATAAATGTAGCACTGAGCTTGCAAGGCAGTAAGGAAGCCTCACAGGTCAAAATGAAATAAATGTTGAAATCCAGATATGAAAGATAGCACTGAGATTGGCTTTCATCTTGAGGCCATTTGCCCAGCAATGGTGACCCTGAGTTTTCATTAGATGGTCCTTCGTGCTATGACAAACAGGAGCTAAAATCCAAGACCCGCCCAAAGTGCAGAATCTAAAAGGAGATCCCTGCATAAAGTTAGAAACACAAGGGGTATAGTGGCAGCATAATGATAGATTGCAAATAAATTAACCCTAAAGAAAAAAATTGTAAGGAAACTTGCCTGTCTTAACTTTGACATTGAGTGAAGGAGGAAAAATGCAGCCCTGATAATGTGTAATCCTAAGCAGGCCTCATATGGGTTTTGGCCTGAATTCAAACTACTCATTAGGTTTTAAAAATCTCAGTTTGAAAATTTAGAGTAATCTCAAGCATCCGCAGAAGCAAACCAAATCTTTCATGAAAGAAAATACCTTAAATTGAAGCCTCAAAGTTCCAAAGAATAGGAGCTCTCTGTCAAATATTATAGAATATATGCAAAACAAGGTAATGAGGCTGGGCGCGGTGGCTCATGCCTGTAATCCCAGCACTTTGGGAGGCCGAGGCGGGTGGATCACGAGGTCAGGAGATCAAGACCATCCTAGCTAACATGGTGAAACCCCATCTCTACTAAAAAATACAAAAATTAGCTAGGCATGGTGGCGTGCGCCTGCAGTCCCAGCTACTCAGGAGGCTGAGGCAGGAGAATCACTTGAACCTGGGTGGTGGAGGTTGCAGTGAGCCGAGATCGTGTCACTGCCCTGCACTCCAGCCTGGGCGACAGAGCGAGACTCCATCTCAAAGCAAACGAACAAACAAACAACAACAACAAACAAGGTAATGAGTGATAGCAGATAGCATACTCAATCTACAAAGATGCCAACTACTGGAATTAAATAGATACTAATTATAAAATAAGCTTGTTTAGTGGGTATATAGAAATTTAAAAAGGGGGAGTCAAAATTAAACTAGAGAGAAATAACTAACTAAAAGTAACCAAGCATAATTTTAAAGGACCAAAAGATTTTCTAGAAATAAAAAATAATATTTCAAGAATGAGGAAGATCAATAAAAGAAAGATGATGTACAATATAAACCAACAAGACCTAACAGACACAAATAGAACATTCCATTCAATAACAGCAGAGTATACATTTTTCTTAAGTGCACATGGAATATTCTCCAGAACAGTCCCTATGCTATGGTATATAACAAGCCCCAGTAATTTTTTTTTTCTTTGAGATGAAGTTTCGCTCTGTCGCTCAGGCTGGAGTGCAGTGGCGCGAACTCGGCTCACTGCAACCTCTGCCTCGCAGGTTCAAGTGATTCTCTTACCTCAGCCTCCCGGGTAGCTGGGACTACAGGTGCAAGCCACCACACCCCACTAATTTTTGTATTTTTAGTAGAGATGGGGTTTCGCCATGTTGGCCAGGCTGCTCTCGAACTCCTGGCCTCAGATGATGCACCAACCTTGGCCTCCCAAAGTGTTGGGATTACAGGCGTGAGCCACCGCGCCCAGCCAAGCCCCAATAAATTTAAAAATCAATTTTGAAATTATATGAAATAGATTCTCTGACCACAATGGAATGAAATTAAAAACTGATAACAGAAAAAAATTGGAGATGTTCACAAATATGTAGAAATTAAACAATATTCTTCTAAGTAACTAAAGAGTCAAAGAAGAAATCACAAGGGAAATTAGAAAATGAATGAAAATAAAAATGCAATATGCCGAAGTTTCTGGGATGCAGTGAAATTAATGCTTAGAGGGAAATGTATACTGATAAATGTCTATATTTAAAAAAAAAGAAAAAAATCCACATTAAGAACCTGATATTCTACCTTAAGATATTAGAAAAAGAAGAGCAAACTAAACCCAAAGAAGCAGAAGGAAAAAAAATCATAAAGAGTAGAGAGAGAAATAAATAAAGAATAGAAAGATAATGGAGATAATCACCAAAAGTTTCCTTTTTTAAAATAAGTTCACTGGTATCTCTTTCCTATTTATAGCCAAAGGAGACTTCTCTGTACCCAGAATCTCAGTAAATGACAGTAAAATACGATTTCCTTTCACCAATGCTCTCAGGTAAATGTTAGAAATTTCCCCAAAATAATGTTACTGTTTTATATTTAATGTAAATACTCTTCTAACCAAGCTCTAAAATTGTCACCTAAAGTTACATCATTATCCATTCATCCTTTTGGATTAAGTATTGCCCCCAAAAGAGTCATTGATTTGAAAAGATTTTTAAAAATTGACAAAACTTTAGCTAGACTGACCAAGAGAAAAAGATAGAAGGCTCAAATTGCTAAAATCAGGAATGAAAGATGAGATATCATTATTGATCTTCAATAAATAAAAAGGAATTTAAGGAAATACTATGAATAATTGCATGCCAACAAGTTAGGTTACCTAAAAGAACAAATTTCTAGAAACATACAAACTATCAAAACTGTCTCAAAATGAAAGAGGAAGTCTGAGCAGAGAGACAAGAAGTAAAGCGATTGAATTATCTATTAACAACAACAACAAAACAAATGAAGAAACAAACAAACCAAAAACTAACCACACAGAAAAGCCCAACCCACATGGCTAAACTACTGGACTCTACTGAGCTTTTAAGAAAGAATTAACATGAGTTTTTCACAAACTCTTGTAAAAATTAGAATTGGTATATACTTCCCAACTTACTCTCTGAGACCAGAATTTCCCTGACACCGAAACTAGACAAAAACATCACAAGAAAGCTACAGACCAATTTTGAATACAGACTGAAATATCCCCATCAAAATACCAGCAAACTGATTTCAGCAGCATATAGAAAGGATTATACATCATGACCACGTGGGATTTATCACAGTATGTGAGCTTGGCTTACCATATGAAAATCAATCAATGTAACATGTCATATTAGTAGAGTAAGGGGGCAAAAACTACATGATCATCTCAATAGACATAGAAAAACATTCCACAAAACCCATCCTTTCATAAAAAAAAAAAAAAACTCTAGGGATAAAGGAGAAATTCCTCAATCTGATAAAGGCCATCCATGAAAAACACATAGCTAACAATGTATTTAAAGGTGAAAAACTGAGTATTTTCCCCCTAGGATCAGGAACAAGACAAGGATATCCGCTCTCACTGCTTCTATTCAACATGATATATTGGAAGTTCCAGCCACAGCAATTAAGCAAGAAAGAAACATAAAACATTCAGATTGGAAGGGAAGAAGTAAAATTATATAAAATCAACAAGATTGCAGGATACAGTATCAATATACAAAAAGCAATTATATTTCTATATGTAAGCAATGGGCAATCTGAACGTAAAATTTGGAAATATTATGTTTATAATAGCATCAAAAAGAATAAAATACTTAGAAATAAACTTAGGAGGAGTAAAACTTGTGCACTGAAAATTACAAAACATCATTGAAAGAAATTAAATTAGGGCCAAGTGTGGTGGCTCATGCTTGTAATCCCACCACTTTAGGAGGCTGAGGCAGGTGGATCACATGAGGCCAGGAGTTCAAGACCAGCCTGGCCAACAAAACGAAACCCCATCTCTATTAAAAACAGAAAAAATTAGCCAGTTCTGGTGGTGTGCACCTGTAACCCCAGCTACAACCTGGGAGGTTGAACCTGGGAGGTGGCAGTTGCAGTGAGCCAAGATCGTGCCACTGCACTCCAGACTAGGTGATAGAGCGAGACTCTGTCTCAAAAAAATAATAAATAAATAAATAAATAAATAAATAAATAAATAAATAAAATTAGACCCAAATCACTATAAAGACATCACATGCTCATGGATTGGAAGACTCAGTATTGGTAAAGTGGCAATAATCTTCAAACTGATATTCAAACTAAATACATCCCCTATCAAAATCTTAGGAATTTCGAAAGATTAATCCAAAAACTCGTATAGAAATGGAAGGGATCCAGAATAGCCAAATTATCTTGAAAAATAAGGATAAAATTGGAGCATTCACACTTCCTGATTTCAAAGCTTACTATACAGCTATAGTAATCAGTGCAGTGTGGTATAAGAATAGACATACAAATCAATGGAATAGAACTGAGACTCCAGAAATTACCCCTTACATTTACTGATTTTTGAAAAAGATGCCAAGACAATTCAAAAGGAATTTGTGTGTATCTGCACACGCAAAAATATTCGTTAGCAAATTATTAATCAGAGACACAATGAGATACTACCACCTCACACCAACTATGGTGGCTCTAATATAAAAAATGGAAGTAATATGTGTTGGCAAGGATGTAGGAAAACTTAAATTCTCACACATTGCTGGTGGGAATGTTGAATCCTGCAGCCACTTTAGGAAACAGTTTGGCAGTTCCTCAACTGATTAAACATAGAGTTACCTACTGCATGTCCCAGCAATTCTACTCTCATGCATACAAACAAGATAATTCAAAACTACACACAAACTTGTACATCTAAATGTTCATAGCAGTGCCAAAGTAGAAACAACCCAAATGTCCATCAACTGAAGCATGGTTAACAAACAGTGGTGTGGAATGTGGCATATACAATAGAATATTACCTTGCAATAAAATGAAATAAAGTACCCATGCAAAATGGATCTTGCAAACCTCATGCTGAATGAAAAAAAGCCAGACACAAAAGGCTACATATATTATAGTACTCCTTTTATATGAAATTTCCAGAATAGGCAAAGCTATAAAAATAGACAGTAGATTAGTAATTTCTAGGGGTTGGGAGACGAGGAGAATGGGGAATGACTGCCAATAAATATGGAGTTTCTTTTGCGGTTGATGATAATGTTCTGCATGTTAATGGTGGTGGTAGATGCGCAAATCTGTGAATACACTGAAAAACACTAAAATTCTATACTTTAAAAATTATTTTTGGTATAAGAATTATATCATCATAAAGTTTTATAAAATAATAATTGATATTAAAAACTCAAAGGATGAATTAGACTACAGGAAAGAATAAGTGAACTGGGATATAAATCTGAAGATATGACCCAGAATACAACAAAAAGATGCAGAGATGGAAAATATACAAGAAAAGTTAAGAGATATCAAGGATAGAGTGAGAACATTTAATAAGTCTAATCAGAGTTCCAAAAGGAAAGGAAAGAGAATAGGAGAGAGGCCATATCAGAAGAGATAATGGCTGAGTATTTTTCAGAATTGATTAATGATACCAATTCTCAAATTCAGGAAGTGCAACAAGTTCCAAGAATAACTTAAAAAGAAGAAAAGAAAAGAAATTAACACCTGGACATATCATACTAGTCTGCAGAACACCAAAGACAAATTGAAGCTCTTAAAAACGGTCAGGTGAAATATAAGTCAGCAATAAAAAGGAACAAATTATTGAAACACCCAGAAACTTGATTAGATTTCAAGAATATTAGGCTGAGTGAAAAGCCAAGGTACAAAATGAGGCATGAGTCTGTGCTAGTTGCCATAACAAAATACCATAGACTGAGGGGTGTAAACAATAAAAATGTATTTTCTTACAGTCTGGAGGCTAGAAATCCCAGATCAAGGCCCAGCAGGGTAGATTTCTGGTGAAAGCTCTCTTCCTGGCTTGCAGAAAATCACTGTTTCCCTGCCCTCATATGGCAGAGAGAATGAGAGAGAGGGAGGGGAGAGAGAGAGAGAGAGAGAGAGAGAGAGAGAGAGAGAGAGAGAAAAGTTCCCTGGTGTCTCTTTGTTTAACCTCATTAAAGGCTGTATTTCCAAACACAGTCACATTGAGTGTTAATAATACAGTCACATTGAGGTTAAACATAATTCAATTCATAGCATGCAGCATGATTCCAGTTATGTAATATTTTCAAAAATATAAAATTATAGAGATGGAGAGCAGATTAATAGTTGCCAGGGGTTAGTGATGGTAGGAGGTTTGGGTGTGGCTGTTAAGTGGTAGCATAAGGGAGATCTCTGTCATAATAAAATCATTCTGTATCTTGAAACTACTGAGTGATGCTTACAGAAATCTACACATGTGATACAATGAGATAGAACTATATATACACAATGTGCCAATATCAATTTCCTCATTTTGCCATTGTATTATAGTTAAGTAACATGTAACCATTGGGGAAAACTGCGGGGAAGGGTACAAAGGGCCCCTCTTTTCTATTTTTGTAGCTTTCTGTGAATCTGTAATTATTATGAAATAAAAAGTTTTTTAAAAAGCAGCCAGGAACAAAAGATAGTTTACTAATTAAAATTTTGGTCTGAGATACATGAAGAAATGGTTAGCAATTAAACCAATAAATTATCAATAAATATAAATATTATTAAACTTTCTAGAAGAAATAGAGTATATAATCTCCAAACTACTAAATGCATAAAAATAAAGTGAAAGAAAAAAGGCTGAATGACTCTAATTTTTTTTTTTTTAGAAATAGGGTCTCACTCAGTCTTCCAGGCTGGCATACAATGGTGTGATAGCTCACTGCAGCCTCAAACTCCTGGGCTCAAGCCATCCTCCCATCTCAGCCTCTCAGCTAGCCGGGACTACAGGTGCACGCCACCATACCCAGCTAAGTTTTTTATTTTTTGTAGAGATGGGGGTCTTGCTGTGTTGCCCTGGGCTCAATCATTCTTCCCACCTCAGCCTCTCAAGGTATTGGGATTACAGGCATGAGCTACCGTGCCTAGCCTTGAATGAATTTTTAAATTAAGGAAAGATGGAAGAAATAAAAACTGAAAACATAAGAAAAATAGAAACCATAAAAGTACAAGAAATAAATTCAAATATAATTAAAAGTAGAATAAGCTCAGTTTTGAAGACAAAATTTATTGTATAGATTTTTAAAAATCCATTATATGCCATCTTAAAGAGACATACCTAAAACAAGGCATGGAGAGTTGAAAATGAAAGGACAGGGAAAAAATATCAAAATAGAAAACTAGGTGTCTAACTGTATTAAAGTCAGATAAAATATTAATAGATGTTAAGGTGAAACTAAAGGATACAGATTTCCTGTCAATGTAAGGAAGAAATCGCTAAGGGAACTAACAAAAGTAGAATAAGTGACATCCAGAGTCACTGAATTCTCCATCTATTGAGAAGTTCAAATCTGACATTTCCTTGACTTCAAACATCTGACATTTCCTTCTGAATATGAATTATCATATCTACAATAAAAGTCTGGTGCACATGTGTGTATATGTCTGAGTGTGATTATGTGTATGCTAGGGTATATGTGTCACATACACATACAGACACATGCACACACACACACACACACACACACACACACACACACACACACACAAAGTCCATTATTAGGATTTCAACTTCCTCTGCTTTAAGATTTGTCTTCCAATCATTTGTCTGAGAAGATACATTAAGAAAACTCCTGAAGGGGCTGGAGTGTGGTGGCTCATACCTGTAATCCCAGTACTTCTGGAGGCTGAGGCAGGTGGATAACCTGAGGCCAGGAGTTCAAGGCCTGCCCGGCCAACATGGTGAAACTCTGTCTCTACTAAAAATACAAAAATTAGCCAGGCGTGGTGGCGCATGCCTGTAATCCCAGCTACTTGGGAGGCTGAGGCAGGAAAATTGCTTGAACCTGGGAGGAGGAGGTTGCAGTGAGCCGAGATTGTGCCATTGCACTCCAGCCTGGGCAACAAGAGCGAAATGCTGTCTCAAAAAGAAAAGAAAAGAAAACTCTCAAAGGACAATTTTTAATGTCCTATCTCATCTAACTTAGTCAACATCAGTTAGTTATCTAAGTTACTAACAGATACCCAAAGAAATATAAACATTGTAAGGCCTTCTGAACACGGCAACACCTTTTGAGGGTGGGGTGGGTGGCAACTGTTTGGCAAGTGCATGCAGTTATCCTTTTGCAATACAGATCTTTAGGTTTTTAATTTCTGGAACGAGATCTATCAAAAAACTGAGACTTTCTTGGAAGGTCTCCAGGAATGGGAGTGGATAGAGCCAGCTCTACCTGCCCCAAGATACTCCTAAGGGTGGAGCTCAGAGAACTATATTTTTAACAAGCATCTCTGGAGAATTCTGAATCACACTAAGGACTGGGAAATATGATTTTAAGGGATCTCAAGGCTTCAGCATAAAAGAAGTAAGCTCTTTTTCTATGCTTTAAAATATCAATTTCTCTAGAATATTCCTTGTTTTCTTTTATTGGAGACAAGGAAATTATAAAGACATTTGAAGATGGTATTCTCACTTTATTCATTTTTTGGGAAACTGTCCTGGGTCTATATTTCCAATCACATCTCATTCATTCTCTGCTACTCTGAAAAGAGCTCATGTCATTATTCACTGTGATGATGGGAATCTGGCCTTAGACGACATCTAGGAGTACAGCCTCAAGAAACAGACAAAAATGGTCATGGTTACAGGATATAATTTCTATAATCCTAAAAAGAGTATAGCAACAGTCTCAAGGAGATAAAACCTAGCCAGCAAGAAGCTTATTATAAATGTGATCTAGTTACAAGTCAAAAAGAGGAAATAAAAATAATTATTTTTAACTTCTGTAGTCACTAATTAAATGAATGACCTATTGTAATATAATTTGAAATATTTATTTGGAGAAGAATTACTAGAAAAACTAACTTTAGATTTTAGCAAAAAGAGAAAATAAACAAAGAAGTGGCTGACTTTGTTCCCTCTTCATAAAGTTCCAGAATTTAACATTTTCATCAGAAGGTACAAAAATAGCCTCTACACAATCTTATGAGACACAAAGTGAATAACTGAACTCAATTTGCCTTATTAAAATTTATTATATAACAGCCATTTAATCATTTTTTAGCTGGACTGTAAATGTCCTCCTATAGACTGAAATGCTCTGAGAAACAATTGTGCTCTCTTATATGTCACCCACGTCTTCAACACTGCTGACTATGTAATGAGACATTAAAAATGCCTGTGGGTTAAGTAACTGCTTTTTTAAAAGGACTCATTGTGAACTCAAATATCCTTATGAAATTTTAGTATACCAAGTTAAAGAGAAAACTTTTAAAAGCTTTCTGAGAGCAAAAACAACTAATTTGCAGTGAGATGAGAATCATATCAACTTTCAGATTTTCCAGGTTTAGATGGACTACAATGAAACAACGGCTTCAAAGTGCTAACAGAAAGTGGCATAAGCCATAGAATTCTATGCCCAGCCAGTTTACCAATCTGCAAGTCAGACTGAAAGGAGTCAACATTAAATTCTTTTTCTGGAAAAAAAAAAGTCACTTGAGCATATGCTCTAGGAAAATGAAAATGGAAATCAAAAAAGATGAATACATGGAATCCAAGAAATAATGGCCACAAATCAGAATAGCGATAAAAAGAATTCCTAGTAAAGGCAATTGTTTCGAATTAAGCACATAGTCAGACTTGGAGATGAATGTGTTTAATAAGAAAATAAATTCACTTCAGCAATTAAATATGATTTAAGAAGGCGTATGAATTTACAAATAGAATGAAGGTAATTGTTTTTCTGTTAACAAGATAATAAAATAAGACAAACAGAAATTCCTTGAAAAATAAAAAGCTCTACAGCAAAATCAGTCTATATAAAACAAATTAAATGTAGCACAATTCTGAACAGGGGTGTAATGAATGATAAACCATTTGATCTTGGTTTCTGAAGTATTCATCTTGTAGCTACACATATTTAGGAGAAGTGTTCCATTTCCTTTTCTGCAAGTCCAACTAAAGTTTTTGGTTCTATGGAAAATAATATGTATGCAATTACAGTATTGTAAGTGCCCTTTATTGGATTCTAGTTTTTTAAATCATCTTATATACAAGGCATAGAAGATAATAATAGTTCTAAAACACAATGGAAATGTCATAAACCATGGTGTAAGAGTTGTGAGATAGAAAGGGAAAAGGAGGTATGAAAATGTAAGGGTGTATGTAGCCTCATTATTTTTTATAATGAAGACTTGAGAGATGCTATCAAAAGTTGAATGATCAAGGAAACACTTTACCTATCAATTTAAAGTTACAAAGTAAGCCAGTAGAAGAACTATGTATAATACTACTAAGACACTTTGAGAAGAGGAGGGAGACAGGAGTGGTGTTAATGAGCTCTATTCCTTGTCTTCGATACGTGGGACTCAATAGATATTTGTGTATGATAGCTTGGCTTATTGATCCCAATTCTGCTCCCTCCTGTGAAGAATTATACATCCACACTCTTCGTCGTGTGATTTTTCGCATGCTTCCTGGTAGAGCACATATAGTGCCATCCCTACTCCGTTGACTCTCACTTTGGCCGTGTGAATTATTTTCAACAATGGAATGTGGGTGGAAGTGACAGTGGCCAGTTGTAAACAGAGGCTTCCAAAAATATCATGTGTTTGTGTTGCTCCTCTTCAGCTGTGGCCGTCTGCCATGGGAAGAACATGCCCTAAATAATGGCCACTTCTTTAGCCTAAGTCCCAAAATGAGAAGATGCATACAGCCAAGCCTGACTAAGTCCAGCATAGCTGCAGACAGTGACTCATGAGCTTGAAATAAGTGTTTGTTGTTGTAAGCCACAATTTGGGGATTGTTTGTGCGGCAGCAAAAATTGATAAACATACTATCTGAAGTTGATGAACTGAGAATGGGGACTATATTATTTAGAGTTAGAGGAGGAATCTACCAGGAGAGGGAGGAGTGGCAACCACCTAACAAAAATGGTTAGTTACTTCTAAAGATTGTGTTGGGGAAGAGAGTTTAAGTTTTTTATTTCACAGAAACCTGTCCTTTGTCAATGTTTGTCATATGCACATTTCCCTTTAAAATATAAAAAGTAAGGTGCATACCATCCAGGAGGTGATATAAGCCTTTAAAATACAAAACATTATAGCAACAATGTGATGAGACATCTAGCTTGTGTCAGAAAAAAAGTGCTGCAGATGATTAAATTGTAGGAATTTAGATAAAAGAAAAGATCAACCTGACAAGAGGTTGTAGACAGTAGAGAAAACTGCACTGGGATGGAAATCTTAGAGTAGAGAAAAGGTGGACGAAAGTAGGCAAGGAAGAAACAGTGTAACACATAACATGTAGAGCATGGGGAAGGACTCGGTGAGTGGTAGGGCTAGACAGAGAATTCTTATGGGTGAGCTGTGGCAAGAGGTCTCAGGTAGTTGGGAGGGGGACCACTTGTGAAGGGCCTGGAATGCTAGACTGATGTGTGTGGACATGAACTGGATGTTTTGGGAAGGTCAATATAGCAGGGCTGTGTGGGGTGGGGATATTGTATAGTGAAAACACGATCCTCAGAGCTGGTGGAAACTAACTTACGGGCCATTTAGGCAAGTGGTGTGGCAGATGTCAAGGTATTGCTATTAACTCATGTGGCTTTTGTTACCACATCCTCTAGGCCCAAATTGACAAAAAGCAGTGCCTCATTTTTTTTTTGCTAGAAATATGTAGGCTGTTATTCAGAGAGACTGTTTGGTTGCCCTGAAGGACTGCAAAGATATAACTTGAAGAAAGAAGAGGCCAGGAAAATGTATCTTATAAACCTTTGAAAGCCACTCCTAACTAAAAAAGACCTGCAGTTATCTTGCCTACCCTGTACTACTTGACATGGGAATTTTCATTGAGGCTTTCTAAATGCTATCTAACAATATCATAAATCATATGCATTCATAGTTAAAATTTTGGCATTCTTACTCTGTAGTACCTCTTTTGAACCGATTACCCATTGCCTCTTCCATTTCGCTTTATTTGAAGTTTATGTCATTTGATTTTCTTTTTAAATGACGGCTACTCTACTTTCCTTAAATTTTATATTAACGACTTTGTGACTTTTTAAATGTTCAGTTTTTTATATATTTTTATTTTTTTGAGACTGAGTCTTGCTCTGTCGCCCAGGCTGGAGTGCAGTGGTACAATCTTGGCTCACTGCAACCTCTGCCTCCCGGGTTCAAGCAATTCTCCTGCCTCAGCCTCCCAAGTAGCTGGGACTACAGACATGTGCCACCATGCCCTGCTAATTTTTGTATTTTTAGTAGAGATGTGGTTTCACCATGTTGGCCAGGCTGACCTCGAACTCCTGACCTCAAGTGATCCACCTGCTTCAGCCTCCCAAAGTGCTAGGATTACAGGCATGAGCCGCAGCGCCCAGCCTCAGTTTCTTAGGTTTATTTTTGCTTACTGTCGTCTTCACCCTTGTTGACCTTATGCCCAAATGGTATGTCTTGGGCCTTATCAATGCAGGCCCTGTTCCACTTGCAGTGCCTCTGGCTTGTTTTCACTGATGTCTCAACTTTTCCACTCCTCCATATTTGCTTACTTCAGGCTTCAGCTGGGTCTCTGATCTAGCAGTTCATAGCACTTTTTCCACTATGATAGACCATTTAAATGTCCAAAGCATATATGTGGAATTCCTAATCGTCTAGCAGTAAATTTTCCCTTTGCTTTCTGACTCAAGAAAGCCTATTGGAATGCAAGAAATTGGGAGTGACTTTTTTTTTTTTTTTTTTTTTTTTCATTTGAGGCAGAGTCTTGCTCTGTGGCCCAGGCTGGAGTACAGTGGTGCGATGTCAGCTCACTGCAACCTCTGACTCCTGGGTTCAAGCAATTCTCCTGTCTTAGCCCCCCGAGTAGCTGGGATTACAGGTGCCTGCCACCATGCCTAGCTAATTTTTGTATTTTTAGCAGAGATGGGGTTTCACCATATTGGTCAGGCTGGTCTGGAACTCCTGACCTCAGGTGATCCACCCGCCTCAGCCTCCCAAAGTGCTGGGATTACAGGCGTGAGCCACCGTGCCTGGTCCAGGGGTGATGTTTTTATAGGAATAATCTGCAATCTGATCTCATTTCTGTTTCAAAATTTTATTCTCAACTTCTGGTTCCAGAACAAGGTAGAATAGTGGGTGAAGTACACTGCCTACTAACAATAGCTAAAAGCCCTGAGCATTGTTTATGAAACAAACAGAAGAGTCTAAAAGGTGGAGAGAAGAAGACAATTGACTAGGGATCTACAGGGACCCATCCACCATTGATCTTGGGATCCAAGGAATGACAGGGCAACAAGTTCCCTCAGGGTTTTTTTTTTCTTTTTTCTTTTTTCTTTTTTTTTTTTTTTTGAGATGGAGTCTTGTTCTGTTGCCCAGGCTGAAGTGCAGTGGCGTGATCTCAGCTCACTGAAACCTCCATCTCCTTGGTTCAAGCAATTCTCCTACCTCAGCCTCTGGAGTAGCTGGAATTACAGGTGCCCACCACCATGCCCAGCTAATTTTTTTGTGTTTTTAGTAGAGATGGGGTTTCACCATATTGGCCAGGCTGGTTTCGAACTCCTGACCTCAAGTGATCTGCCTGCCTCGACCTCCCAAAGTGCTAGGATTACAGGCGTGAGCCACTGCACCCTGCCAAGTTCCCTGTTTCCTTCTTGCCTCATAGATCCTGGACCAAGTGCTGGAGAGTGGGCATCTGGGAACATCACAGGAGCATTTTTTTTTTAAACCCATAAATGCCTGTTCTCTCTAGCCAAAGGATCAGGAAAGGGGCAACCTAGCAAGAGAGAAAACTTTTAGAAAATAAATGCCCTATTCCAACCAAACATTGAAGAAAACATATTTGACCTCACCCCTTCCCTGTCCATAAAGGCTTTGAATAGAGAGCCTAGACTGCCATCTTCACTCTGTTGTAACAATGCACCCCTCATGACCTCACTCCCTGCTGAGAAGGAGTCAGAGAAGACCACGTGGCCAAGTGGAGACCCAGGGCTTTAATCCCTGCCCAGTCAACAGAATGGACAGCACAAAAATAAACAAAAAACCATGACCCAACAATAGGCAAGGGCATTAAGTTGAGTAAAAAAGCCAATCTCAAAAGGGCACTATATTAGTCCATTTTCATGCTGCTGATAAAGACATACCTGAGACTGGGCAGAAAAAGAGGTTTAATTGGACTTACAGTTCCACATGGCTGGGGAGGCCTCAGAATCATGGCAGGAGGTGAAAGGCACTTTTTACATGGCGGCGGCAAGAGAAAAAAAAAAGAGGAAGATGCAAAAGCGGAAATCCCTGATAAAACCATCAGATCTCGTGAGACTTATTCACTACCACAAGAACAGTACGGGGGAACTGCCCCCAAGATTCAAATTATCTCCCACTGGGTCCCTCCTACAACACATGAGAATTATGAGAGTACAATTCAAGATGAGATTTGGGTGGGGACACAGAGCCAAACCATAACAGCCACATACTGTATGATTCCATTTATACGACATCCATAGCCACATACTGTATGATTCCATTTACACAACTATAGAGACAGGGAACAGATAAGTGGTTGCCAGGGGTTAGAGATAGTGAGGGTGGGGAAGAGGGTGTGGCTATAAAGGAGATCTTTGTGGTGATGAAATACTACTTGATATAGTAGGATGATTTGGGATCCTAATGTCTCAAAATGGGGTCACTCCTATCAAGTAGTATTGAGGCCACAGTGAAGTTGTTTACTCCTCAAAGTGCTAAATGTGTACTCCTCAAAGTGCTAAACGTGTGTGTGTAATGGCTTGAGGTGATAACACCTGCTCTTGCCTGGTACCACCTGAGACCTGAAATGAACTGACAGAAATTGAAAAGTGGCTGAGTTAATGACAGTGGACATATCTGAGAGGATCCTGAAAGCAGCAAGCACCTGGTCTTAGCCTAGATGCCTTAAGAGGCTCTGCCCATGAGAACTGTGAGGTCATCTCCCAACTTGGCAACGGTCACTGCGGGCTCTGCCTGAGAGAAGCAGAAGTGGTGACCCCCCACCCCCACACCTGACCAACATCTGAAGGACTTCTGTACCCGCTGGACATGTCTGTCAGTGCGTTGGTCTCCCAAGCCCATCACTGTGGTTCATTACCCACCTCTGATGACTGCCTATGTGTTAAATATTAATTACATAATTGATGGTGTGTGAAGACCTCACAATAAACCATGAATTCAAACATACATAATTGGCTACTGAGTCATTGTGAAACCTCTCAGCTTTGGTCAGAGTTAGCAAACCTAGGCCATAGGAAATTAACATAACAGCTCTGTATCTTGATTCGGGTGGTAGTTACAGGAATCAACTCGTGGTAAAATGGCATAGAGCTACACACACACATTGCACCAATGTCAATTTCCTGGTTTTGATATTATACTACAGTTATATAAGGTGTAATCATTGGGGGAAACTGCAACTATTAGTCACTGTTACCTGCCCCACCTCCCACAAATGCCTAAAATGTACTGCTCTGATCACCACAAGGCTTTGATGGCATCCTGACTGGGATGCTACCTCCATCTCCCCAGGGCTGCCTTCACCTCGCTGACATGACATGATCACCACCAAATGGATGAATGTACCAAGGTTCCTGCCTGCATCCAATTTGCGTTCTCTTGTTCCTGGGCCTCACAACAGTGAGTGGTCATGACAGCGATGATGTCTACGGGCAGGGGAGCTATGAGACGAAGAAGTGCATGCATGTTCCTGAGGCTGCAGCCACAAGACAGAGCTGCCAGGCCTCCGTATGGCAAAGCAAACACAAGGAGTAAAAAATCATAAAATAATGGTGCTTTGCATTCTGCATGATTCCACATACTTCGTATCACTGGACATCTGTGTGGGCTAGTTTGTGTCTGTCCCTCTCTCATCCATTACCCTCTTCTGTTCCTTCCCACAAGTGGGTGCTTGACACACAATTCTGTATAAACAACCTCTACTCTTCTCCCTTCCCTGCCTACCATGTGGGTCAGTTGTTCCTGGACAGTTTACCCTGCTTCAGGCAACCCCCCCACATCTCTCCATTAAACCAAATCCACCCTAGGTGCCATTCATTTGGTTTCTAGGTAGTCAGGAACAAACAATTTGGCCTTATTCATAAACTGAAAGAATATTAGCATCATTTAGATAACAACCATTTTAAAGGGGGCCTGATAGAAATAATGCCCTGAATTAATAAGTCTACTCCAAGGAGCAGCTCCCCTGGTGTGCTTCCGGGAGTCGGGGGCTGTGGTGAGGGGATGTCAGGGCAGATAGGCTATTTCAGGTAGGATTGTTCAATTTCAATGTGTCTCCATTACTTACTCTTCTAGGGGTTAATTTCTTCTATGGTAAGATCATAGAAATCATGAAAAATCCTTACAAATCCATAAAATAATGAAACAAATCTTGAATCCTACCATTATCCAGCCCAAAGACAATGTCCCTTACCCCACAGGCATACCACGTGCATTACTGGAGGCAACCAATGAGTCCTGGGGCAGAGCCAAAGAAAAACAAGATTAACACTGGGAAAGAAAGCATTCTTACTCTGGATTCCCTGGTCTATGCCCTTTCAACTATTCCTTCTTGGCAAATCTTGACTTTGTTGTAAAGAATCTAGTTTTTTCCTGCTCTCAAATATGCTTACCCTTTTCTACCCCATTTTCTGTTCTGTTAGCAGGTACAGTGAAGACACATTTTGGAATGAATAGGAGTAGACTTGGATTGTTGAAGGGTAAATGTGCTTGGTTATAAAAACAGTTGTGAAAAGTGCATTTGATTACACGGTAGAATTATGTGCAAACAGCACACAATTTTTCATTTGTCTTACAGGTAGTTTTCATTGCAAAGAACTTGTTGCAAGCAGATTAAAAAGGTACTATTTTCCTGCGCTATTTAATGGTACACAGTTATCTTTTTTTTTAATTGCTTTATTGAGGTAATTGCACATACCATAAAATCCACATTTCAAGTGCACAGTTCAGGTAGTTTTCGTAAATCTACAACCATTACCACAATCCAATTTTAGAACATTTATATCACTGCAAAGAGATCTCTTGTGCCCCTTTGCAGTCATTCCCCATATCTACCCCCAGCTCTAGACCACTGATTATCTGTATCGATTTGCCTTTTCTAGATATCTTACATAGTCAATGTGTCACTTAATGACAGGGGTATGTTTTGGGAAATGCATTGTTAGGCAATTCTGTCATTGTGAGAATATCATACAGTATACTCACAAACCTAGATGGTATAGCCTACTACACACCTAGGCTACATGGTACAGCTTATTGCTCCTAGGCTACAGACCTGTACAGCATGGGACTGTACTGAATACCGCAGGCAATTGTTAACACAATGGTATTTGTGTATCTAAACACAGAAAAGGTAACCCATTGCCCAACGACATTATGAAGGCTACCTCACTTGGTGATAGTAACTTTTCAGCTGCATATAATCTTATGGGACCACCATTGTACAGGTGACCCATCATTGACCGGGGCATGGCTGTAAATAGATCCTACAATACAGGCTCTTACACATCTAGCTTCTTCCACTTAGCTTATCGTTTTTGAGGTTCCTCTATGTTGTATCTTCTATGACTACTTCGTTCCTTTTACTGAGTAGTAGTCCACTGTATGGCATATACTGCATTTTATCCACGCAGCAGTTTCTGGACATTTGGACTGTTTCTACTTCTTGGCTATCATGAATAACACTGTTATTAATATTCATGTACAAGTTACTGTATGAATTTATCTTCAGTTCTCTCAGGCATACGCCTAGGAGTGGAATTGTTGGGTGATAGAATACTTCATGTGTAACTTTTTAAAAAACCTGGAAAACTGTTTTCCAAAGTGGCTGCACCATTTTACATTTCCATAGGCAACGTATGAGGGTTCTAATTTCTCCATCTCTTCACCAACACTGCTATTGTCTGTCTGTCTTTTGTACTACAGCCAGTGTAGTGGGTGTCAAGAACTTCCTTGTTGTGCTTCTAATTTGCATTTCCCTATTAACTAATGATGTTGAACACCTTTTTATGTAATTGTTGATCATTTAAATATCTTTGGTAAAACGTCTATTCAATTGTTTTGCCCATTTAAAATTGGACTATTAGTCTTATTACTGAGTTGTAAGAGTTCTTCATACATTCTGGCTACAAGTCCTTTAACAGATATATGATTTGCCAATCTTTTCTCCCAAGATAAGAGTATTTTTTAACGATGACAACTTTATTCCAAAGTGAAGTTTCCTTGTGGAACAGTAACAGGCTAGTCATGATTGACTTTGTTTCAAAATATTATATAAGTACTTTTAAAATAGTAACTTTTAACTTTTATTTTAGAATACTTGGAAGATGTAGACAAGCAAAAACAGGATACTAAAATTCCAGAGATAATCTTCAGGTTTTTTTTTTTTTTTTTCGGACAGCCTTTTGGTTATGTGAGAGGTAATATAAATTTAAAAGTGGGACCACTTAAATATTAAGTAATCTCTTATTGCAGCTCTTGGTTGGCAAGCAATAAGACACAAACCTCTGAATTATTTAAGTAGAAAATTAATTTATTAAAAGAATGGTTGGTTATGCCTCGCGTGAGTGACAGAGCCAGGGTTTTGTCTTCTATCTTCAGGGCAGGGTACAGCTGGGTATTGGAATTGTACCAAGCAGTGTTTCCCAAGGGGGCACAGAGGGAGGGCCCCTCTCCGGGCACTGTGCGGGAGCCACTTCCCCAAACAGTCCCCGTTCTGCAAGGGCCCCGGCGTTGCTGCCCCCGAGACCCGGGTGCCTGCCCCGGCGGTGCGGGTCGCGGGCCTCCGCTCTCGCCGTCCTCCCTCAGTCCCGGGCCTCCTGCATCGCGGTCGCCAGGCGCAGGCTCAGCGCGGCTGACAGCGCTCCAGCTCCCGCGCTCGCGGCCGCCTCAGGCAGCCGACCGGGTTGGGGCGGCCCCGCGCTCGGCCCGGGAGCCGATCCGCTGTGAGGGCTCCTCCATCTCCTCCCACCCCGTGACCTGCTCGACGCGCAACAGCCCGAGTTGTCTTTAACTTGCTGCGGCAGCCTCTTTGTCCCGACCCAGGGTCGGGGGCACCTCTCGGCCTGGCCCGGCCCTGCCCGTAGCCGTGTGAGCGGGGGCCGGGACTGGGCGGTCGGTCCGGGAGGGGCGCCGCGCCCGACCCCGGAGTCCCGAGCCCGAGGGGAGCGTCGCGGCCCCGCGGTGGGCTCGCCGCAGCGGAGGGGGCGCGCATCCGGGTGAGCGCCGGCGCCCCCGCCTCCCCCGCGCAGCCGCACGGGCCGCCGCCGCCGCTGCCGCCGAGCACGCAGCGCAGGGAGGACCGCGCCCGAGCGCCTGCGGGCGCCCTGCGGCGCCCGCCGCGCGACGAGCCCCAAGTGAGCGGGCAGGCGGCGCGCATGCGGGGCGGCCCGGAGTAGCGCCGCCCGAGCCCGCGAGCGGGGCGCCCGGAGTAGCCGCCGACCCGAGCCGGGCGCGGAGGCGGGGGCGGGCGCGGCGGAGCGGGGCCCGGCCGGACCCGCCCGCCCGCCGGGGGAGCCGCCGGCAGTGGCCGAGGAGCGCGCGGCGGACGGCGGCCCGAGAGTAGCGCGCTGGCCGCGGGACCGGCCGCGACCGCCGCGGCCGGCCCGGAGGACGCCTGCCGCCGCCGCCGCCGCGCGCCTAGCGAGGTGAGTGTATCGCCCGCGGCTGGGCAGTCCCGGAGCCGCAGCGCTGCGCGCGGGTCGGAGGTGGAGAAAGAGGCCCCGCCGCGGCCGCGTCCCCGGTCCCTTTGTGGCCGGCGCTGCCTGGGGCCGGGGCGCGGGCACGCTCGGCGCGGGTTCGGGTCTGGGACCCCGGTGCCGTTGGACACGCGGCGTCTCTGGTTGGCAGCTTTGGCGAGCAGCGAGTTTCCGTCCTAGTTTGACATTGAGTTAGAACCGTTTTTCTTTAGAAGACGGAAGTTTGTTTTATTGACAAAAATAAAGCTAAATATGGCTTCTGGGTTCGGCCGTGTGGTACTTGCAACCGCGGTGCCAGCCTGACCCTCGCGGCGCCACGGGGGAGGGGAAGACACGCCGGCAGCGGGGGAGGGGGCTTCCCGGCCCGCTGCCCCCGAGGAGGACCCGGACCTAAATTAGCAAATGTTTGTGGTTGGGAAGTAGCGGGCTTTAGGTAATGTAGTAGCTTTTCCGCTTTTCCTGGAAGAATGAATGAATGAGATGTCATTTACTCATCCATAATCAATACGTTGCCCATTTAAGCATTTACCAGGAATTGGGATGATTTGCATTGTCATTGCTTCTCTTATCTGGTCAGCCTTGCTAGATGAGGTTCCCTTACTCCCCAGATTTGTGACCTTGTCCTCATTCTCAAAGCCACTGAGCTAACCAACCCGTCTACCAAACTCACTTGGCATTTTTTTGGTCAAGTGGGCAATAGGCAAAGTAGTCTTTCTGAACTGTTTCTGGAGGGCAGAGAATGTCACTTTGATCATATCTTATGTTTAATACATTGCTTTATAATCGTGTCAAGAACGCTGAGAGTTAGGAGGTCTTGTCATTTCACAGATGAAATAGTGAAGGCCCTAAGAAGTTGCAACTTTTCAGGTCACAATCTGAGCAGCAGAGTTGGGATTCAAACCTAGACCTTGTTAGTCCAGTCCTCTTTACATCACATCTGTGTCCAGACCTGGACTGTCCAGCGTGGGAGCCACTAACCACATGTGACTATTAAAATTAAATTTTAAAAATTCAGCTCCTCGGTCACAGTAGCCACATTTCAAGTGTTCCATAGCTAAATGTGGTTCTTTGCTACAGTTGAACAGCCCTGGTCTAAATTATACATACATTTGTTGTGTCAGTAAATATTTACTGAATGCGATCTGTCTATGAGGCACAGTTTTAAGTTCTGGGTACATGGTGAATAAGGGAGACACAATGTCCTTGCCCTATTGGAATTGACATTTTACATGATCCTTTGAGGATGTTTCCATGGTACTCCGAGTCCTGCTATTCCAAGTGTGGATGGTGTACCAGCAGCATCCCTGTCACCTCAGACTCAAGTAATGCAGAATGTGAAGCCCCGCTGCACATCAACTGAATCAGTATCTGCTTTACCAGGATTTCAAGTTATTTGTGTGCACTTTGAAACCTGAGAAGCCTTTGTTCAGCGTGCTGGTGATAACTGCGTTTAATGACTGCTCTGCTGGTTTGTTTGGTGCCTCTTAAGCAGCAGACTGCAAAACTCTTGGGAGCACTCACCATTTATGCAAATACTTGTTAAATGCCTGGCTTTCTCAATAGAGTTTAAGCTTTATGAGAGCAGAGATTGTGGCTTCCTTTTCCAGCCATGTATCACTGAAGACTTTACAGTGCCTGGTAAGCAATAAGCACTTGGTATAAATGCTTGTTGGATAAACGAATGAGTGTGCTAGGATACTTAAGCGTGGTTGTTAGCTGGGTGTGGTGGCATGCGTCTGTAGTCCTAGCTATTCCAGAGTGACAGCGCGAGACCCTGTCTCAAAAAACTGAAAACCCAACAACAACAAAACTGATTGTTAATCCCAAGCAGTTACAGGCAAGGTAATTCTCATGACATCAGGTGAGAGAGCATGGGACCAGAGTCAAAATGAAGATAGATCTGTTTGTAACTTTCAGTGGGACGCTCCAGCTACTCTGACTGGAGTTTTGCTCCTGGCTCACTTGCATGCCCTATCCCTCTTTTAACTAATATAATAATAATTTTGAATCTGAATCACACATTAGTGCTTCATATAGTTTTTAAAAAATTTTGTATTTTTTTAGGTAGCTAAATTCCAGACATTATTTGGATTTCACCAGTTTTTCCGTTAATATCTTCTTTCTGTTCCAGAATCCAGTCCAGTGTACTACATTGTATTTTGACATCATGTTTCTTTAATATTTGGTTTGTGATAGTTTCTGTCTTGTCTGGTTTTCCATAACTTTGGTAGTTTTGAGGAATACTGTCCTGGCTTTCTTTGATGGACAGCTTTCCATACTCATTCTCATGAAAGGTCACAATCAGGTTGACGCTGTTTCTGCTTTTACTTATTTATTTATGTAATACATCTGTCATGCTTATGTAACATACAACTTTGGTACTTTTTTTTCAGTAACAGATTTCTTGGATACAGTTCCTAATTGGTTGAGATGCAGAAGAGTGTTATACCATTGCAGTTATATACCAAGTTTTATTTTTTGATGGGTTAAGAGCTGGGCTGAGGTAGAGGAGGAAGGAAAGAGGAGAGATCAGTTAAAAGAGGCAGTTAGGCAAAGAGGGACCAAGGCAAAGGGAGTGACAGATAATGGAGGAAGAGGAGTGCGGCAACTTCGTAGAAGAGAGTTAGGAGTGACTACTTACTGTTTGTTCATTTATTCAATTAATATTTATTGACTCAGCAGTCCCAGTCTCTCTGGCACCAGGGACCAGTTTTGTGGAAGACAGTTTTTCCGTGGACCAGGTTGGGGGCCAGGGGAATGGTTTCGGGATGAAACCGTTACACCTCAGATCATCAGGCATTAGATTCTCATAAGTCTTGTGCAACCTAGATCCCTCATATGTAAAATTCACAGTAGTGTTTGCCCTATGAGAATTTAATGCCGCTGGTGATCTGACCGGAAGGAGGTGGAGCTCAGGCAGTAATGCTCGCTTGCCCACTGCTCACCTCCTGCTGTGTGGCCAGGTTTCTAACAGGCCACAGACTGGTACTGGTTCATGGCTTGGGGGTTGGGGACCCCTGTATGGAGCGATTAATGTGTGCCACACCCAGTGCTGTAGTCTCAAGATAACTGGGGGTGGATAGCATTAAATAAACATGCAAATAAGTACATAAATACAATTTGTGATTATTGCTACACATTAGCAGTAAAGGATGCTGGAGAGATTGTAGGTGGGGGAACTTCAGGTTGGCTGGGTTGGGGAGGACGGCTTCTCTGGGTATGTAACATTTAAACTCCTGCACCTGACTTTTGGGGACCCTTCAGAGTTACCCTCCACATTTCTTATCCCATTTTTATGTTATTTCACAACCCCCGACACATGCCTCTTTCTTCATAGGCACTTTGCTTATTTCTGGCTCTGTACCTTTTTATGTGATTTCTTCTCCTTCCCAAGATGTCCCCTTCTCCACCTCCACTTGTGGAAGTGCTACCTGTTTTTCATAGATTTGCTCAAGGTCTTTCTCCTTGATGAAGTTATTCACTGTTGATTTATGCCTCTTGAGTGTATGGTGTTTAAGGGTAGGGATAACAGTTTACATTTATATCTGTGTGTCCTCATTTAGTCCTCAGTTACCTGGTTGCTTCCAATGGTATCATTTTGTAAAGCTATAGTACAATTTCCAGACCTGTAATAGTCACATTGAAACAGTCAAGATAGAGAAAATTTTCATGGCCACAAGATTTCCTTATGTTTTTTTGTAGCCACACCTACTACCCTTCTACCTCCACCCCCTCCTTAAACTCTGACAATTACTAATTTGTTCATTTCTGTAATTTTGCCATTTTAAGAATGTTTTATAAATGGGATAAGTGTCTTTTGGAATTGGCTTTATTCACTCAGCATAATTCTCTGGAGATTGATCCAGGTTGTTGCATGTATCAGTAATTACTCCCTTTTCATTGCTAAGTAATATTCCATAGTATGAATGTACTTTTACGGATCTTTTAACCATTTACCTGTTGAACATCTGGTTGTTTCTAGTTTTTGGCTATTGTGAATAAAGCTGCTGTAAGCTTTTGTGTATAGGTTTTTGTGTGAACAGAGTCTTTATTTCTCTGGGATATATGCCCAGGAGTACACTTACTGGGTTGTGTGGCAGTTGCATGTTTAGTTTTTTAAAAAACTGGTGAGCTGTTTTGTAAAATGTTCTAGCATGGCTGGAACATCCCAAAGTGCCGGGATTACAGGCATGAGGCACCACGCCTGGCCTGTCACCATTTAGCCATTCTGATAGGTGTATAGGGATGTCTCATTGTGGTTTTAACGTGCATTTCCTTAAAGGCTAATGATGTTGAACACTTCTCATGTGCTTATTTGTCAACTGTATATTTTCTTCAGGGAACTATCTTTTGTTCATTTTCTAATGGGATTGTTTGTCCTTTTTACTATTAACTTTTGAGACTTGTTTATTCTTTATATATTCTAAATACTGGTCCTTTGTTGGGTATGTTGTTTGTCTGTAGCTTGTCTTTTCATCCCCTTAATAAGGTCTTTTGCAGAGCAAAAGTTTTAAATTTGTTGAAGTCCAGTTTCTCAGTTTATTTTTTTATGGATCATTCTTTTTGGTGTCAAGTCTGGGAACTCTTTGCCTAGCCCTAGATCCTGAAGATTTTTCCCTTGTGCTTTTTTTCCCTAATAGTTTTGTGGTTTTTACATGATCCAGTTTATGAAGCTGAGATTTAGGTCAAAATTGTGTGTGTGTTTGTGTGTGTGTTTATGCGTGTGTCTATGGATGTTCAGTTACTTCAGCACCATTCCTTGAAAAGGCTGTCATTCCTCCGTTGAATTGCCTTTGTATCTTTGTAAAAAAGCATTTGGAGCTGGGAGTGGTGGGCATGGGCATGGGGTAGACTGATTCCTCCTACACTTTTTTTCCCCCGTTATTTTAGCTGTTCTAGTTCCTTTGCTTTTCCTTATAAATTGTAGAATAATCTTGTTTATATCTACAAAAAAGGTCTTTCTGGGCTTTTGATACAAATTGCAGTAGACCTGTATCAGTATGGAGAAGATCGACGTCTTTAGTATGTATGTTGCATTTTTCAATCTGTGAACACAGGTTGTCTCTCCATTTATTTAGATCCTTGATTTCTTTCATCAGCATTGTGTAGTTTTATCATGCAAGTCCTGTACATATGTTTTGTTAGTTTTTATTGGATTTGTTTTGTTACATTTGTAAGTAAATATTTCTTTTTATATTTTAGTAATTGTAACGGTATTTTTAATTTTGGTGTCCATGTACTCATTGCCAGTATGTAGAAATATAATTAACTTTCATATGTTGATTTTGTATTCCACAATCTTGCTGAACCTACTTATTAGTTCTAGGAGTTCTTCTGGAGATTCCTTGGGATTTTCTATGCAGACTACCATGTTACCTGCAAAGAGGAACAATTTTATTCTTTTCCTTTTTAATCTGCACACTTTTTCTTGCCTTTTCTTGCCATGTTGCACTGGCTGAAATATCAGCACTATGATGAATAAGAAGGGTGAGAAAGGACAGTCTTTGTGATCTTGGGGGAAAGCATTCCTTCAGTCCTTAACTATGAGGTATAATGTTAACTATAGGATTTTCATGGATGCTGTTTATCAAGTTAGGGAAGTTCCTCTCTGTTCCTATCTTCCTGAGAGTTTTTATCATGAGTGAGTGTTGAATTTTATTGTGTTTTTTGTTCATCAGTTGATCTGATCATGTGATTTTTCTTCTTTAGCCTGTCAATATGGTGCATTGTATTGATTTATTTTTTAAATATTGAGCCAGCCTTACATCCATGGCATGAAACTTGGTCACAGTATAACACTTTTTGTACATATGTTGCTGAATTCCATTTACTAATATTTTGTTAAGGAATTTTGCACTTAGATTCATGGGGGCATTTAGCAATGTTTCCCTCTCAGCACTGTTTTCTCTGTGTTCCACACCTTTGTTTTATTTTTATTTCCATTCAATTCAATGTCTGTTTTTATTTTATCTTGGGACTTCCACTTTGAGCCATGGTATGTTGAAGAGGGCTGTTGAGATTCCAAGTATTAGGAAATTTTCCTTTCATCTTCTGTTTTCGGTTTCTAGTTTGATTCCATTTTGGTTGGAGAGCACACTCTGATTTCAGTTCTTTTAAATTTATTGAGGTTTGTTTTACAGCCCAGAATATGGTCTGTCTGTGGGCCCCTGAATGAAATGTGTTTTCTGCTCTTACATCCTGTTGGTTGATGATGCTGTTGAATTCTGTGTCTTTGCTTGTTTTTGTCAAGGCATTCTATCAACTGTGGAGAGAGAAGGCCAGTTATTTTCTCTGGTTATGGGACTCTGTGTTGATAGTTCTTTCAGCCCTTGAAAAAATTATACCACTTTCTTCTGGCTTCCATGGTTTCTGAGGAGAAATCCACTGTCATTCTAATAATTTTTCCTCTGTAGAAAGGAATCGTTTTTCTCTCACTGTTCTCAGGATTTTTTCTTCGTCTTTAGTTTTCGAAAGTTTTATTATGATACATTTCGGTGTGGATTCCTTTGGGTTTATACTGCTTGGGGTTCACTCAGATTCCTAAATCTGTAAGTTTATGTCACTTGCCAAATTTAGGAAGTTTTCACCATTACTTTTTTGAGTACTTTTTCAGCCTGCCCTCTTTCTCCTCTTCTTTCAAGACTCTGATGACTGGAATGTTCAGTCTTTTGTTATGATTCCACATGTTTTTGAGGCTTTGTCAATTTTTCTTTAGTCCATTTCTCTCTTATTCATATTGGGCTCTTGTCTTCCAGTTCCTTTCCTGTGTCCTTCCCTCCCTTTCTGCTGCTGAGTCTTTTTATTTTGGTATTTTTCAGCTCTAAAATTTGCTTTAGGTTTTTCTTCATATCTTGTATTTCTTTGTTGAGGCTTTTTGTTTATTTATTCTTAATTTGTTTCAAGCATGCTTGTAATTATTGAAGCATGTCTATCACAGCTGCTTTAAAATTGTTGTCAGATAATTCTAACATCTCTCTTCTTGGTGTTGCTGCCTCCTGATGTCTTTTTCATTCAGTTTGAGTTCATCCTGGCTCTTGGTATGATGAGTGATTTTTAAATGAAAACCTGGGTGTTTTTATATTATACTATGAGATTCTGGATCTTACTTAAGCCTTCTGTTTTAGCTCGCTTTGTTTTGATACCACCCTGGCGGGGGAAGGTTGGTGGGGAGGGCACATGGCACTGTCTAGTGATCACTAGAGGAAATTAGAAGTACAGGCTCCCCACTTGGCCTTTCTTGACCCAAGAGGTACAGTATCTTGTTTCCACCAGGTGGGAGTAGAGGTCCAGGATATCCGGGGGAGAGGGTGTATGTGGAAGGGTGCCTTGTTACCAGCTGATGTAAATGAAAGCTTGGGCTCCCTACTTGGCCTTCTCAACACCACCCTGGTGTGTGGGAAGTGGGTGCCTTATTATAACCCGGGGAGTACGTGAAGTCTAGGCTACCCACCTGACCTTTGTTGGCATGGGTCGGGGTAAGGCTACAGTTTTTTTCTGTGATGTTTGTCTGGAGTAGAGTGGTTTTTTTCCTATCAGTTTTCTGTCTCAGTAGGATGTCCCTTTCTTGGTCTTTTGACTTTTTTTCCCTTCTGCTTCTGTTAATGTTTCCAGGTTTCAGATTGCTGCCATTTTCAACTCCAGAAAGCTGGGATATATGAGGCAAAAATAAGTCTCAGGGAACTCACCATTTTATTGTTCCTTGCAGCCTGAGGTCCCTAGCCTTCTTCTCTCCACAGTTAAGAATCTTCTCATGTTTGTTTTATATGTAATGTTCAGAGTTTTCAGTTGTGCTTAGTGGGAGGAATAGGGAAAATACATCTGCTTCATCTTCCTGGAATTGAATATCCCCGAAGGATCAGTTTGTAACATTTCTTCTTTTCATGGGCTGATGTTTTCCTAATATGTGTAAAATATGAATTGCAAGAAAAATGAAATTAAAAACCACAATATATAATTTCCATTTCAAAAATTATTGGATTCAGTAGATGTAACATTTATCTGTCAAATTGCTACCAAAGTTTCTAAATGCTTGCTCTCACCCTCTCTCCTTACTCCTCATGGACTAGGTGAGTGCCAGTTTGCCATCTAGGAACTAGACTTTGACTAGCACTGCCTGGAGTGTTACTGCTTGATTCTTTTTAAAATGATAGACTAGTGATTAGCCATTCAGTTGAACTTCTCTGCTGTTTTCCATGGATTTTTGTAGGGACACCTTCAATGTGAAGCCCATTTTAGTCCTTAATGGGGAGGGATGTTTGGGATTGTTTTGAGGGCAGATGTAGCAGCGGTGATGAGAGTTGAGAGTGCATCTCTGATTTCAAGTGATCCATTTGTTGTTCAGTGTTTAGAATTCTTATAAATTTTTACAAATTATAAATTCTTATAAATCGTTATGAGACTCCTTTAAATCCTTCGTTGTAATTTATGACTTCTAATGTTAGAGAACATATGATTGATTTTGATTCTGTAAAGATGTCTAAGTATTGGCTTCCAGTATGTTAATCTTTTGATTGACAGCCTTGAGTATAGGACAAACTTCTATGGGAACCAGGAGGTGATTTGAAGACAGTTCTTTAGGTTTAAGCATCATGGAAGTTATGACTTCTCATTGAAAAAAGAATATTTTTAAAGTATCAGTTCATTTGTAGAAAGGAGTAGAATTTGCATTGCATTGGTAGAGACACATACTAAGTTATTGGATTGTCCTTTGGAATCTACACATTATGTTTTATAATTTATTGTTGTCTTTCAGGTTAAAGGGTAGGAGGAAATTTCTGGGACTATTGAAACTCTCATTTGTCCATTCCTAAGAATTAGTGAGTTATCAGTAAACACTTTACTAACATTTACAAGTCCCCATGCGTGGCAGGGACTGTAAAAAAAGGTAGGAAGGCAGCACTGTCATAGTGGAGAGGCCTGATGCTTTGGAGATTGAAGTCCATATTGTGTTCGTATTAGGACTGCAGAATAAATTTTAATTATTTTAAGTGTTTCCATGCAAAGGGAACACTGTCTCAAGTAACAGAACTGATATAGGGAGAGTAGCCGTGAGAGTTTCAACTTTTACTTAGACTGGGGGCAAAAGATGACTAAAACAGCTCTGCCACTGGGGATAGGAAATAAGGGTAACATGGTCTCTGATCTGAAACCTGTGAGGGGATTGAGAAAGTAGAGGGAAGAAAAGGGTGGTTAATTTAGACTGAGAGTCTTTGAACAGGGCTGGAAATCCTTTGATGAGCAACCTCTGGGGCATTTCATTGCATGAGATGTATACATACTCCTGGAGAGAAAGGACCTTTGTGGCAGGAGCTTTTCACTGGAAATGCTTTGAGAAGGGGATGCAACACTGGCAGCTTATCAGCTGGTCCTTGTGCTGTGGTCCTGCCCTATGCTGTGGTAATAGTAAGTTGGTTCAGACAGATGTGAATGTAGGCTATTGATAATTGGAGATGGGGAAGCAAAACAAAATAAATCACAACTTAGAATATCTCTGGCCATATACCAAGCACAATTCTAAGTGCTGTACTTATATTAATTCATTTGCTCTTTATAACAAAATTAAATGGCACTGAGAAGATAAGTGGTAAAGCTGGACAGGTAAACCTGTCCCCATGGCTGTGCATTTAATGTGTCAGTCTGGCTCCACAGATTATGGTCTTAACTGTTTAACTAGACTACCTTGCTCGGATAGTTTGGGAAAGATTGAGAGGGGCTTTGAATACCAACAAAAAGAGTATGGATGTTCTTTGGAATGCAGGAGGGAGCTGTTGAAGGATTTTGACGAGGGCATTGATTGACATAATCAGAATTAAGCTTTAACATACATGTAGGTGAGTGATTGCTATTTCAAAAGACTAGAGGTAGGAAATGAGGCTAATGCACTACTTCACATGACTTTGTATGCAGGAGCATACAGGTGCATTTTTAGAAATGGAATCAGATGGTCTCGTCAATGGGTGAAGGAAAAATAAGTCAATCACTTGATTTGTAAGGGGTGTCACCATTAACAGCAATGGAAAAAAACAGAGTTTGAGAAGAGTTAATGAATGTGTCTTGGTACATATCCAGTTGCAGGTGTCAGAGAAGGATTCCAGGTGGAACTGTCCTGTAGGCTTCATAGTTGGAGCACTGCATCTTGTTGGGAGAGGTCAGGTCTGGAGGTGCAGATGAGCATCATCAGCATTGAAATGATGAAAACAGGGAGTGGTAGAAAGGGCTGAGGAATAAACCTGAGGGGATACTTACAGTTACGGGCCCGGATGAGGAAAGTGACTTTTACATCCTCACTGGGCACATATTTATTGAGTATCTGTTTGTGCCAGGCACTGTGACTACAATGGGAACTAAACAGACATAGATCCTGTCTTTGTTGATCATACAATTTAATGAGGAAGATAAAAATAGAAACAATTAAGTAAACAATGGGAGAAATGACATTTCAGCTGAGACCCAGAGGTCAAAAAGATTTTAATAATACAAAGAGTATGGGCAAGAGGATTCTGGTAAAAAAGAATGCTATGCACAGAGACTGTGTAGCAAAGAGGACTCATTCTGTTTAAGGAACTGAAATACCAGTGTGGCTGAAGGGCCATTGGTGCAAGGGATGGGGGTGGGGTGAGATGAAGGTAGGAAAATTGGCATGGTATAGCTGATGCAAGACCTCATTCTCAGTGCTGTTGAAAGGTTTTGAGTAGGAGAAAGCTCTGCTCCTGATTTTAAGCAGATCACCCCTGCTGCAGTGTGGAGAATGGATTTGGGTGAGAGGGTGGGATGGGTAAAGGGGAGGCATGGAGATCAGTTGGGAAGCTCTTGCAGGAGGCCTGGACTAAATGGTGGTAGTGGATATGTCTGAGGCTGGGGATCAGGCTCTGGTGTTTGTCTCAGCAAGCTCTTCTGGCCTTCACCTTAGTACCTTTGTTTTTCTTTATCATCATATGTATCATGTTACCCCTCTCTGTTTATCCTTGCCCCTTTTAGACTGTGAATCCCTTATGTAGGGATAAGGACCTTCTCTTACTGGTCTGCCTACCACCTGAAAAGTGATCAGTAAATGTTGAATAAATCAATGTACTTGTCTTCATACTGAGGTTGTTTTCCTGTTGTTGTTGTTGTTTTTCCTTGAGAGGAGTTGCAAGACGTGGGAGGCTGTGGGCAGGGTTCCACGGGAGAAGGAGGATGCTGCATGTCTGGGACTTGTGAGGAGGAAGCACTGAAGAAATCTATGTGGCACACGGAGGTGTTTTCAGGTGTTGAACCATAGGGAGGTCTACGTGATTTCCTCATTAGGAGGATTAGAGAGGGCAGAGTCAGGAAACCAATAGAGGAGGCCTTATAAAGAAGACAGTTGCTGATGTCCAGTGCTGCTGAACAGGCAGGAGGGTGAAAAGATTCTTTCTCTGCTCTCTGTAGTTTTAGCAGAGGCGGAAGAGCAGAAATCTATTACCAGGGGATAGGAGTGACAGCAAATGTAGACCATTCCCTGAGGAAGTATTTGGGAGAGGAGAAAGGAGGAGATTGTAGCTTGCATTCGGGGTAGTTGAGGCAAGTGGTTTTTAGGATAGGAAGGAGCAGAACCTATTATTAGTAGGTCGTAGGTTATGTTGAGTCAGGGTAGTAAGGTATATGAGAGTCACTGAGGGGTGACGGGGGACAAGGAAGGTCAACTGTGGTGACTGGAGATGGCAAGCACCCCATTGCAAGAGGGCAGCTAATCACCTACTAGGATTTTGCTCTTTGGGTATGCTCAGTCAGTGGTGGCAGATAATTTTTTTTTTTTAAACCAGAGAAGCTAGAATACAAGTCTTTTTTGTTTTGAGATGGAATCTTGCTCTGTCACCCAGGCTGGGGTACAGTGGCGCGATCTGGGCTCACTGCAACCTCCGCCTCTCGGGTTCAAGCTATTCTCCTGTCTCTGCCTCCTGAGTAGCTGGGACTACAGGCACGTGCCATCACACCTGGCTAAGTTTTGTATTTTTAGTAGTGACGGGGGTTTCATCATGTTGGTCAGGCTGGCCTTGAACTCCTGACCTCAGGTGATCTACCCACCTCAGCCTCCCAAAGTGTTGGGATTACAGGAGTGAGTCACCGTGCCCAGCCTATAATACAAATCTTGATTTTTCAAGTGCAATGTCCTGATTTTGGCAGTTAAATCAGTTTTTAAATCTTTTCTTTGGGCGGGGGGCGGGGGCAGGAGTAGGGGACAAAACCCTTGTCTCTGGCATAACTTTGCCTGAAAGTTACCTTGGGAGAAAGGGCTGATGGCATTGGTTGGTGAATGTGAAAGAGAAGAGGAGTTATTTGTGGAGCAAGGCTTCTAAGGCTTTGAAAAGGAATGTAATTAAGTGTACAAATAAAGAGTATTATCCTTAAAAAGGAGAAAAAACTCAGAGGAACAAGGGAGTGTGAGGTAAAAGTGAGGTGGAAGGAACTCCGGTCTGATGAGGTGGGATTTCTCTGTAGAGAGGCAAGGACTATGTTGGCTGGTCTGAGGATGTGCACAAGGGAAGGTAGAGGGTGAGAGAGGGGGTCCAGGAGAGGAGCTGTAAAGAATAGTAAGGCTTGGTCTGGCTAGTTAGTGTAGGTTTACAGGGGACCTTGCCAGTGTTTCAGAACTTTCTAATGCCACTATCCTAGAAGTTGAAGCAGAAAAAGTGAAGAGTAGAACTTACTGAGGGTTAGAGATTGTATGTAAGGCTGAAAGGTCCAATGAAGTGAGGGATTTTTTGTGTGTCAAAGAGTACCTTATTACAAAGGTAATATGACTTCTGTGTTGGAAGCTGAGCACATTAAACTAGAAGGCTGGTTAAGTGTACTAGGAGGCAACTTCCTGCAGACGGAGAAGAACAAGTTTGGCAGGGGTGAGGGAACCTAAGCCCCAGTGGTCAGGAGACCATGATGGTGGTGTATTTTATGCCTGGGTTTGGTTTTGGCTGAAGAGTAGTTTAAGGTATAGACAGGCAGGTTGGTGTTGAGACTCGAGACAGAGGACAAATCAGGATTGAGGCCAATGGGGACTATAAGCTTGGATGTTGCTGCTAACAGAGGTTTGAGGTGAGCTTTGGAAATGGGGAGGAAGATGGTAACTCTAGTGTTGAAATCAACTCATTAGGGGAGGCTAGATGGTGCCTTAAAGATCAGTGTCAGTGTGAGGGTAAGTTTTTTGGGATGGGGCCTAAATGAAGAGGCAGATTCTGACAAATACACAATTCAGATTCTCCTGTTACAATATGATATTTCAATAGCATGGAAAATATCCCATGTAAAATACTCTTAATATATAACAAAAAAGTAATGTAATATTTAATAACAAGATAATTTACATAATGAAATGATATATGAAAAGATTTTGCTTAGAGGAAAGAGAGGTGGAGTCTGCCTGGGACACACACACAGAGATGCTGGCCCTGACCTGATTTGTTCTGATTTACTAGCAACTCCCAGACTTGTGGGAGGTGACAGTGGCTGATCCAATCATACCATCACTTGGGAGCCTAAAAGTACTTGCAGTACCAACTTTTTGAGGGATGACTGACTTGAAAAAATTCTTCAGATTTCCCTTAAACTTTTAACAGTGGAAGAGCATTGATTTGTTTAGTAACCAGACCATAAACCTATGGCAACAAGCTGCTGCGTGTCCACTCTCTGCCCTCCAAACAAAACTAAACAGAAACATTGTGAATTTAGGGATGCTCTTTTCTCTCACCTGATGTTAACATGTTTTTGCATAAAAAATACTCTTGGCAGAGTGGGACAATAAGATAATTTTTTTTACATTATTAAATAGTGGCAATTTTTTTTTCTTAAGAGAAAAAATAACATGTTTACATAGTAAAATATCCTGACGGTATCAAAAAGTACACAGTGAAAACTAACTGTTCTATTCTAGTAATTTTTTCTTAATGTTGTAAATGGAAGTCATAAATATTTCTGGGCCAGATGAGAGTTGCCTCAAAATTATTTTCTGAATTAGAATATTATGAAGAGATATGATAACTAAGCTAGATGGGAAAGAAATTACCAGTTGGGTGTGACATGCTGGTAGGCATTTTTAAAAAGTTAAATTTGGGGTGCATTTTGAGAAATGGAAGGAGGTGGGGAATGTGTATTTGAGAGAGAGAGGGTGCTGCGAAAACTAAGGAAAACAGCAGAGAGTTTGGAGAGAATTTAGGATACTGATTTTAAATATAGAGATTAGGGTAGATTATGTTGGAGAAGAACAAAGCACAAAGAGGCTTTCACAGTCAATGGGGGTTTATCTGAGCCCTGAACTAGAAAAACTCTTTTCCCCAGAGACCCCAAATGGGAGCTCTGACTGTAGCTTGATTCAGATTGGGTCAAAAAGGTGGAAATAGGTAGACAAGTCAAAATAGACGGGGTTCTAGGAGGCTATGGTAATAATAATATCATTCCTGGAAAAAATTGTTGAAGGCTTTAAACCTGAAGCAAGCCAGCTGGGTAACTTTTATATTCTTCTCTCACTTCTGAATGTTCTTTGCCTTTAAATGCTATTGAACTATAATAGAGTTTCATTATGAACTTGAACCTTATGTATGCTAAAAAAGTGTGTTGAGCTAGAGAGGTGGGAGTTAGGGGGAAGGGCATAGAAACTTGGTTCTTCGTGAAAGGTCTCCACCCTAGTGTACTTGTAGATACCTGAGAGTGAGTGTTTTTTTCTTTCTTTATTTTTTTACAGAACTCTTTGAAAGGGACTTTATAAAAATACACCCTAGAATTTCACCGGGCAGAAATTTCAGGTCAGATATAGGTGGGCCCACTTCCTCCCATGCAACTCAACTCCACACCATAGTTCCTCACATCTCTAGGGGAAGTCTCCATACCTTATTCCATTGCTCATCACATCTTAGCCTCTGGCTTTCTCACTGTATTTACTAGAACATCTTTCCAAGACTTGCTGTTCTTATCCTCAGCAGAGCCTCCAGTTCCAACATGAGCCCCAGCACAGTATGTTCATGTTGTACTCCACTGACTGTTCTTCATTCACTACTCAATTGGATTCTTCAGTTGTAGGCAGTAGAATCCACCTCCGCCTAACTTAGCAGGAGTTAATTTATTGGAAAGGAATTAGAAGCTCACAGAACCGATGGAATTCTAGAGAACCAGCCTTGGGAACAGATTAGTGGAAACTAAGGCAACTCTTGGGGGCTAGGAAGCAGAATTGCAGGAGTGACCTGATCAACAGATTACCACTGGGATGATTGAACCCAGTCTGTTCTTTCATCCTTGAATGTTACTTGCCCAAGATTTAAGAGTCCTGGAGAAAGCATCTAGTTGGTGAAACCTAGGTCATGCTGGATGTACCAGGGGTGAGAGTAGGGATTTATAGTATTTGCAAGAACCTCCAGGAATCCCTTTGGCATCCATTAGTGGGAGGGTAGTCATATGGAGTTACATTCTCACTGGGATTATACAAGGGCAGGTAATTCTCCAACAGGAAATTAGGACGTGGGGAGAGATGGATGCTGAGCAGCCAAAATGAAATACCTCCTCCAGACCCCTTGTCAACATTAAATAACTTAATGACTCTTTACATTCTAGTAGTTTACTTATATAAGACAAATAATGACAGTTTGTTTAGTGCTTTTCTCAGTAGAATTTGTATTGTGTCTGATATTGGCCCTTTACATGCTGCTCCTTTAATTATCTCAACAGTCTTGTGATATAGGCAGCTTGTATGAACTGACCTGGTAGTAGGTGTCAGGAGTCAGGGTGCAAACTCAAGCAATCTGGGCTACCTTGCCTATATGCGGTTTAAAACATTATCATGAATTAGTTAATACTTTTAAATGAATTTGGATTCATCGGTCGTTAGCATATGTGTACTTTTAAAATAATAGTCAAATTCATGTAATAAAACAGTTTACATCTTTTAAGTCACAACTTAAGTTCATCTTTTCAACATATATATGTAAATGCCTTGAAATTAGGCATTAAATGCTGTGATTCTTTATGCTGGGGACATTCTAAGACTTCACTTCTAGCTGTTTTGAATTATACAATATATCATTGTTAACTATAGTCACCTGACTATACTATTGAGCAATAGCTTTTCATCTAACTCCCCTCCCCTCCCCTCCCCTCCCCTCCCCTCCAATCCCCTCCCATCCCCTCCCCTCCCTTCTCTTCTTTTTCAACAGAGTCTTGCTCTGCTGCCCAGGGTGGAGTGCAGTGGCGCGACCTCAGTTCACTGCAGCCTCCGGATTCAAGCGATTCTCCTGCCTTAGCCTCCCAAGTAGCTGGGATTACAGTGCCCACCACCACCCCCTGCTAATTTTTGTATTTTTAGTAGAGATGAAGTTTCACCATGTTGGCCAGGCTGGTCTCGAACTCCTGACCTCAGGTGATCTTCCTGCCTCGGCCTTCCAAAGTATTGGGATTACAGGCGTGAGCCACTGTGCCTGGACAATCTAACTGTATTTTTGTACCCAGTAACCAGTCTCTCATCTCCCCTTCTCCTCCCTACCCTTCCCAGCCTCTGGTAACCATCATTTCACTCTCTACCTCTGTGAGATCCACTTTCTTAGTTCTCACATACGAGTGAGAACACGAGGTATTTGTCTTTTTGTGCCTGGCTTATTTCACTTAACGTAATGACCTGCAGTTCCATCCATGTTGTTGAAAATGATAGGATTTCATTTTTTATGGCTGAATAATATTCCATTCTATCTATGTACCACATTTTCTTTATCCATTCATCTATTGATGGATGCTTAGGTTGATTCCATTATTTTGGCTATTGTAAATAGTACTGCAATAAACATGGGAGTGTCTATATCTCTTCAATATACTGATTTCCTTTCTTTTGGATATATACCCAGCATTGGGGTTGCTGGATCATATGGTACTTCTGTTTTTAGTTTTTTAGGAACCTCCATGCTGTTTTCCTTAATGGCTGTACTAATTTACATTCCCACCAACAGCATATAAGGGCTCCCCTGTCTCTGCATCCTTGCCAGCATCTGTTATTTTCTTGTCCTTGTAGTAAAAAGCTATTTTAACTAGGGTGAGATGATATCTCATTGTGGTTTTCATTTGCATTTTCCAGGTGATGTATCCAGGCGTTTTTTTTTTTTTTTTTCATGTACGTGTTGGCTATTTGTATGTCTTCTTTTTATTGAAATCTTTAGCCCATTTTACAATTGGATTATTTGTTGTTTTGCTTTTGAGTTCCTTGTAATTCTGGTTATTAATCCTTCATTGGATGGATAGTTTACAGGTGTTTTCTCCTATTATAAACAGGTTATCTCTTCACTTTGTTGTTTCCTTTGCTCTGCAGAAGCTTTTTAGCTTGATGTGCTCCCATTTGCCTACATTTACCTTTGTTGCCTGTGTTTTTGAGGTCCAACCCAAAAAGTTTTTGCCCAGACCAATGTCCTGAGGCATTTTTGCAGTGTTTTCTTCTAGTAGTTTAATAGTTTCAGGTATGAGATTTACACTTTTTTTTTTTTTTTTTTTTAAGACAAGGTCTCACTCTGTCATTCAAGCTGCAGTGAATTATGGCACAATCACAGCTCACTGTAGCCTTGAACTCCGGGGCTCAAGTGATCCTCCCACCTCAGCCTCCTAAGTAGCTGGGACCACAAACATGCACTGCCACATCCAGCTAATTTTCTGTATTTTGGATAAAGACCTGGTTTCACCAGGCTGGTCCCAAACTCCTGAGCTCAAGCAGTCTGCCCGCCTTGGTCTCCCAAAGTGCTGGGCTTACAGGTGTGAGCCATTACGCCTAGCCAGATTTAAGTTTTTAAATCCATTTTGAGTTGATTTCTGTATATGATGAGAAATAGGGATCTAGCTTTATTCTTCTGTGTATGGTCATATAGTTTTCCCAGCTGGATTTATTGAAGAGACTGTCCTTTCCCCAGTGATTATTCTTCTTGCCTTTTTCAAAAATGAGTTGGCTGTAAATGCGTGGATTTCTATCTGGGTTCTGTATTCTGTTCCATTGATCTTTGTGTCTGTTTTTATGTTAGTATCATGCTGTTTTGGTTACTATGGCTTTCTAATACATTTTGAAGTCAGGTAGTGTGATGCCTACAGCTTTATTCTTTTTGCCTGGGATTGCTATGGCTATTTGGGGTCTTTTGTGGTTCCAATTTAGGATCGTCTTTTCTATTTCTGTGAAGAATGTCCTTGGTATTTTGATAGGGATGCCCTGAATCTGTAGATCACATTAGGTAGGATGGACATTTTCACAATATTAGTTATTCCAATTCATGAGCATGGAATATTTTCCCATTTTTAAAATGTCCTCTTTAATTTCTTTCATCAGTGTTTTATAGTTTTCCTTGTAGAGATCATTCCTTTCTTTGTTTAACTTTATTCCTAGGTATTTTATATTTTTTGTATTTAATAGCTATTGTAGGATTGCTTTCTTAATTTCTTTTTCGTTTTGTTTGATGTTGGTGTGTATTAATGTTAGTGATTTTTGTTGTTGATTGTGTATTCTGCAACTTTACTGGATTTGATTATTGGTTCTAGTAGTTTGCTGATGGAGTCTTAGGGTTTTCTAAATATAATACCATGTTGTTGCAAACAAGGATAATTTGACTACTTTCTTTCCAATTTGGAGGCCCTTTATGTCTTTTTCTTTTTGAATTGCTCTGGCTAGGACTTCCAGTACTGTTTTGAAGAGAAATGGTGAATATGAGCATCCTTGTCTTGTTCCAGATCTTAGAGGAAAGGCTTCAGTTTTTTCCCATTCAGTACAATGTTAGCTGTGGGTTTGTCACATATGGCCTTTATTTTTGCGGGGAGGGGTATGATCCTTCTATACCATTAACATTCTATTAATGTGATGTGTCAAGTTTATTGACTTGCATATTTTGAGCTATTCTTGCATCACTGGGAAGAATCTCACTTGATCGTGGTGAATGATTTTTTTAATATGTTGTTCAAGTTGGTTTGCTAGCATTTTCTTGAGGATTTTTGCATATTACGTTCATCAGGGATATTGGTCTGTAGTTTTCTTTTTTTGTTGTGTCCTTGTCTGTTTTTGGTATATGAGTAATGGTAGCCTAACAGAATGAGTTTGGAAGTATTTCCTTCCTTCTCTTTACTTTTTTGGAATAATTTGAGTAGAATTGGTATTAGTTCATCTTTTAAGTGTTTGGTAGAATTCAGCAGTGAAGCCATCAGGTTCTGGGCTTTTCTTTGATGGGAGACTTTTTATTTACAGATTTAATCTTGTTACTTTTGATTGGTCTGTTCAGGTTTTCTATTTCTTTATGTTTTAATTTTGATGGGTCTTATGTGTTCAGGAATTTATCCCTTTCTTCTAGGTTTTCCAATTTTTTGGTGTATAGTTCTTAATAGTCTCCAATGATCCTCTGTATTTCTATGGTATCATTTGTTAATGTCTTGTTTTTCAGTTTTGATTTTATTTATGTAGGTCCTCTCCCTTTTTTGCTTATTTTCTTAGTCTACCTAAGGGTTTGTTGATTTTATTAATCTTTTCAAAAAACAACTTTTTGTTGTGTAGATCTTTTATATTTTTTGGTCTCAATTTACTTTTTTCCTGTTCTTTATTATTTTTTCCTTCTATTAATTTGGAATTTTTGTTCTTGTTTTTCTAGTTACTTGAGGAGTATTGTTAGGTTGTTTATTTGAAATCTTTCTACTGTTTTGATGTAGATGTTTATTTCTATAAATATCCCATAGATTTTGATACGTTGTGTATCCTCATTATTGATTTCTGGTTTTACTTCATCACGGTCAGAAAAGATACTTGATATAATTTTGACAGATTTGAATTTGTTGAGACTTGTTTTGTGGCCTGCCAGATGGTCTGTCCTGGAGAATGTTCCATGTGCCGATGAAAAGAATATGTATTCTGCAGCAGTTACATGTTCAGTAAATGTGAGTTAGGTCCCTTTGGTCTAGTGTAATTTATATTGTCTTATGACTTAACAGGTTGCTGTAGTTTCTGTTTTTGATAGATTTGTCTTTTAGTCGTCATTCTAGTGATGTGAATGGATTACACATTGCAATTACAGTATTGAGTATTCTGAATTTGTCTGTTTACTTTTACCAGTGAGCTTTATACCTTCAAATGTTTTGTTTTTGCACATCAGCATCCTTTTCTTTCAGATTGAAGAACTCCCTTTAGCATTTGTTATGAGTCAGGTCTAGCAGTGGTAAATACCTTTAGTTTTGTTTGTCTGGGAAATACTTGATCTCTCCATGTCTGGAGGAAAGCTTTGCTGGGTCATCTGGGTTGGTAATTTTTTTTCTTTAGCACTTGGAATATGTTGTCACACTCCCTTTTGGCTTGTGTAGTTTCCAGTGAAGTTTCTTGCCAGATGAATTAGAGCTCCTTTGCATCATGTCATTTGCTTCTTTTTTCTTGCTGCTTTTAGGATCCTCCTTTTGTCCTTGACCTTTGAGAGTTTGATCATTATATCTTGGGGTAGCGTTATTTGGGTTGAATTGTTTGGTGATCTCTGACCTTCCTGTATCTGTGTATTTATATCTTTCTCTAGGTTTGGAAAATTTTCTGTTATTTATTTGAATAAGCTTTCTATCCCCGTCTTTCTCAACTCCCAGTTGAACACCAGTGATTCTTAGATCTTCTGTTTGAAGTTATTCTGTATATCTTGTAGGTGTTCTTTGTTCATTTTTATTCTTTTTTTTCCTCTTCTGACTGTATTTTCCAATATCCTGTCTTCGAGCTCATATTGTTCGGCTTGATCCATTCTCCTGTTGAGACCCTCTAATACACTTTTCAGTTTAGCAAATGTATTTCTCAGTTCCAGGATTTCTATTTCATGTTTTAAAAAACATTTCAATCTTTGGTAAATTTTTCTGATAAATTTCTGAATTGTTTTTCTGTGTTACCTTGGAGCTTGCTGATTTCCCATAGAATTGTTATTTTGAATTCTTGATCTGAGAGCTCGCACATTGCTGTCTGCTTAGGGTTGGTCTCTGGCTTCTCACTTTGTCCTTCTGGGGAAGCCATAATTCCCTGTTTGCTGTTTCTTGTGGATGTATGTCTATGACTTCACATTAAAGGGTTGGTTTTTTATTCCAGTCTTCTCTATATGTCTTGTCTTTCTAGAGTATGTTTGCTTAGAAGTTCTTTGCAGTTGACTGTAATTTTCATTTATCCTAGATCACTGCCTCCTTTTTGGCACTGCATGGTGCCTTAAGTCTAGGTTTTCCTTGGCTCTTGCAAATACTCAGAGCACTGCCTGTCCCAGATGGAGGTGGGAGAGTGGGAGGGTTTTTCTCCTTACAAGCTTCTTGTGGGTTGAGGCAAGAACAGGGAACCCAAGCTGGTGGGGAAGCTGGCCTTTCACCTTGACCTCACTTTTTCCAGTGTAGAAATTGTGAGACAGGGAGGAATTTTCCATGTGCAGTGCCTAGCAGATTGTGGGAGGGGTATTGTGGAGAGAGAAGTCTGTTTCTCTTACTGTCTGCTTGGAGTTTTTCCACTTCTCTGTGGCCCTGGAGATCTTACTAGCCTCAGATTCAAGTTCTGGGGTATTGCTGGTGATATTCTTGGGACTGAATATTTGTTTTTGGTTTTCTGCAGAGGAGGGTAAAGCCAGATTGCTGCAATTTTGGTAACATCACTTCCTCTATACATATTTTAAATGGTAGCATCATGTATTTGTGACACACACACGTTAATTTATTAATTTGTTTTGAAAGTGTTAATGAGGCAATTCCTTACCTTCCCAAGACTTGTGGACTGTATATAGATTAGGAAACCCTGGCTGTCCTCGTAGTGGCATGTGATTATCTCCCAATCATGACTTCTCTTCTTCCCCACTGTGTGGCAATCATTGGTGGACCCTGGAGCTCCATCCCTCTACAGTTAAGCCAGCTCTAAACTTTGCCCTCCCCTGGAACTAACAGTTATGTGAGCCAGTAAATTTCCTCGTGTTTAAGCAGTTTGAGGTGGAATTTCTGATCTCTTAAAGCTAAAGGTATCCCAACTGATGTAGTAATGCAGAATTAGAATGTAAGGAAATAAGAGGGTTTTTCTTTATTTTTTTCTTTCCAACTTTTAGGTTCGGGGGTACATGTGCAGGTTTGTTACATGGGTATATTGCATGCCACTGGGGTTTGGTGTGCAGATTCTTTCATCACCCATGTAGTGAGCATAGTACTTGATAGATAGTTTTTCGATCCTCACCCTCCTCCCACCCTTCACCCTCAACTAGGCCCCAGTATCTATTTTTACCCTTCTTTGTGTCCATGTGTACTCAATGTTTCGCTCCCACTTATAAGAACATGTGGTATTTTGGTTCCTATTTTAATTCACTTAGGATAATGGCCTCTATTTGCATTCATGTTGTTGCAAAGGACGTGATTTTGTTCTTTTAAATGGCTGCGTGGTACTCCATGGTGTATATGTACCACATTTTCTTTATCCAGTCAACTGCTGATGATGGGCATCTAGATTGATTTCATGTCTTTGCTATTGTGAGTAGTGCTGCGATAAACATACACGTGCATGTGTCTTTATGGTAGAATGATTTATATTCCTTTGAATACATACCCAGTAATGGGATTGCTGGGTCAAGTAGTAGTTCTAAGTTTTTTGAGAAATCTCCAAGCTGCTTTCCACAGTGACTGACCTCATTTACATTTCAACCACCAGCATATAAGCATTTCCTTTTCCCTACAGCTGCACCAGCATGTTATTTTTTGACTTTTTAATAATAGTCATTCTGACTGGTGTGAGGTGATATCTCACTGTGATTTTGATTTGCATTTCTCTAATGATTAGAGATGTTGAACATTTTTTCATATGCTTATTGGCCGTGTGTATGTCTTCTTTTGAGAAGTGTCTGTTCATGTTCCTTTGTCCATCTTTTAATAGGATTGTTTGTTTTTTGCTTGCTGATTTGATAACAAGATTTTTATGTTGGTATTTATAAGTTGAACACCAAGATATTGCTAAATAGGCTAGTCCCTCAATCTGGCATGTTAGAAACTGCGTAAATTAGGACTCAGAGGACCACCTGGTTTTAGTTTCTACTTTGCCACTCCCTACCTATATCACTAGACCTAAATTTCCTGAACAGTAAAAACAAGGATGTTGCCCTGAATAAGCTATAATTTACTTTTCATCTCAGATATTCTTTAATTTTGGAACCCATGCAAAATATCTGGTTAAATTTAATTAGGAGTTAAGAAGGTGAGGATTTTGCAGAACAGGTGTCTCAGATCTTTACTGTATTTATTATGGTTTCATAGTCTAGTAGCCCCAAGATGTTCTGTTTCTACAACTTCTCTGTAAATGGCACTGGCAAAGTCTTTTAACAGTGTTTTAGAAACTTTTTTTCTGACCTGGCACGGTGGCTCACGCCTGTAATCCCAGCACCTTGGGAGGCCGAGACAGGTGGATTGGAATTCAAGACCAGCCTGGCCAACATGGTGAAACCCCGTCTCTACTAAAAATACAAAAATTAGCCGGGTGTGATGATGGGCATCTGAAATCTCAGCTATTCAGGAGGCTGAGGCAGGAAAATTGCTTGAACTGAGGAGGCGGAGGTTGCCGTGAGCCAAGATTGTGCCACTGTATTCCAGTCTGGGCCCAGACTCTGTCTCAAAAAAAAAAAAAAGAAAAAGAAAAATTTTTTTCTCTCAGGTGCTTAAAACGAGCAGTATTTTTATTTTTTAAAACTCTTAGATCTCCCTCCCTCCCTTTTTCTTCCTTTTTTTAACACTCTCAGATCTTCCTCCCTCCCTGTTTCTTCCTTTTTTTAATTGTGGAAAATTTCTAATATGTATAGAAGTATAGAGAATAGTATAATGAACCCTCATATACTCATCATCTAACCTCAGTAATTATCAACATTTTGATAGCCTTAAAATCAGTAGCTTTAAGGTGCTTGCATTTGACTCTTCTAAATAGGGACTTTTTTCCAGCTGAACTCTAGACCTAAGCTAGGCATCTCTTGCTTCAGTGTTTCAGTTGCCTGCATGTTTGTTTAAGGTACTGTTCTTTTTAGCATCATAAGAAGGTATAGCACTGTGAAAACTAGTCTTTGTATTAGCAGTTCTGGCGAAACAATTATGAATATTTAGGCATTCATATTTGTACATATCAAGGTAGGATAAGTTATACTGTGCTAACAGTCTATCCCAAAACCTCAGTGGCTTAAAACAACAAAACTTGTTGGTCTTGTGACTGATTGACTGGGGCCTTGGTTCTGCCTCACCCTCCCTCTGGAACCAAGCTGAAAGAGCAGTTACTGTCTTGATTGTTGCCAGCACCATTGTAGAAGGAAAGAGAGCAGGGCAAATTGTGTGCAGTCTCATAAAGCTTCCGCCTGGAAGTGAGTCATGGCATTTCTGCTCACACTTGGCCAAAACAAGTCACGTGACTAACCTATATTTCTAGGGGATGGAAAAGTGCAAACTTATCATGTATTGGTGAAAAGAACCAGAAATGTTTGGTAGGCAACACTAATGACTATCACAGTATTGTGAGAAATAGAAAATTTCACCTGTCTTTCAACTTGATGTATGACAGCTAAGGCTTCAAGAATTGTTTACCCTCATGCGACAAGTGTAGGTAATAGTATTAAAGTTATCCTCATTATTTTCTTAGCTGTTATTTTAAAGCCACTTTTAGACTAGTTAATTAGAAGTCCTCAGAGAAGGAATACCAATTTCTAGATTGGATCCCAAATTCTTTCTGGGAGGTACAGACTTTTCCCTTCTCTAAGGTGATACAGTCAGCATATCAGAGAAGGGGCAGAATAGTTGTGGCTTCTTTACTTCTCATTATAGGAAGACCTTGCCCATCACTGTCCCTCTTCCTTTTTAAAGTAGGATTTTGATTTCAGTTGTGACATGGGTAAAATGCCAGGTCAGACTCTTGGATGTTTCAAGTGGGGTTTGGGATTCCAGATCAGATCTCTTTGTTGATGTTTTGTGTGTGTGTGTGTGTGTGTGTGTGTGTGTGTGTGTGTGTGTGTGTGTGTTTGGAGGCTGGGATTTATAGATTGTGACCATCCACTGTGAGAGACATAGTCATAGCACTGGCCATATTTATATCACATTCCAGAGGAAACTGCCTGACCCCCACAGTTCCTGCTCAAAGGTGCTCTTAGTTGGTCATATTTTGTACCCCTCAGAAGTGAGCACCAGACTCAAGGCAGCCAGGTCAGTAGCACCTGCTGTGATATGACCTGGCTTGAAAAGATAAGTAGGCTGGCCACTCTGCCCTCTTCCTGAGAATTTAACTTCCCAGTCTAAGACAGAGGCCCTGAGTCTAACACAGTGCCATGGGAGAGTAAAAAAGCCATTATCATTCGTAGGCAGTTTGAGGCAATCAGAGGAAGTGAGGGTGGAGAAAAAAGAGAGAGCAGAGTTGATTGGGGATGAAAAGAGAAGAGGCTCTTGGAGTGTTGTCCTCATGGAGTCCTTGAGAGACACTAATCCTTCTGCTGGGGTCCTTGGTGGGGCCTTGTGTTCTGCCAGAGCCATTGTGTTTCTGCTTCCTTCTGTGATGCCTTACTCTATGGTTGTTTCTGCCCTGTTTGGCTTGGGATTCCTGGGTTCCTTGCATGCATGCTGTAGCATAGGATTGGGTGTTGGTACTAGTTACATACAGAGGCTTAGTGTAAGAGTAACTGAAGCAAGGAAGAGGTACTTCTGTCTCATGTCTAAATCTGGACTTATACAGCTCATGTATGAGGCTGGGGGCTGGTATGGTGGCTCCATGGTTTTCTGGGATCTTAGTTGTTCTAACTTTCGTATTTGCTGACTCGGGCTGGTCTTCATCCTCATGGTCTCAAATGAAACTTCAACTATCATATTGTCATTCCACGCAGTAGAATGGAGGAAGGGTGAAAGAACGGTCATGCTACAGTCCTTTTTAGACACCTATGTGAAGTTACACTCAAGGCTTCCTGTCATATATCAACTAGAACCTCCAACTAGTCACTCCAAGGGTAACTTGGAACTATATCTTTATTCTAGTGGTCCATGTACCTAGCAAAAATTGGGGGTTCTGTAACTGCTGGAAGGGACATGAATATTGGGGGATGTCTTGCAGTGTGCTTCATATATGTTTTAAAATTTTTTTGATATAAATTTAGGGTAACTGCCAATTTTTATTTTAAAAATAGGGATTTGGGGGAATTACCTTGAATCTATACAGCAGTTTTTATATTTTAACAATATCAAATCATCTAGTAGCTATTTCTTAGATCCCTCTCTAGTTAGTTAGATATTTTAAAATTTTTCTCAGTAATATTTTTTGTTTTTCAATGAAGTTGTCTTACTGCTAAGTTTATTCCTAAAATTTTGTGGGTTTTCTGCTATTATAAAAGGATGTTTTAACTTACATTTCTAATTGTTTGCTACTAATCTGTAGAAATGCAATTGATTAGATTATGTTGATCTTTTACTTTGCATGCTTATTAAATTTAATGTTTTTTAAGATTTCTAAGAATTTTGCCAATAAATAACCATGTAATTTATAAATAGAGGTAGTTTTATTTCTCCCATGCTTCCTGTATCTTAAAAGTAAACTCCCTGTTGCTTGAGGCCACCTCTGTGCCTTGGTGTGAAAAGAGTGTAAAACACCACTCAGAATCTTCTTGTTTGATTTAATGCCTAATTTGTACCTAGGTTTCTGCTGTACTGATTGTTTCAGCCAAACTAAACAAAGATTCACTTTGTTTCTTCATTTAATAAACCTTAGTGTCTATTATGTACTCTAGGTGTGGTACTAGGCATTGTAGACACAAAAGAAAGACACGAAAATGAAATATGTGATCTTTTCCCTCAAGGAGCTCACAGTTTGGCAGAGGCAACTGAATAAGTAAAAATAATATAGTATGATAAATGCAGTAATAAAGATCAACATTCAAGGTATAAAGTATACATATACTACTAGAATGACAGAAAAGAAGGACTAGTTTTCTGCATCTTCCAGCTCTCTTATTTCTTCAAGACACGGGAAATAACTAAGCACTAGCCATCATAGGGGCACTGTAAGTCCAAATGCAGGTGTTCTTTCTTACAAGAGTTTTCCAGTTCTTCCTTATTAGTGAACAGAGTAAAAGCTTTCTCTAAACAAATCCCTGAACCTACCACAGTAAAGAGCAATCACATATGTATAATGCTTTATGTTATAGAAAACTCTTCTCATTACAAACCCAGTTTTCCAGAAATCCAGTTACCCAGTTTTGTCAGACTAAGATTTCTTTTGGCATTTTTAAAATAGCAGTCTGTGTTTATTGACCTAGCTTGCCACTGGTGGTGTGTTTTACTTTAAATCTTATCCCTCTTTACTTTTCTTCTGCCTTTGTCTTTAGAAAGTTGGTCTTTGATTGATATTAGTGGTACTGTAGAGGATAGCTATGCTAAGCTTTGATTGAAATGGAATTTTAATACAAAAAAAATTCAGGTCAGTTAAATCTCTGTCATTTTATGCAGAATATATGGAATAACATGAGATTAATAGAGCATTGTTCCTGCAGCCCATCTCTTGGGATATGGAAATAGCTTGGCTTTTCAGACCTCATGTTTGAGATGGTGTTTGCTCTTGGATAATTTTGCCTGGAGCGCCTTGCTGCCCTTGAGCCTCTTCTGTGTGTGCTGTCATAGTATGTGTTAAATGTAGGAATTGAAAGCACTGCTATGCATGATAGTTTACTTAGATTAATTGTAGCTCTAAATTTTGTGTTTTAATTCTTCACTGTCTTGGCATCATAGATGTTGGACAGTCCAAAAAAAGGAAGTTTTCCTATAAGATAATTATTTTTTAATGGAGGATGGGCACAACATTTCATCAGAAGCATTTGGGAGAAAACAGTGACCAGGAGACAGAGTGGATTTTTAAAAAATATTGATTGTAATCAACTGCCCACTCTTTGCTTAGTATTAATACCCTTAGATTCTTTACATTGAAGACATAGGTTTTAACACTGACATCCCAAATAATAATTAATGTTTTTACTATTTAAAAATGAAGTTAATCCCTAGGATTTGGTTGTTCTTCAGTATACATTTGATCCTTTTAGATCGAGGTTGAAAATAGTTCTGAAAGTCATTTTTTGAGATGAATGGAACACAGATCATTTCAATTTTTTAATTTTTATTATGCCTGGAACCATGAAGATACACTTTTATGGATCACAGAGTGTTCAAATTTCAAGGAATAGAACAGCTATATAATTTGTGAGGCCATTTTAGACAGAGAAAGCAACACCTGTGCAGACATGGAAGCCAGAGAAAGCATGACGTAATTGGGCAGCTGGGAGTGGTTGGATGTGAATGAAGAGCAGGGCATGGGAAAGAGGTGCAGAGTGGAACCAGGGTGTGGTCTCTGCCTAGAAGGCCCTTCTGCAGGATCTTCCTGTGTCTGGCTCCCTGCTCTTCCAGGCTGCTTCTCATTGCCCTGCCTCAGAGAAGCCGTTCCTGATCACCTAGGATAAAGTAGCCACCCAGTCACTTGCTAACAAGCCAACTCCTCTTTTTGTTTGTTTATGGAGCGTTCCTTACTGGCTGTCACTTTTTGTTTATTGTCTGTGTCCTAGTGCTTTACTATAGTTCCATGAGAGCAGGGACCTTGTCTGTCCTGTTTATTGCTGTAGATCTAGAGCCCAGCATAAAACTGGCATTTAATAAATGTTTGTGATGGGAATATAAGTGGATTTTTTTATTATGGATTTTGAATTTTCTTCTGTGAGTTAATTGTTCTTAATCCAGTAGTTCTCTAAACCCTTTTACACTTTTAGAAATTACTGAAGACCCCGAAGAGTTTGTTTTGTGGGTTCATATGTATTGATATTTACCAAATTAAAGATAACCTAGACATTTAAAAATAATTTATTTAAAATAATAGACTTGTGATATGTTAATATAAACATTTTTATGAAAAATAACTTTTCCAAAACAAAAAAAGTGAGAAGTGTGGCATTATCTGACATTTGTGTAAATCCCATTAGTGTCTGGCTTCTCATAGCTGGATTCTCATACCCTCTTTTTTCCATTCAGTCTATTGATACTGCATATCATGTAGCCTCTGGACCTCAGCCACATGCTTAGGAGGGAATGACAGTAAACAGGCAAATGGTGACTTGGCATAGTATAAAAATAGTCTTGACCTTGCAGACCCCTTGAAAGGGTCTTGATGACCCCTTGAGTTGGATAGGGTGGGGGTCTTTGTACTACATTTTCAGAACTGCTGCTGTAGGTGGATGATTTTCAAACTTTTTAGTAGCAGGAGTATATTTTCAAATATCTCCTAACAAGTTCCAATGCATAGAAAAGATAAAGGTGGAGCTGTTTTGGTTAAAGTGCATATGTGGTGGGAATACGGATTCGGGAGCAGGGGAAGGTCCCTGGAGCCATGCTTTCACTTTTTTTCTCATTTTTTGGCTGAGCTACTAAATTGGCCAAGGGATTGATACCTCTAAGGCAGGAATACTGTGTGAGAGAAAGTGAGGCAGTTGAACATACTGCAGAGACTTTCCACCCTGTGCCATAGTTTAACTTTCAGGTATTTTATTTAATAGCTTTTTAATATTTTATATAAGTCAGTAAGAAAATTTGCTATAATTTGCAGCAACCTTAGAGAAATATTTATGTAATCGAATGTTATCTAACTCAGGTTTTTAAAAGACAATTTGCTCTCTTTATACATCTGAGAGTATGTAAAATAAAATTCAATCAAGGTCCAATATGTAATCAGACAAAAGTAAGGATGTGGAGGAAGTTTAATATTGGGAATTGGTAATCTAATTGTATGTGCCAAATGCAGGAGGAATTCTCATGGTCTTGAGAGTGGAGGGAATGGCAGCTGGCCAGAGGCTGCCTAGAGCTTGGACCCTGTGTTAGGCAGCACCACCACCAGCTAATGGTAATACGTTGTTGTGGTAAATGCAGTGTTTGACTGCCTTGGGAAACATTCTTAACTCAGTCTGTTTTGTTTCTGTGTAAAACTGTTTCTAATCTTTTTTGTCTTGAAAAAAGGATCCTGACAAAAGTTTCCCACAAAGCTTCTGTTTTTACACAAAAATCCTGTCTCTAAATTTGTAGGCCTTGCCCTTTGGGAGTTTTATCTGACAGGCAATATAAAGTGTCCTCATTACCATCATTATTTATTACCTGTATCATTAAAAAAGACATCATTTATTATATGTAATTATATCACAGTGTTTATATAAAATATGAGCTCTAGCTTTGTTGTCTACATTTTAAGAGAAGGAAAAATTGAGAGATAAAGGGAAAAGTAATGAAAATAATTATAAGGCTGCAAAATACTGTCTTAGGTTTGGATTTAAATATTTTTAAGATGTGATTTAATAACTTCACACATGATTCTTATGAAAAGAGAAAAAACCTGTTTTAATGAGTTAAAAATAGGGTACATCTCCATGAAAGATAGAAGGAGATATAATTGGACAATTTGCCTTCTGGATTAGGTTTAAAATTCAAAAGAACTGCCTAATAGTGATACTAATTAAATTCTAATTATCTTTAGAAATGTGAAAGATAAGTCTGCTAATTTAACCATTTTTTCAGTAAAAGCTTCACTCTAAGCCTATCGTGTTTATTTTTATATTTGTTTAATTTTTTTGAACAAATAGCATCATAAATTTTTTAGCATTTCCAATTAATATTAAAGTGTGCCCCAATTTCTTTGAAGTAGATGGAGTCATGTAGTATTAACCTTTCTAGGCCGGGCGTGGTGCTCACGCCTGTAATCCCAGCACTTTGGGAGGCCAAGGCATGGATCACCAGATGTCAGGCATTCAAGACCAGCCTGGCCAACGTGATGAAACTCTGTCTTTGCTAAAAATACAAAAAATTAGCTGGGCATGGTGGCAGGTGCCTGTAATCCCAGCTCCTCGAGAGGCTGAGGCAGGAGAATTGCTTGAACCCAGGAGGTGGAGGTTGCAGTGAGCTAATATCGCACCATTGCACTCCAGCCTGGGCAACAAGAATGAAACTCTGTCTCAAAAAAAAAAAAATCCGTAGGCAGCTCTCCATCATACCTCACACCAGGAGAGGAGGAAAGTACCCATAGTTTCTTAAAATTTTATGTTTAAAAAAATTAATCAGTGGTATGTTATAGGGAAGTAAGAAATGTTTTAGTAATAGCTACCTTGTTTAAGATCGCAGCTCCTCTCCACCAGGCACTCATGGTCCTCCCTACCTGACTACTCAATTTTTCTTTCTTTCCATTGCAATACCTTCTGTGCTATAATCTAGTTTACTTATGTTTATTATTTCCTGTCTCCTACTCTGCTCCTACAGAAGTGCTTTGAATGCATTGATCTTTGTTTAGTTTACTGATACGTACTGAGTGCCTAGAATATATTTGTTAATTCAATGAATTGCTTTTCCTTTGGCTTCTAGAAGTGGATGTACATTTCTTTTGGGGAAAAATACTCAGCAGACTATTCAAAACTTTAAGAGGCTTCTGTTTCTGGCAGCGTGGCAGAGTAGAGGTTAAAAAAAAGGTCCCACATTATGAAATGTTAAAAATACTGGACTTAATATTCAAAATATCTTTTAAATGCATCGTTGAGCTGACAAGAGGTAAGGAAACTTTCCAGAGGCCCAGAACAAGAAATCTTGAATCCAGGGAGGTAAGTTAGTAGTGATACTGGCTCCCGTGCTGAGGGTTCTGGTATTTGTAAGTCCTTCAAAACCCAGAACTTTGGCTTTTGCAGGGTGGCCATAGGGTACCAGACGGTGTCTAGGGATCAAGCAGTTGCTAAGTAAGATCCAGAGACCTTTGTGTAAAGCTGAAGCTCCCTGAAAGCTGTCAGTGGGTTTAACTAGGAAAAAGCAAAAAACCTATCCCTCAGTGGTTGGAAAAGTATAGGGTAGGGAGCATAGGAACAAGGTTGCCTGTTTCAGCTTTTCACTGGAAGGGTAAAATAACCTTCCCCGAAAAATTATAACTGCAGTTCCACTCTAACTGGATTTGGGGTTGAAGTTCATACTACCTTAATGGTGGGGGAAAAAAAAACAACCAAGCCAAGAATTTAGTGAAAAGTAGTCTCAGTCTCAGGACTGAGAATCAAATGAAATCCTCACTGGAGAAATACAGGAACACAGGCCTCAGAGAATTGACACAGGTAAAGTTTCTTCCTAGAAATGCATTCACAATTTAAAAAACCAAAAACACTTTATATAAACCATGAGTTAATCAGCAGAGCAAGGAGACCGTGTAATCAGGCATTCAAACATTGCAGATATTGTAGTTGTCAGATATGTAATATAAGATAAATGCTTAATATGTTTAGAGAGTATAAAATACGGCTAAAGAGCAAAAGACTATCAAAAATAATTAGGCAAGTTGAATTCAGCAGTGTATAAAGGAAATACTGGATATTGAACAAAGGGTTTATTCCAGGAAGGCGAGCTTGGTTCTGCATTAGAAGGACTATTAATGTAATTATCGACACAAGCAGTTTAAAGTTAAAAAAACCATATCATCCTAAAATATACAGAAAAAGAATTTATTAAAATTCATCTCTCTTTTATGGTAAAAACTCATAACAAACTAAGAACAGAAGGGAAATTCTGTAACCTGACAAAGGGCATCTGTGAAAAACCTACAGCAAACATAGTATTTGATAGAGAAACATTAATGGTATTCCTTTGAAAAACAGCAGCGATATAAAGATGCCCACTGTTACCCTGCCTCTTCACAATTGCACTGGAGATATGAGTTAGTGCAGTAAAGCAACAAAGAGCTACAGGGCTATGAGGAATGAACAGAATGGTCATTCCTTAGAGTGAATATAAGTACCTTCATAGAAAATTCAGGAGTTTATTAAGTTGCGAATATATGATTGATATAGTAAAATTTAAGGACTAACATCCAGAATCTGCAAGGAATGCCAATTAATCAACAAGAAGATCATTATGGTAAAGTCAGTTCTATTACTCTAAACTAGCAGCATACAATAATAAATGTAATAAAAATATTTCTCAATAGTAAAAAAAATAAAAAGCCACCTAGGAATAAATAGAAAAAGAGAGGGCAAGATCTTTAAATAGAAAGGTATAGAAATATATCGAAGGACATTAAGAAGACCTAAATAAATGTGACGACATACCATGTTCATAGAAAGAAGGTTTCCTATAAACGTATCAATTAATCTGTCTTTAATATATGAATTTATTGCTATTAAAAAAAACACCCAGCAGGGTATGGTTTTGTTTGTTTTTGTGGAATTTGACCAGTTAATTCTAAAATTTATTTGGAAATACAAAGGGTCAAGAATGGCTAAGACATTCCTGAAGCAAGTACTTGTCTTACAAGATTTTAAGATAGTGTAAAACTTTAATCATTGAGATGGCATAATATTTGGACAAGCATAGACAAATAGATAATGGAAGGAAGTTAAGGCAAAAACCAGAACTCTAAGTACGTGGAAAGCTAATACATGACAGAGCTAATGTTACAAATCAAGGAAATGGAATACGTTTTAAATGGTTGGGATTCTTAGCCACATTTTAAAAAATGGTTTTTACTAACACTGTATTAAAAAAAGCAATTTCAGATGGATTAAAGACTAGATTGTGAAAGGCAAAACTTAAGCCTCCAGAATAAAATATTAGAGAGTATTTTAGACCTCAGGCTTTGGAAGCCAAAAGCACAATTGTTGAAGGAAAAGGTTTATTAATTTGGCTGTACTAAAATTAAGATCTCTTGGGTTTTGTGTGCATGGAAAGGAGAGTGTAAAGACTAGTCACAAATACACAAGTAGAATATATTTTGCATACAAAGGATAAGGATTTTTAGAATCAGTAATGCACACACCCATATGTCAGTACGCATACATACGTAAGTGTGAAAACAGTTAATGGCAGAAGAAAGCAAGAGCTGTTTCTTAGGAGAAAAATGAATAGCCAGTAAACAGTTGTTTTCAGGGAAATACAAATTAAAGCTACATTGACAAAATTGTAAAAGTTGGACATTGTCAAGTATACCACTGCACTACTCCATGGCAGAGGTTGGCAGACTTTTCTGTAAAGGGCCAGATAGTAAGTATTTTAGCCTTTGCAGGCCGTACAGTCTCTGTAAAGGCCAACAACTTTGACGTTGTAGTGCAAAAGCAGCTGTAAACCATATATAAATGAATGAGAGTGGCTGCATTCCCATAAAATTTTATTTACAAAAATACTAGTTTGCCACCCCTTGCTCTATGACACCAAAGTTAGTGAACTACATCAATATGGATGAGTCTTAAAAACGTAATGTTGGATTTAAAAGGTAGCAGAAGAATACATTATAATATGATTTAATTTATGTAAATTGCAGAGGTAGACAAGGTAAAGGATACAGGTTTGTGGGTTTCATCATAGTTGCTGGGACCTGACTAATTTTGAATTCTGGCCTTGACATGTATAGTCTATGTGACGCTGGCCAAATTACCTAACTTTTTAAAGTGTCAGTTTTCCTATCTGTAAGATGGTGTGCATAATAGTACCTGGCTTACTGGGTTGTTGGGAGTATTGTTATACAGTGCCCATCAAAGTGCTCAGCACACAGTAAGTGCTTGGTAATTGTTGTTATGCTTTTATTCTCCTGTTTAATTTATATCTCTATTAAAAGAAATATAGCTGTTATTGCTTTGGACACTGGGTGTTTTTTTTATCTGACCTGCATTGCATATGGCTAATGAGAAGTACTAAGGCTTGCATATCCTCACCTGAAGTCTTGAGTAATGTTTGATTCCTTTTGCTTAGCACAGGTTGTAAAACCTTCTAGTGTTTTAGTGTTGTGTTTTAATCTCCACATTCATGGTAGCTTGCTGAATACTTGGCAGAAACAGCTTCCAGTGTCACGTAATCTTTCTCTGTGGCAGTTAGCATCGTCTCAGACTCCTTTTTCAGAGCTCTCTCCTCCTTTGTATTGGCACCACTCTTCAAATTCTGTGACTTCTCAGACCTTCCAGTCCTCTAGTATGGTCCACCCCTCAAACTTCTGACTCTTCAGCTTCCTCAGCTGAAAATGAAGATAAAACCCACTTGAAAGGGTTGTTATTAGGATAAAATTCTCTCTCTAATGCCTAAGCCACTGAGGAACCCTGTAACCATAGATCCTGACTCATTTATGCCAGAGTGAGGTGTGGTATGAAAACAAACAAAACTTTATGAGTAGTTCCTTCCCCATTTGAGCAGCAGTGACGGGTGAATGTAATGCAAGCGGCGCATTGCAGGCATTCAGACAGCTCCCCCCTCCATTTCCTGTCTGTGGCTACTGTTCTCTAGACTCTTCTCTCACACCACCAAGAATCATTTATTACAGGTATTTATATTGACCATTTCCTCCCTAAGGACAGTGATGTTGTCTAACTCATCTTTGTTCTCATATGGTCTGGTAAAATGCTTGGCATATAGTAGGGCAGTTAACAAATTTGTTAAGTGAACAAATGTCTACTATATGCCTTGCTTTTGTTCACAGAACACCAGTGTATGCAGTATTTGGCCTGCCAAAGTAAGATGTTAAATCCAAAGTAAGATGTTAAATCCTAATTTAGCGTTTAGCTATCTGAAACACGTTTAAAAGTTACTTCTTTGTTTTAACATCATATTTCGAGAAATTCTAACATATATAAAAGTAGACAGAACAGTGAAACGAGCCCTCTTAAACCTGTATCCATTCTCCAGATTCAGCAAACACATTTTCCCACTTGTGTTCCACCTCTCAATCTAACCTCACTCCCCTGCTCTTAAGCCCAAGTATTTTAAAGCAATGGAAGACATCATGTCATTTTACCTCTAACATTCTTCAGTATAGATCCTTTAAAATGAGAACATTTTGAATATGACCACAATGCTGTTAACATTCCTAATTAACAGTGATTGCTTAGTAGCATCTGTAACCCAGTTCATAATCATATTTCCTCAGTGGTCCCTAAAGTGTCTTTTTAAGTTGATTTGTAGATTCAAAACTCAAAACAAGATCAACATAGCACATTTAGTTTTTTTAAAAAAGCTTTCCTTAAAAAAATAAAAACAATACCTATTTTAAAAATTATTTCTCTCCCTTTCTCTTCTTCTTTTCTTTTCGATAACTCTTCAGATTAGGGTTCTTTATAATGAAACCATAAACTTTGCTCTAGCAGATAAAGGTTTCATCTTTTAAGACTGCTTTGCTGTTCTTTTTTTTTTTTTTTGATAGCCAAGCACTTAACATGTATAGAGAGCACTACTGCAGTTAACAGCACAGCAAAATGCAAAACTGTTAACTGCTCTGATTTTTCTTGTGCAATGAGATAGCATTATGTGCAGTACCATTAGGAAAATAATTTTACATCATTTTCATTCATAATTAACATTATTTACATTAAATGTAGTCTAAACCTGTAAAATAATCTTGTATTCATTAAAAAGTATATATTCTTTGGTATGTTTAGTTTAAATACATCTTTAAAAAATTTTAGTTATTCCTCTTGAATTTATGGTTAGGGTCTCAAGAAGGAAGCTTGAGACTAGACTGTAATGTGTGTTTGAAAAAGACTGCTCATGGATGAACTTAATTCTTAAATTCTCTAAAGCTCAAGTGGAGAAATGACATCTGCAAAAAATTTATCTTTTAGTTGCATTATGGGTAATAAAGACAAACATGTGTAACTGTTTAGTGTATTTAAAAGAAAAGGAGAGATAACCCAAGTGATTAGAGGTTTTAGTAGAATAGTTTTGAGAATTAGAATTTTAAAAAATAATACAAAAGAAATGTTTGAGTTATTGATGTGAATTAAATAGCAGGTTTATTTCAGAGTTTTTTTTTTCCAACAATTTACTTAACTTTCCTATTACATTGTTAAGTAAAATGTCAACTTAATTGTACTGCACTGTTTTTGTTTGTTTGTTTGTTCTGAGAGCAGGAAGCAAATCCTATAATCAGCCCTCCAAAGAGCTGAAACAAATATGAAGAAAAGGCGCTTGAGGTCATCCCCTAGAATGGATCTTAACTGATAGCAATGCAGAAGCAGCCTGAGACTACAGGGCAGACCGAGTTGAGGGAGGGAGGCAGAGAATAGCTTTTCACAGGAAAATCAGCAGGCAAGAATGCAAAACAATCACTAACGCTATAAACTAAGAGACGTTAAATGACATTAGGGAGAGACTAGTAAGAGAGAAACCAAGTTAGAAAACACAGCAACTTAAAAACCGATATGCCAAATTACTGATTAGTTAAGGAAAAAAGGAAGGGTATGGTTGTTTTGCAGTGTGTGGTACCTGCGATAAATCTGTAAGGTAGAATTTGTGACTAACCAGAACACTGTCTTTCTGTAACATGCTAATATATGTTTTGTTTTGTTTTTTCAATGGTAACTAAATATTTCAGGCTATTATTAGGGCCAAAAATCTAAAATCTACCCCTAACTCAAGTTTTGGTTTTTATTTGTTCTGTTGAGCAAATCTGAAAACTTTTTAGATCTCAAAAGGTCGCTTAAGTTAGTAACCTAGTAACATCAGACAGTGTATTAAGGAAAGCAATTCTCAAAAGAACCTTCATGCTTACAAATGTAAAAAAAAGAATTTCATCTAAGGGTACTACTGTCCTTTGAGATTTTTTTTCTTCTTTTTCTCCTCACAGATGATCCAGTTATACAGGAGGAAAAGTATGGCACTGAGCTCTGGGGAATGCATGGAAAAAAAAATTGGGAAAAGGGAGTGACAACAGAGATTTCCATTTAGTCTGCAAATTGTTTTTGGTCTTTCTCATCCATAGTCCAGCGCCAAGAGACTGTGGGATCATACAGTCTTGTTTGTGATCCAAACTGGCAGTGGCAGTACTGATGACAACAGTGTAGTAACTGTCTGCGCTCAGTAGTGTCGTTGGCAAGCTTCTAGTGAATTCTTTATCCACTCTGGTGGGCCACCTCATAGAGTATACATGTTGTCTCTGCGTTTTAACTTGATCTGTGGACCAACAGTTGTTTGTGGGTAACATTTGAGAATCTCTGTTTAAAGTCTAGGAAGTAAAAGGTTTTTTTAAATAAAAAATGTAAAGCCTATTCAAAAGTACAGTTAGCAGAAGATAAAGAACAAGCCATGAAACCACCTCTCCTCTGAGTCTTGTCTTATTTTTCTATTTTGACCGATTTCCTTCTGTGTTTGTTAGCATTAGGTTTGGCAGCATCGCAAAGGTCCCTGTATTCCCTCTTCCCCCACAAAAAGGTGCTTTAAACAAGATAGAGGTTTTTTCCTCTCAGGATATGGCAGCTATGTGGTCAGCAAAGACCCAGCTCCTATCTTTCTGTGTTGCAGTCTTTAGCTTATGACTTTCCTTCTCAGGGTTATCTCCTGGTTGCAAAGAAGGTCCTTGCAGCTCCATCCGTTGTGTTTGTTTTTCAGGCAGCAGAATCGAGGGGTGAGGGCAAAATGGCCCTTCTCTCTGTGAAGTTGGTCCCTTTAAAAATCTTTCCCATATTCCCACCCACTGATTTCTGATATTGGCCAACCTAATCTTCAAGGCAGGCCAGAAGATGTAAATTGCCACTTTTAGTAATACAGCAGTTTGATTTGTAAAAAAAGAAGAGGAAACTATTGAATGAACAACTAGCAGTCAGCCATAATTTAGATCTTTTATATAAAATAATTTCTGATATAGTTGAAGCCCTTCCCTTCCTCCCTCCTCAGAAACAACCACTAGTAAGAATTTGGTGTATTATCCTCATGCATATTATTCTCTACAGTGTTTGTGTCCATAAGCAGTCTGTTTTATTTTAATATGTTTTAAAGCTGTATATTAATGGAACATATTGTACATATTCTGTAAATCACTTTTGTCTCATTCATCATTGTTTACTGATAATGATGCACATAATTCTAGTTTATTCGTTTTTCCTGCTATATAGTAGTCTATTGTATAGTTCATGTGTACATTTAGGTTGTTACTTTTTTTTTTTTTGGTCATTATAAACAATCCTGCAATCATGTCTCTTTATACTCATGTGTAAGAGTTTCTCCAGGGACTGTACCTAGAAGTGAAATTAGTGAGTGATAGGGTAGTGCTTTCTTCAGCTTTATGAGATACTTATTGCCAGATTGCTCTCCAAAGTGGCCGTGCCAAATTACACTTGGAACAACAGTGTGTGAGTGTCCCATTTCCTTATTTCTTACTAGTTGTGTTTTTGCCAGTTTGATGAGGTCAGATTCATTTTCCTGAGTACTACGGAGATTGAGCATATTTTTATGTTGTCTTATATGTTCCATGTTTATGATTCTTTGTCTATGATTTGCCCGTTCATATCTTTGGCCATTTTTCAATTGTGTGTGTTTTTGTTGTTTGTTTTATTTATTTTTTTTTTTAGAGACAAGGTCTCGTTCTGTTGCCCAGGCTGGAGTGCAGTAGTGGGATCACAGCTCACTGCAACCTCAGGCTTCCAGGCCCAAGTGATCCCCCCACCTCAGCCTCCCAAGTAGCTGGGACTACAGATGCGTGTCAACACACCTGGCTAATTTTCTTTTTTTTTACTTTTTGCTTTTTGTAGAGATGCGGTCTTCCTATGTTGCCCAGGCTGGTCTTGAACTTCTGGTTCAAGTGATCCTCCTGTCTTGGCCTCCTACAATGCTAGGATTATAGACATGAATCACCGCAATTGGTCTGTTGTTTGTTTTGGTTTGTAGAAGTTTTTAATACATTCTGATACTAATCTTTTGTTCATTATCTGTATGTATCTGAATATTTCTTCCCGGACTTTCGCATATCTTATGATGTCTTTGGTTATATCAAAAATTTTAATTTTTATGTAGTAGAAATTATTCATTCTTTTGTGGTTTGTGCTTTTTGAATATTGCTTAAGCAATTCTTCCTGATCTAATGACGTGACAATAGTTGCCTATAGTTTAGAGTGTTAGAGATTTATGCCTTTAAGCCTTTAATGTTTTTTTGTATGGTATGAGGTAGGAATTTTATTTTTACTTATGAATGAACATTTATTGAATAGCCCATCCCTTTCACACAGATTTATAGTGCCATCTCTGTCATATATGAAGTTTGCATATTCATGTGGGTCTGATTCTGGGCTGTCTTCTGTTTCATTGGTCTTTTCATGTGTGTCTGCCTGTGTATGACACCAAATTAGTTACCATATCTTGATATATGGTAGACAGAGTTCTCTGACCTTGTTGTTTAAAATTGTAATGGCTTTCTTAGCTTTGCTCTTCCATGTAATTTTAGGATCTACTTTTAAAGTTCTATTTAAAAACTATATTGAGATTTTGATTGGAACTATAGTAAGTACACAGATTAATATAAAGATAATTTTTTTCTTTACTATAGAAATCCTTCCACACATAAAGATAGTATTCCTTAATTTTTTTGTAGATCTTTCTAAGCAATTTTCTTCTTTTTCTTTTTTTAATATTATTATTTTTCATTAAGAGACAGGGTCTCACTCTGTCACAGAGGCTGGAGTGCAGTGGCATAGTCACAGCTCACTGCAGCTTCGACTTCCCAGGCTCAAGCAATTTTCTCACCTCAACCTCCCAAGTAGCTGGGACTATAAGCACATGCCACCATGACTGGCTAACTTTTGTATTTTTTGTAGAGACAGGGTCTCCCTATGTTGCTCAGGCTGGTCTCGAACTCCTGGATTCAAATAATACTCTTTGCCTCAGCCTCCAAAGTGTTAGGATTACAGGCATGAGCCAAAGCACCTGGCTTAGCAATTTTCTGGTTGTTATTGGTACAGAAGACGTCAACTGAATTTTGTATGTTCATCTTGTATCCAGCAACCTTGCTGAAAGTTCTTGTTCTAATTGTCTTTATTTCCTTGGATTTTCTATTATTTTTTGTTCGTTTTCTTCTTTCTGATTCTAAATCTCTTTTTTTTTCCTTCTTGTTGTACTGCGCTAGATAGGTTCTCTAGTACATTGTTGACAGGAAGAAGTAATAGAAGACATTTATCTTTGTCTTTTTCCCAACTTTAACAGTAAGTGAGTTGTTTTTTTAACTGTAGATTTAGGGCAGATATCTTTTGTTAGGTTAACCAAATTCTTATTTCTAGTTTTCCATGAGTTCTTTGTTTTAAGTGTCTTAAAGGAGTGCTGAGTTTTACTATTTTATATAATATATAAGTTGTTTCCTCTTACCCACACCTCCATTCTTTGTTCTAATCTTGTCATCTATCACATCTTCATATTAATAAGTTGTACAACACAGAGTTATAACTTTTGTTTTAATTGGGTATACATCTTTTAAGAAATTAAGAGGGAAGAAATCAGGCTTTTATATTTATTCATATATTTACCGTTTCTGGTGTTCTTCATTCCTTCTGACAGATCTGAGTTTCCATCTGGTGTCATTTCCCTTTTACCTGAAGAACTTCCTTTAGCATTTCTTAATTTGTTTTGACATTTCTTTACTTGAAAATGTCTTTGTTACATGTAATGAGAAGTCATCCTTTTTTTTTCCCCTGTACATACATTTTTTTTTCCCTGTGGATGCTTTCAATATTTTGTCTTTCTTTATCTTTGGTTTTCAACAGTTTTAAACAAGATGTGCTGTGGTTGTGGTTTTCTTTGTATTTATCTGCTTAGGTTTCACTGGACTTAAATTTGCAATTTTGTTCTTCCCCAAATGTGGCCATTTTCAGGGGTTTTTTTCATGTTTTGTTTTTATCCTGTTTCCTCTGTTCTCTCCTTTTGCAACTCTGATTTCACATATGTTAAATTTTATGCTGTACCACAGCTCACTGAGGCTCTGTTCATTAAAGATTTTTCTTTCCTTTTCAGATGGGATAATTTCTTTTGATCTCCCTTTAAATGGACTAACCCTGTATTCTGTTGTCTATAATCTGCTGTAATCCCATCAAGTGAATTTCCCATTTCAGACTTTATATTTTTGTATTTTACATGATTCTGTGTGGTTCTTTTTTAAAGTTTTAATTTGTTTGATAAGAGTTTCCTCTGTTCAGTTATTATTAATTTCTTGAACATATTTATAGTAGGTACGTTATAGTCCTTGCCAACTGATTTCCACGTCTGGGTCATCTTCTGTTCAGTATCCATTGACTGCTTATTTTCTTGACTCAACTTTTCTGTTTATTTTCATGTCTCGTAATTTTTTATTGTATACTGGATATTGTGGATAATATGCTTTTTGACCCTCAATTCTCTCTTCTCTTAACGAATATTGATTCCTTGCTGGCTAGATTTAAACTCCAAATTCTGCCTCCCTGGCATTGGGCAACATCATTGATATCTCTGTTCAGTTCTTTCAGCTATCTAAATGTTCCTTTTCTTTGGAGCCTTTGGAGTCTGTCCTGTGTTATATGATTCAAGGTTCAACTAAAGATGGTGGTGAAGTTTACATAGATATTTTAGGGTTCTCACTTTTCTAGTATTTCCTGCCTCACTTTCCAGTTGCCTGCTAGTTCCAAATCTCATCCTTTGATGCTTCAAGCCAATATGATTGTGACTTCCTTCTTGAGTTTCAGTAACTCTGCACAGTGTAGGCTGGTAACTGCTGTTATTTGTGAGTAGATTAGTCTAGAATAAGCTCCTCTACTTTTCTGTGTGTGAGTGTCTCATGCTTTCACTTTCAGCTTTTCTGAATCCTTATGTTTTTGGTGTATGTCTCGTAAATAGCATTTAGCTTTTACTTTTTAAAAAAAATCCAGTTTGACAATTTAGATATATTTAGTCATTTTGTCTTAATTTTAATAACTGATGTATTGGGATTTATTTCTACCATTTTGTGCTGTCTATAGGTGTGGTTTCTCTATTATTTTAAATTCCTTTCTCATTTTATTTTAAAGTGATTGATTTTCTATTTCCTCCTTTTTCAACTTTGATTTTTAACTTACACATTCTGTTTTTATTTAATTAGTTGTTACCTTTTAATTCTCAACATATTTGCTCTTTAAAAAGCTAAAATTAATCTTTCTACCCTATCCCTAAACACAATGACCTTAAAATGCTTTAATTTCAATTGTCTTTCTTCCTTCTCACATGATACGTTTTCTGGCATTTTTATTTATTTACTAAATAATTATTGAACTCTTCTACCTTGTGCCAAGTACTGTTCCAGATGATGTAGTAATAACATTAAGCCACATAAAGTTCCTGTCATTTTGGAGCTTACAAGATAATTAATAAATTAATTAAGATACATTATGATGTAAATTACTACTTGGTGCTACAGTGGAAAGTAATGCATTAGGAAAAGATAAAGAATAACATTGGGGGTGGAGATGCTGTCTTGTAGATTAGTTTCTGCTCTCTTCAGACATTTCATAACATCTTTAGGGCTCAAGTATGAAAAACATAATTCCCATGCTGGGGATGTTTACAATCTAACCAAAGAGTCCCGGGGAAAAGATACATATATGGAAGCCACTGGCACACGGTGGGTGAAGCTGTGCCACTGCTGAAATTCCCAGGGAGGATGTGTATAGTGTCAGGGGTCTTGAGAACAGATCCGGAGAAGAGTAGGGAACCAATAAAGAAGACTTCAAAGCATGGTCAGAAAAGTAGGAGAACAAGAAATGACCCTGAGAGCCAAGAGAAGAGGCTTTATTTATAGCCTGCCTATTCTAAAAATAATTTAAGATGGCTAAGATATCAAGTAGAATGAAGCTGAGAAAGAGACTTGTGTTGCTAGGTAGGACATTACAGTTACTTGATTAACAGATGGTTTCATTGAAGTGAAGACTTGCCTTAGGGATAGAGAAAAAGACTTCTTGTGCAGAAGATGGTAAAGGAAGAACAAATAGAATGATAATTGGAGAGGTTGGTGTTGTAGCAAAAACATGTAGAAAATCTTAGAGATTTGGGGGATTCCATGACCAGAAAATAACATGAGCCCCTGGCCTGGAGGAAGTTCCTGCTGGATCCTTTACTTCCCAGAAACTGCTCCCCTGGTAGGCGGTGTATTTTCCTGTGTCTGAGTTCATAGTGGGCAGAAAGATGCATATTTTGCTGAAACTCCAACGCAGTGTTCTCTTGTAATGATCTGGCATTAATCTTCGTGTGATTAAAAATTAAAGTATGAGAAGAAATTAGTAACTTACCTGGCCTTTGCTTTTCAGACTCTTTAGCATGATAGTTAAGATTTCCTCTGTTCTGAACACACCCCTTTACTCCTGTCTCCCAATTAATTCTTCTGTTTGCTGTTCCCCAGACATTCCCTGCAATTTCTTGCCTCCCTATTTTAACTCACACTGTTTTGTCCACTTGAGATATTGTTTTGCCTTTTCCTAACTCATACCAATTCTCTAGTCATTCTCCCCACCAGTTTCTCTTTTTTGTGCGCTATAGCCCGTCACAACTCTCGGCATCTTTTGCAAAGACTTAAACTGTGAAATGACATGCAAACTCACTTTGTTGTCTCTCCTTCTATATTGCAAGCTCGTTGAGGATAGGGACTGAACATTTTTCATGTTTGTGTGCATCAGACTGCTTAGTGTAGTGTTTTGCACATATTTGAGAAAGTTTGAGTGAATTAGGGATATGTGATTCTGTGATAGACTAAGTAACGCCGTGTCTAAGATGAGCAGGTCATATACTAGGTTCTAGTTTGTAGCTCTTAAAATTTATATTGAAGTTCTGCTTTTTTGCAGTCTCCTGTAAAAGTAGAGTCCTTAATTTAGATCCTCCACTGATTTGTATCTTCATTTTTTTCTTGACAGGATATATACCTATATAAATCAATAATTATAGGTTGCAGATTGGTGTATCAGGATGCTTTTCACTGTAGTAGCAGAATACCCAGTTAAATCAGTGAGGGCTTTATCATCTTGCATAACAAGAAGTTCAGACATTGGGAGGTCTGGTCTTAGGGTTGGTCTGGCTCCATGAAATCATGAGGGTCCTGCGTGCTCTCCATGTTTTCAATTTGTTATCCTCAGCATGTCATTGATGGCATGTTGATGATGGCTTCCCCCATGGCCTCAAGATGGTTACATTACTTCTAAGCATACACTACTTCTGTACTCTCCAACAATAGCCAAAGGTTGAAAAGTGTAGTTTCTCCTTCAACATCTCTATGAGGGATATAACTGTTTCTGAATGCTTCCCAGCAGACCTCCCTTTCAGTACCATTAGTCAGGATTTGGTCACTTCTATTAGCTAGAGGAATAGAATGACCGTGGTTGGCTTGGACCAGTCAGGAATAGGTGGCCTAGCAGAGAATGGTCACTTGAATTCAGTTGGAGGTCAAATGCAATGAAAAATGTCAAGGTTGGATAAGGAACAAACAGTGTCTCCCACAGTGCTGTGTAGGTGTCTTTGGCCTTCCCACCTGGAAAGTTAAGATCCTCACAGTTTCCTAAGAGGGAGAGAGATAATTTTGTATTTCCACTGAGCTTGGCATTGGATCTCAGTAATAGTTTATTAACTCACTAATTCATGTAATAGACATTAACGGAACACATTTTGTGCCACGTACTGTGCTCAGTATTGGGGAAGAAGCTGAATAAGGCATGATCCTGGCACTCAGGTGGTAGCTGCCTACAGTTAAGTGGAACAGGGTGGCTGACTAAGGGGGGAGAATAGAGTTATTCTAAAATAAACTGATTTTAGGACATTCATTTTTCAACAGGAGATGTGGGACATGTGGATTTGGGATATGAATTCATTTGAAAAACCACTTTGGGTAAGTTGATAGTTGGGAGTGAATGACTTTAGGGCTCTACTTCTCTTACATTGGGGTTTGATCTTACAGCTAGCTTCTTAGGTTTTAAAAATTATGTTGATTGGGGGGGCGGTTCCAAGATGGCCGAATAGGAGCAGCTCCAGTCTACAGCTCCCAGTGTGAGCGACACAGAAGACGGGTGATTTTTGCATTTCCAACTGAGGTACCGGGTTCATATCACTGGGGATTGTCGGACAGTGGGTGCAGGACAGTGGGTGTAGCACACCGAGCTGAAGCAGGGCGAGGCATCACCTCACTCGGGAAGCACAAGGGGTCAGGGAATTCCCTTTCCTAGCCAAGGGAAGGAGGGACAAACGGCACCTGGAACATCGGGTCACTCCCACCCTAATACTGCGCTTTTCTGATGGTCTTAGCAAACGGCACACCAGGAGATTATATCCCGTGCCTGGCTCGGAGGGTCCTACGCCCACGGAGCCTCGCTCATTGCTAGCATAGCAGTCTGAGATTGAACTGCAATGTGGCAGCGAGGCTGGGGGAGGGGCACCCGCCATTGCTGAGGCTTGAGTAGGTAAACAAAGTGGCTGGGAAGCTCGAACTGGGTGGAACCCACCGCAGCTCAAGGAGGCCTGCTGCCTCTGTAGTCTCCACCTCTGGGGGCAGGGCATAGCCGAACAAAAGGCAGCAGAAACCTCTGCGGACTTAAATGTCCCTGTCTGACAGCTTGGAAGAGAGTAGTGTTTCTCCCAGCATGGAGTTTGAGATCTGAGAATGGACAGACTGCCTCCTCAAGTGGGTCCCTGAACCCCAAGTAGCCTAACTGGGAGGCACCCCCCAGTAGGGGCAGACTGACACTTCACACGGCCGGGTACCCCTCTGAGCTGAAACTTCCAGAGGAACAATCAGGCAGCAACATTTGCTGTTGACCAGTATTCGCTGTTCTGCAGCCTCCGCTGCTGATACCCAGGCAAACAGGGTCTGGAGTGGACCTCCAGCAAACTCCAAGAGACCTGCAGCTGAGGGTCCTGACTGTTAGAAGGAAAACTAACAAACAGAAAGGACAACCACACCAGAACCCCATCTGTACATCACCATCATCAAAGACCAAAGGTAGATAAAACCACAAATATGGGGAAAAAACAGAGCAGAAAAAATGAAAATTCTCAAAATCAGAGCACCTCTCCTCCTCCAAGGGAACACAGCTCCTCACCAGCAACGGAACAAAGCTGGACAGAGAATGACTTTGACGAGTTGAGTGAAGAAGGCTGCAGACGATCAAACTTCTCCGAGCTAAAGGAGGAAGTTCGAACCCAACGCAAAGAAGTTAAAAACCTTGAAAAAAGATTAGACGAATGGCTAACTAGAATAACCAATGCAGAGAAGTCCTTAAAGGACCTGATGGAGCTGAAAACCACAGCACGAGAACTACATGACGAATGCGCAAGCTTCAGTAGCTGATTCGATCAACTGGAAGAAAGGGTATCAGTGATGGAAGATCAAATGAATGAAATGAAGTGAGAAGAGAAGTTTGGAGAAAAAAGAATAAAAAGAAATGAACAAAGCCTCCAAGAAATATGGGACTATGTGAAAAGACCAAATCTACATCTGATTGGTGTACCTGAAAGTGATGGGGAGAATGGAACCAAGTTGGAAAACACTCTGCAGGATATTATCCAGGAGAACTTCCCCAACCAAGCAAGGCAGGCCAACATTCAGATTCAGGAAATACAGAGAACGCCACAAAGATACTCCTCCAGAAGAGCAACTCCAAGACACATAATTGTCAGATTCACCAAAGTCAAAATGAAGGAAAAAATATTAAGGGCAGCCAGAGAGAAAGGTCGGGTTACCCACAAAGGGAATCCCATCAGACTAACAGCTGATCTCTCAGCAGAAACTCTACAAGCCAGAAGAGAGTGGGGGCCAATATTCAACATTCTTAAAGAAAAGAATTTTCAACCCAGAATTTCATATCCAGCCAAACTAAGCTTCACAGTGAAGGAGAAATAAAATACTTTACAGACAAGCAAATGCTGAGAGATTTTGTCACCACCAGGCCTGCCCTACGAGAGCTCCTAAAGGAAACACTAAACATGGAAAGGAAGAACCGGTACCAGCCACTGCAAAAACATGCCAAATTGTAAAGACCATCAATGCCAGGAAGAAACTGCATCAACTAACTAGCAAAATAGCCAGCTGACATCATAATGACAGGATCAAATTCACACATAACAATATTAACCTTAAATGTAAATGGGCTAAATTAAAAGACACAGACTGGCAAATTGGATAAAGAGTCAAGACCCATCAGTGTGTTGTATTCAGGAAACCCATCTCGTGCAGAGACACACATGGGCTCAAAATACAGGGATGGAGGAAGATCCACCAAGCAAATGGAAAACAAAAAAAGGCAGGGGTTGCAATCCTAGTTTCTGATAAGTCAGACTTTAAACCAACAAAGATCAAAAGAGACAAAGAAGGCCATTACATAATGGTAAAGGGATCAATTCAACAAGAAGAGCTATCTTAAATATATATGCACCCAATACAGGAGCAGCCAGATTCATAAAGCAAGTCCTTAGAGACCTACAAAGAGACTTAGACTCCCACGCAATAATAATGGGAGACTTTAACACCCCACTGTCAACATTAGACAGATCAATGAGACAGAAAGTTAACAAGGATATCCAGGAATTGAACTCAGCTCTGCACCAAGTGGACCTAATAGACATCTACAAAACTCTCCACCCCAAATCAACAGAATATACATTCTTCTCAGCACCACACCGCAGTTACTCCAAAATTGATCACATAGTTGGAAGTAAAGCACTCCTCAGCAAATGTAAAAGAACAGAAATTACAACAAACTGTCTCTCAGACCACAGTGCAACCAAACTAGAACTCAGGATTAAGAAACTCACTCAAAACCACCAAACTACATGGAAACTGAACAATCTGCTTCTGAATGACTACTGGGTACATAATGAAATGAAGGCAGAAATAAAGATGTTCTTTGAAACCAGCAAGAACAAAGACACAACATACCAGAATCTCTGGGACACATTTAAAGCAGTGTGTAGAGGGAAATTTATAGCACTAAATGCCCACAAGAGAAAGCAGGAAAGATCCAAAATTGACACCGTAACATCACAATTAAAAGAACTAGAGAAGCAAGAGCAAACACATTCAAAAGCTAGCAGGAGGCAAGAAATAACTAAGATCAGAGCAGAACTAAAGGAGATAGAGACACAAAAAACCCTTCAAAAAATCAATGAATCCAGGAGCTGGTTTTTTGAAAAGATCAACAAAATTGATAGACCGCTAGCAAGACTAATAAAGAAGAAAAGAGAGAAGAATCAAATAGACGCAATAAAAAATGATGAAGGGGATATCACCACTGATCCCACAGAAATACAAACTACCATCAGAGAATACTATAAACACCTCTACACAAATAAACTAGAAAATCTAGAAGAAATGGATAAATTCCTCGACACATACACTCTCCCAAGACTAAACCAGGAAGAAGTTGAATCTCTGAATAGATCAATAACAGGCTCTGAAATTGAGGCAGTAATTAATAGCTTACCACCCAAAAAAAGTCCAGAACCGGCAGATTCACAGCCACATTCTACCAGAGGTACAAGGAGGAGCTGGTACCATTCCTTATGAAACTATTCCAATCAATAGAAAAAGAGGGAATCCTCCCTAACTCATTTTATGAGGCCAGCATCATCCTGATACCAAAGCCTGGCAGAGACACAACTTTAAAAAAAGAGAATTTTAGACCAATATCCCTGATGAACATTGATGCAAAAATCCTCAATAAAATACTGGCAAACCGAATCCAGCAGCACATCAAAAAGCTTATCCACCATGATCAAGTGGGCTTCATCCCTGGGATGCAAGGCTGGTTCAACATACGCAAATCAATAAATGTAATCCAGCATATAAACAGAACCAACGAGAAAAGCCACATGATTATCTCAATAGATGCAGAAAAGGCCTTCGACAAAATTCAACAGCCTTTCATGCTAAAAACTCTGAATAAATTAGGTATTCATGGGACATATCTCAAAATAATAAGAGCTATCTATGACAAACCCACAGCCAATATCATACTGAATGGGCAAAAACTGGAAGCATTCCCTTTGAAAACTGGCACAAGACAGGGATGCCCTCTCTCACCACTCCTTTTCAACATAGTGTTGGAAGTTCTGGCCAGGGCAATCAGGCAGGAGAAAGAAATAAAGGGTATTCAATTAGGAAAAGAGGAAGTCAAATTGTCCCTGTTTGCAGATGACATGATTGTATATCTAGAAAACCCCATCGTCTCAGCCCAAAATCTCCTTAAGCTCATAGGCAACTTCAGCAAAGTCTCAGTATACAAAATCAATGTGCAAAAATCACAAGCATTCTTATACACCAATAACAGACAGCCAAATCATGAGTGAACTCCCATTCACAATTGCTTCAAAGAGAATAAAATACCTAGGAATCCAACTTACAAGGGATGTGAAGGACCTCTTCAAGGAGAACTACAAACCAGTGCTCAATGAAATAAAAGAGGATACAAACAAATGGAAGAACATTCCATGCTCATGGATAGGAAGAAGCAATATTGTGAAAATGGCCATACTGCCCAAAGTAATTTAGAGATTCAATGCCATCCCCATCAAGCTACCAATGACTTTCTTCACAGAATTGGAAAAAACTACTTTAAAGTTCATATGGAGCCAAAAAAGAGCCCACATTGTCAAGTCAATCCTAAGCCAAAAGAACAAAGCTGGAGGCATCATGCTACCTGACTTCAAACTATACTACAAGGCTACAGTAACCAAAACAGCATGGTACTGGTACCAAAACAGAGATATAGACCAATGGAACAGAACAGAGCCCTCAGAAATAATACCACACATCTACAACTATCTGATCTTTGACAAACCTGACAAAAACAAGAAATGGGGAAAGGATTCCCTATTTAACCAATGGTGCTGGGAAAACTGGCTAGCCATATGTAGAAAGCTGAAACTGGATCCCTTCCTTATACCTTATACAAAACTTAATTCAAGATGGATTAAAGACTTAAATGTCAGACCTAAAACCAGAAAAACCCTAGAAGAAAACCAAGGCAATACCATTCAGGACATAGGCATGGGCAAGGACTTCATGTCTAAAACACCAAAAGCAATGGCAACAAAAGACAAAATTGACAAATGGGATCTCATTAAACTAAAGAGCTTCTGCACAGCAAAAGAAACTACCATCAGAGTGAACAGGCAACCTACAGAATGGGAGAAAATTTTTGCAATCTACCCATCTGACAAAGGGCTAATATCCAGAATCTACAAAGAACTCAAACAAATTTACAAGAAAAAAACAAACCCATCAACAAGTGGGCGAAGGATATGAACAGACACTTCTCAAAAGAAGACATTTATGCAGCCAAAAGACACATGAAAAAATGCTCATCACTGGCCATCAGAGAAATGCAAATCAAAACCACAATGAGATAACATCTCACACCAGTTAGAATGGTGATCATTAAAAAGTCAGGAAACAACACGTGCTGGAGAGGTTGTGGAGAAATAGGAACACTTTTACACTGCTGGTGGGACTGTAAACTGGTTCAACCATTGTGGAAGACAGTGTGGCAATTCCTCAGGGATCTAGAACTAGAAGTACCATTTGACCCAGCCATCCCATTACTTGTTATATACCCAAAGGATTATCAATCATGCTACTATAAAGACACATGCACACATATGTTTATTGTGGCACTATTCACAATAGCAAAGACCTGGAACCAACCCACATGTCCAACAATGATAGACTGGATTAAGAAAATGTGGCACATATACACCATGGAATACTGTGCAACCATAAAAATGGATGAGTTCATGTCCTTTGTAGGGACATGGATGAAGCTGGAAACCATCATTCTCAGCAAACTATCACAAGGACAAAAAACCAAACACCCCATGTTCTCACTCATAGGTGGGAACTGAACAATGAGAACACTTGGACACAGGAAGGGGGACATCACACACTGGGGTCTGTTGTGGGATGGGGGAGGGGGGAGGGATAGCAATTAGGAGATACACCTAATATAAGTGATGAGTTAATAGGTGCAGCACACCAACATGGCATGTGTATACATATGTAACAAACCTGCACATTGTGCATGTGTACCCTCGAACCTAAAAGTATTATAATAAAAAAAATTATGTTGATTGGACTTTATGCCTCATATACAAGCAAGAGAATGGCTTGTACTAAAATCCCAGTTTAGTAATTTGAGAAATGTAACAATAAAGCATAGTCCCAATACTAATTAATTAGTACACTCACTTCTGATTAGGGAGGTCAATCTGAAGGCTAAATAAGGACCAGTTTCAGAAATTGAAAGATACTTGTTATATAGGATTTAACCTGCTTGAACTTAACCCAGTAATCCTGTCATGTGATCTAGAAATCATTCCCAGAGCCATTGCTGAAGATACAGGATGAAAGTTTGTCTGTGAGCTTTGCTTTGCAGTGTTCCAAATGACCATTTGAGTTCTTGTTGTGTAAGTATACATGAGAAAGGCTCTCCATTGTTTATTTAATCTGAGAAGGTGCCTCTAGAAATAATACCATTTAAAATTTACCAAGTGTTTACTGTCATGTATGAGTGTGTTGTTCATTTTCTCATTTAGTTTAGTGCAATGGGGCTATAAGGAAAATATGTTTTTCTCATTTAAAGGAACAAAGAGGCTCAGGTTTTTGCAAATACAGTAACATTGCTAGGGGTCACATAACTCATAAGTGTTGCTGCAACTGAAATTTGAACTCATTTGAATTTCAGCATTTGGCTTAATAGACACTGATTTCTGTCTTAATATGCTGATTGTGTGGGGGTTCCCAAGACCCACCCGTAGGTTCAGTGATTGGCTAGAAGGACTCACATGATCCAGCATCAGTTGTACTAACAGCCAGGATTTATTACAGCACAGGAAAAAGGTGCACGGGGTGAAGTTCAGAGGCAAACAGACACAAGCTTCCAAGAGTCCTCTCCCTATGGAGTCACACAGGATGTACATAATTCTTCCAGCAATGAATCGTGACAACATGTGTGAAATGTTGTGTACTAGGGAACCTCATTAGAGAGTCAGTGCCCGAGATTTTTATTGAGTCTGGTCATGTAGGCATCTCCTGCCTAACACATACCAAAATTCCAGATTCCCGGAAGGAAAGCAGATGTTTATACAAACAATACAATGTTGTTTGTAAAGTTTAGGCACAGTGAATCACGCTTATCATTTAGGAAAAGTTTTATATCAATGTAGGGAACTGTTCACCATTAAAGTTTCCACATGCCAGCCAAGGGCCAATCTCGACAACCAAGTCCTTCTAAGGATAGCAATCTTAGGCCTGTTAACTTTTTTCCTGTACACTGATTTATTCATTTGAAGCAGTTGTGATTATTATCATTCAGCTTTTGACAAGTAATGAGAAAAGTACATATTATGGCAAACTAAATTATTTAATGGAATCTGTTTTGTGGAGGGTGGAGAGGTCCCAGTTGCCGCTGATTTTCTGGAAGGATGCACACAACATAAAGCTGTACTCATGGCTCAAGTTTATTACAGCAAAGGATACAATGCAGGAAGAAGGTAAATGGTAGAGTGGGTAGGCATAGGCTTCCAGGTCCTATCTCAGTGAGAATCACAGGGACATGCTTTTCTCTCCAGCAGTGAGTGATAGAGACACATGCAAGATGTCTCTAGCCAGAGAAGCACACAAGTGTTACAGTCCAGAGTTCTTACAGGGAGCTAGTCACATAAGCACATTCCTACCATATGACCAGCTCTGGTAACTGAAACTGGGGACCCCACACCAGACACCAGGTACACATAATAAATCTTAATGATTACTTTAAAACAATGCTGACAGCCTGGTACATCCTGACTCACTGCCTGGAGCATACACAAAAAGATCATTAACAAGTGACTGTTAACAATCCAGGAACATAGTTCTCAGAGTTTGGCTAGGGTCATTGCCGTGACTCCAGGAATCCCCTAGAGATTAGCACAACCTAAGTAAAACGGACCTGCTGTGTTAACTCGATTCATACAGTTGAAATACTGTTGGATTTGTTGAATGCAATATTTAATGCTAGATATACTCTTTAGAGTATGATATTCTAAATGTAGAAACAATAATTGATGGTAAAATAGCTGACCAATTTTGTTTCTCTGAGAAGTTTGTAGATTTTTTTTTTAATTAGGGATTTATAGATTCTTTTCTTTTAGGGTGACTTTTGGATTTCCTATTTTTGTCCACAGCTATTTGTATTATATAATGATATGTGTTATGTTAAAGAGTAATACAAAAATATTAACTTAAAGACAGTTATTTCAAAATTAACCTTCACTTTGTGAAGGTCTTCCTTGTGATTGGCTTTATAACACAATGGGATCCTTTTTTACAGAATTTGCAGAATTGTGGAAATACCAGTTTTGCAGAAAGCACATCAGCCATAGTTTTTTTTAAAAAAGAATGTCTGATTCCAGGATATGGAATCAATCTTTGCCGCTTTATTTATTGCTAGTTGAAACCTGCTTTATGTTATACAGAAACAACAAAGTGGATGGTGACAGTCCCCTGCTTAAAAATGGGACATTCTGAGTTAACATAGTTAAATAGATTCCCATATTTTTCCTTATTGCAGAACTTTACAGACCCTTTAGTAGGATAATATGCAATGTGAATCTACCAGGACAAATAGAGTATAGACTGTTTCCTCGACTTACTTGACTCTGGAATGTCTTTAGTGAAGACTGTCTCAGTTATTGGTCCTGCAATAACAGTGTTCTTTAGAACAAAATGGACCAGAGGGAAAGACTGTCTTAAGGACAGGGAAAGGCCATTAGAGGGTTTTAGGTCAAAGAGAGACAGAAACAAAACAACTGTAGAAAAAACTTACTTTAAACAAACAAAACCTTGTATCATATGCTGCTTTCTCATAAAACCTGTTCAGAAACTTCCCTATCTTGATGTTTCTTTGCCTGTCAGGTTTCCTTAATTGATATTTCTCTTTGGAATGTGAATGGCATGTCTCTTAGATTGGTGTTTAACAGTGTGATTAGATGTGGGTCGTTACATTCATGCTTGTACCACCTACAGTACCTGACACAGTATCAAGAACATCATTGGACAAAATAAATATCCAGAGAGCATGAAATGAGTTGTGACTCAAAAATACAGGCATGTCCATGTTATTGTACTTTGTTTTATTGTACTTCACAGATACTACTTTGTTTTTTTTTTTTTTTTTTTTTTTTTCAACAAATGGAAAGTTTGTGGCAACCCTACACTGAAAAAGTCCATAGGCACCATTTTTCCAACAGCATCTGCTCACTTTGTGTCTTTATGTCACATTTTGGTAATTCTTAGAGTATTTCAGAGGTTTTCATTATTATATCTGTTGTGGTGATTTTTGATTAGTGATCTTTGTTGTTATTATTGTAATCATTTTGAGGTACCACAAACTTGTGCCCATACAAGACGGCAAGTTTAATCAATAAATGTCTTTTCTGACTGCTCCGCCGACCAGCCGTTTCCCTGTCTCTCTCCCTCTCCTCGGGTATCCCTGTTCCCCAAGATACAACACATACACCACCACACTCTGCTAAGCAACAGTATTGAAAGGATGCAAATTAATAACCCTACAGTGGCCTCTAAGCATTCAAGTGAAAGGAAGAGTCATGTGTCTCTCACTTAAAAGCTAGAAAAGATAACGCTTAGTGAGGAAGGCATGTCGAAAGCAGAGATGGGCCAAAAGCTGGGCTTCTTGCGCCATATAACTTGAAAAGTTCTGAATGGCAAGGAAGAGTTCTTGAAGGAAGCTACTCCAGTGAACACACAAATGATAAGAAAGCAGAACAGCTTTATTGCTGACAAGACAGTTTTAGTAGTCTGCATAGATCAAACCAACCACAACGTTCCCTTAAGTCCAGCCTAATCAAGAGCAGGGCCCTAACTCGTCAATGCTATGAAGGCTGAGAGAGGTGAGGAAGCTGCAGAAGAAAAGTTTGAAGCTAGCAGAGATTGGTTCAGGAGGTTTAAGGAAACAAGCCATCTCCACAATGTAAAAACAAGTGTTGTTGTAGAAGCTGCAGCAAGTTATCCAGAGGATCTAGCTAAGACCGTTGATGAAGGTGGCTACACTAAAAAACAGATTTGCAATGCAGACAAAACAGCCTTCTATTGGAAGAAGATGCCATCTAAGACTTTCATAGGTAGAGAGAAGTCAGTGCCTGACTTTAAAGCGTCAAAGAACAGACTGACTTTGTTAGTAGGTGATAGTGCAGCTAGTAACTTTAAGTTGAAGCCAATGTTCAGTTACCATTCTGAAAATTCTAGGACCCTTAAGAATTACACTAAATCTATTCTGCCTCTGCTCTATACATGGAACAACAAAGGCTGGATGACAGCATATCTGTTTACAACATGGTTTATTGAATAATTTAATTCCACTGTTGAGACTTGCTGCTTAATAAAAAAGATTCCTTTCAAAATATTACTTTTCATTGAGAATGCACCTGGTTACCCAAGAGCTGTGATGGAGGTGTGTGATGAGAATAATGTTTTCATGCCTGCAAATGCAACATTTATTCTGCAGCCCATGAATCAAAGAGTAATTTTGACTGTCAAGTCTTATTTAAGAAATACATTTCATAAGGCCATAGTTGCTGGGTCTGACCCACAGACCCCGACCAAGCGATGGATGAACGGATGCACTCAGACACAGGTATCCAGTGAGAGTGGGCTAGGAGACTCGGCTGCTCATGTACCCCAAGGAGGGTGTTGTAAAGAGTTGTAGCAGCTGTGGCCCTGACAAGCTGGTGCTGCAGGCATTTATTTATACAGATTTAATGACAAAGGCCTTGAGTCAACACACTTTTGGGTAATTAACATGGTGCTTCCCCCCTTCCCCACCCCACACACACACACAGCCCCAGCAGTCCTGCACTCAGATGATTAAAGGCCAGGTTCTACTAAGTAAACTAAGTTATCTAGATCAGTTTCTTTACATCTCCTTGTTATCTAACCTAAGCGTTCAGGCACAGGGTGAGAGAATCTGGCTGCCTTCAGCCAAATCCTTTTCTGAAGCTTTTGTAAAATCTCCCGGCCTTCCAAGAAGGTTTGCATCTTTCTACAATTTTTCCCACCACAGTGACCAATCTCCTACACATAGCTCCCATAGACAGTGATTCCTTTGGTGGATCTGAGCAAAGTAACAGAGTTTCACCATTCTAGATGCCATTAAGAACATTTCTGATTCATGGGAGGAGGTCAAAACATTGACAGGAGTTTGGAAGAAGCTGAGTTCAACTGCAGATGTGGTAGCAATAGCAAGAGAACTAGAATTAGAAGTGGAGCCTGAAGATATGGCTGAATTGCTGCAATCTTAAGATAAAACTTGAATGGATGAGTAGTTACTTCTTATGGATGGGGAAAGAAAATAGTTTCTTGAGACAGACTCTGCTCCTTGTGAGGATGCTATGAACACAGTTGAAATGACAACAAAAAATTTAGAATAATCCATAAACCTAGTTGATAAAGCAGTGGCAAGGGGTTTGAGAGGATTGGCTTCAATTTCGAAAAAAGTTCTACTCTGGGTAAGATGCCATCAAACAGCATTGCATGCTGTAGAGAAATCTTTCATGAAAGGAAGAGTTGATGTGGCAAACTTCATTTTTGTCTTATTTTAAGAAATTGCGACAGCCACTCCAGCAGCCACCACCCTGAACGATCAGCAGCCATCAACACTAAGGCAAGACCCTCCACCAGCAAAAAAATTACGATTCGCTGAAGGCAAAGATGATTGGTAGAATTTTTTAGCAGTAAAATTTTTAAATTAAGGTATATACATTACTTTTAAAGACAATGCTGTTGCGTACACACTGCTGTATAGTATCAACATAACTTTTATTTGTACTGGGAATCCAAAATATTTATGACTCATTTTACTGAATATTTGCTTTATTTTGGTAGTCAGGAACCACACCTGCAGTATCTCTGAGGTATGCCTGTAGCGAAACTTCATTTTTTTAAAGAACAACAATATAGTAGACATAAAAGTTAGGTGCTATGCATTTATTTTAGTAATGATATCATTTTGAGAAACATTTTTGGAATTTTATTTTAGACTTCTCTTGAGTTTGGCTTTTTTTCCCATTAACATTAACTTATTTTTTGTGATCTTTATGCTTGTTTGATTTGTAGAATTGTTCCACCATAAATATTTAAATACTTTTAACTACTAGATTTCTTTTTTCTTTTGTCAGACGAAGTCTCACTTTTGTCCCCCAGGGTGGAGTGCAGTGGTGCGATCTCAGCTCACTGCAACCTCCACCTCCCGGGTTCAAGCAATTCTCCTGCCTCAGCCTCCCGAGTAGCTGGGATTACAGGTGCCTGCCACCACAGCCGGCTAATTTTTGTATTTTAAGTAGAGACAGGGTTTCACCATGTTGGCCAGGCTGGTCTCAAAACTCCTGACCTCAGGTGATCCCCCCACCTTGGCCTCCCAAAGTGCTAGGATTACAGGTGTGAGCCACCATGTCCAGCCTTAACTACTAGATTTCTTTTGCAGTATTTGGAATATTATTTTAAGTAATTAAATGATCAATCATAGCTACTACATTCTTTTTTTGCCTTATTAAAACCTACCCTTTAAGATCAGGAATAAAACAAGGATGCCTGTTGTTACCTTCCTTTTTCAATATGTTATTAATACTAGAAATCTTCGCAAGGTAGCTGAATTTAAAATCAACAAATAAAAATACAGGTGCATTTTTGTAAATCAGCAATAAAATACCATTTCAGGTAGGAAAAAATTAAAGTAACAAGTATTTTCTAACAAAATTGTGTTAAACCTTTAAAAGAAAATTATAAAATTTTATTGGAAGATGTTAGGAAAGGTCTAAATAAATGGAGAGAGAATATTTTTATAGATTTAAAGATGCTTTTGGAAAGATAGCAGATCTCTCCAGTTATTTATAGATTTATTTCAATCTAGTCAGAATCATGACAACTTTTATTTTTGGGTTAAAAAGTTGATTCTAAAATTTTTGAGGAAGACTTAACAGGTCAGGAGTAGCCAAGACACTCCTCTAAAGAAGTTGTGATAGGTGAGAAGACTTGTTTTACCATATATGAAGAATTAGTATAAAGCTGTAAAAGTTAAGACAACAGTATGGTATAGGGAGAGATAGATCAATAGAAGAGAATATGGAAACCCAGAAACTTGGCTTGTGACAAAGTTGGTATTACACTCCTTTAGAGAGAGCTTTCCATAAATAGTTCTTGGACAGCTGGTTATCCACATAGGAGGGAATGACATTGAATCCCTGCTTAAATGGGAAAAGCAAACCTTTAACATTTTTAGATATTAAAACATTATAATGATTTCTAGATAGAGAAGATTTTCTTAAAACATAGAAAATATGAACCGTAAAAGATGCTACTTTTTTTGTTTTAGAGATGGGGGTCTTGCTATGTTGCCTAAGTTGGTCTTGAACTTCTGGCCTCAAGCAATCCTCCCACCTTGGCTTCCCAAAGTATTGGGACTATAGGCATTAGCCACCATACCCAGACAAAGATACTTCTTTTTTATTAAGAACATTGGGAAAAGGGCTTGGGATGGTGGCTCATACCTGTAATCCCAGCACTTTGGGAGGCTGAGGTGGGAGGATTGCCTGAGCCCAGGAGTATGAGACCAGCCTGGCCAATATGGTGAAACCCTCTCTTTGCAAAAAAAATACAAAAATTAGGCGGGCATGATGGCGTGTGCCTGTAGTCCTAGCTCGGAGGCTGAAGTGGGAAGGATTCATTGAGCCCAGGAGGTTGAGGCTTCAGTGAGCCATGATTGTGCCACTGCATTCCAACCTGGGCAACAGAGGGAGACCCTGTCTCCAAAACGCTGGGAAAAGATACTGCAGTACATTTAACTCACACAAGGCTACATTAGGATCTTCACAGACTAACAAGAAAAACACAAAACAACACATCTAGTAGAGCAGAACTTCAGTAGGCATATTAGAGAAGAGGAAATGGAATGATCAGTAATGCCAGAGATGGTGGGGAAATGCAAATTAAAACTATATTAAGATACCAATTACATCAGATTGTCAAAAATAAAAATGTCTGACAGTAATAAGTGTTGTCAACGATATAACACATCCACCACGTGCAGTGATATAACAGTTCACATCTGGTGGGTGGTTTCAGCCACCTGGGAAAACAAATTGGTGATATCTGATCATATTGAAAATATGCATACTGTGCCACCTAACAACCATACGTATATACTTTAGATCAGGGGTCGGTGTGATGACTCATGAGTTAAGAATGGTTTTTAACATTTTTAAGTGCTTAAAAAAAATAATATTTTGTAATTTATAGTGTGAAAATTATATGAAATTCAAATTTTGGTGTCCAAAAATAAGCTTGGAATATTGTCACATTCATTTATGTACCTCTTACAGATGCTTTCATGGTACAACACTAGAGTTAAGTTGTTGCAACAGACATTGCATGACTCAAAAAGCCTGAAATCTTTATCATCTGGCCCTTTGCAGAAAATATTTACTGACCTCTTCTCTAAATAAATACTCTTGCACATGCGTACTAGTAGACATGTTCAGGAATGGTCATAGCAGTATTGCTTGTAATAACGGAAACCTAGAAAGAACCCAAATGTCTGTTAAGAGTAGAGAAATAGGTTTGCTAAGCCAGCGGAATACTATTCAGTAGTGAAATGGAATTGGATGCATGGATGGATCCAAGCATATGGATAAATCTCAGAAACAGTGTTAGAAAAAAGCAAGTCAGGTTTTTCCACTTATAAGCACTTCAGAAACAGTCAAGTATAAATAAGGCATTGTTAAAGATACTCGTGAGGTTAAATTATCAGGACAAGGAAGGACCGTAAGAATAGGGATTGCCTTTGAAGAGTTGGGGAAGAGATGGGATTTGAGAGGGAACTTTAAAAATCATGTTCTTATTGTTAAACCAGGTGGTGGAGATGTGTGTTGTGTTGTGATCATTTATTTCCGTGACATGTTTTATACGTACTCTTTTGATATTTTATAAGTTTTTGTGATCTGGGGCATTAAAAAGTATCTTTTCAAATAGTATAGTCTGTCTCATAATATATAATTATGACCCACAGAGTGGAAGCTCATCAGCAGACTAGAAGCTGCTTTTTACCTATTGCCCCCTCTTCCCTGGTTCCCCAAGCATTCTGGTTGTGTCAGGAACCCAATTCAGATTTTCTTAAGCAGAAAAGGGGACTAATAGGATTCCTCGTTGGGTCACTGAAGCCAAGGAAGAGTCAGGGACTTGGTCACTGTCAGGGTGCTCTGCCACTCATCTGTATGTCTCTGCTTGGCCACATTGTTTTTGGCTGCAAGTGGCCTTCTCCATGTCGGGGGCAGTGTGACTGAGCGCAGTCCTAGAGCACAGCCTTCCAGGTCTGTGACTCAGGCCAAGGAGTCAGGTCCTGTGGTCAGCCTGGCTAGGTCATACTGTGGCCAGGCAACTGGATCTGTTACCAGAAGAAACCTTTTGAGGAGGGGAGGAGAGGTTAAGGGTCAGAATCATGAGCCCGGCAGCCACTTCTGTTTGTAATGGTTACATATGTATTAATTGTAAAGCAATATGTGTGGCATTTTGTCACACCTTTGTGTGGATATCAGGGCTGTTTTGATGTTAACGCTAAGATGTTGCCTAAGACATGGCACTGAGACATGGCCGAGGTGGGAAGAGGGGTTAGAAATGTCTGTTGAGCATATTATTACCTGTTAAAAATAAAAATACAGCATGATCAGCTCTCCTACCACTTTATAGTCACACCTGTCTCCTTCCCTTCTTCCCATAAGGACATTTAAGGCATTAAGTACTTGAGTCTAAATAGATGTTACAAACTTGGTTTAAAACATAACACATATCTGGCTGGGCACGGTGGCTCACGCCTGTAATCCCAACACTTTGGGAGGCCGAGGCAGGCAGATCACGAGGTCAGGAGATCGAGACCATCCTGGCTACCACAGTGAAACCCCATCTCTACAAATTCAAAAAATGAGCAGGGCGTGGTGGCAGGCACCTGTAGTCCCAGCTACTCGGGAGGCTGATGGCAGGCACCTGTAGTCCCAGCTACTCGGGAGGCTGAGGCAGGAGAATGGCGTGAACCGGGGAGGTGGAGCTTGCAGTGAGCCGAGATCGTGCCACTACACTCCAGCCTGGGCAACAGAGTGAGACTGACTCAAAAAAAAAAAAAGAAAAAAAAACACATATCTACTATTCTGAATGACTGGAAGGGCATTTAACCCATTGGTGTTTCATTGGGATGCAAATTTGTAGGGAGTTTGTATCTTTTGCTTTTCTGTTTGCCAGGTTCTTTGTTTTGAACATACATTACTTTACAAACAGGAAAAATATAAACTTTTAAAGGTATTGGTGGAAGTCAGTTTGTCATCTTAAAAACTGACATTCCACTCAAGACACTAAACACTGTATTCTCTAATTTGAAACATTCGAGCCAATAAATTTTATAGGAGTTTATTTACATCATGACTACCCCAAATGATAAGCTTGTTCTTCTGACCTCTAAACTTGAGATAACACCCGGGAAATAACTACAGAAAGAGAATATCCAGGTTTTAATGGAATGTGGACATCAATCTGGGCAGGAATTTTGGATTGATTATTTGCTAATTTTTTGTTAAATACTTATGTTGAATAAGAAGATTCCAAGACCTGAAAATTGGTTCTCCTTTTTCTTTGGCTATCGAATAAGGCTTCTCAGTGCTAAATTTCGATCAGTAACCACTTGACAGCTCAAAAACTGTGGCAGAAGTATTGGCCTGAACACTTTATAGGAAGCTGGGAATATAAATTGAAGCCTACGAGACTGGAGCCGTACTCACTTTGGCTACTAGGGGTAAGCCAGAATAGCTGCTACTTGGTTTTGACAATTTTGGCTTCAGTTATCTTTCTACATATTCACTTTTATATTGCTATAAGGTAGGATCCAAGTTTATTTTTTAATTATATGGAAAGCCACTTGTCCCTGCACCAATTTTCTTTGTAGTAGCATCTTTTTAGTTTTTCACACTTGTATGGATTTGTTTTGGGTTACCATATGGTTTTAAGTACGTCTGCTTTATAATTCAGTCCAGGCCAGGCGTGGTGACTCACACCAGTAATCCCAGCACTTTGGGAGGCTGAGGCGGGCGTATCACTTCAGGTGACGCGTTTGAGACCAGCCTGGTCAACATGATGAAACCTCTTCTCTACTAAAAATACAAAAATTAGCTAGGCATGGTGGCATGCACCTGTAGACCCAGCTACTTGGGAGGCTAAGGCAGGATAATTGCTTGAACCCAGGTGGCAAAGGTTGCAGTGAGCCAGGATCACACCACTGCACTCCGGCCTGGGTGACAGAGCAAGACTCTGTCTCAAAATAAATAAATAAGTAAATGAATAAATAAATAAATAAATCCATTCCCCAAAGCCTCATTTGGGTTTTGATAAGAATTATATTGAATTTATAGATTAATTTTGGGAATAACCTTGTATTCATTTTCTCATCTATTCATTAGTTAGTTATTCTTTTGTATCCTTCAATAAAGCTCCACAGTTTTCTTCACCTCTTGCACCTGTTGGGTTTTCATAGCTATTTTGAATGTTTTTTTTTTTTTTTTTTTTTTTTTTCTGGGAGATGGAGTCTCGCTCTGTTGCCCAGGCTGGAGTGCAGTGGCGCAATCTCAGCTCACTGCAAGTTCTGCCTCCCAGGTCACACCATTCTCCTGCCTCAGCCTCCTTCCCAAGTAGCTGAGACTACAGGCGCCCGCCACCATGCCCGGCTAATTTTTTGTATTTTTAGTAGAGACGGGGTTTCACCGTGTTAGCCAGGATGGTCTCGATCTCCTGACCTCCTGATCCGCCCGTGGCCTCCCAAAGTGCTGGGATTATAGGCGTGAGCTGCCGCACCTGGCCGGTTTATTTTATATATTCTAAATAGTTATAACTACCATATAGGAGCACGACTGATGTTATATGTTCATCTGTAGTCATCTGCCTTATGAAATCAATAATTAGCTCTAATGGTTTATCTTTTGATTCTTAAATAATTTCTATGTAGAAATCATACCATCTGCAGATGATAATTTTGTTTTTTTCCCCCTAATCCTTAATTCATTTTCTTATCTGTTGCTTGGACCTTCAGTACAGTGTCAGACTGAAGTGAGGATACATAACTTGCCTTATTTTAACTGAAGCTTCATCATTAAATATGATGTTTATTGTAGATTAAAGAATTCCCTTTCTAGTTCTAGTTTGCTGTTGAAGTTTTCGGTTGCTGAGTAATGAATTACCTAAAAATTTAATGGCTTTAAGCAATGAAGTTATTATCTCATATTTTCTTTGGGTCAGGAATGGAAGAGCAGTGTATTAGTTCATTTTTACACTGCTATGAAGAACTACCTGAGACTCGATAATTTATGAAGAAAAGGGGCTTAATTGACTCACAGTTCCACGGGCTTACCAGGAAGCATGACTAGGAGGCCTCAGGAAACTTACAATCATGGCAGAAGGTGAAGGGGAAGCAAGCATGTCTTACCATGGAGGAGCAGGAGAGAGAAAGAGGTGGGGGAAGTGCCACACATTTGTAAACCATCAGATCTCCTAAGAACTCACTCACTATCCCGAGAACAGCAAGGGGGAAATCTGCCCCCATGATCCTTTTACCTCCCACCAGGTCCCTTCCCCAATACTGGGGATTACCATTCAACATGAGATTTGGGTGGGGACACCGAGCCAAACTATATCAAGCATCTTAGCAGGATATTGGCTCAGGATCTTTCATGAGGTTGTACTCAAGATGTCAGCTGGAGCTGCCGTCATCTGAAGGCTTGCCTGGGGCTGCTTTCAAGGGGGTCTCACTTTCATGCCTGGCAGCATAATGTTGGTTGTAAGCAGGAGGCTTCAGTTTCTTACTATGTGGACCTCTGCATAGGAATGCTTAAGCATCCTTCTGACATGGCACTGGCCTTCCCCAGAGTGTGATCAGAGAGAGTGCTGGGGGAGGCCATAGAGTGTTTAATGACTCAGTCTTCACTTCCATCATATTCTGTTGGTTAGAAGCAAGTCACTAAGTCCAGCCCACACTCTAGGAGGAAGTTAAATGATACAAAAAGTATTTTGTGTGTTTCTTTTAGTCTGTCTGCCCTACAGAGTAGCATAAGTCAAGGGCTTCTGTCTGGATATCTTTACCTCAGGCCTCTCCTTTGAGCCCTGTGTATATCCAAGCAGCCATGGTAGCATCTCTCATTGAAGGTTCAAAGGCACCTCATACTCAACATGTCCCAAATCACACTTAACGTTTCTTCCCATCTTCTCCTCCCCTCCAAAAATTGGTCCTTTTTCACTGGTCCCCATTTCCATGATTGACACCTTTCTCTGTCCAGCTGTACAAGCTAGGATTGAGTTTGTCCCATCGTATCTCTTGTATCTTCCCACTTTTATCATCTCCAGCTTCATCTCACATCACAGTTTCCTTTTCTTTTTCTTCAGTTCACTAGCTTTTCAGTGTTGGGCTCCTTTCTGCTGTAGAGCCTTTACTATTCACTGCCTGTAATGCTTATTTTCCCTCAAACCATGTCTTTCTTAGGGAAGCCTTTTTGACAAAGTCAAATCTATTATAGATGTGTGTAGAGCTGTGTACCTTCTTTCAAAGCAGTTATCACAATTGGAATTTCACATTTATATGATTATTAACGTCTGCTTCCCTGGAGCCAACTCTGAACTTCATAAAGTCAGGGAGTGTGTGCATTTTGTTCACCCTTGTATTCCCTGCATTTGACACATTCCCTACATTTACTGTTTGGGTGACTGAATGAGTTAATAAGTGAATTAATACATTGATTATAGTTCTGTTTGAGAAATAGAGCAAATAGAATATAAAATTAATAAAATAATCTAGGCTCTTTTATTTGTATTGGAGGATAACACTTGTCTTTTTTAAGTCTTTTAGTTTTCTTGGCAGAAACTCTAGCTGTTAATTAAATAAATAGATTTGTCGAAGGTTCTCATATGTAATACCTCTGTCTGGTTAGTATGATGTAAAACTAGTGATCCTGGCTGTGGGTGGCTGGGAGACTGCTGTGTTCTCAGGAGAGAGGAGTAAAGCTAGGATCCAAGAGAATGAAGCTTTGTTTTCTCAGAAAGTTACTATCCAGCTGAGATTCTCTCAAACTTTCTGGAGAGCTTTGGTTAGAAATATGAGGGGTAGGAGAAAATCATTTGGCCGTAGAAAATACTGATTAATCTTTGGGAAAATTTGGCATGTGATATTAAGAATAGGATCAGGGTTAGGCGTGGTGGTGCGTGCCTGTAATCCCAGCAGTTTGGGAGGCCGTGGTGGGTGGATCACTTGAGACCAGGAATTCAAGACCAGCCTGGGTACAAAGTGAGAACCTGTCAAAAACAAAAAGAGAAGAAGAAGAAGAAGAAGAAGAAGGAAGGGAGGAAGTGAGGAAGGGAGGAAGTGAGGAAGGGTGGAAGGGAGGGAGGAAAGGAGGGAAGGAAAGAGGGAGGGAAGGAAGGAAGGGAGGGAGGGAGGGAGAGAGGATTGGATCAGAAGTTTACTGATATGCAAATGGGCCCTGACTTAAGATTTTTTGACTTTGTGAGAGTGTAAAACCATCACAATTTATGTGTAAGTATGGTATTCAGTAAATTGCATAAGATATTCAACACTTTATTGTAAAATAAGCTTTGTGTTAGATGATTTTGCACAACTATATGCTAATGCAAGTGTTCTGAGCACATTTAAGGTAGGCTAGGCTAAGCTATAATGTTCTGTTGGTTAGTTGTATTAAAGGCATTTTCGACTTTCGACTTAAGATGTTTTCAACTTATGATGGGTTTATTGGTACATTACCCCATCATAAGTCGAGAAGCATCTGTAATTAATCACTATACTTTGATATTAACTCTAATTTTATAACTTTAAAAATAAGTAGTTAAATGCATTTCAAATGGAAGGTTTTAACTTATGTGGTTGGGACAAAATAAGCAACTTTTAGTTACTTCCAAAATGAATTCTGGTATGTGTCTTTTGAGAAAACATAAAACAGTTTCTCTCTTTGTAAAACTGGCATTGTTTCTTTGAGGTATCCTCTCCCCCATGTTTGTTTATTTTTAAGTTGATTGAGATTGAATTTATATACAGTAAAATTCATCATTTTAGGTTCAGTTGTATAAGTTTATACAGTGGACACAGTTGTATGACCCCCAGCCCAAGAAAGTTATGGAATGTTTTCATTGCCACAGATTCATTTATGGGCAATCCCCTATTCCTTTTTCAGCCCTTGGCAGCCGCTGATCTGATTTATTGCTGGTTGCTGGGTGGTGTTTCATTGTATAAATATAGTGCAATTTGTTTATCCATTCATCAGATGATTGACATTTGGATTGTTTCCAGATATTGATGATTATAAGTAGGCTGCTATAAAGATGTGCATACAGGGCTGTGTGCAGATATGTTTTCCTTTCTCCTGAATAAATAGGAACGGGATTACAGATTCTTGTGGGGAGAAACTCCCCTGTTTTCCAGAGAGGCTGTACCATTTTGCATTCCCACTGGCACCGTATTAGAGTTCCAGTTGCTCCAATTCCTTTCCAGCACTTGTTGTTTTTCTTTTTTCTTTTAGCTGTTTTAATCAGTTCATAGTGGTGTTTCATTGTGGTTTTAATTTAATGTTGAATTTCTTTTCATGTACTCATTTGCCATCTGAAAAAAGTGTTTGGCTTTTTTGGTAAAGTGACAATTCAGACCTTCTGCCTATTTTATTGGATTGTTTGTTTTCTTACTGTGTTTTGAAAGTTTTTTATATATTCCGGATACTAGTCGTCTATCAGATATGTGACTTATAAATATTTTCTCCCAAATTTGTGACTTGCTCTTTATTTTCTTTCAAAGAAAAATTGGAAGTTTTAGCTTAATCAATAAAGGTGTATCACCTGAGTATAAACAGATATTTTCTTAATGGTGTCTTTTGAAGATTAGTTAGGAAGTCCAGTTTATTTTTTTTAATGGTTTGTGCTTTTTTGTTCTATCTAGGGAATCTTTGCCTAAGGTCTCAGGGTCTCAAAAGATTTTATTCTGTTTTATTCCAGATCTAGTTCAAAAATTTGAGTTAATATTTGTATGTGGTATAGGATATGGGCCAATATTTGTGTTTTTATTGTATATGGATATCTAATTGTTCTGGGACTGTTGAAAAAACTGTTATTTCTCCATAACAATGGACTGTATATGTGTGGATCTGTTGTAGAGAGCAGGGCTTGGCTTAGTGCTAAGGTTAGCACTCACTGGTGCACTGTTGTCACCAATAATGTTGTCTGTTGTGACAGACAGTGCCTTTGCTGTGCCGAAGATTCCCAGATGATGTTGTTAGTCTTTTCCTCTTAGAAGAGTGGGCAGTTGCTCAGGTGAAGGCAACACCAGCAGCCTCTGGAAAATGTGGGATGTTTGTTCTTTAAACTTTATCAGAGGAACACAGCCCTGATATTCATGTGGGCCCTTTTCTATTTTCCCTAAGTGTCCTCCGGTCTGAGAAATAAACGGAGAGAGTACAAAAGAGAAATTTTAAAGCTGGGAGTCTGGGGGAGACATCACGTCAGCAGGTTCCGTGATGCCCCCGAGCCGTAAAACCAGCAAGTTTTTATTAGTGATTTCCAAAAGGGGAGGGAGTGTACGAATAGGGTGTGGGTCACAGAGTTCACATGCTTCACAAGGTATTAAAAAATATCACAAGGCAAATGGAGGCAGGGCGAGATCACAGGATCGTGGCGAAATTAAAATTGCTAATGAAGTTTTGGGCACACATTGTCATTGATAACATCTTATCAGGAGACAGGGTTTGAGAGCAGACAACCGGTCTGATCAAAATTTACTAGGCGGGAATTTCCTCGTCCTAATAAGCCTGGGAGTGCTACGGGAGACCGGGGCTTATTTCATCCCTTATCTACAACCATAAAAGACAGACGTTCCCAAAGCGGCCATTTCAGAGACCCCTTGGGAAACCATTCTCTTTCTCAGGGATGGTCCTTGCTGAGAGAAAGAATTCAGCAATATTTCTCCTATTTGCTTTTGAAAGAGAGAAATATGGCTCTGTTCCGCCCGGCCCACAGGCAGCCAGACTTTAAGGTTATCTTCCTTGTTCCCTGAACATCACTGTTACTCTGTTCTTTTTTCAAGGTGCCCAGATTTCATATTGTTTAAACAATTTGTGCAGTTAACACAACCATCACAGGGTCCTGAGGCGACATTCATTCTCAGCTTAAGAAGATGATGAGATTAAGAGATTAAAGCAAAGACAGGCATAGGAAATCACAAGAATATTGATTGGGGAAGTGATAAGTGTCCAAGAAATCTTCACAATTTGTTCAGAGATTGCAGTAAAGACAGGCATAAGAAATTATAAAAGTATTAATTTGGGGAACTAATAAATGTCCATGAAATCTTCACAATTTATGTTCTTCTGCCATGGCTTCAGCTGGTCCCTCCGTTCGGGGTCCCTGACTTCCCGCAACAAAACTTCTTTTGTTTCCTGAACCTTATTAAAGGTCTCTGGGGCAAATGTGAAATTCCTTTTCAAGGCTTCCTAGATTATGGCTAATCTTTCTGAACAAGGAGATCATATTAATATTACTTATTAATGGCTATCATGAACCTAAAAATATGATTTATGACTCAACAATGCATTCATAATTTTGCACCATAACTATTTTTATAAAGAAACTGCCACCACCCCTTTACCTTGAGGAAAAAAACTTCAAAATGTAATTTTAAAAGTCTGATTTTGTAATATATTAATTTTTTCTAGTAATGAAAAATATTATATCAAAAATATAAAATTGGCCTTGAGTTTCTTGGATCAAATAATGAAGTCTGAAGACATTGTTACTATATTACTTTGGGGTTTGATGTCCTGTAGTCTCTTAAAGGACTGAAATTTGTTGTTGGACAGTTCTCTTCAGCTCTGACTCTTTTCCCCACCTGCTGATTTGTTCTTTGACTGAGCTTTGTGTGCCTTTTGGAACAAGGACTTGGTTTTCTTTCTATCCTTCATTTTAAGGACAGCGAAGGACACACAAAAGTTGCTTAGTAAGTGGAGAATAAGGAATAACTTTACAATAATGGTGGCAATAAAGGTAGCAATTCTTTCATTAAATACATTGTACTAGCTTTCATTAAACAAATTGAAGTAATAATTATTTAATTACATATGAAAACTAGAATCTTACCTGCAATGGGTCGTGCAAATTAACAATCTTTTAAACAACTCTTTAGAAAGAAAAATTATCTGCCATATTTAAATAAATGTTTTTTCATTCTTTTACATCTTATATCTTTGATGACAATTGCAAACATTGGTGGCAACATACTTGGAACTTTATCTTCAATTTTCTAAAGACATAAGTAGCCTTTTTTTTTTTATTGAACATAAACAACAAAGTAAAAAAAATCAAGTTCCTTACATGTTATTTGCTCTTCACCAGATTTCTTCCTGGTACGGTTATGATCTCAAAGAAACATCTCAAAGAAGACATTTTCTAAGAGTTTTCTCTTAGAAGCTTACAGAGATGAGCAAGCCTTCTGTGACCTCATTCCCTTGCGGGGAACAGTAATAGAAACCCCAAATTACCAGTGGCCTCGTCCTAAGAGCCAAACCCTGTGGACATTCTTTCTTTGTTATCTCAGCCTCATAGAGGGTCTAACATTGTTTATCCATACTCCTTCCTTCCTCTGACTTTTCATGCCTCTCTCAGAGGGGTCTGTTTTCTGCAGTATGTGGAAGGTGATGGGTGTCCTGGAGTTTCAGCCCCCTTTTTTCTCTCTGCCATTTTCATCGGCCACATCGTCCCCTCTGCCAACCCCAGCTGCTGCTTGTGTATGTATGCCTAACAAACCTGCCTTTTCACATCAGACCCAGTTACTCCCCTGACTGCCTATTGACACCTCGACATGAGGCCCCTCACATTCAGTGTGAACTAACTGAACTGATGATTTAGTCCGTATTTCCTTTCATTGTTGCATTACCATCATCTGTCTAGCTAGTTACCTTGGCCTTAAATCTGGGAATCATTTTTTGCCTCTCCTTTATCTTCCTTTCTCCCCATACTCCATGTAGGGTGTGCCACACACCCCTCTTCTCCCAAACACTCCCTCTTCACTGCACTTCACCTTCAATCTTAAAAGCTAATTGTGCACCCTTGCGAAACTTAAGTAGAAGTAGATGAAAAGTTATACTTACATTTAACTATTCTGCAGGCATTTTTTTCAAATAGGATTTTAGAGACCGTAAAACCACATTTGAAATTCAGATGTTGCACCAGCAATCAGACTGCTTTGCCAGTGATCAAAAGAGGCAGCTTTTCATATGAAATAACACAAAATATAAATGTATGTATATAGTTTATCTGGTGAGAACTTTTGTTCCATGACATTGTGCACTCTAATGCTTTAGGTTCTCCCCTCACCTCAGTTACCATAGTTATCAGTAAGTTGCTCACTACAGGTGACCCAGTATCAGGTATTGAGTAAGCATGATTTTGAGGTAAGAACATGACAGTAGCATCCTTGTTTTCATCTTGCAGTCAGGGAGTATTGGTTTGATGAAAGGAGGAATATAGGCAAGAGATCAAAGCCCCTAGAGAGATGAGCATAAATAATAACTTTACATTTATAAGTATCACTTAGTGTTTTCTCAGGTTGCTCTCTAGCAACCTTGTGAAGTAGGCAAGAACTGCTGTATATATTTCATGGATAAACTACAGGCCTGCCCTGAATTGTTCAGGTAAGTGCATCTCTGTTGGCCACCATGGAACTTGTTGCATAAAGTTGCCCTTGTAAGAAGCTGTTATCTTGCCCACATTCTGGTCCTTCCAGGGCATCTGCATTTGTAGCTTTCAGCATAGACACAGTGCAGACTCTGTTTCCTCACTCCACTTCATAGGAATGCACTTGGTTTATATTTCTCCTGGTCTTCAGTGACACAGGCTTTGAGCCTTAGAGTCAGCTGCTGAGCAGGAGATTCTCTACCTCTCTGAGGTCTCTCAGGCTGCTTCATCATGCTCCAAGATGAATTCCTTACGCTTAAGACACCTATGCTCAAACTATCCCAAATGACTTTTCAAAATTGGTAACCATTCCTCTAGTCATTTTCTCATCATGGTATAACATAATAAAGGGAGGTAGTAGGGTGGGAAATGGAAACTAAAAATCAGGGAAGTGTATAAAATTATTGTCAGAGCCAAGACTAAATGTCAGATCTTATGACATATACTTTTCTTTTCCATTATACTTTCCACGAATCTGTTTCCTGAATGATTGGTGACTGTTGCAGTTTTAGAATGGGATTCAGTGTGAAAGAGGAACGAGAGTTAACTCAGGAAGCTGCTGTAGTGCAGGCTACAAGGAGAACTCTATTAATTCTTGAGCCTGGGTACTGAATGTGGACAGTTGAAATGCACTGGGAATCACTAGTTGCCTAACCCCCTATGGTAATTAATAGCTTGACTTTTACCTTAACGTATAATACAGCAGTTGAGTAGGAAGGTAGTTAAGACCCAGGTGTTTGATGGGTGTGAAATAGTAGCTCACTGTTGTTTTAATTTGCATTTCCTAATTGTAGGGAATTGAGCACTTTTCTACATGTTTATTGGCTATTTAGGTTTCCATTCTACAAAGTACCTGTTTATGTCCTTTACCTATTTTCCTATTGGATTGTTGTATATTGATTTGTAGGAATTATTTATATAGTCCTGATACTCTTTATATATTTTATAAGCATTTTTCCAAGTCTGATTTTCAAACATAGTCTTCATAGTGAAATTTCTTATTCTTAATGAAATTAATAATTCATATTACTTAATGTTTATAATATTAAATTAATTTTATAATTCACTTTTGATGTTCTGAATTTTTAAGTTAATCTTTTTTCCTTTCTTTCTCTATAGGGTATGAACGTGATTTCTGATGAAACTGGATTGGAATAATTTTCATGATCTTTGTATATTTATATATATATATTTTTAAATTTTGCATTTGACTTAAAGTGCCATGAGAAAATTTGCATACTGCAAGGTGGTCCTAGCCACCTCCTTGATTTGGGTACTCTTGGATATGTTCCTGCTGCTTTACTTCAGTGAATGCAACAAATGTGATGAAAAAAAGGAGAGAGGACTTCCTGCTGGAGATGGTGAGTGACATTTTATAATAGAGCTGTTTTAACTACTATATCACTGGTTTTTACTAACTAATTTGGATAATATAAAATTTTAACTTTTTTAGATTAACTGTAGTCTGTGACTTCCTGTGGGAGATATGAGGATCATATTGATAGTTCTCCAATGGGTTCATCCAGCAGTTAAAAGCATGAAAGTATCATATATAGAATTGCTGAATTCGATTTTTGTGTTCAATATTTAGTGTAGTTAATTTCCTGTAAGTTACTTTATGTTACTAAATAATGTGGGTATCTCATAGTTGGGATATCAAAATTGTACAGAAGATTAGTCTAATGCCAAAATGCTGAGTGGAGCATTAAAATTGCATTATAAGGTATCAAAAGAGATTACTCCTCCCCTCCCATCTCATTCCTAAGGGGAAGAAATTTTTATAGATAGATGTGATCTGTAGAAGTTGTTGTTGTTGTTGTTAATGTTTTAGATAGCTGCAGTTAGCACTTTTAGGGAGAACTTTTTTGAAAAGATTGGGTGATAGAATAGAGGCTGCAGTGAGATCATTGCAATATCTAGTATGGAAAGGAAATAAATATACAAATATAAAGGAGGGAGGTAATAGGTAGTACTGATATTTTTGGCAGAGGACATTGGAAAATTCAGTTTTAAACTCCTTTTATTCAACAAACAAATGTTGCCATTTTTTAAAAAATTCTTTTTTTTTTTTTTTGTTTTTAACCATAATGAAAATGACTGCATTGCAAGAGTCAGTAATCCAGTTGTTCTGGGCTCTGAACTCTGTGATTAGTTATAGAATACATGGCTATACAGCAGTTCTACTATTTTTAGAAATTATATACAAATAATTACTCTTTAAACATGTTTTCTTTAAGCATATAGCCACATTTAAATTTTTTATACTTTTATGATGAGAAGGGCCTTTGGTCCCCCAAAATTTACAATAGAAAAAAAATATTGATTTGTATTGTTAACTGTACCAACTTAACTTTAATTGTTATATGTGGGCTTACATAACTGGTTCTATTTATATCTTCTTGGGAAATCTGCCTAAAATTAGGCTTAGTTGCTAGCACTGAATTCCAGTAATGCCTAGGCTAATTCCTAACTTAAATTTTCACTTTTTCCAAATGTTTTAATACATTTTTCATCCAAAGTCAGCCTATTAGTTTGCATAATATTTACTTTATAGCTCTGCTGTTGAGTATCTTTGTTGGGTGACAAAATGTTGCCACCTTAACTGTTGCTAGAACTGTATTCATACTGTCTATGTTTAAATCAAAGAACAGGTATTACGATTCATCAGTCAGAAACTTGAGTATTCTTTTCCCAAATAGAATGGAATAAATTTCCCCTCACCCTACCTTAATTCATTGCCATTTATAATAAGCTCATGGTGTTCTATCTTAAATGTAAAGACTTGACAGTGAGAAAGAATAGGCTCTATAGCATGTGTAGATTCACTTGAATTTTTTTTGACTTTTATATGTGCTGGGCAAGGTACTAGGTGCTGTTGATACACAGCTGAACAAAAAAATAAGACAAAATTCCTCCCTTCAGGGAACTCACAGTCTAATGGAATAGAAATAACAATAGTAAATATCAGCGTAATAAATATCACTTTAGGAATGTGCACAAGAGTAGAAAGGAAGGAATGCCTTGGGGTGTCTGAGAAGCTGCAATAAGGAAGTATGTTCCAGCTTAGTATCAGCTTGAGCAGGTGTTTGTTAGGAGAGGAGAAGACCTTCCAAGCAAAGGAAAGAAGGATGTGCAAGATTAGCAAGTGAGAACGAGTTGATAGGAGAACAAGAGCACAGGAGGTGGCAGAGGCCATGTCACACAAGGCCTTTTATGGCATGCTAGGGGTTTTGGACTTCATCTGTAGACAGCGGCATGGCGCTGAAGCACTTTAAACAAGGGAGTAAGGCCTGATCGGACCTGGACTTCTGGAAGAATGCTTTGGTGGTCATGTAACTGGTGGACTGGAAGAGGACGAGGCAGGTAGCAGATACCAGTCTGAGACTGTTGTGAGAGTTTGGAAAAGAGCTTGGAACAGACACTAAAATGACACTGGAGATGGAGAGGAAATAAATATGTATGAAAAGCATTTAAGTAGTGGAGTTTACATAACCTGGGGGGCCATCGAATGTAGGGAATAAGAGAAAGAGAAAAGTCTAAGGTGGCTTTCATGTCTCCATGGTTGGACGAATTGATGCTCCTTAGAAGAGGAGCAGCTTTGATGAAAAGGTGGATGCATGAAGTTGAGTTTGGAATTTTTTTTTTCATTTTTCTTATTTATTTATTCATGAATGAGATGGAATGTCGCTCTGTCACCAAGGCTGGAGTGCAGTGGCACAATCTCGGCTCACTGCTGCCTCTGCCTCCTGAATTCAAGCAATTCTCCTGCCTCAGCCTCTTGAGTACCTGCAGTTACAGGCGCACGCCACCACACCCAGTTAATTTTTGTATTTTAGCAGAGATGGGGTTTCACCATGTTGCCAGGTTGTTCTCGAACTCCTGACCTCAGGTGATCCACCTGCCTCAGCCTCCCAAAGGGCTGGGATTACAGGTGTGAACAACCGCACCCAACCTGAGTTTGGAATATTTAACTTTGAGGAACTGGTAGCGATGTTCTGCAGTAGAGAATGGTCGAGATGGAGAAAATAGATGGTAGTTTAAGTCTTTTCTGTACCTGAGGCTGTGCATGGTATGTGTAGAGTTGGAAGACACAGACTCCCTGTTGGAGAGCCCCTCCTGGAGGGTCACTGAAGGAAGAGAAGGCTTCCCAGGAAGTCAGAGTGGAATGAAAAGCCCCAAGGAGTAGGTCATAGAAGCCCAGCCAAGGGTGGCATTTGCTCAGAGGTTTTACCTAAAATAAAGTGTTTCTGATAGTTTGGTATGGGGCTTCTTGTGACCCTGGCAAGTGTCATTTCAGGGAATGGTAACTGTGGAAGTCAGTGGATTCTGGATTCAATATACTGGAGAAACAGTAGGGATGTGGCTGTTCTTTAGGAAGCTTCAGCATGAAGGGAAGCATGTAGTATACGGTAGTTACAAGAGAGAAATGGAGCCGAAGTTGGTTTTCTATGTATTTATTATTATTTATGTATGTTCAGGAAGAGGTTTAAACTATAGGGGAAAGGAGGAATACTTGAAAGAACAAATTCTCAGCAGATGAGACAGTGGGGTATCAGAAACGTGAAAAGGATTCTCCTCAAAGAGCATCCACAGGTTATTATAGTTTTGACAACCACTAGTGGCATAAGTTTCAAAGAAAAAGACTGGGTTTTGTACAAAAGTACAAGCTAAAGGAGCAAAAGTCTGAAAGTAACGGAGGTATGAGATGGCCTCCTTGCCTCTGGAGGAAAGGAGAACGAATCATTCTCCCAGAAACAGTTGTGAGGTTAAATGGACTCTGGAGGAGAGCTAGACTTCAGTTAAGTCTGTAGATGGAGCCTGTGTATTGTGGAGACCAGACAGTGGAGAGGCTTTACAACAGCCTGGGGGTGTCAGGGTGTTCAGGGGACAGACTGAGAAGGACCTCCAAGCGTGAGGGAAGGGCTGAGCCGTAGGCTGGAGGGGAAGTACATAGCTAAGGGGAGATAATCTTTGAGGTCCCTGGTAGTCTTAAGGGAAGAAATGATTAGGGGAAGAGCACAGTTGATGCTAATAAGCAACAGTTTGAAAAATCTGCTTTGATATGAAGTTTCAGTGCAGTAGGTGCTGAGAGGTCTTAAGTCTTTTCAGAGCCCAGAGGTTGTTAAGGTTCTGCTAGTGACAAATTTCTGTGGTGCATTTGAAGAGATGTTTACTAAAGAGGATCAGGGAGAGGGAATGGGTAATGGCACCAAGGATGCCAACTTTCTAGTGGAATTAGCATGTACATTATGTGACCTCAAAGTTTCTCTTTTTTTTTTTTTTTTTAAAGACAGAGTCTTACTCTGTCACCCAGGCTGGAGTGCAATGGCGTGATCTCAGCTCACTGCAACCTCCGTCTCCTGGGTTCAAGCGATTCTCCTGTCCCAGCCTCCCGAGTTGCTGGGATTACAGGCACCCGCCACCATGCCCAGCTAATTTTTGTATTTTTAGTAGAGACGGAGTTTCACCATGTTGACCAGGCTGGTCTCAAACTCCTGACCTCAGGTGATCTGCCTGTTTCAGCCTCCCAAAGTGCTGGGATTACAGGAGTGAGCTGCTGTGCCTGGCATCAAAGTCTCTCTTAATAGAACACATAGGGCCTCCTGGATCTTTGTTTTAAAACAAACAACCAAAACAAAACAACAAAAAGCATTGAGCAGTATTACACTCCAGAGTGACTTTTTCATATTGGAAGTACCTAATTTCTGAACGTTCTGCTTTACAGCTCTGATTTCGGTGAAATTTAGCAAATTTTACTGTCTCTGCTGTGAAAAAAGTTTTCCTAGGTTTGAATAGAATGGATTGATGTCATTGTGATAATGCTGAAGACTTCCTGTAACATTGTTGTTGATATGCTGTACTTAAGAGTTTTCTAAGATTCTTCTATTTACTTGTTACTTGCCTGCTTCAAGGAATAGTGAGTCTTTGGTGACTCCAGAGGGGTTTGTTTTTTCTGAGTCGTTCTCTTAAGTCTATACTTGTATTTTATACCTGAGGCTATCTGAAAATAGCAGAGTTCTGCTGCTGCTAGAGTTAGATTGGGCTCCCTTGAAAGAATACGGGTAGTGGGGGTTATGGCCTAGGAATATTTTTACACTCTTCTGCTTTCCAGAATTAGCCCATTTATCCACTTTATGGATTTGGGTGTTATATAGAGTGTTCAGTATTTTTAAAGATGCAGTTTCAAGTAGTAATTGATTCTTCATGTCAGTACTGCATTTTCAGATCATTAAAATATTAATGATTTAACTTTTCATGTACTTATGCTGGAATTATTTCAACTGTTGAACATTAGGAAGCCTTGGAGAACATGGTTTATGGAAAAAACTTACAATGATAAAAAACTTTAAAATATTACTAGTAAAGGCTATAATAACTTTATAACAAATTTTTAAGTGTTGATTTTTATATATGCAGCGCAGGTAAATTGAACATGAAATTGGAAATTGACAAGGATGTTGAAGTAGCAGAAAGTTACCAGTGAGTTAAGGTATAGATGATATTTTGATGTTTAAAAAATCAGATAGTGTACTGCATTTTATTGCATCTTACATACCTTTGTTTATAGAATATTCTGTATACCACCGTAAAAGTGATAACATTCCAGTTACCATTGTGAGCCACATTCCAATTTCAGAAATGTTAAAATATAGTAGGAAACATTTTGAAATAGTGAATATAGTGCATAAGGACAGTAAAAATGTTAATTGTGTAGTAAGATCAGAAAATAGTTTGGGAGAAATGATTTTAGCCTTTTATTAGTATATTTACCCCAAAAAGAAGTCATATAACTTTAGTCTACTTTCCTGAGAGAAACACACATAAGAAATTTGAAAAATATCCTTAAAGTGTATTCAAAGGCATGCCAGTGGTTTGTGTATGTTAATCTTATTTGGGGGCTTTCAGAGTGAACCTGTAGTTTTCTTGGTAATTACCTTTTCTAAAACATGATACTTATCTACAGTGTCATGTAAATGAAACTTAACTGAAGTATATAATAAAATATGTTTGTTCTCACATAATACTTTGGAATAACACCTTTGTCCCTCCCTTGTCAAAGTGATTTGATTCTTAGAAATGAGCTGCATGTAGAATTTTATGCAAAGATATTTTCTTTAGTTCATGAAATGACATCCAAACTCATTTCAGTTTCTTTCTAATAAAATTTTCACAGAACCTACTTTTAATACACATAGAAGACTGGCAGTAGAGAACATGGAAAGTTTATACTTACCATCTTTTTAGTTGCTTTCTAATGCTATAAATGCATTAATAGTAACATATATTCACTAACCACATGCATTTCATCCAAACTCGTTTGCCAAGAAAATTAGTTTAATAGTCCATTTAATTCTGTAGGATATTGTATTTTCTTATTAATAATTAGAGTATTGTGGTGCATTCTCTAAATCATTCAGTAGACATGTAACTTTTGATTAATGATAATTTTAAATGTGGCTCTGAAATTTCATATGTAACAGTAGGTTAGAGTACATAATGCAGGCACTATGTTAGATTTTCAGATTAATAAATATCAGGTGATGAAATGTGCAAAATAGTGCATCAGCAGGATTGTATATGCTGTACATTTTTGCCTGATTCTTTAAGATCTCAAAACCAACTTTAAGCTTCTGGTTATATAATTTCATGTGTAATAAGCAATTAAGTTTATATTTTGTAGTATTTATAGTAATAATTTCTCCAGTCCTCCTTAATGCCCCCCTCCACCATGGAAATTCTCAAACAGAAACAAAAGTAGAGAGAATAGAAAATCATGGCTGGGAGCGGTGGCTCACACCTGTAATCCCAGCACTTTGGGAGGCCAAGGTGGGCAGATCACCTGAGGTCAGAAGTTCAAGACCAGCCTGGCCAACATGGTGAAACCCCATTTCTACTGAAAATACAAAAATTAGCCAGATATGGTGGCGCGTGTCTGTAATACCAGCTACTGGAGAGGCTGAGACAGGACAATTCGCTTGAATCTGGGAGACAAAGGTTGCAGTGAGCCAAGATTGCACCACTGCACTCTAGTTTGGGTGACAGAGCGAGACTCTGTCTTAAAAAAAAAAATCAAAAAAAAAAAATTAAACTCTCATGTATCCATCATCTGGCTTCAAGAGTTGTCAACTCATGGCTAGTTTTGTGGCATGGATACCTCTTTCTCTTTGTCTCCCTCAGACCTGTTTTGTTTGTTGTTGAAGAAGAAATTGAGGTATTTCTCTTTTCCAGTTTCCTGCAGTCTGGATTTGCATCCCTTTAATGGTGCATGCCATGTCCCTTTGTCCCGTATATTTCCTGTAAATTAGGTCTAGAGGCTTGATCAGGTTGAGGATCTTTTTCCCCCTAGTAAAAACACAGATGGTATATGTATATGTTAATACTCTTCATTTAAAAACTGAGCAGCATGAAAACGTTTCTATTTTGATTTTTCTATAAAGCATTTTATACTAAAATAGAGCATGGGTAACAGAAGGATATTTATAATCAGGGCCACTAGATGTCTCCCACCTACTCTTTATGTTATCTGTGCCATCCACAAAAGATTTTTGTCACCTTCAGAACTCTGCCGGTTCCTTTTGACCACTGATGTACCAATCTCAAAATCTGTTGGTTGTTCTTTACTTTCAGAGACTGGCAAGTAGAAATGACTATACGAGTTTAACAGTATTTGATTTTTAAAGCTTTAAAGGCTGATTTTATATGGAGTATTACACTTCTGTACTTATAGTTTTTACTACACTTGTTGATGATTTTTGTCATTGAGAATTTTTAAAAACTCTACCAACTCTCATATTTAAGGAGCTTACTTACTGGGCAAACATTAGGCAGGACTTGTTTTTAAAAACTATGTTACTTGAGTTTCCTATAATTTTTAAAGTAATTTTCTACTATTTTAATGTTCCACATAAAATCCCAATTTATCCTGAGAACAGGGGAAAACTAATGCACACTTTTTTCATCATCATTTTCTGAAATCTATTTTTAAATTCTGGACGTGGTTGAGGACACAGTGAATAGTTTCATATCCTGCAGCTCTGGTATTGGTAGGTGGCTTTGTACCACTGGCTGAAACAATCACCCTAAAGTCAGCTTTACCAGCTCGTCCTGTTCTTGTACAGATGAAGCCTGACTGAAGAGAGATGGCTTTTCTGCTGCCTTGATGCCACTATTTTTTGTTTAGAAATGTTTTGAGGATGCCTAAAAAACAATCTACAAGAGAATAAAACTTTAGATTTTAAAATAAGTAATGCATAAAATATATTTTCATCCCATTTTTGACCTCACCTCATTCTTTAGCCATCCCTTATAGATGAGAAGTTTAACATAGCACCTTCCAAATTTAATATATCCCAGAACCTGTTTTTCTTGGACATTTATTAACGTCTCAAAAACATAAGGAAGAAAGTTTGGGAAGTGCTGATCAGGCACATTGCTCTTTTTATGTCTGTATCAAGAGATAACATTACTTTTGATGAGAATTCTTGTTCTAATGGGAGGGGTACATAAGACAGGTTTGACAATCATTATAATGAGAGATAGCAATTGGTTAGAGACATAAGAACCCTGAATGAAATAATGTGATAGTCAAGACTAGTAAATAACCACTATAGAGAGATTCAGAAAAGCTACAGGGAAGAGAAGCCATTTTAGTTGGGCATGGGAAGGCAAATAGGGATTTGGTGTTGCAGCGATGGAAGCCGTGAGGGGATGTGAGCAAAGGCATGGAAGCAGGAGAATGTGAGGCACGTTGGAAGGAAGGCAGTGGGTGGCTGTTTGACTGCAAGATGAAGTACTGTGGGATGGGAGGAAAAGGTCTAGCAGGTGATAGTTTTGGAAAATTAGGTTCAATTCCCCATTACAGAGGTTGGACTCTAGGAGGCCATAAGAATAACAATGAAGGCTGCACTTTAAGGAGATCAGTGTGGCAGTAGTTTTTGAGTTGGGAGCCAACACCATGCAGTGACTCAGGTGAGTGGGGCAAGGTGACGAAGTCTTGAGTCAGGACACTGGTGTGGAGGTAGAGGACAAGACAGCCCCTTGAAAGGGTTAACAGCCTAGGAGAGGGTGGGCTCAGAAAGGGTTCTGGTTGTTGAGGGCACAGTTCAAACACAAATGTTATTAAATAGAATCATGAATCAATCAATTGCTATGAAATTAATGTTAGTTAAGTTTCTTCCTATTCTTAGTTCTAGAGCCAGTACAAAAGCCTCATGAAGGTCCTGGAGAAATGGGGAAACCAGTCGTCATTCCTAAAGAGGATCAAGAAAAGATGAAAGAGATGTTTAAAATCAATCAGTTCAATTTAATGGCAAGTGAGATGATTGCACTCAACAGATCTTTACCAGATGTTAGGTTAGAAGGGTAAGTACTTACTGTGGTCCTGATAGTATGTGAATGAAAAGTATATTCTGAATTTTCAGTAAATTGCACTTGAGTGCTGATTGTTCTTAAGGCAAATGTTATATCACTATGTTACTACTTACCCCACTTAGAAAATAATTAAATGCTGATAGAAATAATATCTCAAGCTTCTACTGATTATTAGCACTATGTATTTCAGGCATTGGAAGATAATTATTTATCTTAATGGATTAGAAGGGGATTTTAAACTTTATTATTACCAAAATACTCACATACTCAACTTTTTACAAAAAGATTTAAGTTGTATGTAACTTGAAACAGTGAAATACACAGTCGTAAGTATACAGCTCACTGAATTTTTTGCTATGTATACACCTGTGTAACCATCAGCCAAATCAAGACATAGAATGATCCCATCACCCCTGAAAGTCTCCTTATGTTTTTTGTAGTCATTACTTACATCCCCAGAGGCAGCCGTTATATTGACCTCTCTAAACATAGATTAGTTTTGTCTCTTTTTGAACTTTTTATGATGGATCCACACCATTTTTTGTGCCTTTAAGATTCATATTGTTGCATGTATCAGAATTTTATTCTTTTCTACTGCAAATAGTGATTTGTAATATGAATATGCCATTGTTTATTTATACATTGATAGACCTTTGGATTATTTCTACTTTTTGACCCCTATAAATAAAGCTATTGTGACATTCTTGTTCATGTCTTTTGGAGGACTTAAGTGCCCATTACCGTATGCTATGTACTAGAGAAAGGAATAGGTTATGCATTTATATAGCATTAGCATGTGCTACCAAATATTTTCCCAAAATGTTTATACCAATTTACACTCCTATCAGCAATATATTAGTTAGATGTCTAGTTGCTCCATAAGAAGAAGGTAATACAAGGTACTAGAGTACCATAGGCCCAGTTAAAAGCAAGCAAACTATACAGAAAATAGGTAGAGTAAGTGAACATGTACATTCTGTGCTGAGGCCCCCTAAACTCCTTGCTCTCATTGATGCTGGCAGCCAAGCTTGCCTCCTCCAGAGAAGAGACTGGAAGATCTTTCTCATCAGAATTGGATAGGCCTAGAGAGAAGGGTAAGTACCTAGTGTGGTCCTGATAGTATATGAATGAAAAGTATGTGCTGAATTTCCAACAAATTGCACTTTAGTGCTGATTGACTTGGGAAAGTTTCCAACTTAATGGCACAGCCTGATCACCCTTATGGAAACTCATAGTCATTGAGTCCTACTCATGTGTTTAGGCCTCATATTCAGCCTCTTGGTCTTCCATTCTTAATAACAAATAGGTAAGCAAGGAATACTAGACATCTCAGGAAACCCTCAACAAACAGAGAAAAGCAACTTTGAGGAAACAAAAACTATTAAGGTAGAACACATAAAGAGAAATAACTAATAACCTCAACAAAATAGAGAATATATTACAACCATAAAATGAGAATAGGATATTATTCAAAAGATACACTGAGAGAACCAGAAAGAGCTTTTGAAAATAAAGAAAAATGCACCAAAGAGATGGACAACAGTAAAATTATATGAACATTGAAATAACAATCAAGAAATCCAATATTTTAATAATAGGAGTCTCAAAAAGAATTTTAAAAATAGGGAAGAGAAAATTTATCCACAAAATTTTCCATAACTGAACTGCACAAATTTTCAAATTGAAAGAGCCCACCAACTTTTTGGGACAATAGATGAAAATAGACTGTACTCCAAGACATTGTGACTTTCAGAACACTGAGGATTTCAACCCCCAGGGGGGAAAAAAGACCTTTTACAGGTTTCTTAAGAGGCGAAAGAAGGTCACAATCAAAAGGTTATTAATCAGAATGCCTTCAGACTTCTCAGCAACTCTAGAAACAAAGGAGCAAAATTCTAAAGGAAAATAATTTCCAATCTAAAATCTTATATTCAGCCAAACTTGCAATAAAGTGCACAGGTTAAATAAGGATATTTTTGGACATGCAAGATCTCAAAACATTGAACTCCCAAGCATCCATTCTCAGGAAGTTACTAGAGATAGGACGCTACCATTTAAAACCTTGGTTTTAAATAAACCAAGGACAAGAGAGACATAGAATGTAAAAAACAGGAGATTCAGCTTGTGTAAGAAATGGTGAGAATGACCAGAAGGTGATGAAGGGAGAGCCTGAGTGAGAGTTGCACAGGCAGAGGCGACCAGCCCAGATGGAGCCAGTGAGAAAATTCCAGAAGAGACTTCAAAAAGATACCATTGAAGTTACACCTGATATGGCTGAATGTCTAGAGTAGATTTAGACAATTGATAGGAAGTTTGGGATTGAAATACATAGAAAACCATAGTAAGAAAAAAATTAAATGAGCATTACCTTCAGGGAAAACTTTAAAAAAATTGTTCAGAGAAAACAAAAGTAATCATAGTTTACTACTACATGGCTTAGCCATGAATAAGTCATAATAAGGTAACTGTTGAATATTGTGCATGTAAAAATTAAACCAAGGAGATGAAGAGTATCTCTTTATCTGGCAAGTTGATTAAGTGGAGATCAGTCAAGAGAAGCTTAATTTGTAAAGATTTTTCACAAACCATTTGCTTTCCTGAAAATTTAAACATTGTTGAAGAAAACTATAGACTCTCCACAGTCTACAGTTAAAATGATGCCTGTATTATAAACAACCTTACATTTACTTCAAGAGCCTCAATCAACTATTATTGTTTCTGGTAGAATTGTTTTTGTCATTTTAATAACCCCCCTAAGTATATCACCACTCTTAACACATTTTATTAAATATTTATGTCTTTTTGTCTTTATGTGGTTTTTGAAGATACTTTTATTAATGAGTGCCTTTTAAGTGCATTGTAAGTCACCAGTTTTTGGACATTGAACAGCTTTATGATATTAGGAATAGTGTTGAAATGGTGTGATACAAATGCTTGTGCACCAAGTTTCACACTTGAAGACTCTTCAGACTTGACGAAGTCCACTTTTGTGAAAGCTGCCAATACACAGTCCTTCTGGCCAACTGCTGGGTCTCTGTGGGACTGGGCTGCCTAGGAGGTAGCGCAGAGTCACTACTACCACTGAGTAGCCTTTTTATATCTTCACTCTATCTCTGGACTGATAACCTTTTTTAAAAAAAAAAAGTTTTAGAAGACTTTTTATTATGGAAAATTTCAAATGTATACAAAAATAGAGATAATAATGTAATGAACCCTCTTGTATTTACCACCCAGCTTCAACAATTCCTAACAGTTTTGTCTTACGAATTCTTATACCCTCTGAGATGTCCGTCAACAATCTTTGCCTCCTGGTATTGACACCTCTTTGTAGTCTCCATCTTGCACTAAGATTGGTCTGTGTGAGCAATAGAACATGGTGCAAGTAAAATGGAGTATCTCCTTCAATATTATGTTATCAAATATGCTGTGGCTTTCATGTTGGTCTTTTACTCTTGCTGTGATCATTTGCTCTGGGATAAGCCCCTGGACACAATAGGTGCAGCCCTATGTCGACACCCGTGTGGTTTATGGCTTTTTGTGAACAACCAAAGAAGTAAGATTAGAAGCATATTCTCCAGCCCCAAGCAAAGACAAAACATTTCTAAATATTTCAATATGTAGCTCTGAAAGATAAGGACTCATAGAAAAGAAAAATAAAAATGATTATACCATTTTCACCCCTAAAAATAACATAAACAATGATACTTTCATATCATAAAATACCCAGTTAATATTCCAACTTCCCTAGTTATGACATATATATTTCTTTTTTTATAGCGTAGGTGTCAGGATCAAAATTGCAGCTGGTGGATATTCTCTTAAGTCTCTTTTAGTCTGTAGGTTCCTTCTCTGTTTTTTTTCCTTACAGTTTATTATTTGAAGAATCCAGGTAGAATGCCTTACATCTTTTCTCAGCCTACATTTTGCTGACTGCATCACTGTGGTGTCATTTGAACATGTTCTTCAGTTCCCTGTCCTGTGAATTGGTAGTTAGACCTAAAGGCATATCGTACCAATATCCTTAAAGTCAAGTAAATTGTGTGGTTGTGGTATTAAAGGTGTGAGATCTGGCCCATAATATGCATTGTTATTATGGACAGGTTCATTACATGTTTCATTTGTCTACTTTCCCTTTTTGTAGCTCCTGTTAGCTAGGCATTAAGTGCACTAAGGAAGAAAATATGTTATCAAAGTTGATGATGTGAATGCTGCATATCAAAACTTGTGAAATGTAGCTAATTCCATGCTTAGGTGATAATATATACCTTTAAATGCATATGACTTTTTTAAAAAGAAGATGGAAAGTTACTGAACTAACCATCTTAAGAAATTAGAAAAGGAACACATTAAAGAGAATAAGTAGAAGGAAGAGTGGAAACTTAAAACTTGGAAACTTAGGAAATAAAAACGTACAGTAGAGGAACAGCAAAGTCAAAAGTTCATGGGAAAAAATGATTAAAAAATGATAAAATTGACTAATCAAGAAAATAAGAGAGTCACAAATCCATAAAAGGTGGCGTCATTACAGATCCAGACCTTAAAAGATAATATATCACAAAGATGAGAAATTATAAAGTAGAATACAAACATCGAGTATAGAGGCTCAACAAAGCTGAAAGTTCTTTGGAAAAAAATCAACAAAATCAAAAAACGCTCTCCTAAATAGCAGATAATGGTATGAAAAAGACAGCATCCCTACACATCTTGCAGACGTTTGAAAGATTATATGTAGATTATATGAGGTTTTTTAAAATAGTCAAACTCGTAGAGGCAGGGTGTAGAATAGTAGTTGCCAGGGTCCGGTGGCAGGGGAGAAATGAGGAGATGCTGATTAGTGGGCATAAAGTTTCAGTTATGCAAGATGAATAAGGACTAGATACCTGCTATACAGTATTGTGCCTGTAGATAACAATGCTGCATTGTACCCTTAAAAACCTATTAAAAAGGTAGATCTCATGGTAAGTGTTCTTACCACAATGACGTAAAGATAAGATTATAAGTGAATATTATAAAATCCCAATTTTTTAAAATTTAGATGAAATTAGTAGTTCCTAGAAAAATATAACTTAGTAAAATTGACATCAGAGAAAAGAAAGTATAAGTTCTATAGCTATTAAGTAGAATTAATTATTTAAAAGCATTACACACAGCCGGGCGCACTGACTCACGCCTGTAATCCCAGCACTATGGGAGGCCGAGGTGGGCGGATCATGAGGTCAGGAGATCAAGACCATCCTAGCTAACATGGTGAAACCCTGTCTCTACTAAAACTACAAAAAATTAGCCAGGCGTGGTGGCACGCACCTGTAGTCCCAGCTACTCAGGAGGCTGAGGCAGAAGAATGGCATGAGCCGGGGAGGCGGAGCTTGTAGTGAGCCCAGATCACACCACTGCACTCCAGCCTGAGCAACAGAGAGAGACCATCTCGAAGAAAAAAAAAAATCTTTACACACAGACATTCACACAGTTAGACATAAACACAGACTTCCAGGCATAGATGGCTTTGCCAATGAAAATGAAGCAACATATCAAACTTATTTCATGAAATCAGCATGATCTTGATATGAAAATCTGACAAGGTTATTACAACAAAGAAATATTACAGACCAGTAGTCTCGATACAGATGCAGATTTATAAGTGAAATCCAGCAATATATAGAATAAATGATACATTAAAAATAAATTGGTTTATTCCAGACATGTGAAGTTGGTTTAGGATTTGAAGATCATTTAGATTCACCACATTTATAGGAAAACAGGCGATAAGTTATGTGATCATTTCATTAGATACAGGAAAAACATTTGATAAAATTTGTCACTGTCATGATAAAACCCCTTAGCAAACTAGAATAGAAGGGAACTTCTTTAATCTGACAAAAGATTTCTAGAAAAACAAAACCCTCCCAGCAAATATCTATATTTAATAATAATGTTGTAAGCTTTCCCTTTGAGATCTGGAACATGACACAGATGCCTGTTAACACCACTTCTGTTCAGTGTCTTACTGGAGGTCTTAGCCAGTGTAAGGAGGCAAGCAAAAGAACTCACTGTTATGAGGACTGGAAGAGAGGAATTAAAATTTATTAAAATTTATTACTTTAAGAAGTTCATTAAAATTTTATTATTTGCAGTTGACATGATTGTGTATAACAAAAATCCAAAAGAATTAGAGGATTAGAATAAAAAAGTGTTTAGAGACCGGTCACGGTGACTCACACCTGTAACCCTAGCACTTTGGGCACCTGAAGCAGGAAGATTGCTTGAGTCCAGGAATTCAAGACCAGCCTGAGCAACATTGATGAGACCCCATCTCTACAAAAAAATTAAATAACTAGCTGGACACAGTGGTGCATGCCTATAGTCCCAGCTGCTCAGGAGGCTGAGGCAGAAGGATAACTTGAGCTCAGGAGTTCGAGATTGCAGTGAGCCATGATTACACCACACTGCACTCCAGCCTCGGTGACAGTGTGAGACTCTGCCTCAAAAAAAAAGAAAAAAAATATTCAGTAAGGTTGAAGGTTTTAAGGTCTATATTAAAAAGAAAAATACGTTACATTTCTATATGTTGTTTTCTTACAAAAGCTAGAAAATAAAACAATTTTAAATATTACTTATAATGTAGTCTGAAAATATCAAATATCCAAGAAAGGCTCTTCAGAGTAAATTCTAAAGCAAAGAAAAATTAAATACCTAAATAAATGGAGAACTATCCCACATTCATGGGGTCAGACTCCTTAATATTATAAAGATGTTGGTTCTTTCTACATTCATTAGTAGGTTTGATGCAGTGCCAATCATAACCACGTATACATGTGTAATTTGACAAGTTGATTCTCAAATGTGACTGGAAATGCAAAGACCTGGAAGAGCTAGACATTCTTATAGAATTATTAAGATTTCTTAGAAAACTGTAATAATTAAGATAATGTGGTATCGTTGCAAGGATAGACAAGCAGATCAGTGGAACACAATAGCGAGTTCATGACCAGTTCTGTACATACTTGAACACTTGGTTTAGGACAACGGTGGCACTATGTGGCAGTAGGAGAAGGATGATCTTCTAAAAAATGAACAAATGAATGACGCTGGGTCAACTTGATATAATTCAAGACAAAACTGAAACTGCATCTTTACCTCACATCATACAGAAAAATCAATTTTATATGTATTACCTGAAATAAATGTGAAGGCAAACCAGCAAAGCCCTAAAAGATCACATAGGAGAAAATATCTTTATGATCTTGGGGTAGGAAAGGACTTTGTTTTAGGTGTATTTGTACTAGATGGCTGGACTTTTTTTTTCTTTTAAATGACAGCCTACCATTTATTTATTTAATTTTTTGCTTCTCTCGTGCTCATGTTCATAGGCAGCCTACCATTGAAGGGACTCTCACTCTGTATATACACACATATATATTTTTGAGAGACAGGGTCTTGCTCTGTTGCCCAGACTGGAGTGCAGTGGCACAGTCACAGCTGACTGCAGCCTCAACCTCCTGGGCTCAAACAATCATCCGACCTCAGCCTCCCGAGTAACAAGGACTACAGGTACACACCACTACACTCGGCTAATTTTTTAAACGTTTTGTAGAGATGGGGGTCTCACGCCACGTTGCCCAGGCTGGGACTTTGTATTTTAAATTTAATCTTTGGTTTTTAATAGATGACTTTTGTGTATATTATGACTTGATCTACATGTATTATGACTTGATATATTTGAACTTCTTTTAGGTTGAACCATATGAAATTGATATTCAACCACTTTTGACCTACGAAAATGACAATTTCATAAAGTTTGACTTAATAAATCTTGCTTTCTGTTTAGTATCTTTTTCATTTTTTTCCTCCTTTCCTGCTTTTCTAATTGATACAGTTTCAACTGGTAAAGTTTTAGTATTCATGTTTTTCTGTCTCTTGGTTTGGAAGCCGTACACTTTTCCTTTATTAGTAAGACCTAGGTATATTGTAATTGTCAAGGTGTAGATTTATCTTTATGTATCTACATGTTCAGTGCACATAGTATACTTTTGATGTGAGCACTGATATTATTCTTCAATTGTGGGACATTCCTAGCTGTAATCTCAAATACTGCTGCTTCACTATTTCCTCCAATCTGTTCTTTTGGAGCTACTTATATGCATATACTAGAGCTTCTCAATCTATACTCTTATTTTTTCTCTGTTTGTTCCTTTTCAAATTGTCTCTAGGTAAATTTCTCATTAATATCTTGATAGTGGCAAAGTCCAAGTCTGGCTCTGCCATTTACTGGCTATGTGGTTTAGGACAAGTTGTCTGACTTTTCTATACCTCAGGTCCTTATCTCTAAGATAAAGAGAATTACAAGGGTGGTTGTGAGGATTTGTAAAGTGCTTTGCACACTTCCTGGAATCTAGGATACAGAGAAGGCCTCTGTTCAAGGAGTGAGCTCCAGGTCCCTGTTTGATTCTCAGGAGAAGCTGACTCCAAAGGGACTTTTCCATCTCTACTTTTTTTTCTTTATTTTTCTACTCATTTCCTGACTTCCAAAGCAGATTCACAATGAAATGCCAAGTGGTAAATATTAGATGGTATTTTCTTCAGCCTCAGCTATGCTGGACAGAGGTAGTTAGCTGCTTTCCATTCCTGCTCCCCGAGGTGGAAGGAAGAATGGTGTGGGATGGCCCTTGGAGTGCAGCTTTTTCACCACCTTTTGGAACCCAGAGAAACCTTGCTTATGTTCTAAGACATGGGCTTAACTGGTGTGTAGCTGGCTGTGCCCAGATCTTCCTGTCTGCCAATAACTTCTACTGCCTTGTACAGTCTCTAAGAGCATGTTTCCTGAAGGAAACTGGAGGGAAGAATGACATTATTACACTGTTCAGAAGAGTTAAATAGAAGTAACAGTCCCTGAATAACTTTTCTAATGTGTGATCTTAGGGAAGGAAGTGTAAGACAGATTCCAAATCATCTAGTAAGCCAAATCCATCCTATATAGTTAGTCTTAGATATTTAAAAAGTAATTTTAATAGCATTTATTGAATGCTTTATTATATACCAGTGTTATACACATTGTCATATTCAAACAGTTGGGCAAAGTAGTAGTAATGTGCTCAGTTTACAAATGGGGAAACTTGGACTTAGGGAAATTAAATGATTTGTCCAAAGTATAGTTAGTAAGTGACGCAAGTGAAATTTGAACCTAGGTCTCAGGGACAAAATATGTGCTCTGAATCACTATGCTTTGCCCTTAGTTTTATGGTTAGATCTTAGTTGATCTTCTCTGAATGAGAGTGTACAGAGGAGAAATTTTGTAACATTGCCAAACACTGCCTGGCAGGTAGCCAGACATCTTATGAGATATTGAGTTGTCATTGATAAATGCTAGTGACAGATGAAATTTAATGGGAGAAAAAGAATACATTGAAAATCATAGCTTGAAGGGACATGGAGGAGAGCATTGGATTATACATGCATAGTCACCTTGATGTGGAAATTTCTTGAAAATTCTTTTCTTGGCTCTTCTTTCATACTATAGTTCTTGACATATATATGGATGATTGATGAGCAGTATAAGTTTTATCATAATTTGCAGATTTAACTTGTAGTTCTGTTACTTACTAGCTGCTATCATGAGCAATCTACTTTATTTAAGCCTCAGTTTCCTCATCTGTAAAATTTGGAGAGTAATTCCTCTGTCTTAGGGTTGTTATAAGCATACATGGGATAACATATTTAAACCTCTTAATGCAGTTTCAGGAATTTAATAAAAAGTCAGGAGGACCCTTTCAGGCCAGTGCCCTGGGATAGGATAAATAGAGTAGGACTTTTTTAGAGATGGAGTCTCACTTTGTTGCCCAGGCTGGTCTCAAACTCTTGGGCTCAAGTGATCCTCTTGCCACAGCCTTGCAAAGTGCTGGATTGCAGACATGAGCCCCTGCATCCAGCCAGAGTAGGACTATAACAATTGAAAAATATTAGTAATAGTAAATACCAAGCGACTTCTGTAGTTCTGTATTTCTGAATTGTTAGGTACAGTCATGTGTTATTTAATGACTGAGGTATGTTCTGAGAAATAGGTCATTAGACAATTTTGTCATTGTGTAAACATTATAGAGTGCACTTACACAAACCTAGATGGTACAGCCTACTACACACCTAGGCTATATGGTATAGCCTATTACTCCCAGTCTATTAACCTGCATAGTATATTTCTCTACTGAATACTGTAGGCAATTGTAGTACAATAGTGTTTGTGTATCTAAACATAGAAAAGATACAGTATAAATATGGTATAAAAGATGAAAAATTGTACACCTGTATAGGGCACTTACCATGAATGGAGCTTGCAGAAGTGGAACTTGCTCTGGGTGAGTAAGTGAGTGCTGAGTGAATGTGAAGGCCTAAGACATTACTGTATACACTACTGTAGACTTTATCAACACTGTACACTTAGGCTCTTCTAAATGTATTTTGCAGATTAAGTAATTACGCTAGTATGTTGATGGTGGCTACAGTGACACTAGGCCATAGGTATTTTTCAGTTCCATTATAATGATATGGGACTACTGTCATATATGTGGTCTGTTGTTGTGGGGGTGCTATTGAAGCTCAGCGGGGTGAATGCCCTGGGTATCCACCACATTCCACTGGCAACCGCACAGTATGAGGGAGAGGAAAACAAATGGAAGCACACTGGAACCGGGGAGGGAAGTTTCTTCCTCCTGCATTGTCCCTGCAGCACCTTCTACCTACAGAGCTTAGGCATGCCTCATGCATACTGCAAAGGAGAAAAGCTTATAGGGGCCAGTTTGTATGTATATATTTCAATAGAAAGTTAAGACTCTTCCCTTTCTTCCTAACCTATACCTTGCTGTTAAACCTGTATGTAACTTTTAGAAATTAGCATAAACTGGCGGAGTGCAGTGGCTCACGCCTGTAATCCCAGCATTTTGGGAGGCCGAGGTGGGCAGATCACGAGGTCAGAAGATTGAGACCGTCCTGGCTAACACGGTGAAACCCCGTCTCTAGTAAAAATACAAAAAATTAGTCGGGCGTGGTGGCAGGCACCTGTAGGACCAGCTACTGGGGAGGCTGAGGCAGGAGAATGGCGTGAACCCGGGAGGTGGAGCTTGCAGTGAGCTGAGATCACGCCACTGCACTCCAGCCTGAGCGACAGAGCGAGACTCCGTCTCAAAAAAAAAAAAAAAAAAAAAAAAAAAAGCTCGTTTTCATAACTGAGGATAAAAGTCTCACTTGGGCAAGTGTGGAAGAAAGCTGCTTCCTGAACATGGCCTGTGGCCTTTCTGCTCATCCTCAGCTCTGTGTTCTATGAACCCATCCCCCTACCCACTTCAAACCCCAAAACACAAAAGGACAGGTGGTTTCTTGATTGGAAAAGCTTAGCTAGAATGCTAAAGGGCTCTTTGGTTCTTCTCAAGTGCCTTGTGGCTCTTCCAGGTTAGGGGTGTGTGTTTGTGTGTGTTTGTACCTGTTCTGAGGTTAATTATGGTTGTTTAATATTTTCTCTATGTTTCCTCATTTGCTTTGAGAGAATATTAATTTATGAATTTGTTATGGTCTCTGATTAACCATTTGATTTAAAAAATTATTTCCTTTTTATCATCTGTTCTTCTGGATCCTAATATTGCTTCTCTCTCTGATTCTTCCATCCAGTTTCTTTCTATTGTTCTTATAATCTTACAATCTTACTTCCTTTCCATACAGTTTTAGAATTTTATTCTTTAACATATTATACAAGTAGTAAATTTGGGTTATCACTTCTCTTCTGCAGAACCTGCTGTCTCCACATTTTTCTGTCTTCCTTTCTGTTTCCTAGCCATAGACATGGCTAACAGTACCATTTGTATCTGTACATCTTTCATGCATCACTTGATTTTATTATTTTATTTTATTTTGGTAAGGTAGCAGCTATATAGCCACCTTGGCTGTTTCCTGCTTCCCAATTCTACAATAATAATAAGTAGGATTCACTTGGGAAAAGAGATTGTATGTGTGGCATAATAAGATTCAGCTAAGTAATGGAAGAAACTCTTTTTCTGACCCCCTTTTACCCATACATAGGCCATTCCTGACTTCAGAGTCTTATTCCAGGAGTCTGTGCATCAGGCATTCCAGATACAGCTTGCTCAGCTATGATGTACCTGAAACTAGTACTAATTATATACATAAATATTCTAGCCACCATTTATAACAGAGTTTTGATGGGAAACTATTTTCAGAAGTATTATTAGGACTGCTGAGGACACATCTTTTCCCCCTCTAGCCTAGTCTTTTGGGCCACACCTCTTTAGCCTAGACTTAGGAGGAGGGAGCTGCAGACAGGGTGGCAGGCTGTGTGGGCCTTCTTGTGGTGGTTAGAGTGAACATAGGGAGCAAGCAGTGAAGTGGAAATGAGGCTGTGGATTTTCTGGATCAGTGGGTAGAGGGAAGGTTACTGTTAGTAGGAGACGGAGACCATCCTGTGAAAGGGGTCTTGGGAATGGTGAAGAGGGAGAGAGGGGCTGCAGTGGAATATATCGAAGGACAGGGACAGCTACTTGTTTCTCCTTGTCTCCTGGCAGAAAGAAAGGACAAGGGCTGATGGGGCCCCTACGATGACTTCTTTCAACCCTTTTACCTTGTCATCTTTTTACCCTTCGCTTTTCCTTTTCTTCCAACTGCCAACTGGCAGCCCTAGGGTAGAGTGTTCGATAAGAAGTTACTTCAACAGCTTCAGAAGAGGAGTCTTGCTTGTGTTTTCTTCATTTCCTCCCCATCCTTCCCTTTTCCCACTCCCACTGACAGGCGATTACAGTTGAGACTGGGGAGTGGAAAGTTTGAGGAGCTTGAGAGAGAGCAGGGAATAAAGGAAGAAAGAGGAGGGTGGAGCAACTGTTAGAATCGGGGATACCTGGGAGATAATTATATATGCACTGTTTAGGGGGGCTTATGTTCTAAAGCACATCCCTTGATCTCAGGTTACCTGCCGCTGTTACTGTTCTCTGATAGGCTGTTATCTAGTAATTTCATCTAGCTAACAAGGTTGAAAGAAGAGACCATGTTGCCTAACAAAGTGCTGGAAACATACAATTATTATGTGGATTTTGTGTGCATATCTTTTGAGTGTGTTTGGTATTTCTGATTATTGCATGCTCAGGCATAAATAGTCTTTAGTGAACGAGATACATGTTGATATTTAATTATGGCGGTGGCCCCATCAAGAGTTGGAACAGCAGGGCATGGGCTGTGGAGTCTTCAGTCAGGTTCTGTTGCCTCCTCGCTATCCCTGCCCTGTTTCTCATCTGTGAAATGTGGCTCCAAGCATCCGTCTTATAGAATGACTAGGAAGAGTAAGAGCCTGGTACACGATAGGTACTCACTAAATATTTCTCTTCTTTTGTGGAAGGTATATTTTTGTTTAGATTATTAAACTACGTAAACTCCAGTGGTTCTAATTCTTTGTCTAATAGGGTCTTTGAAATACATTCAGTTTTGGGCAGATAATATAGCTTTATTTCATTCTCCATTAAAATGAATCACCTGAAAACATTCATCAGGAGGAAGTACCTAATTTTAAGAATATAAATGACATCTTTGAAATAATTTTAATCTAAATATATCACTTTAAATAGGTGCTATTTATTAAACACATAACATTAACCAAGACTTAAATGAAAAGGTACCAAGGATCCCACCACTAGAGCAAACTGCTTTTATTGTTCTATCACCCTTCTAGTCCAGATTCCTTTATTATGCAATCTTAACAGTCACTTTTTATAAAGGCATTTGCTTTGTCTCTAGGTGTAAAACAAAGGTGTATCCAGATAATCTTCCTACAACAAGTGTGGTGATTGTTTTCCACAATGAGGCTTGGAGCACACTTCTGCGAACTGTCCATAGTGTCATTAATCGCTCACCAAGACACATGATAGAAGAAATTGTTCTAGTAGATGATGCCAGTGAAAGAGGTAAATTTTAAATTTTAATGCCAATAATTTGCTACACCTTTTGTCACTAACGGTTAAAACTAGTTGCTATAATTTTTAACCTAATAATTTTATACAAAATTCTAATTTATCCCAAAAATATGGCATTTGGATTCATTCACATATGTAAAAAAGTACACCCTTGTGAAACTTAAAATATTACTTTAATTAGTAATTAATTTAATTTGTGTGTTGCATCTTAATCTTGTTTCAAAAAGAAATAATGCTCTATAACATAAACTATTATGCAGGACAGTGAAAAAACTCTCATCATTTTGTTAGGATTTTCTCTGTGGGAAGCTGCAGGACTGAGTCAGTAGAGAGAGACTGGATTCTGCTTACATCCATGAATGGAGAAATGTAGTTCCATGTTTAGTAGGAAATATCTCTGACAGCAAAATGGAGCTTTAGCTGGGTGAACCTTTGTTCTCCAGATTTTTCTTAGGTTTCCCTATTTTCTCCATTTCTAAGTTTCAGGAATGATCTATAGCTAGGTGCATAAAAGGATTAGGAAGGATGAAAAGGTGGGATGTAATATGACTCTCATAGTAAATCTCTACAGACTCTTGCCCACGTCCTTCTAGGAGTCTCAGAATTTTTCACAAGGCTAAAATCTCCCAAACTATTTCATGAAATACTCTTTGGGAAAGGACATATTAATTAATGGTGGCTTGGTCAATATTATTTATTCTGAATCCTTACTAGAGATTTCACACTACAGAGTACCATATAGAAAAGGCTCTGCTTAGTCCATCAGTAAAGAAACTTGCTTAACTTAGATACCCAGTATTTCCTAATTTTCTTATTCATAGCTCATCTGTTTAGGAATCATTGGTGTCATGTGTTCCACCAATGTTCCTGTGTTCGCATGAGAAAAATTTAGAGCTACAGAAAATAATTTCCTACTTCTTTTCTTCCTTCATCAGCCTTAAATGATCTACCATTTTAACCTCTTTTGCTAGTATCTTCAACTTTCTTGCCTATTCTCCCATTGCATCTGCTATGATTTAGTTAAGTATCATACTTTCTCCTTCCTGTGTCCACACTGAATACATGCATTTAACCGAAATTAAGTTTATTCACATCAAATATCAATTATTTGGAGTAATTAATACAATAAAAACAATTTAAATCTTATTGCTTTGCCAGTTTATACAGTTGCACATGAAGAAAAGGATAAATCCTACCTTTTAAAGTAATTTATATCTTACCTTTTTAATCAAATTAAAGAGATACTTTATAATCACACAAGACATTTAAATAGTATAATACATTATATAATTACATGTCAGAAGGAATGAGAGCAGTTAAGAATACCACACGTAAAGAAATAATTGTTGACAACAGAAGTATAAACCTTATGTGGATAATCTATTTGCTAGGACTTAATCCCTCTGTAAGAAAATTAACCTAAGTTAATATAAGGAGGAATATATACAAACATTTATCCTGCAAATGACTTGTGCTTGGTTTACTTACGTGTCAATATTTGCTAGATTAAATATATTCTTCCAGAAGAGATACTTAACCTGAGATAAAATGAATTATTTTTTCATTTCCTCCTTTGTTTTTCTCTCTCGTTCTGTGAATGCCCAAGAAGGCTGTGTAGAATAATAAGTTTTTGTAGAATATGGCCTAATTTAAAAGGTGCAGGGTCCCACAACAAGTGACAGAGAAACTCACCTATAGCAGTTCTCTCTTTCCTTTCCCTCATGCAGCCCTCACCCAACACCCCAATCTGTGTACATCTGTGAGAGGAAACTGGTGTGAGCAGATGTCTACCTCACTGCTCCACCTGAGGCTTAGTCTCTAGGCAGGGTCCTGGAGTGCCGCTCCAGAGTCCCTGCTCAGGGGTCTGATTCTCCTTTATCTTCCTGCCTTGGAAGCCTCAAATATCCGGGTTACCATTTCCGGTATCTGGGAGACAGTAGATCTTTGTTTTTGTGGTTATAATTTGCAGTCTTGCTTTCCAGGTTGAGAATCATCTAATGTATTTTTCTTTGGCTCCATTGTTTAAGTCGTAATTGTTAGACCCAGAAACCAGAGCAAGCTGTTTGCTTTTATGTAACTCTTTACATCTGCTTTTTTTCCTATTCATGAGACACATCTAAGGCACCATCATTTCTCACCTGGATATGGAAATAGACTAACTAGTCAAACTAATGTCCCCACATACTCTTACCCCCTCCCATCTGTTCACCATGGTGCCTCCAGAGTGAGCTTTTTTAAAGCATGCAAATTTGATCATTTCGCTTCCATGCTTAAAACCCCTCCACTAAGGCCTGTATGACCTGGCCCCACCTGGCATCTCCAGTCACATCTTGAACCATTCCCATACTTCTTCCCTCTGTCCAGTTTTCTTCTTTCAGTTTGTTAAAGAATATCATCCTTCTTCCTATCTCAGGGCCTTCAATTGTACTGATTTTGTTCCCTCTCCCTGGAACATTGTTCTCTAGGGAACATTTATCTCCACCATCTCCCCAGCACTGTTAACATTGAATCATCCATCAGAGTTCAGCTCAGATGTGATGTATTTAGAGAGGCCTTTCTTGACCTCTCCAGACCTGTCACATCCCTCTGAAAACATCTCATAACACTCTACTCCTCTGCAGCTCTAACCAGGGTTTGAATTACTTGTCTGTTTAATAGATACCTTCCCCCAGTAGACTGTATACTTTGTCAGGTCTATTTGCTCACCATTATCTCTTCAGTTCCCACAGTGCCTGTTATATAACAACAGTCTAGAATTATATAATGAATGGGTGAAAGAATAATGTACACTGGTATATTTAATCTTCACATTTACTTCTTCTCTGTGCAAACTTCCTAATTGGGTTGTGTAGCATAGATAGTGTGCCCATGGCCTCTGAATACTTGATTTCAAGTTAACCTGCTGAGTAACTCTATTTATTAAAGAAGTATGAAGTAGGTGCTATAATTATTCCTGTTTTATTGATGAGGAAAATGAGGCTTAGCATGGTAGAGGAGTATCCAAACCCTGTATAAATCCAGAGCCTGACCTCTTAATTGCTGTGTACCTCACTTCTGATTGCTTCTGGTGCAACTTTACTGTTACAGGATCTGTAATAAAGTCAGAATTTGGACGAATCCCTAGTTTATGTCAGAAGTTATGTAATTTTCATCTCAGAAAGTTATCTTAAGACTTAGAATTTATGTAATGTTTCTAATCTGAGAAGACTATTATTTTTTCATTTTATACAAAAAGCAGAGGTTTATATTTAGTAGAGGTTAGGAGTTAGATTTATTAGATTCTGAATTCTTTATTCTTCCCTTTATTCTTCTCTACTACTCCTTAGAGTTTTGGCTAATATTTCTCAGACATTGATGTGAATAGTGAAATTTTTTCCTGATGTTCACACTCTCTGACAACCTCACACTCTGAGAAATGCATAGGGATCCATTTATAGGCCAATAGTTATAAAGGTGTCCTAAGAAGATTCTCCCTTGTTTTTAGATGTAATAGTAGCTTCTAACTATAATCTCTTAACTCATGGCTTCATTTTTGTAAAATGAGACTTGGATAATTCCTAATCCCCCACCCATCCCTGAGTCCATAATTCTGTATCGACTGAAAAGAAGACACCTATATCCTAATGTAATTGTGTGAAAGCAACAAAGATGTCAAACAAAGATGCCAAGAAAATTTGTGGAAGAGCAAATTTTGTGAGTTACCCGACCACAGAATCATGCATTTTTTTTTTTAATTTTGTTCATAAACAAGACAGTATAGCTTTCAAAGACATATGGGACTTGGGGATTAGATTGCTTTAGTTCTGAAGAAACGTTTTAAACTAATATTTTTGGAAAAACTTGTTGGGAGACGCATTGTTTATGACACATCCAGTCTTGATTGATCTAAGGTACTAAAATATATCTTATACCCTACTGCATGAAATTCTATCAAATTCTGGATACAAAGTATTTTAAATTTGTGCTTGATCAGGTGCTTCCACAGACCTGAATTGTTCTCTCTATAGAGTTCCCTTCTAGGATTCTCTTGTTGTAGATAAAAAGATGGGCTTTAAAGTCAGGCAGACCTGGGTTTGAATCTTGGATCCATCCCTTAAGCTGTATCACCTTAATCAAATTCATGTAATATGCTGAGCCTTAGATTTTCATTTCTAAATTATGCATAATAACTTCATAGGGTCATTGTGAGCATTAAATGAGATAAAATATATAATGAGACTAGCATTACATATGTTAGCATTATGCTAAACAGACACAAAATGTTAACAGTTACTACAAAATGTTGCTCTTCTCTGGGATTGGCACTACCCTTACCTTTTTACTCAGAATCAATTTAGATCCTTCTGACCCTAAGACTTGGTTCATAAAATCACAGTGATATCTTTCAGATAACTTTTTAGCTCAAATATTAGAAAATATATTAGCAGAAATGGGAAAGATCAGTGTTTTGGTGTAGTGGGACACATAGGCCTTTCTCTTTTACAGCTTTTTATATCCCTGATTATTTCATTATTGAGTCATTTTGTCTTGTTGAGTCAAATAGGCAAGAATTGTTTTACTCCCATTTGTCTTTTCCACCTCACTATGTAGGAAGCCTTTTGGATCTCTACTTTTAGTATTTAATTAATAGATATGAGGATAATCTCTCTAGGGGTTCCAGTAGTTCCATCTCAAATATTTTCTTCCCTAGAGAGATTATCCTCATACTTATTGTATGGTGACTAGTTGGAAAGGCATTTGGCCATATTACCACCAATAGCAGAGTTCTCTAGCATAAATTCTGTAAACCAACCTGATCGGAAAAATGTTTTCTCTTTGCTTTGAGGAAGTTGCACCTTTTCTGCTTTTTAAAGTCAGTTGTGAACTTTGGAGGTAAGGTTTATCTTATCCTATATGCTTGCCTGTGTCCTGAGGAGCATAACCTCTTATCTGAACTCTCCAGGATAGCTATTGATTTCATACACCCACATACTCTCCCTTTCCCCTTTTGCCCACTTTTTCTCTTTTCTTCTTCAATTGCCCTTTCCTTTTTAAACTTTTTTTCTTACACCTAATTGTCAGTTTAAGGATCTCTATTTGGCCTTGCAGTTAACAGTCCAGCATTTCTTTTCCAAGTGTGACCCCACTTTCTGCCCCCTGATTAAAAAAAAAAAAAAAAAAAAAGTATAGTCAAAGACCATGGTAATCAACAAGACAATTTGTTTGTGCTTCTGAGGAAATTTCACAATTTTCTGAACTCTACAGCTATTACATATTCTGTGTCTTCTCTCTGTTGAGGTCTGGATTTAATGCTTTCTTTGTATTGCTGATCCTTAAGCATGATTAGAGAAAGAATTGAGTCTAACAGAGTTACTTAGCGAAACATAGGAGCATTCCTATCCTTGGTTAAGTCTGAGCACAAAGGCATTCTCCTAATTCTGCATATAATAAAATAGAGGCAGCTGTAGTCCATTCTCTTGGGGAATATAAAGGCTTCCTTTAGCAGAATGGGTTTATGAGTCAGGGAGCCTCACTGAGAGTGTTCAGTAAGGGTATGTTGAATAAATTTTCCAAATCAAAATTACTTTCATCTGAATAGTGCCAGGCCACACTGGTTTGCATGTTTTCTTTTGTTCATTTTCCAGACTTTTTGAAAAGGCCTTTAGAGAGTTATGTGAAAAAACTAAAAGTACCAGTTCATGTAATTCGAATGGAACAACGTTCTGGATTGATCAGAGCTAGATTAAAAGGAGCTGCTGTGTCTAAAGGCCAAGTGATCACCTTCCTGGATGCCCATTGTGAGTGTACAGTGGGATGGCTGGAGCCTCTCTTGGCCAGGATCAAACATGACAGGTAATTTTCTGGTGTCTGTAAGTTTGCTTTTAGTACATTTGTCCTAAACTATATGGTGAGTTGCCAAATTCTATATTTTTTAAATAAATATAAAAGTAATTTCCTCCCAAGTTTGCTTTAAAATATCCGTGAAGAGGACTCTAAAGGAAATATCCAGAAGACCACATTCTGAAGCCTGGCAGGAATGTTTGCAAACTGTTGTACTAATGAGGAGTGATTAGGAAGCATGTCATTGGAATGTATACTATATGCTGTGTTCACCAAGCTGGAGCAGAACAGATAGATGGTGAACTCAGGGAAGACAGCATAAAACCCTTCACTTGTCCTTGCACTCTAAAGCTAATGCTGGAGCAGGCAGATCCTCTCAGCTTGTAGTGCAGCAAGAAGTAGAAGAGAATGGAGAGAAGCACATTGTGTCCTGAAATGCTTAATTTTGTATGGAAAGCACCATAATCTTAGATAATACAGGAAGAACAGTGGTGTAATGAACACCTGTGGTTATAGTTTTTCATGTTACACATTTTTCAAAGAACTCCCTATTTCTGGCTTAGTTCTTGTGCATCAGGAGAGAACCTGACTTCAGTCTGCTAGACCTATGTTGGTTGAATTTCTGCTTGTCATTGTAATTTGAGGTAGAGACTGTCCATGTTTAGATTTTAGTGGAGTGAACTTTTACTAGTCAAGTGGAACACGGTGGGAGCTAAAGCCACAGCATCTATTCTGTTTGATAGCAAATGCTGGATCTATATTTTTTCCCTTTCAAAGATGAATAAATAGGAAAACTCAGCATTGGGCCAATCAATGGGAAAGTAGAGCAGCTTTAGAAAAGAGAACATTGCCCTGAAGAATCAAAAGAATAGGATATCTGTAAATTATTTTCTTTAAATAATAGATGACGTTTTAGGGAATATTTGCTCGCCTGAAGATAACACACAACCCATAGAGAGAAAGCAAGGTGAGGTGATGACAGAAGTATGGAAGGGAGTCAGCTGAAATAGCAACCACAGTGACTTCCAGTTTGGGCTGCATGGTGGATTCGATATTCTGAATAACTTTTCCAACTGAAAAAGCTGGATAAAAGACAAAACAAATTTTAAATGCATCATTGAGTTGGCACAAAAGGAAGAAATTTGCAAATCTCGAAAAGAAGTGAGAGCAAATGTGCAGTCCAAACACTAAAGCCAGCTTTCGCTGGTAGGGTTTCTGCTGAACTTTGGGGTCACTAAGCTTCTGCCTTGAGAGACAAATAAGATGGAAGGATAGGAGACAAAAACCTAGGTCCTGCCTCAGGTGAGAAGGTTAATAGCAAACACCTGTATAAAGCTGGGCTCTTGAAATCTGTATCTTAGTATAAAGCAAGAATGAAAAATTAATCCCACCACATCAGAGAAAACTTGCCTGTCTCAACCTTGGTATGCAGTGGCAGAGGGGAAACAAATCTCCCCTAAGAATTTGTAAACAATATAGAAAAAGAGGAAACGAACCAAACTCTTTTTATGAGGCTGGTATAACTGTGATATGAAAACCAGAAAAGTACTACAAGGAAAATTACAGTGCAAATCTGTTCATGAATGCTAGTACAAAAATCTCACAATACCAGCAAACTAAACCAGCAATATACACACACACACGTGCACGTATGCGTGTAAAAAACATATCATGATATCATGACTGCTTGGTTTAGCGTAATATTACAAAAACTAATTCGTTTAATACATCCCATTAATGTATTTTTAAAACTGTGATTACAAACTTATTAAACACCTCTGATCACTCCCATAGATAATGAAAAAGGGTTCACTGAAATTTAACATGAATTTATTGTTAGAAAATACTTAGCAAACTATTATACAGTGGAAGTTTACTAATCCAAGAAAGGATGGCTTAAAAAAAAAAAAAAAGCCTTTGCAAGCAGAAATCATGTTAATGGAGAAATGTTGGAAGCATTTTTTAAAAAGATGTGGAAGAAGATGTTAATGCCCTCAATCACCAGTTAGTATTATTAGAAGTCTTTCTTAGGTTTTGCAGTACTACAGTAAATAAAGAACATTTATTTATTGGAAAAAGGAAAAGCATTGTTGTCAATTGTGTATGTGTTTGTGAAGAAAACGAATCTATACATAAAATAATAGAAACAATAAGAATTTAGCAATGTTGCCAAACACGAGATTACTATAGAAAAGTTCAGGCTAGAGCAGTGGCTCACGCCTGTAATCCCAGCTCTTTGGGAGACCGAGGTGGGCAGATCACTTGAACCCAGGAGTTCGAGACCAGTCTGGCCAACATGGCGAAACCCCAGCTCTACTAAAAATACAAAAAATTAGGCAGTCGTGGTGGTGCATGCCTATAGTCCCAACTACTTGGGAGGCTGAGTCGGGAGGATCGCTTGAACTCAGGAAGTCAAGGCTGCAATGAGCCAAGAGTGCACCATTGCCCTCTAGCCTGGGCAACAGGAGTGAGACTCCATCTCCAAACAAAAGAATGAAAAGTTTATTTCACACCAACAAGGAATACTTAGAAAATATAATGCAAAAAGAAAAGATACCATTCGTAATAGCAATGGCAGTCATAGACTACACATAGGAATATGTTTATCAAAAGATTTACTGAAATTCACGAAAAAATCTTGAGAGAGAAATGGATAGGAAAGTCAATATCATAAGAGTATCAATTCTACCCAAATTCATATATAAATTCAGTGCATTTCCAATTGAAATCTCCACAGAATTTTCTTTGAGAGACTGTACAGGCCGATTCTAGCATTGATACGGAACTGTAAAAAGAAAAAAAATAGTTGGGATGCTTCTGAAGAAGAATCAGATCTAAGGGGGCTTGCCTTACTAGGCGTCAAGACTTATTTTAAAGCTGTGTTAATTATGGCAGTGGTATATTGATGCAGGAATTCACAAATAGACTAGTGAAACAGGGTAGGGTCTAGAAACCAGCTCATTTTTGTATGTAATCTTGATTTATGACAGAGCAGTCACTCATAGTTACAGCAGAAGAAAAAGGGACCATTACATAAATAGTGGTGGAACAACTGGTTATCCATAGAAGAAATAAATGAAGTTGGATACTTACTGTATATCATAGTTAAAATCAGTCCCTTGAAGATTAAAGTCTTAAATATAAAAAACAAAAAAAAAATTTTTTTAATTAGTTGAGTGTGGTGTTATGTGATCCCAGCCGTGGTCCCAGCTACTCAGGAAGCTGAGGTGGGAAGATCACTTGAGGAGGTCGAGGCTGCAGTGGCCCCTGATTGCACTACTGCATTCCAGCCTGGGTGGTGACAGAGTAGTGATACCCTGTTTCAAGGGAAAAAATAAAAAATAAAAACACTTACTATACAATTGTTCTGTAGTTGGCATTAAACAGGAATGTTTTGAAAGATTTCTTAACTTGCTTTTATGACATCAGGAGAACAGTGGTGTGTCCCATCATCGATGTGATCAGTGATGATACTTTTGAGTACATGGCAGGCTCTGATATGACCTATGGTGGGTTCAACTGGAAGCTCAATTTTCGCTGGTATCCTGTTCCCCAAAGAGAAATGGACAGAAGGAAAGGTGATCGGACTCTTCCTGTCAGGTAATTAATTTGTCAGACATTTTGCCTAAAGTGTTATTGGCAGAAGGTTGTGGAGCTTTGGGAATCATATCAAATGGATAAGTGTATTTTGAGAAACGTGAAGCATTCGTATACCTTATGGTAGTTAACAGCCATCTTTCACATATGTGAGTGTTTTAAAGAAGGATTTCTCCTCTAATAAAATTAGAAATTTTTGCTTATTCTATAAATCTAGTGCACATGAGAAATGATGACATGCGTGTTTTTTCATTCCTTTATGAACATTTTGCAAATGCGTCAGATCTGTACTTTAATTCAGTTATTAAGGATAATAATACTTAGCTTAATTAATTGTGTCAGTATGTGAAGATACTACCTAAAACTGGGTCCTTGCATTAAAATGTACAATTTTAAATTCAGACTTGTACCATCTGGATGACAGTTATTGACTGGTAAAGTTAGAAAAGCTTGTGTAAAACATAAAAATAGCTAGAATTGACACAAAATATAAAAAAATTCATTAATCCATTTATTCTCTGATTTTTTTTCTCTACTTGGTCATATATAGATTTTTTTTTCAGGATGGAATAAAAATCTTCATGCTCTTTTTAGAACATGAAATTGAGACCTTTGAGCTCTTCTGAGCCATCCTAGAATTTAGCCCCATTGTACCGACCTGCTACTTCTGTATTAAGAGTTCCTTCAGAACCAGGCTTCAGCTTTTCTGTTTTTGGGCCTCCTGCGTCTGCCTTCCCTTGAATTCAAGTTCAGTTCTGGCAACACTGAAGAGATTTTCCACTGACTGTGTGCTTTTTTCCTTAGCCTGAGTTCTTAGTAGTAGTAGTGCAAGGGACTTTTCTTCTCTTTAGCTGTTAGTGCAATTCACTATCTAAATCAGGGGTTCCTAAACATTTCAAAAATGACAAAATTTTTTGAAAATCTGGTGAAAGCTATGGGTCTTCTCTAATGGAGAAAAATGCACATGTACATGCAGAAGATTTAGCACACAAAAAACTCAGGTCAAGAAAACCCTGTATTAAATGATAATTCTGAATTTTGGCTGTTTCTTTTAAATCCTTTTCTCATTCTTTTTTTCTTCTAAAATCAAAATAAGTCCAAACCTTTTTTGGAAACAACTGTTTCCTCTGGAAAGGCAATGAGTACATTTTAGGGTTCATCTTAAAATATAATCTTCGTGGTATCTTTGGTCCCTGTAACTTATTTTTTTCTCCTGGTTGGAGTTTACTTTTTCTCCATACTTGTTCTTTATAAAAATCAAATGGGCTGATATTCATTTATTTAAATCTTCCTTCATTTCTTAATAATTTCTCTGCTTAATTTCACATGTTCCCACTCCCTTTGCATACCTGAGCCCTATTTTGATGAATTAGACTCCTCTTTTGCAGAAAATATACCACACAGTCAGGAAGGAACATATTGATTTTATTCTATATTTTGTCTCCTCTCCTTAAAGATTTCTAGTGGGTATTAGGAAAAGACCTCACTGTTTCCATCCAGTTTATCTTATGTATTTATACTATTTGCCACCCTTTAGAACATGGCATGGTAACTCTAACCTCAATCTACTTGGTTAATATAGTCAACTGCCTTGAAGTTGCTAGGATCTGTGGAGTGGGTGCACAGTCAGATGGAGAGGATTGTGAGGAACAGCTTTAATTTAAGGAGTTTGAGATCTAAACTCAGTTAGGACCTGAGGGCCAAGAAAGATAGAAAGTACTCTTAGGACTGTGACAGAGAGGGATGTCTGGGCAGAAGCATGACACAGCAAGTCTAGCAGTCAGCATGACCATGGTGCAGGTCATGTGTGAAGACCAAATAACACAGCATAAAACACAGAAAGCCCCTGGGGCGTATGAAAGTTTATGAAGAGTGTGAGAATAAGTACTTACTCAGTAGTTATAAATAGTTATGAAACAGCTTTTAAAAACAAAAACTGATTGATTGTAAATTTTAAATTGCTAATGGTATAGCATTATTGAATTTCAGGACACCTACCATGGCAGGAGGCCTTTTTTCAATAGACAGAGATTACTTTCAGGAAATTGGAACATATGATGCTGGAATGGATATTTGGGGAGGAGAAAACCTAGAAATTTCCTTTAGGGTAAGTTCCCTTAAAAAAATTTAATCTTTTATTTAACTTCAAGTATAGATGTGCATTGATTATTCATGTATCTCTACATAAAAAATAAAAATTGAATTTAATACAAGTTTAATGTAACTTCAGAGCCTTCAGTCCATAAAAAGGACTGATAGTAAGGGTTCATTATAAACTATTGAAGCAAATAATTTAGTTACCTTTGAAGTTCAGCTATAAAACTTACACAAGATTCCCTAGTTGTTTTTAATTTTTATTATTTTCAAGGAAGTAATTTAAGCTCTAAAAGCTAATATATAGTTTGGATATGCTACTTTGCTGCTTTACTCTCAAAAACATAAATTTCACATTTAAACATAAATTTCACATTTTGTAATATGCTTTTTATTTTAGTGTGAAAATTTTTTTTATATAAAACCTAGTCACTTTACCAGCTTTATATTTTTCAATAAAAATGCGAAAGAATTCTAAAATGACTCTAAATTAATTTAACCCAGTCTACATATAAAGTCTTTGCATTTCATGTTCACTAGAATCAACATATCGTTTAAATGGCATTGCATATTTTTGCAAATAACCAACTTTAGACACATAGCTTATTATAGTGGAAATCACACTGACGTGTACTGTAATCTGAACCAGCGAGCTCACTTTGTTCCCAGTGAATCGCTTTGCCTTCTTGTCAAAGAGAGGGTTGGACTCAATATCACCTTGGAGATCCTATCCAGCTCTAACACTTATAATCCTGGGAAAACTTGAAGGTAGGAACACTGAATATTTAACAAAATCAGAACTTTCCAAAATGTTATTTTAATTATAAAGAGTTATGAGATTTTTAACTTGGTGGGGGGAATGTATTTTGAAAGAAACAGAAGGATTTCATTAAATTAAGGATGTAAGCCCATACTTGATCATCTTTCTTCTGCCCCTTTTTTTGTTTTTATTGTTCTAACAAAGACAACAAAACATGCTTTTACTGTCTCACTGAAGAACTTACAATGGATCTAGTTGAGATTCCTAGGTTCTGTTTCATGTACAAGCCGTGACGCAGGTTTGGAGAGGGGTGAACAGATGAGCATCTGGCTGGTTACTCCATGGTCAGGTTTTGTTTGGTGGTTGTTTTTAACCATGAGCCACATTAATAAATACATTATACATTCTGCACACACAAAACATAAAATTTAAACATTTTATGAAACAGTATGTCCTTGTTAACAAGTACAGGTTGCAATTCATCAATTTGAATTTATGATTCTCTTAGGTATAATGGCCTGCAGTTAGAAAAATACTGCTCTAGATCCCATATCTTTTCTGTATTTAGCCTTTAACCTATGTTTTCTTTATTTTAATCTTCAACTTTTGGTTTGATCAGAACCCAAATTAGAGAAATGTTTCTCTTGAGGAAGCACTGGCTTTGTAACCTAACCATACAGCCGGAGCCCATCATGTGCCCCTGATTTTGCGAAATTCCAACTGTGGAACCCAATAGATGTCAATACTTTTTTAAAAACTATCAATGTCATATATGGTCTTTGCTGTTATTTTCAGATTTGGTAGTATGGAGGTACTTTGGAAGCTTTTTACCAGTAACTACAATATGTTCCATTTAAGTTTAAACAAAAGCCAAACCCCTATTTAATTGAAAAGAAAAATACTATGGGAAAACTAAGGTGAACATTTCCTGATTACTCAGCTACATGTTACATGGTCATCTCTGCTGTTTTCAGATTTGGCAGTGTGGAGGAACTTTGGAAATTGTTACATGCTCACATGTTGGACATGTGTTTCGGAAAGCTACACCTTACACGTTTCCAGGAGGCACAGGGCAGATTATCAATAAAAATAACAGACGACTTGCAGAAGTGTGGATGGATGAATTCAAGAATTTCTTCTATATAATTTCTCCAGGTTAGCGTTGTTTTGCATTAGAAATACAAGGCTGTACCTTTGTTGACCCTGATCCTGGAGGAGAAGTAAGAAGGTTAGAAGTGAAGCTTTGAGCAGAGGTGAACACCTGCCTCATAAGGTCATTGTAAGGAATGAATGAAATCACACACAGTATAGAAAGTGCTTGGCAGAATGCCTAGAATAATATATAATTAACAGTAATAAATTATCCAGGTCAGTGTTGCTAGCCCAGGTTTTGCAGATGTTCTATTTTTTTTAAAACCTAACTGCAACATTTAGTATTTATTCCTGTGAAGTTTCATCTTGTTAAATTTTCAGCCATTTTTCTAGCTTATATGACTTTTTCTTGATTCTTGGAGTTTTCATTCAACATAACAAAACCACTGTTTTTGCAGTGGGTCATGAACGTTCTCTATAAGCAGGCCCTCAATGCTGTCATAGGAGGCTTTCGTCAAGTATCACAAGGCCACTGAGAGCCCAAAACGTGCCACAGGGCCTTCTTTCCGGAAACTTTGCTATTCAGAGTTTTGTAGGAACAGTTGTTCCATCAGCTATAAGTCGGCCTGACATTGTTACTAGTCCATCCTTATTTTTTAGTTACTGCAAGACTGTCAAGTGGCAGGGTGCACAGTTCAGTGAGTTGTGTGAGAGAAGCCTGACTGCAAACAATTGCTCTGTTTAATATTTGAGCAAAATAGACCTTGATTTTTTTGTTTGTGCCTTAACATATATTGAAGTTTACTGATCCCATATCACTTATATTTCATTCTCACATAAATGTCATTTTTCTCTGAAAAATTAAAACACATTTTAATGTATTTTCCTTGCTTTATACTTTTGGTGGATTCATGGTGTCTCCACTTGTATAGTCACATATCACCCAGCTGATACCACTGTTCTGATTCATCTGGCTTATTAGATTCAATATATAAACATGTGTTACCTAAAACAACACTAATAATTCAGAGTCAATTATTTCTTTCAACAGGTGTTACAAAGGTAGATTATGGAGATATATCGTCAAGAGTTGGTCTAAGACACAAACTACAATGCAAACCTTTTTCCTGGTACCTAGAGAATATATATCCTGATTCTCAAATTCCACGTCACTATTTCTCATTGGGAGAGGTAAGAAATATATATATATATATTCTATGTGGTTATTATGTTCTTACTTTTTTATTAAAAAAAAATAGGAGTTAGTTAAACTTCCAATAAGGAAAGTACCTTCATGTTAACATTTAACTTCTCTTGCTTCCTTCCTCCTTCTTACCACGTAAGTCTAAACTATATTCTTTTTTTCCCATTCCTCCTCCCTGAAAGTTGATTTCCACTGAGTTGATGCGCCTGGAGATAAGCTGTGTACTGTGGGGTCTGTTTTTCCCTATTCTGTCTATAGTGATGTGTTTCCTAAACAGACTGCACCATCTGCAATTGTGGATCTGTAAAATCTGTATATATATTAAAAAAAAAAAGACTTCTTTGCAGGTCTTTGTGAACTTGTAATTATAAGATGGCTTTTAGAAAAAAATATGAAGCCAAGTAGGGAAAGAAATCCAACCTTTTTGTGATAGAAATCAATAGAAGGACAATATTTCCTTTTATAAGTCACAGCAGCAAATGATGATATGTGTAGACAGGGCCACAAGCAGGCCTACCCCAGGATTAAATCTCAGGAAAAGTGGCCTCCCACTCTGAAGAAGGTTGTCACTTCTTCAGTCCTTTCATTCATTCAACAAATATTTGAGTACCTCTAGTATATGACAAGTACTGTTTTAAGTACTAGGAATACAGCAATAAGTAAAGCAGAGATCCTGCTCTTGTTGATCTTACAGTCCATGAGTAAGACAGATTATGAAAGGCACACAATATGTCAGGTGGTGGTAAGGGCAGAAGGGATAGAGAATGACTGACAAGTGAGCGTGGGTAGTAGTACTGTTTTATGTAAGGAAGTTGAAAGAGTACGGAAGTTGAAAGAGTCCTGTCAAGGTGATTTTGAGCAGAGATCTGAAGAAAGTGAATGAGCAGGTCATACGAGTTTTTAGGGAAAGAGTATTCTGGGCACAGGGAAGAACAAGTATAAAGGTTTCTAAGATGACAATGTACTTAGCGCGTTCCAGAAACAGCAGGGAGACCAGTTGTCTGGAATAGAGTGAACAAGGTGGAGAGTAGTAGAAGATAAGGTCAAAGACAAAGTGAGGGTCAAATCATATAAAGCTTTTAGGTTATAGTGAGAACTTTGCATTTTGCATTTTATTCTGAATCAAATGGAAGCTATCGAAAGATACCAGCAAACTTCCACTAGAAAAGGATCACATTGTATGCTATGTGGAGAAAAACTATATGGAAACAGGAGTAGAGCTGGTGTATTGTTGAAGAGAGTAAAGGATTATGTCTGGTTTCTATCAAGCTTGAGACACTGACTGTAAAGTTGCCATTACTGAGATGGGAAAACCTACAGGAAGAGCAGATGCTCAAGGGAATCAACAGTAGTTTGGGACACATCAAATTTGAGATCCAAGTGAAGATATGAATAGGTCTTTACATTTAAGAATATTCACTTTGGGGGAGAGGTTGTGATAGAGATGTTAACTTAGGTTGTCAGCATATAGGATGGTTTTTAAAGCCACAAAACTGTATGAGGTCACCTGAGGAGGAGAAAATGTTAAGTATGAGAGAGAAGACCGAGGACAATGCCAGAGGGAATGCCACAGTTTAGAAATCATGGAGATGAGAAGGAATCAGCAAAAAAGATTGAGAAGGAGTAGGCAGTGAAATAGGAGAACCTAGAGAGTGGTGTCGCCAAGACTAAGGGAAAGACGTGTTTCAGGAAAGAGGAAGTGATCAGCTGTATCGAATACTGCAGAGAAATTGAGGAAGATGAGTACTTAGAATTGGTTATTGCATTTGGCTAGGGACATGTTATCAGTAGCCTATCTCACAGTGTTGAGAGAGTTCCCCATGGATGTTGTTAAAAACTCTGTTTTGAAGAGAGAATGGAAGAAGCAACATAGATGAATGTGTACAAGTCTTGCAAGGAATTTTCTTGTAAAAGAGAGAAGATAAATAGGTGGTAGCTGGAGGAGAATATGGGCTTAAAGGGGTTTTTATTTCTTTATTAAGATAAAACTGTGCTGATATGAGCAACCCAAAAGAGAAAATTTAAAGATGCAAAAGAAAGAGCCAACTTAACACCCATTAGAATGGCCACTATCAAAAAAACAGAGAATGACACATGTTGGCAAGGATACTGAAAAATTGGAACCCTTGTGCATTGTTGGTGTGAATGTAAAATGGTACAACTGCTATTTAAAAATAGTATGGAGGTTTCTCAAAAAATGCTCAAAAAAGAGAACTACGATATTATCCAGCAATTCCACCTCAGGGTATGTATCCAAAGGAAATGAACGCAGGGTCTGAAGAGTTACTTTTACTTACATGTTTATAACAGCACTATTCACAATAGCCAAGAAGTAGAAGCACTCCACGTGTCCGTTCATTCTGGCCCAGCTAGCAATGCTTAGGCATTGTCCAAAATTGGGTCAGTTCAAAGTAAAAAACTCCTCCTTCTTGGTTCTAAAGACAAGCTACAGAGTGACTGCTATAAATCGTGATACAACGTACAATGGAATATTTTTCAGTCTTAAAAAGGAAGGAAATTCTGATACATGCTACAACATGGATGAACCTTGAGGACCTTATGTTAAGCATAATACGACAGTCACCAAAAGAGAAATGCTGTATGATTCTCCTTATATAAGGCAGCTAGAATAGTCAAACTCATAGAAACAGAAAGTAGAATGGTGGTTACCAGGGCTGAGGGAAGGGCCTAAAGAAGAGTTACTTCATGGGCATAGAGTTTCACATTTGCAAGATGAAAAAGTTCTGGAGATTTGTTTCACAACAGCCTGAATATACTTAACACTACTAAACTGTACACTTGAAAACAGTTTAGATGGTAAATTTTATGTTATGTGTTTCTGCACCAGAATAAAAAGAAAGAAGGGATCTGTTGTTATGGGTGTCATGTATTTGGGTGGATAGGAGGTGAAATCTGTACACAAGTAGAGGGTGTTGGGTGGGGGTGGGAAGAAGAGAGGTCATCTCTTATCATGGGGAGGAAGGTAGAGGAATGGGAACAAGTGCAGGGCAGCTGTAGGTTTGGAGGTGGAAACTGGCAGTTTGTGGTGGAAGTGTGAGGACCTTCTCTTCTGGTGGCTTGTTTCCTCAGTTGAACACAAGATTATGGGCTGAGAGTGAAGAAGGTGTTGGTGAGGGGGAATTGGGGAAAGAGAAAAGGATGTAAAATAGAAATGTAAGATAAGGGAAAGCAAGTAGATCACTGAAGGAAGCCAGATGGTGGAGAGTTGGTGAAGCCATCTGGCCTGGTGTTTTCTTCAGTGCCAGGGCAGGCACAGACTTACGCATTTATCCTAACAGTTACTAAGGCTACTTCAGGATTGACTTGAGCTCCCTACCTCTGAACCTTGTTGTGATTTAAGGAATTTGTTTTCAAACAAGTGAGGGCTACATTGAGTTTCTTGAGCCTTTCATTCTCACTGATGCCTCATTAATGGGAATGTGTTTTCCTTTGCTGTGACCTCGTACTGGTCAAAGAAGGCCCAGGGTGAGTGGTGCGCCAGGGAAAGATTTCTAGCAGTCACTCTGCAGCTTGTCTTTAGAACCAAAAATGAGGAGTTTTTTGTTTTTGTTTTGTTTTTTTTGAGCTGACCCAATTTTGGACAATGCCTAGGCATTGTTAGCTGGGCCAGAGTTCGGGCGTGTGACAAAGAAACACTTGTCTGCTCCATGGTAGATGACTGCCAAGGCAAGCTTGCGTCTTACCTGCCTCTTGCCAGCTGGCTTCTGGGCAAGTCGCAGCGTTTACCCTCTGTGGCCTGCTTGTTATCGCCTTATTAACTTAACAGCTGGCCTTAAGCCTTGTACGCCCTTAATACCAGGCCACATCCTACAGGTTAAAAGTGTCATTTCTAGATTGGAGGTCATTCTTAAGAGTACCCACCATAGTGCAGCCCAGGGATCTTATGCTTCTGATCACAGCTTCACCCATGTGAGCCTTCCTTTGCTAGCAACAGTAATTTAGCCTTTCATAGATCTCTTCTCATGCTTCAAGGGTCCAGGGAAACCTGAAATCATAGGATTTTTCAGCAGAAAGGGAAATCAGAAAATGTAAATATGACTAGGGTAATAGATATAATTTAGGGCATCTGGCTTCAGCTAACGCTGACGTTCGTAGTTCCTGTAGGACCTGAACAAATGTGTTTCATTGTGGTATCTGATAGTTGTTAACTCAGGAGCTGAGTATTCTAAACAACAAAAAGTAAACAATCTAGACCTTTACTGGTTTAGTCAGTTTTAGGGGCTGACCAATTGCTTTTCCAGGCAGATCTAATAATCCTAACATTTACTGAGCATGTACTTTATGTCAAGCACAAATCTGAATGCTTGATGAATATTAAAGCACAACACTATAGGATTGTGCTGTTATTTCCACTTCACAGATAAGTAAACTGAGACACAAATAAATGGTTTAAAAAACACGGCTAAACTCACAACCATCTGGTTTGAGAGCCTGTGCTGTTAACCCCTAATGTCCGTATTCTTTCTCAAATCTAACCAGTATTTCCCTTGCAGCAGAGAGTAGAAAAGTGAATCCAGATTCACTAATGCTAGATTATAAAAATGGTTTAACAAAGCTCTTACATTGTCCACCCTAATGGAGATACTGATTCTGGAGGAGACTAATAGTAGAAACAAAGAAACTTAAGCTCTAACCTCTTGCCTGGTTTTCCAAGAATGGGTGCATTCACAATTATTTTCAATTCCTAATGTCAAAAATAGTAGTTTTAAAGTGGCAGTCAGGTACAGCTAAGTTGCTACTTCCAAAGGGGGGTTGAAGAGTTGCTGGGTCTGTGGATAAAGGAAAGAAAACCAACGGTTACTGTGTGCCTGCTATGTATCTGTCCCTGCTAGAGCCTCTGTATGTATTATCTCATTTAGAGCACTTAACAAACCTGAGAGAGAGAGAGATTTATCCCTGCTTTACCAATGAGAAAGGGTTCTTATAGCAGTGTTTTTAATTCTGTGTTGTAAATAATATTGATATCTGATGTCCCCAAGGTGCTCAATTAGAAAGGCGAAGTGCTGGGGAGAAGGAGGTAGATTTTGAGGTCAAATATGTTTGGGCAATACTATTTTACATCTTACATCCATCTGTACCACCATTCCCCGGTCCTACCAATAGTCATGATATATTAAAAGGCTTTGAGAAGTCCTTCAACAAAGAAACCTATTTAAATTTATTTAACTAGTATTTCCCAAACATATCTGATCATAAAACACCTTTTTTATTGGGGCACCTTGCAAGATGCTGTTCTTCAGATTGTGGTTTTTGGAATCACAGTCTTAGAGTAAATAACCTGCCCAAGGTCTCATGGCTAGTCAGGAATGAAGCACCATCTGCATGTCCCCACAATCTAAACTCTCACCCCTACAGACACTTTGAAAGTGTGGATATTCACACACTGTAAGTCAGACACTGCTGTGATTCAAGTAGAAAAGTTTGTTTCTAACAGCTCCTCACCCTTTATGATACTCTCAGTTTGTACATCGTTTCTAGATTGTTTTGGCTTGATTCAGTGGCGTGCCTGGCCACGTAAGGAAAGATGAGTTAATCAGCCATAAACAATTCCTATGAAGAGGACCATTAACCCACTGATCTTTCCCCTTGAAATAACTTAGATCTCCTAGGATTTACACTGTTTCAGAAAGTACAAACCAAACTTGGGCACTTTCCACGTGACTTTCATAGGGTGGCCAATGGTGTGAGAACTTGGGTTTATTAGCATGTTGTGCAACTTTTCCCATCGTTGGCAAGTAGCTCCTCACAAATGGTGGAAGATTTTCTCCTATGTGTCAGCATCTAGACCTGCACATCTGACGTGTCGGCTACACTGAATTTAATTAAAATTAGGCCACGCCTGGTGACTCACACCTGTAATGGCAGCACTTTGGGAAGCCGAGGTGGGTGGATCACTTGAGATCAGGAGTTCGAGACCAGCCTGGCCAACATGCCGAAACCCCATCTCTACTAAAAATATGAAAAATTAGCTGAGTGTGGTGGCCCGCATCTGTAGTCCCAGCTACTCGGGAGGCTGAGGCGCGAGAATTGCTTGAACCTTGGGGGTAGAGGTTGCAGTGAGCCAAGATTGTGCCACTGCATTCCAGCCTGGGTGACAGAGCAAGAGACTGTCTGAAAATATAAAATAAAATAAAATAAATGAAAATAAATGTAATTAAAAGTAAATAGAATTTAAAGCCTGGTTCTTCAGTCACAATAGCCACATTTGAAGTGCTCAATAGCCACACATGACTAGTGGCTGCTACCATATTAGCACAAATATAGACATTTCCATCATCTCAGAAAGTTCTACTGGATGGTGCTGGAGACATTAACAACTGCTGTTTTAAAACAGCCAACACGGCCAGGCGCCGGTGGCTCACGCCTGTAATCCCAGCACTTTGGGAGGCCGAGGTGGGTGGATCATGACGTCAGGATTTCAAGACCAGCCTGGCCAAGATGGTGAAATCCTGTCTCTACAAAAAAAAATAAAAAATAAATTAGCCGGGCATGGTGGCAGGCGCCTGTAATCCCAGCTACTTGGGAGGCTGAGGCAGAGAATTGCTTGAACCCGGGAGGCAGAGGTTGCAGTGAGCCGATGTCGCACCATTGCACTGCAGCCTGGGCGACAGAGTGAGACTCTGTCTCAAAAATAAAATAAATAAAATAAAATAAGCCAACACAGGAGGTTACCCATCTGTCTCTGTATCATGTACTGCTACCCTGTCATTTCACTCATTTCTCCTTCCCAGGTCCTAAGTTGAAGTGGTCATATTTGCCTTGTCAAATCTATTGTTTTCAAATCTTATAACTAATGTATGCCCCCTCTAATTCTCTCTACTCTGAAATAATTTGGAATTATCATAACATAATTCATAGGGATGTATCATATCAAATTCCCAAGCCATCCTGTCAGTAGATACCTTCCTACTTGGTTAAGGAGAATATCAGGACCATATTGATATTCAGGAGTATCTACTTCAACCAAGAAAAGCTCCCTTCTTTTCCCATATCAAATCTGCCTTTTATTTAAGGGTTCCTGATAATTTAGAATCTCAGTTGCTGTTAGATGTCCTGATGACTACTGAATATGTTACCAAACAAGGCTCACTTCTTGCTTTTCTCTTTCCAGGATAGTCAAGAGGTGACTTGAAAGGAGTGAACTAAAGGAATTGGTAGTGTAATAAGACCACTGAGCAGTTAGCTGTAGACTGTGTGTACACCAAGAAATGGGATAAAATCCTCTGAAGAGTGGGAGACTCCAGAAAGAATCTAGCCCATTTGTTCCTTAAACTTCAAAATACCCCTTATCAGAAGGTTCTCACTCTTTTTAGAAGTCCAACAAATAAGACATTTGCCTAGAACATCCTTAAGAGCTAGTCCTCAATTCTTGAATGTATTTTCTCTTCCTTCTATATTTTCCAAATTCTGCTGTTTTAAAATTTTTTCAAATGTCAGATTTTGAATAACCAACCCAAATACCTATTTTCATCCCAGTATAAACTTGAAACAAGTATGTGTTGTCACCCTTTCTACCCTCCACATCTCATTAGAAAGCTGGTAATTGGTTATATAGTCTTAAAGCTATATGGAATTACAATTTTGAACATTTGATTCAGCATCCCTAGAAAATGTTTGTTCCTCATTTTCCCTTTCTCCAAAGGCTCTTCAAACTTAACTCCCGGCAAACAAACCTATTAGGTGGTCCTCTCCCTCCTAGAATCCTAGAGGACAAAACTTACCCCATAGTCAACCTAATTTTCCATGTCCTTGAGGAAAACATCTTACACACCCCATAGATGAGGTAGTCCACATGTATCACTACACAGAAAAGAATGTTCTCTGAAAACTCTATATTCTCTAGCCAGGCGGTATATAGAGGGACCCACCTGGAGAGCAGATGTCCCTTCAGCTACAAAGAAGCCACATATTTGTTGAGCCAAACAGAATCCTCTGTCCTCTAATGTGAAATTCACTTAGGGACTCTAACATCATAGCTGTGCTCTTTCAGAAGTGTAATCTCCAGTTTCTCCCCTTTACATCAGAGGAGTGCCTCCAGGCGCCACCAGGAGCCTGAATCTGGGTCTCTGACCATGCCACCCACCTCACCTGGGCCTCACTGACCATATGTTGTTGATGCAGTTTAGTTACTCCTCACTCTAACAGCTAATGGGAAGCAGTGGTTTCCAGTCCTTGGAGAAACTCCACTTTCAACATCTAATGGTCAGTAGTAACCCCAAAGGATAGAGGCCCAGATCTCGCATGTCAGGAATTAGTTATAGGAATCTTGTAAGGATGGTATAAGCTGTTATGTACAAATCTCTTACAAAATAGAGGCAGGGTCTCATCATGTTGGCCAGGTAGGTCCCAAACTCTTGAGCTCAAGGGATCCTCCTGCCTCGGCCTCCCAAAGTGCTAGGATTCTACATGCATGAGCCACCACGCCCCGCCAAGAATTGCATTTTTTGTTTTGAATTTTGGTAAAAGATAGGCAATTATTTAAGCAAATGGCCATTCCATATGAGAGCGAGAGAAGCTGAAGATAACACTGGTGTTAATCTAATAATTCCTGTGGCATTTATCATCTTTCTTTAGCCACCTTTATTTACATCTGCATTTGGGGGAAGAAATAGAGGAAAACAGGATTGGAGAGTTTATAATTTATATCAAAAGTATAAGGAAATAATTATTTTTTGTGAATATATGAGATAAATACTCATCTTTATCACAATATGAACTTTTTTTTTTTTCTTTAAGAGACAGGGCCTTGCTCTGTCACTTAAGTTGAAGTGCAGTGGCACAATTATAGCTTACTGCAGCCTTGAACTCTTGGGCTCAAGTGATCCTCCCACCTCAGCCTCCCGAATAACTGGGACTACAGGCGTGAGCCACCATGCCTAAGATTTGTATTTTTATTTTTTGTAGAGACAAGGTCTTGCTATGTTGCAAGTCTTGAACTCCTAGGCTCAGGCGATCCTACTGTCTTGGCCTCTTAAAGTGCTCGGGTTATAGACATGGGTCACTGTGATTGGCCCAATCTGAGCGAAATTCTTTTTCAAGTGAGATAGCCATCATCGTCTGGTATTAATTGATCACCTACCAGGATGAAGGAAGGTGTGCTTTATGCAAATTGGTATTTTACCATAAAATCTTTTATACAACCTAACACAACCTATTTATGAGGGAATAGGTTTCACAATTAATGGATAAAAAATGATGATGTAAATTATGTGGTAAAAGAACTCTTGGAAACATATAATGTATTGGACCCTGAGAAAAAAACATTTTGAAATTTCTAGCTTGAATAATTGGACAAGTTGTGGGAATAGTAATAAAAATAGGGATATCAGGAAAACGGGAAATTTTGGAGAAATGATAATGAGGTTTGTTTTAGGTAGCACTTCTCAAGAGGGGATGGGGTGGGGACGTATTAAAATGTGAAGATGATTAAGTGTTCATATTAGAAAATTGAGAAATTCTGTTTTGAACGAACCGAGTTTGAGATTTTGGTGGAATAGCAAGATGGATGTGACTAGTGATAAAGTGACAGTGCAGATTATTACTGTCTCTGAGCCTGTTCATGCTGGACTCTGAATTAGGTGCCTGGATACATTGTCTTACATAGCATCAGCACAGAACTGACATTAGCATAGAACTGACATTACCCCCCCAGTTCCTGATCTCAAAAGGTTTAGGTAACTTGTATTTAAACCTGAGTCTTCTATGTCAGAACCCTGGTTTTTATTCCTGGCTGCTTGGGAATATTGGAATAATATGCAGACTGTATATGTGTTTATAGAAGTAACTGGCTTTTTTGTGGTTTTAACTTTACCCCTACTTTATCTATCACACAAAATTAGTTACCTTTTTTAAAAAGTCTACATGACATGACAGATGTAGTTTCTCTTCTGGCTTAACCTGCTGACAGTACCGTACATAGGAATAGATTTAAGACTTTCAAACATCTGTTAATTTACCATATGCTTTTAAAACTGCAACAGTTTAGAGGAAACAAAATATCAAGGGGCATTACCTAAAATATTCCTCCTAATTCTGATGACTGACTTAAATTCCTTTTATGTAATCCACAAATGTCTAGTGAAAGAGTAGAGTTTGTACCACACTATGCTTAAGCTTCCAGGTAAGACAAGTTCCAAGCTCTTTGACTAGAGTCATCTTAGTCTCTCCTAAGTCATCAGAGTAGTTATCAGAATTAATGTTCTTGTCTTGATTGATAATAGTGTCATCAGGGAGTTAATTTTTTAAATCATTAACCAAAGTAGAGTTTGTTGAACTCAATACAAATTTGAAAGGAATAACTTGAAAAAAATGAAAAAAGAAATTGTAAGGATTTTCCCCCATAAACACAGAAAATTACATAAACAGTTGTAAGACCTTTCTAGACCAATGAATTTTAGATACTCAGACAGCGATAGGCCAATAGGCCATTTCAGAGTAGGGCCAGGGAAAGTTTAGGTTGATATTTAGTGTATATGTGTGTGTATCTGTCTGTCTAATTAACTTCTCCAACTCCTGATATTTTCATTATTTATTGTCCCATAGATACGAAATGTGGAAACGAATCAGTGTCTAGATAACATGGCTAGAAAAGAGAATGAAAAAGTTGGAATTTTTAATTGCCATGGTATGGGGGGTAATCAGGTGAGTATCTTAGAAAACTCTTAAAAGGGATAATTTTCAGATTGTTTTTACTTTGCCTTTTTTTTATACCATGACATCATTCAGGAAATATTTTCCTTCCTTTAAAGAGAAAATAATAAAGACTTTTAGGTGAAGGAAGCTTTCAATCCAGTGATTTTTTTTTTTAATGAAACATTTGTGAAAGGCCCATTGTGAGAACTATGTTTACATTGCTGAGCACAAAATTTATTTTGCCCTTTTTATTCAAACAGATGACAACCCTTGACAATACATTCAGTGTATACAGAGAGCTCAAGGTCATTTTTGCTTCAGCTTGTAAGCAAGAAAATGAGTAACATAACATCAATGTAAATTAGTGGTAGCTTTTCTGAGTCACTTTATTCTTCATTACTTTAATAAAGTACATAAATCATGTACCTTGAAATACTTGTATTTTCCCTGACAGCTAATTGGGCATTTAAAATGCTGACTAATTTATTTTTTCTGTTTATGTGTGTGCATTTTTATTTCCAGGTTTTCTCTTATACTGCCAACAAAGAAATTAGAACAGATGACCTTTGCTTGGATGTTTCCAAACTTAATGGCCCAGTTACAATGCTCAAATGCCACCACCTAAAAGGCAACCAACTCTGGGAGTATGACCCAGTGGTAAGTTATGCAGTTGCCTATAGTAATAAAATTATGTGTGTCACTGGGTATATTTATATACTTTATATCTAAAGGAATGAGTTCTTGTGGACCTTGAATATGGATCAAACTTGTCTTATACACTAAATATTGACAGGCGGGAAAAATAAGTAAAATAAATGTGTTTTAATCTCCCTAATAATTAAATTTTAGTCTTATAAAATCACAGTTGCCTCCAATCCCTGGGTCCTTGTTTACTGAGTAGCCACTGTTCCTTCTGTATGTCTTCAAGTTCTATAGTCTAGTTTGGGAGAAATGAGGCAGAAAGTAGGCTTTTAAAATTACTTAATTAAACACTTCAGTGAAAGATAAGTTTTAATTAATAAAGTTCTCTGGCTTGTGATGATTTCCCAGTGACATATATGACAGAACCTTTCCTATTTATCTTTCCTTTTGTCTGGAACCTTTCTCTCCACCACCATCAAATGGGCTCACATGGAAGTACTTAAAAGGTATTAGTTCAATTAAAGCATCCGTGGTAAACCTCTTTCCACCTATTTGCCTAATTTTTCAACTTGTGCTTTTGCCAGGTTCTGGAACCAGCACCAACATCTTCAATATTTCTTTCTCTGGTTCTTTTTAATTTGGCTTAACTTCTGTAAGGCATTTAGTGCCACTAAACAGATGACTTTTTTTTTTTTTTTTGAGGCAGGGTCTTGCTCTGTCACCCAGGCTAGAGTGCAGTGGTACAGTCACAGCTCACACAACCTCCACCTCCCAGGCTCAAGCTATCCTCCCACCTCAGCCTCTAGAGGAGCTGGGACCACAGGCACACGCCATCATGCCTGGCTAATTTTTGTAATTTTGTGGAGACAGAGTTTCACCATGTTGTCCAGGCTGGTCTTGAGCACTTAGGCTCAAGCGATCCACCCGCCTCAGTCTCTCAAAGTGCTGGGATTACAGGCATGAGCCATCATATCTGGCCTGATATTTTCTAATTTATTTTTTTTTATTTTTTATTTTATTTATTTATTTTTTTGAGATGGAGTCTCGCTCTTATCGCCCAGGCTGGAGTGCAGTGGTGCAATCTCGGCTCATGCAACCTCCACCTCCCTGGTTCAAGCTATTCTCCTGCCTCAGCCTCCTGAGTAGCTGGGATTACAGGTGCCCGCCACCATGCCCGGCTAATTTTTGTACTTTTAGTAGAGACAGGGTTTCTCCATGTTGGCCAGGCTGGTCTTGAACTCCTGACCTCAGGTGATCTGCCCACCTCGGCCTCCCAAAGTGCTGGGATTACAGGCATGAGCCACTGCACCCAGCCTGGCCTGATATTTTCATATCCTCTTATGCCTTGGCCATAAGATGCACTACTGTTTAGGTTCTTCTCTTAGTTTGCTCTCTGTTCCTTTTGTTGGCCTGGCTCTCTCTCCTTCTTCGTCCTACTCCTTAAATGGAAATGTTGTCCCAAGTTACTGACTTTGGCCATCTTTCCTCCCTTTACTGTGTCATACACCAACCATGGTCTACTTTAATCATCAATATGCTGTTCTCTGAACATACCTTATACTTTCCTAGTTCACATCTAAGATAATATGCTTCCCTCTGCCTGACACACCTTACCCATTCTTAAGAACCCAGCTTTGACATCACTTCCATGAATCCTAACCTGAAATTAACTCTGTCAATCTTAATTACAGTCATCTCTGACCTCTATAAAGCTGTACTTGTTTGTAGTTATTTATCTAGCAATCTTTTCTCCACTATTAGATTGTTAGATCCTAGAGGACAGAGATCATCTTTTATAAATCCTGGGTCTCCTTTCACAATGTCAGGCTATAGAAAAAATGATATTACCTATAATAATAGCTCAGTTAATATGGCCATTGGAAATGGCCTGAATGCTCTGTTCTAGGGTTTCCCATGGTATGTGCCACTGCCATTTTGGGTGTGACTGCCCCATGCATTGCAGGGTATGTAGCATCTCTGGCTCCAGATAGTAAGTGCTAGTGGCACCCCATAGCCATTGTGACAACCACAAAATTTTAAAAATGAAAAACCTCTTAAGTTTATTGGAAAATGACAGTATATTAATTAGGCAGTATTTTTAGAAACCTATTTATTATAGCTAAAACAAATAGGGATTTATTTTTCTTACATAAGTCTAGAGGTAAGTAAATTCAGTGGCATAGTGATGTCAGGGATAACGTTGTTGTAATATTCTTAGCTTTTCCTTGTGGCCACAAGGTGGTTGCTGCAGCTTTATCGCATCCCAACTCCAGGCAGAAAGAAAAGGGAAAGAGGAATGGTACACTACCACATGTGTTGCTCTTTATTAGCAAAGTAAAAGGTTTTTCTGGAACCCCCTTAGCAGGCTCTGCTTATGTCTTATGGACCAGAACATCCCATGGTGACCCCCAGCTGCAAAGGAAGCTGGGAAAGCAAGTCTTTGGTTTTCTAGTCGTTAGAGTGTGAGATGGCCAAGAGATAGAGGGATTGGGAAAGACTGTTGGCTAGCCAACCTACACAGTCTACCACAACAGTATTCCAAAAGTAAATGTTTGATGAAACAGGTAAGAAGCTGGAGATAAGAGTATTTAGAAAGAGCCGGCCGGGCGCGGTGGCTCAAGCCTGTAATCCCAGCACTTTGGGAGGCCGAGGTGGGCGGATGACGAGGTCAGGAGATCGAGACCACAGTGAAACCTCGTCTCTACTAAAAATACAAAAAATACACCATACAGGCATGGTGGCAGGCACCTGTAGTCCCAGATACTCAGGAGGCTGAGGCAGGAGAATGGCGTGAACCCAGGAGGCGGAGTTTGCAGTGAGCCGATACCGCGCCACTGCACTCCAGCCTGGGCGACAGAGTGAGACTCCATCTCAAAAAATAAAATTAAATTTTAAAAAAAAGAGCCAGTTATGAGTGTGAAGTTTTAAAACTTCTAGATCGCTTTGCAAGGTTTTTTCCTGCTGAGATAAAACATTAATGCTGGGGATTGATTTCTCCCAGAAGCAGACTCGAAGATAAAGTTGAGCATTCAGGATGTTTGTTAGGGAGCACTTTCTGGGCCAATATCTGTAAAAGGAATACCTCCCTCTCCCTGGGCAGAGGGAGAAGTTGAGTTGCAATGCAGGTCCAACAGCCTGAGCAGACTACAGGGAAAGCACTGGAGGGGAACAGCCCATCAGAATCGTCCTGCCTCCATCCATTGAAAACTTAACAGTCTAGAAAAATAACAGAATACTTATGTCCATTATCTGTAATCTAAAATCATGAATTCTTAGATTTCAAAGCAACCCTAGAAATTAAACCCAGGATACTTTTTATACAAGTAGAAATTGAAACTCAGAATTAATTTCCCAAGGAAATTAATTGCCCAAGGTCTCTGAGCAGCCAGATAGTATGACTAGATCTCAAATCTGGAATTCTAGATTCTCGATCCAGGTTTCTTTGCACAGTACCACGCTATTTTTGATTAATAGTTTTGAGTCTTGCTTGTATTACATATTACATAAAATTTACAATAAGGCACTGGGCTCTTTTGCTTTGACTACTTGTATCTGTCCTTTCTGGAATAAAATGCAGATTTTAGACCTAGTTACATCTAGAAATTAGGAGTAGGAGCTTGGCAAATTATTTTTTCTAGGATGCAGGTAGACTTTACTAAATGATTAATTATAGCTTTTATCCTCTCCTTCAAAGGTTACGGTTAGATGCTTGTCACTTGCTTGTCCTGATGCCTTAGTCCAGCTCTCTCTGAATGGAGACTAGTTGGTGTTGCCTGAGTCCTCTGAGGAGTGCTGTGATGACAGCATCCTACCCACAAGGTTCCAAGCCACAAGGCTCTGTGCCTGCTGTCAGCAGCCAGAGTTGTATCTGGAACAGGGTTCTCCACCAGAGTCTAGGCTTCCTGGGGGTGCTGCTCACCTTCCAAGTTATGGGGATTCTGTCCTGATGTCGAATAGTTAAATACTCAGCACAGAGCAATAACCTATGTGTTTGTGATGGGTTTATTTTAATGAATCTAGATGAGTGAAATGCACATTTTTAGAAACTAGGTTAAGAGAGACCAACTCTCCCAACTAAATTTTTTGTTGTGCCTAGTTGGGGGTTTTTTGTTTTTAGTAATAGTGACCATGGGCCTGATGAGGGAGGCCACTGGGATAAGCTTTGCGGGAACTCCCGGAATGTTTGAGAGGTTCTCTTGTTCTGGTCTTTCCTGAGACTGAAGCCACTGGCAGCAATGTGCACGCTGAGCCGCAGCGCTCTGGCTGCTGGATTGTGTCCATGACTGCTCAGGACGTTGCCAGGATGTTGTGTTTTCCAATAATAAGCATTACTCTATAAATGCAAATTACCATTGTATGTAAATGTCATTGTACCATTTATCAAGCATTTACTCTGGGATAGGCAGCACTTTATGTACATTATCTCAGTGTTTCCTCATAAAAACCCGGTGAGGTATTTTTGTCCCCATTTTATAGATGAGGAAACTGGGTCTCAAAGAGTTTAGGTTTTTGCTCAGAAGCATATAGTTGGTGTGTGACAAATCTGGAAATCACCCCAGGAATGTCTGACTGCAAAGCCCCTCCTCTCAATAAACTACACAAAGTCTGCATTAAAAAAAGAAAAAAAAATTCCCACAGCCATGCTGACTCTCTTCTAGGTTCTAGTCTTATATTTGGAAGCATTAAAGATAGAATCCTGAACCTAAAGACAGTATCAGTAGTGACATCTGCAAAGATAGACTGTCATCTGCCAGGTCCTACTTTGACCACAACACGGAAGAATAATAAATGACTGGAAGCCTAAGTAGTTGTATACAATTATTAGATTTTGTTTTAAGTTCTAATAGGTGCAAAAAAGGCCTCATGAAAATGAAATGTTTCAGATAAAAGAACTACATTAAAATAGAGCCATGAGTAAAAGAATCAGATAACTATGTGTTAAACATTTTACATTTCCTTCGAGTTAATTTACATTTGTAGAGTAATGCTTAATGCACATTCCTGTATACAACTACTTTGAAGTCCTTAACATGACCAGAGCATATTATCACAATCATTGGTGTGGATCATTGTTAACTATCTATCTGTTAATTCTTACCTGCCCTGCCCTTTCAAAATTATCCTAATAACATGTTGCTGCATCAAATCTAGAACTTAAATAAGTGGATAAAATATATAGCTATGTCTGTTAACCATTTATTAAGAATCTCTTTTGTAGGTGAGGCACTATGTACTTTATCTTCATTATCTATGTAGTTTCCCAAAATCTGCTCAAAATATGTAATGTGATCCTAATTTTTAAAATGAGAAACCTCAAGTTACCCAGGCTGTGAACTCAACTCCACATTCCTGTGCTTTTCTTTCTGTACCACACCATCTCCTTTAACCACCAGGATAGCCTCTGGGTTTGCTATGGACATAGGCATAAGATTGATTTTACTAAATATCAGCTGTCCCAACATTCTTATGATTTTGAGTTATCAGAAAGACCTGAGTTTCTAAAAACTTGAGCTTTGGAATCACAGAATTAACTTGAACAGCCTTATCATAGAGAAATGAAACAATTTTGAAATAGCTGTTTGAAAATAGGTTGAGGATCCTAAATTAGGAACCACTAATCTGGTCTTTTTTTGTTGTTTAGGAAACTGAAGCACAAAAAAGAGAAGCTTCTCATAGTGTTACAGAGCTTATGCCAGAATTAGGACTTAGAATTTAGGTCATCTTGCAGCAAGTCAAGTGTACCCTACTGGACCCCAGTGCCTTTCTCCCTCCCTCATACCTCTTTATCGACCTACATATCTACCTACTTCTCTCTCTCTCTCTCTCTCTCTCTGTTTCTCCATCCATCCACCTACCTACCTTTTCTCCGTTGTCTTTTAAATAATGTATATTACCAAAAAAAACACCTTTTCTGCAGAGGAACTTAATCACCAAAACTGATGCTTGAGGTGTTTTGTTTTCTTCCACTCTCATGTTAAGATTTTTTCTATTTCAGAAATTAACCCTGCAGCATGTGAACAGTAATCAGTGCCTGGATAAAGCCACAGAAGAGGATAGCCAGGTGCCCAGCATTAGAGACTGCAATGGAAGTCGGTCCCAGCAGTGGCTTCTTCGAAACGTCACCCTGCCAGAAATATTCTGAGACCAAATTTACAAAAAAACGAAAAAAATAAGGATTGACTGGGCTACCTCAGCATACATTTCTGCCACATTCTTAAGTAGCAAAAAAGGAAAAGTGCTTTCCTCCTCTGCAGGATGTAAGGTTTATCAGCCATTAAAACTTAGACTTCTCTAGCTTTTCACTAGCTGTGAACCAGCCTTCCTGTCCATGGACGTGAAACTGCATAGTAATGAGACTGTGCACACTGATGTTTACAAGATTGAAAGAGTCTTTCTCCGAAAATCATGGTAAAGAATACTGAGACAATGAAAAAAAATCAACAAAATATGCTTTCTGGAGAACTGTACCTTTTATGGTTTGCTTGCACATCAGTAGTTTCTGCTGAACGTGCTGTCATAATGAAGAGATTTCCAAGATTTTTTTTCCTGATTAGAACTGGTAGCCAGTATATTAAATATTGATATAAAAATAAAAGAACTGGAACCAGATTCAGAATCATGAAAACAACATTTTTACAACAACAAAAAAACTATATTAAACAGGGTTTAAAGGAAATTAAAACAGAACTATGAGAAGTACAATTTGTTATAGTATAGTATCAAATTTCTATATAGATTTTATACCTCAGTGGGGAAAAATAACTGATTCCAATGACATTCATTTTGTTTTCATCTGTGATAGTCATGGATGCTTTTATTTTCCTTGGGGTGCTGAAATTGAGCTGAAAAAAAAAGGCTCTTTGAATATAGTTTTAATTTCTCTCTACAGTTTTTTTTGTTTGGTTTGTGGGCTGTTGGAATTGTAATTTTTAATTGCCTTCTAAAAAATGGAAATTTAACAATGTCTGATCTCAGCTGAACAAATTAGATGTTTCAGTTGCTCTTGGGTCAACTGGCTTACAGATTTACATGTGCACACACACACAAATTTCTTATCACATTTTCGACTTCTTCACTTGACCTAACTGATTATGCGAAATACCCAAGATTCATGCTACTGTACCACAGATTTGTTTTCACAGCAATAAATCTTCAGTTCTTTGTTTATGATTCCACTTAACAAAAGGCCTGCAGAAGTGATTTATTATTTGGGTATTTGGAGATAATACATTTGATGGTTTTTTGGAAAACCTTTTTCACTCCATACTCAGATATGCTTCATTGTCAAATGCATATTTAGATTAGATTATTGAATTGTAATGTTTATCTGCTGCTTTTTTTAAATAAAATTTGACTGAAAATGTTTAATTGGCATTTTTTAATGACTTAGCCAAAGAAGTGCAGCTATTATTCCATATTAATAGGCTTGCATTTCTTTTCCTAAATCTTATTTAGGCTAAATCAGTTTTATTTTTCTCTGATTTTTTTTAATACCACAGAATCACCTGAGTGTCAATTGAAAGTTGTCAATTAAAAGGTAACCTTTTAATCTCGTAGGAGGAATCTCATTAAGACATTTTTCCTGATATGTAGAGCAGTCTGTTGGCAAAAATGCATATATTTTCTTTCATATTTGTAAAATTATATTTAATGGAATTCTTTTCTTTGATTATCAAGGACTTTCACTGCAGGCAGTGCTATTTCTTGTGCCTAAGAATGTTTCCAAAAGTCGCATCGCTAATGATATTTGCCAAGTTGAGTGTACACAAAGTTTCTCATATCCTGTTCAAGTTAATCAACATCAAGCACATGGGGATGCTTTAGGGTGAGTCTATAGTACAAAATGCATAAACCATGTCCCCAGGAAATTTGAAAGGAAGCAGGTGCTGAATGGAATTTTTTTCCTTTTCCATGAGCTGTGTTAATTCTATCTCCAGTAGGCCTAATGCTTGAATAAGCAAGATGTCTAATCAATAAATTATTTTCATGCTCAGAATTTCAGGTTTTTGTACTCCAGCATAGCTTGGTCTTATTTCTTACTGTATGAAAGCTTAACAGCAATGTGATTTAAGGTTTTGTTTTAAATGGGAGATGTAAGTGATTTAATTCATGGGTACTTTTAGAACCTGATAGATAATCCCATTGCCTTTATTTTTCTAATTAAAGAATTCCTAAATACTTTGAAAATACAAAATATTCCTGAATAGTTGTGCCTTACATTGGTTTTATTTGAAGTTAGAGTGGATCCCTGTTTATCATAATTACTTGTAATTAGGCAGATGCTTATCACTCTATTATAACTCAAATTGGGAAGAAAAGAATGAAAAAGAAAACAATGGCTGGGTACTGGCTCATACCTGTAATTTTAGCATTTTGGGAAGGTGAGACGATAGGACCACTTGAGGGCAGGAGTTTGAGGTTGCAGTGAGCTATGATGGTGCCACTGCACTCCAGCCTGGGCAACAGAGAAGAAACCATGTATCTTAAAAAAAAAGAAAAAATGAAGGATGAAAAAGTGGGATTATTATTTAACCAGTGAAGAATTCATAAATGTGACAATTAAGGATAATTTGAATCTCACAAATCTATTCACCCCACCCCAGTCAAGGTCTATTTTAATATATCTATCTTCATTGGCATTCTTGAGAAATAGTGCTGCCATTGAACATTGGGAATATTCATCCATTCTGCAGATGGAGGACATCGTGCAGGCCATGTCCTCATTGCTCCCATTCTACATTTAGCTGAGAAACAGAGGTTCCTCTTTGTAAGGATTTGATGCTCTTCTCATCTTCCAAGAAGTATACCAAGAGCAAATTTAACTCTATAGTTACCTGTTCTTCAAAGAAAAAAGAAACTTAGAAGGTAGTGTTTCTGAGGTCATAACTGTGAGGGGTTGTATACAAAGAATGAGTCACTTTTTAAGCCATTTGGAAAATTAGATCTGTTTCTAATTAGATGACATTTTCTCCATTCTCTGATTTCCTGAAGATTGCCAAGCATTTGCTTGATAATCTACCAGGACTGATAATTTTGCAGAATATGAGGCAAATATATGAAATTCAGTTGTGTATCTATATCCTAGCAACAAACACTTGAAAATATAACGTTAAAATATGCCATTTGTAATAGCATCAAATAAGTCAAACTTCTAAGTAGGAAGAAAGTTAACAACAAGACCTCTACTCTGAAAACTACAAAACAGTGCTGGGAAGAATTATAGAGCACCAAAATAAATGGCTATTCTATGCTCATGGATTGAAAGACTGCATAATGGTAAGATGTCAGTTCCCCACAAATTGTTATCTAGATTCAATGAGATCAAAATCCCACAAGGCCATCTTGTAGAAATTGGCAAATACATATATGAAAATGCAACAGATTCTAAGTAGCCAAGATAATTTTGAAGAAGAAAAATAAAATTGGAGCACTTGTACTACCCAATGTCAAGACTTGCTCTAAAGCTACAACAGTTAAGAGAGTATGGTACTAGAGTTAGGATAAACAACAAATAGAAATAGACATGTCCAGAAATAGACCCACATGTATATGGTTATTGGCTTTTCAACAAAAACAAGCTATTCAATAGAAAAAGGGAAGATTTTTCAGTTGGAGTTGAAGTAACTGGATGTCTGGGAAAAAGCAATGTTAATAATGCCTTCTTCATACCATGCACAGTTTATTCAAAATGGATTATAGAACTAAATGTGAATGGCAAAACAATAAATCTTGTAAAAGGAAACCGACTATCTTCATGACATTGGGGTAGACAAGGATATCTTAGGCGAAGACATCTCAGGAAGGTTAAACAAAAAAACTGACAGATTTCATCAAAATTAGATACTTCTCATCAAAAAGATACTTTTAAAGTGAAAAGGCAAGCCACGGCCTAAGAGAAAATAATCACAATACACGGAACCAAAGGAAAGCAAAGAACATTTTAAAACCATTGTAACAGCAACCCAGTTTAACAATGAGTGAGTTGAATACATACTTCACAGAAGCTCTCCAGATGCAGGAGTAGCATAGGAAATGGCACTCAAACATCAGCCATCAGGGAATGTAGAATGAAACCACAAGGAAATACCACTGCATACCCGCCAAATGGTGAGAATGTGGAACTGATAGAAATCCAAGATGGTTTAATCACCTCAGGAAACAGTTTGCCGGTTGCTTATAAAGATAAACATAATGCCTACCCTGTGACTTAGTGACTCCACTTCTAAAGATCTACCCAAGATAAATGAGGGTATGTTTTTACAATAAGACTTGTACAAGAATAGCAATTTTATTTATAATATTCCCAATCTGAAAACTACCCAAATATCCACCAACAAGCTAATAGATAATCAAGTAATGGTATGTTTATACATTGGATACTAGTCTGCAATTGAAAGAATGGGCTGGGCTTAATAGCTAACACCTGTGATCCTAACAATTTGGGAGGCCAAGGCAGGATCACTTGAGCCCAGGAGTTCAAGACTATCCTGGGCAAGATGGCAAGACACCATCTCGACAGAAAAATTTAAAAATCAGCTGGGCATGGTGGTAGGCGCCTGTAGTCCCACCTACTCAGCAGGCTGAAGTGGGAGGATCCCTTGAGCCCAAGAGTTCAAGGCTGCAGTGAGTTGTGATCATGCCACTGCTCTCCAGCCTAAGTGACAGATTGAGACCTTGTCTCTAAAAATAATAATGATATACTGGCAAAACAATGTAGATAAATCTTAAAAACGAACAAAAAAAGCTAGACATATTCCATTTATAAAGCTCAAAAACAAATATGGAATGGTTATCTTTGGGGGTAAGTATAGACTGAAGAAGAGCATAGGAGAACTTTCTGGAATGATGGAATGTTCTATATCTCAATTGCAGTAGTGGTAACATACACATATATATGTATGTGTGTATATATTTTAAAATATAGTGAGCTGTATACTTGGGATATATGCATTTTACTGTATGTAAATTATGCCTCAGTAAAGTGCTGGGGAAAGTGATGAAGGTATTCACCCTGCTGGCATCAAGGTTTTCTGAAAAGTCCTGCACTGCTACAAAACACCCAAAGGCTGAATAAGTTACCGCAAATGTACTTCAAAGTGGAATGCTGAACTCAGCAGAAAATATGGAAAATTCCTAAATGCCAGATTTGAAAAATGATAAACATGAACTTGGGTGATAATTGTAACTCTTATATATGAAAGCCCTTCCTCTTCTAAGAACAAAGTATAATGCCTAGAGTTTGGGGAACGGGAGCTTAGGCCTTGGGCCTGAACAAAGTTGGGGAATTAAACCAAAGATAACAGCTGGGTATGGTGGCTCACGCTTGTAATTCCAGCAGTTTGGGAGGCCGAGGTGTGTAGATCACCCGAGGTCAGGAGTTCGAACTTCACATGGCCAACATGGTGAAACCCCATTTCTACTAAAAATGCAAAAATTAGCTGGGCGTGGTGGCGCACGCCCATAATCCCAGCTACTCAGGAGGCTGAGACAGGAGAATCGCTTGAACCCGGGAGGCAGAGGTTGTAGGCAGAGGTTGCAGTGAGTCGAGACCACACCACTACACTCCAGCCTGGGCGAAAGAGTGAGACTCTGTCTCAACAAAAACAACCAGCCAAAAATCCCTGCATCTTCAGTTGGAATATTAACAGGTGTTAACACCTACAAGTGAAGGGTGGATAGGGAAGTCAGCCTCTTGAAAAGGAAACCAAAGGGTAATCTGACTGACTTTGCCCCTTTTCCAGGTAGTAAATGAGATGATGGTGCTGCCTCTGTAATCATAGGCCTCCTTTCACAGAGATCAGGGATTTAATGCCACATTCATGAAGTCTGCAGATCAAGAAAATAAAGTGAATCTTAGATTTATACCACTTCCTGAAAACCATCAGAATAAAACAAGTCTTGGCAGGGCACATGGCTCACACCTTTAATCCCAGCACTTCGGGAGGCCAAGGTGAGTGGATCACTTGTGGCCAGGGTTTGAGACCAGCCTGGCTAACATGGCGAAATCCCATCTCTACTAAAATACAAAAATTATCCAGTGTGGTGGCGCCCACCTGTAGTCCTATCTACTTGGGGGGCTGAGGCATGAGAATTACTTGAATCTGGGAGGCGGAGGTTGCAGTGAGCCGAGGTCGCGACACTGCACTCCAGCCTGGACAAAAGAGCGAGACTCTCTAAAAAAAAAAAAAGAATAAAGTCCTTTGGGGGGAAAAAAAAAAAAACCTGTCAATCCCCACCCCCATACTCCCACTAACTAAATTCAGATACGAAATTACTATCAAAAAGAGTAAGTAAGCCATCATGTGTGAATATTAAAAAAATTAATTCTAGCTTCTGGCAGTGCGAGACTAGCTTGTATCAGACTAAAGCTTAGTAACTTAATAATTTGGAACAAAATATTATTTAAAGAGTGATGCCCCAGGTGAGTGAACAGAAACTGTAGGGCATTTGACCCCTGTTAAAAAGGTGTGTTCACTGGATAGGATCTCAGCTTTTCCCCAGAGAGCATCCACCATGCACTCAGCACACTGAAGGTAGAGTTCATGCAGATGGTGACGAATAATATTAGGCTGAGGAGTCAGATCTTATTTGAGAGCAAACAGAGGCTGGAAATTGAGGAAGGAAATCCTAGACTGCAAGGAGTCAGAAAAAGAAGTCCCCAAATCTACATACAAACTTCCCTCAGATGGTTGGCTGATTAAATAGTGTGCACAGGATGAAACTCCAGGAAGGTCAGAGAAAAACAACCACCGGAAGGCAGAAAGATCTAAGCAGCAGTCTCAGCAGTTGCCCAGCACCACAAACACAGAGGTCGAAGTTCAAATTTGGAGGGGCTTGGTAAACACTGTTAACTTTATGGTGAGATCCAAGAAGGGCATGTGTAGAAATTAAGACCATTTCTAAGACCTTAGGGCTGTTTCTAGAGCCAACTACAAAATGGAAATTGACCACATCTAATAAAGTGGCTATTTTATTGATTATTTTTGAAAATAGTCAATAAAAAGCAGACCCACTAGTGACCTAGATGTTGGAATTGGCAGACAAATTCTTCAAAATAAGTATCAGTGTTTTAAAAATGTATACAGAGAAATGTGGATATAATAAGTATAATAATGGGAAGTTTCAGAAGAGGTCTGAAAACGGGGAAAAAAATCCTAAAACCAAAAAAGTATCTAAAATCAAAAACTCATTGGGATTTACAGCAAATTGGACACACACAAGAAAGGATCAGTGAACTTGAGCACAGGTCAATAAAAAATGTCCAAACTGAACCACAGAGAAAAAAGATAAAGGGATTAAAAAAAAAAAAACAGCCTTGATGATCAAATACATGCATTGACCTGGAAGGAGAGAAGATAGAGAGTGGAGGCTCTGAAGGAGACTCTTATTTTCTCCATTCTGTGGTTGCTGGTAATTCTTGGCTTGTCAGATGCCTCACTCCAATCTCTGCCATTGTCTTCACTTGGCATTACTCTCTGCATGTTTTTGTGTCTTTCTTCTCTGCCTCCTCTTATAAGGACACTAGTTACATTGAATTTATAGCCCACTTTAATCCATTATGACCTTATCTTAACTGGATCTGCATAGACTCCGCAGTGAGTCGAATTGTGTCCACAGGTAAGAAAGACATGTTTAGTCCTACCCACTAATACGTCAGAATGTGACATTATTTGGAAGTCGGGTCTTTACAGAGGTAAGCAAATTAAAATGAGATCATTACGGTGAACCCTAGCCCAGTATGACTGATGGCCTTATTAAAAGGGGAAATGACACAGACACATAGAGAAGGAAGATGATGTGCAGATACAGAGAAACACCATCCACAAACCAAAGGGTGTCTGAATCTACCACAACCTAGGAGAGGCATGAAGCAGATAACCCCTCACAATCCTCAGAAAGAACCAACCCTGCCAACACCTTGATTTTAGGCATCTAACCTCCAAAACAGTCAAAAATTATTGTGGTTTAAACCACTCAATTTATAGTACTTTGTTACAACAGCCCCAGGAAATTAATATAAATCATATTTCTAAATTGAGTCTCATGCTGATATTCTGAATAGATGAAATTCGGATACACTATTCAACCTAATACATCTACTAAACGTTTAAAGAAGAATTAACAACAATCATTCACAAACTCTTACAAAAAGAAGAGGGAACATTTCTCAATTTATTCTATGAAGCCAGCATTAGCCTGATACCAAAGCCAGACAGACATAACAAGGGAAAACAAAACAAGCTGAAGACCAATATTTCTGATGAATATACAGGTATACCCTCATCTTATTGTACTTTGCAGATACTGTGTTTTTTTAATAAATTGAAGGTTTGTGGCAACCCAGCATCAAGCAAGTCTCACAGTGCCATTTTTCCAACATTGTGTGCTAATTTCATGTCTCTGTGTCACATTTTGGTAATTCTTGCAATATTTCAAACTTTTTTATTATTAGAATATCTGTTACAGGGTTCAGTGGTATTTGATGATACTATTGTAATTGTTTGGGGGCATCACAGACTACACCCGTATGAGAGGATGAACTTAAATGATAAATTGTGTGTGTGTGCATGCATGTGTGCGTGCATGTGGACTGTTACACTCATTGGTCCTTCTGCTGTCTCTCTCCCTCTCCTCAGCCCTCTTTATTCCCTGGGACACAGAAATTTTTAAATAAGGCCAATTAATAATCCTACATTGGTCTCTTACGTGTTAGAGTGAAAAGAAGATTCACATATCTCTCATTTTAAATTGAAAGCTAGAAATGATTAAGCTTAGTGAGGAAGCCATGTTGAAAGCTGAGATAGTCCAAAAACTAGGCCTCTTGCACCAGTTAGCCAAGTTGTGAATGCAAAAGAAAAGTGCCTGGAGGATATTTAAAATGCTGCTCCAGTGAACACACAAACGATAGGAAAGCAAAATAGCCTTATTGCTGATATGGAGAAAGTTTTAATGGTCTGGATAGAAGATCAAACCAACTGCAACATTTCCTTAAGCAAAATCCTAATTCAGAACACAGCCATAGCTGTCTCCAATTCTATGAAGACAGAGCAGAGAGGAAGCTGTGGAAGTAAAGTTTGAAAATAAGAGGTTGTTCATGAGGTATAAGGAAAGAAGACATCTCCATAACATAAAAGTGTAAGGTGAAACATCAAGTGCGAATACAGAAGCTGCAGCAAGTTATCCAGAAAATCTAAGATCATTGAAGAAGGTGGCTACACTAAACAATAGATTTTCAATATAGACAAAAGAGCCTTCTGTTGATTTTAGGCATCTAGCCTAAAATGGAAGAAGATGCCATCTAGGACTTTAATGGGTAGAGAGGAGAAGTTGATACCTGTCTTCAAAGTAAAGACTGACTCTTTTGTTAGGGGCTGTTGCAGCTGGTGACATTAAGTTGAAGCCAATGCTCATTCACCATTCCAGAAATCCTTGTGCCCTTAAGAATTATGCTAAATCTACTCTGACTGTGTTCTACAAGTAGAACAACAAAGCCTGGATGACAGCATATCTGTTTATAGCATGGTTTACTAAATATTTTAAGCCCACTGTTGAGACCTACTGCTCAGAAAAAAAGATTCCTTTCAAAACATTACTGCTCATTGACAGTGCACCTAGTTACCCAAGAGCTCTGATGGAGATGTAAAACAAGATTAATATTTTCATGCCTGCTAACACAGCATTCATTCTGCAGCCCATGACCAAGGATTAATTCAGACTTTCAAGTCTTATTATTTAAGAAATAAGATTTAATAAGGCTATAGCTGTCATGGATAGTGATTTCTCTGATAGACCTGGGCAAAGTAAATTGAAAACCTTCTGAAAAGGATCCACCATTCTAAATTCCATTAAGAACATTCATGATTCATGAGAGGGGGTCAAATACCAACACGAACAGGAGTTTGGAAGAAGTTGATTCCAACCTTCATGGGTGACTTTGAGGGATCCAAAACTTCAGTAGAGGAAATACCTGCAGATGTAGAAATAGCAAGAGAACTAGAATTATCCTGAAGATGTGTCTGAATACTTCAATCTCATCATAAAACTTGAATTGATGAAGAGTTGCTTCTTATGGATGAGCAAAGAAAATGTTTTCTTGAGATGAAATCCTCGTGGTGAAAATGCTGTGAACATAGTAGAAATGACAACAAAAGATTTGTAATATTCCATAAAGTTAGTTGATAAAGCAGAGGGAAGGTTTAAGAAAACCCCAATTTTGAAAGAACTTCTGCTGTGGGTAAGATGCTATCATATAGCATCAGAAAAATCTTCTGTGAAAGGAAGGCTCAATCAATGTAGCAAATTTCATTGTCTTATTTTAAGAAATTTCTACAACCACCCAACCTTCAGCAACCACCACCTTGAACAGTCAACAGCCATCAACATTGAGGCAAGACTCTCCACTAACAAAAAGATTGGGACTCATTAAAGACTCAGGTGAACATTAGCATTTTTTGGCAGTAAAGTATTTTTAATTAAGAATATACATTGTTTTGTTTTTAGACATAATGGTATTGCACACTTAGGCTACAGTATAGTGTAAACATAACTTTTATATGCACTGGGAAACAAAAAATTGTGTGACTCACTTTATTAATGCAATATTCACTTTACTGCTGTTGTGTGGAACTGAACCTGCAATATCTCTGAGGTGTGCCTGTAGATGCAAATAGCCTCTACAGGATACTAGTAAACCAAATGCAGCAGCATATTAAAAGGATTATACACCATGATGAAGTGGTATTTATCCTATGGATGCAAAGTTGTTTTAACATTTGAAAATCAATCCATGTGATACACCATGTTAATAGAATAAAGAACAAAAGCCACATGATCATCTTAATAAAGAACAGGAAATCCAACATGCTTTTACGGTTAAAACAAACAAAACCGGGACTAAAAGGGAATGTCCTCGATTTGATAATGGGCCCCAATGAAAAGTCCACAGCTATCATCATATTTAATGGTGAAAGACTGGATGCTTTTCCCCTAAGATCAGGAACATGACAAGGATGTCTATTCTTGCCACATCTATTCAACATTGTACTGAAAGTTCTAGCCAGAACAACTAGTCAAGAAAATGCACCCAGATTGAAGAGGAAGAAATAAAACTGTTTTTGCAGATGACATCATTTTGTATCTAGAAAATTTCAGGGAACCCGCTAAAAAACTATGAGAACTAATAAATGAGTTCAGCAAGGTTGCAGGACAAAAGATCAAATACAAAACTCAGTTGTATTTACATACACCATCAATGAACAGTTCAAAACTGAAAATTTTTTAAATTCCATTTAAAATAGTGTCAAAATATTTAGGAATAAATGTAATTAAAAAGTGCAAGAGAGGGACAAATGGCCAACTAGATGCAGCCAGGAAGAGCATCTTCCACCAAGAGAGACCAAAATATAGAGTAAACCATCATACTTTGAACAGATCTTTGGGGAGAAAGCACTGAGAGTCAATGGAGAGATGATGCAGACACCAGGGCTGAAGAGAGAGGAAGCTGGGAACCCTGCATGGGGTTGCCAAGCTCTGAAACTTATTCCTGGCCCTGAACAACTCCTAAGAAAGGGATGGATGAAGTAACTGCAGACCAGCCCATTCTCATTACAGATCTCCAAGATCCTAGCTGCAGGAGACCCTATAACCCCATGGACATATGAGTTGGCAGGGAGAACTACCTGGAGAGTCAGCAGAGATAGAGTTTGAGCCTCTGTGGAACCCAGTGGGGGTTGCATGGGGACAGCTGTAACAAAACACGGCCATAGGTGCTCATCCCGGGCTCTACATATTTCTCTATGAGGCTGTAACCTTTGTTGACTACTGAACCTGGAGAGAGCAGGGCTGTCTTTCCTGCATGACCAGGGCATAGCTGACCTGTGCACCCACCTGTCCACTGACTGATCCCAGAATCCCTTTTTGGCCACTCCCATAGGAGCGGGCACAAAGCACAGCCTACACTGCCCCAGTAGAGTGCTTTTGCTAGCAACTACCGCTAGAGCATTTTTGTTGGCGTCCTGGGAGGACCTTGAGCACCCCCAGCCCCTGCATGGCTGGTGCTCAACCTTGAGGGGCCAGAGGACAAAGCCATGGACCCAGTCCTAACCTCCCAGGGTTAGAGCATGCAGCCCAGGAGTACTGAGCTGAGATCTGTGGCTGGAACTTAAGTGAAGGAAGAACCCTCTCTCTCAAAGTGCTGGGAAGAGTGAGGCATGGGTTCGTGGGCTGACACAGGAGCTGGGTGTGCCTGCTTCTGCTGGGCCAGTCTGGGAGGGATGTAGACTCTCTGGCAGCCACAGCCTCTCCCCGGGGGGCCTCATGGCCCTGAATGCCTAACAGCCCAGCAATCTGGGTGCAGAAGGCTTGGGACAAAAGCTGGTCAGGCCAAATTCTGGGACGCTCATCAGGAGACCCTATTGAGGGTGGAGCTGGGCAGGTCCCACAGCTGACTGCTGGCAAAAAACCCAAGGCATGGGCACCCCACCAGCTGCATACCCACAACAACACTGCCCTGCCCACAGATGCCCCGCCCTTGACCTACTGCATCAACAGACCACCTACAGATATACCCCACAACCTGCTCTGACTCTGCCAAGCACAGAGGACCTTGGTGGGCCTCCAGAGAGCTGTGGGTCTCCTGGTGACCTAATCTTTGGCTTGGACCACCTCAAAGGGAGGGAGGAGCACAGCTCACCAGAGCCGCCTTTGAGGCTAAGGAAAGGCAGGCACGGCACCAGTGATTGGAGGGGGCTCCTTTAAGACCCAGGAATGGACTTGGTGAGGGGATCATCTCTCTCCCAACCCTGTCTGCCCCACGACAGAGCACTGCTGCCAATGCATTGAAATACACTGAGAGGCACATGGCTCAGCTAGAGTCTATCTACAAGCCCTTACTGTTTTTGTTCTTCTTCTTATTATTATACCTTTTAAGTTCCAGGGTACATGTGCACAACGTGCAGGTTTGTTACATATGTATACACGTGCCATGTTGTTGTGCTGCACCCATCAACTCGTCATTTACATTAGGCATTTCTCCTAATGCTATCCCCTCTTCCCCCCACCCCACGACAGGCCCCGGTGTGTGATGTTCCCCACCCTGGGTCCAAGTGTTCTCATTGTTCAATTCCCACCTATGAATGAGAACACTCAGTGTTTGATTTTCTGTCCTTGCGATAGTTTGCTCAGAATGATGGTTTCTAGCTTCATCCATGTCCCTACAAAGGACATGAACTCATCCTTTTTTATGGCTGCATATTATTCCATGGTGTATATGTGCCACGTTTTCTTAATCCAGTCTATCATTGATCGACATTTGGGTTGGTTCCAAGTCTTTGCTATTGTGAATAGTGCCACAATAAACATACGTGTGCATGTGTCTTTATAGCAGCATGATTTATGATCCTTTAGGTATATACCCAGTAATGGGATCGCTGGGTCAAATGGTATTTCTAGTTCTAGATCCTTGAGGAATCGCTACACTGTCTTCCACAATGATAGAACTAGTTTACAGTCCCACCAACAGTGTAAAAGTCTTCCTATTTCTCCACATCCTCCCCAGCACCTATTGTTTCCTGACTTTTAATGATCACCATTCTAACTGGTGTGAGATGGTATCTCATTGTGGTTTTGATTTGCATTTCTGTGATGGCCAGTGATGATGACCTTTTTTGTGTGTGTCTGTTGGCTGCATAAATGTCTTCTTTTGAGAAGTGTCTGTTCGTATACTTCACCCACTTTTTGATGGGGTTGATTTTTTCTTGTAAATTTGTATAAGTTCTTTGTAGATTCTGGATATTAGCCCTTTGTCAGATGGGTAGATTGCAAAAATTTTCTCCCATTCTGTAGGTTGCCTGTTCACTCTGATGGTAGTTTCTTTTGCTGTGCAGAAGCTCTTTAGTTTAATTAGATCCCATTTGTCTATTTTGGCTTTTGTTACCATTGCTTTTGGTGTTTTAGACATGAAGTCCTTGCCCATGCCTATGTCCTGAATGGTATTGCCTAGGTTTTCTTCTAGGGTTTTTATGGTTTTAGGTCTAACATTTAAGTATTTAATCCTTCTTGAATTAACTTTTGTATAAGGTGTAAAGAAGGGATCCAGTTTCAGCTTTCTACATATGGCTAGCCAGTTTTCCCAGCACCATTTATTAAATAGGGAATCATTTCCCCATTTCTTGTTTTTGTCAGGTTTGTCAAAGATCAGATGGTTGTAGATGTATGGTATTATTTCTGAGGGCTCTGTTCTGTTCCATTGGTCTATATCTCTGTTTTGGTACCAGTACCATGCTGTTTTGGTTACTGTAGCCTTGTAGTATAGTTTGAAGTCAGGTAACGTGATGCCTCCAGCTTTGTTCTTTTTGCTTAGGATTGTCTTGGCAATGTGGCCTTTTTTTGGTTCCATATGAACTTTAAAGTAGTTTTTTTTTCCAATTCTGTGAAGAAAGTCATTGGTAGCTTCCTGGGGATGTACAAGCCCTTACTCTTAAGCATAATCTACTGATTGCAGCCTGAATTACACCACCAAAAAATACTTCCTGCTTTCATTGCCTGTGAAACCCAGTGCAGTGTTCTAGCAACAAATAAAAATCCTGTGAAGAGCCTTGGCCCTCTAAAAGCATCCAGAAACAAAGCCAATCAACTATACTCAACTTACACTACAGTCAAACCCTCAAGGTAAATAAAGACCATAAAAAGCCCCATCCAAATCACAGCAACTTCAAAAGATAAAGGAACACCAGCCCTCACAGATGAGAGGGAACTAGCACAAGGACTCCGGCAATTCTAAAAGCCAGAGTGTTTTCTTACCTCCAAACAATTGCACAAGCTCCCCAGAAGTGGCTGTTAACCAGATTGAAATGGCTGAAATGACAGACATAGAATTCAGAATCTAGATAGCAAGGAAGCTAAAAAAAAAAAAAGAGAGAAAGTTGAAGCTAAAAAAAAAAAAAGAAATAAAAAAGAAAAAAACAGGAGAAAGTTGAAACCCAATCCAAGGAGAACAGTAAAATAATACAAGAGTTGAAAGATGGTATAACCTTTTTAAGAAAGAACCAAAACTGAACTCCAGGAACTGAAAAATTGACTACAGGAATTTCAGAATACAATTGGAAACATTAACAACAGAATAGATGAAGCTGAGGAAAGAATCTCACAGCTCAAAGACTCCTCCTTCAAATAAACTCAGGTAGACAAAAATAAAGAAAAAATGAACCTTTAAAAATGAACAAAACCTCAGAAATATGGGATTATAAAAAGGGACCAAACTTACGACTAATTGGCACTCCTGAAAGAGAAAAAAGAATAATCAACTTGGAACACATGTTTGAGGATATTGCCCATGAAAACTTCCCTAAGCTTGCTAGAGAAGTCAACATGCAACTTCGATAAATTTAGAGAACCCCTGCGAGATACTATATAAGATGACCATCCCTGAGATACATAGTTACCAGATTCTCCAAGGTCAACACCTCAGAAAAAATCTTACAGGCAGCTATAGAGAAGGAACAGGTCACTTACAAAGGGAACCCCTTCAGGTGAACAGTGGACATTCCAGCAGAAACCTTACAAGCCAGAAGAGTTGGGACCTGCTTTCCAGCATCCTTAAAGAAAAGAAATTCCAACCAAGAATTTCATATCTTACCAAACTAAGCTTCCTAAGTGAAGGAGAAATAAAACCATTTTCAGACACACAAGTGCTAAGGGAATTCATTATCGCTAGACCTGTCTTACAAGAGGTCCTTAGGAAGTGCTAAACATGAAAATGAAAGAACAATACCTGCCACCACAAAAACACACTTAAGTACATAGTCCACAGACACTATAAAGCAACTACACAAGCAAGCCTATATAACAACCAGCTAACAACAATAACAGGATCAAATCTTCACATATCTATATTAACCTTTAATGTAAACAGACTAAATGCCCCAGTTAAAAGGCATAGAGTGGCAAGTTGGATAAAAGAAAAAGACCCAAGTGTCTGCTGTCTTTAAGAGACCCATCTCACATGTAACAACAGCCATAGGCTCAAATTAAAAGAATGGAGAAAGATCTATCATGCAAACAGAAACCAAAAAAGAGCAGGAGTTTCTATTATTACATCAGAAAAACAGACTCGAAGCCAGCAATGATAAAAAAAGGACAAAGAAGGGCATTACATAGTGATAAAGGGTTCAATTCAGCAGTACTTAACTATCATAAATATATACACACACAACATTGGAGCACCTAGATTCATAACAAGTTCTTATAGACCTATGAAGAGACTTAGCCACATAATAATAGTGGGAAACCCAAAACCTCACTGACAGCATTAGACAGATCATTGAGGCAGAAAACTAATAAATATATTCTGGAATTAAACTCAATACTTGACCAGTTGGACCTAATAGACATCTGGAGAATACTCCATCCAACAACTACAGAATATACATTCTCCTCATCTGCACATGGAACATACTCCAAGACTGACTACATGCCATAAAGCAAGTATCAATAAATTCAAAAAAATCGAAATCATACCAACCACACACTCAGACCACAGTGCAATAAAAATAGAAGTCAATACCAAGATCTCTCAAAACTACACAATTACATGGAAATTAAACAACTTGCTCCTGAATAACTTTTGGGTAAAGAATGAAACTAAGGCAGAAATCAAAAAAATCATTTAAAACTAATGGAAATAGAGATGCAACATAGTAGAATCTTTGGGATACACCTAAAGCAGCGGTAAAAGGAACGTTTATAGTGCCAAATGCCTACAACAAAAAGTTGGAAAGATCTCAAATTAACAACCTAACACCACACCTAGAGGAACTAGATAAACAAGACAAAACCAACACCAAAACTAGCAGAAGAAAAGAAATAACTAAAATCAGAGCAGAACTGAAAGAAATTTAGATGCAAAAATCCATACAAAAGATCAAGCAAACCAAAAGTTGTTTTTTTGAAAGAATAAACAAGATAGACCACTAGCTAGATTAGCAAAGAAAAAAGAAGATCCAAATAAGCACAATTGGAAATGACAAAGGTGACATTACAACTGACCCCACAGAAATAAGAAAAACTCCTCAGAGATTATTATGAACATTTCTATGTACACAACTAGAAAAATCTAGATGAAACGGATAATGTCCTGGAAACACATAACCTCCCAAGATTGAACCAGGAAGAAATTGAAACCCTGAACAGACCAATAATGAGTTCCAAAATTGAATCAGTAATAATAATAATAATAATAATAATAATAATAAGCCTTGCCAACCAAAAAAAAAAAAAAAGCCCTGGACCAGATGGATTCACAGCCTAACTCTACCAGATGCACAAAGAAGAGCTGGTACCTTTCCTACTGAAACTATTCCAAAAAAATCAAAGAAGAGGGACTCCTCCCTAACTTATTCTATGAAGCAAGCATCATTCTGATACCAAAACCTGCCAGAGAGATGATGAAGAAAAAAAACTTCTGGCCAATGTCCCTGATAAATATAGACACAAAAAATCCTCAACAAAATACTAGCTAAACGAATTCAGCAGCACATCAAAAAGTTAATTCACCACAATCAAGTAGGCTTCATTCCTGGGATGCAAGTTTGTTTTGACATATGCAATCAATAAATGTGATTCACCGCATAAACAGAATTGGAAACAAAAACAATATGATCATCTCAATAGACACAGAAAACAATTTCGATAAAATTCAACATCCCTTCAGGTTAAAAACCCTGAGCAAAATAGGCGTTGAAGAAACATACCTCAAAATAATAAGAGCCATCTATGACAAATCCACAGCCAACATCATACTAAATGGGCAAAAGCTGGAAGCATTCCTCTTGAGAACTGGAACAAGACAAGGATGCTCACTTTCACCACTCCTATTTAATATAGTACTGGAAGTCCTAGCAGAGCAATCAGGCAAGAGAAAGAAATAAAAGGCATCCAAATAGGAAAAGAAGAAGTCAAACTATCTCTTCACTGATGATATGATTGTACGCCTAGAAAACCCTAAAGACTCCACCAGAAGGCTCCTGGAACTGATAAATGACTTTGGTAAAGTTTCAGAATACAAATCAATGTACAAAAATCAGTAGCATTTCTATATACCAATAATGTTCAAGCTGAGAGCCAAATCAAGAACACAATACCATTTATAATAGCAACAAAAAGAATAAAATACCTAGGAATACAGTAACTAAGGAGATGAAAGATCTGTACAATGAGAATTACAAAACACTGCTGAAAGAAATCAGAGATGACACAAACAGAAAAACATTTCATGCTCATGGATAGGAAGAATCAATGTCATTAAAATGGCCATACTGCTCAAAGAAATCTACAGATTCAATGCTATTCCTGTCAGACTACCAATAACATTTTTCACAAATTTAGAAAATCTATTCTAAAATTCATATGGAAGCAGAATAGAGCCCGAATAGCCAAAGCAATCCTAAGCAAAAATAACACAGCTGGAAGCATCACATTATCTGACTTCAAACTATACTACAAGCCTACTGTAACCTAAACAGCCTGGTGCTGGCACAAAAACGGACACATAGACCAACAGAACAGAATAGAGGACCCAGAAATAAAGGCACACAGCTACAACCATCTGATCTTCAATAATGTTGACAAAAATAAGCAATGGGGAAAGACTTCCCATTCAATAAATGGTGTTGTGATAGATAACTGGCTAGCCATATGGAGAAGAATGAAACTGGATCCCTACCTATTACCATATACAGAAATTAACTCAAGATGGATTAAAAACTTAAATGTTAGACCTCAAACTATTAAAATCCTAGAAGAAAACCTAGGAAATACCTTTCTTGATATTGGCTTTGGCAAAAGATTTATGGCTAAGTTCTCAAAAGCAAGTGCAACAAAAACAAAAATTGACAAGTGGGACCTAACTAAAGAGCTTCAGCACAGCAAGAGAAACTATCAGCAGAATAAATAGAAAACCTACAGAATGGGAGAAAATATTCACAAACTATGCATCCAACAGAGAGGCCTGATATCCAGAATCTATAAGGAACTTAAACAATTCAGCAAGCAAAGAACAAATAACCACATTAAAAAGTGGCCAAAGGACATGAACAGACACTTCTCAAAAGAAGACATACAAGTGGCCAAGAAACATGAAAAAAAAAGCTTAACATCACTACTAATCACTAATCAGAGAAATGCAAACCAAAACCACAACGAGATACCATCTCACACCAATAACAATGGCCTTTGTTTAAAAGTCTAAAACAACAAATGCCAGTGAGGATGTGGGGAAAAGGAAACACACACTTCCAGTGGGAATGTTAATGACATGGTTTGGCTCTGTGTCCCCACCCAAATTTCATCTTGTAGTTACCATAATTTCCACATGTTGTGGGAGGGGCCCGGTGGGAGATGACTGAATTATGGGGGCGGGTCTTTCCCATGCTGTTCTTGTGATAGCAAATAAGTCTCACGAGATCTGATGGTATCATAAGGGAGTTTCCCTGCACAAGCTCTCTTTGCCTATCACCATCCACGTAAAATATGACTTGATCCTCCTTGTCTTCTGCCATGATTGTGAGGCCTCCCCAGCCATGTGTAACTGTGTATCCAATTGAACCTCTTTCTTTTGTAAATTGCCCAGTCTCGGGTATGTCTTTATCAGCAGTGTGAAAACAGACTAATAAAGTAAATTAGTCCAGCCACTGTGGAGAACAATTTGGAGATTTCTTAAGAACCAAGAGTTGAACTACCATTTGATTTAGCAATTCCATTACTGGGTATACAGTCAAAAGAAAGTAAACTGTTCTACCAAAAAAATAAGTGTACCTGTATGTTCATTGCAGCATGGTTCACAAAAGCAAAGACATGGATTCAACCCAGGTGCCTATCAACTCTGGATTGAGTAAAGAAAATATGGTACATATACACCATGGAATACTATGCAGCCATAAAAAGGAGCAAAATCAAGTCCTTTGTAGCAACATTGGATGAAGGTGGAGGCCATTATCCTAAGCAAACTACTGCAGAAACAGAAAACCAAATCTACATGTTCTCACTTATAAGTGGGAATGCACAACAAGTACACATGGACAGAAAGATGAGAGCAATAGATATTGGGAAATACAAGAGGTGAGAGGGAGGGAGGGAGGCAAGGGCTGAAAAACTATCTATTGGGTACTATGCTCACCCCCTCAGAGATAGATTCATTTACTCCAAACCTCAGCATCACACAATATACGTTTGTAACAAAATTGCATATGTACCCCTGAACCTGTAATAAAAGTTGAAGAAAAAAAAACCCAAAAAAAGTGTAAGACTTACATGCTGAGAACAAAAACATCACTGAAAGAAATTAAAGAAGATCTAAATAAACACACATTGATGAATCAAAAAGCCTAATATTAAGATGCTTGTTTTAAGTTTGTTTAATATACTTGGCATCTCAGCATCCATTTTTAGGTCTGATGTAAGTTATTTGAAACCCAGTTGTACTCCATCACCTTTGGCTTTTAAAATTTCTCCTCCCTTTGTGGTCGTTTCCAGTACAGCCTGCTTTTTCCTCATCCTACTGACTCAAAAACCCAACACAGCTCACAGCTGCTGGCTACAATAAATCCTAATGGTCAACACCAGAGTCACAAAAATAAGTTCCCCATTCAGCAGGTTTTTGTTAACTAATCAGTCTACAACTCCTGAGAGAAAGCCTAAAGGTTAATGCCTATGGAACTTAATGAAGGTATAGTACCACGAGTCCCCCTTCCCACTTTCTCCTCTCTCACCCTCCCCGCCTGCCCCCTTCTGCACTACACCTCTTGTTGGCTCCAGATGTCCCAACACCTCATAGGCACCCCTAACCTCTCTGGGACCTGTGAGTAATAAATTTCTTCTGTTTCACAAACTTTGGTTTCACTTTCTCATTGTGTCTCACCTGACAGACACACTTGAACCTAATTATCCCCCCAGTCAGGGCTCTCTTAGAGGGTGGCTATCTTAGCTTATAGCCACTGTCAAGAAAGAGACCCCAAGACCAAATTAGAAAAAATAAAACAAAACATAATAATAGAACTCACAACAATGGTACTACTCTCTGTCCTGTTTGGAGTCAGGTTCCAGCTCATGCTGAGGTCCGAAGCGAGTGGATGGACGAGCAGATAGCTGAAAGAACGCTGCGGGGGCTGTAGGCAGGTGAAAGGTTGTTTTATTCAGTAACTCTCTTAGCAGCAGCTCACTCACACTAGCTCTGTCACACTGTTCGCCTTGTCTTGGCTGCTTAGCCCGGCGGCTCCCACACACAGCTGCATGGCTGGCTCTCCCTTCAGGGTCAGCAGCTTAACTCTTTCTCTCTCTCTGTGGGTACAAGTGAGCAGAGCTGTGTTCTGGCTCCCTCCTGTCCATCTGCAAAGACGGACAGCTCTGGCTCTCTCTCTCCTTCTCTGGGCACAAGCGCACCTGTACAGTGTCAGCAGGTCAGTAATACCTTTTACAGACAATAGTGGCTTAGAGCCAAATGATGAGCCTTCTTATGTTATGGCTACATGGCTAAGATAACAAGTGGAGTTATATGCCTGTGCTGTAAACTCACTGAGTCACTCTAGATGTTTACCTCAGCCTATCCATGACCAAAGCACAGCCATGTTCTTTACACTCCCCAGATCTGAAAATTTAGTACAATCCCTATCAAAATCTCAAGTGTCTTTTTTTTTTTTTTTTTTTTTTTTGCGTAACTTGACAAGCTGATTCTAAAATCTATACGGAAAATCAATGTACACAGAAGAGTCAAAACAATTTTGAAAAAAAAGAACAACATTGGAGTACTCACACCCTAAGATTTACGGTCTTACTACAAAGCTACAATAATAGAGAAAGCCAACATTGCACTGTAGTTCCTATAGAGGGGTGAAGGGAGGGAGTGGGACATGGTGTGAGGATAGTCATATAGATCAACTGAACAGAATTCAGAGTCTAGAAATAACCTTTATATTTAGGTCAATTGATTTTCAACAAGAGTACAAAGAAAATACAATGGAATAATAGTCTTTTCAACAAATGGTGGTGGGACAACTGGGTATCTGCCTGCAAAAGGAAGGTGGACCCCTACATCACACCATATGTAAAAAGTAACTCAAAATGAATCAAAGACATAAATATAAGAGCTAAAACCATAAAACTCTTAGAAGGAAACATGCATGATCTTCATGACCTTGGATTAGACAATGACTTCATAGACATGAAACCAAAAGCACCAGCAAAAGTAGGAAACAAATAAGCTGGACTTCTCCAGAACTTAAAAGTTTTGTGGTTTTAAGGATGCAATCAAGAAAGTGAAAAGATGACTTACACAGTGGAACAAACTATTGGTTAATTATGTATTTTTTAAGAATAAACTTGGATCCAAGGCCAGCCATGGTGGTTCATACCTGTAATGCTGACACTTTGGGAGGATGAGATGGAAAGATCACTTGAGGCCAGGAATTTGAGACCAGCCTGGGCAACATAGCAAGACCCCCATCTCTACAAATTTTTCTTTTTTTAATAGCTGGGTGTGGTGGTGCGTACCTGTAGCCCAGCTACTTGAGAGGTTGAGGTGGGTGGATTGCTTGAGCCCAGGGGTTTAAGACTGCAGTGAGCTATGATTGTGCTACTGCATATCAGCCTCAGCAACAGAGCATGACACAGTCTCTAAAAAATAAGGCTGTGCAGACAGAGCAGTCCCAGGAGCCTGAGCTCCTGCCTCATAGGCTGTAAAGAACTTTTCACTTTCTGTCCTCAGTTTCAGCTTTTGCCAGATTTCAGAACAGCAGGCCAACATTGCACTGTAGCTCCTATACAGGGGTAAAGGGAGGGAGTGGGACATGGTCTCAATTCATAATTATGCCATTTAAATGACCAAAGTTAAGGGGTCAGTTGTGAGAGGAGACTGGCATTGTGGAAAGAATACAGGCTTTGAAGTCAGATAGCCACAGGTTCAAATCCAAAGATCTAGGCCTCAGTCTTGTCCTCTCTAAAATGCCTGCCTCATTGGGGAATTACAACATCTTGATAGAGATAGCATTAACAAATGATTTTTCCCTTCTGCTGTTCTCATCATTTCCTTCTGCTGGGGCTGGTGTCAGGGGCAGGGGAGCAACTGTCCCTAGCTGTGTGCCAGACCAGACCAAGGACCATCTGCAGCTGGGCAGCTGGAAGTGGATCCAGTGCAGAAGCATGTAAATCTGATTCCACTTAACCGATACATGACTCAGCTTAACTCTAGCAAAGAGATGTTTGAAGCTGCAAAAAGTGAAAAGAAACAAGATAGTATTTACTCTTCAGCAATTCCATTGTTACTAAGCCCAGGCCACTTGGCTTCACACTACACCCTGAGTGTGCCTTCCAAGGAAGACAGACTCACTTACCACAGGCAGCCACAGGAATAAAAAGCTGGCGTGGGACAGAAAATTCTCCATACCACAGCCAGAGTAACTTTTTTGAAACTTTTGTCAGCTCATGCTGCTCCTCTGCTCAAAACCAGCCTTTCTGGCCCACTCACATTGAAATGCAAGTCCTCGCCATGGCCTATAAGGCCCACATGACGTGGCTCCTGCATGCTGCTCAGCCCTGCCTCAGGCCCTTTCTGTCCCTTCATGATGCCTGGCCACACTGTCCTGCAGGAGAAAAGTCTCAGCCAGTCTCATGATTGCAGACTCAAAACTTCTAGATATGATATTACCAGATAGAATTCAACATTTTATTAAAAGAACAATTTACTTCAGGTTGGGATTATCTCAAAATGTAGCTAAGGTTCAATAGAAAATCTATGAATGTACTGAACCAACGGATGTGGGATAAAACATTAGTAACTTGTTGCAAAAGCATATGTTTAACATACATCTTAAAAAATTATTGCGCTATAATTTTACTTCAAACGAACAGCTAAAACTATGTTTAACGACAAAACCCTAGAGACTTTGCTATTTAAATCAAGAACAAAACAAGGATGCCTGCTATCACCATTACTGCTTGACAGTGTTCAGGAAGTTAAGCAGTAGTGCACTCCTGGCAACGCATTAGGACACGAAACAGAAAGGAGAGGCAGAAAACATCATCAAGATCAACAATTTGTTCTCATTATTTGCAGATGATGGTCATTTATTTGTTCATTAAACCACCAAATATACCCTTGAGCCACCTCTATGTCTCACACCGCTCAAGGACTCAGAATGCCAAACTCCCTGCCCTTGTGGATCTAACATGGCAGGGGGAAGAAAATAAATAAACAGCAAGTTAACAATGAAGAATGTGCCATGAAGAAAAATAAACCAACTGACAGAGTGACAGAGCAGACAGGGCCATTCTAGAGCAGGTGGACAGCCTACATGAAGAGGGGATGTTTGACCTAAAGGCACAAAAGCGCAAGCCATGGAGCAAGTAGAGGCAGTGTTCCAGGTGGGAGAACAGTGAGGGTCAAAGCCCTGAGACCAGCAGATCATCATGCAGGACGACTAACAAGGCAGTGTGGCCAGGCATTGTGAGGGGAAAGGAAGGGCCTGAGGCAGGGCTGAGCAGCACGCAGGAGCCACATCACATGGGCCTTACAGGCCATTACGAGGACTTGTATTTCAATGTGAGTGGGTCAGAAAGGCTGGTTTTGAGCAGAGGAGCAGAATGAGCTGACAAAAATCTCAAAAAAGTCACTCTGGCTGTGGTGTGGATAATTTTCTATTAGGACTAAGAGTGGCAACTGGGGTCCAGTAAGGAGTATGTTTTAAGAACCCAGTGAGTGACAAGAATTGGGAGGTAGTAACAGCATGGGGTTGTGGATTTTGAATATAAAACCAACAGACTTGAGGATGCGTGGGATGTAGGATGCGAGAGAAACAAAGGAGTCAAGGACAGTGTTTCACCTTTTGGCCTGAGGAACAGGTAGTGATCATTGCAGTCAGAGAACCATGGTGGAGGAGGCCGTAAGGTCAGGAGGTCTGTGCACCTTATCATGCCAAATGGCACATGATGTTAAAATAAAATGTTTTGAGTAATCAGAACGTAGTTAATTGTGCTCCAGGATGGATCATACACAGAGCCGTACCCATATCTGATTTACATGTTGAAATTTGAGAATTTTGAGATGATGAGACTTAGATGAGATTTTTCAACTTGATGAGACCTTGAGGAACCTTGGGATGGGATGAATGTATTTTGTATGTGGGATAGTTGCAAATCTTCAGGAGTCAGAGGGCAAATTATTGTAGGTAGAATAATGATTTCCAAAGATGGCCAGTTTCCAATCCTTGGAAATAGTATATTAGCACAGGTGAATTAAGGTTACAGATGGAAATTCGGTTGCTAATCACCTGACCTTCAGATGGGAATATTATCCTGGATTATCCCAGGATTATCCCTTGGTTCCAATGTAATCCCAATGCCCTTAAATGTGAAGGAGGGAGGCAACATCTCTCTGTCAGTGTCAGAGAGTTGTGATGTAAGAAAGACTCCACTGGCCTTTGCTGGCTTTGAAGATGGAAAGAGACCACCAGCCAAAGGAAGTAAGCAGCTTAGAAGCTGGAAAAGTCGAGAAAACAGATTATCCTCTTAAACTTCCAGAAAGGAAAACAGCTACACTGACACCTTGATTTTAGCCTAGTAAAACCCAATTTGAACTTCTGACCTCCAGAATTGTAAGATAATAGGGTTTTGTCTTTAAGCCACTAGTTTGTGCTACTTTGTTACAGCAGCATTAGGAAACTAATACTAAGGGAGGAGACCACCCCTCATATTGTCTTATGCCCAATTTCTGCCTCCAAAGAAAGAAAATGTAAAAACTGAAAGGCAGAAATGAAATCCACAAGCAGACAGCCCAGCGCCACACCCTGGGCCTGGTAGTTAAGGATCAACCCCTGACCTAATCGGTTATGTTATCTATAGATTACAGACATTGTATAGAAAAGCACTGTGAAAATCCCTATTCTGTTTTGTTCCAATCTAATTACTGGTGCATGCACCCCCCAGTCACGTACCCCCTGCTTGCTCAATTGATCACAACCCTTCACGCGCACCCCCTTAGAGTTGTGAGCCCTTTAAAGGGACAGGAATTGCTCACTCGGGGAGCTCAGCTCTTGAGACAGGAGTCTTGCCAATGCCCCCAGCCGAATAAACCCCTTCCTTCTTTAACTCGGTGTCTGAGGAGTTTTGTCTGCAGCTCATCCTGCTACAATACAATGTTGGATTACACTGATTGATTTTAAAATATTGAACTATGCTTGCATCCCTGGAATAAACCTCACTTAGTCATGGTATATAGTTCTTTTATACATTGAATTGTGTTTGCTAATATTTTGTTAAGAATTTTTGCATCTATATTCGTGAGCAATATTGGTCTGTAGTTTACTTTTTTGTACTATCATTATGTGGTTTGGTAGCAGTTTAATGTTGACTTCATAAAGTGGGTTGAGAAGTGTTCCCTTCTCTTCTATTTTCTGGAAAAAATGTATAAACTTAGTATAGAATTCTTCAAGTGTTTGGTAGAATTATCCAGGTAAACCATCTGGAGGTGGACATTTCTTTTACGTATTTTTAAACTAAAAATTTCTCTAAATTGTTACAGGACAGTTTAAGTGATCTATTTCAGATTTAGTGAGTTTGGTTAGTTTGTACTTTTCAAGGAATTGTTCCACTTCATCTAAGTTGTTGAATTTTTGTGTATAAAGTTGTGTGTATTACTCCCTTATTATCCTTTTGATGTCTTCAATGTCTGTAATGATATCCCCTGTTTCACTCCTGATACTGCTGATTTATCTTATTTCTTTTCTTTATTTGTCAGTCTTACTAGAAGTTTGTCAATATTATTGACCTTTTCAACAAATCCATTTTGGTTTCATTGATTCTTTTCTATTATTTTTTGTTTTCAATTCCATTTATGTCTACCCTTACTTTTATTATTCCCTTCCTTTTCCTTGCTTTGAGCTTATTTCAGTCTAGGTTCTCAAGGTAAGAGCTTACATTATTGATTTGAGATGTTCCTCCCTTCTTATGCACATGTTTAGTGCCATAAATTTCCTTCTCAGCACTACTTTGGTTGTGCCTCACATTTTGATATGTTGTATTTTCAATGCTACTCAGTTCAATTTCTTTAATTGCCCTTGAGGTTTCTTCTTTAGCCCGTGGCTTATTTAGAAGTATGTTGTTTAGTTTCCAAGTACTTCGTGATTTTCCTATTTTTTTCTGTTACTGATTCACAATTTAAACCTATTATGGTGAAGGAACACAACCTATTTTGTTTCAGTTCTTTTAAATGTGTTGTGGTTTTCAAAATAATAAGAGCCATCTGGAACAAACCCACAGCCAACATCATACTGAACAGACAAAAGCTGGAAGCATTCCCCTTGAAAATCAACACAAGATAAGGATGACTTCTCTCACCATTCATATTCGACATAGTATTGGAAGTCCTGGCCAGAGCAATCAGGCAAGAGAAAGAAATAAAGGCATTCAAATAGGAAGAGAGGAAGTCAAGCTATCCCTGTTTGCAGACAACATGATCCTATACCTAGAAAACCCCATGGTCTCAGCCGAAAAGCTCCTTAAGCTGATAAACAACTTTAACAAAGCCTTACGATACAAAATCAATGTACAAAAATCACTAAGTGTTCCTATACGCCAACAGCAGTCAAGCCAAGAGCCAAATCAGGAACTCAATCTCATTCACAATTGTCATAAAAAGAATAAAACGCCTAAGAATACAGCTAACCAGGGAGGTGAAAGATGTCACAATGAGAACTACAAAACACTGCTAAAAGAAATCAGAGATGACACAAACAAATGGAAAAACATTCCATGCTCATGGATAGGAAGAATCGATACTGTTAAAATAGCCATTCTGCACAAAGAAATTTATAGATTCAATGCTATTCCTAATAAACTACCAATAACATTCTTCATAGAACTAGGGAAAACTACTTTAAAATTCATATGGAACCAAAAAATAGCCCAAATAGTTGAACAATCTTAAGCAAAAAGAAAAAAGCTGGAGACATCATGCCACCAGACTTGAAACTATACTTCAGGGCTACAGTAACCAAAACAGGGTGTTACTGGTATAAAAACAGACACATAGACCAATGAAACAGAATAGAGAGCCCAGAAATAAGACCACTCACCTACAACGATATGATCTTTGACAAAGCTGACAAAACAAGCAATGGGAAAAGGACTCCCTAATCAATAAATGGTGCCAGGATAACTGGCTAGCCATATGCAGAAGACTGAAACTTGTCCCCTTCCTTACAACATATACAAAAATTAACTCAAGGTGGATTAAAGACTTAAAGGTAAAACCCAAAACTATAAAAACCTGGAAGAAAAACTAGGCAATACCATTCTGAACATAGGAATGAACAAAAATTTCATGACAAAGATGCCAAAAGCAATTACAACAAAAGCAAAAATTGGCAAATGGGATCTAATTAAACTAAAGAGCTTCTGCACAGTAAAAGAAATTATCAGCAAAGTAAACAGACAACTTACAGAATGGAAGAAAATTTTTGCAACTGTGCATCTGACAAAGGCCCAATATCTAGCATCTATAAGGAACTTAAATTTACAAGGAAAAAATAAACAAGCCCATTAAAAAGTGGACAAAATACATGAACAGACACTTTTCAAAAGAAGACATACATGTGGCCAACAAACATATGAAAAAAAAGCTCAGCATTGATTATTAGAGAAATGCAAATCAAAACCACAATGAGATATCATCTCACACCTCTTAGAATGGATATTAATAAAATGTCAAAAAATAGCAGATGCTGGCAAGGTCGTGGAGAAAAAGGAATGCTTATACACTGCTGGTGGGAGTGTAAATTAGTTCATTGTGGAAAAAAGTGTGGCAATTCCTCAAAGACCTAAAAACAGAAATACCAGTTGACTTGGCAATGCCATTACTCTATACATACCCAGAGGAATATAAATAGTTCTATCACAAAGACACATACGTGCATATGCAACACTATTCACAATAACAAAGACATGGAATCAACAATCCACCTAAATGCCAATCAATGGTTGACTGAATAAAGAAAATGTTGTACATTTACATATACATATACACCATGGAAAACTATGCAGCCAGAAAAAAGGATGAGACAATGTCCTTTGCAGGAACACGGATGGAGCTGGAGGCCATTATCCTTAGCAAATTAACACAGGGAAAGAAAACTAAATACCGCACATTCTCACTTATAAGTGGGAGCTAAATTATGAGAACACATAGATATGTAGAGGGGAACAATAGAAACTGGGACCTATCTGAACGTGAAGGGTGGGAGGAGGGAGAGGATCAGGAAAAATAACTAATGGGTACTAGGCTTAATACTTGGGTGATGAAATAATCTGACACAAGTTTACCTATGTAACAAACCTGCACATGTACCCCTGAACTTAGAATAAAAGTTAAAAAAGAAAAAAGAAAAGGAAATAAATGTGTTAAGGTTTGTTTTATGGCCCAGGATATATCTATCTTGATAAATATTCCACGGACACTTGAAAAGAGTGTGTAATCTACTGTTGTTGGGTAAAGTGTTCTATAAATGTCAATTAGATTCTGTTGGTTGATGATGATGTTGAATTCTCCTATATCCTTGCTAATTTTCTGTCTAATTCTTCTATGAATTGTAAATTCTCTAAATATATTTGTAGATTTGTCTATTTCTCCTTTGAGGTTTTTTTTTTTTTTTGTCTTGTTTTGTTTTTTGACAGAGTCTCAGTGTGTCACCCAGGTTGGAGTGCAATCGCACAATCTCAGCTCACTGCAGCCTTCACCTCCCAGCTCAAATGATCCTCCTGCCTCAGCCTCCGAAGTAGCTGGGACTACGGGCAAGTGCTAGCACACCCGGCTAATTTTTCTATTTTTTGTAGAGACGGGGTTTCGCCATGTTGCCCAGGCTGGTCTTGAATTCCTGGGCTCAAGCAATCCACCAATCTTGGTCTCCCAACATGCTGGGATTATAGGCATGAGCCATCATACCTGGCCTCTCCTTTCAGCTCTATCAGTTTTTGCTGTATTGGTCCATACACATATAAGATTTTTATGTGTTCTTGGTTCATTGACTCTTTAATCATTTGTAATCGTCTGCCATCACTTCTTGGCCTTTTGACTAAGATCAAGTGTAATGATCCTCTGTCTCCAGCAATGTTCTTTGCCCTGAAGTCTACCTTATCTGATAATAGAGCTGCAGCTACTTCATTTCAATTAATGTTTGCATGGTACAACTTTTCCCATTCTTTTACTTTCAATATACATATGTTATCATATTAAAAGTGAATTGCTTGTACCTGGATATAGTTGGAACATTTAAAAAATTCAGCCTGCCAGTCTTCATCTTTTAATTGGTATATTTAGATCATTCACTTTTAATGTTATTAGTGATATGTTAGCCTTAAGTCTGTCACTTTATTTTTTTGTTTTCTGGTTGTTTCCTCTGCTTTTAATTTCCTGGTTTGTTTTTTGTTCTTGCCTTTGTGCAAGGCTTGCATTTTTATTTACCTTCTAGAGATTTTTATTTTCTTATGGCATTTTTGAATGTATCTTTTGTATCATCTTTTTTAAGCAGTTGCTCAAGGTGTTTTAGTATTAATACATAACACCACAGTCTATGTTCAGTTCAAGTGTCCTATTAGGTTTTTAATGTTCATTTTAAAAAATTGTGTTGTGAGTATACACGTAAGGTTTTTGGATTGGAATCAGTTTTCTTATTATTTATATTATAGAAAATAATGAGCATATACTTCTGTGTCCCCAGGACAATGTGATGAGATCCAGGACAATGTGATGAGATCCAGGTCAAATGTCCTATACATACAAAATCTGTATTGTAAGTGAGGGACAGCGAAAAGTCCATTTTAGCCATTTATGTTCAAGAGAAAGAAACAACCACCTCCCTCTCCCCTTCTGAAAGATTCTTCTTAGAAATGTCTTAACTCTAACACTTTGGATTAAATACATATCTCTAGAAGTTAAATAAGCTCAATGTGTTAGTCCAGTTTACAAATGTCTCTGTGTCCTGGGTTTCATCCCTTTTGAAATTTCAATGCCTAGGAAAATAATATTATAACATTGTCTAGGTGCCTATCCTGGATGGTAACTGTTTGACTCTTGGGGAGATAAGAGAAGGCCTGTTGGATGGAAGCTATTAGCTCCGTCATTAGGGCAACAAATGACTGCAGACTTAATCCTAATGATATGTGGAAAGTAACATGTTTCTAGGAGAAGTAAAAACAACATTTTCTATCTCTGTTGAGTATTAATTTCTGAGTCCCTGGTGTTTGAGGTTTTTACAGGAATGCTGAGAATCCAGGCGTGATTTCTTTTCCCACAAAACTTTGCCTCCCTTTAAGTCTCTTTACTCTTCTCCCATATGTAATATAATTGTCTTCACTATTTCTTCTACATACACTGAGAAACACATCAGAAAATAGCAACTTTTGCTTCAACCTTCAAACATAACCTAGCAAACTCAAGAGCAAAAGGAAAATCTACTGTATTTACTTGAAATTTTTACCCTTTCTGGGTTTTTTCTTCCTTTTTTTTTTTTTTTTGAGACAAAGTCTCACTCTGTTGCCTAGGATGGAGTGCAGTGATGCAATCACAGCTCGCTGCAGACTTGACCTCCCAGGCTCAGGTGATACTCCCAGCTCAGCCTCCCGAGTAGTTGGGACTACAGGTATGCACCACCGTGCCCAGCTAATTTTTGTATTTTTGTATTTTTTGTAGAAACAGGATTTCACCATGTTGCCTAGGCTGGTCTCAAACTCCTAGGCTCAAGTTATCCACCTGCCTCAGCCTCCCAAAATGCTAGGATTATAGGCGTGAGCCACTATACCTGGCCTCTTTCTTCCTTTTTGATGTTCCAAGATTCCTTGTTTTTTTTTTTTTTTTTTTTGGGACAGCTTTATAATTCATATAACATACAATTTGCCCACAGTGTACAATTCAGTAGTTTTTTTTAGTATAGTCACAGAGTTTTACAACCATTATCACAATCCATTTTAGAACATTTTAATCACTGCAAAAAGAAACTCCACGCCCTTTAGCTATCACCCCCCAATCCTAGGTAACCATTAGTCTACTTTCTCTGTAGGGTTGCCTATTCTGAACATTTTATATAAATGGAACACAGCAATATGTGGTGTTTTGTTACTAGCTTCTTTCATTTAACATAATATTTTCAAAATTCATCCATATTCCATTGTGTGGCTATGCCATATTTAATTTATGCATCAGTTGATGGACATTTAGGTTGTTTCTACTTTTAGGCTATTATGAATAATGCTACTATGAACATTCATGTACAAATTTTGTGTAGACATATATTTTCATTTTTTTTGAGTACATACGAGTGAAATTGTTGGGTCACATCGCAGCTCTACGTTTAACATTTTAAAGAACTGTTAAACAGTTTTTTGAAGCAGCTATATCATTTTACATTCCCACCACCACTGTATAAGGATTCTAATTGCTTTACATCCTTGCCAACACTTGTTATTATCTGTCTATTTCCATAATAGCCATCCTTGTGGGTGTGGAACAGTATCTCATTGCCATTTTGAATTGCATTTCCCTAATGGCTAATAATGTTGAGCCTCTTTTCTTCTGTTTATTTGCATATGTTCTTTGGAGAAATGTCTATTCAGATCATTTGCCCATTAAAAAATATGACTGTATTGTAAGAGTTTTTTTATATATTATCAATACAAGTCCCTTATCAAATATATGATTTGAAAATATTTTTCCCCTTATGTGGGCTAATGTTTTCACTTTCTTCATGGTATCCTTTGAAGTACAAAAGTTTTATATTTTGATGAAATACAATTTATCTATTTTTTTCTTTGGTTGCTGTGCTTTTGGTGTCATATTTAAGAGACCATTGCCAAACCCAAGGTCACAAGGATTTACTTATCTGTGTTTTTTTCTAAGAGTTTTAGTCAACAAAAATAAGCAACTGAGAAAGGATTCCCTATTTAATAATAAATGGTGCTGGGATAGCTGGCTAGCCATATGCAGAAGAATGAAACTAGACCTCCACCTTTCACCACGTATAAAAATTAACTCAAGATGGATTAAAGATTTAAACTTAAGACCTTAAACTATAAGAATCCTAGAAGAAAACCAAGAATACACAATTCTGGACATCAGCCTTGGGGAAAAAATTATGACTAACTCTTCAAAAGCAGTTGCAACAAAAACAAAAAAATTGACAAATGAGACCAAATTAAAGCAAGGAGCTTCTGTACAGCAAAAGAAACTAGCAACAGAGTAAACAGGCAAACTACAGAATGGAAGAAAATATTCAAAAACTATGCATCTGACAAAAGTCTAACCACCAGAATCTATAAGGAACTCAATTCAACAAGCAAATAATAATAATTATAACCCCATTAAAAAGTGGACAAAAGACATGAATGATACTTGTTAAAAGAAGATGTGTAAGTGGCCAAAAAACATGTTGAAAAATGCTCAACATCACAAAGCATCAGAGAAATGCAAATCAAAACCACAAATAGATACCATCTCATACCAGTTAGAATGGCTATTATTAAAATTCAAAAAACAATAGATGCTGGCAGGCTGCAGAGAAAAGAGAACACTTATATACTGTTGGTGGGAATGTAAATTTGTTCAGCCACTAAGGAAAACAGTTTGATTTCTCAAAGAACTTAAAACATAACTACCATTTGACCCAGCAATCCCATTACTGGTATATACTCAAAAAAATAATAAATTGTTCTATCAAAAAGATTCATGTACTCTTGTTCATCACACCACTATTCACAACAGCAAGGACATGGAATCAACCTAGTGCCCATCAATGGTGGATTGGATCAAGAAAATGTGGTACATATACACTATGGAATACTGTGCAGTCATCAAAGAATGAAATCATGTCCTTTGCAGAAACATGGATGCAGCTAGTGGCCATTTTCCTAAGCAAATTACCATAGGAACAGAAAATCAAACACCACATGTTCTCACTTATAAGTGGGAGCTAAAAATTGGGTATTCATGGACATAGAGATGGCAACAATAGACACTGGAGACTACTATAAGGCAGAGGAAGGGAGTGGGGCAAGGGTTGAAAAACTAGTTATTGGGTACTGTGCTCACTACCTGGCTGATGGGATCAATCATACCCCAAACCTCAGCATCATGCAATATACCCATGTAACAAACCCGCACATGTACCTGCTGAATCAAAAGAAAATAAAAGTTGATACTGTTTTTAAAAAGAGTTTTATAGTTTTACCTCTTAAACGTAGGTCTTTGATCCTGTTTGAGTTAATTTTTGTACTTGAAATAAGGTAGGGGTCAAGATTCCTTCTTATATCTTTCCTTTTGGTTTCAAGAACTTCTTTTAGCCATTCTTTTAGGATACTTCTGAAGGCAACAAATTATCTTAGTTTTTCTGCATCTGAGAATGTATTGACTTACCCAGCATTCCTAAAGGATATGTTCACAGAATTCTGGGTTGACAGTTCTTTACTTTTAGCATTTGAAAAATGTTTTGCCACTTTCTCTGGCCTCTGTGGTTCTCAGTAAGAAATTCCCTGTCATTTGAATTGTTTTTCCTTTATAGGCAAGGTGTCATTATTTTCTCACTGATACCATGATTTTTAAAATTTGTCTTTCATGTTCAAAATCTTGATTATGATGTTCTTGATGTAGCTTTCTTTGGGCTTATGCTGTTTGAGGTTTGCTCAGCTTTTTTTTTTTTTTTTTTTTTTTTTGAGACACAATCGCATTCTGTCCCGCAGGCTCGAGCACAGTGGCATGATCTTGGCTCACTGCAACCTCCACCTCCCACGTTCAAGTGATTCTCCTACCTCAGTCTCTCAAGTAGCTGGGATTACAGGCACATGCCACCACATCCAGCTAATTTTTGTATTTGTGTAGAGATGGGGTTCACCATGTTGGCCAGGCTGGTCTTGAACTCCTGACCTCAAATGCTCAGCTTCTTGAATCTGTAGATTTATATCTTTGGCTAAACTTGGGATATTTCTAGCCATTATTTCATTGAAAACTTTCTCAGCCCCATGCTTTTCCTCATCACCTTCTGCAACTCCAGTGACACAAATGTTTGCTCTTTTGTTATAGTTCTGCAGGTCCCTGAGGCACTGTTCTTTTTCTTTCTTTTATAAGCCTGTTTTTAGTCTTTATTGTTCAAGTTGGGTAATTGCTATTGATCTATTTGAAATTCAATATTTTCCCCTCCCCTCTCCATTGTTCCATTGAGCCTATTTGGTGAGATTTCTATTTCAGTTATAAGTTTTCAGTTCTAAAATTTCCATTTTATCCTTATTTATATCTTCAGTTTCTTTGCTGGAAATTTCTATTTATTTGCTGAGACTTATTTTTACTTGTGTTCTAAGTATGTTCATAATTGCTAACTGAAGTATTTTTATGATGGCTCCTCTAAAATTCCTGTCAGATAATTCTAAAATGTGTGTTGTATCAGTATCAGTATCTGTTACCTTTTTTTATTTAAGTTAAGATTTTACTGGTTATTGGTTTGATAAGTTCTAGGCTGCCTCCTTCCTGGTCCTTAAGCTAGAGGGAGTGATATGGTTTGGCTGTGTCTCCACCCAAATCTCATCTTGATTTGTAGTTCCCATAATCCCCACATGTTGGGGGAGGGACCCGGTGGGAGATAATTGAATCATGAGCGTGGTTTCCCCCATGCTATTCGCAGGATGATGAGTAAGTTCTCACGAGATCTGATGGTTTTATAAGGGGTCTCCCCCTTCGCTCAGCTCTCATTCTTCTCCTTCCTGCCACCATGTGAAGAAGGACATGTTTGCTTTCCCTTCTGCCATGATTGCAAGTTTCCTGAGGCCTCCCCAGCCCTGCAGAACTGTAAGTCAACTAAACCTCTTTCTTTTATAAATTACTCAGTCTCGAGTATGTCCTCATAGCAGAATGAGAATGAATACAGGGAGTGAGCCGCTCTTGGAGCTTCTTTTGTCTGTATTCACTGGTGTCTCCAGGCTGCAGGCTTCTCTAGCATCCACTCCAGGTACATAAGACAAAACAAAACAAAACACACACACACACACACACACACACACACAGGGAATTCACAATCCTGTTTCTCCTAAGGTCCTGAGTCCCTCCCTGGTCTGCCTTCTTCTTACCACCTTTTAACATCTTTTAATTTTGTTTCATATATAATGCCCATAGTTTTTAGCTGTACTTACCAGGACAAACAGGGAGAGGTGTGTTTATTCCATCTTGTCTGGAACCATGACTCTCCCTTTTTACTTAACATTGTTAAGTATTTTAATGTTCCCAAGGTTGGGACATATCTTAGAGTTGCTGTGTACATATAATGCGGAGTCTCCTTTTATGAGCTCTGTAGCACACCTTATCACCATGATTGTTTACAAAGGGACTTCACCATTACCTTCCATGTTGGTTTTCTATGGCTGCTATAACAGGTTACCAAAAGCTTCGTGGCTTAAAACAACACAAACGTATTATCCTGCAGTTCTTGAGGCTAGGAGTCCGACATGGGCTAAAAGTAAGAGGGCTCTGTTCCTCTCAGTAGGTTCAAGGGGAAAACCTGTCCTTTCCCTTTCCAGCTTCTGGAGGTTGCCTGCATGCTTTGACTCATGACCTCCTTCATCTGTCTTCAAAGCCAGCAAGAGCGGGTTGAGGTCTCATATTGTATCACTCTGATCTCCTCTTCTGCCTCTCTCTTCTACTTTAAGGACCCTTGTAAGTATAATGGCCCCAGCTGGATGATACAAGATAATCTCCCCTTTGTAATGCCAGCTGATGAGTAACCTCACTTTCACCTGCAACAAATGTAATCCCTTTGCTATGTAACCTAACATATTCATATTCATAGGTTACGATGTGGACGTCTTTGAGGGGTCATTATTCTGCCCCCCACATTGCCTGCTTTAATATAAGTAAACACACTTGGTGGATGTCAGCTTTGACGTCAATACTACTGCTACTAATAAGAATAACAAGGAATTATTATCATAAAAACTCCAAGAAGCAGTTATTATTTCCATCACCTTCCTTTGCAAGGAAAATTGAGGTCCCAGAAGATTGAGTATTTTGTCCCAAGTCACAAGACTGTTGCTATGAGGTGTCCCAGAGCAGGGTTGGGGCAACAGGACTAGATGTCTAAAACAGTCATCTTTCCAGCCAGAGGAGCTACCGGTGTAAAGGTAGCCCCTTCTGTACCAGAAAAGGCCCAGTCCTTGGAGCAACAGGCCTGGTTCAAATCCTCATCTCCCTGCTCACTGCACCGTGGTCTGGGCAAATTATTTGAACTTGCCTTGCTCCAGTTTCCTCCTCCTCCTCTGTTCAGGAGAGGACATGCCAGGGCCTAGGAAACTGTATGTGGAGAAGACACAGGCAGGGACATGTCCCATGTCTGCGCCAGTGTCCTGGCTCCTTGGCTATCAGGTCCATACCTGCCTTACCCTGCCCAGCCTTGCCCTGCCCTGCCCTGGAGGGAGAATGTGCCCTAAACTCCAGGACCCTGTGTCAGCAGGGCTGGTGGACTGGGTAGCCCCTGACCCAAAGCATCTGTGAAGTATGCAGCAGACTCCATAAGGTGAGAAGGGCCAGCACAGGGCTCCCTCACCATCTGCACCAGAGTATAACATCCCTCCCTTGGGAGTCCAGGCCCCCAAAGTCTCAGCCCTAGCTCCAGCTCCAATAGGGAAAAATGGGCTGAGAAATGCACTGGGAGATCCCCAGCCTGGCTCTCCTGGGGAAACCAAAAAGGCTGCAAGTCACAGGGTGCCTCTCAGAAGTCCAGTCTGCCGCTGTGGAGGCACAGGGATCTGCATGTGCTTCTGCTGTTGCTAACGATCCTTACAATAACTCATAAAGAACCTGGGGTTCTCCCAGCCTCCGTACATGAGTCTCCCCCGGGCCTCCCCAGCCCTAATGCGGGATGGAGATGACAGATTCGCAGAGGGACTTGGCCAAGGTCACACAGCTCACATGTGGAGGCAGAGCTAGAATCTGAGCCTCGGGGGTTATAAACATTTTGCTAAAACTTAGGCTTTGGGAGAACGGAGTGGGGCCCTGCAAAACTGTGCCCACAGGTTGTTATGGCTGGTGGGTGGGCCAGCCCTTCCCTCTGTGGTAAACAGGGAAGGCCCATGGGGTGGAGGCGGGGGTGGGGGTGGGGGTGCAGTGCTTGGGTAGGTTTGAGGTGGAGAATGAAGCAGGAAATAAATGAGGGGAGGGAGCAGGGGACAGGAAAAGGATGGAGGACAAGGTGGGGTGACCATCCACGGCCCCCCAGTCCCCAGGCCCAGCTCAAGCCTGGGGTAAAGAATGAGCCTCGGCCTTTGGGGGGCCTCACTTGTATCAGTAGAGGGGATCAGAGGCCCCATCTGGCCAGGCACTGCCCACAACGTGCTATGACACCTTCTGTCAATCACCTGCCGCCCAGGCTTCAGTCTGCTCCTCAGTTAAATAAAGGATGTGGCCATAAAAGATCTCGAAGGCAGTCCCCTGCCCTGACAGGCAGAGGGCTCTGGGTGGCCTCTGTCAGATGGCAGGTTGGGGACTTCCTCATTCATTTGTTCAGCAAATATTTACCAAGCACCTACTGTGTGCCAGGCAGCAGGGTGCAGCTGGGCTTTCTATCTCTGCTTATACCGAGGAGACTCCAGGTGCAGGGGTGTGTGCAGCATGTTAGGCTGTGACTTCCTCAGAGTCTGACATGCACAGAGGTGAAACAAGCCAGTGCTCACACCGACCACACATTTTAAAAGCCAGCCCAGCACTGAGGCTTACCACCACCCCCAGGGGGGGAAGTGCCAGCCTAGGCAGGGCTCCTGTGGCTGGGGGCAGCCTGGCTTTGCCCACCCAGCCCCAGCAGTCAGCAGGACATGGGCAGATCCAGGAAGACCTGCAGGATGATGGAATCCACAGATTCAGATGGCCAAAACCAAGCTGACCACAGATAACAGAATGGATGGGCCAGGAAGATGCATTTGACCCTGTTGGGGCTCAGAAAACAATACCCTGAAGCATGGGGCTTTGGCATGCTGAGAACTTTGAAATGAAGGAAACTGGAAGGTCACAGACGCAAGTTCTTTCTGATCTTCTCCTGCCCTCCCATCTCCTTTTCCTCTTTCTTCCCTGAAGCAAGTCATAGGAACCATAATTCAGCTTCCCCAGGATGCATCCTAGAAACTACAATCCCTCTCCCCCAAAGCAAGCCATAAAACCTAGAAAGGTCATTCTCTCCCTTCTCCTGTCTCCCTCATTCCAAAATAGTCCTGCCCTATACCTAGGAGCCAAAATGAGTGATTGAAGCATAAGTCTCAGATCACTGAAGTTTATGGAGCCAGCTTGGGGGATGCACCTGGGAAAAACACGAGTCACAGATGCATCTGTGGCTCTTTCTTCCAAAGACGTTCTCAGGAGGTTTTGTATTTATACATTTTCCTTAAAAAGTATGGGGCGGATGGCAGTGAGCTGAATGATTACATACTTGTGTATGTGCCCAGTAAATCTACATTTTATGTAAGATAAAGTGAATATTGGAAGAAAATGGGAATAGAGGAAGCATATGTCTCAGGGAGGGGTGAAGGGATGATCAATCTCATTTTATCTTTGTTCTGTACCTGGGAAGATAAGCAAGTAATCAACATTATCAATGTGGAGGCTTTTGAAAGGGCTGGTTTCTGTTTACTCCTTAGAAAAGAAAGCTTAATGATAGTTAGCAAGGAAGGGGATAAAAAATTGAGGCGAGTCTGACCTCCCATCCCATAATAAGGCATGTCTGACTTCCCATCCTGTCATCGTCATGAAATCAGCTTTCAAGGATTCTTTCGAGTCCCGTTGGCCAAGAGAGGGCCCGTTCAGTCATTTGGGGGCTTAGAATTTTATTTTTATTTCTCATAAAAAGGCTGCACAGAGAGGCTAAGAATCTGAACACACAGGCCTACGGGGTTCCCCATTCTGCCTATTATTGTTACCAGAAAGGGGTCCCAATCCAGACCCCAAAAGAAGGTCCTTGGATCTCAGGCAAGAAAGAGTTTGGGGCAAATCCCTAAAGTGAAAGCAAGTTTTTTAGAGAAGTAAAAAAGCAAAAGAATGGCTACTCCATAGGCAGAGCAGCGGCACAGGCTGCTTGACTGAATATTTTTATATTTATTTCTTGATTATATGCTAAACAAGGGGTGGGTTATTCTCATCCTGTGATTAAGAATGCCTGACCTTCTGGGAATGCGGCCCAGCAGGTCTCACCCTTATTTTACCTGGCCCCTATTCAAGATGGAGTCACTCTGGTTGCAACACCTCTGACATTACCATTAGATCATACCCTTTGTCCAACCACATTTCATACAATTGTCCATTCTTCCTCAAATCTAAGCATACAGACAGACGGTTTGCACTGGGTGTTTGCGTCTTCATTTCCGAAAGCTTCCATGTCACATAAGAATTTGATTACATAGATTTGTTGTTTTTTTCTTGTTAACCTGTCTTTTGCTATAGGAGGGTTGGCAGTGACCCGTATTGTTAGTGGTGGAAGGTATCTGAGTTACTGGCAGTGAATCCACACACGTCTGCAGCAACTTCAATTCTTGCCTCCGCAGAAGAAAGAATTTGACTGACGGGCATAAGGCAGAAAGACAGAGGCGAGTTTCAGAGCAGGAGTGGAAGTTTATTAAATAGCTTTACAGCAGAAAAGAGGGTATGCTTGGGAGAGTCCCAAGCTGGCGACTTGAAGAACAATTGTGGTGTTTAACCTTGCTCCTAGGACTTTATAGGCTGGCCCCTTTCCCATGATTCTTCCCTTAGGGTGGGTTGCCTGCATGTGCAGTGTCCCCCTTATGCTTGGGAGGTGAGCACGCACAGTGTGTTTGGGAAGTTGTACACATGCCTATCTGAGGCTTTCTTCCCTTTTCTGGTGAAGTGCCCCTGGAAGGTCATACTCTGCCATTTTGTCTCTTAATGCACATGCCCAGGAAGTTGCTTCTCCCCAGCATCTGCATTCAATGAACATTTGAGTGCAACAGGTGTGGACCATCAGGAAATGGCCCCTCCCTGGCACCAGCCGCCAATTTATCACTTTTAGAGAGGCAATGTGATAATTGCTTAATTATCACCTGACATTCCTAGTGGGTGGGGGAAGAGCCCTCTCCTGCCCCACTCATGCCTGTCTACCTACTGTAACATTATGATGGGGTCACATAAGGTTTCTGCCCCTACAATCCCAGCAGAAATAAAGACAAAGGGGCAGTGTGAAGCAGACACACAGAGTGAGGTTCGGAGTGGAAGTGTAACAGGTGAAAGAAAGAGAAGAGCTCTCTCTGCTGCAGAGAGAGGGGTCTTGGAGAAATGAGTTGCTGGTTCCATGATGCAATGCAGCAAGTTTTATAGATGAGCTTGAGGAGGTGGTGTCTGATTTACATAGGGCATGAAAGATTGGTCAGACCAGGTGTTCTATTTGCATAGCATGCAAAAATCTGGCCACCCCCCCGAATCTTTTGTTATGCAGGTGGGTTCTCTGCATCTGGTGCCATGTTGCCTGCTTCCTTACTGTACACGTGGTGACAAACAAAAGGGAAAATGGTGCCTCTATGTTGAACATACCTGGCTTCCAGGTAGCCCTTTTCTATTGGCACAACTGCAGCATTCACTCCTGCATGGTTATCTATGTCTGCAGCTCAATTTTTCTGGCTGCTTTTTGCTAGAAAAGAAATTATTGGCCAGGTGTGGTGGCTCACGTCTGTAATCCCAGCATTTTGGGAAGCTGAGGTGGGTGGATGGCTTGAGGTCAGCAGTTCGAAACCAGACTGGCCAACGTGGCAAAACCCCGTCTCTACTAAAAATACAAAAATCAGCCGGGCATGGTGGTGCACGCCTGTAATCCCAGCTACTCGGGAGGCTGAGGCCTGAGAATCACTTGAACCTGGGAGGCAGAGGTGGAGGTTGCAGTGAGCCAAGGTTGTACCATTGCACTCCAGCCTGGGCAACAGAATAAGACTCGTCTCAAAAAAAGAAAAAAGAAAATAAATTATTTTAGGGCTGCTTTTTGTTAAAAGGGAAGGCTTGCTGAGGACTCTGTTGCCCTTACTATCTGCCTAAATAATTTCTTTCTAGCTCCTGTATCAAAATCTCAGTTCATGGGCCTAGGAGTTTCCCTCAGAGGGGGCCCAAGACAACAAACGGTCTGGCCATGAAAAATCTAAAAGACCCCGGCCTTCTGGCAGCATGCGAGGGCTGGTTTAGCCCTACCTAAGACAGGGCATTGCTAGGGCCACCCTGGCCTCTGGGTCCGGAGCTGTGGAAGGAGGGTGGTGGTGGTGAAGGCTGCTGGTGGAATTGTAACCATCCAATGGGTTCTTCCTGCCCACTGCACAGAAAAAACCCATTCACTGAGACCACAGCATTGCAATAAAGAAAGAGTTTAATAGACACGAGGTTGTCCACACCACATGGGACATAGAGTTATTAATCAAATAGATCTCCTTGAAAACTCCAAGGCTAGGGTTTTTAAAAAATAGTTTGGTGGCCCAGGAAGACCATTTCTGGATAGGGCCACAGGACCAGCTTGGTGGGAGTCAGTGGGGGTCAGAGATGCAAAAACCTGAAAAGACATATCAAAAAGCCAATCTTACGTTCTACAATAGTGATGTTATCTGCGGGAGTAATTGTGGGAGTTGCAAATCTTGTGACCTCCGGAATAATGGCTGCAATGGCTAATGTCTACACCTTAGAAGAATTCAGGATCCTCACATCCTCCTAATCTGGTGGCCTTTCATTAGCTTTAGGTTTAGTTTTGGGGAAGGGCTATTATCATTTAAACTATAAATGTCTCCCAAAGTTAGCTTGGCCTATGCCTAGAAATGACTCAGGGCTCTTTGAAGGTTAAAGGCAAGATAGAAGTTGGTTAGATCACATCTCCTTCACTGTCATAGTTTTCTCACTGTTAAAATTTTTGCAAAGGCAATTTCAGGATTAGAGTCCCCCAGCGACACCTCTCTGTCACTTGCAGAGGGTCCCAGGTCCTGCAGAGTCACGAAAACCAGTCTGTGACATGACATGTCCCTTTGCTCAAGGGAGGGCTGCTTGGAGCTGCACACTTGCTGAGTTAAAGAGCAAGGGTGTCCAGGGAAAGTGATGAGGCTGCAGCCCCAGCTCACCTACCCTTCCTGGGCTTCATGTCCACCTCAGAAAGGCCCAGCCTTAAGTTCATCAGCAATAGTTGCATGGCTTGAAAGCACACAGCCTGGGCCAACTTGCACACTGGGCATTGGGGAAGGGACATTGGCTCTGTGATCCCAATTCTCCCATCTCCAGCCCCTCCATTGGCTGCAGAACAGAGTTTCTTTCAGCATCTGGGAGACACTCTGTGGGTCCCGGGGGTTAGACACCCCATTAACCCAGGACAATGTCCTGTCACAGCAGAGCCCTTGCCACCCTCAAGAACACCCTCAGATGACACAGAGTCCTCAAAGCCTGAGCCATGGGCTTGTTAGACATCATGTTCTTGGGCTCCACCCCAGACTCAATGCATCAGAAACTCTGGGGTTGCTTAAGTTTGTGTTAAAGGATACTTTTCAACAAAAAGTAAAATTATGATTCTAAGGCAGTTATAAAATCAATATTGTTAAAGACTTTATTCAACTCATTATTAGTGAGGAAAGTGAGGATAGCAAAGTCACCTGGTGTCCATCAAGCAGACCATCTGGAGGCAAAACTCTTTATTTAAGGAACTCAGAAGTAATTAGACTTTCCTATTTTCTAAAGCCATAATCTGACACCAGGCTTCTTTCTAAAACATGTATAAGTAACTAGGATTTCTAATGCATCTCCGGAATGCATGTATGTTGAAACTCATTGTGCAACACTTGCCGACATCAAGGCACCAAATTACCTACATGGCTAATATGGTCCAAATTACCCTTAAGCTCCCACTTTAAGGTCCATAAATACCCCTAAGGAAAATCCACCTTGGCACGCTCAGTCTTGTCTAGCTGAAGCGCCCTGCTATACTCTGCTGCAGTGTTCTTTCTGTTTAATAAAACTTTCCTCTTCAAACCTATTCTGCTGTCGGTACATTCTTTTCCCATATGTGAGCCAATCACTCTCCACTGCCAGGGCTCTGACAACTTGCCTGGCAGAAACCTATAGGATGTTTCAACATGTTCAAGGGAGAATCCAAAGAATAGACACATTTATATATCAGGAATATTAAAATGAACTTACAAGTGGATCCCAAACTGGTTTCTCCACATTGGCAGGGTCATCCCTTCACCAGAGAGAATTTATTTGCATGTCCATAGGCAAGACTTATTTTGTTTGCTGTCAGTCATTTACAACTTATAGATTTGTAAAACAGCACACAGTGAGATACCCCTACAGGGTGTGATCTAAACAATTCATAGTTTTCCATTAAATCACACATTTTCCCCTCAAGAATCTCCAGCTGAAATGATCCAACAGGATTTGGTCAGTCTGTGGCCTGGCCAGCTGGGGGCCACACCCTGACGGAGGCCCATAGCTCCTGATGAGTGGGAGAGGATGGGGGACGCTTGGAAAGAACCTAGGGTTCCCACAGTGAGGATCAGCATGGCTTTGTATAGCCCATCTCTGAATGCCTCAGAACCCACTAGGAATAAGCAATTTACTGTTATTGAAGTCTGTGAAATAATTCATTCCTAAATAAATTTGCTAGGGAATTGTGGGCTGTAATTACTGACAGACATTGCCAGACATTGAAGGTCTATCAGGCAAAAACCAAACAGAACCGACTAGACTTGTAGGCGGATGCAAGACAGGTGAAGAGGCAGGAGGAGGCTGTGTGGGACACAGCCGGGTGGTTTGCACGCTGTGTCCTCATCCTGCATTATCTTCTTCCAAGGCCCTGGCATAAACGAGCTCCAGGTGTGGAAGACAGAGGATGATGAAGGAGCTGGCTGAGGTGGCCCCTGAATTCAGATCCCCCTCCCCAAGGTGGTTCCTGAGGGGCATGGGGCCTGCTGGAGTTCAGCGGGGCTTCAAAGCAGACAGACCTGGAGTCCCTGTCCTGGCCCTGCCATATCCCCAAGTCAGTGACCCCAGAGTGAGCCTTGCACCCCCTAGGCCCTCATCACATGTGCTAATAGCGTTGGAAATAGTAACTTGAAGCCCCAGCTCTGTCCTGGCTCAAGAGGCACTCAGTTCCCTTCCTCTCACCAGTGTGATGGTACCTCTGAGTTGCCAGAGGAAGACTGGGCAGCCTGGCTCGCTGCAGCCTGCAGGAGGTGGGCAAATGTCAGAAGGTCCTGTTTTGGGGCTCCCCAATATCCAGGATCTCAAAAAAGTCTGGGTGGTGTTTGCTTCACTCTTGAGTGTAGCCTCACCCCTCAGGCCCTGGTTACAGCATGGCCGGCAACTCCTTTGCCTACTATAGTGGATTCTGACCCAGTCTTTCTGCCACCCGCCCCTTCTCCCTCCACTCCACACACAACCCCTGTCAGCTAGACCAGGAACACTGGGATGTAGGGTCTGTGCAGGCAACAAGCTAACAACATGGGGAAAGGTCACATACTTCGTCCTTGGGAATGTTGGCACCTAATGCCCTGGTGGGCAGAGAGCACATTCTTCCTGCAAGTTTGCTGATCAAATGCCCTTAGCAATAAACAAGAAATATGCTCACAGGCTGGCAGGGAAAATGGATGTGAAACAAATCATTGCAAATGACTAAGTAAACAATTGACAACATGATAAGGACCACGAAGGAAAAATCTAGTATTCTATGGGAGCCACGGTCTGAGCTGAGCAGGTGGTGAGAGGTCAGGTAGGCTTCCCTGAGGAAAGAGACTTACACTGAAACCTGAAGGATGAGAAAGAGTTGGCTGGGGGAAGAGCAGAACAAAGAGTTCCAGGTGGAGGGACAACGTGTAGGCCCCGTAGTACAGCTCTGCCATAGCTACTTCTCAGCTTGGATCCTCTCCGTGACTCCCGGGGACGCTGTCCAGCAAAGCCCACTCTCCTTTCCTGAGGCCCCATGCTAAGGCCAAGCCCTTCTGTCAGATTTCTCACCTGCTGCTCTCCTTGCGCACTCAGGACCCAGCCAGATGAACTATTCTTGCCCCCAGAGCCTGTCCTATGTTCTCAGCTTTGTGCTTTGCCTAGTGCTGCTGTTCTCCTGGAAATGCCCTTTTGCCTCCTCTCCACCTGCTAAAATCCTCCCCTTGGTTCCAGTTCTGGATGAGATGGAACAAGCATATCCTGACCTGTCTATCCCACCGAAGGCAGCTGTAACCCTGGGCGGCACGCATGGAGCAGCCATCTGAAGACTCGGAAAAGTAAATAGCAGCAGATGCATTTGGAAGAAAACCAAAGCCTGAAGTATCTCAGCACCAGCAGTGAGTTTACCACTCTTGTTCCTCTGAGATTCCCCTGCCTGGGCTCAAGGCACCCCAAAACGTGGATGTGGATTCGGGTAGGGATCTATCAAGCAGTTTGATTCCAGTCAGTCTCGTCAGAGAATCCTTACCAAGGGCATCCACATCTGTGACACCAGCTGCCCATCAGCGGCCTCGATTTGTTTCCAGTTTGCTGCTCCAAAGAGGGATGTCTGTAACCTTCCAGTCTAGAGTCTTCCCAGCAGCAGAGCAGACGGCCAGGCCATTGGTGCCAGGTAAGAGTTAGTTAACATGTAGCAAATTTCTTTGCGGGAAGCACTGGCGAGGGCATTAGGACTGCAGTGAGTTCTGCCCACTGAGCAGAGTGATCATGTTCACTTATTGTTTTATGGAGATGGTGCTGAGGCTGAACACCTACAGCAGCTTTGCTTTAGGGGGCATGGTTGGTGATAATGTTTCCGCTAAAGGGATTGCTGCCAAGATGCTGCTAAGGAGAGGCCAACTGGCTCTTGAATACTCCATTTCCTTTTAAACGGAGAGATCTCTTAGGCTCTTCTCACTTTTTTAGTCATTGAGTGAGTTGATACACCCCAAAATGGGGATGGCAGGCCAAAGAGTCACAAAGCATCCTCGCGTCAGGCATTCAGTTCCAGCAAGAGCTTGGTCACAGCTGCCTTGGAACAAAAAAAAAGTTTATTTGGCTTCTCTTCCAGCAGGTGGCGCTGTTATACTAGGAACTGCCTCTGAGTAGTCCTGCAGCCATTAAATCTTTAATTAAATTGATTTCTCTTTCTCTTGCTGTGATTCTTTGTCTCTGCTGGGCCACCAGGTATTGTTTAGGTAGGTAAGAGGGGAAGAAAAAATGATACCAGAAGGAAATGTGGAACATTAGAAATGAACAAGAACAGAAATGGCAAATATCTGGATAAGTATAATAGGTTATTCTTCTCTTGTTGAGTTCTTTAAAATATGTAAGACAATTAAAAGCAAAAATTTTTAACACCATTTTAAAAAGTTTCAAAGTATGTAGCTGTAATACATGAGACAATTACAACAAAAAGAGGAGGAAGGTAAGGAGATCCATATGGTGGTAAGATTCTGATATTCCACTTGAAATGGTGAAATATCGATTCTAAATAGACTACAAAAAGTCAAATATGTATATTGTAATCCTTAGAACACTGAAAAATTACACCAAGAGTTAATGCCAAAAACCCACTAGAGGCCGGGAGTGGTGGCTCACACCTGTAATCTCAACACTTTGGGAGGCTGAGGAAGGTGGATCACTTGAGGTCAAGAGTTTGAGACCACCCTGGCCAACATGGTGAAACCCTGTTTCTACTAAAAATACAAAAATTAGCTGGGCATGGTGGTGCATGCCTGTAGTCCCAGCTACTTGGGAGGCTGAAGTGGGAGAATTGCTTGAACCTGGGAGGCAGGGGTTGCAGTGAGCCTAGATTGCACCACTGCACTCCAGCCTGGGTGACAGAGAGAGACTCCATCTCAAAAAAAGAAGAAGAAAAAAAAAACCCAATAACACACACACTAGATAACTTAAACTAGAATACTAAAAAAGAAGTTTAAGTAAACCAAACAAAGGAAAAAAAAAAAGGTGAACTAAAAATACAGAAAAAAGTAGAAAATAAATAATAATTAGAAGACCTGAATCCAAACATATCAATAATTACATTACATGTAAATGACATAAACACACCAATTAAAAGATAGAGATTGACAGAATGAATTTTATAAAAATGACTCAAGTACATGCTCTCTATAAGAAACTCTCCTCAAATATTATAGTATAGGTAGGTTAAAAAGAAAAACTATGGAAAAAAAAAAAAAAACTGCACATTGAAGACCCCAACTGAAACAAAACTACTATGTTAATATCAAAGTAGACTTCAGAACAAAGAAAACTACCAGGGTTAAAAAGGGATATTACATATTGGTAGAAAAGTTAATTCACTGGTACTGGCATAACAACAGACACATAGAACAATAGAACATAATAGAGAACCCAAATATAAATCCACACATTTATAACCAACTCATCTTTGACAAAAGATCCCAGAATATGCAATAGGGAAAGGACAGTCTTTTCAATAAATGGTGCTGAGAAAACTGAACAACTAAATGCAGAAGAATGAAACCAGATCCCTATCTCTCACTATACACAAAAATCAAATCAAAAAGGATTAAAGATTTAAAAGGACTAAAACCTGAAACTATGAAACTACTAGAAGAAAACATTGAGGAAAAGCTCCAGGCAATCAAAGCAAAAATAGACAACGGAGATTACATCAAGTTAAAAAGCTTCTGCACAGCAAATGAAACAAGGTGAACAGGCAACCTACAAAATGGGAAAAAAATATTTGCAAACTGTCCCTCTGCCAAGAGAGTAATAACCAGAATATATAAAGAGTTCAAACAACTCAATAGCATAAAACAAATAATCTGATTTTAAAATGGGTGTCTGGGCACTGTGGCTTACACCTATAATCCTAGCATTTTGGGAGGCCAAGGCGAGAGGATAGCTTGAGCCCAGGAGTTTAAGATCAGCCTAGGCAACATAGTAAGACCCTACCTCTTGAAAAAAAAAAAAAAAAAAGTAGCTGGGTGCAGTGGCATCATGCACCTGTATTCCCAGCTCCTTGGGAAGCTGTAGTGGATCATTTGAGCCCAGAAGGTTGAGGCTGCAGTGAGTAGTGATGATGCCACTGCACTCCAGCCTGGGTGAAAAAAGAACAAGACCCTGTGTCAGTTAAAAAAATATTTTAAAAGAGTAAAAAGTATTAAAAATTTAAAAATAAATAAAAATCGGCAAAAGATCTGAACTGACATTTCTCAAAAGAAGATATACAAATGGCCAACAAGTATATGAAAAAATGTTCAACATCACTAATTATCAGGAAAGTGCAAATCAAAACCACAACGAGGTATTATCTCACCTTGTTTAAAATAGCTTGTACCAAAAAGGCAGGCAATAACAGATGTTGACAAGGATGTGGAGAAAGGGGAACCCTTGTACACTGTTGGTGGGAATGTAAATTAGCACAGCCACTATGGAGATCAGTATAGAGTTTCCTCAAAAAACCAAAAATAGAACTATCACATGATTCAGCAATTCCACTATAGGGTATATATCCAAAAGAAAGGAGGTCAATGTATCAAAGAGATGTCTGCCTTCTAATGTTTATTGCAGCACTATTTACAAAATCCAGAATACAGAATCAACCTAAGTGCCCACTAATGGATGAATGGATAAAGAATATGTACCTATACACAATGGAATATTATTCATCCATAAAAAGAGTGAAATCTTGCCATTTGCAACAACATGGATGGAACTGGAGGCCATTATGTTAAGTGAAATAAGCAAAGCATAGAAAGACAAACACTGCATGTCCTCACTTGTGGGAGCCAAAGAAGAGATCTCATGGAGATGAAGAGTAGATAGGTGGTTACCAGAGGCTGGGGAGGGGGGAGGGGGGAGGGGAGAGGGGAAGGGGGAATGAAGGGGAAAAATAATGTAAATTATTTATCACCACAGAATTTTACACTTAAAATGGTAAAGATGGTGAATTATACATGTATATTTTACCTCAATACACTTTTTTTAAAAAAAAAAGAAAAATCAATTCATCACCAGGAAAGCACAACAATTCTAAATGTATGAGCACTTGAGAATAGAGCTTCAAAATGCAGAAAACAAAAATTGTCAGAATATAAAAGGAGTAGACATGCTGACAATAATACTTGGAGATTGCAACACTCCTTTCTATGTAATATATAGAAATAGTGGCAAGGATAGAATGGAACACTATCAACTAACTTGAATTAAGTCATATTTACAGAACACTACACACTACAACAGCAGACTACACATTCTTTTCAAATGCACATGGAACATTTACAAAGATAGGCCATATTGTGAATAACATATCCAACCTTAAATTTAAAAGCACTGAAATCATACAAAGTATGTTTTCTGACTATAATGGAATTAAACTAGAAATCAATAAGAGAAGGATAACAGGAAAATTTCTAAACAATAAGAAAGCAAACCACACACTTAAAAAAGGGAAATCAGAAAATATATTGAAATGAAAGAAAATAACTATGTAACATATCAAAACTTGTGGGATGTAGCTAAAGTGGGAAGGGAATTTGCTGCATTAAATGATTGTATTACAAAACAAGAAATGTATCAAAACAACAATTTAAGCTTCTGCCATAAGAGACTAGGGAGGAAAAGAGCAAAATAAACCCAAAGTGAACAGGAGGAAGGAAATAATAAACAACAGTGTATTAAGGAAATTGAAGGGGGGGAGGAGCCAAGATGGCCGAATAGGAACAGCTCCGGTCTACAGCTCCCAGCGTGAGCAACGCAGAAGATGGGTGATTTCTGCATTTCCATCTGAGGTACCGGGTTCATCTCACTAGGGAGTGCCAGACAGTGGGCACAGGTCAGTGGGTGCAGCGCACCGTTGCACGAGCCAAAGCAGGGCGAGGCATTGCCTCACTCCGGAAGCGCAAGGGGTCAGGGAGTTCCCTTTCCTAGTCAAAGAAAGGGGTGACAGACGGCACCTGGAAAATCGGGTCACTTCCACCCAAATACTGCGCTTTTCCAACGGGCTTAAATAACGGTGCACCAGGAGATTATATCCCACACCTGGCTCGGAGGGACCTACGCCCACGGAGTCTCGCTGATTGCTAGCATAGCAGTCTGAGATCAAACTGCAAGGCGGCCCCGAGGCTAGGGGAGGGGCGCCCACCATTGCCCAGGCTTGCTTAGGTAAACAAAGCAGTGGGGAAGCTCGAACTGGGTGGAGCCCACCACAGCTCAAGGAGGCCTGCCTGCCTCTGTAGGCTCCACCTCTGGGGGCAGGGCACAGACAAACAAAAAGACAGCGGTAACCTCTGCAGACTTAAATGTCCCTGTCTGACAGCTTTGAAGAGAGCAGTGGTTCTTCCAGAATGCAGCTGGAGATCTGAGAACAGGCAGACTGCCTCCTCAAGTGGGTCCCTGACCCCTGACCCCTGAGCAGCCTAACTGGGAGGCACCCCCAGTAGCGGCAGACTGACACTTCACACGGCCGGGTACTCCTCTGAGACAAAATTTCCAGAGGAACAATCAGACAGCAGCATTCGTGGTTGCCTGATACCCAGGCAAACAGGGTCTGGAGTGGACCTCTAGCAAACTCCAACAGACCTGCAGCTGAGGGTCCTGTCTGTTACAAGGAAAACTAACAAACAGAAAGGACATCCACACCAAAAACCCATCTGTACATCACCATCATCAAAGACCAAAAGTAGATAAAACCACAAAGATGGGGAAAAAATAGAGCAGAAAAACTGGCAACTCTAAAAAGCAGAGCACCTCTCCTCCTCCAAAGGAACGCAGCTCCTCACCAGCAATGGAACAAAGCTGGACAAAGAATGACTTTGACGAGTTGAGAGAAGGCTTCAGACAATCAAACTACAAGCTACAGGAGGAAGTTCAAACCAAAGGCAAAGAAGTTAAAAACTTTGAAAAAAATTTAGACGAATGTATAACTAGAATAACCAATACAGAGAAGTGCTTAAAGGAGCTGATGGAGCTGAAAGCCAAGGCTCGAGAACTACGTGAAGAATGCAGAAGCCTCATGAGCTGATGCAATCAACTGGAAGAAAGGGTATCAGTGATGGAAGATCAAATGAATGAAATGAAGCGAGAAGGGAAGTTTAGAGAAAAAAGAATAAAAAGAAATGAACAAAGCCTCCAAGAAATATGGGACTATGTAAAAAGACCAAATCTACGTCTGATTGGTGTACCTGAAAGTGATGGGGAGAATGGAACCAAGTTGGAAAACACTCTGCAGGATATTATCCAGGAGAACTTCCCCAATCTAGCAAGGCAGGCCAACATTCAGATTCAGGATACTCCTTGAGAAGAACAACTCCAAGACACATAATTGTCAGATTCACCAAAGTTGAAATGAAGGAAAAAATTTTAAGGGCAGCCAGAGAGAAAGGTCAGGTTACCCACAAAGGGAAGCCCATCAGACTAACAGCGGATCTCTCAGCAGAAACTCTACAACCCAGAAGAGAGTGGGGGCCAATATTCAACGTGCTTAAAGAATTTTCAAGCCAGAATTTCATATCCAGCCAAACTAAGCTTCATAAGTGAAGGAGAAATAAAATCCTTCACAGACAAGCAAATGCTAAGAGATTTTGTCACCACCAGGCCTGCCCTAAAAGAGCTCCTGAAGGAAGCACTAAACATGGAAAGGAACAACAAGTACCGGCCGCTGCAAAATCATGCCAAAATGTAAAGACCATCGAGACTAGGAAGAAACTGCATCAACTAATGAGCAAAATAACCAGCTAACATCATAATGACAGGATCAAATTCACACATAACAATATTAACCTTAAATGTAAATGGACTAAATGCTCCAATTAAAAGACACAGACTGGCAAATTGGATAAAGAGTCAAGACCCATCAGTGTGCTGTATTCAGGAAACCCATCTCACATGCAGAGACACACATAGGCTCAAAATAAAAGGATGGAGGAAGATCTACCAAGCAAATGGAAAACAAAAAAAGGCAGGGGTTGCAATCCTAGTCTCTGATAAAACAGACTTTAAACCAACAGAGATCAAAAGAGACAAAGGAGGCCATTACATAATGGTAAAGGGATCAATTCAAAAAGAAGAGCTAACTATCCTAAATATATATGCACCCAATACAGGAGCACCCAGATTCATAAAGCAAGTCCTGAGTGACCTACAAAGAGACTTAGACTCCCACACATTAATAATGGGAGACTTTAACACCCCACTGTCAACATTAGACAGATCAACGAGACAGAGACAGAAAGTTAACAAGGATACACAGGAATTGAACTCAGCTCTGCACCAAGTGGACCTAATAGACATCTACAGAACTCTCCACCCCATAACAACAGAATATACATTTTTTTCAGCACCACACCACACCTATTCCAAAATTGACCACATAGTTGGAAGTAAAGCTCTCCTCAGCAAATGTAAAAGAACAGAAATTATAACAAACTATCTCTCAGACCACAGTGCAATAAAACTAGAACTCAGGATTAAGAAACTTACTCAAAACTGCTCAACTACATGGAAACTGAACAACCTGCTCCTGAATGACTACTGGGTACATAACAAAATGAAGGCAGAAATAAAGATGTTCTTTGAAACCAATGAGAACAAAGACACAACATACCAGAATCTCTGGGACACATTCAAAGCAGTGTGTAGAGGGAAATTTATAGCACTAAATGCCCACAAGAGAAAGCGGGAAAGATCCAAAATTGACACCCTAACATCACAATTAAAAGAACTAGAAAAGCAAGAGCAAACACATTCAAAAGCTAGCAGAAGGCAAGAAATAACTAAAATCAGAGCAGAACTGAAGGAAATAGAGACCAAAAAACCCCTTCAAAAAATTAATGAATCCAGGAGCTGGTTTTTTGAAAGGATCAACAAAATTGATAGACCGCTAGCAAGACTAATAAAGAAAAAAAGAGAGAAGAATCAAATAGACACAATAAAAAATGATAAAGGGGATATCACCACCGATCCCACAGAAATACAAACTACCATCAGAGAATACTACAAACACCTCTATGCAAATAAACTAGAAAATCTAGAAGAAATGGATAAATTCCTCAACACATACACTCTCCCAAGACTAAACCAGGAAGAAGTTGAAATCTCTGAATAGACCAATAACAGGCTCTGAAATTGTGGCAATAATCAATAGCTTACCAACCAAAAAGAGTCCAGGACCAGATGGATTCACAGCCGTATTCTACCAGAGGTACAAGGAGGGACTGGTACCATTCCTTCTGAAACTATTCCAATCAATAGAAAAAGAGGGAATCCTCCCTAACTCATTTTATGAGGCCAGCATCATCCTGACACCAAAGCCTGGCAGAGACACAACCAAAGAAGAGAATTTTAGACCAATAACCTTGATGAACATTGATGCAAAAATCCTCAATAAAATACTGGCAAAACGAATCCAGCAGCACATTAAAAAGCTTATCCACCATGATCAAGCGGGCTTCATCCCTGGGATGCAAGGCTGGTTCAATATACACAAATCAATAAATGTAATCCAGCATATAAACAGAACCAAAGACAAAAACCACATGATTATCTCAATAGATGCAGAAAAGGCCTTTGACAAAATTCAACAACCTTCATGCTAAAAACTCTCAATAAACTAGGTATTGATGGGATGTATCTCAAAATAATAAGAGCTATCTATGACAAACCCACAGCCAATATCATACTGAATGGGCAAAAACTGGAAGCATTCCCTCTGAAAACTGGCACAAGACAGGGATGCCCTCTCTCACCACTCCTATTCAAAATAGTGTTGGAAGTTCTGGCCAGGGTAATTAGGCAGGAGAAGGAAATAAAGGGTATTCAATTAGGAAAAGAGGAAGTCAAATTGTCCCTGTTTGCAGATGACATGATTGTATATCTAGAAACCCCCATCATCTCAGCCCAAAATCTCCTTAAGCTGATAAGCATCTTCAGCAAAGTCTCAGGATACAAAATCAATGTACAAAAATCACAAGCATTCTTATACACCAATAACAGACAAACAGAGAGCCAAATCATGAGTGAACTCCCATTCACAATTGCTTCAAAGAGAATAAAATACCTAGGAATCCACCTTACAAGGGACGTGAAGGACCTCTTCCAGGAGAACTACAAACCACTGCTCAATGAAATAAAAGAGGATACAAACAAATGGAAGAACATTCCATGCTCATGGGTAGGAAGAATCAATATCGTGAAAATGGCCATACTGCCCAAGGTAATTTATAGATTCAATGCCATCCCCATCAAGCTACCAATGACTTTCTTCACAGAATTGGAAAAAACTACTTTAAAGTTCATATGGAACCAAAAAAGAGCCTACATTGCCAAGTCAATCCTAAGCCAAAAGAACAAAGCTGGAGGCATCACACTACCTGACTTCAAACTATACTACAAGGCTACAGTAACCAAAACAGCTGGTACTGGTACCAAAACAGAGATACAGATCAATGGAACAGAACAGAGCCCTCAGAAATAATGCCGCATGTCTACAACTATCTGGTCTTTGACAAACCTGAGAAAAACAAGCAATGGGGAAAGGATTCCCTATTTAATAAATGGTGCTGGGAAAACTGGCTAGCCACATGTAGAAAGCTGAAACTGGATCCCTTCCTTACACCTTATACAAAAATCAATTCAAGATGGATTAAAGACTTAAACGTTAGACCTAAAACCATAAAAACCCTAGAAGAAAACCTAGGCATTACCATTCAGGACATAGGCATGGGCAAGGACTTCATGTCTAAACCACCAAAAGCAATGGCAACAAAAGCCAAAATTGACAAATGGGATCTAATTAAACTAAAGAGCTTCTGCACAGCAAAAGAAACTACCATCAGAGTGAACAGGCAACCCACAAAATGGGAGAAAATTTTCGCAACCTACTCATCTGACAAAGGGCTAATATCCAGAATCTACAATGAACACAAACAAATTTACAAGAAAAAAATAAACAACCCCATCAAAAAGTGGGCGAAGGACATGAACAGACACTTCTCAAAAGAAGACATTTATGCAGGCAAAAAACACATGAAAAAATGCTCACCATCACTGGCCATCAGAGAAATGCAAATCAAAACGACAATAAGGTATCATCTCACACCAGTTAGAATGGCAATCATTAAAAAGTCAGGAAACAACAGGTGCTGGAGAGGATGTGGAGAAAAAGGAACACTTTTATACTGTTGGTGGGACTGTAAACTAGTTTAACCATTGTGGAAGTCAGTGTGGCGATTCCTCAGGGATCTAGAACTAGAAATACTATATGACCCAGCCATCCCATTACTGGGTATATACCCAAAGGACTATAAATCATGCTGCTATAAAGACACATGCACATGTGTGTTCATTGCGGCACTATTCACAATAGCAAAGACTTGGAACCAACTCAAATGTCCAACAATGATAGACTGGATTAAGAAAATGTGGCACATATACACCATGGAATACTATGCAGCCATAAAAAATGATGAGTTCATGTCCTTTGTAGGGACATGGATGAAATTGGAAATCATCATTCTCAGTAAACTATCTCAAGAACAAAAAACCAAACACCGTATATTCTCACTTATAGGTGGGAATTGAACAATGAGAACACATGGACACAGGAAGGGGAACATCACACTCTGGGGACGGTTGTGGGGTGGGGGGAGGGGGGAGGGATAGCATTGGGAGATATACCTAATGCTAGATGACAAGTTAGTGGGTGCAGCGCACCAGCATGGCACATGTATACATATGTAACTAACCTGCACATTGTGCATATGTAGCCTAAAACTTAAAGTATAATAATAATTAAAAAAAAGAGAAAGAAAAAAGGAAATTGAAAATAGAAAAACAATAGAATCAATGAAACCAAGAGATGGTTCTTTTGAGGATCAATAAAATTGATATATCACTACTCAGACTGACAAACTTAAAAAGAGAGAAGACAGAAATCACCAAATCAGGGCTGGGCATGGTTGCTCACGCCTGTAATCCCAGCATTTTGGGAGGCCAAGGCAGGCAGATCACCTGAAGTCAGGAGTTTGAGACCAGCCTAGCCAACATGGCAAAAGCCCATCTCTACTAAAAATACAAAACTTAGCCAGGTGTGATGGTTCATGCCTGTAATCTCAGCTACTTGGGAGGCTGAGGTAGGAGAATCACTTGAACCTGGGAGGCAGAGGTTGCAGTGAGCTGAGATCTCACCACTGCACTCCAGCCTGGGTGACAGAGCGAGACCTCATTTCAAAAATAAAGAAAAAGAAAAAAGAAGAAAAAGAAGGAAATGACCACATCAAGAATGAAAAAGGGAATATAACTACAGACTTCACAGATATTAAAAATATAATAGCATCTCTATGCAAGTAAAATTGACAAATTACATGAAAGGGACTAAATCCTCAGAAATCACAAGCAATCAGTCTCACTCAAAATGAAGTAGACAACTCAAACAGTCCTTTAACAATTCTAAAAATTGAATTTGTGGTTTAAAACGGCATTAAAAAAAATCTCCAACTCCTAATGTTTCCACCAACATACTTCTTTTCTTAATACAACAGCTCTACTGGAGGATTGCTCACATACCACACAATTCACCCACTTAAAGTGGGCAATTTAATAGTTTTTGGTATATTCACAGAGTTGTGAAACCATCATCACAATTTGTTTTAGAACATTTTATCTCAGCAAAGGGAAATCCTGTATCCTCTAGCAATCACTCCCTATTTTCCCCCAACCCTCCAGCCCTAAAGGACCACTAATCTTTCTTTCTGTATGGATTTACTTATTCCAGACATTTCATATAAATGGAATAATACCATATGTAGTCTTTGTGACTAGTTTCCTTTCACTTACCGTAATATTTTCAAGGTAAATCTGTGTTATATAGCATGTATCTGTACTTCATTTCTATGGTCAAATAATAGTCTATTGTATGGGTATACTACATTTGATTGATCCATTCAAAAGTTGATGGATGTCAGGGTGGTTTCTACTTTTTGGCTATTATTAATAACATAGCTATAAACATTTGTTTGCAAGTTTTTATGTGGAGTTGTTTTTTCATTTCTCTTGGGTATATAGCTTGAAGTAGAATTGCTGGGTCATATTGTAACTATATATTTATCTTTCTGAGAAACTGCCAGACTTTTCCAGAGTAGCTGTACTGCTTACATTCTCACCAACAGTGTATGAAGTCTCTAATTCCTCCACATCCGTATAGCACTTATTATAATCTCTTTTTTTTTTTTAATTCTAGCCATCCTAGTGACTGTGCAGTAGCGTCGCAATATGGCTTTGATTTGCATTTCCTTGAGGACTAACAATGTTGAGTGTCTCTTCATTTGCTTATTGGCCATTTGTATGTCTTCTTTGGAGAAATGTCTATTCTGATTCTTTGCCTTTTTATTATTGAATTGTGTTCTTTATATATTTTAAATACAAGTTATCAGATATATTAGATACAATTCAGATATATATATTTATATATTTAGATACAATTATCAGATACATAATTTGCTAATATCTTCTCCTATTCTCTAAATTGTCTTTTCACTTTCTTGGTCATATTCTTAGAACAAAAGTTTTTTAAATTTTGATGAAGTCCATTTTATCTTTCTTTTGTTGCTTGTGCTTTTGCTGTCATATCTATTTATGTTTATTCTAATCTAAGGTCATGAAACTTTACTTCTATATTTTTTTCCTAAGAGTATTGCAGTTTTATTTTTAACATTTAGGTCTAGAATCCATTTGAGTTCATTTTTATGTATGGTGTGGGAAAGGAGTTTTTCACATGTGAGTATCTAGTTGTCCCAAGTACCATTTGTTGAAAATATTATTCTTTCCCCCATTGAATTTTCTTGGCACCATTGTCAAAAACTCAATTGACCATAAATATGAGGATTTATTTCTGGACTCTTAGTTCTATTTCATTAGTCTATATGTCTATCTTTATGCTAGTACCACACTTTCTTGATACTGTAGCTTTAACTTTGAAATGGGCAAGTGTGAGTCCTCCAACTTGACTCTTCTTTTTCAAGATCATTTTGGCTATTCTAGGTCCCTTGCATTTCCATATGAATTGTAAAATTAGCTTGTCAATTTCAGCAAAAAAGGCACCTGGAATTTTGTAGGGATTGAATTGGATCTGAAGCTTGGTTAGGAAGTGTTGCCATCTTAATATCAAGACCTCCAATCCAGGAACATGGGCTGTGTTCATTTATTTTGGTCTTTAATTTTTTTAATAAATGTTTTGTAGTTTTCAGTGTTCAAGTCTTTATTATTTAAAGAAGTTTAATTTTACTTCTTTAGTTAAATTTATTCCTTTTTTATTTTATTTTAGAGATGAAGTCTTGCTGTTTTGCCCAAGCTGGAGTGCAGTGGCATGATCTCGGCTCATTGCAACTTCTGCCTCCTGAGTTCAAGAGATTCTCCTGCTTCAGCCTCCCCAGTAGCTGGGATTACAGGCACGCACCACCACACCCAGCCAATTTTTGTATTTTTAGTAGAGATGGGGTTTCACCATGTTGGCCAGGCTGGTCTTGAACTCCTGACCTCTAGAGATCCACCCGCCTCGGCTTCCCAAAGTGCTGGGATTATAGGCATGAGCCACTGCGCTCAACCCACTATTTTATTTTTTGATGCTATCATAAATGGAATTGTTTTAATTACATTTTTGAATGTCCATTGCAAGTATATGGAAACAATCGATTTTTGTATATTGATCTTGTATTCTGCAGGCTTGCTGAACTTGAAGTTTTATCAATTGTTAGTGTATTTTTGAGGATTTTCTATATTCAAGATCAGGTTATCTGCAAACAGATAGTTTAAGGGAAGATCACATGAGATAGTGCATGTGTCTAGCACATGGGAGCTTTCACTAGATGACTAGATGACACCCTCATTGGTTGCTACCTCCTTTCATGCCCCTGGAGTGGGGGCTCCCCTTCTCTGCAGAGTCAATCCTCTATCTGCCTTCCATATTGAGTGGGATCCTAAGAGATGAGCTGCCTGGATGCTGCCTCTGCCTAAACAGGTTTACTCTGAACACGTCCCTCAGCCCTATCATTGCCCATGGCTTCAGCCCCTTCTCCCAGGCAGAAAGGAATCCCAGGCCTGAAATGCACCCCTTCTACATGGAGTGCCCTAGTACAGAGAAAGAAAGAGGGAAGTGGAGGTTTTCACAATCCAGCATTTCTTTTTCCCAAGGTGAGGCCACCACTGTGCATCCTGGGGGCAGGAGGCTCTTTGAAGAGGAGACAGGGGAGAACAGCCAGCACTAGCACAGCACCATTCGAGCCACATTCTGAATGACTCCAAATAAACAGGAGTAAAACGAGCTGCATACATGCTAATTGTACACTAAAAATTTAATATCTGGAAATTCTGCTCCTACAGTTATTACATACCTGTATCACAGTTTCTAAAAGCTCAACACATTTTTATTTTTCGCCCTCATGGGCCAGATCCTGCCCCCAGTTCAGTGACTGAGATGGGGCTGAGCTGTGCTGGGCAGGCCTTACTCACTCCTTGACAGAGTCCACCTTGAATCAGGTGGTTCTTAGATTGTTCTGTGGATTCTGGGGGCTTTGAAGTACACAGTCTCCTCTTAGTCCAGGGCACAAGCCCAAGGGTATCCTCTGACTGCTCCCAGCATGGGCACAGGCCTTGGTGGGAACAGAAATCCTGCTGCCTCTGAAAACAGATGGTTTCACCCAGCCTCAGGCCAGGCTCACCACCAAGCTCTGCCCCAGATTCCTGGTGTCCCACTTCCTCCACAGGTAGGCCAGGGGATGGGCCAGTCCACTTCTGACAGAGCCCTAATGTCCGCGATCTCTCACTGCCCCATGCTGCATCCTCCCAGCCCCTCTGTCAAGACAGAGCAATAATGCCTCCTCTGTGTGATCATTGTGAGGGTAAGGTTGTCACCTGACACATAGCACAGGCTCTGAGAGCATCTGTTTCCTCCTTCCTACAGAGATGGGAGGTTCAGTGGTTAGTGCTAGCAGGTCACTTCCTCTGAGTCAAGTGCTGTGCGTGGCTCCTTTTAAGGAGTGTCTCATTCAGCCCTTGAGTCAGGGAGCCATACCCTCCTGCTCACTGGAGCTTATGGAAATGATTGGGCTCCTCTGGAGCATTGTAACCAGAGAGGTAATATGGGGAGTTAGGAAGCCTCCAGGCAGAGCCCTCCAACCCGAAGGCTGCTTGGTGATGCTAAGCCCTGGCCAGTCCCAGAGGACACTGGGACACATATGCCAACTGAGCCCCAGAAGGAGCCTCAGACTCCCATCCCAGATAATAACACAGGATTACTCAGATATATTATTCTCCGCATTGAAAAAATAGCAACACCATTGTGAGTAGAGCCTGCTGAAAGAAGGGCTGGCAGCATTTTGGAGATGCATTGCTCTTAGTTGGTTTTATGGCATATTTGCATTTAAATAGATTCGTTAACTCTTTTGCTGAACTTCACAGTAATATAGCCTTAGAAGTGCTGACTAATAGGGCAGCATGTGCTTAATTTTCACTTTGATCTTAACACTGATACATTGTCTTATCGTAGCCATTCCAGTCCAAATGACACTTGGAAAGACAAGGTTTAAATTAGTTTTTTGTTCTTTTTGGTTAAAACAGACAGCCCTTAGGCCTGCAGACATGGAAGGTGCTCCTCTCACAGCTGGCCCAGCTGGCCCGGGTTCCAAGCTCTTCTTGGAAGTCATTTCTCTCAGTGGGAACAAGGCTTCCCAACAGCAGGGGAGCCCAGTGCCTCGTGGGAGAGCTCTGTGGGTAGGGGCTCCCGGAACCCTGTCAGGTCCTGTCCTGGGCTCAGCAAGTGCTGTGCTGGGGCTGGCTTGTGCCACCTCTCAAGGGTTGATTATTAAATTTTCAGGAATTTTACATGCTGCTCCTTCAACAGTCATTATTAAAAATTAAATGATGTAAACCTACGAGTAAATTACATTTAAAATCCAGGTAATAGATACTTGAAACTCATTGTTTCATTACGTGCCTGCAATGTATGCCATTGAGGTCAAATCAGCACCCCACATTTTATTTCAATAAACTGATTGTTAACCAGCACGTAACCACTGGTAACAACTGGCATGACCCAGAGGTGCTATGGGCCTCCATTCACCCTACGCCCCTCTGGGGGTGCCCTCACCAGGTGCCCACCAACCTCTTGGGGGGTTATCTGTCAGCCCTGGGCAGGACAGTGTAGGGAAGGAAAGTTGCTTCCCTCTATCCTTTCAGTTCTTTGGCTGGTCTATGAATTAAGTTGATGTAAGAAAAATTAATAGGAGAAAAAACATTTTAACTATGTACATAGGCACGGGAGTCCCACAAAAACATGAGACTCAAAGAAAGGCCAGATGATGGAGGCTTTTAAGCATTCTTTTGTTTTTGTTTTTGTTTTTTTTTGAGACAAAGTCTCACTCTATCGCCCAAGCTGGAGGGCAGTGGTGCGATCTTGGCTCACTGTAACCTCCACCTCCCAGGCCTCAGCTTCCCAAGTAGCTGGGACTACAGGCACACACCACCACACCTGGCTAATTTTTGTATTTTTAGTAGAGGTGGAGTTTCACCAAGTTGGCCAGGCTGGTCTTGAACTCCTGGCCTCATGTGATTCACCCGCCTTGGCCTCCCAAAGTGCTGGGAATACAGGTGTGAGCCACCGCGCCTGGCTGAGGCTTTTAAGCATTCTGAGGTACAGAAAGGAATAGGGGTTTGGGGCTTCTGGAGGTGGTGAAGGCAAGTTACGGGACAGGAAGTGGAGGAAATGTCTTGTGAATAAAGGTCAGCTTGTTATGCAGTTAAAAGTCTCTCAGGTGATAAAAGTTGTCTCAGAGTAGTGCCCTTCCTGGTACAGACACTTTTACTAATAACAATTTCTTTTATAAATGTAAATTTTCTTTACAAAATGTAAAATTTATACCTTATTTTAGGCTGTTGAGGGGAAGGTAAAGAGCTTTTCCTACACTGGCTGGTTGTCCATTTCTTTTAGCTCAAAATAATGAAGACAACAAAGTGATACATTTTGGGGTGACATGTTCTGAACTTCAACAGCATCTAGCGGATGCCTAGAAGGGCAGCTTTGGGCATTGCAGATGTTTGGCCAGGGCCAAAGGCCTGCAGAGTTCCTCTGTGGGTGCAGCACAAAGTAGCAAGTGAAAGCAGCTGCATGAAAAGCACCACTAGAGGGTCTGCTGGACTGCGCACCCCTCCCTCTTGGCTCTTAGGTAATCCCCAGAGGGACCTGTCCCCCATCCTCTCCTTCAGCCCTGGACCCACCTCTCCTGGAAGACATCCAATGCCTGAGGCCTCACAGGTTTTCTCATCCTCAGGACGTCCAAGGTTCCTGCCTTGTGCCTGGATGATGGGAGCAGCCTCCCACTGATTTCTCAGCACCCCCAGGCTGCATCTGGCTTCACCTCACAAGGCTCTTGATGTCTCTTCCCTCCTCTAGGATCTACACTGCCTCCCTACGGCTGCCACATCCAGCACTAACTCCCCACTCTGGGTCTCAGTGACCCCCAGCCCTGCAGTCCAGTTACTCTTTAGAATGAGGCTTTGGGAGGGAGTTAGTTTATGTTGGTGAGCCAGCCTCATTCTATCATGGCCTAGGTCCAGCATCCTTTTGGCCAAAGAGAATCATTGAAATGGCCCAGGTGCCAAGTACCTGAGTTTTCTGCCCTTGGCCTCCATCCTCCAGGTGTCCCCAGCCCCTTTTGCCCTGCAGGGTCTCTGCTCCTGTGCTTGCTCTCTGGCCTCCTTGCTTCCTTTCTAAAGCCTGTCCCTGCTTTGGTGTCCACATGAAGGCCATCACTGCCTCTAATCCTTTGTCCTTTTAGGAACAAAGGGCCAGACCTACACATGTAATGGGACATATGAAAGGCAGTTTGGGCAGACAGCAAATTGCACAAGCTGCCATGTTCCAGGGAAGTGTGAGCCTACAAAGGAGGACTTGTTGGAAATTCTGTGACTTTTCCACCTGTAACCCTCATCCAGGGCATAATGGGCTGAGTTGGGATGTGGGGGTTTCCCCTTCACCTTTGGTACAGAGAGGGGCTTCAGCAGGACACGTGAAGAGCTGGATTCATGTTCTCTGTGGTTTGGTGGTGGCATGGACGGCGTGTGATGTCTGTCTGGAAAACATGCAGGGCAAGGGGCTGCCTGGCCCATGGCTTCTCATACAGGCAGGGCAGGGGAATTAAGAAGAGTCTAGAAGATCAAGGAGGGCATTCTAGGCAAGAACAGCACAAAGGCTGCTGTTGAGATGGCGCCTTCCAGCCTCAGGGGCCCCAGCAGCCTGGCTGAAGTGCAGAGAGGTCTTGTGAGAAATTGTGAGGGCCTTGGAGAAGGCAGTTGGGGTCAGGTGAGAGCCTAGCTTCCCTAACCACTCTCCCTCCCTCTCCATCTCCTGTACCAGCTTCCTCTCGATTCTGGTGCCTGGCATGAGATCTCCAAGTCCTCTTCCATGTCTCTGTGTCGCCTTACCTTTCCAGGTTTTCATGCCCCCTCTGCTGCTGCAGCTTCTGATTCACACTCCAACACCTGTACTCCTCCTCCTACAGCACTTCTCCTTTACATCTCCCCTTGGATGCCCAATCAACTTCTCAGTCCCAACATATCCCACTCTGAACTTGTCATTGCTCCCTCAAAACCTGTTTCTCCATTTTCCTCAGCTCTGTGAGTAACATCACCATCCTCCCAGCCAGAAGTCAGAGAGCTGACTTGGGCCTCATCTGTCCACATCCAATCTATCACTACACCTGGTCAACTCTCTCTCTGATGGTCACTTAAATCCAGGCATTTCTTGCCACTCCCAACCCACGCCCACATGCAAACAGCCAGCATCACTTCTTGTCCAGCTGCCTGGCCTCCAGCTGTCCCCTGTGTCCTCTACTCCCAGTGATTTATTCTTTACACAGCAGCCAAAGTGGTTTTCCTGAAAACACATATCAAATCATATCACTCCATGGCTTAAGCCCCTCCAGTTGCTTCCCACAGCATCCAGATTTAAAGCAGTGGCCCTTCACCATGGCCTAGAAGGCCCTGTATCATCTGCTTCCTTCCCACACCACAGGTCATTGTGTCCTCCGCACTTCCTACACTCCCCAGGAGCCCCAGTGACTCTGACCTCCCCTGTCCCCGCCAGGGCATACCTCTCCTGACCAAGGGGTTTCTACTCACGCTGGTCTTTCCATCTGAAATGCTCTTCCCCCGGGACTCCTCTTTCAGAGCTCAGCCTAAATTTCTGCTCCCTGCGGACACCTTCCCGAACACCTCTCCCCAACTCTCTGCTTCCACAGAGATTTTTCCCTCCTTCCCATCCCTTAGTCACCATCATGAAACCACCTTTGCAAAAATTATAACAGTGAGAAAATTATAACAGTGAAGGAGATCCGATCTAACCAATTCCATCTTGTCTTTAATCTCCAAACTGTTCTTGGTCATTACCGGACATGGGCCAAGCTAAATTTGGGAGACATTTCCTGTATAGTTTAAATGATGTAATAGCCCTTCCTAAAACTAAACCGCCTTTGTAAAACTCATGAAAAACCATAAGGTTAGGAAGATGAGAGGGGCCTGAATCTGCTAAGATGTAGGCATAAACTTTTACCATCCATTATTCTGGAGGTCACAAGATTTGTCACTTCCCAATTACTCCTATAAATAACATCACTATTGTGGAACCTAAGATTAGCCTTTTGAGATGTCCTTTCAGACTTTTGCATTTCTAACAACCAGGTGGCCCCACCTGGACCCAAGATTCATGACTCAACATCCCTGTGGCTTCCCTCCATCAAGACTCAGTGCACAAGGATCATTTTCCATTTTCCCAACTCTTATGATTCCATCACCAACCAATCAGCAGCATCCATTCCCTAGCTCCCTGGCGGCCACGCTATCTTTGAAAGACCCTAGCCTTGACCAGGCACGATCATGCCTGTAATCCCAGCACTTTACAGGCCAAGGCAGGCGGATCACCTCAGGTCAGGAGTTTGAGACCAACCTGAACAACATGGTGAAACCCTGTCTCTACTAAAAATACAAAAATTTGCTGGGCATGGTGGCAGGCACCTGTAATCCCAGCTACTCGGGAGGTTGAGGCAGGAGAATCACTTGAACCCAGGAGGTGGGGGTTGCAGTGAAACAAGATCATGCCATTGCACTCCAGCCTGGGTGACGGAGCAATACTCTGTCTCAAAAAACAAAAACAAAACAAAACAAAAAACAAAAAAACCCTAGCCTCCCAATTTTGGGGGAGGCTGCTTTAAGTAATAATAAAACTCTGGTCTCCTGTTTGGCTTGCTGTAGTGCATTAAACTCTTTCTCTATTGCAATTTGCCTGTCTTGACATCTGGGAAGGAGGCAAGAAGAACCCCAACGGGCAGTTACAATTATAGCACTTGATTTTCTTTATAGCACTTCGTATTTTGCTTCCTTATTGTTAATTCATGCATTGATCCCATAGATAGAATGGAGAGCTGTCCAAGGTTCTGGAGACACAGCAAGAACCACACAGACCTCATCTCTTACCCAGCTGACTGTCAGCTCCCCTGTGCCTGTTCTGTGGCCTACAGGCCTAGCACAGAAAGGGGGTGCAACAAATATTTGTTAAAAGAATTTGTTGTTTCATTAATGGGTTTGTGTAGGGAATAGGCTTGAACTGATGAAAACAGTGTCTTAGCTGTAAAGTCTCATAGACATGGGATAGTTGCAAATCCAATAAACCAACTGGAATATACCAGAAGGCATTTTGGAGCCCATAGCAAATCATTTTTTAGAGCAAAGAATCCTTTTGTAATGGAATTGATCTGTTGCTTCCTCTCAACTCTTTGTTGTTCTTGCTCTGGAGCTTTTTCCTGGGTTCATGAACCTTCTGAAATGATATGCAAAATATGCACACGCACACATTTTCGACACTTCTTTGAGGTGTTCATGTCTTCCATTAGACTCTCAGATTCCCATTACTCTGAAAAGGTCAGGAGACATGGCTCTGGCTTGTGCATTTTTTCAATACTGTTTTGATGGTGCCCTTTCCTGGTGAGTCAAGTACACTGGTAATTGTCTATTTTTAGAAAACAGCTCTTTATTAGCTACAAACTTCCATCTAGCCATCAGTAAATGAATCATCAGGTCCATGCACTCAGTGAAAACTCTTATATATAAAGCATAACAGTGCTTTCTAATACTGAGATGGAAAAATATCTTTTCACTGTATTTCAAAGAGGCTGAAAGCAACAAGTCTTTTAAAAATATGAAAAGCAAGATATGTTGCTCAAAAGCAGAAGAGCCCTTGGAAATTTCTTGTTAAGGCAAAAAAATAAAAAAAGGGCATTCTCAGTTTCAAGCTGCTGCTGAGTCTCACAGTGAACTTTACTCAGTCTGAGATGAAGGATTTCTTCTCCCAAGATTAACACTGAAGAGGAATTTTTAGAAGTCACAGTCCCTTGAGCCGCATCCCTTAGGAAAAAACCTGAGCTCCATCTCCTTGAATCAAAGAGTGAAATCTTCTCCACTCCCCATTCCCCATTCTGCCAATTCCCATGTCCCTTATGGAGCCAGCCTCCATTTATGTCCCCTCTGTCAAATCCAAGGCCAGTTCTGGCCATACCCTGCACCCCCTTGCGGCCAGTGGTGCCACCTCACCTAGTCCCTTACCTAGCCGGCACTCTGCCCAGGAATCTGCTCCAGACTGTGCCCCAGGGAGTCTTCCAGGAGGGCAAGTGGCTGTCACTTCCTCTCCTCATTGTCCACTGCCCTGTGTGGCCCTCCTGGGACTTTCCTCATGGTGCTCTTTCTTTTGTGGACTCATCTGCCCACCCACCGCCCTTCTGGCCACCTCATTCCACATCCCAGCTTCCAAGGTAGGGGCAGGGAGCACGGTGGGTGGGAGCAGCTTGGAACCCTATGCTGAGTCAGGTCAAGTCACCTCTTTTCCCCCTCTGAGAGCCAAATCTGACCCCACAACCCCCACCTGTGTTTTGCCCCCCAGAATACCCCAACCAAGTTGCCCTGTGAGAGAATTCCTGGGGTATAGAGGGAAAGTCACCCACAGATACCACAGAGTTACCAAAGGGTCAGGAAAAAGAAGCAGGAAGGAGGGGAGAGCAATTTACAATAGTGCTTGAGGCTGTCCTGTTACCTCCCTTTATGATCCTTGACAAGGTTTATAACATTTTCAAAGAGTTTCTAAAGCTTTCCTCCATGTCTGCAGGCTTTGAGCATGTACTGCCTTGACATAGTGGCTTCCAGGTCTGGGACTGGTCTGGATAAGCTGATGCATTTTTGCATAGTCCTCAAGGTTAAAGAAAGTTATACTTCCAGAGTTTTTGGTTTGCTTTGCTTTTGTTTGGTTCATTTTCTATTATGGAAAATTGCAAACATGTGCAACAGTAAAGCTAATAGAATGATAAACCTCTATGTATCCCCCAGACAGCTTTGACAGTTCAATTTGTGCCAATCTTGGTTCATCTTTTCCTGCCACCCCACCTGCCCAGTTAATTATTTTGAAGAAAATTCCAGAATTCATAGCATATAAATATTCCCATATGAATCTCCAAAAGATAAGGAATCTTTTATGTAAACATAACCATAGTACAATTATCACATCTAAAAACTTTGATGATAATTCTCTCATATCACCAAATATGCAGTCAATATTTACCTTTCCCTCACTGTTTCATAAATGGTTTTATTTTTATGCTTTTTTAAAATCAGGATCCAAGTAAGGTCTACACTTTGCAATGGGTTGTTATAGTTCACAAGTCTCTTTCAGTTGGAGTTACCCTTCCAACTCTTTTTTCCCCCTTATAATGTATTTGTTGGAGAATATGCTTCACCTTTAGACATTCTCTTCATTTTTTTGTCATTGCTTCTGCCTCCTCTGACATTCTTGTTTTTTTCTTGCTCTGACTCTGTCTTTCTTCAAATATCTGGTGGGGCTTGGCTGCCCACTTATTTCATTTAGAGGGAGGATGGGAAGTCTTTCTCTTGGGCTGTTCGTTTCCACAGCTGGGGACTGTTTAGTCTCTGCCAAAGGGGATGTACGTCTGCCTACCAGATTTTTTTGGGCAAGGTGGGGGAAGGGATTTGGGGTCTGGCTATTATGTCATCATTAATTTAATCCCCTGTTCTGGAGATACACCCCTTCTTCAGCAGTCTCAGCTGCTCCCTGGGTCTCCGTTTCCCAGGCTCAGTCTCTCCAGAGTTACCTCCTGAAGAATGGCACACGGGGAATGGGAGTCTGGGGCCTGTTGATGTTCCTCAGTCAAAGATCATCAAGAGCACACCTATAGTCAGACACATTTGGGGTTTATTGACTTATTAATGAGGGAAACTGCCATCATGGAGAACTATGGGTGTCTCTGGAAGAGAGAATTAGGAAAGACTTGAAATTGGATTTGAGTTCTCTGGATTGGGTGCTGGCAAATGCGGAGTAATCTTGTGATGACATCATGAATCTTGTCTGGGAGTTGGGAGGAGTGAAGCAGGGCAAAAGCTGTAATCAATGAAGAAGCCACAGCCACTCGTATTTGCCAGAAAGAGAGGTGCCTTGGTCATTTTTCAGGTTTGGACAGGGTTGCTGTTTTTATGGATGCCCAGGCATGGTTATGGAGTGGTTTTGTTTTTATCTTTATCCATCACAGTCACAGAGTGGCCTTGTCTGATGTATGTTCTGTGAAACTGTTTTTGTTTGGCAGGAGACTGTCAAGGGCTAGCTAGCTATCTGTGCCAGCTAGCTTCCAGGGGCTGCTCTTTCCTCTCTCTGGTCTGAACTGCATCTGTGTGCTCAGTCCCCTGACACCTCTGGTGCTGAGTCCTCCCTGCTCATAGCTCACATGGCTGGCTGACCAGCTCTCTTCCCTGCCAACTCTCAGTTCTCAGCCCGGAGCTTCCTCTGGTTTGTGAGGTCAGTGGCCACTCAGACATCTGGTTTCCACATTTTTGTTGCCTTCCCCTCTTCTATGGTCTCTTTGCCTGTCTCTTTATCTTATTGGGCTTGTGTCTTTTTGTTTGTCTGTTCGTTTCTTCACTGTCATTTTAGAGGACGTTGGGGAGAGGCAGTGGTAGGTGACAGCATCCCCACCGCATATTTTACTGGAATTCTATCACGCTTTCAGCTCAGCCCAACTTCTCAGAAAACTACTCCTCAGTGAGGTCTTTCTGTCCTTTGTGGGGAAATGTCTAATACTTCTGCTCAATAAATCTCCTCCTTGATAAAACAGGGAGAATCTGTGTGGACTATAGGCCAATATTGGGATGAAGAAAGTTCCAATTCCCTTATTTAATGAGAACTGTATTTTTCCGCAGGCATTTCACTTTATCATCTGACCCCACACTGACGCTATGGCATCATCGGGAATCTCATGGATTCGTTTGTTTTCCAAAGTGGATTTCCCTTGGCTGAGTAACTTAGTTCCTTTATGCATGGAGCAGGAGAAATATTTGCTTCTTACAAACTGTCAAGGTAGTAAATGGACACTTTAATAAGAACCATACTTCTCATCTGTGAGATTCGGTATTTTTAATTAACTAGGCAGACAGATCCTTGTCTCCTTTTTAAAGATATAAATTACTAAAGGCTACAAGGGGAAAATGTCCATTTAATGCAATGACATGCTCATACCATCTGTCTCAGCAACTTGGCTTCACTCAGTTGTACTCTGTGGAGACATAATGACAATATTATAAAATAATCATCACTAAGATGCCTTCGCAGGGAGCCGAGACTCTTCCATCATCATCGTAATTACACATCCCTCGTAATGCATCAAATGTGGAGAAAATATCATTGTTGATATCCCTCAAGAAGGAAGTCAGTCCTGGGGATGGGAAGACTGATTCCAGTTCTGAAGATCCCCAGTTGTTCACTTTTTTGTAGCAGACTCTTCAGGAGTGGGAAACTGCAGGTGCAGGAGCTGCATGGAGCGGCCTGGAATGAAATCCACTTGTGATACCTTTCAAAAATCTTGTTCATATATATATATATATAAATATATATATAATCATATTTTTGAAGAGCTGTATTTGCACGTAGGCTGAGGTTTGTTATTGGAAATGAATTTACTCTCTGAAAGAGGAGGGTATGTTATTATTAAGCAACCATTCTTATTACTAGGAGGTACAATAATAACAATATAATAGCACTACCTACTGTGATTTATACGGCAACTCTGTGTGCCATAGATGGGGCATATTTTGTTTCACAACAGCCCAAGTTTGCCAGTGAGGACAAAAGGCCAGAGAAGCTGATAACATGTTACAGTTAGGGAGTGATGAACTGTAACTCAGGTCTAACTCAGCTCAAGGTCCCCTCCTCCAGGAATCCTTCCTTGACCTCGGCAGGCCCTCCATTTTGGCACTTGCCTCGCACCCCAGGAACTGCTATGTGTCTTCCCTGCTTGCTAGACCACAAGAGCAGGCTGAGAACTTCCTCACTTATTTCCAGTCCTGACTCAAGGTATCCTCTGGATAACTTCCTCCCAAACTCACCTAATGCCAAGCTGCGCCCCTCCCTCGTCTGTGCTCAGGTGTCGCCACCTGTCTGTCTCTGGCTTACACTCATGGGGAACTGGGATGAGAACTCTAAAAAGGGCCATTCCTTATAATACAAGCAAAACATGAAGTTACCAGCACTGGGGCTGAGGTGTTTCTACAAAAGGAGCAAGACTAATAAACAAAGAAGAAGGAGCAAAGGATGAGAAATGGCCAGTCCAACTGCAAGGCAGCCCTCCATATAGACATGCATTTTGCAGCTGATCTCTTGTGGGCAGCTCCCTGCAGTAAGCAAAGGCAGGAATAGACTGAGGAGTTTGTGACAAAGGCCAAAGTCTGTGCAGCTAGGAGAGTAAAGACAGCACATGATGAAGGCCATAGCCCCAAAGGACTGAGAAGGCAGAAAAAGCCTTATATTTTAAACTTAGAACTATATCCTATTTGAGTCTAAGACATGAGGAAGAGAAGATATTCAAAAGAAACAGCCTCTTTGGGTGTGATGGAGAACACTGGGTAGATTATGCAGTGGGTAATGATATCCGATGTTACAGTGGAGGACAGGCTCTGAGCGGGACTGCCTGGGTTTAGGTCCCAGCTGTGCCACTTTCTGATGTGGGACCTTGGGCTAATTATTAACCTATCTGTGCCTCAGTTAACCTTCTATAAAATGGGAGTGATAATAGTACCAATTTCATTGTTTTGAGGATTAAGTAGGTTAATACTATGAAGAGCTCAGAAGAGTACCTGGTCAATCAGCAGGGCCCCTGTGGACTGACACCTGCCATGTGCCAGCTCTGTGCCCTGTACTTTATGGGGGCTGACTCACAGGAGCCTGTTATGCTCCTCTGAGGCTGGCATTTTGATTAGCACCTCCCATTTTACAGGTAAAGAAACTAAGGCACAGATTGCCTACCTATATTTCCCAAGATCACACAGCTAAGAAGCAACAAAGCCAGGAGTTGAATCTGGTGAGAATCCCTCTCCTAACAACTGGGCTATGCTGTCTCTCAAAAGTACTCCTCTTATTAGTGTAGAGGTACCTGTTGGGGGTAGAATTGTGTCTCTCCAAAAGATCTTTTGAAGTCCTACCCCCCCACCCCATGGCTGTGAATGTGACCTTATTTGGTAATAGGGTCTTTGCAAAATATAATCAAACTAAGATGAGCTCATACTGGATTAAGGTGGGTGCTAATACAATAACTGGTGCCCTTAAAACAAGGGGGAGATTTGGACAGACACACAGAGAGAACACCATGTGACACCAGAGATTCGAATAATGCATCTACAAGCCAAGGTATGCAAAGAGTGCCAGCAGCAGACAAAGGCCTGGAAGAGGCAAAGAAGGATCTCTGCTAGAGGCTTCAGGGAGGGCACGGCCCTGCCTGCCCCTTGATTCTAGGCTTCTAGCATACAGAAGTATGATGGCACACATTTCTTGTGTTTTAAGCCACCAAATTTGGGATGCTTTGTTACAGCAGGCCTAGGAGTCTAATATAAATGTATATAGGTGTATAGATGTATAAACATATAGTCCAAATGTAGTTAGATGTATATTTCCATAGAAACTTGCTCTTTGAGAGTATGAACTTCTTTCTACAATGTGGTGTATGGTTAGTTAGGTAGGCTTATGTATGATTGCCAGCCAAAGCTGACTCGGTTGCTAACATATTTTATTAATAACTACAGATAAAGCCTGTCTGAATAGGAACCTTTGAGGAATGAGGTTGTTTGTAGGCTGATGGAATTCAGGTTGGAGCTCACATCCTCTCTGAATCACAGTCATCAGTCTGGTGGACAAAGGGAAGAACAGAGTGACACATATTGACACTTAGGTCCTAAGTTAAATGTACAAGGTCTCCAATTCAAGTCCTGGGGTGTCGATCACCCACAGAGCCTGTGCAGAGTAAGTTCCAGACTCAGCATGTGGGATGGAAAACAGAAACATTGGGTGGAGCAGATACTTGCTAGATCCGGTCATCCTTGGAGGAGAGTGTGAGAGCTTGTATAGAAAATTCAACCCCAGCTAAGCTGTAAGAAGTCAGTAGGCCCTGTCTGGACAGCATGGCATGTGGTTTTATTGCTTAACATGTAGTTCTAGTTTGCACTTGCTGAAGATGGCAGGGCTGTCTGCATGAATCATGAGAACATGTACTGTTGGGAGCTTTAGTCTGTTTTTCTGCTATACTATAGACTTCAACACAAACGCAGACCAGTAATTGGGGAAATGATCGGCCTGTCAGGGATGGCCTTGCAAACTTTCCGAATGATAGCAAATGCCACTGGACAGAGCAGGAGGGACCCAGAGACCACAGGGTTCTACATAGCAAGGACCTTCCACTCCCACTGCCAAGTGGCTGAAGGAAAGTTGCATTTATTGAGTCTTTTTCTAAACCAAAGTTGGTGTCCAAAGTCACAGCTCTGCCAAGGCCCCTAAGTGACCCCCAGAAGAGAGCATCAGCTGCTTCTCTCCAACACACAGCCCTAACCAAGTCTTCTTTATACTAGGCCTTGCATAAACACATGTTTCTTACGCTTTCAACAACCATACGAGGTGGGTTTAATATTTTTCTATTTTACTAATGAGGAAATGGCCTGTCTAGGGTCACCTGCTGGAATTCAAACATTCATTGTGATGTCTGAGCATTTCTCTCACACCACCATACCCCATGGACCTCAGTTCTAAAGGAAAATATCTTTCCATCATGACACTCAAATCGTCAATGTGACATTTTGAAACATATGTGAGAGACTGAATGAACAATGACTGACTACATATGATGATGAGATTCTGACTTGCAATCTGTATAGCCACAAAACTGGGAAGCCAAACCACAACCACTGTGGTGACCAGCCCGGAAGGATCAGCACCCGGCAGCAACTGCAGCTTCCCTGTGTTTTATCCTCATCCCCTCCCCAACACGGGACAAACCAGATAAAGCCCAATATGTGCTCCAGAACAATCACATAGGATGCCCCACTTCTAGTTAGTCTGCCTCCAGCTCCCCCACGCTAACAGCCTCCAGTCAGAGCATACCTGAAGCCTACCCTTTTCCACTAGGAAGCATCCCCACTCCCTGCCTGCCTTGGAGCCTCTGCCCAACACCATGGTGCTGGCTGTGGCTGACTCCCTTGCTATAGCTCTGAACGAATGGCTTCTGCTTGCTCTCATCTGGATGGTCTTTGTTGTTTTCACCTAAGTTTGTTAAGAATATTCTGCGTGTACAAGTGTTCAGATAATTGGTGATGAAACTTACCAAATAAACAGGACCTCGGTGACAATACCATGCACAGCATCGGGTGATGAAAGCAAACTAGGTAAATTAAAATTCTATTTTACACTAAAATAAAATTCATTAAATTCTGTCTCCACCATTTCAATATTACATTTCAAATATTGCCTGCCTCACTATCCCACCCACCCTAAAGGGTCTCTCTTGGCAGGAAGGGGAAAGGGTGAGAGTGGGGACAGATTCTTTTTGTCACATCTATCAGAGAAATCTATCTGAGAAGCAAGGACCGCCTGATAATTTGGAAACAGTGGAACTCAGTGGCATGACCTCTGGAGAGAGGGAAGGACAGGGTTTGTGATACACCGGAAGTGCCCTCTAGGTATAAAAGGATAATTTAGCACGTGCAAGCCATAACTCAGGAAGAAGCTACTGCTTTGAGAAATTACTATTGGGCAGTTATAAGCCGGCAGTCTCTACAGGTACTGAAAGCCATGTCCACAAATGAGAAGGCAAGGTCCTGGACTCACTACATTTTTGTAAATAAAATGGAAGGACACAAATTTCAGTGTCAACAGAGGTGAATTCTCAGTAGCAGGGGCGGTGGGGGGAGAAACAGATGGCTTCTGTTTTGTTTTCATTTAATTTTGTTATGTGTTTTGTGTGTGTGTGTGTGTTTTCCATGTGTTCTGCAATAAACACCCCAAACTTCTGGAATTAGAAAAGTTATTTTTAAGAATATAAGTGTTGGGATATGGGGGAAGATGTTATATCTTTCAAGACATTGTGAAGTGATGGCATAAAAGTTACCATATAAAAAGGTCACTGCTGAGAGGCAAGCTGTGAACTTATAAAATGTTACTGTGAGAAAATATTTTGAAATTGATAGGACGTGTTGGAGAGTAAAGAATTTGTCAGTATCTCTAGGGTTAGAAATCACGATGAGTGCACTTCTGGCTCAGGGCCCTTGCACTGACTGTTCCCTCTGTCCTGACACTTTTCCCTAGATTTCTGCCTGCCATCCTTCCTCATTTCCTCAGGTATTTGCTCCAGATCTTCACCAGACCATGCTATATAGAAAGCATGCCCCACACTCTGTCACGAACGTGTTTACCTGTTCATTGTCCTCCCCTCACTAGAACATCGTGTGCCTGAGAGCAGAGATTAGGTCTGTTTTGTTCATTTATATATACATATATATATATATATATATATACACATATACATATATATATGCCTGGGGCTTGACACAATAGATATAATAGGTGCTCAAAGTATTTGTTGAATGGACAAATGAGTAAATGAATGAAGTCATTTCAAACCAGTTAGAGGTTTTAAGGGGTGGTACAAGTGTTATTTTCTGGTATTGTGTTGGGAGACCCAAGTCTGTCTCCTCATGGGCTCCTTGAAGGTGATGTGTACACTAGACTCTCAAATCAAAGCAATGGTCTTGGCCTCAAACTTCTACATATTTAATCTTTAATGAGCTCTTCCAGTCCATGGGAAGAGGGTGTAAAGGACTTAGAGCTATAGAACCTAGACTGTGGCTCATAAGTTTCAACTTCCACTAAAAGGAACCAGAGTAGAAAAATGGCTGATTTCATGCCTGGGGCTGAAAGCATACAAGATGAGCCTGGGACACCTTGTCATGCCTGAAAACAAAGAGCTCTTAATGTCTACTAGATTGATGTCAAAATAGACCCCAGAACCAGCCTGAAGAGGTGCCCATTGCCCAAAGACAGGGCCATTTGAATAATGATGGCAGTGTTTTGAAACATACCAAATATATAAAATCTATGAGTTCGTATAGATACTATTTAAAAAATACAAAATAAAACAAAATTAATCAGTTATCTTGGGAAATTGATAAGGTGCAAATTTATTATTCTGGAAATTTATAAAAGGAAGGGAAAAAATTGAGCATTGTTCCTGTTCTTTTCTACAGTCTGTATTTCAAGATAACCAAATAAAGAGAAGAGATAATGTTTCCTCTGTAGAAATCCATTCAAGCTAATAAATGAAGAGGGAAAGAGATGTTTAGAAAATCACCACTTTTCAAATCCCCAGTGAAATAATGGATCTAGGTAGCAATAATTAATGGTTGCTAACCATTAAGTAAAAGTCAATGGAGGATATGATAATGGGTGGATCAGGGTGAAAAACTAAACCCACTGATCAATGTCATAGTCACTGAGGGTGGCAACCAGACTTAGGTGTCTCTCGGGCTGATGCAATCGGAAATACATGGCACCACCTAGGAAGTAATCTTGCATGCATGCATGCACATACACACACACACACAAGCATTAATCTAATAAAGCCTTTGACTAACTCACAGGAGATAGAACTATTGGGGATAGAGGAAGAGATTAACAGACCGTCCCTGGAAGCAGTAAGCCAAATTCAGATATGTGAAAAATTCTGCAGGACAAATGACTCTCTTTCTTCAACAGCCTTATGGTTTTAAAGAAATAGAAGAGGGAAGTGTTAGATCAAAGGAGACTTGAGACAGAGCAGCCAAATGCAGTATGTGGCCCTTGTTTGCATCCTGACTTGAACAAACCAACCTCAAAGTTGTTTTCAAGATAATCAGGGAAGTGAAGATAAGCCAAGTATTAGATACTATTAGGAATTATAATACTTATTTTGTTGAATGTGATGATATTGTGATTAGAGTTTTTAAGGCATTATTTTTAAAACTATATACTGAAGTAGTTGCTCATACAAGTATATGATGTCTAGGATTTGCTTTAAAATACTCCAGCAAAAAATAGAAGTGGGAGAACAGCTGAGACAAGAGTGTTGAAAAGTGGGTCTTTGTGGAAGCAGGTGTGGTCTCTGTGGTTTTACAACCATGTGCCTTCTCCTCCTCATGGGAAGAAGGGCAGATTTGCTTTTTTTAAAAAAAAACTTCCAATTTATCATAGACTAATACTTTTATAAAATACAATAAAAGTGAATTACCAAAAAAATTAAATGATATAAAAAACCAGACATACAAGATGTAAGTCAAAATTTTTCATTGTATTCAACAGACATAAAATTATATTTCAATAAATATAATCAAAACAAACATATCATATAAAAAGAGTAAAGACAAAACTTTTTTTTTTTTTTTTTTTTGGAGGCAGAGTCTCACTCTGTTGCCCAGGCTGGAGTACAGTAGTGCTATCATAGTTTACTGCAGCCTCCAACTCCTGGACTCAGGCGACCCTCCTGCCTCAGCCTCCTGAGAAGCTGGGACTACAGACATGAGCCACCTCACCTGGCCAAGGCAGAAGAGATTTTAAAGCAATTTCAGCAAGCTCAGAATATTCATTTAAAACTGTTATCCAAAAATAAAGCAAATAATGTTATATTTTCAAAATTTGTCTTCAGTCCTTGGTCAGTAGACAGTTTCAATTTATTCTGTAAAGTCACAGTTTCATTTAAATTATCCACATCTATTGATGAAAGAAATAGATTCCAGAACCATAGTTTTCTTATGTGAGCATTGTATCTGATACAAATAAAATTCAAATTTCACAAGTATGCAGGTATACAGTAATAGGCCATCCACTACATTTCTGATTATTGTTGATGAGACAAAACATGTCATAAAAATCTGTAGAAATTCTAATTTTTGGTTTTGCCTTTTGATGTTTTCTTGCATTCCTACCTTACATGAAAATTTAAAGATCATTAAAAATACCTAACAAATACCATATGATCTCACTCATATCTAGAATCTAAAATAAAGTAGAAGCAGAGAGTAGAACAGTGGTTACCAGAGAGTGGGGAGGGGAGAGAGAAGAGGAGAATGTGGAAAGGTTGGTCAATGGGTACAAGGGTACAATAGGCAAGATAAGTCCTAGCATCTATGGCACAGTAGGGTGACCACGGTGAACAGTAAGGTATTGTATATCACAAAATAGCTACAAGAGAGGTTTTTGAATGTTCTTACCATAAAGAAATAAGTACATGAGGTAGTAAACATGCTAAATACACAGATTTGATCATTATACAACACATATGTATCAAAACATCAAATTGTACCTCATAATATGTGCAATTACAAGTGTGTCAATTTAAAAATTAATTAATTAAAAAATAAATTTAAGAGACCTGAGATATCAGAAAAATCAGTAAGTCTGGATGTCCAGTTTACTCTTTAAACACTGGGTCAAATGGATTCCTTATCTTGCGGAAGCGTGATGACTTTGTTCTGTATTTTGTTCCTGACAGACTTCTGCCAAAACGATTGTATCTCAACATGCAGTAAGAGATTATTGTGTTCCACTCACATATTATCACATAAAAGAAGGAAAATCTTTAGTGCATTTGTCTTCATGTAATTCACAAATTCTTGATTCATTACTGGATATACTATTCAGTTCACTGGGGGTCTTTTAGGATTTGTTTTAGTGTTTTTGGTAGCAAGACTTTCTCACGGAATGAAACCATGCATTTGACTTACATTCTGCCACAAACTCCTTAATCTGGATGACTGCTCTCTCTGCTCCAGAATATTCTCCTGTTATTGCAGCTGTCAGAACACAAGAATACTCTCTCCACGCACTTTAAACTCAAAGCCACATTTGTGGACAATGTATTCTTTCATAGGTTGTTGTTGTTGTTGTTGTTGTTGTTTGAGATAGGGTGGTCTTCACTCTGTTGCCCGGGCTGGAGTACAGTGATGTAATCACGGTTCACTGCTGCCTTGGCCTCCCAGGTTCAAATGAGCCTTCCACTTCAGCCTCCCAAGTAGCTAGGACCACAGGTGTGCACCACCACCCTGTTAATTTTTTTAGTTTTTGAAGAGAGAGCGTCCCACTATGCTGTCCAGGCTAGTCCCAAACTTCCAGGCTCAAGGGATCTTCCTGCCTCAGCCTCCCAAAGTGTTGGGATTACAGATATGAGCCACCACACTCAGCCTCTTTCATAGTTTTATGTAGTTCACAGCTAGTTGTGTTGATTGGTAATGGAGCTAAATTCTTCATATCGGCATCGTGTTCAAATTGCACACATACTAGAACTGTACCATTAGCAAACCCACACATTCTTTGAACTGCAGTGAAAAATTCACCAGTTTTATCTGTTCTAAGAGTTGGTTTTCTGTATCACTGGTCAGTTCTTGAGTACATCAAGCTATGTTGTTGAAACATGGGGTTAAAATAACACAGGTTTAAAAATAAATAATTGGACTTTTATTTCTCTAATTTAATAATTTGCTAAACCTAAACCAAACAAGCTTGAATAAAAATTGAAAATAAGAAGTTAGAAAATAAGTAAATGCTTACATTTCTCAGATTTTGATAATTTTGGATTTCAATCATCACACTAAAACTGAAACCATACATGTTGTAACATGTATCTAGCACACAGACTATACCATGCACAATTTGTCATGTAAGTTTCACAAATGCAAACTGGTCCTGCCCTGGAGATGAGTCTAGTGGTCACACACTTGGGTGTCATGGCAGTGTCCGACTGCTGTAGAAGTTACTCAGTGCTTGCTCTAGTTTCCGTACTGATTTTCTCAGGGATCAGGAACAGACTGTGGACAGCATGAGTTCATGGAGCACAGTTTGAGTAGCATGGCATTGTACTATTCTCTGTGCTTTTGAGTGTATATGTTTTTTAATACTGCATAACAAACTATCACAAAATTAACATCTTAAACCCACACACACTTATCTCACAGCTTTCATGGGTTAGGAGTCCAGGTGGGCCTAGCTAGGTCCTTTGCTCATGGTTTCACAAAGCTGCAGTCAAGGTGTCAGTGGGCTGCATTCCCATCTGAAGAATGCAACTTGAAAAGAATGCACTTCAAGCTCCCTCAGGTTTGGAGAACTTCAGCTTCTTACAGTGGTAGGACTGAGGTCCTCAGCTCCTGAGGGCTGCTGCTCCCCTCCAGCGGTTTATAAGACAGCTGTTTGCTTCACTGGGACCAGTAGAAGACAGAGTCTCTTTTAAAGAGCTCATTTGATTAGGTCACACCTGGCCAGGTAAATCACTCTTTCAGTTAATTTAAAGCCAATTGATTAGACATCTTAACTACTTAACTATATCTTCAAAATTACTTCACCTTTACCACCTAATGAAACCTAATCATGGACACCACCACATGGAGACATCATGGGACTCTCTTAGAAGCTGGTTGTGGTGGCTCGCACCTGTAATCCCAGCTACTCTAGAGCCTGAGGCACAAGAATCACTTGAACCTGGGAGTTGGAGCTTACAGTGAGCCAAGATGGCACCACTGCACTCCAGCCAGGGAGACAGAATGAGACTGTGTCTCAAAAAAAACGTATAGTGTCCAAGATGGCCGAATAGAAACAGCTCCATTCTACAGCTCCCAGCGTGAGTGACGCAGAAGATGGGTGATTTCTGCATTTCCAACTTAGGTACCGGGTTCATCTCACTGGGGCTTGTCAGAGAGTGGGCGTAGGACAGTGGGTACAGCCCACCGAGCGTGAGCCGAAGCAGGGCGAGGCATCGCCTCACCCGGGAAGTGCAAGGGGTCAGGCAATTCCCTTTCCTAGCCAAGGGAAGCTGTGACAGACAGCACCTGGAAAATCGGGTCATTCCCACCATAATACTGCGTTTTTCCAACAGTCTTAGCAAATGGCACACCAGGAGATCATGTCCCGTGCCTGGCTCAGAGGGTCCCACGCCCACAGAGCCTTGCTCATTGCCAGCACAGCAGTCTGAGATCGAACCTCAAGGTGGCAGCAAGGCTGAGGGAGGGGCGCCCGCCATTGCTAAGGCTTGAGTAGGTAAACAAAGTGGCCGGGAAGCTCGAACTGTGTGGAGCCCACCACAGCTCAAGGAGGCCTGCCTGCCTCTGTAGACTCCACCTCTGGGGGCAGGGCATAGCTGAACAGAAGGCAGCAGAAACCTCTCCACACTTTAATGTCCCTGTCTGACAGCTTGGAAGAGAGTAGTGGTTCTCCCAGCACAGAGTTTGAGATCTGAGAATGGAGAGACTGCCTCCTCAAGTGGGTCCCTGACCCCCGAGTAGCCTAACTGGGAGGCACCCCCCAGTAGGGGCAGACTGACACCTCACACGGCCAGGTACTCCTCTGAGACAAAACCTCCAGAGGAACGATCACAGAGCAACATTTACTGTTCACCAATATCCACTGTTCTGCAGCCTCCGCTGCTGATACCCAGGCAAACAGGGTCTGGAGTGGACCTCCAGCAAACTCCAAAAGACCTGGAGCTGAGGGTCCTGACTGTTAGAAGGAAAACTAACAAACAGAAAGGACATCCACACCAAAACCCCATCTGTATGTCACCATCATCAAAGACCAAAGGTGGATAAAACCACAAAGATGGGGAAAAAACAGAACAGAAAAACTGAAAATTCTAAAAATCAGAGCTCCTCTCCTCCTCCAAAGGAATGCAGCTCCTCACCAGCAATGGAACACAGCTGGACGGAGAATGACTTTGACAAGTTGAGAGAAGAAGGCTACAGACAATCAACCTTCTCTGAGTTAAAGGAGGAAGTTCGAACCCATCATAAAGAAGTTAGAAACCTTGAAATAAGATTACAGGAATTGCTAACTAGAATAACCAATGCAGATAAGTCCTTAAAGGACCTGATGGAGATGAAAACCATGGCATGAGAACTACGTGACGGATGCACAACCTTCAGTAGCTGATTTGATCAACTGGAAGAAAGGGTATCAGTGATGGAACATCAAATGAATGAAATGAAGTGAGAAGAGAAGTTTAGAGAAAAAACAATAAAAAGAAACAAAGCCTCCAAGAAATATAGGAATATGTGAATAGACCAAATCTACGTCTGATTGGTGTACCTGAAAGTGATGGGGAGAACAGAACCAAGCTGGAAAACACTCTGCAGGATATTACCCAGGAGAACTTCCCCAACCTAGCAAGGCAGGCCAACACTCAAATTCAGGAAATACAGAGAATGCCACAAAGATACTCCTCGAGAAGAGCAACTCCAAGACACATAATTGTCAGATTCACCAAAGTTGAAATGAAGGAAAAAATGTTAAGGGCAGCCAGAGAGAACGGTCAGGTTACCCACAAAGGGAAGCCCATCAGACTAACAGCTGATCTCTTGGCAGAAACTCTACAAGCCAGAAGAGAGTGGGGGCCAATATTCAACGTGCTTAAAGAATTTTCAAGCCAGAATTTCATATCCAGCCAAACTAAGCTTCATAATTGAAGGAGAAGTAAAATACTTTACAGACAAGCAAATGCTGAGAGATTTTGTCACTACCAGGCCTGCCCTAAAAGAGCTCCTGAAGGAAGCACTAAACATGGAAAGGAACAACTGTACCAGCCACTGCAAAAACATGCCAAATTGTAAAGACCATCGAGGCTAGGAAGAAACTGCATCAACTAACGAGCAAAATAACCAGCTAACATCATAATGACAGGATCAAATTCACACATAACAATATTAACCTTAAATGTAAATGGGCTAAATGCTCCAATTAAAAGACACAGACTGGCAAATTGGATAAAGAGTCAAGACCCATCAGTGTGCTGTATTCAGGAAACCCATCTCACATGCAGAGACACACATAGGCTCAAAATAAAGGGATGGAGGAAGAGCTACCAAGCAAATGGAAAACAAAAAAAGGCAGGGGTTGCAATCCTAGTCTCTGATAAAACAGACTTTAAACCAACAAAGATCAAAAGAAACAAAGAAGGCCATTACATAATGGTAAAGGGATCAATTCAACAAGAAGAGCTAACTATCCTAAATATATATGCACCCAATACAGGAGCACCCAGATTCACAAAGCAAGTCCTTAGAGACCTACAAAAAGACTTAGACTCCCACACAATAATAATGGGAGGCTTTAACACCCCACTGTCAACATTAGACAGGTCAACGAGACAGAAAGTTAACAAGGATATCCAAGAATTGAACTCAGCTCTGCACCAAGCGGACCTAATAGATATCTACAGAACTCTCCACCCCAAATCAACAGAATATACATTCTTCTCAGCACCACAGTGCACCTATTCCAAAATTGACCACACAGTTGGAAGTAAAGCACTCCTCAGCAAATTAAAACAACAGAAATTATAACAAACTGTCTCTCAGACCACAGTGCAATCAAACTAGAACTCAGGATTAAGAAACTTACTCAAAACTGCTCAACTACATGGAAACTGAACAACCTGCCCCTGAATGACTACTGGGTACATACCGAAATGAAGGCAGAAATAAAGATGTTCTTTGAAACCAATGAGAACAAAGACACAACATACCAGAATCTCTGGGACACATTCAAAGCAGTGTGTAGAGGGAAATTTATAGCACTAAATGCCCACAAGAGAAAGCAGGAAAGATCTAAAATTGACACCCTAACATCACAATTAAAAGAACTAGAAAAGCAAGAGCAAACACATTCAAAAGCTAGCAGAAGGCAAGAAATAACTAAGATCAGAGCACAACTGAAGGAGATAAGAGACACAAAAAACCCTTCAAAAAAACCAATGAATCCAGGAGCTGGTTTTTTGAAAAGATTAACAAAATTGATAGACCACTGGCAAGACTAATAAAGAAGAAAAGAGAGAAGAATCAAATAGACGCAATAAAAAATGATACAGGGAATATCACCACAGATCCCACAGAAATACAAACTACCATCAGAGAACACTATAAACACCTCTACGCAAATAAACTAGAAAATCTAGAAGAAATGGATAAATTCCTTGACACATACACCCTCCCAAGACTAAACCAGAAAGAATTTGAATCTCTTAATAGATCAATAACAGGCTCTGAAATTGAGGCAATAATTAATAGCTTACCACCCAAAAAAAGTCCAGGATCAGATGGATTCACAGCTGAATTCTATCAGAGGTACAAGAAGGAGCTGGTACCATTCCTTCTGAAACTATTCCAATCAATAGGAAAAGAGGGAATCCTCCCTAACTCATTTTATGAGGCCAGCATCATCCTGATACCAAAGCCTGGCAGAGACACAACAAAAAAAGAGAATTTTAGACCAATATCCCTGATAAGCATCGATGCGAAAATCCTCAATAATATACTGGCAAACAAAATCCAGCAGCACATCAAAAAGCTTATCCACCATGATCAAGTGGGCTTCATCCCTGGGATGCAAGACTGGTTCAACATATGCAAATCAATAAATGTAATCCAGCATATAAACAGAACCAAAGACAAAAACCACATGATTATCTCAATAGATGCTGAAAAGGCCTTTGACAAAATTCAACAGCCCTTCATGCTAAAAACTCTTAATAAATTAGGTATTGATGGGACGTATCTCAAAATAATAAGAGCTATTTATGACAAACCCACAGCCAGTGTCATACTGAATGGGCAAAAACTGGAAGCATTCCCTTTGAAAACTGGCACAAGACAGGGATGCCCTCTCTCACCACTCCTATTCAACATAGTGTTGGAAGTTCTGGCCAGGGCAATCAGGCAGCAGAAAGAAATAAAGGGTGTTCAATTAGGAAAAGAGCAAGACAAATTGTCCCTGTTTGCAGATGACATGATTGTATATCTAGAAAACCCCATCGTCTCAGCCCAAAATCTCAAGCTGATAAGCAACTTCAGCGAAGTCTCAGTATACAAAATCAATGTGCAAAAATTACAAGCATTCTTATACACCAATAACAGACAAACAGAGAGCCAAATCAGGAGTGGATTCCCATTCACAATTGCTTCAAAGAGAATAAAATACCTAGGAATCCAATCTACAAGGGATGTGAAGGACCTCTTCAAGGAGAACTACAAACCACTGCTCAACGAAATAAAAGAGGATACAAACAAATGGAAGAACATTCCATGCTCATGGATAGGAAGAATCAATATTGTGAAAATGGCCATACTGCACAAGGTAATTTATAGATTCAATGCCATCCCCATCAAGCTACCAATGACTTTCTTCACAGAATTGGAAAAAACTACTTTAAAGTTCATATGGAACCAAAAAAGAGCCTACATTGCCAAGTCAATCCTAAGCCAAAAGAACAAAGCTGGAGGCATCACGTTACCAGACTTCAAACTATACTACAAGGCTATAAGTAACCAAAACAGCATGGTACTGGTACCAAAACAGAGATATAGACCAAGGGAACAGAACAGAGCCCTCAGAAATAATACCACACATCTACAACCATCTGATCTTCGACAAACCTGACAAAAATAAGAAATGCGGAAAGGATTCTCGATTTAATAAATGGTGCTGGGAAAACTGGCTAGCAATATGTAGAAAGCTGAAACCGGATCCCTTCCTTACACCTTATACAAAAATTAATTCAAGATGGATTAAAGACATAAATGTTACACCTAAAACCATAAAAACCCTAGAAGAAAACCTAGGCAATACCATTCAGGACATAGGCATGGGCAAGGACTTCATGTCGAAAACACCAAAAGCAATGGCAACAAAAGCCAAAATTGACAAATGGGATCTAATTAAACTAAAGAGCTTCTGCACAGCAAAAGAAACTGCCATCAGAGTGAACAGGCAACTTCAGAATGGGAGAAAATGTTTGCAGTCTACTCATCTGACAAAGGGCTAATATCCAGAATCTACAATGAACTCAAACAAATTTACAAGAAAACAAACAAACAACCCCATCAAAAAGTGGGTGAAGGATATGAACAGACACTTCTCAAAAGAAGACATTTATGCAGGCAAAAAACACATGAAAAAATGCTCACCATCACTGGCCATCAGAGAAATGCAAATCAAAACCACAATGAGATACTATCTCACACCAGTTAGAATGGCAATCATTAAAAGTCAGGAAACAACAGGTGCTGGAGAGGTTGTGGAGAAATAGGAACACTTTTACACTGTTGGTGGGAGTGTAAACTAGTTCAACCACTGTGGAAGACAGTGTGGCAATTCCTTAAGAATCTAGAACTAGAAATACCATTTGACCCAGCCATCCCATTACTGGGTATATACCCAAAGGATTATAAATCATGCTGCTATAAAGACACATGCACACGTATGTTTATTGCGGCACTATTCACAATAGCAAAGACTTGGAACCAACCCAAATGTCCATCAATGATAGACCAGATTAAGAAAATGTGGCACATATACATCATGGAATACTATGCAGCCATAAAAACGGATGAGTTCATGTCCTTTTTAGGGACATGGATGAAGCTGGAAACCATCATTCTGAGCAAACTATCACGGGGACAAAAAGCCAAACACCTCATGTTCTCTCATAGGTGAGAATTGAACAATGAGAACACTTGGACACAGGAAGGGGAACATCACACACCAGGGCCTGTCGTGGGGTCGGGGGAGTGGGGAGGGATAGCATTAGGAGAAATACCTAATGTAAATGACGAGTCTATGGGTGCAGCACACCAGCATGGCACATGTATACATATGTAACAAACCTGCACATTGTGCACATGTACCCTAGAATTTAAAGTATTATAAAAAAAAAGAAGAAAAGAGAGAAGAATCAAATAGACACAATAAAAAATGACAAAGGGGATATCACCAAAAAAAAAAAAAAATAAAAACGTATAATGTTAGCTGCGGTTTTTCGGATGCCCTTTATCATGGTAAGGAAGTTTCCTTCTATTCCTAGTTTGTTGATTGCTTTTATCATGAAAGATTGCTGAATTTTTGTCAAATGCTTTTTCTCCTTCTATTGAGATTATGTGGCTTTAGCCTTTATTCTATTGAAAGTGGGAGAAGGCACCACAAAGGGTGGTGATGATTTTTTTTTGAGATGTAATCTAGCTCTGTCGCCAGGCTGAAGCACAAGCTCAGCTCACTGCAGTCTCATCCTCCTGGGTTCAAGTGATTCTCCTGCCTCAGCCTCCCAAGTAGCTGGGATTACAGGCACGCGCTGCCATGGCCAGCTAAGTTTTGTATGTTTAGTAGAGACGGGGTTTCACCATGTTGGTCAGGATGGTCCTCATCTCCTGACCTCATGATCCACCCACCTCGGCCTCCCAAAGTGCTGGGATTACAGCCGTGAGCCCACGCGCCCGGCAAGGTGGTGATCTTTTAAGGCCCAGCCACTCGGTCCTCTAGTGAAATGTGGCCATTAACTGTCCTGAGATCTGACCAACCATAGGAGCAACTTACCCCTTAGAGGGAGACTGTGTTGGGGCTGAAAGAGAAGCATGGAGAGAAGGTTTGGAAATGCTCTTTTTCCAACTGGAAACTCTTAGAGGACAGGGAAATTATTTTATACATTTATAAATTATCTATTTGTGGCTGGGCACGGTGGTTTACACCTGCAACACCAGCACTTTGGCAGGCCGAGGCAGGTGGATCACAAGGTCAGGAGTTTGAGACCAGCCTGGCCAATATGGTGAAACCCCGTCTCTACTAAAAATACAAAAATTAGCCGGGCGTGGTGGCGGGCGCCTGTAGTCCCAGCTACTTGGGAGGCTGAGGCAGGAGAATTGCTTGAACCCAGGAGGCAGAGGATGCAGTGAGCTGAGATCGTACCACTGCACTCCAACCTGGGCAACAGAGCAAGGCTCTGTTTCAAAAAAAAAAAAAAACAAACAATATCTATTTGTAATGCCTCATTCCTAGCACTTACCTGGCACACAGTATTCAGTAAATATTGTAGAACTGAATTTGAGATTTACATTTTAAGACTGGTATTGACAAGTGTGGGTCAACCCAGGATATGGCATCTGGAAGGTGGAGAGGTCTGGAAAATGTATAATATGAGCCACACCTGTAGGTTTGGGTCATTGCTAGGGCTGGGAGGGGGATTTTCTTTATTACAGAAATACAGCAGAACAAAGGCTACTGACTGAAGGATACAACAGGGACACGGTTTAAGGCTCTAACAATATAAAGAAGATGCTTCCAACAATCAGCCCTTTAAGCAGAGGAAGTGCTGCTTTGAGAAGCTGCATGAGCTTAGAGCAGCACAAAGGGGCCTCTGGTGCCAAGTAGAGAATTAAGCCCAAGAGCTTCCAAATCTGAGTTTATGAAAACTAACTTCATATGGGATTTGAGAGAAAGATAAGGGAATGATTGAACCAAACATTTAAAAACCAGATTTACATTTTAAAAATCCCATTTAAAAAAAGAAATCCTATTTCTTTTCTCTTTATCCACCCTGCAGATAATGTATTTCAAAGACATTGTACGCCTCACATGTTTATGTTGTATTATCATTAGGTCTTTAGAGTTAAATATAATCAGTCTTCGGGAATATTGAGTTTTTGTGCCATTATGTCCTGAAATCATTTATATCAAAGCTGAAATGGATTAAAGTAAACATACTTTTGTCTCCGAAAGTTCAAGGTTATCTATGACTTTGGAGTTGGTAACTAGCTTTTACTTATAGGAATATAGCTGGCATTTGACTGAAAACATTCTGCATCAGGGACAAAGGTGGACTTCAGTTAAAGGTCACATTTTACTTCAGTTTTCTGTTTTTCTAACAAATGATTTGTTGCAAAATTAACAAATCTGAAACAGTTTAACATAAATCATAGCTAGTATATGCTTAAACATATGAACTAATAAAAGTCACCTTCTGAAGTTTCAAAGAATGGCAGGTATTTCTAATTTACAACTGGGTGACTGCTATTTTAATAGTAATGTGATGAACTTGTGAATTTTAGTAAATTTAATTATTGAGGAAATAACTGCATTTTGCTTATTGCATATTTGGTGTGATTAAACTTTACAGGAGAAAAAAGAATCCTCCATGTAAGAGTTTTAAACATTTTTCTGACTGCCTCAGTGACATTTGGTGCAAAACTAATGAACTCTGTTTTGTACCTAATGTGCAGTTATACTTCTTTATCACAAGCTGAGCTAGATTTGGTCAGAAGCAGCCTGTTGTAAATCAGTCACTGCTGCCACAATTCACCAGAATCAAGCCAATTCTAGAAAGATTGTTTCTTAACTTGAGCCCTTTCTTTATTAGTAATTTGCCACAATTTTATTTTATAGTCTCATTTCATCCTAACACTTTATCATAAAAATGTCAATTATTTCTGTTAATATTTTATATTAATTTGTTAAAGCAAGCTTATACAATGCCATAAACCTGTTCTGCTAGAGATTTGGTTGGGGGTGGGGAAGCCAACACAACAGACCAGTATCATAGGTCAAATATCAAATCCAATTGTTAAAAAAAGTTAATTGAGGGCTGGCAATAGTGGGTAAAGAATATAAAGCAGGCTCCTGGCTTCAGGAACCCACAGCCTGATGGTGGAGGCACACATGTGAAGAGGCCATTATGTTACAATTCAGGGGAATAATGGTGGGAGAGCAGAGGGGCACCAGCCAGCCAGTCCAAGGGAAAATATAGTATTGATATGTATTTTCAGAGGCCCCTTGACTTAGTGGCCCTTCACTAGATTTAATAAAATTAAGAGTAATATAATGCATTTAGGTCTCTTTTTATTTTAAAATGCAAAATAACCTTGTATTTTGGTAGGCTGGGTACAGTGGATTGCCCTCTCCAGTGTAGGTGGGTATCATCCAATCCAATTAAATCCTGAATAGAACAAAAAGGTGGAGTAAGGGAGAATTTGCTCTCTTTCTCTGCCTGACTGTTTTCGAGCTGAGACTTCTGTCTTCTCCTGCCTTAGGAATTGGACTTGAACTGAAACTTATTCCATTGGCTCTCCTGGGTCTCCAGCTTGGCAACTACAGATCTTGGGACTTCTCAACTTCTATAATTGTGTGGACCAGTTCCTTATAATTAATCTGTCTCTCTCTTCAACTTCCAAAGGGGTTATTCCCAATAAGCCCATCCAAAATTAAAAATATTATAAGTCAAAAATGCATTTAATACACCTAACTTACTGAACATCATAGCTTAGCTTAGACTGCCTTAAACATATTCAAAACACTTACATTAGCCTACAGTTGGGCAAAATCATGTATTTTATAATAAAGCGTTGAATATCTCATGTAATTTATTGAATAATATGCTGAAAGTGAAAAACAGAATGGTGGTATGAGTGCTCAAAGTAGGATTTCAACCAAATGCCTGTCACTTTCACACCATCCTAAAACTGAAAAAATTTAAGTCAAACCATCATAAGTCAGGGACTTCTGTATACAGTAGCATATATATACTATGTGTACACACACACACACACACACACACAGTCACACACTCACACAGTAGTCACAGTAGTACCCCCTTATCTGCAGTTTTGCTTTCCACAGTTTCAGTTACCTGCCATCAATCACAAAATGAAAATATTATATGGGAAACTGCTGAAATACAAAATTCATAGCTTTTTTAAAGAAAAACATAAAAGAAAGAGAAAAAAAGAATTCAGAGTTTTTAATTGCATGCTGTTCTGAATAGAGTGATGAAAACTTGCGCCATCCTGCCCAGGATGTGAATAATCCTTTTTCATCCCTTTTTCTGGTGTGTCCACGCTGTATACCCCACCTACCCATTAGCCACTTAGTAGCCATCTCAGTTACCAGATAAACTGACAGAGTGTATATAGGTTTCATACTATCTGAGGTTTTGGGCATCCACCGGCAGTCTTGGAATGTATCCCCCATAGATAAGAGGGGACTACTTGCTCTCATTCTCTGTCTTTCACTCTGTCTTTCTACACACACACACACACACACACACACACACACACACACACACAATTAGTTCTGTTTCTCTGGAAAATCCCAAGAAAATATACATAATCAACCTGTGAATACCCATCAGTTTCCAGTAGAAATGGTGTGTTTCTGCCTCCACAGAGGGCTTCTCAACCCAATTAGACAAACTGAACCAATATTAAAATATTTATTTCATTGACCTAAGGTGGCCAGGGTATTATGTGGAATGTGCTGTTCAATTTAATTTTCCAGTTAAGTGAGGACGAATCCATTTCTTCCTCAAAGACTCCAAAGCTTTCTCCTTTCTCCTGTGAGTTTTACCTTCACAATGAACATTGTAATCAGAAGGAGGAATCAAAGTAGCTTCTAAGACTGTCTTGTTTCCAAAACTGGGGTGCTCAGATCAACAGCCAGAACCACTCAGGGCCCCATTAAAAGTGTGGACTTCTGGGCCCCCTTGGATGCCCCTGGGGAACCCTATGGGGATGACTGGACTTCAGGGACCCACATGAAGCTGGATCACAGTCCAGTGAGAAGGTCTCAGAGCATATCCAACAGTCATTTTCACTGCTGCCTTTTACAGTTAATTATAGCAAGATGTGTTCTCTACGTACAATATTATTTTGTTTTGTGCAGGTTTTTTTTTTAGAACCAACTCTAGTTTCTGCCATTTCCAATCAATCTTAGTTTTTGCAGCCCTGCTAGTTCACACAGACAACTGACACTTCTGTCTACTGTGGAGTAGCTTTAGGGAAAGAGATTATTTCCTTTTCTTCTTCTCCATTTCCACCCTAGGTTTTTTCTGTTTAACTAAAGAAATCAGAAATTGGTCAAATCTGTATTTTCAGGGGATCTTTGTCTAGCTGTGTTAGGACTGTACTTGGTGATGTGGTGGCAGAATAAACCCGATTGATAAAATGTGCCATGTCTAGATGTACAGGCAACAAAATTGTTTTCTCCAAGTGAGAACTATGGCCCCAAATGGAGTCCTACAGGGATTACCTCAACAAGGGAGAGGTCTAGTTTCATGGAGTCTTTCATTCGTCCCCACACTGCTGTCCTTTCCTCTGGGGGATCTCTACCCTTCCTAATCTACAGGAGAGAAGACAGTGTTTAGATTGAGATGTTTAAGCATCACTATCCAATTGCTCCAGTTAACTACATAAATAGGTTGGCATGACCTTGTTATATAAAGTTCATAATTTAACTCTATGACCCCTTCTCTGGAAGTTTCATCCAAATGTCTATAACCTGATGAACAGATAAACCAAAATGTGGTATATCCACACAATGCAATGTGAATTGACCATAAGAAGAAATGAGTGAGCCTAAAAACATTATGCTAAATGAAACAATTCAGTCACAGAAGGCACTTGAAGGGCCCTGCTGGACCAAAGCCACAGTACACCTGTACCCAAATGGCAAATCTTCAGTGAGGGCTCTGGGAAGAGAAACTCCTTCCCAGAAAGAGAAGAAGGATGGCTCAACAATCTGATCCTTGCCTTTGGACTTTGGACCTTCTATTTACTAGCTTTATGGCCTTAATCAGAACTCAGATTTCTCTGAACATTAATTTTCTCATCAGCAAACTTAGGAAAACACTGTCTTCATTTGTGAGGATTGAATGAGACTGTGTGTTTCAGTGCTATAGTAGTTTATTACATAAATTGGCCCCTGATCACTTCTTCCTATTTCTACACTCTTGGTAGTCCCCTCCACATTGAGTCTGTGATTAGTCATGTGACTTACTTTGACCAGTGGCACATTAACAAGCACGATGCAAGCAGAAGCTTAAAACATACTGTGCATTGGGGTTTGCCTTATACCACCTAAGTCTACCATATGAAGATGCCTGGGCTAGCCTGCTGGAGACATGTGGCTCAGCTGTCAGCCAGCCTGACCACTAGCCATGTGAATGAAGCCATCTTAGACCATCTTATCCCAGTTGAGCTGCCAGAAAACTGCAGCCATGTAAGTGACTCCAGGTGCAGAAGGACCATCTAGCTGAGCTCAGCCAAAATTGCTGACCCATATATTAAAGACTACTAGAAACACACTTGTAGTCAAACAAGTGTGTTTAACTTGCTGCATTAAGGGAGAGTTACTCCAGAGGAACAAGGAAGGGAGAGTAGGGAGGGCAATATTGTAGGATATGAGTGTCTGCTGGGTGATTCTATAATGGTATAGGGTGGGGTTTTTTTGGTTTGGTTTGGTTTTGAGACAGGGTCTCACTCTGTCCCCCGGCTGGAGTGCAATGGCGTGATCTCGGCTCACTGCAACCTCTGCCTCCTGGGTTCAAGCAATTCTCCTATCTCAGCCTACCGAGTAGCTGGGACTACAGGCACGCACCACTACGCCTGGCTAATTTTTTTTTTTTTTTTTTTTAAGCAGAGATGGGGTTTTGCCATGTTGGCCAGGCTGGTCTGGAACCCTTGGCCTCAAGAAATTCACCCACCTCAGCCTCCCAAAGTGCTGGAATTACAGGTGTGAGCCACCATGCCTGGCCTAAAGGGACTGGTTTTGATTGAGTGCTGTCAGGAAGTGGAGGCAACCTGGTGACTGGATCTCTTGGTAATTTTTATCTATAAGGCAGGAAGATTACAGTGGGACTAGAGTTGTCAGTGATAACTCATATTAGCTGGAGGTAGGGGAATGTTTAGTTATTTCTGAATTGTGGAATGTCTGTCCCTACATTCTTTCAGGCATAATCACAAAATTGTTTTTCTCCATGGTCAAAAAATGGCCTTGTCTGAGTATTGTTTATATGTTATGAAAATTGTTTGTATACATTCAGAAACACTACAGCTGTCAGCTGCTGGCTGCTGGCTGTTGGAGATAACTTTTACTTTTTTATACATAGTCATGAGCAAATACAATGGTTGTCTTAAACTGCCAAGTTTTGGGGCTTAAATTCAGCAAGAGATGAGTAATATGAGCACTGTGTAATGCCTGAAGTGCTGTGCAGCCTTCCTAATTCCTTCCATGGTTATATACACAGAAAGTTCCAACTCTAGGGGATTTTGAGTGGAGGACGTGGGCAGAATGTGGATAGTCAATCAGGACCTGCCAAGATCTAGGGACTAGAAAGGGCCTCAGAGGCCTGAGGGGGCCACAAACCTGGCAGCAGACAGGGCCTGTTTAACCACCTCCTCCCTGAGCCTCGCTCCATCTCATTCAGATGCAGCTTTCCAGGACCAGACCTTGATGCTCTGTCTACCATCTCAGCCCCACTCCATCCAGCATTCACTCCTGGTTTGAGAGGCATCAAGACCAAAGGCAGGACCCTGGGACCTCTTGTTGGTTAACATATCTGACAGGCATAGAGCAGTCTATGATCATCTCTGCATGAACAATCTATTCTGTTCACAAAGACTTCTGTGGATTCGACCATCATAAACCACAGTGAAGCATCTCTGATTTTTAGTAGAAGGATATACCTGCTGTTGCTCTGCATGCAGAAGGTGCTGACTCATTTCAAGGAGGCATAGCTGAGGAGTAATAATTCTTGATTATTGTTTTACCCCTTGAATGGCCAATAACCCAAGTGTGAACTCTTCTTCTTTTCAAGCAGGTGGCCTTATCCTAAATCACCATTGGTCAGACCTTGGTCATAAATCTCCTGAGGACAGGCCATGCTTCTTGCAGTTACCTCTTCTCTAGCAAAAACCAGTGAAGCAGAGGGTTGTGGGGGGAAAGGGCGATAAATCTTATTTTCCTCTTGTAAATACTCCGTAGGGTGTCTCCTACTGACAGTTTTAAAAGGGACTCAAACCTAACCAACTTCTAAGAAGTATTATTTCACTCAACCACAAAAAATGTGTTTTTCCATTCATTCTCAAAGCCAAAGACAGTTACTTTATCAGAATCTGTCAAAGTCAGGTACAGAAAGATCCAAATGACTGAAAAGCAACAACTCATACTGGCTTCATGAAAACGAAGCAAGTAAATCCCAGTGGGAACACTGGGACATGTGTCTCAGTTCAATAACTTCTTGCAAGAAAATAGGAAGCATTCCCTTCCATTGAGAGTGTTGAATTACATTTCATATGAGAAATTATTATTATTACTAATCACAGGGGACTTTTGGATCTCAGTGGATCCTTCCTTCTTGCTCTATGAGAGCAGCAGAGAGGCAACACTGGCTAATTGCAGTCAGATATATCAACTCAATCACGATAAACTGGATCTTCCACTCCTGACTTTATAGTTTGTCAGACAATATCAATGTTAAAATAGAAATGAAATCCATACTTTGAAGACACAGTCACTCAGAAAAGTGTTTCTACCCTTGGTTTAAGAAATCCTCTGGCCAGATTCCTGGCTCTGTACCCCACTGGCTATCTCATAAGAGTTTTGCATTTCAATTCCCTTGTTCGTAGAAAGTGTAGGATTGCTATGAGGAACAAGTGAGAAAATGCAAAATTGCTTTGAAAAATATAAAATAATAAGCATAGTCTCTGTGAGACTTTATAAATTCATTTAATTTCTTATTTCATGAAATCTTACCATAATTCTATCACAGTAAGATAAATGGCAACAACTTAAAACCATCTTTCCCAGAAGTAACAAGAATAACTTGTGAGCTTCTTGAGGATAAGAGCCATTTCCAACCCACTGTATAACCACTGTCTATCTCCAAGGAAAGGTTCCCAGGATATGTTTGTTAAATAGAGAGAAAATGGAAGGCTGAGTGGATGGATTAATGGATGCCTGGACAAATGGATGGGCAGATGGGTGGATGGGTGGGTGGATGGATGGATGGATGGATGGATGGATGGATGGATGGATGCAGGGCCAAGATAGTATGCATCAGGATGGGTATTCAGGTTGTCAAAATATTAAAATACTTCTACATTAGTAGGTAAATATCTATTTCCCTGAGCTCCTCAAATGCCCCCTGTTGGCCTCCTTGGATCTTTATTCTCCTAAAAAGCCATAGTCCTCTTCTTTAGTTCAGCAACTAAAGGATTGTTGTCTGCACAGCAATCTACGTTGTCAGGCCATCTAAATGGTAGATCGACAGCTTCCTCTTCTTGGTAGATGCCTGTGCACCATCCAACTGTGAGATATTTTGAATATCCCTCTTGCTTGGATGGATAACCATTTCATTACTGAGCTGGTTTTAGGCTATTGGCTGTAGGCAATTTTCTTAATAAATCCCATGAGTTTTAAATGTGTTGTCAGTATTTCCTAGTTCATAGGGTAAAACTTCTTCAAGATATTCCATTGTAATCTGAGGTCCTTTAAGGCTTTAATGTGTTGTTGAGTTTTTTTACCACGCTCCAAATTTTCCAAATAATGATTTCTACATGTAGGTTGGGATTATTTTCTTAAGTAATTCCTTATTATATTCACTCACTTTCTTAATAGTATGGGTTTGGGGGATTTATGTGAGAGAAAATGCCTGCTCTGAGTATCATGATCAATGGATGCATCTAGAACAGTTGATATTGTTTGGCTGTGTCCCCACCCCCAAGTCTCATCTTGAATTGTAATAATCACATGTCAAGGGCAGGGCCAGGTGGAGATAATTGAATCATGGGGGCAGTTTCCCCCATACTGTTCTAATGGTAGTGAATAAGTCTCATGAGATCTGATGGTTTTATAAATGGGAGTCCCCCTGCAAAAACTCTCTTGCCTGCTGCCATGTAAGAGGTGACTTTGCTCCTCTTTCGTCTTCTGCCATGATTGTGAGACCTCCCCAGCCATGTGGAACTGTGAATCAATTAAACCTCTTTCCTTTATAAATTACCCAGTCTTGGGTATGTCTTTATTAGCAGCGTGAGAACAGACTAATACAACAGTCTTTGATTCAACCACAGAAGAACCTGTGACAGTTGTGTATGAGTTCATTTTCTGTCATGTCTGTGGAGAAGAGGTGTTGGTCTCATAGCAGCCTTGCTCCAGCCACATTGCTGGCACCTCATTATGTGGCTCTCAGCAACCCATGGCCTTTGGCTCCTCCACTGCTGACCATCACTTGGAATTCTGGGACCACTGCTCTCCACCTGCACTGGTACCACCATTGCACAGCTTTGGCAGGAGTGGAGCCCCCTGCTCCATTTCCCCTCAGTTCCCTACAACAGCCTTGGGCAGTAATGTCTGCCTCCAACACACACACTTTCCAACTATTAAATAATTTTCAGAAGCAAAAAGTGTTGGGCACTAGCTGAGCCCTTTGTCCATCCTCCTATTTCCAGACCATGCCTAGGGTACAAAGGAAGGAGCTCTTTCCCACCCCTTATCAAACAGCTCAGAGCTTTAGTTAACAAGCTTTGGGTCAGGACCTTGAAATATAAATTCTTTTCATTGGGCCAGATTGGAGTTCTTGGGAAGGTGCACCCCCCTCACCCCTCTTAATCTTCAAAGATTCATAAGCAGAAGGGCTACCCCTGATAATGTATTCTCCAGGTTAGAGGGCAAGAAGGGGACTCTGCTAGCCCCATTTATATCTCTTTCTGCAGCATGTCACGGTTTCTTAAAAAGCAAAGAATGCATAAACTACTTGGGAAGTTTTATCAAAGGAAAGTTGCTATAAGAAATATAACAGTTAGCATCCCGAATGTGCACTGTAAGAAAGACTGTCATATAACCAGGACCAGGCAATGAAATGTATCAGTTGCCTCTCATTTTGAGAAGGGAAAAACATAGTGACTGTCATTCTTCAACAGAGAATATATTGAATGATATTTTATAATTAGCTCCCATTCCTCTGACACAAAGCATGAAAGAATTGGAATATCTCAATTCCCTGCATCAGAGTAACAGAAAAGAAACATTGCAGTAATATCAGGGCAGCCACCTCCAATAGCACCTGCCAAATTGTAAGTGGAGATTTTCTTCTGCCAACATTATTCTCCATTCCCCTACCGTTAGGGAACTGGCTGAATTTTCTTCTTCGTATGTAATACAGTATTCTTTTTTTTCTGACAAGGTATAATAACTATAGTGTCAAATAGTAACACGTTAGAAGAAATAAACATAACATAGACAAAAGAAGGCTTCAGTGTTTGCTGAATGCACCAACTGCATGGGTCTCCAGTGTTCCAGGGTTGATTTATATCATCATTAACTGCTCTTTTTCCCATCACCCCATTCCCTCCCATGCTCCCTGGAGGTCCCAGCACAGCAAATGCTTTTGCAAGTTCCCATGAAAGATTCCCCTCAAGCTCCCAGCCCCTATCCACCAGGCCTGGGTCTGTGCATCTGTGTGTTTCCAGGGCATGGCTTGTGCCTGGGGAACTGAAGCATTGAGCCATGAGCCTCACCAGGAAGGACTCGTAGCCTGGCTCCCAGCAGATGGTGGCAGTTGTCTGGGGGTGTGAATGGCACTAGCTGTTCCTGTTCATCTGACCTCCTTGCACAGGCACTGACAATCTGTGGGAACAGGACAGTCCTCTCAGTCTGATTGGAGGGTCTCATTATCACTGCTGCTCAGGGCTCTCCTTACTAACAGGTAAGTTCTATAATCATAACAAATAGAGTTTTTAAAAAGAAAAAAAAGAGTTCTGGTCTCATCACATCTGAGATGGGCAGGGAGAAGTAAAAGAATAAAAGCCTCTCCCTTCAATGGTTCTCAAACTACTTGGTAAGAATTGGCCTTTGGATGAAGAACTTTATTTTTTAAAAAGTGTGTGTGTGTATGTATGTGTGTGTGTGTGTGAGAGAGAGAGAGAGAGAGACAGACAGACAGACAGACAGGGGGTCTTGCTCTGTGGCCCGGGCTGGAGTGTAGTGGCACAATCATAGCTCACTGCAGCCTTGAGTTCCTAGGCCCAGGGAATCCTCCCACCTTAGCCTCCCAAGAAGCTAGGACTAAAGGTGTGCACTGCCACTTTGCCTGGCTAATTATTTTTATTTTTTACAGAGGGGGGGTCTTGCTGTATTGCCCAGGCTGGTCTTGAACTCCTGAGCTCAAGCAATTCTCCCGCCTCAGCCTCCCAAACCACTGGTATTACAGGTGTCAGCCACCGTCCCTGGCCTGGATGGAGGAATTTAATACAGGAAATTGGTTCATCAGCTGACAGAAGAATTTACGATTTAAATAGGGGAGAGGAGAAAGGCAGGGATTAGCCACAGAAGGAAGCCAATAATACATGAAGGCCCATGAAAAAGGGAAGCGGAAGTCGTTACTAGAGGCCAAAACCAGCAGATGCTGAAACTGGTGGGATAGCCCTGTGGGAGCTGGGACCCTAAGGGAAGGGCTGTCTGGAAGAAACTGGAGCCATGAAGGAAACACAGCCACCAATGCTGAGATGCAGGAAGCCAAGCAAAAGGGCAAAAAGCACCAGGCAGTTCCTTTCCTTCCTCCCTCTAGTTTTCCACCAGGCTTCCCATGGGCCATGCCTACTAGAAGCCATGGAGTAAAGGAGCCTGGGAAATGCAGTTCCCTGTGATCAAAAAGAAGCACAGAGGAAAGGCTGGCATGGATCTGAGGCACAATGGGTGCCTAGTCTTTTTTTATGCCCCAGTTTGTAGATCCAGAAGGCTAAGACCAGGAGATTAGATGATCATGCCATGAAAAACTCCAGCTTAGCCCTGCTGGCACCATCACACCCTTGGAGAAGAAGAAAGAGTACGCTCAGATACAGGGATGAAAGAAGGTCCCAGAAAGAACTGGGGAGTCTCAAGGGCTGAGAGAACCACAATATGAGTTTGCTGGGCTCCTAAGTATGTTTGGGGTCTGGAGTCTAAGGGATGAGGTTGTCTTGGACAGCAACAGAAATCAAAATCCTCAAATTCCATTAGGAGACCTGGGGTAGAGGTGGTCCATGATAAAGCAGAGAGAGAGAAGTCAGACTGGGGCTTCCAGCTATATAAAGGTGATTTTGTAACCATAACATATGCTTGCATTGGACAATCTATATGTTCCTTGAACTGCTAAGGCTTTACACTATAATGAAATTGCCCTTGCCTTTCATAAAGTTGGTGGGGACAGGGGGAAGGGTGTGCTGTTGTGGGTTGAGATAGCTTCATGGTTATGAGTCCAGGCTGGCCGCAGCTGCTGTGACAGCCCCATAAACATGATCTAACCTTTCCATTTCCTCTTTCAGAAGATGCGGTTGCTAACACCTTCCTCACAGAGCTGTTGTAAGGATTACATGAGACAAATGGATTTAGCCATGAAGCACTCAGCCCAGAGCCTGGCTCCCAGAAAGTGCTCACCTAACACAGGTCTGGTCTGCAGGAGAGAGAATTCTCTCACAGCCTCCAGCAGACCACCCATCACCAAGGACCCCTGGGGGCCTCCAGCTGAGCCACTGAGAACATGCAGTGAGGAACAGTTTCCTTGCCCACAGCAGGGTGAATGCAGGAGCCCAGAGCAGACTGAGGTTGGCAAATACCTTCCCAGCCTGTGGCTCCTTAGTCACACACACACACACACACACACACACACACACACACACACACCACAAACACAGACCCACAAATCACAGCCTGTCAAGACAGTCCCAGAAGCAAAAGGAGATGAGAAGAATGTACCTTTGCTGGCAAAATTTACAGCATTCAGATGCCCATGAAAGCCTTGTGGTATGATGTGTATTATTATGTGGGAAAAAAGAAAGAAAGAGCCTCACAGAGACAGCTCTGCTGTGCTGTTCCCACCGTCGAGGATGCTGCTGGTCACAGATTACATTAAAGTAAAATATAAACAAATGCTTTAACAAACATGTAAGTAAAATTTAAGTGTTTTTAAACATTTAAACTCCAAGCAGGATACAGAGGGCATCCCGATGAGGGGACAGCCCAGCACAGGGTCTCTGAGTCCAGGCATCAGCAGGGGGAGGGGTGGGCCAGAGAAGGGAGATTGGCTAACTACTGGTGGATTACCCAAACAAGTGGATGTATTAAGGATGATGCCAGGTTCCTCATTGCCAGAAAAAGAGCGCTACAAATCAGGAAGGAGACAACTAGAATGAACCTATGGTGCTGAATTTGGGAGTATCAGAGTGTGTGTGTGTGTGTGTGTGTGTGTGTGTAAGTAAAGAGAGAGAAATATAGATACAAATGTTTATGTGTGTGTGTGTGTGTATAAGAATACATATATGTATTTCGTAGCTCTTCCCAGCCCTGGGAGCAGTGACACCCCAAAAGCAATGAGCACACTTAGACCCAGACATTCACTTTTAAGTACCATTTCCTGCTAAAAGAACCCAGGGCTTCTTGGAGAAGTTACTGGTTCCAGGGCTGGAACAGAGAATATACGAGGTGAACCTGGAGCATCTTGTTGTGCTAGAAAGCAGGAAAATGCTCAAACAACAATAATAAGGATCTGTCAAAAGGACTGCAGCCTACAGGCCAAATCTAGGACAATTTGAGCATCAAAATAAATGTCAATGCCTGTAGTTGAACCATTTGGGTTCATTACCCCTTACAGCGAGGAAGAATGCACACCATGGGGACTATGGTGGAAGGGATCTCAGTAAGAAGATTTCAGAAAAAAACCTATTATAGGATTAGGCAGTGGTTTGGGAGGGTTTTGGGAGAGTCCAGGAACTTGGCTTCACGTGGATTGCACATTGTCAGAAAGTAGGGACGATGCTATGACTGGACACCTCAATAAACCTTCTATACAGGAAAAACAAGCTAGAGCAGATAATGCTGGAATGGTCAAGAAGCAGTGGTCTCTTATTAGCCAGGAGACAGGGATGGGATTGTATGGATTGCATCTTGGTTTTGTCCATACCTAGACAAATTTATGAAGTGGCCCTGTTTTGTCTTAATTTACCTCGGTCTCAGAGTGACCTTCTCTGACATTGATGTTGTGTGAGACGGTTTATGTCCAACAGACATCTAGAAGCACCAGGCCAGCTTCTAATAACACTGAGTCCTGTTGCAAGTGTCAGACTGGTTCCCAGGTTTCAGGGACTACCTTTTTCTTTCTCAGTACTAATGGATTTATTTATTTTACCCGTGGAGTGAAATAAAGATCTAGGATTCCAAACAGATATAAAGTAATTATTTAATTAACTAAAATGGAAGAATGGTGAGAAATGGGATTTTTAAAAAATAGACTTTATTGTTAGAGCAATTTGAGGTTTACAGGAAAATTGAGGGGGAAGTACACATTCCTGTATTCCCTTACTCACCCCCGACTGTTTCCCCTATTTCCTATCTTGCACATTTGTTACAGTTGATGAGGCAATATTGACACATTATTTTTAACAAAAGTTCACAGTTTACATTAGGACTCTGAGTCATACATTTCACAGGTTTTCACAAATGTATAATGACACATCCACCATTATAATATAATACAGAATAGTTTCAGTGCCCTAAAAATTTCCTGTGCACCTCCTCAGCAAATGTAGAAGAACAGAAATCACAACAAACTGTCTATCAGACCACAGAAAACTAGAACTCAGGATTAAGAAACTCACTCAAAACCGCACACTACGTGGGCACTGAAAAACTTGCTCCTAAATGACCACTGGGTAAATAACAAAATGAAGGCAGACATAAAGATGTTCTTTGAAACCAATGAGAAAAAAGATACAACGTACCAGAATCTCTGGGACACATTTAAAGCAGTGTGTAGAGGGAAGTTTATAGCACTAAATGCCCACAAGAGAAAACAGGAAAGATCTAAAATCGATACCCTAACACCACAATTAAAAGAACTAGAGAAGCAAGAGCAAACACATTCCAAAGCTAGCAGAAGGCAAGATTAACTAAGATCAGAGCACAACTGAAGGAGACAGAGACACAAAATCCCTTCAAAAAATCAATGAATCCAGGAGCTGGTTGTTTGAAATGATCAACAAAATTGATAGACTGCTAGCAAGACCAACAAAGAAGAAAAGAGAGAAGAATCAAATAGACGCAATAAAAAATGATAAAGGGGATATCACCACTGATCCCACAGAAATACAAACTACCATCAGAGAATATTACAAACACCTCTACGCAAATAAACTAGAAAATCTAGAAGAAATGGATAAATTCCTTGACACATACACCCTCCCAAGACTAAACCAGGAAGAAGTTGAATCTCTGAATAGACCAATAACAGGATCTGAAATTGAGGCAACAATTAATAGCCTACCAACCAAAAAAAGTCCAGGACCAGATGGATTCACAGCCGAATTCTAACAGAGGTACAAAGAGGAGCTGGTACCATTCCTTCTGAAATTATTCCAATCAATAGAAAAAGAGGGACTCCTCCCTAACTCATTTTATGAGGCCAGCATCATCCTGATACCAAAGCCTGGCAGAGACACAACAAAAAAAGAGAATTTTAGACCAATATCCCTGATGAACATCGATGCGAAAATCCTCAATAATATACTGGCAAACTGAATCAAGCAGCACATCAAAAAGCTTATCCACCACGATCAAGTCGGCTTCATCCCTGGGATGCAAGGCTGGTTCAACATACGCAAATCAATAAACGTAATCCATCATATAAACAGAACCAATGACAAAAACCACATGATTATCTCAATAGACGCAGAAAAGGCCTTTGACAAAATTCAACAGCCCTTCATGTTAAAAACTCTCAACAAACTAGGTATTGATGGAATGTATCTCAAAATGATAGAGCTATTTATGACAAACCCACAGCCAATATCATACTGAATGGGCAAAAACTGGAAGCATTTCCTTTGAAAACCGGCACAAGACAAGGATGCCCTCTCTCACCACTCCTATTCAACGTAGTGTTGGAAGTTCTGGCCAGGGCAATCAGGCAAGAGGAAGAAATAAAGGGTATTTAATTAGGAAAAGAGGAAGTCAAATTGTCCCTGTTTGCAGATGACATGATTGTATATCTAGAAAACCCCATCGTCTCAGCCCAAAATCTCCTTAAGCTGATAAGCAACTTCAGCAGTCTCAGCATACAAAATCAATGTGCAAAAATCACAAGCATTCTTATACACCAATAACAGACAAACAGAGAGCCAAATCATGAGTGAACTCCCATTCACAATTGCTTCAAAGAGAATAAAATACCTAAGAATCCAATTTACAAGGGATGTGAAGGACCTCTTCAAGGAGAACTACAAACCACTGCTCAATGAAATAAAAGAGGACACAAATGGAAGAATATTCCATGCTCATGGATAGGAAGAATCAATATGGTGAAAATGGCCGTACTGCCCAAAGTAATTTATAGATTCAATGCCATCCCCATCAAGCTACCAATGACTTTCTTCACAGAATTGGAAAAAACTACTTTAAAGTTCATATGGAACCAAAAAAGAGCCCACATTGCCAAGACAATCCTAAGCAAAAAGAACAAAGCTGGAGGCATCACATTACCTGACTTCAAACCATACTAGAAGCCTACAGTAACCAAAACAGCATGGTACTGGTAACAAAACAGATATATAGACCAATGGGACAGAACAGAGGCCTCAGAAATAATGCCACACATCTACAACCATCTGATCTTCGACAAACCTAACAAAAACAAGAAATGGGGAAAGGATTCTGGATTTAATAAATGGTGCTGGGAAAACTGGCTAGCCATATGTAGAAAGCTGAAACTGGATCCCTTCCTTACACCTTATTCAAAAATGATGGATTAAAGACTTAAATGTTAGACCTAAAACCATAAAAACCCTAGAAGAAAACCTAGGCAATACCATTCAGGACATAGGCATGGGCAAGGACTTCATGTCTAAAACACCAAAAGCAATGGCAACAAAAGCCAAAATTGACAAATGGGATCTAGTTAAACTAAAGAGCTTCTGCAGAGCAAAACAAACTACTATCAGAGTGAACAGGCAACCTACAGAATGGGAGAATATTTTTGCAATCTACCCATCTGACAAAGGGCTAATATCCAGAATCTACAAAGAACTCAAACAAATTTACAAGGAAAAAAAAAACCCCATCAAAAATTGAGCAAAGGATATGAACAGACACTTCTCAAAAGAAGACATCTATGCAGCCAACAGACACATGAAAAAATGCTCATTATCACTGGCCATCAGAGAAATGCAAATCAAAACCACAATGAGATACCATTTCACACCAGTTAGAACGGCGATCATTAAAAAGCCAGGAAACAACAGATGCTGGAGAAGATGTGGAGAAATAGGATCACTTTTACACCGTTGGGGGTAGTGTAAATTGGTTCAACCATTGTGGAAGACAGTGTGGTGATTCCTCAAGGATCTAGAACTAGAATTACCATTTGACCCAGCAATCCCATTACTGGGTATATACCCAAAGGATTATAAATCATGCTGCTATAAAGACACATGCACACGTATGTTTATTGTGGCACTATTCACAATAGCAAAGACTTGGAACCAACCCAAATGTCCATCAATGATAGACTGGATTAAGAAAATGTGGCACATATACAGATTGGAATACTATGCAGCCATAAAAAAGGATGAGTTCATGTCCTTTGTAGGGACATGGATGAAATTGGAAATCATCATTCTCAGTAGACTATCGCAAGGACAGAAAACCAAACTGCAGGTTCTCACTCTTAGGTGGGAATTGAACAATGTGATCATTTGGACACAGGGTGGGGAACATCACACACTGGGGCCTGTCAGGGGGTGGGGGGGTTGGGGGAGGGTTAGCATTAGGAGAAATACCTGATGTAAATGATGAGTTGATGGGTGCAGCAAACCAACATGGCACATGTATACCTATGTATCAAACCTGCACGTTGTACACATTTACCCTAGAACTTAAAGTATTAAAAAAAACAAAAACAAAAAAAAACTCCTGTGCTCTCCTGGGCTCAAGGGATACTTCCACTTCAGCCTCCTGAGTAGCTAAGACTATAAGCATGTGACCACACCAGGCTATTTTTTAAAAATTATTTTAAGTTTCTTTTTCTAGAGATGGAGTCTTACCATGTTGCTCAGGCTGGTCTCTAACTCATGGCCTCAAGCAATCCTCCTCCTTGGCTTCCTAATGTGCTGGGGTTACAGGAGTGAGCCACCATCCCTGGCCACCACTAAGTTTCTAACTTTCTCTGCAGTTTTGCCTTTTCAAAAATGTTGCATAGCAGGAATCATATACTATATGGCCTTTTCAGATTGGCTTCATTCACTTTGTAATATTCATTTAAGGCTCCTCAATGTCTTCTTGAGCCTTGCTAATTCATTTCTTTTTACTACTGAATAACGTTCCATTGTCTGGATATACCAGTTTGTTTATCTACTCACTTATTGAGGGACATTTTGGTAACTTCCAATTTTTGGCAATTACAAATAAAGCTGCTATAAACACTTGTATACAGGTTTTTATCTGGGCATAAGTTTTCAACTCATTTGGGTAAATACCTAAGAGTGCAATTGCTGAATCATATGATAAGTCTAAATTTAGCTATGTAAGTAACTGCCGGACTGTCATCCGAAGTGGCTGTATCATTTTGTATTTCCAACAGCAATGAATGAGGCATGATAACTAAATATAATGCGGGATCCTGGAGCAGACAGATACAGCCAGTAAAAACTAAGGAAATCTGAATAAAGTATGGACTTTAGTCAATAATAAGGAATCAATATAGATCCATTAGTTGTAACAATTGGATCATAGCAGTGTTAGATATTAACAAATAGGGAAAACTGGATGTGGAGTCTACTGAATTCTCTGTACTATCTTTCCAAATATTTTATAAATATAAAACTGTTCTAAAACAAAAAGTGTATTTAAATATTAAGAAAAATGACAGAATGTCATTATTTTGCAACCACCAAATGAATTCGGATAGCCATGAAGTATCGACAACTTTTATGACTGCAAAAAAAGAGACAATCAGTTAAGATGTACCTCCTATAGTCTCGTCCATAGAATTAAACTTGAGTCTGGTCCAGTCTCTGGCTCCAGCTGTCAATTTGCAGGAAATAGAGAAGACAGGAGCATGTTCATCTGCACCATAAATGTTTAAGCAACAGAAGCCAATACCACCTATCAATAGTGAAAGAAAACTAGAAAATAAAAAACTAGCAAAGAGAATGGAGCAATACACTAAAAAATTCCCAGCACTTTTGGCAGGCCAAGCTGGGAGGATTGCTTGAGCTCAGGAGTTTGAGACCAGCCTGGGAAACAGAGTGAGACCCTGTCTCTTCAAAAAATAAAATTAGCCAGGCATGGTGGCACATGCCAGTAGTCTCAGCTACTCAGGAGGCAGAGGTAGGAGGATTGCTTGAGCCCTAGAGGTTGAGGCTGCAGTGAGCTATGAACACACCACTGCACTCCACCCTGGCTGATAGAGCAAGATTCCATCTCAAATAATGCTACTAATAATAATCCATCATCATATATGTTTAAAATAGAAAGAAGAGGTTAAAATTTATAAAGAAAAAGGCAAGATTTACTTTTATTTGGAATTGTATAGACATATACCTGGAAAAACCAAGATAATCAACTGAAAGTTATTAGAAATCAGATAATTTAGCAAAGTAGTTTTAAAAATTAATAACCAAGATTGTTGCGGGATATTTGGGATGTCACTTTTCTGACCAGAAACCTCTGTGGCCAGTGGCACTTTTGCCCAATTTCTTGTCCTGCCTCCAGGAATGCAGACAAGTGGAAGGTGAACAAAATGAAGAGGAGTTTTGTTGAGTGTTACCAGCTCAGAGGAGACCCCACTCAGAGGAGACCCGCAGTGGGTAGCTCCTCTCTGTAGGCAGTCTTCCCCATGAAGTGTTCAGCTCTCAGCAGAGAGGAGGCCCTGGAAAGGGTGGCTCCTCTCTGCCCACAGGTCATCCTGTCATCTCTGCAGCTCTCAGCAGAGAGGGTAGCTCCTCTCTGCAGCTGGTTGTCCCCTCTCTCCATCCTCTGCCCTGCTCAGGCTGAGTCCCTGGCTTTTATGGACCTCAGAGGGGAGGAAGTGCCTACAGATCAGTCCATGGGCACAGAAAAGTCACCACAAGTCCCCACTCAAGTCCGCAGGTCTGGAAGCCCAGCCCCCAGTCTTCAGACCCTCCCTGCCTGAAGGTGGGGCCTTAGCCAGGACCTGCCCCCTTCCACCCAGGAGCCTGTCTGCCTCCCGTGACTGTCCATGGCACCTAGGCTGCTGGCACTGAGGGGAATCTGCAGGCCAGCACCCAGCCACCCTCAGCCCCGTGCCCAGCCACCCTTAGCCTGGCCACCCTCAGCTTCCCCCCAGATTCTGGAGGTGGCAGGGCACTGGCGTGTCAGTGCTGCCCTGAGCGTGTGCACACCCCACTGGGCTGTGACAGTCCCTCATCACAGGCCAGGCTCCTACCCCCATTCGGCTCCAAGATTGGAGTGGGTGCCAGGCAGTGGAAGCAGACACCCCCAAGGGGACGGGGGTAGGCTGGTGGCAGGGGCAACTTCCTGGCCAGAAGGTACAGGCTGCAAAAATGCCCCGGTCCTGTGCCTGGAAGGGAGGCTGCAGCTGCACCCAGGGAGCACCACCAGGGCCAATTCGGAATGGGCGGGGCTCCCACTTACCCTGGCTCCTGCCCACTCCGTGTTGCAGGAGGCCCAGGTCTGCAGCCATATACTGAATGGCTGCAGTTGCACCCAGGAGGGCAGGGATCCTGCCTGCTTCTATCCTGCTTCAATGGAATAGGAGGCCCGGGTCCACAGCTGGGGTTTGGATGGCTGCAGCGGCACCCGGGGAGCTCCCGCCTCAACTTGGAGGGGCAGGGCTCCCACCAGCTCCACGGAGCGTGCAGCCCCAGCTGGCTTCGCTGCTGCAGCCGGCGTAATGGCCGCGGCAGGCCGTCTGGAGCAGCCACTGCCATCAAAATCAATAGCTTTCCTACATGCAGTAATAACTAGCTAGCCAACATAACAGAATGCAAGATTCTACTTCAAGATGACACAAAAACAAAGTAAAAATGGCTAAGATAATTTAAATGTACAGTATGAAGAAAAATGTTAAATTCTTGATAAAACTGAAGAGACAAACGTATAAATGGAAACATACCCTATTTGAGATAGGAATATCTACCATAAAAAGGTAACAATACCCTCTAATTTTATCTACAAATTTAATGTTACCCCAATAAAAACACCATCAGTTCAACATCCAAATAATAGGAATTTCAGGAGGAAAGACCAAAGAAAATGGTAGCGAAAAAAAAAAATCAAAGAAAAATACAACTTCTTGAGCAAAAATATTCAAGGTTGAAAGTGACTTTTAGATTCTCAGTACTATAAAAGAAGAGGAAAAAAGACCCATGCCAAAGGATATGCCTAAGAAATTGTAAAACAAAAGTGATAAAAAGGAAGCACTTAAAAACTTACAGGAAGGGAGAAAAACATTACATAAAGCTGAGGATAAGAGCTCAGAAAAGCATTGGACCTCTCAGAAACAAACCCTGTGAGTTAGAAGACATCAATGGAGAAACCCCTTTAAAATTCCAAGGAAAAATCATTTCTTACAGTTTATATCCAGCTGAGCTATCACTGAAGTATGGGGGTAGAAGAGTGACTTTTTGTTGTTGTTTTTACTCATAAAAAACAAAAACAAAAACAAAAAAAAGCCTGGCCAACATGGTGAAACCTAGTCTCTACTAAAAATACAAAAATTAGCCAGGCGTGATGGTGGACACCTGTAGTCCCAGCTACTTGGGAGGCTGAGGCAGGAGAATTGCTCGAATCTGGGAAGTGGAGGTTGCAGTGAGCCAAGATCACGCCACTGCACTCCAGCCTGGGCAACAAAGTGAGACCCTGTCTCAAAAAGAGAAAATTATTTTGTTGAAAAGTTCAAACATTTAAAAGTAGAGACAATCATATAATTAATTTCCATGTACCTAACACACAGGTTCAGCAATAATCAGATTATGGCTAATCTTGCTGTATCTACATCCTAATTATGTCCCCCACATATCCTATCAGTGTGTCTCTCTAAAAGATAAGGGCTTACAAATATAGGAATAATATTATTACACCTAAAATAAACAATAGCTTCAGATATTTAGTGTTCAAATTTCTAATCATCTCATACATCTCACACTTTAAAAATATTGTTTGTTTGAATCAGGACCCATATAAGGTCTGTAGTTTGCTTTTGAAATCTTTTAAGCTATAGTTTCCTCCTCTATTTTCCTTGAAAATTATTTTCTCGCAAAAGCTTTTTCTCCCCCATTGACATTTATGTGTTGAAGAAACCGCATTATGCGACTTGTCACATTCTCCAGGTTTTGGATTATTTTGCTGACTGTGTTTCCATGGTATCAATGTTCTCCATTGTCTTGTCTATTTCTTGTGAATTGGTATTTGGACCTAGAGGAGAACAAGGATTTCCCTGGCACCCTTTCTCAGGAAGCTAATGGGGATGTGTTCCACTAAAATGAAAGAGTAGATCAAAGACCTGCAATCCAGCTTAAGAGAGTCAGGGAGGCTTCCAGGATAATGTGGGGGTGTTTCCAGATGACAGCTGTGGAGCAGATGCTAGGGGCAAAGTCCGGATGGGAGCAGGAGAGTGGGAAGAGACCTAAGGAGAATGTCTCCAAGAAAAAAACTGGAATTGATCTTATACCTGATGTGTTTGATTATTTTGAGAGCAGATTTTCAATTCTAGGGCAGAATTTTGGACTGACTTGGTAATAGCCATATAGAAAACAAAGAAATGTTAAAACAAAAATCATTGTATAAGAAAGTAAATATAAGCATAGTCCACTGCTGGTTCAGCCATGAATTATATTTACCTAATCATAATATAAACAGTGAATACTGATTTAACCTAAAAGGGCAATACAAATTTATCACAAGGATGGGAGGAGAGAATTGTGTAGGTTTGTCTGTGTATGCATGTGTGTGTGCATGAGCATGTTGGAAGGGATACAGCTAACAAGCCAAATATCTTGTTAGCCAAAACATCTTCTGGAGTAGGACATCAATCAGTAACACCTACACCTAAAAAATCAAGAAGTATTAGAGGTCAGGCATGGTGTCTCATGCCTGTAATCTCAGCACTTTGGGAGGCCGAGGCAGGTGGATTATCTGAGGTCAGGAGTTCAAGACCAGCCTGACCAACATGGTAAAACCCCGTCTCTACTAAAGATACAAAATTAGCTGGGCGTAGTAGCACACGCCTGTAATCCCAGCTACTTGGGAGGCTGAGGCGGGAGAATCACTTGAACCCAGGAGGCGGAGGTTGCAGTGAGCCAATATCACCCCATTGCACTCCAGCCTGGGCAACAAGAGAGAAACTCTTGTCTGGAGAAAAAAAAAAAAGCATTAGAAAAGGCATATGTGGTGAGCTGAGTAACGCTCCCAACAGATATCCAGGTGCTCAGCCCTGAAACCTGTGAATTTTATGTAATATGGCAAAAGGGACTTTGCAGATATGCTTAAGTTTAAAATCTTAAAACAAGATTTTCCCAGATTATCTAGTTGAACCCTAAATATATCACAAGTGTTTTTATAAGAGGGAGGCAGACGGAAATTTTACTGCAGTAGAGGAGAAGATGATGTGACCACAAAAGCAGAGATTGGAGTGATGGATCCAGGAGCCAAAGGATGCTGGCAGCCTCTGGATATGGAAGAGGCAAGGAACAGATTCTCCCCTAGAGTCTCCAGAAAGAACCAGCCCTGTTGATACCACAATTTTAGCTCCTTAAGACTCATTTTGAGATGGGTGCAGTGGCTCACACCTGTAATCCCAGCACTTTGGGAGGTTGAGGCAGATGGATCACTTGAGCCCAGGGGTTCGAGACCAGCCTGGGCAAACTGGCAAAACCCCATCTCTACAAAAAAAAAAAAAAAAAAAAAAAAAAAAAAACCAAAAAAATTACCCACGTGTAGTGGGGCGTGGCTGTAGTTCCAGCTACTCAGGAGGCTGAGGCAGGAGGATTACTTGAACCTGGGAGGCAGATGTTGCAGTGAGCAGAGATCATGCCACTGCACTCCAGCCTGGGTCACAGAGCAAAACTCTGTCTCAAAAATAAATAAATAAATTAATTAATTAAATAAAAGACTCATTTTGGATTTTCCATCTTCAGAACAGTAACAGAATAAATGTGTTGTTGGAAGCCACTACATTTGTGGCAATTTGTTACAGCAGCCACAGAAAACCAATACAGCATATTATTTAAAAATTTGAAGGTAAAAATCAGAAGCAGCAGCTAAAATATTGAATAAGGATGACTCCAGGGTTGGATGGGATTTGCTATGATTTTTATTATAAGCTTGGTGATACCATCTGACTTTTAAATATGCACATATATTACATACACTGAGGAAAATGAAAATGTAACTTAAAAAAGTATACCAGACTGAATATAGGCAGTTTTCCAAGTAAGTTCTGACAAATACTCAGGGAATATTCTTACACACATGGTTCCAGAGAGTAGAAAAAGAAGGAATCCCCACCATTCAGTCTATGAGGCTGGTATAACTGTAACAGCAATCTATCTAGACAAAAACAGTAGAAGAAGAAATGATCGGTCAAACTCACTGATGAACAAATATGCAAAATAGCTAAATAAAGTATTAGCCAACTGAGTCGAGCAACATGCATAAGTGTGTGGACTCATTTTCTATTGATGTCATAACAAATTATCACAACTTAGTGACTTACAACAGCCCAAATTTATTATCTCACATTTCTATAGGTCAGAGATCCAGTATGGTCTCTCCTGGTGGAAATCAAGGTGCCCACAGCCATGCATTCCTTTCTGGAGGATCTACGGCAACATCCATTTCCTGCTTATTCAAGTTGTTGGCAGAGTTCAGTTCCTTGCGGCTGTCAGTTCGAGGGCCGTTCTCTGCTTCTAGAGGCCACGGGAATTCCCTGGCTCCTAGCCTTCTGCTTATATCTTTAAAGCCAGCAAAGAGGCCTCCTCCCAAAGCCTCTCTCTAACTCACTCTTCTGGCTTCCTCTTCCACTTTCAAGGACTCATGGTTATAGGGAACCCACTCCATATTAAGCTCCCTGTATTAAGGTCTGCAACTTTAGTTTCATTCAGAAAGTTCCTTTTGACATGTAAGGCAACATATTCACGGGTTCCAGGAACTAGGGTGTAATCCTCTTTGGGGAGCCATTATCCTGCCTACCATGGTGTGTTAATAAATTTACAACATGATCAAACAAGGTTAATCTCAGCAGTGCTAACAAGGATATTTTATGATGGTTTAATATTAGAAAATCTACTAATGTAATTCACATTTATAAATAAATGAAAAAATGACTGTAAGATCATTTTAATAAATTTAGGAAAAGCATTTGATAATATTCAACACCCATTCATGAGAAATATTCTTATTAAATCAGAATTAGAAGAGCTTCTTTAGCCAAAAACCTAGACCAAACATCATTCTTCATGGTACAGTGTTTAAGCCAACCCTTTAAACCAGAGGATACCCAAAATTAATAGTTCCAACCAACATTGTCCTAGCTATTCTAGCCAACAAAAAGACCATGAAAATATTAATAAGTAAAAATCATAAAAGGTAAAAAAACCAAGGTTATCATTATTCCCAAGTAATATGATTATATTTGTAGAGAATCTCCAAGAGAATTGACAAACTCTTAGAAATAATAAAAGAATTGAGCAATTTTGTTAAACACAAGACCAATATAAAAAATGTCTACATATTAACAACAAATTATGCATATATATGGTTATATTCTTTATATTTAAAAATTTAAATACACATATAATATTTAAAATGACAACAGGCTAGGTGCAGTGGCTCACACTTGTTATCTTAGTGCTTTGGGAGGCCATGACAGGAGGATTGCTTGAGTCCAAAAGTTTGAGACCAGCCTAGACAAAAATAGTGAAACTCCATCTCTACAAAAATAAAAAAATTAGCTGGGTGTGGTAGCACACCCCTGTGGTCCTACGGGAGGCTGAGGCAGGAGGACTGCTTGAGCCCAGGAGGTTGAGACTGTAGTTAGCCACGATTGCACCATTGCACTCCAACCTGGGCGACCGAGGGAGACCCTGTCTCCAAATACCTACCTATATACATGCATATATACATACACACCTACAATTAAAATGACAACAAAAACCCTAAAGTACCTAGGAACAAATCTAACAAAATATGTCCAAAATCTCCATGGAGAAAAGTATAAAGCTTAACCAAAGGATTTAATAGAAAACTTAAAGAAACAATGAGATACACCATGCTCAGGGAAGGAAGACTCAACAAATAAGTAAATAATTTTAATATGATGGTAATCAAAATTACCACGGGGTTTATTGTGGAACCCAACAAGCCAATCTGAAAATTCCTGTGGAAGAGCAAAGGATCAAGAATAGCTGAAACACTCTTGAAGAGGACAGAATATTGAGACTTAGTAGAGCCACGGTGGAGAGAGGGGAAATCCTCACCATGCAGCACTGTAATTGCTGTTATCACTGCTGTTCTTGGAGTATTCTTGATGAAGAGAACTCCTTGCCTGCCACCATTGTTCCCAGCACACAGAGACGGTTAATGTAAGTTTGCTTGATACATGAATCAACTTTACCCCTTTTCTTCAGAAGGTAAGAACACTACACCTTCCCCGTTTGGCTCCCGTGGCCCACAGAGACATAGGTCAGCCTGCCCTGTGGTAATCAGTTCTGCACCATGTCTCAGGGACCACTTAGGGGACCCCCCTTGTAGCTGCATCTGGGAAATGTGCCTCAGGCTCCAGGGCAAGTCTGATCTTACCCTGCCAAGAGGGCCCACCTGAGTCAGCCCCATCCAGCCCTCCATCTTTGCTGGTGTTTTAGAAATCCATTCATGTAGTCATGCATGGATAATACTTATTACTAAAATGAGATAGAGTTCAGTGAAAATTCTGTTCCTCTTGTTCATTTTCATCAATGTAAGTATGGAGTATCCTTAGTCACATAATAAGTAGATGGGAATGGGAGGAGATGTGTTATAGCTATTCATTCAATTCTTTGAACTCCTTCCAATTTTATGCCAAAAATCACAAAGAAATATATCATCAAATAATTTAAATGTAGAACTTTAAAAAATTTCCCTTGTCTGTAATATGCCAAGTATTAAAATATTTCTTCTCGATTGAATTAAAAATTATTCATATTATGTATTTTATTAAAATGATATGTCATTTTATGTATTATGACTTTTTAAAGCGGTTATTAAACATAGAAAAGTTAAGAAAGGCACTTCCAAAATGTTACTTTCAATAATTAGCTTTCAAAAAATTGATGCAGGCATTATGTCACAGGAAAATGGTTAAAGTGTTCACTTCAATTATTATACATATTCTGTATGACAAAGAAGTACATTGGGTGATGAATAAAGCTTAAGCATTTTATAATAGGATAAAATACTCAGGAAAATAGAATGGAATAGGGGTGCTGGAGACTGATGCTTGGAGCTAGAGACCAGGGTCTGGGAGCTGAGGAGTCTAGGGATTGGTGGCTGGGGACAGAGGAACCCAAGCTGGGGATTTGGGATCCTGACATATCCCTTCTCTACACCCAGCTTTCTTACCCCCAGCCTCCATTTCTTTTCAACATACCATTTCTCAAATGATCCTGAAAGAAGACATTGTTCTTTTTTGCCATTTTTCACATTTTTTTCAATGTGTTCATATTCCTCCATTATCCTTTTCAAATGCTGAGGGCTTTTGACTCTTACAAGAGCCCTGTTCCTCCCCAAATGTGACATTTTTATTTATTTATTTATTTATTTATTTTTTTGAGATAAGGTCTCACTCTGTCACCCAGGCTGAAGTGCAGTGGCACGATCACGGCTCACTGCAGCATCGACCTCCTGGGTTCAAGCAATCCTCCCACCTCAGCCTCACAAGTAGCTGGGATTATAGGTGTGCGACACTATGCCTGGCTATTCTTTTTATTTTTTATTTTTTGGTAGAGACAGGGTCTTTCTATGTTGCCCAAGCTGCCCAACTGTGATTTAAAACAGCTCCGCCTCTGCTGCCTAGGATATTTACACCTGCCTAGGACCAAAACCCAGAGACACGGGCATTATATTTTAAGAGTCTAGAGTGGCCAAGTGTGGGGGCTTACGCCTGTAATCCCAGCACTTTGGGAGGCTGAGGTGGGTGAATCACTTGAGGCCAGGAGTTCTAGACCAGCCTGGCCAACATGGCAAAACCCTGTCTCTACTAAAAATACAAAAATTAGCCCGGCTCAGTGGTACGTGCCTGTGGTCCCAGCTACTCGGGAGGCTGAGCCATGAGAATTGCTTGAATCCAGGAAGCAGAGGTTTCAGTGAGCCGAGATCACGCCACTGCACTCCAGCCTGGGTGACAGAGCAAGACTCAGTCTCAAAAAGAAAAAAAAAAGAGTCTAGGGTCATGTGACGTCTCTTCCAGACAGCTGAAGACAAGAGACCTAAACAGGGACCTAAGAGCACCCAAATATCCCACAGTCTAGGGTTTCCAAACAAATCTCTCAGAACCTCAAGGGGAAAGCTGAAGAGTCACCTCTCCTCTCAGAACCAGAATTACTTGCCTCCCTTTGAACAGTCTTAATGAAATGGAAATGTTAGGAGGCAGGAAAACAGAAATCAGCTCAAGGTTTCCTCCCATCATTTATTCCCTATGAAAATTCAGAACCAATTAGAGAACATTTTCTAATAATAAACTCACTGTCACCAGTGGTGTTAGCAAAACATAATCTGTCATTAAATTATTGTCCTTGAGTTTCGTTGATTTTATGGCTGAAATTTTATTTTGGTTTTCTATAGCCATGAGCATGTGTTTTATGTTGGCATTTGCTATAAAAAATAATTTAAATTCACACAGGGAGTCTGAAGGGGGTCTGTACCCTTGCTCAAAGTTGAAAAACACTGCCTTAATGTATTGTACTGTACAGACTTTGGAGAGCAGCAGTAATGAGAAAAGGAAAGCCAGGCCCCAGCTCAGACATGCTGTGTACTGCTGCCCCAGAGAGAGGAACTGGGAACCAGCACTGGTGACATTCACTCCAGGGGGCTGTGGGGTAGGTGTGGGAGGGTTGCTCCAGGAATGTACAAGGGGGTAACTGCACCATACCGTGCAGCACTCAGGACTCTCATCTGCTAGTGGCAGACATCTCAACTAAGACTGGCTCAGGCCCATAGGGAATATCCCTGCTTTGGGAGGGCCCCAAGCCAGCTGGAATCTCCAGGATAAGTTCAGGACCCTTCCTTCTTTTGCCCTGATGCCCTCTGCATTTAGTTCCATTTTGGCCAACATCAGGAGGGATTCCTCCACTGGGGAGTGGGGGCAAAGCTTCAATTTAACATCTTCCCATCTTGGCACCCACAACAGAAGTAACCTTATTTCTTCCATGGTCTGCATATTATCTGGCCAAGAGCATGTAGACCAGCTTAAATCCAGGAAATAGCCCAGACCTGAATCCTGTGCCTGTCCCATGGCCAATGAGAAGGGGCTGGTACTACAAAAAGGGGATGAAGGGGAAACTATGCTGACCAAGGCAATAGCCCCATCATTCACCACCCTAGTGTGCCTGCTGGACATGTTTCCATAAACCCCAGTCCCTCAGCAATACCAAATACTGGCAGGCAGAGTGGTACCCTGTGGAAGTATTAAAGAAAAAATTGTTTCTACATTTATTAAAATAAGGAAGAATTTATTCAAGACTATTACAATAAGATTATTTCAATAGAGATGAGAGATTGGGCTCAACTTTGAATACAGCAAGGACCAGCAGGTATTGATAGCTGTAGGAGACCAGAATATGACATCTCCAAATATGACTGCAGAGAACCAGAATATGTCACCCCAAGACAGGCCTTTTTGTCATAAGAATAATTTTAAGAAACTGCAGTCACAGGAGAAGCACTGAAAACAGAGTGGGAGTTACCCTTTTGTAAGGGAAATTTACATCTGTAAAGGAAATCTCCATTTGTAATGGTGCCCTCCTCTCTGTACCAGGAAAGAAGGATGACTAAGCCACTAGAGACTCTTACTGATGGAGAAAGCACTGACTTAAATTTGCATAACAAACCTTATCCTTGTTGACCAAGCTTTTTCTAGTCACCTTCCCATAATCCACCTCCCCCACACTCTTCTTGCTTTGTTTCAGCAGATAATGGTATTGAAGCCTGAATTTACAGGCAGCTCTCAGAGATTTATTCATTTCACTGGGCATGAAGCCAAGGGCAAACCTGACTAGGCTCTTCAGACTTTTACCTGCTTTTCTTGCTTTTAGCTGTTTTTTTGTTTGTTTTGGGTTTGTTTTGTTTTGTTTAAAGACTCCTTTCAGCCTCACTATAGATAACTTATCTGACTATGGGTCACAAAGGTAATGATTGCCTAAGTTGTTTTTCAGGAACTTAAAGTCAGCTCTTGTCCAGTTCAAACTGGTTGAAACCACCAACCCTTCAACTGGGCCTGTGTAAATGTCCAGTGGGTGACCTTTTGACATCAGAGACCTGAGAGCTCCAAACTCAGATCATGCTAACACTACCATTTTTCAAACATGCATCCTATGAAGAGCCATGAAGCTTGACTACGCTTATACAGAACACCGATTATCTCACTTTTCCTTATCCCCAATCACTTTTCCCCATGCCTCAGACCACTCTGCTCCTCTAACCCATAAATAACCCTAAACCCCATCTTTGGGGAGGCGATTTGAAATCTATTCTCTTGTCTTCTTGCTTGGCTGCCATGTGAATAAACCCTTTCTCTGCTGCAAAACTCATTGTCTCAGTGACTGGCATATTGCATGGCAGACAAAACAGGCCTGGTTCGGTAACAGGTATCTCCTGTGCATACATTAGGTATACATGCTATTAAACCCTGTATGTTTTTCTCTTGTAAATCTGTCATTTGTTACAGGAAGCCCTAGCTAAGAACTCAGAAAGGGTAGAGAGAAAATTATTTTTCCTCCCCACCAGTATAGCCAAGGAGCAAAGCAAGGAGGGTCAGTGGATGGAAAATTACTAAGAGGAGACATTAAAGACAGGGAGATTCTTGCTACACTGACTGAATAGGATTCTTGCCAAAGGCAAGCCAAGGACTTAGACATCAAAGATGGAGGGTGAGGAACTTGATCAGATATGAAGAGCGGAGGATTCTCTCTAAACTGACTTAGCAGGATTCTTGCTAAGACTGGGCTCTGCAGGCCTGGGAAGGACAAGACAGGCACAGAAGGCTAAGGCTGAGGCCAAGTCAAGAAGAGAGCTCCAAGGAACCTGACTAAAGTTTGATGAAGGAAAATTTGCCAGAAAAGTTACCTAACCTGGGGCTTGAAGGCACGAAGATCCAGGATAGAGGGGCTTTGGTCTCTACTGTTGGAGGGCAAAATCAATTGCAAGCATATGTTCCTGAGTGCTAATGCAGAATGGGGACACCGATAGGGAAGTCATGAAGCTGCTCTTGGGCTACGGGAACAACTTCCTGTAATCACCCAATGGGTTCGTCTTGTCCACTTCTTACCCAGAGCCAATTTATCAAGATGGAAATTGCAGTGAAGAAAGAGTAATTCACACAGAGTGGGCTGTATGAGAGACTGGAGTTTTATTATTACCCAAATCAGTCTCCCTAAGCATTCAGGGATCAGAGTTTTTAAGCATAATTTGGTAGGTGGGAGGCCATTGAGTTGGGAGTGCTGATTGGTTGGGTCAGAGATGAAATCATAGAGAGCAGAAGCTGTCCTCTTGCACCGAGTCAGTTCCTGGGTGGGGGCCACAAGACCAGATGAACCAGTTTATTGGTCTGGATGGTGCCAGCTGATTCATCCAGTGCAGGGGCTGCAAAATATCTCAAGGACTGATCTTAGGTTTTATAAGAGTGATATTATCCTCAGAAGCAATTTGGGGTGGGTCAGAATATTATAGCCTCCAGCTGCATGACTCCTAAATCGTAATTTCTAATCTTGTGGCTAATTTGTTAGTCCTACAAAGGCAGTCTAGTCCCCAGGCAGGAAGGGGTTTGTTTTGTCAAAGGGCTATTATCATCTTTGTTTCAAAGTTAAACTATAAACTGATTCTCCCAAAGTTAGTTCAGCCTGTGCCCAGGAATGAACAAGGACAGCTTAGAGTTTAGAAGCAAGATGGAGTTGATTAGGTCAGATCTTTTTCACTGTAATAATTTTCTCAGTTATAATTTTGCAATGACAGTTTCATTCCAAAAGTGTGAGGTCCCAAAACTAAAGCAAAAGATTACTGTGTGCCCCTTTAAACTCACAGGGGAGCATTGCTTAACATGGCTAGGGGGCAGTTGTTATCTAGAGAAACCTGGTTTGACATATTATTGTGTCAACCTAAATAACAGAGAGAGACTCTCTAAAAGCAAATGATACTTATTCAGGAATATAGCATTGCAATGCAACTATATGTGCCATAGTAAACTGTGTATTCAGGTAAGTAAAGGAAGACAAAGGTTTTTAATGGAAAATGAGAAGTGTAACTGGTGTTGACAGAAAGAGTCAAACTTTGTAAAATGTTTAAAGAGGTTTATTCTGAGCCAAGTATGAGTGCCTAAGGCCCAAGACACAGTCTCAAGAGGTCCTGAGATTGAAACCACCCTTGCAAAAACTGTAACTGAGGAAATTATGACAATGAAAGACATCAGACCTAACCAACTCCATCTTGCTTCTAACTTTTAAGCTGTCCTTGTTTATTCCTGGGCATAGGCCAAACTAAGCTTGGGAAAGAATTTAGTTTACGGTTTGACTCTGAAAAAAAAAAATTGTTAATAGCCCTTTCCTGAAAAGACCCCCTTCTTACCTGGGGACCAGTCTGCCTTTGCAGGACCAGCAAATTAGCTACAAGATTAGAAAGTACTGCCAGGCGCAGTGGCTCATGCCTGTAATCCCAGCACTTTGTGAGGCTGAGGTGGGAGGATCACTTCAGGTCAGGAGTTTGAGGTCAGCCTGGCCAACATGGTGAAACCCTGACTCTACCAAAAAAAAAAAAAGTTAGCTGGACATGGTGGTATGCACCTGTAGTCCCCAGCTATCAGGAGGCTGAGGCAGGAGAATTGCTTGAACCTGGGAGGCAGAGGGTACAGTGAGCCAAGATTGCACCACTGCATTCCAGCCTGGGTGACAGAGCAAGACTCAGTCTCAAAAAAGAAAAAGAAAGGAAAGAGAGAGAGAGAGAGAAAGGGAGAAAGGGAGACAGAGAGAGAGAGAGAGAGAAAGAAGGAGGGAGAGAAAGGGAGAGAGAGAGAGAGAAAAAGAGAAAGAGAGAGAGAGAGAAAGAGAAAGAGAACAAAAGAAGGAAGGAAGGAAGGAAATAAATTACAGTTTAGGGGTTATGCAGCCTCTTGCTGCAAGAGTCTGAAGCTCCCCAAATTGCTCCTGGGGATAACATTACTATTGCAAAACCTAAGATCAGTGTTTGATCTGCAGACCCTGAATTTGATGGATTAGCTGACACCACCCAGACCAGTAATCTGAATCAGTCAGTTCTGTGATCCCACCCAGGAACAGAAGACGGAAAGAAAATGTCACTTAGACCCCCCTATGATTCCATCTCCAACCTACCCAATCAGCACTCCCTACTTCCCAAGCTGCTTCCCACCAAATTATCTTTAAAAACTGCAATCCTCAAATGCTTGGGGAGACTGATTTGAGTAGTAATATAACTTTGGTCTCCTGCACAGCCAGCTCTGCATGAATTACTCTTTCTCCATTGTCCAGGCAGCAGGCAAGGTGAATCCATTGTATGGTTAGAAGAACATGTGCCTAAGGTGGCTGGGTTTTAGTTTGGCTTTATACATTTTAGGAAGACATAAGACATCAGTCAGTACATGTGAAGTATATATTGATTTTGTGCAGAAAGGTGGGACAACTTGAAGCAGGGGGCTTTCAGGTCATAGGTGGATTCAAGGATTTTCTCATTAGCAATTGCTTAAGAGAATTAAGTTATTATCTAAAGACTTAGAATCAATGGAAAGGGGTGTCTGGGTTAAGATAAGGAGTTGCAGAGATCAAGGTTCTTATTATGTAGATAAAGTTTCATGGGTGTCTCATAGATGTCTCTAAGGGAGTGCCTTAGAGATAATAGATGGCACGTTTTTCCTATTCAGACCTTTAAAAGGTGCTAGATGCTCAGTTAATCTCTTCAGGACTGGGAGAGCCTAGAATAGGAAAGATCTAGTTGTGTTAATATAGATTCTTTACAGATGCAAGTTTCCCCCTACAAAAGATAGCTTTTCAGGGCCATTTCAAAATATGACAGATAAACATATTTTGGGATAAAATATTTTTATTTCCTTTTTTATCTCTCATGTAATTGTTGTTAAGAACAAATAGTTCCTCTTCAAAGGGTTTCAGTTCCTGGTTAATTGTTCTATTCTAAAAGGTATTCATACCCATTCATCTATCAGCCCTCTCTAACTCTGTTGTGCCCAAACACCCCAAGATGTACCGTACCCGTCCTTCCCGTCAAACACCCATCCTTGCCTCCTTTGATGATGTCAACAGTAGCCAATCGGAATTAGTCTAGATTGTGTGGTCTGATCCCAGCCCACAGGAAGAGGACACAGGAGCAGGGTCTGTGTTAGGGATAAAAAAACTCCTGCTCTCCTTCGTTTTGCATGCTTTCCCTTGCCTCTGTCTTGCATGAAGACAGCACCCTTCTATAAAAGTAAATTCCCTTACTGAGAAAACTTTTGCCTGAGTGCTTGTTTTACCTTGTGGCACTAAAAATTTGCTTCTAACAATTTGGGGGCTCATCCGGGATTCCCACTCTCCTCCAGGGAAGGGGTCTCTGATCATCTCCCAGGGGGAGACCTGTCACACTGCCTCATTGCAGTGGCCTCAGGGGCTAGAGATTGAGACCCCACCTGCTGTGATGAATAAACCCGGACTCTCAGCAACATGGGTAGAAAAGACTTGCCTACAAACACCGCAGCAAGCAGGTAACTTTGTACACAGACCAAGGTAAGAAAAGCTGTTGGGGGGGGGTGGCAATGAAGTACTTCCTTGGTGGTCGGATATCTTGGAGGTTGAAAGTGTGTGTGAATGATAAGCACTACTGCTGTGCAGAGTAAGTGGGTCCTATCTGCGATTCCGTGGTCACCTCATATGGCTTAGGGTGGATCCTGCCATGGGGCTTATACCAGCATGCCAATGCTAAGAGGGACCTAATTTCCCACAAGAGAAGTGGCCAGATAGGATGAAGCTAACGGAAAGGAGTGCAAGAAATCTCCAATAAGGGGGGTTGAGTCTCTAGAGAAAAGGGAAGACAAGAAATCTCCAGTAAGAGAGGTTGGGCCACATACACACTCAAGGGACATTCCAAAACCTCCAAGATGGGAAACGCTTCTAGTACAACAGGGAAAGGTAAAGACAGGGATACTCAGATCCCCTCCAATAGCCCTTTAGGTCTCAGGCTAAAATATTGAAAAGAGAATGAGAGGACTAGACACAAGAAGAAGCAACAGATGATAAAATATTTTTGTTTCACTTGGGCCAAGGAAGCCATCCTCAAACCTGCCGTCTTCTGGCCAAAATACGGATCAAATGAGGATTGGATCTGTCAACTTTTAATTCAGTATGTAAATGACAAAAGTCCAGTCTCGCAGGAAGAAATATACTATGCTGTCTGCTGGAGAAAAGGACATGTTCTCCTCTTTCCCCTAAAGAATGCAAGGGAAGGGTCAGATTTCACACTCCCCAAATTTCACAACCCCTAGGCAGAGAGATCCCAATGCCTGGGACCCTCTAAACTGCTTTCCCCTGTTTAATTCCATACCACTTGACCTGCCCCCTCCCCAGACAACTGCTGCCACCCTGGACCCAGTCCCAGATCCTTCTCCTATGCCTATTATTCCTCCCCCTTATAACCCTGACTCTTGGGAATTACTGCCACCCCATGAGTCTGGCTCCTTGTCAGCCTAAGTATCCTTCCCTGAAGGAACTACAACATGAAATAGAGCAATGTAAAAAAGATATTCAAAATCTTCCTTTCCCCTCTACCTCTAAGGAATCAACTCCAACACACTTCCTTCCCTTACCCTAAGGAGGAGGAGCTATTGACTTTGTAAATGCTCCTTTGACTAGTTCAGAGGTTTGAGGTTTAAAGAAAGAACTGAAGCCACTGCTACATGATCCATATGGTGTAACAGAGCAAACTGATCAATTCCTAGGTCCCCAGTTATATACCTGGGCTGAATTGATGTCCATCCTGGGTATCCTTTTCTTAAGGGAAGAAAGGGGGATGATTCACAGGGCTGCTGTGACAATTTGGGAATGTGAACACCCTCCTGGCCAAAACATTCCTGCAGCAGACCAAAAATTCCCGGCCCAAGATCCTCAATGGGATAACAACAACACAGTCCACTGGGAAAACATTAAAGATCTTAGGAAAATGATAATCAAAGGAATCTGGGAGTCAGTGCCCCATGCTCAGAATCTTTTCCAGCTTTTGACATACAATAGGAAAAAGATGAAGACCCCATGAAATTTCTAGAAAGACTAAGGGAACAAATAAGGAAATATACAGATTTACATCCAGAAGACCCTTTCAGGCAAGAAATGTTAAAGCTACATTTTGTCACAAATAGCTGGTCAGACATAACAAAGAAGTTGCAGAAACCAAAAAATTGAAAAAACCAGTCCATAGAGGAACTCCTAGGAGAAGCCCAAAAAGTATATGTGAGGAAAGATGAAGAAAAGCAAAAACAAAAAATGAAACTTATGCTATCCACATTCCAACAGGTGGCTTCAAGCCCACACACTTCTAAACAGAGACTCCAGGGGGCCAGGAATTATAAAGGGTCTAAACCCCTGTTTGGAGGACCCAAGCCTCCAACTAGGGGACCCAGACCCTCAGCTACCAGGCCCTCTACAGAGTATGGGGGAACAAGGTCAAATAATCCCAGAACTGAGAGAGAGGGAGGACAGGATAGGTGTTTCAAGTGTGGAAGAACAGGCCACTTCAAAAGAGAATGCCCCAGGTAGGGAAAGAAAAAAGAAATTGTCCTGCTCATGGCATTCAAGGAGGAATAGGGAGATCAGGGGCTCTGTCTTTTCTATCTCCAGTCCCACCAAAAACCCTTGATAAATTTAGAGGTGGGACCCAAACATGAGCTTATCACCTTTTTAATAGATCCAGGGGCTGCTTGCTCCTCTGTTTACTATTGGCCGTCTAATATAAACTACTCATTAGAGGAACTTTTTGTCTCGGGGTGAAAGGGGAAGGATTTAAAGCCAAAGTTTTAGAAGAAACGAAAGTTAAATACAAAAATCGATCAACTAGTATTAAACTCCTACTAATCTCTGAAGCAAGAACAAACCTGTTAGGAAGGGACCTGATGTTAAAACTGGACATAGGCCTGCATGCCTGCCCTGAAGAATTTTTCACTTCATTTAACCTTCTCACCACCACAGAAAAAAGTTACATTCATCCCAATGAGTCATCAAAAGAAGGGAACCGAGGGAAAATATGAATCCCCCCATTCATATAAAGTTGAAAACCCCTGGAAAAATAGTAAGGAGAAGGCAATACCTAATTCCTCTAGAAGGCAGGATAGGCTTGAAAACTGTGATTCAAGGTGTTATTCAGGATAAGTTACTTGAACCCTGTATGTCTCCATATAATACCCCTATAATACCTTTAAAGAAATCAGATGGGTCATATTGACTAATACAAGAGCTCCAGGACATTAACCAAATAGTCCAAACCACTCACCATGTTGTCCCCATTCTATATATTATCCTCAGCAAGATTCCATATGACCATCAGTGGTTTACAGTAATAGACTTAAATGATGCCTTTTGGGCATGTCCCTTAGCTGAAGACAGCTGAGACATATTTGCTTTTGAATAGGAAGATCCTCATTCAGAGCAGAAGCAACAATACCACTAGACGGTCCTGCCCCAAGGATTTACAGACTCTTCCAACCTGTTTGGCCAAATTCTTGAACAAGTTTTGGGGAAGATATCTGTCCCAGAATCTATATGCATGCTCCAATATGTAGATGACATGCTTGTGTCTGGGAAAGTCATAGAACAAGTATCTGATTTCTCCATCAGTCTTCTCAATCACCTGCAAGGGGACAGATTATGCGTATCAAAGGGAAAGCTCCAATTTTTAGAACCTGAAGGCAAGTATTTAGGGCACGTGATAAGTGCAGGCAAGTGAAGAATAGGACCTGAAAGAGTCAAAGAAATTGTGTTCTTACCCCCGCCTAGTACAAAACAAGAGCTTAGAAAATTTTAGGGCTAGTTGGATATTGCTGCTTGTGGATTGATTCATGTGCTCTAAAAGTCAAGTCAAGTCTCTGTACTCCCCAAGCTTACCCAAGAAAAACCTTACCCCTCCTTTGGGCCCCAGAGGAAGTCAATGATTTTAAGGAATTGAAACACTTACTCATAACTGCCCCTGTTTTAGCTCTGCCTTCCCTCAAACAACCATTTCACCTCTTTGTCAATGTAAATAAGGGATAAGTTTTAGAGGTGCTTACCCAAGAACATGGGGGCCACTGGCAGCCTGTGGCCTTTTTATAAAAAATTCTAGACCCAGTAACCTGCAGATGGCCCAAATACATTCAATCTATAGCGGCCACTGCTTTGTTGATTGAGGAAAGTAAAAAGCTACCCTTGAGGGAAAATTAATTGTTGACACACCTCACCAAGTTAGAATAATATTAAACCAAAAGGCAGGTAGATGGCTTACAAGCTCAAGAATTCTAAAATATGAAGCCATTTTATTAGAACAAGATGACTTCACTTTCCCCAGTGACAGTGCCCTTAACCCAGCTGCTTTCCTAACTGGGAATCCAAACCCCAAAGATCCTGAACATGACTGCTTAGATCTCATTGACTACCATACTAAGGTTAGACCTGATTTAAGAAAACCCGCTTTTAAAACAGGACGTCATCTTTTTACAGATGGCTCCTCCCAGGTGGTTGAAGGAAAAAGACACAGAGGATACTCTGTCATAGATGGAAAAGTTGTTGCTGAAATAGAATCTGGAAGATTGCCAAAGAATTGGTCTGCTCAAACTTGTGAATTGCTCATGTTAAAATCAGGCTTTAAAATATTTACAAAAGCAAGAAGGTACCACCTATACTGACTCTAAGTATGCCTTTGGGGTAGTGCACACCTTCAGAAAAATTTAGACTGAGTGGAGCCTAATAGCAAAGATCAGGACCTTGTCCACAAAGAATTAATCACTCAAGTTTTAAAAAGCTTACAATTACCAAAAGAAATAGCTGTTGTACATGTCCCAGGGCACCAGAAAAGTTCTAACTTTGAAAGCTGAGGGAATAACCTTGCTGATCAAATTAGAAAACAAGCTACCGTCTCTCAAAAAGCACCTATCTTCCACCTGACTCCCTGTATCTCACCCCCAGTTACAATCCCTATCTTCTCTCCCATGAAAAGGAAAAGTTAGAGAAACTAGGAGCTAAAGAAAACTCAGAAGGGGAAGTAGGTGTTACCAGATCAAAGGAAAATGCTTTCCAAACCATTTATGAGAAAAATCATGTCCCAACCACATCAAGGGACTCACGGGGGACCTCAAGCTAGGTGTGATGCAGTTCTCAGAGTCTATGGAAGTATAGGAATCTATACCTTAGCAAAACAAGTTGTGGACAATGGCCTAACATGCAAAAAAATAACAACAACAACAACAAAACTAATAAACAGGCCCTAAGGAAACAACCTTTTGGGTCAGAAGCCCAGGACTAAGGCCATTTCAAAGTATTCAAGCTGACTATACTGAAATGCCCCCACTAGGTCGCTTTAAATACCTAATAGTAATAGTAGACCACTTCACTCATTGGATTGAAGCCATTCCCTTCCCCAGTGCAACAGCTAACAATGTGGTTGAAATATTACTAGAAAACATAATACCTTGGTTCGGGCTAGTAGAAAACATTGACTCTGGCAATAGAACTCATTTTACTGCAAATATCATTAAAGGACTTACTTAAGCTTTAGAAATTAAATGGAAGTATCATACCCCCGACATCCATCCTCGTCAGAAAATATAAAAAAGCTGAATCAGCCTTTCAAGAATCATCTAACTAAGTTAATTTTAGAAACTCAATTACCCTGGACTAAGTGTCTCCCCATCACTCTACTCAGGATCCAAACTGCCCCTCGAAAAGATGTTGGTCTATCCCCTTATGAAATGCTCTATGGGTTACAATGCTTAAGTTCCACTAGTGATATTCCCACTTTTGAGACCAAAGATCAATTCCTTAGGAATTATATGCTTGGTCTATCTTCTACCTTATCTTCCCTTAGGACTAAAAGTCTCTTAGCGCAAACCTCACCTCTTGAGTTTCCAGTCCATCAGCACCAGCCCAGAGACTACATCCTCATTAAGAGCTAGAAAGAAGAAAAACTTAAACTGTCCTGGGAGGTATCATATATAGTGCTCCTCAACTAAAACTGCAGTTCAAACCGCCGAGAAAGAATGGACCCATCACACCCAAGTCAAAAAAGTGCTGCCCCCTTCAGGGTCAAGGGCCATAGTTCGAGGGGAAAATCCTACCAAACTAAAGCTAAGGAAAGTTTAACTCTATTTCATCTATTCTATTACTCCTTCTTTCCTTGTTCTGTTGCTAGCCATCTCGTTATTAATGTAACTAGATCAGACTCACCCCAGACCACAACCTTTGATGCTTGTTTAGTTATATCTTGTGGGGATCTCCAAAGCCAGAGACAGCTTGCAGCAGCAAAAAAATCTCTCTGCTCCTCCATAGCAGATGCTTCTAAAATTGTTTAGGTACTTATTTTGTCATACTTGAGAATATGTCATTTGAACCACTCAATGTCAAGACTGGGTCCCCTCAGATGATTTCCCACTATCAGTTCTAAAGCCCTATATCCATTTTACTAAAGAAAGTGCCACTCCTAATTGTCAACATAACCAATGTAACCCAGTACAAATTTCCATCACCATCCCAACTCTTCAAGATTCCTCCCCAACCCTAGACCATTTTTATGGTACGAGAACAGATGTAACAAAAAAAAGACCCCATAGGATTTTTCGAGTTACACATCATTACATCCTCATCCCTCACATCTCCACCTCTATCCTCTTCTAAACCTGCTGACCAGACCACTCTCTCTTCACCTAATGACAAAACCAAAGTAGCTATTGTAGAGGTTAAAAATTTAAAACAAACACTGGCAATTGAAACAAGATACCAAGATACAAATGCCTGGATGGAATGGATTGAATATTCTGTTCACACTCTAAACAAAAACAACTGTTATGCTTGTGCACACTGAAGCCAGAGGCCCAAGTTTTCCCCTTTCCACTTAGACGGTCTTCTGACCAACTGGACATGAGCTGTATGGTGGCTCTTTTCCAAGACCCCACAGCCTGGGGTAATGAATTCTGTCAAATTCTCTCTCTGCTATTCCCTGAAGTTCAACACCCTGTGGGTCAGCCCCAAAGGGCCATCCAGCCTCCATCTCCAGATGCCAATTTTACTTCATGTCTCTCATGACAGGGAGAAAATTTGGCGTTTCTTAGAGATCTAAAGGTATACAGTAAGCTTAAATCTTTCCAAGAGCTTACCAATCAGTCTATCCTTGTTCATCCCTGAGCTGATGTATGATAGTATTGTGGTGAACCCCTACTGGACACTCTGCCAAGTAACTGGAGTGGCACTTGCACTCTAACTCAATTGACCATCCTGGCATTTCATCAACCAGAAAAAGGGAAAACACAGCATCATAAAATGAGAGAGACCCCTCATGGATCTTTCGACTGTCATGTCTATATAGATGCAATTGGAGTCCCACAGAGGGTACCTGATAGATTCAAAGCCTGAGACCAAATAGCTGCACAACTTGAATCATTATTTCCATGAGTAACTATTAATAAAAATGTAGATTGGATAAATTACATCTATTATAACCAACAATGATTGATTAATTACATTAGGGATACTGTCAAAGGAATAGCTGAACAATTAGGGCCTACTAGCCAGATGGCTTGAAAAAACAGAATGGCCCAGATATGACATTAACAGGAAAAGGTGAAGTTTGTGTTATGATAGAAACCCAATGCTGCACCTTCATTCCCAATAATACAGCCCCTGATGGAACAATTACAAAAGCTTTACAAGGTCTTACCTCCCTATCCAATCAATTAGCCACAAATTCTGGGATAAACGACCCTTTCACAAGATGGTTAGGGAAATGGTTTGGTAAATGGAAAAGACTCATGACCTCTATTGTTACTTCTCTTACAATTGCAATAGCTGTGTTTATTCCTGTTGGATGCTACATCATACCCTACATTTGTAGACTAGTCCAAAGACTTATAAAAACAACTGTTACCAGAACATTTCCTAGTTCTTCCCAATCCTATACAAATAAATTATTTCTCCTGGAAGAACAATAAAGCCAAGTCAGGTTAGATAAGCTTGAAAAAAAAATGTATAAATTCAACAGGGGGAAATTGTTGTTAAGAACAAATAGTTCCTCTTCAAAAGGGTTTTGGTTCCTGATTCTTTGTTCTATTCTAAAAGGTAATTGTACCCATTCATCTATCAGCCCTCCCTAACTCTGTTGTGCCCAAACATCCCAAGATGTACCATACCTGTCCTTCCCATCAAAGGCCCACCCTTGCCTCCTTTGATGTCAACAGTAGTCAATTGGAATTAGCCTAGATTGTGAGGTCCAACCCCAGCCCTCAGGGGGAGGACACAGGAACAGGATCTGTGTTAGGGATAAAAAAAACTCCTGCTCTCCTTTGTTTTGCATACTCTCCCTTGCCTCTGCCTTGCATGCAAAAACACCCTTCTATAAAAGTAAATTGCCTTACTGAGAAAATTTTGCCTGAGTGCTGGTTTCACCTTGCAGCACTGAAAATTTGTTTCTAACATAATGTTATGCCAGCATCAGGTTGGAAAGTAAGCCACATTATATAGGATTAAATAAAACCCATCTGATGAGATTTTATGGGGACCAACTCCACCTTGCTTCTAACCTTTAAGCTGTCCTTGTTCATTCCTGGGTGTAGGCTGAACTAACTTTGGGAAGGAATTCAGTTCACGGTTTGACTCTGAAACAAAATTGATAATAGTCCTTTTCCGAAATGATCCCCTTCTTGCCTGGGGACCAGTCGGCCTTTGTAGGACTAACAAATTAGCTACAAGATTAGAAATTACAGTTTAGAAGTCATGCAGCCTCAGGCTGCAAGAGTCCAAACCTCTCCAAATTGCTCCTGGGGATAACATCACTATTGTAAAACCTAAGATCAATGTTTGAGATATTTTGCAGACCCTGCACTCCATGGATCATCTGACACCACCCAGATTGGTAATCTGGCTCAACCAGTTCTGCCATCCCACCCAAGAGAAGAAGACAGCAAGAAAAACTCATTTTGACTCCCCTATGATTCCATCTCCAACCTGACCAGTCAGCCCTCCCTGCTCCCCAAGCCCCTACCCACCAAATTATCTTTAAAAACTCTGATCCCCCCAGTGCTCGGGAAGACTGATTTGAGTAATAATAAAACTACTGTCTCCACACAGCTGGCTCTGCATGAATTACTCTTCCTCCACTGCAATTCCTCTGTCTTGATAAATCAGCTCTGTCTAGGCAGTGGGCAAGGTGAACCCATTGAATACTTACAAAAGTAACCCCTCCCTCGCTTTGTTTCTTGCTACATTTATAGCTACCTATTTGCTTGAAAATTCCAAATGCTAATGTTTAAACAATCCAGGCAAGAAGCTGAGATGGCAGTTGCAATTTTCCCCTTTTTGAGAAGAAACCAGTGCTTGGTTAACCCATAACCCAATCCCTGCCAAGATGAGTCAAACCAGGCCTCTGGATGGTCCATTACTCAAACTAGCCATCAGAAAATGACAAGCAGTGCTGCATCCCAGACCACTTCTGTGCATGGTTTCCATGCAACCTTTCCCCTTAAGACCCCTTTAGTGGCATGGTGCCAGAGGAGGAAGTGGTGAGGTTGTTGCCTGCTCTGTGCCCACCACTGGCTCTTGGGGCACAGAGAGGGGCTGCAGTCTCCACGGCTGCCTCATGCTCTCCTGCAGTCCTCTCCATGTTCCCTGGCACCACCACTCCTGTTCCTAAGGCCGCTGCTTACCCCAAGGTCTATGGAAGTAATGGAAAGACCCCTCAACCTGGCTCATCAACAGAGCAGATGAGCAGACCGTTTATTAGCAGCAGACAAATATGAAGAGGCTATTTCTTGTCACAAAAAGGCTGCAGCCTATCTTTATGAAGCCATGAAGCTGACACAATCTGAACAGTAAAAGCTGAGCTTTTACTGGAATTGCAAAGGGATAGTCACATGAAACAGCTCCTCCTCATCCAAGAGAGATGGAAAAGGCCCCAGCATGAAGAAAGATTGAAAGCCCAGCAGAACACAAAGGATGTAACCGCCCATCTTCAGGCATCTCACAAACCCTCTGCAGAGGATGCAGAGTGCCAGAGCCCCTTTTCTCAGAAGTACAGCCCTTCCAGAGAGAAACGCCTGCCTGAGATTCAGGGGATCTTTGAAAGGGACTCAAACACACTACTATATTTACTTCAGAAAAAGAGTGAGCCAGCAGAGCCATGTATTGGAAGCAAAGCCCCAAAAGATGACAAAACAATTATAGAGGAGCAGGCATCCAAAACTGCAGATTTGAAGAGGCATGTGGAATTCCTTCTGGCTGAGAATGAAAGATTAAGGAAAGAAACAGCTAAAGGTTGAAAAGGCCAGACTTCTAAAAGGTCCAGTAGAAAATGAGCTGGATGTAGACGCTGATTTTGTAGAAATGTCAGAGTTATGGAACTTGCCACCACATTCAGAAACTGCTACAGCCTCCTCAACCTGGCAGAAGTTTGCAGAAAATACCGGGGAAGCCAAGGACATTCAATTCCCAATCTTCCTCCCTTGGATTTTTCATCTCCAGAACTTCCCTTTATGGAGCTCTCTGAGGATATTACGAAAGGATTTATGAATAATTAAAATGGAAGGCCACATAAGAGGGAAGAGGAAATAATATAGTAATAGTTAATGCAGAAAAAAAAATGAAAAGGGAAAACCACATAGAAGGGTCATCCCGGAAATGCTTCATCTGGCGGACTGTGGGAGAAGATGCATTGCCAGGACTTGGGAAACAGTGTCACTGTGAAATGTGTCGCATATCTGATTCACTGACTTGAGCTAATGATTCCGACTTGGCAGACACTGAACTCATGGAGGTTCAGTTTCTCCTGATACAAACCAAATGGCTTCCTGGAATAATTTTTTTTTCAAGCAACATTTTTTCTTATCATCAGGGTTAAAATGTATAAAAGTATGTTATGCATAATTAATCTACAATGCCATAAATGATAATGCAAAACCTAAATAATATTGTGGCCTGAGGGACTACCTTATATTTGAAACAGCCTTTCTATCATTCATTGACTGTATGCATCTTGTTAATGCATATATTGTTTAAATAAGGTGTGTTAAGAGACACACCCCTCTAGATGAAACTATATGTGCCACACTTTGAACTACTCATAATTATAACCTTAAGACTATCAGGAGAAATATTTAAATTTCTACTTTATGAAGAAAGGAACCAAATTATTATGCTTTTTTAAACAAATTACCAGTTTACATAATTAATCAGGGTACATTTTAAGTTCTAACTTTGTTTAATGTATAATGCATCATTTGCAAATACCAAGGAGGAAATACCCTTTGGTTTTAATGATGTGAGAGTGGAAGTAATGCTAGTTGGCAGTATTTGATTGTAAGAAATCAATAAAGTAATTGTGTTTTTTTTAAAAAAAAAAAAAAGTTGGGTGCAGTGGCTCATGCCTGTAAATCCCAGTACTTTGGGAGGCCAAGGCAGGCAGATCACCTGAGGTCAGGAGTTCGAGACCAGCCTGACCAACATGGAAAAACCCCATCTCTACTAAAAATACAAAATTAGCCAGGCATGGGGGTGCATGCTTGTAATCTCAGCTACTCAGGAGGCTGAGGCAGGAGAATTGGTTGAATCTGGGAGGTGGAGGTTGCTGTTAGCTGGAATCACACCATTGCACTCCAGCCTGGGCAACAAGAGTGAAACTCCATCTCCAAAAAAACAAAAACAAAAAAACCCTTTAGCCAGCTTGAGGTTGGTTGGTTGGTTTGTTTTTTCGTGTGTGTGTTTTTTTTTTTTTTTTTTTTTTGGAGACAGAGTCTTGCTCTGTTGCCCAGGCTGGAGGGCATTGGTGCAATCTCAGCTTACTGCAACCTCTGCCTCCACGGTTCAAGCAATTCTCCTGCCTCAGCCTCCCGAGTAGCTGGGACTACAGGCATGTGCCATCATGCCCGGCTGATTTTTTTTTTTTTTTTTTTTTTTTTGCATTTTCAATAGAAATGGGGTTTCACCATGTTGGTCAGGCTAGTCTTGAACTCCTGACTGTCAGGCCGCTGAGCCCAAGCTAAGCTATCATATCCCCTGTGACCTGCACATATACATCCGGATGGCCTGAAGTAACTGTAGAATCACAAAAGAAGTGAAATTTAAATGGCCTGTTCCTGCCTTAACTGATGACATTCCACCACAAAAGAAGTAAAAATGGCTGGTCCTTGCCTTAACTGATGACATTACCTTGTGAAATTCCTTCTCCTGGCTCATCCTGGCTCAAAAAGCTCTCCCACTGAGCACCTTGTGACCCCCACTCCTGCTCACCAGAGAACAACCCCCCTTTTTCTTTTACCTACCGAAATCTTATAAAACGGCCCCACCCTTGTCTCCCTTAGCTGACTCTCTTTTTGGACTCAGCCCACCTGCACCCAGGTGAAATAAACAGCCTTGTTGCTCACACAAAGCCTGTTTGGTGATCTCTTCACAGGGACGCAAGTGAAATTTTGGTGCCATGACTCACATCAGGGGACCTCCCTTGGGAGATCAATCCCCTGTCCTCCTGCTCTTTGCTCCATGAGAAAGATTCACCTATGACCTCGGGTCCTCAGACCAACCAGCCCAAGGAACATCTCACCAATTTTAAATGAGGTAAGTGGCCTCTTTTTACTCTCTTCTCCAACCTCTCTATCCCTCAACCTCTTTCTCCTTTCAATCTTGGCACCACACTTCAATCTCTCCCTTCTCTTAATTTCAGTTCCTTTCCTTTTCTGGTAGAGACAAAGCAGATGCATTTTATCCGTGGACTCAAAACTCTGGCACCGGTCACAGACTCAGGAAGACAGTCTTCCCTTGGTGTTTAATCACGCGGGGATGCCTGCCTGATTATTCACCCATGTTTCAGAGGCGTCTGACCACGTGGGGATGCCTGCCTTGGTCCTTCACCCTTAGCAGCAAATACCATTTTTCTGGGGGGCAAGAACCCCCCGACCCCTTCTCTCCATGTCTCTACCCCTTCTCTGCTTTCCTGGGGGGCAAGCACCCCCTACCCCTTCTCTCCTGTCTTTACCCTACCCCTGTCTCTACCCTCTTTTTTCTCTGGACTTGCCTCCTTCACTATAGGCAACCTTCCACCCTCCATTCCTCCTTCTCCCTTAGCCTATGTTCTCTTAAGTTCTGAAGACTTAATACCTCTTCAACTCACACCTGACCTAAAACCTAAACACCTTATTTTCTTCTGCAATGCTGCTTGACCCCAATACAAACTCGAGAGTGGTTCCAAATAGCCAGAAAATGGCACTTTTGATTCTTCCATCCTACAAGATCTAGATAATTCTTATCGTAAAATGGGCAAACAGTCTGAGATGCCTGACGTCCAGGCATTCTTTTACACATTGTTCCCTCCCTAGTCTCTGTTCCCAATGCGACTCATCCCAAATCCTCCTTCTTTCCCTCCCGCCTGTCCTCTCAGTCCCAACACCAAGCATCACTGAGTCTTTCTAATCTTCCTTTTCTACAGACCCATCTGACCTCTCCCCTCCTCCCCAGGCTGCTGCTCACCAGGAGGAGCCAGGTCCCAATTTTTCCTCACCCTATAATACTTTTATCACCTCCCCTCCTCACACCCAGTCCAGCTTACAGTTTGGTTCTGCAACTAGCCCTCCCCTACCTGCCCAGCAATTTCCTCTTAAAAAGGTGGCTGGAGCTAAAGTCACAGTCAAGGTTAATGCTCCTTTTTTTTTTTTTTTATCTGACCTCTTTCAAAATCAGTAAGTGTTTAGGCTCTTTTTCATCAAATATGAAAAACCCAGCCCAGTTCATGGCTCATTCGGCAGCAACCCTGAGACACTTTACAGCCCTAGACCCTAAAAGGTCAAAAGGCCATCTTATTCTCAATATACATTTTATTACCCAATCTGCTCCTGACATTAAATAATGCCCCAAAAATTAAATTCCAGCCCTCAAACCCCACAACAGGACTTAAACTTGCCTTCAAGGTATACAATAATAGATCAGAGGCAGCCAAGTAGCAATGTATTCCTGAGTTGCAATTCCTTGCCTCCACTGTGAGACAAACCCCAGCCACATCTCCAGCACACAAGAACTCCAAACGCCTGAACCATAGCTGCCAGGGGTTCCTCCAGAACCGCCTCCCCCAGGAGCTCGCTACAAGTGCTGGAAATCTGGCCGCTGGGCCAAGGAATGCCCACAGCCCAGGATTCCTCCTAAGCCATGTCCCATCTGTGTGGGACCCCACTGAAAATTGGACTGTTCAACTCACCTGGCAGCCACTTCCAGAGCCCCAAGGCTCTCTGACTGACTCCTTCCCAAGGCTCTCTGGAACTCTGGCCCAAGGCTCTCTGACTGACTCCTTCCCAGATCTTCTCGGCTTAGCAGCTGAAGACTGACGCTGCTCAATCACTTCGGAAGCCTACAGGACCATCACAGATGATTTCAGTAACTCTTACAGTGGAGGATAAGCCCGTCCCCTTAATTAATACAGAGGCTACCCACTCCACATTACCTTCTTTCCAAAGGCCTGTTTCCTTTGCCTCCATAACTGTTGTGGGTATTGACGGCCAGGCTTCTAAACCTCTTAAAACTCCCCAACTCTGGTGCCAACTTAGACAATACTCTTTTAAGCACTCCTTTTTAGTTATCCCCACCTACCCAGTTCCCTTATTAGGCCGAGACACTTTAACTAAATTATCTGCTTCCCTGACTATTCCTGGGCTACAGCCACATCTCATTGCCACCTTTTCCCCCAGTTCAAAGCCTCCTTCACATCCTCCCCTTGTATCTCCCCACCTTAACCCACAAGTATAAGACACCTCTACTCCCTCCTTGGTGATTGATCATGCACCCTTTACCATCCCATTAAAATTTAATCACCCTTACCCCACTCAATGCCAATATCCCATCCCACAGCGGGCTTTAAAAGGATTCAAGTCTGTTATCATTGCCTGCTACAGCATGGCCTTTTAAAGCCTATAAACTCCCCTTATAATTCCCCCATTTACCTGTCCTAAAACCAGACAAGGCTTACAGGTTAGTTCAGGATCTGCACCTTATCAACCAAATTGTTTTGCCTATCCACCCTGTGGTGCCAAACCCATACTATCCTATCTTCAAGACCTCCCTCCACAACCCATTATTCTGTTCTGGATCTCAAACATGCTTTCTTTACTATTCCTTTGCACCCTTCATCCCAGCCTCTCTTCACTTTCACTTGGACTGACCCTGACACCCATCAGGCTCAGCAAATAACCTGGGCTGTACTGCCACAAGTCTTCACAGAGAGCCCCCATTACTTCAGTCAAGCCCAAATTTCTTCCTCATCTGTTACCTATCTCGGCATAATTCTCATAAAAACACACGTGTGCTCCCTGCTGATCATGTCCGACTGATCTCTCAAACCCCAACACCTTCTACAAAACAACAACTCCTTTCCTTCCTAGGCATGGTTGCGTACTTTTGACTTTAGATACCTGGTTTTGCCATCCTAACAAAACCATTATATAAACTCAATAAAAGAAACCTAGCTGACCCCACAGATCCTAAATCCTTTCCCCACTCCTCTTTCCATTCCTTGAAGACAGCTTTAGAGACTGCCCCCACCCTAGCTCTCCCTGACTCACCCCAACCCTTTTCATTACACACAGCTGAAGTGCAGGGCTGTGCAGTCAGAATTCCTACACAAGAACTGGGACTGCACCTTGTAGCCTTTTTATCCAAACAACTTGACCTTACTGTTTTAGCCTAGCCCTCAAGTCTGCCTATGGCGGCCACTGCTACCCTAAAACTTTTAGAGGCCCTTAAAATCACAAACTATGCTCAACTCAATCTCTACAGTTCTCATAACTTCCAAAATCTATTTTCTTCCTCACACCTGACACATGTACTTTCTGCTCCCAGGCTCCTTCAACTATTCTCACTCTTTGTTGAGTCTCCCACAATTACCATTGTTCCTGGCCCAGACTTCAATCCAGCCTCCCACATTATTCCTGATACCACACCTGACCCCATGACTATATCTCTCTGAACCACCTGACATTCACTCCATTTCCCAATATTCTTTCCTGTTCCTCACCCTGAACACACCTGGTTTATTGATGGCAGTTCCACCAGGCTTAATCACCACTCACCAGCAAAGGCAGGCTATGCTATAGTATCTTCCACACCTATCATTGAGGCTACCACTCTGCCCCCCTCCACTACCTTTCAGCAAGCCAAACTAGTTGCCTTAACTCAGGCCCTCACTCTTGCAAAAGGACTATGCGTCAATATTTATACTGACTCTAAACATGCCTTCTATATTCTGCACCACCATGCTGTTATATGGGCTGAAAGAGGTTTCCTCACTCCGCAAGGGTCCTCCATCATTAATGCCTCTTTAATAAAAACTCTGCTCAAGGCCGCTTTACTTCCAAAGGAAGCTGGAGTCATTCACTGCGAAGGCCATCAAAAGGCATCAGATCCCTTTGCTCTAGGCAATGCTTATGCTGATAAGGTGACTAGAGAAGCAGCTAGCATTCCAACTTCTGTAACTCACGGCCAGTTTTTCTCCTTCACATCGGTCACTCCCACCTAGTCCCCCACTGAAACTTCCACCTATCAATCTCTTCCCACACAAGGCAAAATGGTTCTTAGACTAAGGAAAATATCTCCTTCCAGCCTCACAGGTCCATTCTACACTGTCATCATTTCATAACCTCTTCCATGCAGGTTACAAGCCGCTAACCCATCTCTTAGAACCTCTCATTTCCTTTCCATCGTGGAAATCTAACCTCAAGGAAATCACTTCTCAGTGTTCCATCTGCTATTCTACTACCCCTCAGGGATTGCTCAGGCCCCCTCCCTTTCCTACACATCAAGCTCGAGCACTTGCCCCCGCCCAGGACTGGCAAATTGACTTTACTCACATGTCTCGAGTCAGGAAACTAAAATAACCTCTTAGTTTGGGTAGACAATTTCACTGGATAGGTAGAGGCCTTTCCTACAGGGTCTGAGAAGGCCACCACAGTCATTTCTTCCCTTTTGTCAGACATAATTCCTCGGTTTTTAGCCTTCCCACCTCTATACAGTCCAATAGCAGACGGGCCTTTATTAGTCAAATCACCCAAACAGTTTCTCAGGCTCTTAGTATTCAGTGAAACCTTCATACCCCTTACATTCCTCAATCTTCAGGAAAGGTAAAATGGACTAATGGTCTTTTAAAAACACACCTCACCAAGCTCAGCCACCAACATAAAAGGACTGGACAATACTTTCACCACTTGCCTTCTCAGAATTCAGGCCTGTCCTCAGAATGCTACAGGGTACAGCCCATTTAAGCTCCTGTATAGACGCTCCTTTTTATTAAGCCCCAGTCTTTCCAGACACCAGACCAACTTGGACTGCATCCCAAAAAACTTGTCATCCCTACTATCTTCTGTCTAGTCATACTCCTATTCACCATTCTCAACTACTCATAAATGCCCTGCCGTTGTTTACACTGCCTATTTACACTGTTTCTACAAGCCATCACAGCTGATATCTCCTAGTGCTATCCCCAAACCATCACTCTTAACTCCCTCTTAAAGTAAATAATCTTTGCTGGCAGGGCTATGCTGAACCTCCTTAGGCATTCTCTAATTGGATGTCTTGGGTCCTCCCAATTCTTAGTACTTTAATACCTATTTTTCTCCTTGTCTTATTCCATTATTTTTTCAATTCATACAAAACCATATCCAGGCCATCACCAATAATTCTATATGACAAATGCTCCTTCTAACAAACCCACAATATCACCCCTTACTAAAAAATCTTCCTTCAGCTTAATCTCTCCCATTCTGTGTTCCCACACTGCCCCTAATCCCACTTGAAGCAGCCCTGAGAAACATCACCCATTATCTCTCCATACCACCCTCAAAAATTTTTGCCGCCCCAACACTTTAACACTACTTTGTTTTATTTTTCTTATTAACATAAGAAGATAGGAATGTCAGGCCTCTGAGCCCAAGCTAAGCCATCATATCCCCTGTGGCCTGCACATATACAGCCAGATGGCCTGAAGTAACTGTAGAATCACAAAAGAAGTGAAATTTAAATGGCCTGTTCCTGCCTTAACTGATGACATTCCACCACAAAAGAAGTGAAAATGGCTGGTCCTTGCCTTAACTGATGACATTACCTTGTGAAATTCCTTCTCCTGGCTCATCCTGGCTCAAAAAGCTCCCCCACTGAGCACCTTGTGACCCCCACCGCTGCCCACTGGAGAATAACCCCCCTTCTTCCTTTACCAACCGAGATCTTATAAAATGGCCCCACCCCATCTCCCTTCGCTGACTCTCTTTTCGGACTCAGCCCACCTGCACCCAGGTGAAATAAACAGCCTTATTGCTCACACAAAGCCTGTTTGGTGATCTCTTCACACGGACAAGAGTGAAACTGACCTCAGGTGATCTGCCCGCCTCGTCCTCCCAAAGTGCTGGGATTACAGGCATGAGCCACCACACCTGGCCCCAGCTTGAGATTTTTGAGATGGCTTTTAGAGACTTGAGTCTGGCCATCTCCCAAGCCACGAGCACTTGAATAAACCTGCTTTCCTTTTGCCAATCCTCACTTCTCACATATCTGGCTTTTTGAGTGGTGAGCAGCTGAACCTGAGCTCAGTTACAGAATAACACAATTGTTTTGAGATAATTATGCTTGGCTACAAGGATCAATAACAAGGGGTGGGGGCACCAGTCTGAGATTGGGCAGGCAGTTGCTAGACGGATGTCCTTGCAGAAAATATATTTTGTGTAAGGTTGTGATGGCCTTTGTGCAAGGTTGTGGTTTTCGCATAGTCTTTTGTGATAGTTGGTAATAGGCCTTCAAGTATGAGAACCCTCTCTTCATGGCTTTCCCTGACTCTATTCATCAGGGTTTTGTTATTTTTATTTTTATTTTTAACACAAGTGACTCTATTTTAATTCTGACACCTTTCACAATTGGCTCCTATGGACATACTATTGACTGATCAGACTGTGATGCTAGATATTGACTTATAGATGATGGATAAGTTGTAAACGATTTCTGTCTATTGGTTATGAATTCTTACCCTGTGGGCATTAACTAGTTCTGTACCGAATTTAGCAATCTCATCACTGAATTATTTCTTTCAATTGTGGCAGTATACGTGGATTTCATTGAAAATCATTTTATTGCTGAGGCAACAGACTTAGGCAGTGTTTTTCAACCAGTTTATGCAAATACTCAAACTAAGCTCTAATACTGGTCACTCCCAAGATGATCTGAGCATTCCACCTGCAGAAGACTTAAAACACTGTCAGACACCTGAGGATTTTCTAAAGCCCCACGGGTACTAATCTCAGCAAGGGCGGTAGGAACAGCTATTTGCATAACTCACACTTCCCAGGTTTAGAAACTTATTGATTTAAATATGCAAAAAAGCCTGGGGCAGGGACTGAGTAGGTGTGACCGACAGCCTGATGGCTCTGCTTAGCATCAATTAGCATTTCAAAAAGTGTCAAGTTGCTGGAAGACCTTTTTTTAATTGCTGCTAATGGGGGGTTCTAAAGGCAGCAAAGGAGCTATCTGGGTGCAAATCTCTTGCAAGAGAAAGGTATCCAAAAAGGGAATGTGGGAGGTGAGATGAGGGGTGGGGTGGGGCTTCAGCAATAAATATGAAAAGACACTTCATCATCAGATTTTGGAATCCTTAAAGCCTGATTTTCTACAGAACCTCTTGAATTTTTTATTCACAGTGGATCCTCAGCGCCAGGGTTGGCCACTTGCCTTTAACATCCCTGTGGGTAATGCAGAGACTGCTCCAAACACTAAGAAAAAAAAGATGGCTTTCTGTTGCCTGCTGTCATTTGATTGTACTCTTCTAAAGAAAATAGAGCCCATCAGCACAAAATCACTCCCTTCTCATTACTGAGGATATTTTCCGTTTGAGCAGTTGAGGGTAGGAGATGGCAGGAAGTTGAAAAGCTAATGTGACTTACCCAGTGTGGAAATAAACAAAAATTGCCTGGATGAGAGCAGTCAGAGGGAGTCAGCCACAGCCACCATCATGGTCTTGGGCAGAGACTCCAAGGCAGGCAGGGAGAGGGGACGCTTCGTAGTGGAAAATGGGAGGCTTCAGGTGGGCTCTGACTGAAGGCTGTTGGTGTAGGAAAGTGGAGGTGGGCTGACTAGAAGTGAGGACTTCCATATTGTTGCCAGGTAGAACGAGGTCCAGCTGCTTGTTCTTGTGTTCCAATAATGAGATGCAGACAGACTGGGAAAGAAGGGAGTTTCTTATTGAGCTGTGTTATTTCTGCAACCAGTTACAGGGAGAAGGTGAGAGTAACTCATCAGACCAACTCAAAGTTACAAGGTTTTTCTAGTGCTTATATACATTCAGTGCATCTACAAGCTGAAAGCCAAGGTGTTCCACTCTATCTAATCTTTAACTAGGGTCCAGGATCTAGACAATTACTTCAGAGCCTTAGAAAGATGACTTAATCTAAAGTGTATCCGGGTACAAGGTATGCAAGAACGTCTCCATTATTTTAATTAAACTCTAAGATCTGAGAAAGCCCAGGTGGTTTCTTAATGAACTTGTTTTTACATTCTAGCCATTGTACTAAGTTTAACTTATGTTAAACTTAATTAATTAAGTTAACTTATGTTTAATTTGTACATTTACCAGAGCTACAGTAAGGTGCTGGTGAAGGCTGATTGCCCTGGTTGCTAATGGAGACCCGGCCTGCCACACTGTGACTGCTTTGGTGTGCATATTTGGCTGTCTCTGCTTGGTACCAAATTGGGGAGGAGGCAGGGATAAAAAATATAGGGAAGCCACAGTCAGTGTCGAGTGCTGACCCTCCTGGGCTGGTTGCTGCAGAAGTTGTGGGTCAGAATTCCATTGTCTTATATGGTCTGGCCATTGTCTGCTTGTATAGTCTGTCTCTCACCAGGTCACATTAATCATAAAAACCAAGAGGAAATGACTTGTTCTTAGATCATGGTAAGAGCCCCTACAAATCTGGAGCACAAATGGCAACCAGTTTAGGAACACCTACTATTATGCCTGAAATAGCATTCAAGGGAGCCCTTGTCTCTTCTTCCCACTGTCACCAGGAAAGTGGGCTGCTTGGCCAGATGCCAGCAGCAGTTAGATGAGCTAAGTTGCTGGGCTAGTGTAGTAGTCCGTTTTCACACTGCTGATAAAGACATACCCGAGACTGGGTAAATTATAAAGAAAAAGAGGTTTAATGGACTCACAGTTCCACATGGCTGAGGAGGTCTCATGATCATGGTAGAAGGCAAAAAGTACGTCTTACATGGCAGCAGGCAAGAGAGAGAATGAGAGCCAAGCAAAAGGGGTTTCCCCTTAAAAAACCATCAGATCTCATGAGACTTATTCATTACCATGAGAACAGTATGGGGGAAACTGCCCCCATGATTCAATTGTCTCCCACCGAGTCCCTCCCACATGTGGGAATTATGGGAACTACAATTCAAGGTGAGATTTGGTCATGGACACAGCCACACCATATAAGCTAGGGTCCAAGGGTCTGAGGATGCTCAGCTGCTACAATGCCTATCCTGGGCTTCTTGATCAGTGAGCCTCCAGATGTTTCCTTTGGGGACTTCTTAATCAAACACCGCATTCAGTGGGGACATCCATGCTGTGGTCAGAGCCAGGAGTGGTCAAGATGCATGTGTGGTGGGTCATGGACTTGGGAAGGGCAGCCATAGGACCTAAAAGCTCACCCCCTCAGGATAGCCTGCTGACCCACCCAACCCAGAGGCCCGGGGCCCAAAAGACTGGAGAGATAGCACAGGAAGAAAGTCTAGCATGAAAGACTGATCAATCAACAAAAGGAATGAACCAAGGAGAGAAAGAAAACCAGAATGACTTGCCGTCACCACAGTTCACTAAGTCGGAACAGAATCTGTTTTGGACTGCAGCTCAAGCTTCTCACAACTACATGATAGAGGATGGAGGAACTGCCCTCAGCAATGGGTGGTCACAGTCACCCAGAGGGCCAGACCACCCAAAAGAGACCTCGAGTCCCTTCTCACTTTTTTCTCCAAACAGAGGAACCCTATTGTTACATTGTGGCTGTTTGGCAGAATGTCTTTTTCATTTACTTCTATTCTTCCTCTCCTAGAGCTTTTGCAGGGGGCTCCCAGGCTAGAGAAGAAACAGGCGGCCAGTGGAGGCCCTTGCTGGAAACCCATCTTGGGTGATGTCTGTTTGCGCTTCAGCTTAAAATAACCTGGCCCTTGAGGCTAAATGGAAAGAACTTTGTGTTTAAAGTCAGGAGATCTGGGTGTCAGATGGCCCTGGCTAAGGCATTTAAACTCTCACTGTTTATTTTAGAAACTGCCAAAATTAGGGATGCATCCCTGTTTGAGCCCGGTCATGCTCTCCTTCTTTTTATTGCAATGTGATATAAAGCACGGGACTCCAAGAAACAGGCAACATACAAAAGGTTTCATTCTCTTATTCGCTTTGGAAGGCAAGTTGTATAAAGTCCGCACCTTATCTGGGTGTCCCTTTCTGCCTGAAAGTGGGATTCCACACCTGACTAAGTGCCCCAGAGCTGGCTTGGTTTACTTGTCTCTGGGGGCAAAAAACAGAGAGGGCTATGACTGAGACTGTATCTCTGCCACCTTTCCTGGGGGTAAGGGGTCCTGACCATTTTTATCTCTTTCTTCAGGGCAGAAACTCTGGGTTAAAAGTGACATGTAACCACAGTGTTCTTCCTTCATAGGATACACAGGGATACAGACTTCCCCCTAATCCTGAGTAGGGATATTATTCAACAAACAAGCATGATTTTCAAACAAACAGGAAAAATTTACCAGAAATTTGCAAAATTGCAAGTACTTTTCCTTGTTGCAGATACACAGTACATGTCCTGGAAAGGAAAGTATTAATCCTCATATCCCTCACTTTAAAAAAAGACAATCGTTCTATTCATCCTATCTGTTGCCAATGAGAAGGGAAAATCCTTGACTCCATAAAGGAAAATTTTCTCCCAAAGTCTCTGATGGTTAATACTGGGTGTCAACTTGATCGGATTGCAGGATACAAAGTATTAATCCTGGGTGTGTCTGTGAGGGTGTTGCCAAAAGAGATTCACATTTGAGTTAGTGGGCTGGGAAAGGAAGACCCATCCTTAATCTGGGTGGGCACAATCTAACCAGTTGCCAGTGCAGCTAGAATATAAAGCAGGCAGAAAAATGTGCAAAGTAGCTTCCCAGCCTACATCTTTCTCCTGCACTGGATGCTTCCTGCCCTCAAACACTGTATTTCAGTTTTGAGACTTAGACTGGCTCTCCTTGCTCCTCAGCTCGCAGACAGCCTATTGTGGTACCTTGTGATCATGTCAGTTAATACTTTCTCCCTCTCTCTCTCTCTCTCTCTCTCTCTCTCTCTCTATATATATATATATATATATATACACACCATTAGTTTTGTCCCTCTAGAGAATCCTGACTATACAGATTTTGGTACCAAGAGTGGTTCTAGAGGAATAGAATATTAAGGATGGAGTTCTTTCATTGGTTTTGGGGTTCCTAGAGTTGGCTGCTTAATATGATTAGACTAAAAAATGCTGCTAAGGACTCTACTTCTAATAGTAAGGAGAACACTGATAGCCCTTGGCATGAACTGTTTAGAGAGTTATGTAAAATAAATGCATTTGACACTTCTGATTCACTGGTTGTGAGAGGCAAGGAGTTTAGTGACTCTATACATAATACTTTTGACCATATATGGAGAACCAAGGAACATAATGAAGCTGGCTGGTTGTTCCTAAGTTTAATGGACAAATTGATGAAAGAAAATGATGAACTCAGGGATTCTGTCTCCTGGCTTCAGACGAAGATACTGAGCCTCAAATCTGCTAAGATTGTCCTGAGTGAGTCTTATCTCCTGTAGAGAAAGAGCTGAATGGGTGGAAAAACAGACACAAGCTCTTATCATATGAGTGGCTGACCTGCAATGAAAGATGCATGCACAACCTCACCAGGTGTCTACTGTTAAAGTGAGGGCATTGATTGGAAAAGAATGGGACCCTAAAACTTGGAATCGGAACATGTAGGAGGAGCCTTATGAAGCTGAGAACACTGAGTTTGTAAACTCTGATGAACCTTTCTTGCCAGAAGGAACAGCTTCCCCATCACCAGTAGTGGCAACATCCCCTCCCTCAACCATGCTGCCATCAGCCTTTCCACCTTTGTCTGAGGAGATAAACCCTGTGCTGCCTGAGGAAATAGTGATTGCCTCCTCTGGGGCAGCTGCCAGGCAAAATAATGTTGATTCTCCCCAGAAGCCACCCCCAACACTCTTGTTTGCTTCTAGATCTATAACTGGAATAAAGCCCCAGAGGGCCCCTAGAGGTGAGATTCAGAATGTGACCCATGAGGAGATGTGCTACACTAGAAAAGAACTGTTTGAGATCATAGGCATGGGAATGGATATTAAGGGTATGGGATAATGATGGAAGGAACGTAGAGTTGGATCAGGCTGAATTTATTAATTTGGGCCCACTAAGTAGGGACTCTGCATTTAACGTTGCAGCTCGGGGAGTTAAAAAAGGTTCTAATAGTTTATTTGCTTGGTTAGCTGAAATATGGGTTAAAAGGTGGCACACTGTGAGTGAGCTGGAAATGCCTGATCTCCCTTGGTTTAATATAGAGGAAGGGATCAAAAGGGTTAGGGAGATTGGAATGGTGGAGCGGATTAGTCATTTTAGACTTACTCATCCCAGTTGAGGCAGTCCAGAAGATATACCCTTGACCAATGCCTTGTGAAGTAGATTTGTGAGGGCAGCACCTGCATCTTTGAAGAGCCCTGTAATTGCTGTTGCATGTCAGATCTAACAGTGGGAACTGCAGTCACTCAACTATAAAATTTAAATACAATGGAAATAAGTGGATCACAAGGTGGCAGGGGCCAAGTGGCAGCACTCAACTGTCAAAGACAAGGAGGGTGTAGCTACATAATGGACAGCAGAGACAAAGCAGCAATCAGAATAGTCTGACTTGTGTAGTGCTCTGGCATTGGCTAATTAATCACAGTGTTCCTAGAAGTGAAATTGATAGGAAGCCTACTGCATTCCTGCTTAATTTATATAAGGAGAAAACTTCTAGGTCAGATGGACAAAAGACTAATTTTAATTATAAAAACAGAATAATGGACCCTGAATTTCCAGACTTGAGCAAGTTTACACAGAACCCCTTGAATGAAGAGGCGGCCAGGTCCCCTTGAGGAAGGACCCCACTACACTACCCACAATTTATGCTGTTACTCTTTCTCCCACCCTTCCCCAAGGAGTCCTCTGGCCTTTTACCAGGGTAAATGTGCATTGGGGAAAAGGAAATGATCAGACATTTCAGGGAATAAGCTGAAGCTGACATTGATTCCAGGTGACCCAAAACATCACTGTGGTTCTCCAATTAAAGTAGGGGCTTATGGAGGTCAGGTAATTAATAGAGTTTCAGCTCAGGTCCAACTTACAGTGGGTCCAATGGGCTCCCAGACCCATCCTGTGGTCATTTCCCCAGTGCCAGAATGCATATTGGCATAGACATATTTAGCAGCTGGCAGAACCCCTGCATTGGCTCCCTGACTGATGGAGGAAAGGCCAAATGAAAGCCATTAGAGCTGCCTTTACCTAGAAAAATAGTAAATCAAAAAAATATCATATCCCTGGAGGGATTACAGAGATTAGTGCCACCATCAAGGACTTGAAAGATGCAGGGGTGGTGATTCCCACCACATCCCCCTCAGCTCTCCTATTTGGTCTGAGCAGAAGACAGATGGATCTTAGAGAATGGCAGTGGATTATCATAAGCTTAACCAAGTGGTGACTCTAATTGTGGCCACTGTACTAGATGTGGTTTCATGGCTTGAGCAAATTAACACATCTCCTGGTACCTGGTATGCAGCAATTGATTTGGCAAATGACTTTTTCTCCATTCCTGTCCATAAGATCCACCAGAAGCAATTTGCCTTCAGCTGGCAAGGCCAGCAATATACATTTACTATCCTACCTCAGGGGTATATCAATTCTCTGGCTTTGTGTCATAATCTTATTCAGAGAGACCTTGATTGCTTTTCACTTCCAGAAGATATCACACTGGTCAATTACATTGATGACATTATGCTGATTGGATCCAGTGAGCAAGAAGTAGGAAACACACTGGACTTATTGGTGAGACATTTGCATGCCAGAGGATGGGAAAATAATCCAACTAAAATTCAAGGACCTTCTACCTCAGTAAAATTTCTAGGGATGTAGGGCCTGTGAATACATTTCTTCTAAGGTGAAGGATAAGTTGCTGCATTTGGCCCCTTCTATAACCAAGAAAGAGGCACAATGCCTAGTGGGCCTATTTAGATTTTGGAGGCAACACATTCCTCATTTGGGTGTGTTACTCTGGCCCATTTATCAGGTGACCTGAAAGGCTGCCAGTTTTGAGTGGGGTCCAGAAGAGAAGAAGGCTCTGCAACAGGTCCAGGCTGCTGTGCAAGCTGCGCTGCCACTTGGGACATATGACCCAGCAGATCCAATGGTGCTTGAGGTGTCAGTGGCAGATAGGGATGCTCTTTGGAGCCTTTGGCCGGCCCCCATAAGTGAATCACAGCAGAGGCCTCTAGGGTGAAAGACCATGCTATCTTCTGCAGATAACTACTCTCCTTTTGAGAGACAGCTCTTGGCCTGTTACTGGGCTTTGGTGGAAACTGGACATTTGACTGTGGGTCATCAAGTCACCATGTGACCTGAACTGCCTATCATGAACTGGGTGCTTTGTGACACATCTAGCCATAAAGTGGGTTGTGCACTGCAGCATTCCATCATCAAATGGAAGTGGTATATATGTGATCGGGCTTGAGCAGGTCCTGAAGGCAAAAGTAAGTTACATGAGGAAGTGGCTTAAATGCCCATGGTCTCCACTCCTGCCACCCTGCCTTCTCTCTGCCAGCCTGCACTGATGGCCTCATGGGGAGTTCCCTATGATCAGTTGACAGAGGAAGAGAAGACTAGGGCCTCGTTCACAGATGGTTCTGCACAATATGCAGGAATCACCCAAAAGTGAACAGCTGCAGCACTACAGCCCCTGTCTAGGACATCCCTGAAGGACAGCAGTGAAGGAAAATCTTCCCAGTGGGCAGAACTTTGAGAAGTGTACCTGGTTGCAAACTTTGCATGGAAGGAGAAATGGCCAGATGAGTGATTATATACTGATTCATGAGCTGTAGCCAATGGTTTGGCTGGATGGTAAAGCACTTGGAAGAAGTATGATTGGAAAATTGATGACACAGAAATTTTAGGAAGAGGTACGTGGATGGACCTCTCTGAGTGGTAAAAAACTGTGAAGATATTTGTATGCCATGTGAGTGCTCACCAATGGGTGACCTCAGCGGAAGAGGAGTATAATAATCAAGTGGATAGGATGACCCGTTCTGTGGCGACCACTCAGCCTCTTTCCCCCGCCACCGCTGTCATTGCCCAATGAGCCCATGAACAAAGTGGCCATGGTGGGAGGGATGGAGGTTATGCATGGGCTCAGCAACATGGACTTCCACTCATCAAGGCTGAACTAGCTATGGCTACCACTGAGTGCCCAACTTGCCAGCAGCAGAGACCAACACTGAGCCCTCATTATGGCACCATTCCTCAGGGTAATCAGTCAGCTACCTGGTGGTAGGTTTATTATATTGGACCTCTTCCATCATGGAAAGGGCAGAGGTTTGTCCTCACTGGAAGAGACACTTACTCCAGATATGGGTTTGCCTATCTTGCATGCAATGCTTCTGCCAAGACTATCATCCATGGACTCACAGAATGTCTTATCCACCGTCATGGTATTCCAAACAGCATTGCCTCTGACCAAGACACTCACTTTACAGCCAAAGAAGTGTCACAGTGGCCTCATGCTCATGGAATTCACTGGTCTTACCATGTTCCCCATAATCCTGAAGCATCTGGATTGATAGAATGGTGGAATGGTCTTTTGAAGTCACAATTACAATGCCAACTAGGTGACAATACTTTGCACGGCAGGGTAAAAGTTGTCCAGAAGGTTGTGTATGCTCTGAATCAGTGTCCAATATATGGTACGGTTTTTCCCATAGCCAGGATTCATAGGTCCAGGAATCAAGGGTTGGAAGTGGAAGTGGTACCACTCACCATTACCTGTCATGATCCACTAGCAAAATTTTTGCTTCCTGTTCCTGCGACATTACATTCTGCTGGCCTAGAGGTCTTAGTTCCAGAGGAAAGAACACTGCCACCAGGAGACACAACAACAATTCCATTAAACTGAAAGTTAAGATTGCCACCTGGCCACTTTGGGCTCCTCCTACCTTTAAGTCAACAGGCCTAAGAAGGGAGCTACAGTGTTGGCTGGGGTGATTGACCTGAACTATCAAGATGAAATCAGTCTACTACTCCACAAAGAAGGTAAGAAAGAGTATGCATGAAAAACAGGAAATCCATTAGGGCATCTCTTAATATTGTGATTAAGGTCAATGAGAAACTACAACAGTCCAATCCAGGCAGGACTACAGATGATCCTGACCCCTCAGGAATGAAGGTTTGGGTCACTCCATTAGGAAAAAAAACCATGACCTCCTGAGGTGCTTGCTGGAGCCAAAGGGAATACAGAATGGGTAGTAGAAGAAGGTAGTCATCAATACCAGCTATGACCATGTGACTAGCTGCAGAAACGAGGACTGTAATTGTCATGAGTATTTTCTTCTTCTTTTGTTAAAAACATGTTTGTTCATGTATACACTTGTACTAAGAAAATATCTGAATTTTGTTTCCCTTTTCCTTTATCATGTGACATAAGATTTATTGACTTCACATCAGCATTTAAGTATTGTTAACTTTATATAATAGTATTTGGGTTGGGGATTGGTGAGTTTCTGGTTGTACAAAGGATAGTTGTATTATGTTAGACATATTATGACCTTATTATTGTCTTTATTTAAAGATTATGTATGATCTCAGGAGATTGTGTATGGGTTCAAGTTGACAAGCAGTGGACTTGTGATGGTTAATACTGAGTGTCAACTTGATTGGATTGAAGGATACAAAGTACTGATCCTGGGTGTGTCTGGGAAGGTGTTGGCAAAGGAGATTAACATTTGAGTTAGTGGGCTGGGAAAGGCAGACCCACCCTTAATCTGGGTGGGCACAATCTAATCAGCTGCCAGTGAGGCTAGAATATAAAGCAGGCAGAAAAATGTGAAAAGAGGAGACTGGCCTAGCCTCCGAGGCTACATCTTTCTCCCGTGCTGGATGCTTCCTGTTCTCAACATTGGACTCTACATTCTTCAGTTTTGGGACTCGGACTGGCTCTCTTTGCTCCTCAGCTTGCAGACAGCCTATTGTGGGACCTTGTGATCATGTCAGTTAATATTTAATAAACTTCCCTTTATATACATATATATGTGTGTGTGTTTATATATATAATTTAATAGGATTTATATAAATATATAAATCCTATTAGTTCTGTCCCTCCAGAGAACGCTGACTAATACGGTCTCCCAAAATAGTGCCAGGGTTTCTCTGCCAGTAAAATGTGACAGCAGCTTGGTCTGTGTTTGCATTCCAGAGACTGGGGCGTGAAGGGTAAAAAGTACCCCCTGTGATGAAAAGAATTATTTTTCTTGCAAACTGGGACATATGTTGATAAAGAAAAGACCAGGTTCTTGCTTAGGTTTGGGGGTGAAAGGAAAAAAGCCTAGAAAAGAAGACCCATCCTCTTCTTTTACCACAAGTAAAGCTCCCGATCTTACTGAGAAGGAGCTTACCAAAAAAGGAAACATGGCTTGCAGAGCCACTGTGGAATGAAACCTGCAGGGGACAAAATAGTGAAGTGTGATGTGAGCAAGCTGCTTAAAGTCCCATCAGTAGCACCCCACCCTGCCAGGGAGCTCACAGCATCCACTCACAGCTGATCTCACTGACCACAGCCAGCCAGGGAGATTAAATGACTTGCTCAGATTCACATTCTGACCCACAGACTGTGGTCACAGTTCACTGTGGTTTGTACCATAGGTGATTATTCCAGGAAAGAACATTTGGGGACCCTTTATAGAACAGTTCTCGAGACAGCAGTGAGAGAGGAGAAAGGAAGAAAATGGTCAGTCAGGTAGTTAGGGTGGGTCCTTGGTTGAATTCTTTCAAACAAAAGAAGAGCCTGAAAAATCGAGCTGCAGGCACAGATAAGGCAACTTGTACAGGGAGGCTTGCCTAAGACATGCCCACAGTGCACAGATAAGAAAGGCTACACGGGTGACTTACCCAGACATGCCCACAATGGAAAATTCCATCCCCCGATACATGTGCAGTAAAGGGAACAAAGCAATATGGAGTAACTCAAACTAAGGGCCCACATGCACATTAGGAGGATGGGGTGGAGCTACCAGAAATTCACACCTTATGCAAATGAGATGCCCAACCCTTATTGGTTTCTTATAAAAGCCTTTGCATTCAATTGTAAAAATGGCAACCCTCTTTTGGGCTTGCTCTTTGCAGCTGAGAGCTTTCTTCTTTTGCTTATTAACCTCTTGCTCCAATCTCACCCTTGGTGTCTGTGCTTCTTAATTTTCTTTGTCGTGGTACCTTGGGCAACAAGAGACTGCTTTGTTGTGGTGCATTGACAAGACTGTAACATTGTGGTATATTTGTTGACAAGACTCCAATAGCAGTGCACAAAGTTCTCTTATGTCCTAGAAGCATTTCTTATGGCAATATGAGAACCCTAAAGGCCAGTGTGGGCTACTGTGTGAGACCAGTGACTGCATGAAGGTCCAGAGGGTCTGAGCATCAGACTGCAAATGCTGCCAAGTAGGGGGAACAGTGGATGTGATGGCATCAGTATTTCAGCAGATGCAGAACTACTGACCCCAGAAGCACTCGTCAGGCCAGCCAGTGCTCACAACCCAATAAATTTGATCTCAGGAAATTGAATAGGGGCAAATATGAGGTTCTGCTAGTGTGCTGAAGTGCAGGTAGAATCCCTGAGAAAGAAAAGCGGAAGTTTAATTTCTTTTCTACACTTTAATTGGAGTCTCGGTAGAGTTATGCAGAATCTTAGAGCTGAGAAAAATGCAAGAAATGATCTAGCCCAACCAGTACAGATACAGACACCGAGGCCTAGGGAGATTGCAACCTAGTGAAGCTGGCCTCAACTCTGACAGAAGTGGTGCAGTTACATGTGCTGGCTGGGAGAGTTTGCACAAGCTATTTACCCCTCTGTTTCTTCATTTGAATGTGGGGTAAAAAGTGCCTGCTTATAGCACATTTTCAATAAATTTAGGTATTATCCACATAGCATGTTTCATACATTTTGGAATTCTTCATGTAAAAGAACACAGATATAACTAAATAAGTATAGTTTAGAAATATACATATAACTGTAGGATGAAGAGGAGCAAGGACCAGACTCTGAAAAAAAGTCCATTTGAAAAATTCTGGAGGTTTTAGTTGAATGCAAATTCAAGAGGAACCAAGGATATGACTAGGCTGCTAAAAAAGCTAATGACACTCCAGGCTCTATTTGGAGTATCTAGACAGGAAACAGCCTCAATGTTTTCTGGGCTAATCAGATCACATTTAGACCATTGTTCCCAGCTGCAAATCACAGTGGCTGTCACCAAGTGACATCCAGATGGTGGGGAATCTGGAAGTCTTGTCTTATAAGGAAAATTTCAAGGCAATGGAGTAGCCAAGAGAACACTTGAGTGTAAAGGGTGGGATATAATGTAGTAGGGAAAGTCTGTCATGAGAATGACAGAAAATGATTCAAATAGTAAAATTAGAACACTAGATGGAAGCTAAGGGGATGTATATTTCACTTCACTTTACGTATGACATTTGGGCTAGGCATGGTGGCTCATGCCTATAATCTCAGCACTTTGGGAGGCTGAAGTGGGAGGATCACTTCAGCCCAGGAGTTTGAGACCAACCTGGGCAACACAGTGTGACATCATCTCTACAAAATAAATGAATAAATAAATAAATAAAATTAGCTGAGCATGGTGGCATGTGCCTGTGGTCCCAGCTACTCAGGAGGCTGAGGCAGGATGATCACTTGAGCCCCGGAGTTTGAGGCTGCAGTGAGCCATGTTCGCACCACTACACTTCAGTCTGGGCAACAGAGAGAGACCCTGTCTCAAAAAAAAAGAATGAAATTTGAGGCAATCATAGATATCCACAAAGACAAGGTTTTACAAGGAAGTTGCTTGGCACTGTTTGAGCAGTAACTAGCTGTTGTAAAACAGTTCTTGCATTCAGTAGTTGGAAATGATAACAGCTACCATTATTATCTCTAATTCTTACAACAACTCCGTAAGGTAAGGCATAGTGTCTTCATTTTATAGATAAGAAAACTGAGGCTCAAAGAGGTTATTCAACAGGTCCAAGATCATATGTCTATTAGTTAGATGAGCCAAGATTCAAACTTGGATCTGCCACTAAATTACCCATTCATTCTTTTGTGCCATGATACCAACCTGCCAGTTCACCTTTTCCCATAGTTTCCATCATTTCCTTCTGTCTACCCTATTTCTCTCTGGTTGGTCAGAATTAAATCCAGAGTAGCAAGTCACCTCATTACTTTATCTACCTTTGGTCAAAGTTGTTTATATCCTTTTGAAAGAATTCATAGGACCACCAGAAAGATGCAAATAACAAAGTATTCTTAAGAGTTAATTTCTTGTCTATAAATGCAAAGAAAATACATTAAATAGAACACAAAATATATCCCTTAAAAACTCTAATGAATGCAGGACCAGATTGGCAATGGTCTCCACAGAGTAAAATGAACAGACACTCTATCTTCTCTCTTTGCACAGTTATCATCCAGGTGCTGCTCCTGACTGCCTGGGGCTCTAACTCTCAATGAGGAGGAGATGCCAGGACCTGTGCCAAGATCAGAGAGCCCACTGGGAATAGCACATCAAAGGAAACTTTCAGGTCTTCACAGCATGCAAGAGCAGAAGTGTTCTTAGTAATCACACAGTCTGCTTCCTTCTTACTTCACAAGTGAAGAAATTGAGGCCTAGAGAGACGGAGTAACTCTCCCATGGCCCAAAGTATTTGAACAGAAGACTAGAATCATGGCCTCTGCACTACACCAGTGGGAGTTATATTAAAGCTGCAGAGGCCAGGTCCCACACTGGCACTGGTGGATACATACACAGGCATTCCTAATGCACTACTGAATAATTTGCTGTGCACACATGATTAAACACTTCACTACAACAGCTTTTTTAATTTGTACTTTTATTAGCCAATTTCTTTTTGTATTTCTATCTGTTTTTGTGTTTGCCTACAAAATAGCTTTATTAAGAGAGAATCACATACCATACAATTCACTCATTTAAAGTGTATATTTCAATAGTTTTTAGGATATTCACAGAGTTATGCAACCATGACCACAATCAATTTTGAACATTTTAATTGTCCCAATCCCCATGCCCATTAGCAGTCACTCTCCATTTCCCTCCATCTCCTCCAGTCCTAGGCAGCCACTAATCTACTGTCTGTCTACAGATTGGCCTATCCTGGATATTTCATTTAAAGTGAGCCACACAATATGTGGTCTTTTGTGACTGTCTCCTTTCACTTTAGTATAATATTTTCAAGTTTCATCCATGTTGTAGCAGGGATCACAACTGTACTTCATTCTTCTTTATTGCAAAATACTATTCCATTGCATGGATACATCACCTTTTAAAAATCTTTTTTTTGAGACGAGGTCTCACTCTGTTGCCCAGGCTAGAGTGCAGTGGCACAATCAGGGCTCACTGCAGCCTCAACCTCCTAGGCTCAAGAGATCCTCCCACCTCAGTCCACTCCCTCACCCCACCCAAGTAGCTGGGTCTACAGATGTGCACCACCACGCCCAGCTAATTTTTAAGAAATTTTTAGTAGAGATGATGTCTCACTATGTTGCCCAGGATGATCTGCAACTCCTGAGCTTGAAGTAATCCTCCCAACTTGCCTTCCCAAAGTGTTCGGATTACAAGCATGAGCCACTGTGTCCAACCTTAAAATCTTTTCTTTTTTTTCTTTTCTTTTTTTTAATTTTATTATTATTATACTTTAAGTTTTAGGGTACATGTGCACAATGTGCAGGTTAGTTACATATGTATACATGTGCCATGCTGGTGTGCTGCACCCATTAACTCATCATTTAGCAATAGGTATATCTCCTAAAGCTATCCCTCCCCCCTCCCCCCACCCCACAACAGTCCCCAGAGTGTGATGTTCCCCTTCCTGTGTCCATGTGTTCTCATTGTTCAATTCCCACCTATGAGTGAGAATATGCGGTGTTTGGTTTTTTGTTCTTGTGATAGTTTACTGAGAATGATGATTTCCAATTTCATCCATATCCCTACAAAGGACATGAACTCATCATTTTTTATGGCTGCATAGTATTCCATGGTGTATATGTGCCACATTTTCTTAATCCAGTCTATCATTGCTGGACATTTGGGTGGGTTCCAAGTCTTTGCTATTGTGAATAGTGTCACAATAAACATACGTGTGCATGTGTCTTTATAGCAGCATGATTTATAGTCCTTTGGGTATATACCCAGTAATGGGATGGCTGGGTCAAATGGTATTTCTAGTTCTAGATCCCTGAGGAATCACCACACTGACTTCCACAATGGTTGAACTAGTTTACAGTCCCACCAACAGTGTAAAAGTGTTCCTATTTCTCCACATCCTCTCCAGCACCGGTTGTTTCCTGACTTTTTAATGATTGCCATTCTAACTGGTGTGAGATGGTATCTCATTGTGGTTTTGATTTGCATTTCTCTGATAGCCAGTGATGGTGAGCATTTTTTCACGTGTTTTTTGGCTGCATAAATGTCTTCTTTTGAGAAGTGTCTATTCATGTCCTTTGCCCACTTTTTGATGGGGTTGTTTGTTTTTTCTTGTAAATTTGTTTGATCCCACAGAAATACAAACTACCATCAGAGAATACTACAAACACCTCTACACAAATAAACTAGAAAATCTAGAAGAAATGGATAAATTCCTCAACACATACACCCTACCAAGACTAAACCAGGAAGAAGTTGAATCTCTGAACAGACCAATAACAGGATCTGAAATTGTGGCAATAATCAATAGCTTACCAACCAAAAAGAGTCCAGGACCAGATGGATTCATGGCCAAATTCTACCAGAGATACAAGGAGGAACTGGTACCATTCCTTCTGAAACTATTCCAATCAATAGAAAAAGAGGGAATCCTCCCTAACTCATTTTATGAGGCCAGCATCATCCTGATACCAAAGCCAGGCAGAGACACAACAAAAAAGAGAATTTTAGACCAATATCCTTGACGAACATTGATGCAAAAATCCTCAATAAAATACTGGCAAACTGAATCCAGCAGCACATCAAAAAGCTTATCCACCATGATCAAGTGGGCTTCATCCCTGGGATGCAAGGCTGGTTCAATGTATGCAAATCAATAAATGTAATCCAGCATATAAACGGAACCAAAGACAAAAACCACATGATTATCTCAATAGATGCAGAAAAGGCCTTTGACAAAATTCAACAACACTTCATGCTAAAAACTCTCAATAAATTAGGTATTGATGGGACATATTTCAAAATAATAAGAGCTATCTATGACAAACCCACAGCCAATATCATACTGAATGGGCAAAAACTGGAAGCATTCCCTTTGAAAACTGGCACAAGACAGGGATGCCCTCTCTCACTACTCCTTTTCAACATAGTGTTGGAAGTTCTGGCCAGGGCAATTAGGCAGGAGAAGGAAATAAACGGTATTCAATTAGGAAAAGAGGAAGTCAAATTGTCCCTGTTTGCAGATGACATGATTGTATATCTAGAAAACCCCATCATCTCAGCCTAAAATCTCCTTAAGCTGATATGCAACTTCAGCAAAGTCTCAGGATACAAAATCAATGTACAAAAATCACAAGCATTCTTATACACTAATAACAGACAAACAGAGAGCCAAATCATGAGTGAACTCCCATTCACAATTGCTTCAAAGAGAATAAAATACCTAGGAATCCAACTTATAAGGGACGTGAAGGACCTCTTCAAGGAGAACTACAAACCACTGCTCAACGAAATAAAAGAGGATACAAACAAATGGAAGAACATTCCATGCTCATGGGTAGGAAGAATCAATATCATGAAAATGGCCATACTGCCCAAGGTAATTTATAGATTCAATGCCATCCCCATCAAGCTACCAATGACTTTCTTCACAGAACTGGAAAAATCTACTTTAAAGTTCATATGGAACCAAAAAAGAGCCTGCATTGCCAAGTCAATCCTAAGCCAAAAGAAGAAAGCTGGAGGCATCACGCTACCTGACTTCAAACTATACTACAAGGCTACAGTAACCAAAACAGCATGGTACTGGTACCAAAACAGAGATATAGATCAATGGAACAGAACAGAGCCCTCAGAAATAATGCCACATATCTACAACTATCTGATCTTTGACAAACCTGACAAAAACAAGCAATGGGGAAAGGATTCCCTATTTAATAAATGGTGCTGGGAAAACTGGCTAGCCATATGTAGAATGCTGAAACTGGATCCCTTCCTTATACCTTATACAAAAATTAATTCAAGATGGATTAAAGACTTGAATGTTAGACCTAAAACCATAAAAACCCTAGAAGAAAACCTAGGCATTACCATTCAGGACATAGGCATGGGCAAGGACTTCATGTCTAAAACACCAAAAGCAATGGCAACAAAAGCCAAAATTGAAAAATGGGACCTAATCAAACTAAATAGCTTCTGCACAGCAAAAGAAACTACCATCACAGTGAACAGGCAACCTACAAAATGGGAGAAAATTTTCACAACCTACTCATCTGACAAAGGGCTAATATCCAGAATCTACAATGAACTCAAACAAATTTACAAGAAAAAAAATCTTTTCATCAGTTGATGGATATCTGGGTTGTTTCCACTTTTTTGCTGTTAGGAATAATATTGCTATAAACATTCATGTACACACTTTAGTGTAAGCACATGTTTTCTTTTCTCTTGGATATATACTTAGAGTAGAACTGCTAGATCACATGTTTACACTATATTTAGCTTTTTGAGGAAGTGCAGACTTTTCCAAAGCAGAATTTTACATTCTTATCTAACAGTATGTGAAGGCTCTAATTTTTCTATATTCTCAACAACACTTGTAATCATCTTTTTATTATAGCCATCCTACCAGGTGCAAAGTGGTATTTCATTGTGGTTTTGATTTGTGTTTTTGTGATCTATCTGTTTTTTATTTTTATATTTTGAAACTATACATTTAGACATGTAAAAATGTATGGTTATTACATCTTCTTATTGGAAAACAATTTTTTATTTTTACTTTCTAGAGATGGGGTCTCGATATGTTGCCCAGGCTGGTCTCAAACTCCTGGGCTCAAGTGATCCTACCTCAGCCTCCCAAGTAGCTGGAACTATGGGTGCCTCCTGCTGCACTGGACTTGGAATATAACTTTTATTAATATGAAATAACCCCTTATCACACAATATGCTTTTTGCCTTAAATTCTATTTTGTCTGATGTTAATATTACAATATGCATTTTTGTTTTTGTTAACATTTTCCTGACATATATTTTTCTGCTTCATTTTATTTTACAGCGATTCAAATATAACACATAGCTAATTTATTTATTGTAACCACTCTGAATTTTAACAGACTATGGCTCATTTATATTTATTTTGATTATGTATAGGGTTTATCCTACCCTTCAAATTTATTACAGTTTGTTAGTATTTGTTTTTTCTTTCATGTCTTATAAGATTGATTGAATTTTCCTTACTCTGTTTTGTTCTTTTAGTGGTTTTCCTTAAATCATTAAAACACATATTTCTGTTATTTGGTATCTTTAACTTCTCCCCTGAAAGGGAAAAGAAACTGAACAAGATTCCCTTTCTCCCTTATTACTCTTGCCTCCTCTCATGTCAGAATTATCTGGAATTTCAGTTCTAGTAATAAGGATATGTTAATAATTACTGCAGCAACTAACATTTATAAAGCAACTCACTTTATTCCACAACTTGTATTAAACAATTTATAAGCATTAATTTCTCTAATCATACCAGAATGTCTAGGAGGTATGCATATGGTTATGTTACCTGTCAGAGATTACACAGTTAATAGCAGAGCTTATATTAACATTGTTCATCAACACTTATTTACATTTTACACTTAACTCAAGTTTCTCTGGTTCCTTTGCTTGTAGTTATTATCTCCTTTGGATTTAATAGAGCAAATCCTTCAGTATTACTTTCTGAGACAGTTTAAGGGTGTTTCTTACATGTCCATGTCTTTTGTTTTGCTCTCACACCAAGAATATTAGCTTGGATATAAAATTAGGTCCAAAATAAGTTTCCTTCAGAATATGGCTTAATTAAGTTTAACACGCAAGTTACCCTTGGAAATCCTGATGCCATTCATATTTTCATTTCTTTGTAGATATTTTGTCTGTCTATCTGTCTGTCTCTCTCTGCTACACATTATTCTATTGTGTGAATGTACCCTAGTTTATTTGATCAATCTCCTAGAAATGGATGGATACATAAGTTATTTGCAATAGTTTATAATCAAAACAATGCTGCAATATATAACGTCTTATATATGTATTTTCAAATTATTGGAGGTATAACTTCACAGAAAATTTCTAGAAGTGGTACTGCTGAGTTCAAGGGTAAACTTATGTGTAGTTTTGTTGGATATTACAAAATTCCCCTCCATGAGTGTTGTACTCATTTTCATTCACACCAGGAATATTTTACAGTGCCTATTTGTCCACAGCTTTACAAGCAATGTGTTTTTATATTTAAAATGTTTTGCCAACCTAATATGTGAGAAATAGTATCTCAGCATAGTTTTGACTTGAATTTTTTAAATTATGAGGGAGCTTGAACATTTTTTGTGTGTGAAATGTCTGTTCATATTTTTTATCCATTTTACTCTTGGGTTCTTTCGTCACTTAACCTTCAATTAACTCCTTAGCTATGACATATGTTGCAAATATTTTCTGCAAGTTTGCCATTCATTGTTTAACTTTGCTTACGGGCTTTTGTTTGTTGCTTTCATCATGCAAATATTTTTAAAAACATAGTTAAATTGATGCATCTTTTCTTTTATTGCACCTATATTTTGAGAGATAGTTTAAAAGCCTTCCTTATATCTAGGTTATAGAGAAATTCACCCATATTTTCTTCTAATAAATGCATGTTTCTGTTTTTATATCTCTGCTCTTTTTGTAGTTTATTCTTGTAAATGACCAGGTATATGAATCTAATTTTATCCTTTTGACTATCCAGTTGTCCCAGCATCATTTTAAAAAAATGTTTATCTTTTGCCCAATAATTCGAGATGCCACCTTTATAATACACTGTAACTCCACGTGTATTTGGGTCTGTTTTCTTCTCTACACCACTGGTCTATCTGTCCAGTCTATTTATGTACTAGTACTTGGAGTGTCTTAATAATAGAGGCTTTATACTTTGTTTTCATATCTGAAAGGGCTAGTCCCCTTATCACTGTTCTTTTTCCATGTTCTCATAAGTATTCCTGCACACTCATATGAACTTTAATATCAACTTGTATAGCTCCATTGAAGATTGTTGGTATTGTTGGGATTGAATTACATTTATGAATTCACATAAAGGGAACTGACATCTTTAAAACATTGAGTCATCCTATCCAAGAATGAGCCGTGTACTTCCATTTGTTTAAGTCTTATTTTTTGTCTTTTAGGGGAATGTTTGTTTCATATTTCTTATTCCATTTTTGTTAGGTATTTTATCTTCTTTATTGATATTATAAATGAGTTTTCTACTGTTATATCATCTAACTTGTTATTGTTCATATATATGAAGTATTATCATATGTTTTCTACTTTTCTAATTTACTGAATTATTTAGTTATTTGAGTTAGTTTTATCATTGAGTTTCTTTCTGAGGAAATTCCAAAGGCTTCTAGATATATTATCATATTTTCCAAATATAGACTTTTACTTCCTTTTTTCTAACTATTTTGCCTCTAATTTATTTCTCTTTTCTAATTATATTGGCTAATACATTCAGTAAAATATTAAATAGTAGTGAAGATAGTGGTCCTTCTTGCCTCAATCCTGACTGTATTGAAAATACCACTAGTGTTTCTCCATTAATGAAATTATTGATTAATTCTTATTTCCTTGCAGATTTTCACTGGAAATCTTGTCAAATACCTTTTTCAGCATCCATGGAGAACATAGATGATTTTCCATTATTATAACTATTAATTTGGTGTGTGTATTTATGGATTTCCTAACATTGAACCAACCTTGCCTAACATCGAACCAACTTTGTTATTTATTCCTAAAATAAATTCCACTTTGTCATGATGTATTATATTCTTAACTTGGTGTGAGGTTCCTTTTGATATTTTATTTCATATTTTTGCATAGATATTCATAAATGATATTGTGAGAGGAAAGAAAAAGAAATCAACTAGTCAGATAGTTAGGGCAAGGGTCCTCAGTAGAGTTCCCTTCTAACAAAAAGCAGCTTCTCTTCTAACAAAAAGCAGCCCAAGAGGTCATTTCTCTTTCAGCAAAGAGAAGCCCGAGAAATCAGGCTGCAAACACAGATAAGGAAGGCAAGCTCTAATACATAAAGGGGCCTCCTGTGTGACATATGGACATACAGTGGGTCCAGTAAGCACATCCTCTCCCTTCTTGGAAATGCTAAGACAAGGAGGCTTGCACAGGGGAAGGAGACTAGTAGGGGGGATGCCCCCACTGTGTTTCTCTCCACCTGGGTCACTCCAAAACAGGGGAGAAGACTAAGGGATGCCTTTCCTTCCCCTCCCCTTCTTTCTAGGTGGGTAACAAATCATCTTCAGCCTGCTCTCCTCTTGAGTGCATTCTGAATCACTGGAACTCTTTGACCCCGGGACTGAAGAAAAAGTGGTCATATTCTTTTGCACAAGGGTGTGGCCTTCTTACCAGCTTGGGGATGGACGAACCTGGCTTTCTGAGGGAAGTCTTTATTTTAATACTATCCAACAATTAATCTTTTCTGTGGACGAGAGGGCAAATGGTCTGGGGTCCCCTATGTACAGGTTTTCTTTGCCCTGCAGGACAACTCAGACCTCTGCAAGTGATACACAATTGACCCAGTTCTTTTAGCAGTCATATCAGGCAGACCCATGGGGAATAACTCCCCAAAGCTAAGAAAACTAATTCCTGGAAAATCCTCTGAAACAACTACTAAGTGTCTCAGTCCCTCTTGTCCCCCTTATCTGGGGCCCCCTCCTCCAACTGTGCCATCAGCTCCTCCAGTTCCACCACTTCCAAAACTCCCTACTTCCCCAGCTTCACTTTAACCCCTGCAAGAAATGCCTGATGGACATTGTGCCACAAGGGTGCAGGTTCCCTTCTCATTGCAGAACCTTAGACAAATAAAAGTAGACCTGGGTAGATTCTCTGATGACCCCAACAGATATATAGAGGCTTTCCAAAATCTAGACCAAGTGTTTGACCTCACATGGAGAGATGTTATGTTACTCTTAAACCAAACCCTAACAGCTGCTGAGAGGCAGGCAGCTCTGCAGACAGTAGAAAAATGTGGGGATGCACAACATATTTCTTACAGCAGGCCAAAAAGGAAAAGAGGAAATAAGGAAGGAGAGGAAATTATGGAACAACCATTCCCAATAGGGAGAGAGGCAATACTACTTGAAAACCTTGGCTGGGACCCTAGTGCCCCCACTGATGAACTGAAAATGAAACACTTTTTAATATGCATATTGGAGGGCCTACAAAAAAACTAGGGCCAAACCTTTTAATTACTCTAAGCTCTCCATGATAGATTAGAGACCAGATGTGAATCCCTCAGCTTTTACGGAAAGACTGAGAGAGGCCTTAATAAAACAGAATTCCCTGTCTGTTGACTCAGTTGAAGGACAGCTAATCCTAAAGGACAAGTTTATTACTCAGGCAGCACCTGATATTAGAAGAAAATTACAGAAACAGGCTATAGGACCAGATAGTACTCTGGAGAACCTCCTGAGGGTGGCCACCTTGGTCTTTTACGATAGGTATCAGGAGGAGGCCCAGGAATAAAGAGAGGAAGCACAGGAGAAGGACAGAGGCTCTGATAGCCACTTTACAGGCCTGTAAAGTCCAGGATCCATGAGGTGCACCCACTAATTGCTATCGGTGTGCCAAATCAGGGAACTTTAAGAAGGGCTGTCTAGGCAGAAAGAATAAGCCACCTCGACCCTGTCCAGTGGGGACTACTGGAGGTCAGACTGCCCTCAGAGACATAGGTCACTGGGTCAAGAACTGGTCTCACAAATGGTCTGGCAAGCCTGACAGGTCCTGGGGCTCAATTTCCCGGCTCCAGTGGCCCAAACTGCCATTACTGCCCAGGAGTCCCAGGTGATTCTAGAAATGGAAGGAAGGAGGGTGGACCTCCTTCTGGATGCTGGAGCCAGTCTATCTGTTCTCTCCAGTCCAGGCCTCCCCTCTTCCCATAGCATGACCATAAAGGGCATCTCAGGAAAGGTTCTAACCCAATATTTTTCTCAATCCTTTAGTTGTAGCTAGGGGAACCTACTATTTACACATGACTTTTTAATCATGCCTGGAAGTCCCACTCCCTTACTAGGTAGAGATATTTTAGCTTTCATGGGAGCCAGTATCCTTACGACCCTAAGACAAACTCTTTGTCTTCTCGTGGTGGAAACCAATATTAGCCCAGGGGTGTGGGCAAGCCAGGGGAAAATCAGCCAGGCTATAACCACTATACAGGTCCAGATCCGTCTTAAGGATCCCACTTCTTTTCCTAACCAAAGACAATATCCCCTAAAGCCAGAGGCTAGAAAAGGGTTAGAGGTCATTGTGAATAATCTGAAGAAGCAGGGCCTCCTCAAACCCTGCAACAGCCCCTGCAACACCCCAATATTAGGGTTGCAGAAATCCAATGGGGAGGGAGACTAGTTCAGGACCTCTGCCTCATTAATGAGGCCATAGTCCCAATTCATCCAGTAGTCCCTAATCTCTATACTTTGCTAACCCAAATACCTGAGGAACCTAAATGTTTCACAGTGCTAGACATAAAGGATGCCTTTTTCTGTATACCACTACACCCTAACTCAGAGTATCTACTTGCCTTCAAAGATCCCTCTGGCCAGACTGCCCAGTTAACCTGGATGGTGTTGCTGCAAGGGTTTTGGGACAGTCCTCACTTGTTTGGACAAGCACTGTCTAAAGACCTTTCTGAGTTATCTCATTCTCAAGCTAAAGTCCTACAGTATGTAGATGACATTCTTCTCTGTGCCCCAACTGAGAAAGCTTCTCAGGAGGGCAGTGAGGCCCTTCTCAATTTCTTAGCTAATAGGGGATATAAAGTTTCAAATTCCAAGGCCCAGCTTTGCCAAACCTCAGTGAAGTACCTGAGTTAGTATTGTCTGAAGGGACCAGAGCACTGGGAGAAGAAAGCACTAAGCCCATTTCCTCCTTCCCCCTCCCTAAAACCCTCAAGCAACTAAGAAGATTTTAGGGTATTACAGGATTTTGCAGGCTATGGATACCTGAGTATGGGAAAATGGCTCATCCCTTATACCAACTAATAAAGGAAACCCAGGCAGCCAAGACTCATTCCCTAATTTGGGAACCAGAGGCAAAAAAGGCCTTTAACAAGCTTAAACAAGCCCTGCTTGAGTCATCAGCCCTTAGCTTTCTGATAGAGAAGGCACTCAGTCTTTATGTGTCAGAAAGAAAGGGAATGGCCCTGGGAGTTTTAACTCAGACCCAAGGGCCAGCTCAACAGGCAGTGGGTTACCTAAGTAAGGAACTGAACCTGGTGGCTAAAGGATGGTCAGCCTGCCTCCAGGCAGTTGCAGCGGTAGCTTTACTGGTGCCAGAAGCCACCAAATTAACCCAGGGGAGTAGCTTAACTGTTTATACCCCACATAATATGTGGGGAACAGGATTGCTCTTCTCTAAAGGGGGTCTTTGGCTAACAGCCACCTCCTTAAATACAAGGCTTTACTACTAGAGGGATCTGCAGTCCAACTAAAGACTTGCTCTTGCCTGAATTCAGCCAGCTTCCTCCCAGAGGAAACTGGAAAACTTGAACATGACCGTGAGCAAGTTGTGATACAAATCTATGTAGCCAGGGAGGATCTCAGGGGAACTCTCCTAGAAAACCTAGACTGGATCCTCTTTACAGATGGGAGCTCCTTTGTGGAACAGAGAGTCCATAAGGCAGGATATGCAGTAGTCACCCTAAATAGTATCATTGAAAGTGCATCTCTCTCACCAGGCAAAAGCATTCAATTAGCTGAGCTGATAGCTCTTAAAAGGGTGCTTGATATGGTTTGGCTGTGTCCCCATCTAAATCTCATCTTGAATTGCCACATGTTGTGGAAGGAACCCGACAGGAGGTAATTGGATCATGGGGGGAAGTCTTTCCCATGCTGTTCTAATGATGATGAATAAGTCTGAAGAGATCTGATGGTTTTATAAAGAAGAGTTCCCCTGCACAAGCTCTCTCTCTTTGCCTGCTGCCATCCACATAAGCTATGACTTGCTCCTCTTTGCCTTCCACCATGATTATGAGGCCTCCCCAGCCATGTGTAACTATAAGTCCATTAAACCTCTTTCTTTTGTAAATTTCCCAGTCTCAGGTACGTCTTTATCAGCAGCATGAGAACAGACTAATACAGTGCTTGGATTAAGCAAAGGAAAAACAGCTAACATTTATATTGACTCCAAATATGCCTTTCTTATCCTCCATGTTCATGCTACCATTTGGAAGAAGAGATACTTTCTCACTGATAATGGGTCTCCCATAAAATACTATTAGGAAATTAACAGGCTGTTATCCTCAGATTTCCTTCCATGAGAAGTAGCAGTAATGTATTGTAAAGGACACCAGACAGGAACAGATGAAATAGCTGAGGGAAACAAGTTAGTTGACCAGGCAGCAGGGTCAGCAGCAAGAAAGGCTGAGGATGCCAACACTCTTGAAGCCCCTCTAATCTGAGAAGGCTCCATCAGGGAAATAAAGCCTCAATATTCCTCTGCAGAAATACAATGGTCCACCTCTCAGGGATACACTTTTCAGCCCACAGGATAGTTGCGGTCAGAGAACAGCAAGCTCCACTTGCCAGCCTCCAACCAGTGGAAGGTACTTAAAAACCTTCACCAAACTTTTCACCTAGGGAACAATAAAGTTTATCAATCTGTCCAAAGATTATTCTCAGGGGAGAACCTGCTAAAAACAAGTCAAGCAGGTTGTTAATGCTTGTGAAGTCTGTCTTAAAAACAACTCCCTCAACAGATGGCTTCCTCCCCCTTGAGCTCAAAGAATGGGAAGTTATCCAGGGGAGGACTTGCAAATAGATTTCACCCATATGCCAAAATCAAGGGGCACTCAATATCTCCTGGTGTAGGTGGATACCTTCACTAACTGGGTGGAAGCATTTCCATGTCGAACAGAAAGGGCCTCTGAGGTAGTAAGAGTATTAATCAATGAAATAATTCCCTGCTTTGGACTCCCTAAATACCCCCAAAGCAACAATGGCCTTTCATTTAAAGCAGCTGTCACTCAGGGGGTCTCAAAGGCACTAGACATAAAATACCATTTCCATTGTGCCTAGAGACCCCAGTTCTCAGGAAAGGTAGAAAAAAAATGACATTATCAAAAGACACCTCAGAAAGTAGTCTCAAGAGACTCACCTCCCCTGGATGACTCTCCTTCCCATGGCCTTACTATGGATAAGAAATACCCCTTCAAAGTTAAGTTTAAGCCCTTTTGAAATGTTGTATGGATGACCTTTTCTTACACACGATTTCTTATTAGATCAGAAAAGCTCTGAATTAGTCAAACATGTAACATCCTTGGCTCACTTCCAACAGGAGTTAATACAGCTAACAGAAGCCCAACTGCAGGAAACAGGACCATCTTTATTTAATCTGGGAGGCTGAATACTGGTCAAGGTTCTCCCTTCTTTCCCTTTCTCTAGACCCTAGTTGACAAGGACCTTACACTATTCTTCTCTCCACCCCCTCGGCCGTAAAAGTTGCAGGAATTGACTCTTGGATTCATCACACCATCACACTCAAGTCAAAGCCTGGAAGGCTGAGGGAGAAGCCTCAGACAATTCAGAAGAGCACTCTGAATATCACTGCAAAGAAATAGGGGATCTTAAATTGAAAATCACCAAAGATAAGTAAAGGAGCGAGGGCTACTCGTCCTACTCAGTTCCACCCCTACCTTATCAGATATTTTCAATCATTTCTACCTTTCTTCTTGAAATTACTCCATAGATCCCCAAAGGGAAATTCTACATCTTGGTGAGCAAAATTTTAGATGGAAATTATTTACTACACTATATTTGTGGATTTCCTATACTTACCCTTCTATTTGCAATAGGACTATACACTGGGTACCCTCTGAGTGGAATTTTGGACAAAGAGCTGCAATTGCTGTAGTATGTTGTTTGATTGTTTTCCTTATAGTGGGTCTTTCTCTTTCTCAAAATGACCACCCACAACCTATATATATTAGGATTGGCTTCATCGTGCTACCAGGTTTTACTGCACCCCTCCAACAATTAACAAACTCAAGGTACCTTTCAAAAACTTTAAATTTAGCACAGAAGTTGTTAAACACCACCAACCCAACTTTGAAAATGAACTGCTGGCTTTGCCTGTCATCCTTATCTCAATACGTTGCCATCCCAGTCCCAGCCCGATAGTGGGCCCTTAATAAGATGACCTACCAACCAAAATATAAGAGGGAGTCCCCTTCAGGTTAATGAAATTCCAAATTAATGAGATGACAAGGATCACACCAACAGGTCAAGCTGTAAACCTTCTCCAGTCCTATCAGGGCAACCTTTCTGGGGTTGCATCCCCCCAAAAACCCATTTGGGGCTCAATATCAACAAACACAGAACTAAAATTCCAAGCACCACTTTGCATTAGGGGAAGCCAAAATTTTGTTCAGGACCTGAGAACCCTAAAAAAAATCAGTGCAACTACACTCTAGAGATTAACCCCTCACATGATCATATAAACCACATGGTTACCCAAACTGCACCATTTAGACCTGTATGCTTCTCAGGGAAGCCATCCATAAATAAGGGGACTTTGAAAGATGTGCAATCTGGGTATTGTGTAAATAGACCCACTAGTTGTGTTCATATTTTCCTGTGGGAAGATTGTACTACCCCTGAGGAGTCTAAGTGCCTGTTAGTACCCCAGTATGAAAAAGCTCCTGACTGGCTGCTGATGGATATCAAATGCAACTGCCTACGCTGGGGAAACAAAAATGTTGGGGTAAAACAGGATATTTCCCAGGGTCCTTTCCAACCTTTAACTGGGGCCACCTTGGCAGGAACCCTAACCACCTGGGGAAGTGGGAATGGCAAACGAACCTGTATGTTCTCCATAGAAAATAATTTCTGCCTCAAAAAAACAGGGAGTCTTCTTCCTGTGTGGAACCAACTCCTACTTATTTTACCAGCCAATTGGACTAGAACCTGTAACTTCTTTACCTGGCTCCAGAAATTAATATAGCCCCCAACAACCAATCCCTTATTATACCTTTAACTACAACAGTTGAGCATAAATGAGCTATCCAGTACATACCTCTTTTGGTAGGGTTGGGAATCACCACAAGTGTAGGGACAGGGGTTGTAGGACTCGCAACCTCTCTTTCCCACTATGAAGACTTGTCCAAAGATTTTACAGAAAGTTTAAAGGAGATGGCCTGAACCATGGATACTATACAAAATCAAATAGACTCCCTGGCTCTACAAAATAGGAGGTGACTAGACCTCTCAGCTGCTGAAAAGGGTGGCCTATGTTTCTTTCTAAAGGAAGAGGTGCTGTTTCTATGTCAACCAATAGGGATAGTAAGGTATGCCACCTGAAAATTAGCCATTTGGGCCTCTAAGATATGACAATGACTGTCTGAGTCATGGGCTTTTGGTCTAAATGGCTGAATTTGGGATCATGGCTCCTCCCTTTGGCAGGCCTGCTATTAATGATTATTCTAGCTTTAATCTTTGGACCATGTTTGTTAAATCTCCTAACTAGATTCATCTCTTCTTGCCCAGAAGCTATCAAACTCCAAATGGTACTACAAATGGAGACACACATGAACACACCATGGTTCTGAGGACCTTAGATCGACCTCAGGAGGAACCCTAGCTGCTGTTTCCCCACTCAAAGATCCCCTCCAGCAAGAAGTAGCTAGACAAGTCATCAATCAAACCCCCTAACAGCAGTTAGGGTCTCCACTCCTGAGGGGGTAATGTGAGAGGAGAGAGAGAGAAATCAACCAGGCAGATAGGGCAAGGGTCCTCGGTAGAATTCCCTTCTAACAAAAAGCATCTTCTCTTCTAACAAAAAGCAGCCCAAGAGGTCATTTCTCTTTCAGCAAAGAGCAGCCTGAGAGATCAGGCTGCAAACACAAATAAGGAAGGTAGGCTCTAACACAGAAAGAGGCCTCCTGTGTTGCATACAGACATACAGAGGACCCCAGTAAGTACAGTCCTCTCCCTTCTTGGAAATGCTCAGACAAGGAGGCTTGCACAGGAGGAATGCCTGGAGCAGCACCAGTAAGAAGAGGCACCCTGTTGGGAGGCCAATGTGGGCGGATCACGAGGTCAGGAGATTAAGACCATCCTGGCCACATGGTGAAACCCCGTCTCTACTAAAAATACAAAAATTAGCTAGGCATGGTGGCGCATGCCTGTAATCCCAGCTACTCAGGAGGCTGAGGCAGGAGAATTGCTTGAACCTGGGAGGCAGAGGTTGCAGTGAGCCGAGATTGCGCCACTGCACTCGAGCCTGGCGACAGAGGGACAACTTGTCTCATGCGCATGTCTCTCTTTTTTACACATGCGCACTGGGAAGAGATAAGCAACATGGAGTAACTCAGGCTAAGAAACCCACATGTGCACTAGAAAGGGTGGGGTGGGGACTCACAAATTCATGCCTTATGTAAATGAATGCACCCCTCCCCACCAGCTTGTCTGTAAAAACTCTTTTCATTTCACTGTAAAACAGCAACCTATCTTTCTGGGACCCCACCTCTGTTCGAGAGAGCTTTCTTCCTTTCACTTATTAAACATCTGCTCTAACCTCACCTTTGGAGTGTCCACATCCTTGATTTCCTTGGCTGTGAGGCCAAAAGCTTTGGGTGACCCCTCAGACAATGAGGCCAGTTTCAACGTTTTACTTTTTTTTTTTTTTGAGACAGAGTTTTGCTCTGTCACCCAGGCTGGAGTGCAGTAGCATGATAGCTCACTGCAACCTCTGCCTCCTAGGTTCAAGTGATTCTCCTGTCTCAGCCTCTGGAGTAGCTGGGATTTTACAGGCATGGACAAGCATGCCTGGCTAATATTTGTATTTTTTGTAGATACGGGGTTTCACCATGTTGGCCAGGCTGGTCTTGAACTCCTGGGTTCAAGTGATCCGCCTGCCTCGGCCTCCCAACATGCTGGGGTTACAGGCATGAGCCACTGCACCCAGCCTTAATATTCTGCTTTGTTGTAGAGTCTACAAAACAGGTGTCAATGTAAATCTTTCTTCATAAGAATGATTTGGAAGTTCTCCTTTATTTTCATTGCTCTAGAATGATTTATGTAACATTGGGATCATCTGGTTTTGAATATTTAGTAGAATTCCTCATGAAACTATCTGGGGCTAGAGCTCTTTTGTGAGATAGTTTCTTGATGACTTTTTGTGTTTCTTCTAATTAGAATAATTTTGGTAAATTGTATTTTCCTAGAAAATTATACATTCAAATTTATCTGCATAGAAGTTTAAAGTTTCTTATGATTTTTTTTTTTTTTGAGACTGAGTCTTGCTTTGTCACCCAGGCTGGAGTGCAGTGGCACGATCTCGGCTCACTGCAAGCTCCACCTCCCGGGTTCACGCCATTCTCCTGCCTCAGCCTCCCGAGCAACTGGGACTACAGGCGCGTGCCACCATGCCTGGCTAATTTTTTTTTTTTTTTTTTTTTGTATTTTTAGTAGAGATGGGGTTTCACCGTATTAGCCAGGATGGTCTTGATCTCCTGACCTCGTAATCTGCCCGCCTCGGCCTCCCAAAGTGCTGGGATTACAGGCATGAGCCACCACGCCTGGCCTGATTTTTCTAAAAGTTTTTTTCAATGATTATTTTCCCCTTGTCAGTCCTTATTTTGTATATTTGCATTTTTTTCCTTCTTAGCTATTGTTCATCTATTTTGTTAACTTTTTTCAAGGAAACAGACTTTTAATTATTAATTATATTATAATTCATTTTGTTACTTTTATCTTCATTACTTCTTTGTGCTTTCTTTTTTTATTATTATTATGGCTTGAACTGTTAGAGAAAATTGTTCTTTCTTTTGGCTTTCTTTCCTGTTCTCTTTCTAGATTTTTGACTTTCTTTTGGCTTTCTTTCCTGTTCTCTTTCTAGATTTTTGAATTAGGATTTTAATTCATTTATTTTCATCCTTTTGCTTTTATTAGTATCAGTTTTTAAAGCTATGAATTTCCTCTGTTCACTTTTTAAAGTATATTCTATACATTCTGAAATGTAGTGCTGTCATTATCATTATTTTAAAAACTCTGTAACTTTTAATAAAATGTTTTTTATTTCTATGTGGAATAAAAATCAGGAATAAGCCAGAAATAATTTTTTAATTTTTTTCTGATTTTGTAATTTCTAGTTTTATTACATGTTATCAAAGGATAATGTTAAACACAGATGAGCCAGTTGCTAAAAATTAAATTAAAAGATAGGAAAACACAGATATTAAGAAATACATGAATACAAATATAACCAATAGAACAAAATACAAAATACAAACCTTCCTCACCTTCCCCAGCTGCACCTGGACATTGCCCTTATTCTTCCTCAGTCAGCATGGACATGGCTTCTTTCTTTTTTTTTTTAGACAGAGTCTCGCACTGTCACCCAGGCTGTCACCCAGGCTGGAGTGCAGTAGCACAATCTCAGCTCGCTGAAGCCTCCGCCTCCTGAGTTCAAGTAATTTTCGTACTTCAGCCACCTGAGTAGCTGGGATTACAGGCGCGTGCCACCACACCTGGCTAATTTTTGTATTCTTCATAGAGATGGGGTTTCACCATGTTGGCCAGGCTGGTCTCAAAACCCTGACCTCAAGTGATCCACCTGCCTTGGCCTCCCAAAGTGCTGGGATTACAGGCATGAGCCACCACACCCAGCCAGCTTCCTTTCAGAATAACAAAAGAACACAAACTGACTGCATTAGTTTTCTAGGGCTGTTATAACAAATTACCACTAACTGGGTGGCTTAAAACAATAGAAATTTATTCTCTCAGAGCTCTGGAGGCCAAAATCCAACAAGTCCAAAATTAAGGTGCCAGGGAGGAGCCAAGCTCCCTCAAAGACTCTGGGGGAGAATACTTCCTCACCTTTCAGCTTCTAGCAGCTCCTGGAGTACCCTGGCTTGTAGGCCCAGCACTCCCATCCCTGCCTCCTTCTTCCCATGGCCTTCTTTCCCATGTTTCTGTGTCTGTGTCTCAAATCTCTCTCTGGTTTCCCTTTTAAAGACACCGGTTACTAGATTTAGGGCTCATCATAAATCCAGTATGATCTCGAGATCATTAATTTCATTTCATTTGCAAGGTCCCTATTTCCAAAGAAAGTCATATTCACAGGCACCAGGGGTTACAGCTTGGACCTTTTTTGGGGACATAATTCAATCCACTGCATGGATCACTCACATGCCAACAATGGTGCTAAGCCATTTACATGAACAGGTGCATTTGGCACTCATAAAACATCAGATACTATTATTTTGCCCATTTACAAATGAGAAAACTAAAGTTAGACTAGAGGTTGAGTTAGTTGCTCAAGATTTCGCTTCTAATAATGTAAAGACTTGGAAATCAGACCCAGGCAGGCTGACTCCAGAGCTATCACCCTACATCATGACCCTGCACCTCATCTTTTACACGCTAGGCTTTGTGGAACTGCTGCATGTAAGGGAGAAGAGCAGAGGAACGCCAGGTCTCATTTGGGAAACCATGGACTAGAGTGTAAAAGGGGGAGAAGCCAGGGAACCTCTTCCCTATTCCTTTATCTTCCACCTCCTCCATGCTGTCTTCAGACTTTTAATACCTCTAACTGGTCTCTCCAGATCCCAAATAAGGTGTATTGTCTAGTTTGGGGCCCCAAACATATTTTAATTAGGCTTGTCTTTATTGTGAAAATCAGAGACCCATACAGTATTGTTCTGTTAAAGGGTCTGCTACCCTCAGGGGATGACTGGCACATAAGGAAACAGCAATCAAATGGGAGCTCAAGAGCAAAAACTGCAACACAGTAGGGCATCACGAGAATTCCAGGTGGGAGTTGTCTGGTCCTGAGGCAACTCGAGGGACGGTGGTTCTCCTGGACCTCCCTCATGGGCCACTGGTCTGTGGCTCTCCTCTTTGCTCCATTTGGTACTAACTAGCTCCCCCTGCTCCCTCATGATTTCGCCCCCTCATTGGCTTGCACCCTGCTTTAGTTGGCATGGCCTTAGTTTCCCCTGTTGCTCTCTGCCCTATCTCCTTGGTATTTCTTAGTTTAGATTATTGGGAGAGAGAGTTTGCACAGTCCAGCCCCTTTCCTCTGGCAATTCAGACTGACTGCCTTAAGCCATGTGCCCATCCTGCCCAGACAGCCACAGCGAGGAGGAGGGCAGCATGTGTGGGAGAGTGATGCACCATACGGGCCAGTGAAGCAGGTGTCCTCACAGATACTGTGGGTGTAGTAGTCATTTTAAGAAATGGCCCTTCTGGCCGGGCGCGGTGGCTCATGCCTGTAATCCCAGCACTTTGGGAGGCCAAGGCGGGCGGATCACGATGTCAAGAGATCGAGACCATCCTGGCCAACATGGCGAAACCTCGTCTCTATTAAAAATATAAAAATTAGCTGGGCATGGTGGCGGGCGCCTGTAGTCCCAGCTACTTGGGAGGCTGAGGCGGGAGAATCGCTTGAACCCGGGAGGTGGAGATTGCAGTGAGCCAAGATCATGCCATTGCACTCCAGCCTGGGTGACAGAGCGAGACGCCGTCTCAAAAAAAAAAAAAAAAAAAAGAAAGAAAGAAATGGCCCTTCTACGGATCATTTGAGGTCAGGAGTTTGAGACCAGCCTGGCCAACATGGTGAAACTCTGTCTCTACTAAAATACGAAAGTTGGCCAGGCATGGTAGTGCATGCCTGTAATCCCAGCTGCTCATGAGGCTGAAGCAGGAGAATCGCTTGAACCTGGGAGGCAGAGGTTGCAGTGAGCTGAGATCGTGCCACTGCACTCCAGCCTGGATGACAGAGTGAGACTCTGTTTCAAAAAAAAAAAAAAAAAGAAAAGAAAAAAGAAAAAAAGAAAGAAATGGCCCTTCCAGTACAGCATCTCCACTCCATTCGCTCACCCTCGCCCCATGTGTAAACATAAACCATATTTTACCCACTGTGATGTTCCCTCAAGATGAAGCATAAAGTGGGTTGGGGGCTGAGCACAGTGGCTCATGCCTGTAATCCTAGCACTTTGGGAAGCTGAGCGGGGAGGATTACTTGAAACCAGGAGGTCAAGACAAGCCTGGGAAACAAAGTGAGACTCCATCTCCACAAAGAACACAAAATTTTTTTTAAAATGGTCCTGGTGTGGTGATGCACACCTGCACTCCCAGCTATTCTAAAGGCTGAGGCAGGAGGATCACTTGGGCCTAGGAGTTCAAGGTTGCAGTGAACTGTGATCACACCCCTGCACTCCTGCCTGGGCGACAGAGCGAGGCTTTTTTTTTCTTTTTCCTTTTCTTTTCTTTTTTTTTGAGATGGGGTCTTGTTCTGTTGCCCAGGCTAGAGTGCAGTGGCACAATCTTGGTTCACTGCAACCTCCTCCTCCCGGGTTCAAGCGATTATCCTGTCTCAGCTTCCACCCGAGTAGCTGGGACTACAGGCACGTGCCACCATGCCGAGCTAATTTTTTGTATTGTTAGTAGAGATGGGGTTTCACCCTGTTGGCCAGGCTGGTCTTGAATTCCTGACCTCAAGTGACTCACCCGCCTCAGCCTCCCAAAGTGCTGGGGTCACAGGTGTAAGCCACTGTGCCTGCCCCCTCCATCTCTAAAAAAAAGAAATTTTAAAAATTCTTTAAAAAATTGGGTTAGTGGTTTGAGCTCATGCCCCATGAGAGTCTAAGAATCCCCAGCCTGTCTAGCATCTGCTTGTTTGGCCATAATGCTAGGGTAAGCTGAGTCCCATTGCTGCACAGGTTATAGCCCACCTAACTCTAGCCCATCACTGACTCATTTTGGTTCTTGTTCTAAGGCTGTTCTGTCCTGTGTACAGATCTGCATGGAGCTTGTACTACTTTTCTGTTGCCACTGTAGCAAACTATCACAAGGTTAGTGGCTTAAAACAATACAAATGTATTATCTTAGCGTTCTGCAAGTTGTAAGTCCAATACAGTCCTCACTTTGACACCTTAAAATCAAGGTGTGAGCAGGGCTGTGTTCTTTACTGGAGACTCTTGTAGAGAATCTGCTCCTTGCCTTTTGCAGCTTCTAGAGGCCACCTGCTTGTGCTCCCTTCCTCCACCTTCAATAGCAGGTTGAGTTCTTCCCACATCATATCACTCTGACCTCTTCTGCCTCACTTCTCCACTTTTAAGGAACCTGGATAATCCATGATGCTCTTCCTATCTTAAACTTGGCTAGTTGGTGATCTTAAGTCCAACTCTGGCCTTAACTCCTCTTTGCCATGTGATATGTTCACAGGGTCCTGGGATTAGAATGTGGACATCTTTGGGGAACCATTATTCTGCCTACTACACAGCTCAGCAAACATTTAATAAGGTTCTGCGTATGTAAGGAACTGTGATGAGGCATTATCGTGCTCCAAAGTAAGTAGAGATTGAGTAGAAAGATCAAGGTCCTCTAGACAATACATGAACTTATTTAGATCTTCACTCACACAACACACACACACACACACACACACACACCCCATAAATCATAGGTCAGGAATCAGGGATTCAGTATACAAGTTATCCAAAGCACAGTGGGAGTAAAGACCAGCTTTAAGGAGATGGCTTTACTTGGATTCTGTGATCTGCAACTTCATGACTTTTAAAAAGCAATTTCAATAGAGCAGTTGTGATGCTAGTAAGTGGCACAGACAGAAGGATTGAAAAGGAAGCAAGAAAACCAAGGTTCAGTGAGCATCACTTACAGTCAGAAATTTACCAAAGAAAGAAGGAAACAGGACTGGAGTGAGACTGTTTGTTCCCTTTTGACCTTTCCAAGATCATGGCCCCACTATATATTTAACCTGGAACCTCAGAACACTCCTGGATGAGATGTTCACTGGAACCGGAGCATGGCAGGAAAGATGACAGCTACCTCACTGCACAGGTGACAGGTGCCTCTCCTACACACTCATGGTATATGATGCTCACCTGAGCCACTTCTGCAGAAAGGACTTAAGGTGCTGCAGGTATCATTCAGGGTCTCAGCAGCCAAGAGATGGCTGCTCAAAGGGGCAACAGAAGAGAGTTTAAAGAAGGGACTATTTTCAGAGGGGATGGGAGAGTTAGGGAGACTGAAAAGCATGGAAGCACCGAGGAATATCGTTAAACCCCTAAGCCCACAGGGGAAAGGGGCAGGCAGGAGCTGTTATTGGAAGAACCCAGTGATAGCTGTGGTCTCAGGACAGGGTCTGCTGATGAGAGCTGTGTGGCCAGGCCTTGGGTGGAGAATAAATATCTGCTCCCCTTTTGTGCCATCCTCTGATCTGCTGCTGGTGCCTCCATGGCTGCTCTAATAAAAAGCCAGAGGACAAGAACCCCTGGTGGCTACAGACCCTAGAAGTCAGCCTTTGAGGGCACAGAAGGGACAGAGGGTAGAGCAAACAGAAAATATCCAGCCACTACCTCCCTCTCGTTTACCCCTTTTCCCAGCAGTTCTAGAAATGGCTGGATCAGGTAAAGCTCTTTGCAGGGATAGCAGAAAGTTTCAGTCACCATAACTAGAGCCCAGGGGTCAACAGCTAAGGAAAGAAGCTTCAAGAGAAAAGAGAAAGAAAGGCAATGGAGGTTGGGCACAGTGGCTCACACCAGTAATCCCAGCACTTTGGGAGGCTGAGGCACGCGGATCGCTTTAGCTCAGGAGTTTGAGACCAGCCTGGGCAACACAGTGAAACCCTGTCTCTACAAAAATTAGCCAAGCATGGTGTCATGCACCTGTGGTCCCAACTACTTGGGAGGCTAAGGCAGGAGGATCACTGAGCCTGGGAGGTCGAGGCTGCAATGAGCTGTGATCACACCACTGCACTCCAACCTGTGTGACAGAACAAGACCCGGTCTCAAACAAAGAAACAGACAGACAAACAAAACAAATAAAGAAAGGCAGTGGAAAGGGAGAAAAGAGACGCCCCAGGCAGGGTTGGGAGGCAGAGAGTAATGCAGTGGAGGAGACTCTCTGCTGTCACACTATCGCAGGGCTAAGCTCAGAGGCTTTGTTTAAAAATCGGTGCATTGAGCTGTTTACCCACCTTGAGCACATTCAACACCCCCACATCTGTCATTAGTTTGGATGTGCTCATGGAACCATCCATGCTGCTCCTGGATGTTATATTAAAGCACTTTTTAATTACCACATTTTCCAAGGCAGAGAAAGCCTAATCTGAACGCAGTTTTAAAACCAACAGCAATCAGCAGAGATTCATCAATTAGCATTTGGCATTAAGCAATGCAGAACATTTTCCAAGGCTCCAAGGGCCTCTCCACACCTGAACATTTTTACAAGTTTCATTCTCTCCTGTTTGAATAATATTTGGGGATCTTGACTTGCAGTCTTGACTGACAGATAGTTTTTCTCAGCTGCCAAAAGAATAACCAATTTTCTACGGTAGCTCTTTTCTAACTCAAACAGTACAGCTTCAACAAAGCTCTTTACTCTGCTACACAATTTTTTTTCAAAGAAAAAAAGTAGCTGTGCTTCAAACCACTAATCATAATTTATTATAACAATGCTTCCCAGGAAGCAGAGTTCTTGTTATAAATAACTGCTGAGGAGCAGGATGGAGTAACTGTTTATTTAGTTTCAATCTACTTGTTCAGAATTTGTCACCCATTAAAACTTAACTCACAATCAGATGTAAATTCAAAATGTTGTGGAGGCATTGTCAACTTTGGGCTAAATATTTCCTAGTTATTTTCTCTCTTTTTTTCAAGAATTTTATTTATGTTATATCTGCCCTTTTTTCTAATTGAGGGGGAAAAATTTACCCTGAAATGTTAACGCATTTGTGCCTTTTCCATGAGGTTGAAGTGTACGACTTTTGGACATCACAGATATTTTCAAATGCTGGGTTGTGAGAATTTGGAAATGTGAAGCTCTACCGGGCACTCCTTCATCAAGTATCAAAATGAAGAGTCCTCTTGTTCCATAGTCACACTACTGAGTTTTGTACTGATCCTCAGTTTCCTTATCTATACAATGGGGATGATAACATGTAGCTTACACAATTGTGAAGATTGAGTATAATCTAAGCATTTGGCACAAGACTGAATATAGGAAGCAGTTCTTACTTTTATTCTTTACCAGCTAGGGATAGGCAACATGACAAACAGTGAAGTGGGTGAGAGAGTAAAGTATTTTTGCTTATGGCTGATCTCTGAGTCCATAATGGGAATTGCCTACAAATAAACAGCGGAGCATGATAGTCTCTAAGCAGGCCAGACTTCTGAAATCCTCAATGCTTAATTCACAATGCAGTCACCAGAACTAAATGGTTTTAAATTACTTGAGTCTCAAGTGGCTGGGGTGACAAATACATCATTCAGTCACCTTCCTAGCTGCTTCTGACTTTCAGATCATTTTGTACCATGGACTGAGATTTCCTTCTTCCAAAGGAAGGAAGGGATTTGGCTCCTGTCCTTCTCTGGTGTGAATTCATAAGACTACAGAGTTCTGAAAATTCCTGGCAAGAAAGTTGCTTCATAATGATGTTTCACTTATAGTGATTAAGATGTCACTTCTAGCAGCTGAGAATGTTGTTATATAGAGATCTAATTCGGTGGTACCTAACGATATGAAAATGGCAGCACACAAAAGTTTCTGATGCATTTCATTTTTTGTGGATGCAATTCATAGTTTTATTACTGTCTGTAATGAGATAAAGCAATATGTGGTTATGGCAAATGCTAAAAACAAGAAAAGCATTGTGCAGTAAAGAGTTAACTCAGCAGGTTTGGGCTGCTCAAACCCTGAACATTCTCAATCTTCAGGACTGGCCCTTGACCCAACTCTTGATTGATAACCTCTGAGCTTGTGGTGTATCCTGCCTGAAGCCTGAGGCCCTGGGCCACACTAGATAGTGTGTGCTCATAATGTTATTTATGGTAAACAACTGTTTTTGTGTGCCTGAGACTTTCGGCCACACTGTATCAGTTTGACCTCTGGAATGCTGAGTTCTGAGTGGCTGAGGTCAGGCATGCAGGTGCTGTATGCTTATGTGACTGTTCTCCTGAATACCAAGACTCAAGTGAGTTTCCCCGGTGGGCTACGCTTTGCACATGTCACATTGTTGCTGGGAAAATTAAGCACTATCTGTGTGACTTCACTGGGTAAGGAAAACTAGAAGCATTCCCTAGTTTTTCTTAGACTCCATCCTCTGTGCCTTTTCCCTTTGCTGATTTTAATCTGCGTTCTTTTGCTGTAATAAACTGTAACTGTTAGTATAACAGCTTTTCTGAGTCCTACCAGTGAGTCATAGAACCTGAAGATGCTCTTGGGAACCCTCAGTGCAAGCATAAAAAATAAGCATCACCTATTATCCTACTTCTAAAGATAATATTTTCCTTAAAAATATATATATGTATGTGTATATATTATATACACTCGAACACTTTTGTTTATGGAAAATAGATCATACTACATACTCTGTTTAGTAACCTTTTCTTGGTTAATATATAATGAACACATTTTTATGCCCTTAAATATAGAAATATTATTTGTATACCTTTCCATTGTATAGATTTTGGTGCATTTATTTAACCAGTCATCTACTGATAGTCATACGGGTTCTTTATCTCTTTTTTGGCATTACTAACAATGTTCCAATAAACACTCTTGTAGGTAGCCTCTTTGCAAGCTCATCTAATTATTTGTAATACAGGGACTGTAATAAATATTAAATATTAAAAGCTTTGGTGACAATCACTTGAAGTGATTAATAAGATGTGTTAAAACAGGTAATGTTTTCAGACTTCTACGCAGAAGAATCCTGATCTTTAAAATGATTGGAACTGGGCTAGAATCTGAATCCAGTAAATTTATGGAAACCAGGGTAGCCATCATTTTTCAATATGTCCATATCATGGGTTATTAGGTCCTAAAATATGCATTCTCCATTGGTCTTAAAGATTTATCCCATGAGTTTCCATTGAGATTTATTATACTCCACTTCCCAAAAGTTAGTTAGCTATTTAAAAAACAAAACAAAACAACCTGGCCTGGCCTAAAACCAGTAAGTTACATGATAAAAGAAAAAAAATCCACCAGTAGTTTAACTGTCTACCAGGATAAAAGTTAACAATCTTCCACTAGTAGTTTAACTGCCTGCCAGAATAAAACTTAACAATTTTAGATAAAAACAACATAGCCCAGGATCTCTACAATGTATCATTCACGATGTCTAGCTTTCAGAAAAACTTGCTAGAAAATGTGATCCATTACAAAACGTGATCCATAAAAAAGAGCTAAAAAGCAAATTAAGCATACCCATTAATGACTCAGATATCAGAATCACCAGACAAGAATTTGGAAAAAAAATACCAAAACAAACAAAAAAAGTTAGTATAAATATGTTAAAGGAGTTAGAGGAAAATATGTAAAATGAGTGAACAGAAGATGAAAAATTCCAAAAGAGAAAGAAGAACTCTTAAAAAGAACCAAATGGTTCTTTATAGAATTGAAAATTCAATATCTAAAACAAAGAATTCATTAGAGGGCTTAACTGAAAACTGAACACAGAAGAAATGAACAGTAAAATCAAAGATAGATCAGTAAAAACCATCCAAAATAAGTCACATAGAGAAAATAACAATAAGCAAAAACATCTGGCCAAGCATGGTGGCTCATGCATATATGGAGTCCCAGAAGGAGAACACAGAATTGGGGGAAATATTTTTGGAAACAATGAATAAAATTGTTCCAAAATTGATGAAATACATCAATCTACAGATCCAAGAAGCTAAGTGTACCCCAAGCAGAAGAAGCAAAGGAAACCACACTGTACACATCATAGTCAAACTTCAGAAAACAAAGATAAAGAGAAAAATCTTAAAAGTAGCTGAAGGGGGAAAAGGGACATGTTGCACTCAGGAGAACTATGTCAATAATAATTGATGTGGTGGTTAATTTTAGATGTCAATCTGACTGGATTAAGGGATATCCAGATGGCTGGTAAAGTGTTATTTCTGGGCATGTCTCTGAAGCTGTTTCTAGAAGAGACTGGCATTTGAATCAGTGGACTGAATAAAGAAGATCTACTCAAGGTGTATGGGCAACATCCAATTGGCTGAAGGGCCATAGAATAAAAAGGCAGAGGAAAGGTGAATTTCTCCCTCCCCCCACCACTCTCGCTCTCTCCTCTGGAGCTGGGGCACCCTTCTTCTCCTGCCCTTGGACATCAGAACTCCAGGTTTTCCAGCCTTTGGACTCTGGGACTTGTACCAGCAGCCCCCTTAGACCTCTGGCCTCAGATGGAGTGTTACACTGTTAGCTTTCCTGGATCTGAGGCATTCAGACTAGGTAGGACTGAGCCACTTTACTGGCTTCCTTAGGTCTCCAGCTTGTAGACGGTCTATCATAGGACTTCACAGGTTCACAAAATCACATAATCCATAATAAATCCTCTCTCATATATCTGTATCTATCTACATATCTATCTCTCTATCTCCTATTGGTTCTGTCTCTTTGGAAAACTCTGACTAATACAACTGACTTCTCATAAAAAATGATGGAAACCAGAAGACAGTAGAATGTCATTTCTTAAGCACTAAAAGCAAATACTAGTCTACTTAGAATTCTAGACCCAGTAAAAATATCCTTCAAAATGAAGACAAACTACAAACATTTTTCAGACAAATAAAAATAAGGAGAATTTATTACCAAGAGACCCACACTGCAAAAAGATGCTAAAGGAAAATGATCTTAGATAAAGGCCCAGATCTGCAGGAAGAAGTAAACCGTCATGGAAATGGTGATGATGTGGATAAACATAGGATTATTTTAAATATTTATCTTTTTAAATTTGAAAACAAGCTTATTCTAAAATCTATATGGAAAGGCAAATGACCTAGAATGGCAAGAAAAGCTTTGAAAAAGAATAATAAAGTAAGATAAATTACTCTACCCAATTTTTAGACTTACTATATAGCTACAGTAATCAAGAAAGTGTGGTATTGGTGGAGGAATAAACATATAGATCAATGAGACAAAACACAGAACCCAGAAAAAAAAACAAAACAAATAGGTCCAAACAACTTTGACAAAGGTACAAAAACAATTCAATGGAGAAAGGATAGTCTAGTCAATAAATGGTGCTGGACCAATTGGCAAAAACAAAACAAAAACAATAAACCTGACACCATTTTTTTTATGAGACAGGGTCTCACTCTGTTACCGAGGCTGGAGTACAGTGGCATTGTCATAGCTAACTGTAACCTCAAACTCCTGGACTTGACTGATCCTCCTGTCTCACCTCCCAAGTAGGTAGGGCCATAGGCATGTGCCAGAATATCTAGCTAATTTTTACTTTTTAAATTTTTTTGTAGGGATGGTGTCTTGCTCTGTTGCCAAGGCTGGTTTCCAATTCCTGGCCTCAAGAGATCATCCTGCCTCATCCTTTCAAAGCACTGGGATTACAAGCACCTTAAATCTTTTATTAAAAAAATTAGGCTGAGGCCGGGCACAGTGGCTCACACCTGTAATCCCAGCACTTTGGGAGGCCAAGTCGGTGGATTATTTGAGGTCAGGAGTTCAAGATCAGTCTGGCCAACATGGTGAAACCCTGTCTCTACTAAAAATACAAAAAAATGAGCCAGGTGTGATGGCAGGCACCTGTAATCCCAGCTACTCAGGAGGCTGAGGCACAAGAATTGCTTGAACCCAGGAGGCAGAGGTTGCAGTGAGCTGAGATCACACCACTGGACTCCAGCGTGGGTGACAGACTGAGACCCTGTCTCAAAAAAGAAAAGAAAAGAAAAGAAAAATTTAGGCTGGGCACGGTGGCTCATGCCTGTAATCTCAGCACTTTGGGAGGCTGAGGCAGGAGGATTACTTGAGCCCAGGAATTGGAGTCCAGCCCTGGAAACATATGGAGACCTCGACTCTATAAAATAAAAATTTTTAAATTAGCTGGTGTGGTGGTGCACACCTGTAGTCCCAGATACTCAGGAGGATCACTTCAGCCTGGGAGATCAAGCCTGCAGTGAGCTGTGTTTGTGCCATGCATTCCAGCCTAGGCGACAGAGTGAGACCCTGTCTCAAAAAAAAAAAAAAAAAAAAAAAAAATTCAAAATGAACCAGAGACTTAAATGTAAAATGTACAACTATAAGACTTTTAGAAGAAAACACACGAGAAAATATTTGAAACCAAGGGCTAAGTTCAACATCATTAGACATTAAACCCAGTGCCAAAAACATGCTCCATAAAAGAACAAATTGATATATTAAAATGCTTTTGCTTTGTGAAGGACCATAAGAGGATGAAAAAAACAAGCCACAGACTGGGAGAAAATACGTGCAAACTACATATCTGACAAAGGAATTATATTGACAGTATATAAAGAACGCACAAACTCAACAGTAAAAAAGCAAGCAATCCAATTAGAAAATAGGCAAAAGACATTAACAGACATTTGACAAAAGAGGATATAAAATGAACATAGAAAAGTTGTTCAAAAACATTAACCATTAGAGAAATGCAAATGAAAACACACTATGGTTTGCATTTGTCTTCCAGATTTCATGTGTTGTTGGAAACTTAATCCCCAATTTAATACATTGATTGGATGTGGGGCATTTGGGCAGTAATAAGGATTCTATAAAGTCATCAGGATAGGTTCTCCATGATGGGACTGGTGGCTTTATAAGATGAGAAAGGGAGGCTTGAGTGACATGCACTCTCTTGCTTTCTTGCCATGCTTTCCACCATGTTATGATGCAGCAAGAAGGCCCTCGTCAGACACTGGCACTGTGCTCTTGAACTTTCCAACATCCAGAATTGTGAACTAAACAAATTATGTTTATTATACATATTTTAAAGTGTAAAAAAAAATTAGAGGTAGGTGTCTCACTAGGTGGCCCAGGCTTGTCCTGAACTCCTCATCTCAAGCAATTCTCCCACTTTGACCTCCCAAAGTGCTGGGATTACCGCCATAAGCCACCATGCCCAGCTTCCGTCCATTGAAAATTACCCAGTCTATGGTATTCTGTTATACCAACAGAAAATAGAATAAGAGAAAACCATAATGACATATCATCACAAATCTATTAGAATGACTAAAATAAAAAATAATAATAGTAAATGCTGGTGAGAATGTAGATAAACTGGATCTCTCATACATAATGGTGGAAATGTAAAATGGGACAATCACTCTAGAAAATAGTTTGGCAATTACTTATAAAATTAACATACACTTACATTTGACCCAGAACTTGCACTCCTGGACATTTATCCCAAAGAAACTAAAACTTGTACATGAGTGTTCATAGAAGCTTTATTCATAGTAGCCAAAATATACCAACAGCCCAAATGTCCTAAATGAGTACATGGATAAACTGTGGTACATCCCTACAATGGAATAATATTCAGCAATAAAAAGGAGCAAGCAATTGATACATGATGCATATTGCATTGGTCTCAGAGACATTATTTCAAGTGGAAAAAGCCTAACTTAAAAATATTATGTACTGTATGATTCCATTTATATAACATTCTCAAAATGACCAAATTAAAGAGAGAACAAATGAATGGGACACAACTGTCAGACTTTTCTGCAGTAAGGTCACTTTCTTGCCTTTGTAATTAGTGGGGATGTACTTTGAGATTACATAAATACCCTGTTGCTCATCAAACTTTTGATTTATTGCTTTTTAAATGTCAGCATGGGTTCATGGTTTCCTACTTTATCTTATAGCAGTTATAATATGCTGCTAGCAATATGGGATTTTTTGTTTTTTAAGATGTTTTTGTTTTTTAAGATGGAGTTTCACTCTGTTGCCCAGGCTGGAATGCAGTGGTGTGATCTCTGCTCACTGCAACCTCTGCCTCCCAGGTTCAAGCGATTCTCCTGCCTCAGCCTCATGAGTAGCTGGGATTACAGGCACCTGCCACCACAGCTTGCTAATTTTTGTATTTTGGGTAGAGACAGGGATTCACCATATTGGCCAGGCTGGTCTTGAACTCCTGACCTCAGGTGATCCGCCCACCTTGGCCTCCCAAAGTGCTGGGATTACAGGTGGCCATATGTATTTTGATGATTAAATAATCCCAGATATGGCCAGTGAGGGGCTCTTCATCTAATTTCTTGTCCCTTAGACAAAACTTCATCATTTTCTAAAGAGATTTCTTACTTCCTTTTATAAGATGTTCCAGGTTCCTTTTGCATCTCTCCTGCCCCAGCCCTGGAATCAGCCATTTCTCCAAAAAGTTCTGGGCCCTTTCAGTGAAAAATGACATTTAGAAACCAAGATCTGGCACAATGTGTTCAGATTTATTGGGATGTCACAGTTACCAGGCCCTTCTCAGTGCACAGAGGTAGGGAATGGTGTGTGTGTGTGTTTTCTATACCTATCTCTATTAAAAACAATATGCTTACACTAATACCTCCAACCTTACTCCAACACCACAGTTTATTCTGGTGTCTTCCCTTTCCATATTATAAAACTCCCTCCTTTGTCAGTGACATACTGGTTCTATTTTCCTGAATATATTTAGTTATTTGATTACTCTATGTAACCAATTTTCCTGACAATGCCCCGTGCCACACAGATGCCCCTCCTTACCCAGCTCAGTTCCAACTCCTCATGGTGAGCAGCTCCTGGGAGTAACCACTCCTCACCCACCTGCCCTGGACCAGTGTGAGGGTCCCTGTCTTGAGGCTCCTCTTACTCAGCACAATCTACTGGCTTTAGGAAGAGCAAGTAGTAACTTTTCTATGAAAACCTAATAATAAAAATCCTACAACATGGCTTACCTCCATAGTGATTCATATCTAGTTCACACTCATTTACTTTCTCAAGTTTTGTCTGAGTTCCAGCTCTGCACTTGTCCCAGTCTGGTTTGGCTCCTGCCAGTCTTTACGAAGACAGACACCACAAAGACAGTTCCCAGGGGAGGGAGCCAAGATGGCCAAATAGGAACAGCTCCAGTCTACAGCTCCCAGCATGAGCAATGCAGAAGATGGGTGATTTCTGCATTTCCAACTGAGGTACCGGGTTCATCTCACAGGAGAGTGTCAGACAGTGGGTGCAGGACAGTGGGTGCAGCGCACTGAGCGTGAGCCGAAGCAGGGCGAGGCATCGCCTCACCCGGGAAGTGCAAGGGATCAGGGAATTCCCTTTCCTAGTCAAAGAAAGGGGTGACAGATGGCACCTGGAAAATCGGGTCACTCCCACCCTAATACTGCGCTTTTCCAACTGTCTTAGCAAACGGCACACCAGGAGATTATATATCGTGCTTGGCTAGGAGGGTCCTACGCCCACGGAACCTCACTCATTGCTAGCACAGCAGTCTGAGATCAAGCTGCAAGGTGGCAGCGAAGCTGGGGAGGGGCGCCCGCCATTGCCAAGGCTTGAGTAGGTAAACAAAGCAGCCAGGAAGCTTGAACTGGGTGGAGTCCACCACAGTTCAAGGAAGCCTGCCTGCCTCTGTAGACTCCACCTCTGGGGGCAGGGCATAGCCAAACAAAAGGCAGCAGAAAACTCTGCAGACTTAAATGTCCCTGTCTGACAGCTTTGATGAGAGTAGTGGTTCTCCCAGCACGCAGTTGGAGATCTGAGAACGGATAGGACTGCCTCCTCAAGTGGGTCCCTGATCCCCGAGTAGACTAACTGGGAGGCACCCCCCAGTAGGGGCAGACTGACACCTCACATGGCCGGGTACTCCTCTGAGACAAAACTTCCAGAGGAACGATCAGGCAGCAACATTTGCTATTCACCAATATCCGCTGTTCTGCAGCCTCCGCTGCTGATACCCAGGCAAACAGGGTCTGGAGTGCATCTTCAGCAAACTCCAACAGACTGCAGCTGAAGGTCCTGACTGTTATAAGGAAAACTAACAAACAGAAAGGACATCTACACCAAAACCCCATCTGTACGTCACCATCATCAAAGATCAAAGGTAGACAAAACCACAAAGATGGGGAAAAAACAGAGCAGAAAAACCGGGAACTCTAAAAATCAGAGCACCCCTCCTCCTCCAAAGGAATGCAGCTCCTCACCAGCAACAGAACAAAGCTGGACAGAGAATGACTTTGATGAATTGAGAGAAGAAGGCTTCAGACGATCAAACTACTCCAAACTAAAGGAGGAAGTTCAAACCCATGGCAAAGAAGTTAAAAACCTTGAAAAAAAATTAGATGAACGGCTAACTAGAATAACCAATGCAGAGAAGTCCTTAAAGGACCTCATGGAGCTGAAAACCACGGCACAAGAACTATGCAACAAATGCACAAGCCTCAGTAGCCAATTTGATCAACTGGAAGAAAGGGTATCAGTGATGGAAGATCAAATTAATGAAATGAAGTGAGAAGAGAAGTTTAGAGAAAAAAGAATAAAAAGAAATGAACAAAGCCTCCAAGAAATATGGGAATAAGTGAAAAGACCAAATCTACATCTGATTGGTGTACCTGAAAGTGACGGGGAGAATGAACCAAGTTGGAAAATACTCTGCAGGATATTAATCCAGGAGAACTTCCCCAACCTAGCAAGGCAGGCCAACATTCAAATTCAGGAAATACAGAGAACGCCACAAAGATACTCCTCAAGAAGAGCAACTCCAAGACACATAATTGTCAGATTCACCAAAGTTGAAATGAAGGAAAAAATGTTAAGGGCAGCCAGAGAGAACGGTCGGGTTACGCCACAAAGGGAAGCCCATCAGACTAACAGCTGATCTCTTGGCAGAAACTCTACAAGCCAGAAGAGAATGGGGGCCAATATTCAACGTTCTTAAAGAAAAGAATTTTCAACCCAGAATTTCATATCCAGCCAAACTAAGCTTCATAAGTGAAGGAGAAATAAAATAAAATACTTTACAGACAATGTAAATGTTGAGAGATTTTGTCACCATCAGGCCTGTCCTAAAAGAGCTCCTGAAGGAAGCACTAAACATGGAAAGGAGCAACTGTACCAGCCACTGCAAAAACATGCCAAATTGTAAAGACCATTGAGGCTAGGAAGAAATTGCATCAACTAACGAGCAAAATAACCAGCTAACATCATAATGACAGGATCAAATTCACACATAACAATATTAACCTTAAATGTAAATGGGCTAAATGCTCCAATTAAAAGACACAGACTGGCAAATTGGATAAAGAGTCAAGACCCATCAGTGTGCTGTATTCAGGAAACCCATCTCACATGCAGAGACACACATAGGCTCAAAATAAAGGGATGGAGGAAGAGCTACCAAGCAAATGGAAAACAAAAAAAGGCAGGGGTTGCAATCCTAGTCTCTGATAAAACAGACTTTAAACCAACAAAGATCAAAAGAGACAAAGAAGGCCATTACATAATGGTAAAGGGATCAATTCAACAAGAAGAGCTAACTATCCTAAATATATATGCACCCAATACAGGAGCACCCAGATTCACAAAGCAAGTCCTTAGAGACCTACAAAAAGACTTAGACTCCCACACAATAATAATGGGAGGCTTTAACACCCCACTGTCAACATTAGACAGGTCAACGAGACAGAAAGTTAACAAGGATATCCAAGAATTGAACTCAGCTCTGCACCAAGCAGACCTAATAGATATCTACAGAACTCTCCACCCCAAATCAACAGAATATACATTCTTTTCAGCATCACACCACACGTATTCCAAAACTGACCACATAGTTGGAAGTAAAGCACTCCTCAGCAAATGTAAAAGAATAGAAATTATAACAAACTGTCTCTCAGACCACAGTGTAATCAAACTAGAACTCAGGATTAAGGAACTCACTCAAAACTGCTCAACTACATGGAAACTGAACAACCTGCTCCTGAATGACTACTGGGTACATACCGAAATGAAGGCAGAAATAAAGATGTTCTTTGAAACCAACAAGAACAAGGACACAACATACCAGAATCTCTGGGACACATTCAAAGCAGTGTGTAGAGGGAAATTTATAGCACTAAATGCCCACAAGAGAAAGCAGGAAAGATCTAAAATTGACACCCTAACATCACAATTAAAAGAACCAGAGAAACAAGAGCAAACACATTCAAAAGCTAGCAGAAGGCAAGAATTAACTAAGATCAGAGCAGAACTGAAGGAAATAGAGACACAAAAAAACCCTTCAAAAAACCAAAGAATCCAGGAGCTGGTTTTTTGAAAAGATCAACAAAATTGATAGACCACTAGCAAGACTAACAAAGAAGAAAAGAGAGAAGAATCAAACAGACACAATAAAAAATGATAAAGGGGATATCATCACCGATCTCACAGAAATACAAACTACCATCAGAGAATACTATAAACACCTCTACACAAATAAACTAGAAAATCTAGAAGAAATGGATAAATTCCTCAACACATACACCCTACCAAGACTAAACCAGGAAGAAGTTGAATCTGTGAATAGATCAATAACAGGCTCTGAAATTGAGGCAATAATTAATAGCTTACCAACCAAAAAAAGTCCAGGACCAGATGGATTCACAGCCGAATTCTGCCAGAGGTACAAGGAGGAGCTGGTAACATTCCTTCTGAAACTATTCCAATCAATAGAAAAAGAGGGAATCCTCCCTAACTCATTTTATGAGGCCAGCATTATCCTGACACCAAAGCCTGGCAGAGACACAACAAAAAAAGAGAATTTTGGACCAATATCCCTGATGAACATCAACGCAAAAATCCTCAACAAAATACTGGCAAACCGAATCAAGCAGCACATCAAAAAGCTTATCCACTATGATCAAGTGGGCTTCATCCCTGGGATGCAAGGCTGGTTTGACATATACAAATCAATAAACGTAATCCAGCATATAAACGGAACCAAAGACAAAAACCACATGATTATCTCAATAGATTCAGAAAAGGCCTTTGACAAAATTCAACAACCTTCATGCTAAAAACTCTTAGTAAGTTAGGTATTGATGGGACGTATCTCAAAATAATAAGAGCTATTTATGACAAACCCACAGCCAATATCATACTGAATGGACAAAAACTGGAGGCATTCCCTTTGAAAACTGGCACAAGACAGGGATGCCCTCTCTCACCACTCCTATTCAACATAGTGTTGGAAGTTCTGGCTGGGGCAATCAGGCAGGAGAAGGAAATAAAGGGTATTCAATTAGGAAAAGAGGAAGTCAAATTGTCCCTTTTTGCAGATGACATGATTGTATATCTAGAAAACCCCATCATCTCAGCCTAAAATCTCCTTAAGCTGACAGGCAACTTCAGCAAAGTCTCAGGATACAAAATCAATGTGCAAAAATCACAAGCATTCTTATACACCAATAACAGACAAACAGAGAGCCAAATCATGAGTGAACTCCCATTCACAATTGCTTCAAAGAGAATAAAATACCTAGGAATCCAACTTACAGGGGACGTGAAGGACCTCTTCAAGGAGAACTACAAACCACTGCTCAATGAAATAAAAGAGGATACAAAGAAATGGAAGAACATTCCATGCTCATGGATAGGAAGAAGCAATATCGTGAAAATGGCCATACTGCCCAAAGTAATTTAGAGATTCAATGCCATCCCTATCAAGCTACCAATGACTTTCTTCACAGAATTGGAAAAAACTACTTTAAAGTTCATATGGAACCAAAAAAGAGCCCGCATTGCCAAGTCAATCCTAAGCCAAAAGAACAAAGCTGGAGGCATCACGCTACCTGACTTCAAACTATACTACAAGTCTACAGTAACCAAAACAGCATGGTACTGGTATCAAAACAGAGATATAGACCAATGGAACAGAACAGAGCCCTCAGAAATAATGCCACATATCTACAACTATCTGATCTTTGACAAACCTGACAAAAACAAGAAACGGGGAAAGGATTCCCTATTTAACCAATGGTGCTGGGAAAACTGGCTAGCCATATGTAGAAAGCTGAAACTGGATCCCTTCCTTACACCTTACACAAAAATCAATTCAAGATGGATTAAAGACTTAAATGTTAGACCTAAAACCATAAAAACCCTAGAAAAAAACCTAGGCAATACCATTCAGGACATAGGCATGGGCAAGGACTTCATGTCTAAAACATCAAAAGCAATGGCAACAAAAGCCATAATTGACAAATGGGATCTAATTAAAGTAAAGAGCTTCTGCACAGCAAAAGAAACTACCATCAGAGTGAACAGGCAACCTACAGAATGGGAGAAAATTTTTGCAATCTACTCATCTGACAAAGGGCTAATATCCAGAATCTACAAAGAACTCAAACAAATTTACAAGAAAAAAACAAACAACCCCATCAAAAAGTGGGCAAAGGACATGAACAGACACTTCTCAAAAGAAGACATTTGTGCAGCCAAAAGACACATGAAAAAATGCTCATCATCACTGGCCATCAGAGAAATGCAAATCAAAACCACAATGAGATACCACCTCACGCCAGTTAGAATGGGGATCATTAAAAAGTCAGGAAACAACAGGTGCTGGAGAGGATGTGGAGAAATAGGAACACTTTTACACTATTGGTGGGACTGTAAACGAGCTTAACCATTGTGGAAGTCAGTGTGGGGATTCCTCAGGGGTCTAGACCTAGAAATACCATTTTACCCAGCCATCCCATTACTGGGTATATACCCAAAGGATTATAAATCATGCTGCTATAAAGACACATGCACACGTATGTTTATTGTGACACTATTGACAATAGCAAAGACTTGGAACCAACCCAAATGTCCAACAATGATAGACTGGATTAAGAAAATGTGGCATGTATACACCATGGAATACTATGCAGCCATAAAAAAGGATGAGTTCATCTCCTTTGTAGGGACATGGATGAAGCTGGAAACCATCATTCTCAGCAAATTATCACAAGGACAAAAAACCAAACACCGCATGCTCTCACTCATAGTTGGGAATTGAACAATGAGAACACATGGACACAGGGAGGGGAACATCACACACTGGGGCCTGTTGTGGGGTTGGGGGAGGGGGAGGGATAGCATTAGGAGATATACCTAATGTTAAATGAAGAGTTAATGGGTGCAGCACACCAACATGGCGCATGTATACATATGTAACAAACCTGCACATTGTGCACATGTACCCTGAACCTTAAAGTATAATAAGAAAAAAAAAGACAGTTTCCAGGTTTCCCACACAGAAGACAGCATGTCTGCCTTAACCTGATCTGTTCTGTAGTGGATCCTGCTGGGTTGTTCAGGCCATGATGGTGACACATGACCCAGAGCCTTCCCTGCATCTCGATCCGCTCAACTTCCCGGCTTTCCCCTCAGTTTTCACTTAAGTGCAGCCTAAAATGACCATAAAATGTCATTTTATGCTAGTTCCCTCCAGATCATTCAAGAGAAGGAAAAACACTGCACCAATTACATTTTAAAACTAGCTCATTTCTTGTAAAAGAGGAGGCACTGTGAACACCATGAGGCTGGTGAAAAGCAAGGGAATAAATGGATCCTTTCTATCTAGGACACAGGGTTGGTGTGGAAAGTAACATGCAGGTAGTCCTGGGGGCCAGGGGCTCATCTGAATCTGATTGAAGGGTGCTGCCCCAAGAGCAGGCTCTTTGGGGAAATTCGAGCCATAGTCCTCAGCTGTGAAGGCAGAGTCACTCAGCGGACCCTGCATCCAAGCTCCCACCCCAGTGCTGTGACAGCCTGCACAGGTGAAGGAACCTTGCTTTTCACACCTCTCACCTCCAGTTTTAGGGTCCTCTTCTGGGGCTTCTTCCCTATTGGGAGTTCATGATCTGATTTCATTTCCTTCTGGAGTCTCTGTCATGTTGGCAGTAATGTCTTCAATGAAACCAGCTAATGCCTACAGTGGTTTAATCTCCCACCTTGCAGAAAATATTCACATTTTAATAGACAACTCCTAAAAATGCAATGCTTTTCCGATCTGGAGGCGGTCCAGTGGTGGGCTTCTCATCAATGGGAGAGATGTTTGGGGAGAAACTGCCTTCCTTGCTACCCTCCTACCCCCATTGTGGAGTCTCAGTCACCTGGTCTGGGGACCGGAGGTGAGGAGCAGAAGGCATCCTCAAAGCCCAGACCCAAAGTAGGCTGTGTCACCCTGCAGCCAGCACCAGCTACCTGCACTGGGCCAGAGGTGAGCCAAGCTGTGTACGGAGAGACGAAACTAGGACAAAAAAGGGGGCTGAATGGGTGACACCTGGGGTGGTCCGGGTCGGCCTCTCTCCCAACACCCCACCCACCTGCCCACCAGAGCCTGGACTTTCCCATGGTCTCTGTGCAGTCCCCTGTGTCGAGTCCCTCAGGACAAGCGGAGCAGGCTCTGCTGCGGACCTGCGTCCCTCCGGCTGCAACACAAGACACGAGGGGTCAGAGCAGCGCCCGGGTCCTGTGTTGTAGCCCGAGGTCTCACACTGTGTCATGGTGAGCCCGACCTGCAGCACCTGCCTGGCCTCCTCTTCCAGGTGGGCTGCCCAGCTTCTGCTTGGGGAATCCGACTTGCTGTGCATCCCGATGAGGAAGCTGTAAAAGAACAGAGGTCAGCATCAGTAGAGGGTCCTGGGACTGGGGCTCAGCAGAGGCCTTGACCTGAGGAGTCTTGGCTGTGATGGGCGAGGAGTCCTGCCCGGGGCAGCATAGATGACCTGTGCTCCAGGTGAGCAGCGAGCCTGATGGAAATGCTCAGAGAGGTGAGGGGCTTTGCACGCAAATACTTCACTGTCCACATACCTTTTCCTTTAAACAATGAATTATGGCTGTTTACAAGCCACTAATTACAGTTTATCATAACAATACTTCCTAGGAAATGGGTTCCTACTCTAATACTATGATGAGAATTTTGTAAACGCCAAGCTAGTACAATGAATTGCCCTGAGTTATAATAAATATCTGCACTTTGGGAGTAAGGCAGTAAACACAACATTACTGCTATCCATTTCCTATAGGCCTCTGAAGGATTTATTACTTATTTATGGTTTCTTTTTATTCAAAAACTCCTACATATCATTTTTTTGCAGATTATTTTGGATGAGTCATTTCTGGTTTTTTTTACAAAATAAAACGCGGTAGGCCCAGAACCCAAAAAGCGTCCCAACTTCAGTCCCTCCAAAGGTGACTTGTTGAGATTCCTCCCCGAGGCGCGCAATCCTTGGCTGAGCTCCACAGAATTCCTGGGCTGTGGGAATGAGGAGTAAGCGGCGGTGTTGCTCTCCTTATTTCTAGCTTCAGTAAAGTGGACCCATCAGTTTTGTTCAACGAATCTTTTGGGAAGGCTGTAGACTTTGAGCCCAGATGGGACATTAAACAGAAGTGTAGAAATTAGGTGTCACATCGTTTTCTACCAACAAAAGAAGATAAAAGTAGAAGGAAGAGGGATAACAATATCATGCCCACATTTTGTACAGGAACTTAAAATTGAACAATTTAGAGGGAGGGAAATCCCTTCTCTTCCTAAATTGTCTAAAAGACTGAGGGGCTCTTCCCAGCTGACCAGGGTACTCCCCACTATATCTGAGTCTGTGCAGACCTATACAGGCACATGTTCTCCAAATAAGTTATTTTCCCCTCCAAACTCCTTTCTCAGGCTGGGCACTCATGATCTAAGACTGCATCAGGCCCTGAGAAGCAACAGAGGACTCATACACTTTTTTTGTGTGTGGTTTTTTTTATTATACTTTAAGTTTTAGGGTACATGTGCACAATGTGCAGGTTTGTTACATATGTATACATGCGCCATGTTGGTGTGCTGCACCCATTAACTCGTCATTTACATTAGGTATATCTCCTAAAGCTATCCCTCCCCTCCTCCCCCCATCCCACAACAGGCCCCAGTGTGTGATGTTCCCCTTCCTGTGTCCAAGTGTTCTCATTGTTCAATTCCCACCTATGAGTGAGAACATGTGGTGTTTGGTTTTTCGTCCTTGTGATAGTTTGCTGAGAATGATGGTTTCCAGCTTCATCCATGTCCCTACAAAGGAGATGAACTCATCCTTTTTTATGGCTGCATAGTATTCCATGGTGTATACATGCCACATTTTCTTAATCCAGTCTATCATTGTTGGACATTTGGGTTGGTTCCAAGTCTTTGCTATTGTGAATAGTGCTGCAATAAACATACGTGTGCATGTGTCTTTATAGCAGCATGATTTATAATCCTTTGGGTATATACCCAGTAATGGGATGGCTGGGTCAAACGGTATTTCTAGTTCTAGATCCCTGAGGAATCGCCACACTGACTTCCACAATGGTTGAACTAGTTTACAGTCCCACCAACAGTGTCAAAGTGTTCCTATTTCTCCACATCCTCTCCAGCACCTGTTGTTTCCTGACTTTTTAATGATCCCCATTCTAACTGGTGTGAGATGGTATCTCACTGTGGTTTTGATTTGCATTTCTCTGATGGCCAGTGATGATGAGCATTTTTTCATGTGTCTTTTGGCTGCATAAATGTCTAATTTTGAGAAGTGTCTGTTCATGTCCTTTGCCCACTTTGTGATGGGGTTGTTTGTTTTTTTCGTGTAAATTTGTTTGAGTTCTTTGTAGATTCTGGATATTAGCCCTTTGTCAGATGAGTAGATTGCAAAAATTTTCTCCCATTCTGTAGGTTGCCTGTTCACTCTGTTGGTAGTTTCTTTTGCTGTGGACTCGTACACTTTTTAACACATCATTGTCTCAGGGCCCAACACACGGCCTCTGAAAAATGAGAGCCTGTCACAGAGCCACCAGGCAGTGGCCCGCTACTGGCTATTGGGAGAAGCTACCCAGTCCCCAGAACCCAGCCCCCTGCTTCACAAGTCCAGACACCTGATGCTATCCAAGTGCCCAAGTTTGGGGGGCTGGCTCCTGCTGACAAAACTCTGAAGAAACTGAATTCTGCACATGCTTACCTTGCCTTTGAAAGGCAGCAGAAGTGGAGTTGCATTATTGGGTTCTGTCTGAAGAAAGTGAAGGTATCCCAGTACTCATCTGCAACTTCTGACTACAAGCATGTGCAGCAGGCACCCTGGAACTGTATTTTCAGAAACTAAAGAACACAGAGGCAGCTAGGACAGTGGGGAGAAAGCCCGTGCTGATGCAAGGACAGGGAGACCTGAGCTCTGGCTCTGGCCTCGCAGCAGGGAGCAAGTCATGATGAGTAAATCCCAGAAGCTGACCCAGAGTGGCTGCCTGCATGACTTGCTTACTTGCATGATGCTTAGACAGCTGGCTGATTCTCAGATTCCCCAGGAACCAAAATGCAGGCCAGGCGGTAACAGAGCCTCAGCCTGTGGGAGCCCCCTGCACCTGCCTCACAGCACATCCTCCCAGGTGTTGCAGGCCAGGCCTTCTTTCCCAAGTCAGAAGCCAGGCCCATACGGGCAGCTCAGCTGGAACAACGGAGGTGCAGGTCCAAGGCCCAAATAGTGGAGAGTAGGTGGTGTTGCAGGAAGATGAAGACAAAACAAGCCTCCTGTCCCCCCTTACTGCCCGGGATCTTCTACCTCAACCCTACCCAACATGGTCCTGAGGGGAACCAAATCACTTCCTCTATGCCCATCCTGAGATGGGGCTATCTGACTTGTTTGTGCCAACAAGAGGTCAGAGTGAACAGAATGGGAACCAGAAAGAAAAGCTTAGAGGAAAGCTTCAAGCTCATGAAGCCCACCTGCGGGACAGGGGAACAAAGAGATCAGCAGGCAGCGGGGTGCAGTAGGCTGGGGCAGAGGGGAAAGAACGCTGTGGTTATTAAGTCTGTAGCAGGTGGAGGGCCAGGGGTCTTCTCATGAATAAGTTCTCGAATTTTTTTTTTCCTTATTTTTTATTTCTTTTGAGACAGAGTCTCACTCTGCCACCCAGGCTGGCGTGCAGTGGCACAATCTTGGCTCACTGCAACCTCCACTTCCTGAGTTCAAGAGATTCTCCTGCCTCAGCCTCCCGAGTAGCTGGGATTACAGGCACATACCACCATGCCTGGCTAATTTTTGTATTTTTAGTACAGACAGGGTTTCACCATGTTGGCCAGGCTGGTCTCAAACTCCTGACCACAACTGATCCACCCACCTCTGCCTCCCAAAGTGCTGAGATTACAGGCGTGAGCCACTGCGCCCAGCCTCAGAATTATTATTTAAGGAAATTACTCACTCTTGTATTCATTTAACAAACATAACAGGCATTGCGCTAAGCACTGGACATAAGGTAGTGAATGCCTCACCCATTTGGGCCACGGTTGGATTCTGTCACCTGCAGCCAAATGCTATCCTATTTCACATCGAAAGGGACAGAAGAGAGGTTAAGGGTGTGGGCTGTACGAGGATCTAAGCTTCAGAAGCCTGGGATGGGGAAGGATTTGGGGAAACCAGGGGAGAATTTACTAATTGAATGGCCAGTGGCCTTGGTGAAGTGCAGCTGGATCTCAGGGAAGAAATGAGCCCACATAGAGTGGCCTGACAGCATCCACCCAGGCAGGGTAGTAGGGGCTTCTGGGCAGACTCAGGACAGACTGAGGCCTGCAGCCAGAAGGCCGTGGGCAGAACTCCCACCCTGGGCTACACATCCAGGGTGCAGGCCCTTGGGTGTCTCCAGGAGGGAAAGAGCTTACTACGACCTGTCTGGTAGTTTGAGAAGAAGGGCTGTGCCAGAACCAAAGCACCCAGAGGGCCCTGATTGTGTGCATGCCAGCAAAGGCCTGACTTCCCTGGGAGACAGGCTCCTCGGCCCCTTATGGGGCTGTCCCCAGCGTACCCCAAGCATGAACCTAGACTGTCCTAGTATAACAGACTTGGCTGAGGGAGCAATGAAGAAAGGAGCTGTGGTCCTCTCTCCAAGCCTGCTGCCTGGCCCAAGGACAGGAGACGTGCCCTGAGGGAGATGGCGAGGATGAGGTCTGCAGGAGTGGGGCAAGAGAGACCAGGACAAAGGTGCTCTTCATTGACTAGGAGCTCTAGAAACCTCCTAAGACTGGCCAAAAAGTGTGAGACTGCAGAGCTATTTGAAAAATGGCCATCATTATGCGGGGTGGTGGGCTGTAGCTGAAGCGCCATAGAAGCGGGCCCATTTGCCGCAGGTTCTTTTTGCACTCTATTTTCCTCTATTTATTTTTACACCCTAAAAAAAAGGCTTGTACATCAAATAGTCACCTTTCATCCATTTGTAATTCTTTCCCTCTGGGGCACCATAAATTTATTTTATATTATTATCATATTAGAGAACCTAATACGTTTTCTCTCCTTGCCTTCAGCACGTGGCCTCACAGATGCTTTCCAAAGCAGGCCCAAGAACACATGGAGAGGGGAGAGGAAGGCAGGGGAGGGAAGGGAAGGGAAGGGCAGGAGCTACTGCAAACCATCCCCACTCCTCACCAAGCCACATTCACTTATTTTGCTCAATAAAACACCTCCTTAATAAAATGTCTACACACATTTTTCAAAGAATGCTATTGAGGATGGCTCACACCTATAACCCCAGCACTATGGAAGGCCAAGGCAGGAGGATCGCTTGAGCCCAGGAGGCTGAGGCTGTAGTGAGCTGTGATCATGCCACTGCACTTCAGCCTGGGCAATAGGGTGAGACCCTGTCTCCAAAAACAAAAAATAAATAGGCCAGTAACGGTGGCTTATGCCTATAATCCCAGCACTTTAGGAGGCCAAGGCTGGTGGATTGTTTTGAGTCCAGGAGTTTGAGACCAGCCTGGGCAACATGGCAAAACCCTGTCTCTACAAAAAAATACAAAAATTTACTGGGTGTGGTGGTACACACCTGTAATTCCAGCTACTTGGGAGGCTGGGGTGGGAGGATCGCTCGAGCCCAGGAGACAGAGGTTGCAGTGAGCTGAGATCACGCCACTGTACTCCAGCCTAGATGACAGAGCCAGAACCAGTCTCAGCAAAAAAATAAATAAATAAATACTGCTAATGAGAAGAGAAATAATAAGCACCTTAGATTCCACCATGTTATTTGGAGAAAAGCATATAGCAATGGAGAAGTGGTACTGACCTCAAAATCAGAAAAACAGTTTTTGAATTCTACACTGCCATGTTCTCACCCTGTGGCTTTAGATAAGTCATTCAAATTCCTAAGCCTCAGTTTTCTCCTCTGCAAAATGGGTGCATTAAAACCTGTCCTGGCCTCTGGACAGAGTCATCTTCATAGGTAAAACAGCATAGGGTCTTCTCTGTTACCTCTGAAATGAGAATGCTGGTACTTCTAGAAACTACCAGGAATGAACACTAACAATAAAATGTTATATTGATGCAAAATATTAGCAGAATTATTATTTAAGGAAATTACTCTGTATTCATTTAACAAACATAACAGGCATTGTGCTAAGCACTGGACATAAGGCAGTAAATGCCTCACCGTTTGGGCCATGGTCAGGTTCTGTTACCTGCAGCCAAATGCAATCCTATTTCACGTCCAAAGGGACAGAAAAGAGGTTAAGCTTGTGTGTGGGCTGTACCAGGCCCTAAGTTTTGGAGCCAGTTTTTTCTAATCCAGTTTAGGAACTATGTCACCTGGGGAATATTACATAATTTCTCTGAAAACAAGTTTCTACATCTGTAAAATGGGAGTAACAGTGCAGGATTGACAGGGTGACCATGAGGAGAATGAGGTGTAATTCACAGAGCACTCCATGAGTAGCAGCTGCTGTTGCTGCCGCAGGTACCAGTGTAATGAACTGAACATTCATACTTTAAAATCATTAGGATTTTTACCAATGTGATGGTATTAGAAGGTGGGG